>NC_000002.12:167489618-172489618 GCF_000001405.40 Homo sapiens | reverse complement strand
GTTACCTTTTCCAATCCTTTGGATTCTACTTTCACCAAATAAAGCAACCATTTCCCATTGCTAATTTCTTTTGGCCACTGAATGTTCAAGGTTGCTGTGCCGAGGTTTGTAAGAGGTTTACCTAAGTTTATTACCTGTTAGAAAATAATACATATTATCTCAGTCTAATCTTCTCAATGTAAATTTAAGTAGCAGCTCCTTTTACCAAGAGAAAGAAGCTAAAATATCTAACGTAATCCTATAATAAAAGCACAGGCTCCAAAAATGGACTATAGATAGGGCATTCAAAATAAAGACTTGTGCCTAAAGATTTTTGTAAATAAAAACAAAAAGGTCAAAGGACAACTGATAGCTAACTCGTTCTAGGAACAACTGCTGTATGCAACAGAATCAGCAGTGTAGATATACCATGTTCTCAACATACGCCCAGGGAAAATCATGTGTGAATTTGTGAACTGCCCTGTAACCACCCTGCTTGGCCAATGACAAGTCCTGGGCCAAGGCAGTGTACCAACAACCTGCTTCTGGAAAACCCCATCCACTGCAAAAATGAAGCTGCCTCTGTCCCAGAGGAGATTCTGCAAAACCATTATTAGGACAGCCATGAATCTGAGAGTCCAAGCTGGGAACAGAGTGACGTCCTGCGGCAGAAGCCAAACACAGGAGGTAAGAGCCCTCTTGGTGTCGAGACTGTTCCAGAACCCAAAGACTTCTTTTCCAGCTGCACCTGCATAGAGATCATAACCACCACCACCACCTGCCCCAGCTGTGTCTATAATGCTAAGAGACACACAGAGGAGAATTCAGCCTCTTCATTCTGCCGGAGTCAGGTGGGCCCATGCTTGCCATTTGAGGCTTTCACCACAGTGGTCACTATGCCTTCAGGAATGTGATTTCAGCCACACAGACCTAAACCCATGTGTGAGTTACGAACAGACTCTGTACCCTATGTTTATGTTTATTCAACAGGACAGAGAGTCACTGTGATTGCCTACTTTGAAATGGTTCAGAGCCAGTCACTGCCTTTCCTACAGGCATATACCAAATCTACATTCACCACAAAAACTGGGCTTGTGAAAGGTAGGCATACATTAATATTCTTTCAACCACAAGCAGTGAGAAAGATGACCTTATAAAGGAGGAAGGAATAAATCATAACGCATTCTAAACTGAACTGGATTCTGAACAGTGACAATTGTTCTCCATCCTGGAGGATAAAATTTTTACTATAAGCCAGTATGTTCTTTAAAAGCTGGCAAACTAATTTTTAACTCATGATTTACTTACAATGCTTATTAATATTGCTGATTTATTAAAATGACATACTCAAGACCATACCTAGTATATGTCAGCTTTTGGTATAATGAAAAGACCAACTGCTCCAACTTACCCTGAATTCATACTCTATTAAACTTCCCACTTCATCTTCAGATTTCATAGCTTGCTCGCCAACAACTGTACCTCCAAAATACACCTGGGAAGGTTTAGCAACTCT
Organism: Homo sapiens; assembly: GCF_000001405.40. Classification (NCBI taxonomy): domain Eukaryota; kingdom Metazoa; phylum Chordata; class Mammalia; order Primates; family Hominidae; genus Homo; species Homo sapiens. The sequence goes on along the minus strand of NC_000002.12, from coordinate 172,488,123 downwards.
GTCAAATTAAAAAACACCAGTTTTAATGAGGATTGTAAATGGTTCTTTCAAACATTGATTTGTTATGCTAAACACAAACACTTACCCCGAGACCGATAAAAGCAGTTCAATAACCACTTTTGCTTTAGCTGTAATTGGAGCCAAATTATCTTGATTGCTTGTTCTGAAAATGAAAAGGAAACAATAGGGTTGTATTTTACCAGTCAGTTTTCTCACTACAATTAGACTTCTTTTATGAGGTAGATCAGGGCCAATTCATTGACTGCCCATATTTTCATGAAATAATTCTGAATGGAGAGGTTGATGTAACTCTTACGTTTCTAACTTCAGATTAATATCCAGATCTGGGGTGTCAAAGGTGACTTCAGTTGTACTTAAAACCAAATAAAAAGTGACCTAAAAAAACATAAATAGCTGTTAACACAGGCCATGCATACAGACACTGCAATGGTATTTAAAACAGTAAAATACAGTATATGAAGGCATCACCTACATTTGAATTTCTTTTAAAAGGATTTCCGAGCTCACAGTCAGCTTGCGAGCCATTCTGGTTGGCAACACAACTCAACTGTTTCTCCTGTAAAAGAAACACACGCTAGGTCACAATCCACTCATTTGCCACACAGTGTTGATTTTTTTCCCCTCTCAGCTGGTCTCTAACAATACTTACAGGGAAAGCCCTCAGTTCTCTATATGCAGAATAGGTTAAAGTGTCTGGAAACGTTGCAATCAGTTTAGCCTCATGGGCGTCATCGCCATCTTTTGTGGGATTCCTTGGGTTGGAAGGGCTGTTTGTCACTGTTATTTCTAAAGCAATATCCTTCTGATCTTTTAGAACTAGTTCTGGTACACCTTTTTGACTATTAAAAATAAGAAAACAAGAACAAAAAGGCAAAGTCCTCAATACGTTTCCAGTAAACTTTCTTAACACAAAGCCACCATGAAGCCAGAATCATTTTTGCTAGTGCTACACAACGATTCTTACATTGGTAAATAAGAAAATTTGTCTTGATTTCCTTCTCGGGTGCAAAATTTATATTCTAGTTTAAGGTTGCTGTTACATACATTGTCGTCTCCACATCCCTCTTTTAAGAAGTGAACCTGTAGGAAAACGAAAACTATTGTCAATTTACACCATTCAGGACTCAGGAAGGCATCGATGTAGGTGACTGGCTATTCCACACAGTTCATTTCCCTGTGTGACAATTACCAATGCAGAATTCAAGCTTTAAATGTACTTTGCCACACATCAAATTTCCATTCTGTCCTTTAGTAAAATTGTGTTTGAAGAACACTTTGACCAGGGCATGGAGGCAGTGTGGTATAGAAGAGTGTGACCCAGCAGCCACACAGATTTGGGTTTGAAACGCAGCTCTACCCCTTACTTAGCTAGCAAGTCACTTAACCTTTCAGAGTCCAAGTTTCATCATAGGTAACGTGGAGATACCACCATTCTAACTTTATAGGGCTACTATAAGAAGTATCAATAATAATGATGATACCAACGATTATAATACTCGATTTACATATCTTAACTCATTTAATCCTCACAACAGGCCTCTAAAAAGATACTATTATTATGATCTCCATTGTAGAGATGACGAAACAGAGAGCTTAAGGTCAGGTAAGCAAACAGCATACTAGCACCATGCCAATGGGTTCTTGATAATCACACCGATAAATAGAAAATCATCTCTAGCTATGGAGCTGGGAATGTACACAAGTAATATTAACATGATAATAATAAAAGTACATAAAAGTATACAGAAATATAAGGAACTATATTTGGTGACAAAAATGATTGACAATATGCAGATGTAAGCATCAGCTCCTGAGACAGTGAGGACTCACTTCTGCAAAGCTGCCTCAGTAAGGCACCAGTACCAGCAGCCCCATAGTGGACAGACACTCATCATCAATTAGTTGTTTTTTTTTTTTTTTTTTTTTGGAGATAGAGTCTTACTCTTTTTGCCCAGGCTGGAGTGCAGTGGTGCCATCTCGGCTCACTGCAACTCCACCTGCCGGGTTTAAGGCATTCTCCTGCCTCAGCCTCCTGAGTAGCTGTGATTATAGGCATGCTCCATCATACCCGCTAACTTTTGTATTTTCACTAGAGACGGGGTTTCACCATGTTGGCCAGGCTGGTCTCAAACTCCTAACCTCAAGTGACCTGCCCGCCTCGGCCTCCCGAAGTTCTGGGATTACAGGCATGAGCCACCACACCCGTTCATCATCAATTAGATTTTGAAAGCAAGAACATAATGCCAAATCAAGCTGTCATAGCTGCCCGGGCTAACCTTGCACCTTAACCATCCTAAACCCCTAGCAAACAGACCCCACCTCATATGAGGTATCCCACAGGCCATCTAATACACATTTTTCTTCCAAAGATGACTTAGGCTATATTAGGCACTAAATGACTACTGTATGCTAATAATACTTTTTTGCTTTGCTGAATTTTGATATTCCTTGATTTTAATGTTCTGACTAGCAACACACTGCTTTCTACATTTCAGTATTCTCAATGGTAAGTAAAACACAATGTATTTTTCTTTCTATGTACAGCTAAAGGAGAAACAGTGTTAGAATATAAGCTCTACCATTTATAGTCTCGATAGGTTATAATGGCCAAAAATGAAGAAGGAAAATACGCTCTGGCCCCAAATTGTATTTCATGTTTTTATGTTTATTGCTAATTTGGGAAACAAGTCTTCTCTAACTTTGCGTACATTAAAAACATATTAACACAAAAGAATGGCCTTTAAAGCAAATCACTAGTTCTATTCCCTTCAAAGACATTTGATTTAGCATCATAAATGGCAAAAAAACTTTGGCAAAATGAAAGTCAGAGAGACTTACATCAATATGAGCTGTCTTGGGTTCATCTGAATTCAGAATTGGAAGAACTTCTGGAAGTGAATTCACTCGCCTACGAGAGCTTGGCTCTTGGATCTCCACTGAGGCAGTTATGGGAATGGGACGCAGTTTATCTCTGATATTATCCTGCATGAAAAGCATGCAGTCAGAGTTAAGTGGGGTGTACATGCTATTGGGGAATTCCAAAACAATGATTTTGTATTGATTAAGAGGTTGCCAGAATAAATTTCAGAAATCTGTATATCACCATATAACCTTTTTCTGTCCTCTTCATAAAACAGATGTGACCATCTGCAGCCCTCACCTGTAGCCACAGGGTTTCCTCCATGCACACTTTCTGTTTCTGCCTCTTCAGAGTTAGTTCTTGAGTATATTTGGGCTCAGAACCTTGGTTTCGAAACTGAACTCTTGAGGATAGCCCAGATTTTCTTCTTTCTTTTTCAGCTTCAAGTGTGCCCACAATTGCTAGATAAAATTAAAATCATATTAACGTAAGTGCATTCATGCACAATCCAGCCACAAGCATGTTGAACTCCTTTTAAGATTTTAATTCCTTGTAGAAAACATTGCCATTGTTTCTCTTCATATTTCCTGGTAATATGCATTTGCACAATTGTGATGGTTCAAATCAAGCTGTCTTTTCCTTCCTTTTGCTGTTAACAATGTTTCAAAGTTAAATTTTCATTGTGCCACCTGGGGGAGCTCAAGAATAAGTTAAAACCTTTCAGCAGCAGCAGTTATTAAGAATCAGTTTCTGGCTGAAGTTCATGAACCCACAGAATACTAACGATAAGCAGAGGAACCCAACACTCCCCCGAGCACCTAAACTGATTTTCTCCCTTTAAACCAGTCAATGCTTATTCAAGTGGCCTCGTGCCTTTGCTATCTGGGAAAGATCTCTAGAACAGCAGCATCTCCTGAGGGCCTGTGAGGATGCAGAACCTCAGGCCCAGTCACACCTACGGAAGCAGAATCTGCTTTATTAATAACAGCATCACCAGATGATTCTTATACGTATTAAAGTTTTAAGAAGCACTGATAAAGGATAGTTGTCTAAACAGAGGAATAATATATTTTAGAGATGGAGAAGTCTTTCGACAGTAGGATGAGACCTTTACCTTAACAAATAAAAAAGAGGATGGGCACAGTGAATTCTGCCTGGCATCCCAGCACTCTGGGAGGCCAAGGTGGGTGGATCACCCGAAATCAGGAGTTTGAGACCAGCCTGACCAACATGGTGAAATCCTGTCTCTACTAAAAATACAAAAATTAGCTGGGCTTGGTGGCGCATGCCTGTAATCCCAGCTACTCGGGAGGCTGAGGCAGGAGAATCGCTTGAACCCAGGAGGCAGAGGTTACAGTGAGCTGAATTCATGCCATTGCACTCCAGCCTGGGCAACAAGAGCAAAACTTTCTCAAAAAAATAATAATAAAGATAAAAAAGAATTACAAGGTAAATTATATATTTTTGAGTGGATGGAGGGCCTGTCGGTCAGCATAATATAGCTCCCACAACCAAACTGCCTACCTTGCACTGGGCTAGAAGGCACAGCCTGTTCTTGATAACCTACACTAATGGAACCTGGAGGGAAGCTAGGATGTGGATGATCAGAATCTCATTTTTTTACTTCAGAACGCATTCTTTGTTGGTTCATTAGATGTGGCTGCTAACTTTGTTTTTCATGGGCCAATACTTAAATTACTTACATTCATTAAGCAGTCACTAACCATCAAAAGGGAAAGCAAACCAAAGTGTGCAGAGGGCTGGAGAAGGCAATCTCCAGGACAAAAATCTGCTACAGAAAACACAGAAAATGAATAACTCACATTCTAATATTCACTTTAGAGTTGGAAGAGACCTTTTCTGGGGAGGCTTGGGGTCATACTGAGAGGGACAGAAGCAGCACCAGCTTCTGAGTCTCTATCACAAACACAAAAGGCGATTGCTTTCTACAGGGTCTTAGATGCCCAGGTCTCACTTGCCTCCTAACCACCGCAGGAGTCACTCCTTCCCTCAGCCAGCTGTCTTTCCCTTCTTTTCCCTTCCACCTCCCAGCAGTGTTGGCCTGCTTGGCTAAGCCCTCCCTTCCCCTTCAGATTTCAGCTTGGACCTCACCTCCTCCAGGAAGCCTGTCCTGGCCTCTCTTCGCGATCCTAGAGTATTCCATCTCTCCAGTCTCTACATTTAAGCCCACTACGCTGTGATTTCCTGATTGTCTCCCACAGTGGGGCAAAGCCGAGGACAAGGATCACATCAGTCTTATTCCCCACCACAGTCCCCAGCAACTAGCACAACACCTGATAGACATATGATTTATGGAACAGATGAACAGAAGTGGCAGTAACTGGTTCCCCACTTGCACACACATGCGCACACACACGATGTGACATTCTTATGCTGAATGTGAGCTATTCAGAACAAAATTTAGAAACACTGACAGTTTCAATAGTAATTTTTGTGTCCATCTGGAGAATTCTTAAATGTCACAGCTGCCAAATGGAATGCTCCCCCATTTTAGGCCTCTGCAGCCTTGACATCATCCATTTATAAGTGACCTGCTAGCTTCACAATGAACCAGATAAAGGCTCACACGCTGAGTGCCCCTCACAGCAAAAGTGCCCCTCACAGCAAAAGTATGGGAGGTGTGGGTGCAGGAAAACCGTTTATCTGCCAAATTCACTCTAACCTTCCCTAACCCTCCAGACAGTCCACATCATCTTAAAATCTTTGCAGGCCACCTTTGCTAACTGCTTGAGGGGCAAGCCAAGTAGAACACTCATTACGGCTCAATTATAGATATCTATATGTATGGAACACCACATCTGAGGACTGCTGAGCTAAAATAGCCCAGTCAAACAATAAGCTCACATTCTTGGCTACTGGGAGAAGATTTTAGATGTATTAACTTATGTAGCTTTGTAGAAGTTCTGTCTTAGTTCATTTAGAATTTACTGTGGAAGTAAAAGCAATGAAAGCAAATGTTCTTTGAATGTCTTCAAAGGAAAGTTCCACCCATAAAAGGCCATCCATAAACACTTGGTTAATGGAGTAGCTACATAACATAAAAGTAATACACATGGCATCAAATGCTGTGCTACAGCTAGGAGAAAGTCTGTATTTTATATAGGTGATTAATTTGGGGGAAGTCAAGGAGTGCTCTGATGATATTTCACATCTACAGTCAAACTGAGAGTGGTTTGAAAAAATGGCCATCAGAACAGAATAAAAATGTTTCCCCTTTTTCTCTGGCTGCCTAGTCAAAGAATCACTGTTTTCTCCTTGTCTCTCTAATTCATTCCAAACACTGGCAAAGGGCCCATTATCCAAGTGGGCTAGTGTAAGGTATGGCATTTGGGTAAAAATAACACAAATGATACTGAAAGGATGATAGATCCTGAAGAGTCACAGTATACATTTTCTTGTCATTAAAAGCCACACAAAGAATTGCTTTCTACACTCGACAAAATGCCGGCTGCATCAAAAAGCAAAGCAAAAGGCCACAGCTCCCCCTGTGCACGAAGTCATAATCCATCCACTCTAAGAATGCTTCGTGCAAGGTCTGCAGGTCCCATGGAGAGACCACACAGCAGGAGACGACCCCACAGAAGGGGAGACGGAGAAACCACCTGCAGACAGCTCGAAATCTGGAAAGATGAAGGCTAACTGAGCTTATGACACTGAGAATCAGGTGAAGGGGGACTTAAAAAAAATTAAAGACAGTACATTTATTTAAACTGTCCCTTTTCATAATTCACTGAACTTTATCACAGGTCAGTATCTTCATTCTGTTGTCTTAGTGGATACATTCATTAGTGTTATATAAAACTTCATATAAAGTTAAAGAAGAATTAGAGTACAGCTAAGAACAGAGCTGTGACGTGTGAGAGGATTCACCATTGCAAACCCTAGTCCTTATGTGGCTATTTTTTCCTGTTTCAAGCAACAACTTTAGGTTATTTGAATTAGGTTATATTCTGGAATATTATAAGGGACATCTTTTTAAATAAAGAAAACTACTACTTTAGATAACAGGGAGAACACTTCAGAGGACTCATTACCTCATAGTATCGTAAAGGCTGACAACCATATGAAAGGACAGAATGACCTTGTTCTTCACAAAGTGTCCCTTGGTGGCAGATACAGTACACTAGAATCCCAAACTGCCAGGACCATGGCCGGACCCGGGTTGAGAATTTCCTCATTCTTTTCACTTCCTCTTTGCAGAAAAGATTTTCTTGGAATTCCTATGCCCCTGGCCTTGACTCTGGAGCCAGGGGTCAGGTGACTCACAGCTGAAGAAGTGTGGCTGCTATTAAAACATGCCAGAGGAGAGCTTACGACGGCCACTATTGTTAAGAGTATCATTAACGGTGTCAAAATTCTTGTCAAAAATCCTGTGTTGCCCCATAAATATATACACCTACTATGTATCCACAAAAATTTAAAAAAATCTTACTTTGAATTACAAAAAAAGGAAGCAGAACAGTATCTAATAAATGACAAAGTGCTTTTCATGTCTTCTCAGTTGATCTCCAGCACAACTGTATGCACTAATGACTACTAGGCATTGTTCTGAACGGACAGGAAAGCAAACTCATATGTTAAGGGACTTGCCCTGTGGGTCAGTCAGTATCAAAGCTGAAACCAGGAGCAGAGACCAGGTCTCTGACCTCTCAGGGCCGGCTTGCAAATTCCCTAGGGGCCTGCTCTTGGGAACACAGGGCGGGTGTTCCGGGAGGGAGGGGCGTGGGGAAGAGAAGGCAGCCTGGCAGTGACTCTGTGCTGTGCTCTGGCTCCTGCCGTTGCCCTTTCACAACCACCAGCCACCACCCACCACCTCACAACCACCAGCCACCACCCACCACCTCACAACCACAAAATCAATTTTCCACACTGCTTTTCAAAGACAGAAATGGAGGAAATGGTTGTGGTAGCAAATAAGTACTTTTCCAAGCCATTCTGTCCTAAACCATCTGCTCTGGAAAACTCAAATGGCGACCAAGTGGAGTTTTTTTCCTCCCTCACGGTGCTGTGCCCTCCTGATTAAAAGGGAGACAAAACATACACTTAATTCTTTACACCAGAATTGACAGACCCATGTTGGCCACTGCAGTTTTATTTTTCTGTGATTTATGCAGAACTTTCAACCTGGCAGACAGAAAGTAGACATATTTTAAAGGTACTAGGTACTTACATATTGAAGGATTATAACCAGCGGGGTTAGCAGTATATTCAAAACAGGATTTAACCTGGAGGCTGAATAAAATCAAACACATATTTCTTAAAAGATCCATTATTGCAGTGGAAAAAACCCAACATGTTCCCTAGCTCTCCAATCCCCCCAATGCCCATTGATGATCAACATGTTATAAAAACACTTGACAGACCCTCTTCCCTTTGCCCAGCACTCCTGTCATCTTCCCTGTGGCTCCTCAGGACAATAGAGTCATCATGAAGTGGAGGTGGGAAACTGAGGGGGATCCCACCAAGACAGAGGGATGCTCACCATATCCCACTAGGCGCCCCACACGCTGTTTTCTGGCGGAGGTCAATTCTGTTAGGAGTTACTGTGATGGTTTTCTGAATATTAATCACAGGCCGGGATCTGAAGACAAAAGGAGTGAAAAACAAGCTCAGCCTCTGTTACCTTGAATGTGAGTCTAATTCACATACTAGAGAGCATCCTTAGCTGCCCAGCACAGCTTAAAAACACAGGAAAAAAAATACACGTGACGTTTTCCCCCATTGCTGAAGAAAATAACTGTTAATAGATATAAATGTATACAATGCAGAGCCTCATTATACAATATTTGTTTAAAAACGTACACACTTATGAGTACATGTGCAACATGTGGGGGTTAAAGTAAATATTTTGTCTCCATTCCCACCCGAACACCCAAGTAGCCTTGTATGTTCTTCCAGACACGTCAGTTAAAATTATCTAAAATTAAATATTAAAATATATGTATAATTTCAACTAAATGGGAACTTAATTGCCATTGTTCTGTATGTGGCTTTTTCTCATCCATTTCAGAGGTCTTGTCCTGTATATACACATAGATCTAGTTCACTGTTTTTCACACCTGATGGCGTTACACTGTATCAGTGTAACATCCTTTATTTAACCAGTACCTAATCGGTAGACATTCACGTTGTTGAGCTTTCTGCTTTCACAAACATCATCTGTGCACACACTTGAGTTTATCTGTGGGATAAATTCCCAGCAGCAGAATTTTGGAGTCAAAGAATATGTGCATTTTTAATTACGAGTAGTCTTGCCAACATACCCTCTGGAAGAATTACACCAACAAACACCTAATACCTGAGATGCTCATGATCAGCGTGTCTACAGTATGTGAATTAATACAGGCAATCCTGAACTTGGGAGTCTCCATTGTACAAACACTTGCCCTTCTCTTCAGCCTCCCTCGGAGTCTCCCACCCACAACCTTCAGTCTTTGCCTTCCTATTGCCAGGATTGACAACTTTTCTACCCCCACGATATCTCTGCAAGCAAAAACTTAAACTTTTAAACTTCTTCCCATCTCTGCGCTGCCTACTGCAACCCCGCAAACACTTGAGAAGCTGGAATCCAATTCCACGCCCTACTCTGGTTCACCATCTGAAAACATCTTTTCGTATGTTTTGGCTGCCCTGCTCCCAGCAGCCACAGGGGTCTCCACGGGTCTGTGGCCCAACTGCTGCCACAGGCACAAGAAATGCAGGTATGCGGTGGGTTGAGGGGTATGAGTGGGTGAGGAGGCCCACCTCCATTGCTCCCCACCAGAACTCAGAATGGGGCCTGGGGTTTCATTACCACGTGGATTCAGTTAGGCTGACTCTGATGGGCTTGTGGTAAACCCAGCCATTCTGGAGAACAGTGTTTCTACAAGAAAATGCATTCCAAATCCCAAACAGCTAGCTCGAACTTCTGGAATCAATCTGTTGGTAGGCTAGAGCACAAGTCCATTCACAGTGAAGGTAGGGTCCAATAAAGGGTCAAATACTGCCCACATTCCCTGTTTTTCCATTTTCCTTTATTGTTTACCATTCTATTTTTATTTTACATTTAGACAGCTGCTAGGTTCTAAGATACTAACTAGATACATTCTTAAGTTTTGAGAGCATATTTAAAAGGCACAGTTGCCACAGATATAGTATTTTACATACTGTAGAATTTTAACAGACATTTCTGCCTAGAACATATTTTGTTTTTTAAACATACAACACACAATTTTGAGGGCAAAATATACATGAATTATGAAAACTGTGTCTTTTAACATAGAAAATAAGTCTTATTAGTTTGGCTGCCTCATGTTTAAAATTGGTGTTTATTTACTAACTACCCTGAAGTGCTAGTACAATTTAGTAGAAAAAATGCACAGGATTCAAGTCAGGAAGATTTAGGTGCTACATTCTGTCCTCTCAGGCTCCAGCCTTAAAAGCTCAAGCCAAGTCCTGGGCCTCAGTTTCCTCATTTGTAAAATAAGGGGAAGTTACTCCTCTTCTTATCAAAGGGTTGTTGAATTCTACTTTCACACTATCTGCAAGTAAAGAGGGAACAAGTGTACAGGGTTGACAGTCAACCTACTTATGAGGACAGGAAAGTAAGGATATTAAAATATCAGTTACACATAGACAGGGGCAAACATTTAACTGACTAAAGTTAAGTCATCTATTGTATTGACAAGGAGAGATAGCCCAAGATTAAATAAAAACCAGATTAGACAGCAGAAGTTACAGTGTAGCCTTTTGATGATACCCTAAAAGTAGAGAAATGCACACAAGTTTTGTGGAAGATGGGAATAATGTACTGGATTTTCTATAATTCTATATTATTAACTTTAAAAAAAATAAATCTGCTACTTTTTGAAAATTAAAAAACAAACCAAAAAAAGCCTCCAATTTTTAATGGTGATTTCCAGCAGTGATGAAAGCGCTGGTTAAAGGGAGACTCAAACACCACGGATGGGAAATGTCGCACCATTTTGGGAGGTCATCTTGGCGAAACCGAATCAAAAGTCTTGAAGCACATATATCAATTTCACATCCAGGAATTTATAATAAGGAAATAATCAAGGATATAAACAAAAGTAAGAATGTTTTCCACAGCTTTTTATATCATGGGAGCAAAAAAAAAAATTGCGAAGCAACGTAACCATCCAGTGAGAGCAAGGCAGTTGGTTAAATAAGCTCTGAACCTGTCAGAAGATGCCTCACAGACAGTTGTTAACTTCATTTTGGAAAAGTACTCAGTGACATAGGAAAAGTCTACTATGTATCCTAAAGAGACAAAAGCAGGTTACAAAATTATGCACAATTATGGTCTTAATTTTGTTAAATATACATGGTCCAATCACAGAAAATAAAATAGAAATCAAGATCTTGGAGTTTAATAATGCATGGTGAATTATAGGGGGTTTCCTTCTGTATGTTCTTTGTACTGTCACATTTTATATGTGTTTTGTTTTTTTCATCATCAAAATTAAGGTTTTAAAAATATATGAAGTAAAAATTCTAACTTGGATCTATGTTTTCCTCAGATACTTTAAAAGATTTTAGAAAATAGGTTGTTATTACATTGTTTACTAACTTCAAAAGAAAAAGAAATAGCTTCACAATTCATATAAACCTTTGAAGTATAGGTATGACAAATTTCAGTCCAAAAGGTCAACATTTTAGTATAACCTGATTATAGAACATGCTTAACACTAAAATCATAGATAACAGACCTGAAAATAGTTACTGAATCTGAGAGGGAACCAACAGCAACATCAGGGTAGGAATTTCGATCAAGGTCCATGTTTCCAGCAATTGAATATCCAAAATAAGGTGATATACCCTTGAGAACCTGAAATACACAGGGCATCCGAATGGACATTAGGTTATCACCATGAGCTTCTTAACAATGCTTTGAAAAAGACACACAAGTTTCTTTTGAACTGAAATTTGAGAGTTCACTTATAAGTAAATTATATTATATACAAGTCATAAATTTCTATATGATCTAACACTTCATACATTTCATTTCATAAAAGTCATCCGATTTACATAGTATCTCAAAGCAGAAAAGAGCCCATTTCTGATGAGCTTGTTTATTGTATTAAGTCAATCAGGCCATTTCAAACCAAATCTCCCTACCTTCCCTACAAGTCTTATTTTTCTCAAAAGACATTTTTAATTTTTGGTGTCTACATTCTCCATGTAGTTACAGTCATTTATTTTGTTTGACCAATTTCATCTCTATTTAGTATGCTACTAAAGAGAATATATCGTATTTCCTCTTATCTTAATGCCGTCAGGGTAGAATAACATTCATTTGCTTTGGATTACCTTGATTCCTAACTTATCTAAGAAATTTTACAATTAGAACAAGCAAGTCATTACATTTATATATTTATTTTGAAGGTATCTTCTAGTAATACATTTTTAAAAAATTTATACTATTGTGGACTTGTAAATAAAATAAGATTTGTGTGAAAAGTCACTTAAACCTAAATATTTTATTATAGGGCAAAAAGTTGAGACTCTAGCTGTAGAAATCCCGGTTATTTGGTTACCTGTGTTGGTTTGGTATTTATTCCATTTGCAGATCCATGATAGATAAAAACCTTTCCCAAGTCATCATACGGAGCTCCAACTGCAATATCTGTTGACAACATCACATTTTAACATTTTAACAAACGCTTTAGAAACACTCTAGTAAAATGTTTTAAAGTAAGATGACACAAGCACTATTATTTATTTGTTTGGCTTTTTCGGGGTTTTTTTTTGTTTTTTTTGAGATGGAGTTTCGCTCCTGTTGCCCAGGCTGGAGTGCAATGGCGCAATCTTGGCTCACCGCAACCACTGCCTCCCGGGTTCAAGCAATTCTCCTGCCTCAGCTTTCCAAAGCTGGGAGTAGCTGGTATTACAGGCATGTGCCACCACACCCAGTTAATTTGTATTTTTAGTTTCTCCATGTTGGTCAGGCTGGTCTCGAACTCCCGACCTCAGGTGATCCGCCCACCTCAGCCTCCCAAAGTGCTGGGATTACAGGCGTGAGCCACTGTGCCCAGCAGCGCTATTATTTAAACAATCAAATAATCTATAAATCATAGCCATTTCATAATCTATTATCTACCTGGGTAGCCATCTTGATTAATATCTCCAATATTTTTTACTGCAATGCCAAACATAGAATCTTTGGTTCCATTAAGACGAATTGGCTTCACATTATTCCATCTGCCTTGCTGGTTCATGTAGACATACACTGCACCTCCAACTTCTCCATCTCTATCAAAATACTGTGGGGCTCCAATAACTATATCTTGCCACCTAAAAACATAATGAGGGGAAAGAGCCGTGAACCAACAGCTAACATACCAGCAACACCAGTCTAGGTACTAAGGATACAAAGACATATAATAGAAAGGCCCTCAACTCCAGAATTTATGACTCAATTATAACATTTTTTAAAAACCAAGGTAGCCTATAATAAACGCCCCAAGAAAAATACTAAGGGTAAGAACTCAAAGCCAATTTCTCGAGTTAGAACCATAGTACAGCAGGACTCCCATTAAGACCTCACTGTTCTAACCCCCCCAACTGGCACCAACAGCCACATATCTGTTTTTTACTTTATCACCAATTCCTGTTTTCAACGGGAGCTGATGCTCCATCAGCCCCATATGAAACCACAGAACAGAATCATGCAAGTGTTTTCTGAGTCAATTTTTTTCAAATTTTAATTCTCATAGACTCATGATCCCAACATATAAGTAAAAACTGAAAATCAAAAATATAATCCTATACGCTGGGGAGGGATATGAATGTCTGTCTGCTGCCATCATAGAAATGATAAAGATAGGCTGGTAAAAATGCGGCAATAAAAATATTCTTTACGTCAATGAACCTGAAAGGACGGCTCTTCTCCAGTCGTATAGAAGCTAGTCAAAGCAGAAATGATTTGCAGCATAATATAACCTGAGGCTTTCTCACCCATCCTTGTTGAGGTCCACCACCGCCACATCATAGCCAAATGAAGAGGCCAGACCTTCTCCATCGAATATGTGCTCAGGGAGGAGATGTGCAGACTTCATGTCTCTCTTCAGCAAAACCACGGCTCCACTGTGATTGGCTCTGGGAGCACCAGATACAAAAGTGATCTCATCTTTAGAAACAATACCTTTCCCTGAGTCCAAAGAAAAACCTAGAAAAACAAAATATATAGAGCCCCTCACATCAATCCATATATTTTAGGCCTATGACATTGGTAACTCCATCATTACCTCTTCCTCTGGCTTCCCACCCCTCTCTCCTCTTGACCCTCCCACCAGCTATCACATTCGTAATATGAGTGACAGAGTTCAGATGTGACACAAGGACAAAGTCCTGGGGCTAGCTAATTTACTGCTTTCTATGGATATTAAGACTTTTAACTAAAAGCACCTATGTATAACTTGAATTTTGAAGTATTCATACATCTTAAGAATCAATTTCCACCCTATTTTAATATTGGAACTATGGTAAAAGGAGATCAAGCTAGATACTGAATTGTCCAGGAATAATTTGGTTATGTTACATCATATACACAGAGAATATATAACCTGACTGGAAGCATAATTGAGTGCATGTTACAGGGTTCTGCTGTAATTTAATGACCAGTATTTTTACAGGAATAAAATAAAATTGAAGAAAAAGTAATTAAGCTTGGTAAGAGGCATCAACTCTTTGGTAATCAGACAAAAACAAATGCTAACATCATTAATACACCATAGATAGCATTTCATTGTTTTGGACCAACTTAGTTCTCAGACACAAACATGCAGACAAAACAATGACTGATGATACATGGTATTTGAGAACCTAGTATAAACAACAGAGGTGAGGAAGTTGTCATTGGTATCAGTTATATACTTGTTCAGAGGGCAGAAAACATTAGGACACACCCATTATAAAGCATCAGGTAGGATGTCAGATTACAAATAACAGATCTGGTGAAAAGCAAATAGAAGTGCCCATATCAAAACCATTCAAATTAAGTAAATGTTTCTATAGAAAGGTGAGGCAGATGCAGAATAATATAAGCTCACCCCCTTTATTGGGTTTTACTTATGAAAAGCTTCACCACTACCGTTGCAGTTCTCAAATTGTGAAGTGAATTGAAAAACATGAGCCACCAGATTAGAGGGCAATATGGAGTCCAGCTCTTACAACCATCTGGCCACAGAGCCCCAGCCATGGCATGCTTTTTGTGTGTGCTTCAATGGAAACAAAATAGGGCATAAAAAGATTTATGCTCTGTATGGATCAAAAAAAAAAATTTAATGACCACAACCAAGACAATTTATTTGTCGTCGCAGAGGTCACAAACCTAGGTAGCTATTCATCATCACATCAGGGAATGTGTCAGGCTGCTCCCGGGGAGGCCGTGTTTTATAAACAAACTGATCAGGATCTGTATAGGAAACGCTGGTCAAAAACAGCAGGCCTGTACGCATGCACGGGACGGAAGAAATTGAAGAAAAAGTAATTATGCTTGGTAAGAGGCAGGACAGCCACTGCTGTTCTCGCTGGATGAGGAGGCCACCACTGCATCCGGCAAGCTGCTCTCATTGCCAGCTTCCAAAACCTCAAGCAGATCGTTTTGTTCCCCCAAACCCTCTGATCTTTTGAAGTGACAGATTCCACACAGTACAGACAAACCGAATGTAACAATATGAATTTGATTTCTTTCTCAGGCATTCACTTTTGAGGAAATCCATTCTAAAAGTGGCAAATGTGTTTGAGAAAAAATGCTTCATATTTTCAAATGTTCTGACAGCAAGTAAATTTATAAAATCCACAGCCATCCATCTTAAAGACCAAAGTATTGGTTTCTTGGCCAGTGCAATTACAATCAAGTATTTTAATCATAAGTAATCCCTAAATGAAACATTCTGAGGTAAGGTCCTGCTCTGTTGCCCAGACTGGAGGGCAGTGCTGCAATCACAGCTTACTGCAACCTCAACCTCCCAGGCTCAAATGATTCTCCTACCTCAGGCTCCTGAGTAGCTGGGACTACAGATGTGTACCACCACGCCTGGCTAATATTTTTGTATTTTTAGTAGAGAAGGGGTTTTGCTGCATTGGCCAGGCTGGTCTTGAACTCCTGGCCTCAAGTAATCCGCCTGCCTCAGCCTCCCGAAGTGTTGGGATTATAGGCGTGAGCCACCAGGCCCGGCCTGAACAACTTATTAGTGCGTGTTTACTAGCACATTGCTTGAAATTATTCATGTATCTATACCTGTTTTTTCGTTTTTTACTTTCCATTCTTCCAGTAATATCCTAACATCTGGGTACTTTTCTTCACTTTCTTTTTTTTTTTTTAAACAGGTTACTATTTGGGTTTAGACTTTTTTTTACATTTTTTCCAAGAAATGCACAGTAATTATTCTTTTTGTCAACTCATACCAAGAATTAAAGCTTTTAAAAGCCTTTGTGTAATTACCATAATGTACATGAATAACTTAGGACACCCATTAGTCATGCAAACAAGCCTTAGGAGTTAAGAATTGGCCCTTAGACACAGTCTGGGTGTCCTGAAAGCCGTTTTAGCAGTCCTGCTCAACCTCCGCTGGGAAGCTTTTATCCATCTGTGGGGCCCTGTGACATGGGGTCCCAATCCAGAAGCAGGGCTAATCCTTGGAGAACCACAATCACAGAGGGAGGACCTGGAGGTCTTGACTTGCCACTTAAGAGTAACTTTATTAAATGCAGTTCTTAAGAGTATCTCTGGAAGGAGGCACTGAACAAAGATCTCAGCTTACTGTGAACACCCATGCATGTTTTCATGGCTGCATGAGCGGCCTGTTTCAGGTTACGGAGGCTGCCATTAGCTCAAGAGACAGACTTCTGAGCAGGAGGGAGGACGGATGATTTTAGGTGATAAGAGGTTTCTTCCCCCTTTGAGGGAGCCCCAGTCAGAAGGAAAGGATCCCAGGCATCAGTCGGTTTAACGCCTCTAGATCACCAAGCTTATCAAATTCCAGCAAAAGTGGCCCGGCCCCACCTGGCCTCTTCTCAGCCTAGAAGTCCAGGGGCCATAGGCCCTGCGAGGGAGTTTCACACAAGGTATCTGAGAAGGTGGGCAAAGGCAGCCATCTGTGCCTGCTCCTACCTAAGTAACTGTTAGCAGGAACAGGAACGAGACTTTCATCATGCTCAGTCTCTCCACCAACTTCATAAGGCCCATCTTCAAAGATGTTCATGTCAAAAAAAGTGTTATTCTTTTGCTCTACACGAACAATCCCTAAAGGAATGAAATGGTAAAAACAACAAAAAAATGAAGATGAAACAAAAGAAAATAAATGGTTCCTAATAAACATCCCCCATGCTATCACTAGTTACAGGAAAAAAAATTTGGAGGAAAAAAAGGAAGGACAGAGATGACTTTTATGGTTGTAAAATACATTTGTGTAAATTTTTATGGGAAAGAAATTTGTTTGAGTCATTAAAAACTGTCCCATGCATTTTCATGAACTATCTTTATAATGCCATGAAACTAGATGAAAAATGGAAGGTTTGCTTAGTTAACAAAATCTACAGAGAACCAATTTTTAAATGACATGAACTTGATATATATATTTTACATTCTCTGTAATCCTGCCTCAATTTGTCTTTTTTTTGCAGTGTAAAAGTGAGACATATTGATCTTTTCTTTAGATCACTTTAACCAAGATTTCATCTTTTAAAAATTCTTACAATTAGTAATTTAAAACATAAGTTTTCATATAGTAAGCCCAAATCACTATATGGCTTTAAATGGCGACATTTTAGGTCAGGTTTATAAAGCAGGTAAACCATATTTTCCATGAATTAAAATATACATAATTGGTGGATATTTTTGTTTTGTTTTACTATATAAAGCATTTATTCATGCTAAAATAAAACTAAATTCAACATGTTATTTCAGTTAGGTCAAAATAACCTGGGAAATACTGTACATGAAGATTCTGTTGGGGTGGAGGTGGGGGCAAAGGGAAATTACCCTTGAAGATTGCACACAGAGAAAGGTGTTCAAGAGTCATTTAGAACCACAATTAAAACAAATTGTTGAATGGAAAAGGGACCATTTTCCTAAGTTTTCCCTGATGAGTGAAAGTGTTATGTGACTTATTATTAATACATTTCTCAAAAATGGCTTATTTCCAAATCAGATGCAGTTCTCTTCATCATGGATGAGAGTTAGGTTGTCTTTTATGATATAGCATTTTCTATACATACACAGTCAAAAAATGTGGGCCATTTTCTTCTTTACCTCTCTACATCTCCATTTACTCACATCACAATAATCAAACGACTTTTCCTCACATATCTGAAATTATACCTCAAAATTCCCCAATTCGTCTGTAATCTGCCCTTCTAACTCTACTGAATTATTAGCAAAGCATGGCCTTTGAAAATAACATATACAGAGAGAAATGTCCATATTAATACTCTGTTATTAATGTCCATGTTAATACACTGTTATTTGTATATACCATTATTTAATCCTCCTAAGTTTTCAGATCACTAACTTAAAATTAACACTTCCAGCTTCATGAGTCGCACAAATCTAAAACAGCAAAAAATACTAATGTTAATTATTATATTCCTGCTAAAAAAAAGTTAACTACCTGAATTAAAGTAAAGTACTGGTAGAGGGGAAAAGAATGTCAACACCAAAACATATATTCCACTATTATTAGCTTTTAAAAATCATATCATTTAGAGATTTTTAATATCCTACCCAACTTTTATAATATACGAATGTCTTCTAACACATTTTAGCTCAAAATGTACTAAATCATATTACAGAAATTAGGGGAACTAATCTCTATTTCTATAAATACAAAGGTCATACCTTTCCAGTTATAAGTACCCGGGGCTCCAAATACAATGTAATGAAAGTCTTTAGTAAAAGTAGCTGCTACACCTTGCTGGCAAGAGCCAAATTTCTCATGGCCTCTCAATCGCCCATCACAAAAGCTCCAATCTCCCCCATCCATATCGTCTTCAATCCTGAGATTCTGACTCAGGACATAACACCGCCCAAAGATGTCTCGGGATTCCTGCTTCGTATTAACATGCTGCCTTTTTTCATATCGGTGAGCACATGTCTGCAAGCAGATGGAAGAAAGTAGCCCATTCTTGTCTATAAACCTTGTTTTTAAAAAATTACATATGAATAAAATGGTCAATACAGAGGTTAATTCTAAAGAGGATGATTAAGCATGTCCTCATCTTGGGACCGGATCCCAGACCAGCAAATATTCCCCAAAGTGGCACTAAGGAGACCATTATGAAGACATATAGAAACTAGAATGTGCCTTATTCTCACTCAGAATAATCCTCCAATCCAAAATTGAATGACAATCTGTATCCATAGGCAATTTATTTGTAAATTTACCTGTCACATAAACAAAGAGAAACACCTTATTTCATTTTCTTAATTCAAATTGGCTTTTAGTGGCTGTATAAACCTTCAGAACATCAGTGTGAAAGTGGGTAATTATGTTCTAGAGGAGAGAAATCATGGACCTGTTTTCATAGGGATCAAACAAACACAGCTAAAACAAAGACATTTCCTTTTCCCCACACTATTTCCTTGTAATCAGTCCTAACTTACACCCTGAGCTCTGAGATTATTTCCCAAAATATGCCTACTTTTAAAAGGCAGAGAGAATTACAAGGCCAGAAGAGACAGAAATAATCTCTATAATTTCTACAGGGTATGAATGGCTAACCTCCATGTAAACACAGCCTAAAAATACAGTATCAAATCAATTTTCCATAAATGTCATTCCTTAAATATCAAAACTCAATGTTCACTAAATTTTTTTTCTCAAAATTCTGTATAAATTTCGTTACAGCAACCAGATTTTGAAGGAGACAAAAAGATCATATTCCAACCAGGAAGGCCTTACCATGACCATCTAGCCCAATCCACCTAACAAACCCTCTTTTCTTTGCTATCCCTTCTATTTGAAAAAACTCAGAATAAATAACAAGAGGTTAAAACTACCTGGTTATTACTTTCTAAGACCATGCCCATATTTTTACTAACTTATCTATAAAGCTATAAAATTCCAAGGACAGAAATGATGTCTAGTTTTGTTTTGTTTTTAATACCATCTAGAGTTGTAGGAATATTTAGTAAAGGTTCTTTAATAAGTTATTTAAATCTGAAAGTTCTAAAGAAAAGTAGGTTGTGTGATTGCTTCTAAGTATATCAGGAATCACAGGAGAAATAAGGCTTTGATTACGTGATTACTTCTTCTTTTTTTTTCTTTTTTTTGAGATGGAGTTTTGCTCTTGCAACCTCCACCTCCCAGGTTCAAGCGATTCTCCTGTCTCAGTCTCCCAAGTAGCTGGGATTACAGGCGCATGCCACTACGCCCAGCTAATTTTTGTATTTTTAGTAGAGATGGGGTTTCATCATATTGGTCAGGCTGGTCTCAAACCCCTGACCTCAGGTGATCCGCCCGCCTTGGCCTCACAAAGTATTGAGATTACAGGCATGAGCCACCACGCCCAGTCTGATTTCTTTTTGACATCCATTCCTGCTTTAAAGCAGTAAGTTCGCTAGAATGTATGCTCCCTGCTGTCCCCTGCTGTAAGCCTGGTGCTGGCACATAACCAGCAGTCCAACAGTATAGGATGAACATGTGTCTCTACACTTACCACGACCTTGCCCCCTGGACCTTGGCTCTGGACGGTGACCCCCATCCACTGATCTTCCTTGCTTTCTGACGTGGGGTCAGCTGTAGAAAGGAGCATAGTTAGCCTTCCAAGTGACTGCACATGCTAGAAACCATCACTGAACAAAAATACAAGCAACTGTTTCCAAATGGCCTCGACTCTGAGTCTAGCTACTCAATAAATTCAGTTACTCAATCCAGAAAAATTACTTGTCATCTCAAGGAAACAGAGATGTGGTTTTTGGAATCTTTCAAACATTTGAAACATAAAGTACTTAGCTCTATATAGTTGCCTATTTTGTCCAACAATACCCTTTGCCCTCTCTTGATACCTAGGGTCCTGAATGCAGAAGGTAAGTGAAACTGTAAGACTAAGGGAGCCCTCCAAAATACATCTCTTAAGGCAACAATGTAAAATCTAGTATTCCAAACTGCAGCTACCATCCAAACTAACAAAAAAAATGGGTACTTCTCTATATACTCCCCAATTTTTTTATTTAACAGCATTAAATGTTCTCTTCTTTACTGGAGATGGAAGAAAAAGACTCAGATTTACTTTAGGATCTTGTAGCTGACAATGTATCAATGCCAAACAGGAGAGTTACTGTTAGTCAGAGAGACGGGGACCACAAACACCACCAGGTGCTCATTTCAGTATCAATTTAAACCCACTGTGTGACCTATATCCAAATTTTGCACTCCTCCATAAGTAGCAATACAGACACAGGTTTTAATCTTGAATCATTACAAAAACATTAAACAACTTTAGACAGAAGGAAAAATGCCAAAATGTTAAAAAATAAGTCTAGATACTGAGATTGCCAGTGGGTTTTTTTATTCTTCATAGGTCTGTGTATTTTACCAGCTTCTTAAAATTAACACATATTAGTTTCTAATAAAAGAACACATGTTATTTCTTTTCTTGAGATGGTATCTTGCTCTGTCACCCAGGCTGGAGTGTAGTGGCACGATTTTGGCTCACTGCAGCCTCTGCCTCCCAGGTTCAAACAATTCTCACGCCTCAGCCTCCTAAGTAGCTAGGACTACAGGCGTACACCACCACGCCTGGCTAATTTTTGTATTTTTAGTAGAGATGGGGTTTCACCATGTTGGCCAGGCTGGTCTTGAACTCCTGACCTCAAATGATCCACCCAACTCGGCCTCCCAAAATGCTAGGATTACAGGTGTGAGCCACCGACGCCTGGCCAACAAATGTTATTTCTAAAAGATGAAGAAGCAAGAGAAGAACATAGACACGAATCTGCAAATCTACTTAGACCGAACATATCAAACGAGGTTTGGCTAGAGCTTCTCAGTACACTAATTGCTCTGCTCAACCTACAAGAAGCCAGGTACACTGGATGTCAACATGCCTACCTCATGGTATCTTCTACCTATCCAGAGCCCTTAACAAAACAAGTCTCTATCTGAGACAGGAGGGAAAACTTTATCTCTGTTAGCCAGCTCTCATTCCAAAGGGGTCTGATATTTAAAACTGTCTTTCTCCCAAATATTTTAACAGCATGTGAGAACTTTTGGCTGATGAATACAAGATACGCTCATTCATTCTCTTCATTGCTATGAAATGAGTTTTTCCACAACCTCCTGCAGAACCTCAACACATCACTAGGTGGCAACATCCCTACACCATATCGGTTTAGAAACCACGGTTAGGAGGAGCAGCAAAACACGCGGCATCCCAGTATGATTCAGAAGTAAAGTAAGTAAATATTTTCAGGGCAAATAAAAAACAGTCAAGTCTGATGCAATTAAAAGAAGTCCTCTCTACAAGAATAAATGTTTGTCCCCACTCTCCTCCCTCATGGAAACAGTACAGGCAAGCTGCCGGAGTGAACGCTGAGTGAGGGAAAGGAACGCACCATCGTTATCAAACTCGATCCGCGTGCATGGCCCCCGGGCGGTGATGTCGCAGCTGTACAGCCCTCCCGTTCTGTTGGCTCTCTGCAGTGGAAGCGCTTCTGCCCGCGGGGCCCCCACGAGCAACCTGTTGATGAAACAGAGACAATTTGGAGATTTGAATTTAATATACGTTTAACAGTTAAATCAGTCAGAACTAGGAGATAGTGGGATTATTCTTTGTCTAGGAGTCCACTAATTCTTCAACAGCTTAGGCAGTGAGTGAGAACAAATGTAGAGTCCTATGGCTGGTTCATGCAAAACGCACAAACACAACTAAACAGGGGAAGCCAAAGAGGGGATACCAAAACGAGGAAAATAGGCCTGTCTCTCATAGTATCAGCATTTCTTGCTGGGTATGATCTGGTGTTTAAAAGACACCCTCTTCAAAGAATACAACCTCTAAGCCCCTATGATGCCAGGGATATCATATGAAACTCAAGAGAAGAAACCAAATACTTGTGACAATGGAAGGAAAAAATGGCCACACTAAATGTAATAAGCAATAATATGTCAGTTTCTAACACTGTGCCTTCCTGAGGTAGTTTTCAAGGGTAATTCTGACTATATCTTAGATTTTCAGTTTATATACTAATTGAGAGAACCTAATGGTAAGTAAGATACAACTCGACTGAATTATTCACTTGCAGCCTTGGCCTCTTTCCAATTCTTTTTTTTTTTTCCCTCCAGTTTTATTAGGGTAGAATGGACAAATAAAAAGCAGATATATTTGAGGTGTACAAGTTGATGTTTGTTCTTCCAAGTCAGTTCTTACTTCCTTGCACTTTTGTCACATTACAAGAGTTCGTCCTCTCTCATCCTATCAGTCTCCCACAAAGGATTCAGGGACAACTGGTGTAGCTCCACTTATGTACTAGGCACTGTAATATTCCTTCTTCTCCCCAGCCGAGTGTTTTTATCTCCTATAAGGAGGCCCCCAGTCCAAATCCACAGTCCTTAAAATTTCACCATCTCACAGCTTGACAGGCTCTTTAGAGATCCAATGACCTTGTTGCTAGGTCTCTTTTGCTAACACCTTTACTCACCATCAGGTTTACAATCTTTGAGGCCTGGCTGACTCATGGAACAACTAGGACAAGAAACAAAGACAAAGAACACACACCTGACTGGACAGAGATAAACCAAGAGCTGAGAGTTTTGGAAACAAGGCTGGAGCTGAGGAAAAGGACTGGGAACACGAACCTGTACAAACAACAAATTCTTACAACAGAAAACAAGCCACTCCTGGCCATCAAGAAACCCACAAATCTCAGAAGCAAAAGCAAAACAAATGAAAATACAAACCAAATAGTCTCTATTACCTTCATGCCTGTTGGGTCCCAATAAAGGAATCATTCCAATAAAGGATTCAACATATTTTTTTTAAACCAATATCATGCAGCAGGTGCCACCGGAGGCAAGTGTACCTGGAAAGCAGGGAGGGGGGCCAGATGATGCCCAGACAGAGAAGGAGGGGTGGCTCATGGATAACACATAGCCCCAGCACTGTCCTTCCTCCCAGATCCCTGGACAGTCACAGTCAGCCCCCACCTCCAAACCCACCCTACATTTGAAGGAACAAAACAGCACACACCAAGGTACAGAACTGACACACAGACTTTTAAATTAGGAACTGGAGCAGTGTCCTTGGTGCCTGAACCTTCTTGACAGAGGACAGAGGCAAGGCCGGGGCCACAAGGGTCCCCACAGGTCTGCTCCACTCCTATTCCAGTGATGTCCCCGATCCCAGGAATGCCAACAAACAAGTACCTGGGAGGTGAACTGCCTAGACTATAAGGTGAATGTGTTAAATTACTGTACTTGGCAGATGTCAGAGGTGGAGTCATGTGGAGGGTGCTGGAAGGGATAAGTGGGGTGCCAGGATCAGAGGCCCAGAACCCCAGGACTTTCACACTGGAAGCCCCTGAGAGAGACCAGTCCTCCAGTTTTACAGATAAAGAAACAGAGGCCTTGAGGAGCTTAATTACTCATCCCCCAAGATCTCACAGCTAGTGGGTGGCCATGACAAAAATTATCTTGGTGCAATGTTGTCTCCATTTCTTTACAAAGCTGCTTAGGAAGTAAAACCCAGGATTTCAAGTTTACAACCTAGTTGAAAGGGCAAAACTTACACAAATAAAACATCACAACCAAAACTGTTCTGTATGCTGATAAAAGTTAAGATAATAGAGCCAAGTAGAGGGGAAGGAAGAAAAGCATTATTGCAGTTGGGTGGAGTGAAGGCTGGGTAAGAGATTTCCTGTAAAGGTAACCACCAGCAAAGAGAAGCCTAGAAAAAGCAGCACAGGAGTCCCATTGTCTTAACTGTGTGTCTTCCTAACCACTTCCTCTTCTCACCCACACCCAAGGTGGCTACTAAGTTACCTAAGGCAGGCACAGGGCTTATTTCCTGTTTATCCCATTCCCACATTCGTTCACCTATTCACTCAACAAACGCTGATTAAGAGCCTCCTAGGATGAATAAGGAATTGCCCCCACTCCTCAATCTCTGGCCTGGGGAAGCCTGATCCGTGAACAGGTCATGAGGTCATGAAACCACAGGGAGCTAGAGGCAATGAGAGGATGGTACAGAGTGCTGTGGGCACCAGCACCTGCTGGAGAGGAAGGGAGGATGTCACTAAGAGATGACAGCGGGACTGGAGGTGGCCAGGTAAGGAACACAGCATATGCAAAGGCTGCAAGGGAAGGAGCCAGAGAAAAGGGAGAAGAGGGACACAATGGGTGACAAGAAGGGGTCGAGGATCAGCAGCCTGGTCAGCAGCGCTAAAGGACGAAGGGTCAGAGACCCTCTGAACCCCAGGCTTCTGTAGCCTGCTGTGTCCTGCAGGGTACAGCTGCTTTTGGGTGTCCTGTGGTTTAAAAAGCTGTGGAGGTTGTCCCATTTACATGCCCAGTCCCTCAGAGTGGGTTGGCTTCCCTCAGCCTCTATCTGCCACTTGTTCTCCACTCTCTGTAACTAATACGTGTGGGACAAAGAATAGGCATTTAACTCGAATTTGTTGGCTGGTTACAGGGGCTGTGGTGACAAAATTTCACAAATGCCCACACCAAGCTCTTGCAGAAGAGGTCCTCGTGTCTTACATGCGGCGGCTACTGCAGATGACAGCAGACCACATGGCAGGATGGGGGCAGCAGGCTGGTTTGGGGAAAAAGGACAACAGATTCGAAAAGAGACCTGCAAACGACAAGAGAAATGTACCCACAGAGAATAACGTTAGCTGTTGCACCGCCTCTGGGCGAGCTCAGCCTGCACATGGTCCTGGCACTGTCCTTCCTCCACCTCAGGTGGTCCCACAGGGGATGGAGGAAGCAGGAGTGTTCCACCGCCCCTTGCAAATCCCCTGGGCAGCCGTGGGAGGAAGAGCTGACACCCAGCAGCAGAGGGCGCCCCTGCTCCAGTTGCGCCCGGTCTCCTGGGACCCACCGCGATAAGGTGGCAGAACCCATCACCGAAAGGTAAGGTAAAGCTACACCTTGATGAGAGAACACAGTAACCCCAACCACATTCAGCAACTGGAGGCGCCTTCATCCTCAAGGTAAAGCTGCCCTCCCTGGTTTGGGAAACAAGCAAAGGCTCTTAATTCGCCTGGAACCAGCCTTAAAGGCAGGAGATCACAGCCCATTAGCTGAGGCTGTGCCTAGCAGGAACAATAAATAAGGTAAATAGAGCTGTGTCCAAACAATGACAGCAGAGAACAACCTATCTACTTCCTAATCTAGGTCATTTAGGGTCTGGGTGCTGGTCTAAGCTGTTCAGGACATGGTTGGCTCCTGAGCTAGCAGAGTGGGTACAGGTCCAGGAGGGACAGTCTACACCTAGGAGGACCCTCAGCCCACACAAAATCCAATTTATGCTCAAATTCCAGCTTTCTTCCCTTTCCCTCCAAGGCCCTTAAATGCCAAAAACTGGGCCCAGGCCACCCAGATGGTTCAGTGTGAAAAGCAGGTACTCTCTGGGCACTACCAGGATGCTCACAGCAACTCCTAGGACCAGGGCAGCTGCAGCACTCATTACTGACCATCCCAGTACGTTTGAAGGAGGAAAGAGCTATGTGACAACTCGACCTTCAGAGCCACAGGGACCAAGGGATATGAGTTAGGGCCTTTGTAGGGAGGTGATAGAAATTAACAGAGCAGAGCCTGAGAGGTCTATTCCCATATGCGGTCAAGGCAAGAAAAACTAAACAAAGGGCAAGAATCTGGGTGTGAACTAAGATCATTTCAAAACCGGCCAGTGGACAATGACCTCCACTGAATTTTAAAGCTGCACCGAAATAAAAACTGCCTTGGGATTTCAGCATATCAGAAACCCACACTTAAAAGGCAAAACTCAAAACCACAAAATCATCTTTAACGATAAGAAATAAACACTGAGATACTAAAATGGAATGTAAAAATCTAACGATATAAGTATAACAGTAACTGGGAATATGATATAAATTCAGGTCTTTGGAGTCTAATCAGAGCTCTGGGCACAGAGACTCAGGACTCACTATCATGCTATGAACACAAGGTTATTTCAAAATTCTTCAAGTAAGCCACATCCGTTTCATATATTCAAGTTCTCCCCCAAAGAGAGCTGGTATACTTTTGCATAAATACTTCAAATCAAAAGTTCTAAACACTGGGACACTTTTAAAACTCCAAGAACAATGGCAGCTTTGCTTCACTGTCTTTGGCAATAATTCATTTCCTCAAGGATTAAAGATTCTGCCCCTAGCTATGCAAGCTGGTCAGAGGAAACATGAAATATTGCACCATTAGAACAAGAACACTATTATTGCTTAATTTAAAACACAGCCTGCTTAGTTTGTCCAAATTAAGACCTAAAAAGTTAGAAAGTAGCATTATGTGGCAATTGTGTCACCTTTACATTTAACCCATTTTCAAACTCAGAATTTAATTTTTGCTAAAGTAATAAGTACAAATGATAGGAAATCAAAAAATAAAAGACTTAACGGTAGAAAGCAACAGATTCCAAACTCATCCCAAGCCCCACACTCCGGACAAACCTCTTACTTTTCATTCTGGATTTACTTCTCCATAATTCTGGATTATTATATATGTATTGATTTATCAGCTTTAGGCAATAACTGTTGGCCCCATAATATGAAAAGGAAAGAACAAACTGCCACCTCCCATCCTATGTTTAATAACTAGATTTAGTTCCTCTATTTGCTACTCTGAGTTTTAAAGATTTAAACCTCTATTTTCCCTTCAACTTTTGACAGAAATCTTGATTCCCTAGTTAGTGAGACAAAGCTATGAGCATTTGGATTCTTCCTTCCAAACTTTCCTCTTAGTTTCTCCATGTCTTGCTATCTACCAGCTACACCTTTACACTTACAGGACCTATTACCACTTACATTTTGACTTTTAACCACAATTCAGTCATCTATTCTTTTACATAGCCAAATAAGTATTACTCAGTGCTGAACCAAACTGTATTCTGATTTTCCTTTTTCTGTCTGGGAGCAGTATCAGAAGCCCTCAGCCTCAAAAGAAACTGTTCCTAGCATTAAGGTCAAACAGACTTGCTATTCTTACATTCTATCAATTGCTTTGTGTACTTCACATTTGGACCATGACTCTTGCTTTCCTTGGCTTTTCTCATTGCCTTTCTTTTTTCTTCTATTGTTCACCTTTATCCAAGCCTCAATCTTCTCTAAGCTCCCAAGCCATACCCGCGTTAAATCAGGATCTCATCTTGGCTCACACTCCCTTCTCAGAGCCCCTGGACCTTTCTGCAGCAATGTAGACCTGATGTTCTGCCGGGCCTGCTACACAGGATCATGCTGGAACAGCCCTTCATGGCTATCCTGGGGTAACTGGATTTGATCTGGGATCTGATGTTCCCCCTTGTTTGAATTACTTTCTTAAATACTGTCCTAATAGCATATGACAGGTAAACTGAGTGTGACTCTGCATATACAAAAATGTCTTTATGCTGCTCTCACTCTTGATAGTTTGGGTGTAAAACTCCAGGTTGAAAAACATTTTCTTCAGAACCTTGATGGCACTGCTGTAATTAATTCTAGTATCCAGTGTTGCCAGTGGAAATTCTGGTGTTAGTCTGACTCTCAAAAGGGTAACTTCTTTTTTTTGAGACAGTCTCTCTCTGTTGCCCAGGCTGGAGTGCAGTGGCATGATCTCTACCTACTGCAACCTTTGCCTCCCGGGTTCAAGTGCTTCTCATGCCTCAGCCACCCAAGTAGCTGGGATTACAGGCATGTGCCATCACGCCTGGCTACTTTTTGTACTTTTATTAGAGATGGGGTTTTGCCATGTTGACCAGGCTGGTCTTGAACTCCTGGCCTCAAGGGATCCGCCTACCTTGAGGCCCCAGCTACCTCAGTCTCCCAAAGTGCGTGAACCACCGTGCTCCACCACGTTCTCTACTTTACCCAAGGCATTCTCAACAGCATGATGGTGAGCCTATGTGGGACCTCTTTCACTCCACAGACTTAGGACATGAATTTCCTGGAAACTCTTTTTATTGTGTGTGGATCGTTTCATTTGTATGTTTTCTGTCCTCTTTCTGAAACCTCTGTTAACTAGTCAGGTGGTGAACCTCCTGGGTTAATCTACCCTTTCTCTCATTTTCCCTCCTTCTCTGTGGTTCTGAGATTTTTCAACTGTATTTTCTGGTATTTATACTGACATTTTTAATTTCAGTAGTCACATTTGCAGTCTTCAAGAGCTCTTTGTTCTGACTGTGCCTTTTACATAACAGATCCTAATCTTATTCTGTGGGTTTAACATGTTCCCAAAATTCTAAGCATTTTGCCTAGAAGTTTTCCTACAGTTCTTTGTGTTCCTGGATTATCTGTTTCTTGTAGTTTTTCTGTTGGTTTGCTTCGGCCATTGCCTTTTATGCTGCTAGCTCTCATCACATGCCTGATAATCCCTGTTCTCTTTTGTTCTGATGTTGTATAAAAAGGTCCATTTCTGGCTCGCTCTCACCCTGAGCAGGAATTCTGAAAGGGAGTCCTGGGTGGGGCTGCTGACTCCAGGGATTCGCTTTAGGCTGAGTGGGTAGCCAGCTAGTTATCAGACTGCAAACCACTCTTCAAATGCCAGAATGAGGACAGCTTAATTCTTGGGGTCCCAGCATTCACACTAGAAGCCCTAGTTTTAGGCATTTTTTTTATTTCTAGTGTCATGACTTGGCCTAATCTACTTCTATAAAGACTTCATTCTTGGCCGGGTGCGGTGGCTCACACCTGTAATCCCAGCTATCTGGGAGGCTGAGACATAAGAATTGCCTGCACCCCGGAGATGGAGGTTTCAGGAGCCGAGATTGTACTACTGCACTCCAGCCTGAGTGATAGAGAAAGATGGTCTCAAAAAAAAAAAAAAGAATTCATTATTTTTGTGCATTGTAATCAATTTAAGCTCTGTAAAACGTGTACATGTCAACATTCCCCTATCTGCCTGTCCCCAGAAAGTGCTATGGGTTTGGTATTTTCCCCACAGCCAGGGTGTTAAGTGCCAGCAGCCCCTACTCCAGACAGAGGTAGGGAACGATGGAATCACCTGGTCTCTGTGGACCCCTGTGTGGTCCTTCACTTCCAGACCCACTCCTCTCTCCTAGTCCCTGCTTTACCTGATCACTCTTGGTTGGGGGGCGGGGAGGGGCACATGATGAACTCTAGACTTGGCTCCTTCCCCTGCTAAGGTCATAAGCCCAGATCCCATCTGCTTTCTGCTTCTTCATAATCTCTAAACTATTAGGGAGCCTTGAGGAGCCAGGAAGCAAAACCATATACCTAGTTTGCCATCTGGAACCACAAGTCAAAATACAATCATTTCTTGCATCAGATTTTCATCCCAGCCTAGCTTCCCCCCCAGTTTGAAGGGGGATGCCTTTCCCCAGCTGTTACCACAACGTCTCTCTTATCATGACTACCACTCCTCACATACTATGTATGCCTAAATAAATGAATATAACGGGGAAAAACATTCCAAACTTTTTTTTGGCTAACATATATATTTAAGCTTTATGAACGCAGATGAAAGTCAACTGACATTTGATCGTTTAAATTTATACAAACATTTAAAATCACACATACTAAACATTCATTTAAAAATAATTTTATTTGTATTTCATCAAGCAATTTTAATCAAACTCTGTATGTTTCTTTGATATTACTTCATCAGAGAGCAATGCCTAACCCAGTTTTCTAGAACATTTCCAGGATGTTTTAAAGTTTGTAACATCCAGTACTTGCAATTACGATGCTAAATCCTGAGGAATGAGTATTGAATGTGAACTAAATTTCTTTGCTTCTTTTTTTTTTTTTTTTTTTTGGAGACAGAATCTCGCTCTGTCACCCAGGCTGAAGTGCAGTGTTGTGATCTCGGCTCACTTCAACCTCCACCTCCCAAGGTTCAATCGATTCTCCTGCTTCAGCCTCCTCAGTAGCTCGCACTACAGGTGCCCGCCACCAAGCCTGGCTAATTTTTGTATTTTTAGTAGAAATGGGGTTTCACCATGTTGGCCAGGCTGGTCTTGAACTCCTGACCTCAAGTGATCTCCCCAACTCAACCTCCCAAAGTGTTAGGATTATAGGTGTGAGCCACCACAGTGACCTGCCTCCTTCTTTAAATTATTTATTTTTATTTAAAACCAAAGTTAACCTCTATCAGCATTCACAACTAAAATGGATTGAGGTCCTTTTAGATTAGCCAAGGTGTTTAGAACAGATGACTGTGTCATTCCAAAATAAAGTAGTCAGAAGGGCAGCTCTCATAAGAGAACAATTTTGTAATGTTCAAATACAAGGAGAATAATTTTGGGGTAAAAATAAATATTGCTTTGTATTTGGATTATAAAGAAAACACCTATTCTAGACCCCTACATCAGAGAGCTGTCTATGCTATGGGCACAGACATATGCTAGCAAGGGCACCTGGGACAATCCCTCTCTTCCTGGGGGTGCTGAGGCCCTTCCACACACAGGCTATGTTGTACTTAGCCATTTTGGGTCATCAGACCATCCAATGGAATGGTTAACGCTTCTAGCCTTAGCTAGGCTGGCCATATGTCCAGGTTTCCCCAGGACAGTCCTGGATCATACCTGTTGTCTAAAGATTGAACATTCACTCCACTCCCTTTCATTAAACGTGTCCTAGTTTGGAAGATGAATGATATGGTCACCCCAGGCTCGGATAGAAAGCTGGCAAAGAAACCTGACTGATGCAGCAGCTTGAATTCAACAGCACCACGCTTCAAATCTCAACAGTGCAGCTGCATCTGGCCCTGGTATGGTTTCACAGGCACAGGTGAGTTATTTTGGTCTGGGAAGCCATATGGCCAGTCTCCACGTGATCAGGATACCTGAGGGTAAGCTCATCTGGTCAAAGCTCACTGGCCTTGTAAGAGTCCCTCTCCTTTCCCGCAGCTTGACCCTCCAGGTATCCACTGACAGAAGTACTGTCTCTCCTCTGGCTGCAGGGGGAAGTGCCTGCTCTCTAAGGGCCAGTGATTAACAGGGAATGTCCACACCCTCTACCACTTCCTGGCTGCCCTCAGCAAACCTGGTGGCCTGCCTCGACTGCTTAGTCTTTACTCTCCTCTCTTTAGTTAAGGGTCCCCCCACTTCCCTGCCTTCCCCACCTGGTGAAGAAAAGCAGAGGAGGCGTTAAAGCTTGTTTGTGCGTTTATCCAAACCCTGTGCCTCTGCCTCTGTAAACTCTTCTCCCTTTAAACAAGAAGTCAATCTACCAGACTAACACCTCATATCAGGCTTTCTAGCCTATATGCATGTTGGTGTGTGTGTACTTTAAGTTATAAAAAAAACTATTTTCCTTATTTTGGTGACTGATTTGGAGATCTAAAAAGACATCTGAGAACTCTGTACTCACAACAGGTTCTATCCAGCAGTAATGAGCTAGGCTTCAGCAACTATTATTGTATTCAGTTTGTCCCATTTTATCAGTCCCAAAGAATCACTTCAGAATAACCTGGAAGGAAACTATTTCAGTATATATATGTTTTCCTACAAGTAGTTAAGATAAGGAAGGGACTTCTTTTTCAGGGAAAAGTCACTGCTGTTCACAACTATTTAGCAGCAGCTGCAGTCAGGGTTGGTGTCTGGATGTGAAATTCACACTCTTGCTGGCCCTTCTCCATGGGGCAGGGCTGAGAGGCATCTAGAATGAAACTTGGTGAGGGCACACATCTTACCATTTTCACCCAGCAGTTATCCCAAGCTTTGAGAGCAAGGTCTGGCACGTGGCAGGCCCTCAGTAAGTATTTACTGAGCAATATTTACCTGGAGGCATTATTAGTAAGAGCCACTCTCCACTGCTCTGTGAGCAGCAAAGCAGGCACCAGAGGTCGTCACTGCCAAGTGACTTGGTGGTAACACCCACCTATGCAATGAGACGTTGAGTTGGGTAGGCAGGATGTTTTCTATTGCTGCTTTAACAAATGGCCGCAAACTTAGTGGCTTAAAACACAGTTATTATAATAGCCTTCATCTTATCTTACTATCTCACAGTTCCTTAGGGCCACAGGCCAACCCAGGTCTCACTTGGCTGCATTCCTTCCTAAAGGTTGTAGGGGAGGATCTGTTTCCTTGCCCTTTCCAGCTTTTTTTTAACTTTTATTTTTGGTTTGGGGGTACACATGCAGGTTTGTTATGCAGCACAACTCGTGTCACCGGGGTTTGCTGTACAGATTATTTCGTCACTCAGGTACTAAGCCTAGTGCCCAACAGGAAAACTTTCCCTGACTCATGGTTCCTTCTTTCATCTGTAAAGCCAGCGGGCGAGCATCTTCAAGTCTCCCTCTTCCACATTACAAGAACCACTGGGCCCATTTGGATAATCCAGGATACTTCCCTGATTTTAACATCAGTTGATAAGCAACGTTGATTCCTTCTGCAACCTAATGCCCCTTTGCCATTTAACCTAATGTAGCAGCAGGTCTGGAGGGTCAGGACATAGGCTTCTTTGTGAATAGCATCCTGCCATCCACAGCAGGAAATCCAAACAGCCTCTTATTCACATTCAGTTGTGCTCAGACACCAAGAACTCAGATCCTAACAATGGCTTAGGTAAAAGTATTTCAGGTTAGGTATTTCCAAAGGGCACATTCTGGGTTAACCCTCTCCATCACTCTCTACTCTTTGAACTGCAGTGGGCTTCTTTCACACCCCTCCAACCACCACCACTCTCCTGGCTCAGGACCTTTGCACAGTTTCTTCTTCTCTCCTTCAGGCATCCTCCTACTCACCCCTTCATGTCTCTGCTTAAAAACCTTCCCCGAGGCAGGTGGATCACGAGGTCAGGAGATTGAGACCATCCTGGCCAACATAGTGAAACCCCATCTCTACTAAAAATACAAAAATCAGGTGGGCACGGTGGCACGCACCTGTAGTCCTAGCTACTCGGGAGGCTGAGGCAGGAGAATCACTTGAACTCAGGAGGCAGAGGTTGCAGTGAGCCGAGATGGCACCACCGCACTCCAGCCTGGGCAAGAGTGAGACTCCATCTCAAAAAAAAAAAACAAAACAAAACAAAAAAAAAACTTCCCACTTTCCAGGCTAGTTCAGGTCCCATCTCTTATAATTATCATTTGCCTTTCCTGCACAGCAATGGCCACAGTTAGTGATTATACGACTGTGTGTGAGACCATTTGCTCACTGTCCTTCTCCCTCCCCAGAAGGTCAGCTCCATGGGGGCAGGGGCCACACCTGTCCTTGTCACTGTTGCATCACCTAGCATCCAGCTCAGTGCCTAGCACTTACAGGACATCCAATGGTTATTTGTAATGAACAAGCCAGGTAATTTACACAATTAAAAGACAAACTCCAGTATTAATAATTCCAACACAGCAGACTTAAAACTTTGAGAAACCTTAAACCATTTCTAAAGTAAATCCTCTAAAGGTGGAAGAAAGTAGGGAATATCCCTGTCAATGCCCCTGCCCAGGAAAGTATCTTGGATTATCCAGATGGGCCCCATGCAATCATCCTTCAGCCCAATACCAGTAAGCCACATGCTCCTTCGAAGGCTCTAGTTCTTAAAAACAAACACAAAAAACCTTTGTATTCCATGTATACTGTGATTTTCTTTCTGAGACAGGGTTTTGCTCTGTTGCCCAGGCTGGAGGGCAGTGCGTAATCATGGCTCACTGCAACCACCTCCTGGGCTCAAGCAATCCTCCCACCTCAGCCCAAGTAGCTGGGACTACAGGTGTGTGTCACCACACCTGGCTAATATTTTGTATTTTTAGTAGAGACGGGGTTCTACAGTGTTGCTCAGGCTGGTCTCGAACTCCTGAGCTTAAGCGATCCTCCTGCCTCGGCCTCCGGAAGTGCTGGGATTACAGGTATGAGCCACTGCGCCCAGCCCTGTACTGTGATTTAAAAAAAAAAAAATTGTGTAACAGTTAGATTATAATTAACATAGCATTGTTTTAAACAAAAAGTTTTGTCTGCAAATCTCTGAGTAAAAGTGATGTAGAAATGCCAGCTGCCAGGTTGAGAACACGACCTTTCACTCTCCACTCTTTCATTCAGCAAACATTTCCTGAGCTCCTTGCTAAGTGACTGCTCTGCCCTATGCTGTGACGGGGCCCACCTCCCTGCCTTAACTAGACTTATTAAAGGAGGCAGTGATTCTAATTTCCAGCAATTCCTACTGAGTAATCCATTTATAAGAGCTGCAAAGGAAAGAGGGCTCTCAAAATCAAATGCTTACTAACAGCTTAGCCTTACAGCAGTTTACTCCAAATACCCACACCACATTTGAGAAACCAAAGCTAGGGCTGAGGAGTTTCAAAAGGCAACTCCAGTTAATGCAGATGCCCTTATCTGTAACTTACCCGGTTACAAACGCCAAAATGAGTCCATTAATATGGGTTTTGAGAGAACACTTAGGAAACTTCAACTTGGCAGACGAAGCTTGAACTTTGTTTCTAATTTTATACTTGCAGAACTAACAGCACTAGCAATTTTGAATGTTGGTAACTGGTTTTTGGATTCCCCACATGGCTACTTATAGATGAGAAAATGCAGGAGAATCACCCTATTCCTATTGATGGGGTCACCACCTGGAGCTGGTCCACCAGGCTCTTTGTTCGCACTCCCACACTGTGCAAATGCTGCCCATTCTCCAAAAAGCACGTGCCCAGCCCCCAATCCCCTCTATATCTCAGCTGAAGCATCACCTCCATTAATGAAGCCTAGTCCTTTCCTGCCTCGTGTGTTGCTTTGTTGCTGCTCACACCTTTAGACAAGACTTGCTGCCACTGACTCCCACCAGTCCCTGTTCCCTGGAAGAAATCAAGGAAGCCCACCTTGATCTCATTTGAGCTCCTAATTTTACAGAAATAGGGACAAAGGTTCAAAGGGAGCCTCACAGGTCGCATGGTCAACTACGCAACCTGCATTTAAGGCCTCTGGTAGTCAAAGCAATGAACCACCTATAAAGAACTGGAAGGTTGAGGGAAGCCGGAGAAAGAAAACGGACTACATTCCACCTCTTTCTAAATCAAATTCCAAAACCATATTTCATTACAACATCTACAAGAAATCCCTAAAATGTCAAGTTCCTTCACAATCTTAATAGGTAAAATTACCAAAGTAAAAATGAAGGGAGGAAAAGACGATAGAGAAGATAATATAAATATCTTTAAGTACCATGTGATTTCAAAAAGAACAGGTTTTTGAATCATAAAAGTAGATACTAGAACAGTACACCACCACTCCCCTCTGTCCCTCGGATTATTAGGAGTTTGCAGGAGCTCGCAGCAGACAGTGAAAGTGGCCACCTTCAGGCAAAACACAAACATAAGGGTCGATCACGACAGCAAGGTAGATGGATGTACAAGTCAGTCGATACTTGCCAGTTTCTCCTCAAGTTTGCTGGTTGCTCCTCTCTTCCACCAGCTCTTAGACCTTTTCCTCATCTCTAGCTGCGCTCTCATCCTGTGGCTGGAAACACCATCCATTCACTGATAACTCTCAAAACACCTCTTTTCAGCCCCAGCCTCTCTCCTAACTCCATACTCAGATATTCAATTGCCTAGTAAACATTTCCACTTAACATCTCATATTTAACACATTCAAAATAGAACTCAGCTTCTCCCCCAGCCAGGCTTGCCATAAGCATTCCCTTTTTTTTTTTTTTTTAAGATAGTCTCGCTCTGTTGCCCAGGCTGAAGTGCAGTGGTGCGATCTTGGCTCACTGCAACCTCTGCCTCCTGGGATCAAGTGATTCTCCTGCCTCAGCCTCCCGAGTAGCTGGGATTACAGGTGCCCACCACCACACCAGGCTAATTTTTGTATTTTTAGTAGAGACAGGGTTTCACCATGTTGGCCAGTCTTGTCTTGAACTCCTGACCTCAACTGATCTACCGGCCTTGGCCTCCCAAAGTGCTGGGATTACACCACCGTGCCCGGCCTCCTTCCCTATTTTTATTTAAAAATTTTTTTCTTTTGAGACAGAGTCTCACTCTGTCACCCAGGCTGGAGTGCAGTGGTGCAATCTTGGCTTACGGCACCCTCCGCCTCCCAGGTTGAAGTGATTCTCATGCCTCAGCCTCCCAAGAAGCTGGAATTACAGGAATGTGCCCCCACGTCCAGCTAATTTTTGTGTGTGTATATATATACACACACACAAAATATATTTATATATACAAGATAAATATATTTATATTTATTTAAATTTATATAATTTATATATAATATAAATATATATTTGTATATAAATATATAAATATATTTGTATATTATATAAATACATAAATTATATATATATTTTATATATATATACACATACATACAAAATATATATATATTTAGTAGAAATGGGGTTCCGCCATGTTGGCCAGGCTGGTCTCAAACTCCTGGCTTCAAGTGATCCACCTGCCTCAGCCTCCCAAAGTGCTGGGATTACAGGCTTGAGGCACCATGCCCGGCCCCCTTCTCTATCTTACTAAATGTACACCATCTACCCAGGTGCTCAGGCCAGAAACCTAGAAGTCATCATTGATTCTTCACTTGCCCTTATATCCCACGTCCAATGCATCAGTAAAGTCTACAGGCTCTACCTCCACATTTTACTCTGACCACTTCTCAGTAGTTCCTTTCCAGTATTCTCACTGCCAACTTTAATCCAGTTTGTGATCAACCCTTTCATTTGTGTTTTGCTTCAAGGTGGCCACTTTCACTGTCTGCTCTGAGCTCCTGCAAACTCCTAAAACAAAGGCCTGAGTCACCATCACATCATACCTGAACAACTATAGTATCATTCTAACTGGTTTGCTTCTACTCTTGTTCCACCCGAGCCCGTCCTCCACATCTGTTCTTTGCAACTGCTGTTCTTTGCACATCTCAGGTCATATCACATCATTCCTCTGCTTACAGCCCTCCAGTGGGTTCCGATGGGCAATGGAATGAAATTTGAATTCCTGCCACATTCTACAAGGCCCATGGTGAGTGGCCCTTTCTCTGCCTCTCCAGCTGCACCCTCTAAGGTGTGCACTCCTGCCACACTGACTCCGTTTCTGTCCTTTGAACATAGCAGCCTCATTTCCATCTCAGAGTAACCGCAGTCGCTTCCTTTGGTTCCGAACACTCTTGACTCAGATCTTCGCTGGTTGCATCCTTCACATTCCTCAGGGCTAACTCCACCATCCTCTTCTCTCTCTTTTTTTTTTTTTTTTTTTTTGGAGAGGAAGTTTCACTCTCATTGCCCAGGCTGGAGTGCAGTGGCATGATTTCGGCTCACTACAACCTCTGCCTCCCGGGTTCAAGCAATTCTCCCGCCTCAGCCTCCCAGGTAGCCTGGATTACAGGCATGTGCCACCATGCCGGGCTAATTTTGTATTTTTAGTAGAGACGGGGTTTCTCCATGCTGGTCAGGCTGGTCTCAAACTCCCAACCTCCCAAAGTGCTGGGATTATAGGCGTGAACCACCACACCCAGCCAACCATCCCCTTTCTCACAGAGGCCCTTCCTTGAACAGCCTAGCTACCAGCTTTCTCTAAATCACCCCTACATTCACCTGATGTAATAATCTTCACAATCTTCATCAGTACCTGAGATCGTGAAAGTCAGCTGTCCCATCTTTCCTCCCCTAGAATGCTGTTAGCTCCATGGGCACAGGGACTCTTCTTCTGTTCCCTGAATACAACATCTGGAGCAGTAGCTGGTATATCCTTGGCATTCAATAAATGGGATGAATACAACCTTAGGTACCTTAGGTAGATATTATTCATGCATCCCAATATTTTTCTTCGCCAAAAAAGTAGCAAACGAACTACTCATATTTGTAGGACATTCTATAATTACAAAATCCTTCACATATACTTTTATTCAAATATCTCAGCAATTGGGGGGTAAGTATCTTCATTCTAGAAAATAAAAATCTGAGGCCCAGACATTCCCTGACATGGGTAGGGCTTCCAGCCCAGTGCCCTTCCCACTGTGCAGCATTCTTCCCACCACAATTGGGAGCCCTCCTCCTCCATCTAGCCACACCCTGGCCATCCACCAGGAGCTGCCCCTCCTCCTTTCACTTCCCAGGCACACAAGGACTTTGACGCCTGTGCTCACATTTTCCTGCCACCTTGCCCCCAACCCCATAAACACTGTCAATTACCAAGCTCCAGCTCCAGGCCTTACCTACGATTTTGCCTTCAAGACCCCTAACTCAAGTTTCATCATCTCCAAGGGCAAGTACTTCTCCCAATTTCACTTTACTAGGCTATAAACTCCTTGAGGGCAGGAAGCAGATCCTGCTTTTTTTTGTAACCTTAAGGGTGTTTGGAGAAGAAAAACCAAACCCTATTTTTAAATTATACTTACTGGATAATCCAGTTGGGCAAGTGTGAGCTAAAATTCACAGTGGAACAAATCCAGCCCGGAATTTTCATGTTTACACAGAAAGTTGGTTAAAAGGCTGAGGCTCTCTTTTGACTATAAACTACAACTCCACATTCAAAAGACTAGATTTCTAATAACCTTCTAAGAAATCACAAACATAGCCTACTTTCAAAGGAGGCAAACAAGCTATTATTAATAATGCCCCAACAGCTATCATCTCCTATGCTCTCATATTAGGTACTCTGCCTAATAACATGAGACACTATAAGAGACAATAATATAAGAGACACTATTGCCATTACCCATTTTACAAATGTGGACACAAATTGAGAAGACAAGTAACTTGTCCAAGGTCACACAGCTGGTAAGTGACAAACCAGGAGTTGTGCCTAGCACTCCTGGGCTCCCAGATCTTGCTCTAAACCACTACTCCAAGAGTCTCCTTTCTGCTTGATTTGATGACATCACTACACCCCAGTTTACTCATTAAAAAAAATCTATTACAAGAGCATGGTCAGTTATAATTAACGTCTATTAAGTACTTTGAGATCTGTGCTAAAGGCAAAATTAAAGGCAAAGAATACCTGTTACCTTTAACTGGAGCACAAGACCAGCAATTTTATCCTGGCCTTCCCAAAATTTCACAAGATGCCTTCTTTCCTGCCTCCTTGAAAGAGCATGCTAGAACTAAACCCATTTTCTAGTGAATATGATGCTCATGTGACATTTGCGCCTGAGGGTTCTAGTTCTTAACCTGACTCAGTTAAGTCCAGACTGAGTGTCTGGACTTTACTATGGGTGTGTCTCATTAAGAGCAAGGGAGCTCATGCAGTAAAGGAACATCCAAAGCAGAACGTGTTTTTAACATCCACAACTTTCAACTCCTTCAGCTCAAAGTCTTTACCACGTACCGGGGGAAAAAATGTGAAATCACAACCCTCAATTTCAACTATTTAAAGGGAATATGCTAATAAGAGCGGTCAGATCAGGAAAATGGAGGAGGAGACAGGAAAAGAATTCTGGAATTCTGGTTCTATCCCTAGGATCTATTTTTGGTGTGACCTTGGTCCACCAACACTTGCTTCTTACCTCCCAACATAAGAATTTCAATAACCTCAAGGAAAAAAGAATAACATTAGCAACAACATAAAAATCACAAAAGCAACTGGCCTGCATTTAAAATGATCAAGAATTCCACTTCAACAGAAATTTGTAAGTACAGAAATAAATATATAACTAGCTCATTTTAAAATAAAATTGGGGCTGGGTGTGGTGACTCACACCTGTAATCGTAGCACTTTGGTAGGCTGAGATGGGCGAATCACTTGAGATCAGGAGTTCGAGGCCAGCCTAGTCAACATGGTAAAACCTCGTCTCTACTAAAAATACAAAAATTAGCTGGGCATAGTGGTGGACGCCTGCAATCCCAGCTACTTGGGAGGCTGAGGCATGAGAATAGCTTGAACCTGGGAGGCGGAGATCACACCACTGCACTCCAGTCTGGACGACAGAGTGAGACTCCATCTCACAAAATAAAAAATAAATAAATAAAAATAAAAATAAAATTTGGCTAGGCGTGGTGCCTCACACCTATAATCCCAGCACTTTGGGAGGCTCAGGCAGGGAGATCACTTGAGGTCAGGAGTTTGAGACCAACCTGGCCCACATGGCGAAACCCCATCTCTACTAAAAATACAAAAATTAGCCGGGCACGGTGGTGCACACCTGTAATCCCAGCTACTTCAGAGGCCAAGGCACAAGAATCGCTTGGACCTGGGTGGTGGAGGTTGCACTAAGCCAAGATTGCGCCACTGCACTCCAGCCTGGGCAACAGAGTGAGACTCTGTCTCAAAAAAATTAAAAATAAAATTAAATTAGGTGAAAAGTTTTCAGCTGACCAAGCAATTCATACCACTAAGACATCTCTTAAAGAGCCACAATAAAACACTGTCTACTGCAGCAAGGAAAAATGAAAGTCCAAGTTCTGATAATTGTCTCCAGGCAATCCTGTTCTTTCAGTTTCACAAG
This sequence comes from Homo sapiens, assembly GCF_000001405.40. Lineage (NCBI taxonomy): Eukaryota > Metazoa > Chordata > Mammalia > Primates > Hominidae > Homo > Homo sapiens. The sequence continues at coordinate 172,446,737 of NC_000002.12, read as the reverse complement.
GCAGCTGCCAGATCTTGTCAAATGTGGCATTTAATCATTTCCTGTGCTTCTGAATTACCAGATACCCGACTTATCAGTTGCCAAATGACATTTGTGATTTGGAGTCCAATCTCTAGTGAGTTTTCCTTTCAAGAAACCAAGTCTAGGAAACTGTACACACTTGGATTGTGAGCTCACCATTTCCATCCCTGACCTTTGCACAGTGCTCGGCACATAGTAGATGCTTAGTAAATTTCTGTTATGGGAATAAAGTTTTATCATTAATTCATCACTTTTAATAATTTTAAATTCTAGCATGTTGTGACCAAGCAGGTTTTTCTATTTCAAGTGTACCAAGCATAAATATTATCAGTGTTAACTCAAAAAATAAGATTCATGTCTTAAAACCTGTTATCAAATAGTTCATCTGCAAAGGAAAAAGCGACTTTAAATTCCATCATTTTTCAATAAAATATTTTAAATAAAAAACAAGAAGAGAAAAGATAGACTTAATGAGCTCACACCTGGTGGGTCACCATACCCATTTTACTACTCCAATAGTTTAGGAAATACAAATTTTTCAATGCTTTGAAAAGGAAATTAATATGGTCACAGTTTATTTTCTAAATGAGATAAATGAAACAACAGGCTTAGTAGCTCTGCCAGAGAGTGCTGGCTGTCACCCAACATCAGTTCTCCTCTTTCCCATAGTAAAAGACTTTTTAGCTGGGCATAAGGCCACCCTGAATAACTACTACTCAACTGAACCTCCCTCTTTAGCTGGATGTGCCACACAACTCAGTTCTGCTGAATAGGACGTGTGACAAAGCATCACACTGCTGCTTCCAATAATTTTCCTTAGAAGATGGCATGCATGTGCCTTTGGCTCTGTTCTTTGCTCCTTTCTTCAGCTGCCTGGAATGTAGGTGCCACCACCTTGAGTTTGAGGTTGAGGCTCCAGTGGTGGAGCAATAAGAGAGCAAGTCCTGGGTCCCAACACCTCAGACCAGCTACCCAGATTTTTAGAGGCCGGGAAGACAAAGACAAAGCAAAAAGCAAAACCAAAAGAGGTCTTTCAGGCTTTTTTTTTTCTTTTTTTTTTTTTTAAAAAAGACGGAGTCTCACTCTGTCGCCCAGACTGGAGAGCAGTGGCGCAATCTCAGCTCACTGCAAGCTCCGCCTCCCGGGTTCAGGCCATTCTCCTGCCTCAGCTTCCCGAGTAGCTGGGACTACAGGCGCCCACCACCATGCCCGGCTAATTTTTTGTATTTTTTGTAGAGACGGGGTTTCACCGTGTTAGCCAGGATGGTCTCGATCTCCTGACCTCGTGATCTGCCCGCCTCGGTCTCCCAAAGTGCTGGGATTACAGGCGTGAGCCACCGCGCCCGGCCTTTTTTTTTTTTTGTTAAAAAAAAAAAAAGAAAAGAAAAAGACAACAGATTTAGAAATAGGATACTAAGAACAACAAAGGCAATTTACAAAGTATAAATACCAGCCGGGCACAGTGGCTCATGCCTGTAATCTCAGCAGTTTGGGAGGCTGAGGCGGGCAGTCGCTTGAGGTCAGAAGTTCAAACCAGCCTGGCCAACATAGCAAAACCCTGTCTCTACTAAAAATACAAAAAAATTAGCCAGGCATGGTGGTGGGCGCCTGTAGTCCCAGCTACTTGGGAGGCTGAGACAGCAGAATCACTTGAACCTGAGAGGCAGAGGTTGCAGTAAGCCAAGAGCCCGCCACTGCACTCCAGCCTGGGTGACAGCAAGACTCTCTCTCAAAACAAAACAAAACAAACAAAACCTACAGAAATCAAGTTATATGCCTAAACGCTTACATTGTTTAATACTCCATTCCTGCACTTACAGATTTAAGAATATTTAGGGACCAGTATGGCTTGGGAACCAATTAGCGAGCACAGATGGTGGCCATAGCACGGGAGCTACAATCCAGGGGCTCCTCGCTTATGAGGGCATTTCCCCTTTATTGCTGGGTTGTGGGGGGGAAATACGTGGCGATTAGGGGGGTTCCTATGTGAAAACTGGCCAGGGAAGTAGAGAAAGAAACTCAGGGGGGTTTGGGGCAAAGCTATTTACAGGTTGAGTATCATTTTTCTGAAATGCTTGGGACTACAAGTGTTTTGGGTTTTTGGTTTTTTTTGGCGGGGGGCGGGGGGCGGGGATTTTGGAATATTTGCATTAATACTTACTGAGCATCCCAAATCTAAAAATCCAAAATCCGAAATGCTCCAATGAATGTTTCTCTTGCATGTCATGTTGGCAGGCACTCAAAAACACTCAAAAAGTTTCCAGCTTTGGAGCATTTCAGATTTTGGTTGTTCATATTTGGGATACTCAACGTGCACCAACCAGAATGAAAGTTATTTCAATATTTTAGCAACTAATACTTCTTTGTGTATACTGAATCAGTCCTACTTGGACTTGCTATTGCTGAGATAATATAGTGTATGCCTGTAGCAGCTACTACCTCCAGAAAGCTTACATCTTCTTTTCTGCTCCATAACAAACTGGCAGACCAAAACCATAATTAGAGATATCAAGGAAGTTACAAGAATGGTGGGTTCAAGTCTTGGCAGTACCACCCGTTAGCTGAGTATCACTATGGATTATCTGTGAAATCGTTCTATCTAAATATTCTCATAGGGTGTTGCAAGGATCAAATGAAACGATGGGCCAGGCATGGTGGCTCACTCCTGTAATCCCAGAACTTTGGGGGCCAAGGTGGGAGGATCACTTGAGCCCAGGAATTTGAGACCAGCCTGAACAACATGGTGAAACCTCATATTTACAAAAAATACAAAGATTAGCCAGGCGTGGTAGTGCATGCCAGTAGTCCCAGGTACTCGGGAGGCCGAGGCGGGAGGATCACCTGAGCCCAGGAGGTTGAGGCTGCAGTAACCCGTGAGTGCACCACTCGTACTCCAGCCTGGGCGAAAGCGTGAGACCCTGCCTCAAAAAAGAAAAAAGAAATAACATCAAGTAACTTTGTAAACTCAACACAGTGATAAAACATGAAACACTATACGCAATCTTACACATTCCAACAAGCCATTCTAATTTTAACACATACATTTTAACAAGCATAAAGTACAGCTAGGACACAAACATTGAAGCCTTCAGGGATCCAACAGCTTGGGCATAAGGCTGGAAACTCGATTGTTGAAAAGACTCTACTAAACCCACTGATAGCGTAGCCTGTGGTCCTATCAGATGGTTAGGATAGAAAGGAATGAGGGCAGCCACTCCTCCAGAATCAGCCGTGACCATTAAAACAACAACGCCGGCCAGGCCACTCTGCACTAGGAATTAATTAATTCACCTTAAATTAATTCATTTAAGGTGAAATGAGGGAAGCATAAAGTTCTTCACTGCAGCACTGCTTTTAACGGCGAAGGATTAGAAATTATCTGAATACCCAGACTGGTTAAATAAATCATAGTTCATCCTCGAAACTGAGTATTATGCAGAGATTAAAAATAATAAGGAAGCTCTTTATTTACAAGATTGAACAGGCATTAAAACATACCAAGAGAAAAAGAGCAAGGTGCAAAAGAATCTACATGGCAAATGGGTAAAAAAAATCTATGTACATATTTGCTTGTAAATGTATAGGTAGCTCTGAAAGATTCACAGTAAGCTGGTAAAACAATGGTTGCCTCCAGGAAGAATAGGATGCCCAGAGATCAAGGGTGGGAGGCTGACTTTCATTCCATCTTTGTAGTTTTAATATTTGTACCATGTGACTGTACTACCTATTCAAAAATAAATTAAAAATGAAATTTTAAAAATGGAGGTCAGTCCATGGACACGAGGGTCACTGAAAATCTTGCAGAGAAAATGATGGAGATAGTGAGGTTAAAAAAAAAAAATCAGCGCCCACAAGTCATGAAGCAAACCTTGTAATTGCATAAAACAAGCTCACACATGCTCTCTTTATGTGGGCAGTTGCTGGCAAAGAGTCAAAGATTGATTTTTACAGCCCGTTCCAGAGGCATGACAACACATCAGTAAAGCAAGCTCACAAACACGTACCTACTGTGCGCCAGGCACTGTGCTGGCAACTGGGGCATTACAATGAAGAGTGAATGTAAGGCAGAGGGCAAACTACATGGAAGAAAAGAGGTGCAACAGCTGAAAAGGTAGATAAGCTTTCCTAGGGAGTCCCACAGTCAAGTGAGCTGCAGCATAAAATGAATGACATCAGAGACAGGAACTCTAACCTTCCCTATGAACATCCATGGCACTGACAGCATTCAGGGGAACCTTTCAGCTATGAAAATACATCCAACAAGAACTCCTCACCCTTCGTCTATCCTCCTTTCAGAAAGGACTGAATCTGTCCTTTCTAGGGGAGTCCCAATATTCAGACTGAAAGCACTGTAAAGTGCTGTTTATAAATAGCTGCAGGGTCCAAATGCTTTAGTCCTGGATGCTGTGGGCACTCCTCAACCTGCCTGGGGCAATCACTTCCTACCGGGAGGAGCTGGGTTCACCCAAGCAGAGTGAGTCAGTGGCCTGAGTCAGGCACCTCGCCTTTCATCTAATCTAAAGCAATGAATGAGGGGTGTGGCGGTAACCAGGACTCCTTATTCAGAAACATGACGCAGGGGTTGGTGAGAAACATGGGGAACACACAGCTGCTTCTGGATTTGTGGCCACAGGCAAATCCGAGCCTAGTTTCTAATGGAGAAATGTTTATCATCTGAGCAACTCAGGATGGTACCTCTCTATGATGAGAAAGAGATCTGGACAAGTTTGATGGGACACGAACCGACGTACTTAAGCTTCTGGTGGCATTTTATAAAAACAGACACATTAGCTAGCTGGACCTCTGCTTAGGGGTGAGGGCGGGATGGGGTTCTAGTGGGAAATGAAGCAGAAACAACTCAGGACAAGAAGGGAATTGTAGGCACAGCTCTGTCTGTAGCTGGCTGCAGGACTATGACAAATCCTAGGTCTCCATTTCTTGTTCTATGAAATGAGGATGGTGGTCTACCTTTCCAGGCCATTCCCCAAGTTCCTTCCCAACTTCTACAAGTGGAAAATAGTTTCAATTGTAAAGAAATTCACAAAAACATTGGGTATTACTAGAATGTGTCTACTCTCGTTCACAGATGAAAACACCTGTGTCTTATGCACTGAGGTTTGATTTTTTTTTTTTTTTTTTTTTTTTTTTTTTTTTTTTAAAGAGACAGCGTCTCCACTCTGTTACCCAGGCTGGAGTGCAGTGACACAATCATAGCTCACTCTCACCTTGAGTTCCTAGGCTCAGGCCTTCCTCCCACCTCAGCCTTCCAAAGTGCTGGGATCACTGGCATGAGCCACCATGCCTGAGTTTAGATTTATTTTAAAGCATATTTTTAAGAGTTACAAGTGTCAGGCTCTGTTAAAGCTCTAGGCAAACACAGATAAATCAGACCCAAACCCCTGCCTTCAGTGGCCTCACAGTTCAGGACCCTCAGTAAGCTTTTATTCTGACAGCTAATAGATAGATAATATTTATTAGTTTCTATTCTGATAGCTCCCAAATAACTTATTAGAAATCTCATCATGAAAACATCAGTAAGAAAAAAGAGAGCCTATTAAACTCAACAGGATGAGAGCAACGGAGAAATTAGTCATTACCAACTCAAGAATCTAGAGCTGCTCCCAGGTAATAGATTAACATGGGTCTAAAGGAAGCAGGGTGGGGAGAAGGGATTAGTGAACAAGGAAAGTATTTGCAAGACAAGCTAAAGATGGCCTTAATACAGAGGACAGCTGTTAGTCCAATTGGTGTTCCCTGAACAAACAGGCACTTCCTTTCAAACTTCAAGCCACAAATCAAGCCTCAGCTTCAATCAGAACACAGAATGCAACTGAAACCACTCTTGGTTTCATCTTAAAGCTACCAAGAGTTAAGGAGTACTAACAACATATAAATGACAAATAAGCTAATATAGCCAGGCATTTTATTAGTTGCAATTTTCTGTTACTCAATTAAAAACTTAAATTACTTGGTTTCTCAAAGGCTGTTGGTGCCAGGTATACAACTGCTGAATTCAACTCATAGCAGTCCTTAACCGGATTGGAAAAACACATAATAAGCTAAGAGACTAAATTTCAACTTGTACCATAAATATGTTAAACTTTAAATTTCATTGCCACTAATACACATTAGAATATAGTACTAAATGATACAGCACAATCATATATTGAGTTAAAGTTTGTTTAGCTTATCAATACTTTATGGCCTCATAATATGAAACAACATCATTTCCGGGCAAGAAATGATGTGAATATACTTAACAATACTGAATCATACACTTTAAAATGGTTAAAATAAATTTTATGTTATGTATATTTTACCACAATTTTTTTTCAAAGTACCAGCATGTAAAAGATCATTCTAAAGAAATGTTTACCCTGGTTCCTGTTCTCTAAAAGCCTTTAGTGTATTTGGGGAATCAAAGAGTTCAACAAATACCTACTGAATATCCATTTCTATGTATTAGATTTGAACCAAAACTGAACAAGATGTCAGCCTTGTTCTTAAGAAGCTCACAAACCAACAGGACTCATATCCATCAGGCATACATTTATAGGGTGCCTTCCATATGCACGGGATTTAGCAAGGCCAGGAGGGCAAACAGGTGCTGTCTTATTTGCAAACACCCACACAACAGTGAAGGCTGACCAATGTTGACCTGAAGAATTCTGAGACTCCACTGAAAAAATGTGCTATGGTCATTTGGAGTGCCCTAGTAAGCAGGGGAAGGGGTGACAGTGGCTGTATTTTCTATCTCTCCCAGCCCACTATGTAGGGGACATTTAAAAACCCAAGATACTGTTCTATTAAGGGCAAGATTTATGTGGCACAAGTTTAACTCCAAGAATGGGCTATTTCACCAAACGGAAGATGTGTATGGCATACCATCAGGTGGACTGGGCACTGGGCAGCTAGGTTTCAGGGCCCACATTACCACTGACTAGCTGTCACTTGACTTTTCTGGGTCTCAGTCTTCCTTCTAGAGAGAAAAGGTTGAGCTGGTCAATGCTTCCCAGCCATTTTCACAAAAGCACTGAATGACAGAGGCAGGTGAACATGTACAGAGGCACAGTGCAAAGCAACCACCAAAAGCTTGCAATGTCTTCGAAGACTTGTGTTTTATATAAGTACACACTTCATTCTGTACTATAATGAAGCTTTTATACCACCACCATGCCACCTCAGGAAGATGTTTCATATCTGATTTGCAGCACACCAGGGGAATGTATGCTCAAGTCCTGATGACTCACACTTTTGCAAAATTCCAAAGATATTCTATTTCCTTTTGAACTCAGATTTCCCTCAAGGTCTATACCAATAATCTTGAAAGAAGAGATTGAAAAACGACAGTATTTTAGAACCCAAAGTGCTGATTGAGCCTCATTTTCTACACTCCTGACAATTCAACAAGGCCATTCGTCATTTTTTATTCAATATATGCACTGAGACGCTGGATGCATTGACTAGGATTACAAAGACAAATCAACCAGGCCAGCAGGAACAGGAAGCACAGCCTTGGCTCTCCTGCTGCGTTCTCGGAGCTGGCTTCCACCCTGTATCACACACACCCAGTCAACGCCCTCCTGTCCACTCAGCCTGCAGGATACACCAGGACTGTGCCATCCAAGGCACTACCCAATTCTAGAGCTGCAGACCCACATGGGAAGAGCTCTCTCCACACCTAAAATGAGTCTTGTAAGAACTCAAAATAAAAAGTCGTGGTTCTCTGTAGCTCAAATATAGCACAAAGGTCTGCAGATTGCCAAAGAGTTTTGACATGCTGCCATCTTCTCTTCCTTCTTCCAAGTCCCATATTTCCCCTTCCTGTCTTCATCAAAACAATGTATACTTCATGGCGGCCTGTGGACTGCCCTCCAGTTGTAGTCTTCCATAGGGAAACTTAACCTTTGACCTGGCCCCCAAAGGGTAACCTCTGCTGTCCACCAGACTGAAAAGATAAGAGAGCTACAAAAACTCCCCAGTGTGAGGGAATTATGTTCATATTTTACTTTAAGGGACCCTAACAGTAAAGGCTGATGTTGATTGGATATGCCGGGCACTCTGCTAAGTGCTTTATCCTCACCTTTAATGTTCACAACCCTCTGAGGTAGGTGCTATTAGTACCTTCATTTGACCAATGAAGATAAGTAATTTGTCCAATGTCAAAATCAACAGAATGTAAAGGAGCTGGGATTCAAATCCACATCCATCTGCCTCAGTGAAGTTCTTACTCCTAATGAGGCAAACTTTTACACAACTACTGAGTAACTTAGGGCTAATGACTTATTATTATTCACTGAGAAATTAGAAGCAATGGAAAAACCCCATGCCCTTCCACCAGGATAATTAGCCACCTACCTGCATCTGTGCCCCTCATCCGACCTTTCTTCCTCATAACTGTGATGAGCTACCCTTGCTCCAGTCATCAGGCCACCTCCCCCACGGTACGTCCTCTCACCTACTCAGTTGGTGAGGTCACACCAACAGTTCTCCCCTCTCTTGCATTAACTTTTCCTTTTTGACTGAATCATCTTCATCAAACCAGCTCACTATAATCTTCTCCCATCTTAAACAAAACGAAACAAAAACCCACTATTTCCCCTTACAGTTGTTGCCATGGCTCTGCTCCCCTCTACAGCAAAACCCCTCAAGAGTTCCTATGGTCTCCAATTCCTTCTCTCCTGTTCTCTCACAAACCCACTCCAATTAGGCATTGCTCCCACTCCTCCCCATCAGTGCTCTCACAAGGTCACCAGTGGCTTCTACATTGCCAATCTAGCGATCAAATCTCAGTAAGTGTCATTTGATATAACTGATCTTTCACTTCCTCTTTGAAACCCCATCATGTGGTTTCCAGGACCACACACTCCCTCCCTCTCCTCCTGCCATGGGTGTCAGTCTCCAGGGCTCTCCCTAACCTCCATGTGTAAGAACACCATAGGGCTCAGGCCTCCATCCCCGTCCTTGGTGCCCTCATCAGTTCATCATTCTAAACACAACCTAGAGGCTCCTCTACTTGCATCACCAATCAAACCTTTCCAACTGAACTTCAGGCTTTTAAATTCAATTTTTTTAATTGACTCAGCTGCTTACTCAACTGCCTAAATAACTCACTTGGCTGTCTAGACACTCCAAACCTGACATATCTAAAACCATACTCCTGCCCTGCCCCCAAAATCTATTACTCTCACATCTCTCCCCAAACCATAATACAACTCCATCCTTCCAGCTGCTCAGGTCAAAAACTTTGGACACATTCTTCTCTACTCTGTCTGTCCCAACTGATACCTAGTCCCCAGGAAATCCTGTTGACTCTACTTTCAAGACATATCCTGAATCCAAGCACTTTTTACTATATTCATTGCTGCCACATTGGTCCAAATCACCATCTCTTATCTGTTTATTACAGGAGCCTCCTAGTCAGTATCATTACTTCTATCTTTGTCCTCATACAGTCTACTCTCAAGGCTGCAGGCCAGAGAAATCCATTTAAAATCCAAGTGAGGACATGTCCTACTCTTCTCAGAACCTACAAATGCTCCCCATCTCATTCATGAGTAAAAGCCAGTCATTCGATGATCCATAAGGCCCTATACAATCTGCCTCCAAGGAGACTCACTGCTTTGCCTGAACATGCTTCTGCCTCAGGGCCTTTGTGTTTGCCATTCTCTCTGCCAGGAATGCAGCTTCACCTTCTCAGCAAAGTCTTCCCAGGCAGCCCTACTGCTGACCACTTCCCTCCCCATCTGCACTCCCTGTTCCCTCTCTACTTTATATTTTTGCAGATCACATCAACCATTCTCCCCTCTCTTGCATTAACACTTCTGCATTAATTATTACTATCTAACATAATACACCTTTTTGTTTATGGTTTGTCTCCCCGATCAGAACATAGGCAGGGATTTTGTCTATTTTGTTTGCTGCTGTAGCCCCAGCACTAGAACAGTGCCAAATACATAGTAAATACTCAGTGAATATCTGTTGAATGAACAATTTCTATAGGAAAACCCCAAAAAGCTGGCCACGGTTTCTCTGGCAGGTCCAGACCACATTCCCTGCATGTTCGAATACAGACAAAAATCCCTATTTCTTTTGGGTTAAAACATGTACACACACAGAGAGAAATAAATGAGCTTACAGAGCTTACATATTCTATGATATTGAAAAACCTTCTCAGCTGGCTTCTGGCATGGCTGCTAAGCTTGGGGAGAGGTATCATTGTCTCTCAGAGCTTACCTCCCAGATCATCCTGAATGAGGATCCTCACAACGCCTCTCCACATTCCTACAACCCCTTCTCAGTTAACCTCTGTAGCAGCCCTTTCTAAATATAGGGCAAGCCTTAGAAGGTGCTTTTCTAAGCTGGCTTATCTGATACAGTATCTGAAATGGGTTTCCCATGTTCTTGGCATTAAAACACTTCTCTAGTCTGGGATTCCCGAAAGTCCTCCCTCAGCCTTGGCACCATCTAATTCAATAGGTGTCTCCTTCAGCCTTCCCCAAGGCCACTGTCCTTGAGCCTCTAAAAGGCCCAGCAGTGCCCAGACCCATCTCTCTTTGCACTTGTAAAGTCATGGAGGTCTTCTTCATTCATCACCCAGGTCTTTAAGCCACCTCTCAACTTTTTCAAAGTATCGCCTTAAGTCGGTACCTGGGCCTAGTCTCACCAGCAGTAACGAGGACTCACTGGCAAATATTAATAATATCCCTTTCCTAAAATTATGTCTCTGTATGTCCACTTGATCATTTCTGAGCCTCTTTGAACTCTTCCTTTTTTGAAAACTCTTGGGGCTGGGCATGGTGGCTCACGCTTGTAATCTCAACACTTTGGGAGGCCAAGCCAGGCTGATTGCCTGAATCCAGGAGTTCGAGACCAGCCTGGCCAACATGGTAGCATTCTGACTCTACTAAAAACACAAAAAAATTGCTGGGTGTGGTGCTGCACACTTGCAGTCCCAGCTACTGGGGAGGCAGAGGTGGGAGGATTGCCTAAGCCCAAGGAGGTCAAGGCTGCAGTGAGCTGAAATCGCATCGCTACACTCCAGCTTGGGCAAACAGAGTGAGACTCTGTCTCAACAAAAAAAAAAAAAAAAAAAAAAAAGAAACAAAACTCTTGGGTTTTGTGTCGTGGCAAAGCTGGATTCCTTAGGTCCAATCAACAGGTTCTCAGCACCTTTGATTGGAAAACAATGGCCTTTTTCCTACCTATCTCTAATCTCTCTGGAGCCTTGTAGAATTGTAAACATTTCCATTTCACAACTTTTATTGTTTCGATACCTTTGTTCTAAAGGGACATACATAATCACACTGCCAGTAAGAGGCCATCACCCGCAAGATATATCAGGGGAATGGGGCCTAGGGAGGATTTCTTACTACCCTCAGCAAGAAGGAAAGAGAACAGAACAACTCCAAACTCTCAGTGCTGCTGAATGGGGCATCCCTACCAGAGGCCAACCATTCCACCCCTTGGCTGTGATTCACTTGGATAAGGATCCTCTCGTTAACTTTACATCACAATGCTTTATCATAATGGCAGCATATCCTGAAGAGAAGGGCTCCTGATTCTGCAAGGACAAAGGAGTTATTTGGCTCAGGAGGGCTTAGGTTCAGTGACATTCTGCCCTCTGGGTCTGAAATGTTTATTATCATTTGCATCATACACACACACACACACACACACACACACACACTTAAAACCACCTCAGTACAAATGAACTTCCTTTTCAAAATGAAGAAACCACAGTGACATTGATATCACCGAGCAAAGCAAACAGAGCTCTTGGGTAAAGAGGCATTACTGGGTGCTTCCTTACTCTTCAACTAACCAGTGTGCCCCTTTCAAATTATTGCAAAGTTTATTTTTATTTCTGTACTCCCAGGCTTAGAAAGCATGTTTCTCTCAAAGGCTTTTCTTATACTATATCTGAAATGGCTTTTCAAAAAAGTAAGTTTCAGATTGTATGACATGCAAAATATACTAGCCGCTTGGCAAATAAACATGCAAGCAGATACCCACGGCTCCATGTCATGAGTTTTTGCCCTTTGTGACTTGCGTTTAGTGGTACTTCATCCCATTCCCCCTAATTCAGAACAGTCTTCTTTACCATTTAATTGGTTTTAGAGACTTAGTTTTCTAAACAGTCTTTCTGCCAATTTAGGATGAGATGAAGCGACAGTGGGATCCAACGTTGGAATCTGGCATGGGGCTGAACTGGGGAGGGTCTGCTGCCACACTGCGGCCTGAGAACAGTCTTCTACAAACATGCCAACCTCGGAATCGGTATGCTGGTTTGAGATCGTCTTGCCTTGTTTATCTAAGCAGAAAAGCCAGATAGCAGATTTGATGGTGGTTATCAAACCCTGTTATTAGTTGACAGGGACCTGCACTGGTGAGAGGCCCATCTACCTGCCCCAGTTCAGGGCTAATTAACAATTAGCCTTTTAACTTAATTCCAAGAGATCAGTGTTTGCAAATCTAAATGCCAGTTTAACAAACCTGTGAAGGAAACACTACTTCCATATTTGCCCACATACTTTCCAACCTTAGGCAGTTTTGTCATCAATAATCCACAAGCTCCTTCCTAGCAAACATTAGTGCCAAGCAAAAAACTAAGAAAAATAAATCGTTTTCAAACCTGCCCTGGGTGTTGTGCAAGTTATCCAGCCTCCTAGGGATGGAGGTGTGGGGGTGCTTTCAAGGTCATAGAGGTCTAAGAAGGCCTGGAAACCAGACAGGTGGTATTCCTTAGCAGTAAGCCCAACCTATAACTGCACCACCCACCCTCCATGGGTATCCAGCTCACAGTCACTGCCCCGTCATGTCTATGCACCCATCTGTCCACTCATCTCTGAACACTGAGACCTCACTGGGATTTATCTATGGCTTAGTAGCTACGAAGGGCTGCTAAGTAGAAGGCATGGCTCTTCTGAGATGCACTTTTCAACTGGAGAGTGGAATGGAAGAAAGGGAGAATGTGATGAAAACCAAACCTTTAAACGTGATGAAAACCAAACCTAAAAGGAGAAAGCACATACACAGCACAGGCCGGGAAGCAGGGAAGATGCAGATTGAAGACCAAGTTTGCTAGACATGCCGCCACCACTGCACCTCTTACAGCCTTGGTTTCCTCATCTATTTAACAAACACAAAATGCTCACTCTGGACCAGGACTATTCTAATGTGCGAGGATACTAGCTTCACAGCTGAAGGCAGGAAGGCCTAGGAAGGTTAGGAATCCTGCACAAAATCATAGCTAGTCAATGGCAGAAAAGGGTTTGATCCTACCTGGCTCTAGGCTCTGCTCTTAGTCACTACATTACACTCTGCCTTCTGTGTAAAGGAGAAAAGCTAGTCTGACTCAAACGAAGAAGACTTTAAGAACAGCTTCTTGGAGCACACTTATGGAAACTGACGTAACAGATCTAGGCTGGGCTGAGAATCACACTTTTATAAAAGGTTGCCCAAGTAGTTACCCTGAAGACCAGCCAGGTTTCAGAACCCCTAAGCTTCCTTCCAGATATAAAGTTATTTGATTCCAGAGTTGTACCCAAGCCCAGAAAGGGAAGATGGGCACCGGGGGCTGAGACTACGTCCACTTCCCACTGCTGCAGTACGTAATCTTTACCATCCTCCCAGGAGCCAGCGGGGGTGCTACACAGATCCCCAGATCCCATGCTATGGCTCCTAGGCTCACCCCCGGAGCAGGTAAGCAGCCTTCCCACCATCCTACCGAAAGAGTTAAATATATCCAAGATTCCCTTACTATCCTTGAAGAAATAAACCTGCCGCTATCAATTCACAAGTGACTTCACACGTGTACTGCACACTTCCATTTGACCCCCACACCCCTGTCAAGTTGCTTTCAGAAAGATCTCTATTCCACAGTCATCCTTCTCTGTCCAGCCTCATAACAACCAACCACCTCAGCAAGTCCCGAGTACCCACTGCAGTGTAGGTCAGCCTGTATTTCTGGGGTTAGGTTCTAAAGTCTGCCTTTAGGGCAAAAGCCAGGTGAAATTTACAAACACTCATGAAAATCCCTTAGCTGGAACCCCCCGCCTTTGAAAAATCAAAAACCAAGAATTAACGTCTTGTGCGTTTCTTTGCTAAGCTTACAGATTCCGTTTCCTCAGAGGCAGAAGACACCAAGGCCTGAGCAAGGAAGGGCAAAGGGTTAAAGAAAGGGATTTCTCCCTCTCTCCACCCTCAGCAGGAAGAGTTGATGTCACAGGTTAAACTGAGTGTATAATATCAGTCTCTATTGTATTTGCAAGGCATATGCTAGGTGCTAGCAGGCAAAGAAATGAATGTAAGACCCCTGCCCTCACATAACCTACAATCCAGTTGGGAGAGATTAGATCATGTCCTAAAGATAGTGGATCACAGTTTAGCACAAAACATCAGAATTGTCAGACACAATGTGCTACAGACATCCAAAGGAGTTAAAGACATTGCTTTAGTGTAGGATGGGGAAATTTTAAACTGGTTCTTAAGCTATGATTATATTCTTAAAATGGGCTGATTCAGCACTAAATCAGTGTTTCAGGCACAATTGACCCTGTCATCTAAGCTTACAACAGTATTTTCTGTTTTGTCTCACTGTCCCTCTTGAAAATACCAAATAATTCACTGGCCTCACTGTCCACAGTAATATGTTGAGCCGAGGTCTTCAGGAAACCATGCGCCATAATTCTGGTACTATTTGGTTATGAAAGCTTAAATTAAATCTCAATATATTGTTATGCTAAGAGAGTCTATATAACTGAGAACACAGAATAACCACTTCTTTATAATAAAGGAATCCTTTTATATAAGCATTTATCCTGACTTCCCCAACAAATTATTTATACCATATAAATACTTTGACCCTTTTTTTCCCCAACCCTGTCATTACTTGGTCTCACACCAGCCTGTGTTAAAATTAAACTTGCCTATTTCTGCTTTCTTGCAGAGTCCTAAGACTTCCTGTAAGTCTCGCTGCCCGTTTTGGCTTTTTCTCTACTCTTAGCATTCAAGGTGACCCAGCAATCCCTGGAAGATGGCCCTGGGCCACATGGCACTCCGAGTGAATAAATGCAAGGAAGCAAGTGCTTAGGTACACATCCTGAATACAGCTCTGATTCTTGGCTAGCTACAGCCACACTTCACTGGGCTTTTTCAGAAGGGAATGGGGTGGAGGCAGGCAAAGAAGGACGGACCCAGAACTTGTTCCAAGGCCAGCTGGAATAGAGTCAATAGTAAGAGTCCAGGCACCAATATTTAAATAGATAGCCCTGACCTATGCATATGGGAAGCAGTTTGATAAATCAACACAATATAGTACACTTCCAAAATTCAGATGCTTGCCGATTTCTCTAGGTCTGAAGAACATTTCTGGCTTTTCCATTTAAAAATGGCATGAGCATGGGTCAGAGATTCAAATCCACATTCTGTTAAGATTCTGCTCAAGCTGAACTTTCAGCTTCAGTTTCTTCATCTGTAAAAAGAGGCAGTTGGACTAGATGATCTCTAGTTCAGAAAATATGATTTTAAGAGATGGAACATGACAAGTCTGAGAAAAGTCAAGAACAAACCTAGTAAGGGTCAGAACAGAACAGACCGCGGGCCTGGAGCATTTCTGGAAGACAGTGGTGGTCAGAGAGAGAGACCCCATAAAGAAGAAAATGAGGGTTGGCAGAAATCCAAAATGACTTCATGAGACTATCTCTTATAGATCTCCTTCTTCTAGGTTCTTCCCTGTGATCATATATAGATCCATCTCTTCCCAGAAGAGCTAAGAGTGATGATTCATAGGCTGGATATACCCACAGTCATCATCACATACCTTCCACCTCTGGGAATGACTCAATCTTAACTACCTAAGAGAAATTAAAGAGTCCAAGGTGCTCAGACCCTGACCTCAGTCACTCGGCGGACCAACTTGGCTGACCATTGAGTAATCTTTTGGAGTCCGAAACTTCTTTAATATACAGCCTGAAAACCTGGATGAAGTTTATGGTATCTACTTCAATTTTATAGTCTCCAAAGCTTTAGGAACACCCGACATGTTTTGGGGCTCTCTGACACAATATTATTCTGCAAAAGTCATAACTGGAGTTTAAAATGTGACTGAATAGTTAAAGGCACTATAGAAAATTTGAACTACAAACATTTATGATAGGTCTTCTATGATCGTGCTTTTATCTGACCGTCCCATGCATCTGATATTTTACTTCTCCTTCCTCAAAGTCCTCTGTTCATTAAACTCACTTTTGTTATAAGTCTAATTAAGACCTATTAAAGTTAAGTTGCTTTGAACATGGGTTTCATAAATATGACTGAGTTTAAAATATCATTACCCAAAAACAACCACCTTTGGCTTTACTCTCAGGCAATCTTAGAATCACAGAATGTTTAAGACACCTTGTAAGGTACCTGACACACAGTAGGTACACAATTACTGCTTTTTAAATGATCATTAACAGCTACCATTTAGTCAGCAAGTACCCATGCCAGACAGGCATTAAGCACTTTGCATATTATCTCTTAATCCTCATAATAACCCCAGTAAGCAGTAATATCTCCATTTTACAGATAAAGAAATTAAAGCTCAAAGTAAATTAACAGCTGCTAATAAAAGGCCGAGAAGGAATCTCAGCTTAGGTCTCTCTCCCACCAGGTCCCTGAAAGACCCCCACTGAGTTTTTCCATAGAGTTTAGGAAGCTGGTCCAGAAGTTTTCTCAGTCTTACTGGCTCTGCCATTTACACCCACATTCTTTACTGTCAAAGGTTGACAACTGACCTGTGCTATGGCCTGTGTGTGCTGGTTCTCCTGGGAAGACCAATGCTATTCCTGAAGCTGGAATAAAGCTTTACAAAAGCATGGAGGTGGGCAGCACGTGACATAAACCACAGCCTCTTTAAAGTGTGGTCACTGCCTTTGGACTCTAGGAAACATACAGTCTCCTTATACGGGGCCTCTCCCCTCTGTCAGCTGCTAAGAAGAGCTTTCCTAGAAGGCATCAGACCCCATTGCAGGCTTATCCTTACCTCGGGAGGAGTTGCCTCAGCTCTAATACCAGAGAAGCCCAGCAGCAGTAACAAGTTTTAGCAAGCATGCTGCTAACCTTCACGACACAGATTCCTGGCAAAGTCACGTTTCGCAAATCTCCACTGCCAGGATATTTCTTGTCCCAGTACTTTCCCTTCACACTTTTTGCTTGAACAAGTATTTCAAGGAAGCCACCGGTTTCAGTGGGGCTCTGGTGCAGAGAGAGAATGCCCAGGAGAATGAATTCCCTCTGCTGGCCCACAATCATTTCTGCACTAACAAGCTCAAATTCTACACACCAAGTATTCCGAGACAATAAACGTCATCTATTAACTGAGTTAACAGGAACCTTTCATTTCAGATTTACAGCTTAACAACAATTATTTCTGAGAGAAAGCAGAGTATAAGCAGCTGGCCAGGCATATAGCCTCAGACCACCCTCCTAGAGCCTCCCCACCCCCAGCTAATTTCTGTGCTTCACCTAGCAGGTGTTATCAGAAAAAAAAAAAAACTGACTAAAATTCAGGGGCTGCAACATTCACGAATTCCAAAGTTGTTAACCGCTGAAATCAAGAGGTTTCCTCCAGTTCTAAAATCCCATTCGCCTCTCCTAAACACAAAATCTCTTCACTGTGGCTGCACTTTGCTTTCTCCGGTCTGTTGGTCCTGGAAGGTCCTTAGTTCAACTCAAGGCCTGGGTGGGGAGGGGAGACCTTTTGTTGCTACAGCCTATTTTTCAGTAGCACAGATGAAGAATGCAACCCCATAGCGATTAAGGCGACTAAGCGCCAAAATACCCTCTCCGGCTTAAATAGCCGATCATGTGGGAACCAAACACTGTTTAAGAAATAAAAGGAGAGGCCAGTAGTGCCGGTCTCCTCTTTCTCCTGGGAGGTTTACCGCTACGGTGGGGGGTTGTCCCTTACAAACCTTGTTTGCAAAGTCCAGGCTCAGATCGGACATTTTGCTTTAACCCCTTGGCTGTGCCCGCCCAACGCAGGAGCCGAGCGGGTCTCGGGTGCGGCCGAGTACTTTGGGGGCTGGGCACATCACTCAGACTTGTTTTCTCAGCTGATCTAGTCCAGCGAACAGGTGTTTGGTTAATTCCCGCCCCCACCCCCATCTTTTTTTTTTTTTTTTTCAAAGGCATGTAAAAGTATCTCCTAAGGAGCGCCCCCGCCTTGCTGAGAAAGTCATGCAGGACACATGGAAAGTGGCTTTCCAACTTGTGCGGGGCGCGCCAGTCTGCGGGGGAGACGGGGTGCACCGTGAGTTTGGGAAAGGCCTAGACCATCCTGGAACTACGCTCCCTGCAAACCCACAGCAGCGCTGCGGTGACCCTGAACGCCACCCCAGCCCCAAACACACACGTGAAGCTCAGCAAAGCGTGCCACCTGCCGGGGTCCCAGCAAACACGCCCGGAGGGAAGAACCGGCGGAAAGCACTTTGTTTAAAACAGAAAAAAAAGTAAACTCTCCCGGGGCCCAGCCTAGCCCTCGGGTTCTCCTCCTTCCCGAGCTGAATGGAGGGAGGCGCCGCGCGGGGCGGGTCAGGGCGGGGAGCCGAGCGCGCTGGGCGCTGGGTGCGCCTCGGCCGGCCCGGGCGCGACCCACGGGCCAACTACTCCCCGGGGCCGGCGGGAACAGGGCGCGCCCTCGCCTCAACTCGCGCGCAGGCCGGCGCCCCAGTGGGGGTGGGAAGGGTCTGGGAACTCACAGCCGCTTGTCCTCGGGCTGCAGTTGCCAGTGCATGGCCAGCGAGAAGCCGAAGAGGCTCCCGGGGTCTCCATATTTCCGGATCACGTTGTCCTCCCGAGTGTCCAAGTTGAAGGCTGCGCCGAGCCGGGACAGGAGCCCCGCCGACAGGTAGAGCAAGCACAGCTGCCCGGCGGCGGCCATGGGCGGACGCACGGGGAGGGGAGCGGGGACCTGCAGCGGCCGCCCTGCGCTCCGGGCTGGGTCCGAGGCTGCCGCGCTGCTGCTACCGCAGCCACCTTCGCCTCCTCTCGCCGCTGCGCCCGGCCCCACCCCCGGGACGGGTCGCGCTCTCCGTCCGGCCGCTCCCCCTCGCGGGCAGCTCGCGACCGCTGAATGAGCCCGTTGTTCTCTGGAGACTCGCAGGCGTTTTATCAAGTGACGAGGACGCCGGCCCCGCCCCTCCCCACCCTCTCGCCCCTCCTTGCGCGCCCGCGGCCCGGCGCACCGCCCGCACCTTACCCGCCGGCTCTGGCGTCTCCAGCTGCCCGGTACCTGCCCGGAAGCCACGACGTGGGAGCCCCGGAGGCGAGCTCGCGGCGAAGCAGCCCCACTGCGCCGCCCTCTGTGGACAGAATTGTGGTTGCCGAGTAGCACAGAGCGAGGGAGACTTTACTACCCGTTATAAAGAGAAGTGCAGGTGATGCACCGGGCCTCATGGCCTGAGCAGCCTGTTCTTGCAGATGTGGGCCCACGTGCAGATGCATACGTCATTCATTCATTTCTACAGGTGTTTATGGAGCGCTTAAGGCGTGCCCAACACTTGGGGACTACAGCTGTGTAGACTGTTCTGGGTCCTCAAACACCTAACAACCCTCAAAAATGATCACAGCGCACACCTTGATAGTGCTGTATAATGTACACAACCCAGCCATTACCTCAATTCATCCTAACAGTCCTATGAGGTAGGTGTTTCTTTTTGCAGATCAGAAAACCGAAGTTCCGCCTTGTCCCCAGATCACCTAGGATTTTGCCCAGGTGACCAGGAGAGCTTGTGGAAGAAGTCACGCAAGTCAAGGATGGGTTGTTTAAAGTGGCGCCAGGAGCTCAGGCGACGATGCCGTTCTTTCCTAGCCCCGGACTTTCAGAACTAGTTGTGGGGAGAACTGCTGGGCCAAGAGACAGCTCCGAGTTCTGTGTAGGTGGCATGAAGGCTCCTGCCTCCAGGACATGAGGCGGGGCTCCAGTGAGGTGTTGGCCCTAGGGGCAACCTTATCCTGCAGGGGTTCTTAACCCGAGGAGAGGTAATTAATTCAAGAGTACTGTGAACTTGGATGAGAAAAAATTTACGTCTTAATTTTCACCAACCTCTGACATTTAGCACGTTTTGCCATTATGAACGTAGACAACAAACTACAGTAGCAGTAGGATAAGTATTTATGACTTAGTAATCACTAGAAACCATAGGTTTTTACATCACATCACAGTTGTTGCAAGTATCTCAAATAACAGTAGTTATTAGACAATCAGCCAGATATTATATGTCAATAATGAAGCATATATATTGCTCTAGCACAAATTTTTAAAAACATTTTGTTAGCTACATTTCAATATTATTGGCTTTTTTTGTAACCTCTTGTGGTTTCTTTTATGTATTTAAAACCCTTATTCTGAGAAGAACCCCATGGTTTTCAGCAGCCTGCCAAAGGGGTCCCATGGCATGAAAAGGTTGGGACGTGCTGGCCTGAAGCCTTCTGGAATGCCTTGGGGAGCCCTCTTTGGAATCTGACATCCCTGCATTGGAAATACAAGCAGGGTGCAGCCCCAGGAAAGAGCAGGAGCTGTGTGTGCATAGGGGTAGGGGTGGCCTCTTCTTCACCTCAAGGAGTATTCAAGAGAACAGCATGTGCCACTCAGAAAAGCTGCGTGAACATCATCAAGGGTCCCCACAGGTGGTAGCAGCTGTCAGAGTAAGTCCGTCAGTATATTAGGGGTGTGTACCACTTCCTTTCCAATCAGTAACTCCAGTCAATTATAGTCCAAAGTGGGGTGCAGTGGTTTAAATTCAGTAGATGATTTTGGAGAGCACACAGTTTTAACAAATATATCTTGATAAGGTTGAGAAACTATTGGAGACAATCTAGTAAACTAAGAAGTACTTGCAACGTGATTTTTCATGCAAATAAGTTGCAAGTTAGCCTTTTCCCTTCGTGTAAAATATGTACTATTCCAGAGAGATGGGGTCCAGACTATTATAGGCATAGTATAATGAACCTCACTGCAGAGTGTACTCAGCCAGGAGCTGGTGATTTGGCTGTAATGGTTACTGAAATATTCTGAATTGGTTGATAAAAGCTGCTGCCCTTAGTTCCTCACAGGCAACCATCCCTGCCCTGCCCATTTTCCTAGGACTAAGCAACTTCCTCACAACCTGGCAAATGAAAGTTTAAGCCCTTAAGCCCTGATGCAGCAAGGGCTCCCTCTGCTTGGATATCCCCATGTCACACCAGCTGTTAACTATTCTGAATATCACCCCTTGCTTCTAAGAGTAATTCTGTGGACCATTGATTCCTGTCTTCCCAAGATGTGTTTAGTGGATGATGTATGAATGGCCAGAGTTATTTACTTTATCCCAAACACAGATTGTGCTCAAATTGAAATTCTAAATAATATTAAATTTAAATATCACAACTACATGTATAGCACTACTGAAGCAAATTATGCTTGTGTGGGAAGAGGTTCAGATAAAGAAAAACAAGGCTGGGAGTCTTGTTCTGGAATATGTCAAGTGCCCATCGCAAATGGAAAACTTATTAGCTCAGTGCTCCTACCTGCCACCTGTCTCCTACCTACTTGAAGTTGAGTCAAACTCTCACTCTCAACATAGATGCCGAAGATACTTGAAGTTGAGTCAAACCCTCACTCTTGACATAATTTATTTGAAGATTGTCAGCTCCTTCTGACTATAACCATCAAGTTTTGGCCAGGCACAGTGGCTCACGCCTATAATCCTGGCACTTTGGGAGGCGAGGTGGGAGGATCACCTGAGGTCAAGGGTTCGAGACCAGCCTGGCCAAAATGGTGAGACTCCCCCCCACCCAACCCCACCACCCCGTCTCTACTAAAAATACAAAAATTAGCTGGGTCTAATGATGGGCACCTCTAATCCCAGCTACTCGGGAGGCCAAGGCTCAAGACTCACTTGAAATGGGGAGACAGAGGTTGCAGTAAGCCAAGATTGCACCACTGCACTCCAGACTAGGTGACAGAGCAAGACTCTGACTCAAAAAAAAAAAAGAATCAAGTTTTGTGACTCAGTTGTTATTTCCATTGTAAAACAGAGTTGGGTGTTTTACAAAAGTGTCTTACAAAAAGGAGGTTTAGAGGTCATTCTGGATCCACTGAGGACACATCAATCTCTGGGGCCAAAGGAATAAAAGAATTCAGAGCCCTAAAAATTAAAGACCTGGGGAGGGAGTACACAGTTTTAATGGGGAAAACAAAATCTGGGACAGGAAGATACTTGTCTGGAACCAAAGGGAGAGAGATAGCTTGGTGATAAAGGTGTGCTGAGTATATAGGGCATGGGGCATGTGTGTGTGTGTGCTAGCACACATGCCTATGAAAACAAGACATGCACAGTGCAAGAAGGGCCCTACAAATCCAGTTAACTGGCAGAACCGTGTCTAAAAAAAAAAAAAAAGGGCCGATTAGAAAACGAAATAACACATCACAGAAGAAACTTCTATAAACTGAACATTTTTAATTAAAAGGCAGTGAAAGCTATGCATAGAGGCATTTGCTCAGGTGAGAGCTTTTGAATTCTTATGTTTTACCAGTACACTTTTCAAAATAAAATTATTTATTTGTACTATATCCCACCCTCTGTAGAAGAGCTTTCAAGATAATTTTAGAATATTGGTCATTTATGGAGAAGTCTGAAGAATCCATGTCATACCTAATATATTTTCCATTCCCTGAGACCTACTTTAATCATTTTGTTATCATGTTCACTGTTATATTGACTTCATCATCACTAACAGCAGAGAATATATTTGCTTTTTTCATGCAACATAAAAACTAGTTATTAGGCCGGACGTGGTGGCTCATGCCTGTAATCCCAGCACTTCTGGAGGCTGAGGCAGGCAGATCACCTGAAGTCAGGAGTTCGAGACCAGCCTGGCCAACTTGGCGAAACCCCATCTCTACTAAAAATACAAAAATGAGCCGGGCGTGGTGGAGGTGCCGTAATTTCAGCTACTCAGGATGCTGAGGCAGGAGAATCGCTTGAACCCGGGAGGCAGAGGTTGCATTGAGCCGAGATTGCACCACTGCACTCCAGCCTGGGCAACAGAGCAAGACTCCGTCTCAAGAAACTAGTTAATGAAAACATCTCTTTATTCTCTTTCTGTGGTTACATTATCCCAACAGTTTTACATATTTCCTGGAGCCC
The DNA here is from genome assembly GCF_000001405.40 of Homo sapiens. Taxonomy (NCBI): domain Eukaryota; kingdom Metazoa; phylum Chordata; class Mammalia; order Primates; family Hominidae; genus Homo; species Homo sapiens. The sequence continues at coordinate 172,423,539 of NC_000002.12, read as the reverse complement.
TTTAATGTGAGGCCATCCATGAGAGTGGGTAGCACATGGTCTCTGGAACCCAAGTTCCTTATTACGGATCCTGCCTCTGCTCCACGCTAGCCACAAGGCCATTTAATCTCTCCATGTCTCCGTTTTCCCAGCTGTAAACCGGAAATAACAACATGTCATCTACCCCTCAGTAGTTGCTTTCTCTTAAGAATTAGTAGAGTTGATGTTATCTAAAGCACTTAGAATGTTGCATCAAAACCAGAGCTCCCACCTGTGTACAGTCTTTCAAGATACGGCTTTTATGAGCTATGCATTGACCACAATATAGTTTCGTGAACTAAACTTAATAAACTGTTCTGACTAGGGATTCTACTATTCAATGGCAGATTTTTTGTTCCAGAGAAAGAAACAGAGTTTTCCCATACTGTTTTTTTATTTGTCTTTTTATATTAGTGTTCAGAGTTTTCTCTTCGACACTGAAACTTAATGCTTTTGTGTTTAAAAAAAAAAGTGACATTTTATTCGCTCTAAGTCACAGACCATTTAATAGGGGCAAACCTGCCTTTGGTTGGGATCAGGAGACTCCATACTGCCAGCTGTTCCTTATTTTAACACCTAGATCTATTTTGAAGTAAATTGCATTTGAATGTTTCTAATTCACTTACAATGAGCTCATTAAAATGTAGAGTGTTTCACGTTGCCATTTTAGGTGGGCAAACTTTTTTCAAGTTTGTTTTGAGGGAATTTTTCTAAGCCAGGAAGCCATATTTTGCCAGCCAGAAATAAACTCCAACCTTAAATGAATCAAGTTAAATCTAAAACTGAGTCATAAGGCTGGGGTGAAATCCCCACCTGACAAATTTGGTTTTCCATCCCCACCTTCATTAGAAACAAACATGAAGCTATGTACATCTCATGCCACACGCAATGCACTCTTGAAAGACCAAACATGGGGTAGACATTTTAAAATTAAGTTCTTTAAAGAAAAAAATTCATTGCTTTCTATAAAAATATCTCCTGTGTTGGTGGGGTGGGGGGAAAGGCTGATTTTGAGTTAGGACTTAAGCCAGTGATCTGTGGAGTGTATCAGGTGAGATTAAGGCAAACACTCATGGAAGGCAGCTTAGCCTCACCTTCTTCCCGGCTGAGGGCCTGGAGCAAGTTACCCAACTTCTTTAGGACTCAATTTGTTTTTTTTAGAGTGAATCTCGCTCTGTCGCCCAGGCTGGAGTGCAGTGGTGCAATCTCAGCTCACTGCAACCTCTGCCTCCCGGGTTCAAGCGATTCTCCTGCCTCAGCCTCCTAAGCAGCTGGGATTACAGGCACATGCCACCATGCCCAGCTAATTTTTGTATTTTTAGTAGAGACGGGGTTTCACCATGTTTGTCAGGCTGGTCTCGAAATCCCGACCTCGTGATCTGCCCGCCTTGGCCTCCCAAAGTGCTGGGATTACAGGCATGAGCCACCTCCCCTGGCCTAGGACTCAATTTTCTAATCTGTAAAATAGCCAGAATTCTTACCTCATCAGGTTGTTATAAGGATTAAGTGAGATTATATAAGTGAAGCATATAGTACAATATCTACTATTAAATGCACGCTGAAATAAAATAGTAGCTGTGAAAATGTAGGTGAAGAAAGTATACTAGAAAATAAAACAAGAGAGGACTTCAAATAATGGAGATTAAACATAGGGAGAGGCAATATGCAAATGAGGTCACTTGTGCCCCATATTTGCGTCATTTAAATGGTCAGCATAAACCATTCCTTATCGTTATAGCTTGGCAAATATAGTCGTCCCTCAGTATACACAAGGGATTGGTTCCAGGACCCCTGCACATAACCAAAATCCATGCATACTCAAATCCTGAAGTCAGCCCTGAAAATCCACATATAGACAAAGTCGGTACTCCACATTCACCAGGTTCACATCCCGCAAATACTGTATTTTCAATCTGAGAGTTTTTTTTTTAAAAAAATCCATGTGTAAGTGGACCCCTGTGGTTCAAACCCATGTTGTTAAAGAGCCATCTATAATCTCTGTCATATGATAGTTTCCTGATGCCAAGGTCTGCATAGAAACAAGTTTGTGCTTCACTCTGGGTCTGAACCATTTCTGTCTTTTGCCAGGATTTGGAGAAGTAAGAGTGGGTCCTAAACTCTGCGTCCGCCGGAACTTCAGAAGAGACAAACAGTTCAGATGACAAGCTAGCTAGGAGGCCTGGGGAGAATAAAGAGACAAAAGCACAGGGACATTACTGAACACGTCCTTATCACAACCTGCTCAGCCAAAGAGAAAGTTAGCACTATGAATTATCCAAAATCACAGCCAACTTATCATTATTTTGTTTGGAGCTTCATCTTCTTGAATACATCTTGCTGCTAATATTAAAGCAGCTTATACTACTTAAAATAAGCTGACAGGATAGTTATGAGGACATGTCACTTGATAGGGAAATCAAATCTTGAACTTTAAAATTTCTTCAACATTTTTGAATCTGGAAAGCAAGTCATTGGAAGGTGAAAAGTAGTCACTATATTTAACAGGTCCCTTCTTATGGCACATTAACAAAACATTTGAAGCAATGCAATAAATTCTGCCCTGTGAACACACTACTCTATAGAACAAATAACAAAGAAAGGAGGAAAAGAACGTAGAAATCTGAACCACCTAATAGCCAAGAATGTCCCTATTGCAATGGCTTTGTTGTCCCAGATCACATGCCCAAAAGTGAAGGGCCAAACGTTTCTGCATTATACAACATATTTCTGAACTTTCCCTGGTGAAAAAGGAGAAAAATGGGTTCACAGATACTTATATCACATTTCATGTTCAAAAATCTTTTCAAACCCTAAAGTCAGTGCATCTCCACAAAGCAAAAGCCAGTGTCCTAATTTTATGTCTGGAGACACTAAAGCAGGGACTTTTCCTAAAAAGAATGTCAGTCTCTCTGACCAAATTAAAATTTGGGATTTCCCGACTTCTGATTTCATAACCCAGACCACTCCATTGAACCCTTCTTCAGCCTTGGCAGAGAAATTCTCCATGGAGACCAAATCTCCTGCTTCCCAAACAAGGAACTGTAGCAGTTTGTAAAGTGTGATCTTCAGCCAATGTGTTTTCTGGTGGGGAAAAAAACGTGTTACACCAGTAACACGTTGTCAGTTAGGTTGGGAAGTTCAGGCATAAACACATGCTACTTGTTCATCCTGCTTACAGAAGGATGCAAAGCACAGAAAGCCTACTTAGGGGGATTTGTGCCCCCACTTAATCCAATAAGCCACAGTGAATTTTTTCAGCCTTAGGCCCTACTAGGAAATAGAGCCTCCAATCCATTGCCCCAGAAGTTTACTTTCCCCAAGTAGCCAACCCACCCCTGGTTGCTGTTGGTTACAGAAACAGTTGGGTAAATGCCACATTGGTTGAAAAGGAGGTAAGAGTATGGGAGACAGTCACCTCTTTGATTTTGGAGGGCTTTTAGAATTTCCTAATTTATACTCTGTAAATAACCAAAATACATCTATTTCTCTGAGACTTTATGTGCTGACTACAGTCAGCTAGCAATGTCTTTAGTGCTTATAAACAGTTCTCATCTGTATTTCTAAAATAATTCCAATGCAGGGAAAATAATTTGAGAGTTATGTGTATTTTGAAAATATACTCCAAAGTTGAAACCTTTTCAAATGTTAATCAAAAGGATTTATAGCTATAGATTATACTCCAGCCATCAGCCACTTATGTAACAGTGAAACAGCAAAAGAACTAACATAGCAAACTCCATTTTTGTTTAAGGAGCCTTTAGCCTGCACGTAAGCTAGGATAATTTTGGAGCACTGAGAAAATATGCAAAAACAACAATCATGTAGTTTTTGCAACGAACTCTGGGATTAAAGGGAAAGTATGTAAACAATTAACTATGTTTTGTTAAAGATTTATAGGAGTGTTGTGACCTGACCAAGGACAGAGTTGTTCCCAACCTCCTCAGACCCTCATTGGCGTCCAGATGTCTGCGGTCGTTGGTCACCTCTTGATCCCAAACCTCTCTTCTTCCCTCTGTCTTTAACATAAAAAGAGCCTGAAATTTGTACTGTCTTAATATGGTACTTTAGAATGCTAGTCCACCATCTTCTTTGTTTACTGGATCTCCGAATAAACCTGCTTTTCCTCCCACCAACTCTTGCCTCTCAAGTTTTGGCTTTTGGGAAGCAAGTAGCAGAATCTAGGTTTGGTTACACTTACGATAAATTCAAAGAGGAAGGTGGGCATTAAGTAGACACTCTTTCCATCTGCCCCAGCTCTCCCTTCCTAGTCAACAGTCTGCATATCCCTTTCTCTTATCTCACACTGAGGGACACTGTGATTTATTTGCCTACATAGATGCCTACTATTAAATCCTTAGTTCCTTCAGAGTAGGGACCATGCCTTGGTCATTTTTCTATCCCTGATGCCAAACACTGGCCCTAGAGTACAGAAGCTACCAAAAAATCATGTATGTTACCAAAGGGTTTTTACCAATCATCATTTTTATGCCAAAAGGCTTCTTTGAAGTTGAAAGGATTTTTTTGTTGTTGTTATTATTTTTAGAAAATGTGTCATCCTTGTGTTACATTCTTAAAATGGAGCATACCCAATAGTGTACTTTATCCAAAGGGTACATGCTGTCTACCCAGATGAGTAATTCTCATGGAAATGAAAAACTGCATCAAGTCAGCTGATTAGCAAGGCACCATTTTGGACTCAAGGTCTCTGGTGCTATAATGCTGTCTACAATCCAAAGATATCGAGGAAAAAGTTAAGATGAGCTGCATAATCTAGAATGGAAATTCCTAGAGCAGGACTTTGGGGCGGTTGGAGGGAAAATGGGGAGAGAAGTGTAGATTGGAAAGGGGGCCATGATGACTGCAAATTGAGAAGCCCCTTGAACAAAGCAGCAGGGTTCTGGGAGGGGTAGATTCCATAAATTGGAAAATGTATTTGTTTCACTCTTTGGTCTACTGTGCCAAGATACTCATAAAGCTACCATCTTCAATGTGTCCCATCCTTTAGTCACCATACAAAGACATGGTGACATGAACTAGAAAGGAAATGGTTGAGATGATAGACTCCTCTAACCATTTCTCCCTCCACTGCCCAACCCACCCAATGGTAAATAACTGGGTCAGTCTCTGCACCCTGCCCTCTCCCTATTCCAACTGTACATATCCAGATGGTAAGAGGCTCAATGCCAGCAAGGTCTTCTCAGGAAAATATTTGGGAGAAGGCATGCATTGAGTATCATAGCAGACATGGCTAAGGTTTATGAGCTTGAAGAATACTATGAATGTGCCTTTTCATTGCAATGAAAATGAAAAGACTGAAGGAAATGGCCTCTGTTCACACCTGCAAGGATGATATGGTGTCCTTCAAAGCCACAACTATAGTGTACATAGAATTCTGGAGACATCGGAGATATGTGAAGGAGTATGGTTATAGTATGAGATGGCAGACCATGATGCAAGGAATGGGAAGAAGCATTCAATGTGTGAGTCCCAGAATTTAATACTTATGGGCTGTGTTGTTTTACCTAAACATCAATTTTCTCTGTGATTTATTCAAGCTTGACAGTAAAATTTCCAGCCAAGAGTTATCCATTTGAAAGCTAGGTTATTACTCCCAGTCATATATTCCATTTAATGGATCTCTCAAGTGTTAATGAATATTATTAAGTACTGAGTTCATGATAGAATTAAAAGCCATGGGCCAGGCGCCGTGGCTCACATCTGTAATCCCAGCACTTTGGGAGGCCGAGGCAGGCGGATCACTTGAGGTCAGGAGTTTGAGACCAGCCTGGCCAACATGGTGAAACCCCATCTCTACTAAAAATACAAAAAATTAGCCAGGCGTGGTGGTAGGCACCTGTAATCCCAGCTACTTGGGAGGCTGAGGCATGACAATTGCTTGAACCCAGGAGGTAGAAGTTGCAGTCAGCCGAGATCGCACCACTGCACTCCAGCCTGGGTGACAGAGTGAGAGTCTGTCTCAAAAAAAAAAAAAAAAAAAAAAAAAAGAAGTAAAAGCCATGTTGGTGGGGAGAAGAGCACCGACAAAACCAAATTTAGAGCCTATGTTCTAAGAGAAACCAAGCCTGGCAGAGAATATGGCATCTTTTGAATAAGGAATATGCCTTTTTTTTTTTTAATTTGGGTTTCTTTTCTAAAGAGTATTTTTTTCTATTTTCTTTTTCATTTTTGGGTAAGATATGTGAAAAATGACTTGATATAGAATACTGAATTATTTTTCTAAGGTCAAAAGAAAGTGTTTGAGGCAGATTCAAGATGGCTACAGATTTTTTTGATACTCCTCTCATTAAGAAGTGGGGTCTACTTCCCTTTCCCTTGAATCTGAACTGGACTTAGTGACTTTCTTGACCAATAGAAATTAGCAGACATGATGACCTGGGAATTTCAGGACTGAAATATAAGAAATCTTATGTCTTATTCCTAGGACTCTTGGGAACTCATTATTGAACCTTAAGCCACTATGTAAGAAGCCTAGCTTCCATGGTGGAGTGAATATGAGGCCACATGGAAAGGGAGAGGTCCAACTGAGCCCATCCTTCTAGCTGTCCAGGCCAAGACTGTGGAAGTAAAGCTATCTTGGAATCTACAAACCTGCCTACCCACCAGCTGAATAACCGAGTATCCCCAGCTGACACTAAATGGAGCAGAAGAACCACCCAGCCAAGCCCTACCTGAATCACAGACTCACAGAATTAAGAAGTATTTATAAAATGGTTGTTGCTTCAAGCCACTAAGTTTTAGGGCAGTCTGTGATGAAGCAATGGATGGTGTAAAATTCCCACAAGGGACTCTTCTGATGGTGGGTGTCAGCTTCTATTCAGAAGCTGACCACTTCCTCTGCCATTGTCACAGTGGGAGCAAGTCTGCAGTGCTAGGCCAGGGTCTACAAAGTGATTGAGTCATGCTTTTTGAGAAGTGAGATCAGTTATACTGGCTAAAAAGGGACTAAAAAGAGTTTTGGGGGTGATGACTTTATGGCTCCATGACTAATTCCCAACCACTCAATAATAGGTCCAAGGCATGTGCCACTGGGATAGGTTTTACACACTTCCCCCAAGCCTCTGGTTTAGGGTGGGGATGGGAGATAGCTAGAAACAAAAGCAGCTCTGTCTGACATCGTGTGGTTGGTGATCACTTCCATGGATCCACACGGTGCTCCCTGGCCCACTTCATCTTTACTTTAAAGAGTCTTTTCCAATCCTTAGTTCTTATTGGCGTTAAACATACCTATGATCAGAAAGAATTTGAAAATGGCACTGTAGAGTTTCTGGTAGGCAGGAGGGCAAGTCCCAAAGTGTCAATTCAATGTGGAGCCTACGAACTCCAATACAAGGGAGGCTTTCTACAAACTTAAAAGATCTTCTACCCAAGTCTCTTAGCCTCCCTCTTCATTAAAGATTTTGTGTTTTCCCCCCTCTCCAGCTCTAGTTTCATTTTGTGAAAAGGTTCACTGCCTTATGTGCCATGAGCAGACAGGCTTATCGAATGAACTGTAAATCTAATCAGTTTGCCACAGGGGTTTCATGGGAGCCATGTAAACAATAGCTGGAGTTGTGTTAAGCTTCAGTGACTCCAACTGATTCCCAGTTTGGTTCATTTGTGAAGAACAGTTGGAGATACAAAGCCAAGCCCATTAATTTCTAAAGAGCAATTCTAAGAGAGGAATGAGCTGTCGATCCCCAGAAGGTTTTCACTCCAAGCTCTAACTACAGGATTTTATTTATGGCATAACGTTTGTCTTCCAGTTACTGTTTCCTTCCATTTCTCCAATATTCTGTATTTCTAAGGAGATCCTGGCAACTCTTATTGAAATTGGAATCCTGTGGAGGAATTGAGCAGAGAACTTCTCCAAGTTCCTATGGTCTCTAAAATAGTGATCAAAGTATGGTCTTGGATCCCCCACCTGTGTTCTCTTTAAAATGTAATTGTGCCCTATGTTACTTCTGACAAACGGACTTAATTAGTTTCAGTTCTAGTTCTCATTCAATACTTTTACAGAAACACATTTTTGATTTGAATTTCACTCTCAAGACTATAAAGTTTATATAGTTATACTGCTGAAGTCACACCAGTTTTTAATCTCCTAAATTCACACATACTTAGTTTCCAGATGGAAAAATGAATATTCACCACAGCTCTATTAGGAATGCCAATTTCCCATCAGTCCCTAGCATTGGGCAATGCAGTTATAATACTGTGTTAATTTCAGACATCTTCTGGTCCTCCGAGCCTTGTATTTACATACTAGCTGAAACTGCAAGTGGAAATGAATGGAGCTGATGATATTTGCCTTATCCTAATTTTTCTGTGAGGAGGAGAAAAACACTTGTGCTTCAAATAAGCAGATGTGAAAACACTTCTCACTAATCAAAATGTTTACCACTAGGTTATGAGAGTCTGCCTCTCATAGGCAGTGAATCTGATATGTATACTTAGTAATATAAGTCTATTTAGTTTGACAAAACCTTAGAGCAGAATTTTTGCAGCTTAGTTCAGGATGATCACTAGCAATGCCAAACTTCATTTTTTATTGAACTTGGATCCAAGAAGGCCTGCTGTGTCTATTTCAGTATAGACTCTCATACCAATATATTTATGCTCCAAGTCACTACACCCAGAAGTGATGCAGTGGGGGAAATGCAAAGAACAACATCACTGTAAGATTCACAGAATGATCTTTGTAAAATATTTTATATTGACTTAAGGAAACTTTCATTGGAATTAATTAAATTAAGTCTCTAATATTCTGGAAGACAGTAAAAATCAAGCAGTTGTTCTCAATTTGATCCCGGCAGTTGGAAATATTCATAATAGGAAATTCATGAAATAATACATATGAAGATGACAGAAAATTACCAATGTGATTCTGTAAAGAGCTTGGCATAGCAACTTGTCTAATTTCTTTCTATAATAAAATTATGGCCACATAGACTGATAGAAAGCGACTAGGAAATCCATCTGTATTTTCGCATGTTCTCGCTCATATGTGGAAGCTAAAAAAGAGTTGATCTCATAGAAGTAAAAAGCAGAACAGAGGTGACTGAAGGCTCGGAAAAGTAGGGGGAAGGCAGCCATAGGGAGAGATTTTTAAAGGATACAAAATTACAGCTAGATAGGAGGAATAAATGCTGGTGTTCTGTATCAGTGTAGGATGTCTACAATCAATAACATATAGATTCAAACAGCTAGAAAGAGGATATTAAATGTTCCCAAAGCAAAGAAGTGATGTCTGACATGATGAATATGGCAATTACCCTATACCATGATACATTATATGTATTGAAACATGTCTGTTATATGTACAATTATTGTCAATTTAAAAAAATAAAATTTTAAAAATGGCTTAATAAAAAGACCACTGTGATTGTAAAATTCACAGAACTCCGCCTGAAACTAGCTTAAGCTATATAGTTGGTATTCAACAAAAGGTTATGGAATTAATTGTGACAATGTAACTATTCTGTGGAGTATTTACCTTGTAGTAGATACTGTTCAAAACATCTTAGGTTGATTAATTCTTTAAATCCTCACAATAGCCTGTCTCACAAATACTCTTAGCGGTGCCATTTTATATACAAGAAAAGTGAAGAGCAGCGGGGTCACAAAAGCCCCCCCACACCATACAGCTCAGAAGTGTTGAAGCCAGGACTTGATCCCAGGCAGGCTGGCTCCAGAGCCTGTGCAAGCAACCCCCACTCCCAACCGCTTCCCAGAACCTGGGACTCTATAGGTTACCCATCAAGAAAAAGTATACTCTTTGACTTTATTTTGGTATGAGTTACAGTTTTGGCTTATGGATTGAACCCAAAAGGTAGCAGTGTTCAATGGGACAGTATCCACCTGGGATATTCAGAAGAAACTCCCATGGGGTTCATTTTTACAATCAATCTTATTTAATATCAGTATTTATTAGGTGGATAAAAAGCATTAGAATATATGCCCCCAATTTTTATATGACAATAAATTTAGTAGAATTGTTAATATTCTGGGAGATAATGAAAATTCCCTCTCAGAAAGTGGGGAGAATAGTTCTATGAAAACTATTCGGTTCACTTAAGATGTACCAGATATTTATCAATCACAATGCCTGATCAGTTGCTCCCAGCTGCATGTTCTTTGAATGACAATTTCACATGCCCAGCATGAAGAGGGACATAGGTGAACACCTGACCCAACGTGCTGGGTCACTCTTGAGCCTCAGTCACTCCACAGGCTGGAATGAAAAAAATGAGCTGGTCCTATCAAATCCTCACTCTTGGGAATTTGCTTTGGAAGACAGAATGACCCAGTTGGCAACCAGAACTTAAGTTGGAAAGTTACGATGTGGGGAAAGGAGAAGAGAGATCATTGTGGCCAAGTGCATGTGCAAGCCAAGGCCACAGAGAACAGGAGCTTTGAGGGAGCAGAGCAAGGTGGTCACTTTAGAGAGATGAATGAGATAGAAATGCGGAATGAAAGAGAATAGGGGAACGGGAGGAGACACACATGAATGAACATGAGAGGCCAGACAGTGGCCCTGTGCCAAGCTGCCAAGATTTCTGGTGGTGCTTGGTTCCATTGTAGTCCACAAGGACCCTTACAACAAGCCCCATGGCCTTAGATAACTCAAGAGGGTCTTTGTTCCTTGTGAAGAGAAAAACCTGATGCAAAAAGTAGATGAATAAAAATGGTTAACTTTTGGGCAGAATCCTCCCACCCAAAAATAAGTTGAGGAAATATTAATGTGGAAAAAGAAAAATGACCTAAAATTAAGAATAATCTACCTATGTGGAAGCATTGTTTTAAAAAACCAATATAATGTTGGCCTATATGAAAATGAATGCATTATATAAATCATGGATTTCAAAGAGCTAGGGGTTTTGTTTTTGCTCTTTTAAAATCAGATCTTACATAGCACACCATCTCATCTTAGTCATCCTTTTAAGAAAAGACATACGGCTTCTGACAAGGGTTCCAATAATAATCAAAATTATTAAGGTATGACTTATAAGTAAAGCCACAGGGAGTTTGTGCTATGTGGTCTAGAGAGAAGAAAGCTAGTGGTGATTTCTTTTTTATCTTTAAGAGTATTGGCTGAGGTGTGAGGATTGCTTGAGCCCAGGTGTTCAAGACCAGCCTGAGCAACACAGTGAGACCTTGTCTCTACAAAACATAAAAACAAAAAAATTAGCTGGGCATGGTGGCACTTCCCTGTAGTCCCAACTACTTGGGAGGCTGAGGTGGGAGGAAGGATTGCTTGAGCTGGCGAGGTCAAGGCTGCAGTGAGCCAAGATTATGCCCCTGCACTCCAGCCGGGGCAACAGAGCAAGACTCTGTCTCTTTATAAAAAAACAAAAACAAAAACAAAGAATATGGAAGAAGCTGAGCATGGTATCTCACATCGGTAATCCCAGCACTTTGGGAGGTCAAGGCAGGAGGATCACTGAGCTCAGGAGTTCAAGACCAGCCTGGACAACATAGTAAGACTCTGTCTCTACAAAATAAATAATAAACAAACAAACAAACAAACTGGGTGTGGTGGCATGCTCCTGTAGCCCCAGCTACTCAGGAGGCTGAGGTGGGAGGGTTGCTTGAGCCTGGGAAGTTGAGGCAGCAGTGACCCATGATCATACCATTAAACTCCAGCTTGGGCAAGATCCTCTCTCTCTCAAAAAACAAAATACAAAAAACAAAATATATATATATATGTATACACACACATATATATACATATGTATGTGTGTATATATATGCATACACCCACATATATACATATGTATACACACATACACGTGTGTATACACACGTGTGTGTATACGTGTGTATACACACGTCTGTGTATATATGTATACACATATGTCTGTGTATATGTATACACATGTCTATATATGTATACACATGTCTGTATATATGTATACACGTCTGTATATATGTATACACATACGTGTATACATATGTATGTGTATGCATACACACGTGTATATGTGCGTGTGCATACACACGTATGTGTGTATATGCGTGTGCATACCCACGTGTGTGTGTGCGCGTGTGCATACCCACGTGTGTGTATGTGCGTGTGTATACACACGTGTGTGTGCGTGTGTATACACACGTGTGTGTATATGGTTTTAATCACTGATCACAATTATCTCTTTTATTCATAGAAGTAAGACTGAGCTTTGCTCAAAGCTTTTCTGTCAAATATGAGGGGGAATCTGTTGACAGCCTGCAAAAGAAGACCCAGAACTTCTTAGTCCTGGAGATAGACATCCAGGAAAGAATTTAGAAACACCTGGGAGTCTTGGATGGTTGGCAGATAGGGCTCAGTTGGGTTTTTTTGTCTTTGGATCTGAGCTGCAGATAGGAAAATACACGACATCCATCCATGAGTGCCATGGGAAGTCATGAGTCAGATAAGAAGGAAGAACTGGAGATTAGAAAAAACAAGGAGAAAGAAAAAAGCAAAGAAGGGAAGGCTGTCAGAGGAGGTGTTCAAGTTAGCGTTCACTTTCAGGATGATGTCTGAAGGCCACTCTGACCTCTCTTATTTTGTACAATGTAGTATGTAACAGGCTGTTCATCATCAAATCACATCCATGCTTGCAAGTGACTCAAGTTGAGCCTGACATATAGAGTGACCAGGAGTTTGGGCACTTCATGTGCAGTTTCCCTTCCCCACTCTCCACAAGACCTCCTTGGGACAGATTCCATACCTGAGGGAATCAGGTCAAGACCGAGTGAGTCATCAGCTTACTTCAGGAACCCACCTGCTGGCTCCAGAGTGGCCCCGTCAGAGCAGGAATGGCTTGGCCAGAAGAACATCACTGAGGGTGCCACCCTCTACCAACTCAGCCCCTGAGCTAGGAGTAATTTAAAGGAAAATGGGTGACATGGCCCTTATTTCTAAGGTGCTGCGCTAATGAAGAGAAACTTGAAGGCAGACTTGTCTCCATGTGGGAGCATGGAGTACAAGATCTTAATCCCAAATACATACTTGTTTCATGAGAAACCCTGAGCCCTCCATGTCTCTTGGTCCTCCCTCTCCCATACTTATAAAGCAGGTTGGGCTGACTTTTCTTTGACTGACATGTCATACACATATAACATACAACATAGACCTATATGACTACATATATGACAATGACCGAGTTGCTATGTTTACTTGAAGTTGGGCTTTTTAAAAAACAACGAGGTTGGGCATGGTGGCTTATGCTTATAATCCCAGTACTTTGGGAGTCTAAGGCAGGAGGACTGCTTGAGACCAGGAGTTTGAGATCAGTCCTGGAAATTTAGTGAGACCCTGACTCTACCACAAAAATAAATTAAAAAAATAAAAAAATTAGCTGAGCAGAGTGGCATGCACCTGTAGTCCCAGCTACTCAGGAGGCTGAGGCAGGAGGATCCCTTAAGCGCAGGAGTTCAAGGTTACAGTGAGCTATGATCACCCCATTGTACTCCAGTCTGGGTGACAGAGCAAGACCCTGTCTCAATCCGTCAATCAATAAGGACAAGAAAGGAACTATACGGTACTCACTACTCAAAAATCTTGGTTTAGGAACCACTTCAGAGGTCATAAGGATTTTTGTGCCAAAAGAGACCTTAGAGATCGTGTAAAATTCAGTCTTCTCCTATGTATAGAGTTAAGGAAACTGAGACCCATAAAGGGTAAGGGGCAGAGCCAGGCCCAGCTTGTGAGTCTCCCTAATCCTAACAAGTACTTTCCCCAGAAAACCAGATTAAAATGAGAGTGGCATGTTCTTCTTCTCAACATCGCAACACACTAGGATTCATAGGGTTCTGCAGTGGCATACAAATCATGCAGTTGTAGAACAAACACTTGGCAGAGGCTGAGGCAATTTCATGGCTTCCACTGAGGCTGGATCTTCTGCCTTAATGGGGCACAATAATCACCAGTCACTGCCACCAAGGTTCCATACAAGGGCTTGCAATCTGCCTGGTTTCACACCATTTCTCAAACCAGAGGTCTTGTTGAGAAGAGACTGAGAAAAATCACCCCTCCTGCTGTAGGAAGAGGCTCTACCCTAAATTACATTGGTTTATTTCCACAAGTTCTTCCTAAAGTCAATCAGATCAAATCAACTTATTCTAATATGCCTTGAATTGTGCTTGCTTGTGACATCAGTGTGAATCCAGGTTAATTTTTCATATGTGAATGAAATTATTCTAAATAAAAACTGTTTTTAAACAGTTAAAGTATGAGTCACATGCTCAGTATTAAACAAAGAAACTTAGACAATAGAAGTGTATAAAACAGAAAGTGACATTTTCCACCCTGTCCAGTGCCCCTCCCTTGAGATAATCATTGTTAACAGTTTGGTTTACATCCTCCCTTTTATGCCCGTAGGAACATGTTTATAAGTATTTGGCTTTCAAACCTTGACTAATGTTTAAAAGCTCCTGTTTAAAGATCATAAGTCAAACTTCCTATTAATAATGCATTAAGCTCACTTTTGGGGTCCTAAAAACAAAAATAGTAAGTGCAGAATGAAAGCAACCTGGTTTTCTGTGACTACTTTTGGCAGGTTACCTCAAACAGGCAAACAAGTCAAATCTGGTAATTTAAAAACAGGACTCCAGCCTTGACCATAGTTAATAAGAACTATAAAACCAAATTATTTTCCAGTGCTATTGTGTGGAGTTGCAGAAAAGTCTCAAGCCTAGGAAAGTTCGATTTAATCCTAAATGTTATCTTATTTACCACTCATAATGAATCTACTTGGCAGAGTCTGGTGCTCTGGTTATTTCCTTTGGTTACAATAGTAACTATGGCTAGGGTGCTATTCCCCTGATGTTTGGGGAGGTGGTTATAAGTTGGTCTGATTTGAAGGACAAGTCTCTCTAGTCTCCCCATGACTAAAGCAAGTCCACACCCAGATACCCGAGGGTTGTGTCTCTACATGCCACAGCTGAGGCAATGTAACCTCAGGTGCTATTTATCTGAAGGGCTTCCAAGGCTGCTGAGCTCCTGGCAGCTGTTCAAGAAGGGACACCTGCATTTGGGAAAGAATAGTAGCTTCCCATGGCAAGCATTCACCGCTTGTGGACCTATAATTAGAAGGGGATAACATCTTGCAAGCTGACTGCTTGTTCTCATGGTCTCAGAAAAGCGATTAGTTTCCATTTCATCCCTTGTAGCTGAATAGGACACAGGGGGTCAGGTACAGGGAGTGCCTGTTTAGCACAAGTGCCTGATGAGGCTCCCTGCATTGTGGTCCTGGATGCCTTGTCCTGGTTAGCCAGAGGAAGAAAAAAGGTACAGCTTAAATAGTGTCAGAGCAAGCCAAGGCTGAGCAATTTTTGTCATTGCCCCTCACTTTCCCTCTCAGTTAGGCACAACTTTGACCTCGAACCTAAATTTCACCACAACTTTCTCTATGCCCCTGGAGTGCTGTTTTCTGCCTCAATTTATTCATCTGCAGAATAGGCTTAGCAGTGCCCATCTCTAAAGGAGGATCAGCCAGTCCATGCCAAAGATGGGTGTTGAAAATATAGATCAATGTCACAAAGTCTCACTTATAATAATCACAAAATACTACCCAATTTCTTCTGTTACCCTGGAATTTTTTTTTTACATCAATTACTACTTGAAGTAAGCTGGGGTAATGTTTTCTCAAACTGAGATTCACAAGTTCTGAGATAATTTTTTAAATTCGGGGCTTTTCTTTGGATTATGATCTAAGAAAAGTCATATCAGAGTGTTCTGGCCCATCAGGCTGACCATCTTGTAACTAAATACTGGCTTGAGTTCATTATCTGTGTTTGTGTTTCCAAGAGAACTGGTGCTAAACTTTCAATGTCGTATGCAACACTGTACACAACATCGTATACAAGACAGTGCACTAAATTTATTGGACAATCAACATAGTCGATCAATGGATAAAAACAAATATAAGAGCTAAAAATAACAGTGATAGGAACAATTAAGCCTCAAATAACGGCTCATCATATTCCAGATCAAAAGCAACAACCAGCTAGTGAAGCATGAAACAACCAAACACATCTTCCTCCTATTCAATCCAACACCAGCAATTTGGTTTCCATAAAATATCATTTATCACATTTTAAAAATATTCCTCATTTGAATTTCACTGATTTTTACAATTATGGATATTTAATTGATAAATGTATTTTACCATTATACTTGTTTAAGGGTCAAAAACCTAAGAAGCATATAACTAGTTTTGTTTGATGGTAATGAAGTAATGTTACTTAAAAAAATAATTTGAGTCATCACTTGGGCTAATAATTTTTTCCATGAAAAGCTGTATATAAACTAACCAAATCTGAGAAATACTGAATGAGGGCATTAGCTGGGTCTTGGTGCTCTTACTAAAGAGAAAATCTCATTCTAATGTTACCTATTAGAAAAGAATTTTGTCAGTAACTTTCCAGCAGAGATTTAAAGCTAGTAGATCTTCCTAATATGATTCATAGTCTTCTTTTAAAATGTGCACGCCACCACACCCAGCTAATTTTTGTAATTTTAGTAGAGACTGGGTTTCACCATGTTGGCCAGGCTGGTCTTGAACTCCTGACCTCAAGTGATCCACCCACCTCAGCCTCCCAAAGTGCTGGGATTGCAGGCATGAACCACTGCGCCTCGCCCTTACATGAATTTTTTTTCAGAAGGGTATTAGAACATTTTTGTCAGGTTTTCTCCAAAATCCTATTGGTTTTTTTTTTATTAGGAATGTGTTGGAAATTGGAGCTTAATTTGGGGGACTGACTTATTAATAATATATCTTTTTTTTTTTTCAGACAGAGTCTCGTTCTGTTGTCTTGGCTGCAGTGCAGTGGTATGGTCACAGCTTGCTGCAGCCTTGACCTCCCAGGCTCAGGTCCTTCCACCTCAGCCTCCCAAGTACCTAGGACGACAGGCACATACATACCACCATGCACAGCTAATTCTTAAATTATTTTTGTAAAGACAGGGTTCTACTTTCTAACACTATCACACTGGGGATTAGGTTCCAACATATGAGTTTGTGGGGGACAAACATTCAGACCATAGCACTATCTATATCTTATGGTGTGTGTGTCTTATTGTGAATGGAATCTATATTTTTATTATAATTTCTGTTTATTGCTTGCATACAGGAACAGCATTGATTTGCATAATTATTTTGTAATTGATTCCTCTGATTAGGTCTGATAATTGCTTCCATTCTTTTTCATCTGAATACCATTAATGGCAGATGCCATTTTAAGTAATGCTATTAACTCAAAAAATATTTAAATCTCTTATTTTGTGCAAATGAAACCACCATGAGATACCATCAGAATGGCAAGTATTAAAAAGTCAAAAAATAACAGATGCTGCAGAGAAAAGGAAACACTTATACACTGTTGATGAGAATGCAAACTAGTTCATCCACTGTTGAAAGCAGTTTGGGGGTTTCTCAAAGAACTTAAAACAGAACTACCATTCTACCCAGCAATCCCATGACTGGGTATAACCAGAGGAAAATAATGCATTCTATCAAAAAGACACGTGCATTTGCATCTTCATCACAGCACTATTCACAATAGCCAAGATACGGAATCAACCTAAGTGCCCATCAGCGCTGGATCGGATAAAGAAAATGTGGTATATAGACACCATGGAATACTATGCAGCCATAAAAAAGTAAAATCATGTCCTTTCCAGCAACATGGATGTGACAGGAGGCCATTATCCTAAGCAAATTAATGCAAGAACAGAAAATCAAATACCACATATTCTCACTTACAAGTGGGAGCTAAACACTGACTACACATAGACATAAAGATGGGAACAGTAGACATGGGACTACTAGTTGAGACAGGGAGGGAATGGGGAATGGGCTGAAAAACTACCTATTGGGTATTACGCCTACCACCTGGGCGACAGGACCATTTGTATCCCAAATGTCAGCATCACAACAATATATCCATGTAACAATTCTGCACGTGTGCCCCCAAATCAAAAATTCTAAAAATAATAAATAAATACCTCATTTTGGTCATGTTTGCATTGAATTCCTTAATATCATATTTGTTGTCATATAAATAAATTTACGGACACTATTTTATTAATAAAATTGATACTCCAGTGTGATGTGTCGTGCATATTTCCCAGTATGTTCATCCCAATTTGACAAACATAGTTTTTCAGTTACTTCCTCTGGTTTAGACAGTCTTCTAACAGATGGTCTAATTTTTAAATAAGGATTATTTTATCTCCATTAAATATTTATATCTCATAAAATAATATTTTGTTACAAAACAGTTCTTAATTAGTATGCTATGCTTTATTTAGTCAGATGCCTTACATTGCCTCTTAGTTTAGTGATAACACTGAATAATAGCACACTGTTGCATATTTCCAAACAGTGACAGGTCAGAAGTAAGAATCTGGTTGCTAATCTGCTGTGCTTGCGCTGTGTCAGACTCTGGCTTTGGAGCAGCAGAATCTTGGCATTTTTGGTCTGCTTGCTCACTGTTTTGGCCCAAGGAAATGAGTTGGATGAGTGCCCTTCTTTTTTATTCAGAGATGCCATAGATTAATTTTAAAGGCTTTCTTTCATCTACATAACAGAATGGGTTCAGATAGCCTTTTAAGCTATTATCTGCAGTTCAGAACTTTGTGCTGGAAAGTCATACTGGTGATACAAAAGGGGTCTGTTAGAAACACTGAACAATGAGAGTTTGACATTTTTCTCCTTCTGCCTCCAGAAAAGAACCAAAGCAACTATTTTATTGCATTTATGTATTTCATAAAAGAATGTGGGGGTTATATTTATATGCCAGCAAACTTCATGAAAATGACAAAACGGTGGAGCTTGCATCAGGGGACACTGATTAATAACTCATTCCCATTGAGTTGCTTGAAAGAAAGTGGCAGCAAATTATTCCATGGGTTCTAGACATTCAAACTCTATACTTGTTAAAACGTGAAAAAATAAGTAGTAGTGCCTAATCTAGGATGAAACCTAGCCTTATTTTGTAGGAGTAGAGCTGGAAAGGGGGAAAATAGTAAATAGCATGCAATACATTTTGAATTTTGGCTGATAGTAGGCCATGTATACACATATTTTAAACAAAAATTAAATTAAAAAAAAATTTTTTTGCCCTGCCACATAAGTGCTTCTCAATTACAGTTTTTTCTGCTTCCCCTCTTGACTTCATTGATTTTGTGTGAGCCTGCAAGTGTGCACATTCTTTGAATATAAATTGCTTTAATTAAAAACCACCTGAGCCACAGAGTTCACTCTGGTTCAGGAAATTCAATTCTCAGCTTGGCGGGGTGAAGATTTAGTAGAAATGATTTTACATCCTGGTTGCCCTTCCAAAGGAGCTGTGACTTTTCCAGGACAATCTCTTCTTTGAACCCAACATGAAAACACATTAGTGCTCTTTTCAGAACAAAGAAATGTACATAGGAAATAAAGACATTGTTTTATCAAAGCCTCATCTTCTACTCTGACGTAAACTGGCTGGGAAAGAAAGTGTCTCCTTCCGAGAGGAAAGTGGTTCAAGTCTGTTTTCTCCATACTCAGAAATCTTACTCACTTGCAATTATAAAAAAGTAGATGCGAGCTTTCCCATTTTCTCTTCTCTAGCATTTTGTCCCGATCTTCCTCAGTTTGTCCAGCACAGGTTGTGAGCCCACTGCCACCCAGTGAATGTGAATTACTGACTGGATAGCCAGGCTTGGTCTGTGCTCTTTTATCTGAATGGCAGCTGACACATTATTCATCAGATTTATTTGAGCTGGCTTTGCCTCCTTCTAGGATGAGGAGGAGCACTGTTGTCAGAATCCAGGCTGCTCAGAACACAGAAGAGAGCAACAACCCCTATCTTGCAGCCTGTCTCTACATGCATGGCCTCCACCCTGGGCCCCAAAGACAGCCTGGCTGAGACCAGTTCAGGGTACATTTGTCTTGGGTATTCCGCCTACTCCATCCATATCCTCTGACACACATGGCGTGTCTGTGGTGGCCCCCTGGCTTGCCACTGCATGTAGCCAAGAGCCAGCTTCCTTCTGTTTACTTCAGAGCTCACTCATGGCCCCAGACAATCCCTCTCCACCCATAGACTCAATCGTGAGTGTGCAGCGACAAGGCCCTTGCTGCATCCCATTGTCTCTGGGAGTCTTTCCAGTACCCCCTTTCAGGGCTCCCTCTGGCTTCTTCTCGCTTCTGGATTCTCCACCTACAAGTGTGGACTTGATGCAGACCTACCACTGCCCTCATTGATGGATCCCAAATCCAGCCCCATTCCCTTGTATTACCCGTCTGAGGTCTGAGAATCCCAGCTCACTGAAAGGCTTGGGCACTCTCCACAAGGTGCCTAATAAAGACATATCCCAGGATATGATAGGACTGTGGGACCGACAAAATGCCCAGATTGTGCTCATTGTCTCTGAGTTTATTCTCCTCCTAATATGAAGAGTAACAGAAGTCTAGTTGTGCAACTAAACAGTCTGGTACCCGAGGACGTTTAAGGAATATCTAAACCAAGTGTTGACAAAAGTCACATTAAACAAGCCAAGCACTCCAGAAGATACAAACAAAAAGGTATATAATAATCTGCCACTCTGAGTAGTTAAAGAGACATACGTTTAAAAATATTTTTTCTACACTGATTTAGCACCTTCTATATATGCCAGGCATTGTACTATGGGCCAGATAACAGAAATGAATAAAGACCACTTGGTTAGCACAAGGAACTTTACAATGCAATGGGGAAAATGAGACACACAAACAAATAGCAATGATGCAGTAATGGATGTGTGCTGGGAACAGCAGGGACTGCAGCAGAGTAAGAGGCTCTGAGTGGAGGCGGTGGGTTACTCCCCAAACATTTATCCTAGGCTTATTAAGCTCTGATACTAGGAATAAAGTCCCTATTTTCAAGGGGCTCACCTGTTACTAGGAGAGCAAGATAAACAAACAGGTGCATGCCAAACAGCATGATAATGAGCAAATAGGGATATATATGGGATGCAGTGGAACTCAGAGGAGGGGCTCTAACCATAGGTAATACTCAAGATCTTTAACTCACCATCGGAAATGACTCCAGCAGTAAACAATTGACTCTATAAATGGCTGCACTGTCTTATTAGGAAAAAACCCTCTCCCAGCCCAGACTGGATGGCCCAGGAGCTTCCTGGAGGAAGTGAGGCCTGATTAGCCACTTGAAGGACAAGTAGAAATAGACCAGGCAAGGGCATTTTAGAGAGAGATAACAGTAAATGCAAATGCTTGGTGGTGTGAGAACAGAGAATCAGCATTCCTTCCCTAAACACCCCCAGTGAGCACCCAGACCACATGCACCTGGGGGTTCTCAGAAGCAGGCCTTGTGGAACAAGGCAGCTCACTCAAGTCATTAGAAGTGACATTTGAAGATGGTCAAGATTCAAAACAACACACACACACGCATCCACCCATGCATGCCTGTATGCACACAGCACACACGTGATACTGCTGTTAATAACTAGAAGCCCAGGATCCACCCTGGATAATGAAGATCAACCACTGAGCCAAGGATGAAAAGGGAGAGACTGGCAAATCAAGAAAAGCAGATCAATACAGAGGGAAACATAAAAGAACAGCCCTGAAAAAATTTCCCCCAGAGAAAAAAAGATTAAGGTCAAACTATAAAACTGCTCTAATTATAAATCTACTTAGTGGCTTAAGTGAACATACATTAATAAGACAAAATGCAAAAATGAAAATTAAATGGAAAATAAGCAAATGTAACAAATACAATGTCTGATGTAAGAAAGTAGGAGGCAGCTGGGCGCAGTGGCTCATGCCTGTAATCCCAGTACTTTGGGAGGCCGAGGCAGGTGGATCACTTGAGGTCAGGAGTTCGAGACCAGCCTGGCTAACATGGTGAAACCCTGTCTCTACCAAACATAAAAAATATTAGGCAGGCATGGTGGCATGTGCCTGTAGTCCCAGCTGAGGTACAAGAATCACTGGAACCCAGGAGGCGGAGGTTTCAGTGAGCCGAGATCATGCCGCTGCACTCCAGCCTGGGTGACAGAGCAAGACCCTGTCTCCAAAAACAAACAAGAAATGTAAGGCATTTGTAGTTTCTGCCTGCCCAGAACCCACCCTATTCTTCTGTAAGGGAGACCTCCTTTCTCTTGAGGGGCTCAGGCCCTACAGTTCAGCTGGAGCTAACCCTTACCTCTCCTCTGCCACAGGTGTGGGAATAGGACTTGGGCCTGTTCAAGGTGGCCCATTACCTCTAGTTCCAGTGATGGGTTCACACGTGAGCATATGATTTAGTCCTCTCCCAGGACTTTCCTGGTGGACTTAATGTGAAGAAGCTCTTCCTCAGTGGGAGTTGCTAAGCAGGTTGCATGTGAGCCCCAGAATGCTTGAAACCATCTTCACCAGTGGTGGGAGGTGAAGCTTGATTACATCATTTCGACTCCTGGAGCAGCTATCCATCCTGGACTTTTCTGGTATTTGAGCTAATTCCCACTTTTACTTAAGCTAATTTGAGTTGGATTCTGTCACTTGAACCCCAAAAGGTCCTGATTAATTGAAGAAAACTTTCAATCACTAAAATAATGGTTTCAAGTGACAGGCACTCTGGCCCAAAACTGACTTTCCTAAATGGCCAGACCCTACATACACTGAACACTCATAAATGGAAATATAGGAAGAGAGAGCTAGATAGCATTCACAGAATGCATTTGGTTCTGATTTGTTAAAGAATTACTGGTACAAAAAGTTTAGGCCAGCAAAAAAGCACCATAATAAGGTGTCTCCCAAAAACATTTTGCATATGTCAGAAATACTACCCAATTGATTCCTTCACTTCATAAACGTTCATTGAGCAGGTCTAGACTGGGCACTGCTAGGGAGAAACAGGGTAAGACAACATCCCTTCATAGAGAAACTCACAGTCCTGTGGGAGGCAGACATTGGAGCAGATGCACCAGCAGAGGAAGGGTGGTAATCCAGGAGAGATGAAGTGCTATAGGAGGCCACAGGCAGGCAAACAGTTTTCTTACATCAGAAGTAAAAACAATCCTTCCATTGCAGTGGGGAATAGATCCACAGAGACCTACTCACCTATCACATTTCACTTGGACATATTCATTGAGCTGATGAAGATTCCCTCAAGCTTTGAGACGTTTCTCCCCTTGAGAGTGGAAGAAAGGAAACCTACACTTGTTGAGTTCCTAACCTGCACCAGGCACTGTTAATTTATCTGTGGCAACTCAGAAGTAATGATGCATCATCGTATTATACAAATACCAAGGCCTTGATCTGCTCTGAAACCATTAAAAAAAAACACCAATTCAACAACTAAATCTAATCTGACAGTGCTGGTGATTGAAACACTGTTGACTTCATCAAAATATAAGGGGGTACCAAAAACATCAGAAAGCAAGAGAATATTTTAATGCAAAATTCCAGCATGAACAAAATATCAAAATGTTAAACAAAGACATGATCAGATCCAGCCCTGCAATTGCATGCCTTGTCCTCACTTGCCTCACCCTAATTTGGACCCTGATCCCCAGCCACATCACCCGGCTCTATGCACCTTATAAGGGTTGTCACCTGCCTTCCTGTTCATAAACAGCAAAACAATCCTTAAAATGGACGTGGCTCTCGTGCCCATGTTTGGGGACACCAGGATAACGTAAAGCCAGAAAGTTTGCCTAATCCCTGCAGATGGACAGCCACCCGCTTGGGGAAAGGAGGAAAGCTAGTGTGGGTGATGAAGCCCTGTCCTCACTGTTGAGGTAGGGAGAGGGGTTGGGTAAATGGTGAGGGGAGTGCCTGCCCTGTAAAGAGACCTTGTTCATCAGGGTTCTTAAAAACAACATCAAACCCTCTCAATCCTGATGGAATTAGCCAGATACCCTCAGGGCTTCTGAAGACACCAGTAATGAAATGCACACCACCTGTCCTATTTCCCTTCTGTGTGGTTTGAATGTTTGATTCCTCCCACTCTTGTTGAAATTTAGCTGCCATTGTGACAGTATTCAGAGATGGGACCTTTTTTTTTTTTTTTTTTTGAGATGGAGTCTCACTCTGTCGCCCAGGCTGGAGTGCAGTGGCACAATCTTGGCTCACTGCAACCTCTGCCTCCCAGGTTCAAGCAATTCTCCTGCCTCAGCCTTCTGAGTAGCTGGGACTACAGGCGCCTGCCACCACTCCTGGCTAATTTTTTGTATTTTTAGTAAAGACGGGGTTTCACCATGTTAGCCAGGATGGTCTCAATCTCCCGACCTTGTGATCCGCCCGCCTCAGCCTCCTAAAGTTTTGGGATTACAGGCGTGAGCCATCGCGCCCAGCCCAGAGGTGGGACCTTTTAGAGGTGATTAGGTCATGAGGGCTCTTCCCTCTTGAATGGGTTAAAGCTGTTATCTTGGGAGTGGGTTCCTTATAGAAGGATGGGTTCAGATTTGTATTGAATGGGGAAGCATTCCATTCATTATCTACACTAAAATAATTAAAATAGCTAACATTTATGTGCCACACACAACACCGGTTTATGTTTTCTCATTTAAAGGTATTTTTTTAAAAAATAGTGAAGTTCAAAGAAAGTTACAGGAAATATATATATATTCTGTTAATTAAGAACTAATTATTAATTCATTTATTATTTAACAAATACTTATGGATGGATAAACGAACCTACAAGCTTTATTACTTCTACATATTTAGGGCATCATGGGATTACTTCATGTTATCTTAGAAGACTTTGGAGTTTTACTTATAAGAAAGAAAATTTACTTAACCAATAATTTGATTATACTAATAAAAATTAACTCGGGCTCTGAACATGAAATTAAATGTACTCCCCCTACTGAGAACTGAAAACCATGCATCCGATTTCAGAGCCAGCTAGGAAGTACTGGCTGGATTCCACCTCTGGGAGGTGGAAGTTCTCCAGAATGGCCTGGGAGGGGCAGTTCTCTGGGTAGGTATCCCTTGCTATTTATCTAGTGCCCTTTTAGCATGTGCAGTAAGCAGCTGTTGACTTGACTGGACTCCCCCCACCCCATTCCCATGTCCTTCCCAGGTGTGCTGGGACAGGTCACCTCTGGCTGTCATTGAGCCTGGGGGAAGAAGGAGGGAGAGAGAAACAAAGCACAACAAAAATTCTCAAATGAGCTAGAAAAAATGAATTATCTATCTCACTAAGCCAAAGGGGATCTATTTAATACACCAAGGCTACAACTAGGAGGCTACAATTTCTTCCCAATTAGCCTTTTGTTTCTGCCAAGTCTCCACAAAATAAAAGAATTGACATCTGTGCAGAATCAAGTCACTTGGAAATAGTCCCCTAATATTCCAATAATTGTAATTAGTTTCCCACATCTATTATTTGAAGACTATTGACCTTAGTTAAAGAATAATTTGCCAGATTGTAAAAATGTTGTTGCTAGAATGGACCACAGATATCTAGTCATGAGAAATCTGAGGCCCAGACAAATTAACTGAACTATCCCAAATCACACAGCAAGGTAGTAGCATAATACTCTAGAAGACCATAGCTAAGCTCTGGACTCCTAGAGGACCTTTGATGGAAGCTGTCTTATGTATGTTATGTTCTTGCCTTCATCCATGCAATGAACGACAGTGTTTACATTTGTGGAAGATTTTCTACATGTTAATGAGCGTGCAGGGGTGTGTGTATGTGTTTTCTTGGCAAAGCACATGTCTGTTTAACTGTCAGCTCAGGACCCTATTGTGTTTAAGATTCTTTGATTTCAGGGAGAAGTGCCCTGAGGCTCCCAAGAGCTCTACACCCACTCCCTGGGACTCCTCACACACACCGCTGTGGAAGGTCTGCCTGGAAGCCTCCCAGGGCAAGTCCTCCCAAGGGAAGGGAAGAGGATACCACCCAAAGAGCTCCAAGTGCACATCTGTTCCCAGGCCCTGGCAGAAACCGTCGCTGGAATTTAGCAAGAAGCCTGCAGAATCATTACTATTGCTCTGGGGCTGACAGTTGTTAAGGACTCGTTAGGGAGTGTCAGTTTTCCACAGGCAACTGCATTTCTGAGAAAAGGGCCTGAACTTGGACTAAAAAAATGCTAGCAGCTATTTCTATTTCAAGAGAACAAGTTGTTGAACCTAAGTGGCAAAGGAATTCACAAACCCCTTTATCTCCCACTTCTGGCATGTTCCATCCACTCTGAACTAAGATGTGGGTCTGAACTATAAAACAAGCACTTGATGAACCTCTGCCTTCACCTCCGCCTCCGCTCCCCTCCTCCAAAACCCATGCTGAAAACAGTCAGCAGCCTTAGGAGTTCTTCACAGTCAAGGAGGAAGTTGGGAAGACAGGTTGGAAAGCTGAGGCCAGCCAATGATGGCACAGGCTCAGATGCCCATTTATCCCCTGTGTGAGAATGCCAGTAAATGAACAGAGGCTGGTGCTTTAGAAGAAAGGAAAGAGGCAACAAATACCATCCCTGCCCTTAAGGAGCATAGGATCTGAAGCAAGAGCTAACCCCTTGGAAACAAAGACCGAAATAAGACTGAGCACTACACATGATTCAGAGAGGGCATCTTTCAGCACAGAGTTTAGGGAGCAGAGAGGTCACTGAAAGCTGGAGTATTGCCCACAGCCTCCCTCTCTTCAGGCCCCCTGTAGATGCTGTGCTCTTGGAGTCTGTCCCAGCCTTCCTGTTGAGTCTGACTGCTCTCCTAGATCAGTGGTTCCTGAGAACCCACTTTAGACTCTCTCAGTCGCTGTGATGGATATCCAACTTGAATGAGCTTAATTCAGCAGGTCTCCATCTTGGCAGTGCATTCAAATCACCGGGGGAGCTTTAAAACCTACCTATGCCCAAGTCCTATCCCAGACCCAGACCAATTGAATCCAGTTCCCCAGGTGAGAGACCCTGACATCAGATCCTAATGGCAGTCAGGTTGAGAACCACTGGTTTAAGCAACAAAGGACAATTTGCAAACTCACAGAGGAAAACCACAAGAAGGTGGAGCTGTCCTTAGGGACAACTAGAACCAGGACATTGAACCAGTCAAGATCCTCTCTGTTCCTCTGTTCCCCTTTTCTTGCATATCTGTTGCATCTTCTCTCCTTGAGATGGGAATCATTACTAGTAGTGGCTCTGGCTTACCCTTTAGCAGCTAGAGGATAGAGCTTTGCTTCTCAGGTCTGTATTGACCATCCCCTACCCACCCCTCCACCTATTTTTTCTCTAAAAACAACTCTGATTGGCCTTCCAGGGGTCATGTCCCCACCCCTTGGCCCATGTTGAGAGGTTTTCATTGGTCCAGCTTGATTCACGATTGTGTTCCTACCCCTGGGGAGGGGTGCTGGGGAGACTATCATAGATCCTTGCTAGTCAAAGTGTGGTCTATGGACCAACTCTCTGGGCATCGCCTAGAAGTTTGTTAAAAAATGGAAACTCCCAGGTGCCATCACAGACCTGCTGATTGAGCATTTGCCTTCTAACAAGATCCCTAGGTGATTTGTATGCACATGAAGGCCTGAGAAGGACCACTCTAATGCTCTGGTATCGCTTTCTCAGGTTGATGAAGGTAGAGGTATTCCTTTCTCTTGGTTTCATGCTAAAGCCTCAGAAGAAGGATGCTGCCACTCCTCTACAGCTTCTGACAGCAGCAGTACCAACACCAGGTCATTCTAGCCTGGTTGGCAAGAAACCCAGTCAAGCTCCCCACACCATTCCTTCTTCTCTTTCTCAAAACCTGGCTCTGGATGAGGTCTGTGGTTTTGCTGCAGTAGCTGATAGGGAAGAGGATGTGGTTCTCTGGGCCAAATAGGGTCCAGCAGCTGGTGCTTATCAGCCATGCTCTGTGATACACACAGATGTGTCCACACCTACCTTCCTGGCCGAGGACATGTGGGAACTCAGAGCTTCCCCTGGGAATGAATGACAGAGCAAGGAAGTGACAAGGCTGATGTAGGTGTGATGGCATCCTGCCCAGCATCTTGATAGTCAGCTGGGTCGGGGGATTTGCCTCTGAAACCTGGAAGCACGTGGGAAGTACAAATATATAATCTGGGCATCTGGCCACTCAGTTTAGTGATGCTCTAGGTCCTTCCTGGAGGATACCATTTTCAAGTTCAATGTACTCCCTAGACCCCAAGCTCTATCTTCTGTGTCAACCCATTTTTCCCTTACCTTTCCCTTCCCCTGTCCATTTGCTTTCCCACTCAAACAGGAAAAGGTGAAAATTCGTGGGCACTCAATAATTATTGTTAGAAGAAATAGATGAATAAATAAACAAATGGTTTTGCATTTTTGGAAGAAGGAGAATTGAGCTTTATTTTCATCTGCTTGGATGGATAAATAGCTTTACTTCTGGGAAGTGACACAGAATTACCGCCTATAAATCATCGCCTTTGTTTAGCTCTCTCCCGCATCTCTACCCTCCACAAACAAGAAATCCTATGCGTTTGTACGAGAGAGCCTCAATTTTTATTTTTTTATTTTTTATTTTTCTTTTCTTTTTTTATTATTATTATTATACTTTAAGTTTTAGGGTACATGTGCACAATGTGCAGGTTAGTTACATATGTATACATTTGTCATGCTAGTGTGCTGCACCCATTAACTCATCATTTAGCATTAGGTATATCTCCTAAAGCTATCCCTCCCCCCTCCCCCCACCCAGAGCCTCAATTTTTAAATTCTCCCTCATGTGGGCTTCAGGAAGAGCCTGACTTTTGGTCTCAGTGGCTTCTGACCAGCATTGCCTCCAAAGAATGAAGAGAATATCCCCCCAGTTGTTTGGGTATTTTCATCCCAAGATGAAATCTACTCCTATCCTCTTGTTCCATATCAGAATTAGAACTTTAGAACGTGTCTGCTGGAGAACTGGCCTAACCACTTCATTTTATAGAGGAGGCAACTGAACCTAGAGAAAGGGAATAGATCTGTCTGAGGCCACACAACTAGTAAGAGCCAGTTGTCTGTGTAGACCACAGGTTTCCTGAGTTTGGATCCAGTTCATTCTCCTTTCATGCCACAGTGTAGCCTGTTGACCACGCTGCTATCAGAACTCGCCTCAGCAGCAGTGGCGATGCCATTTTCCTGTGGCTAGAAGGACGGCCGATTAAAGGACCTCAGTCAGCACCCTCCTCTAACGGGAGCCTGGGGGAGGGCGCACCAGGTAGGATTCCAGCAGCCAGTTCCACACCAGCCCCAGAGTAACAGACCTGTTTTTCCAAAAGTCCATTTATTTCTGTCTCCTTTACCCAGCCCAAACAGCAATGGAGAGGATTTTGCTCAAACTTTCCAAAATAACTTCCCTTTGGGCTGAGACCAAGCATGTGTAGCTTCAGGCCAAGGAATATTGAGAAGTTTATGAGCCACTAAAAATAGACAGTTACAACAGAAACTTCCTCTTACTTCTGCCATTTTCTCTGCTGGCTACACAAACACAGAGGCAGACTCCCTGATCATGGAGGGTGGAAAAAAGCATCCCATGCTCCAAGCTATGGTGTGATCACATGGGAAATATGTTTAAGGAAGAACATTGCCATTTCAAGAACGAGTCTGAACCAAATATTACAACTGGAAAGGAGAGGACCCATTGGTGCATCCTCTGGCCCTGAATTCTTTCTCTCACAGCCAAAGAAGGGCAGAGGCAGGAGCAATGGCAGCACTAGAGACAACAGGCAAACCCACCGTAGGCCTCTGCCCATTTGTAGCCTCTCATCTGTGGTTGGAATGGAAGCCAGGTTTAATCACGGTGTCAGTTCTAAAATATTCCAGAACAATTCCAACAGGGCAAATGATGTCTTTAAGATATGTTTGAGCTGGTTATGCAGTCTATCCCTTGCCTTCTCTTTGGACTACATCTTTACCTGGCTGCTTTGAAGATTCTAGTTCACTTTATTCACTTTACAGAGTCCAGAAAACAGCCAAATTAAGAATTTTCATTAGGTCCCAAAGTTCCTGGTTTCTAGCCAGCCACATACCAGTAATCCCTGAACTAGACTGCATGGAAGTAAAGGCTGTAACGTATAGGCTTGTGTTAGTCCAGTGTCCACTAAGCCTGTACGGTGCTCTACGTTGCAATGGGATGGAATAATAGAATCCCACCAAGAATGGAAATCAGCTCACATGCTTAAGAGAAAGCAGTTGCATGTTTAGTTCATTCTGCAGCAAATGACTTTCATGGCCTCAGTCTGTATAGAGATGACATAAAACATCTGAAATTATACAAAAGAATAAAGAATCACAGAGGTCCAGAGAAGAGAAGGCATATCTTTCCCATCTACCACATCCAGAAGGCTGAGTGGGGCCCTGATGTGATTCTCAGGATTCCAGTTCTCCCCCAAAGGAATAATTTAATGTTGTACCAAGTGTTTTCTGTGCATTTCTTGTCCTTAACCTCTGTTTTATATACTCAGCACTGAACAGTGACCCATCATAAGATAGCACCATTCTTCCTTTTTTTTTTTTTTTTTTTTAGACAGGGTCTCGCTCTGTCGCCCAGTGGCGTGATCTTGGCTCACTGAAATCTCCACCTCTGGGGTTCAAGTGATTCTTGTGCCTCAGCCTCCTGAGTAGCTGGGATTACAGGCACACGCTACCACACCCGGCTAATTTTTGTATTTTTAGTAGAGACAGGGTTTTGCCATGTTGTCCAGTCTGGTCTTGAACTCCTGGCCTCAAGTGTTCTGCCCGCCTTGGCCTCCCAAAGTGCTAGGATTACAGGCGTGTGCCAACGCGCCTTGCCCATTCTCCCTATTTTTAAAGGCTCCCAGAGGAGAAAACCAGAACATTTTTTTTTTCCGGCCATCTTAATGTTTTAACAGCTCTTTAGAGAAAAAAAAAAAAACATCCTTATTCCTGACCCAAATCTCTTGTGCTGGGATTTAAAACCATTTCTTCTTGTTTGGTTCGTAGTAGAGATAGGAAACACCTGGAGCCCTTCCTGTGTTTATTGTACATGGTGTCTTGGGTTTCTCATTTTATTCTTTTTTTACTTCCTTATCCATCTCTCCTGAGTCCCCTCGAAATTCTTCATCTTCCTCTCTCATTATGAAGTCCTAAAGGAGCCACAGTGCTTGGGACAGGACGCCAGTGCCCACAATATAAATATATATGTATCTTATATAGTAAACATATGTATATATATGTACGCACGTGTATATATATAGATGGTCTCTGACTTGTAATGGCTTAACTTATAATATTTCAACTTTATGATGGTGCAAAACCATTGCAATTTCAACAAAATATACAGTGTTCAATAAATTACACGGGAATTCAATACTTTATTCTAACATAGGCTTTGTGTTAGATGATTTCACCCAATTACAGGCTAATGTAAGTATCCTGAACATGTTTAAGGTAGGCTAGCCTAAACTATAATGTGCAATAGGTTAGGTGTATTAAATGCATTTTCAACTGATAAACTCATTGTAAGGTGAAAATATTGTAAGTCAAAAAAGTATTTAATACACCTAGCCTACCAAATATCATAGCTTAGCTTTTTAAATCTTTTTAAAAAGATGTTCATATGCACCAGCTCATTTAAACCTTAAAACTGCCATTCTGTGAGATGGCCAAGGAGCCATTATTACTTCCATTTTATAGCTGAGAAAACTCATGGAGTTGAAGTGAATTGCCCAGAGTCCTAATCTAAACCTAGTAAGCAGCTGGACAAGGAGCCAAACTCAAGCCATCTGATTCCCAGTGCAGGGCCTTCTTCATGACACCTCCTCATCTTTTATGTGTCAATCTTGCATTGTAGGGCTGTACACCAGGCCCCTGTCCATCTAGACCCAACCCCCACCCCCTTGTTTTTCCTCTGCACCCTGTTCACACTTACGTCAGAGCACGTCAGACATCCCATTCCACTTATCTTTTACTTCTGGAGGGCAAAGACAACAGCCTACTTATAGATTTCTCCTGCTTTACAGAGTGGCTTAGTCCTTTGTAGGTGCTCAACAGATGTTATGAATGAATGACAAAAGCATCATAGGGAGGCATAGAGATGGTGTTTATGCTATCAAATCTACTACTATGAGGCAAATAAGCTTAATTAAATAAAAGGGACAATTACACAACTGCTTTAGAGCATTAAATGAAGCTTCCACCTTGATAATTTTTATAAAATGAGCTTCCTTAGTCACAGCATATTATATAGCATTATAATATCCAAGTTATAATCATGTATTGCCATGGTTATAAAATATTAAAAATCAGGCCGGGCGAGGTGGCTCACGCCTGTAATTCTAGCACTTTGGGAGGCCGAAGTGGGTGGATTACCTGAGGTTGGGAGTTCAAGACCAGCCTGGCCAACATGGTGAAACCTCATCTCTACTAAATATACAAAAAATTAGCCGAGTGCAATGCTGTGCACCTGTAATCCCCGCTACTCTGGAGGCTGAGGCAGGAGAATCGCTTGTGCCTGGGAGGCAGAGGTTGCGGTGAGCTGAGATCACGCCACTGCACTCCAGCCTGGGCTACAGAGTGAGACTTCATCTCAAAAAACAAAAAAGCAAAAAATTAAAAATCTATATAACACCAATGTTAAATATTAAATCAACCATTTTTCACTTCAAATCTAGGAAATTATTTCTCACGTTAATGGTAGTCTTATTCTTCACAGTAAAGTGACTCCTCCTTTTTTTCCCAGAACATTTCCAAACAGGGGATGTCTAATATCACTAACTACATGGCAAGTATTTATTGCTCACATTGTTGGGTCATATTTTTATTCCTAACTTCCCACAGAAAAGCTACATAGGGTAAGCCAGCTTAACATTTATACCGCATAGCCATTCCTTTTGTCCCATAAAAAATAACAGATTAGAAAGTCCAACCTCTGTTTAGAGAGAGTGGCTTGGCTTTTAACTTCTTTATGGCTTGAGATAACTTAAAGTTTAGATATTTAAAACTAAACATTGAATCTATAGTTCACATTGAAAAACACAGTTTTAACCCAAGGACTTCCTATACCTGGGAAATTTCTGTTCCCTGTGACATCCTGTAAAATGGTCTTTTTCTCTGCTTGGGGGGAAAATTTGCATTCAGTGATGCATAATTAGCAAATTAGGAGCCAGCAATGAATCAATAACAATGTCTTCTCACAAAGTCTTAAGGACCAAGTATTTATAATATTTACATTTTCTTGCTATTTTATTTCACTGTGAAAACTGAAGAGAAATAGTAGTGTTGATGTTATTACTAAAGTACCATTATGAGATTAAAAGAAAAAAGGCAAAGGCTGAGTGTTTCTGTAATTATTTATGGCTTGTTATCTAAGATCAATTTTTTTTAGATCCTCCAAAGGAGAAGGGAAGCCGTTGTTTCCTGTACACAAAACTTGCTTTGTCACAATCAACAATTTGGAGACCATAATAAGCAGTATAGGACTTATGATTTCTCCACCAGAAAGGACGGCTCTCTAAAGACTTTGAACTGAGCTCTTTGTAAAGATCCAAAGTTCCCTTGCTGGCAGCCATCGTGGTGCTCAATGGCACACAAGGGGATGAAACTTTTGGCATTTTCAATTCTGGTGGAAGTTCAGCACTTGCTTTAGACAAATCAGGCCTCAGGCTTGCTAGGGCTCAGGAGTCTGGAAAGTTGATGAGTATATGCAGACTGCTGGAAAGCAAATGGACAGGTGAGCTGTCAGGATCCAATGTCCAGTCTTTTAGGCTAGGTCATGTGGTTGGGGTCAAAGTTCAGCAGTGCAGAAAGGACAGGAGAAACATGTGATACCCGCATTGGGTTTGAAGTTCAGAGTTTGGGAGGCACCACTCAGATCCAGAGCACTGGTTGAAGGATGTGAAACTGACAGAGTGGAGTGGGCAGGAATGTAGGCTTGACCTCAGCTTGCTTCTTCAGGCTTCTCTTCACCAAACCTGCCAGCCATATTGAACCACTTGCCACTTTTCTGAATGAGCTAAATTTTCTTTGCCTTGTTTCCGGGGCTTTCCACATGCTGCTACCTCTGCCTGAAAGATACACAATTGTTCTACACACACTCAGGAATCACCTTTTTTTTTTTTTTTTTTTTTTTTTGAGACGGAGTCTCGCTCTTGTTGCCCAGGCAGGAGTGCAATGGCGTGATCTCGGCTCACTGCAACCTCTGCCTCCCGAGTTCAAGCAATTCTCCTGCCTCAGCCTCCCGAGTAGCTGGAATTACAGGCATGTGCCACCACGCCTGGCTAATTTTGTATTTTTAGTAGAGACGGGGTTTCTCCATGTTGGTCAGGTTGGTCTTGAACTCCTGACCTCAGGTGATCCTCCTGCCTTGGCCTCCCAAAGTGCTGGGATTACAGGTATGAGCCACTGCGCCCAGCCAGGAATCACTTTTTATGGAAAGCCTTTGCTAATCCATGCCACACCCCCAAGACTAAATTAGGCGCCCCTCCCCTAGAATCCCCATGGTCTCCATAGACATACTGCCACAGTACCATTTAATATAAAACCTTCATAGCATTTCAACCACTTTTCTTATTAATGGAGCACTTTCTTCAAAAGAAATCTTACTCAGAACCCAACGCAAAAGAGCAGGTGCTTTGACAAAGTGGAGGAGGGTGACCAAGGCCCTGCCTACTTGGCCACATTGTTTACCCAAGGAAGTTACCCCTGAGAAACTTTAAGAAAAGGCTAAAGGGGCTCAGAAAATGCTTTTAAAATCCCAGGCCTAATATATATGCTTGCTTATATTAAAATACATAAAATATAGGCATGCTTTATTCAAAGCTGTCCCATGAAGTACTTATTTATATTGAAGTACTTATTTATATCAACACTTTTAGCTGATATAGTTTTGAATTTGTATGGCATGGACACTGAGTAATCAGAAATCCACCAACTATTAATAAGCGTGGCTGTCCAGTGCATACCAGAAGAACATACGCAAACTTTTATTCACTACAAATCCACTATTAGTGTGTATTTTATCCAGGCTGCAAGCCACTGGCACATCAGCTACATTACTCCAAGTTGGACAACCATGTTTTTAATCCAATGTGGCCTTTCTTCCTGCCCATTATTTTACATTATGATGAATACCCATTATAGTCGATAAAGTGTGAAGGATGGAGTCAAACCTTCCCGAAGAAGCAATGGAAGTGACATACATAGAATCTGGAATGCAAATGTTAGGGTGCCTTCTATCATCTCCAAAGACGTGGCTAAGAAAAGAGTAAGTCTCATGATGAGCAGGTAACTAGGGATTGGTAGGCATCATGGATATCCTGGTAACCTAGGAGGGTTAATCCACAGGTGAGCGGATGGGAGTTGGAAAGAATGAAAGCATGTTTGCTAGGGCACCAAAACTGGGACATAGCTCCAAAATGTCTCTGCTAGAGTGACTCTGTACCCTCACCACTTCAATTAGAGTCCCCATGTCCAGAAGACATCTACTGTATGTCCACCCCAACTCAGATACCTTGGGTATATGCATGTACACATAACCCTGGGAGAATGTCAATTCATTTCTTAAGTTTACTTGGGAGAAGAACCCGGGGTATGCACCATAGAAGTGAAAATAAAATGTTTTACTGTAAACTTTTCATATGATGTTAATTTTATATGCTCATATATAAAATCACCAGCTTTTTTGCCTGCCTCACCTATTAAACTGTAAGTTTCTTGAGGATAGAAACAATGTCCGATCCATCTCAGTATCTCTGACCCAAATACAACACCTGGTATGTAGTAGGTAATAAATGGATGGATGGATGGATGAATGAAGGGATAGATGGAAGGGTAGATGGATAAACGGATAGATCTCAGCAGACAAGCAGTTTTAGCACCAAAGAGATTATAATAGCAGGTTCCTGGGCCTAAACAAAGAGCCCTGGGAAAGAAGAAATCCATAGAATCTAACTGCAGAGCGACTGGGAGGCAACAGCAGAAGAGCATAGTGGCAAGACCGAACCCTACATAAGAAGATCTCTCCCTGCCTAGAGCTAGAGCTGGACACAGTCCAGGGCCTAGGGTCCTCCCAGAGACTTGGAAGAAAATGCAACTCCATTGTGCACAGTAAGATTTCCAGGAAAGTCAATAGAGGGACATACGAAGCCTGATGCTTCGTGCTTGTAAGATACTTATCTGTCTCTGACTTGAGTGGCTTTCTCAGGCCAGAGAAAGAAAATGAACATTATGAAAGGGCTTTAATTGGCCTGGACAGTGCTGATAGTAACATAAGTTACCATGGTAGCTAATGCACACACTTCCTTCTCAATAAATAATACCTCCTTATCTGCTTTCTAAAGAAAGAATTAATGAAAGAAGAAGAAAAGAAAGCAAAGCTACACCTCCTGCAAAAGATGCCCATTTCTTTCTGCTGTTACTTTTGGGGATTCTAGCTGTTGGTTGAGAAGCTGCCATGTGATTATTTGGATCTCAAAGAGCAAACAACCCTTACTTAATAACACATGCCGTAAAAGCTGTGCAAGGGAATATCTTAGTCTCTGACTGCTGTGAGGTGGAGGGCATTTTGAGGCACCGGAGGGAGTTGGGAGACTTATTCAGAGTCCATTCATGACAACGTTTGTAGTAATTATGGAAGAAGAAATGGAAGCACGAAAGGCTATTTGAAATGGTTCTCTCTTTAAAATTGAAAGGATGATCTTACAATATTTTAGGATGACATTATGTGTAGATGCTTTTACAACTTCTTTGGTAGAAACGATCTGGAATCGGAGCCCAACTAGAGATTAAAGGGCTTGGGGTGAGAGGGGATATGAACTTACTTCTTTGTTTCATTGGTTCAGCTCC
Organism: Homo sapiens; assembly: GCF_000001405.40. NCBI lineage: Eukaryota > Metazoa > Chordata > Mammalia > Primates > Hominidae > Homo > Homo sapiens. The sequence continues at coordinate 172,386,812 of NC_000002.12, read as the reverse complement.
AGCCTTTCTCCTTCACAGAAATCAGATGCAGGAAAAATCCCTCTGAGATCATCTTATAGATGCCCCGCAGGGTCAGCGCCAGTCTATTTTTTGTGTAAATCTGAGGGAAGTGCTTTATTCAGGCAATTTTGAAAAGATTTAAGTAATGCAGCTCCCACCACTTTCTCTGGCAAATTTTAGTATTCACAGCCTTGAGCAAAGGTTTGGTTTTATTATTATTTTTTACAAAATGGCAGGCAGATAATGGCTGGCCGTTGCTTTCAGGCCAACAACCTGCAGAATCTTCTGTTGGTAGAAATGCCACATGAGTAATAGGGGCCTTTGTAAGAGCAGGCTTCCAGGACGCCTCGGCATCAGGGGTGCGTCCAGGGTTTTGTGGAATAGTAGCAAATTTCATTTTCTCCCTTTTCACACTTTTCTTTGTATACTGGAGGGAACCATCAAGTGCTGCAAGCCCACACTCTTCTTCTAGGGAAAAGACCCCCCCACCCCCCTGCTAAGGGACAGGTCTAGGAAGGCAATGTACAGACTGGTGAGTGTCTTTATTTAATTTTTTTTGAGACGGAGTCTCACTCTGTCACCCAGGCTGGAGGGCAGTGGCGTGATCTCGGCTCACTACAACCTCCGCCTTCCAAGTTCAAGCAATTCTCCTGCCTCAGCCTCCCTAGTAGCTGGGATTACAGGCATGTGCCACCACGCCTGGCTAATTTTTGTATTTTTAGTAGAGACGGGGTTTCACCATATTGGCCAGGCTGGTCTCAAACTCCTGACCTTGTGATCTGCCCACCTCTGCCTCCCAAAGTGCTGGGATTATAGGCATGAGGCACTGTGCCCAGCCCTGGTGAGTGTCTTTGCATGAAATCCAGAAGATTGTTGGTGTTTAAACCAGGCCCGTCGTTGTGGAGTTTGAACATATAAGAGCACTGATTCATTGGCAACGAGCAGCGAGAGTCCACAGATGAACCAAAGCCATGAGTAAGCAGAAGCCATGGCTCTCCCTGAGTGAAGGGCCAGCTGAACACGCCGACACAGAGCAAAGGCACAGGGGATGAAACACAATGCAAGGCACTGGGCGGATGCTGGGAAAAGCCAAGAAAAGACGAAAAGAGCTCAGTCACCATAATGGTGGGGATACAAAATTGTCACTGTGAGGGAGCAACAAAGTAAGCCCTGGAGAAGACTTAGATCATTCCAACTCCTGAACTCTACTCTCTCTTCTGTGGGTAGCTGGTGTCCTCCATCCTGGGCTCTTGTGGGATCCCCATTTTCTGCCGTGTCTGTTTTTACAACATCTACTGTTACTCGAGGCAACCTGAGAGAATCTCCAGGCCCTCAGAGTGTGATGAACCAGCCCTTTACCCCAGAGCCCACACTATAAACTCAGTCATCACACGAATGGACTTGGCCCAAATGAAGAATCACCAAGAGTATAAAAGAAATGTCTAGGGGGCAATGTGTAAGGCATGAAGTACAGTTTTGAAGGCCAAGTTCCAAACGTCATTCACGAGCCTTTTGGTTATCGGCCCTATTCAGGAAATAGAATAACATGGCAGATGTTTAATATGCAGCAAAGCCATGAAGAGGGTCCCTCCCACATGGGCACATCTCGGCCTTCAGAGACTTTCGCCCTTGCCACTCAGCCAGCTGCATGACTGAGTCGAAGCCAGCTAGGGAGGCAGGTGGGGTGGGGGCGGGGTTGTGGGCTTTCACTGTCCTTGTCACCTCTCCCCCTTCAGGCTGCCAGATGGGAACCCACAGACCTAGTATGCCAGCGGGACAGTCCCCAGGGTGAACGGGGACCCTGGAGTTGTACAACACAATAGCCCTGCTTGGTGGCCCTTCGGGAGGCCCAGTGGCAAGAATGCCTGTGCCCTCAGCAGCTGCAGACCCCGAGCCTTCCCCTTTCCCAACCCCTCTGTACCATTCTTGTGTACCATTCTTGTGTGTGTACCATTCTTGCTGTGCTTCCAAGAGAAAGCCCAACTTGTTCATTTTCAAACACCAAATCATCCTGCTCAGCCCCCGATTCCCCACTCCCACGACTCCCCCCTTTGCTGTGACACGAGAGGGACCTAAATCAATAGCATGAGCAGACAGCGACTCTCAGCCACTAACAAACATGTCGACCTAAAGGGAAGGAGCTGAGGCAAAATTAATATAAGCAGTTTATTTGAGCCAAACTTAAGGGTTGCAACTTGGGAGCATAGATTCAATTGCCCTCAATATACACACGATTACAAGTGGATTTTTAAAGGCAAAAGCGGGGACTGGGAGTGGGCTGATACAAAGCTATTGTCAGGAATTCTCATGGTTTATAGAAGTGACATTGATTACTGATTGGCTATAGATTGTTAAGCTATAGGGTGTGGGTTTAGTGTCTGGTGTGGTACTATTAGGTGAATTTATAGTTACTTGTGGCAATAATAAGCAGTTTCAGGAGATAAATACATAGCTCAGAGTGGGTAGTGGAACGTAATTGCTGTCTCATTTCAACATCTTTCTGAACCTGATAATTTAAAAGGACTCACATTCCTCAGATAAAAGTTCTTTTATGGCCGGGCATGGTGGCTCACGCCTGTAATCCCAGTACTTTGGGAGGCCGAGGCGGGCGGATCACGAGGTCAGGAGATCAAGACCGTCCTGGCGAACACGGTGAAACCCCGTCTCTACTAAAAATACAAAAAATTAGGCGGGCGAGGTGGCGGGCGCCTGTAGTCCCAGCTACTCGGGAGGCTGAGGCAGGAGAATGGCGTGAACCCGGAAGGCGGAGCTTGCAGTGAGCGGAGATCGCGCCGCTGCACTCCAGCCTGGGCGACAGAGCGAGACTCCGTCTCAAAAAAAAAAAAAAAAAAAAGCTCTTTTATTTTCTCAAATGGTAACTCTTCTTCCTTCTGAGTAAAGAGATGTGACTAATGTGAGGCGGGGCTTCCGAGGGAGGGACCAGGGGCAGCTATTTGGTCCTCCTTTGCTCCTTCTTCCTCTGCTCCTCCCTGGTTTGCTCTTTGATCAAAAGAAGCAGCCGGTACTAAGGAAGGAAAGCCAGTACAGAGCAAGTCACATCTATCATTCAAGTTTCCTTACAATAACTCACCACCAAAAGAAACCGTAAAGTGGGAGAAATAGGATGACTTCGAAAGCAAAAATGCAACTTACTAGCGTATTTGATTATATGCAGTCACAAACTAAGAAAAGGTCATTGGTTTGTTAGTTTTTTTTTTTAAGTTCCAAATATTGTACTTGTAAAGTACACTCTTTTTGTAGGAAGTGGCTGGCCCAATGCCATTACTGGGTATATACTCAAAGGAATATACAAAGTTCTATTATAAAGACACAGGCACATGTATGTTCATTGCGGCACTATTCACAATAGCAAAGAGATGGAATCAACCTAAATGCCCGTCAGTGGTAGACTGGATAAAGAAAATATAGTACATATATGCCATGGAATACTGTGTAGCCATAAAAAAGAACGAGATCATGTCCTTTGCAGGGACATGGATGGAGCTGGAGGCCATCATCCTTAGCAAACTAACGCAGGAACAGAAAACCAAATACCACATGTCCTCACTTATAAGTGGGAGCTACATGATGAGAACACATGGACACATAGAGGGGAACAATACACACTGGGGCCTACTAGAAGGTAGAGGGTGGGAAAAGGGAGAGATCAGAAAAATAACTATTGAGTACTAGGCTTAGTATCTGGGTGACAAAATGATCTGTACAACAAACTCCTATGACATGAATTTACCTATATGACAAACCTGCACATGTACCGTTGAACCTAAAATAAAAGTTTTAAAAAAAAACCCAAAGAACAGTTATATAAGTTTTCTGAAATTTGTGGCCAAAAAAGTAGTTGTAGTATTACAGGAAAGGGGTCCTGATCCCAACTCCAAGAGAGCGTTCTTGGATCTCATGCAAGAAAGAATTCAGGGTGAGTCTGTAAAGTGAAAGCAAGTTTATTAAGAAAGTAAAGAAATAAAAGAATGACTACTCCACAGACAGAGCAGCCCCAAGGGCTGCTGGTTGCCTGTTTTTTTCTCTTTTTTTGAGACGGAGTCTCGCTGGGTTGTGCAGGCTGAGTGCAGTGGTGCCAACTCGGCTCACTGTAACCTCCACCTCCCAGGTTGAAGCGATTCTCCTGCCTCAGCCTCCCCAGTAGCTGGGACTACAGGTGTGTCCCACCATGCCTGGCTAATTTATGTATTCTTGGTACAGATGGGGTTTCACCATGTTAGTCAGGTTGGTCTTGAACTACTGATCTCAGGCAATCCACCCGCTTTGGCTTCCCAAAGTGCTGGAATTACAGGCGTGAGCCTGGTTGCCTATTTTTGTTTTGTTTTGAGACGGAGTCTCACTCTGTCGCCCAGGCTGGAGTGCAGTGGTGCAATCTCAGCTCACTGCAACCTCCGCCTCCTGGGTTCAAGCAATTCTCCTGCCTCAGCCTCCCCAGTAGCTGGGACTACAGGCCACCTGCCACCACACCTGGCTAATTTTTGTATTTTTAGTAGAGATGGGGTTTCACCATGCTGGCCAGGATTGTCTCGATCTGTTGACCTCATGATCAACGCCCCCCTTCTCGACCTCCCAAACTGCTGGGATTATAGGTGTGAGCCACCGCTCCAGGCCGCCTATTTTTATGGTTATTTCTTGATGCTATGCTAAACAAGGGGTGGATTATTCACGCCTCCCCTTTTTAGGCCATATAGGGTAACCTCTTGATGTTGCCATGGCATTTGTAAACTGTCATGGTGATGGTGGGAGTGTAGCAGTGAGGACCACCAGAGGTCACTCTCGTGGCCATCTTGGTTTTGGTGGGTTTTAGCCAGCTTTTTTACTGCAACCTGTTTTATCAGCAAGGTCTTTATGACCTGTATCTTGTGCTGCCTCCTGTCTTATCCTGTGACTTAGAATGTCTTAACTGTCTGGGAATTCAGCCCAGTAGGTCTCAGCCTCATTTTGCCCAGCTCCTATTCAAGATGGAGCTGCTCTGGTTCACATGCCTTTGACAGTAGCAAAAAGCAGTCCCCTCTCATTTCAATCCCATTGTTGTTCTTTTTTTCTGAGTTTTTAATTCCTTAAATCTCTATGCATAGCTTTTGTTCCCTAAATGTGGTTATGAGTTCAAGATGGCCCACTGCTCAGACCTTCCTTAAGTGTGGAGGCTTTCTGTTGGCTGTGGACTACCCCAGAGTTATCCCTGACAGGCAAACACTCATAGGCCACTGTGTCAGCCAGCTATGGGTGCCTGTCTAGAAGGCCACTCACAGGCAAGATGCAGATGGATGAAGGCACACAGACCTGCTTCCTCAAAAGATGCATTTTTTCAGTTTGTTTTTGATTAACACATCCTTCTGCCCACCCCTGACACCAGGGTAGGTTCATCAAAATCTATGGAAATGTCCGTAGGTTGCAGGAAGGTCCCCTGATTCTGAAACACAGGGCTGGAGAGAAGGCACAGTATTCCAACGGAATAATTCACAGAACCACTGGCAGAGAGTAAAGGAATTCTTGGCTTTATCTGGGTTCCCCTCCCCCCACTTCATTCAACATTTTAAAATACTTTCACCTGCTTCAGTGAAGGCACAGCTAGGGAACTTGTTGACTACCACGTGCTGTTATTTTAGTTAATATCCTTCTCCCCAGAGCTGAGCTTGTTTGCAGGAGGGCTTTGCAATGCGTGGCTTTCTTTCCATCCTGATAAGCTTCATTTCCAAGCTGGTGGCTCTCCGAAATTCTTTTGCAAAACAGAGCCTCAGATCTCTCCCTCCTTCCTGGTTCTATGGAGATTCTATATGAGAATTTAGAACAAGGCTCAGCATTCACCAGAATCGCCTGGGCTTCTTTTCTCTCCTGCGATTGCTATGTTAATGAATCTGTTGGATGTCGCTGTGACCTACAAGCTCCTACCCAGCGGGAGAGCCCTGCATCTAAACTGCTGATATGTCACACTAAGAAAGGAAAAGAGGCCCTGCCTGGCCAGGCAGAGGGGCAAGGGGGTTTGGGAAGCCTTCCAAGACTCAGATCATTGTGTAGAGATGTAAAACATCACAACTCTCCTTGTTATTACTGGTGATAAATGGCTGGGCAGGCAGATCTGCACCACAAGAATTGCTGAAATTGAGGAAACCTTGTGGAATGAACAAGCAATTGAGGAGGAAGTGAGAGGCCGATGGCAGTGTGACCTTAGTGGCAGAAAAGCCATATGTCATGTTGCTGTAACAATTTATGGCAAATATTTCTCTGTCTGGGGTTTGCCTTTAAATAGAAATCACAAATGATGCAAGCTCAGGGTCATCACCTCCAAGTGCAAAGTCCTGCCAGTGGAGAAAGCTGCATGGAAGGGTTTCACAGGTTTGGGGAACTTTTGGCATGAAAGAGCCCAGCTCTTTGAGTTTGAGTTTCATCTACTCTTTTTTTAAGGATGAGTGGATATGTGAAAGTTGCAGTTGGAAATGAGCAGCTTCTCATAGACTTTTAACAAACTCAGGGCTTGTTAAAACAAGGATGAGGGGGCTCATCCCTGTGTCTGAATTCTCAGCAGCTCAGATCCCTGGCTTGTTTCTTGGGGATCCCATCCATGAGGACTGACATGGTTTGGCTGTGTCCCCATTTAAATCTCATCTTGTAGTTCCCATAATCCCCACATGTGGTGGGAGGGACCTGGTGGGAGGTAATTGAATCATGGTGACAGTTTCCCCCATGCTATTCTCATGATAATGAGTAAGTTCTCACGAGATCTGATGGTTTTATTTATTTTTTTTTGAGACGGAGGCTCACTCTGTTGCCCAGGCTGGAGTGCAGTGGCGTGATCTCGGCTCACTGCAAGCTCCACCTCCTGCATTCATGGCATTCTCCTGCCTCAGCCTCCCGAGTAGCTGGGAATACAAGCACCCGCCACCACGCCCAGCTAATTTTCTGTATTTTTTTTTAGTAGAGATGGGGTTTCACTGTGTTAGCCAGGGTTGTCTCGATCTCCTGACCTCGTGATCCACCCGCCTTGGCCTCCCAAAGTGCTGGGATTACAGGCATGAGCCACCGCGCCTGGCCGGTCTGATGGTTTTATAAGGGGCTTCCCCCTTCACTTGGCTCACATTCTTCTCTCTCCTGCCGCCTTGTGAAGAAGGACATGTTTGCTTCCTCTTCAACCATGATTGTAAGTTTCCTGAGGCCTCCCCAGCTGTGTGGAACTTCGAGTCAATTAAAACTCTTTCCTTTATAAATTACCCAGTCTCAGGTTATGTCCTTACAGCAGCATAAGAATGGACTAATACAAGGACCTTCACGAGTATCTCAGGCCTAGCAATGCCCACTAGTCTGGACAAAGGCATGCATGGCTGTGGAGACCCTCTGGCACCATGTCAGCCACACACATTTCTTAGTTTCATCTCTGTTACTTCACAGACAATGCTGGAAAAGTACAATAGATGACTGGGTTGAGTTACCTCTCTACAACACAGGGAAGAAAATGCTCAAGGCCATAGGAAACTGGGCAGACATTCCAGAAATAGGATGTCCAGGGATTCAAAGACAATGCCATCATGGGGACTGGCCATAGGGAGCGCTTGATCCAGGAATGGGCAGAAAGTAGTGCCATTCGGCTCCCCAGCTGGTGAAAGGAACAGCCATCCTTTGGCTTCCACCTGGGGAACCACCTGGAGACCCCTGGTGTTGGGTAACCACCTTCAAACTGCAGTTCTGTCTGCCCCTCCCCTGCATCACTCAGGAACTTGCCTCTCCATCCTCTGGACCTCATGGTAAATGCATACCCTTGCATTTCCTCTGGGACAATTGTCTCTTATATAGTTTGAGCCCAGGGAAGGCCTTGGCTTGGTCATCACAGCTTACATACCATATTCTTCTTCCCCCACTCCTCATACCCCCAGTCAAATAAGGTGATTTTGATGGTTACCAGGTAGCTCGTGAGGCCAAGATATTCCATGCACCAGGGCTTGAGGTGAGTCAATAGGGAAACACAGAATCTACTGTATTGTTAAGCAAACACTCTCTTTATGGGTATTTGGCCCAAACAAGCTCTGTTATGTAGAGCACACTGATAGAATTGAAAATGTAAAATGTTAAAAACTTAGCATCAAGAAACAGTGGCTCAAAATAAACATGGAGATGAAAGATCACAGACATAGGTCATCATTAGAAAGGACAATACAGTGTTCTTAAAGCAGAGATCCAGAAAAATATCTGTTAAAATGCAAAACATAATCAGAAACAAACTCTAATATCAGGACTTATACAAATACATACACAAGCTGGGAGCGGTGGCTCATGCCTGTAATCCCAGCACTTTGGGAGGACGAGGTAGGCAGATCATGAGGTCAGGAGTTCGAGACCAGCCTGGCCAACATAGTGAAACCCCATCTCTACTAAAAATACAAAAATTAGTTGGGCATGGTGGTACATGCCTGTAGTCCCAGCTACTCAGGAGACTGAGGCAGGAGAATCACTTGAACCCAGGAGGCAGAGGTTGTGGTGAGCCAAGATCACGCCACTGCACTCCAGCCTAGGCAACAGAGCGAGACTTAGTCTAAAAATATATATATATATGTGTGTGCGTGTGTGTATATATACACACACGCACACACACACACACACAAGTGTAGGTCTGTCATGTGTATGTGCATTTGTACATGTGTGGGAGAGGGAGAAGGAGAGAGAGACCAAGAGCTTGAGCAAGCAGTGGAGGTGGGGAAAGATCTCTTGGTCACCATCTGTCCTCCATTTCCTAATTCTGAGAAGCAAAGAAATGGCCAAGATTAAAATTTTAGGTTACAGGGGACCTCTGGGATATTAGAGGCGAGGCATCAGAGCAGCTAATGGAAATTCTTGCTACTTTCACATGACACCATGTGATTTGCCTTTATGTGGGGCCCTGGTTACTGAGCCCCCTCTCTTCTTCCCTATCACTCCCTCCCTTCCTCTAGCCTTCTGATCACTGCTCATAGCAGTGCAGATCTCTCTGCAGACATAGTACTATCTTAGGGAATTATCCGCAAGGAATCCTGTGTACCTAGTTTGTTTTATTGGCTAGCAAGTAGATGCATTATTTCCTAGTCAACAGGCAGGGCAGAACAGTGTAGGGCCAGGATGCAAGGCTACATTAGCAAAGGCAGCTGTTTGGACCACAGTCTTCTCAGGCAAAGTAGCAGAGAGGAGTGACTGATGTCAGCTTCCACCAACACTGAGAATTCTACATTGAGCTGGAACCAGGATCTCGGGACAGTGGCTCTAGATAGTATCTGAGGCAGCAGGATGTCATGCTTGCGAGCACCTTCCTGGAATTCTGCTCTACTGCCCAAGTGGAAACCTAGTCATTTCAGGAACCAAGCACTTTCTTCTTATAGGAAAATATAGTCTTCTCAAAGCAATGTTTGCCTGTCCTCCATACTGCATTTTAGCTATCTATCAGGTGTAGAAAATTCTTCAGGGTGCCCGAGTTTGAATGCCTCACCTTTGCCACTCAAGGTGTGGCTGCTTTTGGGACCTCCAACATTCTTCCAGCAAGTTCATAGGATAATATGGAGACCAAAAACATAAAAAGGAAAATCCTGGGGCTCAAAGAAGAGGGAATTCATCTTTTCATGCTCTCTTTTTATGAGTGCTATTATTAAGAATATGCTAAGGCTGATACATATCTTTCAGGCATTTGGCCAAGATGCCAAGACATTTTAAGTTTGACTAGAAGGAGACTTACGCTTTCCAAATTGCTACCTTGACAAATGTTTCTATTTTATCCCCTGGATAGATTTAATTCATTTACTTATTGCACTGAAAGATTCAAGCTTAAAGATATTTAATTATGTCTAACCTTTCTCCCATTAAGTAGATTAAAAGTCTAAAGCATTGGCTGCCCCCACCCCCACCAACACCGTATGGCTGGTCTGTTAAATATGCATGTTCAATCGGAGCTTGCAAAAAGAAAGATATTACATCAGCCTTAAAACAGTATGTATTCAATATTTGATTCTATTTTAAGCTTACACTTGGCCTAATTGTACTAAGCAAGGAAATAATATTACAGTGACGCCACTGAATTAATAAATATATTTCTGTTAGTGAGAAAGGCCAAAAGAGTCATCCAATGTAAATTTATCCTTGGCTACTGAGTGATTACTGTTTCAAGGACTTGGGAAATTGGCAAGACTTCTGGTTCTGTGCCGGAAGTGCTCTTAACTGTGGTCTTAAAATAGGGAAAAAACACTACACCTAAGAAAGTAGGTACAGGTTTCTTATTTGGGTGAGGCCCCTCACAATAAGGAATTCCTTAAAGGGAGATTGGGGAGAAATCTAAGTACTGTATGTCTAGTAATGTCATTATTTACTGCAAAAGGGAGACAGATAAATATCTTGGTAAGAAACTCTAATTGTGAATGATGCACATACTACAATATTTCAATGCATGACAGCGTTTTCCTTGATATGTTGTGCTGAGACATACGGTAAAGGTGACACCACCTGTATTTTAAAAATTGAAGAAATCTATCCTGGGGCAGTGTGTGTGTGTGTGTACGTCTGTGTGTGTCCGTGCACATTTACACGCATGTGTGCACATGCAGTGGTATGCTGGTAAATGTTTAACAACCAACTCTGTGGAATAAAAAGGCCAGGTTTGTAGTGCTTGCCAATACCCATGATGTAAATACTCCCATAATGGCCACAGTAAAATTATCTTCCTTAATGGAACACTGATCATGCAAAATAAAGTCTAAACATCTTAACATGGCCCATGACATCCTTAACCTTGACTTTCCAACTCCACTGCCTACCAAACCCACCTTGCACCCTGGTACTCCAGCCAAATTTTTTGTTGCTTCCCAAACACACTGAGATTTTTCTCATTGCTGTGCTTCTGCTTAGGATGTTCCTCCTTTCTGGAATAGTTGATCCTCTTTTCTGGGCATGAAAAATTCTAAAACTTTCTTAAAGACACAGCTTAAATGTCACCATGAAGCCTTCCTGAAATTCTTCATAGAAGGAACTCTCTCTCCTCTAATAAGCACGTTAATAGTACTTTTATATACCTTTTCTGTCGCAATTATTACAACATAGAAGAATAACTTCTATGTTAGCTTCCCCACTAAACTGTGAGCTTCTTCAGAAAAAAGGAGTTTTATACATACCATTATATCTCTATATGTACCATTATCTTACACATTATTTGGTACATTTTAGGCACAAGTCATTTTTTTTGAATGAATGGTCAAATAACTTATAGCAGATATTCTTTAAGCACTTATTATGTACTAAGCACTTTACATGGACTATTTTGTTTAATTCTCTCCAGAGTCCAATGAGGTAGATACTGTTACTGCAACTTCCCCATGAGGAAACTAAGGCTTAGAGATATGAGTCACACTCAAAGGTCACACAGAAAATAGTGGCGGGACCAGGATTTGACCCAGGACATCTGACTTCGGCTCCTATATTTATACTAAACTGCCTCCCTGCATTGAAAATCTCCTTTTGCTCCAGATATTCAGTGAATCCTTTCTGGCTGTCTGGAATTAGGGATCTACACAGCCAGCTCTTTTTCTGGAAGCCATCTGGGTATCCCATGGAAATTCAACCCACAATCTTAGTTATGCCTTTTGAACTTGGAAAGAAGACCTGCCTAACCCCATCTCAGAAATATTTGGATGTAGGGGAAAAAGGATTCCTCATCCCCAGGATGAAACCCTTTGGGAGAGCTCATTTCTGTCCTTCCAGGGTGGAGCTTTAAGATTTAAAGAGCAAGGCTTAATTAGAGTATTTCCTGGCTGAGTAAATATTAAACTTAAACTCAGCTCTGCCTTTGGCTAGCGAGTCTCAGTTTGAGGCTTGGCTTCCATGTTTCCTCCTGAGTTCCTCATAGAGGAATAGGGGTGGGGAATGAAGTCAAGGAAAGACTGTGGTCTAGGGAACAGAGCGACCTAAGGAGTGCTGATGAGGCAGAGACTGAGTTAACCTGTGCTGCAGATCTGTTACTAAACCCCAAACACACAGTTACTCTTTCCAACAGGTTAAATATTAATCTGTGTCACTGTTCCTTCCGTTGGTCATTAATTAGACTTTTTTTAATACAGTAATTCTGAGATCCACCTGCTAGAAAGGCTACCTTGGGCAAAGCAAGGGCTTTTCCACATTCTAAGAGGCCAGATCCATGGTAGTCACAAAGGAAGGACTCCATACTTCTATGAGGGGATGAAACGTCACTAGAATTAATCCTGTTTTTCTCATTTTAACTGGAACACTGCCCAGAGGACCAAAATAAAAAGTGCAACCTGGATACCAACCCAGTCCATTGCCCTTAGCTCCCACAAAGCAGTCAGACTTTCCAGGGACCTGTACAGTGGGGACTGGGGGCAGGACGAGCTAACCAGGCACTTTATCGGTGTTGCTGTTTTGTAAGAGCTGTTGTATGAACTGATTTGGATCAGCTGTGGGTTCTAAAAGGGTAGAAGCTGTGAAAAGTAGAGAGTAGGAGACTGAACTCACGGACACCATCCCAGGCACAGCTGGTCAAGGAGATTGGCACCTACAGCACTTAGCAGAGAGTGAGCCATCCAACCAGTGTCTATCCACTCTTCTAGGAATGGAACCCTAGTTTTACCCTAGTGAACCACCTTCTCCCCTTGGTTGGGACCATCAATCAAGGTGCCTTGCCCAGTCCCAGCTAAGCAGAAGGTCTCTGACCCAAGCGAGACTATTCAGGTATCTGAATGTTTAGCCAAGTGATAAAATGACTGTTGGAGTTGATTTGGTAAGATATCACTCATCAGTTCTGCTTAGAACACATCTTCCTCTTCCACTCAAACTTCACGATTCCCGTCTGTCCTAATTGTTCAACTTTCCTTTTGATTCTGTGAGTCACCCCACAACCATCAAGTTCATGCCTTTTATATTTGAATTAGCATTTGTTTCTGTTGCTTGACATCTGAAAACCATAACTCATATACTTTGTTGTGTTTATGAGTATGTGTTTAAATATCATCCTCCTTCTACACACACTAAATATTTTTCACTACTGTTTCCCTGCCTATAGTCCACCCATTGGACAAAGTTTGGAAAATATTTTTTTAAAATTCAGACCTAGAGAATAGATGAATATAGGGAATAATCAGTTAAACACAAATTGGTGCCAATCAATTAAGTCTGATTGCTTTCCGTTGCCAAGAGGGAATAAGAGTTTCATTTGGGCAAAAAGGAGGGAAGTCACTGAGATGCTTGGGGGCCTTGGGGAAAAGGAGCAAGCCTGGGTAGTGTCTAGATAAAGCAGCTCGTGAGCACTGCTGCCTGGAGGGGGGTCCAGGAAGAAAAAGACATGAAGAAAAGAAGGTGCAAGGCAAACGCCTTCTTTCTCCTCCTTCCTCCTCCCAGTCCCTGAGTCCTAGCAGCCAGAAATCAGGTTAGGACTATCAGGATAAGAGGGTAGCTTCAACGTAGGCTACACAAGTGTTTGTGGGAAGGCTCGGGACTCTAATGGTCACTTTAATATTGTTTCTACGGCAACATGTTTTTCTACTATCAGGAAAATAACACATCTTCTAGACCTATAATTTTCTAAATGTTCTGCACTCCTGAGATTCCACTCGTTATTTCTGGCATCACTAGTCTATCTGGAAGTCTTGGCATTCTTAACAGCCATTTGTCTGTTGTCTTCCTAAATATTAATATGAACTATTTATATATTGATATCCCTAGAAGGCAGGGATTATCAAAGCTCTGGCCAAATTTGTTTTTGGATCAAGCTGGATAAATCCCAAATCATTCTAGTTAGCAGATACTTCAACACATATAAACACACTAATTATTATATAATGATACCCAGTAAGCAAGGGAAGCTATGAGATCAGTTATAGATAAGCAAAACATACATAAAAATTTGTCCATCAAGAAATTTCTGGGCAATTTTACATTCAAATTTATATAGATTCATGTTTACATATTACTGGAGTCTCCAGCTGTGGCTTTTATTTAGTTCTGGAACACAGATAATAGTCTTAATAGGTCAATTTATGAGCTTTTCAAAGAAACAGTTTCCCAGATCAGACAATACAGATAGCTCTGTCATAGCCACCCCTCATCAGTCATCCATATGAAGATGAAAATAATGTATAGTCAGGACCAGACCTGTCCTGTTAATTAGGTTTCCTGGTTTGTCTTACAGAGTGATCTTCCCAGCATGGCTCTAGGCAATGCTACCTGGGGGTAAGGAGAACAGAAATTTCATTCCTCTCTGACTCACTCACTGCAAAGTCTTGGATAACTAACTAACTCAGGTATCCAGGGCTTTACTTACTTGAGGGATAAGATGGGGATGAGGAAATAAGAATACCAAGTACACACATAATTTGGAGGAATGAAGGAGAGATTAGTGACAATATCTGCAAAGGATTACAAGAAGCCACAAATACTCTCTTTTGGCAGAGGTATTTATAATCTTAAATGTAAATATACTTTACTTTATGTTTTATCCTTTTCTACAAAATCGTCTTTCGACAGACAATTGAGACTTTACTCAAAAGACAGATGATTGAGATTTTAACACCCACATGTTATCAATTCAAAGACACACATACTGTACCATCTCTGGAATACTCTGTCACCCAGGTTGGAGTGCAGTGGCACAATCACTGCAGCCTCGAACTCCCAGGCTCAAGTAATCCTCCCAACTGAGCCTCCCAAGTAGTTGGGACCATAGGTTCACATCACTATGTTTGGTTGCTATTTTCATTATTTTTTTGTAGAGGCAGGATCTCCCTATGTTGCCCAGGCTGGTCTCAAACTCCTGGGCTCAAAGGATCCTCCCACCTTGGCCTCCCAAAGTGCTCAGATTATAGGCTTGAACCACCACACCAAACCCATGTCTTAAAATTGTTATTTTCACATTACTGAACTAGGGATGCACTTTACAATTCATGGGGGATTTTTTTGGTTTTTTGGGTTTTTTTTTTTTTTTTGAGACTGAGTTTCGTTCTTGTTGCCCAGGCTGGAGTGCAATGGTGCAGTCTTGGCTCACTGCAACCTTCACTTCCTGGGTCCAAGCGATTTTCCTGCCTCAGCCTCCTGAGTAGCTGGGATTACAGGCATCCGCCACCATGCCCAGCTAATTTTTGTATTAAGACATCTTAAATTTAATGACAAACAGCATTTCTTCCTTCACATACAGACTTACCTCCTTTGGCCAACTGGTTTACAGAAGGGATTGTGATGACTACTGACTTTGGAGCCCTGAATGTTTGCAAAAGGTTGACACACTTAGAGGCAATGGCAGCACCCCCAAATCAGCAAGGCAGACCCATTTCAAACACAGTTTGATTCGTGTTCTGATAGGGGGACACACAGGATTCTATGAGACCACCTAGTTCAGATGTGGGGTGGGGAAGGGTGGTCAGGAAGACCTCTGGGAGGAAGTGATATCTTAACTGACACTGAAAGAAAGGGTTGATATTATCTAGCACAATACTACCCAAAGTGTCTTTGAAATCTATTTGAAGCCACCTTTGCAATGATTATGACAGTGAGAGAAATCCAGCATAGCTGACTCAATCTTGCTGCTAGCCTCAAGGGCTGGCTCTCCTTGTTCATTCCTGGGCATAGGCTAAGCTAGCCATGGGAAGAATTTAGTTTATAGTTTAACTTTGAAGAAAGGATGATAATAGTCCCTCCCTAAAACTGACTTCCTCCTTGTTTAGGGACTGAAACCACCTTTGTAGGAGTAATGAAAGGCCACAAGATTAGGCTAATGAGAGATGCCTGAATTATGCTAAAATATAGGCATAGTTAAACAATAACCAACCATTGTTTCCCAGCTTGCTTTTCTATAATCCCTTACTGCTCAGGAGTCACGTGGCCAGAATTCACAAGATTTGTGACTTCCCCCATTGCCTCTATAGATAACATCACTATTGTAGAACCTAAGATTGGTCTTTTGAGATGTTTTTCAGATTTTTGCTTTTTTGTGACTGACTGACTTTACCTGGACCTGAGACTGATAACTAAATTTTTCCCATGGTCCTGTGGCTCCCACCCAGAAGCTAATTCAGCATACAAGGACCATTTTCCACGCTCATAATTTCATCCCCAATCAGTGAGCAGAACCCATTCCCCAGCCCTCTGTCTACCAAATTATTCATAAAAATCCTAGCCTCTGAGTTCCCAGGGAGGCTGATTGAGTAATAAGCTCCCAACTTTCCAGCTGGCTAGCTTTGAATTTATTACATTCTTTCTTTACTGCAATACTTCTGTCTCAGTGAATTGGCTTTTCTGTGCAGCAGGCAAGAAAAATCTGTCAAGTGCTTACATATTTGTTACCAGTCTACTGCAAGGTAAGTACAGAAAGTGGCAGTTTAGAAACCTTGATAACATTATACATATATAACAAATTCACACATATAACAAATTCACACATATAACAAATAAGTAATTTTATGTTTATTGAATCTAATAATTTAAAAATTGGGAATGTACTTTATATACCTGTTTTACCTATTTTATTTTCCCAGGTCATTAATTTTATTGCATTTTACAAAAGTAAGTCAGATTGGTTGAGCCCAGGAGTCCAAGACCAGCCTGGGCAATATGGCAAAACCCTGCCTCTACAAAAACAATACAAAAATTAGCCAGGCCTGGTGGCACGTACCTGTAGTTGTAACTACTCAGGAGGCTGAGGCAGGAGAATCGCATGAGCCCAGGAAGCAGAGGTTGCAGTGAACCAAGATCACGCCACCACACTCCAGCCTGAGTGAGAGAACGAGACCCTGTCTCAAAAAAAAGTTGTTTACATTATACTCTAGTCTAGTAAGTATGCAATAGCATTTTGTCTAAAAAACGTACACATTTTAATTTAAAATACTTTATTGCTAAGAAGTGCTAACAATCATCTGAGCCTTCAGTGAATCATAATGTTTTTGCTGGTGGAGGGTCTTACCTCAATGTTGATGGCTGCCGACTGATCAGAGTGGTGGTTGCTGAAAATTGGGGTGGATGTGGCAATTTCTTAAAATCAGATAACAATGAAGTTTGCCACATTGACTGACGCTTCCTTCCATGAAAGATTTATCTGTAGCATGCAATGGTGTTTGATAGCATTTTGCCCATAGTAGAACTTCTTTGAAAATTGGAATCAATTCTGTCAAACCCTGGAGCTATTTTGTTAACTAAGTTTATGTAATATTCTAAATCCTTTGTTGTCATCTCGACAATGCATTCACAGCATTTTCACCAGGAATAGATTATATATCAAGAAACCAACTTTCTTTGTTCATCCATAAGAAACAACTCTTCATTTGTTAAAGTTTTATCATGAGATTGCAGCGATTTCATCACATCTTCAGGGTCCCTTTCTAATTCAAATTCTCTTGCTATTTCTACCACATCTGTAGTTATTTTCTCCACTGAAGTCTTGAACCCCCCTCAGCCATCTATCAGGGTTGGAATCAACTTCTTCCAAACTCCTATTAATGCTGATATTTTGACTTTCCATGCATCATGAATGCTCTTAAGTGCATCTAGAACTGTAAATCCTCTCCAGAATGTTTTTAATTTACTTTGCCCAGATATATCAGAGAAATGTCTATGACAGCTATAGCCTTACAAAATGTATTTCTTGAGTAATAAGTCAAATTTACTCCTTGATCCACGGTCCATGGAATGGATGTTGTGTTAGCAGGCATTAAAACAACATTAATCTCCTTGTACATACCCATTAAGCTCTTGGGTGACTAGGTAAAGTGTCAGTGAGCAGTAATATTTTGAAAGGAATCTTTCTTTCTGAGCAGTAGATCTCAACAGTGGGCTTAAAATATTCAGCTAACCATGCTTTAAACAGATGTGCTGTCATCAGGCTTTGTTGTTCCATTTGTAGAGCACAGGCAGAGGAGTTTTAGCATAATTCTTAAGGGCTCAAAAATTTTCAGAATGGCAATGAGCATTGGCTTCAACTTAAAGTACCCAGATGCATTAACTCCTAGCTATACAGTCAGCCTGTCTTTTGAAGCTTTGAAACCAGGCATTGACTTCTCGTTGGCTACGAAAGTCCTAGATGGCATCTTCTTCCAGTGAAAGGCAATTTCTTCTATTAGGCTGGTACAAAAGTAATTGCAGTTTTTGCCATTGAAAGTCTATTGTTTAGTGTAGCCACCTTCATCTTAGCTAGATCTTCTGGATCACTTGCTGCAGCTTCTACATCAGCACTTGCTGCTTCACTTTGCACTATTATGTTATGGAAATGGCTTCTTTCCTTAAACCTCGTCAATCACCCTTTGCTACCTTCTAACTTTTCTTCTGCAGCTTCCTCACTTCTCTTAGCTTTCAAAGAATTGAAGAGAGTTAGGGCCTTGCACTGGATTATTAGGCTTCGGCCTAAGGGAATGTTATGGCTGGTTTGATCTTCTACCCAGACCACAAAAACTTTCTCCATATCAGCAATAAGCCTGTTTCACTTTCTTATCATTTGTTTGTTTGCTTAAGTAGCCCTTTTAATTTCCCTCAAGAATTTTTCCTTTGCATTCACAACTTGGCTAACTGTTTAGTGTGAGAGGCCTAACTTTTAGCCTTCTCAGCTT
Organism: Homo sapiens; assembly: GCF_000001405.40. Classification (NCBI taxonomy): domain Eukaryota; kingdom Metazoa; phylum Chordata; class Mammalia; order Primates; family Hominidae; genus Homo; species Homo sapiens. The sequence continues at coordinate 172,368,249 of NC_000002.12, read as the reverse complement.
TTGACATGTCTTCCTCACTAAGCGTAATCATTTCTAGCTTTTGATTTAAAATGAGAGATATGTGACTCTTCTTTTCACTCAGATACTCAGAGGCCATTGTAGGATTATTAATTAGCCTAATTGCTAATTAGGGAATAGGGAGGCCTGAGGAGAGGAACAGATATGGTGGGGGGGTGGGGGTGGGGGGACAGCCTATTTATGGAGGAGTCAGAAAACTCACACAACATTCAGCAATTAAGTTTGCCATTTTACATGGTCACAGGTCTTGGCACCCCCAAACGATTACCATAGTAACATCAAAGACATGATCACAGATCACCATAATAGATATAATAATAATGAAAAGTTCAAAATATTGAGAAAATTACCAAAATGTGACTCAGAGACATGAAGTGAATCCATGTTGTTGGGAAAATGGCACCGATAGACTTGCTCCACAAAGAGTTGCCCAAACCGTCCATTTGCAAAAAACACAGCATCTGTGAAGCACAATAAAGCAAAAGGTAGTAAAACGAGGCATGCCTATAGGTAGTTTCTTTGGAATTTCCTCCTCGTAAAGACAGAATGATAAAAAGCACCTACCTCACAGAATTATTGTGAGGATTAAATGAGATCACATAGGTAAAGTGCTCAGAACGGTGCCTGGCACACAGCAAGTGCTGTAGGAGCTTTTGCCGTCCTTCCTGTTTTCTGGCTAGAGCCCTGGACTAGAATGTTATGCAGCTCTGGCCCCCGGGTTATTTCTCTGTCAGCTCAGTGATGGGAGTTCATGGGTTCCTACTCCAGGACTCCAGCAGTGTGAGATACAGTCACTCACTCTGTCCCTATTTTCCTTCAGGTTTGTTTGCTTTACGGGATGCTTTACTACAGTCAAATCCTGAGAGAAAGGGCTTTGATTGGTCCAGGTGGTTTCTATCCTTATCCCCATTGGGTGAACTCTGTTGACGGGCCAGCCAATAGATCAGCGGCCCTTTTGTCAGGTCTTCTCCTAGTCCAATCAGCTCTCAGGGGCCACAGAGTGATCAGTGAGGGGTGAGGAATCACCTTGGGCTGCCTCCCTCCTTATGCAGAGGGATTTGTCGGGTGACCCTTAGGACACCTCCAGGACCGGAAGGACTAGAGTTCCCACTGCTGCACCATCAGCCCCCAAGAAGCAACCCACTTTCTTCTGCTTCCTCGGGTGCCGCCAAGAATCATCAGAAGAAGCCAACCCATTGTGTTATCTGAAAGCCAGATTCCAGGAGTTTCTTCCAAAACGCTTATAGAAGGCACCGACAGCAGGGCTGCTTCTCGACTCCCTCTTCCTGGCATAGCTGCAGGCACATTATGTCAGGGGGAACTTTTCCAAAAATTCACATGGAAAATAGCTTTCTTGTAGAAAATAATGTGCTTAAAAGGAGCTTTTATTTTCCCCATTTGCTTAATGCCGCTGGCTTAGCATACTGAAGATTGGGCAGTTTTATAAGTGTTGAGAAGATGAGTTTAGGAATCCTGAGTGATAGTATCTGGACTTCATGCTGATGGTTGCAAATGTTAGGACATCTGCAACGTATCAGGCCCTAAGTGAAGCAGACGCGTCGCAGCACCTGCCTGATAGAAGTCTTCCAGCATTGGGACATCTGGGACTGGGTTCTGCTGACACCACATACATTTCATATCTCTATAAAGCCCTGCCCTGTGGAGAGCTCTTGAAAGGAATAAAGACCAGGAAGCCACATAAAATGTGAGCTCCAGCTTCTGTTAGCCAAGACTGAGAAAGGAAGCAAGCAGAAACAGAGAGTCCAAAACAGACAAGGCACAACATAATGAACTTATCGAGAGACAGGGCTAATATCTAATAATGGACTAGAGAGTTCATCCATCCACCTGTCCAGGACATGATTCCCACATAATGAACCCCACATACCAGGCTGCATTATAGCATTTCTACAGTTCAACAATTAAGGTGTTGAAAATTATAATCTCCATTTCTTGGTCTAGGGTAATCTTCTGACTTCGTTTAGTTTCTGCATGGAAGTTAGGAGATAGAGAAGTGGGGAGAAAAATGTATGTGCTTCCCAGACAGCATTTGGAGAAAGGAAGGTGGAAGTTTGAATTGGCAATGCAGAAAGCTGGAAAAGGTGCATTGTGGTTCCTGAAGCTGCAGGAGTGAGGACCATGTCAAAGACATGGGGGCACCCAGGTGGAAGCACATGCCCACCTCCCATTTCCTAGGAGAAAACAAGTCAGATAGAACAGAGAAGGTGCACACAACCAGCTCTGGCACATTATAAAACTTTTGCCTCAGTTCTATTTTTTTCTGTGACCATGTAACGATCATAAAGATCTATCAGGATAGAAAGTCAAGTAAAACAAACTATGTGCCCTCTCAGCTGCCCAAATGTCTTAATCATGCTAGGCCTCTGCTTACACCGGCTCTCCTTCCAGCACCATCGATGCCACTCCAATCACATCAATCTCTTTACCGCCCCTCATCAAGCCATAGTTTCCCGTGTATTTTTCCCATTTGTGTGCACTGCTTCTTCTGCCTGGAATGCTTCTCCCTGCCTTTTCCACACCCCCAGGCCTCAACCAAAGTATTTTGTTTTTCTGAGAAATGTCTTCTGATGGTCCCTTTCACCTCTCCATTTCGGTCATTGTTTGCATGTAGCACGTACTGCTAGCTAGCCCCTAAAATCCATTCTCCCTGGCCGGGCGCCGTGGCTCACGCCTGTAATCCCAGCACTTTGGGAGGCCGAGGCAAGTGGATCATGAGGTCAAGAGATCGAGACCATCCTGGCCAACATGGTGAAACCCCGTCTCTACTAAAAGTACAAAAATTAGCAGGGCGTGGTGGCGGGCAACTGTAGTCCCAGCTACTCGGGAGGCTGAGGCAGGAGAATTGCTTGAACCCGGGACATGGAGGTTGCAGTGAGCCAAGATCACACCACTACACTCCAGCCTGGCAACAGAGCAAGACTCTGTCTCAGAAAATAAATAAATAAATAAATAAATAAATAAATAAATAAATAATCCATTCTCCCTGTTCTCCATAACAATGGGGAAGTAGCTAAATACATGGCCACCCTACCACAGACTGACTTTCCCACACCACCCCCACTCTCAGCTTGCAGCTCTGTGTGACCGTGTGGGGAACGTGAGCAGATGTGATTTGTGCCACTCCCACCTCACTGCATTGCTTTTCTGCTCTCTGTCCCCTTCCTGTGAGCTGGAACATGGATGTATTATGAAACCCAGTGCTCACCATTGCATCAGTGAGCTAGCACTAGGTAACAAGCCACCCTAAAACCCAGGCTTAAAACAAGAATCATTTCTTCTCTTGGAGAGTTGGCTAAGTGCCTTTGCTTCAAGCTATGGGTCTGGCAGGGCCTGACTCTTGCTGGGGTTGAGTTCTGATCTGTTCCACAAGTGTTCATTTTGAGACCCAAGCTGAAGGGGCAGCAGCTACCTAGGGCAACTTCTTACTGTGATGGCAGGGATGGCAGAGGGTGAGCCTAGCTGTGCAGGCACATGTCAAAATTCTGCTTGAGCCACACTTGCTCCCAACCTTGCCTTGGCCGAAGCAAGTCACATGGTGGAGGCCAAATTCAAGAGGAGGAGCACAAAACATCTTTTATAGAGGTTTAGGGGAGGAAATAACTATTTTTGAGCAATAATCTAATCTACCTCAGTCATGCAGAGAAGGACAAAGTCTTTGGGTGGAAGGGGAGCAATATGGATTCCTCAATGACTGTGTACGCCATCCTGCCTACCCACCCTCACTGTTAGGCAAGATAAATGAATTCATTGTTTCTTTAAGCCACAGAATTGTTGGGTCTGTTTGTTAAAGCTGCTTAGCCTTTTACCCTGAGGAATGTAACATGGTTTCCACTATAGCACATATTATTTGTTCTTTCTTTGGTTTGTTTTTCTTTTCCTAGTAGAAGTTTTTTGCTTGTTTTTTTTTTTTTTTTTTTTTTTTGTATGCTTGTTTGTTTTTGAGATAGGGTCTTGCTGTCGCCCAGGCTGAAGTGCAGTGGCACAATCAGGGCTCACTGCATCATCAACTTCCCCTGCTCAAGTGATCCTCCCACTTCAGCCTCCCAAGTAGCTGTGACTACAGGCATGTGCCACCACACCCAGCGATTTTTTTATTTTAGTAGAGATGAGGTCTTGCTATGTTGCCCATGCTGGTCTCAAACTCCTGAGCTCAGACAATCCTCCTGACTCAGTCTCCCAAAGTGCTGGGATTACAGGCATGAGCCACCATGCCTCGCCAGAAATTCCTTGAAATCAACAATTACGTCTTAATTAATTTTTGAATCCCTAGACCTACCATAGGATCTATTGTAGAGTGAGTGAATATTCAGTGAAAGTTTGCTAACTGATCAAATGAATTTCCTATTTTCTATTACTTTCACTTGGAAATAAATATGTGTTTAAAAAAGCGTTGCTTGCCGTAGTTATGAAAATAACAAAAGCACATTACAGGACCTAGATCATGGGTATCCAACATTTTGGCTTTCCTGGACCACATTGGAAGCAGAAGAATTGTCTTGGGCCACACATAAAATATGCTAACACTAACAATAGCTGACATGCATAAATAAATAAATACATAAATACATAAATAAAATAATTGGCTGGGTGCGGTAGCTCACACCTGTAATCCCAGCACTTTGGGAGGCCAAGGTGGGCAGATTACCTGAGTTCAGGAGTTTTAGACCAGTCTGGCCAACATGGTGAAACCCCATCTCCATTAAAAATACAAAAATTAGCTGGGCATGGTGGCGTGTGCCTACAGTCCCAGTACTTGGGAGGCTGAAACAGGAGAATTGCTTGAACCCCAGAGGCAGAGGTTGCAGTGAGCTGAGATTGTGCCACTGCACTCCAGCCTGGGTGACAGAGCAAGACTCTGTGCGTAATTTTCGTGATTTCCTCCACAGAAATAAGCAAAAAATCCTTGCCTTCAAAGGGTTGGACATGGTTGCCCTAGATGCTAACTTCCTCAAAATGTATAGATGATATGCAGATATGTGATTCCTCACAAGGAAAGCGGCTTCAGGAGGACATTCATTCATTTATCTAGTCATTGCATAAATACTTACTTAGTGCCTACCCTAAGCCTGGCACCAATCTAGGATGAGGACGGATATAGCAGTGAACAACCAAGACTCCTCAGGAAGCTCACATTTTAGGGGAGAAAGAGAGAGATGATAAATACATAAGTGAAAGATCAAGCAGACTGAATGGAGGTGTCAGAGAATTGGGGAAGGATGGAACTCTCAGTGATGATAACATTTGAACAAAGACCTAAGGAGGTGATGGAACCATATATTGCTATCTGAGAGAGAGCTTCTGGATAGATGGACTGTCAAGTATAGAAGCCCCGGGTGGGAGCCACCCTAGTTGTGTTCAAGAAACAGCGAGGATGCTACTACGGCTGGAGCACACAAGGGGGAGAGTGGTAGAAAATGTCCTTGGATATTGAATTTAGCAAAGAAGGCAGAAAAAGCCCAAATAGGTTTGACCAGCTAGGGGATTCTTAACACGTATTTAGTCAATGAACATTCAAACAACAGGTTTCTGTGGCTGTCCATGGTTGTGAAATCCATAGTGTTGAAGTAGTACTTGTCTTTGCCTAAGTGTCTTTGTGACAGTGTCTTTGTGCAGTGCTCAGGAATCAGGTGCCCATAGCTTAAACCCATTGATATCCTTGGGTTCAGCTGGGTGCAGTGGCTCAGGCCTGTAATCCCAGCACCTTGGGAGGCTGAGGCGGGTGGATCACCTGAGGTCAGGAGTTCGAGACCAGCCTGGCCAACATTGTGATACCCTGCCTCTACTAAAAATACAAAAATTAGCCGGGCATGGTGGTGGGCGCCTGTAGTCCCAGCTACTCAGGAGGCTGAGGCAGGAGAATTGCTTGAACCTGGGAGGTGGAGGTGGCAGTGAGCAGAGATCATGCCATTGCACTCCAGCCTGGGTGACAGAGCAAGACTCTGTCTCAAAAAAAAAAAAAAAAAAAAGATAGCCTCAAGTTCATTTGTCCACGCTCCTTCTCCAAAAGATAAGTTGGGAAAATTAATATCAATTCTCAATCAACATCAAGTTCAAGATGATCTTTGAGGTGTAGTTTTCAGCAGATTAATGACAGGCATTCCCGCCTCTTCCCCATCGCTAGGAGCTAGATGGCACTGAACAGGAGAGATGGGATATTAGCATATTCCCAGCTGCCTCTCTGCGAATCTGTATTGGCCACACATGTCTTCACTTAGTTTCAAGCCCACGTGCCCCTCTCTGCCCCACCCTTGCTCCCACCCCATTCTTTTTCCTTTTCAAAGAAAAGCCATAGCCATGTTATAATTGTTGCTTTTCTGTTGGAGAAGCGATATTATAGATTGGGTAGAAAATGTTCAAACAGAATTTAAAAAATTGAAAGCTTCTGAACATACTGTCTTAACACAGCCTCTTGAGACCTATTAACTGACTAGAAAGGAAGGAAATTAGCAATGGGAAGGTGGAGTTGAGTGCAGTTTCTCCTGCCTTTTTATATATTCTAGATGGAATTGCTGGGATAATAAAAGTTAAATATTCTAGGGTAATTGCCATTCCAGTCAATCCTATAAAAATATCATCAGAACTAGGGTTCTGACGTTGTTCCAGATATGGTAAATACCAGAACAGAGGAGGAATTTGGGAAAGGGTGAGCACGCCCTTTGCTGGATTTTGACCTGTTTGTTATCTGTTGTTATGGATTCTTCAGTGTTCAAATCAGTCTTTCGACTCAGAACTCTGAATCACAGGTCTCTAGATTCCCCAAAGAGAAACAGCCCCATTCCTTGTGATGTATTAGCCTAGTAAATTATAATTTTATTTGTTCTATTAAGCAGCTGAAGTTCAGCACATTTTTATTCATTTTGTACAATAGGCATTAAATGATTCTGAATGCCAGGCACCTAATCAGATTAAGAAAATCTTCATGTTGGCCAAAGGTTTATGCTTTTATACTGCAGTAAATTCCCCCATCATCTAATTCTTTCTACTCTACCCCAGCTCAGGGAAGACAGCAAAGCAACCCAAGGCTTTCAGAGACGCCTCCTCATACAAGGCCTTATCAGGTGCTCCCCTCTCCTCTCCAATCTTTCATATTGCTAGTGAGGGTAGGAGAATGGGCCCAGTTACACAAGATTAAAATGGAGACTTAATTGACCGGGCGTGGTGGCTCATGCCTGTAATCCCAGCACTTTGGGAGGCTGAGGCAGGTAGATCACCTGAGGTTGGGAGTTCGAGACCAGCCTGACTAACATGAAGGAAACAATGTCTCTACTAAAAATACAAAATTAGCCAGGTGTGGTGGCACATGCCTATAATCCCAGCTACTTGGGAGGCTGAGGCAGGAGAATCGCTTGAACCCAGGAGGCAGAGGTTGCAGTGAGCCGAGATCACGCCATTGCACTCCAGCCTGGCAACAGGGCGAGACTCTGTCTCCAAAAAAAAAAGATTTTACTTTCTCCTTCCACTCAAGAAAAGATCCTAGGTGGATGCATAACAGAGCAGGCACTGTTGAAATCCCTTGAGTTGAACCATGAGACTTCTGAGGGGCTGGCCCCGGTCCCTGGGAGGATGTGGGAACAGTGCGAGCTGGGGCACCCATGCTAAGCTGAGTCCCTTTGGTGATGGGCTATGCATGAGGCCACAGGATTTGGAGAACTGAGCTTGGCCATGAGCACCAGCCAATGACCCCACACTAGGGGATTAGGGAAGTGAGGCAGGCAAGATGGAAGCAAGGGGAATGGGCTAACCCCGGGCAAACTTTATAGCCACATGCCAGCCAAGCCTACCTGCACTCATTCTTCCTATGTTAAAATCTTTATAGGGATCCTACACACTCATCTGTTTCTATAGTTTTGCATATTGGGTAGTCTAACTTTATTCCTTGGTGGATTCCCTTTAGAAAAATCCAATTTTATCTTAGATTTATGTCACACTGTCTGTTTTGGCTACTTCGGTGCTGGTGACAGATTCCAGGAACCAGCTAGCCTTGTCCCACCTCTTAGTCAGGGTGTATGAAGGGCAGGGGGTGGTGGTGGGAAGCAACAAGAACACCAGCTCATATTGTATAGCATGGCCTCATATTTTATCACATTTAACCCTTACAACACTGTAAAATAAATATGATGGCCCCTATTTTACAAATGAGGAAACTAAATATAGAGATTTAGAGAAATAAATAGACCACAGATTCCAGGTAAAGCCCAGGGGCATTGGGTCTGATAATGAGGTGAAACCAGAAGGAGGTATTATAGGTTGAATTTGTGTTCCCCACAAAAAGACATATTGAAGCCCTAACCCCTGCTCCCTAGAATGTGATCTTATTTGGAGACAGGGTCTTTACAGATGTCATCAAATTACAATGAGGTCATTAAAGTGAGCCCTAATCCAATATGACTGGTGCCCTTATAAAAAGGGGGAATTTACTCCGGGCGCAGTGGCTCACACCTATAATCCCAGCACTTTGGGAGGCCGAGGCAGGCAGATCACAAGGTTGGGAGACCGAGGCGAGGCCATCCTGGCTAACACAGTGAAACCCCATCTCTAACAAAAATACAAAAAATTAGCCACACATGATGGTGGGCGACCGTAGTCCCAGCTACTCGGGAGGCTGAGGCAGGAGAATCGCTTGAACCCGGGAGGCAGAGTTTGCAGTGAGCCGAGATGGCACCACTGCACTCCAGCCTGGGCAACAGAATGAGACTCTGTCTCAAAAAAAAAAAAAAAAAAAAGGTGGTGGTAGAATTTGGACACGGAGATCAACACCCATAGAGGGAAGACAATGTGAAGAGGCCCTGGGAGAAGGAGAGAGGTGTGGAGCAGATCCTTCCTGCACAGCCCTTGGGAGGAACCAATGCTCCTGCACCTTGATCTTCACCCTCCAGCCTGCAGCACTGTGAGGTAAAAACCTTCTGTTGTTTAAGCCACCCAGTTTGTGGCGTTTTGTCACGGCAGCCCTAGAAAACTAATGCAGGAGGGAAAGAATGGTGGGAATGTGGACACGGATCCTCCATCTTGGGAAGGGCAGGATGTGGACATCGTTGGGGAAACTTCCCAGCCTCCCAGCCACAGGGCTCAGCTCGGATCACCAGCCAGCACCCTGAGGGAGACTGCACAGGTGGCTCTGAGTTTCACATGGATGAAACGGTTGCCACCCTGGGAGGGAACTCCAGCTTGAGTGACAGCCCCAGGAGCCCCCTTGTACCTGAAAGGTGCTGGCCATTGTGGGCACAAGGACATAAAAGTGAACTGCATGAGGGAGGGGTGGGTGTGCTGGCGCAGACTTGACCGTGCATCTTGGCCTCCTGCCCTATGACTCCATCCCTTCCCTCACTCCAACTGCCTGGGATCACTTCCCAAATAAACTGGCATGAAATGCGGCTATTCTGAATTGAGCTGTGCTAGAAATAAAAAATATGCACCACGTTTCAAAGAATGAACAAAGAACACAAAATCCCTCCTCATATTAGTTTTCCAGGGCTGCTGCAACAACCACAAATTCGGTAATTTAAAATGATAAAAGCTTATTCTCTCCCAGTTCTGGAGGCCAGAAGTCTGAAACCAAGATGTTAACAGAGCCTCCTAATTCTTGGACGCCCCCAGGAATTCCCTGGCTTGTGGCTGCATAATTCCCATCTCTGCCTCTGTCTGCACTTGGCCTTTACCTCTCTGTCTCTGTATTTCCTCCTCTTCTCTTATAGGGACACTTGTCATTGGACTTAGGGCCCACTCTGATAATCCAGGATGATGTCACCTTGAGATCCTAAATTTAATTACATCTGCAAAGACCCTTCTTCCAAATAAGGTCACATTCACTGGTTCCAGGGGTTAGGACATGGACACAACTTTTGAAGGACCACATTTCAACCCATTATACTCCTTAACATATATATATATATTTTATGTTGACCACATGTCACATTAGTTTACTAGGACTGCCATAACGAAATACCACTGATTGGCTGGCTTAAACAACAGGAATATATTTTCTCACATTTTGATTATGTTGGGTTAAATGCAATCTACTATTTACTCTTGAATTAAAAAGGAAGGCTGGGGGCATCTTAAACACTCCTTCACAAATTTGCCCAGGGTCTACCCTTATGTTTCCCATTGCCCGCTCTCCTCCCCAAACCCTGACCAGGGCAAGGGCTGTTAATGGGAAAACTTGGGATCTGGGTTTCTGGGCAGTTTTGAGGAGCACCTGGAAAAAGGAAGCTAGGGAGAAGGTCCTGGTGCTGTTATTACTGAGGAGCTTTCCAGGACAGAAAAAGGATACCTAATAACTTGAATGTAAGTACATGTTGTGCAACCACGACTTCACTCCAAATGCACCCTGTATCTGCACGTCTTGAGTGAAGTCTACCACACACCCACATGTCTTATATGAGCAGTTTCCTTAAAGAAATCAAGGAAAGAGTCTGGTTGGCATGGGCTGAAGAGGAGAGCAGCCAGAGGTGGGGTGTGTGTGAGCCCAAGGCCAGCTGGAGGAGGCCTTGGAACCACAAGTGGCCATGAAAGCCCTGAAGCTTTGCAAAGATCTTTGGGAGGAGGCCTCCGACTTCCCACAGGATGTGTGACAGGGGCTCGAGTTAATTTTATTTTAAATCTCAAAGGACAGGGTGACGTCAACTGACATCTGGGTTGCACTTGTTATCAAGGAGTTGAAATGAAGACAGAGGAGGCATGCTTATCAGATTTGTGGAGGACAGGAAGCTGAAAGGAACAGCAAACACCCAATTACAATCCCCAAAAGTCTCAACAAGCTAGAATGCCAGCCTGAATTTAATAAGAGAAAACTTAATAAGGATGAGGGAATGTCCTGCACTTGAGAAAAATAAATAAATAAACCAAAATAAAACAAACTGTCCATGCAAAACACATGAAAATGGGTCAGGGGTTTAACTCAGATGAGGGCACCTGAAAAGCTGAATTTGAAGCTGTTCTGATAGAAAAATGAGATGCAAAGGAGGGAATAGGTAATCAGTTCCATTTTTCCTGGTTAGACCCCTGGAATATCAACTTCAGGTCTGCCTACCGTCCAGTTAGAAGGATGCAAACCAGAGTGCATTCAGAGAATAAATGGCTAGCGTGATTCACACAACCCCGGACTGCATAATGTAGGAATAGTGCTGTTTAGCTGGAGAAGACAAGAGTATTAGTCCATTTTGCATTGCTAAAAAGGGATACGTGAAACCAGGTAATTTATAAGGAAAGAAGATTTATTTTGGCTCGCAGTTTTGCAGACTGTACAAGAAGGATGGCACCAGCATCTGCCTCTGGAGTGAGGGCCTCAGGAAGCTTACAATCATGGTGAAAGGCAAACAGGGAACGGGTGTGTCACATGGTGAGGAGAAAGCAAGACAGAGGAGGAAATCCCAGACTCTTTTTAACAATCAAATCTCACATGAAGGGAAGGCATTGCCACTGGGAGGGCACACCAAGCTGTTCATGAGGGATCCGCCCCCATGAAGCAAATACCTCCCACCAGGCTCCACCATGACCTCCAACATTCGGGATCACATGTCAACATGAGATTTGGAGGGGACAAACATCCAAACCATATCAATAAGCTTCAGAGTGACTCAAGAATTCTCTATAAACATCTACAATTCTCCTGCATGGAGAAAGACTGGGCTTGTCATGTCTGGCTCTGAGGAGTGAACTCAGGACAGTGAGTGGATACTTCAGGGAGAAATTGGAGTAATGTATAATGAAGAAACCCGATGTGCCCATTAGTATTGATTTAACTGTAAGTAACAGAAAACCTGATTAATAATGACTTAACCAAAGAAAAATTTTTGCCACTTAAAAAGAAGCCTAGAAGTAACCTGTGGTTAAGGCTCTCCAACCTTCTTCTCCACCATCCTCAGTGTTGGCCTCATCCTTCTGTCTGTGGCCTCATGGTCACAAGATGGCTGCTGAAGTTCTAACAGCACAAGTCTGCACTCAAAGTGAGGGAGGAGGGTGACAGCGAGAGGGTAGCCAAGGTAGCAAAGAGGACCTTTTCCTTAATGGTGCTATCATTTTGTCAGAAAAGAAAATAACTGGGCCAGGCAAAGCAGCAGCTCATGCCTGTAATCCTATCCCTTTGGGAGCCCAGGGTGGGTGGATCACCTGAGCCCAGGAGTTCAAGACCAGCCTGGGCAACATGGCAGAAACTTGTCTCTACACACAATACAAAAATTAACCAAGTGTGGTGGCGAGCGCCTGTAGTCCCAGCTACCGGGGAGGCTAAGGTGGAAGGATTACTTGAGTCTAACACTTCAAGGTTGCAGTAAGCTGTGATTGGGCCAGTGCACTCCAGCCTGGGCAACAATGGGATCCTGTCTCAAAAGAAAAAAAGAAAAGAAAATAATTTCTCAGATGTCCTTGTATATTTCATTGGCCACACTGGGTTATATGGCCAGTTCTGGCTGCAAGAGAGGCTAGAAAAAAACTATCTGCTTTTCCAGCCTATACAATAGAAGATTAGCAAGGATAAGGAGATGGCTTTTCAGTTGCCCCCAACAGTGTCTACCACAACAAAGTTACCTGTGATTCAACCCACAGATTAGCTTAGTCTTTTTTTTTTTTTTTTGAGACAGGATCTCACTGTGTTGCCCAGGCTGGAATGCAATGGCATGACCAAAGCTCACTGCAGCCTCAGACTCTTGGGCTCCAGTGATCCTCCCACCTCAGCCTCCCAATGCCACGTGCCATGATGCCTGGCCAATTTTTTAATTTTTTGTAAATGTGGGGTCTTGCTTTTTTGCCCAGGCTGGTCTTCAACTCCTGGTCTCAAATGATCCTCCTGCCTCATCCTCCCAAAATGCTGGGATTACGGGCATGAGCCACCACATCCAGCCTGGCTTAGTCTTTCTAATGCAAATATACATATGTTTCTATAAGCACATATACCCATACACAAATTTTCACAAATGTGGAATTATGTATTATAAATAGTTTTAGTTCCTGGTTTTCTCACTTAGCATTTATAGTATCTTTACATATCATTTTCAAATTCCTTGAAGATATTATTTTCAGCAGCTGCATAATATCCCACATGGACATTACACATTCAACCATTCCCCTACTTTTGGACATGTAGCACTTTCTAGCTATCGTCTCCAGAGACAGACTGCTATGGAAGTTATTGAGTTGCCCACCCCTGGAAGTATTCCACTACAGGTATGGAATAGATAGCATACCAGTATCGGGTAGGTTACTGGACTGTATGACATTTCAAGCCCTTCCCTGCCTCAAGATGCTGATGATAGGGTTTAAAGAGATGGAGGTCGTTAGGGAGGATCACTGTGCCCTGACCAACTACACCTTCATCTCTGTTTATCTTCCCTTTGCCTGCTCCTGAGCACACAAGCTGTATACAACATTCCTACTCCAGATACCCTCAAGGTCAGCCCCTCACAGTGCCTGCCATACCTCTTCCTCACAACCTTCTATCAACAGAAAGAACCTGAATCACTCTTGACTTGCCTTAAAATTGCTGCAATGAAGACAGCAGCACCTCTGGCTCTTATCACTGGGGACACACTTGAGAATCAGCTTGAAGGACCCAAACCTGAAGAGAGGGGCTGAGTATGGAAGGAGCTTGAGACACCAAGAGTGATGACAACATTGCAGTGGTGCTGTTCTGCTGCCTCTTGCTGCTACGAAGGCCTATTTGTGGCTTTCCAGCGTGCCTCCAGGACAGGCGGGGGACAGGGACGACGACTCATCTCCAGGATCAGCACACACCTCTGAGGTCACTTAGGTGAGCTGGATAGTGGAGTGAGTGAGACATGTCAGCATATCCTTGGGTTAGTGTGCTAGGGGTTCCAGATGCAGGAGTAGTGCTAGGGACAAGACAGATACCTGCCTTATCAGCACAGAGCTTGATATCAGCCTTTTGCTATACACAGTTATGTTCAGGGGCTGTGATCTGACCTAAGGCTGTCTGAATCTAAATTTGCCTTCTGTGGAACTGATATGCATTTATTCTCTTGAACAGGGTCAATAAGCCAAGCCTACAACTCAAATATTAGAATTTAACACAAAGGTTTTTGACAGAAGCAACCTGCAAGATGACCACCCAATGACAAAATATATATATATATATATATATATATATATATATATATATATAGCCATCAACAACTTTTGCAAGAGAACCACCCAATGACAAAAAAAAAAAAAGCCATCAACAACTTTATCAGTGTATTCTCAGCTATATGGAGCTTAACTCATTCCTCTATAGTATCTTGCTCCTTTAAGTGGTTACAGGGAACAAATATTTAAGGTCAAATAACTTTGGTCAACTTTAGTGATATAATATTGCTTGCTGCGATAATTTGGTCTTTTTTCTAAAATGGAACTCTCTTTGCCTGGGGGTTGTATTGTATTAGAAAGGTCACACAGTTTGCAAGAGCAAGCAGCCCCAAAGTTGATTTTCTTGCCTATGAGGGCATTGTGTCTATGAGGAACATCCCACAACACAATCTTGTCTGCACTGATACCCACGAGGGGCCAGAGCACAAGATCTGAGCAGAGGATCTCATTTGTGTCTCAGCTCTGCCAACAATTCCCGCAAAAGCATGTCTCCTAGTTTCTTTATTACTTAATTTCTCCAGGTACAGGTCGTTATGTGAAGTCCTTGAACCTGGCCACCAGATGGGGAAACTCATAACATTCTTACTAGTAACAGCTGCCCTTTTCCCCTAGATTAGTATCAGAGAAAGCCTCTTACAATATTATTGTAATTTTGGACTAGGAACAAGTCTCATCCTTGTGTGAATCACAAGTCTTTTAAAATTCTACCGATTCTAAATTTTAGAACAGAACAAGATGTGTCTAATCTTGGTGAAGCATAAGTTTGAAAAGATGTTAAATATCCTGCTTATATTCTCTATTGCAAACTCTCATAAGATGCAGAACATTGTATAAGTCAACCTGCTGGCTTCTAGCACTGGACAGACCAAATCCCTGGCCTCCAGGAACTTTCAGCATGGAGGAGAAACCAACTGAACAAATTATTAATGTGGGTATTAAGAGAGAAAGAAAAAGGCATGCAGAGGTTACATGTATTTTTGAACAGCTATAATAGACACATCTGGGATATCTCTCCAGCCCACAGTGACCTGCTTTCTCTGAGAACTACCTCCTCCCACAGCTATGGCATCCAGTGGCCATATTTACACATCATCACCTATTCCCCGCTCTGTCAGAGACAGTTGGACCAGGAGTGGACACCTAACCAAGCTGAGCCAAATTCTCTCTCCTGAGAATCGAATTGTGATTCAGAGCACCTGTAAACCCAGGCAATGTAGGCCATCTATATCTCTGAAGAAAAAGGAGGACAAATAGAACAAGAGACAGAGTCACCAGACCCCGTGTGTCCCTATCCACAGAGACTGAGAAGATGGCTGCCCTGCCCACGGATGCTCTGTCCTTTCTGGTTCTGGACTCCTGTGGGGCCTCGGCAACATTCCTACCATCGTGACACAGCCTTGTATCCTATGAGACATTCCCCCTTTCTTCTTCCCCTGGCTCAGGTACATTTGCTGTTACATCCCAAATAGTCTTGATGAGGACCTGAGCATAAACATGCCCCGGTTCATATAAAAACAGATGTAGATAATCAAAAACAGTCAATAATCCATAAGCCATTTCTGGCTATGGAAGATAGCGTAAAACAAGTATGTTTAAATTGCTGGACTTCATAACACCTCTGATGATAGTACAAACCCACAGCAACATTAAACTGATTTGCCCAGACCTGCAAAGCCCATCCATTACCCTTGTTCTGCCTCAGGCTCTGCTCCTCTCTGCTCTCTGGTCCTTACAAGGCCTGAGTAGCATCGCCTCTCCCCTTCCTCACTCTACCTCATCTCCCCAGAAAGTCCACAGCCACTCCACTGATGCCAGGCTCAGCCTGACACATCTTTCCTGGGAGAAAGTATTTTTAAAGGCCCTTCTTGATAGCAGCAAGCAAAAGAGACGGCAGCCTGAGCAAATAGTCACTAGAAGAGGCAAGACTGCTTTGGGAAGAGTTTACCATTGCACCTCAGATGATGCGGAAACAAACAGAGCCTGCAAGAGAAGCCAGAGAGGCCCTGAGTGGCTTCCTGGCCGATGAGGGTCTCAAGTGTGGTTCAGAGATTTTCATGGAAGAGCCATGAGAAAGGAACCTGTTTGAGGATCCATATGAATAAAATTGTTGAGGGGACAAGGGCCAATTGTCTGGGTGACAAGAGTGTGTGAGCAGGGGTGGGGGTGGCAGGAACTAGAGCAGGAGCTACAAAGCCTGGGTAAGGCCCTGTATTCCTGGAAACAAAATCCAGCAACTGCATTAAAAAGGGATTTCTTTGTATAACTCAAGCTCTCCTTGTGGCAAAATAATCCTTCCTTCTTCCTGTTGGCAGCTCCTCATGAGCAAAACTAGGTTAGAAACACACACAATCACACACACATTCAGAGACACACATAGACTCACACACCGCACCACTCACGCTACCGCATGTTCTGAGGGTTGCCCTCATTGCCTCCCAACACATGTCCAAAGAAGTGTATGATGCCTATTGAATAGCAAGGTGCCCTGAGATCACGTTGGGGACCCAAAAATATGCACATAAGGAGCAGCTTCCAGTTCACCAAGGACTTTGTCCTGTTTATTTCATTCAATCGCAGAACAAGAAGGCATGGAGGACCCTCAGGGAGCTCCCTTCTAATACAGCTCCCTCCGTGTCCATATGAAACCAAGGCCTAGTGTGGTCGCCAAAAAATGACCCTAGGCCAAAGTAAGACCTTCTAGCCTTGGCTAGATTTTTCTTTGTTTCCCAATCTAATAGAACAGGCCAGCCTGGCCCAGCTCCCAGCTCCAGCACACGAGGTTTTGCCAACAGGCTTCACGAGTGCCCAGCAGAAAGGTTGCCAAGCTCAGACCTCACCCTGGCTCATTATCCACAGGCAGGGCTCTCCCATGACTTTCTGGCTGCCCTTGCTGCCACCTCTCTTTGTGGGACAGCTGTACAAGTTTGGCCGCTGGTGACTTCAGTCACAGGTCTTGTTTTTGTTTGGCGGATAAACGTGATCAAGTTCCAAGTCCTCCTACTGAGACAGAGGGTATTCTGATTCTCTGTGACACCTGCACCATCTTAACATTGTCTGTGTCACCCAGAGCCTGGAGTGGCCCACGCCTGAGTCTTGAGGACAAGGGACCACAGGAGAAGAGGAAGCTGTGGTCGTCAGAGAGTCCCAGCACCCTCTTCTCTTTACAGAATCACCTTCCATGTTTGCCTGCCAGTGGATCTTTTCAGTTATTCTTTTTATTTTATTATTATTTTTTTGAGACAGAGTCTCTCTCTGTTGCCCAGGCTAGAGTGTAGTGGCATGATCTCGGCTCACTGCAACCTCTGCCTTCAGGGTTCGAGTGATTTTCATGCCTCAGCCTCTAGAGTAGCTGGGATTACAGGCATGAGCCATCACGCCTGGCTAATTTTTGTATTTTTAGTAGAAACAGGGTTTCACCACGTTGGCCAGGCTGGTCTCGAATTCCTGATCTGCCTGCCTTGGCCTCCCAAAGTGCTGGGATTAAAGGTGTGAGCCACTGTGCCCAGCCTCAGTTATTCTTTTGTGCCTCAATGATTACAGTTCTCCCATTTCCTGAAAAGCTTCTCTCCTAGGAAACACTTGGACCATCCAGTAGAGTCACTGACTGTAGCTTAAAAGACCTATGTCAATCTTTCTAAAAGTGAGGTAGACATCAGAAACACTGGGTCTTTGTTAAAAATGAAGACTGAGGGCCCTCTCCCAGCCTTTCTGAATTAGAATCTCTTGGAGTAGTGGCTGGAAATCTGATGTTTTACAAAAGTGCCCCAGCGAAAGTGATGTACATCAATGTGAGTCTGACTCAATTATGCCTTACAGTATGGAATAATTGTGCTCCCTGTGTCCTCTGGGTCTTGTCTTCTAGATCTCTGTCAAAAAAAGGTAAAAGATTGTGAAAATGCTAACTTAATGACTAAGATTATTTCTTGGAGGCAGGGGTCCATTTCTTCTGCCCTGACTTCACCTTACCTCATCAAGCCCCAATAGTAGACAGGATAATTGCCCATGAAGGATACCTAAAACCAGAGACTCATGGACCACCTTCCACCTCCTTTCCATATGGAATTTTAGTTCCCCCCCACTCCCACCCCACCAAACCCTGTGAGATGGATTTCAAAGTTTAGTGACCACTTTGGGAGCACAAATATGGGGTGTTTTTTAAAATTTGTTTTATTTTTATTTATTTATTTTTTAAGACAGAGTTTCACTCTTGTTGCCTAGGCTGGAGTAGAATGGCACCATCTCGGCTCATTGCAACCTCCGCCACCCAGGTTCAAGCGATTCTCCTGCCTCAGCCTCCTGAGTAGCTGGGATTACAGGCACCTGCCACCACGCCCAGCTAATTTTTGTATTTTTAGTAAAGACAGGGTTTCACCATGTTGGCCAAGCTGGTCTCGAACTCCTGGCCTCAGATGATCCACCTGCCTCGGTCTCCCAAAGTGCTTGGATTACAGGCGTGAGCCCCTGCACCTGGCCGGGTGTTTCTTTTTGTGCGGCAAAGGTCCCTGGAGCCATTGACCTCCACTTTACTTGTTTAGAAAACAAAATGACATGAGGATTCTGAGACTTCATTTCAGCTTGACTTCAGAAAGAAGTCCACAGGAATGCAAAAATCATCCCTTCCTTAAAAAACCAAGTGTCATCTAAAATACCTAGATAACTAAATGAGATCTTGTTCTTGTCCCCAAGATGACTCTTCATCCATTGACAGAGGGATGAAACTTGATAATTAAGTCTGCAGCCTTGTTCCAATCATGAGCAAAAAGCTGACAATGCATCCTACACATATTTTGTGTCTGCATCTTGCTTCTGAAGAATCCAAAGCACTTCCACCTGTCTCTGTGTGTCCTCTGGCACGGAGGATGGCAGACATCCACCCTGATTCATAGATGACCCTTTTGAGGCCAGAGAAGTATGTGATTTGTGCAAGTAGAACATTTCAGTAACAACAGAATTCCAGAAATTGATTAAGGTGATTTACTCCTTGGGTCAGAGAGCTGAGCCACTCTCTTTCTGCAAAAAGTCATCTTTTCAGTGCCCAGGACATTTTAATCTTGTTGGCATTCAGTGTGCAAATAAAGCTGACTCACAGGTAAAGCCATCTCCGGACACTTTTCCCCACCTTTTATACCCTGCTTACTGACATGAGGGTTTTCACCTGTTCCTGTTATTGTAGGAGAAAAAAAAATCTAAGTAGTTAATTAAAATAGAATGTTAACTTACATTATTTCCCTGAGATGCAACTGGATTATGGAAGAAATGCTTAGAAGAGGATTGCTTTACCCAAATAAATGACTAGTTGATTTTGAAATTTTAGACATCAGCAGGATAGGAAACTTCCAAGTATTCTTTTTAAAATGTGTTTAATGGATATACTTATGAGTCAGCTTTATTTGCAGACTGAATGCCAACAAGATTAAAATGTCCTGGGTACCCAAAAGGTGACTTTATGCAGAAAGAGGGCGGCTCAGTTCTCTGACCCAAGGGTCAAGTACCTTAATCAATTTCTAGAATTCTGCTACTACTGAAATATTCTACCTTGAACAAATCACATACTCCTCTCGCCTCAGAAGGGTCACCTGTGGAACATGGTGGATGTCTGCCCTCCTCCATGCCAGGGGACACACAGAGACAGGTGGAAGTGCTTTGGATTTTTCTGAAGCAAGCAGAATGCCAAAACCTATCTATAGGACAGCAGATATTAGAATGAAGAAACTGTCAAACACAAAATTAAAAACAGAATTTAAGTAACCAAAGTCTATCTAAAAATCACCCAAAGAAGGTGATTTTGGAGGTCTGGAATCACAATTTTAAATGAACTTGTAAAAATTATCCAATCTGGAGACATCCATTATAGACCAAGATGGAGGATCAGAAACCGAACTTATTCTTCTACTCCAAACAACGAAAAAATCAGACAAAATATATGAAACAACAGTTCTCAAGACATTGGACATCAGGCAATGAAAGGCAGTGATCCCTGAAAGATGGGATAACAGATGAGGTGAGCCCTAAGATTTTCCCAGCTTACTGCATTGAGAGAGTTTCCAGGCCACAGTGCAAGGAGGAGAAACCCAGATGGAGTCAGCTGTCTCTCTGAGTAGAGGAAACTGGGGAGGCCGAGGTAGCTAGAGCTCACAGGGTGGAATACCAGAGAGGAGAGAGCTGCAGAGAGGACTCTGGAAATCTGCAGAGGATCCCCCTAAATATTCAGTTGACTATTTGTTCGATATAAATGAGAAGAAACTGCCTGACAGTAGGAAAGAATTACCTGAAATAATTAAGGAATAAGGAGTACAGGGAGCTCACCTAGGGCTGGGAACAATGCCTGTTCTCACTAGCCAGACCTCATAACTCACAGGGTATCAGGTAGACTACTCAAAAGGGCCTTCACTTGGCACTGGGTGACATTAACCATAGACCAAATACTGCCCTAGTCCCACTTAAAAAAGCTTACTCAAGAAGAAACAGATAACCTAAATAGCCCTGTTAAATAAATTGAATTTGTAGTTTAAAATCTTCCCACAAAGAAAGCTCCAGACTCAAATTCCTTCACTTGGGGATTTTACCAAACATTTAAGAAAAAAACAATACCAATTCTACACAAACTCTCCCAGAAAAGTAAAGAGAAAGGAATACTTTCCAATACTGCATGAGGCCAGAATTAGTACAATAACAGAATCCAGAAAAAGACACTGCAAGAAAACTACAGACCCATATTCTTCATAAATAAGACTCAAGAATTCTGAACAAAATTTTAGCAAATTGAATCCAATAACATATAAGAAGGACAATGCATTATGACCAAATAGGATTTATCCTGGAAATGCAAACAAGTCATTCAGGCAGTTACTACCTATCAGAGTTAGAGCTGCAGGGAGGAAAAAAATTTTTTTTTCATCTCTGACCCAGGTCAAATGTCTTGTTTTATTAAGCTGAGGCCAAACTGCAGAACAAATTGTACTAAACTAAAACTAGTATTAAAGTCTCCTGGTTGCTAATCCAATGTGCTTTCTACAACACAAGTGTAAGAAAAAGTAGGAAACAACAAAAGCTGGAGTCTAATAAAGAGAGGCTTGTAGAAAACTATGAGAAAAAAAACCAAGAATTTGAATGGGATATCAGATGTGAACTTTTGAAGAATGTCAGTGATGTATCATGGCGCTAGTTCTAAACACATCTATTTTTCATGAGACTAATAACAGTTTTTGTGCAAAGGAAAGAATTATCTGCAATAAAATAGATGAAATACTTATTTTAAAAATATTTCTCATAATAAAAGTGTTAAAATGACTCAAACTGTTTTTTTGATCTAACACGAACATGATTCTTACGACCAGAAAATTGCCCTGTTTGCAAATAAGGCCAAAAAAGCAAGATGATGTAAGATTATGCAAAATGCAAGCCAATAAAGTCATATGTAGATATACAGAAATATTATTAATCTTGATGAAAAAATACATCATTGGTTTGAAGCACAAATAAATATTTCTCTTAAAAAGCAATGACTTATTTAATAGCTGTCTGTAAGCCATGTGTTCATTTAATAAGAATCACATGTGCCTATTAAAATAAAGATAGACTACCAGCTAATGGTGAACTATGAACAAATCCACAGACTGTGGATCTGCCTACCTTTCTATCCCTATGTGAGTTCCCCATGAGCAGGAGCTAGGTCTTACTCATCTTCATATTGCTGGGGCTAGCAGAATCCCTGGCATGTACTCAATCCTTTCTTCTTGCTCCCAGACTTGTGTCATGTGAGATAATGAACACCCTTGCTGTTTGAGTTAGTCAAATGGAAGTTTCTTACTTGCAGCCAAGAGCATCAGCATTGAGACAACCACTGCATGAGTCTCCATTTCCTGAATTGTAAAACCGGGAATGGTAACATCTGTCTGATGGGGTTTTGAGAGCAATAAATGAGATAATCTACTTAGAACCCTTTGCACAGTGCCTGTCTTAGGAAATGCTAAGTAAATGTAAGTTTCCTTTCCTCTCTTAAGGAATTTGCCATTTAAAAACCAAGGAGACAAAGTTCAACACATTCAAAGTTCACAGAACTGTTCATGATGTCACCTGCTAAACTTGATGCTGCCAATTTTGAGATAATTATTGCATTAACCATGATTTTCTCTCTAATTATTGTTATTGTTAAACTCATCAAAGAATTTGCTCCAGGAAATGATTTTAAAAGGGTCTGTGAATGAAAACCTAAATTTGTATCAAGCAAGTAACAAAGAGAATGGCTCAGAACACTCTTCCTTCCCCAAAACAAGCCATTATGCTGGTAGCCCAGCAGCTGTGGCCCACTTTCATTTTATCGTGATTTTTGAAAACTTTTTATTGGAAAATGTCAAACTTACAGAAAACTTGCAAGCACAAAGAATAATAGCACTAACTACACATGTGCACCCTTTCCCCAGATTCACCTACCGTTAACATTTTGCCCACTTGCTTTCTCATTTCTTTTTCTTTTCTTTTTTTTTTTTTTGAGACAGGGTCTCACTTTGTCACCCAGGCTGGAGTGCAGTAGTGCAGTCTCAGCTCGATGCAGCCTTCACCTCCTGGGCTCAAGTGATCCTTCTGCCCTCAGCCCCCCGAGTAGCTGGGACTACAGGTATGCGCCACCACACTTGGCTAATTTTTTATACTTTTTGTAAAGGTGGCATTTCACCATGTTGTCCAGGCTGGTCTCCAACTCCTGAGCTCAAGCAATCCACCTGCTTCAGCATTCCAAAGTGTTGGGATTACAGTCATGAGCCACTGCAACCAGCCTCGTTCTCTTTCTCTGTGTATGTGTATATGTATACATAGGTACATAATCTTCATACACATTTACTATTCTTTCTGAAACATTTGAAAGTTGCAGCCATCATGCCCATTATGTACAATTTTTATTTAAATTTCATTTTCTAATTTAAACACTTAAAAAATAGATACTTATGCCACAGTTCATGTCCTTTGTAGGGATATGGATGAAGCTGGAAACCATCATTCTCAGCAAACTATCGCAAGGACAAAAAAACCAAACACCACATGTTCTCACTCATAGGTGGGAACTGAATAATGAGAACACATGGACACAGGAAGGAGAACATCACACACCGGGGCCTGTTGTGGGGTGGGGGGAGGGGGGAGGGATAGCATTAGGAGATATATCTAATGCTAAATGACAAGTTAACGGGTGCAGCACACCAACATGGTACACGTATACATATATAACAAACCTGCACGTTGTGCACACGTACCCTAGAACTTAAAGTATAATAAAAAAAATAGATACTTGTATATGATTTGTACATGGTGCTAAACCTGAAGTGTACAAAAGGGAATACTGTTAAAAGTAAGTCTTCCTTTCATCCCTAGGGCCTACACACTGGTGTCTCAGAATAAGAAGGGAATGTATCTTGGGATTCTCTGAATCCATTTCTTTCCCAATTGTATGAAAACTTTCATATATCCAAAACAATTGAGAAAACAATAAATAACTATCTAAAAGAGAAAATTCAAGAAATCTAATCTAGAATCCCTCAGGAGCTACTGCTCTTTCTGGTGCTGCAAAGGTTTGAGACATTTGGCCTTTTCTCCAGGGATTCTTACTTTTAGAACCCAGACACCATCGTATGAGGAAGCCCAAGCTGCCCTGTGAAGAAACCCATACAGAGAGAAACTGACAATTTGCAAAAACTTGCCAGCCAGGTGGGTAAGACATTTTGAAAGCAGATACTTCAGCCCCATTGGAGCTGCCCCAGCTGACACTGCATGGAGCACAGATGAGCCATCCCTGCTGAGCCCTGCCCACATTGTAGATTCATGTACCAATTAAATGATATTTTTTGTTTTAGGACACTAAAGTTTTGAGTTTTTCTTCCCCCTACAACAATACTTAACCAGAATAGCTAGTCATGGAGGAATACAACGATAGAGTGATCTATTAGGGTAGGGTGCCTGCCTTCAAAGAGCTCATGCTCTAGTGGAGAAGCCACTAGAAGCCAAACAAAAATTAATTAAATACAGTGCTGTCTAGATAAATACCATTTTCATATAAAATTTTAGGAGAGGGGACAAATTAACTGAGTTTGACAGTGTCTCAAAAAAATGTAAAGAAAATAAAAGTTGAGTTCGGTTTTGAGAATGAGTAGGAGTTCACCAGGTAGAAGAAAGAGGGCTCTCATCACTTCAATGCCATGCAAATTTGTAGAACATAAGAAAGGATGGTAAGATGGGCAGGGCCAGGAGATCAGAGAAAAGGAAAGACCCAAGTTAAGGGTTCTGGTTAGACTAAGAACAGGGACCAGGGAGGAGGAAGCAACTGTGGGGCAGGGGCGAGAGGAAGAGAGCAGGAAATAAATGAGGTTGCAGAACAGCCAGGGCTGCTGGGCAGGGCAGGACACCTAGAGGGCCCAGGACCAAAATCTGGGCCTGATTCTGCTTCTGGTGAGCAGCAGGAGTTGTGTGGGATATAGGAGCCTGGGAGAACCTCTTCAGGTTTCTGGACTAGTCTTCCCTCTGTAGAATGAAGGGTGGGACCCAGGAGCTTCAAGGCCGTTTCCAATTTTGTGACACTTACAAGGGTCAGTGTTTCTCTAAATGGGGTCCTATGGAATCAGGATGCCTGGGCATCCCAGGTAATCCTGATGCCAGTTATGTTTAAGAAATACTATTGTATGAACTGAATGGGACGGAACTTCTCTTGTCCTTGGTTTCTTTGCATTAAGTAAGAAACAAGAAAATTTTTGCATTCTGTAAGCAATACTGTAAATGCAACATAAAACTCTGTAAGATGTAAATACCATACCATTTTCCCCAAACTGCAAACTGAAGATTTATTTTCCCATCAGGTAAGAAAGTGGTGCGTTGTTTCTCCTTTTTTCTTAAGGAAGCAAACTTACTTTGACAAGTAAAATACCCTACTTGGCCTCAGAAGCTGAGGTTACTGATAAGAAGACTGGGCAGCCCCAGAGAGAGAAGGTGGCCTGTAATTCAACTTGGATTTGTTGAAACTTACTCCGAAACCCCTCTGGCTGGGCAGCTGCTGAAAGCATTGGCCTTTTGTTTGTGGTAAACACCAAAAAAAACCCAGCATCTTCTAGAATCTTCTAGACTGTCAGTGTGCAAGAGATGAGGGCGATTAATTTTGTTGGCAGATGCAGAAACAGTCATGAGAGGGGTCTTCTGGAAGAGAAAGTCAGGGCCTGGATAAGCTTCTTGAAATCAGACATGTAGAAGCCCAGTGGAGACACGGATTTGCTTTTCAAATGTTAATGAGTGTTCTTAATCAAATGTGGCTTTCACCGCAAGTTCTGCTCCCACACACTCTGGTTTAAGGCTGAGCTAGACTGGAGTGCACTTGATTAAACTCAGCACAGATCTTATCCAAGGGCAGTCTTCATGTGTTTTTCTTCTCAAGCACCAGGAGGATTGTAAATAAAACATGTTGAGGAAATATAAATTCCCCATCTCCCCTAGTCTCAACAAAACTATAGAGGTACACATCTATTTTCCTTAAAGGATTCAGCAGTTAACTGAAAAATGTATTTATTAGATCTTATAAAAAGGAGGGGGAGGGAGGGGGAGAGAGAGAGAGAGAAAAGGAGGAGGAAAAAGAGGAGAAGGAGCAGGAGGAAGAGCAGGAGGAGGAGGAGGAGGAGGAGGAGGAGGAGGTGGTGGCAGAGGAGGGAGAGGGAGGGAGCTCATGGAGTGGAGCCTAGGCCATTCCTGGGAGGTGCAGTCTGTGAGGGCTCCTTCCCTTAATCAGGTGAAAATGGACTTCAAGCCCTAATGGGAAAAGAAAGGAAGCACCAAGGGGAGGAGAAGGAAGCCGAGGCAGAAGGCAGGGAGCCCTGTGTCCTGGCAGAGGGCCACTCCTTTGCTGGGAGGTCCGTGGCCTCTGCTTCTCCCGAAGGTCACTGATCACTGTTGGCAGCATCCTCCTTTCCTCCCCTTCAGTGGTGCACACAGCTCCCACCAGATAAAAGGTCCAAGGAAGATGACCCTTTTATGAGGCATTGCAGGAATTTGTGATTTACAGGAAGGAGACACTGCTTGTAGGTTTGAGAACACAAACTCCAAAGAGATAGAATCGGCAGAATATATCCTTCTTTTCCTTGAGCTATAGCACTTCTAAGAGGTCTATTAAAATCTAAATTGGAAGATTCTCATAGCTTAGAATCCAAAACACAAACCAAAACAAAACAGCAGTAGAGAACCACAGTAGTTCATTGCCTAACCTAGCTTCCCCCACTCATTCACTCCAACTTTTCCAAGGATTTATTTCCATTACATTTAACTCCTAAGCTCTCATTCTTCATAATATATTTGTCCCGCATTGATTTTTACAAACCCACGTTCATGTTAATGTCAAGAAAAAAAAAATCAGCCAGGCGCACTAGCTCACGCCTGTAATCTCAGCACTCTGGGAGGCAGAGGTGGGTGGATCACGAGGTCAGGAGTTCGAGATCAGCCCGACCAACATGGTAAAACCCCATCTCTACTAAAAATACAAAAATTAGCTGGGCTTGGTGGCGTGTACCTGTAATCCCAGCTACTCAGGAGGCTGAGGCAGGAGAATCGCTTGAACCCAGGAAGCAGAGGTTGCAGTGAGTCGAGATTGCACCACTGCACTCCAGCCTGGGCAACAGAGCGAGACTCTGTCTCAAAAAAAAAAAAAAAAAAAAAGAAAGAAAGAAAGAAAAAAAGAAAAAAAATCCTTACAACCAGTAGGACATCAAAGGCAAGACTAGCTTTACTCCACGGGACAGTAGACATGGCACGAAAGCTGCTGCTGGGTTACAGGCTCAGGGTGTGTCACCAAGGGAGGGGAACAATGAGATTCAGCCGTTACTCACCACCTGAGTCCATTCCGCTTAGAACCCCAGCCAAAAGATAAACAGCAAGAGGGAAAAGAACTCTGTAAATATCCCCATGAGAACAATGAACAAAGTTCATGTATTTTATCTGCCTGTGTAAGCGTAGGCATAAAGCCCCAGCGGAGTCTTATTTTTCTCATTGTTCCAAGAGACAAGTCCTATACCCCCAAGAGAGGGGAACCCAGATCCCCTATTAATGAAGAGGTTGTAAGACAGCGAGGGTCAGTCTGCGTCCTCCAAGAAGTCGAAGCAATCAGATCAGGGAATTTAAAAAAGGAATCTTTTCTTCAAAGTCCTTACAGGGATCTTATCATGTAGTCCATGCAAGTGATTTAGAAAGTCCAAGTCTTATCATGGAACAGACAAAGCCAGTCTCCTGCTTTCCTCCCCTGACCTGTCCCCTTTCAGCTGTTTCTTATATTCTCCTTCAAATTTCTAAATAAAATGCTTGTGCTGCTATTGAGTTATCCAGTAGGGACATCAATAAGCTTCCCATTAGGCTAGGAGACTCTTTCTTACACTTTCCTCCATATTTTGCCTCCCTCTATTCTCTCGATATAGATAAATTATAATTTTTGGTTAAATCTATCCTCTGTGTTTCCATTATTAGATAATTGCTCAATGCTGAGGACAGGAGTGCACTATCATTTTACTTCCTTTGCCTTCTGGTGTGCAGGGTTGCTACTGAGAAATCCTGTGCCCTTCTACTTTCTGTTCCTCTGAACAGAACCTGTTTTATCCGTCTAGGGAAATGTTTACGGTCTTCTCTTCATTCACGGTTTCTGAAATTCCAAAGTGGTATAAGCTGGCATGGATCTTTTCAAATCCACAGGAAATATTCTGGTAATATTTCTTTGCCCATTCTTTCACTTTCATTTTCTTTATTTTGTCTTTCTGGAATTCCTCTTAGGTGAATGTTAGCCCTCCAGGACCAATCCTTTCATTTTCTTATCATGTCTTCCCTGTTGTCCATGTTTTTTTGTTCATTTGTTCATTTTTCTGGGAGTTTGTTGTTGTTGTTGTTGTGTGTGTGTGTGTGTGTGTTTTTTTTTTTAGGGCTTTTAAGACCTTTCTTTCTTGTCCTTTGATGATTTCTGAATTAAAGCATCCTGTTCTGGATTCACGGGTACAGCACCCTCTCTTATCTCCCTACCAATATCAAATAAGTTTTTGTATGTTTATAAAGGTTACTTCTGTTCCCTTTCATTGTTTGTTTCTCCTAAGTATTTTTTCCCATTTGAATGATTTTGATCTCTTTTATGTTGAAGTCTTTCCTCCAGAATCAGGTGGCCCTCGCATGCCCATTCTTATTGAAGACGAAGATCCAAAACTCTGATTCATGGGTTTGCTTTGAGACACGTGGGCAGGCTTGTGAGCTGGTGAATTTCACTGACAGAAACCTAATACTGAGGCAGCCTTTTCAGAGTAGGGCCCCAAATGGACTTTAGTCGGTCTTCTGTCTGCAGCTCAGTTCCCCCATGGCAGACAGAATCCCTGCTCTCTGGCTGGAGAGGATGCCTGCCTGGCTGCGAAAGAGGCAGGGGCTAGCTGGGGTCATCATCTCCATTCAATCATTGTCAGTGCTGACTTTCACTTTCCCCCAGTACCAGCTCCAAACCTCACTCCTGCCCTCCTCTGTGCTAATGTGGCTATGTTCATAGCCTTTTTGGTTCCACATCTCTAGAGAAAAACTTCCAGCCTTATGCAAGCAGGTGGCAGAGGAAGGGGAGGGAGAGGAATTGTGTGGTTGCCCAGTCGGGGAGAACACTTAGGGATCTAATTCCAGACTTCTAAGCAGCCCCCTGCATTCAGTTGCCAAACTCCTTCCTGCCTCCTGCAGCACTTGGTGCCCCAGAACCTCAACCTTTCTGAGGTTCTGCTGGGAGGAAAAGGGGTGGGTATGGCACACTCCTCCTTGGAATGCCCTCTGAAGACTAAACCAATCACCACCCCTCCACCTGCTTTCCATCTGTCTACACCATGGAGCCAATTCAAAATCTGTGTAGCTCCTCTTCCAGGGTATCTGGTTTTGTGCACTGGTACCCTTTTATTCCTCTACTAGAATTTTTAGTTGGTATCTGGTTTTGTGCACTAGTACCTTTTTATTCCTCTACTAGAATTTTTAGTTGGGGTTTTGGAAGGCAGAAGCTTAGGTCTGCCATGTTTAATCATAAGCTTTGTCCCACTATGTAGATTTCACACGTGCTCTCCAGAAATCTGCTTGCCTGTAGTCCATGGAGTCCACTGGATTTTCTGGGCTTATATAGGCGGATGGTTCTAACCTTGGATCTGCCAGGCACCAAATGTGTGGCCTTACGTTAACTGATTCACCTCCCTGGGCCTCATTTCTTCATGTAAAAATTGGGGATAAAGGAGGGCTCCTGTGCATTAAATTTTTTTTTGTAAATTATTAAATTATCATTAACAGAATTAAATTGCCTATTGTGTTAAAGATAATGTTCATGATAATAAGCAAGTGGGGTAGGCACACATTACCCCATTTTTCAAATGAATTCTACAAAAAAGGGGCCTAGTCTCTGTAAGGGGGCAGAAGATACTTGTTCGGTGCCTTGTGATTTAATTCTCCCTTTATTATGTTTCATCCTCCATGCGAAATTCAGATTTTCCATTAAATGGCTGATTCTCCCATTTGAAAAGTTAAATGTGGTGATTTGGGGTGGGGGGAAGTAAAAGAGTTCTATCTGGTTATTTATTTTTAGGAATACAGAAAGAAGGAAAACTAAGGTCCCTAACTGTGAAGAGGAGGTATTCTTGGGCCCTTGCCTTACCTTTATTTTAGATGATCTTTCTTTACTTAGATGATCAACCTCTCAGCATCCAATTTCAAAGGTATTTAAGTTTGTATTTTAAGTCAACAATTATTGGAGGAAGTTAAATGTTTTCCTGTAGTGTTTTGCCTCTTTGTAAACTAAATAAGGTTGTATGCATATTTTACCTGCTGAACATTGACCTCCATGAGGGCCTGGGATTGTCCCCATTTTTCTGTTGGCCACTGAATATAGCATAATGCCCAGCACATCCTACATCATAGCCCTTAGGAGCTACAGGAGATCTTAAAGTATATCTACTCCAGCCCCTTTGTTTTACAGACAATCTAGAAAAGCCCAAACAAGATGAAATTATTTGCCTGAGAACTCTGAGGAAGAGACTAAACCAAAACTTGACGTGGGCCTCTCAGCTCAGAATTAGTGCTTTCCACTATACCAGGCTGCCCAGAGTAGGTGTTTAGTAAGAATCTGGTGTTCTCAACACAGCCTAATCTTTCGTGTTCTCTCCATTATAGCCCAGCTTTTTCTTTTCTTTAAATGCTGATGGATTTAAAAAGCAAAACAAAACAGCAATAAGGCTTAACATAAACCTAATAGCTAATTACATCAAGAGAAAAGAAAGCTGGGACCTTACATAGTAGATGACTTAACTATGTACTCTAATATAATACATAATCAAAACTACTCTCTTTAGTAAACATATTTCCACTAATTTATTCTCCCATGAAGCAAGCCATAGGTGTGCATGTTTTCTACCTTGGATGCTGACTATGTTGTGTACCTTCAGAGTCTTTACTTCTTTAAACCTGACAAAACTGGCCCCAAGTGACCTCTGCTCTCTGATCTTAGTGCTGCCTTCATTAGGGTCACCTGAATGAGTTCAGATGGGCACAACTGACTTAATCAATAACAGGGAGTCATTTATTGTAGGATAGAGGAGTGTATCCTGGAACCTCAGGGCAGGAAGACCAGTCAGATGATCCCAAGGAGCTGAAAACCTAGAACCAGAAAGCCAGCAGGAGCCACGGGAGCTCCCTGCAGCCTCACTCCCGCCCCTCACACCCTCCCTCTTGGTGGGGCCCCGTGGTCTCTATCCCTGCCTGCATGTGCACTCCCTCTTTTTCTCTCGGCAGACCATCTTTCTTCCCTGGCCACCCACATGTCCTCCTCATCACTCGTGGGCTTACATTCCCTCCACTTCAGCAGTAAGTAGTGCCTGAGACTCCTATTTCTCAGCCTGAATTCCAAACTGGCAGGAGAAGGAACCCATTGCCACTGCTTAGACCAATATCCCCTTCTGCTCTAAGTAATCACAACTGTGGGACAGTTGCCCATCCAAACATGGTGGCCAGGCTGCTGACAACTGACCTAAGTCAATTTGGCTATTCACATCTGTCAGGTTCATTTTTGGCAGATAATGGCCATCTTCAATAGCTAGAGGTCTATAAAAGCCACAGTTCCCCTCCCCAATGACCTCACTGTGAGGTGTGTGAAAATGAAGGCAGATTTCATTCAGAATTCTGCCACACATACCAACATTTATGAATAAGCAGGCACAAAAACATATAAGCTCCAGCAGCAGAGTCAGTTCAAATTCCAGTGGCATTAGTGACTGAATCCTCTGCTATCTGTTGGGGCACAGAACACAACTAAGGCCCCTTCCACAACACCGCTGCAAAGGGGGTTAAGCTGGCCATCTCATTCTAATACCACATTAATGCAGGGCGAGAGGTGCCTTTACCTTTACAATATCTGTAGCCAACCCACATTTTGTCCATGAAAATCTCTTATGCTAATTAACAGACCATGTGAAGATTCAAGTGGTGGTCTTCAGCCATGTCTGGAGAGTGGACTCCAAGCAGAGCCCTGCAAATGTATTCACCATGCCCTGGAAGATAGGCTCCTAATTGGGATTTCAAAGATTAACCAACCCGCCCTGTGTTTAGATGAAAGCTCACACACACACACACACACACACCCCTGGATTGTGGTGGTAGGTTGGTTGTAAAACGGCCCTGTCAGATGAATAGGCTTCCTTTAAAGAGTGGTCTTGGAAGCCCCCATCCCTACTGCTTGGATGTCACTAGCCAGCCCTGCTAGCAAAGGCATCTTGGACTACTCAGGGGTCCTGTTAACAAGGAAAGTACAAACTGGTTGGGCAGCCAGCAGCTTCTTTTGTGCTAGCTGGGACTACAGGCGCCTGCCACCACACCCAGCTAATTTTTCTTGTATTTTTAGTAGAGACGGAGTTTCACCGTGTTAGCCAGGATGGTCTCGATCTCCTGACCTCATGATCTGCCTGCCTCAGCCTCCCAAAGTGCTGGGATTACAGGCATCAGCCACTGTGCCTGGTCCCGACTAGCACTTATTCTTGATCCCAAAAGCTTAATTCTGTTTTCCAGACCAGCATGAAAGTCATTTTTTTCTTGTCAAGGATCCTATGGAGCACCGACTGGTTTCTGTGAGGCTGACTGCACCTATCTGGAGACTGTTAGAAGATTATGTAACATCATTGCAGCTTGCTCTGTGCCAGGCGCTGTTTCATGTGTATTGCCCCAGCTAATCCTCACATAAACTCACAGGGCAGGCACTACTGTCCTCCACACCCTGCTGATAAGGAAACAGATTGAATGTAATCAGCACCTAACCCAGGAGGGTGGGGAGGCAGGATTTGACTCTTGGACACGTTTGAAATTATTCTTCAATTCTAAAATGCTGTGGCTGTTTAGAAAGGCTGTGATGTGTGTACTGGGTGTAACTGTGTCCCCCTTGCAAGTTATGTTGACAGCCTAACTCCTGGTAGCTGTGAATATGCCTTGTCTGGAAATGGGGTCTTTCACATGTGATCAGGAGAATTTGAGATCACACTGGATTAGCGTGGGTTCTAGTCCAGTGACCGGTATTCTTATAAGAGGGAAATTTGTAGATACATGTGGAGGAGAAGGCTGTGTGAGGGCAGAAGCAGGGATCAGAGTGATGCATCTACAAGCCAAAGAAGGCCAAGGGGTGACAGCAAACACCAGAATCTGGGAGAGAGGCCTGGGGTGCTTTCTCCCTCAGAGCCTCCAGAAGGAACCAACCCTGCCAATACCTTGATTTCGGACATCTGGACTCCAGAACTGTGACAGAAGAAACATCAGTTGTTTTTAAGCCACCAAGTTTGTAGTGATTTGTCATGGCAGCCACAAGGAATGAGTCCACTGTGTAAATATGTGAAGAAGGTGCAAGAGCCTGGTGCAGCCTGCTGCTGCCTCCACCCCTGGTGCACACGAGACTGGGCTGAGGTAAATCCAGGAGCCACCAGAAGAGGGGCACAGCCTCAGCTCCTGAATAGACAATGTCTTCACAGAACAAGCCAGTCTCTCCCCTGGCATGCAAATGGGGCCTGGGGAGGGACCCCCAATGGTGCTGGGTTTGGCCGGTGTGGCTGAGCCACAGCCATGAGAACTGAGCCATGTGCTCAGGACACGGGATCTGTTAGGGCTGGGCAAAGGGGGATGCTTTTGACTTTTCTATTTGACTTTTGTTTGGATTGCACTGAAATTTTTGTTTGTGAGGGACTGGATCTATTTGCTGAGTGAAGAATCACTTGCATTTTCAAAGACCAGGGTTTTCTACACTTTGGTCATTCCATCTTCAAAATGTCAAATGGACATAGCACCAACTGCCTTTTAAAAGGAATTTTAGCGTCAGATGCAGTGAGTCATGCCAGTTATCCTAGATCTTTGGGAAGCTGAGGCAGGAGGATTGCTTGAGGCCAGGAGTTCAAGACCAGCCTGGGCAACATGGTGAAACTCCATCTCTACAAAAAGTTAAAAAATTAGTCCAGCATGATGGCATGCGCCTGTGGTCCCAGCTACTCAGGAGGCTGAGGCAAGAGGATCACTTGAGTCCGGGAGTTCAAGGCTGCAGTGAGCCATGATTGCACCACTGCACTCCAGCCTGGGTGACAGAATAAGACTTTGTCACACACACACACACACACACACACACACACACACACACAGAATAAAAAAGAGTTTTGTGGTCAGGCATGGTGGCACATGCCTGTAATCCCAGCATTTTGGGAGGCTGAGGTAGGAGGGTCACTTGAGCCCAGGAATTCAAGACCAGCCAGGGCAATGTGGTGAGAACCCCATCTCTACAAAAAATAATTTAAAAATTAGCTGGACATGGTGACACATACTTGGAGCCCCAGTTTCTGGGAGGCTGAGACTGGAAGACTGCTTGAGCCCAGGGCTTTGAGATTGCACTGAGCTAGGACTGTGCCACTGTACTCCAGTATGGATGACAGAGTGAGATCGTGTCTCAAAAATAAATACATATTTTTTTATTAATTTATTATTTATCAAAAATAAATATACATAAATAAATGGAGTGTTATTATACTCTTCAAAATTGAAAGCCAGAATCATCTGCCAAAAATAAAAAGTAAAAATAAAAAGTATTTGCCTGGTTATTATAACATTTATATTAATATATCAGGGAATGCCTTGGCCAGGGCAAAGCTGCCTGGTAAACAGGGGCAGGATCAATGTTACTCTGATAGCTGAGAGAGTTTTTATGACTAGAACTATTTTGAAAACTGCTGGGAAAGCTGGCTTAAGTCCAAATATGGAAGAAATTTCTATTGTAAACTTCATTGTACTGCTGTATTGTACTGCTGTGAGGATTCTCCTACCACCACAGACCCACCTGTTTGGCACAACATTCTGTAGACAGAAAGTTCTAGAATGAGATATGTTGAACAGGCTTTTAAATACGAAGTGCCACACACATTTAAAAGAACAGATGGTGGCATTTCAGCTCTGAGAAAATTAACAGTGTGGACATCTGCCATTTGTATGACCTTGCCCAAGTGTCACTTTATCACCTCTGATATTAACTGGTGATGTGTCTTTTCCTGAGTGGAGAAAATAAATGAGACTACTAAGCTAAGAAGAGATCTTTTCATTCTCTACTGGTCAGAGGAGAAATCTGGAAACCCAGCCAAAGAATACAGTCTAACCTTTGTTCAGACACTAGCATGAAGGAGAGAGAAAAGGGCTGTGGGATAATGAGATACTTGTGTCTTCAACTTGCAGTGGCCGTTGGAATGCGACACTCCACAGCATACAACAAGCCCTTCTAATACGCTAAGGCTGGAGACAGACAAGTGTGTCTAGTTAGATCTAATATTGCTTTTCCTGGCGCTTAAGGTGAAGGCCCCTACACAGATGTGGTCCCAATATGGAGATGGAAGTATGAGGGCCTAGCTTGCCCAGGAAGTCACCCAGACTGTAGGCATTAACGTGCAAGAGTTTTGCCACCCTGGAAAGCAACAGTAGGGTTGTGTGTGTGTTTTCTACTACCATCTCTTGCTCTGGCCTGCTGCCATTTACAGTAGTTGTGGGCTAAAAAAAATGCAAACTGTTCTCTATAATAATACTCCCAAGTTTATGTAAACAACAATTCCAATACAAAACAACTCAGATAAGCATATAAAGACCAGGAACATAACATTTCTCATAAGGAAAGACTGGGGCCCACCCTGCCCCAGAATGACCTCATCTTAACTAACTACATCTTCAACGACCCTGTTTCCATATAAGATCACATTCTGAGGTACTGGGGGTTAGGACTTCAACATATGAATTTGGGTGGGACATAATTCCACCCATAACATACCCCTAAGCCTGAGAGGAGATGGAAAAGAAGGTGTTGTGGAGCCTACTTGAGCCCTGAAGCCCAGCAACAGCTGTCGTCAGAGACCGCCACAGCTGTGCCAGCACCACACCAAAGCAGGCAGAGGCTGGCGAAATAAATACAACTCTAACCTGTCTCTCATCCCACTCTCCAGGCACCAAACCCAATCAGGACAGAGGACAAGGGAACCAGCTGATACCATTTGGGGAAGTCACAGAGAAGGGAGGAGAATGGATACGGTGGGTGCGTGCATGCGTGCGTGTGTGTGTGTGTGTATTTACAGGGGCAATTAGAGAAAACATTCCAATCTCTTTATTTGAATCAAGAGATCCAAATGGATTTGGGATAGAAATTGGTATATTTTGGAAATCAGAGTATTTAGATAAACCAAGAGAGAAAATCAAGATGTACATTCTTTTCCAGGAAAGCTACCTATAAGAAAATTCCTTCTCCCAAATTTCTAACAAATGCAATGAAGGCCTCCCAAGAAAACATCACCCTTGGGGTGCACATAAAGAAAAGCTCTTCCTTAGAGCCCCCTCAAATGACCTGGTCATGTACCTCTCCTCCTGAAACCTAAGACACCCTGGACATCCCCTTTGCTTCATACCCAGTTCAACCCCATGCCTCCATCTCTATTCTTGCCACCTTGGTTCAGGACCTCCTCACTTCTCCCCTGGGCCCAGTCTTCCAGCCTCAGCACCACCGCATCCATCCTTCACACTGTGGGCTGCAGAATAAAACTCAGACTCCCCAGCATGGCCAGCGAGGCTCCTTGTGATTTGGTCCCCACCCACAGTTCAGGCCTCAATTCCCTCTCATCCCCTCCCCACCCTGCCCTCTGGTTCTCCAATAAAAAGAATCCACTCTGTCAGGAAAAATCGTGGAAGACTTTGAAGTGTGAAATTGAAAAGATTCCTGGGTGTCCGGTCCAATGCTCCCTACTAGGCTGTCTTCAATTTCCCTTGTTCCGTGCTATTTTATATTTTATTACTAGAAGTTATAAATTAGTGAAAGTGATGCAAATGATTTTTGGCCTTAAATGTGTAAATGCATCCCTCAAGATGCAGTAAATTATTGCCCTGTAGATATGGACCACTTTTGCATCTATTTTAAATTCTGTTCAGCATTTCTGATCACCTATATATGAGCGTTCTTTGGATTTTTCTTTGAACTATTTCTAACATCTTACTTGTTTTCTCATGAATTGAGTTAAATAAAATATTTGATACACAATTTATAATTCTATGAAAAATCACAATTTTATCCTTAAAAATTTTTCCTCTTCTATCAGTTCCTATAGTTCCCAGATTGGGCCATGCTCTTTCCTGCATCTTTGCCTTTGTAAAAGCTGTTGTCACTGTCCAGAAGTTTCTTTCAGATCTTTTTGCATCTGGTGAACTCCTAACCACCCTTCAATGTTTAGCTAAAGGTTGCCTTCTCTGCAAATCCCTCCTCAATTTCTCCATGAAGTTAGATACTCAAGTTGGAAGGGATTTTGTACATGCCTGTATTTCCATGCTTAGCATCCTGTGTCAATATCTATTTTTCCCACTAGACTTGGAACACCTGCAGATAGGGACTATATTCTCCTCTATTACTCCTAGCACAGAGTAGGCACTTAACAATATTACTGAATAGTCATTCAGTACCTTTTCTTGGGCTTTCTTTTAATTCTCACAATGACCTAATGAGGTTGGTCATATTCGTATCTCCCTTTTACAGATGCAGAAACCAAGCTTCGAGAAAGTGGAGTGACTTGCCCAAAGTCACACAGCTTTGGGAGGATCTGAACCCAGTTGGTGTGTCTCCAGACCGAACTATCTTAACTGCAATATTATACTGTTTGTTAATTCAGCAAATCCATGGCCCTCAGCCCTCTTTAAGTGATACCTAAACAGACAACTAAGGGTAAACTTTTGGGTTGTGTTTTTCATCGAAGGATAACATATCTTACCAGGCTGGGACAATAAAGAGCAAATGATTGTTAATATCATAATTTCTGTCTCCCCAGAAATTAGCCAGTATGTATCAACCAAACAGAATTGGCTAGCCAAACAATTTCCTCATTATTACCATACAATGCAGCTTAAATTAAAACTATAGTTTCTCGCTCACAAAATGGACAATAGTACTTGGCACATGTAGGTTGCTTAGCAAACACCTGTCCATGGATGTGTCATACAAGAGTGCTCACAATACAGGCTGCCAGTTGCCCTGTGGAGCGGCCAGGGAAGGCCTGCCCTAGTTTCACCCACCCCATCCATCTCCCTGGGCACACCTGCTCCTGCCATCGGCACTCCTACTATCATGGCTGCATCTGGGGTTTGGAGTTCACAGAAACCTCTTAAAAAGGCACCCAATTGCTCAACTTTGCTAAGCAGATGAAGAGTGAAATAAATGTTGCTTCACCAGCTGGGTAAGTGTCCAGCCTCCTGAGGGGTATCTGGGGACCATCTGACTTCCTGCCACTCACAGGGTGGAAATAAACAGAGCATATTGCCATAATAAGGGACATGAGGAGCAGGGTTGGGCTGGGCTTTGATAACTGGAGCGGTGTGATTAGGGTAGCTTTGATGTTGATAAGCTGTTTCGACGGCCTTTCATCCTAGTGCCCCTGCCCTTGGAGTATTGGGCTCCAGTAAGCCAATGTAATCATTACCCAGGCCTCCAGTGCAAAAGCCAGGCTCACAGAGAGCAGGCTGGCATGGCAGCCTGCTTGGGGAGGCTTGGGGAGCAGTGAGACGAGGCCAGCTGCAGATGCATTTCCTCCCCATGCCAGGAAAGGTTTTAATTCAAAAACAAATGTATTTATCACTTCCAACCACTCCGCAGGGCAGGGCATCCTGCCTCGGGTGGAGCGTCAGTGTGCAGTGGGAACAGTGGCAGGCGGCCAACGGAAACTTCACGTTTCACGAAGGTTTCTGCCACTTCGCAGTTGTTATAAAGGCCAGCATCACATCAGTGGAGACAGTCCAGCCTCCCAGCCAGCCCTAAAGACACAGGCACCAGGAAAGGACCAGGCTCTCCAAGCCCCGGCCAGGCAACTTTGGCCCCAGTGGGCTGGATGGTGGGATGCAATGAACCATCCAACTTGGTGACTAAGGCTCTTTCTAACCATGGAGTGTGGACAAAGGGAAAGTCTGTCATCAGCAGACAAAGGGTAAGTTGTCTGTGAATCCCAATGACACGTGCCCCATAGGCTACCTGTTTAAGGAGCTAGAAGGTTATTCCACTCTAAGAAGCTCACCTTTGCCTGGTGGTCCAAGGGACTTGCTGGACATTTTCCAGAGAGGAGGAAGGAACTGCAGACAGGTGTGGTTTTCCAGCTCACCTGGCCCCAGACTGTTGAGTATTCCTTCCCCTCCCATTTAGGCTTCAGCTCTGCTGGAGTCCTTTCAAAAACAGACTGGATCTTGTCACCCGCCAACTGAAAAGTCTCCTGGAAGAAGCCCACATCCATAGGGATGCCGTTCCAGGTTCTTCCCAGCTCTTCCAGCCCCTATCTGTCCAGTCTCATCCCTCAACACTTTATGCACAGGCCCACAACTCCCCAAGCAAGCCCTGTGCTTTCATACCACCTCGGGTAGCCTTCCCCACTGTGTCTACCTTCTTCTGCTCACATTTCAGGGCCCAGCTGAAATGTTACCTCCTAGGTGAAGACTCTCCTGCCCTTTCTCCCCCATCCACATGGAATTTGAATGTCTTCCTCCCTTGGGTTTGCAGAGCTTGCTGTGCATAACTTTCCTAAAACATTGAACCACACCATAGCCAACTTATTTCATTCTATGTTAGTCTCTCTGACCTGATTATTAGCTCAGTGGAGTAAGGGCTCCCCTTTAACTCATCTGTCTATTCTCAGTGACTAGTATAGGCCCTGGCACATAGTAAGTGCTCAATAAATGGGAAGAATAAATGAACAATCGTCTAAAAACTTCCCCTTCCTTGGAGAATCTCCTCTTCTTAGGTAGAAGTAATGCAGCTGTGAGCCTTCCAGGGCCAAAGAACATTCATCTGTGGGAAACTGCTCTGGACAAAATCTGCCCTCCCACCTTCCCCCAGAGAAACCCCAAGGCAAAGAAGGCAATGTGAAAACTAACCATTTCCAGACAAGTGAACTCTCAGATGCTAACAATTTTCCTGTGTGTTAAGAGCAAAGCCAAACCACACAAAGAAGTGAAACTTCTGAACATCCCACACCCAGGCATTTAGTTTATTACTCGGTTGGAATTTCGGTGACTATAGCCATGTGAGTAAAGATGCTCCCTGCAAGAACAGAAAGATTCTGGTGGTTCTCTGATGTATAATCTTTGGCCTTTATCTTCTGGATGCATTGCACCCTACAAGATGATAAAATAGTACAATATCCTTGCTTTAGGACCCGGGCTGTACCATCCCTATAGAATTCTGAACCTTAAATGTCATCCCTGTTACTCCTTTTGGATTCTTTTGCTTCAAAAGGATGATGATGATGAAGATGATGATGGTGATGATGATGATGGTAATCCTTTTTAAGAGCATTGTTATTGCAAATCACACCTCCTCTGTCAATAAAATAGGCTAAAATCTGGATATTCCAGATTTTAATGAAATCAAATTAATTTAAAATTAATTTGAATTTGAAATTAATTTTAATATCTTATTTAACCTAAGATATTCAAAATATTAATATATTTGGAATATTCCAAAGATTCCAACTTTCATAAAGATAGAATTCATCTCATTGGTAAGAACTGCTCTAACTCATCAGTTCTACCCTTGGAAAAAGGGGCAAAAATTTAAACACTTTTCCCCACCCTCAGCACTGCTGAGCATTTCTTCCCCAACTCGGTTGCCCAGGCCAGGTGGAAAGGAAACCAAATATCCATTCATCTCTAACAACTCCAATCCCATTTCCAGGAAAAGGAGGTCATAGCTTGCCCCAGCAGAAAGAAACAGAGTCCCCCATCTGCACGGCCTGGCCCCTCCCACCCCTCCAGCCTATTTCTCCCCACTTCCCCCACACTCCACTACAGCCATGCTGAACTGCTTAAAGCTCCCCAAACACACTGCGCCCCACTGCCTCCTACACTCCTCACCATCTCATTCTTCACTTCACTCCTACTCATCATCTGAAGTAGATATCATCTCCTCCCGGAAGCCTTTCCCTAGCTGCCAAAGCTCAGTTAAGGCCCTTTCAAACTGCTCCTAGCTCACCCTCTCCTTCCCCGTCCCAACAGTAATCACACTGCTTCACGACCATCAAGGACTTATCTTTCTCACCCTCTAGACAAGTATGGTCTAATAGTAATATAGTGCCAGCCATCTATTAATTTTGAATTTTCTGGTAGTCTCATTAAAGAAGAAAAAAACAGATGAAATTATTATTATTATTATTATTATTTGAGATGGAGTTTGCTCTTGTTGCCCAGGCTGGAGTGCAATGGCGCGACCTCGGCTCACTGCAACCTCCGCCTGCCTGGTTCAAGGGATTCTCCTGCCTCAGCTTCCCGAGTAGCTGGGATTACAGGCATGCGCCACCACACCTGGCTAATTTTGTATTTTTAGTAGAGACAGGGTTTCTCCATGTTGGTCAGGCTGCTCTCGAACTCCCAACCTCAGGTGATCTGCCTACCTCGGCCTCCCAAAGTGCTGGGATTACAGGTGTGAGCCACCATACCTGGCCTGAAATTAATTTTAATAATATATTTTATTTAATCTAGTATAGCCAAAATATTATTTCAACATGTAATATAAAACAATTGCTCATGAGATATTATACATGCTTTTTCCCCCTACTAGGTCCTCATTATCCAGTGTGTATTTTACCTTTACTGAACATCTCCATTTGGACTAAGCATATTAGAAGTGCTCCATAGTTACATGTGGCTGGTGGCTACCATATTGCAAAACAAGGGCTGAGATGAAATTTCCTGAAGTCAGGGCATGGGCTCAACCTCTCACACTAGTGTATCTTGTACCTTGCTTGGCACAAGAGCAACAATGCGAACAGCATCTATGAATGACTTCATCCCCCAAGGGAGGGAGGTATATAAGCACTGACCTGTGGCCCAGAACAGTGGGTGCCTGCAACATAAGCTGTAAGCACTATGGTTTCAGCTAAAATTTCACTGATCCAGCAAAACTCTCTAAATAAAAGAAAGATGGCTGGGCATGGGCTGATCACATTCATATTTCTTTATTTTTTAAATATTTTTTATTTTTTAGAAACAGGGTCTTGCTCTGTCATCCAGGCTGGAGTGCAATGGTGCAATCTCAGCTCAATGCAACCTCCACCTCCCAGGCTCAAGCAATCCTTGGCCTCAGCCTCCCGAGTAGCTGAGATTACAGGCATGCACCACCATATGTGGCTAATTTTTGTATTTTTTGTAGAGATGGCATTTTTTGCCCAGGTTGATCTCTAACTCCTGGGCTCAAGGGCTCTGCCCTCCTCAACCTCTCAAAGTGCTGGAATTATAGGCATGAAAGCCTGGCCCCACATTCATATTTCAAGCATTACTCAAAATGGCATAAATAACCAGTTCAGCAAAGCAAACTGGACATTTGGAATTCAGCAAAATGTAACTTAACTTTCATATAGGCTGGAAACCAAATGAAAATGCAGCATCTCCAGGCAATTTCCTTAAAATGGATCAACTTGAAACATTCTCTATCACAGGACCAGTAGACAGGAGAGGAGCCAAAGAAGGAAGGGTGAGTGTGGAATTATGAGTCGTACTACTCTCTGTTTCAAGATTCCTAGAGTTTTTATCCTGAAAGCTGTTACTTTTTTTTTTTTTTTTTTTTTTTGAGACAAGAGTCTCCCTCTGTCATCCAGGCTGGAGTGCAGTGGCGTGATGTTGGCTCACTGCAACCTCTGCCTGCCAGGTTCAAGCAATTCTCCTGCCTCAGCCTTCTGAGTAGCTAGGATTGCAAGCACATACCACCATACCCGGCTAATTTTTGTATTTTTAGTAGAGACGGGGTTTCACCATGTTGGCCAGCATGGTCTCAATCTCTTGACCTCGTGATCTGCCCGCCTTGGCCTCCCAAAGTGCTGG
This sequence comes from Homo sapiens, assembly GCF_000001405.40. Taxonomy (NCBI): domain Eukaryota; kingdom Metazoa; phylum Chordata; class Mammalia; order Primates; family Hominidae; genus Homo; species Homo sapiens. The sequence goes on along the minus strand of NC_000002.12, from coordinate 172,325,748 downwards.
GATTACACGCGTGAGCCACCATGCATGGCCAAAAGCTGTTACTTTTAAAGGTGTTTCTTAGAAATAGCAAAGCAGTAGAGCCAGGAAAAACAATTACATCAGCCACAAACTCCAGAGAAGCAACCTCCAGGAAATGCCTCAAGGACATGTGAGGAGCGGACACTGCAGAGCTCAGGGAATGGATGGATGGCTTTTTCTCAGTCCAGTCAGATAGTTCTAGATTCCCAGATGGACAGATCTCAAGGAATTTTTTTTTTTTTTTTTTTAGATGGAGTCTTGCTGTGTCACCCAGGCTGGAGTGCAGTGGTGCGATCTCAGCTCACTGCAACCTCCACCTCCTTGATTCTCCTGCCTCAGCCTCCTGAGTAGTTGAGACTACAGGCACCCGCCACCATGCCTGGTTAATTTTTGTATTTTTAGTAGAGACGGGGTTTCACCATGTTGGCCAGGATGGTCTTGAACTCCTGACCTCAGGTGATCCACCCGCCTCAGCCTCCCAAAGTGCTGGGATTACAGGCTGAGCCACCATGCCCAGCCCCAAGGACTTCTGATGGAACAGTTGCTACACCAGCAGTTCTTAAGCTTTAGTGGGCACTAGAAGCACCTAGGGGGCTGGTTAAAAATCCAGATTGCTGGACCTCACCATTCAAAGAGTCTGATCGAGTTGGTCTGAGGTGAGTCCCAGGAATATGCGTTCTTACCCGTCAAGTATCTTAGGTGATTCTAATAGGGAGTTCCACAGTTTAAAAATAAACAACCCTAAACGATGGTAGTTATAATCTGCTACCCATAATCAGTTCACTTTTCTCTCACCTTTCCTTTCTAAATGCCCCCAGAGCTATGATACCCTGTAGGCCACAGGTATGGTTGTGCAGTTGATGTGCTATATAATGGCTACCAACTGAAAAGGCAAGTGGGAGCCGGGATCTAGGTGCCTGGCGACATGGGGCTGTGTTTACCCAGAGTGATGAGCCTTCTTTCTTTGGACAGAGGTGCTTCCAACTTGCAAGCCTTGTGCTCTAGGGGTCCTTTTAGCCCAGAGGGCTGCTTTTTTTCTGATTTAATCAAAGACGCTATATAGGTTAGTAGCAGCCCTGAACCTGCTGTTTGACTCCTTGGCCACCTTATCTTCCCCAGACCTCAACAGCGAGCACCCTCTACCAATCCTTGCTCCAGAAATGGGTTTAGTGGCTCATCATTTTCCTTATCCATCAGCCAGTCAACCACCATCAGGTCTTCCTGATCACCTAGGATGCTCCCGGCCACGGTCAGCCCCTGGGTGGTTCGGTCCTCCCTGGGCAAGCCTGGTCATTGCCTCTGTGTGAATGAGTGAGCCATTGCCTCCCTGAGTCTGTTTCCTGGAAAGTCTCAGCCTCGCTGATTTCATGTACTCATCGCAGGTTTCTACTGGGCCTGATTATTATTTAAAGGGAAAGACGGCTCCAAGGGAATAGCTCATGAACAAGTCTCTAGGTTAAGAGGCTCACCAAGGGGGCAGACTGCTGAGTGGGATAGATGCTGAAGTGACTGACTCTATTTTCACAGATTCCCTTTTCTTTCTCTTCTCCCTGGCTTTTTCAATTTTCTGAACTGGATGAATACTTCATGACAGACTGTGCGTGTCGGAGCAGACAAAGAATTAATAAAAGGGTCACTGAACCTGCTCTGAATCTCAGATGCATCCTTCGTGAAGTGAAAAAAGATTCCCCTGAGCTGCTAAGAGCAAGGAAACACAATCCGGGCTGAGCTGGAAACTCTAGATCTGCTACAACCTGGTTAATTGCTACTGGGCAGAGAGGCAAAGAATAGATAAAAATTTGCAGCTGTAAAAAAAAAAAAAGAAATCTGAAAGGGATAGAGCAGCTTAGTAAAAAGAAAGCTGGAATCTGAAGCCACCTCCATTCATTCATGGAACACCTATGAGGCGCCTATTCCCATAGTGTCACAAGCACTGACTGTCGTAGGTCCAGGGAGACACAGGTCCCTCAAAGAGCTTACTCCTAGAGTAGCAGGTTTATATTTGTAATTATAAACAAATAACTACAGTAAAATGTGGCAAGTGGCAAGAAAGAGAAAGGCACAAAGCACTATGGGTGCACCCAGGGCAGGAAGGTCCTGGCGGGTGATGGGCAGCTCCCTGGGGGCAGCATGGGGAACAGCAGAGGGAACAGCATATGTGAAGGCCGAGGGGCCAATCATCTTGACCTGGAAGGTGAATCACAAGCATTCCTACCTCGCTGAAGCACAGTGTGAAGGAAGGGAGAGGCGAGAGACAGGGCTTGGAAGGCAGGCTGAAGCCAGTTGTAAGGGACCTCTGAATCATGTGCAGAAGTATCTGGGATTTCTCCATGAGGAATCATCGAAGCCTTCTTCAAGTAAGGGAGTAACTGAGATCAAACCTGTGGTTTAAACAAAACAAAACAAAACAAACCTGTCATTTTTCGTTTGCTTTCCTTTTGTTTATTTAAATAAACTAGTTTTGAAAAGCAGTTTGTGAACATAGTAACAACATTAAACACTCTCCAAATGGGGTATGGAGATAAGCCTCCTTTCCACCTCCTACTACCAAGCTCCCTGTCTTCCCTTCCTAGAAGCAGTCTTTCTTTCTAGTTTTACATATATCCAACCAGAAGCATCATAGGCAGGCATATATATTTATACACAAATGACCACAGCATACTATTGTGCAGGTTGCATACTGCATGAGGCCACCAGTCAAGGAGACTAGAGGAGGTTAAAATCCATTGCACACTTGCTTGCCACTGGCATGGTGCTACATATACCAGAGAGGACATTTTTCCTAATTTGTTCAAAGGTACTACACGTGGCTGGGCATGGTGGCTCAAGCCTGTAATCCCAGCATTTTGGGAAGCCGAGGCAGACGGATCACCTGAGGTCAGAAGTTCAAGACCAGCCTGGCCAACATGGTGAAACCCCATCTCTACTAAAAATACAAAAATAAGCTGGGTGTGGTGATGGGTGCCTATAGTCCCAGGTACTTGGAAGCCTGAGACAAGAGAATCGCTTGAACCCGGGAGGTGGAGGTTGCAGTTAGCCGAGATCGCACCACTGCACTCCAGCCTGGGGGACAGAGTGAGCAAGACTCTGTCTCAAAAAAAGAAAAGAAAAAAAAAAAACAAAACAGAAAACAAAGGTACTACATAGGCTAGCTGAAGCCATTTATATACATCACACACATGCACGTGTACGCATAGGCACTCACCCATTTTCACAGCTTTTTATTTATATAAAAGAGAATATATTCTATATTCATAGTATAATACCTTTATTTTATAAAGTATCATGGAAATCATTCACATGAACACAAGAAGATCCACCTAATTTTCTTTCACGGCCACTTGGCTTTTTTTTTTTTTTTTTTTTTTTTTAGCACGTAGGGTCTTTATTGTGAAAGACAACTCACTTCTCACCAGTTAAAACCAAAACCAAAAGGGAATTCACCAAATGTCAGCATGCCACCCAGCTTGACATCAGCAGGCTATGCTTCCATGAGTATCTCCATCTTCAGGCCTCCCAGAAGCTCCAGGATTTACCCATGTGGCTAAAACTATTTCATATCCATTCTGATTCATTCTACTTAGACAACATGTCATTATATATGAAACAGTTACTGTGGCCAGGGAAATATGATGGATTGAGTGAGTGGCTTCCACCAGTTGGTGTCCACCCCCGGAGATAAGAGTGGGGTCAACACCAGTCAACACTTAGGAGGGGCATGAGGGAATGAATACTAGGGTAGCAACCAGTAGATGGCCTTTACAAATTCCATTATCCAACTCCCAAGTTGGATAGCTCCTACCAATGGTCCTTTACCTTGTTCCCAATATTTTGTCATTATAAACAATGCTGTAATGAACATCCTTACACGTACATCTTTTCAGGTACAAGAATATCTGTAAAATAATTTCCTAGAAGTGGAACTTTGAGTCAAAGGGTGACCATACTTGTACCTTTGATAGACATTACTACATTGCCTTTCGAAGAGGCTGCGCTAATTCATTCCCGCAACATCTATGAGATTGCTTGCTTCTACACATCATTGGCTGTGTGTCGTCAACTTTCTTAGACCTGTACTTTCAAAGTTCAATTTAACAATAGTGTGGCTGATGGATAGGAAAGGGAATGAGAATGGAGGTAAGAAAAGTAGCCATGTAATTACAATAATGAAAGAGACGATAAGAACCTGAACTAAGGTAGCTGCCATGCGTTGAAAAGTAGAGGCAGAATCAAGACACGCATGTTCTCAGCACAATGTTGCAATGGAAAAGAGAGCTATTTTTCTGAAAATTTTGCACTGAAAAGGCTTCATTTTGATTTTTTTTAAATAAAAGGAAGACAAAGAAAAGATTCTTTTTTTTTCTTTTATTTTTTTTTATTTTTTTTTTATTTATTTTTTTTTTATTTTTATTTTTATTATTTTTTTTTTTTAATTTTTTTTTTTTTATTATACTCTAAGTTTTAGGGTACATGTGCACATTGTGCAGGTTAGTTACATATGTATACATGTGCCATGCTGGTGCGCTGCACCCACTAACTCGTCATCTAGCCTTAGGTATATCTCCCAATGCTATCCCTCCCCCCTCCCCCGACCCCACCACAGTCCCCAGAGTGTGATATTCCCCTTCCTGTGTCCATGTGATCTCATTGTTCAATTCCCACCTATGAGTGAGAATATGCGGTGTTTGGTTTTTTGTTCTTGCGATAGTTTACTGAGAATGATGGTTTCCAATTTCATCCATGTCCCTACAAAGGACATGAACTCATCATTTTTTATGGCTGCATAGTATTCCATGGTGTATATGTGCCACATTTTCTTAATCCAGTCTATCATTGTTGGACATTTGGGTTGGTTCCAAGTCTTTCTATTGTGAATAGTGCCGCAATAAACATACGTGTGCATGTGTCTTTATAGCAGCATGATTTATAGTCCTTTGGGTATATACCCAGTAATGGGATGGCTGGGTCAAATGGTATTTCTAGTTCTAGATCCCTGAGGAATCGCCACACTGACTTCCACAATGGTTGAACTAGTTTACAGTCCCACCAACAGTGTAAAAGTGTTCCTATTTCTCCACATCCTCTCCAGCACCTGTTGTTTCCTGACTTTTTAATGATTGCCATTCTAACTGGTGTGAGATGATATCTCATAGTGGTTTTGATTTGCATTTCTCTGATGGCCAGTGATGATGAGCATTTCTTCATGTGTTTTTTGGCTGCATAAATGTCTTCTTTTGAGAAGTGTCTGTTCATGTCCTTCGCCCACTTTTTGATGGGGTTGTTTGTTTTTTTCTTGTAAATTTGTTTGAGTTAATTGTAGATTCTGGATATTAGCCCTTTGTCAGATGAGTAGGTTGCAAAAATTTTCTCCCATGTTGTAGGTTGCCTGTTCACTCTGATGGTAGTTTCTTTTGCTGTGCAGAAGCTCTTGAGTTTAATTAGATCCCATTTGTCAATTTTGGCTTTTGTTGCCATTGCTTTTGGTGTTTTGGACATGAAGTCCTTGCCCACGCCTATGTCCTGAATGGTAATGCCTAGGTTTTCTTCTAGGGTTTTTATGGTTTGAGGTCTAACGTTTAAATCTTTAATCCATCTTGAATTGATTTTTGTATAAGGTGTAAGGAAGGGATCCAGTTTCAGCTTTCTACATATGGCTAGCCAGTTTTCCCAGCACCATTTATTAAATAGGGAATCCTTTCCCCATTGCTTGTTTTTCTCAGGTTTGTCAAAGATCAGATAGTTGTAGATATGCGGCATTATTTCTGAGGGCTCTGTTCTGTTCCATTGATCTATATCTCTGTTTTGGTACCAGTACCATGCTGTTTTGGTTACTGTAGCCTTGTAGTATAGTTTGAAGTCAGGTAGTGTGATGCCTCCAGCTTTGTTCTTTTGGCTTAGGATTGACTTGGCGATGCGGGCTCTTTTTTGGTTCCATATGAACTTTAAAGTAGTTTTTTCCAATTCTGTGAAGAAAGTCATTGGTAGCTTGATGGGGATGGCATTGAATCTGTAAATTACCTTGGGCAGTATGGCCATTTTCACGATATTGATTCTTCCTACCCATGAGCATGGAATGTTCTTCCATTTGTTTGTGTCCTCTTTTATTTCCTTGAGCAGTGGTTTGTAGTTCTCCTTGAAGAGGTCCTGCACATCCCTTGTAAGTTGGATTCCTAGGTATTTTATTCTCTTTGAAGCAATTGTGAATGGGAGTTCACTCATGATTTGGCTCTCTGTTTGTCTGTTGTTGGTGTATAAGACTGCTTGTGATTTTTGTACATTGATTTTGTATCCTGAGACTTTGCTGAAGTTGCTTATCAGCTTAAGGAGATTTTGGGCTGAGACAATGGGGTTTTCTAGATAAACAATCATGTCGTCTGCAAACAGGGACAATTTGACTTCCTCTTTTCCTAATTGAATACCCTTTATTTCCTTCTCCTGCCTGATTGCCCTGGCCAGAACTTCCAACACTATGTTGAATAGGAGCGGTGAGAGAGGGCATCCCTGTCTTGTGCCAGTTTTCAAAGGGAATGCTTCCAGTTTTTGCCCATTCAGTATGATATTGGCTGTGGGTTTGTCATAGATAGCTCTTATTATTTTGAAATACGTCCCATCAATACCTAATTTATTGAGAGTTTTTAGCATGAAGGGTTGTTGAATTTTGTCAAAGGCTTTTTCTGCATCTATTGAGATAATCATGTGGTTTTTGTCTTTGGCTCTGTTTATATGCTGGATTACATTTATTGATTTGCGTATATTGAACCAGCCTTGCATCCCAGGGATGAAGCCCACTTGATCATGGTGGATAAGCTTTTTGATGTGCTGCTGGATTCGGTTTGCCAGTATTTTATTGAGGATTTTTGCATCAATGTTCATCAAGTATATTGGTCTAAAATTCTCTTTTTTGGTTGTGTCTCTGCCCGGCTTTGGTATCAGAATGATGCTGGCCTCATAAAATGAGTTAGGGAGGATTCCCTCTTTTTCTATTGATTGGAATAGTTTCAGAAGGAATGGTACCAGTTCCTCCTTGTACCTCTGGTAGAATTCGGCTGTGAATCCATCTGGTCCTGGACTCTTTTTGGTTGGTAAACTATTGATTATTGCCACAATTTCAGAGCCTGTTATTGGTCTATTCAGAGATTCAACTTCTTCCTGGTTTAGTCTTGGGAGAGTGTATGTGTCGAGGAATGTATCCATTTCTTCTAGATTTTCTAGTTTATTTGCTTAGAGGTGTTTGTAGTATTCTCTGATGGTAGTTTGTATTTCTGTGGGATCGGTGGTGATATCCCCTTTATCATTTTTTATTGTGTCTATTTGATTCTTCTCTCTTTTCTTCTTTATTAGTCTTGCTAGCGGTCTATCAATTTTGTTGATCTTTTCAAAAAACCAGCTCCTGGATTCATTGATTTTTTGAAGGGTTTTTTGTGTCTCTATTTCCTTCAGTTCTGCTCTGATTTTAGTTATTTCTTGCCTTCTGCTAGCTTTTGAATGTGTTTGCTCTTGCTTTTCTAGTTCTTTTAATTGTGATGTTAGGGTGTCAATTTTGGATCTTTCCTGCTTTCTCTTGTAGGCATTTAGTGCTATAAATTTCCCTCTACACACTGCTTTGAATGCGTCCCAGAGATTCTGGTATGTGGTGTCTTTGTTCTCGTTGGTTTCAAAGAACATCTTTATTTCTGCCTTCATTTCGTTATGTACCCAGTAGTCATTCAGGAGCAGGTTGTTCAGTTTCCATGTAGTTGAGCGGCTTTGAGTGAGATTCTTAATCCTGAGTTCTAGTTTGATTGCACTGTGGTCTGAGAGATAGTTTGTTATAATTTCTGTTCTTTTACATTTGCTGAGGAGAGCTTTACTTCCAACTATGTGGTCAATTTTGGAATAGGTGTGGTGTGGTGCTGAAAAAAATGTATATTCTGTTGATTTGGGGTGGAGAGTTCTGTAGATGTCTATTAGGTCTGCTTGGTGCAGAGCTGAGTTCAATTCCTGGGTATCCTTGTTGACTTTCTGTCTCGTTGATCTGTCTAATGTTGACAGTGGGGTGTTAAAGTCTCCCATTATTAATGTGTGGGAGTCTAAGTCTCTTTGTTGGTCACTCAGGACTTGCTTTATGAATCTGGGTGCTCCTGTATTGGGTGCATAAATATTTAGGATAGTTAGCTCCTCTTGTTGAATTGATCCCTTTACCATTATGTAATGGCCTTCTTTGTCTCTTTTGATCTTTGTTGGTTTAAAGTCTGTTTTATCAGAGACTAGGATTGCAACCCCTGCCTTTTTTTGTTTTCCATTGGCTTGGTAGATCTTCCTCCATCCTTTTATTTTGAGCCTATGTGTGTCTCTGCACGTGAGATGGGTTTCCTGAATACAGCACACTGATGGGTCTTGACTCTTTATCCAACTTGCCAGTCTGTGTCTTTTAATTGGAGCATTTAGTCCATTTATATTTAAAGTTAATATTGTTATGTGTGAATTTGATCCTGTCATTATGATGTTAGCTGGTGATTTTGCTCGTTAGTTGATGCAGTTTCTTCCTAGTCTCGATGGTCTTTACATTTTGGCATGATTTTGCAGCGGCTGGTACCGGTTGTTCCTTTCCATGTTTAGCGCTTCCTTCAGGAGCTCTTTTAGGGCAGGCCTGGTGGTGACAAAATCTCTCAGCATTTGCTTGTCTATAAAGTATTTTATTTCTCCTTCACTTATGAAGCTTAGTTTGGCTGGATATGAAATTCTGGGTTGAAAATTCTTTTCTTTAAGAATGTTGAATATTGGCCCCCACTCTCTTCTGGCTTGTAGGGTTTCTGCCGAGAGATCCGCTGTTAGTCTGATGGGCTTTCCTTTGAGGGTAACCCGACCTTTCTCTCTGGCTGCCCTTAACATTTTTTCCTTCATTTCAACTTTGGTGAATCTGACAATTATGTGTCTTGGAGTTGCTCTTCTCGAGGAGTATCTTTGTGGCGTTCTCTGTATTTCCTGAATCTGAACGTTGGCCTGCCTTGCTAGATTGGGGAAGTTCTCCTGGATAATATCCTGCAGAGTGTTTTCCAACTTGGTTCCATTCTCCACATCACTTTCAGGTACACCAATCAGACGTAGATTTGGTCTTTTCACATAGTCCCATATTTCTTGGAGGCTTTGCTCGTTTCTTTTTATTCTTTTTTCTCTAAACTTCCCTTCTCGCTTCATTTCATTCATTTCATCTTCCATTGCTGATACCCTTTCTTCCAGTTGATCGCATCGGCTCCTGAGGCTTCTGCATTCTTCACGTAGTTCTCGAGCCTTGGTTTTCAGCTCCATCAACTCCTTTAAGCACTTCTCTGTATTGGTTATTCTAGTTATACATTCTTCTAAATTTTTTTCAAAGTTTTCGACTTCTTTGCCTTTGGTTTGAATGTCCTCCCGTAGCTCAGAGTAATTTGATCGTCTGAAGCCTTCTTCTCTCAGCTCGTCAAAATCATTCTCCATCCAGCTTTGTTCTGTTGCTGGTGAGGAACTGCGTTCCTTTGGAGGAGGAGAGGCGCTCTGCGTTTTAGAGTTTCCAGTTTTTCTGTTCTGTTTTTTCCCCATCTTTGTGGTTTTATCTACTTTTTGTCTTTGATGATGGTGATGTACAGATGGGTTTTCGGTGTAGATGTCCTTTCTGGTTGTTAGTTTTCCTTCTAACAGACAGGACCCTCAGGTGCAGGTCTGTTGGAATACCCTGCCGTGTGAGGTGTCAGTGTGCCCCTGCTGGGGGGTGCCTCCCAGTTAGGCTGCTCGGGGGTCAGGTGTCAGGGACCCACTTGAGGAGGCAGTCTGCCCGTTCTCAGATCTCCAGCTGCGTGCTGGGAGAACCACTGCTCTCTTCAAAGCTGTCAGACAGGGACACTTAAGTCTGCAGAGGTTACTGCTGTCTTTTTGTTTGTCTGTGCCCTGCCCCCAGAGGTGGAGCCTACAGAGGCAGGCAGGCCTCCTTGAGCTGTGGTGGGCTCCACCCAGTTCGAGCTTCCCGGCTGCTTTGTTTACCTAAGCAAGCCTGGGCAATGGCGGGCGCCCCTCCCCCAGCCTCGCTGCCGCCTTGCAGTTTGATCTCAGACTGCTGTGCTAGCAATCAGCGAGACTCCGTGGGCGTAGGACCCTCTGAGCCAGGTGCGGGATATAGTCTCGTGGTGCGCCGTTTCTTAAGCCGGTCTGAAAAGCGCAATATTCGGGTGGGAGTGACCCGATTTTCCAGGTGCGTCCGTCACCCCTTTCTTTGACTCGGAAAGGGAACTCCCTGACCCCTTGCGCTTCCCAGGTGAGGCAATGCCTCGCCCTGCTTCGGCTCGCGCACGGTGCGTGCACACACTGACCTGCGCCCACTGTCTGGCACTCCCTAGTGAGATGAACCCGGTACCTCAGATGGAAATGCAGAAATCACCCGTCTTCTGCGTCGCTCACGCTGGGAGCTGTAGTCCGGAGCTGTTCCTATTCGGCCATCTTGGCTCCTCGCGACAAAGAAAAGATTCTGCTGCCGGGTGCGGTGGCTCAAGCCTGTAATCCCAGCACTTTGGGAGGCCGAGGTGGGCAGATCACAAGGTCAGGAGATGGAGACCATCCTGGTTAACATGGTGAAACCCCATCTCTACTAAAAATACAAAAAAATTAGCCAGGCTTGGTGGCGGGCGCCTGTAGTCCCAGCTACTTAGGAGGCTGAGGCAGGAGAATGGTGTGAACCTGGGAGGCGGAGATTGCAGTGAGCCAAGATCGCGCCACTGCACTCCAGCCTGGGCAACAGAGCAAGACTCCGTCTCAAAAAAAAAAAAAGATTCTGCTAAAAAGACTTTTGCAGTTGGAAATAGAATTCTACTAAACATGCAAAGACCTTAACACAGATCCTACACAAAGAAATTGAGTTAAACATGCTCAGATCTCAAAAAGAAACCTAGAAATGGAATAATGTGTTATCAGAGCACACATTAAATGTGTTCTTAGAAGCACACTTTGTAAATTCTAAACAGTCCACAGTGTAGGAGAATGTGGCAATAATGGTCTTATTAAAGCAGAATCAAGCACTGGACCCAAGGACCACTGTTCAACTGGTGAAAAATCCTTCCTCTTTGGATTCTTCCCCTTGGATCCTATAGACCAGAGTATTCTCAGTTCTGACACCAACTTTGCCATGTACACTGTAGGCATCATAGCAAATCCTAGCTAAAATAGTGTTATATCCATTACTGGCACATTTCTCTCATTTCAAAATGATATTCCTGATTATTTATAAAATCTTCTGGTGAAGATTTCTACAGTATACCTTATAAGGTATGTATAGGATGCACCCTGCTACTGAGCTACCTAAATCCCTCCACATTGTTCACATTTCTCGGAATGGCTGTAAACTGTTTCTCCACTGGCTGTAATGACAAAGGGAAAGAAGTATTTCTTCTTCCCAATCTCATGACATTGTAACAAGCTCCCAATCTTTTCTCATTATCTGCACCAACCATTCCAAGATCCTTCTTTCCTATAAATTCTTAAAGGAGAAAACAAAAAGGAGAACATTTTTTAAATAGCTACAAAGGAGAAAAAAATCAAACATATTAATATTTCTGGGAGGTTTAATGTTCCCGTGGGAAGAAGGTCAGATAAACAAGGTGGGTGGAGTGGGAGGTGAGGCCCAGAGTAGAACAGTCCAGGCCACGTTATGTCGCCTCTGGTGGAAGCCCTTGAAGGAGGCAGCAAGAGGGTTGCAGACCTGAAAATCAGAGCTAGAGAAGTTTATCAGGCACCCTGAAGCCATCTGGGCACCAGCAGAACCCACACTCTCGGAACACTGCTGCATGCTGAGCCCAGCCAATTGCAGCCCAGCCTGCACCACAACCACCTGCCCTCTGCTCGGCACAGCTCTCCAGCAAAGGGTCTGGGCAGAAGGCTTTGCACTTGTGGTGTGTGCAATGCTTATTTCTTCAACCAGAAAAGTCTTTCTGAGCTTTGTTGAGGGCATCAGATCTCCCTCCGTCGCGCTTATTTTTCAATATAAATGTATAAATGGTGCTTCTATAACAGGATGCCAAGAAGCCCAGAGTCCAGAGAATCTCCTGGGCCCTAAAACCCGGGCTGGCCCAGGCCCTTCAGTTTAGCCTTGAGTCCTGGGTCCAGTCGTGTGCACTGATTGATCAAGGGCCAGTAGTCCATGGTGAAAGAAGGATCTCAAGGCAGAGTTAAGCTCTCCCTCAGAGACCTTGCTACAGCCACACTTAAAACCAGCTCTAGGCAGCTGTGTCCCTGGAGATCCTCTCCCTGGCCGGGCACTACATCCCATTCCATTTCTGTCCTGCCATTCTTTGAGGCCAGGGGAAGACCTGCCTCTCTATAAAGCCTCTCTTGACCACCCCCACGGGAGGCTCTCACTTCTATCGCCCTTCAATCGCTGCGACTGTTACTGTGGACACTGTCTCCTCAGCAAGAGCGTGAGGCACTCAGCTCCTTGGTCTCTTCTCGCATGAAGCATGCTGCTGACATGTGGGAGACACCAGGGCTGTTGAATCAAGAGAGACCGTGTTGTTCCATCCTCCCCTAGACACCACAGTCCAATTCCCGAAAGGACCCAATGTTTCCTGTAGCTGATCACAGGTAGCTGAGTGCCCAGAGGATGGTAAAATAATTTCCATTAAGTATGGACTTCCAGTAAGGATGGACTTACTGCAGTCCATATGGGGTCAAACTCTGAATATGAGCAAGTCTTGCTTCCTTAGTCTCCCTCCCTCCTTTCACCCTCAGCCTTGTTCATGCCTACCGACCTCATCACCAGCATCACCAAGACCTCACAGCCATGAGGTCCCTGAAGTCTGCCCTTTGTTCTGGGAAAGTGGCATAAAATTTTTTTTTTTTTTTTTTGAGACGAAGTCTTGCCTTGTCACCCAAGCTGGAGTGCAGTGGCGTGATCTCAGCTCACTGCAATCTCTGCCTCCGGGGTTCAAGCAATTCTCCTGCCTCAGCCTCCTGAGCTGAGATTACAGGCACTCTCCATCATGCCCGGCTAATTTTTGTATTTTTAGTAGAAACGGGGTTTTACGACGTTGGCCAGGCTGGTCTCAAACTCCTGATCTCAGGCGATCCACCCACCTCGGCCTCCCAAAGTGCTGGGATTACAGGTGTAAGCCACCACGCCCAGCCAATTCTTTTTTCCAAGTAAAGCCCTCATTAGAAAAACAAACGTCTCGCCTGCTCATATTATAACATTTCACAGCATAATTTTGGTATATTTTTATGCTTTTAAAACCTCTTCCCACCAAGGATGAAGAAGAGGTGGAGCAAAGTGAGTGAAGAGATGGATATTTCTGTTACAAACAGGCAAGTTAATGCCTCTCAGAAACGACTGAAGGGGCCTGAAAGGCCTGGAAGAGTAAATGGACCTCCCTAAAGGTACCAGGTCTCCCAGAAGGCAGTGGCCATAGGCCAGCCACTCACAAGGGCCTGGCACTATACAACTGGCCCTGAGCCCATGCAGGGCAGGAACCGGAGGGATCCTCTCCCCCTCGGTATCAAGGTAGGAGCCAATTTGTAGGCAGCCACTTGGGCTCCATTGGGCCACTGAGTACCTTGTCTCACCCATATGTTTTCCCTTTCCTTACAAAGCTGTTTCCTCAGAGGGTTCAGTGAGGAAACTCCTGAATAAACAGAGAGCATGCTGTTGGCCCAAGTTCTCTGAGGTGCACCCCAGGGACACAACCCTGGGCTGAGCCTACTTCCAGGCCTCTTGCCAGCCCTCCTGCCAGTCACAACTGTTGTTTCCATGAAGTAGCTTCTTTCATCTCCACTTACTTCACCCTCTGAAGGAAAAGCTTATGTCTCCAAACAGCAAGGCAGAAGAAATCTCTGAGGCAGATGTCTACCAAAGGTGCTGCAGCCCTCTGCCCTCTCTTCCAGAAGGCCCTCCCCAGCGACAGAACAATGGCTCCAATCATGCCAGGGAGCTCCACAGGCCTCCAGGCTGCCTTCCTTTCAGTGTCTGTTTAGTTCAAGGGCCTCGTCTTGTGTGAGGGGTGTGGGGTGGGCAAAAAGCTGCTGACATGAAAGGCCACAGAGGCACAGACATGGCTGTTATCTCTATTTTACAGATGGTAAAGCTAAGGCTCAGAGATCATATAGCTGAGAATGGACAGAACCAGAAGTCCAGCCCATGTTTGTCTGATTTGAAATCCCAGATCTTAACCATGACCCTCTGTCCATGGTGGACCGTTTGGATACATGGGGCCAGTGCCACAAACCAGGTTCATCGTGTGGACAGGAAGGGCCCTGCCAAACTCAAGGATTGGCTCAAGAAATAAATGGGCTGCACCTCAGAAAGGGGGCCAGGGAAAGTGGGTTTTGGTGGCAGCAGATGACCCCATTCTTTGCCAATATTATCATTGCTGTTTTGCTCTTGAGTTTCAGAAATTCAAGAAATAGTAGACAATGTCTACCACTTGCTGGTGCAATCTTGAGCAATTTACCTACTCTCTGCATGCCTCATTTTTCCTCATCTGTAAAATGGAAATATTAAGAGCCCCTATCTCATAGGGTGGTTGTGAGGATCAAGTGAGTTAATATGTGCAAACACCCAGAACAGTGCCTGGCACTTGGTAAGCACTGTATATTGCTGATGAGATCACCACCATCCCCATCTTCATCCACATTACCATCACCTTGGTCTAACACCTCCCTCATATCTCTCCAGGCATTATCAAGCCCTCTTGCTTATTGCTCCCAGAGCTGTTAATGACACCTTTAATAGAGTCCTCATCACTTTGTATCGATGCACTGAATATGAGAAGGATCATAATTTTCCATCTCTGTATCTCCAGTGCCTTCTACAGTGCCTAGCATATAGTCGGTATGCAATAAATGTGTCGAGTACATGCAACATGGTACTTAATTCTAAAAATATGGCTTTCAGACAAGTCACAAAGCCTATTTTTTTTTTCTTTTTGAGACAGGGTCTCACTCTGTCGCACAGGCTAGAGTACAGTGGCACGATCATAGCTCACTGCAGCCTCAAAGTCCTGGGCTCAATCTATCATCTCGCCTCAGCTCCCTGAGCAGCTGGGACTATAGGAGCATACCACCACACCCACGTTTTTCTTTTTCTTTTTTTAAATAGAGATGAGTTCTCCCTATGGTGCCCAGACTGGTCTTGAACTCCTGGGCTCAAGCTTCGGCCTCCCAAAATTGTGAGCCACCACATTTTGCCAAGGTCATCTGATTTTTATAAGATTTAAAAATATGTCTCCCCAGACATACAGATAAGAAGTACACACGATAATATGTGACAATAAAATTGAAAGGGTTTGAAATTGTCAAGTAGGCCAGGCGTGGTGGTTCATACCTGTAATCCCAGCACTTGGGAGGCCAAAGCAGGAGATCACTTGAGCCCAGGAGTTTGAAATTAGCATGGGAAACATGCTAATTTTTGTATGTTTAGAAACCCTGTTTCTACAAAAAAAAAATTTAAAATTAGCAGGGCATGGTGGTGTGTACCTATAGCCTCAGATACTTGGGAGGCTGAGGTGGGAGGATCTGTTTGAGCCCAGGAGTTCAAGGCTGCAGTGAGCCAGGATCAGGCTACGGCACTCTAGCTTGGGCCACAGAGCAAGACTCTATCTCAAAAATAAATAAACAAATAAATAAGTAAAAATAAATAATAAATTGTGAAGTGTTGAAGACGTAAGAAATTTCCATTGTGATAATCATTGTATCAAATAATACTAACAAACCCCATCTGAGGTCCTGATGACCTAGAGATCCTCTCCCTCTTCAGCATTTAAAGACTCAGAAGTAGATATGGTTCCTGAGAAATAGCCCCATGAATGTTGCCCTAAATAAAACACTTTTCCAGGCTGGAGGCAGTGGCTCATGCCTATAATCCCAGCACTTTGGGAGGCCAAGGCAGGTGGATCGCTTGAGTTCAGGAGTTTGAGACCAGCCTGGGAAACGTGGCAAAACCCTGTCTCTACAAAAAATACAAAAATTAGCCAGGCATGGTAGGAGGATACTTGAGCCCGAAAAGTTGAGGCTGCCATGAACTATGACTGCGCCACTGCACTCCAGTTTAGGCAACAGAGTGACACACTGTCTCAAAAGAAAAAGGAAAACAGCCAGGCACGCAGTGGCTCACGCCTGTAATCCCAGCACTTTGGAAGGCTGAGGCAGGCGGATCACGAGGTCAGGAGATCGAGACCATCCTGGCTAACATGGTGAAACCCCCTCTCTACTAAAAATACAAAAAATTAGCTGGGCGCCGTGGTGGGCGCCTGTGGTCCCAGCTACTCGGGAGGCTGAGGCAGGAGAATGGCGTGAACCTGGGAGGTGGAGCTTGCAGTGAGCCAAGATCACGCCACTGCACTCCAGCCTGGTGACAGAGTGAGACTCTGTCTCAAAAAAAAAAAGGAAAGAAAAAGGAAAGCAACTTTTCTAAGGAATCACCATCATTTGGAATGTTTTAAAATGAGCTTTTCAAAGACAGACTCCACAAATCGATTCATGAACTATTAATTGAGCACCTATGTGTGCCAGGCACAGGATCTACAAATATGAGTTAACATCAGGTGCCTACTTCTAAGGACTCTGCTCTCTAGTAAGGGAAACAGACACCTGATCCAATCATTCTTATACAATATGGAGGGTGATAAATAAAGACATACCCACTGTGTTCAGACTGCAGAGGAGGGACCCAATTCGGAGGTCTGTGGATTTTGAAATGGAAGTAGAGATTGGCCTAGGACAAAGGGTGCATGTTGAAGTTCTTTTCTGGGCAGCTATGGTTCAGAGACACCCAGGATTCCTAAGCACACTGCTGCACATTCTAAGAAGGCACAACTATTGCTATTGCAAGCCATGTTTAAGAGGCCAGCAAGAGGAAGCCTCCTCCTGGGCGTGCACTGGAGCTGCTGGCCTGGGGCGCGTACTCCATCCCAATACCCAGGACATAGGTATCTTTGCTCAAACAAAGCCCGTGCTGTTCCCGGCTGCCACAGGCTTCCCAGCAGCCCCAAAGCCCTCCCCACTGGGTCTATAAATAATAATTGAATGTCGTCCACCTCACCTTGAAAATGCTCACCACTACCCATGCCCTGAGGGAGGAGCATTATCCTGTTGTTTCTGATGATTTCCTTCCTTCAAGCCCAGGCCTGTGCACCCGCTGGTCATTATGGATGTGTGTCTGGTTTTCAAGAGGATGGCTACTCTTTGTATTTAGATCATTATTTTTAAATAAATGAGGTGCTGTGGCAAGTGAAACAATAGTGTCTGTTCTGAATGATAACCCTTCGTTCACCTTGTGTGGCTGGGTATTCCACACTAGGAAGAAATGTGAGGGGACCCATAAAGGGAGCCCTAAGGTTTTGAGCCAAGAGTCACTTCCCTTTTAAGGAAAGACTCTTTCAGTTCGCATGGCTGCTGGGATATGTTTTCCTCTCAGGGCTAGCTGCAGATCCCTATGCAGGTGGGACTTTTTGGAGGTAGCTCCTGTGATAAACTCTCTTCAGGGAATTAATGCATTGTCCCAAATCAGGCTCCTCTGTTTTCAGCTAATCCCCGCAAGTAACCTTCACCTTCTGCCTTGGAGGCCTGAGGGGCTTGAAAGGCCACTCACTCCCTCATCTCCCCCAGCACTTGGCACTGCAGGTCCCAGGAAGGAACTCCAGGAAGAGGCTGGGCTGGGGAAGAGGAGGAAGAGAAGGAAGGCTTGGCAGATCTCTCTGGCACTGGGCCAAACACACTAGATGCAGAGAGTAATAAGCCTCTTTTGTAAATGATGTAGAGCCCAGAAAGAAATTCTGCAGCCTCGAGGTGCTTGTTGAAGTGGAACAGGCAGAGGAAGGAAATACCAGGAGGCAGTAGCTGATAAAATGTAGCTCTGTGGAAGAGTCACCAGATTTGTCAAATGGAAAAAGTGAGAACTTCTAAAAAAAAAAATAGAATTGCAGCTGGGTGTGATGGCTCACGCCTGTAATCTCAGCACTTTGGGAGGATTGGTTGAGGCCAGGCATTCAAGACCAGCCTGGGCAACATAGTGAGATCCTGTCTGTAAAAAATTACAAATAAAAAATTAGCAGGATGTAGTGGTGCACACCTATAGTCCCAGCTACTCAGGAGGCCAAGACAGAAGGATCACTTGAGGCCAGGAGTCTGAGGCTGCAGTGAGCTCTGATCACATCACTGTACTCCAGCCTGTGTGACAGTGCAAGACTCTCTCTTAAAAAAAAAAAATTGTTCTACAATTTTGAACATTTGACCGCACAGGTATTAGTGATTGTTGTAAATAATGGAATTTTAAAATAATAACAACATATTGATTTCTCTCTCATTGTAACATATTTACCATAAAAGTTTCAAAATTATAGAAAAGTATAATGAAAAAATCAAAATCATCAACAATCCAGCCATCCAAGAGCCACCACAGTTAACATTTGGTATATCACCTCCTCGTTCGTTTGAATGAGATTTTTGTACAAAAGTCTTATACTATTGTTGATCATAGTCACATATCTTATCCATCTATCTCACAATATTGATTGATGGCCTACCTTGTGTTACAGATACAAAAATGAACAAAGTTCCTGTCCTCAGGGAGCTGCAATCCTCATGGGAAGATAGAGGATAAATGAATAAACATGAGTGTATGTCATATGCCAGGCAGCGATAAAGAGTATCGAGAAAAATAAGGCAGGGTAAAAGGGCTGGAGCATGGGGTACAGCGGGTCGGGTGAGGCGAGATTACTATCTTTATATGGAGTAGTTAGGGACCATCTTGCTGATAAAGTGAGATGCAAACAGAGACTGAAGAAAGTGAAGGAGCAGCCATGCAGTATCTCAGGGCACTGTTGCAGACAGAGGGGACGAGCAAGAGCAAAGTCCCAGGGCTGTAAAGACTGGACATGTTGGAGAAACATTCAGGAGTCCAGGGTGGCTGGAGTGGAGTGAATAAGGGGCAATGTGGTCGGAAATGGGGTCAGAGTTGGGGACTGGGGAGACTCAGATCATGGAAGGCCTGCAGGCCCCTGAGTATTCTGCTGTGTTCCACTTATTGTTATATTGTGAGCATTTCCCTACTTCAATACATTTTCTTCAACAGCATAAAATTTTAATGGCCGCATGAAATTCCACCATGTGGAATTGTAGCTAGTCATGTACCCGAGAGGAAGAGGAGACCAGAGTTGGTGGACAACTACCAATACTGGTTGTGCTGTGCCCCCTTAAGTAGAAAATGTCACGAGAGGACCAATCACTTAAAAAGCAATATGTCCAATGATACACTTACACAGTTCTGAAATGCTGTTTCTCCTCCTTCACGTCACTATTGCTCTTAAGGTCGTGATGCACCAGCCTATGCAACTGACCATTCCCTTTACTCTTGGGAGGTGCTAGAAGATTCGTAATGACCAAACCAAACTAATAAGAACAGTTACTGATCTTTGTATTTGAAGACAATGCTACTTTTGGTGCATTGCAGGCTGTGGCTTTTAGCCAATACTGAAACATGTGTTCAAGTAAATCCTTTCTATTCAACCAGACTAGACTATCTGCCTCTCTGCCTACTTGAGTACATGCATCTGAACTACATTAGATAAAATCAGCCTGTGGTAGGAATGGCAAGTTGTTCACGGATATCTATTCTCCCTTTCCGTGGAATAATCCATAACTTGGATCATTTACTTGATACTGGCCATCCAGAACAAAACTACACATCTCCCATCTTCCTTTGCAGTGAGGCGTAACCACACAACTAGGTTCTGGCTAACAGGGTGTGAGCAGAAGGGATATGTGCACCTCCAAGATGTGCTCTTACTACAAGGATCATGTCCTTCCCTTCCTCCTCTCCCCCTTCTTTTTGCCTAGAATGTGGATGTGATGGAGCAGTTTGTGGGTAAGGCGACACCCCCCAGGATGGTGAAGCCACAGAGTACAAGAAGCCTAGGTCTCTCACAACTCTAGCAAGCCAAGCCGCAGACTGCCTTGGACTTCAACGTGAAAGAGAAATAAACCTCTATGTTGTATAGGCCAAGTCTCTGTGACATCACCTGGGTGTGGATCTGAATTAACGCCAAGTTTCAGGAACTCAGCCAGGCGCAGTGGCTCCAGGTGTAATCCCAGCACTTTGGGAGGCCAAGGCAGGCAAATCACCTGAGGTCAGGAGTTCGAGACCAGCCTGGCCAACGTGGTGAAATCCCATCTCTACTAAAAATACAAAAATTAGCTGGGCATGGTGGTGAGCGCCTATAATCCCAGCTATTCAGGAGGCTGAGGCAGGAGAATCGCTTGAACCCATGAGGCAGAGGTTACAGTGAGCCAAGATCACACTATTGCACTCCAGCCTGGGCAACAAAGTGAGACTCCGTCTCAAACAAACAAACAAACAAACGAGTTTCAGGAATTCTTTCTGGCCTCCTGCCATGTCAGCAGAGGGCAGTCACATGGGCATCCTGTCTTGCCTGTCCTGTGCACAGCTGCTCCACAGCAGTCGCCACATGCAGCATTGAGGAATTCATTCCTTAGTCCCTCCCAACATCTGCTACTCATTCCCCAAATGTGTGTGAGCACCTGCTCTGTGCCTGGCAGGGGACACAGTCTTTGGGGACCTAACAATGAATAAGGTTTTTTCTGAAGAGTACCAGTCAAGTTATAAAGTTTATAAGCACAAGATGGTGGAGAAATTCAGAGAGCTATGAAATTCTGCTGGAAGGAACTGATGCTAAGCTTGAGATGTAGCCATGTCTCTAAAGGTCTGTGAATGGACACATATAATGCCAGCTCCACAAGAGGTGATGGTGGCTCTGGGAAAGGACTCCTAAGATGATAATGTCTTTTGCAACTTCCTGAATTGCTTTTCATATAAGTTTCTATAAAGTTCAAAAACCCTACCCAAATACAGTGATATAGACTTCGTACTAACATTTTAAAAGGTGATTAAAGCAAAAATGATTTTACTGACTCCCCCAAGTTTTTTACCTGCAATCCCTGTAACCTGAGGTGCCCACATGCCTGGTCGCCATTACTGCTCTTTCATAGAAACAGCTGGATGGTAGATGCAACTGGGTCCAGTCCAGCTTCACCTCCCACAGCCCCTCACCCAACCTCACTCCAATCAAACTCAACTCCTGCCTGTACCCTAAGCATGCCTTGGGCTTTCCAGCCTGTGTGCCTTTCTTTTTTTCTTTTTTCTTTTTTTTGAGATGGAGTCTTGTTTTGCCACCCAGGCTGGAGTGCAGTGGTGCGATCTTGGTTCACTGCAACCTCCACCTCCCGGGCTCAAGTGATTCTCCTGCCTCAGCCTCCCAAGTAGCTGGGACTACAGGCGGATGCCACCACACCCAGCTAATTTTTGTATTTTAGTAGAGACGGGGTTTCACCATGTTGGCCAGGCTGGTCTTGAACTCCTGACCGCAGGTGATCCGCCCGCCTCGGCCTCCCAAAGTACTGGGATTACACGCGTAATTACAGTGCCAGGAGTACTGTGCCCAACCCAGCCTGTGTGCTTTTGTTCAAACAGTTCCTTGCCCCTAGGAAACTCTTCCCCCAGACTGCCTGATGGGCTCTCAAATATCACAAGGACTTTCCTCATCCCCTGAGCAGAACGTGTCCTCACACACACATCCCAAACCCCACAGCTCCTTTTTCTCTCTCAAACTCCTAAGTGACTCTGCCTTACTTCTGACCAGATTGTAAAGTCCCTGGATCAGTGGCTGTGTCCCTGTGCCTTACTCACCTTGGGGTGCCTGCAGCACTTATCACAGAGCTTTGCATATGGGAGGTGCTTAATACTTACTAGATTTGATTAAGTTTAATTATCTCTCCATGGCATGGTCACACAATAAAAGGGCACAACAGGAGGAGCCAGGGCATGGAGATGACTTGCTTACCTTGTCAGTATGGCACTGGTTTTCTTCTATGTAAAATCAAATACTAATGATAATTCCTGCTTTGTAAGGCTTTGGGGAAGAATATTATAAATGCCAGCTCTCCATACAAACTATAATTCACTAACCAGCTGTGTGATCTTGATAAAGTGTCTTAACCTCTATGGGCCTCATTCATCTGGGAGAAAAAAAGAAAAATATTGGGTACTGGAACAGTTGTTAATCCATTTTTTAAAAGTATAATTTTTGACCATAATGAGAATCAACTCCAGGCAGATTAAAGACCCAAATGTAAGAAGCAAAACTTCAAATTCTTGGAAGAAAACAGAAAATATCTTTGTGACCTCAGTAGGCTAAGCTGCAATAACTGAAAGACCCCATAATTCATCAGCTGAAAAAACAAAGGCAGTTACGTCTCCCTCCCAGCTCAGCAAAGGCCTCCGGGCCAGCAGTTGCAGGTAGTGGCAGATCCAGGTGGCTGGCAGCTCTGAGCACCTCAGTGTGAGGTTTCCCAGGCTCTCTGGTTGCTGCCATTTCAGGCCACTGCAGGGAGAAAGAGTGGACATTTAGAAACAGATTTCCTTTGATACAAGTGAGGTAGACTTTGCACGCATTACTTCCAGATGTACTCCACAGGCACAGTCCGCTTCACTCTACTATAAAAGAAAGAAGGGGTGAATTTGACTGGACACCAGTAGTCTCTGCCA
This sequence comes from Homo sapiens, assembly GCF_000001405.40. Taxonomy (NCBI): domain Eukaryota; kingdom Metazoa; phylum Chordata; class Mammalia; order Primates; family Hominidae; genus Homo; species Homo sapiens. The sequence continues at coordinate 172,303,178 of NC_000002.12, read as the reverse complement.
TAGTAAGCAACCCCTAAAGGAAAAGACTGATATATTTAATTGCATTAACTTTAAAATTCTACTCAACAAAGACAACAAAAAAGTAAAAAGGACAAGCATCAAACAGGAAAAAATGTTGGTAACATATATAACTGACAAAAAGTAGTATCCAGGATCTATGAATAATTCTTTCAAAAGAATAAGAAAAAAATTTGTAATAGAAAAATTTGCAAAATATATAAACAAAAATTGCTCAGAAGAAGAAACCCAAATGGCCAAATGTGAGGGAAAAAAATGCTGAGCCTCATTAATAGGGAAAAGCAAATTAAAACCATAAATAGATACCATTTCATATCCATCAGCTTTGCATGAAATTTTTAGTTTAACATTACTAGAATCAAGAGCAATGGAATTCCATCACTACTGGTAGTTGTATAAATGAGTGCAACCATCTTGGAAAACAAACTGACACGACTGAGTAAAACTGAAGCTGTGCATATCATATGATCCATCCATTCCACATTTAGACCTATACCCTAGAAAAACTCTTGTACCAGGGTACAAGGAGAGCTTACAAGAAAGAACACTTATAGTAATTATTGTGTGTAATTGCAACAACAATTATATGCAACCTGAATGTCCATCAGCTGGAGAATGGATAAACAAATTATTTGTTCATACAATGAAATACTATACAGATGCTTCTCAACTTATGATGGGATTACATCTTGATAAACCCATTACTGGGTTGAAAATATAAGAGTGCATTTTCAACTTACGATATTCTCAATTTGTGATGGGTTTGACTAGATGTAACTTCATCGTAAGTCGAGGAGCATAATGAATGTATATTTTGCCTTCATACCATCCTGAATTAAAATATCCTAAGTCAAACCACTGTAAGTTGGGGACCACTTGTATAGTCATTAAAATAAATGAATTAGCTTGTAGTCCCAGCTACTTGGGAGGCTGACGAAGGAGGATTGCTTGAGCTTAGGAGTTTGAGGCTTCAGTGAGCTATGATTGCACTGCTGCACTCCAGCCTGGGCTACAGAGTGAGACCTTGTCTTTGAAACATAAAAATATAAATAAAAAACACATTAGAGCTATACAGATTAGCATAGATGGATATCACAGATATAGTTCTGAATAAAAACAGTAGGTTGCAAAAGAATCATACAGGATGATGCCATACAGAAAGTTTCAAAATATGCCAAACAACACCACATATATTTAGAGATACATAAACTTGTAGTGGAAGTATAAAAGAATGCATAGCAGCCTAAACACAAAATTCAGAACATGAATTTTCCTAAGGATAAAGGGATGGAGGAAGAGGGAGATGCAATCAGGGCAGGTATATGGAGTGTTGTGGGGGGGTGTCAACAGAATTGATACTCTTTTATTTCTTGAACAGGGTGGTGAGTATATATGTGTCTATTTTATCTCTTTATCCTTTTTATCTGTCTTAAAATATTATGTTCCATGATATACTTATGTCATGAAAACATTATTCTGCCATAAAAAAGAAGGAAATCCTATCATTTGTAACAACGTGGATGAGATGGAAGGCATTATGCTAAGTGAAATAAGTCAGAGAAAGACAAATATTGCATGATCTCATTTATATTTATAATCTAAAAGAGTCAAACTCACGGAGAACTCATAGAAGGTAGGGGGAATGGGGACATGTTGGTCAAAAGGTACAAACTATCAGTTATAAGATGAATATGTTCTGGGGATCTCATGTACAGCATTGTGACTATAATTAATAATATTGTATTGTATACTTGAAATTTGCTAAGAGAGTTGCTCTTAAATGTTCTCACCACGCACGCAAAAATAATAACTATGTGAATGATAGATGTGCTAACTAACTTGACTGTAGTAATCATTTCAAAATATATATTTCAAAATATATACACTTATCAAGTCATCACATTGTACACCTTAAATAGACACAATTTTGTTTGTTAATTATACCTCAATAAAACTGGAAGAAAAAGAAAGAGAAGGGATCGTGGTAGTCAGCCTCCAAGATAGTCCTGGTGATCCTGGCTTGGTGTTCGCACCCTGTGTAGTTCCCTCCCGCATCATACCAGGGCTGCCTGAACAATAGAAGGCTGCTTAAGTGATGGTATGTGACATCCAACACTGGGTCATAAAAGACATTGCAGCTTCTGGCTTGTTCTCTTGCATCACTTGCCCAAGGGAAAGCTGTCTGCCACACTGAAGGACACTCGCAGCTCTATGAAGAGGCCCTATGAAGAGGCCCACATGGAGAGGAGCTGAAACTTCCCACCAACAGCCCATGCCAACTGGTCAGCTATATGAGTGAACCACCTGGGAATCAGAGCTCCCAGCCCCAGTCAAGCCTTCAGATGACCGCAGCCCAGCTGACATATGACTGCAACCATATAAGAGTCCCCGACACAGGACTATCCAGCCAAGTTGCTCTGAACTCCTGACCCAAAGAAACCATGAGAGAAATAGTAAATGATTATTGTTGTTTTGAGCTACTGAAATTTGAAGTGACCTGTTATGCAGCTATGAATAACTAGTGCAGGGTTGTATTGGGTGACCACCAGGTTCCCTTTTAGTTCCAGCATTCTAGGCTTTTAGGCTTCCTCTCACTCTTTATCCCATTTATTCATTCACTCAATCATTCAACCATCATGTATGAGAAATTCCAAAAGCCTTAAGATTACCTCTGACTTCCTTTAGGATGTAAGTCCTCGGCTGGAAATGATCTAAATAGGCTAATAGTTCAGCAGTTTGGTACCTCTTAGTTTTACCTAGAAGAGAACCCTCTCACAAAAGAGATCTTCCACACTTAATTTCATGCCACTGCAGAAAGTACCAGAACAGCCTCAAAAGGGAGAGAGAGCCTTGTGCCTTTAACATAGAATTCATGTATATTCATAAGCACAGAATCTGGAATTTTATTTGATATGAACCAGTAAAAAGCAAAGTCATATGTTTTAGCATATATGCTACCTGAAAAGATTTCTCCTGCCTGCCAAAATTTTACCTGCTGCTAAATTTTTGCTAACCACACCCACCAACCTCCCTCCCTCTCCATCTGAACTGCACCAGCTACTTTTGATTGTTTGCCAAATCAACAGAGTTGAGAAAACACAAAGACACACTTGTAGGTAAATATACTTAAGAATCAGCCTACCAGCAAACACACATCCTACGAAAGCATAACAAGAATAAAACTAAAAAGAGGCTTGGCCTGACCATGTCGGCTGTGGGCGAACTTGGGTACATGCCAACTCACACAACTGCCATTAAAAATGAATTGCATTCCCAGGGATGAATCCTGACATGACGCCATTGGGAAAGATGTTTGGCTTCTTTAAAAAAAAAAAAAAAGCTTCACTGCTAGCATTGCTCAACTTCTCAGTTCTCTCTCTTTCCTTCCTTAAATTTCCCATGCGACTTTGCATTTACCTAGTATCATGAAGAGTCACTGACTTGGGATAAGAGGACCTGGGCTTAACACCTGGCAATTGGAAACTAAGGGGTGTTTATAATTTGGGTTTCTTTGGTAGACAGGAGCCCACATGAACTCAGGCAATTTTACTGGAAGGAAACTAAAATAACTCACAGAATGGAAGGAAGAGCTGAACATTCTCTACACACAACTCCAACATCTTTCTCTCCCAGGGCATCTCTCCTTAAGATTCTAATCCCCAGCAAAAAGAATTCAGTGGCCTAGCCGGAGCCATATGCCCAACGTTGCGGGTCAGGGAGGGAAGGGATCCGAGAGGTGGGACTGTCCTGTGACTGGCAGCCCCACCAGAACACAATGGGGGAAAAGTCAGTATCCAAAAGAAAGGGATACTGGGCTGGCAAAATAAGAGGCGTTCATTCACTGTGCAGCCTCATCTGCTTGTCATGAGGCTCAAATGAGATCATGGACCTACGATCCCATTTTAAATCCCTAGAAAGTGTAAAGTTTATTTTTACTTATTTGTTCACTTCTCTTTCTTTAATTTGAAGTTGATCAAGAGCTTTTCCTTCTAACACTCCTATTCCCAAGAGGCCTGGAGAAAGCTCCTGTCAAGCTGCTTGTTGGCTGCAGCAAACTCACCAGCACCAGATCCTGAAGGTCCAGGGTGCTGAGCTCCAGTCATAGCTGTCAGCCATGAAGAGAAACCAGCAAATCACTACCAGCACCCAGCCATGTTGTTTGCACTAATAATCTTAGAACAAATGCAACTGCTTGGCCAAATGAAAGAAGTGTATCCAAAATGACCATTTGTGCCTCCCTGAGTGTTTTTGAGATCCCCCTTTATGAAGCACCCATGGTATAATGCACAATGATATAGTTCCCAGCCTTGGCTGCAGCTCAGTAGCAGTTGCCTATGCTGCCAAGTCAAGTAAAATTAATCTGCTGCCAAGGGAATTACAAAGAAATCATAGCAAACCTAATATTGGGCCACAGAGCGCAGACCCCTCTTTTCCCTTCGTTTACCCCAAATGAGGATTCCAGAACTTTGACAGACTGACTTCTTTCCCTTCCTCTCTCCCATTCTCCACCCTGCCTCTCCCACTCTCCTCTTTAAGGATTCTCAGTTTATAATGTCTTTTTCAGGTTCTCTCCTTCCTGTAGCTTTTGGCTATCAGCTTCATTTCATCTAGATCACAAACAGAACTTTGGCAAATAGAGACAACAGGGCAACAGCGTGATGGAGACGAGTGGGCAAGTAGAAAACAGAAGGTTCTTTAGGAAGTCAGGCATATGTTTCAGTAGCCTGTGAACCAGCTCTTGTTCTTTATCGTGGACATGATCCCTGGAAATTGTAAACAACATAAAGAAAACTGACCCGATGCAGACATAGCCCCACCTGGAAGTTCACAGGTGTATTCCCATGGTAATCTTCAAAAGTTTCTGTTCAGCTACCCGCATCTCCTCCTTTGCGTCCTGGAACGGGATTTTTCTTTGTTCCCAGTTCTTGAAATGGTAATGAAGATTTTCCTTGTCATCTCTGAAACTTGTGATGTTGTCATGGGAGACAAATGCATCAGTGTTAGTAATCCTTAGATAAAAGGTGCTTTACAGTTATGAAAGAATTATCTTTAATTTTGTCTCTGGGGTATATGGTGAGGATTAATTAGTTAATCTGAGTAAAGTGCTATAATTGGTGGGAGGAATTATCAAAACCCTGGGGAAGGAGTAGTTTTGAATCTAGTCAATTAGAAGTGTTCTGCTGTTAATGACAGCTGAGGTAGCCGTCCTTGTCTCTCAGACGTCACAGACCAGCTGGGTTTCCAGCAACATCCCAGACCATACACCACCCGCCCAGGGTGAAAAGGTGAAAATAGCTCCAGGTAAGCAGAGGGGGAGGAGGGATGTCAATGTTCAAACAGGACCTGAATCAACCTCAGATTCTGTTCTTGTCATTGGCCCTACCTGGGGACCCAAGGACATTTGTGTGAAATGGAGTGGTAGGGAAAGAATTCCCACACAGCTGCTGGGTGGGTGCTGACTCAGCACAGAGCTGCCCTGGGAGAACAGGGGGTGCTGGCAAGGAAGGGTCCCCGCCAGGCCAGGCAGCAGACAGACCTTGAAACTCTCCTTCTCCATGTCCTCATGTACAAAATGAAAGAGGGAGCCAGACGTTTAGGTATTGTAGGAAGATGTAGTAACAGCAAATGCTTACACAGTGCTTACGACAGGGCAGCCACCACCTGGGTGAATCTTTATTCACTCAATTATCACGACAGCCCTAGAGACGGTTTCCCCACCTTGCAGAGTTGATAAAAGTTGGGTTTAAACCCAGATGGTCAGATTCTACAGCCCATGCTTTTAACCACTACATCCTGCTGCCTGCCTAAGTATAAAACCTCCGTATGAGCCTCTCAGTTCATGAAGGATCTGGGGTGGGGGAAGTATTTTTAAAGTGTCAAATGAAATTCTCTGAGGCTCTCCACAATTTAAGCCTGGGCTCATAGAAATAAATAGCTCTCTTGTTCTCTCAGGTGTCTGAAATCCATGATAGGATACAAAAATAACAAGTTCGCAAGTACAACAGCTCTGTCCTCTGAGCTTTTAACAATCTTAAAGTGAGTCACATGTTGGCTTTTAAATCTAGATTGTATCCTTAAACTAAAATAGTTGTTTAGACAACGGTGCTTTTGGAAGTCTCCTAGCAAAACTGGCCAATTACGTGAACCCCAAATGCCAAGCTTATCTGGTTTGCAAAAGCCATTTGGAGACTTAAGTGCACTGATTTGAGCAATTTTACAAGGGAATCTTAAGGTGAAATGTAAGCATGAGAATTTCTATCTACTCTCTTCTGGTTCTGCATCCTAATATATCAATCAGTCAATGAACTGCTGACATTTGCATAATACACTGGAAAGATCATGAGGACCAAGGCTGTACCATAAACAGCAATTTTTAAATTTCAGTACCTAATTTTTATTTGCTCTCTTTTTCTCAATTCAGTTTCTTCTAAAACAAACAATGAATTTAATATGCATACTCTTAGGTGAATTTTTTTAGTTCATAATGACTCATTAGAAATCCAACCGCCCAGATTTTCTGGGTATTTTGCAAGCCTGTGATGTATATAAAAATCACCTGGGGACCCTGTTAAACTGCAGATTCTGGTTCAGTAGGTCCAGGAGGAGGTGGGAGGGAGGGAGCCCGGTGTGGGGTGCTGAGATCCTACATTCCTAGTAACTCCCAGGTAATGCAGATGCTGCCAGTTCCCTAACACATTCTGCGTGTCTAGCTCTTAGACCACACTGAATTGACAGGAAGAGACAGCTCCTGGCAGTAGCGTTAATGACAAACCAACCTGACTAGGAGTCCTTTGTAATGTGATTTTAAGGGCTTAATTTGAGAAGCATTCTCAACTTACAAAAAGCGGGGGAAACCCTGCCACCTAAAATTTTAGTCAGAAAAATTATCCCTTCATCTTCTCAAATAAGAACACCTCAAGAAGAGAGGCAACAATTTATTCCAGGATGTGGCCAGGACCAGAATTGAGAGCACTGTGCAGTTTTTGGGAACACCATGGAGGGAACTAAGGGATGAGGAACTGGGGAGGGACCAAGGATATCTGGAATGAGGACTGAGCCTGGGGGCCAGAGGAGACTCCACAGGTGTACTGTACCTTCCGCAGGTGACAGGAGGACCCTGGCTGAAGGTCAGTCACACTGTGGGCTCGTAGTCCTGCTCAATTTTCCTGCCTTTTGGAGGTGGTTGAACATGAAGCCTCAATAAGGCTTTCCTGATAGAGAGGGAGAACTAAATTTAGAGCCAAGGAGACTGCATGAAGCTTCTGATAAGAAGGGAAAAGCAGCAGCAAGGGAACGCCAGGGAGGACAAATGGCACAACATGTAAGAGCACAGGCTCTGGATGCAGGCTGCCCGGGGCCACACCTGCCTCAGCCACCAAGCATATCTCTAAAAGGCTGGTTGTCAGTGAGTGGATAAAGAAAATGTGGTATACATACACCATGGAATACTACTCAGCCATAAAACAGAACCAAATAATGGCATTTGCTGCAACCTGGATGGAGCTGGAGACTATTATTCTAAGTGAAGTAACTGAGGAATGGAAAACCAAATATCATATGTTCTCATTTCTAAGTGGGAGCTAAGCTATGAGGATGCAAAGGCAAAAGAATGATACAATGGACTTCAGGGACTCAGGGTGCGGGGAGGGGAGTGAGTGATTAAAAGACTACATATTGGGTACAGTGTACACTGCTTGGGTGATGAGTGCACCAAAATCTCAGAAATCACCACTAAAGAACTTAGCCATGTTACCCAAAACCACCTGTTCCCCAAAAGCTGTTGAAATAAAAAATAAATAAAAGTAAAGGGCTAGTTTTTTAAACTCTGTGTACCCTGCTTCCTCATTGGTCAAAGGTAATGTGAAGAAACTGGTGGTATCTACTCTAATATATACTCTCTATACTCTCATTTTTTGTCTTATGACAGAACTCAAATATTTACCTGTGTTACATTGTGACTGGGAAACAATAAGACTGCATTTCCCAGCCTCTCTTTGCAGCTAGATATGAATACATAACATGTGAGTTCTGACCAATGAAATGTAAGCAGAAGTATTGAGATTTCTACGAGCAAAAGAAGATGACCCTTTTACTATCCCTTCCTGCTTTCTGCTACCTGAAACAGAGATGTGATGACTGCAGCTACTGCTGCTATCTTGGACCAAGAAGTAACCTTGAAGTTACATGCCAAGAATGGTGACGGAGAAAGGTAGACGTCTTGATGACACTGTGGAGCCACCGAAACAACAGTGGCCGGGCCCACCTCCAGACGTTTTGTTTTTCACATAGGAGAAAAACTCTATTTTTTTTTTCTTTTTAAATAAAAAGCCTCCAGTTGGGGAGAAAAAAAAAACCCTTCTATCTTATCTAAGCTAATATTGTTCAGGGCATTCTGTGTAAGCAGCTGCACCAAATACTACCTGATACATGGGCATAACGTGAAGTAACTGGTTCATTTTTTTTCTGTAAGAACTAAGTGAAAGAATGTATGTAAAACTCCTAGTGCCCTTCCAAGCACACAAGAAGTCTCAGTATTGTTCATCCTTACATTTAAGTGATGGAGAGGGTCAGAGCTTAGAATAACCTTGAGAGCTGAAAGGGAACTTAGTTACCAGCAATCTGCACCCCTCCATTTTAAAGATGAGATGCCTGAGTGCTGGAGAGGCCAGGGGCTTGCACAGGGCACCCAGCCTGGTAGAGGCAGCTCAGGTCTCCTCATGTCTGTTCCAGGCTCTTTCTCAAAGCAGAGGGTATGGAGCAGCTGACATGAGAGGGAATTGATGAAGTCAAGAGGCGACCCCTAAATAATAGGACATCTTCCCACACGAAAGCCCTAAGGGGGAGCAAACGTTTAATTCTGAGGTTCCTCATTCAAACAAAATCCATCTAAATTTGATTATTTACTAAACTATCAGGAAGCAGGGAGTCGAGAGGAGGGAAGGCATAAAGAGATCAGGCTTGGCTTTATAACCAGTTTTGCAATATTGGTGTCTGGAAGCCTGCCAGGTCAGTCAGCCACTGCGCTGCCATGGATGGAGGCCTGGGGAACTGGGAATGAAGAAAACAGCCTTTGCCGATGGTGTTTCCTTGGCTGGCCCCTGCTCAGGACTCAGGAATAACTGCTTTCTGGACCCTCTGAAAAGTCCCCTTAGGGGCCATCTGACTCCAGAGGCCTGTGGTTGTTCGCATGCCTTCCCAACTCTGGCCCAAGAGATCGCTTCCCTGCCTTAGAACTAAACAAGAAGTCATCCTGTGTCCGATTGAGGCGTCTCAGGGGAAAGGATTTAGAGCAGGCCCCTTGGGTTTGTAACAAGATCACAGTGGGGGAGTTATCTTGAGGACTTGAGGGGGAGCTGCTTCTAATCTGCTCAGCAAAACAGTCTCCATCCCAATTTTCACATATGCAATAAAATGCTGGCTCCAGTAGCTCAAGGAAGCTCCATGATAAGTCACCCCAGAAGCCTCTCAGGCAGGGGTGGCAAATGGGTTTCATTTCATGTGCCACCTGCTCAGTACTGGTGGCCTGGAAAACTGTGTTGAGAAGGATCCTGAAGCTTAGTAGTAAGGAGTTCTGCAGCATATTAGCAATGTCCGCAATGAGCCAGGCAAGAGATAGATTCATGGGTCCACACACTGACCATCTTTAGCCTGGGTATGGCAGATGTGCAAGAGCCATATTAGACCATCAGCTTCAAACTAGACCACAATAGATCTGTCTTACATGGACTTTTCGAGGACCAGACTGTGGCTTGTGAATACATCCCTACTCCCTTCTTACAGATGTTGCTTACAGAAAGAATACATTTTAAATTGCATTCATTTTTACCATTTTTGCACTTGGAAGCATTTAATCTGCAGAATCTGCTGAATGGGACATTATCTGGTATTTACTCTGAACAATTCAAGATTAAATACACTTTTACACTTTGGTTCAAGAGCCAGCACTGCAGTGTGGTAGGTCCCTCTCCTATGTCCTACAGATACAGTTCCTCTCTTCTGGAATCCCCACTCTCCACTATCAAGGGTGGGCCCCTAGCAGGTGCTCACACAAGATCCTGGCCCCTGGGTTTGTTGCTTGGTGCTGAAATGGATATCTGCCTCAAGTTGAGCCAATCTGATTCATCATCCTGGGAAGGTAGAACTTGAGCTGGAAGTTGCAGAGGTTGGGAGTGGAGTCCTAATAACAGCAAAGAACTAGAGCAAGTGTCTCAAACTCAGCAGCCTATAGGAGTCAGCTAGGCAAGCACGCCAGGCATAATAATAATAATAATAATAATAAACAGCACCACTGTGATTAAAAAAAAAATGTTGACTAACAGTAAGTCTCAGTGTTGTGGGGAGGTAATAGGGAGTGGTGGGGACTATGTCCATTTGGAGAGACATGCTTAGGCCAAAGAAGCTGCTACTCAGCTCCTGCCAGTTGTTGCCATGCAGGAAAGGAATCTGTGTTGCCATGTTGTCTGATTTTTTCTTTTTTCAAGAGAAACCAGAAATCTAGATTTTTATATGAAGGTCTCTGACTTTTAAAAGTGATCAACTAAATTTCAAAACTGTACAGCCCAAATAAATTATGTCTCTTGATAAAATATTGCCTAAGGGCCAATGATTTACAATCTATGCTTTTGAGAGAAGACATTTATATCTATCAGAGTCCTATCAGTAAACAAATTGCTTGCTCAGAGAGGAGCGTTTTTGTTTAGTTTTTTTAGAGGTGAGGTCTCGCTTTGTTGCCAAGCCTGGAGTGCAGTGGTGTGATCATAGCTCACAGGACAGGAGGGTTTTATAAAGGGATGATTTACAAAAGTGCAGTGCCAGTCTGGGACTATAGTAAAGTGAGTGTGCAATTGCCGCAAGGTAAAAAATTTTAAGGGGACACCAAAAATTTTAGTAATCAAGATAAATAATATTTCAATGTAATAATTTTTTAAAGTCAAAATTACTGTAAAAAAATCTATGATGAACAAAATATTAACATTTTAAACAAAGGATTAGTATTACTCATTGTACTTGTCTATTCTCACATTGCTATAAAGAAATACTTGAGACGATAATTTATAAAGAAAAGAGGTTTAATTGGCTCACAGTTCTGTGGGCTGTACAGGAAGCATGAGGCTGGCCTCTGTTCAACTTCTTGGGAGGCCTCAGGGAACTTTCAGTCATGGCGGAAGGTGAAGGGAGAGCGACGCACTTCACAGGACGAGTGCAGGAGGAAAAGAGAGGGGAGGTGCTATACACTTTTAAACAACCAGATCTCATAACTCACCCACTCACTGTCATGAGAACGGCAGTGAGGGGACGGTGCTAACCCATTCATGAGAACTCCGCCCCCATGACCAAATCACCTCCCACCAGGCCCCACCTCCAACACTTGGGATTACAATTGAACATGAGATTTGGGTGGGGACACTGATCCAAACCATATCACTGATACTTCCTTTTGCTTCAAGCTCCAACATAGCCCAGCATAGAACTAGTCAAGGTGTAGAGAAACCTCAAGGGATAGTACAGTACCCTGGGGGTGGGAAAAGCAGAGCTGTTACCACATCTAGGGCCAAAGGGATAAAACACAGGAGTGGTTACTAGAGCTTGGAAGGAGAAAGTCATGCCCAGAAGGCCATCTGCAGACAACCTGTGACTACTGGCCAAGGGACTTGACTAGCCCAAGGCATTACCCAAGGTAGGAGCCAAGGTAGGAGATGAACTGTTGGCCTCACTCCCCTTTCTTCCTCTGATCTCCTGACAAAATACATCACTGCCCAAACACAACCAGAAGTCAAAGCGCATAGGAGCCTATTGCTACAGTTCATAACGTCCATCAATACAGTCCATAGGAGCACCGAGCAGGAGAGAAAGAAAGAGAGTGGAGCTGGAGGGACAAATGGAAGAGACCCGATAAACGCCCAAAACTCCTACCCTGGTCCTCAGCCTCCTGGGGGCCTGGGACTTTAGTGATTCCTGGGATTCAGTGAGATTTCCCAGTATCCTCCCAATATAGTCCTTTTTCTGCTTAAGCTAACTGAAGTTGATTTCTGATATTTGCCACTCAAAAACTCTTACCTAACACACACAGCCTGAGTGGCTAATCTGTGGACCAGTCAAACCCCAAGTGAATTCTCCTAGTACTCGCCAGACCTGACCAGTCCCTGCTCACAAACACAGGTAATGAATCATGCAGGCCACCAACATTTAGTGACTGGAGTGACATAGCATTTTTTAACTGAATTAGTTAAGAAATCCATTGAAAAAGTGATTACTTATGGTTGTTATCAATAATAACATAATAAAGCTGGATCCAACAAAAAAAGTTTAAATGTATTAAAATGACACTGCTCCTAAATTTAGGTATTAGGTTACCATTTGAATGGTAAAAAAAAAAAAATCCATTTCATGGATTTTTTCCTTTGGGGAAGATACCATTGAATCCATTCTATTCAGCATCCATAGAATGTTTGTTTTCTTTTTAAGAGATAAGCTCTCACTATGTTGCCCAGGCTGTTCTTGGACTCCTGGGCTCAAGAGATCCTCCCACCTCAGCCTCCCAAGTAACTGGGACTACAGATGCCAAAACCACACCCAGCTCAGCATCTATAGAACTTTGACCAAGATACTTATTTAGATTTTTTAAAATAGTTTAAAAGTAGGAGATAATATGAGAAAGGCAGAAAATTTACAATGATTACTCAAAAAAGGAAAAAACAGGCAACACTGTAAGAACAAAATCTACTCTGAAAGTGAGTTTCACCAAAAGCCTTGCTTAGGCACTATTACAGGCAGAATTATGTCCCCCAAAGATTCATACATTGGGGTCTTAAACCTTAGTACCTCAAAATGTGACCTTTTTGAAGATAGGGTCTTCAAGAGTGAGCCCAAATCCAATATGACTGGTGTCCTTATAAGAAGAGGAAATTTGGACACCGATGGCATGCAGAAGAAAGATGATATGAAAAGACAGGGAAAGATGGTCATCTTCAAGCCAAGGAGAAAGGCCTGGAACACATCCTTCTCTTGTGGACCTTTAAAGGAACCAACCCTATTGACACGTTGATCTTGGATGCCTGGTCTTCAAAACTGTGCAAAAACAAATTTATATTATTTAAGCCACCTAGTCTGTGGTACTTTGTTATGGGAGCCCCAGTAAACTGATACCAGTGTCACAACAACAATAATAGCAAATACATATTGACATTGCTAAATGGACTCCCCAGTCCATTAAAGGTGTCCATTTCCAGCTGCTCTAAAATAAAGGAGTTGTGATTTATTTTGCTGGGTACTATGCCAGCACAACCCAGCACATAATTTAAACTCCTGGTTATCCTCTTTGCATAAGAGTTTGGACAAAACAAAGCTGTAATGAGTAGGGTCATGGACTTCTGTACCCTATTGGCTAACATATAGCCAATAAAGGAAAAATAGAGACTGGCTGCCCAGGCACTGCTTTAAATGCTTTATATATATTAATTCATTTAATATTTGTAACTCCTATGGAAGATAAGCACTATATATATCATCTCCATTTCATAGCTGAAGAAAGTGAGGCATCAAGAGGTTAAATAACTCACCTAATGTCACACATGAAATAAGTAAGAGAATTTGGATGATAAATCTCAATCTGAATCCAAATTCTATACCCCAAATCTGTGCTTATAACTGCTATACCTTGCTGCCTCTTGGGTGTAGATCTTTCCTGCAGAGGATGATTTTTTTCTCCCACCCCTAAGCTGTTATCAGCCAGACAAAATGGACAGTCAGGTTTCATGGGTGCATCCATACTCAAGTGTCCAAGCCCCTTTGATGCATCTGATACCCTCAGAGACATCGAAACTTGGTCTTATTTTAAAAATCATGGTGTTGGCCGGGTGTGATGGCTCACACCTGTAATCTCAGCACTTTAGGAGGCCGAGGTGGGCGGATCACCAGGTCAGGAGATTGAGACCATCCTGGCCAACGTGGTGAAACCCCATCTCTACTAAAACACAAAAAATTAGCCAGGCATGTTGGCGTGCGCCTGTAGTCCCAGCTACTCGGGAGGCTGAGGCAGGGGAATCCCTTGAACCCAGGAGGTGGAGGTTGCACTGAGCCGTGATCGCGCCACTGCACTCCAGCCTGGCAACAGAGCAAGATTCTGTCTCAAAAAAAAAAAAAAAATCATAGTGTAACTGCAAGATATGAGTGATTGAATCAACATTATCCCTCAAGGTAGGCACAAAATTGAGTCCAACATAATTTGATGGAGTTATACAGGTGTCATGCTGGTACCCTTGACCATCACAGTGCTGTTGGTCATACCCATTTATCCAGAGATGACTCCCAGGATGACTCAGTGGCAAGCAGTCTCTGAAACCCCTTTCCTGCTGCTTGCCAGTATCAACACCCATCGTCACCACCACCATTTGGCACAATGCCCAGAGGAGCTAGGTGTTGGGACAAAATAGTACCTGTCTCACAATGTTGTGAGACTTAGTGGGCCCTCAGTGTAAGTGTTAGTTCTTTTCCCCTTTACAACTAAGTGAAAAAGCCTTGCTCAATGCACATGAAAGTGTTGGTTATAAACTTGTGTTTGGGGATTATATTTTAATTTATTAAATTAAACCTCCTCTCATGACTTTTGCAGAGCTAATGACAAATTAGCCTGTGTGCACACAGACTGGAAAGATACAGACTTTGCCCAGTCTGTGTAGTCAGCATGCAGATGAGAGTGGGACGCTTGCTGCAGAAACACCTTCAGCTCAGCAGCTGCCTATAAGGGAAGAAAACTCAGGATGTATAAAAACAGAGAAGTGACATTCTCCCTGCAAAATCAGCATTCTAAAATGATGATCCTGTCTCATCCCAGTCCTGTTTTGGCCAGACTCCCCTGTCCATTAAAAGTGTCCATTTCCAGCTGCTCTAAAATAAAGGGGTTGTGATTTATTTTGCTGGGCACCGTGTCAGCACAGCCCAGTGCATGATTTAAAATCCTGGTTTTCCTCTTTGCACAAAAGAGTTTGGACAAAACAAAGCTGGGATGAGCAAGGTCATGGACTTCTCTACCCTACTGGCCAACATATAGGCGATAAAGGCAAAATAGAGACTGGCTGTCCAAAGCTTTGTGGACCGTGGGAAGTGATGTTGCCAAGGTGATGATTTGGAACCAGACCGGAGAAGCTGGTGCTAACAAGGACAGGAGACCCAAGGAACATTTCCTGAAAGGGAAGAGAGAAACTCAAAGGGAATTCACCAGCAGTTGGTAGGATTTCCATGTTTTGTCTCAAATATGTATTTCTAGCCTTCCTTATGTTGGAAAATTGTGTTCAGAACTCCGAACTCTGAACACAGTAGATTTATCACATCCTGACTGTCAGAGATAATTTAAAATCAGATGAGAGGGAAGGAAGGAAAATTGAGAGTCATGATTGTCATCCAATCCAAGCTCGGTAAAAACCATTTGATAATGGTCTATTTATAGAGACATGTAGGATGGTCATTAGGAACAGAGCCCAGGGATCAGGCCCCAGCTCTGATGGATTTTGTGAGAGACACTCACCAGTTTAGGAAAATCATTTAATCTATTGGTACTTCAAATTGGATCACCAATAAGAATGAGTAAGACCTGTATACATGTACCCTAAAACTTAAAGTATACATGAAAAAAAAGGTTCTAAAGCAAAAAAATAAAAATAAAGGTTGGATGCTAAATTAAACAAAAAAAAAGAATGAGTAAGACCTATGGAATTTTATATCAGAGGGAAAAAACAGGAAGAGTCCATACATTTAGTTTGAAATAGTCATTATTTCCTTTTGATTTAAAAATTAAACCACATTGTCAAGGAACAATAAATCAGCCTATTTATTTATTTATTTATGCCTAATTCATGTTGCCTACTGAGGATCAGTAGGTGTTCTGATTTCTGAGCTAATACTCTATCTGAATGAAAATTTGGGTTTTGCTCATGGAAAGCCAACTCCTGGCAGGCCTATACTTAACTCAGAACTCACCTCTGTGCCCCTCAAGTCATTTGCTTACTTCCCTTGTTATAGAAACAATGGAAGTTATTTCTTAGCAAGCGAGAAAAGTTCTGGAATATAAATTGTAGACTGTGGTTGCTATTAAGCCATGAACAGTTCGTCCTTTAGAAGGTAGAGGAAGGACATGGAGGAGAGGGAGAGCCAAGAGATCAGCCAAGAAGCACGGTCACTGCTCCAGTGTAAAATTGGGATCTAAAGAGTTTGAGAGTTCATTAGAATCACAGCATAGAATCTTTTGAGCTATATGCACACCTATGGTTTATACCACCAAAATGCCAAAAATCTTCTGCATAGTGCAAGCTGACTGAGTAAATGATTTAATGTGATTCTCACTCCACCTTGGGAAGTCAACAGATAAGGTACTGACAGTTATGTCCATTTCATGGGAGAGGAACAGATGCTCATACAGAACAGATAGTATCCAGGGGAGCTTTATTTCCAGGGAATGATTCTGCCTGTAAGGTTTTCCGGCCACTAAATAGTGGAGCCAGTACCTAATTCAGGCCCTCTGATTGTTAGCCTTGTTCCTTCAAACTGCAGGACATCACAACCACCACGCCCACCTTCCAAAATGAAAGTCTCTTTTCAAACATAAAAGCCACAATATGAGCTATGGCAGCCATTGAGAGGTACATCCTTTCCTCTGTGAAATTTCACTCAGGAACAGCCCTATAACATCACAAAATTTAGGAATGAAAATAATCTCTAGTCTAATATACTTGTTTTATGAACAGATAAGGAAACTGAGGCACAGAGGGGCTAAGTAACTTGTCTCAAAATCACACAGCTGCATTACTTGTTGCGTTGGTTAACTGAAATGTTAAGATCAGTTCAGTCATTCCACAGTTTACAAGAAATAATTAGAAGGCATCCCATTTACAGAATATAAACCTGATCAGCCGGGTGCGGTCGCTCACGCCTGTAATTCCAGCACTTTGGGAGGCTGAGGCGGGCAGATCACTTGAGGTTGGGATTTCCAGACCAGCCTGGCCAACATGGTCAAACCCCGTCTCTACTGAAATACAAAAATTAACCAGCCGTTGTGTTGGAGGGGCAGCTGAGGCATAAGAATCGCTTGAACCTGGGAGGAGGAGGTTGCAGTGAACCAAGATCATGCCACTGCGCTCCAGCCTGGGTGAAGAGTGAGACGAGAGAGAGAGAGACAGAGCGAGAGCGAGAGAATGAGAGAGAGAGAGCAAGGAAGGAAGGAAGGAAACTAAACCAAACAGTAGTTCAAAAAAAAGTTAAGTGATTTGCGGAGATCAAAAGGAAGGAAGGAAAGAAACAATAGTGCAAAACAAGTAATTTGCAGAGATCACAGAAGTGGAGGGACAGCAGGATTTGAAACCAGGCTGATCTGACTCCAAACTACCCGACCTCACCCACACCAACAGCATGTTGTGCCAGCAGCCTTTTGTGCCCCTGTGGAAGAGCAGGATAGGGGCACTGCACAGGTTTCATTCACTGGAAGGGAGAACTTCTTGCCCACAAATAAGCACCTTGGACTCAGCTAAATCCAGAGAACTCTTAGTCTCACCTAATCCAAAACTGCTAGATTTCAAATCCCAAAGGACTCATTTTGCCTCTCAGCAGGCCCAGCACAGACACGTAGCCCTGACAGTTTGCACTGAGGATTCCAGATTCCAGAATGGAGCCCAGCTGTGCAAAGCCACTGAAGCTGTGACTGGCAGCCGCACTCACTGACCTTCTCAAAGGCCTCTGTGCTCCCAGGCCTGGAAGAGCATTATTTTAGGGATAATGGCTGACAGCTGCTGCAGCCTCGTGGGTGCCCAGCCCCTGTCCACCACATCCTTAGGAATCTTGGTGGTTCCAGGCTTTCTGGCCCAGAGTAACCAGCTACTGGAATCCTGGAGTTACTTCATTAAACTGGTTTCAAGTTACATGCTTTCTTTTATAGGACTGGGGGGAAATGAAACCTGCCAGCCTATTGTCTGTGCTGTACATAACCACTTCTTTCTTGGTGAAATTTCTCCCAGCTCCTGTGTCCCCATCCTGAGTGCAGTAGGGAAGTAGCAAAAGAATTGGTTTTGCCAAATAAAGTTTAAAATGTTGGCCAAGACCAGTGTCGTGCCCCTGTTGCCTCAGCAACCAAGCTGAGGCAGGAGGATCGCTTGAGGCCAGGAGTTTGAAGCCAGTCTAGACAATAGAGCAGGACCCTGTCTCTACAAAATATTTATTAAAAAATTAGTGGCCATGGTGGTATGCACTGTAGTCCTAGCTACTCAGGAGGCTGGTGTAGGAGAATCACTTGAGCCCAGGAGTTCAAGGCTACAGTGAGCTATGATTGCACCGCTGCACTCCAGCCTGGGGAACAAAGTGAGACCCCATCCCATAAATAAAACAGTCTCTACTTTCTGAGTATTTTGTTCCCCACTGCACTCTTGCAGGCTGAGTGTTTCATCGAGTTCCACAGTGCCTTTGCATATCTTATGCATATCTAGAGGACAAGACACCATAAGAGAGTGCCTCCTGTTTTCAGTTTTTGTCATTATCATTAGCCTTCCAATGGTCAACTGCCAAATAGGCCACTTTGAAGTAGGTTTGCCCTCTTTCTCTCCTTTTTTAAACTCAGATGTGCATAGGTAGAATGGCTGAAATGACTCTTTAGAAGAATGTGTTCTTTCCATGCTAAATGCCTCAGATCTCAGCTAATCTTGCAGAGCTGGACAGGATCTTTGAACAGGTTAATGTAGTGGTTGGGAAAATCTCCCCCTGGGGAAATTCCTCAGTCCTCTGACAGCCAGCATCTGCGCAGGCGAGGGCACATACCCCTTTGGGGCAGTCTTGGAGTGTTCTCCTCCCTTGGTGGATTCACAGAGTGCAAGGGGTACCACAGAAGGAGCTGAAGGCTCCTGTCACTCTCCCATAAAACCCCTCCACCGATGCAGCATGGGGCATGACATCATTAGGGGAGAAGATGGGAACGGGATGATTTGGATTCAGGCAACTGGGGTCAAATCCCACCTCCACTGCTCACTCGGTAGGCAACATTAGTATATCCCTGAACCTCTCTGTGCCTCAGTTTACACATCTGTAAAACAGGAATAATAATACCTGCTGCACAATATGGCTATGGTTTTGTAAATGATACAGCACTATTATCCATAATAGTAGTAACCTTAAGGAGATGCTGAAGACTCTTTTCAGATTTGTCCCAGTGCTTACATCTACTACATTTAAGGGGAGTAGGTTTGAAGATAAATTTCATTATCCTTGTCATCACTGATACCTTCATGAGTCAAGCACCAGAAGTAGACTCGGCACCAGATGAAACATGGTCATCAAAATTATCCCTGAAAGGCCAGTTGGTCAAGATATTTCAGACATCAAAAATATGCCCCCCGGCCCCACCCCCGAGGCCTCAGCTGCATCACATTCCTTCACTTGGACCCGCCTGCAGACCACACAGTATCTCAGGGCAATTTCACACTCTCTCTACCGACTGCCTCTTGCTATCTGGATTGCACACTCAGGCAGCCTGATTCCTGTCTGGTCAACCACATAGAAACCAAGGGAATGAGAGCTAATGTAATTGGTTGAAGTCATTTCCAGAAATATGCTATTGGGGACATATCGAGAAGGTATCTGGGTTCTAAACAGGAAATCATAATAATCAGACTAATGCAGCATCCAAATTACTTCAGGGAAAACAATTGTTACAAAATCAAACTACAGACATACCAAGCTCCTCATCAGAAATAGAAAGAAGCTTCCTTTTTCATTACACCTCTTTTTTCCAGCAAATTTCTTGCTCATTCTAGAATGAATCTTGACTATTCACAATCCCTATCATTGTTCCTGAAATAACACCCTCATTAATTATGCCTACTCTGAAATACAGTTTAACCTGTTTTATAGTTAACAGCAGCCTTAACATACAGTCCCAAGTGAACCGTGTAGAGAGCCTCAGAATTACAAACGTAAAGTGACGGCAAAGGAAGAAAATATATATGCCTTCTAACTGACTCAGAAATGGGCTTCCCACACCCCCTGCAGTCATGTGCCACACAGTGACATCAGGCAACAACAGACTGCATGTATGATGGTGATGCCATAGGATTAGAATAGAGCTGGAAAATTCCTATCCCCTGATGACATATTGATGATCCTGACCCCGATGATTAAGCCCGGGCTAATGTGTGTGTAGTTGTCTTAGTTTTTAACAAAAAAGTTTAAAAGTAAAAATAATAATAATAAAATTTAATGAAAAAAATGTATAGAATAAGGATATAAAGAAAATATTTTTGCATAGCTGTATAATGCCTTTGTGTTTAAAGCTAAGTGTTATTCCAAAAGAAGTTAAAAACATTAAAAAGCTTATAAAGTGAAAAAGTTACAGTAAGCTAAGGTTAATTTATTATTGAAGAAAGAAGAGTTTTAAAATAAATTTAAGCCAGGCACAGTGGCTCACGCCTCTAATCCCAGCACTTTGGGAGGCCAAGGCAGGCGGATCACTTGAGGTCAAGAGTTTGAGACCAGCCTGGCCAACATGGTGAAAGCTCATTTCTACTAAAAATACAAAAATTAGCCAGGCATGGTGGTGGGCAACTGTAAGCCCAGCTACTAGGGAGGCTGAGGCAGGAGAATCACTTGAACCCAGGAGGCAGAGGTTGCAGTGAGCGAAGATCATGCCACTGCACTCCAGCCTGAATGACAGAGTGAGACTGTCTCAAAAAAAGTAAAATGAATTTAGTGTAGCCTGAGTGTGCTGTGTTTATAAAGTCTACAGTAATGTACAGTAATGTCCCAGGCCCTCACAATCACTCACCACTTACTCACTGACTCACCCAGAGCAACTTCCAGTCCTGTAAGCTCCACTTATGGTAAGTGTCCTTACAAGTATATCATTTTTTATCTTTTATACCATAACCTTCTCTATGTTTAGATACACAAATACTGATCATTGTGTTACAACTGCCTATGGTATATTCAGTACAGTAACATGCTGTACAGTTTTATAGCCTAGGAGCAATAGGCTATACCACACAGCCCAGGTGTATAGTAGGCAGTACCATCTAGAGCTATGCAAGTACACTCTATGATGTTTGCACAAAGAAATCGCCTGACAATGCACTTCATAGAACATATCTACATTGTTAAGTGACACACAGTTGCATTTCAGCACTCCATGCCCTACTTCTTTATATATATATTAATAGCTTCGAGGGAATGGGTAGTCATTTAGCATTAATAAGCAATGAAAAGTGGAATCTTTTTCTTGTTTCAGAAAGTGACAGTAAGCAGTCTAGAAAATGTGGACAAGATGGAGGAAAGGAAAGAGTGAAGGGAAGAAGGGAGAGTAGAAAGGAAAACCAAGATAACTTTCCTCATGTCCTGAATCTGATGAGCTCAGACTGTCTGGCACATGCCCTTCAGGTAGGTGATAGGGCAGTGTTGGGCTGATTCTGGGAAAACTCTCCTCTACAGAACTCAGGTGTCTTTAATACAGTGTAGTCCATTTTGTTCTTTTTTCTTCTGTTTCTTAGCGATGGGTTTGCCTTTTTAGGGGTTGGCTGGAAACGAGTACATTATCATCGACCACTGACAAAGCAACAGGAGGACATCTTCTGTCCCT
The DNA here is from genome assembly GCF_000001405.40 of Homo sapiens. Lineage (NCBI taxonomy): Eukaryota > Metazoa > Chordata > Mammalia > Primates > Hominidae > Homo > Homo sapiens. The sequence goes on along the minus strand of NC_000002.12, from coordinate 172,281,559 downwards.
GGGCACACGCTGGTTACCCATCAATCACTTTTTATTGACCTTGAACTAAGATCCATAAATTCAAAAACTGCAATTTAAAAATTTTATAGGCAAACTAATGGAATATCAACTTCTACAAGGCTGATTCTTCAATAACACACTTGAAGGACATAGTCCCCTGCCAGGGATGGAGCTCTGTTTGCTGATTTTTCACTAAGGGAAGGGAGGAAGGAACACTTAGTGAGCCTCCAGTGTGTGCCAGGCACCATATGGGGTGCTTTACATATATGATACCAAATCTAAGTTGCCACCAACTGTAACACGCCCAGCAGGAAAGCAAACCTACTGCCGATTAATTGAAAGATGCCATCCAGGGTGTATTTACTGGGAAGCTAAGAGAGTTTCAGCCTCAGGGCCCTTCATTTGCATGGGCCCTTCCAATGTTCTTGGAGAGGGGCCAGCAGTGTGTTCACGTGGCCATATATTTTTGTAAAATTTGCAAAAGATATTTTAACTGCAATCAATTAGACCACTGTCTCTTTCCACTCTGACTTCCCCTCTGTCACACTTCCCCTTATGTGGGTGGCACTGGAGTGGCTATGGGCAACTTGGGGATCCTATTAAAGGGGAAGTTGAGCTGGGGATACATTTAGTCTGGGTTCAGTGGGACGTTTGTATGTGGTCTGTGCAGTTAACTTACTGCTGGGCATGCTGGGATAGAAATGGCTTCACCGCTTCTCCCCTCCACCACACTAGCTCTCCTGGCAGTAAGAAGCTCCAGTGCAGGGCTCCAGGCTGTATCCAATATAAATACATCCCACCACACTCGCCAGCAGCATATGGCCTGGGCAGCAGAAAATAAACAAGGTGTGAAGTGTGTGAGCCAGAATTTGGTCTGTGGAAAATTTTCCCAAATCTCATAGTTCATATAGGAAAGAAACTTCATAGAGGTTTTCCCCAAATTTGACAAAAAAAACTCTCAAGATTTATATGACATTACCAAAAACAGTTGTGAAGCTGGAAAACACACATTTTACTGTTGATAGTAAAAAATAAATTTTCGTCAACCATTGAGAAGGAAGACTGAACTGTCTATTCTCTCTATAGAAAACAGACATAACGAATTCATTGTCATACAGCCCACTCCCCTCCAAAAATGCAGGGCAAAGAAGTATAACAGAAGTGGGCCAGGCAGTTAATTTTTACAAATATTATGGTATTTTATGTTGTTTGTGATTTATATCACCTTTTTAAAATTTGTGGTTTGTTGTGATTTTCCCATTTAAACAAATATTCATGTTCTTACCTAATTTTGCACGTATTATTTTCTCTTTTTTATAAAGGTCCCTGAATAATATAGAGTTCAGGCCCCATAAAACTGGGGTTGTCTAGACCCCTGGATGCCATCCCAATATCAGAGACCTTTCTAATGTATGGGTGGAAATAAGAACCTTAGACCTGATTAAATACATAGCAGGTATTATTTCCTTAATTCCACATAACAACACTGGGAGGCAGGTGTGTCATTTTACAGATGAGGAAACTGGGCTCAGGAAGTTGGAAATTTTCCCAAAATTACTGCCATGGCTACATTGGCAATATTCAAAACTTAAAGCCACAAAGTGAGGCCTGAACTTTTTGAGGAGCCCTAAAGTTCCTCTATCTCCACTGAATTAGTAGAATGCAGAATCAGGATTAGAACCAGACTTTTTATCTGAAACCTTGAAGCCTTACCACAACACCTCTTTGGAAAAGAACTTCCACTACCTCCTTACAGAAATTTATATTTCCTGTTAATCCTCCAAAAAGGTATTTCATTTTCATCCTTATGTGTAATTTTGCAATTAAATGACTATCTTCTGTTCAGGAGTTTTAGGGATTTTAGAAAGGACCCATCCCCAAACTCTGCTCCCAATTGCTGTCCCCCGTGCCCAGACCAATCAGAGAGGACTTTGCCATTAGACACCCTTTGAGTTAAAACATAAAAGCTCCTTCCTCTCAAAATGTATATGTATACTTAGAAGTAGAAACTCAATGAGGAAGCTATTCTTCATCATTAAGAACTTAACAAGAATGTATATTTCAAAAGCACTAACACCGCAGGATTCCTGGGGGGAAGGCGTTGTAGTGGTGCTGGCAGGGTCTGTTTTGTTATGGAGGTGGGGCAGACACAGACGGTCCCAGGCAACCAGAAGGCAGCAGTGCTGTAGCCATTTCCACCTCCATTCTACCTAGCACACTATAGTTATTAAAAACTAATCAGGCCAGTGCAGTGGCTCAGGCCTATAATCCCAGCACTTTGGGAGGCCGAGGTGGGTAGATCGCTTGAGCTTAGGCATTTGAGACCAGCCTGGACAATGTGGCAAATCTTGTCTCTGCAAAAAATACAAAAATTAGCTGGGCTTGGTGGCGCATGCCTGCAGTCCCAGCTAGTCGGGAGGCTGAGGTGGGAGGATCGCTTGAGCCCAGGGGGCCAAAGCTGCAGTGAGCCAAGACTGTACACTGTACTCCAGCATGGATGACAGAACCAGACCCTGTTTCAAAAAAAAAAAAAAAAAAAAAAAAACGCTAATCGGTTAGTTCCTGGTACAAAACTTCTCCTGGCCATTAAGCTGGCACCACTGAATCCAGTATTTCAGGGGACTACATACAAGCAGTCCCAGTGGGGACTTTCCATCCTTGCAGATGTCATCACCGACACCAGCCTGAGCTCCCTGTCTCCCTTTGCCATGATTTATGGGGAGAAAGCTGAGGTTTAAGGCAGAAGTTTAATTGGCGGTCCACGAAACTGCTTGAAATTTGTTGCAGGAGTAAGATGAGACTGCAATTCTTAAGGGAGACAGTCAAATACTAAAGGGATTTATGAGCTCCCCAAAAGTTTAAGAACCACCGTTGTAGAAGAAAAGCACTGAAATAAAATTAGTACAAGTCTCAGAGGGAGGCTGATACCAAAAACATAGTCAAGTGATGTCAGGTGGTGCGTGTGTAGGTATGTGGATAAGAAAAAGTTTGTTACGTTTAAGTGGTGTGCAATGTTTTTAACTTGCTAGATAATCAGTTAAGAAATTCTGGTTTTTATTAAATCATTAAAATAATTAGTTAATATTTTCTCTCTTGACATGCCTATATTATATACATAATACTAGAGGATTCATCAGACTTCCATTTTTAACTTACTAGATCGTTTTATTTTTAATAATACAACTGAATGAGAATCCTATTTTTGGCTCCAAGTCAGACTATAAACAGAAAATATTGAGCTGCAGAGAAATCACCTTACCACAGTTTCATTTTGACCTTCTATTCCACAGCCATTTGTTTAATACATTTTGCTTTGTGTTTAGAAGTGCATTATTTATTATCTGAATTAAGCTGTAATTTGTTTCCATTAATACAAAAAAACGCTCTGCCAACTCAACCAGCTTCTTGTATCAATGAAAATCATGATCTCATTAGGAGTTGCTTTAAGAAAAAATGCAGCTTTTTCTTTTTTTTTTTTTTTTTTTTTTCCTGAGACAGAATTTTGCTCTTGTTGCCCAGGCTGGAGTGCAATGGCGCAGTCTCAGCTCACCGCAACCTCCACCTCCCAGGTTCAAGCAATTCTCTTGCCTCAGCCTCCCAAGTAGCTGGGATTACAGGCATACACCACCACGCCCTACTAATTTTGTATTTTTAGTAGAGACAAGGTTTCTCCATGTTGGTCAGGCTGGTCTCAAACTCTTGACCTCAGGGGATCCGCCCACCTCGGCCTCCCAAAGTGCTGGGATTACAGGCATGAGCCACTGTGCCCGGTCAGCTTTTTCTTAAGAAAGCAGCTTCTCTGCCCGACCTTCATCTTGCTTCCTTAACCCATCTCCCTCTGGATATGCCAAAATGCTTCCATCTCATACTTCTGTCCTGTTGGGTCCTTCCAATCCTTGACCCACCACCCCACAAACCTAATTTGGGCACCTGAGTCAGGGCTTTCCAGTTTGTGTCTTTGAGAGAAAGGATCTGCCCTTAGCTTGAGAGAAACTGTAACCTGGAACAACACGCCCTTTAATAGGGATGTTTGTTCAGCGTTGGTTGCACATTCATCCAAACCCACTGCACAGCTCCCTTGAGCACCACCTCTTGAGAGGGTTTGTTAGACTTATTGCAAATAAATGGACAAAGTTTTCAAGAGGTAGCATTTCTTAATTTCCCAAATGGTTGGGTTTGGGGTTTGGTTATTTGAGGCTTGTTTATTCTTTTTTATTTCTACAAAGATGATTGCCCCTCTCTGCCCCTCTCCAGCCTTCCTGACCACAGCAGACCATGTGATGATGTGAAAGCAGTTAAGCCCAAAATGCTTGACATCATTCCCATATTTGGGGACTTTCCCACCCTAGAGGTTCTTACCTCCCCACAGCTGAAACCAGAAAACTGACTTTCCCTGATTCCCTTGCAGCTAGACCTCACCATGTGACCCAGGCTCTGCCAATCAGATAGTCTAACAAACAGCTTCATTTGGAATTGAGGCCATGAGCAAGCCAACTGTGCAGAATCCATTTGCTAGAAAGGGTGGCAGTAGTGTGTCCAGATCCTAGGGGCAACAATGGCATGAGCTGTGCTGAGGGGGTCTAGACTTGGAGGCAGCTGCAGAGACCCTTTCTGACTCACTCCCAGGGTGTGGTTGGTTTGAGCCTTGTTCTGACCTGCTGGCCTACAAGCCTGACTTTCTGGCCCTCTAGAAATTTTGAAAGTATCTTCATATCCTCTAATAAACTCCTTTTTCTGCTGAAACGACTGCAAATGGGTTTTGGTTTTGGTAACAGATCCTTGATGGATACAATGCCCACGAAGACCTGCATGGTCTCCAGCCAGCCTGCTTCTCCTATTGGACCTGTTAGTGTTCTTCCCCTCTTACTGGGCCCTCGTCTTCTCCCCCAAGGAGTTAAGTTCTCTCCTGCCTCAGCCTTCGCAGGTGCTGTTTCTCAGCTGGGAATGTTCTGCCCCTGCTCCAACCCTGGCTCCCTCCTGAACTCCAAACACAGCTCAAAACTGACTGGGTTAAGTCTTCCCAATACACCCTCCTGGCATCCTAGACTAGCCCTGCTTGGTACTCATCACAGTTGAAATTAAATACTTAGTTGGTTAGTGATTTTCTCTCTGAAGAGACTGTAATAATCAAAATAATAACATTTATTGCACTCTTTCCAAATGCCAGGAAGACTTCTAAGCACTTTACATGGATCACCTCATTCCATCTTCACTAAAACCCTAACGAAAGTATTATTATAAAACCTATTTTACACATGGAGAAACTTAGACCGAGCACTTAAGAAACAAATCCTAGGCCACACAAAAAGTATGGGCTGGAGCCAACATCAGAACCCAGAAAATCTCACACTAGATCACACTCTTAATACCATCTGTCATCTCTACAGTGGGTGCCTGCATCCCAGAACTTGTGTAAAATAAGTTATTGGAAGGTGAGAAGAAAATATTAGAAACTTATATAGATATATACATTTGTAACTCCTCTGGATTAATTTATTTTGCCTGTTCATTTTGTAATGTACACAAATCATTTTACTTGATGTGCATAACATAGCAATATATTACATAATTTATAAATAAAAAACAGAGTAGTTCAGCTCAATGTTTTTCCTATAGGGATGTAAAATGACTAATGTTTGGAGACTACTGCTCTCAACTATGAGCTTTGTGAAAGCAGGACTGTCACTCACAGCACCTCAGCAGCTAGCACAGAAGCCTGACACATAGCTACTACCTGATAAATATGTGTTGGCTGAATACTGTCCCTTCTAACACTGGGAATGCCAGCACCAAAAGAAAGAATGCTCCAATGTCCACTACATAAGTTCGTTCAGGTTCCCGATATTTCTGTGTCTGTGATGACTTCCTTTCTTGCTCCTTCTCAGATTCTGAATCCGAGACATGATGTTTTCACCCATGCTTGTAGACTCGCCGCTCCCAGCAGAGAATAATGTTCATTTGAGCAAGAGGCAGCAGCAGCCCCCAGGCAGCCTGTGGTTCCTGGATTATTTTGCACTGACCCGCTGTCATTGCTAGTGAAGCATAGGTAGGGGATTGCTGGTGCAAGGTGCAGCTCAGGGACGTGCAAAGCCACTTGTGGAAACTCTGCCCACCCCTGTTCCTCTTTCTGCCTCTTTTGACCTGCCTAACTAATTTGAGCTCCCCATTTCTCTGCAGATACAAAGACTCCTGAAGGCTTGGGAGGGAGCGAGGACATGGCTGAGCAAGGAAGAAAGGGAAGGGGACAACAGGATTTTTATGAAGGAGTGAAAAGGAAGGACAATTTGAGAACATGACCTGTCTTCCTTCTCTGACATGGAGGCTGGTGAAAGTGAATCATCACTGAACAAATTCTTGCTAAGTTAAAAACAAATTAAAATCGCCATCTAATGTGGGTAAAGAGATGCAACTAGCTAACTGCGTGGGTGTGGATTTCCCACATGGCCCCTGAAAGCACTGCTTTGGACAGGGCTCCTACCCCATAAAGCTTATTTTTCAGTCATTTTTAGAACTTGCATCAGTTCAACTGTTTTTAGATAGGTTTGTGGGTTGTTTTTTCTTTAAAAGTCTACACAAAGCAGCCTGTGGAAATGTCAGAGGCATGTGAACCAGAACAACTCCATCTTTAATAGGAGCTGGGTAAAGTGAGGCTGACACCTACTGGGCTGCATTCCCAGGTGGTTAAGGCATTCTAAGTCACAGGATGAGATAGGAGGTCAGCACAAAGTACAGGTCATGAAGACCTTGCTGATAAAACAGGTTGCAGTTAAGGAGCTGGCCAAAACCCACCAAAACCAAAATAGTGACGAGAGTGACCTCTGGGCAGCCTCACTGTTACACTCCCACCAGCGCCATGACAGTTTAAAAAATGCCATAGCAACGTCAGGAGCCCTATGTGGTCTAAATAGGGGAGGCATGAATAATCCATCCCTTGTGTAGCATATCATCAAGAAATAACCATAAAAATGGGCAACCAGCAGCTCTCGAGGCTGCTATGTCTATGGAATAGCCATTCTTTTATTCTTTTACTTTCTTAATAAACTTGCTTTCCCTTTGCACTGCAGACTCGCCCTGAATTCTCTCTTGCACAAGATCCAAGAACCCTCTCTTGGGGTCTGGATCGGGAACCTTTTCCTGTAACAGAAACATCAGACCTAACCACCAAAGAACATTCCGGTTAGAGGTTTACAGGTCAGGGAGCTGAGCCATGTGAAGACGCCAGCAGCTGTATTTGCAGGCACAGGTGTGGCCCTTTGCAGGGCAGCCACAGAAGGTCAGCCTGACCTGTGGAAACCATTCCTGGGGCTAACAGAGACCCATGGACCAGTCTCCCACTGGCAGACTCGCTATCAGTCTTTCTTGTTAGACCTCCACCACCTTAATGCCCATGTGGGTGGCATGGGGGATGCAAACAGCAGATGGGCTCAGTCTATTGTGCTGCACTCTCTAGACAGGAAGTGGCAATTAACTGCTGCAGAGTGGGACTGGTTGTTGATAAAGGCCCCTCCTACAGCTGTATCCATTCTGTGTTCAAAAACAAATGAACTACCCCATCCACGTCTTCTTTGAGGAGACAGCTCTGAAGCTGGCCTCCTCCAAGGGGCCACCTGCCAGACTCTTCAGAGGCACAGTTCTCCTTTATTTAAGGCATATGAAATTTGATGGAAACATTCAATACATATTTAAATTTTTATTTTTAATTGACAAATTATATATATATTCATGGGGTACAATGCAATGTTTTGATATATGTATACATTATGGAATGAGTAAATCAAACTAATTAGCATCTCCATCACCTCATCTGCTTAGCATTTTTTTATGGTGGGAACATTTAAAATCTACTGTCTTAGCAATTTTGAAAAATACAATTCATTATTATTAACTATAGTTATCATGCTTAATACATTTTTAAAGCTAAAGATATCTTGAAATCATTGTTAAAGTGACCATACTGTCCAAAGCAATCTACAGATTCAATGCAATCCCTAACAAATTACCAACATCATTTTTCACAGAATTAGAAAAAAGAATCCTCAGCCGGGCGCGGTGGCTCACGCCTGTAATCCCAGCACTTTGGGAGGCCGAGACAGGCAGATCACGAGGTCAGGAGATTGAGACCATCCTGGCTAACATGGTGAAACCCCGTCTCTACTAAAAATACAAAAAGAATTAGCTGGGCGTGGTGGTGGGCGCCTGTAGTCCCAGCTACTCAGGAGGCTGAGGCAGGAGAATGGCATGAACTCGGGAGGCTGAGCTTGCAGTGAGCTGAGATTGCACCACTACACTCCAGCCTGGGCAAGAGAGTGAGACTCCGTCTCAAAAAAAAAAAAAAAGAAAGAAAAAGGAATCCTCATATTCATATGGAAACAAAAAAGAACTCAAATAGCTCCTAAGCAATCCTAAGAAAAAGGAGTAAAGCTGGAGGCATCAAATTACCTGATTTCAAATTATATTACAAGGTTATAGTAACCAAAACAGCATGGTACTGGTATAAGAATAGACACATAGATCAATGGAACAGAACAGAGAACCCAGAAATAAAGCCACATACCTACAACCAACTGATCTTCGACAAAGTCAACAAAAATATACACTGGAAAAAGGACACCCTATTCAACAGATGTTGCTAGGAAGATTGGATAGCCATATGCAGAAGAATGAAACCGGACCCATACCTCTCACCATAGACAAAAATTAACTCTAGAAGAATTTAAGGCCCAAAACTAAAATTCCCAGACAAAAGCTTAGGAAAAACTCTTCTGGACATTGGCTCTAGGCAAAGAATTTATGACTAAGTCCTCAAAAGCAAACACAACAAAAACAAAAATAGGCAAATGAGACTTAATTAAATTAAAAAGCTTCCGCACAGCAAAAGAAGCAATCAGCAGAATAAACAGACAACCTACAAAATGGGAAAAAATATTTGCAAACTATGCATCCAACAAAGGGCTAATATCCAGAATCTACAAGGAACTCAACAAGAAAAAACAAATAGCACCACTAAAAGGTGGGCAGAGGACATGAACATTTTTCAAAAGAAGGCATATAAGCAGCCAACAAACATGAAGAAATGCTCAACATCGCTAATCATCAGAGAAATGCAAATTAAAACCACAATAAGATACCATATTACACCAGTCAGAATGACTATCATTAAGAAGTTGAAAAAACAACAGATGTTGGTAAAGATGCAGAGAAATAGGAACTTTTACTCTCTTTGTGGGAATGTAAATTAGTACAACCTTTATGTAAAACAGTACGGAGACTTCTCAAAGAACTAAAAATAGAACCACTATTCTATTCAGCAATCCCAATACTGGGTATATACCCAAAGGGGGAAATATCATTATATCAAAAAGATTCTGCACTTGTATGTTTATCACAGCACTATTCACAATAGTAAAGATATGGAATCAATCTAAGTATCCACCAATGGAGGACCGAATTTTAAAAATGTGGTATATACTCATATTCTCACTTATAAGTGAGAGCTAAACAATGAGAACATATGGACACAGGGAGGGAAACACCACATACTGGGGCCTATCAGGGGTTGGGGGAGAGGGAGCATCAGGATAAACAGCTAATGCATGCAGGGTGCTTAATACCTAGGTGATGGGTTGATAGGTGCACAAACCACCATGGCACACGTTTACCTATGTAACAAACCTACACATCCTGCACATGTATTATTATTCCACATGAGTGGAATAATAGACACTGGAGACTCCAAAAAGGAGGAGGGCAGGAGAAATGTAAGAAATCTGCACATGTAAGAAATCTAGCTGGGTGCGGTGGCTCAGGCCTGTAATCCCAGCACTTTGGGAGGCCAAGGCGGGCAGATCACAAGGTCAGGAGATCATCCTGGCTAACACGGTGAAACCCCGTCTCTACTAAAAATACAAAAATTGCTGGGCATGGTGGCATACGCCTGTAGTCCCAGGTACTCTGGACGCTGAGGCAGGAGAATCACTGCAACCCGGGAGGAGGAGTTTGCAGTGAGCCAAGATCGCGCCACTGCACTCCAGCCTGGGCAACAGAGCGAGACTCTGTCTCAGGGAAAAAAAAAAAAAAAAGAAAAAAGAAAAAAAAGAAATCTGCCATTATACTCACTAAATCTATAAAAATTAAAAATAAATCTTAAAAAGGTATCTTGAAAAACACTTTATAAAATACATTTTAAAAATATTTTCTCTACAAATATGTACTTGATATTCACATTTATTGCTATTGTTTGAATCTGCCCCAAAATTCTTGGGTGGAAATGTAATCCCCATTTGGTGGTGTTAAGAGAAGGGCTTCTGGGAAGTGATTAAGTCATCATGATATAGGAGTTAAAAAGAAATTATTTAGGCAGATAGTGAGGGTAAGGAAGTCCTCAGTAAGGTTTTCCTTTTAATGAAAAGTGCCCCCAAATCATTTTCTTTTCTAACAAAGAGCAGCCTGTAAAATTGAGCTGTAGACATAAACAAGGAAACTGGAAGCTTGCACAAGTGAATGCCCGTGGTTGTGCCAATAGAAGAAAAATGCTATCTGGGACTAGGCATGATCAAAATGGTGGCTCTAACTTCTCTTTGCCAGCCACATGTACAGTAAGGAGCAGACAAGGTGGCACCAGCCAAGTGGAAAGCCCATTTGCATCATAAGATTAGGGTGGGGATGACCGGCCTTCCCTGCTCCATATATAAACATTCCCAGATGGCTGAATAGGAGCAGCTCAGGTCTGCAGCTCCCAGCATGATCAACACAGAAGATGAGTGATTTCTGCATTTCCAACTGAGGTAACTGGTTCATCTCACTGAGACTGGTTGGACAGTGGGTGCAGCCCACGGAGGGCAAGCAGAAGCAGTGTGGGGCGTCACCTCACCCGGGAAGCACAGGGGTTGGGGGATTTCCCTTTCCTAGTCAAGGGAAGCCGTGACAGACTACACCTGGAAAATTGGTACACTCCCACAAATACTGGGCTTTTCCCATGGTCTTAGCAACCAGCAGACCAGGAGATTCTCTCCCGTGCCTGGCTTGGCAAGTCCCACATCCACGGAGCCTTGCTCACTGCTAGTGCAGCACTCTGAGATCAACCTGTGAGGCTGCAGCCTGGTGGGGGGAGGGGCATCCACCACTGCTGAGGCTTGAGTAGGTAAACAAAGTGGCCAGGAAGCTCAAACTCGGCAGAGCCCGCCACAGCTCAGCAAGGCCTACAGCCTCTATAGACTCCACTTCTGTGGGCAGGGCACAGCTGAACAAAAGGCAGCAGACAACTTCTGCAGACTTAAACGTCCCTGTCTGACAGCTCTGAAAAGAGCAGTGGTTCTCCCAGCACAGGTGTTTGAGCTCTGAGAATGGACAGACTGCCTCCTCAAGTGGGTCCCTGACCCCCATGTAGCCTAACTGGGAGACACCTCCCAGTAGGGGCCGACAGACACCTAATACAGGTGGGTGCCCCTCTGGAATGAAGCTTCCAGAGGAAGAATCAGGCAGCAATATTTGCTGTTCTGCAATATTTGCTGATCTGCAATATTTGCAATTCTGCAGCCTCCACTGGTGATACCCAGGCAAACAGGGTCTGGAGTGGACCTCCAGCAAACTCCAACAGACCTGCAGCTGAAAGTCCTGACTGTTAGAAGGAAAACTAACAGAAAGGAACAGCATCAACACCAACAAAAAGGACAGCCACACCAAAACCCCATCTGTAGGTCACTATCATCAAAGACCAAAGGTAGATAAAATCACAAAGATGGGGAGAAGCCAGAGCAGAAAAGCTGAAAATTATAAAAACCAGAACGCCTCTTCTCTTCCAAAGGATTGCAGCTCCTCGCCAGCAACAGAACAAAGCTGGACAGAAAATGACGAGTTGACAGAAATAGGCTTCAGAGGTCAGTAATAACAAACTTCTCCGAGCTAAAGGAGCATATTTTAACCCATAACAAGGAAGCTAAAAATCTTCAAAAAAGGTTAGATGAATGGCTAACTAGAATAAACAGTGTAAAGAAGACCTTAAATGACCTGATGGAGCTGAAAACTATGGCACGAGAACTTCGTGACACATGCACAAGCTTCAATAGCTGATTTGATCAAATGGAAGAAAGGATATCAGTGATTGAAGATCAAATTAATGAAATAAAGTCAGAGGACAAGATTAGAGAAAAAAAGAGTAAAAAGAAATAAACAAAGCCTCCAAGAAATATGGGACTATGTGAAAATACCAAATCTACATTTGATTGGTGTACCTGAAAGTGATGGGGAGAATGGAATCAAGTTGGAAAACACTCTTCAGGGTATTATCCAGGAGAACTTCCCCAACCTAGCAAGGCAGGCCAACATTCAAATCCAGGTAATACAGAGAACACCACAAAGACACTCCTCAAGAAGAGCAACTCCAAGACACATAATTGTCAGATTGACCAAAGTTGAGATGAAGGAAAAAATGTTAAGGGCAGCCAGAAAGGTCAGGTTGCCTAAAAAGGGAAGCCCATCAGACTAACAGCAGATCTCCCAGCAGTAACCCCACAAGCCAGAAGAGAGTGGGGGCCAATATTCAACGTTCTGAAAGGAAAGAATTTTCAACCCAGAATTTCATATCCAGCCAAACTAAGCTTCATAAGTGAAGGAGAAATAAAATCCTTTACAGACAAGCAAATGCTGAGAGATTTTGTCACCACCAGGCCTGCCTTACAAGAGCTCCTGAAGGAAGCACTAAACATGGAAGGGAAAAACCAGTACCAGCCACTGCAAAAACATGCCAAATGGTAAAGAACATCAATACTATTAAGAAACTGCATTAATTAATGGGCAAAATAACCAGCTAACATCATAATGACAGGATCAAATTCAAACATAACAATATTAACCTTAAATGTAAATGGGCTAAATGCCCCCATTAAAAGACACAGACTGGCAAATTGGATAAAGAGTCAAGACCCATCAATGTGCTATACTCAGGAGACCCATCTCATGTGCAGAAATACACATAGGCTCAAAATAAAGGAATGCAGGAAGATCTATCAAACAAATGGAAAGCAAAAAAAAGCAGGGGTTGCAATCCTAGTCTCTGATAAAACAGACTTTAAACCAACAAAGATCAAAAGAGACAAAGGCCATTACATAATGGTAAAGGGATCAATTCAACAAGAAGAGCTAACTATCCTAAATATATATGCACCCAATACAGGAGCACCCAGATGCATAAAGCAAGTCCTTAGAGACCTACAAAAAGAGACTTAGACTCCCACACAATGATAATGGGAGACTTTAACACCCCACTGTTAATATTAGATCAATGAGAAACAAGGTTAACAAGAATATCCAGGACTTGAACTCAGCTCTGCACCAAGCGGACCTAATAGACATCTACAGAACTCTCCACCCCAAATCAACAGAATATTCATTCTTCTCAGCACCACATCACACTTATTCTAAAACTGACCACATAATTGGAAGTAAAGCACTCCTCAGCAAATGTAAAGGAACAGAAATCACAACAAACTGTCCCTCAGACCACAGTGCAATCAAATTAGAACTCAGGATTAAGAAACTCACTCAAAACCACACAAGTACCTGGAAACTGAACAACCTGCTCCTGAATGACTACTGGGTACATAATAAAATGAAGGCAGAAATAAAGACGTTTTCTTGAAACCAATGAGAACAAAGACACAACATACCAGAATCTCTGGGACACATTTAAAGCAGTGGTTAGAGGGAAATTTATAGCACTAAATGCCCACAAGAGAAAGCAGGTAAGATCTAAAATTGACACCCTAACATCTCAATTAAAAGAACTAGAGAAGCCAGAGCAAACACATTCAGAAGCTAGCAGAAGGCAAGAAATAACTAAGATCAGAGCAGAACTGAAGGAGATAGAGACACAAAAAACCCTTCAAAAAAATCAATGAATCCAGAAGCTGATTTTTTGAAAAGATCAACAAAATTGATAGACCACTAGCAAGATTAATAAAGGAGAAAAAAGAGAAGAATCAAATAGACACAATAAAAAATGATAAAGGTGATATCACCACCAATCCCACAGAAATACAAACTACTATCAGAGAATACTATAAACACCTCCACGCAAATAAACTAGAACATCTAGAAGAAATGGATAAATGCCTGGACACATACACCCCCCAAGACTAAGCCAGGAAGAAGTTGAATCTCTGAATAGACTAATAACAGGCTCTGAAATTGAGGCAATAATTAATAGCCTACCAACCAAAAAAAGTCCAGGACAAGATGGGTTCACAGCCGAATTCTACCAGAGGTACAAAGAGGAGCTGGCACCATTCCTTCTGAAACTATTCCAATCAACAGAAAAAGAGGGAATCCTCCCTAACTCATTTTATGAGGCCAGCAACATCCTGATACCAAAGCCTGGCAGAGACACAACAAAAAAAGAGAATTTTAGACCAATATCCCTGATGAACATTGATGCAAAAATCCTCAATAAAATACTGGCAAACCGAATCCAGCAGCACATCAAAAAGCTTATCCACCATGATCAAGTTGGCTTCATCCCTGGGATGCAAGGCTGGTTCAACATATACAAATCAATAAACATAATCCATCACATAAACAGAACCAATGACAAAAAACACATGATCATCTCAATAGATGCAGAAAAGGCCTTCGACAAAATTCAACAGCCCTTCATGCTAAAAACTCTCAATAAACTAGGTATTGATGGAACGTATTTCAAAATAATAAAAGCTATCTATGATAAACCCGCAGCCAATATCATACTGAATGGGCAAAAACTGGAAGCATTCCCTTTGAAAACCAGCACAAGACAAGGATGCCCTCTCTCACCACTCCTATTCAACATAGTGTTGGAAGTTCTGGCCAGGGCAATCAGGCAAGAGAAAGAAATAAAGGGTATTTGATTAGGAAAAGAGGTAGCCAAATTGTTCCTGTTTGCAGATGACATGATTGTATATTTAGAAAACCCCATCCTCTCAGCCCAACGTCTCCTTAAGCTGATAAGCAACTTCAGCAAAGTCTCAAGATACAAAATCAATGTGCAAAAATCACAAGCATTCCTATACACCAATAACAGACAAACAGAGAGCCAAATCATGAGTGAACTCCCATTCACAATTGCTACAAAGAGAATAAAATACCTAGGAATGCAACTTACAAGGGATGTGAAGGACCTCTTCAAAGAGAACTACAAACCACTGCTCAACGAAATAAAAGAGGATGCAAACAAATGGAAGAACATTCCATGCTCATGGATAGGAAGAATCAATATTGTGAAAATGGCCATACTTTCCCAAGGCAATTTATAGATTCAATGCCATCCCCATCAAGCTACCAATGACTTTCTTCACAAAATTGGAAAAAACTACTTTAAAGTTCATATGGAACCAAAAAAGAGCCTGCATTGCCAAGACAATCCTAAGCAAAAAGAACAAAGCTGGAGGCGTTACGCTACCTGACTTCAAACTATACTACAAGGTTACAGTAACCAAAACAGCATGGTACTGGTACCAAAACAGAGATATAGACCAATGGAACAGAACAGAGGCCTCAGAAATAACACCACACATCTACAACCATCTGATCTTTGACAAACCTGACAAAAACAACAATGGGAAAGAATTCCCTATTTAATAAATGGTGCTAGGAAAACTGGCTAGCCATATGTAGAAAGCTGAAACTGGATCCCTTCCTTACACCTTATACAAAAATTAATCCAAGATGGATCAAAGACTTAAATGTTAGCCCTAAAACCATAAAAACCCTAGAAGAAAACCTAAGCAATACCATTCAGGACATAAGCATGGGCAAAGGCTTCATGACTAAAACACCAAAAGCAACGGCAACTAAAGCCAAAATTGACAAATGGGATTTAATTAAACTAAAGAGCTTCTGCACAGCAAAAGAAACTAGCATCAGAGTGAGCAGGCAACCAGAGAATGGGAGAAAATTTTTGCAATCTACCCATCTGACAAAGGGCTAATATGCAGAATCTGCAAAGAAGTTAAACAAATTTACAAGAAAAAAACAAACAACCCCATCAAAAAGTGGGCAAAGGATATGAACAGACACTTCTCAAAAGAAGACATTTATGCAGCCAACAGACACATGAAAAAATGCCCATCATCACTGGTCATCAGAGAAATGCAAATCAGAACCACAATGAGATACCATCTCACACCAGTTAGAATGGCGATCATTAAAAAGTCAGGAAACAACAGATGCTGGAGAGGATGTGGAGAAACAGGAACACTTTTACACTGTTAGGATTGTAAATTATTTCAACCATTGTGGAAGACAGTGTGGCAATTCCTCAAGGATCTAGAATTAGAAATACCATCTGACCCAGCAATCCCATTACTGGGTATATACCCAAAGGATTATAAATCATGCTACTCTAAAGACACATGCACATATATGTTTACTGCAGCACTATTCACAATAGCAAAGACTTGGAACCAACCCAAATGCCCATCAATGATAGACTGGATTAAGAAAATGTGGCACATATATACCATGGAATACTATGCAGCCATAAAAAAGGATGAGTTCATGTCCTTTATAGGGACATGGGTGAAGCTGGAAACCATCATTCTCAGCAAACTAACACAAGAACAGAAAATCAAACACCACATGTTCTCACTCATAAGTGGGAATTGAACAACGAGAACACTTGGACACAGGAAGGGGAACATCACACACCAGGGCCTGTTGGGGAGTAGGGGGTTGGGGGAGGGAGAGCGTTAGGAGAAATACCTAATGTAAATGATGAGTTGATGGATGCAGCAAACCAACATGGCACATGTATACCTATGTAACAAACCTGCACATTGTGCATATGTACCCTAGAACTTCAAGTATAATTTTAAAAAATAATAATAAATAAACGTGACACCGGGTTGAACCAATCTGTGGGCCCTACGTAAATCAGACACTGCATCTCAACCTTGCCTATAATATCTGCTGCAGTCTGCCATGTTTCCCTATCAGACGGCTCTCTTTCACAAGAAAGCTAGTCTCCTCTCTCCTTTCTTCTGCCTATTAAACTTTCTACTCTTTAACTCACTCCATGTGTGTATGTCCATGTTGTTAACCTTCTCTGCACGAGACGATGAACCACAGGTATTTACCCCAGACAATGATGCCGCTTCAGTGAGGGCTCATGAATGGATTAGTGCCTTATAAAGGGTTGAATGGAACTAGCTTAGGCCACTTTTTGCTCTTCCACTCTTCTACTACGGGAGGACTCAGTAAGAAGATCCTCACCAGACACCAAATTCATTGCTGTTCTGATCTCGGACTTCCCAGTCTCCAGAAATGTGAGAAATAAATTTCTGTTCTTTATAAATTGCCCAGTCTCAGGCATTTTGTTACAGCAGTGCAAATGGACTAAGACAGTCATCAATTCAGCAATCTTTTAGTTATTGCTTGCTATGTGCCAGGGAGTATGCTAATTTATAAAATCTACAAATGGTTATGCTATGAAGTTTGAACTAAAATATTAGCCATCTAATCTTCACACCAAAAATTATTTTAAACACCCAAAATGATAGAAAATATGTATTCCCATTGTTATCTCACTTGTAATTCTTAATCAAGTGCATTCACCTGAGTCATATTGGGAGATTTTTGTTGTTGTTGTTGTTGTTGAGATATGGTCACATCTGTCACCCATGCTGGTATGCAGTGATGCTATCTCAGCTCACTGCAACCTTTGCTTCCCAGGCTCAAGTGATCCTCCTACCTCAGCCTCCCGAGTAGCTGGGACTACAGGGATGCAATACCACACCCAGCTAATTTTTTGTATTTTTAGCAGAGACACGGTTTCATCATGTTTCCCAGGCTAGTCTTGAACTCCTGGGCTCAAGTAATCCTCCCACTTTAGATTCCCAAAGTGCTGGGATTATATGTATGAGGCACCACACCCGGCCTTTGGGATCTTTTTAAAAGTACAGATCCCAAGGTAGCATCCCAGACCCATGAAATCAGGATTTCTAAGAATGGGTCCCAGGTTTTCTAAGAATGGGTCCTTTGAAGATGCACCCACGTCATTACAAAGTTTCTCTCTCATTCAGAGCCACTGATCTGGATGATCTTAATAGTAGCTGAACGGTTGAGATCCACAGTACCTAGTTGCTAATAGCTGGCTAAAAACCAAATTTCTGTATTATTTTAAATTAATTGCCATTGGACGTGGCCACATTTATTGAGCAGGGGCCATGTGATTGGTGGGGTGGCATTTCAGCTAAAGGGGGATCCAAAGCATGATGAACACCATGACCCAAGATGTCCAGAGCAAAAAAGGACAAGGGTCTCAGAGAGGACATGAGGGAAGTAAGACAAGGAGACTACATCAAATGCTTAAGTAGGTGCCCCAGAAATAAGATCAATCCTAGCCACCCAGCGAGTGGCATAGGGAACCACAGACTGTGTCCAAACCTTACTCCCTAGAAAGAGCATCTGCATTCCAGCATTGGTTCAAGCACCAGACCCAGTCAATAGCAGGCCCTGACAGCTTATAGATAGGCAAAGTAGGGGCCATTGTTCCCTACATTTAAAAACTGGGGCAAAAACACTCATGGAGAATTCTATTAGTGTCAGGGAAACCCATTTATATAGAGTTTAATTTTTACAGAGAAAAGTGTAACAGTGAGTGCTTATAAAGTGTCTACTATGGACTCTGTTCTACGTGCTGTAAATGATAGAACCCAATGCTACTATTAGATACCTACTACTTCTAGAACCCTGCAAGTGAGGGGAGCTGGGTCATAATTAAAGCAGCTCCAGAAAGGTTAAAATCCATCGCTTTCATCAACAAGACCCTCTGTGTTTCTGCCCTAGTGGCATGACCCTGACCTTCAGTAAATCAACTTTCAGGCATTCTAGACACGCTGTAGGCCCATACTACACATGCTTGTGTTGATGTTAACAAAGGAGAAGCATTCCCCTTAAGCATGACTATGAGTGTTTATTAACAAAGGACTCTAAAGCAATGCTGTTCAATAAGAATATAACATAAGCCACATAAGTAAGTTTTACATGTAAGTAGCCATGTTAAAATAACTTAAGGGGTGAAATTAATCTTAGTATAGTTTTAACCCAATATTTCTAAAATGTTACTTTAACAAATCCACATGAAAAAATTATTGATGAGACATTTTACATTCTTTTTTTCATGGTAAGTCTTTGAAATCCAGTGTGTATATTATACTCGCAATGCACATCAATTTGGAGTGCTCAGTAACTACGTATGGCTAATGGCTTCCATAATGGATGGTACAACTCCAGAGGAATGGGAACATTAGCTGCTGGAATCATCTCTCAATGCTGACTTGGAAGAATATAAGCTTTATTCCTTTTTTTTTTTTTTAAATAAAAGCCACTTTTTCTTTTAGAATGTCTCCTTGTCCAACCTGCACAATTATTTGGGATCTTTTTGTTTACATTTGAGCAGTCTCTATACACAGAAACTTTTTTTCTAATTGGCTGAATCTAGTCCCATCAGGACTCAAGGACTTTCTTGCTTGAGTCTTCCTGAATTTGGTGACTAGGAGCCTGTCAACTTTTCCAGGGCCTTTGGGGTAACTGATTTGCTTCATAGCCTTTAATAAGTCCAGCAATTTACTCTGTGAAGCGGCCCAACTTTTCAGAACTTGAGATTATACTAATGCAACCCCTTTTGTATATACCAAAGCCCCATGGCCCCTTTGGCTCCAGGCTTGTCTTTCTCTAAAATTTTTCTCAGTCTCTCCTGACATACAAAGACCAGAGTCCAACCCAGCCATCCAACTGCAGATGGTACACAAGTTAATGCAGAGATGATGTTTGGGGTCTATACCTATATTTGACATGCCTACCTCTTTCTTGCACTCCCCTTCCCTTTTTCTCAATTGTTATTACACCTTAGTAAAAAAATTATGTTCAAAAAGTTCCCAGAATTATTCTCCATTGGCCTTTTTAGTTTTAAAACAAACAAACTCTTTGAGAAAGTAGATCAGAATTTTAAAACCTCAAGCTTCAACAAGGAGTGGCCATTCTGACACTTACTCCCATGTATGAACTTGTCTAATATGTTTTTATATCCTGAAACATCATTTGGGTGACTAATATCCCCTGGGATAGGCCAGACATTTGGTTTCTTCGAACCCCACCCAAATTCTCAAGTGGGTCTCAAAAACATGCTGTAGAAAAGCCTGTGCTGATTGTTTTTAATATTCCAGAACCTTTAAAGCTAAAGACAGGTAACCAGAAAGTATTTTCCTCCTTCTGCACTAGCTGGCCTTGACCTAGAGGCTTTGGAAAGACAACGGATACAGAACTTGATGTATTGGTCATGGGCAGCTGTGGTCCATGGAGAAGGAAGAAAGCCCCACCTGCTAGTGAATGTCTTAGCCAAGGAGGGATGTAACTGTCAGGATTTTGAGAAGGACTTGAAAAGAAAAGAATGGGTGGATAAATGACAAAAGAGAGAAAAGGACATGGGTGAGGAGGGCACAGTTGGCTGGGGAAACAAAAAACAATCTCTCCAGAGCATCAGATTTACACCATCAAAAGTACAGAAAGCGGGCCTTAGGCCCCCTTTCAGGATGCCCTTTTTCTTGTTGCCTAGACAGTCCTCCCTCACTGTCTGATTGTTTCCTGGACCCGCAACCTCAGACACCAAAATTCAAGGATGCTCAAGTTCCCTCTATAAAATGGTGTAATATTTGCATATAACCTACAGACATCCTCTTGTATACTTTAAATCATCTCTAGATTACTTATAATACCTATTACAATGTCAATGCTCTGTAAATAGTTGTAGTATATTGTTTGGGAAATAATGACAAGGAAAAAAGTCTGTACAGTTCAATACAGACACAATTCTCTTTTTCGAATATTTTCAATCCTCGGTTAGTTGAATCCAGGGATGCAGAACCTGAGGATATGAAAGGCCAGCTACACTGATTTCGGCTCCCTGCAGGCTCTCCTTTCTTGTTCAAGTCTTTAAAATGCTAAGTATGGAAAAGCTGAGACAAGCTGGGGAGGAAGAGGGGGCAATCGATTATTCTTTGTCAGGCTTCTTCTCTTAAACAATGCTCAGGGCCACCAAGGTCTCAGCAATTTGACATATCTTCCTGCTCTTAGGGCTTGGCCTTCCTTCACTCCCTGCCCCACGATGGGACTCAAGACGTTTAGGGAAGGTGAAGATTTTGCATCTGTCTAGAAAGCAAGTCAGGCGGTTTTTCCCCTGCTCCTTTTAAATCCCGGGATTTTCCATCATTAGCCAGCACATGAATTCTTAAAGAGTTTCTTGCTAATCCCTGTCTAGATGATTCTAGACACACACAACCACAGTAAAGATCTAGGTTGAAGTAAGCAGCCAGCAATATCTTATTCACAAGAGAAATTCTTAAATCTTTTGTTCAAAGATGAGGATGTTTTCTGGGTTTTTTTCTAATGATACACAGAAAAGGGAAGCACATATCTGCAGTAACGAGGGAACCAGCATCACCTGAGGTGCCTGTGGCTGCCCCTTCCCTAAGCTGCCCTGTGAGGAGCGACCATTCTGCTCCATCTGACTCAAGACTCGGGATTATTTCAGCAGCTTGGATGTCTCAGGGCCTATCACCCAAGAGGGGCTGCAGAGGAGGTTAGTGGTGTAAGAAGACAGATCACTATTGTCACAGATCCTAAAGCCTCTACATTCTGGACAAGTCCTTCTGCCTTTTACCTTTCAGAGCACTATCGGCTGTTAGTAGCAGGGACCTGATGATTTTTAAACAATTTATTTTTTGGCATACTTAACTGCTGACCTAAGGAGACTGTTGACAGTTCATGATTTTGTGATTTTAAAACTCCTATGCAGGAGGCTCCCTTCAATCCAAGGTTTACAGCAATATTTAGAAATAGGCCATCGACTGATGAATGGATTTTACAAGGTGGTTATCCATGCCACATTTAGCCACACTATTCAGCCAGGAAAAGGAATGAAGTGCTGATACACGCAACAACATAGATGAAGCTTGAAAACATTATGTGTTTTCAAGTCACAGAAGGCCACATATTGTATGATTCTGTGAAATGCCAAATTGGCAAATCCATAGAGATAGAAGCAGATTCCTGGTTAACAAGGACTGACGGGAGAGAGAAATCAGAGTGACTGCTAACAGATACAAGGTTTCCTTTTGGGGCGATGAAAATATTTTGGAACTAGATCACACTGATGGTTGCACACCATTGAGAATGTACTAAATGTCTCTGATGGTAAATTTTATGTCATGAATTTTATCATATTTTTAAAGAGAGCCTGAGGTTTTTTTGGAAAAAAAAAAAAAAAGGAAACCATCCTAACCCTTACTTTTAGCAAAGGCTGCCATTCCTGAGTTCAGCTTATAATCTTGTACTTCGTTAAATGCTTCTCAGAGTTAATTGACCACCAGTTTTCTCCAATCAACCCCATAAGGGTTATATTTGACTAGGTAATATCAAGTATACTGCCCTTGGTTGGTATTAGTCAGCAAAAGGTTGCTGTCTCAATACAAGCTCACGAAGGCTTCTCACAACGGGGATGGAAAGCAGTCACATGCGATGCTCATCAAGCCAGGAAAAACTACAAGGTTCATTCCGCCCTGGGAATGGCCCTTTACTGGACCACAGCGTCTGTGCCTTTTATTGCCCGCCTCCTTTTGTTAAACATGGAGAGGGATATGGCTGGTATATACATAAATGTGTTTCAGGATAGAACACAAAAACCTGTTAATGTTGTCACCATTGACAAAGGAACTTCTCTTGTTACTTTGTACTTTTTAAATCATTTAAATGTTCTTATCATGTACTTACATGAATTTTATAGTGTATCATTCTACATTTATATTTGCATGTAAATAACACGTATATAAAAAATGCCAGCTAGGTCACTTGACTGTCTCAACTGAGTCTCATGAATTTAAAATTAGAAAACCGTCTGTTGAGGCTGGGTGCGGTGGCTCACGCCTGTAATCCCAGCACTTTGGGAGGCCGAGGTGGGCAGATCACGAGATCAGGAGATCGAGACCATTCTGGCTAACACAGTGAAACCCCGTCTCTACTAAAAATACAAAAAAATTAGCCAGGCATGGTGGTGGGCCCCTGTAGTCCCACCTACTCGGGAGGCTGAGGCAGGAGAATGGCGTGAACCCGGAGGGGTGGAGCTTGCAGTGAGTGGAGATTGCGCCACTGCACTCCAGCCTGGGCGACAGAGCGAGACTCTGTCTCAAAAAAAGAAAACAGTCTGTTGAATCCAAATTGAGAGACATGCTATAAAGCAACTCACTTGGACACTTCAAAAACGTCAGTGACATCAAGAATGAAAAAAAAATGTCAAGAAATGTTCCAGATTAAAGGAAGCTAAAGAGACCTAAAAATAACTGCAATGCATGACCTTGATTGGATCCTGGATCAGAAATTGTTTTAAAATTCTATAAAAAACATTATTGGGACAACTGGGAAATTTCAATGTGTGCCATATATTGGATAACGGCATTCTATCAATCATCAATGTTATATTGTAAGAGATGACAGGAAAATGACTTGCTTTTAGGAGATATATGCTGAAGGGGTAAAGTTTTAGCATGTCTACAACTAACTCTTGTGTATAATTGTGGAAGGTGGGGGAGAGAGTTAAAGCAAATGTAGACTTCTTTAGTTTTTGTTTGTTTGTTTGTTTGTTTTTCTAAGATGCAGTCTCGCTCTGTTGCCCAGGCTGGAGTGCAGTGGCGTGATCTCGGCTCACTGCAACCTCCACCTCCTGGGTTCAAGTGATTCTCTTGCCTCAGCCTCCAGAGTAGCTGGGATTGCAGGCACATACCACCATGCCTGGCTAGTTTTTGTATTTTTAGTAGTGACAGGGTTTCACCATGTTGGCCAGGCTGGTCTCGAACTCCTGACCTCAAGTGATCCACCCACCTTGGCCTCTCAAAGTGCTGGGACCACAGGCGTAAGCCACCATGCCCAGCTTATATGGACTTTTTTGAATTTCTACCTCATAACTGTCCTTAAAAAGAAAAAAGACACTTTGGGAGGCCGAGGCGGGCGGATCACGAGGTCAGGAGATCAAGACCATCCTGGCTAACATGGTGAAACCCCATCTCCACTAAAAATACAAAAAGAAATTAGCTGGGCATGGTGGCAGGTGCCTGTAGTCCCTGCTACTCGGGAGGCTGAGGCAGGAGAATGGCGTGAACCCGGGAGGCAGAGCTTGCAGTGAGCCAAGATCGCGCCACTGCACTCCAGCCTGGGCGACAGAGCGAGACTCCAGTCTCAAAAAAAAAGAGAGAAAAGAAAAATTCTGAATTTTTATTATACTAGCTACAGCAACAACAAACAGAAGCAGTGAAGTTCAAATTCTGAGCCACCAAGCAGAATTTTCAGTATAGTTTCCCTTACCCTTAATTTAATTACAAAACCAACATTCCCAGCAGACAGGGATTTGCTCTTCCCAGGGGCCTCCCCACAGCCAGCCCTGTTGGTCTGCCAAGAGAAGCTGCCAGCTGCCTCCACCCTCTTTGAGCCAATCTGTGCCCCGGGAAAAGCAAGTCACTTGGAGAAGCAGCTTTTCCAGTACAGTTGTATTTTATAAGGTCTACCAGATTTCCATTCCTCCCACCCCATTTATCCTTCACTTTTTTACACACACTTTTTACTATACATAACTGATGATTCAGGGGGTTAATCTGACGTGTGGCAAATCCAGACCCTTGCAGTAATTTATCTCATTGACATAATTATCTGGCTTATGGAACAACCAGTTAGAAATTTTTGTTCCCAAATAGGCAGATCTGGCTTTCTTAACCTCTTTAAGCCTCAGTTTCTCCGTCTCTAGTATGGGGTGGTAATAGTGATACTCACTCCATAGGGCTATTTGCAGAGTTAATAAGATTGTGCATGCACAGTGGCCAGAACATAGAAAGGTACTATTTAAGCACTATTTTAGGACTGACGTAAATGAGAGTGCAATTACCATTTAAAAAAAAATTTTGTTTTGAAGGAATCTGACTCTAATGTATGAAAATCAAAGATCACTTTAAGAACTCACCTTAATCATAGAAAAAGGATTCAGTGAAGACTTTTTTCTGAAAGATTCACTATGAACAAAATCATTGAAAAGTGATACTTTTAAAGGGCAAACTTATTACACAATGACACTTCCAAGATTTATTATTCCTAGTATTTAACTACTTATCTCTTCAATTTTCACACAAAGCTAATCACTAATATTATCGTATTCTAGAAGTAATTATTTTAAAAGCTTTTGCTGTAATAGCTGAAGCCTCTCTGGCTATTCCTGGTACCAAAGAAGGTAAAAGTGTTTATTTTTTTAGGACTGACATGAAAGAGATTGATTTCTGATGCCAAGAAATCACTTAGCATTCATGTGACTTCAACTTCACAGCATCTTGGAATATGTTTATCCTTAATCAAAATTCTTCCTAGAGGCAAAATGCCAACACTTTCACCTCTTTTGTACCTTCCCTCAGAAAACCCGGAGAGAGGTTGGAAACAAGGTCACGACCTAATGCTCCTCAGCCGTGCAGGCCAATGCTTTGTGGCGTCATCAGCTGCCCACCGTGAGCTGGTCACCACTTTGAGTCCAGTTCCCCCTGGCACCTCTTGCCTAGTGGATAATATCATACCTCACTTTCCAGCAGAGAAACCGAGCTGCAGAAGTT
Source organism: Homo sapiens (assembly GCF_000001405.40). Taxonomy (NCBI): domain Eukaryota; kingdom Metazoa; phylum Chordata; class Mammalia; order Primates; family Hominidae; genus Homo; species Homo sapiens. The sequence goes on along the minus strand of NC_000002.12, from coordinate 172,255,895 downwards.
GAATGAAGGTCTCTAGGGATGCTCTTGGGTCCATCATTCATTATGTGAAATATGAAAGGTCAGTAACCTATCTACCTACTTTCAAAACAACCTCTTTACCAAATTTCGACTTGATGGTATTTTTTGCAATCAGATCTAAGTCCAGCACAAATGAAAATACAGAAATTTTTATTTTTAAATTGTTATCTAATAGACATTTATTTAGGGGAAGAAAATTTCTATAAGAGTTATTGTGAGCTTAACCATGGAACAGTGGTAGTCACTATTTTAAGCACTTTACAAATATTAACTAATACAATCTTTATAATGATCTTATATTATTATCCCCATTTACAGATGAGGAGATTAAGGCATGTGAAGGGTTAAGTAACTTGCCAGAGATCATGGAAAGAGCCCTAAAACATATTGTTAAGCAAATTGCAGAATAACATATATGACCCCATTTCTTAAAAAAAATTTAATATGGGTGTGTGTGTGTATTGTAAATATATAGAGCTTGAACAGATACAATTCAATCACCATCAGTGATTGCTTCTGGAGAGGGGAGTGGTGGGGTGGAGGAGGTTAAGAGGGCTTTCAAATTTTGCTCTTTTTATTTATCATTTGATTTTTTTTTTTTTTTTTTTTTGGAGACAGGGTCTCACTCTGTTGCCCAGGCTGCAGTACAGCAGTGCAATCGTGGCTCACTGCAATATCCACCTCCCAGGCAGCTCAAGCAATCTTTCCACCTCAGCCTCCTGAGTAGCTGGGACTACAGGTGTGCACCATCACACCCAGCTAATTTTTTGTAGAAACAGGGTTTGGCCATATTGCCCAGGCTGGTCTTGAACTCCTGAGCTCAGGAGATCTGCCTGCCTCAGCCTCCCAAAGTGCTGGGACTACAGGCATGAGCCACTGTTCCCAGCCGGAATATTTCATACTGAGAATATTTCAGGCATTACATGCATAATTTTTACTTTAGAAAACTCAAATAAAGGACCAGTTCTAACAAAACAGCCACAGAAATGAGCTTCCTCTTCCTTTGAAGGCACACAGAACTCTGTGATTTGGTGTTTCAGTAACCTCCATCAAAATGTTCATTCAAACAAGCATTGCTTGCACACCTACCAGGCTAGGGACTGTTGTATATGCCACCTCACTGAATCTTCATAATTCCCCACAAGGGATGGATTCAAAATTTTTTATTTCAAATTTTAGAAGAGTATTTTGGGGTATGTGGGTTATAAAAATGGAATAATTTACGTAGCACTTTCTGTAGCACTTTTCTCTTATACATCTATTAACATTTCTTTCTTCCTCTTAAGAATATGGTGAGGTAGGAAGCTCAAGAGATTATTACTCCCAGTTTATACATGTGGGAACTAAAGCTAAAAAGAATAAATAACTCACCCAAAATCACAAGCAAATTAGGAATGCAAACTAGAAATGAGAACCAAGTCTCCTGATCCCCTAATGTTCTTGCCAGCAGAGCTCGGCTCAACCAGCCCAATCATTCCTGTCATCTTCATGCCAACAGCTGATCACAAAGTGACTGACTGTTAGGCCCCTGTAGTGGTCATCTCGTCCAGTGACCCTCATTCCTGGCTACACACTGGAATCCCCTAGAGAGCTTTTAAAATTTATCAATGCCTGGGTCTCATCCCAGAATAATTAAATCAGAATCCATATGGGTAGGATTCAGACACCTGTATTTGCTAAAAGCTCTCCAGTGATTCTAATTTATAGGCAAAGTTGAGAACCAGCATATCAGCTTTCAGGATAGCAAATAGGTGTCATTTCAGATGCTAACTCCAATTAACAGAATAGAAAGAGAAGGCCATCTAAGAAGGACCAGGAGCTGCCATGTGGGCTCAGAGGGCAGTGAACATTGTTGCCTCAGGAACTGGAGGGACGGGTGGCACAGGAGCTGTGTGCCAGCCAATCCTGATCTAATCCAACTCCCTCACTTTAAAGACAAGGAACCCAAGGCCAGAGAGTTTATGTGATTTACCATGGTAACAAAACAAGCTAGTGGCAGATCAAAGTCTAAACCAGGTCTCCTAAGGTCTAGATCAGTCCTCCATTTGTTTATATAACTGAGTGGCTCCCAACCCGATTCACGACCCCCGGGAAGACGTAAGATCACCCTGTGATTGACCTGCTCTTGCCACCACGCACCGGCAGATTCAGAGGCCTACACCCAGCGCCACTCACATCGCCAAAACAGGCGCCACTCACAGCAGCCCAGCGGCCACTGGGCGTTTCCAATACCAACTGCTCTCCCCTCCTGCCACCATTTGGGTTGTCCTTAAAAGTCAGAGAAACAGCTATTGCTGGGCCTGGAGTTGGGAGCTGTGGCCACAGCTTCCATTTATTACTAAACCATGGGAGAGGCTCCCAGGAATGTGCCTGGCAATGGGCGCCAGGCTGCCTCCCGCCATGCCCCAGGCACATCACTCTGGCATCTAAATCGCTGCCTGTCCTAGAAGCCTGTAGGGGTGACTCACGTGTGTCTGTGTGTATGTGTGTGTGTGTGTGTGTGTGACTCAAGGGTCTGTCATAAAGGCCCCATGAGTCACCCACTTCCTGACCAACACATTATGAAGACAGCTTCAGAATGCACAAAAGCACAGGAAAAGAGCCTGTTGGCCAGGAATGGGTTTTGTGTTTTCAGGAAACTGGTTACTTTTAATATAAATACACATACACAGAGAGCACCCAAGATAAAAGTCAACAAGCTTAGTGTCTCCTCATTGAGACAATGCTCTGTTCATAATGGTTTCTGAAAAATTTTTATTATGGCAAAATATACACAACATACAATTTACTATTTTAACCGTTTTTAAGTGTATAGTTCAGCAACATTAAGTCCATTCACACTGCTGTGCAAACATCGCCACTATCCCTCTTCAGAAATTTTTCATCTTCCCAAACTCAAAGTTCATATTCATTAAACAATAGCTCTCCATTCCCCTCTCCCCCAGCCCCTGGTAACCACTATTCTCTGTTTCTTTGCATTTGACTGCTGTATCTATCTGTAATGTTTTATTTCATTAATCTTTTAGGGTTTTAAAAATTGCATTGTTACCTCTTTTTCTAAGGACAAACACGGATAATCCTTTGGCTTCTTGTACCTTTCTTTTAGAATTCCCTAAATGTAAATAGAAAGGACTCTCTGGAGTTTTTATTCTCACGGGGTGGCTATAGATGGAGAAGCAGAGATGACCAGGGGCTGTTTCAATTGAGCAAAGAAGTTTGCCTTGGAGCACCAAACCCAACACACCTTGGTTGCTCACACAAAGAGGTCCCGTTTGCCACAATCCAGTGCTCTCCCCGGGTGGGTAGTGGTGGCTGTGAAAGGCAGCCCGCTTATGAGCCAAACTGTGCATCTGGGGTTCCCGCCCTCAGCAGCTTTCCTGGGAAACCAATGAAAGAGGAGAGAGGAGAACGCTGGGCTCTGGGAACTGGCGTAGTTGGCCGGCATTTCTGCGGTTGTTCATACCGTGCCTCCAAGTGCATGCGCAGACCAGCTCCAGCTCTGGGCGCCTCTGCAGGAAGCGGGAGGCTGGCGGCCCATGAGGACTGCAGCTGCTTGCACTCACTGTCCCCACGGGTGACCTCACAAAGCACACTTCCTTTGCCTGCCCACTGCTCTCAGAGGCAGTGTGGACAACCCCTCAGTGTATAGGCTTGAGAGAATCAGAAAGAGGTCCACTGCTGAGCAGCACTGTTGGGAACTTAGCCTAAGCAAAGTGCTTAGCCTGGGGTCCATGGACGCCCCACCCAATGGCAACCATGACCACAGAAAGCCAACAGTCTCGGGATTAGTGAATATTCTGAGCTCAGACTATGAATCCACTGACCTAGGTGTTTAATGAATATGAAGATATAAATGGAGTGAGCCCTTCCTTCAGAGCGCTCACAGCCTGGTTAGGAAGCTAGGACTCAGAGCCTAGGTCTCCAGCTAGGTGAAACTGTGCCGGATACCGTGTTCATACACTGTGTTCATACGTGGTGAAGAAGGTGCTAGCAGAGTTGGCTAGCTTCAGGAGGAAGCTGAGTCCTGAGACTCTCAGGGGCAGATTCCTTTATAAAGGTGCGACCTTTTTGGAGTACAGTTGTACATCTGAGAGGTTTTTAAAATTTTTGATTTTTGATCTCTTTGAAACAGGCCTCAACCATATGTTCCCAAGCCCCTGGGTTGCTGACTGGCAAGAGGAGAGAAGCCACTCCACCAAGCTGAAACAGTACCTGTCCCTCACGGTGGGGAGCTGAGGCAGCCCAGCAACCAGTCAATTTTTGCAGGACCAGAAGCACCATTAGAGGCCTTGCTTGCTGATTCATTTCCATACCTCGTTGATCTCCACCCACAGAACAATATGTAGAAGCATTTTCAAACAGTTCGCACCAAATGCCCTCACTAACATTCCAAAGCAGCTACAGAGGAAATTAATGGTTTCCTTCAGAGGCTTTTATTTATACAAATGCAAAAACTCCTATTTATACCTTCCCAGATTTGTAGACCTCTTGCTGTTGTTTTTTCCTCCTGTTGCTTGGAGTAAAGAAGTGGGAATGATGCAAAAATGAAACCACTTTAGTAATACAGGAGAGTGACCGTTTGGTGTCAAATTGTGGACTATGGTGAGTACATGCATGGAGTCAGGAGACACAGAACAGCCAGTGACCCTGTAGTGCAAACATGATCAAGTCCCACACACCTTTCCCATCTATAAACCTTTGAATGCCTTCCCATTGCTCTAGGAAAAAGACGAAATTCTTAATGGGGCTTGCCTTTCTCTCTCTGGTGCTTGCCTGTCTCTCTCTGGTGCTTGCCTGTCTGTCTCTGGTGCTTCTCTAGCCTCATTTTGCAGCCACTTTGCCCCCTCTACAGTCACGCCCCCTTTGTCTTTCAGTTCCGTGATTGTATCATGTTCCCTCCAGTCTCAGCACCTTTACGCGCATGCATTCCTCCTGCCTAGAATATCGTTCCTGCTCAGCCCTTCATCTAGTTTAACCCCTAATACTCTTCAACCCCCAACACGAATATTATTTGCTCAAAGCAACAGTCCGGGTCTTTCTGTCTCCCTGCCATTCTCTTCTAGCCTCATTACTCCCCTGTTTATTCATGTGCTGAATGAGGCTAACACCTCTCCTGTCACTCTCTAGATTTTCTGCAAATATTAAATGAGGTATATGGGATGGCAGATGCAGAATGTATGTCTATTCCAACTTTCTAGTGTACCTTCCTGTACCGAAGAGACTAGTAAGCTAAAACCTAGTTTCCATACTCCCTTGCAACTACGTCTCCTAGGTGGTTTGGGTTCTACCAATCAAATATCCTTGAACAGGGCTGAAATGTAGATAGCTGAGAAGGGAGAGGGGCAGGGATGAAGTATGCATTCTGCTAGTATAGATCAGAGCTACAGTCACATGGCTATGGAGCCAACAGCACTGATCTCCAACTCAAAACAAAGGTAATGCATTCTTGGACCCAACATTTCTGGCAGTGGCTTCCTGATTGTGGCATAGGCAGATGCTGTAATGGCAGGCCAGTTCTGGAACACAGCTGTGGGAATCATCCTGGAGGTCCATGCTGAAGCCTCCTCCAGCCCTTCCAGCCATGTTGTAAGTACCTAATTCCTTATATCAGTCCTTTTCTGCTTAAACTACTTAAGTGATCTCCATTATCTGCACTTAACACTGCCCAGTAAATATGAGAAAGTGCTTCCAGAACCACAAACTGCTATGGAAATGTGACTTATGGTTACTCATCAGGGGCCCAGAGCTTCCAGCCAAGGAGGGGCCATGAAAAGAATCATCAGTCATGGAGTTTCAGGAAGAGCAGGCAAGTGGCCACACTCTAAGAACAGTCTCCCCAGAGTCAACAGCTTTTTGTTGTTGTTGTTGTTGTTGTTGTTGAGACAGAGTCTCACTCTGTCACCAGGCTGCAGTGCAGTGGCATGATCTCAGCTCACTGCAGCCTCCACCTCCCAGGTTCAAGCAATTCTCCTGCCTCAGCCTCCTGAGTATTTGGGACTACAGGTGTGTGCCACCACATGTGGCTAATTTTTTTGTATTTTTAGTAGAGACGGGGTTTCACCATGTTGGCCAGGATGGTCTTGATCTCCTGACCTCATGATCCGCCCACCTCAGCCTCCCAAACTGCTGAGATTACAGGCACGAGCCACTGCGCCCGGCCAACAGACATTTTTAAAAGAAAAGCTTTTGATAAATTAAATTTAACAGTTTTTGGAAGCAAAGAATGATTCATGAATTGGGCAGCACTTAACTAGAAGAGATTCAGAGAAATTCACTCTGCAGTGTGGGCAGTATTTATAAACAGAACAGGAAGTAAAGGACAGAAAGAGCTTTATTGGTTACATCTCAGCATTTGTCTTGTTTGGACATGGTCTGATCAATCAGCTTCCTGTGATTGGCTAAAGCATGGCTGCTTGTGATTGGCTGAGACTCCACTGTTATGCTCCTATTAGACTTCCAATTTGTTTACTTACTAAACTAGGTTGCAGTTTGTTAATTAAAGACTCAAAGTACAGACTCAGCCTCAAGCCAATAGCCTCCTGCTTATTTCATTTAATACCATTTTAATCCAGAATCTGCACTTGAAAACATGTGTCTCAGTATCATTTTAGAATGCAGCTCGCCTTCTATATCCTTGGTTTTCCCTACTTGGAAAACACACACAGCCTGGAGTTTGCCATCTGTGGCATTTGAGGAGGGTTTTCTAGAGTTAAGCATCCCCTAATACATATCCAGGAAGGGCTGAGACATTCCTTTATCAGGTAGGAATCTCATGAGTCATTCCAAATGGCCTGTAGGTACCTTTCTCACTTTGACAAGTATATCCTGTATCCTGGATAGTTGCTCATTCTGCAGTCATTCTCAACTCCAGGATGGAGTGAGAGAAAGGATGCAGGCTTTTGTTGTTGCTCACTCCCCTGACATTTTTCACTGCTCAGGGCAGACCATCTCAGCACCCACTAAAGCTAGAGCCGGCTGAGGCTATTGGGGTGAGTCCCAACAGGATGACAGCATGGAGGTCTTGCTTCTTCAGCACATTTTTTTCTCCAGCTGTCTACAAACTCTGGCTCAGCTAGCTACAAAGAGCTCAGCTGGAATGCCCCGGGTGTGGCATCCATGAGCTTGAATGGAAAACCTGAAGCTCCGAGGAAGTGGGGGTGAGACCCAACAAACATCACCTAAAGCAGCCTTGGGGCCTCTGATTATTTCCTGGCTCATTTTACCATCCCTTAAAGGCCTGTGGTGATCATCTGCCAGGAGGAAAGAGTGTCAGCTAAAGATGCTGGAGGGGAGGTGGAGGATTAGTAAGAGATTAAACCCACAGAGGCTGGAGACTCGGCTCAAGAGAAGTGGCTAGGGAGAGAAAGAATAAATCACCACCAGATAAAACTGGGTTTCTTTTTGGCCTGTGTGAAAATGAACTTGCATCCCTTCTGGGTGGGAAATGTACCTCTGATGTACCCGGAAGCTCACCTGTGTTCTGGGTGAGACTGGGTGCTCTGGGAGCTGTGTTTTGGCTATCCTTCCCCAGAAAAAACTCAGGGCCCAGCTGCCCAGGGAAAGGGTGGCTGAGTTGTAGGACTCCTCACATTGACCCTGTTTGCATCCAGAGCAGCTCCAGCCATATTTGTTTTACATGCTGGGCTTCTTGAATGATTTCAGTTAAAGAAAGTAATATATTAAACTAAAAACAACAGCAACTGGAAAGCCACCAGAGGGCTTCCAGGCTTCCTGATCCCCAGTCTAGTGCTTCATCCTTCTATCGACTTCATAAGGTTATACAAAGGTTTCTGTAAGGTCAAGGGGCAAAGCCTATAGCCAGTGCCTGCCCCCAGCATATTATTACCAATAGGTCTCCTAGGAAAGAGTCCTCCCAAAGAGAAAGAGAGTCAGGCCATAACCTGGATCAGTGACTGAGACCTGGAATCAGAGGATACAGTGCCCTGGACTCCCAGCTGCATTCTAGGAACACCAAATAAGATGGAAAGAGTGGTTGGCCTAAAAATTTGTAAGCCATTGGGAGCCAAGTCTCACTGCTCTGAACCCATGAAACAAAGAACAAAATAGAGGTGAAGATCAGGGGTTCCCCCCGACCCAGCTGAGAGGCCAACTTGGGTCAGCCTGCCGAGGGACTGCTGCAGCGTGAGTAGAACAGGCAAAGCGGCCTCAGCTCAGTGTGGCCCTGGTGCAACTGGGCTTGGACAGCCATCTGGGCAGCAAGTTCCCAGAGCTCTGGGAGCAGGGGGGCCTCAGGAGGAGCCCCCACCACCAGCCAGAGTCAGGGCAGAAGGAAGGGGACCCTGCGCAGGCCACACACGAGCCACCCCAGGGACTCTCGGAAACAAGGGTGACCTCAAGGGAGGTAGAGGGACCTGCCTCAGCAGGAGCCTAAGAAATATGATACTCATTGTCCCCTTTCCACAAAAGCCCTGATGGCTGTGGCCTGGCAATCGCAGGCTACAAACACAAGGTACAGGTGATGGCTTAAGAAAAGAATGTGAGAAATGACTCAAGGTTCATGCTGTGACAGCTCATATAGAGTTAGGTACCATCCTAATATGGAGGAAGAGAAGAACACTTTCCACTGGAGTAGTTACAGAAGCTGCTCAGAGGACGTCAGCCCTGGCTGGGCCTCGCAGGGTGGGTAGAATTGAAAAGCTCCCAAAAGCAAATGGCATGAGCAGAAAGCACAAAGGCAGAAAAATGGGAGGCACTTTTAGGAAGAGTTGGAAGCCTGGCCAGAAAATGTAACCAATAGTTTACAAGTAGAGATGACAGACCCTGGGCAAAGAGCAGTTTCAGAGGCAGGACCATGCACCAGGATTCCTAGTTGATACATTTTAGATCTCTGTCCCCTGCAAATCTCATGCTGATATGTAATCCGCAATGTTGGAGGTGGGGCCTGGTGGGAGGTGTTTGGGTCATGGAGGCAGATCCTTCATAGGCACTCGGTGCCCTCCCTGCTGTAATGAGATTGGTTGTTTAAAAGAGACTAGCACCTCCTCCCTCCCTCTCTCACTTCCTTTCTTACCATGTGACATGCCGTTCCCCTTCCCTTCCACCATGACTAAGAGCTCCCTGTGCCTCACCAGAAGCCAAACAAATGCTGGTGCCTTGTTTGTACAGCCCTCAGAACTGTGAGCCAAATAAACCACTTTTCTTTATAAATCACCCAGAGTCCAGTATTCCTCTATAGCAATGCAAACGGACCAACACACTGGTGCTGAATCACCTTAACCTCTTTACACTTCCATTCCTTGTAGAGCAAAATGAGAACAATGACAGTTTCCACTTACCTCTAAATAAATTTTTAAATAAAACTTACATGTTGATGTCTTGGAAAATGGCCTAGGAGGGAAAAGGGAGGATCTACAGTTGGTTTTCTGAAACAGCAGTAAACATTTCTAGGCAATAGGCACAGATGGACCCTTTTACAATTCTGTGGGAAGTTAGGGGCTCTGATCATGAAAAAACAACTCCAGATATTTACATAAACCCAAATGTTATATGCAATTTTCAAGGATTCTTGGGATCCTTGATGCCTGGATAGAAAAACTCCTATCTTAGGGAAACTAGCAATCTTTTATAATACTTTTTTTTTTTTTTTTTGTCATTTTACATGACAGTGCTCTGGACTGAATAATCAGAAGTATCCTAGGTTATTTTTATCACCAAGCAGTAAAATGAGGTGGCTGAGAACACACACTTTGAAGTCCAGCAGGCTGTGTTTCCCTTTCCAATTCTGCCACATGCTGTGCAATTTCAGGAGAGAGATCCAAAATGATCAAAGGCAACCTGCCATTCAACATGTGTTCTGGGTATCAGTGGCCTGCCATTCTCAAAGGTGGGTGGGAGTTTTCTGTCTCTTCCCACAATAACCTGCACAAACAGTGTTATGTTTCTACAAAAGCAACTCTCAGACACACAACATTCTTTGCAAACTGCACAGAATCAGTCATATACTCTGTTCCTGTAAAGGTGGATGATGTCTCTAGGTACACCTACAATATTTTTGCAATGAAACTTCAGTCAAGGCAAACTCAACAATGCTCTGAATCTGGGATCAGCCAGTCTTCTTGTGGACTCAGGCACAGCCTTCCATTAATATGCAGACATCTCTTCTCGGCTTATAGATCAGCATCTTCCTGTGTCTTCCCATGGTCTTTCCTCTGTGTATGCCTGTGTGCTAATCTCCTCTTCCTAAAAGGACACCAGTCATACTGGACTAGGGGCCACTCAATGACCTAATTTAACCTTAGTTACCTCTTTAAAGACCTATCTTCAAATACAGTCTTATTCTGAAGAACTAGTGGTAAGAACTTCAACATATGAATTTTGGGAAGTACACACTTCAGTCCATAACTCCCAACAGAAACAAGTTAAACAAACGATGGCACATTCACAGAATGGAACACCAGGTAGTTGTTAAACAAAACCAAACAAAACAAAAAACTATAAATCCTGGACTTATCTCCAAGATACATATAAAGTAGTAAAAACAAAAATGTCAGTATAAAATGATGTACACAGCATGCTGTCATTTGCATTTAAAAGGAGAAGAAAAAGGACACACACGCTGGTTGATACACGAACCATCTTTGGAAGTTAAGTGAAAAAAAAAAAAAAAAAAGAAAAGTTGTCTCCAAAGAAAGATCCTGACGGGCTGGGACATAGGAGTGAAAAAGCCATTTAATATTCATGATGAACACATAGAAATATTAAATGTTGCACCAAGGGTATATGACCTATTTTTTGGCATGAAATATTAAAAATTAAGATGCTATGAAAGTTGAGGTTTTAGATGGCTGCACCAGCACACTGAGGTTTGCTCTGCAAAACTGAAGCACATTAAAGGGTTTTGCTCTATCCTCAAGTATTTCCCCAACCCTTGGGCTGTTTCTTCACAAATGCCTCTTCACAAATGTTTCTCTCCATGGCAGCTGGCCAGTGATGTTCTGTCTTTCTAGCTCTCAGTCTCATTCTCTCTCTCTCTGTTCCTGTCACATGCACACTCATATGCAACTGAAGAAGTGGAATTTTCCAGAATTCTGGAGAACTTTGAGTGGCTGTACCTTGAAAGGATTCCTCAATACACCCTGTCAGGTTATCTCACACTGCCAAGTTGAAGGAAGAGGGGAGGTGTCGGAAAAGAGAAACCATCACTCCAAATAGAATGGAAATGGAAGCACTGCAAAGTAAATAGCCGAAAATTTCACAAATGTCATTCACTATTCACAAAGACTGTTTTTAGACAACATAATAATCCACTACAACACTTATTCTGTCTGCAGGATTATTACAGCACAATTTTACCTTTCCATCTTCCATGACATAGTGAGATTTCTTTAGTAGTCATTCTTTGTCTTTTCCGAGTTTGGGGGTCAGACTAATCCAAATGATGACTTGGGGAGATGGGAGGGGGGTTGTTGTTGGCAGCCAGAAGAATCAAGAGAGGACTCTCAGGCTTTCAGCATTCCCAAGCAATCTCAAATTACTGCTGTCTAACCAGCCTTTTCCTTGGCATGACCCAGGATAATTTAGTGTGCTCGATCTCAGGCCTGGAACATCTCCCTCTTCCCTTCCCCTGACTTAAAGTTCTAGTTCTTCTATGAAGCCTTACTTGACCACAGCAAATTACATTGTTCTTTCCCTTTTAAAAAAAATTCCTATGATGTTTACAGATTTTACCAGTTCAAGGAGTACTATTCAGACCCCTACTATGGGTCACATTGTTGGGGTAGAAAGAACAGAGAGCCACTGAACTTGATTGTTGGGGCAGGGGGTGAAGGGAGGAAGGGGCAGAGTTGCTCTAAGAATAAATAAGTAGTAAGGAAGAATACAGGGATGTCACAGGATCTGGCAACTGAATCACAGCACAGCCAATCCTCATGGGAACTAGAGCTTCAGCATGTTCTGTATCTGAGGTGCCCTTAGAGTCATTAGCAGCAGAAAGTCTCAAGCTTCCCTCTGTTTGGTCCCCGCCACTAAATAGAGCTGTTCCCCTCCATGTTTCTGCTGCTTTCTCCATGTCTATGAGCTGGCCTCCCCTGCTCACTCATAGCTTTGCAGGCTTTTAACTTCAGCAATTTATCCATAATTTAGCAGGCTAGGTTCCTGGAACTATCACCTAGCATCTTTTCACCTTTTTCCCCTGCTCCAACTGGTAACTTCTTACCATGTTTTGGACTTCAGATTCCCAAGTAACACGTGATAGACCCAGCTAAACTTTTTGAGCAGGCTATATAGGTCATAGTCAGCTAATGGCTTGATTGAGCTTAGGTCAAATGTTTACCTCTGAGAGCTGGGCACACTGGCTCACACCTGTGATACCAACTATTTGGGAGGCTGAGGTGGGAAAAATCACTTGAGGCCAGGAGTTCAAGACCAGCCTAGGCAATACAGTGAGATCCCACCTCTAAAAAAATAAAAAAAAAAATGTTCACCTCTGGCCTTTCATTAGCTTGGGGATGTTTTTCTGCTTCCCCTTCCCTTTTCTGGGCTACTATGAGTTTACTCAGTGCCTTTGCACAAATTTAAAAAGAGTACACCCTGTGGGTACTTGGCTTAGCAAAACAACTTTGAATAAATTGAAAAGAAATTGCCCTTCCTTTGAGCTGAGACAGCCTCATGCCAGTGCAGAGCCCAGTAGGTGGAACCAGGCTGGATTTCACTTTGTACTCACTACCTCAGCCTGGGCCTCTGTGCAGTACACAAACTGCCCAACCTCCCAATGCAGCCTTGGCTCCCATCCAGCAAGGTCTCTGCAACAAGATTCTAAACAAGGACCATAAGAAGTACTTGTAGATGACTTTTCAGTTTCCTTGTGATTTAAAGTATTTGAAAGTAGTATTTCCCACCCCTGCCCCTTTGGTACCAGAATGTGATCTGGCGAATTTTCCTTATAATAGCTCTTCAAACTTGCCTCTTAAGAATTGAGAGGTGGGGCATGGTGGCCCATGCCTGTAGTTGCAGCTACCTGGGAGGCTGAAGTGGGAGGATCGCTTGAGCCCAGGAGGTCACAGCTGCAGTGAGCCGTGATCACACCACTGCACTCCAGCCTGGGCAACAGATTGAGGCTCTGTCTCCAAAAAAAAAAAAGAGTTGAGAAAAAATACATCAAACCAATCTCTCTCACAGACATTCAGCTCCAGTTCCTTGTCCCAGATTCTAGTGAAGAAAAAGCATGGAATCTTCTCTTTCCAAAGTTGTCAGCTCTGAGATGCCAGCATCTTCATATCCCTTGGCTTGAGCATGGCCTGTTCTCAGACACATGCCATGCCTACCCCATATCTCTTTCAAGCCAGTTTTCAAAGCAGCCTCCTTCCTGCCTTTGTTCTCTGTCCTTTGGGGGATGTTCTCTCTTTGAAAAATTGATTTCTATTATTACTGGACATAACTGAAGAATTTTCTACCTTTGAGATCCAACAGTCATCTTATCTAAAGGGATTTATTCATGTTGCATATCGATGTGGAGTCTGCACATTAAAACACTTCAGGCAAAGTCCTTGCTTTTGCAAATGCTTCACCATGTTTAAAATTATGGTGTAAATAATTACAAGTTTCATTTTACTGATATTATTAATCATAAATTTCTGGTATGAATTAGACTGTCAAATGCCTGAGGACATTTTGAATGGAAAAAAGAAAGATTAGAGGGAAACTTCAAAGAAGATAGAATACTGGAATCAGTAAACTCTGAAATCAGAGCAAAAGAAAAAAATATTCAGTTGCACTAAAAGCATAGAGAATATTTGGACTCCAGTTAATTTCATTACATTGTCACCTTACATCTGGCACAAATAAAAGAAACTCACCTGGGGTCCTGCCAGATATCTAATTAGTTTTTTTCTGTGTTCCCTTCTAATCTTTGTCTATATGTATGTAAAATGAGTTCATAGTTTTAGTCACAGATCTTGGCTAACTTCACTAGATTTCAAACCCTCTGTTATGAAGTTGAATTCAAATCAACAAGTATGAATGAGGTATTCACTATCATGTAAATTTCAGCCATGGATACGGCTACCAGGGAAGTTATGCCCTATAGTGTTTATTATCTCTTACACAGTGTCCCAGAGACCAAAAGCAAGCTAGAATATAGAGGAGGCAGCTGGTAGGAAAGAAGACCAGCACTAAGAGTCAGGAGGTGTAGGTTCTGATTCTGACACTAACCAACCAGGATCTTAGGCAAGTTTGCCTCTCTGGATACCTCAGTTTCTTCATCTGTAAAATGAAAGGATTGGATTTAATCAACAGTTTTTAAACTCTACTCTTCAGAGGGCTGCAAGAAGATACTGGAGCAGGAGGTGTGGTACTAAAGGACTAATCTCTGCCCACATCCCTGCAATCAAGGCAGCTCCTTCTTGGTCTCTTTTTCATGTGAGGCATCTGAGTCCAAAGAGTCTAACAACAGGGCACATCATTTGCATTCAGGGCTCTCTCCAAGCCAAGACAGAGTATCCTGGTTACCAACAATACCGGCTGCCAGAGTTCAGAGGAGGGGCTGTCAGGGAAAGCAGGAACATAAAGGGAAAGCTTCGTGGAGGAGGCAAGGCTTGGGCAGGCCTCGAGAGAAGATGATTTTTGGAATGACAGAGGGAGGAGGAAAATGAGAGTATTTCAGGAGAGGCATAGTGATGTGTTCAGGCTCCCAGAAGCCAGGACCCACTTGGTTTGGAGTTGGGCCCGGGGTGCAGAGGAGAAGGTTGTAGAGTACGACGGAAAGAAGGGCCTACATCCTTAAAGACAGGCAGACAAATATGGGGTTGATGGACACATACAAGATCTCCTGAAGATTTCTCAGCAAGGGAATGACATGCTGAAATTGGTGTTTAAGGAAGATGAGTCTGTCAGGTTTTCACAGCGCAAATATTTCTTGATGCTTATGAGATGCCCGCAAGCAACTGAGAATACAAAGCTGGAAAATGCAGCAGCTGCCCTTGAGGAATCTGGCAGAGGGGAATGCAGAATGGGATGAAACAGAGGAGAGAAAGTGTTGGGCTGGATTCAGGAAGTGACAGAGAGAAGAGGGGAGAAAGGAAAGATGACAGAGACATTGCTAAGTAAAAACTAACAGGACTTGGTGGCTGGCTGAATACAGTAACTCAAGTAGGGGAACAAATAACAATGACTACACATATCTCGCAGCTGTAGTTCCTGCTCCCTCCTGGGCCCACAGCAAGGATGCTTCTTCCAGCCTCCCATGAGGTTGGATGTACAGTATAATTGAGTTCTGAGCAAAGACTGTGAACAGAAGTAATATGCTCCCCATCCAGGCCTGGTCCATGACACCCTCCCACACATGCTTCTCTGCTCTCCTTCCCCATTCTCCTGATGGAAGAGGTTGCTGAGGCTGAAGAGGAGGCCATATCCACAAGACTTGAAGGAGCCTGGGTCCCCGAATGATTACATGGAAGCCTGCCCACAAAACAGGAACACCACTGAAGTTTTCCATGGCTTACTGTGGTAAGCCGCTCACTTTTGAGTCATTTGTTTTGGCAGTTAACATCCTAAGACCGAAACAATAGTCATGCCACTTTAACAACAAATACAGGGAGCTGGGATGGGTTTAGAGGAGGAGCTAAAAAATTCAGTGTTTCAGCTAGAGTTGTTTTGTTTTGAAGTAATACAAAACTGGACCTAAACTAACTTAAAGGGGGAGAAAGGTGTTATTGACGATGCTTCTCACTTTAGCGTGGCTTTCCCGGAAGTCTTTTCCACAGAGTTATGAGATAAGCTCTGATTGGCCCAGCTTAGGTCATGTGCCCACCTGGGAACCAGTCAGAAAAGCCAGGGAATATGATACCTGTTGTCCTTGGGCCAAGTGGCAGTGAGCTACTTCAGTACTGGAAGAAGAGCCAGCTCCACCATGAGTGAGGGTGAGGGTGATTCTCCAGCGGGAAATCAGGGTACCGACACTATAGAAAGAGAAAAGAATGCTGAATATTGAAAAGCAGTAAAAGTGCTTTACTTTCTGCATTGGACATACCTCGTTATTTGGAATGTCCAGATGGAGAACACTTCGTAAGTGGTTTGAAATATGAAATTGAAACCTACGTACAATAGAACTGGACATGCAGTTTAATCCAGGCTGTGTCAATAAGAGAGCTCCTTCCTTTTTCTGACTCCTCAAATTGGAGAAGATGGAAGGTAAAAAAGATAATTCCTTTTGTGAGCCCCATTTTATAATGTGGCCGCACTGCGTCCCTTCCCTGTCCTTCCTAGTGGGTCTTTGAGAAGTTTGGAAAGTAAGGAACGTATTTTAGGGACACAGCTGAGGAACATAAAAAAGACAATATGTAATTCTGAAGATTGTACTATAAACTTCACACTCCATAACCTTTTGTAAAATGCTCGTTCTCAGACTCAGTCAACGTGGGCTGCTGAGATGGGCTGCACATCTCTGGGGACCAGCTTTCACTGGAATTCAGAGAACCTGAAAATGGTACCCCTAGAGTTGTAAGATACCAGCCCTGGATTCAGAAATTCTTCTTCACATAAGAACAGGTCTGGCCGGGCGCGGTGGCTCACCCCTGTAATCCCAGCACTTTGGGAGGCCGAGGCAAGCAGATCAATTGAGGTCAGGAGTTCAAGACCAGACTGGCCAACATGGTGAAACCCCGTCTCTACTAAAAATACAAAAATTAGCGGGGCATGGTGGCAGGCACCTGTAATTCCAGCTACTCAGGTAGCTGAAGCAGGAGAAACTTGAACCTGGGAGATGGAGGTTGCAGTGAACCGAGATCATGCCACTGCACTTTAGCCTGGATGACAGAGCGAGTCTCTGTCTCAAAAAAGAAAAGAAAAAAAAAGTCTTTACCTAGACATAGGGAACCTGGCTGACTATGGTATTAACTCTCCTTCTACAGGTTGGAAAATTCAAAAGCCTCCCCATGCTTTTATAAAATGGCTCATCTTACTTCAGACACTTACTTACTATGGTATTTATACTTCTGGATCTTATTATGTCCTCTTGATATTCCCTGCCCCTCAATCCCCCTTCCTTCATCTGAGTCTACCATCTTGGTTCTACCTTCCGTGGATTTCTATGGAAATTTTACTTAACCTAAGCATCCTCTGACCTTAAGAACTTTACTGAAGATTTACGGTTGTCACCAGAGGAAGAATTGTATCACATACCAGAGACAGCAAGCAAATTAGTAAAAATCTCCATTACGCCTTTCTGTTCTCCCCACAAATCCCCAGCCCAAAGCTGCTATTTTTATTCTCTCTCATAGAACTAAATCTTTTCCTCCTCCAGCTCTCCTCCAATACCTTCTGTCTAGAATCTCTTTGTATCAGAACCATACCATTTTTATTATCATAGCTTTCTGTCTTCAGATTCAGTCCTGTAAATCTCCCAACTTTGTTCTTTTCTATCTTTTTTTTTTTTTTTGACTATTTTAGAGCCTTTGGATTTCCATGCAAACTTTAGAATCAGTTTGTCAGTTTCACACACACACAAAAAAAATCTGAAGAGAAATGACATCTTAAGAAGATCAAGGCCAGGTACAGCGGCTCATGCCTATAATCTCAGCACTTTGGGAGGCTGAGGTGAGTGGATCATTTGAGCCCAGGAATTCAAGACCAGCCTGGGCAACATAGTGAAATCCCATCTTTACCAAAAATAAAAATAATTAACTGGGTATGGTGGCACATGCCCATGCTCCCAGCTACTCGGGAAGCTGAGGTGGGAGGATTGCTTGATCCCGGGAGGTTGAGGCTGCAGTGAGCCATGATAGTGCCACTGTACTCCAGCCTGGGAGACAGAGTGAGACACTGTCATGAAAAGAAAAAGAAAAAGAAGAAGGAGAAGGAGAAAAAGAAGAAAAGAAGAAAAGAAGAAAAGAAGAAAAGAAAGAAGAGAAGAAGAAGAAGAAGAAGAAGAAGAAGAAGAAGAAGAAGAAGAAGAAGAAGAAGAAAGAAGAAGAAGAAGAAGAAGAAGAAGAAGAAGAAGAAGAAGAAGAAGAAGAAGAAGAAGAAGAAGAAGAAGAAGAAGAAGAAGAAGAAGAAGAAGAAGTTTTAGAGCCATGTGTGGTGGCTCACACCTGTAATCCTAACTACTCAGGAGCCAGAAGTGGGAAGATTGCTGGAGTCCAGAAGTTTGAGACCCGCCTGGGCAACATAGCAAGAACTCTCTCTCAATGAGTAAAAAAACAAAAAGAAGATCAACTTTCCAATTTGTGAGCACAGTATATTTCTCTCCATTTATTTAGGTCTTCTAAAATTTTTCTCAGTAGTATTTTGTCGTTTTCAGTGTTCAGAGCATACACATATTTTGCTAAATTTCACCCTATTGCATATTTTTATGCTTCTATAAATGGTGCTTTTAAAAATTCTATTTCTGAAATAGACAGTTCATAGCTATCATATAGAAATAGAATTGATTTTTATATGTTGACCTTGTATCCTGCAGCTTTGCCAAACAGGATGCAAAATGTCATAGTCATTTTGGAAACAGTTTAGCAGTTTCTTATGTAGGTAAACGTATATTTACCATATGACCCAGCAATTCCACTTTTAGGAAATGGAAACATGTCCTCACAAAGCTGGCATGTAAATGTTCATAACAACTTTATTCATAATAGCCAAAACTGGAAACGACCCCAATGTCTATCAACAGGTGAGTGAATAAACAAATTGTGATATATCCATACAAAAGAATATTACTCAGCAATAAAAAGGTACTCCTGATACATGCAACAACATGGATGAATCTCAAAAACATTATGCTGAGGGAAAGAAGCCAGATAAAAGAATAAATATTACATAATTCCATTTATTTAAAATTCTAGAAACTAAAATTTAATATATAATGACAGAAAATAGGGCAGTCTTGCCTGAACAACGGTTGGGGGGAGGAATTGTCAGAGGTATTTGAACCAGAGCAACTCCATCTTGAATAAAGGCTGGGTAAAAATGAGGATGAGACCTGCTGGGCTGCATTCCCAGATGGTTAAAGCATTCTAGGTCACAGAATAAGACAGGATATCGGCACAAGATACAGGTCATAAAGAGCTTGCTAATAAAACAGGTTGCAGTAAAGAAACTGGCCAAAACCCACCAAAACCGAGATGACTAGGAGAGTGACCTCTGGGAGTCCACACTGCTACACTCCTACCTGTGCCATAAGTTTACAAATGCCACGGCAACGTCAGAAGTTACCCTATATGGTCTATAAAGGGGAGGCCTGAATAATCCACCCCTTGTTTAGCATATAATCAAGAAATAACGATAAAAATGGGCAATCAGCAGCCCTCGGGGCTGCTCTGTCTAGAGCCATGGAGTAGCCATTCTTTTATTCTTTTACTTTCTTAATAAACTTGCTTTCACTTTACAGACCTGCCCTGAATTCTTCCTTGTGCGAGATCCAAGAACCCTCTCTTGGGGTCTGGATCGGGACCCCTTTCCGGTAACAGAATGAGTGGGAAAGGACACAGGGAATATTTTGCTAAAATATAAATGTCCTGTGTCTTGATTATGGTGGTGTTCACACAATTGTTCAAGAGTCAAAACTCATTGACTTGTGCATGAGAATGGATGCATCCATTGCATGCACATTTGACCTCAATAAAGCTGGAAACTGCTCAGGGTGTCTTTTAGAAAGCAAGAGGCACACATGTACCAAGGAACGAATGAACTGCAAGGAAGTAGCAAATAGGACAGAAAAGAAGTGAGACTGTCTTTAATCTTCATTAGATTGTTAGCCTGTAGACACAGTGCTGCCCGGTAGAACTTTCTGCCCTGCCCAATACAGCAGCCACTAGGCACATATGGCTTCTGAGCACTTTAAATATGGCTAGTTGTACTGAGAAAGTTAATTTTAAATTTTATTGACTTTTCATTAAATTTAAATTACCACGTGCTACTATGTTGAACAGCATAGCAAGGTAGGGAATGTATGTCTCATGTCTCTATGTGCCTATTACCTAATCTGGTAGTAGTTACTGAATAAAGGCTGAAAAAGAAAAAAATAAAATAAAATCCAAATAACCTGATATGCAGTTATACCAAGCAGTGTAGTGAATGGAACATCAGTAGACCCCAGATTCAAGTTCCAACTTGGTCCCTTGGTTCCTTTTCTGTTAAAATAGGGCTTTTACTCACTACAGACTTCACACTGTCTTTATAAGGCTCAAATGAGAGAAGTAAGCAAAACTACTTAACCTTAAATCACAAAGCTTTGCACAAACGGAAGGTACTGGACTTATCAGCAATGTGGTGGCCACATCTGGCGCCAGCGTTTCATTTTAAACTGAAGGCTCAAGAGGGTCGTGCCAAGCTTTCCCGGAGCCCCAGGAAGAGACTCTGTGCCTGTATACCTTGGTTCCGTTTTGTCTTTGACATGCTAATACCACAATCTCCGCGGAGCACGACCACCTGCGCCTCATAAACCTTTCCATTTACCAACACACGTGCGACCTTTCCTATCCTGGAGCCACTTTGCCAGTATTGATCGCTGATTGCAAGGGAGCATGCTTTGCAACTGCATAGGAAATGATGTTTGTTGCCGCGAAGGTGGTGGCCTGCTAGGATAAAAGAGGTCGCACTCGCTGCCAGAAGAGGAAGGAGACCCCTGCGGTGAGCGACCGTCGCGGCAGACCCGGGACGCGACTTGGAGTCCTCGTTTGCACTCTCCCCGGTTGCAAAGTGGTCCTGTTATCTCCAGGCTCTGCTGACTCCTCCCTCCGCGGCTGCCTTTTGTCTTTGAAGCCGGAGACCGACAATGGATTATTATCTGTGCATGCAGGTGTTGTTGAAGAGAACAATTTGTGAACAATGGCCCTTCCCACGTTGTCCAAACATAACGATTGCTCCGCAGCTGTTATTTGCAGAACTCGTCACCTTTCTCGATGCTGCCGATGCTGCCGTTGAGCCGCCAGCTGTCCCCGAGCGCGGCTCCCCCGGCGCCGCCCACCGCCGACAACTCGGCCGCCCTCACTGCCCCTCAATGTCCCCCGCTGTCCCCCGATGCCTCCAGATGCCCGCCGCTGCTCCCCCCAGTGTCCCCCGTGCCCGCCGCTGCTCCACGACACAAGCTTCTTTTGGCTGCCTTGGCGCTCTCCGCCGCCCCCAGGCGACAAGACCCCCAGGCAGCCAGACTGTGCGGGGCCTTCCTCCCGTGCGCTGTCCCAGGGTCAAAGCACGCTCCCCAGGAACCTCCCATCCCATTCAGTATTCTTCGGGGAAAACAGAATGGACCCACGGGGTTGCTTGTGGACCTTGTTTCAAACACATGACCCACAGGTGTGGATCTCTGCCCTGTAAGATCTGGGTGAAATTGTCTTGAATCCACCAATTCTGCAGTCTAGGAATGTCCGAAACTCCTCCTCACTCCCCTACCCCTGAATCGTGCCAATTCCCAGGCCCTGCATCTGCCTGTGATTCTTTTAGTTCCCCCACCGACCCTAATGCAAAATGCAGCCCTTTCACTGGTTCTCAAAATCTGCTGCCATGAAGCAGTTCCTGAGAGATTTCACTGAAAACGAGAGGGTTTCCACCCAGAGAGGACACCTCTTGACTGACACTTTCAGCTACTGTCCCCACTCCCTTCTCACCCCTACATCCCTTGTTTCACCCAGGAGAAGAAATTCCTCTCCCCGGTTACACATAGAGCTACTCACCAGTCTCCAGGCCCTTCCCTCAAGCTTCACTACCCAATTCCTACCAAGGGTTTTCCAAGTGCCAAGGCTCCCTCTCCTTCAAGGAAGAAGCACTGTTTTATTCCTGGTACAAAGACCTTCAGTTCCCACTGGTGTCCTGCTGGCGCCAGAATGTCTGCTGGTCTGCCAGTTTCTCAAAAAGTTCACTGGCCTGCTGCAGTCTGTTTTCTCACTTAGGGACAATTCACATACAGTGGATGGTGAGCTTACGGTGGATGGTGAGCTACCAAGGAGCAGAATTTCATGACAGCATTCAGCCCTGGATGTCCAACAACAACCTAAAAAGGTCAGCTGCAAAATCTTGCAGGATGCAGTAGCCATGCTTTCAGGGGCAATACATAGTTAGATTGACATATCTATAATGCTGAATTAAAGCTGCCATAACCTTTTCCCAAATCCCTGAATGAAAGGTGACTTCAGTCTTCCTTAAGCCTCTCCATGAATTTGTGTACCCAACTGAAGATTAGACATGAGCATATTGTATTTCTTAGGTTAAATACTATCACTACCTTATGGTAAAGAACATTTTGACTCTGAGATGAAAATATTTCTGAAATTTATTGACATCAATTTCTAAGACCTCTGCTGTGCTCCAGTAGGGAGCCACAAAATAAATCGAACAGTCCCAGACCTCTTCCTCACCCCATTTTATGCTAATAACATACTCTCAAATAACCAGTCATGTCTTTTATGGGGTAACCTTGGGTCTACTTTCCTAACTTGTAGTTAAATAAAATGCATATAGTATAAACATGAAACACCCTGCAATTCCTTGTCCCCTCACTTTAAACCAAGAAAGGAGACAAAGACCAATCAAAAAAATTGTTTAAACCATGTCTTTGGTAACATCTCCTGGTTTGTTTTGGATTAAGGGTCTGAAGGGAAAACAATTGAAAAGCAAGTGTAAATCAGCTTCCCAAAGAGAACACTGAGAATTCCAGAGATCTGCATTTCTCAGGACACTTGAGAATTATGTCCACTGCCCCCACATTCCATAACACTGGGGCAGCCATGCAGATTCACGCAGGACCTGGCTTCATGAACGCAAGGTAAACCATTAGATTCAAGCTGGTCCACTCCACCAACTACCGCGTGTGGTTGCTTGGAACAGCAACAAGCCCACGCCTGCACTAGCCTTTAGGTTGGTCAAGTGGCTGCCCACCCAGGCACTGTCTCTGAGGCAGGGTTAGAATGTCACAGCCCGCCCTGGGAGGACAGGGGTCCTGTGCATGTTAACAAGCTCAGTGAAAGGAGGCAAACCACTTGCCTCAGCACCACATTAGGCTGGGGAAGTATAAACTGGAAACCATGCAAATATTTATCTTCAGGGACCTCCAAGAGACCTCTGGGAGAAGGAAAATAAATCTCTACACGTGTTTACTCATAATGATTCCAACAGGCCCATCTAAAAACGACTCCAGCATTTCATTAAACAGACTTCTTCAATGGTCACCGAGCTGTGTAAATACAGTATAAATAAAGGCACAGATCCTCTTTTCTGGCTGGCTGGAGGTGTCCAGTTTGGATACACAATCCCTTTCTCCCAGACCGATCCCTTCTCTGAGGGCCCAGAAAGCAAGAAGTGTACCGAAGGATGTTGTTTCCCTTTCCATTAGGGTTATTTGTGGAGGGACTTTCATTTTGAAAGCATCTATGCTCATTTTTACAGTTTTGGAGAAACAGAAATTTGAAAAAAGGGCAAAAGTCCTGTGTGAAGAATTTAGTACACTTAACAATCACCTTTGATCTGACAAGAAAGGTGATCGGATTAGTAAGCCCAAGAACATGGTGAAAAATGACTTCCAAATGGTCTCCTTCCTCATCTGGCCGGAATAACAAAGCTAATGTTGGACTCGAGTCTGACAACAAGAAGGAAAAGAGCATGACCTCAGAACATCCTCCTGTGGCAAGGGCCCCAGGTGATGCTGAGAAAGCACTTGCTTTTGGAAAAGGCCCCAGCATGCACACACACACACACACACACACACACACACACACACACACGCATTCCTTCCACACAATGACTTGGTGTAAAGAAAGCAGGAAAATCGCTCTCCAGGCTAAAGATTCCCCCATGCTTGTTATTAGTCACCTTTCCCTCCTCCCAACTCTTACTGGCAACTAGGCCAGGCAATGACTCAGGAGGGCAGGCAGCAGGAGAAGCTGGTTCAGCACCACGGCTTAAAAAACACCAAGGCCCCTTCAAGTGTATTTAACTCAGATTTACTAATCTAGTCACCTAGGGAGAGAAGAAGGGAGCCAAGGAGGGGTGCAGGTGTGTGTTTGGGACAAGGTGGGAAAGGAGAGGCATTTGGGCAATGTTAGTGGAAAAATGGAAGCCCCTGCTTTCCTAAAGATAGCTCATGTAAACCAGGAAGGACTCATTCAGATAACCTCTGCAGGTTTCACCATGAGCCATTCTGCTGTGGGCGACTCTTCTGCCTCCAGTACACCTCTGATATCACTGGTAAAATGAAGGGCCTCTAGCACCACACATTACCTACTGGAGGAGGATGTCAGCAGGTCATGAAGTATAACAGGTTCTCCAGGTGAAAGGGACAGATGGGAGCAACATGAAACTCAGACCTGGGCCAACCGTGAAAGCTGAGTGCCAGGACGCACCAAAGTCAGGCAGAGGGAAGACAATGGCAAACCTCTATGCCCCAGGACTGAAAGATTTCTCCCTGAACATGGTGGGCCCTTTCTTTGAGTATGATGTCTAATTTGGCCAACTTGTCAGATGGTATAAGTCCAAGGGAAACCTCACCTAGCACCGTCTGATGGAGTTTGAGGGTGGCACTTGTAACTGTCCTGCTCTCCTTTGTCTTTGTGCATTCGGCAAACTGTCTCTCCCATCTGGGTTCACTACTCAAGAGACCAGGCCAACAGCTTGTCCGTGCTAACCCTCCACTAATCACATCACAGACCTCCGAGTGCTCCCCACCCCGAACCTTGCCTGTCCTTTCCTGTCAGAGCAGGCTGCTCACACCCAGCCACAATGATGTGATTGCAGCAGAGCAGCTCCTTAAGTGGAACACTGGGGAGGATAACACCCTGCCTGAAATTTTCAACAATCACACACTCCCCAGCCCTGATGTTCTACACAGCACTTCCATTAGCATGATTTGCGACAGACTTACTAACCAAACCCCACTGCTTCTGGCTGGTATTCAGGCCCAAATACAAAGGAATGAGTAAAAGCTGTTTTCTCCCCAGCAGTATCTCGCCTCCTTGGCAGGTGGCAGAGGATGATGTATGGAATAGCTGGCATCTCCTCCTCCTCCTTGGAAAGGAATTCAGCACACAACACTGCTGTCAGCCAACCCACCAGCCAGCTGACTCTCTGAGGGCAGCGGCAGGCCGAGCAGCAAGGCTGGATGCAGCCGCCAGGTAAAGGAATAGGCCAATGAGGCCAAGGGACCTGCACCGGCACTGCCTCTCCCAGGGCCTGAATTCCTGGGCAGCCTCGGCCTCTACAGCCCACAGCCTATGCACCAGCCCACTAAACAAGCCTCCTCCATCCTCATGTGTAATCAATTATGTGAAAATCTCACTGGAACTTTCTTTTAATGTCCTTTCTAAAAGCCTAGCCATTCCATTAAATCTGCCCTTTAATCTACCCATGCTTCCTTTATTGCAATACATACATCAACACATTCCATGAGCCACAGAGCTATCTATAGAATATTAACAGTACCTTTCTTGTAAATGCTGACACATTCAGAATGGCTTCTGTATTTGTTTTATTTGTGTTCTTACACAGTCTGTGCTCCAGAGACTTTGGGGGCTCCTGCCAGGAGAGGCTGGTCATGCTGGGTCTCTCAAGTACTTCTCATCTGGCCCAGTGGTGGCTCCCAAGATCTTTACTCAGGGACCTGGGGCCACAGTCTGACTGGAGGTTTAGGAGCTTGTCTGAAGCTGGCTTTGCAGAGCAATCATGATGCATGTACTGATATTTAATGTTGATATGTAGAGGTTTGGAGTAGAAGGTCATGAAATAATGAGGAACCCAAAACCCTACCCCCATATTGGAGCTGCAGCCAATAAGATCAAGTGCAGCCATTGATTATGGTGCCAAGAAACCCCAGAGTCCTTCTAGAAGGAGCCTCAGAGCCAGCCAGCTCTCCGTCAAAAAGGAGGCATGCAAGATATCCTATTTCAATGGGCAAGTGGCAAGATTTAAAAGACAAACATGAGCATGTAGGTGACATGGAGTACCTAGAACTCACATGTTGATGAGGCAGTAAGCACTGTCATTAATTCAGCTTGTACCGAATAACACACACTATGTAAAAGCCTTGACTATACTAGCTCATTTAACCCTCAGCACAACCTTGTGAGGTAAGCATCACTAGCAACCCCATTTCAGAGACCAGAAAACTGAGCCCTTGTTCCAAGATCCAACAACCAGCAAGTGCTGGTCCCAGGCTTTGAAACCAGGTCTGTCTGGCTATGGAGTTTCCCTTCTCACTACATCCTTCAATCTCCCAGTTACACTAACCTTCACACAGGATTTCTGATTTCACTCCCTGCTATCAGCCCTCAAAACAACAACATTTTGGTGCCCCCCTCTTCGCTGGAAGCATAAGAGCAGACATTATAGGAAAGTGGCTAGCACAGATGACAGCATGCCAGGCCACCACATAACTGGTCAAAGCCACTGGAGCCGGTCCTCCAAGAAGGAAAGGTTAATGGTAAAGGCTGGATCCTCCCAGGCAATTTCCCATTGCCCAATGAGGAAGAAATGCAAGGGTGCTCTTAATCAGGTTATTGGCTCCTTTCTGATTCCAAACAGCTTTCTGTAATTTAGCAGACTTCTCAGGAAGGCAGCTCCTTGGTGCCACTTTCTTATCACAAGCCACCATCAGAAACTACCAGGAAATGAACCCTACTATCATCCTGGCATTTGCTACCTCACCCCAGCTCAGGTCACCTGGCCCCACGGAACTAGTGTTGCCGGATTCAGCCAAAACAAAACAGAACACGACCCAAGTTAAATTCCAATTTCAGATCAACAATGGATTTTTTTTTTTTAGTACAAGTACGTCACATGCAATCTTGTGAATGCTTATTCTAAAATATTACTTGTTGATTACCTGAATTTCAGTAACCCCTACAAGGGCCCCCAATACAGCACTTCTCTCTTCAAAAAACAAGCGTTCTAGTGAAGGTCAGAAACTATTACACAGAAGGTATATGAGATTTAACAAGCCACCCAGGCCCCTAATTAAGACCCAGGGAAAGTAAGCACACACTTCTAAAGCCCTTGCTTGGGGCTTGGTGAGAGCATCCTCCCACCAGGAGGAGCCTGGGCTAAACCCTAATTACCCCCAAGAAAAATCCAAATGTGTCCACATCACATTGATCTCTGTGGTTGCAAATTCATAGTTCCTTTCTTCATTCCTGTTCACAGGTAAGTCTCCATGTAACACACTTCTCAGATGGAGACAGGGAAACCCCTTCCCTCTCCCACCGGCAGCATATTTTGAACCAAGCAACTAAAATCTCCAGCTGGAACTCCTCTTTCACAAAGATTTGCTTCAGGGAGCAGATGGGAAGAATGGCAGTTACGTAGCCAAAAAAATTACACTAAATGCCAGAGCAAGTTCACACTCGTAAACACCAACTCTGTCCAATGTTTTCATTTTTCAAGTGCGAGCATGTTGCTGAAATCTAGATGCCATTTCAAAACAAAGTTCTGAAAGAGCAGTAAGCGTGTTTCCCTGGCACCAAATTATTTCCCTTCCTCCATGCTCTACAGAGAAACAAACCTCACAATGTTCCCAGCTTGCCTTCTTTTTTTCTGAGACAAGGTCTCACTCTGTCACCCAGGCTGGAGCGCAGTGGCAAGATCATGGATCACTGCAGTCTTGACCTCCTAGTCTCAAGCAGTCTTCCCGCCTCGGCCTCCCGACTAGCCGGGACTACAGGTGCATACCATCACACCCAGCTAATTGTTTAGTTTTTGTAGAGATGGGGGTCCCCCTTTGTTGTTGCCCAGGCTGGTCTCAAAGTCCCATCCTCAAGCAATCCTCCCATCTCAGCTTCCCAAAGTGTTGGGATTACAGGTGTAAGCCATGACACTCAGCCTCCAGCTCATCTTCTGTGGGAAGACTGTTTCACTCTCCTGAGAAGAGCAGCCTCCCCTAGTTTTTATGGAGTTCTGAAACCGGATTTCTGCATGGCCTCTCCTACCTGGCTCTTATCTCTAAGAACATCCACACCACATACCCACAAAAGGCAACACTTGATTTTGCAAGAACTTAGGGCCAACAGCCTGAACCTGGTTTCCTCTGGACAAGCCAAAATTCCCGAGGCTACCCACATCTGTAAAAGACAGCCCCCTCTAGTTTCCTAACAGACTGGTTTCGTTAGTTTGAGCTCCAGGGTTGGGGGAAGGTCCTGGAAATTTGGATGACTCTGGAGGCAGTTACAGTTACTCTTATCTGGGCCCAGGACCAGTGATTCTCAAGCAAGCGAGCCTGCCTCTCCTAAGAGGAGCTGGTATGAGAATATCCAAAAGGATGTTTCATTTGAAAAAGTGTAATTAATATGCCATTTTATATTTGGAAAACAAAACACCTATTGCTTTTGCAGTACCAACTATAGAAGCGAAAGCTCAGTTCTTGGAATTTACAAGAATCAACTTTTCACATTTTATAAGAGCAATAATAGCTAATATTTGAGAACTACCTTACGCCAGACACTATGCTAAACTCTCTACATTGCATGACCTCGCTTACTCCTCAGCCATCCCCTGAGGTAATACTATTATTCCGTTGCTCAAGTAGGGAAGCAAAGGCATGTCCTAGTATGGAGTAGAGCAGCAACTGGAATTGAAGCACTCTAACTCCAGGATCAAACCGTAAATCACTCCATACCATGTCCAAGGATGAGGAGCACTGGTGTGGCCAAATTCATGGTCAGCCATCGCCTCAGATACCATTGGCTTTCTGTCCTGCCGCAGGGCCCTGAGTCTATAGTGGGAATTAGAAAAAACAATGATAAAGTTATTGGGCCAAGCGCAGTGGCTCAAGCCTGTAATCCCAGCACTTTGGGATGCCAAGGCAGGCAGATCACCTGAGGTCAGGAATTCAAGACCAGCCTGGCCAACATGGCAAAACCCCATCTCTACTAAAAATACAAAAATTAGCCAGGCGTGGTGGCAGACCCCTGTAATCCCAGCCACTAGAAAGGCTGAGGCAGGAGAATCACTTGATCCCAGGAGGTGGAGGTTGCAGTGGGCCAAGATCACGCCATTGCACTCCAGCCTGGGCAACAGACAGAGACTGTCTCCAGAAAAAAAAAAAAAAAGCTATTACTTTGCCATTTCATACAGTCTGGTAGAGTGTACACATGCTGCAGGGTGTTGATAAGACAACACAAATAAAATTATATGCTGATATGGCTCTTGTTAAATCCTTGCCAAAGAAAGAAACCTTTCAGGAAAGTCCAGGAAAAATCAACTTTAATGAAAAACCTGCAGCCACTGAAAGAAATCAGGATAAAACACATTAAATTAGTGCCTTGAATGAAGTAGATACTAAACAAACGTTGTTCAGCTGAATTGGGATAACTTTAAAGAATGTTTATTACTCCCCCCCGCCCCCGCCTTCTCCACCCAGGTGAACCTTAAAATGTCATTCATTCACTAGACAAGCATTAGCTGAGTTCTGCCACTAGACGTCACCCGGGGCACGGTGACAGACACCATGATGAAGCAAGGGCCAATCTGACAATTGAGAACATTACAATGTATTGAAGAAATCTGTATACTTTTAAAAGACAAACACATGGGTGTTGGTTTTCTGTTGCTGTGCAACAAGTTACCACAAACTTATTATCTCACAGTTCTGTAGGCCAGAAGTCCAGGCACAGAACAAGGTCGTCTGTTCACCTCTTATCTGGGGCTCAGAGTCCTTGCCTAAGCTCACTGGTTATTGGCAGAATTTATTTTCTTGTAAGACTGGGGTCCAGCTCTCAGCTCCCAGAGAGCTACCCACATCCATTGCCATGTGGCCTCTACCTTCAAATAAGCAATTCCATGCCAAATTCTTCTTTTGTTTCAAATCTCTGACTTTGTTTTTTGGAGCGAGCCAGAGAAAACTCTCTGCTTTTAGAGGGCTCATCAGATTAGGTCAAGTCCACCAGGATACTCTCCCTTTTACCATCGCATAGAATACAATCATAATATCATCATACTCACAGGTGCTTCCCACACTCAGGAAGAGCAGACTGCATACTGGGGTGGGTCATTGGGGGTCATCTGAGAATTCTGCCTGCCACAGCATGTAAACATTTATGGGAAAATAGTGTCTTCTCAACCATTGTTGTCAGCGGCCCCTAAGGGGCCATTGAGACATGAGGAAAACAAGGATACCTGACATCCTATAGTGGTCAAGGAAGAACCATCCTGGACAAATTATAGGGTCACAGGATGCTGAGAAACAGCAATTAAATGAAACAGAAAGAATCTTAATATTTAATAGAATGCCCAGAGCCCTTCTTTGAGTAACAAAAGATCCACTAAAGACTGGTGTAGCTCCTCTTTTATACTGGGAGATCCTTCCCCTACCCACAACCAGACCCAAGATAGAAATTAAATGGATAGGAACCAAATGCGAAGCCACATGATACAGGAAGCCCAGTAACTCCCTGAAACTGGACTAGATTCCTTGCTAAAGGAGGAACTGTTTCTTTTCTTAATGTAATTTCAGATTTAATTATTCACCAACCTCATCTCCAACTAGCATCTGTCCTTGGAAGATGCCTAAATTGAACAGGTCAACCAATGCAGGGATCAGACAGATTACTGTTCCCATTGGTGGCTCTACTAAGGGAAAACTTGACCTTGGGTTTTTCCTCTCGGATTTAGCACACTGTCATAAGGACTGGGGGATGGGGAGGCTGTCTTGAGGATGAGTTTTTCCTATGGAGGAAGAGAGATTTTGGTAAAGAGGGAGCAGAGAGCAGCAGCACAAGGTCCTTCCCACCTGGAGGCTTTTGAGCAATTGAGCAGGGTCTGGAAGGATGGGATGTTCCAGATAACACAGGGAGAAGACTAGCAATGAAGGGAAGGGGAGTAGCTTGAAAGGGCAGCAACAGTGGAGCAGGTGACTTCCTTAAAATGTGAAAGCTGGCCAGATGCAGTGGCTCACACCTGTAATCTCAGCACTTTGGGAGGCTGAGGCAGGAGGATCACTTGAGCCCAGAAGTTTGAGACCAGCCTGGGCAACACAAGGAGACCCTGTCTCTACAGAAAGTAAAAATAAATTACCCAGGCATGGTGGCACAGGCCTGTGGTCCTAGCTACTCCGGAGGCTGAGGTGGGAGAATCACTTGAGCCTGGGAGGTCAAAGCTACAGTGACCTGTGATCATGCCACTGCCCTCCAGCCTGGGTGACAAAGACAGACCTTGCCTCGAAAAAAATATTAAAAAATATAAAAGTTGGAAGCTGGAACTTGTGTGTAAGATGAGGACTCAGTGGAGAAGGAAAGAATGAAAACACCAGACTAAAGATACAGAGAAAAGGGACTCTGCAAGGTCCAAAAGAGGCGTGGTGGGAGGTGACAGAAGATACAGAGGAAAATATTAACTATGTAAAGAAGACGGACACTTCTACTCCTCAGATATGAGGAGGGGAGAGGAAATGGGTAAAAACAGAGATTTTCAGGTGGGTAGAAAGAAGGCCATCAGGTTAGGTGGCCTCACTCTTGGTAACTGGAAGACAAGGTCCGCTGACAGTGAAGGTTTGAAGATGTAAAGTAGATCTTACTCATTTAGAAAATACCCAATAGTTTTTCTTTTTTTTTTTTTTTTTTTTTTGAGACTGAGTCTTTCTCTGTCACCCAGGCTAGACTGCAATGGTGCGGTCTCAGCTCACTGCAATCTCCGCCTCCCGACTTCAAGCAATTCTCCTGCCACAGCCTCCCAAGTAGCTGGGACTACAGGCACCTACCACCATGCCCGGCTAATTTTTTTGTATTTTTAGTAGAGACGAGGTTTCACTATGTTGGCCAGGCTGGTCTCGAACTGCTGACCTCATGATCCGCCCACCTCGGCCTTCCAACGTGCTGGGATTACAGGCGTGAGCCACCGTGCCCGGCCCCAATATTTTTTCTAAATAAAGTTATTCCTGCTGTGGTGGTGGGCTGAGGTGGGGAAAATCTTTGGGAAATAAGATTAGAAATTAAAAGGAGCAAAAGCATCCATAACTAAGGAAAAGAACTAATGTTTGCTGAGTCATTAGCATTAAAACCATGGCATTCCTCCAAAAGGAACCAGAAATGGAACAGAAACGTTTCTTAAGGGCGCAGGTAAGAGAGGCACGAGGTAGCCAATGGTTCCAAGGTCCAGGATACTCACTCCTCTACCCCCAAGAACTTTCTGGGAGGAAACTGTGTCTTCTCAGTCGAAGTGGTGAGGGTAGCCCCCACCAGAACTTGACGGAAAGCTGGTTGTGTTTACCCAATTTTTCTTCCTGTGTGTCTGTAACCAGCCAGGTGTTTCTAGGAAGAGATCACAGTCTTTGGCCCATATTACCAGTACACTAGCTCAGCAAATTGCAGGGAGGGGCTGGTTGTCTTGCATTCACCTTTTGAAGGAAATGTTACAAGTTTTAGAGAAAAAACAGCCATTTAGTCTCTGGTAAATGCAAACATTTCCTAACATACCAAGGCTATCTGAAGAAAGTACAGAGCCTGGGGAAATTCTGCCTAATGAAATCAGTTTTTCCCAAGTGAGTAGCTATAGCAAAAGGAGGGCAAATATTTAGCCCCATTCTGGTCAATTATGATGTCCAGTGTCTTTTTTTTCTTTTCTTTTTTTTTTTTTCTTTCAGAGACAGGGTCTCGCCCTGTCGCCCAGGCTGGAGTGCAGTGGCATGATCATAATTCACTGCAACCTCAAACTCCTGGACTCAAGCAATCCTCCCGCCTCAACCTCCCAAGTAGCTAGGACTACAGGTGCCCACCACCATGTCTGGCTAATTATTAAATTTTTTACAGAGACAGGGTCTCACTATGTTGCCTAAGCTAGTCTCAAACTCCTGGCCTCAAGCAATCCTCTCACCTTGGCCTCACATAATGTTGGGGTTACAGGTGTGAGCCACTGTGCCCTGGCTAATTTCTGTTTTTGTAAAGAGAACATACAATCCTATCATCCCTAACACAACCCTTGGCCTTGAATCTTTAGTTCTGTCTGACAAACTAGGTCTTACTGCAGCTTTGAAATGGAGCTTTGGTTCTTATGCTTTTTTAACAGATCAAAGACACTTTCATTTAAATAATTTGGGTCAGCTGTGTATCATTCGGTGGGAATTGATGGGTAAAGATGGCATTTTTGCAAATGAATGGATAAACTTTTGATGCACTAAATTTATTTATTTTTTATTTTTCCACAGGTTATTGGGGGTACAGGTGGTATTTGGTTACTTAAGTTCTTTTTTTCTTTTTTCTTTTTTTTTTTTTTTTGAGACAGAGTCTCGCTCTGTTGCCCAGGCTGGAGTGCAGTGGCACGCTCTTGGCTCACTGCAATCTCTGCCTTCCGGGTTCAAATGATCCACCTGCCTCAGCCTCCCAAATAGCTGGAACCACAGGCAAGCACCACCCAGCCAATTATTGTATTTTTAGTAGAGACAGGGTTTTGCCATGTTGGCCAGGCTGATCTCGAACTCCTGACTTCAAGTGATCCACCCGCCTTGGCCTCCCAAAGTTCTGGGATTACAGGCATGAGCCACCGCGCACGGCCTGGATACACGAGTAAGTTCTTTAGTGGTGATTTGTGAGATTTTGGTGCACCCATCACCCAAGCAGTATACACTGCACCATATTGGTAGTCTTTTATCCCTCGCCCCCCTCCCATGCTTCCCAAGTCCCCAAAGTCCACTGTATCCTTCTTATGCCTTTGCGTCCTCATAGCTTAGCTCCCACATATCAGTGAGAACATAAGATGTTTGGTTTTCCATTCCTGAGTTACTTCACTTAGAATAATAGTCTCCAATCTCATCCAGATCACTGCAAATGCCATTAATTCATTCCTTTTTATGTTGATGCACTAAATTTAAAAAATGAGCTACATATGTGCAATGGTGTTATATATAACCAATAATGTTTGATATATTGTATGTATTATATAACCAATATTCTATATAACCAGTAATATTTGATATATTGTATGTATTTCAAATGAAAGTTGGTTATATCTGTCAAACCATGTAAAAAGGGTGATGTGCAACTTGAAGCAAGTGCCAAGATTTAGCAGACTACAACAAGATCAAACAGCAATTTAGAAAGAGAGAGATAGGAAGAAATATATTTTTGATGGATTCCATTTCTAAAGCCATCTAAGCAAAATCCAGGTCAACTTTTCACAAAACCGCACAGAAGGTAAGTCACATTGAGAGGCTGGCTGGCAGGCCTCTAACATACAGACATATATTATGGTTCAGGAATATTAAAGAAATGTACTACTCAGCAAGAATACCCATAACTCTCCTATAGATTAGAACATCAAACATATTTAAGGCCATTTGGACAGCTCAGAGCAAAATAAAAGAGAAATCCTGGTACCATCGGGCTTAGAGCTATCTTCCTTCTTCCAAACAAAAAGCATGGAAAAAGGAAAACTATTTCTCCTTTGTACTTTAGCCCTGGAGAAGACACTGATGTGGTTTGCTTCCCCCTTCCCTCCCCACATTGGGTTAGGTGGTTATGAAAAGCAGAGCTCACCTGGAAAGGTTGGCACTGCTTTGGCTCAGAGCCTGAGTGGAGGGCATGAGATGAGAGTGCCCACCAGAGCAGGAACAGGTGACCAGCCATTCCATTTGCTCAGGACTGGGGGGTTTCCTGGGACATGGAACTTAGTACTAGAACAAAGAGATGAGTTTAACTTCTTTGAGCCTTGGGTTTCTCATATGTTAAATGGGATAATAGTGGTGCCTACATTTTAAATGATACAATACATATAAAGCACTAAGTAGGAGCTTATTAATTGCTTATTAATTCTATGGCTTAGGCTGGAGGGCAGTGGCGTGACATCTCAGCTCACTACAACCTCCGCCTCTCAGGTTCAAGCAATACTCGTGCCGCAGCCTCCCAAGTAGCTGGGATTACAGTCGTGCGCCACCACACCCGACTAATTTCTATATTTTTAGTAGAGACAGGGTTTCACCATGTTGGCCAGGCTGGTCTCAAACTCCTGACCTCAAGTGATCCACCTGCCTCAGCCTCCCAAAGTGCTGGAATTGCAAGCGTGAGCCACCGCGCCTGGCCACTAGGAGCTTAAAAAGCATTAGCTACTATATTGCTATTAATCTTTAATTTTTGCCCACATTCCAAATTATTTCTTAAGATAAATACCCAGAAGTTCAATTTTGAGTCTAATGGCATGCACATTTTTGAGACTTCTAATTACCAAACTACCCCATATACACAAAAGTATACATTGAGAGTATTATACAGTGTCTACTCTAAAAGATGCCTCTATCCATTTTCTCAAACCCTTAGTCATGTTGCATTTTTGCATCTGAAATTATTGTATTTTTGATACACAGAGCAGAATAAGCTGTAAATTTGAAAATTAAGCATATTTCTCCAAGCAGTGTTTGTAAAATGTAATCAAATTTGTAATTTATTTATGATTTATATACTAACTGAAAAAAAATGAGGTAGTGCAGAATAAAAGCATGACAGACAGTTAAATGTATAAGAAAAAAAGATCTTAATATTTGAGAAGAGAGTGTTAGCTATACTGGGAAGATATAAGGTGGTCATTAATTTCAGCTCTGAGTTTCCTAGCAACAAAAGTAAAAATAGAAGCATATTTCCCATTCTAAAACAAAAGGGAAGCACATAAGTCTATCTAGAAATAAATACCTTCCTGTTGCTAAATTCTAAGAAGAATTGCCATGCATTTCCTTACATAAGAGGCACCAAGTAACATAACAAAGAGTATGCTTTGGGCCAAACTTGCTGAAGATATAAAACTTTTCATATGACCATTTATCTTAAAGGCCCTTGAGAAAAGGCAAAGACATTAGATCTAGTATTTCAATGAAGACAAATCTTTTGATTCTAACATAAACCAGATACATTGTTTTTAGGTGATTCCAATTTTGATGTTTCCAAAACATGAGCTAAATCATGGCAGTCACTAGTGCTATTTACCAAATATTTCTAGTTTCTCCATTTCCAGAAACATGTCAAGATTTGTGCTTCTCTGCCCTTTTAGGTGAAACCATGTGGCATTCTGTGGCCAACAGAAGGCGATCATCAGTAATACGTGGAGCTACCAGGTGGAAGCTTCAAAGCCAGTGTACATTTTGCCATAACATTTATCAAAGATGCTTAACAAGTTTCTTAGCTATGACACCTAAAACATAAGCAACCAAATTAAAAATACATTGGACTTCATAAAAATTAAAAACTTCTGTGCATCAAAGGACACTATCAACAAAGTGAAAAGACAGCCTACAGAAAGAATTTTCAAATCATGTCTGATAAGGATCTACCATCCAGAACATATATATATATTTTTTTAAATCTCACAAGTTA
Source organism: Homo sapiens (assembly GCF_000001405.40). Lineage (NCBI taxonomy): Eukaryota > Metazoa > Chordata > Mammalia > Primates > Hominidae > Homo > Homo sapiens. Next base: position 172,219,665 of record NC_000002.12, on the reverse strand, counting down.
ACCCAATTAAAAAATAAACAAGAGGATCTGAATGGTGATTTATCCCAAGAAAATATATAAATGGCCAATAAGCACATGAAAAGTTGTTTAACATCATTAGTCATTAGGGAAATGCAAATCAAAACCACACTTACTAAGATGGCTATAATCAAAAAGGACAACAACAGCTATCGGAGAGGATGTAGGGAAATTAGAGACTTTATGCATTGCTGATGTAAAATGGTGCAGCCACGTAGAAAACAGTTTGGCAGTTCCTCAAAAGTAGAATTATCTTATGACTCAGCAATTTCACCCCAGGTATATACCCAAGAGAATTAAGAACATAAGTTTGCATAAAATGTACACATGAATTTTCATAGCAGCATTATTCACAATAGCCAAAAGGTGGAAACAACCCAAATGTCCATCAATTGATAAATGAGGATAAACAAAATGTGGTGCATCAATAAGATGAAATATTATTTAGCAATAAAAAGGGAATGAAGTCCTCATCCATGCTATAACATAGATGAGCCTTAGGCTGGGTGCAGTGGCTCATGCCTGTGATCCCAGCACTCTGGGAGGCCAAGGCAGGTGGATCACCTGAGCTCAGTTCGAGACCACCGTGGCCAACATGGTGAAACTTCGACTTTACTGAAAATACGAAAATTAAGCTGGGCATGGTGGCGCATGCCTGTAATCCCAGCTACTGGGGAGGCTGAGGCAGAAGAATCGCTTGAACCTGGGAGGCAAATGTTGCTGTGAGCTGAGATCGCTCCACTGTACTCCAGCTTGGGTGACAGACCAAGACTCTGTCTCAAAAAACAAAACAACACATAGATGAGCCTTGAAACCATTATTCTAGGTGGAAGAAGCCAGACATAAGAGGCCATGTGTTGTATGGTTTCATTTATGTGAAATATCCAGAATAGGTAAATCCACAGAGACAGAAAGCAAATTAGTGGTTGCTAGGGGTTAGGGAATAGGGAAAATGTAACTGCTAGTAGCCACAGGGCTTCTTTTCAGGATGACAAAAATGTTCTCAAATTAGACAGTGGTGAGAGATTAGATTGTATAACCTATGTGAATATACTAAGCAACACCAAATTATACCCTTTATAGTGGCATATTGTGACTATATGTGGATTATATTTGAATGCAATATTTTTTAAAAGAATGTTCAAGTCAAAATGAAGCCTCAGTCAGCCTGGGTCACTGAGTGACCTCAATTAGCAAAATTCCCTCAACTGCTATTGAGTTAAGTAACTGAAATTTGTTTGTATATTGCTATATAAGTTATCCTATCCTTACTGATATCAGAAGAGATTCCTTTAAAAAGAAACAAAAACAAATTTATATAGACCCCAAAGTTAATTTAAATTATTTTCATTATATATTACTTAAATATATGCACATAGAAATTTCAGTGTAAGGTCTTTAGGCTTAGATATACAAGTAATAATAAAGTCAAAATAACCTTACAAATTAAACATATTCAAAACTGCAAAATCAATGAAATCAAGCTACAAACATTAAATTGGTATGGGAAATGATGCTATTTGCTGAAACCAAATCACACTTGCAAAAACATTGATAGCTATGGCACAGGTCATTCATGTTTGACGTGCATATAGTGTCAAACTAGGTGATGCCCCAATTTTCCATCACTTTTGTAGGTTCAAACACCTGCAACAATATTATTCACCCAGTCTTCACTTAGCACAAATGAGGCTCATTAACCTATGGCAAAGTAATTCTACTCTATACCAGCACAAAAAGAAGTACACACACAAACTATGGAAAAGGAAAAATAAGGCAGTAGTTGTTCATTAACTGGTCGTTTTAGGTTACCTAGAATATATTTATATTCACTTTTGGGGATTTTTGCCAAAAATAAAACATTTCATTTTCAGCCAGGTGTGCTGGCACATGCCTGCAGTCCCAGCTACTTGGGAGGCTGAGGTAGGAGGATCACCTGAACCCCGAAATTCAAGTCCAACCTGGGAACTATACCCAGACACTATCTTTAAAAAACAAAAAAAAATTTAACATTTCATTTTTTATTCTGTTAGCAAAATTTCATTTCCCCAAAAAATGCATTTGCTGACCTTCTGGTTTGAGAAACACTGCCATAGCCTGGACCACTGGGTTTTTAATTTGCACATGCATCAGAATCAACTGGGAGGGTTTGTTAAGACACAGAGTGCTGGGCCCAACTTACAGGATTTCTGATTCAGTAGGTCTGGGTTAAGTCCCAAGAATGTGCATTTCTAACAATTCTTAAACTGATGCTCTGGGGACCTCTCCTTGAGAACAACTGCCCTCTCTCTTTCAAATATCAAGTGACTCTCTGATACCCATCAATTCAAGACAGAGCTCAAGGAAGGAGCCAGGCAGCAATTAACTCAAGTATATGCTCTCCTCTGAAGCCTGAAGACCAGAGTTCTGTAGGGTTGATTGCAGAGAGAATCATCAGCTTTTGTTACAAAACTACTTGGCTGAAAAGTTAGCCTTCTGTAATGAAAACTGTGATGATTAATGGTGTCAACTTGCCTGGCCTCAGGGTGCCCATACATTTGGTCAAGTCTTATTCTGGTTCTGTCTGTGAAGGTGTTTCCAGAAGAGATTAACGTTGAAATGGGTAGACTGAGTAAAGTGGGTTGCCCTTCCCAACATGGGTGGGCCTCATCCTATCACTTGAAACAGAGCAAACAGGCTGACCAAACAGAGAATAAAAAGGAACTCCTCCTTCCTAAATGCCTTGAGCTGGGACATCAGTTCTTTCCTGCCTTCAGACTCAAACTAAACATCAGCTCTTTCTGGGTCTCAAGCCTGCCGGCATTCTGTCTGGAACTACACCATCAGTTCACCTGGGTCTCCAGCTTGCCAAATGCACATGTTATGACTTGTCAGCCTCGATAATCACATGAGCCAATTCCTTTAAATACACACACACACGCACACATATGCACACACACATGCACCCGTGCACACATACACACACAATTGGTTCTGTCTCTCTGGAGGACCCTAATACAAAAACTAATGAGCCTTTCTGGGAATCTCATACAGACTGAGCCCAGGGGTAAAGCGGGGAAATTCTCATTAATAAACCTTCGTGATCCCTCACCTCCAGTCAAAGGTTTCTATAGCAACCTGAGTTCCAAAGCAAGGTTCAGGCCACATTTTCACAAACTGCAACTAGATGAGTGGAAATAAGTAACCCTTTGTGATCAACTGAGAAAATGAGGAATAATAAAAGACTAGCACCAATGCCTGAGCTGAATTAATTCCTCAAGATTTAGGACCCTGGAACACCGGGCACAGACACATACACCCACCTTAGCACAGAGATTACCTAATTTCTTGAGGTCAAAGCAACGTTTTCACACCACTGTTTTTATTACCACTGTTTTATACATAAAGATATTTCTTGTCTTCCTTTTTCTGAATTCCCTCAAACTCACTGTGAGAGGCCACAGAGTATTGTGTTGAGAGTATGAGCTCTGCAGTCTTATGTTTTGATGCTGATTTCATCATTTGCTAGTTGTGATGACCTTGGACAAGTTACTTAACCTACATAATCCTCTGTTTCCTCATAAATTCACTGAAAATAATCATTCTAACCTGTATCAGTCAGGATCTAACCAATAAAACAGTAACTATTTTAAGTATTTACAATAGAAAGAGCTTAATGCCGGGAATTATTTCTACAGATGAAGAGGGAACTGAGCTCAGGAAAAAGCTGCTACCAACCATGGGGTGGAAGACAAAAAGAGGAGCTGGAATTGTGGAAGTCCAGGGCAGCCTGAGGAGGCTGAGTCTCTGAGGTCTCGTCCAGTACCTGCTGGAGCGGCCACCTGGGGAGGGGAAGTGGGATTCCCTGGCCCCTCCTTTCCCCCAACCTTTCAATCCCACCACTGGACATGCCATGCAGAGGCAGCCTGGGAAATGCGCCCTGCGGGTTGACTCTCTGTGGCACAGAGCAGGGGCTGCACCTGAGGGCCAGCAGGCCCAGAGCCAGTAAGGATTGTTAGGAGTTGGTTCACTGCCGGTGGCAGAGTCTTTTAAGTTGTGTATTTTAAGTTGGGGCTCTCTTGCCTTTTCCTCACCCTCTTCAACACATTTTCCACTCCTCAGGCTTTCTCTGTCCTCCTACTCTCTCATCACCCAGTGCTTTCCTCCCACTTCCAAGCCCACACTCAATAGCAGACAGCAAGTTGGCTGGCCTCCCGATGAGACTACAGACTCAGAGAAGCCCGAGGGATGGTGTTTCATATTTTAGCTGCCAGATCCAATGATGTTCTCTTCTCAAAACCTGAATGCCCTGCCTCCACACACCAGGTTGCACAGGCATGGCCACGTGTCGAATGTGGCGCCAGCACGAGCAGGGCAGCAGGACGGGCTGGCCCTTTATACCGCAGTTCTCCCTCTGCCCAGACCCATCACCAGTGAGCCATGTGAGAACCGTGCAGTTTGCCACAAAGACACCTCCTTCAAACACTCCGGGCTGGGTCTACCTATCTGTGGAAGGAGCAGATTGAAAGAGATGGCCTCTAGTCTTCTTCCAGTCCCATCATGCTATGATACTACAGTGTGCATTGTGGAAGGCCAAATTCTGGGCATATTCTCTGCCTGCCTTTGTTACAATTTAGCCAGAGATACAAATCTCCAAATTCCTGAGACCTGGTGCAGAGTAGTATTCTGTTAACTGAAGAGGCATTTTAGGTACAAAAAACCCCAAGGCTTATCCTAGGAACAGCACAGAGTAAATACATTCTCAAATCTAACCCTCCTTATAAATAAGTTATTTGTAGATTCAAATAATTCACAATTATGAAGGGAAAATTAGAAGAAGAAAACGTTTCTATTGCACAAGGCTTATATGAAATTATTGTGCCGATTTATATCTTTACCATTCTCAAAGCCCCCAATATATATTTTTACATATTTATAAATATACCCCAAAATATATATTTTTACATATTTATAAATATATATTTATAGATTTTATAAAAATATAGAAATACATATAAAATATATTTTTCCTTATATCTCTTTCCCAGGGTATGTAAAAGAATCTTTTCTCTGACATTGTTCGTAGCAATTGGAATTCAAATGTAAACTGAGTCTATCAGCTTGACCAACACATGCCAGTCTTCTTAAGTCCAACTAGCAAGCAGTCGGCCAAAAACTCCACTTTTTACTTTATAGCAGATTTCATACAAGTCAGGGCAGGATTTCAGATGTTTTAACTAGCCCTGCCCTGCCAATGTTTTTCAAATGTTTCCCAAGTCAGTAACAGCAGCCTCACCTGAGAACTTGTTAGAAAAGCAAATTACCAGGCCCTACCTCAGCCCTACTGAAACAAACAGTGGCAGGAGGGTCTCAGTAACCTGTGGGTTAGCAAGCCCTCCAGGTGTTTCTGATGCACACCAAAGTTTGAGAGCTACTGATCTGTGAAGTAGACACTAACATTCTCCTTCCATTTGTGTTTTAATAAGACCCCCAAGTGATTCTGGCGTATGTAAGGTTTGAGAACCACTGTGCTAAAAAAGAAAAAACCGAGACTGATCCATGTGAAACATATTATTGGTCTTTTCTGTAATGACCTAAATTTTAATTTTAATCCCGGACCTCCCCACAGTCTGAAAGCTACAGTCCTTCTAATGCCAATGATTTCATTACTCATTAAATCGGGCAGGCTTTTCTTATTAAGGGAAGGTAATTTAAATCAAGAATACAATGGAAATTAGAACACTGCGGCTATTGTCCTGTTAAAAAGAACAAATTCCCCTCTACCAAACTGTCCATTTTATGTTTGGCGGGAAAGGAAGGGGGTATGCCTCTTCCGAGCATGCCACACTTCTGCTGGTAAATGCTCCTTTCCTATAATTGACTGAATGCACACAAGTGCCCTTCCGCACCCACCAAGAAATAGCAGGTCCTGACATGGGAATGGAACCATATTTCCTTGCTCTTTTATCAACATCGTAAAAGCTCTTCATCCTTTCCAAGTAGAGGGAGTTTTGGCAAAGAGGGGAGTTTTTTCTCCAGGGTGACAAAAAGCACTTTCTCTCTACTCTTTTGTTGTGCCGTTGGATTCGAAACCCTTTTGCCCCGAGAACAATACACTGCAGAGTTACTTTATGTTGCCGCTTTCTGCTGTGCTTTCTCCGACCCTTGGAATAATAGGCCGCCATTTTAAAGGCAGAAAACATGTAGCTGCAGTGAATCTAAGTTGAATGCAAGTCAGGCCCGTAAGTACTGCTACTCCAACTCTTAGCTGGACTGCTCTAAGAGGTTTGATTTAAAGAAAGCAATGTGGCACTCCAGTTAGAAGGCCCAGCAAGCAGGAAATGGACTCCCACATCAATAGAATGCTAACCACCCCGGTGGGCACACAACCCAGAAGGTAATTTGGGAAATGTAAGAAGTCAGAGAAGATGAATAAATAAGAGAGGAAGCAACCAATTTCCTTTTTCTTTTTTACGAAGACTGTGATTGTAGGCTGTAATCTTCCTCTCATCACTAATGAAATGAGGGGAAAGGAAAGTTTAGAATATATGGTGGTGTTAAATAATCCATAACTAAATGCACGGGCAACATCAAGAGCATATATTCTGTGATGGAAATAAAATGAGGGCCTAGAAATTTGCTGTAGTATTCTCTCTAAACTGAACTTGCTAAGGAAAACTCCATTAAAAACAAAACAAAACAAAACAAAACTCTTCTAGCACTAAACCAGAAATACACTGTATGTTTCTAAACATTGATCTCAGTGATACAAAACCAACTATAACTCTCTGTAGCCTCAAGTGAAATGAAAAGTTGCTGCTTTGCTTGATAATCAGATCATTCTAGACAGCCAGTCTGGGCAAATCATGTCCTAAAGCTAATGTTCCCCCTTGTAATTATCTGGTGTCTGTCTACAACCACCGAATTAACCAAATAATTTCTGAGTTGCCAACCTAATGTGCAGACAAGCTGCAGAGCAGCTACTGGGGGCTTCTCCTCCTTTTACTCCTCCTTTCCCCATACCTTGCTATTTACTCCTTTGTCCTTTTCCCTTCAAAAATTACTCGGGCTAGTAAGAGGAGATAGGCCATCTGGGCCTATGATTTATAAAAACGATTTACCTACAATGATCCAAAGCTGGCTTTTGTTTTAATGGGTGTTCACTTTTAATGGTTTCAAGCATTCATCAAAAATGTTCCTCTTTGAAAAAGTGAAGAGGACACAAAGTGGCTGAGATGCAGACCTAGTGCTTCCCAGTTTTCAAAGTGCCTTATTTATTTCATCCCACAGCCCTGGGGAGATAGAGATTATTTTACATGTATGAAAACTGTATCTTCAAGTGACTTTCCCAAATTCAAGGGGCTGAAAAGTCAGATTCCCTAGAACTCAAGTCCCCTGCTCCTACATGCTCTGAGATTGAACTAGAATGTATTTACAGGAGGGAAGCTTTCAAGGAGGTGCAGTTCTGACTCCCTTAACATGAAGGTGGAATACAGAAGAAGCCCTGCGGCAGGATGGAGATGGACAGATGTGTCAGGACTTGGCATCTGAATTTGTGAGGTTTCTGTCTCTAAACGAGAGCTTCCTAACCATGGCACTGACCCCCGCCCCTTCCTTCACAGTGCAGGGAGAATGAGAGAATGAGGGTTTCTAGCGCTCCAGGTATGACTACAAAGGATGGCAATTGCAGAACGTCTCAGAGGCCCAAGACAATATTTTTTCTAGCCTAGTAACTGTTTTGGACATGAGATTTGTTATATTTCATAAGACCCACACATCTTTTAATTTACTATGTTGCAGAATTGAGAAAATTCCGATACCTCCTAATATAGTTTGGATATCTGTCCTCTACAAATCTCATGTTGAAATGTGATCCGTCATGTTGGAGGTGGGCCTAGTGGGAAGTGTTTGGGTCATGAGGTTGGACCTGTGATGAATGTGTTAGTGCTGTCCTTGTGGTAATGAGTGAGTTCTTGCTCTATTAGGTCACGTGAGAGCTGGTTGTTTAGAAAAGCATGCCACCTCTCTTGCTCCCTCTCTCATCACGTGACAGCCTGCTCCTCCTTCACCTTCTGCCATGATTGTAAGTTTCCTGGGGCCTCACCAGAAGCAGATGCTCATGCCATGCTTGTTGTACAGCCTGCAGAACCTTGCGCCAAATAAACCTCTTTTGTTTATAGATTACCCAGTCTCAGGCATTCCTTTATAGCAATGCAAAACAAACTAATACACCTCCTTAAAAATCCCTGGAGATGGGGAGTCCAGGAAGTTCAGGAGAGAGCTCAGCATCTAGGTGTCACTGGATGCCTATCTTGGTAAGTTATCAGAGAGGGATTCAGAGACAGATCCCAGGGTTGCAAGTTCACAGCCTTAAAAATCAGCTTAACCACAATTAATTAGACCCAAGGGATCATCATCCAAACTTCTTATATCCAAATTCTGTCAACATTGATTTTTAACTAAGATCTAATTTATTGGCTTAAATTGGGTAAAAATTTTCCTATGATTAGACACTTGTATTTTCAAACCAGGACATCCTTCCTCTATATGGAGGGTTTTGTTTGTTTGTTTGTTTGTTTTTTAGTGAGAGTGGCATTATTGAGAAAAAGTAGACATTTGAGAATAAGTATTATATGTGAAATGAAGGGTGAGATGACTTTAATGCATAAAGCAAATAAAAAGGAAGTAGTTCTAAAATGTTGTGTTGATAGTTGACAATTCAAGGAGAGAAACTTCTTGAACCTTGCACAGAACAAGGTTTCAGAGGGATAAGTACTTTTATCTGGAGCAAAATAAATGGAGTATTTTAGGGCAGCTGAAAATCAGCCACATAAAACATCCCTTAAAGATACAGCAATAAGGAAGCCAGTCCAGAGACATTTCCTTATCACACAGTTAAGAGGTGAGAAATGGAACTTGGGTTTATAACTAGTACCACTTTGTATCATTTAGAATGCATGTAGTTGCAAGAAACAGAAAAATAAACCCAAACTGGCTGGAAACAATAAAACTGATCCACTGGCTCCTGTAACTGGAAGTCAGGGTCAGATTTTATTTAGTGACTTGAGTATATAATCAAGGATCCAGTTTCTGTCCTTCACTCTGCTCTGGGATGGCGGAGGAGCTCAGATGAAGCTGTTAACCGGAGCATAAACACATGTCCTCTCCATATGTCTTGGGCTTCTCCCAGGGTGGCTGGGTTCCAAGAGGGAGCATCCCCAGATTGAGCATTCAGAGGGACCTAGGAGGGAGCAGCAAGGGTTCTTATGACCTAGTCTTAGAAGTCCTAGAATATAGGCCAGGTGTGGTGGCTCATGCCTGTAATCCCAGCACTTTGGGAGGCTGAGGTAGGCGGATCACTTGAAGCCAGGAGTTTGAGACCAGCCTGGCCAACATGGCAAAATGCCGTCTCTACTAAAAATGCAAAAATTAGCCCGGCATGGTGGCACAAGCCTGTAATCCCAGCTACTTGGGAGGCTGAGCAATGAAAATTGCTTGAGCCCACGAGGCAGAAGTTGCAGTGAGCCAAGATTGCACCACTGCACTCCAGCCTGGGTGACAGAGCAAAACTCCCATCTCAAAAAAAAAAAAAAAGAAGTTCTAGAATGTCATTTCTGCAACAGTAAAGAAAGTCACAAAGGCCAACCCAGATGAGAAGGGAAATAGACTCCACCTCTTGAGGAAAAAGACAACCAGGGTATCTAGGGAAGGAAGGAACTTCAGAGACTATCTACCTCAACATGAAATGTCTGAGCACCGTGGAGGCAATCCCCTATTCAGAAACCTCTCATTAGCTTTCCCTACCTGTGTGCTAAAGACCAAACTCTTGGCCTTTGAGACCGTCTACCTGGTCCAATTTACTATTCCAGCCTCATCCTCCACTGTTCTTTGCCATTCATTACTGCCTAAGTCAACCCTTTGCTTTCCCACCTCTGTGCTTTCACTTAAAACATCCCCATTTCTTCAAAGGCCTTCCTTGTTCACTTCCTCTGGACCAGAGACGCCCTATTAAAGCCCAGCTCAAATCCCTCCTGCCCAGACCTGACTACCCCAGGCTCAGATGATTTCAAACCTCCCTGAGCTCTTTCCACGCCACTGATGAGGTGGCCTTTCCCATACAGCAGTTCATCTCAATGTGTAATATACCATCCAACAGCATGGCGCAGACAGAGAATGGCCAGGAAGCACACGGGCTTCTGCTCATTGTTCTCCTGGGTTTTTCACAACATTTCATTTTAGAGTGTAAAAACAAATTTAAAACTTTGAAGCAAGAGCTAATAAAAATTCATCAGAAAGATAAGGGCTGGAATAATCTCAAAGTTTCATAAAGAAAAATAGTTTACTCAGGCAGTACAGAAAAATCCTCTCGTTTGGCTCTGGCTCTATCCACTGCTCAGCAGTGCTTGCCTCCCTCTAGCCTACGATTTTCATATCCTGTGCTTTCTCTGGGACTGTTTAGCAAGAGTGAGGAATGGAATTCAGCGGGTCAGGAACCTTTGAAAGCTGCACCAAGCATGTCCTGCAACCTGTACAAAATATTTGACAATTGTGTCATCAAGGCAAAAGCCATCCTTTGCTCTGACCCTAGGCTCATCATCTTTTATAAGCACGGAAAGAGGGTTTAGATATGAATCAAACTGAGGCCACTTCCTTCTTTAGGCTGTTTCACAATTTACAGCCTTGAAAACTGCTATTCCAGAGGAGAAAATCTGCTTCTGCCCTGATTGTGTTTTTCACAACATACGTGCCATAAATAGATTCTTCTGCTACCTCAGCCTTTGCTGAACGTTGGCTCCCTTAAGTCAAAAACAAAAACAAAAATAGCCACAGGGGAGCAGTGTCCCCAAAGAGGTCCTTCAAGCCTTCTTCCAGCTCTCAGAGGGGAGTATGCATTCCTATCTAATAATAAGCTATTTTATTTGTCAAGGTCTAAAGAAAAAGAAGCCCACAGCCTCCTCAGGACTAACAACTCTGACTGATAATGCAGCCCTCCTTTTAACCAAAATCCCTCCTGGTGGATCTAGAATTCATCTGTCAGCCCCTTCATGAGCTCCACTGAAGGACAGCACTGGGATCACCTGCATTGCTTCTCCCATGTACCTGGTGAAGAAAACAGATGGCAGAGGAGCCCATCCTCACTGCTGTGACGTGGAGTGGGGAATAACTAACTGGAGATGCCATTGACAGTGTCAGTGAGGGAGGTGGGTATTGCCCCTGGAAAGAAAATTACATAAAGACGTATAGCTATATCTTAAGGAGGCCATTGCTACAGTGCATATACTGTGAAAGATATATACTTCTCCCTCCTATACTAATTTGTCCTCATACAAGATGTCACCTGTGACACTAACCTACCAAGATAAACCCCCAGGAAATTCCCAATTAGGGAACAGGAGAGGGATAGGAGTGGAGAAGGATATCTGGCTCTAAGTCAAGAGTCCCCACCTGTCTTCAGCAATCGGAGTCCTTCCTGCTAGTGTGGAACTGGAGAGCTACGGAACTTTCCAGGGTAGAAATACATTGCTGTAAAAATGGATCAAAGCTCACTTTCAGGGCACAAGGCCACACACCCGTCAGCCATTAACCTACCAAGATAGGAAGCTCAGCAAGGGGGCTGTAATGATGACCCATTAATGATGTAATGATGACCCGTGTAAGCAGCTGCCAGCTGAGTACACGGCTGTTATATGTTTGTCTCAACTTTCACCCCTTGAGTTATGATGAAATGGATGGAACTCACAGAATTCCCCCACCAACAAGTCCCTCTCAGAGAACTCTATTTGTAAAAATACTCTGTTTACCAAAAAAGGTGTATTAATGGCGACTAGCAGAGCCCCAAGTCACTATAGCTCCTGACAACTGCAGGCTTTCTAATAACCCCATTTAACCCAGGCCTCATTGAAAACATGACTTCTGAGCCAAAGCTTGAAAGAGGTTGGGGAATGAGGCAGGGTGCAGTGGCTCACGCCTGTAATCCCAGCACTTTGGGAGGCCAAGGTGAGTGGATCACTTGAGGCTAGGAGTTCGAGACCAGCCTGGCCAATAGTTTCTACTAAAAATACACAAATTAGCCAGGTGTGGTGGTGCACACTGTAATCCCAGCTACTCGGGAGGCTGAGGCAGGAGAATTGCTTGAACCTGGGAGGCAAAGGTTGCAGTGAGCCGAGATCATGCCACTGCATTCCATCCTGGGTGACAGAGCAAGACTCCGTCTCAAAAATAAATAAGAAGAAGAAGAAGCTGGGGAATGAGCTACAGAAATATTTGAGTGAGGAGCTTTCCAGACAGAGGGGCTAGGCAAGCTAAGAGGTCACCAGTGGACTTCCCTCTCCCACATTCTGGAACCTCACTTTCCCCCATGCCCACAAGCAAGATCTTAGTCAGGCAGTGTCAGAAGCCAGGATGAAGCAGAGTCAGGGAGGCCAGAGCAAGCCAACATTTGTGAAGGAGGCCCAGGTTACCCTGTTATGCCTTAGGAATGATGGACAGGAAGAGACTCAGTAGTCCCAGAGTCTTTCTCCATCAGTGAGCCCACCTACTCCTCCACCCCAGACTCCCCCTTTGAGGAAGGACCCTACTCCCCCAAGGAAGCGGGGTCCCCCTCAAAGACCCCACTTCCTGCTGGATATTTCAAGATGGATATTGCTACAGTCTGAATGTTTATATCCCCCCAAAAAAGTCATATGTTAAAATTCTAACCCCTAATGTGATATTATTAAAAGATGGGGTCTTTGGGAAGTGAATGGGATTCATGTCATTATAAAAGGGACCCCAGGCCAGGTGTGGTGGCACATGCCTGTTATCCCAGCACTTTGGGAGGCCGAGGCCGGTGGAGCACCTGAGGTCAGGAGTTCTCAACCAGCCTAACTAACATGGTGAAACCCCGTCTCTACTAAATACAAAAAAAATTAGCCAGGCATGGGTGGCGTATGCCTTTAATCCGAGCTACTTGGGAGGCTGAGATAGAAGAATCACCTGTATCTGGGAGGTGGAGGTTGCAGTGAGCCGAGATTGCACCACTGCACTCCAGCCTGGGCAGGAGAAGCAAAACTCCATCTCAAAAAAAAAAAAAAAGGGGGGGGGGACCCCAGAGAACTAACTCACTCTCTCGCCATGTACAGACACAGCTAGAAGGTGCCATCTGTGAACTAGAATGTACGCCCTCAGCAGACCCCAAATCTGCCTTGATTTTGAACTTCCCAGCCTTCAGAACTATGAGAAATCGATTTCTGTTAGTGACAAGGCATTCTGCTTATGGCCTTTTGTTAGAGCAGCCCAAACAGACTAAGACAGATGCCCCATTACTTGTTGTTGTTGGCTTTTTTGTTTGTTTGTTTTGTTTTTTTGACATAGTCTCCCTCTGTCACCTAGGCTGGAGTGCAGTGGAGTGATCTAGGCTCACTCCAACCTCCACCTCCTGGGTTCAAGCGATTCTCCTGCCTCAGCCTCCCAAGTAGCTGGGATTACAGGCACATGCCACCATGCCCCGGCTAATTTTTGTATTTTTAGTAGGGACGGGGTTTCACCATGTTGGCCAGGCTGGTCTCAAACTCCTGACCTCAGGTCATCCTCTTGCCTCGGCCTCCCAAAGTGTTGAGATTACAGGTGTGAGCCAATGTGCCTGGCCACTCATTGCATTTTGAAGTCCACATGTTACAAACTGACCTCAGCATCTTTCCATGAAGCCCCTTCCTTCTCCTCTTAATTCAGAAATCTATTCTGTTACCCAAGCCAGAAACCTGGGGGTCATACTTGACTCTTCTTTCCCTCATGGCCTATATTGGACAGACAGGGTACACTGTCCTATCAATTCTACCTGCATAATATCTCCAGAATCCCTCCACTTCTCTGTTTCCCCTGCTATTGTCTTAATTCAGACATTGATCACATCCTAACCAAATCTAGCTTGTCCAAAATGATCTTTCTAAAACCAAATCTGACCGTGTCCCTCCCTTGCCTACAATTCTGCAGTGGCTTTCCATAATACCAGTTCCTGGCTCCTTAGAAAGACAAACAAGGCCCCCCAGGACATGGCCTGCCCCCCTCTCAGCCTCAGGTCTGACCACCCTCTCGTTCCACCCTGCGCCAGCCATCTGCCTGGGCTGCTTGTGGTCCCACCCCCTTGCTGGCATCTCCTGTCTTTGCATATGCAGCTCGCTTTATCTGAGATGCCTTTCCCGTCCTTCTTTGTCTGACTTGTTCTCATTTGTGCTCCAAGACCCTGCTGAGACATCACATCCCTGGGAGACCCTGCTGGCCTCCCCAGGATCTGTTAGTGCCAGCCCTTGCTGTGTCCCATCACACACTGCAATCAATTTTCCTCATGCTACAGTGCACTCATGTCTCTGAATTATAATGGTTTCTTTCTCCCTCACTAATTGGAACTTATTTAAGGCAATAGCTGTTTATCTCTCCTTGTCAAACAAATAGGAACCATCCCAAAGCCTCATAAAAAAAGAACGGTGTCCCAGGACTCCCCAGTTCAAGCCCTGCCCAAGCACAGCACAAGCTCCAGGTGACAGATGAGGGCAGATCACATGAGCTGGAGGGACAACTCTGTGGAGTCTCCTAAACCAGGGCACAGGCCATGAATATCAAGCCACTTCAAGCCATGGTTTCTCTAGGGTGAGCATCACTCAGGAAGGACATGAGATAATTTGAAGAACTTCTTTTGACTGTGCACCTACCGAGACTGCAAAACTGCCAAGTAAGCAGTTTCCCCTTCATGTCCTTGGGTTTCCATGTCTTCATAGTTCCCCTTCAGGGGCATCCCCTTCATTCATTCATTCACTTTGCTGCTCAGTACTGACTGAGTGCTTACTAGGTGGCAGGCACCATTCCTGGAGCTTGGACTGCATCAGCGACTGCAAGAGACAAGGGCTCATGTCCTTGGGGAGCTTGCTGTGTGTGAGAAAGAGCAGGCAGCAAACAATGAGCACAGAAATTCAGCAATTATATCGTGGTTTGGGGGGCACAAGTGCTGTGGAAGGCAGAGCAGGGTGAGGGAGACTGGGAGTGCTTGAGGGAAAGTGGCTGCAATTTAAAATAGGCCTCATTGAAAGCCTGACCGATGAGCAAAAGCTTGAAGGAAGTGAGGGAGTTAGCTACAGGGATATCGGAGCAAAGAGATTTCCCGGCAAAGCGAATGACCAGTGCAAAAACCCTGAACAGAAGGATGATATATCAGAAGAGTGACGCAATCCGATGTGTGTTTTTAAAAGCTCACTCTGAATTCTGTTAAGAATGCAGTCGGAGGCCAGATGCAGGGAGGCCAGTAAGCTAGGCTGGAGGCAATAAAGGCTGGGGCCAGGGTGGCTGCAGTGGAGAAGTGACCAGTGGTCAGACTATACATAAACTTGGAAGGAAGGGCCAACAGGCTTTCTGGATGGGTTAGATGTGGGATACAAGGAAGGAAAGGGGTTTCCAAATGCAACCAAAAAGACAATTTCTAGCAACTGACATGGGGAAGACTGTGGGTGGAATAAGATTTTATACCGACATGTGAAGTTTAAGGCCAGCATCCAGATAGAAATGTTGGATAAGGGGCCGGGCGAGCGCAGTGGCTCACGCCTGTAATCCCAACACTTTGGGAGGACGAGGTGGACGGATCACTTGAGGTTAGGAGTTTGAGACCAGCCTGGCCAACATAGTGAAACCCCAACTCTACTAAAAATACAAAAAAATTAGCCAGGCATGGTGGTGCCATCTGTAATCCCAGCTACACGGGAGGCTGAGGCAGGAGAATTGCTTGAATCCGGGAGGCAGACCCAGATTGCAGTGAGCCAAGATTGTGCTACTGTACTCCAGCTTGGGCGACAGAGTGAGACTCTGTCTCAAAAAAAAAAAAAGAAAAGAAAAGAAATGTTATAGGGCAGTTGGGTAGAGGAGCCTGGAGTTGGTGAGAGAGGCCTGTGTTAGAAATATGAATTTGAAAGTCATCAGGAGATAGTAGTTAATGCCAAGAGACTTTAAATACAATGAAGGAGGGAGTATTCTCTTGCTTTTAAAACAGCTCTCTTCACTCAAAACAAATAAATACAGGAAATAATCTGATATCATTACATGTAATTGGAAATAATCACAAAAATGTATTATATCTCTCCAGGTAATGGTATTTTTCCAATGCTGATAGCTATTATTATTCTATCATTATGAAACACTTGAGCATAACTCTGTGCTGAGTATACCAGGTCCAGCTATGCTGCCACAAAAACATTATTTCATTCTATTTTTTTGGCTGAATAGTATTCCATTATGTATATATACCACATTTTCTTTATATCAAATCATCTGTTGATGGACACTGAAGTTGATTTTTTTTTTTTTTTTTTTTGAGATGGAGTCTCGCTCTGTTGCCCATACTGGAGTGCAGCGGCGCAATCTCGGCTCACTGCAAGCTCTGCCTCCCAGGTTCACACCATTCTCCTGCCTCAGCCTTCTGAGTAGCTGGGACTACAGGTGCCCGCCACCATGCCCAGCTAATTTTTTGTATTTTTAGTAGAGATGGGGTTTCACCGTGTTAGCCAGGATGGTCTCAATCTCCTGACCTTGTGATCTGCCCACCTCGGCCTCCCAAAGTGCTGGGTTTACAGGCGTGAGCCACTGCACCCGGCTGATTTTTTTTTTTTTTTTTAAAGAAAAGGTCTCACTCTGTTGCCCAGGCTGGAATGCAGTGCCCTGAATATAGCTCACTATAACCTTGAACTCCCAAGCTCAAGCAATCCTTCTGCTTCAGCTTCCCATGCAGCTAGGACTACAGGTATGAGCCACCACACCCAGCTAATCTTTTATTTTTTGTAGAGATGAAGTCTTGTTCAGTTGCCCAGACTGGTCTTGAACTCCTGGCTTCAAGGGATCCTTCCACTTTGGTCTCCCAAAGTGCTGAGATTACAGGCATGAGCCACTACGCGCAGCCTGATTCCATAGTTTTGCTATTGTGAATAGTGCTGCAATGAACACACAAGTGCATGTATCTTTTTTACATAATGGTTTATTTTCCTTTGGTAGATACTCAGCAGCAGGATTGCTGGATCCAATGGTAGATCTATTTTCAGTTCTTTGAGAAATCTCCATACTGTTTTCCATAAAGGTTGGACTCATTTATATTCCTACCAACAGAGTATAAGCATTCCCTTTTGTTCACATCCTCCCCAACATCTGTTGCTTTTTGACTTTTTAGTAATAAACATAATGACTGGTGTGAGATGATATCTCATTGTCATTTTAATTTGCATTTCTCTAATGATTAGTAATGTTGAGATTTTTTCATATATCAAAAGAAAAAACTTTCAGACAACATTTTCCCCTTGCAACAAGGCAAATATACTTCCATATGCTAATAGATTTTAATCAAGATTTCTTTGGGGACTCTTTTATTATAGGAATAGATGTAAGCATTCATTGTAAGGAATAAAAATGTAATCTTAATCTAATTAATAAATATTCTAGTTGGCCCTTCCAGCACAGCTATTGGTTGATTTTCTGTCTTCAAAATAAAGAATATCTTCCACACTGATGCCCACATAGATGGGAACCTGATGAGGATAGGAGCACCCACACTGTTCCTCACTTTTTCTAGTACTGATGATGGATTTGTCGTAAGCCATTGCACTCTACTGCTGCTGTTCTTGGGATCAGATGGGCTTTGAGGTTCAATTTTGTGACCTTGAAACAGAAGCTTTTCCTGTGTGTACTAACCAGATGATGTGGGAATTAAATCCATAAGTTTCAATTCATGTGTACTAGAAAATCAATCCTATATTTAAGAGCATACTGTGGATTACACCAGCCTAGATAGTACAAGTATTCTTTAATTAATTAACCCACAACTGTTCATTACTGAGCAGCTACCATGTTCCAGGCACTGCACTAGGTTCTTCACTTCATAGTGATGTCTACAATATCAAACCTATGAGACCAATTAAAATGTACATTGATTTTTATGTACATGTCAGATATTTTGAAGAATCCCTTTAAAATTCAGTTTAGGTTTTTATCCTCCTAAAGATCATCTCTGACCCTCCCAGGCTGGGGGAGGCACCCTTCTTCTGAATTGTCCTAATACCATGTACATATTTCTATCCTTGAGTTGACCCCACTATTTTGTAGTTCTCTTTGTGTGTCTGTTCCTAAACTCAAACATGAAATCCACAAAGGCAAGAGACTCTGCTGACAAATCTTCCCAGCTGTACTTGGCACAGTGCTGCTGTCTGGTAAGTAATCAGTGTATTTTGGTTGAAGATATGAAAAAAATAGCAAACGAATAAATGAATGGAAAGAAATCACACCCATAAACTGGGACCTGAGTCAAAGCTCAAGGTTAAGGACTTTTCAGACTGGCAATGATTCTCACATGGGACCAGACAGTACCGCACCTACAACCTGCAATGCTCATTCCTTCCTTCCCCCATTTATTTAACAGCTAACTGTGTACCTACTATGTATTGAGAACTACGCAGAGTATGCACTGATAAACAGGAGATGGAATACTCGCCTTTGGAGAACTTATGTTTTCACAGTGCTCTTCAAATAACACCAACCTATGCCTGGTCTTCGGGAAATGCCATGTTTCACTGATCTAATTCCATCATGTTCCAGGAAATACTTCTAGCAGAAAATAATATTTTATGTAGAAGCAATATAATGTTATAATTCTGAAAGCACATCATAAAAGAATTAGCTGTACTGTGTTTTTCCATTGTTTAATTTACTAGATGCTCTTATTTATTGTCAGATAAATAGCAATAGGTACCAAAGAATTAACATAAATTTATGGACAGCAAGCTTTCACTTAAGAGAACTGAATCCACTTTCTGTAACCTAAGAATTGACCAT
Source organism: Homo sapiens (assembly GCF_000001405.40). Classification (NCBI taxonomy): domain Eukaryota; kingdom Metazoa; phylum Chordata; class Mammalia; order Primates; family Hominidae; genus Homo; species Homo sapiens. The sequence goes on along the minus strand of NC_000002.12, from coordinate 172,200,834 downwards.
CTGAATCCATTTTCTGTAACCTAAGAATTGATCATCACAGTTTGATTTCAGTGGAAAAAATAGCCGATTACTTTTGAGGAGTTAAGAGGTTAAGGTACATGCTCATGTCAAAGAGTGGCACCTACTGGCAGAATCTCATACTGCAGCATAGTTCTATTAGGCATTAACTATTAATAATACAGCAACGGAATCACTACAGAAACAATAGGATTAGTTTGGGAGATTTCTGTTCCCCAACAACCACACCATCTTCCTATTTGGGTAGAATCCCTCACTGTAAGATACCCCAACTTCTACTACAGAATTTAACATGGAGAGAACTGCATCTCTCTAACCTTGGGACTCAGCAAGTTGGGATTACCATTGATTTTGAATCTTAAGTAAGGGACCCCATGAAGAAGGGATGGGTAAATTAGGGTTGCAGCAATGGCAGAATCCAGCAGTGGTATGTGGGTCTAGCAGCAGCAACAGAATGCCCTCATCAGATTATTTCTGCTGCCTGGCCTCTCTTAGTACTTTCCTATTTTCAGCATCTGCTTTTCCAAACTTCCTGCCAATTCTGTGAACTAACATCCATCCAATAATTTCCTTTTCCACTTAAGGAAACCAGAGTAAGTTTCTGTTGCTTACAACCAAGAATCCTGGCTGATACACTACCTAACATTTATTGTCTTCTATCTGTCTGGGATTGTTCTTCACCCCACATACACATTATCTCATTTAGTCCTTCCCCAACAAAACCCTATGAGGTAAGATCAGAGCCCAAAATAGAGGCAAAAAGACTAAATAATTTTCCCAACTCATACAAGTAGTTTGGCAGAGCCAGGATATAAAATCAGCCAGTTCGATGCTATAACTAATTCTCTTAAGTATTTCGCTATCTCACAAAAGAAAAAATACTAGGGCTTTTGGAATTATGAAATTGAAAGACAGCTGGGCGTGGTGGCTCACGCTTGTAATCCCAGCCGTCTGGGAGGCTGAGGCGGGCGGATCATGAGGTCAGGAGATCAAGACCACAGTGAAACCCCATCTCTACTAAAAATACAAAAAAATTAGCCGGGCGTGGTGGCAGGTGCCTGTAGTCCTAGCTAATCGGAGAGGCTGAGGCAGGAGAATGGTGTGAACCCAGGAGGCGGAGGTTGCAGTAAGCCGAGATTGCGCCACTGCACTCCAGCCTGGGCGACAGAGCAAGACTCTGTCTCAAAAAAAGGAAATTGAAAGACAAGACTTGAGACATACTCCTAAGGCCTCTGGGCAGATGGAGCTGTGAATTGCAGAAAGAAATCCTGCAATGCTATAAGGAAAATAAAATATTAAAGTGAGATCAGAGACAATTTTGCCATAAGGGTAATGTAGCTTAAGTGCCCTTCATTTGCAAGGGGCCCCTTCCAAAGCCCTAAATTTAATTTTGTATTTATAAATTTGTATTATTTTTCTTAAGGAAATCCTCCAAAATGAGATAGGCTTCACATTCCAGAAAACCTGGATCCATCCCCTGGATGATACCATAAATTTATGAACTAGAGACTTATTTTCTAGCTCCAGGTTTGGATACCAAGAAGGGATTCTTTATAGAGAGACAGAGGCCTACAGAATACAAATAGAAGCACAGACAACCTTGGAGACCACACCTACTCTCCCGTGCCCTGGGGAGAAAAAAGGAGAGTAAGGAATTGTTTCTTACTACCCAGTCAGGGCTCAGTGCACATTTGTGGTATTTCAGGAACCCACAGGTCTCCAGAAAGCTGGCTGCCTTATCTTTCAACAAGAAGAAAGACAGGACATCTGTGCACCCACAGGCACAACAGCAGCAGCAAGGACTGGGGGTGAGTCCTCCTGTTTCAGGCCCAGACAGCCATCAGGCCCTTCTTACAGAACCAGCTAAATGTGGCCCTGACTCTGAGGAGGAGAGGACAGATACCACACCTTCTTGGGGAGACTAGAAGGATCCTGCCTTTATTTAATATGTTGATATTCTGTTCATCATCAATATTTTTTTTTTACCAATTTTGATTGCCCTACAATAGTATTTATCTCATTTATTGAGTTTTTTTGGTATCCCCCTTAAATTTTGTGCCTAAAGTGAGTGTTTCACTTGCCTTACCCTCGTCCTGGCCCTGACTAGGCAGATAATCACCAGGCACGTGAGGAGGGGCGTTTCCCCAGAAAAAATTACAATAACTCATCCAGTCATTTGCTTATATTTTCACCATAGAACTGTAGGCCAGATGCATCAGCCATCTTCATATCTAAGTCTTAGGAGCCTTAATTACTCTAAGGGATACTCAGAAAACCCAAATTGCGTTACTAAGTAGTATTTGTCTGGAAGGTTCTTGGCCTTAGGGCAGGATTGTCTTACTGAGGCAAACAAGGTTTTAGGCCAGTGGTTATTCCTCCCCAGGCTGCACTTAGGAAACTTTTGAAAAAGTTGCCAAGGTTCTACCTCTAGAGATTCTGACTTAATTACTCTGAAGTGACACCTAGGCCGGCTTTTTTAAGAGTTTTATTAAGATATAATTTGCATACCATAAAATTCACCCTTGTAAGTGTAATGATTTTTTATTAAGATATATAGTTGTATAATCAGCAGCACAATCTAGAATATGTAGAACCTTCCCTTCTCCCCAACAAGTCTCCTAGTGCCAATGTGTAGTTAGCCCCCATCCTCACCCCAGCCCCAGGCAGCACTGGTCTGCTCCTAGTCTTTAAAGATTGCAAGCACCAGTATTTTTCAGAAAGTTTTCCAAGTGATTCTAGTGCGCAGACATGGCTAAGAACTACCATTCTAGGCCTGGTCCCATGGCTCACACCTGTAATCCTAGCACTTTGGGAGGCCGAGGTGGGCAGATCACTTGAGGTCAGGAGTTCAAGACCAGCCTGACCAACATGGTGAAACCCCATCTCTATTAAAGATACAAAAGTGGCCGGGCATGGTGGTGGGTGCCTGTAATCCCAGCTACGTGGGAGGCTGAGGCAGGAGAATCACTTGAATCTAGGAGACAGAGGTTGCAGTAAGCTGAAATCACGCCACTGCACTCCAGCCTGGGCAACAAGAGCGAAACGCCATCTCAAAATAAAAATAAAAATAAAAACAAAAACAAGAACTACCATTTTAGACACCATAGAGCTAAACTCTCTCCTTAGTCCTGCCTCACAAAATCTGGATATTTTCTGTTAGAAGTTTTTCTTCTGGAAAAATATATCTTTAATTTCATATAAAAAAGTATTGCAGGAAATAGAATAAGTTTTATGACAAATAGCCTGTAGTCAACTTTGCCAAAATATCATTAAGTGAAAGATGTCTGTACACATATCCACACGCCTATAAGTATGATATGCCTCATTTCTACACAGGCTCAGGATACAGAGTTCTTCTGTTTTACGGTAAAATTAAAAGCTCAGGGTGCTATCATCAAAGTCATAGTCATTTCCTTAAAAATTAACAAAGAAACATTTACCTCAGACTGGAAAATTACAAGGATTACAAAACTATCGTCTTTAGATGTTCAAAAGTTCCTCAGGGGAAAGTTCCAGAGAAGTACAACGTATCTTTATGATTACGTTGCACAAACATGGAGATGATAATGCAGTAGTGCTGGAAAAGCCTAGAACAAACAATCACTGACAAGTTATCAGGTGGAGTTGAGGTCCTTCTGCCATTTTAGGCATGCAGGGCAAGCAAGCACTTGCACAGAGGTGAGCCCGAGGAACAGGAATGAACTTGAAATAATTCACAAAAAATGCCAGCCCCAGAGGTCTAGAAACACGTGTGAGCAAACCACAGCCAGAGGCTGCGGGGTGAGTCAGGGCTTTCTCAACACAAGCAATGCTTCTGCCTTCACGGGCCGAAACAGAGAACCGCAGACACCAACAGCCATCAACGCAGCCAGTGCGTGGGAAATGTTTCGGGGTGCAGTTACAAGACTCCACCCAGACCGCTCCCTAAAATTGCAAAGCTTTAAAACAGTGGCCCTCAGCCAAGAAGGGGCCGTCTTAGGTTAGGCCACTGAAGTTCTCCAGCAACGAGGTAGTCGGCAGTCAAGAGAGAAGCTTCCGAGGGAAAGTAGCCCTTAACTATGGATAAGGAACGTTTGCATTTTAGTGAAGTGGATGGCCCAAAGCCATGCTTTCTCTGCCTTCAGGTTTGAAATTCTCAACATTTACAAAGATATTGGGGGCAAAAGTTATCTCCTCCTCTGATTATCAATGAGTAGTTTCTCTGAATTCATAGTCCACAGGAAAATCTCAAATGACTTTGACAAAATCACCTGAGAAGGGTGAATAAAGAAGGGTGACTGAAGACACGCCACAGCCCACACTCCCCCACACCAAGTCACTAGAAATGACAGAAAATAATTTTAAATAAGTGAATTGGAAACAGTGAAGGTAAATAAAGAAAGGCAGCATCTAGCCAGAAATAATGAGCCATTCCTGAAAGACAGAAGACAGATCAAATCAGAGTAATGAATACAAATCACATCCAGGAGAGGCAGTTGCATGGAGTGGGGATGACTCCTTAAATCAGATGAAGAGGATATTGGGAGCTTGTGCAGACCAGGGTGGTTCTGGGCCACGATCAGAGCTGGTGGGACATCACAGTAGGACCGTCAGGCAGGTGCTCTCATTCACACGCACACAAACACACATGCACACAAACACAAACACATGCACACACACACACATGCACATGCATGCCAAACAGTAGGCACAGCAAGCCCCAGAGGCGTCCATACCCAGTGTTTGCACAGAGAAAGAGAGCAATGTTTCTGGTGGTTGGCCTCACCCAGAAGGAGGGGAAGCATCTTGTCCAGAAGACTCCACTGACTCACCTGCCCGGCCCCATGTCCTGCCCTACTGCCAGACGCAGTGCATTCTCAGACACACCTTCTGGGCCTCTCAAATCAGAAAGGAATACACAATCATAAACCAGGAAAGATTTGAAGAAAACCCTTACTGTGACAGAGAGGATGAATTACAACTAAGAAAAGAACTAACCTTCAAAAATGAAAGTCATCAAAACCCAGCAGGTGGGCTGACCAGCAGATAGACACAGCATAAGATAGACTTAGCAAAGAGGTAGAGTAGAGAAACTCCTCCAGAAAAAATAACAGGATAAAGAGATTAAACGTATGACAAAAACATGGAGGGTACATCCAGAAGAAAGAGAATCTAAGAGAGGAACTCACTAAAGAAATGATAGAAGAAAATTTCCTATAGCTGAGGAAATGCACGTGTCCTTGAATGAAAGGACCAACCTGGACATATTATGGTAAAAGTTCATAATGCCTAAAAACAAAGTACCTAAAATTAACAAGAATCAAATTACTATCTGACTTCCTGTCAACAAACAAATTTCAAGAAGCAATGGAGGCAGTAACATCAGCAGAAATGACAGAGCAAGGACCTCTGGAAATCTTCCCCTCTATATAAATACCATAAGAACACCAAAAATTGTCAAAACCAACTTTTTCAGAACCTGGTAATTAACCAAAGGCTTGCAATAATCTGGGGAGTATTTATTTAAGAAAATGATTAAGGCCAGGCGTGGTGGCTCACACCTGTAATCCCAGCACTTTGGGAAGCTGAGGCGGGTGGATCATGAGGTCAGGAGTTCAAGACCAGCCTGGCCAATATGGTGAAACCCCATCTCTACTAAAAATACAAAAATTAGCCGGGTGTGGTGGCATGCACCTGTAGTCCCAGCTACTTGGGAGGCTGAGGGAGAAGAATTGTATGAACCCAGGAGGCAGAGGTTGCAGTGAGCCGAGATCGCACCACTGTATTCCAGCCTGAGCGACAGAGTGAGACTCCATCTCATAAAAAAAAAAAGGAAAAGAAAAGAAAGAAAATGGTTAAACCTCAGTAACAACAGCAAGCTTTGTGGCATTTTGACTTGCCTTAGTCTCATTCCTCTATCCCCATACTCGTGGTTGCTCTGAAAACCAATAGCCACACAATTATTGTGAAAAACAGTAGCCTAGCAGCCTCTAAAGGGCACAGAAAAAGGTTGGAGCTTCTCCAAATCTTAATTCACATAAACTGTCATTATTTTACCTCCCTGGAAGTTATCTGGAAAAACCCACTCACAGTTTTTATCTTTGACCAGTCTCAGATCTCAGTGCAAATAGCCTTTTCCCTGGGACATTTGTCAAAAGTAGTAGCAATTGTTTAAGATCACAGCTGTCTGAGGCAGTGATAACAGTTGGGGCAAACAAACAAATAATACATGAGCCAAAAAAATTAAAAGGAAAAGCTGGCAAATGAGACACCCATTGGTGGTTTGAAAAGCTCCAAATATTCTCGGGAAACTAGAAGATTACATGAATGCATAGGGATGTGCGCATACCCAGTACCATGTAAATGCCCAGGAAAGACCCCAAAAGACCTTAAGTTCTTACCTCTGTCTGACCTTGGAAGGAAGTTGATACATTAGATTTACTATTAATAGAAAAAGACATTACATCAACTATTTTAAATGTATGCAAGGAACTACAGGAAACCATGTCTAAAGAAAAATATAAGAATGATCAATAAAGAGCTAGAAATCAGGCAGGAAAATTGCTTGAACCTGAAAGGTGGAGGTTGCAGTGTGTGGCTATTAGTTTTCAGAGCAACCATGAGTATGGGGATAGAGGAATGAGACTAAGGCAAGTTAAAATGCCACAAAGCTTGCTGTTGTTACTGAGGTTTAACCATTTTCTTTCTTTTCTTTTCTTTTCCATTTTTTTTTGAGATGGAGTCTCACTCTGTCACTCAGGCTGGAGTGAACTCGGCCAAGATTGCACCACTGCACTCCAGCCTGGGTGACAGAGTGACACTCCATCCAAAAAATAAAAATAAAAAAAGAGAGAGAGCGAGCTAGAAATAGTAAAAACAAACAAACAAAAAAACTAGAAATTCTAGAGTTAAAAAGTACAATAACTGAAATAAAAAATTCATTAGAGGGACTTAACATCAGATTTGGTCAGGCAGAAGAAAGAATAGTAAACTTGAAGATAAGTCAATTAAGATTATACAATTTGAGGAACAGAAAGAACAACAAAAATGAACAGAACTTCAGGGACATGTGGAGCACCATCAAGTATACCAATATGCACCCACTGGAAGTCTCAGAAGAGGGAAGAAAGAGATGGAAAGAATATTTGATAAAATAATAGCTAAAATGTCTAAATTTTATGAAAAACATTAACCTACGCATTCAAGAAGCTTCACAAAATTCAAGTAGAATAAATTCAAAGAGACCTGCACCTAGACACATTATCACCAAATTTTCAAAAGACAAAGAGAATTCTGAAAGGAGGAAAAGCCACACATCATCTACAATGGATCTGCAATAAGATTAACAGCTGATTTCTCATCAGAAATCATGGAGGCCAGAAGGCAGTGGGATGACATATTTAAAGTGACAAAAGAGTTAGGCAGCCAAGATGGCCGAATAGGAATAGCTCCGGTCTACAGCTCCCAGTGTGAGCGACACAGAAGATGGGTGATTTCTGCATTTCCATCTGAGGTACCGGGTTCATCTCACTAGGGAGTGCCAGACAGTGGGCGCAGGACAGTGGGTGCAGCGCACTGTGTGCAAGCCAAAGCAGGGCGAGGCATTGCCTCACTCGGGAAGCACAAGGGGTCAGGGAGTTCCCTTTCCTAGTCAAAGAAAGCAGTGACACATGGCACCTGGAAAGTCGGGTCATTCCCACCCTAATACTGCGCTTTTCCGACGGGCTTAAAAAACGGCGCACCAGGAGATTATATCCTGCACATGGCTCGGAGGGTCCTACGCCCACGGAGTCTCGCTATTGCTAGCACAGCAGACTGAGATCAAACTGCAAGGCGGCAGCGAGGCTGGGGGAGGAGCGCCCGCCATTGCCCAGGCTTGCTTAGGTAAACAAAGCAGCTGGGAAGCTCAAACTGGGTGGAGCCCACCACAGCTCAAGGAGGCCTGCCTGCCTCTGTAGGCTCCACCTCTGGGGGCAGGGCACAGACAAACAAAAAGACAGCAGTAACCCTGCAGACTTAAATGTCCCTGTCTGACAGCTTTGAAGAGAGCAGTGGTTCTCCCAGCATGTAGCTGGAGATCTGAGAACGGGCAGACTGCCTCCTCAAGTGGGTCCCTGACCCCTAACCCCCAAGCAGCCTAACTGGGAGGCACCCCCCAGTAGGGGCAGACTGACACCTCACACGGCCGGGTACTCCTCTGAGACAAAACTTCCAGAGGAATGATCAGACAGCAGCATTCACGGTTCACGAAAATCCACTGTTCTGCAGCCACCGCTGCTGATATCCAGGCAAACAGGGTCTGGAGTGGACCTCTAGCAAACTCCAACAGACCTGCAGCTGAGGGTCGTGTCTGTTAGAAGGAAAACTAACAAACAGAAAGGACATCCACACCAAAAACCCATCTTTACATCACCATCATGAAAGACCAAAAGTAGATAAAACCACAAAGATGAGGAAAAAACAGAGCGGAAAGACTGGAAACTCTAAAAAGCAGAGCGCCTCTCCTCCTCCAAAGGAACACAGTTCCTCACCAGCAACGGAACAAAGCTGGACGGAAAATGACTTTGATGAGTTGAGAGAAGAAGGCTTCAGACGATCAAACTACTCCGAGCTACAGGAGGAAATTCAAACCAAAGGCAAAGCAGTTAAAAACTTTGAAAAAAATTTAGACGAATGTATAACTAGAATAACCAATACAGAGAAGTGCTTAAAGGAGCTGATGGAGCTGAAAGCCAAGGCTCGAGAACTACGTGAAGAATGCAGAAGCCTCAGGAGCCAATGCGATCAACTGGAAGAAAGGGTATCAGTGATGGAAGATGAAATGAATGAAATGAAGCAAGAAGGGAAGTTTAGAGAAAAAAGAATAAAAAGAAATGAACAAAGCCTCCAAGAAATATGGGACTATGTGAAAAGACCAAATCTACGTCTGATTGGTGTACCTGAAAGTGACGGGGAGAATGGAACCAAGTTGGAAAACACTCTGCAGGATATTATCCAGGAGAACTTCCCCAGTCTAGCAAGGCAGGCCAACATTCACATTCAGGAAATACAGAGAACGCCACAAAGATACTCCTCAAGAAGAGCAACTCCAAGACACATAATTGTCAGATTCACCAAAGTTGAAATGAAGGAAAAAATGTTAAGGGCAGCCAGAGAGAAAGGTCGGGTTACCCATAAAGGGAAGCCCATCAGACTAACAGCTGATCTCTCGGCAGAAACTCTACAAGCCAGAAGAAAGTGGGGGCCAATATTCAACATTCTTAAAGAAAAGAATTTTCAACCCAGAATTTCATATCCAGCCAAACTAAGCTTCATAAGTAAAGGAGAAATAAAATCCTTCACAGACAAGCAAATGCTGAGAGATTTTGTCACCACCAGGCCTGCCCTACAAAAGCTCCTGAAGGAAACACTAAACATGGAAAGGAACAGCCAGTATCAGCCACAGCAAAAACATGCCAAATTGTAAAGACCATCAAGGCTAGGAAGAAACTGCATCAACTAACGAGCAAAATAACCAGCTAACATCATAATAACAGGATCAAATTCACACATAACAATATGAACCTTAAATGTAAATGGACTAAATGCTCCAATTAAAAGACACAGACTGGCAAATTGGATAAAGAGTCAAGACCCATCAGTGTGCTGCATCAGGAAACCGATCTCAGATGCAGAGACACATATAGGCTCAAAATAAAGGGATGGAGGAAGATCTACCAAGCAAATGGAAAACAAAAAAAGGCAGGGGTTGCAATCCTAGTCTCAGATAAAACAGACTTTAAACCAACAAAGATCAAAAGAGACAAAGAAGGCCATTACATAATGGTAAAGGGATCAATTCAACAAGAAGAGCTAACTATCCTAAATATATATGCACCCAATACAGGAGCACCCAGATTCATAAAGCAAGTCCTGAGTGACCTGCAAAGAGACTTAGACTCCCACACAATAATAACGGGAGACTTTAACACCCCACTGTCAACATTAGACAGATCAACAAGACAGAAGGTTAACAAGGATACCCAGGAATTGAACTCAGCTCTGCACCAAGCGGACCTAATAGACATCTGCAGAACTCTCCACCCCAAATCAACAGAATATACATTTTTTTCAGCACCACACCACACCTATTCCAAAATTGACCACATAGTTGGAAGTAAAGCTCTCCTCAGCAAAGGTAAAACAACAGAAATTATAACAAACTGTCTCTCAGACCACAGTGCAATCAAACTAGAACTCAGGATTAAGAATCTCACTCAAAACCGCTCAACTACATGGAAACTGAACAACCTGCTCCTGAATGACTACTGGGTACATAACGAAATGAAGGCAGAAATAAAGATGTTCTTTGAAACCAACGAGAACAAAGACACAACATACCAGAATCTCTGGGACACATTCAAAGCAGTGTGTAGAGGGAAATTTATAGCACTAAATGCCCACAAGAGAAAGCAGGAAAGATCTAAAATTGACACCCTAACATCACAATTAAAAGAACTAGAAAAGCAAGAGCAAACACATTCAAAAGCTAGCAGAAGGCAAGAAATAACTAAAATCAGAGCAGAACTGAAGGAAAGAGAGACACAAAAAACCCTTCAAAAGCTTAATGAATTCAGGAGCTGGTTTTTTGAAAGGATCAACAAAATTGATAGACCGCTAGCAAGACTAATAAAGAAGAAAAGAGAGAAGAATCAAATAGACACAATAAAAAATGATAAAGGGGATATCACCACCGATCCCACAGAAATACAAACTACCATCAGAGAATACTGCAAACACCTCCATGCAAATAAACTAGAAAATCTAGAAGAAATGGATAAATTCCTCGACACATACACCCTCCCAAGACTAAACCAGGAAGAAGTTGAATCTCTGAATAGACCAATAACAGGAGCTGAAATTGTGGCAATAATCAATAGCTTACCAACCAAAAAGAGTCCAGGACCAGATGGATTCACAGCCGAATTCTACCAGAGGTACAAGGAGGAGCTGGTACCATTCCTTCTGAAACTATTCCAATCAATAGAAAAAGAGGGAATCCTCCCTAACTCATTTTATGAGGCCAGCATCATCCTGATACCAAAGCCTGGCAGAGACACAACAAAAAAAGAGAATTTTAGACCAATATCCTTGATGAACATTGATGCAAAAATCCTCAATAAAATACTGGCAAACCGAATCCAGCAGCACATCAAAAAGCTTATCCACCATGATCAAGTGGGCTTCATCCCCGGGATGCAAGGCTGGTTCAATATACGCAAATCAATAAATGTAATCCAGCATATAAACAGAAGCAAAGACAAAAACCACATGATTATCTCAATAGATGCAGAAAAGGCCTTTGACAAAATTCAGCAACCCTTCATGCTAAAAACTCTCAATAAATTAGGTATTGATGGGACGTATCTCAAAATAATAAGAGCCATCTATGACAAACCCACAGCCAATATCATACTGAATGGGCAAAAACTGGAAGCATTCCCTTTGAAACTGGCACAAGACAGGGATGCCCTCTCTCACCACTCCTATTCAACATAGTGTTGGAAGTTCTGGCCAGGGCAATTAGGCAGGAGAAGGAAATAAAGGGTATTCAATTAGGAAAAGAGGAAGCCAAATTGTCCCTGTTTGCAGACGACATGATTGTATATCTAGAAAACCCCATTGTCTCAGCCCAAAATCTCCTTAAGCTGATAAGCAACTTCAGCAAAGTCTCAGGATACAAAATCAATGTGCAAAAATCACAAGCATTCTTATACACCAATAACAGACAAACAGAGAGCCAAATCATGAGTGAAATCACATTCACAATTGCTTCAAAGAGAATAAAATACCTAGGAATCCAACTTACAAGGGATGTGAAGGACCTCTTCAAGGAGAACTACAAACCACTGCTCCATGAAATAAAAGAGGATACAAACAAATGGAAGAACATTCCATGCTCATGGGTAGGAAGAATCAATATCATGAAAATGGCCATACTTCCCAAGGTAATTTATAGATTCAATGCCATCCCCATCCAGCTACCAATGACTTTCTTCACAGAATTGGAAAAAACTACTTTAAAGTTCATATGGAACCAAAAAAGAGCCCGCATCACCAAGTCAATCCTAAGCCAAAAGAACAAAGCTGGAGGCATCATGCTACCTGACTTCAAACTATACTACAAAGCTACAGTAACCAAAACAGCATGGTACTGGTACCAAAACAGAGATATAGGTCAATGGAACAGAACAGAGCCCTCAGAAATAACGCCACATATCTACAACTATCTGATCTTTGACAAACCTGAGAAAAACGAGAAATGGGGAAAGGATTCCCTATTTAATAAATGGTGCTGGGAAAACTGGCTAGCCATATGTAGAAAGCTGAAACTGGATCCCTTCCTTACACCTTATACAAAAATTAATTCAAGATGGATTAAAGACTTACATGTTAAACCTAAAACCATAAAAACCCTAGAAGAAAATCTAGGCATTACCATTCAGGACATAGGCATGGGCAAGGTCTTCATGTCTAAAACACCAAAAGCAATGGCAACAAAAGCCAAAATTGACAAATGAGATCTAATTAAACTAAAGAGCTTTTGCACAGCAAAAGAAACTACCATCAGAGTGAACAGGCAACCTACAAAATGGGAGAAAATTTTCACAACCTACTCATCTGACAAAGGGCTAATATCCAGAATCTGCAATGAACTCAAACAAATTTACAAGAAAAAAACAAATAACCCCATCAAAAAGTGGGCGAAGGACATGAACAGACACTTCTCAAAAGAAGATATTTATGCAGCCAAAAAACACATGAAAAAATGCTCACCATCACTGGCCATCAGAGAAATGCAAATCAGAACCACCATGAGATACCATCTCACGCCAGTTAGAATGGCAATCATTAAAAAGTCAGGAAACAACAGGTGCTGGAGAGGATGTGGAGAAATAGGAACACTTTTACACTGTTGGTGGGACTGTAAACTAGTTCAACCATTGTGGAAGTCAGTGTGGCGATTCCTCAGGGATCTAGAACTAGAATTACCATTTGACCCAGCCATCCCATTACTGGGTATATACCCAAAGGACTATAAATCATGCTGCTATAAAGACACATGCACACGTATGTTTATTGTGGCACTATTCACAATAGCAAAGACTTGGGACCAACCCAAATGTCCAACAATGATAGACTGGATTAAGAAAATGTGGCACATATACACCATGGAATACTATGCAGCCATAAAAAACGATGAGTTCATGTCCTTTGTAGGGACATGGATGAAATTGGAAATCATCATTCTCAGTAAACTATCGCAAGGATAAAAAACCAAACACCACATGTTCTCACTCATAGGTGGGAATTGAACAATGAGAACACATGGACACAGGAAGGGGAACATCACACTCTGGGGACTGTTGTGGGGTGGGGGGAGGGGGGAGGGATAGCATTAGGAGATATACCTAATGCTAAATGACGAGTTAATGGGTGCAGCACACCAGCATGGCACATGTATACATATGTAACTAACCTGCACATTGTGCACATGTACCCTAAAACTTAAAGTATCATAATAATAAAATAAAATAAAAATAAAATAAAGTGACAGTAGAAAAAGACCATCAACCAAGAATTTTATATCTACAAAATTATCCTTCAAAAATGAAGGAGGAAGAAAAGTCCTAAAATTCATATGAAATATCAACGGATCCTAAATAGCCAAAACAATCTTGAAAAAGAAGAACAAAGTTAAAGGACCCATACTTCCTGATTTCAAAACACACTAGAAAGCAACAGTAATGAAAACAGTATGGTTTTGACATAAGGACAGACATAAAGATCAATGAAAAATAATTGATATCCCAGAAATAATCCCTTTAATAAATAATCAAATAATTTTTTGACAAGGGTGCCAAGACTATTTAATGGGGAAACAACAGTCTTTTCAACAAATGGTGCTGGGAAAACTAAATATCCACATACAAAAGAATGAAGTTGGATCCTTACCTTATACCATATACAAAAATTAACCAAAAATGGATCAAACACCAAAACATAAGAATTTAAACTATAAAACTCTAGAAGAAAATAGGGGAAACATTTTCATGACATTAGATTTGGCAGTGACTTCTTGGATATGACATGAAAAGCACAGACAACACAAGAAAAAAAAAACAGATATATTGGACTTCATCAAAATTAAATATTTTGTTTGTAATAAACAAAAGGACACTATCAACAGAGTGAAAATGTAACCTGCAATATGGAGAAAATATTTGCAAATCATATACCTGACAAGGAGATAATATCCAGAATATATAAGGAATTACAATTTAACAACAACAGCAACAACGACAACAACAAACTCAATTCAAAAATGGGCAAATAAGCAAAAAGAATAAAGCCAGAGGTATCAAATTACACAACTTCAAACTACACTACAAGGCTACAATAACCAAAACAACATGGTACTGGCACAAAAACAGACACATAGACCAATGGAACAGGACAGACAACCCAGAAATAAAGCCACACACCTGTAACCATCTGATCTTAACGAAGTCAACAAAAATAAGCAATACAGAAATAACTTCATATTCAATAAATGGTGCTGGGCTAACTGGCTGGCCATATACAAAAGAATGAAACTGGACTCCTACCTTTTGCCATATACAAAAATCAACTCAAGATGGATTAAAGACTTAACCGTAACACCTAAAAATATAAAAATCTTAGAAGAAAACCTAGGAAGTTCCATTCTGGACATAGGCCTTGGTGAAGATTTTATGATGAAGTTTTGAAAAGCAATTGCAACAAAACCAAGAACAGACAAGTGGGACCTAATTAAACTCAAGAGCTTCTTCATGGCAAAAACAAAACAAAACAAAAAAAAAACTATCAACAGAGTAAACAGACAACCTAGAGAATGAGAGAAAATATTCACAAACTATGCATCAGAACAAAGGTCTAATATCCAGAATCTATAAAAAACTTAATTCAAAAAGCAAAAAACAAATAAACTCATTAAAAAGTGGGCGAAGGACATGAACAGACACTTCTCAAAAGAAGACATACAAGCGGCCAACAAACATGAAAAAATGCTCCACATCATTAATCATTAGAGAGATGCAAATCAAAACCACAATGAGATACCATCTCACACTAATCGGAATGACTATTACTAAAAAGTCAAAAAATAACAGATGTTGGTGAGGTTGCAGAGAAAGGGGAATGCTTGTGCACTGTTGGTGGGAATGTAAATTAGTACAACCTCTATGGAAAGCAGTTTGGAGATTTCTCAAAGAACTGAAAACAGAACTACCATTTGACCCAGCAGTCCCATTACTGGGTGTATACCCAAAAGAAAATAAATCATTCAACCAAAAGACACATGCACTTGTGTGTTCGTCACCGCCCTACTCATAATAGCAAAGACATGGAATCAATCTAGATGCCCATTAGTAGTAGATTGGACAAAGGAAACATGGCACATATACACCATAGAATATTATGCAGCCATAAAAAAGAATGAAATCATGTCCTTTGCAGCAACATGGAATCAGATGGAGGCCATTATCCTAAGTGAATTAAGACAGGAACAGAAAACCAAATACTGCATGTTCTCACTTACAAGTGGGAACTAAATATTGAGTACACATATGGAAACAATGGACACTGGCAACTACTACAGAGGGAGGGAGGGGAGAGAGACTTGGAAAAACTACCTATTGGGTACTATGCTCACTATCTGGGTAGCACGATCATTTCTACCCCAAACCTCAGCATTATACAACATATCCATGTAACAAACCTGCATGTGTACCTCTGAACCCAAAATAAAATTGAATTTTTTTAAAAAAGAAGTAATTAGATGAATTAAAGTCTTTTCACTCCAGTCACAAGACTTCCTCTTAAGTACTTCCATGACTTTGTAAAATATTCTTTGCTTTAATTTTCACATTAACCCAATAGTTATTTAAGTTGATCTTAAATAAAACTTGCATGTGGCTAGATATTACTTGTTGATTTCATTTCACTGACATTTCTACTGTCATTTCACAGAGTTTAGAAAATATGGTCTGTTAGATTTCTACTTTCATGAAGTTACTGACATTTTTAGGCCTAAAATTTTTCTTTTAAATGCTTTTGTCTGGAATTTAAAAATAACATGTACACTATGTTTACCTGTCGTAAATTCTGTTCGTTTACCTGATTCTCATCAAACTTTCTAATAAAGGTATTTAACACTCTCTATATTCATTATTTGTTGTATACCAGAAGTTTGATGTTATAATAGTTTAATGCTATCTAATATGCTTTTTAATATGTCCATTTCTCATTTATATGAATGTTTGTGTTATACATTTTAATCTCTTAAATATTAAATTTATACATGCAAATGTCTTGGTGAAAAAATGGGCAAAAAACTTAGGCCAGGCTCAGTGGCTCCCACCTATAATCCCAGCATTTTGGGAGGCCAAGGCAAGGGAATCACTCGAGCCCGGGAGTTCAAGACCAGCCTGGACAATACAGCAAGACCCAGTCTCTACACAAAATAAAAAATTTAGCCAGGTGTGGTGGTGCATGCCTGTGTCCCAACTACTTGGGAGGCTGAGAAGGGAAGATCACTTGGGCCCAGGAGGTCAAGGCTGCAGTGAACCATGATGGCACTCCTGTACTTTAGCCTGGGTGACAGAGCAAGACCATGTCTCAAAAAAAAAAAATTGAATAAACATTTCTTCAAAGAAGATATACAGATGTCAATAAGCACATGAAAAGATGCTCGATATCATTAATTATTAGGGAAACGCTAATCAAAACCACAATGAGATATCACTTCACACCTATTAGAAAGGCTACTACCAAAAAAATATAAAACACACACAAAATAACAAGTATTGGCAAGCATATGGAGCAATTGGAACCCTCATACAACGCTGGAGAGAATGGGAAATGGTGCAGCCACTGTGGAAAACAGTGTGGAGGTTCATGGATAAATTAAATATAGAATTACCATCTGTTCCAGCAACTCTACTTTTGGGTATACACTTTTTACTTAAGAGGAAGTGTTGTGACTTTTGGGTGAATGAATTGAAAGTAAGGGCCTGGATATTTGTACACTAATGTTCATAGCAGCATTATTCACAATAGCCAACAGGTGAAAACAATCTAAATATCCATTCATGGTACATACATACAATGGAATATCATTCATCCTAAAAAGGAGTGAAATTCTGACACATTCTACAACATGGATGAACCTTGAAGACATTATGCTAAGTGAAATAAGCCAGTTACAAAAGCACAAACATTGTGTGATTCCACTTATGTGAAGTAGTCAAATTCACAGAGACAAAAAGTAGAATGGTGCTTGCCAGGGGCTGGGGAAAGAAGGAAATGGGGAGTTATTGTTTAATTGGTATAGTGTTTCAGTTTGAGAAGATGGAAAAAGTTATGGGGATAGATGATGGTAATGATTGTTGAATAATATGAATATACTTAATGCCACTGAACAGTACACTTAAAAATGGCTAAAATAGCAAGTTTTATGTTATGTATATTTTATCGCAATATAAAAAGACTGCTATTCTCTCTTACCTAGTAATCCAATTTTGAGACTGAATCTTAAGGAAAGAGAAAAAGCAAAGATTTAGTTGCAAGCATGAAAACTATCTAAATGTCTAGCAAAAGGGGAAAGTTTAAAGTAAGCCATACAACTTCTCATGGATTGAACACTCTGCAACATCTAAAGTGTTAATAAAGTATCTTATTGAGGTGGAAAACACTCTTGACCAGGCACAGTGGCTCACACCTACCACTTTGGGAGGCCGAGGCTAGTGGATTGCTTGAGACCAGGAGTTGAAGACCAGCCTGGGCAACAAGATGAGACCCCCGTCTCCACAAAAAATACAAAAATTAGCCAGGTGTGATGGCACACACCTGTAGTCCCAGCTACTTGGGGAGGCTGAGGTGAGAGGATCGTATGAGCCCAGGAGGTCAAGGCTGCAGTGATGCAATCAAGGCTGCAGTGAGCCATGATTGCATCACTGCACTCCAGCCTAGGCAACAGAGTGAGAGCCCGGTCTCAAAAAGAAAAAAAGAAAATGCTCTCAAATGTCAAGCTGAGTACAGAAGAAAGCAAGATACAAACCAGTGTGAAAATAATAATTAAGTAATAATATTCAAAAATAAATACCCCAAAATATTTTTAAAGTGTTTTAAAATTATGACTGGTTTTATTTTCATTAAACTTATTTGTTTTTCCTAATTTTCTTTAATGAGCATGTACTTTTTTCTAGAGGGGAAAAAAAGTTTAGTTACGTATAAGGTCTTAAAAGAATAAATAAAGGGAAAAGGCCCTAAACCACATGATGGGTTTCATAAAGAAAGTGAAGATGCGAAGGTCAATTAGAACTTCCCTAAGGGGAGAGCTATCATAAACAGAAATTGGTCTCCAAATAGAAGTCACAGAAATTTTGCGAGAGGTCTGTGGAAATAAGAGAAATCAAGATCCTTTCCACTTGTAAGAATAGAAAACAGATTTTCCTGTCGCTTTCTAGACTTACCATTCTAACTATTATCAGAGCCAGAGTTGGGTTGGTGGGGGAGGTCTCAAAAATCCACATAAAGGGGTTGGAGTGTTTTCAGAAGACAATCAAAAGCCAAAGACTGTTTCTGTGGCATGTTTCAGGCATCATACAGAGAGCAGAAGGAGGCAGTGTCCCAGAGAACCCCAGGAGTAAATGTCTGCTTTAACAAAGGCCTCAAGGGCTTCCATTTGCATCTGTATCAAGAAAGAAAACAAACAGAACCTTTTTTATGGTGCACATTCCAGTACACAGCCCACGCCCACGTGCATTGCTCCGCCTGCCCCTCAGCCTCCCTGAGATCTCTGTGCTCAGCCTAGGGAGATAAAGTAGTGCCATTGTAGTCATAATTGCAGCTTCTTCCTTATGCTGGAGAGACACTCAGGAGGGCTTCCAGGACCCAAAAGTATATCACAGTAAGATGGGGATTGGCCCAACCCCTCACAGGGCAAGATGCTATTTCCTGAGGTCTTTTTACATTTTTTTTTTCCTCTGACTTTAGAATTTATAAACCATTTTAGACTTACATACAACCTGTTGCTGCAGTTACATCCCCTAAGATCTGATGGTTTTAAGATCTACTAGGGGATTGGGGGAAGGGTGTTTTGTTATGTTTTGTTTTGTTTTGTTTTGTTTTGTTTTGTTTTAGAGAAGGGGTCTCACTATTTTGGACTCAAATTCCTGGGCTCAAGTAATCCTCCAGCCTCAGCTTCCCCAGTAGCTGGGACTACAGGCACAAGCTGCCATGTCTGGCTCTATTTGAAAAGACAATTTTTTTTTAATGTGAAAGCATCCCCAGAAGTCAAACAGCAACACAGGAAATAAATGAATGACTTTTTTAAAAAGTTAGCAATTTAATTGTGAAACTAAGTCCAAGTCTCCACAGCAGATATTGAACCAGACAGGTTCACTGTTTCAACAAACATATTGAGTACCTGCTATGGGCCAAGAATACAGCACCTGCTGAGCCTCGCTTGGGGGAGGTAGGATGGTCCAGTATGGAAGAGACAAAGCTTATCTATCCCAGCACCTCCAAGAGCATCCAGGGCTCCAGTGAGGGAACAATGGTT
Source organism: Homo sapiens (assembly GCF_000001405.40). Classification (NCBI taxonomy): domain Eukaryota; kingdom Metazoa; phylum Chordata; class Mammalia; order Primates; family Hominidae; genus Homo; species Homo sapiens. The sequence goes on along the minus strand of NC_000002.12, from coordinate 172,181,192 downwards.
AGTGACGCATGCAGCAAAAATGAAGGACCCCCTTTTCACTTAGATGACCAGAGATACCATCATGGGGGTATCAGAGCTGTGTTTAGAAGGACAAGAATTTTGGCCAGGCGTTGTGGCTCACACCTATAATCCCAGCACTTTGGGAGGGCAAGGCAGGCGAATCACCTGACATCAGGAGTTCAAGACCAGCCTGGCCAACATGGTGAAACCCCATCTCTACAAAAATAACCAAAAAAAAAATTAGCCAGGCGTGATGGTGGGTGCCTGTAATCCCAGCTACTGGGGAGACTGAGGCAGCAGAATCGCTTGAACCCAGGATGCGGAGGTTGTAGTGAGCTGAGATCGTGCCACTGCACTCCAGCCTGGGCGACAGAGTAAGACTCTGGCTCAAAAAAAAAAAAAAAAAAAAAAGAAGGACAAGAATTTCAATAAGCAAAGCCATGAGGAGAAAGCAACGCAGAGAGAGGAATCTGAGGAAAACCAAGAGAAATGAGACAGTTTCTGGTGTTTTTACCTAGGTCATCTCAACTCTAGATGACATCCGGCCACTAGACTCCAGGAGCTGGGGCATCTTTCCTTTGGCCTGAAAGCTGAAGGGAGTGAAGCAAGGACAGGCATGGGAGGGACTATTCGGAGGCAGAGGTCAGAGAGAAGGAAGAATTGTGGATGCCTTCTTGACACATTGGCCTTAGGGCTGCCCTGTCAGCCCATCCCAGTCACTGTCTCTCTAACCTGCTGGCTTTTTCAGACAGTCTTGGGGATTATTAGGTGACAAGAAGCAGGTACTTGGGGGAATTACATCGGATATGAGCATTTTCAAACTAAATGTCAGTTAGTTCCCCTGTCATCACCATAGTCCAGAAATCTGTGCTGATATTTGCAAACAGATAAAGGACACCAGGGGCCAGGCACAGTGGCCCACACCTGTAATCCCAGCACTTTGGGAGGCCAAGGCATGAGGATAACTTGAGGCCAAGAGTTCAAGACCAGCCTGGCCAACATGGTGAAACTATTTCTCTAAATAATCCATCCTACTCCCTTCCCTGCTTCACTCCCTTCAGCTTTCAGGCCAAAGGAAAGATGCCCCAGCTCCTGGAGTCTCCTGGCTGGATGTCAGCTAGAGTTGAGATGACCTAGGTAAAAAGACCAGAAAGCTGTCTCATTTCTCTTGGTTTTCCTCAGATTCCTCTCTCTGCATTGCTCTCTCCTTACGGTTTTGCTTATTGAAATAAAGACTTGAAATAAGACTGTCTGGAAAGGCAGCCTCTACAAAAATTACAAAAAGCTGGGCACGGTGGCACATGCCTGTAACCCCAGCTACTCAGGAGGCTGAGGCACAAGAATCACTTGAACCCAGGAGGCAGAAGTTGCACATTCAGCAGAGATCATACCACTGCACCACTGCACCACTGCACTCCAGCCTGGGCGAAACAGTGAGACTCTGTCTCAGATAAATAAATTAATAAAATAAAATAAAATAAAAAGTAACACCAGGGAGCCAACTCGCAGAGCTGAAGAACAGAAGCTGCCGCTGTCATCTTGTAAAATTAGCATAGGTACCCTCGTGTGTGGCCACAAGCTAGAGAGGAGGTCATTACACCTTGCAATTTTCTCAGACACTTGCCAAACCACCCAACAATGAGCCACCTTCCTGGTTAACCACAGGGAGGGCTGAGGGTGGGGCAGTCACAGGATCAGACTCTGGCTCTAACTCAGCCTTGGGGAAATGTTGCTCCTTCTGGGAAATCCCTCATGGCTGCATCTGCTGCATCTACCATCAATGGGCAATGCCTGGCCCAACTCAGAGCCACAGGTCCTCTGGTCATGCCAGGTTTGCTGCAGAGAGGAGAGAAGAAAAAGGAGGAATGCATTGTAAAGTGCCTTAAAGTTCTCTGATGAGGAGTGATTTACATAAATCTGGTCACATCCACACTATAGAACATTGTGTGCTAAAAAAAATGAAGGCACTCTACTGTGCTGACAAGGGAGGTCACCTCCATAATATGGTACTAGGTGAAAAAGGCAAAGTGCACAGCAGACATAAGAGAATGAGCCCATAGGTTTATGTAAAGTATACATATATTCTTGCAAATACATAGGACGTTTCTGGAATGCTATATTAAATAGAAGTAACTGTCTTATTCCTGGGGATGGGGGGGATAGAGGGAGTTTCATTTTCACTTTTTGCCCTTTTGTACTACTTGCATAATTTTTAAAAATAGTTAAGACCTTTTCTAAATTATATGATGAATGAGGCCAAGAAAAACTATTATAAATATGTCTCTATGCTAACAGAAGCTAAAAATAAAAATCATCTTCTTACTTCTATCTCTCTAGCCTAATACACATTTCTATATTAATACCACATCTTGGCAGGCATATTAGGTGCTGCTTCTACACAATAGGGATTAAGCTTTATGGTGAAAAAAAAATTAAAGGTGAGCAGATGTACAAGTTTGATTTATGGAGGCAGACAAAAACGTGTATAAACATTGAATAAATAGAGAGCTGATACACTATATTCCACCCAAAAGCCTTTATAGTGGACCTTTATTGGTCTGGCCTGGTCAGCATCCCTTCCCTCTTTGTCTAGAAACAACAGAAGTACCCTCATCTGACTCCATAGGATCCTGGAGGGGTTGTCTATCATGGTACCCCAAATCTGCCTCTGTCAAAGAGATGGGCCCACACACTGGCTGGCCCACTAGAGCACCCCGTTCTCCAAGCCACGGTTATTCATTGAGGAATAGGCAAGTGTCCTAAGCTGGACCAATCCAAATCTTCCCTAAGATCTGACACATGGGCACTAAAAGGGAAATGTTGCCTCTCTTCCTCTAGGATGTTGAGCTATACAGATCATGAAGGCTTGAATAAAGCCAGGCAGAGGTAAACAGAGTTGAAAAATGGAGGGCGAGGGATAGAGCTGATAACATCACCTGAATTCCTGACTCAGCCATGTTTGAAGCCATAATCACCCACTTGGATTTCTCATTTGTATGAGTCAATAAATTCCCCTTTGTGGCTTAAACTGGATTTTGCTGGTTTTCTTTCCCTTGCAACCTAAAGGGTCCTAGCTAATTAGTATCACCATTTTCTCACTGGAGGCTTAAAAACCCATTCCATGATTGTGAATATCAGCCTCATTTAAGATCCAAAATTAAAGTTTATATTTTAATATTCCAAATATTAGTTTAAAGTAGGATATCCTATTTGTTCTTCAGGAAAAGGAGGCACAAGGAATTTGTTATATGGAATTTCCCCCAAGGTCATACAATTCATCCGAAGCCAAGTCCAGAATAAAAATAATTTCCTAAACCTTTTCTTCTAAAAAAGAAATGCTTTATTCTATGTCAAAGTAAAGTCAAGAGTTATCTGCAAAATCTGCTAGGGGAAGTAAAAGGGAGATGAACTTGTGCTGATGATGTCAGTCCAAGAGAGAACAACAATCAAAACAAATCAACTTCAAATTCCTCAAATTTCCAACCAGCTGAGCTTTATCAAACTAACCTTGCTGAGTTCTTGTCCAAAAAAAACACGAAAATTAGCCACCATGGTGGCTTGCGCCTGTAGCCCCAGCTACTTGGGAGGCTGAGGGGAGAGGATCATTAGAGCCCAGGAGGTCGAGGCTGCAGTGAGCCATGACTATGCCACTACACTCCAACCTGGGTGACAGAATGAGACCCTATAGAAAAAAAAAGATTCTTGCAACTGTGTGTCTATTCTATATAACGTCTAGAATCCAAGTGTTTTTAACTATACTTATCTTCTAGACAATTAGATAAATGACTCTAAAGCTCTCATAATGTTTGTCTGAAGCATTATTTTATACTGTAAGTGAAAGGCCTCATAAAGGGAATTCACAGTCTTACAACTCAATAGCAGAAAAACAAATAACCTAATTTAAAAATGGGCAAAGGACCTGAACAGACATTTCTCCAAAGAAGACATAAAAATGGCCAACAGATATATGGGAAGGTGATCAACATCACCAGTCATCAGGGAAATGCAAGTTAAAACCACTATGAGATATTGTCTCACTTCTGTTAGAATGGCTATTATCAAAAAGTCAAGGCCAAGTGAGGTGGCTAATGCCTATAATCCCAGCACTTTGGGAGGCTGAGACACGGTGGATCACTTGAGGCCAGGAGTTCAAGGCCAGCCTGTCCTATATGGCAAAATCTCGTCTCTACCAAAAATATAAAAATTAGCCAGCTGTGGTAGCCCATGCCTGTAATCCCAGCTACTCAGGAGGCTGAAGCAGGAGAATTGCTTGAACCTGTGAGGCGGAGGTTGGAGTGAGCCGAGATTGTGCCACTGCACTCCAGCCTGGGTGACAGAGTAAGGCCCTGTCTCAAAAAAAAAAAAAGGGCAAGAGATAAAAAATTCTGGCAAGGGTGTGGAGAAAAGGGAACCTTAGTACACTGATGGTGGAGATATAGATTGGTACAGTCATTATGGAAAACAGTATGGAGATTCCTAAAAAAAATTAGAAATAGAACTATCATATGACCCTGTAATCCCTCTTTTGGATATATACCCAAAGGAGATGAAATCACCACCACATAAATATATTTGCACTCCTACATTCATTGCAGCATCATTCACAATAGCCAAAATATGGAAACAACCTTAGCATCCACTGACTGATGAATGGATAAAGAAAATGTGGTATGTATACATAATGGAATATTATTCAGCCTTAAAAAAGGAGATCCTGCCATTTGTCACAATATGGATGGACCTGGAGGACCTTATGCTAAGTAAAATAAGCCAGACACAGAAAGAAAAATATTGCATGCTCTCACTTATATGTAGAATCTAGGAAAAAAAAAAAAAGGTCAACTATACAGAGATAGAGAATAAAACAGTGGCTACCATGCATGTTGGGTGGGATGGGGTGAAATGGGGTAGGTCAAAGGATAAAAAGTAGCAGATATGCTCACAGCCTGTAATCTCAGCATTTTGGGAGGCCAAGGTGGGAGGACCACTTAAGCCCAGTAGTTCAAGACATAGCGAGACCCAATCTCTACAAAAAATATAAAAATTAGCCATGTGTGGCAGCACACACCTGTAGTCTCAGCTACTCAGGAGGCTAAGGTGGGAGGATTGCTTGAGCACAGAAGTCAAGGCTACAGTGAGCCATATTAACACTACTGCACTGCACCCTGAGCTACAGAGCAAGGCCCTCTCTCAAAAAAAAAAAAAAGTAGCAGATTTAGTGAATGAACAAGTCTAGAAATCTAAAATACAACATGAGGATTATAGGTATTAAAATTGTATTGTATTAGAAATTTTTGTCAAATAAGTAAATTTTAGCTATTGTCACCAAAAAAGTAACTATGTGAAGTAATAGATACATTAATCTGCTTCACTATAGTAACTGTTTTACTATCTACAGGTATCCCATAACATCATGTGGTAAACCTCAAATACACACAATACTGTTTATTGAAAAAATAAAAATAAAATTTTAAAGAGTTAAAAAGAAAAACATCGAGTTAACAAAAAGTTCTGTTTTCTCAATGACAAATAGAATAAAAGTCTGATGAGTATCTAAGGCAAAAACTCAGTGTAAAATTAAACTCCTTGTAGCAGAATGGTAGACAAGAAACGAAATTCTTAAAGGAATTTTTTCAGTGCAAATGGTAGAACTAGAAAGGGAAGAACTCTGTATGTGGAGTTGAGATTTCCTCTGCAGCTGGGTATGTGGCACAGCCAGCTTTCTAAGAAGTGTGTCCCTATTCAGAAATTCTACAATCACAGCTAGTAATGGCCAATTCACCTTAAAAGTTGGCAGTAAAGAAAAAATGTGCAATTAGATAATGGGTAACAAAAAAAAATCCAATATGGGCCAAGTGTGGCGGCTCACACCTGTAATCCCAGCACTTTGGGAGGCAGAGGCAGGAGGATTGCTGGAGCCCAGGAGTTTGAGACCAGCTTGGGCAACATGGTGAGACCCCGTCTCTACAAAAAATTTTAAAAATTAGCCAGGCATGGTGGCACACGCCTGTGGTCCCAGCTACTCAAGAGGCTGAAGCAGGAGGATTGTTTGAGCCCAGAAGTTCGAGGCTACAGTGAGTTGTGTTCAGGCCACTGCACTCGAGTCTGGGCATCAGAGCAAGACTGTCTCAAACAAACAAAAAAATAAAATGTAAATCTTGTGCCACCTCATGTAGCTGAGCCATGATCCTGGGTGGGGCTCCTAACATCTCTGAGCCTCAGCTTCCTCACTTGTAAATGAAGGGATTGGTAGATGGTCTCTGAGGTCCTTTATAAATGCACAAGCAATACAGCTTGTAGTTTCTCACCCTGAGCCTAAGAGATTTACACTTTTTTTTTTTTTTTTTTTGAGACAGAGTCTCGCTCTGTCACCCAGGCGGGAGTGCAGTGGTGCGATCTCGGCTCACTGCAACCTCCACCACCAGGTTCAAGTGATTCTCCTGCCTCAGCCTCCTGAGTAGCTGGGATTACAGGCACCTGTCACCACGCCCGGCTAATTTTTGTATTTTTAGTACAGACAGGGTTTCACCATGTTGGCCAAGCTGGTCTCAAACTCCTGACCTCAGGTGATCCACCTGCCTCGGCCTCCCAAAGTGTGGGGATTACAGGCGTCAGCCATCATGCCCGGCCGAGATTTACACATTTTAAAAGGTAGGGCAAAGAAGCCGGGCATAATGGCTCATGCCTGTAATCCCAACACTTTGGGAAGCTGAGACGGGTAGATCACTTGAGGTCAGGAATTCAAGACCAGCCTGGCGACCATGGCAAAACCCCGTCTCTAATAAAAATACAAAAATTAGCTAGTCGCAGTGGCACACACCTGTAGCCCCAGCAACTCAGGAGGCTGAGGCAGGAGAATCGCTTGAACCTGGGAGGCAGAGGTTGCAGTGAGCCGAGATCACGTCACTGCACTCCAGCCCAGGCGACAGAGCGAGACTCCGTCTCAAAAAAAAAAAAAAAGAAAAAAAAAAATCAGGTAGGGTAGAGGCCAGCATTAGAAGATGAAAACTGTAAGGAACTAAGGAACTAGAATTTTGACTTGCTTCTTTTACGTGCAAAAAGTATGAATTCTTTCAGAAATGGGGTCCTGGCATATTATAACCAGAGATTAACTGGTCATGTGCAAGAAGGATAAAAATCATTTGCAATCCAATAATCCAATAGAAATAGGAAAACGATGTGAACCATCTGCTCATAGAATTCAAGTAGCTCTTTTTTCATGTGGAAAAGAATAAATTGTACTCACAATTTAAAAGATGAAAACTAGAATGAAATTCTACTTTTAAAGCCTATTTGCTCACCTTGGCAAATATTTTAAAAGTGCGATAAACCTAGTGTGAACAACGAGGGAAATGGGGAGCAGTCACTGATGAGCGTATCAATAGGTACCACCTTTGGTGGTCAATTGGCAAAATCTATAAAATTTTAAATGCAAATATTTTTCAAGGAGACAATTCCACTTCTAGGAATGTATTCTATAGACATGGTTGCACACGTACTCAAAGATATACACACAGATGTTCACTGCAGAATTGTTTGTCATAGCAAAAGACTGGAAACAACCGCCATATCCTTCCATCGTGGCCGATAGAATAATTACGGGGTGCTGGTATAACATACAGAACACCAGGCAGCCATCTAAAAGAATGCCGTACACCCACACATGCTGATGTGAGGTCATCTCCAAGATACATGATAAAGGGGGAGCTGAGGCGGCAGGGCAGATGACCCAGTTTGGGGATGGGGACGCATTTGAAAGGAGATAGCCATATACTTGTGTTCTGGAAGGAATCAAAAGAAAATATTAGCAGTGGCTGCCTGCTCTGAAAGGGGAAGAGGCTTCTGTACTGTTTGAATTTTCTACCATGTGCACTTACTATTTTTTCCATTTTTAGTTAACTAAAAAAAAAAAAGAAAGAAATAGCCATTTAAAGCAAGGTAGAGGGGAGGGAGATTCATGGTACTCTGAGCTCTGCTGTCACAAGGAAAGAGAGTCCACATCCCACCCAAGCACTGAGCAACAATGGAAAGTCAAACGCTGGAGGAGGAAGCAAGGCCAAAAAAATATTTTTTTAATAAAATAAAAAAATTTATGTAGATATAAAGAAAATGATAGCAACGCAACGATAAAGGCATTGGAGTAGCACTTTCCACCAGCATATTGCTAGTCAGAATGAGTGCAGCCCGGCGCGAGGACCACCCGTTTCCGTGACCACGACTGGACCCCTCCCCAGCCCACTATCCTTGGGGTCCGCTCGTTCGTGCCGTCCGAGCCGTCTGTGGGGGCGACCCAGGCCCGGGCGCCTAACTCCCGGCAGCGGGGCGGCAGTTCGCGCTTCCCCAAGGGTGGTGCAGGTCAGCCCCGCAGGCGGGCAAGATCCTAGCCCCGGGACGTGCTGTCGTGTGTGCAAACTTCGCTGCGGTCTGAAAGAGCTGTCGGTCGGTCGGGGCCCCGGAGGCCCCCGGCACGGCTGCAGTTGCGCCCGGGGCTGAACGCGGCGTTGGCTGCAGCGCGCTCCCAAGCCGCCCCGCCCCGGCCCACATTCCTAAGGCCACAGTGCGACCCAGCGGGCCGCGGGGAAACTGCGCCGGACCACGGCCCGCCACCGCCCGAGCCCTCACCTGCAGCCTTCCAGGAAATGTGGCCGCGGGAGCAGCTTCCCTCCTCCTTCCTAAATGGAGAGGGCTGATCTGTTTGCCAAGACAATGTCTAAACCTGACCCTTCCCTCACGCTGTAGAAGAAAATCGAAGTGCTGGAAAGTTCCGGTGGAGGGACTTGGAGGGATAAAATTCAGAATTCCAGACATCTTGTAATTTATGAAGTCAAGGAAGGTCCGTTTCTACCTGAAGAATGACTCTAATGATTTAATAAAATCTATAGACACTAGGCTTATAAGCAGGCTCGACCAAAATGCCACCTGCTTTGTGACGTTGGCCTCTGGCTAAGTGGAAATGTCCCCTGGCTCGCTGGCTTTCGCGGCCATTGTAACAGTCTCTCAGCTCTTACCACGTTCCCTGTGAATTGAATCTGCATGTCATTCCCTTTAGCAGAACCTACAAGCTCCATGAAGCAGAGATCCTATCTTCCTCATCTGTCTTAGGAATAGGCACCAAGACAGAAAGAAACCCTGCAGCAGTTAAGAACAGGAAAGAAAAAAGCAGCAAAGTCACAACAGCAACACTCACTCGCCAATTTTATTTGTCACTTAACAAGTTTATTGGGCTGGGCGCGGTGACTCACATCTAAAATCCCAGCACTTTGGGAGGCTGAGGCCGGTGGATCACCTGAAATCAGGCGTTCGAGAGCAGCCTGGCCAACATAGTGAAACCCTGTCTCTACTAAAAATACAAAAATTAGCCGGGTGTGGTGGTGCGCGCCTGTAATTCCAGCTACTCGCGAGGCTGAGGCACAGGAATCATTTGAACCCGGGAGGCGGAGGTTGCAGTGAGTCAAGATGGCACCACTGCACTCCAGCCTGGGTGACAAAGTAAGAATCTGTCTTAAAAAAAAAAAAAAGTTTATTGAACACCAAATAACCATATATTATGGTGAACCTTGATCCAGTAGACCAGCATTTTTCAATGGATGCCCTCTGCACTTCAGTTTCAGGCCATATTAATACCATATAACTTGAACATCAGGGCACCCTGAACATATGGTGAGCCCACGTGTTGCAAGAGAAAAGTTCCTCAAAAAAAAAAGTTGCGGTTTTAGGAATTCTTTTAGCCAACTTGAAAACATAAATGTTTAGGATATATATGAGTTAAATGTCAGTGTATAGGATTGGATTTATTCATTTGGTTACACATAAAAGCTTAAATCACACATGTGAAATAACACATTGATTTTGAAATAATGCTTTTTTTCTACTCTGACATGTTATGAAGCAATTTTATTTAAACTCTTACCTGAGTTTTTCAATATCTTAGTCAGAAGAAGAGACGTATCTTAGGGCATCTAACACAGTCATTTTTATTTACAAACAATATTTTTTGAACCCATGTGTGAGCTACCACCGGACATTTAATACTAAGCCATAATTTGATAAATTCAGAGTTTTAAAAAATGTATCCTATAGGTATAGATTTGTGATCTCTTCAACATATTCACTAACTGTATTGCTTTTTTGTCATTGCTGATTTACACCAGCACCCAGTCAATAGTCACATGGGGAGGTCAGGCCCTGCATCAATCAGTAAGGGTCTAGCTACAGAGAATAAGGGTCTAGCTCCTGGCTAGTTTGAGCAAGAGATTTGTAACAGGGTGTCATATAACTTCCAGAATCACCGAACTGGAGGTAGTAGGGGAGAGTTTGGCAAGAAACAGACTCTAGACTGAGCTTCTAGTAATAATTCCAAAGTCACATCAGATAATTGGCCAGAGAACAAAAAGCCCCAAGCCAAATCTGGCTCTGCTGCTATGGCGGCCCCGTGTGAAATGATGCCACCTCTGCTACAATCAAGAAGCTGCCGGCCAAGCTTGCTGCTGCTGCATATCATATCTGCTACCAATCACAAACAAAAATGAATGCCACCTTCCAAAGCCAAGATTTATATAAGCAAGTGCATCTGAATGTCAGAACCTAAAGTACATCCAAAATTCTTACTGCAAGAAGGTCTAGAAAAGATTGTTTTTAGCTTTCCGGATTCTTCAGTATAAGAAGACAGATTCTTTTTTATGTATATAAAAAAGTAGACACTGGATCTCACTATGTTGTCCAGGATGGTCTCAAACTCCTGGCCTCAAGCAATCCTCCCACCTTGGCCTCACAAAGTGCTGGGATAACAGGCATGAGCCACAGCACCTGGCCTAAGACAATAGAAGAAAGTTAGAATACATGGTGAGTAAGGTAGTCCACAGCAACTGCCTCATACTCCCAATAATAGTTACTAATTTTGTGCTAAATGTATTTTTCCCCCTCTTTTTTTTTAACCAATTCCATCAGATAACCTTTATCATCAACTAAAACTAGTATTGATTGGTTTCAGTATTGTGCTTTTTCCATACAATACCTTAGTCATTTAAAAGTAAGTAATCCAGAAAATGCTCTGAAATATGAGACCTCGGAAGCCCTTGAATATTAGGATACTCCATCTTTTCTGAGAGATAATTTGGAAGAAAAAAACCCTTGCCTCATATTTGAGCATACACAGTAGTTTTTCCTTGAAAAGTTGTTGTTGTTTTTTTTTAATATCTTTATGGGCAAGGGTATCCATTGTATAGGGCTGCCTAACAAATTGCCTTAAAATGGATGGTTTAAAACAACAGAAATGTATTCCCTCAAAGTTCTGGAGGCCAGAAGTCTGAAATCAAGGTATCAGTAGGGCTCATTTCCTTCTAGGGGCCTGGCCTTCCAGCTTCTGGTGGCTAATATTTTATGGCTTCCTTGGCTTGTGGCCACACCATTCCAACCTCAGCCTCTGCCTTACTGTCTCTCTCTTCTGTGTCTGTCTTCTCCTCTTCTGTCTCAAATCTACCCCTGCCTTTCTCTTATATGAACACTTATCACTGGACTTAAAGCCCACTTGAATAATACAGGATGATCTCAAGATCCTTAACTTAATTACATATGCAAAGAATCTTTTACCAAATAAGGTAACAGCCACAGGTTCCAGGGATTTGACATGGGTGTTCTGAGGGGACCACCATTCAACCCACTACAGCAAGGAAGTTTAGGAAATGCTGGACTAAACAAATTAAATTGGTTTCTTTTCTACAGGATTTTGCAAAGCCTGTAACGTCCTAAATGTGCATTGTGAATCTCCAAGAGTGAGATACACTATACAGTGATTTTCAAAATTATTCAACCATGAAATCCTATTTGCAGAAGCAATATTCCACAGAACACACTCTGGCACAAACTTATAATTTACCTGCTGGGCAAGTCCTCAGAAAGAATGTCAATAAGTATCAGAGAAGCCAAAAATAAGTGACTAAACAGTTGAAGGTTCTCAAGGATTTGGCAAGAGTAACTATTCTAAGCCACAACCATGCAACACTGCTAAAGATAATCACAGCCATAAAGTCATAACATGAAGTAAAATATTTATGTCCAGTTACTACACTGCTTCCTGTATTTGTCCATTTTCAAGCTGCTGATAAAGACATACCCGAGACTGGGAAGAAAAGGAGGTTTAATAGGACTTACAGTTCCACATGACTGAGGAGGCCTCAGAATCATGGTGGGAGGTGAAACGCACTTCTTGCATGGCAGCGGCAAGACAAAAATGAGGAAGAAGCAAAAGCAGAAATCCCTGATATACCCAGCAGATTTCATGAGACTTATTCACTATCATGAGAATAGCATGGGGAAGACTGGCCCCCATGATTCAATTACCTCCCCCTGGGTCCCTCCCACAACATATGGGAATTCTGGGAGATACAATTCAAGTTGAGATTTGGGTGGGGACACAGCCAAACCATATCATTCCACCCCTGGCCCCTCTAAATCTCATATCCTCACATTTTAAAACCAATCATGTCTTCCCAACAGTCTCCCAAAGTCTTAATTCATTTCAGCATTAACCCAAAAGTCCACAGTCCAAAGTCTCATCTGAGACAAGGCAAGTCCCTTGCGCCTATGAGCCTGTAAAATCAAAAGCAAGCTAGTTACTTCCTAGATACAATGGGGGTACAGGTATTGGGTAAATACAGCCATTCCAAAATAGAAATTGGCCAAAACAAAGGTGTTACAGGGCCTATGCAAGTCTGAAATCCAGTGGGGTAGTCAAATTTTAAAGCTCCAAAATGATCTCCTTTGACTCCAGGTCTCACATCCAGGTCACGCTGATGCAAGAGGTGGGTTCCCATGGTCTTGGGCACCTCTGTCCCTGTGGCATTGCAGGATACAGCCTCTCTCCCAACTGCTTTCACGGGCTAGCATTGAGTGTCTGCAGCTTTTTCAGGTGCACGGTGCAAGCTGTCTGTGGATCTACCATTCTGGGTTCTGGAGGATGGTGGACCTCTTCAGCTCCAATAGGCAGTGCCCCAGTAGGGACTCTGTGTGGAGGTTCCAACCCCACATTTCCCTTCCACACTGCCCTAGCAGAGGTTCTCCATGAGGGCCTCACCCCTGCAGCAAACTTTTGCCTGGACAGCCAGGCATTTCCATACATCTTCTGAAATCTAGGTGGAGGTTCCCAAACCTCAATTCTTGACTTCTGTGTACCCACAGACTCAACACCACATGGAAGCTGCCAAGGCTTGGGGCTTCCACCCTCTGAAGCCACAGCATGAGCTCTACATTGGCCCCTTTCAGCCATGGCTGGAGCAGCTGGGACACAGGGCACCAAGTCTATAGGCTGCACACAGCACAGGGACCCTGGGCCCGGCCTATGAAACCATTTTTTTTTTACCTCCTGGGCCTCCAGACCTGTGATGGGAGGGACTGCCGTGAAGGTCTCAGCCTGGAGACATTTTCCCCGTGGTCTTGGGGATTAACATCAGGCTCCCTGCTACTTGTGCAAATTTCTGCCACAGGCTTGAATTTCTCCCCAGAAAATGGGTTTTTCTTTTCTATCACATAGTCAGGCTGCAAATTTTCCAAACTTTTATGCTCTGCTTCCCTTATAAAACTGAATGTCTTTAACAGTACCCAACTCACCTCTTGAATGCTTTGCTGCTTAGAAATGGCTTCTGCCAGATACCCTAAATCATCTTTCTCAAGTTCAAAGTTCCACAAATCTCTAGGGCGGGGCAAATGCTGCCAGTCTCTTTGCTAAAACATAACAAGAGTCACCTTTACTCCAGCTCCCAACAAGTTCCTCATCTCCATCTGAGAACACCTCATCCTGGACCTTATTGTCCATATCGCTATCAGCATTTTGGGCAAAGACATTCATTCAGCAAGTCTCTAGGAAGTTCCAAACTTTCCAACATTTTCCTGTCTTTTTCTGAGTCCTCAAAACTGTTCCAACCTTTGCCTGTTACCCAGTTCCAAAGTCACTTCCACATTTTCAGGTATCTTTTCAGCAACACCCCACTCTACCGGTACTAATTTACTGTATTATTCCACTTTCACATTACTGATAAAGACATATCTGGGACTGGGAAGAAAAAGAGGTTGAATTGGACTTACAGTTCCACATGACTGGGGAAGCCTCAGAATCATGGCGGGAGGCGAAAGGCACTTCTTTTTTTTTTTTTTTTTTTTTTTTTCATTTAATTAGTTTTAAAATTTATTCTCTACTCACAAAGAAGCATAAATAAAGATTTCACTCTTATATAAAGACCTGACAATACATACAATGGTCCTCTGCTGATTTGGAAGCAAGGACAGTTTTCTATGAGTCTGTTCTTTATAACGTATAACTGTTGTGGGAAAAAAGAAAATCCACTTCTTATTGTAATTATTTTTCTTGTTTGAGGTTTCTTTTCCACGATGACCCAACCACAAGTTTGGGAACATTGCTTCTGAGGCCCATTCTCTGATGAGAAAGTTCAGTCCCAACTGGGGAAAGTAACTGAGTCCCAGCCTTTTCAGCCTAACATTATACCTAATATCTAGAGTAAGAAATCAGGCTGAGCATGGTGGTACACGCCTGCAATCCCAGCTACTCGGGAGGCTGAGGCAGGAGAATCACTTGAACCCGGGTGGGAGAGACTGCAGTGAGCAGAGATCATGCCAGTCACTCTAGCCTGGGCAACAGAGCGAGACTCTGCCCCAAAAAATAAATAAATAAAATAAAAAAATAAAAATCAAACATCCAAGTATCCACCTTGGGTTGCAGGAAGAGTTAATCTTAATGCGTTTACAAAAATGTAACTATATAATGTTAAAAACCATAAAGTCAGATGGCACTGCTTGAGGCATTTTTGCTTCTTTTTCTTAAGGAAAAGGAGTTATATGGAAAATTCTCTCATCCTCCCCTCTCTGCCCCTGACTCCTCTATGTCCAAAGTTTTTTTTTTTTTTTTTTTTTTTTTCTGAGACGGAGTCTCACTCTGTCACCCAGCCTGGAGTGCAGTGGTGCAATCTCAGTTCACTGCAACCTCCGCCCCCCGGGTTCAAGAAACTCTCCTGCCTCAGCCTCCCGAGCAGCCGGGGCCACAGGCATGCACCACCACGCCCGGCTAATTTTCTATTTTTAGTAGAGATGGGGTTTCTCCATGTCGGTCAGGCTGGTCTCAAACTCCCAACCTCAGGTGACTCACCTCCCTCAGCCTCCCAAAGTGTTGGGACTACAGGCGTGAGCCACCGCACCCGGCCTAGGTTTTTGTTTAAAATTGGGCCTTTGTTCCTATTCAGTAAATCTGTGTCACAGGATGAGCCAGGATTTAAATATACAAATATAAATGTTTAGTATCTTTCACGTCAAATTAGAAACATATATTTGGAATTTACTGCTGCAGTCTCAACTGTGCTTATCGTGGTAGTGGCTGAAACTGGAAGACATTTTTTTTAAACCCTGAAGTCATCCATACTTGCTACTTCTTTAGTCTTCTTGCTTGGAATGAAAAGTATTCACAAATACCACCACCTAAGCACCTGTTTCAAATGAAACTCAGCCTTCAGCTTGCAAAATGATGTCTTTATAATTAAGTAAACAACAGAAGACCCATGCAAGTTGCTTCTTTCTTCCTGGAGATGTTAGGAGGATAACTGGAATCCTAGGAGCTCCTCTGTGTTGAATTTGAGAGGCAGAACAAAAAGGAAAGTGGCCTTTCCATTCCAAATCATGGAGGTAACGTGTAGAGAAGTGATAGCCACATTTCAAGAATAGGGAAGGTAACTGGGTAAAAGAAGCAGGACTACCCACTCTAGGAGACAGCATAGAGACACTTGCCAAGTCCTGAGTTCAGAATTTTGCTTTTGAGATGAATATAAAAGCACCTAAAGGTCAAGGAAAATTTTCTTCCTGTGATAAGGAACACAAAGCCTGTTTGGTGGTCTCTTCATACGGACACACATGACACTTTGCTTTAGCGTAGATGAGTACTGCCCACTGTAAGGTAGGGACGAAGACTGTTCGGTTAGTTCCTTTCCTCTGGCCGATCCCTGTTTTTTCTTCTCCTCGCACAGTCCAACAGATGCACTCGGCCTCCCGGGGGCTGCCCACCCCCAGCCCAGAGGCCAGTTTACAGCAGCACACCTTACTCCGCCATCTTCGCAGCTTCTCAAGAAAGGCACTTCTTACATGGTGGTGGCAAGAGAAGCAAAAGCAGAAACCCCTGATATGCCCATCAGATCTCATAAGACTTATTCACTGTCATGAGAATAGCATGGGAAAGATCGGGCTTCATGATTAAATTACCTTCCCTTGGGTCCCTCCCACAACACATGGGAATTCTGGGAGATACAATTCAAGTTGAGATTGGGGTGGGGACACAACCAAACCATATTACCTCCCATCAGGTTCTATTCTGGTTCAGGATAATGTACAAACTCCCAATCCTTTACAATCTTTTACCTCAATCTTCTCACCCATTCCTATCCTACGTTTATCCTTGCTCCAGCCAAACTCACATACACATTGAATTTCCTACTGCCATTCCATGAAAAATGCCTTCTCCCTACAGCTCCCCTATTAATAGCTGAGGTTCATTTCAGTGGATACCTCCTAAATAAAACCTGCTTTGTCACCCCAGCCAGAAAGGCCCTTTCCCTTTGCATTCGGCAGAGGACGCTTGTGAAGTATCTTATTTTAGAGTTCTTTGCATATAGATACTATTTTTATTACTGGCCAGCAAGCACCAGCAAATAAGGATCATGACTTAGATCTCTTTATATCCTCCAAGTGATCTAGGACACTGATTTTCATAGAATAAATGCTCAAAAGAAATGTGTTAATTGACTAAACAAGAAAATTAATCTTGGACACCAAGCGCAGTGGCTTACGGCTATAATCCCAGCACTTTGGGAGGCTGAGGCGGGCAGATCACCTGAGGCCAGGAGTTCCAGACCAGCCTGGCCAACGTGGCAAAACCCTGTCTCTACTAAAAAATTAATACAAAAATTAGCCTGGCATAGTGATACGCACCTGTAATCCCAGCTACCCGGGAGGTTGAGGCAGGAGAATCACTTGAACCCAGGGGGCGGAGGCTGCAGTGAGCCAAGATCACACCATTGCACTCCAGCCTGGGCAACAAGAGCAAAACTCCGTCTCAAAAAAGAAAAGAAAATCTTGGGAACTATGTATGCAGATGTAAAAGTGCCATCTAAGGCTCCTCCCCTTCCCATTTCCCAAATGAGAGTAGACTGGGCTATTCAAGGTTGGAGATGTATCCAATTAGCAGTGACGAATGGCAAACTCAGAACGGTGACAGCATTGAGGACCTTGGGTAGCCAGAGTCAGAGTCATGTGTTCTCTATCTTAATGATTTAAAACAACATCCCCAAAAGAATTGAAAACAGGTTGAATCAGCCTTCTATATGCATATATACAGAACCCTTGGATACAGAGGGCCAACCACACTATGCCATTTTATTTAAAAGACTTGAACATATGTAGATTTGGTATCTGCAGGGAGTATGGAATCTGGTATCTGTGGGGGTTCTAGAACCAATCTCCCACAGATACTAAGTGCTCAAATACACATATACATGTACATGCATGTTAATAGCAGCACTATTCACCCATAGCCAAAAAATGAAAACAACCCAAATGTCCATCAACAGATGAATGGATAAACAAATTGTGACATATACATAAAATAGAGTATTACGTAGCCATAAAAAGGAGTGAAGTACCAATCATGCTACAAAGTGGATGAACTTCAAAAATACTACACTAAATGAAAGAAGCCAGACACAAAAAGTCACATATTTTATGATTTCATTTATATGAAATATCTAGAATAAGTAAATCTAGAACACAGATTGATGGTTGCTGCTGATGGCAGTGGCGGGCCATCTGGAGTGGCCCCTGCCATCACGCTGGCTGTGGCAGAGGGGTCGGGCTTAGGTGGTAGCAGCGGGAGCAGCAGTGGCAGTGGTGGGACCCCCTGTGCCCCGCATCCCCTGTGTCCCACATCCCCAAAGCAGCCAACTACACCACCTCCACTCTCACATGGCCAGGCCAGACGTGTTCCCAGGCCCAGACCCTCCACTGCTCCAGAACCTGGCCCTGCATCACTGCTGCAGGGAGGGTGTGGGGAGGAGGCAGACAGTACCCAGAGCCTGCCCCTGGGGCCCCCCAGGAGACCGCCACCCTGGGAGCCACTGCGATGGGGCCAGGCTGAGTTGCCTACCAGCAGGGGAGCAGCACAGTCTGGCACAGAGAGGCGGGCAGAGAGGGGCCCCAAGGCAGACCTGGACCCAGGGCGGTGCTGCACCCCATGGAGCAGGCAGGAGCAGGCAGGAGTCTCACACTCCTAGGCATGGCTGTGGCCACCCAGGTTGTGACTGTGGACCCAGGCATCTGTGCACTCTCAGGGGGGCCCAGGAAGGCCTCCCTTTCCCCCACAGGCTCAGAGGTGTCTACTCCCACTGCCTGGCCTCTCTCCACTGTGGGCACTGACCCTGATCACAGAGTGGAGTACAGGCCAAGCTAGGCACTATTACAGCCTGGCCAGGTGTGCATACGCTCAGGGCAGTGCTGACACGCCAGCCCCCTGCCACCTCAGCCCCCTCCGGACTTTGGGCACTGACAAGCACAGGAGGGAGGCCAAAGGGGAGCTGAGGACAGCCCAGCACCGGACTGCAGGTGCTCCTTGACATGAACAGCCTGTGCTCCATGAATAGCGGCAGGAGGCAGGCAGGCTCCTGGGAGGAAAGGGGCTGGTCCCCAGTAAAGCCCCACCTTCAGATCAGGGAGGACCTGAAGCCTGGGGGCTGTCAGCCAGCCCCATGGACCAGAGGGGGATCTCGTGGTGTTTTTCCCTGGGCCTGCCCATGGCTGCTCATGGACCAATCAGCATGCATTTCCTCCCCTCTGAGGCCCATAAAAACCCCCAGACTCAGAGCGACTCAAGCAGAAGATGGAGACAGGAGGGAGAGAGGATGGAGAGATGACAGGGAGACAACAGAAAGCAATGGAACAACCAGCTGCGGAGAGAAACTATCCTTTCTGCTGAGACTGAAGAGAGGACAGGACACCCTGGCTACGGAGAGGAGCTGCCCAGGAGAGGAGCTGCCCACTGCGAGTCTCCTCTGAGCTGTTCTATTCTCAATAAAGCTCCTCTTTGCCTTGCTCACCCTCCACTTGTCTGCATACCTCATTCTTACTGGACACAGGACAAAAACCCAGGATCCGCTGAATGGCGAGGCTAAAAGAGCTGTAATACAAACAGGGCTAAAACACACCCATTGCTCACCACGTTGTGGGGAGCAAGGAGGAAAGAAGAGAGAAGGAGAGAAGCACTGCAGCCCTCAGTGGGGTGGGACAGACCTGGGAGCTCCCCAAGCCAGGGCTGTGACTCCCCTTTTGGGGCCCTGCAGTTCCTGGAGTCTCCAAGCTTCAAGGCACCACTGTGTTCCTCAGTGCCAGCTATGAAAGCTGCTTGTGGTGCCCTTAGTCCAGCTGCAGCCTCACAGTGAGCTGGCACCTGTGCCGGCACCTGGAGCTGCCTGTCCCACTGCAGCAGCCAGCCTGCCTGACTGTGCATAGTGGCCAAACCCCATGCTTGCTCACTCACACCTTTCGCTGCTCCACTCCAGTCTCTTTGGAGGCATGGGATCCAGGCCAGTAATGCAAGCTGAGCACAGCCTGCTGAACGCAGCCTTCCAGGACAAGTGAGCTTATTAGGCCCAAGCAAAACTCAGGCAAAGGTGCCACTGGCCACAGAGGTTTCCAGCCAGAAAAGCAACACCCCCCCACGCCACACACACCAAGGATCCCACAACACTGGGAGGAGGGGGACATGGGAAGCAACTGCTTAATGAGTATGAGGTTTCCTTTTGGAGTGATGAAAATATTTTGGAATTAGATAGAGTTGGTGGTTGCACATTTTGCTAAATGTCACTGAATTGTTCAATTTAAAGTTGTTAATTTTGTTGTGTGAAGTTCACTTCAGTCTTTAAAAAACAGTACAGCAATATGAGGAAACCTGGTATTAAAGTATAAGTGATATCCAGAAAACTTGTTACAGAATAATTTTAAAAATATATCACTCATTGTATAGCCATATCAATCCTGAGAAAGAAGAACAAAGCTGAAGGCATCATGCTTCCTGATTTCAAAATACGTTATGAAGCTACAGTAATCAAAACAGTATGGTACTGGCATGAAGACAGACATATACTCAATGGCACAAAAAAGAGAGCCCAGAAATAAATCCACATATATCAGTCAGTTGATCTTCAATAAGGGTGCCAAGAATACACAATGGGGAAAGGATAATCTCTTCAATAAATGGTGTGGGGAAAATTGGATATCCACAGACAAAAAAATGAAATTGGATCCTTATATCATACACAAAAATCAACTCAAAATGACTTAAAGACTTAAATTTAAGACCTGAAACTATAAAACTCCCAGAAGAAAACATGGGGAAAAACTTCATGACATTGGTGTTAGCAAAGATTTTATTTATATATATTCATATAATATATTCATAAAATCATAAAATATTTATATTCATATTTATATTAGGAATATAAAATATTTTATGAATATACCCCAAAAGCACAGGTAACAAAACCAAAAATAAACAAGTGGGATTACACTGCCTAAAAAGCTTCTGCACTGCAAAGAAAAAAAATCATTGGAATGAAAAGACAACCTATGCAATGGTAAATAACATTTGCAAGCAATATTACTGATAAGGGGTTAATCTTCAAAATATATAAGGAACCCCTACAACTCAATAACACAAAAAGTAATTATGCAATTTAAAAATAGGCTAAGAACTTGAATAGACAGTTCTCCAAAGAAGATATACAAATGACCAACAGGCATATGAAAAAATGCTCATTGTCACTGAGGGCTGGGGTGCATGAGTAAGACCATGAGTAGAGTAATGGGGGCCAGATTTGAGCTGGGGTGAGGCCAGTGTCTAGGTCACAAAATAATCAAGGAAATGCCAATCAAAACCACAATGAGGTATCACATCACACCTATCAGAATGGCCATTATTAAAAAAAAAAAAAAGACAACTGTTGGCAAGGGTGTGGAGAAATTGGAATCCTTGAACACTGTTCATGAAAATGAAAAATGATGTAGCCACTGCTGAGGTGGTAGGATCCCTTGAGCCCAGGAGTTCGAGGCTAGCCTGGGCAATATAGCAAGAACTCATCTCTAAATAAATAAATAAAATGGTGCAGCCACTATGGAAAACAGTATGGAGGTTTCTCAAAAATCTAGAAATAGAATTACCAGATGATCCAGCAATCCATTTCTGGGTATATATCTGAAAAAAATGAGATCAGAATCTCAAAGACATATTAGCACTCTTATGTTCATTACAGCACTAGTCACAACAGCCAACAACCAAACCACCTTAATGTTCATCAACAGATGAGTGGATAAAGAAAATGTGGTATATATGAGCAATGTGATACTATTCAGCTTCAAAAAAGAGAAGAATCCCGCAATGTGTGACAACCGGATGAACTTTGTCATTATGCTAAGTGAAATAAGCCAGACACAGAAAGAAAAATATTGCAGGATCCCACTTAGATGAGATAATCTAAAATAGTCAAATTTGTTAGATAAAAGACTAGAATGGTAGTTACCAGGGGCTGTAGGGAAGGGAAAATGGGGATGTATTAATCAATAGGCAAAAAGTTCAGTTAAGTAAGATGAATAAGCTCTGGAGATCTGCTATACTACATTGTACCTATAACCAACAATAATGCGTTACACATTTCTTAAACATGTGTTAAGAGGATAGATCTCACGTTAAAAGTTCTTACCAAAATAAAATTATATATATATGTTATTATAACTATTATTTTATCTATGGTAATATGTCATAAAAGCTAAGAACTGTATCTGAGACTAGTCTGCAGCTATTATTTTAAGCATTATCTATCAAAAACTTTCACCTAAAAAAACTTTTACAAAAGCAACAACAAAACTAAATGCACTCTTGTAAACTGACCTCAATGTGCCAGTGTGGGCCTCCACTTCAGGCTTCAAAAGCAAAGTATACTAGGATGTCAGCTCCATGAGAACACAGCCCTTGTCTGTCTTGTTCCCCATATATCTTCAGTGCCCCCAAACAGTGCCTGGTGCACAGTAATAATTGTTTATTGAGTTTCCCTGAGAGATCTGGATGCTGTAACCCAGGAAACAAGCAGTTACCCCAGTCAGAGTGAGGCTCTTGGGTTCAGGCACATGGGCTGGGATGAAAGAGACAGGGGAGGCAGTGGCCTACACTAGCTAAGACTTTCACACTAGCACATCCAAGAGGCACCACTCCATCAGCTTCAGGGCTTGGCAGATGAGAGGTCCCAAAGGAAGACACACAGTTGAGCCTTCCCCATGTCTGTCTGTCCTGGGCATACCCCTTTCCTGACCACAGGGAGCTACACACCTGCCCATCCTCTTGCCATACTGTTATTTATGGGCTATTTATCCATCTCTGGCTACAAGCTCTGCTTCCCCCATAATCACCAAATTTGGCAACTGGCCTTTGGACTGGTGCCTCAAGCCACTCCCACCTCCGGTTTCAGGAGAACCCCTTTGACTTAATGACCTAGACAGTGGCCTCACCCAGCTCAAATCTGTCCCCATTACTCCATTCCTGTCTTACTCACAGACCCTCAGCCCTCAGATACCCCTCGCCTGGAGTAATCACACCAAAAGGTATGCACATCACTCAGTCCCCATCCATTTGTGCCACAGAGCAAAACAAAATAATATTCAGCCTTATTATCAAAGAGGTACAAGTCAAAAATGTAGTATTAGGTAAAGAGCCAGAATGGAGCGTGAGGTCATACAGTTTGAATCTAGCTGAATGGGTGACAGATAATGATCTTTCTGTTCTTCAGACAGGCATCCTGCTCCCCGTTTTCTTCTTCTAAATTCCCCTCTATTCCCTCTCTCAGTCATCCCTAAATCTCTTATCTCCTGCTGTCCTTTCAATATGTCTCCCAGTGTCTTCCATACCTCTTCTATTTCTCTTTTATCCTTATCTAACCAGTATAGAAAACTGATTACAATAAGTAGTGTAAATATTTCTTATGTATGACACTTTTTTTCATCCAATTTGGAATTATAAGGAGAGCATTTGTCAGGATTTAAAGGACAGACTTTCTACAAAATTCATGTTTCCATACTCCAGTTAAACTCTTCTCGAATGTCTAACTCCTGAATTATGGTGTCTATTATGGGTTGGATTTTATCCCCTAAAGAAATATGTTGAAATCCTGACCCCAGTACCTGTGAAAGTGACATTATTGGAAATACGGTCTGTGCAGGTGTAATCATGCTTTACAATGAGTTCATAATGGAATAGGCTGAGTCCTTAATATAATATGACTGGTATCCTCATAAGAGAGGAGAAGCACAGGGACACAGACACACAGGAAGAAGACAGCCATGTGACAATGGCAGCAGAGATTAGAGTGATGCATTTCCAAGTCAGAGAATGCCAAGCATTGCCAGCAAACACCAGAAACTAGAAGGGGCTAGGAAGGATTCTCCACTGCAGGTTTTAGAGGGTGCTAACACCTTGATTTTGGACTCTAGCCTCCAGAACTGTGAGATAATAAAATTCTGTTATTTTAAGCCACCCAATTTGTGGCTTTTTGTTACAGCAGCCCTAAGAAAGTGTCCCTCAGACACTTCTTTTATTTTTTATTTTTTATTTTTTTTGAGATGAAGTCTTGCTCTTGCCACCCAGGCTGGAGGGCAATGGCACAATCTCGGCTCACTGCAACCTCCGCCTCCCAGGTTCAAGCAATTCTCCTGCCTCAGCCTCCTGAGTAGCTGGGATTACAGGCATCTGCCACCATGCCCGGCTAATTTTTGTATTTTTAGTAGAAATGGGGTTTTGTATTTTTAGTAGAAATGGGGTTCCGCCATGTTGGCCGGGCTGGTCTCCAGCTCCTGATTTTGTGATCTGCCCACCTCAGCCCCCCAGAGTGCTAGGATTACAGGTGTAAGCCACCATGCCCGGCCCCTCAGACACTTCTTTAAAAAAAAAATTCTTGGGGCTTCTTTGAGAATTCTTATTATTGACCTTGGTTATTCATTCCTGATTTATCTAATTCTGAGATCAGAGAAGTTGATTATTTATATATCTCAGAAAAAACATGTAACTACAATTTATCGTTAAGTTGATTTTATTTTAACGTGAATGTCCCCCAGTAGCAATGCACTAGCACCTGAGCCATGGTTTATAAATGTCAGTCCCCCTAAGAATCCTTTGATGAAATCCTCATTCCAGGTCTGGAATGGAGAAAAAGTGAGCCTGGGACATTTTGTTGGACCAGAAAGCAATGAAGTGCTCAAAGACCAACCAAGACATGTCAAAAAATTACAGGAACCAGCTTGAAAGAGCTCCTGCTACCCTAACTTGGAAGAACTGGAGCAGCAAATAGAATAAAAGAACAATGATAGTAATGGATGATAACACAATGAATTGCCTAAAAAAATCCACAGTCCATGGTGATACTCAAAAGAAAGAGGGAAAAAGAGAGATCTGATAGAAATGTCAACTAATAAATGTGAAAGGAATGATAATATTAGAAAATGATCATTTTGAGATCACATTTCACATCACATCAAAGCTGTGGAATTTCCTCTCTTCTAGGGGGAGCCTTGTGAAGATAAATTTGGTTTAAGCTGGTGGAAGCCATGGATGTGGAACCCACAGAGATGGAGGGCCGACTGTATAAACAATTATTTTACCGAGTTTCCTATGAAGATGAACAAGGGAACTGACTTGTCAAAGCGCACACCAATGAGTAGAGGCAGAACTGGAATCAGAATCCGAGACCTCTCTTGCACCACCCAGCACATGAGGGCTCTCTCCATGGGCATAATCCTCCCTACCTCCTACTTACCTGCCCTGTGCTGTGGGTAATAGATGAATCGCAGTGGTCCCTAACTTTTTTGGCACCAGGGACCAGTTTCATGGAAGACTATTTTTTCACGGATCAAGGGAGAACAGAGAGGGGCGGGGATGGTTTCAGGATGATTTCAGCACACTACATTTATCATTAGATTCTCCTAAGGACTGTGCAACCTGAGCATGATGATTGGGTATTCACGTGCATGTGTGAGATCTGCCACCCTTGAACCTTGTTATGACGTTAGCACATTACCCATCTGACACGAAAAAAAGAAGAAGAAAGAAAAAAAAAGAGGAGTGCGCAACCTAGATCCCTCGCATGCGCAGTTCACAATAAGGTTTGCGCTGTATGAGAATCTAATGCCACTGCTGATCTAACAGGAGGCGGAGCTCAGGCGGTAATGCTTGCTTGCCCGCCACTCAACTCCTGCTGTGCAGCCCGGTTCCTAACAGGCCACAGACCAGTACCGTGGGGACCCCAGGTCTAGTGGACTCCAAGAAAGACATTGGAAGAAGGAAATGGAGAAATGAGCAGACTTCAGAATAGTATCAACAAGCCATGCAGTTAGATAATGTGAAAGTCTACTGGTGAGTCTAAGGGATCTCCCTAGATGTATTTAAGAGTAACCGAATCATTATAAGGAAAGCTGTAAACTGGCAAATTGGACTGAGAAAAATCTGCCAAAATGCAGAAAGAGGATAGTATAAATCCAAGTGCAAACAGAAGGGCACAGATCATTCTGGAATGTAGGTTCCTGGTTGCAAGTATTCCATCAAGCTTTGTTTCCTGATTTGGAGTTTGGAAACATAGTCCCTCTAAGCTTAGATGGAGTTGAATGCAGCATGAGGACTGGACAGTGAGTTTCCAAAAGGGAGAGAGCACAAAAAAAAGAGGCACAAACAAGTTGATCCCGTGACGGAGCCAAATACCAGATTTTGCCTTGACCTCCAGGAAACTTGTGAAACCACTACCTTCTCTTTCCTCTAATTCCATTCATTTCACAACATCCTCTGGGCTTTTGTGTGAAACACTGTGCTTGGTGTTACAGGGATGGAGGGTAACACGGTGTTGGGGGTGGTAACGAGGTGTTGGGGTGATATACAGAATAAATAAACTGAAGGAGGTTCTGCCCTCAAATTTTAGTCTTATAGTAAGAAGCGATTCACACACTGGGCTGTGATTTCATGCCCACTGCTCAGTCTCCTGATTGCTCATCCTGCTTCTCAGCTTAGTCCTGGACAGATGGAGTGTATAATATGGGGTAGTCTGTGTCCATAGTCACTCAAAGATAACTCCTGACTGTGGATTCAAAAATATGCATTATAAACTTTTTTTAATGACCATTTTGGAACCTATGATATTATCAATTCAGGCAGTGGATGCTAAAACTGTAGAGGACCCATATATTCACATGGACTCAAAGTATCACTGCACAAAGGACTTGATAATTGTAAAGGGAGGAGTGGCGAGATATGGCAAACACCTCAACTGAGTGATCACACTCAGTAACATGCTACGTGCCTTCTGGTGTAACAGAAAAAGAGACACAATTTCATAAGTACTGTTTGCGCCAAAAAAGTTTCCCCAAAGGTAATCATGAGAAACCAATCAGACAAATACAGAATATGGTACATTCCACAAGACAACTAGCTTGATCTCTTCAAACAAGTCAATGTCATAAAAGAAAAAAAAAGGTAGGACAACTATTCTATATTAAATGAGACCAAAGACATAACAACCAAATATAATGCATGAATTTGATCGGATCTCAGATTGAGGGAAAAAAAGTTATAAAAAAGGCATTTGAAAGGAAATTTAATACACATTATACATCAGAATCATTGCTAATTTTCTTAGGTGTGATCATGCTGTCGTGGTTAGGGGAACGACATTACTCTCAAGAGATGCACGCTAAATTGAAACGTCACAATGTTTGCAATTTTCAAATGTCAACAATTGGTAAATCTAGATGAAGGATGTACAGGTGCTAATTGTATTATCCTTTCAATTTCCCTGCAGGTTTGAAATTTTTCAGGTAAAACAGAGAGTGGAGACTTGAATGTGGCCTCAACGTTGCTTTTTTTTTTTCCTTCATGATGCTGGGTGTTAAAGCATTATCCTTGTCTTCTTAGACTCTCTTTTCTTTCAAATAAAAAAAACCCACACACCTGGTCTAAGCCAAAGTATTGTTTCCACTGCCTGCAAGTATGCAGGGTTTTCCTTGTAGCAGCTGTCTCACTGGGAGCATTTTCTGTTTCAGCAACTCACATGTTTGACATTATCTCATGGATATATGAAGCTTTAGGAATATGTCACTGTCTCTTTGAAACTTAAAGATGAATCATTCTCTCAATCTCTAGGGGAAAAGATAATGCCATGGATTCCCTCATTGCTGTATAAGAAGGGGCCATGCCCAGCAGATTCCAGTAATGGCCTCTGAAGTTTACAACAGATGCCAAAGTGTGTTGGGAATACCACTGGGCTAAAAATTGGGAATCTCCTGGGGAAAGTTATTTCACCTTTCAAGGCTTCATTTACTTCATCTGTGAAAGAGAATGATTGCAATGAATGCTTTTAAAGTTCCCTTCAAGCACTAATAGTTTATCACTGGAGTTTCTGCTTTCCCAGACATAGCATCATGGCCCAAAAGAGAAAGCAAAGGGTCAGTTCTTCTCCTTGAGCACAGTCTTCAAATTCCTGGATGCTCCAGCGGGGAAGCAGCACCCTCAGCGCTTCCTCTTGTGGCAAAATAAAAACATTTTTAAGCCTAATCCACCACTGCACCTGGCCTACACTTACCTTTTTTCTAGAAACAAATGTGTCAGTTGGCAATTAGTGAAGCCTCAGAAGCAAAATTAATTCCACATGTCCTTAGCACACTATATAAAGAGAGGATCAAAGGACGACAGTCGGTGCAGAATGTGGTTAGCTGCTTCCTGTATTCTCTCCAGCTGAGCATTGTCTGTTGGCTGCAGGACCCCTTGGAAAACTCTGATAGGGCAAAAGGAAAGGAGTTGATGGAAGATTTGGGCAGACATTGCAGAGGAAATGGGCAAACTTTCATTCAGGGTGTGGCCAGAATGGAAAAAGATGAAAAGTTTAAGATGCTGGTAAAAAATGGAGAAGAAAAAACAGGCTAGAAAATAACATTCTGGAGGTAGATTTGTTTCCACATTAAGTTCAACACCCTTACGCTATAATGGTATTTTTCTATCTCTAGAAAAGTCATTTCTATGACTTTTATAACAAATAATGATGCAAAAATATTTAAACTACATTCTTCCCTGGCTAACCATTCAAGCCAAGCAGAGGTCCACAAATTGTGATAGTCTCCAGCATCAAGAAGAACTAACTGCATTCTTTTTTTATTTATTTTACTTTAAGTTCTGGGATACATGTGCAGAACATACAGATTTGTTACATAGGTATAGATGTGCCATGGTGGTTTGCTGTACCCATCAACCCATCATCTAGGTTTTAAGCCCTACATGCATTAGGTATTTGTCCTAATGCTCTCCCTCCCCTTGCCCCCCACCCCCGTACAGGCCCTAGTGTGTGATGTTCCCCTCCCTGTGCCCATGTGTTCTCATTGAAGAACTAACTGCATTCTTTGTGTATGTGTGTGTGTGTGACGGAGTCTCACTTTGTCACCCAGGCTGGAGTGCAGTGGTGCGATCTCGGCTCACTGCAACCTCCACCTCCCAGGTTCAGGTGATTCTCCTACCTCAGCCTCCTGAGTAGCTCGACTACAGGCGTGCGCCACCACGCCCAGCTAATTTTTTGCATTTTTAGTAGAGACAGGGTTTCACCCTGTTAGTCAGGATGGTCTCAATCTCCTGACCTCATGATCCGCCCGCCTTGGCCTCCCAAAGTGCTGGGATTACAGGCGTGAACCACCGTGCCCGGCCGAACTAACTGCATTCTCATGATTTGCTAGTCAAGTTCAGATTTGGCCAGCATGATGACATCCAGAGGTAGGCCTGGTCTACTTCTGAGGACACAGGCCAAATCAAGCCCTCCTGTCTTTCCCATGACTTACACAAGAACACATTTAAACAAAGGAAAAAGAAGAAACATTTCCACTTAAAGAACCCATTAGAATCAATATTGTGAAAATGACCATACTGCCAAAAGCAATCTATAAACTCAATGCAATTCCCATCAAAATATCACCATCATTCTTCACAGAACTAGAAAAAACAATCCTAAAATTCATATGGAACCAAAAAAGAGCTCACTTAGCCAAAGCAAGACTAAGCAAAAAGAACAAATCTGTAGGCATCACATTACCTGACTTCAAACTATATTATAAGGCCATAGTCACCAAAACAGCATGGTACTAGCATAAAAATAGGCACACAGACCAATGAAACAGAATAGAGAACCCAGAAATAAAGCCAAATACTTACAGCCAACTGATCTTTGACAAAGCAAACAAAAACACAAAGTGGGGAAAGGAAACCCTATTCAACAAATGATGCTGGGATAATTGGCTAGCCACATGTAGAAAAATGAAACTGGATCCTCATCTCTCACCTTATACAAAAACCAACTCAAGATGGATCAAGGACTTAAATCTAAGACCTGAAACCATAAAAACTCTAGAAGATTACATTGGAAAACCCCTTCTAGACATTGGCTTAGGGAAAGACTTCATGACCAAGAACCCAAAAGCAAATGCAACAAAAACAAAGATAAATAGATAGGACTTAATTAAACTAAAAAGCTTCTGCACAGCAAAAGAAACAATCATCAGAGTAAACAGACAACCCACAGAGTGGGAGAAAACCTTTGCAATCTAAACATCTGACAAAGGACTAATATCCAGAATCTACAAGGAACTCAAACAAACCAGCCAGAGAAAAACAATCCCGTCAAAAAGTGGGCTAAGGACATGAATAGACAATTCTCAAAAGAAGATATAGAAATGGCCAACAAGCATATGAAAAAATGTTCAACATCACTAATGATCAGGGAAATGCAAATCAAAACCACAATGCGATACCATGTTACTCCCACAAGAACAGTCATAATAAAAAAATCAAAAAATAATAGACTTTGGCGTGGATGTGATGAAAAGAGAACACTTCCACACTGCTGGTAGGAATGTAAACTAGTACAACCACTATGGAAAACAGTGTGGAGATTCCTTAAAGAACTAAAAGTAGAACTACCATTTGATCCAGCAACCCCACTACTGGGTATCTACCCAGAGGAAAAAAAGTCATTATTACAAAAAAGACACTTGCACATGCATGTTTATAGCAACACAATTCGCAATTGCAAAAATACGGAACCAGCCCAAATGCCCATCACAACAAATGGATAAAGAAATTGTGGTGTGTATATATATATACCATGGAATACTACTCAGCCATAAAAAGGAACAAAATAATGGCATTCGCAGAAACCTGGATGGAATTGGAGAGCATTATTCTAAGTGAAGTAACTCAGGAATGGAAAACCAAACATTGTGTGTTCTCACTTATAAGTGGGAGCTAAGCAACGAGGACACAAAGGCATAAGAATGATACAATGGACTTTGGGGACTCAAGGGAAAGGGTGTGGGGGTGAGGGATACAAGACTACATGCTGGATACAGTATACACTACACTGCTCAGGTGACAGGTGCACCAAAATCTCAGAAATCACCACTAAATAACTTACTCATGGAACCAGATACTACCTGTTCCTTGAAAACCTGCTGAAAGAAAAATAAATACATGAATAATAAAGAAAAGAACCCAGTACTCAGGGAGTTCTGACCTTCGTAAGTGAGAGCTGAGGTGATTTACAGTGCCCCTGTTAGGATATTTTCTTACCAGTTAAATTAGATTGATCATGCACAACTCACCCTGCAAATTTACTATTGGCAGTGTATTTGTGGTTTAAAAAAAAAACTTTGGGCACTTTAGATAGCTAAATAATAGGGGGCGATCAGAGAGATCTATCACAGGAGAAGTCAAAGGGAAAGGCTATTTCCCTTGGATACTTACTGTTAGCTGTATTTATTTAAATAACTTGTTTATGCTTTGATTGCCCACCTCTTCCATTAAAATGTAAATTCCATAAAGATGGGAACAGTATCTGTGTTTTTCACCATTGAATCCCCACCCCCTAGCACATAGCACAAATGGAATAAGTAGTTAATGAAGGAGGACATGAAATTTTTAGACATACACAATCAGAAAAAATAAAAGTATGGTATGGTTCTTCATTCTTATGTTTTTATTCACATCTTTCTTTATAATGCTGAGCAACTTTTTTTAGTTTTCTTTACATAGAGCCTACAGCACATTTCTTATTAAAATTATTCCTATTTTATCAGTTTAAAGAATGTAATCTCTCCATCCCTCTCTTTCTCCTCTCTCTTTCTCATTATATTTTAAAGTTTATCAATGCTGGCATATGGAAAATATTTTTATTTGAATATATCCTGCTTGCAGCCAACACACTCAACTCTCATTAAATGCAATAGTTGGGGCCAGGCACTGTGGCTCACACCTGTAATCCCAGAAATTTGAGAGGCAGAGGAGGAAGGATCGCTTGAGCCTGGGAGGCTGAAGTAAGCTATGGTCATGCCACTGCACTCCAGCCTGGGCAACAGAGTAGGATCCTGTTTCTTTTTAAAAAATCCAATAGTTGGGCCGGGTACGGTGGCTCATGCCTGTAATCCCAGCACTTTGGGAGGCCAAGGCGGGTGGATCACGAGGTCAGGAGATCAAGACTATCCTGGCTAACACGGTGAAACCCCGTCTCTACCAAAAATACAAAAAAAAAAAAAAATTAGCCGAGCATGGTGGCGGGAGCCTGTAGTCCCAGCTACTCGGGAGGCTGAGGCAGGAAAATGGCGTGAAACTGGGAGGCGGAGCTTGCAGTGAGCCGAGATCGCGCCACTGCACTCCAGCCTGGGCGACAGAGTGAGACTCCCCCTTAAAAAAAAAAAAATCCAATAGTTGGAGTTTCATTTTGCTTGATTTTTTTTTTTTTTTTTTTTTTTTTGAGAGGGAGTCTTGCTCTGTCGCCCAGGCTGGAGTGCAGAGGTGCGATCTCGGCTCACTGCAACCTCCGCTTCTTGGGTTCAAGCGATTCTCCTGCCTCAGCCTCCTGAGTAGCTGGGACTACAGGCTTCCGCTACCACGCCCAGCTAATTTTTTGTGTTTTTAGTAGAGACGGGGTTTCACCATATTGGCCAGGCTGGTCTCGAACTCCTGATCTTGTGATCTGCCCGCCTCGGCTTCCCAAAGTGCTGGGATTACCGGCGTGAGCCACTGCGCCCAGCCTTGAATTTCTTTTAGTAGGCTAGATATAAAATCGTATCATCTGCAAAAATAAAATTTTGTCTTTTCCTTTCCAAAGTTCTAAATCTCATTTCTGTTTCATCTTTAATTGCTGTCACTAGCTGCAAACTGGGAAAAACATCAAACGATAATGGTGATGGTGGGTGTTCCATAATCTATTCATGATTCTAAGAAACAGACCTCTGGTGTTTCTCATTCTGATTTTCACAACTAGAGCCCAGAAAGATTCTCATCTGCTCATTTCCTTTCACTTTACCTTATTACAGACCACTTAAAATAATCCTAATGTAATAATGTAAGTTTTAACAACACCAAGATGGTTAGTCCTCAAAGAAGTTTCCTTTTCGTCCCTAAACCACAATGCAAGAGCATTCCTTTGCCTCTATTAAATGCACACAAACACACACACACACAGCCGATGCAGCCTGTCCAACCCCTGCTTTCTTCTGATTCATGGGCTCTGGGGGGCATGAAGCAATGCTGATGCCTCAAGGGCCCCGGCACATCCGCAGTCCTCTGGCTAGGGCAGTGCCCGCAGCTCTGAGAACATCAAGAGCACCCGGGCATAAACATGTGCATTCCCATGGCAGCGCTGGCAGTCCTGGCAGTACTACACGAATAAATAGACAGCAACTGTGGGCTTGTCCTAATCAGCATAAGAAGTGAACAGGATATTGAAATGAAATGAAAATAATTACTTCTTCTCCTGCCCCTGAGACCAGGTCTGCTGAATTCTGGCTCTTTCGTTTTGTCCACCCACCCATCCATGCTAGAGGAAATTAATTTGTCTGTTCCCGCTATTTGATTCAAAGCAGGCTGAGACTGCCTTTCTAGAGTCTCAGACCTCCGCCTGCTACACACTTCTCCTTCTTTACAGAGCCAAGCTCTCCACTAGCTGCCTGCAGGTTATGCAAACCATGATCACAAACACTGGGAACCACTCACCAGGCACAATGGTACCAGGACCTGAGTGTGTGAACCTGATGCACCACCTGGGCAGAGGCCCTCCCTAGACAGCCATGTCCTCCCCAGCCCACTGTCCAAGCTTTGGAGCTGTCGGAGCTGTCAGAGCTGCCTGGAGGAAGATTGGTATTGAAGGAAATAAAAATATTGGACCCCAAAACAGACTTCTTTGGCATACTTTGAGATGGCTGTTCAGAGGGCCTGCAAACATAAGTAGCCCTGCAAAGCTGTCTTTTGCAGGTGGGGGGAGATTTGCATCTGCAGAGAATCTGCATTGATGCAGCCAGGCTTTCTCCTAAGGCCTTCCTTTGTCCAGATCTAGGAGAGATTAACTGAGAGTCTGACACATTTAAAGATCTGAAAGAACATTCACCCATCTCTCCACTCTGAGGGCTGCTACCTGTGAGGTTTCACCTGCATAA
The DNA here is from genome assembly GCF_000001405.40 of Homo sapiens. Classification (NCBI taxonomy): domain Eukaryota; kingdom Metazoa; phylum Chordata; class Mammalia; order Primates; family Hominidae; genus Homo; species Homo sapiens. Next base: position 172,147,604 of record NC_000002.12, on the reverse strand, counting down.
CACAACCATCTTTGCTAGCCAGGGCTTCTCTTCTCCCCCTCCCATAACCTGTTTTGCCAGGATACAAGCCCCCATTCTTTCTATACCTTCAAGAGGGTATATAAACTTCTGAACCCCATTGGGATTTGGGGTAATCACTCTGTGGTTCTTCCCCATGTGCATGTTAATAAATTTGTATGTCATTTCTCTTATTAATCTCCTTCTGTGAGTCGATTTTTCAGCAAAACTTCAGAGGGTAAAGGGGAAGTTTTCCCTTGGCCTCTACAGCATCATCTTCACTGTCCTGGGGATCTAAGACTACTCTCAAGATTTTTCTTGGGTTTTCCCAACTATGGGGATAAGAGAGCCTTTAGGGATAGGAGACCTGGGAGGCAGATGACAACAGCAGTGATTCTTACCTGTCAGCCAGCCTCTGGCACTGGCTCTACAGCCACCACCAATCCCAACCCATGATGGAATAGCTCAGAGCCCTCCCTCCCGCTTCTTAGCCCTCTCCATGACTACAGAGACCCTGGTCTGGCTGGCAAGAGCGGGGAGTGGAGGGGAAGGACAGGAGTCTGCACATGTGTCCATATTGGTGTTCAAGGTTTGGGGGCAAAACAGAAGCTGCCTTTGCTTCCACCAGGTTCCCTCCCTGCTCTTCTAACCCCTCAATGAAAATCTGGGCCAAGCTGTACTCCAGCACCAACCCCAACCTCATCCATCCTAATACTTTTTCCCAAATCTGTTTAATTCCCTGGTTAACTTCATTCTGGCCCCCAGCCCTGCCTGAACAGTGCCTGCCCCTAATGCCCAGCTCAGCAATGCATGCCCTGGCCTTATGCTAATCATTACTAATTGCAGCTAACACTTATAAATGTCCTTATTCACTTATTTATTTAATCTTTACAGCAATCCTCTGAGGTAGATACTATTATTATTCCCATTTTACAGATGAGAAAACTGAGTCTCCAGGAGATTAAGTGACTTGCCCAAGGTCACATAGCTTGCAAACAACAGAATAGATTTGAGCCCAGGGTCTGCACTCCTAACCTCTAGCCTGTACCAACACTAAAAGTTTTAGTCCCTGCCCTCAAGCCAGTGTCAATCCAACCCCCAGACCCTGCAGCTCTGATGGGAGCCTGAGCTCCTTAAATCCAGCTGAGCCCCACCACTCTGCCACCCAAAGTCAGAAGGTAGCATCTGCCCACCTTGCCCCATCAGGGCTCTCCCAACATACTTTTTACCCTCCACCAACAACAGAACCTGAGTCGACGAGAGGTCAACACTATGCAGGATGAGGTGGTCAGCTCATGGAAGCCCGAGGGAGCCCAGGCAGAAAGCATCCCAGCCACGGACAAAAATGAGCTCCAGACACCCAGGCCTGGGCCATGGCACCCAGGCGCACCTTCCAGGGCTATGGAGGAGGCTGCCCCATCAAAAGCATTTCCATGTCTGGAAACACCTGTGAAATCTAAGGCGTGGGCAGTGGAAGAGGGCAGCTGTGAGCAGCAGGCACAGAAGACCTGAAGGTGAGACTCCATGGGAAAGAGGCCTGGCAGAGGCTTTCCCTCCCTCTGCAGGAAGCAGCACTATACCATTCATTCTCCTTCTGGCGGAACTCCTGACATTGACTTCTGTGAGCTCTGTGCCAGCAATTTCAGGCTACTGTTTCTCAGTTTTCTGGGCCAAATTATCTCTCCCACTTCATGTGGCTTTCCCAGGAAACAGGCCTAATTTTATTTTCAAATGGACTCAATATCCCTCAAGTCTATCCTGTCTCCCTCCCAGCCTCCACCCCCATGCTTGCAGATCCCCCTCGAAGCACTTCCAAAGGCATTCATCAATGAAAATTATTATCAGTAATCAAATGTACAATTTGTTAAGAACTTACAGGAACCAAGCTAACTCATTTTGTTCTTACATTCATAAATTCATTGAGTTATTTGAGGTAGGTAGTGTGCCCCCTTTATAGATGAGCAAGTGAAATTCTAAACTCAATTGCCTTGGGCAGGTGATTGGCATAAATGTTTTCAGAGGATCAGCATAAGACAATAGTTGACCTCTTTTATTGAGATCAAGGTAACTTAACTTTTGGAAAGGCTGGGCAGGCAAAAAAAACTTACCCTCTGGCTTCTCCAGCCTTTGAGCCACCAATTTAAGATCACTAAATTTAGAAACTCCCCTCAGCCTGGCTATGGGGTCCATTCTCTTAACTCCTAGGCTATCCCACTTCACTATCAGTCCCTTTGTTCCTAGTCAGCCCACCAGATGTAAATTGAGTTGTGTGGGAAAGAAGTAAAGAGCCAATACTGAAGAACTCTCAGTATAACTCAAAGGAGAATTCCCACCAAATAACTCAGAAGACAGAACCTTGTAATTTTAAAGTTATAGGGTTGGTGGAGGATGGGGGGCTGGGAGGTAGGGGAAAGAACACTACCTAATTCTTTAAATCCCAAGGAGAAGCAAAGCTTGCTTTAAAAATTAAAAAAAAAAAAAAAAAAAAAGCCAAGGAGGCCATCAGAATCATTCATGTCTATTTGATTATCTCATTAAGACAATGCTTTCCAACCAGTCAGTGGACAAGTAGGTAGAAGAAAAAATACCAAGAACAAACATGAAATATGCTCTAGGGAAATGAGTTCTAACCTGGGGCCATGGAATCTTCAGTGGGTTTCACAGGGTCCATGCGTATCTTGGAAACATTCTAATTTTATGTGCACGTGCATTTTTCTGGAAAGACTTTTCCATAGCTGTCATCAAAAGGCCCACCACCTGAGAAAAGAAAAAATAAAACACTAAAACCACTAAATAAATAAATAAATAAATATCTCCTAACAAATATTATTAGGAGAAATAAATATCTCCTAAATCCACAGGATTTTCTTAAACCCAGCTGCTCCTCCTTCCTGAAAATAGTGGCCTGTCCCCCACTGGCTCATGGAGGAGCTGAGGGAGTGAGCAATACCAGGCTTGGCAGATCACCTGGAAGTTCCTACCCTACCTGTGTCCACCGGGTGATGCTGGGCCTCTCTGAAGTTATGAAGGCCAAGTCGGATCCTGCAGCACCCTAGTTAAGCCAAACGGAATATTCAAAAGAGATGAAAGGAATAGCACATGAAATTTCAGCATTTTGATCCTCAAGAGAACCCAGCTGAAGTAGCCTGAGAAATTGCTCAGGGAAGGCTGGAATCGCTCAGGGAAGCAGATGGAGTTTCTGAAGGTTAGGGAGGAAGAGCATATTACGTGGACTGGGCTTGCAGGTGTAACAAGCACAGATCAGAGGCGCAACTGATTAAGGCTACAGAGATGCTGGAAAGGAACAGAGGGACTGGTCCAAAGCCAGGGAGGAAATGAAAGGCAAGACAAAGCCCTATCATGGACCAGCATTGAGAGATGAGGCTTTGGCATTTGTATAGAAGATGCCAGAGGGTTGGGCAGATGCCAGTGGAGAAAGAGACCACATGACTAGACTCTTTAAGAGAAGACTGAGAAGTGGGGCTTACATGAATAGAAAATGGAAGAAAGATGTGATTACTGAGAAGAGAAATTGGCTAGCATATGAAGTGTCAGGTATTAATACTGAAGGCACACAGTAGATAAATGAACCAGTCAGCAAAAGGCATATAAGACCAGATGCAGGTTTGCAGAAATGAAGTGACCTGGGTCACAGGAAGCAGAGGTATCCTCCCCACCACATGCCAACATACTGCCTGAGCAGAGGTCTGCTCTCAACTCTAGTAATTATTAATGTAGAATTATTACAAGTACATGTGATGATCCCAACATCCACCTCTGCCCATACCTCATCTGAGCAGCCCTTTTTCAACTGAGTAGCCAAGAACTGAAAAAATATATAAATTACAGCACAGGGAAGTCAGAAAATGACCAATAGCTTCCAGTCAGTTCTGGAACAAGTTTTGTATCTTGAATTGGGACTGCATTATTTTTCTTGATTTGTTGTAGGAAATTGTAAAATTTTCAACATCCTAATGACCATCAGTAAATGACTGATTTAAAAGAGTTTGGTTGGCTGGGTGTAGTGGCTCATGTCTGTAATCCCAGCACTCTGGGAGGCCAAGGCAGGTGGATCACAAGATCAGGAGATTGAGACCATCCTGGCTAACACCGTGAAACCCCTTCTCTACTAAAAATACAAAAAAAAATTAGTCGGGTGTGGTGGCAGGCGCCTGTAATCCCAGCTACTTGGGAGGCTGAGGCAGGAGAATGGCATGAACCCAGGAGGCAGAGCTTGCATTAAGCTGAGTTCAAGCCACTGCACTCCAGCCTGGGCAACAGAGCGAGACTTCGTCTCAAAAAACAAAAAAAAACAAAAAAAAAACCACACGCACAAAGAGTTTTGTTTAGCTATATTCTGGAATACTATGCAACTACTTAAAAGAATGAATGGCATCCATATGTGCTCACATGGGAAAATGTCCAGGATTTCTTGCTAGGTGAAGGAAAGCAAGTTGGAGATTCTATGTATAATATAATCCCACTTGTTAAAAAAAAAAAAAAAAAGCTTACCGGCCTGGGCAACATGGCAAAACCCCATCTCCACCAAAAATACAAAAAATTAGCCAGGTGTGGTGGTGCATGTCTGTAATCCCAGCTACTAGGGAGGCTAAGGCGGGAGAATCACTGGAACCCAGCAGATGGAGGCTGGAGTGAGCCAAGATCACACTACTGCATTCCAGCCTGAGTGACAGTGGGACCCTGTCTCAACTTAAAAAAAAAAAAAAAAAAAAAAGATTGGGCTGGGCGCAGTGACTCACGCCTGTAATCCCAGTACTTTGGGAGGCCGAGGTGGGTGAACTCCTGAGGTCAGTTCAAGACCAGCCTGGCCAACATGGTGAAACCCCATCTCTACTAAAAATACAAAAATTAGCCAGGCATGGTGGCATGTGCCTGTAATCCCAGCTACTCAGGAGGCTGAGGCAGGGGAATTGCTTGAACCCAGGAGGTGGAGGTTGCAGTGAGCCGAGATCGCACCATTGCAATCCAGCCTGGGTGACAGAGCGAGACGACGTATCCAAAAGAAAAAAGATTATACAAATAAATATGTACTATATAATTGTACATGTGCTTGATATTTATTCATTCATTCATTCAAGATGTATTTATAGAGTATCTTTTGTATATCAGACACTGGCACAAAAATCTCTGCCTATATTTGGTTTGGGAAGACAGAAAATAAATAAGAGAAATAAGCAAAAGGTATATTTACTATGTACAAACTGCTAACAATGAAAATAAATCAGGGAAGGGGATAGGAAATGTGTGGTACATAGCCAACATCCTGTCTGGGAGACCTCTCTGAGGTATATTTGAGTAAAGAACTGAGAAGTGAAGGAGTGGGGAGGCCGCTCTCTGGAGGAAGAGCATGGCAATACTGCAAGCAAAGGTTCTGAGGCAGCAGCGCACCGGGAGGGTTCTGGATCATGCAGAGGGGTGTGCAAAACTGCACATTTGAAGCTGCTCTACTGATTTAGGTAAGAGACTTTGCCCTAGTTAAAAAAAAAAAACAAAAAACAAAAAAAAACAGGCACACAGCCCATCCTCCTCCCTCTGCTCTCAACAATTGCTGCAGGTAGAAAGGCTTTGGAAATGGAAAGCAGAGAGTGCAGCTGGTTTTGAATTTGAGGAATTCTGTAAGGGAAGCCAGGATAGGGGTGTGTCACAGAAGAGCACCTCTACAGCCTTCACACTTTTATACAACAGGGATCCAGAAGCCTAATTAAAGTTGTCAGGGGCCAGGCGCGGTGGCTTACGCCTGTAATCCCAGCACTTTAGGAGGCTGAGGCAGGCAGATCACTTGAAGTCAGGAGCTCAAGACCAGGCTGGCCAACATGGTGAAACCCTATCTCTACTAAAAATACAAAAGTTGGCTGGGGCATGGTGGTGGGCACATGTAATCTCAGCTACTCGGGAGGCTGAGGCAAGAGAATCGCTTGAACCCAGGAGATTGCAGTGAGCCAAGATTGTGCCACTGTACTCCAGCTTGGGCGACAAGAATGAAACTCCGTCTCAAAAAAAAAAAAAAAAAAGGAGCAACTCCTCATCCAGTCAAGTTTGATCATGAAATTGCAGGAATTGAGTCACATCTACAGGCTCTACTTCTAATTCTAGTTCTCTTGCTATTTCCACCACAGCTGCAGTGAAGCCTTGAACGTCTCAAAAGTCATCAATAAGCACTGGAATCAACTTCTCCCAAACCCCTGTTAATGTTGATGTTTTGACCTCCTCCTATGAATCACAAATGTTCTTAATGGCATCTAGAATGGTAAATCCTTTCCAGAAAGTTTTCAATTTACTTTGCCCAGATACATCAAAGGAATCACTATCTATGGCAGCTATAGTCTTATGATAGGTATTTCTTTTGTTGTAAATTTTTGTTTTTAGGGACTGGGTCTTGCTATGTTACCCAGGCTGGTCTTACACTCCTGGCCTCAAGCAATCCTCCCACTTCAGCCTCCTGAGTCTCTGGGATTATAGGCACAAGCCACCAAGCCTGGCTGCAAATATATTTTTTAAATAAGGGTTGCCAAGGGTGGTGCCTTATACCTGTAATCCCAGCACTTCGGGAGGCTAAGGCAGGGAGATTGTTTAAGGCCAGGAGTTCTAGACCAGACCAGCCAACACAGTGAAATTTGTCTCTACAAAAAATAGAAAAACTTACTCAAGAGTGGTGGTACATGCCTGTAGTCCCAGCTACTCAGGAGGCTGAGGCAGGGGGATCACTTGAGCCCAGAGTTTGAGGCCATAGTAAGCCATAATTGTGCCACTGCTCTCCAGCCTGGGCAGCAGAGACCTCAACTCAAAAAAAAAAAAAAAAAAAAAATTAGCTAGGTGTGGTAGAATATGCCTATAGTCTCAGCTACTTGGGAGGCTGGAGCAGGAGGATCACTGGATCCCAGAGTTCAAGGCTGCAGTAAGCTGTGATTGCCAGTGCACTCCAGCCTGGGTGACAGAATGAGACTACCTCTCTAAACAAATGAATAAATAGATAATAAGACTTGAAAGTCAAAATTACTCCTTGATCCATGGGCTGCAGAATGGATGTTGTGTTAGCAGGCAAGAAAACATTAATTTCCTTGTACCTCTCCATCAGAGAGCTGTTTGGTGACCAGGTACATTGTCAATGAGCAATAGTATTTTGAAAGGAATCTTTTTTTCTAAACAGTAGGTCTCAACATTGAGCTTAAAGTATTCAGTAAACCATATTCTAGACAGATGTGCTGTCATCCAGGCTTTGTTGTTCCATTTATAGAGCATGGGTAGAGCAGATTTACCATAATTCTTAAGGGCCCTAGGATTTTCAGAATGGTCAATGAACATTAGCTTCAACTTAGAGTCACCAGCTGCATTAGCCCCTAACAAGAGAGCCTGTCCTTTGAAGCTTTGGAGCCAGGCATTCTCTTCTCTTCTTTAGCTGTGAAAGTCCTAGATGGCATCTTCTTCCAAGGCTGTTTCATCTACATGGAAAAGCTTTTGTTTCATGCAGTCACCTTCATCGATGGTCTTAGCTAGATCTTCTGAATAACTTGCTGTAGCTTCTACATCAGCACTTGCCACTTCACCTTGCACTTTTATGTTATGGAGACAGCTTCTTTCCTTAAAGCTCATGAACCAACCTCTGCTGGCTTCCAACATTTCTTCTGCAGCTTCCTCATCTCTCTCAGCCTTCATAGACTTGAAGAGAGTTCAGAGTCTGAACTCTCTGGATTAGGCTTTGGCTTAAGGGAAGGTTGTGGCTGGTTTGATCTTCTACCCAGATCATTCAAACCTCCTCCATGTCAACAAAAAGTGAAATGTGTTCACTAGAGTAGCACGTTTAATTTCCTTCAAGAACTTTTCCTTTGCATTCACAACTTGGCTAAGAGTTTTGTGCAAGAGGCCTAGCTTTTAGCCTGTCTTGACTTTCAACGTGCTTTCCTCACTAAGCTTAAACATTTCTAGCTTTTGATTTAAGATGAGAGATATGATCAAGCGTGGTGGCTCATAGCGGTAATCCCAACACTTTGGGACACTGAAGTAGGAGAATCACTTGAGCCCAGGAGTTCCAGACCAGCCTGGGAAACGTGGCCAAACCCCATCTCTACAAAAAAAAATTTTTTTAATTAGCTAGGCATGGTGGTGCATGCCTGTAGTTCCAGCTACTTGGAAGGCTGAGGTAGGAGGATTGTTTGAGCCAGGGAGGTCGAGGCTGCAGTGAGGTGTGATCATGCCACTGCACTCCAGCCTGGGCAACGGAGCAAAACTCTGTCTCAAATAAGTAAAATGAGAGATGTGACTCTTCCTTCACTGGAACACTTAGAGGCCATTGTAGGGGCATTAATTGGCCTAACTTTTTTTAACTTCCATTTTTAACTTCCATTTTAGATTTGGGGGTACATGTGAAGGTTTGCTACACAGTTAAACATGTGTCGTGGGGGTTTGTTGTACATATTATTACATCATCCAGGTATTAAGCCCAGTACCAAAGAGTTCTCTTCTCTTCTCCCTCCTCCCACCCTCCCCCATCAGGTAGACTCCAGTGTCTATTTTTTTCTTTTCTTGTGTTCATATATTCTTATCCTTTAGCTCCCACTTATAGGTGAGAACATGTAGTATTTGCTTTTCTGTCCTTAGTTGGTTTGCTAAGGATAATGGCCTCCAGCTCCATCCATGTTCCTTCAAAGGACATGATCTCATTTTTTATGGCTGCATAGTATTTCATGGTATATGTGTACCACATTTTCTTTAGTCTACCATTGATGGGCATTTAGGTTGACTCCATGTCTTTGCTATTGTGAATAGTGCTGCAGTGAGCATTCATGTGCATGTGTCTTTATGGTAGAATGATTTATATTCTCCTGGGTATATACCTAATAATGACATTGCTGGGTCGAATGGTAGTTCTGCTTTTAGCTCTTTGAGGAATCACCATACTGCTTTCCACAATGGTTGAACCGATTTACACTCCCACCAATGTGTATAAGTGTTCCCATTTCTCCGCGATCTTGTCAGCATCTGTTATTTTTTGAATTGTTAATCATAGAATTGACCTAATTTTAATATTCTTGTGTTTCAGGGAATACAGGCCTGAGGAGAGGAATAGTGATGGGGAATGGTCAGTGGAGCAGTCTGAATACACACATTTACCAATTAAGTTCAATGTTTATATGGGCATGGTTCTTGGTGCCCCAACCAATTACAATAGTCACATCAAAGATCATTGATAATAGATCATCATAACAGACACAATAATAATGAAAAAGTTTGGAATGTTATAAGAATTATCAAAATGTGACACGAAGACATGAAGTGAGCACGTGCTGTTGGAGAAATGGTACCAACAGACTTGCTTGATGCCAGGTTGCCACAAATCTTCAATTTCTAAAAACCACAATATTTGCAAAGCACAATAAAGTGAAGCACAATAAAACAAGGTGTGCCTGTATTTGTTGGCTGTAGATAGCCCTTAAAAGAGCACCCATAAAATGCAAATTATAAGTTTGCATTAGGGCTGGGGTTTGCAAACTTGTTCTGTAAAGGGCCAGATAATATATATTAGCAAGCCATACTACTCAACTCTGCCATGGCAGCCCAAAAGCAGATGCTGCATAAATGGATGAATGTGTCTGTGTTCCAATAAAACTTTACTAATAGACACTGAAGTTTTATTTTTATATAATTTTTATGTGTCACAAAATATTATTCTTCTTTTGGTTTTTTTTTCAACCATTTGAAAATGTAAACATTATTCTTAGTGCCCAGGCCATAGCTTGCTGACCACAGCCTTAGGGAATGGAGTTTAGAAGGTTATAAAGATCTTAGGAGAGGCCGGGAGCTGTGACTCATGCCTATAATCCCAGCGCGTTGGGAGGCCAAGGCAGGTGGATCACTTGAAGCCAGGAGTTCGAGACTAGCCTAGCCAACATGGTGAAACCCCATCTCTATAAATACAAAAATTAGCCAAGTGTGGTGGCCCATGTCGGTAATCCCAGCTACTCAGAAGGCTGAGGCAGAAGAATTGCTTGAGCCCGGGATGTGGAGGTTGCAGTGAGCCAAGATTGTGCGACTGCACTCCAGCCTGGCCAACGGAGTGAGATTCCATCTCAAAAAAACAAAAACAAACTTAGGAGAAAAAAAAAATGTCAGGCTTCTTGTTCTTAGGCTACCTGTTGATGTGGGTGGGACGTCTTGCAAAACTCCTTGAGGAGGTGTGTCTACATCTCATCATCCTGGTCCTGGTCAGCCAAAGCATATTCAACCCTTTTTTCTCTCTGACTCATCAAAAAGAGTCCTAACTCCCTTTCGTGGGGTTACCATGGACTCCTACTGTGTCATGGGGTTTGTTGTACATATTATTACATCATCCAGGTATTAAGCCCAGTACCAAATAGTTATCTTTTCTTCTCTTCTCCCTCCTCCCACCCTTCATTAGATGTTAGGCTAATGTTACATCCCTGAGCTAGAGGAAATATCAGAATGGGCTTATTAATGAGCAGTAAGAAGATGTCTTAGATCTGGGATCAGGAAAAAGCCTTAAAATCACCTGACCCATTTTCTATACTTTACAGCTAAAGAAATAGAAGGACAGAGAGAGTAAATGACTTGCCCAAGGCCACTCAGTTTGTTAGAAGCCGACCTGGGACTAGAGTCCACATTTCAGACTTCTAGTTGGGGGCTGCTTCCACTCTATTACCTACATTTGTACTCGTAGGAGAAAGTTAAGGAGCCGGGGATGGGGAGCTATTATAAACTAAAGACTTTTTTTAAAAACATAGAATATGATTAAAATGCCATTTTTGGCTGGATGCAGTGGCTCATGCCTATAATTGCAACACTTGGGAACCTGAGGCAGGAGAATTGCTTGAGCTCAGGAGTTTGAGACCAGCCTGGGCAACACAGTGAAGCTCTGTCTCTACAAAATAAAATTTTTTTTAAATGCCATTTTTGCATCCACAGAATGTTTTTGTATTGCCAGTCCCAAACTTGGAGTAAAAAGAAAAGAATATTGGGATGCAGAGAGAGAGGATGAGCTGAGAAGTATTTGCAAGGGACCCTCAAATATACCTGTTCACTAAGCGTTATTTACATACTACTACTACTACTAATATCTTCCACAGAGAAATGTTCTACAGCAGTAGTTCTCAAACTGTGGCCCAGGAACCCACAGGGGTGCTAAGACCCTTTCAGAGGCATAATGAGGTCAAAACTATTCTCATACTACTACTATGATGTTTGCTTTTTTCACTCCCAATCTGTCAAAAACATAGCAGAGTTTTCCAGAGATGACACGGTGTGCGCTATGATAACAGAGTATATGTAGAAGTAGATCTAAGAATCCAGCTGTCTTCTATCCAGCAAAACACTGAAGAGATTTGCAAAGATGTAAAACAATGTCACGCTTCTCACTAATTTTTTTTTTGTAAAATATTCGTTTTCTAACACATGTTATTTATATTAATATCTAATGGATTAATTGTTCTAATTTTTAAATGAATTAACAAATATTTTTCAGTTTTAATTTCTAATACAGTAAATATCACTAAATAAACAAATGGCTTTTATGTTTTGTGGCTCCTCACTAATTTTAAGAGTGTAAAGGGGTCCTGACCAAAAAGTTTGAAAACCCACTAATCTACCATTTTTCAGCTGTTTTGCTCACATGAAATACAAATTAAATTGAAACTGTTACTGAATTTATAGTAGTTTGTTGTCATTCTGTATTTTCTTAATCAAAGTATACCAAAAGAAATCACATAGCTTAAATTGACCTTTATCACCAATGGAAATAAAATTCACATCGCCACAAGGATAAAACAAAATAAAATATCTAAAATAGAAAAACTCTACTGGACAAATGGCAAGAAAAGAAAGGAGGCTAGTAAAATACAGAAGAGACTTAAAAGATGAATAAGCCAAATGCAATGCAACTACTCCATTGAGACCCTGATTCTAACAAACCAACCATGACAAAGCTCTTATGAGACAACTGGGGAAACGTGGATACCGAGAAGATATTTCATCATATTAAAGAGTTATTGTTGGCCAGGTGCAGTGGCTCATGCCTATAATCCCAGCACTTTAGGAGACTGAGGCGGGAAGATCTCTTGAGCCCAGGAGTTCAAGACCAGCATAATATAGCAAGACTTCATCTCTATTTTTAATAAAATAATAATAAATTTGTAATGAGTTGCCTACTGTTAAGTTTATTTAGGTGTGATAATGGTATGATGACTGCGTTTTTAAAAAGAACACTTGCTGAAGTATTATGGATGAAATCATTTAACATTTGGTTTTTCCTGCAAAACAATCAGGTGGAAAGGAGAGTGAGAGAGGTGTAAACAAGATTGGCCATGAAGTGGCTGGGTGCTGTGGCTCATGCCTGTAATCCTACCACTTTGGGAGGCTGAGGGGAGAGGACTGCTTGAACCCAGGAGTTTGAGACCAGCCTGGGCAACACAGTGAGACCCCGTCTCTACAAAAAATTCAAAAATTAGTTGAGCGTGGTGGCACGCACCTGTAGTCCCAGCTACTTGAGAGGCTGAGGTGAAAGGATCACTTGAGCCTGGGAGGGCAAGGCTGTAGTGAGCCATGATAGCACCACTGCACTCTAGCCTGAATGATAAGAAACAGACCCTGTCTTAGAAAAAAAAAAAAAAAAAAGATTGCCCATGGATGGATAGCTGTCAGATCTCAGAAATGGCTCCATTGGGATTCATTATACCATTCTTTTGTATATATTTAAATAAGTCCATCATTTAAAAAAATTTAATAGGTCATCATGCTAAAAAAAAAAAAAAAAAAAGGAGGAAACCACCTGCCTAACTTATTGTTGATTTAGCCATTTACAAATCAATATGCCATATAATTTGGGGGCAGGAAATTTAAATGAGGCACTCATTTAAACTGTAAATGTAACTAAAGCATCACACTGGAAGAGAAGAACACACACTGAGCAAGAATTATACCCCAGAAGATTACAGCTCCATAAAAGGCAGGAACAAAAAAAGTCATCCTCCAAGGGGCCTCTTTGGGTGGAACACCAGGTCTGTGAAAAGAGCCTGGAGACCTTGCCCTACCTGCCCCAAGACACCCACCTGGATATCTACTGGTATCTTACCAAGTACACTAGTACTTACTTACCAAGCGTGCTGTACTTCCCCTGGGGAGCCACCAGGTTATCATAGTTAACCAGAATTGTGTGGAGCAGGAACAATAAAGAAGATGGACCACTTTACTTGAGCCCAACATCCATCTCTTAGGGCACAGTTCTCAATGATTAAAACTAACAGCTGCAAACCGAAGAATGACTTATTTTACCTTTACTTTTCTATAGTGACCACGTTTTTTTAATCTGTTGAGCAAATACACATTACAATCATTTTGGAAAAGTTTAGAATTAGTTACCAAAATGTAAGATACACAAACTCTATAATCCAGCAATTCCATTCCTAGGTAGACACTGAACAGAAATGCATATGGATGTGCATCAGGAGACATGCACAAGAATGTTCTTCGCAGCACTGAAAATGATCCAATGTCCATCAATAATAGAACGGATAAATAAATTGTGATATATTACAATCATATATTGTGAACACGAGCAAACTACAACTACTCATCAACATGGATGAATTTTATAAACACCAACTTGAGGCCGGACATGGTGGCTCATGCCTGTAGTCCCAGCACTTTGGGAGGCCGAGGCAGGTGGATCACCTGAGGTCAGGAGTTCAAGACCAGCCTGGCCAATATAGTGAAACTCTACCTCTACTAAAAATACAAAAATTAGCCAGGCATGGTGGTGTGTGCCTGCAGTCCCAGCTACTCAGGAGGCTAAGGCAGGAAAATCACTTGAAACTGGGAGACAGAGGTTGCAGTGAGCCGAGATCGCGCCACTGCACTCCAGCCTGGGGGACAGAGGGAGACTCCATCTCAAAAAAAAGAAACAGAAGAGCAAGGAAATGGTTACCATAAAAATCAGGATAATAGTTACCTGGGACGAGGGGGAGGTTGAGAAGGAGGTGATCAGGATGAGACACACGGAAAAAGATTCTGGGAAAGACAGCAATATTCTGTTTCTTAACCTGTGCAGTGTTTTCATGGTTTTTTGTAATTATATTTCTTCTATAATTATTCGTCATGCTTTAAATGTGTGTTTCATGCGCATTTGTCTGTGTGCTATCTTTTACGATTAATAAAGGTTTAAAATAAACAAATCAGCTTCAGCTTTATGTGACTATAGAAGTCCTGAAATTGCTGGACTTATGATAAGTGTATTAATACAGCTTGATTTTTGCATGAATGTATTAGTAGAAAGTTTGATTTTTGCATGAATGTATTAGTAGAAAGTCATCTATTCCTGATTTGACAAATTCTCATATGTTATTTTAAGGTTCTTCTGCCAGTTGATTTAAATACAGATTAGCTGTTGAACAAATATGTTTACTATTCCAAAATGGTGACATTTGGGTTCCAAAGTTTCACAAGACCATTCTGAGAATGACTTGAGGAGCACTGTATCATAACGAAGGTTTGATTTAGGTTGTCCCCATTTTGCTAAGCCTTATTATACCAAGTAAGCTCATTTCCAGGCCATGAAAAGCAATTCAAAAGAATTTCATATCCTCAGGATACTAGAAACCAGTACTCTGAAGATCATACTCTAAAAGTTGGCTCAGGCAAATTTCAATATGCAAATTTGTGCTTTTAAATTACACTTCATTAAAATACACTTACCAGTTTAAGTGGAGGCTGATTTTGTAACTGCATTTGGAATTTAGATTCTTACTACTTTCAAACAAATGCTATGTAAACATGAAAATTAAGTAATCAAATGATTCTTTGCCCTCCTTCTACGACACTTTTCACTTGAAAATACAAATCCTGAAAACATCCCACTAAGGAAATGAAGTCCCTCGGCTTTGGAAATATACTTTAACCAAGTGGAGAGCAGACTGCCCTGACCTCATGAAGATCACAGGCACAGGGAAACTTCACAAAGGCCCTGGGCAACTCAGCCCAGAAACTCTGCCCAGGCCCAAACAAGCCCTTTGCATTCTCCTGCTTTTACCAACCAACCCCAGGAGCCTGGCCTGTATTCTCAAGGTTGGCCTCCACTCCTCCTAGCCCTTAAGGTCCTCCCCGCAAGTCTGGCTGTAACAGGGCCTATGGTGTCCCCCAACACTCCTTTCATTACTGCTCTAGTTTGAGAAAAGGGCAGAGTGTGATAAAAGTGCAGAATGCAAGGACCAATAGCACTCACCCAACATGTGCAACAGCCCAAACTCCTCACAAGCCCGAGCCAGTAGAGTCATTAGACCCTCATTTTACAGAGAAGAGAATCAAAGCCCAGAGAACTTGTAAAATCTGCCTGAGGTGACACAGCTGACAGAGTGGAGCCCAGTCAAGCCATTGCTGGTGCCAGTGATTTCCCTGCCTCACTGCAGACTTGGCGTCTTAGACTCAGCTCCATTCAGTGGTTCAGAATTAGGGCTTTAGAGGTAGATAATCCTAGTTAGAGTCTCAGACCAATTACCTCCAAGCTATGTGACCTCAAGTAGATTATTTAACCTCTCTGGCTTCAGTTATCCAAGTCAAAGCTCAATGAATAGTAGCCATTATTATCACTTCTTTCTCAGATGCTAATCTGTAGTGTAAGCCTCTGTTCTCAAACTTTCCTTTGCATAAGGACCACCTAGGGGAACTTTTTAAATGCAGATTACTCCTGCTCTGCTCTTGGGACCTCTGAGCCTGGTCCAGGAGGAACTATTTGAATGTTTGTTTTGTTTTGTTTTGTTTTGTTTTGTTTGAGAGAGTCTCACTCTGTCACGTAGGCTGGAGTGTGATCTCAGCTCACTGCAGCCTCAGCCTCCTGGACTCAAGGGTTCTTCCCACCTCTCAGCCTCCCGAGTAGCTGGGACTACAGGCGCCTGCCACCACACCCAGCTAATTTCTGTATTTTTTGTAGAGACAGGCTTTTGCCATATTACCCAGGCTGGTCATAAATGCCCCTGCTCAAGCCATCTGCCTGCCTTGTCCTCCCAAAGTGTTGAGATTACAGGCATGTGCCACCGTGCCCAGCCTTAAATATTTTAATAAAATTCCTGGATGTTCTTATGCAGAGAGCCAAGCATTGACAAATGGCAAGCAAGTGCTTCTATCCTGTGCTTTTACTCCTTTGAAATGAAAGTGTCCACTAGACCATAAACACATTTGTTTCCCTTAGGAAAACTCTAGCTCTAAGAATTTGAAGTATTTCTTCTAAAACAGATTCCACTCCACATTTGTCTTCTACTGGTGGCTTTCAAATTTTTTTTACCATAACCACAATAAGAAATACACTTTACACAGTGACAAAGAATATGCATGTTTATATATACATACATAAATAAATTTTCCATAAAATAACATCTTCACTTTTCACACTTCTATTTTTCATCCATTTTCTCTTGTAATGCTGACCACAACCCTTTAATTTTATTTCACAACCCAGTAGTGAGTTGCAATCAAGAAAGACTAACAGTAAGATGACCCAGATGTTGGAATTAGCAGACAAGGATTTTAAAGAAATTATTATAACTAATATTAAAAGATATAAAGGAAAATATGCATGTAATAAGCAGATTAAAAATTTAAGGTTGGGAGTGGTGGCTGACACGTGTAATCCCAGCACTTTAGGAGGCCAAAGAAGGAGGATCACCTGAGGCCAGGAGTTCAAGATCAGCCTGGCAACATAGTGAGACCCTGTATCTACAAAAAAAATTTTAATTAGCCAGGCATGGTGGCATAAGCCTGTAGTCTCAGCTACTTGGAAGGCTGAGGCAGGAGAATTGCTTGAGCCGAGGAATCTGAGGCTACGGTGAGCTGTGAATATAGCACTGCATTCCAGCTTGGGTGACAGAGCAAGATACCCTCTCTAAAAAAAAAAAAAAAAAGAAAAGAAGAAGAAGAAAAGAAAGAAAGAAAGGAAGAAAAGCTAAGCAAAGAAATGGAAGGAATCACATGGAAATCCTAGAACTTAAAATTACAGGCCAAGCATGGTGCCTCATGCCTATAATTCCAGCACTTTGAGAGGCCAAGGTAGGAGGATTGCTGGAGGCCAGGCGTTCAAAGCCAGCTTGGTCAACATAGTGAGACCTCATCTCTACAAAAATTAGCTGGGCATGGTAGCACATGCCGGTAGTTCCAGCTACTAGGGAGGCTGAGGTGGGTGGATCAGTTGAGCCCCAGAGATCGAGGCTGCAATCAGCTGTGATCACGCCATTGCCTTCCAGCATGGGTGACAGAGTGAGATCCCGTCAAAAAAAAAAAGGGGGGCCAGGCACAGTGGCTCATACCTGTAATCCCAGCACTTTGGGAGGCTGAGGCAAGTGGGTCACCTGAGGTCAGGGGTTCAA
Organism: Homo sapiens; assembly: GCF_000001405.40. Lineage (NCBI taxonomy): Eukaryota > Metazoa > Chordata > Mammalia > Primates > Hominidae > Homo > Homo sapiens. Next base: position 172,130,229 of record NC_000002.12, on the reverse strand, counting down.
GATCAGCCTGACCAACATGGAGAAACTCCATCTCTACTAAAAATACAAATATTAGCAGGGCATGGTGGTGCATGCCTATAATCCCAGCTACTCAGGAGGCTGAGGCAGGAGAACTGCTTGAACTCAGGAGGCAGAGGCTGTGGTGAGCTGAGATCATGCCATTGCACTCCAGCCTGAGCAACAAGAGTGAAACTCCATCTCAAAAAAAAGAAAAAAGAAAAGAAAATATAAATAAAAAGTACACATACGAAATAAAAACCCCACTGAATGGGCAGACTGAGATGGCAGAAGAAAGAGTCAGTAAACTAGAAATTACCTAGTTTGAAAAACAGGGAGACAAAAAGATTGAAAACAAAAGGCTCAGAGACCTATAGGACAATATCAAGCAATCTACCCTACATATAATTGGAACCCCAGAATGACCAAAAAGAGAAAAGAGAGCTAAAAAAAAAACTGTCCAGGAATGATGGCCAAAAACTTCCCTAATCTAGTGAACAACATAAATTTACAGTTTCAAGAAGCTCAGCAAATTCAAGCAGGAGAAATAAAAACCACATCTAGGTATATCACTGCTGAAAACCAAAGATAAAGAGAAGAATCTTTAAAGCAACCAAGGAAAAATGACTCATTACTACAGGAGAACAATGATAGTTTTAATAGACAACTTCTCATCTAAAACAATGGAAGCCAGAGACAGTGGTGTAATATTTAAATCTTTTTTTAAAAAAAACTGTCAACCCAAAATTCTATATTGAGTAAAAATATATTTTAAGAATGAAAGCAAAATAAAGCCATTTTCAGATAAATGACAACTAAAAGAATGCATCACAGCAGACCTATGCTACAATAAATGCTAAAGGAAAAAGCTTAGGCTGGAAGAAAATGAAACCAGATGGAAACTCAGCTCTTCAGGGAGAAATAAAGACTACCAGATGGCCAGGTATGGTTGCTAACACCTGTAATCCCAGCACTTTGGGAAGCCAGGGCAGGAGGATCGCTTGAGCCTAGGAGTTCAAGACCAGACTGGGCAACAAAGCAACAACATATCCTACAAAAAATTTTTTTAATTAGCTGGACATGGTGGTGCATGCCTGTGGTACCCACCACTTGGGAGGCTGAGTTTGGAGGATCACTTGTGCCCAGGAGTTCAAGGCTGCAGTGAGCTATGATCACACCACCACACTTCATTCAACCTGGATGACAGAATGAGAGTCCATCTCAAAAAAAAAAAAAAAAAAAAGACCACCAGAAATAATAAATATGTAGGCAAATATAAAAGATTATCTTTTCTTTTCTTTCTCTTTATTTAAATACATATGACTATTTAAGGCAAAATTGTAACGAAGTATTGTGGTAGCTACAGCATTCTCATACATAATACATGTGACAACTATAGCATAAAGCAGGAGTCAACAAACTTTTTCTGTAAATAGTAAGACAGGAAATATTTTAGGCTCTGTAAACCATGTGGTCTCTGTTACAACTATTCAACTATACCATCACATGGCATGAAAGTAGCCATAAACAATACATAAGTGAATGTGTGTAGTTATGTTGCAATAAAATAAAAGCAGATACAGCCAAGATTTGACTCACCAGTAAGAGTTTGCCAACCCCTGGCATAAAGGATTGGGGGTAAATAAAACTGTATGGTTGCAAAATTTTTATATGTAATATGAACTGGTATCATAATTCCAGGTAGACTATAAAAAGTTAAGGACATATATTATAATCCCTAGAGCAACTATTCAAAATAAAAATGCAAAGAATAGGGCCGGGCACAGTGGCTCAAGCCTGTAATCCCAGCACTTTGGGAGGCCGAGGCAGGTGGATCACAAGGTCAGGAGATCGAGACCATCCTGGCTAACACAGTGAAACCCCGTCTCTACTAAAAATACAAAAAAATTAGCCAGGAGTGGTGGCGGGTGCCTGTAGTCCCAGCTACTCGGGAGGCTGAGGCAGAAGAATGGCGTGAATCCAGGAGGCAGAGCTTGCAGTAAGCCGAGATTGCGCCACTGCACTCCAGCCTGGGCGACAGAGCGAGAGTCCGTCTCCAAAAAAAAAAAGGTGCAAAGAATAACAGAAAAGCCAATATCGAAAAATAAAATGGGACCAGGCACAGTGGCTCACAGCTGCAATTCTAACACACTGAAAAGCCAAGGTGAGAGGATTTCTTGGGTCCAGGAGTTCATACCAGCTAGGGCAACATAGCAAGACCTCCATCTCTACAAAAAAAAAAAAAAAAAAAAAAAAAAAAAAAAAAACCAGCCAGGCATGGTGGCATGCACCTATAGTCCTAGCTACTCAGAAGGCTGAGACAAGAGGATTCCTTGAGCCCAGGAGTTTGAAGATGCAGTGAGCTATTATCACACCAAGGTACTCCAGCCTGAGTGATAGAGTGAGACAATGTCTCCAAAAATAAGTAAATAAATTTTAAAAATGTAATTTTAAGAAAATACCCAACTGACTCTAGAGAAAACAGCAAAGGAAAAACAGAGGAACAAAAACAAACCAATGAAACAAACAGAAAACAAATAGACATAAGTCCAAATCTATTGATATTTATATTAAATCTAAATGGACAAAATTTGGCAGAGGTTATCAAACTAAATGAAAAAAACAAGACCCAACTATATGCTTTCTACAAGAGACATACTTGTGCCAGTTACCAATTTATTGCCTCTCAGCCCCAAATTCACCTTTCATTGCAGGTCCTGTAAAAATGGAGCTAGGTTCTTTAGATATTTTCCCTTTGCCATCTAGCAAAATACCAAGTTTTGTCAGTAGAGGGCACTAGAGAAACACTGCAGGAAGAAAGGATTTTCTTTCCTGGTTTTGTAGTGCTCTCTCAGCAGATAACCTGAGGCACTTTCAGCTTCTATAGTGCCCAGCTCCTGAAGTTCACAGTAGTCAGAAGTAAACAGAAGGCAGCAACTTCTGCATACCCTCTCAGGCAGTTTCATAGCAGAAAAAACCTCTAGCAAAACTCACTCCGCATTAACGACTTTCATTGGTACCCTAGAAAATAAGTGTCTGGATGGGCCGGGCGCGGTGGCTCACACCTGTAATCCCCAGCACTTTGGGAGGCCGAGGCGGGCGGATTAGACCATCCTGGCTAACATGGTGAAACCCCGTCTCTACTAAAAATACAAAAAATTAGCCGGCCGTGGTGGCGGGCGCCTGTAGTCCCAGCTACTCAGGAAGCTGAGACAGGAGAATGGCGTGAACCTGGGAGGCAGAGCTTGGAGTGAGCCGAGATCGAGCCACGGCACTCCAGCCTGGGCGACAGAGCGAGAGTCCGTCTGAAAAAAAAAAAAAAAAAAGGAAAAGAAAGTAAGTATCTGGCAAGTTTTGGAGGGTGGATTTCCAGCAAGTTCTGGGGTTTTTCTTATTGTTCATTTATTTATTTATTTATTCTTTAGAAACAGAGTCTCGCTCTGTCGCCCGGGATGGAGTGCAGTGGCGTGATCTTGGCTCACTGCAACATCTGCCTCCCAGGTTCAAACGATTCTGCTGCCTTAACCTCCCAAGTAGCTGGATTACAGGTGCCCACCATCATGCCCAGCTGACTTTTCTATGTTTAGTAGAGATGGGTTTTCACCATGTTGGCCAGGCTGGTCTCGAACTCCTGCTCAGGTGATCCACCCACCTTGGCTTCCCAAAGTGTTGGGATTACAGGCATGAGCTACCATGCCTGGCCACATTAAGTTCTGTTAATGTGGCATCACATTGGCTTCTCTGCCATTCAATGAGCCACCCTCTTCAACAAGGTCTAGCTCTCAGCTTGGCAAGAAGGGCATGCGAGGTAGTAGTAGAGAGGAAGGGCATTCTTCTCTGGGCAACCTATCTCAGCCTTAAGGACAGTGGCTGCTCCTTATATCTGCTATTTCTATATTCTTTAGAGTTTTCTTTACTACTAGCCAATCTCTCATTATTTCAATCGCGTTTTATTTAATAATTCTTTATATTAAGCATTCCCACTTCAAATTGCTGTATCATTTTTGTCTGTTGATTAGACCCTCACTAATTTGACCTTTCAATATAAAGACAGATAGATCAAAAGAAAAAGATGTAAAAAGATATACCCTGCAAACAATAAGCATGAAAAAGCTGGACTGGCTATCTTATGATCATATAGTCTTCAAGACAGAGTATGCCAGAGATACAGTGGGACATTACACAGTGATTAAAGATTTAATTCATCAGGAAGACGTGTATGTACTTAAAAACAGAACTCCAAGATACATAAAGAAAAACCGATAGAATTAAATGAAAAAACTAACAAATCTATAAACATCATTGAAGATTTTAATATCTTTTTCTCAGTAATTGATAGAACAATCCAAAAAAATAGCAAAGACATAGAAATTTTCTTTTCTTTTCTTTTTTTTTTTTTTGAGATGGAGTTTCACTCTTATTGCCCAGGCTGGAATGCAATGGTGCCATCTCAGCTCACTGCAACCTTCGCCTCCTGGGTTCAAGCAATTCTCCTGCCTCAGCTTCCCAAGTAGCTGGGATTACAGGCACCTGCTACCACGCGCAGCTAATTTTTATATTTTTAGTAGAGACAGAGTTTCATTATGTTGTCCAGGCTGGTCTCGAACTCCCGACCTCAGGTGATCCACCTGCCTCGGCCTCCCAAAGTGCTGGGATTACAGGTGTGAGCCACCGTACCTGGCCAATAACATACTTCTAAATAACAATAGGTCAAAGAATAAATCACAAGGAAAATTTTAAACATTTCAAAGTGAACGATAATTAAAATACAACATATCGAATATATGGAATACAGATAAGCAGTGATTAGGCCAGAGGTTCCCCAAATTTCTTGGTTCACAATGCCTTCCTTCATTGTCTCAGTAAGTTTTTACAGTTCCCCTGGCCCAAAAAAAGACCACATAAGAGTTACATTTATTAAGTACAGTCATATGTTGCTTAATGAAGAGAATACATTCTGAGAAAGGCATCATTAGGCGATTTCATCATTGTGCAAACATGATAGAGTGTACTTACACAAACCTAGGTGGTATAGTCTGCTACACACCTAGGCTATATAATAGGGCCTATTGCTTCTGGGCTACAAACCTGTATAGCATGTTACTGTACTGAATACTATAGGCAATGAGAACACAATGGTATGTATTTGCGTATCCAAATATATCTAAATATAGAGGCCGGGTGCGGTGGCTCATGCCTGTAATCCCAGCACTTTGGGAGGCCAAGTCAGGCAGATCACCTGAGGTCAGGAGTTTGAGACCAGCCTGGCCAACATGGTGAAACCCCGTCTCTACTAAAAATACAAAAATTAGCTGACCATGGTGGCAGGCGCCTGTAATCCCAGCTACTCAGGAGGCTAAGGCAGGAGAATCACTTGAACCCAGGAGGCAGAGGTTGCAGTGAGCCAAGATCGCACCAGCGCACTCCAGCCTGGGGGACAAGAGTGAGACTTCATCTCAAAAACAAACAAAAAAACAAAACAACAACAACAACAACAAAACCATAGAAAAGATACAGTAAAAAATAGACAAACGGGATCTAATTAAACTAAAGAGCTTCTGCACAGCAAAAGAAACTACCATCAGAGTGAACAGGCAACCTGCAGAATGGGAGAAAATTTTTGCAATCTACCCATCTGACAAAGGGCTAATATCCAGAATCTACAAAGAACTTAAACAAATTTACAAGAAAAAAACAACCCCATCAAAAAGTGGGCAAAGGATATGAACAGACAATTCTCAAAAGTAGACATCTATGCAGCCAACAGACACATGAAAAAATGCTCATCATCCCTGATCATCAGAGAAATGCAAATCAAAACCACAATGAGATAGCATCTCATGCCAGTTAGAATGGCAATCATTAAAAAGTCAAGAAACAACAGATGCTGGAGAGGATGTGAAGAAATAGGAATGCTTTTACACTGTTGGTGGGAGTGTAAATTAGTTCAACCATTGTGGAAGACAGTGTGGCGATTCCTCAAGGATCTAGAACTAGATTACCCAGCAATCCCATTACTGGGTATATACCCGCAGGATTATAAATCATGCTACTATAAAGACATATGAACACGTATGTTTATTGTGGCACTATTCACAATAGCAGACTTGGAACCAACCCAAATGTCCATCAGTGATAGACTGGATTAAGCAAATGTGGCACATATACACCACGGAATACTATGCAGTCATAAAAAAGATGAGTTCATGTCCTTTGCAAGGACATGGATGAAGCTGGAAACCATCATCCTCAGCAAATTATCACAAGGACAGAAAACCAAACACCACATGTTCTCACTCATAGGTGGGAATTGAACAATGAGATCACTTGGACACAAGGTGGGGAACATCACACACCGGGGCCTGCTGGGGAGGGGGGCCGGGGGAGGGATAGCATTAGGAGAAATACCTAAGATAAGTGATGAGTTAATGGGTGCAGCAAACCAACATGGCACATATATACCTATGTATCAAACCTGCACATTGTGCCCATGTACCCTAGAACTTAAAGTATAATGAAAAAAAGAAAAGACATGGTAAAAATATGGCATATAAAATTTAAAATGGTATACCTGTATAGACCACTTACCATGAATGAAGCTTGCAGGACTTGAAAGTTGCTCAGGGTGTCAGTCAGTGAATGTGAAGGCCTAGGACATTACTGTACACTATGGTAGACACTTCGGCTACACTAAATATATTTAAAATTTTTTCTTCAATAATAAATTAACCTTCGCTTACTGTTGCGTTTTTCTTTCTTTTTTTTTTTTTTTTTTTTTTGAGACAGAGTCTCACTCTGTCACCCAGGCTGGAGTGCAGTGGTACAATCTCAGCTTACTGCAACCTCCACCTCCCAGGTTCAAGCAATTCTAATTCCTCAGCCCCCTGAGTAGGTGAGACTACAGGCACCTGCCACCATATCCTGCTAATTTTTGTATTTTTAGTAGAGATAGGGTTTTGCCATGTTGGCCAGACTGGTCTCGAGCTCCTGGCCTCAAGTGATCTACCCGCCTTGGCCTCCCAAAGTGCTGGGATTACAGGCATGAGCCACTGCACCCACCCTACTACTACTTTTTTACTTTATAAACTTTTAAAGTTTTCTTTAACTTTTTGACTCTTTTGTGATAATACTTATCTTAAAACATACATTGTATAGCTGTACAAAAATATTTTCTTTATATCCTTATTCTATAAGGTGTTTTTTTTTTTTTTTTTTTTGAGATGGAGTCTCGCTCTCAACCCAGGCTGGAGTGGAGTACAATGGCATGATCTCGGCTCACTGTAGCCTTTCGCTCCTGGGTTCAAGCGATTTCCAGTGCTAATTCTTGTATTTCTAGTAGAGACAGGGTTTCACCATGTTGGCAAGGCTGGTCTTGAACTCCTGACTTCAAGTCATCTGCCCACCTCGGCCACCCAAATTGCTGGGATTACAGGCATGAGCCATGGCACCCGGCCTGCTTTTTTCTATTTTTAAAATTTTTTACTATTTTTTTTACTTTTAAAACTTTTGTTACAAACTAAGATAAAAACACACATATCAGTCTAGCCCTATAGAGGGTCAGGATCATTAATATCACTGTCTTCCACCTCTACATCTTGTCCCACTGGAAGGTCTTCAGGATCAATTACATGCACTGATCTGTCATTTCCTATGATAACAATGCCTTCTTCTGAAATGCTTCCTGAAGGACCTGCCTGAGGCTCTTAATGGGGTGGTGTCACTCTTTTTAGAAATATGTTCAAGGTGGTTTGCTTGATTTCTTTCTTTTTTTATTTTTTAATTGTAGATTTGCTTGTAACCAGGTAATGCGCCATGGACATTCCTCTCTCTTAATGAAAACCTTTCCCTGTTAGGGTCTATGTTTTCAAACTTTTTTTTTTTTTTTTTTTTGAGATGGAGTCTCACTCTTGTCCCCCAGGCTGGAGTGCAGTGGTGTGATCTGGGCTCACTGCAACCTCCTCCTCCTGGGCTCAAGGGATTCTCCTGCCTCAGCCTCCTGAGTAGCTGAGATTACAGGCACCTGCCACCACTTCCAACTAATTTTTGTATTTTTAGTAGAGATGGGGTTTCACCATGTTGGCCAGGCTGGTCTCAAACTCCTGACCTCAAGTGATCCACCCGCCTCAGCCTCCCAAAGTGCTGGGATTATAGGCGTGAACCACCGCACCCAGCCTGTTTTCAAACTTTTTAAGGAGCTTTTTGAGGTCTGCAAAAGCTTCTGATAAACCCTTCACTGTGAATTTTCTTGGTGGTTCTTGTTTTATATCTCTTACAGTTTCCTTTTCTCTTGCCTCTTCTTCAGCTACACATTCTTATTCCATTTCAAACAACTCTTCATTAGTCAATTCCTCAGGAACCACCTCTAGGAGCTCCTCAATGTTGTCATCCTCATTCACGCCCAGGTTAAAGTTGTTTGCCATCTTAACCACAGCTTTGCTGATTTTGCAGCCTCCCCATCCTTGGCAAATACTTTAAAGTCATGGACAAACCTCTTGAGTCTCTTCTTCCAGATGCCATCCATACACTCCTTGGTGACATCACCCCAAGCCCAAGCAAGATTCTTCTTAATGCAGTCATAGATGTTGTAATCCTCCCAGATTTGCATCAGTGTTTTCTCAGTGTCTTCTTCAGTTGCAGAAATAGCCTGAAAGAAGGTCCTCCTCAGGTAGTGAGTTTTAAAGGCTGCTGTAACTGGCCAGGCACAGTGGCTCACCACTGTAATCCCAGCACTTTGGGAGGCCAAGGTGGGCAGATCACGAGGTCAGGAGTACAAGACCAGCCTGGCCAATATGGTGAAACCCTGTCTCTACTAAAAATACAAAAATTAGCTGGGCGTGGTGGCACACACCTGTAATCCCAGCTACTCAACAGGCTGAGGCAGGAGAATCGCTTGAACCGAGGGGGCGGAGGTTGCAGTGAGTCAAGATTGCGCCACTGCACTCCAGCCTGGGCGACAGAGTGAGACTCCGTCTCAAAAAAAAAAAAAAAAACAAAAAAAACACCTGCTGTAACTCCTTGATCCATTGGATCAAAGAGGTGGTATTTGGAGGGAGAAACACCTTGATGTTGGGATGAAGAGCGCCAATAAAAGGAGAATGTGCAGGAGCATTAACAGCAATAAGCGATAGCTCACACCTGTAATCCTAGCACTTTGGGAGGCTGAGACAGGCAGATCACTTGAGCCCAGGAGTTCAAGACCAGCCCAGCCAACATGGTGAGACTCTGTCTCTACCAAAAAAAAAAAAAAAAAAAAAAAACCACACACACACAAAAATTAGTCGGGTGTGGTGGCTTGCACCTGTTATTCCAGCTACCCAGGAGGCTGGGGTGGGAAAACTGCTTGAGCCCAGGAGGTGGAGGTTGCAGTGAGCCAAGATCACACTGCTGCACTCCAGCATGGGTGACGGAACAAGACCTTGTCTCAAAAAAATAAAAATAAAAAACCATAAGCAGAATCTTGGAAAGTTCATTATCCTCCAAACAGTACTTCTCCATTCTGCTGGCATAGTAATTCCAGAGAGAATCCTGGAAGAGGATTCATGACTATTAAGTAATGCAGTACACTGGCCTGTGTGAGCTTATTTATATTCTTGAAGGTCCTGGGGCTCTCACTGTGCCAGATCATAAAGGGTTTCAATTTGTAGCCTGCAACATTGTCTCCATGCAAGACTGTTATCCTGAGCTCAAAAGCCTTGAAACCTGGCATTACCTTGACCTTCTTCCTTGTGGATGAAAGTCCTTTTAGGCATCCATTTCCAAAAGAGTTCTATCTATAATGAAAGTTTGCCCTGGCAAGTATTTTCCTCCACAGTCAACTTTTCTAAAGTCTCCAAAAATTCTTCAGCTGCCTTCACATCAGCACTCACAGACTCGCCACTCACTTTCACATTATGTAATGGATAACAATTCTGGAATTGTTTAAACCACCCAGAGCAAACAGTAAATTCAACATCGTAGTCAGGTCCAGCCTTTTCTTTTATCATTGCAAACAAACTTTTTGCTTTGGCTGTGTTGGTCATGGTGCTGAGAGGGATGTGCTTCTGTTTGGGGCTTCAATCCAGGTCATTAGAAGTATCTCCATATCTGATAGAGACCCTTCTCAAATTTGTGTTAATCCCATTGCCTTTAAGGAAGCAAATACTTTAACAGCTTCCATCACTTAGTTATTCTTCAAAATCATAGCTATGGTGGAATGGGACATGCCTGCCTGATAAACAAACATTATCACTGACTTTTTACTTTTGTAGTTCTTAATCACTTTTAATATTTTTTTTTTGAGATGGAGTTTTGCTCTGTCACCCAGGCTGGAGTGCAGTGGTGCGATCTCAGCTCACTGCAAGCTTCGCCTCCCGGCTCCCGGGTTCATGCCATTCTCTTGCCTCCGCCTCCCAAGTAGCTGGGACTACAGGCGCCCACCACCACGCCCGGCTAATTTCGTTTTTGTATTTTTAGTAGAAACAGGGTTTCACTGTGTTAGCCAGGATGGTCTCGATCTCCTGACCTTGTGATCTGCCCACCTCGGCCTCCCAAAGTTTTGGGATTACAGGTGTGAGCCACTGCGCCCGGCCCAATCACTTTTAATCTTTTTTTCTGGGTCAATCACTCAATGTGGCTCTTACTAACAACATTAGCCATAATTTTTGAATGCTAAGGGCTGTAATGAACACAACGCAAGATTAATTGTGTATGTTGCCCATTGTTGACCAAAACATTATGTGGCACACGACTGTAGTTATATCCAAACAACTTAATAAGTATTTAAATCCTAGCAACTTACTAGCCATTTGAAAAAAGAATACACAGAGTTGAAAGAATAGATGATATTCATATTTCATCACAGTTAAATAACAGAATTGCATCATTATGGGATTTGTGTACCTGTTGAGCCCTGTACTACTTCTCAAACCTTGGAACCAGATTGGATACCACCACTCTTATTCCCTGTGCCACATTGATTTTCACATGCTTCTTGCCTTTAACATAGTTGTGCTTAATACAATGACATACCAAAAAGATATGTCATCAAAAAGACTGTTTTGCAATCTCCTGTTGAAACTATGAATTACCTCAAGCTACATAGTTTTAGTTTGTATGGTATCATTGTGTTTTCCTTGAATTTTGAAAACTTCCCATGCTACCCATGTGAGTTTGCTGCAGTGCCCCAGATACTTTGGCACAGATTGAGAGGGAAATGTATAGAATTGAATGTATATATTGGAAGAACAGTGTGAGAAGATAATTATAGTCAAATGTAGCAAGTAGGTACAGGCTACCAGGATTTGGAGAAGCATTTAGAAAGTGTCTAAATTGCTTTGAGTAGACTGTAAGTAGAATTCTGGACATTGAAGACACTACCAATGAAAATTCAAATTCAAAAGAAAGTAAGGAAGCTGCTACTGAAAACTTGAGGAAAGATAGTGGCAGAAAGCCAAAGAGAAAGTGTCTGTATCCTGATGACATCATCTCAGTCACTGGACCCAGGTTTGTTTGAATCCAGATGAACCCGTAGACAATAAATTCTATATTCTGCTTAAACAGATTTAAATTGTGTTTTTAATACTAATAACTAATCATTAATGAAATCTAAAATAAATAACCTGCTACTTGGGAGGCTGAGGCAGGAGGATTACTTGAGCCCTAGAGGTGGAGGTTGCAGTGAGCCAAGATTGTGCCACTGCACTCCAGCCTGGGTGGCAGAGTAAGACCCCATCTCAAAAATAAATAAATAAATAAATAAATAAATAAATAAATAAATAAATAAATAACCTATTGTGTTTTTTGGGATTTTTTTGGTTTTTTTTTTTTTTTTTTTTTTTAATTGAGACGGAGTCTCACTCTGTCGCCCAGGCTGGAGTGCAGTGGCACGATCCCAGCTCACTACAACCTCTGCTTCCTGGGTTCAAGCGATTCTCCTGCCTCAGCCTCCTGAGTAGCTGGGATTACAGGCGCACACCACCACACCTGGCTAATTTTTGTATTTTTAGTAGAGACGGGATTTCACCATGTTGGTCAGGCTGGTCTCAAACTCCTGACCTTGTGATCCGCCCAACTCGGCCTCCCAAAGTGCTGGGACTACAGGCGTGAGCCACTGCACCCAGCAAAAATAACCTATTGTTGAGAATGGGAAACAAGTTCTTTATTGAGCATTTGCTACTGCCTTTAATAATAATAAACTGCTGTAAATTATACAAAGACAGAATCCACCGAATGCATCAATGTTCAAAGAGAATATGAGACTACCTCCTATATATAAAGGAGCTATATATAATAAAGATAATTATGGTCAAATGTGGCAAGTAGGTATGGACTATATAAAGGATAAGGAGGTGTATATATATATATATATATACACACACACATATATATGAAGGTAGTCTCATATATCACACACACACATATATATATACTAGAGATAGAATAGTCTCATATCACACACACACATATATATACTAGAGATAGAATAGTCTCATATATCACACACACACACACACACACACACACACACACACATATATATATATATATATATATACTAGAGATAGAATCTTGCTATGTTGCCCAGGCTGGAATGCAGTGGCACAAAGCACAATCATAGCTACTATAGCCTCGAACTCCTGGACTCAAAGGATCCTCCTGCCTCAGTCTCCCAAGTAACTGAAACTATCTTCTGCTTTAACCAACTAGAAGATCGTTTTGAGTTCACTCTGCCTATTGTATCTTATGCTATGCAAAGTTCTCCTCTGAGCGATTTGCCACATCTTTATCTTTTACTGCACACCATAACATCCTGTGGAATTTACTGGCTCAAATTTTATTATTAACACAAATATGAATGCTAAAATCATATGACAGAACTGTTATAGTCATCCAAATGATCCAGGGCATACTTATATTAATTTTTTGTTTTTGAAGCAAAAACCTGGAATATAATTATTGCAAAAACAGTGTGGCCCCAGGTATCTCCAGGCCCCAATTTGAGAAACACTGCTGTAAGTGATAGAAAGCCATTTAACCATTTAAACTGTGGTGACATCCTTTTCATGTCAGGCAGAGCAATGCTGAACACACTCCAATCTTTCCTGAATTAGTCAAGACTCATTATTCTAAATATTAACAATTTTCAGGCTCTATCAGAACCTCATCAAGGTGTGTCAGGATAGTCTCCCTATGCTAATTAGCCCCAAATTGCTGCATTAGCGGGCCATATATCAGCATTTGGTAGTTTCTTTAATCTTTATTTCTAACCATCAATTTCCTTTTATCTTGCTTTCTTTTTATCTTGAGAAACAATATCTTAAACTTCTATAATATATATTTCCTAATAATTTGTGAGAATTAAAACTTAGTGATTTATTACATTAGTATCTGTCATTTAATTGCTCAATAAATATTAGATAATCACTTACATATAAGCCAAATTTATCTCCAGATGGATCTGTCTTCTAAGAGCTAAATGATACTTGATACTTCTGCCTGGAAATCTCATAGGCATTGTAGTGGATTGATTGTAAAAATGTCCCAATTCTTTATCTCTCCCTATAACCATGCCCTTTGCCATGTGACTTTGCTGCTCTTTCCACCAAGAGGTGGCATCTGCTTAGGGTGACTGACCATCCCAGTTTGCCCAGGACTGAGGGGTTTCCTGGCACATAGGACTAGAGTGCTGAAACCAGCAAAATTGTGAGCAAACCAGGATGAGTTGATCACCCCAAGTCCAATTCCCCTTTTGAATCTGGGCTGACCTCATGGCTAGCTTTGGTCAGTAGAATACAGTGGAAGTGACAATGTACAAGTTCCAAGCGTGGATCTCAAAAGGCATCTTACGATTCTTCTCTTGCTCAGGTCCCCGCCACTGCAGGCCACCTGCAGATTAGCCTGCTAGTTGATGAGATGGCCCAGTGACCCTTGTCACCTCAGCTGACAGCCAACCAACTGCCAGCCATGAGAGTGAGGCCATTCCAAACAAGCCAGCGTCCAATTCAGTCAGCCCTCCACAGACACATGAGCGAGCTTAGACATACAAACAATAAGAAATGCTTATTGTTTCAAGCTACTGAGTTTTGGGGTAACTTGTGACACAGAAGTAGCTAACTGATAGAGATACCTCAAACTCAGCATTAAAGCTAAACCTATATCCCAGAGAAATGAAGACTTGTGTTGACACAAAACATATACACAAGTGTTTATAGCAGCTTTATTCAGAACAATCAAAATCTGGAAAAATCTAGATGTCTTTCAATGGGCAAATGGTTAAACAAACTGTGGGATATAATATCATGGAATACTACTCAACAATAAAAAAGAATAAATTATTGTTACATACAACAATCTGGACAAATCTCCAGAAAATCACGTTCTCTGAGAAAAAAAAAGCCAATCTCAAAAGCTTTCATACTATATGATTCCATTGATGTAACATTATTGAAATGATAAATTATAGGAATAGAGAATAGATTAGTCAATATCCTTGTTATAGGCCAAGCACGGTGGCACATTTCTGCAGTCCCAGCTACTGGGGAGGCTGAGTCAAGGGGATCACTTGAGCCCGGGAATTGTGGCCCAACCTGGGCAAGATAGCAAGACTCTATCTCCTTTAAAAAAAAAAACAAAAAGTTGTTGATTTGCTCTATAACTTCACACTATCACTGGGGGAACTGTGGAAAGGGTACAAAGGATCACTCTTTATCATCTCTTACAACTGCATGTGAATCTATGATTATCTCAAAATTAAAAGTTTAATTTTAATTTTTTTTTTTGAGACGGAGTCTCGCTCTGTTGCCCAGGCTAGAGGGCAGTGGCACGATCTCAGCTTACCACAACCTCTGCCTCCCAGGTTCAAGCTATTCTCCTGCCTCAGCCTCCCAAGTAGCTGGGACTACAGGCGTGCCCCACCATGCCCAGCTAATTTTTCTATTTTTAGTAGAGACAGGGTTTTACTATGTTGGCTTGTCTCGAACTCCTGACCTCATGATCCACCCGGCTCCACCTCCCAAAGTGCTGGGATTGCAGGTGTGAGCCACCGCGACTGGCCAAATTTTTCTAAACTTTTGAATTTTCCATTGTTCTTGGGCCAAAAATCTATTAGGTCCTACACGATATATTTCCTGCCTACCTTGCCAGCCCCACCGTACATACTCTCCTCATCCACTGTGGTCTGGCCCAGCTCACCTTCTTCCAGGTTTTCAAATGTCCCTTTCAGACTCAGAACTTTGCACATACTATTTCTTCTTTCTATAATGCCTTTCTCTCAACTATTTACCTAGCTAACTCTCATTTACCCTTTAAGTCTTTTATATGTCATTTTTTCACTTCAGTCACTCACTATGTGATGGGGTTATTTCATACAATAAATACATGGTTCATACCAACAGAGTTTACAGTATTCGGCCATCTGGGTCCAGGTTACTTTTGATGTTTATTTCCCTTTTGTTATCCCAAGACTTAAGTAAAACCTTGTTTAAACATCTCAGGATTCCAGCAGCTATTCTTTGGATTATGACAGAGTATCAAAAGTATAATAGAGATAAGAGTGAAATCCTTTACTGAGTTCAACCAGGGAAGGTAATTGCATAGTAAGAAATGCCCAGCCTGGCACGGTGGCTCACGCCTGTATTCCCAGCACTTTGGGAGGCTGAAGTGGGAGGATCACCTGAGGTCAGGAGTTCTAGACCAGCCTGGCCAACACGGAGAAACCCTGTCTCTACTAAAAATACAAAAACTAGCCAGGCATGGTGGTGCTCTCCTGTAATCCCAGCTACTCAGGGGGCTGAGGCAGGAGAATTGCTTGAAACTGGGAGGCAGAGGTTGCAGTCAGTCATCCAAAATCACACCACCGCACTCTAGCCTGGGCAACAGAGCAAGACCCCATCTCAAAAAAACAAAAAAAAAAGAAAGAAAAGAAAAAAGAAATGTCCAAGGCCAGGTGCGGTGGCTCACGCCTGTAATCCGAGCACTTTGGGAAGCCAAGGTGGGCAGATCACTTGAGATCAGGAGTTCAAGGCCAGCCTGGCCAACATGGCGAAACCCCATCTGTACTAAAAATAAAAAATTTAGCCAGGTGTGGTGGTGCAGGACTATAGTCCCAGCTACTCTACTGGGGAGGCTGAGGTAGGAGAATCACTTGAACCTGGGAGATGGAGTTTGCAATGAGCTGAGATCACGCCACTGCACTCCAGCCTGGGCGACAGAGCAAGACTCTGTCTCAAAAAAAGAAAAAAAAAGGAAAAAAGAAAAAAAGAAATGCCCAAGATGAAACTACAAGGATACAACAGTCAGAGCTGTAAAGTCTAGCTGCCCCTTCCCCCACAGGCTGTCACACACACAGCACTTTTCGTATACTAATATGTGCAATTTGTTAGCTTTACTATGAATTGGGTCGATGTAGATGAAGACCCTAAATGACCACTGGGTGTCATCACTGTCTTACACAAGACTTGGTGTGGCTCCTTAGTATTCAATCTTTTCTGGAATGTGGTGATAAATTGTGCTCAGTTCTAAATGAAACCAAAGCATATCATCAATTCAGAACTTAGCTATGTAGTAACACCAGCAAGGAGTACACAACTGAGGACTGGGAAATAGGCAAAAACAATGTCTTGAAATGGCCCAAAATGACATCCCAAAGTTCATTCACTTAAGTTTGCGTACTTTCCTCAAATGAAAGCCATTTGGGCCCTTTTAGTGGGAAGTTTCCTTTTTTTTTTAATTTTCTTTTTCCTATTTGAAGTTATTTCATTATTAGCACCTCTTCTCTTTGTGCTGCCTTTGCCTTGTTCATTCCATTATCCTAGGCACTGTCGTCCAAAAAAGACTAAAGTAGTAAGTTGGCTTATCACCCCATGACAACTCCTAAGCATAATAAGCATGTGCCCAAGGCAAGAGTGACACTGACATGGAGGGGAGGGTCCCATGTGGCACAGTGACAAAATTTCTGCAATCCATCACCTTTAAAAGGAAACGCATATGATTTGGGCTTAGAAGTGAAAGAACCCCACTAATGATCATTAAAGACTTATGTTCCTAAGGATAACAACCAGCTATGCTAACCTCTTTCTATTCATGGACTGAATGCACCTAGGAATCAAATGGTTTCAGGTCTGTGCTTGGCTTCCCATTCATCTGGTTTTCACAGATAAAGGATGTTCTGGACTTTTTCCTGTAATTTTTTCCTAACAAAGTCATTGCATCCTAACTTCAAGGTCATGGTATTAGCTATAGTAGATAAGCTGCCATATATATATGTTTGTGTATAGATATATATATGTGTGTGTACATATATATATGTGTGTATATATATGTGTGTGTGTATATATATAATCCCAAAAGTCAGTATCTTAAAATGTAAGTTTATTTCTTGGTCAGATAACCTTCCAAACAAGTGATGAAGATTCCCCTAGGCGGTGAGTCCCCTAGGGCCTCTAGGAGACTCTAGGGCCATGTCATCTTCATAGTTGAAGCTGGTTCCAGACAGCGGAAGGAAAAAGAGAGCAGAGAGGAGTCTCAACTCTGCCTAAAAGGTCCTGTCCTGGGAGAGGCACACATGGCTTCCACTTATGTTCCATTCTCTTGGATTGAATGACATGGTTACACATAAGTGCAAAGGGGGCTAGGGAGTAGTTTAGCTGCATTCCCCAAAAATCAGATTTGAGAGACAACACTTGGTCCATTCCACAACTATCCTTCAGTAGTCTAAGTGAAGTTTTGTTCAATTAAACATTAAACAGAGGCACAGAAAAGTTAAATAACTTTCCCTAATTTACACAGTTAGCAAGTAGCCAAGTTAGGATTTAAGCCCAGAGCCCATACTTTTAACCACTGTATATATTAACTCTAAAAGTATTAACATCTAAAAGTATTGGCATCTATAGGCCGGGCGCGGTGGCTCACGCCTGTAATCCCAGCACTTTGGGAGGCCGAGGCGGGCAGATCACGAGGTCAGGAGATTGAGACCATCCTGGCTAACATGGTAAAACCCTGTCTCTACTAAAAATACAAAAAATTAGCCGGGTGTGATGGCGGGCACGTGTAGTCCCAGCTACTTGGGAGGCTGAGGCAGGAGAATGGCATGAACCCAGGAGGCGGAGGTTGCAGTGAACCGAGATCGCGCCACTGCACTCCAGCCTGGGTGACAGAGCGAGACTCCGTCTCAAAAAAAAAAAAAAGTATTGGCATCTATAATCATGACCTGAAGGCCCAGAAGCCATAAAAAAAAAAGAGTCACATATTTGACCATACAAAACTTAAAATCTCTGAACTAGAAAAGAGAATAAACAAAAGTAAAAGAGAAGCAATTAACTTGGAATTAATATTGACTATAAACACAATAATGAGTTAATCTCCAAAATATGTAATAATTTCCTGTAAATCAATTTTTTAAAAACAGAAAAATGGGCAGAGAACAAAAATAGGCAATTCACAGAAGAAAATAAAATGCCTATATAAAAACACAAGCCAAGCATGCGATGGCACATGCCTGTAGTCCCAACTACTCTGGAGGCTGAGGCAGGAGGATCACTTGAGCCCAGGAGTTCAAGATCAGCCTGGACAAAATATAGCAGAGCATCCCTCTCTAAAATAAAATAAAATAAAAAAGACACACACTCTACTAATGTAAAGCCTTTGCAAGTTAAAATATGGCACTATTTTAAGCCTATCATATTCAAAAAACACTGAAGATTCCTAATATTCTTGGTGAGAGTGCTCAGAAATGAGTATAGAGCTTAAATTGCTTGTTTTTTAAGGGGAGCTTAGTGGTAGCTATTAAAATGTTGACATACAATTCAGTTACTAGGATTCTAGTTTACAAATATAATTGAACATGTGGGCAAAGCTCTCCAGAAGACATTCACTCATGTGTTGTTTGTAAATATCGGAAATCATCTAGATGACAAGGCAAAGAAGATAGTCAAATAAATGATGATACCTTCCTCACACATTCACCTTAAGAAGAAAATGATTGCTCTGTAACGACTGACATAGAAAGAAAAGATTTCTTTTTTTTTTTTTTTTGAGACGGAGTCTCGCTGTCGCCCAGGCTGGAGTGCAGTGGCGCAATCTCGGCTCACTGCAGGCTCCGCCCCCTGGGGTTCACGCCATTCTCCTGCCTCAGCCTCCCGAGTAGCTGGGACTACAGGCGCCCGCCACCTCGCCCGGCTAATTTTTTGTATTTTTAGTAGAGACGGGGTTTCACCGTGTTAGCCAGGATGGTCTCGATCTCCTGACCTCGTGATCCGCCCGCCTCGGCCTCCCAAAGTGCTGGGATTACAGGCGTGAGCCACCGCGCCCGGCCAAGATTTCTAAAAAATAAAAATGCTAGCCAGTCGCAGTGGCTCACACCTATAATCCCAGCACTTTGGGAGGCCGAGGCGGGCGGATCACTTGAGGTCAGGAGTTGGAGACCAGC
Organism: Homo sapiens; assembly: GCF_000001405.40. Classification (NCBI taxonomy): domain Eukaryota; kingdom Metazoa; phylum Chordata; class Mammalia; order Primates; family Hominidae; genus Homo; species Homo sapiens. The sequence continues at coordinate 172,110,830 of NC_000002.12, read as the reverse complement.
CTGGCCAACGTGGTGAAACCCTATCTCTACTAAAACTACAAAAATTAGCTGGGCATGGTGGCACGCGCCTGCAATTCCAGCTACTCGGGAGGCTGAGGCAGGGGAATCACTTGAACCTGGAAGGCAGAGGTCGCAGTGAGCCAAGATGCACCACTGCACTCCAGCCTGGGCAACAAGAGGGAAACTCCGTCTCAAAAGAAAATAAATAAATAAATAAATAAATAAATAAATAAAAGAAATAGAAATACAAATAAAAATGCTTACGTGTTTACACATTTGAAACATGCACAGGGTTTTATGCATTTGAAAACGCGTGCACAAGTACATGCAAACAATCTGACATGACTGCCTAGGGTCAGTTCCCTGTGAATAACCTGCAAGGTTCTTCCCTCTGCTCCCCTCTCCATTTTCAAAGAAGCGAGCAGAAGCAGCCCAGGTGTAGCACACAGGGAAACTACAGAGAGGCTTGTCAAGGCGGGACTTTGCCCCGCTTACTGAATGGGGCAGTCCTTGCCGCACGGGTTAGGAGCAGTATTTGGCCTTTCCAAACTTCAGTGCTGCAGGCGGGCCCTGCACTTCCCCATCCACAGTGCCTGACGGCTTCACAATGCCCCTGGACCACCCACTGCCGCCTCGGAGGCCCACGCCCAAATCCCCTGGCCTGGCCTGGTCCACTGGATCCCGGAAACAGCGTCTGCCTTCACCTTGGCTGCCGCCAGGACAAGGCCTGCTTAGACACGAGTGAGAAAAGTGGGCCTACACCCTCTCCGCCTGGGCCTCCCTCCGCGGTTTAAAACCCATTCCGCTGAGGCCCGAGAACGCCGAGTGTCGCGGTAAACCTGGCGGCGATGAACCTATAATGGTGTATTTCCAGGCAATAATCCCACAAGGAAGAGCTCAGTATCACCTGCATTCCACAGATGCAAACGACGAAGCACAGAAATATTCAGTCCTTTCCCCAAGGCCACAAAGTCTGGCTCCCGAGCACACGTGTCAGCACATCCTCTTCACATCCAAAGGAGGTGGCACAACCCTTTTGTTCTAAAATGAGAGAGTGGAAAGAAAGACTCTGTGAAAGAGAAGGGAATTTTGTGTCCAAGGGTAGTTTCTAAGTTCCAGAGTTTTCCTTCCTAGTTCTCCCGTTTGTTGGTTGTGGTGATGGTGGTGGCGGTGGTGTGTGTGTGTGTGTGTCTGTGTGTGTGTGTGTGTGTGTGTGTGTTTTGCTTTAACCGCTGAATAGACACTAAAGTGAAAAGGGTCTAAGGCCTGTGAGGCTCTGAAAGTTCCAGAAGCATGCTGCACTGACAACCCAACGATGAGAACACCTAGGGCCGGCACGTCGTGGGCTCACCTCTGCAGCTCTTAGGGGAGGAGTTGTGGTTTCAACCTGACAACTGGAGCCAATCAACACCGGACACGCGGAAGACCCGAGGTCCAAGACCCCCCGGCGACGTTCCCCTCCCTGCTACACTTACCCCCTCGCTTCCAGTCCCCCGCCCCGCCGCCCCCCAAGCACAGCCCCCTCCCGGTCCCCCCGGAACGCCGGGCACAAATGGTCCTCAGTTCAGGGGCGGGAAACCTCGGAAATTTTTTTTTTTTTACTTTTTTTAAAAATTTTAAGTTCCGGGGTACATGTGCAGGATGCGCAAGTTTGTTACATAGGTAAAGGTGTGCCAAGGTGGTTTGCTGCACCTATCAACCTATCACCTAGGTGTTAAGCCCAGCATACATTAGCTGTTTTTCCCTACCCTGCTCCCCACCCCCGCCCCCTGACAGGCCCCAGTGTGTGCCGTTCCCCTCCTTGTGTCCATGTGTTCTCTGAGATTGTTTTCTTTCGTAAGAACAAACCTTGTTGCAGTCTTCTCATATCTCAATGTGAGTGCTGCTGAAAGTGCAGAGTGAACATCTCAGCGGTCTGAGCTTTTGTTCCTGGAGGGGGCAGGGGCGGTGGGGAAAGGAAGAGGGAGTAATTTACTCCATCAGCATTTGCAGCTCTCAGGACCTGGACACTAAAATGTGGCAGCTTTTCACCATCTAAGGGGAATGGGTTTCTCTCGCCCTTGGAAGCTCACCCACCTGTGGCCTGCCTATGGGGCCTGTGCGCTGGGATCCACAGTTAGGCCACCGGATCAGTGTGCCTCAGAGCCTGGGCGACCCCTCGCCCCATACAGGGCGCCCTCCTGGGTCAAGGGCCCCAGCTCTCACTCTCTTTGCTTTAACCATTGAACAGACAATAAAGTGAAATGGACCTGACTAGAGTCTGTTAGATCTGGAAGGCAAAAGGCGAAATTGGGTCTGATAGCACCAGAAGCCCAGCGCCGCGGAAAGGCCACGGCTGGAAGCGTCGAGTAACCGATGATTTCGGTTCAAGCCCCTGGGGTTTACTTACACCCCAGCAGGGAGCAAAGATAACTTGGGGCGGAATCCCAGCGGGAACAAAACATCAGGTCCTCAAGCTTGGCTTCACGTGCCAAGCCAGGGGGCACCCGCATCCCGCCCTCTCCGCAGAGGCTCGAGTCTGTTCAGGAATCTTCCCGGGGCTACCCTCTGCGCAGCCGGGCGGGCCTCCTCCTCTCCCAGGGGAACCCCCCTTCCAGGACTCTCTTTGGGGAGAGAGGGGCGCGGTCGCCCTCAGGACGGCCAATGCCCCTTCCAATCTGTTCCGCGGAGCTGGCAGCACCAGGCCCGGGAGAAGTAAGTGTGGTGCCGCCTTCTCTCGCGTCCCCTGGCCGGAAACAGCCCAGAGCGACAGCGGCCTTGCCTCCATGGCCCAGATCTGAGTTCGAGGTCGGACTCTGCTGCGCGTCGGTAACCATGTGATTGGCTCTAGGCCTTGGTTTCCTCAATGTGGGTGATATTGTACCCACCCTACAGGGCGATTCCCAGGAGTCAGTGAGATGTCTGAGGTAAAGGGCTTGGCAGAACGCTGGGCGCTCAGTAAATACACGCGGGCAATCGTTCTCTGCACTAGACTGCACGCTGCTGGAGGACAGTGCCTGGAGGCAGGTGGAAGAGGAATGGCTGACTGAGACTCTCAAGCTCGGGAGCCAGGAGGGAGTGTGGAGCCAAAGATGCGGGCCGGGAGCGGTGGCTCACGCCTGTAATCCCAGCCCCAGCACTTTTGGAGGCCGAGGTTGCAGGATCGCTTGAGCCCAGGAGTTTGGGACCAGCTTGAGCAACATAGTGAGACCCCATCTCTACAAAATAAAAAAATTATCTGGGCATGGTGGCATATGCTTGTGGTCCCAGCTACTCCGGAGGCTGAGGAAGGAGGATCCCTTGAGCCCAGGAATTCGAGGCTGCAGTGAGTTGTGATCGAGCCAGTGCACTCCAACCTGAGTGAGAGAGTGAAGCTCTGACTCTTAAAAAAATAATAATAGGCCTGGCGCGGTGGCTCAGGCCTGTAATCTCAGCACTTTGGGAGGCCAAGGCGGGAGGATCATCTGAGGTCAGGAGTTCGAGACCAGCCTGACCAATATGAAGAAACCTCATCTCTACTAAAAATACCAAAAAAAAAAAAAAAAAAAAAAAAAAAAAATAGCAGGGCGTGGTGGCACATGCCCGTAATTCCAGCTACTCGGGAGACTGAGGCAGGAGAATCGCCTCAGTTGCGAGGCTGCGGTGAGCTGAGATCGCGCCATTGCACTCCAGCCTGAGCAACAAGAGCAAAACACCGTCTCAAAATAATAATAATAATAATAATAATTTTTAAAATGGTAGAAACCCGAGACAACCTCTGAGCTGGGAAGCCGTGGCAGCAGAGACCAGAGGACCCACCCATTCCCTGCACAGGCCGAGTTTTAGCTCCCCAAGAGTGATCCCATTGTGTCCTCTCGCCAGGTCCATGCAGGAAAAGAAAAAATGTGAAATCCCAGGACGCAGATCCCGAGTCAGGGGTCGCGTCTGCCTGCCGGCCCAAGGGGCTGCGGAGAGCTGATGGCTCCCGGAGTCCCTCGAGGCTGCCTTAGGGGTCGCAGGGAAAATCAGGTTGAGGAGACCAGCAATGCGAAAGGACCCAGCCAGAGTTGTCCCAAGAAGCTGCAATTAGCCAATGAAGTAAGAACAAAAGCACTGCGGGTTTGGTCGCAAAGGCTGAGCTGGGAGGTTCTCATAACCAAATCCCCGCCCTCTTCCAACGTCTTTGAGTTTTAGGACAAACCCCAAAGGGATTCGAAAGCGCAGGTTCCTAGAGCTACTACTTCGGGGACGAAAACACAAAGGTACCGAAACTGGCATTGCCTCTTGGACCAGCGGCCCGGAAACTCCCGTCTCCGGGACCCTCGACGAGACTGTGAGGAGTAGGAGCAGCAGCGCATGCAGCCCTCCCATCCCCCGAGTGAGGAAGGAGAGTGAAAATGGGCCTGGCCCCGCCACGCACTGAGGGCACCCGGGCGCCCACCCTAGCTCCCTGCCGACAGGAGGCATCCTCTCCCCAGTAATACCCAACTGGGCTGGCTTTCTGTGCAGCGGAGGACGCCCAATAGCCCGGCAGAGCAAAGCGCCCGGCTAGGCGAAGGCTGGAATCCTGCCCCAGGCTAGCGGTGGGGCAAGGGTCTGAGAGCAAAGCGCAGACTTGTCCTCTCCAGCTCGCCGTCTTCTGGAGACCTGGAGCTGTTCAACTAAGGCTTACCATAAATACCCTTGTGATTTGTGCTATGGCAACAGAGAAAGGCGGCTGCCTGGCAAGGGGGGAGAGGCACCCAACTCAAAAGAAGTCGTTTCCGTTCTCGAGCCTCAGTGTCCATCTATACAATGAGAATGATGATTCCATCCCTGCCTGGCGCAGGGGTTGGCGTTAGGCTCCTACGAGGGGAGAGGTCGCAGCGCGGCGTCAGCCTGGGACAAGCGATCCAAAGCAGAAGAAAGTCTCAGCGATGGGATTCGAACACGCAAGCACAGAGCAGAAACTTCAGGCTCCCCTTATTTACCCCCACCGTTCTCTATGTTCCTGCGGAGCAAAAGAATGCCGAAGTCAGAGAAATCCGAAAACAGAGAAGGGGAAAGAAAGTGCCCTGGGGCAGAAGAGGTAGCTGGCCGCCCTCAAGCACCAGTGTTCTCCCAAACTCGTTTTAAGCCTCCCCTTCACTCCTCTCAGATCACTAAGGAGACGGGCGTCACTCTGACTGTAGACAAAACTGTCAATTCCCTATGCCACTGCTTCCCTGACTTCAGACCAAAGTAAGCAAATCGTTTGGACATTGTGGTGCAGTAATCAGATAATTTGGCTAAACCCAGACTTGTGTTCAAATTATCAGAACTGATACCTCAAGTCTCTACTTGATTCTCCAAATGCAGTTGTGCGTTCTGTCTCCCTTTCCCCCTCCCTCACACTCTCCCCGCTTGCTCATTGCCTCTGGTCTCTTCTTTGCCCCCTCTTTCCCCCATGTACACAATCCTTTGTTTTACAGATAAAGTGGGGCTCCAGTCATTTCCTTCCAGAAAGAAACCATTTTCCAGATCCCAGCTGATCTAGACTTTGGGCTGCTAATTAATGGAAGTTACTGAATAAATAAAATACAACAAATTTGCCATCATGAAAAAGCCTGGAGAACATATTTAGGGTGGGAACAAAGAACAGAGAGAAGAAGACATGGTGGTTGGATTTTTTTTTTTTTTTTTTTTTTTTGAGTCAGAGTCTCGCTCTGTCACCCAGGCTGCAGTGCAATGGCATGATCTTGTCATGATCTTGGCTCACTGCAACCTCTGCCTCGCCAGCTCAAGTGAATCTCCTGCCTCGGCCTCCCAAGTAGCTTGGATTACGGGCTCCCACCAGCAAACCTGGCTAATTTTTGTATTTTTAATAGAGATGGGGTTTCATTATGTTGGCCAGGCTGGTCTCGAACTCCTGACCTCAGGTGATTTGCCCGCCTTGGCCTCCCAAAGTGCTGGGATTACAGGTGTGAGCCACCGTGCCCAGCAGGCGGTTGGATTTTTAAAATTGTCTTTTTCAGGGAATTTTTTTTCTACATTAGATCAAAGCAGCTACCACTGTGGTGACAGAAAGAGTTGGAATTTGAAGTCAAAACACCAAAAGGCGGGCAGATCACGAGGTCAGGAATTCGAGACCAGCCTGACCAACATGGTGAAACCCCATCTCTACTAAAAATACGAAAATTAGCCGGGAGTGGTGGCGCGCGCCTGTAATCCCAGCTACTTACGAGGCTGAGGCAGGAGAATCGCTTGAACCCAGGAGGTGGAGGTTGCAGTGAGCCAAGATGGCGCCACTGCACTCCAGCCTGGGTGACAGAGTGAGACTCCGTCTCAAAAAAACAAAAACAAACAAAAAAACACCAAAAGGCAATCATGTTTCAATATCAAGAGGTTGGTTTTGCAGCTGAGGCCCACAAAGTAGGCAGAGAACCGCATAAAGCAATGCAGGTGGGTGGAGGTGAGCTCCACCTCCAACGTTTCTCATAAGCTGGCGCTTTCCATCTAGGGGCCTTCCTTAACCAAAAAAAAGCTGGGAACTAAATCCAGGTAGACTTAAAGGCGCATTACCTATCTCATTATTTCTCTGTGTGAATGCTGGAGTTTTAATTACACACTTGCTTTTTATGGGGAAGAAGACCAAAGATCATATTTTTGAAGGTATCAACTTGTTTTCTATCAGACAGTTGTTTTAACAAGTTCTTTCAGCGACATGTTATGTCTTTAGGAAAGGGTGCTTCAGATGGTGCGCACTAGCACAATTTTGTGGCTTTTAATTACTATTTTGTTCTTTTGGGGGGTTTCAGAGGCTGGCGCCTGGGCGTGATTAGACCGTCTACCCCGCCCCCCGCAACCTCGCACACTGCCCACCAGGTGGCGCCACAAAGCAAGCGCTGCCGCAGGAACTTCGGACTTGGGAGTCCAGCAAGTCGTGCAGTCCATCACCGTCGGGCCAAGGTTTCCAACTACAAGGTTATAGAGACAGAGGAAGTCACCATTTCCGATTTTTTAAAAAACAGAGGGAAAAGAAAAAAATTGCAATGATAGGGTAGAACAGGGTCCTAAAATGCAAAACTGTAAAACAGGATTAAATTCAACAAACCAGATAAAACTTTTTATATTTGTTGTAAATTTACAGAGAAGTGATAAATCTAGTATCTACTTGATAAATCTATAATCTCACCTATTATCCTATTTCCTTTTTCGCAAGAGCATCGAATTTTCAAGGACAACTGGTGAACCTTTCCACCCGAAGGAGGAAGTCCTCGGGATGGCTTTCAGGGTGTCATTTACTTATCAAACGTATATAATTACTCAGAGTCTCGCGTGTCGGGAAAGTACCAGGGAAAGTGGTTTCAAATATACTATTAGCAATAATACCTTTAAGTTTATGTAGCTTCTCTTTGAAGCAACAAGGAAAACCCGTTTCAATATTATATGATTAATTGTCCTAATATCCCTGCGGATTGGTTAAGAAGCGAGCATTACACGTGGTTTGTGGATAATTAAATCAATTGATTATGTCAAGTGCCGAGTGGCTAACAAGAATAAATGCCAGACACTTCGAGGAAAAGTGAAGATAGAGCTGGCTGGACTCTGGGCACCGATGTACTTTAATGTGTTTGAAAACTGACCTCGGACATGAAAGTACGAATCACTGGAACTGGCACTTGCTCACAGAATGGGAGAGGGGACCCCACTTCTTCCTCTGAGGCAAAACGCCAGTCTGTCTCCACGCCTTCTGTCTTCCTGCTGCGGGCCACCCTGACTCCTCGCTACCTCGACCCCTCGCCTCGCTGCTCACATTCGGCGGCAGTCTGTTTGCACCTGGGGCCGCTGCAGCCGCAGCCGCAGCCACAGCGCCCACCATGTGACGCCCGCCCCTTGGCCGGGCGTTCCCGGAGCTCCGCGGCCGTTTGCTTCTGATTGGCTGTTGCTAGGTGACGTCGCCAGCGCTCACGTGACGAGTGTTAAATGCCCACACTTCAGGAGCCCGCCTGGCAGACAATCGTAAAGCCGCTCGGGGCCGCTCACCTGCTCCCGCCTCCCAGAGCCCCGACCCGGCCCAGCCACCCCTGCCCCCTCCACTGCCCGCCCCCCGCCAGAGCCCGCGCTCGCGCTGGGCAAGGAGCCGAGCGGGCCCAGAGGCCGAAAGAGGATGCGACCAGAGGCAGCTGTCCCGAGCAGCGCACGGTGATCGCCTCCCCCGGAGGAGGAGGCGCCTAGACGGTTGCCTCCTTTCTTGTTTCCCCACCACCACCCCCGTAATTACATTGGCTGCTGGAGGGGACCGGGAGAGACAGAGGAGGCGCCTGGCTTCCCCCGCACGCCCGCCACCTCTGCTCTTTCCCGTCTCGGGCCAGGATGACTGGAGTCTTTGACAGTCTAGTGGCTGATATGCACTCGACCCAGATCGCCGCCTCCAGCACGTACCACCAGCACCAGCAGCCCCCGAGCGGCGGCGGCGCCGGCCCGGGTGGCAACAGCAGCAGCAGCAGCAGCCTCCACAAGCCCCAGGAGTCGCCCACCCTTCCGGTGTCCACCGCCACCGACAGCAGCTACTACACCAACCAGCAGCACCCGGCGGGCGGCGGCGGCGGCGGGGGCTCGCCCTACGCGCACATGGGTTCCTACCAGTACCAAGCCAGCGGCCTCAACAACGTCCCTTACTCCGCCAAGAGCAGCTATGACCTGGGCTACACCGCCGCCTACACCTCCTACGCTCCCTATGGAACCAGTTCGTCCCCAGCCAACAACGAGCCTGGTATGCATAACGCTGAAGTCAAGAGTGCCGAGTCGGTCTAGTTAATGGGATGGATGGGTAAACGTGTTTGGGGCGGGGGGCCTTCGAAAGCTCTGGATTTTCACGCTGCCTGCTCACCGCCCGCTTGTGCCCTTTACCCTCCCCAGCCTCCAATCTGCCGCAGGTCGCCGGTTACGTCCCTCTCTCCTTTGGTAGGACCTGGTGGCCTCAAGAGCCAAGTGGGCGTGCTCTGCCTGCCTCATAAGGGCATCTCCTTGCCACCAGCTTCTTTCTCTTGGGTGTGCACTTGTCTCCCCCTTCCCTGGAGGGTACAGCTCCCGGGGTCGGTGGCGGCTCCGATCGCACGCTGCGAAGTTGCGCCTGCCCGTGGCGCCACAGTTCAGTGCACCCACCTCTTTGCTCAAGCCAAGTCCCCCCCGCCGGGCCCTCTAGGAGGGCGGGAACTCCAGGACCCCTGGGTTGCGCTGTTCTTACGATTCTTTATCGTTGCAGAGAAGGAGGACCTTGAGCCTGAAATTCGGATAGTGAACGGGAAGCCAAAGAAAGTCCGGAAACCCCGCACCATCTACTCCAGTTTCCAGCTGGCGGCTCTTCAGCGGCGTTTCCAAAAGACTCAATACTTGGCCTTGCCGGAGCGAGCCGAGCTGGCGGCCTCTCTGGGCCTCACCCAGACTCAGGTGGGGCTCGCGCCCTGCAGGGGCGAGGAGAGCGCGGGCCTGAGATGGCTGGGAAGCAGGCGGGTTTAGGACAATGCTTTTTAAAGTTCATTTTAAGTACTTTTAAGGATTTCCAGGCCTGCGCCTCGAGCGGCCCTAAGTAAGCTTCTAGGCCCAAAGCTGGAAACCCCCAAGGGGCCGCCGTGGGAGGGAAGGAAAGGGACCGGGTGGACAGAAATCCCGTACCTCTCGCTACTGATTAAGCGGGTGAAATAACTGGCCCTCCTCACCCTCCCGCTGTCACCATCATCACAGTGCACGTACACCAGCAGTCCTGGCCTTTTGGCAATTACCTCCCCAGGGAGCAGGAACCGGCAGAGCCTCGAAGGCCGCCGCCCGTGATCCTCTTATCTCCCCAGGGCGCTCGCTGCCCACCGCTAGCCAGCGGTTTTTCTCTGCCTTCTTTTTTCTCCTCTTCGAACCCCTACTGCCCCAAGACTAGGTTCCTCCACTAATGCTCAGGTCTTTTTCCTCAAAGGTCAAAATCTGGTTCCAGAACCGCCGGTCCAAGTTCAAGAAGATGTGGAAAAGTGGTGAGATCCCCTCGGAGCAGCACCCTGGGGCCAGCGCTTCTCCACCTTGTGCTTCGCCGCCAGTCTCAGCGCCGGCCTCCTGGGACTTTGGTGTGCCGCAGCGGATGGCGGGCGGCGGTGGTCCGGGCAGTGGCGGCAGCGGCGCCGGCAGCTCGGGCTCCAGCCCGAGCAGCGCGGCCTCGGCTTTTCTGGGCAACTACCCCTGGTACCACCAGACCTCGGGATCCGCCTCACACCTGCAGGCCACGGCGCCGCTGCTGCACCCCACTCAGACCCCGCAGCCGCATCACCACCACCACCATCACGGCGGCGGGGGCGCCCCGGTGAGCGCGGGGACGATTTTCTAACCCCAGGGAGAACTCGCCAGAGACTGAGAGCAGAGACCACTTATCCTCATTGCTTACCCCGAGCCGGGGTTCCCTCCTCCCGGCCCGCTGCCGCCACCCACCTCTCCTGCAGGCTGCGACCTGCAGTGGCCCGTCTCAGGCCCTGCTCACTCCCGGGGCCACCAAACGGGCCCCTCTCTCGGGGGAACCGGACAGCAGCTTGGCAAAGGCCTCCCTAAAAGGCCGCATTTCTGACCTGAGCCCCGGGTCTCGGCTGTTTCGAGCCCCGCCTCGGACTTGCCTTCCCTCCCCTCCGGGTGAGCCTGTCTGGCGCCTTCCTCGCCCCGGGCTGAGAGCTGGGTCCCGGGAGATGGAAGCCTCCCAGGCGCGCGAGGCTTCCCGGGCGCTCTGAGGCTTCTTTCTCCTCGCCCGCTCCCCTGGGCTCAGCTCGGACGCTGCAGTTATTGACCTCCCGGTCCCGCCTGCCCGCCCTCCCCCACGTGGCCCCTTGACCCGGGCGGCCCCGCCGCTTCTTTCCTTCCTGCAGTTCCCAGCCCTCGGAGCCCCCATCCCTTATCTTACCCCCACCGCGCTCCCCCAGGAGCGCTCCCTCAGCTCTCTCCTCATCCATCACCAGTGGAGTTTTTTTATTTGTTATTTTTTTAAAAGTTTAGGTGCCTTTGCGGATGACCTCATTTTGACGTTGAAAAAATGATTTTTTAATATGTGAACACTGCAAAAATGTGTTTAAATTATCTTTTTTAAAACCTATTCAGGATTATTAGCCTGGACTTGGACACAGAGTTTGTAAATAAAGGTGTCTGTGCAGATTTTCCCACTGATTTATTTGTATAAAAATACTCATCTTTTCAGACTTTTTTGTAAACCCCCAGTTGTGAAAACTGCAGTTTAGCAGTGACCTCAGCAACCCCTCCTTTTTATTTTTTCCTTTAAAAACATTTCAGTTAAATTAAGCTACTGATTTGGATTTGTTTTATCGTATCCTAAAGTCTTTGTTGTTGAAATGAAAGGTATTTTGGGGTTATTTATTATGAAAACAACATGCTCTTAATGTTGATTTTACAATATGAAGAGATTATTTAAATAAATTATTGTTTTCATTGGATGTGTGCGCTTTTTTCTTGGTGCCAGGGTCCGGTCAGTCACGTGCTCAGAGCTCAAGCCGCTGCCCAGGCCGGGAAGCCAGCCGGCCGAGAGCTACGTTTACATCTTTCCGAGGCTGCGACACCGCGAGGTGCGGCAAGGAGAGGACAGGCGCGCTGGGCGTGGGGCCGCACCGGGGGTTTCACGCCCCGCCCCCTCCCGAGTCCCCGCGAGGGATTCTCCGGCCGGCGGCGGGGTGACTCACTCAGCGCGGAGCGGCTCCAGCCTCCGCCTGCCCTGCCCCTCCGGCGCCGGCGCCACCGCCCCCGCGCCCGCCTAGATGGCCAGGCTCGGCACCCCAGCCGCCGCGGGGGACCTCCTGTCAGGGACCTGAGCTCTGCAGCAGCCTGAGGGTCGGAACCCTACTTTGAACCTTCCCCTCCGTTTGTCCCACCGCCCTTCGGGACTGAACTGAGAGCTCTGTGAGTCACCCTCGGGAGGCATGGCTGGCTGCTCTGGAATGCAAGCCGACCCCAACGACACGGGGCCGTGCTCGAGCGCGCGCAAACACACAATCACACACTGAGCACACTGTCACAGGCCCATCTATACTAGCACACACTCACCCATACTGATACACACTCTCACAGTCACACTCATGCTCAAATATTCTCAGGCGCACACACAATGACACACACTCGAACACCGTCACATCACACACTCATACTCCATCACACTCTTACAACACTGACACACGAAGTCATGCACACTCGCATTCATACCCTTACACACTGATAGACAAACTCACATATGCACACTCATGTATACTTACTCACAGACTTATATACACTGGTATGAGAGTGGCATCTTTCCACTTCATACTCTTGGTGGGGGGGATGTCCACACACCACTGGGCTCTGCTTTCTACCTTGGGCCCCACACAACCAGCTTACAACTTTGGAGGTGACCCTGCTTTCTGGCATTCCCTACAAAGGCCAGGGGTTGGTGGTTAATGAAGGTCCCTGAAAGTGCTAGGGCCTTTCCCTGAAAGTGCTAGGGCCCGCAGTTGGAAGCTTCCTGGCTTCAATCACTGACTGTGTGACCTTGGGGAACCCATTTAACCACCCTGTGTTACAGTTTGCAGATCTGTAAGATAGGAGAAATATTAACAGCTATAGCTTGCAGTTGTGAGCATTTAATGAGGCAACAGTGTAACAGTGCCTGGCACATGGTAACAACTCACTAAATTATATCTATTTAATATTTAGTATTACTGTTTTTTCACTACCCCCAGAGAGGGGTATGAAACCCACAGTTACCCAGAGGCTTTCCAACTTCACTTTGTGTGGAAGAGCAACATCCTGGGGCTGGGAAAGCCCCTTCCTACCTGGGGTTTGAACCTCAGCCATGCCCTCTGAAGGGATTCTCCCCTACTGCAGAGGGGCTGGGTGCCAGCCACAGAGCCCCGCCTGCCAGGTCCAGGCTTCGTCTCCTCTAGGATGAGGCCATCTGTGCTGTGTGTCTTCAACTTATCTGCCAAAACCAGACACGGGGCGGAGGTGACTTTCTGGGCTCAGTGGCATCATCCTGAGGAGAATCATGACTTTTCTGAGCAGATTGCTTTGGGGCCTTCTCTGAGTCTGGTTTACAACCATGCGGTCCAGAGAGTTGCGGCTTTGGAAAAAGCAGGGGGGCTACACGATCCAGTGTCCCATTGCATTTTTGCATTGTTTTCCCAGGCTAGGGAGGCCTGGGTTGAAGCCCATTGACCTATGATCCTGGGTTTCCCTAAGCAACCGCTGCCTGGCAGACCCCCATCCCTGTCCACCACCCGCACCCCAGCTCCAAATTCTGTGGGTTTTGTTTCTTTTTTTTTTGTTTTTTTTTTCTTTTTAGTGCCACTAACTGGTGCCAGCCTTCCTCCTGAGGGTGACTGTGCCCTCCCCTCCTTTGCACGCACTCCCCTCCCTCCTCCCGAAACCAGCGGGGAGAGACGGGCAGTAAATTGGCTGGTGTCGAGGATCTGCAGCAGACAAGATGATTAAGAGGCCTACGCTGGAGAGCCCGGGGCAGGGAATGTCAGCCCAAGTTGGAATCACGCAACAGGCCTTGGCATGAGCCAAGCCTGGGAGTCGGGAGGGCGGGAGCTCCCAGCTCCGGGGTGGGCTGAGGCCCCACAGACTCGCCGGAGTCACCTTACCCGGCACCCAGTGACGACAGGGTCGGGCCGGGCCACGGTGTGCCTTTCCCCAGGGAGCCTGCGAAGCCGAGAGCAGGAGGGTGAAGGGGCCAGAGGAAGGGGGTGTTTCCGCAGACCACGAGAAGGGCAAAGAGAAGGGGTTGCAAGGACGCGCCCAGGTCCCAGAAATGAGGGGGCGGAAAGGGGGAGGGGTAGGCAAGGGAGGAAACAAAGCCTGGCTCCTGGAGGCGGGGGCCGGCTCCAGCCCCGCCGGGGGCGACGCGCTGGCAAGCCTTTCTCACAGTCTCCCGGCCCGCCCGGAGACGCGGAGTCCTGTGATCAGCCCGCCGCCGCGCAGACACGCTCCCCCCGTGCTCTACTGAGCTCCCCAAAGCGCGAATGAAAAATGGAAATGGGAAGCAGCGATCTCGGCTCTCTACGCTGGGAAACTAGCAGTGCTCAGAACACACATAAATCTCCATTGTAATCTCCTTCCAATTGCTCGCGTGAAATATCAGGCCAGAGACAGGATATGACAAGCGCTGGGAAGCAGGGGGAGGGAAGCTGAAGAGTGAGGGGTGCACGGCCCTCTCCGCTCCACCCTCTGGCAGGGCTCTCCCAACTCAGGCAGAACGCGGGCACTGAGCTCCAGGGCCAACTGCCTGCCGCCCAGGTACTCCCGCGCCCCCCGCCCCTTCAATCCCCTTCTCCCCCCAACCCCGGTGCACGCTCTGCCCACAGCCACCTCGCCCCAGCACGGCGCTCCGCTGGGCGCAGACCCCCCTCCGGCTGCGCGGAATTCCCGCCGCCGGCCCCGAGACTCCGGGATGGGAAGGGCAGAAAAGAGAGAGAATGGATCCCAGGCCTCACCAGCCCTGCTGCAATGTGGGACCGTTTAGGAGGCTTCCCCTAGGCCTTCTTTCAGGATCACTTGTGAAAATTGTGAATATCCGCCCTGTGTAACGATCCCAGACTGATGGAGCGAATTTGGGAGAAATACCGGTTTGGTGGAGGCGGAGAGAGCGGGGGAAGACTGGAACTTTGTTTACAAACAGTTCAGTGGTAGAAGACGAGGGGCAGAAGAGGCGGGTGCAAAGAGAAGCTCTGAAGTGGTCCCCTCCGCCCAAGAGAACAATGTCCGGGAGCAAGAAGCCCCGTCCCCTCTCAAAAAGTCGTTCTTACGGGCAGTAAAACTCGAGTGCAACTCCCCCACTCCTGGCGTCCCCCGAACTCGCTCAAAAGTCAAAAGCCCGCTCCTTTCCCTCCATGGAACAGCGACCACCAGTGGCTTTAACCTGTTTAGGGTCGGAGACTCCTTTGAGAATTAAGCTACAGATCCTCTCCTCCTCCAAAAATACAGATAGGTCCTTTCCCTTCGAATTCAACTTTGGGGTCCAGGAATCCTAGAAGCTGTAGGATGGGGCGCTATCCTGGGGGCCGCGTTACTTCCAGCCTTGGCGCTAGGGCACTAGGTCCTGCGGGGACTGGCGGCCTCTAGCAGGATCCTAACACCCAAAGCAGCCCCAGGGAAGCCTCCCCCGGCCGACCTTTCCCTTCCCTCCCCACCCAGGATCTGCCAGGCACGCCGCCGCCAGCCCACACCACCCCCGCCCCCACACACACCAGTGAAGGCGGATGCTGAGGCCCCACATCCCTTCGATCTCCCTTCCCCCCCCGCGGGAGTTCCCCTCGCGGGGACGGGTTTGGCAGTGATTGCCGCATTACAAGATGTTACATTCCGCCCTGCGGCCTGATGCTGGGCGGGGCGGGGAGACTGTGTTTCAGGAAAAGAAAGTGCAGGCAGGTCTTGGAGGAGCAGCTCGGCGCCTCCACGCCAAGAACGCAGACAGCCTCCAGACAGACCTTTCTTCCCTCGGCCTCTCCGGCTCCCCCACTAGTCCTCCCGGGCCAGAGCGCACAAGCTGCAGTGTCCCGGCAGTTTGCGGGCTGCGTGGCAGCGCTCCGAAAGAGGCCCTTTTGGGGAGGGTCCCCAGTCGAGTCGGGTCCCGGGCTAGGAGATGGGGGCCGAGGGTCGGGTGCCGAGTGGGAGAAGGTGCAGAACCGGCCCACGAGGCGGGTCGGGGGTGCTGGGCAGAGGATTACAACTTCGGGGCAGGAGAAGCGAGGGCGAAAGGACTGGACTTGGAGCACGCTCGGGTGACCCCGGGGGACAGACTGGGGCCCGCACGGAGCAAACGTGGCAGGCTGCCCACGCTGCCGCTTCTCCGTCCCGATTGTGGTCCAGGAGTCTCGGACACCCGGGAGGTGAAATCATCGCACCCGGAACAATGGGGACTTCTGGCCGGAGAACCGGACTGAGGCACTGCAGCTCCGAGCGGTGGCCGCGCTCCAGTCGGCTTCTCCCGCCGGGCGCCACCGCGCTCCCCGCTCGGGGGGCAGCCCCCGCCCCGCCCCCTCCCTCCGCGGGTCTGGCCTCGGCTTCTTAAAGTCGCAGGGTGTCTCGGTTCCCGAGAGAAGCGCCGCCCAAGTGGGAAGTGAATGTTTGGGAGGTGGGGGGACGCTATCTCCAGGCGGTAGAGACAAAAGAAGAGCCTAGGCGGTCGCGGGGCGGGACAGTCCGACCCTCCGCTCCTACCTTCCACGTCCCACCTTCCCAAAACTGCCCTGGGCATCTCCCGAGATGCTCCCCGCCTGGCACCGACAGCACAGTCAGCCAGCTCCCCCATCATCCCGCCCCCCCGCCCCCTGGGCCCGGTCTGCCCATCCCGGGGCCCGGCCCGGCTGCACTGTGGAGGGGTTTGCCAGAATCCGGGAATGGGGCCGAAGGAAGGAGGAGGGGGGAACAGGAAAGAAAAAGAAAGGAGGAGGTGGCAGGAGGGGGTATCCGGTTCAGTCACTTTCTCAGTTGCTGCTTTTAGGGTGGGGAGCCCCTCGGGGCCTCCCGGGCATTCAACTGGGGAGAGCAGGTACGCGGGGAAAAGGATTCTCTCCTCGGCACGTTCACGGGAGGACAGTGAAAATTTGCCTTGGGTGGCCAATTTCCTCATTCGCCCCTATTAAAAGAAAAAGCCCAAGAAATTCAATTAAAGCCACCCTGGCCAATGCTCTATTTGAGGCATGAATGTCTCCCCTAAAGCTGCAGCAATCATGTGGCATTAGACACTTCCGGAATCCTATAGCCAACCTGAAAAATCCCAGACCCCCTTTTTCCCTAATTTTTGCTCTGATCTGTAATTTTATCCACATTTGCACTAGTTTGAGCATTCTGGCTCTCCCATCTGAAAGCCTGCAATTACTATATAATTCTTCGCAATTTCAGATGTCCTAATATGGACTGTAATTTTTGCGCAAGACAATTTCCTGCTATTTCAAGCATCAACATTGTCAAAGTTGTATGTACATAATAAATGGGAATATCAATGCATAGTTTTTAGCATAACATCTTGACTCCTCGATAATTATATCCGTTCGGAGCCTACGCAGAATTAGCCTGAATTGCATGGTAACTGCTGCTGCTTTAAAATTTTTAAAAATTACTCATAATTTTCCCAAAGATTACCAAGATCTCGAGTGCACAATGTCATCAGCGTAATGAAGAGTAAACATTTATGCTAATAATCTGCAATTTTTTTCATCAGCTATAAAGACAGAGGCTATATAGCCGAAAATTTCAGTCCTATTCTGCAAGCGCAGCGCTGCAAAAAGCCTGCGGCGCTCTGAGGCGCCTGGTCCTGGGGACCTCTTTCCACTCTTTACTCTCAAGATAGGAGGATGGGTCTGGGGGATTGTTTTTGGTTTTCTGGTTTTGTTTTACTCTGGTTTGGTCGGTTTTGTATTTTTCTATTTTTCCTTTTTTTCCCTTTTTTCTTTTTTGATTTTTCTTTCCCGTTATTCTCCCAGCCAAAAGCTACCTTCGACCCTTTTGATTTGATGTAGCAAAGAGTGTGTGTCCAGATTATCTGAAATTGACACTGAAGAAGGTAAGGGTGGAAACCGGTTTCATTTTTCAGAGGGTTGGAAGGCTGCGCTGCGCCCGCCGCCGTGGCTCCCGCTCCGGGAGTAGGAGGGTGGGGGAGTGATTATGTATGCACCAGCTAATTCTTCCATCAAAACTTCTTGTCAGCGATGTCAGGATTATTTTTTTCCTTTTTATAAAAACACTTGATGTTTCAGGAAGTGTTAATCCTCGAAGATTGGGGGATGAGGGAGGGGGTAGGAAAGCGGTGGGTGGGGGTGACATGTTTCTTGAGCCTGGGGAAGGCACTTTTTACAGCCGTTTGTCTGTCTACGCTGGAGCTAGGGGTTTGTTGTGGAGCTGGGGACCGGAGGAGGATTTCTTTGAGGCATGGGAGGGAAGGACCCTCGCCTTCTGTACTGCATTTGATGGAGGTTCCTATGGCCATGCGGGATGAAGAGCAGAAAAGTTTGCGTTAGCCTATAATTTCAAGGGTGTTTAATCCAGGCGGTGGGATGACAAAAACCAGGTAATTCTGAAATCAGTTTATAAAAGATACAGAAAGGAAGAGATGGATACCAGGATAAAGATTTAAAGCCAGGAAGCCTGGGTTGCTTCTTTGCTCCCAATTTTTCTTGATCTAGTATCTCGGGTTCCACATCCAGCGCACAGACCTACCTTTCCTGGGGTGACAGAAATTGACAATTTCTTCAAGGTGAAAGATTCAGTTAGTTTCTACATCAGATGACTCTCTATGAATAAATTCACACTTCTGTGCATATAGGTGGGGGGAATCTTAAAACTTCTTGTGGCTCTAAAAACTCGTACAGAATCAAGAAGGCTGAAGAGCTATTATATCTAACCCAGCCCAGGTGCAGATTTCCAGAAGAAAGAAATAAAAATAAAACATAATGATCAGAGAGGAAAAGCTGTGAACTATAAACGTTTCCAGTTTTATATTTTTAAATAGTGCCTCGATTTAAGATATGAGTTCTCCCACAATTAGATTACCACTCACAAGGCTACCCAGCCCCTCCAGGCTCCTGAAAGCCAAGACCAGTGAGGAGGGGGCTGGGGACTGTTGCTTCTCTCCCTACCCCTACCCCTTTTTAGAGCTAGTGTGGGTGAGAGAAGATATTAAAGGGATATCTGTTGTTTGGCAATTTTGCTAAGTCTGTCTTCATTACTTTGCTGCTGTGCATTTGCTAATTTGGAGGCCTGGCCATTGACAAGCTTGCTCCATACACCTGCAAGCAATTTGCCGGCTCCGGTACCAGAGAATTGCAGAGATGGCAGCTCGCACCTATTTGATTTTTTTTTTTCCTTTTCTCAATGCACAGCAAATTTGGCTTTCAGTGCGTTATCTCTTTTGTTAATGCAAAAAGATTCCCTGGGCGAAAAAATTGCTCATAATTACCAGAGAGATGGGGAAACTGCATTAGAATAAATAAACCTGAAATTACTGTAATTATGTTGTGTTTGATGGGCCCGGCTTGTAATCAAGAAGAGAATACAGTGAAATGATGCTGACCCTCTTGGGTTTGCAGCTGTACGCGCACTTTGGGGTCTTTTTTTGCAGAAAAGAGTCATTTTGATAATCATTAAGCTGTGTGTAACCTATTTCAGAAGTGTTTTAAAATGAGTTTCACATTTTTTGAACAAGGGAAAAAAATCCCAAAATTGCATTTTGCCATTACAGACTCATACATAAGGAAAGGTTGTGTTTTCTAAGTGACAATTGTTAAGACATAATATTCGAAATCAGTATTTAATCATTATAATGAGGTATTGTTTAAATATAACCACCTTTAGATTATTCATAGTTTAATTAATATACTCATTATGAAAATCTTTGAATCAGATATTTGATGAACTACTTGTCAGTAACAAGGCAGCATTAATTAGGCCTATATTGAGATTAACATTTTTAAAAAGTACAACCGCTTATAATTATAATAAAGCCTAACTAAAGACCGTTTTCGTTGAGCTAAAACTAATAATTTCTCTATTTGAACTGTTAGCAAGAGATTATTAAATTAGTATAAGCTAATATCTCAAAGTATTACAATCCGCTTGACCAAACAGATTTTGCCTGTAGCTTGAGGCATTGGGCCCTAGCTGCCGTCTGGGGGACCTGAGTCAGATGCCGGACAGAAATCTTCGCACTAGCAAAGTCACATCTCCTAGGGGAAATTGAACCTAGGAAGACCCCCTACCCCGCGCGGGAGCTGGGAAATTCATTCTTTCCTCAGCTTTGAGGCCCATCTGACTGCCCACATCCTGGTTTCTGAGGTCTGATCTCTCCCATCAGCGCTGGTTCTTCTAGGTGCTGCGGAGAAGTCCCAATCTCAGGCCTGGAAGGGGCTTGGAGGTCCCCGGCATCATTCCCCCACCCCCGACTACTTTCCCTGCTTCCATCACACCGCCTCCCCCCACCCCCAGCAGCCCCACCACTTCCTCCTCCCCTTCCCAAAGGGCGTCGGAAGAGCCTGGCGCATCTGATCTTTCACCAGCACCAATTGAAAAATGGGTGCTTGTCACAACACAGATCACTGCCTTCCGGGCTCTGCTCCCCACCGCGCGCCTGAAAAGACCCCCCAAAGGTGGAGGGCCAGCTCCCGCGGGCAGCAGCGCTGGAAGGCGAGTGCGGGAGAAGTAGGAACAGCGCTTGGCAGCCTGTCTGGGCCCGCAGCTCTCCGGGACTGCCTCGGCTCGGCTGCGAGATCTGGGGTGGGGGTTGGGGCTGGGCTGGGACGCAGGGCCACGAGAAGGGAACCAATCTGGTTCTAGTCCCTTGAAGCCCGTGTTCCTCTGGAGGAAACTAATCTGAGCAAGCGCTTCACTAGAGGTGCTCCCATAAGGGCCTGGCCTTGGGACTTTCGGACTGGGATGAGGTGGGAGTGGTGTGCTTGACTTTGGTCAGATTTTGGGGTTCCAAAGTGTCAGCCACCCTTTCCTTAGCACCTCCATTTCTGTGAGGTGCAGAGAAAGGCCCCGGATCATTAGGCAGGAACCTGCCTTTCTCACTGTGGAGCTCCCAGGGTGGCTGCCTGGGACTGTGCCCTGTCCCCTGGAGCGCACTGATTGATAGAGGGGCAGTCTGACAGACGTGTCTTTCCGGGCCCCTGCTTGGCGTCTGGCTGCGTCTTTTCCGCGACGGAATCCAGCGCCTCCGGGCATGCAAAAGCAGGGAGGCCTGATCCGGAGGAAGGCTAGAGGCAAAGCAGTGTCTCTGCTTTCAGGCCTCTCAGCCTCCCAACCTCCCGGCCTCTCAAGAGCTGGCTGGGTGTGGGAAAAACTGAAATCGTCCTGGCCGGCTGACTTTGAACTCTGACTTCATCTCCTCTCAGCCGGTCTTCAACATCCTTTTGGTTCCTGAGCGTCAGCCCTGCCCTGATGCACCTGTTCCTGAGCCCCCTTCCTGGGGAACCCTCGCCAGGCATTCTCTCCTTACCCTTCCAATTCAGGTAGGAATCAGACACCTTGGGGGTCAATGGAGCAAGGCAGGAAGAAAAAGCCCAATGGGGCACCTCACAGGCCTCTGACGATACCCTGGTGTTTCTGGGGTACAGGGTCTCCATTCTATCACCGATAAGTTGATAAGTCGCTGACCCTGTATGAACTGTCTCCAGAGGCGGGAACCTGGCCTGGCCCCCTGGCACAGCCTCACACAGCACAAGAGAGCAGTTCTTTCAAGAAATCATAATTTTACTGTCTCAAAGAAACTTTATAACTTATTTACAAAGTTTTTTTCCCAAGATACAAAGCAATAAGTTAACATTCTCAATATAAAACTAAACTTTGACATAGAGAACACAAAACACAGTTGATTTCAATTGATCACATTTTCCAAATTTCACAAGAAAAATGTCAAGATTCTCATTTCACAAAGCATGGGGTTTTACAGCCACACACAACAGAACGCAAAAAGGCTAAGCTTGTGCAACATGTTTACAGAACAACAATAATAACAATAATAATAATAACAATAATATGTACAGTCATTAGATCCTGCACTGGAGATTGTGCGTTCAGGGTGGTGACTGGCATTATTCTGTGGTCGAGCCTCTAGGGATTGTTGTAAAGCTGATTTTGTCTTATTTTAAAGCCCACTGGAATTAGAGTGCTTGTTCTCGCCTGTTTTCTCTCTACTCCCCATTTGCCCTCGCTCCCTCTTTCTACCCAAGGAGGAAATCAGCATTTTCCTTCTTGTCCAGGCGAAGCAACAGAGTTCCTCCCGAAATGAGAAAATCATGTTGGCTTCATTTATCGTTCTTTTCTTTTAAAAATTATTTATTAAATAATGTCGGACATGTAAAAAATGCAAATCATTCGGCTCCAAACTCTCCATACCAGAGAAGTACAAAAGTTACTGTATAAATTAAAAATCACCACGTCCTCCTTATTCGTTTCTCCCCGTGCGCTTAAAGTAAACAGTGCGTTTGAACAGTGCGTTCCTTGCGCCCAGCAGAACCCTGAATTGGCAAACAGCCTCAGGCGAAGTCCATTTCTCAATAAATAAAACCCCCTCCCTCCAATGCCCCCAGATTCCCACACCAGCTACACAGATGGTCAGGCAGAGTGTCCCAGGATCCGGAGATGGTCAGCCCGGCAGGACCCGGGCCGCTCAGACCTTGTGGCTTTTTGCTGAGGCCGCAGAATGAGGACAGCGGACGGATGAGGACCTGGACTTTACCAGCGCACAGACAGAGCAAAAGGAGACAGGAGACTGACAGGACAGAAAAGAGCTTTTGCTTTTTCTACATTTTGTTTTTGTTTTGTTTTTTCCTGATAGTCCCACAAAGCTGAAGGTCGGCGGGTCGGGTGGAGCGGGTTTATCTTGCTGCTTGGGCTGTCTCAGGTGGCAGTGGCTTCCCTCCGAGGCCACTCTCTGCTGCCACTGCTCGGCCCAGGCCAGGGTTCAGGCTAGAGCGCGGATGCCGGGAAGTTGCTGGGCCGGACCTCGCGGGGCTCCGAGGAGATGGAGGGCGTCCCGCCTCCACTGTTCCTTCTTCCCTCTGGGTCCTTCTTTTCCGGACGGGATGGATGGACCTGGAGGCGGGAGGGACCTGGGCCGGGGAGACAAGAAGGAGACGGGCGGGCAACCTCACATAAGTTGGGGTTGCTGCATAGCTTCTTGGTGCGCTGAAGGGTACCACGATGTGTAGCTGGGGATATAGGAGCCCGCGTTTCCTCCTGAGCCCTTCCCGGATGAAGAGTTAGGGTTCCAGCCGGGCGGCACGGGTGGGGAGCCAGCAGACAGGGCCCGACCGTTGGCCAACGCACTACCCTCCAGAGCCGCCCCACCCTGCTTCATCAGCTTCTTGAACTTGGATCGCTTGTTTTGGAACCAGATCTTGACCTGCAAGAGCGGACAACAACGTGACTCAGGCTGGGACCACTGAGCCTACCTAGGTCACAGGGAGGAAAAAAGGGACCGCAGAACAGCAGAGATAGGACCTCCCAACCCTGCGCCAGCTGGCAGCTCCCTGCCAGAGAAGCAGAGACATCCCTCCTTCCTCCCTTCCCCCATAAGAGCCAAAGGCTCGAAGGCCGAACCTCCCGCCGCCGTCAGCCCACGGGGGCAGCTCTCAGAGAGCCAGGGAGGAGTTGTGATGAGGGGAGAACCGGGATCCAGGCCTTAGCCTGCCAGGGGCTCAGTCCGACCGTGGCTACCGCCTGCGGAAGATACAGCGCCTGCATAACACCGAGCCAGCAATTCCAATATCAACATCAATAAAAAGAATCGAAAACCTAGGAAGGAGTGGAGGAAATTTATTTGCAACGCGACCCAACTTTTCTATGCGCCATCTTTTCTGCCCTTGAGTTGGGACGGACTAAGGAGGCCTCAAGGTTTTGCTGAACTTCTCTTTGGATTCAAAACCATTCTTGCACTAGTGTCTGTTTGCTTTCTCCAGCTCTGCTCCAAATCCCGGACCGGACGTCGGAAACCCGCGCCCGCCGCCGTCAGGAACGCTCACGGGCTCCCCGGAGTCTTACAGAAAGCCGGGAAGGAAGGTCCCGTTTCTTCTCTAAGGTCTGGGACTTGAGAGGTGAGAGGGCGGAGGAAAGGATCTCCCCCCACCCCCAACCGGTAAGAAGGAGGAGGAGGAGGGAGGCTGAGGCGCGGACCCAGGCCCCGAGTGATTAGTCACACAATTTAAAGGCAAAGGAGGGATTAAGCCCGGAGTCTATTGTTCCAGTTGTTTAGGCACGTGTGACCTCTGAGTTCCCAAACAAATCGTCTGGGGAAATCCTTCCTGCGCCCTAATCAGATTGTCCAGGGACAGAGGGCCGGACGGCAGGCAGCTCGGGATACCGAGAGCAGTGACAGAGCTAGGGCAGAGGGAATGAGGGAGGAAGGAGACACGCTGAGAGCCAGGGGTGGACACAAACACATACACACAGTGACACCCCGACCCTGAGTCCCAGCGAGCAACAAATGAAGACCCGGGCGCAGGCCGGCCGCGGAAAGCCTGCGTGGCAGAACGGAGCGGCAGCGGCGAGGTACCTGAGTCTGTGTGAGTCCCAAAGAGGCCGCGAGCTCCGCCCTCTCCGGCAGAGCTAGGTACTGAGTTTGCTGGAACCTCCGGTTCAAAGCCTGCAACTGCAAACTGGAATAAATCGTCCTGGGTTTACGGATCTTTTTTCCCTTGCCATTGAAGCGCACTTCACCGCCTTCCACCACCGTGCTCTTCTCCGAGTCCGCCCCTGGAGGGACAGCAGAAGTAGGGCCCGTTGTTAATACGAGGGGCCGCCTTTAGTGCGAACAGCCGAGAGCGAGTGGCTACCGAAGGGTGGCGGAGGCAGCACCAGGGAGAGAACGTTCAAGAAACTCTGAAAGCCAGGGAAGGGTCCCCCAAAATCCGAGGGCCTGTCCCGGGACGCTGCAGGAGGGATAGAGCCGTTCCCAGGAGCTCAGCTCCTGCCTTTGCAGGGAAAGTTTGCTATTTTTGCAGGCGGTAGTTGAGGTTTAATTACCCTTAATTGCATACATTGTTTATAGCGCTACGCAATAAATAATTACCGAGACTAATACGTGCACATGTGGGTTTCTGTTTTCCAGCGGGGCATTGTGTGCTCTGCACACCGAGCCGCCCAGAGGCCCAGCCAGTGCCAGGAGACGCTCTGGGATTTATCCTTGGCTGGATAGTTGCAAATTGAGGGAATTTTTAAAAAAATTTATTTGCTGTGACAAGGATCTATAGATTGATATTCGAAACCTCCACTGCTCCCGCGCCCTCCCCACCCCCACCCCACCTCGCTCTCCTCTCTTCTCTTTCTCTCTCTCTCCCTCTCCTCTTCTCCCCCGCTCCTTCTTTCCCTCTCTCCCTTGTACCTCCTCCTCTCCCTCTCCCTGGCAAGCGCACGTACCTGGGTCCTCCAGGCGGCTCTGGGCGAGGCTGGCGCTGCCCGGGTAGGACTGCACCGAACTGATGTAGGGGCTGGATGCGTGGCTGCTGACCGAGTTGACGTAGGGGTAGCCCAGCGGTCGGGAGAAGGACGAGGCTGAGCTGTAGGCGCCGTCGGGCTGCGAATGGCCCGCCGAGTGTAAACAGTGCATGGAGTAGTGCC
The DNA here is from genome assembly GCF_000001405.40 of Homo sapiens. Taxonomy (NCBI): domain Eukaryota; kingdom Metazoa; phylum Chordata; class Mammalia; order Primates; family Hominidae; genus Homo; species Homo sapiens. Next base: position 172,085,789 of record NC_000002.12, on the reverse strand, counting down.
CGTGGGACATGGGAGAAGGAGACATTTGCTGGTTGGGCGGCCCAAACTCCATAAACACCGCCTTGCCCGACACGGGGCTGTTGAGACTTTCTGGCATGGTGGTCATGGTCATCTCTTCTCGCGGGGTCTGGGTGTGGGACTTTCTCTCCTCTGCTTCCCTTTTGGGGGTCTCTATGTTTCTCAGGACAGGAAGGAACCCAATTTAAGCGGAACAGGGGTTTTCACTTTCCATTCATAAGAAAATGGAGTTTGTCTCTTTGAAAAGTCTAAGCATGATGCTGCTGAGCTCCCCAAACTCGGTTCAAAGCTTTGACTCAGCGAAGGTCATAAATATTCATGAGCTGGCGGAGCTGATTGGTCCGCTGTCTTGCATAATCACTGGGGATTGGTCCGAGGCGCTCGGGCTCCGCTGGACTAGAGCGGGCGAGGCGGCCCGGCCTCGGGTAAGACGCATCCACACTTCCCGGCCGGGGCTCCTCTGCAACAGAGCGCGCCGGGCAGGAAGCACAATGGGCTGCGGCGTCTGCGCCGGGGCCCCTGCGGCCCGCGGCTCATCGGCCTCCCGCCTCCCTCGCGCGCTTTCCTCCCCAGGAACCAACCAGCGGCTCCGCGCCGCCGCCCCCCTACCACTGTCCCCACCCTTCAGCGGTCCCTAACACCGGACACCCGGGACCGCTTCTCGTCGCTGCCACTCAGTTCGGCGCAGAGCTAGGGCGGCTCAGGAGGAGACTGACCTCTGCCTCTGGAGCGCGGAGTCGCGCACTGGGGGCGCCCGAGGCGGCCAACAGACAGAGGTTCTCCTAAGAGCCTTGTGCCTAGCGCAGCGCCTATCCGGCCGCGCCTCCCCGGTACGCTCTGCCGCATCCCTGGAGTCGGGGCTTAGGGGCCCTCCCTGCGAACTCACTCACTCGGCCGCTGCGCCAACGCCGCTGTCGCTCCCTGGGGCCCGCTCGCATTGCTCCAGGCCCAGCTGGCCACTCCAGCTCGAGGCTGCACGGGTCTGATTAAAGCAGTGCGCGTGGAGAGCCAGGAACCCGCGCTTCTCCTCCCAGGAAAGGCGGCTGCACCGCCCCCTCCCCCAACACACACATCCTCTTTCCCTCCCAGCCTTCCTCCTCCTCCCCCTCCCTTCTCCACTCCCCATGCGCGGAGAGCCCCGGGCTCACTCGCCCCGAGAGCGCGGCTCAGCGTGGAGCCCAGGGGGCCTAGGGGCTCAGATCTGCTGGAGCCACCGACGCCAGGTGGTCATTTTCCGGCCTCCTGAGGTCTAGCGCGACTTCCAGAGTTTAGGAGTCCCTGGGGGACACCGAAACCCGCAGCAAACCCAGGCCTGTGGTAGGCTCCCTTATCTATGTGTAGACGTCTCTCGTTGCCACCCAGGATCTTCCTCACCTCCAGTGGCCAAAGCGCGCGCCACCAGGCCTAGGGGGCAGGGCTAGTGGAGGCAAGATCTGCCGCTGCTCCTTCTGTCTTCTGGGGTGCTAGGTACAAAAAAGTGCACAAGAGCCCCCACCCCATCGCCACTACTACCAATACAGCCAGTCCCTCGCGGTGTGGCGTACACCACCCTGGCTGTAAGTGGATGTTGGTTCCCCATCCCGCCAGCCCCACGGTGAATCCCAAATTACTTTGTTAGGTAATTAGAAAGTGTTGATAATTATTTCTTTCATAATTTAGCGGTGTGACGGGAACGGGGAAATGATCTTGTGAAAGTTCACACGTGCAGATGTATTAGTTACTGATTCATTTGATTAAATGGTAGTCTCAAGTGCTCAGATCCGCAGCTGAAGGCGCCCCATTAGCATAACACTGATGTTTAATTTTCATACGCATAATTAGCCATATATTTAACACTAATAGCAACATGCAGCCTTTCAGCGTTAAACAGCCCGGGATTTGATCTGGCCTGAGCTGAACCTTCATCGCTGCACCTTCCCCTGTCTGGAGTGTGCAATGATCACAGGACAAACCTCTGTAATCAAGCACATTTTGGCAGAGGGAACACCAATAAAAATGAACATTCAAAACAAATTACATCGGTGCTGTCGTTACAGATATTAGTAGAGGGGGTTTCTCTTTTTTTTTAACTTCTGTACCAGCTGCTGCTGCCCGCAGAATTCCTCTCCTTTGGTTTAAGGGCACAATGCTGGGGGCAGAAATATTTCAGGCAGAGTGGTTGGAGCAAAAAGAAAAGCAAAAGCAAAAAAAACCCAATACGCCAAACCAATAACGGGTTTGCCAACGTTTAAAAGATTTTTTTTTTCTTAATCACCGAACCACACGGTGAGGCTTTGTAGCAACAGCCAGCTAATGATTCCGCCACCAGGCAACTCCGGGAGCCGCTCGGCTCGTCCTGATTTCTGTGTCGCACTTGTGGTTTTAATTGCTCCTTCCTAGTGCCTGTTTTAGGGTATGGAGTGCCACGCCGTGTGCCCAGCACAGTCGCTCGGATACTGCCGGGCCCCAGGTCTCTCGCGCGTGCCCTGAGGGCCTTGCCCAAGTAAGTGATCGCCGCGGCGGGCGCGGGGTCGGGGTTGGGACCGGGGAAAGCGGAATTGGTAATTCCCGGAGCTCAGGGCAAGGCGTGAGGAAACCCGACGGCCGGGCCGCCTAGGGACAGTGTATTCCAGAGACTTGCAAGGTGGGGGAAGGGGAGAGACGGCCGCACATCGCGACAGTCTCTTGGGTGCTCTGTGTCCACAGCTGGAAAAGGATCAAAGACTTTTGCGGTAGCACAGGGGACCTGGTTGCCTTCTTGGAACAAAAGTCCGGCATGAGCCCCTCGGGATACTGTTTCAGAGCCTTGCTTAATTTAGAAGCGGGTTGTGTGTGAGCAAGAGATGGCTACACTCCGGAATTATTTCTTAGCTCAGAAAGGTCTAGGGAGGAGCACTGAGCGCGGGCCCTCTGATGCCGAGCCGCTGGCGGTAGCTGGTTTCTCAATGTGGGATCTTAGCTGCACTCAGTGAACTTGGAGTGGATCCCTCCCACCCCCTACTGCTAAGGTGACACCTGTTCTGAATGCCGGTTTGCTTAAATTGTTGCCTGCCCTCACTCTGAGAGAAAACAAAACTCTCCCATTTGTCCTGAGGGTCCGGGATTCCTCATGGAGCCTACTGGAGTCACCTCAGGACCAGGAGGTCCTGGTGGTGTTAGCCGCAGCCACTCTTGGCTGGAATCCCAGTGGCTCTGGGTGAGGTTTTCGGCCAGTTCAGCTGGAAGAGGGACAGGAAGGCGTGGACGAGGTATTTTTAAATCTACTTCCTAATCTCAACTTCAAAGCATGTTAAAGGGAGTTCTTTAGGGAGCTGCTGAGTGTTGGTACACACATACACACATATATATATACACCCACACACTTTAGGTTAGTCCCTTTAATAAATGGAATTATAAACTTGTCCCATAAATACCTCCACCTCAAAATAATTGCTGCACAAGCAGCGTGTTACCTCAGTGGTTAGTAAAGTCCTGTGGTCCTAATAAAACTATCCTTGGGGAACCTCGGAGTAAACTGATTTGCAGATAAGATACAATGCTAATGGTTGCAATCTGATTGCCTTAGGAGAAAACTGAAGTCATTCTCCAGCAAACATCTCCCAAGGCCAGCTGAACCCTCTTGATCTTTAGGGAATTCAGATCTTTGGGGGGGTGGGGGGCAGTAGCATCAGGCTGTGGGCCTCTGCTTGGCCAACTTCCGACCACACAAAAAGTTTTTCTATGGACCTTGTAAATCATCAACCCCTCCTTGGTCTTTTCCAGTTCTCAGACTCACTAGAATCAGAAACACCTCTATCCAAAAATCTACAACCCTGGACACAAAGAAGCCGAGCTGGAGGGGTTGGGGGACGACGAGAGAACCCTGTGTTAGGTAAAAGCTGGAACTCATCTCTTTTCCGAGCCACCTGGTCCTCAGTTTCCCGTATTATGAATGTTACAAAGATGAGCTGGCTCTTAGTCCTGGCCGAGGACACCACCTGTCCTGGCAACTACAGGTGCCATTTCCTTGCCGCTTCCGAAAGCCCAAGTTATCTTTAAGGGATGTCAGCTTTGCAAAACCCGCTTCAGTAGAAACAAGAGTTAGCACAACCATTAACTGCTTGAACACCCTCGTTGGACTTGTTCCTAAAATCATAACCGAAGGCAGACGGCTTCCTTCGTGGACTGCCAGAGGCCCGGCCTCTCCCTGCCCTTGAGCTCAGGTGAGGAACAGGTACCGGAGAGCAAGCGCAAGGGAAAGGAGGGTGCTCCGGGCAGGAATGGCCCTTGGCAGACAGAGCGTGGGCCCTTGGATTCCTGTTCCTGAAGCGGGATGGAACTGCCGGCCGAACTGGAGCTCAACTCGCAAGCTTCAGTCCCGGCCAAGTAGGCCCTTGCTCTCAAATGCGCCCGTATCTCCTCTCTCTGGGACCCTCTCGGTTTCCAGAACAGCTGACGTTTGCGGCTCCTGCAGCGTGCAAGCGCGGGTCCCGATGCGAGAAGGGCCAGTCTGGGGAGGGGTCATTTTAGAGACTAGACCGCCCACTAATCAGCCACTGTTCACACCTGGGCGAGTGGGGCCCAAGCTCGAATTCCTAGTGCAGCAAACGGTCTAGCGTGCGTGCGTGCGTGTGGGGTGGGTGGGGGGAGGGCCTCAAACTTCACCTCTGGACTGGCCTTGGAGGGCTGGATGTGGGCGGGGGAGGAAGAGCCGCAGGGGTCCAGGAAAGTCGCGTTTCTGGATTGACAGAAACCTGAAGAATGGCCAGGCCCAGAGTCCACTGCCAAGGACATGTTTGTAATCAATGCCTCTGTTCGCGGGCTAATCTTTCATCGCAAAGCCGCGATGGAGGGGAAAGATACGGAAGGGCTGGGGTTGGGGGCTGGCTTCTGCGAGCATCCTTGGGGCCGGCCAATATGGAATACACAAAAGGGAGAAACGGATTCTTAAAAATCCCAGTCAACAGGTTCGGATTTTTCGGCAGACGTGCAAAGTTCAGATACAAAGATCACTGTAACTGTCAGAGAGGTAAGGACCTCTGATACAATGGATTTAAGAGGTTTTTTACTCCAACAGTCAGGGCAAGGGAAAGAGAAAACCGTGCTTCTCTTGGAATCTCTTCCAACAAGGGGGTTTCCTCCAGTCCCCTCCAGATGCGTTGACCGCGCTGGGAAACCGAGTCCAGGGCCAGGATTTGTTTTTCCAAAGCCGCGCGACCCCAGCAGGGCTTCAGATCCGAGTTCCCAGTTGCTCTTCAGTCTCCCCCGCGTTCTTCCAAACGCTATCAGGAGCCACGCAGGTTACCGCACCACCGGTCATTTCCCTGTTTCTTCTAAAAGTTCTCCAGCCAAATTTCAGCAATTTATTTAAAAAGGCACCAGGTCACCGCGACCTTCGGGCGGCTCCTCAGGCCTCATGGGGTAGTTTGGTCAGGATCTGCGCGCCCCTCGACGTGATCAGAACCGTGTGCTCGAACTGCGCCGACCTGTAACACAGCACCCAGCCGTCAGAACGCGCACGCAAGCTCCGGCCGGGCCACAAGCGCGCCGTCGGACCAATCTTCCTTTCCCATACAATTTAAAAGCAACAGAGCAGAAAGCAAACACCTTTGATTGTCTAGGGAGACCACAGTCCATGCATCCTCCAGGACTTTAAATTCAGGGGATCCCTCCGTGATGATTGGCTCTGTAAGAGGAAAAATATTTACTGCAGTGACCTCATCAGATTCTTGTTAAACATTGTTTCCGGCTGATTATTAAAAAAGAGAAGTTTCTCCTCCCTCCCCTCAAGTGCTTCCCCCACAGGCTCATGTTGTCATCTTGCAAGGGTTGATAATTGATGTTGCTTACATAGTATACTACAAACTAAACAGTTGGAAGAGGAAACACTGCGCCATTCAAAATGTATGAAGTTGCCTAGTTCGTAATTTTTTAGAGAAAGAAGGGCATTTTAATCAAGCTTTAATTAGGACCCCGTGGATAATAACCACCCAAACACCAGTCCCTCTTATAAATACCAATTTTTAAAAAAATATTTAAATTTTAAAAACATGCTCGAGATGTTCATTCATCAGCAAATAACAATTTTCTTATTTCACTCTAATTGCTTCTCCATTAAGTCCCACAGTCAGAAACAGGATGTCTTTACGGCCCTAGGTGACTGGAATTTGGTGGTGATACCAATCACAGGATCAGCCAGGAACGGGCCACCAGAGAGCACATGCCACTTGCTGACAGGGAGCAAGGGACATAATCGTGTCTAGTTACTGGGTGTTAATGAAAAAACAAAACAAAACAAAAAACCCAACACCACATTATGCTGGTAACAGAATTAGAGGTTGGATGGCTGCCTTCTCCTAAATGTGTCGGTAAGTATCTGATTTAGGAAGATGGGGCTTGAGGATATTATTTAATCAGATTTCCAGTGCATCCGAATTATTTCATTACACTGATTGGCTTTATTGGTCCTTCACCGGACTGCCGGGCCTAGGCCAGTGGCAAAAGCTTCCACCAGGAGCTACGCACTCACTCGGAAGAGGAGCTCAATTTACCTATAGTGAATGCCATGCCCTCCTCCATGGGTAGATCACTGTCGTTTGCTGCAAAACAAAAAACATGGGGGGTGAGAATAGGAAATGGGGAGGACAGAAAAAAAAAACAGATTACAGGGGTCAGGCCCCTTTAAAAAACTTGGTCGTTTTATTTCTCTTCTTTTAGAGAAGGAAGGGTGGAGATTTCTGGAGTCCTGGATAGTGACCAGGAGTTAAACACGGGGCTACTGGGCCTGAGTCTTTGCATTATCTGTGCTCTGGGTCAAGACTCCCCCAGAAGAGTTTTCCAAGGCCTGGCAGGGGCAGCCTGGTTGTTTCAGACACGTCAGGCTTCCTCGCCCCCTCTCCCTGTCCCCCAGGCTACTAGGTCTCCCAGCCTACTACTGGGTCCTGGGCCTTGCCCACACCCCTCACTCAAAGAAGTCCTGGGGAAGGATGCAAAGGAGGGAAGCCTCCTTTGGTGCAGGTTGTGGGGAGCAGGGGCCTGACTTCAAATAGCTTCACTCCAGACATTGGCACCAGGTAGGGCACAAGGCTGACAAGCCGTTTCTGCACTCTCACCTGAACCTCTTGAGCTGCCTAGGTGGGGGCTCTTTGGTCCAAAGAGGGTTTGGACCTGCTGGGTGTCCAGCGATCCTCGAGGGCATGGGTCCGAAAGAGTAGTCCTTCTATGGACCAATCAAGTCCATAGGGGCACAGGTCAAGGCCCCAGGACCAACTTTCCTTTGATCCCCGTCCAGGTGTGGACCTGCCTTGAGGGTGCTCCACTGAGCTGCCTCCTACCTCAATCCAAATCCTCCCACCCCTCTGGGCCCACCCCTGTCTTCTCACTATAGGGTGCACACCCAGGCAGTGAAAAACAAGAGATTCTGGGGAAGGAAGACAAGGGTGGGCATAATCTAGAAATCACGAAGGAGTACATGCTGCTAAATACATCAGCTGTCAACGCTGTGTAGGATGTAATGAAGTTTAACCACAACAGTCAGCAGCTAGAAAAGGGGGTAGAAAAAGAAAAACAGAAACAGTCATATGTGCATGCTGCTGGGACACTGATGCAGTGGCGTTTTGTTTTCAGTAACTTTTTCTACACAAATATCCCTTGTGCCTTCCAGCCATGCACCCTTCAGGAGAAGACAGAGAGCAAAATAAACCTTATTTTGGGATTGAAACAGCTGGGCTCTAATCCAGTAACACAGTAATGTCCCGGTTAAAATTAAGCAGACCCCCCTCCCCTGCCCCCTGCACATAAACACACACACAAACACAAGGTTGATAATGCAGATTCAAAGTCAGAGGAAGAGCTTCAGGGTCAAAGCTGCCACATCTTGATCTCTGATCAAGAAACAGCCTCCAAATGAACTTTCTTACCATGATGCCAAATTTCTGGATGTCCATGAAAGTAAGATCCTATTCCATGTCCCACAAAATGTGGACAGACTTGAAAACCATTCTGATGAGTTATGTGGCTTTAAAAGTGACCAAAAAATATTTAATTAAATTAGATAAGTTTTTCAGGCATACTAAGATAAAACAAAGTCACTTTAAAATATTCTCTGAAAAAGAAAAAGTCAGTAATATTTAGAGTCAGATAATAACATTCATGTGTTTTCATTATGCTGTAATAATTTTAATTTTTGCTGTTGCCTGCAACCACTGTCTTTGGATATATGAAGAGAGAAGGTACATATCTATCCAACACAGTCGTTTGAGTCATTTACCTTTGTACAGCATTCAAACAAAGCCACTTTTAGACAACAAGTGAGTGTGTATACACACATAGTGATTGCCATACATAACCGGGATATATGTGCATATAATGCAGGTCATAAAAACCTGCCTGGCTTTTTTGAGGTTTCACAAAAAGACTATAAATTACTCCTGATTGGGGAACCAAATATAAAACAAATTACAATATAGAAATATGACTTTCTACTTCTATGGTTCCCTTTTTCTGCTCTATTTCAAAGTGTTACACATTTTACCAACAGGCACACTCACACGAAAAGCTCAATCTACTTTGTCAATATTCTTGAAATACTCCAAAACCGTGAGATCATTTGAGAGTTCCATTCAAGACCTGCACCATTAACAAAATTCATAAAGAATGCTTTTTAATCACTAGGATGCTTAAGATAAGCTAGTATTGTGATTCCCAATTCTTAGTGCTTCATTAGTTACTTCATTACATGTATGTGGAGAAGTACATTGCATGCACTACATTAGTTACATGCAAATGTTTTACATTCCATCTGAAACCAAGCACACAGACTCCAATTCTAAAATCTTCATCTACAAGATTGAAAAGTAGTCCTTGAAATCAGCTAACATGTTTATTTTGGGGAGCATCAGACAAACAAGAACATATATACTATTAAGAATTTATATTTTCATGTGGACAAAGGGCAAAATGCCCCTAACCCTAACACTAGATTGGGATTTACAGGACTACTATTTCAATTATTAACAGAACTAAGTTTCTAGATCTCAAACTAGAGTCTCTAACAGACTCTAAGTTTAGTTTAACATGAACCCACAGGCTTTCAGCCAGCATCTTTATGGCCATTCATGTTTATACATTTTTCTAAATAATTTTAACCATCCCCAGACTTGTAAGACAGCTTCACTTAGACCTGGATGTCACTATAACCAGCAGATGGGCAGCCTCTTATTCAGATTTAATTTTGATGTAACTGTTAGTGCAGAAATAGGTAAGCTATACATATGTTGAGGACAGGAACGGTAAGTCAAGGTTTTTATCTCTTACGTTGTACTTTATGGTTATTTCTGTGGATCTTTGGTGGGCAAGTATTTCTATTTGGTGTTTCCCAAGGTGTTTTTATTTGTGCCACACAGTTTCTGAATAAACACTGAGGATGAAGAGTGAATACAGGGTGGAAGAAAGATAATTAAATAGGACATAATAATCTAGATTTTTTTTTTTTTACAGGAACAGTTTCTCCCTAAACCTATAAATTATGTTAGTTCAATCCCAACAAACCTCAATGATTCTAAGAACACTCAATATAAACTATTCTATTTTCTCTTCTAAAAAAAAAAATCTAGGTTCTTTTTTTTTTGTTTTTAGAGGATCCGGCTGATTGGCAGGCATCACGGCTACATCTTAAATGTGTGTTACAATGGCAATCTTCATTTTAATTTCCGATGAGAGGAGAGGAAGAAAGCCCACTCTGAAAAAACACTTAGGGTCCCTCCCCCCATCATACCTCTCGTTCCTCTGCATAAAAGAAGCTGTGCAATTACTAGGTGGCTAAAGATATCTAAGAGCATTCTCCTACAACAATTTACTCCGTGGGTCCTGCTGGAACTTCTGGCTCCAGGAGTATCATAGAATCTGTGTGTCATGGATGCAAAGGTTAGAGGATTTCACAGCCAGGTGGAAAGAGGAAAAGAACAGGCCAAATTTCCCCCAGTTCCCTGCTTGAGCACATCTTAATGCCTGACTCTCAGGAGCTGAGTATACACTCCTGTTTGCTTTGCAGAGTATTTTCCTTCTGGATTGGTAGGTGGTTTTTAGCACTTACTGGAACTAAGTCAGATAGGATCTCATTAATATTCCTAATTACTGTTTAAAAGCATTCCCTTTCTATTATTTTGGAATAAATGGGGAGCACAAGATTATTTACCTGATTGTAGGGTTTAAGTCCAAATTCACAGAGACAATCCAAGTGACCAGTAGTAGCAAATTTCACTCCTCTAATTTGAAAGAAAGTACTGGTAACCCTAACTGTGGCATGGGGAGTTGGAGTATGTCTGCAGCTCTTGACTGGCATGCTGGGGAAAATGGAAACAGCAGGGCAGGCAGAAGCACCGAAGTGCTCCCAAACACCAGTCACCACAGGCCATAACCCTTTTCTGTGCACAAGAGTTTTCTTGCCCTGGACATTTCACGGATAAAATCTGTCTTCGCTCTGCTGAAACCTACTGAAAAGAATTCTCCTGGTAGTAGATCTTCTGATTTTCTCTAACTAAAAATCCTTTAAGACAGTGTGACATCTGCCCATGAACCCAAGCACACTTGTGATTTGAGGCCTTTTATATGGAATATTTGGAGAGGGAGAGGAGGATACATAAAGGTTGTTTATGAACTTACTTTCCTATTATACTGTCTGATTACAATTCATGTTGTAGTTACAGTTTATACATGAAAAAGATACCTCTTTTAAGGAATTTCATCTTGTGACCATTTTCTTCAGTTTAATTCCTTTTCATGAGGCAGTTATACTCAATTTAAATGTCACCTAGGTAAATTAAATTTCTTAATACTTTTCAACTAGTTTTTTGACTAAAAATACATTCCCCAAGAGGGCAGAGGAGTACTATGTTTACGTACATGCTGTTATAAAGAAATAAAAATGCACATGAAAATAGATTTATTGCCAATTTTACATTAATCCTATAAACAGCACTAATCTCCAAATAGTCACATCTCTAATAAATGATCTCAAATGGCATGTTATTTCATAAGTTATGAAATTTTTCTTTACTCTTTCTAGATATTTATTTTAGGCAGTAGTTATGAATGAAGAAATGCACAAATCCAGGGATTCCTTCTAATGAAAAGGAATGTTTAAGTACAATTAGTAATATTTTTGAAAGCCAACAACTGTTTTCCAAAAAAGTAGTAGATTTTTTTTGTTTCAAACCAGATCACAAATTACTGTATTTTTCTTACAATAGTGCTGAACTTTTATTTGAGGTTTTCTGTTTCTGAAAAGCAGACATGATGGATTGAAATAAAAGATAATTTATTGCAATGCTTACTTTCATGTGCAGAGAGAAGCAGTATAATTGTAATTTACAGTAGCTGTCAAGAAAAATCCATCACAGATGACATTAAAATGACTTATTTTGCCTGAGCCACTTATTGTTTAAATGTGCGTAATCTAATAGAAAGAGATTATTTTTTAAAAATCTGCTTTATATTGTTCCAAATTAATATCAAAACATATAGTTATGAATTAAACATTAAAAACCATTTATTGATACTTTCATCATGACATTTACAAGTTTAAATTATTTTTGATTGAACTGTCACATATTCATGATGCATGAATCTACACATTCACAATATACTCATATGTACAGATTGTATAATCTAGAGATAATTATAAAAATACAGATTTAGAAATATTTTAAAGCAAATGGAGATACAGTGAGTCTAGTAACACTATGACCTAAAGATTACTAGACATTCCTCACAAAAGCAAAAGGGCCCAGAGAGAACTCTTTCCATTAAAACATTTTAGCTGATACTTCCTCAAAGACATTATCTTCTTTAGGTTTCAGAGGAGAATTCCAAAATTTCCTGTAGAGATCTCAAGGTTTTTGATAACATGATACTAATACAAGTTGCTTGTTCTTTTCCTAGTGTATCAGTAGAGAGAGGCTACGCAAAAGATGGTGAATATCTTAAAATAAACAAGACCGAGTTGAAAGATGTTTGTAAACCTTTGGTCTGTAATGATTTCAAGTACTTTTGGCTTAAAGGTAAATATGGTTTGTTTACTTATTCCCCTAAGATTTTGCCAGAATAAGAAAAGGCAAGATAATAGGTGTCCAGAAACACTGCTTTAACACATCAGAACAAATATTTGTTAGAATCGGGGCCAGTTTCCTTTCTAGCGGCAGACATAAACCATCTAAATAATGAAATGTATTAGGGTACAAGTAAAAAGTTCATTGTCTGTTATTTTCCACATAGTTTTTTTAAGTGCAGTTGTTGGGACTGACTGATCTGGTTTTCAAAAAAGCTTGTACATGCAAATTCATACTCTGTGAAAACTGACCTTTGTATCCAGATAGCTAAAATCCAATGTCACTTTCAATTCTACTCTTCTTCTTCTTCTTCTTTTTTTTTTAATGTAGCTAGAATTAATGTAGTGAATATGTAATGAAATGCATTATCCTGCATGGAGATTTATCAAATTTTCCAACTGAATGCTATGCTTTGCTAGTACTAGCTGGAGTTCACCTGCATGTTGGTGTGGCGTGTGGCTCTTTTTTGTAAAGAGTTAAGTCGTACACAAAAAAAGGGAACAAAGGTCAGCACCCAGCCGCCACTTGAATGTGAGATTTTTCTTTTTATTCCCCTTGATGTATACTAGGCTCTGTGTTATTAGTCTTAATGATGGAAAATTGTAGTGTTGATACAAATCTTTTTTTCAAAGTAGTAGGCGGGAGCTCCATTTGTTAGTAAGTTTTTTTTGTGACTAAAAGCCATGGACAGTACATTTATGTAGCAGTAAAAGGCCTAGATGCTCTTTCCATAGCAGAGCTAATTATTCCTACTGTGACCTTACTGATCTAGCCTGTTCCTAGCACATCTCATCTGCACGCCTGTTCCTCTGTGTAGATGGTGTCAGAGAATATGAAAAACCCTATAATGAAACCATTTTCATGATGGAGAAAGGCTACTGGAGTTGCACTTGCTACAAAGAGGCTCAATTATATGAGTAATTGTGATAATTTTCTACATTCATAGCCTTCAATGGGGGAAAAAGAATGAGAGCCACAAAGGAAAATTACTTTAACAAGAAAGTACAGAGAGTAAAAATGGAAGAAGAGACAAAAAGGGGAAAAAATAACCAGAAAAAAAGTTTAAAAAATAGATCTGGAGGGAGGAATAGCGAGACAGGGAGAACAACAGAAATGCTCAAAAGCCCATGTGCAGCTGTGTTGCACAATTAAATTGAATTTTTTTTTCTGCAGTTGATGAATGTGACTACTGCAAATGTGCCTCTGTAGTTAGCTATCATTTGTTGTTCCGTGACAGGAAAAGGATAATTACCTCTCAGAGAGAATCAAAGGCTGACATGCCCTTTAGACACAGCCATGAATGCAGAGCTCGATAGAATGCTTGAATAAGAATCTAGTGTTCTCTGCCCCCTTCTACTGAAGAATAAATTTTGTTAAAATGCAAGAGCACCACCAGTAAATTTGTTGAACCCTAGGTGTTCAAAAATATGAGGTGCATCTATCGACTCATCCCATTTGCAAAAATAAAACTGCATTTTGAATTCATTTCTATTATATTCATGGACAGTAAGATAGTGAGATATGCATTAAATTTCTTTTCCCAGTAGGGGTCTGATTCAACATTTCCTATGAAAGAACAGAGAGACACTATCCTTTTTTCCCAGGCTAGTTAGCCTATAATTTAAAACTGTCAAAAACACAATTTTGTTCAAAGTCTTCAATAAAAGCTTCTCAGATATAACCCAAAGAGATTTTACTAAAGTTTGATTCAGACACTGTTACAATATTTTTAAAGCCATAAATACATTTAACTGATATTTTACTGGCTTTTTTCTTAAAGTATTTGAAGGCTTACGAAGAAAAAAAGGCAGCATCTTTTCAAGGTGACTAAGCCTTCCATCCTTTAGACAAATGGGAAGTATTCAATGGTTCATATTAATGAGAACAGTACTTTAAAGGGCACTGATGTGATCATCTTTAACAGAATGCATTACTTTAAAATGAAAACATATATTCGGCATGTCTACTTCAAAACAGTTATGGGGGAAAAAAGACCTAAAAGTAGGTAACAGATTATAAAGAAAAGTCTTAAATTCAGAAAACACACATACACATACATTCAAAAAGTAAGGATAGAATACTCTGTGAAAAATAAACAACGGTTTACAGGAAAAATGAACCAGACAAAAAAAGAACAGAAGATCACCGTTTCAGGCTATTTGTTAATCTACCAATTTGAAAGGTAAGGCTTGCTTGAACTAACACTTTATTATCTTCATATCACAGAAATACATTTCACTTCATTCCTTTATAAAATTTAGTTTTTCTCCTGTCTTATTAAAAACCCCAGGGTTGAGATGCTCATCCCCTTCTTAGGTACTCCCTTCCATATTTGGTGTGATTTTGAATAAAGGGAAACTATAGACCAGTATGTCAAGCTAAAACAAAAGCAGCCATGTAAATATTGCTTGCTCCTTCTATAAGTTTCTTTGCTGACCCTGGTATAATTCATTTTTATAAAATCTTTTTTTTTTTTCAACTCAGGGAACAATATTGCAGCCTGGCAGTTCACATACTGATATCAGACTGAAATGATGGTTCTGAATCATAAAACATGTCATCAACTTTATACCAAGCCACCAATAACCTTTGTACCATTTGCCAACCCTCCCTTTACTTGTCAATGTAAGGCTTACCTGATTGTGTTTCCAATTACAGAGAAGGGAGCCCCTGCTCTGCAAGCTGCAATTGCTTCATCTCTACACCTCCTGGCAACCTCCACTAACTTTTTACCACATTCGTCCACATTGCCCACCAAAAATGTTTCAGAGGTGTCTCCATGGTAGCCATTGTAATAGACCTAAACATAAGCAGAAATTTAAAAATATGTCCTTGTTTAAAAATCTACTTTCCTAAAGTATACATTGTATTCATTTATGTATTTAGTAGACTCATGTTTTACCCTTCCAGAATTATTCATTTGCCTATCAAAAAAAGAAGAAATAGATATATTGAAACCTTGCAGAAATTTAAAAGATGAAGCCATGCAATGATATTGCAAAATTTAAAAACAACTATGTTAACTAGTATGGTTATTTCAGCATTATGATGAACAATACTACTGTAATATTTTGATTCCTCACTTTATTTCTGAGAAGACAAAATTATATAAGCAAAAATTAGTAGCCAAAGACCTTGATCTACAATTACCACAACAGGTTTAGAGAACCAAAAAGTATTTAACATAGTGAAAAGTTTCTTCAATGTCATGAAGACTTACTTGATTTTGTATTTACCAGTTCTACATTTGAAGTGATATATAATGACAAGAAGAAGTAAGATAGACATGTCTGTATTCTAACAAACAAATAGGAGAATTCAGTTCTAAGAATTGAAGTGGTTCCATATAGGAATGAAATGTGTTACAGAAAAATCCTATGTCTAGAAGTGAAATCTTAATCAAATGTTCCAGACAGCCGAACGTTAACAGAAAGCACTATATATGGATATCTAAAGAATTAGAATATAATAAAACAAGCTTAAAAGCACAATTACAGAAAGTATAATTTTATCAGTCTTCAGTGATTCAGAAGCCAAGTAGGATCTTGAAAGATACCAGATTCATTATAAATCATTGATAACCAAGCACTATAGTAAATATAAAAGGCAGAGGCAACTGTTTGGATACTGATCCTTTGATGTAGCATGGAATTTGCTACTTTGCATAAATTTGTCCTATCTAATTATTTTTCACATTTCTCTTGCTCATAAGGTAGAATGTAGAAACTGTTATAAAAAAGATGTTTATATGAGCTTTCAGTCTGTTGTGATACTGAATTAATGTCTTAAATCTGTATACTACTCTGCATTTCTTAAAAAATGCTCTCATATTCTGTGAAGGAAGCAAGAAAGGTCTTTATTAGATCTTCAGTTTATAATTCAGGAAACTGAGGCACAGATAAGTAACTTGTTTAAGGTTGGTGGCAGAATATAGAGGTAGATTCAGGTTAATATGATGGATTATTGGCTTCTAATCGAGTGTTTTCTCTACTATATCAAATTATCTTAATTACCTTGCAACAGAATAGTGTTTTATACATTTACTCCCACTTACAGTCCTTTGCAATCCAGGAAAGTATGAGTTTTTATTTTATACACTTGGCAGTATTTCACTTTGCTTCATAGGTTTTACAATTTTGAAATAGTTTGAATGTTAATAATGAAACTATTAAAAGTCTTCAGGAAACTTAGAAAAGGAATAGAGTATTCTCTTTGGACACATTGGAAACAGTAGGGAAGACTATGCTGATTTCGTTCAAAAATTCAAATTTTTATATTCTTATATTTCATTCAAAATACAAGAATACTATTTCAAAATACAAAATACGATTTCATTCAAAATACAAGAATATAAAATTTGCTAATATAGGCGTAGTCAAGAAAATGTATAAATGAATGTTTATATAACTGCTTTTTAAGTAAAAATGTACTATTTTAAAAAATCTTTATTCATCTTTTCATATTACTTTTTCCTAGCTTTGAAAATGATTACTTGAGGCTGGGTGCAGTAGCTCACGCCTGCAATCCTTTGGGAGGCTGGGATGAGAGGATTGCGTGAGACCAGGAGTTTAAGACCAGCTTGGGAAACATAGTGAAACCCCATCTCTACAAAATTAAAAAATTAACCAGGTGTGGTGGCACACGCCTGTAGTTCTAGCTACTTGGGAGGCTACGGTAGAAGGATCACTTGAGCCCAGGAGTTCAAGCTTACAGTAAGCCATGATGGCACCACTGCACTGCATCCTGAGTGACAGAGCAAGACCCTATATCTGAAAAAGTAAAAAAAGAAAAGGAAACAAAGAAAAAGAAAAAGAAAGGAAGGGAGGAAGGGAGGGAGGAAGGGAGGAACGAAGGAAGGAAGGAAGGAAGGAAGGAATATCAAAATGACTATTTGAGACTGGTGCAGTGGCTCACACCCATAATTCCAGCACTTTGGGAGGCGGAGGTGGGCGGATCACTTGAGGTCAGGAGTTCAAGACCAGTCTGGCCAACATGGTAAACCCAGCCTCTACTTAAAATACAAAAATTAGCTGGGTGTGGTGGCGTGTGCCTGTAGTCTCAGTTACTGGGGAGGCTGAGGCAGGAGAATCACTTGAACCCTTAAGGCGGAGTTTGCAGTGAGCTGAGATCCTGCCATTGTGCTCCAGCCTGGGCAACAGAGGGAAACTCCGTCTGAAAAAAAAAAAGACTACTTAAAAGATTCACTATATACAGAAATACAATACTTTTGAAAGTCTGTGGCAGTCATCTACAATTTCTATTTATACCCATAAACTAGTACTTGTACTTCATTTATTTATTTATTTATTTTTTGAGACAGAGTCTCGCTCTGTCACCCAGGCTGGAGTGCAGGGGCGCGATCTCAGCTCACTGCAACCTCTGCCTCTCAGGTTCAAGCAATTCTCCCTGCCTCAGCCTCCTAAGTAGCTGGGATTAGAGGCTCCTGCCCCCACACAGGGCTAATTTTTATATTTTTAGTATTTTTAGTAGAGATGGGATTTCACCATGTTGGCCAGGCTGGTCTTGAACTCCTGACCTCAGGTGATCCGCCTGCCTTGGCCTCCCAAAGTGCTGGGATTTCAGGCATGAGCCACTGCGCCTGGCCCTTGTACTTCATTTAACAAATATTTATTGAGCAACTACTATGGACATCGCATTGTCTTTAAGAAAAACATTTTTCAGTTTTAAAGGGGGGAAGGAAATCTAATTTCTTGTGATGTATACTAGACGTCAATAATTCTAAGATGCAATGAGTATTTTCTGATAGAAACATAGGATCTGATAATGGAGTCCTTCACTTAATAAAATATTTTATAAGAAATATAATTTGTTAAGATATGGACCTATATGTTTCCTAGATTCCTTCACATTTCTAGACACTTGGAAATATTTCACTTTGCTTTATAAGTTTTGCAATTGTGAAGTAATTTGAATGTTAAATACAAAACTGTTTATTAAGTATTCAGGAAACTTAGAAAAGGAATAGAGTATTTTCTTTGGACACACTGGAAACAGTAGGGAAGAGTAGTTGATTTCATTCAAAACATTAAAATGGTAACATTTCATGATAGGGTGACTAGATGAGAAAATAGATGTAAAACCGTAAAATCAGGTACAATCCAAAATAAAAGTGTCTCATGAAAAGAACTCTGTTTTAGGTATACTTCATAAAATACCTCCTTCCACATGATTCTGAGTTGGAAAGATACCAACAGGATGTATGTGGTGCAAGTGTTCAAGCATTTTAAGTAGGATAAAATGATACAGGAAATAGCATCAGCAATGAAAGAATCGTTGGCTATCTCCTCATATGATTGATATGAAGAAAAAAGGTTTAGTTAACTTAAACTAAAAGTCAGACTGAATTCCACCATTGGATTCCTATTTTTATCTCATTCCCACTCCTACTTCAGTTTCATGGTCTAGATACTATTCTTAAAAACACTTCCTTATTAATAGAAATTGTATTCCCTGAATATTGTCATTTCAACTAGTTCTCCTAAGATGTTTAAATTTTGTTTATTTATTTAAAATGTATTTGTTAATCATTAGATGTACAGAATTTATTTATAATCTAGGTAATCCAAAGGTATCATTACAAAATTCTTTAATAAACAGAAATGTAAAAGCACATATAATCCAAGTCTGAGAATGGTAAAAGGCTAAGAAAATGAGAAAAAGCTACATCTTGTACAATTTGAAGTCCCTATGATAAATTACTTAGGCTTGTTACTTAAAAGAAAGGCTATTAACCATTTGGTGAAAACTTAAGTTCAGACAAAAAAACCACTCTGCTTACTTTGAGCACAAGGCTCTCTATACCAGAAATGGAACTCAACGTTACCTTCAGGGATTTTAATAAATCTAGGGAACACTGCTAGCAAAAGAGTTGCTGTCCAAATAGACTGACATACACAGGCCAATGTAGCCCCTAATGACAGAGTAAGATAATGACAGGCCCCACTCAAAATCAGCAGGAAGAGGAAGATCAATCTTGGCAGAGTGAAGGAAAAATGCTGGCTTTCTTCGTGTTAGCTCATCTCATACATATCTAGCTTCAGCAGCTGCCCAGTGCTGTGGTGCTCTGCGTTAACTACACAGTGGATCAATAACAATTACACCTTCTCAAAAACATGACACATAGCAGGATTGGGTTGACATTTCACTTAGGCCAACATTGATCTCAGTGCATCTGATTGCAGCCCTAAATTCAAGTCAGGCCTGGGTTTACTTGGAATAAACACAGAGTTAAAGACAAAAAAGGAAACCAGCTGCTTGCGTCTGGGTCTAGAAGTAAACAGCACTTCCACTGGTGCAGTTCACATTTTCAATCCACTCTTCCTGTTGCTACCAGCAATTCTGAAGTTGATCAAAGACAATTTTTTATATGATTTACTCACTGTGACATCAATGTTGATAATATCTCCATCCTGAAGAGGTCGACTAAAACGTAAACAGAAAAAAAAATGGTGATAGACAGATCTCAATAAAAGGAAAATAAAAATAAATACTTAATGACTACTGTCACAAACCCAATGGGATGCAGTGATAATTTGGAGTGAAGGAGGACTACACAGGATAACTAAATCTAATCTTTATTTCAAAAGATGCACTTAATTTATTACCTTAATTTTGCCAAGAACCAAAACAAGAGTTGATAAGAAAAATTTGCCACATTTGAATTTTACCACTTATATGATTAAAATCTAAGAAGTAAAAGACATACGTAATGCACAACCCCCATTTAGATTATGCACTGCTTTAACAAACATTAAATGGTGGTGGTGTATCCATTTAGAAGTAAAATACTTCAAAATTTCTGTTTTATCATAATCAATTTCAGAAGTTTACCGGTGGGTTTCAATTGAATGATAGTGTCTTTCAACATATGTTACAGATCTTAGCTTCATGTTTTAGTTTCCAAAGGAACAATATGTTATTAAGAACTGAATACCTGTCAGGAATACCATGACAGAGCACGTTGTTTACAGAGGTACAAACAGATTTTGGAAAACCTCCATAGCCTAGAGGTGAGGGATAGGCATTATGACTGATGATTTCCCGATGAACAAGAGCATCTATCTCTTCAGTTGTCATGTCAACCTAAAATGTTAAATAAAGAAATTGTGCAGCAACAATTGAAGACATTTCTTGTATTTATCAACTATGCTATAGCAACAGTACTTCCATGTGAGACTGTATAAATTTACTATGATAAAGTTATGGTACAACATTTGAATTAATTATGATTAGTGTTAGAATCCTCAACTGTGCCTTGTGGACAATCATTTGGGCATATGATGGTGTTATGGACCATTAGGAAATAGAAATGTTAAACCCTACGATCCTCTAAATCATTTGTGAGTCATTAAATGACATAACTCCCTTTTGGCCTGAGGATTTCAAAATTATGTTCTTCGGCAATTCCTTACTCTTTCTCAATGATTGGTGCCCTGGGCTACCCAGCGCATGTGAATAAATGCTCAAAAGGTTCATCAGTTGAACCTTGAAAAGCTTGAAAAGTAGGTCAACTCGCATCTTTTTATCTCAGTAAAACATTACAGGGGTTTTGCAGCAATGGCACAGAGATTATGGTTGATATTTAAAAGAGTGAGTCTAATATAGTTTGTAGAGATTTGATTTTAAGTAATCTTCATTTCTTTCATGTCTAAATAAATGTAATTTTTAAAATATTTTTTCCTTACTAAAGGTATTCCAAACTAAATTGCTCCCAAACTAAAAGAAAACTGAAATTGAGTTTTATAAGTATATGAAGACTATTTCCATAAACTCCATAAACATAAATAAAATTCTAAAACAAAAATAAAATCTTTTATTAAAAATTAACCATTTCTTCAATAATTTTCTTCATTTTGTATATATACATTATGTTTAGCCGTGTTGTAAGTTTATTACACAGAAGATACTGTGAGTGATTTTATCTTTGAGTCTCACTTCCTAAATTCTGCCCACCTTTTGGCAGAAAATAGGCTCATATTTTTCTTTTATAATCCTTATACAGAAGGGTGCTTCAGATTATTATGAAAGAACTAAATGAAAGAACTAAATCTTTTTTTTTTTTTTTTTGAGATGGAGTCTCACTCTGTTGCCCAGACTGGAGTACAGTAGCATGATCTTGGCTCACTGCAACCTCCACCTCCTGGGTTCAAGTGATTCTCCTGCCTCAGCCTCCCAAGTAGCTGGGACTACAGGTGCCCGCCACCATGCCTGGCTAATTTTTATATTTTTAGTAGAGGTGGGGTTTCACCATGTTGGCCAGGCTGGTCTCGAACTCCTGACCTCAAATGATCCACAGCCATGAGTCACTGCGCCTGGCCTAAAAGAACTAAATCTTGTAGTAGGAAGTTGTATGTAATTACACTGCTATATTACCTACAGCTTTGTGTATGTGATCTGATCTTTCTTTGCAGGGCAAATGCAAGAAAATAGGAGACAAAGGACAAGGTAGAGCAAATCTTCAAGCACACAGAAATAATGTGGGGAGTAAAAGCTGAAACTACAGGCAGGAGTAGGGGGGCAAAAATCAAAGCTGTCTGCCATTGATCAACTTGGATAGGTTGACTGAGACCAAAGTATCTCTAGAATTCTGCTAGTTAAAATTGAATTTGGATTTTAAATTACTTCTTGAATAAACACATAAAATAATAAAATTCCTTTTCCCCATCCCAAGGCTTTACTTAATTTTTAAAAACAAATTAATTTAAAACAAATAAATTTTTAAAACAAATTAGATGTCAACCTAAAAGAAGAGTTAAGGAGAAGGAAAAAAAGAGGAGTGTTTGTTGCCCCTTATGTAAGTCGTTCTGAGGCTTGGTGAGACGCCACCTTTAAACTCTTCCCAGCCAAGAGGAGGACGTGGCGGGCCAGCTGACAAGCCTGATGAAGCCCTTGAATCTGATCTTCATTCTTAACTTCTATGCTGTCTCCCCAGTCTGGTACAATGCCTGTCGTCACATAGTCTGGCTTCTTTATGTGCTTGAGGAAAAAGGATTGAAAACGAAGATCAGAACCCAGCGCACGACAATGGGATCATTTTTTCAGACACAGCCTCCTGCTTCATGGAGCTCTGCCCTTCCTGCCGGAGCACCGACCTCCGAAGCCAGCACAACAGACCCTCCAGGCTGCCCCCAGTTCCTTCCCCTGCCCTTTTGAACTTAACATTGCCTGTTAGTGCTGCCTCTGGATGGTCTGTTAACCTTACCATGCTTTGAGTCAAACTGGACTGAAGTAGACTTCTGGTCAAAACAAACAGTAGTTTTCTCTTTTTCCTCCTCCCAACCCAGTTAGAAGCATATTCACCATTGATGAAAAATAGCACCAAGCTTCCAATTCACCAAATGGTTAATTAAGAGCACTTTCATCTTCTTAACACAAAAATATAATTTATGCAAAAGATAGCTCCCAACACCCTCTCAAAATGAACATATGTAAAAAGGCTGACTATCAAGTTCCCTAAAGCCTATTACATATACACTTTTCTTACATTTTGCAACCGTACTTACACTGAGACACTAGAATAAAATGAAACAAGTTTTATTCTTCAAATACATAAAAATTACCTAGAACATTTCCATTATTTGTCAAGAGTAAACAAAAAGCCACCCCAAAACTCAAGACGTGCAACCCTGATCACTTTTGCAGACCATTCTCCACCATGGGCAGTATTCAGGAAATAAATACCATCTTACACACAAAGCTTCTTTCAGTCCCAAGGTTTTGCACAGCTCTTTACAAACTATTTATAGTTTATAATGCATTACAAACTATAAGCATTATTGGACAGTCCACAGTTAGGCTCCACAGCAGTTTGGGACAGGAAGCTGAGGGAGATAACACTCTTCAATTGAAACATTGCAGCAGCTCTGGAAGGGCTGAGGTTAGGGCTCTCTTCTTTGTGAAGCCTGTCCTGCAGGAGTTACGGGTCTTCACTTGCTCCCCTGTTCAGATGGGTTTTCTGATACAGGTAACACTACTGCCTGGTTTGCCACAGCTGAGCTCCAGAGGAACATCTACTCTCCCACAGCTACACCACAAATGCCCACAAATGCTCACCAGGTCTCCCCCAAAGAGCCTGTGTTCTTGTCTCCACTCTGCTCTGTGATCTGGCAAGGTTATAACTTGCAGGCAGAAGGGCTGTTGGGCTGTCATGCTGAAATTGACTGAAATGGCTAAAGCAATACAATTCACCTCACCAGAGATTTCTTTTTCTTTTCTTCTAAGGAAAAAAGTGTCAGTTTTGTAACTAATACCAAATTCTCACTCTCACTGTGATGGCCAGGCCAGGGGATACATCCTGGTGGCCCTTCTGTGTCACTGGCCTTTGCCATAAAAGTGGGCCACTCACCTTCAGAAGTATAACATACTAAATATGGGCTCGCTGTAAACAAAGTTCATAAAAGGGAGAAAGCAGATGATTTTTGTGACCAATCTATATTTCTTTAGCTACTCTCCTTCTTCCTAAAGGGCTCACTCGCACACTCCCTTTATATTGCATTTTGAAAAATGGATAGATTGCCTTTCCACAGAATTGCAATCTCTGAAAAAAAAAAGCCAAGACTGCTCTGAGACATATTTTATTTAATTTAGTCTAAAAGACAATTCAAAGACACCAGCATCAATAACAAGGAAAATGTAAGAACAGGCTTAAAAAAATCTAGTATGTTAGTTTTAAGTAATCTCTTTTGAATCATCACAATTTTATAGTCAATTTTTTTTCTCTAAAACAGTTAGAAAACTACATACGTATAGTTTTATCTTCATGTTAGAAATTTAATATAGAAAATTTCATGTTAAAAATTTTAATTCTAAATACTCTAAGCAATTGAAAGCTTAGAGCTTTGTTTTAAAAAATTAATGCTATAGAATTGCAGGATATTAAAACTTCTCAAATCACAGTTTTAGATCACAAACCTAGTTTGAAAATTAAAACCCAAATGGCTCAGAAATCAAAGGTGCAAAAATATTTGATCACTTCTGCAGTCAACTTTTATCTTGGCTGGAAAAAGCAGGAGATAATAGGCAATACAGTACCTTAGGAACCGGATGAGCTGAAGAAACTGCAGCCGGCAAAACTATACTGTGTGAAATATCTCTTTGTCTCCGAAAAAAGAAATTTCTTCTTTGTTGACTGCTTGACTGCTTGTGTAAGTAGATATGATTGAGTGGTGAAGAGAAAATTCTATGAGAACCTGTGAGCAGAAACAGACATATTTTAAGTAAAAAAACAACCTAACACAGTCCTCCACTTTAAGATGTTGTGGTGTTGTCTATTAAATCATTATTCTAATACCTTATTGACTGAAAAAGGAAAAGCCCCAAATAGAAATGAAAACAGTGGTATTCTGAATTCTAGTACAATAGTAACACAGCGTATTTATTAGCTAATACTATGTTTACATAAATGCGTGACAATGGAAAACTCTACTCTAACGGGAAACAAACATATAGAAACATCTGCTAAGCACCAGGTCTGTAAAAAGAACAATTTCTGCTGTAATACCTTATGTGGCAATGTCCAAGACGACCCTAGATTCAGGGCACTGTTTTGATGGCTTTATACTCTGTAAAGCCGTTTCCTTTCAAGAATCACGGACAAATTGCCAGCTGCACTTTTTGCCCTCCATAGGATTACTACTCTGTGTTAAGTTCACGTGCAGTGAGGCATTATACTGAAATTCATTGTGATGAATGTTCAAGTCAGATAAAGACTAAATAGCAAAAATGTAAGTATAACACTGAAAGAAAATGAATATAGGGTTTGAAGTACTCACAACAGGAATTTAGAAATGTCTATCAAAATTTTAAATGCACATATCCTTTGACTCAGCAGTTCATCTCCTAGGACTTTATCCTGCAGACACTATGCACTGATGGATGAATGAAGATGTACCCTCATGGCAGCATTATTTGTGGTAGAAGAAAGTGGGAAACAACTCAAATGTTTCCAAATAGGAAATACCAGTAGGGGACTGATTAAATATATTATGGTATACTTACAGAAAATTCTGGAGCTATTAAAAAGAATAGGCTAAATCATCATCTCTATGTGTTGATATGGAAAGAGGTCACAATACACTGTTAGGAAAAAAGTGAATGCTTAACAAATACATATAAAAAGCCCATTAATGTAAAAGGAGCTTATACATTTATATAAGCTTGCACGTGCTCATAAAATTTCTGGAAATTGATATTTGTAAACAGTGGCTCTTTCTGTGGCTTGTGGTTGGGGCTAGAGGTAGAGAGGAAGACTTTTTTTTTTTTTTTTTTTTTGAGACAGGGTCTTGCTCTGTCGCCCAGGCTAAGGCAACAGTGGTGCGATCATGGTTCACTGCAGCCTTGGATTCCCAGGCTCAAGGAATCCTCCCACTTCAGCCTCTTGAGTAGCTGGAACCACAGGCACATGCTACCATGCCTGGCTAATTTTTGTATTTTTTGTAGAGATGGGGTCCTGCTATGTGGCCCAGGCTGGTTTTAAACTCCTGGGCTCAAGCGATCCTCCCACCTCGGCCTCCCAAAGTGTTGAGGTTACAGGCGTGAGCTACTGCATCCAGCCAGGAAGACATTTTGATTCATTTTATTACTTTCATATTTAGAACAATCTTTTTTTTGTTTTTTGTTTTTTGGTTTCTTTTTTTTGAGACGGAGTCTCACTCAGTCGCCCAGGCTGGAGTACAGTGGCGCGATCTTGGCTCACTGCAACCTCCGCCTCCCAGGTCCAAGCAATTCTCCTGCCTCAGCCTCCAGAGTAGCTGGGACTGCAGGCGCGCACCACCAGGCCCGGCTAATTTTTTTGTATTTTTAGTAGAGACGGGGTTTCACCATGTTGGCCATGCTGGTCTCAATCTCCTGACCTCGTAATCTGCCCGCCTTGGTCTCCCAAAGTGCTGGGATTACGGGCGTAGCCACCGCGCCTGGCCAGAACAATAGTTTTAGAAGTCCCCAACAGGTCACAACTACATGGCAGGGGTCAGAAAACTACAGCTCAAGGGCCAAATCTGGACTGCTGACTGTTTTTATACAGCACAAAACCTAAAAATGGTTTTTACATTTATAAATGGTTGAAAAAAACTTTTTAACCCAATATTTTGTAATACATGAAATTCAAATCTTGGTGCCCATAAATAAAAGGTTCATTGGACCATAGCTACCCTCATTTGCTTACAAATGTCTATGGAGGATTTTGAGCTACAGTGGTAGCTGAGTAGTTGTGAACACATGTTCCACAGAGCCTAAAAAATGTACTCTTTGGCCCTCTACAGGAGACATTTGCTGAATCCTGGTCTAGAGCAGTAGTCCTTAAAATGAGGTTCACAGACCAGCAGTATAATGTCACATAGAAAAAAGATGCAAGGCTGAGTGCGGTGGGTCACGCCTGTAATCCCACACCTTGTCTCTACTAAAAATACAAAAATTAGCCGGGCATGGTGGCGCGCGCCTGTAATCCCAGCTACTCGGGAGGCTAAGGCAGGAGAACTACTCGAACCCGGAAGGCAGAGGGTGCAGTGAGCCAAGATCGCGCCACTGCACTCCAGCCTGGGTGACAGAGCAAGACTCTGTCTCAGAAAAAAAAAAAAAGAAAGAAAGAAAGAAAAAGAAAAAAGATGCAAATTCTTGGGCCCCGTATCGACCTACAAACATAGAAACTGGTGATGGAGGCGGGCAATCTGTGCCTTAACCAGCCCTCAGGTAATCCTGACGCACACGAAGCTTGAGAACTGGCCTAGAGTAACATTTCAGCTGTGAAACATAATGAAAACGTGAATTGCAGGTAAGTACTGGCTTCAAAACTCTGGATCTCTAATTGACTTGGGGAAAGGCACTGATGCAAACAAACCGCAATGATCAGTGATTCAGGGTGATAGGTTTCACTCAATTATGTCCCTCCTTAAAGTGGACTGCAATATTGTTGAATCTAACTTATAGAGGTGTTTTTGGTACTATTTTAAACAATTTCAAGCACTAGACAAAATGTCAGTAATATCATTTCTTTAAAAAGAAGTTACAAAACTCAGGTACAGTGGCACATACATGTAGTCCCAGCTACTTTGGAGGGCAGCTGATGTGGGATTGCTTAAACCCAGGAGTCTGAGACCAGCTTGGGCAACAAAGCAAGACTCCTGTCTCTCTAAAAAAAAAAAAGTTGCTTGATAGAGGCAGGTATGTATTGTGTAAAGCTTTTAAAGTATAATATTTCCCTAATGACAATATCACCAACCCTAGTATTGTCAACTGATATATGAGGGACAGGGTAGTGTCCTAGGAAAAGCAGACAGTTGGAAGGCAGAAGCCTGGACTTTTGTTTCAGCTCTACCACTTATTAGCTGTGTGGCCCTGCACAAGTTTCTTCATTTCAGTCTCAGGTGAGAATTGAAATAAGAAATGTGAAAGTGTCTTGCATTTAGAAGATACCCAATAAATAATAGTTCTTTCAAGAATACATAAAAACCTGTAATCCCAGCGCTTTGGGAGGTCGAGGTGGGAGGATCGTGAGATCCCATCTCTACAAAAAATAAAAGAATTAGCCAGATGTGGTGGCTTGGGCCATCAGCTACTGTAGTCCAGCTACTCAGGAGTTCAGCTACTCAGGAGTCAGTCCAGCTACTCAGGAGTCCAGCTACTCAGGAGGCTGAGGCAGGAGAATCACTTGAGCCCTGGAGCTATGATCACTGAGTTATGCACTGAGCTATGATCACACCACTGCACTCCAGCCTGGGCAACAGAGTAAGATCCTGTCTCAAAAAAAAAAAAAAAGTCTGCACAAAAAATAAAATGGGAAAGAAAACATGACCTCCAGTATAGCTTCTAATACTGAACACTTATTATGCCTCAATTACTGTACTAGGCACTTTACATATGTTAGCTCATTAATCTTCACAGAAACTGTATGAATTGTGAACTGTTATTACTCCATGTCACAGTTGAAGATACTGAGGCACACAAAGGAACATGCAGTAAGTGCCAAAGCTGAGAGGGAAAGCAGGCTAAGTTGCCTCTACAAAATGTATTACTTCTCTCACAGGCATGAGAAAAAACAGGAGCTAAAACACAGGGAAATACCCAGAAAATTGAAAAGGCATCACAAAACTATTGTTACTACTACTATTATTTTTCCAAAAGTGGTGATGGGTTGGCCTAATCCACCCACTACCTTAAGCCAAGCTGCCTTCGCTGACCAAACACACGCTTTGGGGAGGTGGCTGCCAGAACTATTAGTTGGACAGTCTGTGGATATGAAATGGAAAATTTGGAAAGACACAGGTGGACTCAATCTATGATTCCACCTCCCTAATTGCATTGCTAGGCAGGACCACATACAAGACACAAACTCACAAGTGTTTCTCTTCTGAGGAAAGTATTATAATTACTATTAATAATGATAATGCTAATATAAATAGTAATAATAACAGTGGTTAAAATTTAATGGACACTTAGATTAAGCTCAGTGCTAGGTGCTCTACATACATTACCTCTTACCAGCTCTGTCATTAGGCAGGTAGCTGTTAACATCACTGCTTTATAGATGAGGAACTAAGGCTCACAAGTCTGGTAATCAATGACCAGGCCCCAAGCTTAATCCTGTAAATCCAAATCCAGGGCTGTGTCTGCCATTCCAGTTGCCTCTCAGCAGTGTGCAGGGGCTCTATGAGTTCTATTCGCTAGTGTGTTTTGTTACATAATGTATTCTTTCAGGGACTAGATTTCAAGGTCAGTTTTTTTTATCATGAAAAATGTAAATATCATGTAACTAGTTAGCATTTAGAATGAAGACACTTTTCATGAAAATTCTTAGAAATGATCCAGTTGGGAGGCACTATGGTAGTGACAACAGCATGAGCTTGGAGGTCAAACAGGTGTGAGTTACCAAAACTTCTGAGACTCATTTTCTTCACTATTAAATGGGAGTAGTAGTGCTCTCCCTACCACGAGCTGATGTGAGCATTTGCTGAGATAACATAAATAGGTAAACCATCTTTTAAAAAATAGGTGCTCCATAAATGCTCCTTTCTTTTCCTTTTCCTTCTCCATTCTTCAACATGTTTACCTGTGGGGTCTCTAAATGCCTTCATTCATTCAACAACTACTTAATGAACTCATTGCATGTGCCATGCTCTGGATTAGAGAATTCAGTGGTGAATGAGGTGACAAGGTCCCGACTCCCAGGGAGCTTACATCCTTGTAGTGGGAGGCAGACATAGGCAAATCAACAAATGCATTTGATTACATCAGACAGTGCTATGCATGATGAAAAAATAACCAAAGTGGCACAGCATTGGACAGAAAGTTCTACCCCTGGTCCTGCTAAGAGCTATGTGATCTTGAGCAATAACAATAACAGTGGATGCTGACTGACCAAGAGCTTACTGGTGCCAAGCTCGGTGCTGAGTACTTCAAAGACATTACCCTGTGAGATGCAGAAGCTCAGTAAAATGAGAGTTGGGCTTCACAATCTTTGAGGTCCCTTCAGCTCTGAAATGTGTGCCTTCATTCAGCACCATCTGATTGTCATGCTACATCCCAGGAAATGGGAAGATGTAGCCTCTGATCAATTTTAGGACTCATGAAGATTTTTTTCAATGTGGTTGATTACACAAAAGATCATCTTTATCAGTGTTATCAAGTTCAAGTACACAGTCATTATAGGGGGAATCTTTTCTATGTACTTAAACTTGAAGCATGAAGTCATCAGGCCTCCACTAGATATCTGGATGAGGCTTTTGAGACATTCACTTTTAGGATGAACAGTGTTGCCAAGGTACCTGTCCTGCCAAATGACAGCCTCACTGCCGAAAAGATGCAGACACACCCACACATGACTGGATGGTAAAATTCGAAACGTCAGGAACACAGCCTGAACATATCCAATCTGTTGACAATTATGGTTCTACACTGTATTCAGCAATTTCACTTTCATAAGACACTTTTGTATTTGAAACGAATTCTTTTCTTTCAATCTGATGAAAGACACCCTTACAAATGTTGTCACAAGGCAACAGGATAATAAGGTGCCATACTGTGTTTATTCCACTAACTACTCATTACAAATGATTCCATCTTTTTATTAGAAATAAAATCTGGTGTTTTCACAGGGGAAATGAAGAAATGGGCATAAGTCATGGTACCTTTAGAAGATAATGGTCCTCCAACTAGCCTGGCAAAGAAAGAGGGGCGGGCCCTCAACTTTGTTTATCACAATACAAATAAGTAGTAAATTTTCTAAATGCAGAGTGAGCAAAATTAAAATCCCCAGTCTCTATTATATTCAGGGTCACAGAAAGGATACCCGAACTACAGTAACTAATGTAGATCAATGTAGAAATGGTCTCTTGAATTTCCTATATAATTCATTTCTTGACAAAAGCACTGCTGATACCTTATAACTACATCTAATTTCCAAATTGCTACCACCAATGTTACAACAAATTTGATGCATGATGACCATCTTCAGAGACAGAAATAGTCCCTCCGTCTCCCACACACTATCATTCATTCAGGATTCACTGCACACGGTGTTTTGGTAAAGCTATTTGGGGAAACAAGACTCAGGTGTGTACTAATTACTACAAGGGGCAAGTGGACTAATCTGATGTTTTTAGAGACACCAGTGGGAAATCACCAGAAACCTCAGGGGAGTAGGAGAGCCCAGAACAGTGAGGAGTTGCTTTATACTAATTTGATCTTGCAAGAGATGATCGTAGTATTGCTACTGTTGATGACCTAACAGCAACTCTATATAGGGTTTTCTTAGGGAGTAAATCTACATGTTATTTTTTATGAATACTAGAATAGTTACTGTTATCAAAGGTAATAATAAGAATTATTTTTAGTGTTACAAAAATTCTATCAGCACCTAGTCTGAGTTGAACGCTGAAAATTATAGGCAACTTCTTCCTGCACTCCATGGAAGAGCACACTGTGCAGTCTGAACATCTCTTGAAATTGCTCTATGTCCTCTGGATCCTGCAGCACATTTTTTCATATTTAAAATTTGTATTTGGAATGTAAATCTAGGTTATGGTTTTAAATATTTTCATATTCAGTAATAACATCCATTTCTAAAAGCTGCATTTTATTTTCCTTTATAGGTTAAATCTGAAGGTAGGATTATAGAATTCAAGTATGATGGAGGGAGGAATGCATTTTATTTATTTATTTATTTATTTATTTTGAGACAGAGTCTTCTTGCTCTGTCACCAGGCTAGAGTGCAGTAGCACGATCTCGGCTCACTGCAACCTCTGCCTCCCGGGTTCAAGTCATTTTCCTGCCTCAGCCTCCCGAGTAGCTGGGATTACAGGCACCCACCACCACGTCCAGCTAATTTTTGTATTTTTAATAGAGACGGGTTTCACCATGTTGGCCAGGATGGTCTCGATCTCCTGACCTCGTGATCCGCCCACCTCGGCCTCCCAAAGTGCTGGGATTACAGGCATGAGCCACCGTGCCTGGCCAGGAGGAATGCATTTTAAATAACGAATGTTGCTGCACACAACATGCCCTATATTTATTGGCCTCTTACTCAGGGTCCATTTTAATTGTTATCTGCTCATGCATCCTATACCACATAATGAAA
This sequence comes from Homo sapiens, assembly GCF_000001405.40. Taxonomy (NCBI): domain Eukaryota; kingdom Metazoa; phylum Chordata; class Mammalia; order Primates; family Hominidae; genus Homo; species Homo sapiens. The sequence continues at coordinate 172,054,117 of NC_000002.12, read as the reverse complement.
TGCTTCCATTTCACCCACTGAGCCCTGGGTTTTCATGTGCACCTTTACTAATGACCCTTAATTAAGCTGATTTTATCCCTGAAAATGTGAGTTTTCTTTTGGTCAATAAGTATTTTTAAGGGAGAGGTCTGAATGAACTTTCAAAGAGACATTTAAAATGCTTATTATTTTAAGCAGTTGTAAAACTGAACAAAGTACATTTGTACTCAAGTTTGGACTACCAACACATATATTTTTCATTGTATGTTTCCAGGGAAGCACTTTCACCCTGCAGTGTGCCATCAATCCTCAGTTACGTTACACTGCAGAGGTATCAAATATCTGGGTAGAAAACAACACAATAATGTAGCTTGGCACTACTTTACATTAGCTAACAATGTCAACCAGAGATAATATGTGATTTAAAAGACACCCTGTAAAATGTCTTACTGAATATATTTTTTCATAATGATCAGTAAATGCCAAAGTCTAGTAACAAAACTATTATTTATAGCATGTTAACATCTAATTGATTTTACAAATGGAGGCAATTATTTTGGATGAAGAGAGGAATGCCTGCCAGATTTAAATGATTTATGATTACCAAGAGAGAAAAACAACAATGTTTTGCTAATTCATTTTCAAATATGGTTCTTACATTCATTGATGATTTTAATTTTAAACCAAATGATTTGCTTAATAATATATTAACTTTAACAAGAAAAAAAACCCAACTTACTTTGTGACAGCAATCTGATACATTTTTAACTGTTTAAAAATGTTGCCTCCTACAGTAAGCTCAGAAGGGACTATAGCATAGGAATATATTTTCGGGGTGCTGATTTAGACCCACAGAAAGATCACACTTCATGAACTCCAACCAATTACTCAGAGTAGGAGCACAGGCTCTTACAGCGCTGTGTGCTTCAAGTCCATGAGAACACTGCAAATGCATCCATGCCTTATATTTCTTGACCTAAAACACTGATTGCTTGACATGTTTCATAACTTGTACAAATGTTGCTAAAGAAAAATTAAATAGTCTGCATCACTTGATATAACTCTTTTATTGATTTTTATAATCTAGTACTAAGGTGTACGTTTCAAAATAAATGAGAAAGATTGAAGGTTCCTTCCCATCTCAAGGCAACTATAAAGCAGAAGAGAAGCTCACATTTCATGAGAAATAACCTATGCATTTGCTGAGGGAAAAAAAACCACATGCACTACTAGGGAATGCCCCAGGCTGAAGCAGATACTGATTGGGCAAAGCTAAAGGACAAGAGCCCTTGAAACTAAACAAAAGCAAATTCATCTGTTGACAGATGTTGATTACATCAAAGCAACAAGGAACTCCCCCAATTCCCAATTTTTAAAACAATTAATACAGCTCTATAATCTACACAATAAGGACAAAGTTAAGTTTTTTAACCGATCATAATAAACATTAGTGAACTTGTTTTAAAAGAGTTTCAGTTCAGTTACAGACTATTCTAGTGTGTTTTTAGCTATGGGCTTCTCCAAACAGTGGTTTATTCATTCCCATGGACATGCCTGGGAAGCCAAGCTGGCCATACCATCAGCCCCTTCCTTCCAGGGGTTAACTGCTCTGGCTGCCAAATAAAATACAGAGCGAGCCATGTAATTATGGAGACAGTCAAAGGGCAGGCTCTATTTTGAAATCTATTTGCACAGACAAGGTCTTCCAATTGAACTTACAGGAAACAAGCTGGTAAAGAGCCTCCTTTTCCCCAGATGCTTTCCACACTTTTTCTCCAATGCAGGAAATCGTGGATATGGACACCATACACCACTGCTTCCTGGATTTCAAGCTAAGATGCCATTACAGAGAGAAAAGTGGATCTGTTTCACCAACCTTTAAAAAACATTTTTTTGGCCTAATTAACAGCATTTGGCAACAGCCTCTGGATGATAAAGCCACAGTGTTTATTAAACAACATTTCTAAAGAGGATGCAGGCCCAGTTGGTATGCAGGTGTTGGAAAACAGCTCATTTTCTTTAATGCTGAAAATAAAGCACATAGTTGAATCTAAAATATGTGGGCATAATACTTGTCTGAAATAAATATTCTACTTCACATCCAACCGTGTTGTCCTTGAAGTTATTTTTACTTAAGACCACTAAAACAGTAACAAAGATCCCACAGAAATAAAAAGGAAATGTGTGCAATATTTTAAATGACAAAAAAGTCATAACTCACTTTTATGCTGAAACATAAAAGTTTATCCTAGTTGTTTACTGCTCTAAGTTTGCAATTTTTATGAGGATGCATCATTCTCATATTAAGGTAGGACTGGGTCACTACTACTAATAAAATTCACCTCAAATGAAGTTGAGATGGATACTGGTCTGTAGATGTCAGAATTCATCTACAGCCTGGGAGTCTTGGTTCTAGAAAAGATGAACTGGAAAGTCAGTCACAGAGCGCTTCTGGGGAGAGGAAGGGCAGCAGCCTGAGGGTACCCTCTTCCAATAATAACAACATTTAAGAGTGGTGCCCAGGTCACTGCAAAACGTGACCTTCCCCAAGGCCTAATCAGGAAGTTGGCGCTATACTATATACCTCCTCCTTTAAATAAAATTATCAATAGCAACTGATAGAGTATAACATCAATGACAAGTTCAGAAATGTTTTACGAAAACACTTCATTTTGCTTCTTTACAAAAGCTAAATCTGTTAATATGTGATTATTCACTAATGTACACCACCAGCACACAGGCATCTGTATTTAAAACAAGAAGCATTCCCCTCTTTTTGGGAAACTAAAACACCTCAACCTACTCTAGAAACACAGATCTATAAACATTCCTACTTAATAATATAGGCTCCTGCTTGTGAGTCTAGGAAAAAAAATTCCTTTAGGCTAGCCGAATTATAGCTGGGGGAAGGGTGCCAAAGATTATAGTCAGAACTCAAGTATAAAACTAAAAGCTGATCATTTGGTGGATAAGTAGAAGTTACATAGAAATGTTTAATTTGTACAATAGGGCTATTGCATGGAATTTCTCCATTTGAGACAAAAAAAGTTTACTTCAAAATTTAAATTCATCTTTATAAAGTATTGAGTCACAATGAAATGGTATATACTTGGCAAATCCCATTGTCTCTCAGCTAAAGTTTAGAGAAAAGCAGCTTTTTAGCACTTCAACAATACATATACTCAGGCAACTTCTTGGACAAAGAAATATTGTATCCTTACAGAGGAAATAAAGAAGCTGTTTATTAGGGCCGTGGTTAAAATGTAATAATTCATTCTAGTTGAGCCCTGTGAAAAATGTCATCAAAATATCATTTTCTTTGTCAGATTTTCTGGATGCCTTAATATCATTTAAACACAGAATAAAAGACAAGCTCTCATCAGAGTAGAAGCACAACACTAAAATGAACCAAAACCAAATGCTCTGTCAAAGTTATAGGAAAGAATTTCACACAGTCCTGCTACCCAGGGAATGCACACTTCTAGGTTAGCACAGAACATCTGGCAAATTTCAACCTTCCAAAGTCTCTCAAAAGAAACATTCCTGTTACCTCACACACTTTGGTTAAAGAAGAGGAAAATAGAATGATTTTATATTAAAGCACACAAATCAGAACCAGAAAGAGCAATTTCATAGGAATCACACATGGAACTGAATTTTAGAGAAAGTCTATATAAAAACATCATGAGTTTTTTAAAAAAAAACTGATATAGTAACAAAATCCTTCTTTAATTCTTAAAAAAACCTCCAGACTATTCATAAATACTACTGTCATATACTACTTAAAATATTAGTTATTTTGTATTAAAATGCCCAATAACAGAAGATATGAGGGCTTATAATCTATGATCAAAAGCACAGCTTTAATATATTTTTAAATTACATTAAAGCATTTGAAAAGAGCATGATTTTAGTCTTCATATTACAATAGTGTCAACTGAATTCTAGATACAGCATGCCCTAGGTATATTGCTGGATGTCTTTCTTTCCTTTTTTCTTTTCAATGGGCCATTGAAAGTTATTGCCACACAAGCAAACCATTGGGATGAAATAGCTCAGAGCTTTGACCAAAATTGTAGTATCAATATCAAAAACAAATAAGACAAAAAACAAAAAACCCTACATCTTAAACTTCCTGAGAAGATTTTCACTGTACATCTCTAAGTGAAAGGCATGGGATAGAAAGAAAACATTTGAATATCAATCTTATCGTGGTATTTTGACAACTGTAGGAGTTTTGTCTCTGCCCTGTAACCAGTCAATAGGAGTGGTAAATCGGTAGGTAGATAGGTCAATAATTACTACCTAAAATGAGAAAGCTAATGCTTCAGGAAAACAATATATTTCCAAGCTTCTGCAGTTGAGAGTACACAGATTCAAGACAACAGAAGCCAAGATCACTCATCAAGGAGTTATTTTCAACCAGAAAAATAAAGAGAAAGTATACAGTAACCTCTTTAGTAAAAGCAAAAGCTCCAAATTTTCTGAAGGCAGCTTTTTGGACTGGTATAGTTATGTTGCCCAAATAATTTTACACTCAATTCTACTAGGTATACCTGGTTGACCATATGAATACTCACTCGACAGTTTTTGGTATTAATTCAAAAAGTACAAAGTGTTAAAATGGCACAGGCTTAAAAGGGGAGCTCCATAGATGCCTGCTTACAATTTGGCCCATATATATGTGTATGTGTGTGTATATGTATATAAGTAAACATAAATATAAATATGTATATAAGTAAATATATGTATATAAGTAAACATAAATATAAATAAACATTTATTTAAATATATATACTTATATATTTAAGGATATGAATGTTCAACTATCTGTTACTTTTTGTACTAAAGATTAAAAATTAAGCCAGGCTGACGCCTATAAACCCAGCACTTTGGGAGACTAAGGCCTGTGAATCGCTTGAGTCCAGGAATTTGAGACCAGCCTGGGAAACATGGTGAAACCTTGTTTCTACAAAAAATACAAACATTAGCCAGGCATGGTGGCACACAACTGTAGTCCCAGCTACTTGGGAGGTTGGGGTGGGAAGACCGTTTGAGCCCAGGAGGCAGAGGTTGCAGTGAGCCAAGATTGCGCTGCTGCACTTCAGCCTAGGCAACAGAGCGAAACCCTGCCTTAAAAAAGTTAAAATAAAATAAAAATTTAAAAACGTTAAAAATTAAAACCACCCCAACCACCAAAAAAACATGTACTCTTTATCTGTATATAGCAGGCTGCTTGCTTCTCATATCTGAAAACACATTACTTGAAAACCTTAGCCAACACCAAGATTATTCACACAGTAAAATGACAAATTCATCATCTCATATTTAAAGTTTTTAATATTGCCACAATACCAAAATATTTGATGTGTAAAACATTTGAAACATATTTATTGTCTGAGGGGATGGGACACTTTTTGAAGTATGCTTCTACTGGAGTGTTACAAAGAAACCTCAACTCTTCAATGCCTAATAAGGTATAGTCAATTTGGGGGTAAAAAAGAAGGAAACAGTGTGAAATTTAAAATTTTATATTTTGCTTGTGAATGCACCATGAGAATTTCCTCCAAAAGATATGCCTTCCTATTTATATTCACTTGAGCTCTTGTTTAAATTGGTTTTCCTTCTCTGAGTACTATTGGTTTACTTAAACAAGTTAGTTAAATTCTTTAAGCCTTAGTTTCTTCATTTGTTAATGTGGATAATAATACCTTCCTCACAGGGTTGCTATGATAATTGTATGACATGATATATCGAAAGTGGCATAAGGTAAGCACTCAATAAATGGTAATTACTATCATTGGTTACCTGACTGTGGGAGGAGGTCACTCTAAAATGGACTAATCAGTAGGTAGAAACCAGCCTGAATTTTAAAATGTGCCTTGGATAATCCACAAAGCAAGTAATTCACAAAGTAATCATGAGATCCTAGGTTGGGTCCCAGAGCTGCTACTTAAAAGTGACACCATCCAAAGCACTGGGCCTCTCCTCACTCCATCACAGGGCCAACCTGAACCCCAAATGAGACTGCAGATGTAGAAACACTTTACAAACTGGACAGCATTTCATGATTGTAGTGTATGAGAGAAGGCTCACACTCAGTAGGATGAATTACGGACAGCCTAATTTTGATGTTTTCCTGAGAGTTCCTGCTGGGCCCTTGCTAGTATGCTGATGGTTAATGGTGAGGTCTAAGGAAAATTCCTTCCTACATCCATAAAAGGCCCTGGCTTTTTTCAAGAATCATATCTTTCTAAACATATAAGAATACTTCTTAAATTTGTGCAAAGGGTGGGATGGGAGAAATTATGTTATAGGAAGATTCTACTTTGCATTGAAGACATTCCCTGTAAAGTGTACTATCACAAACAATTTTAAGAGTTAGATCAGAATGCTGCTATTTTGGCTGAGCGCAGTGGCTCACGCCTATAATCTGAGCACTTTGGGAGGCCGAGGTGTGCGGATCCTTTGAGCTCAGGAGTTCAAGGCCAGCCTGGGGCAACATGGTGAAACCGCATCTCTATGAAAAATACAAAAATTAGCCAGGCGTGGTGGCATGCTCCTGTAGTCCCAGCTACTCAGAAGACTGAGGTGGGAGGATGACTTGAGCCCAGGAGGCTGAGGCTGTAGTGAGTGGAGATTGCACCACTGCATTCCAGCCTGGGCAACAAAGTGAGACCCTGTCTCAAAAAAAAAAAAGAATTCAGCCTTTTTTATTCTGTTACTAAATACCATTCAGTCAATGCTGTGCTTAGCCATAAACTTTAACGTTGCCCTTGGTAACCTCAGTTTGTAAGAATTTAAACCTATTTGTCTTGGTGCACAATCTGTTTAGCAGAAATATTTCAGAGCTCAACAAACCTTATTGTTTAAATGTATCAAGAAGTCTTCTTTGCATAAAAATTCCTGTTTATTAAACAGTGATACAGGAAGAACTTATTTACATTTCAAGCACTACCAACATACATCACTTATGACAAAAAAGGCAAGCACTCCATAAGAAATGCTCAATCACTGTCAATCACAAACACTAAAATATACATAAACCAAAGCACGCCGTGTGAACTGTATTAAATTCAGCTAAACACAGAATTACCAACAGAACAAACAAAAAAACAAATAATTACCAGTGACTCACAGACCTATTTACACAATACACAAAATAACTTGGAAAGGTGTAACCATGGAAACCTGATAGCCTAAATTCAGTACCTTTAAATTTTGCATTTATTTAATCACTGTGCAAATGATGTCCTTACAAAATTTAAATATTTTTAAAGCTGTCAAAGCTTATCTTTGTTATTAGATCATTGATTGAAATAGTTTCAGCTATAAATTAGTTATCTTTAAAATTATGCGGAGACCGTTTAATGAAACTATGATAAAAATGTCAAACAAATTTTTCTAATTTTGTCAGAAAACTATTATTTCACAACCACTGATTAACTGAAAAACTCAACTATTTACAGTAAGTCCCATAATAGTCAAGTAATATTAACAGACACTTTCACATAAAGACTTTTCTTAAATTAATACTGTTGCATGCAACCACCTCCACTTCCTCTAATTAACTACTAAAGCAGAAATGCTACTAGTTGTTTTGGTTTAAAAGTTGTTTTTACTGACAATTACCATTTGAAGAGTTTAATATTTAATGCTATAGTTAGTCCTAATATCTTATATTTTATTTCATAATCTAAATGACTAAAACATTATTTTGTAGTTCACTGCCTCCCACACTTAAGCTGTAATGTTCAGTGTGTATTTCATTATGTAGATGAGCAATGGATGTTGTCTGACATGATTTAAATGGGTCAACAGTATTTTCCTAGTCACATTAATCATCCAGACAGCTAAAATGAAAAAAAAAGTCCTTGAAAACTAAAACTAGAGAATCTATTCACACAAATGACACTTTCCATCAGTGGATTATCTAGGATGTGGTTAAGGAGAAGGAAGAGTTACAGACTTTGAACATATGTTTCATCATTTATTCAGAAACCACTTCAAGACCCTAGCTCTATTTTCAGAATCGAAGTAAACACTCACAGAAAGAGATTTCTGAGATACCAAAGTGTAATTAAAAAAAATAAAAAGCATTACATGGCAATCTTTGAAACTTTTTTGATTCCAGAAAAAAAAAATAAAATTTGGGAAGCCCAGCTCTAAATGAGGCTGAGCCCCAAGAGTAGGGTCAGGCTTATCGTATGTATAAAAATACACAGCAGCATAGGTGCACCAAAATCTCACAAATCACCACTAAAGAATTCCGTCATATATATATATATATATATATATATATATATATATATATATATACACACACACACACACACACACATATATACATATACATACACATATATACATATATACACACATATATACATATATACACATATATATACACACACACACACACACACACACACACACACATATATATGAATGATCCTTTTTTTTTTTTTTTTTTTCCTGAGACGGAGTTTCACTCTTGTTGCCCAGGCTGGAGTGCAATGGCACAATCTCGGCTCACCGCAACCTCCACCTCCCAGGCTCAAGTGATTCTCCTGCCTCAGCCTACCGAGTAGCTGGGATTAGAGGCGTGCGCCACCACGCCCGGCTAATTTTATATTTTTTAGTAGAGACGGGGTTTCTCCATGTTGGTCAGGCTGGTCTTGAACTCCCAACCTCAAGTGATCTGCCCGCCTCGGCCTCTCAAAGTGCTGGGATTACAGGGGTGAGCCACCGCGCCCGGCTTATATAGGATCCTTTTTAGTGGTTTTGGAGCATTCCCTTATACGAAGGGATCACATAGTACCTTATTTAAACAATGATGAGCATTTTGGTAGGTCCTTTTTGTTTTGGTTTGATTTTTTTGCTTTATATAATGTGTTTTTTACAAGTACAGTTGCACAAGTGATGACTTCTTTTTAGTTTAAATGTGTAAAAGTAGTATTTGTGGGTTAAGAAATATGCAAACTTTAACATATTTGCAAAACTGTTCACAAACACTGCAACTTGTCTTCCTAATGATGCCTATTTCCTATACCTTTACCAACAGTTTAATGTTAAAATCTGTTAGTCTGATAAATGAAAAACTGTATCTCACTTTTACTTATTTTTCTTCAGATACTCCTGAGGTTAAAGATATTTTCCTTTGTTTATTTCTGTATCCTCTTTTGTGAAGTCTCCTATTAGGTCTCTTGGGTTGTTTTTCACCTGATTTATTTATTTATTTATTTTTTTTGAGATAAAGTCTCGTTCTGTCACCCAGGCTGGAGTGCAGTGGCATGACCTCCATCATCCAGGTTCAAGAATTCTCCTGCCTCAGCTTCCCAAGTAACTGGGATTACAGGCATGTGCCACCACGACCAGCTAATTTTGTATTTTAAGTAGAAATGGGGTTTCGCCATGTTGACCAGGCTGGTCTCGAACTCCTGACTTCAAGTGATCCACCCTCCTCGGCTTCCCAAATTGCTGGGATTATAGGCGTGAGCCACCACGCCCAGCCTCTTCACCTGACTTATTTTATTTTTATTTTTTAGACAGAGTCTCGCTCTATCACCAAGCTGGAGTGCAGTGGCACGATCTCGGCTCACTGCCACCTCTGCCTCCCAGGTTCAAGCGATTCTCCTGCCTCAGCCTCCTAAGTAGCTGGGATTACAGGTGCATGCCACCACGCCCAGCTAGGTTTTTTGTTTGTTTTGGGTTTTTTTTTTTTTTTTTTTTTTGTATTTTTAAGAGAGACAGGGTTTCACCATGTTTGCCAGGATGGTCTTGATCTCATGACCTCGTGATCCACCTGCCTCGGCCTCCCAAAGTGCTGAGATTACAGGTGTGAGCCACCGTGCCCAGCCCACCTGACTTATTTTTAAGAGTATTCTGTGAATTACAAATATTAAATGTGTGTACTACACTGTTTCAACTATCTTTTCAGCTTGCTTTTTGTATTTCCACCATATTTAAAGTGTTTTTGGCCACAAAATTGGGTTTACATTGAATTTATGGATTAATCTAAGGACAATATGACTATAATTTTTTGGGGGGACAGGGTCTTGCTCTGTCACCCAGACGAAGTGCAGTGGTGCAATCATAGCCCACTGCAGTTTTAACTTCCTGGGCTCAAGCAATCCTCCTGCCTCAGCCTCCCAAGTAGCTGGGACTACAGGCACATGCCACCATGCCCAATATTTTTTTTTATTTTGCAGAGACAGGGTCTCACTATGTTGCCCAGGCTAGTCTCAAACTCCTGGATTCAAGTGATCCTCCTGCCTTGGTCTCCCACAGTGCTGGAATTACAGGCGTGAGCCACCATGTCCAGTTGACTCTAAAATATTTAACGTCTTCTTTAAGATAAGAAATGCCTTCACATTTCCTACAGTGTTCTTAAATGTCCATCACTGGAGATCTAATGTTTTCTCCATACAGGCCTTGTACATTTCTTGTTATTTGTCTATCCTTGGTTTTTTTTAACTCCTTGGTTGCTACAATAAATGAAATTTTTATAATGGAATATAATGCTATTAAATATAAATAAAATAATTTTTGTAAAACATTAAACGTACTTTTCTTTAAAAAACTTAAGTTTTAAAAATTGAAGTATAATAGTCTAATGTCATATTTTTATGTTCTTTCATGTATCAAAAATCAAACATACATGCAGACTCACACACTTTCTCCATTGGAGGTTAGTGAGTCGTGACCAAGTGGGGTTGACTTTGCTTTCCATCACTGCCAACTCACCCCTCTCTTACCTTTCCTCTCCCCAAATATTATCCTCCTTCCTTCCAAATATGGAGTGCCTGACTGGATAAACTAACAGGTGTTGGAAGTGCAAACCAAGTGAAGTTCCAATAAAAGAATACTATTTTTTTTGTAAGGATCTGATATTTAAAATATTTCTCATAGCTGGGTGCCTATAATCCCAGCTACTTGGGAGGCTGAGATGGGAAGATTGCTTGAGCTCAGGAGTTTGAGACCAGCCTGGGGAACAAAGTGAGATCCTGTATCCCAAAAAATATATATATATATATATATATGTATGTAAATATATGTACACACACACGTATATATATACACATATATGTGTACACGTGTACACATATACACATATATGTGTACACATACACATATATGTGTACACACGCACACATATGTATGCACATGTACGCATATATATACACAGGTACGCATACGTGTATACACATGTACGCATATATGTATACATATGTACACATACACATATATGTACATATTTACACACATACACATATATGTACATATATACACACACACGTATATGTGTACATATACACACACACGTATATGTGTACATATACACACACACACGTATATGTGTACATATACACACACACGTATATGTGTACATATACACACACACACGTATATGTGTACACATATACACACACACACGTATATGTGTACACATATACACATACACACGTATATGTGTACACATATACACATACACACATATGTATATGTGTACACATACACACATATATGTATATATGTGCACATGTACACATACACACATATATGTATATATGTGCACATGTACACATACACACATATATGTATATATGTACACATGTACACATACATATGTATATATGTATATATGTACACATGTACACACACATATGTATATATGTATATATGTACGCATGTACACATACATATGTATATATGTACACATGTACACATACATATGTATATATGTATATATGTATATATGTACACATGTACACATACATATGTATATATGTATATATGTACACATGTACACATACATATGTATATATGTATATATGTACACATGTACACATACATATGTATATATGTATATATGTATATGTGTACACATGTACACATACATATGTATATGTGTACACATGTACACATACATATGTATATGTGTACACATGTACACATACATATGTATATGTGTACACATGTACACATACATATGTATATATACATATATTTTTTAAAATGAAAAAATATATATTTCTGGCCAGGCACAGTGGCTTATGCCTGTAATCCCAGCACTTTGGAAGGCCGAGGCAGGTAGATCACTTGTGGGCAGGAGTTCAAGACAAGCCTGGCTAACATGGTGAAACCCCATCTCTACTAAAAATACAAAAATTAGCTGGGCATAGTGGTGGGCACCTGTAATCCCAGCTACTGGGGAGGCTGAGGCAGGAGAATTGCTTGAATGTGGGAGGCGGAGGTTGCAGTGAGTTGACATGGCATCACTGCACTCCAGCCTGGGAAACAGAGTAAGACTCCATCTTAAAAAAAAAAAAAACTATATATATATTAGGTCATTTCTTTTGGGGGATGAAATATATATATATATATATATATATATATATATATATATATAAAATAATTAGAGTAAGGAAATTAAAACGTTTTTATATTCTTATTCTGTATTTACTTATTTAAAGCTTAGTTTTGTTTGGTTTTGAATTATGTATCTGGCTTGAGTTGGGGGCAACCAGTCTTCAGTGTTAGGGGTCCTGTCTCTAACAAAACAATATAGATCTACATGATCTTTTTTAGTTGTTTCATGAATTCCTTTACGGACAGGTCACACAACACCTTATTTAACCAATGATGAGCATTTAAGTGGATTCTTTTTTTTTTTTTTTGATACAGAGTCTTGCGCTGTCACCCAGGCTGGAGTGCAGTGGCACGATATCGGCTCACTGAAACCTCCGCCTCCTGGATTCAAGCGATTCTTATGCCTCAGCCTCCCACGTAGCTGGGACTATAGGTGCACACCACCACGCCCAGCTAATTTTTGTATTTTTAGTAGAGACAGGGATTCACCATATTGGCCAGGCTGGTCTTGAACTCCTGACCTCATGGTCCACCCACCTCGTCCTCCCCAAGTGCTGCGATTACAGGAATGAGCCACCGCATCCAGCCTTAAGTGGGTTTTTTGTTTGTTTGTTTTTGCTTTATATAATATGCTTTTGGGGGGCCTCAGACTCCTTCAGTTCTTGTATACTGTGGCTATCAGGTACAAGAGGGCCTGAATGGGCCAGGTGTGGTGGCTCACGCCTGTAATCCCAGCACTTTGGGAGGCCGAGGCGGGCGGATCACAAGGTCAAGAGATTGAGACCATCCTGGCCATCATGGTGAAACTAAAAATACACAAGTTAGCCGGGCGTCTCTACTAAAAATACACAAGTTAGCCGGGCGTGGTGGTGTGCGCCTGTAATCCCAGCTACTCAGGAGGCTGAGGCAGGAAAATTGCTTGAACCCGGGAGGCAGAGGCTGCAGTGAGCCGAGGTTGTGCCACTGCACTCTAACCTGGGAGAGAGAGCGAGACTCCATCTCAAAAAAAAAAAAAAAAAAGAGGGCCTGAATGTATCAAAGCAAATAGCACAATCGATTACGATATTTCCCCTAGTCTTGTAACAGTAAAAGAGATCAAAAACTTTGAACAAAAATAAACTTAAAACAAATCTGCCACTCCGCTGAACAAGGACTCTGTATATCTCTAGTTCCTAAAACGCTGTGTATTTAGTTTGATCTCCCCCTGGGAGTAGCAGTATGTCTTAAAATTTTCGAAGAGAGTGTGGGGAATCCTCTCACTATTGCTCCCTTGGGGCAAATGCTCTCCTGATGTAGTTTCCTCCACATGTTTCAGAATACTACTTCCGACTCCACCTACTAGTCTGGAAGAAAATCACTATGCCATATAGTTGACAGAAAAAAACGGACTTTTTAATATTTTTAAATATAGGTAAAAGTAGAGAAAGGGGTAAAATGAAATCCTTAAAGTTAAGCTATAATCCTGGTTTAACTGAAATCCTTAAAACTTTTCTCACTAATAAAAAGTTTTCGGCCGGGCGCAGTGGCTCACGCCTGTAATCCCAGCACTTTGGGAGGCTGAGGTGGGTGGATCACGAGGTCAGGAGTTCGAGACCAGCCTGGCCAACATGGTGAAACCCCGTCTCTACTGAAAATACAAAAATTAGCCGGGCGTGATGGCGAGCGCCTGTAATCCCAGCTACTCAGGAGGCTGAGGCAGAAGAATCGCTTGAACCCGGCAGGCAGTTGCACTCCAGCCTGGGCGACAGGGCGAGACTCTGTCTCAAAACAAAATAAAACAAAAAAAAGTTTTGGCTGGGTGCAGTGGCTCACGCCTGTAATCCCAGCACTCTGAGAGGCCAAGGTGGGCAGATCACGAGGTCAGGAGTTCGAGACCAGCCTGGCCAACATGGCGAAATCCCGCCTCTACTAAAAATATAAAAATTAGCTGGGACTAATTACTGGTGGTGGGTGCCTGTAATCCCAGCTACTCAGGAGGCTGAGGCAGGAGAATTGCTTTAGAACCCGGGAGGCGGAGGTTGCAGTGAGCTGAGATGGAGCCCCTGCACTCCAGCCTGGGCGATAGAGCGAGAGTTCATCTCAAAAAAAAACAAAAAAAAGTTTTAAAGGTATTTGCTCCATCACCCCCACCCCACAAAAAACTCACCATCAACAATAATACCAAAACTCATCTTTCCTGACGACTTCTAAGAAGTGAAGTGTAGGAAATGAAAGGGTTATTTTAATTCTGGGACTGTTCTTTTGTGAAAATACAAAGAAAGCCGTTATGAACAGCCCCAGGGACTAGTGCTTCTTGATGTTGGAAACTGTACAATTGTACACACATTTTTAATTTGGAGTTCACAGCCACAGTGTTTCCTGGGAGTAACCCTGAGGCCTGGAGTTGTAGCTGCTCATTACCCTATACAAGTCAAACTCCTGAAGTGCACTAGAGCACAAGAGTATGGGTCTGGACACTTAATTATTTCTGAGCACAGTATGACATAAGGTGCTAGCTGGGATCTAAAAGTTTTTGAGACTTGGCCATTGTGATGATGTACAGAGAGGCAGGAGGTCTTCTCAGGAGTTAAACATGAAGAGGGTTGGAGAAACAATGCAGAGCAAAGAAAGTCCCATTCCCACTTTTGTGTTATGAAACCTTAGGTGGCAAGTAGATTTTTGCAGAATGGTATGGGAACCCTCCTTAGGTAGGCATCTCAGGGATAATATATAAAATAGGAAGGCTATAAATCCTGTAAAGGAGGTAGTAGTGGACTAAAATGGACAGAATTTATACTTATAACTAATGTTTCATCACTACCAAATCCACCCTGCTCCCAACTCCATTGGCGTGACTAGATGATGCTGACTTTAATGAGTAATCTGAAACACTGGCAATATTTGGCTTTGGTGATGGCTAACTTCAGACCTCATAAATATTATGTAACCCTAGTCTTTTTGCCTCTGGCCAACCAGACTGACTGCATAAATGGCAAACTGACATTGAGAATTTATGAGCTCTGCTGCATTAGTAATGCACATTTCCTTTTGAATTATTCTAGCCTGTAGCCTGAAGCAGATTATAATTATCATTCCTTTTGCCGCACAAGTCTGAAGATCTACAAGTGGTTCAGGTAGCTACATGAATATATTTCAATGTTTTAGGAGGGTGGGTAAATAAAAACCCATATGTAACAAATGAAAAACAGATGCATTTATATAATGCTACAATTTAAAAAATATCCTAGCTAATTAAAATTTGGTCTCGGTCACAGTAAATCCATAGAAAATGTTTCTCTATCTTACTGAGATGTTTTTCTCTTTACCGTCAAAAAATTGGTGATGGTATTGTTCAGTTTACTTGGAGCAGAGTGTTCAGGTAGTCAATGATCTAAGCTATGGATAGTTAGCTCTACACTAAGATAAATACGTGGTCTTAGCTGTTTGGAATGCATTTTCCGACATAAACAATGTGGCTAAGTTCTCAGCTAGCCCAGTAGCTCATAAGACAAATAAAATGCTACACAATTGCAATGAAAACAAAAAACTAGGAAACAATACAGCTGTAAGCATATATTTTGGCCACATTATAGGTTTTTTGAGCTGGCCTGGGAATGTTGCTGCCATTTACAACATGGTTTCTAAAGGATAACATATTCCACATTTTTGGACAATTAAGGAAATTGAAACGTCCACTTTACTGCTTCCTACCACATATTCTCGGCCATTTCCACTCAAACCCTAAGTGGCAGAAGATGAAGGCTGAGTACCCCCAGGAAAATCTAGAGAGGAGAAGAGAGGGCCAAGTCCTGTCCCTTCCTGTAATAGCTGTACCAGCCCCAGAGCCAGGATTCTCATGCTGCTTCAGCTTCTTTCAACTTCTACAACAAGTGAAAGGAAGTAAGTCTCTGTCTTGAAGTTCAAGCAACCCTGCTTTCCTAACTGTTAGCACCAGAAACAACATGTCAAGCTCAAATACAGCCACCCGGAGACAAAACATGGTGGCTCTGGAGGACTAATGTCACTAACCAGAACTCACCAACGGGGTAGGAGGTCTAGATATTAAGTGTTCAGAACCCAGATGGAACCAGTGAAGCTCAACTGTTGAGCTTCAGCTCTGGCTCTATGATTTACTAGCTTACAATCTTCAGCAAGTTACTTAACCATTTAATGCCTCAGTTTCTTCATCTGTTAAAAAATGGGGAAATAAAAAACTGTTGTAAAGATTAAATGAGTTTACATGTCTTAAGAGTTCATTAGCACAGCGCCTGGCATGTAGCAATTGATAAATTGAGCTATCACTCATAGGTTTAATATCACAAGTGAAAAAGGTACAAAAATGCTCTCTCCTTTTTTAAAGCTTTACTATTTTTTTTTCTGGTCTCTAGCGTAGCAGTTGTTAGGTAGGAAGACGTAATTTAGCAAGTAGATATCGATGACCAGAAAGAGTCTCTGTACCTCTGAAATATTCACACACACACACACACACACACCCCAAGTAAAACCTAGACTTTTTTTTTTTCTTGAGATGGAGTTTCCCTCTTGTTGCCCAGGCTGGAGTGCAACGGCACGATTTTGGCTTACAGCAACCTCCGCCTCCCGGGTTCAAGCGATTCTCCTGTCTCAGCCTCCCAAGCAGCTGGGATTATAGGTATGCACCACCATGCCCAGCTAATGTTTTTGTATTTTTAGTAGAGACAGGGTTTCTCCATGTTGGTCAGGCTGGTCTTGAACTCCCGACCTCAAGTGATCCGCCCACCTTGGCCTACCAAAGTGCTGGAATTACAGGCGTGAGCCACCGCCCGCAGCCATAAAACCTAGACTTTAACATTACAAGTACATGTAAGTAATAGACAACAGTAAACTTATCTATGTTGTTTTACTAATAATATTTTAAAATAAAGCATTTAAAAGTCTGACAATGCCAAGTACAGGTTGAAGATGTGGGAAA
This sequence comes from Homo sapiens, assembly GCF_000001405.40. Classification (NCBI taxonomy): domain Eukaryota; kingdom Metazoa; phylum Chordata; class Mammalia; order Primates; family Hominidae; genus Homo; species Homo sapiens. The sequence continues at coordinate 172,036,836 of NC_000002.12, read as the reverse complement.
ACAAGATCTCTCGAATACTGCTGGAGAGTCAACTGGTACAACCACCTTGGAAAACTGCCTGTCAATTATGAAGTCACTAATTCAATCCTAGGTATACACATAAAAGAAATGCATACAGAAGTGCATCCAAAAGACATACTCAGACTGTTTGTAATAGAAAAAGGTGGAAACGGGCCGGGTGCGGTGGCTCACGCCTGTAATCTCGGTACTTTGGGAGGCCGAGACAGGCGGATCACGAGGTCAGGAGATCGAGACCATCCTGGCTAACACTGTGAAACCCCGTCTCTACTAAAAATACAAAAAATTAGCCGGGCGTGGTGGCAGGCGCCTGTAGTCCCTGCTACTTGGGAGGTTGAGGCAGGAGAATGGCGTGAACCCGGAAGGCGGAGCTTGCATTGAGCCAAGATCACGCCACTGCACTTCAGCCTGGGCGACAAAAAAAAAAAGAAAAAGGTGGAAACAACCCAGATGTCCATCAACTACAGAATAAATTACAGTAAATTCTTTTTTTTTTTTTCTTGAGACAGAGTCTCGCTCTGTCGCCCAGGCTGGAGTGCAATGGCGCGATCTCGGCTCTCTGCAAGCTCCGCCTCCCGGGTTCACGCCATTCTCCTGCCTCAGCCTCCCAAGTAGCTGGGACTACAGGCACCCGCCACCACGCCCAGCTAACTTTTTGTATTTTTAGTAGAGACGGGGTTTCACCGTGTTAGCCAGGATGGTCTTGATCTCCTGACCTAGTGATCCGCCCACCTTGGCCTCCCAAAGTGCTGGCATTACAGGCATGAACCATCATGCCCAGCCATAAATTCTTAAAACAGAAGACTATACAGCAAAAAAAATGAATTCACTACAGATACAATATAAATGGATCCTTAAAATATAAAAATCAGTCCCAGTGTGGTCTCTCACACCTGTAATCTTAGCACTTTGGGAGACAGAGGTGGGAGGACTGCTTGAGCCCAAGCATTCGAGATCAGCCTGGGCAACATAGGAAGACTCTGTCTCTAAAAAAAATTAAAAATTAGCCAGGCATGATGGCATGCATCTGTGGTCCCAGCTACTTGGGAGGTGGAGGTGGGAGGATCACTTGAGCCTGGTAGGTTGAGGATGCAGTGAGCTGTGATCATGCCACTGCATTCCAGCCTGGGTGACAAAGAAGACCCTGTCTCAAAACAAACAAACAAACAAAATCACACTGTTTAGGAATCTATACACAAGTGGTAAAACTATAAAGGTAAGCAAGAAAGTGAATACTACTAAAGTCAGGATAGTGGCTACCCAGGGGATGAAAGAGATTTGGACTGGGAAGAAGCATGCAGAGGTTTTCTGAGGTGCTGGTGATATTCTGATTTTTCTTAAAACACAGTACAGTAGGCCGGGGGTGGTGGCTCACACCTGTAATCCCAGCACTTTGGGAGGCGGAGGCGGTAGGATCACGAGGTCAGGAGATGGAGACCATCCTGGCTAATACGGTGAAACCCCATCTCTACTAAAAATACAAAAAGTTAGCCGGGCGTGGTGGCCGGCGCCTGCAGTCCCAGCTACTCGGGAGGCTGAGGCAGGAGAATGGCGTGAACCCGGGAGGCGGAGCTTGCAGTGAGCTGAGATCGGGCCACTGCACTCCAGCCTGGGTGACAGGGCGAGACTCCGTCTCAAAACAAACAAACAAACAAACAAACAAAAAAAAAACACAGTACAGTAGTTACATAGGTATTTGCTTCATAATCATTCATTAAATTGTATATTTCTTTTACACGTTTCTCTCTACATATTTCACAATAAAATGCTGGGAGTTAGGAAGGAAGAAATGAGGCCAGAATTAGAAAATAAAACAACAAAAAAAAAAAAAAGAAAAAAATTCTAACAATCAGGGTTTCTCTATATTTTGAAGGAATAAATTTAAAATCTTTATTGATGTGTTAAATTCAAGCAATTTCTTCCAATCAAGAAAAATAAGAAATCAGAAATAATTCACAATTCTTACTATACAGGGAAAACATTAATAGCACAGTTGTCTACACGACATTTAATTTACTAGGCCATGAGAAATTTATATTTGCAAATTTTTTAAAATGAAGTCTTATAATTACTCTATTACTACAAACTAATTGATAAAACCCTTGTTGGATACATAATTATATTCTTATTCCAGAGCTTTTTAGTTGATATAATCTATGTAGACAGCCATACTGCTTGTTGAAGCAGAAAAAGCTACTAAATTTTCTAAGCAGAAAACCTGGATCCTTTCAGGAACTTCATAATAATAAAACAGTTGATATATTTGTGGCAATTTACAAAGTAACATCATACATATTATTAAGTTTGGCACAACAACCCGGACCAGGTGGTAAACTGGGAAAATAACCTTGTACCTATTTTATAGGCAACGCCCTAACCAGAAATAACACACACACACACACACACACACACAAAAACTGAGACTTATGGAGGCTAATGAATTTGTCCACGATCACAAATTTACAAGTGGCAAATCTGGGATTTACCTAAGCCTATTTTAAAAACTTTTTATTATAGAAAATTTCAAAAACACACAAAAGTAGATTAGTGTAACAAATCCCCATGTATCTATCATTCAGCTTCAACAATGGCCAATAGATGGCCAATCTTGTTTCATCCATAACCATCATCCCTTCCCACTGGATAATTTTGAAGCCTATTCAGATATCATATAATTTCAACTGTAAATATTTCCATGTGTACATCCAAAAGATGAGGACTTTTGTTTTTTTTTTTTTTTTTGAGATGAAGTCTTGCTCTGTTGCCCAGACTGGAGTACAATGGCATGATCTCCACTCGCCGCAACCTCCGCCTCCTGGGTTCAAGTGATTTTCCTACCTCAGCCTCCCGAGTAGCCGGGATTACAGGCACGCACCACCACTGCCAGCTAATGTTTTGTATTTTTAGTTGAGACAGGGTTTCACCATGTTGGCCAGGCTGGTCCCAAATCCCTGACCTCGTGATCCCCCCCGCCTCGGCCTCCCAAAGTGCTGGAGGCCGTGAGCCACCATACCCGGCCTGTGATGAGAACTCTTTTTAATGGTTTAATAATATAATATTATACCTTTAGAAATTAACAATAGTTCCTTAGTACCATCAAATATTTTATCAGCCTTTAGATATTCTCCTTTTGTCATATATTCTTTTTTAAATTAAACAAATGGGCTGGGCCCGGTGGCTCACACCTGTAATCCCTGCACTTTGGGAGGCCGAGACAGGCACATCACTTGAGGTCAGGAATTCGAAACCAGCCTGGCCAACGTAGTGAAACCTTGCCTCTCTAAAAATACAAAAAAATTAGCCCGGGCATGGTGGCAGGCACCTGTAATCCCAGTTACTTGGGAAGCTGAGGCAGGAGAATTGCTTGAACTCGGGAGGCGGAGGTTGCAGTGAGCCAAGATCGCACCACTGCACTCTGGCCTGGGTGACAGAGTGAGATTCCGTCTCAAAAAAAAAAAAAATTAAACAAATGTATTATTAAAATAGGAGCCAAATAAGGTCTATTGTACTTGATTGCTATGTCTCTTATGCCAGTTTTAATGAATTCCTCCCTTTTTTCTTTCTCGTAAATTATTTGTTAAGAAAATGAATTTGTCCCTAGCACTTCTCACATTCTGTAACTTACCAGTTGTATCTTGGTGGTGTCAATTAATATGTTTCTCTGTCCTTTGTATTTCCTGTAGACATATTAAATCTAGGGATTTGTTCTGATTCAAGTTTGATTTTTTTATTTTTATTTATTTATTTATTTATTTATTTAGAGATGGAGTCTTGCTCTGTCGCCCAGGCTGGAGTGCAGTGGTGTGATCTCAGCTCGCTGCAAGCTCCACCTCCCGGGTTCACGCCATTCTCCTGCCTCAGCCTCCCGAGTAGCTGGGACTACAGACGCCCGCCACCAGGCTCAGCTAATTTTTATTTTTAGTAGAGATGGGGTTTCACCGTGTTATCCAGGATGGTCTCCATCGCCTGACCTCGTGATCCACCTGCCTCGGCCTCCCAACGTGTTGGGATTACAGGCGTGAGCCACCACGCCCGGCCTCAAGTTCAATTTTTTTGGCAAGAATATTTAATGGACAGTGGTGTGCTCTGATAGCTGTGGCTCTTTTTGTGATGTTAGCAACCATTGATGACCAGTAGATAGATTCATTATTTCACGAGGGGTTTGCCAAATGGTGATATTCTCTCAGACCTTCTTAATTTGTTGGCAGAAATACTTCTAAAAAGAGAAACTTTCTTTCATCAAATATTTGGTCATCCTGAGGTTCAGTTCCATACAGGATATATCAAGTTAAGGGCTTGATTCTTTCCTTCTACTTAACCAGTTTTCAAGAGTGAGTTAAAAAATATAGGGCTTTCAACAACAAATTCAGTGTTCCTAATCAGAGATTACATAAAGTATCTATCTAGAAGATGATCTATTTCTATCTAAATGATTTCTACAGGGAAGGTTGAGTCAAGTGAAACATAATTTCACTTTGAAATAAGAATACTAATCAGAATCCAGTAAAACAGAAACATTTTACTGATTTTATCATAAAGTAAAACTATTAATCTCTCAGACTTAATAAATCACGTATCTTTTCTATTCTTTTCTTCTCACACTTTTATTTCGGGAGTGGGATGAGGCTGGGAGATTAGAGGTAACAAGATAAGACTGCAATTTAAAGGGGGAAAAACTCAACTCCAAATGGGTTTTTCTTTAAGAAGGAAACCCAAAACCAAAAGAAAACAGGTAAAATTAGCTATTGAAATTATGGCTATGTGAATCAACCCTTGCTCCCTACATCTGGCAGCATTTAGCTCCCCGAGGGCATGCTTGGTGCCCCAGGGCACCGTTACACATGTTTGACCAGCCGGGCAACAAGAAAGGACGCAGAAACTATGAATAGAGGCAGCAGGTAACCATCAGGCCGACCAAATGGCTGAGGCACTTTGACAAAACACACAATGAAGCAACTGGTTATTCCCATGGCTGAAAAGTCAACGACGTAGGGCTTTATTTTGGGATTCGAATTCCACAACACTCCTCTTTAAGTCACTGGGTTACTTCCTTGTTTAAATCAGGTCCTCAAATCCTCCCTTTTCTTTCAGACACTCAGTGAAAAGCATCAGAGATGAGCTGTATAAAGCTACTTTGTATTCTTGCCAAAAACCCATCTGAGAATTCAACTAGACTGTTTTCTGGACTCTACTCCAAGTCTGTGCAGGAAGTGAAGGTGCCAAATTATTCTGGAAACACTTTGGTATTGTGCTCAAAAAGAGAGAGAAAGCATATGTGAATGACTTCCTCCATCTTATTATATAATATCCATTTTACAACTGAGATAAGTCTAGTGCTATAGTTTTAAATATGGCTCCCCTCTAACTAAACATTTTATTATTATAAAGGACAGGCTTTGCCCACCTTTCCTACAACCTAAAGCCCTCTTTTGGAGCCCCTGGTAGGGGAGTGTCTCCCTTCTCTCCCACCAAGATCCCTACCCTCTGCTCTTCCTCTGGGGTCTTCACCAAGACTACTGAAAACATACCCAACTCATTCCTTCTAAAGCAATCTTGGCAAAACCCAGAGTGATAACTCCTATTAAACTAAGCCTTTATGAGGATACTCCATTAACCCAAAGAAAATTCTAATACGTAGTTGGACATTTTATGTTCCAAGAAGGCTGTAGGGGACATATTTTAGGGCCAGTGGACCTTTCCAATTATTTCAAATTATATCATTTGTTAATAATAACCTGTTTTATAAAAATATGACACTCTGGGGGAAAATACTATAAATGTCTTTAGTCTCCCAATAAAATATTTCTGAATTATGAATTTTTAAAAATGATGAGTACTTGAGAAAATTTTCCTAAATTATCATTTCCTAAATTATCATTATCATACCTAAAGTCTTTACTTCTGAAAAGTAATTTCTTAAAACTACACAGCAGGATGACATTTTTAATGTATGAGACATACATACATGTGAGTGAGCTTAACTGTAGAATTAAGACATTCTTTAACAACTGGTTCACATACAACTAAATATTTAGAGAAGCTAAATATATTTCCAATTTTAAGTACAGAAGAAAGTTAAATGAAAGACTTTCTTAAGAAACAGTATATTTCCTGCGAATTGATGTCGCTCCATGGTCTCCAATTTAAGACAAAAGCAGAAACGTAATTGCTGGCTGCATTCCTATTGCTCATGACTTTATTACAAAACCAGAAGCAAATCAAGGATTTGAATTTAGAAAGATGCTTTCCAGTGGTAAAGGCTGAAGATAGGGTTCATGGGGTAAGAATGCAGAGATTTTGTTTAGAATATCCCTCTATAACATGGTAGCAATGTTGTGTCACACACCCTTGGACCTCGACCCTTACTTCATGCCTACTTTAGTTCATTTCCACCTCTGCAATACATTTTTTTAAAAATGTAGGCTTACGCCAGGTGTGGTGGCTCACGCCTGTAATCCCAGTATTTTGGGAGGCCGAGGTGGGCAGATCACCTGAGATCGGGAGTTCGAGACCAGCCTGACCAACATAAAGAAACCCCGTCTCTAATAAAAATAAAAAAAAATTAGCCAGGCATGGTGGCACATGCCTGTAATCCCAGCTACTCAGGAGTCTGAGGCAGGAGAATTGCTTGAACCCAGGAGGTGGAGGTTGTGGTGAGCCGAGATCACACCATTGCACTCTAGCCTGGGCAACAAGAGTGAAACTCTGCCTCAAAAAAAATAAATAAATAAATAAATAAAATAAAATAAAATGTAGGCTTAAAGGCCGGGTGCAGCGGCTCATGTCTGTAATCCCAGCACCTTGGGAGGCCCAGGCGGGTGGATCACTTGAAGTCAGGAGTTTGAGACCAGCCTGGCCAACATAGTGAAACCCCATCTCTACTAAAAATACAAAAATTAGCTGGATGTGGTGGCGCATGCCTGTAAATCCCAGCTACTAGGGAAGCTGAGGCATTAGAATTGCTTGAACCTGGGAGATGGAGGTTGCAGTGAGCTGAGATGGTGCCACTGCACTCTAGCCTGGGCAACAGAGTGAGACTTTGTCTCAAAAAATAAATAAGTAAGTAAGTAGAAATAAAAATAAAATGTAGACTTAAAAATGAGCCTACATTAGGGATCATGAGTTTGAGGCGGTTATTTTTGTGGGCTATAGTTTTTTCATTCACCTGCTTTTCTGGAAAATATTTGCTCACCACAGATGCTCATGTTATGGTAACTCTAAGACCAGAAAACAATCCCTATCTCTGTTTCGCTGTAATATTGACAGTTTCTCTTAGTCAGGCTTTTGTCTATATACTATTTTGTAAATGGGCAAGAACTAAAATGTGCTGGGGATTTTAGGTATATCTTTTCACAAAAGTATATTTTAAAAGCAAATAAATAAGTACTTCTTCTTTGAGACAAGGTTTGGCTCTATCCCTTATGCTGGAGTGCAGTGGTGTGATCTCAGCTTACTGCAAACTCAGCCTCCTGGGTTCAAGCAATTCTCCCACCTCAGCCTTCAAAGTAGCTGGGACCACAGGCGTGCACTACCACAGGCACATGCCACTAGGCCTGGCTAATTTTTCTATTTTTAGTAGAGACAGGTTTTCACCTAGTTGCTCAGGCTGGTCTCAAACTCCAGAGATAAGCAATCCTCCTGCCTCAGCCTCCCAAAGCGCTGGGATTACAGGCGTAAACCACCATGCCCAGCTAATAAGTACATTTATAACTACTGGCAATAGTAAGCAGTACTTTGAAAGGTGACACATTCTCTCTAGAGTCTCAGTATCTTTGGGTTTGTTATGGTTTGACCATGCATGTCTACTGAATTCTTATTCTTCTATTTTCCTACTTTGTTCAGTCTCTGCTATATTTTAGAAGACTAAAAATGGTGTGTAAAGATGCTTTAACAATAAATACATAATTAAAGTAACATACTAATCATGGCAAGTTTATGAGAAAATCAAGAATCAAGTTAGAATACATTTTTAATGTCCTTAAATTATTACAGGGAATTCATAGGTATAACAGACATTAAAAACAAGCACTCTCCTTCCTTTTTTATTCCTAAGAAACTAATTTTCCATCACAGCTTCACATTTTTGCATGTCTAAATTTGTTATATAGTTCGTGGCAAACCTTATTTTTCTTTATAAGTCTTCCTTTCAGAGATGACCAAGATATTATTGGTAAATGAAAAACAAGTTGCATATTATATACACAGCATGTTACCACTAAGAAAACACACACACACACACACACACACACACACACACACACACACACACACACACAGACACACATACAGAAGTCTGCTCATGTGTAGGAAAAAAAGTCTAGGTGAGAATAATTACTAAGTTTTCCTGCTTCAAACTCTTCAATGTTTATCCACTGCTTTTTGAACATAGTTTCAACTTCCCATTATGGCCTTGAGGGCCTGCAATGGTCTGACCCCACCTCCCTCTGGCCTCCTGGCACTCCACCCTCCTGTCACTCACTGCCGCCAGCCACAGGGGCCCCCTTTCTGCTCCTCAGAGACACTAAGCCCTTTCTGGGCTCTGCATTTGCTCTTTCACCAAGTTCTCACATCACTGGCCCATTCATGGCCTTTGAGCCTCAGCTCAAATGTCACTTCATCAGCAGGCCTTCTGGGACCTCTCTCTCTAAAGTGGTCCCCCCTAGTTACTGGCACCCTCTTAGCTTTGTTTATTTCCCTAAACGCACGTTTCTCATTTTGAAGTTATCATGTTTGTTTGTCTAATTGCGTCTATTGTTTCCCCATCAGAATGGCAACTCCGTGAGGTCTGAAACCCCAGCCCCCACTAGTACCAGGGGACCTAGCACATTTAATCCCTCACCAAATCAAGAGACTTGCAGCTGAGGGATCTGGCCCTCCCTTTCTTTAGGTCTCTTCAGTCTGGTGAAATCCTTGTCACTTTGCACCTGAATTTTCTTCTTTCAGAGTTTAACTTTTATAGTTTAGACTTTACTTTCTTACCAAAAGAACTTGTCACATGAGCAGACACAACAGAAGGTAGAGAGTAAATTCCACTGCTACCTGGAAAGTGAGGGATAAGAAAACTTCATGCAAACTTTAGCACAAACGACAACTGAAGACAAATTAAAAATGAAGAAAAAGATTTTCAGAAATTATAATGTTAAGTCAGAAGGGAATATGACATACACACGTGTACACGTACAAAATCATAAATACACATACACACTCATATCCTTACACACACAAATACAGTCATGCATCACTTAACAACAGGGATACATTCTGAGAAATGCATCATTAGGTGATCTGTGATTGTGAGAACATCCTAAAGGGTACTTACACAAACCTAGATGGTATAACCTACTACATCCCTATGCTATATGGGATAGCCTATTGCTCCTAGCCTACAAACCTGTATAGCATGTCAGTGTACTGAATATGGTCAGCAACTGGAACACAATGGTAAGTATTTGTGTATCTAAACATGGAAAAGGTACTGTAAAAACAGCATTATATTCTTATGGGACCTGCCATCATATATGCAGTCCATTGTTGACCAAAATGTCATTGCAGGGCATGTAACTGTGGGTATGTGATTTACCTATAAGCACAAGATGACACCTGATGCCTAACTCTAGACACAGAGGCATATGGTTTTGTGTGTTAGGTTGGGAGTTTTCTAGTATTTATCATCTACCCTAGTGTCTGGCATACAGCCGACAATCAGTGGGTTTGCTGAATAAAGGAATGATTCCATTCATTCTCAGTTCCTGGAGTAATCTTGGCATATCCAACCTCATTCTTCCAGGCCCTCTTCTTCTAGACCCCTTTATGTTGCCCTGAAGGAGGGTACTGGGGTATGGGGAATTGACTTAGTTAATGCTCTAAGTCATAATTGTCTGCTCCTGACCCAGAAACCTTATGTTTGCTGTCAGGACAAAATAAGTAAATATAGATAATAAAAATTTATCCCCTTCCCTCTGGATAGGATGTTGGTACAGAATTGGTGACTGTGTCTTATTTGTACTTGCACCTCGTCAACTTACCTGCAACTGTGATTTCACTCTAGAGCCCTCAACTTTCTGTTCTGTCATCCATTCATCTTAACATGTCTCAGAAATAGAAACAAATTTGGGGGACACTAGGACAAATTTTAAAGATTACTATATTGTGTAAATTAAACTAAGATATGAGAGCAAGAAAGCCTTTCTGGTTTCTACAGCAAACAGAATGTCTAGGTAGGCGCTATGGGCTCACTGTGAAATCTGTGAAAGCTCTAGAAGTCTAACTTAGAAAAGAAAAAACTCCATGATGAAGGGGAGAGATTCATGAGCTACTCACTAAGTTAAAATATGGGGCTCTCCCTAAGGAAATAAAGGATCTCAGCCATGACCATCAATGGTGCTAACATGACAAAAAGTGAGACAACCAAACGTGTGCCTCCTGAAAGATGTACAAGACGCTATCTGTGATGTATTCCTGCCAGAAAACTGAACTTGAATCTGATCATACTTCAGGAGGGAAGTGATGGAACCACCAATTTGCAGGAAACAGGAGGGGAAAAAAAGGTAAATGACATCATGGGGACCCAAAAAGCGAAATCTAGACTGAGAAAATCTATAGAACAAATGACCTGGTTTCATCAACAAATAAACCACAAGGGGAAAAACAGAGAGAGAAGGAACCTATAGAATAAACGATTAGAGACATATCAGCCAAATGCAACATGGGAATATGTTTGGTTCCTAATTCTAACAAAACAACTGAAACAAACAAACAAAAAGATAATCAAGGAAATCTAGACACTGACATATTTGATACTAAGAAATTACTCTCAAATTTGGTAAGGTTTAACCATCATATATCTTTAAAAGAGTACTTATATTTTAATATTTTAGAGATGCCTACTAAAATATTTACTAGATGTAATGATATATCTAACAATTGCTTCTACATATCACCTTGGAGGAGGGATGCAGGAAAGGGTGAATGTCAAAGTGAATCAAGATTATTGAAGTTGTGAAGACAGGCACGCTGAGTCCAGGAGTTTGAGGATGCACTGAGCTGACTGTGTCACTGCACTCCAGCCTGGGCAACGAAGCGACCCAGACTCTTAAAAAAAAATCTGATGGATGTTGGGTGATGCTTCTATCTCTTACATGGAGACTCATACCATTATTCTCTCTAATGCATATTTAAAATTTTCCATAACATGGTGCATACCTGTAATCCCAGCACTTTGGAAGCCCTGGGAGGCTGAGGTGGGCAGAACGCTTGAACCTAGGAGTTCAAAACCAGCCTGGGAAACATGGCGATACCCCATCTCTACAAAAAAATACAAAAATTATCCAGGTATGGTGGCACTTGCCTGTAGTCCCAGCTACTCGGGAGGCTGAGGTGGGTGGATTGATTGAGCCCTGGAGGTTAAGGCTGCAGTGAGCCTTGATCGTGCCACTGCACTAAAGCCTGGGCCACAGAGTGAGATCTTGTCTCAAAATAATAATAATAATAATTTTTTTCCATAACAAAAAGCTAAAAAAATTCTCAGTTAATATAATACCCATCAAAACACATCTACACCATATATCCTGTGGTCCAATAATTGCATCAGTATCACACTAGGTGCTTATTAAAATGTAGATTTCTGGGCTCTGCCCTAGAACAATTGATTGAGAAAACCCAGTTTGAAACCCAGGAATCTCTATTTTAATAAACTAAATTATGTTTACACACACCAAGGTTTCTTAACCAATGATTCCTACATACACAAAAGTTTGAGAACCATGGGCTAGCCATTTTGTGTCAGGCTTTATTCTCACTTTCCAAATGAGAAAATCAAAGTTTGGAGATAAATTAACTGGCCAGAGTTCACTATGAGACCCTGAAGGAATTGAGATCACTGAGCCTCTCAAATCTTGATTTTCTAGTTTACTGCTCAAGCATCAACTGAGCAATATGGCCTAATTAAAAAATATATTATCATTAGCTTTTAAAAGTTTGGCTCAAATTCTACCAGAACCAACTTATCCTTTTGACCCTTCAAGATTAAAACACACACACACACACACACACACACACACACACACACACAATCTATATGTCTTTAAAAAGGAGGCTTTATCAGGATGTAAGAAATAGCTTGGCATTCTGATAAAGTGGAGGTGTTCATGGCCAAATCCTGGGGATTTGGCTGAAAACCAAAAGCCCATTTTCATTCCATAGGGTCTTAGTATAAGGTATATAGCGGGGGGTTACCTGCTTGCCATTGGTGAAGATTACATGTAGGAAGTCATGTCTTTTTTCATGGTTAGGGTTCTGGAGGCCAATTTTTATCTGCCTGGAGAGGTCATTGGTTGGGCTTTGTGGTTTGGGTTTCTCAGAATTATTCTTGTTTGTAAAGACCCCCTGGGCCTCCATGCTTGGTAATGGTCTTTCAGCAGGTAACTAGAGAAAGTATGAGGTGGGTACATTTTTCTGTTTATCTAAATGGCTACTTTCACACCCTTCCCCTTTTTGGTATTAATCCAAGTGGTCTGATTTTGAATTAAGGAGGGGATTTAAAATGGAGGTACACAGATCCTTAAATGAGCAAAAACCAGTACCTTCATTTTTTCCCAACATTTTATGGAACACAACATTTTATGTCAAACACACAAAAAAGCTGAAAGAATTTTACAATGAGGCCAGGCACAGTGGCTCATGCCTGTAATCCCAGCACTTTGGGAGGCCAAGGTGAGCGGATCACGAGGTCAGGAGATCGAGACTATCCTGGCTAACACAGTGAAACCCCATCTCTACTAAAAATACAAAATCAAAAATTAGCCGGGCATGGTGGCGGGCGCCTGTAGTCCCAGCTACTTGGGAGGCTGAGGTGGGGGAATGGCGTGAACCCAGGAGGCAGAGCTTGCAGTGAGCTGAGATCACACCACTGCACTCCAGCCTGGGTGACAGAGCAAGACTCTGTCTCAAAAAAAAAAAAAAAGAATTTTACAGTGAACACTCACACTACCTAGATTTGACAATTAACATTTTACTATACTTACTCTTTACCACATTTCTAAACGTTTCACTATCCATTCACCCATCTTTTTTGGGGGGTGCATTTCAAAGTAAGTTTTAAAGATCAAGATCAGTATTCACTCTCCTATAATACTTCAACATGCTAGATTTTAATATATGTTTATAAGTTCCTTTGTTGGTGTCTTGAGGTAAAATTTACATACCATGATATGCACGAATCTTAAGGTACCATTCGATGAGTCCTGACGAATGCATGTACTGGTGTAACCAACATCTATCAAGATACAAACTATTATCAACCTTCCAGGAGGTTCTCTCCTCCCTTCCAAGCAAATCTTTGCCCTCACCCAGTACTTATAAAAATATGTGGCCTGATGCTTCCACATCATCTGGTGAGGTCAGGGATTGAAATCACTGTAACAATCCTCAAGTGGGGTAACTTAGGCCAGGAAGAAATTATTTTTTTTAGATCACATTAACATGATATGAAAACGAAAGTTCAGTCACTGAACAGTTTAAATGCTTTTCCCACTTGACTGTGTCCCAATTTTTCATTTTAAAATTTCCAAATGAAACTGAAATCAAATTTGTGACTTTAGACTGTTTCCAAGCAAACAAACAATTTTTTTTTGAGATGGAGTTTTGCTTTTGTTGCCCAGGCAGGAGTACAGTGGCATGATCTCGGCTCACTGCAACCTCCGCCTCCTGGGTTCAAGCGATTCTCCTGCCTCAGCCTCCTGAGTAGCTGGAATTACAGGCATGTGCCACCACGCCCAGCTAATTTTTTGTATTTTTAGTAGAGACGAGGTTTCTCCATGTTGGTCAGGCTGATCTCGAACTCCCGACCTCAGGTGATCAGCCCGCCTCGGCCTCCCAAAGTGCTGGGATTACAGATGTTAAGCCACCACACCCGGCTGCAAACAAACAATTGTTTATAATTTTTTGTCAAGACAAACCTATAGGAATAGCTAGTATGGAGAAAAAGAACCATAAATACATTTAAAAAGAGACAAAAACAATTCATATAGAAAATGCAATTAAGTTTAATTGCATTGACTGCTAATACTCACCTTACCATCTTAAAAACAAGTATTTGAAATAAATTCTAATAAAAGGAAAAGCCACGAGTATGTTACATAGCTAAACAGCACATATTTGCTTAATATTTACATTTTTATTATGATTCCAAATCTAATACAACCCAGATTGCAAAAATTAACAATTCCACTTTTTTTACTTATGCAAGCAAAGGCAGTAAGATTACTAAAAATATTCTTAGGATATCTGAAAACTATCAATAAACAGCATCTTTTTTCTTATTTGTTTAATAACTGCTGTCATTCTTTTTGTACGCAGCAATCACAAGATGTCAAACAAATTCTGCCTTGTCTGTGAGTACTGATAGATGTCTCTGCTTGTTTTTATTAAAAACAAAAAAATTTCCCTCCATTAGTTACCAACACTGGAGAAGTCAGGGCACTGCTGGGATGTTCACCAGCCTCTGGGCAAGCAGAGATGCAGCTCAAGAAAACCACAGAGCAAATGTGAATGCCGGAAGACATTTTTCTTTAACTCCCTTGGGGATCCGGCGACTCAACGTCTTAGATTCCCTTAAAGGGAAAAGCAGGAGTCTGCATGGGGGCAGGGTGGGATCATGTTTATCAGTCACAACAGTTCATCTGGGCCTGGATCCAGGTAGTCTGCATGTCTAAATTTGATGAAATATAGGCGCCACCAGGTAACAGTAGTGGTCAGGGAGCTTGCCAGAAACCTGTAACTCAAAACTAAAAAATGAAATTAAAAGACTACTTTAGCTAGGCAATTTCTTTCTTCAGGATGCAAACTGCAAACTACAAAGTTGAAAGAACAGACAATTCTTTGTTTTAAAGTTTCTTCTTCCTAATGTTAACACAACATCTGGGCCAGAAAAATATACACAAACATTTTCATACTTGCAGTTCAATACTGAACCAGCAGAACTTGCTCTCCTCTTCCTCCTTTCCCCTCTCCTCATTCTGCATGGGAGTTTGGCCTATGGCAGGGAGCCAAGGCCAGGGAGGTCTTGGGTGTATCCGGAGGGCAGGTACTCGGGGCAGTGGTGGCTAAGCAGACGCCTGACCCTGTCCTGTCAATAAACCTTAACCCCGACCTGCCAAGCCCCTGAGCCGCTCTTCTCTGTCTAGCCTTTTCTCTAATTGCTCTAAAAATGACTCTTCATTTAAAAGTACCTTTGTGTAAACACCCCACAGGAACTGACAGTCTTCAGAATCACCACACAGTTCTAGTTTTTCAGAAATGCAAGAAAAGTCTTTTACTGTTTGGTGGGACTTTGAAAATCAGTTTCAACTGCTGTGCAAAACAAAGCTCATCACTCGTTTAGCTTACTCTGCAGGTGACATTAATTTTGACTTTTAAGACTCTTTACAATGAAACATTAGACCATTTGATTAAGTAAGTTATTTGAGAGTAAAGATGGAGAAGTGATTTTCCCTGCAGAAACAGACTGCTTCTCTTACTTAGTTCTAAGCACCCCAGAGAGGTTAAGCTCAAATCTCCAGCTTCCTCATTCCATACCAGGAGTCCTGTGCTTCCTCATATAATTCTATCCCCATATATCCTAAAAGGACCAATATCTTTTTACCTAAACGTGAAAATGCAAACAAAAAATTAAAACGAAGAAGTGAGGAGATAATAGAAGAGGTTTTAGAGTATAGGATTTTTTTTAATAATAAAATTAACTCTGCCTTGTAGACAAGTACAAAACAATTTTTTTCTGGTTTGTGGCTTTTTTTAATAGTAGTAAAAAAAATTATATAAACACAATTTACTTTTGACTCCTTGGAAGCAATTCCCTGAGCCACTAAATTATTTCATTCCTATTGACATAATGGGAAAGCCATTTACTGTCAACTTTATAACAGGAAACCAGACCTGAATTTTGCAAATCCCAAGTTCTCTTCTGATTAGATGTAGGTTAAATCCTGCCTTTTAAAGTATGGCTTATTTAAATAGCTCAAATTTTTAAAAATTACTCTCTCTAGTAATTTATTACTAAACACTGACAAATAAAAGAAAGCTCCCCTAAATGTTCTATTTTCTCCACAATACTTATCACCTTCTAAAATACTTTGCTTTACTTATTTTATTTGCTTATTGCCTACCAATGCAAACTCCTATAGGGTAGGGGGTTTTGTCTGTGTTGATGTACTCCCAATGACTAGAACAGTGTCTGGCATATAGTAAGCCCTCAATAGTTTTAGAACTAGTGAATAAAAATTGGACACATTGTGCAAACACTGTTAAATGAAATAAGGGTATTTATCTTATTTCTACTTATCTACCTTACTCTACATTTCAGTATAAGCTCTTATTGTGGGCACGAAAGAAGACGGCCCCTGCTTTTTTTGTTGTTGTTTTTAATCAACTACCCGAAAGCTTTACCTGCCCTCCCCAATACCAGTTAAATTGCAGGGAGGAAAAGCCTTGATATTTCAGAGTTGAAGTAGATTTTAAAAACCACTTAAAACTGAGGTTAGGCCGGGCGCGGTGGCTCACGCCTGTAATCCCAGCACTTTGGGAGGCTGAGGCGGGTGGATCATGAGGTCAGTAAATCAAGACCATCCTGGCCAACATGGTGACACCCCATCTCTACTAAAAACATAAAAATTAGCCGGGCATGATGGCGTGCGCCTGTAGTCCCAGCTACCTGGGAGGCTGAGGCAGGCAAATTGCTTGAACCCGGGAGGTTGCGACAAGCCAAGATTGCGCCACTGCACTCCAGCCTGGAGACAGAGCAAGACTCTTGTCTAAAAAAAAGAAACAAACATACCTGAGATTGGAGCCCTAGAATGCCAGGAGGAATTTGTTGAACATGCAGATTCCCATGTCTCACCTATACCTACTGACTCAAATCCATATGTTCAAGTAACTTATAGTCTAGAAGAGAAAAAATCATGAACTAATTAAGTGATGGTTACAATATAGCACTAGAGGTATGATCAGGAAGCCACTGGAACCAAGAGGTGGCTCGTCTAAATCAAATGGTACTTGAGATGAATTTTAAAGAATGAGCAGAAATGTATTGCTAGATGAAGATTAGTGGCATGCACAATTCACAGAGAGTAGGTTTTATAAAGTTTATAGGTGCTAAGGCTTGACGGAAGAGGCCGCTGCACCTGGCCTCTTGGAGATTATATACATATATATAGTCTCTAGGCCCTTTCCTCCTTGGAAATATATAATATGTATATATTTTATATATATACAATAGACAGAGGGGTCTCTCTATGTTGCCCAGGCTGGTTTTGAACTCCTGAGTTCAAACAATCCTCCCGCCTCCACCTCCCAAAGTACTGGAATTACAGGCATGAGCCACCATGCCCAGCCCCATGAAAGTTTTTAAAAATAGTATTCTATTCTTGTTTTGCGGTTGGAAAATTTTTCTTGAGTATATTATTAATAGTTTTCTAGAAAATTTCTTCTCTGTGTAGTCTCTGAATTCTTTTTCTTTCTTTCTAACCTAGGCTGGAGTACAATGCAGTGGCAGCTCAAGTGATCCTCCTATCTCACACTCTTTCATAGATAGGACTACAGACATCCATCACCACACCCAGCTAATTTTTAAATATTCTGTAGAGATGGGTTCTCACTGTGTTGCCCAAGCTGGTCTTGAACTCCTCGTCTCAAGTGATCCTCCCACCTCAGCCTCCCAGAGTGCTGGGATTACAGGTATGAGCCACTGCGCCTGGCTTCTTTCTTTTGTTTGTTTGGTATTTGTCTTTTATATTAGAGGCGTTCTCAGATATCTGGAAATCCATGGTTGTCTGCTTCTATGTAAGAGTGGGGGATTTAAAACCCTCAGTGGACTCATGAAAGACAAGGAAAGACTGAGGAACTGTCAGAAGATTATAGAAGACTAAGAAGACTTTACAACTAAATTACATTGTGGAATACCGAATTGGATCCTGGAAAACAAAAAGAATTTTAGTGGAGAAATTGGTGAAATTTACCTACATTCTGGAAGATAAATAGGAGGGCAGAAAGGTAATAGCCCGCAGCAGGTGGCGGTGGGGTGAGGGGGGGATGGGGGGTGTCCTAGCATCCAAGTATGCAGTTGTTCACTTAATCTCCCTCATCACTCATCATAGTACCCCACCCTTAACCGGGATACTATGTTGCTAGCCTTCTCCAGTCAGAGACCTCTCTGTTTTATTCTCTCTTGAGAGTGTTTTACTCTCTCCTAAGAATAATTCTGCCAGAATGGTAGAGGGGTAGTCATTACATTTTGTAGAGTATGAGATCTGGAGGTTAGCAGTTCTTCGTTTTAGTTCCACTTCACTCTTGTATCAAGAGATACCTGGTGCCACCAGTTGATTCCTGGGAATTCTTGCTTTCTCTACCACCTGAACAGGATTATGTTTTCTTGGTTCTGCTGCCATTTACTTCCTATTATCTGCTTTTCAGCTTCTGGTCTTTTTTTGCTTGTTTCCTGTTGTCTCCTCTCCTGTTCTCTAATCTTATAGGGTCATGCCCTAATCTACAAGAGAGGCAGCAAGGGTAGATGTGTATTTGAACTTTGGACTTCTGAAATGAATTTTGTTGCATCTTGGCCAGAAATATTGCCCTTATACGTGTCATATTTTGTTTCATTTTACTTCAGTTTTGCAATTTCCTTTTTTTTTTTTTTTTTTTTTGAGACAGAGTCTCACTCTGTCACCCAGGCTGGAGTGCAGTGGTGCGATCTCAGCTCACTACAACCTCCTGCTCCCAGGTTCAAGCGATTCTCCTGCCTCAGCCTCCCAAGTAGCTGGGATTACAGGTGCCTGCCACCACACTCGGCTAATTTTTGTATTTTTAGTAGAGACGGGGTTTCACCATGTTGGTCAGGTTGGTCTCAAACTCCTGATATCGTGATTCACCCGCCTCAGCCTCCCAAAGTGTTGGGATTACAGGTGTAAGCCACCGCGCCCAGCCCAGTTTTAAAATTTCTTTTGTGGGACTAACCCTTATCTAATTTTCAATCCTTTTCCTTTACCTAGTGACAATTACCCAATTTCTCAAACAGTTCACTGGGTCTTATCACCTCTGATATGATGACAGCTTGAAGGGCCTCAAGTTTTTCTGCAAGTCCATTTTTTTTTCTCTATTAAATTCTGGGCAAGACAACACTGTTAATCTTTGAAGACTATCCATGAATCACATTTTTGTCCATATTCCTAATTTTTCCTTTAACTTTTTTTTGCCCTCATACTTCATGTCTGGTAATTTTGTTAGTCAGAAATCTACCACTTACCACTCATGGGATGAAAAAAGCACAGTCCTTACCCTGAGGGAACTTACAGTTTAATACAGGTGAACGTGAGCCACCTTTTATATATATGTATGTATGAAAGGTTTTAGATATATACACATATATACATATATACACATATATACATATATATACACATATATATACATATATACCTATATATACACATATATATACACATATATATGTCTGTCTTGTTCCATGAAAGGTTTTATATATGTGTATATATATAAAATGTGTGTGTGTGTGTGTGTGTGTGTGTGTGTGTGTGTGTAAAACCTTTCATGGAACAAGACAGACTCTTGGAGATTTAAAATATGGCAACAGAAATGAAAACCTCAATTGAAGGGATAGAGAAGAAACTTGAGGAACTCCTCCAGAAAAGAAAGGAAACAGACCAAGTCCAGAGGGGATCTGGGAATTAAAGAACCACACAAATGAACGTGATTTTAAAATGTGATATACGTTACAAAGAAGCATAGACCACAATGACAGAATATATCTGAGGCCCCTCCTTTGGGTAGAGAGGTCAGGAAATCCCTCTCTTAAAGTGACAATGAGATGAAGACCTCAAGAACAAGCAGGAATTAGCCAGATGAAGAGCTGGGGGAAGATGGTTCAAGCACGAGGAATAGCATATGCAAAGATCCCAAGGAGGAAAGGGCCTAGAGAATTACAGCACCTGAGGGGCAGGCCAGTGGACAGGAGTGGAAGGACTGGAGACCAGAGTGAAGGGATGAGGCCAGAGAGCCTTGGAGGTCAGGAACTTACAGTGACTACAATGAGAAGCCAAGAAAAGATTTTAAGGGGGAGTGAAATGATCCAATGTACTTTTAAAATTTATTTTATTTTCATATTTTTCTTTCTTTCTTTCTTTTTTGGGGGGGTGGGGGCAAGGTCTGGCTCTATCGCCCAGGCTGCAGTACAGTGGCGCCATCCTGGCTCACTGCAACCTCCACCTCCCCAGCTCAAGCAATCCTCCCACCTCAGCCTCCCAAGTAGCTGGGATTACAGGTGCACACCACCACGTCCAGCTAATTTTTGTATTTTTTTTTGTAGAGACAGGGTTTTTCCATGTTGCCCAGGCTGGTCTCGAACTTCTGGGCTGAAGCCATCCACCTGCCTTGGCCTTCCAAAGTGGTGGGATTACAAGCATTAGTCACCACGCCTGGACTATTTATATATATATATATATATATATATATATATTTTTTTTTTTTTTTTTTTTTTTTTTGAGACAGGGTCTCACTCTGTCACCCAGGCTGGAGTGCAGTGGCATGATCTCAGCTCACTGCAACCTTGGACTCCTGGGTTCAAGCAATTCTCCTGCCTCAGCCTCTTAAGTAGCTGGGATTACAGGCACATGTGACCGCGCCCAGCTAATTTTTTTTTTCTTTTTTTGTTTTTTTTTTTTTGATAGAGACGGAGTTTCACTATATTAGCCAGGCCGATCTCGAACTCCTGACCTCAAGTGATCTGCCCGCCTCAGCCTCCCAAAGTGTTAAGATTACAGGCATGAGCCACCATGCCCGGCTCTCTATTTTTATAGTTTTAAGACACAAGAGTCCCACTCTGTTGCCCAGGCTGGAGTGCAGTGGCACAATCATAGCTCACTGCAGCCTTAAACTCCTGGGCTAAAGCAATCCTCTACCTCAGCCTCCCGAGTAGCTACATGCACATGCCACCATACCCAGCTAATTTTTAAATGTTTTATAAAGATGGGGGTCTCACTATGTTGCCCAGGCTAGTCTGGAACTCCTGGCCTTAAGCGATCCTCCCATCTTGGCTTTCCAAAGTGCTGGGATTACAAGTGTGAGCCACCATGTCTGGCCACAATGTACTTTTTCAAAGGTCACTTGACTGCAGTGTGGAGAATAAACTGGAGGAAGTATAATAGTTTAATAGGCAGTATTTTAATGACCATACAACAGCCCATCTCAACTTATGAATAAATCATAATTTACTGAATCATTTCTCTATTTTATTGGACATTTAGACTATTTCCAGTTCTTTGCTAATATTAATATAAGCGACACTGTAATAAACATTCTTGAACCTAAATCTTTGGCAGCATCTCTAATTATTTTCTTTCTTTTTTTTGAGACAGAGTCTCACTGTTGCCCAGGCTCGAGTGCAGTGGTGCAATCCCAGCTCACTGCAACCTCCACCTCCTGGGTTCAAGTGATTCTCCTGCTTCAGCCTCCCAAGTAGCTGGGATTACAGGTGGGCGCCACCATGCCTGGCTAATTTTTGTACTTTTAGCAGAGACGAGGTTTCGCCATTTTTGGCCAGGCTGGTCTCAAATTCCTGACCTCTGGGATTACAGGCGTGAGCCACCACGCCCGACTTAATTATTTTCTAAATATAGATTTCTAGAAGTGGAATTAAGTAAATAAGTTAAAGGGTATGAAATTTTGTGGCTATTTTATAAAAATTGTTTTTAAAAGATAAAGATTTTGATCATTAAATATAAAAAATCTACTTTGCAAAATGGATATCTTTTCACCTATCCAGTCAAATTATATCAGCGGAAATGTGCTTTAAAAAGATGAAAAACTAGGCCAGCGCAGTGGCTGACGCCTGTAATCCCAGCACTTAGGGAGGCTGAGGTGGGCGGATTACAAGGTCAGGAGTTCGAGACCATCCTGGCTAACATGGTGAAACCCCATCTCTACTAAAACTAAAAAAAAATAGCCGGGTGTGCTGGCGGGCGCCTGTAGTCCCAGCTACTCGGGAGGCTGAGGCAGGAGAATTTCTTGAACCCGGGAGATGGAGGTTGCAGTGAGCCGAGATTGCACCACTGCACTCCAGCCTGGGCAACAGGGCCAGACTCTGATTCAAAAAAAGAAAAAAAGATGAAAAACTATCTGGATGTAAAAATTACCACATTGTAAAAAATAAGTGGCAAGATAGTCATCAAAACCAATACTGTCCAACTTCTTGGTCAGAACAGGCCACATTTTAAACAACCAACATGTCAGAAGCAGGCTATGCCTCTGAATCAAATGACTACACCTTTGGGACAACCTAAAATAATCCCAATGTAATGTAATATGCTAAGTATATATCTCTTTGTGTTTTTATAATAATAAATTTCTGACCAGGCACGGTGGCTCATGCCTGTAATCCCAGCACTTTGGGAGGCTGAAGCAGGCAAATCACCTGAGGTCAAGAGTGCAAGACCAGCCTGGCCAACATAGTGAAACCCTGTCTCTATTAAAAATACAAAAATTAGCCAGGCATGGTGGCAGGTGCCTGTAATCCCAGCTACTTGGGAAGGCTGAGGCAGGAGAATCGCTTGCACCCAGGAGGTGGAGGTTGCAGTGATCCTGCTACTGCACTCCAGCCTGGGTGACAGAGTGAGATTCCCTCTCAAAAAAAAAAGTAGTCCAGATGCAGTGGCTCACGCCTGTAATCCCAGCACTTTCAGAGGCCGAGGCAGGCAGATCACTTGAGGTCAGGAGTTCGAGATCAGCCTGGCCAATATGGTGAAACCCCGTCTCTACTAAAAAATACAAAAAATTAGCTGGGCATGGTGGTGCGCACCTGCAGTCCCAGCTACTCGGGAAGCTGAGCCAGGAGAATCGCTTGAACCCAGGAGGCGGAGGTTGCCCTGAGCCAAGATCACGCCACTGCACTCCAGCCTGGGTGACAGAGCAAGACTCTGTCTCAAAAAAAAAAAAAAAGAAAAAAAAAGTATAATGTTTCTTTGTTATAAATATATTTACAAATTGGAAAAAATGCTTCATCAGACTGTGTCTCCCAATGCTGTGCATGGTCACGTTCTGCCAAGCAAAGCTGTCATTTTGCTCTCTCTATTCTCTCACATGTGGCCTCTTTCACACGCAAATTTCCCTCCTTTGTTCCTCATTTCAGTGACCAGCATCTGCATACCCAAGCCCCTTTATGTCCTTGCCTACTTCTTCTCCCTGCCATCCTGTCTTTGTATACAGGCCTCACCACCCTAATATTGACATATTTATTTTCTCTCCCATGGATGTGATCCCCCTCTCTCCCACACTACTTCGCTCTCACTTTCATCTTCCCTCAGACTCCTGAGACCTGTCACCTTTCCTCTCCCTTCTCTAATAACTCCTGCCCCCGGTCCTAGTTCAGGGAAGAACTGTTAAGTCAAGAAATCTGCCAAGGTGGCTGAGGGGACAACTGGGGCAGATGCGTAGATGCTGGGCATGAGGACACCAGGTGGCCAGGCTGGGTTTCCCAGGCCTCTGAGGCAGGAGGGGGTGGACCTGAACTAAAAGATGGGGCCAACGAAGCCGGGGACAGAAGCCAAGTCCTGCTGCTCGACAGCCGGAGCGCACACACAAGCCACCCGGAAATGCTCTGTGGCCTGGATGGGCTCTGAGAGTTGCCAGTTGGACATACTGACCTAGACAAGCAATTAGCTGTGTTCAAGGTCTGCTGCACAGATCATATACTCTTGTAAACTAGGCTAAATCCCCTGTTAAGAGTTACTGATTTTTCTTCCCCTAAATTCTCCAGATTTACAGTCACAATAAGAATTGGAAAACAAATCAGACAAGGGAACTGAACATTTGACACATACCGAACATGAGACTTAATGTTCTTTTATGTACTTTTGGAAACAAACCAGGTATTCAGTGAACACTGGGAGATCTAGTAGGTATGTTTAATGAGAATTTGTACCGGGAAGGAATTTGAGATCAAGGTCAGGAATGATTAATATGCATGCAGGAAGTCATCAACATTTAAGCATAAGCAGTATGAATCTCATTAAATCTTCAATAGCTTCCTATTGCCTGAAGGAACTGGTGGCATTCTAATGATTAAAGCAGTAACATTAAGGTAGAAAACAACATTAGAAAATTAATCTGACCCTCATGAAACAAGCTACCCCAAAATACTAAGCCACAAAAACTGGCTTTGCGAGACTGTCTTCCGCAGCTGTGATTTTTCTTTAAAGTGCAGCATCTCCTTCCGTTAAGTTAGAAGGCTTTGGTAAAAGTGACCAGTGACAGAGGTGTTCAAGGGCTCTCTTTTTAAAATCTAGGTAATTGATACTCTCCCCCACGCTTCACCCCATGGTGAAGCCATCACGTTGCTATCTAGCTGTTTGTCCCGTCTCCCACTCACTAGCCCCAGAACAGCCTTCTCCTGCTGTGTCCCTCACTCGCTTTTCTGATTGCAGTGCCCCTGCGCTCGGGCGATGTCCTGAACAGCTGCTATGCACAGAGCATAAAGTAGGGGAGAGAGGACAGAAGACCACAGAGAGGAGTTGTCCTTTGAAATATCAATTCTTAAAGAGGTTGGTATTCAGGAGCATCAGCTAGTTTGAGGAGAATAAGGCCAGGGAGCTCTTTTCTCTCCTGACCTATTTCTATTTGATCTTAATCATAATCTTACTGACAGAGACAGGGTGTGTGGGACCCCACGTCCAGAATGATCACAATGCTGACTCAAAGGAAAAACAAGGTTGTGATAATATAGACTCTAAATGTGAAAGATAAAAGGGATGGCAAGAGTTAACTTTCATAAAGGAATATTTCAGTACTTAATAAACGTTGTCTTGTGGATGTGGTAATTTTACCACATCCTTACCAGTTTCTTTGCTTCCCTCTGCATCTAAACATAGCCTATTTCAAAACCAAAACAAAATATATGTCCGCAGAAAAACACATACACAAATATTCATAGTAGCATTATTCATAAGAACTAAAAAGTAGAAATGACCCAAATGTCCACAAACTGGTGAATGGATAAACAAAATGTGATATATCCATACAGTGGCATATTATACAGCAATAAACTGACACATGCCACAATAGGGATGAACCATGAAAACATCATGCTAAATGAAAGAAGCCAGTCACAAAAGACTGCATGTTGTATGATTCCATTATATGAAATGTCCAGGAGAGGCAAATCTATAGAAACAGAAAGATTAGGCCGGGCGCGGTGGCTCACGCCTGTAATCCCAGCACTTTGGGAGGCCAAGGCAGGAGGATCACGAGGTCAGGAGATCGAGACCAGCCTGGCTAACACAGTGAAACCCTGTCTCTACTAAAAATACAAAAAATTAGCTGGGCGTGGTGGCGGGCGCCTGTAGTCCCAGCTACTCTGGAGGCTGAGGCAGGAGAATGGCATGAACCTGGGATGCGGAGCTTGCAGTGAGCCGAGATCGCGCCACTGCACTCCAGCCTGGGCGACAGAGTGAGACTCCATCGCCAAAAAAAAAAAAAAAAGAAACAGAAAGATTAGTGGTTGCTTAAGGATGAGGGGATGGGCAGATTGGGGAGTGACTGCTAATGGGTAAGAGGTTTCTCTTTGGGGTGATAAAAATGTAAAACTGATTGTGGTGATGCTTGCACAACTCTTTGAATATACTAAAAAATCACTGAATTATACACCTTAAATAGGTGAACTGTATGGACTGTGAATTATATCTCAAAAAAGCTGTTAAGATTGAACAGACAGGCTGGGCGCGGTGGCTCACGCCTGTAATCCCAGCACTATGGGAGACTGAGGCAGGCAGATCACTTGAGGTCAGGAGTTTAAGAGACCAGCCTGGCCAACATGGTGAAACCCCACCTCTACTAAAAATACAAGTTAGCCAGGTGTGGTGGCATGTACCTGTAATCCCAGCCACTCGTGAGGCTGAGGCAGGACAATCGCTTGAACCTGGGAGGCGGAGGTTGCAGTGAGTGGAGATCGAGATCATGCCACTGCACTCCAGCCTGGGTGAAAGATCAGAGACTTCATCTCAAAAAAAAAAAAAAAAACATTGGGCAGGTGAATCACTTGAGGCCAGGAGTTCAAGACCAGCCTGGCCAACATGGCGAAACCCTGTCTCTTACTAAAAATACAAAAACTAGCCAGGCGAGGTGGCACACGCCTACAATCTCAG
This sequence comes from Homo sapiens, assembly GCF_000001405.40. Taxonomy (NCBI): domain Eukaryota; kingdom Metazoa; phylum Chordata; class Mammalia; order Primates; family Hominidae; genus Homo; species Homo sapiens. The sequence continues at coordinate 172,010,623 of NC_000002.12, read as the reverse complement.
CCACTCGGGGGGCTGAGGCAGGAGAATCACTTGAACCCGGAGGCACAGGTTGTAGTGAGCTGAGATTGCACCACTGTCCTCTAGCTTGCGTGACAGAGTGAGATTCTGTTAAAAAAAAAAAAAAAAAAAAGAGGAAAGAAGGAAAGAAGGAAAAAAGTTGTTAAAAAAAAAAAAAAAGGGCTGGGTGCAGTGGCTCACATCTATAATCCTAGTACTCTGGGAGGCCAAGGTGGGCTGACCAATCACTTGAGCTCAAGAGTTCAAAGCCAGCCTGGGCAACATGGTGAAACCCCATCTCTACAAAAAATGCAAAAAATTAGCCAGGTGTGGTGGTGTGCACCTGTAGTCCCAGCTACTTGGGGGGCTGAGGTGGAAGGATCGCTTGGGCCTGGGAGGTCAAGGCTGCAGTGAGTTGAGATTGCGCCACTGCACTCCAGCCTGGGTGACAAAGTGAGACCCTGTCTCAAAAAAAAAAAAAAAAGAAGGGACAAAAAACCCCTCCACAATTCTCTACAACCACCACCAACTGTCACTTTTCACAAGCTCCTTCTACTGCTAAATTTTGCTCCAAGCCGCCATCATCACTAGTGGCCAAATTCACTGATACTTAGTCATCCTGCAATTTCATCTTAGAGACTCTTTTCCCTACTAAGTTCTCTGTTCCTGCCAACTCCTCCTTTTCTGCTTTGATGCCCCTTCCCTTCCTCGGGTCTCCTTTCCAGCAAACCACCAGGTCATGATGATTTCTCCTCTGTACCATTTCCTTGGCATCCATCTCTCCCTTTCCATCCCGCAGTCATTACCCTAGTTCAGGTCCTTCTGTTTCTGCCATTATCTTCTAACTGACTGCAATGGCTTTCCCTCTCCAATACATTCAGAACACACAAGCAGCAGATTAAAATGGAGACACCATCTCACTTTCTTGTTAATCCTCTCTTACCCTACAGTCTTCCACTCTAACATTAAGGTATAGTAAGAGTTTCTTAAATTCCATATATTAGAAATGCTACTTCTGTCAATAGCTCTTCTATCTTGAATCTTGCAATCCTGCCTCACAATTTCAATGCTCCATGACGTTTCATATACTTTCAGAAAATTAAAGAAGTAGATACACAATTAAAAATAAACCCATATAAAAAAAATTAACCCATATAATGACCCGAAACAAAAATTCATTGGTCACTTTTGGAGGATAAACCTGTTACGGTAGTCTCCTCTTAGATAAGAGTTTCAGTTATCCAAGGTCAATCAAGGTCTAAAAATATTAAATAGAAAATTCCAGGCCGGGCGCGGTGGCTCACGCCTGTAATCCCAGCACTTTGGGAGGCCGAAGTGGGCGGACCACGAGGTCAGGAAATCGAGACCATCCTGGCTAACACGGTGAAACCCCGTCGCTACTAAAAAATACAAAAAAAATTAGCCTGGCGCGGTGGTGGGCGCCCCTAGTCCCAGCTACTCGGGAGGCTGAGGCAGGAGAATGGCGGGAACCCGGGAGGTGGAGTTTGCAGTGAGCAGAGATCGCGCCACTGCACTCCAGCCTGAGAGACACGGCGAGACTCTGTCTCAAAAAAAAAAAAAGAAAGAAAATTCCAGAAATAAACAATTCACAAACACACCGTTCTGCACAGCGTGATGAAATCTCACACTGGCCCACTCCATTCTGCTCAGGACATGAATCCTCCCTTTTGTCAGCAGGTCCACACCCTGCACACTAGCAACCCATTAGTCATCCACATTCTCTGCTTCTGACATCATGTCATGGCTTAGTGATCCAGGATCACCTGAAGCAGATGATTCTCCTTCAGACATGTAGTCTAAAACTACATCACAATGCTTTCTCATTCACCTCACTTCATCACGTAAGCATTTTATCATCTCACATCATCATAAAAAAAAAGGGGTGAGCACAGTGAAAAAGATATTTTGAGAGAAAGGCCACATTCACCTAACTTTTATTACAGTATATTGTTAAAATTGTTCTATTTTTAGTGATTGTTGTTAATTTCATACTCTGCCTAATTTATAAATTAAACCTTACCACAGAAATGTGTGTATAGGAAAAAGCATAGTACAGCACCGTGCAGGGTTCAGTACCATCTGTGGCTTCAGACATCCACTGAGGGTCTGGGAACATACCCCCATTGGATAAGCGGGGGACTATGGTATTTTAAAAACTGATAAATAAGGAGAACAAACCATTTAACTTTCCTTGCTGGGACAGGGCCTGTCAGGGTAATGAAATACTTGATGAGAAAGTTTCTCTTTGTAGATGTTTTCTAGCTGATAAATAAAGAAGGAGTAATTAAAATATTGTCATTTGTAAACTCCTAATGAGCCAGGTCATGATTGCCAATGGCCACTAATGTCTCCAATGTCTCCAGGCCACAATGTCTCCAGCAACACCACTATGAAGTACTTGTACCAAAAAATGTCTAACTTAAATCAGGCCTTGGATCTAACTACCATTTTATAGAGGAACATCTTCAACAAGCCCTGTGGAATATAATACCATCAGCAAAATCCACAAAATGCAAAGCTCCACAGAACCAATAGGCTAACCAGTTGCTTCAACAAATAATTTTCAAAAAAAAAAAAAAAGGGAAAGTAAACTTATAGATTAAAAAAAATAATAATATCCGGCTAGGCGCGGTGGCTCATGCCTGTAATCCCAGCACTTTGGGAGGCTGAGGTGGATCACTTGAGATCAGGAGTTGGAGACCAGCCTGGCCAACATGGTGAAACCCCGTCTCTACTAAAAATACAAAAATTAGCCGGGTGTCGTGGCATGCGCCTGTAATCTCAGCTACACAGGAGGCTGAGGCAGGAGAACTGCTTGAACCCAGGAGAAGAAGGTTGCAGTGAGCTGAGAATGCGCCACTGCACTCCATCCTGGGCAACAGAGACTCTGTCTCAAAAAAAACAAAATTAATATCCTTTTCCATCCATTCCAGCATAACTGGTACTAGAATTCCCACCTGTCTTAACCAATTAGACAAAATATGTGAAGCAACTATATCTTGGCACTGGATATTAGGCAATGCAGGACCATGAACCTTAAAAGAAAACAATACAACACATGAGCCCACACTGGCCTCAGCCACCCCCTAGAACTAACAGCAAAACACAAATAGATCCATCCTAACAGAGAATAAAAACCAAGCCTGAAAGAATCAAACAGATTTAACATATTGCCTGGCAGTTGTTTAAAACATATGTTAAAGAAAAACAACATAATCTCCACCAAGATATTATCTGTCATGCCACTTATAAAATTAAATATTACATGATTAGCCAGACATGGTGGTGTGCGCCTATAGTCCCAGCTACTTGGAAGGCTGAGGCAGGAGGATTGCTTGAGCCCAGGAGTTTGAGGTTGCAGTGAGCTATGATTGTACCACTGCACTCCAGCCTGGGTGACAGAACAAGGCCCTTCTCTTAAAAAAAAAAAAAAAAAAAAATTACATGACATGGGAAGCAGCAGGAAAACGTAATGTACAATAAAAAAAAAAACAGCAGTCAACAAAACAGAAACAGACTCTGAGGAGACCCAATAATAAAATTAACAGATTTTTAAAAAGCTGTTATAAATATGTATGTTCAAGTACTTAAAGGAAAAGATGAACATAATGAGTGAACAGGTGGGAAATCTCAACAAGAAATGGAAATTATAATGCAAATTCTAGAACTGATATGTACAACGTAAGAAGAAAAAAATGGCTCCCTATCTTTTAGAGATACACGGTAAAAAATCTACAGATGAAATAATATATCTGGAATGTGCTTCAAAATAATCCACCTGTGGGGAGGCAAAGTAACTGGGAGTATAGATGTAACAATAGTGGCCATAGGTTGATGACTATTGTAACTAGATGATGGCTACGTGGGAGTTCATTGTACTATTCTCTCTACTTTTGCATTATGTTTAACTGTCTCCATGTTCAAAAGCTAAAAAAGAAAATTCAGTCTCCGTAAAAACAAGCTGTTTCAGCTTAAAACTAGATGTTGTTCAAATGAAGTTCTGCATACACATAGTACTTCTCCCATCTTTGCCAAGTTCCCTAAGATATATAGCATCCACACTGATTTTTATGGATTTCTAATGCTTGAGGAAAGCGGGTATTTCATAGAAACTATAAATATTGGCCAGGCGCAGTGGCTCACACCTGTAATCCCAGCACTTTGGGAGGCCAAGGCAGGCAGATCACGAGGTCAGGAGATCGAGACCAGCCTGGCTAACACGGTGAAACCCCATCTCTACTAAAAATACAAAAAATTAGCTGGGCGTGGTGGCAGGTGCCTGTAGTCCCAGCTACTTGGGAGGCTGAGGCAGGAGAATGGCATGAACCTGGGAGGCGGAGCTTGCAGTGAGCCGAGATCCCGCCACTGCACTCCAGCCTGGGTGACAGAGCGAGACTTCGTCTCAAAAAAAAAAAAAAACAAAAACTATAAATATCTGCTTGTATGTCATACTCTGTGTGTATACATGTTATATACACTTAGACACATGTATACACATATACAGAAATATTGATATTTTATTTACAAAATGTGAGTAGCTTATATTGTTTTATAACTTGCTTTTCCATAATAATGTATTTTGTGGACATCATTCCATACCAACAAATGCAGGTCAATATATTTTTTTTTAATGACTGCAAAGCATTCATCACTGAGGGTCTATATGCCCTGTAGTATACATTGAAATTTCATAATTTCAATGGGAGACAGAACTATTTGTAGTACAGAAAGCTGTTTCACATCAACCAATGAGTAGATAAATAAAATGTGTTATACATGGTAGCTTATGCCTGTAATCCCAGCACTTTGGGAGGCCGAGGTGGGTGGATCATTTGGGTCAGGAGTTTGAGATCAGCCTGGCCAACATGGTGAAATCCCGCCTCTACAAAAAAATACAAAAATTAGCCGGGCATGGTGGCGGGTGCCTGTAGTCCCAGCTATTCAGGAGGCTAAGGCAAGAGAATTGCTTGAACCCGGGAGGCGGAGGTTGCAGTGAGCCGAGACTGCACCACTGCACTCCAGCCTGGGTGACAGAGAGACTCTCAAAAAAAAAAAAAAAGATATATATATATATATATATATATAAAATACAGACACCATGGAATACTACTCAGACATAAAAAGGAACAAAATAATGTCTTTTGTAGCAACTTGGATGGAACTGGAGGCCATTATTCTAAGTGAAGTAACTCAGGAAAAGAAAACCAAATACTGTATGTTCTCACTTATAAGTGGGAGCTAAGCTATGAGGATGCAAAAACATACAGAGCAATATAATGAACTCTAGGGATGCAGGGGTGAAGGATAAAAGAAAACATACTGGGTACAATGTACACTGCTTGGGTGATGGGTGCACTAAAATCTCAGAATTCACTTCTAAAGTATTCATCCATGTAACGAAAAACTACCTGTACCCCAAAAACTATTGAAATAAAACATAAAATAAATAAATAAGAAAGAAAGAAAACTGTTTCACAGCCTGGGCAGCATGATGATAACCTGTCTTTATGAAAAAAACAAAAAATTAGCTGGGTGTGGTGGTGTGCGCCTAGCCACTCAGGAGGTTGAGGTGGGAGGACTGGTCGAGCCCAGGAAGTTGAGGCTGTAGTGACCTGTGATTGTGCCACTGCACTCCAGCCTTCGTGACAGAGACCCTGAAAAAAGAAAAAAAAAAGGAAGGAAGAAAGGAAGCAAGCTAGCTGTTTCAAATAGAGGAAAACACATACAAGTATGTATGGATTTAGGAGCACTTTAGAGCCAAGGTTTCATAAGTATTTCTTAATCTGTGTAGTAACATGCCATATTATAATAGAATTGGAATGTATTTGTTAAAAGATGTCATACGGCAAAACTCCATTTCCATTCTCTGGATGTCAACAGGAATGTAGTCTAAGTAATAGGAAGCTAAACTTAGGAATGTTAGCATTTTCCAAATCACCCATGAATTGCATCCCAAAAGTTTAATTATAAGTTGGTTTGGCGGCTGGGCGTGGTGGCTCATGCTTATAATCCCAGCACTTTGGGAGGCCGAGGCAGGTGCGTCACCAGAGGTCAGGAGTTCGAGACCAGCCTGGCCAACATGGCGAAACCCCCGTCTCTACTAAAAATACAAAAATTAGCCGGGCATGGCGGCGGATGCTTGTAATTCCCACTACTCAAGAGGCTGAGGCAGGAGAATCACTTGAATTTGGGTGGCAGAGGTTGCAGTGGGCCAAGATCACACCACTGCATTCCAGCCTGGGCAACAGAGCAAGACTCCGTCTCGATTTAAAAAAAAAAAGAAAAGTTGGTTTGGCAAAACTGAGCAGACATTTTCCTGCAGAAGCTATACAAGATAGCAAGGATCTCAGGGCAGTTGGCAAAAGTTTAAAGTACTTAACTCATGATGTATAACAGCCCCTCCCCTGCCTGGCTATTACATTTTTGAAAAACCACTAAGGTAACAAAATTCTCAGTGGAGGAGTCTAGGGCCTTACAGTCACAAGTGAACAAAAGTACTTCTAAGTTTTTTTTATATTTGTTAAAAATAAGTAAATGGCCAGGTGCGGTGGTTCATGCCTGTAATCCCAGCACTGTGGGAGGCTGAGGCAGGCGGATCACTTGAAGTCAGAAGTTCAAGAGAGACCAGCCTGGCCAACATGGCAAAACCCCGTGTCTACTTAAAAATACAAAAATTAGCCAGGCGTGGTGGTGGGCACCTGTGGTCCCAGCTACTCGGGAGGCTGAGGCAGGAGAATCACTTCAACCCGGGAGGCAGAGGTTGCAGTGAGCCAAGATCGCACCACTGCACTTCACCCTGTGCTACAGGGCGAGACTCTGTCTCAAAAAAAAAAGAAAGAAAATATGCCCTCTTACTTGCTGTATTAGTCTGTTCTCACACTGCTATGAAGAAATTCCTGAGACTGGGTAATTTATAAAGAAAAGGGGTTTAATTGACTCACAGTTCTGCATGGCTCGGGAGGCCTCAGGAAATGTATAATCATGGCAGAAGGCACCTCTTCACAGGGTGGCAGGAGAGAGAATGAGTGCAAGCAGGAGAAAATGCCAGACGCTTATAAAACTATCAGATCTCCTGAGACTCACTCATTATCACAAGAACAGAATGGGGGAAACTATCCCCATGATCCAATTACCTCTACCTGGTCCTGCCCTTGACACATGGGGATTATTACAATTCAAGCTGAGATTTCCTTGTTCCTCTTCATATTCACTGGGATCTTGCTTCGTGGCCCGAGCTAGACCTGGGATTCCAGTGAAGCGAGGGCTGGGAGTGAGACTGAGATAGGAGAGAGTTCCTGGGGCCCCAGGGTAGGGATTCTGTACTCTGAGGAAGGGATTTCCTGCCAGCACTAATACTTGGGAGTATTTTAGTCCCTTAAAGGCCCTTGTTACCTTCTCTCTTGGTTCCAAGAGGCTGATCTGTCTTTTCCTCTTTCCAATGTCACTACTCATAGTTTCTACCCAACCCTCCTTAGACCATGATGGAAGAGAACAAATCTTAACAGCCTCTCAATTCTGTATACTTTTAATGAGCTTAACTTTGAGCCAGGTACTGTGCTTATAAAGACAGAAAGATACATAAGACAAAGCTTCTGTTCAACAAGAATTAATAATCTAGTAAGGAGCAGAAATGGTGAGAGGAGCTAGGTAACTACTGTATATAGGGTATACTGTGACCAAAGCCACAATGAGTTGAGGCGTCACAAGAGAAACCTCATGCCTTTTTTAAAAGGTTAAAAAAAAGTCTTCCTCTATTTCAAGAAGAAATGATGCTCATAAATGCTGATAATAAATCCTGGTACATGAAGACTTGTAATGGATTGCTTTACATAAATCTAGATGGGTGAAAGGGAGGAAGAGGGTGGAGAGAGGAGTCTTCGTGAATTTACCCTTCATTTTCAATTCTTGGGGGTGGGGAGCAGGAAAACCTCTCTGCAATTTAAAACTAGCTATGGGTAGTCCAAAAAGGGGCCCTTTCTCCATCATTAAAATAGCTTCCTGATGACACATTTTTCTTCTCTCCTCTAATCAGAGGATCCACTTCTTGGTTGTTGCAACACTTTGGGATACAGTGGGATGGATTATAGGAACCAATAACTTGGCCTGACTTCCATATAATATATTTTCTCAAGACTGTCTAAACCACCATTTGTCAAAATAATAAGTGATCAAAAAGAAAGAAAAGATTAATGCTATTTCTGTTATCTGCAAAGAGATGTTATATATACAGTTGGTGCAAAGTAATCACAGTTTTTGTCATTGATTCTAAAACTGCAATTACTTTTGTACCAACCTAATACATATATACACACATATAAAAATACGTTTATACATGCATAGGTGTATATATATATACATACATACACCTATGTATGTTTTCAGGTTGTTTTTTTTTTGGCTCCTCCTCTACATTGACTATCTCCTCAGATCCTTCTCACCATTACCTGAAGCATACAAAAATGAAGTCTAAAAGCCATGATTTCTTGTGAAAAGAGGAAACAGAAAAGTAATTAGTAAAGAAAGTTTGGACTGGAACCCAGATCTTTTTTTTTTTTTTTTCAGCTCACTACAACCTCCGCCTCCTGGGTTCAGGCGATCCCTCCCACCTCCACCTCCCAAGTAGCTGGGATTACCAGCATGTGCCACCACACCTGGCTAATTTTTGTATTTTTAGTAGAGACAGGTTTCACCATGTTGGCCAGGCTGGTCTTGAACTCCTGGCCTCAAGTGATCTGCCCGCCTTGGCCTCCCAAAGTGCTGGGTAATATTACAGGCATTAGCCACCTTGCCAGGCCTGGCACCCAGATCTTGAGAGATGTAAATTGGCTGTCTTTTCACAAGGCTACACTCTCATGCTGATGTCCATTCCTTCATGCAACCAGTCCAAAATGCTCGCTACATCACCTTCCCCATACACATCTCTCCCCTCAAATCTTCCTGTGGCCCCTTTCTCATCTCCACTAACACTGAAATACTGAAGTCTATTCGATTACCAACCTTCTTCCTCTCTAAAAATATCTTCCTCTTCACTTCTTATTTTTTATTATTTTTATTTATTTTTTTTTTCTGAGACGGAGTCTCGCTCTGTCGCCCAGGCTAGAGTGTAGTGGTATGATCTCAGCTCACTGCAACCTCCACCTCCTGGGTTAAAGCAATTTTCCTACCTCAGTCTCCCGAGTAGCTGGGATTACAGGCATGCGCCACCACGCCCAGCTAATTGTGTATATTAGTAGAGACGGGGTTTCACCATGTTGGCCAGGCTGGTCTTGAACTTCTGACCTCAAGTGAGCCACCTGCCTCGGCCTCCCAAAGTGCTGGGTTTACAGGTGTGAGCCACCGTGCCCAGGCTCTCTTCACTTTTTGTACACACTCATCCTGCACTGTCTCTGCTGAACTTTACACACTGACTTCTATGGAGTGACCACGTCATGCAGTACCGAGAAATGAGTCTTAAAAAAAAAAATTAGAGTCATGTTCAAATGAGCAATCTGCCTCTTACCATTTATGCGACCTTAGTAATGTTACTTAACCTCTCTAGCCTTACTTTTCCCTTCTGCAAAGAGAAAATAATTCCTAACTCACTGGGTTTTTGTTTTTGTTTTTGAGACAGGGTCTGGCTCTATTGCCAAGTCTGGAGTTCAGTGGTACGATCACGGCTCACTGCAGCCTCTTGACCTCCCAGGCTCAAGCGATCCTACCACCTCAACCCCCAGAATAGCTGAGACTACAGGCATGTGTCACCACGCCCGACTAATTTTTAAAATTTTTTGTAGAGACGGGGTCTCATTCATTGAGTTTTAAAAGGAAGCAAGCATATGTAAGGCGCTTAACACAGTATCGTGTACTTAAAAGGCACTTAATAAACAGTAGCTGTTACTATGAAAATAATATTTACCTCACAAAACTGTTCCTACATGCCTGACGCTTAAGTAGCTCCTCAAAATATGATAGTTTTCCTCTTCCCCCGTCCTTGGAAAAACTTTCTAGTTCTTTCCAACAAAGATTCAGCACCTAGTTCAAATCCAACAAAGATTTCCCCAATTCTGCTGCAAAGGCATTTGTATATTTACTAAAATCTCAACACTCACGCAGGATAAAACCTACTTAGAACTACCCAGACATCCTTTCTTATCTTCTTAACTTTAAGTCACTGGAAGAAAACCATCACATTTTGCAAGTCCCCAAAAAGCATGCCTGCATAAAAGCTCTAGGGAAGGGAACCGGGTGTCCAGATGCATTTCAGAATTACCATAGGTTTCCTTGCTCGGCATACAGAATAAATGTTGGTTACACTAATGATACAACCGAAGTTGGGGAAAAAAACTTCAGACAATGGCCCGCAAATCTCAAGGAGTAATTGCGAAAAGATGCCACGTGGTGACGTGTTCTAGGCGGGTGATCAGTGAACAAATTTGTATGTGTGATCCTGTGGTGTGTGAATGTGTCATCGTGTGTGCCTGCGTGTGTTCGTAAACACTGAAAGTACAGTCGTGTGCGCCGAGAAGTCTGAGCGCGGGTGCGCATCCCTTTGGACCCGGGTGCGTACCTAGTGAGCAACCGTGCGAACCCTCACGGGGCTCTCCTCCACGCGCTTACCTCTGCGGACGAGCAGGTGGACGCCACTGGGCGCCGCCATGTTGGCGTCGGTCACGTGGCCGCGAGCACTCGCTCGCCGCCCCGCCCGCTGGAGCCGGCCAGTCGCAGCCCTGCCGAAGCCCTGAGGCGTCGAGGCCGCCCGAGGGGAGCGCGCGTGCGCGCGCGGGGCTGACTGCGGGAGCCCTGGCTGGGAAGCGGCTAGGGCACCCGGGCAAGCAGCAGAACCCGCGGCCGGCTGAGTCCTCTCCAGCCGCGAGAGGCGGGCTCCAGCCGCGGCTCGCGCGCTCGCTCTGAGCCCCCGCGCCCAGGTGGGATGGAAGAAGCCTGTCAGGTAAGCGTGGCATCCAATATTTATAGCATCAACATTTTGGTGCATGGAAACGTGAAGTTGGGCGGAAAAAATAAAGCACAATCTAGTGTTCAACATAGCACTTTGTATCGTCTGCCACTCTGTTGCAAATTATTCCCCTGGATTCAGTTGAAAGGTAAAATTTGGTTCAAAGTCACCAGCTCCCCTTTTGCTGTCCCAGAATCTACATTACTCAGCAGAGACTCCAGACAACACAGGATCTGTGTGTCGCTGCAAAATCTATTCTAGGTACCCCAGTGGGTATGTTCAGGAGACTTCTCTTTCTCCAAGGACGCCTTCTGCTTGGCAGTATTAACTGGAGTCTTAATCCTAAATTTGGAGTTTAAGTATAAAAGGATGACGCCTGCCAATTGCATTGCCAAGAGAAGAAGCCTACAGAAGGCCAATTGTGAATCAGATGAGGGAGCTGATGTATGCCTACTGATGACGGTGCCCATTTTTACCAAATTCACTGTCTCTCTTACCTGTGTTCTGGGGTAGATGCCATCCTGTCATGGACCAGGTGTTATTCATCTTAGTAGCCTCCGTGCCCGGCACAGAACCCGATACCCGAGGAATGTCAGGTGAAGCAATTGAACACTGCATGAAACCAGTCAAACTGAGAATGTAACCGTTTCCAGACTTTAAATGCAGTGAAGATTGATTAGGATTCTCAGTGAATGTGTGTGATGTCTTCTAATTAATTTTTAAGCACTACACACTCAGTGAATAATCTAGACAATTCAGAACAATTCAGAAATAAGGAACAAGTGCAAGCCCCTTCCTCGCCCTCTGTACATACCATAGTCCCACTCCCCAGTTAACCACCGTGTGCTCAATTGAGATCTTTGCCTTTTACACACAGGCAAATGTAAGTATTTTAAATAGAATCATATGACTTGCTTTTTCCATTCCAGTCATCATAGGCATCAAATCTTAGAACACTTAGTTCAGACTTATTCTTTTTAATGACTATATAATCTTGATATTTTTACTTTTAAAGAGAGTGAATGTTGGCATTTCATTAGAGGACACATGCTATAATTCTGGAAAACCTGGTTTTGGATGCTTTTGGGTCACCTTGAAAGATAAAGAGAAGTAATGCTTTCCATCAGGGTAAATAAGATGCACAAGAATGAGAATAAAATGTACTCCTACCTTTTGCAAACTCATTTCAATTCCAGGGAGAGCATTTTTGAATGTGGCAAATCTGTCCTCTGTGTAACTGAGGCCAGCAATCTGAGTGCAGCAAAGGAGCCTGAGAGTTAGCTGGCCACAGAGTCTTAAGCAGTGTACAGAAAAAAGAAATCTAGACATCCCTATTCCTTAAGGCATCAAGCCTAGTTTCAAACCCATCTGAAATAGAACACATGTTCATGTGACTTAACTCAGCCAACCCTTGGAAAATAAATGAATGCTTTATTCCCCTACAACTAAAAGGAAAAGGAAACACTATGAGGACCCAGGTGGCACCAGCAGTAGTGGAATCCAGTGAGGAAATCCTCAATAAGTTCGGCATGGAATGTAGATATCTGGGATGAGCTAGAAATGAAGCAAATATGAACTTGCACAGGTGATAGCTCATCCACTGACCCTGGATCTGGCTTCTCTCATACACATCCTTCTCACCGCAGAAGGGTTAAAAGCTGCCAGCACATGTCCGCCAAAACCATCAACTTATGGGATATAAGCTGGGTGTGGTGGCTCATGCCTGTAATCCCAGCACTTTGGGAGGCGAACGCAGGCAGATCACTTGAGGTCAGGAATTCGAGACCAGCTTGGGCAACATGGTGAAACCTGTCTCTACTAAAAATACAAAAATTAGCCAGGCATGGTGGTGCATGCCTGCAATCCCAGCTACTCAGAGGCTAAGGCGGGAGAATCACTTGAACCTGGGAGGCAGAGTTTACAGTGAGCCGAGATCCTGCCACTGCACTCCAGCCTGTGCCACAGAGGAAGATTCTCTCAAAAAAAAAAAAAAAAGGGATATATACATAGTGACCAACAAGATAAAGGGCTAGATCACTGATATCTAGGATCCCTTGCAATTTTAACATTCTGTGATCTTGAGCATTAGAGTGCTTTTATTTAGATGAGTAACCGCTACTGAGTCACTTCTCTACTCCATTTCTGTCCGTGCTCCTATCTGTGAAATGAAGGTTAATTATATTATGGCACTTCACTGATTTGAATTCTTACCATTAGTCAGATTTTGTACTTAGGATTCTTGAATAAAAAATTGAATAATTCGGCCGGGTGCAGTGGCTCACACCTGTAATTCCAACACTTTGGGAAGCCAAGGCAGGAGGATTGCTTGAGCCCAGGAGTTGGAGACCCAGCTGGGCAACATAGTGAGACCCCGTGTCTACAAAAAATTTACAAACTAGCTAGATGTGGTGGCACATGCATATAGTCCCAGCTACTTGGGAGGCTGAGGCAGGAGGAGCGCTTGAGCCCCGGAGTTTGAGGCTGCAGTGAGCTGTGATTGTGCCACTGCACTGTAGCCTGGGCAACAGAGCAAGACTCTGTCTCAAAAAAAAAAAGTTGAATAACTTTTGAAAACCAGGGTTCAAGAAATAAAGGATAACTTAATACCTTCAGTTTATGTCCAAAAATTCATTCTTGAATGTTAAAATATTTTGATTGTGATTATTATTTTATAGGTCTTTACCTTGATTTTCAAAAGATCATGTCTTATTCACATCTTTTAAAATCTTTTTATTTATAAAAGATATAAATCAAATAAATTCCAATATGCATATTTTTGAAAAACCCATTTTTCCTTCCTCCTTCTTGAACTTAATATTATAGACTTATACCATGAGTGTGTCTAAATTTGTAGTTTGTAATAAAAGTTAAATTATGCAGGTTCTGTAATGTATGTATTGAATTTTTAATTGAATATTTGCATTTTTAAATGCTCTAAGGGATTATGTGACATGAAGTAAATAATTTTTTAAAAATGTTTGTCTTATAGTAAATAACATCATCTTGTAATTTGTCTCACAAGTTTAGATTTATATATATATATATTAGGATTACTATAAGATATTTGAAAACACAGGCTGGGTGTGGTGGCTTATGCCTGTAATCCCAGCATTTTGAGAGGCCGAGGCGGGCAGATCACCTGAGGTCAGGAGTTCAAGATCAGCCTGGCCAACATGGCGAAACCCCATCTCTACTAAAAGATGCAAAAATTAGCCGGGTATGGGGCGGGCACTTGTAATCCTAGCTATTCGGGAGACTGAGGCAAGGAGAATAGCTTAAACCCTGGAGGCGGAGGTTGCAGTGGGCCAGGATGGTGTCACTGCAGTCCATCCTGAGCGACAGAGGGAGACTCTGTCAAAAGAAAGAAAGAAAGAGAGAGAGAGGGAGGGAGGGAGGAAGGAAGGAAGGAAGCAAGGAAGGAAGGAAGGAAAGAAGGAAAGAAGGAAAGAAGGAAGGAAGGGAAGGAAAGAAGGAAGGAAAGAAAGAAGGAAGGAAGGAAAGAAAAGAAAGAGCACAAACCATGAAATAGGGGCCAAGGTGCTTACATATCTCTAATAAAAAGCTGTTTTATGTGAATACGTTGTAAGATTAACTGATATAATGTGGCTGCTGGGGGAAACTGGTACCCCGGGACCACACAGCTTCAGCGCAGTTGTCATCTAGACCCAGGGGCCTCATTCTCCCTTCCTGACCCTGCCTCTTTGTTTTGCCATCTGAATCCGTAAAGTTAGCCTTTTGATTTGATTTCACGATCATTTCTTAGCAACTCTGTGGTTGGAGAAGAATCTCCGATCTTGGCCTCTAGTTTCTCTAATTTTAATATGTTGGTATGCTACTTGTTTACATATTTTAAGTCAAATGAACATTCTTTTCAGGAACTAGGAGTTCTGCATAAACATAAGCCGCATGTACAACAAAGATCTGTCTTAGTAGCTGATTGGGCCCCTCTAAAGTTAGCGTCTATGTTTGAATGATTATAGGTTCAGGCAGACAGTTTCTAGGGCACTCTCAACTAACTTGCTGGCAGAATGTCATGTTTCCTATACCAATCATTTGAGACAATCATGAATATGTTACTGAGTAATCTAAAGGTACTGTTAGAGAAAATGTGTAAATATTCCATGTTTTGCGAGGAAAAGTAATGCCATATGTGAGACAGTTGTGGAAAATCAAGTGGATTTATCTTTGCTGTTTGTGCCCTGTTCCTTGATCTTTAGCAGTGCCAAGAGGGAGCCAGGACAAGAGAAGGAGGATGTTAGTTGCATGTGATCCTCCTGCCACTCTCATTTTTTATTAGTCTAATGACATTTTCCCAGTCATATAATTCCTATGCAAATGATACTTTAAGCCCCACCCCTTCCTAATGGGATTGCCCTACCTGAGCCTCTTCCATACTGAAATTCTGAGGATTTCAGGGATCTAGAGCCATTTATAGGCATAATCCAAATGGGCTCAGCAAATAGCATGCTGCAACCTCCTGAGCAGTCTGTCAAGGGAAGGGGAGTAGAATGGGACCAGACAGGGCTAACTTAACTGTAGGGTAAGACCAAAACATTGCCCCAAGGAAGTTGTTGATATCAGGCCCAGTCTGGCTAGCATTCGTTTCAAGTTTGTCCAACGCTTTGGCTTAAAAGATGTTATAGGAGATGTAAAAACAGCAGTAACACTCCAACATAGTAACATATCCATTGTTGGAGCAGTAGCCCATCTAGAATCGTGGCAGGAGCTGAGGGAGCGAGGGAAGGGAAGGGACGGCTATAGGGAAGAGCATGGAGATGGTCCCAGACCCTTTTCACTGGTGCATTAAAGCTTTCTGATAATACTGCCTGCTTCGGTCAGAGTTGGCTTGGGAACTGTGCAGGCTTGAGGGACAAGGCTTCCCTGACCTGATGTCTTGGGACTGACTCTGAGTGTTGGGTTAAAGCAGAAGTGTGCAATTGCCTCATGGAATCTAAATGAAAGTGTGAACCATAAGAGGCTGCCATCCATTCCCAAACTGCCAATGCCTGGAAAGGTAGTTCCTGCTTATACACTTCCAGAGAATGAAGATTCCATTCAGAATAGGGGGAAAAGGCAACAAATTCCCAAGCGAATCTAGCAATCAACCAATCAATAAATATGTAAGTGCTACTCTAAGCTCCAAGGAGATATGATACTGTCTTTATTCTCAAGAAACAAATTGGAAACGAACTGTGCAGGCTTGAGGGACAAGGCTTCCCTGGCCTTGAATTAGTCTCAGCTTTCCAATTTGTTCTTAAGAAACAAATTGGAAGAGACTAACATGCTCACAAGATTGTCCATAAAACAAGACCAAATTGTACCCTCTTGACTATAAGCCCCATGGAGCAATGCCAGGGGTCACAGATTGTAGCCATCCCTGGCTGCCAGGAACTGAGGAAAATGGTGAACTCTAATTATCTAAGTTCCCAGGAAATTATACCTATTTAATCTCCTTCCTTCAAATATGTGCTCTTTGAAAAACATTCCAAAAAAAAAAAAAAGAGAGAAATGTGTAATATAGAAAATAGAAGTCCCTCACATTCAGGTAATTACTGTTAACAAATTGATGTATATTCATTCATCTGGACTTTTTTTCTATGCCTATACTCATTTGCTGGCCTTTTTTTTTATTTTTTGAGACAGGGTCTTATCTGTCACCCACACTGGAGTGTGGTGGCACAATCATGGCTTACTGCAGTCTCAACCTCCTGGGGTCAAGTGATCCTCCTGCCTCAGCCTTCTGAGTAGCTGGAACTACAGGCACACACCACTACACATGGCTAATTTTTCTATATTTTGTAGAGACTGGGTCTCACTATGTTGCCTAGGCTAGTCTCAAACTCCTGGGCTCAAGTGATCCTGCCACCTTAGCCTTCCAAAGTGCTGGGATTATAGGCATGAGCCACTGTGCCCGGCACTATTTGCTGGACTTTCAAAGGGAAGATACCCATTTTTATCACGACCAGTCACACAGGTATATAGAATAAAAGACAGCAGACTAGGCAAGTCACATGCAAAAGCATGGGAACACACAATATTATTCATGTCTTTATTGCAGTCTACTGTGCATTCTCTCTCTTCCTTTTGCCTTCACTCTGCATCTGTTTCTCTTCTTTCTTTTATTTTTCTCTCTCTTGTAAAATTACTTATTTTCTTGTGGCTTTTTTCCCTTTCCCTCATGAAGTGATGATATTGGTTATCTTCCCATATTTTTCCATCTTTGTTTACTCTTTTGCTATATTTATGGTTCTATGTTTGCTGTTACGTTCTTAGTGGTTTTGGTTTAAAATATTTGGTCCTGTAGGACTGTGTGAGGCCAGTGCCTGTGGAAAGCAGTTTGATCATTAATATCAGAGGTTGAAAATGTTTGTAATTTTGCCACTTCCTGCATATAAGTATGAAATAGTGTTCCTTAGTCAGTTAGCAGTTACACAAAAGAGACTGCAATAAGAATCTCTGAAGTGGAGATCATGAAATAAGAAGAGATTTAATAATAGAAAGAGAAAACTAGCTGTATGTCCCTTTCTCCCCTCCCACTCTCCACCTCCACTCCCCAAAATGGCTGAGAAACTAAGCAGTAGTGCATTTTTTAACTTCTTCTGCTTGCCTCTCACTGAACACATTCTATACTCAAGACTGAAACCGTTGAAACAAACAAGAGGGCAGATGCTGCCACGACCTCTCTTCCCATTGAACTGAGCTCCTCTGTGCTCACCCCATCCACTTTAACCCAGAGAATAACCTGTGTGGAGTGCATTCTCCTCATCTGAAGCACACACAAACATCACTGCATTTTCTTTTGCTTGATAAAGGATAAAGGAAGAAAGCAGCAGCTGCTCTAGGACCAGACAGCAAACAAGCCTCTCTGTGGTAGCACCACGGCCTTCACAAAAGGGGATTCAGAGAGCCGGGCAAACACACACATCCAGCCCAAGACTTCCGCACAGATTCACCTGCCAAAATTATTAATTAAACATGTAACGAGCTGTCCAGGTGAACTGAGAGTCTAAAGCACATTTTCCAACTAGTCTTTTATTAAGATGGAGGAGCGAGAATATGGTTGAAGAACTAGAAATGGCTTCAAGATCACCTAATACAACTCTAACCCTACCCCTTCTAATTTTAACATAAAGACAGTGAGACCCAGGGAGGTTATAGAAGATTTATTCCATTTCAAGCCTGTATATATTTTAACACTGGAGGTTTTTAAAAACATTTTTTTTACATTAGTACAGCACTCCTTGCAGCTTCTTACACACAAGAGCTCAGCAGATATTCATAAATGATGATATTATACTTTTATTGCATTATATTTCTCCACTGGGTTAATGGGATGCCCAAAAAATTATGAAGTATGTTTTTCAGAGCTTTGGTTGTACATCCAGTGTCTACTGACTCATAAAACCAGTGTATCAAAGATGGAGACAATTTGCTTTGATAACAAATTTTTTCCAGATTCGTCTTTTACCAGGTAAGTACATGGTAAATTATGATTCCTTTGATAATCAGTTTCCTAAGAAAAGAATTGAGTATTGCTTTTTTTTTTTTTTTCCAAAGAAAGCTCTTCAGTATCTTTTGGTGAATTCTGCCTGGTCGAAGTCAGGCAGAGCACGATTTCATTTGTTAAGGGTGCCACTTGGTTGCTTTAGGTAAACTTTTATTTAAAAAATTTCCTGGATTTACAGTTTTATTTTATTTGACAGTAATATGGAGCTTCAGTGGCAGAACAATATACCTGTAGTAATATTAAACAGATTTTTATATCAAAGACATATATAGTGAAAAAATAACCATACAATTATAAAAAGGTTTACAATGAAAAGCAATAGGTCGGGTGCAGTGGCTTATGCCTGTAATCCCAGCACTTTGGGAGGCTGAGGCGGGCGGATCACCTGAGGTCAGGAGTTCAAGACCAGCCTGGCCAACATGGCAAAATCCTATCTCCACTGAAAATACAAAAATTAGCCAGGCATGGTGGCGTGCGCTTGTAGTCCCAGCTACTCAGGAGGCTGAGACAGGAGAACCGCTTGTACCCGAGGAGGCGGAGGTTGTAGTGAGCTGAGATTGCGCCACTGTACTCCAGCCTGGGTGACAGAGCAAGACTCCATGTCAAAAACAAACAAACAAACAAAACAATTCAGCATCAGAGCTTTGAAGATATTGTTCCATTATCTTTCAACATGCAGTATGGCTGATAAACTCTAATGCTGAATCCCCCTTCCTCTCCCAGGTTGTCTGTGTTTTCCCCTGTGAAAGCATTCAGGATCTTAATTTTATGCTGTGGATTCTGAACTTAATAATTTGGCCTGTGAGTCGATCTTTTTAGGTAAGTAACTTAATAATTTGGCCTGTGAGTCGATCTTTTTAGGTAAGTGGTAGCGGTACAGTGGTTGAGAATCTAAGTGAGTCATATTGCATGGGCCAAATTTCCAGCTCTGCCACTTACTAGCTGTGTGACCTTGGTGAAGATAACCTTCCTAGGCCTCACTTGAGGATACCAAGTACCTCAGAGGGTTGTTAATGAGAATTGAGATAACTCATGCAAGTGCTTAGCCAACAATAGAAAGTGCTCAGTAAATGTTAGTAACGCTGCTCAAACTTCAGGGAGCTCTTATAGTCTGAAGATTCATTTCTTCAACTTTGAGGCATTATCCTCTTCCTTTGGTTATGTTCTGTTTGCTCTTCCTCTCCGAAACGAAAATTATTGGTTATTGAATTTCCCACACTGATCCTCTGTTTTATCTTTTTTTCTCATATCTTCGGTCTCTCTTTTTGATGTTCTGGGAAATTCCCTCAACTTTATAGCTCAGTCTTTCTGCCGCTTGAGTTAGAGCAATCATTTTTAATTTCTCAGAGCTCTTTCCTACTCGCTGATTTTTTCCTTTTTCATACTGTTCTTTCATATATGATATGTCTTTTCTTACCCAGTTTTTATTTTAAACACTTAAAAAGATAGAGCAGGTCGGGCAGAATGGCTGACACCTGTAATTCCAGTACTTTGGGAGGCCGAGGCAGGCTGATCGCTTGAACCCAGGAGTTCGAGACTAGCCTAGGCAACATGGCGAAACTCCATTTATACCTCTGCCACCCCCCAAAAAATATGTATATATAAAATTAGCTGGGCATTGTAGTGTGCACCTATGGTCCCAGGTATTTGGGAGGCTGAGGTGGGAGGATTGTTTGAGCCCAGGAGGTGGAGGTTGCAGTGAGCCAAGATTGCACCTCTGCAATCCAGCCTGGGTGACAGACCAGGACCTTGCCAGTCAATCAATCAATCAGTCATACAGGCTGAAAGAACCATACTGAGAACACCTGTATTTAATTCCACCTATATTCAACACTTTTACAAACTTTGTCACATTTGCTTTATACACACACACACACACACACACACACACACATACATGCCCCAATACACAAACATATTTTTCTGGACCATTTGAATGTAAGCTACAAATGTCATGACTCTTTGCTCCTAAATGCTAAGGCATGTGACTCTCAGGAATAAAGACATTGTCCTACATAATAACAGTACCATTATCACGACTATGAAAATTAACAAAATTCCTTACCAATTGTGTCCATATTCAAATTTTCCTTCGTTGGCCAGGCACTGTGGCTCACGCCTGTAATCCCAGCACTTTGGGAGGCCAAGGCAGGTGGATCACGAAGTCAGGAGATCGAGACCATCCTGGCTAACATGGTGAAACCCCGTCTCTACTAAAAATACAAAAAATTAGCCGGGCATGGTGGCGGGCACCTGTAGTCCCAGCTACTCGGGAGGCTGAGGCAGGAGAATGGCGTGAACCCAGGAGGCGGAGCTTGCAGTGAGCCGAGATCGTGCAACTGTACTCCAGCCTGGGCGACAGAGCAAGACTCCGTCTCAAAAAAAAAAAAAAAAATTTCCTTCTGTCTCAAATATGTGCAAAATCTACCAAAATGTACAATGTCCATACCTTTTCACTCAGCGATTCAATCACTACTTATCCTACATACACACTCCCAAATATACAAAATGGTGTATACAAAAGGCTATTTGCTGCAGCATTGCTTGTAGTAGAAGATAGGAAGCAACCTAAATGTCCTTTAATACAGTATTGGGTCAAACATTGACATCGAGCTATGGAATATTATACAGTTGTTTAGAATTAAGGTGTTTAGAACTGAAGTAACATGTACTGGTAGAGATATGCATTAACTGGAAAAGATACTCAGAGTACTGCATGTAGTATATCAATATTTGTGTTTGTAATAGAAATGGACATTTGTAGACTGATAAATCTGGGGGATAAAAGAGAAACTGGTAAAAGTAATTGTAAAGAAGTGAATTGGGTGGCGGTGTGGGAGGGCAGTTTATTTCTCATCAAATACTTTCATAGATTTTAAATTTTTAATTTTTACTTAGAAAGCCCATGACTGCATTGATTTTTTTTTTACTAAGTATATGTTACATAATTTTAAAAAAATAGTGCTTAAAGTAGATGGATATTCAATCCCATAGAACAATGATTCTCAATGAAGGATGATTTTGCTCCCCACAGGACATATCTAGAGACATATTTGGTTGTCACAACTAGTGGTGGGGGTGGCACTACTGGCATCTTAGTGGGTAGAAGCCAGGGATGCTGTTAAACATCCCACAATATATAGGTCGGCCCCACACAAGAAAAAATTATCTGGCCCAAAATGTCAGTAGGACTGAAGCTGAGACACCCGGAAATACAGTGATTCTTAAGGATGCAAAGGTTTGAGAAGAGCTAAGCAAGACTAAAGGAATAAACAGAAAGGTGCATATGCCTAACCATTCAAATCATTGTGCATTTAAGATAAGGCCAGGCACAGTGGCTCACGCCTGTAATCCCATTTTGGGAGGCTGAGGTGGGTGGATCGCTTGAGCTCAGGAGTTTGAGACCAGCCTGGGCAACATGGTGAAACCCTGTCTCTACCAACAACAACAAAAATATATAAAAATTAGCCAGGTCTGGTGGCACTTGCCTGTGGTCCCAGCTACTTGGAGGGGCTGAGGATGCAATGAGCCGAGATCATGCCACTGCACTCCAGCCTGGATGACAGAGTGAGACCCTGTCTCTAACAACAAAAAAAAAGGTAATTCAAATTTCTAGCCATGAAAGAGATGGTTGGATAAGTCCAATATGCTCCTGTTTGCATAGAGTTTATTCAAATTGGGACATTATAAAGTTCCCACAACCTTAGTTTATGGTGATAATTTTAACTGTTGTAAAGGTAGTAGAGTCACTGTAAGAGTGAGGTTAGACTAATGTCCATGACTTCTAGGACTTTCATCTATTGGTATACTTGTATATGTATGCATAGCACATATACAATAGGCATTGCAGCATTGTTTGTAAAGGAAAATATTGGAAACAACATAAATATGTTACTGGTAGAGTAATGTATGATATATCCACACAATGGAATACCATGCTGCCATTAAACAAGATAGCTCAAATAATCCCCAAAAGTAAAAAAGCAGTTAGAAAACGTGGTAGGTCATCACATATACATATGGTATATAAAAAATATATATACATACATGCTCCCTTTTGCATGTATCTCTGAAAGATACACAAGATATTGATAACTGGTTGTTTCTGGAGGAATGCAGTGAGGAAATTTTCACTGCATGCCCTGTTGCTTTTTATTTCCGTGTGCATACTTCCTATTGAAATATCACATATACGTAAACACAGCTCTGCCCAACTCAGTGAGTAAACTAAATGCACTGTATAATTCCACCACACCTCATAAAACAAGAATGAAATATTTATAATAGAAATGTAAAGGCATATGGGAACACAGAAAAGTTGAAGATTAAATGTTGAGAGGAAGAGTAACTTCAGGCCATATTTCAAGAGGCATTGATAATTTCAGTCATTGCTATCAAACAGACTCTTAAGGTTTTTTGTGTTTTTTTTACTTTTTTCTTATTTTTAGAGATGGGGGTCTCTCTACGTTGCTTAGGCTAGTCTTGAACTCCTGGGCTCAAGCTATCCTCCTGCCTCAGCCTCCTAAGTAGCTGGGACTACAGGCATGTGACACCAAGTCCAGCTTTTTTTTTTTCTTTTTTTTTTTTTTAGAGGACAGGGTCTGGCTTTGTCACCCAGGCTGGAGTACGGTGGTGTGAACATAGCTAACTGCAACCTTGAACTCCTAAACTCAAGCGATCCTCCCGCCTCAGCCTCCCAAGTAGCCTGGCTTGCACCACCACAGGTGTGCACTACCAAGCCTAATTTTTCTTTTCGTTTTGTTTTGAGATGGAGTCTCACACTGTTCCCTGGGCTGGAGTGCACTGGTGCAATCTCGGCTCACTGCAACCTCTGCCTCCCAGGTTCAAGCGATTCTCCTCCCTCAGCTTCCCAAGTAGTTGGGATTATAGGCGCCTGCCACCATGCCCAGCTAATTATTTTTATTTTTAGTAGAGACGGGGTTTCGCTATGTTGGCCACCAAGCCTAATTTTTAAATTTTTTTGTAGACGGGGGCTTGCCATGTTGCCCAGGCTGGTCTTGAACTACTGGCCTCAAGCAGTCCCCCACCTTGGCCTCCTAAAGTGTTGGGATTACAGGCATTAGCCACCGTGCATGGCCGAGAATACTTTTCTTAATACTTGCTCCTCTAAAAGTCCCTCTTAGAACAGCCTAGTGGGCTGGCATGCTTACTTGGCTGGCCTACTTGATGGAAGATGAGATGGAGTAGAAGTCAGGAGCCTAGTGTATATTCCTGGCTTTGCCAGTTACTTGTAGTGTGGCCTCTGGATTTACTGTCCATTTATAAATTGACAGTGTAGACTGCAAAACATACATTTTTTAAAAAAACAGGTAATTCATATCAAGGAAAAGATTTTACACACGCACACACAATTCAACCTTCCCAGTAAAATAAATGTAAATAAGATATTTTATCTATGGAAACAACATCCCACGTCATTGAAATTCTGTTAAAATTGGTATATACATTCACATCGGGTAGTATTTTAACGATTCTGCAAAATATGGCATGTTTATGTAATAGAGCCATAGACATATTCTTATCCTTTAACTCAGTTAACTACATTTCCCAGGAAATGATTTCACAGATACAAATATATACATGCACAAAGATATACTACTATGTTCCAAGTATATACACAGAGATATACAAATGCAAAAATAATTTTATTTGGAAGTATTGAGTACTTTATTAAATCAGTATTTAATAGTTAAACTGGCTTTTAAATTCTAAGAAAAAGAACTTAAGAATTTAAGGAATTAAATCAGTTGACCTCTCAGGTGTATGATTCTAATCTTGTTATCAAATATGGCCTTAGTAGCTTTGCTGCCAGCTCTTCTCTAGTAGGTAAAGATGGCAGTTAATCAGAAGGTCTGATAGATTTTCAGCCTAGACAAGGCTCTGGTACAACAAACTGGGGCCCCAGCAATTTGGAGACAATCAGGGACACAGTCCTTTTTCCCTCCCTTCTCACACAAACTATGTCACGTATAAACTATGAATATCCTTGTGTGACTTAGAAAAGTGTTTTATTTTAGACATATACCACATCTACACCCACATCTGAGTATAAAAGTATAAGGGTAAGGAGAAAGGATATGAAAACGACAAACACAGAACCTAGAACAGGGAGGGAGTGAGCCTAGAGATCATTCTAGTACAACCTCAGTTTCACAGATGAAAAACCTGATGCTCAGAAGGAAATATATGTAGAGAAAACGCAATTTATAGAGGACAGGGAAAAAGTAAGAGGCCGGGCACAGTGGCTCAACGCCTGTAATCCCAGCACTTTGGGAGGCCGAGGGCAGATCATTTGAGGTCAGAAGTTCAAGACCAGCCTGGCCAACATGGTGAAACTCTGTCTCTACTAAAAATACAAAAATTAGCTGGGCATGGTGGCTCAGGGCTGTAATCCCAGCTACTTGGGAGGCTGAGGCAGGAGAATTACTTGAACTCGGGAGGCAGAGGTTGCAGTGAGCTGCATTCCAACCTAGGCAGCAGAGACTTCGTCTCAAAACAAACAAACAATAGGAAAATCAGCATCACATTTTCTTTCTGGTTTTTATACAAAAAAAAAATCTTGAAAGATAATTGGTTTAGATGGTATTGATGCTTTCTTCAGAGCTCATCTTTAAGTATCAGCTGTGAACTGTCAATAAAAAAATTAAAAATTAGCCAATTTAGATGAAAGACAAATTGCTTTCATATCATTTCAGAAAGGATTTTAACTGAACTAGTTCATTTTATCTGTAGCAAATTATGTACACAGATATAATCTCTCAGAAGTCAACAAGTTTTATCTATATACAGGCTTCTGAGATGAGATGGTTTGAAACTTTTATAGCTCCCTCATTTTAAGGGAACAGTAGTGCTGTTGGTATGCTGCTGGCCACAGCTATTTTGTGTCCAGAGGCTACCAGTTACTTCTCTGACAGATTTTACGGATGGAAATTGATCAAAGGACGAGATAATGCCTGTCCAACTTGGGATTCTGCCCCAAGCATCCATCAAATCAGATTTTTAAAAGTAAATTTCAACTTACATCCTGTTTTTGTTATATAATACCTTGTTTACTAGCATACATTATAAACATCTCAAACTTTTACTTTGAATGATTCTGTTTCCAGCAATCTATTTATACTCTACTTCATTAAAAACAAGACTATATTAAGCAGTTTGTCATTATTTTTTCTTGCTGTATTTCAATACCTTGGTAACCTTACAGCAAATCCGAACAGATGGGCGTCTCACTTTACACAAGATATATTTTAATAATGGTGTGTAAATTGTATTTTATACACTGATTTCTATCTTCTATTTTTATTTATAGAATGTTTATGCTAACTTCTAAGTTATCTTCAAATAATATTTGATGCCAAAATTTTGGCTTTTAGGCTGTATCTAGTTTGATTTCCCTCGTACCTGCCTTCCCAAACAGTTAATAGAGTTAATAGGATTTTATTTAAAACAAAATAAAACCTATACTAAGAACATTTCCTATTATGAAAAATCAGTAAGAACTTAAACTACAAGGAAAAAACCAAACAACCCCATTAAAAAGAGACGTGAACAGACACTTTTCAAAGAAGACATACGTGTAGCCAATAAGCATATGAGTAAAAGCCCAATACCACTGATCATTAGAGAAATGTAAATCAAAACCACAATGAGGTACCATCTTACACCAGTCAGAATGGCTGTTATTAAAGTCAAAAAATAACAGATGCCGGCAAGGTAGTGGAGAAAAGGGAACACTTATAAACCGTTGGTGGAAGTATAAATTAGTCCAACCACTGTGGAAAGCAGTGTGGCAATTCCTCAAAGAGCTAAAAACAGAACTACCATTTGACCCAGCAATTCCATTACTAGGTATATACTCAGAGGAATATCAATCATTCTACCATAAAGACACACGCATGCAAACATTCACTGCAGCACTATTCACAATAGCAAAGACATGGAATCAACCTAAATGTCCATCAGTGACAGACTGGATAAAGAAAATGTGGTATATACACACCACAGAATACTATGCAGTCATAAAAAAGAACAAGATCATGTATTTTGCCAGGACATGGATGGAGCTGGAAGCCATTGTCCTTAGCAAACTAACACAGGCACAGAAAACCAAATACTGTATGTTCTTACTTAACAAGTGGGAGTAAATGATGAGAACACATGGACACAAAGAAGGGAACAACAGATACTGGGGCCTACTTGAAGGTGGAGGTTGGGAGAATAGCAGAAAAATTAACTATTGGATACTAGGCCTAGTATCTGGGTGTTGAAATAATCTGTACAAGAAACCCCCAAGACACTAGTTTACCTATGTAACAAACCTCCACATGTACCCCTGAATCTAAAAGTTAAAAAAGAAAGAAAAATCATATTGAAAAAATAAAATTACCAGGATAACCTTAAAGAAATGTTTTAAAGGTGTCAGATGTAAAATCTTAGAAGCAAAGTGTGGAAGGAATGATAAGTATTTAAGAATGAGGTTTATTGTAAGTATTTAAGAATCATATCATCACACATTAACATATCACAACTAAGCATTTATTATACTGTTTAAGAAGGGAAGCAATTGCAGTAGTATTTCAGAAGCTTTATCTTTCTTTAAATGCAATATATGCTCATAAACTCTAAACAGTATTTTAAAATATACAATCTCTCCAAAAGAAAATATTCAACTAAAGATAGATAACTTTTAGTATAAGCAAAATGTCACAAGATTTTAAAATTAAAGTCATCAGATTTTTCACAGCACATTGTACAGAAAATTTGCAAGCTTCCTGTACAGAGCAGTATAATCTTTACTCTTGAGCAAGTCGTTCAATAACACGCCGGTAATCTTCCACTAGTTCCTGAAAACTCTCTTCCAGCTGTTCATGTTGCATGCTTATTTCTATTTGGTTCATCTGGTTTGTCAGTTCTTCTGGTCTGAGACATTTTCTCATCTTAGCAAGATCTCTCTGCTTTTTCTAAGTGACAAACAATTATTTGTTAGACGAAGAAAGTAAATATATTTCCTTATAGTCTTACAATTTTAAGTCTCCAATGTTAAAAATAAGAATAGTATGAATACGCCCAAACTTGTCCCACAATGTTTTTTTTTTGTTTTGTTTTGTTTTTTAAGGAAGCTTAAACATAATGTTAACCATGAATTGCAAACCCTCTAAAAAGAGTTAACAAGAAGACCTGGTATTTGTGTCCAATGATGGTAAATACAGACATGTGACTAGCAGCCCCCTCCAAAACTTTAAAGAACTCTGGGCAGTATAGACACTCAAATATTTGCTTAATAGATAGAAGACATTAGCTGAAGAAAGACAACTGAGATTAAGTGCTATTATTCTTCATTTTACTATTCAGTCATTAATTAATTACATTTTAAATTCCACCCAGTGAAGTACTTACGGGCCACATGCTAATTTTAACATAAACTGTTAGAAATGTTTCAGAAAGACAAATGGAAAACTGCTATACTTTAAAAATATATTAAATAGCATTTGAGTCTTTATTAAGTTCCAGACATACATTATCATACTAAACCCTCCTGGTTTGACTTAGGATACCGCTATGCTAAGGAGTTTGCAACAGGTAGCTGATAACAACTTTTATGCAGGACACTGTGTCAGAGATGTTTAGGATGGGACTGGAGGACTGGGCAGCTACTGCAGTAGTTCAAGCCAGAGTTGATGAAAGCCTAGATCAAGTCAGCAGCAGCAGAGATGGAGAGGACAGGGCAGATTTAGGGGAGAAAATACTGGGTGATATGAGGAAGGAAGAATGAAGAATAACTCCAGGATTCCTGGTTGGGTGGCATTATTGCAAATATGAAGCTTTCATGTTTCGGATATACTGTTCTAGAACTCCTGGGCCCAAGTGATCCACCCACCTTGGCCTCCCAAACTGCTGGGATTACAGCCATGAGCCACCACACCCGGCCCAGTTCTGGCCTTTTAGACTGGTGAACTGGCTGGACAGGTAAAGGTACTTAATAATAATATAAAAAAGAATTATCATTCTTTAAGAGTAGAAAATACTTGCACTTATGAACTACAGAGGTTCCCATTATTTGGCATTAGCTGTGTGACTACTATTTGTACTCAGAATTTCCATCTTTCATTTGTTATATTTTATATAAAAGTCACATTAATATCTAAAATATATAATTCAATAAATTATTTTACTTTAGTAAAATCTTAATAACTCTTAAATGTTGCCATCTATACTGCTCTCTGTGCCCAAATTTCATCATTAAGACATTTTCTAGCTAACAAATATTACTTAAAGGTCAAAACCTTTGGAAAATACCATTTTTACCCATTTTCTGATGTTTCTGAATTGATAACATCAAATAATAAAATGCTACTTTGGATAACTTTTGAGGAGACCATTATAATTTATTACAAACCTGCTATATGCAGATGATGGTCTGTAAAATAGAAAAACTATTAAACTGCAATGAAATGACACTATGAGGAACTATTCATACATCTGTGTATGAATTCAAGATAAAATGATTTAGTCATAGGCAAATAATAATTTTATATTCAGAATGTGAACAGAATTACAATGACAAATTAGGAAATACAGTTGCACTGCAAAGTAAAAAGATGCTATGAAGGAAAAGTTGGGATTCAGCAAGTAGTGTCAGCCAATGAACCATCAGCATTCAAGACTGGCTCTATAAAGCAGAATCCATGGCAAATAAAACTTAAATTTTCTTTAAATTTACAAAGGAAAACCAAAACTATGTGTACCTGATACAGTTAGTTAATTTACTTTCTCAAATTGTAATGTAGAATCAACTTGGTCACTTATGTTCCCAGCTATTGTGATGTATAACCCTATAGGTATAGTATATATAAATGCAGCAACAACATTTTATCATTGAGCAACTGTACTCAATAATTATATGTTGAATAAATTAAATATTCTGCCAATCATCCCACTACTCAGCTGCAACTAGATGACAAATTTTCTTCTTTTTTGAGATGGAATTTTGCTCGTCACCCAGGCTGGAGTACAATGGCGCAATCTTGGCTCACTGCAACCTCTGCCTCCCAGGTTCAAGCAATTCTCCTGCCTCAGCCTCCGGAGAAGCTGGGATTACAGGCACCTCCCACCATGCCTGGCTAATTTGTGTATTTTTAGTAGACACAGGGTTTCACCATGTTGGCCAGGCTGGTCTCGAACTCCTGACCTCAGATGATCTGCCCGCCTCAGCCTCCCAAATTGCTGGGATTATAGACGTGAACCACCGCACCTGGCCTTTTTTTTTTTTTAAATTTTTTTTTTTTTTTTGAGATGGAGTCTTGCTCCATTGCCCAGCCTGGATTGCAGTGGTATGATCTCAGCTCACTGCAACCTCTGCCTCCCGAGTTCAAGTGATGCCCTTGCCTCAGCCTCCCAAGTAGCTGGGATTACAGGTACCCACCACCACACCCAACTAATTTTTGTATTTTTAGTAGAGGCGAGGTTTTGCCATGTTGGCCAGGCTGGTCTTGAACTCCTGAGCTCTGGTGACCTGCCCACCTCGGCCTCCCAAAGTGCTGGGATTACAGGCATGAGCCACCACGCCTTGCCTAGATAGCAAATTTTCATTCACATAAGGTGGCATAAACAATATCCATCCTGACAATGTCCAAATGATAAGGCCAATTTGATCTAGGAGGGAAAATATGGAAGATGACGACGAAGTGGGAAAAAAGGGCAAGAAGAATGTTTAAAAATATAATAGTACTAACATGGTTTCGGCTATGGTAAAGTACAAAGATTATATTAATAAATAGCAATAAAGGCTATTTTTAGGAAGAAGAAAGCAAAAGCAAAGAGAATATATATGTATAACTTTGCTTTTATCTGGGAAGAGAGAAAAAAGAGAATATATATATATAACAACTGAGAAGACAAGAAACTTGGGAAAAACAACATAATTTGTTAGGGAAGAGACTAGGCATTCAGATTTTTTAAAGATGCATACAAATGAAAGAAAAGCTAACCATGGTAGACTATCCTTGGGATAAGTTTGTTTGTTTGTTCTGAGACACAATTTCATTCTGTCACCCAGGCTGAAGTGCAGTGGCACAATCTCAGCTCACTGCAACCTCCACCTCTTGGGTTCAAGTGATTCTCGTGCCTCAGCCTCTCAAACAGCTGGGATTACAGGCACGTGTTATCATGCCCAGCTAATTTTTGTATTTTTAGTAGAGATGGGGTTTCGCCATGTTGGCCAGGGTGGTCTTGAACTCCTGACCTCAAGTGATCCACCTACCTCGGCCTCCCACAGTGCTGGGATTACAGGCGTGAGCCACTGCACCCGGGTTTTTTTTCTTTTCTTTTCTTTTCTTTTCAGATGGAGTTTTGCTCTTGTCACCCAGGCTGGAGTGCAATGGTGCAATCTTGGCTCACAGCAACCTCCACCTCCTGGATTCAAGCGATTCTCCTGCTTCAGCCTCCCAAGTCACTGTATTACAGGCGCCCACCACCAAGCCTAGCTAATGTTTGTATTTTTAGTAGAGACAGGGTTTCACCACGTTGGCCAGGCTGGTCTTGAACTTCTGACCTGAGGTGATCCACCCGCCTTGGCCTCCCTGAGTGCTGGGATTACAGGTGTGGGCCACCACGCCCGGCCATGAGTGAGAATTTTTATAAATTACTGGAAGAATATTTCTACTTTTGTAAAAGTTAATTTTACAAAATGACTTGGACTCTCTCATATACTGATATTTGGTAGCTTTTCTTCTGTTTTAAACAGTGAAAAGAATACAGTGTTTAAGATTCTTGAAAGTCCTACCTTATATGGGCTAATTAGTCTTCTTTTAATATCCAGTCTGTAGCTTCTGTATTGTTCGGCATCACTCATGTCAGTTACCAGTAGTCGAAGAATTTCATAAACCCTTCTAGCGTGTTGCTAGAATGAAACAAAAGAAAATGCGAACATTTTCAAAGTAAAAATAATGACACTTTCCCAAAAGAACACAGGATATATTTAATATCTGCCATGAGCAAGGAATTGTGCTAGAAACCAGAGGAAAGGCAATAAAAGTAGTTGCCCTCAAGCAGTCTAGTGGGTAACACAAATGATTATGGTATGGATAATTTAATGTGGCACGATCATAGTTCACTGCAGCCTCAACCTCCTAGACTCAAGCCATCCTCCCACCTCAGCCTCCTGAGCAGCTGGGACCATAGGCATATGCACCACACTCGGCTATTTTTTTTTTTTTTTTTTTTTGTAGAAATGGGATCTCACTTTGTTGCCCAGGCTGATCTTCAACTCCCAGCTTCAAGCAATCCTCCTGCCTCAACCTCCCAAAGTATTAGAGTTACTGGCGTAAGCCACTGCCCCAGCCTTCATGACAGATTTTAAATAGGAATGTAAGCAATATGCACAAATTTTGAGTTTTAAATAAGTCACTCTTTCAGCTACAAAGAAATGGTAGCAAAAAGAAGTGCATAGAGACCAATCAAGAAGCTGAGTTATTACATCACATAAAAAACGATGAGGGCATGAACTGGAACAGCACAAGAAGACCAAGGGGTCAAGGACTCTAGAAACATATGAGAGGAAAAACTGAGAGAAGGATGTGAAAATGTGAGTTTTCACAGCCTAGGAGAGATTTGGGAGGCAGCAGAAAATAGAAAATCTGAAGAAAATTCTAGTCTAAGGGCAAGGATTTAAGCAATGTCAGTATATAGGTAAGAGTTAAAACCATAAGGCTGGTTAAGGTCACCTGAGGAAAGCATATACAGTGATAAAAGGAGAAAGGTCAGAAACCTGCTAGTACAGTGACAGTTAAAAAGCAGACAGGGCTGGACATGGTGGCTCATGCCTGTAGTTCCAGCACTTTGGGAGGCCAAGGTGGGCAGATCGCTTGAGCCTAGCAGTTTGAGAACAGCCTGTAGGAACCCTGTCTCTACAAAAATTAGCCAGGTGTGGTGGCGTACCCCTGCAGTCCCAGCTACTTGGGAGGCTGAGGTGGGAGAGTCATTTGAGCCCAGGAGGTTGAGGCTGCAGTGAGCCGTAGCCGTGATTACACCACTGTACTCCACCTCAGGTGACAGAGCAAGAGACCCTGTCTCAAAAAAAAAAAAAAAGGAAAAGGAAAAAAAAAGACAAATGGTATCAAGGAAATATCAGAAGAATCAGGAAGTTTTTGGTAGCACTGAAGCCAAAGGAGAACCACAGTTTTTCTGTTGATGTTGTTTCACTTATGTATTTATTTGGGCAGGGAGTTGGGGTATGGATAGGTTGGGAAGGTAATATTTTCTGACTTCCTGGAAGGGAACCTGAGTTGAACCTGAAAAAATGAGTACTATCTGGCCAGGCAATTAGGAAAAGGGAGTATTTCAGGTAAAGAGAACAGAATATGTAAAGGAATACAGAAGGAAGAAGGATGTGGCAGAGTTGGGAAATGGCTAGAAGATGAGTAAAGCCAGAGCATGTGGCAAAGTAGCCAGAGCATGTGGCAAAGTACTAACAGGCTGAAGCTAGCAAGGTAGGCAGGGTCCAGATTATCATGGGCTCTTTGTGCTCTAGGTAGGGAGTTTGAATTCTTTTTTTAAGAAAGCACCATTAAAAAAAAAAAAAAAAAAAAAATATATATATATATATATATATATATATATATATTCATATGCCTGTTCTTTTAAAAGCTGAGCTATTAAACAAATTTCTTTTCTTTTTTTTTTTTTTAAGATGAAGTCTCTCTCTGTTGCCCAGGCTGGAGTGTAGTGGCATGATCTCGGCTCACTGCAACCTCCGCCTCCCAGGTTTAAGCGATTCTTCTGCCTCAGCCTCCTGAGTAGCTGGGATTACAGGCACGCGCCACCACGCCCAGCTAATTTTCGTATTTGTAGTAGAGACATGGTTTCACCATATTGGACAGGCTGGTCTCGAACTCCTGACCTCGTGATCCACCCAAAGTGCTGGGATTACAGGCGTGAGCCACCTCGCCCGGCCTACACAAATTTCTTTTTTTTTTGAGATGGAGTCTCGCTCGGTCGCCCAGGCTGGAGTGCAGTGGCACCATCTCAGCTCACTGCAACCTCCGCCTCCCCAGGTTCAAGCAATTCTCCTGCCTCAGCCTACCGAGTAGCTGGGACTACAGGCGCATGCCACCATGACCAGCTTTTTTGTATTTTTAGTAGAGGTGGGGTTTCACCATGTTAGCCAGGATGGTGTCAATGTCCTGACCTCATGATCTGTCCGCCTCGGCCTCCCAAAGTGCTGGGATTACAGGCGTGAGCCACCACTCCCAGCCCATCTCACATACTTTCATAATCCAAATCCTACTCATTCTTCAAGGTTTATATCAAATGCCATCCTTTCTATGAAATAACCACTGATTTCCTTGCTTACATAAATGTAATAAACTTTCTTCTCTGAACTTCCATATTTATTTTTTCTGTACCTATCTTAAGACATTTACCACTTTAAAATTTAAATAAATATATAAAAGTATATAAAATGAAATACGTGTTTTACTTCAACCATTCTTCCCACCAATAATGTCTCCAGGGGTACAACTACTTTAAAGAGTAAAAATAAGATCCTATTATCCATCTTTCCTCTGCTTGTTATGCTTAATATAGCAATAACACCTATTATCTTCCCATTTTATTAATGAGGAAACTGAGGCACGAGGTAAATTAAATTGCCATAAATCACAGAGCAAGTGTTGGAGCTAGATTTGAACTCAGGCAATTTGGCTTCAAAGCTGTACTGTTAACCATTGCTAGTTCCCACACATGTATTCTTAATGTCTTTATAATATTTTAGTTAAGGTATACACTTCAAAAATTTGTTTGTAATTTAAATCTGTTTTCCTCCTACAGAATAAAAATACCTTATTTATTTTGAACTTCTGTTGTGCCTCTATCACCATATCTTCATTGAATCCTTGCATTAATTTTTCCCGGGAAAAACAGGGCAAATCTTGACAAAGCTTCACAAGCACAAAGTCTCGTAATTTCACATAGCTTTTGGATGGATCTTCCGCTAAATAAATAAAGCAGAATAATATTAACATTTCCCTGATACTCAATATAATTTCTTCATCTTTTGCAATCTCAACATATATGCTAGGCTGCTCAGGAGGCTGAGGCCTGAGAATCGCTTGAGCCTGGGAGGTGGAGGTTCTACCACTGCACTCCAGCCTGGGTGACAGAGCGAGACTCTGTCTAAAAGAAGAAAAGAAAAAAGACATCAAATCAATATAACCTAAGAGTCACTCTTAACTAGATAAGGAAGGGCAAATTAAACCCAAAGTAATAAGAAGCAATAATAATAATAGAGTAGAAATCAATGAAAAAGAAAACAAAAATAGACAAGTTCACATAAACACAAAGTTGGTTCTTTGAAATGATCGATGAATTGACAAACTTTTAGTTAGAATGACTGAAAAAAAAGAGAGAAAACAACATTTACCAAAATCAGGCATGAAAGAAGGGATATTCCTACCAACTTTACAAAAATCACAAGAATTAAAAGGGAATATGCCATGAACTTTATGCCAACAAATGAGACAATTTAGATGAAACAGACAGCTTTTAGAAAGAAATTACCAAAATGACTCAAAAAGTAAATGACTATGTGAACTGACTATAACAGAGACATTTAATTACCAACTAAAAATCTTCCCACAAAGACAAGTCTACAACCAGATGGCTTTACTGGTAAATTCCATGAAACAACCTGAAGAAGACATAACGATGATCCTTCACAAACTATTCTAGAAAATAGAGGAAACAGGCCAGGCACAGTGGCTCACACCTGTAATCCCAGCACTTTGGAAGGCTGAGGCGGGCGGATCACCTGAGGTCAGGAGTTTGAGACCAGCCTGGCCAACATGGTGAAACTCCATCTCTACTAAAAATATAAAAATTAGCCATGAGTGGTGGCGCAGGCCTGTAGTCCCAGCTACTTGGGAGGCTGAGGCAGAAGAATCGCTTGAACCTGGGAGGCAGAGGTTGCAGTGAGCCAAGGTGGTACCACTGCACTCCTGCCTGGGCAACAGAGTGAGACTCCATCTCCATTAAAAAAAAAAAAAAAAGAAAGAAAATAGAGGAAACACTTTCCAACTCATTCTATGAGGCCAGAGTTATGCTGACACTAAGGATCTAAGACAAAAACTACAAATCAATATCCCTCATGAATGTAGATACAAATGTCCTCAACAAATATTAGCAAACCAAATCTGGCAATATATAAAATGAATTACATACCAGAACTAAATGGGATTTATATCAGAAATGCAAAGTTGGTTTAACATCCAAAAAAAATCAATTAATGTAATATACCATGTTAACAAAATAAATGAGAAAAATTCAATACATGCAGAACAAAGCGTTTGACAAAATCCAACATCAATTCATGATAAAAACGCTCAATAATCAACTATCTAGAAATAGAAGGGAACTGCCTCAATTTCATAATTAACACATATGAAAGCTATAGCTAACATCATCCACAATGGTGAAAGACCAAATGCTTTCCCTCTAAAACTGGGAGCAAGGCATAGATGTCTGCTTTCACCATTGCCAGTCACCATTATATTGGAGTTCTCAGCTAAGCAATCGGGTAAGAAAAAGAAAGAAAATGCATCTGACTGCAAAGGAAGAGGTAAAAATGTCTTTATTTACAGACAATGTGATCCTGTATGTGGAAAATTCTAACCAAAAAACTACTGCAACTAATAAACAAGTTCAGTAAGAGTGCAGGATAGAAGATCAATATATAAAACCCAACTGTATTTCTACATACTAAAACAATCAATGATCCAAAAACAAAATTAAGAAATTAAGAAAATAATCCCATTTCCAACAGCATCAAAAATATTTACAAATGAAGTTAACAAAAGTAGTGCAAAACTTGTATACTGAAAACAACATTGTTGAGAAAAGTTTTAAAAGATCTAACTAAATGGAGATATTTCTTTTTTTTTTTTTCTTTTTCTTTTTTTCTTTTTTTTTTTTTTTTTTTGAGACAGGGTCTCACTCACCCAGGCTGCAGTGCAGTGTACGATCTTGGCTCACGGCAGCCTCAACCTCCTGGGCTCCAGTGATCCTCCCACCTCAGCCTCCTGAGTAGCTGGGCCCACGGGTGCTTGCCACCATGCCTGGCTAAATTTTGTATTTTTGTAGAGATGGGATTTCATCACATTGCCTAGGCTGCTCTCGAACTCCTGGGCTCAAGCGATCCACCTGCTGTGGCCTCCCAATGTGCTGGGATTACAGGTGCAAGCCACCAAGCCTGGCCCAAGACATTTCATATTAATGGATTAGAGCAGTGATCCCCAACCTTTTTGGTACCAGAAGTGCCAAAAATATCTAGCACCAGGGATTTTGTGGGAGGCAATATTTCCCTGGGGATGAGGGGAACAGACAAGGGATGGTTTCCAGATGAAACTGTTCTACCTCAGATCAGTCATCAGGCGTTAGTTAGATTCGACCTACATCCTTCACATGTGCAGTTCACAATAGGGTTTGTGCTCCTATGAGAATCTAATGCCACCACTGATCCGACAGGAGGTAGAGCTCAGGCAGTAATGCTTGTTCACCCATCATTTACCTCCTGCTGTGTGACCCAGTCCTAATAGGCTCTGGACCAGTACCAGTCCGTAGCCCGGGATTTTGAGACTCCTGGATTAGAGGATTCTGAATTGTTAAGATGGGAATTTTCTTCAAATTAATGACAGATTCAATGTAATCCCTCAATCCCTATCAAGACCCAAGAGACTTTTTTTTTTTTTTTTTGCAGAAATTGGTGAGCTTATGCTAAAATTTTTATGGAAATACAAGGGACATTATAAACAAAATAATTTTGAAAAAGAACAAAATTGGAGGACTTTCACTTCTGATTTCAAGACTCATATGTGGTTGAGGTGCTGCTTTGCCAGAGCCTCTGTGCCTAAAGGAAGGAGAAAGGGAGGCCACAAAGGCTAAGCAAGGCAGTACAATATTCCCCAAGCAGATCAACGCACAGCTCCAAGTTGAAAAGCAGAAGGCCAGAGAAGACACAAGAAGAGAGTGGAGAATGGAGGCTGCAAGTGACCCCAAAAAAGAAGAAATCTCTAGCATCAGGCAAGAGATTGCCTGAGAATGAAGATGACTGACTGCCAACAAAAGTACAAAGGCACAGAACAGCTCATTGACATGAAGAACCCCAATTGGATGCCATAGATAACCAGAAAGGTCACACAACTGAATCTGGGCAGGCCAAAGGAGATTTCAAGAAAAGAAGACATTGAGAAGAGAAAGCAAAAGAGCATTACATGAAATTGCATTTAGCTGGGGAGACAGAGCAGGTGATTATCTGGAAATAGCAGGAGAAAGCCAAGAGGAAGAAAGAGAGGAAAGCAAAAGATGATTCATGTTTGTCAGGAAAGTGAATGCAGTCACTCTCCCTGAAGAAGTAAGCATGGACTATATAGGAGCAGATACCAGGAACTGGGCCATGCTGCCAAAACCTCTGCTGTGCCTTGCCCACTCTGTGCTGTCGCCACTGCAGCAGCCCTTTACAGCTAGGAGACCCCACAGCTTGCTGCCTGTGGGGGTTGGGGCAGGGCACCTGCTATAACTTTGTGTGTGCCAGGCCAGGTGCAGCTGCTCACACCTGTGATCCCTTGCTTTGGGAGGCCAAGGCAGGAGGACAGCTGGAGCCCTGGAGTTCAAGACCAGCCTGGGCAACATAGTGAGACCCCATCTCTACAGAAAATACTTTAAAAATTAGCCAAGTATGGTGGCATGTGCCTGTAGTTCCAGCTACTTGGGAGTCTGAGGCAGGAGTTTTGCTTAACCCCAGGAGTTCAAGGCGCAATAAGCTATCACTCCACTGCACTCCAGCCTGGGTGACAGAGCAACACCCTGTCTCAAACACTACCCCTACCTCACCAAAAAACAAAAAAAAAAACAACAAAAACAAACAAACAAAAAAAAAAAACAAAAGAAAAACCCTGGAAAGATGCAGATAGCATTTCATATGTAACCGTTTAAATGTTTTCTTAAAAACTATCTTTAAGAGTTCAGGATTCTGGTCGGGGGCCTGGGAGGAGTGCCTTAGAAAGTAGGGTTTTGTCAGGTACATTACACAGTAGGGGGTGGTTGTGCCAGGGGTTGAGCACTGATGAGTTTGCAACATGCAGCCCCTATGTGTGTTGCTTGGGTGCTCACTCAGAAAGGGGCTGCCCTTTGGGACCCTGTACTCCTGTGTCCTTGAGGGTCATGGCCCAAGCCCAGCCAGTCCACTCTGAAGCCTCCATCTCTACCCTTCTTTGTCCCATTCCCACCTGCCTGGCCAGGGCTAGGACCCATTTTTAACCCTACACCATCGAGCATTTCAAGAAACTTCTGTTTACCTTGCAGCACACAGGCAAAATATGTTCCACAAATTCAACTCGTATATTTGACAGGCTAAACTTGACATTATCGTTTTAAAAATAAATAAATAAATAAAAAATATAAAGCTATATCAACCTAATCATGACGGCTTGGTAGTGGCATAAGGGTAGAAGTATAGATCATTAGAGAGCCCGGTAATAAACCTTCACATTTATGGTCAACTGATTTTCAAGAAAAGTACCAAGGCAATTCAATGAGGAAAGACACTCCGTTCAACAAATGGTGCCAGGACAGCTGGATATCCACATCTAAGAAGATGAACGAGATACTTACCTCACATCATACACAACAATTTATTCAAAATGGACCAAGGACCTCAATGGACGTCGGGTGTAGGGAAGGAAACTGACTACAAATGGACACGAAGGATCTTTTCAGTGATGGAAATGTTCTAAAACAGGCAGGTTTACTAAAAACCACTGAACTGTCCACTTAAAATGGGTGAATTTTATGGTCTGGAAATTATACCTCAATAAAGTTGTTTTAATTAAAAACTCTACTAGAGACAAACGCTTAAGCAAGTATCTCTTGTAAAACATTTTTTTGTTTGTTTGTTTGTGAGACGGAGTCTCGCTCTGTCACCCGGGCTGGAGTACAGTGGCGCGATCTTGGCTCACTCAAGCTCCACCTCTGGGTTTACGCCATTCTCCTGCCTCAGCGTCCCAAGTAGC
This sequence comes from Homo sapiens, assembly GCF_000001405.40. Taxonomy (NCBI): domain Eukaryota; kingdom Metazoa; phylum Chordata; class Mammalia; order Primates; family Hominidae; genus Homo; species Homo sapiens. Next base: position 171,971,085 of record NC_000002.12, on the reverse strand, counting down.
TGGGACTACAGGGCGCCCACCATCACGCCTGGCTAATTTTTTTATTTTTAGTAGAGACAGGGTTTCACCATGTTAGCCAAGACGGTCTCGATCTTCTGACCTTGTGATCTGCCCGCCTCGGCCTCCCAAAGTGCTGGGATTACAGGCGTGAGCCATGGCACCCGGCCACATTTTTTCAAGTACTAATAGATGAGGTACAAGCTTATCCAATGTCAGTTTTTCCAAGTCTATTTCTTTCTAAATTGGTTGAGAAAAACAACTGCATTGCAGCCAGGGGTGGTGGCTCACGCCTGTAATCCCAGCACTTGGGGAGGCCGAGGCCGGAGGGTCACAAGGTTAGGAGTTCGAGACCAGCCTGGCCAATACGGTGAAACCCCGTCTCTACTAAAAATACAAAAATTAGCCGGGCATGGTGGCACGCACCTGTAGTCCCAGCTACTTGGGAGGCTGAGGCAGGAGAATTGCTTGAACCCGGGAGGTGGAGGTTGCAGTGAACCAAGATCGCACCACTGCACTCCAGCCTGGGGGACAGAGGGAGACTCCGTCTCAAAAAAAAAAAAAAAAAAAAAAAAAAAAAAAAAAAAAAAAAGAAACTGCATTGCTAATACTGATTTAAACTAACATTTAGTGTATGTGTGTATGGCTGTGTGTGTGTATGTGTGTGTGAATCTGTGTGTTTTTTTGAGACAGAGTCTCACTCTGTCACCAGGGTGGGGTGCAGTGGCAGGATCTCGGCTCACAGGTTCAAGTGATTCTCCTGCCTCAGCCTCCCGAGTAGCTGGGACTACAAGTGCATGCCACCACGCCTGGCTAATTTTTTGTATTTTTAGTAGAGACAGGGTTTCACCATGCTAGCCAGGATGGTCTCGATCTCTTGACCTCGTGATCCACCTGCCTCGACCTCCCAAAGTGTGTGTGTATTTTTTAAGACAGGGTCTCGCTCTGTCCCCCTAGCTGGAGTGCAATAGCGCAATCACAGCTCACTGCAGCCTTGACCTCCTGGGCTCTAACGATCCTCTCATCTCAGTCCCCCAAGTAGCTGGCTGGGACCATAGGTGTGTGACACCATATCCAGCTAATTAAAAAAAATTTTTTTATAGAGACGGGAATCTCCCTATGTTGCCCAGGCTGGTCTTGAACCCCTGAGCTCAAGCAACCCTCCAGCTCAGCCTCCCAAACTTCTGGGATTACAGGCATGAGCCACTGTAACCAGCTGAGTGAAATTTTAAGTAACTTCTATACCCTCAGAAAAGTTTAGGAAATAGGTATCATAGGAAAATGAGTTACAGTTGAGAAAAACTACTCAGGCCACATTTTTACCTGAAATTTTCACATAAGTCAAAAAACATGCAAAAAAATTTCCAGTTTTAAATAAGCCATTATGACTGATAATACTTTGTTTGCAGCTTAATATAAGGAACCAAGTCACCACTCAATCTTTAAGCCCTTTGAAAGTGTCAGTCTGAAATGAACTTAAAACGACACCCAATAATGTATGACATCCTTCAATTCCTTTGTTTCTATGCTACAAAGATAAGCAACATATTTAAAGATAAAATTTTCTTGAATTTAAATCTACAATGATATGCAGGATCAAAAACTGAGTTTTTTCTAAATGTAATACATCATCTAGCAATCGTTTTTTTAAAGCTTCTCATATTAACATACATATTAGTGATAAAAAATCATATTCTAAAGAAGGGAAATGAGATAACAGCACAATCACCTAAGTTATAAACAATTCACATAATATTCTAAAAAGCTATATGGCACATCCCAGAACAATAAAGTACATTTAAAGGACAAATATAATTAGCTCTTAATGTACTACTGATAGATAATAATACTGATATGTATTCCAGCCCAGAATCGATTTCTATTGCCAAATGCAACTCCTTTCAGAAGTCCAGAGGAAACAAGATCATTGATTCTATTTATAAAGTTATACAACTGAGATGTATTCAAATGCTGTACATCTTAAGAGAATAGTATCTTCAAAAGGCAGATGGTATACAAGGAATTGTCTGCCAGTATTTTACCTTAAAATTGAGTGCAAAAAAATGAAAATGGGTGGCAATTATACCACAAACACCCATCCATTGGAAGTAAGATATAACTTAGGCCATCTACAGGAAGTTTCAATTATTATTAGATCTGGCTATCTGTCAAGTAAGCAAAAGGCCATCTCAATATAAAGAATATTCTGGATTGCAAATGGAGATCCAGAGCCTGCAAAAGAACCACAAAGCTAAAAAAGCACACACAATAATGGAGAAACAGGCAACTAAATGACAGAAGAGTAGAAAAATCTGCAGTTTTGTTTTTTAAGGACTGGGTATGGAAATCTAGGAGAAATAAATATCTTAATGAGAACAGCTGATAAGGCATTTTTAGTATTTTTAAATGCTGAGAAATGTTAATGCTGAAAATAAAGGCCAATACCCAGTTGTCAAATTCAGAAGTCCTTTAGCATGTTTAGTCTTTTCTTTTTAGAGACTTCAGTTTCTAATGAATAACACCAATGAATAAAGGCTACCATTATTGATGACTCTTCACTGAGATTTAAGAAATAAAATTCTTTATCTGCTAATTGGTGCTAAGTATCAAGGACTTTATTGGTTGGAGTAGACAGAAGAAAGTGGTTAAGAGGCTTCAGAGAAACAACCCCTGCTGGCACATTACCCACTAGAGTAGACAAAGACTACTTATGTGAACTCCACATTAAAATCACCAAAAATGTCCCTTCATGTAGCAGCAAGTCTAAGCTCTATAAGTTAATAGAAGCTAAACAATTTTCTGCTCAACTAAAAGAAGTGACATAGTCTGTATTATGTTTCTACAATTTTATAAGTCACTAAGCTAGTGAAGTTGTCGCTTAAACAATTTATAACTTTTGTTATAAACGAAGTTTAGTAACTACTACTTTATCTCCTGAGTTTCCAACCCATTTAACAGTAGCAGGAAAGTCAGATGAAAAGATAATTCACCTCTATAAATGTGAAACTCCCTTTTAAAGACAACGTGCTTTCCCTCCAGTTTATTATTCTACAGATCAATTCACTGTTCTGAAGCAACTTCAATTTTATTTACCTTGGATTACTAGTCTATATAAAGAAGGATGAAACAATCTGCTTACTAGCCTATTTATGTGGTTGCCAGTCTTACAACCATTTTTTTTTTGGTGGGGGTGGGTGGGTGGGAGGTGGTGTCTTTAAACAAAATTCCCAAATAGCATTTTTTAACATGTTAATGTTTTAGTGCATGTTAAATAGTATAGTTTGTAACAAAGATGTATCCAAATTCAAACTTGTAAGATTAATAAATTTTAATACCAATTTGCATGTAACTATCTGGTAAAGTATTTTTCAATAAAAGAAAAAGGTAACTTTCAGTTTCATCAGCAATTTTATGAACAACAAATTTGAAAGTTAGAAAATAACATAAATATTCCTTGGGCCACTTTGTTTTTTGGTGGATCACACTTTAACATATTATCTGAAACTCCATCTAATAATGCCTTCTCCTTTTGAAGAGTCAAGTCGAGTAAGTCGAGTAAGTCGTCTTTCCTTCTCCTAAGCATTCTATTCATACTACTACTTCTATGGCTAATCCATACTGAAAGACATTTCCAAAACAAATAGGCCTACATTTCACCTTATCTACTACTGTTGTGAAGGCATGCATTTTAGGAATACAAAACACACACTTTAGGAAATGTGTATTCTATTCAAGAAGTATTTACCTTGACTTTTTTTCTCAGTAAAGTTTATAATATTCTGCCCCTACATGTAAATTAAAGTGCAGGCTGCCTCTAAATAATGCAACTGTTTGCCAAATAAAGTGAACAAATAAGTTATACCATACTTTCAACGTATTTACGCCTGACCAAGACTTCCCCATATATATTCAGCTCATTATCTTCAATTTGTTCCATTATGCACTTCACAGTTAGGGATGTAATCCAATCCCCACAAAGGCTTATGCTCTAAAACATAAACTTAAGCCATCTTTAGATGGCTTAAACACCCTAGGAAAATGTTGCTGTTTAAAATAGTTATTTCTGACAAAAATAAAATCAATCAGTAAGAAGACATTTTTAGAAAGGCTCTTTCAGTAACAAATCAAATTTTACATACCTGTAATATCAAGAACTGTAGGAAATTCAGTGTAGTATCTATGAACTGTTTCAAGAAGTTGAGCACCATGGCCTTGACCTTGAAATGGAGTCAAAATCAGCATCTGACTACAGTAAAGAAATTATTTTAAAATTAAAATATCATAACATGACCAGTTTAAAACCTGCAGATCACTATAGTATTACAAACACTTTAAAGTTTGTGTGATCTTTTTTTCAATCCACCTTTGAGATACCCAAAAATTATCAAGATACTCAAAATTAGTTTAATCTTCTACACTGTTTCAAAGGGAACAATGAAATAAATCAGTACATAGCCCATGAATAATAGTGATTTTTTTTTTAAACAAATCAACACTATTATAACAAGTATTGGAAACTTCAGCAGTTCCTTCTTCTGAAATAAAAGACAAGGCACGTGTTATACTGCCAATTACCTTACACGTGGCCGGGTTTTGTCTGGGTACACATAGTAATTATAGACTGTCATGTAGCCTACGGTCGCAAAGAGCGTAGCTCCATCCTTATTATACTTCTCAAATCTGCAGATAAAACAGAAAGCCAAGCAGGTCAATTACAGTCGCGCTCCCATGCAGTGTCCATTTTCTTTTCCATTCTCTGACTGAATTTTCAGTGTCAGCAAGCTACTCTGTGAGGGCCCAATGGGTACACCTGCTATGTTCTGAATGTACAATTCACTTAATTGGTGTGCAGCAACTTGGATAAATCAGACCTCTTTACATCACTTCAGTGCACTTGCCTATTATAAAGATGAATAGGTGGCAAGTAAAAGAAAACACAGGCAAAGCTCATTTTACTGTTTAAGCCTACATTCAGGGCCCTAACGGACAACAGCATTTAATTCAGCTCTATTCTCAAGGTCTCCCAAAGCATAATGAAGGAAAACTCAAGCCTCATAAACAATAGTTTTTCTTTCCTGGGAAAAATATCATTATACTGTCCCAATAATTGGGCTGCCACAATTAAAATGCTGGCTTTGTGGAGGTAATAAGGTCTACTGTTGCTTTAGAACTGTACTTACACTAGAAAGTAGTGCCATCTTTCATCATCCACGTCAATAAAGCTAGCAGTTTCAATAAACCACATCAAAAAGGTCTGAAGCCTTTCATGATATTCTCGAAAGCCTCTACATGTCATGTCAGCCTAGGGAAAAAGCCAGGAAAAGTCAGGTGAAACTCATCACAAAGGTAAGTGAAAGTCCGCAGAACACAAAATTATCCTGTGGGAAAATGTTTAGAAGTCTCAGATTAAGATGTGAACATAGATACAGACATACACACAAAATAGATCTTGGTTTATAATGCTGATTAAAACTTGTTTACTGCAGTTAGAATAAATCACTGACAACAAAACTACATACAGGTTTCAGGCAAATAGAACTTTACTCAATAAATATTTAGATTTATCTTTACCTTATATATCTGAAAGGTAAAGTTTTCTCCTCCTGTTGGACTGAGAACTGAGTAGGTATGAAGTAAGGTTCCGAATGGCTTGAAATCAACTTCCTTTTCCAGTAAAGAAAGGAAATCATTCGTGTTTGTGCAAAATCCAGGTGGAATGATTTGTCTAATTTTGCCCTCAACATCATCTGCCTAAAGAATAAAGGATATAAAAAATTAATAACAAATTCGACTTTAAGTTGAATATGGTTTATTTCTTTAAAACTGACAAAACCAACACAAATTACAAAACTTTGGTTGAAAACTAAAGAAGTAAACACACAGCGAATTGGAAAAGGATGAGCTTCCTGTGCACAAACTGCATCACACAAAACTGAGATGAGCATAATATAAAAGTAAATAAGAGAAGGCAGGTGACCTGATACCAAGTACAATAATAAGGGCAATGCTATGGACATTTCCATTATGCAGAAACAGCTGACTATACCCCTTCATGACAGTCTGAACTGGCCAAGGCAAAAGGTTGCTTATTATTTTATATGTGTCAAAGAAATCATATTATCCAAGACATGAAAAGATCACCAGCAGTGGTGAGATGAGACTAGAGTCTGACCAAATGAATAGCAATCTCACAACTAGATGGGTCACAATTCCCTCATATGCCAAACTCAAACTAAGATGATAACTTAAAAATATACATATTTAGGAAATAACATAAATTATATGAATGGATATATCATTCTTTTATCCTTAGAATGTGACACAATTCTTACAGACCTGGATTTGTGACAGTAAAAAAGAGACAAGACTGGACAACAAAACTAAACTCGGAGATTAAAATTACCCTTGTTAAACAACCTCTATCAATGTTATCAGCTGAGCAGACTTCATAATCCTTTTCAAAATCCCAAAAGACCACTTGATTGAATACATTTACTACTTCTCTTTAACCATGAATATTTGATGAAGTCTTACAATAAAGTATTGCTGCTTCTCACCAGGCAATAAAACTTAATGAATTGGTCTCAACTTAACAAAACCTTATCCCTCAATACAGTCCCTAAAAGCCTGACATTACATTCAACAAAATGAGCTTGTATTCTATTCAAACTTTTTCCTGAACAATGAGGCCAGGTTTTTACTTAATGGAGTTTGCCGTGAGTTCAGCTGTAATGTTTGTATTGTATCTATTTCCACAAGGACTGACACAAGAACACTTTGTGTTAACTTACTAAGCAGCTCTTTCATACCGTTTACATGCATGATGGGTATTAGTTCTAAACCAAGACCCTTGCTACTTAGCATTCAAAACAGGGAAATTAAGATGCTTAGGACAAAATACACTACAAAAGGCTAATACAACATGCTACTAATTCCTATCCTTTCAACCATCTTTTAACTAAGTAGAAGCAATGCACCTGCAGATGAATAGCACTTTATTATGATTCAGTTACATTTCAGGATAGAGAACCAGTGATGACGTTTATCACAAACAAGTTTTATTTTCAATGCTCTGGTACCACCAACATTTATATATAATTTGTTTATAGGTATAAAAAAGACCTATTATTGAAAATATAGCTCTTCAGCATTTTGCCCAACAGTTTATTTCTAATATGTACATCAGTCCTTGCAACTCATTCACACTCTAGATCAAATAAACTGCATTTCATAGGACAGTTTTTGCTTATTTTTAAAGTACTATTTGATAAATATTTTTCCTTGAAATTGCTAACATGAAGAGGCCATCGTAAGCATATTTTATAGTATCAGTACAATTTCAACAGCTATCAAGGAAACTGTCATAATGAGGGATAGCTGTAATAGATGTGTTGTGTAGCAATTAAAATCCAAAGTAGTGATGAGTAAAACAGTATAGTATGTTAGTTAAGGTTTTTAAAAAGCCAAGAAAAACTACTTTTAAAAAGGGATTTATAATCTATCAGTTTAAAAATCACTTTAAGACTTTCATAGCATGTATAATTTTAACTTTTAAAAACTTTCCTTATGTCCTGTCTTCTCAAGAAGGCATTGCAAATCACTTTACATATCTTGTATCAAATCTACTTCAAAGACTTCTCAGAAACTCTAAGTTTCAAGTAGCACTTTTGGTGGCGGGCAGAGCAACCAGAAGGTTTGAGCCCAACAAAGTTGAAAAAGGGCTTTCAGCCTTCAAAGGATGTCTATTTCCTGTAATAAATATCTTCAAATAAAATAGTTTGCTTTGTGTAAGTTTACACATTAAGAATTTTTACGGGGCAAAGGGCAATTTTAAAGCAAGGAATCTTTATATAATTATATAAATATATATTTATAAATAGTTATGTATATAAATATGTATCTGATATACTTACATAAAATATACAACTTAAAACCAAATAGTTCTTCAACCTAGAATTTACAACTTCGCTTCACTAAAGGGAAAATGTCTGCATTTCTCTATTAAATGGATTCTGCTTTAAGAAAAAAAAAAATCCTGACTACCATGTCTTAGAGATCTGTACTCTTTTCTCAAATATATAATTTAGTTTAATTTAAAATATTCGTCTTTCAGATTGGATTACTGATCAGATAATAAAATCAGCACAAGAGCAAGACCTCATTTAATCATTGTTAATTGAATAGAGTTAAAAATGAACAGAAACTTTTTAATTCCAATGTTTGTGGCTAAAAGTTTAGAATCTATTTCTGAAGATCACTGAAAAATTCCCTGTATTCCAGAGCATTATTCTAAACTTCAACTAAAATTATACAGAAATATAGAAAGGGTAAGAAATTCAGCTGACTAGACACACCAGGGAACTAGAATTTCAAAAAAATTTTTAAAAAGACACCAGGCTGGGCATGGTGGCTCACACCTATAATCCCAGCACTTTGGGAGGCCAAAATACGCACATCACCTGAAGTCAGGAGTTTGAGACCAGCCTGGCCAACATGGTGAAACCCTGTCTCTAATAAAAATACAAAAGTAGCTGGGCGTGGTGGTGTGCACCTGTAATCCCAGCTACTTGGGAGGCTGAGGCAGGAGAATCACTTGAACTTGGGAGGCGGAGGTTGCAGTGAGCCAAGACTGCGCCACTGCACTCCAGCCTGGGTGACAGGGTGAGACTCCGTCTCAAAAAAAGAAACCAGAATACAACCTGATATATTTAATTAACAAAGACATCTCTTACAAATGGTTTCCTAACGCTTGGTAATTTATTTTTAAAAAGGAAAGTGCAAAAGTATTCTAGTTAGATATTCTGGTAGGTGGGTCATTATGAAATATTTTTAGATTGTATACTATTTAACTATGGTCATTTCAAGTTCCAGTGTTCTGTACTTTATTACACATGAACATGTTCATATGGAGCAATTTTTGCATTTCCTCATTATTGAATAAAGCGATATGCCTGATAATTAGTAATCTATTTTTTTAATGTTTATATTTGTATTTATACACATTTGAAAACCCAATAACCTCTCTAACATCTTATCTTAAGCAGCACCATTTGTCTAAATTTGTCTAGTTATTTTTGAGATTGAAATTAAAGGCACGTTAAGTAGGTGGTAACATGTTGTTCTTTACTTGGCTAAAGTGGTACATAGACTTAACTATAATTCTAAGACTACCTAAAATATGCTAAAAAAAAAAAAAACAAGCAAAAGAAATTCTGTATCTACTTAATGTTCTCAATCTCATGTTCTCTGATAATATTTAAGCTTTAACTACAGAATGTATTGTTGAGAAATTAAAAGTGTGAACTTTTTCACTAATGGAAAAACAAAGGTCATATTATGTTTATTTACACTGCATTAGTATTTTGCTACTTGAACTAAACAAGATAAACTTGTCAATATATACTTTTAAAGCTCTTTATGATATTTCATAAAAAGTATTACTTATCAAGAACACCATCACAATTTGAAATTTTACTAGTCTACCAAAGATTTTTTCGAAATTTCTGGAAGTATGTAGGATTTTCCTAGAAAGAGGCTAAACACTCCATAAAATTTTTAAAATCTGCTCTCATATCCTCTCAAATTCAATCCAATTAGTGGGACACTAGGATAAAATAACTGAAATTCACAGTTAATACAAACTTTATCCATCTATTTCAACTTCCTGTACCAAACTTTTCCCAGAAATGCTAGCAATTAGCAAGACAACAATCTTAGTTACCCACTACTTCACTAAAAGGCAATGAAATTACCCCCAAGAAAAGGCAGGAGGTTTTTGTTTTTAAGACAAGAGTCTTGCTCTGTCACCTAGGCTGGAATGTAGTAGTGTAACCATAGCTTACTGCAGCCTTGACCTCCTGGGCTCAAGAGATCCTTCTGTCTCAGCCTTCCAAGTAGCTGGGACTACAGGAGCATGCCATCATGCCTAGCTTTTGTTTTCGTTTTTTGAGACAGAGTCTTGCTCTGTCACCCAAGCTGGAGTACAGTGGCGCGAACTCGGCTTCCTGCAACCTCCACTTCCCGAGTTCAAGTGATTCTCCTGCCTCACCCTCCTGAGTAGCTAGGACCACAAGCACGCACCACAACACCTGGCTAATTTTTGCACTTTTGGTAGAGATGAGGTTTCACCATGTTGGCCAGGCTAGTCTCAAACTCCTGACCTCAAGTGACCTGTCCACCTCGGCCTCCCAAAGCGCTGGGATTACAGGTTTGAGCCACCACGTTCAGCATTTTTTTTTTTTAATAGGCAGGGTCTTATTATGTTACCAAGGCTGGTCTCAAATTCCTGGCCTCAAATGATCCTCCTGAGTCAGCCTACAGAGTAGCTGGCATTACAAGCACAGAGCAGGAGGTGTTAATAAAAGCAAAGGTCAAGGACAACCAGATGAAAAAATCATCAGTGTCTGAATAATCAAGTTTATTGTATTGTAAAATTCAGAATTATGTTTCCTTTAAAGATGGTGGCTAGTAGAGATTTTATAGGCATCTTAATTGTGACTGAAGAATTTTAGGTGCAACTAGAGCATTCAGCTTGGAAAAGTAAAAGAATGGATGATTAAAAATTAATGTAATGACATAATCCTAATAAGAAATAACTTCTAAGCAGATGTTATGGCTGCTGACCATCTATGCAGTATGATCTGCAAAGCCCTAATATATTAGACTCAAACCTAACATCCAAAATAAAATTTTTTTATTGTTTCCACTTAAACCTATTTCTTCTATAGTTTTCCCAGTTAACAGTACCATAATTGAACTTGGGCAATGGGGTTCTCGTTTTTTTTCTTCATCTGTCACATCTAATTCAACAGCAGACCTCCAAAATGTTCCTTACTCTGACAACTAAGTCCAGTGTCACCTCTAACACTGCAATGTTCCGGTCTCTTCTTTCACTTTTGCCCTATACAGTGTGTTCTCTGCACAGCAGCCAGAATCATATTTTAAAAATATAAATCACATTGTTTATGACCTCCACCTACTTAAGAATGCCTCTAAAGAATGCCAACTACTCTTATTTCTTGCAAACACCTATCACAGAACACAAGATCCTATATGATGATCTAGCTTTGCATCCCCTTCAACCATCTCCTACCCCTCTCTCCATCACCACAATGATTTAACCCTGGTAATCTTTCTGGACTACAAAAATGCCAAAAATGCTGTATTTTTAGAGCCTTTGTATCTTAGTAAGCTTTACCCTCAGATTATAACATGGCTGGTTCCTCCTTTATCATTCAGAAATGAGCAAAATGTATCTTCATAATACTGCCTGAATTTAATTTGTGTATTTACTATTTTGTTTACTGACTGTTCCTCTTGGCTAGAATGTAAGCTCCATGACTTTGTCTGCCACTGTATCGCTGGCATCAACAACACAGAAGGCACTATGGAATGAACACTCACTGCAAACTGAGATAGAAGAAGCAAGCCCATGACCCACATATCCCCTACCCAATCGTTTTTAATAAGGGGAAAAAAGTCTTTGTTTGAATACGCAATATAAATGATCTTTGACCACAAAGCAAATAAGTAACTCTACAAAGAGACATTATAAAAGATTGATTCCTTATTCCTAACACAGTATTTCTAAATGGAAAAACCTAATTTTCAAGAATGGAACAATTAGATGTCAATGCAAATACACAGCTATTTTCACTGCATGAAATATTTAAAAGATTTATCTATAACTAAATCAATAGTTCCTTTGGAAGAAATCAATTCAGTGCTATCAGCTGCAACTGTAAAAAACAAAAACCCTCCAACAGTGGGTTTACACACAAGGAAAAACATCACCTGCATTTTTAATAAGAATATCTAGCTGGGCTTGGGTCTGGAGAATTTAGCAATCTACATATTTGATTATGAAAAAACTCTATTTTAATAAATGTGTTAAATGCTAGTTTATCTAAGATTACATCTTTTCAAACATCAAACCACTACAGTATTACTCAGAATCACTTTTGTATCTGCACAATTTCAAAAGTTATCCTGGGAAACAAACTATATAAAATAAAACAAATATTAAATGTAGTTACATATTATTTATCTGGCAAGCTCAGTCATCTCAAACATGGCTGGGAAGTGGGGAAAAACACACAAAAAAACCAAATAGAACTCAAAATATTTCTAATACTAAAGTTGAATAATGAATATGAAACTACTTCAGATCTTTTTCATGCTATGCACAATTCATATTATATGAAACTATTTCAGATCTTTTTCATGCTACGCACAATTAGTTTTATAGATGGGGCATAGGGTTGGCAAAAGAGGTAAAGTCAGAAGTTAATGTCAGTTTAAAGTCCTGAAAAAGTTGGTGGCATTGTTAATGTTTTAGGAACTGCTACTTCTGCAAAAGAAAGTTATGACATACAGTATGAAGTAATCAGATTCCATCAAGCTTACCAATATGGTATTTTTAACCATAAGGGGTTTGCTAGTGTGAAGCTCCTTACAATGATAGCAGTAAACTGGGAGCACATGGCATAAAACACAGGAGAAGGCTGGGTACGGTGGCTTGTGCCTGTAATCCCAGCATTTTGGAAGGCCAAGGTGGGAAGATTGCTTGAGGCCAGGAGTTTGAGGCCAGTCTGGGCACTATAGCAAGACCCCGTCTCTACAAAAAATTAAAAATTAAAAAAATATTTTTTTTAATGAGGGGGAAAAACACATGGTCAAAAGGGGAAAGATACCTATGTAACAAACGTGCAAGTTCTGCACATGTATCCCAGAACTTAAAATTAAAAAAAAAAATAACGGGAGAGAGAGAGAAAAAGCAGTAAGCCCAAGAGCCTGGATCCTCTTAGAACAGGTCATAAATATTCCTAACATCTTTTAATCAGGATATTATTATATATTATGCATAATAACACTAAATAATCATCTCCTAGTACAATACTGATTATTTACTAGTTGTATGACTTTGGGCAAAACCTTTAAATATAACAAATCCCTCAAAATTTAAATAATAAAAAAGGGCCAAGTAAGTCAGTTCCAGTAATGAGAGGAGGTTTTAACCAAAAATATAGATGGGGCATAGGGGTGGCAAAAGAGGTAAAGTCAACAGTTAAAATCAGTTTAAAGCCCTGAAAAAGTTGGTTTAATTGTTAATTCTTTAGGAACTGCTACTTCTGCAGAGGAAAGTTATGACATACAGTATGAAGTAATATATTTCATTTTCCATACTTGTGTCTAGCACAGTATTACCAACAGTATATCAGATATAATTTACTAAAACTTGCTGGATTAATAAGTGCAAAGAAAAGAGATTTTGCTATAAGAATTAACTTTCAATTTTATAAATATGATTTAGTGACAAAATGGGATTTAATCTTTAAAAAAATCAATGGTGAAGTTTCAATGCCCTTAAATGAGGAATGCTCGGAAACAGAACAAGCCTAAAATATAATTTTCTTAAGGCCCTCAAAGATTCATGTCCATCCCACATGCAAAATACATTCATTCTATCCAAACATTCCTAAAAGTCTCAACCATTACCATATCAACTCAAGCCCAAAATCTCATCTAGATATAGTCAGTTCAAAAGTCACACCTCTCATCATAGGTAAGACTGTGGGTATGATACATCCTAGGGCAAAATTCCTCTCCATCTATGAACCTGTGAAATTAGAAAACACAGTATCACTTCCAAAAGACAATGGTAGGACAGGCATAGGACAACAGTTATAGAATCTCTCATTCCAGAAAAGGAAATGGAAGGAAGAAAGGAGCCACTGCCACCAAGCAATTTCAAAATTCAGCATGGCAAACTCCATTAGGTTTCAAGGCCTAAGAATAACTGTGGCCTGCAGCTCCACCCTCTGGACCCAAAGCTTTGCCCTCAGAGTCATTCTTCCACTTTCTTTAAAGGTAGCACATGTTGGCAGCTGAGCAGTTTTATTAGCCTGTTTCCTGCCTGTGAAATTTGGAGAGTTCATACAGCCTTCCTTCATTTTGTCCTGTCAATCCAAGCTGCACTATAAAGTTTTAATTCTCAAAACCCTTGAGTCGCCTGTGTACGTCATGAGGGTTCATACCATTAGACAAGAGGGTCCTCCACAAATGTTCCCCAGATCTACATTCCTAGCTTTTTGCTGAGACAACTGAGGAGATCCATGAGTCACGTGCCTAATCCCTTCAGCACTAGCAAAAGGTTATCCTGTCACACTCACGGCTTTCTCTCCAGAACACACTTTCCACCTTCCTGACAATGAATATCCTAACTAGTGTCTTCTACAATCTGGATAGGTTAAGAATTTCCCAAATCATCAAGTCCTGTATCCTTTTTGTTTAACAGTTCTTCCCTCAATTTATCTCTTTCATCACTTTACTATAAGCAGCCAGAAATCAGGCCACACCTCCAATACTTTCCATGAAAACCTCCTCAGCTAAACATCCAAGTTCATTGCTTACAGTAAGTTCTCCTTTCCACAGAACTGCAGGACATAACTCAGCTAGGCTTTCTGCCACTATAGAACAAGGATATCCTTTTCTCCAGTTGCCAAATACATGTTCCTCATTTTATTCTAAGCCCTCACCAACCAGAGGCAGTTCTTTTGTTTGTTTGTTTGTTTTTTGGAGACAAGGTCTGGCTCTGTCACTCAGGCTGGAGTGCAGTGGCACCATCTTGGCTCACTGCAACCTTCACCTCCCGTGCTTAAGCCAGTCTCCCACCTCAGGCTCCAGAGTAGCTGGAACTACAGGCACACACCACCACACCCAGCGTGTGTGTGTCAGCGTGTGTGTGTGTGCATGCGTGCGTGTGTGCGTGTAGAGATGGGTTTTCGCCATACTGCCCAGGCTGGCTTGAACTCCTGAGCCCAAGTGATCTACCTACCTTGGCCTCCCAAAGTGCTAGGATTACAAATGTGAGCCACTAAGCCTGGCCTTTTTTTTTTTTTTTTTTTTTTTAAAGACAGGGTCTCACTGTCACCCAGGCTGGAGTGCAGTGGCATGATCATACTTACCTTACTGTAGCCTCAACCTGCTGGCCTCAAATGATCCTCCTGCCTCATTCTCCTCAGTAGCAGAGGCACTTTTTTTTTGAGACAGAGTCTCGCTCTGTTGCCCAGGCTGGAGTGCAGTGGCGCGATATCGGCTCACCGCAACCTCCGCCTACCGGGTTCCGGTGATTCTCCTGCCTCAGCCTCCCGAGTAGCTGGGATTACAGGCATGCGCCACCATGCCGGGCTAATTTTTGTATTTTTAGTAGAGACGGGGTTTCACTATGTTGGCCAGGCTGGACTCAAACTCCTGACCTCGTGATCCACCTGCCCTGGCCTCCCAAAGTGCTGTGGGATTATAGGCATGAGCCAACGCATCCAGCTCATGTTCGTGTTTCTACCAAAACTAAGTTTATGACTATATATATATTCTCTAAGATGATACAGGTGTTCTCTCCTACACTCCTAGCTTCATTCTGAGCCCTAACCAACAGTCCATTATTTCCTTTATTTATTTATTTATTTATTTTTGAGATGGAGTTTTGCTTTTGTTGCCCCGGCTGGAGTGCAATGAATGGCGCGATCTTGGCTCACTGCAACCTCTGCCTCCCAGGTTCAAGTGATTCTCCTGCCTCAGCCCCCCAAGTTGCTGGGATTACATGTGCCTGCCACCACGCCCGGCTAATTTTTGTATTTTTAGTAGAGATGGGTTTCACCATGTTGGCCAGGCTAGTCTCAAACTCCTGACCTCAGGTGATCCTCCCGCCTTGGCCTTCTAAATTGCTGGGATTACAGGCATGAGCCACTGCGCCCAGCCCATATTTCCTTTAACATCCATATTTCTACCAACAGTCCATTCAAGGTAATCTATGCTTTTTCTATCATGCACCTTCAAAACTCTTCCAGCCTCTACCTATTTCCAAAGACACTTCTACATTTTTAGTTATTGGTTATAGCAGCATCCCACTTCCTGGTATGAAAACCTGTATTCGTTTCCTGTGGCTGCTATAATAAATTACCACAAACTTGGTGGCTTAAAACAATATTTATTCTCTTACGGTCTGGAGGTGTTCTGAAATCAGTATCACTGGGCTGTAACCAAGGTAATACACTCCCTCTGGAAGCTCTAGGAGGGAATCTGTTCCTTTCTTCTTCCAGCTTCTAGTGAGTAAGCATTCTTTGGCTTCTGGCCATATCACATCTGCCTCTGTGGTCACACTGCCTTCTCCTTTTCTGTCATCAAGTTTCCTTCTGTCTCCCTCTCATTAGGATACATGTCATTACATTTAGGTCCACCCAAATATTCCAGGATAATATCAAGATATTTAATTACATCAGCGAAGTGCTTTTTGCAATATGAGGCACCATTCACAGGTTCCAGATATTAGGACATGGATATCTTTTGGGGGGAACCATTATTCAGTCTACCACAGATGCATACTCATCTCTCTCTCTTTTTTTGAGATGGAGTCTTGCTTTGTCACCCAGGCTGGAGTGCAATGGCGCAATCTTGGCTCACTGCAACCTCCACCTCCTGGGTTCAAGCAATTCTCCTGCCTTAGCCTCCCGAGTAGCTGGGATTACAGGCATGCACCACTGCGCCCAGCTAATTTTTGTATTTTTAGTAGAGACGGGGTTTTGCCATGTTGGCCAGGCTGGTCTCAAACTCCTGACCTCAGGTGATCCGCCCACCTCAGCCTCCCAAAGTGATAGGATTACAGGCATGAGCCACTGTGCCCGGCCTCATCTCTCTCTTTACCTTTATCCCCTTTTGATACACTCACTTTAAATAGTTTTATAATGTGATCAGCTTGATCATCCATGTATTCCATCCATAAAGGAATATATTAGCAAAATTTGTGGGATTAGAAATGCAGCAAGAGAAACTTCAATAGATTCCACACTAGGTAAAAGTGGAAAATTTAGCTATTTCCCTCCATCTTCTTTGACTTATAGGAAATAACCACAATAAAAAACAAAAGTTGGCAAAAAAATAAAACTCTGATCACAAAGGCAAAGATTTTTATGAAGAAGGTCCATGCAGGAAACAGAACAGGATCATGATCACAGGATTAACTGTAATGACAGGGAGGCAAATGCCTCCATAACTAAAGACTGAGTATATGATTTTATTTAATTAATTAATTTTTTTTTGAGACAGTTTCACTCTGTCACCCAGGCTGCAGTGCAGTGGCACGATCTCAACTCACTGCAACCTCTGCCTCCCAGGTTCAAGCAATTCTCCTGCCTCAGCCTCCCAAGTAGCTGGGATTACAGGTGTGTACCACCACGCCCAGCTAATTTTTGTATTTTTAGTAGAGACGGGGTTTCACCATGTTGGCCAGACTGGTCTTGAACTCCTGGCCTCAGGTGATCCGCCCACCTTGGCCTCCCAAAGTGCTGGGATTATAGGCGTTAGCCACCACACCCAGCCTGAGAATGTGATTTTAAAACTACCATGTAACAGATTCTCTCTTCCCTCAAACCTTAATTTTTTTTTTTTTTTTTTTTTTTTTTTTTAAGAGACAGGGTCTTGTTCTGTTGCCCGGGCTGGAGTGCAGTGGTGCCATCATGGCTCACTGGCAGCCTCAAGCTCCTGGGCTCAAGTAATCCTCCCACCTCAGCCTCCCAAGTAGCTGAGGGTCTCACTATGTTGTCCAGGCTGGTTTCCAACTCCTGGGCTTGAGATCCTCCCACTTCAGCCTCCAAAAGCACTGGCATTATAGGCACAAGCCACTGCACCCAGCCCAAACCTTTAATTTTTAGAAACTATTTGTTTATTGTTTGTTTGTTTTGTTTTTGAGACAGGGTCTAGCTCTGTCATCCAGGCTGTAGTACAGTGGCATGATCTCAGCTGACTGTAGCCTCTGCCTCCTGGGCTCAAGCCATCCTCTGACCTCAGCCTCCTGAGTAGCTGGAATTACAGACACATGCCACCACGCCCCACTAATTTTTGTGGTTTTTTTGAGAAATGGGCTCTCACTATGTTGGCCAGGCTGGTCTCGAACTCCTAAGATCAAAAGATCTGCCCCCCTTGGTCCCCCAAACTGCTGGGGTTACAGGTGTGAGCCACCGCACCTGGCCTAAAACCTATTTTAAAATAAATTAAATTGGAAAACAGTTTAAAAAGTATTTCTGTTCTTACCTCTACACAGTCAAAGTTCTCATCAACTTTAGATGCATATTCAACACGGAACATTGTTGACAGGCTACCAGCAATATAGTATAACAGGATCTTTAGACCCTTGTAACCAAAAGCAGTTTCACTGAAATGGAAAAAATAGCAATAATGGAATGAATTTTTGCAGTCATTAAAAAGTATTAACCCTACATATAAACAAGTTTAACTTCATGGGTAGTTTCAAGATTTTAAACTATACTTAAAAAAAAAATCTACAATAAAATGTGCTTCAGTTTTCATCTATAAAATAGAATAACTCAGGAATGTTGCCTAAGTCAGGAATGTTGTTTGGGTTAAATAAGTTAATACATGTAAACTACTTATAAAACTGGCACATTGTATAAGTACTCACTAAATGTCAGACATTTAATACTATTGCTACTGTTGCTGCTGCTGCTACCATTACCAGTATTAGAAGGCATTTCAAATGAGAGAAGTAGTGTTAAATTAGGACCTGGCTAGGCAAGCAGCTACCAAGCCTTGGACCAGTCCCTCCAACTTACTGCTTACTGAATCACCAAAATCCAGAGCTGCAGCAATAGCACCTGCCTTACTACATGTAAACTGCTCTATGAACTCAAAAGGCAGATATGGAACTGCTGCTAATTCTTCCACCCCTGCTCCCTGCTATCACATTTATGCCTTAATATTCCTTTTTCCAGCTTAAAAGAGTCTTCTAAAAAGTGAACTCTAAATTATCCAAAATAGGTAAATCTATAGAGACAGAAAGTAAATTAGTGACTGCCTAAGACTAGGGGTCAGGGTAAAGTGACTATTAATGCATTTTAGGGTTTTTGATGGAAGTAATGACAATGTTCCAAAATTGACTGTGTTTGCACAACTCTGAATACATTAAAAACCACTGAATTGTACACTTTAAATAAATGAATTGCACAGTATATATCTCAATAAAGCTGTATTCTGATTTTTTTAGAAAGTGAATTGTGAAAGAAAAGTGTTTGAAAGAAGCAGTGTCATTTCCAAATTTCTGTCTAGGCTACGAAAATACGGAGCACTGTCCATTCCAGCAACTCTGAAAGTTATGTGAAGAAGAAAGGAGTGGCAATGATACTAGGATCAAGACCAATTATCATGCTTGGGTCATACAGTTCAGGGATATCACTATTATGTTACTGTCCCCTACCCATCTTAGAAGAGTGGTATACAAGCACCCCACTTTCAGTGATATTACGCAAAACAGTGTGCAAAATGCCATTAAGAAGCACTAACTGGTCTGGGCACGGTGGCTCACACCAGTAATCCCAGCACTTTGGGATGCTGAGGCGGGGGGGGATCACTGGAAGTCAGGAGTTCAAGACCTGCCTGCCAACATGGTGAAACCACGTTTCTACTAAAACTACAAAAAAAAAAAAAAAAAAATAGGCAGGTGTGGTGGTGGGTGCCTGTAATCCCAGCTACTCAAGAGGCTGAGGCAGGAGAATAGATTGAACCCAGGAGGTGGAGACTGCAGTGAGCTGAGATTGCGCCACTGCACTTCAGCCTGGGCAACAGAGCAAGACTCCGTCTCAAAAAATTAAAAAGAAGCACTATCTGTAAAACTAGATCTTATCTACTAAGATATTACACAGATTTTTTAAAGTAGTAAAAAGTAGAGAATAAAACAATGTCTCTTTAGAGATAGAACTCCAAAGAGAAAATATTCTTATTTTTATAATAAAGTAAAACCTATTTAAAATATGAAAGGCTGAAATTTTGGCATTAATCTATGTATAATAAGATACAATTATTAATATGTGAAAGCACATAAAATGCCTAATCTGATACATCAATAATGAAAAATTCACAGGAAATTCGTTGCAGGAAGAGACATTTGTTGACTTAAAAACACAATAAGGGCCTGGTGCAGTGGCTCACGCCTGTAATCCCAGCACTTCGGGAGGCCGAGGTGGGTGGATCATCTGAGGTTAGGAGTTCGACACCAGCCTGGCCAACACGGCAAAACCCCATCTCTACCAAAAATAACAAAAATTAGCTGGGCATGGTGGCAGGCGCCTGTAACCCCAGCGACTCGGGAGGCTGAGGCAGGAGCATCACTTGAACCCAGGAGGCGCAGCTTGCAGTGAGCCGAGATCGCACCATTCATTGCACTCCAGCCTGGGCAACAAGAGCGAAACTACGTCTCAAAACAAAACACACATTAAGGCTGGGCACAGTGGCTAACGCCTGTAATGCCAGCACTTTGGGAGGCTGAGGCAGGTGGATCACCTGAGGTCAGGAGTTCAAGACCAGCCTGGCCAACAGGGTGAAACCCCGTCTCTACTAAAAATACAAAAATTAGCTGGGTGGGATAGCACGTGTCTATAGTCCCACCTACTCGAGAAGCTGAGGCAGGAGAATCGCTTGAACCTGAGAGGCGGAGGTTGCAGTGAGCCAAGATTGCACCACTGCATTCCAGCCTGGGCAACAGAGTGAGACTCCATCTCAAAAAACAAGCAAACAACAAAAAAAGCCACACATTAAATATGGCTGGGTACAGTGGCTCACGCCTGTAATTCTAGGACTTTGGGAGGCTGAGGCAGGCAGACTGTCTAAGCTCCAGAGTTCGGGACCAGCCTGGCCAATATGCCAAAACCCCGCCTCTACTAAAATTACAAAAAAAAAAAATTAGCTGGGTGTGGTGGCACACACCTGTAGTCCCAGCTACTCGGGAGGCTGAGGCATGAGAATCGCTTGAACTGGGAGGCGGCAGAGGATGCAATGAGCCAAGAAGATCATGCCACTGCATTCCAGCCTGGGCAACAGAGCAAGACTCCGTCTCAAAAAACAAACAAACAAAAAAACCCAAAACCCCCACACATTAAAGAAATATGTCAATGATGTTAAAATAATGCATGGGGGGAAAAAAGACATGAAGGGAAATATTTAAATGTCCACTATGTCTAAATACCCTTTCCTACTACAACAAACCAGGGGTTCCATGGGAGACTGACTGACTCCAGAACTAACAGGGAAAGTACCAGATGAATCTGGAAACATCTTGTTGTGTGAGAAAGTAAAGTATCACCAAAATTATAAGGACATATCAGAAAGACTCAAAAGTGTCTGAAAGGGTGGCCACTTGCCAAATCTGGGATAATTTGAGCATCAAAATTAGTAGCAGTAACAGATTGTACATAGCCCACTGAATTGTAAAAGACTCCTTAGCCAGGTGCGGTGGTTCACGCCTGTAATCCCAGCACTTGGAGGATCACTTGAGCCCAGGAGTTCAAGACCAGCCTGGTCAACATAGGAAGACCCCCATCTCTTAAAAAAAAATTTTTTTTTTTTTTTTGAGACAGAGTCTCACTCTGTTGCCCAGGCTGGAGTGCAGTGGCGCAATCTCAGCTCACTGCAACCTCTGCCTCCCAGGTTCAGGCAATTCTCCTGCCTCAGCTTCCCAAGTAGCTGGGACTACAGGATACGCCAGCAAGCCTGGCTAATTTTGTATTTTAGTAGAGACGTGGTTTCACCATGTTGCCCAGGCTGGTCGCAAACTCCTGGCTCAGGCAAACCTCCCGCCTCGGCCTCCCAAAGTTTTGGGATTACAGGTCTAAACCACTGCACCCGGCCAAAAAATTTTTAAAAATTAGCTGGGTATGGTGGTACACGCCTATAGTCCCAGCTCCTCAGGAGGCTGAGGTGGGAAGATCTGCTTGAGCCTGGGAATTCAAGGCTGCAGTGAGCTGTGATCGCACCACTGCACTTCAGCCTGGGTGACAGAGCAAGACCCTGTCTCAAAAAACAAAAACAAAAAAAAGCATCCCTGAGTTTGATATAAATAAAGAAATAAATAAGAAGAAGAAGAAGAGCTCTTTCTTATAGTAGCATGCCCAACTAATAAATGAAAAAGGTACAAAAGAGTTACAAAATTACCATTTTACAATCATCATAGTAAAATACTGATTCAAGCAAGAATCATTAATGGATGCTTCTGGGTGAAAGCTTGAGGAAAACAGGATATTTTCGGTCTCACAGTATCTCCCTACAAACTACTTATAAATTACAAAGGAAAAAACACTAACTTTATAGTGGAAAAACCTAGCAGCCACCTCTAAACCAAGTGACCCAAGTTAACTTAACCAACAAGGGACAAACTGACATCACGGACTTCCTGATGTGATACACTGAGGACACAATACCATTTCTGTAATGGCACAGCAAAAATATGCATTATCTGAGTTTAATCACAAATAAACCAATCAAATTAATCCAATATAACAGTTCTACAAAATTAGCCTATACCCTACAAAAATGTCTGTTAGGAAAAAACAAATGCTGAGGATCTGTTTCAGATTAAAGAAGAATGAAGAGATATGGCAACGAAATACAATATGATTCTGTATTGGATCCAGGATTGGAGAAAATTGCTATAAAGGAATTACTAGAAATCAACTGACAAAATCTGAAACATGAGCTGTATATCAGAAGATAGTACTGTATCAGGCCGGGCATGGTAGCTCACGCCTGCAATCCCAGCACTTCAGGAGGCCAAGGTGGGTGATCACTTGAGGTCAGGAGATTGAGACCAACCTGACCAAGATGGTGAAACCCCGTCTCTACTAAAAATACAAAAATTAGCTGGGTGTGGTGGCGGGCGCCTGTAATCTCAGCTAGTTGGGAGGCTGAGGCAGAAGAATCATCTGAACCCAGGAAGTGGAGGTTGCAGTGAGTTGAGATAGCACCACTGCATTCCAGCCTGGGCAACAACGCGAGACTCTGTATCAATGTTAAATTTCCTGAATTTTTACAACTCTTCCATGGTTATTAATCTTATTTTTAGGAAATACATAGTGAAAAGAAATGAGGTGTAAAGGATCAGGATAGATCTGCAACCTACTCTCAAATGGTTCAACAACAAGGAGAGAATGATTAAAGCAAATGTAGCTAAATGGCAACTGGTGAATCCAGGTAAAAAAATATACAGAGATCACTGTACTATTCTTGCAACTTTCTGCAAATGTGCAATGTTTTCAAAATCAAAAGTTTTTTTTAAAAAAGTAACTATTTCAATGATGTAATCAAAGTATAGGAAATTAAAGAACAGTGCTAAATATACTGGGACATATCTTTATTTTGTTTTTGTTTTTTTGAGACAGTCTCGCTCTGTCGCACAGGCTGGAGTGCAGTGGCATGATCTCGGCTCACTGCAACCTCTGCCTCCCAGGTTGAAGTGATTCTCCTGCCTCAGCCTCCCGAGTAGCCAGGACTACAGGCGTGTGCCACTACACCTGGCTAATTTTAGTATTTTTAATAGAGACGGGGTTTCACCATATTAGCCAGGCCGGTCTGGAACTCCTGACCTCAGGCAATCTGCCCGCCTCAGCCTCCCAAAGTGTTGGGATTACAGGCATGAGCCACTGCGCCTGGCCTGGGACATATATTTAAAGTTCCTTCTAAAAAATAAACTTCAGGGCAGGTACAGTGGTTCATGCCTGTAGTCCCAGCTCTTTGGGAGGCGCAGGTGGGAGGATCACTTGAGGCCAGGAGTTCAAGGCCAGCCTGGGCAACATAGGGAGACCCAATCTCTACAAAAAATTTTTTAAAAAAAGCCAGGCATGATGGTGTGTGCCTGTAGTCCCAGCTACTCGGAGGCTCAGGTGGGAGGACTGCTTATGCCCAGGAGGTTCAGGCTGCAGTGAGCTTTGATCACACTACTGCACTCCAGCCTGGGTGACACAGCGAGACCCTATCTCAAAAATAAATAAATAAATAATAAATAAATAAACTTCTCTCAACTGCTTATTTGATCATAGAATAACAACTTAAGCTTTCTATTACAGCTTTAGGGGAATACATGCTACTAGAAGTAATTTAGCAAAATGGTAGCAGAAAAAAGTAGTAGTTATGATTATGGGCTCTGGAGTCAGATTGCCTAAAATCTATACTCCAGCCATTTGTATGTTCATGAACAATTATCCAATTCTATCAATGCACAAAGCAGCAAATAATAATACCATCATTAATACTGCTGTGAGAATTAAATAATGCATTTACAGCACTAAATGGTAGGTATTAAAATAACTGGTGTCTCAATGTAAAAAAACACCATTATAACATATATTTTAAGATAAACCACATTAAAAATAAGAAGAAAATAAAATTTGATTTCTAAATCTAAAAGAAAAAGAATGAAAATTTTTTTTTCCATACTAATTTGACAAATATTTTACTAAGTTACTTACTCATCCCCAAAGAGTTGATGGGTATACTCAGGAAAGAAAGTTCTAATGTCATTTTCAAGATCTTCAGGAAAACGAACTGTTTCAAGGGACAAAAAAATAGAGATATTAAAGATAACTAAAGATATTGAAGGTGACAGGTATTCCTATTTCATGAGTTTCAGTATAACTAGGATACAGCCAACATTTTTCTTACTAAAAGTGTCATTTCACCATTATATGATTTATTTACACTGTATTCTCAAGAGACTAGTGAACAAAGAAAATTAAAATATTACTTTGAGTGCTTCAGCGTCAAAACCCTACTTATTCTAAGAATCAGAAGGCTAAGTATGACAGAGGCACCTCATTTAGTTTTTATTTTTCCATGTTTATGCACAATGCAATGAGTAAAGGAAAAACAAAAAGACACTTTGAGGTAAGAAGTTACAGCAAATGAAAACAGAATGCTGTAAGAAACATTCTGATAATAACAATAACCTGAGTTTGATGAAGTCATTCTTTTTGACTGCTAGATGACATTTATGTTGTTCTCATGTTTGTTTTTTGCTATTAAAAATAACACTGCAATGACATCCTTATATACATCCTGCTGTACTTTTATAAGTATACACAGGGGAAATTCCTGGCAGCAGAAAACTAGGGGGAGAGTACTGAAATATTTGTATAAATATTGCTAAAGTGGCCAGGTGCAGTGGCTCATGCCTGTAATCCCAGCACTTTGGGAGGCCAAGGCAGGTGGATCATCTGAGGTCAGGAGTTCACGCCCAGCCTGGCTGACATGGTGAAACCATCTCTACTAAAAATTCAAAAATTAGGCTGGGCACAGTGGCTCATGCCTGTAATCCCAACACTCTGGGAGGCTGAGGTGGGCAGATTACCTGAGGTCAGGAGTTCAAGACCAGCCTGGCCAACATGGTGAAACCCCATCTCTACTAAAAATACAAAAATTAGCCGGGCATGGTGGCACACAACCTGTAATCCCAGCTACTTGGGAGGCTGAGGCAGGAGAACTACTTGAGCCCAGGAGGCGGAGGTTGCAGTGAGCCGAGATCGTGCCACTGCACTGCAGCCTGGCCAAGAGAGCGAGACTCTCTCTCAAAAAAATAAATAAATAAATAAATAATTGGCTAGCCATGGTGGCGCATGCCTGTAGTCCCAGCTACTTAGAGGGCTGAGGCAGGAGAATCGCTTAAATCCAGGAGGTAGAGGTTGCAGTGAGCCAAGATCATGCCACTGCACTCCAGCCTGGGCGACAAAGACTGTCTCAAAAAAAAAAAAAAAAAAATTATAGATAGCTAGCTAGCTAGCTAAAGTGCCCTATAAAAATATTGTAACAGTTTATACACCCACAAGCAGTTTATATACCCATAGCTTGTAGACTCCTTTGCTCCCTACATCCTTGAGAACACTCTGCTGTACTCAAGGATACTCTGTACCCTCGACTTCAATTTCTATCAATCTAAGATGGAATGGGTATCCTTTTATTATTTTTATTTGTATTTGTTGTGAGTACTGAAATACTAGATAGTTCCCTGATAAAATTTATCTTAGGAAGAAAATTTTATTCATTAAAAAATTCTTAAGCAATTGAAGAATGTAAAGAAAAATTGGAGGGCTGGGCGCGGTGGCTCACACCTGTAATCCCAGCACTTTGGGAGGCTGAGGCAGGCAGATCACTTGAAGTCAGGAGTTCAAGACCAGCCTAACCAATATGGTGAAATGCCATCTCTACTAAAATACAAAAATTAGCCAGGCATGGTGGTAGGTCCCTATAATCCCAACTACTCTGGAGGCTGAGGCATGAGAATCGCTTGAACCTGGGAGGAGGAGGTTGCATTGAGCTGAGATTGTGCCACTGCGCTCCAGCCTGGGTGATCGAGCGAGACTCCGTCTCAGGGGGAAAAAAGAAGATAAACTGTAGATGAAAAATTTCTAACACTGTCCTCACAGACCAGGTCACTCCCTGCATGCCAAAGTATCACCAGCATATTACTAATTTACAGAAGAAAAGGTATATTTTCACTGTAGAGATCTGGTAGTCACCTCCTTTCCAAATGATCTAACTTAGCATCATTCATTGTGGGACAGAACAACATTATGTGCCTCCTGATTCAATGCAATATGAAGTACAGTCATCCCTCAGTATACTCAAGAGACTGGCTCTAGGACCCCTGACTGTACCAAAATCCATCATACTCAAGTCCTGTAGTTCTGTCTGGTGTCCCACTGTACTTTCTATCTGCATTTGGTAGGAAAAAAAGTCCATGTGTAAGTGGACCCACACAGTTCAAGTCGTGTTGTTCAAGGACCAACTGTATGCTGCATCACCCATGAAGTTTTCTCACCAAAAATTTTTATCTTAAATCTAATCAAGCTTTTTACCTTCCAATTCACAGGAAATACAGAGGATAGAGGAGGAAGTTAAACTAATATCAAAAGGAAATACACAAATCCAGAATGTACATTTATCTGTGCAATGACTTTACTCTCCCAAATAAATCAATGTCATGTAGGGGAAAAGTTGCATGTGGACGGAAAGGGACTGCTCTGTATTAAAAGAGATTATTTAAGAAACATTACAACTAAATGCAGTGCACAATCCCTTACTGGATCCTTGTTTAAGTATTTTTTTTTTTTTTTGAGACAGGGTTTCATTGTCACCCAGGCTGGAATACAGTGGCACAATCACAGCTCACAGCAACCTTGAAATCCTGGGCTCAAAAGATCTTCCCGCCTCAGCCTTTAAAGTAGCTGAGACTACAAGCGCAAATCACCATGAACAACTAATTTTTTAAATTTTTTGTACAGATGGGGGTCTTTGTTGCCCAGGCTCGTATCCAATTTCTGGGCTCAAGCCATCCTCCACTTCAGCCTCCCAAAGTGCTGGAATTACAGGCATGAGCCACCATGCCTGGACTAATTTTTTTTAAAGCTATTAAAGTGTTTTGATGGCAACTAGGGAAACCAGAAATTACGCAGTATTGAAAAAATTACCATTAATTTTCTTAAGTGTGATAACACTATTATGGATACATATATATATATATATATATATATGAATGTCCATATATTAGGAGATATACTATAGGGAAGTGTCATGATGTTTAGATACCTACTGTCAAATAATTCAGCAAAAATACACACATACTAAAGCAAATATGGCAAAATGTTAACTGTTGAATCTAGGTGTTAAATATACATGAGTATTGTTTTATTCTCTCAATTGTTCTGTGTTTAAAATGTTTCATAACAAAAATTTAAAGAAAAAAAAGAGGCTTAGGCAAATGCAGCCAAATGTTAAGACTTGAAAAAGCAGAGTGATGGGATCAGAGATATTGCTTAGTTTCCTTTTTTTTTTTTTTTTTTTTTTTTTGAGACAGAGTCTCTCTCTGTCGCCCAGGCTGGAGTGCAATTGCATGATCTCGGCTCACTGCAACCTCTGCCTCCCGGGTTCAAGTGATTCTCCTGCCTCAGCCTCCCAAGTAGCTGGGATTACAGGCACCCGCCACCCAAAAATTAGCGCCCAGCTAATTTTTGTATTTTTAGTAGAGACGGGGTTTCACCATGTTGGCCAGGCTGGTTTCAAACTCCTGACCTCAGGTGATCTGCCCGCCTCAGCCTCCCAAAGTGTTGGGATTACAGGCAAAGCCACCGTGCCCAGCCAGCACTGTATTTTTTGTATGCCTGTAATAGTTAAAAAAAAAAAAAAACTCAAATATGTCCAGACTCACTAACCTAAAAATTCACAACTACTACATCTCTAATGTTTGAAAATGTTTGGAAAATCTAGAAATTGTGAAAAATTAATTTTCAAACTAATATGTATATTATATGACATTTTGGTAGTGATGGGTAAAAAGACATAGAGAAAAGAACAAGTAATGAGTAAGAAAAGTTGTCTTAAGCCTAGTTATGATAATAATTTCTAAAATTCAGATTGGCCTTCTTCTGATGCCCCTGTCATCCAAATTAGTGAGGTTTTAATATTTTCCCATAAAATTTGGTCCACAGAAAATAGGAACTAAAAGTTGGTATTTGGCGGATCTAAGGTTCAACCAGTGTGACATATATATGTCACATATATATATGTTACTTGAGAACATGTACAAAATGTGAACTTTCTCCAGGATATCAGAAACATTAAATATTTTCAAGTCTTTATAAGGCAGGTATGGCAGTACAGCAAACAAGCAACCCAAATGTCACAGGTGAATGATTAAATAAATTACAGTAAATACATGAAATGGCTTACATAATTATTAAACATGTTATCATGACAAACATAGGAAAATGTTCACAATGCAGAGTTAAGTGAACAGAACATGATACGGTAACCTCGATTTTATAAAAGGGAAACAATAGAAATGAATACATAATAAAAAAATACTAGAAGAAAACACTCCAAATTATAATACAGAGGTAGGTATTTTGAGTGATGAATTATGGATAATTTTTATTTCATATACTTTTATCTACTTTCCAAATTTTCTGCAAAATATGTATTACCACAATACTCAGAAAAAATATACAGTATAAAAAACTGAAACAATTCAAAATAAGCACTAAAAACCTATGTTGCAGCTGGGCACAGTGGCTCATGCCTGTAATCCCAGCACTTTGGGAGGCCAAGGCAGGTGGATCACCTGAGGTCAGGAGTTCAAGACCAGCCTGGCCAACATGGTGAAGCCCCGTCTCTATTAAAATTACAAAACTTAGCTGGGTGTGGTGGTGTGCACCTGTAATCCCAGCTACTCAGAAGGCTGAACTAGGAGAATTGCTTGAACCCAGGAGGCAGAGGTTGCAGTAAGCCGAGATCGAGCCACTGCACTCCAGCCTGGGTGACAGAACAAGACTCCATCTCAAAAAACAAAAACAAAAAAAATCTATGTCACTCACACTTTTGTAGAAAAATGGAAGCTCAGGGCCTGGAATACTAAATGGCACCTTATTGCTCTATAGGAGGGGCCCCCAAACACCATGTATCGGTTTGTGGCCTGTTAGGAACCAGGCTGCACAGCAGGAGATGAGTAATGGGTAAGCTGGAAAAGCTTCATCTGTATTTACAGTTGTCCCCCACTGCTTGCACTACTGCCTGAGCGCCGCCTTCTGTCAGATCAGTGGTGGCATTAGACTCTCATAGGAGCAAAAACCCTACTGAGAACTGCTCATGCAAGGGATCTAGGTTGACGGCTCCTTATGAGAATCTAATGCCTGATGATCTGAGGTGGAGCTGAGGCAGTGATACTAGCACTGGGGAGCGGATGCAAATACAGATTAACGTTAGCAGAGAGGTTTGACTGCAAAGAGACCATAATAAATCAATTGCTTGCAGACTCATATCAAAACCCTATCAGCCCAGCCTGGCCAACAAGGAGAAACCCCGTCACTACTAAAAATACAAAACTTAGCCAGCTGTGGTGGCACACACCTAAAATCACAGCTACTCCAGAGGCTGAGGCAGGAGAATCACTTGAACCCAGGAGGTGGAGGTTGCAGTGAGCCGAGATCCCGCCACTGCACTCCAGCCTGGACAACAGAGCGAGACTCTGTCTCAAAAAAAACAAAACAACAACAAAAAAAACACCAACCCTATCAGTGAGTAGTGAGTGGCAAGTGACAACTAAGCTGCATCTGGTGGCAGGCTTTATAATGGCAAGTGAGTTCATGTAGTTCCATTGTACAGCTACATCTAGTGGCAGGCTTTAAGTCAGAATCCAACATTTATTTTAGTCCCCATGTTGCCAACCCATTATTTTATTTGCGACTTCCATCTGTGCCTCTTTCTCACACTGTACACTTGTCTCAGTCACAGTTTTGGTAAGTCTTTTTGCTAACCCTAGTCAAAATGAGTGAAAAACAAATATCACTGAAGAGCTTCTTTGAAAAAGGGGAAAGACCCAATGATGAGACAGCAGAAGACTCTAAGACTGCCAACAAAAAGAAAGCTGCATTTAAAATACCAAGAGTCCTACTTAAATTATGGGTTCACTGCAACAGGTGATTCACATTCTCCAAGCCCTCTGTGTATAGTACATGGTGACCAGCTATCCAACAAAGCCACAAAACCTTCAAAACTGCTTAGTTACATCGAGACCAAGCACCCTGCATTAAAAGACAAGCCTTTGGAGTTTTCAAAAGAAAAAAACATGAACATGAAGAACAGAAGCAATTTATTGAAGGCCACCACTTCATCAAATGCGTCTGCACTGAGAGCTCCATTCTTAATGGCTAACCAAATTGCTAAAACTAAGAAGCCCTTTACTACTGGTGAAGAGTTAATCCTGCCTGCTGCTAAGGACATTTGTCGTGAACTTTTAGGAGAGGCTCGAATTCAAAAGGTGGCGCGTGTTCCTCCTTAGGCTCATACCATAACTAGAAGAACTAATGAAATAGCAGGGGATATTGAGGCACAATTGTTAGAGAGGGTTGAGTCACCATGGTGCACAATCCAGGTTGACGAGTCTACCAATGTTGACAACAAGGCAACAACGCTTGTTTTTGTGCAATATATTTTTCAGGAGGATGTGCATGAGAATACGTTATGTGTACTTTTCTTGCCAACCAATACCACACTGCAGAACTATTCAAGTCTTTGAATGATTACATATCAGGGAAACTGAATTGGTCATTTTGTGTTGGTATATGCATGGACGAAGTGGCTGCCATGACTGGACAGCTTTCTGGTTTCATTATTCAGGTCAAAGAGGTCACCTTGGCCAGACGCAGTGGTTCATGCCTGTGATCCCAGCACTTTTGGAGGCTGAGGTGGGAGGATCGCTGAGTCCAGGAGTTTGAGACTAGCCTGAGCAATACAGTGATACCCTTTCTCTACACATAATAAAAAATTAGCTGGGTGTGGTGGCATGTGCCTGTAGTCCCAGGCAGAACTGCTTGAGCTCAGGAAGTTGAGGCTACAATGAGCCATGACTGCGCCACAGCAGTCAGCTTGTGCAATAAAGTGAGACCCTGTCTTAAAAAAAAAAAAAAGAAAAAAAGGAGTTGTTTCCAAATGTGAGTCTACGCACTATTTCATCCATTGAGTAATGCTGGCTAGCTAAAAAATGTCACCTGAACTTGACATTTTGCAGGACGTAATTAAAATTATCAACCACATTAAAGTATATGCCCTTACCTCACACCTGTTCACATTGCTCTGTGAGGAAATGGACACAGATCACACATATCTTCTCTTATACACAGAAGTGAGATAGCTTTCTAAAAGTAGATCACTGGCTAAAGTTTTTGAGTTACAACAGCCGCTCCAGAGATTTCTTTTAGAAAAACAGTCACCACGGGCAGCACATTTCAGTGACACAGAATGGGTCACAAAACTTGCTTATTTTTGTGACATATTCAACCTGTTTAACAAACTTGATCTATCACTTCAAGGGAGAACAACAATTGTGTTCAAGTTGGCAGATAAAGTGGCTGCATTCAAAGCCAAAGCAGAAGTATTAGGGTGACGAGCGAACACTGGGTTTGTTGACATGTTTCAAACATTAGCAGAGATTTTGAAAGGCCCTGGCTCACAGGGTCCTCTTACTTCCAGCTGGTGCACGATCACCTATCTCAGCTTTCAAAAGAGTTTGAGCATTAATTCCCAACCACAAAAGAACCCTGAACTGGGAAGGAATGGATCCGTGACCCATTTTTGAATAAGTCAGGTGAATCGACTTTATCCGTGCTGGAATAGGGTCAACTGCTTAAGACAGCAAATGAAGGTGGCCTTAAAAGTGTGTTTGAAGCCGGGCCTGGTGGCTCACATCTATAATCCCAGCACTTTGGGAGGCCAAGGCAGGCGAATTGCTTGAGTCCAGGGGTTCAAGACCAGCCTGAGCAACATGGCGAAACCCCGTCTCTACTAAAATTACAAAAATTAGTGGGGTTTGGTGGTATACACCCATAGTCCCAGCTACTTGGGAGGCTGAGGCACGAGAATCACTTGAATCCAGGAAGTGGAGGTTGCAGTGAGCTGAGACTGCACCACTGCACTGTAGTGTGGACAATAGAGCAAGACCCTGTCTCAAAAAAAAAAAATATGTTTCAGACAACTTCAAATCTCCTTATGTTCTGGATTAAAATCAAGGCAGAACATCCTGAGATTGCCAGAAAAGTACTGAAAAGCCTGCTTCCATTCTCAACATCTTATCCTTGTGAGGCAGGGTTTTCTGCAATGACAGCAACCAAAACGAGATTACAGAGTAGACTGGACATAAGCAATACACTTCAGGTGTCACTGTATCCATCACCCCCAGATGGAACTGTCTAGTTGCAGGAAAACAAGCTCAGGGTTTCCACTGATTCCACAGTGAGGTGTATAATAATTTCATTATAATTACAATGTAAATAGAAAAAGTGTACAATGAATGTAATGCGCTTGAATCATCCCAAAACCATTCCCCGCAAACCTCCCTCCCTGGTCTGAAGAAAAATTGTCTTCCACTAAACTGGTCCCTGGTGCCAAAAAAGTTGGGGACTGCTGCTATATAGAACATAGGGCCTGCAATGATTCTTCCTTTTGAATATATTTACTGTTGCTTCTTTCTTTCTTTTGTAGAGACAGAGTCTTGCTATGTTGCCCAGACTGGTTTTGAACTCCTCTAGCCTTAAGCAATCCTCCTACCTTGGCCTCCCAAAGTGCTGGGATTATAAGTGTGAGCCACCATGCCTGCCCTGCCCTATTGTTTCTACTCTTACAGTTCATTTAAAGAGAGAGAGAGAGAGAGAGAGAGAGAGAGAGAGAGAGAGAGAGAGAGAGAATCAGTAGACAGACAGATAGATAGATGGGGTCTTGCTCTGTTGCCCAGGCTGCAGTGCAGTGTACAATCCCAGCTAACTGCAGCCTTGATCTCCTGTGCTCAAGCCTCCCAAGTAGCTGAGACTATAAGTGTGTACCACACACTTGGCTAATTGTTTGATTTTTTTTAAGAGACAAGGTCTCGCTATGTTGCTTAGGCTGGCCTCAAACTCCTGGCTTCAAGTGATCCTCCTCCCTCAGCCACCCTTTTTCCTACAGCTCCATTACTATAATTAACCATCATGCTACTTCTATTTCAGAGTTACTGATGACTTTATTGTACAATTAGTGCTGTTCTGCTTTTCTTCACTCTCCTTGAACTCCATAACAGTAGATGTTATTAAACTCTTTTTCTACCCGAAATATTATTCTTCCTTTCTCACTTATATACTATACCTCCTTGTTTTTCTGACTTAACCTGGTTTCTTTTGCTGCCACTCCCTTAGATATAGGCATTTTCCAAGACTTGGTCCTTGGTCTGCCCTTCTTTCACAGTGTGTTCCTTTCAGAGCTCATCTTTTTTCCTGGCTTCAACTATCACCAGCAACAGTACCACCAGAGCCAGCTCTCCCCTCCAATCTTTGTGTCCCTGTCAGTGGCACCACCTTTTTATAGGCACAAACCACCATGTATGGCAATAAGTTCATATACTTCCTAGTTCTTAGAATCACTTCAGTAGTTTTGGAGAGGCAAGATGCATGAAAGAAGATATAGTCTACATGTCTTATTAACCAAAAGTAAAATTAAGAAATCACCAAGGCACATTATTTTAATCAATTTTTAAAGCTTGTTTAATAAATACATAAGAGTTCAAGACCAGCTTGGGCAACACGGCAAAACCCCATCTCTACAAAAAATACAAAAATTCACTGGGCGTGGTGGCACACATCTGTAGTCCCAGCTACTCAGGAGGCTGAGGTGGAAGGATCACTTGAGCCTGGGAGGCAGAGGTTGCAATGAGCCGAGATCACACCACTGCACTCCAGCCTGGGCAACAGAGCCAGACCCTATCTCAAATAAATAAATAAATACTTAAGTATTTAACACATTTAATATATATGATCTATCAACAGGTGCTCATAATGCAGACATAAATGGATTCTGGCCCCCACGGGGTATAGTATCTAATTGTATTCTGGACTACATCTAAGTTTATTCATAATCCTGTGTTCTTTAAATAACTGAAATCTTAGCATATTGCCCGATACATCTTTTCCTACCCATGCTAAATTGAAAAACAAGCTTAATTATATAATTTTAAAACACAAGAGTGGCCCCAGTGTGCTGGCAACATTCCCATCAGCACAAACAATCTGCAAAATGAGGTATCTCAACATTAAATATTCCCTAGAGATGCCATAATTAATCCCATCACACTCTTTATTCCCATTAACAGCAGTCCAATTCTTAAAAATTCCCTTATCACTGGGATTCTCATCCCTGTATTATACAGTAGTATAAAAATACTCATCTAATTTCCCACCCCTTCCCAACTCATTGTGACCACTGTGAAACTTAGAGGTCAGTTACCACCAAAATTCTCCATATCCCCAACCTCTTTATCAAATGCTCTCCTATCTTGCGCTAACAGTTCTTTGGCACACATGGCTCTCCCCTAAGGATGCTCCTGTCTTACAGACCTCTCAGGTAGTGGTTGTTTTCTCTGTCTTCATACTGCTAGAACAAGGTATCCTCCTTGCTCCTCATTGCTGGTTTCAGACTAATGTCTCTCTCCCCACACACTAAGAATAAACCACTTTAAAGTTCATGCTCCACCTCTCTCCCTCATTCTTTGAATAATTTAGCTCCAGGCTCACTGTTGCACTTTCCAACACTACATCTGACTTAAATCTTGGTAACTTCAAAATTAATGAAAATGAATCTTCCAATCCAGCCTTGCAGTTCCTTGATTCCTCCCCAAGAATTTTGTCTTTACTGTACCTTAGCCACTTATTCCCATGATGTGCCCTAGCCTTTATTTATCATTATTGACAATTATACCTCCTTAATCTCTATTTCAAACATTGTACCATCTTACCATCACCACTTATCTTCCTACCTCACTCCCTATACCCCCAATTCTTTTTTGTTTTGTTTTTTGTTTTTTGAGACAGGGTCTGGCTCTGTCACCCAGGCTGGAGTGTTGTGGCACAACCAATCACAGCTCACTGCAACCTCAACCTCCCAGGCTCAGGTGATCCTCCTGCCTCAGCCTCCTGAGTAGCTGGGACCACAAGCACGCACCTCCACACCCAGCTAATATTTTATTTTTTGTAGAAATGGGGTCTCCCTATGTTGCCCAAGCTGGTCTCAAACTCCTGGGCTAAAGTGATCATCCTGCCTGGGCCTCCCAAAGTGCTGGGATTACAAGCATGAACCACCACACCCAACCATACCCCAATTCTAACAATTCTTCAGCCCCCACCAAGACTTAAAATGAATTTTGTCTTTTTTTTTTTTTTTTTTTTTTTGAGATGGAGTTTTGCTCTTGTTGCCCAGGCTGGAGTGCAATGGCACAATCTCAGCTCACAGCAACCTTGGCCTCCAAGGTTCAAACGATTCTCTTGCCTCAGTCTCCCAAGTAGCTGAGATTATAGGCATGTGCCACCATGCCCAGCTAATTTTTGTATTTTTAGTAGAGACGGGGTTTCACCATGTTGGCCAGGCTGGTCTC
This sequence comes from Homo sapiens, assembly GCF_000001405.40. NCBI lineage: Eukaryota > Metazoa > Chordata > Mammalia > Primates > Hominidae > Homo > Homo sapiens. The sequence goes on along the minus strand of NC_000002.12, from coordinate 171,935,312 downwards.
GAACTCCTGACCTCGGGTGATCCACCCGCCTCTGCCTCCCAAAGTGCTGGGATTACAGGCATGAGCCACCGTGCTTGGCCACAATGAATTGATTTGAACATAATTTCACTGTCCCTCTTCTACTTCATATCCTCGTTTTCCTCCCTTTCCAGTGCAGAATTCCATGGTCCATCAATGTTATTACTCCATCCTAAACATCCTCAACCCCTTGGCCTTAATTTTTTTCATAGCAGCCTCGTAAAAAGAAAACCACTCTAGGCCAGGCGCGGTGGCTCACGCCTGTAATCCCAGCACTTTGGGAGGCCGAGGCAGATGGATCACTTGAGGTCAGGAGTTTGAGACCAGCCTGGCCAACATGGCGAAACCCCGCCTCTACTAAAAATACAAAAATTAACTGGGCGTGGTGGTGGGCGCCTGTAATCCCAACTACTTGGGAGGCTGAGGCAGGAGAAGCACTTGAACTCCAGAGGCGGAGGTTGCAGTGAGCTGAGATCGCGCCATTGCACTCCAGCCCGGATGACAAGACCAAAATTCTGTCTCAAAAAAAAAAAAAAAAAACCCACTCTAGTTAAATTTAACTATATGTCTATTCTTTGTGGCACACTTTCATCTGGACGTGGCTGACCTCACTTTACATTCATGAGAACTAACTTGAAGTGGGCCCTTAGTGCTACCTGACAATGGTAACAGTTCTCAAGTCTACTCACTCCTCCCACTCACCTAGATGACTATTTCCTCAAATCTCCAACGCCTTCTTCTATAAGCACGTTCTCCACAGATGACCTTGCTTACTATCTCACTTAGGAAACAGAAGCATTCAGAAAAGAAACTGCACAAAATGCTTCCTCTACACCTTCTAACTTACTGCAGCAATTCCTGTATACCCTCCTTCATCTTGTTATGGTAGAAATTCTCCATGCTCCTATCTAAGGCTAATCCTTCCACTGATTAATAAAATACTTACCCCTCTTACATTGTCAAGGATATTACTCAACAAATACTCCCCTTCTCTGATACTTCCAGAAATACTCCTGTATTATTTCCCCCTTCTCTGATAGATCATTGGCATCAGCATATAAACATGCTGTTATTTCTTACAGGTTTAAAACATTCTCATTTCTATATTAATAGCTAACAAAGTAGACTTAAATATGAGGCAAGATGGGTTAAAGAGGGGACAGAGATAAAGATGGAACATTTTATAATGAGTAAGGTCAATTCACCAAGAAGACATAGGAAGTCTAAATCTGTATGTACCTAATATCAGAGCTGCAAATACATCAAGCAAAAATTAATGACTGAAGACATAGACAATCCACAATTCCAGCTGGAGATTTTGACAGTTCTCTCAATTGTCCTAATCGCTAGAAAGTCAGTAAAAATATAAAAGACTTTAATACTATTAAGTCAATTTACACTTATAGAACACTACATAAAACTGCAGACTATAAATTATTTTTCAGTGCACCTAGGACACTGACCAAACAGATCCTACATGATAAGCTATAAAACAAGGCTCAATGAATTTAAAAGGACTGAAATAAGACTATATTGTCTGACCTTGACAGAACTAATTCAGAAATCAGTGACAATAAGACAGCTAGAAAAGTCCCAAATATTTGGAAATTAAGTAACCCTCTTCTATATAACTCATGGGTCAAAAAAGAAGTCGCAAGGGAAATTTAAAAATATTTTGAATTGAGCAATAAAAATAGAACATAACAGAATTGGTAGGATGCAACTATATCAATATTTAGAGGTAAATTTTTTTTTCTTTTTTTTTTTGAGACAGAGTCTTGCTCCGTCACCCAGGCTGGAGTGCAGTGATGCGATCTTGGCTCACTGCAACTAGAGGTAAATTTATAACATTAATGCTAGTATTAGAAAAGGAAAGTTTAAAGTTAATTATATACACATCTACTTTAAAAAGAAAGATCTTAAAAAAAGCAAATTAGACCAGGTAAGGTGGCTCATGCCTGCAATCCTAACACTTTGGGAGGCCAAGGCAGGAGGATCACTTGAGCCCAGGAGTTCGAGACCACCCTGAGCAACACAGTGAGACTCCATCTCTACAAAAAAAATACAAAAGTTAGCTAAGTGTGGTGGTGTACACCTGTAGTCCCAGCTACTCAGGAGGCTGAGGTGAGAGGGTCACTTGAGCCAAGAGGTTGAGGCTACAGTGAGCCATGATCACACCACTGCACTCCAGCCTCGGCAACAGAGCAAGACCTTGTCTCAAAAGAAGGAATAAAAAAATTAACCCAAAGTAAGATGAAAGAATTTATAAAGATTAAGAAAACAGATAAATAACAGACAAAGGCAATGCTGAAAAGATCAGTAAGATTGGTAAACTTGTAAGGAGACATTAAAAGACAAAGAGAAAAAGAATTACCAATACCCCCAAGAAGGGATTATAGATTCTAGAGTCACTTATTTTATTTTTTGAGACAGCGTCTGGCTCTGTCACCCAGACTGGAGTGCAGTGAGATGATCGCAGCTCACTGTAACCTCCACCTCTCCGGCTCAAGTGATCCTCCCACCTCAGCCTCCCAAGTAGCTAGGACTATGGGTGCATGCCACCATGCTTGGCTAATTTTTAAATTTTATTTTATTGTTGAGATCTCATTATATTGCCCAGGCTGGCCTTGAACTCTTGGGCTCAAGCGATCCTTCTGCCTTGGCCTCCCAAAGATCTGGGATTACATGTCTGAGCCACTGCACCTCGCTCTACAGTCATTTAAATGGTAACAGGGGAATACTGTAAGCAACTTTCTGCCAAGAAAGTTAGATAAAATAGAGAAATACTTTAAAAGACAAAAATCACCAAAACTGACACAAGAAGAAACAGAAGATCAGAACAGTATTAAATCTATTTATTAGATGTATAGTTAAAAACCTTCCAACAAAGAAAACTCAAGGCACATAAAACTTCACTGGTGAATGCTACTGAACATTTAAAGGAATAATGCAGTCTTATACAAATTCTTCCAGAAGATAGAGAAGAAACAGTTCCCAACTCATTTTATGAGGCCAGGAAACCTTGATACCAAAATCAAGCAAAGACGTATGAAAAAAGAAACCATTACCTGTCATGAACAAAGAGTCTTAACAAAACATTGCCAAGTCAAATCTAGCAAAGCAGAAAAAGGATAATATACTGGCATGCAAGGCTAATTTAACACTTAAAACCTCATCAATGTAATTCACCACATTATCAGAATTAAAGGAGAAAAATCTTATGATTATCTTGATAAAGAAAAAGCATTAGAAGGTAACACTTTCATAATAAAAACTCTCACCAAACTAGGAATAGAAGGAAACTTCCTCAACCTGATAAAGGGCACATATGAAAAACCTACAGCTAACATCATAGTGAATGGTGAAAGGCTCAAAATTTTCCTTCTTCAATTGGGAATAAGGCAAGGATGTCTACTCTATCACTTCCATTTGACATTGTAATAGAGGTTCTGGCCAGTGCAGTAAGGCAAGAAAATGAAACACAAGTGGCTCTCCACATATGCAGGTTCCACATCCACTGATTCAACCAATTACGGATCAACATGAGATTGGCTGAATCCTCAAACACAGAATCTGCAGATACAAAGAGCTGACTGTACTATATGGCTGTTTTTCCCCCCCGAGACACAGTCTTGCTTTGTCGCCCAGGCTGGAGTGCAGTGGCACAATCTCGGCTCACTGCAACCTCCACCTCCTGGGCTCAAGCAATTCTCCTGCCTCAGCCTCCCAAGTAGCTGGGATTACAGGTGTGTGCCATCACGCCCAGCTAATTTTTGTATTTTTAGTAGAGACGGAATTTCACCATGTTGACCAGGCTTGTCTTCTCGAACTCTTGCCTCAGCCTCCCAAAGTGCTGGTATTACAGGCGTGAGCCACCATGCCCGGCTATATGGCTATCTATCTATCAAGACAGGGTCTCACTCTGTCACTCACACTGGAGTGCAGTGGCACAATCACAGCTCACTGCAGCCTAGAACTCTTGGGCTCAGGCAGATCCTCCCACCTCAGCCTCCTGAGTAGCAACTACAGATGCACACCATCATGCCTGGCTAATTCTTGTATTTTTTGTAGAGATGGGGTTCTGCCATGTTGCTCAGGCTGGTCTCAAACTCCTGGGCTCAAGCAATCTGCCTGCCTCAACCTCCCAAAGTGCTAGATTACAGATGTGAGCCACCATGCCCAGCCACACTATGGCATTTTGTATAATGGACCGGATCATCGGCAGATTTTGGTATTCACGGGGGATCGTGGAACCAAATCCCTGAAGATACCAATGGACAACTGTATAAGGCAAAGAAAAACTGTGACTTTCTTCATTAACAGGTAATGTTTGTGTGCAGGAAATCTGAAATAATCTACATCTAAAAAAAAAAATCCTATAGCTGGGTGTGGTGGCTTATGTCTGCAACCCTAGCACTTTGGGAAGCTGAGGCAAGAGGATTGCTTGAGCCCAGGAGTTCAAGACCAGCATGGGCAATATAGTGAGGCCCTGTCCCTAGAAAAAAAAAAAAATTTTGCCAAGCATGGTGGCACGCACCTATAGTCCCAGCTATTCAGGAGGCTGAGGTGGGAGGTTCGCTTGAGCCTGGGAAGTCAAGGCTATAGTGAGCCACAATCACGCCACTCTACTCCAGCCTTGGCAATGGAGTGAGCCACTCTCTCAGAAAAAGCCCAGAATACAAAAAACTACAATAATAAGTGAATTTAGCAAGGTTGCAGAATACAAAACAATTACACAAACTGTGCCATTGTGTGTCCATGCATATGCACATGCACACACATAAAACAAGCAATTGGAAGAGAAAATGTTTAAAGTATATCATTTTTAGGTCAGGCACAGTGGCTCACATCTGTAATAGCACTTTGGGAGGCCTAGGTGGGCAGATCACTCGAACCCAGAAGTTCAAGACCAGTCTGGGTAACAAGGCGAAACCCTGTCTCTACAAAAAATACAAAAATTAGCCAGGCATGGTGGTGTATGCGGAGTCCCAGCTACTCGGGAAGCTGTGGTAAGAGGATCACTTGAGCTCGGAGGCAGAGGTTGCAGTGAGTGGAGATCACGCTACTGCACTCCATCCTCGGTGACAAAGTGAGAACATGTCACACATACAAAAATAAATAAATAAAAAAGTATACCATTTTTAAGAGCATCAAAAATCAAAAGATGTAGATTTACTCAGATAAATTTAACAAAATACATGCAAGACTGAAAACCTGAAACATTTCTAGAATACAGAAATACATCATGTTCATATACTGGAAGGCTCAATGTTATTAAGATAGCAATTCTCCCCACATTCAATTTTAGATTCAATGTAATCTTAAGATTAGTCAGAACTTTTTAAATAGAAATTAACCACCTGATTCCAAAATGTATACAGAAATAAGGTCAAGAATAATCGAAACAATCTTTAAAAAATAAAGATGTGGGACTCACACTACCAGGAATCAATAGAAAGTTACACTAATCCAGACAGTACGATATTGACAGAAAAACAGACAATGAATGAGAAAAGTCCAGATGTAGATCCACACGTGTAAGTTCAATATTTTTTTGTTAAAAACGCACCAAGGCATTCACACAAATTATACTGAAACAAGTGGATATCCACATGGAACAACAAACCTTAATCCCTTTCCTCATATTGGACATGAAAAATAACATGAGATGGATCATGGACATAATTTTAATAAGCTAAAACTAAAAACCTTCCAGAAGAAAACATTAGGAGAGCTTCATGATCTCCTTGGGGTAGACAAAGATATTAGGCATGAACCAGAAAACACTAATAGAAATTTTTAAAATTAATAAACTGGACATGATTAAAACTAAAAACTTCCAGTTATACAAAAAAAGTTGAGAATATGAACAGGCAAACCACAAACTGAGAGAAAAATGTGCACAAAACATGTAATCTGCATAAAGGACTCATCCAGAATATGTAGGTAAATAACACCTACAACTAATAACAAAAAGACAAATAACCTAATTTTAAAATGGGCAAAAGATGTGAATACATGAGTCCAAAAGGAGATAGTCGATAACCACATTAAAAAAACAATCCTTAATAGCATTAGTTATGAGGGAAAAGACAATTAAAACCTATTTAATCTTTACAACCACTATGAAGTACTATTAACAAAGAAATACTACTATAAACCCAGTAGAATGCCTAAAACTTTAAAAACTGACAACATAAAATGTTGGTGAGGATATGGAATAACGAAAATTCTAATACACTGTTGATGTGAGTATAAAAGTACTTTGGAAGTCAGTCTGGCCAAGTATCCCATAAAGTTAAACATACAAATACCCTATTGACCCAGCAAATCCACAGCTAGGAATTTATCCAAAATAAAATCATATGTCCACAAAAAAACTCATACAATAACAGCCAAAAACTAGAAACAACTCAAATATCTATTAACTGGCGAATAATGATGTATCCAACAACAGAACAGTATTCAGCAATAAAAAGGAATGAACTGCCGGGCACGGTGGCTCACGCCTGTAATCCCAGCACTTTGGGAGGCCAAGGCAGGCGATCATGAAGCCAGGAGTTCGAGACCAGCCTGGCCAACATAGTGAAACTCCGTCTCTCCTAAAAATACAAAAGAATTAGCCAGGCGTGGTGGCAGGCGCCTGTAATCCCAGCTACTCCAGAGGCTGAGGCAGGAGAATCGCTTGAACCCAGAAGGTGGAGATCGCATTGAGCCGCAATCATGCCACTGCACTCCAGCCCAAGCAACAGCGTGAGACTCTGTCTCAAACAACAACAACAAAAAAAATGGGGAATGAACTACTGGTACAGACAACATATGATGTACCTCATAAAAATTATGCTTAATGAAACAAGCCAGTCACAAAGCCAGTATATATGGTATAATTCCATTTATATAAAGTGCTAGAACACAGAAAGCTAATTTTGGTCAAAGAAATGAGACTGTAGTCACCTTGCAGGTGGCAGGGACTGAACAGTAAGTAATAAAGTTCTATCTACTAAGCCTGCTCTCATTAATGCTAGAGCAATACTAACAGCAATGTGTTCACCTAGCACCTAGATCTTGGCTTTAGCACCCGAATCTTGGCTTTAAAATATCATTTCCTGTGGCTGGGGGTGGTGGCTCATGCCTGTAATCCCAGCACTTTGGGAGGCCAAGGTGGGCAGATCACCTGAGGTCAGGAGTTCGAGACCAGTCTGGCCAACATGATGAAACCGTCTCTACTAAAAATACAAAAATCAGCTGGGTGTGGTGACGGGTGCCTGTAATCCCAGCTACTTGGGAGGCTGAGGCACCAGAATCACTTAAACCCAGGAGGCAGAGGTTTCAGTGAGCCAAGACCGCGTCATTGCACTCCAGCCTGGGTGACAAGAGTGAGACTCCATCTCAAAATAAAAAACCATTTCCTGGCTGGGTGCAGTAGCTCATGCCTGTAATTCCAGCACTTTGGGAGACCGAGGCAGGTGGATCACTTGGTCAGTTTGAGACAGACTGACCAACATGGCGAAACCCTATCTCTACTAAAAACACAAAAAAATTACCCAGGGCTGGTGGCACATGCCTGTAATCCCAGCTACTACGGAGGCTGAGGCACAAGAATTACTTGAATCTGGGAGGCAGAGGTTGCAGTGAACCAAGATCGCACCACTGCACTCTACCTGGGCGACTGAGTGAGACTCTGTCTCTAAAATAAAATAAAATAACATTTCCTACTAAAAGAAACCAGGGATCCTTGGAGAAATGGCTGATTCCAAGGCTGGGGCAGAGACAACAGATGACAGGATGTTCCAAGGTAATCAAACTATCAAAGAATGAAGTAATTGAAAAATGAGGGGACATGTAAAAAAAATACGCAGATCTCAGCAACCACATCCAGTCACTCCACTCAGCCCTTACCAAGTATTTTCTGCATGTCAAGGAGTTTAAACACTTTACTGATATTTAACTCCATATTTAATCTTTGTAACCACTGTGAAGTACTATTAACAATGAGGAAACTCAGGCATGGAAAGTAATGCAACCAGGAATCATGAGCATATATTATTTTTCACTTGTTCTAAGTGTAAAATTTTAGCAAATTCAGAGCTGTGCCACAATCTAACTTTCAAACATTTCCATAATTCCCAAAAGAAATGTCAGGCCCATTTGTAGTTACTCTGCGCTCCACTGTGCAACCACTACTTTCTGTCTCTATGGATGTGTCTTTTCTGAACATTTCATACAAATGGAATTACACAATATATGGTGTTTTTGTTTAGTTTCTTTCACTTAGCACAATCTTTTTAAGGTTTACTGCAATAGGTATCAGAATTTCATTCCTTCTTATTGTCAAATAGTATTCCGTGGTATAGCTATACTATACTTTATTCATTTACCAGCTGATATATATCTGGGTTTCTTACATTTTTTTGGCTACTGTGAATAACGCAGCTATGAACATTCATGTACAAGTTTTTGCGTGAACATACATTTTCATTTCTCTTGAGTAGACAGATACCTGGCAGTATAACTCCTGGGTCATATAATTCATTTATGTTTAACTTCTTAAGAAACTGTCAAACCAGGAGGGGCGCTGTGGCTCACAGTTATAATCCCAACACTTTGGGAGGCCAAGCCAGGGGACTGCTTGAAGACAAGAGTTCAAGATGAGCCTGGACACATAGACACGTAGGGTCCATCTCTATGAAAAAATTTTTATAAGCCAGGCGTGGTGGCTCATGCCTGTAATCCCAGCACTTTGGGAGGCCAAGGTGGGCAGATCACCAGAGGTTGGGAGTTCAAGACCAGCCTGACCAACATGGAGAAACCGTCTCTACTAAAAATACAAAAAATTAGCCGGGCGTGGTGGCGCATGCCTGTAATCCCAGCTACACGGGAGGCTGAGGCAGGAGAATCACTAGAACCCAGGAGGTGGAGGTTGCAGTGAGCCAGGATCACGCCATTGCACTCCAGCCTGGGCAACAAGAGTGAAACTCCGTCTCAAAAAAAAAATTTTTTATAAAAATTAGCCAGGCTTGGGTGGTGCACACCTGTGGTCTCCTAGCTACCTGGCAGGCTGAGGCAGAAGGACTGCCTGAGCCCAGGGGTTGGAGGCAGCAGTGAGCTATGACCATGCCGTGGCACTACAGCCTGGGTGATAGAGTGAGACCTTCCTTGTCTCTTTAAAAAAGAAAGAAAGAAAAAAAAGGGGTGAGGGGAGGAAATGAAAGAAGAGAAGGAAGGAAAGAAAATAAAAAAGACAGAAAAGAAAATTGCCAAACTGTTTTCCAAAATAGTTATATCACTTTACATTCCCACCAGCAATATACAAGTGTTTTTTTCCACATCCTCACCAATATTTGCTATTGTTTATTATTCTTACAGGCAAAAAAGTAAAAAATATTTTTAAGAGGCTAAAACTATATATACTTATTACTTTTTGCCCCACCGTCTTTCCTTTTTATATAAAATTCTGTCACCTTTCAAACATCTACACCTTCCATGACATAAATCAAAACTGAATAAAATCTGAATATGTTCAATAAATGCAGAAAACCATACATTTGCATAAATAACTGCTCTTACATAAAATTTTACTTCAAATTTAAAATGAAAGATTATATATACACACACAGTATGTACATAACATCACTTAGAAATGGCATACATACCTAATTTTAGTTCAATTGCTGTGTTGGTGTTACATTTGTACTCTGCCAGTTTCTTCTCCACTGCACTCTTATATTCTACCAAAAATTTCTCCATAGCACCAAATCCTAAGAGAAAAGGTTTTTAAAAGGTTTAGTTTGGAAGTGACTTAAATTGTCAAACCTGCAATAGGGTTATTATAAGTGGAATAGGGGTATGATTTAAAACATGCTGATAGATCATAAAAGCACAAGTCATTCTCCACATACTCTTAAATAAATGTATTAAGAATGCCAGCTGGGCACGGTGGCTCACGCCTGTAATCCCAGCACTCTGGGAGGCTGAGGTGGGTGGATCACAAGGTCAGGAGTTCGAGGTCAGCCTCGCCAAGATGGTGAAACCCGTCTCTACTAAAAATACAAAAATTAGCCGGGCACGGTGACGGGCGCCTGTAATCCCAGCTACTTGGGAGGCTGAGGCAGGAGAATCTCTTGAACCCAGGAGGCAGAGGGTGCAGTGAGCCGAGATCATGCCACTGCCCTCTAGCCTGGGCGACAGAGCAAGACTCCATCTCAAAAAAAAAAAAAAAAAAAAAGAATGCCTCATTACAAAACAGAAAAAGAAATCACTTTTGAGATACAGGCTTATAAACTAGGAATACTTAATATAAATGAATAAACCTGAAAATTAACATGATAGATTACTAACATTTCTGAACATGTACTAATACAAATTACCTGCTAGGATTTATACCTAAGTCGTCTTTTTCATTATAAGATGTAAAAAGCAAAATGAGAATGTCCTCTGATAATTATGACAGAATTTCATTTTAAGTATTGGAAAAAGTCTACCAGAGTGCTTCAGATAAGGAAATGATAATGCATGGAATGTCTCAAGAAGAATACACAAATATCTGGTAACCATAGTTACCATGGGTAAAGAAAGAAGGAAGAGGAACAGGGGCACAAAGAAAACATCTTTCCACTGTATTAAATATTTAAAAATCATGTATGCCTAAAGTCATAAACTGTGAGCTACTGGCACAATAGTTTTACTACATAGTGGCTACTCAATAATATACATAATAAATAACATTGGAAGATATCACTATCAAGAGAAACTTTCAAGATAACAAATCTCCTGACAAAATGGGCATATGATTAGTAAAAATGGGCTGGGCGCGGTGGCTCACGCCTGTAATTTCAGCACTTTGGGAGGCCGAGGCAGGGGGATCGCGAGGTCGAGACGGATATCATCCTGGCCAACATGGTGAAACCCCATCTCCACTAAAAATACAAAAATTAGCTGGACGTGGTGGCGCGTGACTGTAGTCCTAGCTACTCCGGAGGCTGAGGCAGAATTGCTTGAATCCAGAAGGCAAAGGTTGCCGAGATCGCGCCACTGCACTCCAGCCTGGTGACAGAGCGAGACTCAGTCTCCAAAAAAAAAAAAAATCAGTAAAAATTCAGACAGAAAAAAGCCATAAGCAAAAAATAAAAAGGGGTACAATGATGTGCTATAAACTTCAAAAAGGGGTTAAAACACACACACAGAAAATGGGAAAGACTTGAAGCAGTACAGATTAATAGTCTGGAGTGAGAATTCCTGGATTCTGACTATTTCACACACTTACTGAGCTAGTAAGCTCAGGGAACTAGAGCACATTACTTAACCCCTCTGACCCTAATCTACAGAACCGAGATTACAGAATTTACTTCGAGGAATGTAAGCAACAAAATTTAACCTGTGAAATCATATATTAGCTCAATCTGCACAATTCTATAAGTAGGTATTACATCAACCCCATTTTACATTCAAAAGTTCAGGCTTAGAAAGAGGTTTAGTTGAAGGGCATCCAACTACTAAATGATGGGCCCAAAATTCGAATTTAGATGTAATTCTTAGAGTACGTCCTCCCTCTTCTGTGGTACTTCAAGATCCTACAATCTCCATCTGGTAGAAAAGTCCTTCTTTAAACATCTGTAGAGCTCACACAACAGCTTGTCTATCCCACATATTCATAAAAATGGAATGGTTAATGTAGAGAGACTATGAGGAATGCCCTGTAAAGAGATGATAAAAGCAACAAAGGCCAGCGAAGTGGCTCAATCCTGTCATTCCAACACTTTGGGAAGCTGAGGCGAGAGGATGGCTTGAGGCCAAGAGTTCCAGACCGGCCTGAGGCAATACAGCCAGACTCTGTCTCTAAAAGGTTAAAAAAAATTGTTTTTTTTTAGCCGAATGTTGTGGCGCATGCCTGTAGTCCTAGCTACTCGGGAGGCTGAGGCAAGAGGATCGCTTGAGCCTACGAGGAGTTGGAAGCTGCCCGGAACTATGATCGCTGCACTCCAGCCTGGGCGACAGAGAGACCCTGTCTCAGGAAAAAGAAACTGTCCATAACTTCAAAAGATAAGTAATCGAAAAAAATAATCACACCAAAACAGCCTTAATACACGTACAAAGTAATAGCAATTATACATTATTAAATGTTGTAACTTGAAGGGTCTCTAGAATGTACACAAGAGAATTGTATTATAGTAGTCCAACCCTAAAAGAGAAGGGAGCAGTTCAGGAACAAAGTCTTTCTCAAAGGGCATCTAAATACGATCCTCGGAATACTAAAGTGTGACAGATTAACGAGACGACTACGAAGTCAGTCGAGATCCAAGTGGGAGCGCCAGAGCAGGGCAAGGCAGCAATGCGCTAGCTCAGAAGTTGACTGTAGTGGAAGGTAGACGGAGACCTGGAAGAGGAGGAGGATCTGAGCATTAAAATCAGCTGGCGGGAACAGGACCAGATGTACAAGAGCTGAAGCAAGCAGCAGTGGACAAAAGGAATGGGAAGAGAAACAGGCCCCAAGGCATGTGGCATTTTACGAGCCCAAATCATGACGCTTTTCCCTGGCGTCTTCGGCCCTCGGTAGGGGCCGGATTGCTGGCAGAAGGCGCAGAACCCCAAGCAGTTGGGGGCGGGGGCGCGGACCGCCGCCAACAAGGAGCTGCTGGGCTGAGAGTTCCGCGCTTCCGGTCCCAAGCAGGCCTTCTGGAACCCAGGCTACAGCCCGAAAGTTCTAGGCGGGCATTGTCACCACCGTCTCGGCGTTCTATCCCCGATCTGGCCGCCTCCTCCCCTTGGTAAACTTTTCCCGGTAACTTACCCGCCATTTCCGAGCTACGATCACCCGCGGCTGAGGAAGGACGAATCAACCCGCGCGCTCCCGGGCCGGAAGTGACCGCACAGTCTGACATATTTTCCCCGCCCACTCCCAGCGTGACGTTAGCCAATTAAAGGAGGCGTGTCCAGGAGCCCGGCGGCGGAAGCGCCTCAAGAGGCGGGGCTAACGCCGAGAAGTCTGCGCGGGCCGTTGCCTAGCCACTGCGAATGCCGTCAGCCGCTTTGCAGGCCTGAAGTGGAGAAGGAGGCCGCAAACGGACTTTCGCGGTTGAGATGCTCTCTGGCCCTAGGAAAGTTTCTCTGGGGTTGATTTGATCAATACAGACACTTTACGCCTGTTTTCCATACCCGTCCCTGAGATGTTTTGGAGACTGGCTGAAAATCTTTCCTCTTGGCCTGGACAGTGCATCCAAACACCTGAGCCCTGTGGGCAATTTTACCATTTTACCTAGGTAAAATGTAGAGGTTGAGTTTCAGTTGCGGGAGAAGCTTTCACTTGTTTTCCTCATTTGTTTCTCATTTTGCTGTAAACTTTAACACCTTTTTTCCTTTCTCCCCTGTTTTTAACGTATACAGTATGATATTTAGGTACTCTGCTTTCACTCTGCAGGTTACTAAGAACCGTTTAGCGCGCAAAAATCGTTACCTAGGCCGGGCGCGGTGGCTCACGCCTATAATCCCAGCACTTTGGGAGGCCGAGGCGGGTAGATTGCCTGAGCTCAGGAGTTCGAGACCAGTGTAGCCAACATAGTGAAACCCCGTCTCTACTAAAAATACAAAAATTAGCCAGGCATGGTGGCAGGCGCCTGTAATCCCAGCTACTCGGGAGGCTGAGGCAGGAGAATCGCTTGAACCCTGGAGGCGAAAGTTGCAGTGAGCCGAGATTGCGCCACTACACTCCAGCCTGGGCAACAGAGTGAGACTCCGTCTCAAAAAAAAAAAAAAATTGTTACCTAATAAATACCTCAAGTAGCCTGATGTAGTCTTGCATGCCACATGTCCTAGTGGTTTGAATTACATCACAAGGTGCTACCTGATTTTAGCCATAGGCCTTGTTAGTATTTAGTAGCTGTAGGAACTGCTTTCCCCAGAGGATAAACCACTATTTAGGTATCCACAAATATTCCCACAATGTTGGCTATACACCAGAATTCCTTATCTCAACAAATATTTGTTAACAGGTTTTACAGTGATGCACGCTAAAGCTAAAATGGACCCTTGGGATGATGGTCTAGAACTAACACGCCCTCTCATTTTAGAGATGAGGAAACCAAAGCCCAGAAAAGATAAACTGCCCAAGTTCATTCTCAGTATGCAACCTATGCAGAGTGCAGTTCATCAGATACTCAGCCCAGTATTTATTTGCTCAACTATATAGAGATGGCTTTCCTGAAGATAAAGATCAGAAAAGGTACTGAGAATGCCCAGATCCTTTTTCTTTCTTTTTTTTTTTTTTTTTTTTAGACGGAGTTTCACTCTTGTTGCCCAGGCTGGAGTGCAATGGCACAATCTCAGCTCACCACAGCCTCCGCCTCCCGGGTTCAAGCGATTCTTCTGCCTCAGCCTCCTGAGTCGCTGGGATTACAGGCATGCGCCACCACACCCAGCAATTTTGTATTTTTGTAGAGACGGGGTTTCTCCATGTTGGTTAGGCTGATCTCGAACTCCCAACCTCAGATGATCTGCCCATCTCGGCCTCCAAAAGTGCTGGGATTACAGTCGTGATCCCAAGAAAAGGTTTCAAGATCCTTTTTCTTGAAACCTAATGATACACAAGAAATTACAGTCATAGGCCGGGCGTGGTGGCTCACGCCTGTAATCCCAGCACTTTGTGATGCCGAGGCGGGCGGATCACGAGATCAGGAGATCCAGACCATCCTGACTAACATGGTGAAACCCTGTCTCTACTAAAAATACAAAAAAAGTAGCCGGGCGTGGTAGCGGGTGCCTGCAGTCCCAGCTACTCAGGAGGCTGAGGCAGGAGAATGGCGTGAACCTGGAAGGCGGAGCTTGCAGTGAGCCGAGATCCCGCCACTGCACTCCAGCCTGGGCAAGAGCGAGACCCCGTCTCAAAAAAAAAAAAAGAAATTACAGTCATAATGTTAAGACAGAAAACTGAAATCAATGAGACTAATGACATTATGGATCAAAAAAGGAAAACAATCTTTTTCTTTAATAATCATTTTTGGCTAGGCACGGTGGCTCACACCTGTAATCCCAGCACTTGGGAGGCCAAGGCAGGCAGATCACCTGAGGTCAGGAGTTTGAGACCAGCCTGGCCAACATGGTAAAACCCTGTCTCTACTAAAAAGTACAATAAATTAACCAGGCGTGGTGACATGAGCCTGTAATCTCAACTACTTGGGAGGCTGAGGCAGTAGAATCGCTTGAACCCAGGAGGCGGAGGTTGCAGTGAGCTGAGATAGTGCCACTGCACTCCAGCCTGCTCAAGAGAGCGAGACTCCATCTCAAAAAAAAAAAAAAACTTTTCTTTTCAAAATGGCAAGACTTATCATTTCTTTCCAAAATCACCTTATCTATGGATCAATTGCTGACCAGCAATTATGATCTTTATAAGTAAGAAATCAAGAAGAATTACGTTTTAACTGTGGTATATCACAGATTATTAGTCCTGTGATATTATGGTTAGTTGTAGGAAAAAAATATGATGAAACTTACTGATATATTGTATGACTAGCATTTAATGTGATTTGCTTGCAGAATTGAGGTTTTATATTGTCCTCGTCTTAGATGTTCACTTTTTTTTTTTTTTTTTTTTTTGAGACAGGGTCTCACTCTCACCCAGGCTGGATTGCAATGATGCAATCATAGCTCACTACAGCCTCCAGCCTCCAACTGCTGGGCTCAAAAGATCCTCCTGCCTCTCAGCCTCCCAAATAGCCAGGACTACAAATGTGTGCCATTGTGCACAGCTAATTTTTTTGTTTTTTGTAGAAATGGAGTCTCAGTATGTTGCCCAGGCTGGTCCCAAACTCCTGGCCTCAAGCAATCCTCTCAGCTTGGCCTCCCGGAATGCTAGGATAATAGGTGTGAGCCACCATGTCCATCCTCACATTTTTTTTTTTTAATGTTACAGAATAGATGTTTTGGTACAGTTTACCTAAAAGATAAAAGAATGACTTATTTTGGAAAGGTAATGTGAAAATTACCCAAAAGGAAAAAAATTCTCTTTTTTTTTGTAGGGATTTCTTTCCTTTTTTAACTTATATTTTACTTTGTTCTAAAGAGAATTTAAGAAAGCAACTATTACAATCATGGAATAAAATTTCTATGAAAGGAATATGCTATCCTCATATATATATGGAAGAGACAACATATCTTGTGGGAAGTTTACTGCCCTACTAGTCCCAGTTCTACTACTTCATGCTTGTTCAACCTTGTTGCATCTATTAAGTGGAGATAATAGTACTGCCCAGTCACCACACTGGGTTGCTGTAAAAACTAAACGGAATAATATTTGTGAACGACCTTTGTAAACTCTAAAACTCTATGCAGGTATGAAGTGGTATTACTATGATAACATTTATTCTAGTAAGGGAGATTTGGAAAAGGCATTTTCTTCAGAGAAAAGGGCCATATTACACTATTAGGTATGAACTGGCAACCATGTGTTGGTACAGGCTCAAGTTCATATGGACTGATAAACTTCACTATCTTGCTTTGAAACCTCCAGAATGGATTAAAATTTGGCACAAAAAAATATGGTCATCGGGCCGGGCGCAGTGGCTCATGCCTGTAATCCCAGCACTTTGGGAGGCCGAGGCAGGCAGATCACGAGGTTAGGAGATCGACAGCATCCTGGCTAACACGGTGAAACCCCGTCTCTACTAAAAACACAAAAAATTAGCCAGGCGTGGTGGCGGGCGCCTGTAGTCCCAGCTACTTGGGAGGCTGAGGCAGGAGAATGGCATGCACCCAGGAGGCGGAGCTTGCAGTGAGCCGAGATCATGCCACTGTACTCCAGCCTGGGAGACAGACTCCGTCTCAAAATATATATATATATATATGGTCATCAGAAAATTGATGCAGGAAATCAATTTTAAGAAAAATGCATGTATGTAATGTGTCTTCATTTCAAAATGCATACCTTTACACAGACAAATAACAGTAGTTAGTTAGCTCATTTTTTTAGCTCGTAGTGCTAATGAGCATAAAGTTATGAGTCTCAGTTCCCAGAGCAATTATCCAGAAACCATTATCCAGCTAGATGACTTCCAAATGGGATACAAGAAAGAAAATAGGCTGGGCGCGGTGGCTCACGTCTGTGATCCCAGCACTTTGGGAGGCCGAGGCAGGCAAATCACATGAAGTCAGGAGTTCGAGACCAGCCTGGCCAACATGGTGAAACTCCATCTCTACTGAAAATACAAAAATTAACCGGGTGTGGTGGCATACACCCGTAATTCCAGCTACTCAGGAGGCTGAGGCAGGAGAATTGCTTGAGCCCGGGAGACGGAGGTTGCAGTGAGCCGAGATCCCGCCATTGCACTCCAGCCTGGGCGACAGAGCGAGTCTGTCTCAAGAAAAAAAAAAAAAGGAAAGAAAGAAAATAAAAATGGACCGGCTCATGTTGAAAACTACTGTAAGAGGACCCCTATCCTAAATACACAAAAATTACCAACAGTCTTTATTTTCCAACTCTAATGTACTACCCATACGTGTATAAATTAGTAACTTTTGAGGGGCAATTTAGAAATTTTAACACATTTTTACAAATGTAACAAAATTTTCAATTTGTGTATCCTTTGAGGCAACAACAGTTCCACTTTTAAGCATTTGTACTGCAAAACTATTTCACAGAAATGCAAAGATACACTAAAACAAAGATGTTCAATGCTGTATTATTTTCACTGGCAAGTTGAAAATAGCCTAAACTACTAGCACAAGGGGCTGGCTAATATGTTCTATCTCCTATACAATAGGCTAAAAAATAAATTACAAAAAATATAATGTTATTTCATTTATATAAAAATATATTTTGATATAAACAGAAAACATCTGAAAGCATACCTCACAAACTTAACTATAGTTGCCTTTAGGGGGAATTTAGAGATGGGGATTAATGAGGTTTTTTGTTTTTGTTTTTGTTTTGGAGACAGAGTCTGCCCAGGCTGGAGTGTAGTGGCATGATCTCGGCTCACTGCAATCTCCACCTCCTAGGTTCAAGCAATTCTCCTGCCTTAGCCTCCCGAGTAGCTGGGGCTACAGTGAGCATCCGCCACCACACCCAGCTAATTTTTGTAATTTTAGGGTTTCACCATGTTGGCCAGGCTGTTCTGGAACTCCTGACCTCAAGTGATCTGCCTCCTTGGCCTCCCAAAGTGCTGGGATTATAGGCGTGAGCCACCGCGCCCAGCCTAATGAGTTTTTTTATTCTTTAATACCATTTGTCTCTTTCAATGATGATGTATTGGTTTCTTTCACAGTTAGAAACTTATCCATCTGGCTGCGCGTGGTGGCTCACACCTATAATCCCAGCACTTTGGGAGGCCAAGGTGGGCAGATCGCCTGAGGTCCGGAGTTGGAGACCAGCTTGACCAACATGGAGAAATCCCGTCTCAAAGAAAAATACAGAATTAGCCGGGTGTGGTGGTGCATGCCTGTAATCCCAGCTACTCGGGAGGCTGAGGCAGGAGAATCACTTGAACCCGGGAGGCAGAGGTTGCGGTGAGCCAAGATCACGCCATTGCACTCCAGCCTGGGTAACTAGAGCAAAATTCCGTCTCAAAAAAAAAAAAAAAAGAGAAACTTATCCATCTTTTTGGAGGTTTTTAGACATGGTTGCTAACTCCCTATCCTCTTCTCTACATTCGACGTATTATGGTACACAGACTCTAAGGGAAGCAATTTAATCAAAACTAGGAACAATTAGTTGAAAACTAATATTTTCCATTTTGCATTTTGTCATTATTTACAAGCAAAGATTGGCCAAAATAACAAGCACTATAATTATTTATACCTGTTTTCAAAATGACTGTCCAGTGATGCCTGCTTTACTTTTGGAAACTAATTTATTAGAATGGCATTAATTATGTATTTGTCTACTTTTGGTAGGTAATACAATAATAACTGTGATATTATACATTCTATCATTAAAATGCTATTTTAAGTATTATTATTATTATTTTTTTTTTTTTTGAGACGGAGTCTCACTCTGTCGCCTCTGTCCCAAAGTGCTGGGATTACAGGTGTGAGCCACCGCACCAGGCCATTGTCTTTCTTTTAATGTAAAAAAACACATAACATATAACTTACCATGTTAACTATTTTTAAGTTTATAGTTCAGTAATATTAAGAATATATTCACCTTGTTGTGAAATCTGTCATTTTAATAGGTTGGTTTTCAGTCAACTCCTTTGTAACCTATTTACCTATATCACTATGTACAGCAGGAGTTTTAACTTCCCATGATGTGGACACACAAAGTAACAAGGTTTATACCAACTGTATAATGGTGCTAGTTCAGTGTTTAGTTCATAAACCTTAAAAGAATAAAAATAAAGTTTAGTTTTATGGTAGTGTTTTCTCTAATTCTTTTTACAAATTGGAGTTTTGAGGGACTATATGAAGTCAACAAGCTAAATCAACCACTGTGCAAGTTAGTGAAAATTAAAGAGATTTTTTTCAAAAATTTTCTAGGGGGATCCAGACTTTAAGGTTAACTTCATTAATCGCATAAACACAGGGCCAGTCCCTTTGCCAGTCAGTTGAATGAATTAAGAGGAAGAAAGTCATACTGACTGGCATCACATGACACAAAGAGAACCTGCTTTATCAGGTAAGAAGGGTGAGTCGGTAGGGGTAGGATGCATTTAAAGAATAAAAGATTTGCTTTTTAAAATCTTTTCAAAATTAAATTTTGTTTTATATGAGGAAGTCAGTGTTAGTATAGATAGGATTTTATTTTTTAATATAGTTTAAGAGAAACTAAGGCAGTTGAATAATACAGAATCAGGAATTTTAGAGCCAAGTGGCTTTAGAAATCAGATAATCTCGTCATTATGATACATTTTTATTTGGCACACATATGTGTAACAACTTTTGGTCATATCTCCTTAAAAATGTATGCTTTTTACTACTGTTAATTCACATATTAAATATTACTATTAATGTTTTATTTTTTAGACAAAAAAGATCATAAATACTCACTTTTAATACTATTTTTTTTTTTTTTTTGAGATGGAGTCTCACTCTGTTGCCCAGGCTGGAGTGTAGAGGCATGATCTTAGCACACTGCAACCTCTGCCTCCCAGGTCCAAGGGATGGGCCCACCTCAGCCTCCCGCCTCCTGAGTAGCTGGGATTATAGGCGCATACTACCACGCCCGGCTTTTTTTCGGGTGTGTGAGACAGAGTCTGGATCTATTGCCCAGGCTGGAGTGCACTGGCACGATCTTGGCTCACTGCAACCTCCACCTCCTGGGCTCAAGCAATCCTCCTGCCTCCCGAGTAGCTGGGACTATAGGCACGTACCTATAGGCCCGGCACCATGCCCAGATAATTTTTTGTACTTTTAGTAGAGATGGGGTTTCACTATGTTGGCCAGGCTGGTCTTGAACTCCTGATCTCAAGTGATCAGCCCAGCTCAGCCTCCCAAAATGCTAGGATTACAAGCATGAACCACCGTGCCTGGCCCCAGCTAATTTTTTTATTTTTAGTAGAGATGGGATTTCACCATGTTGGCCAGGCTGGTCTCAGACTTCTGACCGCAAGTGATTTGCCTGCCTCGGCCTCCCAAAGTGCTGGGATTACAGGCATAAGCCACTGTGCTCAGCTGCATTTTTAATACTTTCTGTCCCAGTAGATCACTTGTGCACCCGTGAAGGTCCCTGCCTTAATTTCACACTCTCGATTATCAGTAAGAAACTGATAAGCTGATATTATGGCCCAAGTCTCTCAAATGGTTCTGTTTTTCTACTTTTTTTCTTCCCCTTTCATGTTGTAGAAAGGGCCAATTTGCTGCCTTTACTTTGCAGAGAAAGTCACTGTGTCTGACATATGGTTGATACCTATTAAATGTTTGTTAAATGACTGCGTAGTAATACCAAGAACATATTTTTCCTCCCAAATAACTAAGCTTTCACTGTTGTTTAAGTATTTCACAGCTCTTGAGATTGAAAACTGCTAAGTTTCTTTGCTTTAAAAAACATCCTTAAGCATGTGATTAGAATCAGGGACTAAAAAGTGTCTCATCCACGTTTAACCCATTACTACCAACACATGTGTAACACAGGCCTTGCCCTCTGAATGTCACCAGGGAATAGCTGTGGCGGAAGGTGAGTAAGCAACACAATTTCCAAGAGGTGATCTTTTGCCACAGTAAATTGTATCCCTGGTACAATAGCTCTAAAGAGACAATTTTCTGGGACATGGGAGTATTCTTGGAGACAAGCCCACCAGTAGCTCTGGATTTCCCTAGACAATTTTAACTCAGATTAGGTTCCAGCTTTCTTACCAAGCTCTAAGAAAGCCTGGCTATTCCCCATCAGGAGCTTACCCTCCTTCTCTCTACCCTTCAATCAATTAAGCACCTGAACATTCAAACACTAAATGTAAACTGTCATCTTCCCAGATCCAGAGACCTGTTCGGAATACATTTATGGAATCAAGGAGAGGTACTGGGCAATTGATACAGTGAATATAATATCCTTCCTCCTCTTCTCCTCGGGTTTCCCACAACAAACAGGAACACGCTGCTGTACCATGCAGCAGTCCCACATTTCACCCTGAGTAAGACTTTTTTTTTTTTTTTTTTTGAGACAGAGTCTTGCCCTCTCACTTCTCTCCAGCAGGCTTCATTGAGGCTTGCTGTTTTGAGGGCCTGCTATGTTCATTCACCAAGGTAGGCCTGCTTATCACAGAAGGACTGCCTCAACTTTCTGATCTGTCCTTCTGGGGATAATGGTGAATCATTACCTTCTCTACTTTTAAGCTTATTTGCTCCTTATTGATAACTTCTCTGTTAGGTTCAGGGTCAGGTTCCAGCCCATGCTGAGGTCCGGAGGGAGCAGGTGGATTGAAACCACCTTTGCAAAATTATGACTGGGACAGTGAAAGAGGTTTAACTTAACTGACTCCATTTTGCTTTTAACCTCCAAGCTGTCCTTGTTCATTCCTGGGCGTAGGCTGAACTAACTTTGGGAGAAACTTTATAGTTTAATCAAAGACAGTAACAGCCCTTTCCCAAAGCAGACCTCCTCCTTGCCTGGGGACTAGATTGCCTTAGTAGGACTAACATTAGCCACAAGATTAGAAATTATGGTTTAGGAGTCATGCAGCTGGAGGCTACAAGATTCTGACCCTCCGTAAACTGCTTTTAAGATCAGTGCTTGAGATATTTTGCAAACCCTGCACTTGATGGATCAGCTGGCCCCACCCAGATCAATAAACTGGCCCATCTGATTTTGTGGCCCCCACCCAGGAACTGACTGAGCGCAACAAGACAGCTCTGACTCCCTATGATTTCATCTCTGATCAATTAGCACTCCTGGCTCACTGGCTTCCCCCCACCCACCAAGGTATCCTTAAAAACTCTGCTCCCGGAATGCTCAGGGAGACTCATTTGAGTAATAATAAAACTCCTGGCCGGGCGCGGTGGCTCACGCCTGTAATCCCAGTACTTTGGGAGGACGAGGCGGGCGGATCACGAGGTGAGGAGATCGAGACCATCCTGGTTAACACGGTGAAACCCCATCTCTACTAAAAACACAAAAAATTAGCTGGGCATGGTGGCGGGTGCCTGTAGTCCCAGCTACTCAGGAGGCTGAGGCAGGAGAATGGTGTGAACCGGAGAGGTGGAGCTTGCAGTGAGCCGAGATTGCGCCACTGCACTCCAGCCTAGGCGACAGAGCGAGACTCCATCTCAAAATAATAACAATAATAATAGTAATAATAATAAAACTCCAGTCTTCCACACAACCGGCCCTGCGTGAATTACTCTTTCTCAATTGCAATTCCCCTGTCTTGATGAATTGGCTCTGTCTAGGCAGCGGGCAAGGTGAACCCCTTGGTCGGTTACAGGATGAGTGGCAAATAGGTGGAAGAACACTCGGGGGGCTGTAGGCAGGTGAAATACGGCTTTATTCAGCAGCTCTCTTACACTGTCTGCTCTGTCCGGGCTGCTTGAGCCTGTGGCTCCCATGCACAGTGGCGCCAGCCGCCTCTCCCTTGCTTTCAGGGTCAGCAGCTTAACTTTTTCTCTCTCTGAGGACAAGCAAGTCTAGCTGTGTCCTGGATCCCTCCTGTCCATCTGTAAGATGGACAGCTTTGGCTCGCTCTCTTTCTCTGGGTGCGAGCATGCCTGTACGGTGTCAGTAGGGCATTTATACCTTTTACAGACAATGTGGTGTAGAACCAAGTGATGGCCTTCCTATGTTATGGCTACATGGCTGTGATAACAGGTGGAGTTATACGCCTGCGCTCTAAACTCTCTGAGTCACTCTGGATAGTTACCTTGGCCCCTCCTTGACCAAAGCACAGCCATTTCCTTATACTCTACAAGGCTGGATCTATGTTATCTTCATCCCTGAGTTCTCACTTGAAGTGAGAGCAATTCTTTTAACTAACATTTACTAAAGACTTTTATTCAGATTAATTGTTGTATTGAATACATTATTTAAGTTTGCCCATATCTTCTCTTCTTAGGCCCCCTCTCAGGTTTCTTTATCCCCTTCCTTCCCTGCCTGATCCTTAAGGACAATCCCTATATAAATGGAATGATCTATTTACCCCGAGATACTGGGTTATATTCTCATTAACTGAATCTTATCTAAAAATATGAATGTGACTTTTTAAAAAACATGTAATATTCTGAATACTTGGAGAAATGAAAATTTTCATTTAAAAAAGTAATAAAATTTCAAAAGGTTTCTAAAATCTTTTAAAATATTAACAGATAATTATAACTTTTTTTTTTTTTTGAGACTGAGTCTCACTCTATTGCCCAGGCTGGAGTGTGATGGCGTGATCTTGGCTCACTGCAACCTCTGCCTCCCAGGTTCAAGTGATTCTTGTGCCTCAGCCTCCTGAGTAGCTGGGATTACAGGTGCCCGCCAACATACCCAGCTAATTTTTGTGTTTTTAGTAGAGACGGGGTTTCACCGTGTTGGCCAGGCTGGTCTCGAACTCCTGACCTCAAGTGATCTGCCCGCCTCAGCCTCCCAAAGTGCTGGGATTACAAGGGTGAGCCACTGCGCCCAGCCTATAACATTTTGTTTTATGCCAGCTTTGTTAAGGAAGGATCGCAAGAAAGACCAGAAATAATTTTTTTTTTCTTTTTTTTTTTGAGACAGAGTCTTGCTCTGTCGCCCAGGCTGGAGTGCAGTGATGCCATCTCAGCTCACTGCAACCTCCACCTCCCGGGTTCAAGCAATTCTCCTTCCTCAGCCTTCCGAGTAGCGAGGATTACAGGCGCCTGCCACCACGCCCAGCTAATTTTTGTATTTTTAGTAGAGATGGGGTTTCACCATCTTGGCCAGGCTGGTCTCGAACTCCTGACCTCGTGATCCACCTGCCTCAACCTCCCAAAGTGCTGGGATTACAGGTGTGAGCCACTGTGCCCAGCCAAGAAATTTTCTTTTTCAAAAATGTGTGGCTGCAAACCTACATTGTCCTTGGATGTGTAGAAGTCCTGCTGAGCTAAATTGTATGTTTCTTTCATTTGGTAAAGATGTTTGCTATTTTTTCCTTTGCATGTGGACTTTGAAGTTATTTTATTCTCATATTTTGAAGTTCGTATTGTACTTTTGAGTAAATATAGGACTGCAGCAGGGAGATGACAAATGTCCAATTCATTCAAATAGTATCAGTATGACTTAATTTCCTTAGGTTTTGCTTTGCTTTTTGTTAAATGAAATAGATTATATGTTTAAATACCAAATGACAATTTTATTTACTACTATAAGGTTTAATTATATATGAGTACATATCTAACCACAAATGAAAATTGTGTTGTATATTTAGTATATTACAACACATCCATTTACTAAAGGTAGAAAGATAATTATCTAAATCATGTGACAGATAAGAACAATAGCTGTGATTTGAAAGGGTCATTCTTTGATAAACCTCATTATTTTTATGCTGTTTAGTTCATATGTATTTTTCACTGGGGTCATACAAGGTTGAGATTTTTAAAAAAAAATGATAACCATGAACATTTAATCTTTTTTTGTGCCAGTCTTGAGGTTAAGGCACTCCTACATATGAGATCAGTGTACCACAAGTAGTTCCAGGAGATTCTTACCTTGCTCCAGTGCCCTAAAATGTTTCAGTGTGGGAGGAAGACTTCATAAATTAGAGTCCTCATACAAATATTACCAATGATGTTATAGAAATTGGAGTGAGATAGAATGGGTTAGGATAGATGATTTCACATCAGGTGGGCCAAAGGAATCTTCACTGGAAGGCTCAAAGACATGTTCTCTGAAATATCTGCAATATTAACAATTATATGTATGGACTCCCTGCAAACTGGAATGATTGCAGATAACGGGAAAAGTCAAGCAAAATACTCAATTTTTAATGGAAAAGGGAGGAACTGAGGGATCATGCTCTGTTTAGTCTGCTTCTTTGCAAGACTATAGTGTTAAATCTTTGAAAAACAATAACCAGCCCCCACAAGAAAACCCCTGCAATTTATAGATCCACAGAAGGTAGCCAAGTATCCATCATCTAACATAGGTTTGTGAAAAGCAATCATGCTAAATAAACCTATTTTACATCTTAAACAAATAAATAACACAAAGAAGTATTATAGTACGTTTGATTAGATATGTGGTCATTGCTGACCCTATGCAAAATTGTGATTTAGGGAAAATTCAAGTATCTGCTCCAGACTTTAATATATTCAGATTATTTATACAATTGTGCTTATCACATACATACAATTTCAAGTTCTGATTCATTCACTTAACTTATGTAATAAACTATTTTCTACTCATACTTTTATGCGACCAGATTACTAAGGAATCTGAACTTGGTGGAGATTCAAAAATAAAATGTTTTCTTTTTCTCAAGTCACTGTTTCCTCAGTACTGTGTTGAATATCCTTTCCCCCCAGGCAGATTCCATAGTTTTCTGGTCTTCTTCTCTTTTTTTTTTTTTTTTTTTGAGATGGAGTCTCACTCTGTCACCCAGGCTGAAATGCAGTGGCACGATCTCAGCTCACTGTAACCTCCACCTCCCACGTTCAAGTGATTCTCCTGCCTCGGCCTTTGGAATAGCTGGGACTACAGGCACGCACCACTACACCTGGCTGACTTTTGTATTTTTAGTAGAGGTGGGGGGTTTCACCATGTTGGCCAGGCTGGTCTCGAACTCCTGACCTCAGATTATCCACCGGCCTCGGCCTCCCAAAGTGCTGGGATTACAGGTATGAGCCACCGTGCCCGACCAGCTTTCTGGTCTTTTAAGTTATTCGAAGTCTAGCATGGACTACTTTAAAACTTCAGAATTTTAAACTTGGACTAGTTTTAAAACTTCCCCATTGCTGGCCAGATTTGTAGCCATAGGGACCTGAGATGTGTAATAGATCCTGGTCAATTTTTTATGCATTCTCCCTCTCTAAGCTCCTTAAGATTGGGTTGGGGGCAGGTGGGGGGTGGTATCTGGTTCTAGGATATTTCTTCGTTTTTTTTTTTTTTCAAGGCTAACTCCTCCAGGTTAGGGGTTAGAAGTAGGAATAGAGAAGAAATGAATCTTGCTACTTAACTATATTCACTTTTGGTCATCTCTACTTCTCCAGCTGACATTGATCATCGATGTTCTTACTGCCTCTTAGATAGCATGCATTCTTAATTACTTCAATGAGCCTACAGGGGCCTCCGCATTATACCAATTTCCTGACAAGGAAACTCTGGCTCCTTGCTGCTGTGGTCTCCTGTCAGTAGGCCTTGTTTTTGGGTGGAATACTGTAAAGGCAATTCAAGCCCCAGTATCTTACAGGTTTCACTTGCCTGTAAGAAATTCACATACCATCTCTTGTGTGGCAATCAGTGTTGCTAACACAGTGACCACACATAGTCCCACACCTATCATATCATCAGAGGATGATGAAATTTGAAATGTTAGCCAATGCCAATGCTCTTCGTATGAGGTACAGGTGGAATAAGGATCAAGAATAATGTAAAATGAAGCTGCTATTGAACTCTACTTCTGTGGGTGATTATGAGGCCTAAGTTGATAATCATAACTTCCTTTTTCCACCCCTCATTCTGTGTCCCCTCATTTCTGTAAGCACCTTGACTATGTTTTATTCTTTAGTACAGTGTCCCAAACCCTAATTTCCAAATGGTCTGAGTGCACTATGGTCTTACTTCTGTTGGATTGGCTGTCTCTACTGAGTTGCCTCAGTTGGGATTCAGACGTAGTCATCCTTGCCTCATTGTATAGTAACAACCCAGTTTCTCCTTGATATTGGGGATTAATCACCACTTGGCTGTGGTGACCCTTTTCTACCTCTAGTTTTGCAGCTGAAGAAGCCCAAAATCTCCAGGAGGCAGTTTCAGTTTCCAATTCATCTGACCCATGATGGTGTTTCTTGGTGGAAGCATTTCTTCCTTGGACACTAGGGCCTCAAAATCTGTGAGCCCAAGGTTGTGGGGAAAAGAGGCAAAAATTTCTCCAGTGGAGGCCAGGCGTGGTGGCTCATGCCTGTAATCCCAGCACTTTCAGAGGCCGAGGCTGGTGGATCATGAGGTCAGGAGTTGAAGACCAGTCTGACCAATATGGTGAAATGCCGTTTCTACTAAAAATACAAAAATTAGCTGGGCATGGTGGCGTGCACTTGTACTCCCATCTACTCGGGAGGCTGAGGAAGGAAAATCTCTTGAACCCGGGAGGCGGAGGTTGCAGTGAGCCAAGATCACACCACTACATTCCAGCCTGGGAGACAGAGCAAGATTCCGTCTCAAAAAAAAATTTCTCCAGTGGATTATTTCGTGAGATAATGAGAGGGGCTGTTTTCACCTCCTCCTGTTTTTTTTTTTTGTTATTGTGTTTTTTTGTTTTTTTTTTCTCTTTTTATCTCCAATGTTCTGATATTTCAAAATGTGCCTTGGTATGGAGCCTTTCTTATTCATTGTTTTGGGTACACAGAGAACACTTTGAATACTCATCTTTTGGATATGAAAAGTTCTCTTGCGTTGTTTATTTGATAATTTCTTTTCTATCATGCTAAATTTCTATTTCCCCCAGACTTCTTAGAATTCAATTATTGGGCCCCCTGGATTAGTTCTTTGTATTTAAATCCTTTCCCTCTCTTTCTTGGTGTATTGCTCTACTTTCTGAGAGATTTTTCACAATGTTTTCATTATTATTCTTTTTATAACTTTATTACCATTTATTAGTTTTATAACCTTGGGAAAGCTGCTTAATCTCCCAGTCTCAGTTTCCTGACCTTTGAAATGGAGATAATGACATGAAATTACCCTACTTCAGAGTTGTTTGAGGATAGATTCATAGAAAGTGATTATAATAGTGCCTGAAACAAAGTAAGTACTCAGTAAATATTAGCTTATATTGGTTATTCATCAGTATCTTGTTAATTTGGTTAGCTTAAGTGATATTTGGGCCATTTACAAGATGATTTATGACATACAGAACTGATGACCATATCCTGGACATTGGTGACTTTACCACTTCAAGCCTTTTTTGGAAGAAGACCTAACAGCTGGCTTTCAGAATCGTGCCTCTCTATCTCACCATCCCCTTCAAATACAACAAGTTTTATTCCTTCTCCAGTTTTGCCTGTCTCTGTATATGTTTTTACATGTCCATGTTTTCATCTTAATATCTTGTAATAAATCTTTATTTATTTATTTATTTATTTATTTATTTTGAGGTGGAGTTTTGCTCTTGTTGCCCAGGTTGGAGTGCAATGGCATGATCTCAGCTCACTGCAACCTCCGCCTCCTGGGTTCAAGCGATTCTCCTGCCTCAGTCTCCCAAGTAGCTGGGATTACAGGCATGTGCCACCACACCCAGCTAATTATTTTTGCTATTTTTAGTAGAGACAGGTTTTCGCCATGTTGGCCAGGCTGGTCTTGAACTCCTGACCTCAGGTGATTCACCCACCTTGGCCTCCAAAAGTGCTGGGATTACAGGAGTGAGCCACCGCGCTCTGCCAAGAAATCTTTATTCTTAAAAAGGGAAGTGATGGGGGGAATATGATTCATGAAGATGATCTATCCCAGAATTTTGTGTTTATTTTGTTCTCAAACATTTTTATTAACCACTGCTTTGTACCTTACCCTGCACTAATTGCTAGGGATACACAGATTTTTGTTTTATCTTTTTCTTCAATTCCTACATTGAGCATCTACCATGCTCTAGAATCTACGTGAGTTCACATTGTATTGCAATATTTTTAAACTGTAAGTTTGGCCCACTAAAGGGTCATGCATGATATCAATTTAGTGTGTTGAAACCAAAATTAGAATAAAGAAATAGAATATAGTGTGGAATAGTAAATAACCAGAGTGTGTTGCATGTAGTAAGGTTCAGTACTGCTCTGTGAAATTTTTATTTTGGTATGTACTGGAGTTGTAAAAAAAAAATGTGTTTTTTTAATATATAGGTGTGGGTTAGTAAAGTAGTTTGAAAGCCACCAGTGGAAATGATAATAAGCAAAGAGGTAATTATAACAGTGTAATTAGGCCAGGTGCGGTGGCTCACGCCTGTAATCCCAGCACTTTGGGAGGCTGAGGCGGGTGGATCACCTGAGGTCAGGAGTGTGAGACCAGCCTGACCAACATGGAGAAACCCTCTCTCTGCTAAAAATACAAAATTACCTGGGTGTGGTGGCGCATGCCTGTAATCTCAGCTACTTGGGAGGCTGAGGCAGGAGAATCACTTGAACCTGGGAGGCAGAGGTTGCGGTGAGCCAAGATGGTGCCATTGCACTCCAGCCTAGGTGACAAAAGCGAAACTCCATCTCAAACAACAACAACAACAACAACAACAAAAGTGTGATAAATACTATGCATAGGATAGAGTTAGTGCTCAAAGGGAGGCTACCCTAAATGGGAAAACGGGGCTAGGGATTGTTTTCTGGAGGAGGAGCTTCTTCTTTTTTTTGAGACGGAGTCTTGCTCTTTCGCCCAGGCTAATTTTTGTATATTTTTTAAGAGACGGGGTTTCACCGTGTTGGCCAGGATGGTCTCAATCTCCTGACCTCATGATCCACCTGCCTCGGCCTCCCAAAGTGCTGGGATTACGGGAGTGAGCCACTGTGCCCGGTCAAGTTTGGATTTTATATTGAAGTCAGTAGAGAGCCAGTGAAGGATGGGCAAGTAACAAAATTCAATTTCTGTTTTAGATCAAACACTTGGTAGCACTGTGGAGAATGGATTTGAGGGTAGTGACAGGAGGCAGAAAGTAGAGAAGTGGAAACTGAGAGAGGAATTAGAAGGCACAATAAAGGCTATTATAATCAAAAGAAGAGCTTTTTTGGTTTGTTTATTTTTTTGAGACAGAGTCTTGCTCTGTCACCCAGGTTGGAGTACAGTGGCATGATCTCGGCTCACTGAAACCTCCGCCTCCCGGGTTCAAGTGATTCTCCTGCCTCAGCCTCCCAAGTAGCTGGGATTACAGGCGCCTGCCACCATACCCAGCTAATTTTTTGTATTTTTAGTAGAGACGGGCTTTCACCATGTTGCCCAGGCTGGTTTCGAATCCTGAGCTCAGGCAATCCACCCGCCTTGGCCTCCCAAAGTGCTGGGATTACATGTGTGAGCCACCATGCCCGGCCAAGAGAAGAGATTTAAAAAGCACTGAAGGGAATGGAAAATGCAGGACTGGGTGGCTATTTGAATGTGAGGAACAAGGGAGAGTCTGATACCTAGCTTTCTGACTCAAGCAACAAGGGCAATAGTAATGGCCTTCACTTAGGAAAGATAAGGGGACTAATTGGCTATCGGTAGAGAAACTGGCTAGGAATGATCAATAAACCATTTAATTAATACCCACATGACTAACAGCAGGCACTGAGATAAGTGTTAGGACTGAGGGTATGGATAAAGAAAGAAGGATACAATAATAAGACCTATTCTGGAAGGAATGCAGAAAAATGCTGAATTAAAGCAGAGGTGAGTTATTGTTTCCATGAAACCTTTTGTTTACCGTCCAGCTTAAACCGATTTTTTGTCTAAACCTCTCTTGCATAAATTTACCACACAATTAAGAATCCTCATATGTGCATTGTTACTTAATCGTTTTAGATGATTATGTTCCCTTCATATTTCCTGCTTACAGATATCAATAATAAGAAGGCACATATAGTATCTTGGAGATAGAGTAGAACTTCATAGCCATATAGAATTCCATATGATGAAGCATCCCACTCTCCCTGCAATGTTCTCTAGCATGTTTAAGTAAAGAAGGATTTGTCTCATCTACTGGGCAGTTGCTTCTCTGTGATCCATGCTCCTCATTACCATTCTGTTAAGTCTTGGCTTACACTCACTTAGCTGCTGTTATCCATGTAGAACCCTGAGCCTACTGTCTTTGATGAGATGATGTTGCTGCTATTGCCACATGGATCTCAGTGAGGGGGTTAGCACTTCACCGAGGAAGGTTATACTTCCTATTACTGTGATTTTTCTTCCATGCCATCAACACAACACTTGTTCGCAGATAGTGTTTTATGGAAGGGTTGGGGATGATTAGAGGAATTATAACTGTTGACTCCCTATTTTATTTCCTATCCTCACCCCAAACCATCCAGGCAAGTCCATCCACTCAGGGTGACAGAAGAGCAGAGTCAGGAGAGTGAGCAACAGCAACTGTTTCTTCTTCTTTTCAAGCAGTGATAGCGAGGCATAGTACAGGCAAGACTTCGTAGATCAGTTACTCCATGATTTATTGTCTATACTGGCTTGACTAGAGTCAAGAATTCCACAATTCTACCCACTTTCTCTCCTCAACTTGTCTCTTTTCACAAGATCTGTCTCTCCTTAAGGTCTAGCTATTTCATACTGTTTCTCCAAAACTTTCTAACTTAAACTTTCCAATTATCCTTCTGATTCGTACAATTTGATACTGATCAATATTACATTACTTCTCTAATGTAATTATTCAGGAGAAGTTTCTTCCTGGGCATATCCCAATTCCTAGCTTACTTGTCTGGTTGTCTGTAGACTTCTCTTCCTAAGTGAGTACAAACCTGTCCTCCCCTTTTTGGAAACCTCCTACTCAAAAGAGTTGGTGTTATCCTATGATTAATTCTCCTTCCCCCAACAGGGCAATCCAAGGACACAATGACCAATTGCAGGATCTTCCTCACCTACGTCTGAGTTTCTCAGTCTAGAATTACATCCTGGGTGCACTTCAGCAGAGGAGTTCCAAGTTAGGCTTTAGATTCCAAGTCTGGTTCTTTCCAAGGTAACTGTCAGTATGTTATGCAAATATACTTTCACATTCTTTTTCTAGTTTTCCTGTGGGTAACTATTAGACCGAACACACACATATACCCAAACATGCATGACCCCAAGGACATATAATTAGTGTCTGAATTTATGTTGAGGAAAACATTTTCTTTCTTGATGTAATATATATATAAACTATATGTATATATATAAACTGTATATATAAACTATATATATAAATAAACTACATATATAAACTATATATAAATTATATATATATAAACTATATATAAATTATATATATATAAACTATATATATATAAACTATATATATAAACTATATATATATATATATTTTGAGACAGAGTCTCATTCTGTCACGCAGGCTGGAGTGCAGTAGTGCAATCTCGGCTCACTGCAACCTTTGCCTTCTGGGTTCAAGCAGTTCTCCTTTCTCAGCCTCCCGAGTAGCTGGGATTATAGGTGGGCACCACCATGCCTGGCTAATTTTTGTATTTTTAGTAGAGATGGGGTTTCACCATGTTGGCCAGGCTGGTCTCGAACTCCTGGATTCAAGTGATCTGCCCACCTTGGCCTCCCAAAGTGCTGGGATTACAGGCATGAGCCACCACACCCAGCCTTCTCAATGCAATATAATTTTCACAGATTCCCCTCCCCATAAAAGAGGTATATTATTTGTCAAGCAGTTTCAGTTCTTTCTCCTCCTCTCCAACAATGCAGAGGCCTATTAGTGGTTAGGAAATAAGTCCCAGTACAATTTCTGACCAAACAACAGAATTACATACATGGATAGCCATTTTTAGAAACACAAAGACCAACACAAATTTTCCCTGACCTTTTATTATGAAAATTTTAGAATATTTAGAAAAGTTGCAACAATAATTTTTTTCAGTGAACTCCTGTATACACTCCCACAGTTAGAAATTACATACCTATTCATCCATTTCTCTATCCATCTGTAAATCTTTCTTATTTCTTTAATGCATTTCAAAGTAAATTTAAAATACTAGTATTCTCTCCCCTAAATATATCATTGGCTAGAGTTCAATATTTGCTCAGGTTGTTCTTCCTTTTGAAGGAAATTTACACACATTTGTAATTAAGTGTACAAAACTTATGTTTACATTCACTAAGTTCTGAAAAATGCATACACCTGTTATCTAAGCCCCTAGGCAAGGCATATACTACTATTATCACTTCACATAGTTCCCTTACTCCTCTTTCTGGTCAAGTCCTCTCTGGCAATCATGGCTCAAATTTTTTTTCACCAGTGATTTATTTTGCTGGTTCTAGAACTTTGTATAAACGGAATCATATGATATATGCTCTTTTGTACTATATGATTTATGCAAGGCTTCTTTCACTTAGCATCATGCTTTTGACACTTGTCCACGTTGTGTGTATCATTAGTTTACTCTATTTTATTTCTCAATAGTATTCCATTCTCCAAATATACCATAGTTTATCTATTCTTCTATTGATGGACACCTGGGTTATTTCCAGTTTTGGGCTTATTTCCAGTTTTGGGCTATTATGAATAAAGTGGCTGTGAACATTCTTGTACAGCTCTTTTAATAGACATATATTTTCATTTCTCTTGGTTAAATATTGGGAGATAGAATTGCTTGGTCATAGGTAGGTGTATGTTTAGTTTTACAAGAACCTGCTAGACTTTTTCTCAAAGTAATTATACCAGTTTACACGCCTACTGTAGTGAATAAGAACTCTGGTTGCTCCATATCCTTGCCAGCATCTGGTGTTTTCAGTCCTTAATTTTAGCTATTCTAGTAGATGTGTAGTGGTACCTTCTCACTGTGATTTAATTTGCATTTCCCTGATGACTAATGATGTTGTACACTTTTTCATGTGTTATTGACCATTTGTATACCTTATTTTGTGAAGTTCTGTTCCAGTCTTTTGCCAATTTTTAGGACTAGGTTGTTTATCATTGATGTCATTGAGATTTAGGATATATCCTGGATATTAGTCCTTTGTTGTGTATATGTTTTGCTAATATTCTCTCCCAGTTAATACCTTGCCTATTCATTTTCTTAATGCTATATTTTGAGGAAAAGACATTTTTATCTTTAGTGAAATCTAATTTATCAATTTCTTTTTCTTTTTTTTTTTTTATTGATCATTCTTGGGTGTTTCTCGCAGAGGGGGATTTGGCAGGGTCATAGGACAATAGTGGAGGGAAGGTCAGCAGATAAACAAGTGAACAAAGGTCTCTGGTTTTCCTGGGCAGAGGACCCTGCGGCCTTCCGCAGTGTTTGTGTCCCTGGGTACTTGAGATGAGGGAGTGGTGATGACTCTTAACGAGCCTGCTGCCTTCAAGCATCTGTTTAACAAAGCACATCTTGCACCGCCCTTAATCCATTTAACCCTGAGTGGACACAGCACATGTTTCAGAGAGCACAGGGTTGGGGGTAAGGTCACAGATCAACAGGATCCCAAGGCAGAAGAATTTTTCTTAGTACAGAACAAAATGAAAAGTCTCCCATGTCTACCTCTTTCTACACAGACACGGCAACCATCCAATTTCTCAATCTTTTCCCCACCTTTCCCCCCTTTCTATTCCACAAAACCGCCATTGTCATCATGGCCCGTTCTCAATGAGCTGTTGGGTACACCTCCCAGACGGGGTGGTGGCCGGGCAGAGGGGCTCCTCACTTCCCAGTAGGGGCGGCCGGGCAGAGGCGCCCCTCACCTCCCGGACGGGGCGGCTGGCCGGGCAGGGGGCTGACCCCCCCCACCTCCCTCCCGGACGGGGCGGCTGGCCGGGCAGAGGGGCTCCTCACTTCCCAGTAGGGGCGGCCGGGAAGAGGCGCCCCTCACCTCCCGGACGGGGCGGCTGGCCGGGCGGGGGGCTGACCCCCCACCTCCCTCCCGGACGGGTCGGCTGGCCGGGCGGGGCGCTGACCCCCCCCACCTCCCTCCCGGACGGGGCGGCTGGCCGGGCAGGGGGCTGACCCCCCACCTCCCTCCCGGACGGGGTGGCGGCCGGGCGGAGACGCTCCTCACTTCCCAGACGGGGCGGCTACCGGGTGGAGGGGCTCCTCACTTCTCAGACAGGGCGGTTGCCAGGCAGAGGGTCTCCTCACTTCTCAGACGGGGCAGCCGGGCAGAGACGCTCCTCACCTCCCAGACGGGGTCGCGGCCGGGCAGAGGCGCTCCTCACATCCCAGACGGGGTGGCGGGGCAGAGGCGCTCCCCACATCTCAGACGACGGGCAGCCGGGCAGAGACGCTCTCCACCTCCCAGATGGGACGGCGGCCGGGAAGAGGCGTTCCCCACCTCCCGGACGGGATGGCGGCCGGGCAGAGACGCCCCTCACCCTCCAGACTGGGCAGCTAGGCAGAGGGGCTCCCCACATCCCAGACGATGGGCAGCCAGGCAGAGACGCTCTCCACCTCCCAGACGGGGTGGCGGCCGGGCAGAGGCTGCAATCTCGGCACTCTGGGAGGCCAAGGCAGGCGGCTGGGAGGTGGAGGTTGTAGCCAGCCAAGATCACGCCACTGCACTCCAGCCTGGGCACCATTGAGCACTGAGTGAACGAGACTCCGTCTGCAATCCCGGCACCTGGGGAGGCCGAGGCTGGCGGATCACTCGCGGCTAGGAACTGGAGACCAGCCCGGCCAACACAGCGAAACCCCGTCTCCACCAAAAAAATACGAAAACCAGTCAGGCGTGGCGGCGCGCACCTGCAATCGCAGGCACTCGGCAGGCTGAGGCAGGAGAATCAGGCAGGGAGGTTGCAGTGAGCCGAGATGGCAGCAGTACAGTCCAGCTTTGGCTCGGCATCAGAGGGAGACCGTGGAAAGAGAGGGAGAGGGAGACTGTGGGGAGAGGAAGAGGGAGAGGCAGAGGGAGAGGCAGAGGCAGAGGCAGAGGCAGAGGCAGAGGCAGAGGAATTTATCAATTTCTTAATGTATTGTTATTGCTTTTTAGGTTTTGATTAAGAAAACTTTACCTACCTCCAAGTTACAAAGATAGATCTATCTATCTATTCTATATATATACATATATGTGTATATATATATGTTTTATATATATGTTATATATATATGTTTTATATATATATATGTTATATATATATATATATATATATATATATATATATATATATATATTAGAGACACAGGGTCTTACTGTGTTGCCAAGGCTGGGGTGCAGTGGCTGTTCACAGCCATGATCATCACTACAGCCTTGAACTCCTGGCCTCAAGTGATCCTCCTGCCTCAGCCTCTTGAGTAGCTAGGACTCCAAGCACATGTCATGGCACCTAGCCACAAAGATACTCTTTTATGTTTTCTACTAAAACCTTTGTTTATAAAGCTGTTGGGGGCAGCTTTATAACTTCAGCTTTTGCATTTAGGTCTATGATTCATCTCAAATCAAATTTAGTATATGGTGTGAGGTAGGGATTTAGGTTCATTAATTTTCCCACACTGATATCTAGTTATTCTAGCATCAATTGTTGAAAAGTTTCCTTGCCCCCACTGAATTGCTTTGGCAACTTTGTTAGAAATCAAATGACTTTGGCCAGGCAAGATAACTCACACCTGTAATCCCAGCACTTTGGGAGGCCAAGGCAGGAGGACTGCTTGAACCCAGGAGTTCAAGAACAGCCTGGTAACATAGAGAGACCCTTTCTCTACAAAAATTAAAAATTTAGCTGGGTATGGTGGTGCATGCCTATAATCCTAGCTACTCAGGAGGCTTCAGTCTGAGGACTGCTTGAACCCAGGAGGTCGGGGCTGCAGTGAGCCATGATCATGCCACTGCACTCCAGCCTGGGTGACAGAGTGAAATCCTGTCTTGAAGAAAAAAAAAAGGGAAAAGAAAGAAAAGAAAAAAACAAAGAAAGAGAGAGAAAGAAGAAGAAAGAAAAAAACAGAAAGAAAGAAAGAAAAAAGGAAGAAAGAAAGAAAAAAGAAAGAAAGAAAGAAAGAGGGAAAGAGCCAATGACTTTATAATTTTGGATCTATTTCTGGGCTCTCTATTCTGTTCCATTGATCTGTTTATCAATTCATATGCCAGCCAGCAGCACTATGCTGTAGCAATTTCTTAAGCTTTATAGTAAGTCTTGGAGCCAGGTAGTCTAAGTCCTCCAACTTTGTTCCTTCTCAAATTTGCTTTGGCTATTTTGGGACCTTTGCTTTTCTCCCACACAATTTTTAAAGTGACACTTTCTTCTTTACTTTGGATCAGGTCCAAAGTATTCTTCCTCATTGACCTCTAAGTAGAAGAGAAACAAAAAGCATCCAAATAAATCGACAGGGGTAGGGTAGGGGTGGGTAGCTGAGGGACCTGGCAGGATGTTTATTCTCCCAGTTATATATTTCTGACTGGAGTGAGAATATGTGGCAAGCCACACAGTCTTTACCCCATCATTACCTAAAGCTGCCTTGGGCACTGGCACAGGACAACAGGTTTCAATATCATTCTTTTCACATTATTCATTAAAAAATGAATAGTAAGCTGGGCGCTGTGGCTCATGCCTGTAATCCCAGCACTTTGGGAGGCCAAGGCAGGCAGATCACCTGAGGTCAGGAGTTTGAGACCAGCCTGACCAACATGGAGAAACCCCATCTCTACTAAAAATACAAAATTAGCCGGGCATTGTGGCAGCATATGCCTGTAATCCCAGCTACTTGGGAGGCTGAGGCAGGAGAATTGCTTGAACCCAGGAGGTGGAGGTTGCGGTGAACCAAGATCATGCCGTTGCACTCCAGCCTAGGCAACAAGAGTGAAACTACGTCTCAAAAAAAAAAAAAAGAAAAAAAAAAGAATGGTAGCACTTGCCTCGGTAAAATATTCTCTATACTTTGGGAACGATGCTATTTCTCTTATGTTTCCTGTAGCTGCAACCCAAGTTTTTTTGGTTTTTTTTGTTTTTTTTGTTTTTTTTTTTTGAGACAGAGTCTTGCTCTGTCGCTCAGGCTGGAGTGCAGTGGTGTGGTCTTGGCTCACTGCAACCTCTGCCTTTTGGGTTCAAGGGATTCTTCTTCTTTTTTTTTTGAGACGGAGTTTTGCCCTTATTGCTCAGGCTGGAGTGCAATGGCATGATCTCGGCTCACCACAACCACCACCTCCCAGGTTCAAGCAATTCTCCTGCCTCAGCCTCCCGAGTAGCTGGGATTACAGGCATGAGCCTGTAATTTTTTTTTTTTTTTTTTTTAGTAGAGATGGAGTCTCTTCCTTGTTAGTCAGGCTGGTCTTGAACTCCCGACCTCAGGTGATCCACCCACCTCTGCCTCCCAAAGTGCTGGAATTACAGGCATAAGCCACTGTGCCCGGGCTTTTTTTTTTTTTTTTTTCCCAGAGACAGAGTCTCGCTCTGTTGCCCAGGCTGGAGTGCAGTGGCACAATCTCAGCTCACTTCAACCTCCACCTCCCGGGTTCTAGCAATTCTCCTGTCTCAGCCTCCCGAGTGGCTGGGACTACAGGTGCACACCACCACACCTGGCTAACTTTTTTGTATTTTAGTAGAGACAGGGTTCACTGTGTTGCCCAGGCTGGTCTTGAACTCCTGAGCTCAGGCAATCCACCCGCCTTGGCCTCCCAAAGCACTAGGATTACACGTGTGAGCCACCGTGCCTGGCCTCAAGAGATTCTTCTGTCTCAGCCTCCTGAGTAGCTGGGACTACAGGTGCACGCCACCACACCCAGCTAATTTTTGTATTTTTGTAGAGAGGGGGTTTCACCATATTGGACAGGCTGGTCTTGAACTCCTGACCTTGTGATCCACCCGCCTTGGCCTCCCAAAGTGCTGGGATTACAGGTGTGAGCCACTGCACCCGGCTGCAACACATGTTTTACACAAACGCAAGGCACTCAATAAATGTTTATTAACTAAAATTTGGCTCCTTTTAAATCATGAAATTAGAGTGTTTGAAGAAGCATTAAAGCTCATCTAGTTCAATCCTCCATCTGATTATATAGTGTCCTACTAAATACCAGGTTATACATAATTAGTATAGTGATAGAGTACTCACAGCCATATATGTCTAGAGCAGCTCATTCCATGAATTCCTTCCAAAATTCACTGAAAAGAAAACTGTTTGTTATTGCTTCACCAAGGGAATAAAGAAGGCTGTGGTCCAAAAATAAGATCACCATCATCTCCACTGCATAATTTATAGGATTTAGAGTCAGGCTGTGAGGAAGACAGTTCAGGAAAAGACATAACTGCAGGAGTACAACTATTTCTTCTGATTTTTGATACCCCTCTCTTCCATTTCCACCAAAACGAGAATTTATTTCAATGACAGCAAATGTTCATATAGGGAGAATAGTTGTACAGTATAGAGAAGCCCTAAAGTGTGTCATTTATCTAGTGTCTAATTATAAGTGGCTTGGGCGAAACCCCATAGCTACTAAAAATACAAAATTAGCCAGGCATGGTGGCGTGCACCTGTAATCCCAGCTACTTGGGAGGCTGAGGCAGGAGAATTGCTTGAACCCAGGAGGCAGAGGTTGCAGTGAGCCAAGATGGCGCCACTGCACTCCAGCCTGGGCGATAGAGCGAGACTCCGTCTCAAAAAATTAAAAATGAAAACATACACAGGGTCGGGCGCGGTGGCTCACGCCTGTAATCCCAGCACTTTGGGAAGCCGAGGTGGGCGGATCACCAGAGGTCAGAAGTTTGAGACAAACCTGGCCAACATAGTGAAACCCTGTCTCTACTAAAAATACAAAAAATTAACTGGGCATTGCGGCGGGTGCCTGTAATCCCAGCTACTCGGGAGGCCAAGGCAAGAGAATCTCTTGAACCTGGGAGGTGGACGTTGCAGTGAGTCAAGATGGTGCCACTGCACTCCAGCCTGGGCGACAGAGCGAGACTCAGTCTCAACACACACACACACAGACACACATACACACAATACACATGTGATTGGGGTTGTGGAGAAGCATTGACCATCTGTAAGCCCCTAGAGGGTGGGGGCTATAGGTTATTTGCGTTTTTTACAAGCAGGACCATGTCAGGCATATAATGGATGCCCATACATGTTTGAATCAATATGTAGCCTAATACAGTGATATTGGCAAGACGGGTTTAGAAACATTGTTTTGGTTCAAGATAGAGTTACTGCTTCTTCTACTTCTTAGGTAGGGCTAGAAATCGAATGGAGAATTACTTTCTGTTCATGTATGGGCAAGCGATTCATTGCCAGCCCTGTCAAAGACACATAGAGTTTTTTTTCTCATTGCACACAGGATTTGGGTGATTAGGAAAGTGGAGCGAGTCTACTAATAAACCGTTGTAATAGCACGCAAAGCAAAAATAAATTCAGCGTATTCGTCCCATGCCAATTTAGGAGCATATTTCTCAAATTATGTTTACGTAGGTTTTCCCTAGAGTGAGTGGTTCCCAATCTTGTTTTGTCGGTATTTGCCATCAGTTGTCATTAATTCATTGTTATTAATGGGAAGTGCTCTTTGATCCGTCGGAACCTTGCTCAGTATAGGCCCCAAATGTTCCTTTAAGCCTCGGGGAAAACGACTTTGGCTGGTCGGTGCCCAAAGCCACACCCACTAAGAGGCCTTAGGAAACCTGGGGCTTTCCTGGCGGCGACCTAGCTGTGGCAACCACGCGGCGCGTCGGGATCCCATGGGTCGCGCTTGTTTTCCCCGTGGGAGGCGCGTCCCCCTCCTCCGCCCGGCCGGCCGGCCCTGGACCAGCTGCCTTTCTGGCCGGGACGCCGGGCCCCTTTCCGCACGCGGCGCGCCCCGAGTTCATTTGCATAGGGACGCGCGCGGCGCCGGCGAGAGGGAGGGCGGGCGCGGCCGGGAAGACGGCGCGCGCGCGCCCTGACAGCTCGGCCCTGCTCGCTCACTCGCTCGTCCCCGGCTTCCGAGCACAGCATGGCGGTCAAGGTGACTCCAACTCTCTGCTGCTGCTTTTATTGCATAAGAGACATTCCGAGCGCCCTGCCTGCAGCCCCCCACTGCTTCCCATTTTATTCATTGTCTAGGTCTTAGATAGCTTGTCCTGGGGCTCCGGCTTGCTGCGGGGAGAGCTGTGCGGGGCTTGGACCGGAGGAGGGGATGCCCGGCTGGGGGAGGGGAAGGAGGAGGGATTGTGAGTTGAAGGGGCTTGTACGGTAACACGGGTCAGTGAAGGAAGAGTAATGTCCTGTCCTAGGTGCATGGGATTGTGAGTCCGGAGTTGGAGGGCATCAGAAAGGGTGTGGGAGGAAGTGGCAAGTAAAGCTGGGGATACCTAGGGTATCAGTGAATTGCGGTGGGGGAGGGAGTAAGTATTGAGTAATTTGGGGCCTCAATAAGGCCGAGGGCAGTGGTTGGCTTTTGCGTTGCAGATTGCAGGGTATGGAAAGTATTTGTATTTGTGGCAGCTCTCATATTTTAGGTTGGATGGGGAGAGGGACGCGGAGATAATTACATGTTGGGTTTGCTTTTTATGGAGAAAGGCTGCTAGGCCAAGTGATTAATTTGGGTGATTTAACTTTCCTGTTGATCTACTCTTGTTAGCTTCTTGATTTGAAGGTGGGTGGTTACTACTGTGTTGCTAGTAGATGTGGAATAAAGTAAAAGATCCTCATTGCCTTCCCTTTCCAGTCCAGAGGAAGCACTGTCCGATAGCTTTGCTGTATCTTAGGCTATTCGCACCTGTTTTTCTGCCCTCTAGTCACAGTTATCCAGTTTGACAGTTCTTATCAGCAATTAGGGCTTTTAGTTTGTTTTAAACTAAATGATAAAAGATAGGAGCATTGATTGTTAGCCATGTGACCTCTAATCTGAAGAGATTGTGTGGTCTCTAGTGAAGCATTAACTGGCTTTTTTTTCTTTTTTGCTTACAGGTGCAGACAACTAAGCGAGGGGATCCTCATGAGTTAAGAAACATATTTCTACAGGTAAATTGGCTTGCATAGTGTGCCTTTCATTGCAAAAACAAAAAACGTACATGTCCTTAGTCCTATTCATGCCTTAACTTTGAGGAATGTTCAGTTTTCATGTATTCTTTCAAACATGACCGGACAATATAGCTTATACTTCTCTTAATAAGGTTTGATTTAAGGCCTTCTTTTAATTAAGGGTCGATAAAAGGTTTTCCTCAAGTTACTGCTTTTTTTTTTACATGACTTAAGATATATATTTTGAAAAAAAATTTCCAGCTTAAGCACAGAGACCAAGATAAAATTTCAAAATGTATTGGCATTCTTGTATAGTTAATAGGTATGATGACTAAAATTCTCTTCCTTGAAAGTTGCATGTTTACAAAGTTTTCCTACTTATGAGCTATCCTCCATGTAATTTGTTACAGAGATAAGAATATTATAGCTATTCTTAATTTGTGTGTCTTACTTACATTGTATCCTTAAGCCTTGGGGATTTTACCCCAAAATGTTACCTCTTAAGATTCTTGCAATGGTCTACCTTAACTTCTAAGCTTTTAGAATCAGTGACTTGGCTGTAGACTTAAAAAGAAAAGAAAAAAGAAAAAAAAAAGGTTGGCTTAGTTTTTTGTTTTGCTTTCTTTTCTTAAATTTCAAAAGTTTCCTATGCAGGAAATTGTACTTAAGAAGTAGATGTAGGCCGGGCGCGGTGGCTCACGCCTGTAATTCCAGTATTTTGGGAGGCCGAGGCGGGTGGACCATGAGGTCAGGAGATCGAGACCATCCTGGCTAACACGGTGAAACCCCGTCTCTACTAAAAATACAAAAAATTAGCCGGGCGTGGTGGTGGGCGCCTGTAGTCCCAGCTACTCGGGAGGCTGAGGCAGGAGAATGGCGTTAACCCGGGAAGCGGAGCTTGCAGTGAGTCGAGATCGTGCCACTGCACTCCAGCCTGGGGACAGAGAGACACTGTCTCAAAAAAAAAAAAAAGTAGATGTAAAGGGAGGCAAGCTAAGGTGTTTCACCAAATATTGCATTTCTCTCTGAAATCTTTTGAGAACTTTCTATTCTGGACCTGGGTTCTTATGAAGACACTTTGACCTTGGGCAGGTCCCTGCTGTGTATTATTTTCCTCTGTGAAATGAGAGGTGATCTCCAAGGTTCCTTCCCATTCCAAAAGTCTATGAGTCTATTTTAGGAACAGATTCTAACATATGCTGATGAGCCTGGAATAGATGACATTTTTATTTGAGATATGTGGTTTGCTTAAGCTATTGTTGGGTAAGACGCTGCGTAGTTGAGCATACATATGTGTAGTTTATGAAAAATAATTTGTGAAAATGGGAATCTTAAAGGTCATAATATCTGATAAGGGAAGTATTTTTTTCCAGAACAGAAGTAATTATAATAACAGAAATGGTCCATTTATGACTTGAAACCTTTATTCCTTGCAGGCATTCTTGAAAATAGCCAAAAATATATCGGTATTCACCATACCATGTGATTATAGTCAATTGTTTTGTGAAGAGTTCATGTGATATAGTTAATTTTATGTTCTAGACTAAGTAGATGCGGAAGAAATGAGTTGAAATGCTGCATGATGTAGTGAAAAGAATACTGCCTAGGTATCTGAGTACTGCCTAGGAATACGGAGTTAATTCCCAGCCCTGCATTTATCTGGTTCTTGTACCCTTAGGCTAATCATCTGGCCTTCCTGAGTTTCAGCTTCTCATGTGGGACTCAGTGGGACATAAAGGAATGGGAATTGAGGTCTTTCTAGCTTTAAAAATTCTATGGGAAAAAAATATACTGTGATTCTGTATGGATTTGTTTTTTGTTTTTGAGTGGGGGTAGAGGTGGGTTGGAGGTATGAGGAGAATGGCGAGGACTGTCCCTAGCTCTTTGACAACTTTTTTTTTTTTTTGAGATGGAGTCTCGCTCTGTCGCCCAGGCTGGAATGCACTGGCGTGATCTTGGCTCACTGCAACTTCTGCCTCCGGGGTTCAAGCAATTCTCTTGCCTCCGAGTAGCTGGGATTACAGGCATGTGCCACCACACCCGGCTAATTTTTTGTATTTTTAGTAGAGACAG
Organism: Homo sapiens; assembly: GCF_000001405.40. Classification (NCBI taxonomy): domain Eukaryota; kingdom Metazoa; phylum Chordata; class Mammalia; order Primates; family Hominidae; genus Homo; species Homo sapiens. Next base: position 171,891,131 of record NC_000002.12, on the reverse strand, counting down.
GGTTTCACCATGTTAGCCAGGATGGTCTTGATCTCCTGACCTCGTGATCTGTGTGCCTCAGCCTCCCAAAGTGCTGGGATTACAGGCGTGAGCCACCATGCCTGGCCGATTCTTTGACAACTTTTAAATCTTAGCTTTTCATTTACTGTTTTGCATATCGTCATTATCTTTTTACACATTATTTTGATGATGCCTTTATTTTTATGTTGAAAATTTGTGGAATTCATAACTGCTTATTTAGCACTAAGTATGAAACATTGACACAAGCATTATTGATAGATAAGAGAGTGATAGAATGTAAATACTCACCTTCAGAAAGGCCTAACGCAGCAAGAAAGATAACAATATAGGCTGAGTGCAGTAGCTCACACCTGTAATCTCAGCACTTTGGGAGGCTGAGGCTAGAGGATCACTTGAGCCCAGGAGTTCAAGACCAACCTGAGCAATATAGTGAGACCTCGTCTCTGCAAAAAATTTTAAAAATTAGCCACACCTGGTGGCATCCATCTGTGGTCCCAGCTACTCAGGTGGCTGAGGTAGGAGGATTGCTTGATCCTAGGAGGCAGAGGTTGCAGTAAGCCAAGATCATACCACTGCACTCCAGCCTGGCAACAGAGCAAGACCTTGTTACACACACACACACACACACACACAGACACACACGATACAGTATTGCTAGTTGGATCAATTTGAGGATAGTTACCAAGTAAAAGATTTTTATTCCTGGCTTGAATACTTCAAACTATAGTTATTTGAAGCTTTGCAGTACTGTTTAGAAACAGTTTTATGAAACAGTTTTATAGATGCATATAGTTGATTAATATTTTAGCTATAATAGAAGACAAAAATACATGCTAACCGTGTATTTCTTTAGCACTTAACATATTTACCCAACAAATATTTACAAAGGATTATTTGCTGTGTACCATGCACTTTTATTCAATACAATACTGTTCAGTAGCAGACACCAAGTCGAATATCAAGAGAGACAACAGAGCCAAGACCTAAATGCTGATGGACATGTGATTGGACTAGCTGCTCTCTCAGGCCCATGCCATCTCTCATGGTTTGTGGTTGAGGGAATCAAGAATAGTGAAGGCAAATGCATAGCCTGTGGTAGAGCAATCAGATTGGCTTCTTACATCATAGTGGCTGTGTAATAATATTGACAATGGCTAACATTTATTGATCATTTAGAGTGTGCTTGAGATTGGCCTAGTGCTTTAAGGATATTAATGTTAGTTTTCATAACAACTTTATGAAGCAGGTTTAATATCCTTGTTACATAGATGAGGTTAAATTAATGTCAGACTATGTGGTAGAGCCAGATTCAAATCAAATTCCAGAGCCCATACCCTTAACCCTTACATAATACTACTGGTAGGATATTGAAATGGGGTGACTTTTGAAAGACAGAGGTATATCAGGGGATAATGGCAGAGTGTTAAGAAGTTAAAAAAAAATCTGGTTACTTAGGTGATGAAATTTAAAAAGTTTCTTTACACTGTAACTGTCTAGAATAGTTAGCCAAGGAATTTGGATTTGAAACAGTAGGGAGCCACTGTGGGTTTCTGAGTAGGCAAATTGAAGTGGTGAATTCTGGCAGCTTTTTGTGTATGTTGGATAAAGTATGAAGAGATTGGAAGTAGCTTAGGTGATAAGCTGAGAGGCTACTGAAGTAATACTTTTGAGAATTAATGACCTAGAGTGGTTGATGGCTGGGGAAATGAAAAGCAAGGACAATACCAGCGATGTAAGGGAAGAATCTATCGAATTTGGTATTAAATATGGAAGTAAGGGAAGAAGTAGAAGTGAACCTGTCAGTTTTAGGATAGGTGTTAATTGATAAGGCATCTATTTAGATAATATTTTTTGGGGGGATGGGGTTAGTTTGGTTGCTAAACAAATGTATCTCACTAAGTTAAAGTTGGATTTGGACAGATACAAATTTGTGCAGGTGGTAGATGAATTCCTTGTATATAAAGCAAGGCAGAGGATCAGGGGCTGATTTATAAGTGATATCTCCAATTGAAGTAGGAAGGAGGAGGAGGGGAAATAGGGAGAATGGTCCCATGAAAGTTTAAAGTAGGAGTTTCACAAGAAGGATATAATTAAAGGTTAAAATGTAGATTATTCTGTTATTAGTATGATTTAGTTTGGGGAGGATTTTGGGGTCACTTGAGTTTAGAATTATCTGAGCTACTTAAAGACTATAAAGAGATATAATTTTAAATTTTAGAGTACAGTTGAAAACTCTTTGTAAAATGTAGATCTGTGGCATTAACTGTTTAAGTTCACAAATAGTCAATAAAAATTCCTACTTTCAAATAAGAATATTTTGTTAAACTTTTGAGCCATGGGTCAAAAGTCATTTGTAAAACAATAAAATGGCCGGGTGTGGTGGCTCACACCTGTAATCCCAGCAATTTGGGAGGCTGAGGCGGGTGGATCACTTGAGGTCAGGAGTTTGAGACCAGCCTGGGCAACATGGTGAAACCCTGTCTCTATAAAAAATATAAAAAATTAGCCAGATGTGGTAGCGCACGCCTGTAATCTCAGCTACTAGGGAAGCTGAGGCAGGAGAATCGCTTGAACCCGGGAAGCGGGGGTTGCAGTGAGCCGAGATTGTGCCACTGCACTTCAGCCTGGGCGACAGAGCGAGACTCACTGTCTCAAAAAAAATAATAATTAAAAAAATATATATATATTTTTATTTGAAAGTACTGGTATATCAGCTGGGTGCGGCAGCTCATACCTGTAATCCCAGTGCTTTGCGAGGCTGAGGTGGGAGGATCACTTGAGGCCAGGAGTTCAAGACCAGCCTGGGCAACAAAGCGAGATTCCATGGCTACAAATATATGTATATAGATTTAGCTGGGTGCGGTGGTACATGCCTGTGGTCCTAGCTGCTCTGGAAGCTGAGATGGGAGGATCACTTGAGCCCAGAAGTTCGAGGTTACAATGAGTTATCATTATACCACTGCACTCCAGCATGGGTGACAGAACAAGACTTTGTCTCCAAAAAAAAAAAAAAAAAGGAAAAAAGAAAAGAAAGTGGCAACTGACTTATTTATGTATCTATGTTTAGTGAAATTGTATGAGAATTGGTGTGGGAGTTCATAAGAAGGGCTTTATAAGAGTAAAGCATTATTATTTTGAATATAGGGAAATAGGTTCATTTTTCCTGTGGTGTTCATTGCTTCTCAAGTTTTGATGAGCTATGTTTCTATTAGTTAAAAAACATCAACAACAACAGTATGCACTAAGATTCTGCCTTTTTCTGCCCACCTCCACTCTGCCAAGTTCATGAAATTGGAGTACAACAAATGAATTCTTATGTGTTAGGCTGTGCTGTAATTTTACAACTGGTTTAAGCTAAGATTTTACCATTACCACCCTTACAACTGTCATTTCTTGATTTATCCCTTTTTTCTTTTAACCTCTCTCACCCACACACTGTCATTGATTCAATTTAGCTACATCAGCAGTGTACAGTAGCAAAAGGAGACAATAGAAGCAGTGAAGAAGAAGGTGAGGTGGGACAGCAGGAACATAAGTCTGACAAATTTCTAAATGAAGAGTTAATTTTGTCTGTCCCTTGTGGCAAAGTAGATTTATCAAAAACATTTAAATGAATTATTTTTTAATCTCTCTCTCTTTTTAGTTAATAGGCTTCTTTTGTTTGCTGGTGTGTTGTATAGTAAAGGCAATATATGTTAAGACTGCAACTATATTTGCCAGATCAAAAATTTACTGAAATGTAGACCTCAAATATTATTTTAATTTTGTTCTTTTTTCATTATCACCAATGTAACAATGAAGATCGTATCCCATACAAAATTATGAAAATGTGCTTTTTTCCTGTCTTATTTTAGGTTAGAGAATAAAGAGGAGAAGATACTGTTAATGTAAAGCAAAGGGCGATTCCTCCTTAGGGTTTTTACAATAACATTTATTTTTAATAGAAAGATATGTTCTTTTATTCAAATAGTTTATGTATTTTATTTACTTATTTTTGACAGTAGCCTGGAGCTGAGAAGGGAATAAAGCAGGGCTTTTAGCAGGAGACCCTTACTCTTTGTTGAAATATACATTAGGGCTGTGTTTCCAAAAGTGTGGAAGGTATACCACAATATTAGAGTAACAATAAGATTATCAAGTATTAAAGGGTGATACAGTATTTGTGGAAACAAAGACTCTGAAAAGCAAGCTGGCAATGGTTTAAAATAAAAAGAAAATATCATTTGAACAAACAATGGTATTTTCTTTTGGATTATTTATCCCAGAGAAATAAAAATATTTGTAAAAATATAAGAATATAGGGCAAGATGTGGTGGCTCATGCCTGTAATCCCAGCACTTTGGGAGGCCAAGGTGGGCGGATCACAAGGTCAGGAGATTGAGACCATCCTGGCTAACATGGTGAAACCCTGTCTCTACAAAAAATACAAAAAAATTAGCCGGGCATGGTGGCGGGTGCCTGTAGTCCCAGCTACTCGGGAGGCTGAGGCAGGAGAATGGCGTGAACCTGGGAGGCTGAGGTTGCAGTGAGCCGAGATCGCGCCACTGCACTCCAGCCTGGGCGACAGAGCGAAACTCTGTCTCAAAACAAAAAAAAAAGAATATATATGTACAAGGTTAACTGCAGCACTGAATTTTTCCTCAAAAAAGAAAAAAAAAAAAAACAGCCTAGGCAACGTGGCAAAACCCCATCTCTACAAAAAATACAAAAACCTAGCTGGGTGTGGTGGTGGCATGAGCCTATAGTCCCAGTTACTTGGGAGGCTGAGGTGGGAGGATCACCTAAGCCTAGGAGGTTGAGGCTGCAGTGAGCCATGTGCACCACTGCACTCCAGCCTGAGTGACAGAGTGAGACTCTGTCTCAAAAAAAAAAAAAAAAAAGCTATTATATTAAAGAGGAGTGGTAGAAGACTTATGGAATAACTATACTATGAAAGTTATGCAGATACTAAAAAGAATGAGTTAGGCCTAGACCACCAATTTAGAGAAATTTTGCAATGTACTATTAAGTGAGAAAGATGCAAATAAGTATATATAGCATGATTCTGATTTGTAAAACAAAGTCATTTCATGTATGTTTACATATAATATGTTTGTGTATGATTTAATGAGCACTGAGAAAGTTATGAAAGGATAAATACTAGGTTGTTAACTTGAGGGAAGAATAAAGAGGAAAATAAAAATAGTCTCAATGTATATGTATTAAGCTTTGAGCAAGTGAGTAATTTAAAAAGTAAGAATTTAGCAATTCAGAGCCTGAAGCTACAAGAGGATTTCCCAGCATAATTTGGATTGAATAAACCCAGTATGAGACACACAGAAAAGGATCTATAGTTTTATTAACCATGCTATTATAATTGAGGGTTTTCACCAGTTCCTCAGAAATATGGAAATTGAAGATGATAACCTATTTATTTATTTATTTATTTATTTATTTATTGAGACAGAGTTTTACTGTGTTACCCAGACTGGAGTGCAGTGGCATGATCTTGGCTCACTGCAACCTCCGCCTCCCGGGTTCAAGCAATTCTCATGCCTCAGCTTCCTGAGTAGCTGGGATTACAGACACATGCCTAGCTAATTTTTGTGTTTTTAGTAGAGACAGGGTTTCACCATCTTGGTCAGGCTGGTCTCGAACTCCTGACCTCAGGTGATCCACCTGCCTCAGCCTCCCAAAGTGTTGGGATTACAGGCATGAGCCACCATGCCCAGCCTTTTCTAAATACTTTAGAAAGTATTTAACATAAACTATATAGAGTTCTCATTAAAAAAAAAAAGAACAGTATTAGGCATTAAAGGCAGACTAGCAGGATAGTGAGACTTTGTCCTTGAATCAAGCAGAAGGATTGAAAAATAATAAAAAGATAAGAAAATTAGTGTTATTAAATGCCATGTGATGTTCTACTACCAATCAATACACTTTTTTTTTTTTTTTGAGACGGAGTCTCTGGGCTCACTGCAAGCTCCGCCTCCCAGGTTCACGCCATTCTCCTGCCTCAGCCTCCCGAGTAGCTGGGACTACAGGCGCCCGCCACCACGCCCAGCTAATTTTTTGTATTTTTAGTAGAGACAGGGTTTCACCGTGTTAGCCAGGATGGTCTCAGTCTCCTGACTTTGTGATCCACCCTCCTCGGCCTCCCAAAGTGCTGGGATTATAGGCGTGAGCCACCGCACCTGGCCGATCAATACACTTTTAATTGCCTACTATGTACCAGGCTAAGCACTGTACTAGGTTCTACCTTTATAGAGATAAGATAGAGCTGTTTAGTGAGGGTAGGGACAATACAAAGGACCTCAGTGAAGGTAGAACCTCACATTCTTTTTTTTTTTTGGTGGGGGACAGAGTTTTGCTCTTGTTGCCCAGGCTGGAGTGCAATGGCGCAGTCTCAGCTCACTGCAACCACTGCATCCCAGGTTCAAGCAATTCTCCTGCCTCAGCCTCCTGAGTAGCTGGGATTACAGATGTGCACCACCACACCTGGCTAAATTTTTTTTGTATTTTTAGTAGAGATGGGGGTATCATCATGTTGGCCAGGCTGGTCTCGAACTCCTGACCTCAGGTGATGTACCTGCCTCGGCCTCCCAAAGTGCTGGGATTACAGATGAGAGCCACCATCCGTGCCCAGCCTAGAACCTAACATTCTAGGGGCGAGGTGGACAATTAAAAAAGCCCACAGAGCAGACCACGAGGTCAGGAGTTCGAGACCAGCCTGGACAACAAGGTGAAACCCCGTCTCTACTAAAAATACAAAAATTAGCCAGGCGTGGTGGCGGGCGCCTGTAATCCCAGCTACTTGGGAGGCTGAGGTGGGAGAATTGCTTGAACCCAGGAGGCAGAGGTTGCAGTGAGCCGAGATCGTGTCATTGCACTCCAGCCTGGGCGACAGAGGAAGACTCAGTCTCGGGGGGAAAAAAAAAAAAGCCCACAGATTGGCTGGGCACACTGGCTCATTCCTGTAATCCCACCTCTTTGGGAGGCTGAAGCAGGAGGATCACTTGAGGCCACTAGTTTGAGACCAGCCTGGCCAAAAAAGTGAGATTCTGTCTCTACAAAAAAAAAAAAAAAGATAAAAAAGAAAAGAAATTAGCCAGGCATGGTGGCCTGTGCTTGTAGTCCTAGCTACTAGGAAGGCTGAGGAAGGAAGATCATGTGAGCCCAGGAGTCTGAGGTTACAGTGAGCTAGGGTCATGCTACTGCACTCCAGCCTGGGTGATAGAGTAAGACCCTGTCTCTTAAAACAAAACAAAAAACAAAACAAACAAAAAAAAGCTTACTACAGATTGTGACACGTCCAAGGAAGTAAACAGAATAATGAGAAGGGCCATCATTTTTTAAATCATTTTTCAAGAGAGTGGTCAGTGAAGGGCCCTTAGGAGGCAATATTAAGAGCTGAGAACTAAAAGGGAATGAGGGTGAAGTGGTGGAGGGAATTCCAAAGGGCTCACACGTACAAAGCTTAGATATAGAAAAGGGTTTGATGTGTTCAACAAACAGAAAGGCCAGTGTGCCTGAAGCATTGGTAATTAAGTATGGGGGTAAATGGCCTCCCAAAGTACTGGGATTACAGGCGTGAGCCACTACGCCTGGCCGATTCTTTCAATTTAATGTCCTCCTGTCTATAGAGTTCCTAGAACATCTTGAGCTGGATGAAACTCCTTTTCATCCAGAGGGCAGCAGAGTGTACCTGGAGCCTACATGGGATTTGTAGTCTAACCTGGGTTTGAATCCTCATTTGAAACCTTTTGAGCTCAGGTGTTTACTTTTGGAGCCTGTTTTCTCATCTGTCTAAGAAGGGATAATGACACCTAGCACATAGGGATGTTCTAAAGATTAAATAAAATAACATGTAAACTATGCAGAACCAAATAAAGCTTAGTTCCTTGTCTCTTTCCTTCTCTTCTAAGTTGAGATTAGGATGTTTTGTTTGTTTCTTGAATAAGATCTGAGTCCCTTGTCTTCTCCAGATGACTATGCTGGACCTAGTCAAGAGACTAAGATGTTAATATGTATTTATGATTATGTACATATAATCAGTTAATTACTTACATTCTTGAGACATCCATCTGAAGTTATTGACAAATACCGATTTCTCTCAAGTCTATGAGGTTCTAAGATGTTGTATAGTCACAGTCTAAGGCTGGGAGACCCGAGAGACCATGGAAGATGTTTGCAGAGTTTTCTTCTGAAACTTCATTCGCTCAGTCTGGACGTGTAAAAGAATAACGGTCCAGCCATAGGCTCTGAAATCCCAAGACACAGACTTGAAAAAATACATATTTTTTTTTTGTGCGTAACTTTCTTTTTTAAAATCACCACCTCCCTGTTCTGTGCAGATTTCTCTTACTTAGTACTGTGGAAATTTCTGAAAGCATCTTCCACTGAAACCATTGCTATGGCCAGCGTTGGGTTTCTAGAACTGGAAGAAACACACATTTTGAAAATATTAGTCAGTACTATTTCAGTCTTCAGTGACAGGAATTTTGGTTAAACATGCGTAGGCTTAGAATGTACTGGCTCTAGCCATGAGTGGATCAGGAGCTTAACTGCTGTCACCAGGGATCATGCACCTTTCATCTCTTAGTTTTGGTTTCTGTTGTGCTAGCTTCATTCTCAAACAGGCTTTGCCATGTGGAGCATCCCCAGATTAAAATCCTACCCATTCAGCAGAGAAAAGGTACTGTTTCTCCAATTTCTAGGTTAAGTCTAGGAATTATTGTCCTCCCTAATACCCCAAGAAAACCCATGTACTAGAAGGAGGCAGTGTTCTCATTGGCCAGATCTGGTTCACATGCTCACCTCTGGAACTGTTCAGTTGAGTCAGCCCCATTTGAATGACCTGTGTAAATTGAGGGTGAGGGAGGTGTGTATGTTCAAGAAAAATTAGCATGCAGTTACCAGAAGGGGGGAAGGAAAGCTAGGCACATTAAAACCAAGAACTGTTTATGTATAGCATATAAGGGATTGGAAAACCTGGAAGCCTAGGGGTGACTCAGGGAGGCTGGGAGACAGAGATGGCAAGAGATTCTGTGCCTCCAAGTCAACACTGCTGTATTTGGTAGCTTTCTAGAACATTCCAGTGCAGCTGTCATACTATCTGCAAAAATACCTTAAGTGAAATGACAAAAAATAACCAAAATTAGGACCCCTGAAGAAGAAATGTATCCTCACCTCATTTTTTCTTCAGAAAAATTTTTTCTCTCAGTCTTCTTTCTAGTCTTTTTCTTATGGTGGTCTTCCTCTCCCCATCTTCTTTTCTGTCCTTACCCTACCCCTCCCATCCCATGGCTCATTATTTTCAGCAGATCTGTTCAACACAGATTGCTATTGATTGTCCTACAAAGAGCCAGGTACTGTGCAAGGTGCTAGAGGTATGAGGATGAATAAGGTATCCCTGTTTTTAAAGGACTCATAGCCTAGAGCTGCTTAAATTACACATCCCTACATTAATACTTTTTTAAAAAAATAGAACATTCTGTATAAAGCTGAAGGCTTGAAGTCCTTCCTGAGCTCTACCCCAAAAGCCAATACTTCTGAAGGCTTGAAGTCCTTCCTGAGCTCTACCCCAAAAGCCAATAATTCCCTGCCACCTAAGAGGTAACCACTGTTCTTGGTCGTGTTTCTTTCTGATCTTTCCCCATACATTTACACAGAAAATATGGGGTTTTGGCCGGGCGCGATGGCCTGTAATCCTAGCACTTTGGGAGGCCGAGGCGGCTGGATCACCTGAGGTTAGGAGTTCAAGACCAGCCTGGCCCACATGGTGAAACCCCATCTCTACTAAAATACAAAAATTAGCCAGGCATGATGGCGGATGCCTGTAATCTCAACTGCTCGGGAGGCTGAGATGGGAGAATCGCTTGAACCTGGGAGATGGTGGTTGCAGTGAGCTGAGATCACACCACTCCACTCCAGCCTGGGTGGCTGAGTGAGACTCCGTCTCAACAACAACAACAACAACAACAAAAAAAGAAAATATGGGGTTTTGTGGTTTTAAAAAACATAAATAATAATAGCTAATGCTTACTGTGTCACTGTTATGTATCAGGCACTATTTTAAGTATTTTATATAAATCATCATATTTAATCCTCAGAACAACTCTATAAGGTAGGAACGATTAGTATTCCCATTTTACAGATGAGGAAACTAAGCCCCAGAAAGGTTAAGTAGCTTGTTCAAGGATATACAGTAAACGGAGGAGCTTTGCTTTATATATTTTAATACAATTCGCCTTTTTTACTTAATATTATTTGGAGATACAGGTATGTTAGTGTGTAAAGAATTGTTTCATTATTTTTCTGTAGCCCTTTAAATAACTTTGTTATGAAAAATTTCAAACATATACAAATCTAGAGAAAATAGAATAATGATGGATACCATGGATGACTAGAGGGAGAAAGGAAGGAGGGGAACAGGGTGGAAAAACTATTGGGAACTATGCAAACTCTCTGGCTGATGGGATCATTTGTACCCCAAACCTCAGCATCACACAGTATTCCCTTGTAACAAACCCACACATGTACCCTCTTAATCTAAAATATGAATTGAGGCTCATGCCTGTAATCCCAGCACTTTCGAAGGCTGAGGTGGGTGGCTCACTTGAGGTCAGGAGTTCGAGGCCAGCCTGGCCAACATGGTAAAACCCCGCCTCTACTAAAAATACAAAAATTAGCGTGGTGGTGCATGCCTGTAATCCCAGCTACTAGGGAGACTGAGGCAGGAGAATCACTTGAACCTGGGAGGTGGAGGTTGCAGTGAGCCAAGGTCACGCCACTGCACTCCAGCCTGGGTGACAGAGGGAGACTCCATCTCAAAAAAATAAAATATGATTTGAAATTATTTTTTAAAAAGTTTGTTGTAATTCTAACTGAATTAATAAACTTTAAAATTCATACAAAAAAAGAGAAAATGGTATAATGAATCACCATATATCTGTCATTCCAGTGTCACCAATTATCATGGCTAACCTTGCTTCATCTGTATTACAGCCACAGTGGCTTATTTTGAAGCAGTTCTCAGACATCATCTTGCAGTATCCATAAATAGTTCAGTATGTAGCTCCTAAAGATAAACACTCTGAAAAACTAACCAAATCATAACACCATTATCACACCTAAAAAAAGTCTTATCATCAATTTCTTTTGAGTGTCGAAGTTCTCTGATTGTTTCATATATTTTTAAGTAGCTTTGTTAAAAAGCAGGATCCAAGCTAGATTCATACATTGCATTTGGTTGATCTGTTTCTTAGATCTTTTAATACTTTCTGCACCCTGCTATGTTAAAGGTCCTTATTTCTCTTTGGTAAAAATCTTGGTATTTAATCAAGGCTTATCAACATTAAGGCATTCCATCCCCCTAGGAGCAGCACCTTGATTGTCAAAGCGACATGATTTGCCCAAGCTTATACATATATATGCTTCTTGTATGTTCCCATGGTTACTTAGACTAAGAGACTAAAGTATTTATTTAAGGAATGATGCAAATTAATTATTCAACTTAATCTGCCTTGGGAAGCATTCTAGTTCCAGTTATTGGGTTCTTTGGGTCATTATTTTATTTCCAAGGTTTTTGGTTATTTTGAGTGGAAAATTGTTTTGGTAGATCTTCTTTATTATGGTAGCTTCAATTGATTTCATTGATTAATAAGGGTCTTTACCTCCCTGCTGTGTTAGAAATTGCATCATTCAGTAGCTGACAGTAGGGCTTACTATAGTGGACAGTGAAAATATATTAAAACAACAACAAAAATAAGCACATAGTATTCATGGAAGCAATCTGAGTTAGGAAGACAGAGCACTGAATAATATTTTTTTAGCAAAATCAGTAAAAGGTTTTGTTTCTAGTATATCCAAAATATGCAACTGAAAGTGCTAATCAAAATTAGATTTATACAACTGCTTTTCCCTAATGCTCATGTAGTTGATTTGAGTAACATTGGAAAAATTTTACATTACTAATTAAAATCCTTGTTTTTAAAAATTAATATGGCTTAATAAAGTTGTTAAAAAATCAAACTGGCCATATGTATTTAAAATAATTTTTTTCTTATAAAGTATTATTTATGATAGAATGCTCTTTTATTCTAATTGAACTAACATAATAAGGCAAATTACACATTGTACTGTTTAACAGGGTTTGTGTGTCAGATCTGCTGTGGTCTTTGCTCCTTATGTAGAGTGCTTGTGTAGTGAAAGGGCATGCATTCCTGACTAAATTTGGCTTCTGTTGGAAGTAAGAGCCATAATAGTGAAGGACAGTAAGAGAACTAGCTTCATATACTCAGTACTTGCCTTGGTACATATTGTCCTCTTTTATTGTTCAAATAATTCATTTTTCTATGTGGGAAATGCTCTATGAGATATCTGTAGTTACTAAACTTCATGATATTGTCATTTGAATTACTGAAATTGAAAGGATGTTAAGATCTGAAAATGTCAGTTCATCTCAGTTGGAACAAAGTAATGGAGGAACAGTTTGTTTTGACTCATATTACAGCCACATGTTGGTTAGACAGAGATAAAGCTGCCTAGACCAGTCAGGACCGATCTCGTGGTAAGCCCAGGAATACTGGAAGCCAACCCAGGGAAACTCTGGCTTGGAGAGAGATGAAAGGTTAGAACAATAATTTCTTCATGTTTGGGCAAAAGCAGAAGAATTCACTAAGCAAGGAGGGAAATAGAGATCCTATGCTTTTCTGTTTCTAAGCATTTTACAGTAACTATTTCAAGTTATATTTTACAATTTTGAAGTACTTTGGTGTTCAAGGTGTCATTTTTGCCTCACAATAGGACAGCAATTTTTCTGCAAACCCTTGTTAAAGAAGAGACTCCAAGAATCTGCATGTTTTGCCCAAAAATTCTTGAGTTAATGGCACAGGAGTTTAGAACCCAAGTTTTCTGACCCAGTTTTAGTGTCCGTCGTGCCATCATCTCTGAGCTACTTGACAGCAGGCACTATGTCTTGTTGATCTCTGCATCCCCAGTACCAGGCACCAGGCATAGTGCCTGGTACACAGTTTCAAAATGAATGCAAAATAACCTGAAAGATTTGATCTCAGCAGATTTTTGGCTTAAAAAGCAGTGTTTCTAGATATATTGCCTTAGTTTTGATGTGCATACTTCAAAAATCCTTAATCTTGATACACCATATAATTTTTTAAAAGTAACCAGTTTTCTAGTCACAACACATCAGAATTTTTCTTTATAGTCTCTGGAATATCTTTTAGAGATATAAAACATCAAAGGATCTGTTTATGAACTTAAACTATTTAAACAAGTAATTTGTATCATTTAGAGTGTTTGGGCTTTATGCTCATTCAAATCATTGAATTTTAAGTTAACCTTTTTTTCTTAGTGGAAATTTAGGGTTGTGTGTCAGTCTTTGTAATGTGTAGTTAATATAATAATATAGGTTGCATACATCCTTTTTTTTTTTTTTTTTCCTGGGATGGAGTCTTCTTCTGGTCGCCCAGGCTGGAGTGCAGTGAGTGGCACGATCTCGGCTTACTGCAACCTCCGCCTCCTGGGTTCAAGTGATTCTCCTGCCTCCGCCTCTCGAGTAGCTGGGATTGAAGGCACCCACCATCAGGCCTGGCTAATTTTTGTATTTTTAGTAGAGATGGGGTTTCGCTATGTTGGCCAGGCTGGTCTCAAACTCCTGAGCTCGTGATCCACCCGCCTCGGCCTCCCAAAGTGCTGGGATTACAGGTGTGAGCCACCGTGCCCAGCCGGTTGCATACATCCTAAAGGTCACTTAAGGTTAAATTTGGTAAATTGCAAAGGAGTTATTGCTATCCAGTTTATTCCAGTCAGTTGAAGCCTTGGTATGTTGATCTGTTGGCTTGGTAGGCAAAACATTTTTAAATGGCATGATCTTCTCATTTGGAGCTAGAGATAGTTCAGTGTAATTATGATACACATCTGTATGTGAAACCCTGCCATCTTTTATAGACAATAATTTTGATTAAATGTATGAGGATTCTAATCTCATGAGATCTATTTTATTTCTTAAGCTTTAGAATGTTAAGGCTTTCCTGAGCACATGCTAACTATACTCAATGTAAATTTAAATATTTCTGGAAATGTCAAAGCTGTATGTTCTTTTACATTTCAAATACTTGAGTTGGGCTTGGAAAAAGTTTAATCAAGAAAATGGACCAGCTATTTCAGATACATTTCAGATACTGTCAGCTACTTTATGTCAATGTCTTCCATGTGTCCTTGACTTCTTGCCCCAGAGGGATATACAACTGCTTAAGAGATATCTTTGAAATGGCAAATGATAAACTCTAAAGTTACTTGGAGTATAGACATACTTGGGTAATTTCATCTAAAGTCATTTTAGTTCATCCTTTGAAAACACAGGAACAAAATGAAAATTATATTATGAAACTATTAAATTGCTTGCTATACTAAGTGTGTATGTGTGTGTGGGGGGGCAACCTAGTGGGACCCCCATCTTTACAAAAAAATAAAAACTGAAAAACTTAGCTGAGCATGGTGGCACGTACCTGTGGTCCCAGCTACTCAGGAGGCTGAGGTGGGAGGATCACTTGAGTCCCCCCCCCCCCAAAAAAAAAAAACCCAAACCCCTGATTTAAATATATCACCAATTTTTGAGGTACCAGCTTTTCTTTGTTAGCATAATACCTAAAATATTTTAGCATTTTTGACTGACTGTGGGTAGATAGATTCTAGTTTCAGATCTAAACTCCCTCTTTGGTTGTGTTGTTCAGGCAACAGGCTTACAGACATTGCCAAGTAATTGTCTCTAATTTAATGAGTTAATTAGTTAACTGTCTCCTGTAGAAGTCAAGTACTGACTTCTTATGGATGGGAGAAAACTTATGCTTTTTTCCTCTAAGCTATACACTCTATCTTTCAGTTAAAATTAAGTTAAAATAGAGTAGGAGAGCTGGAGAAAACACTGGCAAAATACCTCAGGGTAAGTGGTTCTTTGGCATCATTTATAACCCCAGATACTGGCAAAGCCTGTTTCAGTACATGTCAACTAAAGCATTTGTTTTCTTTGTTAGCCGCTGTGTCCTTTGTGGTTTGTGCTAAGGCTGCTCTATTTCCTGATAGTTTTAAAGTCAAGAATGTTGACATCTTGGCGATTCCATATATACAGTATACTTTAAAAATTTTTAAATGTTAGATTCAAAAGGCCCATGTGCAGGTTTCTTTTTTTTTTTTTTTTTTTTGAGACAGAGTCTTGCGCTCGCCCAGGCTGTGGTGCAGTGGCGCAATCTTGGCTCACTGCAAGCTCCGCCGCCCGGGTTAACACCATTCTCTTGCCTCAGCCTCCCGAGTAGCGGGGACTACAGGCGCCCGCCACCACACCCAGCTAATTTTTTGTATTTTTAGTAGAGACGGGGTTTCACCATGTTAGCCAGGATGGTCTCGATCTCCTGACCTCGTGATCCACCCGTCTCCGCCTCCCAAAGTGCTGAGATTACAGGTGTGAGCCACCGCGCCCGGCCCCCATGTGCAGGTTTCTTACAAAGGTATGTTGTGTGATGCTGAGGTTTGGACTTCTGTTGATCCTGTCATCCAGATAGTGAACATGGTACCAAACAGGAATTTTTTCACCCCTTGCCCTTTCTCTCTCTCCCCGCTCTAATAGTCCCCAGTATCTATTGTTCCTGTCTTTATGTCCATGTGTACCTGTAACAGGTAGAGGGTCTTGACTGCAAGTTGTACAGGTTCTTGGCATTTTGAACAGAGTTGGACAAAACGCCCAGCAAAGCAAGGAAAGAATGAAGCAATGAAAGAACGAAAGCAGGAATTTATTGAAAATGAAAGTACACTCCACAGTGTGGGAGCCAATGAGCAGCGGATTAAGGGCCTGGATACAGAAACTTCTCGCGTCCAAATACTTCCTAGAGGTTCCCCATTGGCCACTTGGTGCTTACCTCATGTAAATGAAGTGGTGGCCCGCAATTGGTCTGATTGGTTGCGGAAAGCAACCTATCAGAGGCTGAAGTGAAGTTATAAAGGTCACACTCCCGTACAAACATCTGATTGGTTGCGGAAAGCAACCAATCAGAGGCTAAGGGAAAGTTACAACGTTGTATTTCTATGCAAAGGAAGAGTCTGCCTGCAGTCGGTCTGATTGCGAACAGCCAATTTCCCATCTGCCGTGGAGAAAAGGGGGTTTGCGAAGGGAGTAGCCTCAGGTCCTTTTGTTACTTAGGTGTGGAAAGTTAGGGTTTTCCTTTCAATTTAGTTCTAGGAAGTTGGTGTGAAATGGCCTCCAGACCCTGTTCTCCTGCCTCATACCCAATATTTAATTCCCACTTTTAAAAGAGAACATGTGATATTTGATTTTCTGTTTCTGCATTAATTCTGCTTAGGATAATGGCCTCCAGCTGCATCCACATTGTTGCAAAGGACATGATTCCAGTCTTTTTTATGGCTGCATAGTATTCTATGAAGTAGATGCCATACAGAACGCTTGTATTGTGTGTTTGTGTTTTTTATTTAGTGGTTGTAGTCCTGGAGGTCAAATTCAGATATTAGAGAATAGACACCTCTGTGGCAAAAAGAACAATTGTTGCCAAATTTTCTTAATACAAAATCTCTGAAATGTTTTCATGTGCTCCCCCCTCTTTTATCATCTGTTAATGAAACAAAGAAGCAACACAAGCAGTTGTGAAGAGCGAGAACAAAGATCACCATAATCCCATTTCTAGTATTTTCTTTTTTCTTTTTTTAAATTTGAGATGGAGTTCTGCTCTTGTCACCCAGGCTGGAGTGCATTGGTGCAATCTCGGCTCACTGCAACCTCTGCCTCCCGGGTTCAAGAGGTTCTCTTGTCTCAGCATCCCGAGTAGCTGGGATTACAGGCACCTGCCACCACGCCCAACTAATTATTATTATTTTTTTGAGACAGAATTTTACTCTTGTTTCCCAGGCTGGAGTGTAATGGTGCGATCTCGGCTCACCGCAACCTCCGCCTCCCGGGTTCAAGCGACTCTCCTGCCTCAGCCTTCCGAGTAGCTGGGATTATAGGCATGCGCCACCACACCCGTCTAATTTTGTATTTTTAGTAGAGATGGGGTTTCTCCATGTTGGTCAGGCTGGTCTCGAACTCCCGGACCTCAGGTGATCCCCCTACCTCAGCCTCCCAAAGTGCTGGGATTACAGGCTTGAGCCACCGCGCCTGGCCAGGATTCGAGCATTTTTATGATTATATATAATGTATACTTGTGTGTATGTACCTATATATTGCTAAATTTCTTTTCAAAAGGACTGAATTCGACAAAAGCAAGATGTATAGGACGGTATAAATAGTATGCTATCATTTATATAAAAAGAAATGGTAAGAATTTCATATATACACACATATATTTGGATGTATATATATTAACATTATATATATAATTTACTTGTTTATGGATAAAACATCTCTAGAAGGATACATAAGAAATCGATTGCCTCTGGGGTGGGTAATTGAGTGATTGGGAACAGAAGTAGGAGGAAGACTTTCCACTGTATATTCTTTGGTACCTTCTGAATTTTGAATGGTATGAATGTAATACTATTAAAATAATAAAAAACCATTAGCAATAGGTAAAAGTACCCACTGTCTTCTTTTTCATGCCCACTGTGTTGGTTCAGGCCTCAAGCTGTTTCACCTGTATCTTTTATTTATTTATTTTTTTGAGATGGAGTCTTGCTCTGTCGCACAGGCTGGAGTGCAGTGGTGCTATCTTGGGTCACTGCAACCTCCGCCTCCCAGGTTCAAGCAATTCTCTTGCCTCAGCCTCACCAGTAGTTGGGTCTACAGGTGCGTGCCACCACACCTAGCTAATTTTTTGTATTTTTAGTAGAGATGGGGTTTCACCGTGTTAGCCAGGATGGCCTCGATCTCCTGACCTCGTGATCTGCCTGCCTCAGCCTCCCAAAGTGCTGGGATTACAGGTGTGAGCCACTGCATCCGGCCCTCCCCTGTATCTTTGTAATAGCCACTTACCAGTCTCCCTGTTCGAAGTTAGTTCTTCTCTCCTTCACTCACCTTTTATGTTGCCATCAAGGATAGCACAGATCAGGTATGTCTCTCCTTTCTTCTTAAACTTTTAGTAGTATCCCACAGCTCGCAGAATAAAGTTCAGACTCTTCTGTTTAGCATTCAAAGTCTTCTACCATTTGGTTTCAAACTGCCTTTTCTACTACATGTATTAGTATACGCTCTCTTTATTACCATTTCTCTCTCCAACTAAGCCTTCTCCCAGAAAAGAAAAAAAAAGGGGGGGTATTTTTTGTTTCAACTTTGTTCACATTAGATTTTTGTGTTTTTGTTTTGTTTTGTTTTTGTTTTTAGCTTGAAATACCCATTCTCTCCACTTGCAATTGAAATTGGATTTAACTTTTAAGGTCCATTCCAAGTGTTGCCTTTCTCCCTCCATTCCCTGGCCCCATCCCACCAGTCCTAAGAATGAATCACTCCTTTTTGGTTCCCATAGTATATTTCTCATACCATTGTTTGCAACCCATATTCTAGTTACTGGTGGATGGAACTGGTAACAGGAACTAGTAATTGACTAGTAACTAACTTGTCAGTCTCCTTACATTCTGTTTTTAGACTTCCTTGTATCCATCCTTCTTTCCAGTTGCAGCGGTCTTCCTCATATTGTGCCTTTCCTCACTCCTGCCTATTCTTAACTCTAGTGGTTTTGTGATCTTGGTGGAACATGTCCAATTATCTCGTACATATTAAGAATAAGGAAGAAAAGCAATTGACAGGAATTGATGGAATCTACTTACTATTAGTGTAAATACCTTACAGTTTGCTTTTTCTTTATCCTATGTTTATATACTTATTGTTTTGAAACTTATTGTTTTCTTTATCCTGTGTTTATATATTTATTGTTTTGAAATTTCAAAGATTATTTTGTCTTCATTGTGTAAGTGTGTGAAATATCTAGAGGCCTGGGAGGACAATAAACTTGTCTAGGGACTCACAAAGGGTTAGTGGTAGAGCCAAGGTTTAAACCCAAAACCCCTTCAAGAATGGCTTTTATAGTCATGTATAGAGAACATGACTTTATTTTGGGGTGATATTTCTTGAATGCTTTTGGTAGCACCAATTAGTTAAAAAAAAAGTCCATATTGGGCTACGTCTTTTTATTTTTGTTCTATAGCACAAGTCATCAAGCAACCCCTGGGCTACTTTTTTTTTTTTTTTTTTTTTGAGACAGGGTCTTGCTCTGTCTCCCAAGCTGGAGTGCAGTGGTGCAATCTTGGCTCATTGCAACCTCCGCCTCCCAGGTTCAAGTGATTCTCCCACCTCTCAAATGCTTTGAATGCTAAACAGAAGAGTCTGAACTTTATTCTGCAAGCCATGGAACAATACTAAAAGTTTTAGAAGAAAGGAGAGACATAATCTGATCTGTGCTATTCCTGATGGCAACATGGAAGGTGAGTGGAGGAGAGAGGAACTAACTTGGGACAGGGAAACTAGGAAGTCGCTATTACAAAGATACAGGTGAGGGCCCGGCACGGTGGCTCACACCTGTAATCCCGGCACTTTGGGAGGCCGAGGCAGGTGGATCACGAGGTCAGGAGATCAAGACCATCCTGGCCTAACACGGTGAAACCCGTCTCTACTAAAAATACAAATTCAAGTGATTCTCCCATTCCTCTCAGTCTCCCAGGTAGATGTGACTAAAGGCGCATGCCACCATGCTTGGATAATTTTTGTATTTTTAGTAGAGATGGCATTTCACCATGTTGTTCAGGCTGGCCTCGAACTCTTGACTTCAAGTGATCTGGCCGCCTTGGCATCCCAAAGTGTTGGGATTACAGGCGTGAGCCACTGCGCCCGGCCACTGGGTTACTTCTTATGCAGGCTGATATAGCACTTGTGGTGGTAGTCTCTGTGGCTTTTTTTGTTTGTTTTTTGTTCTTTTGGACAGGGTCTTGCTCTGTCACTCAGACTGGAGTGTGGTGGCACAATCATGGCTCACTGTAGTCTCGACCTCCCAAGTTCCAGTGATCCTCCCTCCTCAGCATCCTGCATAGCTGGGAGTACAGGTGTGCACCACCATGCCCAGCTACTTTTCTAATTTTTTGTAGAGACCTGGTCTCTCCATGTTGCCCAGGCTGGAACTCCTGAGCTCAAGGGATCCTCCTGCCTTGGCCTCCCAAAGTACTGGGATTACAGGTGTGAGCCACTGTGCCTGGCCTAACTCTTTTCTTATTGAAAGAACAGGTGGCTTTGTTTAGTCAGATCCACAAATGGAGATGTTTGCAACACTTGACTAGAAAGCAAACCAACAATCATTTGCCCTGATTCTTCTTCCCTGTCTTGTTTCCTAGAAGCAACCACTTGTAACTCTTTTAGCTATTTCATTTGGTATTTCCCTTCACATTTCTATATTGATATTTCTAGACATTTTTGACTTTCTGTAATAGTAGCTGAGGTCTTAGCTTCCTTGTACTACTTCCTCTCACATTCCTGTCAGTATATTTATAATTTTATTTTTTTTTGAAACAGGGTCTTGCTCTGTTGCCCAGGCTGGAGTACAGTGGCATGATCACTGCTCACTGCAACCTCCACCTCCTAGGCTCAAGCAATCCTCCCAGCTCAGCCTCCTGAGTAGTTAGGACTATAGGCACGTGACATCATGCCCAGCTAATTTGTGTATTTTTGTAGAGATGGGGTTTTGCCATGTTGCCCAGGCTGGTCTTGAACTCCTGGGCTCAAGCAGTTGCCCGCCTTGGCCTCCCCAAGTGCTGGAATTACAGGTGTGAGCCACTGCACCTGTCCTATTTATAATTTTTATTAAATTAATATTTGATGTCTATATTATTATGACTATAAATACTGTTTATTTTGAGCCAAGTCATGGATTATGATATTTTCTATTTTTGTACAATTAAAGTAATTTCTCATAGTTAAAAATTACCAAACTTTTGATTTGCCTAGTTATTTGTGTACCTATTACCAATTCATTCATTTGCCAAATATTTACTGAGTGCCTACTATAAGCCAGGCATCATTCTTGGTGTTTGGGATATATTAGTAAACAAATTAGACAAAGATTCTTTCCCTTGTGACACATTCTAATTGGGAGATAGACAATAAACATAAGAAGTAGAATATAAAGTATGTTAGAAAGAGGTGCTGAGGGAAAAAAAAGCAGGACTGTTGAGGAGCATGATGCCCTTAATTCATGATTCTTTATATGTGACCTGGTTTTTCTCTCTGAAAACTTGTAGAATTTTCACTTCATTTGGATGTTCTGCAATTTAACGATGATGGGCCAGGCCCTAGTGTAGATGTTCGCTTTAATTTTTCATGCTTGACATTTTGTGAGCCCTTGTATTCTTCAGTTCTGATCTTACTGCTTTGTTGGTTGACTGAAGTAACAATCAATCTGATGCAACTCAAGGAGAAGGGCTTTGGTTGTTCATGTTTGGTCATCCCATAGTATATAAAGCCCTTAAATTAATGAGTTTCTTTGATACAGGTATTATTATTATTTTATTTAAAAAAATTATTGATGTAAAAAATTACTGATGTCAAAGAATATTTTAATTTATTTCCTATTTCTGGCTACTGGAACTTGGAATGATGAGAGGTCTTGTTTGTTATTCTTTTCTCATTCATTTCACTTCTAAGGTTTGGCAGATTACGTGTCTCCCTGGTGCTCTTGTAGACAGGAAGCCTCTGGGAGTCACTTTCAGGTCCTGGCTGCCCTTTCACTTTTCTTAGTCTTTTCATATCTTTTATCTTACCAATATATGTATTTTTAATTGAGATAAAATTCACATAATGTAAAATTCACCATTTTAACGTATACAATTCAGTGTTTTTTAAAAAAGTATATTTACCATGTTGTATGATGTTACCACTATCTAATTCCAGAACATTTTCATCATCCCCAAAGAGAAATCTGATAACCAGTAAGCAGTTAACTCCCATTCCCCCTCTCCTTTCAGCTCCTGGCAACCAATATTCTGCTTTCTGATTCTATGGTCTTGCCTATTGTGGACATGCCACTTAATAGTATCACATAATATATGGCCTTTAGTGTCTGTCTTCTTTCACTTATCATAATGTTTTCAAGGTTCCTACATGTTGTGCATGTATTAGTACTATAAAATGTTTTTAAATCAGGCTCTGAATATTTGATTTTTCGGTATCCAGAGAAAAATTCTGCATTTATTATCTTTATTTTGATTTTAATACTGGCCTTTAATTTACCTTTTCACAAACCATTTATTGGATATAAAATGATATTGGATAATTTTTCAGTATGCATTATTTATTTATTTTTTTAGTATGCCAGTACTGAGGTTGATGGAGAGCGTTATATGACCCCAGAAGACTTTGTTCAGCGCTATCTTGGACTGTATAATGATCCAAATAGTAACCCAAAGATCGTGCAGCTCTTGGCAGGAGTAGCTGATCAAACCAAGGATGGGTAAGTATCTTCATGCATTTTCTGAAAACTAATGTTCTGGAATATATTGTTAAAAATTTAAAAAACCAGCTGGGCACAGTGGCTCATGCCTGTAATCCCAGCGCTTTGGAAGGCTGAGGCGGGCGGATCACCTGAGGTCGGGAGTTTGAGACCAGCCTGACCAACATGGAGAAACCCTGTCTCTACTAAAAATACAAAATTAGCTGGGCATGGTGGCCCATGCCTGTAATCCCCAGCTACTCGGGAGGCTGAGGGAGGAGAATCGCTTGAATCCGGGAGGTGGAGGTTGTGGTGCGCCGAGATCGAGCTGCTGCACTTCAGCCTGGGCAACCAGAGCGAAACTCTGTCTCAAAAAAAAAAAAAAAAAAATTAAAAAACCCACAAACTTACCTACGGGTATCTAGAATTTTAATATTAGTAAACATGTAATTAGTAATTACCAAGTTGCTCATTAGTAATTAGAAAATATGTTTTTAAAATAAATATATTATTATTATATTTTGGGGATACATAAATCATTATGAAAAATGTATTCAGGCTGGGCGCGGTGGCTCACGCCTGTGATCCCAGCACTTTGGGAGGCCAAGTGGGTGGATCACGAGGTCAGGAGATTGAGACCATCCCGGCTAACATGGTGAAACCCCATCTCTACTAAAAAAAATACAAAAATTAGCCAGACACGGTGACGGGCGCCTGTAGTCCCAGCTACTTGGGAGCCTGAGATAGGAGAATGTCATGAACCCAGGAGGCAGAGCTTGCAGTGCGCCGAGATTGCGCCACTGCACTCTAGCCTGGGCAACAGAGCGAGGCTCCATCTCAGAAAAATGTATTTAAAAAAAATTTTGTTGTTTTTAAATCAAGGTGTAGCACTGCTGCATCAATATTAATCCAATGTTAAAAAACAGAGGAGCTGCAAAGAGCTAAGGCAATAAATACTGGCATCCTATATTTAAAGCATCTTGTAGGGTAGCTCTGTGACTTACGGGTTAGTGTAATGGTCTTAAAAAAGAGATTAGGCGCTCTCCCTCTCCCTCTCCCTCTCCCCACGGTCTCCCTCTCCCTCTCTTTCCATGGTCTCCCTCTGATGCCGAGCCGAAGCTGGACTGTACTGCTGCCATCTCGGCTCACTGCAACCTCCCTGCCTGATTCTCCTGCCTCAGCCTGCGATTGCAGGCGCACGCCGCCACACCTGACTGGTTTTCGTATTTTTTTGGTGGAGACGGGGTTTCGCTGTGTTGGCCGGGCTGGTCTCCAGCTCCTAACCGCGAGTGATCCGCCAGCCTTGGCCTCCCGAGGTGCTGGGATTGCAGACCGAGTCTGGTTCACTCAGTGCTCAATGGTGCCCAGGCTGGAGTGCAGTGGTGTGATCTCGGCTCGCTACAACCTCCACCTCCCAGCCGCCTGCCTTGGCCTCCCAAAGTGCCGAGATTGCAGCCTCTGCCCGGCCGCCACCCCGTCTGGGAAGTGAGGAGCGTCTCTGCCTGGCCGCCCATCGTCTGGGACGTGAGGAGCCCCTCTGCCTGGCTGCCCAGTCTGGAAAGTGAGGAGCGTCTCTGCCCGGCCGCCATCCCATCTAGGAAGTGAGGAGCGTCTCTGCCCGGCCGCCCATCGTCTGAGATGTGGGGAGCGCCTCTGCCCCACCGCCCCGTCTGGGATGTGAGGAGCGCCTCTGCCCAGCCGCGACCCCGTCTGGGAGGTGAGGAGCGTCTCTGCCTGGCCGCCCCATCAGAGAAGTGAGGAGACCCTCCGCCTGGCAACTGCCCCGTCTGAGAAGTGAGGAGCCCCTCCGCCCGGCAGCCGCCCCGTCTGGGAAGTGAGGAGCGTCTCCGCCCGGCAGCCACCCCGTCCGGGAGGGAGGTGGGGGTCAGCCCCCGCCAGGCCAGCCGCCCCGTCCGGGAGGGAGGTGGGGGGGGTCAGCCCCCCACCCGGCCAGCCGCCCCATCCGGGAGGTGAGGGGCGCCTCTGCCCGGCTGCCCCTACTGGGAAGTGAGGAGCCCCTCTGCACAGCCAGCCGCCCCGTTCGGGAGGGAGGTGGGGGGGTCAGCCCCCCGCCCGGCCAGCCGCCCCGTCCGGGAGGGAGGTGGGGGGGTCAGCCCCCCGCCCGGCCAGCCGCCCGGTTCGGGAGGTGAGGGGCGCCTCTGCCCGGCCGCCCCTACTGGGAAGTGAGGAGCCCCTCTGCCCGGCCAGCCACCCCGTCCGGGAGGGAGGTGGGGGGTCAGCCCCCTGCCCGGCCAGCCGCCCCGTCCGGGAGGTGAGGGGCGCCTCTGCCCGGCCGCCCCTACTGGGAAGTGAGGAGCCCCTCTGCCCGGCCACCACCCCGTCTGGGAGGTGTACCCAACAGCTCATTGAGAACGGGCCATGATGACAATGGCGGTTTTGTGGAATAGAAAGGGGGGAAAGGTGGGGAAAAGATTGAGAAATCGGATGGTTGCCGTGTCTGTGTAGAAAGAGGTAGACATGGGAGACTTTTCATTTTGTTCTGTACTAAGAAAAATTCTTATCCTGTTGATCTGTGACCTTACCCCCAACCCTGTGCTCTCTGAAACATGTGCTGTGTCCACTCAGGGTTAAATGGATTAAGGGCGGTGCAAGATGTGCTTTGTTAAACAGATGCTTGAAGGCAGCATGCTCGTTAAGAGTCATCACCACTCCCTAATCTCAAGTACCCAGGGACACAAACACTGCGGAAGGCCGCAGGGTCCTCTGCCTAGGAAAACCAGAGACCTTTGTTCACTTGTTTATCTGCTGACCTTCCCTCCACTATTGTCCTATGACCCTGCCAAATCCCCCTCTGCGAGAAACACCCAAGAATGATCAATTAAAAAAAATTTTTTTTTTGGAAAAATAATTGAAGCTTTATGTTGAAAAATATGAGGATGCCAGGCAAGTATTCCACTTTATAGGTCAAATTCTGAGCCAATAATTTTTAAACCACACTAACTGGAGATCCATGTTTTGTTTTGTTTTGGTCTACATTAAAAAAATATTTTATATATATGTATATAATATATATATTTTTTGAGATGGAGCCTTGCTCTGTTGGCCAGGCTGGAGTACAGTGGCATGATCTCAGCTCACTGCAACCTCCACCTCCTGGGTTCAAGTGATTCTCCTGCCTCAGTCTCCCAAGTAGCTGGGATTACAGATATGTGCCACCACACCTGGCTGATTTTTGTATTTTTAGGAGAGACAGGGTTTCACCATGTTGGCCAGGCTGATCTCGAACTCCTGACCTCAAGTGATCTGCCTGCCTCGGCCTCCCAAACTGCTGGGATTAGAGGTGTGAGCTACCATGCCCAGCCTTTAAAAATTGGTATATACTAGTTGTATAATTAAACTATATATTTTATTCAAAGTTTATAAAAATGGTGTTATTTACTGCGATTATCAAGGATACAGGCATTTCTTTTTTTCGAAAAAATATTTCACGGGAAAAGCCTCATTTTATGTTGAATAATCTGAGCAGAACGAGTTCCAAATAACCAAGTATATTTCTTCCATTCATTCAATAGGTATTGAGTGCCTGCTATGCCTCAGGTACTGTTCTTGGTGCTGGAATTATTAATATATCAGTGAAAAAGCCACAAAAAGATAATAAAAAAGTGAATTATGGTATGTTAGAAAGCTGTAAGTACTATGATGAAAAATAAATTAGGGGAGAGTTTAGGGAGTGATATTTATTAATTTATTTCTCTATTTATTTGGCAAACATTAATTGAACAGCCATTGTTTGTCAGGCACTGTTGGGCCTTACAAATACAAACATAAATTAAATGAGGCTTTTGGCCTTCAAAAGAAGGTAATAGCTTAGTGAGAAAGAAAATGACTAAACAAAGGAAAAAAGTAACACTTCTGAAATGAGGTGCTGTCATAGCTATATGAGAGGAATAGAGGGAACCCAAGAAAGCATGGTTAACTGTTTTGGGTGGTCAGGACAGCATCACAGAAGAGGTAATGCTTGAGTGAAATCTGGCAGGATGAGTACAAGCTTGTTAGTAGTTGGATAAGTAGGGACGAGAATTCCAGGAAAGGGAACAGGAACGGCATGAAACATTAAGGGGCGTGTGTGTGCGTGCGCATGTGCTCACATTAGTGAATGGCAATGGAGGAGGGTTGTGTTGCAAGTACTTTGATGTGGCTGTGGCATTGCTTTGTTGCTGGGGGAGATGTAGTTGGAGTGGCTGAAGGCTTTTGACTCTGTCTTGCAGGTATTTTTAGCCTGGTAGTGTATGGGTGTGTGAAAAGACAGAAATAACAAGGGGCATCTTGCTAGAGTGTCAGTTTACTCAACTCAGGGGAGAAAAGCAATCATTATTTGTATTAAAATCATATATGGCTGTATTATGGAGTGAATGTAATAGTTGCATGAATTAGATAAAGACAATTTTGGCTTGTTATGGCAGTTTCAGTCTACATCTCCAAGCCTCCAGGGCCTAGGCTCTTTCTCCTACCTGTTGAGGTGCTTGTGTGACAAACTTTGAGAAACTAGGCAGTAAGTAGTCTAAAAATTATTTCCATTACCACAGATGTAAACAGATTTTAGAAATGGTGGGTTGGAATGGGACAAGACTCGCATGCAATAGAATCAATTTAGGTAGCTATTGTAATAAAGTAGAAAGATTGGTGTCTAAGTTCTTTGAGTCCAGGATTAGTACTGTATTCAGTTTTATTGTCCCATAGAACCTTGCACAGTGTGTGAAATTTACTATGTGTTCAACAAATATTTGTTTTGGAAAGATTTTATATCATTTATAAATGGCAGGTATTGGGAAACTTGTATACCTTTTAGGTCTACTCTCTCAAAATATATCAACTGATAAATCACTGTGGATCATTCACTCATAGGATCTTTCAATAATGATTAGACAATAAAGCAAATGAAAATTAATTATACCTATCATAAGTCCTTCATCAGAATTATTAAAGGTAACATATATATTTAGCTCTTTTAGAAATTATCAGAGTATTTATTGTTAGTAATTTGGTCTAAGACCTGATTTCAGAATATCCATATATTTTCAAATGTTTCCTTTTATGACCATCTGCTCTATTCTATCTCAGTAGTGTATCTTCTTTGAAGCTTCATGTGGTTCTCCTAGGCTGAGTTGCATTGTTAAAGTAGGACATTTTCTTTTCTTTTTTTTTTTTTTTGTCGGAGACGGAGTCTCACTCTGACACCCAGGCTGGAGTGCAGTGGTGTGATCTCAGCTCACTGCAACCACTGCCTTCCGGGTTCAAGTGATTCTCCTGCCTCAGCCTCCCAAGTAGCTAGGATTATAGGTGCATGCCACCATGCTTGGCTAATTTTTGTGTTTTTAGTAGAGATGAGGTTTCACCATTTGGCCAGGCTTGTTGTCTCGAACTCCTGACCTTGTGATCTGCCCGCCTCGGTCTCCCAAAGAGCTGGGATTGCAGGCATAAGCCACCGCACCTGGCCCATTTTTCTTCTTATAATCATCTTTTTAAAAAGATATTCTCTACTGGGCACAGTGGCTCACACCTGTAATCTCAGCACTTTGGGAGGCTGAGGCGGGAGGATCGCTTGAGGCCAGGAGTTTGAGACCAGCTTGGACAACATGGTGAAACCCCATCTCTACACAATTAAAGAAAAAAATTAGCCAGTTGTGATGGTGTGTGCCTATAGCCTTAGCTACTTGGGAGAGTGAGGCAGGAGGATTGTTTGAGCCCAAGTGTTTGTGGCTGCAGTGAGCTATAACTGAGCCACTGCACTCCAGCCTGAGGGGCAAAATGTGAGATTCTGTCTTAACGAAAAAGAAAAAAGATATTCTCTTTTCTCCCTCTTTCTATTTTCTACCCCTTAACCCAGGGCAGTGATGAAATATTAGAATAGCTTACTTGGTACGTTGTTTCCTGCTCCAAAATGTGTTCCTTGGTTCTATCATAGTTTTCTGATGATGAGTCCTATAGATATGTTATGTGAAATAGCAACATATAATATTGCTTATAACCACTCAAGACCAAGTCTGAATGAGTGGAGCTAGTATAGACAAGTTCAAGTGATTTGGTTAAGTGTGTGAGAAAAATTGGTCTAGGAGTGGTTGAAACACGCTCTTTTGTGCTCTGCAATCCTTCCCCCATGTTTTCCGGGATGTTAACTGTTCCTCTCTCTTGTTCCCCATCTCCTTTCCCCCAGTAGATAGTAAAATAAGTAGGAGTGTTTGGATATGGGTGCTTGCTGTAGAAAGCCATGTAACATACAAAACAGCATTATATATTATAAATAGCACAATCAGTTGTCTAAAAGTAAAAGCCATTAGCCAAGTATTATTTGTGGGATTGTGGCTTAAACTTTGAAGTTCTGGTGTATAATGAAAAGCAAAATGATTTTATGCATTTAATGCAGATCTCAGAGACTATAATTGTGTGATCTAATCTAAAATATTTAGACTGTTGCTTACTTGAAATTGTAACTTCTAGAACCATAGTTTCTATATTTAGTCCTAGTCAGAATTTTATCTGGAGGTTCTGTTCTCCTGTGATGTAGAAAACTGGTGTTCTTTTCTTCTACTTTTTCCCCAAGTGTTTTCCTTTATGTTACACAGGCATATAGAGGAACCTTTTATGCAGAAATCTTGATTGTTTTACAAATTATAAAATTAACATTAATATTTTGTCATTTTATTAGTTCCTATTTACTAAATTAAAAAGGGGCTTCGTAGAAAATTTTTAAAAAACACACCAAATTCAGAAAATATATTTTTCAAAGTTATAAAATGAATACATGTTCTTTCTAAAAAGTCAGACAATGGGGTAATACGGTAAAGAGTGAAAGTACCTCCTTATCCCCATTACAAGGAAAACTAATAGAGTGTGAACTAATCAGTAGTTTCTTCACTCAACAGTTAGTAGCTTGTGGTTTGCATATATTCTATTAAAGTCTTGATTGGGCCCTTCTAGCAATAAAGGAATCCATGGCAGGATAAAAGGAAAAGGAGCCTTAAAAATATTCTGGAGCCAGGCATGGTGGTTCACACCTATGATCCCAGCACTTTGGGAGGCCAAGGCAGGAGGATCTCCTGAGGCTAGGAGTTCAAAACCAACCGGGGTAACATAGCAAAACCCCGTCTATACAAAAACATTTAAAAATTAACCGAGCATCCTGGTGCTTGTCTGTAGTCCCAGCTACTCAGGAGGCTGAGACAGGAGGATCACTTGAACCCAGGAGTTCTAGGTTACAGTGAGCTCTGATTGCACCATTGCTCTCCAGCTGGGAGACAGATTGAGACCTTGTTTCTTAAAATAAATAAATAAATAAAATTCTGGAACATGCTTGCTTTATGTTAGCATTGCAGACTATTTCTTGCTTTCAGAAAAATATTGTTGCATTATAATGCAGTAAGTATATAATGACTGTGGGCTTAAAATAGAGGAGAGTATCAGAGAGACTGTCAAGTGGCCTATTTTTCTCTCATTCCTCCCAACATTTTATTATGAAAATTTTCAAACATTCAAGAAAGTTGAAAGAATTTTATAGTGAACACCCATATATCTACCACCTAGACTACCACAGAGATTATATTATTATTATTATTTTATTATTTATTTTTATTTTTATTATTATTATTTTTGAGACAGGGTCCCACTCTGTTGCCCAGGCTGGAATGCAGTGGTGTGATCATGGCTTACTGCAGCCTCGACTTCCTGAGCTCAAATGATCCTCCCTACGTCAGCCTCCCAAATAGTTGGGACCACAGGCGCCTGCCTCATGCACAGCTAATTTTTATTTATTTTGGTATTTTTTGTAGAGATAGGGTCTTTCTATGTTGCTTAGGCTGGTCTTGAACTTTTGGGCTTAAGCAATCCTCCCCCTTTGGCCTTCCCAAGTGCTGGGATTACAGGCGTGAGCCACTGTACCTGGCCAGATTCTACTATTAACATCTGACTATTCTTGCTTTTTCATATATCCATCCATCCCTCTATCCTTCCATCAATCCATCTTTTTTTTAATACATTTCAGAGTAAAGTGCAGCCATTGATATAGTTCTTAAATATTTTAGCATGCACATTATTTACTAGTGTTTTTTGTTTTGAGGGTTTTTTGTTGTTGTTGTTTGTTGTGAGACAGAGTGTGTCTCTGTTACTCAGGCTGGAGTGCAGTGGCCCGATCTCGGCTCACTGCAACCTCTACCTCGCGGGTTCAA
This sequence comes from Homo sapiens, assembly GCF_000001405.40. Taxonomy (NCBI): domain Eukaryota; kingdom Metazoa; phylum Chordata; class Mammalia; order Primates; family Hominidae; genus Homo; species Homo sapiens. The sequence goes on along the minus strand of NC_000002.12, from coordinate 171,860,518 downwards.
GCAATTCTCATACTTCAGCCACCCAAATAGCTGGGATTACAGGCATGTGCCACTATGCCAGGCTAATTTTTTTTGTATTTTTAGTAGAGATGGGGTTTCACCATGTTGGCCAGGCTGGTCTCAAACTCCTGACCTCAAGTGATCCACTGACCTCAAGTGATCCACCCGCCTCAGCCTCCCGAAGTGCTGGGATTACAGGTGTGAGTGACCATGCCCAGCCTTTGAGTGTTTTTCTTTAAATGTAGGACTCGCACATAGTAAGAAAACGTAAATCTCAAAAGTGTATTTGCTGAGCTTTGACAAATGTATGCACCTAGGTAACCTCAAGTGACTTTTTTTATCGTGTTAAAATATACATAATATAACATTTACCATTTTAATCATTTTTAAGTGGACAGTTCAGTGGCTTTAAGTGCATTCACATTGTTAGGCAACCATTATCATATCCAAGGCCAGGCGCAGTGGCTCATGGCTGTAATCCGAGCACTTTGGGAGGCCTAGGTGGGCGGATCACCTGAGGTTAGGAGTTCAAAATCAGCCATGGCTAACATGGTGGAACCCCGTTTTTACTAAAAATACAAAAATTAGCCTGGTGTGGTGGCACGCACCTGTAATCCCAGCTACTCAGGAGGCTGAAGCAGGAGAATTGCTTGAATCCAGGAGGTGGAGGCGGAGGTTGCAGTGGGCCGAGATCATGCCATTGCACTCCAGCTGGGGCAACAAGAGCAAAACTCCGTCTCAAAAAAAAAAAATTGTTGTATCCATTTGCAGAACGTTTTTATCATTCCATACTGAAACCCCATACCAATTACATAATGACTCCCCATTCTCTTTCCTTCCACTCCAACCAGCCCCTGATAACCAGTACTCCACTTATTGCTACTATTTTAGCTATCTCACATAGGTGGAACAATATAATATTTGTCCTTTTGTGTCTGCCTTATTTCATTTAGCATAATGTTTTCAAGGCACATCTATATTACAGCATATGTCAGAATTTCATTCCTTTTTAAGGCTGAATAATGTACTCAGTTGATTTATTTTTTAGAGATAGAGTCTCACTCTGTCACCCAGGCTGAAATGCAGTGGCACAATCACAGCTCATTGCAGCCTCGAACTTGTGGGCTCAAGCGATCCTCTTGCCCTGGCCTCCTGAGTAGCTAGGACTACAGGCATGTGTCACCATAACAGGCTGATTTTTGACTAATTTTTAAGTTGTTGGTGCTTTTGTGTATTTTCATGATACATCTGAATATATATCTCGTGATATATCTGAATATATCTGAAGGTAACTGAGTATTGAGGGATGGCTGAGTATTACCCCAATAGCTTCTTATAATAGTGGTCTACTTACTAATGCCAGATACTCTTTCTGGTTTTCAACTATAGCTTTAAAATTGGGAAAGGGTTAGGAGATATACAGTAATGGAAGAACACCAAATTGAAGGCAGGAGTTAGGAGTCTTTAAGTAGACTCACTGATTTGCTGAATGTCTTTGAGGAAGATCACTTAACGTTTGCCTTTCTAAGGGTCCTTCTGGCTCCAAAGTTGCATGAATATATGATTTGTCTTTTTGAATATGCTGACAGACAAAATGTAGATATTTAGTAAATTCCATAGACTTTCTATTTTAAACAAAGGGCTACTTAATTGGAAACCTATGTGACAAGAGTCTCAAATCCACAAGGACAGTGTGGTCTGTAGATAGATAACTGATGAGCCCTGTTTGGTTGCTTTTCTGAAGGAGAAAGACTGCTTGTCTTCAAGGGGCTGGTGCTACTTGGGACCGGAAACCTAGTGTTGTTCACACTTGCAGTTTATCAAAATAAACCAGAAAAACTGAGTATTTATGGGAAATCTTGTCATTTCTTAATGTCAACTAATGCAACTAAAAAACAGTACTTTGCATGCCAAAGAAAACACATCTTTGGACCAAATTCAGTCTGCCAGCTGATAGTTTGTGACCTTTGCTAGTTAAGGAAGAAGTTTTTGGCCTCTTCTCATAAATATAGAAGGTTTTACTACTGAGCATGAAATTTGTTTTAAAGCTACGTATTCTGTATTTCAGGGTAGGTGTATTTTTTATGTCTTGATGCTGTTTTGTAGAAACCAATATGTTATGCCTTTTTAAAGAAAACCCATAATCAGCCTATTTTTATTTTTAAAATTATTGGTCAGTCTGTTTTTTTCTTCCTCAAACAGAAATTGCATGAAAAATACACTATAGAAAATCCTTGTATCAATTAACACATTTTGAAATATATAGAGTAATTAACATTGGACAATCAAGGAAAGATTAGTTTCCTAGGAAAATACTTCATTGAAGACCAGTCTGCAGATCTGTATGCATATGAGACACATTTTTATAATGCTGTTACTTGGACACTCATTACTAATGAGCAGCAAGATGGTATGGAATCTTTGTAGCAAGCTTGCTATGAAAGATCTAGTATATGCTGGCTTTGTAAGGTCACTGAAGGCAATTTCTGTGTAGTTTTGACCACTGGTTAATTTTATAACCTTGAGTATAATAGGACTCATTAAGTTCTAGAAACCCAACATATGAGTTTCCCCCACTTTTTGTTAAGTTTTGTTTTGTTTTGTTTTGAAATGGGTCTCACTTGGGTCTCACTCTGTTACCCAGGCTGGAGTGCAGTGGCTATTCACAGGCACCAGCATTGCATACTACAGCCTTGAACTCCTGGGCTCAAGTGATCCTCATGCCTCATCCTTTTGAGTAGCTGGGACTACAGGTTCATGACATTGCACCTGGCTCCCACCTTTTTTGTTTTGATTTTTCCTTTTAACATTTTTATTTAAAAAAAATTTTTTTTTAAACAGGGTCTGGCTCTGTTACCCAGGCTGGAGTACAGTGGCACAATCTTGGCTCACTGCAACCTCTGCCTCCTGGGCTTAAACTGTCCTCCCACTTCAGCCTCCCAAGTAGTTGGTACTACAGGTACACACCACCACACCTGGCTAATTTTTGTATTTTTTGTAGAGATGGGGTTTCACCATATTGCCTAAGCTGCTCTTGAACTCCTGAGCTCAAGTGATCTGCCTGCCTCAGCCTCCCAAAGTGCTGGCATTACAGGCGTGAGCTACTGTGCCCTGCCTCTAAAAGTTTTATTTTAATTTAATTATTTATTGAGACAGAGTCTGGTCTGTCGCCCAGGCTGGAGTGCGGTAGCATGATCATGGCTTATTACAGCCTCTACTTCCTGGGCTCAAGCAATCCTCCCACCTCAGCCTCCTGAGTTGTTGGGATTACAGGTGTGTGCCACCATGCCCAGCTAATTTTTTATTTTTACTTTTTGTAGAGGTGGAGTCTCCCTATGTTGCCCAGGTTGGTCTTAAACTCCTGGACTCAAGCAATCCTCCTGCCTCAGCCTCCCAAAGTGCTGGGATTACAGATGTGAGCCACTGTGCCTGGCCAAAATTTTTATTAGTGATGTTTCAAACATGTATAACACAGAGAATAATGTAAATTCTATGAATTCATCACCTACTTTTAATCATTACCAAAATAATTATTTCGTTTATACCTCCATCTCTTCTCCATCCTCTGGATTATTTTGAAGCAAACTCTAGATGATGTATTTCATTTGTAAGTGTCTCACTGTGTATCTCTAAAAGATAATGCTTAACAACAACCAAAAAAACCTCCTAGAAACATTGATTTCTTAATATCATCAAGCATTTGTATTATATTGGTATTTCCATTTCCCGGATTATCTTGTAAATTAAAAAACTTTTTTTTTTTACTTTGTTTAAATTGGAATCCAAATAAGGATGTATATTGTGATTCATTGTTATATCTCTTAGGTCTTTTAAGATTGAGATTCCCTGTGCTTGCCTCAGCAGCACATATAATAAAATTGGAATGATACAGAGATTAGCATGGCCCCTTAAAAAAAAGAAGAATCCTCTTCATAGCTTCATTAAAAATTATTTTTCTGCAGCTATGGAATGTTTCTTCTGTCATTTCCTACAGTCTGCATTTATGTGGTGGTAGTGAACATGTTCCTTTGTTTGTTGTGTTTTCTGTAAATTAGTGAATAGTTCTAGAGCAGTGGTTCTCAATAGGGGTGATTTTGCTCACCAGGGTATATTTGGCAATGTCTGGAGACATTTTTGCTGGTCACAACTTGGGGATGCTATTGGCATCTAGTGGGTAGAGGCCAGGGATGCTGCTAAACATGCTACAAAGCACAGGAAACCCCCACAACAAAGAATTATCCAACTTAAAATGTCACCAGTACTGAGGTTGAGAAACTGATCCAGAGACTTGATCAGATTCAGGTTTAATTATATTTTGCCTGGTTCTCTCTCTTCATGATGTTAGGAGCTATTGATTATTGCCCAGTTTCATTGATTTTCTAGGGGCTTACAAAAGGGTGATATTCTAATTCTCCTTTCCTTCCTTATCTGAAGTACCTCTATAAAAACAAACTACCCTTTATCAATTATTTGGTTACCCTGAGCTACAGTTTATATAGTAAAGGCAGATTAAATGCCTGATGCTTTCCCTTTCTTCACCAGCCAATGACGTTTTATATTTTATTCCAGGTTGATCTCCTATCAAGAGTTTTTGGCATTTGAATCTGTTTTATGTGCTCCAGATTCCATGTTCATAGTGGCTTTCCAGTTGTTTGACAAGAGTGGAAATGGAGAGGTGACATTTGGTAAGGGAAAAAGAAGATTATAAGTGATAAGTTAATGATGCTGGTCCAGTCTTCAATTGCTGAATCTAGTAACTAATATAGATTACTGCTTATTTGGGATCTGACCCATAATTGAATTTCCTAAAAGGATTTATGCAGATAATGATGGCTTTATTTTTTCAAAGCATTAAACTGTTGCCAAAGATGAAGAAGTGTAGTAATGCTGTTGCTTTAGCTCATTGAGTCACTGACACTTTACATTCCTAAAATAAATGGTGTAAGATTTTCTTGTTCTGGGCCAGCCTGGGCAAAATTCCTTACAAGGTCGATTTTGAACAACATGAAACAATTTTCTCATTCTTTAAGTGATTTTTAGATAGGGAGTTCAGAGCTTCTCTTGTAGCATCCTTGGAAAATTGCTACTATGTCATTGTAACACCAAGAATGGAACCGAAGGAGGATATCAAGGCAAAATTAGTGTTCTCTGAACCTGAATTTTAGATTTCAGTTTTAGGAAAGAGGCTAGAATATTAAAATTGCCATCTGACATGAATGTAGAAATTTATTTAAATCCTCTAGTAGACACAAAATCTAACACACTGTTGATGTTTCACAGGTGTATACACTAGGATTTTTATTTGTAACCATATATTAAAGATACTTTTTTACAGAAATTAGTATATGTTTAGTAAAAGTATTGGCTAATTTTTCTTGCAACAATTTTTTCAATAAAAGCCATGTAGTAGTTCAAGGACCTTGAGCACTGCCCCCACCTTTTTAAAGATTGCCACTGTTTTTGTTGTGGCAAAAAACACAAGATAAAATTACTACTATCTTAATGATTTTAAATGTACAGTTTAGTAGTATTAAGTATATCCACAACGTTGTGAAAGACATCTCCAGAAATTTCTCATCTTGCAAAATTAAACTTAAGCCCCCTTTTATAGTGTGAATTGGCATGGATATTTGTAGAAACACCCTTGAAAATCAGGCTTTCCCTGAGCTATGGCATTAAACACTTATTCACTATTGTGTTTGAGTTATAAAATAGATGTCCTTTAGTTAAACTTGAAGGAAAAATTATCACTGCAATGGTCAAAGTGGTGAGAAAGTACAGGTCAGTCAATCAGAAGGATCAGTAGTGCCTTGGCTGTAATTTTGGTGGACACATTTTCTAGCGTGACATTGATTGTTTTCTTCTTCCTTCTGCCCATTGACTCAACTATCTTCTGTATGAGAAGACTTTCCAAAAAAATGCTATGCAGAGTTTTTTGTTTTGTTTTTTTTTGAGACGGAGTCTTGCTCTGTCGCCCAGACTGGATTGTAATGGCGTGATCTTGGCTCACGGCAACCCCTGCCTCCCGGGTTCAAGTGATTCTCCTGCCTCAGCCTCCCGAATAGCTGGGATTACAGGCATGCGCCACCATGCCCAGCTAATTTTTGTATTCTTAGTGGAGATGGGGTTTTACCATGTTGGCCAGGCTGGTCTCGAACAGTTGACCTCATGATCCGTCTGTCTCGGCCTCCCAAAGTGCTGGGATTACAGGCCTGAGCCACCGCGCCTGGCCTGCTATGCAGAGTTATTTAGATTTTTGCATATAAATCTTGGCATCCTCCTCCTTTGGAGCAAGCTTCGACCATCTTGCCTCCTGAAGAATGTTGACTTTCCTCAGAAACACCTAGATTCTGTAGTTTAAGGCACAAACCCTCCATCATCTCATTCAGCATTAACCATGCACTACTAGTAATGCTGCATTTTCTATTTTCAGTAGGTATCACACATGCTCACATATCTCACAAATGTGATGCAGAAATGCTTGGAAAATAACTGGATTCAGATGTCTGAGTTAGTGACAGTGCCCTGTGCTTATATCCTGTGTGCATTAAGAATTAGATCTCACAATCAAATTCTAATTTTTGTCCCTCTACCTTGATATCATGGTTCTTTGTGTCTCCTCCATTTAATTACTTTTCCCAGTTTCGATTATTATAAAATTAGTAACTCAAGCCACTTCATCCAACAGACTGTCAAGACCAACTTAACAATAAGACACATGCCATTGTTGATAAATAGATTAAAATGAGTGTAGGAAGTAGCTAAGTTTATATATGCCTTATTTAATGTAAATGAAAGCTTGTAGTCATTAGATCTCAACTTTAGTTTTTTTTTTTTGGAGGTGGAGCCTCACTCTGTCACCCAGGCTGGAGTGCAGTGGCGTGATCTTGGCTCACTGCAACCTCTGCCTCCTGGGTTCAAGCGATTCTTCTGCTTCAGCTTCCCGAGTACCTGGGATTACAGGCACCTGTCACCACGCCTCGCTAATTTTTGTATTTTTAGTAGAGACGGGGCTTCGCCCATGTTGGTCAGGCTGGCCAGTCTCAAACTCCTGACCTCAGGTAATCTGCCCACCTCGGCCTCCCAAAGTGCTGAGATTACAGGCGTGAGCCACTGCACCCAGCCAACTTTAGCTTTTTATAGGTCTTCTGTTTTTCTTTCAAACTATGATTTATGAATTAGAATTTTTAGAAATATAGTTAGGATTAAACACAAACCAGTTTTAGTTTTTACGGTACCAGGTATAAACTGAAGAACATATGAGCCCTCAAGAATCTTGCTTTCATTCTTTTCCTCCATAATCTAGAGACAGGAATATTATTATGGAATAAGAAAAAGATGAAGCCAGGTGCAGTGGCGCATACCTGTAGTCTCAACTCCCAAAGGAGTGATTTCAGCTCCTCGGGAGGCTGAAATGGGAGGATCTCTTGAGCCCAGAGTTTGAGGCCAGCTTGCACAACATAGTGATACCCAGTCTCTAAAAAATTTAAAACATTTTTTAAAAGCTGTACCCTGTTTCTGTTCTGGATTCCCTGGCTAGCTGGTTGGCTCTTTTGATGGTGCTCACCTATTTCCTAAGGACTTTGACCATTTCACCTTCTGTCCCTGCCTTCCTAGTTTTAAGGATCCACTTTGAGACAAATTTTCTTAAGTAGAATGAGAGAAATGATAAAAGAAAGTTTCCTTTCATATTTTTAAGAGGGAAAATATTGAAACTGTTGTAGCAAATGCCATTTAACAAGATTTCTAGGCACTGCTTATTTCAAGCCATATTCAAGACTACAGAATTTATGCATAAGGAAGTAATTAACTTCGAGTTTATTTTTATAGGATTTTGGATCTGGGGTAAAGGTCAGTTTTCATGTTTGTAACCACTTAATAAAATGAATTGTGCTTATGTATTTATAGGCACATGTTTAGGTAAAAGGAAATTTTAGATCCATTCTAAATAGAGTTAAATCCTTTTCACCAAATGGCCTTCTGTTTTCTAGTTTGGAGCTATTTATAGTTTTCTCTTGTGCACATGAGAGAAAGTTGGAAGACAATATTAGCTGCAATGTGTAAGGAAGTGGAGAAAACCTGTTATGCTATCAGCATCTCTTGTAGACTATGATGATAATGTTATCTGTGTACTTGTATATATTCTCATTTATGCTTTTTTTAGATATGATTTTATACACATCAAATTATATACTTAAACTGTGTGCATCTTTGCAAGTATTTATATAAGTAGTAATATTGAACATTTACTTGAGTGTTTATATAAGGTTTTTTGTTGTTAAAGATACCTCTGCTCTGGGGAGAGGACTTAGATTGAGGCCTTGGAAATCCATTTCAGAACGTGAAAACTCAGGAAAGGGTTCTGGAGTTTTTTTAAGAGTGAATAAAATATTAGTTAATTGTTTCCTCTTTGATGTTTCTTTAATAAAACTTCTAATGCATGCCGTGGATAATTACTTAATGGTTTGTATATCTGTTACTGTCAGGTGGCATGAGCCTTGTAGAGGCTATTGCATGACTGGTGTGTGCTAGCTACAGTGTAAGTTTGCCTTGGTCTCACCATTGTCCACAAGTGTACTGGAGATCCTGTTCAGTACTATTAGATTCAGGTAACCTAGATAAGCAGTTATACTACATTGTGTTGTCAGTAGCTGCCATGCATTTAAAATCCAAATTGAAAAAAAGGCCGGGAGCAGTGACTCATGTCTGTAATCCCAGCAGTTTGGGAGGCTGAGGTGGGCAGACTGCTTGAGCCCAGGAGTTCAAGACCAGCACGGGTGACATGGTGAAACCCCATCTCTACTAAAAACACAAAAATTAGCCGGGTGTGGTGGCACATGCCTGTAGTCCCAGCTACTCGGGAGGCTGAGGTAGGAGGATTACTTGAGCCTGGGAGGTGGAGGTTGCAATGAGTTGAGATTGTGCCATTACACTCTAGCCTGGGTAACCGGAGTGAAACCCTGTCTCAAATGAAAAAAAGGCCTATTGCCTTACTAAAGATTTAATCCTTTTTTTTTTTTTTTTTTAAGGGGCCAGGCGCAGTGGCTCACGCCTGTAATCCCAGCACTTTGGGAGGCCAAGGCAGGAGGATCACAAGGTCAGGAGTTTGAGACCAGCCTGGCCAACAGGGTGAAACCCTGTCTCTACTAAAAATACAAAAATTAGCCGGGCGTGGTGGGCACCTGTAATCCCAGTTACTTGGGAGGCTGAGGCAGGAGAATAGTTTGAAACCAGAAGGTGGAGGTTGCAGTGAGCTGAGATTGCGCCACTGCACTCCAGCCTGGGTGAAAGAGTGCAACTCCGTCTCCAAAAAAAAAAACAAACAAGAAAAAACCACAACAAACTGTTGTCTGTTAACTAACAAAATGAGTATGAAACATGTTATATGTTCTGAGTTCTCTATTAACATCAACATTGTGTTCCAAATTTGGTGTTTGCCTAGGAATGGACACTCTTCAAAGTAAACTTTTCCAAGGACACATCCTCACCCTCTGACTGAAGAAACCTCAAAAAGCAGAGATTCCTTTAAATGTAGTACTATGTTTGACCATTAATACATATAGCAAATAAAAATGTGTTCCATTTGTGCCTCTGAAATAGGCTGTTTTTCCCTGAAGGAGAGAATAAATTGGGATGGGTTAGGCACAACCACTGTTATTATTTTAAAGAGCCAGGAGATGGAAGTGTAGTTATGAAAAATGTACCCTTTCTCACTGGAAACAAAGCTATAGACATGCAATAATATGAAGTTCTATGGTGGCCAGGTGCAGTGGCTCACGCCTGTAATCCCAGCACTTTGGGAGGCCGAGGCGGGAGGATCACCTGAGGTCAGGAGTTCAAGACCAGCCTGGCTGGGCCGGGTGCAGTGGCTCATGCCTGTAATCCCAGCACTTTGGGAGGCCGAGGCGGGTGGATCACAAGATCAGGAGTTTGAGACCAGCCTGGCCAATATGGACCAGCCTGGCCAATATGGTGAAACCCCATCTCTACTAAAAATACAAACAAATTAGCCGGGCATGGTGGTGCATGCCTGTAATCCCAGCTACTTGGGAGGCTGAGGCAGAAGAATTGCTTGAACCCAGGAGGTGGAGGTTGCAGTGAGCCAAGATCAGGCCACTGCACTGCAGCCTGGGCGACAGAGCAAGACTCCATCTCAAAAAAAAAAAAAAAAAAAAAAAAAACAAAGACCAGCCTGGCCAACATGGTGAAACCCTGTCTCTAGCAAAAATACAAAAATTAGCCGGGCGTGGTGGCATGTGCCTGTAATCTCAGCTACTTGGGAGGCTGAGGCAGGAGAATTGCTTGAATCTGGGAGGCAGAGGCTATAGTGAGCCAAGATCATGCCACTGCATTCCAGCCTGGGTGACACAGTAAGACTCCATACCCCCACCCCCAAAAAAAGGGAATTCTATGGCGGCCAGGCATGGTGGCTCTTGCCTATAATCCCAGTACTTTGGGAGGCCGAGGCAGGAGGATCACTTGAGGCCAAGAGTTCAAGACCAGCCTGGGCAACATGGTGAAACCCTGTCTTTACTAAAAATACAAAAAAATTAGCCAGTTATGGTGGTATGCACCTGTAATCCCAGCTACTTGGGAGGCTGAGGTGGGATAATCTCTTGAACCTGGGAGGCAGAGGTTGCAGTGAGCCAAGATCACGCCACTGGGCCGGGCACGGTGGCTCACGCCTGTAATCTCAGCACTTTGGGAGGCCGAGGCGGGTGGATCACGAGGTCAGGAGATCGAGACCATCCTGGCTAATACGGTGAAACCCTGTCTCTACTAAAAATACAAAAAAATTAGCTGGGCATGGTGGCGGATGCCTGTAGTCCCAGCTACTTGGGAGGCTCACGAATGGCGTGAACCCGGGAGGCTGAGGTCAGTGAGCTGAGATTGTGCCACTGCACCACTCCAGCCTGGGCAACAGAGCAAAACTCCGTCTCAAAAAAAAAAAAAAAAAAAAGATCACACCACTGACTTCAGCCTGCGTGACAGACAAAGACTTTCATAAAAAGAAATGAAAATTCTATGATAATAAATATATAGCTTAATTTGGTAAGAAGTAGAGCTTCACCTGAGTATTCAAATTAAATCAGGAAGATTTTTTGATTTTTTTTTTTCTTGGTGTTGCTTTCGGATATTGCAGAGAAGTTTTTTGTTTTTTGCTTTTTTTTTTAGTACTCAAGGCTATTAGAGTAGCTTAAGAGTTCAAGGTGAAAGAAAAGGTGGAGTGTTATTAGTTTTTATGCTGTTTGATGATAGACTGTTGAAGTGTCTAGCTTCAATAATAATAGTATGTATGTATGTATGTATGTATTTATTTATTAATTTTGAGACACGGTCTTGCTGTGTCGCCCAGGGTGGAGTGCAGTGGTGTGATCTCGGCTCACTGCAACCTCCACCTCCTGGGTTCTAGTGATCCTTCTGCCTCAGCTTCCCTAGTAGCTGGACTACAGGCATGTGCCACCACGCCCAACTAATTTTTTCTATTTTTAGTAGAGACAGGGTTTTACCATGTTGGCCAGGCTGGTCTCAAACTTCTAACCTCAGGTGATCCACCTGCCTTGGCCTCCCAAAGTGCTGGGATTATAGGCGTGAGCCACCACGCCCAACCGATAGTCTTTAAATATGAACTCATCTTTCCTGAGAAATGGACCTTTACATATATTTGACAGCAGGACTACTCTATTGACTGTGCAGTAGTCCCTTCTAGAGGTAGGTAAAGGGCTAATAGAAATACTTTCTCTCAGAGAAACAGGAGGTCATTCAGGAAACTAATGACCATCTGAGAGGAGAACCCAGAAGTCTGGGACTGAGTCTACATGCCATGTTGGTTGGGACTTCCTCTACAAGTTCCTGTTGTTGGTCTTTTTGTTGTTGTTGTTTGTTTTCCTTTGTTTTCTTTTTTGGCTTCCCAGTTGTTCCTCCTCTTTCCTCCCAATTTTTCCTTCACTGAAAAACTCTTCACTTCTACAAGTCTCACCATTGTTTTTGTTCAGCTATGTACAAGGATATTCACCATTCATGGTGGGAGTCCTAAAAACCTCTCTGACTTCACTTTAAGAACTGTGCAGGTGAAATTCAGCTACTGAGGAACTTTTCCCCCTGACAATAAGAATGTTTGGTCTCAAGCCTATAAGTTGGTTGTAGTGGCTCCTGCTGGGCTGGAATCCTTGGAATAAGGATGTCGTTGGGCTGATGGTAGGTGGGCTGTGTCACAGGGCTGATGGCTTGTATACCTACAGGAGGAGTTCTCTGGCCACACCGTTGGTACAGCAGCTCCTTCCAGGCTCATTCATGGAACAGGCATGGTGGCAGTCTTGGAGAAGAGTGCCAGCCCCGGTCAGAGGTAATTTTGTACTGCAGAAAGGTGAACAAGACCAGTAGGAAGTGCCCATAAGAACCAGGGGAGGGATGAGGGTGGATGAGATGGGGAGACACAGTATGGGTTTCTGGGGAAATTAAAACCTCTGTTAAGACATATTTACATAATATATATGATTTAATGTGTATTTCATCTAGTCCAATCATCATAAGTGACTGATACAGCTAAACTGACTAATGTTACACATCTGTGAACATTTTTACTTAATCACAGTTGTCACCGTTACCTGCTCTCCTGACAAATCATTGTGCTCCTCTCCTTTGAGCAAAGAGAACATAATGACAGGCTACTTTTGTATTTAGCCCCAGTTCCCTTTTCAATGGAAGTATAAACCATCCCTTTCATAAGCCCATGCTCTGCAGGAAGTGAAAAAGTTGTCTTTTGTTTTCTATATGTCAGAAAACTAATGGATTCCTGGTTCTCTTAGCTATGCCAACCTAGTATAAAATACTATATCGTGATTTTGCTGCCAATAAGATGTGACTGTCATTTCCCTTTCTTCCAGGCCAGAACTATGCTACAGAAATAGCATTCTTAAACATGGCAAAAAAAAGATCCTTGTTTGCCACTGGAAAGATGGGATTCTCTCTGGGGGTGGGTGGAACTTGCTATACAGTTTCAGTTAGATGTATTTGGTATATTTGAGACTATTGGTGTTCCCTTTCATGTCACGCAGGACCTGATAAAGCTGGGTAACATAAAAACACCAGCTGTTTGAGTTATTACCTCATACAAGCATAAGCTCTCCAGTTCTGGAGCTTTTATATAATTTTATTTATCACATTCTGATAAAAGTAAAGTGGCAATTTATGAATTGGACTTGAAAACAATAGTTCTACTAATTATTTCTGTGTATCTGAATCAGTCTCAGGCACTTGGTAGTAGAAACAATGATAACAGAAGAGAAGTAGAATACATCTCCAGAAGTGCCAAAGTAGGTTTGTAATCTTATTAGTTCTAGTAATTATAGTAGTCCATGATGTGTCTTAAAAAAACCCTAAAAGTGTCAGAGTAAATAAACCACAGCATATAATAATGATCATAACAAAACCATATATAAAGCTGTCAAGTGACCACTTTGGGAGAAGTAGAAAATGTCCAAATACTCATGGAAAATGACACTTCTGTATTTGGGGAGATCACTATGACTAATTTAGACCATCATTTTAATTGTTTCAGAGACATTCTAAGATCTTATTTAGAGATGGCTAAGAAGTTTATGAAATAGGATATCTAAAGTTTTTATTACAGAGATATTTTCCAGATGTAAATTATACATTATAAATTTAGTTCATAAATATCCTTTTTGTGATAATAGAAACTTTTTTTTCGAGACAGAGCCTTGCTCTGTCACCCAGGCTGGAGTGCAGTGGCGCAATCTTGGCTCACTGCAACCTCCGCCTCCCGAGTTCAAGCAATTCTCCTGCCTCAGCCTCCTGAGTAGATGGGATTACAGGCATGTGCCACCATGCCTGGCTTATTTTTGTATTTTTAGTAGAGACGGAGTTTCACTATGGGGACCAGGTTGGTCTCTGACTCCTGACCTCGTGATCTGCCTGCCTTGGCCTCCCAAAGTGCTAGGATTACAGGTGTGAGCCACTGTGCCCAGCCAAAAAAATTTTTATAGATAATTGAATTTTCTTAGCTTGAACGCTTTTGCATTTTGGACTTTATTTTACATAGTTTCATATTTGAGATTCTGATATTTTCTTATTATATAAAAGGGATTCAATTTCATTCTACCATTATATAAGAATTATCTAGGTAGTAATATATACATTTATTATCAAATAATTATATTTTAACTCTTGAAATAACCTTTAAAAGGTTACCATGAAATAACTATTCCCTTTAATAATTGTAATGTTACTTAATTAAATATAGTAATTTGTTCTAATTTGCTTTCCATTTTTAATTTTTTTTAACTTGAAGATGAAACACTTCTTTTTGTTAGACCTTAAAAGTAAGAAATTAATTAATTTGGGACTAGAAACAGCTAATTAATTAAGTTAGATCCTAAAAATCTTTAATAATCTGCTACAATATTTGTAGCCCTAAATATTTTCTGCTATCTTTATTATTTTAATTGTTTTGTAAACTTTAACATATTTTACAACTTCGAAGTTTCACATAGATTTAAGGATCATCTTTTGTGTTGGTTAGAAACCAGGATCCCACAAATTGCTATTGGGTTAATTCTTTGCTTTTTAAATTTGTATTTATGTAAGGTGAAAACGCTTGACCTATTGAAAACTTTGAAGTATTTGTCCCTACTTAGGGAAGAAATGAATCCTGCATTCCATTTCAAAGAAAAGATGAGAATCCCATCTCCCCAGTGACATCCAATGCCTTCTTCCAACTTTGCTGATTGCTGCAATCTATTCAGAGCTATTATATTGACTCTAGACTGGTAGAACGTCCAGTTCAGAATTCTTACATTCCCCTATCCCAGTAGTAATGCTTTTATTAAGAAAAAGTGTATGTATATAAAACTAAAGGGAATCCATTAAACCATTTACAATATGAGATCAGTATCTTATTTAAAGAATTTGCAGAAATTAGAGAAAACAGCATAGTTGGAGATTATAAAACTTTAAATGTGTATTTACTAATTCTCTAGTATAACTGATAGCTATCGATGGCAAAACTCTTTCACTAATAAAATTGGCTGAAATTTGAAAATAATTTTGTTCTTAAGACATCAGTTAAACAGGCTTCCTGCTTTCTTAACTTTGTTCATGATTTTTTTTTTTTGGCATGAGCTTCTAAATTAGTTTATCCAGTCTATGCTTGTTAAAGTACCAGTCATTTGTGAATTGACTTTTATAGTAAGTATAGAACTCTGTAAGAATGTAAATAACGTTGTTAGTGCATGAAGACAAGCTGCCAGAGGGTTTTGGTTGTATGTTACACAGTGTGACTAGTTCCTATCTAAAAATTAGTGTACTGTATTTAGCTCTTTATTTAAAAGTGAAACACTAATTTAACTTATCTTAAAATATTTTAATAGTTCAGACTAATAATCATGGATTTTATGGGGATTTTGAAGCTTTGTGTCAAGACCATATTTTTAACAATATCAGAAGCTTTTAATAAGGTGCTTGCTGCTGAGCTAATGATATGCTTTTGATAGTTTTTCTTATACCTATCTTCAATAGACATATTCAGGCTAGTGTGAATGTAATAATCAAGCCTCAATCAAACCATACTTAGTATGACAAATATTGCATTATACTGTAATTTAGGTATTCATGCTTCTGATAAAGGGTTTAATTCGACTCCTTGAGAAACTGGGAAAACACTATTGATTTTATACGGGATGTAAAATAGCAGCCATTTATGATGTAAGATAGAAATCACTTTCTAATTAAAATTAAATAAAGAGAAATTAAGAATCTCATGGCCTTATATGCAATGGTACATATTCTTAAGTGTAAAATTATATTTTTTGTATCAGTTGTGTTCCTGCGCATGGTTTCTGGGCACACAAAAAAATTGCAGTTATTTTAATAGAAGCAGATGATATTGACTTTTAAAACTTCTCTTAATTTTTTTCTGTAGGAACATTGCAGTGGTTTAAACTACTTATTCCAGATATAATTGATTTATTTTTGTTTTCCCTTTTAAGAAAATGTCAAAGAAATTTTTGGACAGACTATTATTCATCATCATATCCCTTTTAACTGGGATTGTGAATTTATCCGACTGCATTTTGGGCATAACCGGAAGAAGCATCTTAACTACACAGAATTCACGCAGTTTCTCCAGGTGAGCTTAGTTTTCATAACAGGTATCAATATATACTATTCTTCTGTGTCCTTCGCTTTGTATTTATTAAGTTTATTACAAAAATAGAAGTTCTCCATGGTATTTCACTCCTATTTTTTAAATTTCCCCCTCGCCAGAGACAACTTCTTTAAACTCTTAATAGCTGTTTCTTTCAGTGTTTACTTCCATTTATTTAAATAGTAAAGCACTTCTACTTTTTTTCTACTTTTAAATACTTTTTAATTGTATCCTAACTATAGAAGATTAGAAGCTAGTTCTTTCACGACTGGGCGCAGTGGCTCACGCCTGTAATCCCAGCACTTTGGGAGGCCGAGGCGGGCAGATCACGAGGTCAGGAGATCCAGACCATCCTGGCTAACATGGTGAAACCCCATCTCTACTAAAATTAGCCGGGTGTGGTGGCGGGCGCCTGTAGTCCTAGCTACTTGGGAGGCTGAGGCAGGAGAATGGTGTGAACCTGGGAGGCGGAGCTTGCAGTGAGCTGGGATCACACCACTGCACTCCAGCCTTGGCGACAGAGTGAGACTCCATCTCAAAAAAAAAAAAAAAAAAGCTAGTTCTTTCAC
This sequence comes from Homo sapiens, assembly GCF_000001405.40. Lineage (NCBI taxonomy): Eukaryota > Metazoa > Chordata > Mammalia > Primates > Hominidae > Homo > Homo sapiens. The sequence goes on along the minus strand of NC_000002.12, from coordinate 171,843,781 downwards.
CTCTCTCCTCTCCCTCTTTATCACAGACTTGGACTTCTGTCCCCTTTCCCCCAATATAATTATGTCATGATTCTGCTTAGATCAGTAATCCTATGAGTTATTATAATTTTGTAAATACTATTGGTGGCTGAAGTTATTATATATTTTTTTGAGACAGAGTCTGGCTCTGTTGCTCAGGCTGGAGTGCAGTGGTGTGATCCTGGCTCACTGTAACCTCCACCTCTTGGTTCAAGCAATTCTCATGTCTCAGCCACTCAACTAGCTGGGATTACAGGAGTGTGCCACCACACCTGGCTAATTTTTGTATTCTTAGTAGAGGTGGGGTTTTGCCATGTTGGCCAGGCTGGTCTGAACTCCTGGCCTCAAGTGATCTGCCTGCCTTGACCACCCAAAGTGCTGGGATTACAGGAGTGAACCACTGCACCTGGCCTAAAGTTATTGTTCTTAGAGTTTCTAGTTTTCATTTGTTTAGTTTTCTGTGTACTAATACTAAGTCATTCTCAAACCTTGGCCCAATTATTAAGATCTCTTTTTAATGCGTTTAAAACACATTAGGTATTCTATTAATTTCATCTTCTTGGAGCTCTCCAGGAGCTTTCTTTTTTAAAAAAATTTGAGGTAAAATTTACATAAAATTAATCATTTAAAAGTGCACAATTTAGGCCAGGTGTGGTAGCTCACGCCTGTAATCCCAGCACTTTGGGAGGCTGAGGTGGGCAGATCACTTGAGATCAGGACTTTAAGACCAGCCTGGCCAACATGGCGAAACCTTGTCTCCACTAAAAATACAAAAATTAGCCAGGCGAGGTGGTGAGTGCCATAATCCCAGCTACTGGAGAGGCTGAGGCAGGAGAATCACTTGAACCCAGGAGGTGGAGGTTGCAGTGAGCTGAGATTGCATCGCTGCACTCCAGCCTGGGTGACAGAGCGAGACTCCATCTAAAAAATTAAAAATAAATAAAAGTGCACAATTGAGTGGCATTTAGTACGTTCACAGTGTCTTATATCTAGTTCCAAAACATTTTTATCATCCCAAAAAGAAACCGTGTTCCATTAAGCAGTCACTTTCTATTTCTGCTTTCCCCTGAGCTCTGGCAACTTCCAGCCTACTTTCTGTCTCTATGGATTTACCTATTATGGATATTTAATATAAATGGAATTGTACAATATGAACTTTTCTTTTTTTTGAGACAGAATTTCGCTCTTGTTATCCAGGCTGGTGTGCAATGGCGTGATCTCAGCTCACTGCAACCTCCACCTCCTGGATTCAAGCGATTCTCCTGCCTCAGCCTCCTGAGTAGCTGGGATTACAGGTGTGCGCCACTATGCCTGGCTAATTTTTTGTATTTTTAGTAGAGACAGGGTTTCACCATGTTGGCCAGGCTAGTCTCGAACTCCTGACCTCAGGTGATCCACCCACCTCAGCATCCCAAAGTGCTGGCATTATAGGTGTGAGCCACCACGCCTGGCCAAACAATATGAACTTTTGCATCTGTTTTTTTTTTTTTCCACTTAGCATAATGTTTTTAAGAATTATCCATGTCATAGCATGTATCAGTGCTTTATTCCTTTTTTGTGGCTGAATACTATTCCATTGTATAATATAGTATAAATATGTTATATTTTGTCTATCCATTCATCAGCTGATGGACCTTTGAGTTGTTCCCACCTTATGGTTATTGTGAATAGTGCTGCTATGAACATATGTATACAAATATTTGTTTGAATACCTGTTTTCAGTTCTTTTGGCTATATACATAGGAGTGTAATTTCTGGGTCATATGGTAATTCTGTTTAACTTTTTGAGAAACCACCTGACTGTTTTCCACAGCAGCTGCACCATTTTCCTGTTGTTTCCTCACCTGCTTCAGGGCCAGAAGCCAGACTGTGTAAGCTCACTGCATAGGAGTCATTCTGTGATCACCCTTCACTTTTACCTTGGAGAATCCATTTGCTGTTCTGTTACGTTGAACCTCCTGTTTGCTGCATTTTATCTCTTCTTTTATTGCGGTTTACCTATTTTTGGTAGAATACTTCCTGCAATGGCTTCTTGAGGAAAGTGGAATAAAATTTTTTTGAGACTTTTCATATGTAAAAACCTCTTGTTCCGGCTGAGGGCAGTGGCTCACACCTGTAATCCTAGCACTTTGGGAGGCCAAGGTGGGGAGATCACTTGAGTCCAGGAGTTCGAGACCAGCCTGGGCAACATGGCAAAATGCCATCTTTACAAAAAATACAAAAACTAGCCAGGTGTGGTGGCACACGACTATAGTCCCAGCTACTCAGGAGGTGAGGTGGGAGAATCACTTGAGCCCAGGGAGGTAGAAGCTGCAGTAAACCATGATCCCACCACTGCACTCCAGCGTGGGTGACCGAGTGAGCCCTGTCTCAAAAAACAAACAGTCTGGGTGTTTTGGCTCACGCCTGTAATCCCAGCACTTTGGGGGGCCAAGGCGGGCTGATCACTTGAGGTCAGGAGTTCAAGATCAGCCTGGCCAACATGGTGAAACCCTGTCTCTACTAAAAGTGCAAAAATTAGCCAGGTGTGGTGGCAGGCACCTGTAATCCCAGCTACTTGGGAGGCTGAGGCAGGAGAATCTCTTGAGCCTGGGAGGCAGAAGTTGCAGTAAGCCAAGGACAGGCCACTGCACTCCAGCCTGGGCGACAGAGCGAGACTCCATCTCAAAACAAACTAACAAACAAACAAACAAATCCCTCTTGTTCCACCATTATGCTAAGATAGTTTGGCTGGTTATTGAATTCTAGTAGGAGTTTATTTTCCTTATAATTTTGAAAGCATTGCTCTTTTGTTTTCTAGTTTCCAGTGTTGCCACAGTGCCATTCTCATTCTTAATTTAATCTTGAAACTTTTTCCACTCTGACTCGGGAGTGTTTTAATATTTTTTCTTTTCTTTGGTGTTTATGAAATTTCACGATGGTATTCCTTGGTGTGAGTTTATTTTTATTCATTGGTCTGGGCTCTTCATTCATTGGGCTTTTCTAATCTGGAAACTTACGTCCTTCAATTCTTGAAAATTTTATTACTTTTCTTATTCTATTTTCTTAGTTTCTAGGACTATTAAATGTTACATTTATGACCTTTTAGTCTTCTTTTCTCTCCTATTTTCCTTCTGAGCCTTCTATTTTCTATTTCTGCTGTATTTCTAATTTTCAGGAACTCTTTTTGGTTTTCTGAATATTCCTTTTAAAAAATAGCATACTGTTCTTGTTTCATGGATGCACTCTTTTCTTTCACTTCTTCAAAGATATTGAAGACAGGTTTCTTTGTTGTTTTTTTAAAGTTTTCTTCTTGCATAGTGTCTGCTTTCTCCACATTTATTTATTTATTTTTACTCTTTGTTTGGGTCTCTGTTTTTCTTTTTCTCTTTTTTTTTTGAGTCAGGGTCTTACCTTGTCCCCCAGGCTGGAGTGCAGTGACAGGATCATGGCTCACTGTAGCCTTGACTTCCCCAGGTTCCAGGGATCCTTTCACCTCGGCCTCCTGAATAGCTGGTACTACAGGCGTGTGCCACCATGCCTGCCTAATTTTTTGTATTTTTTGTAGAGATGGGGTTTTGCCATGTTGCCTAGGCTAGGTCTTTTATTTCGGATTAGGGAATCAGGGAAAAATTGTCTAGTCTCCAATCTGGAATATTAGATCTGGCTTTTGATGTTTTGGTTGCTGAGTAATAAGTAGTTGGAGGTCTCAGTGTTCAATTTTGCAGAAGGACTTTCAGTTTACTACCTTTTTTCACTGTAGTATTCTCCCTCTCAACTGTGTGTGGTCTATGCTGGTTCAGAGATCCTCTGTTAAACTCCTCAGACAGTAGACCTCTAGTCTTCTGCCAAGGTTGGGAAAGGGTGGAGGCCTTATTTGGAGTAAGGCAGGGGTAACTAACTGCTTCTTAAACAGATATCCAGCTAAGCCCCTTGTTTTCAGCTCCACCTTCACCATCACTTCCAGAGGTACCAATGCAGCTAATAATTGAATCTTTTGGGGGTCCTGTCATGTACATTGGCTTCCTTTTTGGCTTTTTCTGCTTAGTTTTTTTGAGTCCATTAAGTCAGTTGTCATTTGCTTTTCTGCTTTCTGATCTTAAAAATATAGTTGCCATCTTCTCCTTTTCTGTTGTCTTTGTCCTTGCGTTTCTGTTTTGTTTTGTTTTGTTCTTTTATTGTTATTTTAGTGGAGAGTGGCATTTTGGAAGACGGTGGAGTTAAATGTACAAGTTCACTCTCATCCAGTCACACTGTTTCTGAAGCTCTGCTAATTTTCATCTCATAATTAGATGAAATGCATTTTCAAGGGCATAGGATCTTTCCCTTCAGCATAACTGCCTTTCTTTATCTTTCCTTTAGTTCTCCTATCCACCTACCTACCTACCTACCTTTTTAACCCAAGATTTATTTATTTTACCTTTTATAAGCCCACAGTATTGTTTTTCTTCATTAGGATGAGCACAGATTTGAAACTATGGGCTTTAGGTGTGGGTATTTGGAGGTGCCAGTGTTTGTTCTAACTCTTTTCCCTGTTAGTGCTTATCTAACTCACCTTATAAAATTCTCAAACTTGAAAAGTTGAAAATATATGCATTTGAGAGCTGACTTTTTTAAAAAAGGAAATGTCTGCCTGATTAGTGTTTAAGATTCTTCCAAAGATTACTTTCTCTCTTTCTCTCACTGTTTTCCTTGCATTTACAGAGTCTATTTTACAATATCTATTGTACCCTGATGTTTTAATTATACTGTATAAACTGAGAGCCGCATATATGTAACTTCTTTTTTTCTGTGTTTAACTTCTCATTTTTAAGTCATTAATTTTATTTTTTAAAATCTTTTTTATTTTGGAAGACTTCAAATATACTCAAAAGTAGAGAGAATAGTGTAATGAACCTCCTGGACCTATAACCAGCTTCAATAATTACCACTTCTTGGCCAATCTTTTTTATCTATACCCTCCACCCTGCCTCCTGCAGGATCATTTGGAAGCCAGATGCACATACTCTATGATTTTTTCATCTGTGATCCTTCAAATACGTATCTTTAAAAGACAAATAAGAGTCCTTTAACTGTTGACCTTATAGAAAACAGACAATCTATTCTACTAACACTACTCCTTCAGTGAGCATTCTGCTTCATCTTGAAGGTAAAGGTCCACATCTTCTTTAGTACTGAGTGTTATTAATAAGGCTAAATTGTACCCATGGCTACCATTTGATATTTCTGGGTGATTAAGACATATAGGGAAGACAAAGACATAAGAAAGAGATAGAAAAGAGGTAGAAGGAAAGAAAAAGATATAAGACAGGGAGTGAACCTGTGTCTACTTTTGATGCTATTTAGGAATATCTTTGCCATGGGGACCAATTTCAAATCCATGTAATGATGTAGATGGATTGAAAATTCCCACTTCATTTGAAGGGTGAAGTGGTTGGAGCTGAGGTCATGGGAAAATGGAGTGAGTTATCACAAGTCCATAGGAAAATATAATTAAATAAAAATGATGAGACTTCTATAAAAACTACTTTTAATGTCATGAAAAGTTAAAGCAACATTAATTTGTAGTCTTTGATAAGTAAATGTGAATGAAAATTATGTAATCTTTAAATAATATGTATATACTTAGATATGACTATTATTTACAGAGTTGCAAAGAGTGTGACGGTGGCATCCAATAGCAGCACCATTGTTATGTTTGCTAACAGGTTTTTTGCATTTAGTCATGGATCCCCACAACAGAAATGCTCTGATTTTGACTTTTGTATAGTACACAGGGGATTGCTGGAACATTTTGTTGTTTTTGTGGATATCACTTATTACAAAGTTTGGTTGCCCAATAGTTCAAAAGTTCAGAGATATTCTGGACTGTCTTACAGTTTATGAGTAACGGTGCCCAGAGCCAGTGATAGCTGAACACTACTTTTGCAGTTTGTTATTCCTGACTTTCATTTTAGAATGACTGAATATTGCACTTACCAGTTGGTAGAGTTTCTCACTGAGTTTATTTGAAAAATTTGTTTGAAAAAATGGTCTCTAATTCATTTATAGAATGACAGAGAGAGAGACTTTGATTGCAACATTTAAAATTGAAAAACTGAAAATGAATCTAAACTCTTAATTCATGAAGTACTCTTTGATGACAGGTAAGCCTTCAAGCAGGAGAGATAAATTACTGTATATTTTAAAGGCTGAAATGAAGCACCAAAAACATTATTCTCTGTTTTCAGTAATGAAAACTTGTCAAGTAAAATCTAAGGGTTATTTTTTCCTACCTTTCCTTTATTGATGTGCTCTCATTCATTCTTTTTCCTGAGGAGTAATATGTAGTACATTTTTAAGAAAGCTCATGCTTTTTGAAAGAAATTAAAAGTTTTGTTGCAAATTCAGATCTGTGCATTGTTTGTTTTGTAGTAAGTACATGTGTGGGAAGGATATCTGTCCTTCCTTCCTTTCCAAACCATGTACTTGGAATGTGTTTAACCAGCTTAATGCCCTATTTCTAATTTCCTCACAGGAGCTGCAATTGGAACATGCAAGACAAGCCTTTGCACTCAAAGACAAAAGCAAAAGTGGCATGATTTCTGGTCTGGATTTCAGTGACATCATGGTTACCATTAGATCTCACATGCTTACTCCTTTTGTGGAGGAGAACTTAGTTTCAGTAAGTAAAAAGCAAGTTCTTTAACTTTCTATTTCCTCAAACCTTTTGATCCATTGAGTCCTGGATTGCCTCCAGGGACTCATATGACTCTCAACTATTCAAATTTCATGCTTGGTTGGTAGAAAGTAAACAGGTTTGTGTGTGTGTGTGTGTGTGTGTGCATGTGTGTGTGTGTACGTGAATGTATGTATGTGTGTGTGTAATGGAGGTAGAGGTGATGGTGAGTTATCTTTTCCCGGATCATAGTTTTATTCAGAGCCACCATCTTGCTGTCATCTATTTCCAAATTGTTTATTTCCATTTACAGAGTCCAGTTCAAGGGAAACAAGAGTTTATAGACAAGGGTGAGCAATTACTTTTTCCAGTGGGCAGTAACTCTCCCAGACACTACTGCCTTCATCTTGGCCTCTTTCCACACCACCGGGCTCCCAAGGTCTTGCTATAAAGATGGCTCCTTCCTTTGTTGCCTTCAGGGTGCTGTCTGCCGGAGGGATCATCACTGGCTTCTGCAGTGTTTTAATAACCATGCCCATGGCAGAAGGTATGGAGGAAATATGTGGCCATCAGCCTCTGTGGCTCACTCCTCTCTCTGCCCCTTCACCTGTACATTCAGTCTGTATGCACCAGACATAGTTTTTTGTTCTGTCAAACTGCTAATCTCTATAAAGTAATCATCTGGACCAATAGCAAACTCATGTCATCCACTTCCTCACATAGAGTGGTGAAACTTTCCTCACTTACCCGTTTTCTTGTCTATGCGTTGTACTTATGTATAAGTTTTTGATTACTGCTTGTTTTGAATGGAGGGAAGCCAATGAGTGCCTTTGTTGTTTCAGCTGAAGATCATTATCCCTGATTTAGACTGGGGTAGAAAGATCAACTTCTGTTCTTTTTCTTCAGTGAATCTGAACATGGACCATGTCACTTTCTCCTACACGTTTCACCTCCTTGACACCATCCCCCACTCCCCTGCCCTCACCTCATACCCCAACCAAAAAAATGAAAGAAGGAAGGAAAGAAAGGGATAAAGGGAGAGAGAAAGAGAGAAAGGGAGGGAAGGAGAGAGAAGGGAAGAGAACCCTAGAGGGAGGGGCTCAGTACCTTAGTGGGAAGGGACTCATTTAATCTTTTCCAACTAGGTTAGATAGACCTACTATAATAGCCTCAATTTTTTGAGGCTCAATTTTTTATAGTTTACCAAAAGTCAATTCTAATCCTCAGAGGAGTATATGAAAATTTGAGTCCAGCTTTTTGGGTTGCTGGTATCCAAATTCAGGCTAACACAAATATAAACTGTATTTAGGTTAAGGCATGTGTGTGAGGGGTGGTGGGGTGGGATATATTTGCTCATCATTACCTACACTATTTGTAATAGACCTTTATGATTAAAATTGTTACATTGATATTTACATAAGCATTTCTTTGCATTTTTAAAGGAGAATGTTTTCAATCATATGGGTTCCTCTGACTTCTGGCTTGGAAATGAGGCTTTTGCAAACTATGCAAAATATTCTCTTTTGAGTTTATGTCCAAGTGGTGAGCAGAGAACAAATTACGTCTTCATCCTGCAGAGGTAATGAAGGCCACGTTGCCCGCCATCTCAGGCATGAGGGAGCCTCTTTTGCACTATTCCATTGAAGACATAACTCAATAGTGAATAAATTCTCTCCAGATTTTCTACATTTTTTGGAGTTTTTGATAATTGTACCCTTCATGATCCGAATTTAGAGTTTAGCACAGACTGTTAAGTATTTTAATTATAACAGTGGCCTTAAAAATTAGGAAAAGTTGATGTAATAAAATTGTCTTAAAATTTAAAGTCATCAGTTGGTTTTTGTGTATGTGTGTGAAGGAAAAAAACAAGGTTAAAAAGTGTTCCATAGATTGTACAGTGATTTTGTTTATCCAGGACTAGCAAGAGTTTCACAGTTGAGGGTCTTGAAGATCCTGTTTAAATAACTATTGTTTTGATCTGTGATAATTATATTTGTTGTTTTTGACCTTATAGGTAGATGAACCATGAAGTCCAACTTCCAGATGTTACTTTCTTCCTTAAAACCTAAATTACATAGACTTCCCTGAGGGCATGCAGTGCACTGTTTCAGTGTGATACTTTCCTTGTATTTATGTACTGGTTGTTAACATCATTTTAACAGTGAAGACTCCTTTGGATCCTCTTTGAGAAAAGTACAGTGTCCATAAACGTGTTTTTGTTTTTGTTTGTTTTTTAAACTTTTTGTGTTGTCATTTTCTAGGCAGCTGGAGGAAGTATCTCACACCAGGTTAGCTTCTCCTACTTCAATGCATTTAACTCGTTACTGAATAACATGGAGCTTGTTCGTAAGATATATAGCACTCTAGCTGGCACAAGGAAAGATGTTGAAGTCACAAAGGGTAAGATTTTAAAATATACATAAATAAGAATCTCAGCATTTTCACTTTTCTTCACTGAGGCATGATGTTGATCTAAGCTTACCACTCTAAAGCCAGATCTAGAAAGTATGTTACCATGTGTATGTATGCTTTACTTGGGCTCCAAAAATCCAGGTGGATTTAATGTGATACTGAGGTCAGGAATGGAAAAGTGGCTTTGACAGTTTTGAAAAGAACCTTGACCCAATCTGTCAAACAGGTCAGTGGCAGTGTGGCAGCAGCTTGTTTGTACTAGGAAGGAGTTGCCACAGAAAGATGAGCAAGCCTACTCCTTTTGGTGAGTGGTATTAGGATGTTTTGAATGACTGGAGAACACCCACTTTTTTTGTATTATAACTCTGGAGAACAAAGTGAATAAGCAAGATAAGAGGAGATTCTAAAGAGATTGTTTTATTCTTGAAGTTAATTCATCTGTTTTGCTGTTTTATCATCTTAACATTTTATCTTTTACCAGCCTTCAGAAATGCATATTCTTGTATAGTTGAACTTAAATATTTAAATTCAATTTTAGATTTTAAAAATGATACTAAAATGCCTATAGCTTTCAGGTTATATTATAGTTGGTGAAGGTAGAACTTTGTTATATATTAAGAATCATTCAAGATTTTAACTTTTTTTTTCTCTGTTCCAGAGGAATTTGCCCAGAGTGCCATACGCTATGGACAAGTCACACCACTAGAAATTGATATTCTATATCAGCTTGCAGACTTATATAATGCTTCAGGGTAAGTATTTCAATAATTCTTCATGATATTTATTATAGAGTAGTTCTAAAATGTGAAGCAGTGGTGTCCTTTTAGTTCATTCTAACATGAGTTTTTTCCATGTATTTGAATAGTTTATATTCAGAATATAAATTCCAAGAAAGACAAGCAGATGTAACAAAGGAGAGGAAAGAAACACAGGAAGACAGACAGAGGGAGAAGAAGATGGAGGGAGGGGAAAGGAGAGAACAAGGGAGAGAAGAAAGAAAGGGAAGGAAAGGGGAGGGAAGAGAAGGCGGGAGTGAGGTGAGATAGGAATAAGGGGTTGAGATGCATGAGAGAGTGAAATGGGAGAAGAAAGCAATCTGACAGAGAAGAGAAGGGTTGTGATAGGGTTCATAAAGTGGGAAAGAGGCTGGGCCCAGTGGCTCACGCCTGTAATCCCAGCACTTTGGGAGGCCAAGGTGGGTAGATCATCTGAGGTCAAAAGTTTGAGACCAGCCTGGCCTGTGACCAGTCGGAGACTGAAGTGAAGGCTCCCTGTGTCCAGACCCTGTGTTTCTTTCTTCTCCTCTGTTACATCTGCTTGTCTTTTTCTCTTGGAATTTATATTCTAAACTATTCAAATAGACTGTTCTTCTGCCTCATTTCCCCCTGAGAGACGTGATCTTCATAAATCTTTATGGGAGGCAGAGGGACCAATAGTCTTTCTTCTGTAACTACTTCATGCTGATTGGGGCACAGTCCCTACCTATTGGGGACCATGGAACTCTAGCACTGCTCTGTCTAGTGGAGATAGGGTGACTTCTTGATGGCCAGGGCAGGCATCATCATCTGGAACTGGAAGCCCTGCTGCATGATCATTTGAAGCTTAATCGTCTCTAGGTGAGAAGAAATAATCTGGTAAAAAGATGAACAAACATGGTCCAAAAAGTCAATGCAAGTATAATTATTAACAATGGGCTGGCCAAGGGAAGGAGCCATGAAGCCCAGCTTGGTGCCCTTGACCAGGAGCCCTATGATGTGGACAGCTGTTGTTATATTTTAGAAGTCCTGTCAGCTAATTTTCGAGTGGCATCCCTACTAATCCTGATTGGTTGATATAAAAACAACATTCTTATAGGAAAAGACATAAGCCATCTTTTTGAGCAGTTAGGAGATCCAGTCTCCTTCTATTTTGTACAGTGACTGCTGCCAAGGAGTCTGTTTGATTTTGTAAGGTGACAATACTTTGGGCAGTGTCTTCCAAGCTGTCTGGAAGATCCTTGGATGAGCATTGGTAATAGGATAGGGAAGTTGGAAGCCTGCTAACTCCTATTGCTATTCCTGCAGTTATTCCTAGCCCTACCAAAAGGGGTATGAGTTGGATGGCTCATTTGTGCTTGGTAGTTGCAGTTAGAGGTATAATGAGAGACTGGTTATTGGGAGCTATGTTGATTTTAAGGGGGTAAATATACAAGTGTACAGCTTCCAATCCAGTTGGCTGATAAACATAAGTACAACTAGTTCCACACAGGAGAAAGGATCTTTGTTTTTTAAGACAAAAATTGTTGTCTATGGTGAACATATGGGTTAGTTTGTTGTTTTCATTTTCCCAAGTGATTAAGGTCCCTGCTAAGGTGGCCCTGGTTAAAGGCTGGAAAGGACCTTGGGAAGTATCCTGAGTTGCCCCAGCAGCATTTTTCCAGTGGAGGTAGTTGCACTTAGTGTCCACCAGCAACCACCTAGAGGTATTTTCATACTGGGGAACCAAAAGACAACTAGATGTCTCAGGATTAGTATGGTTTTTCCCAAGGGAAAATATGAACACAGCTACTGGGCCTATCTTGGCAGTACTTAGACTGTGTATCCTTTAAAGTGCCTTGAACTAGGAATGGTTTCCTTGAAACCATACAGGTTTACCAAATGATGCAGTCTGGGCAACTGCATAGCTTACATGATCATGTGAAGGGTTAATCTCTAGGGTGTAGCTCTTAAGCCAATTAATTAGAGCTCCTTTATATAACATCACACACACAACACTTGTAGACAGGGGAAGATCTAGCTGTTGTTACGTTTTTCTTTCCCTTTAATTTTTTTTTTTTTGAGACAGAGTCTTGCTCTGTTGCCCAGGCTGGAGTACAGTGGCATGATCTCAGCCCACTGCAACCTCCGCCTCCTGGGTTCAAGCGATTCTTGTGCCTCAGCCTCCCGAGTAGCTGGGACTACAGGTGCGTACCACTATGCCTGCCTAATTTTTGTATTTTTAGTAGCGACAGCCATGTTGGCCAGGCTGGTCTCAAACTTTTGACCTCAGATGATCTACCCACCTTGGCCTCCCAAAGTGCTGGGATTACAGGCGTGAGCCACTGGGCCCAGCCTCTTTCCCACTTTATGAACCCTATCACAACTTCCACAGACCATCTATGACGTGCTTAGATTTTCTGACTTGTCCTGTATTTCCCTGTTTCCTAAGTAATTAAGCATTCTACTTTAGGACAAGAATTTGCCATACAAGATTCTTTCTCATATAAAATTTCTTTTCTTCATAACCTTCCTTATCATAAATACATCTTCATAGCTATAACTTTCTTTATATCTCTCTTTCCTACTAAAGTAATTTCTGATGCCTCCAAAAGTCAAAAAGGTCAGGTAATGTGATGCAAAACTGAGCAGAGCCTTAGATTTTGAGAGGGACCTGTCTGCCTACAGTTCTTGGGGTTCCATGAGGAAAACAGGGGTTTCTCCTAAAATGGGGTCTGTGGCACCTTCTGTTTTTCCCAAGGAGTCCCAGGCTCCCTTAGGTCCTTTCATGGGCATCAAGAGTGGCAAGAAGATAGACCAGGGAAATAGTCCAGTCAACTGAGAAGAAAAACAAAACTGTTGTAAAGATGGATAAACTGAGGCACAACGCAGTTTAAAAATTCACGTTCACATAGAGCTAGGCTACGCAGCTCGCTGCTCAGTCACTGATGCACTTGTGTGGTAGCTCATGGTGTACTTCACCAACAGGTTTCCTGCCCCCTCAGAGCTTACAACCTGGGTTTCATTTCCTGCTCTACAGCTATATAATTTAACAGTTTTCCTCTCAATGTGTTGGATTCTAACCCTATATATCTCACATTTTATTAATATTACTGAATCTTAAAGGGAGCCATGATGTCTTTAATCCTCAGAAATATTAAACAACCTGGCTGGGTGTGGTGGCTCACACCTGTAATCCCAGCACTTTAGGAGGCCAAGGTGGGCGGATCATGAGGTCAGGAGTTCGAGGCCAGTGTGGCCAACATAGTGAAACCCCGTCTCTACTAAAAATACAAAAAATTAGCCAGGTGTGGTGGTGTGCATCTGTAATCCCAGTTACTCTGGAGGCTGAGGCAGGAGAATAGCTTGAACCCGGGAGGTGGAGGTTGCAGTGAGCTGAGATTGTGCCATTGCATTCCAGCCTGGGCAACATTATGAGATTCCATTTCAAGAAAAAAAAAATATAAAGCAACCTGTAAACAAAGGAGTACATGAGGTTAAACAGTATTCAAATTTCTTTATGCTTTAAAACATTGAGAGAGTATATTGAGAAACACACCTAAGAAACTGCAGTCAATCTACTGTGAACAAAAATTTAGAGAATATCTCTTCAAAATAAGCTATCTAGTGGTATTTATACATATTCTTACATATATCAGCAGTGTTTTACATGCTTGTAACGTTAAACATAATTGAAAAGTGTCAAGATTATAGGGCTTATACATTTCTGTGGGCTTGAAAATGATGCAATATAGATTATTTGTTTCTATAAAGTAGTCAGTAAAATGTACAAACTTCTAAACGGAGTAATAACTAACAAGAGAGTTCATACTGAAGGTAGTAATACTAGGAACAAAAGAGGGCTCAACACTGCCTTCAGGAGAGAAAGGGTCCAGATTGGTATATTTTCTAAAGGCTTCCTCCAGCCTGCCATAAAACACGGCTAGATTTTCCTCCTTGCCCTGTGCAACCTCCCTTACTTTATCATAATTTACTGCCTTAGTTATTCCCTTTTTCATTCCTCCAAGGAGAGCCTTAAGAAATTTGGCCCAGTTGTTCATTCCCATGGGGGTGTTATAGTCCCAGTTAGGATCAGTAGCGGAGACTGTGTCTGGGCCTGGGCAATTACCCTGAGGGTTTTGGGCAAATAAATTGTCTGCTTCTCGGCAAGTGGCCTCAAAGATTCATTCCTTTTCCAACAGGGTGCAACAAGTTGCTGGAATGAATTGAACGTCTCTCTATGAGAGATGAAAGGCTAAGGTCAAAGCTTGGAACCTATCTGCAAATTTTCTGGGGTTCTCTGAATAGCTTCCTAGCTTTTTCTTTACATTGTTGTATGTTATTTATGGAGAAGGGGACCTACACTCAGACCAGCCCCTCGGCTCCTGCTGCTTCCCTAAGGGATAGCAGGGCTATAGAGGTAGTTGAATAGAGTGTTCCCCTCTGAATGTGAGGGGACTTAGCAGGGCCCTTGGTTTTAGCTCTTGGGTTTGAGCCTCAGAAACACTTGGCAAGGGGTTATATGGGGGTGGTTGCCATTGCCCCTGAGAGACAGGTGGCCCTTGCAAAAAGGAGGTCATCCACAATATCCGGTTCTGCCTTAGAACCTGCCCTTTTGGGGGCAGGTTCTGGGAGTTTTGCAGATGGTTGGGTTTTGATATAGGGCCATGAAGGCCTGCACATATGGGATTTCTGACCATTTACACTGCCTTTTGCAAAATAGGTCTAATTGCAGGATGGTGTTGTAATTAAGACTTCCATTGACTCCCCATTATTCCTGGCTGTCTAGCTAATTTTGGGGCCATACAATATTATGGTTAAAAAAAATCAGATGTTTTCTCCTTAGATTGTCAGGGTCAAATTGATTCCAGTGGTTGAGAATGCAGCCAAGTGGGGAATCAGGTGGAATGGATGGAGAGTTGCCCATAGAGGTCTGGAAGAAAGAAGAGAACCTAGCTTATTTGGTGACTCAAATTTTACCTGGGGCATCCCCCTGGAAAAACTCTGGGCCTTGATTGGGGTCCTCAGGGGTGTCCCCCTTTAGGGCCCCATCTTAGTCTGTCAGATGTCTCTGACCTTAGATGGGTGATGGTACCACTTTGGGAAGGTTCTCTCCACCACTGATGACCCACTGTGAGCTTTCCTTTTGTCCCTGGATGAAGGCCTTGTCTTCTAGCATCCATATAATTTGATAAGGCCATGGTTTCCTGTTCCACTGGAGTGATAGCCATGAACTTTAATAATAGGAACTAGAGGTTGGATGGATTTCTTTTGTCATGTGGATTACAGGTAATCTCAAGGGGGGAAAGGTAGATTTTGGGCATGAAAAATGAAATAATAGTGTTGGCTATTCCACTCAGGCCCTCGACAAGAGAGGGAATGTTTAAAAATCCACCACCATGACAGTGGACCCTGTGTAAGGGCAGGCCATTCTATAAAAATAATCTGGTGATGACAAAAGAAACAAGATGTAGAATGTATTCTAAAGATTGTGGGCCCCAAAAGTCCTCAGCAAGTTGAATAGATTGAGTAGGATAAGGGAAGTCAAAACATCTAAGAGATATCCTTTGCCATTACAAGCTAACTCTTTAGGAGAATTTGACATAAGAAAAGAGGGCTTAAGTTGACTGAAACATCTGTGAGTTTGTTCTGGAAGAGCTGCCACTGCCAATTTCGTCACATGTAGGGATTAGGGACTTTAACTAGGAAAGATAGAAAAGAGTACTTCCCCATTCTGGGCAGGGCAGCTATCCCCATTCACTTCTTGGCCTTCAGGTAACACCAGAGAGTGGCTCTGGCTAGTTGCCCTCAATTACCAAGGATCTACTAGGAAACAGCCTCTGAAAGACTGAAAAAAAGAAAAGGACTCAGGTCCCTCACCCAAACCAGGCAATGGTGGTCAGGTGCTTCCACATGGATACCTTTCAGTCTCCCGGGAGAGTGGACCTGGCCAGAGACCTGCAGTTGCCTTCATGCTTAGATGCTGTCTGTGGAGGGTCCCGTGTTGGAAAAGGGAAAGAGAGCAGAAAGGGTTCCCCTCTGTGGAGTGTAGGGAGCTCTGCATGGAGATAGCTCTAGCCTGTGCCCGCAAATGAAGGCTCAATAGAGAGGAAAAGAAAAAGAGCAAAAGCAAAGCAAAGAAAAATAAATCCCCAAATTTGGGCTTACCTCCTGGCTGACTTGCCAAGATATGTTACCAGTGGAGGGTCTTGACTACAAGTTGTCCAGTTTCTTGGCATATTGAACAAAGAATTGGACAAAACGCACAAACAAAGCAATAGAAGACAAAAGCATAGATGTATTGAAGCAAAAGTATACTCCACAGATCAGGAGCAGGCTTGAGCAAGCAGCTCAAGAGCCCTAGTTGCAAATCTTCCGGGGTTTAAGTACCCATTAGAGGTTTCCTATCGGTTACACCCTATATAAATGAAGACTTGGCCCACAACCAATCGGAGGCTGAAGTGAAGGCTCAGCCCGTGATCAATTGGAGGCTGAAGTGAAGGCTCAGCCTACAACCAATCAGAGGCTGAAGTTACATCCTACGCAAATGAAGACTTGGCCCATGACCAATCAGAGGCTGAAGTGAAGGCTGCCTGTCTCCAGACCCTATTCTCCTGCCTAAAAATGGGTCAAAACTCAAAGGGTTGGAAAGAACATATCGTTGGAAAAAAAAAAAAAGTCTCCCTCATACCCTTGTTCCTTTCCTTCGAGGCAACCAGTATTTATCAGATTTATGTGTATCCTTCCCAGATACTTTGCGCCTGTCCTTTAGATAGGTATCCTTGGGGACACATTTAGTGGGTAGGGACAGTCAATCTCTATACTTTTGCTTCTGGCAATAATTATTTGATTTTAATATCTATCACTGGAGTCTTACCAAATTCATGCACTCCACATTATTTCTCTGGAGTCTTTTGCTTTTTGTTGATGAAAACAGAGTTAAAAGGTTTTTATTTCACTAAAATGATCTGTGTAAATAGGGAAGTAATGATTTTAAACTATAGTTCACTGTTTTTTGTTTTTTTTTTTGAGAAAAGATGATTTTGGCGTGAGGAGTTTGTCAGTGTCTAACAATTCTTTCCTATATTTTTCCTGAAGGCGCTTGACTTTGGCAGATATTGAGAGAATAGCCCCATTGGCTGAGGGGGCCTTACCTTACAACCTGGCAGAACTTCAGAGACAGGTATGAGTAATCTCATAAATATGATCACCTTAAAAAAATGCTGAACTAGTAGACTAAATAGGAGCTGACAGCTTCTGAATGCTGTAAAAATTAAAAATTACTTTCCAGAGAAAGACTTTACTTAGCTTAAAGATTACCTTTATAGAACTACTGTTACCCCCACTTTTATAGAATATATATATATTTTTTGAGATGGAGTCTGGCTGTGTTGCCCAGGCTGGAGTGCAATGGCGTGATCTCGGCTTACTGCAACCTCTGCCTTCTGGGTTCAAGAGATTCTCCTGCCTCAGCCTCCCCGAGTAATTGGGATTACAGGCGTGCACCACCACAACTGGCTAATTTTTGTATTTTTAGTAGAGACAAGGTTTTGCCATGTTGGGCAGGCTGGTCTTGAACTCGTGACCTCAGGTGATCCACCTGCCTCGGCCTCCCAAAGTGCTGGGATTACAGGCATGAGCCACCACACCCAGCCTATAGAATATTTTTATGAGATAACTAGATTTATATTTGTGTTTTGTTTTTTGTTTTGTTCAGATAAGGAAAATAAGAGTTCAAACATACATGGGTTTGACCCCGTTCCCCTTAGAATTAGCATTCTTTTCATTTGCCTCGTCACATTTAAAGATTAGTGTTAGGTTTACTTTGTATCATTAAACTGATATTTATAGGGTTTCTAAAATTAAAAAACTTCCCTCAAATTAAATAAATCATTCACTGGGATTGTGCCTTACAGATTACAGCCAGGAAAAAAAAAGTAATTAGTGAAACCAGAAAGAAAACCCTGACTGTTAATTACATTTTTGATAAATATTACTTTTGGTTTTTATAAATGTTAAGAATGATTAAAACAGTAGCTTCTGAGTCCTATAAAATTAATACAATCCCATTTCTGATTTTACAAATACTATCTTGGTAAGAAAAAGAAAATCCATGAAATTACCTTGAAGAGTGGAATGGAACAGTTTTTAATAAATCTCGTTTTAAGTTGAAACTTCCACTTCTATAGCACTTAGGAAGTTTCAGTGGTAGCAGATGATCACATTGCTTTTGTGTGTGGGTAAGGGTTAGGAGGGCCAGTCATTGTCCTCCTGGTACTTTCCTGCTCTAATAGACATGGAACCTGTGTTCCTCATAATTCTCTAGGAGAGTGTGATGCCATACTAGGCAAGGCGACGTGGGGAGGGCATGGATAAAGAAGACAGGATACAGAGAGAGAGAGAGAGAGAGACAGTTACTAAATGTGCATGCTATAGAAAGAGGCTATGTCTGCTCTTTCTTCATTGCTGCCACATTGGTGAGTAGCCAGGGTTGGCTTGCTGTTATTGTTCACCTTCACCAAATGTGTTAATGAAACATCAAGATATGTTTAAGTGTAGTTCGCTTTGGGAAGACTTGGTTAGGAAACCTTTCTTCTACTTGAGCTCCATGGAATGATGATTCTGCCTGTGAAACTAATTAGAATTTACAGTTCTACTTTACATAAGGAACAAGAACATTTTGTAGTCAGGTTGAAGTAAATTGAAAATGGAAAAGAAACCATTATATCTGCATTTTGTATTAATACTTTAACTGTTTGCTTGATGTGTAATAAAGCTTCCTACAGATTAAAATATGTTGTAACTCATTGCAATTTAGCTTCTTTTGTATCAGAAAAACTCTTTTATCTGCTGCCATCAAAGTTTATTTCCAGGCTGGGTACAGTGGCTTATGCCTGTAATGCCAGCAATTTGGGAGCCTGAGGCAGGCAGATTGCTTGAGCCCAGAAGTTCCAGACCAGCCTGGGCAACATGGCAAAACCCCATCTCTACAAAAAAAAAATGCAAAAAATTAGCCAGGCGTGATGGCGTGTGCCTGTAGTCCTAGCTACTTGGGAGGCTGAGGAGGGAGAATCACCTGAGCCCAGGAAGTTGAGGTTGCAGTGAGCGTGACTGTGCTACTACACTCCAGCTTGGGCAACAGAGTGAGACTCTGTCTTAAAAAAAAAAAGAAAAAAGTTTATTTCCATTAGGAGGTCTCAGATCCTTTAAAAATAGATGGATTTATTTCAATTCAGTGATTTTAAAAAAATAAAATTTTATAAAATTATGTTTAATAAAAGGAAAGAATGTGAAAAATTTTTAATAAAATTAAGAGACATTGAAATATTTAAAGAGCTCTTACTGAATTTAATTTTATTTTTTGTAGCCTATACATCTGTGAAAATTTGCTCTTGAATTTTGAAAAATTGCATTTCAAAAGAAGATATTTTGCAGTGTTGCATGTGTCTATTGATATAGCTCTCCCTGGAGGTTTCCTTAATATTTGTAATTGGGGAATATTTCATTTAGCTTATTAAAAACATTGAATTTAAAAGTCTCAACTCATTTCTCCTCCTCAGTTTTTCTGCTGCTTACTTTTCTATTCACCCACCTCTCTTGCCCCTAGCAATTTTCCTAGAGGCCATATCTGAAGCTTGTTTTGCAATCTTTGGCACCCTGAGTCTGCATCCTTCACATTTCTTCATCCTTAGGAAAGTGATGTAATTTTGCTACTGCTGTGAATTCTTTTTAAGACAGATTCAAGATGATTTGCCTGTCTTCAGTGGCAGCGCTGATGCTTTTATGCTGGGATGGGTGGCCTCAAGGGTCTTTTCAGATATTTAGGAAATGGGCAGTGATAAAAACCACCATTTTCTTCTTCCCTGGGTCTCTGATTGGTATCCAGAGTGATGGGGAGTGCTTTCTCTGCCTTTCCTTAACCAGTGAGATAGTACAGGGATCTAGAATTTCTGGAGAGCTGGTAGAAGTCTTAGGTATTCTTACATTGTCCCCAAAGGAAGAACCTCAGAGTCTCAGGACAATTTTTTTTTTTTTTTGTGGAGACAGGGTCTCACTCTGTCAGCCAGGCACAATCACTGTTCACTGCAGTCCTGACCTCCCCGGCTCAGGTGATCCTTCCACCTCAGCCTCCTGAATAGCTGGGACTGTAGGCATACACCACCATGCTCAGCTAATTTGTTTTCAGTAGAGACAGGGTTAAGCCATGTTTCCCAGGCTGGTCTCAAACTCCTAAGCTTACATTAATCCACTGATCTTGGCCTCCCAAAGTGCTGGGATTACAGTGTGTGTGAGCCACTGCACTCAGCTAAAATGTTTGATGTTTCCTCTCACATAGAAGATAGTCTTTCTACTGAGGATTAGGTACAGAGAAATAAAAATTAAGGTCTTAAGTGTATATTTTCCTGTACATTATTATAGGAACAAAATCTGAGAAAATAGAACTCAACAGAAATAATAAATAATTATTAGAATTTTATAGAAACAGATTTGTGAAGGTTAAGGATTCAGATTAATGTCCACTAATGGCCATTGTGAAATCTGATCTTTACTGTCCTTGAGATTTGATACAAGTTTATTTGGGACTCAGTTTTCCCTTTAATAAAGTGAGTATCTTCATGTATTTCTGAGAAGCCTTCAAGCTCCTGCATTCTGTAGAATGGTATGTATCAATGGATTTTATTTTCAGAATTCTAAATTTATCCTCCTTTTTCCTTTGTAACATTTAAAATTTTATAAGGAATACAGGCTGGACTCAAGTAGAATAATATGAAAATATGCTTAAGTTCTTATAGCAACCAAAGTAATGGAATAAACTTTCTTCAATTTTCAGCCTTGAAAAAACATTCCTCAGTTAACATATTTCAGGTTTATGAGGCATTGTAAGGCAGCCATATAGACTACAATCCTAGTGACTCAGTTTTTAACATTCTTTAGTTCACAGAATTTCAGTAATGCTAACCTTAACTATTCCCATGTTACTTCCAGAAGATATCTTGATTTGATTCTCTTGTAATTTTTCCTATATTGCCAAATTAGAAGTACATAATTACTTACATTTATTATGCAGAGTATTCCCTTATATGAATCTATTAGAAACCTAAATATAAAATAGGAAGAAGGATATATGTCTTGTTATCTCACCTTATGAAAGTTGTTATGAAAACACTTGTTTATGATGGAGAATCTGTGAGTCCAGAACTAGAAGTTATGAGGGAGAGAGTAGTTAAGAGCCTGGCCACTGATTATGTAACATCCTCTCATTCTGTTTCCTCATTTATTAAATAGGGACAGTATGCCAGGCACAGTGGCTTGTGCCTGTAATTCCAGCACTTTGAGAGGCCAAGGCGGGCAGGTTGTTTTGAGCCCAGGAGTTTGAGACCAGCCTGGGCAATATGATGAAACCCTGTCTCTAAAAAAACATACAAAAAATTAGCCAGGCATGGTAGTATGCACCTGTAGTCTCAGCTATTTGGGAGACAGAGGTGGGAGGATTGCTTGAGCCCAGGAATTTGAGGCTGCAGTCAGCTGTGATCACACTACTGCACTCCAGCCTGAGTGACAGAGTGAGACCCTGTCTCAAATAAATAAATAAATAGGGATAGCAGTATGCATCTTTATAGGATTGTTATGGGAATTACATGAGTAATAATACACTTACATTAAGCCTGACACCTGCTAAGCATGCAATAAATGTTAACTGCTATTATTGTGCTTATTACTGTTATCAAATATGAGAAGCCCATATAAGCAAACTCCAAGATGGGCTGAAACATATATGTGACACAACTGCTTAATCTACCCTCATCTACTTCCATTAGGTAGAAGGGGATGGGAAGTGAGGAAAAAGTATTAATATATCTTTGTATTTTTTAAGTGCCTGAAATGTTTTATATTTTAATTTTTTGATGCTGGCTGAAATTTTACCAGGCCTGTTTTTAAAAATTTTTAATTAATGATGGATATTCAACAAGGAAAAAAAATCACTACCCCATACCATACACAAAAGTCTTTTCCTGTTCCTAAATGTGAAAGATTAAAGAGGATAACACAAGATATTCTATTTATGATCTGGAGATAGGCAGAGATTTTGTGAATAGTACAGAACACCAGTCATAAAGAAAAAGATTAATAAGTTAAACTTCATTAGATTTAAGAACTTTTATCAAAATATACCACTAAGAGTGTGAAAAGACAAGTTACACAATAGGCAGAGATATTTGCAATAATTTAAATAATAGAGGATCTGTATCCAGAATATATAGTATAATAAACTTGTGCAAATTTATAAGCAAAAGGCAGGCAATGCAATAGAAAAATTGGCTAAATACCTGAACAGAAACCTCACAAAAGAGGATATCCAAATGGTAAGGAAAAATAATAGAAAAGTTTAATATCATTAGTACAAGAAAACACACATTAAAACTGCAATGGGATGCTATTTTATACTATCCAGATTGATCAAAATTATACTCTGACAATGGCAAGTGTTGTTCAAGAGGTGAAGGAATGGAAATTGCTAGCATCACAACTTTGGCAACTATTTGTCAGTACCACTGCAGTTGAAGAAACACATACCCCGTGACCTGTTGGTTCCTCTCCTGGGTGTAGTCCCTAACAAAAATGTTTACACATGTGTGTTAAGAGATATGTACAAGAAAGTTTAGGCCGGGTGTGGTGGCTCACACCTGTAATCCCAGCACTTTGGGAAGCTGAGGTGGGTGGATCACTTGAGGTCAGGAGTCTAACATGATGAATCCCCATCTCTACAAAAAATACAAAAAATTTAGCCAGGCATAGTGGTGCACACCTATAGTCCCAGCTGCTCGGGAGGCTGAGGCACGAGAATTGCTTGAACCCAGGAGGTAGAGGTTGCAGTGAGCCAGGAATGCGCCACTGCACTTTAGCCTGGGCAACAGAGGGAGACGCTGTCTCAAAAAAAAAAAAAAAAAAAAAAAAAAAAAAGAATGTTTATAGCTGCGTTATTTGCAGTTGCAAAAATATTGGAATCTAAATACTCACCAACAGTAGAACGGATAAATATGTTGTGCTATTAAGATGACCTACAGTGAGAGAAATGGAAATTTTGATTTGAGGGAAGTGAGATAAAAGAGGAGGTGGGTTGCAGAAAGAAGAGGATGTATATTTTTGAAGCATGTAACAGTTTGGATATTAAAACCAGGTTATAGACCAATTTTGGTCCTATGTGAAAATGGGAAAACAAACCTTCTCTTTTTCTTTTTTTTTTTTTTTTTGAGACGGAGTCTCGCTCTGTCGCCCAGGCTGGAGTGCAGTGGCGGGATCTCGGCTCACTGCAAGCTCCGCCTCCCGGGTTCACGCCATTCTCCTGCCTCAGCCTCCCAAGCAGCTGGGACTACAGGCGCCCGCCACTGCGCCCGGCTAATTTTTTGTATTTTTAGTAGAGACGGGGTTTCACCGTTTTAGCCGGCATGGTCTCGATCTCCTGACCTCGTGATCCGCCCGCCTCGGCCTCCCAAAGTGTTGGGATTACAGGCGTGAGCCACCGCGCCCGGCCTCTTTTTCTTTACTGTATATTACATAATTACTTTTTTCAACTGTATGGGATAAATGATCTGTGATAGACCTGCTTGGGTATATATGTACTTTCTTTAAAAAAGTTTTGTTTCTATGGGAAATTATATTAAAGCTATAGGCCACTCACTAAAAAAACTATGGAATATAAGCTGGATTGTGTTCTGTCAAAACATCATTAGAATTATTAAGAATTATTATTTTAACTTTTAAGTTTGGGGGTACATGTGAAGGTTTGTTACATAGGTAAACGTGTCATGGGGTTTTTTTGTACATAGTATTCCATCACCCAGGTATTAAGCCCAGTACCCGATAGTTATCTTTTCTGCTCCTCTCCTTTCTCCTCCAGTCCTCCCTCAAGTAGACCCCAGTGTCCGTTGTTTCCTTCTTTGTGTTCATAATAAGCTCTTATCACTTAGCTCCCACTTATAAGTGAGAACATACGGTATTTGGCTTTCTGTTCCTGTGTTAGTTTGCTAAGGATGGTGGCCTCCAGCTCCATCCATGTCCCTGCAAAAGACAGGATCTCATTCTTTTTTATGGCTGCATATTAGAATTACTTTTATCTTTATTTTGTGTATAGCGTTCCTTAGACATAGGACTTTGTTTTCTTTGTGTAATTTGCATTTCTGTGGACCTTCTTTGAATTTTGGATTCATGAGCACATATAGGAAGACATTACTGTCCATTTAGGAATTCCTTTTTTTGGAACATTTTACCTCTTTCACCTGTGATATTTTACCACAAATGGAAGTCTGTTCTCAAAAAGAAAGTTAGGTTTATTTATTAGTCTATTATTAGCTATTATTTATTAGTCATTTAACTCATTTAAATTTAACTCATTTAAATTATTAGATTTGAAGACTTAACTATAGTCTTTAACACAACTTAACTCCCTTTTTGCTGAGAGAAAAATATGTATTGTTTAGCATTCAGGGGAAAATTATATATATATTAATATATATAATATATAATAAGTATTATATATTATATATTATTATGTATATAACATAATTATATACTTATATAATTATATAATATATATTATATATAATATATTATATATAATATAAATACATATATAATAATATATATAATTATATATTATGTATTATATATAATTATAATTCTATATTATGTATTATATATTATGTAAATATATAATGTATACATTATATATATTAGTATATATTATATACATATATAATATGTATTATATATTATATATTAATATATAATACGTATTATACATATATAATACGTATTATATATCATATATTTTATATTTATATATAATATGTATTATATATTATATATATATTTTATGTATATATATATTTTTCCTTCATCTCCTTCTCCTATACTGTCATGGCTTTAGGTTTTAATCTTACTTTTTAAGGCCAAGAATATTGAATTCAAATCCCAGACTATTGAAGTCATAGATGTAGTTTGCAGACAGAAAAATTTTGTTTTGTTTTCTCTAGCCTTATTTTGCCATTCCAGTCATACATTTTTGTTTTTATAGAATCTAGCCTTTTTTCCCCCTTCCAATGCTTGATATAAAAACTTTAGCTATTTCTCCCTTTTATTCTACCCATTAATAGTGTGTCATTTGAAAGAGGTAGTTCTCCCTATTGAGTTGGCAGTGTGGTTTGGGCAGGTTTGACTTGTTAACTGACATAATCTTGCCTTATCTAATGCATCATCACTGCTCACTGCAGCCTCAACCTCCCAGGCTCAAGTGATCCTTCCACTTCAGCCTCTCAAGTAGCTGGGACCACAGGCATGTACTACCATGCCTGGCTAACTTTTGTATTTGTTGTAGAGATGGAGTTTTACCATGTTGCCCAGGCTGGTCTTGAACTCTTGGGCTCAAGTGATCTTGCCTGCCTCAGCCTCCCAAAGTGCTGGGATTACTGCTATGAGCCACATCACTAGACCTAATTCTCACTTACAAAATGAGATACGTATAACAAAAAAATGAAGAGAACATCTCTTTAAATGAGGTCTCAACTTATTTCCTATCATACACATATGCTTAGGGAGTAGGTTAAAAATCATTTAAGATTCTCAACTCTTGTTTTGAAAAACACTTAATTAACCTTGTTAAATATCAAACTTTACGACCATAATCATAACCTTAAGGGAAAGAGCGTCTTTTCCTTTGGCCCATTTGCTCACGGCAGGCAATCTTCTTAGTGCTGAGTGTTTTCCTTCAGCCTAAATGCTAAAAATTCAGGACACAGTCATTAATAGGGATGACAGCGGTAGCATTTCATTTATGAATATTCATGAAGTGAAATCCATAGCATTAATTACATTAATTTACATACCTGAATACAAGTGAGCCATAAGTGATAACTAAGCCTTAAAAAAATGTTGCTAACCATATATTGTATGTTTTCTTTTAAATGTTATTTAATAAGGGTGAAGGTGACATTTCTGTCAAAAGGCATTTGGGTATTTATAGTTAGAAATGTTTTTAGCAAAGAATTAAAGCACAGTATAATCCTTCAGTTTTCATAGGATTTTGTAGGGCTTATAAACATTCTTTAAAGGAAGAAAGTATACAGAAAAATATATGCAGTTGAATACAGGAGAAACCTTTTATATGAATAAGGGTATTAGTGGTTACTTGATGCTTATTTAGGATCATAGGCTTTTTATTCTGTGAGTTTTAATTCAACATATTCTTTTGAAAGGATACATGATTGAAAATAATTCATAATCTATGAGAATGAAATTTATTTTCATCCAGTTTTGTGATTGAGAAACTCTAAGTGGGGGAAATAACATTCTACATACATTTTTTTTTTTTTTTTTTTTTTTGAGGCAGAGTCTTGCTCTGTCACTCAGGCTGGAGTGCAGTGATGTGATCTCAGCTCACAGCAACCTCCACCTCCAGGTCCAAGTGATGCTCCCACTTCAGCCTCCCAAGTAGCTGGGATTATAGGCACCTGCCACTATACCTGACTAATTTTTGTATTTTTAGTAGAGAGAGGGTTTCACCATGTTGGCCAAGCTGGTCTTGAACTCCTGAACTCAAGTGATCCGCCCACCTTGGCCTCCCAAAATGCTCAGATTACAGGTATGAGCCACTGTGCTGGCCCAGTGCATTTTTAAAGAAGTTAAAAACGTATGCCAATGTGTTTAGTAGGTAGCATAATAGCTATATTGATTTTAAAATGTGAGCTAAAATGCCTGTCTTTGTTTGGACTCCTATTACAAATTACCATAGGTGGTTTAGATAGCAAACATTTATTTCTCATAGTTCTAGAGGCTAGAAAGTACAAGATCAAGGTGCTGGCCGATTCAGTTACTGGTGAGGGCCCTATTCCTAGTCTGTAGACAGCAGGCTGCTTGTTATATCCTTGTTATAAGAGGGAGAGATAGAGGGAGGTCGTCTTTCTTGTGTCTTTTCTTATAATGGCACTAATCCTATCATGAGGGCTCCATTTTCATGACCTAATTACCACCCAAAGTTGCCACCTTCACATCACATACAATCACATTGGGCAGTAGGGTCTCAACACATGAATTTTGGGGAGTCACAAGCAGTGAATCTGTAGCAATGCCATAACTTGAATTCCTTCAAAGTATATGAGATTAAATATCATCATTGCCTTGAAAGGACAGATTGTGTATATGTTTTCAACTGTTGTCTTTGAAACAAAGTATCAGAATTAACTGGTTAATCAACATTTTAGAAACTCATTGAAGCATATTCAGTTAATTATACTGAAGCATATTCAATATAGTGGGCCCTCCATCTGCTTGAGTTTCATGTCCTTGGATTCAGCCAACTGTGGATGGAAAATATTTGGGAAAAAACAAACAATAAAAAATAACACTACAACAATAAAAAAATACAAAATTTAAAAATACAGTATAACAACTATTTACATCTTATTTACCTTATATTAGGTATTAGAAGTAATGTAGAGATGATTTAAAGAATACAAGAGGATGTGCATAGGTTATGTGAAAATACTACACTATTTTAGATAAGGGACATGAGCATCCATGGATTTTGGTATTTGAAAGTAGTATCAGGAATATTTTTGTGCCAGGTGAGGTGGCTTATGCCTGTAATCCCAGCACTTTGGGAGGTTGAGGTGGGAGAATAGCTTGAGCTCAAGAGTTTGAGACCAGCCTGGGCAACATAAACAGACCCCATCTCTACAAAAAATTTAAAAATTAGCTGGGCATGGTGGCATGCACCTGTAGTCCTAGCTACTTCGGAGGCTGAGTCGTTGGGATGGCCTGAACCTGGGAATTTGAGGCTGCGGTGAGCCATGTTTGTGCCACTGCATTCCAGCCTAGGCATCAGAGTGAAACCCTGTCTCCAAAAAAAAAAAAAAAAAAAAGGAATATTTTTGCATTAATTAATAAGTGAAATATAAAATTACTTAGAAATATTTATCTCATTCTATAATTTCTATTTTTGTATATACTTTAAAATACATCTTATGTGTAATTTTATAATGTATATTAAGTTTATGTATATATAATTAAGACGTTGGCAAATATGTGAACTTTTTATTTAGTTTATTCTGTCATTTCATACTGTTTACATAGTATAGAAGGTCTTTTCATAGTGAAAATATTAAAGAACAAGACTGACACACTAGTATAGACAAGTTATCTTAGATCCTTTCTTTATGCTGTGGGATACCTGTGAAATAACATCTGGTGGAATTTTTCTCTTTTTTATTATTATAGATTTTTATGTTAGAACTGTGGCAGTAGTCATTAGAGATGGTAGATTATGATCAATATTCTCTGATTTAAGAATCAAGTTAATTTTTATACACTTTAGAAAGCTTTTTAAATTTTAAGTTAGTTAAAGAAGGAAAAAAATTTTATAACTGAAATGCTTGTTTACCTGAAAGATTCACTTCTGTAAACTGATAGTGTATTCCCCCAACAGTAGCAGATAAATGAGGCATTAATAGGCTTGTAAAAATTGGGGTAAGTGGGAAGCTACTGTGTATTTGGCCTAACATGGTTTTTAAATGCTGACAATAGAGTTATCTATTTTTAAATACATTGCTTTCATTTTTGGCTGCATGAATATCCTATTTTCTTCTTTTAGAAAAGATATTACTGCATTAACAATATCACTTTTAGGTTTTGTTTTTTCTTGTCTTAAAATAGTCAAATTGTAGCTTTTTCACTTGCTGTGTGCGCTTTCAAGATTTTTTTTTACCCGTTTTCTTCTCTGCAGCAGTCTCCTGGGTTAGGCAGGCCTATCTGGCTCCAGATTGCCGAGTCTGCTTACAGATTCACTCTGGGCTCAGTTGCTGGAGGTGAGTGACATGTCTGTGTGCTGTTTGAGGCTTGTGTTAATGTAATATTATCTCACCAGACTGAGGCAGATCAGCAAAGGTGCAGTTCATTGTTCCCATGGGTCACGACTTCAGGGCTTTCTGAAGTGTTCTTTATTTTTACCTATGATCAGGAGACTTGTCGTAGCAATGGCTATGACCATCTGGCTCCAGTCTGTCTTCAGGACAGAACCTCTGTAATGATGTGAAAGTCTGGGATGCAGTGCTGCACTCACCTTAATTATACTGGCTAAGGCCAGTATGAAAAAATGGAAAATGAGACTGTGTTTATGGGACAGGTTAAGAAATTGAGATTCGCTATTATCCTTAGCAAACTAACGCAGGAACAGAAAACCAAATACCACATGTTCTCATTTATAAGTGGGAACTAAATAGGAGCTTATTATGAACACAAAGAAGGAAACAACAGACACTGGGGTCTACTTGTGGGGGAGGGTGGCAGGAAGGAGGGGAGCAGAAAAAATGACTGTTGGATGCTGGGATTAATACCTGGGCGATGAAATATGTACAACAAACGCCCGTGACACGTGTTTACCTATGTGACAAACCTTCATATATACCCCACACCTAAAATAAAACTAAAAAAAAAAAGAAAGAAATTGAGATTTGGGATATGAATCCCAGAACCTCGTGAAATAAAAGAGCCTCTCAAAGTGACCCAGTTTTGCTTTTCTGCTTGTATGTTTTCCTTTCCCTTATCGCTTGCTTAACAATATCTGGACTTGATGTTTATTTGCAAAAATGAACCTCCCTTCCCTCCCTGTTCACAGCCAAAATTTGAGAGACTGTTTTTGCTTAAATACTCTACTTAGAAAATGTGTACAATCTGAAGTTGCTTTGTTGAGAAGAAGCTAGCAGGTGTGATTAAAATGCTTACGATTTTTTAAGATAAGCCTGAACTCAAAAGACTTTTTTTTTTCTTTTCACTCTCAGTTTTAGAAGTTGCAAACCAGGTTTTGGCTTTCAGCAGTCAAAATGTGTAATACTCTCGTTCATGTAAATAAATTTTCATTCCCTGAGAAATTCTAAAGCATAGCCATATTTTCTTTTAAACCAAATTCTATACATAGGGATAGGATAATGTTGAAGTGTGTTTCTAATATTATGGTTGTAACTATGATTAATTTACCAAGATGCTTTATTAAACTAAATTTTAAAATCGTAGCCACCTAGTGTACGGATATAGTCATTTTAAGAAGTAACTGGCATAATATTTAAGCATTTAATGGAAAATATAAATAAATGTTATACATAATAGTTTAATGTTGTTACTATAGAAAACTGAGTGTTGATTATCTAATTTGGGAAGTGACTCGATAATCCACTCTGTAGTTTATGAACCTACGATATCAAAGAGCATTCTTGACAGTTGTTTTCTGAAGCAGCTGTATTTATGGATTTCAGTGCTTGCTATAGCCTGCTATCCCTAAGGTGTTTGTGAGGGAAAGAAAAATAATAAACTCTCTTTTGTGAGAATACATGTTGTGTTTTATTTTCTCATCCTTTAAGATAAGATTTGTCATCCTTATGGACTCTCCATTTAATTGTGTTCTTTTTTAAGCCTAAAAATTGTTCTGTTTGTAGCTGTGGGAGCCACTGCAGTGTATCCTATAGATCTGGTGAAGACCCGAATGCAAAACCAGCGTGGCTCTGGCTCTGTTGTTGGGGAGCTAATGTACAAAAACAGCTTTGACTGTTTTAAGAAAGTCTTGCGTTATGAGGGCTTCTTTGGACTCTACAGGGGTGAGTAAGCAAATCCCAGCTGCTGAAGTTAGTGATTTGATCTCACCAGCAGCAGATTTTAACTCACTAATTATGGAAGCCAATATGTAGTATGCCTAGCCAGACTAGGTCTGTTTCTCTCTTTTTATTTTCTCTTTGCTCATTTCCCTTTTTGCATTCTTTCTGGTGATTAGCAATATTAATCTGCAAATAAGGTCTTCATTTCTTCTTCTTGTGGTTTATATTTCTTGGTGTCCAAATTATGTGTTTGTCCCAACATGGGTCTATGTCACCATGCTCCTACAAACCAAGGCACATATCTGCAGGTGGAATACAAGGATGATAGTTAAGAAATATAGAGCTGCTTTTCTCAAAGAATTAAAGAGGAGAAATACATCTCTTTCCTGTGAAAAAGAATCCAGGTTACCACTCAAAGATGAGTTTACCCTCCATATATTTATTTCAACTGAAATAAATATCAAATGTTTTTGTCTCTTTCAGGGACCATTTATAAATTTTTTCCAATGAGCCATCTGAAGGTTTAAAAAAAAAAAAAAAAAGGAAAACCCTTTGGTTCCAAGTCTAATTCTTGCTTCTTTCCCCCACTTAGCTCAGAGGTGTACAGTCAAAACAGAGAGATTTTCTTTCGCAGGGAATGTTAGCAGCCACTCTAGACTGAGCACAGTGCAGTTGGCATCAGAGGCAGCACTGCGCCCCATGCAGAATTTTCCCCACCCCCCGTTGTCTTTGTAGGAACTTGTCTCTTTGGAGAGAGAATGACTTTCATGTATGTGTTTTCACATTAGAATATAGGGTTTCCTTTGGGAGGGAGATTAATTTTTTAATCTCTTTGGGCGCCACTTGGGATTCTATGAAAATACTCTCTACATGCTCAAGTCCATGCCATTTATGTAATTTACTGTACTTGTTTGTTTGCACATACAAGCTCATTAATCCCTAGCCTATTCTGAGCTCTGTTGAACTATTTGGCTTAGAAATCTTCCTAAGAAAGACTGGGCCCGAACAGAGCTTTATGCTCATGGACAGGAGGAAAAAAACACCGCTGGTTAGCATTATATACAGGTATTCAAGCAAAAAATATAACTCCGATAAACTCATAATTGAAGTAGAGGGTCACAAGGATGTTCATTTTTAGCATTATATATAGAATAATAGGAGAGAGTTATTCCGAAATCAAACTAGGCTCAAGTACCCTGCTCTTGAGAATGAATGTGATGAGTTTTCCTCAAATATTCAGAACTGTAGTCTCTTTGAATTCCACCTGTACAGCATGTACCCTGTGGAAAGGCGTACAATATCCAGAATGCAGACCTTTCCATGTGAATGCTTGTTTTAACTGATTAAACCCTGCATATCCAGATTTTATTTAATGGGGAATCAAGGTTGAGTGGCATTAAGGTTGTTTTTTTCCTTGATATCTCCAATATTTCTTTGTTGAATAATGACCTTTCTCCTCTTTGGTATACTTTTAAATTGCAAAGAAAATGTCCCCTATTAAAAGGAACCTAGATATTTACTGCATAGTTTAGCCTTCTCAATGGATAGATGCTTACAGAAGATTTCATTTGAGAGAGATGTCATGTTTATTAAATGGATGCAATATAGCAAGTAGGGGAGGGGATTGTTGGTTTTATTCAGGATGTAAGCTCATAAAAGCAGTTCTTTAAATGAGAGACTTTTGTATTAGGGAGAAGATTGTAGGAGTCCTGTATGTGAGCACTATGATTATTGAGATTGTCATATATTGCTTGCAACTGGTCCATTATTCTGTCAGATGATTGACAAAATTGTTGACAGATTAGCTAAATTTCTTCGCAGGCAACAATGATAAAATGACACAAATCAGTACTTTATTAAATTCCATGAGCCTTATTGAGGCGAGTTGTAAAACAAATATGCATGCTGACATGGTTGTATGGGAGTTAGATTAAAAGTAATAGAGCCTGATAATCACGAGGGTTAGAAAGTTAATACTGCCATCTGCTGATTTGTTCTTTTAAATCAGTCTGCTACGCATGAAAGGTGTGTGAGGCTTTGTGTGTATCATTGATAATTCAGCCTGACTGACAGTAGCCTATATGTATGATTACTTGTGGCTCTCAACTTATGGAACTCAGCAGTATCCTCAAAGCAGGCTTAAGATCAGCAGTCAGCAAGCAGGCAAACACATATATAACTCCCCTTTGGCTGGATGATTTAAAGGATATAAAATGTTTATTGTTAGCATCTTTAAAAAATGTATGCAAAAAAGTATGCTAACAATTTGGATAAGCTGTGTGCTTTAGAAAGCTGAGCCCAACAGATGTTGAATTGTTTATTTTTTTCTTTTCCAGTTTACAACCAGCCTGGGGAATTTAACTTTCTAAGGATTATGATTTCCTTTGTTTTGAGGGGATTCTTTTAAAATGTCTTAAGCTTGACATATATTAGTCAATAAGAATACAACAGGCATATGTTTTTGCTTATAGGAGATACTCGTTAAACAATACTTAAAACTGCATTTTTCTTTGCAGTTTTGGCTTCCTTTTAAATAAATGAATATTGAATGCTGTGTTTCTCTGAAGAGAAGATTATGGGAGTTAGTATTCTATAATAACGAAGCCACTGTATGCCATTATGTAGGTAGCAAAATCTGGGTATGCTTAACAGCATGCTTTTCAGAGCTTTTCCAAGTGTACAGTATCTGTGTATGTTTATATGTTGTTGGTTGTAATAAGGGAGGGAATTTGGTTACATTGTTATTGGCAGTGTTCCCAGAATAGAGAAGACGCATGGCTCCGTTTCTTCTTCATGGACTTTTTGGGAAGTGTTGGATAACTAGGCTTTAAAGTAAGCATGCTTAAGAAGAGGATTTATAGCCTCAAGAAAACGTGACATTATACTGCATTTGTAAATAATTATTACATATGTATACAGAGTTTTAAGGATAATCTTTTTCCCATTTTAATGAAAACTCTGCAATGTTTGATGGGTAAATAATATGGGGGAAACTCTTTGTTGCTGGGCTTGTGTATTCATGTCTGGTACAGCTATATTGCTGATGATTCTGTCCCTTTACCTAGGTCTGATACCACAACTTATAGGGGTTGCTCCAGAAAAGGCCATTAAACTGACTGTAAGTTTATCTCTAACTGAATTTATGTCATTTGTTTAGATTACCATTAAGCCAAAAAGCTAAAATCAAGGCTAGGCGTGGTAGCTCATGCCTATAATCTCAGCATTTTGGGTGGTGGGAGGATCACTTGAGACCAGTTCTAAACCAGCATAAGCATAGTAAGAACTCAGCTCTACCAAAACAACAACAACAACAACAAAATTAAAAATTAGCCAAGTGTGGTGATTTATGCCAGGAGGCTGATGTGGGAGGATTGCTTGAGTCCAGGAATTTGAGGCTGTAGTGAGCTATGATCATGCCACTGCACTCCAGCCTGAGCAACAGAGTGAGACCCTGTCTCAAAAACAAAACTAAAATTGATGCTGCTGACACTGGCACACTGTCGCAGAATTTGTACAACTTTAATTTTACATGTAAGCATTTGATAATTTTAAATTTTATCATAAGACAAATATTTTGCTGACTTGGAAAAGCAACAGTATGCCAGAAGAGAAATGGTTGGGAATTTTGGTTAACTGATGTTGTCTTTCTAATTAGGTTAATGATTTTGTTCGGGACAAATTTACCAGAAGAGATGGCTCTGTTCCACTTCCAGCAGAAGTTCTTGCTGGAGGCTGTGTAAGTATTACTGTTAGGCGCTTCTTGTGACAAATACATTCCGTTGACCTTTTTGCACAGATATAATAGATATCTTAGTGGCATTTCTCTTGAACTCAAGGGATTCTAAGCAGGTTTTCTCAATAATCATATGGAATAAGTTTTAAATTTTATTGTAAAAGCTAACGGGTTTTGAGTGTAGAAAAGAGGTAGCATTTTCCGCCAGTTAGAATGGTGATCATTAAAAAGTCAGGAAACAACAGATGCTGGAGAGGATGTGGAGAAATAGGAACCATTTTACACTGTTGGTGGGAGTGTGAATTAGTTCAACCATTGTGGAAGACAGTGTGGCAATTCCTCAAGGATCTAGAACTAGAAATACCATTTGACCCAGCAATCCCATTACTGAGTATATACCCAAAGGATTATAAATCATTCTACTATAAAGACACATGCACACATATGTTTATTGTGGCACTATTCACAATAGCAAAGACTTGGAACCAACCCAAATGCCCATCAGTGACAGACTGGATTAAGAAAATTTGGCACATATACACCATGGAATAATATGCAGCCATAAAAAAGGATGAGTTCCTGTCCTTTGCAGGGACATGGATGAAGCTGCAAACCATCATTCTCAGCAAACTGTCACAAGGACAGAAAACCAAACACCACATGTTCTCACTCATAGGTGGGAATTGAACAATGAGAACACCTGGACACAGGGCAGGGAGCATCACACACTGGGGCCTGTCATGGGGTTGGGGGTTGGGGGTTGGGGGAGAGATAGCAGTAGGAGAAATACCTAATGTAAATGATGAGTTGATGGGTGCAGCAAACCAACATGGCACATGTATACCTATGTATCAAACCTGCACATTGTGCACATGTACCCTAAAACTTAAAGTATAATAACAAAAAAAGAGGTGGCATTTTCATCAGCTCTATCTCTTTGATGCTCCTAAAGCATTACCTTCCAGACTTTTTTAAAAGTTCTAATTCCTATGCCTTTTAAGAAATAGAGTACAGAAAATATAGTAGTGGATAGAGTTACCATTCATATATGTTAACTGGAACTTTAAAACAAGTGTGAGATGGCTGATTAATTGGGCCCTTATATCTTAGGTATAGGACTGAGTAAGCCATTGTTTAATAATAATTTTTCTTCTTTAGAGGCCAGAGGGTATGGCAAACAATAATAACGGTAACTACATTTCAGCTATTGACAGAAATTCTGAACCAAGAGACTCAGATATTTACTTAGCGCACAAAGGTTTCTGTCTTTAAAGTGTAAGCATGACATGATTATTGGCAAACAATAATAACGGTAACTACATTTCAGCTATTGACAGAAATTCTGAACCAAGAGACTCAGATATTTACTTAGCGCACAAAGGTTTCTGTCTTTAAAGTGTAAGCATGACCAATTCTTAAATCTATTTGCAGCTCAACTAATTTCATTTGTGGTATTTGTTTCATATTTGATAACACATGGTTCGTTTCAGACTTGTTTAGTCCATTTTGTTCTTGGAAACATTAATAACTTCCAGTTGAATTGGCTGACAGTCTTGGCTAAAACTTCCTCAGTTGCTTGTGAAACCTGAAGTGATGAGGTCAGTGACCTTGGCAACATTTAATTCAGAGACACTGCCTCGGGGGTCAGAGAGAGAGAGAGGTTGCTCCAGATTCTCTTTGATATGTGTCAGTGTGGCACATACCTGAGTCCTCTGCAGAGTTGCTTTGGAAGAGGTGGACTGCTGTGTGGGTGTGTGTGTGCCTGTATGCATGCCCCAGCACATTCTCAGGAAGGAAATCTCTTTGGCTACATTTCTTTTTTAATGAAGAGTTAACAGTGGACATAGAATAAAACTTTTGCTTAGGTGGATCACCAAAAATGAAGTTTCTCTTCTTCCTTTATTCCAATTAGATTCTGTAATTGGTTCTTATCTAGAGAGCGAACCTTTGCCAATCATAAATATTCTTTTTCTTGGTCATTTTAAGTTTCTGTTTGGTTAAGAAGCTTTCTAACTCATTTTTATCACAGCACATGCATACCTTTGCCAGAAATATAAGTCATGCTCTTTCTGTTCCATGTAGCTAATTATTTGTTTCCGTTTGCAATATCCAGGTTTTTGGTCATGAAGCTGACCTGTTTCCATGTCTGACATGTGACCTAAGTGGTTAAACCAAAATAAGATGTTTAGTTCCTTTGTTCTTCCTAGCTACCGACCCTGTTTATAGGTTTGAACTTTAGGAATTTCTATTGAAGTCTGGGTTGCCTTGAGGGTTGTGCTGACACTCTAAATCTCTTCCTTAATCATGACTCATTTCTGGAGGCTTTGATGGATTGTCTAGTGGGAAATTGACAGCATGAAAAATAGTCAGGTTGGACTCTAGGCAGAATGATAAGGTTGTCTGCAGTTCTTCACCACAAACGTTTTCTGCTTCCCCCTTGCTCTAAATCTCTTCTTTCAGGGAAGAAGAAAAAAGTGCAATTATTGAGTTTCTACTGACAAATTCAGTTATGCTATGCTATAAATGATTGTTAAAACATAATTCACTGTTTCTCCCCAAAGTCTATAAATTTCAACAGAGAATAAAGTCTTAAAAAGAATGAGTCTCTCTTTATAGAATATCAGGCTGTATGGGACATAGGATACTCCATTTCCTAAATGATACCTGGCAAACAGCCACCAGATTAACACTGTGAAGAGTGGCTGTCTGTGAGCCTGACCCTGAGTCTTCATCATCCTGAGTAGTGGTGGTGATACGATGTACGGTGTCCTTATGGCTTTTGGCTGAGTGCTGTCAGTGCCACTAGTGAGAAGAATGCTGCTGTTCTTCCAAAAATTACCCAATTTTAAAGATGCACCTAATACATTAACCTATTGCAGGTTAATTAGGAAGAAATGGCTCAAATTGAGTTCTAGGCTTTTTTTCCCAGAGGAAGGATTAGCTAGGACCTAGGCCTTGAGTTCCCTATAGATGAGAGGGAAATTTTATTGCCATGGAAATGACAATATTCCCTTTTAGGAAAAATGGTGTGTGTTGACTAGATCATGAAGTGACCTAGAAGTGAAAATCTCTAGTCCTTGGGCATTATATATTTTGTTGTTGTTGTATGTTTTGTTTTATTATCTGGTTTGTTTTTGTTTTCGTTTTTGTTTTGAGATGGAGTTTTGCTCTTGTTATCCAGGCTGGAATGCAATGGCACGATCTCGGCCCACCGCAGCCTCCACCTCCCAGGTTAATGCGATTCTCCTGCCTCAGCCTCCCTAGTAGCTGAGATTACAGGCATGTGCCACTGCACCCGGCTAATTTTGTATTTTTAGTAGAGCTGGGGTTTCTCCATGTTAGGCTGGTCTCAAACTCCCGACCTCAGGTGATCCACCGGCCTCGGCCTCCCAAAGTGCTGGGATTACGGGCGTGAGCCACCACACCCGGTCTTTATGATCTGTTTTTAAAGGCATGTGATTTTTGTTTTTTTGTTTGTTTGTTTTTCTTCTTTTTTGAGACAGGATCTCAGTCTGTTGCCCAGGCTGGAGTGGCGTGGTGCGATCTCAGCTCACTGCAGCCTTGACAACTCCTGGGCTCAAGGGCTCCTCCCATCTCTCAGCCTCCCCAGTAGCTGGGACTACAGGTGCATGCCACCATCCTCTGCTAATTTTTGTATTTTTTGTAGAGATGGGGTTTCATCATGTTGCCCAGGCTGGTCTCGAATTCCTGGGCTCAAGCAACCCACCTGCCTTGGCCTCCTAGTTTTGGGATTACAGGTGTGAGTCACCAGGCTGGCCAAGGCCTGTGATTTTTGATACATGCAAAAGAATACAAACAATATAATTACAGAATAATAAAATGAGCATCCATGCTTCTAGCACCCAACTTAACTAAAACGTTACTACTATTGTTGATGATGATTATTGCTTTTGATGTAGCTTGAATCAGCTAATGAGGAATAGATACCTTTCTTACTGGGCTGAACATTTTATAGGGATTATCTCATTATTGTTCCCAACTAGAGTTGAAAAAACTAAAACCTTAGTGAAATCCAAATTTTGACTTAGTAAATATCAAAATTGTGGTTCAAACCACTTCTATCTCCAAATCCATATTCTTTCACACTTGATATAGGTTTTCATTTGTTCTTTCATATATTCACTTACTCATTGAATACCTGATATCTTTCATGCAAATTTTAAAAATACCACCTTTAGGCCGGGGGCGGTGGCTCACGCCTGTAATCCCAGTACTTTGGGAGGCCGAAGCAAGTGGATCACCTGAGGTCAGGAGTTCGAGACCAGCCTGGCCAACATAGTGAAACCCCGTCTCTACTGAAAATACAAAAAAATTAGCCAGGTGAAGTGGCGCGTTCCTACAGTCCCAGCTACTTGGGAGGCTGAGGTAGGAGAATCGCTTGAACCCAGGAGGTGGAGGTTGCAGTGAGCTGTGATCGTGCCACTGCACTCCAGCTTGGGCAACAGAGTGAGACTCTGTCTCAAAAAAAAAAAACAAAAAACAAAACAAAACAAAAAAACAGAAAAAATAACAGCTTTATTGAGATATACTTAACGTACCATACAACTCCCCCATTTAATGTGTATAATTCAGTGTTTTGTTGTGAAACCATCACCACAATCAATTTTAGAACATTTTTATCAACACAGAAAGAAATGCAGTACCTTTTAGCTATCACTTCTCAATCTTCCCATCCCATCCGTAAGATCTAGGCAACTGTATTGCCCAGGCAGGAGTGCAGTGGTGCGATCAAGGCTCACAGCAACCTTGAACTGCCGGCTCAGGCAATCCTCCCACCTCAGCTTCATGAGTAGCTAGGACTGCAGGTGTGTGCCACCACCCTCAGCTAATTTTTAAGTTTTTCATAGAGACAGGGTCTTACTTGGCCAGGCTGGCCTTGAGCTCCTGGCCTCAAGCAATCCTTCTGCCTCCTCCTCCCAAAGTACTAGAGTTACAGATACGAGCCACTGCACTTGGCCTCTAGGCAACTATTAATATACTTTCTGTTTTTACAAATTCACCAATTCTGAATATTTTATATAAATGGAGGCTGGGCGTGGTGGCTCATGCTTATAATTCCAGCACTTTGGGAGGCTGAGGTGTGTGGATCACTTGAGGTCAGGAGTTTGAGACCAGCCTGGCCAACATGGTGTGAAACCCCATCTTTATAAAAAATGCAAAAATTAGCCAGGCGTGGTGGCAGGTGCTTTTAATCCTGGCTACTTGGGAGGCTGAGGCAGGAGAATCACTTGAGCCTGGGAGGCGGAGGTTGCAATGAGCAGAGATTGTGCCCACTGCACTCCAGCCTGGGCAACAGAGAGAGACTCTGTCTCAAAATAAATAAATAAATAAATAAGGAATCATGATATGTGGCCTTTTGTAAGCATGACATTGTGCCTAACTTTTTTCACTTAGCGTGTTTTCAAGGTTCATCTGTGTTGTAGCATGTATCAGTACTTAATTCATTTTTATTGCTGAATATATGGATATACTACAGTTTGTTCATTCATTAGTTGATAAACATTTGAGTTGTTTCTACCTTTTGACTTATGAATAATGCTGCTATGAATATTGGTATATAAGGTTTTGCATGGACATGTTTTCATTTCTCTTGGGTATATACGTATGAGTGGAATTGGTGTGTCATATGACAACTGTAATTAGCATTTTCAGGACTGCCAGACTGTTTTTCAAAGTGGCTACATCCTTTTGCATCCCTACTAGTAGTGTGAAGCTTCTGATTTCTCTACATCTTTGCTAGTATGTGTGTGCGCGCGTGTGTGTGTGTGTGTGTGTGTATTTTTTTAAATAATGGTAGCGTCTCACTATGTTGCCCAAGCTGAGAGTGCAGTGACTGTTCACAGGTGTGAACATCACATGCTACAGCCTCGAACTCCTGGCCTCAAGTGATCTTCCTGCCCCATCCTCCTGAGTAGCTGGGACTACAGGCATGTGCCATCATGCACAGCTACTTTCCACATCTTTGATAACACTTCTTATTGTCTTTTTACTATAGCCATCTTACTGAGTGAAAAGTGATACCTTATTGTGGCCTAATGACTGACAATGTTGAGCATCTTTTTGTGTGCATATTGACCACTTGTATATCTTCTTTGAAAAAATGTCTATTCAGAATTTTTGCCTATTTTTAAATTGGATTGTTTTTTGGTTACAGAGTTCTTTGTATATTCTAGATATGAGTCCCTTTTCAGATATTTTTTATTTTCTTGATGATGTCTTTTGAAGAATTGGGCTTTAATGAAGTTCGTTTAATCTATTTTTTCTTTTGTTGTTTGTGCTTTTGGTGTTATATCTAAGAAGTCATTAATCCAAGATCATGAAAGATGTATGCCTTTTTTTTCTGGTATATAGAAATTGACTTTATATGTATGCCTCCTTTTTTCTTTTCAGAGTTTTATAGTTTTAGCTTTTACATCTAGGTCTTTTCCGATTTTTAAGCCTAAGTTTTTTAGGTTTTTTTTTTTTGCCTTGAACAGAGAGAGATATTACTAAATGTCAGTTTTGTTTTAGTTTTGATTGCTAATGTTTTGGTGTATTTCCTTCTAATGTTTTCATATACATGTGTACATGCTCTTATGCATAGACATATGTGTGCACATGTGTACACACACACACACACACACTTTTTAAAACCAGATGGAAGTTTTGTTGACTCTGACTTCCTGATTGGAAATGCAAGCAACTCTCACTTACTACAGGAAAGAGGGAGTCACAGTGGAATGTCTTATTTTAGAAGTAGTATATAACCTTTGGGAATAGTAGTATAAACAGATTGTGCATTTTCAGATTTTTATTTTTATTTTTATTTTTTCGAGACAGAGTCTCGCACTGTCGCCCAGGCTGGAGTGCAGTAGCGTGATCTTGGCTCACTGCAAGCTCCGCTTCCCGGGTTCACGCCATTCTCCTGCCTCAGCCTCCCGAGTAGTTGGGACTACAGGCACCCGCCACCAGGCCTGGCTAATTTTTTGTATTTTTAGTAGAGACGGGGTTTCACCGTGTTAGCCAGGATGGTCTCGATCTTCTGACCTCGTGATCCACCCACTTCAGCCTCCCAAAGTGCTGGGATTACAGGTGTGAGCCACAGTGCCTGGCCCATTTTCAGATTTTTAAATCTCATTGTGAACATTAACCAAACTTGTGTTTTGTATCTATATCAAAATCTTCTCAAACAAACTTACTCATTCAGAATTTATGATAACTTGGATGTGCTATCCCAACATGTTTTTTGTTTATTTGTTTGTAGTATCTATAAATTGAACTCTAGGTTAAATTGCCTGACCTTGGCTAGGTGTGGTGGCTCATGACTGTAACCTCCACACTTTGGAAGGCTGAGGTGGGAAGATGGCTTGAGCCTAGGAGTTCAAGGCCAGCTTGTGCAACATAGTGGGACCCCCCATCTCTACAAATAATAATAATTTTTTAAAATTGCTTGACCCTTTTTTAGGTGGAGATGGGGTAAGATTGTATGTGTGTGTATACAGTTGCTCAGTAAATATCTCTTATGAATGTTGAGTGTTGTATGAGTATTAAATATGTAACAGTAGGTTTTAAATAATTTTTCCTGTTATTCTCATAGGTAAACCATTCTTATCAGACCATATGTTTATTTTTCTATTAGAAAATTTCTGTCTTTCTGTACACACACACACACACACACACACACACACACACACACACACAGATCCAGATATTCCTCGACTTCCAATGAGGTTACATTGTAATAAACCTATCATGAGTTGGAAATTTTTAGGTCAACAGTGCACTTAATACACCTAACCTTCTGAATGTCATAGCTTAGCCTATCCTACCTAAAACATGCTCAGAACACTTATGTTAGCCTATAATTGGGCAAAATCATAAAACACAAAGCCTGTTTTATAATACAGTATTGGATATCTCATGTAATTTATTGAATACTGTACTGAAAGTGAAAAACAGGCTGTATGAGTACTTGAAGTATTGTTTCTACTGAATGCATATTGCTTTTGCACCATTGTAAAGTCAAAAAACCATAAGTTGTATCATTGTTAAGTTGGGGACCACCTGTATATATGTGTTTATATATAATATTTATATGTACAAATGTATGTTTATTCGAAGACACAAATATAATTGAATGTTTGATTATGATATCTATTGTGGGCAAAAATAGTACCTTAATGTCAACCTAGAATTTTCAAAGTACATTATTATGCATTATTGTCACCCTCTATAAAATAGGTAGATGAGAAACAGAAGTCCAAAAAGGCTAACTCTCTTACCCCAATTTACACAGCTAATATATGCTGGAGGTTTCATGTGAACCCAAGTATTCTGATTTTTTTAGACCAAGTCCTTTTATTCTATGATGTCCTTTTGGGGGAATCAAATCATTGATTGTGTCAAAATAAATCTAGATGACACTATTCAACTTTATAGTGACTTTCTTGCCTCTTTCCTTCCTTCCTTTAATAAGTGTATGAATATGACATATTTACATATTTGGTTTTTTAGGTATAATTAACATTTTTAAAAGGAACAGATTTTAGATATTCAGCTCAATGAGTTTTGACAGTTGTATACACCCATGTAATCACCACCTAAGATAATGAACATTTCACCCCAGAAAAGTCGTTCATGCGTCTTTCCATTCAGTCCCTTCTCCCTTACCCCATGCAACCACACTTCTGATTTCTGTCTGAAGTTTTGTTGTTCTTGGATTTCATGTAAATGGAGTGCACGAGATGCATTCTTTCATGGCTGGCTTCTTTTGTTTAACATGTTTTCAGAGAGTCATCCTTGTGTGGGTATCAGGTTTGTGTTTGTTTTAAATTTTGCTGAGTAGTATTTCATCGTACGAATTTACCACAATTTGTTTATCCATTTTTCTCTTGATGGATGTTTGGGTTTTTGTCTGTTACAAATAAGGTTGCTGTAAACATTCTTGTACAAATCTTTTTGTCAACCAATATTTTCATTTTTCTTGGGTATCTAAGAATAGAATAGAGTCGATGTATATTCAATTTAAAATAAACTGCCAGTTAGTTCTTAGAAGTGGATGGATCATTTTATAGTCTCCTAAGCAGTGTACAAGTATTCCAGTTGTTCCACATCTTCACTAATGTTTGATATCTGTAGTGTTTTTGATAGTAATCATTGTAGGTATGTGAAATAGTATCTTATTGTGGTTTAAATTTGCATTCTTCTGATTCCTAAAGATGTTGATTATCTTTTCATGTGTTTATTGGCTATTCGTATATGTGTGTGTGTGTGTGTGTGTGTGTGAAGTATCTGTTCAAGTCTTTTGCGTACATTTTATTAGGTTTCATATTTTTTACTAATTGTAAAAGTTGTTTATACATCATGGATACAGCCCTTTGTCAAACAGATGTGTTGTGGATATTTTTTTGCCAGTTTGTGACTTGTTTATTACTTTTATTAATGATGTTTATAGTAGTTTTTAAAGAAAAAGTAATTATGTAGTTTTTTGGATAGATCCAGAAACTTAAGGGAGAATAAATTTAAATATCTTTTCAAATTAACAAAGCAGAATATTAAAAAATCTAAATGGACTAACCTTTAGGTACTTTCTAATGGTCTCTTTGGTAAGTACCTG
Organism: Homo sapiens; assembly: GCF_000001405.40. Lineage (NCBI taxonomy): Eukaryota > Metazoa > Chordata > Mammalia > Primates > Hominidae > Homo > Homo sapiens. The sequence continues at coordinate 171,799,992 of NC_000002.12, read as the reverse complement.
TTCTTTTTTAATTGTTAAACTCGAATCAGAGATTAGTGATAAACTTACCTAGCTGACTGCATTACCTCTTTCAGAGAGTATATACTCCTGAGTGGATGGAAGTCATGAAACTCAAAACTTATTACTCAGCAAAGTGCTAATGTTGCAGGTGAATTTTCACAACCCTATGCGAACACACTTTCTGGAGAACACGTTCTTTCCCTTTGTGTCTTGCTTTCAGTCTGCATAGTGCTCTCAAATGAGTTAGTAGTGCACAAGACCTCGGTGAGGCAGAGAGCATGGTTGTGGGAATGGAATGGTTATGCCGAATGCAAAATCTATGACGATCTAGGTCAGTAGTCTTCCAAACCTAGAATCTTTCAACTCTCCCATGCTTTTTCTCAGCTTAAGCATGTGTCTACACACACCACATACACACACCCTCCCTTCATATCGGTAAAGCAAAAAGCCCACATGTTAGGCGGAGCATTTACTAATCCTGGGGGCCAAGATCTGTAACTAGCCAGCTCCTTATGATGAAGAATTCTATGTCTTCCTCAGCAAGCCAAGCTTGTATATCTCTAAAGAGTAGTTTGGAAACAGCTCTTCCACCTCTCATCCCCAGGAATTAGTGTAGTCCAACTTTATGCCTACATACTTATGTGAACACATATAGATATGCATACAAGTTGAAAATCCTTATATATTTATGTCAAAAGTGGCTTATGATAGGTACACAGGGATTTTCATTCTTGCTGTCTTAGTTCATTTTGGCTGCTATTAAAAAATACCTTCGATGGAGTAATTTATAAACAACAGAAATTTATTGCTCACAATTCTGGAGGCTGGAAGTTCAAGATCAAGGTACCAGCAGATTCAGTGTCTGGTGAGGGAGGGCTTGCTCTCTGCTTCCAAGATGGCACCTTGCTGCTGTGTGCTTGCATGTACCTTGCTGCTGTGTGCTTGCATGTACCTTGCTGCTGTGTGCTTGCATGGTAGGAGAGACAAGGCAGCTCCCTTCAACCTCATTTATAAGGGCACTAATCCCATTCACTAGGGCAGAACCATCATGACTTAATCACCTCCCAAAAGGCCCTACTTCTTAATACTATAATGTTGGATATTAGTTCCAACATATGCATTGTGGGGAAACACCAATATTCGGATCATAGCACTTCCCTTACCCTAGTTAGGAGTATATGTAGTGTTAATTTGTAACACCCTCGCATATATCATCACTCAGCAATGAGCACATTGCATTTATTTCTTTTAAACTATCACTATCCTATTTTAGAAAGAACCATAGCATTTCCTATTGCTTTACAAAAATATGAACGGTTGGTGGTGTGCAAGGCTGAGTCACTGTCTGTTCCTGTTCCTCTTGAGTCAGTCCTAGTGACAGCTAGTTCTGTGACTTTTACTGTTTATCTGGTTATTTTATACGCACATACTGTGTTCATCTGGAGTTGATGTGACCTTAAATAAATTGAAGTTAGATTTTCATCAGTCTCGATAAGGGAAGACTTTATAATGAGTTGCTTAGATTGGATATTTTGTGGTTGGAGGGAAATCATTTCAATCTATAGGAGACAACAGATCAAAGAAGGAAATAAACAAAGGACTTGGCACAAGCAGGGCCCAGCCTCCAACCTCTTTGTGAACCTTGCCCCAGGGGTAGGATTGAGAGGGCAGAAGGTTGAATAGGCCTAATCCTGTATACAGCCCCTCGGCCTTTGGCACTGTGGAGGCATGGTGACATCTCAAAATTACATCCTTTTCCCCGCTAACTTTTGCTGTCAGCTTTAGTTGATTTTCTCATTAAAAAATTCATATGATATAAGATTAAATGGAAGTTTTTTATTCTTTCCATTTCTGTTATATATGGGTAACCCTCATTCAAAATGAGATTTGTTCTCTTTTATGTATCTTTTAAACTCAGTTCTAGAACAAAGAAATGACAACAGAATACTGAAAAATAGAAAGCATCTAAGTCTGTTTTAGTATTAATGTTTGTATCTCTTTTAAAAAATAGGCGGGAAATTTAAGCAATTAGAGAATTAGAAGCTAATTTTGGTGATTTCATGAGTGAAAAAAATTCAGCAAAGGTATGATATAGAGTGGTATGTTATCTAATGTAAGCATTAGTAACAGAAGCAGCAAGATGCCAAATTTAGCAATGTCCATTTACATTTATATAGCTGTGTATCATTGTGATTTAATTTAAAATTTTATATATCTTAGTGTCGATTATTTCAGGTCACTAGCTATATTTGATTAGGTTTTTTGATGTTCATATATAATAAGCTTTTTAAAAAACCTTGGGTCCACAGTAACTAACGCCAACCAGTTTAAAAAATATATTTGCCAAATTACCAAATTTACCATGAAGAAGAATATGCGAGAGAAGACTTAGTCTATAAAGAAGCCATTGTTTCTAAGACCAGGTCTGTTTCTTGTTGTTGTTGCGTAGTTAATACATTCATATGTTTTGAAATTTAAAAGGTACAATAGAGTATGCTATGAAAATTATTTCTCCCAGCTATTCAGTTTCTCTTTCCAGGAGGCAATCAATGTTTTAATCTTTAAGCCACTTGGGTTTTGAGAAACTTAGGTAAATTTTGACATATTTATGATCAAATGTGTGCCTAATATTTTATGTTCTGTTTTTGTCATTTGGCGTGATTTTATTATCAAATCATATTGCCCAATTAATAGCATAGAATTGTATCTACTTAGCTGTTTTATTGGGAATTTGAATTTCTTCCTGTTCAATTTTGCTGCTATTAAAAATAGCAAACATTAGCATATTTGTAGAAATACAGGTACTATTTTTTATTGAAAAGTTACTGTATTTATGAAATTCTCTATATTAAAGATTATATTTACTGCAAGCAGTGCTTTTCCCCTTTGGAAAGCTGTTATTAATGATATCATTTATAATCAATAGAGTCTTAGAAGAAATATGGTATTTCTCTGTATTTGTTTCGCAGAGAGGAAACACCCAGTTCAAGAGTTTGATAACATCATAGTCCCTCATTCTGAGTTGCTTGATTTATTACCAGTATAATTGAACTAATCTCAGATTTTACTCCCCCTTCCCTATCCCCAGTTTAATATGTAGGATAGAGAGAGTGGTCAACCTCAGAATCCGAAAAAGAACAGTGCATATTTGCCATGTGTGTTTCCCTTTAAGCATTATAAACATCCAGAGTTTTAGACAAATTATTACGTTGGTACAAAAGTAACTGCGGTTTTTGCAGTCTTTATCTTTGCTAAAATTATTCAGCGTTTCTGGAAAGTATTTGCCTTATGTTCCTAGGCCTATCATGAGGTTTTAAAAATGTATACTAATTACTAAAAAAAAAAAAATTTTAAGAGATAGGGGTCTTGCTCCATTGCCCAGGCTGGCCTTGAACTCCTGGGCTCAAGTAATCCTCCTGCCTCAGTCTTGTGAGCAGCTGGGACTACAGGCATGTGTCATTGCACTTGGCTTGTATGTTAATTTTTAAAACATATACAAATCATTAATTGTCAGAAGTTTTCCTCCTTCAAACATAGGCATGAAACAAACTTACAGATGTGTGCCTTGCTATAGTGTCATTGATTATTTGCACTCTTACTTGCTAGATTATATGTGTTTATAAATGCACATCAATTGAGTTTTGTGGTTATGTCCTGTGCGTTGTTGGGATTTGGTATGTGTGCTAGGTAACTAATCTTCAAAGCATACAACAATTAAGGTGTATGTATTTTTAAAATGTAGTCCCAGCTGGGTGCAGTGGCTCACGCCTGTAATCTTAGCATTTTGGAAGGCCAAGGCGAGTGGATCGCTTGAGCCTAGCAGTTCGAGATCAGCCTGGGCAACATGGTAAGACCCCCATCTCTACAAAAAATACAAAAATTAGCTGGGCGTGGTGGTGCACGCTTGTAGTCCCAGCTACTCGGGAAGCTGAGGTGGGAGGATCACCTGAACCTGGGGAGGTTGAGGTTGCAGTGAGCTGTTCCTGCCACTGCACTCCAGCCTGGGTGACAGAGTGAGGCCCTGTCTCAAACAAACAAACACAAACAAAATGTAGTCAGTTATTTCTTTTTATTGTACCATTTTTGTAAAGTTTCAGTAGAAAGCCTATTACTTGTATACTTCAAAAAATTTGAAGCATTGTTAAAGGAGTATAAATCTCAATCAATTATTTCTAAAAGAGAGAAGGAAGAGGAGGAGGCAGCTGTGGGGTGGGGGTGGGGGACACGGATTGGAGTACTCCTGCCCAGCAGGATGTTATAATTTACTAATGATTACAAACATGAAAGACCTTAGTATTTATTTAAACATAATGTCCACATTTAACACTTGGCACCCAGGGACTGACACTGTCTGGTAGTGGCAAATTTGGGGGAATTAGAATAAAAATTTGTGGTTCTATTCATTTTTAAATCTGCTTTAGTTAAAACATAAAGCAGATATGCAACCATTATTTAAGATAGTCTTTGCAACCATTATTTAAACAAGAGATTTCAGGGAAGTAGTAAACTTTTTCAATTGATTTGGTCTTTAATACTAGCTACAGGAGCAATTACTTGGATTATCATTTTAACATAATTTTTCATGCAGCAATCCTTTTGAAAGTATTGTTTGCTTAGATTGAAACATTAAAGTGCTTCCTTCTGCCTGCAGTACAACAGATTCAAAGAGAGAGAAAGGCAGGCAAATCAACATGTAAAATTGGGTCAGTACATCGTTGGGGGACCTGTGTGCCAGTGGTCTGGATTGTGTCGAGTTGAGGAGTTAGAGGAAACCATGAGAGAGAGATAGCAAATTGCTGCACCTCCCTGCTCGAAGGACAAAGAGGGGATTAAGGCCCTGGGGAATCCAGGACAATAAGCTGTCCATGAAGAGGGAAGGAATTTAGTATCAGTGCTGGCAATTTTGAATATTGAAAGGAGTTAAGGAGTCAGGATTGGAATAGGGGTAGTTGGGGGATTTATAGTCCCAAGGCAATTAGGAAAATGGGCTGAGCCATGTTCCTGCCCCTTGGAAGCGGGTCTGGGAGGGCTTTGGGTTTTAGATAAGTGAGCAGGAATGTGGGCAAAGGTTGAGCACTGAAGTGCCATTGAAAGCTGCATGTGAATTTTTAGGTGTTCTATACCTGTGGAATTACAGTGCCCCAGATTTCATATTTCACATGTGATTATATACAATGATTATAATGATATGAATATCATTATGAATATTATATGAGTATGGTTATGATTACATAATATAAACAGCTACAGTTGAAGATGTACAAATGGGATTTTTCATTTCATGAAAGGAGATATATATTTTATTTATTTTTATATATCCATAGTCACACACATTTTTTTCTTTCTTACAGAAACCAAAAAAAAGAAGTTGGTAGAAGTTTTGTTAAACGTTTTTTTTTTTTCTCTACTAGTTAACAGATTTCAGATGCAAATATACTCTCATTATCCAAATTCAAATCTCTGTCACTCACCACAGGAATATAGAATGTGGCTTTGATCTTGAGGGTGTTGTACTCATGGTAACTAGATGTTCCATTTCTCAGCTTTGCCTTGAAGAGTTTTTCTGGTTTTGTCTTGAAATGATACTGAAATTTATCTTTCTAAATTCTTCCCTTTTGTGTGGGTGTAGCCATGTACCTGTATCAGAGTTTTGCTTAGGATAATACATTTTAGAATTGGAACTGGAGGAGACTTTTCCCCTTCTGACTTAAGGCACCAAAGTAGTTTTAATTGCTCTACAATCCAAGGAAGCAGAAGCAAGTGGGTCTGCTGCCAAGAACGCTTACCACAAAGAGGAAAAAAATAATTGTAGCTCTGAATTTTAGCTCTGGCTTGTAAAATATGACAGTCTTTTACTATCTCTTTTTCTTTCATTGAGTACCTTGCTGCCACATCTGGCTCCGCTTTTTTTTCCAAATGGGTTTATTTTGTTATTTTGAATATGGCTGGGGTGATCCTGGAAAGACTGGTCTGAGAAACAATCTTGACATTTCAGCTAGAAACAAACCCAGAGGTAGATTGATCTGAGACAGAGTTTGGGACCATCCCTCTGAACCTCTCCAGGGTTGGCCTAAGTGTCAAACTGTCATTCCCCCCTGAGGAAGGAAGTTTCACCTCCTTCTTTTCAAGATAGCAAGATGTGGAGGCTTTGCTGGATTTTCCTTTTTTACGCTGCCAGTCGGGCTCTGATGTGGAATCTGCCTGTCTCTTCTCCCTTGCCTACAGGCTGGAGGCTCTCAGGTCATTTTTACCAACCCATTGGAGATAGTGAAGATTCGTCTGCAAGTAGCTGGAGAGATCACCACGGGACCCAGAGTCAGCGCCCTGAATGTGCTCCGGGACTTGGGAATTTTTGGTCTGTATAAGGTGGGTAGGTTTAGGTTATAATGTACTCAATAAAATATGAAAGAATGTGGAAACCAGACTTCTTCCCTCCAAGTTGAAAAGCAATCTTGTCCAGCAGGGTAGTCTGTGGAGCAGAAAATCAAACAAAAAGAAAAGAATCAGGACACTTGTATGAGAGGCAGTGGGATACACATGCAGCCTCTCCTGTTGTCATCAGGCTTTTATGAAACTGCCAGCAAGGAGGCCAGCACCGCAGACCTGCTGGCCTCAGGCTCACAGCCTTTCATTTGCTGGGGGGCTTGGGAAAACTTTCCCTGGTGCTCTCTTTGGGTTGGTTTAGGGCTTCAAAATAGTCTTATGTTTATTTTCGGTCTGATTATCTCTATTGTTATCTTCCCAGTGGGAGCTTTTGTCTTAATAATTTGACCACAGTAAAACAGTAGTAGAGTTTGGTAGGATTCAGGTCTTTAAGAAGTTAAGTGGTAGGATTTGTCAATAATGAATTCCATTAAAAAAAAAAAAAACAAACCAACAACAGAGTGTACTGTACTTTAACAAAATGCCAGTCAAAAGATTCCTTCCCTGCGGGTATACTTACTCCCATCATTACAGATCAGATGTAATGGAGCAGAAGCTATTATTTTTCTTAAACAAGGAAGAATATTTCTTTCCATTCCTTTGCCTGGTATAAGGGGAATACGTAAATTTAGCCACCATAGCCAAGTGTGTTTCCACAGCATCTGATATAGATCCATCACTGCAGAAATGTGTAAATTTGTTTCGGTAACTGCAAATTAGAAATTAGAAATTCTCTAGATTGGAATCACACAGCTACAGGGTTCTCTGGAGACCAGCAAACAATGATGCCTGTCTCAAGAGAGTTTCGTACACATTTTTGCTTCCTCCTCCCCACTCCCAATTTCCATCCTTTTTGAATTCCCTTTGAGAGATGAATTTATTAATATTGCTTCTCTCTGTATTATCCTTTAGCGAGTCCTTGGATTTTTTTTTTTTCAATGTTTGAGTTTGTCTTTTTTTAAAAAAGCCAGGGCTGGGAGCACTGGCTCACACTTGTACTCTCAGCACTTTGGGAGGCCAAGGCAGGGGGATTGCTTGAGCCCAGGAGTTCAAGACCAGCCAGGGCAAAATAGCAAGACCTTGTGTCTACCTTAAAAAAAAAAAAGAAAGAAAAAATTAGCCGGCACAGTGGTGCACACCTATCATCCCAGCTACTCAGGAGGCTGAGGTGGGAGGATCACTTGAGCTCAGACGGTCAAGGCTACAGCAAGCTGTGATCCTGCCACTATGCTCCAGCCTGGGCAACATAGTGAGACCCTGTCTCAGAAAAAAAAAAAAATTAAAAAGAATAAAACAGAGTCATTAAAAAAACAAGCGCCAAGGTGGAGTGTTTGCCTAGCTAGGTAGTGGAATGGTGTGGGCTTCTGACAAAGCTGAGGGAGGTGTTCTTTGAGACCTCAGTCATTGGGACAAGCTGCCCCTGGGTAATGATTTTCTACTCCTGTGGAAACCTGCCGCTAAAATATTTTGTCTGCTATTTAGGACATGGGGAATGAGGAGAGAAGATTTGGGTTTCTTTTCCCCCTGCTCTAGAGTAGTTACTTTTCCTTCACCACTGCCTATAGCTTTTTACCTGGCACTGCGGGGACTCTCAGCTGATGTAAAAACTTAAGAGGGTAGATCTTGTGTGTTTTTACCATAGTAAGAGATTAATTAATTTTAAAAACTCTGAATCTATATAAGAAATGCCAGAAAGTTCTTAGTTTTCAGAATACTATCATTACCCAGTTATTAACTCTAGGACTGCAGGATTCACCATGCTTTCACAAGCTTTGAGATATGCAGATTTCCCTATTCCCCACTTATCTCCCGCCTCCCCCATTTCCCTTGCACATCAGTTCTAATGCTGTTTAAGGGACACCTCAGGCTTGTCACTGAGGGACACCTCAAGCTTGTCACTGACAAATGTCACATGGATCCCATTTGGGCATTCACACTCAGTTTCACACTGTTTTGCACTATTTCCTCACTGTGTGACAGGGTGCCAAAGCGTGTTTCCTCCGAGACATTCCCTTCTCTGCAATCTATTTTCCTGTTTATGCTCATTGCAAACTACTTCTGGCTGATGAAAATGGACACGTGGGAGGTTTAAATCTTCTTGCAGCTGGAGCCATGGCAGGTAACTACAAATTTTTTTTTAACTGAAAGAATTCTCCCATTATTTAAAAAGTACAGAATCTCTATGTACTTTCCCCCTTTATTTCTGGAAGTATTATTGTTTGTACCTGACTTAGTTTAAATATCACTTTTTCTCCTTTGTGGGATGTGCTGTAATTCTGATGAGAGTTAATTACATTTGCATAATGTGGATAAACAGCTTAATGCAGCTTAGCAACTCAGAGCCAAATTAGATCTGCCCATCTAAATTGGGCTTTCATCATTAACATGTTTCTTAGTTTCCTGTGCCCCTGAAACCTTGAGTACAGCCAAGCTAAGCATTAAGGTGGGAAAGTTTTTCCTCAAATCAGTTGCTTAGCTGTATCTCATGCTCATGCACAGATCTAGCATGCTCTTACTTTCTCTCTTCTGTATATTGGAATCTACATGATTTGGCCGAAAATTGAGCTTTTGTCGTGAAGCTGTCCCTCTTCTTCCTACCATTGCCCTCATTAGACCAAAGTAAGCAGTACCCCTCAGCAAACCACCTTGAACTCAATTTTTGTATTTTTTCTAATCGTTAACACTTTGTCATTAGCCAGGTGTAGTGGTGCGTGCCTGTAGTCCCAGCCAGCTACCCGGGAGGCTGAGGTGGGAGGATCACCTGAGCCTGGGAGGTCAAGGCTGCGGTGAGCCGAGATGACACCACTGTACTCCAGCCTGGGTGACAGAGTGAGAGCTTGTCTCAAAAAAAAAAAAATTTGTCTTTTATTAATAGTTATTTGCATAATTGTTATCCTCTGTACTAGGCTAATAGCTTCTTGAGGGCAAGAGTTTCATTCTCTTCATCCTTGCCTTTCCTACGTGGCCAGTGTAATAGTAATAGGTGCTCAATAAATGTCAATAACATGAATGAAAACCTTCATGTCGTCTAAGATACCAAATTAGGCACAGAAGAGATTTCATTTGAAAGAGGAGCCTTGTAAGAGCAGGGAGGTACTAAGATGCTTCCTTCTGACCTCATAGGTACAGCCTGACTCTTGAGTTAGGAAGGAGCTGACTTGGAATAGAAGGAGAGAACCAGGTGTCCTTGGCTGCACCAACACTCTGAAAAGACAAAGGAAGGAAGGGGTGCATGTTTGCTCTCTATACAACCAGTAATGAACCATTACAGAGCTCAGTGTGGCTCTGACCAGCCAGGCTTATGTTCACTGTGTTGCTCTTCCTTGCTGGGCTCATTCTCCTCTGGAGGCTCTGGCTAAACATCAGGGCAACCTGAGCAGCTCCCGGAGTGTGCTGTGCTTGTTGTGTGGTAGGAGCCCTTGGGCCTGAGAGTGTTGCGATGGACCACGTTGTTCTTGCTCGTGAAGACAGGGATGACTTTGATCATTAAGAAACGGCCCCAGGGAACTTACCGCCCTTATTTGGGGCCCAGCAAGTCCTTTCTCCTCTAGCAATGGTAATTTTAGTCAGTTTTGTGTTTAAAAGCCAGTAAAGTTACCTGCTCAGTCTTGGCAGTGAGCTGTTTGTAGCAGCCCCTTTCTGGTACTTACCAGTCTCCCACTTTTTTTTTTTTGGTGAGACAGAATCTTGCTCTGTCACCCAGGCTGGAGTGCAGTGGTACAATCTCTGCTCACTGCAACCTCTGCCTCCCGGGTTCAAGCGATTCTCCTGTGTCAGCCTCCCAAGTAGTTGGGACTACAGGCGTGTACCACCATGCCTGGCCAATTTTTGTATTTTTAGTAAAGACAGGGTTTCACCATGTTGGCCAGCACAGCTGGTCAGAGCCACACTGAGCTCTGTAATGGTTCATTACTGGTTGTATAGAGAGCAAACATGCACCCCTTCCTTCCTTTGTCTTTTCGGAGTGTTGGTGCAGCCAAGGACACCTGGTTCTCTCCTCCTTTTCCAAATCAGCTCCTTCCTAACTCAAGAGTCAGGCTGAGGCCGAGCTTGGTGGCTCATTCCTGTAATCCCAGCACTTTGGGAGGCCAAGGCGGGCAGATCACGAGGTCAGGAGATCGAGACCATCCTGGCTAACACGGTGAAACCCCGTCTCTACTAAAAATACAAAAAATTAGCCGGGCGTGGTGGCGGGCTTCTGTAGTCCCAGCTACTGGGGAGGCTGAGGCAGGAGAATGGCATGAACCTGGGAGGCGGAGCTTGCAGTGAGCCGAGATTGTGCCACTGCACTCCAGCCTGGGCGACAGAGTGAGACTGTCTCAAAAAAAAAAGAGAGTCAGGCTGTAAATGTGAGGTCTCAAACTCCTGACCTCAGGTGATCCTCCCATCTTGGCCTTCCAAAGTGCTGGGATTACAAGCGTGAACCACCACACTTGGCCCAGTCTCCTACTTTTAAATGGGGGCAGCATTTGCCTTCCAGGCTTTTCCTTGTGCTTTCCAATCAACAATGAAAAACAGCCAGAGAAGAAGAGTCTAATTGTGGACAGGTGTTTGCAAGTGGTTGAACCAAGTAAATATTTCCATGGAACTGTCAGCACCGACTTCTTCCCCATAGACATTTGATGTCAGTTTTCAGAATGAGATTATTTTTTCTAATTTTTACCAGTCAAGCTTTGCTAGCAGGAACTGAGAACATTCAGAAGTCTGCCTCCAAAGGCAGGAAGTTTACCTAGTTTCATCTGAATAGGGTGCAAGGCCATGCCAAGGGGAAGTATTTGCATTATTCCCTAGCAGAACCTCGTACAAGGCTGCCAACTCCATCCGCCTAGTGAGGATACAGTGATATTCAGGCCAAATTGAATTTCTTCCCCCGGGGAAGATTATTTTGCTCCTTTGCTCTCTGTTTTGTTTTATAAGTAAAAGGTGTGGTTGTGAAATCCATCTTTTGTGTCCTGCTGCTGATCAATCTCAACATGACCCCAGGGAGCTCGGGCACAGGGGCCTTTCCCTGACCAGCTCCCCTGTTGTTTCTTAACTGGCTGCCTGGCCACCTCTTGCTCCAGTTGTAATGACTTTTGTCATGTAAGCATGTCTGAAAGGAGTCACAGTCAACTCTCAAGGTAGCCCTTCAAACAAGCGAGTGATTATAAGTATTGATATTCACTTCCCACACTACGACAAGAATCAGCAAAAACAGTAGTTTGGTGTCAGATACATTTAGTGACTCACTAAGATGACATTATCATTTTTTTATACATAAAAATACTTGTATCTTATTTAAGAAAAAAAGGAGGTAAAATAATTGAAACTGAAAGGGAACGCTTGGGAATTGTCTTATTAATATTGCTACTTTTTTTTTCTCTCTCACAGTTATTTGGGATCATGCAATGTAGAGTGATTTTTTTTTTAATTCAGGAAAAAATAATAATAATTTTCCCCTGATCACACTGCAACAGCTAATAGGCTTCTATGCCCTTTTCCCATTAATGGCCAGACATCTATGTAAAGAGTTTTGAGTTCCGCTCAAGTGGTTGAAGTTGCAGGCTCTATAGTAGATGTTAGCAGTATTCCTATCTTTTATAAGGTACTCTAGATAAATTAAATGTGGTTTTCTCCTGAAAGGTGTCCCAGCTGCATCTCTGGTGACCCCTGCTGATGTCATCAAGACAAGACTGCAGGTGGCTGCCCGCGCTGGCCAGACGACATACAGTGGTGTCATCGACTGTTTCAGGAAGATTCTCCGGGAAGAAGGGCCCTCAGCATTTTGGAAAGGGACTGCAGGTAGGCAGGGGCTGGAGCCATACAGAATGGCTGGCTGGCTCTAGCGTCCTCCCCTGTGACTCAGTGGCTATCTTTACCACATTTGTCCTGGTTTCAAGTCTCCCCTGCCCCTGCTTCTCTTTTTCAGCTCGAGTGTTTCGATCCTCTCCCCAGTTTGGTGTTACCTTGGTCACTTATGAACTTCTCCAGCGGTGGTTTTACATTGATTTTGGAGGCCTGTAAGTCAGCTGCTCAACTCCTTTACAAAGAAATCACTAAGTCCAAAACAAATGTTTGTTCTGTCTACAAAAGCATTGTTGCAACTCTTAGAAAACTGATAAGACAGAACCTTTAAGACCAATGCATTTAAAACAGTGAGCTTAAGAAGCATTTGTGTTAAGCAAGTAAAACTTGACAGAGTGACATCGTACATAATATTAAGCAGCTATTTGGGGGATTTTAGGGAAGCAGCAAATTTTTTTAAAAAAGACAGGATATCCTCTGTTGCCCAGGCTGGAGTGCAGTGGCATGTTCTTGGCTCACCGTAGCCTCAACCTCCCGGGCTCAAGCGATCCTCCCACCTCAGCCTCCTGAGTAGCTGGGACCACAGAGGCATGCCACCACACCCAGCTAATTTTTGTACTTTTTTATAGAGATGGGATCTCACTGTGTTGCCCAGGCTGGTCTCGAACTCCACCAGCCTTGGCCTCCCAAAGTGCTGGGATTACAGACATGAGCTACCGTGCCTAGCCAGGAGGCAGCAGATTAAAATGCTGTGTAAATAATTGTCTTTTTTCACATAAGCAAATACTGAACTTCATGGCGTTCTCATTATGTGGATTTTATTATATGGCCCTTTCACAGAAGTAATGTAAATGTATACCAGTAACACTTTTGTGCATTTTCTTTCAAAGTCCCAAGCCCTTTTGCATCTCTGATATTTCATTATTCACCACAATTTATTATTAGTTAGGTGCAGATGTTCTTGAAGCTAATTTACTGGAAAAACCAATAGGTTTGAAGAGAGATTTTGCCCATGGATATAATCACTAGTGAGCTGTAGGCCAGAAATTGGGCTTCTAAAAGCTTACCACTTGAAGCTTGCACTGAGAAGAAGAATTACAAGTTGAATTTTCTGGGTGGGGAAGTTGTACCCAAAGCAAGCAATTATTAGCTTTTCAGCAGAAGACCAAGTACCATTCCTGAGTCCTCACATCAGAAACCTGTGAACTCCTCTGTGCCCAAAGGCCATATAGGGAATCAGCTGCTGAACCAAGTGGAGGGACCTATGCAAAAAAAGTGAGAACAGCAGTCTTACAGTTGCATTGTAGAAATGTGAGGCTTCAGGCTTTTCCATGCTTCTTTCATCTTCTGTAAAAGAACTAAAGCTATTTCTCTCTCTCTCTTTTTTTTTTTTTTTTTTTTTTAGACGGAGTCTTGCTCTGTCGCCCAGGCTGGAGTGCAGTGGTACGATCTCGGCTCACTGCAACCTCCACCTCCCAGGTTCAAGTGATTCTCCTGCCTCAGCCTCCTGAGAAGCTGGGACTAAGGGCGCCCACCACCGCGCCTGGCTAATTTTTTTTTTTTTTAATATTTTTAGTAGAGACGGGGTCTCACCGTGTTAGCCAGGATAGCCTTGATCTCCTGACCTCATGATCCGCCTGCCTCGGCCTCCCAAAGTTCTGGGATTACAGGCGTGAGCCACCATGCCCGGCCTATCTCTCTTTAAATAATTTAATTGATAATCTTTATGAGTCTACTACATAAAAAGTTAACTTCTAAAGTTATGTCAAAAGAAAAATATATACTTTAAAAATTACTTTCATATGTGCTAAGTGCAGAAAATTTGGAAAACCATAAAGCATAAAAGAAAAAAACCAGCCTGGGTGTGGTGGCTCACACCTCCCAGTGCTCTGGGAGGCCAAGGCAGAAGGATTCCTTAGACCAGAAGTTCGAAACCAGCTTTGGCAACATAGCAAGACCCCATCTTTACAAGAAGAAAAAAGAAAAAAATCATCCATAATCTTACTACCCAGAGAGTCTTCATATTTGAGTGTCTTTTCTTCTGACTTTTTTCCTATGGATTTGTTTATATATGTATGCAAGCATTGGAAATAAGGCCATTTCTCTTGTAAATCAAATATGTAGATAAGTTGCTGTCAAAGCAGCTATAAATCATGACTGTGGTTTCTAGTCATGCAGCACAGATGCCATGGAAATGGTTGAGAGAAACATTCTTCTTTGTGGCACATGGGTCAGACCGAAAATGTCCAGCTGTAAGCTGCGCTCATCCACCTTGAGCATGCTAACCATTGGCTTTTTTTCTGTCAACAGCAAACCCGCTGGTTCAGAACCAACACCTAAGTCACGCATTGCAGACCTTCCTCCTGCCAACCCTGATCACATCGGTGGATACAGACTCGCCACAGCCACGTTTGCAGGCATCGAAAACAAATTTGGCCTTTATCTCCCGAAATTTAAGTCTCCTAGTGTTGCTGTGGTTCAGCCAAAGGCAGCAGTGGCAGCCACTCAGTGATGAGACAACTGTTGAGTGTGGCAAAATGGCGCCTTGAAGAAAGAGGCCTAGGAGAGCAGCCCTGTAATGTATCCAGTCAGCTGCATGGTACTGACTGAGCTGAGGAGTCAAACTCTTCTTTCTGTATGACATATACATATACTTGTTTATAAAATAATCATTTGCCCAGGGAAAAAACCACAACGCTGTTTCAAGCTTTAGTCTTATGTGTTGAAATGTTTTTGTAAGCCTTGGCATGAATTAGTGTTCTAGACTCTGCTTTGCACAGCTTGCACTTACAGTGATTGTACATATTGTACATCTTTGTACAGAGACATCTTGGCACCTCATCCCAACAAATCACATTTGTAGAAATGTAATGCGGTTCTGAGTGGCTTGAAATGTACAGAATGTTTTGAAAGTGTTTTATTAAGAATCACACAAAAATAAATGTATTAAAATTAAATTCATTCTCTTATTGGTGACTTATGGAAATAAAGCATCAATATTGGATGTATTTAATTCCTAGTTTGTTTTCCATTCTGGAATAAAAAGGTATTTGCTGATAAAAGGCATAACGAGACATAGTGCTGCTACCACTGAATAAGTGATACTTTGGAAAGATGCATGCCAGTGGATGCCAGAGGACCAGGCTAATGACTTGTGTGTGCTGATGTGTTTCCATTTGTATTTAATGTGTGTAGACCCTCCTCTGTTCATCAATCAAAAAGCATTTCCTAGGCAGCTCCTCGCCTGTCAGTGTGCATATGGAAACAGGGACATCTCCATCATTACTGGCTTAGTTTTGCTTTCCTTTGACACAGTAAGGCAAAGGCCAAGCTTTCAAAAGAGTAAAGGATACTTTCACAATTTCCCTTCATATGGATATGATTCCAGTCAAAAATAAAATGCACACCAAAATGTATACATGTAGTTGGATTTTTCTTTGTAAATATACTGATAATACTTTTTGTTCTGATTGACTACTGATTGCAAATAACTCATGATCGGGTTCGCCCTTTCTTCCACCTTTATAGAAAACAGAAAAATTAGTTTTAGAAAGGGCTAGCGCAGAGTGAAGGGAGGGAAGAAGAAAGAGAAGAAAAGCTCTATATGGTGATTTAGTGGGGTCTAGGTTCTTACTTTGGAATCCAAATGCAAACTGTTCTAAAAGTCACTCATCAAGGGCGTGATTACTAATTTGGATCTAAACATAGATCTTGACAGCCACATCTACACTTTGATATGGATGTGATTTGATGTGCAGTATCAGAATTTATTTACCTTACCAAAGTGCTCTGGGAAGACATTATTGCTACTGCCAGTAAGCTGGGATATGAGAATGTATGCAAATATTTTCAAGAGGCGAGCCTGGAGACAGACCAAGTTACTTAGTATCCTGCACAGTGCTCCTCGATTGATGGCTGACAGCCCTGTGACTGCAACTGTAGGCTCCCTGGAGGCCCTCCAGGAACAAAAGAATTAGCTTTGAAAGCAAGTTATTTTCAAATGTATTAGATTGGTCTCATGGGAGTGGAACAAATAATAATACAGTTGTTTTGCTACTACCACTTGTTAGAAATATATAAGTAGTCCATGGATATGTGATTACAAAAGAATCCTATGTATGTATCTAGAGTGAGATGGGAAAGTGTCCCGCTTACCCTCCTTCTACCTCCACCACTTCCTGGCCCAGAGGTAATCACTGCTAACAGGTTACAGCATGAATATGTAGTCTGTTTTTCATAACTCTATAGAAATATATGTACATATTTATATTTTAGAAACAGGATTATGTTATGTGTGTGTTATTCTGTGTCTTGCTTTTGTTCACTTAATGTGTTTTGGATATCTTTCCATGTCAGTTTATAAAGTTTTATTTTTAATGGCTGCATAGTATTTCATTGTATGGGTTATAATACTTTTCATAAATCTTCCCTTATTGATATTTATTCATTTTTTTCACTACTG
The DNA here is from genome assembly GCF_000001405.40 of Homo sapiens. Taxonomy (NCBI): domain Eukaryota; kingdom Metazoa; phylum Chordata; class Mammalia; order Primates; family Hominidae; genus Homo; species Homo sapiens. Next base: position 171,783,323 of record NC_000002.12, on the reverse strand, counting down.
CAAACAATGCTGTAGTGAATGGCAGACATCTTTGTACACATATCTTTAGTGCATGTGAATTTCATTAGGATAGATATTTGGAATTGCAATTGAAAACTTTTAAGACAAGCTTTATGTTTTTATACATATTGCCACATTGTTCTTCAAAAAGAGTTATTAATTTACTTTCCTTTGACAGCATATGAGAATGCCTATTTCTTTGCAACCTCAGCAAAGAGGGATATTATCAGTCTTTTACATTTTCAGCAAATCATGATAGCTGATCATGGTTATTTTATTTTTCTAATTACTAGTGAGATTGAATGTCTTTTCATATTTACTGGTCATTTGTATATTTTCTTATTGTGGAATATGGACAAAGTACATGAAACATATGTATGCATGTCCACAACAGATATGTACACACATACATATATATTTTTTAACATATCATAATGTGCATACCATATGACCACCGGGTCAAGAAATAGAACATCTCCAGTACCTCAAAAGCTCCATATATGTCCCTCCCTAACACAACCCTCTGTCCACTTTAACATCATCCCTACTCTTTGCTTTGCTTTTCTTCATAGTTTTACCACCCATGTATATGTCTCTAAAGACCATATTTAGTTTCTATTTTTGGAATTTATATGAATCAAATTATACTGTACACTTTTGAGACTGGTTTCTTTTGCTAAGCATTATGAGATTCATCCTTATCATTGTATGTAGCCATAGTGTGTTTATTCCATTGTATGAATGTATTACATTACATATACTTTTTTCATTTTACTCTTGATGGACAATTTGGATTTTTTCCACTTTGGGGATATTTCAAACAGTGCTTCTATGGATATTTTGAACATGTCTTCTGGAGTTTGCATCTTTAAAAGGACATATACATAAGAGTGGAACCTAGATCATGCCAACTGTTTCCCGAAGATTCTCATACTGATTTACATTCTTCCCAGGGTGTATTGGCTTTTCCCCAGCCCCCCAGTCTGGTAGATGTATAATGGTATCATATTGTAGTTTAAATGACCATTTTCCTTATATGGAAAAAAAATATGAAAGGTGTTCATGAGGCTGATCACATTTCATATATTTTTTGACCATTTGGATTTCATCTTTGGTGAATGAAGTGTGTTAAAGTTCTCCCATTTTTCTCATGAATTTGCAGGTGGTTCTTTATATATTCTGGCTACTACTCCTTTATGAGTTGTGTTGCAGAATCTTTTCCCACTTTGTGGTTTGTCTTTTCACAATGTTTATAAATATAGTAACATTTTAATTTTAATATCTTCAAATAATAGTTTTCCTTTATGGTTAGCTCGGTTTTTTTTATGGTTATGTTAAAAATATAGTTAATATTCTCTTGTTACATGCTTTGTAGTTTTGCCTCTCACATTTTGGTTTCATCCCACTTGGAACAATCTTCAACATATAGTATGAGGTAATTTTTTTGCTGCTATAGGGCTAGTCTGTTGTGCCAGCACTGTTTATTGAAAAAAAACAAAAACAAAAAACCTTCCTTTTCCTATTGCTTTGAAGTGCCTTTTCTGTTGTATATTGTCAATATATGCAAAGATCTTTTATGGGCTCTTTATTATATTGGTTTTTTTCCTGTGCTAATGTACACTCTCTTCATTACTTCATGATCTTCAAAAAAATTTTTGATATATAATATCAAAGTCCTTTCACATCCTTGTTATTCATCAACAGCTTGTGGCTCTTCTTGGTTCTCTGCTCTTCTTTATATATTTTAGAAATAGCTTATCACGTTTCACTAAAAAAAGCCGAACACATTGAAAATTTGATTGGAGTTGCGATGAATCTATAAGCTATTTTGGGAGAATTTATATCATAGTGGGCCTTTCAATCCATGAACATGATATATTGCTAAGTCCTTTTAATGTCTTAATAAAATTTTATTAATCACCAAGAAGGTCTTGTAAATCTTTTGTTACATATATTCCTAGGTACATCATATATTTGGATGCCATTATAAATATCTTTTTTGGAAATGTCATTTCTGGTATGTGGGAATATAATTCAGTTTTTTCATAACATTGGAAGCCAGTTGTCTTACAGAATGTCTCACATTATTTATCTGATTGCTTCCTCCTGGTATCGTCTGACGTGTTCCAGTACAATAAAGTGGAAGTTAGTCTAGCAGTACAGTTTTCTTTCTGACAGCTTTACTGAAGTATTTACAGAGCTACATAACCATCACCACAATAAAATTTTAGTGTATTGATATCATGCTCCAAAATGTAAAATGTATCACTTTATACTCCCACCAGTAATGGATGAGTGTTACAGTTTCTTCACATCCTTACCAATACTTAATTATTGACTATCTTATTATAGCTATTCAGTGGGTGTGAAGTGATACCACATTGTGGTTTTAATTGCATTTCCCTAATAACTAATGTCGAGCATTTTTTCATGTGCTTATAGACATCTATGTTTCTTCAAATCTTTTATCTATTTTTTAATTGGAGTTTGTCTTTTTATTATTGAGTTGAAGTAGTTATTTATATGTTCTGGATGTGAGTCCTATATCAGATTTGCAAATATTTTCTCCCAGTCTGTTTTCTTATTGGTGTCTTTTGAAGCACAAAAGCTTAACATTTTTATTAAGTTCAATTTCCTGTTTTTGGTGTCATCTAAAAACTGGTTAAACTAAGGTCATGAAGATTTTCTGTTTTCCTTGAAAAGTTTAGTATTTTAGTTATTACATTTAGGTCTATGATTATTTTGAGTTAATTTTTGTATATGGTATGAAGTAAGGATTTAAATTCATATTCTGTATGTGAATATCCGATTGTCTAATTACTATTTTTATTTTATTTTTACTTTTTGTGGAGATGAGGTCTTACTATGTTGCCCAGGCTGGTCTCAAATTCCTGGCCTCAAGCAATCCTCCTGCCTTGGCCTCCCAAGGTGCTGGGATTACAGGTGTGAGCCACTATGTCCAACCTCAGCACCATTCTTGAAAGGCAATCCTTTCCTCAGTGAATTGCCTTGGTGTTCTTTAATCAACAATAAATTGACAATACCTGTAAGAGTTTATTTGTAGACCCTCATTTCTGTTCCATTAATCTATATCACTATACTTATGCCAGTATCACAATCTTGATTATTGTAGCTTCACATTAAGTTTTGAAATAGGGAAGTGTAAATCCTCTAACTTTGTTCTTTTTCAAAACTGTTGTGCTTATGTTGGATCTTTTGTATTTCCATATAAACTTTAGGATTAGCTTGTCAATTTCTTCAAAAAAACCAGCTGTTCTTTTTTTGATAGGGATTTTGCTGAATTTATAGATCAATTTGGGAAGAACTGCCATCTTAACAATCCTTAGTTTTCCAATCCACACACTGGGGATCTCTAATTAGATCTTTAAAATTTCAGCCATGTTTATATTTTTCAGTGTACAGGTCTAATACCTCTGTTAAATTTATTCCTAAATATTTTATTTATTTTTTTGAGACAGTCTTGCTGTGTCACCCAGGCTGGAGTGCAGTGGTGTGATCTCGGCTCACTGCAACCTCCGCCTCCCAGGTTCAAGCAATTCTCCTGCCTCAGCCTCCTGAGTAGCTGGGATTACAGACACACACCACCACGCCCGGCTAATTTTTGTATCTTTAGTAGAGACAGGGTTTCACCATGTTGGCCAGGCTGGTCTCGAACTCCTGACCTTGTGATCTGCCTGCCTCGGCCTCCCAAAGTGCTGGGATTACAGACGTGAGCCACCGTGCCCGGCCCTTAAATATTTATGATGTTTTTATTAATGTAATTTTCTTCATTTTCAGATTATTCATTGTTATACAGAGAAACAGCTGATTTTTGTATGTTGATTTTGTATCTTACAACCTTGCTGAACTCACTGGTTTTGATAATTGGGTTTTATTTTCTATGTCTCTTCTTTTTTTTTCTTGTTCCTTTCTTTCTCCTTTACTGCTTTCTTTTGTGTTAAAAATACATATTTTATAGTGTTCTATTATAAGTTTTTTGTTTTAACTATTTTTTGGAGTTATTTTCTTAGTGATTTATCTAGGGGTTAAAATATATGTCTTAATTTATCACAATGTACTGATTCATATTAATTCTGGAAAATATATTCCAGTAAGTTCCAGTAAAATATAAAAACATAGCTCTAATATAGTTCCATTTCTTTCCCTCCTTTTGCTATTGTCATATATATTACATTTGTATATATTGTAACCACACAGTAAAGTTTTATAGTTACTGTTCCTTGCAGTTGTATTTTAAATCAAGATAAAAAATATATGTGTAGTCTTATATTTACCTATATATTGCCTTTATAGGTGTTTTTCATTCATGTGAATTCGAGTTACCATCTGCTATGGTTTGAATGTATCCAACAAGCTTCATGTGTTGAAAATTTAATCCCAAATGCAACCATGTTAAAAAGTGGGACCTCTAAGAGGTGATTAGGTCATGAGGGCTCTGCCCTCATGAGTGGATTAACATATTTGTCTCAGTAGTTGGTTGGTTATCACAAGAGTGGGTTTGTTATAAAAGTCGGTTTGGCCCTTCTTGCTCTCACCCGTCTTGCCCTCCACCAAGGGATGATGGAGCACAAAGGTCCTTGCCAGATGCCAGCACCATGCTCTTGGACTTCCCTGCCTCCAGAACTGTGAGCCAAATATCTGTTAATTATAAACTACCCAATCTGTGGTATTCTGTTATGGCAGCATAAAATGGTCTAAAACACTACTGCTATTTCTTTTTAGATAATAGGACTTCCTTTAATAATTTCTTGCAAGGTAGGTTGTCTAGCAACAAATACCGTCAGTCATTTGTTTAATAATGTCATTATTTTAGCTTCATTTTTGAAGAATAATTTTGCTGGACATAGAATTCTTGACTGACAGGTTGTTTTTTTTTTTTCCTTTCAGCTTTGAATATGTCATCTTCCTGCCTTACGGCATCCATGGTTTCTGATGAGAAATCAACTGTTGATCATATTGTTGTTCCCTTATATATGGTAAGTCATCTTTCTTTTGCTGCTTTCAAAAATTCCTCTTTTTGAATATTATGTGCCTAAATGTTGATCTCTTTTTATTCCGTTTGCTCACTGTCTTTTTTTGTTTGTTTGTTTGTTTGTTTCCTGAGACAGAGTCTTGCTCTGTCACCCAGGCTGGAGTGCAGTGGCATGATCTTGGCTCACTGCAACCTCCACTTCTTGGGTTCAAGTGATTCTCCCACCTCAATCTCCCAAGTAGCTGGGACTATGGGCGTGTGCCACCATGCCTGGCTAATTTTTGTATTTTTAGTAGAGACAGGGTTTTGCCATGTTAGCCAGGCTGGTCTTGAACTCCTGACCTCAGGTGATCCACCTACCTTGGCCTCTCAAAGTGCTGGGATTACAGATGTGAGCCACCGTGCTTGGCCACTCCCTGTTGTCTTCTGCAGTATAGAGTTCTGAAATTCCAATTATACATACATTGGTATGCTTGATGGTGCTACACAGGTCTCTGAGGCTTTCTTCATTTTGCTTCTTTTTTTCTTTTAGTTCTTCAGATTTTCAGGTTTTAAGAATTCCTTCTGGTCGGGCATGGTGGCTCACGCCTGTAATCCCAGCACTTTGGGAAGCCGAGATCACACCATTGCACTCCAACCTGGGCAACAAGAGCAAAACTCCATCTCAAAAAAAAAAAAAAATCTTCTTGGTTCAGTTTTGTTAAATTTTAAGTTTTCTAGGAATTTTTCAGTTTCATTAATTTTTTTTTTTTTTTTTTTTTTTTGAGACGGAGTCTCGCTCTGTCGCCCAGGCTCAATCTCTGCTCACTACAAGCTCCGCCTCCTGGGTTCATGCCATTCTCCTGCCTCAGCCTCCCGAGTAGCTAGGACTACAGGCACCTGCCACCACGCCCGGCTAATTTTTTGTATTTTTAGTAGAGATGAGGTTTCACCATGTTAGCCAGGATGGTCTTGATCTCCTGACCTCGTGATCCTCCCGCCTCGGCCTCCCAAAGTGCTGGGATTACAGGCGTGAGCTACTGTGCCCAGCCAGTTTTATTTAAATTTTAAAAGTATTTTATTTTTAATGTCTGTAGCATTTTAAATTATATGTAATAAATGAAATAAATGAAATACATTTAATTAAATAATAAATAAATAAATAGAGACAAAGAGAAAGGGTCACTCTGCCAGCCATGCTGAAGTGCAGAGGCACCATTATAGCTCACTGCAGCCTTGACCACCTGGGCTCAAGTGATCCTCCCACCTTGGGCTCCCAAGTGTCTGGAGCTACAGGTGCCTGCCACCAAGCCTGGCTAATATTTTACTTTTTATTTTTTGTAGAGACAGGGTCTCACTATGTTGCCCAAGTTGGTCTTGAACTCAGGCTCAAGTGATCCTTGCCCCTCAGCTTCCTAATGTGCTAGGTTTATGGGCATGAGTCACCACATCTGGCCCTATAGCATTTAATATTTCTTCTTATTCATTTCTGATATTGTTTGTGACTTCTTTCTGTATTTTAATGATTCAGTCCAGAGATTGGTCAATTTTATTAGTTTTTACAGAGAACTGACTTCTGGCTGTGTTGATCCTTTTTTTTTTTTTTTTTTTTTTTGACAGAGTCTCGCTCTGACACCCAGGTTGGAGTGCAGTGGCATGACTTTGGCTCATTGCAACCTCTGCCTCTTGGGTTCAAGTGATTCTCCTGCCTTGGCCTCCCAAGTGGCTGAGATTACAGGTGCATGCCACCATGCTTGGCTAATTTTTATATTTTTAGTAGAGACAGGGTTTCACCATGTTGGCCAGGCTGGTCTCAAACTCCTGGCCTCAAGTGATCCGCCTGCCTCAGCCTCCCAAATTGCTGGGATTACAGGTGTGAGCCATCAGGCCCAGCTATTTCGTTAATTTTTGCTCTTATCTGTTTTTCTTCTATTTTCTTAGGCTATTTTGCCATTCTTTCTTTTCTTTTTTTTTTTGAAACAGAGTCTCATCTGTCATCCAGGCTGGAGTGCAGTGATGCAATCTCGGCTCACTGCAACCTCCGCCTCCTGGGATCAAGTGATTCTCCTGTCTCAGCCTTCTGAGCAGCTGGGATTACAGGCACCCCCACTATGCCTTGCTAATTTTTGTTTTTTGGTAGAGACGGGATTTCACCATGTTGGCCAGGCTGGTCTTGAACTCCTGACTCCAAGTAACCCACCCACCTCAGCCTCCCAAAGTGCTAGGATTACAGGTGTGAGCCACCATGCCCTGCCTACCATTCTCTTTCTAACTTCTTGAGATGTCTCTCTCTCTCTCTCCCTCACCCTCACTCACTCTCTCACTCTCTCTCAGATAGGGTTTTCACTCTGTTGCCCAGGCTGGAGTGCAGTGACATAATCACAGCTCACTGCAGCCTTGACTTCCCAGGCTTAAGTAATCCCCCACCTCAGCCTCCCAAGTAGCTGGGACCACAGGTGTATGACACCAAAGCCAGCTAATTTGTAATTTTTTTTTTTTTTTTTTTTGGTAGAGATAGGATTTCCCTATGTTACCCAGGCTGGTTTCAAACTCCTGGGCTGAAGGAATCCTTCCATCTCAGCCTCTTAAAGTGTTGGGATTACAGGTGTGAGCCATTATGCCCAGCCCCTCATTATTATTATTTAAAGAAAGCTAGGACATTTTCACTATTTTTTTAAGAACTCTTTTCTAATCATCATATGCTAGAAACTGAGAAGGAACTCTTCATTGATTATTATTTCTTCTTGGACTCATGAGTTATTTAGAAGAATGTTTCTTAATTTCAAAATTTGGGAAAATATATATTAGTTTTTTTTGTTTTTGTTTTTGTTTTTATTGATCATTCTTGGGTGTTTCTCCCAGAGGGGGATTTGGCAGGGTCATAGGACAATAGTGGAGGGAAGGTCAGCAGATAAACAAGTGAACAAAGGTCTCTGGTTTTCCTAGGCAGAGGACCCTGCGGCCTTCCGCAGTGTTTGTGTCATTGGGTACTTGAGATTAGGGAGTGGTGATGACTCTTAACGAGTATGCTGCCTTCAAGCATCTGTTTAACAAAGCACATCTTGCACCACCCTTAATCCATTTAACCGAGTGGACACAGCACATGTTTCAGAGAGCACCGGGTTGGGGGTAAGGTCACAGATCAACAGCATCCCAAGGCAGAAGAATTTTTCTTAGTACAGAACAAAATGGAGTCTCCTATGTCTACTTCTTTCTACACAGACACAGCAACAATCTGATTTCTCTATCTTTTCCCCACATTTCCCCCTTTTGTATTCGACAAAACTGCCATCGTCATCATGGCCCGTTCTCAATGAGCTGTTGGGTACACCTCCCAGACGGGGTGGCGGCTGGGCAGAGGGGCTCCTCACTTCCCAGAAAGGGCGGCCGGGCAGAGGCGCCCCCCACCTCCCGGACGGGGCGGCGGCCGGGCAGAGGCTGGCCCCCACCTCCCTCCCGGACGGGGCAGCTGGCCGGGCGGGGGCTGCCCCCCACCTCCCTCCTGGACGGGGCGGCTGCCGGGCGGAGGGGGTCCTCACTTCTCAGACGGGGCGGCTGCCGGGCAGAGGGGCTCCTCACTTCTCAGACGGGGCGGCTGGGCAGAGACGCTCCTCACCTCCCAGATGGGGTCGCGGCCGGGCAGAGGTGCTCCTCACATCCCAGACGGGGCGGTGGGGCAGAGGCGCTCCCCACATCTCAGACGATGGGCATCCGGGCAGAGACGCTCCTCACTTCCTAGACGGGATGGCGGCCGGGAAGAGGCGCTTCTCACTTCCCAGACTGGGCAGCTGGGCAGAGGGGCTTCTCACATCCCAGATGATGGGCGGCCAGGCAGAGACGCTCCTCACTTCCCAGACGGGGTGGCAGCCGGGCAGAGGCTGCAATCTCGGCACTTTGGGAGGCCAAGGCAGGCGGCTGGGAGGTGGAGGTTGTAGCTAGCCGAGATCACGTCATTGCAGTCCAGCCTGGGCAACATTGAGCACTGAGTGAACGAGACTCCGTCTGCAATCCCGGCACCTCGGGAGGCCGAGGCTGGCGGATCACTCGCGGTTAGGAGCTGGAGACCAGCCCGGCCAACACAGCGAAACCCCGTCTCCACCAAAAAAACACGAAAAGCAGTCAGGCATGGCGGCGCGCGCCTGCAATCGCAGGCACTCAGCAGGCTGAGGCAGGAGAATCAGGCAGGGAGGTTGCAGTGAGCCAAGATGGCAGCAGTACAGTCCAGCTTCGGCTCGGCATCAGAGGGAGACCGTGGAAAGAGAGGGAGAGGGAGACCGTGGGGAGACGGAGAGGGAGAGGGAGATATTAGTTTTTATTATTGATTCCTAACATAATTGCATTGTGGTCTAAGGACACACTATCTATGATTACAATCCTTTTGAAATCCTCTTGGCTCCATAGATCGTCATTTTAAAATAAATATTGCATGAACACTTACAAGAATATGTATTCTGCTATTGATGGGTACTCTGTGTGAGGGCATGTGTGTACTCACTACTTTCACACATGGCATTATTTGGTCAAGTACAGCAATTTATTTAAAATGTCTATATCCTACTTTTTGTTTGCTTGTTCTGTCAATTGGTAAAAAAACAAAAAGCATGTTAAACTTTCCTATTATAATTTTGTATTTTCTATTTCTCCTTGTAGTTCTGTCAATGTTTGCTTTTTACATTTTAAGGTTATGTCATTAGGTACATCAAGACAAATTAAGAGCTTCCAGATGAATTGATTCTTTTGTCATTGTCTCTTTTTTTAATCTCTAGTAATGCTTTTTGTCTGAAAATTTATTTTTTGATATTACTGTAACTATATTTTTCTTTTTTAATATTTACAAGGAAAATTTTCTCTGTCCTTTTATTTTCACATTTTCTCTAATTTGAGGTATGTCACTTATAAGCAGCATATATTTGCATTTTTAAAAAAGTGTAGTCTGACTTCACTCTTTCAGTGGAAGCATTTTAGTTCATTTAATGTAATTACAGATATACCTTATTTGTATTTAAGTATAACATTTCATTTTGTGATTCCTTTGACCCATCTCTACTTATTTTTAATATATTCTTGGGTGTTTTAGAGCAATTATTTTTATTTTTCTATTCTTTTCCCACTGTTTGGAGTTTATGTACTTTGTTTATTGTTTTAGTAAATCTATAATATGCATACTTAATTTTCTAAAATTGAAGTTGGATTGATTCACTCTGCTCTTTTTTATATAAGGATGTTAGTACACTTGAAGACTTGGTATTATCCTACAGTGCAAAAGCTGCTTAAATGCTCACCTTACTGCTCTAGGTTCTGGCTTTTCCTTAGATTGCTGACTTATATTCTCAGCTTTTCAGTGCTTTGAAAATTTTAAACAATCTAGCATTTTTAGTTTTTAGTGCTGATACAAATAACATAGCCTGCCATCTTCCTAGGAATGAAGTTCCCTATTTGTGTGCTTTCTGTGAACTGCCTACTTTTAAATTTTAAATAGGGTTTACAATTTTTTTCTTTATTGACTTATAGACATTCTTTGTTATCTGGATATCAACTCTGCAATATTTCTACCAACCCTTTTCTGCGCATATAATTTTTTTTAAAAAAAATTGAACACAGGATGAGGCGGCAAATCTTTTTTTAAAAAATTAATAAACTTTATCTTTTAGAGCAGTTTTAGGTTCATAGCAAAATTGAGTGGAAAACAGAGTTCTTATATACCACTTTCCTTTCCCCACACTTGGACACCCTTCCCCGAATCAATATCCCACACCACAGTGGTGTATGTTTGATGAACCTACATTGACTCATCATTGTCACCCAAAGTCCATAGTTTACATTAGGGTTCACTTTTGGCGGTGTACATTCTATAGGGTTTTTTCTTTTTCTTTTTCTTTTTTTTTCTGCTGTGATCACTTGGTTCTAATTGATAGGTTTTGACGAAGATATAAAGACGTGTGTTTATCATTGTAAAAAATAATTTAATTGCCCTAAAAATACTCTGCTCTGCCTATTCATCGCTCCCTTCCCCCAATTCCTGACATCCCTCCCTTCCCCCAATTCCTGACAACCACTAATCTTTTTACTATCCCCATAGTTTTGCCTTTTCCAGAGTGTCATATACTTTGAGTTACGCAGTATGTATCCTTTTCAGATTGGCTTCTTTCACTTGTTTTTTTGTTTTGTTTTGTTTTGGTAGAGATGAGATCTCACTATATTGCTTCGGCTGATCTTGAACTCCTAGGCTGAAGTGATCCTCCTGCCTCAGCAGGAATATCAATTTAAGTTTTTTGTATGCCTTTTTGTGGCTTCATAGCTCATTTCTTTTTCATGGTGAATAATATTCCAAAGCCTGGATGTACCACAATTTATTTAGACACTCATCTACTAAAGGACATCTTGGTTGCTTCCAAGTTTTGGCAATTATGAATAAAGGTGCTATGGACTTCTCTATGCAGGTATTTGTGTAGACATGTTTTCAGCTCATTTGGGTAAATACCAAGAATTGCAATTGCTGGACTGTATGGATAGAGTATGTTTAGTTTTGTAAGAAACTGCCAAACTGTCTTCCAAAGTGGCTGTACCATTTTGCATTCCCATCAGCAATGAATTAAGAGTTCTTGTTGCTCCATATACTTGTCAGCATTTGTTGTTGTCAGTATTTTGGATTTTGGCCATTCTAATTGGTGTGTAGTAGTATCTCATTGTTGTTTTAATCTGCAGCTTCCTAATGACCTATGATGTGGAGGAGTATCTTTTCATATGCTTACTTGCCATCTGTATGTGTTCTTTGGTGAAGTGTCCCATTCAGGTCTTTTGCTCATTTTTACATTAGGTTGTCTGTTTTTTTTTTTTTTTTATTGTTGAGTTTTTAAAGTTCCTTGTATTTTTTTGGATAACAGCCTTTTATCAGATGTCTTTTGCAAATATTTTCTCCCAGTCTATGGCTTATCTTTTCATTAACTTCACATTGTTTTCCCAGAGGCAGAAGTTTTAAATTTTAATGAAATTGGCTTATCAATTATTTCTTTCATGGATCATATATTTAGTGTTGTATCTAAAATATTATTGTCATACTCCAGGTTATCTCCTTATCAAAGGTTTTTCGCCTTTGTTATCTTCTAGGAGTTTTATAGTTTGTTTGTTTGTTTGTTTTTTTGAGACGGAATCTCGTTCTGTCGCCCAGGCTGGAGTGCAGTGGCGTGATCTTGGCTCACTGCAACCTCCACCTCCTGGGTTCAAGCCATTCTCCTGCCTCAGCCTCCTGAGTAGCTGGGACTACAGGTACACGCCACCATGCCCAGCTAATTTTTGTATTTTTAGTAGAGGTGGGGTTTCACCATGTTGACCAGGATGATCTCGATCTCCTGACCTCGTGATCCACCCACCTCTGTCTCCCAAAGTGCTGGCATCATAGACGTGAGCCACCGTGCTAGGCCAGTTTTGTGTTTCACATTTTGTGGGCATAGAGCTGTTCATAGTATTTCTTTGTTACCATTTTCATGCCCGTGGGATCTATAGTGATGGCCCTTTTTCATTTCTGGTATCAGTAATTTGTATCTTCTTTTTTTCTTGGCCCTGGCTAGAGGCTTATCAATTTTATTGATCTTTTCAAAGAACTAGCTTTTGGTTTTGTTGGTTTTCTCTATTGATTTTCTGTTTTCAATGTCACTGATTTCTGTTCCATTTCTTTTTTCTGCTGCTTATGTTGGATTTATTTATAAGGTGAGAGCTTAGATTACTGATTTTAGATTTTTCTTCTTTTCTTATATATACATTCAATGTAATAAATTTCTCTGCAAGCACTGCTTTCACTGCATCCCATAAATTTTTAATGAGTTGTATTTTCATTTTCATATATATACGTTTTGTTTTTTTGAGACAGAGTCTTGCTCTATCACCCAGGCTGGAGTGCAGTGGCGTAATCTCAGCTCACTGCAACCTCTGCCCCCTGGGCTCAAGCGATTCTCTTGCCTCAGCCCCCTGAGTAGCTGGGATTATAGGCCTGCACCACCAAGCCCATCTCATTTTTTAATTTTTAGTGGAGATGGGGTTTCACCATGTTGGCCAGGCTGGTCTCAAACTCCTGATCTCAAGTGATCTGCCTGCCTCAGCCTCCCAAAGTGTTGGGATTACAGGCATGAGCCACTGCGCCTGCCCTCATTTTCATATATTTCAAAATATTTTAAATTTTCTGTTGAGATTTCTTCTTTGACTCATGTGTTATTTAGAAGTGTGTTGTTCAATCTCCAAGTATTTTAAGGTTTCGAGCTATCTTTATTATTGATTTCTAGTTTAATTCCTTTGAGGCCTGAGAATAGATATTATATGTTTATTCTTTTAAATGTTTTAAAGTGTGTTTTTATGGCCCAGAATGTGGTCTTTGTGAATGTTTCATGTAAGCTTGATAAGAATGTGCATTCTGCTGTTGTTTTAAGTAGTAGTAAATAGACATCCATTACATCCAGTTGATTGATGGTGTTACTGAGTTCAACTATGTCCTTACTGATTGATCTTCTGCCTGCTGGATCTGTCCTTTTCTGATAGAGGGGTGTTGAAGCCTCTAACCATACTAGTGAACTCCTTGTAGTTCAATCAGTTTTTGCCTCACATATTTTGATGCTGTCTTGTTGGGAGCATATGTAAGAATTGTTCTGTCTTCCTGGAGTATTGACCCCTTTATCATTATATAATGCCCCTTTTTATCCCTGATAACTTTCCTTGCTCTGGAGTATTCTCTATTTGAAATCAGTATATCTACTCCTGATTTCCAGGATCCCTCACAGATACCAAAATTCAAGGATGCTCAATTCCCCAAATAAAATGTTTTAGTATTTCCATATAACCTACGCTCATACTCCCATGTACTTTAAATCATCTCTAGATTACTTGTACCTAATACAATGTAAATGCACATAAATAGCTATATTGGGTTTTTATTTGCATTATTTTTATTGGGTATTGTTATTTTTAATAGTTTTTTCCCAATATTTTCAAGTTGGTTAGTTGAATCCGTGGATATAGAACCTGCAAATATGGAGGGAAGGCCAGTTGCAGTATGAAGTAGCATTTGGGAGAGCAAGTTCGCCTTCTGTGTTCATTTTCAAAATTATATTGCTTATTTTTCTATCATTTCTCTTCCATGAGTTATACAATCAACATTTTTTCAAGTTCTAGTTAAAAATTCTGTTGGAATTTTCCTTGGAAATTTATAATTTGCTTTAGGATGTATACTGATATTTGGTAATATGGGATCTTTCCATCTCAGGTCTGTCCATTTTTCAGATTTTTTAATATCCTTCAGCAAAATTTTATATTCTTAAGTATTAGGTTTTACAAACTCCTTTTATTGGTAGTATGCTTAGGTTTAAATATTTTCATTCCTATTATGAACAGAGTTATTGCCCATTACATTTTCTAACTAATGTAACAGGCAATTTGGATATGCTAATCTTATACTCAGTCATCTTAATGAACTCTTGCAATATTTTTCAGTTGGCTGATTATCTTGTCCTCTCATGGTTAAAAATTTTATCTGCAAAGGTGGTTTTGTGTCTTTTCAATATTTACATTTTATTTTCTTATCTTAATGCAGATGCTTGGACATCTACCACCATGTTAAACAGGAGGAGTGTGATAGCAAGCATCCTCGCATTTCTCTAGCATTAGTGAGAATGATTCTAACATCTCACCCTTAAGTGTGATGCTTGCTGTAGGTTTCTGATAGATACGATTTTTTTTTTTTTTTTTTTTTTTGAGACAGAGTTTCGCTCTTGTTGCCTAGGCTGGAGTGCAATGACACGATCTTGGCTCGCCGCAACCTCTGCCTCCCAGGTTCAAGCGATTCTCCTGCCTCAGCCTCCTGAGTAGCTGGGATTACAGGCATGCACCACCACGCCCGGGTAATTTTGTACTTTTAGTAGAGATGGAGTTTCTCCATGTTGGTCAGGCTGGTCTTGAACTCCCGAGCTCAGGTGATCTGCCTATTTCAGCCTCCAAAGGTGCTGGGATTACAGGCATAAGCCACTGCACCGGGCTGATAGATACACTTTATTGACTTAAGAGTTTTCACTATTCCTAATTTATTCTGGTGTTTCTTTTTTCTTTTAAAATCAAGAATAGGTATTAAATTTTATCATATACTTTTTTGCCTCCACTGAGATTTTTCTAATTTTTACATATGATTAGCAATATTAGTACATTTTCTCATAGTGAAACATTTAAAAATTTCTAGGATTAAGCCTACTTGGCTGTGATATCTTAATCCACACGTGTTCAATTTTTGCATTTTTGTTCATTCCTGAGATTGGCTTATTCTTTTGTTTTGACTTTGTACTGTCCATGTCTGGTTTGGTGTCCACTGCATTTTCCATCGTTTTCTAGTTTCTAGAATAGCTGTTACTAAAGCTCTAGAAATTGTGCCTTTAAAGCTTATGTCTTTCAGCCAGGCGTGGTCGCTCGTGCCTGTATTCTCAGCACTTTGGGAGGCCAAGGCAGGCAGATCACTTGAGCCCACCAGTTCGAGACCAGCCTGGGCAACATGGCGAAATCCTGTCTCTACAAAAAAGCACAAGCATTAGCCAGGAGAGGTGGCATGTACCTGTGGTCCCAGCTACTGAGGCTGAGATGGGAGAATCAGTTGAGCCCTAGAGATAGAGGTTGCAGTGAGTTGAAATCGTGACACTGTATTCCAGCCTGGGTGACAGAATGAGACCCTGTCTCAAAAAAAAAAGCTTACGTATTTCAAGGGAGTAATCTTTGGTAACCTTTTCAACTTCTTTTTGGTTTACTGGTCTATTTAAGTTTTTACTTCTTAGATCAACTTCACCAATTTATATTTTCCTTAGTTTTTCTTCTATATTGTCAAGGTTTTCAAATTTATTAACAAAGGTATATGCTGTATTGACTTAACTTTTGGAAAAATTCAAATGTATACAAAGTAAACAGAATACTGTAATATTTACAATTTTTACTCATCACGCAGCTTCAAAAATGATCAACTCATAGCTAATCCTGTTTCAATTATACTTCATCCATGTCTCTTCCACCCTTACTGAATTATTCTGAAACAAACCCCAGATATCAGATCACCCAGAAATATTTCCTTATATACCTCTAAGTGTTAAGGACTTTTGAAAAAAATACATAACACCACCATTTCCCCAACTCTGTCAGTCTCTTTCCTTCTCTCTCTCTCGCGCATGCATGCACACACACACACACACACACAGACATACACATATACATGCACAGTTTGAATCAGTATCCAAGTAAAGTCCATACATGGAATATAGTTGATCTCTCTCTTAAATCTAACACTACCATTTCCCCAACTGTGTCTGTCAGTCTCTCTTTCCTTCTCTCTCTCTCACACACACACTCACACAGTTTGAATCAGTATCCAAGTGAAGTCCATACATGGAATATGATTGATTTCACTCCTAAATCTCTTTTTAGTCTTTGGTTTCCCTCTCCTCCTCTTTTTTACTTGCACATAAGACTTCAGCCTGTTTGTCCTGTAGTTTCCTACATTCTCAATTTTGGTGATTGCATCCTTGTGGTGGTGTTTAGCTGTTTCTATTTCCCTGAATTTTCTATAAATTGGTAGTTATGTTCTAGAGGCTTGACAGCATTTATGATCAATTTTTTTTTTTTTTTTTGGTAAGAATACTTTGTGGAGGCCGGGTGCGGTGGCTCATGCCTGTAATCCCAGCAGTTTGGGAGGCCGAGGCGGGTGGGTCACGAGATCAGGAGATTGAGACCATCCTGGCTAACACGGTGAAACCCTGTCTCTACTAAAAAATACAAAAAATTAGCTGGGTGTGGTGGCGGGCGCCTGTAGTCCTAATACAAAATTAGCCTACCACCATGCCAGGCTAATACAAAAATTAGCCTGGCATGGTGGTAGGTGCCTGTAATCCCAGCTACTGGGGAGGCTGAGGCAGGAGAATGGTGTGAACCTGGGAGGCGGAGCTTGCAGTGAGCCGAGATTGCGCCACTGCACTCCAGCCTGGGCGACAGAGCGAGACTCTGTCTCAAAAAAAAAAAAAGAATACTTTGTGGGTGTGTTACGTGTACATCCAAAAGAAGGCACAGAATAATGTCTCTTTTGGTAACTAGCAGCCTTTGATAATTACCTTCAACCATTATTTCATCAGGAGTTGCAAAATGGTGGTATTCTATTATATCTTACATATTAGCTGAGATACTTTTATAAAGAGAAACGTAACAATTATTTGGTTACACAGAGGGGAAAAACAGGATAAATGCTTGATTTTTTTGTTTTCAAAATATTTCCCCAGCATCTTCCAGAGATGAACAATGAGAATTTCTTTGAGAAGTGTCAAAGAATTAAACATATTTGATATGTTTTAAACCTTTGGATTTTTTTTTTTTTTTTTTTTTTTTTTTGAGATAGAGTCTTGCTCTCTCACCCAGGCTGGAGTGCAGTGGCATGAGCTCAGCTCGCTGCAGCCTCGACCTCCCAGGTTCAAGCGATTCTCGTGCCTCAGTCTCCCAAGTAGCTGGGATTACAGGCACCTACCACCATGCCAGGCTAATTTTTGTATTTTTAGTAGAGACAGGGTTTCACCATGTTGGCCAGGCTGGTCTCCAATTCCCAACCTCAGGTGATCTGCCCGCCTCAGCCTCCCAAAGTGCTGAGATTACAGGTGTGAGCCACCATGGCCGCCTGGTCTTTTTTTTTTTTAATACTCAAGTTGTCTCATCTTCGGCCAGTGGGAGCCTCTTGCAATTAACTTCTAAGTCCTACCGATATTACCTCAGGATTTTTTTTTTTTTTTTTAAGAGATGGGGTCTTGGTATGTTGCTTAGGCTGGTTTCAAACTCCTTGGCTCAAGTGATCCTCCTACCGCGGCCTCATGAGTAGCTAGGACTACGGATACATGCTACTGCACCTGCTGGTTTTTTGTGTTTTTTGTTTTTGTTTTTTTGATTTTTTGTATAGACAGGGGTCTTGCTTTTAGGTTGCAGTTTCCACAGTTACTTTTGCACCAACCTAATATATTGCTCAGGTTGGTTTCAAACTCCTGAGCTCAAGCAGTCCTCCTGCCTTGGCCTCCCAAAGCACAGGGATTAGACATGAGCCACTGTGTTTGGCCCTCAGGAATCTTTGATAGCTTCCTAGCTTTCCAGTATGACAAGATGCTCCAAACTCTTCCTTTTATTTCTTGCCAAGACCAGATATTAGTAATTTCTCCACGGAGCCCTAATTCTGTATTAATTACTAAATTATTTAATTTTTAAATTTCCTTTTGCCCTGAGTTATTTAGAAGGGGATTTGAAAACTTTCTTTTCGGCAAGCCTTGCATTTAAAAATGTACATTTTAGTGCACTATGGTAAAAATACACCTACAATCACTCCTGTTGAGATATTCTGACACTTTTGGTCAATGATTCTTATTTAAAAGGGAAAGATCGTTTTATAGTCCTAAACTTGTGCCTTTTCAAACCAAAGAAAGCTATTCTAGTCTATATTTTTCTCCCTATGTCCCATCTTTTATCTCCTATTTAGATACTGGAATTTTGGGACATATCCCTGTATCATTGAGCTTTCCTTGATACTTTCTCTGTTAGTACTTTTTGGTTGAATGAGAGACACCTTGTGATTATTCTGACAGCTTTACTCTTCAGCTGTATCCCTCTATTTAGCTTTTAAAACAACTTTAACAACCATAATTGCAATATCTAAGATTGGATTGGTTCTTTTATAATAACCTATACTTATTTTATGGCTATGATACCATACTCTATACTCTTGGGATGTTAAATACACTTATTTGATGTCTTCTTTAATATGCTGTTATTTTGACTTTTTAAAACGGTTTGTTCAGGGCCTTTCGTGTTACTGACTTTCTTCAAATATTTTAGTGATTCACAGTTATAATTTTAAGTTATTTAGTTGCTCATTTTTGTATTTGAGAGCCTCTTTTTATGGATGCCGTATCTGTTATCATAGCCTGTGATGAGAGTAGTGGGCTGTGCTATGTTGAGGATATGCCAGTATTTTGGCTCTGGGTACAGTAGTCCTCCTTATCTGCAGGGAGTATATTCCAAGACCCCCAGTGGATACCTGAAACCATGAATAGTACCAAACCCAGTGGCTGTCAGTTGGAACACGTTTCCATTCACGTCTGCCATCCACAAGTTTAATGCTCTTTACACCTTAACTAAGTGCCTACCTGCACTCTGGGGTAACTTCCGAAGTTTAAGGTGCACAGCAAAACTAACACGAATTTATCTTTCCTTCTTCACAATTTCACGGATGGAAGATTTGTTCATACCTTAGATCTAAGCCATATTTTAGATCTTAGCAACCTCAGCATACAATTAAAATAATTATTGTCAAGAACTTTTACATTTTCACTTAAAGGAAGCAATTTACAGTTTTTTGGCACATCGGAATTGCCAGAATCACTACTGGCATTTTGAGGTCATTATTAAGTTAAATAGGAGTTGCTTGAATGCAAACACTGAGATACTGTGACAGTTGATCTGATTAACGAGGACAGCTACTGATTGACTAACAGGCAGGCAGCGTAGACAGTGTGGATACACTGGACAAAGGGATGATTCACATCCTGGGAAGGACAGAGCAGATGGTACAAGATTTCATCCCAGTACTCAGAATCTACCTGCAATGTAAAACTCATGAATTATTTCTGGAACTTTCCATGTAATATATTAAGACTGTGTTGACCATGGGTAACAAACTGTGGAAAGCAAAACCATGGATAAGGGGGAACTAGGGTATGGGCTTCTGTTCTCCTCTTGCGGGTCAGCAAGTGTCTGGGGGCACTGCCCTGCTTTCCCAGCTTCGGTGGCATCACTCAGTTGTTATAGGCTGGCCAGAGACACTGCTTTTGTCCACCACTCAGCTTGTGGTTGGGGAAGGGAACTTGCGTAGCTATTCTGAATCAATCAGCTCCCTAATGAGTCACCCTGTCCAGTACCCCAGGGAACCCTCCTGCTTTTTGCATCTGTTGACTCTGGGTTCCAACCCATGCCTCCTTTTATAGTAGTCTTGCCTGTTTTGAATTATGATTCCCTATCATTTTGTTTGCCTATAACTGATCCTACCTGCTTTTGATGTTTCTGGCATTCTTCCAAATTTCTATTCCATTGCTAGCCCTCTCATCTTTCAGTGCTATAGCAGATTTCTTATTTTTCTTCTGTTTTATTAATTACAGCACTTTATGGAATTTAGAGTTGAGAGGGAGAGCAGATACTTCTGTTTGCCATCTTGATCCAATCTCACTAACAAACAGCACTTAAAGCAAACAGAACAAAAACTCTTTGTCTTTCTCTTGTTGAGACTCCTGGGATGATCCTATAGTTACAAAATGTGCTGTGCAACTAGTAACTCACAGAACATATTTACAAGGTTTTATTAAAATATCAGCCCTTTTCCCTTCTTCCTAACACACAACATTTTGTGATGAATCTGTTAATACTAAACACCAGTTCCTAGCAGTGAATACTCTAGGAGTCATGAAATAGTATTCAGTGATAATTATATTTGCATTGAAAAAATAACATATTAGGGACAACAGAATTATCTTTTAAAAAGTGACCCAGTTGACTTTAGGAGAAAAGACAGGCCCAGCACTGCCCTCGGGTGCCTCATTTTAGAGGCCCTCCTGTAGTTGTGTTCTTTCCCAGGGGGCAAAAAGTCTGCTGGGCCAGTGGGTTATGCCTACCTGGAACTCACTTCATTCTCTTCTCGACCACGTTCAAGGTACCTGAAACCCTGATTTTCCTGCCTAAACTGCTCAGCTTCCAGGGCTTTCACAAGGCCTATCTATCTTTTGCCCAAACCTACCCTGGTTGAAAAGGTGTCCAAGGGGCAGCTATTTGCAAGGCTGTGGAAAAACTTACTTACTTAGGCATGTAGGCTGAAGAATACACAAGTGTTCCTGTGAAGCCCTTCAGAATACTGAAGGAGCGGGTGGAAGAGAAGGAAGGCAATGTGCTGCAGGCTGGTTCTCCCCTGGCTGCCATCTTTGGGCATGGAATTCTGAGAAGTGTGAAAATTCAAGGTGGACTTGCATGTTGTGCATAAAATTTAGTAGCTTTTAAGCTTGATTTATAACACCGAAATATCTTGACCTATCTATTGCTTCAGGGCCTGCAAATTTTAGGGGAGGTCCTAGGAAGGAGAAAGAGTGATTCCTAAGTGGGTCCAGGCAGCATACCTGCAAACGGTGATGTCATAAAGTAGTCCTGCTGAGTTTTAGGTAAGCCACTTATAGCTACTACCATTTTTTTCAGCCAGTGGAAACATATTCCATATCTAACCAGTTTCTTCCAGTAGTTTGAGCTAACGAGAAGAGGAGTAAAAAGTTCTAGAATCAATTGCTGGCAAGATGGCCGAATAGAAACAGCTCCGGTCTACAGCTCCCAGAGAGATGGATGCAGAAGGTGGGTGATTTCTGCATTTCCAACTGAGGTACCTGGTTCATCTCACTGGGACTGGTTGGACAGTGGGTGCAGCCCACAAGGGCGAGCCGAAGCAGGGTGGGGCGTTGCCTTACCCAGGAAGCACAAGGGGTCAGGGAACTCCCTCTCCTAGCCAAGGAAAGCCATTAGGGACTGTACTGTGAGGAACAGTGCACTCCGGCCCAGGTACTGCACTTTTCCCACGGTCTTCACAACCTGCAGACCAGGAGATTCCTTCCGGTGCCTACACCACCAGGGCCCTGGGTTTCAAGCACAAAACTGGGCGGCTGTTTGGGCAGACACCAAGCTAGCTGCAAGAGTTTTTTTTCATACCCCAGTGGTTCCTGGAATGCCAGTAAGACAGAACCATTCACTCCCCTGGAAAGGGGGCTGAAGCCAGGGAGCCAAGTGGTCTGGCTCGGTGGATCCCATCCCCACAGTGCCCAGCAACCTAAGATTCACCAGCTTGAAATTCTTGCTGCCAGCACAGCAGTCTGAACTCAGCCTGGGATGCTCGAGCTTGGTGGGGGAAGAGGTGTCTGCCATTCCTGAGGCTTGAGTAGGCAGTTTTACCCTCAAAGTGTAAACAAAGCCACCTGGAAGATCGAACTGGGCAGAGCATACTGCAGCTCAGCAAGGCCGCTGTGGCCAGACTGCCTCTCTATATTCCTCCTCTCTGGGCAGGGCATCTCTGAAAAAAAAAAAAAAAAAAAAAAAAAAAAGCATCCCCAGTCAGGGGCTTAGAGATAAAACCACCATCTCCCTGGGACAGATGTCACCTTCCCCCAGGTGAAGGGGCAGCTGTGAGCGCAGCTTCAGCAGACTTAAACGTCCCTGCCTGATGGCTCTGAAAAGAGCAGTGGATCTCACAGCACAGCATTCGAGCTCTGCTAAGGGTCAAACTGCCTCCTCAAGTGAGTTCCTGACCCCAGTGTCTCCTGATTGGTAGACACCTCCCAGTAGGAGCTGACAGACACCTCATATGGGAGAGCTCTGGCTGGCATCTGGTGAGTGCCCCTCTGGGACGAAGCTTCCAGAAGAAGGAACAGGCAGGAATCTTTGCTGTCCTGCAGCCTGGGTAATACCCAGGCAAACAGGGTCTGGAGTGGACCTCTAGGAAACTCTAGCAGACCTGCAGCAGAGAGGTCTGTTAGAAGGAAAACTAGCAAACAGAAAGAACTAGCATCAACATCAACAAAAAGGACGTCCACTCAGAGATCCCATCCGGAGGTCACCGACATCAAAGACCAAAGGTAGATAAATCCACAAAGATGGGGAGAAACCAGCGCAAAACAAGTGAAAATTCCAAAAAACAGAATGTCTCTTCTCCTCCAAAGGATCACAACTCCTCGCCAGCAAGGGAACAAAACTGGATGCAGAATGAGTTTGACAAATTGACAGAAGTAGGCTTCAGAAGGTGGGTAATAACAAACTCCTCCAAGCTGAAGAAGCATGTTCTAACCTAATGCAAGGAAGCTAAGAACCTTGAAAAAAGGTTAGACGAATTGCTAACTGGAATAACCAGTATAAAGAAGAACATAAATGATCTGATGGAGCTGAAAAACACAGCACAAGAACTTTGTGAAGCATACACAAGTATCAACAGCTGAATCGATCAAGTGGAATAAAGGATGTCAGCGACTGAAGATCAACTTACTTAATGAAATAAAGCGAGCAGACAAGATTAGTGAAAAAGGAATGAAAAGGAACGAACAAAGCCTCCAAGAAATATGGGACTATGTGAAAAGACAAAATCTACGTTTGATTGATGTACCTGAAAGTGATGAGGAGAACAGAACCAAGTTGGAAAACACTCTTCAGGATATTATCCAGGAGAACTTCCCAACCTGGCAAGACAGGCCAACATTCTAATTCAGGAAATAACAGAAAACACCACAAAGATACTCCTCGAGAAGAGCAACCCCAAGACACATAATTGTCAGATTCACCAAGGTTGAAATGAAGGAAAAAATGTTAAGGGCAGCCAGAGAGAAAGTTCGGGTTACCCACGAAGGGAAGCCCATCAGACTAACAGTGGATCTCTCTGCAGAAACCCTGCAAGCCAGAAGAGAGAGGGGGCCAATATTCAACATTCTTAAAGAAAAGAATTTCCAACCCAGAATTTCATATCCAGCCAAACTAAGCTTCATAAGAGAAGGAGAAATAAAATCCTTTTGCAGACAAGCAAATGCTGAGAGATTTTGTCACCACCAGGCCTGCCTTACAAGAGCTCCTGAAGGAAGCACTAAACATGGAAAGGAACAACCAGTACCAGCCACTGCAGAAACATGCCAAATTGTAAAGACCATCAACACTATGAAGAAACTGCATCAACTAATGGGCAAAATAACCAGCTAGCATCATAATGACAGGATCAAATTCACACACAACAATATTAACCTTAAGTGTAAATGGGCTAAATGCCCCAATTAAAAGACACAGACTGGCCATGCATGGTGGCTCACACCTATAATCCCAGCACTTTGAGAGGCCGAGGAGGGTGGATCACGAGGTCAGGAGTTTGAGACCAGCCTGACCAACATGGTGAAACTCCGTCTCTACTAAAAATACAGTAATTAGCCAGGCATGGTAGTGCAGGCCTGTAATCCCAGCTACTCAGGAGGCTGAGGCAGGAGAATCGCTTGAACCCGGGAGGCGGAGGTTGTGGTGAGCCAAGATCGTGCCACTAGACTCCATCCTGGGCAACAGAGCAAGACTCTGTCTCAAAAAAAAAAAAAAAAAAGACACAGACTGGCAAATTGGATAAAGAGTCAAGACCCATCAGTGTGCTGTATTCAGGAGACCCATCTCAAGTACAAAGACACAGGCTCAAAATAAAGGGATGGAGAAATATTTACCAAGCAAATGGAAAGCAAAAAAAAGCAGGAGTTGCAATCCTAGTCTCTGATAAAACAGACTTTAAACCAACAAAGATCAAAAGAGACAAAGATGGGTATTACATAATGGTAAAGGAATCAATGCAACAAGAAGAGCTAACTATCCTAAATATATATGCACCCAATACAGGAGCACCCAGATTCATAAAGGAAGTTCTTAGAGACTTACAAAGTGACTTAGACTCCCACATAATAATAGTGGGAGACTTTAACACCCCACTGTCAATATTAGATCAACGAGACAAAAAATTAACAAGGATATTCAGTACTTGAACTCAGCTCTGGACCAAACGGACCTAATAACATCTACTGAACTCTCCACCCCAAATTAACAGAATACACATTCTTCTCAGCACATCACACTTATTCTAAAACTGACCACATAATTGGAAGTAAAACACTCCTCAGCAAATGCACAAGAATGGAAATCATAACAAACAGTCTCTCAGACCACCATGCAATCAAATTAGAAATCAGGATTAAGAAACTCACTCAAAACTGCATAACTACATGGAAAC
This sequence comes from Homo sapiens, assembly GCF_000001405.40. Taxonomy (NCBI): domain Eukaryota; kingdom Metazoa; phylum Chordata; class Mammalia; order Primates; family Hominidae; genus Homo; species Homo sapiens. Next base: position 171,758,496 of record NC_000002.12, on the reverse strand, counting down.
TGAACAACCTGCTCCTGAATGACTACTGGGTAACGAAATGAAGGCAGAAATAAGGTCTTTGAAACCAATGAGAACAAAGACACAACGTACCAAAATCTCTGGGACACATTGAAAGCAGTGTGTAGAGGAAAATTTATAGCACTAAATGCCCACAAGAGAAAGCAGGAAAGATCTAAAATCGACACTCTAACATCACAATTAAAAGAACCAGAGAAACAAGAGCAAACAAATTCAAAAGCTAGCAGAAGACAAGAAATAACTAAGATCAGAGCAGAACTGAAGGAGATAGAGACACAAAAAGCCCTTCAAAAAAATCAAGGAATCCAGGAGCTATTTTTTTGGAAAAGATCAACAAAATACATAGACTGCTAGCTAGACTAATAAAGAAAAGAGAGACGAATCAAATAGACGCAATGAGAAATGACAAAGGGGATACTGCCACTGATCCCACAGAAATACAAACTACCATCAGAGAATACTATAAATACCTCTATGCAAATAAACTAGAAAATCTAGAAGAAATGGCTGAATTCCTGGACACATACACCCTCCCAAGTCTAAACCAGGAAGAAGGTGAATCCCTGAATAGACCAATAACAAGTTCTGAAATGAAGGCAGTAATAGTCTACCGACCAAAAAACGTCCAGGATCAGACAGATTCACAGCCGAATTCTACCAGAGGTACAAAGAGGAGCTGATACCATTCCTTCTGAAACTATTCCAAATAATAGAAAAAGAGGGAATCCTCCTTAACTCATTTTATGAGGCCAGCATCATCCTGATACCAAAACCTGGCAGACACACAACAACAAAAAAAGAAAATTTCAGGCCAATATCCCTGATGAACATCGATGTGAAAATCCTCAATAAAATACTGGCAAACTGAATCCAGCAGCACATCAAAAAGCTTATCCACCACAATCAAGTTGGCTTCATCCCTGGGATGCAAGGCTGGTTCAGCATAAGCAAATCAATAAACATAATCCATCACATAAACAGAACCAAAACAAAAACCACATGATTATCTCAATAGATGCAGAAAAGGCCTTTGACAAAATTCAATACCCTTCATGCTAAAAACTCTCAATAAACTAGGTATTGATGAAATGTATCTAAAAATAAGAGCTATTTATGACAAACCCACAGCCAATATCATACTGAATGGGCAAAAACTGGAAGCATTCCCTTTAAAAACCGGCACAAGACAAGGATGCCCTCTCTCGCCACTCCTATTCAACATAGTGTTGGAAGTTGTGGCCAGGGCAATCAGGCAAGAGAAAGAAATAAAGGGTATTCAGACAGGAAAAGAGGAAGAACTGTCTCTGTTTGCAGATGACATGATTGTATATTTAGAAAACCCCATCTCAGCCTAAAATCTCCTTAAGCTGATAAGCAACTCCAGCAAAGTCTCAGGATACAAAATCAATGTGCAAAAATCACAACCATTTGTATACACCAATAACAGAGAGCCAAATCATGAGTGAACTCCCATTCACAACTGCTACAAAGATAATTAAATACCTAGGAATACAACTTACAAGAGATGTGAATGACCTCTTCAAGGAGAACTACAAATCACTGCTCAAGGAAATAAGAAAAGACACAAACAAATGGAAAAACATTCCATGCTCATGGATAGGAAGAATCAGTATCATGAAAATGGCCATACTGCCCAAAGTAATTTATAGATTCAATGCTATCTCCATCAAGCTACCATTGACTTTCTTCACAGAATTAGAAAAAACGACTTTAAATTTTATATGGAACCAAAAAAGAGCCTGCATAGCCAAGACAATCCTAAGCAAAAAGAACAAAGTTGGCGGCATCACACTATCTGACTTCAAACTATACTACAAGGCTGCAGTAACCACATGGCATGGTACTGGTACCAAAAAAGATATATATATATATATATCAATGAACAGATCAGAGCCTTCAGAAATAACACCACACATCTACAATCATCTGATCTTTGACAAACCTGACAGAAACAAGCAACAGGGAAAGGATTCCCTGTTTCATAAATGGTGCTGGGAAAACTGGCTAACCATATGCAGAAAACTGAAACTGGACCCCTTCCTTACACCTTATACAAAAATTAACTCAAGATGGATGAAAGACTTAAACATAAGACCTAAAACCATAAAAACCGTAGAAGAAAACCTAGGCAATACTATTCTAGACAGAGGCATGAGCAAAGACTTCATGACTGAAACACCAAAAGCAATGGCAACAAAAGCCAAAATTGACAAATGGGATCTAATTAAACTACAGAGCTTCTGCAAAGCAAAAGAAACTGTCATGCAAGTGAACAGGCAACCTACAGAATGGGAGAAAATTTTTGCAATCTATCCATCTGACAAGGGGCTAATATCCAGAATCTACGAAGAACTTAAACAAAAAAACAAACCTCATCAAAAAGTGGGCAAATGTTATGAACAGACACTTCTCAAAAGAAGACACTGATGCAGCCAGCAAACATGTGAAAAAAAGCTCATCACTGGTCATTAGAGAAATACAAATCAAAACCACAATGAGATACCATCTCACGCCAATTAGAATGGCGATCATTAAAAAGTCAGTAAACAACAGATGCTGGAGAGGATGTGAAGAAATAGGAATGCTTTTACACTGTTTGTTGGTGGGAGTGTAAATTAGTTCAACCATTGTGGAAGACAGTGTGGCGATTCCTCAAGAATCTAGAACTAAAAATACCATTTGACCCAGCAATCCCATTACTGAGTATATACCCAAAGGATTATAAATCATTCTACTATAAAGACACACGCATGTGTATGTTTATTGTGGCACTATTCACAATAGCAAAGACTTGGAACCAACCCAAATGCCCATCAGTGATAGACTGCATAAAGAAAATGTGGTACATATACACCATGGAATACTATGCAGCCATAAAAAAGGATGAGTTCAGCCAGGTGTGGTGGCTCACGCCTGTAATCCCAGCACTTTGGGAAGCTGAGGCAGGCAGATCACAAGGTCAGGAGATCGAGACCATCCTGGCTACCATGGTGAAACCCCGTCTCTACTAAAAAATACAAAAAAATTAGCTGGGCGTGGTGGCAGGTGCCTGTAGTCCCAGCTACTCAGGAGGCTGAGGCAGGAGAATGGTGTGAACCCAGAAGGCGGAGCTTGCAGTGAGCCAAGATTGTGCCACTGCACTCCAGCCTGGGCAACAGAGCAAGACTCCATCTCTAAATAAATAAATAAGTAAAAAGATGAGTTCATGTCCTTTGCAGGGACATGGGTGAAGTTGGAAACCATCATTCTCAGCAAACTAACACAAGAACAGAAAACCAAACACTGCATGTTCTCACTCCTAAGTGGGAACTGAACAGTGAGAACACATGGACACATCACACACTGGGGCCTGTCGGGGGTGGGGGGTTAGGGGAGGGATAGCATTAGGAGAAATACCTAGATGATGGGTTGATGGATACCACAAACCACCATGGCACGTGTATACCTATGTAACAAACCTGCATGTTCTGCACATGTACCCCAGAACTTAAAAGTTTTTTTTTTTTTAAGTTGTAGAATCACTTTCTAGAAGCCAGAAGAGTAATCCTAGTTCCTCTCTCTCACAAAGAGTTGCTCTGTGGTCTTTTAAATATGTAGTATTATATGTAGGCTTATTTGAGCTGAAAACTATCATAAAAGTAGTGCAGCAACTTGGTTAAGTACACAAGTCTAAAATCAAGACTTTCTGTGTTTAGTTCCTAAACTATGACTCACTTAATGTCCCTAGTCCCAGGGATATGCTGGACCTGGCTTGTACCAGCCCAATGACAGCCCATTATGTGTGTATCTTCCCAATTCCATTTTCATTGATACTACATTTGTTGTTTGCAATTGGCCATGGTGGGAACATTTACATCATGCAAATTGGCTACAAACCAGTTTCCTCTTTTGTAAATTAGCAATATTTCCCACATCTGTGTGTGTATATATATATCATTTAGTAAATGCTCAGTAAATAGTAGCAGTTATTACTACTACATGGTCAGAATGTACACAGGCCAGTTCTTTGTAAGGCAGAGGAAATGGTAACTTTAGAAACAGCTGTACATTTCCACTAAGTATAAAGTAATGGTGAAAGACCTTTGAGTAGGTTCTCATATCACTCCCATCTCTATTTTTTTTTTTTGAAACTTATACTGATTTAGCGCTCTCTTTCAGAAGCAGAATAAAAAAGCTAAGATAAAGATTATAAGTGAATCCTAACCGGTCAGGAAGGCTTTGTGTGGTAAAGCAGCTGTGTCAGCAGAGATATCTGAATTTCTAGGAGCCTGTTTTTAACCTCTAACAGCCAGGAGATAGAGCCTGAAAAGCTTACAGGAGCTACTGAAGATCAGATACTGAACCTGTTGAAGGTTATTTACTTATCACCTTCCATAATACCAATGCTTCATACCTGTATGGTGCTTCATAGATTAGCATGCATTTTCACATATATTCTGGGTTTAATTCTCAAACTTCTCTGAGAAGTGGTAGATGAAGGAATAGGCTTAGAGAGGTGAAAACATTTGCCCAAAGACATGGTTAACTGAGTATCAACACAAGTTGACTCTTAACATTCAAGGCTCTTAGAACTGGAAATATAAATTTCAGGACTACCATGTTTGAAAGGGCTAATCTACCAACTAAATATTAACATTTGGAGTCGATTATTTCCTCTCAGTTGATACAATTCCAATTAAAGCACATCTTCTTGACATTCATTTAGCATTTTGGGGCATGTGATCTACATGAATGTATTATTCCAGTTATTCCCTGGTAACACTGATACTGCAGCACTCATTTTACAGCAAAGAGGGGGAAGGTCTAGAGAGGTGAAGAATTTGTGTAAGATGAGGAGCAGGCAACTCAGGGGCAGTCTTTTTTGTATTACACTGTATTATTCCTTATTGGACTTTTAGCACAAAATAAAAATTTTTTCTTGATACAAATACTACTTAAGTTACTCCTGAGTTTGAGGAAGAGTAAGGCTCATCATTTCTTTTACCTCTAGAAAATGAAGTTTCCTTCAAATCCATCTTAAGAACCCTTAGTGTACTGACAAATCATGACTATATCAAACATTATTAGAAATGAGGCCCATTAATAAGGGCCTAGTCATTTTACCAAGTTTCTTCCTCAGTGGGTATTTATTAAATCAGGTTTTGACTTATTTCTGGAAATCATATTTTGGATATAGTAAGAGAGCAGGGCTCTGCCAAGCCAGATATGAAGCAGATAAGAGCTATTTCTGCAGGACTGATCTCAAGGTGTCCTGTAAGCCTGACAGCCAATACACAGTTCCTTAAGGAACAAAGGTCTTCCTTTTAGTGATCATCTTCTCACATGAGCACACATTATTTCCGAGAGGACTAACCCTAGGGAAGGGAGAAGTACTATGTAAAGAGCATAACAGCTGAATAGCTGTTGTTCCTAGATTTGTATAGAAGTGACTGATTCCGGTTCTGCCACTATGTAACTGTATAGTCTTGAACCAAGTTTGTTCTCTCATTGATTCAAAAAAGGAGTTCCACTTGCACTTTTCAAAGGCTCCAGATACCACAGTCGATGTTCTGTATATAACAGAAGAGGAACAGCTGAGTCTAGGATGGAAATTCAGAGTGGGTCATTTTTTTTTCTACTAAACATAATCTGTAACTTTATCATAGAATGTAATAAAACGTTCCTAGAAAAAGTATCACTGATGAAAAGCAATTGGTATTTTTCTCAGTTCACTGCTACTCCTGAACACTTGAGGATTCTGCTGAGGGTTTAAGTTATGTGATTTCCTAGAATTAAAAAATAATAATTTCTTGAACACCAACCCCCTTTATCCTGAGCTCATTACATTGCACAGAGGCGTACACAGATGGTCTCTCTCCCTTCTTGTATTCTTAACAAGAAAATGAAAAATAAAATCCCTTATTTGTATAGTACTTTGTAATATAATTTACAAAGGTCTTCACATATACATTTTCTCACATAATTGTCACAGAAAGCAAATATTTTCCTCATTTAAAAGATGATAATACTTAACCTTGTCCTAGGTTACACTACTAGAAATGGGGGAAATCAGGAATAGAACTTGGGTCTTTTGTACCCAGTGTTGTTTCCCTCATATACCAAGCCACTCTTAAATATAAGAAATTTTGTTTCAATGCATTTCCATTACCTTGTTCAGGAAAAAAAAAAATCTAGTAAAAAAATTCACAAAAGATAAAATTACTTGCTATCAAAGTCTTACCACTGGTATACCTGATTTCAGGAGTCACAGTGTCAGATCTCTGCATGTTCGGCCCAACGCAGGTGTGTTCTACATCCATACAATCACCGCCCCACAGCTTTCTGACCAAATCAAGTACATTATAAGAGAGGCAAGATAATACATTACCAGAGACCTGAATAAGCGACCTCACAAAGTGAAACAGACCTTTCAGAAAGCTTACCTGAGTGCAAGCTGTTCCATCCTCTGACTGGGAACTGGTAATGGAATATTAAGAAGCCAAAACTGGGATTCCTGCTATGAAACTAACAACACAAAATACCATAATTTTATAAAAGTTTGTAAAAGACTGCTGATTGGCTATGTGGAAACTATCAGTGGCTAAAAGCTACATACTGAAAACTTAAATTCCTGCTATCCATTTGAACTTTTAGAAGTTTGGGAATTGTGAACATGGCAGGCAGAAAGACAATCTAAATACCTAAAGTCCAACAAAAGGAATGAGAGAACTGGCCTATTGTGAAAAGCATTCCAGTGTGATGGATTCCAAGTTTTATAGTTGGTATTCTGGTTATCAGTGTAGGATTTTTCTCTAAGATGGACTCCATAACATGTTTCCTATTTATGAAAAAGGATTTACAAAATATAATACAATACAAGCAAATTACTACCATTTGGGGGCTGTAAAACTTTTGAAAAAACTGGTTAAAAGAAGGTTCCTAATTGTAATCTTCCCCTTCAAAAGAAATACTGAAAATGGCTGTTCTCTTAATACTGCCTTTGGGGCAATTTCTAATTCTCTGACAGCATTAGGAACCCCTAGATTTGTAAGCCAGATCTCTAAGTAAATAATTTCACAGCATCAATAATTTTTAATTAGTAAATGATAAGTTCCTAGTTGGGAGTGACTTTTCCTCAAACCTGTAAGGTCTCTAAGTTGCCTAGCACAGGGGGCCCCAACCCCTGGGCCGCAAACCAGAACCAGTAGTGGTCCATGGCAGGCTGTATAACAGAAGGTGAGCGGCAGGCAGGCGGGCGGGCAGGCGAATGAGCAATACCACCTGAGCTCCCCGTCCTGTCAGATCAGCAAGTGACGGTATTAGATTCTCAGAGGAGCGCAAACCCTAATAATGTGAACTGCACATGTGAGGGATCTAGGTTGTGTGTGCTCCTTCCTTATGAGAATCTAATAATGTCTGATGATGATCTGAGGTGGAACAGTTTGATCCTGAAACCATCTCCCCAACCTCCCTGGTCCGTGGAAAAATTGTCTGCCATGAAACAAACAGATGATGGCTGGTGCCAAAAAGGTTGGGGACTGCTGGGCTAGCAATCAGCAAGATGGTAGCCTAAGGAAAGCAAGATCTCCTTTCTTGTTGCTGTGTAGCTTGGATTAAAAACAAAACTCAATGGGAACCCCATTACTAAGTCATCAAGAAGTAAAGCTGTTGGCTTTTTAACCTTGGCTTATCCTGAAGACTAAGACATGACACCAGCATCCTAGATGATAAGCAGCATCTGGAGCTGCATTTGGAGCTCCATTCTCTTTAGCATACATTTAATTATACAGCTTTCTCATTTAGAAAACTATTAGAATGTCAATGTTGAAATACTGGGGTTGTGGAAAAGACATTTAAAAATACACCGCCCAGTGAGTGGCAGGTGACCACTGAAATTTATGGCAGCGCTTTAGGGAAAAACAAACAAACAAAAAAACCTACTGGCTTTCTGACTTAAAAGTAATGCACTACTCAATATAAAGCAAAGATAGTATGATATGCTTCACAGCAGATTTTCACTCATCCATTCAAGTCTTTCTGTATGGTTCAAGGGGTGGATATTAGTCTATCCACACTAGTACAGAACAGACTAAAACATTTTAACAACACTGAAAGACTAGGACCAATCATTCCTAAAACGACTTTCCTATAGTTCCTCCCACTAAATTTTAAGTCATCCATTCCTTTGAGATGCAGTATTTCAGCATTATTGTAACAACATTTTATACAAAGAGATTTTCTAAACTTTATAGGGAGCTGGATCTGTAAACAGGAAGAAAGCTTCTACCAATGCATATTTGGTTTAAATAATACCAAAAAATGATTATTTCAGAGATTTATTGCAAGTTAATTGTCTGTGAAGCTGGATATTCCTTAACATGAAGGTAATAAACTTTAACGTTCCACTCAAAAAGACAAAAACCAAACAACGAAAAATAAGAAATTAACCAGAAAGCTATAGCTTGTTTTCTTACTCAGAAAAAAAGTATAACTGATAAGGTACAATTTCTGTAACTGGATATTTTTCAAAATTATAAGGCTTTTAGTTCTAAAAGTATAAAGAACTGTGATGCACTTCTAGTCAACCTAATCTTGCTAGAAGCTTTATCAACACTGACAGTCTCAATACTTTCTCTTTTGCTATTATATAGTCAACTTTAAAGGTAATTCCTTAAAGTAAATTTGTGTGTTCCTAAAAATATGGACTAAAGTTGAATGGGCAAAGGTATACATCGCATTTTCTGGGGGAGTAGGGGAGAAGTCATTCCCAAAAAGTGAAATATTTAAACAATTTTATTCTTTCTTTCACAACTAAACACACCTTGAGGCTGAGGAACATGTGATTTGCCATATGATTTCCAACCTTTTCTTATCCATTATGTTTTAACACTTGTTTTCCCTACTTTTAGTCATTTTTACAAACTGAAGGTAAAGATACAGTAACTACATGAGTAGTGAGTACATGAATTTTTCTATATAAAGAAAGTGTGACTCTACTAAAATTGAAGTTTTGACTCACAGACACTGCTACAATGAGATAACTTGAGATATTGTCTTTGGTATATAATGGGCAATTATGGGGTATTAATTTATGAAACTGAATATAGAAAAGTAAAGAATTGCCTACTTTTCTATATTCCATTTCACATACTGATACCCCTTAATTGAGTAGAGCTGAAAGAAAATTCAGAAATCATTAAATCAAAACTTAATTCCTACATATAAAGAATGCGGCACAGACTTGGCTAAAATCACACTTCTCATAGATGCTTCAGCAAGAATCAGAGTTTGGGGCCAATAATTCCAGGTCAATTATTCCTTACACTATACACTACTCATTATTTGGAAATTTCTCTCCCAACAAATCTTTGTTACAATTATTAAAAGAAAAATGTTCACATTCTGTTTTCTAATCTCTCTTCCTAGTTCATGTTCTGTTGAATAAAAGACAGTTACACTTCAGAAGTACAAAAGGTTGGGATCAAATAAATAGACAATTTAAAGTAGATAAAATCAAGATCTGATCATAGTCCTTTCCTCTATTCCTGAAATTCACTGATTTCAATACTGATTCTTAGATATTTGTCACCTACCTTTCGGACTTGTAGACAATGCTGTGGCAACAGATCTCAAGATGTAGATTTTAATGCCAAAGTATGGGTCCATTTGAGCACTTTGCCTTTATGGCTACTGAAATCATGAAATCAATTTCTCTCAAAGATTTTACTCTCAGTGAGGTCACATACATAGTTCTTAATCAGTGAAAATTATAGGCAGCTTTCTATTTATCCTTTAAAGGAAATATGTCTTAGATGGAAAGAATATAAAGTAGTAAAGCAAAAGTTAACCTAGGGGAAATTTTTTCACCAACAGATTATCTAGACATCAATTCATAATGCACTGGGAGATCTATAGTATATACCACATGGTATATTTAGGGTACACAGCTCTATAGGATTTGAGATGGCTGCTCACAGCAGGAGCTTAAAGAAAGATATGGAAAAAATATATTTTATAAAAGATGGAAAAATTCAAGTTGTAAGGAGTAAAAATGAAAATTTGAAAAGTTAACGCATATTTGTTTTTATTTATAGGTAACTACCACATGAATTATAAAGACAACAAAGGATGTCAGAATGAACATGGATAGGTGTATGCATACTACGGCTAAGGAGAAACAATGTTCCTACATATTATGGGTAGTGAGAACATTATCTGTATAACAGGGAACTGTGATTATTTAAAAATATGCAGAACTTATTTCATCTGTGCTTTAGAAATAACTGTATACAGTGTTATAAGTTGAAAAGAACTCAAAATAACTAATACCAAATATACACCTATGTATTAGAATTCAAAAAAGCTGCTTTCTGTGAAGTCAATCAGCTATATTAAAAAATGACACAAATCCAAAACAAGATGCATGTTATATATAAAGGGACATTGTAAGTTTCCTTGCTGCATTAAACCCATGGTTTAATCCATGAAATTTCCTTTTAATTATCATTTAGACAGAAGCATGCAAATAGTCTCAGGATCTACTTAAGAACCTTTCCCAAATCCACTAGTTACACTCCCCTTTTCAGGAACTAAGCAGGTATTCGGGTAGCTGCTTCCTCCTCTGCATCAGCTCGGTTTGCATTAATTTCTGCAAGTGTTCGGCCAAACCGTGCCCATTCATCATTGCGGGGAACAGCAATCTGCTGTTAAAAGAAAGACAATGTTTTATATACAATGAAATAAAAGATCATTTTACCCACTATTATTCAGTTTGTTTTCAAATAATTTTTCTGTTAAAAAGTAATAATTGACCTGAATGGCCTTTCCATAATTACGGGGACTATAACAATGATTTACAACATTTCAAAACAAAAGACGGTGTTTGTGAAGTGTGTTGTGACAGCCTCAGAAATGACTTGGCTATTATCACCACCAATGCAAGAGAGAATAACAATGATGCTTTGTAAATATAACTCCTATGCACCATCTCATGGATTTTGCTGGAGAGGAATTCCTTAAAATTTTTTTTTTACTGTATTCTTGCAAAATTCCTAGTAAGAAACAGTGTTTGAAGCATGGTTCATAAGGGGGCTCGTTTCTTGTAAGTATTTTTCTTTGGAACATAAGGTAATCTTTCTTGATACCTTAACTCCTTCATCAAAAGCTGTGCTACTATTTACCACTTTAGTGCTGCACTGGTGGCAAAAGAGCCTTGTGATGCTTTACTTCAGAGGCAGCCCAATAACATATATATATATATATATATATATAATTTTTTTTTTTTTTTGAGACAGTCCCACTCTGTTGCCCAGGCTGGAGTGCAGTGGCACTATCTTGGCTCACTGTAACCTCTGCCTCCCAGGTTCAAGTGATTCTCCTGCCTCAGCCTCCCCAGTAGCTGGGATTACAGGTATGTGCCACCATGCCTGGCTAATTTTTGTATTTTCAGTAGAGATGGGGTTTTGCCATGTTGGCCAGGCTGGTCTCGAACTCCTGACCTCAGGTGATCCACCCGCCTCATCCTCCCAAAGTGCTGGGATTACAGGTGTGAGCCACTGCGCCCGGCCCCAATAACAAATATTTTTGATAACTGCCATTATAATATCATAGGAGTCTGACACTGTCATGTTAGGGCACAAACCACTCACTGTGGCAAATGGCTGTGCCTGTTTATAAATCTACACTATCCAGTAGGGTAGCTACTGGCCACATGTGACTGTGTATATTAAAATTAATTAAAATTAAAAATTCAGTTACGCAGTTGTAGTAGCAACACTTAGAGTGTTCAATAGCCATATGTGGCTAGAAGCTACCATATTAGTGCAGGTACAGAACATTTCCATTTGTGCAGATAGTTTAATTGGCTGCTGTAAATGATTAAATCTACCTCCCACCAGATCCAATTGCTAGAGGCCATGGGATATCCAGAGAGGAGAGAAATCATGAGGCATAGCAAAGGAAAGTGACTAAGGTCACTTTTTTAACCCCTAGCCAGGGTTAAAAAAGAGGAAATCCATCCTGGGCTTTGTGTTCAGCCAATCAGAGCAGCAAAGATGAGAGAGCTGCAGCTCATCCTATTGGATTCCATTACTGTGGCTTTGCATCAAGGCTTAAGAGTCAAGATGCACATTGCATAAAGTCACAGATGGTTCTCAAAAGATACTACTTTTGGTTTCTACTACCTGGCCCAAATTAATGAATACAGAAAAATAAATCTTATTTCAATATCAATAAAACCCCAAAGTCCACCTATAACTCCAAACTTCTCCCCAAAGAATTTCTAATTTCCAGCAATGCATGCTTCAAGAAACAAGGTATTTTCAATGTATTTATTGTATTACCCTCAAAATCTGTTGCATGGGAAACAGAACATTCGGTTTAGAAAGAAAATGTTTCAAGAGCTGCTTCTGTGGTAGAAAGTAAGTTTTATCTTTACAACCATATAGTTTAAACAACTCATAAACCTCAAAGCCTAGGGTTAGCCACAAAGATGCCTTTACTACAATGCAACTAAATCGATGTGTCAAAATTACAGGCAGGGAGTCCCATACCTCTCCCACATCGTATATAACAATCTGTCCTTCAGAATCACCCACAGCAATCTCTCTGCCAGAATGGGTCCATCTCACACGATTAAGAGCAGGATTACCCTCCACAGAAATGCTGGCAGTTGGTACCTAAAGTCATTTAAAATAAAGGACAGTGTTAAAAGTTTCATCAAGATTTCTATAAACATGTAAAACAGTAATTCTTCTCTCAAGCTGGCTACATTTTTAAAAACAAAGATGAAAACAGGTAAGAATTTCCCCAACTTTCTTCTTCTTCAGTGATATATTATGAATGACATTATAGTCGATCCTTGAAAATGGTTTGGGAAAATAAGTCTTTGTATAAAAAATTCTCAGAAGACTAGACACATTATTTTGAAAGGTCTTCTCTTGAATAAAGAATCCTTTTTTGTTGTTTTAATGTCTTTAAGAAGTCAAGCTGTTTGAAAACACATGGCCAAAACCCATTTAAAAAGAAAACACTTCAAAAGCCCTCATAAGCAGATTATGGTTCAGTTGTAAAGGACAAGAATCACTTGTGCAGCATGTATCTCTATCAGCTGAAACCTGTATTTGACTCAGTGTTCCTAGAAACGGTTCATACTGAAGGTGCAGTATGAGTCTGTCTAAAGCCTCTTGTTCCATGAGCTAGCTGGAGATAGCCAGGATGATGGCACCAACACAATGGCACCAGCTCCCTGGAATCTGACTGTGCCTCTTCTTTGCTAAGGAAGAAGAGTTTTATTTGCTACACATGGAGCAAACATTCAGTGTTTGGATTCAGACTAAAAGTATGATAAAATTTTTAAAAAATTTTGAAATTTGACAAAAAAATCCTTCTAATTTGTACTAGTCATCCCCAAATAATTTAACCCCATACACAGAATACCAAAATTGTTATAAAGAAATATTAAATTTCAATCCACATTTAATTGTAACTTCAAATCTCTAAGACTAAAATCCAAATTAAGAAAACAGAATTGGTACCATTCTAGCTAACTAGGAAGAGATGTGGGAGATCTGAGTTGACTCTCTCAACAATTGTTATTGACAGAAATGCTAATATTAATTATATTACTAATAGCAATATAGAATAGAATTCTAAGAACATTTTTAAGCTTCTCTAAGCTGGTAAAAATACATGTGACTAAAAATAAATAAGAGTTGCAATTAAATTTAATGGCTAATAAGTGATTTTAGTACAGCAATTAGGAAATCTGATAGTTTCTATATTCATTTTATAGTAACACTCTGTTTTCAATCCTTCATAGAAAAAACTCATCAAAAATCAAAATATATTTTTCCTTCCTTCAAACAAATCAGGCTAAGATTAATGTTTATGGATGATATACAATGCTATCAAGGCTAAGAGATAATTTAGAAATTCAGAATTAAGGTTAACATACTTCAACAGTCTGAAACTATCTGCTTTCTAGCTTATGAATGAAAAACATCCCAGTTATCTTATGAATGAGACTTTGCCAGGACATTAGAGACATGATAGTGCTTTTCAGAAGTAAAAGGAAATGCCCCAGTGCTCCTGGCAACATTATTTCTCCCTTTAGTTCTTCGCAGCATGCTGTTTATTATTTAGGGTACAAAGCTTATTTGAGTTCTTTGTGATGAATCTACAATCACAGAACCCTTTTACATTCTTTGGAAAAAAAGGAATTTCACAAATTATTCAATAAATATCCAATTTTCTATTTTTCAATGCAATTTTTGTTATTTTCCTGCTCACCTCTGTGTCATTATTGAGATTCCACAAATCCAATCTCCCCATGCCATCCACACAGGCAAACAGGGCTGGGTGGGTAGGTGACCACATAACATCATAAACATAGTCTGCATTATCTTCAAATGAATACAAAGGCTTGTTATTCTGAAAGAGAAAAGTTGATTCTTAGCACAGTCCATATATGACATACAAATCATTAAACTACTTATCACTGGGAAAAAAATGACATACATTCAACAGGTATGATAACATTTTATGATATTTAACTCAGCCTAGAAAAAGTTCCTACAATTTGTTTCACTACAGAATTACCTGGTATTGTAAACTAAGAATCAACTATTGATTGCATTTTCTTTTTAACTTGTAGATGCCATACTGTTTAAAAAAAGAAATAGAACATGCTTCAAGAACATCTGTCAATGAGAAGATTCTGGGAAGATAACAGCAATAGCAGTGTACTTTTTAAATCTCCTCTAGTTCTCCCCATAAACTCAGATAAAGCAATGAGGGCAGGAAGAGCAAAGATTCACAGACAGCATCTACAGCAGAATCAGGAGACAAACTTCCAAATAAAATCAGGTGGAAACAAACCTCTCACAACTACAAGACTTGCATGGTATCAGTATCTGTGTGGGAAGAAGATGAAGGAAGGCACGAGAACTTCTGACAGGTGGAGAACAGAACCTCACAGTCATAGCAGATGCTCACTGGACAGTGTGGTGGGCTAATCTGAGAACAGCAGCAAAAACTAGGGGGCAGTTTGGCACAATTCCATTTATAAATACATTTGACCCTTGAACCATATAGGTTTGAACTGCAGAGATCCACTTATACTCATATTTTCTTCTGCCTCTGCCACCCCTGGGACAGCACAACCAACCCTTCCTCTTTCTTTTCCTCCTCAGCCTACTCAACTGTGAAGATGATAAGGATGAAGACCTTTATGATGATCCACATCCACTTAATGCATAGTAAATATATTTTCTCTTCTTTATGATTTTCTTAACATCTTCATTTCTTTAGCTTGCCCTTAAGATGACAGTATATAATACATATAACATAAAAAATATGTGTTAATCAACAATTTATGTTGTCAGAAAGGTTTCTGGTCAGTAGTAGGCTATTAGTAGTTAAGTTTTTTGGAAGTCAGAAGTTATATGTGGATTTTGAACTGCTGGGATAGGCGTTGGCACCCCTAAGCCCTGCATTATTCAAGGGTCAACTGTAAATGCAAGCAGACTACAGTGCAGTATAAGTAAGTTCTCATGGTACAGTCTGGGTGCTATAAACTCTCAAAATTAACAAATCAAAGTTCCTTTCCAAGACAAAGTCTCACAGAAGAGAAACTGCTGGGAGTAGAATCCAAGTTGTAGAATGCCAGACAAAAGAGACAAAGCAGTAAGTTCAGACAGAAGTGGTGGAGAGAAGCAGAAAAGGCACATCTCAGAAAGCACAAGGTACATGTATTCTCACTTTGCAAAAGCCAGAGAAGAGACAGCTTTAACCTAGAAAATGAACTAGGAAAGTTATCCTTGCCCATTCCCTCCCTCCTAAAAATACACAAAAATTCATTTCACTAGTAGACAATAGCAAAGAAAAGGATCTCAGTCAGATTCCATAAAAGTTATTGTGGTGTCAAGAAAATTAGATAGGAAAGGAATAGTCTTTTCAAGAAATGGTGCTGGGAAAACTAGATATACATATGCAAAAGAATAAAGCTGGCCCAGGTGCCATGGCTCATGCCTGTAATCCCAGCACTTTGAGAAGCCAAGGTGGGTGGATCACATGAGCTCAGGAGTTTGAGACCAGCTTGGCAACATGGCAAAACCCCATCTCCACAAAAAATACAAAAATTAGCTGAGCATGGTGGCATGCACCTATAGTCTCAGCCACCCTGGGGGCTGAGATGGGTGGATGGTTTGAGCCCAGGATGTCGAGGCTGCAGTGAGCTGAAATCACACCACTGCACTCCAGCCTAGGCGATGGGAGTGAGACCTTGTCTCAAAAAATAAAAAAATAAAAAAAATAAAGTTGGATCCCTCCTTCCTTACATCATATAGAAAAATTAAATGTATCACAGATCTAAATGGAAAGTAAAACTATGAAACTTTTTTTTTTTTTTTTTCTGAGACCGCGTCTCGCTCTGTCGCCCAGGTTGGAGTGCAGTGGCATGATCTCAGCTCACTGGGTTCATGCGATTCTCCTGCCTCAGCCTCCCAAGTAGCTGGGATTACAGGCGTGCACCACCATGCTCAGCTAATTTTTGTATTTTTAGTAGAGAAGGGGTTTCACCATGTTGGCCAGGCTGATCTTGAACTCCTGACCTCAGGTGATCCACCCACCTCGGCCTCCCAAAGTGCTAGGATTACAAGCGTGAGCCACCGTGCCTGGCCAAAACTATGAAACTCTTAAAGGAAGCATACAAGTAAATCTTTGTGACCTTGAACTCAGCAATGATTTCTCAGTTGAGAAGCCAAAAGCACAATGATAAAAGAAAAAGTAGGTAAACTGAGCTACATCAAAATTAAATACTTTTGGGCTTCAAATGATATCAAGAAAGTGAAAAGAGAACCTACACAATGGGAGAAAATATTTGCAAACCATGTATCTGATACATCACTGTGTCCACAGTGCTTACAATAGCCTATAAGTACATGAAAAGATGTTCAACATCATTAGTCGTGAGAGGAATGCAAATCAAAACCACAATGAGGTATCACTTCATACCACTAGGATAGCTAGTATAAAAAAGTAACAAATGTTGGTGAAGATACAGGAAATCAGAACCTTCATACCTTGCTGGGGAATGTAAAATGGTGCTGCCACTTGAAAAACAGTTTGGCAGCTCCTCAAAATGCTAATTAGTTACCATGTGACCCAACAATCCCACTCCTAGGTATATACCCGAGAGAAATAAAAACTTGCACATTCACAGCAGCATGATTCATAATAGCCAAAAAGCAGAAGCAACTGAAGTGTTCATCTGATGAATGTATAAACAAAAAGTGGTATATCTATACAATGGGGTATCATTCAGCTATAAAAGGAACAATACATTGATACAAGAAGTATCAATATGAAGGATGACCCTTGAAAACATTATGCAAAGTGAGAGAAGCCAGTACACAATTGCAAGATTCCATGAAATGTCCATGAACTGTCCATAACAGGCAGACCCAAAGAGATAGAAAGTAGATTGATTAGTGGTTTCCAGGAGCTGTGGGGGTAGGGGAGAATGTGGAGTGACTGCTAATGGGCATAATTTTTCTTTCTAAAATTTGAAAATGTTCTAAAATTAGATACTGGCAATTAGGCGTGCCTCTGTGAATATACTAAGAACCACTGAATTGTATACTTTAAAAGGGTGAATTTCATGGTATAAGGGTTTTGCTCAATAAAACTGTTACTTAAAAAGAAACTTATTTTAAAAGAAGAGATAAGGTGATCTAAAAAAAAAAGTGATAAAGAAGATCAGCAAAAGTACATCTACAATGGCAGGTCCTGAAGAAGAAAACCAAAGCAGTAATACAGAACAAATACCAAAAACAACTCAAAAGAACTCTCCTAAAATGAAAGACAGCTTGAAACTACATATTGAAAGGATATCCTGTGTATCTAGGAACACTGACCCTCTAAAGAAAAGGGAAAAAATCATTTGATCACCCACATTTTTTAAAAAGACCAAATCGCAAGTAGGAAAAAGAAAATCAGATTGTGATCAGATTTTGTGACAGCAATGCTTTTTTCCAGAAGTCCACAGAGTAACTAAGGTATGCAAAGAAAGAAAACGTAAGTCATGGATTTTATAAACAATCAAACTAATCTTCATAATCATGTACTTTTGTGGAATATGGGAATAATGCACCTGTGGGCACCTTCTGCATCACGTACTATAGAATGAGCTTCAGATGACCAAAAAGACTGAAGAGACGTTAACGTAAGGTCTGGTGGATAACCAAATCATTTATGAGGGTAAACGTCTCATTACAGAAACATAAACTATCTGCAACCACACACATTAATATGAATGACACCACAGGAATGCAAAATCGAGACTGAGAAACCCTACAGGACCAACTTGACAGACACCAACCTGGTTTCTTCCTCAAGAATAAAACAGCAAGAAAAAAAAGAGGGATGCAAGCCCTACTTTAAAGAGGAACTTAAAAGGTATGTCAATTGTGGCTGGGCTTGGTGGCTCAAAATCCCAGGACTTTGGAAAGCCGAGGAGGGCTGAGGCAGGCGGATCACTTGAGGCCAGGAGTTTGAGACCAGCCTGGCCAACATGGTGAAACCCTGTCTCTACAAAAAATATAAAAATTAGCCAGGCATGGTGGCGGGCGCCTGTGATCCCAGCTACTCAGGAGGCTGAGGCATAAGAATCACTTGAACCCAGGAGACAGAGGTTGCAGTGAGCCAAGATCGTGCCACTGCACTCCAGCCTGGGCAACAGAGTGAGATTCGGTCTCAAAAAAAAAAAAAAAAAAAAAAAAAAAGAGATATGTCAATCGCAAATGGATGGCCCTCCTTTGGATCCTGCTTCAAATAAATAGTAAAAAGAAAAAAAAAATTGAACACTGATAGGCCATTTGACGAAAATAAGGAGCCAATGTTCATTTTGGGGCATTTAATAATGATATGGTAGTATTTTTTAAAGAGGTTTTATTTTTTAGAAATACATAATGAATATTTATAGTTGAAATGGTATGTATAGGCTTGATTTTAATATTGCAGAGGTTATGTATAGACAAGATTGGTCATGTGTTAACTATGGAAGCTGGGAACAATAATGGCTTCATTATATTATTCCCTCTGCTTTTGTATCTGAGATTTTCCATAATAAAATGTTTTAAAATTGTGAATTAAAAATTTTCAGATATGATAGTAAATGTCAACAGCATGATCATTTTAATAGCCAAAATGTTTGTTTTTAATTTAAAAACCAAAATTTTAATAAAACTTAAAACTAAGGTAAACACAAAAATTAAAAGCCTTTTTCTTTTACAATCACTATCTGTCACTCTCCCTGATAACACCACCAAATGAAGTCTCACTCTGAGAAGGTGGTTTTCTTTTTTTTTTTTTTTTCACTCTTGTTGCCCAGGCTAGAGTGCAATGGTGTGATCTTGGCTCACTGCAACCTCTGCCTCCCGAGGAGCTGGGATTACAGGCATGCACCACCACACATGGCTAATTTTGTATTTTTAGTAGAGATGGGGTTTCACCATGTTGGCCAGGCTGGCCTCGAACTCCTGACCTCCGGTGATCCACCTGCCTTGGCCTCCCAAAGTGCTGGGATTACAGGCGTGAGCCACCATGCCTGGCCGAGAAGGTGGTTTTCAACCTAGGATGTGCACAATCATCTGCAGAGCTTTTGAAAAATACAAATGCAGGGCTCAACTCCAGATGCACTTCATCGGTATCTCTGCTGTTGCTCCACTAGTGATTCTGATGCACACCAATGATTAAGAACCACTGTGCTAAGGCCTCTGACTCCTGAGGTGATAGTGTACTTCTTCAAAAACAGCTTATTTTTAGGCAATGTTATGTCTTCCATCAAAGACCAAGTAATTCCACTCTAGGTATATACCCAAAAGAAATGAGTGCTTATGGCCATCAAAAGACATCTACAATTATGCTCACAACACTATTTGTAATGGCCCTCAACTGGAATTAATGCAAATACCATCAGCAGTAGAATGGATAAATTATGGTATATTTACATAATGGAATAGTATACAGCAGAGAGAATGAATAATCTACAACTACACTAACAAATATGAATCAATCTCACAAACATAATGTTGAGCAAAAGAAGCCAGACACAAATGAGTATCTTTTTTTCTTTTTTTTTTCTTTTGAGCTGGAGTTTCGTTCTTGTCTCCCAGGCTGGAGTGCAATGGTGCGATCTCAGCTCACTGCAACCTCCACCTCTCGGGTTCTGGCAATTCTCCTGCCTCAGCCTCCCGAGTAGCTGGGATTACAGGTGTGTGCCACCATGCCCAGCTAATTTTTGTATTTTTAGTAGAGATGGGGTTTCACCACGTTGGCCAAGCTGGTCTCGAACTCCTGACCTCAGATGATCTGCCTGCCTCGGCCTCCCAAAGTGCTGGAATTACAGTCGTTAGCTACTGCGCCTGGCTGAGTATTTTCTACTCTATGATTCCATTTTTATATGATACAAAATATGAAAAAAGCTACATGCAAACTAGATTAAAACTTACTTGTATTTATAATATAAAAGATTGCTAAATGTATCAGGAAATGGTTACTAGGCTGAGCACCTGGGTGATGGAATAATCTGTACAACAAACCCCCGTGACATGATTTTACCTATATAACAAACCTGCAAACGTACCCCTGAACCTAAAAGTTAAAAAAAAAAAATCATCTACTCAGTGGACGAATATGCAGCCAGAGACAAAAACAGGATGCACTGTAACTGGGTAAAAGATTACAATAAAAAGAAAAACAAGGCTGGGTGTGGTGGCTCACACTATAACCCAACCACTTTGGGAGCCCGAGGCAGGCAGATCACTTGAGGCCAGGAGTTTGAGACCAGCCTGGCCAAGCATGGTGAAACCCTGTCTCTACTAAAAATGCAAAAATTAATTGGGCATGGTGGCACATGCCTATAATCCCAGCTGTTTGGGAGGCTGGGGCATGATAATCGCTTGAACCTGGGAGGTGGAGGTTGCAATGAACCGAGATCACCCCACTGCGCTCCAGCCTGGGCAACAGAGTATGGTCACGAGTCAAGCCATATTTTTCCTAAGCTCTTTAAGGTTGTACGCTGAGTTGAATAGTGTCTTCCCAAAATTCGTGTCTACCTGGTATCTGTAAATGTGACCTTATTTGGAAACAGGGCCTTTGCAGATGTAATCAAGTTAAGATGAGGTCATATTGAATTAGGGTAGGTCCTAAATCTAGCATGATTGGTATCCTTAAAAAAAGAGAAAAATTCGGACACAAACAGGTAGAATGCCATCTGATGACAGAGGCAGAGGCTGGAATGATGGTAGCTGCAAGTCAATGAAACAGCAAGGATTGCTGGCAACCATCAGAAGCCGGGAGAGAGACAAGAAACAGATTCTCCTTCAGAACCTCCAAAAGTAACTAGCCTGTCAACACCTTGATTTTGGACTTCTGGCCTCCAGAAATGTGAAAGAATAAATTTCTGTCATTTTAAGCCACCCAGTTTGTGGTAATTTGTTATGGCAGCTTTGGGAAAAGAATATAGATTATTTTTCAAAGCTGGGGTAAGCGGGGAGTTCTAGATTAATAACAAAGATAGTCCCTACATTAAACACGTGAAGATAATAGTGAGATGCTTCCTAGAGAACTGGGAAATAAATATGTCATCAATTTGGATCAGAAGAGAAATAAATGAATTCTCTTCCAAAGAAATGGATTCCAAGGTCAGAAATATCTTTCTATATAACTTGACTGAATATATTAACTTTTTGAGACCAAATGTGTCTATTAAAATAGAAATACAAAGAAACAGTCTTACAAGGAAAATGAAGACAGTACCCATTCAAGCATCGTCCAGGAGAAAGGGAGTCTCAACCAATGGATTTTGAGAATTACTACCCCATGGCAAGGCTAGAATGAATCAGGCTATCTTAGCTTGGTGCCATTAAACATTCAAATTATAAAACTTCTTTTGTTCCAACTCCTTACTCACCAAGCAATCTTCTGATTATAATTTGGCTTCCCATGTGGATTGTCTACAGGGAAACAATGAGCTGGTCAGGCTCACAGGAGTATCTGGGCCTTCTGGCAGTTATGTTTTTCATTGTAAATTAATAAATTGACATTCTCCAATGTACCAGTGTCTTAGGAGCCTGTTAGTTCCGGTTAGCACTCCCTGTCTAATCAACTCTAGTATACTGATTAAACTGAGTTTCTGAATATGCAAAGGAGAGGCTGGACATTGGCCAGTAGCAAGTTACTGAGGCAAATGCTGCTGCGCAGGCCTCGGTCCAGATGAATAGGCAGCCTTCCCTAAGAACACCCAACTTCAAAGCATTTTTTCATCTTAACTTGTCTAAATATGCATAGTTGTTATTCTAAGGACTAGTATGAACTTTTAACCCTGTTTTAATGCTGGTGCCCTCTGAGAGTTAACTAAGTAAGCTATTAATATAAGGAGGGGTTCTAAGACTTATCAGAAAGTGTGAATAATTTCAAGATGTGTATGGACTACAAAAGTGTGAAAACTCCCCCTTCCAAGAAATTACCACATTAACAATCTTAACTTCGTCATTTTATGGTAAATATGGTTCTGATAAGAATTTGTGCACACATCTCAAAATCCATCTTGTCCCAAGTAAATAATTCTTATGTTTTAACAGTAATCTGTAACAAGTATGGTTAAATGTGGTAGAACATTTAGTGAATCTACCAGGTCTACCCATAATCAAACTCTTCTAGAATCCTTGTTACCCTGCAGAAGCTTTCACTCCTTATTCTCCCAGCCATTTTTCAGACCTGCCAAAGTGCTTCGGTTGTGAATTTAAAATTTGGTATTTTGAGATGGCAACAGAGTCTTTTAAATATATTAGAAGCCCTGTCTTTACTGGTTTAAACTTCCATACACGGAAAATAATCTGTTTGTCTTCTATACAGGTTGAATATCCCTTATCAGAAATGCTTGGAACCAGAAGTGTTTCAGATTTCAAATATTTTTGGATTTTTGAATACCTGCATTATACTTATGGTTGAGCGTTCCTAATATGAAATGTGAAATGCTTCAATGAACATTTCCTTTGAGTGTCACATTAGTGGTCAAAAAGTTTTGAATTCTGGAGCATTTCAGACTTTGAATTTTCAGATTAGGGTGCTCAGCCTGTCTTAAAAATAGTTGAGTTCAATAAAGTAATGAAAACAAGTCAATGAACCAGAACTATGTGACTGAATTATAAATCTCTGGCTAGGCGAAGATTAGTGGCTAGCTGTAGAAGTAGATTGCTTTAAACTAAATTTGAGGCTGTGCCAAATTGAGATTCCCAGGGATTTTTATCATAGAAAGAGAGAAAAGGAAGAAATCTTGTTTTGCTATCAGGGCAGAGCCAGATCTTAAGGACACAAAAGTACAGCAATATCTCACGATTCAGTCTTCCAATTTATGAGGACTCAATTCCTGGAGTCAAAGAGCACTTAAAAAGTAGAGGAAGAGAAGCAAAACATTTAAAGTCTGTTAAATTCATGAGTGTGAAGACTCTGGTTTAAAAGTTTAAAATGAAATTGGAACAAGGTGTTTAAAGAGAGATTATTTAAAAACACTGCCTATTATTCTTTACCATTCATTATTAATTAACATTGCCCATCAGTCATTATTACAGCATAGAGGCTCTATCAGTTTTTCAGCAGGGCAGAAATAAATACCAGCAACACAATTAACCAGGAAGTGTAAATTGACACTGGAGCCACAGTATGGCCAAATATAAAAGTATTCACTTAACAGACTGTTTCTTCTCTACCCTTCACAGAGTAGAACTACTTGTGTGCAGAAAAGTTAGAATGAAGGGTAATTCTTCTGATAAAGTTTCAGAGGGTCCTTAGGCATTTATAAAAACACCATGTTCTATGGTGGCCCATCCTTTGTACAGTAACACTGGAGGGATGTTGGGGGCAGGGTGAGAGGCATGTATCCCAATTGAATGAATAAATGAGTCTTCTATATAAGGCCCAAGGAAGGAAGCAATGCCTAGCCTAATTGGCAAAGAAAGAGATATGCCCACTTGTCATTCTTATTCAGAAGGCACTTCTATGTTGAAACACATTAAAATACAAGAATAAAAATATCAACCGCCCCTCAACTAGCTGTGTAGTACCACAAAAGCAAGTATCAATCAGTCTGCTATCACAAGATAAGTTCTGTCCTTGATTAGTCAAGATGAACTCTTTATTTTCAAATCCTATTATTAACGTATATAAGGATGGAAGCCTCAAATTTAAAGCCAAAGGATGCTGGCAAACTGACACCCTGAGAGAGTAAAAAACAAACTAGAAATAGATAAAAGATTCTTTCACACACAGACTGGGAACAGAATAGGGAACCCAGAAATAAGACCGCACACCTACAATCATCATCTTTGACAAACCTGACAAAAAAACAAGCAATGGGGAATAGATTCCCTGTTTAACAATGGTGCTGGGAGAACTGGCTAGCCATATGTAGAAAACTGAAACTAGACCCCTTCCTTACATCTTATACAAAAATTAACTCAAGATGGATTAAAGACTTAAATGTAAAACCCCAAACTACAAAAAACTTAGAAGAAAACCTAGACAATACCATTCAGTACATAGCCATGGGCAAAAATTTCATGATGAAGAGGCCCAAAGCAATTGCAACAAAAGCAAAATTTGACGAATGGGATCCAATTAAAGAGCTTCTACACAGCAAAAAACAAAAACAAAAAAACCCCTAAAAAACAAAAAAAACTATTGAGTAAACAGACAACTTACAGAAAGGGAGAAAAATTCTACAATCTATGAATCTGACGAAGATCTAATATCCGGCATCTATAAGGAACTTAAATTTACAAGAAAACAACCCCATTAGAAAGAGGGCAAAGGACATGAACAAACATTTCTCAAAAGAAGACATATATCACTGATCATTAGAGAAATGCAAATCAAAACCACAATGAGATACCATCTCACACCAGTCAGAATGACTATTATTAAAAAGCAAAAAAAAAAAAAAAAAAAAAAAAAAAAAAGATGCTGGCAAGGTTGTGGAGAAAAAGGAACGTTTTTACACTGTTGGTGGGAGTATCAACCATTATGGAAGACAGTGTGGTGATTCCTCAAAGACCCAGAGACAGACATACCTTTTGACCAGGCAATCCCATTACTGGGTATATACCCAAAGGAGTATCAATCACTCTATTATAAAGACACTAGCAAAGACATGGAATCAGCCTAAATGCCAATTAATGGTAGATGGGATAAAGAAAATGTGGTACATATACACCACAGAATACTACGAAGCCATAAGAAGGAATGAGATCATGTCCTATGTGGGGACACTGATGAAGCTGGAGGCCATTATCCTTAGCAAACCAATGCAGGAACAGAAAACCAAATACCACATGTTCTCACTTATAAATGGGAGCTAAACAATGAACATACATGTAGACACATAGAGGAGAACAACTCATACTGGGGCCTATCGAAGGGTGAGCGTGGGAGGAGGGAGAGGCTCAGGAAAAATAACTAATGGATAGTAGGCTTAATACCTGGGTGATACAATAATCTGCATAACAAACCCACACATCCTTTACCTGTACCTTCGAATGTAAAATAAAAGTTTTAAAAAAAAGATTACTTTCAATTACCGAAAAGGAAGTTGGCCAACAATCTAACAAAAATGTGTCTCCTGTGACTATACATGGGATTACTAAGATGAAAGCACATCTAAAAATCTAGCAACTTACATGGCTGTATGAAGCCTTTGGAGAAATAGTTGGCTTCATCTCACCAATTCTGCATCTTGCTTTGGTTTTATAGGTTTATCTGAAATACTTGGAACCAGAAGCATTTGAGATTTTGGACTTTTTCAGATTTTAGAATACAGTAAGTCCTCACTTAACATCATTTATAGGTTCTTGGAAACTGTGACGTTAAGCAAAACAACATAAAACAAAACCAGTTTTACCACAGGCTAATTGATACAAACAAGAGTTAAATCCCTGTGGCATTTATCTGGTGATAAAAACATCATCAAATTTCTAAATAATGACCCTAAACACTTCAAATATTAAGCACTGAAATAAAATGTGAGCTATACATACAATTTAGAAAGATTATCATTACTTTTTCAGGTGGAGTTTTGCTCGTCACCCAGGCTGTAGTGCAATGGCACAATCTCGGCTTGCTGCAACCTCCTGCTGGGTTCAAGTGATTCTCCTGCCTCAGCCTCCCGAGTAGCTAGGAATACAGGTGCCCGCTACCATGCCCAGCTCATTTTTGTATTTTCAGTGAGACGGGGTTTCACCATGTTGGCTGGGCTGGTCTCAAACTCCTGACCTCAGGTGATCCACCCGCCTTGGACTCCCAAAGCGCTGAGATTACAGGCGTAAGCCACCCTGCCCGGTCACATTTGAGAAAGAATCATAAAAACAAGATAATTATTAACCCAATTTTTGGTGAAGAGGTGGTGGGTTAAATCAAGGAATAAATGTTTTGCAAAGTGAAAATTGTAAGGAGCACACCCTATCACCAGGCAGTTCTAAAACAATGACAAAGACGGAAGGCTCACTGAGCGGTTTCATACTGCATCCTTTAACTGTCTTGCCTTTGTATGATTACTATGTATCTTACAAATTTTTATTTTACGACAATTTGTATTCATTCATTCATTTTCCAACTTGCTTTTCCCAGTTCAAGGTCACAGCTGGTCAGAGCACAAGACAAGAACCCACCATGGACAGGATGCTATTCTATCGCAGGGCACACTCAGACACACCCACACTCATTCAGACTGGGACAATTTAGACATGCCAGTTGAGCAATCCTCCCACCTCAGCCTCCCAAGTAGCTAGGACCACAGGTGCGCACCACCATGCATGGCTAATTTTTAAATTTTTTGTAAACATGGGGTCTCCTTGTGTTACCCAAACTGGTCTTGAACTCCTGGGCTCAAGTAATCCTTCTGCCTCGGCCTCCTAAAGCACTGGGATTACAGGAGTGAGCCACTGAGCCCGGCCAATGTTTTTTCTTGTCAATTTTATGACAAAACACACTATTTGATGACCTGCTGTATTTGTGTTATACTTATGGTTATACATCTCTAATCCAAAAATCCATGCTCCAATGAATGTTTCCTTTGAGTGTCATGCCTGCGCTCAAAGAGTTTTGAATTCTGGAGCATTACAGATTAGGGATGCTCAGCCTGTGCTAGCTAGATTACGCATTTCTTTGCTTGTGAGCTTTGAGAATCTTCTTCTACCTTTTCCCACTGTATAAATTTCACTAGAAGAATAAAAATTCAAGAACAATCCAAGAAAGGAAAGAGATGACTTATTAAATGTATTCAGGCTCTGTCCGATCCCCATTAAGAGGTAAAAGAGAAACTAAACATTGGTAAGTGCCTATTATTTGCTGGACACTGTGTTAAGCATCTGTTTCCTTTATTAGAGTTCAGGTAAACACTATTTTTATATCTGCTAATGACAAACCTGAAAATGCTCAATTTTAAAAGGCAAGCTTTTAGAGGCAAAGTTTTCTAACCTGTTTCATTATCAGACAGAAAGGAGGCATCAAGAAAGGACAAGAATGAATAATGAGTTCATCCCAGACTTCTAAGGCCAACACTTGATAAATAACTAGGAGTTCACTAAAATAGTGAAGAACATCTCTTACATTAGGTTTTCTTACAGAAACTGAAGAACCAAAGATCTCTAAACTTTGTCTCATGATGAATTATTTAA
Organism: Homo sapiens; assembly: GCF_000001405.40. Lineage (NCBI taxonomy): Eukaryota > Metazoa > Chordata > Mammalia > Primates > Hominidae > Homo > Homo sapiens. Next base: position 171,730,747 of record NC_000002.12, on the reverse strand, counting down.
AAAGTCAATATTTAGGATAAGGCAGATAGAAACAGAAAAAAAAACACCTTAGAATTTAATTTAAATAGAATCAGATGCTGGGTATGCATTTTCTCAGCAATAATGTTAATACCGCAGAAAAACTAGACAGCAAAGTTAAGGCACTTTAATTATAAAATGAGATTAAATGAAATTACAAGTCTATCACAGGAGGTAATGTTGCCTACTTGGATTTGTCTTGAGACTTTCAACAGGTCAAGACAATGTCACATTTATCTGGAATTGCTGGAGGATCAAGAATCATTTTATCACATGAATGGGTTTTTAAAATACTGAAGTTTATTAAAACCAAAATAAATGATTTAAACTGCTTATCATAGAATAACAAAAAATATATGCATCCATGCTTTTACACAATGCTTTCCTAAGGATTCCAGTTTACTACATATAGCCATATTATACAGGACTTATTGTAAATCAGTTTCTCTCTCTCTTTTCCCTATTTCCCATCAACTCTGTGAGCCACTGTAGTTATGAATAACCTGTTAAAAACTCTCCAAAGAGCAAATGCATAGCTTTTGTGCTGAGCTGAATGACAACTGTATGAGGTGCTATGCGAGATACTCAGGGCTTTTTTCCCAGTGCAGTTCAGGGTAAACAGTTACATGCTCGAAAAGACTGAAGTGGTGGGAAGACTGGTCCTTGATTCTGCGTAGGGTTACCATACTTGTTAGCATATTTTTATAAAAATTACAACATCTAGTAGTTCACTCATGCTCTGTGTAACTTCCTAGCAGGCTTCATCTATTAGCAAACAATTATGATTTAAAAGGTTTTCATCATTCCTATGTAGTATTAGATCACCACCTTGTGTCAGAAACCTGAGCAAATAGCAGACATCTATATTTTAGATACCTTAGTTGTCCAAAGCTTTACTGTCCAGTCAAACGATGAAGTGACAAAAAGATGTGAGAAGTCTACTGCTCCAACAGCTGCATGACAATGGATGCCAGTGATTGGTCCTTGATGCCCCTCAAACATCTCACTGATTCCAGCTTTGCTAATTTCATAAAAGTGAAAATGTTAGAGAAGTCTCCTATAAGTAGACCAATTACATACACATTTTATTATAGGTTTATATATCAGGCCTTGACTTCATTTTGACAGACTTAACTCTGTGCTCATAACTTATCAGAATTAACTTTGTTGAGTGTTATTCCATCCACATTTGGTAACTCTACTAAAGCAATAAGTACCTTTGGAACTGTAAACATCATGCTGTTGACAACAGACCTCAAAAGTCCAATATCTGAAGTGGTGTAATAGAAACAAAGATACCCTACATTTAAGAGAGACAATCTGGGCTACTTTTAAAACAAAAGCTTTGAAGTGAAGGTGATCTATATTTGAGATGAAATCTGGACACTCAATTTTTTTTTAAGGAAGCAATAAGGTACAGCTAGACAATTTCAAAACAGACAGAACGGAAGGAGAAATATTACTCAGTTTAAAATATGTATGTGACATTACTGTACAATTATCAGGAGAATGAACTAATGCTTAAAGTCCAAATAAATCAAAAGGGGAAACAGCTGAAAATCTCATTTATAAGTCTATAGGTCAATATTGGCATGTGCATATTGTATTTGTAACTACTGAATGTTCCTGCCTATCACTAACTTACGTGAGTACATGCACACACACAAAACCACAACCCACAAAATCTAAACACATCATGAATCCAAAATTATCTTTTATACAAAAAGGTATTAAGTTTTAATTTTATGTGCCTGAACACAAAAAATCTGTCACAAATAACAAGTAGATCTACGACAGATTTCTACTTAAATAAGACAATTTGTTTCAATGGGATTAAAGGAGGAATTTTAAATTATTGCAAATTCCAGTTTAGGTTTACCTGCCATGGCGGCATGCTGTGTACACAGAACCTTCTTCACTCCCAACAACAAAGTTGTTGACATCTCCAACAGGGAAGGACATAGATGTCACAGCTACTGCTTTTGACTGTTTATGAACCAACTCCATGCTATCCTACATAGAAAAACCTGAGAAAATTAGTTTGTAAACTTGCAATTTTAAATTTCTGTAGAAAAACTTCTAGTCTTTGATTGTAAACAATTCTTTTATTATTTACATAAATCTAAATTAAATGAAGCAGGTTTCAAAGTAAAATATATATATATGAAACAAACTTATATTAAACACGTTTCAGCTTATAAGCTGTTGTAACACTACTATAAAACAGTTTATGAGAAACATAAGTTGAGGTACACATACACTTAAAACATAACATTTGCCTCAAAATTTCAGTTTCCCAAGTTTAACCCACCTGTGGATGGGAAAGCATGTCCAGACTCCATGAACAAATTTTTCCATCAGTAGAGATGCTAATCAGATTGTGAGCATTTTGTGTTCCAACAACATTTACACAATATACAGGGTGCTAGAGATATTAAAAAAAGTTTTCAGGGATTATTGTACCAAAAAGCAAAACAAAATTTTTAGTCTAATTATAAGCATTCTGTTTATTATCGAGTCTCATAACTTGTGGGTATTCTTAATGTGAAGTTTGCTATTAACAAAATGTTGTCGCAGAAGAGAGATGAGTTTCTAATAAATCTCCAAAAAAAAAAATAGCCTTCATTCTTGGTTGCTAAATGGTGAGGAATTCATACACCAAAGGAAGCACATTCTGAGATGACTCTGATGGCCACTACTAAGTATTATAGCTAAGGATGAAGGAGCACAGAAGCCTAATGGAAATAACCTTATTTACTTACTGTGTGTGCAGCTGCTGACAGTGGAGTTCTTTGCACTGGAGTTCTTTTATTGCTACGGTTATCCCAAAGCACAATTTGGCCTGAATATGTACCACCAACAACAAGATTTGGATGAAATTTTGCAAATGTGGCAGACATCACAGCTGACTGCAAATAAGTAAGATTTTTATACTTGAGATTCAAATGGAAAATGCCTGACAAGTTCTAAAAATCAATCTATTATCCGAAACATTTCTTTCTTCATTGTATGGTATTAGAGGTTATAAAAACAACTAAGTAAATTAATTAAAAGTTTTCACTGTTTCAGAAATATAAAAATATATCTTTAAGATATTTTTTGCTTAAAAGTCCAATGCAATGGCTGTTTACTATTAAGTAGGTTTAACTAATTTATCAAAGAAAGCAAAAAGTTATTTCAGTTAACTACAGTATTAAAAAGATAACTAGCCCTGCATTAGACTCTGACAGTAATCTAACAGTAGAGTACACGCTAGTTTAATTCAAGTTAAGTGTTTACTCAAGATTAAGACACTATTAAAAGATTTTAAATTATGCAATCAGAAAAGGCTTGCAAATTCTAACCTTCTACTAAATCTGCTTTAAAAATCTGCATCTGTTTTCTACTTCAACCATATGTTTCTACTTAAAACCATCTAGTTCCAATTCCTCAGGCCATGTATAAGTAATTCAGTGGGCCAACCATCTAATTGTATATTCACAAATAAGTTCCTGGGAAACTCCCTGTAGGAAAGACATTTTATAAAAGATTCCTTTTATACAGTCAATCACCATAACAGAAAATCACAACTGCAAAGGACTTTAGGTGTGATTAAACATTATAAGAGATGTCAGAAAAGCTACAAAAGGCAGATCATGTTGAACTGAGAAGTCTTCAGTTTTCTGTTAACATCTGTTTGCAAATATGGAGTGGTTTAGTAAAATGCCAATCCAATGAAATCATTATGTTGACAAGAAAAGAAAAAAGGCACTTGTCTTAATTCATCAATGAATTCTTAAACTTGAGGCGAAGACTGTTAAAAGACCACCATACCTGGCAGTGAAACACATACTCTGGGGTAGTTTTTTTGTATTTCATATTCCATACAAGGGCCACACCATCAGGCTCATGAGGGGCATCTTCATTGTTGTTATAGGAAGCCACGAGTAACTCCGGATACTGCTCAGAAGAATCAAGAAGAAAAGAAATGCTATGCATAATAAGAACTGTTTTATAATCCTAGTTATTTGTCTTTATCAGATTATTATTCTGCAAATACAAATACCTAACATTTCATCAAGAGAGACATCTCTAGCATTATGCCTACTGGGACATTAGTACAATTTTAAATTAGAACAGTTAATTATTTTAAATGTTTTAATGTTAAAACATTTAATTAAAATATGTGTCCAAATTTTACACAAAGGATTTGGTGAGCAACTGAAATTAGTAAAACTGGCCTGTATCATAAAGTCCTGAATTTTAAATATAAATAATGCTTCTAATCTTTCTTCCAAAGTACATAAGATGAGTATGTTAACATTAGAACCATCATCCATTAATTTTAAATAACACATATTGATTTATTATACAAAATTCCCATAATTAAAATAAAATGACCTGCTAATTATAATTTTAAAAATGAGTTAAGAGCGGCCTATTTTGTTATATTTTACCTGAGATGACCAATCCAAACAACTAACCACCCGATGCTTTGACCAACGTTCGTCAAAAAATTGTCGATTTAATGACAGTTTAGCACCTGCTTGAATCTCTCTACAAAAAAAGACCAAACCCCCCAAAAAGATGGTGTTATAACTTTTATCACTCTTAATCTTAAAGTAATTTAACATTATTGAAGCTAAAAATCTTAGCAACTAAACATTACCCTTCTTTGTCTTCCAAATCTCTCCCACTATAGTCAAAGAAGATGTTAATCTGCTCAGAAAGAGCTCTTTCTACAATTCTTGTAGAATGGTCAAAGAAACTTAAAAATTCCTCAGAGTGCAAGATTTGTTGCTTTTCTTCTTCAGTCAGCTCATGAGGGGGAGCTGGAAAATAAATAATTTTTTGAAGTATGATTTATGTCAGGCAAATCACGTCAACTCACTATCACAGTATGGATCAATGTATGTTATTATTTTTCAATCAGATTCACTTATTTGATTTACAGCATTTCATCCTACTTTAATACATAATAAAAGGAATCTTAACAGAAATCAACAAAATGTTTTAAAGTTTAATTCCTTAAGATACCTTTACTATCATTTTCCTCATCTTTCTTTAAAGTTTTCTCTTCTTCAGGTTCAATAGGTGGTTTAGGAGCCACTACATCATCATCTTCCTCTTCATCTGAAAAAAAAAAAAAAAACAAACAAAAAAACAAAAAAACAGAATGATATAATAAATTATTTTAATGAAAATAGCTGGTAACTTTTGAGACAGTATTTCAGAAGGTATCACAACTCCCAAGATATAAGCAAAAGTAAACCACTGACCGGACAGAACAAGTACAAATAATAGGGATTTTTATCAACATAATCAAATAGTTAAGTGGAACCTCTTGGTTTTTATACATACCTATGTGGTACCTCAGCAACAGCCACCCTAAATTCTGTAGCTACATAAACTGAAATAAGATATATAAGCAACTAGGATGAATTCCTCATTAAGTCTCTAAAAGCTTGCAAGCATTTATCATTCTAGACAGAACAACATGCAACTCCTGCATAGTTTTATATAGCATGCTGACACATTAATGCTGTAGAATGAGGAAAATCAAATGTCTAAAATAGCCTACAGAGCTGGCTGCTTACTTGTGATCTGAAACCATCAGTGTCTAATGGGCCTTCATAAGGCATAAAGATGGCTTACATTAACTCTCAGGTTGCTATTTGAGAGGCAGATTTTGAAGATAATAGCTATAAGACCACATTTTCTATTCTGTCATTTTAAATGCAAGTCTCATTATCTATTGTTACATGATGTGGCAATAAGCACTTAAAATAATGTTTTCTTAATTTGAATAAAAGTATACATTGGGATAATATACAATGTTTACAAGACTTCTAAAAAATTACTAAATCTCTTACATCCCAAACCAGGAAGTAATTTAAAATCATTTATTTTAAAATGTTATAGAACACATAACCCTGCCCACCTTTTCTTTTGCTACACACTGAGATGGGTTTTTATGAAGAAAATGTTTATTTTTATTGCCTAAACACATGCGTTATTTGTCTATAAGGGAAAGGCAGCAGGCATCTGCACCAGAGTGCAGTTCAAGTAATGACAACCTATTCAATAAGGGGACTTTACTTGCTGTAGTCATTTCCCTGACTCATGTTCAAAATTATCTAAAACACACATACATACGACGTACACAAAAGAATGGTCAAGAATGGGAACCAGCTGCCAAGTCATGGTCCCAGCAGCCAGGCCAGCTGACTAGACAGCAACAACCAGATGGCACTGCTGGGATTGTGTCTTTCTGCTACAAGGTGGCAATGGGATGGCATAACATTCTTCCGCTTCACTGCTTCCAATCCTGTGTCTCTCCCCAATGGCAGGCCTGTGCAATTACCAGCACTCCAGGAGGCCTAAAGACAAGCCTTTACCCAGCAAACAAAATGCAGCTTGTAGGCCACACCAGCTGCCAAACCACACACATACTGTTAGGTTTAGAGAGCTATGAAAATCTTTCTAACTCTATAGTATAGGCAATAAAAATATAACTGTACCTGTGGAAAGAAAGCTTTAAATGACACTGTATAATGCACACAATGATACAACCTCCAACTTAATCAAAATGATAATGACGTATGCCAATCCTACATTACTTGAAATTGAGCGATTTTTGTGTTCTGACAAGTTTACAGAACTAGGATAAATGGCACGAGTGATTTCAATATATGCTCATACTTTTGAACCAAATGGTGAAGGTTAAAATTTTTCCTTTCAACGGCCTCAATCAGCCACAAAGGAAAACAGTAATCACTGTCTTTTCAGCCAGCCCAACCACATTTGTCAGCCCTTTCTCCGTCAACGCAGCCAGAGCAATCAACCTGCCAAACATTCAGAATGGAAAAACAATCTGAAAATACAGGGTATAATGCACCTGCCAGTGAAAATGGCCATTTCAAGAAAAGCTAGTGATCTCAGTGACCCTGCTGAGGAGGCGGTGGTGCAAAGGGGAAAGAACACGTAAAAGAATTCTTAGTGATCGCCACTCTCTTGCACATTGACACTTCCTTACAAAGCATGCCAATTATAGCTTTTGTGCTACTTAAAAAAATGAAAGCTTTTTGGGGCAAAATAATCACATAGAGAAACAGAAAGACACTACTCCTTTTTAGATGAATTCTCATATACAACGAATTATTAATCTGAAAATAGTATAATTGGTAGCAATTCTATACTATATTACTCAAGCATTAGAATGAAATTCTTCCATAAAGTCACCTGCAGGTGTAATGTAACAAAATAGTTTAATTACATTTAACTTACAAGCTGTCTTTTAGAATAATAGGACATCTATTTCAACTAAAAATTCACTGTAAGAATATACATATATTTTCCACTTTCTGCTAATGCTACCAGTTATCCTAATCAAGTGTTTACTAGTAGGTTTCACTGTATGTAAATCCTAAAATCAAAGATAGGAATTTTGAATCACCCAGGACAGGTCATTCTTGAGCACTATGAATTATAAATTACAGCCTCCTACCCACATCTTATTCTCCTCCTTCAACTTTGTTGTATTATACGGCCTCTAAGTACCATTTCCAATGACAGGTGTCAAATTCCTGTCATAATGCATATGGTCAGTACTTTAGTGCTAAGTGACCTCATAATTTACATATTTAACAGAAAAGATCTTGTTTATAGACACTCTTTTCCTTTTAAAATTTAAAATGTAGATGAAATATGTCAGACAGTGATCTATATCTGTGTACTATACAGCATTTGCCATGCCTATTTGTCCATATAAATTATTTCAGTTGTAGCTGAATCATGAGTATCAACTATTTAAATACATGCTCTCAGGGTTTTATTTTAGAATTAAAGTACATACCCTCCCTTTCTACATGGATTAAAACCAGACTTTAAAACTATCATTGGTACTTAAGCTTCATAAAAATGATTAAATAAATTTCAAGGAACATAAAAACAAATGATAATGCTGTTCTTAAAAACTGTAAAATGCAATCTTTTTGCTATAAGGTTGATCTTAAATAATTATCAAATTTACCAAATATTTGGCAAAAATGCCTAACATCAATAACATCAGATTAAAAAATGTTCTTCTGAAACAAATATGCTTTTCTTGTTATAAGCTAATATGATAGCTACCAAAGGACTATTAACGTGGCCAAAAATATAAAATTACAGTTCTGAAGATTTTCTAAGCTAGTCCTTATTACATGATAAGCTATATTTAAAACTGGAAAAGACTGTAACAGAGCAGGAAGACTGAAAAATGGGGCTGCCATGTCACATCAATTTATTGATGAATATTCATTACAATATGCTAAAGTGGTTAACTCCACGCTTTCTCTGACAAGGAATCTAAGGTTATAAACTGAGCAGTAAAGAGTGCATAAAAGTAGCAGTTACTTTTAAAATGACAAATCTCTTGTCAATGAATGCTAAAACTAGGTTTAATGAACCACTGAATTTTTACTTTGAGTTAACATCAAAATTGTGATGTATTTTGGTGAGACAGAAAGAAAAGCTGTTTTGTAAATTAAGCTGCACCTACAAGTAACACGAAAGAATGAAATTCCAGTTGTTGGAATAATCTCTTACAATGGAGTAAGTTAATCAAAGTTAAATCATCTGTGAAATGGGTGGCTTTTGTTAAACTGAAGGAAGGAGACTTCAGAGCAAGTTTTCTCATCTGTACCTCACAGTACATTTAAGATACATTTTACATTTAAGATACATTTAAGATAAGCTAAGAGTATGCCACAAAGCATACTCTGAATTATTTTAAAATATTACAAGACATTTAAAAGGTAATATACAGTATCTTAGAAAATCCTTACTGAACAAACATTGCTACTTATGAATCTATCACTTTTAATGATTAAATCTCAATATGAAGTGAAAAACAAATCCCATCATTAGTGCACTGTTGTTTAGGAAATATGTTTGTTGTCTATCAATTTACTATGTAGTTTTATTGTACTGGTGCATCCCATTTTAAGATAACTTAATATCCTATGAAAAATCCCTAACTTACAAGGTAGTCTGGTTATTCCTGGTATAAAGGAAGCTGACACTGAGTTCTAAAAGTCAGGACATTTGCTGCATATAAAAATATGATTTGACTTATAAAAATTCAACTTATGAATAACTTCACAAACAGCTATGAAAATATTAGAGGAAAATGCTTTAATCATTAGTTTAAAAATACAGATTACATAGGAATGATTTTCCTTTAATATTTTCAAAAAATCCCTTCTTTTCTGGGTCAGCTTCATTTTGAATCACTCTATTTCAATCCATTTGTCCATCACTTCATCTTCTTATACCTTACTCTTTAAAATCAGATGCATATTAAAGAGAATCTTCATTGGGACAAAGTTTCATGAATCTATCAATGGAATCCATTCCCTTTCTTTTTTTACACCATCTAGAATAAGATGCAAGGTCACTTGGGTTTCTTTGGCTCTTCAACAAGGGAAAAATACACAGCTGACTTTTTAATCATTAATGATTTCAATACAGATGTAATGCTAACTTGGGGGGAAAATAAGAAAAGACTAATAGTTTAATTATACCACTTCCTTTAACACAAAATTTGTCTCTCTGTAGTTCTTTTTTTTTTTTTTTTTTTTTTTTTTAAGAGATGGGGTCTTGCTATGTGCCTAGGCTGGCCTCAAACTCCTGGGCTCTAGTGATCCTCCTGTCTCAGCCTCCTGAGTACCTGGGACTACAGGTGCACACCACCTTGACCAGTCACAGTCCTTTTTATATAAAATTTGGGTTTTATTTTCGCAGTATTAGCACCCTTACATAGGTCTTGTTATCTGTGATTTCATCAAATATTATATTTTTCTGAGGCCAGGGTTTCAGATATGCTGATTAGTCTTTCAATCAAGATTAAGAACAAATGCTTCAATTTTCAATTTTGTTTATATTCTTATAGGTCCTCTGAGGGTTAAAACTAATTTATTAAATGTGTTATTCATTCCAAAATCTTTTAAAAATCCATTTTATTTAATTAATTTATTTGAGACATAGTCTCACTCTGTCGCCCTGGCTTGAGTGCAATGGCACAATCGTGGCTCAATGCAACCTCTGCCTCCTGGGTTCAAGCAATTCTGCCTCAGCCTCCCAAGTAGTTGGGATTACAAGTATGTGACAACACACCTGGCTAATTTTTGTATTTTCAGTACAGATGGGGTTTCACCATGTTGGCCAAGCTGGTCTCAAACTTCTGACCTCTGGTGATCTGCCCCACCTCGGCCTCCCAAAGTGCTAGGATTACAGAAAAATCCATTTTAGATAAGGTAGATGTATTAACCAGAAGGCATACAAATTTGGTCTTCTGGGAGTGAATTCCAAATGTTAAGATCATGCAATAAGTGATTACAAGATAATCACATATATTAATATTCTACACACAATAAAGCTAATCAACAGGTATTGAAGAAAACATATCTGGCTACTAAGCCAATACCAACAGTAATTATAAACTCCTTCACAGATAAGAAAGTGGAATGGAATAAGAAAAATGGTACTTCACTAGAAATCAAGTGCCAGTTTCTGGATGTATGCCCGATATTCTCTCAGACGGTGGACTTAGACTCACCAAGTAATCTCCTTGAACCTCAGTTTCCTCAGAGTAAACAAGCTGATTAGATTAGGTAACCTTCAGGATTTCTTTTTCCTTTAATAATCTTTCAAAAAATAGCCAAAAAAAAAAAAAAATCCATACAGAAGAAGTGAATAAGAAAAAATAATGCCATTTTTTCAAAAGAGTTAAAACTTTTAAAAAGGTAAAGAAAGTAACTTTTCCAGGAGTGTATCTGTGGGCACCACATTCTTGCCAAGAGAAGCTTTTCACCTGCTGAGAAGAAAATCGACTGAAGTCACGTGGTGCTAGTCAATTTCATTCACAGTAGGCGCTTTAAGACAGCAAAGCACCACAGTTCAGAAACAGTACTACCAACTTACAGAGTAAACTGGAAAGCAAGAAGGTGGCCAGAAGAGTGAAAAAGAAAAAACAAGGCAGAATAAAAACTGCTTTTTTAAAGGAATAGGCTTGGCCATTTTTATTTAAAAAAAGAATACAAAAGAAAGGTAAGAGTTAAGTCTACGACCAATTTTTACCTTCAATTTGGTAAGTCACGGATTTCTGTAGGCATGGATTTTACTGCCTACAGAAGTTTAATTTGCTGTCTGTTACACTCCAACTGTGATTTCACCAATTTTGTTTCATGGTGAGTTCTGGAATTCATTACATAATTCTTAAATGGGAACCAACCAGGCAAAGTTTGAGAACCACTGTATTAACGTGATGGGTAAGCACAAGAACAGTTAAGCGCACAGTGTTTCCATTATAAAACCTTAATTTCAAGGTTTTTCTCTTTCCTTCTTTCTAAAACTTATACACTTTGGGAAAAGAAACTTAATGTAAGAGCTCCAGACATGAAAATAACTGTAATGATATAGAAAACAAATTATCTCATTTTTTCCCCCAAAGGATACTGCCCAAATATCTCATTTTTATAAATATTTCCAAAGGGTTAAGGATAGCTCCATGGTATCAGGATGCTTTTTTTTCCCTTCTCCTTCACTTATATACCTCAACCTGTAACTAAAAGGACAACAAATCCAAAGAAAGGATAATCTAGTGCCTTTACATAGAGCAAATACTCAATAAGCTTGTAGAATCAGTGCTAGACAATATTAACTAAACTACTTACTATAGGTTACTCATAAAACAACTCATAAAAACATGAGTTGCTACTTCAGTGGCAAGAGAAAGCACATCGTAGAATCAGTCATATTTGGTTTACAATCATAGCTACTAGCTCTGTGATGCTCGATAAACTACCTCTTTCAGTTTCAGCTTCTTTGTGTGTAAACAAAACCAATACCTAACTTTCAGGGTTTTGGTGACAGCATTACAGATGATGTAAAGTGTCTCACACTATGCCTGATAAGTGGTAGGCACTTCTTGGTGTTATAATTTTTAGTCATCAATTTAAATAAGAAGTTTGGAGACGGCCGGGGCAGTGGCTCACACCTGTAATCCCAGCACTTTGGGAGGCACAGGCGGGCGGATAACGAGGTCAGGAGATCGAGACCATCCTGGCTAACATGGTGAAATCCCGTCTCTACTAAAAATACAAAAAATTAGCCGGGCGTGGTGGCGGGTGCCTGTAGTCCCAGCTACTCGGGAGGCTGAGGCAGGAGAATGGTGTGAACCCGGGAGATGGAGCTTGCAGTGAGCCAAGATCGTGCCACTGCACTCCAGCCTGGGCCACAGAGCGAGACTCTGTCTCAAAGAAAAAAAAAAGAAGTTTGGAGACATATTCATTGGAACCAAAATATTAACAATGGGTTGTACACAGCAGTATCAAAAACATTTCCTCTCTATATCCTTTCTGTACTTCTAAATTCTCTATGATATACCACTATAGTAATTAGAAAAAACTATTTTTAAAAAATGAAAATAGTTGAAAAAAATGAAAATCTTGGCTGGATGTGGTGGCTCATGCCTGTAATCCCAGCACTATGGGAGGCCAAGGCGGGCAGATCACTTAAGGCTAGGAGTTTGAGACCAGCGTGGCCAACATGGCGAGACCCCCAAGTCTACCAAAAATACAAAGATTAGCTGGCAGTGGTGGCGCACGCCTGTAGTCACTGCTACTCAGGAGGCTGAGGCAGGAGAATCACTTGAACCTGGGAGGTGGAGGTTGCAGTGAGCTACGATGGCACCACTGCACTCCAGCCTGGGCAACAAAGAGAGACTCTGTCAAAAAAAAAAAAAAAAAGAAAGTCTTCACTTAAACTGGATATAACTATAGATATAATAGGCATTACTCAAAATAGTTTCAGAATACTTTATATTTGAAAAAATCCAAGATGCATTGTACCAGTAAGTATGGTAGTGTAACTAAAAATACAATCTCCAAATTATCAGATGAAGAAAAAGGCCTAATTTATTTTTTTAAATGAGTCACTGTGCCTTCGTTTTGGTTATTCTGGTCACTTTCTGAGTTAACATATCTACTAACGTAGCTCCTAAAAGGCAGACATAATAATACTCACCAAATTAATATACTAGTTAACAAAATAATATTTTCTAGAAATTACAGAATCCTGCAGTATTAGTATTCTCATACTGAAAGCTCCATACTTTCTTTCTTTTTAAAAAAAGTTGCTTGTGTCTCAAGCAAGTTTACCATCAGTGTGTTTCTTCTGTTAGGATGAGGATCTTGCATCTACAAAAGATATCTTACCAACCAATGGAACAGCAGGAATGAAAAAAATGAACATACAGAACATCTACATGGTCAAGTAAAAAGTACTTGGACATGGCCGGGCACAGTAGCTCACACCTGTAATCCCAGCACTTTGGGAGGCCGAGGTGGGTGGATCACCTGAGGTCAAGAGTTCGAGACCAGCCTGGCCAACATGGTGAAACCCTATCTCTACTAAAAATACAAAAAATTAGCCGGGCGTGGTGGCAGGCGCCTGTAATCCCAGCTACTCAGGAAGCTGAGGTGGGAGAACTGAGCCAAGATGGCGCCACTGCACTCCAGCCTGGGTGTCAGAGCAAGACTCCATCTCAAAAAAAAAAAAAAAAAAAGAAAATACTTGAACAAAAATGTTATACCAATTTCCTCAAAATTTTGAAAGTGTAATTATATGTGTATCATAATGTTGCCTCCTTTTGAGAAGACTGAAAGGAAAAGTTTAATGTATTTATTTCATTTCCATCCTCAGAGGGCAGCAAAAGGAGAGTAGTTAAAAGTGTCTGTGATGATCTACTATTAAGTCAAAAGGTTGTAAATAGTTACAATCCTAATTTTCTTTTTTTTTTTTTAAACGGAGTCTTGCTCTGTCGCTCAGGCTGGAGTGCAGTGGCGCAATTTTGGCTCACTGTAACCTCTGCCTCCCGGGTTCAAGCAATTCTTCTGCCTCAGCCTCCAGAGTAGTTGGGATTACAGGCACCCACCACCACGCTCGGCTAATTTTTGTAGTTTTAGTAGAGACAAGGTTTCACCATGTTGGTCAGGCTGGTCTTGAACTCCTAATCTTAAGCAATCCACCTGCCTTGGTCTCCCAAAGTGCTAGTACGGGTGTGAGCCACCACGTCCGGCCACAATCCTAACTTTTTTTTAGGTTTAGGCAAATATGAAAATTTAAAGATTTTCTTTGGTAGTAGACAGGGATTTCAAGGATTTCTCCTCACTTTTGCTTACCTGTATTTCCTGGCTTTCTGCAATGAATATAACTTTTGTTTTTCCTTAATGGAGAAACATGGTAATTTAATTAAAAATTTAAAAATACATTAATTTAAACATCTGATAAAATTTCTATTCCAAAATTGTTAACAGCTCTAAAATCCATAACTCATTTGGTGGTAAACTCTGACATGGTAAAGTCAGAGGTAAAGCTATTTATAATCATTACTTATCTCACTTAGTATGTTCATATGTTTTGCTGCCAAAATATTAATGCCCAAAATACTACTAGAGTGTTAACATATAATACATATATTTTATTACTTTTACATAATCTGAAAAACTTGGAATTCTAATATATATATGGCCCCAAAAGCTTCAGAAAAGACACTGTGAAGTGTATTAGGGATCTCACATAAATCTTTTTTTTTTGTATGATATAAATTCATTAGCCTCACTGGGAAAATGAGATCGTAGTACTTTATGCTTGAATCGTTAGCTATTTGTAATGCTTTCTGGTTTAAGAACCAAAGGGTCTCCACATTCAATAGGTCTGTGCATACGTCCCCATACTATACACAAATTACAGGCTACTAACTAATCAACAAAATAGAGCCCCTATATCATAAAAGAGAAAATTTAAGAATTAAGTCTAGATTTGTTCATTAGTATGAATAACATCAGGGTACAGTATGCTTTTCAGAAATAATTTACATGACTTTGTTTACTATGGGACCCACTCTCTTTTGGGGAAGAATTATGCTCAATGACAGAAACAGAAAATTCTTAAGCTTTTTGGCTTCTAAAAGCAGTATACATTAATGACAAAATAAGGGCTGAAAGACTTAAATTTATGTCAACAAAATTAAGAAACCACACATACAGCTTACAACGTTAACTTCTAATAAGTTTTAAAACTCGAAAAAATGAAGACATAAATACAGAAACTGTAAAGCATTAGTTTTCTCATGTTTCCCTAAGAAAACATGCCAAAACACAAAAGCAAAAAAGAAACAAAACAAAAATCAAAGGAAGAAAAAAAGAATCTATGTATTTAACATAGGTGCTCAATGACAATTATACTAAGGATAGATATTCACCTTCTTTGGGTTGAGCCATAACTGGAGTCTGAGTTTCCTTTGTATACGTGACAATTTCTCGAGGAGGAAAGTCGACTTGCGTGATTTTAGCCATTCCAAGTTTAATAGGTCCTCGTCTAAATTAAGTAAATACAAACAACACAATTTTAACTACATCAAACCATGTTATTTTCAAAAATTAAGAATTAAACAGTCATTTGCACCCAACATTGTAATTTCAATCCATTTTATTCAAGAAATTTTAGATTAACAATAAATTGGCTTTATTTTAGCAAAAGAATGAGAAGGTAGCAAAAGCAAAAGATATTTCTGAATCATTCAGTGTTTTTATTTTCATTTTAAAAAGGCAAGTAATTTCATTTTTTTAGAACAAATGTGCGGGCAATAATGAAGTAAGAGAATAGGAACTTCAGAGTGGACCACTGAATAAGGTTGTCGTAAGAACTGGTTTCAGCTGGGATATGGTTCTTTCTGGACTTTTTTTTAAGAATCAGACTAGATATCACTCAGACCACATTTAGCTGATTGTGCCACTAGGAGAATTCAGCTTTACGACTGAAAAACAGGTTTCTGTTGAAAGCTTTTTTTCTACTTATATTTGGCAGAAATTGAGAATTACACTATCAATTTGGACTTTAAAATGAAATATTTAAAACTTTTAAATCTCTAATCTCTGCATGATCAATACTGTCCTTGATTCACATTATGGAGAAACTAAGGTCCAGATATTCTACACTTAGACTAAAGTGACAGATCTTTTGAATACCATAAATCTACTAAAGTCACTTCTGTTTAGAAATACAGGGTATACATTCTTTTTTGACAATGGAAGAGAGCTGTGGCTGAGGAAAATGAACCAAAAGAAAAATATATTTTATTAGCTATCTGGGAGATCTTTTATTGGTTTTATTAGATGTTTAAATCCTAAACCAAATAAAGTACGCTTCCAGACTCCCAAAAAAGTTCTCAGTGATGAAGCTGCCTTAAAAGGATATACAATAAAGACACTGCTGCAACTTTCAGAATATAAAGCAGGCTATCGCTGGTAATATAACTTTTTTCTTATATAAATATTCTTTTCAGTTCTATTTAGTAACTAAATCCAAGTCCTATACAATCTAATAAAGCATAACAAAGTACTATAAAGTATAATAAAATTAGTACATTTTAAAAATTAATGTTCCAAAATGTGGGCCATAACAATTTTTTAATGTCTTTTCTAGTTTAGAAATAAAAAAGAAAGGGAAAAAAAAAGTATAGTCAAAGAATTAAGTGGACAATTTAAGTAATCTGAAGTAATCTAGAAGTCTAAGAATAAAATTTGAAATAAGAAACTTTATATTCTGATTTTTAAGATGCAAATTATATAAAAAGTAAATCACTCACATAGCTGGAAAAAAATCGTCAAGCCAACAATATTAGGAATCAATTACCAACTTGAATGCATACAGAGTCTAACAGAAAAAACCATAATACTAAACAAACGAAATATTCCAAGATTTTATAGGAGGAGGTGGGTAGGGAAGTAATACCTCACTTATCCAAAAGCCACTTTTACTGAAAATAAGGAAGCAATGGGAGGCAGGAGGGGGAAGCCTCAGTGTGGCCACTACAGAGGGCTTCCAGTTCAAGTACAAGAAACTCATATATTTTTCTTACATGCCTCAAATCAAGGCTTATTTACCTTACTTTAGACACAATTCCAAAAGGTATATTCATATGTTTTTGAAGCTGTAAATTATCAGGGGAAAAGGGCTATCTGAGTCAGGCAAAATGGCAGCAGCAAACATTTATAATTTGCATTAGAATCTAGAATAAATAACTGAATGAATGAATGGATGGATAATCTTATCTCTATGTCAACAAAATTAAAAAACCATACATACAGCTTACAACACTAACTTCTAAAAGAACAAGTTTTAAAACTCTAAAAAAGAGACATACAGAAACTATAAAGCATTAGTTTTCTAACGTTTCACTAAGAAAATATGCCAAAAAAAAAAGCAAAAAACAAAACAAAAATAAAAGGAAGAAAGAAAAGAACCTATTTATTTAACCTAGGGGCTCAATGACAATTATATTAAGAATATTCATCCATACATTCTATGAATAATCTATTAATCCATTCATTCACTCATTTATTTATTCTAGATTCATGAATAGTTTTATTCTAGATTCATGAATAAATAGTAATGAATGAATGAACAGTGTAAGGACCAGCATCTCCATTATTCTCAAAATCTTAGAAATCATCAGTGAATTTTAATACAGAAAAATAAATTAATATTCATATCAAGTAACCCTGAAAAGGTTCAATTACATGTAGAATATTAGAAGAAGTCTGAGAAGTTTTTTAATACATCCTACAAAACTTGTATTAAAAACATAGAAATAATTTTAAACATTTGGACACTTAAATGGACTCAGGGTACATAGAACATCACACAGAATATTCTTTCACTAAAGATACTGGATAAATGAGGTGTCACAGTAAAATATAACTCTTGTCCTTACTACGTGATACAATATTATAAACTTAAGCAAAATAAAATTAGGACAGTTTCACAAAGAATCAAATTCATTATAAAACAGGGAAGGTAAAAAATCTATTCAATACCCCAAATCGGAATCTGAGTGAAGCTGAAGAACTGATGGATCTGTATCCCAATGCAGCGTCCTAAATGGTTGTAGGACAACCATGAAGCATTAGCAAAAAAGGCCATAAGTTAGTCAAGCAAATACATTCTATGAATAGCTAAAGCTAAAGTACTATTCACAATTAAAAAACACATGTTCTGGTTAGTATTAAAAAAAAAAAATCGAAAACAAAACAAGAAATCCACCAGGTCACTCAATCATCTAGTGCATGCAATAGGCTTCCTATGGTTAAAGATGCAAGCATACAACCCAGAATAGTTAAAAGACATTATTTGCAGATTATGGGAAACTAATATTGTATAATAATAGATCTGCTTTAGAACAACTAAAGTCAGACAACCCAAGTTAATTATTTATGGATAACAAGCTAGGCTATAAAATGGTTGAAATTTTAAGATTCCTAATGAAAACAAACACATTAAAACATCTTGGTTAACATATTCTAATCTTCCCCAAAGCATTACATGTGTGCAGGAAATTGTCATACTGGTAAAGGAAATGAGTCAACACATAAGCCTTTTGGTAATAAAACCAAAGACTATCCCACTGGGATACAAAATAGCTAAAGTTTCCAAAATGTGACCCTTCTGTAATTTATGGGTTAAGCACCGCCTTGGGCTTACGTATCATCTGCTTAAAGAAAACAACTAAAGATTTCTGTCTCTAGGAAAAAAATAGATTTTTCCCTGGAAAAATATTTTATGTTCAAATGTCAATCCTAAATATTGAGTTATAAGTTTTAGCATCGCCTGCTGGCTAAGTAACTTACAGAGGATCTTTTCCACTTAAGCCAAACTTAGTTACTAATAGAACAAAAGGTGCTTTATCATACTGGCATTTATATAGGTTAGCAATATATAAGATAATTATGTATGGTACTGTATAATGCTCATAGTCCCCACTAAATAAAGTTAAGCACAATACATTTAGTATTACCATTTTTGTCAAATATATTTTTCACTTATGTAAGACATTATAATTTATAACTAGTTTTAGTTGCTACAATGTTTTAATACAACAAATGGTTTCTCTACCTGCCTATATAATTTATCAAGAAAAATAGTAATGAATTAATCTAGAGAAATCCTTCATTTAAAAAATATAAAGAAAGATCTTGGAATTTAAACAAGGTTATGTGTATGCAATGTAAGAAGCAGCCACAGTGAAGATCTACTTTGTACTAAGCAATGAATAGCAACAAGCTTAGGCTTTGTTAAATCAAAAGTTCTATGAGATGGTCTCCAAGGAATGTTCTGTCATTTACATTATGTAAGAGCTCTGTTATCAATGACATAAAATTCCTTGTTGAGGATGTCATTTTAGTCTAAAATCAAGTAACACTGTACCTCAAAATACAGCCAGTACTGAAAATGCACTGGACATACCTGTACATTATTACATTTATTAGGGGCATCTTCAGGCACATAGAGTACAATTCCAAGTACAAAGCTTGAGAAGTAAACTGATCAAAAATGGAAAAATGGGCCAGGCACGGTGGCTCACACCGGTCATCCTGGCACTTTGGGAGGCCGAGGTGGGCAGATCACTTGAGGTCAGGAGTTCGAGACCAGCCTGGCCAACGCGATGAAACCCCATCTCTACTAAAAATCAAAAAGTAGCTGGAAACCATCATTCTCAGCAAACTATCACAAGGACAAAAAACCAAACACCGCATGTTCTCACTCACAGGTGGGAATTGAACAATGAGAACACTTGGACATAGGAAGGAGAACATCACATACCGGGGCCTGTCGTGGGGTGAGGGGAGGGGGGAGGGATAGCATTAGGAGACATACCTAATGTAAATGATGAGTTAATGAGTGCAGCACACCAACATGGCACAAGTATACATATGTAACAAACCTGCACATTGTGCACATGTACCCTAGAACTTAAAAGCATTAAAAAAAAAAAAAGTAGCTGGGTATGGTGACACACACCTGCAATCCCAGCTACTGGGGAGACTGAGGCAGGAGAGTTGCTTGAACCCAGGAGGCAGAGATTGAAGTGAGCCGAGATCACGCCATTGCACCCCAGCCCGGACAACAGAGCAAGACTCTGACTCAAAAAAGAAAAAAAAAAAAAAGGAAAAAAGGAACAAGAGGCCTGGATTACCCCACTGAATAATTGTTCCTAAATTTTTGAGATAACAAATGTAATGCAGCTTCCTAATCTGCAAAGTTAGAGAGAGATTATTTCTCACGACCTTTTATATTTATTCATAAATTACCACCAGTCCCAAAAGAAATTCTTGGCACTTAGAGTGATTCAAACATGTTTAGACAGCATATTTTATAATGTCTTATCTATTCCTACTCCCTGAGTGTATTAATCTTAGACCATCTTAGCCAACTGAAGTTGCACGTACAGGTGCATGCACACATCTCACATGTCTTCATGTATTTTCCTATTATATTTCTTCTAATTGTCTTTATTCTTACATTAACATCGTGTTTGCTCAATATGAGTTCATTAGGTTTCATTCTGAGACCTGGGCACTCTTTTTAAATGTCACATATTTAGAAATGCATTATTTCACTGCCAATATCACCATCACAATATTAATTACCTCTATGAAAGCTGGATATGATTTAGTAGAATTCATCATTTTCTATTACTCTGTGTGTGTGTGTGTGTGTGTGTGTGTGTGTGTGTGTGTGTGTATATATACATAAAAATGAATATACTCAGCCCTCTTGAAAATTAATGTTTCCAAGTGAGTCTGTGCTCTCAAAGGAGACAACGTACATATTAAGGTTAAAAAGATGTGGCTGGGTGCGGTGGCTCAAGCCTGCTACCCCAGCACTTTGGGAGGCTGAGGTGGGTGGATCACCTGAGGTCAGGAGTTCGAGACCAGCCTGGCCAACATGGTGAAACCCTGTCTTTACTAAAAATACAAAATTAGCTGGGCGCGGTTGTGCATGCTTGTAATCCCAGTTACTTGGGAGGCTGAGGCAGGAGAATCGCTTGAACGTGGGAGGTGGAGGTTGCAGTGAGCCAAGATCGTGCCACTGCACTCCAGCCTGGGCAACAAGAAGGAAATGCCATCTCAAAGAAAAAAAGAAAGATGTAAGGTCACCTCACTCAAAAAGAGGATTTTTCTCTCCGTTAAACTCACAAGAAACCAATTTTGTATTCATTATCTAACAAGAACAAATACTTTAAAAAATATTAACTATTTGTTTTTGTGTTTTACAATTTATCATTAAAAAAACTATGCTTCACACTAAACATAGCACACTACCCTTAGGGCTTTCCAATAAAGTCAACAGTATCTTTAAATTAATGATGTAATCACTACAATGTAAATTCTATGAAAGCAAGGACCATGAATGTTTTATCTTCTGTGGTAAACCATAGTATTTTAATAAAGTTGGTAACTTAATATTTGTTCTATACATGAATAAATATTTTTCTTACCATTATTACTCCCTGTATTAATTTACAATATTCTAAAAGGTCTCTAATAATCTCTGGGTTGTCCATAAAACTCATGGGGACATGTTTTAATTCACATTAATTTAAAAAACTTAAGTGTCAAAGTACTTTTGAAAGCAAACTTGCTGACACTGAATTAAAATAATCTACTATTCAAAATCAGGAACGATGAGTCATAATGTACACAGTATAGTATCTACATAAAAATAATGTATAATATCAAATAAAGACATTTAATAAATATAGTAATTTTTAATCTTGGGAAACATTTTTACTATGGTAATGTTGTAGAAGGGAAAAAAAAACGCTTTCACTTAAAAATGCCAGTTGATTATTAATTGTCTAAAGGAATAGTGGCTGGGTGCAGTGGCTCATGCCTATAATCCCAGCACGTTCGGAGGCCAAGGTGGGTGGATCACTTGAGTCTGGGAATTCGAGTCCAGCCTGGGCAATATGGCAAAACCCTGTCTCTATAAAAAATACAAAAATTAGCCAGGCATGATGGTGCGTGCCTGCAGTCCCAGCTACTCGGGAGGCTGATGTGGGAGGATCGTTTGAGCCCAGGAGGCAGAGGTTGCAGTGAGCCAAGATTGCGCCACTGCCCTCCAGTCTGGGTGACAGAGACCCTGTCTGCAAAAAAAATAAAAAATAAAGGAATAATGACATATTTGTATAAAAATATAGAAGCACAAAATATGAAAAAAAATTTTAACCCTATAAAAATGAATTTACACTAGACAAATTGTCTTTATTCTGTAATGCATACTATTTTATAAGGTAATAACATTATTTCTAAAAAGAAAATTTTGATTTTCCTTAAATGAAAGAGTTATGTCATTTTCCTCCAAAGATAGTATAGCTTAGATTTGTGATTTTGGTTCTATTTGGAAAGCACTTCTCAAATTCAAGCTGGCAAGCTTTATGTGCCTTTTAATTGTTAATGATAACCTGATTATTCAAGAGCTGATTGAAGTATTGAGTTTACAGATCATCCAGCCACCTTGCTTTTTTTTTCTTGCCCTGTCTTTTAGATATTTATTACTGGTTTGTAACTTCAACTAGAGGGACTCAGGCATAAAAAGCTTAAAACTTCTAACAGCTTATGTCTTATTAAAAGGTGTGTTAAGAGATTTTCTTGGTGAGGACATGCAACTTCCTGGCCCAAAATAAGCATTCTTAATCAGCTGTGGATTTTGACTACCTATGTTTAATTTCATTTCAGAAGTCAAAAAGTACATTTAATACTCACTATTTTGTGTGTGTGTGTGTGTGTGTGTGTGAGAGAGACAAAGAGGAATAAGTAGTAATACTTTTCCCAATATGATCTTTGAAAGAAAGCTGAAATCTTACTGAACTTTTGAAAAGCAAGTCCCAACATGTATGCAGGATCCTAAAACAAACACGAAATGTAATTTTACAAGGAAGATGCAAGTTCAGGAATGCTTGACAGTAAACATTCTCAATGTTGTCCTTAGCAGTTATTCCTTACTCTTGACATTTTATGCATTATTATTCTCTATCTTAATTAGCAGAACTAATGACTTAATAGAACAGAATTGAACTGTTTAACAGAATTGTTTACATTTTCAATTACTGAATGGGGAATCAAGCACAAGAGAGAGGTTTTACACTATTTACACCCAAAACATTCACGTAATAACCAACAAAAAGTTTAAACAGAAAAATCTAAAAGCATTAATATCTCTATTTTTAATATAAAATAATTAGCATAAAACCGGTTGACTATTTAGTACTAAGTTAATTAAATGTGACAGTTAAAATATTATTAAAAAAAAACAAAGAAACCTTTTTTTTCTCCCAGTGTCCAACAGAGAATTTCTATGCCATTTTAGATTTTAAAATGTTAGGACTAACTCGACACAACTATTTAGAGTCCCTTTAAAGTATCAACAGTATTTGGGCACTGAATGCATTCTATCATTAAAACATTAAAAGGAAAATTACTGTACCTAGATCCCACGGCGCCATCTCCAGAGTCTTGGCTTCCAGCTTCACTTGGAGTGCTCACAGATTTGGAGGATGGAGACATAGGAGGAGGGACTAAATAGTGAAATAGACAGGTATCCGCTGTTACTACACGGAGAGGTTGCTCAGCTTATGACGTTTCAAAAATAATTTAATGAAGTAATTAACAAAAAAGAAAAAAACAATGGCAAACCAAAAATCAAAAATATATGAATGAAAATGAACAGCAGAAAGAAAGGGGAAAAGACAAAAAGTTAACAATGCATGCTGAAGATTCATGCAATTTTTCTGGCAAAATGCATTTGAGCTTTATAATTTTTTTAAAAAGGCAAGATTATGGAAGGATGCATCTTCATCTCATCCATCACCAAATGTGGCCACTAATTTTCAAAGGAGAGCATTCCTTCTCCCCCTTGTAACTTTTCACTTTTAATATCACCAGATTATAAATATTATTTACAATTGCTGCCAAAATTCAACTCTGAAATATGTTTCATTAAGTTATTTAATCTCTAGTTTCTCAAGATTTATTTTAAAATATTAACTTTTGTCTAATAATTTTTTCTTTCAAAAAGTAATGTTTAAAATGATTTCACTGCCTCCCCCCCAAAAAAAGATATCAATTTAGAGAAATGACTGCAGCTAAAGGAATGGCTCCTTTAAAATGTTCATTAGTTTCCAGCAATTTGGGTGAAAAATGCAAACAGGCAATAAAACAGCATGCCTTCTAGACATTATGCATAACATAAAGTGATGCATGCAAATAAACAAGGCAAGACTTATGGGAACTTCCTTACCCCAGTATTCAGAAAAAACTGAAGTGTACAGACAAAGATACAGACACCCAAAATATTCTTAATCCCTTCTTATAGAAAAATACACATTTTTCATAGTATATAAAATAAACAGCAAGTGCTTTCCCCTAGATCCTCAACTTTTAACATTATATAACAACAGCTGAACGTGCACATTTCATGCTATGACATTTGTAAAACTTTTTGATTACCGTTGCAGGGAGTATAGGAGGATCATCACTGCCATCTTCTGGTTAAATTTTATCATAAATGTCCCCAATCCCAAGTATCTTTTCAAAATAATTTTTCAGTGTATGATATTAAGTGACTAATACAGTTTATGTTGAGCTGAAAGCCCTTCTTTTAACAGTCTACTGAAAAGAAGGCAAGTTCCTAGTTATATAGGAACTAAAGAAATAAGTATTTAATTAAAAGTCTGTGTTTTTTAGGATAGTCACATTCATTGAACCTTAAAATTATGTCTAAATGTTTATACACGCTGCAGTAAAAACAGTGGGCTTGGTAATCTATCAAAATGTATAATATATTATGATGGCTCACATCTTAAACATAAGTATAAAACTGATCATCCTTATTTTTTCAATGGTAAATTCTAATTGACACCAATAAGATTATAAGAAAAAAAAATCACAACTAGAATATTTCTTTCCTAAGATACAGTGGCTAACTGCTTAAATTTCAAAGGACTATAAAAACTTCATCAATGTTTCTAATATTGTGATTAAATGTGTCAGAAACAACTATAAGACCAGATAGCTTCCTATAGTTTACATGTAGGTGGCACTGTGCTAGGTGCTGTATGTATAATTCAAAGTACCTAAAAATGATTTTCATCTAAAGTAGAAGAATATTAATGTCCCTTAATTTATCTTAGGTTACATTTCTTCATTTTTTGTCCATCTTTCACTGTGAGGCTTCCCCTAGTCTAAGTCCCAACTGATATAGGACTAGAGTAATACTTAACAGTTGTTTGCCTACTGTGCTGTAAACACAAATAAATGTTTATTAAATTATAGTGAGGCACCACAATGTTTTCAAGATTTTTAAAGAAGAAATTTTGTATGCTTTAAATTACATACCTAATTTCATACTCAGAAAAACAATTTTTCCAAGTGTACATATCAGAGGTTGGAGGAAAATTAGTAAAATTCCCATCAATCTATTTGTGATGAACTACAGAATTCTTTTTCAGTTTAACATGCTTTTCCCCCTTTCTGATGATTTCAAGTATCAATGACTCCACTGAACAAGTTCAACAGTATTTTACTTGGTTAAAGACTACATTTTTAAAAAATGTTAATCAAAATTCTTTACAGAAACAGGCTAAATACTAATTACACAGATAAACAGATACATTAACAGCCAGTTCTGAAATAAAAGTTTCAGAAATAAAAAATAAAAGGGTGATGCTACCATATTATCACAGTTTCTTAGCCAAAGCCAAAATAAATCACAGTGACTTCACATTTGTAATTATATAAATATCTCCATCCCAGAACTATCTTCTTTCTCCCAAATATAGGTTCAAGCCAAATGATGGAAAAGACTCTATAAAGGACTCTTAGCTATTATCTGAGCCACAGCTACATTTTGCAATAATAAATAATGTATACCACAGAAGGGACAATCCTAGAAAAAAATTACTATCATTACAAAAGGAGGAATATTAATTTTTAAAAAGGGGAATGATAGTGTTATTTGGTAACTGCTACATTTTAATCCAATTAATCTAGAAAAATCAAAGAATACTAGAATTATGCAAGAAGGCAAATACCACTATATTCCCAGACTTCAATAAACCCCTGAGAACAAATGAATGCATGCATTCAGGAGGCCAAAACAAAACAGAAACACTAATCAACTCACAGGTTCTCAAATGTAAGAAAAGACTCACTTCTGGAATTCATTTTTAAAGACAGTTTGTAAGTCTAATCAGCCTTGAAAATAACATAAACCATTACTAATTAATTTTTGCCAAGTATCTGAGATATGATCTGCTTAGTAAGAACAGTGATTCAATCAGATTACCTTTACTCCACAGTTCTGCACATAAACAGCCTAAAACAGGTTTTAAATGGTATAAAGTAAAGGAATTAATATAAACATAGGTGAATATGTTAATGAATTTCAGCTTCTTAGAAGTTTAGAGCACAGATACCTATTCTCTTCTTTGACAACTGTCACAGAAGAAAAAAAAAAAGAAAAAAAAAAAAAGCTAAACCATGGCAGTCACTGATCATGTAGGTAATGTGAGAAAGACTGTACTTCTTTAACTATCCAGGACAAAAAGGCAATCAAGAAAGCCTTTCCTACCAGCTTAGACCTTGTCCTTCCAAGGATATAAAATTAACACTGCTGGCTTCTGGCCTGTGAAGAAACAACTAGAATATTTTTAGACCACAAAGGACCTGGGAATGCACCTAGATTTAGAATTAGCATTAAGTCTGGGTCAACCACTCAGAACTACACAGAAGTCTCAAGGGCAAAGGATGGCACATAGCTGAATTATTTTTCAAGTAGAAGAAAGCCTCTGGCAAGAAGGGGTTTTTATCAGGAAGAAAGACCTGGAAAAGGTAGAAAGCTAAGGAAGGTGAATGTAGGGAATGGGAGTGTTGGTAGAAGACTGTGAAATGGAAGGAGTGAGCTTTTGGGATGCGTGGAACCCAAAGTTGTGAAGTCTCTTCTAAGGTCATCAATGATACTCAGTACTCAAACACAGTCCACGTTACAATAATGCCCCCTTCTGGACACAAGTGTTCTTAGCCCGGAATATTAAAATTTAAATAACTACCTATTTTTCATACCTTACTTTTTTTTGACCTTCTGAAAGATGTTACTTTAAACCTTAACTCTCTGAAATATTAATTTCTTCCTTCCCCTTGCTCTTTCTCTTCATAATGAGGTTTAAATATCCTCTACTAATCTCTCGTAAGAGTTTCATTTCCTTTATTCTCCTTGTCAATGTGATTTAGAGCATTACATTAAAAAAAAGAAATTAATAAGTGAAAATAACATTTTAGCTCGGGTGTGATGTGTCATGCCTATAATCTCAGCACTTTGGGGGACTGAGGCAAAAGGATTCCTTGATCCTAGAAATTTGAGACAAGCCTGGCCAGCATAACAAGACTCTGTCTCTACAAAAAATCAGCTGGGCATGGTGGCGCATGGCTGTAGTCCCAGCTACTCAGGAGGCTGAGGCGGGAGGATTGTTTGAGCCCAGGAGGTCAAGGCTGCAGTGAGCCATGGTTGCACCACTGTATTCCAGCCTGGGTAACAGAGTGAGGCCCTGTCTCAAAAAATAATTAAATTAAACAATACGATTTAGTTGTTGTCCTAAAGCAGAATGGCTTTAATTCGCCCTTACCAGGCGGTAAGACATGACCTAGTAATAATGGAACAAAAATTTAGGTGTCTAGCCTGTGATGGCACCAGAGGTAAAAATGTAAGTAATATATTCTCCTTGCTCTCAAGAATCTCTAACAAAAAGTCATCAAGTTGCCAAATAATTAAGAATCTACCAGTAGGCAGGGACAGTGACTCATGCCTGTAATCCCAGCATCTTGGAAGGTCAAGGCAGGAGGATCGCTTAAAGCCAGGAGTTTGATACCAGCCTGCACACTCAGCCTGTAGAGATGGGTGAGTCCCCATTTCTACAAAAACAAAAAAATTAGATGGCTATGGTAGTGTGAACCTGTAGTCCAAGCTACTTGGGAGGCTGAGGTGAAAGTACTGCTTGAGCCTGGAGGTAGAAGCTGCAGTTTGTGCCACTGTACTCCAACCTGAACAACAGAGTGAGACTGTTTAAAAAAAAAAAAACTACCAGCAAAGAAAAGTTATGAGAGGTTTGATTAGCTGTATCTCTTTTTTCTTTAAACCAATTGTTTTTAGTAGGAAAAAAAAATCCACTTTAGGAAAACAATAGATTGATTTTTTAAAATAAACCCAGTGTTTTTATACTTCTATGCTTTAAAAATATTTAATAAGGAGTACATTCTATATTGAAAAGAAAAACAAGTATCCATCCTAAGTCATGATACAAAATAGATTTTTTACTGTGGTTTACTGTCAAAAAAGGTTTGAAAGCCATGGCCTTCATCCGTATCCTGTATTTTTCAGGCCAAATTACAAATAAATACTGGACTTGTAGGCATATGTTTTAAGGATTATGAAATGCACTTAGCCTAATTTTCTAACGGTAATGAGATCTTCAGAAAGCCTTTAACCCTTCACAGGTTCCATTATAATGGTAAATCTGCCAACAAGAAAGGGAAACATCATTTAGAAATAAGAACCTCAAAGAAAGGAAAAGATGTAGATCTAACTTGGAAACTTAAATTCTTAAATCTAAATACAGTGTTAACCTTTTCTGGGAAGGAACAGCCAACCCTTTGTTCATAGCTATTTGGAGAAACTGGTAATTCAACTGTTAATCAGCTCATGCTGCTTTGATAAACACAATCTCACATGCCTACACATTATTGAAAATTTCAAATAGATATCATAAGCTAAATAAATTAAAGCAATGACATTTGGCTTGTTTTTCAAAGCATATTTATTTACTGCTCCCTACAATGTTCTATCTTGACCAGAATTGAGTCTCCACTCTTAATTACTGACAGCTAAAAACTCTGAAGTCAAATAGTTCACAACAGATAAGCTAATATTTAATCAAGAGGAAGATACTATTCCGCCCCACTCAGAAAAACCTTTGTTGAAAATTATGCCAGATAGTATACTCTGTAAAAAATTTTTTATTAATAATCTATTTATAAAATGACTGGAGATAAAATATGCTACCTTCCCCACTGTCTTATAACTAATCCAAATACTCAACAAAGTTTAAATCATATATAAAATGTTCTTCAAAACCTTTCTATAGCCAATCATGTTCACTAGGGACATTTTTATTTTAAAAAGTAGCTACTTAACTAAATTATCTCTCCATGGCTTAATTTAGTAATAACATTAAACTAACAGTATGAAGTTTAATGGTATCTTTCTTCCTTCTCCCTTTCTCTCTTGTATCTACACTCATAAACAAACAAAAAAAAAGTTGGCATAAAGAAAAACAGCAAGGGGCTGGGCACAGTGGCTCACACCTATAATCCCAGCACTTTGGGAGGACCAGGTGGGTGGATCACTTGAGGTCAGGAGTTCGAGACTAGCCCGGCCAACATGGTGAAACCCCGTCTCTACCAAAAATACAAAAATTAGCTGGGCTTGTTGGCAGATGTCTGTAATCCCAGCTACTCAGGTGGCTGAGGCAGGGGAATTGCTTGAACCTGGGAGGTGGAGATCGTGCCACTGCACTCCAGCCCGGGAGAGAGAGCAAGACTCCGTCTCCAAAAAAAAGAAAAATAGCAGGGGAATGATCTCTTTTAAAGTTTATAGTCTAAACATGCCCATTCAAGATGAATATAAAAATACAATACTAATACTACAATATTTACCCCAGCAAAAAGCTTGTTTTTGAGTTCAAATCCATTAAGATAAAATCAGTTTGTTATTGGCTACAAATGGTTTATCAAGACATATTTTTTATTTTAACCAACTTTTCTCAGAGTCAACTCTCAAAAATCAGAGTCACCTAAGACAGGCTATAAAACTAGGATAATTGGCCAGGCACAGTGGCTCACACCTGTAATCCCAGCACTTTGGGAGGCTGAGTAGGGTGGATCACGAGGTCAGGAGATTGAGACCATCCTGGCTAACACGGTGAAACCCCATCTCCACTAAAAATACAAAAAATTAGCCGGGCGTGGTGGCGGGCGCCTGTAGTCCCAGCTACTTTGGATGCTGAGGCAGGAGAATGGCGGGAACCCAGGGGGTGAAGCTTGCAGTGAGCCAAGATCACGCCACTGTACTCCAGCCTGGGCGACACAGCAAGACTCTGTCTCAAAAAAACAAAAAACAAAAAACAAAAAAACTAGGGTAATTGAAAGCTGGTTATAGTTACGATTAAACAAGCCAGTCTTTAGTCTCTACAGTAGTTTGGTTTAGTGACCCATCTAAGACACTATCCTGCTTAAAACTCTATTAAAATGCCTTTCATCACTTATAAGGCTACGATTTTTTTAAATGTTGAAATCTCTCAGAAAATCCCTCAAAAATTTGTGACTTTGATTTATGGGTAAATTCTCTGTGAATGTGGGCTGGACTTAGTGTTTCTCTTCCAATGGACAGAATGTGGCAGAGGTGATGCTTTGTGACTTCCAAATCTAAGTCATAAAAAGGACAGTTTTCTTCTGACTCTCTTTTTCTCTTCGATTGCTCACTCTGGGAGAACCCAGCTAACATGCTACCAGGATACTCAAGTAGATCCGTGGAGTGGCCCACGAGGATGGGAACTCAGCTGTCCCACTAGCAACCAACACCAACTTGCCAGCCATGTGAACGAACCACCATGAAAGCAAGTCCTCGAGCCTCAGTCAAGACTTCAGATCACTAAAGCTCTAACTGAAATCTTGACTTTGACCCAATGAGAGAAGTTGAGCCAGAACCACCTAGCTAAGCTGCTACCAAATTCTTGACCAGCAGAAACTATAAGAGATAATAAATGTTTATTGTTTTGGGGAGAAAAAAACAGACATAAGAAGAAATAGAAAATCTGAAGAGACTATAACCATTAAAAAAACTTGAGCAGTTAGGGAGGCCAAGGCGGGAGGATCACTTGAGGCCAGGAGCTTGAAACCAGCCTGGGTAACATAGCGAGACCCCATCTATACAAAAAAAAATTTTTTAAACTAGCCAGGCATAGTGATACCTGCCTGTAGTCCCAGCTACTTAGGAGGCTGAGGCAGGAGGACTTGAGCCCAGGAGACTGAAGCTACAGTGAGCTGAGATCACACCACTGCACTCCAGTCTCGGCCACAGACTGAGACCCTGTCTCTAAACTGCACCCCCGCCCGCCGCCACACACACACACACACACACACACACACACACACACACACACTCCAAATGATGAATAACCCCTGCTCTCTACTCTCTGTAGAAAAAAGTCATAATCAAGGCAGTTTTAAAATGGAAATCTAATGAGCTTTTAAGAAACAGGCATCTTTTATAAATTATTCTACAAAATAGCAAAAGCAAAAACTGACCAATTTATTTTAAAACCATAACCATGATGACCAATGAACATGGATAGTATAAGAAAATCAAAGGCAAATTTCATTCATTAGTACATATACAAAAAACCCTCAATAAAATATTAGCTAATCTTTTCCTTTTCTTTTTTTTTGAGACGGAGTCTCACCCTGTTGCCCAGGCTGGAGTGCAATGGCGCGATCTCGGCTCACTGCAACCTCTGCCTCCCGAGTTCAAGCGATTCTCCTGCCTCACCCTCCAGAGTAGCTGGGATTACAGGTGCCTGCCACCATGCCCAGCTAATTTTTGTATTTTTAGTAGAGACGGGGTTTCACCATTTTGGCCAGGCTGGTCTCGAACTCCTGACCTTATGATCTGCCTGCCTCGGCCTCCCAAAGTGCTGGGATTACAGGCGTGAGCCATCATGCCCAGCCTAGCTAATCTATTTTTAAAATACATGCAGGCCAGGAGTGGTGGCTCACACCAGTAATCCTAACACTATGGGAGGCTGAGGTGGGTGGATTGCTTGAGCTCAGGAGTTCAAGACCAGCCTAGGCAACACGGCGAGACCCTGTTTCTTTTCTTTTCTTTTGAGACAGAGTCTCGCTCTGTCACTCAGGCTGGAGTGCAGTGGCGCCATCTCGGCTCACTGCAAGCTCCACCTCCCGGGTTGACTCCATTCTCCTGTCTCAGCCTCCCAAGTAGCTAGGACCACAGGCGCCCACCACCACACTCGGCTAATTTTTTGTATTTTTAGTAGAGATGGGGTTTCACCATGTTAGCCAGGATGGTCTCGATCTCCTGACCTCGTGATCCGCCCGCCTCAGCCTCCCAAAGTGCTGGGATTACAGGTGTGAGCCACCGTGCCTGGCCTGTGAGACCCTGTTTCTACTAAAAATTTAAAAATTAGCTGGGTGTGGTGGCAGCACATGCCTGTAGTCCCAGCTACCCGGGTGGTTGAAGTGGGAGAATTGCTTAAGCCTGGGAGGCGGAGGTTGCAGGGAGCCAAAATCGCACCACTGCATTCCAAAATGGGTGACAAAGTGAAACCCTGTCTCAAAAAATAAAAAAAAGAGATAAAATACATGCAAAAACTCATCTGCCATGCCTAGAGGTGACTATGAGTAATTAAAGCAAAAAAGTAAACATGTCTCCTGCTTTTCTAACATTTAGGGTAACCAAAACCCCTAGTTATTGAGAGAAAGCTCCCCTTTACAGAAGAGCTTTAGCCAATAAATGCAGAAAGAATGGCAGAATTACAAAAACAATGCTGCAACTCTTAATTAAATAACTTAGATGAGGATCATCGATGAGTATTAACACCATCAGATAAAAGGCTGATAAAGAAATTAATAGTCACATAGTGCCCAAGTATCACCCTCAGATATTACCTATTAGTCACAAGGGGCTAATTATGATGGAGAGATCAGGTTATCACAATTGTAACCCAATAATCAAGCTTAGCATTGCTCAATAGCCAGAGATGTGCTACTAATATGATACAATATGAAGGACACAACATCACTTATGAGATTTTCTTGCCAAAAAAGTTCAGCCTAAAGTGAATCAAGCTTCTTTTCTTTTCTTTTCTTTTCTTTTCTTTTCTTGAGATAGGGTCTTGCTGTGTCGCTCAGGCTAGAGTTCAGTAGTGCGATCATGGCCAGCACCTTGACCTTGCAAACTCAATTGATCCTCCCACCTCAACCTCCACAGTAGCTAGGACTACAGGTGCCTGCTATCATGCCTGGCTAATTTTGTTTTTCTTTTTTTTTTTTTGTAGAGACAGGGTCTTGCCATGTTGCCCACGCTAGTCTTGAACTCCTGGGCTCAAGTGATCCACCTACCTCAGCCTCCCAAATATCTTTCTTCGTTCTTCCTTTCTCTCTCATATCCCAAAGTAATGGGATGACAGGTGTGAACCACCACACACAGTTCGAATTAGATCAAAATTGAGCTTTTAAATCTAACTTCCAGTTTAAAGGAAATATAAGGGATAAAAGCTAAATGTGAGAATGCCATCAGACAAACCCAGGAGGGGAGACAGTCTACAAACCAATTGGCCCACCCTCTTCAACAAGTAGATATCATGAGGCAAAAAGTAGTATGTGTGTGGAGAATATTCAAGATTTTTAAAAATTAGGAAGGGTGTAGTGGCTCATGCCTGTAATCCCAGCACCTTGGGAGGCCAAGGCAGGAGGATCGCTTTGAGCCCAGGAGTTCAAAGCCAGCCCTGGCAACATAGTGAGACCCCATCTCTATAAAAAAAAACAAAAACAAAAACAAAACAAAAAAATTAGTTGGGCATGGTGGTGTGCACCTATGTTCCCAGCTACTTGGGAGGCTGAGGTGAGAGGATCGCTTGAGCCTGGGAGGTTGAGGCTATAACAAGCCATGGTTGCACCACTGCATTCCAGCCGAGGTGACAGAGCAAGACCTTGTCTCAAAAATAATAATAATAATAATAATTAAGAAAAATAAAAACATATAGCAATGCAATGTATGTATGGTACAGCAACACTTTGGAGGGAAACAAACTAAATTTCTTGAGGAAAGAAAAATGTTTGTGAACCTAGGACTATTTTGTAAAAGGAACAAAGGGGGTGATTTTCTGTATCAGAAATTAGAATATAATACAAAGGTGCAGTAATTAAAACTGGGTTGTGTAGAACCAAACAAATAGATTCATAGTGAAAATAGAGAGCCCAGAAATGCCCATAAATATATGGGAATTTACTGTATGACAAAGTTGGCATCGGACTTCAGTGGGGGAAAAGATAGACTAACAAATGGCACTGAGAAAATTAGCTACCTATATAGAGAAAAATTAGGTTGGATCCCTACCTCATACTATTTTTAAAAATATAACCCAAATATCTACATGTGAAGGGTAAAACTATAAAATTAATAGGAAAAACATAGAAGAATATATT
This sequence comes from Homo sapiens, assembly GCF_000001405.40. Taxonomy (NCBI): domain Eukaryota; kingdom Metazoa; phylum Chordata; class Mammalia; order Primates; family Hominidae; genus Homo; species Homo sapiens. The sequence continues at coordinate 171,696,530 of NC_000002.12, read as the reverse complement.
TGCATCCACAATGTAGGAAACAATTTCTTTTTAAAAAAGACCAAAAGCACACAAAAAAGGGTTATACAGGTTGAGTATCCCTTACCCAAAATGTTTGGGACCAAAGGTGACAGATTATTTTGGATTTTTGACTATTTGCATTATACCTAGCAGTTCAGTATCCTAACTTAAAAATCTGAAATCTGAAATTCTCTAATCAGTATTTCTTTTGAGTGTCATGTTGGTGCTTAAAGTGTTTCAGATTTTGGGGCATTTTGAATGCTGAATTTTTGGATTAGGAATACTTAGCCTGTAATTGCTAGATTTGATCATATCAAAATGAAGGATTTGATCATATCAAAATAGAGGATTCTGTTCAATGAAGAATATTATAAGCAGTTAACAGATTAGAAGGGTTTTTAAAAAGACTAAAACAGACAAAAGTCCTCCCTAAAATATACAAAATACACAAAGAATGCCTATACATCAGAAGATAAAGAACCTCAATCATAGTAAATGGGGAGAAGGACATGAATATGCAGTTCACAGAAGGGAAAACTTGAATGGTTAAAAGATATATAAAGAGGTGGTCAACCTCACTGTAATCAGATAAATGTATATTAAAACATTTTGGTGTACCACTTTATACTCATCAAGTTAGCAAAAATTAGAAAGCTGGATAATATCCAGTCATCATGTGAATATGGTAAAGCAGTTACTTTTTCATGCACTGGTAGCGGGCGGGTAAACTTTGTAGCCATTCTGGAGAGTGACACGCAGAACCTAATTAAGCTAAGTCTTATATACAATAACATAGCAAGTAAATTCTTGGGGATACACCCCAGAGAAAGTATTCCACAGTCCTCAAGGGAAAAAACACATATTTTTTGCAGTGTTGCTTATGATAGTAAAGCAAAGAGACAAAAGGAAACTGAGTGCATAGCACTGGGGGAATGGATAAGTAAAATGTGGTACATAATAGGATATTATATATTAGAAATAAATGACTAAATACGTATATAGCAACATGGAATAAACAAAAGACATACAGCACTATGCCATTTATATATATAAAGTATATATACACAGAGATATGTGAAACCTTGAAAAACAGAGGATAATCTGAAGGATGTATGTTAAAAATTCAAAAGTGGGCCGGGCATGGTGGCTAACACCTGTAATCCAAGCACTTTGGGAGGCCGAAGAAGGCGGATCATGAGGTCAGGAGTTCGAGACCAGCCTGGCCAACGTGGTGAAAGCCCGTCTCTACTAAAGATACAAAAAATTAGTCAGGTGTGGTGGCACGTGCCTGTAATCCCAGCTACTTGGGAGGCTGAGGCAGGAGAATCGCTTAAACTCGGGAGGTGGAGGTTGCAGTGAGCTGAGATCACGTGATTGCACTACAGCCTGGGCGACAGGGCAAGACTCCGTCTCAAAAAAAAAACCAAAAACCAAACAAATAAACAAACAAAAACTGCAAAAGTGGTCACTTAATGCATTAGTGGGAATGAGAATGGAATTAGAGATGAGAAATGAGGGACACATACACAAACCCTAAAGAATGGTCTTTCAAGAATTAATGATGGAGATGGGCCATTGATACAGTTTGGACATCCCCTCCAAATCTCTTGTTGAGATGTAATCCCCAGTGTTGGAAGTGGGGCCTAGTGGGAGATGTTTGGGTCATGGAGGCGGATCCCTCACGGTTTTGTTTAAAACTGTGTGGCACCTCCCCCCACCTCTTGCTCTTGCTCACTGCATGAGACATGCTGACGCCCCTTTGCCTTCTGCCATGATTAGAAGCTTCCTGAGGCCTTGCCACAAGAAGCCAGCAACATACTTCCTGTAAAGCTTGCAGAGCCATGAGCCAATTAAACCTCTTTTCTTTTTTTTTGAGACGGAGTTTCACTCCTGTTGCCCACACTGGAGTGCAATAGCCAGATCTCAGCTCACCACAACCTCTGCCTCCCAGGTTCAAGCAATTCTCCTGCCTCAGCCTCCTGAGTAGCTGGGATTACAGGCATGCGCCACCACGCCCACCTAATTTTGTATTTTTAGTAGAGACGGGGTTTCTCCGTGTTGGTCAGGCTAGTCTTGAACTCCCGACCTCAGGTGATCCGCCCACCTCGGCCTCCCAAAGTGCTGGGATTACAGGCGTGAGCCACCCCACCCAGCCACCTCTTTTCAAGTTACCCAGCCTCAGTATTTCTTTATAGCAACACAAAGAACTAACCCAGCCATAAATTAAGAAATATGAACACTTTAGGGGTGGGTGGATCATGAGGTCAGGAGTTCGAGACCAGCCTGGCCAATATGGTGAAACCCTGTCTCTACTAAAAGTACAAAAATTAGCTGGCGTGGTGGCACAAGCCTGTAGTCCCAGCTACTCAGGAAGCTGAGGCAGAAGAATCGCTTGAACCCAGGAGGTGGAGGTTGCAGTGAGCCGAGATTGTGCCACTGCACTCCAGCCTGGGAGAGTGAGTGAGACTCAGCCTCAAAAAAAAAAAAAGAAGAAAGAAATATGAACAAGTGAGTTCAGTGAAACTAAAGTCTTAAGAAGAACATAAAAGAAAAAAAATCCTATAGGAGAAAAACAAAAGCCAAAGCACAGAAAAAAAAGGTAACTCAAACAAAGGCTAACAAGCAACTTGGTTTAGTTACAAGAAATTAAGTGTTCTGATTCATTTACTTTTAAAATTGCATGTTCAACATAAGCTTATTGAATAAATACATAAAATTAATATACTTCAGTCTTCAAATTCTACAAGAAAAGGAAAATGAGCTGAAAGAAATAACAATGAAGCTGACCATGAGAGTAGCCAGCCTTTTCATCTTGAAACCTTTTAGAAATATCAGCTCTAAGGACAGTTATGTTGCAGTTTCACAACAAGCATAGAGCATTTACAATCTCCAGTATTTGTCCCCTGGACTAGATAAAATTAGCCCACCAACTAGCCCTAAAATGTTAGGTCTCTAAAGGATAAAGGCCATGTTAAACTAAAATACTACATAATAGCACCCAGCACAGAACTATTTTAAGTAAGCATTTGTTCCTGATATGTAACTAGATTGTCCTGTGTACCTCTACTATTTCAGCTTTTTTGGTCTAGTACAGTTATCAAAATGAATAACCCAGAAAAATAATAAGATTAAGTCAAATCACTTCGAAAATAAGCCACAAAATTATCTCCCTTATTAGCATTAACAGCAGAAGGCTATAAGCTTATCCTTCCACTCCTGTACCTTTGAATACTAATATATTTTGCATTCTAACAATATAAGTCTGATTGTATCTCTCGCTAATCTCCAGAAAGGAATATAGAGTTCAGATCAGGAATCCTAGTTATCTTTGAGCTTAACACAGTATGGCACATAAAACTTGCTTAACCAATGTTTGTTGAAATAAATTACTGATTTAATAAGAGAAGTCAATTGGTAGTTCAGTATATGTTAATAATTACTCTTGCAGCTCTTTTGAACAAATAAAATAACCATGTACTAGCATATCTGAAAAAAAGACAATTCCAAATAAAAGATTAATAATTTTAGAGACACAAGGAAAATATGTAAAATATATCAAGTCAATCCACTCAGCTATGTCTGAGCTGAACAGAATCTATGCCTATCTCTTATAAATGGATATATTCTTAACCTTACCAATGGGGGATTCTGGAGTTAGCCCCATGCTTTGAAGCAATGCTTCAGCTTCTCTCCTTTTTTTTTCAAGATCTGATTCTTCTTGCACAGGAGCAACAGCTTCCTTCTTCTGGTCTGTCTAAAATGTTTAGGTTAAAAACTTATGTTTACATATAGTATGAAAAATTTGTTTGCAAAAATGTTTTAAATAATATGCTAACACTGTATACTTTTAAGGCATGAACTTAGTTTTGAGTACAGGTTAAGTTCTTTTTATAGTCATTAAATGAAAATCATTCTCAATAGAGTTCTAGTAAATAACCTTCAAATGATATGTACTAAACTGCTCTATCTTCATATGTAATCAAGGAGTTTCCACAAAAATTTTCCTAACAGACAAATTCAAGAAGTACAGTCAACTTCGAATTATCTACAGTATGAAATTGCTGTCTATGGTCAGGAATAATAGACAACTTCCCCCAAGTGGCACAAAAGGTTAGATACAATATCACATACAATGAAAAAATTAAAGTGTAATTATTTAAGAGGTAACAAATTTTAAGTGAATGACAATATGATTTGTTGAAAAAGAGTATCACAAACTTCTGTATAAAGTCTTCATTTTATTTGGGATTGTGTTTTGTAAAATTAAACTCACTTTTGCATAGCACAAAACATTTTGTTATGAAAATTTTTGTCAGCTTTTATCTCGGCTATTTATCGTTTTAGCACAATCTGCTGGTTAAACTAGATAAACCTCAATACTCTCAGATCATCCAAGACTTCTCAAGTAAAATGTAAGCTTTCCAAGGAAAAGTTTTTTTTATGTAAATCTCAAATCCCTATGCCACCTAGACAACTATTACTCAGACACTGTCTGGAGTGAATTTTGTTAGCCATAATATTCTATGCCATTTTGACTTAAAAGTCATCAGAAAAATTAATCAAAATAACAAAACAGGTTGTAATATCAAGCTGATGCTTCACTGTTGATAAAAATATATTAATAGACTCACAGTTTAATACCATTGTATTATCTCTTGTAACATTTTTATAAACTTTGTTTTTTCCCATTGGTCTGTGTGACTCAATAAGTTTTACAAGCTTTAAATTAGGTATAAATCATGCAATAGATATCCCTTAGAACCCATTTTTGCCAGTTATGGCCATCATTAGAAAACAAAAATGAAATTTGCTCTCAGCACGGAAATGTTTAGGGATATAAATATTATTTTGGAATAGCTCTGCCAACCTGAATCATGCTTCTACCAGTCAGCTTTTAATCTAATAGCTAATGTAAAGCTCCAATCCTCTTATAATGTCTCACAGAAAGGTTCAGAATAAACTAGCAAATTCTTCAATTACAGGCCTTTACAGCATCATAGTAATGCTGCACATAAATTGTACCTTCAACTTTTCTACTACTTATTTTTCTCTTAGTCCCCAAGAGATTTCTGGCAGTCTTGGCCATTATTTAGGCTACCACATATAAAAACTTGGTCCTAAAGACACACAAGAAAAACTACCTTACACTAGGTATTTAAAACATATCTGTAGTAAAAGTACACTGATATGTCTAAAGAGTTTCCATAGGGATAAAAGTATATTTCAATGCATGAACAAGTAAAATGTCTCCAGCTCAGGGCCAATGTACATTTGCTGTATATAATGTGATGCATATTTTTGATACAAAAAATCAAAAGAAGTACCTGGTCCACCTTTATGGTACCATCAAACCTACTACTCAGTAAAAATATTTCAATGACTAACTCATAAGAGATAAGAACAAATCCCTTAGTCAATTAAATCATCTATTACATATATTTTATTTGCCATTAATATTATCCATTCTGACAAATTAGCAATTCAGACTAGCAAAATATTCAGATAAATTCAAAGTCCAAACTAAGTTATGATATATATACACCATATTTATGAGTTATTATAATATAGACATCTTGACTGAGTGTGGTGGCTCGTGCCTGTAATCCCAACACTTCGGGAAGCCTAGGCAGGAGGACTGTTTGAGTTCAGGAGTTCGAGACCAGCCTGGGTAACATGGCAAAACCTCGTCTCTACAAAAAAATACAAAAATTAGCCTAGCATAGTGACATGTGCCTGTAGGCCCAGCTACTCCAGAGGCTGAAGTGGAAGGATCACCTGAGTCAGGGGAGGTTGAGGCTGCAGTGAGTTGTGCTCAAACCACTGCACTCCAGTCCGAGTGACACAGTGAGACCCAGTCTCAAAAAAAAAAAAAAAAACCCAAAACAAAAAAAAATACAGATGCGCCTTACTTTATAATAAATATATTCCTAGGAGACTAAATTGTAAATTGAACTTTAATAAATCAAATTTTAGAAATGCATCAATCTATACGAAATTGTTTTTAAAAATCATATTTTATCAGTTTTGTCATTTTCACATATCTTGCTTCTTTAAAGTAAGATTCACTTACAGTGTTATGTCTGCAGTCAGAACTGCTAGATTTTTAACTATCCTGAAATTATTAGGTTTGTGCAAAAGCAATCATAATTTTTGCCATTACTTTTAACCACGATTACTTTTGCACCAACCTATATGTAAATATATAAATATGTGAAATAAAACCCAATTACTTTATGTTGTTTATTTAAGCAAAAAAATCAAACATACTTCTTTTTTTTTCCTTTCTTCTTCTTTTCTCTTCTTTTCCTCTCTGATTTGGGCCAGTCGCTGCTTCTTACGTTCCAACTCAGCCTTTAATTCACTTTTGTCTGACATGTTTGTGACCTTAGAAACATATAATCATTATGTTAGTAAAAGCAGCACAGTTGAAAAAACTAGTGTTCCAAGAAGAGAACTGTCCCGAAAGGCCATATAGTTCAATGCTATCTCAAAAAAGCACAAAAACCTTACTTTTAAAATAATGGGGCTGGGCAGTAGCTTACTTTGGGAGGCTAAAGTGGGAGAACTGCTTCAGGCCATGAGTTTGAGACCAGCCTGGGCAACAAAGCAAGACCCCATCTCTACAAAAAAAAAAAAAAAAAAAAAAAAGGCAAGAAAAATAAAAAATTAGGCGGCATGGTGGCATGTGCCTGTAGTCCCAACTACTTGGAAGGATTGCTGGAGCCCAGGAAGTCAAGGCTGCAGTGAGCCGTGATCATGCCACTGCACTCCAGCTTGGGCAACAGAGCGTCTCTAAAAAATAAACTTTTAAAAGATAAAATAAAGGAAGCATATATATTATTACTAAGACTTAAAAAATGTATAAACAAATATATATAATAAATATTACCTAGAGCTGAGCATAGTAGCTAGCCCATAGTAAGCACTTTAATGTTCGCATACACAAACTGAACACAATGTCTCAAAGTTTTTGATGACAATATATTAGGTACCCAAGATAAAGGTCAAAACTGGCTCTTAAAACAGAGGACATGGTTTGGCATTTAGAAGCTCTTAAGCTATATGACACAGATCAAAACTATTACCAATTCTATTGCATTCATAGAAACTTGATAAAAAACAATAGGTCAAACTGAACTTTCCTGTAAGTTCTAAAAGTGCTGTAGTAATACTAAAGCAAAACGCAGGAGTTACCATCATTAGCTATCAAATCATATGACTGTATTTCTCCACAATAACACCTTACGTATACCTCTGATGGCACTTTTAGTACAATTATTTGTGGACATACCTGAAATGTTCCCTATTAGATTGTAATGTACTTGAAATCAGGGACTGTTTTTTAGTTATTTTTGTTGCCTTCACAACATCCAGCAGAATGACCTTAACATTACAATTGACACTGGCTAATGAATAATGGATACGGTAGACACAATTACAATCTGAGCTTCAAAAACCAATTGCATAAACACTACTTCAGCTTGAGTTTTAGGAAGAAATAATGAATTAGGATTTTTTTTTTTTAAGTAGCCTAGCAGCTGAGCATAAGGCAGGAGCCAGGAACTCCTTACCTTCTCCACATGATTGACTTATTGCCTAATGATCAATCTCTTTCAATGTCTCTGTACAAGTGAAGTATTAAATGCTTTAGATCAAGAAAACTAGGAGAATAACCTCTGGAAAACTGTATTTCCAGAGGTTAGGGGAAATCTCTTAAAAAGCACAATTGTTAAATCTGAACAAAGGTAAGTCAGTCAAGAGGAGAAATTCACCTACTAAGAAGTGGATAAAGGAAATTTCAGCTACTAAACTCCATTAAGACTGGCAAGCGAATTGATAATTTTCAAGCATACGAAAAGGATGAAAAGTTGACATAGCAGACCTGAAATATATACACAATATCTTCCAAGATTTGTTTGAACAAACTAAAAGCAAGAGACCGTGTTTCTTATTCCACTCTTTCTACACCTCTAAACAGCTCCATACAAACGGCTGGTGAAGAGAACTTCCATACGTAACTGTATGCTACGCTAGGCACATTATATTTTGTTCAACGTCAACTGTAAAACAGATATACCAACACTAATTGATATTAAAATAAGCGCATTTTTAAAGCCCAACAACAAAGTCTTGACCAGCTGAACTACAGCTGACCAATCCTCTCATCCTCACAGAAGCCAGAGCCTTCCTCCATGACCGACATGTTCACGTTCTTAAAACTCAAGAGAAGAGAGTCTCTAGAGTTTTGTGCTAGAACCTCCGTGTTCGGGGGCTTTCCATCACACATAAGGTGAGGGGAGACACTATCAAGGCAAGTAGAGATGGCCTTAATTTGTAAAATGGGGCAAGGCGAAAACGAATCACTTTCTCCCCTGGGGTCACGGCCAAGAGGGCGCGGTCCACGGCAGGGCGTCCGGAAGAAGCCAGTGGGCGCCGGACAAGCCTCAAGGCTCCCCAGGCCGCCTCTGGAGGGTCGAGAAGGGAAAGGAGTGGACTCCTCTCGCCGGGCCGCAATGAGTCACCGCACCCAGGTCTCCCCGCCTTTCCTCCCCAAAGCTGGGCCGGGCGGGGATGTCAGCAGGAACTGCCAAGCCGCCCTTCGAGTTGCGACGTGGAACACAGGCAGGGAGGCCTTGAGGGAAGAACAGTCAACCCACCTGTCAGGTGACTGGATGGGGAAGAGTCCTCCCGCCTGCAACTTCCCGGTAACGTCCCTCGCCTAAGCCCCCAACACCAACTGTAGCCACCACCAGCTCCGCGGCTTTCCAAAGCACACAAAGAGGGATGGGCGGCGGCTGCTACGGCGAGAGCTTAGGGACAAATAGCCTCACCAGAACGAGGTCGCTCCCAGAAATAAAAGGTGGGGCCCTGCTGCGAGGAATTGTAGCCCCTCCGTGACTTACCTGTCGTAAAGCAGAAGCCGGTAGATAAAACAAAGAACCCAGTCAACCCAGGGGCCTTAAGTATTTCCGCTTTGCCAAAAACTGGAAAACTACGCCTAATATTCTCAGGCCAGGAATCCAACTTCCGCCCTCGCCTTACAAACTGACACGATCGAGAAGAACTACAAACCCCGGCAACAAGGAAAACCTGCGTGCGACGAGCAGTGCGTTCTGGGAATTGTGGTCGCTGGGCGTCGCAAGGTGTGCTGGGACATGTAGTGTGTCCCCTCCTTTAGATTTCCCACTCCAAGGCCTTCTTCCGTCGAGAAGCTTCTGTATAAAGTATTCTCGTCTGTTGATCCGTGCCCACAGTGTAGTATGTGTTATAGTGTAAGATCTTTGACCCAATATTGGCGGAATTTTAAGGTCTATTTTCCAGTGGTGAACCTGTGAATCACGCTGCTGCACATTTGGTGAAGACGTGAAGTAGACTGTTTAGGATGTAAAACATTATATATATATATGTACATACATATGTAAGTTTTAGGGAAAGAATGTCTTATATAGGCTTCATGTGGCATCTTAGGCAAAATCTAAATAAAAATATGTCAACTGACATAGCAAATAATTCTTTAGTATTTTGTTGCAGTGTGGTAGCATTTTGGTTTTCTCTCAAACAATTTTAGGAAATAAAGCATTTTGTATTATTGGACTCTCAAACCAAGCTAGAATGTTTTCCACAGTTAGATTTTTAACATACAAAGAAAACAAAAGTTACTGGAACATGAATTTACCTGCAATGTATACATTGACACACCTTTTTAAAGTTTAAATAATTTAAAGCATTATTTGGCAGGAGTTAAAGCTAACACCAAGGTAATATCTTTTCTATGTTCTAGAAAACTGATTGTTCTAGAAGTTCTAGATATTGCCCAAGTCTAGAATGAACCTTTATGATTCAAATTCCAAGTCCTTGGGCTTGTGGTCTTTTTCTTATCTTTCTCTGCCTTATCTGTGGTCTTTTGTGTAGAAAAAAATATTCTAAAAATAAATTTGAGAAAGAAAATCCTTGGCTTTCCACAGCTTTTCCCAATAACCTAACATTCAAAGAGCTTTATAGCTATGTTATTTTTTTACTTCTTTCCTAATAGTTTTCATGTATTAATTTGAAAAAAAATTATTATTGATTGCCTACCATGTGCCAGCAATGGTGATGGGTGTTGTGGTAACAGCTAAAATGGACCAGGCGCAGTGGCTCACACCTGTAATCCCAGCACTTTGGGAGGCCGAGGCAGGCAGATCACCTGAGCTCAGGACTTAGAGACCAGCCTGGGCAACATGGTGAAACCCCGTCTCTACAAAAAATAGAAAAATTAGCAGGGTGTGTGGCATGCGCCTGTAGTCCTAGCTAGTCACGAGGCTGAGGCAGGAGGATGGCTTGCGCCCAGGAGGCGGAGGTTATAGTGAGCTGAGATTACACAATTGCATTCCAGCCTGGGAGACAGAGCAAGACCCTGCCTCAAAAAAAAAAAAAAGAAAAAGAAACAAAAAAAACAAAAAACATAAAAATGCACAAAAATGCACATCCTTCTTCTCAAGGGAGAAAGGACACTCGCTCAACTAAGAATGGATGGTTCCTGACTGATGGTTTAACTTATGATTTTTTTCTCATTACAATGGGCTTATTAGAGTAAAATGCATTTTCAACATATATTTTTGACTTAAAATGGGTTTATCAGGACATAACTCAAGGAGCATCTGTATAATGATGGAATTATATAAGGAAGTCATAGAAACACCTGGAAAAACTTTTCAGGAAACTTTTGGAAGGAGGTGATTCTAGAGCTAAGTCTTTGATTCTCAAAGGTTGAGTAGAAGAAGTTAGCCAAGCAGAGAAGATGCAGAAAGGTGCCTTGGGAAGAGAAAAGAATATGGACAAAGGACAGAGGTGTGAGAGCATAGAATGCTGGTGAATTTGGAAATAATTCACAATGGCCGTAGGCTAAGACAGGAACTGGGGAATGAAGCCATAAGCAGGGGCAAAGTCGCACATCCCAGTTTAGATTTAGTCCTACAGATGATGTGAATCCACTGGTAGATTTTAAGAGGGTGCAAGGTATGAGAAGGTTTGCATTTTAGATGACTGGCCTTTCAAAGTAGTCCGGAGAAAGACTAATGTGCTGGTTATTTTCTTTGCCCCCCAGATTCATTTCCTGCCCTTCTTTGCTAAGCTCTATGCCTCTGAGGGTTGACCTCAGTTTCTTTAAGGACTGCTTTGTGGTTGGACATAAAGAAGGCCAAGGCAAGGATATCAGAAGGTGGGTAGAAAGGGAAATTGGGGCATCTCTTCCTTGCTCCTTCCTTCTTTGAGTGTCAGATGTCCAGCAATAGCTTCATTCCTTCATGACTACAGTACCTGCCAGATGGCTCTTTCACCATGGCTCTAGTTTTCCCCGGGCTGTCTGGTGATTTTATGTTCTCCTTTTATCTCTTGAACACCTCCTCTGTAGCTAGTCTCTGAGTGCCTCATCATCTCGTTTGTTCCCTTAATACCCGCTCACCCCTCTGTAACTTGTCCTTTCATTAAAGTATTTTCATGTGAACTATCTTGTGAATTCTGTTTCTTGTTGAGACCCTTGTTGATACAGCTTGCCTAGAGGGATGAGAGGTGGAGAAAGAGGTAAGGTAGAGACTGGAAGCAGGGAATGCAACTGGAAGAATTTGGGTAGAGCCAGCAATTATAAATGCATGAACTGATGCATCATCAGTGAGAATTAAGAAAAGTAGATGGATTGGAGAAATGTTAACATTATGTGAGACTTCTACAGCAATAAAGCAGACTAGATACCTCTTCCCACTGAAAACCACTCAATATACTGGCTGGATAATGTAGCTTTTGAGTGGGTACAGTGGCTCATGCCTATAATCCCAGCACTTTGGGAGGCCAAGGTGGGAGGATCACTTGAGCCCAGGAGTTCGAGACCAGCCTGGGCAAGATGGCAAAACCCCATTTCTGTAAAAAATTTTAAAATTAGCTAAATATGATGGTACTCACCTGTAGGCCCAGCGACTTGGGAGGCTAAGGGCGGGAGGTTTGCTTGAATCCAGGAATTTGAGGCTGCAGTGAACTATAATCACACCATTGCACTCCAGCCTGGGTGACAGAGTGACATCCTATTGCTTAAATAAATAAATAAAATTTAAAAAAATGTTTTAAGATATGAAATACGTAACTAAAAAACCCCCCACTTTTTTGTTGTTTTATTTTTAACACTTTTTTGAAGAAATGCATTAGCAGCACTGATTAGAAAGACTGTACCCTGGACATTACATAGTTCAAACCACTATGTCTTCCTACTTTTTAAGTTGGAAGGGCTGGGGAGGAGTCCTAATAAGCATTAGTGCTGCAGGGTGTTTTCGAAGGGGAGAATTTGCATTTTAAAACTTCTTATAATGGTTTGTAGGAGAGGGTAGAAATATAATATATACAGATGAATTTGTTGAACAAACTCATATCTGGATTTACACTTGAATTCAATATGCCAATGTTTGCAAAATTTTAATACAATTAATATATTGACATAATGCAGGATTTCATTTATATAGAATGCAAAAGAAGGTAAAACTAATCTAATGAAATGTCAGAATAGTGGCTATTGAGGTATAGGGATATTGATGGCAAGGGATATGGGGAGGTTTCTGCGGTGCTGGGAATGTTTCATTTCTTCATCTGGTGGGGGTTACACACATTTACATATCTGTAAAACATTCATTGACCTCTACTCTTAACATGGGTCCTTTTTATTGTATGTATGTTATATTCAAAAAATAGTTAAGAAAAAAGTAGCTATTAAACCATGGGACTTAAACAAATGTATAAAACATCAAAAAGATGTAGCAGACACCAAATTGGAAGAGGAAGGAATTTGAAGGGGTTAAAAATGTATTCTGCTACCCAGCAGTTCAGGCATCTCAAAATATTCCAGGAACTCTAGTAAGTCCCAAGTAATCAGCTAGAACATTTATAGCCATTTGTTGACAACCTTGTTATATACATCCTCATCATACAAGTTTTTAATGAAATTATGTTGTGAAAAGAAAGCTGTGGCCCCATAGCAATGCATGAAGCTTTCTAGTAATTATATTTTTAATGCTCTTGCGTAAATGTCACTTGATTGGTTTATAACTTTGCTAAAATGACATGTATAAAATCTAATACATACATTTGTGTGACCTTCTTACCATGCAAAGAACATTTTCCAGGACCTTTTCATAAATATTGGATTGTTATTATTTTTTCCACATTTTAATCAGAGGTCCTCTAAGATTTCACTTTGGTTAAGTTCATGAGGTTTCTACCAGATTGCCTGTGGAATCTTGAGATTGTTCATTCTTCACATGTTAACAGCTCTTCCTGAGTCACTTGTGTTTTTAATTTTTTTCTAAATATTTCCACTTCACCTTCAGTAAATGTATTTGACTCTTAGAAACATTGGCATGAGAAAATATTTTCTTCCAACTTTGGAAACTCTCTTAACTTTCCCATTTGCTCTCATGTCTAAGAGAAGCTCTTTAGGAAACTATCTTCACTCAGGGGAGTGTTCATGAGCTGACCAGCAGGTCTCTGATAATTTAACAGCATTACTTTTCTATTATCCTTATTATTGTTCTAGTCTGTATTTTTCCCTTTGGAGTGTTTGCTGCATTGTTAACTTAATATAGGTTTTTTTTTTCATTATTTCCTCTACTTGTCTTGATGCACATATTTTCTCTGTTAGTGTCAAAATAAGGTGATGGTGAATTATGAGTCCCTTCTGAGCCTAGAATACTTTTGTAATCTGGTAACCTTTGGCATGAAGCACATATCCTAGTGAATGATGGAGCACTTAAGAGTGATTCGCCACTGAGCATTACAGAAAATAGGCTGAGGGGCTCAAAAATTCAAGGCAAGTTCCTTCTACTCAGCATGGTGTATATACTGCACTCTCACTTTCCTACCCCCTATTATGTGGTTAAGAGAGAGGAGATAATGATGGCTTCTTAAAGTTACTGATAATGCACTCAAAAAAACTCTGTTAGGTGTAATGGTTTTAAAAGGTAGAATGAAAACACAGCTAGGAGATCAACACAAAAGGAATCATTTTCTGTTAGAGACAGTGAGCCTGTGCCCTTGATAACACACACGCAGCTCCCATTAACTATAACAGGAATTATGAGTGCCCCGTTAAAGGAGCGTATACCCCCAAAATGTGGTAGGGGCATACACTTTCTTCACCAGAGTTTCTTGTATTGATTTAGTTTCTTATGGTAGAATAAAATATTGTATTATATTTTTAATTCCTCTTGACTATTCAATATATCATCTTTTGAATGTGGGAGTGTAAAATAAAAATTGCTAATTGGCAGGTAGAATATATTTAAACAACCACAAACCCTATGTAAAGCCCAAACCAGACCCAGATTGATTAATTTTCAGGCTAGAAGCATTGACCTGTAATACTCCTCATTGAATATTTATTCAACATTTGACCTTACTGACTTTAGACAAATTTAAGGGTGGTTAAGACTTTCCACATTAATGTTGAAATGAGCTTCTAATTCTGAAGAACTGTTGATTAACAACATGCACAGATTTACGTAATGAGAAAAGAACTGTGGTTTGCTCAGTGGTCTTTCCAGCTGTATGTAAGTATAGAAATATAGAAATCTTGATCACTGGCAGAATTTTAGGTTTTCATTTTGTTTTGTTTTGTTTTTGAGATGGAGTCTCGCTCTGTCACCCAGGCTGGAGTGCAGTGGCGCCATCTCAGCTCAATGCAAGCTCCGCCTCCCGGGTTTACGCCATTCTCCTGCCTCAGCCTCCCGAGTAGCTGGGACTACAGGCACCTGCCATCACGCCTGGCTAATTTTTTTTTGTATTTTTAGTAGAGATGGGGTTTCACCATGTTAGCCAGGATGGTCTCGATCTCCTGACCTCATGATCCGCCCACCTCGGACTCCCAAAGCGCTGGGATTACAGGCGTGAGCCACCGCACCTGGCCAGAATTTTAGTTTTTAAAATGTTGTTTGTGGATATGCCTGAATATGTGTGTGTGTGTGCGCACAGAAATATTTGTGCAAATGTAACACCATTTCCTGAGTTCCCAAGCCGTGCATCCAACTCTCCACTGGATATCTCCTGGAGATCCTGCAGGCACCTCACATTCTACATGTCTAAAACTGAACTGTCACCTTTCCTAGCAAGCCTGCTCCTCCTCCCCTGTTTCCAACCTCACTGATGAAACCATCATTCCTTCACTCAACCAAGCCACAATCTTCAAAATCATCCTATTTCAGATTTCATATCCCCCACATTTGTTGATTCCATCTCCTACATATTTTCTGGAGGCAACAGGAAGACATTTGTGGTGTGAGTGGGCAGGCTGTAGCAAGCATGAATCTAGCATCAGATCTAGGCAGATGGTCTTCCTGAGAGAAGTGTGAGCGCAGGAAGGGAGAATCCAGCCACAGGACTGGCAGTGCGGAAATTCAGGCAAGATAGTCCCAAGCTCAGATAACTAACAGATTAGTGGGAAAACGAAGCAGTAACGAGCGAATGCCAGGGGTGGAGACGTAAGATGGGGGATATATTCCTGGAACTGGGATGGCAAGCAGGACTTGGTGACATATGGCCTAAATGGTCACTTGCTACAAGATAAAAGGTCACAACTGGGCCAACAGTAAACACTTTTATTAACGCAGAGCCACAAAGCTCTGGATCCCATAGTCCTTACATTTCCCTGGCCTGGGAGCCAAATTAAGCCCAGAGTCTGGAGTAGGAATGCAGGAGCAGATGGGAGTTGGGTGGTCCCAGCTTCCAGCTTCTGGGACTTTGCAGCCAGAGAGGTCGTCACATAGCTATCTCTGGATGCTATCTGTAAGTGTGTCATTAACAGCTCCCTTATCATTTTAATTTATTGCTTAAGATGTTTTTCTCTGAATAATTTCACAGTTTCAAAAGAACAATGTTTGTGCCATGTATTAATATTTGGCTATTCTCGGGTATATACTAGATTACCAAGGTACCTGGATTAGGACAGTAAATTGCAAGAGGGCAAATGCGTCATCTTGCTTGGCCTACACTGTTTCCTCAGCCTTGAGAATAGTATCTAGCCCATGTGGGGTATACGAGAAACAGTCATTAATTTTGGTTGAATAACTAAGTAATTATAATCGTATTTGTTACTTTGGACCTTACAGATTTAGATTCTAACAGTTAAGACATCACAAACTGTAATCTTGCTTTTCTCATTGTAACAAAGTAAACAAGGAAAACTAGGAGTGATGTTCAATATATTGTTTTCAAGCAGCTCTGTAGCAAAACATTTGAATTAATAAAGATGCTACTTATAAATTATTTTTGAGGGGCCGAGTGTGGTGGCTCATGCCTGTAATCCTAGCACTTTGGGAGGCCGAGGCGAGAGGATCACTTGAGCTCACGAGTTCAATACCAGCCTGGGCAACATAGTGAGATCTCATCTCAAATAAATAAATAAATAAATAAATAAATGTTGACATTCCCAAAACTCATTGAAATCATAGAAAAATACTAGTACTCTCAGGTATGAGAGGGTGTGAGAGAACCACAAGTGATACTGCGGGAACGAGCTCAGAGCCCATAGCTGCAGGGGCGTCAACACCCACAAGGCCTGAAGAAAGGGAGAGAGAGTAACAGAAACCTGACTCAAGAACATTTTACAGGGTGAGGTATCTTGAGCCCAGGCAGCTCAAGGTGACCTCATAGGGAGGAAACCAAGGAAATAAGTGACCCTGATGTCACTCTGATCTCCTCCTGGGGCTTCCCGTTGGCCAAACCCTACTGGAAGCCAGTAGGCACAGGAGACCATTCACCCAGGTCAGCCTCCTGAGGCCGAAATCAGGGTGGAGAAGGGTGAAAGTGCATCTGGAGGGGCAAAGGGAAGGTATCAGATGACATGTTACAGGTGGTTTAATTCTGAGAAGTAAGCACTTTGTTCCCGGTAGGCAACCATACATTGTTAAGTTTTCAGTTTCAGCTGACTGGAGCTACTGGCTTCAGGTAAATAATAGCTCATCTCAAGGTAGCTACATGTCACAAAACACTCAATGGGGATTGGAACAATGCCTGTAAGGAGTGTGTGTGTGTGTGTGTGTGTGTGTGTGTGTGTGTGTGTGTGTGTTTTGTTTGTTACTATTCAAGGACAATATTTTCCAGGAATGAGACCAATGTACATTTTGCCACTCATAAGAAGTTGCATGGGAAACCCTGAGTTAATTGGCACCATGTTTCTAATTAATTCTAATAATAGTTAGAATCCTTTAATTGGGCCCCCTGAGCAATGATCCAGCACTGCCCTTTATTGTGAACTGATTAGACATAAGGAAGTAGAGGGAGATGAAGGACTTTAGAATTCTTTAAAGGCATTGTATTTGATGGGGTACATATGTAACACTGCATTTTCTCTAGCCAAATTTAGAACTATTTGAGAGAGAGAAAGAGACAGAGACAGAGAGACAGAGGCAGGGACAAGTAACTCAGGCAGTTCTCCTTGGAGGGCCTGCTTGTATGAAACCCATAGCAGAGAACAGACAGCAATGCATGGGCACTTTCTTTAGGTGCACAGATGCCAAAGGAAATAATAAAGTAGAGAGAAAGTAGGAAGCTGCATGTACTAAGGTTTTTTCTCCCAAATTCACTAATGAGATAATTCTCTCCTCCTCCTGCAGGGAGGAGTAAGGGAGGGGATGGAGAGAGGCCAAGGGTGGTACTCTGGAAAGATCCCACTACAAAAAAACCTAAGATAAGGAAAGAGGAAGTGCTTCTCCAATAGAAGACAATATCTTGGCTTACTGGATGCCATTAGAGAATATACAAGGAAAGGAAAAATAGTGACTTGGTTTGAGAAATGTTTGACTTTAGTTGCTAGTGGACATTAAGTTGCGGATATACAGTAGGAAGGTGCATATATGGATCTGGAGTTCAAGAGAGATGCTGGGCTGGAAATGTAGATTTGAGAGTCATATACATATGGATAAATAATAGTTGGAGATGGATATGAATAACAATGATTTGGGATTATGTACATAAAAAGAGGAGAAGATAACTCTTTGGAATCCTGGAGAACACCAGCATTCAAGGAATAGGTGAGAAGAAGTGAATATTAAAAAAGTAATGGAGAAAAGTAGGTAGAAGAAAAGCCAAGAGTGGCTGGGTGCAGTGGTTCATGCCTGTAATCCCAGCACTTTGGGAGGCTGAATTGGGCGGATCACTTGAGGTCAGGAGTTTGAGGCCAACCTGGCCAACATGGCAAAACCCTGTCTCTACTAAAAAGTACAATAAATTAGCTGGATGTGGTGGCGTGTGCCTGTAGTCCCAGCTACTCGGGAGACTGAGGCAGGAGAATCATTTGAACCCGGGAGGTGGAGGTTGCAGTGGGCCGAGATTGTACCACTGCACTCTAGCCTGGGCCACAGAGCGAAACCCTGTCTCCCAAACAAAACAAAACAAAAAAGCCAAGAGAAAGTGGTATTTTAAAAAATTTGATTCCTTTGGATTTATTTCTTTGTCCTGTTGACAGGTTATAGGGCATCCCAAGTATAATACTTATGATACTATAACAACAAATATTAACAGTCGAACTATTGTATTCAACTATAGTGTTGAGCACTAATGATCAATGACACAATTTGGGCATAAAGATCAAAATTTAATTATTTTATTTTAAATTTCTAGTGTATATGTGCAGGATGTGCAGGTTTGTTTCTTGTAGATTCTGGATATTAGAATCTACATGGATTGTTTTTCCATCTGTTTGTGTTCTCTCTGATTTCCTTGAGCAGTGGTTTGTAGTTCTCCTTGAAGAGGTCCTTCATTTCCCTTGTTAGCTGTATTCCTAGGTATTTTATTCTCTTTGTGGCAATTGTGAATGGGATTTCATTCATGATTTGGCTCTCTGCTTGTCTGTTGTTCGTGTATAGGAATGTTTGTGATATCTGTTCTCTCACGTTTACTGTAGCGCTATTCACAAAAGCTAAGATTTGGAATCAACCAACAGATGAATGGATAAAAATGTGGTACTTATACTCAATGAAATACAATTCAGCCATAAAAAAGAATGAGATCCTGTCATTTGCAACAACATGGATGGAACTGGAGGTCATTATGTTAAGTGAAATAACCCAGGCATAGAAAGACAAACATCGCATGTTCTCGCTTATTTGTGGGATCTAAAAATCAAAACAATTGAACTCATGGAGATAGAGAATAGAATTATTACCGGAGGCTAGGAAGGGTTGTGGGAGGGTAGGGGAGAGGTGGGAATGGTTAATGGGTATTAAAAAAATGGTTAAAAAGAATGAAAAGAACTAGCATTTGATAGCACAACGGGGTGACTGTAGTAAAAAATAATTTAATTGTACATTTAAAAATGACTAAAAGAGTATAAATTGGATTGTTTTATAACACAAAGGATAAATGGTTGAGGTTACCATTTACCCTGATGTAATAATTATACATTGCGTGACTGTATCAAAATATCTTGTGTACCCCATAAATAAATATACCTACTATGTACCTACAAAATTAAAAAGTAAAAGTAAAAAATTGAAAAAATATATTTTTGGTAGTTGTATAGAAGATGGATGAGTGGGGAATCTAGACCAGAGGTAGGGAGACCAATTAATAATTTAAGTGAGAAACAATGAGATAAAAGAAGACAATGAGAGAATTGGGAATAGATTTGAGGAATATTTACAAGGAGAAGCAGTAGGATTCCATGCCTAATTTAGGGTATGGGACACATAAGAGTTCTGAGCAGCATAAGAATTTGTTTCACCATTTATTTATTTATTTATTTATTTATTTATTTATTTATTTATTTATTTTGAGACAGAGTCTCGCTCTTGCCCAGGCTGGAGTGCAGTGACGCGATCTTGGCTCACTGCAAGCTCCGCCTCCCAGGTTCACGCCATTCTCCTGCCTCAGCCTCCCGAGTAGCTGGGACTACAGGCGCCCGCTACCATGCCCGGCTAATTTTTTTGTATTTTTAGTAGAGACGGGGTTTCACCATGTTAGCCAGGATGGTCTCGATCTCCTGACCTCGTGATCCACCCGCCTCGGTTCACCATTTATTAAATGGATTTAGAAACAAAGAAATTTTCTATGAATACAATTTGAAGATAGAAACAATTGAACATAGAAATTCATATACTAGTTTACTTTCGCTGACTAAAGCAGAGCCAGTAGGCTGAAATAGATAATACACGCAAATTAGGATAATCCAAGGAGGGTTAATTTGCCCTGGGGACTATAATTATCGACTATGATACGTGCTGTGAAGGAACAAACCAGGTGCAGATAATAACAGACTGAAGATCTTTTAAGATAAGGTGGTCAAGGGAAGGCCTCTTTGAGGTGTTAGTTCAACAAAGACCCGGATTGTAAAGAGGTCAGTCTTGAAAAGGCAAGCAAGGAAAGAATAGAGGAGTGGAATTTTTTGGCTGCCTAGCATCTGAATTCTTTTCTTGTGTGTGAGGACTTTCCACTATGTGAGTCTTGGTAGGAGGCGGGCTTCTCCAAAGCCCATTTACTGACTTTCCTAGCCTTCCTAGCAGTTAGGGTATGAGCACGTGAGCCAGGCTTGGATCAGAGTCACCTGCCCAAGTCAGTGAATCAAGAACTAGTGCTACTCAGAAGCAGAGCAGAGAAATTGTTTTAGTGGTAGTGACTGTGGTAGCAACATCCAGTTTTTGGAGCAGCGACTCCAGCTTCCTTTGTGTATGACAGCTTTACCTACAGAGGCAAAGGCAACGGGGCCCTCTTAGACTGGGTCCAGGTGTGATCTTGCCCGAAGCTCTGTTTGTCCAGGCTTGCTTTGTTTCTTCCTGTTCTCCAAACCTGGTATTCTGGCCCTCCTGGAAATTCTGTGAGCCACTCAATGCACTCCAATACATTTCTTTCAGGCTTAAATCAGCCCGAGTCAGTTTCTGGTGATTCCATCTAAGAATCCTGATGAATATGGGGGCTGGGAGAGGAATTGGAGTACATTGCAGTATTGGAGGACATTGGGATTACAGGAACGTGCAGAAGCCCTGAAGTGGGAGTGGAGGTGGAGAGAGAGCTTGGATTATTTCAGGAACTGAGAAAGAAATCAAAGTGGTTGGGGTTAGTGAAAAGGTGGCAAGTGGATAAGATGGGTGCAAGTGGACGAGCTAGGCAAGAGTCCAAGCTAGCAGGTACCCATAATAGAAGTAGGAAATGTGCTGGGCCTATTCTTTTCTCAGCCAGACTCAACTGTCTCATGTGTCCTGATCAGATGGGTCTCCATTGGTCAGCAGGACTCCAGGGCCATTCTGGTGTGGTGGTATCCACTCTGCTGTGCCAAGAAATTCCAAACCATGTCCCACACAGAAGGCTAAGCCTTGGGCTTTCCATTTCCAACCCAATGAGATCTCTCTCCTTTGAAGACCAAGATACTGTTTATGTATCCCTAAAGACATTTATAACATTCAGCTTTTGTTATATGTTTTTGAGAATTTGTCATATCCCTTACTAGACAGTTAACTCTCTGAGAACAGGGTGGGGAGGTGGAATGATTACATGCTTTGGCAAAAATACATCTGGAATTAAAAATTTTTTTGGTCCTTTCAATTACACGTTATATGATCGCAGACAAATTGTTTCACCTCTCTAACTTCAGTTTTCTTATCTGAAAAATAAGCATACTAGTATCTACTTGTCAGGAATATATCGAAGGTTATTTTTACTGCAAATCACCACACAATGCCCACAACATAGGAGGCACTCTAAATCACACAAAAGGCTCTCTGTAAATGTTAGTTCCTTTGTGTCTTTTGTAGTATTTCATTGAACAGAATAAAATCTGCTGGATTTAGGAAAACAAAATAAAATCCTTGCTTTTTGTGCTTACCTCATTGTGAAGTGCTAATTTAAAATAATGTAGATTACACTGCTTTCTCAGTTCAGAATTTGGTCAGGAAAATTTTCTTTTTCTTAAAAACTATTTTAAGGCATTATTCGCTGTGTGTGGTGGCTCAAGCCTGTAATCCCAGTGCTTTGGGAGGCCGAGGCAGGCAGATCACCAGAGTTCAGGAGTTCGAGACCAGCCTGGCCAACATGGTGAAACCCGTCTCTACTAAAAATACAAAAATTACCTGGGCGTGGTGGTGGGCACCTGTAGTCCCAGCTACTCAAGAGGCTGAGGCAGGAGAATCTCTTGAACCCAGGAGGAAGAGGTTGTGGTGAGCTGGGATCACATCACTGCATTCCAGCCTGGGCAATATAGTGAGACCCTGTCTCAAAAAAAAAAAAGTTATTGCCATTCACTCAGCTCACTTCAGAAAGTGTAGTGATTTTTAAAAATCAACAATTTATTTTCTTCAAACATCTCTGGAGATATGATCTAGGATATAAACAAAACATTGGGTCTAAAACCAGAAGGCAGATTTTATTATCTTGAGAATGCAGGAGGATATTGCTCAAGTCCTGATTATCTTAACCAAAACATTCCCTTATGCAATATTCCCTCTTTTCCATTTTAAGAACTTGAAATCATATACGCTGTATATGATTGTCATTAACTGATCAAATATGTAACTCAGCTGTTAACTTAAAAATTTTAAAACATTATAAGACAAAAATCTTAGAGTCTCTCAAGCCCCTTGCTTCCTGACTTGTTTAAGCAACTTATCTAATGGAATGAATAGAGGTCTTTCAGAACCCTTTTCTTTCCTCCTTGCCCTGATCCTTTAACATACATTTCCTGATCTCCATCTTTTAATTTCTTTCTTCTGTTTCCTAAGATTTTGGTGCAGTTTCTTTTTTCACATCTGGGGATAGGTAAAGAATAAAAGTTTTGCATTATAAATGCATGATGTTTCACTTCAAATCGCAAATGAGACAAGGCAGATTGGACAGAAGATTCATCTATCTTTTTATCTCTAGTTACTTTCTACAAACCACAGGAACTTATAACCATTGAGGGACCAGTCAAAGAAAAGCTTGATTACATAAGGTTGTTGTTTAATGACATTTTAAAAAACATATAGCCTTCTCTTTAAAAATTCCCATATTCTCAGGCTGGGCACAGTGGCTCATACTTATGATCCTAGCACTTTGGGAGGCAGAGGTGGGTGGATTGCTTGAGCTCAGGAGTTCCAGACCAGCCTGGGATGGTGAAATTCCATCTCTACCAAAATATATTAAAAAATTATCTGGGCATGGTGGTGCATGCCTGCAGTCCCACCTACTCAGGAGGCTGAGGTGGAGGATGGCTTGAGCCCAGGAAGTTGAGGTTACCATGAGCTGTGATCATGCCACTGCACTCCATCCTGGATGACAGAGACGCTGTCTCAAAAATAAATAAACAAGTAAATAAATAAATAAATATTCTCAACACTAGTGTCATTCCCAGCACTGAGAATACCCACATAGCCTTGGCGATTGGAGCCTCAGGTGAAAACATTATTACAACTTCCCACAGAGGGAAGGGAAGAAACTTTTGTTGTTTCTAAACACAAATGTGACAAATAATTAACCACTGAAAAATAAATAATCGGGCCCTTGTCATCAATTCTTGGCATGTTTGCCTTGGAATTCTAAATCACTAAAAATAACAGTTCAGATTCTCAGAGAAAAAACTTGCAAAGACTGCAGGCCAGACAAATGGAAACACTTATTGCCAAGAAAAGCACACATATAGCAAGATATATTTGTTGCATGTGAAAAGGATATGCAGGTGAGCATTGGTGTTCTTTTTGTATTGGCCCTGAGGTTTATTGTTTTAGGAGGATTTAACCAAGTTGACTTTGAAAGCATCTGTTTCTCGTAGGAAGGATTCATTTTGTCAAGTCGGGAGGAATCAAAGAAAAATCCTGCTCTTTTGTTGTAGCTTTTGTGCCCAAATAGATCACTGACTTCCAGATTTCCAAGACCAAACTCCAGTTGATGATAGGAAATAAAACTGTTTGTTAACTCAACAAACAGGTTAATTTAGGATGCTTGAACAATTATTCTGTTCTTGTTTAACTATAGGTTTTAGGTAGCATGTATCAGTGGCTTCAAAGCACAAGCCAGTATCAAGAGATTTGAACATATATTTTTTCACACACTTAAAACTCAACCAGGTTAATATGGCTTGTGCCAGATTCTCTCAAAACATAAACTTCTCCCTAGCGCTTCAGTAGGTTGGCTAATTCAGTGCAGGTGTGTGTGTCTATGCATCTCTGTGTGTTTGATGGTTAATAGAAATGGGTAGAGTTAAATCATTTGTGTTCAACTCAAAATTTGGAAGTCCATTGCTTAAGAAAAAATACATAGGCTGGTCGGGCATGGTGGCTCACTCCCAGCACTTTGGGAGGCTGAGGCAGGCGGATTGCTTCCGCCCAGAAGTTCAAGATCAGCCTGGGCAACACGGCTCTACAAAAAAATACAAAAATTAGCTGGGTAAGGAGGCGCACGCATGTAGTCCCAGCCACTCTGGAGGTCGAGGTGGGAGGATCAGCCTGGGAGATTAAGGCTGCAGTCTGTCTAAGAAAGGAAGGAAGGAAGGAAGGAAGGAAGGAAGGAAGGAAGGAAGGAAATACTTCAGTTGTACTCTTTAAAATGATTGAGATTTTAAATGGAATATTTGACAAACCAATAGAAACATAGAGCATCACAACCCAAATTCCATTTAAAATCATACCTGATGAGTACGTAAGCCTCTTATACAAAGGCAAATATCTTTCTCTATTTTCCATTTTTCCTATTCAATTACTGGAGCACTGAAATTGACCCAATGAAATGTCAAATCTAAGGCATCTTGTAGTGCCTGGTATGTTGTACATGTTCAATGAATGTTAGCTACTACCTTTTCCTTTCTCTGGATTTCTTCCTATTGCCTTTTCAATTTTTGATCCAAACAACACAGTTTAAGCATATAATAATTACATAATCTGATTCGATGAAACTGCTAATATTGTATATGTATTAATCTTATCTCCTTGTATTCGTTTCTTATTGTTGCTGTAACACATTGCCACACACGTGGTTGCTTTAAACAATACAAACATTATCTTACAATTTTGTAGTTCAGATGTCTAAAATGAGTCTCAGTAGGCCAAAACCAAGGTGTTGACAGGGCTGTGTTTCTTCCTGAGGCTGCCAGAGAAAGTCTGTTTTCTTACCTTTCCCAGATTTTACAGACTGTCCGTGTTCCTTCTATCTTCAAAGTCAGCAATGGCCAGCGTCTTTTTCACATTGCATCGCTCTGACGCTCTGACTTCCGCCTCCCACTCCCATATTTAGGGACCCTTGTGATTTCATTGACTGCACTAGTCATCATCATCAGCAGCAGCAGCAGCATCTTACATGCTGTAAGCTTCATATATGTCTCATATTTTTCTCTGTATTTCTCATAGCAACAAGAACAGTTCTAACTATGTGTTTTTGGTTGTTTCTTAAGCTAATGGAATAAGAGTTCTTAAAGGGCAGTCTGAAAAGCTCTGGTGATCTTTGACTTTCAGGTAGTATGCAAGTTGCATTAAAATTCCAAACAGAAAAATATGTAGCTTAAAAAACCCAAAAGAACATTTTTTAATATTATTACAAATTTGTAATATGTAAAAAAAGGAAATTTTAATGACATTGCTCAACAAAATAAGGGAGTACTCCAAGGAAGAAGACATGGGACCTGGAAAGAATTGTCTAGGCCAGGGCAGAAGGGAGTTCTTAGCATACAGCAGGTCTGGACACAAGCCAGATATGAGCCTGAGAATGCAGTGGAGACATGGCTAAAATGATTATAATGAAACTGCTAGACTACTTGGTATGTTCAAATGTACTGGAGGGATATTTATATGTCTTTCAGAGAGTTTAATGATGACTCATAGCAAATTAATCAAATAAAAATATGAGGAAATTATTATACCATAAAGAAAATGTATTTATAGTATACTATGTAGCTTAGCTCTGAATAATATTAACAAAATGATAATAATGTAAACATTGAATATTGGTTGAATGAAAATTATGCCAAAACTACATAAGAGGATGAAAAGAGAAAGAAGATGTACCAGGGGGTGAGGGATGTGGGGGCTGTATCTGGGTAAGAATCAAATTCTCATCTACCATAGTAGGAAGTCAGAAAAAAAAATCAAAATACTAGAAGAAACAGCTAAAAGTACAGATATTATTAGTGGGGAGGTTCAGGACAGGACCTTTCTATTGCTATTTGACTGTGTAAATGATATATGTGTGTTATTTTGGCAAAAATTACAATTAAGACAAAAATTTACCCGTATTTATTTTGAAAATAAAAAAGCAGGGATTATTTACAAAGGCAAAATCCCTGCAAGTGTTGTTTCTTTTCTTTCTTTCTTTTTTCTGCTTCTGGCAAGTAGTAGTTTCCAGAAACTTTTATTCTAACCCAAAGTGATTTTATTGTTGTTGTTCTTTGGTTCCAGAAGTTGAAAGACTTCAGTATGACTTAGCCAATTAATAAACACGACTAGCTGCAATGAGACAGGCCAGGTAAGGTCCTCGGACAGTGCCTGTACAAAATGATCAGGAAAAACTGTACTAGAAGTGGCCAGGTGTTTAGGAAGAATATTACCAGAGATAAAGATAATATTGAAAAGGAAACATTCTTGCTTATATTTCTGTCAAACTGAACTATTCCAAGTTTCCAAAATGTGTTGTATTTTCTTAGCTACCGATTCTTCATACGTACTTTATGAGGCAACTGTAATTAGTCCTGCCGCTCCTGGTATTACCTTTTTACCATACCTGTAGGAGGCTTTCCATACTTGATGGAGTTTTTAATAATTAACAGAATGACATATCTAGAGGAGATAATTTAGTTCAAATTAAGCTTGGGTAGAGCCTCTTACCTCTTTCCTGCTATCTTAGTTTTCCCTCTCCCTACCTTCCAGTCTAACTGTGATGAGCACATGGTCAGCCAATGACTTAAGGGACAGGGAGACAAGACACTTAAAATCAAAACTGTTTCAGGAATTCCAGCAAATATGGCTCTCAATTGTGTAGATTTCTTTTAACGTACCAAGGTTTGGGGCAAGATGATAAATTCACAGGTTATTTTTCTTCTATTTGTTTTCCCGGTTAAGAGGCCCCATTACTCATTACACATTTTCCCATGAAGTTGCACAGTTGGATTAGCTGATTCCAGAAAAAGGTGTCTGGATGCAGAAGGAGCTGCAGCAACCAGCCCCAAAAAGCCAGTCAAAGAATGGCTGGCTATTGATACAACCCGAGGCAAAGCAACTGTTTCTTCCCATGACTAAACAATGAGGATGACTCTGTTCTATTGCAGTGTATTCATTCAGACAATATTTATTGAGTATCCTAGTGCCTGGCACTGTTCTAGCTACTGGGGACACAGCTGCGAATACAGTGACACAATTCTGCCTAATTGTATCCTTTTCAGATTCAACCATGAAAATGAAGAAGAGTACAGTTGAATTTTTCACCCCCTAATCAAAGTCCAATCCAGATTTTGCCAATTCTTACTTGGCAGTATTTAACCAAAAGTTTCATAGGAATGAGGCTTTCTTATGAATTTGCAGTGTTCCCAGATTCTGATCCTTCAGGAAAAACAAACTTTATTTCTGCAGTACTTTGTCCTCTTCTGTGTGTTCCACTACCATGCCACCTCTCAGATAAAGAACTAAATTCCATGAAAAGCCACAACTACCTTGTAGTAGAAATCAGTCCCTAATGATATTACACTTGCACAAATTGAAATGGGGTTAAAAGCTCACATTGTGGAATCTTAGATTTCTTGCTAAGCTGGAAGCTTTTATGGGGCTCACTTTAAATTGAGAGGCAGAGTTTAGACCCTTTTGTTACTTAAGAGATTGAGCAAATTAGCAAGTCCAAGGCAAATCTTTTTAGATTACTGAACTATTACAAATGTCTCCTGGCCAAAGAATAACCTCTCTCCACAGAGAAATGTTCAGCAGGACCTTTTGCTTAAATTCGTAAAATCTGTTAAAGCAAATCTCTCACATTTCCATTAAGTCAGTAAATTACTTCTAGGGGAAAAAGATAAAATGCTGATGATAAAATGGCTGGACTATATTAATGATGGGAGGTGGGGCTGGAGAGGCGGAAGAATTGATGCCACATTTATGGTGCAGAGAATTTCAGCCTTTTTCACGTGTTGGGCTAAATGTAAATGATGTCACCTTCTCCTCCCTGAGTGAGAGGCAAAGTTATCAGGCCGCAGAGGCTTCACAGAACGCATTCTGTGGCTGACATTAAAATGACTACAAGGTTATTTCTTTCCATATCTATTCTCTTGGAATTTTTTCAAGATTTTATTGTAGATGGGAAAAATGCATAATGCTTACAGAAACAAAGCCCTAGCTACATTCTTGCTACTGGATTATTGTCATTCTATCTCGATGCTGATTGAAATCCAAGACTTTGTATCGAAGCCTTAATGAGATGCTGGCAAATATCTTTCTGCCCCACTGGAAATGTAATCTTTCTATTGAACATTTTGTACCAGTGAATTTCATCTGCAATAGCATTTTGCATTTGAATCAGAGAGGTCACTGCTTGAGAGCAGACCATGTGGTACTGGCTTAGTTCACTTTTGGGTGAAATTGATCCCTAAAGGTGTTGAAAGTATAGTAGTGAGTCATTATAGATAATTAGCTCATTGTTTCATTTAGATGATTAGAGACATAATACCAGTGTGCAATCTGTTATATTTCTAAATATCAGATTTTCCTATAAAAATGACCGGCCAAATCTTATGTTCACAATGCATCAAGTAGATTGAATTAGTATATTATCTTTTAATGTATCTTATTTATTTATGTTAGATTTACTTAGGGAGACTCATGCATGTCATAACAGTTGTCCCTAAAATGGTAAGATTTTTCTAGCTTTTTCTCAGTTTCGTGTGAATGAAGTAGTTTATGCTGTGAACATAAGCTAAAATATAAAGTAGAAATACTCTCTCCCTTGCCTAACCATCAACATTTTCTTGGCCTTTGGACAGTTAATCATCAAGGAAAAGTGCTAAATTGTACTCTTGCTTGCTAAGGTTGAGATAGCAGAAAAGGAAGCAACTACGGTCTTTTATACAGATAAGAAGCAATAACAAAACATTTTAAAATATTTGGCTTGGTAGTTAAACTATTTATTTCATGTCTATAAGCAATAAAGCATACATGGTAGGAAATGCATATATATATGTATGCATGTTTTAAAAGTAAATGTATGCCACCAAAATATAAAAACTGTTGCTTTTCATGCTGTGCTAATATCAAAAGACTGAGCATTTAACTGCTATAGGGACATGGCTTTTCAAGTAAATTTGCAAATCAAAAAGGCCTACCATTGCCTTCATTGAATTCACTTAAATAGTGGCAGCTTACTGTTCTATGCAATATGATCAAGTTAATCAAAAGATGAATAGAACCACAAAAGAGATTTGCCTATATTAAGAGACCAAAAGATTGGGCTGTAAAACCCAATTATTGGTATTCCAAGTGTGGAAGAAATTCAAGAAAGTGTGAAGCTAGTAAATAATGGAAGAATTTTAACTTTGAGAAAAAATAAAACCTATTACAATTTCAGAATAGTAAGTTCATTACCATCATAATGTAATAACCTTGTTATGATACTGTTAGGTATAGAGAAATAAACTGAACATTTTGGTAGAATTATTTAAAAGGCTAATATAATTTTCTGTAAGTAGAAACATTATTTATAAAAATATTTAAATGTACCTATTGAAATTTGCAATATATATTTAAAACAACATTGTACAAATACTTTGTTTTTTAAGTATTTATTTATTTTTTAAATTATATATATATTTTTTATTTCAGTAGCTTTGGGGGTACAAGTAATTTTTGGTTACATGAATGAATTGTATAATGGTGAAGGCTGAGATTTTAGTGTACCATCACCTGAGTAGTGTACATTGTATCTAATATGTAGTTTTTTTATCCCTCACCCACCTCCCATGCACCTCCCTTCTGAGTCTCCAGTGTCCAT
The DNA here is from genome assembly GCF_000001405.40 of Homo sapiens. Classification (NCBI taxonomy): domain Eukaryota; kingdom Metazoa; phylum Chordata; class Mammalia; order Primates; family Hominidae; genus Homo; species Homo sapiens. The sequence goes on along the minus strand of NC_000002.12, from coordinate 171,666,599 downwards.
TATACCACTCTGTATGCCTTTTGTACAAATGCTTTTAACCAGCAAGTCCACGTTTCAGAAATTACACTAAGGAATTTAAGAGTTTAATAAGAAGGTTTAAAAGGAATTTAGCTACAATTATCATAGTACTTTTAATTATAACAACAAAAACTTAGAAAAGCCTCAGGATCTCACACTAATGATTTGGTTGTGCATATTACTTATAATATAGAACATACAGATTCTATATAATAGAGTACTATGTAGAGATTATAAATGATGTTGCAAAAATATAATTGCAGAAATGTATTTGTTGATATGGAAATCTACTTGCAATGTTATGCTATGTAAAAAAAAACAACCCCAGTTTACATAAGTGTTCATAGAAAATGATCCTACATACATGAATATACGTGTGTGTGTGTGTGTGTGTGTGTGTGTGTGTTCAGGAAAAGCAGTCACCAAAATACTGAGTGTTTATCTCTGAGGGGTGGATTATATGTGATTTTTATTTTCATTTTGCTTCTGTATTTTTGATTTGCATATTTTTTTAAAAATTACAAATACAACAGGAATAAATTGTTCCGTAGTGCCAGAAATGTTATACAGTATATTATTCTAAGTAGAATTAAATACAGTATATTATTCTTTTTTTTTTTTTTTTGAGATGGTGTCTCGCTTTGTCACCCAGGCTGTAGTGCAGTAGCCTGATCTTGGCTCACTGCAACCTCTGCCTCCCGCCAAGCAATTCTCCTGCCTCAGCCTCCTGAGTAGCTGGGACTACAGGCACTCACCACCACGCCCGGCTAATTTTTGTATTTTTAGTAAAGACAGGGTTTCACTGTATTGGCCAGGCTGGTCTTGAACTCCTGACCTCAGGTGATCCGCCTTCCTCGGCCTCCCAAAGTGCTGGAATTACAGGCATGAGCCACCGCGCCCAGTGTAATGGCTTATTTTACAGCAAGAAGTGATCAGTTGTCTTCCATGATCACTAAAGACAGGTTAAGAGCCGGAATTACAGCCTCAGAACGCTCCATTGCCATTTCAAAGAGCCAGACAATTGTGTATTGATTATCTGTCTTTCTCCTCGGTGTTAAAATCGTCTCTTTATCAAGCACTTGCTATGCATCAGGTTCTCTAAACACTTTACATGCTTTTTTCTCCATTACATGTTTATATCCACCCTGTATAGTAGCCATTATCTACCCTGATTTATGGACGAAAGGACTCATGTTTAAAGATTTCAATTCTTTCTCAAGTTTACATAGTACAAGTTAGATGGCAGAACCAGGTCTATTTCAAACCCTTGTTCTTAAATGCTACTTTTATATCATTTTGGATGCATTTGGCTGCAAGTAACAGAAAATCTCAACTCAAATTGTCTTAAAGAAAATGTCATAACTTGCAAAACCAGAGATGCGGAGGTCATGTGGCTCCAGGGCACCTTGTCAGGGCATCAATTTCTCTTGGCAGGGATTCTATTGGCTCTTCCTTCCTCTATGTCTTGGCTTCATTCTCAGGCTGATAGCAAGACACTCGTCAGTTCCAAGCATGATATCCAAACACAAGACCATCCAGAGAAAGAAAGGAACCAAACCTTTCTTGTCTTTCATTTAAGAATTAGGAGACAAAAAAAAATGAGGAGACTTCCTGGAAATCTCTCCTCCCCCACAGACTTTCTCCTGTGTCTGTTTTATCAGAATTCAGTCATGTACAGATTCTTAAAACACTTACTAACAAGAGGTAAGATTATTGTGATTGACTTAGATTTATTATCTCGGATGAAGTAGACTCTGATGACTAGGAACTTGGACCACTCTATTGCCTTCTAGAAAAGCAGTTATTATTAATTAATTGGAATGCTCAGAGCCAAGTTTCAGGCCTCCTACTAGCAATTTATGAACTTTGGATATTAACATTACCCTGTACTTTATCTTATTTTCTACTTCAGTTTTCTCACATCATGTTTATTTTTTAAAATATTGAAATGTGTGTCTAATTGTAAGTGACCTTGGATCCTTTATGGAATGAGGTGGAGTAAAAATAATGGTTAAGTAGCTATTTAAACATTTCAAATTTTAAAAAGTACTGATTTTATTTCCAACATGCTTTATTATCTGCGAACTACTTACAAAGAAAAGGGCTAGTACAAATTATGTGCATATTTATGACATTTTGGGGCTATTCTGTAAAGCTGGGTTATTTTTTAGGAGGAACTCCTTGACAATGATTATTGTTAAGCCTAGGATTCAAGTGATGAGGGACATTATTAGATTTCCTCTGGAGGTCTGCATATAAAAAATTAAGACCCTTAACTACCGACATGATCGAAGCAGTTTTGCTAGATGAAGAGGGCCCAATCAATCAATTATTTATTCAAAATCTTACTTCTTATTTTTCTACACACTGAGCAGGGCAGAAAAATATGAGATTCAGATCTTGCCCAAAAGGAGTTTACAACTGAAATGGAGAAACACCCCCAGCCCCATATATACAACAATCAGATAAAAGTCCCATACTCTACCTGATGAAGGCAGCTATGGGATGAACTCCCAGTTTTCCCATTTGTAGTACAGGGAATTTGGGCTGGCTGGATAATTCCTTGGTTCTGGCAGTGCTTTAACCTTCTGAAATCCTGTGGTGCGTACTTCTAACACTGAAAGTCTGTCATTATTTCTTCTCCACTTATCCATTTTAATAAGGTTAAAATACAGACCTTAAATAACACAGAAAATCCAGAACCTAGGCAAGTCCTGATAGATCAGACTACTCAAGTGATGTATTTTTTAGGTACCTTTATTGGGGGCAAACTGCACATCACTGCAGAAAAAAGCTTATGTTAGGTTGGGATTTATCAAAACAAAAGATAACTTCTAGGATAAATTGTGAGTTCCTCTCTTAAACCTTTAAGATCTACAACTAACAAATGAGGCTCAGGATGGTTAGTTTGAGGCACGAGAAGATCCTGATTTACAAAAGATTCAAATATGATCACTGTGCCATACTTGTGAAAGAAAGCACATGGCACACAGTAGGTGCTCAATAAATGTTTATTGAATGAAATAAAATGAATGAGTGAATGAATAAAGGAGTGAGTGAATGAATGAATTATTTTCATCTAAGTGTTTCGGGCTGGGTTCCCTGCAAAGCTGAGTCAGAAGGCACTGACCAGGAGGACCAGGGAGAGGAGGAAGGGGAGGATGAAGGCCAAGGAGAAGTTGAGCCTGGTGCAGTCCTAATGAAGGCCTCAGCTCACCATAGTGAGAGTTCTGGAACTGGAGTAGTTCTGAAGTATAGCTCCAAGCTGGTATAGCTCCAAGTTGGTATAGCTCCAAGCTGGCCTTTGTACCCATTTTGATCAGTGTTAGCTATGAGCTCCCCATAGAAGGAACCCTGCCATGGACAAAGCAGCTTCTTTCAGCTGAGGCAATCCCCAAAGAAGGCTAACAGCTAAGACTTCCTTCTGGCAGCTCTCCCAGGAGTCCAGGGAATAAGTCTGCAATGGATTGAATGGTGGCCCCCCAAAAGATATGTCCCCATTGTAACCCCCAAAACCTGTGAATGTGACCTCATTTGGAAAAAGGATCTTTGTAGATGTAAATAAGGACCCCGAGAAGAGATCATCCTGGATTACCTGGGGGTTCCCTAAATCCAATGACAAGTGTCCCTATAAGAGATAGAAGAGGAGACTACCCAGAGACACAGAGGAAAAGGCCATGTGAAGACAGAGGCAGAGACTGGAGTCATGCAGCCACAAGCCAAGAAATGCCTGGAGCCATGAGAAGCTAGAAGAAACATAGAGGATTCTCCTCTAAAGCCTTCAGAGAAAGCACGGCCCTGCCTACACATTGATTTCACACTTTTGGCCTTCATGGCTATGAAAAAATAAGCCCATGTTGTTTCAGGCCATTCAGTTTGTGGTAATTTTTGTGGCAGCCCTAGGAAACTAACACAAAGTCCTTCTTCCTGACGGGCATCTGGGTAACTTATCACAGTGTCCACGAAAGATTCAGTTTAATGGGATTTCTGGTTAAAGCTATGAAAACTCAGAAATCTTTCTTTTGGAATATTTCAATTCGATTAAGTTTTTTTGTGTGTGTGTGTGAGGGGTACTGCTCAAAAGAAGTGATAAAAAAATGGACACTAGTAATCTTAACAATCATTATTCGTACCCATAGAATTAATCCAGACTCCGAGGTTGGTATCTGTTCTCATTGTAAAATGACCTAATTAACTGACAGGACCCCCACAGAATTCCTGAAGAGGAAGGCTTAATTGGTATTCTTTGAGAAAGACCTACCCTACTTACTTTACATCTTACCTAAAAATGGTATTTTTGCTGTAGTATATCATATTTCCAAAAAGAACTATTTCTTGGTTTGAAGGTAGCAGCCATACATTTATAGATTTTTACCCAGAGTAATCCAAATTACACACATTATGTGACTGTAATTGCTTATAAACTATGTATGCTATAATTTAATTGTATTTTGAATAAGTGATTTGCATTTTGTAAGGAGCATTTGGTATTTAGCCACTAAGTCACTGGGAGAAAAGAAATCATAATGATATGGAAGGTTTTAAAATATTTACATTTCAACTAAGTAAAGATGGGAACATCCCAGGTTTTTCTTACAGAGAATTAAAGTAATCTTTACCATCCAGAAATAATGCCCCATCAAGAAAATTACATTTGTGCTATTTGAAAGGAGAGGGAGGATATCTATGAAACATAAAGGACAGAATTGAAGGTGGAAAATCAGCATAGCTTATTTGTGAAAAGGCTCTCGTTCCCGTGAAATTTTGATGTATTCTTTACATCCTCAAATTGTTTCCCTTCATTGTTGAGTGTCACAAGGCAGAGAAATCTGGAAGTACCACGCCGTGAATGGGACTGAATTCGTTTCAAAAATATTTCAAAATAGGTAATTACGAACAGATAATTGAAATTCTTATTTAGCAATCAGTATTATTTCAAATGACTGCAAGATTCTTTTTTTCACATCTAGGCAGTACTAACTGGTTACATCAAACACACACAAAAATGTTATATCTGGGAATGTTAAAAACATTGATTAAAATAAAAATCCTGATACCTGGGCTTCAGGCCAATTTTGTAATGCTTTTAAATCAAAGGTGGTCTTACTGATGGTATAGGAAAGGAAAAAGAAAGTGAATATAGCAGGAAGGAACAAAGAGAGAATGACAGGGAGAGGAAGAGATGGGAGAAAGGAAGACTGGGGAGAGGGGAGGAGTGGAATCGAATGAAAACCACAGACAGACAAACATTCAAGTAGCAGAGATTTTCAGTCTTAAACTCTTCTAGAGAATAAACAGATTAAGAGCATGACTTAACTCATTTTTGAAGCTAGTATAGCCTTAATACCAAAAGCAAGCAAGGGCAGTATAAGAAGGAAAATTTACAGGGCAGTTTTTCTCATGAATATAGGTGTACAAATCACAGAAAAAGTATAGGCAACCCAACCCGGGTGTAGTGGTGCAGCCTGTAGTGGGAGACCGAGGCGGAAGGATCTCTTGAGCCCAGGAGTTCGAGGCTGGAGTGAGCTATAATGATGCCACTGCACTACAGCCTGGGCAACAGAGTGAGACCCCATCCAAACAAACAAACAAACAAAAATTTGGCAGCCTGAATCCAGCAATGTATAAAAAAGATAATAAGCCATGATGAGGTTAGTTTTATTTCAGGAAGTCAGTTAGTTTAACATCAGAAAATCTTTTTATGGTTATTACATTAACAAAATAAAGGAGAAAATGCATGTGACTATTTTGATCAATGTAGAAAAAGGGTTTGGTATCCATCAAGGTTTCATGATTTCAAACAATCCTTAGCAAATCAGGAACAGATAGGAACTTTTTAACCTTATAAAAGATACCTACCAATCATATCAACATTAAATGTAAAATGCTAAAATAATTCTCTTTAAGACAAGCGTCACATGTTCTGACTTTTATGTAGAAGCTAAAATATTTGAACACATGGAGGCAGAGAGTGGATAAATAGATAACAGACTAGGAAGAGTGAGTGGGGTAGGTGAGGAGGATGAAGAGAAAGGGTACAAAAATACAGTAAAATAGAAGGCATAAATGCATGCAATGTTTGATAGCAGAGTAGGATGACTATACTTACAAAAAAGTATTGTACTCAGGTGATGGACATCCTAATATTCCGACTTGATCACTACGCATTATATACATATAAAAAATTTCTTATGTACCCCATAAATTGTCACAAATTTTAAAAATGACTTAAATAGATGGAGAAATACATTATGTTCATAGGTCAGACTATTCAAATTTATAAAATGTTTACAAAAATTGGATTAACAAAGTAAAGGAAAAATTATATCATATTGAAAGATGGGAAAAATATTCTATAAAATTCAGCACATTTGTTTATAATTTAAACAAATAAGCCTCTTAGCAAACTAAGACTAGGAGGAAACTTCCTTAATACATAGCAAACAATATATTCAATATTGGAATAATAGCATTTTCTGCAAACTAAGGACAAATAAATGGTGTCATTTCTGTTCAACATTTTACTGGAGGATCTAGGTTGTGCAATAAGATTAGGAAAAGTAGTAAGTTACAGTCAAATTATCAGAATTAATAAGAGTTTATCAAGGTTGTTTTATATAAGATGTATATAAATACTAAATTTTATTTCTAAATACCAGTAGCAAAGAGATTAAAAATATAATTTAGGGCCGGGCATGGTGGCTTATGCCTATAATCCCAGGACTTTGGGAGGCTGAGACAGGCGGATCACGAGGTTAGGATATAGAGACCAGCCTGGCCAACATGGTGAAACCCCGTCTCTGCTAAAATACAAAAATTAGCTGGGTGTGGTGGCATGCATCTGTAATCCCAGCTACTAGGGAGGCTGAGGCAGGAGAATCACTCCAACCCGGGAGGCAGAGGTTGCAGTGATCCAAGATCGCACCATTGCACTCCAGCCTGGACGACAAGGCAAAAAAAAAAAAAAAGTAACTTAAGAAGAACAAAAAACATATTGTACCTAAGAATTAACCTAACAATATGAATTTAAGATCATTATAGACAAAATTATAAAACTCAATAGAAAGATATTAAAGAAGACCTAAATAAAAGAAGTATGATATTCATAGGAAGAGAGAATCAGTATGATAAGAGTGTGAATATTCTCCAAATTGATCTAAAGAGTCCATGTAACTTCAATTAAAATCTCAACAGAGCTTGTCACAGAACTGGCAAGCTGACTCTAAAATTACATATACAACAGCAAAGGTCAAGAATAGCCAAGACACTCTTGAAGAATAGGAGACTTGCTCTACCCAGATATCAAAACTTAATAGAAAGCCACAGTAATTAAGCCATTATGATACTGACATAGAGGCAGACAGAATGGAGAGCCCAGAAACAGACTCACACATATGTGAAAACTTGCTCTGTCACACATCTGGTATTACAGATCATTTAGGAAAGAAGGGTCTAAACAAGAAATAGTACTGGAAAATTGGATATCCATATAGGAAAAAAAAAGTGGAATTGGACTCCTACCTCACACCATACCCCAAATTTCTTTTTTTTAAACTTTTATTTTAGGTTTGGGGGCACATGTGAAGGTTTGTTTTATGGGGAAACTCGTGTCATGGGGGTTTATTGTACAGATTATTCCATCACCCAGGAATTAAGCCCAGTAACCAATAGTTATTTTTTTCTGCTCCTCTCCCTTCTCCCACCCTCCACCCTCAAGTAGGCCCCCGTGTCTATTGTTGCCTTCTTTGTGCTCATGAGTTCTCATCATTTAGCTCCCACTTATAAATGGAAACATGCGGTATTTGGTTTTCTGTTCCTGCATTAGTTTGCTAAGGATAATGGCCTCCAGCTCCATCCATGTTCCTGCAAAAGACATGATCTCATTCTTTTTTACTATACACCAAATTTCAATTCCAGTTTAAATTAAAGATACAAACGTGAAAAGCTAAATTTTTAGAATAAGTTATGAGAAAATATTTTTATGACCTTAGGTTTCTTAAATAAGATACACAAAGTTCTAACTGAGGAAGTGTGATGAATTTTACTTCATTAAAATTAAGAACTCCTGATCATCAAAAGACTACCATCAAGAAAATGAAAAGACAAGTCATAATCTGGAAGAAGATATTTGCAACACACATAACCAACAAATCACTGGCATCTAGAATTTATGAAAATTTTACAAATCAATATAAAAAGAAAAAACGTGATAGAAAAATGAGCAGAAAGCATGAACAAACATTTCACAGACAAGAAACAGGAATGACCAATAAACATGAAAAGATGCTTAACCTTATTAGTAATCAGGGAAATACAAATTAAGATAATGAGGGGATACCATTTACATCCACCATATTGGCACATACTTAAAAGTTGGAAAATATCAAATACTAGCAAGACAGTGAAGCAACTGGAATTTTCATATACCACTGATGGGAATATAAATGGATATACCTACTTTGGAAAACAGTTTGCCATTATGTAATAAAGGTAAATACAGGCATACTCTGTGATTCTACTCCCTGTATGTATAACCAATAGAAATCCATTTATATGTTCACAAAAACATATATATTCATAACATATATAATGAATGTATTGAGTTTCCAACTCAAATGTCCCCCAACAAAAGGATGGATACGAAATGGTGTTTAAGCTGTAGATTCCCATGGAACAGTATAAACGAACTACAGCTACTAAGATAGAGATGATTTGTTTTTGAAATGGAGTCTTTCTTTCTTTAATTTTTAATTATTGTGGGCACATAGTAGGTGTATATATTTATAGGGTACATGAGATGTTTTGATACAGGCATGCAATGTGAAATAAGCACATTATGGAGAATGTGGTGTCCATCTCCTCAAGCATTAAGGACAAACAATCCAATTATACCCTTTACAGTTATTTTAAAATCTGCTATTAAGTTAATGTGTTATCAAATAGCAGGTCTTATTCTTTTTTATTTATTTATTTTTCCTTCCTCCCTCCCTCCCTCCCTTCCTTCCTTCCTTCCTCCTTTCCTTCCTTCCTTTCCTTCCTTCCTTCCCTCCCTCCTTCTTTCTCTCTCTCTCTCTCTCTCTCCCCTTCTCTCTCTCTCTTTCTCTCTTTCCTGTCTTGCTCTGTCACCCAGGTTGGAGTGCAGGGACACAATCTCAGCTCGCTGCAATCTCTACTTCCCGGGTTCAAGCAATTCTCCTGCCTCAGCCACCTGAGTAGCTGGGACTACAGGCATCCACCACCATGCCTGGCTAATTTTTATATTTTTAGTAGAGATGCGATTCCACCACGCTGGCCAGGCTGGTCTCAAACTCCTGACCTCAAGTGATCTGTCTGCCTCAGCCTCCCAAAGTGCTGGGATTACAGGCATGAGCCACTGTGCCCAGACTTATTAATTCTTTCTAATTATTTTTGTAGCCATTCTTCTACTATCTATGTCCATGAGTTCAATTGTTGTGATTTTTAGATCCCACAAGTAAGTAAGAACATGTGAAGTTTGTCTTTCTGTGCCTGGCTTATTCCACTCAACATAATGATCTCCAATTCCATCCATATTGTTGCAAATGACAGGATCTCATTGTTTTTTATGACTGACTACTACTCCCTTGTGTATATGTACCACATTTTCTTTATCCATTCATCTGTTGATGGACACTTAGGTTGATTCCAAATCTTAGCTATTGTAAACAGTGCTGCAACAAACATTGGAGTGCAGATGTCTGTGTGATATACTGATTTCCTTTCTTTTGGGTATATACCCAGCAATGGGACTGCTGGATCATATGGTAGTTCAATTTTTAGTTTTTTGAGGAACCCCCAAAGTGTTCTCCATAATAGTTGTACTAATTTACATTCCCAGCAACAGTGTACAAGAGTTTTCTTTTCTCCACATCCTTGACAGCATTGGTTATTGCCTGTCTTTTTGATATAAGCCATTTTGACTGGGGTTTGAAATAGAGGCTTGCTCTGTTGCCCAGGCTGCAGTGCAGTGGTGCAATCATGGCTTACTGCAGCTTTGACCTCCCAGGCTCAAGCAATCCTCCCACCTCAGCCTCCAGAGTAGCTAGAACTACAGGCATGAACCGCTATGCCTGGCTAATATTTAAAAATTATTTTTTTGTAGAGATAGGGTCTCATTATATTGCCCAGGATGTTCTCGAACTTTTGGCCTCAAGTGATCCTCATGCCTAGGCCTCCCAAAATGCTAGGATTATGTGCCTGGCCAAGAGCTGAATCTTATAAACATAATATTGAGAGGAAAAGCCAGTTGCCAAAGTATTCACAAAGTATATTATATAAAGTCTAAAACCAAAGTATATCATATAAAGTCTAAAAACATGCACAAATGAACCATTTATTGTTTAGGGTTATAATGATATATGGTAAAAACAACATAAAAACAAGAGAATCATAAGCAATTTCCGGATAATGGTTATCCGAGAGTAAGGTTGGGACTAGGGAGAGGCAAATAAGGGGCAAACATGGGTACATGGAGTCCATTTTATTTTTTAAATTTAATTCACTAATACATACATGTTATAGTATATGTAGTTTATAAAATATTTCAGATGGAGGAAACTAACACTATCTTAGCTATACTCTTAGAACTAAAATAATTCTGATTTTATAAATGGGGCAACTGAGGCTTTTGATTGTATTTATCAGATTAATCTAAATCTGGGAAGTATTGATGTTAAATCTTAATAACCTGAGAAAAAAGGAACAAAATGCCAGGAGAAAGAGGAAGTTAGAAAAGAGGAAGTAGAATGATGGTCAGAGAGACAGAGAAGAGAAAGAAGAGATGTCTGGACAGAGCTAATTTAGGAATACATTTTGGTGTTTTTAAAATCCGGTTACCACCTGCTTAACCTCTCTGCTAAAAAATAATGCACTTAGTAACATCACCAGTCTATATTCTCTAATGCAGAGAGTAAACACTTGCCTGGTATCTTGCCTCTAAATGTCTCTAGATTCAGAACACTGGTTACCTGGGAGAACCCATAGTCTTCCACCATCACACTGTAACACTGATTAGTTAACCATATTAGTTAGTTGAAGCCTTAGATCTGGAGATGATGAAAGTTAGAGCCAGCTAAACTGGAGGAGTGGTGTGGCAGGGAAAGAAGGAAGCCCAGGAGGTTGGACACAGTAATCCTAGGCTGGAGAAGATACAGGGAGGATGAGAAAACAGAAATTTGGGTGCCTAGAAATCTGGCCCTAGAAAAGGGAAGGAATAGTTTTGTCCAAGATCAGTCCTAGCCTGAAAAAAGAAGAAAAGGGAGAAGTAAAGAAAAGGGAGAACAGACCATCATCAAGTCAACTCCATTAACTTTGTGTGTGTTTCCATTCATGAAGTTTTGTTATAAACTAGTGATAGGAAACTTTAAAAATCTAATATTACCTAAGGTGGGATTACATGATTCCCTTATAGGAGGCTGATATGTGGTAGGATTTGGGGATTTTGGAGATGGTCCCAAATCTTAGCTAAAAGTATGTCCACAGTCCCCATTAGGTGTCTGAAATTCTGTTAGGGAAGGTCTTCATGACTTGTCTTCCCTCTGCCAAGGAAAATGGCAAATGTTTCTTTCTAGAAGTGCTTTTTCTTTGAAGGCAGAAAGTTCTATGGGCTGACCTGCTGAATGTAGCCTAGAAGCTGAGCCTGATATAAAATTTTAGGAGATAACTTAAAGTGCCATCAAGCTTAAGTGAAAAGGATGCAGGGCAACTTTTCAATCTGCAGACCCTGTTGTCAAGGAAAAGCCAGCACAAATGGAAACCCTCAGGTGGATACCAGCTGACTCCTTGCCACCGCACCCTACCGCTCTCTCTGATCTGTTCTGCCTCAGGTCTCTTGGCAGACAAAACCCATTAGATATTTAGTTTGTCAGTTTATGAGGCTTTGCCTCATCTGGCAAACCTTTTTTTTTTTTTTTTTTTTGAAATGGAGTTTCACTCTTGTTGCCCAGGTTGGAGTGCAATGGCGCGATCTCGGCTCACCACAACCTCTGCCTCCCAGTTTCAAGCGATTGTCCTGCCTCAGCCTCCTGAGTAGCTGGGATTACAGGCATGCGCCACCACGCCCAGCTAATTTTGTATTTTTAGTAGAGATGGGGTTTCTCCGCATTGGTCAGGCTGGTCTCAAACTCCTAACCTCAGATGATCCGCCCTCTTCAGCCTCCCAAAGTGCTGGGATTACAGGCATGAGCCACCGCACCCGGCCCAGCAAACCTCTTTCTAAGTGACATCTGTTGAAGGATTAACATGTTAAGAGAAAATATACTATTGACATTTTGGTGAGAATGAGTTGGTTATATTCTTTCCTTCTTGAAACCCAGAGATGAGCAGGGCAGAGAGGGAATAGAAATGTAGCTGGGGTCATGGAAAAGAAAGGAATCAATTTTGAAGTGCAGAGTAAGGTCCAGGAGGAGTGGTCTATGTGATGCCAGAATGCAAGCAAGGTCTTAGCATCAGGGAGGTAGGTAATGGCAAAGAAAGCCTGGGAGGAGACCACCCAAAGGACTTGTTGAGAGTACCCAAAGACAAAGCCATGTGCCATAGTGTGTTACTACATGAGTTCCCAGACATATGTGTCTGGCTCAGTGATCCGGAAGGTTTCTTCAATCTTGCTAAATAACTTTACCTATGTCAATATTGTATATAGTAAAGAATTATGGTGGGATGTGCACAAAGTATTAACAGTGCTATACATTGGTTGTGTCTGAGGAATTTTAAGGCTGTCTCCCTCTTCCTTTATTATTTATTTTTCAGGTTCTCATGGTTGAATTTCTACAATGAATTTCTACACTTCCTAAGTAGTCACTTCTTAGGAAGTTGCTTGACTCCTCCAAATTCCTTCTTTTCTAAGAATATTCCCAATGTGTAAAAGTAGGCCCCAAGGGACTTTGTCTGCAACATATGACCCTGTCTCCCTTCCACTGATGATGAACCCAAGATTGGGTTAAATTAATTAATTAATTAATTAACCCAAGCTGAGGCAATCAAATTCTCTCTCTCCTTGAGTATCAATTAGGATTCTCTGGGCCACAAGTAACAGAAAACCACAAGTCCACTGTTTTAAACACTAAGGGCAATTACTATCTCATGTAACAAGATACTCAGGGGCAGAGTAGTTACATAATGACACCAAGGAAGCAGGGATATTCTACGATGAGATAAAAAAACACAGCTTCCTTCCCACTTTCAGTGTGGACTTGATCATGTTAGCTTTGATCTTGGCTAGCAATCCTTGTTGCTGCAAAATGGCACTCTCTAGGCTCACTGCAACCTCCGCCTCCTGAGTTCAAGCGATTTTCCTGCCTCAGCCTCCTGAGTAGCTGTGATACAGGTGTGCACCACCACGCCTGGCTAATTTTGTATTTTTAGTACAGTCTGGGTTTTACTATGTTGGCCAAGCTAGTCTCGAACTCCTGACAGGTAATCTGCACACCTTGGCATCCCAACGTGCTGGGATTACAGCAAGCCTCACCACTGTGGGCCAAAGAGCTCTGGGGTTCTAAATAAACTTGAAAGGCAGTCTAGGCATGAGGACTGCAATTCCTGGGCAAGTCCTGGGTTCAGAGCCAGTGGACTTGGGATGCATGTGACCTGGTGAGACACCAGCTGGGGCAGCCAAGGGAATGCTTGTGCCACCCCTCCACCAACCCCAGATAGGAAAGCTCTCAGCTCCAGGAGACACTCTTTTGTTCTTCTTGAGGGGAGGAGGGGGAGAGTAAAGAGGACTTTGTCTTGCAACATGGATACCAGCTCAGCCACAGTAGGACAGGGCATCAGAAAGAGTCCTGAGGTCCCTATTCCAGGCCCTAGTTTCCAGACAACATTTCTACATACCATGGGCTAGTAGGGAACCTCCTGCCTTTAAGGGAAGGACCCCATCCTGGCAAGATTCATTACATGCTGACTAAAGAGCCTGAATAATCAGCAGTGGTAGTCAGGCAGTAGTCTCTGAGGACCTTGGGTGAGACTCAGGGCTGTGCTGGCTTCAGGTCTGACTCAGCACAGTCCCAGTGGTGGTGGCCCCAGGGGTGCTTATGTCATCCCTGCCCTGGCTCCAGACAGCTCAGGACACAGAGAGAGACTCTGTTTGGGGGAAAGTAAGAGAAGAGAACAAGAGTCTCTACATGGGATTTTAAAGAATTCTTCTGGATCTTATCCATGACCACCAAGGTAGTACCTCTATGGGTCTGCAAGAGCCACAATATTACTAGGCTTGGGGTGCTCCCTAATGGAGATATGGCTACAGTGACCAAAGAGTTAGATCACAATACACAGGACCCTTTGAATACTTGGAAAGTCTTCCCAAGAAGGACAGGTACAAACAAGCCCAGACAGCAAAGACTACAACAAATACCTAACTTTTTAATGCTCAGACACTGACAAACATATACAAGCATCAAGACCATACAGGAAAACATGACCTCACCAAGCAAACTAAATAAGGCACCAGTGACCAATCCCAGAGAAACAGAAATTTGTAACCTTTCAGACAGAGAATTCAAAATAGCTATTTTGAGGAAGCTCAACAAAATTCAAGATAACACAGAAGAAATTCAGAATCCTATCAGATAAATTTTACAAAGAGATCTAAATAATTTAAAAGAATTGGGCAGAAATTCTGGAGCTGAAAAATATGACTGACATTTTAAAGAATGCATCAGAATCTCTTAACAGCAGAACTGATCATGCAGAAGAAAGAATTAGTGAACTTGAAGACAGGCTGTTGGAAAATACAGAGTCAGAGGAGAAAAAGGAATAAAAAAAAGAATGAAGCACACCTACAAGATAGACAAAATAGCCTCAAAAGGGCAAACCTAAGAGTTATTTGGCCTTAAAGAGGAGGCAGTGAGAGAAAGAGAGAGAGAGAGAGAGAGAGAACAGGGTAGAAAGCTTATTCAAAGGGACCGTAACAGAGATCTTCCCAAACTTAGAGAAAGATATCAATATTCAAGTACAAGAAAGTTATAGAACATCAAGCAGATTTAACCCAAATAAGGCTACCTCAAGACATTTAATAATGAAACTCCCAAAGGTCAAGGATAAAGAAAGGATCCTGAAATTAGCAATAGAAAAGAAACAAACAAATAACATACAAAGGTGGCTGGGCATGGTGTCTCAGGCCTGTAATCCCAGCACTTTGGGAGGCTGTAGCAGGCAGATCATTCAAGGTCAGGAGTTTGAGATCAGCCTGGCCAACATGATGAAACCCTGTATCTACTAAAAATAACAAAAATTAGCTAGTCATGGTGGCACATGCCTGTAATTCCAGCTACTTGAGAGGTGGAGGCAGGAAAATCATTTGAACCCAGGAGGTGGAGGTTGCAATGAGTCGAGATTGCACTACTGCACTCCAGCCTGGGTGATAGAGCGAGACCCTGTCTCAAAAACAACAACAAAACAAAACAAAACCCATACAAAGAAGCTGTAATACATTTGGCAGCAGACTTCACATTGGAAACTTTACAGGCCAGGAGAGGGTGGCATGACATATTTAAAGTGCTGAATGAAAAAGTTTTGTCCTAGAATAGTATATCCAGCAAAAATATCCTTCAAAATCATGTTTGAAAGATATACTATTCTTTATATAATCAACAATAAAGACATTCTCAGAAAAACAAAAGCTGAGGGATTTCATCAACACCAGACCTATCCTACAAAAAATGCTAAAGGGAGTTCTTTAATCTGAAAGAAAAGGATGTTAATGAGCAATAAGAAATCATCTGAAGACACAAAACTCACTGATAATAGTAAGCACACAGAAAAACACAGACTATTATAACACTGTAATTGTCGGTGTAAACTACTCATATTTTGAATAGAAAGACTAAAAAATGGAACTATCAGATATAATAATTACAATAACTTTTCTAGACATAGAATAATAATATGTAAATAGAAACAACCAAAACTTAAAAAGCAGAGGGATGAAGTTAAAGTGTAGAGTTTTAATTAGTTGTCTCTTTACTTGTTTGTTAATTTGTTTATGCAATCAGTGTCATCAGTTTAAATAATAGGTTATAAGACATTATTTGCAAGCTTCATGGTACCCTCAAATAAAAAAAAATACAACAGACACACAAAAAAATAAAAACCAAGAAGTTAAAACATATAACCAGAGAAAATTACCTCCACTTAAAGGAAGATAGGAAAGAAGGAAGAGAAATCCACAAAACAACCAGAAAACAAATAACAAAATGGCAGGAGTAAGTTCTTACCTACCAATAACGTTGGATGTAAGTTTGTGACCAGCCTGGGCAACATAGTGAAACCCCATCTCCACTAAAAATACAAAAATTAGCTGGGCATGTGGTGCGTGCCTATAGTTCCAGTTATTCAGGAGGCTGAGGTGGGAGGATTGCTTGAACCCAGGAGGTGGAGGCTGCAGTGAGCTGAGATCATGACACTGTACTCTAGCTTGGGCAGAGTGAGACCCTGTCTCAAAAATAAACAAACAAACAAACAAACAAAAGCCAGGCATAGACTGAAAATAAAGGAATGGAAAAGATTTTCCATGCCAATGGAAACCAAAAAAGAGCAGGGGTAGCTGTATTTATATCAGACAAAATAGACTTCAAGA
The DNA here is from genome assembly GCF_000001405.40 of Homo sapiens. NCBI lineage: Eukaryota > Metazoa > Chordata > Mammalia > Primates > Hominidae > Homo > Homo sapiens. The sequence goes on along the minus strand of NC_000002.12, from coordinate 171,649,993 downwards.
CAGAAACTATAAAAAGAGGCAAAGAAAGCCTTTATATAATGATAAAGGGATTGATTCTTCAAGAGGATATAACAACTGTGAGTATATATGCACCCAACACTGGAACACCCAGATATAGAAAACAAATATTATTAGAGCAAAAGAGAGAGAGATAGACCCCAAACAGTAAGAGCTGGAGACCACAACATCCTACTTTCAGCATTGGACAAATCTGCCAGACAGAAAATCAACAAAGAAACATTGGACTTAATCTGCACTATAGAGCAAATGGACCTAACAGATATTACAGAACATTTCATACAATGGCTGCAGAATATACACTCCTTTCCTCAGCACGTGGATCATTCTCAAGAATAGATCATATCTTAGACTACAAAACAAGTCTTAAAACATTCAAAGAATTGAAATAATATCAAGCATCTTCTCTGACCACAATGGAATAAAACTGGAAATCAATAACAAGAGAAATTTTGGAAAGTATTCAAACACATGAAAAATAAACACTATACTCCTGAATGACCAGTGAGTCAATGAAGAAATTAAGAAAATTTAAAATTTTCTTGAAGCAAATGATAATGGAAACACAACATACCAAAACCTATGAGATACAGCAAAAGCAGTACTAAGAGCCAAGCTTATAGCAGCAAGTGGCTACATCAAAACAGTACAAAAACTTCAAATAAACAACCTATTGATGCATCCTAAAGAACTCAAAATGCAAGAGCAAACAAAACCCAAAATAAGTAGAAGGAAAGAAATAATAAAGATCAGAGCAGAAATAAATGAAATTGAAACAATAAATAATACAGAAGATCAGTGAAATGAAAAGTTGTTTTTTTGAAAAGATAAACAAAATTGGCAAACCTTTAGCCAGATTAATTAAGAAAAAAAGAGAGAAGACACAATAAATAAAATCAGAAATGAAAAAGAAGACATTACAACTGATACTGCAGAAATTCAAAGGATCAATGGAGGCTACTTTGAGTAACTGTATGCCAATAAATTAGAAAACCTAGAAGAACTGGATAAACTCATAGATACATACAACCTACAAAGATTGAACCATGAAGAAATTCAACACCTGAACAGACCAGTAATGAGTAATGATATTGAAGCCATAATAAAAGATCTCTAAGCAAAGTCCAGGATCCCATGTTTTCACTGCTGATTATTGTGAGAAATTTAGAGAAGAACCAATACCAGTCCTACTCAAACTATTCCAAAAAATAGAGGAGGAGGAGAAAACATTTCCAGACTCATTCTATGAGGCCAGCATTACTCTGACACCAAAACCAGACAAGGACAGGTTAAAAAAAAAAAAAACTACAGGCCAATATCCCTTATGAATATTGATTCAAAAATCCTCAACAAAATACTAGCAAACCAAATTCAACAGCATATTAAAAACATCATTCATCATGACCAAGTGGGATTTATCCCAGCAATGCAAGGATGGTTAACATATATAATCAATCAACCTGATAAATCATATGTCCAGAATGAAGGACAAAAACCATATAATCATTTCAATTGATGCTGAAAAAGCATTTGATCAAATTCAATATCCCTTCATGATAAAAACCCTCAAAAACTTGAGTATAGAAGGAACACACCACAACACAAAAAGGCCATATACGGTAGATCCACAGCTAGTATCATACTGAATGGGCAAAAGCTGAAAGTCTTTCCTGTAAGATCTGGGACACAACAAAGATGCCCACTGTCACCACTGTTATTCAGCATAGTAATGGAAGTCCTTGCTACAGCAATCAGACAAGAGAAAGAAATAAAGAACATCCAAACTGAAAAGGAAGAAGTCAAATTATCCTTGTTTGCAGATGATATAAGCTTATATTTGGAAAAACCTAAAGGTTCTGCCAAAAAAACTATTAGAACTGATAAACAAATTCAGTAAAGTTGCAGTACACAAAATCAACATACAAAAATCAGTAGCATTTTCCATATGCCATTAGCAAACAATATGAAAAAGATATCAAGAAAATAATCTCATTTACAATATATACAAATAAAATAAAATACCTGTAAATGAACTTCACCAAAGAAGTGAAAGATTTGTACCATGAAAACCATAACACATTAATGCAATAAATTGAAGAGAACACAAAAAAATGAAAACGGTTTGGAAGGATCAATATTGCTAAAATGTTCCTACTCCTCGAAGCAATCTACAGATTCAATGCAATCCCTACCAAAATATCATGACATTCTTCACAGAAATAGAAAAATAGGCTGGGCCCGGTGGCTCACGCCTGTAATCCCAGCACTTTGGGAGGCTGAGGTGGGCGGATCACGAGGTCAGGAGATCGAGACCATCCTGGCTATCATGGTGAAACCCTGTCTTTACAAAAAAATACAAAATATAAGCCAGGTGTGGTGGTGGGCACCTGTAGTCCCAGCTACTTGGGAGGCTGAGGCAGGAGAATGGCATGAATCCAGGAGGCGGGGCTTGCAGTGAGCCGAGATGGTGCCACTGCATTCCAGCCTGGGTGGCAGAGTGAGACTCTGTCTCAAAAAAAAAAAAAAAAAAAAGAAACAGAAAAATAAAAAAATCGAGGGGTGGAGCCAAAATGGCCGAATAGGAACAGCTCCAGTCTACACCTCCCAGTGTGAGCGATGCAGAAGACGAATGATTTCTGCATTTCCAACTGAGGTACCAGGTTCATCTCACTGGGGACTGTCAGACAGTGGGTGCAGGACAGTGGGTGCAGTGCACCAAGTGTGAGCTGAAGCAGGGCGAGGCCTTGCCTCACCCGGGAAGTGCAAGGGGTCAGGGAGCTCCCTTTCCTTGCCAAGGAAAGGGGTGACAGACGGCACCTGGAAAATTGGGTCACTCCCACCCTAATACTGCGCTTTTCCAATAGTCTTAGCAAATGGCACACCACGAGATTGTATCCTGCGCCTGGCTCGGAGGGTCCTATACCCATGGAGCCTCACTCATTGCTAGCACAGCAGTCTGAGATCAAACTGCAAGGCGGCAGCGAGGCTGGGGGAGGGGCACCCACCATTGCTGAGGCTTGAGTAGGTAAACAAAGCAGCCAGGAAGCTTGAACTGGGTGGAGCCCACTGCAGCTCAAGGAAGCCTGCCTGCCTCTATAGACTCCACCTCTGGGGTCAGGTCATAGCCAAACAAAAGGTAGCAGAAACCTCTGCAGACTTAAATGTCCTTGTCTGACAGCTTTGAAGAGAGTAGTGGTTCTCCCACCATGCAGCTTGAGATCTGAGAATGGACAGACTGCCTCCTCAAATGGGTCCCTGACCCCTGAGTAGCCTAACTGGGAGGCACACCCAGTAGGGGCAGAATGACAGCTCACATGGCCAGGTACCCCTCTGAGATGAAGCTTTCAGAGGAACGATCAGGCAGCAACATTTGCTGTTCACCAATATCCACTGTTCTGCAGCCTCTGCTGCTGATACCCAGACAAACAGGATCTGGAGTGGACCTCCAGCAAACTCCACAGACCTGCAACTGAGGGTCCTGACTGTTAGAAGGAAAACTAACAGAAAGGACATCCACACAAAAACCCCATCTGTACGTCACCATCATCAAGGACCAAAGGTAGATAAAACCACAAAGATGGGGAAAAAACAGAGCAGAAAAACTGAAAATTCTAAAAAGCAGAGCGCCTCTCTTCCTCCAAAGGAATGCAGCTCCTCACCAGCAACAGAACAAAGCTGGACAGAGAATGACTTTGACGAGTTGAGAGAAGAAGGCTTCAGACGATCAAACTACTCCAAGCTAAAGGAGGAAGTTCGAACCCATTGCAAAGAAGTTAAAAACCTTGAAAAAAGATTAGACGAATGGCTAACTAGAATAACCAATGCAGGGAAGTCCTTAAAGGACCTGATGGAGCTGAAAACCATGGCACGAGAACTACATGATGAATGCACAAGCCTCAGTAGCCGATTCCATCAACTGGAAGAAAGGGTATCAGTGATGGAAGATCAAATGAATGAAATGAAGCGAGAAGAGAAGTTTAGAGAAAAAAGAATAAAAAGAAACGAACAAAGCCCCCAAGAAATAATGGGACTATGTGAAACGACCAAATCTTTGTCTAATTGGTGTACCTGAAAGTGACGGGGAGAATGGAACCAAGTTGGAAAACACTCTGCAGGATATTATCCAGGAGAACTTCCCCAATCTAGCAAGGCAGGCCAATATTCAGATTCAGGAAATACAGAGAACGCCACAAAGATACTCCTGGAGAAGAGCAACTCCAAGACACATAATTGTCAGATTCACCAAAGTTTAAATGAAGGAAAAAATGTTAAGGGCAGCCAGAGAGAAAGGTCGGGTTACCCACAAAGGGAAGCCCATCAGATTAACAGCTGATCTCTTGGCAGAAACTCTATAAGCCAGAAGAGAGTTGGGGCCAATATTCAACATTCTTAAAGAAAAGAATTTTCAACCCAGAATTTCATATCCAGCCAAACTAAGCTTCATAAGTGAAGGAGAAATAAAATGCTTTACAGACAAGCAAATGCTGAGAGATTTTGTCACCACCAGGCCTGCCTTACAAGAGCTCCTGAAGGAAGCACTAAACATGGGAAGGAACAACCAGTACCAGCCACTGCAAAAACATGCCAAATTGTAAAGACCATCGAGGCTAGGAAGAAACTGCATCAACTAATGAGCAAAATAACCAGCTAACATCATAATGACAGGATCAAATTCACACATAACAATATTAACCTTAAATGTAAATAGGCTAAGTGCTCCAATTAAAAGACACAGACTGGCAAATTGGATACAGAGTCAAGACCCATCAATGTGCTGTATCAGGAAACCGATCTCAGGTGCAGAGACACACCTAGGCTCAAAATAAAGGGATGGAGGAAGATCTACCAAGCAAATGGAAAACAAAAAAAGGCAGGGGTTGCAATCCTAGTCTCAGATAAAACAGACTTTAAACCAACAAAGATCAAAAGAGACAAAGAAGGCCATTACATAATGGTAAAGGGATCAATTCAACAAGAAGAGCTAACTATCCTAAATATATATGCACCCAATACAGGAGCACCCAGATTTATAAAGAAGTCCTTAGAGACCTACAAAGAGACTTAGACTCCCACACAATAATAATGGGAGACTTTAACACCCCACTGTCAACATTAGACAGATCAATGAGACAGAAAGTTAACAACGATATCCAGGAATTGAACTCAGGTCTGCACCAAGCAGACCTAATAGACATCTACAGAACTCTCCACCCCAAATCAACAAAATATACATTCTTTTCAGCACCACACTACACCTATTCACAAAATTGACCACATAGTTGGAAGTAAAGCACTCCTCAGCAAATGCAAAAGAACAGAAATTATAACAAACTGTCTCTCAGACCACAGTGCAATCAAACTAGAACTCAGGATTAAGAAACTCACTCAAAACCGCTCAACTGCATGGAAACTGAACAACCTGTTCCTGAATGACTACTGGGTACGTAATGAAATGAAGGCAGAAATAAAGATGCTCTTTGAAACCAACGAGAACAAAAACACAACATACCAGAATCTCTGGGACACATTCAAAGCAGTGTGTAGAGGGAAATTTATAGCACTAAATGCCCACAAGATAAAGCAGGAAAGATCTAAAATTGACACTCTAACATCACAATTAAAAGAACTAGAGAAGCAAGAGCAAACACATGCAAAAGCTAGCAGAAGGCAAGAAATAACTAAGATCAGAGCAGAACTGAAGGAGATAGAGACACAAAAAACCCTTCAAAAAATCAATGAATCCAAGAGCTGGCTTTTTGAAAAGATCAACAAAATTGATAGACTGCTAGCAAGACTAATAAAGAAGAAAAGAGAGAAGAATCAAACAGATGCAATAAAAAATGGTAAAGGGGATATCACCACCAATCCCACAGAAATACAAACTACCATCAGAGAATACTATAAACACCTCTATGCAAATAAACTAGAAAATCTAGAAGAAATGGATAAATTCCTTGATGCATACACCCTCCCAAGACTAAACCAGGAAGAAGTTGAATCTCTGAATAGAACAATAACAGGCTCGGAAATTGAGGCAATAATTAATAGCTTACCAACCAAAAAAAGTCCAGGACCAGATGGATTCACAACCGAATTCTACCAGAGGTACAAGGAGGAGCTGGTACCATTCCTTCTGAAACTATCCCAATCAACAGAAAAAGAAGGAATCCTCCCTGATTCATTTTATGAGGCCAGCATCATCCTGATAACAAAGCCTGTCAGAGACACAACCAAAAAAGAGAATTTAGACCAATATCTCTGATGAACATTGACGTAAAAATACTCAATAAAATACTGGCAAACCGAATACAGCAGCACATCAAAAAGCTTATCCACCACGGCCAAGTTGGCTTCATCCCTGGGATGCAAGGCAGGTTCAACATACGCAAATAAATAAATGTAATCCAGCATATAAACAGAACCAAAGACAAAAACCACATATTATCTCAATAGATGCAGAAAAGGCCTTGGACAAAATTCAACAACGCTTCATGCTAAAAACTCTCAATAAATTAGGTATTGATGGGACGTATCTCAAAATAATAAGAGCTGTCTATGACAAACCCACAGCCAATATCATACTGAATGGGCAAAAACTGGAAGCATTCCCTTTGAAAACTGGCACAAGACAGGGATGCCCTCTCTCACCACTCTATTCAACATAGTATTGGAAGTTCTGGCCAGGGCAATTAGGCAGGAGAAGGAAATAAAGGGTATTCAATTAGGAAAAGAGGAAGTCAAATTGTCCCTGTTTGTAGACGACATGATTGTATATCTAGAAAACCCATTGTCTCAGCCCAAAATCTCCTTAAGCTGATAAGCAACTTCAGCAAAGTCTCAAGACACAAAATCAATGTACAAAAATCACAAGCATTCTTATACACCAATGACAGACAAACAGACAGCCAAATCATGAGTGAACTCCCATTCACAATTGCTTCAAAGAGAATAAAATACTTAGGAATCCAACTTACACGGGATGTGAAGGACCTCTTCAAGGAGAACTACAAACCACTGCTCAAGGAAATAAAAGCGGATACAAACAAATGGAAGAACATTCCATGCTCATGGGTAGGAAGAATCAATGTCGTGAAAATGGCCATACTGCCCAAGGTAATTTATAGATTCAATGCCATCCCCATCAAGCTACCAATGACTTTCTTCACAGAATTGGAAAAAACTACTTTAAAGTTCATGTGGAACCAAAAAAGAGCCCGCATTGCCAAGTCAATCCTAAGCAAAAAGAACAAAGCTGGAGGCATCACACTACCTGACTTCAAACTATACTATAAGGCTACAGTAACCAAAACAGCATGGTACTGGTACCAAAACAGAGATATAGACCAATGGAACAGAACAGAGCCCTCAGAAATAATGCCACATATCTACAACTATCTGATCTTTGACAAACCTGAGAAGAACAAGCAATGGGGAAAGGATTCCCTATTTAATAAATGGTGCTGGGAAAACTGGCTAGCCATAGGTAGAAAGCTGAACCTGGATCCCTTCCTTACACCTTATATAAAAATTAATTCAAGATGGATTAAAGACTTACATGTTAGATCTAAAACCATAAAAACCCTAGAAGAAAACCTAGGCAATACCATTCAGGACATAGGCATGGGCAAGGACTTCATGTCTAAAACACAAAAAGCAATGGCAACAAAAGCCAAAATTGACAAATGGGATCTAATTAAACTAAAGAGCTTCTGCACAGCAAAAGAAACTACCATCAGAGTGAACAGGCAACCTACAGAATTGGAGAAAATTTTTGCAATCTACTCATCTGACAAAGGGCTAATATCCAGAATCTACAATGAACTCAAACAAATTTACAAGAAAAAAACAACCCCATCAACAAGTGGGCGAAGGATATGAACAGACACTTTTCAAAAGAAGACATTTATGCAGCCAAAAGACACATGAAAAAATGCTCATCATCACTGGCCATCAGAGAAATGCAAATCAAAACCACAATGAGACACCATCTCACACCAGTTAGAATGGCGATCATTAAAATGTCAGGAAACAACAGGTGCTGGGAGGATGTGAAGAAATAGGAACACTTTTACACTGTTGGTGGGACTGTAAACTAGTTCAACCATTGTGGAAGTCAGTGTGGTGATTCCTCAGGGATCTAGAACTAGAAATACCATTTGACCCAGCCATCCCATTACTGGGTATATACCCAAAGGATTATAAATCATGCTGCTATAAAGACACATGCACACGTATGTTTATAGCAGCACTATTCACAATAACAAAGACTTGGAACCAACCCAAATCTCTAACAATGATAGACTGGATTAAGAAAAGGTAGCACATATATACCATGGAATACTATGCAGCCATAAAAAATGATGAGTTCATGTCCTTTGTAGGGACATGGATGAAGCTGGAAACCATCATTCTCAGCAAACTATCACAAGGACAAAAAACCAAACACCTCATGTTCTCACTCACAGGTGGGAATTGAACAATGAGAACACATGGACACAGGAAGGGGAACATCACACACCGGGCCTGTTGTGGGGTGGGGGGAGTAGGGGATGGCATTAGGAGATACACCTAATGTTAAATGACAAGTTAATGGGTGCAGCACACCAACATGGAGTGTGTATACATATGTAACAAACCTGCATATTGTGCACATGTACCCTAAAACTTAAAGTATAATTAAAAAAGAAAAATTAAAAAAAATCCTAAAATTTATAAGGAACCACAAAAAAACCAAATAGCCAAAGCTATTCTGAGCAAAGGGAATAAAACTGGAGGAATCACATTACCTGACTTTGAATTATACTACAGAGCTATAGTAACCAATACAGCAGCACTATCTACAACAGCCAAGATTTGGAAGCAACCTAAGTGTCCATCAACAGAGGAATGGATAAAGAAAATGTGCTACATATACACTAACATGAAAACAGACACATAGACCAAGAGAACAGAATAGAGAACCAAGAAAGGAATTCATGCATCTACAGTAATTCATTTTCAACAAAGGTGCCAAGAACATACACTGGGGAAAGGACAGTCTCATCAATAAATGGTGCTGGGGAAACTGGATATCTATGTGCAGAAGAATGAAACTAGATCCCTATCTCAACATATACAACAATCACATCAGAATGGATTGGCCAGGTGCGGTGGCTCATGTCTGTAATCCCAGCACTTTGGGAGGCCGAGGCAGGCGGATCACTTGAAGTCAGGAGTTCAAGACCAGCCTGGCCAACATGGCGAAGCCCCATCTCTACTAAAAATACAAAAAAATTAGCCTGACATGGTGGCAGGTGCCTGTAATCCCAGCTATGTGGGAGGCTGAGGCAGGAGAATCGCTTGAACCTGGGAGGCGGAGGTTGCAATGAGCCGAGATGATGCCACTGCACTCCAGCCTGGACGACAGAGCCAGACTTCATCTAAAAAAAAAAAATCAGAATGGATTAAAGACTTAAGTCTAAGACCTCAAACTATGAAACTACTAAAAGAAAACTTCGGGGAAACTCTCCAGGACATTGGTCTGGGCAAAGATTTCTTAAGTAATGCCCCACAAGCATAGGCAACCAAAGTGAAAATGGAGAAATGGAATCACATAAAGTTAAAAAGCTTCTGCACAGCAAAGGAAACAATCAACAATGTGAGAAGATAACCCATACAATGGGAGAGAATATTTGCAAATTATCCATCTGACAAGGGGTTAATAACCAGAATATATAACAAGCTCAAACAACTCTATAGGAAAGAAATCTGAGAATCTGATTTTAAAATATGTGAATAACATTTCTCAAAAGAAGACATACAAATGGCAAAGAGGCATATGAAAAGGTGCTCAACATCATTGGTCATCAGAGAAATGCAAACCAAAACTATAATGATATATAATCTCACCTCAGTTTAAAAAGTGGCTTTTTCGACAGGCAATAATGAATACTGGTGAGGATGCGGAGTAAAGGGAACCCTCCTCCACTATTGGTGGGGATGTTGATTAGTACAAGCACTACGGAGAACAGTTTGGAGGTTCCTCAAAAAACTAAAAATAGAACTACCATATGATCCAGCAATCTCACTTCTAGGTATATACCCAAAAGAAAGGAAATCAATATATCAAAGAGATATCTGTATGCCCATTTTTATTGAAGCACTATTCTCAATAGCTAAGATTTGGAAGCATGATAAGTGTCCATCAACAGAGGAATGGATAAAGAAAATGTGCTACATATACACAATGGAGTACTATTCCGCCATAAAATGAATGAGATTCTATCATTTGCAACAACATAGCTTGAATTGGAGGTCATTATGTTAAAGAAAATAAGCCAGGCACGAAAAGACAAACTTCACATGTTCCCACTTATTTGTGGGAGCTTAAAATTAAAACAATTGAACTCAAGGAGATAGAGAGTAGAAGGATGGTTACCAGAGGCTGGGGAGAGTAATGTAAGTGGGGTGGGTTAGGTGGAATGGGGATGGTTAATGGGGACAAAAATATAGTTAAGCAGAATGAATAAGATCTAGTATTTGAGCCGGGCAGGGTGGCTTGTGCCTGTAATCCCAGCCACTCGGGAGGCTGAGGCAAGAGAATGGCTTGAACCTGGGAGGCGGAGGTTGCAGTGAGCTGAGATTGCACCACTGCACTCCAGCCTGGGCAACAGAGTGAGACTCCACCTCAAAAAAAAAAAAATCTAGTATTTGATATCACAACAGGGTGACTATAGCCAACAATAATTTATTGTGCATTTTAAAATAACTGAAAGTTATTTGATTGTAACACAAAGGATGAAAGCTTGAGGTGATAGATATCCCATTCACCCTGATGTAATTATTACACATTGTATGTCTGTTTCAAAATGTCTCATGTGCCCCATAAATATATACACATACTATGTACCCACAAAAATTAAAAATAAATTTAAAAAAAGAAAAAAAGAAAAGCCTGGACTGCTTTTGAATAGTTGGTGTATAATCTCTGGAGTTATGCGGTAAGGATCGATGACATGGCAGCCAACATTCACTTCTCATGGCACACTGTGGCATGCTGCAGTGTGGTCTGATCTGACTGGATAATAGCTGGGTTGAACACAAGGGGACCCCTACATCAGCCTTGAGAGAGGGCACAATTCAAACTTGGTAGCTGGGCAGCTTGGAGGCTCTCAAACACTAAAATCTACAATCTAGACTCTAGATTGTAGAATCTAGATTCTATTCTAGAGAATAACATGAAGACCCTACAGATCCTGGTTCAAAAGGCCACTACCAACAGACACAATCCCACAAACAGAACCATAAAGAGTTAGGGACCACTGGGCCAGGGCACTGCTTTATGCGTCCAGTCTCAGCAGCTTTTCCATCACCAATTCAGACACCTCACTGAGCTGCCATTTTGGGTGAGATGGGAGGCTTCTCATTGAGTTCCCCAGTTCCTTCTTGGTATGCCTAAGTAGTACTCCCTTTTGGTCACATATCAACATTTTAAAACTTGACCTATATATCCAATCTGTGATTTCTTCTGAGTCAGTAACCATACACTGTTATTTGCTTTATATTATAATCACATTTTCCTTTTACTTTACTAAAGGATGTGGCTATGCTTAAGGAAGCAACTACCATTAAAGTATTAATTAAAAAAAAACACCACCACATTAAGTTGGCATTAAAGAAACTAATGCAAGTCATGGTTCAGGTTAGATGTCGGAATTTATCAATGCCATTCATTGAAAGACCCACCCTACTCACCCATTCTCCCTTCTGCTCATCCCACCTCCCCACAAGAAAAAAGATTGTTATAAAAATACCTCTCAGATTGCTGGTGTTGGTTGTAGTGTTCTTGTGTATCTCTGCCTTGCAATGTCATTTTAAGTCTTTTGGAGGATATATATTTTTTATTCATGGTATTATATAATTAGTAAAGGCATTTTTAAACAGTAAAAGCAAATCCAAAATTTAAAAAGTGTACATGCAAGGTTAGACAAGCTTTGAAGAGCCATAAGCAGCACAGATTGGTCACCCCTGGGCTCATGAAGTTGGATTTTAAATTTAATGACACAAAATCAACAAATATTTGGCACCAAGGAAATAAATACATCCAAGGAGCAGATGAAAATATTACATTTGCCTTCAAAATCAATCTGAAGCCACCTTAAACATTATATTTTTATGGTTTTGAAACTAAATTGCCTTTATCTTCTTTGTTCAGATTTTAAAGAATTATAATTGTACATTTTGTGAGAAAATGAATTTGTTTGACAATAGCTAACTTTTCAAAAAGGTTAATTTAGTCAACTTAACTTTTTGTTTTAAAATAGGTGTTGAGAGAGAGTATTTAAGCATACCCTCAATTTAATTTCAGTTTTAGCACCCTGAAAACTCATGTTAAAAATGAGTTTTATACAATGAGAATTTGCCATCACACAGAAATTATCACTTCCCCTGTTCCTTTTGGAGTTTTATTTCATTGTTTTATAAGCCTATCTCAATCTAATTGCTTTTAATTTTTTCCCCCATAAGCTTATAGAGCAGTCTGAGACAAGGAAACTGCTACCATTTGCTGGAATTGGCAAACAGGTCATCCTAGTCCGTAAGAGCAACCCAAACCAGGTATTAAAAGAACATAATATTTTTTCTTCTTGCCAAGGGAGCCAGTAAATATTAGAAATAACATTTAAATTGAAATTCTCTGTGGACACCATTCTGATTCTTCATCCCATAATTTTTGAAAGAGAGTTAAGTCCCAGGTCATTTGAGCAGGATGGAGCTTGGCTCTTTCCTCTACTGCAGTCCTGAATAAAATGTTTTTACTGCTTTAACTGATGTTGGTTTTGCTTATCTTTGACACTAATTGGGGATTTTTTTCACTGAGTTCCTTGCATAGAGGAGATCTTTACCCTTCGAGTACTTTTAATATTAACTTTAGAAAATTTTTATACAGGTAACATATTTTCCTCGTAGAAAAATAAGAAAACACAAATGCTAGCAAAAGAGGAAGGAGGAGGAGGAGGAGGAGGAGGAGGAGAAGCCACCACCCTTAATACTAGTATTAACTAGTATTAACACATTGCTTTCAGCTTTTTTCCCCTTTGAATATATATTTTTTAAAAAATGGACCATAGATGGTTACTAGAGGTGGGGTGGGAGGGGAATGGAGAGATGCAGGTCAAGTGTACAAAGTTGCAGTTATATAGGATGAATAAAGAGACTTAAAGTACAGCATGAGACTAGTTATTCGTATTTGTAATAGTCATTCTTACACTGCTGTAAAGAACTGCCAGAGACTGTGTCATTTATAAAGGAAAGAGTTTTAATTGACTTACAGTTCTGCATGGCTGGAGAGGCCTCAGGAAACTTACAATCATGGCAGAAGGGGAAGCAGGCATGTCTTACTTGGCGATGGAGGAGAGGAAGAGAGCGAAGGGGGAAGAGCCCCTTATAAAACCATCAGATCACGTGAGAACTCATTATCACAAGAACAGCATGGGGGAAACCGCCCCCATGACCCAATCACCTCCCACGAGGTCCCTCCCTTGACATGTAGGGATTATGGCAATTACAATTGGAGATGAGATTTTGGTGGGAATACAGAGCCAAACCATATTGATATAGTATACTAACATTTTTCGAAGACAGTAGATTTAGGTGATCCTCCCCCAACCACAAAAGTAACTAAATGAGATGATGGATATGTTAAATTGCTTACTTGTAGTAATTATTTTACTATGTATGTGTATATCAAAATATCATATTATACACTTAAATTTATATAATAAAAAACAAACAACACTGGGAGGCTGAGGTGGGCAGATCACGAGGTCAGGAGATTAAGACTATCCTGGCCAACACGGTGAAACCCTGTCTCTACTAAAAATACAAAAATTAGCTGGGTGTGGTGGTGTGTGCCTGTAATCCCAGCTACTCGGGAGGCTGAGGCAGGAGAATTGCTTGAACCAGGGAGGCAGAGTTTGCAGTGAACGGAGATTGTGCCACTGCACTGTAGCTTGGCGACAAAGTGAGACTCTGTCTCAAAAAAAAAAAAAAAAAAAGGACCACAGAATAATAATGATCTAAAATCCAGAGATTTTTAAAAACTAAATAACAGAACATATTATTGTGGTTTTTAAAATCCTTATAAAGTTCACACATAATCATGTAGATAATTCAAGCAACTAAGAAAAACGTGAATAAAAAAGTAAAAGTTATTTATTCACATTTCTTTTGGCCCAGAAGCAATAAGTGTGTTTTAGTAACAATGCTTTGAAGTCTTTCTCTACAAACACAAACACTTTTTTTATTTAAATGGTATTTTATATGCATATTGCTTATAGCAAGCTCTTTTTAGTTAATAGTGTAGCTTAGAGATCACTCCATGATAACAATTATATATATATGGAATATTTTTTTTGAGACAGAGTTTTGCTCTTGTTGACCAGGCTGGAGTGCAATAGCATGATCTCGGCTCACTGCAAGCTCCGCCCCCTAGGTTCAAGTGATTGTCCTTCCTCAGCCTCACAAGTAGCTGGGATTACAGGCATGCACCACCACGCCTAGCTAATTTTGTATTTTTAGTAGAGATGAGGTTTTACCTTGGTGGTCAGGTTAGTCTCAAACTCCTGACCTCAGGTGATCCACCTGCCTCAGCTTCCCAAACTGCGGGAATTACAGGTATAGGCCACCATGCCTGGCCTATATAGAATATTTTTAAAATGCGAGTTTAATATTCCATTAGATGGGGCTAGACATGGTGGCTCATGCATGCAATCCTAGAACTTTGGGAGGGCTGAGGCAGGCGGATCACTTGAAGCCAGGAGTTTGAGACCAGCCTGGCCAACATAGCGAAATGCCATCTCTACTAAAAATACAAAAAATTAGCTGGGCGGGGTGGTGTGTACCTGTAATTCCAGCTACTCCAGAGGCTGAGACATGAGAATTGCTTAAACTTGGGAGGTGGAGGTTGCAGTGAGCTGAGATTGCACCACTGCACGCCAGCCTGAGTGACAGAGGAAGACTGTGTCTTCAAAAAAAAAAAAAAAAAAAATTCCATTAGATGGATGCAGCATAACTTACTTAGGGAATTTTTCTTAGATTTAACATATTTAATATTTTTCTATTATAGATAACACATGGCAAAAAAAAACTTGTAGCTAAACCTTTGAACATTTTCTTATGTAAATCATAGGATAAATTGCTATACACTGTTTATGGAAATCTACAGTGCCTTTGAAAGTTTGTTGTTTCTGTTGAGGTATATCCATAGCATTGACATCTCCAAGAGAGAAATAATAAGTATAAAGTTCTTGGAACAAACTATTTTTTTCTCCACCTCTGCTGCATTCTTTTTCTGCTAACTACTTATCCTCTGCTTTTTCATCTTGCTCTTGGTTCCAACTGCACCATGGTCTCAGTGCAATATCCTAATTAATATCTGTGGATTGACTAGTTGACTGGCCTCTGTCAGATCAGGTTTCTGGCCCAATAAGCAGTGGTAAGAAAGAAGAGCACAATCCTATGCATGACCTACTCACTGCCCATTCATTAGAAGTGAGGGGATTCTTTTTTTTTATTTTAGAGAAGATTTTGCTATCTTGCCTAGGCTGGAATACAGAAATGCAATGGCTATTCAAAGATATGATCATAAGAACTGTAGCCTCAAACTTTTGGCCTCAAGGGGTCCTCCTGCCTTAGCCTTCCAAGTAGCTGGGAGGGACTACAGGTGCACACCACTGTACTCAGCTGAGTGGTGGCTTCTTTTATGGGTGACTTAAAAAATTCAAAAGTATTTAGGAACCCAGGTTGTAAATCAGGAGGTGCTAAAATGATTTGAGGGATATTACAAACTGAACCAAGCCTTGGAAAAATGGTGATTAGCAAGAAACATGAGAGAGTGTTCCTGTATTAGTTAAGAAATGCAGGATTATAAGTGACAAGAACCAAATCAAAACCAGATCAAGTCAATGGTATTTATTGATTTTGACTGGAGTCAGTTTCCTAATTTGGGGAGACTAGGTTATTGGAAATCCAGAAATTAGTACATGTTGGCAAGATTTCAGATTAAGGAAGCCAATGCCTGAAGTTCTCATGGAGACCTAGAATGCTAAAATCATTCCAAAAGGAGACAGGAGGGAAAGGACAAAGGGGACAGAGAGGGAGAGGGAAGGAGGAAGGGGGAAAGAAAGAGAAAGAGAGAGAGGAAGGAAGAGGAGGGAGAAGGGTGGAAGAGAGGAAAAGGCAAAGAAAAGGAAGGAAGGAAGGAAGGAATCACTTATAAACTTTACTTGCTAGTGGAGATTTCCTTGAGTCACACCATATGCAATTCCTTATTCTGAAATCTGAGGGGTCCTTAAAGGGTGTTGGGCCTGCAGGTGCAGACTATGGTGAACAGCTGGGGTGAGGCTGGGTAGTCAGGGAATAAGAATTGAATGGATGTGAAGTTTGTGTATCAGATAATATTCATGCAAATAATTTCAATTTGGAAAAATCTGAGGTCATGATGCAATTTGCCCTTTTCAGTCCCAGATTTCTTCTGGGTTCTATGTTTGTGGCCTAGGACTACTTTTCAAGTTTGAATGAGCCCTAAAGAAATTTGGAGACCATTCAGATTCCAAAAACAAACAAATGAATCTCTTGTCATTTAATGTAACTGTGACAGGATCTCACAGATGAAATGAATCTCAAGAATTTTATTTTTGAGGGCCCAAAGAGAGCTTGGTAAATGTACAATGAGATGTAAGGAAGAGGGAAAGTCACTGAAGTTCTTCAGACATTATGGTTACCAATTATATTAAATTGGTCAGGGTGTTGGGTGTTTGCTGGAGTGAAAAGCATATTTGTTATTTTGTTATCATGATATTAAGAAAATTCACTTTTTTTTGAGACAATCTCACTCTGTCACCTGGGCTGTATGTAGTGCAGTGGTGCAATCACAGCTCATTGCAGCCTCAGTCTCCTAGGCTCAAGAGATCCTCCCACATCAGCCTCCTGAGTAGCTAGGACTACAGGTGTGCACCATCACACCCAGATAATATTTTTAATTTTTATTGGAGATGTGGTCTTGCTGTGTTGCCCAGGTTGGTCTTGAACCCCTGGCTTTAAGCAATCTTCCCACCTTGGCCTCCCAAAGTGCTGGGATTATAGGCATGAGCTACCATGCCCAGCCAGAAAATTCACTTTTAATAATATTGAGATTCAAGGTTTGGATACAAAACAAGATAGAATCATCTAAAGAATTATAACATTTTACTCTAACACTTCTTCCAGTGTTAATTTTACTGGAAAACTTGCCTCAACACCCAAAACTAGATGTTAATGGGGAAAATATTTATAACTATTTATTGATGGTATAAACCAAAAAGTATCTGAGACAGGTCTCAATCAGCTTAGAGGTTTATTTTGCTGAAGTTGAGGACACACCCAGGAAAAAGAGACACAAGCCACGGTAGGATCTGCAGCCCATACTTTTTCTGAAGACCAACCTTCCTTCCTTCCTTCCTTTCTTCCTTCCTTCCTTCCTTCTGATTCTCATTCTGTCATCCAGGCTGGAGTTTAATGGCGCAACCTCAGCTCACTTCAACCTCCGCCTCTTGGGTTCAACATCTGCCTCGCCAGTTCAAGCAATTCTCCTGCCTCAGCCTCCCAAGTAGCTGGGATTACAGGTGTGCACCACCATGTCCAGCTAATTTTTGTATTTTTTAGTGGAGACGGTATTTTGCCATGTTGGCCAGAGTGGTCTCCAACTTCTGACATCAGGTGAGCTGCCTGCCTCGGCCTCCCAAAATGCTGGGATTACAGATGTGAGCACTGCGGCCGGCCCCAAAGAGGATTTTGAAGGCTTCAACATTTAAAGGGGAAAACTGGACATGAAGGGAAAGGGGAAAGAAAAAAAGAGGGAGGGTATGGTGACATTCTTGTGAATCCACATATTGCACATGAAAAGGAGAGGGTAGAGGAATCAGTCAATTATGTATTCATTTCACAATCAGTAAATCTGTACTTTACATAAGAAAAAATAGGCTGGGCATGGTGGCTCACGCCTGTAATCCCAGCACTTTGGGAGGCCGAGGCAGGTGGATCACCTGAGGTCATGAGTTTGAGACCGGCCTGGCCAACATGGCAAAACCTTGTTTCTACTAAAAATACAAAAAATAGCCAGGTGTGGTGGCATGTACCTGTAATTCCAGCTACTCAGGAGACTGAGGCAGGAGCATCACTTGAACCCGGGAGGTGGAGGTTGCAGTGAGCTGAGATTGAGCTGAGATTGTGCCACTGCACTCTGGCTTTGGCAACAGAGCGACACTTTGTCTCAAAAAAAAAAGTAAACAGAGTAGATGAAGCAGTCAAATATGCCTTTGTCTAAAGTAGGGGAGATGATTTCTAATCTCCTCTTGTTGCGGGAATGAAGGAACTGGAGAGACCAATAGGTGGGACAGGAGGATTTTATTTAGGTGCACCAGCTCAGCGGATTTGCATCCAGAAGGCTGAGACCCAAACAAAGACAGGGCTTGACTTTTATACATGCATCTGTGGCTCGAAATGCAGTGGCGCAAAAGTGGGTTTACGGAAGCAGAACAAAGGCAGTTTATCAAACAGAGACAGGCTCATAACTCAGGCTTTCATGTGACTCTTGCTATGTGGGCCAGGTGGCTGTTATCTAGGCTTGCTCAAGATGCCTGCACAATCTTATCTCATGTCCTCCACTATGGCGCCCAGATGGCTGCAATCTAAGATTGCTCAAGCATGTCTCATGACCTCCATGGTGCTACTCAGATGAAAAACAGACTTACAGACACTAGTTACAGAAAACAGGAACCTATAAACTCATAAAAACTTGCAGAGCAGGGTACAATCACACGAGGCGGGAGGGATTCAAGGGAGAAGCTGCTCATACCAAAGGAAAGGAAGAAAATTTGTTTTTTCTTCTGTATCACCTGCTTCACTCTTGTCCTGCACCCATAGAGATAAGCTGTTAATTTTCATTTTCAGGGTCAGGGTGGGAGGTCCCCTGTGGAGGCATGTGGTCTTTTATCTGTACCTTTCAGTTTAGGAGCAAAAGGCAAGGCAGTTTTTTTGTGACTCAGTTTTCAAGCTTAACTTTTCTCTTTTGGCATAATGAATTGGGAGTTCCTACTTTTTATTTTTCTTTCACAATGAAATGATCTGAAATTCAATCTAAAGCAATGAGTTTACTGGATGTGGGGGTTGGTAGGTGACAATGTCACCTTTGAATGCCGGGTGGTTTAGAAGACTGTGTTTAAGTGTATATGTGGGTCCATTTCCAATGCAGAAATAGATACTGTAGAGGAGGAAAAAAACTCCTCTTTCACTCATCTTAAGTTCTCCAGCTGGTGCCATATAAATTAGGCTGGCTAAAGACAGATTAACAAGAAAAAAAAATAAACAGATGTTTATTAGCATATGCCTGGTGCTTACATATGGGCATATTCAGAATTGATTGACTCCATTAGGTGGTTAGAAGTTGGCTTTCTATCATCTTAGGCTTAAACAAGGAAAGAAGAGTTTTAGGCTTCTGCATGGGGGAGGAAAGTTAGGGGTAGGTGACCAGGAAAAGTATGGTAAACAAGGGTCATTGGTTTGTTATGCAGATGGAAGTACCTTCTCCATTGATAGGAGTTGTTAAGGATCCTCTTCCTCCTGGTACAGAGGGAAGCACCATTTCTATATGTAAATTGACTTTCTAAATGTAATTTCCTGGTCTTCTGGTTCTCAGCGGGCTTTAGCGCAAAATAAGCCAAATGCCAAATAGGCATATTTTAGGTTGGCATATTCTGATACTCCTCAATATTCATATGAAACTGAATATAAACTGTCTTGGAGATTGACTTTCAAATGTCCAAGAAGCTCAGCTCCAGAAGGGCTGCTACCAGAATGAGGCCTGCAGAATCTGCATTCAGAAATGTGACTGTCTTGGAGAATTAAGAGAAAGAGAAAGAGGAAAACACCAATCCAGCTATTCAAATGGCTTTTGATGTATAGGGGCTAAATTCTCACATCTGGGTGTAAATAAGTAAATATGCTAAAATAACACATCTGTAAAGTTGAGAGTTTTGTCCCGAGAATGAAACAATAAATTATAAAAAAGGGGATTTTAGTTTTAGAAATATATTATTTAGAAATATATTCATTTTAAAATACCTTTTTAATTTCTAAAGTTACTATGGATGTCTACATCCCTGTATTCCCCCCACAACCGCCTTTCTTTTTTTAAAGACATGGTCTTGCTCTGTCACCAAGGCTGCCGTGCAGTGATGCAATCATAGCTCACTGCAGCCTGGAACTCCTGGGCTGAAGCCATTCTCCCACTTCAGCCTCATGCGCCACCACAACCAGCTAATTTTTAAATTTTTCTGTAGAGATGGGGTCTCACTGTGTTGCCCGGACTGCCCTTGAACTCATGGCCTCAAGTGATCCTCCTGCCTTGGTCCCCCAAAGTGCTGGGATTATAGGCATGAGCCACCACACCAGTCATTCTTCATTTCTTATTCTGACAGACTGAGACTAAATGGAGGAGAAGAAGAATGGATGTAGTCTGGAAGTATAGCATTATTCAATTTGGCTACTTCTATGTTTAAACTGAGAAAAGAAAAATAGGTCAGAACACTTTGAGCTATCTGTGGTATGCAACATTTAACAGGACCGGAGAGACATGAGGATAGAACTTCAGTAATAATCCTGCTGCCCAACATGCCCAGGGGCAATTCTTTGAATTTTATTCTTTCTTTTCCTCTCTGTAGTTTCCTCACTAGCTGCCTCACTCATTATCTTTATGTTTCTAGAATTTGGGATACAAGGAACAATGTAATGCAAGGAACAGACCAATCAACAGCTTTTGTTATCTTAATGTAAATTCTTGGTAAACATCTTAGAAACTGCCTCTTCTTTTTTTCCTTTAAAAACTGACTTGTGGCCAGGTGCAGTGGCTCATGTCTGTAATCCAAGGAATTTGGGATGCCAAGGTGGGTGGGTCACTGGAGGTCAGGAGTTCCAGACCAGCCTGGACAACATGGTGAAACTCCATTTCTACTAAAAATACAAAAATTAGCCAGGCATGGTGGCATGCACCTCTAATCCCAGCTACTTGGGAGGCTGAGGCAGGAGAATCGTTTGAACTTCAGAAGCAGAGATTGCAGTAAGTTGAGATCGTGCCACTGCACTCCAGCCTGGGTGACAGAGTTAGACTCTGTCTCAAACAAAAATAAATAAAGGCTGGGTGCAGTAACTCACACCTGTAATCCCAGCACTTTGGGAGGCCAAGGTAGGCGGATCACCTGAGGTCAGGAGTTTGAGACCAGCCTGGCCCACACGGTGAAACCCTGTCTCTGCAAAAATACAAAAATTAGCTGGGCATGACGGCAGCCAGCTGCTTGGGAGGCTGAGGCAGGAGAATCACTTGAACCCAGGAGGCAGAGGTTGCAGTAGGCCGAGATCACGCCATTGCACTCCAGCCCCAGTGACTGAGTGAGACTCTGTCTCAAAAAAAACAAATTAAATTAAATTTAAATAAATGAATAAATAAGATATAACTTGTAACTGCTGCTAATCAGAGAATATATTCAGGGCAACTTGAATCAATGCTTCTGGGCTATACTCCTTAAACTTGGCCCAAATACACTTCCTACTTCCATTAATTTTGTATCAGTTTTTTCCTTCAGGTTGACATATGTGGTGTATGTCACCAGATTTAAAATGTCACCAGCAGGATTTAAAATGACAGACTGCCGACTATCTGGCATTCCTTCTCTGATTCAATGCTTGGTACCAGCACAAACCCACTGTGTTCTTCCAACTCCAGAGGTTTCAGTGGCCACAAAAGTTTCAGTCCTGAATCTGGATCTCCATTTCCTTTTCAGCTGAGGTCTAGATTTTATTTGGGCTGTGTTTTTCAAACCCTCTCTTTCATGGTTGGGCATGGTGCCTCACTTCTGTAATCCCAACACTTTGGGAGGCTGAGGCAGGAGGAGGGCTTGAGGCCAGGAGTTCAAGGCCAGCCTGGGCAACAGAGTAAGACCCCGTTCCTGCAAAAAAATTAAAAATTAGCCTCACTACTCAGGAGGCTGAGGCCAGAGGATTGCTTGAGCCCAGGAATTTGAGGTTACGGTGAGCTATGATCACATCATTACACTCTAACCTGGGCAAGTGAGTGAGATTCCTGTTGTCATGGAATCCTTGGGGTGTTGCTTCACCAGCCAGAAACCTCTGTGGCTAGCAGTACATTCTGCCTGAGTGTTGCTTGCACCTGCTGGGCTCATTCTGCCCACTCTGCCTGGCAGGCTGTGCTTGGCTTGCACTACCGGCCTGGATCTGACACCTGCCAAAGGCAAGCCAGGCAGGGAGTGGCGAGGGGTGTGTGGGTGAGCGAGTGCGAGGTGAGGTCACTGTGCACAGCCAGGGATGCTGGCTGCTGTGGCAGGGCAGGCAGCTCCAGGCTCTGGCACAGGTGCCAGCTCCATGTGAAGCTGTGGCTGGAACAGATGCACCACACACAGCTTCTGCTGCAGGCATCCACGTCTGGATGAGGGGAATGTGGTGGTACCCAGAAGCTTGGAGATGCCAGGAACCACACAGCCCCAAAGAGGGTGTCACAGCTCTGGCTTGGGGATCCCCTAGGTCTGGGATCCCTGAAGGGCCACAGCTTTTTTCCCCTTCTCATTGCCCACGGTGTGGCAAACAGGGAGGTGGGGCACATGTTTCAGCCCTGTTGGTGTTACAGCTCTTTCAGTCCTGCCATTCGGCGGTTCCTGAGTTCTTGTCCCACGTACAAGAAGAATGAGCTACACAGACCACTGCAGGGTGAGCAAAGTAGAGAGGAGTTTCATTGAGCGACAGAACAGCTCTCAGGAGACCCAAAATGGGTAGCTTCTTTCTGCAGGCAGGTTGTCCCATTGAGTGTCCAGCTGTCAGGAGACAGGAGACCCAGAGTGGGTAGCTCCTATTCACAGGCAGGTCGTCCTTACATCTGTCTGAGTCCAGGGTTTTTATGAGCTCAGAAGGGAGGAAATGCATGCTAATTGGCCCATGGGTGGTCATGGATGGGCTCGGAAAAAGCACCATAAGTTCTCATTCCAGGTGTGGACTCCACCTGGAAGTGGCAGACTGGCCCCCAGGCTTCAGGCCATCCCTGGCTTGAAGGTGGATAGGGACCTGCTCTTTTCTGCCCAGGAACCTGTCTACCTCCTGCTAACAACATTCCATCCATGGCACCCAGGCTTTTCATGATAAGGGGTACCTGCAGGCCCACACCGAGCTGCCCTCAGCACCCCCCACCACCTCCCTCCTGCACTCATCAGTGACCAAAGTCCAAAGGGGGCCAGGGCGGCATGTCAGCACTGCCCCAAGTGCACACACACCTGGCTGGGTCACGACAGCATCTGGCTTTGGCCACAACTTTGCTTCTGCAACAGAGTGGGCACTGAGTGCAGGGAGAGGCCAGGGAGTGAGAGCAGGCACTTCTGAGCCTGTGGGGTCAGGGGGCACTTCCTGGGCCCCCAAGAGCACAGGGATGCCTGGGTCTGGAGCTGTAGCTGGGCAGCTGCAGCTACACTCAGGGAGCACAGGTTTCCTGCCCTGCCAACTTGGAAGCGGGCAGGGCTCCTGCCTGTTTCAGCTCCTGCTGGCTCCATGGAGCATGCAGCCCTGGCAGTACTTCCCCTACTGCAGCCCGCATCTTCACAGCAGCTGCTCCAGACAGGCTGCCACTGCCATCACTGTATCTAAAAAATAAGAAAAAAGTCAAACCCTCTCTTTCCTCTAAGAGTGAGGGCTTTGGTCTCAGTGTCTGGATGGGAGATTTGGATAAACAGGTCTGCAGAGAACTGCTTTTTCTGCCTCTACCTCAGGGCAAGAAGTTCAGGTTATGGTATGGGCAGTCTGGTACCAGTAGTTACACTTGTTTTGGCCTAAAATTACATAGCATGCTTTAAAAATTGCAGCTATTGGCTGGGTGCAGTGGCATCTCTACAAAAAATTTAAAAATTAGCCAGATGCAGTGGCATGTACCTGCAGTCCCAGCTACTTGGGATGCTGAGGCAAGAGGACTGCCTAAGCCCAGGAGTTCGAGGCTACGGTGAGCTATGATGGTACTACTACACTCCAGCCTAGGGTCCAGAGTGGAAGTCCATCTCAATTAATAAATAAAGTAAAATAAAATAAAATTGCAGCTGCTATCTACTCCTTGTAATTTAGACTTGCATTTTCACTTGTGACCAATTCCTGTTAGTTTCAAACTGAAAGGTGCATAGTGTGAGTTTTCTCGCCTCCAAGAGAAGAGGCAACTGCTCCCTCTGACCCATTCAGGTGTTCTATGTGACTAGAGACTTTATAGAGGTGTCAGGAATATTGTCTGGGATGGGAAGCAGCCTCATAGGGCATTTTTCACCAGAAGAACATTTTAGGGAATCTAACTCATCAGGAAAGGTAAAAATTAAGGAATTGGTTACCCCAATACCTTGAGCACCCTACTGCCACCTGGCAGTTAGAGGCAGTCTGGGACACATAACAGAGAGAGTCTCGACTTTTGGATGACACCCTGAGGAGTGACACTCAGAAGAAGCACACTTCTCAAAGCAAAACGCATTTCTGGCCTTGGTCACTTTTGAAAAGTTCCTAAATTATGGGAATTCAAGCTTCAAAATCGGAGTGCTCTTTTAAGGGACAGCCTCCTTTAGAAACACCAGCTGGTTTTTATGTACAACACTTACAAGGCGTCCTCTTATAATATCTAGGAAAATGAACCCACATGACCCAGGATGGTCATAAGCAGCAATGGCTGAAATGAGGGTCCTTTGAAATGCCTAAGATAACTCATGTGTGTACAATTGGAAAAAGCTGGTTTTAGAATCAGACACATTGAAGGAGAACTATTCTCTGTTTGTGCTGGCTGAAATCTGATAAGAGGTTTGAATTTTTTTTTTTTTTTCAGTTCTATGGTCAGAAGTCAACTTAATTAAAAGCTGATATTTAGGCTATAATTTTTTTTGGAAAAAAGGTCTCTGCTTTTTCTATTTTGGATCCTGTTTCTGAGAATTTTTTTCAGTCAACTGAAACCCTTCGTAAAATATGTTCGGTCCCTCTGTTTGCTTGCTTTCCTGTTGACACAATTCCACTGAGAAAAATGTAAAACTTCACTGGCC
Organism: Homo sapiens; assembly: GCF_000001405.40. Taxonomy (NCBI): domain Eukaryota; kingdom Metazoa; phylum Chordata; class Mammalia; order Primates; family Hominidae; genus Homo; species Homo sapiens. Next base: position 171,624,845 of record NC_000002.12, on the reverse strand, counting down.
TTTTAGAAAGCTTAAAACCTCCCAAATTGGCTACTCTAGGCTTGCTCTTCTATTTCCTTCTACTTCTGATCCTCTTCACTTTTGCTACTTTTAAAACCACATGAAAAAATCTAGGGGACCAGCCTGACCAAAATGGTGAAACCCTGTCTCTACTGAAAAAAAAAAAATTAGCTGGGCATGGTGTCATGTGCCTGTAATCCCAGCTACTCAGGAGACTGAGGCAGAAGAATTGCTTGAACTCGGGAAGCGGAGGTTGCAGTGAGCCAAGATCATGCCACTGCACTTCAGCCTGGGCAACAGAGTGAGATTCCGTCTCAAAAAAAAAAAATCTAGGGTAGACTTCTAGCAGCCTGGATACCCCTTGAGGAACACAGAAAAACGTGCCCCCACCCCCACACACCTCCCCTTGGGGTCCTCTCTCTCCTTTGTGGAGTCTCAAGAGGGCATAGGCAGTTTCCTCTCAGATGTAAAGCTCTGCTGTTGTTTGTATTGAGTTTCCTAATCTCTTTGGCTTTTGGGGTATGAGGGATTACTTTGTACTGTAAGAGAGAACTTAACTTTGATGGGTGTGATCGCTGGCAAGTCACTGGTAGGGAACTCCTTGTTTCTTTGCACGATCAGATAACAAAGGTGTAGTTTGAATATGTGGAGGCTGTGGAAACACTTGCCACCAAGGGATGAGAATCCCATGGAGAATGGGTGATCACAGAGTGGGCTGACTGGGGTTGGGTGACCACTGGCCTTGGGGGAATGTCTTTGTAGTGAGAAGCACTGCGGAATGTTGTGCAGCCCTGTTGCAGGGTGTTTCCCTCTATTGGGCGACCCAGAATTTGGTATAAAAATAGGATCCTTGATTCTGAAAGATCTAGATGCTCTTCCTTCTGGTTGTGCCTGCTTTTCACATACTTACATATTAGGCCCTGAAAACCGCAAATACTTTCTTTACCCTTTACACTAATGGCCTCCACCCTGAAGTCAGTAATCGAATGAAGAAAGATGCTAAATGAATAAGGCCACCATTCTAACTAAATCAGTCTCCAAAATATACCTTTCGGATATTTAGCTATTTTGAAACTCTTTGTAAAAGAAATTTATATCTATTAAGGAAATCTCCATTTGTAAGGGTATCTCTCTCTTTGCACCTAAACCATTAGACACTTTTATCACAGGGAATACATTAGCTTAAAGTTTATGTAACATACCTTACCTATTTAAGATACTTTTCCTAGCAATCTTAACTGAGCCTCTATCTATTCTCTTGTCTCAGCAAATAATGGTGTTTATATCTAAATTTTGTGCCTTTGAGATATAAATTTTCTACCTCGTTTCAGCCGAGTTGTGTCTTTGCCAATGCAAACTCAGGGTTGCCTACCTGACAATTGTTTAGGGCAATGGAATGGGTAATCAAAAGACTAAGAGTCCAAAGTAGGGAGAAAAACTTTTGAAAACTAGTGTGAACTATTAGAGTAGGCAGTTAGGCAGACATGAGCAGGGCAGAAGAGCTTCTCCCCAACCCCAGAAACATCAAGCAACCATCAGGTGATGGTCAGGGGGTTGTTAAACTGTTTCTCTAGTAATAATAATTGTTTGCAGCTGGCACCATGGAAGGACTGCCTCCCAATAGATAGAAAACACCTGAAGCTGGTGATTAGCGGCTTCCCAATAAGATCTCAGGAGTTGAGTGGGCTCAAGCATGGGCATTAAGAGGCAAATGGCGGAGTTTAACTGATATATGACCTTCCTCTAGAACACTTGACGGTTAAGGGAAAAATGTCTCAAATGAGCATGCACACAACATCAGCAAACACACTGCATAAGCAGCCCCTCCCAAGTGCTGGCTGGCCACCCTGCATGTGGACAGCCTGCTCCAAGGGAAGAATCGAGAGAGAAGAAATGCAAAACTTCCAACCATGCCAATGTATAAAACCCCAAGTCAAGGGCCACACAGGGCACTTGGATCTCTAATCTCCCACCTGGCCATCTTCCAAGTGTACTTTACTTCCTTTCGTTCCTGCTATTAAATTTTTTTTTTTTTTGAGATGTAGTCTCACTTTGTTGCCCAGGCTGGAATGCAGTGGCGCAATCTCAGCTCACTGCAACCTCTAACTCCCAGGTTCAAGCGATTCTTGTGCCTCAGCCTCCTGAGTAGCTGGGATTACAGGCACGCGCCACCATGCCTGGCTAATTTTTGTATTTTTAGTAGAGACGGCGTTTCACCATGTGGGCCAGGCTGGTCTGGAACTCCTGACCTCAAATGATCTGCCCGTCTCAGCCTACCAAAGTGCTGCTGCTGATGATGATTATCTTGTACGGTCAAAGTTGATTGAGATTGGATCAATCATTATTTCCATTGTGCAAACCACCCTCGGTCTTCCAGAATGGTGGAATGCACAAATGGAATAATAAAAGATCAGTTGGAAAGGTTTAAAGAAACGTTTACCCTTCCCTGGCCTAAGGCTCTTGCATTTTCTTTTCTTTTCTTCTTTTTTTTTTTTTTTTTGAGACAGGATCTCACTTTGTCACCCATCACCCAGGCTAGGTTGCAGTGGTGCAATCTCAGCTCACTGCAGCCTCAACTTCCTGGGATAAAGTGATCCACCCACCTCAGCCCTCCAAGCAGCCAGGACTACAGGCATGCATCATCACACCCAGCTAATTTTTTATAGAGACAGGATTTCACCACGTTGGCCGGGCTGGTCTTGAACAGCGGAGCTCAAGTGATCCACCTGCCTAGGCCTCCCAAAGGGCTAGAATTGCAGGCATGAGCCATCATGCCCGGCCTCTTCCACTTTCTTAACTTACGTTCTACCCTATTTGGAAAACAGCACCTTTCTCCATTTGAAATAATAACTGCAAGGCCCGTGCACCTGGTTGAAGGAGCCTACAAACCAGCTCTCCTCAAATGTGATGTTCCTCATTTTTGCCAAGGCCTTATAAGCTTCTGGTTAACATTTCTAAATTAGTTAAGGATTCTTTCAACATTGAGCTCCTGGGAGAGGAAGACATCAGAGATCATGGCCTACAACCCGGAGATTTTGTTTACTGGAAATGACATCAAATAAAAGCTTCTCTCCAACCCCATTGGAAGGGACTATATCAGATATTGTTAACCAATCCTTGTGCAGCCAAACTCAAGGCCATCTACTCATGAATTCACATTTCTCATTTTAAAAAGTTAGCCCTACCTGAGCAGACATCTTCCATCACTGGAGAAGATCTCCAACTGGAGCTGACCTGCAGCTAGTCACCCTGTTCTACAGACCAGGATGAAAAGTAGAAATTCAGTTAGAAAGAATCACCCAAAAGACTAAATGGCTACAAGACATTAGAAAGACCAAACCCCTTACATGATTTACTTGATTGGTTACCTTAAGAAATAAAAACACCTTTCAGATCTAGATTTCAAATTGTTTGTTAATAATTGTCCTTATTTGCATCATATTGATACAGAACAGCTGGGCTCCCAGCTAAACACCACCCTCAAGCCTGAACCCTCAGCCCTAAGTAAAAACAGCTGGCCCTATTTTTCTGCCCAAGTGATTGCCTTTTTTGCCTGCCATTCCCCTATCCTGTGCCCATAAAAAGACTTCAGCTGGAAGAGCAACACAAGCGGCTTATACAAGTGGTTGGGGATGCAAGCTGCTGAACATTGGAGATATGTGCAGCTGAGCATCAGGGATCCATGCAGCTGAGTGTCAGAAATTACGAATAGACGCTGCTAACTTCAGACAGTGCAGCTTCAGGGAAACATCACCTTCTTCCCACACCATCCCCTTTCAAATTCCCCATCCTACTGAGAGCCACTTTTATCGCCCAATAAATATTCCAAATACACTATCCTTCAAATAGTTTGTGTGACCTGATTGTTCCTGGACACTGAACAAGAACTCAGGTGTCAAAAAAGGCAGGTGTAGGAGGCTGTCACCCTGAGCCTTCACTGAGCTGTTACACTTAGCCATCCATGGACTGCAGGCTGAGTGAAATGAGCCACTCTAGTTCCTGTCCACAAAGAGGGTCAAAGTCAGGGGAAAAATCCCATCTCAATATTTTTGGTTCTTAAGTTGATTATGCTTTGTATTTCTAGATGTCTTAACATCAAGAAAGAAATGATCCAACATGCTGTGGCTCCTCTGTAAGTGGATGGCCTAGATCTTGTTGCTCTGTCCCTTTATGTTGCCAGTCAATTCAGCCTTGAGACCTCTCTAAATTCTTAAGTTTAAAATTTCAAATTTTTTTATTTTATATTTTTGTGTAGAGATGGGGGTCTTGCTATGTTGCCCAAGCTAGTCTTGAACTCCTGAGCTCAAGTGATCCTCCCACCTCGGCCTCCCAAAGTGCTGGGATTACAGGTGTGAGCCACAGTGCCTGGCCATCACTAAATTCTTAAGCCATAAGTACCTGTCCTCTTTCCCTCAGACATGGGATGAGATTACCTGGGAATGAGCCTTCCCAATGACATGAGACAAACATCTAAAATTTTGGTCATCGATGCCTTCAGAAGAGAAAAATTTTGATCAAAAGGGGGAAATGAGAAAAGAAAGAACAATGTTTAGCCAATCAATACCTTATGTTACCTTAGTGTAAATTCTTGATAAACAACTTACAAACTGCCTCTTCTCTTTTCCTTTAAAAACCCACTTGTAACTACTGCTAATTGGAGCATATATTCAGGCAACTTGAATCTGTGCTCCTTGGTTGCAGTCCTCAAACTTGGCCCAAATAAACCCTCTACTTATGTTAATTTGGCCACAGTTTTTTCCTTTAGGTCAACAAAGCTATTCTCCAGAAAGCAATACAGATATACAATTTGACCTCTGGTTTCATTATTCTACATGTTTATATTTCTTTTAATAATATATTTGTTTTTTGTGTGCCCAGGCAAATAAATTCAGACTTTGTTTTTAAAAAGCAGCAACAAGCCTGGGTGCAGGGGCTCATGCCTGTAATCCTAACACTTTGGGAATCCAAGGTGGGAGGATCACCTGAGACCAGTAGTTCAAGACTAGCCTGGACAAGACAGTGAGACCCCCCAACTCTCTACAAAAAATAAAAAAATTAGCTGGGCATAGTGGTGCAATGCCTGCAATCCCAGCTACTCAGGAGGCTGAAGCAGGAAGAGAATTGCTTGAGCCTGGGAGTTCGAGGTTGTAGTGAGCTATAATTATAACACTGCACTCCAATCTGGATGATGGAGTAAGACTGCTTCTCAAAAAACAAACAAAAACACCCCACAACAACAACACTGTATGATTAAGGAAAATGTTTGGATGGTAAAATGAAAGCAATAACCTAAACCAAGGTTATCATTTATTTGAAAAGTATTTGTTGAACTTCTACTGTATGGCACTATGATAATTAGTCTATCAACTTGAATAAGAAAATGTGGTAGTGGGCAGAGCACAGTAGCCCACACCTGTAATCCTAGCAGTTTGGGAGGCCAAGGCAGGAGGATTGCTTGAGGCCAGAAGTTTGAGACCAGCATGGACAAAATGACGAGATGCTATCTCTACAAAAAATTTAAAAATTAACCAGGCATAGTGGCAAGCACCTGTAGTCCCAGCTTCTTTGGAGGCTCAAGTGGGAGCATTGCTTGAGCCCAGGTCATTGAGGCTGCAGTGAACCATGATCACACCACTACACTCCAGCCTGAGCAACAGAGTGAGACCCTATCTCCAAGTGAAAAAAAAAAAAGAAAATGTGAAATGTGGAAGTCCTTGCAATATTAGTGTGGACTCTCAAGGTTAGTTTAAAAGGATAGAAATACCATTCAAACCAGCTCAAGTGATTAAGGACATTTACTGGCTCATGTTACTGAAAAGTTTGAGAATTGCTTCGGGCACTGCTGGATCCAGAGGCTCAATGTCCTACCTGTCTTTCTATCTCTAGACTGCCTTCCTCTGAAGGACTTAGATGAACTAGAAAAGAAACTGACAATTCAGAGACTCTAAGGCATTTCCAATCACCATTAAGGAAAATTTCCCTTGAGATTTATGTCTCTTGGTCCCACTTTGTCTTTAGAATTAAGGAATTGAACTGTGATTTGCAAGGTTCCTTCTGGCTTCAACATTTAGATTTAGCAAACAAAAATACAGGACACACAGTTAAGTTTGAATTTCAGGTAAACAATGAGTAATTTTTTAGTGTAAGTATGTACCAAATATTGTATGGTACATTTTTACACTAAAAAATTGTTTGAAACATGAATTTTATTGTTCCAATATTATTACTCATACAGCAATAGTTACCACTAGTGGTTTTGGTGTGAAATAGCTGTCATTCAGTAAAATATTGTTCCTTGAAGTTATCCTGAAACTTAAATATGTATAAATGTGACATTAATAAGTGCTTTTACAGGTTTTTCATCTGTCGAACAAGACTAATCATATAAAATTTGCGACTCTCCCACAAATGTGGGGTTGACAGAGTTAAAGTCCTCAGGACTTCTTGAAAGTAAATAAAAACAAATATAGATTTTGATTATTATTGCTACTTTTATAGCTGATATTTCTTTTTTAACACATTAACTTCCCTCCACTGAGCAAACTGCTCAGTTGTTGGAAGGACTCATGTCATCATCCCTCTTTTCTCAATGTGTCTTGCTGCTGTTGAGCTAAACAATTCTTTAGCTCCCAGGGTGCTTATTTAATAAATGATGCTGTGAAGTTCCCAAAGAAAGACTTTCAATTTCCCTCTTGTGTGATGGCTGTGATCAAGCTGCAGCACCCTGTGGTCTGCATCAATGGAATATATGCTTGGAACTCATTCACTAACTTGCTTTCTGTATTTAATCTGTTAAGTTCCGTAAACGGTAGAAATACCTGATGCTTTTCTTCTTCTCTTGATAATTTTCTCCTCTACTTTTCCTCAAATTGGGAAATAAAGGTTAACTGCTGTATATTTTTGAGCTAATTTTCTCTTTCACAGGATGCTTGAAAGTAAAGTCATCAGTATTTTAAAATGCATACACACACCATCCTGTAGCTGATTCTACAATTTCAGCTCATCAACTATTTTTTTTTAATTTTTTATTTATTATTATTATACTTTAAGTTTTAGGGTACATGTGCACAATGTGCAGGTTAGTTACATATGTATACATATGCCATGCTGGTGTGCTGCACCCACCAACTCGTCATCTAGCATTAGGTATATCTCCCAATGCTATCCCTCCCCTCCCCCCAGCCCACAACAGTCCCCAGAGTGTGATGTTCCCCTTCCTGTGTCCATGTGTTCTCATTGTTCAATTCCCACCTATGAGTGAGAATATGTGGTGTTTGGTTTTTTGTTCTTGTGATAGTTTACTGAGAATGATGATTTCCAATTTCATCCATGTCCCTACAAAGGACATGAACTCATCATTTTTATGGCTGCATAGTATTCCATGGTGTATATGTGCCACATTTTCTTAATCCAGTCTATCATTGTTGGACATTTGGGTTGGCTCCAAGTCTTTGCTATTGTGAATAGTGCCGCAATAAACATACATGTGCATGTGTCTTTATAGCAGCATGATTTATAGTCCTTTGGGTATATACCCAGTAATGGGATGGCTGGGTCAAATATCAACTATTACTTACACTCAAGCTAGAGTGTAAATAGCTTATACTCAAGCTAGAGTGTAAATAGCTTATACTCAAGCTAGAAGTTGAGTATAAATAATAGTTGATGAGCTGAAATTGTAGAATCATGGAATTATTAGAGAATTTTGAGATTAAGTCAGATTTCTTCCTTTCACAGGTAAGAAAACTGAGGCTCAGAGAGATTACATGCTATAGCCAAGATCACACAACCCAGGTGACACTAAACTGGGGCCCTCCATGAACCAAATCCAGCCCACCACTACCTGTTTGTGGAAATAAAGTTTTATTGCAACACAGTTGCTCCCATTTGTTGCATTGCCTATGACTGCATTTGTACTATAATTACAGAGTTGAGTAGTTGCGAGAGAGACTATCTGGCCCACAAAGCCTAAAATATTTACTATCCAGCTCTTTAAACAGGTTGCCCAACCCCTCTCTAGGCCTCCGGAGTCCTCTGCCTCCAGCTAGAAGAAGGGGAACAGGCATGGAGAAGTATACATGAAGCAGGGACTGGGGAGGTGGTAGGGACAGCCAGGCCTGGAGTGAGGCACATCATTTCTGCCCATGTTCCACTGACGAACATGAGTCACATGGTTTCACTTGGTTGCAAGGGCTGAGAGATATAGTCCTTTGAGACGCAGTCCAGAGTAGCTGATTCCCAGTGCAATTCTACCCCCTGGAAGTGGGAGCATGGCTTCTGATAGGTAGCTAGTTTTCTGGAGCACAGGTGGTCAGCACCCTGTTAGTCTCCTGTAGCATAATAGACACATTTGGTAGGTATCTGCTCAGCACATGGCCCCCATCTCCAAGAACTGCAGAGTCTCAGAGGATGGGGCCCTGTGGCTGTGTCTTTATTATCTGACCCCACCAGTTGTCACAGATCATTACTGAATTAAAGAGCGACACCTAGTTCAAAGTATCCCTCCAGAGATTCTGGTCAGATACTAAGAGATGCTTGTCAGTCTCTGGGTTTGAAAAAAAAATGTTCTTCATTTACTAAGCACTTTAACTAAAATGATATACATATACTCTCACTAGAGACAATGTTTTGTTTTTAATCTATTCCAAAATTTTATATATTACTGGGCCTTTTTTCCCAGAAATAGTTTTTTAAGCCTTAAAGACTTAAAACAGACTGATGTTTTACATTCTGACCTCTATGTTATGCCCTTCCTCCAACCCCTCTTCATTGAAAGAAAGCTACTACACCGATCCCTTGGGTTGTTTTGTGTGCGTGCATGTGTGTGTTTATCTTTAAATATTTAGGGAGTACAAGTGCAGATGTCTCACATGCATCTATCGTGTCATGGTGAAGTCTTGGCTTTTAGTGTATCCATTACTCAAATAGACAAGATTGCACCCAACAGGTGATTTTTCAACTCTTACCCCCTCCCAATCTCCCACCTTTTGGAGTCTCCAAAGTCAGTTATTCCAGTCTGTATGTCCATGTGTACTCATTGTTCAGCTCCCATTTATAAGTGAGAACATGCAGCATTTGACTTTCTGTTTCTGAGTTATTTCACTTAGGATAATAGCCTCCAGTTCCTTCCATGCTGCTGCAAAAGACATGATTTCATTTCTTAAAAATTATTTTATATTTTGCCATCATTTTCTTTGTGATGGCCAACTTCATTCTTTTTTATGACTGGGTAGTATTCCATGGTGGGTGTAGGGGTGTGGGGGTGTGTGTGTGTCTGCATACAATACATTTTCTTGATCCAGTTCTCCACTGATGGACACTTAGGTCGATTCCATATTGTATTTCCATTCTTGCATTGTTATAAAGAAAAACCTGAGACTGGGTAATTTATAAGAAAAGAAACTTAATTGGCTCACAGTTCTGCAGGCTGTACAGGAAGCATAGTTTTGGCATCTGCTTCTAGGGAGGCCTCTGGAAGCTTTTACTCATGGCAGAAGGTGAAGCAGGAGCAGGCACATCATGTGGCAAGAGTGGGAGCAGGAGCTAGTGCAGGGGGAGGTTCCACACACTTTTAAATGACCAGATCTCATGAGAACTCACTCATTATTGCAAAGACAGTGGCAAGCCATCAGAAATCCACCCCCATGACCCAAACACCTCCTACCAGGCCCCACCTCCAGTACTGGGGATTACAATTCAACGTGAGATTTGGGTGGGAACAAATATTCCAAATATATCACATATCTTTGCTATTGTGAATAGTGCTGTGATAAACATACAAGTGCAGGTATCTTTTTGATATTAATATAAAGATTTATTTCCCTTTGGGTAAATACCCAGTAGTGGGATTGCTGGATTGAATGGTAGTTCTATTTTTAATTCTTGGAGAAATCTCCACACTATTTTCCATAAAGGTTCTACTAATTTACATTCCCACCAACAGTGTAAAAGTGTTCCTTTTTTTCCACATTCTTGCCAACATCTGTTGTTTTTTTGACTTTTTAGTAACAGCTGTTGTGACTAGTATAAGATGGTATCTCATTGTGGTTTCAGTTTGCATTTTTCTGATGATTAGTGATGTTGAGCATTTTTTCATAAGATTTTTGGCTGCTTGTATGTCTTCTTTTGAAAAACGTCTGTTCATGTTCTTTGCCCACTTTTTTTTTTTTTTTTTTTTTTTTTTTTTTTTTTTTTTTTTTTTTTTTGAGACAGGGTCTCGCTCTGTCACCCAGGCTGGAGTACAATAGTATGAACATGGCTCACTGTAGCCTCAACCTCTCTCACCTCAGCCTCCCAAGTAGCTGGAACCACAGGTGCATGCTCCCACACCTGGCTAATTTTTTACCATTTGTAGAGATGAGGTCTCACCATGTTGCTCAGGCTGTTTGCCCATGTTTCTTTTTTTTTTAAATTTAATTTATTTATTTTTGAGATGGAGTCTTGCTCTGTCATCCAGGCTATAGTACGGTGGTGCAATCTCGACTCACTGCAACCTCCACCCCTGGGTTCCAGTGATTCTCCTGCCTCAGCCTCCCAGGTAGCTGGGATTACAGGCACACACCACCACACGTAGCTAATTTTCGTATTTTTAGTAGAGGTGGGGTTTCACCATGTTGGCCAGGCTGGTCTCGAACTCCTGACCTCAGATGATCCATCGGCCTCAGCCTCCCAAAGTGCTAGGATTACAGGCATGAGTCACCGTGTCCAGTCTGCCCATGTTTCAGTGGGGTTTTTTCTTGTTGAGCTGTTTGACTTCCTTGTAGATTCTGGATATTAACACTTTGTCAGATGCACAGTTTGCAAATATTTTTTTCCCATTTTGTAGGTTGTCTGTTTACTCTGTGGATTGTTTCTTTTGCTGTGCAGAAGCTGTTGAGTTTAATTATGTCCCATTTGCCTATTTTTGTTTTTGTTGCATTTGCTTTTGAAAACTTGGTCATAAATTCTTGCCTAGGTCCAATGTCCAGTTTTTCCCAGGTTTTCTTCTAGGATTTTTATAGCTTCCAGTCTTATGTTTAGGACTTTAATCCATCTTGATTCAAATTTTTGTCTGTGATGAGATGCATAGGTCCAGTTTCATTCTCCTACATACAGCTATCCAAATTTCCCAGCACCATTTATTGAATAGAGTTTCCCTTCCCTATTGTCTATTTTGTCATCTTTGTCAAAGATCAATTGGTTGTAGGCATGTGGCTTTATTTATGGGTTCTCTATTCTGTTCTATTGATCTATATGTCTGTTTTTATAACAGTGTCATGCTGTTTTGGTTACTATAGCCTCATAGTATAATTTTTTTTTTTTTTTTTTTTTTTGAGATGAAGTCTCACTCTGTTGCCAGGCTGGAGTGCAGTTCCACAATCTCAGCTCACTGCAACCTCTGCCTCCTGGGTTCAAGCTATTCTCCTTCCTCAGCCTCTGGAGTAGCTGGGACTACAGACGCGTGCCACCACGCCCAGCTAATTTTTGTATTTTTAGTAGAGACGGGGGTTTCACCATGTTGGCCAGGATTGCCTCGATCTCTTGACCTTGTGATCCGCCCGCCTCAGCCTCCCAAAGTGCTGGGATTATAGGCGTCAGCCACTGTGCCCGGCTGCCTTGTAGTATAATTTGTAGTCAGGTAATGTGAGGCCTCCGGCTTTATTCTTTTTGCTTAGGATTGCTTTGGCTATCTGGGCTCCTTTTTAGTTCCATATGAACTTTGGAATTGTTTTTTCTCATTCTGTGAAAAATGATATTGGTAATTTGATAGGGATTACATTAAATCTGTAGATTGCTTTGGGCAATATAGTCATTTTAACAGTATTCGTTCTTCCAATCCATGAGCATGAGATGTCTTTCCACTTCTTGGGTCTCATCTACTATTTCTTTCATCAGTGTTTTATAGTTCTCTCTATAGAGCTCTACCATCATTGATATCTGTCTATCTTTTGTAGCAGTTGCTTGTTTCAATTTCTTGACATTGCTTTTGTAGGGAAATTTTTTCCTGAGTAGTATGTATGTTGTCGGCTGAGTAGGATACTTTGGCTTTTATTTTGGATGCCTGAAATAGTGTAATCTTTGTACAACTTCTTCAGCAGTGCACAGGGCCACTGGTATATATGATTTCCTCAGTGGCTTAGGGAACACTTACTAGTTGAAGTTGTGATAGTTTTGCTGGGGACTTGGACACCAACTGAACCAGTCTCCAGGCCCTGGTGTTGGCAGCAACGGGGTGAATGTGGCTGTTTTTAGACTCTAGAGCAGCTTACACTGGCTCTGATGTTAGTTAGTCCTGGAGGGCTGAGTTTTGGGCCAATCTCCAGTTGGCTTGCTTAGAAGCTAGTAGTGGGAGTGGTGGGCTAGGTAGTGGGTGGATTCTCAGGCAGCTGGTGTGGTGTGGGTGATGGCGGTACTGTAACCCACAAGGTCCCAACTGGTCTGTGTTGGTGTTCCTGGTAGCTCAATGTGTTGAGCAGGCTAGTCTCCAGCCCTGCAGCCACCCATACCAGTGTGGTGGGTATTGTCCTAAGTGTGCTTGGGAGAGCATGTTCTCATCTGCCCCTCCCCTGGCTTAGTGGTGGCTACAGCTGTGTCACCTCACACTTGGCCCGAGGATGGGACACAACCCAGTGGGGAAACTCTGAAAATGGTGCTAGCTGTGGGCTTGTGATCAGAGAGGGCAAGGCCCTTCTCAGGTGAGCAGCATGAGCAAGAAGCTGTGGGGAGTGTGGTCTGCTTGAATGTTAGTCTCACAGCAGCAGGGCAGTGGGTATCGTCCTAGGTGTATGTAGGAGAGCTTGGTTTCCTTGTCCTTCCTTGGCCAGGCAGCAACGGCAGCCATGTAAACTTGAATTTGGCCTGAGGGTGGGATGCAGCCCAGCATTAAACCCTCAAAATGGCACATTGGGCCTGTAACCAGAGGCAGAGTATCTCCCAGGCAGGCAGCGTGGGCAGGACACTGTAGGGAGTGCTGTCCACTAGCACTTCAGTTCCACAGCAGCCCATTGCAGGGTAGTAGGTGTTATCTTAGATGTACATAGGAGGGCTTGGATTCTCTGGCTTTCCTTGGCTGGGTGGTGGCTTGTATTAATCAAATTTGTGTTGCCATAAAGAAGTACCCGAGGCTGGGTAATGTATAAAGAAAAGAGGTTTGGCCAGGCACGGTGGTTCACGCCTGTAATCCCGGCACTTTGGGAGGCTGAGGCAGGCGGATCACTTGAGGCCAGGAGCTCGAGACCAGCCTGGCCAACATGGTGAAACCCTGTCTGTACTAAAAATACAAAAATTAGCCATGTGTGGTGGTGCGTGCCTGTAATCCCAGCTACTTGGGAGGCTGAGACGTGAGAATTGCTTGAACCTGGGAGGCAGAGGTTGCACTGAGCTGAGATCACACCACTGCACTCCAGTTTGAGCAACAGAGGGAGACTCTGTTTCAAAAAAAAAGAGAAGAGAAGAGAAGAGAGAAGTGAAGTGGTTCATTTGGCCCACGGTTCTGCAGGCTATACACAAAGCATAGTGCCAGCATCTACATCTGGTGAGAGCCTCAGGAAGCTTACAATTGTACGGAAGGTGAAGGGGAGCCAGTGTGTCACACGGCGAGAGAGGGAGCAAGGGAAGGAGGGGGAAAGGTGCCAGGCTCTTTAAACAACCAGCTCTTGATTGAACTCACAGATCAAGAACTCACTCATCACCAAGGGGATGACACCAAGCCGTTTATGAGGGATCCACCCCCATGACTCTAAAACCTCCCACCAGGATCCACCTTCAATATTGGAAATCACATTTCAACGTAATAGTTAGAGGGGACAAACATCCAAAGCGTATCATGGCGGCAGCTGAGTCAGCTCAAACTGGGCCTGAGGGCAGGGTGCAACCCAGCATTAAACTCAAAATGGCACCTTGAGCCTGGGACCAGAGAGGGTGGCGTCCCTCCCAGGCAAGTGGCTTGGGCAGGCACTGTGGGAAGTGTGGTCCGCTCATGTCTCAGTCTCAACAGCAGCCCATTGCAGGGTGGTAGGGACCCTCCCAGGGGTGTGTGTGAGTGCCCAGGCTCCTGTCCCTCTCCTTGGTGCAGTGCAGTGGCAACAGCCATGTCTGTAGATCCCCAGCATGTAGGCTCTCAATATGGCACCTGGCTGAGGCTGCTCTAGGCTAGGGTGCCTGTGAGATTCTGTGTGGGTTCCCATTCTGGAGCAACATCTCTGTGCAATCTTCAGGCAGCTCCGTATGTCAGACCCAAGGCGCTAGCTAATGAGTTGAGGGTTTCTCTTATAGCCAAGATTGTAAAAGCTGAGCCCTGGGGTTTCACTCTTAGTCTGTTTACCAACGTATAGAAGATTCCTGGCTCACAGGCAGTCCCTGGCCAGGCAAGCTGCCTTGAACCCTCTCCTTACTTCTGGTGCTTCCCATCTCTTCTCTGGTGAATCCCAGCACTCTTTGCTGGGTGGTCTGTATGAAATCTATCTACTTACTATTCTGGTTCCTCTCTGAGGAGGAGGCACACACTACCTGCATCTAGGCAGCCATTTTGATCTCTCGTCTCTGGGCCTTTTAAAATAATACACATAGTTTATTAGGCTAGGAAAGGAGTATAGCATCATAAAGATAAAAATTCACAAAATTTTAATAGTAAGTCAAAAGATTACTATCTTAATATTCTCCAGTGCAATATAAAATGTGAGCATAATGATATTGTAAGCATTTTAGTAGGGAAAACATAAGCACAGAAGCTGTGGAGCAACCACCCCACAAAATTGAGCCCCCACAGAAAGGCATAGAAAGCTATACTGCAGCATGAGCAAAGAATGAAGCAGGTACAGAGAAGGGTAGAGTCAAAAGAGATGAAATGGCTCCATGAGGAAAGGAGCTCCTGCTAGTTTTTGAGCTCCTGGTTCTAGTTCTGCATGAAGCCCATCTGTGCTTCCTAACTTTGAGAATTTTAAGACACTCACTACTCTAGTGGACAGATATGGTTTTGTCTACACTGCAGCCCTTTTTTTTCTTTTTCTTTTTTTTTTTTTTTTTTGACATGGAGTCCTTCTCTGTCACCCAGGCTGGAGTGCAGTGGCGCGATCTTGACTCATTGCAACCTCTGCCTCCCAGGTTCAAGCAATTCTCCTGCCTCAGCCTCCCGAGTAGCTGGGATTACAGGTGCACGCCACTGTGACTAGCTAATTTTTGTATTTTTTTAGTAGAGACGGGGTTTCACCATGTTGGCCAGGCTGGTCTTGAACTCCTGACCTTGTGATCCACCTGCCTTGGCCCCCCAAAGTGCTGGGATTACAGGTGTGAGCCACCGTGTCCGGCCTCCTTTCTTTATTTGGGAGAACAACTCCTTCACCACCCTTGATGAGTTCTAATATGTAATGACATGGCCTTGCTTTTTTGTCTACAGTGACAGATACAAAGGAGAGGCACATGACCCAAGCCAGGACAATCAGAGTCTTCGGGGATGTTTTGAAATAGAAATGAGAGAACAAAGTTCTTTTCTCCAAAGAATGGGTCATCAAACTATGCCTTGGCCAAATTCAGCCCACTGCCTGTTTTGCTTTTGTTTTTTGAAATATTAAAGTAGGGAGTTCCCCATCCCCACCACCTAGCTTCACCTAGTGATAGCATCTTATGTAACTGTATAGTAGTACATGATCAGCACCATGAAATTGACACTGGCACAATACAATTAACTTGACCACAGGCCTTACGCAGATTTCACCAGTTTTTCACTCTATGTCTTTGTATATAATTCTATGATATTTTATCATAGCTATAGAATTATGTAGCCCACATCACAATTAAGACAAAGAACTGTTCCGTCACTTCCTCTACCCTATTATACTCACACGCTCCCCTCCTCCTTCCCTAGTGTTTGACAACCACTGATCTGCTCTTCATCTCTATAATTTGGCCATTTCAAGAATGTTATATAAATGGGATCATAGAGCATGCAGCATTTTGAAACAGGCTTTTTTCTTTCTAAAAAAATTTTTTTTTGTGCTGGGTGTAGTGGCTCACGCCTGTAATCCTAGCACTTTGGGAGGCTGAGGCAGGCGGATCACGCAGTCAAGAGATCGAGACCATCCTGGCTAATACAGTGAAACCCTGTCTCTACTAAAAATACAAAAAATTAGCCGGGCATGGTGGTGGGCGCCTGTAGTGCCAGCTACCCAGGAGGCTGAGACAGGAGACTGGTGTGAACCTGGGAGGCGGAGCTTGCAGTGAGCTGAGATCGCACCACTGCACTCCAGCCTGGGTGACAGAGCAAGCCTCCATCTCAAAAAAAAATAAAAATTGAGACAGGGTCTTGTTTTGTTGCCCAGGCTGGTTTCAAACTCCTGGCCTCAGGTGATCTGATCCTCCCACCTTGGCCTCCCAAAGCACTGGGATTACAGGCATGAGCCACCACACCCAGCCAAAACTGGCTTTTTTCACTCGGCATAATGCCTTTGAGAGCCATTTAAGCTGTCATATGTAATGACAGTTCATTCCTTTTTCTTTCTGAGTAGTATTCCATTGTATGGATGTACCACAGTTTAACCATTCACCTGTTGAAGGACATTTAGGTTGTTTCCAGTTTGAGGTTATTACAAATAAATATGTGTACGCAAGTTTTTGTGTGAATATAAGTTTTCATTTCTCTGGGATAAATGCTCAGGAATGTAATTGCTGGATCACTTGGTAAATATATGTAGAACTTTTTAAGAAATTGCCAGACATAGTTCCACAGTGGCTGTATCATTTAACATTCCCACCAGCAAAGTATGAGCAATCCAGTTTCTTTGCATCCTTGCTAGCATTCAGTACTGCCGATGTTTTTATTTTAGTCATTCTACTAGGTGTGTAATAGTATGTCATTATGGTTTTAATTTGAATTTCCCAAATGGCCAGCAATTTTTTATTTTGAAACAGGGTCTCACTCTGTTGCCCAGGCTGGAGTGCAGTGGCGTGATCACAGCTTGCTGCAGCCTTGAGCTCCCAGGCTCAAGTGATCCTCCCACCTCAACTTCCCAAGTAACTGGGACTACAGACACATGCTACTATGTTCAGCATTTTTTTTAAGAGATTGGGGGGGGGTCTCTCTATGTTGCCCAGGCTGGTCTTGAACTCCTGGACTCAAGCAATCATCTTGCCTCAGCCTCTCAAAATGCTGTGATTATAGACACGAGCCACTATGCTTGGCACTGGCTAGCAATTTTGAATGTCCTTTCATGTGTTCAGTTACTATCTGTATGTCTTTAACTCACATTTGGGCCACTCTCACCATCGTTCTCAGGAAGCAGCTTTAGCTTACCCCCATCAAGGGCAAAAACTGGAGTAGCCTCTACAACAGGGAAGCTCTTAACCTCCCTCCCTAAAGAAGGGAGTGATGGACGGTTGGGGAGTGAGGGTTGGTGTGTGAGGGCTGGGCAAAAAATCCTGGACCCAAGAATTTAAGAGTTTGGCTCTTGCAGGAGGCTGGAAGAGAGGAGAATTAGCTTTTTATTCTTTAGAATCTCCTACAACTGTGGGAAAATACATAATACTTAAATAGCTCTATCAATTGCCCTGGACATGATTTTTATTCATTTCTTGAGAAGAGCAGACCCAAGTCAGATGGTGGAGAGGGGCCTTGGCAGAGTCATGCATCTGGGTCTTCATTGTAACATTGCTGTTATTTATAGATATTTGTTGAATAAATATACAAACTACTTCAGTGATGTGGGTTTATTATCACCTCTTACTACCTCTCTTGCTTCACTTGGAAAACAGAAATGGTAATTATACCATTGTTCTACCTCTCCTGGAGAATAATTACTGTAAAGATTTTTTTTAAAGTGGAAAATGACAATTTTGAATGAGTGCAAAAATTGGTTACTATGGTAGATAGAATATGGCCTATGCCCCTATCCCCAGATTATAGAAAAAAGAAGTAAAATTGCAAATGGAATTAAGGTTGCTAATCAGCTGACCTTGACATAGAGACAGTACCCTGGATTATCCAGGTAAGCCCAATGTAGTCATAGGGTCTTTATATGTGGGAGAAGGAGGCAGAAGAGTCAGTGTCAGAGGAATGTGATATGAGAAAGACTCAAACAGCCATTTAAAGCCATCAATCTGGCTTTAAAGATGGAAGGAGACCCCAAGCCAAGGAATGCTGGTGGGCTCCAGAACCTGAAAAAGGCCAGAAAAGAGATTTTCCTTTACAGCCTCCAGAGGGAACACAGCCCTACGAGCACTTAGATTTTGGCCAAGAGAGACTCATTTTGGACTCCTTCCAAAACTGTAAGAAAATAAATTTGGATTGTTTCAAATCACTAAATTTGCAGTGATCTGGTACAGCAACAATGGGAAAACTAATACAATTACTTTCAAATGTTTTAGAACAGGAATGGGCCTTTCTAGATCATTAACCATAATCAGGTGTTTGTCATGAAGACTAAGGCCCCCATAGGTAAGGTCCTGGGTCCCAGTTAATTGAACATACCATAATATTGGCCAGGCATGGTGGCTCACACCTGTAATCCCAGCACTTTGGGAGGCCAAGGCAGGCAGATCACTTGAGGTCAGGAGTTTGAGACCAGCCTGGCCATCATGGTAAGACCCTGTCTCTACTGAAAATACAAAAAATTAGCCAGACATAGTGTTCACGCCTGTAATCCCACTGGGGAAGCTGAGGCAGGAGAATTGCTTGAACCTGGGAGGCAGAGGTTGCAGTAAACCAAGATTGCACCACTGCACTCCAGCCTGGATGACAGAGAGAGATTCTCCCAAAAACAGAAAAAAAAAAAGAAAAGAAAATACCATAGTTTTGATACAGACAGGAGGCAGGGAAATACTGAGTAGAAGAGAGCAGGGTCCCTGGCAAGGGTTTCACCCTCAAACCTGGACCCACAGCCCTAAATGAAACCATGCATTCCTGTTTTCCTGCCCAAATGTTGCCTTTTCCAAAACCACTGTGGCCCACCACACCCCCTACCCTGTAGCCATAAAAACTCTGAGCTCCACTGGCAGAGAAGCAGAGCAGCATAGAAGGAGAGAAGAGAAGAAGCATCTGAATGTCAAGAGAAGAAGCAGTTGAACACCAGAGACTACGGTCAGAGAGGAGTTTGGCCAGGGACGGTTGGAGAGGGGTTCGGCTGGAGACGGCCAAACTTCAGGGGAAGATTATCTTCCCTCTCCATCCACTTTCCAGCTCCCATCCAACTGAGATCCACTTCCATCACTCAATAAAATCCTCCGCATACACCACCCTTCAATCTGGGTGACCTGATTCTTCCTGGACACCAGACAAGAATTCGGGATGAACTGGGTGCAGGAACCCAAAAAGGCCGTCACACTGACTCTTCACTGAGCTCTTTAACACTTAAGCTGTCCACAGATGGCAAAAGTTAAAAGAGCATTGTTTGTAACACATGCCCTCTGGGGCTCCACAGGTCACGGGCAACCCCTAGACACTGCCACAGGCCGGTACAGGGTTTGTTCCTGCCGGTGCCCAAGGCACTTGCCCCAGCTCCTGCACCCTCTCACCTGTGTGCTCCCATTTCTGCAAGGGGTTTGAGCAGCCAAGGAAACAAGCCACACCCCTGTCACAAGTCCTATGGAGGGGAGACAGGAACTCTCCCATCTCAGTATCAACCATCAAAGCACATTCTATTGAAATACATTTTACATGTTTTTGCTATGGATAGCAGTGTTTCTGAAAGTGAGGACTGAGGGCGTATTAGTCCCCTAGGGCTGCCATAACAAACTAGCATAGTTTAAAGTAACAGAAATTTGGCCAGGCACGGTGGCTCATGCCTGTAATCCCAATACTTTGGGAGGCTGAGGCAGGTGGATCACCTGAGATCAGGAGTTCAAGACTGGCCTGGCCAGCATGGTGAAACCCCGTCTCTACTAAAAATATAAAAATTAGCCGGGCTTGGTGGCGCATGCCTGTAATCCCAGCTACTTGGGAGGTTGAGGCAGGAGAATCGCTTGAACCCAGGAGGCAAAGGTTGCAGTGAGCTGAGATCATGCCACTGCACTCTAGCCTGGGCAACAGAGTAAGACTCCATCTCAAAAATAAATAAAATAAAATAATAAAATAACAGAAATTTATTCTCTCAAAGTTCTAGAAGCTGGAAGTCTGAAATCAAGGTGTCAGGTGGGACAGGCTCCCTCTGAAGGTTCTAGAGAAGAATCCCTCCTTGCCTCTGTTAGCACCTGGAGGTTGCTGGCAGTCTTTGGTGTTCCTTGGCTTGTGGCAGCATAACTCCAATCTATAAGTACATCTTCACATGGCCTTTTTATATGTGCCTTTGTCTTCAAATCTCTTTCTTTTTATATCTATACCAGTCATTTAATTTAGAGCCCACCCTAATCCAATATAACCTCATTTTAACTAGATTACATCTGCAAAGACCCTTTTTCCAAATAAGGTCTCATTCAGTGGTACCGGGGCTTAGGACTTCAGCATATCTTACTAGGGGGCATAATTCAAGGCCACAAAAGACGGCCACTTCCTCAAAATTCTCTGGTGTGCTTGTTAAAGATGCAGATTCTGGGGCCCACCCCAGACTACTTGATTGGGTTTCTAGGGTTCAGGTCTAAGAATGTGCTTATTGAGTAACCCCCTCTGGCTGGGTACAGTGGCTCATGACTGTAATCCCAGCACTTTGGGAGGCTGAGGCGGGCAGATCACCTGAGGTCAGGAGTTGGAGACCAGCCTGGACAACATAGTGAAACTCCATCTCTACTAAAAATACAAGAATTAGCCAGGCGTGGTGGCACAAACCTGTAGTCCTGGCTACTCAGGAGGCTGAGGCAGGAGAATCCCTTGAACCTGGGAGGTGGAGATTGCAGTGAGTTGAGATCATGTCACTGCACTCCAGCCTGGGCGACAGAATGAGACTGTCTAAAAAAAAAAAAAAAAAACAAACAAAGAAAAACAAAATAAGCCATCCTCTCATGAATATCACTTATCCTAACATTTAAGAACCATTGATATTTGTAATGATTTTGTTTTTCATAATTTAAAACTAGGGGAAGACAGGCCGGGTGCGGTGGCTCATGCCTATAATCCCAGCACTTTGGGAGGCCGAGGTGGGTGGATCACGAGGTCAGGAGATCGAGACCACCCTGGCTAACACAGTGAAATCCTGTCTCTACTAAAAATACAAAAAATTAGCCAGGTGTGGTGGCAGGTGCCTGTAATCTCAGCTACTCGGGAGGCTGAGGCAGGAGAATGGCGTGAACCCGGGAGGCGGAGCTTGCAGTGAACCGAGATTGCGCCACTGCACTCCAGCCTGGGCGACAGAGCAAGACTCTGTCTCAAAAAAAAAAAAAAAAATAGGGGAAGACAATTAAGTCAAAGTCACTTCCTGGCTTTCAAATATTTATTTTACATATTTATAGAGGTGAAGATGCAGAGAAGTTCTCCTCTTGCATATCACAGGTATCCACAAGTTCCACAATATGCTAAAGGCTCCCAAGAAAAATATCAGGTGTTCAAATTCTTACATAAACACGAAACTGACGCTTTTTCCCTTTAAGCTTCCCACAAATGACCTCTAAGTTGGAAAACGTCTTGGCATAAAAACAAAAATACTGCTCTAAAGGAAAAAGAGAAGGTGGCCTTGGAGTCCCTGAAGCACAACGTGAAAGAAACAAGAGAAAGAAACCAGCTCTGATATGTTTTCCGACAGTGACCCAGGTGCCTCTGGAGGAGGTGGCTCAGGAAAGAGGGGAAAAGAGGAACAAAATAAATTATGGGGAATCTAAAAGGGGCAATTCGAATTTCTGGAAAAGTTCTTTCTAAGTGGCTTGTTAGCAATAAGGCAAGACACATGGACATATGTGTCCTAAATCAGTAACCCCTACCCTTTGTTTTTTCTAGCCAAGGTTGATTTGAAGAATGTTAAAGCACATGGATTGTATATAGAAATATCAGGAAAGACCCCGTCTCAAAAAAAAAAAAAAAAATCAGGAAAGATGGCTGCCAAAATATGAATGTGGCTGTCTCTGGATGACGGGATTTCAGGTGTTTTTTGTCTTTATAATTTTCTGTACTTGGCTTTATTTTATTTCAACAAGCAGGTATTATTTACAAAGTCAATAAGCAAATGGTTATTATTTAAAAATAGTTGTGCATATGAGTACGTTACATGTGAAAGTGAGATGGTAAAGAAAACAATGGGAAATGATCGTGTTCATCTAATCCATGAAGAGGCCCCTGCCCTTTGTAGCAGATCATTGTCTCCTGATTCAGGAACAAACAAAGGAAAAAGGCCAGGACCCGTCACCCTCTAACAAGTCATAATCAGTCTCCCATCCCCTCCCGCCTCTCAAATCTGAGGATGAGAAGGAAGTAGGAGAAGGAAGAGGGGAGGGCAGGTCAATTAGAGGAGAAGAGGTGAGAAGGGACCTGAGGGTTCCGGGGCTGAGACCCTCCTCAGGCAGCTGAGGGATTGGCTGGAAGATGGACGGAGAGTGGATCACAGATGAGCTTGCTGAGATTTTCATGTACTCATTAGATTTACAAGTTAATTTACTTTGTGGACCAGGCAAAGGGTATTATATTAAGAAATAAATGATTTAACTATTGGTCCATGTTTGGGACCACCTCAGTTTTTACACAGAACACCGTGCCTCATCAGATGTTTTTGCCTAACATGGCAGTAAAGGTAATTTTTCTCTAGGGAGTATCCCAGCTTTTAAATAATGTTTTCTAGAACATTTCTAGCTGACAGGGAGTTTATAGAGTTTAAAGTTTAAAATATAAGCTTACAGGGTTAAGCTTATATTTTTACTTTCTGACAGGTAAAAAAAACTTTGTAATCTTCTCCACACAGCAATATTTACCAGTAATCCACACTTCCAACCACAACATGATTTTTGCAGGGATAGGGTTAGGCTTGGGCTGACTAGAGATTTTCTTCAAAGAGCCTCCTCATCATCAAGGCCCTTTGGAGTTTAGAATGTGTGTGGAAGGGAAGATGCCAACGCGAAGTGTGTGAGAACAACAGAAGGAGGAGACTTTCTTTTATTTTTATTTTCGAGATGGAGTCTCCCTTAGTCGCCCAGGCTGGAGTGCAGTGGAGTGATCTCAGCTCACTGCAACCTCCGCCTCCCAGGTTCCAGCAATTCTCCTGCTTCAGCCTCCTGAGTAACTGGGATTACAGGCACGTGTCACCACGCCTGGCTAATTTTTGTATTATTAGTAGAGATGGGATTTGACCATGTTGGCCAGGATGGTCTTGAACTCCTGACCTCAGGTGATCCACCCACCTCTGCCTCCCAAAGTGCTGGGATTACAGGTGTGAGCCACTGTGCCGACGTATCTTTTAATTTTTAAAATAGAGATAGGGTCTCACCATCTTGACCAGGCTGCTCCTGAACTCCTGGCCTCAAGTGATCCTCCCATCTTGGACTCCCAAAGTGCCGGGATTACAGATGTGAGCCACCACATCTGGCCAGAAGGAGCAGACTTTGTCCAGAGAATTTTTAAAGAGAAAAAAAGCTGGTTAAAAGTGGGGATATCTGGGGCAGAGCACTTGGGAAGGTTATGGAAGCTGGAGGCCAAGAGGCGCCATCGCAGAACAACACAAAAATTCAGGTGAGGTGAGGAGAAGGGAGAGCAGCTTTGGGCAGCACAGAAGGCAGCAAATACAGAAAATTATAAAGATCAAAAACCTGAAATCCCACCATCCAAAGACAGCCACAAAGGTATTTTGGTAAACATCTTTCCTGATATTTCCATATTCAATCACGTGCTTTAACATTCTTTAAATCAATTAAAAAAAAACAAAAACAAAAAACAAAACAGGGTCTGGCTCTGTTGCCCAGGCTGGCATGCAATGGTGCGATCATGGCTCACGGCAACCTCTGCCTCCCAGGCACAAGCAATCCTCCCACCTCAGCCTCCTGAGAAGCTGGGATTACAGGCACGTGCTGCTATGCCCGGCTATTTTTTTTTTTTAGTAGAGATGGGGTTTTGCAAGAGCCTAAGTTGCCAAGGCTGGTCTCAAACTCCTGGGCTCAAGGGATCCACCTACCTTGGCCTCCCAAAGTGCTGGGATTACATGCATGTAATCCGTGCCCAGCCCACATCAATCTTGGCTAGAGGAAACAAAGGGGAAAGATTACTTATTTAGGACATGGACATCCATGTGTGCTGCCTTATTGCTAACATGCTCACAAACCACTAGAAAGAACTTTTTCAGAAACTTGAATTGCCTCTGTCAGATTCTCCAGAATTTCTTTTCTTCCTTCCTCCGTCCCTTTCCTGGGCCACCTCCTCCATAGGCACCTGTGTCACTGTCAGAAAACATAACAGAGCTTGTTTCTCTTGGGACCGCATTGTGCTTTAGGGGTTCTAGCCTAACCTTATCTTTTTCCTTCAGAGCAGTGTTTTTCTTGGGTATCTCTATGGAACCCATCAGGAAAGCTCATCTCTTGAGTACCCAGGAAGCTAAGAGGGCAATAGCTGGCCAGAGTAGATCAGGGAAAGGCAAGGGAAAACTCTATGCTCACCACTTAGCTTACTCCTACAAAGTGTGTGCAGCCCATATCCAGCCAAGTTATGACTTGCCTTTGAACAGTTAACTGAGCATGATACTGCCTGATTGAAGGGTGTGGAAAGGAAACCAACATTTGGTGAGCTCCTGCTCTGTACTCTGTACTAGTTACTTTTTACATTATTTTATTCAATCTTAAAAAATGCAGAGAGACAGCATTGGTATTGTTGACATTTTGCAGATGAAGAAACTAAGGCACAGGGAGGCTAAATAACTTGTCAAAGCCACCAAATTCCTAAGTGGCAGAGCTGATATTCAAATCCAGGTGTGATTTATCCAGCTCAAAAAATCATCATCCTTCTCGCTGGGTAGAAACCCTGTGGTCAACTAGAGAGTCCAGATCTCTACCTTTGTTCTTGCTTTGGGTTGCTGCTGCTATCCAATACAGAAGGACTTTGGCCTTGAACTGTAAAAGTCGTTCTTTAGGGTAGGCATTGCCATTGCCTGATGTGTTAGTCCAGGTCCTCTGAGAAGCAGACACCAAGATGGAATTAAATGTGCAAAGATTTTATTAAGAAAAATTCTGCTGTGAGAGACATGGGCAGGAGGAGAAGGCTGAGAGCCGTCAGATGGCAATGCAAGTCCGATCTCAAAGAAGAAAAGGAGGGAAGGTTGGATGAAGCATCCTGGACCACTGAGCAGTGTAAGGAAGGTTTGGCAAAAACCTTCAGCCATAAGAGAAGTCCCACATCTCCAGGAATGAGCCTGCCTTATTATCCCCTCCCTGCTCAGTTATCGGCTGGGAGGCGCGACGGGCAGCAAGGGTCTTAGTGCAAATGCTGGGACGGACAAAAAGTGAAAGACAACCCACAGAAGGTGAGAAAATATTTGCAAATCATATATCTGATAAAGGACTTGTCTCCAGGGTATATAAATAACACAATTCAATAATAAAAAGATAAATAACTCATTTAAAAGTAGGCGAAGGATCTGAATAGAAATTTCTCCCATAGACATATACCAATGGCCAATAAGCATGAGCAGATGCTCACCATCATTAGTTATTAGGAAAATGCAAACAAAACCACGATGGGATACACGTCACACTCACTAGGATGGCTATGATAAAAAAGAGGGACAATAACAAGTATTGGTAAGAATGTGGAGAAATTGGAACCCTTATACATTCTGGTGGGAATGTTAAAGGGTGGAGCTGCTTTGGGAAACAGTCTTGCAGCTCCTCAAAAAGTTAAACATCTATTTATTCTGTCTTTCTTGTATAAATTATACCTCAGAGCAATCAAACTATTGATGAGTCATTGTTTTCTTGATAGATTTCAGCTAATAAATAAAGAAGGAATGATAGAAATCGAGTCTTATCATTTTGCAACTGCTCTCACGTACGGGTACAGACAATGATCACCAATGGGCTGCTAACATTACAGACAACCAGGCATTGTGAGCCCCCTAGTGGAAGTTCACCATGTATGACATACTGTTGATAAATAATCAAACCTGAATCCAATACAGTAGACACTAGCCACGTGTCTATTTCCATTTCAGTTAACCTCTATGTGCTGTCCATTATGGTGGGCACTAGCTGCTTGTGGTCAACTTTAAATTAATTAAAATAAAATAAAAATAATTCAATCCCTCGGTTACACTAGCATAATAGCCACATGTGTAGATATAGAACATTTCCATCATCACAAAAAGTTCTATTGCACAGGGCTGAAAATCTACCCGTTTATAGGAAGTACAGGGGACTAAAGAACATAATTCACACAGTGTAAGGATTCTATCAGCAGATCTAGGATGTGGGAAACTTTATGGGACAAATGACCCAGTTCTTTCAAGAAATAAATTACAAAGGGGAAAAAGGAGAGAGGAAAGAACTTCAATTGAAAGAGATTGAAGAAAAACATCATCAAATGCAAAGCGTGACCTAATTTGGATCTTAATTGTAAAACTCTGAAAAGCATTAGGGAGGCAATTTGGGAAATTTGAACCTTGGATATTTTATGGTCTTAAGGAAACATTGTTATTTTTTAGTGATATTATGGTTATGTTTAATAAAAGAGTCCTTATCTTTTAGAGATACATTCTGAAAGGTTACAGGAGGAATAGTCTAGATTTTTCTTTAAAGTAATACAGCATGGAAAAACAGTTGACTAGGGTATAAGATTTGCCATAATGTTGATAACTCTTGAAGTTTGAGACTCCATTAAATTGTTCCCTCTATCTTATGTTTATGTTTGACATTTTCCATAAGAAATGTTTTAAAAATTACTGGTTTTAAGTTTATTTTTATTTTTTTTCAGACAGGGTCTATGTTGCCCAGGCTGGCCTCAAACTCCTGGCCTCAAGCGATCTTCTCACCTCAGCCTCCCAAGTAGCTGGGACTACAGGTGTGCCACCATGCCCAGCTAAGTTTATTTTTAGAATCATAAACTAGGCCTGATTTTTTTGCTGTTATATCTTTTTTAGTCTCCATGTGAGAATGTTTGAAGCATAGAAGTAAATGGTTAAGACAGACAGGTGCGGACCAGGGAACAGGCTGGCATGTTTGGGAGATGGCATGCACAGCATCTGGCCACTCTTTAGGTGCTCATTAGTAAAATGTATGTGTCTTTCAAATAATTACTATCTTGTTAATAGGAAGTTTTAATTCAACTGAATAAATTCAATTCAATAAATTTTCAGAACAATTTGATAAATGTCTCATGAAGCCAATGTATAATAAAGTATTTTATCATTTGAGCACTTGATCTGTGCATAACACTCCCCTGGAGTCTGTGGATGATCCAAAAGAAAAAATAGGGAAAACTCCTAAAAAAATTATCTGGCCTTGTTAGAGAGGTAGGATTTATATGTATAGAATAATTATAGGAAATGACTAGAGGATTTCTGAGGATGGTTTAAAAAAAAATAAAAAGGAGAGTTGAAAAGGGACTTACAAAAAAAAAGGTAGCCCAAGGTTTTGCTCTAATCTAATGTTGTTGATAATGACAGTGTAAGATCTCAGAAAATGATAACCCAAAATGAAGACCTCAGAAGCAGCTCTCTCTGACCTTCTTCTCGCCTCCTGTCACTGGCCTCTCATTCTCCCCCAAGGCTAGCTACTGAAGAAACTCTTTGGCAAGGTGCATCTCAGAAACCAAAATCCATTTCCCCTAAAGCCAGCCATAAAACCTAAACATATTATTCTAACTCCACTCCTCCACCCACATCACCTTTCTGTGTAAAAACTGGCCATAAAGAAGCAATTTGACCTAGTTTGTCTGATTGTAGGTCATAAGATCTCCCCATTCCAGAGAGGGTCCAGCCCCATACCCAAGAGGAAGGAAGGCTGCACAGAGGCCAAGAAGAACCTAAATAGAGGCCAGGTGTGTTGGCTCACACCCGTAATCCCAACATTTTGGGAGGCCAAGGTGGACGGATCACCTGAGGTTGGGAGTTTGAGACCTGATGAAACCCATCTCTACTAAAAATACAAAAATTAGCTGGGTGTGGTGGTGCGCACCTATAATCCCAGCTCCTTGGGAGGCTGAGACAGGAGACTCACTTGAACCCAGGAGGCAGAGGTTGCAGTGAGTGGAGATCACACCACTGCACTCCAGCCTGGGTGACAGAGTGAGACCCCATCTCAAAAAATAATAATAATAAATTAAACATAAATAAATAATAAATAAATAATAGACAGGCCTTCTTGGGTTTCCCCACTCAGTCTATTATAGCTCATAGCCTTTCCGTCCACATTTTGGTGAACCTAAGCATGAAAGTAGACAGTTTCATCCGTATCTTTGGGTCTTCATTCCGAAGGCTCCTGTGTCATGTAAAACTATGGTCAAATACATTCATATGCCTTTTCTCCTATTACTCTGCCTTTTGTCAGTTGATTTTTGCAAACCTTTAGGGGCCACGGGGAAGTTTTCCCTTGGCTCTTATAACAGCTAACACAGGGCTTAGTACACAGCCAGCCTTTGTATGAGGCACTCACACTTTACCTCATTTAGGCTCATATTCTTGGGCAGGAAAATCGAGATCATAGTGGCCTGTATATTTTTCTCCCATATTTTAACTGTAGACACCAGGAATATCACTCCTCAAGCTTGCCTCACTCAACCTGAGCTGGTCTTTGCACACATACACGTGCCTGTGAGGAGGTGGTGGGGGAGTATGGGGAGACTGGGAAGATGTAATGGAAGCAAGACTCACCCAAAGGAAGCCCTTGGGCTAACTCACTATGGTGAGACTTGGTGTGAACTGGTGAGCTGAGCCAATGTACTTTTTTCTCTAGGGAAACTGATTTGCAAATACAGAAGGAATTATCTGCCTGGAAGAGGAGAGAGAAGGGAGCAAAGGCATAAAGAGCAAGAAGCTGAATCACATTAATGGCTAAACGCCAGCAGAAAGCTCCTGTGACTCAACCTGACTCTCCATTCTGATTTTTCCAAGGTCTAGTTATTTAGATTTTTCAAGTCCTCTTTGCACATTTATTCTTTTATAGCTAGCATGAATTTCAGAGTCTTAGGACTCAGATATGCAAAAATGTTTTTCTAATTCAAACTGTAGCATTTAGTTTAGACTCAGTCTCTTCTGGGTAAGTAAACATCAACTATGAAATTCTCCCTTCCTTCTTCTCCTTCCTTTCTCCCTGGAGAGATATGAATTCCCAGGTGGAACACAATGGGAGTGTCCATGGAGTGCTGGCATTAGGAGGAGCTCTGGTCTGAGCTTTGCTCACCCTCCCCAAGGGACCCACATGGTCCTAAATGATCTTTCTACCACATGCCTGGCTGATGGCTCTGACCCCAACAGCTCTGAGGCTGGTCCCATACTCTGCCTCTTCCTCCTTCTGTGGCCTAAATAGTCACCTCCACTTTCTCTTGGAGGGTCAAGGGCTCTTGGTTTTGTTCCCTGGACCATGCTGGCATTCACTGGCTTTTGAGAGGATTTCCCATTTTATGGAAAATCTAGAATCTGCCTGGACCTGTCCCTCAGCCACCACAGTCTGTTCAGGAACTGTTGAAGGTGGCACTTAAAATATATATATTTTAAATTTTTAACTTTTATATTAGATTCAGGGGTACATGTACAGGTTTGTTATATAGCTAGACTCACATCATGGGGGTTTGTTGTACGGATCATTTCATCTCCCAGGTATCAAGCCTAGTACTCAAGTGTCATTTTCTTTCTTTCTTTTTTTTTTTTTTTTTTTTTTTTTTTTTGATGGAGTCTTGCTCCGTCGCCCGGCTGGAGTGCATTGGAGTGATCTTGGCTCACTGCAACCTCCAACTCCTGGGTTCAAGCGATTCTCCTGCCTCAGCCTCCTGAGTAGATGGGATTACAGGCACGTGCCACCATGCCTGGCTAATTTTTGTATTTTTAGTAGAGATGGGGTTTCGCCATGTTGGTCAGGCTGCTCTCGAACTCCCAACCTTGTGATCCGCCCGCTTGGCCTACCATAGAGCTGAGATTACAGGCATGAGCCACTGCTCCCAGCTCAAGTGTTATTTTCTCTGCCGTTTTCCTCCTCCCATCCTCCACCCCCAAGTAGACCCCACTGTCTGTTGTTCCCTTCCTTGTGTCCACGTGTTCTCATCATTCAACTCCCACTTATAAGTGAGAACATGTGGTTTTTGGTTTTCTGTTCCTGTGTTAGTTTGCTAAGAATAATAGCCTCCAGCTCCATCCATGTTCCTGCAAAAGACATTTTTTATGGCTGTGTAGTATTCCATGGTATATATGGACCACATTTTCTTTATCCAATTGGATGCAGCACTTTCTTTCTTTCTTTCTTTTTTTTTTTTTTTTTTTTGAGACAGAATCTCGCTCTGTCACTAAGGCTGGACTGCAGTGGCATGATCTCGGCTCACTGCAAGCTCCGCCTCCCGGGTTCAAGCAATTCTCCCTGCCTCAGCCTCCCAAGTAGCTGGGATTACAGGCACCCACCACCACGCCTGGCTAATTTTTGTATTATTTAGTAGAGATGGGATTTTACCATGTTGGCCAGGCTGGTCCTGTACTCCTGACCTCAGGTGATCCACCCGCCTCAGCCTCCCAAAGTGCTGGGATCACAAGCGTGAGCCACCGTGCCTGGCAATGCAGCACTTTTCTATGAAACCTGTGCTCTCCCCAACTGCAACACTGGGGATTGGGCACAGCCTTTCTGTCTGGGTCATCACTTCCATGAGTCTTTTCAAAAGATGTGCTTTACTGTTTCTTCATTTTCTAGTTCATTATTTTTTTCCCTTATGATTCCCATCCTTCCACTTTCTTTAGGTTTATCCTATTGTTCTGTTCCTATTAGCTAAATATTTGGATGCTCTTTTAACGACATATTTGACTTAGATTTATTGGTGGGTAGGTAATACAGATGGTGTAAATTCTGGCTTAAACACTTGTGATAACAAACTTGTGGTTAGCATTCTCCAAGTATTCTTTCCCATTTATAATTTTCATTTCGGTCTAGAGATGATTGGTAAGTTTTTCTACATCTCTGTCTCTCGGGCACCCCCCACACTTCTGTTCAACCCTTTTGAACATACCTAGAGTAATATTTCTGGGATTCTGGCTTCACGTGATGTTTTCTAGTCCATCCTCTTGGCTTTCACAGGCCTCGTGTTTTTGTCTATCCTCCCCCGCAGGTGCCACCGAAGACAGTCAGATAGGCTGTCATGGCAAACACCAGCTTTAGAGAGGTTAAGTCTCTGGATTTTTACTTTCTTTTTTGTTTGTTTGTTTTGAGATGGAGTCTCGCTCTGTCGCCCAGGCTGGAGTGCAGTGGCACAATCTCGGCTTACTGCAACCTCCACCTCCCAGGTTCAAGCAATCCTCCTGCCTCAGCCTCCCAAGTAGCTGGGACTACAGGCGTGTGGCACCACGCCCAGCTAATTTTTTGTATTTTTAGTAGAGACGGGGTTTCGCCATGTTGGCCAGGATAGTCTTGATCTCTTGACCTCGTGATCTGCCCACCTCGGCCTCCCAAAGTGCTGGGATTACAAGCGTGAGCCACCGAGCCTGGCCTGGATTTTTACCTTCTTATTATCTATGGCAAGGATCTTCCTTTTTTCCCCCCAAGAGTTCAGACAAGTATTTTCTAGAAAGTTTAAAAATATATTTTATCCAGAATTTTAGTTCCATACCAGAAGACTTTTTCCGGACATCTAGTCTTTCAAACAACCAAAAATGGAAGTCATCATTTTTATAATATAAACACTGTTTTTTTCTACACTTTCCAAGTGGAAGATTTATTTTGGTTTTAAGGGCTTTCTTATTTTTAATATCAGTATTTAAATTATAAATTTCCCTCTGACTACCACTTTACCCTGTATTAATGATCAAGATAAAATTTTATTACTAGGTACAATGCAATATAATACTCTTTATTCTTGTTTCATTAATCTTCACAAAACCCAATGAGATGTATATGATTATTCTTCACTTTATCAATGAGGAAATTGAAGTGAAGGAAAATTAAATAATTTCCCCTAGGATCCTGGAGACAGTAGCATGCAGGGAAGCTGGGATTCCAACCAGGGTCTGGCTGAGTTCAAAATGGGGTCTTGCAACTCGTTCAATGGTTTTATGAGAAAAGAAAAACAGGATATTTAAGGTGAGAGTAAAAAGGAAAAACTGACATTAGATTTTAGGGTGTTCGTGTCAAAGTTACCTCACGGTTGGAAGTAAGGGAGAGAAAAGGATGCAGGTTATTATGGGGATGATAGCTGTCCAACCCAAGCCCAGAGAATATGGGGCAACCTGAGAATGTGTGGCAAAGCAGGAACAGGTGTGCACAGACACCTTCTGCGTTCATCCTGGGTAGACACAGTGGCAGAAACTCACCTTTCCCTGCCTAGTTCAAATTATTAACTGTGCTTTCTTGGCAATATCAATTTACCAAAAAAAAAAAAAAAACAAACAATGATTTTTAATCCGATGGCCATATGTGCAACGTATAGAACATCACTAATGAACACATATTTTTTAGCCCCAAATAAAATAGTCTTTGCTAATCCCAGACCTTGGCTCCAAGCCAGCTAGCTTCTTGCTTTCATTATTTGCAACAGAATCCAGAATTCAGAGTGAATAAAAGAGCCGAACAGGAATATAACTCCCGATAATATTGTCTCTGTGCCTTATGCACTTATCCTTTTTGTCTCTCCCCAGGGGAAAAGCAGTTATTCTTACTTATGCTAAATCCAGTTGTTCCCCACCGAGGTCATGTAAATCCTGGCACCGAGTATGCAGCAGAGTAAAGTCAAGGCAGTGGGAGGTGCTCACACAAGAGCAACAGGCGGCCCCAAAGCCCCAAACTGTTCCATCCATTTTCTCCTAAAAATAAAGGGTTCTATTCATAAAAAAACTTCATATATTCTTGTGATTTTTCTTACCAAAAAAAAGCCAACATGATATGCAGGCAAAGAATAACAACTCCTGGTTCACAAACCACGCCATCCTTTCATTTCCCAGAGTAAGCAAATAAACCAGGGAGAGGACATGCAGGAGAGTTAACTGTATTCAGCAGATAAAAAAACATCTTCTGCAAAAAGGGATCGGACCTCCAATTAGACCCCTAAGTGGTTCCATTTAAGGGAAACTGCCTCCTTTCTGCACATCCACTTAACAAAATGAATTACCCAAAGGCTAAATGTGAGAGATTTTATAACTTTATTTTAATGGGATTTCTAAATATCATAGATTTCATTTCTTTCCAGCAAAGAAGAATTGGTTACTTAGATTTTCCGAAGACTTAAAGATTATTTAGACCTTATTCTTCTATTCTCTCTCCTATTTTCAGTCTTTAAAAACTATCTTTCCATTGTAAATCCAAATTATTGTATGCTTTAGAATGCTTCCTCTACTGGGGATAACCTGCCCTTAAACTCTAGTAATCCCAGGCCCAACCTGACCCACCTGCCCTTGGCATCCCCAGTAGTTAAAGGATCAATATCTTGGGTTCACCTGTAATCCATATTTTGCATACCAGTATGCCTTGGCTCATCTGCTGGGAAGGTCTGTGCTAGGATTTATACTCAGGTGTGTTAATTATTGTATTAGTCCATTCTTATGCTGCTATGAAGAACTGCCCAAGATTGGGTAATTTATAAACGAAAAAAGATTTAATTGACTCACAACTCCTTATGGCTGGTGAGGCCTCAGGAAACTTATCATCATGGCAGAAGGGAAAGCAAACACATCCTTCTTCACATGGTGGCAGGAGAGAGAAGTGTGGAGAGAAGGGGAGAAAAGCCCCTCATAAAACCATCAGATCTCTTGAAAACTCACTATCATTAGAACAGCATGGTGAGCCATCCCAATAATCTAATCACCTCCTACCAGGTCCCACCCCCAACACATGAGGATTACAATTCAGATTACAATTCGAGATGAGATTTTGGTTGGGGACACAGCCAAACCTTATCAATTATCTATTGCAGCATAAGCAATTACCCCAAAATTCAGCAGATTAAAACAATATACATTCATTATCTTACAGTTTCTGTGGGTGAAGAATCTGGACATGGCTTGGCTGGGTCTTCTGGGGCTCTCACAAGGCTGCTATGAGCAGCAGGTGCTGCTATCATCCTCTGTTGAAGAATCCACTTCCAAGCTCACTCACATGAATGCTGGCAAGGCCAGTTCCTCCTTGGCTATTGAGCTGCAGGCTTCCTTTCCTCATTGGTGAGGATGCTCAATTCCTTGCCATGACAGTCTCTCCAGAGGGCAGTTTGCTTCAACAATGTGCTTCTCTAAAGTTATCAGGAAGAACAGAGAGAGAGAGAGTTAGGAGAAGGCAGTCTTCTGAAACCTAATCTCAGAAGTGCCATCTTATCACTTTTGCTGTATTCTACTCATTAGACACAAGTCATTAGGTGCAGCTCATATTTAAGGGAGGGAGTTACATGTGGGCATGAATACTAGAAGGTGCAGATGCCTGCAGACCAACTTAGAAGTCCGCTTACCAAACTAGGAGATAAATTGCTGAGTGGTAGGGGTAATACACATGTTTAACCTTGCTAGATAGTTCCAGATTACTATCTAGCAGACTATAAGAGTTGCCATTATTATGAGTTCTCACCAACACTTGCTATTGTCAGTCTTTTTAATTTTTGCCAAGCTGTAGGGTATAAAATGGTTAATGAGGTTGAGCATATTTTCAAATGTGTACCACATAGAATTGTTCTTCTGTGAAATGCTATTCATGTTGTTTTTCTATTTTTCTATTAAATTTTTTTTATTGATTCAAAGGAGCTCATATAGTCTCAGTTCTAACCCCAAGGCCATTATATGTGTGGTGAGTATCTTCCTCTAGTTTTTAGCTTATGTTTTCACTCTCTTGGTATCTTGATGTCTTTGGAGAAGCCATAGTTTATTTTTTAAGACAGGGTCTCACTCTGTCACCCGGGCTGGAGTCCAGTGGCATAATCACGGCTCACTGCAGCCTTGAGCTCCTGGGCTCAAGTGATTCTCCTGCCTCAGCCTCCCAAGTAGCTTTGACAACAGGTGTGTGCCACCATACCCAGCTAATTTTTGTAATTTTTTTTTAGAGAGGGGGTCGCACTATGTTGCCCAGGCTGGTCTCAAACTCCTGGGCTCAAGTGATCCTCCTGCCTTAGCCTCCCAAAGTGCTGGGATTGCAGGTGGGAGTCACAGTGCATGACCTGTTTATTTTAATGTAATTGAATTTATGTTTCCAGTTTTGCATTAAGAAATCCTTCCTTCCCTCAAGGTTAAAAAGATGATATTCTACATTTTCTTCTAAAGTTAAAAAATTTTCCCTTTAAGTCATCTATCCATCTAAAATTGACTTTTGTGTATAGTGTAAAGTTGGAGTCAGTTTAGCTTTTCCCTTATATGGCTAATCAATTAATTTTTATTAAATAGTCCTCCCTCCCCCTAATGTGCAATGCCAGTTTTGTCATAGGTGAGGTTTCTGTTTATTCATCTATTCACAAGTCTTATTCTAGATTCTGTTTTGGTCCATGGATCTATCTCTGAACTTATATCACAGTCTTAATTATGATGATTTTATATCAATTCTTAATACCTGGTAGTAGTGTAATTACTGACACTTGTTCTTCTTCAGGATTATTTTGGCTATCTTTGGCCCTTTGCTTTGCTATATAAAATATATAAATTTTAGGGTCAGCTTGTCAAGTTCTGTGAATAGAAAGTCATTAAATCTACAGCTTATTTTAGGGAAATACTATTTGTATCTTCTTTTTGTCTTTTACTGAAGTTTTTATTATTTTTTTCTGTAAAAGCCTTCACATTTTTGTTAGATTTACTCCAAAGGTGTCTTTTTTTTAATTGCCGTTGTAATTGGCATCTTTAATTGTGTGTTCTAAATATTTGTTGCTGAAGTATACATGTGTAATTGTATTTTGTATATTGACCTTACTTAAGGCAGACTTGCTAAGCTCCTATGAAGTCTAATGGCTTTTTGATGGAGTTTTTGAGTTTCCTAGCAAGATATTCACAAGTAGGAATAGTTTGTTTCTTTCAGGTCCTCATACCTTTTATTCCTCTTTCCCATTTTAAGGGCAAGCTAGATCACCTAGTACAATGTTACAGAAGTGGTGAGAACAGTCATCTTTACCGTGTTCTTAGTTTTAAAGAAAATGCTTTTTAAGGTCTCACCATTAAGTGTGATATGTGCTGTTAGATTTTTGCAACTTCCCTTTATCATGTTAGATAGTTTCCTTTTAGCCTTCATTTACTAAGAATTTTTAAAATCATTGATGACTAGATTTAATCAATTGCTGTTTTTTGTATCTATTGAGCTAATAATATTTTTTCATTAATCTGATAATGTGGTAAATTACTCTAATGTGAAATTAAGCTTTTATTGTAGGAATAAACTATCTTGGTCACAATAGATTAACTTCTTTATACATTGCTGATTTGATTTGCTAAATTTTTAAAAGGATTTTCAAATAAATTACACTGGCTTGAACGTTTCTTTTCCAGGTCTTTATCTGGTTTTAGTATCAAAATTACACTAGCCTTATATAATGAGTTGGATGCTCATCTCTCTTTTTCTATTCTCTGCAAGACTTCACATATGATTGCACTGATCTCTTGAATGTTTGGTTGTGCTTACCTTTTGAACTAACTAGGCCTGGTGTTTTCTCTGTTGGAAAAATTATAGCTAGTAATTAAATATATTTAGTGATAATAGCAGAGCTGTCTTTTTTTATAAATTATTTTATTTCTTCCAAAATTCTTTTTTTTTTTTTTTTTTTTTTTTTTTTTGAGATAGAGTTTTGCTCTGTCACCTAGGCTGGAGTCCAGTGGTGTGATCTCAGCTCACTGCAACTTCCACCTCTCGGGTTCAAGCAATTCTCATGCCTCAGCCTCACAGTAGCTGAGATTACACGCATGTGCCACCACGCCCAGCTAATTTTTATATTTTTAGTAGAGACAGGGCTTTGCCATGCTGGCCAGGCTGGTCTCAAACTCCTGGCCTCAAGTGATCCGCCCTCCTGGGCTTCCCAAAGAGCTGGGATTTCAGGTGCGACCCACTACGCCCAGCCCCATGATGATTTAGAGGGACTATCTTCAAACCAGTACAAACAGTTCATAAATAACATCTGCCCGTTTTCTAACCAATTGAGTAATTTGTTGCACAATAAGCTACCTCACATCTTTCAGCAAGAAAAACTTTAAATTAGAATAGTAAAGATATTACACAATGAATTAGGACACAATTAAAATTTGCTTTAAATGTATCTTTGTGGGAGATGACACCACACTTCTACTCAATGAAGAGAAACATTTTTACAGTCCAGAGGTCTTTGATATTTTAAACATCTATTAAGCCATGAATTCATAGGGAATAGGTTCCAGCAGCTCAGGCTTCTTCCCGCTGGTTCTCACAAAGTGTGTTTCTCTGGGTGGAGCAGGCTGGCACTTCAGCTGAACCCGGGTAGCTTTCTCTTTGGCTTCCTTCTTTTTCTGATCATTTTCCTTCATGTGTTTCAGGAAACTATCAGGGATCTTAGAATGTTTAACATGCTCAATATGCACATTAATTTTCTTGGCAAGAATCTTGCCCTTAGCTTGTTTGTTTATAACAATGCCAACAGCACGCTGGGGAACACTGTAGACTCTCCCAGTTTTGCCATGGTTAACATTTGTGGGGCATTCCTTTTTGAACAGTATCCATTTTCTTGATGTCTACAATATCACCTTTCTCATAGATTCACATATACGTGGCCAAAGGAAAAACCCCATGTTTTCTAAAAGGCCTAGAGAACATATATCTGGTGCCTCTCCTCTTTTCCCGTGTTCATCATTTTGGCGAATTACTGGAAGACGGAGGTTCCAGCCAAAAGGCAATAGCAGAGCTTTCTATCTGGTGTGTTCTGAGTGGGCCTCAGAGATTTTAAACACTCAGCCCTGAAGAGGCCAAGTCAGATGGGTGAGAAGTGGATGTGGGGCTGCTGGAGGCCCTGGCCAAGTTGCCTCTGGTCATAAGCATTCTGATCTCTCTTTTTTGTTGTTTTTGAGTATGATCTCACTCTGTCACCCAGGCTAGAGTAAACAGTGGTGCCAATGTGGCTTACTGCAGCCTCAACCTTCCATGCTCAAGCGATCCTCCCACCTCGGCCTCCCAAAGTGCTGGGATTACTGGCATGCATCACCATGCCCAGCCCTATTTCCATGTCTTTACCCTACTGTGCCATTGAGGTATTTTGCCATTGAGGTACTGGGGAGACAAAATAACCTCCAGTCAAGAATCACTACTCCAGGGCCTGAAATCCTGTCTTTAAACTTCTGCCTGATGCCCAGAGTCCTGGTATCTGCTGACAAAACCTCCTAATACCAAACACAAGGCAATTTCTCCAAATATAGCTTATTCCTGGCGTTCCCATGGCCATGCCCCGCTGTCTTGGGAAGATGCTGCTGTAATTCTCACAGCCTCTTTCTCATGCCAACAGCTTGGCTGGACTGTCGATTGCTCTTTAGGGAGATACCATTTTCTCTGACTTGAGCAAGTGACCCTTTATCCCCCATAAGAAGATTTCCTATGGGGATGGGGTGGGGCTGGTTTCGGTCTTTGGATCTGTCCTGTTGAGATCCAGTTAGTTCTTCCAAGAGTGGCTGTGTCATGAGACATCACAGCGAGAATGTGTTTGTTTTCCTTGAGAAAGTAATCTTTCCAGTGGTTTTATGTGAGAGAGCCTGTCCTTTTCCTATGGAAGAAGACATGGAGTTTTCTGAAGGGGATAAATTGCCCCATTTGACTGTGTAACAAGTCAGTTGGGAATGAGCAGCAGAACCACAGAATTGCAGCCTTAATAGATGCCAGCAGTACAAAGGTGGTGGTGAGCTTAATAAGAGCCTTAGAGAGAGGGGGAGAGAGTGACTGATTGACTGAAAGCTTAGAGCAGAGAACAGAAGGAGGGAAAAAACATTGTGTAATGCTTTTCATAGAGAAAATAGTCTAAGAACCACAGGGTGGGGAGCAAGAGAAAAAGTGTAGAACAAATTGTACCTTGCACTATCCTAAACTTGGCCTAGTTAATTACAGTGGGATAGGCGGTGCCAAGAGGGCCCAGAGCCTGAGACAGATATGACATTGGGTGGAAATCCACTCAAGCATGTAAGAAATGGTATCCATGGCTTTAACATGTGAGAAGATTATTCCTCTCATGGGAAAACATGGCGGCTTTCTTTTGCTAGGTAGTCAAGGGCTTAGGTTTCTTCTCTCTTGTTCTGTGATGTGTTGGATGCTGCCTTTATCTTCATGAACAAGATGACCCACTCCCACTCCCATATTCCTGCTGGCAGAAAAAGCGAAAGAAGAGAATCATATCCCTTCATCTTAAAGGCATAACCCAGAAGTTATACACATTATTTTGACTTGCATTCCATTGGCCAAAACCTAGTCATCTGGCTAATATGGTCACACCTAGCTGCAAAGGAAGCTGGAGATTCTGGGAGGCCATGTGCTCAGATAAAAGCAGGGGTTTTCTCTGAGAAATTTCTCTACCACCACTAACCTGAGTGCTTCTTGTCCTCAATCTTCTTCCCTTTCCTCCAAATTCAATTTCCTAAAAGTCCAGAGAACACATCTGGCAGACCCATCCTCAGAAGACAGAAGATGAAAAAGAGGTGGCAAAGATGGGATCCTCTTTAACAACAAGGGTTGTTAAATAGTTAGATTTTGTTACCACTAAAAGAAAGGGGACATTAAGTGTCATCAGGAAAGCCAAGTGATACTTGGAGTCCTCTCCTGGGGTCCCCACTTCTACCAGAAGAGTGACCAGCTAGTCATTGCGATGAAACTCTAGAGAAAATTCAGAGGCAATGCTGTGGGCTCTTGGCCAGTGAGGGGCACAGGCTTGTTGAGTTGGGACCTGAAGTACATCCAGTGTTCTAGGGCAATCACCCCTAGGAACACTCATCTTCCAAAAGGAGTGAAATTTTATTTATGGAAGCCAGCACTTCTCTGGGGCTGAAAGAGTTAGAGACCTAATGGGGAAATGTATTTGGCCACATTGGAAGAGATGCTTCATCATACCCAGAGACTCTCGATTCTGTGGGCTATGGTCTGTCAGCTGGAAGATCGCAGCGGTCTAGCCTTTAACCAGGGGTCTGTGTTTGCCAAACATCACAGGATTTTTTTTTTTTTAAGAGATGGGGTTCTCGCTTGTTGCCCAGGCTGACCTTGAACTCCGGGGCTCAAGTGATCCTCCTGCCTCAACCTTGAGAGTAGCTAGGACTACAGGCACATGCCACTACTCCTGGCTAATCACAAGATTTTAAAAGCAGTAAAGACAGAAATGGAGTTAGGAAGGAACTATTTACATAAAAAATATTTTAACACAGTGTATGTAATTTTGTAAGATTATATATCTTATTTTACATGTAAATAAACCTTTTATTTTAGTTTTACATTTATAGAAAAATTGAAAAGATAGTGTACATAGTTCCAGTATGTATCTTCTATTTTTAAATAAAGGCATTTCAATTCTGAACATTTGAATAGGAAATTAGGAACAAAAACTAATCGGTAATAGAAAATTTTAATAGGTACCATTTTCTGTTCCACTTCCTGAACATGAGATTTTTAGAAAATCACTTAATGTCTTTGAATCTCAGTTTCCTCACTTATAAAACAGAGATAAAACTAGTGTTTCACAGAGTTGCCATGGTGACAACATAATAAAGTGCATGTGAAATGTCTGCATATGGACACAATGTAAATCCTGAAACACTGATCAAATCTTAGTTCTAGTAATTATTCTGCAGTACCCTCTAGTATTTTAACTGATTGGGCACAGTATGTGAGTTGACAAGCAGGGTTTAATGTGCTTCATTAGCTTGTTGTAGGGTGGGCTACCATCTTACTAAGGAGGGGTTGCTAAACTGATGTTGGGGAAAAAAACTCAGAAACTATTAAACAATTAAATTTCCACTTGTAAAACAAGTGGAGTAATTTCACTATGAAAATAAATATAAAATTTTAGATGATTTAATAGCTTTCCCCAAGTAAAACATATTTTATATGACTCAGAAAGGATATAAAGAAGAAATCATTCTTGGCTGGGGATAGTGGCTCATGCCTGTAATCCCAGCACTTTGGAAGGCTGAGACAGGCAGATTGCCTGAGCCCAGGAGTTTGAGGCAAGCCTGGGCAACATGGCAAAACCCCATCTCTACCAAAAATAGAAAAACTAGCTGGGCGTGGTGGTGCATGCATGTAGTCCCAACCACTCAGGAGGCTTAGGCAGGAGGATCATTTGAACCTGGAAGGTAGAGGTTGCAGTGAGCTGAGATCACACCACTGCACTATGGCCTGAGTGACAAAGCCATTTTTTTCTGTCTGGAAAAAAAAAAATAGAAGAGAAAAAGAAAAAAGGAAAAAGAAAAGTAAAGAAGTAGTTCTTAAGAGTGTCTTGGATTGACTATGCCTGCTTCCTAGGATAAGGGGCAGTGAAATTGGACAAGATTTGTGTCTGGAAATGAGGTGTAGAATTTTATGAGACAGAAGAAATGAGAATTTCCCTAATTTGCTGAGGCATCTGGAGGTGTTTGTTACAGATTTTTAATAATGATTGTATCTGGGTAAGGAGATACAGGAGTAATTTTTATTTTCTACTTTTCAATGTGTCCAAATTTTCTACAATGCACATGCATTTTTCTTTTCTTTTCTGTTTTTTTTTTTTTTTTTTTTTTTTAGGCTTAGTCTTGCTCTGTCACCCAGGCTGGAGTGCAATGGCTCACTGCACCCTTGGCTCACTGCACCCTTGGCTCACTGCACCCTTCACCTCCCAGGTTCAAACAATTCTCCTGCCTCAGCCTCCTGACTAGCTGAGACTACAGGCACCTGCCACCATGCCCGGCTAATTTTTTGTATTTTTAGTAGAGATGGGGTTTTCACCATGTTGGGCCAGGTTGGTCTCAAACACCTGACCTCAGGTAATCCACCCGCCTTGGCCTCGCAAAGTGCTGGGATTACAGGCGTGAGCCACCGCGCCTGGAGCATTTTTCTGTTGTAATAATATTTATACTATTCAGCCTTTTAAAAAAAATCTGTTTATTTTTGACAACATGGATGATCCTGGAGGACATTATGTTAAGTGAAATAAACCAGGCACAGAAAGGCAAGTACTGCATAATCTCACTCATAAGTGGACTCTTAAAAAGTCAAAGTCATAGAAGCAGAGAGTAGTTGGTGGTTACCAGAGGCTGGGAAGGAGTGGGAATCTGGGGAGATGTTGGTCAAAGGATACAAAATATCGGTTAGATAGGAGGAATAAGTTCAAGAGATGCATTGTGCAACATGGTGACCATACTTAATAACAATGTATTGTTTTTTGTTTTGTTTTGTTTGTTTGTTTTGAGACAGAGTCTCTCACTCTGTCAGCCAGACTGGAGTGCAGTGGCACAATCTCGGCTCACTGCAACCTCCACCTCCTGGGCTCAAGCAATTCTCCTGCCTCAGTCCCCCCAGTAGCTGGGATTACAGGCGTGTGCCACCATGCCTGGCTAATTTTCGTATTTTTAGTAGAGACAGGGTTTCACCATGTTGGCCAGGCTGGTCTCGAACTCCTGACCTCAGGTAATCTGCCCACCTCTGCCTCCCAAAGTGCTGGGATTACAGGCATGAGCCACTGCTCCCAGCCAATGTATTATATTCTTAAACATTGCTAAGAGAGTAGGTTTTGAGTGTTCTTACCATCAAAAAATATGTGAAGTAATACATATGTTAATTTGCTTGATTTAGCCATTCCACAATGTATACATATTTCAAAATAACAGGTT
Source organism: Homo sapiens (assembly GCF_000001405.40). Classification (NCBI taxonomy): domain Eukaryota; kingdom Metazoa; phylum Chordata; class Mammalia; order Primates; family Hominidae; genus Homo; species Homo sapiens. The sequence continues at coordinate 171,582,114 of NC_000002.12, read as the reverse complement.
GCACACAATAAATTATACAGTTTTTATCAATTTAAATTTTTAAGAATTTAAACGTTTCCCTTTTTACACCATATACAAAAATCAAGTCAAGACGGATTAAAGCGACCATGTGCGGTGGCTCACGCCTGTAATCCCAACACTTTGGGAGGCTGAGGCGGGTGGATCACTTGAGGCCAGGAGTTCGAGACCAGCCTGGCCAACATGGTGAAACCCTGTCTTTACTAAAAATGCCAAAAGTTAGCTGGGCATGGTGGTGCAAACCTGTAATCCCAGCTACTTGGGAGGCTGAGGCACGAGAATTGCTTGAACCCGGGAAGTGGAGGTTGCAGTGAGCCACTGCACTCCAGCCTGGGTGACAGAGCAAGACTCTGTCTCAAAACAAAACAAAACAAACAAACAAAACACACACGCACACACACACACACACAAAGAGATGGATTAAAGACTTAAATGTAAAACCCAAAACTATAAAAACCTTGGAAGACAACCTAGGCAATACGATTCTGGACACAGGAACTGGCAAAGATTTCATGATGAAGATGCCAAAAGCAATTGCAACAAAAGCAAAATTGACAAATGGGGTCTAATTAAACTTAAGAGCTTCTGCACAGCAAAGAGTAAATGAAGTAAACAGAAAACCTACAGAATGGGAGAACATTTTTGCAATCCATGAATCTGACAACGGTCTAATATCCAGCATCTATAAGGAACGTAAACAAATTTACAAGAAAAAAACAACCCCATTAAAAAGTGGGCAAAAGACATGAACAGATACTTCTCAAAAGAAGACATACATGTGGCCAACAAGCATATTAAAAAAAGCTCAACATCACTGATTATTAGAGAAATGCAGATCAAAACCACAATGAAATACCATCTCATACCAGTCAGAAAGGTTGTTATTAAAAAGCCAAAAAAATAACAGATGCTGGCGAGGTTGCAGAGAAAAGAAACACTTATACACTGTTGGTGTTAGTTCAGCCATTGTGGAAAGCAATGTGGCAATTCCTAAAGAGCTAAAAACAGAACAGCCATTCAATCCAACAATCCCATTATTGGGTATATTCCCAGAGGAATATAAATTATTCTACCATAAAGACACATGCACGCGAATATTCATTGCAGCACTGTTCACAATAGCAAAGACATGGAATAAAAAAAAAAGACATGGAACCAACCTAAATGCTCATCAGTGGCAGATTGGATAAACAAAATGTGGTACATATACACCATGGAATACTATGCAGTCATAAAAAGAGAACGAGATCACGTCTTTTGTGGGAACATGGATGGAGCCGGAAGCATTATCCTTAGCAAATTAACGCAGGAACAGAAAACCAAATACCACATGTTCTCACTTATAAGTGGGAGCTAAATGATGAGAACTCATGGACACAAAGAGGGGAATAACAGACGCTGGGGCCTACTTGAGGATGGAGAGTGGGAGGAGGGAGAGGAGCAGAAAAAATAACTATTGGGTACTAGGCCTAGCACCTGGGTGATGAAATAATCTGTACAACAAACCCTCGTGGCATGAGCTTACCTATATAACAAAGCTACTACTGTACCACAAATCTAAAATGAAAGTTAAAAAAAGAATTTAAGTTATTTAAATGCCAAGTGTCAATATTCCAAATATTAAAACAAAAACTGAGCAGTATTTATTTTAATCTGGCCAAAAAAAACCCCAAAAAACTCATGTTTCCCAAAACTTTCTACCAGTTACTAAGCATGTTCATTATACTTCAGACAAGCCAGCCATGAAAGTGAAACGATTCCTATAATGAATGGATGAAAGAATATTTCTGCTTTGTTCACTTTTGAAATCTTTGATATATCAATTTCAGCTATAAAATCTTAGAATTTCTCTTTTATATAATTACTAATGTTTAAAGAAAAGCTGCCTGTAGTCACCTGGAAATTAGAGAGGATTAAAAATAAAGAGCAAAAAAATTTTTCTTTCAAAAACAATGTTCAAATGAACTGACTTGAAGAAACATATCAAAAATAGATATTTGATTTGAGCCTGCCCCTTTATTTTGGAAGTCATTTCGTTTATACAGTTGGGAAACTCAAAGATGAAACACAGGTATACTCAGCCTAATGTGATAGAGCCGCGGCCTGTGCTCCTCAGGTGTGGTCCACTGACCAGCGTCTCAGCATGCCCTGGGAGCTGGTTAAACGGTGCAGAATCTCAGGCCCCACTCCAGAGAGGCAGGGGCTGAATCTGCATTTTTGACCAGATCCCCTGGTGATTTGTATGCACATCAAAATTTGAGAACCCCTGTTTAGTGAATATTTGGCTAATTTTGAGCCACCCTACATGATAGTATTGGCTAGGAAAGCCAGCTGTTCTGGAGGAACTGCTGAAATGAGGAGGTAGTTCATTGATGAGTACCTTCAAGAAGCTCAGCTTCCTATCACTGACTCATCTAGAATCCTGCCCAAACTGGTCAGGAGTAAATACTAAAAGTGAGGGAATGGCTGGCTGTGGTGGCTCATGCCTGTAATCCTAGCACTTTTGGCGGCTGAGGCAGGTGCATCATTTGAGCCCAGGAGTTCAGAACAGCCTGGGCAACATGGCAAAACCCTGTCTCTACTAAAACTACAAAAAAAAAAAAAAAAAAAAATAGCTCAGCATGGTGGCAAGGGCCTGTAGTCCCAGCTACTTGGGAGGCTGAGGTGGGAGCATCACCTGAGCTTGGGAAGTCGAGGCTGCAGTAAGCTGAGATTATGCCACTGCACTCCAGCCTGGGCTATGAGAGGGAGACCCTATCTCAAAAAAAAAAAAAAAGAAAGAAAAAAAAGTAATTATTCAAAGAAATTATCAGGGCTGTATGCAAAAAAAAAAAGTGTATTGAAGGAACTTTTAATGTTTTTATCACAGAATAATTGAAAACAACTTAATATTAAATAATAAGAGATTAAAGAAACTGTGCATCCAATAGCTGCAAAATATCTATTAAAAACTGTCATAAGGCCGGCGTGGTGGCTCACTCCTGTAATTCCAGCACTTTGGGAGGCCAAGGCAGGCAGATCACTTGAGGTCAGGAGTTCAAGACCAGCCTGGCCAACATGGTGAAACACCATCTCTACTGAAAATACAAAAATTAGCCAGCCATGATGGTGGGTGCCTGTAATCCCAGCTCCTCAGGAGACGGAGGCAGGAGAATCGGGTTTGAACCCAGGAGGCGGAAGTTGCAGTGAGCCAAGATAGCACCACTGCACTCCAGCCTGGGCAACAGAGTGAGACTCTGTCTCTAAATAAATTAATTAATTAAAAAACTGTGTCATAGAAAAAAGTATTGGCATGGGGAAATGTCCACATTGTGTTCCTGAGTGAACAAAGCTGGCCATAAGACATGCAGGATTCCATTTTCATTTTAGAAATACATATTTATGCACAAGAAAAAAAACCCTGCAAGGGCACACGCCAACATATTAACAGCAGTGACAGATTTGGAGTGCTTTTGTCTGAGGTGTTTGAACCAGAGCGACTCCATCTTGAATAGGGGCTGAGTAAAGTGAGGCTGAGACCTACTGGGCTGCATTAATAGGAGGTTAAGGCATTCTTAGTCACAGGATGATAGGAGGTCACCACAAGATTCAGGTCACAAAGACCCTGCTGATAAACAGGTTGTGGCAAACAAGCCGGCCAAAACCCACCAAAACCAAGAGGGTGATGAAAGTGACCTCTGGTCATCCTCACTGCTCATTATGTGTTAATTATGATGCATTAGCATGCTAAGAGACACTCCCACCAGCCCCATGACAGTTTACAAATGCCATGGCAATGTCAGGAAGTTACCCTATATGGTCTAAAAGTGGGAGGAACTCTCACAGCAGCGAATTGCCCATCCCTTTCCTGGAAAACTCATGAATAATCCAATCCACCCCTTGTTTAGCACATAATCAAGAAGTAACTATTAATGTAAGTATACTCAGCTGAGCAGCCCATGCCACTGCTCTGCCTATGGAGTAGCCATTCTTTTCTTTCATTTTTTGTTTCTTTTTCTTTTCTTTTTTATTTTTAGGGATTGGGGTCTCGCTATGTTGCCCAGGCTGGTTTTGAACTCCTGGGCTCAAGCCATCTTCCTGCCTGGGCCTCCCAGCAGGTGTGAGCCACTGTGCCCAGCACTTTTGTTTCTTTACCTTCTTAATAAACTTGCTTTCACTCGGCTCTATGGACTCACCCCAAATTCTTTCTTGCACGAGGTCCGACAACCCTCTCTTGAGGTCTGGATTGGGACCGCTTTCCGGTAACACTTCTGTTTTGATTGTGCTTTTCACATTTTCTGCATTAAGTGTGTATTTATTTTGTATAAAGTCAGTCATAAAAAAGGCCAATATTCAACAATGACATTAACTTCCCTGTCAATGCTGACTGTATGATACCATTGCCAGAGGACCTTCAACCCACCAACCAAACACCACTAGAACAATGGATGCTTCTCACCTGCTGGCCGGCAAAAAACCCCTGAGCACTGGGACATTTAAAAACCTTCCCAGTGTTGAGAACCGCTGTTCAGTAATGGTTGGAAGGATATTCATAGTTCTTTCATTTTTGAAAATCATTCCTGCTGGGCGTGGTGGCTCAAGCCTGTAATCCCAGCACTTTGGGAGGCTGAGGCAGGCGGATCACCTGAGGTCGGGAGTTCGAGACCAGCCCGACCAACACGGAGAAACCCCGTTTCTACTAAAAATACAAAATTAGCCGGGCATGGTGGCGCATGACTCTAATCTCAGCTACTCGGGAGGCTGAGGCAGGAGAATCGCTTGAACCCGGGAGACGGAGGTTGCAGTGAGCCGAGACCACGCCATTGCACTCCAGCCTGGGCAACAAGAGCGAAACTCCGTCTCAAAAAAAAAAAAAAAAAAAGAAAAAATCATTCCTACAATATGTGTTTTAATTACTAAAGGAAAAAAATGTTTCTCATGATACTCCTGACACCAAATGCATGGGGTTTTTTTCCCCTCATACTAACAAATTTTCCAACTCTCTGACACCAACTTTGTGTCTTACCATTTAATTCAATTCTGACACTACCCGGAGTTCACACAGACCCCACAGGTTAAGTACCCAGTCCCACAAAACTGCCCACTTACAACTTCAGATGCCAGTTGCAAGTCAGGGGTCCCTGGGTGACTCACGCTTCTGTCTGACTTGGCTACAAACCAGACTTCCATGTCCCACTTAGGTTCCACCTTTTGCTCTAGCCCCTCACAGCGACGAGAGTGAAATCAGCTGGTGACCATTGAGCAAACCCTGGAGACAAAAACTCCTTATCTGAGGAACTTAGAAGGGAGCAAAGACACCTGGTGACTATCAAACAGCCAAAACTCCTTATCTGGGGAATTTAGAAGTAATTAAACTTCCCTAGTATCTAAAGTCAGCTTCTGGTTCCAGGCCTTTTTCAACTTAAAATGTATAAGTAACTAGAATTTCTATACATCTCCAGAATGCCATGCGGAAACTCAGTGTGCAACCCTTGCTGACATTAAGGCACCAAAATGTCTACAAATGTAATCATTTATCATGACCTACAAGGCTAATATGGCCCAAATTACCCTTCAGCTCCTGCCTTAAGGTCCATAAATACCCCTAAGAAAAAAAAAGCAGTGTGGGGTGCGCTCAGTCCTCTTTCTGAGATGCCCCGCTGCACTATTCTGCAGTATTCTTTCTTTCTAACTTTCTTTTTTTGAGACGGAGTTTTGCTCTTGCTGCGCAGGCTGGAGTACAATGGCGCGATCTCAGCTCACCGCAACCTCCGCCTCCCGGGTTCAAGTGATTCTCCTACCTCAGCCTCCCGAGTAGCTGGGATTAGAGTCATGCGCCACCATGCCCGGCTAATTTTGTATTTTTAGTAGAAACGGGGTTTCTCCGTGTTGGTTGGGCTGGTCTCGAACTCCCGACCTCAGGTGATCTGCCCGCCTTGGCCTCCCAAAGTGCTGGGATTACAGGCATGAGCCACCACGCCTGGTCTTCTTTCTTTTTTCAAACCTATACTGTTGTCAGTAAAATCTTCCTACCAAACCAGGAGTCAACTACTTTCTGATGCCAGGGTTCTGACACCTCACCGGCACACAGAACTTAGGGAAACACTTTGCTATTGCCAGATTATTATAAAGGATATAGTGAAGACAACAAATGAACAGTCAGATGAAGAGGTACCTAGGGGGCGGTCGGGAAGGATCCTGAACACAGGAGCTTGTGTCCCTGTGGAGTCTGGGGTGCACCACCCTCCTGGCACATGGATATATTCAACCTGGAAGCTCTCCAGACCCCGTCATCTAGAGTGGTTATGGAGGCTCCGCTACGTAGGCATGCTTGATTAAATCATTGGCCATTTGTGACTGAACTCAATGGCCACCTTCTCTCTTCCCTCCCCAGAGGTCTGGGAGTGGGACTGAAAGTTCCAACCCTCTAATCACATGGTGGGTTCCTCTGGCAACCAGCCCCATCCTCTAAAGTGGACTCAGGTGTGGTGGACTCAGGTGTGGTTGAAATGCTTATTATGAAGAACAAAAGACACTCCTCTCACCCCATCACTTGGAAAATTCCAAGGGTTTTAGAAGCTCTGTGCCAGGAATTGGAGTTAGAACAAATACATATTTCTCATTATATCACAGTTACAAAACTCTATCATTATGTATTTTTGGTAGTCTATAAAAGTACAGTTTTTAAAGTCCTCTCATTATCATTTATTCAACAAATATTTATTGAGAATCTAGATTATTCCATTTGAGTCTCACAGTAACCTGTAGGTCGGTAGGAGTGGTATTAAGTTCATTATACAGAAGAGACATCCTAGATTCCACAAAATGAGGCAGAAAATTAGGCAGCATCTGCTAAGAAAATTCTGAAGGCCACCATCTAATCATCCTTCAGAAGTTGGGCTGACAAGGGTTCAGAGCTTCCAAATCTGGCACAGAAAGACACAGCCTTGATGTGCCATTTCTCAGCTGATTCTGAATTTTAGCAATAATGCCCTACAAGAAGAGATGGCTGGAGCCAGTTGTAATTTACCTGCTGTCAAATGATTCTGTCCTTCATAAAATGCTAATTATTTGGAAGACTGTTTCTCTTTGAATATTGTAGATATAGATTTTCAGGGTACCTTTCCTATATAATTGTCATTATTTTTTAAATGTTGACATACCTAGCACACTTTTGGAAATAGGCATTTTTAAAAGATTTTATTTTTTTTAGAGCAGTTTTATGTTTACAGCAAAATTGAGTAGAAGGTACACAGATTTCCCATATCCCCACCCCTGCCCTGCATATGCACTGCCTCCCCCCTTATCAACATTCCCCAGAGGGTACATTTGTTACCTTATCACCCAAAGTCCACAACTTACCTTAGTCCCAAGTGCTGGGATTCTATGTGTTCACTCTTTATGGTGTACATTCTATGTGTTTGGACAAATTTATAACTACATAGAACTCATTATGCTATAATACAGAGTATTTTCACTGCCTTAAAAATCCTCCGTGCTCCACCTATTCATCTCCCTCCTCCCCAACCCCTGGCAAACCGCTGATCTTTTTAGAGTCCCCATCGTTCGGCCTGGGCATGTTTTTAAAGTAATGAAGCATTTCACCATTGAGTGTCCGGAAAAAAAAAGGAAAGAGAAGGCTACTTATACTAGATATCGAATTATGGTTGTATGTTTGGCATGAATAATTTTTAATTGAAAATAATCACAATGTTTGTCTAAATCCTAGCGCTCAAAGAAACAACCAGATCTGGTTTTGAAACCAAGACTGCCCTGTTGGTGATGAGGAAGTCAACTGCGCAGCCTCAGTCGCCCGTGGAGGCCCCGGGCTGGCGGCCGTGACGTTGCTGCCACCTCGTGCATATTATCGGTAGTGCAGCCAGCGAGGAGGCCTCAGCCACGCCGAGGTAGCAAGCGCTGGCCAGCTCACTTTGATGGTCTTCAGCTTAGCTCACGTATTGCCTAGGAACACCAGGGGCCTGTGCAGTTTATTATGTGTTTGTGGTGTTTATTAATCCACAGAAATATTGTTTTTGATAGACAACCTAAGATAAAGGCTAATAAAAGACTGAGAATGTGGACTCGATAATTTTGTTGGCTTCAGGATAAAGAAAAAAAGTCAGTAAATGGTACCTGAATCCTCCAATAATTACTCCATCTTATAAATTACTGTTTTCTCTTATTCCAGCCCACAGTCTGTCATTCTAGAAAGTATGATATATTAATTTTTAGCTAAGCAATATCCACAGGGAGTAATCAGAGTTGGCACTGTACAGGTGTTTTTCCAATGAAAAGGTTACTGTTGGAATTATTTATAAGCAACATCAGAACACTGAATATTAACAAACTGAATTTCACCTGGTTATTAAGTAGCAGGAGATACATATGCACCAAATCATCCCGCTTTGACCTTGAATGGTTGTATGTTTATCCAAGAAAGAAGCTCCCCCATCTTCAATGTGCTATTAACCTTCCTTTTTGTCCTTTTTCATTTCTTCCCTTTTAAATTTTATTGTAATGAAATAGTTAAGTCCTACACAAAGGTGTAAACCTATGATACTGATTCTACTTGACTCTGCCACTCAGCTTGGGAAACGCATTACCATCCAAACAGGTGAAGCCTTTGTGCCCCCTCAGCTGTATTCCCTTCCTTCTCTTTACAGTTTCCACTTCTCTAAATTTGGTGTTCATCATTCCCATTTGTTTCATTACGCTTTTGCCGATACATATGTGTTCCTAAACGGTACAATGTACGGGTTTCACGTTTCTGAAACGCTGTTGAGATGGTATCCGTGTTTTCTGTAACTTGGATTTTTTTCTTTCAGTATTAGGATTGTGAGACCCATCCATCATATTAATTTCCCAGAATTGTCGTAGCAAACAACCACAAACTGGGTGACTTAATAAAACGAAAATTTATTCTCTCAGAGTTCTGGAGGCCAGAACTCTGAAATCAAGAGGTGGGCTGGGCTGGGCTCTCTCTGGGGCTCTAAGAGAGAATGTGTTCCTTCCTTCTTCCAGCTTCTGGTGGCCCAAGGCATTCCTTGGCTTGTGAATCTCTGTTTCTGTCTTCACATGGCCTCCTGCTCTCTGTTGTGTCTTCCTGTCTTAGAAGGACACTTGTCATTGGATTTAGGGCCCACCTGATCCAGAATGATCTCACCTTGAGGTCCTTAATTACATCTGCCAAGCCCCCAGGCAATACATGGTGGAGGTAGGTGTCCAACCCATGCATTTTGACCAACTCCTCCAACCACTGGATGACATCGCCTCTAAGCTCAGAAAGCTGCAACTTCTGCTTACACAAATAATGGGCATTTAATGTGGCACTGGATCCAATACTCAGCTTATATAGGTGAGAACTAACTAGTATTGGAGGGTTACAGGGCAAGGAATTGGGCATAGGTTGGGAAGGCAGGCAATCTGGGTCCTAGAGTTAATTCTCTGTTGATCCCTAAGCTCCAAGAAATAGGATACTGCTTCATCCCTGCTCCTCTTCCAAGCCACTTCACCCGATTTAACAGGAAGGGAGGTCAGTGAAAAGAACTAACTGGGTATGGACTGGAAATGCACAATAAAAAAATTTTAAAATATATGCATTTCTTTGGATTACTAAAGTAAAAATATTATAGAAAATTTGGGTAATGGAAGAAAAAATCATCCCCACCCACTCCTCTAATCCCTCTACTTCTCTTCTATACACACTTAAAGTTGTAATCATTTGATTTTAGCGTTATAACTATGGAGACAAAAGTGGATCCCTCTTAGATGCTAACCTGTCCGGTTGATTTCTGATTAGCTCCAGTCCCGTGAATGCCTCCTGCTTCCTACTTTATTTGCTGTCCTTAGTCTAAGAACATGTCAACTTTGATGTTATCACACAAATTATAGGACATGACGCACAGCCTTCTTGCCTGTTCAATAACAGTGCAGAGATCTACCTGTCTTGCTGCTGCCCAAGACCACGCTTCTGTCTGTAAGTTCCCCAATAAAATACCCTTTACTGACACACTGGATTTGTTGGCCACCTTCTTTGGTTTCTTGGCTCTTCAGCATTTGGGAGCAGCTTTGCATATATGGCCATTTCACAGAACAATAGCCTACGATATATTACCATTTTTCTTCTTGCTACATGGCTTTCACAGTTGATTTTCTAAAATAAGACAAGTACTGATATACAACATGGTGACTGAGACAGCCAAGGAGTGCGCACTGGGGTGGAGCCTCCGGAATTTCGCCCCATTTGCAGGCAGAGAGGAGCTGGCCTCTCCGGTTCCAGGGTGGAACCTGGAATTCAATCTGTGATTCTGGAAAACCAGCTAGCAGGACTCTCACTCTGCCGAGAGTCCGTTTCCCTTTTTTTTTTTCCTTTTTGCCTAATAAATTCCATTTTTCTCATCCTCCAAATTGTCTGTGAACCTAATCTCTCATGGCCATGTGACAAGAACTAGGCTTTCAGCTGAACTAAGGAGAAAGTCCTATAACTCTAGTTAATGATATGGTATTGTGTACTTAAAACTTGCTAAGACAGTAGATCTTACGTGTTCTCACTAAACACACACACAAGTGGTAGGCTTTGTAGGTGATGAATGTGTTAACTAACTTGATTGTGGTAATCATTTCACAATGTATAGTATATTGGTCATCACACTGTACTCCTTAAATATATATAATTTTGGCCAGGCATGGTGGCACACATCTGTAACCCCAGCACTTTGGGAGGCTGAGGCAGGAGGATTGTTTGCACCCAGGAAGTCAAGGCTGTAGTGAGCTATGGTTGTGCCACTTCACTCCACCCTGGGCAACAGATCAAGACCCTATTTCAAAAAAAAAGAAAGAAGAAAGAAAGAAAAAAAAGAAAGAAAGAAAGAGAGAGAGAAAGAAAGAGAAAAAGAATATATATATATATAGTTTTATATGTCAATTATGCCTCAATAAAGCTGGAAAAATAAAATGACAGGTATTCTAATCTTTACTTTACAGCTACAGAAACTAAAGCTCAGGAGACTGACTTGCTGAAGGTCCCACAATTAGTAAGTGATAAAGCTGGGGACCATGAAGCCATTGTAATTCAGAATGTATAAAATGTTGCAACTGCTGCAAGATTGTATTTCAATATGTGGATTTTTTTTCTTTCTTTCTTTGGAGACAGGGTCTTGCTCTGTTACCTAGGCTGGAGTGCAGTAGCATGATCATGGCTCACTGCAACCTCAACCACCTCGGCTCAGCAATCCTCCCACCTCAACCTCCCAAGTGGCTGGAACCACAGGTATGTGCCACTGCACCCTGCTAATTTTTTAATTTTTATAGAGATGGGATCTCACTGTGTTGCTGAGGCTGGTCTTGGTCTCAAACGATCCCATCTCAGTTTCCTGAAGTGCTGGGATTATAGGTATCAGCCACTGTACCTGACCGATAATGTGGATATTCTGAGTAGGCATTTGCATATCAATATCTGGTTACCTGTTGCTGCATAACAAATCACTCTAAACTTTGTTCCTTAACATAATGACTGCATTTATTTTGCTCATTAATTTGTAATTTGGGCAGGGCTTGAGAAGGACAGTTTGTCTTTGCTTCTCTTGGCATCAGCAGGGGTGATTTGAGGCTGGTGGCTGGAATCATCTGAAATCTCACAGGTCAGCTAGTTGGTGCTGGGAGCTCAGCAGGGCCTATGGCCACAGCCCCTCCACTTGACCTTTCCATGGGGCTCCTTGGCTTTTTCACACAGTGCTGGCTGGGTTCCGAAGGTAAACATCCCCAGAGAGAAGAGAAGAAGGCAAAAGCTGTGTCCCCTTTGGTGACCTCCTCGGAGAAATCTTACAGATTCACTTCTGCCATATTTTATGGGTTAAAAGTTAGTTGCTGAGGCCAGCCACGATTCAAGGGAAGGGGAATTAGGCTCTACCTTCTGCTGAGAAGAATATCATAGAATTTGTGGACATATTTTAAAATCATCACAATTTGCCCGTTGGACATACATTACCTACATTTTCCCCTACATGCAAAGTAGACTCACTCCCCTGCCCTAAACCCCTTAAACATTGTATCTCCTGTAGCATCAGGCTGGGGCTCAAGGTCCATGATCTTGACATATAAATCAGGTGCAGGAGTGGCTGAGGCTCCTTGGGTGCTGTTCCTGGAGTAGAGCCCCTGCAGTGCAGTTCCTCTCCACCTGAAGACTTGGGAATCAAAGGACAAGCTGCCTCTCTGCTCACTGCACCCAATATATTGTACAATAGTGGAGCAAGCACAGGATAATCGCTGCAGACGCTTCTGTTCAAAAAGGGGGGAAATGGGAGGCACACAGCAGCCACTGGCGCACAGCGATTCTGAAATCCAGCTGAGCGTATGTTGCCAGTTCCTTGATAGGGCTTGGTCCTACACCTGGAAGTTGTCCACCTTGCTTTTGGCTCCACCCACTGCACTCTCGGTCCCACCTTCTGAGCCATTCTTTCTTTTCCATTAAAAGTAGCCCATGTTGGGCTGGGTGCAATGGCTCACATCTGTAATCCCAGCACTTTGGGAGGCCTAGGTGGGCAGATCACCTGGGGTCTGGAGTTCCAGACCAGCATAACCAACATGGAGAAACCCTGTCTCTGCTAAAAATACAAAATTAGCCAGGTGTGGTGGCGCGTACCTGTAGTCCCAGCTACTCGGGAGGCTGAGGTAGGAGAATCTCGCTTGAACCTGGGAGGTGGAGGTTGCAGGTGTGCCGAGATCACACCATGCCACTCCAGCCTGGGCAACAAGAGCGAAACTCCATCTCAAAAAAACAAAAAAAAGAAAAAAAAAAAGTAGCCCATGTTTGCAGCTGAGTGACAGTCTTTTTAGATTGCTTCCTGCTCTTAGAAGCCTGGAATCCAAAGGCCTGAATGTCCCTTTCACTCCAAGCTAATTCTAATTCTTTTAAAATATGTATATATAGTCTTCTTATTAATCAATTTATAACTAACTCCATTAGGCAAAACCCATACCAATAAATCTCCTTTAGCCCTTCTCTCCCTTCTCCTAAAGCTGCGGTCCAATAATTCCCTTGAGATCTGTAGGCCTTTCAAGCCAGCAATGGTGTGTTGAAAACAAATAAAGAAGGAACAAACAAACAAACAAAAAAGTTGCTAGGCCTTTTGTCTGCTTGAAAGGGCCTATGAAACAACACCTTATGGACTTTCTGAGGTCTCAGCAAAGAGTCTTATAGTCATGCCCAAAAATAAACTCACTTTATTTTTGAACCATATTTTTCTTTATTTTTTTTTTTCCCGAGACAGGGTCTCATTCTGTCACCTAGGCTGGAGTGCAGTGGTGCTACCTCCTCTCATTGCAACCTCCACCTCCCGGGTTCAAGCGATTCTCCTACCTCAGCCTCCCGAGTAGCTGGTACTACAGGTGCACACCACCACACCTGGCTAATTTTTGTTAGTAGGAACAGGGTTTCTCCATGTTGGCCAGGCTGGTCTCGAACTCCTGATCTCAGGTGATCCACCCACCTCAGCCTCCCAAAGTGCTGGGATTATAGGCGAAAGCCACCTCACCCAGCCCTCAAATTGTAGATTCATGAATAAATAGATGTTGTTACTGTTTTAATTTATTAAATTTTGGGGTGGTTTGTTATGCAGCAATAGATAACTGGAACAGAGTTTGGTAGCACAGCAAAAACTGCTAACGTGTGGCAATGGCTTCAGGACTGGGTGGCAGGCAGAATTTGAGAGTCTTCAAGAGACTGTTAGTGGAAACCTCATGGTTCTTGAAGAAGTTATTGGTTAGGGCTTATGGGAAAGCGAGGAAAATGTTACTGAGAGCTGTCATATAGCAGCAAAAAGTTTAGCAACACTGTCACCTGTGGTAACATGGAGAATAGAAAATATACCAAGTTAACTGAACCGTCTATCTAAGGAGATTTTTGGGAAAAGTGTTGAAGAAGCTGCCTGGTTTTTCTCACTGAGTATAGTAAACTTCAAGAGAAAGAGAGAAGTGAAAGAGAACTGTGAAATATAGAGGGGCCAGGAATTGCTGGGTTTGAAAATAAAAGTTTCTCCTTTCTAGCTTCTTCATACGGCAAATGAAATGGCTTCCCGGTGAAGATTGAACCCAGGAGGCAGAGGTTGCAGTGTGGTGAGATTGTGCCACTGCACTCCAGCTTGGGCGACAGAGCAAGACTTCGTCTCCAAAAACAAAAAAAAAAAATTTGGAAAGAACTTAGAGGGGACGGTTTATCTCTGCTCAACTCAGTGTCAGCTGGGGTGGTTCAAAGATTGGGGGCTAGAATAAACTCAAAACTCACTCATTCACGTGTCCGGTTGGCTGATGTTGGCTGTTAGCTGGGAGCTCATGCAGAACTGTTGTCCAAATATCAACACGTGACTTTTCCATGTTGATCGGGTTTGGCTCTTTGTCCCCATCCAAACCTCATGTCAAATTGTAATCCCTATGTGTGGAGGGAGGGACCTGTAATCCCCATATGTTGAGGGAGGGAGGTGATTGGCTCATGGGGTTGGTTTCCCCCCATGCTGTTCTCATGATAGTGAGTGAGTTCTCATGAGATCTGATGGTTTTATAAGGGGCTTTTCTCCACTTTGCTTGGCACTTCTCTCTCCTGCTGCCATGTGAGGAAGGACGCGTTTGCTTCCCCTTCTGCCATGATTGCAAGTTTCCTGAGGCCTCCCCAGTCGTGTGAATTGTGAGTCAATTAAAACTCTTTCCTTTATAAATTACCCACTCTCAAATATTTATTTATAGCATGTGAAAATGGATTAATACACATGTAGTGTTTGATTTCCCCATCAAATGACAAGGTGGTTGGGTTCCCAGAGCAAGCATTGCACACGAGAGAGAGAGAGAGAGAGAGAGAGAGAGAGACAGCGAGCTAGGAAACCTAGTCCCTGAAGTCGCATAGTATTGTCTGCTGCCTTCCTGTTTTGTTTGTTTGTTTTAGAGATGGGGTCTTGCTCTGTTGCATAGGCTAGAGTGCAAGTGGCAGATCATAGCTCAGTGCAGTCTTGAATTCCTGGGCTCAAGCGATCTTCCCACCTAAGCCTCCTGAGTAGCTGGGACTACAGGTGTGTGCCACCATGCCTGGTTAATTTTTATTTTATTAGTAGAGATGGGGTCTTGCTATGTTGGCCAAGCTTGTCTTGAACTCCTGGCTTCAAACTTGGCCTCCCAAAGCGCTGGGATTACAGACACGAGCCACTGCACCAGTCTTGTCTTCGATTCTTTACAAGTGAGTCACTAAGCCTGGCCCATGTTTAAGGAGAGGAGAATAGGGTTCTATCTTTTGATGGGAAAGAGTGTCAAAGAATTTGAGGACCTGTTTTAAAACCACCAATATTAAGGTATCCTTAGCTCCATTTTATAGATGCATAAGCTATAATTCAGAGAACTTGCTGAAGTTCTCACAATTAGTAAGGGATAAAGCTTGGGACCATAAAGTGACTGTACTTTACATACTTAAATACATTATATATAATGTACAATCTGTAAGGCAATGTAAAGCTATGACATGTTATTAATTGTCTCAGTTGAGCTTTCCTAGCTTCTTGACACAAGGAAGGGAGCCCATCAGGCATGTGGGTTATGAATCAAGAAGCTTTATTATTTTTTGTATAATAAAATATGAGTTTGTTTTGTTCATAAGTGTTCTCTTATCAGATCAAACTCTCATAATGGCTGGAAACACCTTCTGTCCTGATTTCAGAGCATATAACTAGGTTCTATATTCCTATCAACCCTCTATCTAACTTAACATACAACGTACCTTTACCTTGCTAGCCCTATGTTTGGCTAAGACAGCTGAGCTGAGGGGAGCTCTTTGACATTGCATAATATGGAGCTCTTTGGTCTCTCACAAAGAAAAAATGTGCTCACCAACTTTTGCTCAAAGGTATTTTTGGCTTTATAGTTAAATTTCTGGTTAATGATCAGTTTTGCTAATTGAATACCTCACATTTCTTTTGGTTAGATGGCATTTATCTGTATCTGTGTGTATATGTGTTCAAATGTGAGTGCATATCCTCATGGGAGCATGTTTCCAAATAGTTTGCTTTCTAATTGTTTGTTACTAACAGCCCTTTGAATTTTCTTAATGAGCACTTTGTTGTACAATGAGGAAAAACAATTAACTGCACAAAATTTTTGTGCGATCACAAAAGACAATCAAATTATGATATATCAAAAACAAAATAGAGCAAACCATTGTGCTTAGCAATGTATGGAAATATCTTCTGAGAAGCAAACAAATAACTTTTCCGGACACTATGGTGTTTTTTATGATCATGTTTAGTTTATGTCATCTTTTTCATGGAACAAAAACCAGTCTCTATGGCTTTTGGCCCATAGTCCCCATATCTTTTAAAACCTGTGACCTTAACCACTGTGTACAGTATTAGATCTTCAAAGGTGTTTTGCTCAACCTCTCCTTCTCTTGCAATAATAGCAAACACATAAACACTAGTACGGATTATTGTTGCTAGAAAAGAATAATGAATTGTACATTGTGGTAAATAAGGTATTTAAAACACCATGTTTGGGAATTTACCACCGTGATCTGTAATTTCTCTTATTGCTTTTTGCTCAGGGTTTCATCCCTCCTCCCTGCCCTCCAAGCTAATCTGGGCCAAGTGGATTCTGTTCTGACCCATCTCTAACTCTTTACTCAGTCTATTCCTTACCCTATTTTGCCTTTTTTTCTTTTCTTTTTTTTTTTTTTTTTTTGACATAGAGTTTCACTCTGTTGCCCAGGCTTAAGTGCAGTGGCACAATATCAGCTCACAGCAACCTTCGCTTCCTGCCTCCCGGGTTTAAGCGATTCTCCTGCCTCAGCTTACGGAGTAGGTGAAATTAAAGGTGTGTGCCACCACACCTGGCTAATTTTTTGTATTTTTAATAGAGACTGGGTTTTGTTATGTTGGCCAGGCTGGTCTTGAACTCCTGGCCTCAAGTGGTCGGCCCGCCTCAGCCTCCCAAAGTGCTGGGATTATATCTGTGAGCCACTGTGTCTGGTCCCATTTTTGCCTCTTTTGTCACTTTTACAAAGCCTACTAACTGTCTCTCTTTTTTGGAGCCCTCGATACCTAGATTACAAAGGTTTATTCCAGTTGTAAGCCATGAGAATTGTAGGTAATTCTGTGCTGAAGGATGGAAATGGTGTATGAATTAAACTGGCTGCAATAGTCTATAAAATAACAGATTCATAGCTTTCAGCATGAGCCCCAGGCAGTGCCTAGGAGCAGTGCACACAAGACATCCTCAATCACTAATTGGTGAGTGAATATAAAAGGACCTGTTTTTTGTAGCAGATGGAGAGATTAAGCGGCTTGCCCAAGATTACACCCGTGGACCATGATAGAGTTCCTACAAGAATCCAGATTTTTCTGTTTTGTCCAGTTCTTACAAGTATATACTGCCCAGCTTCCAGTGATTGCATGACCTTCGGAAGACTTGTAAATGTTTATGTCTCTGCGATCTGGAGATTAACAATGCTGCAAAGCAAATAGTCCCTCAGGCCATTCCGGTATCTGACCAAGTTAGGATCTTGGCAAATGCTTTAGTTCCTCTTTCCTGGTGTTAGGAAAACATTTATTTCAATTATAAATATATTATCTTCAATTTCTTGATAAATTAGACTAAGCAAACATTTGGATGATGTCAATGAGGCAGACGGGATTCCGATAATACATGTTTTTCTTAGTACAAAAGTGATACTTAATTATAGAAAATACAGAGAAAACAAAAAGAAGAAAATGAAAAATGCCCATTATCCTACCATGTCTCAAAGATAACCATTTTTTAACATTATTTTATTTTATTTTACTTTATTTTTTGAGACAGAGTCTTGCTCTGTCACCCAGGGTGGAGTGCAGTGGTGCGATCTCGGCTCACTGCAAGCTCTGCCTCCCAGGTTCAAGTGATTCTCCTGCCTCAGCCTCCCAAGTAGCTGGGATTACAGGCCCGCACCACCACATCTGTCTTTTTTTTTTTCCTTTGTACTTTTAGTAGAGACAGGGTTTCACCATGTTGGCCAGGCTGGTCTCTGACCTTAGGTGATCCACCCACCGTGGCCTCCCAAAGTGCTGGGATGACAGGCATGAGCCACCACACCAGGCCAAAGATAACCATTATTAACTAATTAACTATTTGGTATATTATGCCTCCAGTTATTTGAAAGTGTATGCACATTCACATTTACAAACTCTTTTATATTCAATTTCTTTCACTTAATATTTTATGAACATATTTTCATATTGCTAATTATTCACTTGAACAATATAATTTTTGATGACATAGTTTTTGTATAGTGTAACTTTGTATTTGGCCATTCTTTATTAGACATTGTTTCCAAATACAAGAAATCTTTAAGATGATTTGCCACACAGATACAATCACTACAGTGGTGATTCTCAGTCTCTACTTGCACTCCATTCGCAATCCAGTGCTCTGTTAAATGAGACAGAGACAGAGAGAGAGAGAGAGAGAGTGAGAGGTTGAGAGAGAGAGAATGGAGGAAGGCTAGGCAAGGAGAGGCCTGAATCCTAATCATCACTCCACACTTTTCCACACCCTTGAGTTTTATTTGCACTTTTGCTTGCTCTTGGGGTGAATTAGCTCACACTTAAGGCTGTCACTGCTCCTCTTGCCTCACACCCTTTTACTTCCTTCATTTGAGTGTTCCAGGTGAGTTCACTGGGCCAGAACCTCCTACAATCTGCTCAAGACCTAGAGGTTTGAATGGGGAATGTGAGCGCTGATAGAGACAGGGAGCCAGGTCGTGGGTTGGGGAGGGCAAGGATGCTTCCTGCCCTCCTCCTTCATCACTAGTGGCTACTCTAGGGCCTGCCTGTGTGTGCCAGGGCTGAGCTAGGGCCTGGCCCCCTGGAGTTCTACAGAGTCCCTCTGGTACCTGAGCCACAAGAGAGGCACCTGTTCAGGAAATCTCATCAGAATCTAAACTTTAAGAGGAATCTCAGAACTTATCCATTTCAACATTCACCCAATGCTTATATTTCTCTTTTTCACCTTCATTCCACAAGAGAGAAATTTGTGACATGTCTCAGTCTAGCCTTAATGTGATAAGATTCATATAAATAGATATGAGAATATAGAAAACATTTATTTGGACTAGACTTCAGACTAAATTTCTGCCATAACATTCACCAAACTAAGGGATTGCTTATGTACAGTTCTGACCCTGAGGCTGACAACCAGATATTCTTCCCGTTGAAACAGAAAAACTCATACTATTCCACTCAGCCTAGAAATTTCCTAGTTATGTACCAGTAGATATTATACCAACCAGATTGCCAACTGTATTTGAAAGTCAATCAGAAAGCTTCTCCTTCCAAAATTCTCACCCTAATAGAACACTCACCAGCCAAATCCTGCATGAGCCGTCTTCCTTTCACTCTATAAACCTCACTCGCCTATCACGCCCCTTGAGTGGCTACCAGAAGGAAAGTGATCATAGCTAACTCACTCTAGTCAGATCTGAAAAAACAGGTTTCAGATAATTCTATAGACATTGTCTTTTTGACAAAACAAAAATGTATTCTTATGGATTGGTGATATAAATGAGCACTGCCCTGTGGGCTACCTCTGACATGAACAAAGGTCGGCAGACATGTGCTCCTGGACCGCTCCCGTATCGAGCATCCTCACCCACCCAAATTGGCCTGTCCTTAGAATGGCTGGCCTTACGGGTTGTGCCTCTGTAGTGAGTGAGGGGAACCCTTTTCAGTTTGTGCTCCCCACTCCTCTATTCTAGCTCCCTGAAGCCTGCATCCTATGAAGATGTATTCTCTTGGTTCCAAGACAGTTCTTCATACAGCCGATAATCATGGAAGAAAGTCCACATTCCTTTAAGAAGAGATGTGGACCCGGGGAATAAATGGTAAGGAGTTGTTTGAAATGCTTGTTCCCAGGTGCTGTAAAGAAATAGTACTTGAACATAAATTTAATTTATTTAGTAAGGCCATTTTTACTTCCTGCAGAAAGAGTACACTCACCAGAAGTTTTGCCCTTGGTGAGAAATGTATCCAGCCTATACCGGCTTATCCTCATTCCAAAACACTAAAGCAACTAACAGGGTTCCTTGGCATAACAGGCTTCTGCCGAATATGGATTCCCAGGTACGGCGAAATAGCCAGGTCATTATATACACTAATTAAGAAAACTCAGAAAGCCAATACCCATTTAGTAAGATGGACACCTGAAGCAGAAGTGGTTTTCCAGGCCCTAAAGGCCCTAACCAAGCCCCAGTGTTAAGCTTGCCAACAGGGCAAGACTTTTCCTTATATGCAACAGAAAAAAACAGGAATAGCTCTAGGAGTCCTTACACAGGTCCGAGGGACCAGCTTGCAACCCATGGCATACTTGAGTAAGGAAACTGATGCAGTGACAACGGGTTGGCCTCATTTTTTACTGGTAGTGGCAGCAGTAGCAGTCTTAGTATCTGAAGCAGTTAAAATGATACAGGGAAGAGATCTCACTGTGTGGAGACTTGTGGCTGTCAGACAACCATTTGCTTAAACATCAGGCTCTATTACTTGAGGGACCAGTGCTGCGACTGCACACTTGTGCAACTCTTAATCCAGCCACATTTCTTCCAGGCAATGAAGAAAAAAATAGAACATAACTGTCAACAAGTAATTGCTCAAACCTTCACCACTCGAGGGGACCTTCTAGAGATTCCCTTGACTGATCCTGGCCTCAACTTGTATACTGATGGAAGTTCCTTTGTAGAAAAAGGACTTCGAAAAGCGGGGTATGCAGTGGTCAGTGATAATGGAATACTTGAAAGTAATCCCCTCACTCCAGGAACTAGCGCTCAGCTGGCAGAACTAATAGCCCTCACTTGGGCACCAGAATTAGAAGAAGGAAAAAGGGTAAAAAGGAAAAAGGGTAAATATATATACAGACTCTAAGTATGCTTACCTAGTCCTCCATGCCCACACAGCAATATGGAGAGAAAGGGAATTCCTAACTTCCGAGGGAACACCTATCAAACATCAGGAAGCCATTAGGAGATTATTATTAGCTGTACAGAAACCTAAAGAGGTGGCAGTCTTACACTGTCGGGGTCATCGGAAGGGAACTGCCAAGTGGATATTGAAGCCAAAAGAGCCACAAGGTGGGACCCTCCATTAGAAATGCTTGTAGAAGGACCCCTAGTGTGGGGTAATCCCCTCTGTACTCAGCAGGAGAAATAGAATGGGGAACCTCACGGGGACATAGTTTCCTCCCCTCAGGATGGCTAGCCACCAAAGAAGGGAAAATACTTTTGCCTGCAGCTAACCAATGGAAATTACTTAAAACCCTTCACCAAACCTTTCACTTAGCCATTGATAGCACCCATCAGATGGCCAAATCATTATTTATGGGACCAGGCCTTTTCAAAACTATCAAGCAGATAGTCAGGGCCTGTGAAGTGTGCCAAAGAAATAATCTCCTGCACTGCAGGCCATACATTTCAATCCCTGTATCTTTAACCTCCTTGTTAAGTTTGTCTCTTCCAGAATCGAAGCTGTAAAACTACAAATCGTTCTTCAAATGGAGCCCCAGAAGCAGTCCATGACTAAGATCTACCGTGGACCCCTGGACCGGCCTGCTAGCCCATGCTCTGATGTTAATGACATCGAAGGCACGCCTCCCGAGGAAATCTCAATTGCACGACCCCTACTACGTCCCAATTCAGCAGGAAGCAGTTAGAGCGGTCTTTGGCCAACCTCCCCAACAGCACTTGGGTTTTCCTGTTGAGAGGTGGTACTAAGAGATAGGACTAGCTGGATTTCCTAGGCTGACTAAGAATCCCTAAGCCTAGCTGGGAAGGTGACTGCATCCACCTTTAAGCACGGGGCTTGCAACTTAGCTCACACCAGACCAGTCAGGTAGTAAAGAGAGCTCACTAAAATGCTAATTAGGCTAAAACAGGAGGTAAAGAAATAGCCAATCATCTATCACGTGAGAGCACAGGGGAAGGGACAATGATTGGGACATAAACCCAGGCATTCGAGCCGGCAACGGCAACCCCCTTTGGGTCCCCTCCCATTTTATGGAAGCTCTGTTTTCACTCTATTAAATCTTGCAACTGAAAAAAAAAAAAAGATGGGCTAGAGGCAGGAACCAAGTTCTTTGAATGCTGTGAGGAGAAACATTCCACCCAGACTGAGGCGTGGTGGGAGCAGGGGCAAAGGAGATGAAGCAGGAGCTGAAAAGCTCTAAAATCTGAGTTTTAGAGGAGATGCTGAATTCAGCAAGGTGTAGAAAGTTGGGTAGGATATTTGAGTATGTTTTACCAGATCCTCATGACCTTATTGTAGCTATTACAGGGCAGAAATTTGTCTTAAACCTAGCAGAGAACCACTACGTAGAATAATTTGCTATTCCATAAATATTCCTTTCTGTTGACTCCCAAATTTTTTTTTATTTTTTTATTTTTATTTTTATTTTTTGAGACAGAGTCTTGCTCTGTCACTTAGGCTGGAGTGCAGTAGCATGATCATGGCTCACTGCAGCCTTGACTTCCTGGACTTAAGTGATCCTCCCACCCTAGCCTCCTGAGTAGCTGGAACTACAGGCACATGCCACCACACCTAGATAACTTCTTAATTTTGTTTTTTTAGAGATGCGGTTTCACTTTGTTGCCCAGGCTGGTCTTAAACTCCTGGGCTTAAGTGATCTTCACACCTCAGCCTCCCAAAGTGCTAGGATTACAGGCATGAGACATTGCACCCGGCCAACTCCAAATTTTTAGACAGAGCTCTATTCCTTTAACCAATTGCATATTAAAGAGTCTCTGAATCCACCTATAAACTAAGCTTCTGTTTCAAGTTATCCCACCTTTTTGGGGCAAACCACTGCATACCTTCCATGCATTGATTTATGCCTTTCCCTATAACTCCTGCTTCCCTAAAATATCTAAAAGCAAACTGTAATTCCGACTGCTGGGGCACACTTTCTCAGGACCTCTTGAGACTGTGTTCCCCAGGTCATTGACACTTGTATTGGCTCAGAATAAACCTCTTTAAAATATTTTACAGGCTACTCTCTGCCTAGGGGGTAGCACTGCTCTACAGGAGCAGTCATGGTGCTGTAACACTGCCTCTTCAGTAAAGCTGTTTTCTTCCACCTCTGGCTTGCTCTTGAATTCTTTCCTGGGCAAAGCCAAAAACCTACATGGGCTAAGCTCCACGTTGGGGCTCCCCTGACCTGCATCAGTTTCTCTAATCTCTTACTGCTCAGGAGTCAAGTGGCCAGAGGTCACAAAATTTGTGACTTCCCCAGTTGCTCCTATAGATAACATCACTATTGTAGAACCTAAGATTGGTCAGGTAGTGAAGAGCTGACCCCATCTGGACTTGTGACTCATGACTTAATTGGTCCTGTGGCCCTCCTCCAGAGGGGGACTCAGTGCATGAGGATTGTTTTCTACACACCTATGATTGCATTCCCAACCAATCAGCAGCATCCATTCCCTTGCCCCTGCCCACCAAACTATCATTGAAAAACCCTAACCTCTGAGCCCTCAGGAAGACTGATTTGAGTGATAACTCCAGTCCTTCTGCTTGGCTGCTTTGCATTAATTAAACTCTTTACTGCGAAAAATTTTATATATATAAAATATTAAATATTATATATAAATATATAATAATAGTAAATATTATATATAAATATATAATATTAATAGTAAATATTATATATAAATATATGATATTAATAGTAAATATTATATATAAATATATGATATTTATAGTAAATATTATATATAAATATATGATATTTATAGTAAATATTATATATAAATATATAATATTAATAGTAAATATTATAAAATATGTATTATACATTACAGAGTCTGGCTTTTCAGTTAACATAATCAAGAAACTGAAAAAAGACTATCTCTGCTGAAAAATAAACAAACCAAAAACCATGGCAAAGAAACTTTCACAACAATGCCTACCCCTGCTACCCCAGACAAATTGATAACACACAAAGAGCTTCCAAAATAACTTTTATTACTATATAAAAGAAGTCAAGAAAAAATAGATGCATATTTTTCCTACAAAATTATAAAATATTCAGGATAGTTAATATTTTTTCCATAAATGCGCTAAGATAAAAAGATAGAAATCTTTTTCACTTAAGGTTTTCGAGTACCTTGTAGGAATTAAAGAACAATAATGTTCTTTCTTCTACATTTTCCTAAAGACATAGCAGTTACAGTTTCCTGCTGGAGTTATCTAAAAAAGGACATACCAAGATAAATTTTCTATCATATTGAAATAAAATTAGCATAAAGCTTTACTTCTGTCTTTGTGCTTTTAGATTGGCAACTGTGGTCAATCAGTGCTGCACTGGAATTTCCAACTCAGCAGGGGAAAGAATCTAATTAAAAATGACACACACTCTGTATTTTGTCCTTTAGAAAACAGAAACTGCTTGTCGATATCCCTTAAAAAGTGCAATTGCCTTCTTTGTCATTTCTTTGTAAAGTCTGAGATGTTGTTTCTAAACAGCACAGCTTACATGAAACCACGCAAGTAAAGGAAAGAAAGTGCTTTAGAGGGCAGGTTCCATTTGACACAAGCAGCACAGGAAGCCGTACACTTTTGATGACAGTAATTCAAAAAGTATATTCATTTGAGTTTCTCAATAAACGCTTTGAGAGAAAAGGCTTTAATGTTGATTCAGATGAGTGTTAAAATAAAGCTTTCTTTTCTGAAATTAGATTATGGGGTAAACCAAGCCAGATTATCTCTGGAGATGACAGAAGCCATAATTATTTTGGGAAATTTCAATCACTGTTTTGGAATTGATACCTAAGGCTTTCTTCTCCCCTATTATTTATGGGCTTTTTAATGAGATATTTTTCTCGGGAGATGCTTAGGTAGGAAATATCAGCTTTTGAAAGATAAAGGTACAATTATCATTAGAATCAAAAGCCCATTAAATAAGAGTCTCAAACAAAGGTTTTCTAGATATATTTTATATACGTTGTTTTCATAAAGATAGAAAAGAAATTCCTATAATATCTGTAAGATTATCCTCACATTAGCCCACATGAAAGATAAAATAAAGGGCTGAGATGGGGGGTGCTTAAATACTTTGCAACAGTGCTATTCTAGTGCCAAAGCCATAATTAACTTTTCACTGATAACCTGTTTCTTAGCCTATACAAAAAGGAATGGCCACCTCAATTCTGGCGGCTTAGTCACTATCTAATCCCTTCCTCCAAAAACCCTGGAATTTTGTGTTCCTCTATGTAATGGAACATCCAACTTATCAAATGATGTGTGACTATGCAACTACTCCTTCTATGGCACCAAGACTGTACCATGCTCCACCCATACTGAATTTAATTGTGCTACCACTTTGTGCCAGGCAGAGGGCTGGGTACTGGGGATCCTTCTGGCTCTATTACCAATTTTGGAAATAGAATTTAGTAGAGAAGAAGAGAACAGTGTTGCAGCAAGGGGATCTTGAATGGTTTTTCATGAAGTTTAAGGGATATGATGGAGTGTGGCTTGTATTCAGTCTTTGGAAGTAAGTACCAGTTACCTAAAAAGAAATCCACTAAGCACCAAAATGTTTAGTGTATTTGGTGTAGAGTTTCTACCCATATTAAAATGCTTCAGTTTAAAATTGAAGGGAAGGCAAAAAAATCAACCAAAAAATGAAAAGTATCATTTCAGCATAAGCACTACTCTAGGTTTTAATTTGTCAGCCCAGATCCCAGACAGAGATGATACTCCAAACATGAAAAGTCACCTCCAAGTCTCAATTCACTACTGAGAACCCAAAGCTCAAAATATCCCCTAAAATTCCATAAAAATCAGGAAAGACCCTAGCTATTGCCCCAGGGAAGGGCAGACCATGAGACAGGTCTCTTTTAGCTCCAAACTGAAAGTTGTTCAGCAGCTAAAATCCTGAAGAAAAAAATATTGCAATTAATTAACTTGAAAGCTACAGATATGCCTGTCCAAATCTTTTGTTACCAAGACACAATTTTAAGATCAAACAAGTGTCAAGGTAGGCCATGGCTTGTTGGCAGTAGTAGGGGCCCTATGGCCTATTTCCAGGTATGGGTGGCCCCTTTTCCTTGGTTATCTGGGGAATCTGCCACAGCAAACAGCAAAAGGTAAAAAGCATCCCTTTAATAACTACACCCCACTCCAGCAATTGAGGTTTATTCAGGGGTGGGTCAAAGTAGTACAAGACAAAAATAGCTTAGTGAAATGGTTAGAATCCAGACTGAGGTGCCAGACTGCCTGCATCTGAGTCTCAGTCCCACCATGTATGAGCCGTGTGACCTTGGGGTGAGTTACTAGCCTCCCCAGGCTTCAAATCTCTCACCTGTAAAATGGGAACAGTAACAATACCTACTTCATCCCGTCTGTCTGGGGACTGAATGAGCTAATATGTGTAAAGTGCTTAGAGGAGTGTTTGGAGCATAGTAAGTGCTGTGTGAGTACTTTCAAAAATAAAAACAAGAACTTGGGGAAAAGTGCTCTCTGAGGTTTGTAGGGCAGTGTATGCTACTTAAGTGTTGAAGCATATTTTCATTCTAAGAAGTTTAGCATCTGGATCATAAAGTACATCAACCCTAGGGAAGTCTTGGGGCTAACTTCAGTTTTGGAAATTCTTCCAAGTCTGACCAGAGAAGATCTCTTCAACCACCTGCTCTAATCTATCAATACCCTAACATAAACCCTAGTCTCCAGGGACAATTTGAGCCCAAACCAGCTGGGGAGGGAGCAGAAGGCAGGCATGGGGAGAAAGGAACCAGGTGCTTTCCTAAATTTCTTTAATATACTCTCATCATGGTATCTGTGTAGAGTCATGATCTAAACCCTGTCCCAGATATTCCTTATCGGATTTTAAACTTTTAGGACTGCTTCCCGCTAGTTGTGAAATCATTGTCTCCCAGAATTAACAGGAAATGACTGCATGACAACAGGCCAGGGATGCTGCCAGTTTATCCAATTAACTACTAGTAGACACATATTCACATATTGAGTATCTATTCTGCACAAGGCACCGTGCTAATGTTGTGGTCCTCAACAAGATAAAGGTAACATAACCACAATTTATATCTGCTATTAT
This sequence comes from Homo sapiens, assembly GCF_000001405.40. NCBI lineage: Eukaryota > Metazoa > Chordata > Mammalia > Primates > Hominidae > Homo > Homo sapiens. The sequence goes on along the minus strand of NC_000002.12, from coordinate 171,555,024 downwards.
TTATATTAATCACATCCTTTCCAATTCAGGTCAGTTCATAGGCCTCAATCAATACAAATTATTTCAAGAAACCATCCTTTGTGATTAAAGTAAATATTGATACTACATAGCCCAATTATCATATGGCTAATAGGAGAAGCAAAACTGTAGAGCTAGTTTTGAAACGTGACGTTATATGGCTCTATCTCTACAACATTTTACATGGTAGATCTCTGCCCAGCCTCATCCAGAGCTAAGTTTCTTTTCCTTGCTGCTACTTCACTGTTTAACTCTGAATCTGATTTGTCCATGTTGTTGCCAGAGTAGGCTGGCATGGAACCTCTTGCTCCCTGTTCAGTGCCTCCATTTGGATGAAGAATGGTAGAATTTGGCTCCTTAGGACGTTTCCATTGCGGTCTGGTGACTATCCAAAAAATGAGGGCCCCGAACACCAGGATCAGAAGGCCAAGCGTATTTACGAAAACACCTTCTGGCGGGAATGTACTGTATGCAGGATCTCTCCTATGAAATAAGAGATGTATCCAATTACAAACAGGATGATACAGCAACATGCAAAACAGTCTTGAATTTATCTGCTCAAAATGCACACTAGTACAGTTTCAATGTAAACTCTCAAAGCTTGCTATTAAGGAGAAATATAAATTATGCTACAATTCACTCGGGAATATATAATGAAATTGATTTAAAAATAATAAATATGAAAATAATATAGCATCTGTAACACTTGTTTTAAGGCAGGTAGGGTCTGGAGGCAGGCAACCTCAGGTCAATTCACACGGACTTCCTAGAACTAAACCAAAAGGAAAACCCCAACTTTCCACATCTAAGTAGCAAAAGGACCCGAGGCTACTCCCTTTGCAAACCCCGCTTTTCTGCATGGCGGATGGAAAATTGAAAGTATCTCTGATTGGTTGCTTTCTACAACCAATCAAACTGACTGCAGGCCACCACTTCATTTACATGCAGTGAACACCAACTGGCCAATGGGAAACCTCTAGGGGCTATTTGGACCCAAGAAGATTCCCTATCGGGCCGTTGAGTGGCTGCTCAGGCCACTCCCGCCCTGTGGAGTGTACTTTCATTTTCAGTAACTCTCTGCTTTTGTTGCTTCATTCTTTACTTGCTTTGTTTGTGTGTTTTGTCCACTTCTTTGTTCAAAACGCCAAGAACCTGGACACCCTCCACCAGTAACAGTTATCACTTAAAATTTTTAAAAAGGATGAAACAAAAATGTATGTACACTATAATTACAATTAATATAAAAACATGCATATCAACAAGATTGAAAGGGAATGTATAACTTCAATAGTTGTTTCATAAGAGTAATACAATTTGTCAGACTTTTTGGTCCTTCTAAACTTTTAGTAATATCATATTACCTATATGATATAACAAATTCTTTAAAATATTTTTTAATTTTAATATCTAAAAAATTTTGTTATATTTTTATTACATTTTCCCAGTGAACAAGTATTTAACATTTTGTGGCTTAAGTATTACAATTAAGAAGACTATGCAACTTACAGGGAAAAAATCAGTTTCTCTGTCAATCCCATAAGTGCTGTTGCAATCACTGTTCCAAAGATGACAATTCCAGAATAAACATGTATGGGCATGAGAAATGCTCGGAGAGAAAGCGGAGCCCATGGAAGCAGAAAGACTGAAAAACCTGAAAGAAGCTAAACACCAAAAAGTGCAAAGGTTATCATTTAATTTTAAGTTCTAAACTAATTTTAAATTATTTAAAAAGCAATATGTGTAATATGACAAAACCTTTCATATAGAACCAAAGGGTAGAAAATGAAGTTTCCTCGCTCCAGTTCCACTACCTAATGTAACCCCTTTTATCACCTTCTCATGGATCATTCCAGAAAATTTATTATCCCTATACATATTGTTCTGCATCTTGCTTTTTTCCCTTAACAGAATATCTTGGAAATCTTTTTCATACCTATACATTTACCTAATTTATTCCTTTTAATGGCTAATATCCTAAGGCTATAACAATTTATTTATACAGTTCTCTATGGATGTTTCTGTTTGGTTTTTGCTATCCTTAATCCGACTATAGTGAACATTCTGGTACTTACTTGTTTGTTTTTACCAATCTCCTAAGGTTGCTAAGTAGGAAGGGAAGGAAAAGATTTTTTAAATCACTAAAACCGAGTACATTAGGACACAGAATTTAGTCAGTTCAACCTAAAAAGCTATGTGGAATGAAGTTGATTTTTGTTTTATGAGAAAGAAATGAATTCTGCAGAAAAGGTGTCTTCATTTCCTTGATAATGAAATCGCTAGTGGGATACCTCTTTGCAGAGAAGACAGCAAGGTTCCTATATAAACTGAAGTCTGTTGCGCTTTCACGGTTTTGTCACCCCACACGTTTGCCCATCAAGTATCCTCTCTTCAACAAGATAAAGATGACTTTGTGGTTACTGAATTACTGAGTTTAAAGGAACATTTTTTTTCAGATGCCTATTTAGGATCTACCATCCTAGCAAAACAATTATGAAAAGAGAGGAGAGTGGGGAGAAAGCACTAACATCACTGTTCAGCTTTCTTGATTGAGATCCAAGGGCTAATGGGGAGACAGAAGAAGGGAGGCAGGGGGAGGGGTCCAACGCCCTAATTCACACTGAGAATCAGCTCATGTGTAATACCAAGTAGTAATAAATGGAAACTGATAACAAAACAATTTGTATGATTTGTCACTTTAACAGACTGCAGAGGAAAAATCATATAATCATCAAAACAGATGGTGAAAAACATTGGTAGGATTCAACAGTCATGTATGAGATGTTTTAACAAACTAGGAATGGAAGATGATTATTTTAATCTGATTATATTAGGACAGAACATGCTATAGGAACTAACAGGCTCCATTTTCAAGAGCTTAACATATAAAAGTATATTTCTTGCTCACACACAGTCTGCTTATGGTCTATAGGCATTTCAGAGTAGCTCTCTTCCAAGACATGACTCAGATCTAGAAGGGATTTGTCTTATATCCCTTATCACCTATTCCTATTCAGCATTTTTCTGAAAGTCTCAGCTACTGAGTTAAGCAAGAAAAAAAAATGATGATAGAAAAAGAAACAAAACTTATTAATCACATAAGATTATAAAACACAATCCAAAAGAATCTTGAGATTAATTACTAACATAAGTTTATCAAGTTTGCTAGGTATAAATTTATACTTGAGATCAGTTGCACTTTTTGTAAAGAGGCAACAAGTGAATTAATTTTTAATGATACCATTTTTAATAGCAAGGAGCTAGCAATAAGTTGGAGACAACAACTCTACAAAGAAAATATAAAGCTTTGCAATATTTTGGAGAAGGCTAAAAAAACAGGCTCAGGATAATGAGTTGGAAGACTTGTATTATACAGATGTCGGTTCTCAAATTCATCTATAGATTAAATAAAATCCTAATAGATTTTTGGTGGAATTTGATGCATTGATTCTAAAATTTACATAGATCAAAGGGCCAAGAATAGCCAAGATTAACTGTTGTTTTCTGAAGTATATCCTAATACAATAAATTCTGTAATTTATATTTAAAAAGTAATAACAAATGCATTTGATAGGTTGGTTTGCATATTTTATTATTTAGTTAATAACCAAAATGCCTGAATATATTAGAAATGGTTCAGAGGGTTCCCTCTTGGTGGTTCAGAATATTCCTAAATCTTCTTCAGTGAACTTCAGTGATTCTATTAGTATCAAAGGGCAAGCTTCCTGATGTCCATGTTGTGCTTTCTATATGAAAATGGGGGCTGAGTGTGGTGCCTCACGCCTGTAATCCCAGCACTTTGGGAGGCCAAGGTGGGAAGATCACTTGAGTCCAGGAGTTCAAGACAAGCCCGGGCAACATGGCGAAACCCCATCTCTACAAAAAATTAGCTGGGCATGGTGGTGCACGTCTGTGGTCCCAGCTACTGTGGATGCTGAGGCAGGAGGATTGCTTGAGTCCTGGAGATGGAGGTTGCAGTGAGCTGAGATTGTGCCATTGCACTCCAGCCTGGGTGACAGAGTGAGACCCTGTCTAAGAAAGAAAAAAGAAAAGAAAGGAAAAGAAAATGGGGCTCAGGGATATAGCACAAATATATCTCCATAAATCATCATATCTTTTCTGTGGCTTACCCATAGAAACATATATTTCTCATTCCTGCTCTCCTATTTTCATTCCTAAGATTCTTTCTGTTTTCTCTCATTTCCTCCATAATTTGTCATGTGTGTCTCTTACAATCCTGTAGGGCTCAACAGTCTAAGCAGGTAGGAGGTCAGAAATTTGCTTACAGGATCCCTGAGCAACTTAACTACCCTAAATCTGACTTTCACCATTAAACATTTTTTGCAACAAAAGAAAATTACATTTAAAAGGAAAAGAAAAACATTACAGAATGCTTAACTTTGATTAAAAGTGTTCTGAATGCTGCAATAATGCATATTTATAATTTATAATAACTTATAATTTATAAATAATCATTATTTCCTTTTAACTATCTTAATCTTACTACCTTACAAGTGAAGGTGATAATTTATAACCTAGTGGACCGAAAATTATAAGACCTTTTGTCTCTCTAAGTCAGTACTGGAAGTGCTGTTCACAGAAGGCATGCATTTAAAGGGATGCCTGCTGTAATCCCAGCACTTTGGGAGGCCGAGGCAGGAGGATCACTTGAGATCAGGATTTTAAGACCAGCCTGGCCAACATGTCAAAACCCCATCTCTACTAAAAATACAAAAACTAGCCAGGCATGGTGGCACATGCCTGTAGTCCCAGCTACTCTGGAGGCTGAAGCAAGAGAATTGCTTGAACCCGGATGGCGGAGGTTGCAGTGAGCTGACATTGTGCACTTCAGCCTGGGTGACAGAGCAAAGCTCTGTCTCAAGAACAAAAACAACAACAACAAAAAAATAAAAAATAAAAAGATGCCTGGGCCACATTCTGACCTGCTAAATCCAATTTCTGGATTAGGGCCCAGGAATCTGTATTTTTAACAAACTGCCCAGACGATTCTTACGTATGTTGAAGTTTGAAAATGACTGCTGTTGATTCACTCAAATTATTCTAGAGATATGGATAAACAGTCTGGAAAACCCTCAAAAGAGAAGGTAGTGGAATATTCCATTATATATAGTCTACAAACACACTAAATGCCAACTATATGCAAACAAAGTGCCCCAGTGTTTAGGAATCATCACCTACAGGAAGCTGTTCTTCAACACAGTGGAAGTTCTTAAGAGCTAAGGAAAAATAAACTTTCATAAAAAGTTATTACTTAGAGATGAAAGTGAAAATACAGTATGACCCAATTATGTTTAAAAATTAAATATCTATATCTACATTTGCATAGGCATAATAAAAGCCTAAAGGGAATAAGCCAAAAGCTAATGATATCTCTAGATTATGGCAGTATCAGTGGGTTTTTTCATTTTTTGTTTTTTTATTTAATTTGTAGCAGCAGCAGAGGTTCTACTCCTTGTGGAACAGGAATACCCCACAGGCAGTGTGCCCAGAATAGCCAGGGTTTTTTCTTTATATCTTTCTACATCTTATAAACTTTAACATTAATGTGTATTACTTTTATAATTAGAAATAGACAATAAAAGTTTACTTTTAAAGTTTCCATGTTGGCTGGGCACAGTGGCTCATGTCTGCCATTCCAGCACTTTGGGAGGCCGAGGTGGGTGGATCACTTGAGGCCAGGAATTTGAGACCAGCCTGGACATCATGGTGAAGCACCTTCTCTACTAAAAATACAAAAATTAGCCAGGTATGGTGGCATGGGCCTGTAATCCTAGCTACTTGGGAGGCTGAAGCATGAAAGTCACTTGAACCCAGGAGGCAGAGGTTGCAATGAGCCAAGATTGCACCACAGTACTCCAGCCTGGGCGACAGGGTGAGACGCTGTCTCAGTAAATAAATAAATAAATAGAATAGAATAGAATAAAGTTTCCATCTTAAATGCCTGGGCATTTCTCAGTTAATTATTACTATTCTTAAAGATATAAATGTATACTACTATGGCAGTTTCTCACTTTATGAAACAGATGAGTTTTTTTGTTTTTATTTTTACAGAGATAGGGCCTTGCTATGCTGCCCAGGTTGGTCTTCAACTCCTGGCCTCAACTGATCTTCCCACCTTGGCCTCCCAAATTGTTGGGATTACAGGCGTGAGCCACCATGCCATGTCTGGCCTGAGGTTGGTTTTTTTTCTTTTCTTTTGTTTTCTTTTTTTTTTTTTTAGTGTGTGTAAGCTTTTAGACATAACAAAAGCTCTTATTGCAAAAGACATTAATGAGACCAGAAAATATCTACCTGGCTAGCTTTTGTAGTAGGTATGGTTTGCTTTTTTTTTTTTTTTTTTTTTAGGGTACAGGTAGATTTAATGAGCTTTCAAGTAAACTGTAGATTATTATATGGAAGCTCCTCCCAGCTCTCCTTCATCTTTGTACTATTTTATAAACTCATTCAGTCCTTCATTCCACATACGTTTTGCCCCTCTTATGACCCAGATGTTCGGAGTGTTGGGAATGCTACACAAGACAGACAAGCTCCCAATGTTAAAGAACTCACATTTATTTTCATTAATATTACTGTTAATGTCCAACTTTTTGACCATTCATAGGCTTTTCTCTTAGATTAATTATTCAGAAATATTAGCACTAATCTGAATCACCTTATGTGCTTGTTAAAGCACAGATTGTTGGGCCCCAGCCCGAGTCTTTGGTTCAGTGGATCTAGGGTGGAAGCTGAGAATCTGTCTTTCTAATTTCCCTAGTGATGCTAATGCTGCTGTTCTAGGGACCAAACGCTGTCTTAGGTCATTGCCAAATTGCATTCCTCCAGTGTAATGACACTTTTCTTCCAGGGGTTAAAAAAAAATTAAAAATAAATAAATAAATAAATCTAACCAGCACCAACTACAATATGCCCATAGTTTTTTTATAAGGGACGTAACAGACACTCAAACTGGTCATTAAGTCTCCTGCCAATATTCTACATCTCCTTGCTACACTGTCTTTTCATCACATCAACTTGGCAATACCCCAACCCTGGCTCAGCCATCTTCATGACTACCCCTGGTCTGCTAGGTAATACTGGAGTAAACCACAACCACAGAGACTAGCATCACTCCAAGTTCATGATTATGAGCAGTTCAACAACCCTGCTCAGCAAACCTCTATTGTCTTATTTATCAATGAGCTCTCCATTCTCCCCCATCCTCAAATGTCTGACTCTCCGATGTGCCTCCTTACTCTTGGGGGATGATTTTACTATCACCTCATGGGAAAAACAGAAGCAACTTCAGAGAAGAGCCTCAATTTCCTGCCACCAAACAAAACAAAGCAAGAAATCACCCCAAGCCAACAATTCTTTTCTTCAATTACATTGGAGATTATGTCCTCCAATTTTTCAGCTGTGCTCTGTGACCTGCTTCCCAAGGACCTAGCTATACATCACTGTGTCTCTCCAGTGTTCACAGTGTCTCTTTCTTTACTGGTGCCATCCTGTTAGCCTTTCCATAAGCCCAAACTTCTCACAATAAAAAGCAGAAGTAGACAAAAAAAAAAAAAAAAGAGCACCCAAATGCCTCCTTGGACTCTTGCCCCTGTCCAATTGTCACCCTCTCTGTCTCCTCCCCTCTCACCCAAACCTCTTGACTGAGTTACCACTCTGTTTCCTCACCTTCTGCTCCCTCTTCAATCCATTGCAGTCTGGCTCCTAGGAAGGAAGCCAGGAAATTGCTTTCTGGGGTCATTAGTGACTTCCAGGTTACTAAGCCTAATGATCAGTTTTCAGACTTTATTTTGCTTATCTCCTCAGTAGCATCTAACACTCCTCCAGCCCTCTCCTCCCCTCCAATGTTTCCCTTCTCATCTACCCACTTATTCAAACTTGTGGCTACCCACCTGCTCAATAAAGCCTGTGAGTGACTCTCTCTCATTCTTTACATCACGCATTAATTCTACCTGCTAAATATCTTTAGAATCTATCCACTTTGCTACATTGCTACTGCTACTCCTCTAGGCCACCATTGTTTCTCATCTTAACTCCATAAACACCTGCAAGCTAGTCTCCCTATAATTATACCTGTCCAGCCTCCAATTCATCTTCTATGCCCTGCTCTGGACAGCCTGGTCTCCTCCCTACTCCTCAAATACCACAAACTCTTCCCCACATGCTATTCCATCCACCTAGAAGACTCTCCGCCCTTTCTACACCAGGTGTGTGGCTTCAGGTCTTGGTGTGAGGTGTGACTTCCTTTATCCCCTATATGAGAGCTCTCACATACTATATGAGAGGCCTCCCAGAACACTTCCTATCTACCAAATACTCAATTGCCTATCTTCCCTGCAAGCTTTACAAGGGCAGAGAGCATGTCTCTTTGAGCCCACATTTGTCTTGTGGAACAGGTATCACCCACAGCCCAGCCTAGCAAGGTATCTGGCATATAACGGGTATTCGGTTCACTGCTGAATATATGAATAGATTTGGGAATAAAATTGCAATGACAAAAAATGCATGTTCTTAACCATGAAGGTACCTATGATCAATAGTAGAAGTGGAAAATGTCATCTGCAGGTCATAAAGGGGCATACCACAGGATTTACACTTATAATAACAACAGCTAGTTTGTGTTATACCAGTGTGCTAAGCCCTGGGCTGGACCTTTAGATGCATTATTTGGCTTTGATTCTTATGATTTTGTGAAGGATTATAATCCTTGATTTATAGCTGTGCAAAAGAAATTCAGAGAAGTAACTTGGTCCACGGTCACCAACTATCAAATGGATGAACCTAATCCAAACTGAGGTCTTCCTAATTGCAAATCCTGTTTTCTTAAACACTACCTGTCCTCTGGATCTGAGCAAGGAAGAAGCCAGGTGCCAAAATTCCTCCCACTAAGCAAAGCCATGAAGTTGTGAAATAATATTTCTGAGAAGCTCGGTTAGCACAAAGACAACAACGCGAGATATGAATCTGGATATTTCAGACAGCAAAAGAGAATTTTGAGACAAATATGTTTTTAACTCACCCAAGTTTAAAAATAGAATATATTTATATAATTGACTACATTAAGATGTTAAAGAAGAAAACTTAAGGTAGGGTGTTTACCGTTAGTAATAATTTATTGTATATTTCAAAATACCTAGAAGAGAAGAACTGGAATGCTCCCAACACAAAGTAAAGATAAATGAAATAATGGGTATCCCAATTACCCTGATTTGTTCATTACCCATTGTATACTTTTATCAAAATATCATATGTACCACAAAAATATGTTATGATTATTATACATCAATTAAAAAATAAATAAACATTGGCCGGACGTGATGGTTCACACCTGTAATCCCAGCACTTTGGGAGGCCGAGGCGGGTGGATCATTTGAGGTCAGGAGTTCGAGACCAGCCTGACCAACATGGTGAAACCCCGTCTCTACTAAAAAAAAAAAAAAAAAAAAAAATTAGCCACATGTTGTGGCACGAGCCTGTAATCCCAGCTACTCGGGAGGCTGAGGCAGGAGAATTGCTTGAGCCTAGGAGGCAGGTGTTGCAGTGAGCCAAGGTGGCAGCACTGCACTCCAGCCTGGGTGATAGAGCAAGACTCCATCTCAAAAAAAAAAAACAAAAAAGGTATATTCATCTCAGCAGAGATAGCAAAAGCATTCAATAAAATTCCACATCCATTTATGATTTAAGAAGAAAAACAAAACCTTTGCACAAACAGGGGTAGGAGGAAATGTGACGCATCTGTACTCAATGGTAAAATATTAGAAGCATTCTTTTTATTTATTAATTCTTTTTTAGCCTTTGGCAGGCATTCTCTTTAAAATAAAAAATAGTCAAAGATTCTTTTTTTTTTTTTTTTTTTGAGACAGGGTCTTGCTGTGTCACCCAGGCTGGAGTTCAGTGGTGGGATCTCAGCTCACTGCAGCCTTGACCTCCCAGGCTTAAGCAATCCTCCTATCTCAGCCTTCTGAGTAGCTGGGACCACAGGTGTGCACCACCAGAGCTGGCTTATTTTTATATCTTTTGTACAGACGGGGTTTTGCCATGTTTCCCAGGCTGGTCTGGAACTCCTGAGCTCAAGCAATCCTCCCACCTAGGCATCCCAAAGTGCTGGAATTATGGGTATGAGCCACTGTGCCTGGCCCCAAAAGTCAAAGATTTTTCTCTCTACTTCTCTACTTCTTATGGCTTCTATACACTTCTACATACTTCAGTACTTCTACACACTTGAATTCTGTACTGCACTGGCTAGGATACAGAGGATAAGATACTCTATAGGATGCAATTGGCTTTGTACATAAATAGTAGGAGCAGAGATGATTCAATAAATGGTGATGGGAAGATAGTTTACCCATCTGGAAAAAAATGAAGTTGAATCACATCACCTCACACATTAAAATTAATTCCAGATGAAGTAAGTACTTAAATATCAAAGACAAAACTATTTTTCATATTGTTGGGGTTTTTTTGGTTTGTTTTTTCTGTGTACTAGAGTAGAAAAGTAAAAGACAAAATTTTAATGCTCTTAGTAGAAAGCATAAGATGATATTTTGACCTCAGGGTAGAGAAGAATTTCATAAACAAGTCACCAAAAGAAAACAAAACAAAGAATGATAGTCTCAGAGGAAAAGATGATTAATTTGGTTACATTAAAATTGACAATTTCTGTTTATCAAAAGATGTTAACAACAGAGAAAATGCAAGCTTCAAACTAGGAGAAGATATAGCAATATATATAAATGAAAAAGAATTCGATATAGAATTCCTATAAATCTTTAAGAAAAAGAGAAACATTTTTTAAATAGACAAAAGACACAAACAGGTGTGTCTTAGAAGATAAAACACAAGTGAAATGAACATTAAAACTACAAGAATACATCATTAAGTACCAACTAGTTTAGCAAGGATTTAAAGTTTAAAGAGGGTGCAAGCTGGTAAGGATATGGGAACTCATAAACTTCTGGCAGGAATATAATCTGGGTCAATCACTTGGGAAAACAATTTAGCATTATCTTTTTAGGTTGAGCTTGTAATTTCACTACTATGTATATGCCCAGAGAAACCTTTAGATGTGAGGACCAGGAGATGTATATATGAATATTCAATGCAGCATAGTTTCTAACTGAAAATAGCAAGAGAACAGGTAAGTAAATTTGTGGCATATTTATACAGTGGAATACAAAAGTAAAAATGAATGAACTATAGCCAGAGGAATCAATACAGTTTAATCAGTAGAGTTAAAAAAAAGTTGCAATAGAATATATATGAGACCATTTTTTAAAAAAAGTTTCATTTAAAAAGCAAAATTAAACAATATATGATTTAATTAATCAATATTTAAACATCTTGTTTAATTAATCAATATTATTTAATTAAACATCTTGTTTAATCAATATATTGATTCACAGTATGTGATTAAAGTATTTTAAAAAGCAGAGAATGAGAATAAACACCGGGAGAATGGTAACCTCTAGGGGTTGGGGTAGGTAAGAACTTTATCTGGTTGAGGAGAAGAGATGAGGAGGAAGGAGAAGGAGAAGTCAGAGAGTTTCCAAGCCAGCGAGATGGACTGGATGTCCATTGCTGGTAGGGAGATGAAGGGAGCCGGGTACAAGGAAGAGAGGACTCCAAGGTTCAGGGCAGCCCCAGCTGATGGCCAGCAAGGGAACAGGGACCTCAGTCCTGCACATACAAGGACCTGGACTCTGCCATCAAGCTGAATTTGCTTTAAGCTGATTCTACCCTAGTCTCCCAATCAGAGCCCTGGAAGGCTGACACCTTGATACTGGCCTTGTTAGACCCAGAGCAGAGAAACCAGACAAGCCAATCTGGACTTCTGATGTACAGGTACTGTGAGGTCATAAATTTATGTTGTTTCAGGCCATTAAGTCTGTGGTAATTGGTTACCACAATAGAAAATGAATTATTTATGGATTTTTTTTTACCTTTATTGATTTACTTTTCCTGGTATATTTTGCTGTTCCCTTATAGTTACCTAAGTAAATAGCTTATGTATTTTAAGTTTTCTTTCCAAAAAATATAATAAAAGCATTTAAGCCTATATTCCTCTGGGAACCATTTTAATTAAACCCCAAAGATTTTTATTTATTTATTTTTTTGAGATCAGGGTCTGGCTCTGTTGCCCAGGCTGGAGTGCAATGGTATAATCTCAGCTTACTGTAACCTCTGCCTCCTGGTCTCAAGGGAGCTGTGCACCTCATCATCCCAAGTAGCCAGGACAACAGGTGTGCACCACCCTGCCCAGCTAATTTTTGTGTTTTTGTTTTAGAGATGAGGTTCCGCCATGTTGCCCAAGCTGATCTCAAACGTCTGGGCTTAAGCGATCCACTGGTCTCAGCTTTTCAAAGTGCTGGGATCACAGGAGTGAGCAGTGCACTATGCCCAGCCAGGACCCACAGATTTTTAAATAGGTATTCTCTTTATTGCTAATTGTTAGATCAGTCTCTCTCTTGATTTCTCTCTCTCTCGATCTCTCTCTCTGTCTTTCCTTTATTTGTAGAGACAGTCTCCCTATGTTGCCCAGTCTGGTCTTGAACTTCGGAGCTCAAATGATCCTCCCACCTCGGCCTTCGAAAATGCTGGAATTATAGGCATGAGCCAGCATGCCCAGCCTGATATTTCTTAATTTTACATATTAAGATATAGAGCAGAGTATAAGTTGGTTTTTAGAGAATCCAGATTAAAAGTCATATCCAGTATAAGAAATCTTTATTTCTTATTATTTTGTTCTGTGAATTCTGCAATTCTGGTGCTCTCTGAGGGGAAAATAGTTATAATAGAAACAAATGTAAAGAATGTTTAGAAAACATTTACAGTCACTGGGCGCGGTGGCTCACACCTGTAATCCTAGCACTTTGGGAGGCTGAGGCAGGCGGATCACCTGAGGTCAGGAGTTCAAGACTAGCCTGGCCAACATGGTGAAACCCCATCTCTACTAAAATACAAAAATTAGCCTGGCACGATGGTGGGTACCTGTAATCCCAGCTACTTGGGAGGCTGAAACAGGAGAATCACTTGAACCCTGGAGACAGTGGTTGCAGTGAGCCAAGATCGCAGCACTGCACTCCAGCCTGGGTGGCTAAGCGAGACTCTGTCTCAAAAAAAAAAAAAAAAAAAAAGAAAAGAAAACATTTACAGTCTCTGAATTGTTTTTATAACTTGCTTGTAAATACACTGAAATACTGACCTGTAACAAATAGCATATGACAGCTATCAGTCCAACCCAGCTGTGCAGACTGTACATATTGGCTATATTGTTAACATTGTGGTTCTCAAACACGGCCACCACAGAGATAATTGCAAGAATGGCAGCAACTGCATTTAACCCTGCATGGATGGATTTCATCAGGAGCTTGCTGCATTTCCAGGTCCACGGCAGTCTGTAGACGATGATGGCTAGGGAAAGACGAAAGGACACAGAATGTGTTTTGTTTTGTTTTTTAAACAACACAAAATGAACAGTTTGACACACTGGACACTCCCTTTTTGAAACCTTTTTCCCTTGGCTTTTGCTTCTCCCCTCTTCCCCATGTTACCCCTGCCTCTCAGTGGCTCCCTCTAGGGGACGGTGGAGGAGTTCCTTTGCTGGCATTTTCTTCACTCCCAACTTGTGAATGAACCTTGGTGCCTCTCAGGCTCGGTCCTAGGGCTTTTTCTCCCTCTGCACTCCCTCTTGTGGGTGATCTCATTCACTCTTTCACTGAAATGCTGTCTCCATGGCAGGGACTCCAAAAAATTTATATCTCCAGCCCAGAACTGTCTTCTAAGCTTCAGATCTGCATAATCCAATGTCTTCTTGGTATTTCCGTACGGCGTTTGCTTCCCAGACATCTCAAACTTATCCAAAACCAAATTCCTAATCTTAACAATCTGATTTATGCCTGTTGTCTCCTTTCTTCTTAAAAATGTCTCAGTTTGGCCGGGCCCAGTGGCTCATGCCTGTAATCCCAGCACTTTGAGAGGCTGAGGCGGGGTATCACTTGAGGTCAGCAGTTCAAGACCAGCCTGGCCAACATGGTGAAACCCCATCTCTACTAAAAATACAAAAATTAGCCAGGCATGGGGTGGCATGCACATGTAATCCCAGCTATTCTGGAGGCTGAGGCACGAGAATCGCTTGAACCCGGGAGGCAGAGGTTGCAGTGAGCCGAGATTGCGCCACTGCACTCCAGCCTGGGCAACAGAGGAAGACAAAAAAAAAAAAAAAAGTCTTAGTTTGATAAGAAAAAGAAAGGAACAGAAAAACATGCAAATTTAAACCATGCAATAGAGAAATACAAATTTAAGCCGAATGAGAATACCTCTACCACATATCTGAATGGCTAAACCTGGAAAACACCAAGTATCAAAATGAATATACAGCAGTCAGAACTCTAATGTTCTGCTGATGAGTGCTTTAATGAGAACAAAACTTTGGAAAACTGGCAGTATCTACTTAAGGTAAAGTTATGCATACCTTATTGTCCAGCAATTTCACTCTCGGGTATATGCCAAAAAGAAATATTTATATGATCATCAAAAGATACTAGAATATTATTAGCAGTACTATTTATAGTAACCAAAACCTGGAAACTCCCCCAAATGCCCATCATCAATAGAATGAATAAATAAATTTACACCATGGAAAGAAACGATCTACAACTAGAACTAGACCCAGTAATATGGATCAACCTATAATGTCAATCTCAAGAAGCCAGACGTTAACAAGTATATAGTGTAATTCAATTTATATGAAGTATAGAAACCAGCAAAACTCATCTCTGCATTGGAAAAGTCAGGATAGTAGTTGCCTTCGTGGGGAAGGATACAGCAATTACAATGGAACACACAAGGGATTTTGAAGACTCCTACTAACATTCTGTTTCTCAATCTAGGTGCTGGTTTCACAGGTGTCATAGACAGAAGATTCATCATTCTGCATGTAGAACAAACTCCAATTAAGTTTTTTATGGCCTGGCGCGGTGGCTCACGCCTGTAATCCCAACACTTTGGGAGGCCGAGGTGGGCAGATCACTTGAGGTCAGGAGTTCAAGACCAGCCTGACCAACATGGTGAAACCCTGTCTCTACTAAAAATACAAAAAAATTAGCCAGGCATTGTGGTGCATACCTGTAATCTCAGCTATTTGGGAGGCTGAGGCAGGAGAATCGCTTGAACCTGGGAGGCAGAGGTTGCAGTGAGCTGAGATCATGCCACTGCACTCCAGCCTGGGTGACAGAGCAAGACTCCGTCTCGGGGAAAAAAAAAAAAAGAAAACAAAAGTTTTTTTACAAAGGGTTGTCTTAAGTGTCCTGGTTTAAGCAATAAATTATATGGCCACCTTAACCAACATTCAGTTAATTTTTGTTCTGAAGATAAAATCCTGCCCCTATCCATCCCTCCAGTCTGTGTCAGGGAAAATTTAGATATCTGGAAATGTGTGGCAGATTGAAAAAGTTTATAGAATACTTCCTCAGACGATGGATTCCACTATATCAGCAGGGTATCACGTATATTTCTTTTCTTTTCTTTCTCTGTCACCCAGGCTGGAATGTAGTGTTGCGATCACAGCTCACTGCAGCCTTGACCTCCTGGGACCAGGTGATCCTCCCACCTCAGTCTCCTGAGTAGCTGGGGCTGCAGGCATGCACCACCACACGCTGCTATTTTTTCTATTTTTAGCAGAGATGGGATTCCATCATGTTGCCCAGGCTGGTCTTGAACTCCTGGGCTCAAGTGCACCACCCGCCTCAGCATCCCAAAGTGCTGGGATTACAGGCATGAACTACAGTGCCTGGCCTCATGTACATTTCTTAATTCCAGAAAATAAAAAGGAGCCTCACTTCACCAAAGGCTTTTATAATTTTAATATATAAAACTTCAGGCCAGGCGCAGTGGCTCACTGCGCTCAGTGAGCCACTCGGTGCTGTAATTTCAGCACTTTGGGAGGCCAAGGCAGGTGGATCACCTGAGGTCAGGAGTTCGAGACAAGCCTGGCCAACATAATGAAGCCCAGTCTCTACTAAAGATACAGAAATTAGCCGGGCGTGGTGGTAGGCACCTGTAATCCCAGCTACTTGGGAGGCTGAGGCAGGAGAATCGCTTGAACTCGGGAGGCGGAGGTTGCAGTAAACCAAGACCGCACCATTGCACTCCAGCCTGGGCAACAGAATGAGACTCTGTCTCAAAAAACAAACAAACAAACACCCAAGAACTTCATAGGATTATAAAAATATAAGGGATTATCTATTCCTTTTTCAGACAGAAACACATCTAAACCTACAAAGACCGATGTGAATTCAGCCTCTTTAAAGCTTTCAGCACAGGATGTCATTTTTCCTATTCTTTGGTTCCATTCTAACACTTAACAGTCCTCACCATTAGGACAATATTTCTTTTACTTAATCCCAACCCTGAAGGACTGCTACTTACTAAATTTAGTGTGTATATGGGTATCCTATGAATGTCGATTGGTTATACTTCCTTGAGAACGTGGAGACTTTTTGGATAATCATTTCTATATTCAAGGAATCTTTTCAAATGATTTAATGCAATACCTTAAAAAGTACACTTTTAAAGCAAACTCAAGGCCCCCTCTCACCCCTACTTCATCTTCTCTGAGGGCGTTAATGTGTCTTGCTGGTTCTCCACTGTATCCCCAGAGCCTAAGGCAGCCCTGGACTCAAAGCATGTAGCTCCTCCATAAGTATTTTTTAAATCTCTGTATTTTTCTTTTTGAGATGGAGTTTCATTCTTGGTTGCCCAGGATGGAGTGCAATGGTGCGATCTCAGCTCACTGCAACCTCGACTTCCTGGGTTCAAGAGATTCTCCTGCCTCAGCCTCCTGAGTAGCTGGGAATACGCGCCCAGCTAATTTTTGTATTTTTAGTAGAGACGGAGTTTTGCCATGTTGACCAGGCTGATCTTGAACTCCTGACCTCAGGTGATCCGCCCACCCTGGCCTCCCAAAGTGCTGGGATTACAGGTGTGAGCCACTGTGCCTGGCCTAAAATTTTAACTTGACATATAATAATTGTACATATTTATGCGGTACATAGTAATGTTTCAAAACATACAATGTATAGTGATCAGATCAAGGTAATTAGCATATTTATCACCTCAAACTCTTTTCTTTTTGTTGAAAACATTCAATATCCTCTCTTTTAGCTACTTGAAAGCATATAGCATATTATTGTTAACTCTAGTCGTCCTACAGTGCTATATAGAACACTAGAACTTATTTTTTAAACTATTTTGAGATTATCATAGATTCACAAGCAGTTGTAAGAAACAGTACAGAGAAATCTCATATACTCTTCACCCAGTTTTCTCTAACACCTTATATAACTATGGTACCATAGCACAACCAGGAAATTGACATTGATACAATCCTCTGACCTTATTCAGGTTTTTTTAAAATTTACTTATTTTTTATTTTTTTCTCTCCCTCCTCCTCCATCCCTTATTCAGATTTCACTAGGTTACTTGTGTGTATGTGTGACCCATAAGTATTGTTTAAATAAACAAACACAAAGCACTTTCTACAGACTGATCAAATCTGGAAACTAAATTGATGTCAACTCAAACACTGTGGTTTCCCCTCCTCATGCTTTTTCTCCTCTAAGCAGACCCTACATAATTCTTTAGTTTCCTGGGAAAGCAAATGCCTCTTTACCCAATGACCTAGTGAACTTTTATCTACAAAGTGGAGCCTTCTGCAATCTGTGTGTGATCACGCAATAGTAAAATAAAAATGTGCGATATATGAAGACCTAATAACACATCTCCCCCTTGCCTGTGTTGGGCTCATTTATTACACACACACGCACACATACACAGACACACAAACACACACACACAATTGAGTCCTTGCTAGGTAGTAGGTACCATCTAAGTGCTTCACAGTTTCATTATAATTCTCACCTCAACTCTGTGAAGATAGAATTATTATTACTATTGTACAGAGGAAGCTGAGGCAGAGAGGTTAAGTAGTTTGTCCCTCCTCAATTCATGGTTTAAAATTAATATTGTTGTTTTTTTGTTATCATCATCACCATCACATTATGCAAACACCACTCCGGGTAAGGAGTCTTAGATGAGTGAACTTGAACATCTACATACAGAAAAAAAAAATACTCAGGATTTCAACACTCGAAAAGCAAATTATGAACAATGAACCACAGTAGCATTTTCTCCCCAATCTGGATCATATTATATCAAAAATTCCCAAAATAAAAACTCATCTCTGATATTAAAAGTCAAGAGTAGGCTGGGCGCAGTAGCTCACACTTGTAATCCCAGCACTTTGGGAGGCTGAGGCAGGCAGATCATTTGAGGTCAGGAGTTCAAGACTAGCATGGCCAACATGGTGAAACTCTGTCTCTGCTAAAAATACAGGCTGGGCGTGGTGGCTCATGCCTGTAATCCCAGCACTTTGGGAGGCCAAGGCGGGTGGGTCACTTGAAGTCAGGAGTTTGAGACCAGCCTGGCCAACATGGTGAAACCCCGTCTCCACTAAAAACACAAAAATCAGCTGGGCATGGTGGTGCATGTCTGTAATCCCAGCTGCTTGGGAGGCTTGAGGCAGGAGGATCGCTTGAACCCGGGAGGCGGAGGTTGCAGCGAGCAGAGATAATACCACTGCACTCCAGCCTGGGCAACAGAACCAGACTCTGTCTCAAAAAAACCCAAAAAATTAGCTGGGCATGGTAGCATGTGCTTATAATCCCAGCTACTTGGGGAGACCGAGGCAAGAGAATCGCTTGAACCCGAGAGGCAGAGGTTGAGGTAAGCTGAGATCGCACCATTGCACTCCACCCTGCCTGGGTGACACAGCAAGACACTGTCTCAAAAAAAAAAAAAAAAAAAGAGTAACTATCATGATATCATGACTCAAAGGAGTTACAAGGGTTGCTGGGGGGGTTCTGATGTGCACAGAATATTGCTTCTTGTTCTGGGTACCCGGATGTGTGCATGTGATAAACACACATCCCTTCCGATTTAGGTACTTTTATGCATGTATGTTGTTCTTCAGTAAAAAGTTTACTTTTAGAAAGTGTGGGGGCCAGGCACAGCGGCTCATGCTTGTAATCCCAGCACTTTGGGAAGTCAAAGTGGGTAGACTGCTTGAGCCCAGGAGTTCAAGACCAGCTTGGGCAACCCAGTGAAACCTCATCTCTACAAAGAAATACAAAAATAAACCACACCTGGCAGTGTGTGCCTATAGTCCCAGCTACTCAGCAGGCTGAGGCAGGAGGATTGCTTGAGCCCAGGAGGTGGAGGTTGTAGTGAGCTGAGATCGAGCCACTGCACTCCAGCCTGGACAACAGAGCAAGACTCTGTCTCAAAAATAAATAAATAAAGCCAAAAATTCAAAGACAACCGTGTTCCCAGTGAAGACTTCTTACTCTTTTCTGTCTCAAAAATAAATAAATAAAGCCAAAAATTCAAAGACAACCGTGTTCCCAGTGAAGACTTCTTACTCTTTCTAATGCTATGAAGCATCACAGAGAAATGTGTCAAATTTGCTGTAAAACTGAACTTTGCCCCCTCTGAGTGTCAAAACTTGATTTTTAAAAACCTTTTACATTTACGCAAATTGGCTGCACGCTAGCTTTCCCTGTCCAGCAGTAGAATGAATAGAATATATTCAGTCTTTTATTGATCATTTGGGGTCATCAATCAAACACCAATTATTATCCTGTTACTCTAAAGGGAAGCCCTTAGGGGTTTCTGAAGCAGGAGAGGTGCTCACCTCTGATCCAAATGAGCCCATACAATTATGGTTTGAGAGTCCCTGGGTCTCTCTCAGAGTTTTTCTATCTCGTTTTGTTTCTGGCTTGAGTTAGGGCACCTACTTCCAACCTCTCTCCTCCATCACTTTGTCTCATCCTTGGTTCCCACCAGCTCTAAGTTTTAGCTTATAAAATGTCTTATTTTTATTTATTCATTCATCTATTTTGAGACAGGGTCTCACTCTGTCACCCAGGCTGGAGTGTAGTGGCGCAATCTTGGCTCACTGCAACTTCTGCCTCCTGGGCTCAAGCCATCCTCCCATCTCAGCCTCCACTGTAACTGGGATTACAGGTGTGTGCCACTACACCCAGCTAACAGCTTATAAAATTTTATGTTGCTGAAAATCTTAACATCTGTTAAATCTGGGTCGTGGGTACTTAGGGATCTATTATGTTTTTTCTTATGGTTGAAAGAGCTCATTCCAGTTTTAAAGTTAAAACAATATTTCCATAAGCCTGCAAACCCACTAGCCAATTAGTCTTACCTACTCAATAGGTGGCTCGCAGAGATTTGAGGGGCTCTCACAGAAGTGAGGCAGGTGACCTCTAGCACATGGAGTTTTCACAGCATCTATCCTGGCTACATAGAGGCTCTGCTGCAAAGCTCAATATGCTTCAAAATGCTCTCTGGATAAATGAAGGATAAATGCAAAATGTTGCATTTGCATAAGCTGTTTACATGCTTTTTAAAATGTATAAGTAACTGAAATATGGTGGACTTTGGGAGAAAAGGGCAATCTTAACAAACCAAGCCATATTTCCTAAACAAGAATCTATTCTCAACAGTTATAAAAACTGCCTGGAGAGCGGAATTTAAATATTTCTTGCTTCTTTGGCTTGGCACTTACCTAGACACCATTCCTGAGGTTCAATGAGAAGGAAGAAAAAGGTCCCCTAAGCCCACAAGAAGGGGAAATGGTATAAAACAGCTACTTGTGACGGAAACAAGGCTTTGCTGTTAGAGGCTGTAGTTGGCATTCCATTTCTCCCAGAAAATGAGGGGAAATACAAACATTATAGATGAGAAATACACTTTAAATCCTTTAAAAGAAAAGATATTGATGGTGGAACATGCTAGCATGACAAACTTAAAAAGAAAGAAAGGGAGGGAGGAAGAAGTGAATACCTGTGTATAATTATCTTAAGACAATGAAGAGAAAAATACAGTAACTTGAATTTGGGTTTAATTATTAGAAAATGTCGGCTGGGTGTGGTGGCTCACGCCTGTAATCCCAGAACTTTGGGAGGCCAAGACAGGCGGATCTCTTAAGGTCGGGATTTCAAGACCATCCTGGCCAATGTGGTGAAACCCTGTCTCTATAAAAAAATAGAAAAATTAGCCGGGCATGGTGGCTCACACCTGTAGTCCCAGTGAGCCACTGCACTCCAACCTGGGCAACAGAGCTGGAGTTTCTGTCTCAAAAAAAAAAAAAAAAAGAAAGAAAGAAAGAAAAGAAAAGAAAATGTCTCAGCTCCTTGTTGCATAACCAAAACTTGGGAATATGTGAAAATGTATACTCTCTAAAATGTAATCTCTGGTTTGACACCAGCTTTCCATCCATATACCATTACAAAACTATTTATATACACAAGTTTGTCTTAGAGCAGGCAATGCAAATTTAGAATCTGTCAAAGTGTGTGTGGTAGGGGAAGAGTGCTTAGAGGGAGAGAAATGTCCCCAAACATGGAAAACATTTTGACTCTAGTTCTTCTGTGTTTAAATCTTGTGATTCATGAAGGCGGGAACATGTCTATCTTGTTCACTGTCACATCCCAGTATTTAGCATAGAGCTTGGCATATAGTAGGAATTCAGTAAGTATGTTTTTGTTTTTGTTTTCTGAGACAGAGTCTCTCTCTTTGCACCCAGGCTAGAGTGCAGTGGCGGGATCTCGGCTCACTGCAACCTCGGATTCCCGGGTTCAAGCAATTCTCATGCCTCAGCCTCCAGAGTAGCTGGGATTACAGACCAGCACTACCATGCCCGGCTAATTTTTGTATTTTTAGTAGAGATAGAGTATCACCATGTTGGCCAGGCTCGTCTCGAACTCCTGACCTCAAGTGATCTGCCCACCTTGGCCTCCCAAAGTGCTGGGATTACAGGCGTGAGCCACCATGCCCGGCCCAAATAATTCTAAATAAAGCACAGGAATAATTGCTAATAAAGCACAGTAGTTCATTCAGTATTGCCAGCAAATGAGCAAATCCTCTTTTACTTTTTTTAAAATTTATTTTTTTAATTTAGAGACTTGACAATTAAAAATTGCATATATTTGTGCTATACAACATGTTTCCATACACACACACACACACACACACACACACACACACACATCGTGAAATGGTTAAATCAAGCTAATTAACATATCCATCACCTCACATACTTATTTTTTAGTCTTCTTTTTTTTTGAGACAGAGTCTCACTATGTCGCCCAAGCTGGAGTGCAGTGGCATGATCTTGGCTCACTGCAACCTCTGCTTCCTGGGCTCAAGATATTCTCCTGCCTCAGCCTCCCAAATAGCTGGGATTACAGGTGCACACCACCATGCCCGGCTAATTTTTGTATTTTTTTGTAGAGACAGGGTTTTGCCGTGATGTTCAGGCTGGTCTCCAGCTCCTGGGCTCAAGTGATTCTCCTGCCTCAGCCTCCCAAAGTGCTAGAATTACAGGCATAAGCCACCATGCCAGGCCCATAAAATGCACAAATCAAAAAACTCAAGAAAAATTGTACTGCTG
This sequence comes from Homo sapiens, assembly GCF_000001405.40. Taxonomy (NCBI): domain Eukaryota; kingdom Metazoa; phylum Chordata; class Mammalia; order Primates; family Hominidae; genus Homo; species Homo sapiens. The sequence goes on along the minus strand of NC_000002.12, from coordinate 171,532,472 downwards.
ATGCAAGTATTAGCTAATAGAAGACCAAATGGCCCTTTCAAATAAGTAAAAAGCATTCTGCACTTGGACCCACTTAACAACTTGAAGTGAATTCAAAAATAAAATAAGAGTAAGTTATTGAGTTTGAAGTACACTGGAATTTTAAAACACTTATGAATTCTACTTAAACATGGTGTGCTCATTACACTTCCCTTCCCTCTTTGAATAAAGTATTATTTCACTCTCCTTGGCAGAATGCTCAGAACAGGATTATCAGTCTCCACAACTCATTTCCCTCTGCACGCAAGAGCTTACCAGATTCTATCCAAAGGACCTTAAGTTTAAATGAAAAAGCAGAGAATCTTCTTTAAATAAACTTCTTGAAAAGATTCCTGCAGTGGCTGTCAAAGAGAATCAGAGCTTTGAAACATGTCTGTGCATTCAAACTGTCTCACAGCACGAATGTCATGAAACTGAAAATCTCTGGAAAGTCAAAATGAAGGAAGTGATTCAGATGATTTGGAAGATATTTTTAGCCCTAGAAACATCTCTGAGTGATTAAAATCCTCGCAAAGGCAGCTACTTGGTACCAAATACATGTAGAAAAAGAAAAAAATTCAATTAATTGACTACACATTTAAAAATATTCAGAAATTGTGTGTTTTCAGAAAGATCAGCTATATTTTCTTGTGCCTCATATCAATATTATGACAGGTTAGAAAGAGTACTGGCTTTGATACTACCTGGTTGTCTGACCCTGGCCAGACATTTGGTCTCTAAAATGAAGGGTAGAACTTAAGGTCCCAGCCAGCTCTAAATATTTAAGGATCAATATAACCTACATTTCTAAACAAAACAACAAAAAACCCCATCATAATTTGAGCTGGGACGGTGCGGTGGTTCACAACTGTAATCCCAGCACTTTGAGAGGGGTGGAAGAATCACTTGGGCCCGGGAGGTCGAGGCTGCAGTGAGTCATGATTTCGCCACTACACTCCAGCCTGGCTGACAGAGCAAGACCCTGTATCAAAACAAACAAGCAAAAAGAAAGAAACCATAACTCGTGTCCAACCAAATTAAATGGGAACAGCTTGCAGACCGAGCTGTATCTTACTTGTTTTACACAGTGTCTGGTACACAGTAAGTACTTAATAAATATGTTAATTAAATGGATAGGATAATATGAAGAAATTGAATGAACAACAACAAAAACTTAGAAAAGTACAGCCAAAGTCTGTATAGTCATTTCAAAGCTTGTTTTGACCTTTTAAGGAAGTCTCTATATAAAGAAAAAAGTTATAACAAAGATTTCTAGTCTTTCTTTTTTTTTTTTTTTTTTGAGACAGGGTCTTGTTCTGTCCCCAGGCTGGAGTGCAGTGGCATGGTCATGGCTCACTGCAGCCTCAACCTCCCAGGCTCAAGTGATCTTCCAGCCTCAGCCTCCTGAGTAGCTGGGACTTACCAACACACACCAGCACGCCTGGCTAATTTTTGTATTTTTTTTTGTAGAGATGGGGTTTCACCATGTTGCCCAGGCTTGTCTCCCTACTTGGCTTCCCAAAGTCCTGGGATTACAGGCATGAGCCACTGTGCCTGGCCCTCTATCTTTCTTAAAAAGGAAGAATGTTCTACCTTTTAAGGGAAAAATTTAAAACCTTGCAAAGTCAAGTCAGAAAACCCTAGCAGGAGTCACCTGTAAACTGGAAGCTATGGACTGGAATTTGGTCCAAAGATGTTGTTTTGTTTGATCAGCCCAATGTTTTGGAGGTTTTGTTTTTGTGGCTGGTTTACTTTTTGTTTGAACCAATTTTTTAAAAACCTGGATTCTCTCGGGAGAATGAGAAGCCCTGGCAACCTTGAACTGGCATCCTCACGTAGCCACGATCCACTGGGGCTAAGTGGAAGCTTCCTGTTTTGCCAGGAGTGAGCACTCTCTAGTTCCCTACAGTTCCCACCTCTCACACAAGTGTACACCTATACTCTGCTGCATGAGGATTTGACCTTTAATTAACTGCCTTAGTAAACAGATAAGTGGTTTGTCACCAGTTATTAGGCAACGCTGGTTATAATAAAAACTGACCCAATTGGTAAACTGTGTCTGGACTGAGAGAAACAATGAAAAATCTGTAAATACCTGATGACGATGCCAATACTTTGGGCTTCCCAGAGTGCAGTGATAACTGTTATAGCCTATATTAATCCCCTAGAGCTACCATAACAAATTACCAGAAATCTAGTAACTTAAAACAACATATTTATTATCTCTCAGTTCTGGAGGCCAGAAATTAAAAATCAAGGTGTTATAATAGCAGGATGGTCCTGAGGGAGAAGCCATGCCATACCCTCTTCGGCCTCTAGGGGAGCCAACAATTCTCCATTTTCCTTGGCTTGTGGCCACATCACTCCAATCTCTGCCTGTCTTCACATAGCCTTCTTCTCTGTGTGTCTTTGTCTCAAATCTCCTTCTCCTTTCTCTTATAAGGGCACCAATCATAGGATTTAGAGCCCAGTCTAAATCCAGGGTGACCTCATCTTGAGATCCATAGTTAACATCTGCAAAGATCCTATTTCCAAGTAAGGTCACATTCATGGATACCTGGGATTAGGATTTAGACATACCTTTTTGGGGGGCACTGTTCAACCCACTACCTATCCCTTGCAGGGATCATAGAAGTAGGTATACAGAGTACTACAAAAGACAGTGGTTCCTATGGGGCAAGGGGACTTTAAGCTCTGATCTCACCAGTGCAGATCTCATCTCCTGGTGCCTGAGCTGTTACCTGAGGAAAGGATAGCTTACTGAGGGCTATGATGACTGCTGCTGCAAGGATGCCCACTGCCACTGCCCAGCCACTGTCCTGCCAGCAAGCTCTGACTTCTGTCCTACATCCTTCTGAGTAGACTGGTGTTCAGTATGGTCTTAATAGTCTCTCATGTCTTTTTTTTTTTTTTTTTTTTTTTTGAGACAGAGTTTCACTCTTGTTGCCCAGGCTGGAGTGCAATGGCATGATCTCAGCTCACCGCAACCTCTGTCTCCTGGGTTCAAGCGATTCTCCTGCCTCAGCCTCCTGGGTAGCTGGGATTACAGGTATGCACCACCCTGCCCGGCTAATTTTGTATTTTTAGTAGAGATGGGGTTTCTCCATGTTGGTCAGGCTGGTCTCGAACTCCCGACCTCAGGTGATCCACCTGCCTTGGCCTCCCAAAGTGCTGGGATTACAGGCATGAGCCACCGCCCCTGGCAGCAGTTTCTCGTGTCTGAATGTTTAGTTGAATCCAGAAAGACACCCTGGTGGGTGCTGTATACTAAATCTACTTCACCTATTTACTTTGTACTCCAATCCTTGTTGGTGTGACCCTCTGGTTTAAAGAACTGGCCAAACTTCCATCAATTTAGTAAATATTCATTGAATGTTTATTATGTGTTGGGTAATGCTATGGATACAGCATTGAAGAAAACAGACAAAATCCCTTCCTTCTGGGAGTTTATATTCTAGTAGGAGAAGACAGACAATAAATTAATAGTCAGTGATCAGAATTTAGATAATACTGTATTTTGAATTCAGAGTCTATAAGATTTTCTAGTGAAATGGCTGAGAAGTATGGAAGAGAAGAATCACAGATGACTGCATAATTTCGTCCTGAACGACTACAAGGATAAAGTTGCCATTTACTGAGATGGTGGAACCTATGGGAGGAGTTGGTTTTGCAGGCATGAGGAAGATCAAGAGCTGAGATTTGGACATGCCTATCTGATATTCAAGTAGAGAGTTTGAGTAGGCAAACAGATATTTGGATTTGGAGTTCAGGGAAGAGTCTGGGCTGAATATACAAATTTGAGAGGGTTCAGTGTATAGATAGTACTTAAAGCGAAGAAGAGACTGGATAAGATTGACCACCAAAGAAGTGAGTGTAGAAAAAAAGAAGTGGTCAGAAGACTGAGGCTTGAGCACTCTAACCTGCCGTCATCAGGAAGATGAGGAAGAACCAGCAAAGGAGACTGAGGATGGGGCAGCCAGGAAAGAGAGAAGAGCCATGAGAATCAGGTGTCCTGGAAGCCACCCAACTTACCAGGTGAAGAAAGAGAAGCCAAGTAAAGAAAGTGTCCCGGCCAGACGTGGTGGCTCACACTTCTAATCCCAGCACTTTGGGAGGCTGAGGCGGGTAGATCACCTGAGGTCGGGAGTTCAAGACCAGCCTGACCAACGTGGAGAAACCCCATCTCTACTAAAAATACAAAATTAGCTGGGCATCGTGGTGCATACCTGTAATCCCAGCTACTCTGGAGGCTGAGGCAGGAGAATCGCTTGAACCCGGGAGGCAGAGTTTGCGGTGAGCTCAAATCACACCATTGCACTCCAGCCTGGGCAACAAGAGCAAAACTCCATCTCAAAAAAAATAAAATAAAATAAAGTGCCCCAAGGAGGAGTGAGGGGTCAATTATGTCAAATGCTGCCTTCCACTCAAACACTATTAGGACTGAGAATTGACCAATGGAATTAGTGACATGGTAGTCATTAGCTACCATATTAAGCACAATTTTGGTGGAGCAGGAGATGAAAACCTAATTGGAACCGGCTCGAGAAAGAACAGGAAGAAAGGAACTAGAAACTGCAGGTATGGACAAAAATTTCAAAAGTTCATAGTAAGGCAAGCAGAGAACTGAGGCAGTAGCTGAGGGATATACAGGGTCAAGAGTGATTTTGTTTTGTTTTGCTTTGTTTTGTTTTCGAAGATGATAGAAATTATAACATGTTGGAAATAAGCCAGTTGGGGGAGAAACTTAATGATGCAGAAAAAGGAGGGAGAACTGGGATGAAGGGAAGAGGAGGTACAGATTGTACTTAAGCAGCAACATTCTCATCAGCTAGAGGCCTCAGAATAAAGATGCGTTTCCAGTGCAATATGATGTCCATTCTTCCTGGAGGTTGACTAAGCCAGTGCTTTTAAACTGGCTGAACAGGAGAATCACTAGGGAAAAGCGAGGGTGTGTTTACTTTAGACACTATTGTTATCGTCACAAGTAAGTGGCTGTAAACTGCATTTTGTTACTAACAATTCAATGATGGTACAGAAATAATCACTCATTCATTCAACAACCACTTACTCGTCTACCATGTGCCAGTTCTCAGTGTTATTCTAGGTACTGGGGATATAGCACTGAGCACCACAGTCATATCTAAAACATTTTTATTGGTTGCATTATTTAAAAATCTATGTGTATTTATTTACAACAAAAAATATGTTGGGGATATTTTTTGTGGTTTTGGTCACAAAATTGCTTTAAATCATCTCTTTACGCTTTGTAAAAACCCTTGTATCGCTAATATTGATAGGATTTATTATCAATGGTGTCCCTGAAGCTTCTTTTAGAGTAGGTATTTGGGACACTTTCTCCGTTATCTTACTTGCTGGATTTTACCCCAAGAGCCTTTTCAAGTCTATTTAAGTAATCTTGGAATTTGGTCACTTTTAGATAAATTAATAGGATATCCCAACTGTTTTTTAAGAACTGCTCTTAATTTCTGTTAGTCTTTTAAATGTTACTTAAAGGTAGTTATATTATCTCACGAAATCAACTTGAGATCATTAGACTATTTAATTTCTCTCCCTTCAGTTTATACAATAAAAGGAGTTCTACACAGGAAAGGAAGGAATATAGAATTGCCAAGACTTCTTTTCGCTAAATGTAGACACCCGAATTTTCTACCTTTCACTAAAGAACACATTCCACCTTGCTGAACCTTTTAAAAGGTCAACAGCCACTTTGACAGCGTTTATTTGTTTCAGTCTTTTCTGTGGCCCTCTTTTCAAGGTTCGTTTCTCTGATTTCCTAGTAGTATACTTATTTCATGGGAAACATTTCTTTCAGAGAAGCACAAAGCCTCTTCTAAACCCTTCCTCATTCATGTTAGAGTCTGTTAGCTAGATTTCCCACTAGTTTAAAATTTTATTTTAGTTTTAGATTTCCCATGATCTGTTATACTTTAATTTAGAATATATACATATTCCAAAATATACTTGGAGTATGGGAGGTGGGGAGAGAGAGGGGGAAAGGAGGGGAGAGAGAGGGGGAAAGGAAGGGAGAGGGACACAGAGGAGAAAATGGGACAAGGAGAGAGAGGGTGAGCGAGAAAGGGAAAGGGGAATAAAGAAGGAGAGGGAGATTTGTTTTGTAACTTCTATGTTAGCTTTGCTTCTTTGGAGTTTATCCCTCTTTTTTTTTCGAGACAGAATCTCACTCTGTTGCCCAGGCTACAGTGCAGTGGCACAATCTTGGCTCACTGCAACCTCCACCTCCCAGGTTCAAGCAATTCTCCTGTCTCAGACTCCTGAGTACCTGGGATTACAGGTGCCTGCCACCACGCCCAGCTAATTTTCGTATTTTTAGTAGAGACAGTGTTTCACCATGTTGGCCAGGCTGGTCTCGAACTCCTGACCTCAGGGGATCCACTCGCCTCAGCCTCCCAAAGTGCTGGGATTATAGGCGTAAGCCACCGTGCCCGGCCAGAGCCTACTTCTTTTTTTTTTTTTTTTTTTTTTTTTAGACGGGAGTTTCGCTCTTGTTGCCCAGGCTGAAGTGCAATGGCAAGATCTCGACTCACCGCAACCTCCGTTTCCCGAGTTCAAGCAATTCTCCTGCCTCAGCCTCCCAAGTAGCTGGACTGTGCCGGCCCAGAGCCTACTTCTTAAAGGTGTTTCAAAGGACTCATACTTGTTCTTAGTTTCAAATATTGTTTACTATTTGTATATTGCATTTCTAAAGCATTTTATACTTAGAGTAATAACTGTACTTTAGCCTTCTCTTCTTCATCTCCAAATATTTGTGTATTACAGAAGAGAAGAACTCCAATACATCGTGTTCTTTGTTAGAGATTTGAAATCTCATAGCCTAAAATTTTCCTCCTTGCAGCAATCACACACGGTAAAAAAGTCTGTTATAACATGGCGAGTCTGTAACATGTGGGTCCCTCGCAGCCTATAAAGTTTATTTATTACTCCCCCTCCTTCCACTGGAGCCTTCCTAATACTTAGGGTGAGGAATGTGGATGGGTTGGCCAAGATATGGAAGAACTGGGGAGAACTATACATGTGCCTACATGTATGAAAACATTTATGCTCATGTCAATTAAATGCATTATGATTAAAGTGATTTGCACATCCAGGATCCAAACAGGAAACAGGATGAGTAATGACGGGACAAACTCTGGACCATTGATACAAATACAGTAATTGAACCTAAAGAAAACAAGATCGGCCGGGTACTGTGGCTCACGTCTGTAATCTCAGCAGTCTGGGGGGCCGAGGTAGGCGGATCACTTGAGGTCAGGAATTCGAGGCCAGCCTGGCCAACATGGTGAAACCCCGTCTCTACTAAAAATACAAAAATTAGCTGGGCGTGGTGGTAGGCATCTGTAATCCCAGCTACTGGGGAGGCTGGGGCAGGAGAATTGCTTGAACCTGGGAGGTGGAGGTTGCAGTGAGCCAAGATTGCGCCACTGCACTCCAGCCTGGGCGACAGAGCAAGACTACGTCTTGAAAGAAAGAAAAAAAGAAACAAGATTTTCGTAAGAGCAGCAGATGAAAATTGCCAAAATTTACACATTTTTGTCCAAGAGTTAAGTATGAACAGATTAAGAGAAGTACAAAGTTTAGAGAAATTTAAAAACCTTTTAGAAAACCGTATATTGGACTCTAACATGAATGAAGAGTTTCAAAACATATTTTAGATGAAGGTTTTCGCTGTCTAAAAAGATTTGGCAGAAAATAAGCATATTGCCATAAAAGCAGAGAATCCAACTTTGACGATAAGGTCACTGAAAAGACTTAAAACAACTTTCATGGGTAAGTTACATAACTTCTCTGCCTCAGTTTACTCTTACATACATGTGATGTGACATAATGCACTTAGTGGACACACAGCATGCAATCACTATTAGCCATTCTGATGTCTTCTCCTCTGTGGCAAGTCAGGCAACGAGCAATAACACTTGTGTTTCCCTTACCCTCAATTATGAGAAGATATTCCAAGACCTCCAGAAAGCTTTTTGGTATTAGAAGCTGCTCTGAAGAGTTGGGTAGAAGAGGAGACTGGCTCTACTCTTTGAGCAAACAAGGTGTAGACAGCTCGGGGCCAAACTTAAGGGCTCCACCACGAAGGAAAGAGTGCTTCTGACAGTTACTTTGGAACTTGAGTATGTTTTTTTCTTATAAGCATAGTGGCAAAATAACTGAGAGTTACGCAACGAAATGCCTTAGGTGCCCAGTGGTGCTCACACCCTGATGCCGATCTCACACCCTGATGCCGATCTCACACCAGGGAAGCCTTTGAATGCTGAGGGTTAGTAACACCTTCCACTACATTCCAGAGTGGGAGAATGCTGGCCACACTTGCCAAAGCTGCAGTACAAGTTTAAAACAACCAACAAAAACAAAAGCCAAAATCACTTTTCTTTAGGAATGAGGTCAGCACTCTTTTGCACACTCGTTTGTGGGGAGTTAAATATTTGGTGAAGAAAAGGCAGCCTGCCCGCAGGCAAAGCTAGAGATTTCGGCCAGTGGGCATATCTTTCCAAACCCTTGCTACTCCTCTCGATTATTTTCTGCGACATAACACCACTCCACCCCTTGCTGCCTTTCTCTAACTACTTTCTGAAGGCCGTGCCTTTGGGGAAGTGGTTACAAATAAATGGTGTTTGCGCCAAAAGCTAGAGGTTCCTCCAGCTACACGGCAAACCGAAGGAAGCAGTCAGGACATTGAGAGGCACTACACAATGACAACAAACATTGCCAGCGACTGCTGAGCCCCTCCCCCGCGCCAGCCTCAGCCCAGAGAATGCAGGCCCGGGGCTGGCTCGCCGCGGGCCAAACACGGACGCAGCTTGCGCCGGGGGCATCCCGAGCAGAGGCATCCCTCGGTGCCAGGCAGCCGCGGGCCCTCTCCGGGCATCTCCCACCCGGAGTGCTGGGCCAGTGCCCAATAGGAAGCCCCGCGGGGGAACTTTCGCCACTCTTCTGCCACATAAACAAGTCGGGCTCAAGACCGTCCAATGACTGGGCAGGGCGGCGAAACACACTTGGAAGTCCTGGCAGCTTCCCGGACTCGACTGAGTTTAACACTCTAGGAGGAGAGGAACCCAGGGCGGATGCTTCACTCGCCCCCCTTGGCCAGCCCCTTTACCCAGGGCCGAGGATGTTACAAATACGGGCAAATTCTCGCTCCGGCAATCTTTTCCCCGCTGCCTTCCCCTCCTCATCTGCAGCCTGGAAGCAAGTTCAGCAAAAGGCTGAGGCGAAAGTGTTTCCGCGCCCCCGATCGCGCAGGCTCGGTCCACAGGGGCGACTTTCCGGGGCGCGTGGGCTGCAGCGGCCCGACTGCGCGGCGCTCCGGCATCGCGCCCGGGCTCAAGTTTCTGGGTCTTGGAGGCCCCTCCAGTGCGTCCTAGCCAGTCGCCGCAAAGAGTTAACCAAGTGGGGCCGGCCCCGCTCCGCCGCCCCCAGCAGCGCGTCTCCACCGCGCACCCCCGGCCCCGCGCTCGCGGCGATCCTCCTGAACCGCAGCTCTGTCCCGCCCCAGAGCCAGCCAGCCTCCCTCCCGCCCAGCCGACTTGGCTTCCCGCGCGCTCCTCACCGCACTCCTCCGGGCCCCGCGATCCTCCAGCACTTCCTCAGCTGGAAGGGGCTTCACGGAGGACCCTCTGCCCCCGCCGTTCTCCCCGCTTTCCTCCCCGCACCCCCCCAGGAGGTGCCAGTACCGATGCCCTGGATGAAGACGAAGCCGGTGACCATGAGCACTGGGTGCCAGTTAAACTCTAGTGCGCTCCCATCCCAGCCAAGCCCCTCTCGGTAGTGGAGGACCCAGACGAGGGCGAAGATCACCGACAGGAAGCCGACGAGCAGTGCCGACCCCAGCAGCGCCAGGAAGCGCCAGTAGCCCTCCATGGCCATCAGCGCCCCATACTCCGCACCGCGGGGGCCACAAGAACTTGGAGAGGCGGCGGCAGCCCTCTGGGTAGTGGCCGGGCGGCGGGACCGGGGCGTCGACTTCTTGGGGCTGTCTCCGCCTGCGGGGAGGGACTTTCTGGGCTGCTGGCCCGGAATGTGGGGCCTCTTGGGGGTGGGGAGCTGGCCCCAACTCAGAAATGGGCCCCACCCCCGGGATCACGCGGCCGCCGAGGGCGCTCATTGCCTGGTGGCCTCACCCTCTCCCTCGTCCAGCATCCAAGCTCGCAGAGGGCTTCAGTAACAGACCTAGTTAGTTGCTCAAAGAGAAAATTCCGAGGATTTTATACTCACCACTTGCTTTTAACACTTCCCGTGTCTCGTCCTTATTTGTGGGGAGGTTGAGTAGGGCAGTGGTGCGCCCTCTTGGTTAAGAGAAGAGAGGGATCCGTTGGGTAGGGTTATGTGTGTGCTTTTAACTACTAACGAAGCCTCCTTAGCCACAGTGCTGGAGAATTGGCTGTCTCTGACATCAAAGGGTGTTAAGGAGGAACCTGTAAGGTGGTGTAAACTAAAAATAAAATCCTAAGCCCCTCACTGACTGAATGGACCTCCTTGGCCAAGCAGACCCCAGAAAAACCTTAAAGCTGAGTTTCTAGCTACAGCCGGAAGGGAAGTCTACCCCCTCCATTTTGGAATTTAGACTCAACAGCTGACTAGCATTAATGTTTAAAATAGAAATCATAAGGCGGACAGAACAGACTCTTTGTAGCAATAAGACATCAAATTATAAAAAGGACCTAAGTCACACACTCCTACACTTAAGAAATAAACTATGGTCTAACTGCCACAAAGGTTTTCTTTTCCTCTAGAGGCTAAACAAGCACTGGCTTGAGATAAGCAATATTAAAACAATTACAACTTAATCAGTTCACAGATGCTGACCAGCTGAACCCCTGTTGCACCAGCCAGAACTACAGCTTTCACTGGGCTGATTTCAGGAACTTTTTCATGATAAGAAGACCGACCATGGACCGGTTCTGGCCAGTGTACAGGGATTGTGCACTTGTATGCATTCACGTCCTGAAAAGACCTTTTGAAGTGTAGGTTTGAAGTAATACATTTAAATGTATTTGAAGTAATACAATTAAATGTTAAGTCTCCACCCCAAAGAGAACATGTTACATGCATGTTTGTTCAATATGCATGTGTAAGGACCACCTCCATTAATATTCATAGCTCCTCCTGTAACCTGTTACGTATGTATGTTTGGCCAAACTGTTCAGCATAAAGCTCCTACCCCAACCCCTCTGCCTTCCAAGTGCCTGTCTCTGGTCTTAGGCCAGAGGCTATGTTTATCAGCCTATGGAATGGCCTCCTTGCAGGCTATAACCTTTTATAAGAAATAAAGTCTCCTCTTTTTTCAAATTTATAATTTTTTGTTTTAAGTTAACAGTAAAGGCCAGGCGCAGTGCCTCACACCTGTAATCTTAGCACTTTGGGAGGCTAAGGCGGGCAGATCACTTGAGTCCAGGAGTTTGAGAACAGCCTGGGCAACAAGGTGAAACCCTGTCTCTACTGAAAATACAAATGCATGCACCTGTAGCCCCAGCTACTTGGGGGACTGAGGAAGGAGGATCACTTGAGCCCAGAAGGTCGAGGCTGCAGTGAGCTGAGGTTGCACCACTGCACTTCAGCTTGGGTGACAAAGTGAGACTCTGTCTCAAAAAAAAACAAAAAACAAAAAACAAAAAAAACCCAGTAAACCGGGTCCCCATGAGGTGTCTCACAGCTGTAATCCCAGGGCTTTGGGAGGTGGAGGCAAGAGAATCACTTGAGCTCAGGAGAGGTATGATCGCACCACTGCACTGCAGCCTGGTGACAGCTAGACTCTGTCTGGAAACAAAACAAAAACAGCATGGGCAGCGGTGGGCTTGGCCTTATCCTGCAATGAAACTACTTGCAGTTTGCTCTTGAGAGAGGGAAGACAGGAACCTCCTGGACCTGGACTTGCCGTTTAGTGTGACAAATGGATTTTCAAAGTGCCCGCCCACCCAAACCAATTTGAACCAAAGCCCCTCCTTGATGAAGTGAAGCTTGCTCCCTGCCCTCTTTCCAACATTATCCTCACCCTTCTCCACTGGACAAAAACAATGTCAGCATTATCTAATGCTATTATAAGAAAAAGGGTTCTGACTGCCAGGGCTTCCAGAATGCATTTGGGAACGTTCACTTCTAGCCCTCTTCTGTAGCTCATCTCCAAGGACTACTTTGCTATATTGTCTTGTTGCCGTCTTGAAAGACCTTAGAATGTGCAGGAAGTATACGGGGATGATTTTCAAAGCAGGCTAAGGAAATAGGAGTGGCAAGCCATGGTAGTAGGGCAGGATTAAGGGCTCAGAGTAAAAGGCTGTAGACCTCACCTGTGTCATTATTTTTCCCTTGGTGGGGAGAGTAAGCAAATGGAAGAGAAGGATACCTTTCCCCAGCACAAGGCTTTCTTTGATCTGGTCCAGCCTAGCACCCCCTGCCAGTCTCTTACCACAACCTGACTGGCCCTGATGTCCTTGGCTGTAAACTGCTCTGGCAGCTTCTGACCACTTCCTACCCACGCCACTGCCTCTAAATTTCCCTGACCCCCATCTCCACTGAGAAACCTTCCCTGAGTCTGCCCCTGCCCAGACTTTTATATCCCACTGACCTCCCCATCCAGTGCCTCCTTGTGTCACCTGTCAGGATGTAATATAAGGATCTGCTTCTCTGGCTGTCTCCACTCTCAGACTGCCCTATTGAAGGCATTGATTCTCTAATTGATCATTTTATTCCTCCTTGGGATGTGGTAGTTACTCAATAAACATGTGTTGGGAGGCTAATGAGACTGAGTGTGTTAATCAGGGTCCTGGCAGAAAACAAACAGCATATTGGAATTGAGTAATTTCATAATGAACAAGACTGTTTATGAAGTTGTGGGCAGTGTAGGAAACCTCAGGGTTAGGCAGTGCCCCAGGTCTGAAGGGCAGAGAATTACTGGAATCCAGAGAGAAAATTGTGCGGAGGGGGAAGTCCGATAGAGGCCTTGAGTACAGGGATGCAGCCAGCCTGCAGAGACCTCATAGGGAGAAAGATGGAAGCAGATAAATATTCCAGCCTTACTCTTCTCCCCTCTGATCTTCTGCCTAGGGTGTCCCAGGGGCTAACCAGAACCTAATCAGAAGCCACAGGGCAGTCCATGTATCCATCCCAGGTCAACTTAGGGCACAGAGCAGAAGAGAGAAGAGTGAGAGCGGATCCCTAGGAATAAAAGGAAACTATCCCTGAATCTTCCGGTTTTATTTTTTCAGACCTTTTTTTGGTTCCTGAGTGCTGCAAACATTGCCTGTTTCATCTTACACTGATTCTTTTCCTTTGCGAACTTTAGCTTGTAATTCTATAATGACATCATTGTATCCCTATCCCTCTCCCTAAAAGTATCTAGTCTTTGTCCTCAATTAATGTTTTCACCCCATTGACCTAACACCTTCACTCCACTCTTGAGTTAATTTTGCTTCATAGCAGCAGCAGATGAGAATCTCTGGGATTCCAGACCCCATTTAACAAAACATTTCGGGAGGATGAAAACATGGCCAAATGGTACCAATGGTGTTGAATCATCTTGAAGTTATATGTAAAACTGAGAGAATTTCAACTTTTAAATTATCTTTTAAGAACCTAACTTTGATATTAAATAAAACTGTCACTGAGAAGGGGAAATTTTTCAATAAACATTGTTGTGGCTTACTGTTAACCTTTTAATTAATTAATTAATTATTTTTCTTTTTGAGACAGGGTCCCACTCTGTCACCCAGATTGGAGTGCAGTGGCATGATCTTGGCTCACTGCAGCCTCCACCTCCTGGACTCACCCTCCTGCCTCAGCCTCCCAAGTAGCTGGGACCACAGGCGTGTGTCACCATGCCTGGCTAATTTTTGTATGTTTGGTAGAAAGGGGGTTTCATCATGTTGCTCAGGCTGGTCTCAAACTCCTGAGCTCAGGAGATCCACCTGCCTTGGCGGCCCAAAGTGCTGGCATTATAGGCATGAGCCACCACCCCTGCCTGTGAACTTTTTTAAAACAGAGTTGTTAAATGATAGAAGTTTCCCTCTGGAGATTGTAAGCAGTTTGTCACCAAAGTACCTAATCAGACTCAATAACCTGTCAGCAATGCTGTTGGGTGATTCCTGATGTAGCAGGTGGGGGAGAGCATTGAAGAAGATGGCCTTCCTAAAAACCTAGAAGCTGGCCGGGCGCAGTGGCTCACGCCTGTAATCCCAGCACTTTGGGAGGCCAAGGCGGGCAGATCTTGAGGTCAGGAGATCGAGACCATCCTGGCTAACACGGTGAAACCCTGTCTCTACTAAAAATACAAAAAATTGGCCAGACGTGGTGGCAGGCACCTGTAGTCCCAGCTACTCGGGAGGCTGAGGCAGGAGAATGGCGTGAACCAGGGAGGCGGAGCTTGCAGTGAGACGAGATCACGCCACTGCACTCCAGCCTGGGCGACAGAGCGAGACTCTGTCTCAAAAAAAAAAAAAAAAAAAAAAAAACAAACAAAAAAAACACCTAGATGCTAGAAACATGCTCATGCAGAATTTTTTGTCCCTCACACAGATGTAGAATGTAGAGTAAGAAGACATGTTGTGAGGGTTGTGGAAAGAAAATCCAAATCCCACCCATCAGGAGATGAGGCACTGGGAGCCCTAGATGCCATCTGTCTTTTGAACTTCCACAAAATAATGTTGCATTTCTTCTGGTGCATACAGAAGTCCAGTATGCTGCTCTTCTGAGGATCCGGCAAGATGGCAGAAGTAGAGCAGAAGAAGAAGCGGACCTTCCGCAAGTTCACCTACCGCGGCGTGGACCTGGACCAGCTGCTGGACATGTCCTACGAGCAGCTGGAGCAGCCGATGCAGCTGTACAGTGCGCGCCAGCGGCGGCGGCTGAACCGGGGCCTGCGGCGGAAGCAGCACTCCCTGCTGAAGCGCCTGCGCAAGGCCAAGAAGGAGGCGCCGCCCATGGAGAAGCAGGAAGTGGTGAAGACGCACCTGCGGGACATGATCATCCTACCCGAGATGGTGGGCAGCATGGTGGGCGTCTACAACGGCAAGACCTTCAACCAGGTGGAGATCAAGCCCGAGATGATCGGCCACTACCTGGGCGAGTTCTCCATCACCTACAAGCCCGTAAAGCACGGCCGGCCCGGCATCGGGGCCACCCACTCCTCCCGCTTCATCCCTCTCAAGTAATGGCTCAGCTAATAAAGGCGCACATGACTCCAAAAAAAAAAAAAAAAAGAAGTCCAGTATGCTAACAGAAAGTCGTAATAAGCTGCACACAGTGGTTTGCTTTGTGGGATAAGCCGAACATTTTTCACTTCTGATTGTTGACTGTGTGTTGGTTCCTCTCTGTTTTCCCCTCCACTCTCCACCCTTTGCCTTGGCTTGTGCTCTGGGAGGCTGACGCCTACAACTGTGTCATCTGACTCTCCTTGTCCTCTGGCTTCCAATTGGGTTTGGCTGATGGCTGGTGCTGACTGGGGATTAGAAGGCAGGAAGCCAGGTCAGCCTATTTATCCCACTGTGACTCCTTGTTGGGACATGGTTTTGCAGTGGCTGCATTCCTCTTTGCCACGGGACTTTCAAGTGTTCCCTTCTCCACAGCTGTGGCTCTCACAGGGGTCCAGTAACACCATCACCACTTGCTTCTACGCGTCTATGAGTGGCATTGGCTTCCTGCTGTGCTTGTCCCTGGTTCTTCACCACTCTTTGCCGAGTTCCCTTAAGGCTGTTGCACCTCTGTTAATAGTCCATTTATTAAACTCACTTCAATTAAATCCTTTGTGCAAACCAGCTATTTCTTGCAAGACCAGATACAAGTGGGGAAATATTCTGACCTGATACTACTGTTCTCCTAGCCTTTTGTTCATGCCTTCTGAAGACATATGATGAATGGAGGAACGGACGCAGTGTGAGAAAATCACAGGCAGGAGGGATGAACTCACATGCTTTCCCTTCCCACTTTCTCTTTTCCTCCCTTCTTCTGGTTAAGAGATTTGGACCAGTGGCTGGGCACAGTGGCTCACGCCTGTAATCCGAGCACTTTGGGAGGCAGAGGTGGGTGGATCACGAGGTCAGGAGCTCGAGACTAGCCTGGCTAACATAGTGAAGCCCCATCTCTCCTAAAAATACAAAAGATTAGCCAGGTGGGTGCCTGTAATTCCAGCTACTTGGGAGGCTGAGGCAGGAGAACCGCTTGAACCCAGGAGGCGGAGGTTGCAGTGAGCCAAGATCGTGCCATTGCACTCCAGCCTGGACAATAAGAGTGAAACTCCGCCTAAAAAAAAAAAAAAGATTTGGACCAGAAAGCTGCCCCAGATGACCAAGACAAAGGAACTCCCTGCCGGCACCATGACTCATGAGGCAAGCCAAGCCCCAGAGTGGTCAGAGGCTTCTTGATGAAATAAAGCAAGGATTACTGCTTTGAAGAGAACATAGCCAAACCCATGTTAAATGGGGGGAATAAACTTTCTTCATGTAAGGCTGGACTGTGTTGTCTAAAACAAACACCTGCATTGCTGAGGGATTTTTCCTCTGAGGGAACTGGAGAGATTAGCTTCTGCTCTCACTGTGGGGATACTGGCTGTGGAAGCAGCCCTCTACCAGTTCTCCAATTCAAGAGGCTCTGGGTCCACCTGCCCCACGTGGGCAGGGCTGGGGCAGTGGAAGGTTTCATTTGTATTGGTCCATAGCCTCTTCCTTTGAGAAGAGGCAGGAAGAAACTCTCTTACTAAGGGAACAGAGTAAGACACTGGACTGACAAGCAGACACAAGGATAAGAGGAAGGTATCTGGGAGAATGGGGAGTGAGCAGAGCATCTTTGAGAGGCATTCCAGCAAAATGTCTAATTCAGTACAGCCTCTTTTGTGCTACGTGGGGAGCATGGGAGAAGAAGAGCATGGGAAGAAGAGTAGGTTAGACCTAGGCATGACTTCTGTTCCCTCCACACTATACTGCTTTGTAAGATCTGCCTGATCCTCCATTTAAATTTTAAATACTTCTGTGAACTCCAAGTATCTGAGACAGGTCCCAGTCAATTTGGAAAGTTTATTTTGCCAAGGTTAAGGACATGTGCCCATGTCATAGCCTCACGAGGTCCTGACGACATGTGCCCAAGGTGGTTGGGGCACAGCTTGGTTTTACACATTTTAGGGAGACATGAGACATTAATTAATATATGTAAGA
The DNA here is from genome assembly GCF_000001405.40 of Homo sapiens. Taxonomy (NCBI): domain Eukaryota; kingdom Metazoa; phylum Chordata; class Mammalia; order Primates; family Hominidae; genus Homo; species Homo sapiens. The sequence continues at coordinate 171,515,274 of NC_000002.12, read as the reverse complement.
TGTACATTGGTTTGGTCTGGAAAGGCAGGACAACTAAAAATGGGGAGGGGCTTCCAGATTATAGAAATTTGCATTTTTTAAAGTTTCTGATTAGCCTTTTCAAAGGAGGCAATCAGATATGCATTTATCTCAGTGAGCAGAGGGATGACTGGATAGAATAGAGAGGCAGGTTTGCCCTAAGCAGTTCCCAGCTTGACTTTTCCCTTTAGCTGAGTGATTTGGGGGCCCCAAGAGTTACTTTGCTTTCACACTTCCGTCACCATCCAGTGCAAGTTTGGTTTAAGGAAAACTGGTAAGGCAGGAAGCACTCAGGAAAGACATTGGTAAGTCTTCCTAATCATCTCCCTCCCCCTCCTTTTTTTTTTTCTTTTGAGACAGGCTCTCCCACTGTCACCTAGGCTGAAATGCAGTGGCATGATCACAGCTCACTCCAGCCTCAAACTCCTGGGCTCAAGCAATCCTCCCACCTCAGTCTCTAGAGTAACTGGGAGTACAGGTGTGTGCCAGCACACCCAGCTAATTTTTAAAATTTTTTATAGAAACAGAGTTTCCCTATATTGCCCAGGCTGATCTTGAACTCCTGGACTCAAGGGATCCTCCTGCTTCAGCCTCCCAAAGTGCTGGGATTACAGGTGTGAGTCACCACACCTATTCCTAATCATCTTGCATCTTCCTAATCATGTGGCAAGATAAAATTAAAAGGACCCCATCCTGGTCGTTTCTCCCCAGCCTAGGCATTAGTAGGTGGAGTGTGCTCTAGGCAGAGTCTGGTCTTTATCCAGGCAAAAGAGAATTAGGATTAAATCCTTGATTCCCCAATTCTCATCTACTACCTTTATCCCATATGTTAGCAGAAAATAGCCAGATGGGGAAGAAAAGGATGGTGCTTGATCACATCTAGGTTCTATTTATTTTAGAGCCCTCGCTCATGCAAATGTATAAACCCTAGGCTAAAATATAAGCTCCTTCAAGGATCTTCAGCTTTTCAAAGACAGATTTGGTGTGTCTTACTTGCTGCTGTTCTTCCAGCCTATTGTCTAAAAATTTACCTGGAAATTGTTTTGAGCAGATATAGTACAACACACAGACACAAAATGCCATGAAGGAAGGAGGTTTTTTATGTTCACAGTCCCCTAGAAACAGGAGGCAAGGCATGGCAGGCAGGGCCACATAGGGAAGCACCGAAGCCAGATGAGCAGGCAGAAAGGGCAGAAGCCTTTATTGTGGCTTTTGAAAAGAGGAAAGGGGAAAGCAAAGTAAGCAAGCAGAACAACCTTATGATTGGACAGTTTAAATAACTTCAGCAGGGCCTGTAGTGATCTGATAAAAGCAGGTAGGTTGGGGCGTGGAACCCTAATTGGTTGGTCTGCATATCAAAGATGTGCTGGCAGGCAAATTCTTATCTCTAGGAATTAGTTAACTCTGGGAGGAGTGGTTCCCCAGGTCCACAAGGCTCCACATGCCAGAGATCTAAGAATACAGACAAATAGTTAACATAGCCTAGAACAGTTGTCAACAGAGAAGAGGCCGTTAAAAACACATTCAAGCACTGACTGGCTGACAGACTGATGAGAAGTTTAGAGAGCCTAAGACAGAGAATTAGCAAGGAAAGAAATGCCCTGGCACATTTTTCTTATAACCAAATTTTACGACATTGGACTGTTTGGATGGCACATTTTAGTATGTAAGAACTGGGTTATACGATTATTATAGAGTAGCCAGAAACATTGTTTTACCTTTGGAGAACTTTTTTTTTTTTTTTGAGACGGAGTCTTGCTCTGTTGCGCAGGCTGGAGTGCAGTGGCGCAATCTTGGCTCACTGCAACCTCCGCCTCCCGGGTTCAAGTGATTCTCCTGCCTTAGCCTCCTGAGTAGCTGGGACTACAGGCGCATGCCACCACATCCGGCTAATTTTTTTGTATTTTTAGTAGAGACAGGGTTTTACCGTATTAGCCAGGATGGTCTTAATCTCCTGACCTCGTGATCCGCCCACTTCAGCCTCCCAAAGTGCTGGGATTACAGGCCTGAGCCACCACGCCTGGCCCTGGAGAACTTTTATTGGATGCTTTCTTGTTTGGCTTTGTAATAACAGGAATAAATGTTCTAATTATAATCTCTGTCACATGGATTTTTTAAAGGACGTTCACTGGCAGTGTCTCAGAATTTTGGCTCATAGATCTGAGGGCCTTATTGAAGTATGAAGGAATCATGCAAGTCCAAAAAGAACTCTGAATGTAGACCAGAGAGGCCCTCTTAATAGGTCAAGTGTTTGGCTAGATAAATTTTGCCTACAAACTTTATCTTACACTTCAGTGGATCTTAGGAAGGCTTGACTACATTTCTGTTAGCAGATAAAGCTTTTTTTAAAAGAGAAATCAAATGGTATAAGTCAGCATTTTACCTTTGTTGGAAAATAATTTAGCTTGACTTCTGTCATTTGCATGTTGCTAAAGCCAATGCTGAATCCTTGAGATTCTAGTCAACATGAAGCAGTTTGGAATAAGGGAATAGATATTGTTCTAGGCCTTCAATCTGCTACTAGTTTACTTTGTCATCAAACAATTCACAGGGGTCAAAAACTGGGCTGCAGTTTGCTAATCCGTGACAGGACACTTTGGGACTAGATTAGTGTTCTTAACCCGGTATATGTGGACAGAACATGGATGAGGGGAAATTGCATCTTTATTTTCAGTAACTCCTAACTGAAATTTAGCAATCTCTTTATTATGAATGCAGACAACAAACCCCACTAGTATTCATAGGACCTGTGACCTTGTCACCAATATAAATCACTGATAATTTCATGTTGCATCAGAATTTTTGCAGATATCTCAATTTATCAATTATACCCAGCACTTCTTCAAAGTAACCCTAGTTACTTTGTAGGGAGGGAGGAGGGGGAAGTTCTTACTTGATTTACTGTCATAGGCTGGCACACATGCAAAGCTGAATACCTCTCATGGAAAAACACCCATGGGTTCTTTGGGGGCTCCCCTGCTGAGCCCCTCTAGCTGTAATTCCCCTGTCACTGCTGTACAGCCTATTCCTCAGCTACTGTTACCCGCTCAGCTCTGGGTTTTTCATTCAGACTCTTCCTATTGCAACTTCATCATCTGCTTCCTCTTCCCTAAGGCAGGAGCAAAAACACTTGTTCCACAGAAATGACCTATTTACTCTGTCCTGACAAACTCTGGGAGAGACAGGCTGAGCTGAACGCAGCTGCAGACCTTCATCCTCTGAAACCAAAGCAGATCACCAGTTCATCTTTCTTGCCCTTTAGGTTTCCTGAGCAGCAGTTAGACTCAGTCCTTTGTGGCCCCAAACTCAAGGGGATACAGACTAAGTTCTTAAAGCCCCTCTAATTAGTGAAGGGAAGGGGAAGTTACCCTCTGTCCCCCTCTCCTGCTGGGAGGGAGAGTGCAAAGTCACAGCTCTGCCCAAAGAAAACCTCACAAAGTAGTCCATCTCTGCTTTTGCCATCTTTCTATATCTTCCTTTGAGTTTGAGAGCCACATCATATGTTCTAGGCCATCCACTTGGAAATTCCCACTTGGTATTGTGGCATGCATGGTGGCCTTGACCATTTATTATGTTACAGTGCAGTATTAGTTTTCCATTGCTGCTGCAACAGATGACCACATGGCAGCGTAGCTAACACAAATGTATTATCTTACAGTTGTGGAGCACGTAAGTCTGACATGGGTCTCACTGGGCCAAAATCAAGGGTTCACAGGGCTGCTGAGCTCCTCTCTGAAGCTTCTAGGGGAGAATCCATTTATCTGCCTTTCCAGCTTCTACAGGCCACTGACATTCCTTAGCTCATGGCCCCCTCCTCCACTTCAAAGCAAACAATACCTGCATCTCTCTGAGCCTTTCTTCCATCATCACATCTCTTTCTCTGACCCTCTTCTCCTGCCCTCTTCCACTTTTATCCACTCTTAAATGTTCCACCTAGATAATTCAAAATAATCTCTACTTTAAAGTCAGCTGATTATCAACCTTAATAATTCTATCTGTAACTTTAATTCTCCTCTGCTGTGTAAGCTAACACATTCACAAGTTCTGGGATTAGGAAGTGGCCATCTTTGGGATGCTGTTAGTCTGTTTGCCATAGTGACTCAATAACATTTCGTATTTACACAACCAGGTACAATAATAATGTATTGTGAACATACATTCGTGGGCTTAAACATCCTTTTATGTCCTTCATAATATATTATATTTTAATTTTAATTTTAATTTGTTTTTGAGACAGAGTCTCACTCTGTCACCCAGGCTGGAGTGCAGTGGCACAATCTCAGCTCACTGCAACCTCCACCTCCCAGGTTCAAAAGATTCTCGAGCCTCAGCCTGCTAAGTAGCTGGAATTACAGGCGTGTGCCACCACGCCCAGCCAATTTTATATTTTTGGTAAAAACAGGGGTTTCGCCATGTTGGTCAGGCTGGTCTTGAACTCCTGGGCTCAAGTGATCCACCTGCCTTGGCCTCCCAAAGTTGGGGATTATGGGCGTGAGCCACCACACCCAGCCCCCTTTGTAATATATTATGTTCTAATGTGTGGATGTTTCATACATTTTTAACCATTTCTGTATTGTTGGAAGTTAGGTTGTATCCTATTCTTTATTATCACAAGTAATACTGCAATAAAAATCTCTGTAGTTAATTTGTGACACGCGTTACACAGTGACTTTGTATGGTGTCACGTAAACTGGACTTTACATTTCCCAGACCCCGCCTCCCTGCATGCGTCTGAGCTAATGAGAACCATAAAAAAATTGCATGAGATTTGGATGGTGGAATAGTAGCAGCAATCATGCTTAGGCTTGGAAGACTGGTGCAGGGTCAGGCACCATTGCAGCTCACATACATTGTCATGCTGCCTCACCTTGTTAAAGGAGCCAGCAACCAGACCAGTAGCAATTCCAGCTCTATCTCCATGGGTTAATATCTGGGTCCAACAGATCCAGCTTTCAACTTCTCCAGATTTTGGCCCTTGTACATGTGCAGCTCCATGGTGGAATGCATTAGATCATCTCGAAGTCTTCCACATCATTGAAGTTGGTTGTTTGGAAACAATGAGAGGCAGATGCAAATTTTAGTTTCACTTTATCAGTTTTAGCTCAACCTGTGAATCCCCGTTTGTCCTTGCTCACTCCCACTTCACATGCATCTTCCCTTCCTAACTACGGGCCCTGCTGACTTCAGGCTCAGTACCACACAAAGGACCACAGTCATACAAAGACTGCACAACCAGCTCCTACGCTGACTTAATGTGTAAGGTCTGTCCTCTACACAAATCCCTCTGGATCACTCATAGTTGTTCTGCTTCTCTGATCAAATTTTAATTGACATTCATAATTATTTCCTTTGGATAAATTCCTAGACATGCAAAAGCTGAGTAAAGATAGTTAGTTCAATTTTATATTACCTTAAATATTTATTTTTTGTTCATTTTTTGTATTTAGTAAAATCTTTTTTTAAGAAAAATTTCAGTTTATTTCTGTTCTATCAAGAATTAAAAGAAGGTATTTTGCCCACTTGTGTGAGAACTTTAATGGCAGAGTAGTGCACCACTGAGCCACAGTGCCCATGGCAATAGCAAGAATCCAGAGGAGGTGAAATTCAAGGTGACGCCTACTGAATCACTCCTTGATGACACCCCGAGCTGCCAAAACCTTTGAGATTCTGTTTTCTGTTAAAGACAGAAATATTTCCTTTTGGGTCCATCTTCTTAGTCTGGAGTCCTACCTCTGAATCTTTGACTATTAGTAGGCTTTCTCTGTTCCAACTGTATGTATTTCCTATTTGGACAACTATTTATTTATCATTCCTGCATTCCCAGTCTATGCTTGGTCTATTTGTTAGGACATACCATCTATGTAAATAGCATCATCTAGGGTTGTGCAGTGCATGATCTGAACAACCATATGTGGGAGCCTAGATCAGTTTTATGATACCTTAGGTTGCATTTTCCTGTTATTGACTTGGTCTTTCTGTTGTTTATGGCCATAACTTTTGGATACCACGTTCTGACTGCTGGGCTGGACATCCACTCATGGTCATCATTAGCTGGGTCTGTCCCTTCAGGGTCTTCTTCAACCTGGTAGGCCAATTAATTCTGAAATGAGAAACTACAGAAAGCAGCACAACCCAGATCATAGCCATTAACCAAGCCAAGTCCAGGTCCAGCCATGTTCCAAACTATGACAAACCCAGCTTCTAGAAATTCCTCCAAGCCCACCTTCCTGTCTCGTAGGTAATACATTTACATTTGAGATATGTCAAGATGATTACTTAGCTCTAAAGTACTAAAAAGGTGTTAGTAATCTCCTGGCTTTCCTTCTGTAACATCATAAAGGCTTCCTTTACTATTTAATCAAATATAACTTAATCAGTGGCTCAAGCAAAGAAAGTATAAGAATATATTCTGCTAGTAAAATACACATAAGCTATTTGGTCCTTGAAGACATCAAGTAATGTGAGCATTAACTTGCTTTACTCTGAAGATATTCTGCATTAGATACCCTGGTGTTCTAAACTGGAAAACTTGGAAGACATGAACGTCCTTTTTCTTTATTTGCTTCCAAAACCTTACAACTATAATCTTAAAGCAAGAAATGGACTTCAGTTCAATTAGTAATGTACTAAGTTAATGATTATTTATATTCTTATCATTTAGATTTATTTATTTATGAATGCTTAAGAGGCAGGGCTAGTTTTCTATCATAAAAATATCCTGGGAAGGTGCTATTAACTTCGGTGTGCAAAGGAAGAAACATGAAAGAATCTGTTACTGATTTTAACATCATACCTTTAATTCCATGACATCTAATCTGTTGTGAGACTTCAGACTTCCATGCTCATTTAAACTACTTTCAAATAAATGATTCACAAATGTATTGACTAGATTAAAAGTTTGACAGTAATAAATCTTTGTAAAGATTGGTTCTTGATAGGGAAAGAAAAATAAGATATTCTTCCGCATGTAAAGAATAGCATTTGAGACACTTGAAGCTCACGAAGCAATGAACTTGCATTTGATCAATTTTGCTTAGTATTCCACGTGTACTCGGAAGGTTTTACTTTTCCCTTCAAATCTCATAAAATCTCCTTCTTAATGAGTTCAATGAAATACCCAAATTGTAACACTGCATTGATTCTTTGTCAAAAAGTAATGTGGTATATTTCTTTTAAAGTACATAAAGCAACTATTCCATGTAAATGTCAGCATGTGTAAACAATATAAAATTATAAATTGATACAACCTCTATAGAGGAAATGTGAGGCAGTAATTCTATTTCTAGGAATTTATAATACAGATATACTCACACAGGTGTGAAATGACATTGCAACATTGCTTGTGATAGCAAACAATTGGATGGAATCTACAGATCAATAATTGGGAAATGGGCTAAATAGATCCCATACAACAGATGGCTATGCAGCCTTATAAAATGAAGACGCTCTATATGTAATGATCTGGAGCACTGTGCAAAATATATTATTAGGGACTTTCAAATATCCTATAAAGGCTGACTAGGTTTGCTGAAGCACCCTTCTGCTATGGAATAATTAGACCTTGGATAGACTCATTTCTCTGAGACAGTGTTAGTCTCTTAAGAGGTAGCGAAGGTCTCTAAAGAAACTTCCCCTCCAAAAAAGAAAACAAAACCAGAGTTGTCCTGAGCAAAATGCTGATAGTAGCAGCACTGCTATTAAGATACTAAAGTTTTGGCCAACACACGGTTGGGAAGGATGAATTGAGCCAAGACGCTGAAGTGGTCCTGAAATGGTATTAGGTTGGTGCAAAAGAAATTGTGGTTTTGGCCGTGTGGTGGGTCATGCCTGTAATCCCAGCACTTTGGGAGGCCAAGGCAGGTGGATCACCTGAGATCAGGAGACCAGCCTGGCCAAGATGGTGAAACCCCAACTCTACTAAAAATACAAAAATTAACCAGGCGTGGTGGCATGCACCTGTAATCCCAGCCACTCAGGGGGCTGAGGCAGGAGAATCGCTTGAAACTGGGAGGTGGAGTTTGCAGTGAGCTGAGATTGTGCCATTGAACTCCAGCCTAGGTGACAAAAGCAAGACTACATCTCAAAAAATAAAAAAGAAAAAAAAAAGAAATTGTGGTTTTGCCATTAAAAGTAATTGCAAAAACTGCAATTACTTTTGCACCAACCTAGCATCTTTGGCTACAAACAGAAGCAGGAACAAATCCTCTTTGGAAGAGAGCTTTCCACTTTGGAGCTATAGGACCCACAGATTCAGATCGAGCTTGCAATCAAAGATGATCAAGTTCATGAGAAGGCAAAGCAAGCCACCCTTAGTGAGAATCTGCATAAGCAATAAACAAAATATAAAAAAGCTATAAATAAAATGTTTAAGAAAGTTTTTTAAAAACACAAAAATCAGTTCCAGGGATATGAAAGACCTAGCTAAGAAAAGAAAAATAATGCTCCTAGAAAAGAATGTGTAATAATATGTAATAACAATGGAGTCTTTTGAGGAATAGATGTTCTTAATTTTAATGTGGTTGAATTTATCAGTCTTTTATTTTGTGGTTGTTATAGTTTGGATCTTTTTTCATCATTCTTTACTATTCTAAGGCATGACCTGTAACAAAGCAAACAACCACATAACTCATTCACCAGGTCAAAAAATAGATTATCATTGCACCCTACAAGCTACATGCATACGCCTTTCTGATAATAATTCTATCTCTCCTCCAAGATATAATCAGTATCCTGACTTCTATTACACTAGTTATCCTGCTCTACTTTATAAATTTACTATCTCTGTATGCATCTCTAAGCAAAAGAGCTTATTTTATCCTCTTCTTGGACTTTTTAATTCCCTCACACCATACAAAACTTAATTTGTGATAGATTATGAACTTAAATATAAAAGCTAAAACCATAAAACTTTTAGAGGAAATTGAATATCTTCATATTCAGAGATAGGTAAAAAGTCCTTAGATAAGACACAGAAAGCAATCGCCATATAAGAAAAGATGATAAACTTCATCAAAATTAAAAACTTTGGCTCACCAAAAGGCACCATTGAAAAGAAATATAGGTCTGGATGTGGTGACTCATGCCTGTAATTCCAGCAGTTTGGGAGGCCGAGGCAGATGGATTGCTTGAGCTCAGGAGTCTGAGACTAGCCTGGCCAACATGGTGAAACCCCCATCTCTACAAAAAAGACGAAAACTAGCTGGGCGTGGTGGCTCACGCTATAGTCCCAGCTACTTGGGAGGCAGAAGCAGGAGTATCACTTAAGCCTAGGAGGCGGAGGTTGCAGTGAGCTGACATCATACCATTGCACTCCAGCCTGGGCAACAGGGCGAGACCCTGTCTTAAAAATAATAAAATAAAATAATAAATAAATGAATAAAAAGAAACATAGCAAACCACAGACTGTGAAAGAATATTTCCAAAATGTATACCTGAGGGCAGTTTAACATAAGAAAATCAATCAATGTTGTATACCACATTAATAGAATGAAGAAAAAAAAGGCAGATGATATTTCAATTGATGAAGAAAAAGCATTTGACAGAATCCAACACCCATTCATGATAAGGAACACTCAGAGAACCAGGAATAAAAAGAGAACTTCCTCAACATGATAAAGGGCATTTATGACACTTCCCTCCAACACACACAAAGCCCTCAGTTAACATCACATGCACTGGGGAAAGACTGAAAGCTTTCCCTTTAAGATCAAGAAAAAGACTGGAATGCTTGCTTTCATTGCGGCGGTTCAACATTGTACTGGAAATTCCAGTGAGAGTAATCAGGCAAGAAAAAGAAAAGGCATCCAAATCAGAAAAGAAGAAATAAAACTATCTTTATTTGCAGATCACATGATCCCATATATAGAAAATCCCAAAGAATACACACACACACACACACAAAATACCACCACCACAACTAACAACAAAACCACTAGAGCTAATAAATTCAGCAAATTTGCAGAGTACAAAATCAACACACAAAAGTCAGTAGCGTTTCCTTTTTTCTTTTTTTTTTTGAGACGGAGTCTCGCTCTGTCGCCCAGGCTGGAGTGCAATGGCACAACCCCGGCTCACTGCAACATCCACCTCCCGGGTTCGAGGAATTCTCCTGCCTCAGCCTCCAGAGCAGCTGGGATTACAGGCGCCTGCCACCACACCCAGCTAATTGTTTGTATTTTTAGTAGAGATGGGGTTTCACCATTTTGGTCAGGCTGGTCTCGAACTTCTGACCTCAAGTGATCCACCCGCCTTAGCCTCCCAAAGTGCTGAGATTACAGATGTGGGCCACTGCACCTGGCCAGCAGTGTTTCCATATGTCAGTAATAAGCAAATTCAAAAGAAAATTAAGAAAACAATTCCATTTACAATAATGTCCAAAAGAATAAAATACCTAGGAATAGATTTATCCAAGGAGGTTGTTCTGCAGTGGGCAGATCTGTGCAAATCTGCCCCAAAGTCTGGGAAGCTGAGAGGGTGAAGAAAGAGATTGATAAATCCAATTTCTTGGAAAGAAACATTTAATAGGAACTTAAGAACAGAAGTCATGTCCGTGTCTTGGGTGGTGGTGAGACAAGATGGTGGATCCCTGCACCATTACCCCTCAGACCCAGGGCTTATCTACCACAGGGAAAGAGTGATTCAGAAGGGATGTGTAGGACAATTGAAGTACAATAACATCAAGGTCGTTTGACACAAGCACAGGATTTATGGTTAGTGCCTGCTCTTAAACAAGGAACAATAAGTAAACTAGAAATCTTAGAGGCCTTTCCAGAACTTGGATTAATCAGAAGCCCATGTGGTGGATTAGCAGCCAAGATGGAGTTGCTTTGGCCTCCACAGAGGTAAAGCTTGGGCACTGAAAAGTATAAGACATTGCTGAAAGAAATTAAAGATAATCTGTGTTCATGGATTGGAAAACAATGTTGTTAAGACGGCAATACTATCTAAGCAATCTGTAGATTCGATGGAATCCCTATCAAAATGCCAATACCTTTCTTTTTGCTGAAATGGAAAAATTGATCCAATAATATAAAAGAAGAAAAAGGTTGGAAGACTTACACTCTCTGATTTCAAAACTTACTACAAAGCTACAGTAATTAAAAGAGTGTGGTACTGGCATAAGGATAGACACATAAACCAATTAAATAGAATTGAGAGTCCAGAACTAAACTCATCCATCTATGGCAAATTGATTTTTAACAAGGTTGGTAAGACCATTCTAGGAGGGAAAGAATAGTCTTTTCAAAGAATAGTGCATGACAACTAAATATCCACATGCGTAAGAATGAAATTGAACCTCTACCTCACACCATATACAAAATTAACTCAAAATAGATCAGCAACTGCTATTGACTGAATGCTTGTGTCACCCTAAAATTCATACATTGAAAACCTAACTCCCAATATGGTAGTGTTAGGTGGTAGGGCTTTTGGTAGGTGATTAGGCCATGAAGTCAGAGCCCTCATGAATGAGATTAGTGTCCTTCTATTAGGCTAGTGCAAAAATAATTGCAGTTATAAAAGAGTCTCCAGAGATCTCTCTTGCCTCTTCCAGCATGTGAAGACATAACAAGAAGGTAGCCTCTATGAACCAGGAAGCCCTCACCAGACAGCAAATCTGTTGGCACCTTGACCTTGAACTTCCTAACCTCCAGAACTACAAAAAATGAATTTCTGTTGTGTATAAGCCACCCAGTCTATGGTATTCTGTTATAGCAGCCCCAACAGGCTAAGACAAGTACCTAAATAGAACTAAAACCATAAAATTCTTGGGATAAAACATTGAAGGAAATCTTTATTACCTTGGATTTGGCAATGGAGTCTTAGATATGACACCAAAGCAAGAGAAACAACAACAAAAATAAATTAAAGGCTGGGCACAGTGGCTCATGCCTGTAATCCTAGCACTTTGGGAGGCTAAGGTGGGCGGATCGATTGAGTCCAGGAGTTCGAGACCAGCCTGGGCAACATGGCGAAACTCTGGCTTTACCAAAAAAGATACAAAAATTAGCCAGGTATGGTGGCGCCTGCCTGTAGTCCCAGCTGTGTGGGAGGCTAAGGTGGGAGGATTGCTGGAGCCCAGGAGGCAGAGGTTGCGGTGAGCTGAAATGGTGCTACTACACTCCAGCATGGGTGACAAAGTGAGACCCTGTCTGAAAAATAAATAAATAAAAATAAAATAAATTGGACTTTATCCAAATTAAAAACTTTTGTACATCAAAGAACACTATCAAGAACAGTGAAAAGACAACTTACAGAATGGGAGAAGGGAGAAAATATTTGCAAATCATACATCTGATAAAGGTCTAACATCCAGAAAAAGAACTCTTAATCACTCAACAACAAAAATACAAACAATCCAATTTAAAAATGGGGAAAGGACTTGAAAAGATATTTCTCAAAGAAGATAAAAAATGGCCAAGAAGCACATGAAAAGACGATCAACATCGTTAGTCTTTAGGGAAATGCAAATCAAAACCACAATGAGATATCACTTCATACCAACTAGTATAGCTATAATTTTTTAAAGGGGAAAATAATAAGCTTTGGTAAGGATTTGAAGAAATAGAATGGCTATAACTTTTTTAAAGGGAAAATAATAAGCTTTGGTAAGGATATGAAGAAATAGAGATCCTCATACATTGCTTATGGAAATGTAAAATGGTATGGATGCTGTGGAAAAGGGTGTGACAGTTTCTCAAAAAGTTAAACATAGAATATGACCCACCAATTCCACATCTAGGAATATACCCCAAGGAATTGAAAACCGGTACCCAAAGACATACAGGTACATGCATATTCATAGAAGCACTATTCACAATACTTTAAAGGTGGAGACAACCCAGATGCCCATCAATTGATGGATAAACATATTGTGGCATACACATACCATGGAATGTTAATCAGCCCTGAAAAGGAATGAAATAGCGACACATATTACAACATGAATGAATTTTGAAAACGTTATACTAAATGAAAGAAGCCAAACACAAAAAGTCACATATTATATGAATTCATTTATATGAAATATCTAGATTAGGCAAATTCATAGAGATAGAATACAGATTAGTGGTTGCCAAGGGCTATGGGGAAGGGAGACTGGAGAGTAACTGTTTAATGACTATAAAGTTTCCTTTTGGAGTAATAAAAATGTTTTGGAACTAGATAGAGATGTTGGTTGTACAATATCATGAATATACTAAATGCCACAGCATTGTTCACTTTTAATGGTTAATTTTATGTTATGTATATTTACCTCAGTTTTAATTTTTATTGATTGATTGACTGACTGATTGATTCAGATAGGATCTTGCTCTGTTGTCCAGACTGGAGTGCAGTGGTGTGATACTATTTCACTGCAGCCTTGAACTCTCGGGCTCAAGCAATCCTCCTGCCTCAGCTGCCAGAGTAGCTGGGACTACAGGCATGCGCCACCATGCCTGACTAATTTTTTAAAACTTTTTATAGAGACAGAGTCTCGCTATGTTGCCCAGGCTGGTCTCGAACTCCTGGGCTCAACTGATTGTCCTGCCTCGGCCTCCTAAAGTGTTTGGATTATAGGCATGAGCCACTGCACCCAGCCTCACCTCAATTTTTTAAAAATTTGAATATTTGAGAAAAAATTTCTATATACTTGAGAAAGTTCTGGTATTCAGGGTATAAAAGGAATATCTACAACTCAAGATGTACACAACTCAATGTGTTGGGAATATCTACAGGAATATCTACAACTCAATGTATTGTTTCTATAAGCACAAACAACACATTTCTTAAAAAATGGCCCAGAGATTTGAACAGATACTTTACCATAAAAGATATGAGTGGCCAAGATATGAGTGGCCAATAAGCACATAATTTTCTGTTCCTTTACGATCTTTTTCCTCCTTGTAGTTTAATGTTTTCTAATAGCCTGTCTTTCATTCACTAATCCAATCCTGCTGTTTCCAGTCTGTTGTTAAAGCCATCCAGTGAGTTCTTAATTTCACAGATTATGTGTTTCAGTTCTAGAATGTTCATCCTGTTTTTTAAAATATATTTCAATTCCATGTTGAAATTCTCCATGTTTTCATCCATCTTATCTATATTTTCCTCTAACTTAACATATTTATAACAGTTAAAGTCTTTGCTATTTCTGATATCTGGATCCTCCATTGGTCTACTTCTATTGTTAATATTTTCTCTTGGTCATTGGTCATATTTTTCTGCTTCTTTTTTTCTTTTCTTTTCTTTCTTTTTTTGAGACAGGGTCTCACTCTCTTGTCCAGCCAGTGGAGTGCAGTGGTACGGCCAGGACTCACTGCAGCCTTCACCACCCAGGCTCAAGCAGTCCTCCCACCTTAGGCTCCTAGTAGTTGGGGCTACAGGCATGTGCCACCATGCCCAGGTAATTTTTGTATTTTTTGTACAGATGAGGTTTCACTATGTTGCCCAGGCTGGTCTTAAACTCCTGGGCTCAAGTGATCTGCCTGCCTTAGCCTCCCAAAGTGCTGGGATTATAGGTGTGAGCCACCATGCCTGGACAGGTTTTCTGCTTCTTTACATGTCTTTTATTATATGACAGACCTTGTGTACAAGAGATGAAGGCTCCAACTGACATCTCTTACTAGTGGGTATTCCTCCTTTCCTCAGTTAGACAGATAGACTGAAGGACAGTCCACTCCAATCAGTGATTGAGTTGGGTCAGGGCTTTTAATTGAGAGTTTGTAAAGTCCTGATTTTACAAGTCCTAATTGAGTCCTCAGCCCTGAAAACATGAAGTCCTGTGCTTTCGAGGTGTGAGCTTAGCTCTTTGGCCTCCATTGTTATGGGCCGAATTGTGTCCCTCACAAATTCATATGTTGAGGTCCTAACCCCCAATACCTCACAATGTGATTATATTTGGAGATGGGGTCTTTAAAGAGGCAATTAAGTTTAACTGGGCTCATTAGGCCGGGCGTGGTGGCTCACCCTGTAATCTCAGCACTTTGGGAGGCCAAGGTGGGTGGATCACCTGAGGTCAAGAGTTTGAGACCAGCCTGGTGAAACCCTGTCTCTACTAAAAATACAGAAATTAGCTGGATGTGGTGCCTATAGTCCCAGCTACTCAGGAGGCTGAGACAGGAAAATTGCTTGAACCTGGGAGGTGGAAGTTGCAGTGAGCCGAGATCGCGCCACTGCACTCCAGCCTGGGCCACAGAGCGAGACTTCATCTCAAAAAAAGATAATAAAATAAAAAAATTAAAAGGCGGGGGGTTCATTAGGGTGGGTAGTGGGTAATGTGACTATGTCCTTATAAGAAGAGGAGATTGGGACATAGACACACACATACAGGAAAGACCATGTGAGGACACAGGGAGGATACTGTTATCTACAAGCCAAAGAAAGAGGCCTCAGAAAAAACAACCCAATTGACATCTTTTTCTCCCCTCATTGGTCCATTGGGAGAAGACTAATTGACATCTTGATCTCCAGCTTCTAGCCTCCAGAAATGTGACAGTATAAATTTCTGTCTTTTAAGCTTTGTAGTCTGTGGTACTTTGTTATGGCATTCCTAGCAAACTAATACTGTGTCAGTCCATTTTTTTGTTTGTTGCTATAAAGGAATACCTGAGGCTGGGTAATTTATAAAGAAAAGTTTATTTGTCTCACAATTCTTCAGGCTGAACAAGCATGTCACCAGCATGAGTGACAGACTAGTTGTGAATTTGTGAAAGACTCCTTTCCCTTCGTAGAATTTTTTTCCCTAAGCAGAACAAGACAATGGGAGAGTTCAGTTTGCCTTTTTGGCCCAGCTCCCAGCCTCACAGATCACCCTAAAACTCAGAAAATGTCTCACGGGAAACTAGCCTTGCATTTGGGCTCTTCCAGTTTCTTATAGGTCACAACAGCCCTGTGCGACTGTCAAAAGTTCTACTGGTTTCTCCTTCTTCTACTAGCGTCTTTCTGCCTGGGGGTCAGGCCCACAGGTGAAGAAAACAAAGACAATTGTTAGTTCACCTAGAGAGGGTTCTTACCCTTCTAGAATTTCAGTTCATCTATTCCTCCTTGTTCCAAAACTCTCTAATATCTTTAAAAGTATAATTTTGCAATTTATCCATTTTATTTTCTGATTGTTGCAGCAAAAACATTAGACTACCTCAAATTAATATAAACTGCTTATAAGTTAAAGTCTTCATTAAACAAAATAATGGCAAACTAAATATTAAAAAAATAAAATGATACATCACAACAAAGTTGGGTTTATTTCATGAATATATGATTTTTTTTTTTTTTTTGAGATGGAGTCTTGCTCTGTCACCAGGCTGGAGTGCAGTGGCATGATCTCGGCTCACTGCAACCTCTGCCTCGCGGGTTCAAGCGATTCTCCTGCCTCAGCCTCCTGAGTAGCTGGGACTACAGGCATGCACAACCATGCCCAGCTACTTTTCTTGTATTTTTAGTAGAGACAGGGTTTCACCATGTTGGTCAGGCCGGTCTTGAACTCCTGACCTCGTGATCCGCCCACCTCAGCCTCCCAAAGTGCTGGTATTACAGGCGTGAGCCACCGCGCCCGGCCCTATTTTTTAATACTACAGAAAACATTGTACTTAATGGTTGAAACTGTTTACTCTAAACATTTAGAGTACTAATTATACTGGAGGTCCCAACCAGTACAACAACAACTACAAAACAGAATTAAGGATAGAGGAAGAAATAAAACTGAATTCTTTGCATTCCTAGTTAAGCATCAAATGATTAAAAAATGAAATTTAAGAGAGATTCTCTTTACCATAGCATCAAAACATATCAAATATCTAGTAACAAATCTAAAAAAAGGTGTGTAATACCTCTGTCAGGCCTCTGAGCCCAAGCTAAGCCATCATATCCCCTGTGACCTGCATGTATACATCCAGATGGCCTGAAGCAACTGAAGAACCACAGAAGATGACATTCCAGCCAGGCACGGTGGCTCACGCCTGTAATCCCAGCACTTTGGGAGGCCGAGGTGGGCAGATCACAAGGTCAGGAGACTGAGACCATCCTGGCTAACACAGTGAAACCCTGTCTCTACTAAAAAATACAAAAAATTAGCCAGGCGTGGTGGCAGGCACCTGTAGTCCTAGCTACTCGGGAGGCTGAGGCAGGAGAATGGTGTGAACCCAGGAGGCAGAGGTTGCAGTGAGCTGAGACTGCGCCACTGCACTCCAGCCTAGGCGACAGAGCAAGACTCCGTCTCAAAAAAAAAAAAAAAGATGACACTCCACCATTGTGATCTGTTCCTGCCCCACCCTAACTGATCAATTGACTTTGTGACAATACACCCTCCCTGCCCTTGCGATATTCTTTGTGATATTCCCCTGCCCTTGTGAATGTACTTTGTACAATACACCCACCCCACCCTTGAGAAGGTACTTTGTAATATCCTCCCTCGCCCTTAAGAAGGTACTTTGTAATATTCTCCCTGCCCTTGAGAATGTACTTTGTGAGATCCAGCCCCTGCTCGCAAAAAATTGCTCCTAACTCCACCGCCTATCCCAAACCTATAAGAACCAATGATAATCCCAACACCCTTTGCTGACTCTCTTTTCGGACTCAGCCCACCTGCACCCAGGTGAAATAAACAGTCTTGTTGCTCACACAAAGCCTGTTGGTGGACTCTCTTCACACAGATGTGTGTGACAACCTCTATACAAAAAACCTAAAAATATTTTTAAAGAAATGGAAAATGACCTAAATAAATAGAGGTGTGTGCTTTGTTGATGTATTGGAAGACCTAAAGTAGTAAAGATGTCATTTCTCCTTAAATGACAGTAGAGTCAATAGAGTCAATGAAGTCCCAATCAAAATTGCAATGAGTTAATTTTTGTGGAATTGACAAGTGGATTCTAAAATGTATATTTTTTATGGTCAAGAATAATCATGACACTCCTGAGAAAGAATGTGCAAGGACATACTCTACTAGATATTAAGACATGTTATAAGTCTACAGTAATTGAGACAGTGTGATACTGGTAGAGATATTGACAAATAAACCGATAGAACAGAACCCATATGTAGGGAACTGATTTATGACAAAGGTGGTGTGCATGATGCTGGACTAATAAACTTTTTTTTTTTTTTTTTGAAACGGAGTCTCACTGTGTTTCCCAGGCTGGTCTTGAACTCCTGGGCTCAAGTGACCCTCCCGCCTTGGCCTCCCAAAGTACTGCAATTACAGGCATGAGTCACTATGCCTAGCCTAATGGAAATTTTTTATGAAGGCAAAGAAGAGTTAGTCCCCATTTCACATTATAGATGAAAACAATTCTAGGTGGATTGTAGCTCTAAATGTAAAAGATAAGGCTCAGGAAGAGAGATAATATGGTTTGGGTGTTTGTCCCCTCCAAATCTCATGTTGAAATGTGATTCCCAATGTTGGAGGTGAAGCGTGGTGAAAGGCCATTAGGTCATGGGGGCCCATCCCTCATGAATGGTTTTGCACCATCCCCTTGGTGATAAGTGAGTTCTTGCTCAGTTAATTCACACAAGATGTGGTTGTTTAAAAGCATGTGGCACCTCCCCCTCCACTCTTACTCCCCTCTTACCCTGTGATGTGCCTGCTCCTTCTTCACCTTCTGCCATGACTGGAAGCTTCCTGAGGCCTCACCAGAAGCTGAGCAATGCTGGCACCATGCTTGTACAGCCTGCAGAACCATGAGCCATTACACCTTTTTTCTTTATAAATTACCCAGCCTCAGATATTTCTTTATAGTAATGCAAGAACAAACCTAGAGAGTTCAGAAACAGACCGAGAAAGAGGATGAGAGGGTGATTTACTTTTCATTTTTGAACATTTTGAATTTTGTAATTGCAAATGAACTTGTGTGTGTATGTGTGTGTGTGTGTTGTGTGTGTGTGTTGTGTGTGTGTGTGTGTGTGTGTGTGTATTTTCTTTGCCAGTGACCATACAGCAAATTAACTTTGAGGTACCCTGCTACAGTACATCTAAGTGACACTGGGACAAGGTGGTTCACAGTAATTCTTGAGTCTTTGTTTTTTTTGTTTTGTTTTGTTTTTTTGAGACAGAGTCTCGCTCTGTTGCCCAGGCTGGAGTGCAGTGGCACCATCTCGGCTCACTGCAACCTCTGCCTCCCAGGTTCAAGCAATTCTTCTGCCTCAGCCTACCAAGTAGCTGAGATTACAGGTGTGTGCCACCACGCCAGGCTAATTTTTTTGTATTTTTTGTAGAGACGGGGTTTCACCATTGTGGCCAGGTTGGTTCCCTGACCTCAAGTGATCCAGCCACCTCGGACTCCCACATTGCTGGGATTACAGGCGTGAGCCACTGTGCCTGTCCAGGTTCTTTGAAGAGATCTAGACCTCTTTCCTGAGATACAGGCCCAACTTTAGGAATTATGCTGTCAGAAACCATTTCAAACCAGGTTCCTTCCTTTGTGATGCTGATCGTGAGGCCAAGGAGCTCCACCGAACTGTGATCCCCAGGTTTCCTGTCCTCAGTTATATCCTGAAACAGTCCAGTCCCAAGTGGGGCATTTCCAGCTGCTTTGCACATCTTGGATAGCTGCCGCATTAAGACATTTCCCTATCCTGCAGTGTACTTCATTCACAGACCTTCATGAGTCTGGGCAGTTCTGCTAAAAAGAACTATGTGCCAATTCTGCTCCTTCCTGATAAATCTGTGGATTCTCTTTGAATTGCCAATATATTTTTCAAGACTTCAAAGATGAGTATTACATGTTCTAGGTATTTAAACACATTAACTGCAGTACCATAACCCAAATGACATTCTCAGAATGACTGTCAGGGACTATGCACTTCTGAACACACCTAAATACGGGATTTCTTATTTAACAGAATTTTAAAGTAACATCAGCACAGATGAAAATAGTTTTGCTTCATCAGTCTGTATATAATCATAGTATTCTTTGATGTGGAAATTCTACTTTTTAGCTACATCTCCCTATCTAATATACATATCTTCTAGCAGGTATCAATAGTTATTAAAATGCATTTTGTTTTATTCCTACATCATTAAAAGCACAATTGACTTCTGGTTTTTTCTTTTTTCTTTTTTTTTTTTTGCTGATAGAGAGCACCTACTGAGTTCAGTGATCAAAGTCATGAAATAGCCACACAGGTCATTGTGTCTAAATATAGCAGTTATTATTTTGTAATGTAGTTATTATTATAGTAGTTATTACTCTGTGGTGTAGTTATTACTCTGTGAGGACTCAAAAGCCTTCTTAAACACTTGTATGTAGTCTATTAAGTTCAAAATGATAACAAATATTTATCACAGCACATTGACGAAATTCTGATAGGTTCAAAGGCTTAAAAGGTTAACAATTGCTCAGAAGTGCATACAAGCTAATAACATAGTCACTATTTTGCTGTCACCTAGTAGTGTCAACATTTATAAAATAACAGGTATTAATTTCATAGCATCATACAATGTGCAGTCACTTACTGTAGGAGCATATGAAAACCATATCCACCTGAAGGTTGGGGAAATATACTTAAGTATTATAGAATAGATAGCCCCTCTCGGTGAGCCTGTACTGGTGTGTTGGCAGCATCTTTGTGTTTCTCCCATACTTCCTCTTAGGACTGGATAAAATCTTGTTCCTCCAGCTCTAAGTGAGGCCAGTGGCTGGGGCTTGCTTCTGTCACCAACTCCTGTTTCAAAGTGGGCTCCTAGCAGTATCTCTCATGGCCCTCATGCTCATCCCTCATGGGGCAGTCCCCAGCCTTGTATTAGTGAATACACTTAGAATCAAACTGCCATTTGTTTCCTGCGTAATAGAAGGAGGGAGTAAGAAAGTAAATAGTGTTAACATTAAATTCCATTCGTTCCAAGATTATAGATTAAAATAATGTAAATGTAAGAGCTAACTGAATCCTCTTAGAAGAACACATAGGAGTAAGTCTTTGTGAACTTAGACAGTTGTTTCTTAAATACGACATGAAAAAATAAGCAACAAAATTTAAAAAATGAATCAGACTTTACCAAAATTAAAACTTTTTGTGCTTCAAAGAACACCATCGAGAAAAAGACAACCCACAAAATGAGAGAAAATATTTGCAAATTACATATCTGATAAGAGGTTCGTAACCAGAGTATATTAAAAAATTGTTACAACTCAACAACAAAAAGATCATCCCATTAAAAATTGCCCACAGATTTGAGCAGATATTTCTCCAAAGAAGATATACAAATAGCCAATAAACACATGAGAAGATGCTCAAAATCCTTAGCCATTAGGGAAATACAAATCAAAACCATAATGAAATACCACTTCATACCAACTATGATAGCTATAATCAAAAAACGGAAAATAACAAGTGTTGGCAAGGATTTGGAGGAATTGAAACGTTCATACCTTGCTGCTGGGAATGTAAAATGGTGTAACAGTTTGGCAGTTGCTCAAAAAGTTAAACATAGTTACCAAATGGCCATTAATTTCATTCTAAGTATTTACCCAGGAGAATTGAAAACATATGTCTACACACAAACTTGTATATAAATGTTTACAGCAGTGGTATTATTATTTTATTTAGAAAGAGGGTCTTGCTGTGTTGTCCAGTCTGGTCTTGAACTCCTGGCCTCAAGTGATGCTCCTGCCTTGGCCTCTCAAAGTGCTGAGATTACAGGTATAAGCCACTGTGTCTGGCCTACAGCAGCATTATTGATAATAGCTAAAATATGAAAATTATCCAATATCCATAAACAGATGAATGGATGTGACACATACACACAAAATGTGATACATTCATAAAGTAGAATATCATTTGGACAGAAAAAAATGAAATTCTGATACATGCTACAGCATGGATGATATTTTGAAAACATTATGCTAAGTGACAGAAGCCAGACACAACAGGTCACATTTTGTGTGATTTCATTTATATGAAATGTCAAGAATAGGCAAATCCATGGAGACAGAAAGTAGATTAGTGGTTGCCAGAAGTTGTGGGGAGAGGGGCATGAGAGTGACTGCTAATGTGTACAGGGTTTCTTTTGGGGCTATAAAATGTTCTGGAATTATATAGTGATGACGGTTGCACACCTTTGTGAATACACTAAAAACCACTGAATTCTACACTTTAAAAAAATTAGCAATACTTATTCTGAAAGGTAATTGTACTTTCAAGTAACAGATATTACCTTCCAATATAATCTCCAGGCATACTTTGTAGTTCTGAACCAGCAGTCTGTGCAGAATTTATTTGTATTCCATCACTGGCAGTAATTGCACTTGTTGCAGCAGGACTTTAAATTATTCTGCTGCAATCTTTAAGACTGCTGTGAAAGGTGTACTTTCAGGAACACTGAGTACTTTGTACAGCAGCCGCAGGTCGGACGTCAGAGTGATCTTAAAGGAAAGCTTTGACATGGTGGAGCTGGTAGGAGCAGAGAATTTGTGCCAACTCCAATTAGCCCCACTTCCTCTGTGAATTGTATACTTTGAAACGGTGAATTTTATGGTATAGGAATCAGAGCTCAATAACGGTATTGTATTATAAAAAAGCAGTAAGGCAGAGTCTCACTCTGTTGCTCAGGCTGGAGTGCAGTGGCTCGATCTGGGCTCACTGCAACCTCCACCTCCCAGGTTCAAGAGATTCTCTTGCCTCAGCTCCTGAGTAGCTGGGACTATAGGTGCCCGCCACCACACCCGGCTAATTTTTGTATTTTTTTAGTAGAGACGGGTGTTTCACCATATTGGCCAGGCTGGTCTTAAACTCCTAACCTTGTGATCCACCCACCTCGGCCCCTCAAAGTGCTGGGATTACAGGCGTGAGCCACCGTGCTCCATCTTTTTTTTTTTTTTTTTTGTGATAGAATCTCGCTCTGTTGCCCAGGCTGGAGTGCAGTGGTGCGATCTCAGATCACTGCAACCTCCGCCTTCTGGGTTCAAGCGATTCTCCTGCCTTAGCCTCCTGAGTAGCTGGGACTACAGGTGCACCACCACACCTGGCTAATTTTTGTATTTTTAGTAGAGACGGGGTTTCCACCATACTGGGCAGGCTGGTCTCAAACTCCTGACCTCGTGATCTGCTCGCCTCAGCAGAATTTTTTTTTTTTTTAGACAGATACTTTATTTTTTAGGAAAAGAGCCATAATTATCTTAAATGTGAAAAACCACATCCAATAAACCGATATAAGTTTCTGGAACAAGGGAATATCTCGTCACATGTTCACAGTGAAACCCATTTTAATGCAGGTCCAGCGCCAACTGCAGTCCTGTCCAATCCCCCATAGGTACAAGGGCCTGGCTCCTCTTCCTGTATACTGCCAGACTTCCTCATCTCACTGGGTTCAGCCTAAAGCAGATGTCCATTGTCTTCCTCACATATTGTGATTGTGGCTTAGAGGTAGGCACAGCACCACTCCAGCAGCGAGGGGTTTGCGTTATTTAAGAACAGCAGCTCTTTTTTCTCTTCTGTATGAGCTTTCTCATGTTAAAGCCAATTGTTTTCCAAACAATACTGAATACGACTTTCAAATTCCTTTGGGTTATAGTTGGAAACCAGGATGGGAATAAAGGGATCCAGGGCATCAAATCCTTCCTTTACCAGCAACTCCTGGAGCAGATAGGCTTTCCGGGGCTTAAAGAGAGACCCAGTCTGGTTCAAAGTCAACACAATGGCACCTCCATGCCAATC
The DNA here is from genome assembly GCF_000001405.40 of Homo sapiens. NCBI lineage: Eukaryota > Metazoa > Chordata > Mammalia > Primates > Hominidae > Homo > Homo sapiens. The sequence continues at coordinate 171,491,634 of NC_000002.12, read as the reverse complement.
ATTTTTCATCATTTTCCTCAGGTTGTGAACAAGTGCTAATTCCTCTGGGGCAATCGGGCATTTATCTTCTCTTTTCAGAGCAGTCCTTCCCCAAAGAGCATTGATTCCATCCACGGCCACCAGCAGGTGAAAAACACCCAAAGAACTTTGCCTCTTTAGCTCTTTCAGCACAATTCCAGCTGCATCTGTGGTGTTCCTCACCCGTGTTATGCCCTATTGGGAGAGACAGTGGATTGCAGTGCTGCCAGAGGCCTTCTCTCATTATTGCATGTTACACATTCAGTGACTTCTTTTTTTCTTTTCTTTTCTTTTTTTTGAGATGAAGTCTCACTCTGTTGCCCAAGCTGGAGTACAGTGGCATGATCTCGGCTCACTGCAACCTCCACTGCCCGAGTTCAAGCGATTCTCCTGCCTCAGCCTCCTGGGTAGCTGGGACTACAGGCATGTGCCTGGCTAATTTTTGTATTTTTAGTAGAGACGGGGTTTCACTATGTTGGCCAGGCTGGTCTCGAACTCCTGACCTCATGATCCTCCCACCCTGGCCTCCCAAAGTGTTGGGATTACAGGCATGAGCCACCGCGCCTGGCCTCAAGAATTGTTATTTTTACAGTGGATCAGAACTCAAAGACACATATGAAGAAATCTGAGCCCAGGATCCAAGTTTTTTTTCATTTACCTCTTTTATCAAACAGCTTGCATTAATTCCGATCTTCTTGGCCTCACTATTCTCTTGTTCCAGCCACTGCTACCAAGACTGTTCTGTGTGGACTCTGAACTCCCTGCTGGCACAACCTGCCAAGCCAACAGTACTTCATGTACGTCATGTTGCTCTGAGTCCTCCTTGCTTCCTGTCCACTGATGTCAAGGTGAATTCTGCCTTGGGCAATCTGAAAATTCAGGAGAGATTATGTTCTGGGGTGAATCTTTGAGGAGTGGCAGATAAGAGCTGAGGAATCATAAATTCTTCCCAACCCATCTCACACATACTGTTTGGAGGTGTGGTTTATGTGATTTCTCAGAGGTGTGACCATGAGATTAACCATTTCATTGCACTTACTGGTGGCCAGCTTGATGTCACATCCTCATATTGGGTTTCCTTCTGGATCTGCTTCACTCTGCTGACCCCCCATTTTTGCTCTCTGAGATTTCACTCCTTACCAAGGAGGTAGCATATAAGCTTTTGCCTCAGGGTCTCCTTTTGGGAGCACCCAAGCTAAGACATCTCTCAATCTTTTACAATTATTTTGAACACACTGCATTTGACAGCAATTTCTAGTGACCTGATTTTAGCGAGTCTTTCCAAAGTTCTCAATCTTTTTAAAAGAAAAAGCAAATTTTTAATCACATTTCATGGGTTAAAGTCATAAATATATAATTATAATAACACACATAACTGGCAAAAAGAGGTTTAGAAATAAACATACTTGGCCCTTGCTAGGGATACAGCCCATGAGTATGTTGGAGAGAAGTCATGAGCTTGCAGGTTAATTTTGTTTGGCTTGTGCAATATTTTAAGATTCTAATTAAGGGCTGTCATTTAAAAAACTGGAACATTTAACATAAATCAAGATTTCTACCATTAAAAAAATGGCAAGACCTGGCAACATTGGACTCGTAGAAATGGACTCCAGACAGGTATGGGGAAGTCTAGGCCTGCTAAGGGATATTAAAACTAGGAAATTAGGGCTGGGCACGGCAGCTCACGCCTGTAATCCCAGCACTTCGGGAGGCTGAGGCAGGCGGATCACGAGGTCAGGAGATCGAGACCATCCTGGCTAACATGGTGAAACCCCGTCTGTACTAAAAATACAAAAAATCAGCCAGGCATGGTGGCGGGCGCCTGTAGTCCCAGCTACTCAGGAGGCTGAGGCAGGAGAATGGCGTGAACCTGGGAGGCAGAGCTCGCAGTGAGCCGAGATTGCGCCACTGCACTCCAGCCTGGGTGACACAGCAAGACTCTGTTTCAAAAAAAAAAAAAAAAAAAAAAAACTAGGAAATTATGCTTCATCTTATGTAGTCTCACAGTAAAAACTGAGGCATGTGCTGAGATTGCTTTGTATTAGTTGTACCTCAACAGGTGGCACTTAAAGAGTCTCTGGAACCAGGAAAGTATAAAATTCCCTATAACAGAGCAAAATTGAGTAGCTCATGCCTGGATGAACATCACTGTGTGTAGCAGGTAATATCGTCAGCTATATGTCCTTGTGAGAATTTGTAAACCCTGTGCCTCCAGCATGCTGTGTTGTTCCATCATTTTTGGGATCATCTCTGTACATTTCATATACTTTTCTATTACAGAAATGTTTCCCATCCTCTGTCTGTTAGTGTTTTTATATTACTTTATATCACTTTCCTGTTTGACAGTACAAATTGGTGTCAGAAGTGAGACTAGTACAAAGACAACAGACCTTAACGGCTAGGTTAATTTGAGGGAGACATAGATAAACTGTAGAAGAAAATATGATCCAGGAATACCAGGGTAGCAATAGGACCACCCTTGGCAGAGGGGATTGTAAATGGCTTGTAGATAAAAATGGAAAATTGTTTCAATGGACTATGTCCATTACCCCCTTGATTCATTATGGGAAGTCTGGCATACCAGATTGAAAAGAAATAATAATCTGTAAATGGGCAGATTTACGATTTCCTGGTTACTTTTATTAGCTCTAGCTAGGGTGACCACATGCCCCCTTTTGCTCAGAATAGGCTTGGTTTTTGCCTGTTGTCCAGACATAATGATTATTGGTATCTCCTTTCACTTTCAAAAGTGTCTGAGTTTGGACAATAAATTATATAATCACTCCAGAGGGGCAGAGGCACTCAAGACTTTCTACAGAAATTGAAACAGGAAACTACTGGATCATGAGTCCAGCTGGTAGGGCAGACCAAGACAAACTCTGGGAATGGGACATCTGGGATGTTCTTTTAGGTGTGGCAGTGAGGCCGAAGGACTTCTTCAAGTCTACACTGGATTCAGCACATCTTCAAGTAGACGTTGTGTAACAGCTGAGGTTTTAGATGAGGTAGGGGTTGGGAATTCCTTTACTTCTCACTGGTTTTGCTCTTTAAAGAGAGGCAGACAGATCAGAGACAGGAAAATGAAGTGTTATAATGGCTTTTAAAGTGTAATTCTTTTAACATGCTTTAACTAGTCTTGTTGCTCTAACAGGTAAAACTTGAAAAGCTGTGCCTTTGGAGCTTGTGCTTTTCAAAAACACAAGTGGTGTTTAGAATAGGATTCAAAAACGGTTGTCTACTTGAGAACATACCCTTTTAAGAGAAAATAAAAAATACTTAATTGAGCCATAAAACATTTGTTACAGAGCATTTGCTGGTAAATGCTATATGGCAAAAAAAATTGCTAAATTATTGGTAATTTTCTTTTGAAAATTTCATTTAAGAGGTCAATTTATAGATGCATATTATCTTGGCAGGTAGAGTGTCCTGAGTATGAATTTCACTTTCACCGACTGTTACTTTTATGAATTTTGTTAACTAGAAGTTTCATCACTTCCGTGGTGATCCAAGGTTTCAAAGTACATTGAACTAAAATAGGTTCAAGGCATTAACTAGGTCAGAGCAGGTATTAACTAACTTTAGACATAATTTAGATATACTACTTTAGATATGAAGTATTTCTGATATAATTTTATTCAGTATATGATCCTTCTGAACTGAGATAAGACTGGGAGAGGCTGGCAACATGCCCAGAGCTTCTCCAAGGTTGTAAGTCCTGGGAAGAAAATAATTTGAGTCTGTTAGTATTTGTGTCTTTGGCCGGGTGCAGTGGCTCACACCTGTAATCTCAGCACTTCGGGAGACTGAGGTGGGAGAATTGCTTGAGCCCAGGAGTCTGAGAACAGCCTGGGCAACATAACATAGTAAGTCTCTCTCTCTCTTTCTATTTTAAGTGCAGAAGATTTTGGCTAGGCACCTGTAATCCCAGCACTTTGGGAGGCCAAGGTGAGTGGATCACTTGAGGTCAGGAGTTTGAGACCAGCTTGGCCAACATGGTGAAACCCCATCTCTACTAGAAATACAAAATTAGCTGGGCATGATGGTGCACACCTGTTGTCCCAGCTACTTGGGAGGCTGAGGCACGAGAATCTCTTGAATCCGGGAGGCGGAGGCTGGAATGAGCTGAGATTGAGCCACCGCACTCCAGCCTGGGTGACAAAACGAGACTCCGTCTCAAAATAAATAAAGAAAAATAAGTACAGAAGATTTCACTATGTCATCAAAAAGATATACACACAACAAATAAACATGAAAATGTGCTTATCATTATTGGTCAAAAGGGAAATGTAAATTTAAACCACATTGAGATGCTACTACCTATTAGAATGTCTAAAATTAAAAAAAAAATCCAGGGTCCTGAGATCATAAAAACAATTTCATATATGTAATATATATATATACACACCCATACACAATTAAAAAGATTGGCCATATCAAGTGCTGGCAAAGATATGAAGCAACTAGAACTCTCATATACTGATAATGGGAATATGAAGTGGTACAGCCATTTTGGAAAACCAGTTTGGAAACTTCTTAAAAAGTTAAGCATACACCTAACATAGGAGCCAGCCATTCCCTCCTCAGTATTTACCCAACATAAAGCGTATGTCCATACAATTATACCTCGTAGCTTCATTTGTAGTAGCCCAAACTGGAAACAACTGAAATGTCCATCGAAAGGCCACAGTATAAACAAACTGTAGACATATCCATACAATGGAGATTACTCCACAATAAAAAGGAATGATCTATTGATACATGCAATACAGATGAATCTCCAAATAACTGTACTGAATGAAAGCAGCCAGCAAATAAAAATACTTACTATTTCATTTATATACAATTCTAGAAAACACAAACTAACCTGAAGTTACAGAAACAGATCCGAGGTTGTCTTGGGAAGTGGGGACAGAGGGGCAGAAGGGAGGGATCACAAAGGTGCAGGAAAAAAAACTTTTTGGGTAATGGGTATGTCCTTTATCTTGATTGTGGTGATAGTTTCATGGCAAAACTTATCAAATTGTGTACTTTAAATACATGCAGTTTACTTTGGAAGGCCCAGGCAGGCAGATCAGTTGAGGTCAGGAGTTCGAGACCAGCCTTGCCAACATGGTGAAACCACATCTCTCCTAAAAATACAAAAATAAGCTGGGTGTGGTGGTGCCTATACTCCCAGCTACTCTGGAGGCTGAAGTGGGAGGATCACTTGAACCCGAGAGGCAGAGGTTGCAGTGAGCTGAGATCGTGCTGCTGCACTCCAGCCTGGGTGACAGAGCGAGATTCTGTCTCAAAAAAAAGTGTTTACTGCACGTCAATTATACTTTAATAAGTCTATAAAGAAAATTTAAAGATCTCTGATAATTCTAATAATTTGATTTTATTTGCTGACATCTTTTTATTGGATTTACCACCTTTGCAAAGTTGGTTTTTCTGAGAAAAAAAGTGTAGCCAAAATTCTTTATGAAACTAAAATTCAATGTTGTCTCTAATCAGGAATAACACTTGTATTCATGAAAACAAAGAATTAAAGGAGAGTATCAGACAAATATTACAGGCTATTGCTGATCTCAATCCTCCCTTTCCTTGCTATTGTCTGTTAATCTCAGTGGGTTCTATCTGAGAGCTTAGTGTTCACAGCATGGTGTTTTTTAATGTGCCTATATAGGAGGCTGAGTGTCCCCCTCCTTTCCACCTTCACCCTTCTATAGGACTCAGGTTATAATGAGGAAAGGAACTGAACCTGCAAACTTTGGCACAAATTCTAAGACACTTGAATTGAGAGTCAAAAAGAGTATAAATAAATAAATACTTCTGAAATTTTGTGCACCTCTAAAATTTGAATATACTAATTTGCTATCACAACATATCCGGCCTAGAATACTACAGTTAGTGAGAAAAGGATACAGCTTGTTTAATATGCTCTCATATTAGAGAAAAAAAATTCACCTGATTTCACCTGTTATCATGTACATGATAACACGAACTCAACTTTTGAAGAAAAAAGTCACCTTTCTGCTTTTATTATAATGATTGTTGTGACCTCTTCTCCAGTGCCATTTTGTCCAGCTCCAGTAGTCATGTGAAACGGTGGAACACGTGCCCTTAGAACCCAGGTTGTTCCCAACTATGATCTCCATTAAAGGAATCAGGGTTCTTTGATGAGCAATGTATCCCATGTTTGAGAAAGAATAATTCAAGCTGAGTTTTGGGGTATCTTAACTATTATCACAAAGGATGTTTTCAGCAGTTCCTGGGGAAGGAAGGAGGTCAAGTTGACAAGAGGGTTGCTAACCACAAGTAGAAACAATCTGAGTATCAACTAGAAATGATTACACACCCAGCATAAATACTAAGATAAAGAAGACTAACAACCACACATGCTGGAGAATGTGTGGAGCAAGTGGAAGTCTCCTACATTGCTGCAAGCATGTAAAATCGTACAATCCTTTGGGGAAAAGGTCTGGCAGTTTCTTATTAAACTAAATATACACCTACCCAAGGACCCGAAAATTCCATCCCCAGGTATTTACCCAAGAGAAATAAAGACACATGTTCACAAAAGAATTGTCTAAGAATGTTCATAGCAGCTTTATTCATAACAGTAAAAAACAAGCAGAAAGAGCCCAGTGTCCATCAACAGAAAGATAAAAAAACAAACTGTGATATATTCATACGAAAGAATACTCAGCAATAAAAAGAAATGAATCACTGACACATGCAACAACATGAATAAATCTCAAAAACATTATGCTAAGTGAAAGAAGCATTACATTTTGTATAATTTCACTCATATGAAGTTTAGAACAGGTAAATTTAACCTTTGATATAAAAGAATGAGAACAGTAGTTATACCTGAGGGGTGGGGAGGGGATAGACTGGGAGAGGGATTTAGGAAACTTTCTGAAGATGATTGCAATGGTCTAAATTTTGGAAAGGGTTTGGGTTACACAGGTGTATATGTCTGCAAGAACTCAGTAAATTTATACTTAAGATTTGTACATTTTATTGCAGGTAAATCTTAAATCAAAAAAATTTAAAAACTAAATAAATACTAAACTCTAGTTAATAATCTGCAGTTGAAGTACTAGGGGGAAGTATATCAGCAACTGCAATTTATTTTGAAATCCATCAAAAAGTACGCTGGATAGGAAAATAATAAAACAAGTAGAGTAAGATGTAGAATCCCCGTGGTCAGTATTTACTATAAAATTCTTTCAATTTTACTGTATGTTTGAACATTTTTCATAATAAAATGATGGGAAAAAGACCTCAGTAGGTCTTATCTTTCTATTGTATGTCCCTTGTTTGAAATAAATTATTCTTTCTGCAAGATACAGATTTGATAGCAACACAGGGACCAGAAATTAGCTCCCTGGGATTCTAAAAGATGGATGATATAAGTAAACATGGTAAGAAGGAGAAGAAAATATAAAAATGATTAATATGGAAGCCAAATAATATGAAAACTACTAATACTGATTATCACCACAAACAAAGGGAAAGTACCTTTTAATGACTGCTAACCATTGAATGAAGAACTACATTTTCTGTCAATTTATGTGTGACTTGTATCTTACCCAAATTTGTTCAAAATTTAGACACTGAATCATCAGTAAAAAACGATTATTAAGCACTTTCCTACATATCTAGTATTATAGTTGTTGGTATGCTAAATTGGGATAAAATAACATGCCTTGCCTTTTGAGAACTTTGGAGGAAATTTGGCACAAGTTCATGCCGAACAAATCTGGTTATGTTTCCCACCTCTGCACTGACTAGTTGTGGGACCCTGGGCCAATTAACTTCTGTGAGCCTCACTTTCCTCATTTGTACAAAGGGGAAAGATAATGGCAGTTCATACTTCATGTGGTTATTCTGAATATTAAATGAGACAACCCACTTTACTTATACTGTATCACAGTGACTAGTAGATAGAAAGTGCTCAATAAATATATTATTTAAAAAAAGAACTGTAAGATACAAAACTTTCAATTGGTGGAAGAATGTGAAGTGCCTTAATTTGTCTAAACAGAGCGGTATCTCCTCACTAGGTAGCACAAATAGTAAATAGGATAGGATTTGTTTTGTTTTCTCCCAGAGTTGTGATAAATATTGTAAAAAATTGAGGAACAATAAGCTTGCTGCATTGATGCTCTGAGAATGCAGAAACTTAGATCCAGGAGTGCAATGCAGAATGCACCTCTTTTCAGCGTAACGTCTGTACCTGCTGATGGAAGCTACCCTGCTTCACCTGGGCTTGCATTAAACACTCAGAATTGTTACCCATAATGTTTTGTACCTGTCACTAGTACCTGTTAAGTAGGTGGGCATGTAGCTAGAGTCTCGAATTAAAATATCAGGTAAAGAGGGGGTTTAGGTAGGGCAGGAAGACATTAATGTCTGGCAGGTGGCAGAATGAGCAGCTGTGTGACACTCTGGCGAGCTGGGAAGCATGCTTCATTGTCTCTCGCTATGTGTGGTATCCAAATTCCCCACATTCTTTGCTATCTTCTGTATCTTCTGGCATCTTTTTACCATCTATCTTGTTAACAACCATGCAGCCTACATTCCCACATACTGTTGCAACTGGCTGAAACTAAGCAGTAGCAGCTGCTCCTTTTAGTTGGGGCATAGCTCTCCTGTTTGTTACACTGCCCACAACTCCTTACTGTCTTTCACATGAGGTATATTTCCTGCCTGGCCTGGATGGCATTTGGACCCTGGTCTAGTTAGATTTAGGCAGTGGTGACATACTGGGGGTTTCTTAGTGGTAAGTTATATCTAGACCAGAAGTATTCCACCATCTACCCCCAGCAAAAAAGCAGCCAGGAATTCAGCTATTTCTCAAATGCCTTTCAGAATAGACGAGTTCCTTACTATCATTTCATAAAAGGAAGGTGATGACTTAAAGGAGAAGGAGAAACTCAATAATCACCTAAAAAAAAAAATCTCTGACATGACTGAAGTCTTAAGACATCCTATTCTGAAACACTCTTGGAAATGGAGAATGAACACTCTACTTTTACACAGCATTGCAGCTGCTTTGAAACTCACACAACATTGGTTTCTTTCTTTAGTACTTTCACTGGCCTCTTACTGGTCTTGTTTTTCAAGATGTAAGTTTACTGAGTGGGACTATTTAGATACAGCTAGTGTCTAATTGAAAGTATGGGGCAATGTCTAGCACCAGGGCAGAACTGGGAAGAATTCACATCATTCTTAACATGGCATCAAGCCAAAACTGAAAAAAAAAATGGAAAGATTTTAATATAAATCATCCAAGCTAAAAATTCCATATTTTAACCTTAAACTTGAATCAGCAATGATTGTTGCTGCTGTTTCCTTCCCTTATTACCAGTTATTCTTTTGAGGTTACATCGGATAAATGTGCAGAACATGCGAAATGGAAGCAACTGAATTTCTCAAACAGGAAGCACAAAGAAACATTTTCTCCCTTTACTTGGGTTGCCTTTATTTAACATTCTAAAGAATGATTATTAAAAGTCAAGGACCATATTTAGATCTTTCCTAACAAAGAAGAAATAATGCTTGTTCCATAAGTAAGCCAAAAATTTTCTCTGGTTAATCAGGTAACTCCCAAGCTAGTAAGAACTTCTTCTGGGACTCTTTATCCACTTTTCTACAGGAAACAGAACTACTGCAGGCAAGGGTACCTTTATCTTATTGCATAAGTATGCAAATATTGCCTAAACAAGATCAGAAAACTCACTAAATGAGTAGAATGGTGAGATGAGAACATCCTTAGATACATTAAGAGCTAAACAGGATGCAAATCAGAAAACAATTTCACTTAAGGTTTGCTTGGAATCTTTTACATTAGCCTATATAGAAACACAAATATTCAATGTGAACATCAAGCCAAGAGAACAAAACCAAGGAAGAAAAGATAATTTGGGAACTAGAACCAATTCCTGATACTATATACAAATACGAAACACATATAAATACATATATAAGATTTTTAAAAACTGTGATGACACATTTTGGGCTCAAAATAATGTTCTCACATAACACATCTCATTTCTCATCCTTAAGCAAAGTTTGGTATAGAGGATATAAGATTTCTTTCTGCATGTTTACTTTTGTCTCTCCCTGTCTTTCCTAGCCTTAACAAACAAAATTCCATACCATCCTTTAAGAACTCATCAATGACCCACCCCATCAATGACTTAACTCCTCAACAATTGGAATTAACCTGTCCTTTTCTGTTCCCAGCATTTTATATTTGCATTACCACCTAGCTCAAAGCTGCAAAACACTAAACTTCTTGGAACAGTATTCTAAAAAACCTTTAAAAAAAATGAAGTCCTCACCATCTTTTACAGCAAGAGTTTAAAAAAGAAGTCATAGTCATCTGAAGTCAACACAAGACTTTTTTGGAAAATACTGGAGAATGTGCCATGCAGATAATAAAATGGATTGGACGCAGCTGCTGGGGTGTTTGGCTAAAAGTCTCTTAGGTTACAATTATCTCACTCTTTTTAACAGCTTCTGTTTATGGTTTCTTCTTCTTCCCCAGTGTCACATATCATCTGGTAAACATAGCAGCTGAAGACTCTGTTGGGTTTCTGCTCTATGTGTAGCACCAAGTCTCTGTCAAAGTAGACTTCATGGCTATATGTCTGTAACAAAACACAATCATATGGAGTCCTTTTCACACAGCCATATTCACTACTGTGTTACTAAAATGTCACAGTACCTATGCTAGGGATCTTCAAACATACACTTAGAAGAAAATAGTTGCTAGAAAGAGGTTTATTTTTCATTATTTGTGGATATGCAGATTATTAACAAAAAAGGCATTCTACAAAATATAGAGAATAAAAAGAACTCTGGACCCAGGAGTCTAAATACCCAGATTCTATTGCCAACGCTGCTATTATCTATCTCACTGTGTGATCATTTACGAGGTGCCAAACTTCCCAGGTTCTCCACTGATAAAACAAGACCTGGATAAAATGATGTCTATTGTTCCTTACAACTTTGACATTCTATAATAGTTGAAATATCAGACAAATGTATACAAGAGTACCTGGGAATCCCGCATGCTTAGATATGGTCTCTAGTAAATAATTGTGGGGATTACCGTATTCTCTTATTTTAAAAAATTTTTCCAAATTTACAATTGAAAGAAAATCAAAGACTAGGGTAGGGAAAGAGACAACATGTCTCAGGAAAACACATGAAGTTTTATCTTTAAGGCCACTGGTAAGGATCCCCTAGTGCCCAGGGGAGGAAGGCTTAAGAAGTACTCTTTTGTCCTGTATATAGGACAAAACCTCTTTCACATGGTCATTGGCATAGGTGAGTCTGGACTGACATGAACACAATAACATCTGTTCTAATAAATGGCACCTATAAAGGAAAGGTTTACAACTTTGTATCCCACGGACTCTACTCACCACATCCCATGACTCCACTAGTGGAATGCTTTTAAGTAAAGTTCCATATTCATTACAGTGGAAATCCAGGTGAGCTTTTCCTTCAGCATCTATTTGAGTAACAGCTACCACAGAAAGCAAATCTAACTCATCTTCATAGTCCACAATTTTGAAAGTCTTTGGGATAGATAGATAAAATAGAGGGAAAGGGGCAAAATCCAGTTATTCAGGTAGGCTTATTTCTGTATTTATAGTTTAAGTATTCTATTACTTACAAAAATATGGGAGAAGAATGAATGAATGGGAAGAATAATAGGTAGAAATGTATCTGTTTATATGCCTAGTAAAACATCAGCTCCAAGATTTTCAAGAGTTAAGCAGTATCCTACAGATTTGATAAACAAAACCAAGTCTATGTAGATCTCAAAGTATAATTGAAATTCTCCACAGTGACAGCAAATCAGAGATTCTCTAAATTTAAAAGAGTATTCAACTGCTGCCTCTCACAAGTGTGTTTGCTGATTCCTGGACAGGACTAAACACATGAAGCTCGGTTCTGAAACCTAAAGACTGCTCACTGAGCTCTGAAATTTCTCACACCAGAAAAACACAGTCATTTCTAGAAGGACGGATAACCCATCATACACTATTTATGACTTTTTACCACCTTTAAAAAAAAATCCTTTTGGTTTTTTAAATAAAGCAAAAATGGCTGCTTATACTTGAGGGAGAATATTAGGAAATGAAATCCAACCCACAGAACAGGACTGGGACAAGAGGGTTAGCTATGGTAAAGAGAGAAAAATCCCAGAACTGTGTCTCAAGGAAGAAAACCTGAGACTCCAGAAACCTTGCACGGAAAGCAGATCAGTGCCCAAGCATCCAGGAATAGACCACAGGAAGGTACATCTTGGCTGAATGCCTGGCATCAACTTTAAAGACAGGCATAGCATGTTTCCCTCAATCACTATGCACTAATTCTTCACCTATGTTTGGTCAAACTGCTCTCTAATCCACTGACATTTTCTGCCTTTACCACCCTAAGACATAAAAATTTATATGGATTTATTACGTTTGATTATTAAAATGTACTTTTACGTTATTTCCTTTTTGCCTTCACCTTACTATGGTCAAACTTCAAAGGGTGACTTCTTGCCTTGGTGTCTGTGATTTTATAGATTTTAGTCACTATTTCTTCAAACTTTTCCTTTACAGGCTAAAATATTTTGTTTTTTAATCTCATGATACAGAGCATCTCCTGTTTTGCCACCACCTCTCCCCCCTTAATGAATTATGCTACCTTTTGGAAATTTTAGTACATCTTTCTGGAATACAGTTTTATATGCAGAGTATGTTGCTTTCTTCTTTGTTCTCAATAGGTTTGTATGGTCCAAAATAATACTTTTTTGTGTGTTTTTTTGAGAACAGCTACATACTGGGCCACCTCTAACCTATTTTAAAAGAAGTTCAAAAACTGTCCTTGGAAGGCCACTCTAATGTTTCTACCTAAAAATGGTCCTACAAATAATATAGTTAGATAGTCTAAATGGATTTAGAATTTACACAATGGTTTATATGTTTAAAGCATGATCACTATCAGTTGATTTCATAAATACTTCCAATGCCTTTTTAAAGGAAGGGGATAAAAATGTATTACTTCAGTGACTCATAAAACCAACTTGAAGATAAGAGCTGAACTGATTTATCATGCCCTCACATCCTCTTCCTCTGGACTACGGACATTAACAAACATATTCAAGTCTAGCAAGTAAAAAATGAGGCAAAAACCATAAAGTCCTCAGGATATAACTCAAGAATTTTCCCTTAAGAGATTTCCCTAGAAAATATACACATCAACAAAACAAAACAATACAAAATAAAACAAAACAATAAGCTAATCGTGTTTTCAAATTATTTTGGTCCTATCAACTTTTCTGCAAATAAAACTTTAAGAATAATTACAATATGAAAAGAGAGGATGATGGGTTTGCACTGGTTGAAATAGCATGCGCAACCCCACCCAACTGGCCTGCCTGCAACCCCTCAACCCCAACCTCTACCCCAGGATATGGGGAAGTATTAATATGAAATTCACAATGCAAGGACACACTGGTTTGGTTTGTCATCTCTGGCCAAAGCAATACCTCTTGTTCTGGGTCATCATCCAGAAGGTTAAAACTTTTTTTTACCACCCGTCCAGAAGCTGTAACAGTGAGTACATTTTCATTCTATCATATGGAAAGAAATAAAAAGATATGACAAGTTCTATTACATGCAGTCAAAGGTAAAACTGTATTAACAAATTTGGTAAAACTTACCAACCCTTCTCCCACATCCACAATTCTTTCCTCAACTGAGAAAATTCTGAATCAGATTTCTGATCCTCCGTTTCATATTTTGAGACAGGGTCTCATTCTGTCGCCTAGGCTGGAGTGCCGTGGTGCGATCTTGCCTCACTGTAGTGGCACAATCTTGGCTCACTGCATCCTCTGCCTCCCAGGCTCAAGTGATCCTCCCAGCTCAGCCTCCCCAGTAGCTGGGGCTACAGGCATACACCACCATGCCTGGCTAATTTTCTACTTTTTGTAGAGACAGGGTTTACCATGTCACCCAGGGTGATCTCGAACTCCTGAACTCAAGCAATCTGTCTGCCTTGGCCTTCCAAAGTGCTGAGATTACAGGTGTGAGCCACCATGCCCGGCTCAAAAATACTTTATTAAAGTTTTTAATGGCTAAAATGCCAGAATGGGCAAAAAAAAAATTATTTAAAAGATTATAGATTAGCTGCCTCATTCACCTGACTTTTGCCTTAGTATATAGCACAGCAAATAAAAAGTGGATCTGTTTTTGAAATTGTTCTCCCCATAATTTTCTTTGTGGTCTTAATTTATACACTAAAAGAAAAGTACCATCTGGAGTTAAAGTATGGTATGTGATTTTTAAAGACTTATATATTACCCCAATTAAATTTAAGTTTGCACAATTAATTAGACCCAAAGGTTGATAATTCATCAATAAAAACTTAAAAGGAAACTCAGAAAAGAAGCGGAAATCAGCAAAAGACAAACTCAAGATAGTCAACTTTCTTTAAATCTGAAATGTACATGGGGCTAAAACTGGCTACCCATGTAGACAAAATGTACAGACTTTTATAGGGCTGTGCTGTTGTTTTCTGCTACACTCAAAGGCAAATATATTAGCATATTATAGTCTTATATAGAAAGACAATGATATATAAAGGATTTTAAAGTACTCTTGACTTACTTTATGGTTCTCCCTGTTGGCCAAAATGACAAAATCTTCAGAGATCTGATGCTGAGAACTATTATTTTCTATTTCAGTTAGCTTCAAAACTCTGAGAAGGGAAAAAGGATTCTGAGAACCTAAGACTTCAAAACACCATCAAGGTGCCAAAGTTTAAGTACTGAAGTAAAACTCAACAAATAAAAATTATAGTAACACTGAGGTAGTTCTCTTGATTAGTCTACAATACTAATAAGTGATCACTAAATGTCCATGAACTCCTTCAAATTCGGAGATTCTGTTAAACAGAAAAACGTGGGAACTGTGACAACAGGTGCCACTGAAGTAGGTAATGATCAGCTTGGTCAGGCCTAAGCTATTTTCCAAACTGGCTTAATGAAAGTTACTCTGAAGAACCTTACCTCTGCTATGCTGTAACAGGTCTCTAACATTTCAGCTCTAACAATTAAAGCAGATATTTGCATTTTTATTTCTGAAGTAGGATGAGATATCTATGAGCAACACTTAGGGTTAACTAAAAAGAAATTCAATCAGCAATTAAATCTATACCTAAATAGAAACTAAGAGTTTTCATGATAGATTAATATTTAAAAACTACAACTGAAAATACTATTCTTTTTTCTTAGGATTGGTTATATTTAAAGATTTGGGGGTTTGGAGTGCAAATGGCCTCATGGATCAAGCCTATTAAAAGAAAATAAAATAATTTGCTCACCACCCACAGAAATCTGTTTACATTGTTAACAAGCTTCAAAAGCACAATGTTTTACAAGCTCAAAGTCTCAAATGCAAAAAAAAAAAGAACAGCAGAGAGAAGCAGCTATGTGTCCAGAGAGTGCTGGAGACCTCAGAGTTCCCAAAGACCAAGAGATCAAATAATAATTTAAATTATTCACTTAGTTTTTTTAGTGGCAATATTTTTAAATGCTTATATTGTAAAACCTGGCAAAAGGCCATACACTCTTCGTGGGCCTTGTTTTCTTAAGTTCAAACTAATATGGGTGGTAACAAACATTAAAAGTAAGGCTTACTGAAGCGGAACCACAGTTTAAAATGTGTAAAAATAATCTTATTTCATTAAATCCTTTCATCTTCCTTATATTAAATAGATCCAGAGAGGTAGACTGATTACTACGAAGCATAAAAAATAAAGGCAGACACTTCCCTTTGTTATTTTTTATTTTTTAAGAGACAGGGTCTTACTCCATTACCCAGGCTGGAGTACAGCGCTACAATCATAGCTCACTGCAGCCTCGAACTCCTGGGCTCAGCTGATCCTCCTGCCCCAGACTCCTGAGGAGCTAAGACCACAGGTGCCCACCATCATGCCTGGCTATTTTTTATTTTTTGTAGAGACGAAGTCTCACTATGTTGCCCAGGCTGGTCTCAAACTGCTGGTTTCAGGGGATCCTCCTGCTTCGGCCTCCCAAAGTGCAGGATTATAGGCCTAAACCACCAAGCCCAGCCCCTTCTCTTCTTATTCAACAAATACTGAGCATCTACTCTGTGCAAAGGACTATGCTTAGTGCTGGGGTTATAGGTGTCAGCAAAACAGACTCTTTCCCTGTCATCATAGAGTTTATGATACCAAATAAGTTATTTAAGCAGAAGATCACAAAAATAATTTATTTAAGTTGCCCTAAGTGCTACAAAGGAAGACGACACAGTGGGTGCAATGAAAATATGATGGGCAAGCAAATCTAACAAGGGCATCAGGGAAGGTCTGTGGAAAAGTGACATTGAAGCTGGGCCATAAAATATGAATAGAAATTAGGCAGAACAGGTAGGGGAAACAGACTTCAAACAGAGGGAACAGGCCCTCAGTTTTCTGAAAAGACAGCATGACTAGAGTAAACTGAGTTGAAGGAGGGTCTTTCGGACCATGCTAACTATATTGGTTTTTATCCTAAGAGCAATGAAAAGCCATTAAAAGGTTAAAGCATTTGAATTCACTTGCATAGGTTTTTATATTTCTTCATGTTCTTAAAAATCATGCTAGCTGCTGAGAAGAAAACAGACAGCGCAAGAGTGATCCTGGAGCCCTGGAGTGGGCTATTACTGTAGCCTTGGCTAGTGATGACAGTGACCTGGCCAAGATGAAGACAGTGGCCAAGGGCAGAAACAGGCAGATTTAAAAAATATTTTGTAGCAAAATAAACTGGATTAAGAGGATATATGGTGTGTATGTATGAGAGAAAGAGAATGCCTGTAAGTGTTTAAATGTATGTACATTGATGAAAGACAAATTGGTAAGAAGGTATCAGGAATGATTCAAGATTTCTGGAATGAGTTTAGATGAGAGGTTGAGGCTGGTATATACATTTTGGAGTTCTCATGTATACATGATCTTGAAGCCAAAGGAATAAATAGAATCATGCAGAATGGAAACAGTGAGAAAAGAAGAGGGCTTAAGACCCAACTATGGACATTCAACAATTAAAGTCTGGGTAGAGAAGGAAGAACATGAAAGCAAACTAAAAAAGATAGATGAAATAGGAAAATATTCAGAATTGTGGTGTCAGGGATGACAAATGAGAAGTGTTTAAGGGAAGGAGAGGTCAGTTTGTGGGAGTTGTGTGTGCCCTGAAACCAATCAAAATAAAACAAGATTTACTTCAAACAATCTACTTCCTTTCCTGTGTCTAGGCTGCCTTTCAGAACAAAGACAAATACTCTTCTTTCTTATTAACCCTATAGAATTAACTAAGACCTGATGAGAAAGGGCCAGTCTGTAATTCCCTTTTACTTGCATATCATCCATCAAATAACGTTTTCAAATTTAATATTTACAAACAGTAATGTTGAGTCTCAAAGAATAAATTCAGGTGTTCTGTATGCCAGTCTCTGAGGAAGCACCCAACAACAAGCTAATTATTTCCATTAATTGGCTCACTAGTTCGCTGGCAAAAATAAAGATGCCAATAAATGCTACCAAAAGCTGCTCTTAACTTTCAAGTGCTAATGAGATTACTCACTTGACTTGATTTGGACCAACATGTATTATTCTACCAGAAGCATCAGGATGGAAATAGATCCAGTCAGATTCTAGAGAACAACAATCCATTTCTTGGATCCCATTTTTTGCCTGAAGTTGGAAAAAAGTATTAAAGACAAAGATTAAGGGAAAATCAAATGATTTTACAAATCTAACCCAAGTGATAGATCAGTAGGTCAAAGGTACACGGAAGAAAAAATATTAACCAGTTAAAGTGGAATATATTTGAGGGCCAAATGAGGACATGCAAATTTGAGAAATTCTGAACATTTAAATTCAGAAATGTCATGGATTTGTTCTGTAACATACCCTATATCTCACAAACAGGAGTTAATAACCCAAGAGATACCATATCTCAAGCATCTACTTTGTGTCAGGAACTGCGTTTGATGCTTTATAGGCACTGTTTCATTTAATCTTAATAACACTCAAAGGAAGTACTGAAAACTGATACACAAATAGAATAAATCATTTGCCCAATTTTTTTTGGTGTATGTTGTTTGTTTTTTTTTAAATAGAGATAGAGTCTCGCTATGTTGCCCAGGCTGGTATCAAACTCCTGGCCTCAAGTGATCCTCTCACCTTAGCCTCTTAAAGTGCTAGGACTACATGCGTAAGCCACTGCACCTGACCTTTTCCAATATTTTCAACCTACTAAACAGCAGATCTGACTCCAAAATCCATGGACTTTCCATTATATAACTCTGCCATAATCATGCACATGCAGTTCTCCACAACTTCTTCCTCTCTTCCCTATCCCCAACTATCTTTCAATCAGAAGAGCAGATAACAAAAAATGAACATGTAAACAAACCTAAAGCCTCAGACATGGGTCACAGAATCTTGGATAAGTCAAATGTTGAACTCTAATATCTGAGGAAATGATCTAATACTGCTTAGCTTTTAAGGCAAGAAGAGATTTCACTGTAGTATATTTAGAAATTAAAATAAAGAAAAAAACCATCTGATATGTTATCACATGTGTACACAAATGTATTACCTTATATCCAGAAGCACTGGGAACGAACATCAACTTGGATATATTAACTTCACTGGCTTTACAGAAGTCATTTAATTTAATTTCTCTAATGTAAAATGAAATGATGCCATATTTCCTACTAGATATTCATGAGTTTTGAAACACTAAAGCTTTTAAATTCCATTAGCATATATTGATAGGCTACTATGTTCTAGGTATCAGACTAGGCATTCATACCTCACATCAATTAAACATAATCCTTGTCATCAAGAAGCTTATAGTCTAGGGGGAGGCAGAAACATAAACAAAAAATAATAACGCAGTTATTGTGAGCTATGATTGTGCCACTGTACTCCAATAAGTGATTGACCCATGCACCAGATATCCAAGTGAACAGAATTTTGGGAGTTAAAAAAAGGTTGAAATGAGCCTTAAAGGATAAGTAGAAAATAGCTACAAATAAGAGACAGTAAAATCGAAAGTACAGAAGTGTTAATCGGCCGGGGGCAGTGGCTTACGCCTGTAATCCTAGCACTTTGGGAGGCCGAGGCAGGTGGATCACTTGAGGTCAGGAGTTTGAGACTAGCGTGGCCAACAAGATGAAACCCTGTTTCTACTAAAAATACAAAAATTAGTGGGCATGGTGGTGTGTGCCTGTAATCCCAGCTACTCAGGAGGCTGAGGCAGGAGAATGGCTTGAACCCAGGAGGCAGAGCTTGCAGTAAGCCGAGATCGTGCCACTGCACTCCAGCCTGGGCAACAGAGTAAAACCCTGTCTCAAAACAAAACAAACAAAAAAACCAAAAGTATAGACGTGCTAATCCATATAGTATGCATATAAACATGAGTAGGAGGTAAAATTAAACTGAAAAGTAGCATCCAGCCATGATACTGGAGAGGTAGGCTGGGGTTATATTGTAAGTGCTTTCTATGCCATGATTTATTTTTATTTTTTATTTTTTGAGACAGGGTCTCACTCTGTTGCACAGGCTGGAGTGCAGTGGTGTGATCTCGGCTCACTGGAGCCTTGACCTCTTGGCCTCAATCAATTCTCTCACCTCAGCCTCCCAAGTAGCTGGGACCACAGGTGTGCACCACCACACTTGGCTAATTTTTGTATTTTTTGTGGAGGCAGGGTTTCACCATGCTGCCCAGGCTGATCTTGAACTCCTGGGCTCAAGCCATCTGCCTGCCTAGGCCTCCCAAAGTGCTGGAATTACAGGCATGAGCCACTGTGCCTGGCCTCATGATTTTTAAATTTTTTGGAATGTAATACATTTTATGTATCAAATCAATTAATGAGTTTCAATTTTTCAAGAATTTCTACAAGAATCCTAATTATATCTAATAGAAATAGTGGTATTATTACATTTTACATAAAAGAAAATTAATGTAATTAAATATGTTGATTGATTGTAACCACTGAAATTAATGTGTCCATGATGGTATTAGCTCCAGATGCTCCTTTAATACAAAATATGCACATACTATACATATCTTTTTAGGAGATTGTTCTCTTTACTGTAATATCTAATTAAAATATGCAAAAAAAGATTTTTGTGTGAAATACTGGGCAGCTTATTATCAGCTTCTATTGTTTTTATTTGCTCAAATGTTAGATTTTAAAGCTCAGTTTAATAGAGAAAGCTATGAAACATTTTCTGAAATCTTAAGTTCGGCTGCTTACATTTTTTTTAGTTATCTACTCTTCTGACTAACAGGTGGGGAGTTAATAGGCATACAAATCATTAAAGCAATGTCACAGTGATAAAATTGTGATAAAAGGACTAAAAACTTCCCCTGAATTTGGCAGCTCTTTAAGAGTATGCTGAAATATAGATTGGAATAAATGTTATAATCAGTTATTATAGAAGGAGAGTATGTGACAAGCATGCTTGATATACATGTTGAAGGCCATTATTTAGATTTAAAGTAATTCCTTGGAAACCACAGGGGATTGCTTCCAGGACCCCTCACAAATACCAAAACCCATGGATGCTCAAGTACCTTATATAAAATGGTGCAGTATTTGCATATAATCTATGCATCTATGCACATCATCCCTTATACCATCCTTTTTTTTTCTGAATATTTCCAATCCATAGTTGGTTGAATCCACAGATGTGGAACCCACGGATATAGAAGGCCGGCTGTATCTGTACGTGTGCGTGTGTTTGTGTATGAAATAATAGGTACTATCAGTTCTTATAAAAAAGAATACGTGTTAAATGTCCAGAATGTGAACTGTGCAGGATTTCACTAGATCCAAAGTTAAGTGAAAAAGGGATGTGACAGGTCCTGGTGGCTGAATGATGTCCACTCACTGGGAGGTGACCAATCAAACCAAGACTTGTCACAGTGGAAAACAGCCCTTAGAGAGTCCTTTATAAAAGAGAACGTCACTGGGCTGGGCCAAATAGGAGCAGCCATGTGATAAGTACTTGGGGAAATGGAAGGGAACAATGCTCCTACAAAAGAAAACTAGAAGACACATTGTCCCCTGATGGCCATGACATCAAGGGAAGTGGACAAATGGACCCAACGCTATGCTGACCTGCAACATGGTAAAAGGTGATCTGTAACGTGCGTGGTGAAAGGTGATCTGTGACTCTAAAAGCCACTGGAGCCAACAGTGACTGATTGAGCAAGGTCAGCATAAGCTGAACCTGCCTCAAAAAAAAAAGCAAATTCTTCTGATATATCAAGAGGGAGGATCACTTGAGGCCAGGAGTTTGAGACTACCCAGGGAAACACAGCGAGGCCCCATCTCTACAAAAAATAAAAAAGTAGCCAGGCATGGTGGTGCGCTCCTATAGTCCCAGATGCTCAGGAGGCTGAGGTGGGAGGATCACTTGAGCCCAGGAGGTTGAGGCTGCAGTGAGCTCTGATTGTGCCACTGCACTCTAGGCTAGGCACCAGAGTGAGACTCTGTCTCTAAATAAATAAATATAAAATAAAAGTAGTGTTGCACTGACATGTCCACATGAAATGAGAAAAAATATCAACAATTAAAGCTTGAGTGATTTTTCTATAGTGCTAGCTATTCAGGAGGTTGTGGCAGGAGGATCACTTGAACCCAGGAGGTTGAGGCTACAGTGAGCTGTGATTGTGCCACTGTACTCCAGCGTGGATGACACAGTGAGATCCTGTCTTGAAAAACAAACTAACCAACAAAAAACATAATCAGCAATACAAAATAAAAATGGAACTCCCCCCTTAACTCACTTTTTGCACTTATCACAATCACTGTACTTAATACATTGCATCTTATTTTTCTACATGTTTCCTTTAAGAGTATAACTTGAGGGAAGAGATTGTGTCCTTAGTCATGTCTGGCACATGGTAGGCCCTCAATAAATGTTTATTAAATGACAAATCAACGCCTAAGCCATTTTTAAAAAGAAAATAAAAATGAATTCGAAGGGTAGAAATTTCCATTGTTTTACCACGTACCATTTCTACCTACTCTGCCATAAATAACTTAAGAATATCCTTAAAAATTCAAAGTGCTTCAATTTACCTACACTGTGACCACCAGAGTTCCATCTGGTTCTGCTCTGGAAGGCAAAGAGCAACAAGCCGTGGAGAAGCAGAACCAACAACACATTCCACCAGCAATTTCAGAAGCAATGTGAACACATTCCATTGGTGATTCCCACTGTGGAGAGGTTTTACATGAGATTCCTTGCTGGGAGATTGGTGAGATTAAAAAAACTATAAAATTCTTGTTGCTATAAGAATTTTCAAATGTTAACGTTTTAAAATTATGGGTGATACACACAAATGTTTTCTATATTGTCTGTATTCTTCTGTATTTTAAATTGTTTGCAAATTGTTAATACAAATGCACAAAAAAGTAATTCTTAGGAATGTGGGCCTATTTGAGAGGTAGAAAATAAAGAACTTGATACAAATTTGCTAATAAAAAGTCTGATCACTCATTTACCAGGGAATTGTCTTTTAGGGCACAAATATGGAAAACTCCTTTCTGTTTCTTCTTATTAGGTGTGACGATGTAGTGCCAAGGATGGCCTCCAATCTGAAAAGCATTCTCCAGGGATGACACCTCAAAGAGCAGTGGTGGCATGTCTGTAGAGACAGGAAAAGGAATTCATTAGCTGCACTGTTCTGGGGGCTCTGGACTATTCATTAACTGAATTCAACCTTTCTTTGCATGCAACATCTATAAATTTCTATTAATGAAAAATTACTATGTTCAAGGAAATAAAATACAATCAGGTAAGGAGTTTATTGTAAGAAAAGAAACAGCCAGTCGGAACCTAAATTAGGCTGAATCAACTTTCTAGGTATCTGTTTTCAGGAGGTATATGTGGCCCGCAGGTGAGTAGAGATTGAAACTGGGCTAAAGGTGTTTATGATGGTAAGAAATGACAAAGTACATTTAATAAAAGTAGCGGACATTTATTGAACATCTACTATGTAAAGACTCTGGGTTAGATACTATTTCCAACTCTCATAATAATCCTACAAGGTAATTAGGTCTAATAATGCCTTCAAATGTGAGGAAGAGATCTTCCACATCCTGGACTAACAGGTATACTCAGGTATACATCTATCTTGCTTAAGATTTCCAGTACAGAGGAGTATTAGTCCCAATGAATGTAACCACTTAGGAAAGGGCCTGTCACAATGAAAGCTTTATTACAGGATAGTCACTACTACCACTATTATCATCAGACAAGTTAACTTTAAGGTAGTTCAGATATATCCAGTCAGTTTCTTTTGAAGACTGACACTGTAAAATAAATTTCTCTTGGTGCTAAAAAGCACCAAGAGAAATTTTTAGTCATCTTCTTTTATCACAACTTTAAGTAGGGCATAATAGATCTATTCTTAGATGCATAAATAGAAGGTATAGCAATTTTAGAAGACCTGAATTCATTTCAAGCAGCCTTTAGGAAACACCACATGGTCTGTTTGGGCAGGTGGCTAACCTATGACTGCCTTATTTACCCTCTAACTTGAGAATTTAATTTTTAGTTTATGAGGCCACTACTATTAGTAAAGGGGCTTGTCTTAGGAAGATGATTCGTGTAAGAGTCACATGTTATATACAGAAGTGCATACTTTATTAAGCATCTTCATAAGGACAATGTACTACTTAGAGCTATACATGGGAAAAAAACACAAATGGTTCACCCTTAAACAACATGAGGGTTAGGGGCACCAATCCCCTGTGTAGTCAAAAATCCACGTACAACTTTTTTTTTTTTTTTTTTTTTTTTTTTGAGACAGTCTCGCTCTGTCACCTAGGCTGGAGTGCAGTAGCACAATCTTGGCTCACTGCAACCTTCACCTCCTGGGTTCAAGCAATTCTCATGCCTCAGCCTCCTAAGTATTACACAGCCTCCTAAGTATTACAACCTCCTAAGTATTACACCTGGAATTACGGGTGTATGCCACCACACTCAGCTAGTTTTTGTCTTTTTAGTAGAGACAGGGTTTCACTACGTTGGCCAGGCTGGTCTCAAACTCCTGGCCACAAGCGATCCGCCTGCCTCGGCCTCCCAAAGTGCTTGGATTACAGGTGAGCCACTGTGCCCAGCCAAACTTTTGACTTCCCCAAAACTTAACTACTAATAGCCTACTGTTGACCAGAAGCCTTACCAATAACATAAATAGTCAATTAACACATAAACTAGTATCTACATATGTTTGATGCACTCATCATGTACCTTTTTCTTAATTTTTTCCATATTTCTAGGCTATGCGGTTCATCTGTGATTTTTTTTTTAATTGTGGCAAATCTCCAAAAAATTTTCCTGTATTTATTGAAAAAAATCTGTGTATAAGTGGACTTGTGCAGTTCAAACCTGTGTAAAGGGTCAACTTTCATAAAAAGTGGTTCACAAAAAATCTTGAGGAAAAAGAAGAGACAGGCATAAACATATCAAATATATGTCAAGTGCTTATTTTTTTAATCTTTTAAGAAAAGGGTAGTATCTTTAATATATAAAGGTCTTTTAAGCAATAAAAAATATAAACACCCCAATAGAAAAAGGGAAAAAGGCATGAGTTGGTAAATTATAAGAGAAATACACACATTGTATGTGATGATATGGTGGATGAAGAAGAGAAAAATTATTAAAAGAAAAACATACAATTAGAGTTGGAATTTGGGGTTGAAATCAACTAGGTATGTTATAGAGAATGTGAAATTTAATATATAAAGAATATGAAATTCAATATAGAGGACATAGGAATTCAAAATAGAAAAAAAAAAAAAAACAGTACAAACAGATGTACTTAAAAAGAAATACCTTTCCCAGTAAATGCAAAAAATGACCCAAAAGTAGCACTATTACTCTGCCCACAACTCTAATGTGCCCTGTGAACCCAAGAGCCCCAATTTTGATCTCTAATATTCTCAATGAAAAAGGCCTAAAAATTCTCAGAGTAGCTGATTCCATGTCTTGTGGTAAGAAAATTTTATGATGGGTGTGGACAATCTGTTGTTTCGAGAAAGCAAGGATGTTCACAAGGATATCAGAGAGAAGTATTAAAAGAGTAGGAGAGCCAGCAAAAGGGCTTCCACTTCCTACATTGTGAAAAAAAGGGGCCTTAAAAAGAAAACAAATATTATGATTAATTAAAATACTTAAAATCTGTGAAAGGTCAAATAATACTTTAAAAGACAATTTTAACATAAAGCATACAAAATAACTTTACTATTTATCAAAGAAGAAGGGCTACACCTGTAATACAATATGATTTTTTCTAGAATTTTTAAATGTAGGGGATAATTAACTTGATATATTTCTTCTACCAAATAAATGTTTACTTAGAAAATTTGCCCAGGTGTGGTGGCTCACGCCTGTAATCCCAACACTGCAGGAAGCCAAGGTGGGTGGATTGCTTGAGCCCAGGAGTTCGAGACCAGCCTGGGCAACATGGCAAAACCTCACCTCTACTAAAAATAAAAAAATTTTTTTTAATTTAGATACATGTTAAGTAAAATTATAAGGTATAGAACAGAGGATATGATATACTGCATTTGATGTAAGAAAGAAGATTAAATATTTAAAGTATGCAAACATAAATTTGCTTATTTTTGCAAAAAGAAACAATAGTAAGATAAACCAGAATCTAAAAACAATGGTTACTGATGAGAGTAACAGGATTAAAGGAAATAATAAAAAATAAAAACAGAAAGCAATGAAATAGAAAATGGGGCTGGGCACAGTGGCCCATGT
This sequence comes from Homo sapiens, assembly GCF_000001405.40. NCBI lineage: Eukaryota > Metazoa > Chordata > Mammalia > Primates > Hominidae > Homo > Homo sapiens. Next base: position 171,465,762 of record NC_000002.12, on the reverse strand, counting down.
CTGTAATCCCAGCACCTTGGGAGGCCAAAGTGGGTAGATTGCCTGAGGTCAGGTGTTCAAGACCAGCCTGGCCAAGGTGGCAAAACCCCACCTCTACTAAGAATACAAAAAAACAATTAGCCAGGTGTGGTGGTGTGTGCCTGTAGTCCCAGCTACCCAGGAGGCTGAGGCAGAATTGGTTGAACCAAGGAGTGGAGGTTGCAGTCAGCTGAGATCGCGCCACTGCACTCCAGCCTGGGTGACAGCAAAACTCTCAAAACAAAAAGAAAAGAAATTTCCAAGAGTGTATCTTTTTATTCGGTTTCAACCTTTCAACTATATACACATTTCACAATTTCAAGAATAAACTCAAAAGGAAAACAGCAAACCCCAAAATCGAAAACAAAATGAAACAAATGAATCTAATTAGGTCATGCTGGTAGCTTAATCCTATAGAAAAATGATTTCAAATCGCCTTTGAACACATCACTCCATGTGTATACTTACTGGGCTGTACACTAAGGAGAAAAGAAACTGCAGGGAAATCTTAACCTTCACCCCATACTTTTTTTTTTTTTTCCTTTTTGAGACAGAGTTTCACTCTGTCACCCAGGCTGGAGTGCAGTGGCGCAATCTCGGCTCACTGCAACCTCCACCTCCCGGGTTCATGCGATTCTCCTGCCTCAGCCTCCCGAGTAGCTGGGATTACAAGTGCACACCACCACGCCTGGCTAAATTTTTTCTATTTTTAGTAGAGACAGGGTTTCACCATGTTGGCCAGGCTAGTCTTGAACTCCTGACCTCAAGTGATCCACCTGCCTTGGCCTCCCAAAGTGCTGGGATTACAGGTGTGAGCCACCGCACCTGGCCCATACTTTAGTTCTTAGTAGTAACACTGGTACTGCAATTTTAAGACTATCATATATATATAGTAGGATAAAGTTTTATTAGAAATCAAGAAGCTCAGTATGAGTTAAGAGAAATACAAATATAATCAAAAAAGAACGGCTAAATTTGGAAGTATGAAAATGAGCTAATGAATTTTTGTTTTAATGTATTTCTCAGCTCTGTTCATTTAAAGGACCTAAAAGTAAAGATATCCAACTGCAATGAACACAACTAGATCTGGGTCTCTGTTGTGAGTTGACTTGTGTTCCCTCAAAAGATATGTTAAAGTCCTAACCCCCAGTACTGGTAAATGTGACTTTATTTGCAAATAGGATCTTTACAGATATAATCAAGTTAAGATCATACTGGATAAGGATAGGACCTAAATTCAATGACTGGTGTCCTTATAAGGAGAAAGAGATTTGAAGACACAGAGGGAGAAAGGCCATGGAAAAGTGAGAGGCAGAATTTGGAGTTATGCTGCCACAAGCCAAGAAACACCAAAGATTGTGAACAACCACCAGAAGCGAGAAGGGGTAAGAAAGGATTCTTCCCTAGAGCCTTCAGAGGGAGGCTACCTCTGCCAACACCTTAATTCTGAATTTCTAGACTCCAGAACTGTGAGAGAATCAATTTCCATTGTTTAAAGCTGCCCAGTTTGTAGTGTTGCTCTCTAGGAAACTGAGAGTCTCTAATGACGTTCTCTAATAAAATGGCCCCCTATCAGAAATAGGAAAGTTAAAGGTAAGCCTGGGACACATTATTGTTCTAGAAAGCGAGGAAATTCTCTAAGATTACTGGAGTGTGTCAAAATGGAGTTTCTGTTGGCCAAATTCAGGACAATTTGAACATCATTAAGAATAATAACTATTACTATATAATATTGGACAAATAAAAAATCCACAAGTCTATTGTGTTTATATATGTGTGTTTGTCTGTAAAACATTTTGCTGGCATCAAAAGTGACTATTATACCAACTCCTTGCTCTGAATATTGATAATTAAAGGGAAGAAATAAGTCTTTAACTTGCCTTTTGGAAGGAAATACAGTTTATCTCTAGCTGATGAGTTAAAGCTTTTATTTCTAGAAAAATGCCAGCTATTGAAGGTAAAAGCAGTAACAGAGTTTTAAAAACTGCCATTCTGCAAATCACATGACATAACTGATTCAGGCAAGGATCACTAATAGTTATAGAAATATGCTATTTGTAATCACAAAATTAGAAACAAACTAAATGTCCAAAGTAGGGAACTGGTTAAGTAAATTATGGTTCATTTGTAAAATGGCATATAGGTCAAGTTCTGAACATCTCAAGGAGATGCACACACACAGAACCACTTTGTCACATAGGTAATACAAGCACTACATTTTAGAAGTATCAGAAGATATAATGAAAACTAAGTCTTCCTTTGATCTGTATCTCTTCCGATTTATCAAGTTTTTATGTGTCCTTTCAGATATTCCAAGCAAATCCAAAAGCACATCACCATATATATATTCCTTTAATACATGAGTATGAATACTTTACACAATACTTTACACAAATGAAGATTTTTATATACACAGTTTTGCACCGATTTTTTTTTTTTTTTTACTTAATAGTACACATCCTGGAAATTATCCTATACCAGTGCAAAAAGAATTCTTCTTTCTGTTTTTTTTTTTTTTTTAAAATCTCGCTCCATCGCCCAGGCTGGAGTGCAGTGGCGCAGTCTCACTCACCGCAACCTCTGTCTCCTGGGTTCAAGTGATTCTCGTGCCTCAGCCTCCTGAGTAGCTGGGATCACAGGTGCTCGCCACCACACCTGACTAATTTTTGTATTTTTAGTAGAGACAGGGTTTCGCCATGTTGGCTAGGCTGGTCTCGAACTCCTGACCTCAAGTGATCCACTTGCCTCGCTTCCCAAAGTGCTCAGATTACAGGCATGAGCCACTATGCCCAGTTAAAACTCCTCCTTCTTTTTAACAATTTAGCAATTAAATTTGTGATACAGCTATATGGTGATATAATAATACTAATGCCACTTACCAATGTATAGATTGTTTCCAATCTTTTGTATACGATGATATAATAATACTAATGTCACTTACCAATGTATAGATTGTTTCCAATCTTTTGCTATTAGAAACAATGTTTTAATTGTACATTTATCACTTTCTGTACAAGTGAATATATCTGGGATAAATTCCTAGTACTGAAGTTGCTGGGTTCAAGGAGTACACGCATTTAAAATTTTGATACATATTAACAAACTGTCATATTGACAAATTGTTGGGGGCCATAAAGGGTCCCAACAATAAATGAAAGTGCCTAAACTTTTACCAACCATATTGTATCGAAAGTTCTAACTTTCTGATATTTAAGAATCTGAAGAGATGTTATCTTATAATAATTTTAATTTACATTTGTCTTATCAGTGACATTGAGCTTTGCACTCCCCTAATTAAAAGTCATTTATATTTCTGTTTCTTTTAAACAATATCCTTTGATCATTTTGTAATTGTGTTATCACTCCTTTTCTTATTGATCTATAGAACCCTTCACATATTAAGGAAATTGCCCCATTACAGTATGATTTGTAACTATGTCTCCTGTTGTTATTTGAGTTGGTTTATGTTGTATATTTCTGGGGATTTTTTGCCATGCAGAATTTTATTTTTATATAATCAAATTTATCAATCTCTTCTTTTATGGCTTTGGGTTTTGTGCCATACTTAAAAAGGTCTTCCCCACACTGAGATAAAAAGATTCTCCCAAGTTTTCTTCTAAAACTTTTAAGTCTTTGATCCATCTATTATTTAAGAGTGAGATAGGATTACAACTTTGTTGTTTTCACAAGGCCACCTATTAAATAATCTAGATGGAAATACTCATAATATATTAACATCAAAAAGTGGGTTAGGCTATAGATACATGCAACAACATGAAACGAATCTCAAATATAATATCCTGAGTGAAAGAAGCCAAACCAAAAAATACATGCCATGTGATTTCATTAATATAAAACTCCAGAAAATATAAATTTAATCTACTGTGAAAAAAAAGCAGATCACTGGTTGCCTAGGGCTGGGTTAAGAGAGGAATTTACTGCGAAGAGCACAGGGGAACTTTTTGGGATGATGAAAAGATTCTAAATCTTGACTGTAGTGGTGATTTCATGGATGTATACATTTGACAAAACTCAAACTGTACAGTTAAAATGGGTGCATTTTAATTACATGTAAATTATACCTCAATAGAGTTGATTTCTTAACAAGTGAGTTATAAAAGAGCACTTATGGTATGATTCTTTTCTTGGTTTTAAACATATAGAAATATATACATTATAAGATTAGAAAATTACACATCAAGGAGATAACAGTTAACCCCATGTAAGAGGACTATAATGTTTTACATTTTCTCTTTTGCTTATCTTTATTTCCCAATTTTTAAATTTTATTTTATTTTTTCTTTTTTTCTTTCCTTTTGAGACAGAGTCTTGCTCTGTCGCCCAGGCTGGAGTGCAGTGGCACGATCTCGGCTCACTGCAACCTCTGCCTCCTGGGTTCAAGCAATTCTCCTGCCTCAGCCTCCTGAGTAGCTGAGATTACAGGCTAATTTTTTGTATTTTTGGTAGAGACGGGGTTTCACTGTGTTGGCCAGGCTGGTCTTGCACTCCTGACCTCAAGTGATCTGCCCGCGTCAGCCTCCTAAAGTGCTGGGATTACAGGCATGAGGCACCACGCCTGGCCAATTTCCCAATTTTTTAAATAATGCAAAGGAACTGCTTTTGCACTAAGAAAAAAAGTTATTTAAAGTTAAAATAAATACTATTTGTATAGACCTTAAGATTGAAAAACAAATTTGGAGAAATGAATGGGATTTAAGTCTCTACAGTATGAAATAAACACTGAAAGCTTCCAATATAATGTGCTAATTTTCTTAGTCAAACATACAAAAATCATTGAATTATTTTTTTTTACAATGACAAATGATTTCATAGATCATGTTTTCAAATATTATTATTTCAAAGTTTCAAAATTTGAGGCCCAGAGAGGTTAAATAACTTGCCCACTATCAGCTGGGCACAGTGGCTCATGCCTGTAATCCCAGCACTTTGGGCGGATGAGGTAGGCAGACTGCTTGAGCCCAGGAGTTCAAGGCCAAATTGAGCAACATAGTGAAACACCATCTCCACCAAACAAAAAATACAAAAATTAGCTGGGTGTGGTGGCATGCACCTGTAGTCCCAGCTACTTGGGAGGCTAATGTAGGATGATCACTTGAGCCCAAGAGGTGGAGGTGGCAGTGAGCTGTGATCTCTCCACTGCACTCCACTCTGGGCAACAGAGTGAGACCCTGTCTCAAAATTAATAATAATAATAATAATAATAATAATTTGCCCACTATCATACCACCAATTAGTAGCAGAGTGTCACCCTTACTAGTCAGCAGACTAAAATTCTGATCCCAAATCCAGTCTTCTTTCTAAAAAAAGGGATAAAACTCCAGGTCAATTCTTCAGGCTCTATGTACTTTGTCTTTATCATCTTTGTTCTTTTGTTTTACTCACTTTTTTTTTTTTTTTTTTTGAGATGGAATCTCGCTCAATCGCCCAGGCTAGAGTGCAGTGGCACGATCTCGGCTCACTGCAACCTCCATCTCCTGGGTTCAAACAATTCTCCTGCCTCAGCCTCCCAAGTAGCTGGGATTACAGGTGCCTGCCACCGTGCCTAGCTAATTTTTGTATTTTTAGTAGAGATGGGGTTTCACCATGTTAGCCAGGCTGGTCTCGAACTCCTGACCTCGTGATCCACCCGCCTCAGCCTCCCAAAGTGCTGGAATTACAGTCTTGAGCCACTGTGCCCAGACTTTACTTACTTTTTATTTGCATTTCAACAAGAAAAATGCTACCATTTGGAAAAACTCTGTCCAAAATAACCCATTTCAAAATAACCTGGTTACCACTGCAGCCTACAGTTTTAAAATTCTTAATAGATTGCTTTTAATGTATTTGTACTGAATACAGGAGGTATTGCTAGAGCTGAATTTTCATACAACTGCCTAATTCAGTTTGTCCAAGGCATCTAAAAACTTGAGTAATTTTTAAAATATTTATTTTGAACTTCATGAATAACTTACTTGAACTCCCAGTAGTTTTTATAATTTGTCATTTACTACCAAAAATAATATTTTTTTCCTTTTGAACAATGACATCATTCATTTCTGTTTCTTGGTCTATTACTAATACAATGTTAAGGAAAAATGATAGAAAAAATTCTTATCTTATTCTGCATATATTAGAAAATCCTTTGGCATTTCACCTAAAAATATAATGCTTATTGGTTGGTTATAAATAAGAGGAATGTGTTCAACATGATAAGGAATGAGTCTTAATGAACAAGAATTAAGATAAACAGATATTAGGATAATAAAGAAAATTTTCTCTTTTAGTTTACTCATGTGATCTTTATAGCTACTAAATTTGTAAACATTAAACCATCCTTGGATTCCTGAGATGAACTCTGAACAGTCATGATCTATTTCTTTTAATGTACTACTACTGAATTTGAGTAATAGTTGATTTCTTTTCTTTTTTTTTGAGATGGAGTTTCGCTCTTGTTGCCCAGGCTGGAGTGCAATGGCATGATCTTGGCTCACCACAACCTCTGCCTCCTAGGTCTAAGTTATTCTCCTGCCTCAGCCTCCCTTGCGAGTAGGTGGGATTACAGGCATGTGCCACCACGCCTGGCTAATTTGTATTTTTAGTAGAGATGGGGTTTCTCCACGTTGGTCAGGCTGGTCTCAAACTCCCAACCTCAAGTGATCCGCCCGCCTCAGCCTCCCAAAGTGCTGGGATTACGGGCATGAGCCACCATGCCTGGCCAGTTGATTTCTTTTCTAACAACTGAATTTCATAAGCTAAATATAGAACATTTTTACTATATTTATAGACTTGTATATAATTTTCTTTTTGTGATTTGGCACTCTTTAAGTATACTGGGAAGTTCTGTCTGTGTCTAAGCTCTATGTTCAGATGTCATGGTAAAAATTTTTTCTTGGAAAACACCTTTCTTAGAGAGGGGGTAAATTTCATCGAATTGTAAAATACTAAGTTATAAGAGAGCTAAGATGGTATCATTTGCTGCAACTCATTTTGCAGATAAGGAAATCAAGGATCAGAAAAGTAAAGTGAATTGCTAAAGGTCTGTGGCCAAGCAAGGCTCAGCATCCCCAGGCCTTTGGTTCAATGAATAACTGACAGATTTTCCTCGAAGCTTATTCATTATTGAATAGCAAGGCACATGATGTATAGGAGTAAAATGAATTGAGTTTTTTAAATAAATGAGAAAAACATTTGGATGACTATAATTAATAACTATTTATATGACCACTTAATTTTTTTAAGGTGAAAAAATACTATAGAGTAGCCATACCTGTGATTTTAATATTACAAGGAATGCCAAAAGGAGCCTCTCCTACAGTTCCAGTAGTCCCACCCCATCTGCATGCACACCCTAAGTCAAGTTTCTGTTGCATGAACTAAAAACAAAACAAAACAAAAATGGTGGCTTTAGCACCTATTTATTTGATATCTGGAGAGAACAAAAATAAAATTCACATGTATATGACAAAGAAAATGTCTTTTTCCAATGGCCTTTCTGTTTATCTTCCCCACCCCTGCTTTAAAGGTTACTTGTCTTCTACATTTCTACAGTTTTTTAGAGCCAAAATCTACAGAAGTGCCTTACTCTAAAAGCATCTCACTAAAAAAAAAAATCATACTTTAGTCGAAAACTCATGCTAATAGTAACATGACAAATTTCAGTTTTCTCTACCTGTTCAGCGATGGTTTGGAAGCTATAGAGTCTGACCAGTCCTGAGCTGTACATCACAATCAGTATTCCATGAGACAAGGTAGCATCTGTAACGTTCCCAAAAATCTGGCGGGGGGAAAGACAGATATCACCTGAGAAAAGACTGGAAGTCCAATCCTCTGAATGTTCACAGTGGTTTGTACTCTTGCTTAATATTCATGTCACTATGATAACACTGCCGCCTAGCATTAAAACCTCATTATAATTTATCACCTTGAGGCTAGGGTGTTATTAGGAGTGAACAGTAAGCCACTGGATTCTCATACTGGAGCACTAATGGAAGTGCGGCACACATCCCTCAGAATAATGCACCAGCATTCATCTGCTTCATAGCATTGTCAATATCTATTAATAACAAATTCCATTCCTCATAGACACTGGCATACACCAAGGCCATGTCGTTCTAAATGAATATTTAATCTACTATTCATACTCTTCCAAGGATCAATTCTTTATGCTAAAATGTTCTTTATAAAATAGAGACAAATTTTTAGTTAATTAGAGGTGCCCAGCCCCTGGATAGTCTTTCATGCATGGTAAGTGAAAGATGTTCTTCAATCCCAAGTAACAATATTTAAAACCAAATCTCTCTAATTGCATATTTTTCTATTATTCTTATTTTTATACAATTCAGCAGCTTAATCAAAAACAAACTACTTAAATGAAGATGTCCTTGTCCAATTACCTTGGAAATACAGGAATAGAGGAAGATGTCCAATTACCTTGGACATACAGGAATAAATAGAAACAGTTTATTACTTTGCCACATGTTCATTTCTGTTGTAGACTGTAATAAGCAAACATAAGTACTTAACCTACAGGCACAGAGAGAACAATTAAATTATGAGTTGTATTTTTTGTCATCTCTTAGAAGGATAAGTATTGTTTACTCTGACATTGACTAGTTCATGACTTTTTAATTCACTGATCCTAGTTTCCCACTTTGAAAAAAGACATCTTGTCACTCCCCTTGAAAACCAGCACAAGACAAGGATGTCCACTCTCACCATTCCTATTCAACAGTGTGTTGGAAATTCTGGCCAGAGCCATCAGGCAAGAGAAACAAATAAAAGGCATTCAAATAGGAAGAAAGGAAGTCAAACTATCCCTCTTTTCAAACGACATGATCCTGTATCTAGAAAACCCCATTGTCTAATCCAAAAGCTTCTTAAACTGATAAGCAACATCAGCAAAGTCTCAGGATACAAAATCAATATGCAAAAATTGCTAGCATTCCTATACAACAACCACAGTCAAGCCAAGAGTTAAATAATGAACAAACTCTCATTCACAGTTGTCCTAAAAAGAATAAAATACCTAGGAATACAGCTAACAGAGGAAGTGAAAGATCTCTACAAGGAGATCTACAAAGATGACACAAACAAATGGAAAAACACTCCATGTTCATGGTTAGGAAGAATCAATAGCATTAAAATGGCCATATTGGCCAAAGCAATTTATATATTTAATGCTATTCCCATTAAACTACCACTGATGTTCTTCACAGAACTAGAAAAAACTATTTTAGAATTCCTATGGAACCAAAACAGAGGCTGAATTAGCCAAGGCAATCCTAAGCAAAAAGAACAAAGCTGGAGACATCATGCTATCTGACTTCAAACTATACTACAGGGCTACAGTAACCAAAACAGCATGGTACTGGTACAAGAACAGAAACATAAACCAAGAGAGAACCCAGAAATATTAATAAGACTGCACACCTGTAACTATCTGATCTTCGACAAACTTGACAAAAACAAGCAATGGGGAAAGGATTCCCTGTGGTGCTGGGATAACTGGCTAGCCATATGCAGAAAATTGAAACTCGACCCCTTCCTTACACCATACGCAAAAATTAACTCAAGATGGATTAAAGACTTAAATCTAAAACCCAAAACTATAAAAACCCTGGAAGATAACCTAGGCAATATCATTCTGGACATAGGCATGGGCAAAGATTTCATGATGAAAACACCAAAAGCAATTGCAACAGAAGCAAAAATTGACAAATAGGATCTACTTAAACTAAAGAGCTTCTGCACAGCAAAAGAAACCATCAACAGAGTCAACAGACATCCTACAGTATGGAAGAACATTTTTGCAATCCATACCTCTGACAAAGGTCTAATATCCAGAATCTAAAAGGAACTTCAACAAATTTACAAGAAAAAAAAACAACCCCATTAAAAAGTGGGCAAAGGACATGAACAGATACTTCTAAAAAGATGGCATACATGTGGCCAACAAGCACATGAAAAAAAGCTCAACATCACTGATCATTAGAGAAATGCAAATCAAAACCACAATGAGGTACCATTTCACACCAGTCAGAATGGATATTATTAAAAAGTCAAAAAATAACAGATGCTGGCAAGGTTGTGGAGAAAAGGAAACACTTATACACTGTTTGTGTCAATGGAAATTAGTCTGACCATTATGGAAGACAGTGTGGTGGTTCCTCAAAGACCTAAAGACAGAAATACCATTTAACCCTGCAATCCCATTACTGGGTATATATCCAAAGGGATATAAATCCTTCTATTATAAATATAAAAGACACATGCACATATACGTTCACTGCAGCACTGTTCACAAGAGCAAAGACATGGAACCAACCTAAATGTCCATCAGTGATAGACTGGGTAACGAAAATGTTGTACATATACACCAGGGAATACTATGCAGCCACAAAAAGAACAAGATCATGTCCTTTGCAGGGACGTGGATGGAGCCAGAGGCCATTAACCTTAGCAAACTAAAACAGGAACAGAAAACCAAATACTCCATGTTCTCACTTGTAAGTGGGAGTTAAATGATGAGAACACATGGAATGATGAGAATACATGGACACATAGAGGGGAACAACACACACTCGGGCCTATCGGAGGGTGGAGGGTGGAGGGTGGGAGGAGGGAAAGGATCAGGAAAAATAACTAATAGATATTAGGCTTAAACCTGAGGAATGAAATAATCTGTACAACAAACCCCCATGACACATGTTTATCTATATAACAAACCTGCACATAATGCACATGTACCCCTGAACTTAGAAGTTAAAAAAAAAAGAAAATATATAAAGAAAAGCTTTAAAAAAAGAAAGAAAAAGTAAAAGAAGAAAAAGAGGACTTGTGCAATTCAAACTTTTTTTTTTTTTGAGATGGAGTTTTGCTCTGTTGCCGTGGCACAATCCTGGCTCACTGCAATATCTACCTCCTAGGTTCAAGCGATTCTCCCACCTCAGCCTCCCGAGTAGCTGGGACTACAGGTGTGCACTACCACCCGTGGCTAATTTTTATATTTTTAGTAGAGACGGGGCTTCACCATGTTGGCCAGGCTGGTATTGATCTCCTAACCTCAAATGACCGGCCTGCCTCAGCCTCCCAAAGTGCTGAAATTACAGGTGTGAGCCACTGCACCAGGCCAATTCAAACATATTTTAAAATAATGAGTGCTGGCCAGGCGCGGTGGCTTATGCCTGTAATCCCAGCACTTTGGGAGGCTGAGGTGAGCAGATCACGAAGTCAGGAGATCGAGACCATCCTGGCTAACACAGTGAAACCCCGTCTCTACTAAAAATACAAAAAATTAGCCGGGTGTGGTGGCAGGCGCCTGTAGTCCCAGCTACTCGGGAGGCTGAGGCAGAAGAATTGTTTGAACCCAGGAGGCAGAGATTGCAGTGGGCAGAGATTGCGCCACTGCACTGCAGCCTGGGTGACAGAGCAAGACTCTGTCTCAAAAAAAAAAAAAATTAATAATAATAATAATGACTGCTATAATAAAGTAGCCAATCTGTTTTAATTCTAGATCCTCTACTTGCCACCTTTAGGATTTAGGTAGCTGCTTTTTATTTTTTATTTTAATTTTTTAGAGACAGAGTCTAACTCTGTCACCCAGGCTGGAGTGTAGTGGTGCAATCATAATTCATCAAAGCCTTGAATTCCTGGGCTCAAACCATTCTCCTGCCTCAGCCTTCTGAGTAGCTGGGACTGCTGCTTAACTTAATTAAATATATACGTTACAATGTTGTAAAATATTCAAAGTGCATGGCACAAAATAAGCAATGAACGGTAACTAATATTACTCTTTAGCCATTATGCAGTTTAGTATATAATGCTTACATAATGTAAAATTTTAATACATTCAACTTGTTTGCTTATAAAGATCAGTAGATCCTCAAGATACTGTCCTCTACAATACTTCAGGTGCTGAATTAAAGACCAGTAGGAGAGCTCAATAAATAACTATGCACCAAGAATAAGTAACTTTTTTTTTTAAAGTAGAATCCTATTCATTCTTTTACTCAAAGGAAATTTGCTCCTTCTTTCCTCCCATGTAACTGCTCCACAAGTCAAGAACAAATGGGAACAACAATAAAACCCAAAACTGAATGAATTGGAAAATTTACATATTTAAATATAAGGCTTGTTATATATCATAAAGCAAGTTTTAGACCTATATCTTGCAATTAAAATGAAATATTTTGTTGCAACTTTTCACCTTCCTTTAATGATCTTTTTAACAAGCTTTGGAATGTTCCTTCTGGAAAAAAAAAACCTTACTCATTTTGTAATTTCATAACATAGTAGTTTGTTAATGACCACAGGTATCCAATATGATCCACCTGAGAGGCATAAAAACATGCAGAAAGATGAAGGGATATTAGGCAAATGTTCTCATGTATTTTGTTACAAAATAAACCAAGTTAGTGAACTTTTTATAGTGAGGGGAGCATTTCCAATCAAATATCTCATAAATAATTAAATAATGACATTACAACTTATTGTCAATAAAATATTGCAATTAAATAAGAAATGAGTTCTTACCTTTTTGTTGATCTCTAGAATCCCTACAAGTGAAAAAGGTAGAACTCGGAACACTGCAAGGTACAGCAAAACATGTTGTTGAATGCCTGCCTAGAAGGAAAGACTACAATTACACGCAGCTCTCAAAAGTACTTCAGAAACACACTGTTTTCATTAGTTGAAAAAATCCATCTGTTCTAGCATGTAGTTATACAGACATTTTCATATTATGAAAACAACCATCTATCTAGATTGCAAAGTTACTTAAATGGAAGGGCAACATATTCAAAACATGTCCACTAAAGCTTCAGCCCTTCAGACACACATGCGCATATATACAGACAAAAATCCATAAAAGTAAACATTTCTTAGCAATAAAATACCATGCATTTATATTTTGAATTGGAGTTTGAACAATAAAGAGCCTAATAAAAAGATAATGTAGTTATCGTGCTCATATCATTTGAAAGCTGCTGGATCAGGTAGCTCACGCCTATAATTCCAGCCCTTTGGGAGGCTAAGGCAGGAGGATCGCTTGAGGCTAGGAGTCTGAGACCAGCCTGGCCACTCACTGTAGAAATAGTGAGACCTCGTTTATACAAAAAATAAAAAAATTAGCTGGACATGGTGGCGCATGCCTGTAGTCCCAGCTACTCAGGAGGGTGACGTGAGAGGAGCACTTCAGCCCGGGAGTTTGAAGCTGCAGTGAACTCTGATCAAGCCATTGCACTCCAGCCTGGGCATCAGACATGCTGTCTCTAAATAAATAAATATATAATGAAAGTAGTGTTGTGCTGACTCCTTTACAGGAAATTAGAAATAATATCATCAATGAAAGCTTGAGTGACTCTTCTGCTTGAAAAGGATAGCCTCCTTACTTTGAAGAACAAGGTCCAATTTCTTGCCACTGTGAAATGTAAAACAATCTCTTGTACTTCTCCAATACAGTTTTGAAGGGAATTTCTTAAATTTGTGTTAGGCAAAGCTGTCTGCCCCATCACAGCCAGTCTCTGCTTCAATAGAACTTTTAAGGCTGGAAACACCAATCAAAACTGCTATAACTAAAAGTTAGAAAACAAATAAACAGCAAACAAAAAAGATTGTAATGCTTAAAGCCCAAAAGATTCTCCCTTCCAAAGGGATAAATTTTTATTGAACTAATATCTTCAAGGTAAATCAGACTCCTTCTGTGTTCCTTAAACCCAAAGGAAAAGTACAGTTTATATACCCCAACTAAGAGCTACTACTTGTTGGCTGGAGACTGTAGGAAAACAGTCCAGAATATAGAAATACTGACAAGATTTTATTAACATTATCAGGTGATGGTAAATGTAAAACATTAACATATGATAACGTATAGAATTAAACTTAAAAAAATTCTTAGCCAGGAGTGGTGGTTCACGCCTGTAAATCCCAGGACTTTGGGAGGTCAAGAGATCGAGACCATGCTGGCCAACATGGTGAAACCCCGTCTCTAGTAAAAATACAAAAATTAGCTGGGCCTGGTGGTGCACGCCTGTAGTCCCAGCTACTCAGGAGGCTGAGTCAGGAGAATTGCTTGAACCTGGGAGGCAGAGGATGCAGTGAGCTGAGAGCTCACCACGACACTCTAGCCTGGCAACAAAGCGAGACTCCGTCTCAAAACAAAACAAAACAAAACAAAAATTCTTGCTCTTTAGCAATTTAAATTATTAAAAAGGTACATCAGACAAGACACTTTAGAATTCTCAAAGTAGCAAAATGTTTTGCTTTTTTATACTATCCCACTTTTCTGAATTTTCCTTTACCAAAGTAAAAGCAAGGTAGTAAGAGTATAAAGAGAGAAGTATTACTAAGAGAGAGATAGCATCTCTCTTTCTTAGATGTCATACTAAATAAATCAGGAAAAGGGTAAGGAGATTCCAATAAAAGGCATGCAGTTAAGTTATTAATGTGACTGGGCAGGATTAGTAAAGGGTAGGAAAACATTCAGATAACCATGATAAAAAGTAAGTAGAAGTAGCCAACAAATAGTTTGCTTGGCTTCAGGGGCATACAGAAAAAGTAGACAAGAGAGATGAGGGAGGAATGAAAAGCAGAGTTCACAGACCCAGCATGTATGGGAATACACTGGAGGGTTGACAAGGAAATGCTTGATGTAGTTATCTAAACAAGGTAAAATTAAAGGAACTACTTAACTTTTTTTTTTTTTTAATGCTAGAGTTCTATATAAACTTCACCTGCCAGTCCATATTACAGAAATTTCAAGAAGGGGCAGCTTACTACAGTGCATAAGAGCAGGGACTCTAGAGCTAAACTGCCTGAGTTTGAGCCAAGGTTACCAACACTATGATGCTGGATAAGTTACTTAGCTTCTCTGGGGCTCAGAATCCTCACCTGTAAAATGGGATGATAAAAGTATCTACTGAAAGGAGTGTGCTGAAGATCAAATTAGTAAATACAGGTAAAGAACTCAGATCAGTGCCTGCCTGTTTTGCAATCAAGGACACTAGTGAGAAACAGCTGAAGTAGTTCAAATTAAAAATGAGAAAGAACTACAACAGACTCTGCCAAGGGGAGACACAAAATAAGTATTTGCTTTTTCTAGGTGTCCCGGTGTATAAAGAAACAGAAAACCTCTAAAAGCAGTCTATATCTATTTTTTAAGTGCTCAATAAATGCTTTCCATAGTATTTCCCCATAAGTCACCAATAGAAACAAAAAGTTTCTTGATATAAATTTCCAGACTTTATAAAATCTAGTAAATCCTGGGTAATTCTTTAAGAGAAAAATCTCTTTAAATAGCACGCTTCAGAAAAAAAAAATCTACCTATCAACTTTTCTTTTTTAAAATATTTTTATTATTATTTTATTTCAATAGGTTTTTGAGGAACAGGTGGTGTTGGGTCACATGAGTAAGTTCTTTAGTGGTGATTTCTCAGATTTTGGTGCACATATCACCTGAGTGGTATACACTATACCCAATGTGTAGTGTTTCATCCCTCACCCACCTCCCACCCTTTCACCCGAGTCTCCAGAGTAAATTGTATCATTCTTATGCCTTTGCATCCTCAAGGCTTAGCTCTCACTTATGAGTGAGAAAATACAATGTCTGGTTTTCCATTTCTTAGTTACTTCACTTAGAATAATGGTCTCCGATCCCATCCAGGTTGCCGTGAATCCTATCTTTTACAGCATGCTTCAGAAATAAAAGATCATTAGATTTTTCATAACAAATCTGCAGACAAATTCCTATGAAAAAGAGTCTTCATTTTATTGAATGTTTAAATATGTATACCTGCCGGGCCACTGCTGAGCCTCTGTTCTGAGCTGACTTAACTGCAATGACTTCTTGAGGAGTGTCCCAGCTCAAGTATCTTTTAAAAGAATGAAGAGAAGTTTATTTATTTGGGTCAGTTTCCTTATACTTAAAACCAAAATATTATATTTTATAAGTAAACTATTTTTTAGTTATTTAAATTATAAAAGCAAAGTGATCTATTTTAAAAAATAAATAGCTAAAAAAATTTCCTCTATATCCCCATATGGACATATCCCTATTTAAATACATACATAATTTTAATCTTTCTAGAGCATTGGTGAATAAAAATTGTTTTCGATCTAAGAGTATTCAAAACTTAGAAAACAAAATAATCATTTCTACTTTAAAATGGAAGTATAAAAAGCACTAAAAATGTTACTTTCACACATTCCATGAACATATTCACTCCATTTACATCTAATTTATAAAACTAATAGTTAAAATAACAGTTCTTGGATTGTACACAGCAGACAATTTAACTGAAACAGACTAGCCTTCAGGAAAATCTACCATAAAGAGCATCTTACATAGAAAATACTATTTGTAGAATACAGGGAATTTTTTTTTTTAAGTTTATTTAAACTATTACAGGTTAGTTACTTATTAGGGATACAAAGATAAATGACAGCTGGGCACGATGGCTCACGCCTGTAATCCCAGAACTTTAGGAGGCTGAGGTGGGCAGATCACTTGAGGTCAGGAGTTTGAGACCAGCCTGGCCAACATAGGGAAACCTCAGCTCTACCAAAAATACAAAAAGTAGCTGGGCATGGGGTGCACACCCAAAATCCCAGCTACTGGGAAGGCTGAGTCAGGAGAATCGCTTGAACCTGGTAGGTGGAGGTTGCAGTAAGCAGAGATCACGCCACTGCACTCCAGCCTGGGAGACAGAGCAAGACCTTGTCTTAAAAAAGAAAAAAAAAAGACAAATGATAGAGGGTCTCTATACTCAGACCTCTAAATGTAGTCATGAGGGGAGAAAAAGAAAATAGGTTTATTAATTGAGATCTGGTAATGGATTAGAAAACTGACAGGGAAAAAAGGCTTGAAATTTCATGGGCCACAGGTTTCAAATTTTTAAAATAAAATCTTGAATAATAAATTCACAGTAAATACCTGAATTTGCAATAAGGTGCAAGATATATTTTCTCAAGGATTTTTCCCGTAGTTGCTGATATACGAAGTAGCCAATTATGAGCAGTCAGTGCTATGAGTGAGGACTTATAATCTGATGAATTGGGAAGTATATCTCCCTAAAAAAAAAAAGAGAGATATAAAAATGAAACTGCTTGGCCATGAACAATTTGCAGTAATCAATGTCCAAAGAAAATAGCTAAATATTCAAATGCCAAATAAATAAACCACAAAAGAAAGATTAAATGCCCAACTAGAGAATTAAGACAAGGAAAGATAAGATTGTGGGTAATTATTTCATCATCACTTATTGAGTTTATTCACATAAAGCACTTAAACATGGCCTGAAATAATTTATTATTATGAATTAATTATTTTATTAAGTATTCACAAATGTTAGTCATAATAACAGTAGAAGACAATGATGCTACCTCTGTGATAACAATAACAACAATAACAGCTCTTAAAATCATGTATATAGCATAGCGATTAAGAGTCCTCTGCTATTAGCATGGTGGTGAGTGCCTGGAGTCCCAACTACTTAGGAGGCTGAGGCAAGAGGATCGCTTGAGACTGGGAGGTCAAGGCTGCAGTGAGTGATGACTATGCCACTGCACTCCAGCCTGGGTGACAGAGTGAGATCCCGTCTCAAAAAAAAAGGGTTCTCTGCTAGAATAGACATTCATATTGCCCCCTTTTTCCTTTACCACAGGACTTGTTTCCTTTAGATGGAAGTCAAAACTGGCAAAATGCAAATTACTTCATTATTCACTGTGGTTCTAACCTAAGCTCAAATGAAAAGCTAGAAACCAATGAAGACAGCCAAAGTACAGAAAATGGACCTGGTTTGAAAGATGACCTATGTCACCAGTGAATTATCCTAGAAAAGGGAGAGGATAGCTGCATGGGCACTCCTGTCACTGAGGAGCCACCACAAGGTGGAAGTCTAAGGCAGGAAGAAAAAGAGAAGCAAAGTTTTCTTCTTTAATTTGTAGACTAAAAGGGCATCGTGGTCCCCACCTGTAATCCCAGCACTTTGAGAGAGTGAGGCAGAAGGATTACCTGAGCCCAGGAGTTCGATATCAGCCTAGGCAACACAGCAAGACTCTGTTTCTAGATAAAAAGGAAAAAAAGAAGTGGCTAGGTGCGGTGGCTCACGCCTGTAATCCCAGCACTTTGGGAGGCTGAGGTGGCTGGATCACGATGTCAGGAGATCGAGACCAGCCTGGCCAACATGGCGAAACCCCATCTCTACTAAAAAAAATACAAAAATTAGCTGGGCGTTGCGGTGCTTGCCTATAATCCCAGCTACTTGGGAGGCTGAGGCAGGAGAATCACTTGAACCCGGGAGGTGGAGGTTGCGGTGAGCTGAGATCGTGCCACTGCACTCCAGCCTGGCGACAGAAGACTCCATCTCAAAAAAGAAAAAAAGAAAGAAAGAAAGTAAAGAGAGGCTGAAATTAATCTAGTATCTGCTTAGGCCAAAAAGTGAATAGAAAAGAATGAAGACATAGTTATTTTATATATGCTCCCTAAAAATTTGTCTTGCCTTTCAAATGTTAAGGAAAAAAATAATTTTTGTTTGTATGCTAGTGTTTTTTTTTTGTATGACTACATATAATTGAATAACACATTATACACCACTAAATACTAAAACAATACAAAAAACTCACAATTATAAATTTCAGTAAGAAATAACATAACTATAATGACATATACCCAAAACAAACCCAGGAAAACAGTGTTCCTTAATTTGGTCAGAAATCTCTACGAAGCTGAAATTAACTGTCCGAGAAAAAACTGAAAGTAGAGTTCTTGATAGTAAAGACAATACATTTCAGTCTTGACCCTTCATATTGGTCACACCATTGTCCCTTGATCTCAAATAGTTTTTTGAAATTAGGCTTTTTTGTTATATTTTTCATGCTCAAAGATCTGAAACATCTTATTAAAATTTCATAATATTTTCTATTTAACATTTTCTCAATATGTCTAAAAGAGTGAGATTAAAGGATTGATAAAAAATGTTACATTCACAATGCAATTTTAAAAATCTTATGTTCTCATTTGTTTTAAATTCTCAACTTAGCAGTCTCCACACTGTTATCCTGCTCTTTTCCCCTGGAAACCTAAAAAGAACCCTGAGATATTAAGACTGTAAATAAATCTCTTATTTAGAGAATTTCCTGAATGTTTATCACTTAGATTCATTATTTTTCTTAGTTGACTCTCCTAGATTTTTTTTTTTTCTTTTGAGACAGAGTCTTGCTCTGTCACCCAGGCTGGAGTGCAGTGGCATGATCTCTGCTCACTGCAACCTCTGCCTCCCAGGTTCAAGCGATTCTCCTGCCTCAGCCTCCCGAGTATCTGGGATTACAGGTGCGTGCCACCACACCTGGCTAATTTTTGTATTTTTAGTAGAGACGGGGTTTCACTATGTTGGTCAGGCTGGTCTTGAACACCCGATCTCGTGATCTGCCCGCCTCGGCCTCCCAAAGTGCTGGGATTACAGGCGTGAGCCACCGCACCTGGCCACTCTCCTAGATATTTCTTATAAGAGGGTTGGAATGAATCATTTTGCTAAAATTAATTCCTTTGTTAGGTAAAGGATTAAACCTCTCCATATTTAAAAGAAGAGAAAACAAACAATGTTCCTTTCGTAAGTATAATCAAGTTTCTTAAAATACTGGCTATAAGATTTTTTTTTTAAGTTTATTAACCCTTGAAGTCTTACACTGGATTCAGGGCAATGATATAAATGCATTTATTCTACAACGTCTTATCTAAATGTTGTTTCATGAAGATTTAAAAGTTTTTGGCTGAGCGTGGTGACTCACACTTATAATCCCAGCACTTTGGGAGGCCAAGGCGGGCAGATCACTTGAGCCCAGGAGTTCAAGACTAGCCTAGGCAACATGACAAAACCCCACCTCTACAAAAAATACAAAAATTAGCTGGGTTTGTTGGTGCACACCTGTAGTCCCAGCTACTTAGGAGGCCAAGGTGGAAGGATCACCTGAGCCCAGGAGGTAGAGGCTGCAGTGAGCTGTGATTGTGCCACTGGACTCCAGCTTAGGCAACAGAGTGAGACCCTGTCTTAAAAAAATATATTAAAAAAATTTAAGTTTTAAAAAATATACTATTTATAACTTGCCTATCAAAATAATTTGAAGCAGCAAATATAATACGTTCGAAATATTTTCTTGAACAAAAAGCTGTAATTCACACAGAGTCTTGGAAAAGATGGACACTAACTTAAAAGTAGTTTCATATCAGTGTGTTAATAACAATTCAAAATGCTCCTGGTTTTTCTTAAGAGAAAATCTTGCTGCAGTTGAAATGAGAATAAAATGTTTAAAAATAAGTGAGAATACGGACCGGGCATGGTGGCTTATGCCTGTAATCCCAGCACTTTGGGAGTCCAAGGAGGGTGGATCACTTGAGGTCAAGAGTTCGAGACCAGCCTGGCCAACATGGTGAAACCCCGTGTCTACTAAAAATACAAAAATTAGTGGGGCATGGTGCTGGGTGCCTGTAGTCCCAGCTACTTGGGAGGCTGAGGCAGGAGAATTGCTTGAGCCTGGGAGGCAGAGGTTGCAGTGAGTGGAGATCACGCCACTGCACTGCAGCCTGGGCAACAAAGAGAGACCGTCTCAAAAAAAAAAAATAGTGAGAATAGGAATTAGGTTACTAAATTTTTGGTGTTTTATACTAGTGTATTAAAAACTTTCTCAATTAAGAAATCTGTCGTCTTCCCCCATACTCCCCAATGAAAATGGATCAAAAAGCTTTAAATTGCTAAAGGCACAACAGTTACTTTTAGCTTTCAATAAGGAGTTGAAGAAGAAAACATAGGTTTAAAAGCTTTCTAATTTTTAAATAGGAGCCTTCAGTGAACAGACAATAAGTATTCAGAGAAAAAGAAAGCAGCAGCTCCAGAAAACTAAAACTTTATGTAAAAATGATAGCCTGAAAAAAAAATTAACAATAAATTTAGCGTACAGCCTCTTATCCTTTAAAAATTATTTTTGGTCACATATTATGAGTTCCGTTTTTCCTAAAGGACAGCCAATCAGATTCAAAGACCTGATTAATCTGTTGTAGTATTTCCTAAGTGCATTTCTTAGAATAAGCACTGATCCTATAGAAAACAAATACAGGTCGATTATCCCTTCTCCTACTGAAACACTTGGGACTAGAAGTGTTTCAGATTTGAATTTCTTTGGATTTGGGGATATTTGCATATGCATAATGAGGTATCTTGGGGATGGGACCCAAGTCTAAACACAAAATTCATTTATGTTTCATATCTATCTTATACATGTAGCCTGAAGATAATTTTACATAATATTTTAAATTTTGTGCCTGTCACATGAGGGCAGGTGTAAAATTTTCCACTTGTGGCGTCATGTCGGCATTCAAAAAGTTTTGAATTTTGGAGCATGTTGGATCTCAGATTTTCAGATTAGGGATGCTCAACCTGTACTTAGAAATATTCCTTAAACAAGGAAGTTCTATGATCAAAAGAATTTGGGGAAATGGCTTGATAATCATCATACCTATTAGTATTATTGTATTATTATTATTAGTAAAGGCTCTGAGAAGTAATTCTATCAATAGATATGTTTACAGTCTTAAACTCAGAATGTCCCAAACTTAGTTTTTCACAGCCCAATTCCCCCTAACTCCTCTGACACCCGTTAACATTCCATGAAAACAGTGTTTTGAAAAATATACACCCAGGCAAAGCTAGCCTTATGAAATGAGCTTATCCTATTATTTTATTTTTATTATTTTCCTAACACGTAAAATAACGTAAAATAACTGTTGCTCTAAATACTTTGTTACTGTTTCAGTATATTGAGTGGAATGATCTCTTAAACACTAAGATAATTATACATTAGCTTATGCTGCTTATATAACTTTTAATCGATTTATAACTTTTTAGTTTTCAGGATCTAAAAAAAATCTATCTAATTTTAAAAACACATTCATAATATTAGTATTTTTAATACAGAAATTATTTCATGAGGAAAATAAAAGATATACTCTCATCTTGATTGCTTTAAAGATGCAAGAGTCACTATGATATTTAAGTTGTATTATTTTATGCAATATGTTAATAATAACTGGTTCTTCTAGGCTAAAAATGCTTTAGAAACAAACGCTCTAAAAACAAATCTTACCACTGGGCATTCCCATAATAAAGCATCCTCTATTTTTTCTGATTTGGAACATTTTGGCATTTCATAAAGTTTTCTTGGCTCAGATGCAACACTGGGAAAAAAGAAAAATAAATGATTATTATTCTTGATAACCAAGACAGTATTTGTTCAGGTTTGAGAGACTATTTTTATTCAGAGATGTGAAATACCAAGGCACAATTTATTTGCTTTCCTCTTAACTAAATATTAATATTTTTTTCTGATCACATAATTCATATAAAAAAAAACAAGATTAAAATAGTTTACAATACCATAAAACTGCCAAAAATAACCCTTATTAACATTTTGGTTCATTTCCTTCTGGTTTATATACATATACGTACCTGGACGTTGTTTTCCAAAAATGGTTCATATTAAATTCTTTCTTTACCTCTGAACATTTACTAAGAATATCTCTGTTGAATTCCATCAAGATCAAAAACTATTGTTCTGATATTTAAAATGAAAATTACTGGATAAAAAGGGTCCCATTATTTTAGAATGAAAACTAGTGGATTTAAAAAAAACAAAAAACAAAAAACCCTTTATGGTTTTTTTTTTTACTCCCAAATTACTTTTCAGAAAGGTTGAGTAAATTTATACTTCTGCCAATATTGAATGCTATATCTTTGATGTGAAAAATAGTCTCTTTTAATTTGTACTTCTCTGATTAGTTGAGATGTGATCATAAATGTTTAATTTTATTTTGTTCCTTTTTTTTGAGACAGTTTCTCACACTCCAGGCTGGAGTGCAATGGCATGATCTTAGCTCACTTCAACCTCCACCTCCCAGGCTCATGTAATTGTCCTGCCTCAGCCTCCCAAGTAACTGGGACTACAAGCTCATGCTACTACGCTTAGCTAATTGTTACATTTTTTGTAGAGGCAGAGTTTTGCCATGTTGCCCAGGATGGTCTTGAACTCCTGGACTCAAGTAATCCACCTGCCTCAGCCTCCCGAAGTGTTGGGATGACAGGTGTGAGCCACTTCGCCTGGCGCTTTTCTTTCTTTCTTTTTTTTTTTTTTTTTTTTGAGATGGAGTCTCACTCTGTCTCCCAGGCTGGAGAGCAATGGCACCATCTCGGTTCACTGCAACCTCCGCTTCCCAGGTTCAAGCGATTCTCCTGCCTCAGCCTCCTGAGTAGCTGGGATTACAGGTGCATGCTACCATGCCCAGCTAATTTTTGTATTTTGTATTTTTAGTAGAGACAGGGTTTCACCATGTTGGTCAGGCTGGTCTCGAACTCCTGACCACGTGATCTGCCTGCCTCAGCCTCCCAAAGTGCTGGGATTACAGGCGTGAGCCACTGCGCCCAGCCCCTTTTCATTTTTTTAAATGAACTTTGAAATTAAATTACTGTTGAAAGAGAAACAATTTTCAGGTGATAATTTTATTGTACCTCTTTGACATTCTCTCACTGATTCAAAAGTTTAAACCAAACAGTTTCACAAGAATGAAGGCAACTTCATATGCGATTATAACCTGTGGATAAAACACCATTGGACATTAAATAACTCAATAATATTTAATCATTAGAACACTAATTGACACCACTTACTCTAATTTAATTTTTTTTTTAAGTTAAAGCAGGAAGTTATAAACTTGACATTAAATGATCCTGAAGAATTGTTGCTCATTTTCCTAGGTGTGATAATGACATGATAAGATAACATGTCCAGATTTCCACTTCCAGCATGAGGGCATGAAGAGCTCTGTGGACAAACTCCTTGGCAAAACTGGTGAAAATCATAAAAGGACAACTATTTAAAGTCTCTGCAAATGGTCCTGGGGACATACAGCATATGAAGAAACATTTATTCAAGAAAACCTACTACTGCTCAGTAAGAATAGTGAGTCTGTGGTGTCTGAACCAGGGCATAGTCCCTTCCTTCCCAATCCCAGCTCAGCAAGATGGAAACTCCACTCCAGACTGGTGCAGCCAAGAGTACAAGGCTCCCTGTTTTCCAAGCTTCCACTCAGAGAGCTATCTTCCTAGGAGGGGTGGGATGACAGCATTTCTCATCCAGTCCCCAGCTGCCTATTGCTGGGGCTGAGTATTGGGTCAGTATAGTCAAGAGGTGGGGGTCCCTTCTTCCACCCAGCCCCTATTCATGGGATGGAGGATCTACCTTGGATGTAGCACAGCTGAGGATACTGAGGCCCTAACTGGCCTTATCCTCCTTAGAAAACAGTAGTTCTACACTGAGAGAGAGACAAGGTGGGAAGATCTGAGGTCAGTGTTTCCTCAACTCCAAGTGCGCAGCTTCTAGAGTAGGGGAGTCACTCAGAGAGAAGCATGGCATTGACTCCCACAACCAGGTAAAGAGCCTTAGTTCAAAAACTGTGCAGGAGGGGAGAAGCAGGCCATAAAAGAGATAGCTCTGTGGCTCTTTCCAGAAAAACTAATTTTATTTGCAACAGAGTGTGGAGAAGTTAAGGCCTAGGAGCACTAACAAAATCTGTGGAGTTTGTGATGAAAGGCAAATGGGAGGAGACTGGTAGACTCAGCGGAGATACAGGCTAAATTGTAGGCTGGCTAATTTGCCAGAAATAACCAGAAAAAGCTAGCAGGACAGAGCCCTCTTGGGGTTAGAACAAATCTCAAAAGCTGACTATTCTCTCTAAATTCTGGTTTCTGGTCCAAGACGAAAACAGCCTGGAAGTGCCACCCGTCTGTCCTCATAGCACGAAAAATGCTGAACAATCTGAAAATCCATAATTATTCTTAGATCCATCAGAGAATTCAGGTCACAGGGCAAACTGCTGCCTCCAAAACTGGAGAGAAAGGTGGATACTGACAATTACAGCTTTCCAGGAACATAAGCCCAGGAACAAGCCACTGGAGCCAACAATGGGGGAGACAAAAATAAGCACACTAGAGGAAATTTTAACCTCTAATACCTACGGCTACAACAAACAATAATCATAGCCGAACTCCTACTCAGATAAACATAAAATCTCACTCTAAAGGCCTATTTAATTCTTTTTATCCAATATTATCTTAAATTTGTAAAATTTTTTGAGACACTGTCTCGCTCTGTTGCTCAGGCTGGAGTGCAGTGGCATGCTGACGGCTCGAGCAGCCTTGACCTCCTGGGCTCAAGCGATCCTCCCACCTCATCCTCCCTGGTAGCTGGGACTACAGGTGTGTGCCACCATGCCCAGCTAATGTTGATATTTTTTGTAGAGATGGGGTTTTGCCATGTTGGTTAGGCTGGTCTCAAACTCCTAGGCTCAAGCAACCCCAGACGTTGGCCTCCAAAAGTGCTGGGATGACAGGAGTAAGCCACTGTGCCTGGCCTATCCAATATATCATATCATATATAGCCCTCAACCAAAAAAATGACAAGGCATGCTAACAGGCAAAATACAAAAGTTTGAAGAAACAAAACAAACATCAGAACTGGATTCAGATATGGCAGAGATTTTAGAGTTAGCAGACCAGAAATTAAAATAACAATGATTAAGCCAGGTGCGATGGTATGTGACTGTAGTTCCAGCTATACTCAGGAGGCTGAGGGAGGAGGATCACTGGAGTGCAGGAGTTTGGGGCTACAGTGCACTATTATCATACCTGTGAAAAGCCACTGCACTCTAGCCTGGGCAACAAAGCAACGCCTCATTTCTTGTTTTTTACTGTTTGTTTGGGGTTTTTTGGGGTTTTCTTTTTTGAGTCTCGCTCTGTTACCCAGGCTGGAGTGCAGTGGCATGCAATCACAACTCACTGCAACCTCCACCTCCCAGATTCAAGCAATTCTTCTGCCTTGGCCTCTGGAGTAGCTGGGATTATGGGTGTGTGCCACCATGCCCAGCTAATTTTTGTTTTTTTAGTAGAGATGGGGTTTCGCCATGTTGGCCAGGCTGGTGTCGAACTCCTAGCCTCAAGTGATCTGCCCACCTAGTCCTCCCAAAGTGTGAGATTACAGGTGTGAGCCTCCGCACCCAGTCACAAGACCTCATTTCTAAACTAATTAATTAAATAGCTGATTAACAGGATCAGAGCTGGGAAAAGTGGACACCATGCAAGAAAAGATGGGTAAATTAAACACAGATAAAAATTCTAAAAAAAAAAAAAAAAAAAAAGGAAAAAAAAGAAATACTAGAAATCAAAAAACACCATAAGAGAAATGAAGAACGCCTTTAACAGTTATCAGTAAACTGGATGCAGCCAAGGACAGAATCAGTGAGTTTGAAGATAGGTCAACAGAAACTTCCCAAGCTGGGGCAATAAAAGAGGAAAAAGAAAGAAAAAGTAGAACAGAATATTCAAGTATTACAGGAAAATTGGAGAAGGTATAACATCCACATAATGGGAATACCAGAAGGAAGAAAAAGAGAAAAATAAATATTTGAAGTAATAATGGCTGAGAATTTTCCAAAACTGACAGATACCAAGCCCCAAATCTGGGAAGCATATTCAAACTGCAGAAAATCAAAAGTGAAGAGAAAATCTTGAAAGAAGCCAGATGAAAAAAAAGCACCTTAACTATATAGGGGAACAATAAGAATTAATTTGGATTTCTCTTCAGAGAGCATAAGAGCAAGCAGAGAGAGACATAAATACCTAAAGTGTTCTGGTGGCTCGTGTCTGTAATCCTCAGCAGAGGCTGAGGTGGGAGGACTACTTGAGGTCAGGAGTATGAGATCAGCTTGGGCAACACAGCACGACTGAGACCCCTATCTCTAAAAAAATTGTTTTAAAAATAGCCACATGCCTATAGTCCTAGCTACTTGGGAGGCTGAGATGGTCGGATTGCTTCAGTCCAGGAGTTTGGTGTTACAGTGAGCTATGATTGTGCCACTGCACTCCAGCCTGGGAGACACAGCCAGACCCTGACTTTGGGGGGGAAAAAAAAAGGCACAGATAGATTAAAAGTAAAGGAATGGCAAAAGATACAATGTGTAAACACTAAACAAAAGAAAGCTGGAGTAGCTATACTAATTTCAGACAAAGTCGAATTTGGCAAGGAACATTACCAGGGATTAAGTGGGCATAAGATAATGAAAAAGGTGTCAATTCTCCAAGAAGGCATAACAATATTTAATACATATGCATCTAACAACAGAGTATCAAAACACAATGTGGCAAACACGGATAGAAATGCAAGGAGAAATAGATAAATCCACTCACTATTATAGAGATTTCAATACCCATCAGTAATTAACACATCCAGCTGGCAGAAAGTTAGTAATTATGCATATACTTAAACTGAAAGGTACCATCAGTCAACTGGATCAAACAGAATATCTCATCCAACGACAGCAGAATACACATTCTTCTCAAGCTTACACGAAACGTTCACCAAGGTAGACCACATTCTGAGCCATAAAAGACACCTTAACAAATTTAAAAGACTAGAACTAATATAAAGTATGCTCTTGGGTCATAGTGGTATTAAACCACAAATCAATAAAACAATGATAACTGGAAAATCCCAATATATTTGGAGAGTGAACAACACACATCTAAATAACACATGGGTCAAAGAAGTCCCAGGAGAAATTTAAAAATATTCTGAACTAAATGAAAATGCACATACAACGTATCAACATTTGTGGGATGCAACAAAAACAATGCTTAGAGGAAAAGGTATAGCAGTAAGTGCATATGCAGAAAAGGAGAAAGACTTCAAATCGTAATCTAAGTTTCTACCTTAGGAAACTAGTAAAAGAAGAGCAAATTAAATCCAAAGTAAGCAAAGAAATAACAAAAATTAGCTCAGAAAGTAGTAAAATTGAAAACCAAAAATCAATAGAGAAAATCAACAAAACCAAAAGCTGTTTTTTTGAAAAGGTCAACAAAATTGATTACTAATATGAGAAATTAAAGAGTGGCTATCACTACCGATCTCATGGACGTTAAAACAATAATAAAGAAATATTATGAATAAGTCTAGGCTCACAAGTTTGGATAACTTAGATGAATTCCTTGAAAGACACCATCTATCAAAATTTACCCAAGGAGAATTAGATAACTTGAATAAGTCTGTATCTATTAAAGAAATGTAATCAATAATGAACAACCTACCAAAACAGAAAGTGCCAAGCCCAGATGCTTTCAATGGTTAATTCCACCAAGCATTTAAAGAAGAAATAACACAGCAGCAGTGATCAAGACAATGTGGTATTGACATAAGGACAGACATACAGATCAGTGGAACAGACTTGAACGTCCGGAAATAAATCCAAAAGTGTCTATGGTCAATTGATTTTTGACAAGGGTGGCAAGGCCTTGCAATGAAGAAAGAAAAGTCTTTCTAATAAATGGTGCTAGGACAAATGTATAGCTGCATGTTAAAAAAAATGGAGTTGGATACCTACCTTATACCCTATACTAAAATTAACTCAAAGTGGATCAACCACCTAAATATGAGCTAAAACTATAAACCCTTTAGAAAAAAACCTAGGAGCAAATCTTAATGACCTCAAATTTTGCAATGGATTCTTAGATATGGCACCAAAAGCATGAGTAATGAAAAAAATTTAGATAAATTGGACTTCATCAAAATTAACCTCTCTGTGGCTGGACGCGGTGGCTCATGCCTGTAATCCCAGCACTTTGGGAGGCCGAGGTGGCCGGATCACCTGAAGCTGGGCGTTCGAGACCAGCCTGACCAACATGGAGAAACCCGGTCTCTACCAAAAATACAAAATTAGCCAGGCGTGGTGGCGCATGCCTGTAGTCCCAGCTACTCGGGAGGCTGAGGCAGGAGAATCACCTGAACCCGGAAGGTGGAGACTGCAGTGAGCCGAGATCACGCCATTGCACTCCAGCCTGGGCAACAAGAGCAAAACTCTGTCTCAAAAAAAAAAAAAAAAATTAACCTCTCTGTTTCAAACAATAACATCAGGAAAGTAAAAAGACAATCTACACAATGGGAGAAAGTATTTGAAATCATATATCTGATAAGGGACTTGTATCTAAAATATGTAAGGATTTTTGTAAAAAAAAAAAAAAAAATTTACAAGTGGGCAAAATATCTAACCAAACATTTCTCCAAAGAATAACATACAAATGGCTAATATGCACAAGAAAAGATGCCTGACATCACTAGTCATCAGGAAAATGGAATCAAAACCACAGTGAGATGCTGTGAGTCACACATCAAGTGTTGACAAGAATGTGGAAAAATCAGAACCCTCATATACTGCTTATGGGAACATAAAATGGTACTACCACTTTAGAAAAGTGTATGGCAGTTCTTCTAACTATTAAACGCAGTTACAGTATAATCTTATGACCTACCAATTCCATTCCTAGGTATAATCTAGGAGAAGTGAAAATAAATGCCCACATAAAAACTTACATGGAAATGTTTATAGCAGCATTATTTATAATAGCTAAAAGGTAGAAACACCAATGTCTAACAACTGATAAACGGATACGTAAAATGTGGTAATTGATACAATGCAATATTATTCAACTTTATAAAGGAATTCTGATGCATGTGACAACATGGATGAACCTTGAAAACACGCAAAGTGAAAAAGCCAGTTACAAAAGACCATATATTATATGATTCCATTTATATGAAAAGTACAGAATAGGTGAATCTACAGACAGAAAACAGACTAGTGGTTGCTTAGGGCTGAGGGTAATGGTGGTACTGAGGTGACTGCTTAAAGGTACATGGTTCTGTTTTGAAGTGATGAAAATGCTCTAAAATTAACTGTGGTAGTGATTACATGTATCTGTGAATGCATTAAATATTATTGAACTGTACACTTTAAATGGGTAAATATATGGTATGTGAATTATATCCTAATAAAGCCTATAAAAAAAGCTCATTTTTTTAAAAATGCAAACTGATGTATGTTTAGAATATGCTTTAAAAGAGGTCATGCAAAAGGAAAAGTGGGTTAGATAAAGCAAATGTGGCAAATCTTGATAGTTTTTGAATCTGGGTAATGAGTATATGGGGATGCATTGTGGCTTTCCTTCCCCCCTCATGTTGGACAGTTGTGGATGAGGCTGACTGTTAAACATTTTGGATCTCTAAATACTAGGCTTTTGTTTGAAAAAATTTCTCTAAAAAAAAAAAAAAAAGGCAAGTACTTCCAAAACACAATCCATCAATTCTCCAAAGCAGCATCTAATTATTTGATTGGCAACTGGATTTCTTGACTGTGGTATAAGTAGACTAAACACTAAACAGTACTCTGAACAATCTGTGGTTTTGCCTGCACTGTAGTTTTGCTTTAAGTTGGTATTTACAAAAATGACACCTGCAACTTTAGATTTAACAAGATTTTAAAATTACATGCATTTTTTACTGCCTAGTCTTATTTCGGACCCATTTTTTTCATTCTATTTCACTAGGCACTAATGTAGGCATGTGGTTCTATACAAATTATAGTTAAGATCAACAGTGAGGTGAATTACAGCAAAATTATCAATAAAAAGTTACCTGCTGACACAGCGCCGATAATTGTCAAAATATATTCTTCCTCTCTCATAGGCTATAGGTGACCTGGAATGAGTTGTCCAGACATTCTTAAATTTAGTACTTTCCTAAAAGACATAAAGAATTTCCGTTCAGGAAAGAACTCTTAGGCTTTAAGTTAGATTTTAAATTTTCAAAGCAACATAATGTCACCTATATTATTTTAAAACTTTTTGCATCCTTCCTCCACTCTGCCCTCATGTTTTGGCTTAATGAGGTGACCAACTTTTAGAATAATTGTTTCCAGGTAAGACATAAGAAGCGTAAAACTAAAAGCAGCTGGTGGCCCTATTACCACCTATCCCAGATTCCGGGCTTGTATCCTCCTCCCCATCACATGTGACCCTATAAAGGGAGGCCCCAGCGCGTTAAAACCGCATCCCCGCAGGAGGCTCGGCCGCCGCGCGCCCGCGGCCCTCCGTCCCGCCCCGGCCGGCTGGCGGTCACCTGGCACACCAGCGCCCGCAGGATGCCCAGGTTGGTCCTCTGCACCACGCCTGCGTCGCGCGAGAAGCAGCCCAGCGCCCGGCGACTCAGCCGGCTGCACACGTTGGGCTTCCGGGTCGGGCCCATGGAGGCGCGGGCCGGGCCCTGGGTAGGCTGGGCCGCCGAGTGGCGCGCCCCACACTCCCGTGCTGGGCAGCCGCCGCTGCCTTCGAATTTCGAGGCCCAGACTTTCCCGGCGGGGCCCAGGGAAAGCTGACACGGGGAGGCGGGCAGGGAGCACCCGACGGCGGGGCGAGGGAAAGCAGAGCCGCTTGCACCGCCAGAGCGCGGAGAGAAGGGAAGAAGCACTCCCTTTTCGATCTGCCCCAGGCTCTCTGGCCGCTGACAGTGCGACGCTCCGGTACCGCGCGGCCGGCCGGAGCCGCTCTCTCACCGGGAAATGTAGTTCCTAGTGCCTCGTGAGGCAGCCCGGCTTCTCCCAGGAACTACAATTCCCGTCAGGCGGCGGGGAGCGAGGGCTTGCCCGGCCCTGCCTCTGCCTGCCGCGGCCCCGCCTCCTCCGGCCCGCGGAGGCTGCGCTGTCTTGCGGGCGCGCTTCTCTGTGCTGCGAGTGGCTAGCTGGGCAGAGCCCTGGGGGCGCGGTGCTGCCGCCTCCAGGTCTCCGCCCCGTGTGTGCGCCCTGCACTTAGGGATCCCTCCCTCACTGCCCCGGTACTCACAAGCTTCTCGGCCCCGACCTTCGCCCTGGGAGGTTCTGGCCAGGTGCCGGGAGGGGCGCTGTGTCGAGGGCGATCCCCCCAAAGCAGCGTCCCGTGCTAAAGGTACGCCCCGCGGCTTTCCCTTCAGCCGCATGTTGGCTGAGGGGGACGGTAAACTGTGCTTTTGTATTAGGAAGATGCTGGCTTCCCATTCACTCTTAGTTTCACCCTCCAAACTGGGATTGAGTTACTCTTTCCCGGAGGCTTGTCCTTGGGTGGCCTGCGGGGACACTGACTGGTTTTGCGATAATTGCTTCATTTCATTTCCTCTCGCCTCCATTCTTTTTTCTTTATAGGGAATAAAATATGAAATGCTTACATTCTTATTGGACGGCCTAAGATATTCCTCGTCGATGTCTCTAAGTAAAAGATATACTTTGTTAACTAGCCCTGCCTGTATGTTCAAAGTTCCCAGCACACTAAACTTTCAGCAAGCTTGCACCACATGTGTCCCACCGCCATGCTCTAAGTCCCTTAAGGGTGGGGCCGCTGTATCTCCCACGTGGACTTGGGCATGCTACCTCTTGTTCATAGGTGCTCAAAGAAAGCCAGCGATCGCACCTGACTGGCAGAGCAAAAAGTACAGTACAGCAGGTCCTTGAATCGCATTTTTTCGTTCAGTGTCATTTTGTATAACTTGATGAGAAAAAATAATAATTTCCTACCGGGGCTACTGTTTGTGTGGATCTTGCCCCTTCTCCCCACGTCTGCATGGGTTTTCACCAGGTACCCCAGGGTACTGCCTCCCACATCTCAGTGCAGGCTGGATGAATTGGCCTTGTCTGTGTTTCCTGTCTGAGTGTGAGTGTGAGTGCTCCCTGCGATGGAATGTCGTCGTGTCCAAGGGTTGGTTCCCACCTTGCACCCTGAGCTGAGGGGATAGGCTTCAGCCACCCTCGACCCTGAACTGGAATAATTAGGTAAATAACTATCTTACTTGTTTTTATTAATCTTCCTTAAATGTATGTATAGCTCCCATTTATTTCAATGTTTAATATTAGAAGTGTTTTGGTTTGTATTTAGGAGTTTGGTGATGTTTTTGTGACCAGAAATATGTTATAGGAACTTAACTTTTGTTTATATCAATTGGCCTATGGTAAAAATGGTTTTGTTATATGTCATTTTGCTTACAGTCAGTTTCCAAAAATCTGTTGATGACATTAAGTGAGTACTTACAGTACTGGGTGAGTGTGTTGGGTCACAGTTTAAGTGTTTAGTAAACATTGGCCATATCTCTTTTTAACCCTGCTGAATTTCCTTCAGGGCTCGAGCTTTTGCTGATTTTTCATGACTTATTTACAGCATACGGTAGAGTGCTTTGTATATTTTTAGAGAGTGCTACAATAGTTAATTTGGTAATTCATGAATGCAGCTGTCACTGAGAAAACTGGAACCCAGAAAAGATAACTGGGTTTTCTTTGGCTTAAATGAAATTCAAATCATTTCTGAATTGAATTCATCAACTCTCTCATTTCTCTTTCCTCTTTGCCCCCACTTGTTTGTCTTCTTTCTTGTGGCCTTTATTTCACCACCAAGTCGTCACCAAGGGAGAGTCATCCTGGATGCCTTGCTGTTCCTCACCCACAACCAAGTCCTTTAGACTCTTATCCATCTCATCTTCATTTCACCTAAGTAATTTAGGGCCTCACCATTTTTTATCACATTATTAAGTAGTCTCTTAATTTCTGCCTTACTTGTGACACAGGATTTTTTTTTTTTGACGTTGCTTTGCCACTGGAGACCTCCGCAGCTGGAGACCTACCCAGGCCTTGCTCGGGCTGGGCTTGCCACAGGAGGTGCCCTGCACAACTGGCCCACTGGGCCACTCCTGGCTTGCACGCAGGTGTGGATCCTGTGGCCACCTGACTGTGGGCTCAGCCCCTGGCAGGAGAGGGTGTCTGAGCTGGTGAGTGCAGAGTTGTGTGGTATCCAGCTGGTTGCTCCAAGTGCCGGCACAGGAGCTGGCTCCGTGCACCGCTTGCGGCTGGACCAGGCATGTCACAAGTGACTCCCACAGTGGGCTCTGGAGTCCAGACTAGGGGAAGGTGGTGGTAACCAAATGGGTCAGGCAACCCAGAAGCCCCAGAGGTGGGTGTTACAGCATGCTAACAGCTCTTTTAGATCTGCCCTCTGCAGCCTGACGAACAGGGGCATGTTAACAGCCCTATCAGTCCTGTTACCCCACTCCCGCCCATGGCCCTGGGGCTGGCCTGGCCCCCCGCCCTGCTTCTTGTTGCATAGGGTGGCTACCAGGCGCTGCTGGTGGGGCAGAGAGCTACCGTGTTACTCTCTTCTTCCTACCCATGTTTGGTGGCATCCTGAGCTCTTGTCCTGTGTCCAAGAATGAGATTACACTAACAATCGGAGGGTGAGGAGGACAGAGAAGAGTTTTATTGAGCAACAAAACAGCTCTTGATGCAGGATTTTTGCTCTTAGCTCAGCTAGGTCTGAGTTTTTGTCTCACAATCAGTAAGAATTAGGTGTGTGGACCCCGGAGAGTGAGTGGAGTAGAATTTATTTAGTGAAAGGAAAGCTCCCAGTAAAGAAAGGGGTCCTGAAAGCAGGTTGCTGGTTGCCCCCTTTACAGTTGAATACCTGGGCTTAAGGTGCAAATTTCTGGAGGCTCCACCCCATCCTTCCAGTGTGCTCGTGGGCCCTTAGTCTGAGCTACTCCATATTGGTTATTTCCCTTACTGCACATGTGTTAGGGAATGGAATTTTCTATTGTGGGCATGTTTAGGCAAGCCCCCTGTGCAAATTCCCTTATGTGCACAAAACATCTGGTGTAAGCACTTTTGGGGCACGTCGTAGGTTCTTCAGGGACGCTTCCCTTACTGTCTGCCTAAAGCAAGCTGGCTAACTCCTTTCATTCTCAGCCAAGAGGGGACGCAAGGGTGGTCCCCCACCCAAAGTAGTTTGGCCTCTCTTCTGGCATGGCTGGGTCTGGGGCTTTTATGGGCTCAGAATGGGGAAGTGCATGCTGATTGGTTTGTGAGTATGCAAAATAGGCTAAAACAAAGGCACCACTCAAAGGTGGGCACAACAGTGTGAAAAAACAAATTAGAGAAGGGTGGGTATATGTAAAATAGGTGAAGGGTGGGGATCAATCAGAGGAAAGTGCACCAAATGGGAAGAGAGGTTCTCGATCTGGTCCATAGATTTATCCAGGACATGTAGCTAGGCTTTAAGCTGTCTTCAGCTTGAAGGTCAGGTTTCACTGGGGACCCACCCCCATCTGCCTAGGATTTGTCTGCCTCCTGCTGCTATCACTTGGGTACTTTTAATTCCAGCCCTCCTCCATACTGCTGCCAGAGTGATTTTCCTAAAGCACAAGCTGTCACTTGCCTGTTGCATTCTTTCAGCAGCTCCGAACACCCATAGCAGAATTTCTTATTTATTTATTTATTTTTATTATACTGTAAGTTCTGGGGTACATGTGTAGAACGTGCAGTTTTGTTATATAGGTATACATGTGCCATCGTGATTTGCTGCACCCATCAACCCGTCACCTACATTAAGTATTTCTCCTAATGCTATCCCTCCCCTAGCCCCTAGACAGGCTCCCTTTTTTTTTTGTTTTTTGTTTTTGAGATGGAGTCTTGCTCTGTTGTCCAGGCTGGAGTGCGGTGGGGCTATCTCGGCTCACTGCAGCCTCCACCTCCCAGGTTCAAGTGATTCTCCTGCCTCAGCCTCCCCAGTTGCTGGCATTACAGGCGCACACCACCATCCCTGGCTAATTTTAATATTTTTAGTAGAGACGGGGTTTCACCATGTTGGCCAGGCTGGTTGTGAACTCCTGACCTCAGATGATCCGCCCACTTTGGCCTCCCAAAGTGCTGGGATTATAGGCATGAGCTACCGTTCCTGGCCCATAGCAGAATTCCTTTTTTTTTTTTCTTTTTGAGACGGAGTTTTTTTGCTCTTGTTGCCCAGGCTGGAGTGCAATGGTGTGATCTCGGCTCACTGCAACCTCTGCTTCCCGGGTTCAAGTGATTCTCCTGTCTTAGCCTCCCGAGTAGCTGGGATTACAGGCACATGCCACCACACCCAGCTAATTTTTGTATTTTTAGTAGAGATGGGGTTTCATCATATTGGTCAGGCTGGTCTCAAACTCCTGACCTCAGGTGATCTGCCTGCGTCTGCCTCCCAAACTGCTGGGATTACAGGCGTGAGCCACCACGCCTGGCTGAGCAGTATTTCTTATACCCAAATAAGATACTCAGGATCCTCCATTGTTAACTTAAAACCTTTTTAGTATGTCACATATATGCAAAGATAAAATTAGGTATAAACTCCTCATCTTGTCTCTTTCTTGTTTTTTGTCTTTTTAATTTTTTTATGTGTGTGTTGTATCTTTTATACACCGATAACACCCGAACATTTACAAGTTAAATGAAACAAAGCTATAAAACCAATAAATTCAAATGATTGTGAGCAATGAGACTTTAGTTGGACCTAAAAAGCTCTAATCATGAATGTCCTCTGTGGCGTACCTTCCTTACAGAAAGGTCTGTCCATATTGCCCTTGTGTTGAGAGATTACTTGATGCCTTCACCTCTTTTCTTTATATAAATCACCACAAAACCTTCATTTGTTCAGTATGTCATGGCTTCATTTGTCCTTTACTTGACAAACAACATCATTTACATACAGTAGTCCCCATTTCATTCTCATTAACATGTATCAATGACAAACAGCACCACTTGTTTAGCAATACACTCCTAAACACACGTGTGAATTCAAATCTTGTGACAGCACTCAATTAAAAAGTGCTCATTCAGATGATCCAGAGTGTCCTTTTGTTAATATTCTTTTTTTTTTTTGAAAGATTTTTATCAAATTGAAAATGAAAGGTTTCTCCTACAGAAATCTCATAGCCTTGAAGATATGTGTACAAAATCCCTAGGGGTTCACATAAGGTACCTTATAGTACAAAATCTGAATCTCTTTGGGTAGAATACCAGGCACTTCATTATCTTCCCATGTTTTCATTATCTTGCCCACATTTTCAGCCTCATCTCTTTGGCCATCCCTCATGTTTGCTTTTGTGGTTCTGACATGTTTGCTGACTTTCTCAAGCCAATGTGCCTTTATATTTGAGATTTTCTTTATCTGAAGCTTCCTTTCCTCTCCTCTTATCAGTTGATCTCAAGACTCATCCCAGGTATCACAGCTCCACTGAGACCCTTCCCCTAACTCCTCCAGCTTGGTTAGTAGCCTTTTCTGTGCTTCCATGTTACTGTGTATACTGTTGTGGCACTATACTAGAATTGTCATTTGTCTGTCTTCTCAACTAACCTGGGCAGAAACTGAGTAGTAATATAATTCTCCCTGCTTTACACTACCTAAAATGTGGTTAATGCATATGTATGTTGAATAAATGAATGGGCTATAAAAAACAATATGTTTGTATAGAATCTATTATCAACAGCTAAGTACTTTTTTTTTTTTTAACTTTATTTGCTTGAGAAGAAATCTCAAAGGCTGGTGCTGAACTCCTGGGCTCAAGCGATCATCCCGCCTCAGCCTCCTGAGTAGCTGGCATGTATAGTGGGATTACAGGCATATACCACAATACTTGGCAATAGCAGCTACTTTTAGCTTAGATGCAGATTTAGTCTCCACTTATTCCTTAAATCAGTAGGAAGTCACAATATTAATAACTTTCAAAAAAACTTAAATCCTTAAGACTTCTACCTATGAAGTAGATATTTTCCATTTGTTGAAGGTAAAATGGCATAAATAGATACAGTTTTATGATTGGAAAATGATTTCTCTTAGTTTTGGGCATAGAACAAATATTAGTTCTTCTTTTTTTCTATTCTTTGTCTGTGTTATGTTTACAGAATACTTAACCATCCTAGCCATGATATTTTAAAGACAAGAAAGAAGAAATATTAATTCAAAAGTTAATAAAATGCTTTTTGTTCATATACTTTGTTTAAAGAAACATAGTATAACTGAATAAATGTATAAAATACTCAGGTTATTAAACTTGAACATTTATTCAGAGACAAATTTTAACTAAGCTATAGGAAGTCATTTGTTCAACATGTTTTTGTTTTTCATCCATAATGTGCAGGGGAAAGTTTTGGCATAGGGTATAGCAGTAAACAGGATAGACAGGGTCCCTACAGGTGGGAGGAGATAGACAATAAATAAATAGATGAAAAAATAAGATTTCTAGGTAGCAATAAGTGCTGTGAAGAAAATAAAACAGGGTGATGTGCTGGAGGGTGGTTGAACACCCTGCTTTAGCCAGAGTGGTCAGGGAAGGCCGTTCTAAAGAGAACACATGTAAGCTGAGCCCTGAATGATGAGGAGGAGCTGATCTGCAACAGTCCAGAGTAGTAGTCCAGGCAAAGGGATGCTTGAGTTCAGGATTCCTAAGGCTTATAATAAGAAGTCAAAAACTCTCAGAAGGCCAGTGTGGCTCTTTAGTGTGCAGGAGAGAGGTAAACTTGGAGCAGTCGGATGGGACCAAGACGTTAAGCTTTGTAGGCAATGGTAAGGAATTTTGGATTTTATTCTGATAGGAGGCTTTGAAGAGGGGAGTGATATGATCTATTTTGTGTTATAAAAAGGTCATTATGGCTATAGAGTGGAAAATACATTGTGGAAGGCAAGAATAATTGTAAGGAGACAGGTGGCTATTGCATTTGTCCAGGTAAGAGATTATAGTGTTTTGGACTAGAGTGGTAACAGGAGAGATGGAAAGAAGTGAACAAGATTCAAGATGTATTTTGGAAGTAGAGTTGATAGGACTTCTGATACAGTGGATATTAAGGATGAGGAAAAGAAAAGAATCAAGTGAAATCCTAATAAAACAGAACCACGATAAATATTCCCAAACTCCTCAAAACAAATTGGAAACATGATGTGATGCCAAAGAAACAATGCCTGGATTTTATTAAAGGTGCACATCAGCATTATACATTAGTGCTAAGGAATGTTAGGATTTGTTATGTGGCTAGGGCATGTGGGAAAAGTGAATAAAATCAGATCTCAGAAGTAGGTAGGGGTCAGACCATGTGGAACTGTGGAAATGTGATGGAAAACCCTTAGAGTGATGTGACATTCTTCTTAAACAGATACTTGGCTGCAGCATCAAGAACAAGAGTGAAATATAAGAGACCACTTAGCAGGTGATTGTAGTAGTCCAGGTGCAAGTCACTTTTAGAAATTTATTTTGAAGTTATTGAACCTTTTGACCACAAGTTTGGTTCTTATGTTTTCTTTCCTCTCTATATTTTAATGATGTGTGTCTGAACACACAGTATATTAATGCATATACGAAGTTTTCAGAAAGATTTAGGTTTAAAGGATTGATAGTAAAGCTCGCAGACTCACCCTCTTATTTTAAACAATATTTATTCAAAAGAATATCAATCCTTTATGCTATGTTACAGATATCATAGCATAATATACAAATAACAATTATAAAATGAACACCCATATACTTATCATCAACTTAAAAATAAACAGAATATTACCTAAAACTTTGACATCTCTTATGTGCCCTGCTGGTTCCCAGATCCCTCTTTCCTCTTTAGATAAATAAAAAATTGTTTTAAATGTTTTTGAACATCATTCATATTATATATGTGTACTCTTCTATAGCTTGTCTATATTTTTCTCAACATTACATTTTACGACATACCTGTAATTCATTCATGTTTACTACTGTGTAGTATTTCCTTGTATAAATTTATTACAATTAATTTATCCCCTTTCTACTAGCCAGGCTTTTTGTTTCTTTCATGTTTTTTGTTTTGTTTTTGTGTTTTTTGAAATGGAGTCTTACTCTATTGCCCAGGCTGGAGTGCAGTGGCTCAATCTCAGCTCACTGCAACCTCTGCCTCCTGGGTTCAAGAGATTCTCCTGCCTCAGCCTCCTGTGTAGCTGGGATTACAGGTGCCCACCACCATGCCCGGCTAATTTTTGTATTTTTAGTAGAGATGAGATTTCACTATGTTGGCTAGGCTGGTCTCGAACACCTGACTTCATGATCTGCCTGCCTCAGCCTCCTAAAGTGCTGGGATTACAGGCGTGAGCCACCACACCTGGCCTCTTTCAGGTTTTTTATTTCTAGGAAAGTGCTGTTATAGACATTCTTATCCCTGTCTCCTGGCACACGTTAAAGAATGCGTTAGTTTTCTTTTGCTGTATAACAAATTACCACAGTTTTAGTAGCTTAAATTAACACCCATTCATTACCTCAAATTCTTGTAGAAGTCCTAAAACAGCATAACCTAATTCTCTGCTCAGGATCTCACCAGGCTGAAATTATGGTGTCAGCCTGGGCTGTGGTCTCATCTGCGACTCACAGTCCTGTTCTACCCTCACTGGATATTGACACAATTCCATTCCTAGCAGCTATAGGACTGAAGCCCTCAGCTCTGAGACGTTGCCCACTATTCCCTGCCTCATGGCCCTTTTCACAACCTGGCAGTCTGCTTCTTCAAAGCAAATAGGAGAATGTCTCTCTGACCTCCTCTGCTAAGATGAGGTCTTACATAAAAGTAACCTATGAAGGAGATGACTGTCCATCATTTTCACAGGTCCCATCCACACTGATGGACTATGCAGAGGATGAGGGGGTCTCTTGGGGACTGTGTTATAATTCTGCTGCCACAAAGAGTTGCTCCAGAGTATATACCTAGGTACTTAATTACTGAATTATATGGTATGTGCATTGTATTAGTCCGTTCTCACACTGCTAATAAAGACATACCTGAGACTGGGTAATTTATAAAGGGAAGAGGTTTAATTGACTCACAGTTCCTCATGGCTGGGGAGGCCTCAGGAAACTTACAGTCATGGCAGAAGGAGAAGCAAACACACCCTTCTTCACATGGCAGCAGCAAGGAGAAGTGCAGAGCAAAGTGGAGGAAAAGCCCCTTATAAAACCATCAGATCTCATGAGAACACACTCACTATCATGAGAACAGCATGAGGGTAACCACCCCCATGATTCAGTTACCTCCCACTGGGTCCCTCCCACAACATGTAGAGATTATGGGAACTACAATTCAAGATGAGATTTGGGTGGGGACACAGCCAAACCATATCATTCTGCCCCTGGCCCCTCCCAGAGCTCATGTCCTCACATTTCAGAACACAATCATGTCCTTCCAACTGTCTCCCAAAGTCTTATTCCAGCATTAACTCAAAAATCTAAGTCCAAAGTCTCATCTGAGACAAGGCAAGTCCCTTCTGCCTATGAG
The DNA here is from genome assembly GCF_000001405.40 of Homo sapiens. Classification (NCBI taxonomy): domain Eukaryota; kingdom Metazoa; phylum Chordata; class Mammalia; order Primates; family Hominidae; genus Homo; species Homo sapiens. The sequence goes on along the minus strand of NC_000002.12, from coordinate 171,424,718 downwards.
CCTGTAAAATCAAAAGCAAGTTATTTATTTCCTAGATACAATGGGGGTACAGGCATTGGGTAAATACACCCATTCCAAATGGGAGAAATTGGCCAAAACAAAGGGGCTACAGGCCCTATGCAAGTCCAAAATCCAATAGAGCAGTCATTAAACCTTAAAGTTCCAAAATGATCTCCTTTGACTCCATGTCTCATATCCAGGGCATGCTGATACAAGAGGTGGGCTCCTATGGCCTTGGGCAGCTCCACACCTGTGGCTTTGCAGGGTACAGCCCCTGTCCTGGCTGCTTTCATGGGCTGGTGTAGAGTGTCTGAGGCTTTTCCAGGCACATGGTGCAAGCTGTCAGTGGATCTACAGTTCTGGAGTCTGGAGGATGGGGGCCCTCTTCTCACATCTCCACTAGGCAGTGTCCCAGTAGGGACTCTGTGTGGGGGCTCCAATCCCACATTTCCCTTCCGCACTGCCATAGCAGAGGTTCTCCATGAGGGCTCCACCCATGCAGCAAACTTCTGCTTGGACATCCAGGCATTTCTATACATCTTCTGAAATCTAGGCAGAGGTTCCTCAAACTCAGTTCTTGACTTCTGTGCACCCGCAGGCCCAATAACACGTGGAAGCTGCCAAGGCTTGGAGCTTGTCCCCTCTGAAGCCATGGCCTGTGCTGTACCTTGGCCCCTTTTAGCCACAGCTGGAGCAGCTGGGGTGCAGGGCACCAAGTCCTGAGGCTGCACACAGTAGGAGGGCCCTGCATCCAGCCCAGGAAACCACTTTTCCCTCCTAGGCCTCTAGGCCTGTGATGGGAGGGGCTGCCTCAAAGTTCTCTGACATGCCTTGGAGACATTTTCCCCATTGTCTTGGTGATTAGCATTTGGCTCCTTGTTACTTATGCAAATTTCTGCAGCTCGCTTGAATTTCTCCCCAGAATATGGGTTTTTCATTTCTACTGCATTATCAGGCTGCACATTTTTCAAACGTTTATGCTCTGCTTCCTCTTGAGCACTTTGCTGCTTAGAAATTTCTTTCTCTAGATACCCTAAATCATCTCTCTCAAGTTCAAAGTTCCACAGATCTCTAGGGCAGGGACAAAATGCCTCCAGTATCTTTGCATAGCAAGAATGACTTTTAGTCCAGTTCCCAACAAGTTCTTCATCTCCATCTGAGATGACCTCAGGTGGGGGGCTCTATTGTCCATATCACTATCAATATTTTGGTCAAAACCATTTAACAGGTCTCTAGGAAGTTCCAAACTTTCCCACATCTTCCTGTCTTCTGAGCCCTCCAAGTCTCTAGGAAGTTTCAAACTTTCTCACATTTTCCTGTCTTTTGAGCCCTCCAAACAGTTCCAACCTCTGCCTGTTACCCAGTTCCAAAGTTGCTTCCACATTTTTGGGTATCTTTACAGCAGCACCCCATTCCTGGTACCAATTTACTATATTAGTCTGTTCTCACGTTACTAATAAAGACATACCTGAGACTGGGTAATTTATAAAGGGAAGAGGTTTAATTGTCTCACAGTTCCACATGGCTCAAGAGGCTTCAGGAGACTTACAATCATGGCAGAAGGGGAAGCAAACACATCGTTCTTCACATGGCAGCAGCAAGGAGAAGTGCAGAGTGAAGCAGGGGAGAAGCCCCTTATAAACCCTCAGATCTCATGAGAACTCACTATCACAAGATCAGCATGAGGATAACCACCCCCCATAATTCAATTACCTCCCACTGTGTCCCTCCCACAACATGTGGAGATTATGGGAACTACAATTCAAGATGTGATTTGGTTGAGGACACAACCAAACCATATTATGCACCTTCAGCTTTTTTAGGTGATACCATGTTGACTCTGTATGTTGTTATAGCAATTTCTATCCTATTAGCTGACTTCCCATTACTTTACATCCTTGCCTGCATTTGTATTGTCAGACTTAAGTTTTTGCCAATGTAGTGAATATAAGACTATCATATTATGATTTTTATGCATTTTCCATATTATAAATACAGTTGAGCATCTATTTTTAATGTCACTAGGCATTCCTGTTTTCATTCTTGTGCAAAGCCTGATCATGACTTTTGCCCATTTTCTATTAGATTGTGTGTCTTTTTCTTCTTGAGTTTAGAATGTTTCTGCATGTTTCTCCGTAACAATTCTTCATCATAATATGTGTTACAAATGTCTTCTCCCAATATGTGGCTTATTTGATACTATATAAAAAAAGAAGCTCACATTAAATGTGGTAAAAGTAGTCAGTATTTCCTTTTATGGTTATAATTTGACTATTGTTTAAGAATTGCTTAACTTGAGGTCATAAAGATATCCTCTTATTCTTTTTCTAGGTTTTAAAGTTTTAACTTTCCCACTTAAGTCTTCAGTCAGTGATGAAATTGATTTGAGAGTATGGTATAAATTAGAGATCCTTTCATTATTATTATTTTTTGTATATGAATAATCACTTGTTCCAGACCCACTTATTGAATAGTCTCTTCATTTCTTCACAGATCTGTGGTGCTAGTTCTGTTGTAGATCAAGTTACCTATCTGGTCAAGTCTATTTCTGTGCTCTGTTTTCTGTTCCATTATCTTATTTTTCTGTCCCTGGGGTGATAAGTGACCACTTATTCACTGCAGTTTTATCATAAGGCTTGAGAGCTGGTAGGGGAACTGTTCCATCTTACTCCTCTTCTTTAGGAGTGTCTTATTTCTTTTTTGCCATTGACACTTTCATATACCTTTTAAAATCAGCTTGGGCTTCCCAAAAGCCTTATTGAAATTTTGATTGGGATGGCATTAAATCTGTATATCAGTTTGAAGAGAACTGACATCTTTACAATATCAAATAATCCTATCTATGAAGACTATAGAGTCTTTCCTCAGTATACTAGGGAGATTGGTTCCAGGATGCCCGCATATACCAAAATCCACACATCCTCAAGTCTTTCAGTTGACCCTGTGGAACCCAAGTATATGAAAAGTTGGCCCTCCTTATATGCAGATTTCACATCCTCCAAATACTGTATTTTCAATCTGAGTTTGGTTAAAAAAATCCTCATATAAGTGGACCCATGAAGTTTAAACCCATTGTATTCAAGAGTCACTATGTAGCTCTCCATTTATTTAGTTAGATCTTCATTAGTGGCTCAGTGAAGTTTTATAATTTTTTCTTTAAAGGACTTGCATATTTTACAACTTCCTAAGTGTATCATATTTTTGGTCATTGTTATAAATGATGTGTGTGTGTGTGTGTGTGTATGGATGTGTGTATGTATTTTTTTTTTGAAGTAAGGTCTCACTGTGCTGCCCAGGCTGGAGTGCAGTGGCTATTCACATGTGTGATCATCGTGCATTAAAGCCTCAAACTCCTAGGCTCAAGTCATCCTCCTGCCTCAGCCTCCTGAGTAGCTGGGAGTACAAGTGGTGCCACTGTGCCTTGCTAAATAGTATATTTTAAAATTAGGTTTTCTAACTATATGTTTGCTAGTATATGAAAATATAATTGTCTGTTTGTATATTGATCTTTTATTTGGCAATCTTGCCAAACTTTCCATTTAATAGTAATAATTGTCATTTGTAGGGTTTAGGGGATTTTTTCTGTGTAGATAATCATATCGTTAGGAAACTGTGACAGTTTGTTACTTCCTCCTCCACCTTTTACTTTTTATTTCTCTTTCCTTTCTGACTGTCCTGGCCAAGACCTCCATTGCAGTGTTGAGTAGAACCATTGATAATGGACATCCTTGTCTTATTCATGTTTATAAAGGGAATACTTCTAATATTTCACCATTAAGGATGACATCATAAGTTTTTGGCAGCTACCCTTTATCAAGTTAATGAAATTGTCTTCCATTTCACAGTCACTAAAAGTTTTGATTTTTAATCATGAGCGAATGTTGAATTTTATCAGAGGCCTTTTCTGTATCTGCTGAGGTCATTATATGATTTTTTATTTTAATCTGGTAATGTGGCAAATTACATTGATATACTTTCTATTGTTAAACCAAACTTGGGTTTATTTAGATCAATTTTTGTGACACATTTTGTTTTTTATACATTGTAGGCTTTGGGTGGTTGCTAACCTCAGTGCTCATTCAGCTCTGGACTTTTGCGAGCTTTTGGTCTCTGAGTATTTCTCTTTCTTGCTGGCTCAGGGGTATGTTTAATAAGATTTCTTTTTAAAACATATTAATCCAGCCATTTAGGGGTGGTTGATAGCAGCAAGGATTTTGGAGTATAAAGTTCACCTAATTTGCAGAACTAAAATTCCACTTTATTATACTTTTAGTTTAAAAGCTTCTGTTAATAATATATGCTTTCAATAATCACTTACCACCATGTCTGCCTCATCTTCTTTTTCTTCTTCTTGTCTCTCTGCATAACCATGCCACTCTCTACTGAAAAGACAAAAGAATAGTCTAGCGGGAAGAGCATCATACCAGGAGTCAAAAGCTACAAGTTCTAGTGCCAGCACCATCACTCCCTGAGATCTTGACCAAGCCGCTTTCTTTTGTTGTTGTTTTTAAATAAAATTTTTATATTTTTTGTAGAGACAGGGTTTCACCACATTGCCTAGGCTGGTCTTGAACTCCTGAGCTCAAGTGATCCGCCCACCTTGGCCTCCCAAAGTGCTGGGATTACAGGTGTGAGCCACCGTGCCCAGCCAACACTTTGTTTCTCTAAGTTTTACTCAGTCATCTGCTTGGTGGGAACACTCAGGATTGAAGTGAGATCACATATTTATAAATGTGAACATGTTGTTAGGGGAAAGGATGAGAAGCAATGATATACAGTACATTCTCTGTTTAGAAAATGTAACAGAAACAGGGAGTTTGGGGAAGGGAGAGATTTAAATCAGTCACATGGGATTTTTTTAGGGTGGTGGAACTATTTTGTCTGAGACTATAATGGTGGGTACATGACACCATGCATGTGTTATGTACAGCACAGAGTGGAATTTAACATGTTCAGAATTTTTAAAATGATATCAGGAGTGTGGGGATTCCAGGATGGAATGCAGAGTGACAAAATAATCTAACTGTATTACAAATGTATGCAATAACCTCACTGAAGGGGGCCAGAGAAAAGGTGTTGACCTGAGTAACTTTGGAAATGAGACCGTAAGACTAAAGGCAATGGGAACTGTACATAAGCACTATACTGCAGTTGATAAAGTTTCCTGTGGCAGTATGGGGTAATAATTCTGAAACCACTATACAGGTGTACTAGAATCGAACAATTATTAACTGGATGGTGATGATAGGAACCAGGTTTCTTACTGTTGGAGTAGAAGGCTATAGACAAGCAAGAAGGGAAGGCTGGAGTTATCTGTGTGGTAATAGATTAGAGTTGGAGCTAGTAGTATGAACTCTAGTTTAATATAGATACAGATGAATGCATATAGAAACACATTATATATAGATATATGTATATACTTGGTTTATTATGCACACCTATATTTCCTTGCTTTGTCCCTTGAGAGGACTGAGAAGCAAGGACAACCTAGTAGCAAGGAACACACCTGGTGCCCAGACCATTCTCTAATAAAAGGAACAAAGATTCTTTGTAGAAATGGCTGTTTCTAGGACTAGATCAAGGAATACACAAAATGAGTGCCAGAAAGTAAGCAAGTGCTAAAAACAAAAACACAGTGATGGAACTATGTCAAAAGGAATATAGGAGCCAACTGAAAGAGGATTTTTTTTTTTTTTTGAGACAGGGTCTCACTCTGTCACGCTGCGTGACTATACTCATACTGGAGTATACTCATACCGGACTATACTTATACTGGAGTATAGTCACCCAGGCTGGAGTACAGTGGCATGATCTCGGCTCACTGCAGCCTCCGCCTCCTGGGGTCAAGCAGTCTTCCCACCTCAGCCTCCCAAGTAGCTGGGGCCACAGGCACATGCTACTATGCCTGGCTAATTTTTTGTATTTTTGGTAGAGATGGGGTTTCGCCATGTTGTCCAGACTGGTCTTGAACTCCTGAGCTTAGGTGATCCTCCAGCTTCGGCCTCCCAAAGTGCTGGGATTATAATCCCAGGCATAAGCCACCATGCCTGGCTTGAAAGAGCTCTTAATGGCCAAAGCTCAAAATAATTTGAGCAGCAAAATAACTGTTAGTATTTAGTTATAACATGAAGTATAACATAAGTATCCCTGGTCTGTACTGATATAAATAAAGGATTGAATAAATAAATGAATGGGAGAGAAGAGACAAATCGTCCATGCAAAAGAATTCCAAATATTTTGTGTAGATATTCTGCCCTTAAGGAGGTAGAGCCTAAGTGCCCACTTTTTAAATGTGGGCTCTGCATAATGATTTCCTTCCAAAGAGTACACTATGTAAAAGGGGCATATACCTTAACAGTGGGGAGAAACCTGTTAAACCCCGACTAGTATACCTCAAAACTGTCAAGGTCTTCATAAACAAGGAAAATCTGAGATACTGTCAGAATAAATAGGAGCCTAAGAAGATATGATGACATGGCCGGGTGCGGTGGCTCACACCTGTAATCCCAGCACTTTGGGAGATTGACACGGGTGGATCATGAGGTCAGGAGATCGAGACCATCCTGGCTAACACAGTGACACCCCATCTCTACTAAAAATACAAAAAATTAGCCGGGCATGGTGGCGGGCACCTGTAGTCCCAGCTACTCGGGAGGCTAAGGCAGGAGAAAGGCGTGAACCCAGGAGGCGGAGCTTGCAGTGAGCCGAGATTGCGCCACTGCGCTCCAGCCTGGATGACAGAGTGAGACTCCATCTCAAAAAAAAAAGACATGATGACATGATCTCATGTAATAAGGGGTCCCGGAACAGAAAAAGGACATTAGATAAAAATTAAGGAAATTGAATAAAGTATGGACTTAAGTTTATAATAATGTATTACTATTGAGTTGTTAATTATAATAAATATACCATAATAATGTAAGATTTAATAGTGGGGGAAACTATATCACATATATGGAAACTCTCTGTACTATCTGTAACATTTTTATAAATCTGAAATTAAAAGTTTACTTTAAAAATGCAGCAGGAATATGGTAGACACCACTATATAGGGATAGCACAACTTAGTAATTAAGAAGATGAACTCACGTACCAGCCTGCCTGGGTTCAGATCTCAGCCTCACTGCTTAGTATCTGTGTAACCCTGGCTACCTTAAGTAACTAGAACTACTTAACTTCTCTGTGCTTCAATTTCTTTATCTGTTAGTGAAGATTCTTGGGAGGACTAAATGAATTTGTGTGTGTGTGCATGTGTATGACTTGGAGTAGTGCCTAGCACAAAGCAAACCTTATATAATTGTTTGAATCTATTTATTATTACTACTTTTGTTCTTTAGTTTTGGTGATTATGGCTAAATTTCACTGCATCTCTCTTCTTCAGCATACTGATTTTTAGCTTGGCACTCCAACAGAACAGTATCCATAATACTTTGTTTTCATGGGGAAAATCATCGAGATTATAAAGATTCAAGAGAAAGCAGGACCAGAACTTGAGAATCCCCAACCCAGTTTCATGCTTCATATATAGCACTGACTTAGTGAAAGCTACAAAGCCTGACAGGATCTACTTTTTATGGGCATAGACATGCCACACATAGAAATTCTAAGTTAATTTTATTTGGTTTTCAGTAGATTTCTTACTAAGATATCCACTTCCCTTGTTAAGCTGATGTTCTTTTTGGGAAAAGCACTGCCTGCAATGCAAACCCCTCAGATGTAGGGTTCAGCATCTAAAATTTAGATGACATTTGAAGCAAAAGTGGGATGTATTATGGAAACATGTATTTCCGGTCTTTTACCTCTCTGCTAAAATTCATGCCAACTCTTTAGAAAACTTCTGATGGATCAGCAGCTCAGATGGAATAGCGTACTAAGTAGAACATAGAATCTGGAGTCAGGAGCCTGCTTGGAGAGTGGGCTCTTGTGGCTATGTGACCAAGTGCTCGAGCCTCAGCTCCTGCATCTGTACAACAGTGATAACAGAAATGCTTTTCCCACCCTTGTCCCTCACTTACAGGATAGTTGAAGATCAGATGTGAAAATGAATGTGAGAGCTTTTGTAAGTTATAAAATCTGTACAAATAAGATCTGTTAGAGTGGTTCTCAGATTTTCAACCAGAGTAAAGGCTAATGGAGCTTTATAGCCATATTAAGTGTTGCAGCCATCTGGACACCTTTAATTATTAAGTAATAAGGTGAAATCGTTGAACTTAAAATGCTCTTGATGGAAAATTTTCTCACAGCACTTTAGTTTTTAGGATGTTTCTCTTTGGCATAATAAAGGAAGGCATTGTTTTAGTCTGGAATTGTCTGTTTGAGGTGGCAGTTTGAGGAAATGGTTCCCAAAGTCTTCACTGAAATTAGCTGGAGAATACAAAGGTGAATCCCTGTGATATGGGAAGCTACCTACCTCCTTTGGACACAGATCCTCTTGTCCTGGTGTAGAGATGACCAGCAGAGGGTGCACGAGCTTTCCTAGGAGCTGACTCCAGCTTCAGCAGCAAGGCTGGGCAGACCTGACTGGTACCATCTGTGTTTTCTGTCTGATGATTAACAAGTACTATAAATGAAACGATCCTGGCGCGTCAGAAACACAGTCATCAAATGGAAAGAGAGAGCAGCCATAATGTCAAACAACAGTGTAGCAAGTGCCTGCCATAGTTGATGAATAGGAGGTTTCTAGATAACTGGAATTCAGCATTCTAGCATGGGCTGTTGGTTTCCCACATTCTCCTGTTACCCTTTTCCTTTTCTAATAATTTCTTTCTACTTCCTGGTTCTTTGCTCCACCTTAATCAGCATCCATAATCATCTGCCTTACCCAGTCTGACAATTAGAGGTCTTTTAAGCAACTCTTCTCTGGACATTTACCCTTGGCTATTTGGGTCCAGAATCCAGCATTCTAGTGTTGCTGTCACCTACTGCCTATTATACCATCTTTTATTCCCTAGAGTGGATCCTCTACTCATGAGTATTATATAGAATTTGTATATTTAGTGATTTTAAAATATTTTTATATTTTCTAATTATAAAGGTAATTTGGGTTTACATAGAAAAAAGAATATTTTAGGCCAGGCGTGGTAGCTAATGCCTGTAATCCCAGCACTTTGGGAGGCCAAGGCGGGTGGATCACAAGGTCAGGAGTTCAAGACCAGCCTGGCCAACATGGTGAAACCCCACCTGTACTAAAAATACAAAAATTAGCCAGGCATGGTGACAGGGGCCTATAATCCCAGCTACTTGGGAGGCTGAGGCAGAGAATTGCTTGAACCCGGGTGGCAGAGGTTGCAGTGAGCCAAGATCGCGCCACTGCACTCCAGCCTGGGCAACAGAGTGAGACTCTGTCAAAAAAAAAAAAAAAAAAAAAAAGATTTCGAGATATATTAAGAAGAAAATGCAAGGAAGATCTGTGAGCCTTTCAATCAGTGACAACTGCTATAAATTCTACTAGACTTTCCCTATGCATATGCATGTTTCTTGGTATATAGACATTAATTTTTTAAGATGAGACCGTACTATAAATACTATCTTGTACCTGACTTTTTTTTTCTACCTAATAAATCATGGACATCTTTTCATACCATGTTAGTTCATTTTCATCCTGCTGATAAAGACATACCCCAGACTGGGTAATTTATAAAGAAAAAGAGGTTTAATGGACTCACAGTTTCATGTGGCTGGGGAGGCCTCACAATCATGGCAGAAGGCAAAAGGCACAGTTTACATGGCAGCAGGCAAGAGAGAGAATGTGAGCCAAGTGAAAGGGGTTTCCCCTTATAAAACCATCAGATCTCGTGAGACTTATTCACTACCACGAGAATAGTATGGGAGAAACCGCCCCCATGATTCATTTATCTCCCACCAGATGCCTCCCGCAACATGTGGGAATTATGAGAGCTACAATTCAAGATAAGATTTGGGTGGAGACACAGCCAAACCATATCACATACCAATAAATTTAGGGTTTTAGTAACCTTTTTTTTTTTTTTCAGAAACAGAGCCTCACTCTGTCACCTAGGCTGGAGTGCAGTGGTGCAATTATGGCTCACTGCAGTTTCAACCTCCCAGATTCCAGTCATCCTCCTGCCTCAGCCACCCAAGAAGCTGGGACCACAGGTACACACCACCATGCCCAGCTAATTTTTTAATTTTTTGTAGAGATGGGGGTCTCACTATGTTTCCCAGTCTGGTCTTTAACTCCTGGCCTCAAATGATCTGCCTGTCTTGGCCTCCCAAAGTCCTGGGATTACAGGTGTGAGCTACTGGGGCCAGCCTTTAGCAAGATGTTTTTTTTTTTTTTTGAGACGGAGTTTCGCTCTTGTTGCCCAGGCTGGAGTGCAGTGGTGCGATCTCAGCTCACCGCATCCTCCGCCTCCCGGGTTCAAGCAATTCTCCTGCCTCAGCCTCTCGAGTAGCTGGGATTACAGGCATGTACCACCACACCCAGCTAATTTCGTATTTTTAGTAGAAATGGGGTTTCTCCACGTTGGTCAGGCTGGTCTCAAACTCCCAGCCTCAGGTGATCCGCCCACCTTGGCCTCTCAAAGGGCTGGAATTACAGGGATGAGCCACTGTGCCTGGCTTTAGCAACATTTTTAAGCAGCTACATAATTTTCCTTTCTATGCATGTACAATAATTTAGTCAGTCTTCTAAAAATTAATATTTGTATTGTAGTTTTTCAGTGTAATATACAAATAATGCTATGACAAATCCTTAATATATTCTTCTGATTATATCCATAGGATATATTTTTAGAAACGAAATTTTCTTTCTAATTTTTTCTTTAAAATTTTCATATGTATTACCAAAGCCCCCTCAGGAAAGGTCTCTCAGTTCAGTGCCCCCTCAGTTTGCCAGAATGCCTGTTCCTGCACACCATTTATCACAGTGTTTTTACCTTCGCCAAAATGACAGAAGATTATTTTACTGTTTTCTGTGTGATGGGCTTTCCGCTATCCATATCACCCAGAAAATTAATCTAAGGCAGCGAGTCTCCAGCTTTTTGGTCTCAGGACCTCTAGACACTAAAAAATTATAAAGGCTCCAAAGAACATTTGTTTATGTGGCTTGTAGCTATGGATATTTACTACATTTGAAATGTAACCTAAGAAAAAATTAATTGTTTAAATATTTATTAAATCTTTTTTATCACAACACCTGTAAAAACTGCATTATTAAGTGATTTAAAAATAAGACTAATAAACCCATTGTATGTTATTATGGCATATTTTTATAAAAAATATTTTCCAAAAGAAAAATATTAGAAGAATGGCATTGTTTTACATTTTTTGCAAATCTCAATGTCTCACCTAAGAGATGACTGGATTCTTATATCTGTTTCTGCATTAAGTCTGTTGTGATATGTTGTTCTGGTTGATATATGTGAAGAAATCTGATCTCACACAGATATATTTTATAAGTGGTTAGAAAGGGGAGGAGTGCTTTGTCTCTTCAGATGAATATGGGTATTCTACTTTACTACTACACCAAATCCCAGTAAGTGGTAGTATCTTAAAGGTTAATTGCAATATTACAATTTGAAGCCTTGTCAGTGAATTTTTCATATTCTGCTACATTAAAATCCATTGGTCTGTCTTGTATTATACTTTGACTGGATCTTTAGCCCGTGCTTGATTTTGTATCATCTTATGTTGGTCATCTGGAAAATACTGGCTCATTGAGTTGTATAGGTCTTCCAAATGTTGACACATTTCATTTTATAGTGCCAAAAATATCTTGTTCTCATCTGAACAGTGTTTAAGAATTAGAAAGCTGTTAGGCTTATAGTGGTGAACACAGGTTTTCCAGAATTCTAATTTTTGCTTAAAAGCTTAAATTTTATCAAAGGCAACAAATGGTGTCAGTTGTTTTCTTGGCAGTCTTACTTCATTTATTTTTGAGAAAATACCAAAGTTAAAATGATGCTCTGTGAAAACAATTTTTATTGCTTCATCAAGGAAATGCTTACGTGAAACTGCCTTTTTTTTTTTTCTGTGAGTCCATAGTTGGTGAAGAAGACAGTGATCTTCTGTATAGTTTGATGCCACTGTTTTGATTTAGGCAAAGGTGCTAATGCTTTTATCCACATTGCCTGTGCACCATTGGTGCAAATGGCACTACAGTGTTTTTTTTTTTTAAGGCAAATAATATGTTGATATTATCATGAAAATAATTTTAGCCTTTTGAAGACTGCCTAAAGGGGGGTAGGGTTCCCCAGGAATTCGTGAACCATACTCTGAGAACTTCTAGTTTAAGATTCTCTTACCAGAGATTGATTTGGGAATAGTTTGTGACCAAATTCTGGCCAGTGAAATCTGAGAGCAAGTCTGGCTGGGAAGTTGTGGATAAGTTTCCTCCTCCCTAAAAAGAGACACAGAAAGAGATGGTCCTTTTCTTTTGCTGGATGTTGCCATGTCTGTGTGATGCTTGGGACTGCTGCAGCCATTTTGTAATTGACAGAGGGACTTAGCCTTAGGATGAAGGTGATGCTGCGGAGAGCAGGATGGAGAAATGGCAGGAACCTGGATCCTCGATGACATTGTAGAATAGCAGATGAAACCTTACCTGGAACTTGCCCAATCTTTGGGCTTTCAGTTATGACAGATATTATTTCCTTATCATTTAAGCCACTTTGAGTAGTGCCTTCTGTTATTTGCAGTCAAAAGAATCCTAAAGAGACATTTATTATTAGTGTGATGAACAGTTTCAAGTGTCTAGTGGCCATCTGCATTTCTTTAGTAAATGCTTATTCATAGCATTAGCACATTTCCTGCTGAGGTCATTTCTACTTATTATTTTCTAAGCATTCCTTATAAACTAACACATTGTAATATTTTGCAGGTTATTTCCACCAGTGTCTTTTATAGCATATTTTCCCATACATTTAAATGTAAGCAATCTATTTGTCTTGTTCTCCTTTTTTAAATAGTTTGTGGCTTTGGTATCATGTTTAAGAGTCTTTTTTACCCCATTTTTTGGGAAAATATTCACTTTTTTCCTAGACTAATAAAGATTTAATTTTTCACATTTAAAAGTTTAACTCATCTGGAATTTATTTTGATGTTAGATATGGAGTAGCGATGTACCTTTTTTTTCCAAACGGGTGGCCCTTTTCTTAATATACATCTTTGAATAGGCCAGCTCTAACCCACTAATTTGAAATACTAACTTTATTACAAATGGAATTCTTATATATGTATTCTAACTCGTTTCTGGACTTTCTATTCTGTTCCATTTGCTTTGACTGTATCTCCTGTGTTAGAGGTATGCCCAAGACTTATCTGTTTGACAGTGTGTTGTAATGTCTGGAAGGACAGGTACACACCATCCCCCAACTCCACCCAACACAATCACATCACTCTTTCTCCCTGTAGTATTTTTCTGGTGCTTCCTGCATGTTTATTTGTCCAGATGAACTTTTAAATTATTTGTTAAAGTTCTCCCAAAACATTTTTGGAATTTCTGTTGGAATTACTTTAATTTTATAGATGATTTGGTGAGAATTTATATTTTTACAGTATTGAATCTTCAGCCCCAGAAACCCATGTACTGTCTTCCTACTTATTAAAATTGTCTTCCATGTCCCTCTGTACAGTTGTATAGCTTTCTTCATATTGGTCTTGTATATTTCTGGCTAGGTTTATTCCTAGGTATTTCATATTATTTTATGTTGAATTTGTAGAGGGATCTTTCCCACTGTATATGTTCCATTTAAATAAAAACACTTTTTAAAAACATCCAGCTCATATTTCCAGATAACTTTGGCTTCTTAGAAAAGAGTAACATTTAAGGATATTATCTAAGTAATATCTAAAGATACTATCATTTGTGGTATTACAGTATGTACTATGTGAACTGGATTTATGAGGTATGACTGCTTAAGACTGTTCAAGGAAATAACATACCAGAAGCTGTATCTTAATGAGTATTATTCTTCCAAGCTGTTTATGTCAGGAGTTTATACATGTATGGCAACAAGAACAACAACTTACTCTGAAAGCAAAAGGTATTCTTCTAAAGCAAAGAGTTTGCCATCATTGAGGATATGAAAAAGAACAATAGCTTGCTATGAGGACATTATCTGAAAATGGAATTTCAAAAATGTTTTGCTATTATTGGAATAAATAGTAATCTCTTAAAGTCACTTATTTGAAGGGACAGCACTTATTTTGAGGTACAGGTTTAGTTTTTAGCTAAACAACATTAGTACCTTCTAGACACATCTTAGGTTGTCAGGTGGCAGGGAGTTGGTTGACAGGTTTTATGTGTTTTGTTGTTGTTTGGAAAGAATCATATTTAATCAGATTGTTTTTGTATTAAATAAGATTCGAGTTGCCCCAGGCAGTGTGGATTGGCAATGTTTCAGCTATTTGGGAAAATAGGATTTGCCAGTTTTCTAAGACCATTTAAAATAAACAAGGACATTTCTTTTCATCCACGTTATGGATTTAAAAAGCATGTGTGGACTAGCCTGGTTTCTTAATCACCATTTAAAATGTTCCTATAGAAAATGTGGTTCTGAGCTCTTAACAACTGTCTTACAAATGAGCGTAGGAATAAGACCGTTCATAGGTGAAAGATTACTAAGGTTTCTCTATATGATGTATTCCTTGGAGATTAAGAACATAATTAATATTCTCAATTATTCTTTAGCAGCTTGCTGTGACATTATTATTCATGGGCTTTTCTAAACCTTTCTTAAATTTATTGATTTTTTTAAGTTTATATAGTTTCCTGGGATAAGGTTTACTTCTTTGTGGGTGAGGAGTCTGGCTCTAGGTCGAAATTCCACATGTGATCTTTCCGGCCTGACCGTAGACAATTACAAGGCTCTGCCTGGAGGGCCTCATGGGGAGAAGCTGCCTTCCCCACACCATAGTTGGTGCACAGCTAGAACATTGCAGTTTCCTGGAGGGGCTGTAGTCTAGGAATCAGCCCCCTGCATTCCTAGCCCAGATGCCTCCATTCAGAGGACTTCCTTCCATTCCAGGCTCCCCTCTCTGCCCTGCCGCGTCCCTGACCACCTCCACCCCAGGGGTCCATTTAGAAAAGCGAGAGCCTTCTCCCACCCCTCCTTGACAGTAAGACAATTTCCCCATCTATGCCGTGTCTACTTGATCCTCACCCAGTGCTGCCATTCAGTGGGGGAGAAAGGAAAGCTGGGGAGCTAGCATTTCTTTTTGCCTCCCGCTTGCACTGTTGCAGAAAGTAAGACTTGATTGTTACTTTCATTTTAGCTTGTGGTCCTAACTGACTGCCTCAGTACCTGATTGCTAGACAGTGGGAGGTGGGAGGGTGTTCGTAATTATTTATTAATTTTATTTTGTGGGATTTTTTTTTCTGTTTTAGTTTTAAGAGGTGCCCCTTAGAAATGTTTCCGGAATTTGTTGAATAATAATTTGACTTTACATTTGTAAGGCACTATGTAGTTTATAATTTTCTTTGTAAGAACTTTGTGACTTAAGAATTCTCTCAATTTTACGAACGCACTGATAGGCGTAAGCAAAGTGACTTTCCCTAAAAAATCATGAACTGACAACAGACTTAATCTCAACTTCAAGTCCCGGCTTAGCCACCTATTAAGTGACTTGAACTTGGGACTAAGCCTGTTGTCGGTTCAGCCCTCTACTATACCATCCTGCTTCATTGGTAAATTAGTCTTTTGTCTTCTTGAAAAGTTGGGACTACTTAGGGCTGTTCAAATTAAGCAGCATCTTAGTGGAAGGCTTGATCCTGTGGTATTCACAAAGCCCTGTGGAAATTGTGAGGAGAGGCAGACTAATGATAACAGCAAATGGGTTAGCACTGATTGAACACTTACCACGCACCCAGCACTAAGCTACATGTGTTACCTCCCAGAAGCTTCCTATCTTTGGAAATAACCTTATTAGCCACATTTTATTAAAGAAATTGAGACTAGCGAAGTTAGGTATCATGCCAGAGGTTGTAAAACTAAGACAACCTCTGGTAGTGATACAGCCTGTGGTAGTAAGTGGCAGATCCTGAACCAACCTAGTCCATACCCTTCAGCGCCACCTGAAATTGCTTTCTGCAGAGAATTGAGATGACTCTGCCCTACTTAGGGATATTTCTGCTATTAAGGAGCAGTAAGAGTAGAATTCCCAGCAGCTGGTCACGGTGGCTCACACCTGTAATCCCAGCACTTTGGGAGGCCGAGGTGGGTGGATCACGTGAGATCGGGAGTTTGAGACCAACCTGACCAACATGGAGAAACCACATCTCTACTAAAAATAAAAAAAGCCAAGCGTGGTGGTGCATGCCTGTAATCCCAGCTACTCGGGAGGCTGAGGCAGGAGAATCACTTGAACTGGGGAGGCGGAGGTTGCGGTGAGCCAAAATCTTGCCATTGCACTCCAGCCTGGGGAACAAGAGTGAAACTCCATCTCAAAAAAAAAAAAAAACAAAAAAACTGTAGAATTCTCTGGAACAGAATTTTCTAATACTATTTCTAAATGCTGAGAAATAAATCTCTGTTTAAAGGAAAAATATTCTCAGGTCCCTCAGTTGACTTAAAATATTCTTACTATGTTGTTTATGAACACAAATCCAGGTATAAGCTCCTTGTACATAGAGCTCCTATTCAGCCACAAAATCAAAATAAGTACAAGTACAACCACAAAACCAATAAAACTCGAATTAACAGCGGTATAGTGTGACTGCTGATGTTTTACTGAAAATAAATTGCAACTCTCATTATAAAGAAGCTACTGACCATCATCATGCAGGTTCTTTTGACTTCAGCCCATCTGTGCTGTTGTGTGCTATGTGTCTTCCCAATTCCCTCACCACTTTTCTCTATTCAAAATACTGCAGAATCTTTTTACAGTGTGCTGTATACTCAGATGCATCATTTATGTATTACATCTGTGCTGCTTATTGCCAGCAAGATCATAAATGCAAACACAGACACTGAAATCAAGTAGCAGTTATACATGGCTCCTATTGAATTTTAGATTATTATCATAATAAAAATGCGATTTAAATAATTGTCATAGGACCTTGGTTGGACAAACCCTGTTTTAGCAGATGTGTCCAGTGGGGGACTGTTCCTGAAGAGCAAGGGATGGAGATCTATTATAATGACTTTCAGAAGATTAACATAAGATGGTGGACGGGAGTCCATGTTTTAGCTTTTGTCAATACTAAAAGCTTTCTCTTTCATAGGCATTTGTGGCCTTGTGGTTTTGGCCACACTGTAAGAGCCTCTCGTTCAAAGCAGTAGTTCCTTCTCATTGTTACAGTGTTTACTGTTTTTGTTACTAGGTGAGATGGGTTAAAAAAAAAACTTAGAAGGCCTCATTCCTAACCAGTACCTCCTATCTGTCTTCTCCCTCCCCTGTTTCTTTCCATTTCCCCCCCGCTTTTAGAGTCCGGGTCTTGCCCTGTCACCTAGGCATGATCAAGGCTCACTGCAGCCTCAAAATCCTGGGCTCAAGTGATCCTCCCACCTCAGCCTCCCAAGTTGCTGGGTCCCTCCCCTTGTTTCTTTTAAACCCAGACTCTAGCCACTTTAAGTCCATCAGCTCCTCCAATTCCTTCTACCCTCCTCTTCCCTCTCTATTATTTTTTTCCCAGTCAGCATGGGCTTACTCTGTGGTTACTAGTTATATTTTCCTTCACTTCCACCATCTTAAATCACCATTGCTTTCCATACTACAAGCCTAAATAGTCCTAATCCAGATCAAACCAAATATTTCGCCCCACAAACTAGGTAGTAGAGGAAATCAATAACTGCCCTATCAGTTAGGTTACTTTTGGTAGCAGATAACAGAAAACTCAGATGGCTTAAACAATTAAGAAATGTATTGGCTCGATAACTGAAAAAAAAAAAAGAGGAATTTAATCCAACTACTTAACAATGGGACTTATGAACCTCTTTTTAGCTTCCTAGTTTTCTTGCCTCATAGTTGGCTTCATCCTATATTTGTACCATGCATACCTAACGTTAGGCCCACTCATGGCTCCAAGGTGGCTTTTGTTATGGACTGCATTGTGTCCCCCTAAATTCATATGCTGAAGGCCTACCCCACAATGTGACTTTATTTAGAGATGGGCCTTTATGGAGGTAATAAAGATCAAGTGAGGTCTTAGGAGTGAGGCCCTAATTCAATAGAACTGGTGTCCTTATAAAAAGAGGAGAAGATATCTCTCCCTCTGCGAATGCACAGAGGCCATTGGAGGACACAATGAGAAGGTGGCTGTCTACAAGCCAGGAACCAAATCAGCCAGCACTTTGATATGGGACTTCTAGCCTCCAGACCTGTGAGAAAATAAAATTTCTGTTGTTTAAGCAACCTAGTCTATGATATTTTGTTGTGGCAGCCCAAGCTGACCAATATAGCTTTCAACAGCTTTGGGGCTGTTGAAAAAGCCCCTCTTTCATACATAACAGGTGCTTCCTCTTTCATACCTAATAGGTATTAAAAATTATCTTTGTTCCCAGATCTCTAGCAGTAAAACAGAAAGGTACTCTGTTGGACAGGTTTGGCCACATGCCCACTTCCTAACCAATCACTATGCCCAGAGGTATAGAAGTGTGCCGATTGGCTTAGCATAGGGTATATGTTCACCTCTGGCTTCAATCATGTCCACTCTGGCCTCTCAGAAAATGTACAGATTTCAAGTCCATGAGCTATGGGAAGTAGGGAGTGAATACTTGAGAGACAACCAATAAATAACCACTAATTTGAGCTGCATCTTTAGATAGGCAACTTATGTTCATTGACATTCTTTTATTCAAATGTTGTTAGTGTCCTTTCCCATTTTTTTTCTGTTCCTCCTTTTCTCATGCCCCCTACCTTACAGCCTCTTACTTCACGAAGAAGAGCTCATTGGGAAAGGAGTGTCTTAGCCATCTTCTCTTCTACTACAAACTCACCTGTTCTTACTCTTCAGAGCATAAAGTTGTTCTAGATACCTCACATAGCTGATGTGTTTTCTGTGTACTTATTTCCCCTTTCTTTGGCCTACTTATTCTCAAAACTTGTTTTGTCAGCAATTTTCTTTTTTCAGTATCTTCAGTCTTTGTGTGTGTGTGTTCTCTCATCCTACAATGATACTCAAGAATCTTTGCAGCTTAACAAATACCCTTCTTTCACCTACATGATCCCTCAAAATACAGCCCAACTTCTCTCCTTTTCTCTCCTCTGCCTGTCAGTCATCTACATTCATTACCTCCTTTACTCCAGTGACTTATATATTGATTAAACTGTTTTCTGCTGGCAGAGCCAGGTTTCAAATCACCTTGATAAAGGTCATCACTGATTTCCTACATTTCTAAAACCAATTGTTTATTTTTGGCTTCTTTTAATATTCTTTAGTATTGAGTCCCATAAACTAACCCCTCTTCTTCCTAAATATCAGTATTACCATTAGTTCCATCTGCCCTATTTTTTTTTCTTGATCAGTCCCTCTCGACTTCAGCCACCACCTGTAAAACCAGGACTTGATTCCCAGATACACATCTCTAGCACCTACCACTCACATGAATTCATTTCTAAGTACCTATTGGGGCTATCCATTTGAATATATTGTAGGATCCTTAAAGTTTGTCATGTGCAAATTGAACTCATTATCTTCCCTTCCCTACCTTCATCCCACCATTATCTAGCCTTTTTGCCTGTGTGTATGAACTCTGTTTTGAATACCATCAACATCTACTCAGCCATGCAAGCCAGAAACCTTGTCTCCTGTTTCACTGCACACAACTTTTACATCTAGTCATTGCAAGAAATTCATTGATTCTCCCTCTGAAGTGTGACTTGAATATGTGCCCTCGTTGATACTCATGGCCACTGTTTTCTTTAGCTGTCATGATCTAATAGTCTTAGTGTGTAGCCCTGGGCCTCTTTCTCTTCTCATTAATTCTGTATCTGAGTGGTTCTCAATCCTCAATGTACACCAAGATTGTATGGGGAGATTTTAAATGCTACACATGCCCTGGTCCCAGAACTTTGATTTTCATTGATCAGTCATCGGTAGTATAAGGCCATTATAATATATATAAATACATTTTGTAAGTCTTTATAATCTTTATAAATAATGTCTCCCATTATCCATGGTTTCACTTTCCATGGTTCATTTACCCACTGTCAACCATAGTCTGAAAATATTACATGGAAAATTCCAGAAATAAACAAGGCAGAAGTTTTAGACTGCATGCCATTCTGAATAGCATGATGAAGTGTCACACCATCTCACTCTGTCCTGCCCAGGAAGTGAATCACTCTTTTGTCCAGTGTATCCACTCTATAAATTCTAACTACCCGGTAGTCATCATCTGCTCCTGACAGCCAGCCATTGACACCGTCATGGCTCCATGATCCAGGATTACCTGAAGCAGCTGATCGTCCTTCAGATGTAGGTCAATAGTAGCTTAACACTATGTCACGATGCCTGCATCATTCACCTCACTGCATCTTATCACGTAGGCATTTTATCATCTCACATCAACACAGGAAGGGTTAATACAGTATAATAAGATATTTTGAGAGAGAGGGAGAGACTATATTCACATAACTTATTGTATATTGTTACAAGTGTTCTGTTTTATTAGTTATTGCTAATCTCTTAAGCCTAATTTGTAAGTTAAACTATCATATATATATATATATATATATATATATATATATATATATATATATATGAGAAAGCATAGTATGTATAGGGTTTGTTACTATTCACAGTTTCAGGCATCCACTAGGGATCTTGGAACCTATCCCCTGCAGACAGGATGAGGAGGGGACCACTGAACAGATCTCATCATCTTGCTCTCTTATTTAAAATTCTGTTTGTTGCATTGCCTATGAGAAAATATTCAAACTGCTTAATTTGGTGTACATGAAGATTCCTATCTGGCCTCTGCCTAACTTTCCAGCCTTATAACCACCTCCCCACCCCACCTGTCTGCCCCTCACATCATAGTCTGTAGTCATACAAAATTATTTTGTTTTACATTTTTAATTTTAGAACACTTTTAGATTTATGAAGAAATTGTGAAGTTAGTATAGAGAGGTTCCATATAGTCCATACCCCGTCTCCCTTGTTAGTAACAGATTCGTATGGTACATTTGTTACAGTTAATGAACCAATATTGATACATTATTGTTAACTAAAGTCCATATTTTATTCACATTTCCTTACTTTTTACCTAATGACTTTTTTGAGTTCCAGGATTCCATCCAGGATACCACATTACATGTAGTCATCGTGTCTCCTTATTTTGCTTGGCTCTGGCAGTTTCTCAGACTTTCTTTGTTTTTGATGACCTTGACAGTTTGGGGAGTATTAGTCATATTTTATAGAATGTCTGTCAACTGGGGTTTATCTGATAGTTTTCTTATGATTAGACTGAAGTTATGGGGGTTGGGGAAGAAGAACATAGAGGTAAAGTGCTGTTTTTGTCACATCATATCAAGAATACATGCTATCAGCACTATCACTGTTCGTGTTAACCTTGATCACCTGGCTGAGGAAGTCTTTGTGAAGTTACTCCGCTGCAGAGTTATTTTTCCCCCTTTCCACACTGAACTCTTTTAGAAAGAAGTCACTATGTGCTGCCCACACTTAATGAGGAGTTATGTTCCACTTCCTTAAGGGAAGAGTATTTATTTACATAAATTATTCAGGACTATTTGCATGGACGATTTCTCTCTTCTCCCTCATTTATTTGTTTATTTAATCATTTATATCAGTATGGATACATGGATATTTATTTTATACTTTGGGTTGTAATCCAAAACTACTTTTTATTTTGTTGCTCAGAGTATTCTAGCTTTGGCCATTGGCTACACGTTCAGTTGGCTCCTGTGTCCTTTTGACAATACCCTCAGCACTGTAGGTTTTTTTGGTTTTTCGGGTGTATGTGTGTGCACTTCCTTACTTTCTGGCACTATAAGATGCTCTAGGCTCATGTTATATTCTCTGCCTCAATCCTAGAATCAGCCAGTTCTCCAAGCAGCCATGGTTCTGTTTTATTAGAGAATGGTTAGAAACGAAGATCTGGGTACTGGGTGTGCTTGTTGCCACCGGGATGTGATGACTTCTAGGCCCTCTCAGATGACAGAGTAAGGAAATATATGTGTGTATACTAATGAATGTATACATACATATCTACAGATATTTCTATATATAACGTATGTATATTAAGCTAAATATGAGTGCATACAAATGACTCGCATTCTAAGTCATTACCATATAGATTATTCTAGCCTTTTCTTCTCCCTTGTTTGTAACCTCCCACTCCAACAATGAGAAACCTGGCTTCTGCCAAGTATCACCTACTTCCTAATTGTTCAATTCTGATTTCCTTGTATACTGATTTCAGAATTGTTAACCCTTTATCAACTAGAGTACAGTGCTTATTACCATTCCTATTGCCTTCAGTTTTATAGGCACCATTCATATCCAGAATTATTTAGGTCAGCACCTTTTTCTATATTATTTTTATTCTCTGAATATTCCATGTTTTCACACCTGTTTAATCTTTATTTGTGCTAATCCTCCTGCCTGAAATTCCCTGGCTTTTACCCTTCTCTCCGTGGAATGTTACTCATTCTTCTATACCCAGCACAAATATTGCCTCTACCAGAAAGCTTCTCAGAGCCACCACTAGTAGACTTAATCTTTCATTCCTCTGTGCTCCAATAGCATTTTGTACTTACCTTTACTATATATCATGTCAGGATTCTTTGTTTGCATCTCTTTCTTCTTCACTTAATGGTAATTCTTGAGAGCAGAAACCAAATGGATTTGTCTCTGAAATCCCAGGACTTAACAATAATACATATTACGTAACAGAAAACCTAATAGTGGCTAAAATACAAAAGGATTTACTTTTTTCACCTAGCAAGAAGTCAGAGATAGACTATCATTGGTTTACCTGTTCAATGATGCCATCAAGAATCCAGGCTTTTTTCCTTCTTCCGTACATAGAAGTCTAAATGTGAAATGCCAGGTAAATAAGTTAAAACCAATTTCATTCTGGCCCAGTATAATGTGTTTGGAGACAACGTCCAGAGAAATAAGAATAGTTCAGATATTTTGGATTGAGATGGCTTTGAGATGAGCTTACATTAAATCCCTTAGAGAAATAACTTCTGAGTCCCAGTTGCCTCTTTTTGTGTGAGTGAGTGTATCATGTAGCCACCATTCAGGGCAGTCATGGAGAACAAACGCTAAGCATGAAATTCCCATTTTGAAGCTGCAGAGTTACTGACGTCATAGTGTGATCAAAATGCTCTGCAAATACTTACTGTAATTATTGTTGTTGTTCTGTTCTTGCTAATAACCTTATTTATACCCTGAAATTATAATCATCCAAAGAAAGATTAAAACAAGATGCATGAGTTGCCTAAGCTGTTTGTCTGGCAGATGGTCACCCTCTGAGTTCGCTGAAATTGCCAGGGTTAATTGAAGCTTCAGTTTTCACTGCAGTGTAGTTGATACTTAAGTGTTTCTTACCTGTCAGCTTTTGCTCTCCAAAAAAGTACAACAGTAGCGCTTAATTTGTTCTCATTAATGCTAGCCTCTCAGGTAATGTTTAGTGCAACTTCATTCTAGATGATGTTTGCTTCCCAGCTTCCCAGCTGAGAAGAAATGCTAAACAGTTACAAAGGTGAAAACATGAACGTCTCACTAATTTACTTATTTAAAGGATACTCAGAACTCAGGAAACATTGAAGGGAAGTTAACTTTTACATGGTGGACTGGCATTTAGTGTATGGTTAATAGCAATTCCTCTCCCTGGGGTTGCAGTGAGCTGAGACAACTGGGAATCATCCTTGGGGAGTTTTACAAATAGTTTTTCCTAGAGCTAGCTAAGTGCTCCAAGGATAATCGTTATAGATTCACACAAACAGCAGTACTGTTTGCTCTATTTCTTTGGTGTTCCTCTAGTAGTATTAAAATGCAAGAAAGCAGTCTTAGGAACCATCTTAAAAAGCAATGGAACTAAGAAGCCGTTCTTTGCCTCTACTACTCAGCTCTGCAGAAGCAAACCGGTGAAAAGACGTGGGTGTTAAAATGTTACATTATTTAGGTGATGCAAGAGCCTTTTGTCTGCACCTTGAGGTTTGAGTACAGATTATACATATTGTTATGTATGGGTTCAGCACATATAGTAATATGACAAGCCAAATAAGAGAATGACTGTGCTTTCCTAAATCTGGGGACTGCTGACTACCAATGGCATTGCTTGCTATTTGATTAAGGCCCAAGAGAAAAACAGAGTTGAGAGATGAAGGGAGAGAAGGAATTCTGGGCCTCCTTAAATCAGTTACAACAAAATTAGCAACCCCATTAAAGACTGGGGAATCAGTAACATGATCCTTCTTGTATATGTGGTGTACAAAAGTAGAAGGCAAATGGGTGAATTATATGTATGTGAATAATAATGCTGTTCAAAAAAGCAAAAACAAAAACATCCAAAAAGGTAGAATGTGGATTCTTTAATTAGACTGCTTGGACTGGAATTGAATCTCTATCAATTTTTAGCTGGGTGACTTTAGGCCTGTTAGTTTACTTCGTCCTTTATAGGTTTTTTTCTTAAAATAGTACCCCTTGATAGGGAAATGGAAGCTAAATAAGATAATATACTGTATATAAGTGCTTAGGATAGGTCATCACACATGGTAAATATTTAACTTTTTTAAAAAAAAATGAAATTTACATGGAAGAGATATTGGAATTGGTGCTTTATTTCCTTTTATTTATTTATTTTTATTTTGAGATGAGGTCTCTCTATGTTGCCCAGGCTGATCTCAAACTCCTAGGCTCAAGCAATCCTCCTGCCTCAGCCTCCAAAAGTGCTGGGATTACAGGCATGAACCACTGTGCTCAGCCTTTACTTTCCAAAATATTTTTTCAATTTGCAAAATATACTATGGAGTCTTTCCTTTTATTAAAATCCTTCTTTAAAAAAAAGTATTACTCAAAACTATTGCTCCCCAAAAGCAAAATTTGCAGTTAAGAGGTATTTTGTCATGTGCATTACATACATTTTACCTATTCCTGTAGCATATGTTATAGTTTGTTGATATGGTCAGGCAGATGTATGAATCATTGTGAAAAGGATCCCATTTTAGTGGTAGGCAAAGCATCTAGCCAAAATTTGTAGCTGGGGAGAGATCTGCTCCCCATAAGTTGGCCTTCTGTATCAAGGCTGCTGCTTTTGCCACTATGCTCATTGTGGTGGTAGTCTGCTCAGGAAACTGGTAACTATTAAAACCACCTTCTCCTTGGCTTGTCATGGTTACTATGTATGCTGAACCCAAGTCCTTTTATACATTTGTTCTTTTCCTTACATTCTAAAATAGACACATACCTACCTACACCTAGAGCTGGCAGGAAGTCTGTCAGCTTTTCTTGGTATGCCTCTTTATACTTGGTAGCATAATAAATGCAATTTTTAATGACACTGTCAATCCAATACTTGAATGAGCTTCATTTCCTTTCTCGTCTGTTCCTTAGTGATTGCTTTAACCATTGCCTATTCATGACTGAGCCTTGGCATTAAGATCTCATAGGGGCATGGCCCTAAAGTCTTGCTTGTTCTGTTTCATTTTGGCCTTCTTAGGATTCAAGAGGAAGGACCTTCATAGGATGGTGAGCTGAAAATGGGAACCTGTGGGCAAAGTTGGTACAATATATACCTTTGATGTGACATTAATTTGAGTTAAGTGAAGGGTCAGGACCACGTTTTCAGATTTTTCACATAGTAAATTTTAAAAAACTGAAACACCTTATCAGGATTTGTGGAAATTTTTGTTGCCTTCTTCATACTTCATCCATTTCCAGAACTTTTTCATCTTCCCTAAATGAAACTCTTTATCTATTTATTTTTTACTTTTTTGGTATCTAGCTTCTCTTCTTTAATTGTATATATAAGGTACACAAGAAGATGTTTTAATGTACATATACACAGTGAAGTGGTTGCCATAGGCAAGCAGATTAACAATTGTATCTTCTCACATAGTTACCTTTGTGTGTATGTGTGGCAAGTGTACCTGAAATCTACTCTTTCAGCAAAAGTCCCAAATATAATACAATATTATTAACTGTAGTCCTCGTATTGTACATTAGATCTGTAGACGTGTTCATCCTACATATCTGCAACTTTGTATCCTTTGATCTACGTCTCCCCGTTTCCTCTCGCCCCTCCCCTATCCATTAAAAACTTAATTCCCCATTCCCCCTTCCCCAACCTCTGCCAAACACCACTCCACTTCCTGTCTCTATCGGTTTGACTACTCTAGGAACCTCATATAAGAGGAATCATACAATATCTATCCTTTTATGACTAGCTTATTTCACTTAGCATAATATCTTTAAGATTCATCCATGGTTGTACCATGTGTCAAAATTTCCTTTCTTTTTAAGGCTGGATAATGTTCCATTGTACATATATATGTATGTATGTATCACATTTTGTTTATCCATTTATCTTCAATGGACACGTGGGTTGCTTCTACCTTTTGTCTATTGTGAATGATGTTGCTATGAATATGGGTGTACAAATATCTCTTTGGTCTCTGCTTTCACTTCTTTTGGGTATATACCCAGAAGTAGAATTGCTGAATCATATGGTAATTGTATGTTTAATTTCTGAGGATTCACCATAATGTTTTTTCATAGCTGCTGTATCATTTTATGTTCCAATAGCAATGAATAAGGGCTCCAATTTCCTAATTTCTCCACATCCTCACCAATACTTGTTATATTCTGGGTTGTTGTTGCTGTTTTTAAATACCAGCCATCCTATTAGGTGTGCTGTTTGTTTTGATTTTAATTACAAATGTAATTAATAAATTTAGGGCTATTCAGATTTTCTCTTGTGTTATTTTGTTATTATTGGTAAGTTATGGTTTTCAAGGACTTTGTCCCATCTAATGAATGCAATAAAATTGTCCATAATATCCCAGTATTAGCTTTTCAATGTCTGTAAGGTCTGTGGTGATATCTCATTTTTCATTCCTATTATTGGAAGTTTGTGTTTTGTGAAACACATGTTTGATATCAGTCTTGCCAGAAGTTTATCAGTTTTATTAATCTTTCCAAAGAACTAACTTTTGACTTTGATTTTTCCCTGCTTTGCTCATTTTCCCTCCTTCCCTCTCTCTCTCTCTTTTTTTTTTTTTTTTTTTTTTGAGGCAGGGTTTTGCTCTGTCGCCCAGAATGCAGTGCAATAGCATGATCATAGTTCACTGCAGCCTTGAACTCCTGAACTCAAGTGATCCTCCCTCGTTGGCCTCCCAAGTAGCTGGGACTACAGGCACTGGCTAATTTTGTTTGTTTGAAGTTTTTTGTTGTTGTTGATGTTGTTTTTTTTTTTTTTTTTTTTTTTTTTTAGAGACAGGGTCTCACTATTTTGCCTAGGCTAGTCTCAAAGTCTTGGCCTCAAGCCATCTGCCCACCTTGACCTCCCTCCCAAAGCTCTGAGATTACAGACGTGAACTACCATGCCTGGCCCTGTTTTCTATTTCATTGCTTTCTGTTTTTATTTTTTATTATTTCCTTCTTTCTACTTACTTTGGGTCTAATTTATTCTTATTTTTCTAGCTTGTGAAGATAGAAGCTGAGGCCAGGCAAGATGGCTGATGCCTGTAATCCCAGCACTTTGGGAGGCTGAGGTGGGAGGATCCCTTGAGCCTAGGAGTTCAAGACTAGCCTGGGCAACATAGGGAGACCCTCTCTTAAAAAAAAAAAAAAAGTAGCCAGGTGTGGTGGTACATGCCTGTAGTACCAGCTACTTGGGAGGCCAAAGCAGGCCTATGAGCTATGATCGTGCCATTGCACTCTAGTCTGGGTGATAGAACAAGACCTTGTCTCAAAAAAGAAAAAAAAAAAAAGATAGAAGCTGAGATTATTGATTTGACATCTTTCTCTTTTGTAATAAAAATATGTAAAACTATAAATTTCTCTCTATACACTGCTTTAGTTGCATCCCATACATTTTGATATTTTCAGATTTTGTTATCATTCAGTTCAACATATTTTCTAATTTCTCTTCAGATTTGTTCTTTTACTCATAGGTTATTTATAGCTGTGTTGCTTAATTCCTTAACATTTGGAAATTTTTGTAGCTATCTTATTATTATTTTGAATTTGGATACAAAAGCAAGGATTGACAATATGCTGCCTATTAGAAAAGCACTGCCTATTAGAAAAGCACACAAATAGACTAAAATTTTTTTAAAAGATACACAGCATGCCATACATGACATTACATTAGACAATTGGTAGGGCTGTATTAATATCAGACAAAGTAGACCTCAAGAAAATGACTGTTACCAGAGATAAGAAGGGACATTTATTAATACAAGTTAATTCATCAAAATATTAACATTTAATATTATTATAGTCAAAAAGCACACTCTGTATGATTTTAATACTTTGGGATTTATTTTTATTTATTTATTTATTTATTTATTTATTCATTGAGACAGAGTCCCACTCTGTCACCCAGGCTGGAGTGCAGTGGCACAATCTCGGCTCACTGCAACCTCCGCCTCCTGGGTTCAAGTGATTCTTGTGCCTCAGCTGATTATAGGCACCCGCCACCATACCCAGCTAATTTTTTTTTGGATTTTTAGTAGAGATGGGGTTTCACCATGTTGGCCAGGCTGGTCTCAAACTCCTGACCTCAGGTGATCTGCCCGCCTCGGACTCCCAAAGTGCTGGTATTACAGGCATGAGCCACTGTGCCTGGCCAGCCAAATTTATCTATTTATTGAGACTTGTTTTATAGCCCAGCGTATGGTCTACCTTGGTGAATGTTCCATGTTCATTTGAAAAGAATGTGTATTCTTGCTATTGCTGTATGATGTTCTTTCTATAAATGTCATCTAGGTCAAGTTAATAATGTTCAAATCTTCTTTATCCTTTTTGATTTTTAGATAGCTTGTCGCTGGTTATTTTTCTATTTATTACTGGAAAAGGGTTGTTAAAATCTCCAAGTATTACTGTGAATTTGTTAAGTTCTCCTTTTAGAAAGTTCTGTCTTTTTGCTTTATTTATTTTACAGCTTTGTTATTAGGTACATGCATAGTTAAGACTGCTATGTTGTCTTGATGAATTGGCTTATTATCATTATTAAATGCCCCTCTTTATCTCTATAATAGTCTTTTCATTGAAGTCTACTTTGTCTATTAATATAGCCCCACCAGCTTTCTTATGCAGTGTTTGCATAGTATACCTTTTTTTACGTTAATCTATTTGTTTCTTTATATTTAAAGTGCTTGCCTTATAAACAGTATATTGCTGGGTCTTACTTTTTTTAATCCAAGTTAATAATCTGCTTTTTAATTGGAGCCCATTTATATTTATTGTAAGTATTGATATGGTTGGGTTTACATATGCTATCTTGGTATTTGTTTTCTATTTGTCCTATTTGTTTTTCATTCCTCTGTTCTTCCTTTCTTGCCTTCTTTTGGATGAATGGAATATTTTAAACTGTACCTCTTTGTGTTGTTTCAAATAAAAATACTACTTATTCACACAGTTTTGTTGTGCAATTATCTGAGTTAAACTGGTATTCAAATTAGAGTATGCCAAAAGAGAGCTAAGAGAAGGTACATAAAGGGATTGGGTCATTCTGGTGGCAGAAACCTACTTTTTCTACCACAATTTTATTTGGGGCTGGCCCTGCCCTTCTTTTCCCACAAAATTGAACCATGACCAGCAAACCTTAGGCTAACGTGGTAGTAATAATACAAAGCACATATTTGTTAATCATCGTAGTTAATTTAATTGGATAGCTACCTGTACATTGTCACATTCTTCTATCACTTCCTTCGCACTGCAAGGATCTTAATTAGGATCCACCCTGGAAAATATGAAGTAACTTCCATCCAATTAGATTTATGTCAGACAAATACCATTTTTATGTAATCAGTCAAACAATTCATGAGCAGCCTGGTGCTGCCTCTAGAAGCTTGCAATTTAAGTAAGAAGGCATTTATATAATTTTATTATGTATTTATATTATCTCCTATATACAGTTGTTATATATTTATGTAATAAGATAAATAGCAATGCAAGGCTGTGCATAACTGTTATAGATAAGCAAGTGAAATAAAGATGTTTGTGTGGTTAATTAAAGAAACAGCTGCCTAAGTAGGGAAATTGCCACATATTTAGACCCTGGCCACACCATGCTTTCTCCACAGACTAGCAGCCTGCAAGATTCACATTTCTCTGACATTTTCCTGAATTGCCTAATAATCCAATCTGGTTGTATCTTTTTGTCTCTGTCTACAGAGGCTCTTGGTCATTTATAGTGAGAGAAACTCTTACTTTTTTTTTTTCCCTCTTCTATATATAGATGAGTATAGATAAGTATCACGTGATTATTTAAAGGATTGAAATTCCATTTTGATTTGCCTTTCCTGGGTAGGAAACATTTACATCATTTTATACTTTTGAGCATGAATTGCCTCTCTTTCTAGGTGTAATCAATTTCTACTCTTCAGCATACAAAAGATTTTATGAATACTATTCACTGCAGAAAGAGCTCTAAAAATAATTTTGCAGGTAGGGTTTTATAGAACACTGATAGTCTTATGTGGAACATTGGCAGGCAAAAAGAACAAAGGCACATCAGGGTAAAGGTGGTGGTAGGTGGAGCATTTCATTTCATTTGCCTCCACCAAAGAGCTTGCATTTACTGGAGAAGGAAAACAAATAAGAAACAGGAGCATCTGCACTTGCTGTTGAAGGTTTCATTTCTTATCACTGTTAAGTCACATTTGAATGGAACCATTACAGTCTTGTTGGTATGTATAACTATGCCCCCACTTTTTTTTTCCAAAAGGAAAATCTTGAATTTTATGTTTAAAAGTACAAAGAGCTGTTTTTGACATTCTGCAGTTCATTTTGGAATTCACAGTCTTAAACCTATTCATTTTCAGTAGGGTGGTAAAGAGTGCACAGTATATGGCATTTTTACGCCTAATAGCACCTCCAATGATCTGTGATGCATATTACATACACACACCTTTTAGCATCTGTTTCCACCTGACAGCTGACAGCATTAGGCTGAATGTTGTGATGAACAACTGAAATGTCAAGCAGTATTACAATGGTTTCTTATTGGAAAAAGTAAGCACCTTAGAGCTTCTTTTTAATACTTTTCCATAAAGATTTTAAAGTGACATATTTACAAGTACATAATTAAGATGACATACTCTTTAAATGCTTGTTATTCTTCCAGAAATGGAGATGGATTTGGGCTAATCAGCAGATGATTCTCCTCTTGAGCTAGGGTATAAGCATGCTTTTTTTTTTTTTTTTTTGCTTTTTTATAAGACAGAGTCTTGCTCTATGACCCAGGCTGGAATGCAGTGGCATGATCATGGCTCACTACAGCTTCAGCCTCTAGGCTTGGCCTCTCGTGTAGCTGGAACCACAGATGTGCACCATCACCCCTAATTTTTTTTTATTTTTTGAAGAAACGGTCTCACTATGTTGCCCAGGCTGGTCTCTAACTCTTGGACTCAAGTAACTCTCTCACCTTGGCCTCCCAAAATGTTGGGATTATAGGCATGAGCCACTGCAGCTGGCCTTAAGCATGCATTTTTGTTTTGTTTTGTTTGTTTTGAGACAGAGTCTTATTCTGTTGCCCAGGCGGGAGTGCAATGACACAATCTCGGCTCACTGCAATCTCCGCCTCCTGGGTTCAAGCGATTCTCTTGCCTCAGCCTCCAAGTAGCTGGGATTACAGGAATTCACATCACTCCTGGATAATTTTTTTTTTTTTTGTATTTTTAGTAAAGATGGGGTTTTCCTATGTTGGCCAGGCTGGTCTCGAACTCCTGACCTCAAGTGACCCACCTGCCTCGGCCTGCCAAAGTGCTGGGATTACAGGCATGAGCCACCATGCCTGGCAAAGCATGCATTTTGTTCAGGAAAATCTATTTTGCATCCATATTACTGACTATTCTTAAAAATATATGTATACAGGATTGTTAGAATTAATAATTGCTAAGATTCTGTCTTAATATTTATTTATTTGACTGATTTTCATATTATTCAGTTCAGCACGGAGAATGAGAGTTACAGGTTTGTTTTCTTATTCTTCTGCCATACTTGGGATTTTTGTCTAGTGGTCACAAAATATTTCCTAGAAATATATTTTCCTAGAATTACCCCCCAAAAAATAAAATTACTTTAAAAAAAATCTGTCTTTAGTACACAAATTCAGACATGCTTTGATCATGTGCTAAAAATTAAATAAGCAAATAAAATATCGAACAAAGCAAAGTTGGTCAAGGCTATGGCTTCAAAAAAATGCCAGCCAGTGTTGCCCACCCTAAATATTTCTCTCCCATCTCTTGGCCTGAATATACTTCAGGAGAGAAGCTGTTATGCTCATCTTTCATTAAAAAGTTTCTAGTTTTCATGTGCATTCTCAGATTGAAAACCTTTAGAACCAGGTTTTGGGTATTAGATAAACAATACACTGTTTAATCTATGTTGACTAATTAATCATTTGTAACTTTTTAGGTACTGCTTAGGATGAATATGATTTGGAGAAATTCCATTTCTTGTCTAAGGCTAGGAAAGGTGCCACACAGATACCAAAGTGGTTACCACCCAGTGGCCCCTCTGGGATCAAGGATTTTAACTGACCCAGCCAAAGTTTTTGAACACAACATGTGGTGAGTTTTCTTTTTAAATCTGATATTATGTGTGTTTCTTAAATATCACCAGTGGTATTATTTTCATTTAGAATTAAGAAAGGGTTTTTAAAGCTGATGACCTAACTCATGTTGTAGAGGTCCAAAAGCTAGGGTAACCGATCCTGACTTAAGTGTTGCTGATTCTGAATTTCATTGCAAATGGAATTGGAAGAGTGAAACTTTCCATATGCTTTTAGTAGCCTTGGAGTTCTTGCAGGCCCTTCCTACTTACCTCTGATCCTGATTTGCCTGCTGTCACTGGGTGGGGGTGAGGATTCTTTCCTAGGTGGGGCCCTCCTCCTGCTCCACAGTTCCTTCCCTCTTTTTCATACTTGTCATCCAGCAAATGCAGATCAGTACCTGTGTCTTACTGAGCACCAGGGAGATCATATTGGTATGATTCTCGTCTATGCTTTCAGGGAATCCACCCTATTTGGAAAGATAGATATTTACAGAAAAAGCTGATAATTACCCCTACAAGGCAGTAAATTGTGAGGGCTCAATGAGTGTTACAGACTATATGCCATATGAGAACAACTCAGTAATGCAAAAACACTTCTGTTTGGGCATAGTCAGAAAGATTTCTTAAAGTGAGGGAAACTGAGATTACGATTACAGGCACACCTCAGAAATGTTGTAGGTTTGGTTGAGACCACTGCAGTAAAGCAAATATTGCAATAAAGTGAGTCACACAATTTTTTTGGTTTCCCAGTGCATATAAAAGTTATGTTTACACTATACTGTAGTCTCTTAAGTGTACAATAGCATTATGTCTAAGAAAACAGTGTACAAACCTAATTAAAAAGTAATTTCTTGCTAAAAAATGCTAACAGTCATCTGAGCCTTCAGTGAGTCATAATCTTTTTGTTGGCAGAGGGTCTTACCTCAGTGTTGATGGCTGCTGACTGATCAGGGTGGTGGTTGGAGTGGCTGTGGCAGTTTCTTAAAATAAGACAACAATGGAGTTTGCATCATCAACTGACTCTCCCTTTCATGAAAGATTTCTCTGTAGCATGTGATGCTGTTTGATAGCATTTTACCTACAGTAGAACTTTCAAAATCAGTCAGTCCTCACAGATCCTGCCACTGTTTTATCAACTAAGTGTATGTAATATTCTAAATATTTTGTTTAATATTTAGAATTTTGTCTAAATTCTTTGTTGTCTAAATTATGTCTAAATTCTTTGTTGTCTAAATTATGTCTAAATTCTTTGTTGTGATTTCCACAGTGTTCACACTGTCTTCACCCCAAGTAGATTCCATCTCAAGAAACTACTTTCTTTGCTCATCCCTACAAAGGAACTCCTCATCTGTTCAAGTTTTATCATGAGATTGCAGCAATTCAGACTAAATCTTTAGGCCCCACTTTTAATTCTAGTTCTCTTGCTGTTTCCACCATATCTGCCGTTACTTTTTCCACTGAAGTCTTGAACCCCTTATCATCCATTAGAATCAACTTCTTCCAAACTCCTATTGATGTTATTATTTTGACCTCCTCCCATGAATCACAAATGTTCTTAATGGCATGTAGATTGGTGAATCCTTTCCAGAGTGTTTTCAGTTTACTTTGCCCAGATCCACTAGAGGAATTACTATTTATGGCAGCTATAGCTTTACGAAATGTAGTTCTTAAATAAGACTTGAAAGTTGAAATTACTTCTTGATCCAAGGGCTGCAGAATGGATATTGTGTTAGTTGGCATGAAAGCAACATTAATATCCTTGTACATTTCCATCAGAACTCTGGAGTGACAAGGTATATTGTCAGTGAGCAGTAGTATTTTGCAAGGAATTCTTTTTTCTGAGCATTAGGTCTCCACAGTGGGCTTAAAACATTCAGTAAACCATGCTATAAACAGATGTGTTGTCATCCAGGCTTTGTTGTTTCATTTATAGAGTATAGGCAGAGTAGATTCAGTATAATTTTTAAGGGCCCTAGGATTTTGGGAATAGTAAATAAGCACTGGCTTCAACTTAAAGTCACCAACTGCCTTAGCCCTTAACAGGAGAGTCAGCCTGTCCTTTGAAGCTTTGAAGCCAGGCATTGACTTCTCCTTTCTGGCTATGAAAGTCTTAGATGACATCTTCTTCCAATAGAAAGCTGTTTTATTTACATTGAAAGTTTGTTTTTTAGTGTAACCACCTTCATCAGTGATCTTAGCTGGATCTTCTGGATAACTCGATGCTACAGCTTCTCCATCAGCACTTACTGCTTTGCTTTGTACTTTTATGCTATGGAGATGTCTTCTTTCCTTAAACCTCATGAACCAACCTCCACTAGCTTCACTTTTCTTCTGCAGCTACCTCATCTCTGTGAGCCTTCATAGAGTCAAAGAAAGTTAGGGCCTTGCTCTGGATTAGGCTTTGGCTTATGGGAATATTGTGGCTGGTTTTATCTTTTATGCAGACCACTAAACCTTTCTCCATATCAGTAATGCTATTTCACTTTCTTTTCATTCATGTATTCACTGGAGCAGCATTTTTTTTTTTTTTTTTTTTTTTTTTTTTGTGAGACAGGGAGACTCTGTCACCCAAGCTGGAGTGCAGTGGTGTGGTCACGGTTCACTGAACCTTCACCTGGGTCAAGTGATTCTCTGGCCTCAGCCTCCCAAGTAGCTGGGACTATAGGCATTCACTGCCATGCCTGGCTAATTTTTGTATTTTTTGTAGAGATGGGGTTTCACCATGTTGCCCAGGCTGGCCTTGAACTCCTGAGCTCAAGTGATCTTTCCAACTCAGCCTCCCAAAGTGCTGGGATTACAGGTGTGAGCCATAGCACTCAACCTGGAGTAGCATCTTTAATTTCCTTTAAGAACTTTTCCTTTGCATTTCACAAGTTGACTAGTGCTAGAGGCCTAGGTTTTGTCCTATCTCAGCTTGCAAAAGGCCTTCCTCACTAAGCTTAATCTTTTCTAGCTTTTGATTTAAAATGAGATATATATAACTATTCCTTTCATTTGAACACGTAGAGGCCATTGTAGGGTAATCAACTGGCCTCATTTCATTATTGTTTTGTCTCAGGGAGTAGGGGAACCTGAGGAGAGGGAAATAGACAGGGAAAGCCAGGTCAGTGGAGCAGTCAGAACACACATAACATTTATCAATTAAATTAGCTGTTTTATATGGATATGGTTCATGGTACTCTAAAACAATTACAATAGTAACATCAAAGATCACTGATCACAGCTCATAACAGATATAATAATAATGAAATAGTTTGAAATATTGCAAGAATTACCAAAATGTAACAGAGACATGAAATGAGCACATGCTGTTGGAGAAATGGTGCCAATAGACTTGCTCAATGCAGGGTTGCCACAAACCTTCAATTTGTAAAAAATGCAATAGCTGTGAAGTGTGATCAAGCAAAGCATAATTATACAAGATATGCCTGTATTTATATTGCCTGCAGTACATAGCACAATGCCTGACACACAAATATTGTTGAATTAATGCTTTGAATAGGTAAACTGAAATAAGGGCATTCTAGGTGGATAGAAAATCATAAAGCACTGAGATGAGGAAATATAAGGCATTTTCATGAGATAGAGGATAGGATAGTTTGCCTTAAGAAAGGCTTTTCTAGGAGATTGGTGAAAGATAAGGTTGGAATGACATAGGCCAGATGGGGGGTAGGTTTAAGATGTGCATGGTCCTGAATTCATAGCTGAAGTATAAGGCATTATAGAGCCACTGAAGATAAATAAATGACATTATATTTAGTGTATTAAGTGTATATATTTGGTAACACCATGCTAGACTGATCAGCAGGAAGAATTAGAAGCAGAAAAGGGCCAGTGAGCAAGAGATCGTGACAGAAGAATAAACAGAATTTGGTGCTTGTGCAGAGTAAAGAAAAAGGAAGAAGTTGACTCTGAAGTTTTGATCTTAAGTAACTGATAGAAATAGGAAAATCAAGAGGTAAATGTATTTGTTTTATTTTGGAAGAAAGATGGTTAATTTGGTTTTAGACATTTTGAATAATAGGCTTTGTGAGCAGGACATTCAGGTGTAAATGTCCAGCACGCAGACACTGCTGCTGGGAAGAGGGAGAGTGGTCAGAGCTGAAGAAGTCAAGTTGGGCATGATATCTGCAGACAAAATTGTTATCAGACTAGCCTCTGGAACAGCATCTCTGGGGCTAGGAAGGTGATTCATGGGCTTTTTATGTTTTTATTGCAACCGAATCTCAATTTTGAAAGGGAATACATTGATTTTTTAATTAATTAGTTCTACACTATACAATATGGTAGTCACTAGCCACAGGTGGTTATTCAGCACTTGAAATATATTAATAACTGGGCTGAATTGAGATGTACTGTAAAATTTTAAAAACTTAGTACAAAAAATAAGGTAAACAATCTCAATTTTTATATTGAATTATATGTTAAAAGTGAATGAAAATTTGGATATATGCAATTAAATTATATATATATGCACATACATACATATATATATTTAAAAAAAAATTTTTTTTTTAATTTTTTTTAAATAAGACAGAGTCTCGCTCTGTCGCCCTGGCTGGAGTGCAGTGATTCAATCTCAGCTCACTGCAACCTCTGCCTCCCAGGTTCAAGCAATTCTCCTGCCTCAGCCTCCTGAGTATCTGGGATTATAAACATGCACCACTGAAAGGGAAAAAGCTCCTATGTCCCCCTCGCTGGATGTGCGATGGGGGTGTGGCTCACTTCTTCAGTGCCCCGCTGCTCAGACCTCTAGGGGAGCATACAGATGGGCAGGCTGTGGGGCTCCTACCCCATGACAGTGTATAGGGGTGAGTGTTTACAGCTCCTGAAGTCCCAGTGAGCGCGTGTTACAGGGTGCTCTTTTAGTTTAGCCATGCATAGGCAGCTTGTGTTAGCTCAGTTATACCCCTGCCTTATCGTAAAGACAGATTTCTGTATCCCAGGGTTCTTGCCTTGGTGTATGGGAAGAATCGGATCACTTATGAGCTTGGAGAATGAGTGCAAGGTTTTACTGAGTGGAAGTAGCTCTCAGCAGATTGGGGAGTCAGAAGGGAGATGGTTTTCCCCTGGAGTCGGACCGCTAGGTGGACTGGGCTCTCCTCTGGCTGCCCTAGCCAAATGTCGTTCTGCTGGTGGGTGGCCTGCTGGTGTGCTGGTGCCTCCTGATGTGCTTCTCGCCATGTCCAGCCACCTGTGTGTCTGCCTGCTGGGGTCTGGGGGGAGGGGATTGTTTATAGGCATAGGATCGGGGCGTGGCAGGCCAGGGCGGTCTTGGGAAAATACAACATTTGGGCAGGAAATGCCTGTCCTCACCTAGGTTCATGTGGGTGGAGCCCTAGCCAGGGACCACGTCCTCCTCTAAGTAGCGCTTCCCTTCCCCGCTTCTGTATCATTTAAAGGGACCACACTCTTCCCTTCCATATTGCCACCACGCCCAGCTAATTTTTGTATTTTTTGTAGAGACAAGGTTTCGCTGTGTTGGCCAGGCCGGTCTCGCACTCCTGACCTCAGGTGAACTGCCTACCTCGGACTCCCAAAGTACTGGGATTACAGGCGTGAGCCACTGTGCCTGGCCTAAATAAAATATATTTTTAAAATTGGTTTCACCTCTTTATTTTCATTTTTCCTTACCATGGCTACTAGAAATTTTAAAACTACGTATGTAGTTCACATTATACTTTTTTGGACAGCTGCTCCATTAAACCATTTTCACTACCATCACCAATATGGATAGTTATCACAGGCTATGAGATAAAATGGGCCCTTTGCCAGGCAATTAAATCTCCAGAGCAACTTCTGATCTTAGGCAAGCTCCTCATTTATCAATTTTTTTTGTTTTCTTCATTAGACCCTAGTGATTTAGCTATCTATATTCTCTTTTTCCATCTGCTACCACCTGCTCTCTTGCCTGAGATTCTTGCCTACTGATTTAAGTTCTGTTTTGTCATAGACTCAGGAAAGCAAGGATCATCTGGTCCAGCACTCCTCAAACACACGGGCTAGCTTTGGGCTGGCTGCACAAGAATCCTTCTGGGAGTTACTATTTCAGTAGGTCTAGAGGTATGGCCCAGGAATTTCTAACTTGAAAAGGCTCTTTTAGTTATTCTGTTGAGGAGCCAGGTTTGGGAACCCTTGATCCAGTCCAGTGGTTTTTATAATTTTCTTTAGCAACAGAACTATTTTCAAGTGAAGCTTTAACATGGAATCCTAGGATTTAAAAGATAAAAGCAAACCTGACCTGAATGAATTAGGCATAGAGGCCTGGAGCATCAACAGCACCACTTCCTTTTCCCTCTCACCTCTCTTCACTTACTCTAGCAGCCAAGAGGACCCTTAGGGCTCTGTTATTCAGTTTGAAAAACATTGATCTAGTCTAGACAGCCATCCATCTTCATAGCATACCCCCCAAGGGGTTGGCCAGTCTGCACCCGACACCTGTGGTGAACTCTCTACCAACACAGATACATACTGTAAGAGCAGCAATAAAAACTTTCACCCAGGGAAGAGGAAGGTAGTTGATTCACATTATCTTCCCACACACCTTTTTTACATTTTTTTCTTCTTAAGGAGAAGATGTGTAAATTAAACGAAACCTGGTTTGTTCTCCCCATCCTTCAAGTCCAAAATTCTGTTCAGAAGTTTTTGTTTTCTTCCTTATTTTCTCCTTTATATTTAAGAATAGTGTTTCCTCTCTTGCTGAATTTGATTTTTTTTTTTTTTGAGACAGGGTCTTGCCCTGTCACCCAGGCTGAAGTACAATGGCACTATAATGGCTAATTTTTAATTTTGTTTTATTTTATTTTTTTTAGAGAGGGGGGGTCTTGCCATGTTGCCCAGGCTGGTCTTGAACTCCTGGCCTCAAGCAGTCCTCCTGTGTTGGCCTCCCAAAATGCTGGGATTACAGGCATGAGCCACCACACCTAGCCTGAATTTGATTTTTTAAAGATGTTTCTAGAAAAGCATATGCCAGTTTTCTCTCAGAGGTGTTGCTCAGAATTATCTACAGTTCATTTTTCCATTTAGCCTTTGGTTTTAAGGATTATTTACTCTCTATATGACCATATTTTTTTTTAATTTTAAGAAAAAATAAAGATACTCTTTTTTATTTAGTTTCTAATATGCTGAGAAAGATTTGCCTTCCAGATTCTGGGTATTTGTATTACTAGTACTTATATCTGCCTATAGTCTTTTACTTATTTACTTACTTTATTAATTAATTAATTTAAAGACAGCATCTTGCTCTGTCACCTAGACTGGAGTGCAGTGGCATGATCACAGCTCATTGCAGTTTTGACCTCCTAGGCTCAAGTGATCCTCCTGCCTCAGTCCCCCAAGTAGCTGAGATTACAGGTGTGTGCTACCCACACCTGGCTAATTTTTTATTTTTTTTGTAGAGGTGGGGTCTCACTATGTTGCCCAGACTGGTCTGGAACTCCTAGGCTGAAGCAGTCCTCCTGCCTCAGCCTCCTAAAGTGCTGAGATTACAGGAATGAGCTACCACAGTTGGTCTAGTCTTTCATTTTTTGTCTGTTTGTTTGTTTGCTTATTTGAGACAGTCTTGCCCTGTCACCCAGACTGGAGTGCAGTGGCACGGTCACAGCTCACTGCAGCCTCGACCACCTGGGCTCAAGTGATCCTCCCACCTCAGCCTCCCAAGTAGCTGGTACTACAGGCGTGTGTCACCATGGCTAGCTAATTTTTTTGTATTTTTAGTATACATGGGGTTTCACCATGTTGCCCATGCTGGTCTTGAACTCCTGGGCTCGAGTGATCCACCTGCCTCAGCCTCCCAATGTGCTGGGATTACAGACGTTTAAGTCTCCGCACCCAGCCATTCTGGATATTTCATAGACATGGAATCATACAATGCGACCTTTTATGTCTGACTTCTTTCACTTATGTCTTGGAGGGTCATATACCTTGCAGCATGTATTGGCACTTTGTTCTTTTTATGGCTGAATGATATTCCATTGTTTGTATACATCACAGTTGGTTTATTCATTCATCTACTGATAGACATTTGGGCTGTTCCCCTGTTTTGCCTCTTGTGAATAGTTCTGCTATGAACATGGGTGAACTATGTTCTTGTTTGTGTCCCTGCTTTCATTTCTTTGGAATATATACCTAAGAGTGGAATTGCAGGGTCATGTGGTAATTCTGTGTTTAAGTTTTTGAGAAACTCAAATTGTTTTCCACAGTGACTGAACCATTTTACATTTTGCCTATTGTCTTTTAATTATACTTAGTACATTTATCAATTTTGGAGGGTGATGACAGGAAACGATTTTCAAAATGCTTTTGAGACATGGCCCAGAGATCTGTCTATATTGAGCAACTTACACAGTTACTTGGAAAAATCATTCCTTATTCACAATGTTCTTGGTTT
Organism: Homo sapiens; assembly: GCF_000001405.40. Taxonomy (NCBI): domain Eukaryota; kingdom Metazoa; phylum Chordata; class Mammalia; order Primates; family Hominidae; genus Homo; species Homo sapiens. Next base: position 171,383,670 of record NC_000002.12, on the reverse strand, counting down.
AAGCATATAGAAACTTTTCAAGGGATCTCGGCCATTTATAAGTAAGCACTAAGCACTTGTTTTACATGACTACATCAGCTAGGCCATTGGCATGCTCCCAGTAAGAAACACACTTTCCATCATGGACCAGCACATGTGTACATAACATATACACATATATAAAACAGGAACAAAAGTTTCCAGTACAGTTTTTACCATGGGAGGTGTGCATCTAGTATTTTCCATTTATTTTATTCTACCCTGTTTCTATTTCTTTATTCAAGGGTTGCTTAGAGTAACTAAATTGATTTCATGACTCACCAAGGTTTATGACCTTCAGTTTAAAAACACTGAGCTAAGCCGTTTTCTGTAGATCCAAGGTAAGACTGTGTGTTGCAATGTGATTTCTATTATGTAACCCACTTAAATAATAGACAGTTTACAGAATCTCAATGGGGTTCATATCCCAAGAATTCTTCATTATATAATTTTCCTTATATAAAAATTATACTTATCATCTGATTCCTCTTGCCCTGTTTCATATATGGTTCTTTTTGTTTTTTACATGTTCAGTACACATGTGTGTTTTTTGGGGTTTTTGTGTTTGTTTGTTTTTTTCACACAGAGTCTTGCTCTGTCGCCCAGACTGGAGTGCAGTGGCTCGATCTCAGCTCACTGCAAACTCCGCCTCTCAGGTTCAAGTGATTCTCCTGCCTCAGCCTCCCAAGTAGCTGGGATTACAGGCGCCCGCCACCACACCTGGCTAATTTTTTGTATTTTTAGTAGAGATGGGGTTTCATCATGTTGGCCAGGATGGTCTTGAACTGCTGACCTCGGGTGATCCACCCACCTCAGCCTCCCAAGGTGCTGGGATTACAGGCGTGAGCCACCGCGTCTGGCCCAGATGTGTGTTTTTTGTTTGTTTGTTTTTTTGTAGTTTTCTTTTCTTTTTTTCTTTCTTTTTTTTTAAATTTTACTTTGAGTTCCGGGATACATGTGCAGAATGTGCAGGTTTGTTACATAGGCATACATGTGCCATGGTGGTTTGCTGCATCTGTCAACCCGTCATCTAGGTTTTAGGCGTTGCATGCATTAGGGATTTGTCCTAATGCTGTCTCTCCCCTTGCCCTCCACCCCTGGACAGGCCCCTGTGTATGTTGTTCCCCTGCCTGTGTCCATGTGTTCTCATTGTTCAACTCCTACTTATGAGTGAGAACATGCAGTGTTTGGTTTTCTATTCCTGCGTTAGTTTGCTGAGGATGATGGCTTCCAGCTTCATTTATGTCCCTGCAAAGGACATGATCTCATTCTTTTTTATGGCTGCATAGTATTCCATGGTGTATATGTACCACATTTTCTTTATCCAGTCTATTATTGATTGACATTTGGGTTGGTTCCATGTCTTTGCTATTGTAAATAGTGCTGCAGTAAGCACATGTGTGCATGTGTCTTTAGAGTGGAATGATTTATATTCCTTTGGGTATATACCCAGTAATGGGATTACTGGGTCAAATGGTATTTCTGGTTCTAGATCCTTGAGGAATTGCCACACTGTTTTCCACAATGGTTGAACTAATTTACATGCCCACCAACAGTGTAAAAGCATTCCTGGCTGGGCGCGGTGGCTCATGCCTGTAATCCCAGCACTTTGGGAGGCCAAGGTGGGCGAATCATGAGGTCAGGAGGTTGAGACCATCCTGGCCAACATGGTGAAACCCCGTCTCTACTAAAAATACAAAAAAATTAGCTGGGCGTGGTGATGCGTGCCTGTAGTCCCAGCTACTCAGGAGGCTGAGGTAGGAGAATCGCTTGAACCCTGGAGGTGGAGGTTGCAGTGAGCCAAGATCATGCTACTGCACTCCAGCCTGGTTACAGAGCAAGACTCCATGTCAAAAAAAAAAAAAAAAAAAAGTGTTCCTAATTGTCCACAGCCTTGTCAGCGTCTATTGTTTCCTTTTTAATACTCGCCATTCCGACTCTCGTGAGATGATATCTCATCATGGTTTTGATTTGCATTTCACTAAAGATCAGTGATTATGAGCCTTTTTTCATATGTTTATTGGCTGCATAAATGTCTTCTTTTGAGAAGTGTCTGTTCATATCCTTTGCCCACTTTTTGATGTTTTTTTTTCTTGTAAATTTGTTTAAATACCTTGTAGATTCTGGATATTAGCCCTTTGTCAGATGGGTAGATTGCAAAAATTTTCTCCCATTCTGTAGGTTGCCTGTTCACTTTGATGCTAATTTCTTTGGCTGTGCAGAAGCCCTTTAGTTTAATTAGATCCCATTTGTCAACTTTGGCTTTTGTTGCAGTTGCTTTTGGTGTTTTTGTCGTGAAGTCTTTGCCCATGCCTATGTCCTGAATGGTATTGCCTAGGTTTTCTTCTAGGGTTTTTATGTTTTTTGGTTTTACATTTAAGTCTTAAATCCACCTTGAGCTAATTTTTGAATAAGGTCTAAGGAAGGAGTCCGGTTTCAGTTTTCTGCATATGGCTAGCCAGTTTTCCCAGCACCATTTATATAGGGAATCCTTTCCCCATTGCTGGTTTTTGTCAGGTTTGTTGAAGATCAGATAGTTGTAGATGTGTGGACTTATTTCTCTGTTTAATGGAGGTCTGTGTTCTGTTCCGTTGGTCTATATGTCTGTTTTGATACCAGTACCATGCTGTTTTGGTTACTGTAGCCCTGTAGTATAGTTTGAAGTCAGGTAGCATGATGCCTCCAGCTTTATTCTTTTTGGTTAGGATTGTCTTAGCTATATGGGCTCTTTTTTAGTTCCATATGAAATTTAAAGTAGTTTTTTCTAATTCTGTGAAGAAAGTCAACAGTAGTTTGATGGGAATAACATTGAATCTATAAATTACTTTGGGCAGTATGGGCATTTTCACGATATTGAGTGTTCCTATCTGTGAGCATGGAATGTTCTTCCATTCGTTTATGTCCTCTCTTATTTCTTTGAACAGTGGTTTGTAGTTCTCCTTGAAGAGGCCCTTCATGCCCCTTGTTAGCTGTATTCCTATGTATTTTATTTTCTTTGTAGCAGTTGTGAATGGTAGTTCATTCATGATTTGGCTCTCTGCTCGTCTATTGTTGGTGTATAGGAATGCTTGTGATTTTTGCACATTGATTTTGTTTCCCAGACTTTGCTGAAGTTGTTTATCAGCTAAAGGAGTTTTTGGGCTGAGACCATGGGGTTTTCTAAATATAGGATCATGTCATCTGCAAACAGAGACAATTTGGCTTCCTCTCTTCCTATTTGAATACACTTTATTTCTTTCTCTAGCCTTATTGCCCTGGTCAGCACTTCCAATACTATGTTGAATAGGAGTGGTGAGAGAGGGCATCCTTGTCTTATGCCAGTTTTCAAAGGGAATACTTCCAGCTTTTGCCCATTCAGTATAATATTGGCCATGGGTTTGTCATAAATAGCTCTTATTATTTTGAGATATGTTCCATCAATGCCTAGTTCATTGAGAGTTTTTAACATGAAGGGATGTTGAATTTTATTGAAGGCCTTTTCTGCATCTATTGAAATAATCATGTGGTTTTTGTCATTGGTTCAGTTTATGTGATGGATTATGCTTATTGATTTGCATATGCTGAACCAGCCTTGCATCACAGGGATGAAGCCAAGTTGATTGGTGGATAAGCTTTTTGATGTGCTGCTGGGTTCAGTTTGCCAGTATTTTATTGAGGATTTTTGCATCAATGTTCATCAGGGATATTGGCCTGAAGTTTTCTTTTTTTGTTGTTGTGTTTCTGCCAAGTTTTGGTATCAGGATGATGCTGGCTCAAAAAATGAGTTAGGGAGGAGTCCCTCCTTTTCAATTGTTTGTAATAGTTTCAGAAGGAATGGTATCAGCTCCTCTTTGTACCTCTGGTAGAATTTAGCTGTGAATCTATCTGGTCCTGGGCTTTTTTTGGTTGGTAAGCTATTACTGCCTCAATTTCAGAACTTGTTATTGGTCTATTCAAGGATTGAACTTCTTCCTGGTTGAGTGTTGGGAGGGTGTACGTGTCCAGGAATTTATCCATTTCTTTAGATTTTCTAGCTTATTTGCCTGGAAGTGTTTATAGTACTCTCTGATGGTAGTTTGTATTTCCGTGGGTCAGTGGTGATATCCCCTTTATCATTTTTCATCTATTTGATTCTTCTCTCTTTTCTTATTAGTCTAGTTAGCAGTCTATCTATTTTATCAATTTTTTCAAAAAACCAGCTCCTGGATTCATTGATTTTTTTTTTTAAGGGTTTTTTGTGTCTCTATCTCCTTCAGTTCTGCTCTGGTCTTAGTTATTTCTTGCCTTCCGCTAGCTTGTAGATTTGTTTGCTCTTGCTTCTCTAGTTGTTTTAATTGTGATGCTAGGGTTTTGATTTGAAATCTTTCTAGCTTTCCAATGTGGGCATTTAGTGTTATAAATTTCCCTCTTAGTACTGCTTTAGCTGCATTCCAGAAATTCTGGTACATTGTCTCTTTGTTCTCACTGGTTTTAAAGAAGTTTTTGATTTCTGCCTTAATTTCATTATTTACCCAGGAGTCATTCCGGAGCAAGTTGTTCAATTTCCATATAGTTGTGTGGTTTTGAGTGAGTTTTTAAATCTCGAGTTCTAATTTGATTGTAATGTGGTCTGAGAGACTATTTGTTATTATTTCAATTCTTTTGCATTTGCTGAGGAATGTTGTATTTCCAATTATGTGGTCTATTTTAGAGGAAGTGCCATATGGCACTGAGAAGAATATATAATCTGTTGTCTGGGGGTGGAGAGTTCTGTAGATATCCATCAGTTCCGCTTAATCCAGAGCTGAGTTCAAGTCTTGAATATCCTTGTTAATTTTCTGTCTTGTTGATCTGTCCAGTATTGACAGTGGGGTGTTAAAGTCTCCCACCACTATTGTGTGGCAGTTTAAGTCTCCTTGTAGGTCTCTAAGAACTTGTTTTATGAATCTGGGTGCTCCTGTATTGGGTTCATATATATTTAGGATAGTTAGCTTTTCTTTGTGAATTGATCCCTTTACCATTATGTAATACCCTTCTTTTTTTATTTTTTTATTTTTATTTTTTTAGATGGAGTCTCGCTCTGTCACCCAGGCTGGAGTGCAGTGGTGTGGTCTAGCTCACTGCAACCTCCACCTCCCGGGTTCAAGCAATTCTTCTGCCTCAGCTTCCCAAGTAGCTGGGACTACAGGCGCATGCCACCACACCCAGCTAATTTTTGTATTTTTAGTAGAGATGGGGTTTCACTATGTTGGCCAGGCTGGTCTTGGACTCCTGACCTCATGATCCACCCACCTCAGCCTCCCAAAGTGCTGGGATTACAGGCATGAGCCACTGCATCCAGCCATGTAATGCCCTTCTTTGTCTTTTTTGATCTTTGTTGGTTTAAAGTCTGTCTTGTCAGAAACTAGAATTGCAACCCCTGCTTTTTTCTGCTGTCCATTTACTTGGTAAATTTTCCTCCATCCCTTTATTTTGAGCCTATGTATGTCTTTGCACATGAGTTGAGTCTCTTGAGTACAGCACACCAATGGGTCTTGACTCTATCCAGTTTGCCAGTCTGTGCCTTTTAATTGGGGCATTTAGCCAATTTACATTTAAGGTTAATATTGTTATGTGTGAACTTGATCCTGTCATCATGATGCTAGCTGGTTATTTTGAACACTAGTTGATCCACTTGTTGGTTGATGGGCATTTAGATTGGTTCCATGTTTTTGCAATTGCAAATTGTGCTGCTATAAACATGCATGTGCATGTGTTTTTTGTTTTGTTTTGTTTTGTTTTTTTCCATATAATTACTTCTTTTCCTTTGGGAGATACCCAGTAATGGGATTGCTGGATCAAATGGTAGTTCTGCTTTTAGTTCTTTAAGGAATCTCCATACTGTTTTCCATAGTGATTGTACTAGTTTACATTCCCACCAGCAGTGTAAAAGTGTTTCCTTTTCACTACATACATGCCAACATCTATTTTTCTTTTTTTATGGCCATGCATGCAGGAGTAAAGTGGTATCTCATTGTGGTTTTCATTTGCATTTCCTTGATAACTAGTGATGTTGAGCATTTTTTTCATATGTTTGTTGGCTGTTTGTACATCTTCTTTTGAGAATTGCCTATTCATGTCCTTTGCTCACTTTTTGACAGGATTATTTGTTTTATTTCTTGCTGATTTGAGTTCCTTGTAGATTCTGGATATTAGTCCTTTGTCAGATACATAGTTTGAGAATATTTTCTCCCACTCTGTGGGTTGTCTGTTTACTCTGCTGATTATTTCTTTTGCTTTGCAGAAGCTTTTCAGCTTAACTAGGTCTGATTTATTTATTTTTGTTTTTGTTATATTTATTTTTTGTTGTTATATTTATTTTTGTTTTATTTTGTTTTGCTTTTGGGGTCTTAGTCATGAATTCTTTGCCTAAGCCAATGTCTAGAAGAGTTTTTCCGATGTTATCTTCTAGAATTTTTATGGTTTCAAGTCTTAGATTTAAATCTTTGATCCATCTTGGGTTGATTTTTGCTTAAGGTGAGAGATGAGCATCCAGTTTCATTCTTCTGTTATGTGGCTTGTCAGTTATCCCAGCACCATTTATTGAATAGAGTATCCTTTCCCTGGTTCATGTTTTTGTATGTTTTGTTGAAGATTAGTTGGCTGTAAGTATTTGGCTTTATTTCTGAGTTCTATATTCTGTTCCATTGGTCTATATGCCTATTTTTATACCAGTACCATGCTGTTTTGGTAACTAAAGCCTGATAGTATAGTTTGAAGTTGGGTAATGTGACACCTCCAGATTTATTCTTTCTGCTTATTGTTGCTTTGGCTCTATGGGCTCTTTTTTGGTTCTATATAAATGTTAGGAATGTTTTTTCTTTGAAGAATGATGATGGTGTTTTGATGGAAATTGCATTGAATCTATAGATTGCTTTTGGCAGTACGGTAATTTTTACAATATTGATTGTACCCATCCATGAGCATGGAATGTGTTTCCATTTGTTTGTGTCATCTGTGATTTCTTTCAGCAGTGTTTTGTAGTTTTCCTTGTAGAAGTCTTTCACCTCCTTTGCTAAGTGTATTCCTAAGTATTTTATTTTATTTTTTGCAACCTTTATAAAAGGGATTGAGTTATTGAGTTGATTCTCAGCTTGGCTGTTGTTGGTGTATAGCAGTGCTCCTGATTTATGTACATTGATTTTGTATCCTGAAACTTTACTGAATCCATTTATCAGATCTAGGAGCTTCTTGGAAGAGTCTTTAGGATTTTTTAGGTATATGATTATATCATCGGTGAACAGTGATAGTTTGACTTCCTTTTTTCCAATTTGGATGCCCTTTATGATAAGTGTGAAGACAGTGAAGACCAAAGGAACTCAGGATAGGAAGAGATTCCCAAGATGAGGTTGGAAGAGCAGGTAGGATTTAACTTGAGCTTTGAAGGATAAAGAGTATTTAAATAGTGAAGATAATGTTTTACACAAGTGGTAGCATGAATAAAGATGTGAATTTGGGAATAAATACAAGAGGTATATTCAAAGCAAGCAAATAGACCAGCCCAGTTGGAAGAGATGACTCAACAATGTTGCAGTCAAATGCCCAGTTAGTTAAGAACTACAAAGTAAAATATTTCAGTAAAGGATCATTTGACAAAGCAAAAGACCCAGACCCTCATAAAGGCTACCAGTCTCCCCTGCTACAGAAAAATGCAGAAAATACATAATGTCTAGTCTTTGAAATGAAGCTTACAGGGCAGGAGAAGCAGGTCTCTGGAAAAGGTTGGGTGTCAGGGAGAATTTACCTGCAAAATAAAAGGAAAGAAGGAAGGTTAAAGAACCTAGAATGCATTGTAGATTCACTTGTATTTTCCAATATTTTGTATAAACAGAATCATTTAATATGTTTTATCTTTTTGTCTGGCCTCTCTTACTCAGCATAATTATTTTGAGATTTATCTGTGTTGCTACATGTATCAATAGTTTGTTCCTTTTTACTGTTGATAAAAGATTCATAATCAGAATAAATTTAAAACTCCCAAAATTCAATAATAAGAAAGCAAACAACACAGTAAAAATGAAGTATTTTAAGATACTTCACCAAAGAAGATATACAGATGGTAAATAAGCACATGAAAAGATGCTGAATATCATTAGTCATTAGAAACGTGCAAATGAAAGGCACAGTAAAATACTACTACACACCTATTTGAATAGCTGAAATTAAAAGTACTGAGCTTACCAAGTGTTGATAAGGATGTAGAGGAACTGGAACTTTCATACACTGCTGGTGGGAATATAAAATGGTATAACCATTTTGGAATACAACTTGGCAGTTTATTTGTTTGTTTAGGTTGTTTTTACTCACCACTATGCTAACGAGGAACTTGGCAGTTTCTTTAAAAGATAAACATATATCTCTGGTCCGTGCCTCCAAGATGACAAAGAAAAGAAGGAACAACGGTCATGCCAAAAAGGGCCGCGGCCACGTGCATCCTATTCGCTGCACTAACTGTACCCGATGCGTGCCCAAGGACAAGGCCATTAAGAAATTCGTCATTCGAAACGTAGTGGAGGCCGCAGCAGTCAGGGACATTTCTGAAGTGAGCGTCTTCAATGCCTATGTGCTTCCCAAGCTGTATGTGAAGCTATATTACTGTGTGAGTTGTGCAATTCACAGCAAAGTAGTCAGGAATCGATCTCGTGAAGCCCACAAAGACCGAACACCCCCACCCTGATTTAGACCTGTGGGTGCTGCCCCACGTCCCCCACCAAAGCCCATGTAAGGAGCTGAGTTCTTAAAGACTGAAGACAGACTATTCTCTGGAGAAAAATAAAATGGAAATTGTACTTAAAAAAAAAAAAGTTAAACATACACCTACTGTGTATGTTAAACATATACAACATGGATGAATTTCAGAATAATTATGCTGAGTGAAAGAAGTTAGAAATAGAGTACATACAATACTTTCTTTTACTGTACTAGAAAATGCAAACTAATCTATAGAGACAGAAGGCAAATCAGTGGATGCTAGTGGTGGAGGTGAGTGGGGAGAAGGGGAGGGGTGGGAGGGAGGAATTACAAAGGGGCACAAGGAAACTTGAAGGGAATGGACATGTTCATTTTCTTGATTACGGTGAAAATTTCACAAGTGTCTACATATATTAAAACTTACCAAGTTGTACACTTTGAATACAGTTTACTGTATGTCAGTTACACCTCATTAAAACCTTAAAAAAAGTTACTTCCATACATTGGAAAATAATGTAGCAGTTAATAAAAATGAGAGATCTATGTATACTGAAATCAAGAGATGGGTATGATATATCATTAAATGAAAAGAGCAAGCTGAAGAGAATTTTCTCCAGTATGACCTCATTTTTGTTAAGAAATTATTGTACCTGTGTTAGGATACAAAATCAATGTGCAAAAATCACAAGCATTCTTATATGCCAATAACAGACAAACAGAGAGCCAAATCATGAGTAAACTCCCATTCACAATTGCTTCAAAGAGAATAAAATACCTAGGAATCCAACTTACAAGGGATGCGAAGGACCTCTAAATAAAAGAGGACACAAACAAATGGAAGAACATTCCATGCTCATGGATAGGAAGAATCAATAGCGTGAAAATGGCCATACTGCTCAAGGTAATTTATAGATTCAATGCCATCCCCATCAAGCTGCCAATGACTTTCTTCACAGAATTGGAAAAAACTACTTTAAAGTTCACATGGAACCAAAAAAGACCTTGCATTGCCAAGACAATCCTAAGCCAAAAGAACAAAGCTGGAAGCATCACGCTGCCTGACTTCAAACTATACTACAAGCCTACAGTAACCAAAACAGCATGGTACTGGTACCAAAACAGAGATATAGACCAATGGAACAGAACAGAGCCCTCAGAAATAATACCACACATCTACAACCATCTGATCTTTGACAAACCTGACAAAAACAAGAAATGGGGAAAGGATTCCCTATTTAATAAATGGTGCTGGGAAAACTGGCTAGCCATATTAGAAAGCTGAAACTGGATCCCTTCCTTAGACCTTATACAAAAAATAATTCAAGATGGATTAAAGACTTAAATGTTAGATCTAAAACCATAAAAACTCTAGAAGAATACCTAGGCAATACCATTCAGGACATAGGCATGGGCAAGGACTTCATGTCTAAAACACCAAAAGCAATGACAACAAAAGCCAGAATTGACAAATGTGATCTAATTAAACTAAAGAGCTTCTGCACAGCAAAAGAAACTACCATCAGAGTGAACAGGCAACCTACAGAATGGGAGAAAATTTTTACAATCTACCCATCTGACAGAGGGCTAATATCCAGAATCTACAAAGAACTCAATCAAATTTACAAGAAAAAAACAACCCCATCAAAAAGTGGGCAAAGGATATGAACAGACTCTTCTCAAAAGAAGACATTTATGCAGCCGACAGACACATGAAAAAATGCTCATCATCACTGGCCATCAGAGAAATGCAAATCAAAACCACAATGAGATACCATCTCACACCAGTTAGAATGGTGATCATTAAAAAGTCAGGAAACAGCAGGTGCTGGAGAGGATGTGGAGAAATAGGAACACTTTTACACTGTTGGTGGGACTGTAAACTGGTTCAACCATTGTGGAAGACAGTATGGTGATTCCTCAAGGATCTAGAACTAGAAATACCATTTGATCCAGTCATCCCATTACTGGGTATATACCCAAAGGATTATAAATCATGCTGCTATAAAGACACATGCACACGTATGTTTATTGCGGCACTATTCACAATAGCAAAGACTTGGAACCAATCCAAATGTCCATCAGTGATAGATTGGATGAAGAAAATATGGCATATATACACCATGGAATACTATGCAGCCATAAAAAAAGATGAGTTCATGTCCTTTGTAGGGACATGGATGAAGCTGGAAACCATCATTCTCAGCAAACTATCGCAAGGACAGAAAACTAAACACCACATGTTCTCACTCATAGGTAGGAATTGAACAATGAGAACATTTGCACACAGGAAGGGGAACGTCACACACCGGGGCCTGTTGTGGGGTGTGGGGAGTGGGGAGGGATAGCATTAGGAGATGTACCTAATGTAAATGACGAGTTAATGGGTGCAGCACACCAACATGGCGCATGTATACATATGTAACAAACCTACACGTTGTGCACATGTACCCTAGAACTTAAAGTATAATAATAATAATAATAATAAAAAGAAATTATTGTACCTGTGTTACATGTATATACACCTTTGCTTTTATATATAGAGAGAAAAGTCTGAAAAGGTCCACATTATCCTGATAATGGTATTTACATCAGAGATGGGAATGGGGATGAGAGGGAGGGTAGAGATGTAACTATATTTTATATGCATTGGTATTGAGTTTTAATTTAAAAAAAAAATGCCCCCTTCCTTATGTACCTATTTCCCATCTTGCTATCTACCTGATGGCAAATTCTGTATTCTTTAATACTGATTCCAACTTCTCAAAATTTTGAGTTCTACCAAATCTTCCTCATCTTTGTGTCCTCAGTTCACAGGCCCAGTGCCTGATAGATATAGGTTCCCACTAAATATTTAATGAGGCAGGTGGGTATTGGTTTCTTCAGCACCTGTGACCTCCATCCCATTGTATGCAAAGTAGAAAGGCATTGGCTCTATGTTTGTGTTTTTTGTTAGTCACACAAGTAAGAAACTCAGGCTGGTGTTGTGGCTCACTCATGCCTGTAATCCCAGCAGTATGGGAGGCCAGGCAGGAAGATCGCTTGATGCAGGAGTTGGATTTACCAGCCTGGGCAACAAAGCAAGACCCGTCTCTACAATAATAATAATAATAATAATAATAATAATAATAGTAATAATAACAATAATGTAATTTAAAAATTTTAAAAATTAGCTGGGCGCAGTGATATGCACTTATAGTCCTAGCTACTCAGGAGGCTGAGGCCGAAAGATTGCTTGAACTCAGGAGTTTGAGGCTGTCAGAGGTTTTTCCAGAGGCTAAAAAGGTTTTTTTTAAAAAAACCTTGTTATAGGCTGGGCACGGTGGCTCACACCTGTAGTCCTAGTGCTTTGGGAAGCCAAGGCAGGCGCATCACCTGAGGTCGGGAGTTCAAGACCAGCCTGGCCTATATGGTGAAACGTCATCTCTACTAAAAATACAAAAATTGGCTGGGTGTGTTGGCACGTGCCTGTAATCCCAGCTACTCAGGAGGCTGAGGCAGGAGAATCACTTGAACCTGGGAGGCGGAGGTTGCAGTGAACCGAGATGGTGCCACAGCACTCCAAACTGGGTGATGGAGTGAGATTCTGTCTCAAAAAATAAATTAATAATGAAAAATGAAAACAAAACAAAAACTAATTTACTAATAACAGTAACCAACTGAAATATTCATTATAGCCAAAAAGAGAGGTAGGCATCCTGGAGTTACAAATATAAATTAGACTCAATAGTAGAAAGGAAGATTTAATTGAAGTTACTTCAGTTATTAGCTGATATGCCTATAACAGCTATATTTTATCTTTTCTGAGACTCACATTTTTATTTACCTATTAACATCTCTGAAATCATGACATTTTTACAGTTTGTGCATCTTAAAATTGTAGCTGAAAATGTTTTTTCTTTATTACTGGTACAGAAAATAATAGCATATTGGATTTGATGAAATAGAATAATTATAATTTCAGAGTACTTAATCTTTTTTTAAGTACTCAACTTGATTTATTTACGAAGTGTAATATGTCCACCTGCCCAGCACTCTAGTCAGGAGCAGAACATTGCAGACCCCAGAAGCCCTTAGGTCCTGTTCACCTTAATTACCTCCTCCCAAGGAAAACCAAAGTCTTCAAAGTACTTAATCTTAATTTGTATGCTGGTTATTTATTTATTTATTTATTTTTGAGACGGAGTCTCACTCTGTTGCCCAGGCTGGAGTGCAGTGGCCTGATCTCGGCTCACTGCAAGCTCCGCCTCCCGGGTTCACGCCATTCTCCTGCCTCAGCCTCCCGAGTAGCTGGGACTACAGGTGCCCACCACCACACCCGGCTAATTTTTTGTATTTTTAGTAGAGATGGGGTTTCACTGTGTTAGCCAGGATGGTCTCGATCTCCTTACCTCATGATCTGCCCACCTCGGCCTCCCAAAGTGGTGGGATTACAGGCATGAGCCACCGTGCCCAGCCCGTATGCTGTTTTGAGAACTATTACTAATACAAAAACCAAAGGAGAGAGAAAAAATTTAAATGATTTTCCACTGCCATACATCAGGGCTAACCTATAGAACATTTTTTATATTGTCAGAAAAGCATTACTTGCTAATAATTGATAAATGAACAATGTACATAGAAAGTTGATCCAGGAGGAAGTACATGTGAGCATACAGGAAAATATTTAACAGTTAAAAAAATACAAATGCAAACAATAAAGTAATGTTTGGACCTATTAAATTAACACCAAAGAAAACAGAAAGAAAAGAAACTTAAGATAACACCTAGTCCAGGTAGCATTGTATATTAATATTTGTTTGGTTGTCTGTTTATTTTTTAATTTCTCTCTTCTGCCCTTTTTTTCCCCTGTTCCTTTTTTCCTGCCTGCTTTTGGATAAATTGAATAATTTTTTTTTTTTTGAGATGGAGTCTCTCTGTGTTGCCCAGGCTGGAGTGCAATGGCATGATCTCGGCTCATTGCAACCTCTGCCTCCCAGGTTCAAGCGATTCTCCTACCTCAGCCTTCCGAGTAGCTGGGATTATAGGCATGCACCACCATGCCCAGCTAATTTTTGTATTTTTAGTAGAGACGGGGTTTCACCATGTTGGTCAGACTGGTCTTGAACTCCTGACCTCATGATCCGCCCGCCTTGGCCTCCCAAAATGCTGGTATTACAGGTGTGAGCCACCGTGACCAGCCTAATTGAATAATTTTTTGTATCCAATTTTTACTTCCTCTACTGGCATTTAGCCATACATCTTTGCATTCTGTTTTAGGAATTATTTCAAGGCAATAGTTTCAAACATTTTGGTCTCAGGACCCCTTTACACTCTTAAATTACTACGAACCGCAAAGACTTCTTATGGATATGGATTATGTCTATTGATATTTTCTGTATTAGAAATTAAAACTCAGACATGAAAACATTTATTAATTCCAAAACAATAATGAATCCATTACATATTAACATAAATGACATATTTTAATGTAAATGTATATTCCCAAAAGTGTAATGCAAAGAGTGGCATTGCTCTAAATGTTTGCAAGTCTCTTTATAATGTCTGCCATAATGGAAGAAATTGGATTCTCATATCCTCTTGCATTATATGAAGATAATTTGGTCTCTCACAGATATGTGCTTATAAAGGAGAGGAGTTTTTTTGTTGTTGTTGTTGTTTTGAGACAGAGTCTCGCTCTCTTGCCCAGGCTGGAGTACAGTGGCGCGATCTCGGCTCACTGCAAGCCCCGCCTGCCGGGTTCATGCCATTCTCTTGCCTCAGCCTCCTGAGTAGCTGGGACTACAGGCGACTGCCACCATGCCCGGCTAATTTTTTGTATTTTTTAGTGGAGACGGGGTTTCACCGTGTTAGCCAGTATGGTCTCAATCTCCTGACCTCGTGATCCGCCTACCTTGGCCTCCCAAAGTGCTGGGATCACAGGCATGAGCCACCGCGCCTGGCTGGAGAGGAGTTTTTAATAGCCTTTATCAGATAATTGTGGGGTTTTTTTTGATATTACACTAAATCTCAATAGTGGTAGTTTCTTAGTTGCAATATGGCATATGAAACCATATCACGGAACTTTTTATATTCTGCCATATATATATATTTTTTTAAGACCGGGTCTCACTATATTACGCAAGCTGGCTGTGAACTCCTGGGCTCAAGCCTTTCTCCTGCCTCAGCCTCCCGAGTAGCTGGGACTACAAGACTGCTCCACAGGGCCTGGCTCTATATTCTGCCATATTATGATACACTGGTATACCTTGCACTTTGGATAGATCCTTTACCTAGGCATGATTTATAACATCATGCATGGATAATTTGGAAAATATTGGTTCCCTGTTTGATGTAGATCTTCTAAATGTTGACACATTTTATTATAAAATATTTAAAAATCACATTTGTTAATATCACCACCAGTCTCATCAGGAAAATCTGTATTGGGAACCTATCAAACTCATGGTGGTGGACACAAGCTTTCCAGAAGTCTAATTTTTGCTTGGAAGCACAAAATTTATTTTTGCAAACACATACTGTAATTTGTTTTTCTTAATGTGATAGGCTCATTTTGTTTACTTTTGAGAAACTATATGCCACATACCCAAGTCTAAATAACTATAGCTTTATCAGTAGTTGCTCTTTCAAGTAAAAATAGCATTCCATGAAAAAAGCAGCTAGTTCAGCTCACAGTTCATATGAGTACTTTTCCTCAGTCAAGCCATCCATTGTACTTCAGTAAGAAGTGCATGCTTTCCATCTTGTCACATAGACTGTTAAAAAGATTTGTACCCAAGGGTCAATATTTCATAAAATTAATAGTTTTTACTGCTTCATCAATCAGCAAAATTGAAAATTTTTTAATTGTTTCATTTTTGTAAAAATTGTTATATTCTTTGCTGCTCACTGGATGGTGGCAGAGAATATGACAATTAACACATTTTGGTGCCACTGCCTTCTTTCATTCCAAGGCAGTTGTAGTTTTACCCCTCATTGTTTTTATACCATCACTGCAAATGTCAACACAGTGAAAGAGCAAAACACAGTATTGTTATGAGAATAGTTTCGATTTAGTGGTCCACCTCAAAGGGTGGACGACAGTTTGAGAACCACAGCTCTAGACATTACAATGTGCTTTGTCAACTTAGTATAGTCTACTTAGAATTAATGTTGTGCCACCTAGCATAAAATTAAGAACCTTACAACAATATGTTTCTACTTGTCATCCCTCCAACATTTGTGATATTGTTGTCATACAGTTTACCTCTATATGTAAATGCTATAATCATTGTTTTTACTTTTGCTATATATAGTTAGTTGAGTTTTTTAAAATAAATTTAAAGTTTTTAAAAAGATTATTTTATAATTACCCACATATTTACCACTTCTGGTCTCTTTTTTTCACCCTGTAGATCTGAGACTCCGTGTGGTCCCCTTTTCCTTTAACCTGAAGATCTTTAACATTTCTTGTAGTGCAAATTCTGCTGGTAACAAATTCTCTCAAATTTTGTTTATCTGAAAATGTCTTTATTTTACAAATTTGAAAGATCTTTTTACTGCATGTGAAATTCAAGGTTGACACATCCCTCCCATCCCCCTATGCTGACATAAGATCTCCTTGCTTTATCTTCTTGCCTTCATTATGATTGTTTCTGATGAGAAATCAGCTGTAGTTTGCATTTCTTTTCCCACTGTATATGGTAGCTACTTTTCAAATTTATCTTTATCTTTGATTTTTATCAGTTTTCTCTGTATTTATATTGCCTGGGGTTTGCTGTGTTTCCTGCCTGGATCTATTGAGTATTTCTTTTTCTTCTTTCTTCTTTTTATCTTCAAATTTGGAAAAATTTTAGTATTTCTTTATTATTATTTTTAACTCATTTTGTCTCTCTTTTCTACTTCTGGGCTTTCAATTTATGTGTTTGTTAGACCAATTGGTATTATCCCACAGGTTACTGAGACTCACACTTTTTTTCAATCTTTGTGTCTCTGGTCTTCAATCTGAATAATTTCTACATCTGTCATTAAGTTTACTGACCCATTCTCTCCAGTGTCTGTCAGCTGTTAACCCTCCCAGTTTTTTTTTTTTTTTTTTTTGAGACAGGGTCTCACTCTGTCACCCAGGCTGGAGTGGTGTGATTATGGCTCACTGTAACCTCAACTTCCCGTACTCAAGCGATTCTTCTACTTCAGCCTCCCAAAGTGCTGGGATTACAGGTGTGAGCTACCATGCCCACCTGAGCCTACTCAACTCTTTATTTCAGATAGTGTATATGGGTTTGTTCTAGAATTTCCTTTTTTAAAAAGAAGTTTTCATTTTTTTCTGAGATTTCTTCCATCTGTGCATTCATTCTGTCCATCTTTTTCTTTAAATCTTTCAACATATTTTTCAATACTGTTTTAAAGTCCTTGTGTACTAATTCCAATATTTGGTTTTCTCAAAGTCTATATTTATTGACTGACTTTTCTCTTGATTTGCATGTCTAATAGTTTTTGATTATATGGTGGACATTATGGATAATATCTTCTATGCAGTCTGGATTATGTTGCCTTCCTTTAAAGATGTCGAGTTTTTTCTGGCAAGTGGTTAAATTTCTGCCAGTTCCTTCTTGGATCAGGTTTGATTTTAGGTGTTGTTTGGGTGGGACTATTTTGATAATATCCTGAGTCTAGTGTGGTTCTTGTTCCTATGGCATGGGATTTCTAGGGTCTTAACTAAATACTCAAGATGCTCAGATAGATCTTTCCACTGTGGCTTAGCCAGAACTCCAATGTCACCAAGCACTGTACTACCTATCTTGTCAGTTCTCTCTTCTCCATCCTCATTCCTAGAATCCTCTCTCTTCTACTAGATCCTGTGGCGACTCTGCCTGTAGATGAGCAGCTAGCACTAGCTGAAAACCTTAGGAGAACTCTTGTAGACTTCAGGGGCCCTCTTGTCTGTCCATCTCCCCTTTAGTATCCTGTTGCACAAACCCTCACCACCTCTGCAACTCTGAACTCTGATCTCTGCCTTCTCAACTCATGAAACTGCCACTCAGTGAGACAGCCTCTCTGCACCACAGTCTAGAATGTGTCCCCAGACAGAACAGGTGGATGTGGGGACTCACCTTTTGTGTTTTTCTTCTCTTAAGGATCAGTCTTGCACTGTCTGAAGTGTAGTCCAGTGTTTAAAAGCAGTTGCTTTATATATTTTATCCAGTTTATAATTATTTGTGGCAGGAGGGTAAGTCCATTGCCAGGTACTCTGTCATGGCCAAAATCATAAGTCCTATACCAGAGTTTTAAGTCATAATTATGTTGAAGATTTTGTAGTATATAGAAAAATGTGTGTGTTTGTTTGTAACTATGTAATAAATATGACTTTGTGTTGGAGAAACCAGCCCCATACCACCTGGCGGGTACCCAGATTCCAGTGGAGACAAAGGAATTAGAAAGAAACTGAATAAGAGTTTAAAAGGCGGGTCCAGGGGACCAGAGCATCAGAGGCTTGCTCACGGCCCTGAGCTCTCGGCCTCCACCCAATTTATTGGTTTACAAGCTCTTCGTTCTTAGGGCAAATGGGAGGGGTAGGAACGGATGAGGAAGAGGATTAATCAGTGAAGGAGAACTCATGAGTCATTTAATAAGATGTATAGCATTGGCAGTTTCTGTGAATTTCCTGGAGCAAAGTAGTCTCTATACTACTTAAGATCTTTAACTTATCGGGACTAAAATGAGTGGGAGTGGGTTTCAGGAGAAGCCAAGATGTTTGATTATACTCCACTGCTTCAAAGGAGTATTATTTCCCCGAGCAACCTGTGGAATGCCGTGGAGCTGTTATGCTCTTGGGGCATAAAGACAGGAAGGCAATAAGGAGACTTTTCTCCTCAGATGCCGCCCATGGCTCCCCATGGGTGTCTCACACAGGGGAGACCAACTCATCTGGCATCCCAGAAACTCTCTTCCCCACACTTTGTTATAGAATTAAGAATTATTGAAATCGTTTTAGGCTGAAAGTAATAAACTATTTTTTCCTTTAACCTAAGAATAAATATTTTCTTTTTAATTCCCTAGTCATCTAATACATTTGTCAAATTTGTCAAATATCATTGACTTATAGAACAAAATTGTGTCCTATAGTGAGGCCATCACATACATAGTAAATGACAAAGATAGGAAAATAGTTTATATTGGGTACTTTGGTTTATATCTGATTATTAAAAGTTGTAACAGGAAGCAACACTACATTCAGCAGAAGTTTCTCTAGGTAAGATTATCAAAAACTTTAGTATCCAACTTAAATAATTGGGGTGTGTGTGTGTGTGTTTTAACTTTTCCAAATCAAACCAAATACACAATTATTTAGATTACACATTGCCATCAACTAAAAGCTAAATCAAGGAAACATTATTCAATTGTACTATAGATATGGAAGGAATAAGAAATATATATAAACTATGTATACAAACAAATTATAGGGCATGTAAAAATTTGTTTTACTCAAAAATCTTCTATTTTTGAGGTTTTTTTCTCAAATTCAAATTTTTGTGAAAAGTATATTTTGTACTTTCTGCCCAAGTTTCTTTTTTATGTCTTTCCTTTTTTAAGAAAACATAACTTCCTTCTTATTATAAGGGTTGATGGCTTTTTCCTCAAGAAGGGTAAAGTTTTAAAGACAATTGTTGTATGTCTTAAACATAGAGTACAGGTTTTACATATAGTTTTTAAAAAATTATCTCTAGTTGAAGCTGCTTTACGATATTAAGGAAATTTAAGATAGTTTGTTCTTACTCCTATTCAAACATAATTGGTTTTAGTTCACCACTTAGAATCTTCACCCTGTGTGTATATAATTTTAAACAGTTGTAATTATAATACATATATAATTTGGCCGGGCGCGCAGTGGCTCGCGCTTGTAATCCTAGCACTTTGGGAGGCTGAGGCGGGCAAATCACCTGAGGTCAGGAGTTGGAGACCAGCCTGGCCAACATGGTGAAACCCCATCTCTACTAAAAATAAAAAAATTAGCCGGGTATGGTGGCACATGCCTATAATCCCAGCTACTCAGGAGGCTGAGGCAGGAGAATTGCTTGAACACGGGAGGTGGAGGTTGCAGTGAGCCAAGATTGTGCCACTGCACTCCAGCCTGGGGAACACAGCGAGACTCCATCTCAAAAAAAAAAAAAAGATATATATATATATATATATATAAAATTTGGGGATGTACTTTTTTAACCTCATTTTATAAATACTTTTCCATATTGTCATGTAATAGTCATATTTATTATCTTAATGTCTGCATAATATTCCTTTGATTTACTATAATTTTTTCATTCCCCTATCACTGAAGTTGTTTCTAATTTTTTGCTATTAATATTATATTTAGTGTTCCAGTGAATATCTTCATACAAATATTTCCCTGTACAGAATTTCTTAGTTCTTTCAAGTTACTTCGTTTCAGTAAGTTCCCAGAAGTACAATTTATTGGCCAAACTCTATAAACCACTTTTTTCCTTTGGTTTTTATTACTGTTAAATACTTGATTATTTCCAGTTTGTTTATTATTTGTTTCTATGCTTAAATTCTATAGTTGTATTTATTACTAATAAAAAGTTGTATGATTCTTATTGTCAGCTGTTGGGTTTTGGGATACGTGAATCCAGTTCTTCTAAAATAAAGAACTGCCATAAAGCAGCAGGGCTGGAGGAAGTCCCCATAAATACAGTAGGAACATTTTATAGGTTTCTGTGGGGATTCTGTAACTGTGGTGTAAAAAAAAAAAAAATCTGTTCTGCAGGAACTTAGGATATACTATTCCCCTCACTTAGCAGTTAAGAAAATGAAGTAACATAAAGAACAGTGTAAGGAAGTTACAGTTAAGAAATAACTAAATCTATTAAATAAGAAATAGCAAGTTAAACTAAAAGCTTAAATGCTTAAAGCGGAAGACCACATATACTCTTACTGTCTCACAGCTTGATTCTTCCCAGGGAAATAGATTGTTCTATTTTCTTTCCTATAAGTGGTAGAAATTTGTAGATGAAAAACTCATCCCTAGCCTTAGAAATACTGTTTTTTCAATAAATAACTTGTTGCCTTTAATTTCACAACTGTCACGTAATTGTATTCAATATAGTATATTTAATATATACAGAATTTAAAGTGTAGTTGCCAGCCCCAATTTATATGTGATTGCTCACATATGTTAAAGTAAGTCAAAATAAGTCAAAACAAAAACTATTCTAACCTCATTTATTAAAGCAAGAGACAAAGCTGTTTAATGATTATTTGGCTTGTACATGATTCAGTTTTATTTAAATACTGGTGGTTAAACTTTTATCTATGAAACTCTGAAAACATTCTCATTCAGTTTTCCTGGAGACTGCAGCATACCAATTTTGATTTATTTATTTATTTATTTATTTATTTATTTATTTTTATTTTTTTAAGGAAAACAGTTTCGTACCTTCAACGGTGTATTTATAGCCAGGTCACTGGAATATACCCTCTCATATCTGATTGTATAAGCAATACTTAAAATAGTACCATGCTTATCATCATTCCACCCAATGTAACTCCATATTCTGTCATTGTTACCCCCACTTTCCTAGATACTCAGTTTTAAGACCTTAGAATCATTCATGACTCTTACACTTCTACTCCAATATCTAGTTAATCTCTAGGTCTTAATTTCAGTGTTTTCAGTGTCTCCCTCTCCCCCTTTCCTTCCTGTTCTCCATAGCTACCACTTTAGTCATGGGACTCATTACTCCTAGACCACTCCAACAGTCTAATTGGTCGCTTTTCCTCCAGTCCTTCCCCGCTTCACTGTGTCTTGCATACTACTTAACTGTTCAGCCCCACATTTAAGATCCTCTGAAATCTGACCGTTACCCAGCTCCCAACTTCATCTGCAGTTGTCCAAGAGAACCAGTCAAAATGGAGTTTTTTAACTGTTCCCTGTATGCACTGTCTGTATTGTCAGCTTCTGAGTGACATGAATTTGCTCCACCACTTTTCCTCCTAACCTGAACCCAAACCTACCTTCTCTTAAGCCTTCCTATTTGCCCCAGCTGCATTAATTGACTGCACTCCCCTTCATCAGGTGCTAGCCATGCATGTTTCACTGTATTATCATTTACGTATTGTTTACCTGCTTGCACTAGGAGAATATAAACCCAAGATGGACAAACATTACATCTTAAATCTCTCTGTGTCCCCCACTGCCATGGTAGAAAATAATAGACTAATAGTTGAGAAGATGGACTTTGAAGTGACACAAACCTAGGTGAATTCTGGTTCTGCCACTTCCTGGCTATATGACCTTGAATAAGTTATTAAATTTCTGTTAGCCACTATGCAAAGTGGACATGATTATAACCCTATCAAAGGATTTTTGAAAGGATTAAATAAGACATATGTATGTAATGTGCTTATTACAATACCTGATATGTAATAAATAAAGGATGGCAGTTACTATAATTATAATTATGATCATCCTAACTGCTCAATGTTTGTCGGTCACAGCATGATGCACTTCCAAGAAAATTGTATAATTTATCCCTTCTCATCAGTCAGGTGACTACTACATATATCATATGATAATAGTGTTAGGGGTTTTTCTTCTAGGCTAAATGCAACTTGAATATGGGGTGTGTAATTTTTTTATTGTTTAGTGATAAAAAATTATTCCTGGTTTATTCCAGGAAATTGCTTTGCTTATAGTCTAACCTATTGCAAAAAAAAAAAAGCAAACTTTGTGAAAACAAAACTTAAAAAAAATTACCTTTCTTGTATACAGTTGTCGCTTCTATTCCAAGAAAGACATTTTTGTGCAGCAGAAAATAGTATCTTCTCATATAGGGAGAGTCGATTCTGAAACTAAAAATACTTATAGAAAGTACCAGAACTTAGAAAGGTGACCTTTTCACATGCTGTATCAAGTACTCTATCACTTAAATGCAAATGAATCCTTTTACAGAAATTAAAGTAGCTAATAAGAAAAATAAATCTAAAGTTACTTTAAAAATTGCAGGCTAAGTACAAAACATTTTAAAACTTTCATCTCTTTGACAGCAAAGTGTTAGAATACAAGTGTTGTAAGAGGAGCATTTAAAAACTACTGAAGAATGTTCTGTTCATAAATTAACAAAAAGGCAAATAAATTTAGCCTTAGAGTAAAAACCGGCATACCAGCACCCAAATAGTCATACACCAGGGTGTTCTGAGGACATTACTTTAGCAGCCGTTTCCCAGAGGTAGCTGGGGCTTGCAGCACAACCAGATTTAAACAGAAGAATCTTAGGAGTTCCAGGGTTGTACCAGCGCCATCAGTAGGAACATCTTACACAAAATGTATTCATTCCATGTGGAATTAGTCTGTATCATATGTCTTCAGCTAATCTAGAATGAAAGATGTGGTTCCTTGTCACCTTTTTTCTGCCTTCTTCAATGATAAAGCATATTTTACAGTCTATTTTTTTTTAATAGGGATCACATGCAGTGGTCTAAGGAAGAAGAAGCAGCAGCCAGAAAAAAAGTAAAAGAAAACTCAGCTGTGCGAGTCCTTCTGGAAGAGCAAGGTAGTCAACTGCGTGCTGTAGCTCCTAGAGCCAGAGCTTTAGTGACTTTTCCTCCTCCTCGTGTCATTGCTTCTGAGAGTTCTTAGCCTCTCCTGATGCCAGTCCACTTGTTCCATTTGGTAGAATTCCCAGTTCTTCCAGTGTAGTGGGACCAAAGTTAATGAAATTTGTATTCACCCTATAATTGGGTCTTTGAGTAGTCATATTATTGCTTTTTCTGGGAGATACACACATGGGTGGCATTTCAAACAAAATATGAAAACATAATTTTAAACTTTTCCACTTGCTATGCTGCTATTACTTTGCTATTATGCATTTCACTTCCTAGGAACTTTGAACAAATTTATAAACTTTGAGCAAAGAAGATAAAGTCACATCAAAATGGTGCTGAAGTTTTAGGATAAATATAGTTTCAGTAAGGATTGAAGGCAGTTTTCTTGAAGGCCTTTATATTTAATTTAAGAAAAGCCTTGCCAACCTTCATAAATGGCTTTTAAAAAATTGGCCTATGCTACTATCAAAAAAACTCAGGAGCCGGCGCGGTGGCTCACACCTATAATCCCAGCACTTTGGGTGGCCGAGGTGGGCAGATCACAAGGTCAAGAGATCGAGAAAACCTGTCTCTACTAAAAATAACAAAAATTAGCTGGTCGTGGTGGCACATGCCTGTAGTCTCAGCTACTCAGGAGGCTGAGGCAGGAGAATCGCTTGAACTCAGGAGGCAGAGGTTGCAGTGAGCCGAGATCACACCACTGTACTCCAGCCTGGCGACAGAGCGAGACTCCGTCTAAAAAAAAAAAAACCGGAAATGTTGATTCCATGTTATGGCTACTATGAATAGAGCTGCAGTAGACATGGGAGTGCAGTTATCTCTTTGATATATTGATGTCCTTTCTTTTGGATAAATACCCAGTAGTGGCATTGGTGGATGATATGGTAGTTCTATTTTTACTTCTTTGAGGAAACTCCACACTGTTTTCCATAGTGGTCATACTAATTTACATTCCCACCAACAGTGTATGAAGGTTCTCCTTTTTTCACATCCTCACCAGCATCCATTCATTATTCCCTGTCTTTTTGATATACGCTATGTTAGGTGAGGTGAGATGATATCTCATTGTGGTTTTGATTTGCATTTCTCTGATGATTAGTGATATTGAGCATTTTTTCGTATAGCTGTTGGCCATTTGTATGCCTTCTTTTGAGAAATATCTATTCAGATCTTTTGCCATTTTTTTTTTTTTTTTTGAGACAGGGTCTTGTTGCCCAGTCTGGAGTATAGTGATGAGATCATGGCTCACTGCAGCTTAATCTGACTGGGTTCAGGTGAGCCTCCCACCTCAGCCCAGGGTGGTCTGAAACTCCTCATCCTCCCAAAGTGCTGGTATTACAGGAGTGAGCCACTGCCCCAACCTTGCCCATTTTTTAATCTGATTTTCTTTTTCTTCCTATTGAGTTGTTTGAGCTCCTTAATATATTCCCATTATTAATCCCTTGTCAAATGGGTAGTTTGCAAATATATTCTTCCATTCTGTGGGTTGTCTCTTCACTTTGTTGATTGTTTCTTTGCTGTACAGGTGCTTGTTAGCATGATATAATCCCATTTTCTATTTTCGCTTTGGTTGCTTGTGCTTTTGAAATCTTTTGACAAATGACAAAATAGACAAATAAAAATGCTCCAATGTCCTGGAGCATTTCCCCCAATGTTTTCTTCTAGTAATTTCATAGTTTCAGGTCATAGATTTAAGTCTTTAGTCCATTTTGATTTGATTTTTATATATAGTAAATAAGAATCTAGTTTCATTCTTCTGCTTACAGTTTTCCAGTTATCCCAGCACCATTTATTGAAGAGACTGTCCTTTCCCCATCATATGTACTTGACACCTTTGTCAAAAATGAGTTGGTTGTAAATGCATGGATTTATATTTGGGTTCTCTATTCTCTTCCATCAGTCAATGTGTCTGTTTTTATGCCAGTACCATGCCAATTTGGTTGCTGTAGCTTTGTAGTATGTTTTGAAGTCAGGTAGTATGATGCCTCCAACTTTGTTCTTTTTTTTTTTTTTTTTCTGGAGACGGAGTTTTGCTCTGTTGCCCAGGCTGGAGTGCAATGGCAGGATCTCAGCTCACTGCAACCTCTGCCTCCCAGGCTCAAGCAATTCTCCTGTCTCAGCCTCCTGATTAGCTGGGATTACAGGTGCCCACCACCACACCCAGCTAATGTTTGTATTTTTAGTAGAGATAGCGTTTTGTCATGTTGGCCAAGCTGGTCTTGAACTCTTGACCTCAGATGATCCGCCCACCTCTGCCTCCCAAAGTGCTGGGATTACAGGTGTGAGCCACCACACCTGGCCTCAGCTTTGTTCATTTTCCTCAGGATTGCTTTGGCTATTCTGGATCTTTTGGGGTTCTATAAAAACTTTAGGGGCCAGGCACAAGTGGCTCACACTTGTAATCCCAGCATTTTGGGAAACCTAGGCTGGAGGATTGCTTGAGCCCAGGAGTTCAAGACCAACTTGGGCAATATGGCTAAAACCTGTCTCTACAAAAAATACAAAAATTAATCAAGTGTTGTGGTCATGCACCTGTAGTCCCAGCTACTCAGGGGGCTGCAGCTAGAGGATCATTTGAACCCGGGAGTTTGAGGCTGCAGTAAGCTGTAATTGTGCCACTGCACTCCAGACTGGGTGACAGAGCGAGAACCTGTCTCAAAAAAAAAAAAGAGAGAGAAAAATTTCAGGATTTTGTGCTCTATTTCTGTGAAGAATGTCATAGGTATTTTGACTGGGATTCCATTGAATCTATAAATTGCTTTGGGTAGAATTGTCATTTTAACAATATTAATTATTTGGACTCATCAGCATGGAATATCTTCCCATTTTTTAATGTCCTTTTTAATTTCTTTTAAGAATATTTTATAGTTTTCCTGTATAGATTTTTCACATCTCTGATTTAATTGATTTCTAGGTATCTTATATTCTTTGTAGCTATTGGAAATGGGATTGCTTTCTTGATTTCTTTTTCAGATTGTTCACTGTTGGCATATTTAAATGCTACTGATTTTTGTGTGTTTATTTTGTATCCTGCAATTTTACTAAATGTATCAGTTCTAACAGTTTTTTGGTGGAGTCTTTAGGTTTTTCTAAGTGTAAGATCATATTGTTGGCTGGGCACAGGGGCTTACGCCTGTAATCCCAGAACTTTGGGGGGCCAGGGTGGGCAGATCACTTGAGGCCAGGTGTTCGAGACCAGCCTGGCCAACATGGTGAAACCCTATCTCTACTAAAAATACAAAAAATTAGCTGGGAATTGTGGTGCATCCCTGTAGTCCCAGCTACTCAGGAGGCTGAGGTGGGAGAATCACTTGAACCCAGGACACAGAGGTTGCAGTGAGCCAAGATCACTTTTGCACCACTGCACTGCAGCCTGGGTGACAGAGTAAGACCCTGTCTCAAAAAAAAAAAAAAAAATATTGTCTTTGAACAAGGCTAATTTGACTTCTTCCTTTCCAACTTAGCTGCCCTTTATTTCTTTCTCTTGCCTAATGTCTCTGGCCAGGACTTCCAGTATTATGTAAAATTAAAGTGGCAAAAGTGGGCATCCTTGCCTGTTCCAGATGGATGAATGGATAAAGAAAATGTGGTATATATACACAATGGAATATTATTCTGCCATAAAAAAAGAATGAAATCTTATCATTTGCAGCAACATGGAGGAAATGGAGGTCCTTAAGTTAAATAAGTCAAGCACAGAAAGACAAATACTGCATGTTCTCATCCATATGTGGGAGCTAAAACAGTGGATTTTATGAAAATAGAGAATAGATTGGTAATTACCAGGGGCCAGGAAGGGGTGGGGGGTGAAGAGAGATTGATTAATGGGTACAAATATACAGTTAGAAGGGTTAAGACCTCATGTTCAATATAGATCAGTAGGGTGACTAGTTCACAATAATCTACTGAACATTTCAAAATAGCTAGAAGAGGCCGGACAAGATGGCTCAAGCCTATAATCCCAGCACTTTGGGAGCCCAAGGTGGGTGGATCACCTGAGGTCAGGAGTTCAAGACCAGCCTGGCCAACATGGTGAAACCCTATCTCTACCAAAAATATAAAATTAGCCGGGTCTGGTGGCACACACCTGTAGTCCTAGCTATTCGGGAGCTGAGGCAGGAGAATAGCTTGAACCCAGGAAGCAGAGGTTGCAGTGAGTCAAGATCATGCCATTGCACTTCAGCCTGGGTGACCATCTCAAAAAAAAATAGCTGGAAGAGAATAAATGTTTCTAGCATGAAGAAAAGACAAAAAGGTGTGGTTCCAAGATGGCCAAATAGGAACAGCTCCAGTCTACAGCTCCCAGCATGAGCGATGCAGAAGACGGGTGATTTCTGCATTTCCAACTGAGGTACTGGGTTCATCTCACTGGGGCTTGTCGGACAGTGGGTGCAGGACAGTGGATGCAGCCCACGGAGCATGAGCCAAAGCAGGGCAAGGCATCACCTCACCCGGGAAGCGCAAGGGTTCCGGGAATTCCCTTTCCTAGCCAAAGGAAGTGGTGACAGACGGCACCTGGAAAATCAGGTCACTCCCTCCCTAATACTGCGCTTTTCCAACGGTCTTAGCAAACGGCGCACCAGGAGATTATATCAAATGCCTGGCTTGGAGGGTCCCACGCCCACGGAGCCTCGCTCATTGCTAGCACAGCAGTCTGAGATCGAACTGCAAGGTGGCAGCGAGGCTGGGGGAGGGGCGCCTGCCATTGCTGAGGCTTGAGTAGGTAAACAAAGCGGCCGGGAAGCTCGAACTGGGTGTAGCCCACCACAGCTCAAGGAGGCCTGCCTGCCTCTGTAGACTCCACCTCTGGGGGCAGGGCATAGCTGAACAAAAGGAAGCAGAAGCTTCTGCAGACTTAATCGTCGCTGTCTGACAGCTTTGAAGAGAGTAGTGGTTCTCCCAGCACAGAGTTTGAGATCTGAGAGGGACAGACTGCCTCCTCAAGTGAGTCCCTGACCCCCAAGTAGCCTAACTGGGAGGCACCTCCCAGTAGGGGCTGACTGACACCTCATACGGACAGGTACCCCTCTGAGACGAAGCTTCCAGAGGAACGATCAGACAGCAGCATTTGCCGTTCTGCAATATTTGCTGTTCTGCAGCCTCCACTGGTGATACCTAGGTTAACAGGGTCCGGAGTGGACCTCCAGCAAATTCCAACAGACCTGCAGCTGAGGGTCCTGACTGTTAGAAGGAAAACTAACAAACAGAAAGGACATCCACACCAAAACCCCATCTGTACGTCACCATGATCGAAGACCAAAGGTAGATAAAACCACAAAGATGGGAAGAAACCAGAGCAGAAAAGCTGAAAATCCTAAAAATCAGAGCGCCTCTTCTCCTCCAAAGGAACGCGGTTCCTCGCCAGCAATGGAACAAAGCTGGATGGAGAAAGACTTTGACAAGTTGAGAGAAGAAGGCTTCAGACGATCGGTAATAACAAACTTCTCTGAGCTAAAGGAGGATGTTCGAGCCCATTGCAAAGAAACTAAAAACCTTGAAAAAAAAATTAGACAAATGGCTAACTAGAATAAACAGCGTAGAGAAGTCCTTAAAAGACCTGATGGAGCTGAAAACCATGGCACGAGAACTATGTGACGCATGTACAAGCTTCAGTAGCCGATTTGATCAAGTGGAAGAAAGGGTATCAGTGATTGAAGATCAAATGAATGAAATGAAGCGAAAAGAGAAGTTTAGAGAAAAAAGAGTAAAAAGAAACGAACAAAGCCTCCAAGTAATATGGGACTATGTGAAAAGACCAAATCTACGTCTGATTGGTGTACCTGAAAGTGACAGGGAGAATGGAACCAAGTTGGAAAACACTCTTCAGGATATTATCCAGGAGAACTTCCCCAACCTAGCAAGGCAGGCCAACATTCAAATTCAGGAAATACAGAGAACGCCACAAAGATACTCCTCGAGAAGAGCAACTCCAAGACACATAATTGTCAGATTCACCAAGGTTGAAATGAAAGAAAAAATGTTAAGGGCAGCCAGAGAGAAAGGTCAGGTTACCTACAAAGGGTAACCCATCAGACTAACAGCGGATCTCTCGGCAGAAACTCTACAAGTCAGAAGAGAGTGGGGGCCGATATTCAACATTCTTAAAGAAAAGAACTTTCAACTCAGAATTTCATATCCAGCCAAACTAAGCTTCATAAGTGAAGGAGAAATAAAATCCTTTACAGACAAGCAAATGCTGAGAGATTTTGTCACCACCAGGCCTGCCCTACAAGAGCTCCTGAAGGAAGCACTAAACATGGAAAGGAACAACCGGTACCAGCCATTGAAAAACATGCCAAATTGTAAAGACCATCGATGCTAGGAAGAAACTGCATCAACTAACGGGCAAAATAACCAGCTAACATCATAATGACAGGATCAAATTCACACATAACAATATTAACCTTAAATGTAAATGGGCTAAATGCTCCAATTAAAAGACACAGACTGGCAAATTGGATACAGAGTCAAGACCCATCAGTGTGCTGTATTCAGGAGACCCATCTCATGTGCAGAGACACACATAGGCTCAAAATAAAGGGATGGAGGAAGATCTACCAAGCAAATGGAAAACAAAAAAAAGCAGGGGTTGCAATCCTAGTCTCTGATAAAACAGACTTTAAACCAACAAAGATCAGAAGAGACAAAGGCCATTACATGATGGTAAAGGGATCAATTCAACAAGAAGAGCTAACTATCCTGAATATATATGCACCCAATACAGGAGCACCCAAATTCATAAAGCAAGTCCTTAGAGACCTACAAAGAGACTCCCACACAGTAATAATGGAAGACTTTAACACCCCACTGTCAACATTAGACAGATCAATGAGACAGAAAGTTAACAACGATATCCAGAAATTGAACTCAGCTCTGCAGCAAGTGGACCTAATAGACATCTACAGAACTCTCCACCCCAGATCAACAGAACATACATTCTTCTCAGCACCACATCACACTTATTCCAAAATTGACCACATAGTTAGAAGTAAAGCACTCCTCGGCAAATGTAAAAGAACAGAAATTATAACAAACAGTCGCTCAGACCACAGTGCAATCAAACTAGAACTCAGGATTAAGAAACTCACCCAAACCACCCAACTACACGGAAACTGCACAAGCTGCTCCTGAGTGACTACTGGGTACATAATGAAATGAAGGCAGAAATAAAGATGTTCTTTGAAACCAATGAGAACAAAGATACAACATACCAGAATCTCTGGGACACATTTAAAGCAGTGTGTAGAGGGAAATTTATAGCACTAAAGGCCCACAAGAGAAAGCAGGAAAGATCTAAAATTGACACCCTAACATCACAATTAAAAGAACTAGAGAAGCAAGAGCAAACACATTCAAAAGCTAGCAGAAGGCAAGAAATAACTAAGATCAGAGCAGAACTGAAGGAGATAGAGACACAAAAAACCCTTCAAAAAATCAATGAATCCAGGAGCTGGTTTTTTGAAAAGATCAACAAAATTGATAGACCGCTAGCAAGACTAATAAAGAAGAAAAGAGAGAAGAATCAAACAGATGCAATAAAAAATGATAAAGGGGATATCACCACTGATCCCACAGAAATACAAACTACCATCAGAGTATACTGTAAACACCTCTATGCAAATAAACTAGAAAATCTAGAAGAAATGGATAAATTCCTGGACACTTATACCCTCTCAAGACTAAACCAGGAAGAAGTTGAATCCCTGAATAGACCAATAACAGGTTCTGAAATTGAGGCAATAATTAAGAGCCTACCAACCAAAAAAAGTCCAGGACCAGATGGATTCACAGCCGAATTCTACCAGAGGTACAAGGAGGAGCTGGTACCATTCCTTCTGAAACTATTCCAATCAATAGAAAAAGAGGGAATCCTCCCTAACTCATTTTATGAGGCCAGCATCATCCTGATACCAAAGCCTGGCAGAGACACAACAAAAAAAGAGAATTTTAGACCAATATCCCTGATCCCTGATGAACATTGATGTGAAAATCCTAAATAAAATACTGGCAAACTGAATCCAGGAGCACATCAAAAAGCTTATCCACCATGACCAAATGGGCTTCATCCCTGGGATGCAAGGCTGGTTCAACATACACAAATCCATAAACGTAATCCAACATATTAACAGAAGGAAAGATAAAAACCACATGATTATCTCAATGGATGCAGAAAAGGCCTTCAACAAAATTCAACAGCCCTTCTTGCTAAAACAACTCTCAATAAATTAGGTATTGATGGGACATATCTCAAAATAATAAGAGCTATTTATGACAAACTCACAGTCAATATCATACGTACGGGCAGAAACTGGAAGCATTCCCTTTGAAAACTGGCACAAAACAGGGATGTCCTCTCTCACCACTCTTACTCAACATAGTGTTGGAAGTTCTGGCCAGGGCAATCAGGCAAGAGAAAGAAAGGGAATTCAATTAGGAAAAGAGAAAGTCAAATTTTCCCTATTTGCAGATGACATGATTGTATATTTAGAAAACCCCATTGTCTCAGCCCAAAATCTCCTTAAGCTGATAAGCAACATCAGCAAAGTCTCAGGATACAAAATCAATGTGCAAAAATCACAAGCATTCCTATACACCAATAACAGACAAACAGAGAGCCAAATCATGAGTGAACTCCCATTCACAATTGCTTCAAAGAGAATAAAATACCTAGGAATCCAAATTACAAGGGATGTGAAGGACCTCTTCAAGGAGAACTACCAACCACTGCTCAACAAAATAAAAGAGGACACAAACAAATGGAAGAACATTCCATGCTCATGGATAGGAAGAATCAATAGCATGAAAATGGCCATACTGCCCAAGGTAATTTATAGATTCAATGCCATCCCCATCAAGCTGCCAATGACTTTCTTCACAGAATTGGAAAAAACTACTTGAAAGTTCATATGGAAACAAAAAAGAGCCCACATTGCCAAGTCAATCCTAAGCAAAAAGAGCAAACCTGGAGGCATCACGCTACCTGACTTCAAACTATACTACAAGCCTACAGTAACCAAAACAGCATGGTACTGGTACCAAAACAGAGATATAGACCAATGGAACAGAACAGAGCCCTCAGAAATAATACCACACATCTATAACCATCTGATCTTTGACAAACCTGACAAAAACAAGAAATGGGGAAAGGATTCCCTATTTAATAAATGGTGCTGGGAAAACTGGCTAGCCATATTAGAAAGCTGGAACTGGATCCCTTCCTTATACCTTATACAAAAATTAATTCAAGATGGATTAAAGACTTAAATGTTAGTCCTAAAACCATAAAAACCCTAGAAGAAAACCTAGGCAATACCATTCAGGACATAGGCATGGGCAAGGACTTCATGTCTAAAACACCAAAAGCAATGACAACAAAAGCCAAAGTTGACAAATGTGATCTAATTAAACTAAAGAGCTTCTGCACAGCAAAAGAAACTACCATCAGAGTGAACAGGCAACCTACAGAATGGGAGAAAATTTTTGCAATCTACCCATCTGACAAAGGGCTAATATCCAGAATCTGTGAAGAACTTAAACAAATTTACAAGAAAAAATCAAACAACCCCATCAAAAAGTGGGCAAAGGATATGAATAGACACTTCTCAAAAGAAGACATTTATGTAGCCAACAGACATATGAAAAAATGCTCATCATCACTGGCCGTCAGGGAAATGCAAATCAAAACCACAATGAGATACCATCTCACACCAGTTAGAATGGCAATCATTAAAAAGTCAGGAAACAGCAGGTGCTGGAGAGGATGTGGAGAAATAGGAACACTTTTAAACTGTCGGTGGGACTGTAAACTAGTTCAACCATTGTGGAAGATAGTGTGGCGATTCCTCAAGGATCTAGAACTAGAAATATCATTTGACCCAGTCATCCCATTACTGGGTATATACCCAAAGGATTATAAATCATGCTGCTATAAAGACACATGCACACGTATGTTTATTGTGGCACTATTCACAGTAGCAAAGACTTAGAACCAACCCAAATGTCCATCAGTGATAGACTGGATGAAGAAAATGTGGCACATATACACCGTGGAATACTATGCAGCTATAAAAAAGGATGAGTTCATGTCCTTTGTAGGGACGTGGATGAAGCTGGAAACCATCATTCTGAGCAAACTGTCGCGAGGACAGAAAAGCAAACACCACATATTCTCACTCATAGGTGGGAATTGAACAATGGGAACACTTGGACACAGGATGGGGAACATCACACACTGGGGCCTATTGTGGGGTGGCGGGAGTGGGGAGGGATAGCATTAGGAGATATACCTAATGTAAATGACGAGTTAATGGGTGCAGCACACCAACATGGCACAAGTATACATGTGTAACAAACTTGCATGTTGTGCACATGTACCTTAGAACTTAAAGTATAACAATAATAAAAGAAAAGACAAATATTTAGGTTGATGGATATACCAGTTACACTGATTAGAAGGTATTAAATTATCACATGTACTCTGAAAATATTTATATCTATTATATATCAATAAAAATAAATAAATGTTTTATAAACCTGACAATGACAGGCATTGACAAGGCTTTGGAGAAATTGGAGCCCTTGTGTATTGTTGGTAAGATTGTAAAATGGTGTGGCTACTATGGAAAACAGTATGGAAGTTCCTAAAAAAATAAAAAATAGAACTGCCATATGACCCAGCAATCCCACCTCTGGGTTATATGCAAAAGATTTGAAAGCAAAGTCTCAAAGAGACATTTGCACACCTATGTTCATAGCAGCACTATTCACAATAGGCAAAAGGTGGAAGTACCCTAAAATGCCCATCATCAGATGAATGGTTAAAACAAATGTGGTATATACATAAAATGGAATCGTGTTCTGGCTTAAAAAGGAAAGAAATCCTGTCACATACTACAACATGGATGGACCTTGAGGACGTGATGCTAAGTGAAATAAGCCACCACAAAAAGACAGATACTGTATGATTCCACTTATTTGAGACATCTAAAGTAGTCAGATTCATAGAACGAAAAATGGTGGTTGCCAAGGGCTCGGGAAATGGGGGAAATATTAAGAAAATTTAGGACAATTGCCTCTTAATCCTACTGTTCTAACATAATTGTTTTTAGCTCATCATTTAGAACTTTTACCCAATGTGTATATAATTTTAAGCAGTTGTAATTATAATACATATATAATTTGGGGATCTACTTTTTTAACCTCATGTTATTTCATAAAAGGGGGAGTTGTCATTTAATTGGTATGTAGTTAATAGTTTAGCAAGATAAAAACATCCTGGAGGTCTGTTTCACAACAATATGAATATACTCAACAGTACTGAACTATACATTTTAAAATAGTTAAGATGTTAAATTTTACATTATGTGGTTTGTAATCACAATTTTTTTAAAAAGCACACTACAAACAAAAGAACTTGGCCTGCATCATCCTCATTGCACAGCTGGGAACCCACAGACACTTTACCCAACTCTTATATTCTCTCTATAGGACTTTCTGCCTTATTTTTCTTAAAATGATTTCTCCCTTAGAACATGTTGGTTCTTTTTTTTTCTTTTTAAAAATAGTTTATAAAATAGACACAGAAATTTATACAACTCATCAATGAATTCTCGCATAGTTCAATGAATTTTCACGAAGTTAACACACCTATGTAAACATCAACCATATCAAGAAACAGAATATTACTATTAATCCAGAAGCTTCCATGTGCTTCTTCCCAATTACAGTACTCCCCCTGATCCCTGACCCCACTAATCCCACAAATAGTGGCCCATAAGAGCCACTATTCTGGCTTCTAATACAATAGATTAGTTTTGCCAGAACAACTTGGTTCTGGTTATCATTTTTTGGTCACTCTTGTGGCAACATCAGTGTAACCGTTAGATGAAGCAAGGGTCAGCAAACTAGTCTATGGTCGAAATCCAGCCTGCTGCCTGTTTTTGTGAATAAAGTTTATTGGAACACAGACACACTCATTTGTTGACATACTGTCTATGGTCACTTTTGAGCTATAGTCACAGTGTTGAGTAGTTGCAACAAAGACTGCTGCAGCTGGCCCACAGAGACTAAAATACTATCTGGCCCATTACAGAAAAAGGTTTCCAACCCCTGAGATTGAATTTTGTTTCTAGATTGATCAGCTGTCCTGGAACTCCCCAGGGAAAGATGTTAGCATTCCTCTGTGTAAACCAAGTATAAGGAAGATCACTAATCCCACTGGTAGTTAACTATTGTTCTGGTGACTTTAGTCTACAAATTGAGGCCAAAGTTTGAAGCAACAGTAGTTGGGGAGCCTAAGCTAATGAGACTGCCCTCATTAGCTGCCCTTACCTAGTGAAGAGGGCAGTGCCTACCTATCTTATCTTCTGGTATCACTTGCTATTCCGTAGAGCCAGTTCTCCATCCTCCTCCTAAGCTCCTTATTGTATCCTGGAGAGTGGACAGAAATGAAGAGCACCTGATCCACAATGACATCATTCTATTTTTATGAGCTTCAACCACGAAGTCTTTGAGGGGAATATGGCCAGAGAGTATTAGGGTTGGATTCGAGGGTGCATACCAGTGGCAGTACTGCTTACAAATCAGCCAATATTGCATTCCTTTGCAGGAACTCTGTCACACTGTTTCTGAAGAAGTATAACTGTGCTTCTTTGCCAGCAGCTGCACAGACATATTTTCCACATTACTCAAGCTTCTGCTGGTGGCCACCTGGATGTGACAGACAGAGTCAAGCCTAAACTGAATTAAAAGTTGTCAGCCATCTTAATTCATTTCCAGGAAGTTAAAAATTATCCACAATATATTTCCTGATAATATGAAAAACCAAGGATTTTTTTGCCCTATTTTGAATATTTCCATTTAGAACATAAATAGATGAGCAGTGCTGATAGTGTTCCCTTAAAGTCGTTTGTATGTGGCTGCCTATTTTGTCCTATTTATGTTAACAATGAACTTGGTGAAGCTAATGAGAAGGTTATTTTAGGGCCTTGGAAACCGCAGTAAAGGAAAATGACAGTTCCCATAGAACCGTACGTAGTGTGACTGAAATAGAAAGGTGGTGACTGGCCTCTCTCTGTAGAAGCAGGAAAGGCAGGCAGGAGAGGGTTGATGATACCACTTTGAAGCATTTGATTTGCTTATTAGTATGTCCAGTCTCTTTCTGTGCAAGTTTTCTGACTGCTGCAGAGACACAGAACAAAAAATTCCATTTCAAAATGACTCAAAGAGATAAAGGCTTCTGCTAGGTCCCTTCTGCATCCCCTCTGTAACACTTCAGTGTGATGGGCTTTATACCTGTCAGGGGACCACTGCAGGGAGAAGGAACACATTATGGGGGTGACCATCTTATCACACGTAAGCAAGGGCACACAGAGCAATAACTGAGGCTACCCGGAGGGTGGTAAAGGAAGAATACTTTTGTTCTGAGGAACCATGTTGAGTGGCAGGACGTTACAGTGAGAGCCATCCAGCGCAATTTCTGTAGGGATCACAGACGTGCCAGTCTGCAGCACCCTGGGTGAGGCTTCAGGTTTGATATTTAATGTCTCTGATGAATATGGGTCAAGGTAAATAGATTGTTTAAAAGCTCTACTTTCAAACACTGAGACCCCAGAGGAAGCAGTGACCTGGCTCTTCGGCAAGTGCCTCTGTGAACCACCATCTTTTCTTATCTAGGAGAGTCCTAAATCTTTGAAAGAGCCAGTGTTCTCCCATCACAGAGTATTCTATATGCAGATTATTATACAGCAGGAGCACTGTTTACTGATCTTATCTCACTTTATTTTAATGCAACTGGGAGGAAGTACTGGTTGTTCTCCCATGCTGGCCAACTCTCTGGCACATTTCTTTTGGTCTCTGTGTGTCTCAGGCTCTCCTGTCACTCCCATTTCCCATTTCTCACATATTGTCTCAGCTGTTGGTGAGAACTGAAGTCAGGAAACACTCTCACAATCTGAAAGTAAGAAATTATGCATCACAAATAATAGTCTTGCTGCAGGATGGTTGACATTTCATTTTTGTGATTAAAATGTATATGGCATCTGGGACCGGATGTGGTGGCTCACACCTGTAATCCCAACACTTTGGGAGGCCAAGGTGGAAGGATCTCTTGAGCCCAGGAATTTGAGACCAGCCTGAGCAACAGTCAGACCCCATCTCTACAAAAAATTTAAAAGTTAACCAGGCGTGGTTGTGCGTGCTTGTAGTCCTAGCTACTTGGGAGGCTGAGATGGGAGGATCACTTGAGCCCAGGAGGTCAAGGCTGCACTGAGCTGTGATTGCACCACTGCACTCCAGGCTGGGCACAGAGTAAGCCCCTGTCTCAAAAAACAAAAACAAAAACAAAAAAACTATAGATCCAGGCCCTCATTTCTTTCAATAAGATTGCCCAGATTAATGATTTTTAATTCCACATTTCCTTTTTGTAATTTATTTTCAATTTTACTATAGCTCAAATTTATTTTAAAAGCAAGTTAATTCAGAGAAATGAAAGATACATTTGGCAATTTTTGAGTTAACATAATTATATTTTATAATTTCCTAAAAAACATCTCCAGTGTGTCATATCTCAGTTATTTAGCAAATGTAATGAGTCTTTTAAATGGAATAACAAAAGCAGCTGCTATTTTTACTTTAAAATATCCTGTAATTAACTATCTACCTATGGAAAGTTATCTATGTCAAGCAAAAGAATGAGTCTCACTATACTTTACTTTGTGAATACCTTACCATTGAGAAAATGTTCTATGTGAAAAAAATATATAGAGAGAGTAGCTAAAAGTTTTATGCTTATAAATTTAGGTTATTTGTTTATAAGTTGGCTTTGCTTGTTTAAAATTTTATGCAGTGCTCTTAGAAACATACTTTTAATTTCATAGTTTTTAAGAGTTTTCTTTTATTAGACAATGAATTTTCTCACTGATGTGTGGAAATTTCCAACTTTGAGAGCTCAGGTATTTGCGTAATTGATGTGCAAAAATAACTTTAAATTGCTTTTTATTACATGGAAACTTAGAATAAATTTTCATAATTCATATTAATCATATTATATATGTCATACATAAATGGTTTAATTCAATTTCTTAGTTGTGATGTTGAGTGTGATTCAGAATGAATTCTGAATATTTAAGGATGGTTAGCGTGCATATTCCTTCTTTCCCTCAGCAATATTGAATTTAATAAGTGAATAATTGAGAAGTTGCTTCATTGGGCTGTAGTTAAACAGATCGCTACATCCCTCTTACTGCCACTGGCATAAAGCAGTTAACTCTGAATCACCAACCTAGGAAAGAAAAAAAATTTTCCTCCAAGAAAAATTTGTCATTAATACACCTGTTTAGAAAGTCAGTTAAACAAGATGAAGACAGGGCAGATTTCTCCACGCTATATTATTTTATCATTCCTGACCTGCCTTACCAGCAGCTTGATACTGAATTTTTTACTCATGGTCAGAGCAGTAATTCCTCCAATTCCCCTGTTAACACAGATACTCTTGCAGTTCAGGAAATTAAATCATACACTGAAGGTGTTTGTTGTCTCATAATCATAATTATGATGATTGACCAAGCTGTGGGGTCTCAGAAGCTCTCACACATTACTGGGAACTATGGAGTTGCCAGCATTGATTGGAGAAGCTGCTGAAAGCCAAATTCCAGACACTGGTGCTGCTTCTCTGTTTTGTTTCTGTCCCACAAACCCATATATTCTCATAGAGCATTTAATGTTCCTATTGCTCATCATTTCATCATATAACTGCATGGTTTATATTTCTTATAATTTAAAGTATGCAGTTTAATTAATTATGTATTTCTGATCTGTCTTAATGAAGGGTAACTCCAATCAGCATTATTTTTACAATGTAGTTACACTGATTGTAAGCCACACTGAGGTTTTAATTTCAACTTGATACTTCATAATTGAGAAGAAAGTATGAATCAGAAAAGCAGAGATGATTTTCAGGGGGTTCATATTGACTTTGTGTTCGGGAGGCAGTGTAGTGTAATGGGTGAGAGCGTGGGCTTTAGAGTTTAGCAGACTTAGGCTAGGTCTTGACTCTGTTCTTTCTGGCTGGGTGACCTTGGGGAAATTCTTTATTTCCTCTGACATTGAATTTCTTTCTCTGCAAATTGGAATAATAAAATCTATCTGAGAGATACTGCTAGGATTAAATGGGGGAAAAATCCAAGTAAAGCATTTGACATAGTGCGTAGCCCATAATAAACACGTAATATGTGTTATTCTTGTCATTTTTAATGCTACTATTATTGGTATAATTTATGTAATTATCTGATTTCTTTTCTCCTAATTCCTGAGTGGGAAATAGTTGGAAAAGGCTTGAAAATAGGTATATTAGCAAACCCTGACTATTGCCTTCTAATATTACATAGGCTAGAGTTGAATTTAGATGCTTGACATGTTTGGTTTCTGAACCAGATTGCAGTCACGTCACTACAGATTCATTTTCTCTTTAAATTGTAAAAATTAAAACAGTAGTACAGACTCATGTTTAAAACGGCAATCTGATCCAAGATTTTGTAGTCTGTAGAACTGATAATGTTTAATGTTCTCCATAAATTCATGGCGCTTAATAGGAAAGTACACAGAATTTTTAGAGCTTAAACAGACTTTAGAGATACTACTCTAATTCAAACCTTTCATCAAATGAGGAAATTCTGTAGGCAATTTGAATGAAGAATTCAGCTAAGATTCTTTAATCTTTGTGTAAGAAGTAGATACAGCTTTGCAAAAGAAAGAGCTACCTAATAATGATTAAATTGTTATCATTGCTTCAAATTTTCAACTTATTGTTATGAATGACTATAAAATAAATTTTAGAGCTGCCATCAATGTATATACTATTCTGTGTATTTTCTCTTAATATTATTTTCCTTTATTATTTTATTTTTTATATTTATTTATTTATTTATTTATTGAGATGGAGTTTCACTCCTGTTGCCCAGGCTGGAGTGCAATGGCACGATCGCAGCTCACCGCAACCTCCGCCTCCCGGGTTCAAGCAATTCTCCTGCCTCAGCCTCCTGAGTAGCTGGGATTACAGGCATGTACCACCACACCCGGCTAATTTTGTAGTTTTAGTAGAGATGGGGTTTCTCCATGTTGGTCAGGCCGGTCTCGAGCTCCTGACCTCAGGTGATCTGCCCTCCCTGGCCTCCCAAAGTGCCGGTATTGTAGGCATGAGCCATCATGCCCCGCTTATTATCTTTTATTTTTAAATTGCTACATAAGGTTACCCTGTTTGAACTGCATGGTTTGCTTGCTCATTCCCATGTTGTTGGGCATTTGAGTTTTCCCCACTTTTTCCTAATATAAATAGAACTGCTATACACACATTTTTTTTTTAAGTAGAGACAGGGTCTTGCTTTGTTGTCCAGGCTCATCTTGAATTCCTAGCCTCAAGTGGTCCTCCTGCCTGGGCCTTCCAATGTTGGGATTACAGGCATGAGCCACCTCGCCTGGCCGCTATGCACATCTTTTATTAGGTTACTCCCCTGTACTTCCCCCACCCCACTTAATTCCTAGAGGAATATTCCCACAAATTAATCAAGATATAGTAGTATTACAGTACATTCTAGTTACTGGTAATTGGGCTCAAACACACTTCACAAGTAGCTTGATATTGTAAACTCAAATACTAGAGATTTCACTAAATATAAGTCTTCTTAGATGGCTGCTTTTTGTTAGGCAGAAAATCTTTTACCTGCATGGAATGAGTTACAAAGAGAGTTTTTTTTTTTTAAGGTAAAGGAAGAAGAGAAAGCTTGAGAAGACCCTGGAGAAATTTGACTCTTTTATAATTTCTCCTGAGTCTGATTTTCAGAGTGTCATTTTGTTTTCTTACATAGTATATCAGGCACACTCCAATTTTTAAAAGTGGAGATACACCAAAATTATTGAAAAAGAAGGAAAATAGAGATAGAAATATTTAAAAGACAAATATATAGTTTCAGATCAACCATAAATAGGTTTCTTTCCATTAGTGCAGAGGTGAGTATGTTTTGGACTTAATATCACATAATTCTTTTGTTACAAAGATCCACTTTCATTTCTCAGACCTTAAATACAGATGGGAGTTTCAGTCTTTATAGCATTCCTGCTGCCAGATACAATTCAGCCTTGATGGGAAGGAAGTCTTGTGGCCAGATGGGTGGAGATCCACGGTACAAGGCCATAAAGATAAAATTGGAAAGAAGAAAATTATAAGGGCCTCAGGACAGGGTTCTGTAACAAAGATGAACCTGATTACAGGCAACTGCTTGTTCTGAGAGTAGGGGCTTCTTTAAAATTGTGAAGGAAATGCATCTCTTATTTTTATTTTTAGTTTAATTTATTTTTGGAATGTATAGTAAATTCACATGGATCAAAATTCAAATGAAAATTCTCCTTCCAACTGTGGTCCCCAGCCACTCCTTTCCTCTCCCTAGAGGCAACCAGTATTACTGATTATGTGATTATCCTTCTAGAAGTATTTTGTACCTTCTACAAGTGTGTGTGTGTGTGTGTGTGTGTGTGTGTGTGTACATGAATATTTCTATGTAACCATACATGCGTATTTTCTTCTTATTTTAATGAGTGGTTACAGAATATAGACACTGTTATATACCTTGCTTTTTCACCTAACACCAAATCTTGGAAATTATTCTGTATTCCTAGAAAGAAAGCTTTTGCACTTTTAAAATGGCATGCGTCTACAGTAGGTTAAAGTAATTCCTAATGCGTGGATTAGGCCTATTACATAATAGCACTCAAGAAATTGTTACTGCCTGTAGCACTGCCCAAGAACACGGAAAAAAAAAAAGGGAAAAAAAAGGAACGTGCCAGGCGCAGTAGCTCACGCCTGTAATCCCAGCACTTTGGGAGGTGGAGGCAGGCAGATCACTTGAGGTCAGGAGTTTGAGACCAGCTTGGCCCACATGGTGAAACCCTGTCTCTACTAAAAATATAAAATAAATAAATAAATAAAAGACATGTTTGTTGAATAAATGAGGGAGAGAGTGGGTTACTTTATTAATTTTTTTTTTTTTTTGAGACGGAGTCTTGCTCTATGGCCCAGGCTGGAGTGCAATGGCGTGATCTCGGCTCACTGCAACCTCCGCCTCCCAGGTTCAAGTGATTCTCCTGTCTCAGCCTCCTGAGTAGCTGGGATTACAGGCGCCTGCCACCACACCTGGCTAATTTTTGTATTTTTAGTAGAGATGGGGTTTCACCATGTTGGTCAGGCTGGTCTTGAACTCCTGACCTCGTGATCCGCCCGCCTCGGCCTCCCAAAGTGC
Organism: Homo sapiens; assembly: GCF_000001405.40. Classification (NCBI taxonomy): domain Eukaryota; kingdom Metazoa; phylum Chordata; class Mammalia; order Primates; family Hominidae; genus Homo; species Homo sapiens. The sequence goes on along the minus strand of NC_000002.12, from coordinate 171,341,080 downwards.
TGGGATTACAGGCATGAGCCATCGTGCCCGGCCCTTACTTTATTAATTTAAGGAGCAAATAGGAAGAGGCAGAAAGCGAAGAATTACCTGAAGCTCTGAGACTATTGACCTAACCCTGACCACAGGATGACATCATAAAATGCATATTTGTTTTAAGAGCATCAGAAATTTTCTTTAAGGCTTCATCTTGGGAGATGTCAGTAGGAAGAGATGCCTTGGAGGTTGGGGGAAGAATGGAGTTACGGGATGGCCTCCAGATTCCAAAAGTCAGGAGACATGGCCATGGATTCACTGTGATGGGGCTCTAGGACTTGGAACAAGTGGATTTAGGTCCTTTCTTCAAATGCAAAAAGGGAGGTTGGAGTAAATTGTTCCAATGGACCCTTTTAGCTCTTAAATTATGTTGTTTATAATTTTGAAATTTCCTGTCTGATCACCAATTTGCATTTATGCTGAAATTGTATTTGTAAATACATTAAAAATAAGGTGTCCTTTCTTTTATTTGTTTATTTATTAATTTTTGAGACAGGGTCTCACTCTGTCTCACTGCTCCAGGCTCTTTTTTTTTTTTTTTTTTTTTTTGAGACAACTCACTCTGTTGCCCAGGCTGGAGTGCAATGGCGTGTTCTCTGCTCACTGCAAATTTCTCCTCCCGGGTTCAAGCATTTCTCCTGCCTCAGCCTCCTGAGGAGCCGCGATTACAGGTGTCTGCCACCACACCCAGCTAATTTTTATTTTTTTAGTAGAGATGGAGTTTCAACATGTTGGCCAGGCTGGTCTTGAACTCCTTACCTCAAGTGTCCATCTGCCTCATCCTCCCAAAGTGCTGGGATTACAGGTATGAGCCACCGTGCCCAGCCCTCATTCTTTTTTTTTTTTTTTGAGACAGAGTTTCACTCTTGTTGCCCAGGCTGGAGCACAATGGTGCAATCTCACCTCACTGCAACCTCCACCTCCCAGGTTCAAGCAATTCTCCTGCCTCAGCCTCCTGAGTAGCTGGAATTACAGGCACCTGCCACCACCTCCGGCTAACTTTTTGTATTTTTAGTAGAGATGGGGTTTCACTATGTTGGCCAGGCTGGTCTCGAACTCCTGACCTCGTGATCCACCCGCTTCAGCCTCCCAAAGTGCTGGGATTACAGGCATGAGCCACCGCGCCTGGACCTTTCTTTAAGATAATAAAAAACCACACAGCTTATTGGTAACAATGTGATTGTTAAGATAAAATTAGAAAGTTGTTTGCAGTGATTATATTTCTCACAAAAATTGGCTAAACTATTAAGATAAAAGCAGATTCACAGGGGTAGGACTAAATATCCCACATTTTGACACATTTTGAGAGAATTAAAGCTCTGTAGTTTCAACCTTTTATCAGATAGATTAAAATATTATAATATTAAAGTTATTCATTTGTAAATATAATTGTTATAAATGATAATGTATATGTTTAACAATTATCAAGACAGTAGCTAATAGTAAATATAATTCGTAGTAAAATAAATCTTTCTTTTTCCTCTTTATTTTAGTTAAGTATGAGAGAGAAGCTAGTAAATACTGGGACACATTTTACAAGATTCATAAGAATAAGTTTTTCAAGGATCGTAATTGGCTGTTGAGGGAATTTCCTGAAATTCTTCCAGTTGATCAAAAACCTGAAGAGAAGGCGAGAGAATCATCATGGGATCATGTAAAAACTAGTGCTACAAATCGTTTCTCAAGAATGCACTGTCCTACTGTGCCTGATGAAAAAAATCATTATGAGAAAAGTTCTGGTTCTTCAGAAGGTCAAAGCAAAACAGAATCTGATTTTTCCAACCTAGACTCTGAAAAACACAAAAAAGGACCTATGGAGACTGGATTGTTTCCTGGTAGCAATGCCACTTTCAGGATACTAGAGGTATTGTGCTCAAGGGACAAAAATGGGAGGTGACAAATAATTTGAAAATGTACATTCTGTATTATTTTATTAAAAATCCAGATTTTTTTTGGTGGAAAACTATCAAATGTAAATAAGCATTCAGTGTACTTCTGTGCATAAATAATATCTAAGGGACTCATGTCTTTAATCAGTCAAGTTTTAAGTTTGTGGTTTAAATCTGGTTTTGCTGGTTTTTAAAAAAAAAAAAATTGTCTGTTTTCATTTTAATCTGAGGGCAGTTTTAAGTACCAATGAAGCTTTGGCCTTAATTTTTACTCTCTTTGTTATTACCCCTTTTTAGATGAAATAGAAATAAGTGAGATATATAATTTGCTATAATCTGGTGTAGACCTTGGTTTTCTATTTTTAAAACTAAACCCTGTCTTTCTTATTTTAAAGGCAATGTATATTGATTATAGAAAATTTGCTAACAAGGAGATAATTTATCACCAATCCTACAAACAAAGGATTTCACCACTGTTAACATTTTAGTGACCTTTTTCTTCTTTTTTTTTTTTTTTTGAGACAGACTTTTGTTCTTGTTGCCCGGGCTAGAGTATAGTGGCGCCATCTCAGCTCACTGCAGCTTCTGCCTCCCGGGTTCAAGCAATTCTCCTGCCTCAGTCTCCTGAGTAGCTGGGATTACAGGCGCCTGCCACCACACCCAGCTAATTTTTTTGTATTTTTAGTAGAGACAGGGTTTCGCCACGTTGGCCAGGCTGGTTTTGAACTCCTGGCCTCAGGTGATCCGCCCGCCTCAGCCTCCTAAAGTGCTGGGATTACAGGCATGAGCCACTGTGCCTGGCTGACCTTTTTCTTCTTTTATTACTGTACATGTATTCTAAGTTTTGTTTGTTTCTATTTAACATGGCATCATAAGCAGTTTTCACTATCTTTAAAAATTCTCTGTAAATATTTTGATGGCTACAAAATATTTTACTATGTGGAGTACTATAATTTTACTTATCTATTTTCACACTACTGGGCATTTTAATTGTTTTCAGATTTTCTGAAGCAAACATTTTGGGTATAGCCTTTACCTGCATTTTCTTTTATTGTTTTAGGTTAGATTTTCTAGTTCATAATTTATGAAGATTTTTAATACTTTTAAAACATATTGCCCACTTGCTTTCTAAGAAGTTGTACTAATACCATTCCATGACAGTGTATGTCTGTTTCATCACACCCTCATTGATTGAAGTATTATTTTAATGTTTTCCACTTTGTTAGACAAAAATTGTACCTTGTTTTAATATGCGTTTCTTTGATGACTAAGTAGGTCACATACTTCAAATGTTTAGAATCATTTGTACTTCTTTTTTGTTCTGTCCATTTATTTTCTCTGCTTATCTGTTTTTTTTTTTTTCCTAATGAGCCTTGCCCTTTATCATATTCATTGCAGTTTTCTTCACAGCGTATTGGTTATTTTTAAATTTGGTTTATTTTGGGTTTTGGTGTGTAAAAAATTTAAATGTTTCCATAGTCAGATTTCTTAGTGTTTATTCCTGTGATTTATTTCATTGCTTTTGAGTTTAGAAAATTATCCTGTGCCCAGAGATCCAGTAAGTCTAATTGTTTTTTTCTTTAATAGGAGATCTGACATTGGTGACAAAAATTTAACCTTGCTTTTTTTGATATTTGCTTGTTCTTTTGATTTTAGGTTGGTTGTGGAGCTGGAAATAGTGTGTTTCCAATTTTGAACACTTTGGAGTGAGTTTTAAGAGTTTTCTTTCTACAGAATTTTACATATTTATGGAATGTTGAGAAATTCTGGGAAAATATTGTCACGTGTATGCCAGTAGTGTTTCTAATTCTTATATGAACAATGGCTCAAGCAAATTTCAAAAGAAATGTCTTAATCTCAATGTCTACTTTCATGTGAACTGGGAATTACTCTGAAAATAGTGTTTCGTAGCCATGGGTTGTCCATCATTGTTTTGAAGTAATTTTTTAAGCTTATGTGTATATGGATGAGAGAATAAGAAAAGAGGAAGCAGACTGGGCATGGTGGCTCATGCCTTTAATCACAGCACTTTGGGTGGCTGAGGCGGGTGGATCGCTTGAGGTCAGGAGTTCAAGACCAGCCTGACCAACATGGTGAAACACCACCTCTACTAAAAATACAAAATTAGCCAGGCATGGTGGCGCATGCCTGTAATCCCAGCTACTTGGGAAGCTGAGGCAGGAGAATCTGCTTGAACCAGGAGGCAGAGTTTGCAGTGACCCGACTGCGCCATTGCACTCCAGTCTAGGCAACAAGTGCAAAACTCAGTCTCAAAAAAAAAAAAAAAAAAAAAAAGAGGAAGTGATTTCATCCTTCCACTGAGCTGTGAACTGCTAAACTTCAGAGATTATTTACTCTCCCTAGATACTTAGATGTCATTTTACACATAGACAATTGAATGTAAAGCTTACAACTTAAGCCTCATTTTGTCATCCCTTCTGAAGCAACACCCTATGTAAGATGTTTGCATGCCAAATCATTGTGTCTAGGCTTAAAATTGTTTGGAGGTAGCAGCAACTAATCCTAAGACTCAAAAAAGCCGATCCTGGCTAACACGGTGAAACCTCGTCTCTACTAAAAATACAAAAAATTAGCCAGGCGTGGTGGCGGGCGCCTGTAGTCCCAGCTACTCGGGAGGCTGAGGCAGGAGAATGGCGTGAACCCGGGAGGCCGAGCTTGCAGTGAGCCGAGATCTCGCTACTGCATTCCAGCCTGGGCGACAGAGTGAGACTCCGTCTAAAAAAAAAAAAAAAAAAAAAAAAGCAGTCGGGCGTGGTGGCTCATGCCTGTAATCCCAGCACTTTGGGAGGCCAAGGCGGGCAAATCACGAGATCAGGAGTTCGAGACCAGCCTGGCCAACATAGTGAAACCCCATCTCTACTAAAAATACAAAAAATTAGCTGGGTGTGGTGGCGGGCGCCTGTAATCCCAGCTACTCGGGAGGCCGAGACAGGAGAATTGCTTGAACCCAGGAGGTGGAGGTTGCAGTGAGCTGAGATGCGCCACTGCACTCCAGCCCAGGCAACAGTGCGAAACTTTGTCTCAAAAAAAAAAAAAGCAGAGTTTGACTACAGGGACAGAGATTTGCTCCAGGCTCACCCTTCCTGTTCACCATTTCACCTGTGTCTTTTACTTTTTCCATGATGAACACACAAAACTCTTCAAACACCTTTTATCTATGGCCAATCTGCCAAGCTCTATTCTTTTTTAAGTTTACACATTTTTTTTAAGTTCACATTATTTTTCCATTATAAAATCAGCATTAGCACGTTGCAGAACATTTCCATTAGAGGAAAAGGAGAGGGAGGGAATCACTCATCATCCTAACATAGCCACTGACAAAATTTTTGTTTTAATTCCTTTCAGTCTTTATGCATATTTTTAAATGATGTGATCTTTTAAACTTTTTATTATTAAAATGTAAAAGCATCTGGGGCCTGGTGCGGTGGCTCACACCTGTAATCCCAGCACTTTGGGAGGACGAGGCAGGCAGATCACTTGAGGTCAGGAGTTTGAGACCAGCCTGGCCAACATGGTGAAACCCTGTCTCTACTAAAAATACAAAAATTAGCTGAGTGTGGTGGTGCACAATTGTAATCCTAGCTACTCGGGAGGCTGAGGCAGGAGAATTGCTTGAACCCAGGAGGTGGAGGTTGCAGTGAGCTGAGATCGCACTACTGCACTCCAGCCTGGGTGACAGAGCAAGAGACTCTGTCTCAAAAAAAATTTTTTTAATTAAAAAACATTCAGAAAAGCAAAGAGTACAGTGAATTTCCATATGCCTAACACCTCAATTCAACAATTACCAATATAATGCCAACATCATGATACTTTATCCTTGATTATTCAGGATATATCTCCCAAAACTCAGTATACTCTCTAATATTATTATAAACCTAACATAATGAATAGTGAGTAGTTTCCTACTATCATTTAATAACCAGTTAATGTGGCCAGGCCTGGGTGATGCTGGTAAATTTACAGTTCTGAATGTCCTTTCTGTTTGTGTCTTTGTTAGTTTTGTTTTCCTTTTTCTAGTTTCTGGGCTGAAATTTCAAACTTGCTTATGTCACATAGCCATATTCCTTTACCCCAGTGGTCTCTGAGCTTATAATACACGTAAATACACTACATTGGCAGTTGATTGTGTGTTACTTTATGACTGATCTCAAGGTATTATTTAGCATGTCATTTATTTATGCCTTGTCTCTCCGACCACTTTTTATATTCCTTAAGGTAGAGGGCATATTTTATCCTAATCTGATTTCCCAGGTTGCCTAACAGTACAGCTTAGTTGGAGCTCAATACATATTGCCTGATTAATATCTCTCATTCCCCCACTTGCTAGTTGTATTTTTCACCTCTGCTTCTCCCTTCAGCTTATAATTGCAAGCTCTTGGTTCCTCACTCCCTAACTCTTTCTTCTTAGCTCTGTCTTTCTTTGCCTCATACCTATGTTTTAGAAATTACTGTAGCTCAATAACCTCAGATAATTAATTCATCTTTTAAAGGCAACCAGTGATTAGCCTTCCAAAGGAATTATTAGACTTTTTTTTTCTGCTTAAGAAATTATGTTTTACTACTTTTAGAGAGTGTAGGATTAATGTTTTACATTTTCAGAATATTTTACCATAATTAGACCTCTGAAATGGAGAGGTCATATCATTCTCCAAGGATCATTTAATTCATAGACCCCTGCCAAGAGAGTGCTTGGTGGTGTGGTGGTAGTAGTGATATTTACACCTGTTTGCTGGGAGAAGAGCCAAGGTAGTCAGCTGATTTTACAGAAAGGTTCTGGAAAGTCACTGGGTGGTCACAAGACATCACCTTGGGCTGCTGATACAGTGGGAATTCCATCTTAGAGGTCATGCTGCCACCGTGGCAGGACACATGGCATATGGCACATGCTTTCCTTTAGCTCGTAGACTGTTCTATATCTTATGGGTATGTGGTAACTACTGCCCAAAGGTAGACTGCAGACCTTTTATAATGAGCTAGACATACCAGTGTCCAGAAAAGCATTTTGAACTATATGGAAGTTTTTTGGTTTTTGTTTTGTTTTGTTTTGTTTTGTTTTGTTTTGTTTTAGAGGACTATGTTAGTTTTTAAGCTCCTGGAAGGCAAAAACAATCTCCTTTAATAATAATAGTGATGATAATAATAGCAACAACAATTATAATAATGACTAACATTTATTGAGTGCTTACTCTGAATCAGGCACCTTTCTGGAAACTTTAGCTATAAGAATCCATTCACTTCAAACAACCATCTTAGATGCCATGTTTATCTCTTTTTTTAAAGATGAGGGAATTGAATTAAAGAAGAGATTAAGCAACTAGCCCAAGGTCATGCAACTATGTAGTAAAGCTGAGACTCAAACCTTAGGCAGTCTTGTTCCAAAGCCCCTGCCCTTAACCATTAGCCACATAGTGCTGAGTGTTTACTGAGAACATTTCAAATACATTTCAAACACCCAGCAAATTACAAGTCACAATTATATGGATTTAATCAGAAAAAAACAGGGGAACATGCTGAAGTAAAGTGCTATTTTTATGTTTGACAGATGAGAAAAGACCAAGCAGTATGAGTTTTAACTTTGATTCAGTACTGGTTAGCTTTTCATAACAAAATCCTATTAATCATACTTTAACTTATTTGGATAGATCTTAAATTGAATGCAAATCCCTAGTGCCATAGAATGAGTGAATTATATGTTATCATAGTTATTCATCAATGAGTTGCCTTTAAGAATATAATCTGAGGCCAGGTGCGGTGGCTCACTCCTGTAATCCCAGCACTTTGGGAGTCCAAGGTGGGTGGATCACCTGAGGTCAGGAGTTCAAGACCAGCCTTACCAACATGGTGAAACCCTGTCTCTACTAAAAATACAAAATTAGCCGGCCGTGGTAGCACATGCCTGTAATCCCAGCTACTTGGGAGGCTGAGGCAGGAGAATTGCTTGAACCCAGGAGGCGGAGACTGCAGTGAGCCGAGATTGCACCATTGCACTCCAGCCTGGGCAACAAGAGCGAAACTCTGGGGTCTCAAAAAAAAAAAAGAAAAGAAAAAAAAAGAGTATAACCTGCACCTGGGTCAGATTTTGCTAAATGCATATTTATTTAGCTAAATAAATTCCATATTTATTTAGAGGTTCACCTTGCTTGGAATGCTTCTTGAGTCAGATTAGAAGTCTTAATGATATGCTTCAAGGCCCACCTTTTTATCCTGCCATATACCAGTTTGGGCTCTCAGGATTAGTGCTACTTCTCATCCCTGGCATGTGACTCCCACTTCTAAACTCTTCAACCATTTCCCCTTCTCCTCACTTAACAATACATCCTCCTCCTTCAGAAATTTTAAGACTTATACCTCAGGGTGCTGACCCTCTTGACACCCCTGTAGAAGTTGTATAAAACCAATTATGTCCCCAACTAGACTATAAAACCCATGAGAGCCAGGACCATCCTTACTGTTTAATGACATGCTGACCTCTTTCTGTAGTTCAGACATGGTACTAAGCAACATGATGCAAGGATTATTTGATACCAGCATACACAGTATAATCAAGAGGAGTATTAGTCTACAAATTTCAGAGTATATGGCTGCCTTAAGTAACCATGGTCCAGCCATCATTACTGAATTTCAGATAAAGGCCAAACAGAACATATTTAAGTTAAGAAGAGTCCAATTAAAAATCATACCACCTATTGGCCAGGCACAGTGGCATACATCTGTATGTAGTTCCAGCTACTCGGGAGATTGAGGCGGGAGAATCACTTGAGCCCCAGAGGTCGAGGCTGTAGTGACCCGTGATTGTGCCACTATACTCCAGCCTGGGTGACAGAGCGAGACCCTGTCTCAAAAAAAAAGCTGAGGGGCGGGGGTGGAAATAACTTATTAACAAGTCAGACCTACAGTTTCCTTTCTTCTCTAGTTTGAGTATTTCTAGACTCCAGATATAAATATTTCTTCTGGCCGAGCACAGTGGCTCACACCTATAATCCTGACAGTTTGAGAGGCTGAGGCAGGAGGATCATTTGAGAACAATAGTTCAAGACCAGCCTGGGCAACATAGTGAGACCCCATCTCTACAAAAAAATCTAAAATTAGCTGGGCATGGTGAGGCACATCTGTAGTCCTAGCTACTCAGAAGGCTGAGGAAGCAAGATCGCTAGAGTCCAGGAGCTCAAGGTTATAGTGAGCTATGGTCACGTTACTACACTCCAACCTGGGCAACAGCGCAAGACCCTGTCTCCAAAAAAATAAATAAATATTTCTTCCATCTTCATAGGAACTCTCCGGAGTCCTTTCTGTATTGTTGTGATTTTGCTTCTGGAGCTGTGGAGCTCGTAAAGGTATGCTACTCCTGGGAATCATACCAACTGATGCCTAAGGTATTACCCCAGAACAATAAAAGTTGTTTTGATTTTAAGATCACTAGAGGCAGGGCGTGGTGGCTCACACCTGTAATCCCAGCACTTTGGGAGGCCAAGGTGGGTGGATCACCTGGGGTCAGGAGTTTGAGACCAGCCTGGCCAACATGGTGAAACCCTGTCTCTACTAAAAATAAAAAAATTAGCTGGCTGTGGTAGCACGTGCCTGTAGTTCCAGCTATTTGGGAGGCTGAGGCACGAGAATCGCTTGTACCTGGGAGGTGGAGGTTGCGGTGTGCCAAGATCGTGCCACAGCACTCCAGCCTGGGTGACAGAGCAGACTGTCTCAAAAAAAAAAAAAGATGAAAGGCCAACAGCGCCAGGCATGGTGGCTCACGCCTGTAATCCCAGCACTTTGGGAGGCCGAGGCAGGCGGATCACAAGGTCAGGAGATCGAGACCATCTTGGCCAACATGGTGAAACCCCGTCTCTACTAAAAATACAAAAATTAGCTGGGCATGGTGGTGGGTGCCTGTAATCCCAGCTACTTGGGAGGCTGAGGCAGGAGAATGGCTTGAACCCAGGAGGCGGAGGTTGCAGTGAGCCAAGATTGCGCCACTGCACTCCATGCTGGTGACAGAGCAAGACTGTGTCTCAAAAAGAAAGAAAGAAAGGCCAACAACACACAAGAAATGACCAGAAAGGGTACTGACCTACAAAATTTAGAATGTATGCCTGCCCATGAATAATCGTAGTCCAAACAGAACCTCTTTAAGTTCAGAAACAGCAACCCAGAGCAGGCCTCTAACAACACTGTCTACTAACTCAGAAAGCCTACCCTCCTCTACTTTTAAAGTTAAAGAGGGATTGCGAAGGATATTTGTTATCAAGGCCAAGAGCTAGCCTTAATTTTTTTAGGGCAGCTTGAAATAAGCTAACAATACTGAATTGGAAAAAAGTGTTCAGACTGACAGAGGAAAGGCTTTTGGGAGAAAAGGTTAAAAATTTGACCTTTTTATTTAAAAAAAAAAAAATCCCGGAAGTCTACTAAGTCCTCTTTTTGCTTTCTGTTCCTTTATCATGACAGTCACACTCGTCCTACAGAGCAACCCAGTGTTTTGCCTTTGTTCATGATGTATGTGATGATGGCTTACCTTACCCTTTTCCAGATGGGATCCTGGATGTCATTCTCCTTGTCTTTGTGCTCTCTTCTATTCATCCTGACAGGTAAATGAAGACGAAAGGGCAAAGTGGATGTGTAAAGCTCCTTTATCAGTAGTGGTTTTCAGAACTATCAAAGCAAAAATGACAATTTTTGAATTTATTATTTAGTGAGCAACATTATGTATAATACACAGCCTTTTAAAGGCAGTTTTTCCTTTCTTCGTACTTTTAGACAGAAACTGGTCAGACTACTTCATTAATGAGCTTTCTGTCACTGTCAGAATGAAGTGAGCATATTCTGGCAAGACACATACCTATTAAAAGTGACAGTGCTTCAAGGAAATTACAAATTCAGAACAACCTAATAGACTCCCAAGAGGGAAATTGTACTTGGTGATCAGAAACAAACATCTTTAGTGTAGTGTCTTCCTGAATGTTCATGAAGAGGTGGGCTTGGGATCTGTTTGGCTTCACACAGGCCTGTTGATGGGCTTTAAAAATTTTGTTCTAAAGAAGCACACTAGGGAATCAGGAGTTATTAAGATTTGCCAGATTATCCTTGGACCTTTATGATCTAAGGTTAGCCTGATGCCATCATTTAAATATTTATGACTTAGTTTCATACAGTGTTTTAAAACTATAAACATAGCTTTTCTCCAGAGAGAAAACATAAAGAGATATTACCAGCAATTAGAATGATTACCTTTCTTAAATCTTGCCATCTTCTATGTATTAAAGGGTACATATGGTAAGTACCAGGTCTGTGCTTTCATAAGGTTTCTTAAAATTGGGTTCTCACAGTTCCCTGGTGGAAGATACAGACTTGGCGTCAACCACTTTTTGTTTGATGAGTGTGACCCTTTTCCATAGAAACTGAGTTACCATGTGCTTATTTCTTTGCAATTAAAAGGCCACTAGGACCCTTTACAGTTCTTTTACTTCCCATTCAGAAATGAGCACTTTGATTACTTGTAGAAGAACAAATTCCATTTCCAAATAAATCTGAAATAAGATACTTTAGCACCTAGTGAGGTATGTCAGGTTTTATGAAGCTACTGTTTCCTCCCAGTTTCTATAACCTATTTCTTTCTGCTAATCTGTTTAGACTGTAGGCATTGTTCAGGTACTAATAGAAAGTTGTCATCTATGTGTTTGGTTTCCTTATATGAACAGTTAAAAGGATGGAGAGGTGGATAGAGAACAAGATTCCCCATTGACACCCATAACAAGAAACATCTAAATTCTACATATAACCACAAAAAGACTATTTGAAATTAGTTCAGATAATGTATTTTCTCATGATTTGAATTGAATGTTATAGAGAAGAGAAAGGCCAGGTGCAGTGGTTCACACCTGTAATCCCAGCACTTTGGGAAGCCGAGGTGGGTGGATCACCTGAGGTCAGGAGTTCCAGACCAGCCTGGTCAACATGGTGAAACCTCGTTTCTACTGTGAAACCTCTGCCTCCTGTAGCCAGGCATGGTGGTGGGCGCCTATAATCCCAGCTCCTTGGGAGGCTGAGGCAGGAGAGTCGTTTGAACTCAGGAGGCAGAGGTTGCAGTGTGCCGAGATTGCACCACTGCACTCCAGCCTGGGCGACAAAGCAAGACCTTGTCTCAAAAAAAAAATAAAAGGCTGGGCGCTGTGGCTCACGCCTATAATCCCAGCACTTTGGGATGCCAAGGCGGGTGGATCACCTGAGGTCAGGAGTTCAAGACCAGCCTGGCCAACATGGTGAAACCCCATCTCTACCAAAAATACAAAATCACCTGGCTGTGGTGGCACACACCTGTAGTCCCAGCTACTTGGGAGGCTGAGACAGGAGAATTGCTTAAAACTGGAAGGCAGAGGCTGCAGTGTGTGGAGATCATGCCACTGCACTCCAGCCTGGGCAAGACAGAGACTCCGTCTCAAAAAAATAAATAAATGATAAAAATACAAAAATTAGCTGGGCGTGGTACTGCATGCCTGTAATCCCAGCTACTCTGGAGGCTGAGGCAGGAGAATCACTGGAACCCAGGAGACGGAGGTTGCAGTGACCCAAGATCACGCCACTGTACTCTAGCCTGGGTGACAGTGAGTAAGACCCTGTCTCAAAAAAAGAAAAAACTAAAACCAAGGCAATGTCTATAGTGTCACTTAGGACTATAGTAGTAGATTCAACCCCAGAAAAGTTCTAGAAAAGTAGCATCTTGGTAGCTTGGAAAATTCAGGCATAAGCAAATGGCAAGCAATTTGGCTAGACCTTGAGTCTGGAGGACCCAGCTTAAATGGGAATAAATTGTAGGTGGCTACAAAAGAAGAGCGAATTGTCCTTCTTGTCACTGAAATGAAAATACAAAATATTACAGAGCCAAGCATAAAGCAGGCAGTCAATACATTTTTTATCTCTTCCTTCTCCTCTCCCTCTATCCAGAGATAAGTGAAGACAGCAGAGTTGGCCCAAGTAGGATGAAGAAAGAAAAGGGGCTTCATACCATTCCTGTCTTGTCCATCTCACCCCCAGCCCACTCCCACCTGCAGTTCTCAGGAATTGGCTCGGGAACTGCACTATGAACCAAGATGAGATGAGCAAGAAAAGTAGCTCCCGTTCCTTGCCTTTATCCTCAACCCCAGACATTAAAGGATAGCTGAGAGGAAAGAATTTGCAGGAGGAGGTGGCTACATTTTAAAGTGTTCGATTGTTTATTTTTCTGCATTTTAGTTTCATACTTGTTTTACTAATAATTACAGAAAGATTTTGCTATGTACGTAAAATATTTATATTGAAAGTGAATATTTTAAGGTTTAGATATGATTTTCTTTCATTCGCAAAGCCTATGATATAAGCACAGTATGAAAATAACCTGTAATAAAATAAACAAAAAATACGTTTCTTTTTTCTTTTATGTCCTTATGTGCTAGTTTTTTTAAAAGGACTTTTCACCTAATCATGCCACCTCCTTTTGTCCTACTTCTTTCTTGTTTTATAGTTGCTTTCATTTTCTCAGTATCTGCTTCCTTCATAACATGACATAATCTGAGTTTTACCTTACTATTCCACTGAACAGTGTTTTAATTGAAAGGAATTTACAGATTATCTGATTCAAACTTTTCATTTTTTTCAAATAAGAAAACCTCAGCAGCTTTAAGTAGCTTAGATAAGGCAGAGACAAGGACTTAGCACACAAGCTGCCATTTACCATTCTCTGCCCATGGCAGACATTGATAATCGATTTTGTACTCGGTAACTCGCAATGAGCTTTATGAGTCCTTCTCAGAGCTCTGTAGGCAGCCGATGCTGTCACTCAGAATTAATATGAGATCTGAAATCTATGCCATCCCTGGCCCATAATCACACATAAAGCCATGAACACTTAGCCAAAAACACTAAATCAAGAGCAGCTATAAGGGATTGTATTTGACTGGAAGCCAAATAAGTAGAATAAACAGTAAAGGAGAAAAGCAAAGGCTCCCTGCTGTTGAACTAGGGCTTGGAATGTGAATAAAATTTAAATAGGCAGACAGTAAGGAGGAGAGAATTCTTTGAGGAAAAACCATGTGAGCAAAGGCAGAGGCTGCTCAGGGCCAAGCATGACAGTTTGGCTAGGGGAGCTGCTTCAGATTGGAAAGCTGTTGGTAAGATTAATTGGGGTCAGTAGTAGGAGATCTTAAGAGCTCAACTAAGAAATTGAAATTTTATCCTATGGATTAAAATCATGAAAGTTTTTGAGCAAGGAGATGATTTGACAAAATTATCATTTTAAGCAGAATTATTCATCGATAACATGCAGGAAGGATTGACAGGGAGAATAATACAGCGTGTTAGGAAGCAGATTTGTTTCCAGGCCTAAGGAGATAGGGGTTGGTACTAAGGGAGTACAAATGGGAAACAAAAAAGACAGGAAATATCAAAGATGTCATTAAAAATAAAAATTAAAGAGGACATAGAATTTTATGGCCACATGGAGAGGACAGTGGAAGAAAAATAATTTCTCTTTCATGAGGTAAATGGTGGTACCTCCGAACTAAATAAAGAAAAGGAGAATGAGCTCGTTTTGGAGGAAAGATATTCCCTCTTTAGATATGTACAACTTGGGATGGCTTTGGCATATTTTTTATCTTGCAAGGAAAATGAAGCACACTCCATTGTTGTCTATCTCAGAACTACCTTAATTTTCTGTAAGTACCAGGAAACATCTGTGGTTTTGAAGTTTAGCTTTGACATCATACGTCAAGCTCTGTGAAGTTACCACTCTGATCATTTGGGTGATTTCTTGATACTCTAGGACTTTTGAATCTAGTCATTTAGCAAGTTGGTTTTGGTTTTTTCTTCTTTACAAAATATTTTTATTTTTGTTACCCTTATGTTTATGGTTTAGATTTCTTTGGCCTTATCAAGCTTTTCTTATTTTGTCTTCAACAAAGTTAAATCCAGCATATAAAACAAGATTTCTACAAACTGGGTATCTTTTTAATACTTTGTTTCCAAAGGATGCAAGGTGTTGTAAACCGACTGTCCAAGTTACTGAAACCTGGGGGAATGCTGTTATTTCGAGACTATGGAAGATATGATAAGACTCAGCTTCGTTTTAAAAAGGGTAATAGTATATTCAGTTTGAGGTTATTTTTAAATGTTCTAAAGAATGCCTTGTTTATATTTCACATCAAAGTATTTAGTTGTTTTTTTTTAAAGGAATACCCTTAAGAGTTTCTCTTTTCACAATTTTTTTCAGGACATTGTTTATCTGAAAATTTTTATGTTCGAGGAGATGGTACCAGAGCATATTTCTTTACAAAAGGTATGCTAATCTACAAAAGGAAATAATTGGTCATAATCGTTCTTGTTAGTTATTATCTCATTGATTATAGCTCAGAAGCTATGAAACTGAGGCTTCAGTCATTGATTAAGCATTAGATGTCTTCATACTTTGATGCTTATTACTGGTCTACATAAAAGGTTGAAAATGGCCGTTTACTGTTTAATCTTTTTCCAGTTAAACTGCTTTAAAGTCTCTTGTTTTACCCTCATACCCAGATGAAGGTGAAGGCTGTTCCATTTTGGAGATATTGTTAGCCTAGATATGAAAAAAATTGATGATAGCCACAGCCAAAGGAGGACATTTGATAAGTTTATAGAAAATTACTTATCTTGGCCTGTCACAGGGGTGCTCACCTGTAATCCCATCACTTTGGGAGATGAAGGTGAGAAGATTGCTTGAAGCCAGGAATTTGAGACCAGCCTAGAAAACAAAATGAGACTCTGTCTCTACAAAACAATTTTTTTTTAATTAGCTGGTCTGGTGGTGCATACCTGTAGTCCTAGCTACTTGGGAGGCTAAGGTGGAAGGATCACTTGAGCTGGGGCAGATGAGGCTACAGTGAGCTATGATTGGACCACTGTGCTCCAGCCTGGGCAGCAGAGTGAATCTTATGTCTAAAAAAACAATACATTTTCAAAATAGAAAGAAGGAAAATTACTTATCTCTAGCTGATTTCTCTTTTTTTTTTTTTTTTTTTTGAGACAGAGTCTCACTCTGTTGCCTAGGCTGGAGTGCAGTGGCACAATCTCAGCTCACTGCCATCTCCACCTCGCCGGTTCAAACGATTCTCCCACCTCAGCCTCCCAAGTAGCTGGGATTACAGCCTCCCAAGTAGCTGAGATTACCTACCTCCACGCCTAGGTAATTTTTGTATTTTTATTAGAGAAGGGGTTTCACCATTTGACCAGGCTGGTCTCAAACTCCTGACCTCAAGTGATTCACCCTGGCCAGGCTGGTCTTGAACTCCTGACCTCAGGTGATTTGCCTGCTTCAGCCTCCAAAAGTGCTGGGATTACAGGCGTGAGCCACCATGCCCAACCAATTTCACATTTTTAAAAATGCATTTCTAACAGTACCAAGTGAATGCTGCATTCAAGGATTTCCCCAAATTTATGTGAGTACTTTTATAATCTGCCGTTTTGGGTTTCTGTAAACCAACAAAAACTCAGAAAGGGAGCACCTTTCAAAATATTGAAAGCTGCAACCAATAGTTTTATATATCTGTTGATGTCTGCCGTGTTAGTCTGTAAACAGGTGTATTTTTATATGCATGGTGTATTTTTGTGAAATAGAAGAAACTCGCTTGGTTTCACAGGTTTCCTTCACCAAATTGTTCTAGAGAGTGTTTCTTGTATAAATGAAATTTAGATGGTCAGTTATTCCATCAGTGTTCTACTCCTGACCTCCCCCATCTCTAGTCACATGTCATATCTTTTATTGCCATTTTTGTCTCACAGGGGAAGTCCACAGTATGTTCTGCAAAGCCAGTTTAGATGAAAAGCAAAATCTGGTTGATCGCCGCTTACAAGTTAATAGGAAAAAACAAGTGAAAATGCACCGAGTGTGGATTCAAGGCAAATTCCAGAAACCATTGCACCAGACTCAGAATAGCTCCAATATGGTATCTACACTCCTTTCACAAGACTGAACTTTGTAACATGTTAAGGTACAAAGCCAGAGGACTGTGCTATTCAAGGACTACTGTAAGTCTATTGTTTCTCAAAAGACAATGAGAAAAAAAGAAGAGAATTTGTATTTCCTGCCGTTTTGTCATAGGTGAGCTCCTTTGTGCATTTTAAGCACATGTAAGTGGTTCAGCACAGTATGCCTTTTTCTGTGCTTTGAAAACTTGATATGCTCAAGCTTGTTTGAATTTATTACATCTAACCATTTTGCTTGTTCCTTGATTTTTATAAGCATTCAATTAAGTTAGTATTATGTCAAGTAATTTTGAGAAAATGTAACTTGACATTTTTTGCAAGTAAAAAAAATTGTTTATTTGTTTAGGCTTAGTAAACCAGTTCCCAAACACAGTCAGACTCTTCCCATTGTCATCTGATTGCAGAGAGAAAGCACACCTTATTTCCAGGGAAAGCTACAACAAGCCCAAGGTCAAAGTGTATTATTTTTTGTCTTGTTGTTGTCTATTTTCTCCCAATTTTTTTTTGAAATTCAGAGGCTCATATCTGAAATAGAATTTTAGTTCCTCTTTCCTTTCCTAAAATTGGGGAAGTACAGCCCATGCTGACATTATTTTCAGGCTATTCTTAGATATACAAGTTGTTAGGCCAGGTGCAATGGCTCGCACCTGTAATCCCAGCACTTTGGGGGGCTGAGGCAGGCAGATCGGTTGAGCTCAGGAGTTCAAGACCAGCCTGGACAACATGGCAAAACCCTGTCTCTCCCAAGAATACAAAAATTAGCCAGGCATGGTGGCACACACCTGTGGTCCCAGCTACTCAGGAGACTGAGGTGGGAGGATCGCTTGAGCCTCGGAGGCGGAGGTTGCAGTGAGCTGAGATTGTACCACTGCGCTCCAAACTGGGTGACATGGTGAGACCTTGTCTCCAAAAAAAAAAAAAAAAAAAAAAAAGGTATGTAAGCTGACAAGCTCTTGTATCAAGGGCTTTTGAACCAGAGCAACTTCATCTTGAATAGGGACTGTGTAAAATGAAGCTGAGACCTACTAGGCTGCAATCCCAGGAGGTTAAGACATTCTTAGTCACAGGATGAGATAGGAAGTCAGTACAAGATACAGGTCATACAGACCTTGCTGATAAAACAGGTTGCAGTGAAGAAGCCGGCCAAATGCCACCAAAACCAAGATGGCAATGAGAGTGTCCTCTGGCTGTCCTCACTGCTACACTCCCACCAGTGCCATGATAGTTTACAAATGCCATGGCAACATCAGGAAGTTACCCATATGGTCTACAAAGGGGAGGCCTGAATAATCCACCCCTTGTGTAGCATATAATCAAGAAATAACCTTAAAAATGGGCAACCAGTAGCCCTTGGGGCTGCTCTGCCTATGGAGTAGCCATTCTTTATGTTTTACTTTTTTTTTTTTTTTTTTTTTGAGATGGAGTCTTGCTCTGGCACCCAGGCTGGAGTGCAGTGGCGTGATCTCAGCTCACTGCCAGCTCCACCTCCCGGGTTCACGCCATTCTCTTGCTTCAGCCTCCTGAGTAGCTGGGACTACAAGCACCCACCACCATGCCCAGCTAATTTTTTTTTTTTTTGTATTTTTAGTAGAGACGGGGTTTCACCATGTTAGCCAGGATGGTCTCAATCTCCTGACCTTGTGATCCGCCCGCCTCGGCCTCCCAAAGTGCTGGGATTACAGGTGTGAGCCACCGCGCCCAGCCTATTCTTTACTTAAACTTGTTTTCACTTTGCTGTATGGACTCAATTCTTTCTTGCACAAGATCCAAGAATCCTCTCTTGGCGTCTGGATCCAGACCCTTTCTGGTATCAGTGGTAAGCTCTGTTTAAGACAACTGTCATACCCAAGAGAATTCTTAAATTGTGGCAGTTAAAAATGTATTTATCCCCTCGAGGGCCGGGCGCAGTCGCTCAAGCCCGTAATCCCAGCACTTTGGGAGGCCGAGGAGGCGGATCATGAGGTCAGGAGTTCAAGACCAGCCTGACCAACACTGTGAAACCCTGTCTCTACTAAAAATACAAAAAAAATTAGCCAGGCGTGGTGGTGGGCACCTGTAATCCCAGCTACTCGGGAGGCTGAGGCAGGAGAATCACTTGAACCCGGGAGGCAGAGGTTGCAGTGAGCCGAGATGACACCACTGCCCTCCAGCCTGGGTGACAGTTGTTAGACTGCGTATCAAAAAAAAAAAAAAAAATTTATTTACTCCCTTGCTTCAAAAAGGACATAAGTTGGCTTGCAAATCACATTTTGTAGAAATGAAGTTTTTAAGATTAGTCTCATACTCATTACATAATATTTATTGACTACTTACATATTGAGTGCTAAATTCAGTGGAATAATATGAACAATAAAGACCCAGCCTTGTTTATGCTCTTCAGGGAGCATAAATAGAGTACAGCTGGCAAAACAAAATGTGCATATCCCAAACCTGTAAATCATGATCTAAGACAATATACAAACACTCAAATAGGGAACTTACCAGCTAGCAGACTTTGATTATGAACCACAGAACCTAGAATAAATAAATACTCTCTTGAAAGAACCATCATTGGAATAATTAAGTTCCAACTGTTTTTTCTTTCTGAATTCACTTAAAATCCAATTTCTAGAAGAATATCATTGGTCCAGCTTTAGTCATTGGTTCATCTCTTAACAGGCTGGGGCAGGGCAGCTTAATTGATGATGCCACCAGAATGGGCAACATGGGAAAAACCCTATCTCTACCAAAAATACAAAAATTAGCCAGTGATGGTGGCACGCACCTGTTGTCCCAGCTACTCAGGAGGCTGAGCTGGGAGGATCTTTTGAGCCTGGGAGGCAGAGGTTGCAGTGAGCTGAGATCGCACCACTGCACTCCAACCTGGAGTGGAAGGAAATTTCACTTCCTGGAATGGAAGAAAGTTCTTCAAAGGAAAATCAAGACACTGCTGTCAAAAAACACCAGGGGAGGGATGCTGTCCAGTCACAGCCAACACATCATATAGCAGTGGTAGCAGTAGTAATAGTATTTCCAGAGAGAGAGAGAGAGATTAGCTCTGAAAAAGAATGGAGAAGAATCAGGTTTCTTGGGGGAGGTAGGTCTCAGGCTAGTTCTTGAATGTACATTCTCAGCAGATGGTGAGAAGACAAGTGTGGTGTGGGACATTAATGATGAGGGATAGGTAGAAAAGATGGGAAGGGGGTCAGCTTGTAGATAACCTAGACTAGCAGGTGTATGACTTCTAGTCTCTGAACTGGAGCCATCTGAGATCAGTTTGAGATATGGTGTCTTATAAATGTATTGAGAGAGGTTGAGGAGTTGTCTATAGAATGGAATGGAGTGAGGTCAGAGATCAGTGGCAAGGAAGACCACATAAAGGTTTTTGCACAAACTTGCCTTGATGGCAAGTCCTCAAAAGTACAATTATCAAGCTTTCTGTTTAAACATGCATAAGTCAGTAAATATAAACATTAAAATTTGCCCAAGACTCTTAACTCAGTTGTATTTCATAATTAAAGTGTACATTAAAAAGCCAAACTAGTCATGAAAGTATTACATACAGCAAGGGCAGTTTAGATAAGTTAATGTTGCTATGGGAACCCCAGCAGATCTCCTTGTGTCTCCGTTTAAAAATCATGGCCCAAGGTGGTTTCAAAAACAACAGAAGGTAAAATTATTCTCACATTCTCACACATGTAAATTGTACTGTCTCTCTCAGTTCTAAATAGCGGATTCAAGCCAGCCTCTTGACTGGCACAGTAAAATTCGGCTTCGTGTCTTTCTATAATGTATTACAGCATGTGAGTTAACCTTTAGAAGCTTCAAAAATACATCAACCAAATTTGGACTGTGAGACACAAACTGGTCTCTTTTGGGCTCTGTCCAGCATAGCCTTCCTATTCCACATGGCTGCGCAGCAGGGCCATTTCCACCAGTGTCTTCTGCTTGCCTGGTCAGTCTTTCTGTCTCTTAACCTACCTACAACAACTTCCTTCTCGGGGTTTGCTGCTAGATAGAAATGTAGATTTTGGCACAGAAAGAAAAGGGAAAGACCTATTTGGAATTTTGTCTATAGATGTTAAGAAATCATGAAGCGTTGCAAATGTAACTGCTTGGGTATTAGTTTAAAATATTTGATAACTGCATGAAATTCTAATTTACCCCTCACATCCATAAAGCTAGGACCAGTTGGTTAGGCAGAGTTTGATATTTAAAAATTCATCTTCTGAGAGAGCTGAATTTCAAAAGGACCATTTTCTTTCCAGGAGTAAAAGGTATATTCTTTCATCTTCTTACAGTACAGAAACAATGGAATATATTGTTTAAATGCACCCTTCATTTTTTTCTCCATTTCTAAAAATTCACTTTTGAGCATCGTCCAAATGTAAAAATTCTCACACATGAGGAACTGTTTCCGAAGGTTGTGAGAAAGTCAAGATAACAGTTTCTATTATTAAAAGTTTTGCATTCGGTATGACACATTTGCCTGTATTGAAACACCCATTTAACATTGACTTCTGAGAACTTATTTGCTTTGCCTCTCTCGATTCCATATGCTTTGTCTACAAATTGTGAACACGTCCCGGTTTCTACCCGTGTGTGATTCTAAGTCGTTGCTGTACTCTAGCTTGTACGTGAAAATTCACCCATATGCAGATAGCTGCCCTCTTGGAGGCAAAACTTAAAGCTATCAGAACCATCTGGATTGTTAAACCCCAAAACTTCCAACTCATCAAAGTCCTGAAGCCTGAATAGATCACACATTGTTACTTCTAATTGGTTTTGATGTTTGTTATGCTCCTCACAAGTGCAGATAACTTCACATTTGCATCACTAATCGACCTCTTTCAAAGCCTCTGCTCCTCCTGCTTCCTGCCTCTGTTAGTCATCAGGAGACTTAGTGTTGGCGTGGGTATTTTCCCCGCTTGTGAAAGTGCATTGTCAATTCTAGAGCATTAAATATATGTGAGGTATTGTTATTAATCTACAAGGCAGTACACACAGTATTCCAGCAACAGTGACTTTTTCAAAGGTTTTATGAGACATTGTAAGAAAGACAGTATCTTTCCATGGAAAAAAGTGTTGCCTCAGAGTCAAACAGGAAGCATGGGTCCTAGTTCCTATTGAACTGCTTAGCTACTCTTAATTTAGCTCTGAATGCTAGATTTTGTGTATACTATACACATTATTTAATCCTCAAACTCCTAGGAATTCATTTTGATGATAACCATTTACAGAAGAGATGTTGGGTAACTTGCTCAGGATACCACATCTAGTAAGTAGCAGAGTCACAACTCGGACCCAGAACTCTCTGATTCCAAAACCTCTACTTGCTGCTCTTGTAATGGATGGGCCCAAATGCTGCTGGGAAAGGCACCAGGGAAGAAAGAGCTTTCTGAGTCAAGCAGAAAACGATAGCAGTGGAGAGGAGTTTGTTTCAGACGACCTTCAAGGTTATGGCTCATTCTAGATCCAATCATTCTAGCAAATAAGTAGGTTACACTTGTCCACAATTACAAATTGGAAAAGAAGAGAAGGAAAGGAACTGAGAGGAATGACAAAGCAAAAAGCTTTCAATCAGTTCTTTTCAGCATTCTGCTTCTGCCTAGTTCTGCACTCGCCCCACCCCCTCAGGCTTCAGCCTTCCACTTGGCATCCCTCCTCGCAGAGCACTCTCACTTGCATACTCCTCGCTTAAAGAAAAAAAGCATTCTGTACTGCAGTGGGGAAAAAAAACCCTTAAAATGTCTTCAAAAGGATTCAGCTCTAGGGTAATGTAAAATATGTGAAATCAGGAGGTGTCCATAATAAAATATGAGTGAAAACATCGTTATTTAAAACATTGTATGTACATTAATGCCACATTAATACCAATTCAGGCATGAAATGTTGAGCATTTCTTGGAATACGGTTTCTTGGAATATGGTTGGGGATTTGAGAGGCGCAAAGGTACCCGCAAGATGGCTTTGGTGTAGTTATAAATATAAATAGAAGTAAAATAACAGTTGCATCTTCATTTATAATGAATCTATATTGTGGCCTCAAAGCTACAGAGAAAAGTGGATGCCAAAATCTGTCTTTCATTAACATATGTCTTAAATGACAAGGAAGAGGTGTTGAAGATAAAATTACTTTTTCCTATGAGTATGAATCAGCAACATGCAGTAACAAGCAAGTAATAATAGTTCTGCGTGTGAGTGCCTACAGAGGGTAAGAAAAATAGCATCAGATTGAAAAAGCAAGTGCACCTGCAGAAGGGACCCAGGAGGCTGCAGAGCACAGCTCCCTTGAGCATCATCTCAAAGTGTCTCAGAGCACAGTGACCCTAATTCTGGCAAGTCAGGTTGGCATGAGATGGATGGAGCACACTGAAATCTCCAGATGGTCAGACAGCCCACCCTCAGCTGCCCCTGGAGCTCGGCAAAGGCAAGCTACAAGGCACTGCTACTTGGCCAAGAGTTTAAAACAACAGCTTCTGATTCTACAGTGTCTGTGGTTTCACAACCACTTAACCTTAAGTAAGGAACAGCTAGAGTTAGCTGAATGAATAAATACACGTTAACGTTACATAAAGAGGGAAAAAAAGCAATACTTGAGCACATAGACTTCAAATAGTGTCCAGCTAGCTGTGTCCTTGGCATCCCAGTGATCTGGGTCTTTATCTTTGATTTTCTCCAGCAGGTAGGCACTGAGTAGATCCAGGGCCCAGGGCGGGAAATGCTTCTGTATCAGATGTTACCTATCAAATAAAATGAGCCTTTGATTGCCTCCTAAAGCTCCAGCATCGTCTTTCCTAGTTGGGCTGATGAGGTTTGGTCCAGAAAAATGGAATTTTGTTATGCTTATAAAAATTATTTGGCCAAATATTTTCAATCCATTGCTCCTAGTTCATTGCAGAAAACGCAGAAATTAATTTTTTCCTCAGTTAACCTTTATATATCAAGTGTTGGTTGTTTCAAAAAACACTGGAGGACAGTCACCCTTTGGGCTTTTAAGGCTTTTCCGCTGGAAGCAAGCACTAAACCTGTGTGACTTCCTAAAATTAGCAATGAGCCCGCTGCTGAGTCCACTGCATTAGTGGGGCTTTTTTGTTTTTTGTTTTTAATGCTCTGTACTTAGCACAAGCAACACTATGTAATTGCTGCCTCATTTCTCTCACCTTCTGCCTCCTGAGAGCAACTTGTGTTCCTCCTGAGGCAGTCCTGCTAAACAGAATGCTTGGCGTAAAGAATGCGATCGCTCTCCTTACATCTTTAGTTGTGCCCTGCTCCCTCAGGTGAGCAGAGACATATCCCCCTAAGCAGCATTTGGCACTCGCACTGAAAATTGCCTGAAAGAGAATGGCTGAAATTGCCAGTATCACATGCTGCATTGAAACAAGAAAGAAATTTCTGCCTCCAAGGATAATTGCTTTTCTCATTGCTCATACTTTTTCTTTCGCAGCCCTCATTTATTTTAATATTTATATCTTTACTTTGACTTTCTACAAGATATTTTTTAAGTTTCTTTTTAATCCAAATGAAAGATGAAATTCAGGATCCCAAAAAGCAAGGAAGATCTATCCTTTCCATGAATATATTCTTAATCCACCACTCTCTGAGATGTCTCTTCATTTGCAGCTTTGTTTCTTAATAGAACACCTGGGCTCTGGAGATTAGTGAGACAAAGCTTCATTATAATCTTCCTTGTTTTACTCACATTTCTTCCATGCTTTCTCTCCCTAACTCACTCTCCAGGTGCTTCTTTCTCTTGCCAAATAGTGCAAGGAAATACTTTTGCAGATCTTTTGTTTACTTTAGGAAAAAACCATGGATCCAGGCTTCCCCATTCAGCACTGCTGCTCATTTCCTGACTGGCCTTTACAGTTTGGCTCAGTAGCAACTTGGGGACTTGTTTTCTACCCACAGGAAAGGAGCTGGGTGCCCGGCAGCCCCATGCCGGCATGAGAATTAAGTCCTGCTCATTCCCTGGATAAGCAAGCTGACGTTTTCCTCATAGATTTTCTTTTCCATTTCTCAAAGCTTTATTGCATACTCATTTAGCTTTGACTTTTAAAAAGACATTTTAATAGTGTTGTTTTTCCTCCAAGCATGTGCAAAAGCTGATCATGTGCACGAGGAAGCTCTCGAGAATAAAGAATTACCTCTTTGCTGTTTTTCACCTACTACGTCACACACTACACAACACACCCAGGGCTTACCCCTACTCCAGTGTCATTGGCAAGTGCCTGGCCTGGTATAGGAGGAACTGTGACACCAGAGGAATTTGGCTTGGGTTACCTCACTTTCTAGGTTCCCAAGATTCCCAAGTTAAGGAAGCTTTGGTTATTACATAGTTGAACATTTTCTTATTTCATGTAAGTTTTGTAAATCTTCTGTGATTTCTTCTCCTCTTTGGCACATTTACATTAAATTTTATTCTAGTTATGTAACTGTATAGTATAATTATGTTTATATATGGATATAAATTGCTCTGTTCATCCTACTTTGGGGAATTTATTCATAGTTTGCTATGAGGTCAGTAACTTTCCGAAGAGACAGGCTTTCTAAACTTGAAGCCTATACTTTTATATATTAATGCATTTTTTTTTACATTAGAAGATAGTTAACCTAAGAAAGTTGAATGATAAGTAGAATGAAAGTAGAAAGCACTGACTGACAAAACAAAGATCTTCAGTACATCAGGGATGAGTGTTGTCTTTCTTAAGGACTTAATCTGTAATATAAAATGTCAAATCAAATACCATATTCGGCCAGGCGCAGTGGCTCACGCCTGTAATCTCAACACTTTGGGAGGCCGAGGCGGGTGGATCACCTGAGGTCAGGAGTTCGAGCCCAGCATGGACAACATGGTGAAACCCATCTCTAATTGTGCAAGGAAATTAGCTGGGCATGGTGGCGTGCACCTGTAATCCCAGCTACTCAGGAGGCTGAGGCAAGAGAATCGCTTGAACCCAGGAGGCAGAGGTTGCAGTGAGCCGAGGTCATGCCACCACACTCCAGCCTGGGCAACAAGAACGAAACTCCATCTCAAAAAAAAAACAAAAAAAAAAAAAACCAGAACAACAAATACCATATTCATGGTGGTACAGACAAAGACTAAGCTATTGGCATAGACAAGGTCCAATTGAGGAAGCACACTCTGTCACTGGTGATGAGGAATCCAGAGTTGGTCATTCCCCTAAAGCTCAGTCAGGAGCAGTCACCTGCAGGGAAGGCTACCAGCAGAAGCCAGCAGCACTGTGACCTTATGGAAAGTGGACAGTGTTCACAGGCACATTAGGTAAATACTGCTTCAGTGACCCAAAGAAAAATGCAAAATCACAGAAGATTGTAGCAAGAGTGACTTATGACTGAATCTCAGAGAACTGAACTGTAGGCTTAACTATCCCCTGCCTGAGCTCAGAGAAAGAACCCAAGAAAGAGCCCTAGCTGAGCTTTGGAAATAGGAAAGCTAGAGGCCAGGAGCTTTTTTCTGCTTACCTGAAACACCATTTCAGGTGTTTTTGTAGCACAGAAATGGCTACTAAAAGTATTAGGGTGCAGAAAACAATGGTCCAAATGATGGTGCTTCAGCATGCTGAGCACACTGAACTAAAGGAAATTAAAAGGCCATCAAAGCTGCCTCAGAACCAAGGAGTCGGCCAGGCGTGGTGGCTCATGCCTGTAATCCCAGCACTTTGGGAGGCGAGTTGGGCAGATCACTTGAGGTCAGGACTTCGAGACCAGCCTGACCAACATGTAGAAATCCCATCTCTACTAAAAATGCAAAATTAGCCAGGTGTGGTGGCGCATGCCTGTGATGCCAGCTACTCAGGAGGCTGAGGCAGGAGAATTGCTTGAACCCAGGAGGTAGAGGTTGCAGTGAGTCGAGATCACGCCATTGCACTCCAGCCTGGGCAACAAGAGTGAAACTCCATCTCAAAAAAAAAACAAAAAACAAGTACTCTTGGTTTCTCCACCCCACATCAAGCACAGGAAGGGGTTCTCTGTGGAAGTTTCCTTATCTGACTGAGTAGACTTCTTCCAAAAGAAATGCTGTTGGCCTAAAACCGCCTCCCTAGGAAATCTCATTCAATAACCAGGGAAGATTAACTACCATAAGAGATTAAAAGTCACCTAGCCCAGACCGACTTTTCATCTGTTTTTCTGAGGGCAGTTCGAAGAGGTTACCTGGGAGACCTTATCCACATAATAAGACAACCTTTGTTTACAATGAAGTTCTGCCTCTTGCCTTCCTAAAATTTGTTGCCACCTCTCACAGAGCACAAAAAACTTTGTCCCGGCCATTATCTGTTCTCTGGTCCCATTCAGTTTTCAAAGAGAATCATTTACAAACTACTCTCTGCTCTTTGGGTCCACTCAGTTCTCCTAAAAATCATTCACTGCCTGTGTTAGTTTGTTCTCACACTGCTAATAAAGACATACCCGGCCAGACATGGTCTGTCACACCTACAATCCCAGCATTTTGCAAGGCAGAGGCGGGCGGATCACCCGAGGTCAGGAATTTGAACCTCTACCTCCCGGGTTCAAGCAATTCTCCAGCCTCAGCCTCCCGAGTAGCTGGGATTACAGGCACCTGCCACCATGCTCGGCTAATTTTTATATTTTTAGTAGAGACAGGGTTTCACCATGTTGGCCAGGCTAGTCTCAAACTCCTGACCTCAGGTGATCCGCCCACCTCGGCCTCCCAAAGTGTTGGGATTACAGGCGTGAGCCACTGCACCCGGCCTGCAAGTTAGTTATTTTCTTTTTTTTCTTTTTTTTGAGATGGAGTCTTGCTCTGTTGGCCAGGCTGGAGTGCAATGGCGTGATCTCGGCTCACCACAACCTCCGCCTCCCAGGTTCAAGCAATTCTCCTGTCTCAGCCTCCCGAGTAGCTGAGATTACAGGCATGCACCACCACACCTGGCTAATTTTGTATTTTTTTAGTAGAGACAGGGTTTCTCCATGTTGATCAGGCTGGTCTCGAACTCCTGATCTTAGGTGATCCACCCGCCTCTGCCTCCCAAAGTGCTGGGATTACAGGCGTGAGCCACCGCGCCTGGCTAGTTAGTTATTTTCTAGATACAATGAGGGGTACAGGCATTGAGTAAATATACCCATTCCAAATGGGAGAAATTGGCCAAAACATAGGGGCTACAGGCCCCATGCAAGTCTAAAATCCAATGTGGCAGTCAAATCTTAAAGCTGCGAAATGATCTCCTTTAACTCCATATCTCACATTCAAGTCATCCTGATGGAAGGGGTAGGTTCCCATGGTCTTGAGCAGCTCTGCCCCTGTGGCTTTGCAGGGTACAGCCTCTCTCCCAGTTGTTTTCACGGGCTGGTGTTGAGTGTCTGTGGCTTTTCCAGGCGCACAGTGCAAGCTGTTGGTGGATCTATCATTCTGGGGTCTGGAGGATGGTGGTCCTCTTCTCCCAGCTCCACTAGGCAGTGTCCCAGTAGGGACTCTGTGTGGGGGCTCCCACTCCACATTTCCCTTCTGCACTGCCCTAGCAGAGGTTCTCCATGAGGGCTCTGCCCCTGCAGCACACCTCTGCCTGGACATCCAGGTGTGTCCATACATCCTCTGAAATCTAGGCAGAGGTTCCCAGACCTCAGTTCTTGGCTTCTGTGCACCTGCAGGCTTAACACCATGTGGATGCTGCAAAGGCTTGGGGCTTGCACCTCCTGAAGCCATGGCCCCAGCTGTACCTTGGCCCCTGCTAGCCACGGCTGGACCAGCTGGGATGCAGGGCACCAAATCCCAAGGCTGCACACAGCAGGGGGTCCCTGGACCCAGCCCAAGAAACCATTTTTCCCTCCTAGGCTGCTGGGCCTATGATGGGAGGGGCTGCCGCAA
Source organism: Homo sapiens (assembly GCF_000001405.40). Taxonomy (NCBI): domain Eukaryota; kingdom Metazoa; phylum Chordata; class Mammalia; order Primates; family Hominidae; genus Homo; species Homo sapiens. The sequence continues at coordinate 171,312,332 of NC_000002.12, read as the reverse complement.
AGGTCTCTAACATGCCCTGGGGACATTTTCCCCATTGTCTTGGTGATTAACGTTTGGCTCCTTATTACTTATGCAAATTTCTGCAGCTGGCTTGAATTTCTCCCCAGAAAATGGGGTTTTCTTTTCTATCACATTGTCAGGCTGTAAATTTTCCAAACTTTTATGCTCTGCTTCCTCTTGACGCTTTGCCACTTAGAAATTTCTTCCACCTGATACTATAAATCCTCTCTCTCAAGTTCAAAGTTCCACAGACCTCTAGGGCAGGGACAAAATGCCACTGGACTCTTTGCGTAGCAAGAGTGATCTTTATTCCAGTTCCCAATATGTTCCTTATCTCCATCGGAGACCACCTCAGCCTGGACTTTATTGTCCCTGTCACTATCAGCATTTTGGTCAAAGCCATTCAACAAGTCTCTAGGAGGTTCCAAACTTTCCCACATTTTCCTGTCTTCTTCTGAGCCCTCCAAACTGTTCCAGCCTCTGCCTGTTACCCATTTCCAAAGTTGCTTCCACATTTTTGGGTATCTTTACAGCAGCACCCCACTCCTGGTACCAATTTACTGTATTAGTCTGTGCTCGTGCTACTAATAAAGACATACCTGAGACTGGGTAATTTATAAAGGAAAGAGGTTTGATTGACTCACAGTTCCACCTGGCTGGAGAGGCTTCACAGTCATGACTGAAGGCAAATGGGGAGCAAAGTCACATCTTACATGGAGGCAGGCAAGAGAGCTTGTGCAGGGGAACTCCTATTTATAAAACCATCAGATCTCATGAGACTTAATCACTACCACCAGAACAGTATGGGGGAAACTGCCCCCATGATTCAATTATCTCCACCTGGCCCAGCCCTTGACACATGGGGATTATTACAACTCAAGGTGAGATTTGGGTGGGGACACAGCCAAACCATATTATTATCCCTCAAAATAGCCTGTATTCCCCCATCTCCCTCTCTTCTGTGAAGAGGGAACTATGTAAGCTCCATCTGGCCCTTCCTTGAGTCTCATATTTTACATGGCTCCATGCTTATGCAAGTTAATAAATTTGTTTGCTTTTCTCCTATTAATTTGTGTAATGTCAGTTTATTTCAGTGGGATAATTCACTTATTGAACCTTCAGAGGGAAAGTTTAAACTTCCCTACATTAAACACTTTTTCTTGACACTGGTTTGAAGAGCAGTGACTCACCTTTACCTGATTCTTTGTTTGATTCCAGAGCCCTTGGACTTTTATGTTTGTTTTCTACCATGACATCACAAACCACGAGTTTGTTGATGCTTCGTAAATGTGGAAAGATGCAGCACAGATTTAGGAGAAATATACCCAGAGATGTAAAGGGGAAGGAGACATTGGCCAACCAGAAGATCATCCTCATTCCTCAGTGAAGGAGAAAGGCCTGACTCCTACCTTGTGTAAGGGAACTAAGGGAACTGGCTAGGTATCAGTATAACAGAGTCACCAAGTGATTCAAGATTTACTGTCCCCCTCTGAGGAAATAAACAGAGGGCAAGCAAAGAATACAGGCCAGAATAGTCTGCTAGACAAGACCACAATGTGGAATCACAGCCATCCAATGAGGTTTGAGAGAAACCCAATAAATAATATCCCTATGTTCTCTGCCCAAGTTTTAAACCAATCAGAGAGATTAAGGTGTCAATAAATGAAGATTAAAATGTCAGCTCAGCCTGGGCGCAGTGACTCACGCCTGTAATCCCAGCACTTTGGGAGGCTGAGGCGGGTGGATCACCTGAGATCAGGAGTTTGAAACCAGCCTGGGTAACATGGCGAAACCCCGTGTCTACTAAAAGTACAAAAATCAGCTGGGCGTGGTGGTGGGCACCTGTAATCCCAGCTACTTGGAAGGCTGAGGCAGGAGAATCGCTTGAACCCGGGAGGTGGAGGTTGCTGTAAGCCAAGATCGCGCCATTGGACTCCAGCCTAGGCAACAGAACAAAACTGTGTCTCAAAAAAAAAAAAAAAAAAGTCAGCTCAATTACTGATGAAGCTGTATTGGAAAGAATTGGCTTTGGGTACAAGTAATTAGTGTCTTCCTAATACTGAACCCTAGAATCAGGACTCACAGCTAGACAGCCAAAGACTCTACACAGGGGGCCCTGCCCCTTTGAGGCCTATTGCAGCACACTTTCATCCAACAGAAAGAGCAAAGAAGAGCTGGATTAAACAAGCCTAAGTAACCGCCCATATTCACTGATTACATAAATCACTCCACCTCTCCCAGGAAGGAGGAGGGTGGGATTAAAGAGGCTGGCAGTCTTAAATCAGTTGCTGTCCCTCCACATGGCAGGAAAGAACAGGAGTGGGAATTACCTAAACCTTTTATAAGTGCTGGGTAAAGCATATGCTACATAGACCAAATCTAGAGCAGTGTGGGGTGGACTCTGCTTTGTCCCTTTGCTGTTTGCTGAGTAGTCTGCTCAGAGATGCACTTGTCAATGGCTCTTCAGCATCTCACCACCTAGCTCTCACCAGGGGTCCGGGTAGTTATGGTTCCTTTTATTTGTTCACTTTCTAAAAAAAAATTTGACTTTTTGTGAATATTTGAATAGATACAAAATAGTTTCTATGCGGACTTAACATGGAAAGGGAGATGGTTGCATTTTTGGTGACATTACAACGCATACACGCATGTGTGAATGTGTGTGTCACACCGAATGATATTGTCAATGCTGGGCTGATGCCAAATTTAAGGAACATGGAGAACTTGGGAAAAGGCCAGAGATAGAGAAAAGATTGTTAATGGTTTGTTTATAGGGAAGAAATGGGTTTGCCCTAAAATAAATGCATACTAGAAGATGAAAATGACAGTGCCCAGGTAGAAACTGGCAAAAAGGGTTCTCAGAGCAAAAACATGGGACCCATTTTGGATATAAGTCCTAACTTCACTATTGCTGGTTTTGTAACCTTAAGCAAGACACTTGAAATCTCCAAGCTTCAATGCACTGAACTACAAATGGAAATAATGCTTACCTGCAGATTGTTGCAAGGACTAAATATAATGCACATCAAATGCTAGGTATGATGCCTGGTGATAACTGGCACTTAATAAGTGGTAATTAATATCATTATTAATATATAATATATAATAGTATATTATATATTTATAAAATATATATATATATATATATATATATATATTTTTTTTTTTTTTTTTTCAAAGGATGACCTGATGGTTAACTTTAGGTGTCAACTTGGCTGGATTAAGAGATACCTGAATAGCTGGTAAAGCATTATTTCTGGAGATTGGTATGTGAGTCAGTGAATTGAGTGGGGAAGATCTGCCCTCAATGTGGGCAACCTGAATAGAATAAGGTAGAGGGAAGGTGAATTTTCTCTCTCTCCTGGAACTGGGACACCCCCTTCTTCTCCTGCCTTTGGACTCCAGGTTATCTGGCCTTTGGACTCTGGAACTTGCACCAGCAGCTGCTTTGGTTTTTAGGCCTTCAGACTGAGAGTTACACTATTGGCTTCCCTGGTGCCGAAGTGTTTGTACTTGGACTGAGCCATGCCACTGGCTTCCGTTGGTCTCCTGTTTGCAGATGGCCTGTCATGGGACTTCTCAGCCTCCATAATTCTGTGAGCCAGTTCCCCTAATAAATCCTCTCTTCTCTTTATCTTTCTCTCGTTCTCTTTCTCGCTGTCTCTCTCTCCCCTATTGGTTCTATCTCTCTAGAGAACCTTGGCTAATACGGATGGTGAACAAGTCTTTGTCTCTTTTGAGGAGGATAAATAATTACAGGATAAATAATTTAAATATTTAATTATTTATATATAATATAAATATATTTAATATAAAATTATTTTTAAATAATTATTTAAATAAATAAATTATTAAATATTAAATAAATATTAAATAAATTAAAATAAATAATTTTTAAATAATTATTTAAAAATAATTAAATTAGCCTTAAGAAACTTGCTAACCGAAAAGTTGAGTTTTCTTATTTAAGAAAGTCATTGCTGTTTCTTTGGCTTATGTTTAATTCAGATAATCAAATGCTTATTAAGCATCTACTGTGTGCCAGAAAGTGTGATGCATACTGAGAATACTGAAATGCAGGTGGCTGATGAAATGAACCCCTGCTCTTTAGATTCCTGCAGTTCAGGATAGATGCCCATTTGTCTGAAATGTGGTAAGCATCTCCTACTTAAATCTTTAGCTCCAACAGACCATCACCATTTGGCCACCATAGTTTCGCCAACCTCAGCATATCAATTGGTATCCGCATTTTTTAGACCCTTTTCAAGAACCTCAGAGAACAAATCTAGCCATGTGCTATACGGCAAAAGCCAAACAAAGCATGTGAAATGGGTCCTTAAGGTATAGCTTTTGTACCATCTACCCTTTGGCATCCAAGGTCGCTTTTAACAATGCTGCCCATAACTCTGTGCAGAATGCCTCCTGCCACAGCATGTAGGACTTCTACTCACAATACCTAGCAGCACCTCTAAGCATCACCACAGTCCATCCAACTGGTCACAATTAAGATAAGATCTGAGCTGCTTTCCGGAGATCTGTAAGATTCTCCAAAATAGGCCAAAGACGGCTATAAAGCCTCACACTATGCATCATTTACTCAAAGCGGTCATCCAAGCATAGAACCTGATCTGACTCACCTTTACCACAGTTATCACCTGATCCTCACATAAACTCAACAAATAGCCCTTTTGGAGTCCAGAAATAAATACCTGCACATATGGTCAAATGATTTTCCATAAGGGTGCCAAAACCATTCAATGGGGAAAGGACAGTTTTTTCAACAGATAACATTGGGAAAACTGGATATCAACTTGCAAGAGAAATTGGACCCCAAATTTATGCCAGATACAAAAATTAAATCAAAATGGATTGAAAACCTAGATGTAGAACCTAAAACTATAAAACTCTTAGAAGAAAACAGAAGAAAAACTTCATGACATTGGGTTTGGCAATAATTTCTTGGATATGACAACGAAAGTACAGACAACAAAAGAAAAAGAAAAGTTGGACTACAACAACATTAAAAAGTTCTGTGCATTAAAGGACACATCAACAGAGTAAAAGGCATCCCACGCAATGGGAGAAAATGTTTGCAAATCATACATCTGATAAGGGTTTAGTATCCAGAATATATGAAGAACTCTTACACCGGGCATGGTGGCTCATGCCTGTAATCCTAGCACTTTGGGAAGCTGAGGTGGGAGGGTTGCTGGAGCCCAGGAGTTCAAGACCAGCTTGGGCAACATAGTGAGACCCCTGTCTCTACAAAAAAAAAAAAAAAAAAAAGAACAAAATTAGCTGAGCATGGCGGTGTGCATCTATAGTCCCAGCTACTTAGGAGGCTGGTGTGGGAGGATCGCTTGGGCCTTGGAGGTCAATACTGCAGTGAGCTGTGATCGCACCACTGCACTCTAGCCAGGGTGACAGAGTGAGATCATGTCTCAAAACAAAAAACAAAACAAAACAAAAAATACTCTCACAACTCAACAATAAAACCCTCAATTTTAAAATGGGCAAAGAACTTGAATAGACATTTCTCAGAAAATGTTATACAAATGGCAATAGCATATAAAAAAATGCTCAATGTCATTAATCATTAGGGAAATGCAAATCAAAACCACAATGGGATACCCCCTCAAACCCATTAGGATGGCTACTACCAAAACCCAGAAAATAATAAATGTTGGCAAAGGTATGGAGAAATTGGAACTCTTGTGCACTGTTGATGGGAATGTAAAATGGTGCAATAGCTATAGAAAACAGTATGGTGGGCCCCCAAAAAATTAAAAATAGAATTATCATGTGATTCAGCAATTCTTAGCATATACCCAAAATAATTGAAAGCATGGACCTGAGGAGATATTTGTACATGCATGTTCATAGTAGCATTTTTCACAGTAGCCAAAAGGTGAAAGTAACCCAAGTGTCTTAGTCCGTTTTGTGTTGCTGTAACGGAATACCTGAGACTGGGTAATTTATAAAGAAAAGAAATGTATTTGGCTCATGGTTCTGGAAACTGGGAAGTCCAAGGGCATGGTACTGGCAAATGCTTGACGTCTGGTGAGAGCCTTCTTGCTGTGCCATTCCATGGTGGAAAGTGGAATGGCAAGAGAGCATGAGAGGGAGAAAAGGAGGTCAAATGAATCCTTTTATCAGGAGCCCACTCGTGTGATAACTGCTTTAATCCATTCATGAGGGGAGAGCCCTCATGACCTACTCACCTCTTAAAGGTCTCAACACTGTTGAATTGGGAATTAAGTTTCCAACCCATGAGCTTGGGGAATACATTCAAAGAATAGCACCAAGTGTCCATCAACAGATGAATGTATAAGCAAAATGTGATATATACATAAAATGGAATATTATTCAGCCTTAAAGAGGAAGGAAATTCTGACACATGCTACAATATGAATGAACCTTGAGGACATCACGCCAAGTGAAATAAGCCAATCACAAAAGGAAAAATATAGTATGATTCCACTTACATGGGGTACCTGGAATAGTCAAATTCATAGAGATGGAAAATAGAATGGTGGTCACCAGGGCTGGGTGACAGGGGGATGGGGAATTGTCACTTAATGGGTACAGAGTTTTAGTTTTGCAAGATGAAAAGGGTTCTATGGATGATATTGATGGGCCCAATATTGATGGTAGCACAACAATGTGAAAGTACTAATGTCACTGAATTGTGCACTTAAAAATAGTTAAGATGGTAAATTTTATTATATGTGCATTTTACCACAATTTTTAAAAAAGCAGCTAGCGGCCAGGTGCAGTGGCTCACGCCTGTAATCCCAGCACTTTGGGAGGTCAAGGCAGGCGGATCACGAGGTCAGGAGTTCAAGACCAGCCTGTCCAATATGGTGAAACCCCGTCTCTACTAAAAATACAAAAATTAGCCGGGCATGGTGGTGCGTGCCTGTAGTCCCAGCTACTCAGGAGGCTGAGGCAGAAGAATTGCTTGAACCCGGGAGGCAGAGGTTGCAGTGAGCCAAGATCCCACCACTGCACTCCAGCCTGGGTGACTGAACGAGACTGTGTCTCAAAAAAGAAAAAAAAAAAAAAGCAGCTAGCCCAGTGTTCAGTCTGGCCTTCCAAAACTATGAACTTCTGCCCTCTATTTCTAGCTCCCTGGACTTGCCATCCACTTTTTTCTTTCTTTCTTTCTTGTTTTTTTTTTGTTTGTTTGTTTTTTGTTTTTTGAGACAGAGTCTCACCCTGTTGCCAGGCTGGAGTGCAGTGGTGCGACCTTGGCTCACTGCAACCTCCACCTCCTGGGTTCAAGGGATTCTCCTGCCTCAGCCTCCCGAGTAGCTGGGACTACAGGTGCATGCCACCATGCCCAGCTAATTTTTGTGTTTTTAGTAGATACGGGGTTTCACCATGTTGGCCAGGATGGTCTCGATCTCTTGATCTAGTGATCAGCCCGCCTTAGCCTCCCAAAGTGCTGGGATTACAGGCGTGAGACACCGTGCCCGGCCGCCATCCACTTTTTATATACACCACGCTGTTTTCCACCGTTTCTCACTATGGCCAGCCGATGTCGACTGTGCCTGGCACTGTGCATATACTCTTGTCATCCAGTCCCAGAGGAAGGACTTAATTATAAGACATCCTGGACTCCCACCACCACAGAACCTTCTCATAACACTCCACCCCACAGTATGCTCTGGGATCATCACAACTCTTTGCCAAGCAAACCTGGGAAAGTTCAGCCCTTCCATTACTCCTTGTGGTTGGTGATGGACAAGTGGAGAGAGCCTGAAGCAAAGGAGTTACACATGACCTCCCTCTTAGTGTGCCTGGCACACCATAGGAGAAAAACCTCAACATTCTTTGAGGGTCAAGTTTGGCATTTTAAGAACTATATTTTTTTCTGTCTCTCCAGCCTCTTACTTTTTTTTTTTTTTTTTTTTTTTTGAGACAGAGTCTCATTCTTTTTCCCAGGCTGGAGTGCAGTTGTGTGATCATAGCTCACTGCCACCTCAAATCCCTAGGCAGAAGCAATCCTCCTGCCTCAGCCTCCTGAGTGGCAAGGACTACAGGCACATACCACCACACCTGGCTAATTTTTAAATTTTTTTTGGTAGAGATGGGATCTCATTTTGTTGCCCAGGCTGATCTCAAACTCCTAGGCTCGAGCAGTCCTCCTGCCTCAGGCTCCTCAAGTCCTGGGATTACAGGCATGAGCCACTGCACCTAGCTGCCTCTTGATCTCTGACCAAAGTGCTCATTTCCCATTTTCTGGTCTTAAATCTCCCTTCAGAGTTCATGCTCATCTTCTTACCTATGACTTCAGCTTATCTGTTATTTCAATCCAAATGTCACCTCCAACTGCATAGCCTAAAGCTTGGTGCTAGGGAGTGTCACTCACAGCAGGCCCTTCTGGACTATTATGACATGACTGCGGTCACATACAGCAAACCTGGGAGGTAGGAGGCAATATAGGTAAGTCCATGCTATCAATTTAGCATTTCGTTGACTGTAATTCATGTTTAGATGAGGCGACTCTCTTAGCCCATTTGGGTTGCTATAACAACAGAAATGTATTTCTCACAGTTATGGAGGCTGGGAAATCCAAGATCAAGGCACTGGAGGATTTGGCCAGATATGGTGACTCACACCTATAATCCCAGAACTTTGGGAGGCTGAGGGACAACTGAGCTCCTTCAGGACTCTTTTATGATGACACTAATCCCTTTAGTTCTCATGACCTAATCACCTCCCAACAGCCCACCTTCTAATACCATCACTTTAGGGGTTAGGATTTCGACATATGAATATTAGGGGGATACAAACATTCCAACCATAGCAGTGACCAAGTTAAAAATTTGGGTCATAGGCTAGGCGCAGAGGCTCAAGCCTGTAATCCCAGAACTCTGGGAGGCTGAGGTGGACAGATCACTTGAGGGCGGGAGTTTGAGACTAGCCTGACCGACATGGAGAAACCCCGTCTCTACTAAAAATACAAAAATTAGCCAGTCATGGTGGTGCATCCCTGTAATCCCAGCTACTCGGGAGGCTGAGGCAGGAGAATCACTTGAACCTGGGAGGAGGAGGTTGCGGTGAGCCGAGATTGCGCCATTGTACTCCAGCTTGGGCAACAAGAGCGAAACTCCGTCTCAAAAAATAAAAATAAAAAATAAATAAATAAATAAATTGGGTTGTATTAAAAGAGGTCCTGGCCGGGTGTGGTGGCTCATGCCTGTAATCCCAGCACTTTGGGAGGCCGAGGTGGACGGATCATGAGGTCAGGAGTTCAAGACCAGCCTAGCCAACATGGTAAAACCCCCTCTCTACTGAAAACATAAAAAATTAGCTGGGTGTGGTGGCAGGCGCCTGTAATCTCAGCTACTTGGGAGGCTGAGGCAGGAGAATTGCTTGAACCTGGGAGGCAGCGAGCCAAGACTGCACCACTGCACTCCAGCCTGGGTGACAGAACAAGACTCAGTCTCAAAAAAAATATAAAATAAAATAAAAGAGGTCCTATATACTTTTGTTTTTACCCTTTTGTTAAGGTTAAAAAAAAGTTTTTTGTTGTTGTTGTTAGTTACTTGTCTCTGGCCCCTCTACTCTGGAATTAACCACCTGTCTTAATTTTCCTAGATCCTTTTTATAAGGTGGTTTGCAGACTATTAGCGTTAACATCACCAGGAGAGGCTGTTAGCAATTCGACCTCGCAATCTCCAACTCAGGCCTAGCAAATCAAGATCTGCAGCTTAATAAGATCCCCAGGTGATCTGTATTACATTAAAATTAGAACCGTTCCAGAAAGATTCTAACTGCTCTTGTTGGAACAATGGGTCTCTACCCTCATTGTTTATTGGAAGAACCTGAGAAGCTTTTAACACATACTGATTTGGCTTGGCACAGTGGCTCATGCCTATAATCCCAGCACTTTGGGAGGAGGAGAATTGCTTAAGACCAGGAGTTTGAGACCAGCCTGGGCAACATAGCAAGATTCCATCTCTACACACACCCCCAACCCCCCACCACCCCCAGGCAAAAAAATAAGTCCAGCATGGTGGCATGCGCCTGTAGTCCCAGCTATTTGGGAGGCTGAGGTGGGAAGATTGTTGGAGCCCGGGAGTTCAAGGCTGCAGTGAGCCATGATTGCTCTGCTGCACTGCATCCTAGGCAACAGAGTGAGACCCTGTCTCTCTCTAAAAGCAATAAGCAAACCTACTGATTCCTGTGATCCACCACCAGATTCTGATTTCATCTATCTATGGGAGGCCTAGGCATTGGTGTGTGTTATGTTTTTGCATTTTTTGTGTCTGTTTTTGTTTGTTTGTTTCCTCTGTACAGATGATGTTTTTTATTCTCTAGGAGATTTTGATGGTTAGCCAGGCTTGAGAACCACTGAGTTATGACTAAGAGAAAAATATCATGGAGAATACCATGGATAGTGAGCTCGTTTACAGTTGTAAAAAACAGAGTCAGATTATTAAATTTGAGTAGGTCTTAACCTTAATATATGACTATTAATGTGAAATTACAGATTGTATGTAGAAGCAATTTCTCCCCTAAAATCTTCCTCTCTGATTCTTTATATTTCTCTTGTTTTCTATTTCCTTAGTCCCTAGGGTATGTGTCTCAACAGCTCTTAACCTCTATTAAATAGTGTCCAGGGCTTCCAACCAAGTCTCGTGAGAGGGTCATGCTCCTGTCCCAGTGCCCAGAGCTGGTGCTGCTTCCTGCTGCTGCTGAAGCCCCAGCTGCAGAGCACTGTTGGGATCGGCCATCACCACCACCTTGGTTGCTGGTGCGATGTTCGGTTGATGCCCGTAGAGACTCACAGTGCCCTGAAGTGAGCACATGATGCTTTTACATACTCCCTGCAAATCAACCTTGTGGCCGTGACATAGCAGCCCCAACAACCAAAACAACTTTGGTAGCCCCATCAATCTGTGACTTCTAAATTTTCTTTAGCATCTTCCCATGTTTTTGCTTTTTTTTTGGTTTTTTTGGTTTTTTTTTTGAGACAGTCTTGCTGTGTCGCCCAGGCTGAAGTGCAGTGGTGCAATCTCAGCTCACTGCAACCTCCACCTCCCAGGTTCAAGCTATTCTCCTGCCTCAGCCTCCTAACTGGGATTACAGGCATAGGCCACCACGACTGGCTAAATTTTTTTTTTTTTTGTATTTTTAGTAGAGACGGGGTTTCACGATGTTGGCCCGGCTGTCCTCGAACTCCTGGACTCAAGTGATCTGCCGTCCTTGGCCTCCCAAAGTGCTGGAATTACAGGCGTGAGCCACTGCACCTGACCTCCATTTTCCTCTGGTCTTTCAGAGAGCCCAGGCAGAAGCTATTATCATCAAAGGTAGGTTTAAGATTAATGAGTCTCCCCTGCCAGCTGGGTCGCACGTCTCCTGAGGACATGCTTTGCTGTTTGTGATCACAGGTGAGTAGATGAGGGTCTCCCTGTAAGGCTATGTAAACATTTACATATTTACTCATATTCTTCATTTTCATCCCAGAAACTAATTTTTAGCAGATTTAAAGCAGATTTTTTAGTCAATGTTAGAAAACATTTTTTAATGTATGAAAGTGAAATTCAATGTAATTAATTTATTAAATCATAATTGAATTCCTGCTGTTTCCATCACCGGAAAATGACTACCACGTTTTCCATTGTTATTTGAAATACTCGTCTTCTTTATAAATATTTTGACATTTTTTGAAATGCCAAGAATATGCATGGTGTGTGCCATGTAGTCAAGAATTAGTGCTTTTGCTTTGGCATAAAGCAAATTTCAGGTGGGGAAAGGAGGCAGTTGATAATGCAGATTTTAAAAAGTAGAATTAGGCTAAAATAGTTATTTTTATTAACATAATCTGCTTCAAGATAGGGTCCTAACAACTTAATTTCTCTGCAAGAAATGTACCCTAAATGATTGTGGGTCACTTTTGGAGTTGAAAATTCTGGCTCCTAATTAAATATGTGTGATTGAGCAAGTCAGTCTTTTTCTGCCTCAGAGTATTTATCTGTAAAATTAGGAAGTTGCACCAAGAGTCTGATAAAGCCCCTTCCAGCTCTAAAAGTCAATGATTCTATGAATGCTCAGCTACATTCTGTATCACCAAAAGGTAGAAACGGTATCTTCTATTTTTTCCTAACTCCCGATTTTGCCATCATATGGAAAACAACAAAAATAAAGGTAATTAAAAATAGGAAAGAAATGGACTTAAAATTATGCCATCTGACGTCTCAGGCATTTTCATTTTATGTTCCATTCTGGTCCTTGAACATATGTATACATAATTTTACATAGTTCCAATCATAAAATAGGTAAAATGTTATATTTGGCCTACTTCACTTAACATTATGTAACTTTAATATTATCATTATCACTGATAATTATAGTTTAAATGGCTACATGGTACTCCATTTCATTGATGTATCATAGTTTACTTTAAAAGTCCCTATATTTGGAACTTTAGACTGCTTTCAATGTTTGATACCATAAAGAAGCTACAGCAAATTTTTTATTCATATGGCTCTTTCTTTTGAATAACTTTCTAAGAATAAATTTCTAGGAGTGTAATTACTGAATTAAAGGGAACCTCTTTACCATTGTTTATAAGTATCAGCAAATGGCTTTCCTGAAAGCTTACACTGATTTACATTGTTGCCACCATATCTGAGAGTGATAGTTTAAGCCTCCCCAAAGGTGCGGTATGAAATTACTTAATGTTTTAATTTACATTTATTTGATTACTGGCAATCTTGAACATTTTTTCATTTGAGATTGCATTTTATCTTATGTGAATTGTCTGGTTGTGCCCTTTTCCATTTATCTGACTGTGAAACCATAGGTGAGTCACTTAACCTCTCTGGGGCTTGGTTTTCTCATCTATAAGCAGGATAATAATAATTTCTATCTCAGAGATGTTGTATGGATTTCTCAATGTAAAGTGTATACAATAGTACTTGATATATGGAGAACCTTTTAAAAAAAGTACTAATTGTATTAGAACATTCCTGATTTTCATTACAATTTATGATTTCCTCTGGTCTTTGTATAAATGCATAATATCTTTGATTAACTTATAAGGCAAATCTTTATATAACATAGATGTAATCATTTGGTCTGCTGGGTTTGGCTAAGTGTCTTTCTCTGTTGTTTTAATTTCTGTATTGGTTTTGCGTGTATGTTCAGACATGCACATATGAGTGTACGAGTATGTATTTTCTCACAAGTCCAGAAACACAGAGTCTATGCCAAAGGGGCAGCTCATAAAAATGCTGACTGCCTGACAGTGCTCAGAATGGTGCAGTCATCTCTGTTGAATAACTGTTCAACCAAATCGTTTAGAAAAATAACAAACAAGCAAAATCAAACCACATACATACACACACTCACAAAACCAAAACCAAACCCAAACCATGCACATACACACATGCACATTACAAACAAATGTTTTAAGCCAGAGAGATAAAAGAAATTGTAAACCATATAAATTATTTCTCTTTAAGAATAATTGATTTTGTTGTTGTTGTTGAGACTGAGTCTTGTTTTGTCGCCAGGCTGGAGTACAGTGGCGCGATCTCGGCTCACTGCAACCGCTGCCTCCCGGGTTCAAGCGATTCCCCTGCCTCAGCCTCCTGAGTAGCTGGGACTACAGGCATGCACCACCACGCCCAGCTAATTTTTTGTATTTTAGTAGAGATAGGGTTTCACCTTGTTGGCCAGGATGGTCTCGATTTTCTGACCTCATGATCCGTTCGCCTCGGCCTCCCAAAGTGCCAGGATTACAGGCATGAGCCACCGCGCCTGGCCGTAACTGATTCTTTATATATAATTGTTGCCTAATTCCTAGCATACTGAGATCCTATTTATTTATTTATTTATTTATTTATTTATTTATTTATTTATTTTCTGAGATCTAATTTAGACCATGGAGAAGAAAAACAAAAAGGTGGTATTAATAAACTGCTTTGGGGAGTAAAAGAACCTCTTAGAATCCACGACATCATGGATGGAAGAGATCCTTAAGGAGGGAATGAAGCACAGCTCAGAGTGGGAAGGTTAGCAATGTTCAAGACCAAAGTTAATCATCTCTACATGAGTCAATTGAAAGAAAAGAATTAAAAGCATTAAAAAAAAAACAATATGAGTAATGGGAGGAGCTGATGAAGCCTGCTGCCCAGATGAGGATTGGAAACTATTTAAACTGGATAATACAGTATGTGTTTTAGCTCTGAGAAAACAGAAGTTGAACTTTTGAGTAGTAATCAAGGGCACGGTCTCAAAGTATTTGCAAATAGTGCTGGTATGGAGAACAGATGCCGACATTATTGCCAATGGGAATCACAATGTGATAGTTGGAGTGAGAGACTAAAAGAAACCACAGGGAATTTTTGCAGAAAGCTTGGCATTGAACATGATTTATGGTTGATTTAAGAAGGAGACAAGGAAAATAAGGCTACAGTGTATACCATCTGACTGCTGCGGACCAAGGATGTAAACAGTTAGCCATGGCTCTCCAACCTCCTGGAAATCAGGATTCTGCTCATACAGAAAGGCGCCAGAATGTTTGTCTGAGTTAAGTGCATACTTCTTTTTTAGTATCTAAGAATAGTTATCCTCCTTTCCTCTCCCATTACTGCTTGGGTATCCTTAAAAATCCTCACCAGCTATTAAGTATCATGGAGTTACGCAAAGAGGTCTGCAGGGAACTTGATGGCTTCCCAAAGTGGATCAGAGAACCTCACAGGAGGCCCTAGGCTTGAAAGGTGAGCAGCTCTATTTTGTTGCTCTCATGTGTGTGATGTACTTTTATGTTAGAAAACTGAGGTTTGGAGGATTTAAGAGAGTGAGGTGAATCTTCCAAAAATATCTAACAAAGTATGCTGAGAAGGTAAGTTAGAGCGGAAAATACGTGACCATTCCTTGGCCTTGGGTCACTTAAGTTATAACCTCCCTTCAGAGAGTAGAGAACAAACATTGCCTCTGAGACAAAAATAACTTCTTTTTTGTTTGTTTGTTTGTTTGTTCTGAGAGAGGGTCTTGCTCCGTCACCCAGGGTAAAGTGCAGTGGCATGATCATGGCTCACTGCAGCCTCAACCTCCTGGGCTCAGGCAATCCTTCCACTTTAACCTCCCAAGCAGCTGGGACTACAGGTGCATACCACCACGTCTGGCTACTTTTTAAATTTTTTGTAGAGACAGGGTCTCCTTATGTGGCCCAGGCTGCTCTCAAAGTCCTGTCCTCAAGCCATCCTCCCACCTTGTCCTCCCCAAGTGCTGGCATTATAGGCATGAGCCACCATGCCTGGCCAAAATAAGAACTTTTTGAGCTATTCTATAGGGCGTCTGAGTTTTGAAACGGGAAAAGAGAGCTATATTTGACTAAAAATAGTAGGATTTTCATGTGAGAGAGACAATCTAGAGGGAGGTCAGTGCTGGTCCTCAAATCCTTGGGACTACTAGAGAAATGGGCTCATATAAGGGGAAAAGATGAAAAACAATAACAACCAAAATGTTGCCAAAGGTTAGAAACAATGAGCTTTAATACCTGGCCAGTGACAATGCTTTCTGAATAGCAAAGGAGACAGATTAGATGAGGAAAATAAGGTTAGGCTTTGTGCCCAGGAACCTGAGCCACTGAAGCCTGTCAGTGGCCAGAGTTCCATTACCTTAGGAAAATGGCTCCAGGCTCTCTCAGTATGTCTGTTTATAGGCATTCTCCCCGCATTCATATCTCACCCTTATTTCCTAGTTGTGTTTCCTTTGAAAACTTATACTCCTCGAGCCTGTGCTAAGACTGCAGAGGTCCATCCAAACCTGGACCACAGTAACTAGCGAGATCCAAGTGCACCCTTGGTGTGCAGGGTGCCTGTCTCAGGAGCATAGTCAGAGAACAGCTGATACAGCGAGGGTAGATGGAAAGGTGAAGATTATGTCTGTCTGCCTGCATTGTCCTCTCCACCCTCTTGTTTTCTTGGCAGAATCCTTGATCATTCAGGATCTGCTCAAATGTTAATATCTATTATCTCTCTGTAAACCCCATTGATGGAAAGAGCTCTATTCCCACAGCATCTTGTACACAGCATTAATTATGCATTTGCTGCATTATTTTCTAATGGTTTGTGTGTCCATCTTTCTTACTGGACCATCAACTCTAAGATGTTAGGGACTGTATTTTGCATCTATCTCCAGCCCTAAATCAGTATCCAGAACTATATTGTGCCGTATGGTAGCTGCCAGCTACATGTGGGTATTGAGCAGTTGAAATGTGATAAATTCCAACTGAGATTGTTGTGAGTGTAAAATACACATCAGGTTTTGTCAACCTAGTATGAATAAGAGAATGTAGGCTGGGTACAGTGGCTCATACCTGTAATCCCAGCATTTTGGGAGGCTGAGGCAGGCAGATCACTTGAGGCCAGGAGTTCAAGACCAGCCTGGCCAACATGGCAAAACCCTGTCTACTAAAACTACAAAAAATTGGCCAGGCATAGTGGTGCATGCCTGTAATCCCAGTTACTTGGGAGGCTGAGGCTCAAGAGTCACTTGAACCTGAGATGCAGAGGTTGCAGTGGGCCGAGATCACACCACTGCACTCCAGCCTGGGCAACAGAGTGAGACTCTGTCTCAACGAAAAAAAAAAGAGAGAGACAGCCGGGCGTGCTGCCTCAGGCCTATAATCCCAGCACTTTGGGAGGCCGAGGCGGGTAGATCACCTGAGGTCAGGAGTTCGAGACCATGCTAGCCAACATGGGGAAACCCCGTCTCTACTGAAAATACAAAAATTAGCTAGTTGTGATGGCAGGTACCTGTAATCCCAGCTACTCAGGAGGCTGAGGCAGGAGAACCACTTGAACTCAGGAGACGGAGGTTGCAGTGAGCCGAGATCTCGCCACTGCACTCCAGCCTGGGTGACAGACAGAGACTGTCTCAAAAAAAAAAAAAAAAAAAAAAGGGAGAGAGAGAATGTAAACTATCTCACTAATAAATTTTTATAATGATTACATGTTACAATGATAATGTTTGGGATGTATTGTGTTAAATAGGATATATTATTAAAATTAATTTTATCTGCATCTTTTTACTGTCTTTCATGGCTACTAGAAAATTTAAAAGTATATATATGGCTCCTGTTATCCTTTTATTGGGCAGGGATGGTCTAGAACATAGTAGAGGCTTGAGTCAGGGTCTTAGCAGGCAAAAGAAAATACATTCATTTTGGATTTTGAAGAGATGTTAATGAAGGGGCAGTTTACAGAAGTGTGGGCAAGGTTAAGGAAACCCACAAAGGATGCTGAAGCACCAAAAGACTAGCAAAAGAGGGGAGCAGTTAGCCTACAAAGGAGAGGAAAAGCCGTTACTAGAGCTGGTGAGCACTGGAGGTGCCTAAGAGGAGCACCCAGCAGGAGCTCCAGTTCCCGTCACTGCCAGAACCATGCCTTGCTCCCACTGGCTGTAGGGAATCAGAAGCTGGAAGGCAGAGATCCTGGATGATGCAGCCCTTAGGGGACCGCTCCCACCACCCTGGGCAGAGAAGAATGGAGAATAGGTGAGGGCAGGAGGAGAGCATGGGATAAAGAGTAATGAGCACAGAGCTCAGTACATTTGTTCAGTGAATGAATGAAACGAAACTAGTCACTAAGGAGAGAATGGAGGACGGTGGAAAATTAACTTTTTCCCATCTGGAATTATTTTGCAGTAGTGCTTTTCAAACTGTTCTGTGACACTGAAGAGTTTAGTGAAATTATGTTAGGGGTTCCACAGACATTTCTTTCTTGTTCTAAATATGTATATTTCTAACTATTAAAATACTGTCCTTGAGGATGGGCGCGGTGGCTCACATCTGTAATCCCAGCACTTTAGGAGGCCAAGGCAGATGGATCACTTGAGGTCAGGAGTTTGAGACCAACCTGGCCAACATGGTGAAACACCATCTCTACTTAAAATATAAAAATTAGCTGGGCATGGTGGCACATGCCTGTAGTCCCAGCTATTCGGGAGGCTGAGGCAGGAGAATTGCTTGAACCTGGGAGGCAGAGGTTGCAGTGAGCTGAGATTGCAGCACTGCGTTCCAGCTTGGGCAACAGAAGAAGACTCCATCTCAAAAAAAAAAAAAAAAAAAAAAAGAACTTCCCTAAAGCACAGGAACATGCACATCCAAACGTGTTATATATCAAAATTTTTAACATATGGGAAACAGGTCACACGTCAACTTGTGCTGCCAGGTGAATTTTTGTGCAAGCCTAAAAACAAGAGTTCCTCCTGTCTCTTTTGTGCTTTTATTTGAACATCATTTTTTATTCTTTTAATTTTTCTAGTCAGTCTCTGCTTATCCATTAATTGAATATCTTAAACGTGTCACTAATTAATTTTTAGGTCTGCATTAGTCTTTTAGAAAAATTCAGGTCTACACGTGTCCGTTTATATAAAATTGCACACATTTGTATACCATTGTAACACATGGGCACAGGTCAATTAAATGCTGAGCAATGTTCAGGAATGTGTATTTGACACGTGTTCATGTCTCATCATGTATCTCACTTGCTATCATGTTTATGTAAAAATGATACATTCATGTTAAGGAATTCTACAATAGCGGATACTGTAGGAATTCAATCTGAAATGCATTTCTGGCTATTTGCATTTGATGTTCCCTATGCCTTGAAGATATTTCCTTCAGCTCTTGGTAAGGCTGAGATTAAGATGTTCCTTAGTTCTATTTATCCTTTTTATCCTTTAGCTTTTAGCTGAAATGTTTCCTCCTTGGGAAAGGCTTCCCTGACCACCTAATCACTTAAGTAGGTTCCCCTCCCCATTCTCTCTTTAAGCCTTATTTCAGCCTTCATAGCACTTATCACAATTGGTAACTGTTTTACATAATTACCTCTTTATTGGTTTTCGCCTGTTTCCCTAGCAAGAATTTAAATTTCATCAGTGTAGGGATGGGGTCTCTACTTAGCATGGGTCAGGGACTATTTGAGCTTTACCCATATTCATTCATCTACTCACAATCACCTTGTGAGGGCCCCTTTGAAAGACAAGGACACCGAGATGCAGAGAGGGTAAGTGGCCTGGTCAAGGTCTCCTAAGCTATTATATGAGAGAGCCAGGATTCAAACCCAGGAATCAGTGGGGGCCCAAGAGTACAGCAGCATGTTAATATTAAAGGCTTCCAGCTCCAGGTCACGAAGTGCTAACAAAAACACCGGATTTTTTTTTTCTTTTCTTTTTTTTTTTTTTTTTTTGAGATGGAATCTCGCTCTGTCGCCCAGGCTGGAGTGCAGTGGTGTGATCTCCACTCACTGCAACCTCCGCCTCCCAGGTTCAAGCCATTCTCCTGCCTCAGCCTCCTGAGTAGCTGGGATTACAGGCACCCACCACCACGCCTGGCTAATTTTTTGTATTTTTAGTAGAGATGGGGTTTCATTATGTTGGCCAGGCTGGTCTTGAACTCCTGACCTTGTGATCTGCCCACCTTGGTCTCTCAAAGTGCTGGGATTACAGGTGTGAGCCGCTGTGCCTGACCAGGCTAACATTTTTTGAAAGCTTCCCACGGTGCTGGGTTATGTGAATTATTTTTACTATTACAATAATCTTATGAGGTAGGTACTATTATCCCAATTTACAAATGAGTTGAGACCTAGAGAAATTAAGTACCTTTCCAAAGATCACCCAGCCCAAAAATGGCAGAATGAAGATTTGAACCTATCCTCCTAACCATCTTGCCCTATCACCTGCCTGGAATTCCAATTCTCCTACACGCTACATGGTACCTTGTGTCAGACCATGCGTGGACATCGATTTCTCATCCATGAGTTGGAAGAATATGTATTTGCTGGGCCAGATGCAGTGGCTCATGCCTATAATCCCAGCACTTTGGGAGGGCAAGGCAGGTGGATCACCTGAGGTCAGGAGTTCAAGACCAGCCTGGCCAACATGGTGAAACCCCCTCTCTACTAAAAATACAAAAAAATTAGTCAGGCTTGGTGGTGCACACCTGTAGCCCCAGCTACTTGGGAGGCTGAGGCAGGAGAATTGCTTGGGAGGTGGAGGTTGCAGTGAGCTGAGATCATGCCACTGCACTCCAGCCAACAGAGTAAGACTCCATCTCAAAAAAAAAAAAAAGTATCTGCTGAGCACGTCTGTGTTCTCTGGGTGGAGAGCTGGAGGGTGGGTATATGTAGATGAGGTGTATTAGCAGAGGTCACCAGGAAACCTTTTGCTCATTCTAATCTAGTCCTGTCCTCTCCAAATGGTGTTCTTCTTGGGCCTCCCAGTTTAACATTGTCATTTCCCTGTGGAAATGCTGGGAAACACAATGTGTGGAAATTAAACAATATACTCCTAAATAACCCATGGGTCAAAGAACAAAGAAGAAATCAAAAGAGAAATTAGAAAATAATTTGAGAGGCAAAAAGTACTTTGAAAAGAGGAAAAATGAAGACACAACATACCAAAACTTAGGGGATGTAACTGAAGCCTCCTGTGTACAGAATAGAAGGGACTTCAAAAAGTTCATGGAAGATTATTAAATTAAAAGATAAAAATGAAAAATATAAGCTTTATTTTTCAACATAAGCTTCATCAAGCCGAAGACACTTTTGTAAACAATGATACCAGCCATTTAGTCTTTTCCTAAAGAACGTAGGGTCCTGGGAATGTAACCACGTCAAGGCAGTCTTTTTTTTTTTTCTTTTGAAATGGAGTCTCACTCTGTCACCCAGGCTGGAGTGCAGTGGCATGGTCTCCGCTCACTCCAACCTCCACCTCACGTGTTTAAGCAGTTCTTCTGCCTCAGCCTCCCAAGTAGCTGGGATTACCGGTGTGCACCACCATGCCTGGCTAATTTTTTTTTTTTTTTTTTTTTTTGTATTTTTAGTAGAGACAGGGTTTACCATGTTGACCAGGCTGGTCTTGAACTCCTGGCCTCAAGTGATCCACCTGCCTCAGCCTCCCAAAGTGCTGGGATTACAGGCGTGAACCACTGCACTCGGCCAGGGCAATCTTTTTTGCATTGTCAACTGAAGAAAAATGGATGCACTGTAAAGGATATTTTTAATTTTTATTTTTAGAAGCAGGGTCTTACTCTGTTGCCAGGCTGGAGTGCAGTGGTGAGATCATAGCTTACTGCAACCTTGAACTTCTGGGCTCAAGCAGTCCTCCTGCCTCAGCCTCTCAAGTAGTTAGGAGTACAGGTGCATGCTGCCACACCCAGCTAATTTGTTAAATTTGTAGTAGAAATGAGGTCTCACTATGTTGCTCAGGCTGGTCTCGAACTCCTGGCCTTAAGCAATCCTTCCCCCTCAGCATCCCAAAGTGTTGGAATTACAGGTGTAAGACACCAGGCTCAGCTAAAGACTTTTTAAGATTATGAAACAGAAAGAATTTCAGGGCTGGGCACGGTGGCTCACCCTGTAATCCCAGCACTTTGGGAGGCCGGGGCAGAAGTATTGCTTGTGTCCAGGAGTTCAAGACCAGCTTGGGCAACATAGAAAGACCCCTACTGATCTCTTTGGGACATTGTTTCCATAAACTTTTTGTAAAGCATCAATGATTTCACTATTTTTCTACACAAACCATAAATTTGATGTTGGTTTTTTTTTTGTTTTTTTTTTTTTAGACAGAGTCTTGCTCTGTCCCAAGCAGGAGCACAGTAGCGCTATCTCAGCACACTGTGACCTCCACCTCCTGGGTTCAAGCAATTCTCCTGCCTCAGCCTCCCGAGTACCTGGGATTACAGGTGTGTGCCACCATGTCCTACTAATTTTTGTATTTTTAGTAGAGACGGGGTTTCGCCATGTTGGCCAGGCTGGTCTGGATCTCCTGACCTCAGGTGATCCGCCCACCTCAGCCTCCCAAAGTGCTGGGTTTACATATGTGAGCCACTGTGCCCAGCCTTAACATTAGTTCTTGCTTCAATTTTATTAATAGCAGAATTCATGTTGCTCTGATGGGGGCTCTTCTCAGACTGATGTCTTATCCTTCTTAGTGCCCCAAACTAGATCCTGTTCAGACATGCCATAACAAATTAGTATGAGTTTATTTTAGTGCAAACATTTTGAATTCTCTGCATAGTTTTTTGATAATACACATTTTCCATGAATTTTTTTGAAGAGCTCCTCATACGTGTGTGTTTAACTTATTTCTATCTTCTCTTTCACATGATTCACTTTTTTTAAAAAAAATCTATTTAAGCAGCACTTACTGAAGGCCAACTCTGGGCCAGACACTGTGCTGAGATTTGGAGACACGGATGACCAGAACACGGTCACAGTCCTCTAGGGATGCTAGGCAGATGGAGCACATAAACTAATGATTACACCAATTAGTTGGCCAAGGATTTGAACCAGGATTCTAGTCAGCAGGACCAGAGGAAAGATACTACCCTTTTGACCTGTTACTGTCTCATTTTGTCTTTTATTGTATCTTCCTCCAGCTTTCCTTTTCTCTCAAAGACTTTCTTTTCTGGCTATCTCATGTTCCCCTTTTTCCCTACTTTTTAATTATTTATACAGCCAATTCCAGGTGACCTCTTTTGTGAATTTTATACAATTAATGCTTGGCCCCCCAACTGCTGGAATCTGGATTTAATCCTCCACCATCTGCCCCCCACTCCCCAGAATGATGAATGCTCAGGGAACAGGGATTAATTGTAACATTAGCCTAAGGAAAGCTGAACTAGGCAGTCATTAGTTCCTTACCACTCCCTATTTCCTTGCTTTCCACAAAATTTAGGATTTCTTCCCAACCCACATAGAAATGACTTTTTAAAAAAAATTTCTCAGTTCTCTGCTCCATCTCCATTGGCACAAACATTACAAATAGATGTCTTGTGACTTCTTTCCTGCTGTCCCTGGAATTGTGGAATGTTGTTTTGAAATTCTTCTTTGGATTTTTGTATCCAGAGTTATATCCCCAATTCTTAGCATACTGCCTGACACATAATAGGTTTTCAATAAATATATGTGAAAATAAATGCAAAGTGAAAAGAGAGAAAAATATTAGTAGATGATTTTTGCATGAACAATGTTGCTATGTTTTTATTTAGAAGTTTATGCATCCATTTGACCCCTAAATTATATCGTCCTCAAGAATAAGGGGACTAGTTTTTCTTCTTCTTTATATTCTCTCCTGCCCTGTGCCTAAAATAATACCTGATACGGCACAAAACCATAATCTATATTTGTTGAATGAAGAATAAGTAAAGACTAGACAGTTGATATCTGTGATTGATGTGGATGAGGATTTATATTATTAATGTTGTCTTAACTATTTTCTGGAACAAAGTGTAAATAACTTGGGTAAATAAACTATAAATGGGATTAGAAGAAGGTCTTGGAGAAGAAACGTCATGGGTGGCACTAATGCTGGGGGAGCCCCCGCTTACGATGGGTGTGCCTGCCGCTGTTTCACTCCCCTGGAGAGAGAACTCTGGAGATGGCTTTGCACATGGAATGGGGGTACAAGAGTGTGAACACGTGGCTGTGGGATTTTAACATAGTAATTGCCTTCCAAACACTTGAAAAAGACTTTTCTAATCCTATTCTATTGCTATTGCCTCTGTGTTTTCGCCTCATATCACATTTAAATTCTATGACTTGTCCAGTTAATGTGGACATGCATAACAAGTGGGCCCAGATCTTATTCTAAATGGAAGCCAGAGCCACTGTCCAGACACTAGGAAAGCATAATTACCCCAAGAGCAGAGTTGTGTTTTCTGAGAGGGCTTTGAGCAGTGTCTATGGAGCCCCAGATGTAAATTTCCGCATTAGACAAGTAAAAAGATTTATGAAACACGTTTCTCCTCTTTCTTGGAGAAAAAAAAAAAATCTTCTCTTTTGCGAAAAGACTTAGTGTTTGAGTACTTCTTGACCCTTAAGGGAAAGGAGGAAAATTATATCAGAAGTCTATGCATGCTAAAATAACATTCATTCAAAATGAGGAGTGATTGATTCTTTCCATATGTTCTTATCCTATTTCAATTTAAATTAATTTTGCAGGAGTCATTAACTATCTCCACAAAATTTGCTGGATTTTCTCCGAATGCTGGCTTTGGCACACCTGCAGCCAGTGCATGTCTTTATGGTTAATCTGTAGGAACCAAAATTAATTTCAGTAAAACAGCTAAATGGTCCTCAAGAGTCCTTACTCATGTGTCTGGTTAGCATTCACCAGGGGCAGTAAACACAGCCTGACAAGGGTGATAGAAATGTTTCAAGGGACCTTTCCAAGTTTTCTCACTATCTTTTTTTCTTTTTTAAATTTGCAGGTGCAAAAATTCCATTTATAATTCTTTAATTCCAAGGGCAATGGGTATCTTGGGGTCTCAGATTCAGGACAAGTGGCCAGCTGGGACACAATATTCTGCTTGCAAGTCATGGCAGGTGCAGAAGGAGGGCAAGCCATTAAAAGTTTGGCCTGTTCTCCTTTTCTCTCTTTTTGTGCTTCCTTTTCCTCTTCTAGACGGGTGTACAATTACACGAGCTGAATTAGTTATCTCCCAAAGCTGTGCTGTTGTACATCCAGGAAAAGGACTTGATTACTCAACCCATGGTTCCAGGAGCCTTATTTGGGTTCTTTTGTGCAGCAGAAGAAAAAAGTGCTGAGTGCACCCTCTATTTGTTTTGCGATTTGCCTGCTGGGCACATTACTTGCTATCACTCTGGTTTCAATAGATGTCTTTCCACGGAGATTTTAGGATGTCTATATTTAGAAAACAATAAAATATGTATAAGATGGAAAAATTAGGGGAAAGCAGAAGTGTGCTGAGGAGGAGAGAAAAGGGCAAGAGACAGTCATGGATCCTTCTCATGACAGGAGCTGCCCCTAGCATCCAGGCTTGACTTCTTTCTTGCCTTGCCAAGTGTTCCACTGTGCAATGTGGAGTTATTAAGTGTGGAGATGAGGGGAGGAACAAGAGACAAGGAAAACCTAGCTCCAGTACTCTGGTGTCTTTGGAGAGAGTTTTGCCAGGGCATGTACTGGACACAGTGTGAGAATCCAGGAAGGCAGAGACATGTCAGCTGTGAGAAGCATATCCATGCAGTTATTATGGCCACATGTAATCTTTGCTGGGCTTTGTCAGCATATGAGCTGCTGATGAGGATGACTTCTTTCCCAACCAGGAATGGTTTGTATGGCTTTTCTGCAAGCTATTGCTGGGAGTTTAGGTTTGGGGATTCCTGAGGTGGGTGTAACTAGAAAAGGCTCTGGTTTATCTTCACTCAGACTTTGATGATTTGAAAAGATTAACAGGCAAAATACTCAAAGATTAAAAACAAACAAATGGAAAAAGAAAGGAAGGATGGAGAACTTGAAAGCAAGGAAGAAATGACTTTTAGATGGTCTAGTCTCTTGTCCTGTGTAGCTATAATGACTTCATTGCACATGATCTCAGATAGTAGGTTAATTTGGTTCTGGGCCTGGTATATGTTTGTTCAATTTTATGTGGTCTCCTTAATGCTGTATGGAATATTGTAAATTTGTAGTTATTTATTTATGTATATATTTACTTACTTATTTAACTGTACACCTAGCATAGAGACACAACTAGTTGGGTACTTAACAAATAGATATATGAGTTGCCATAGCTACAAACTACTACTAACAGTAGGATGTTCATAGCCATTTTCTTTTTCTTTTTTTTTTTTTTTTTTGAGATGGAGTTTTGCTCTTGTTGCCCAGGCTGGAGTGCAATGGTGCGATCTCAGCTCACTGCAACCTCCACCTCCTAGGTGATTCTCCTGCCTCAGCCTCCTGAAGAGCTGAGATTACAGGCGCCTGCCACCAAGCCCAGCTAATTTTTATATTTTTAGTAGAGATGGAGTTTCACCATGTTGGCCAGGCTGGTCTTGAACTCCTGACATCAGGTGATCCACCCGCCTCAGCCTCCCAGAGTGTTGGGATTACAGGCATGAGCCACCACGCCCGGCCCCCATTTTTTTGATATTAAAAATGCAATGAAAAAAACAGAAGAAAGGGTTTATTTGGCCAAAAAAACCATAATGACTTTAAGATGTATAATTTAACACCAATTTCTTCCTTAAAAAGTTAAAGGCCTGTGATCATTTTAAGTGATATGATTAGGAGAAATAAAATTGTGTGATGAAGTAGCCACTATCAGGTTTCAGCTGCCTGGTTAGACTTCACCACAGGACTAGCCCTGTCTCAAAACATCAGATTCTGGTGTTGTGAATAAGAAAGTATCCCCCAGTAGTCCATCCTTCTATCAGGGGAAATAACTTTCCTCCAGCATTGAATCACTTTTCTAGGTAGAAAGTTTTGGATATAACTCCTTCTGAAATGTTCCTCCCCAGGCCAGACCCCTGAACTTTCCTGAGGAAAGGAAGTGGCCCACAACCTATCTCTGCCTCATGGTCTCCCTGCAGACTAGAAAAAAGAAAATAATACTATCAGAAAACTTGAGTTCCACTCCTGGCCCAGCCACTCTTGTGCAATGTAGAAAAATTAACTTCATTTCCCTGGACCTCAGGTCCTCATGGATGTAAAGAAGTGTGCTACTTGCTCTGATACTTCAAAAGACAGTTTACAGAGTAGCAAATAACGTCATGAAAAGAATGACGGCTTTGGAGTCAGCCAGATCTGGTTCATTCTTCAACAAATCTTTATTTAGCATCTACTATATGCCAGGCGCTATTCTTGGTGCCAGATGCTGCCTACATGAAGCTCACATTTTAATGTGGGGACCAATACTAGTTTGTGGCCTTGGGCAAATCATTTAGCCCCTCTAAGCTTGTTTTTTCCACCTGTAAAATGGACATTATAATAACATTTCAAGATGCATTGTCAGGATTAGATACAATGATATTTAAAGCACCTATTATACACTAGAGGCTCAATGAATGGTATGTAAATAATACTATACGATACATGATAAAACACTTTTTTCAATTGTACGATTCTATCCAGATAGGCAAATTATTATTTTTTCATCTCTGTACTGTGTGACTCTAAAGCCATAGATAATCACAAAATTACACTGCAGATTTAATAAATTTACTTCTCTTTACTGCCTTAAAAGCAACTTCATTTATCAAAGAAATATTTTTTGAGTCTCTACTATGCATTAAATACTAGGCTGGCACTAGGGATATGGAAATAAATGAGACTTCCCTGCCCTTACTTAGGATCATAGCAGTAAATGTTTGGATTTCACCAGGGTCCTCACTTTTGGAGAGCTTATTCTTCTAGAGTTTGTATTAGTTATTGACTGTTTAGAAAGAAATCAAGAAAGGAAAACAACCCTCTAATTGGCAAGTGGGTTAAGCTAAAGTTTTCTTAGAGAGACCTAAAGCTGTGTATATAAGACCCCTGGCAATCTCACTCTACTCAAAATGAAACAGATAGGAGAACACATCTTTCCTATAGATGCCTTAGAGGTAAAATTTCAATCTACCAACATCTTTTGCAACAAAAGAAAATCAATTAAGTTATTTACTATACCCAGCCATGTGACCAGTGTTGTTACACATATTTCAGAGATATAAATGAAAATAAGGAGATATTCCTGGAGCTCAGCAGGAGACATGACACCTGCCCTTGAGGCAGGAGGTAGAATGTGTTCATTTATTTACTTATTTATTTAGTCACGAAAAATCTGTTTAGTAACCATGGCCTTTGAGGAATCACACTGAGTGCTGGGAATACTAAGTGGGAGAACCAATAAAGTGGAAGAACAGTTATTGAGCACCTATTGTGCACCAGGCACTGTCCATCATTTTACCTCCATCATCTCAATGCATTTCCATCAATCCTAAAAGAATTTTTTTCTAAAAAGGGTTGTATGCTTTGACCTCAAGGTGTTCATTGGGGTGTGAGAGGACAGAAAGCATCAATCCACAGCGAAAAGGAATGCCATGGAGGAAAATGCCCAGAGCCAGTGAGCTCAGTAGAGGAGAGAATGGTTCACTGTCCCCAGAGGGTAGGGGCAGGCTTTGAAGAGGTTGTGGCATTCTAGTTTTTAAGCAGGAGCAACACAGGTGAAAGAGATCACTACTAGATAGGCAGGGATACAGATGACAGAGAGATAGGAATTGACAGCACAGACCATTCATGCTATAGGAGCTGGCCAAACCCCAAGGCTCTCAGAGCACCAGGTTACCAGTTGCTTCCCAAGCATTCACCCAGAGTAGTTGCTCATCTGAGAAGCTCTGTTTCCCTGAAATAATGACACTGGGATTCAGATTTCTAGCCCAATTCATGGTGCACTTGGGGCCTCACTTATAACCCATTCTTGGTTTTATGAAGCAAACAGTTTCCTTCTGCTCTGTGCTCTGTTTTAGAGTCAGGAGCTGATCTTTGCACTGATGCCATGCTAGATCTTTATTTGTTTTGTGCTGATGAGATTTAGGAGTGAGAAGTGGAAAATAAACTGATCCTCTCTATCTCCCACTACTGGGTTTTGATAGATAAAGTGGTCCTCTTGAAGTTTTTCTTCTTTCATTTGGAAAGTGTCATAAGATGTAGGTTAAGCTGGGTGCGGTGGCTCACGCCTGTAATCCCAGCACTTTGGAAGGTGGAGGTGGGCAGATCACGAGGTCAAGAGATCCAGACCATCCTGGCCAACTTGGTGAAACCCCGTCTCTACTAAAAATACAAAAATCAGCTGGGCATGGTGGCAGGCGCCTGTAATCCCAGCTACTCAGGTGGCTGAGGCAGGAGAATCTCTGGAACCTGGGAGGTGGAGGTTGCAGTGAGCTGAGATCACTCCACTGTACTCCAGCCTGGTGACAGAGCAAGACTCCATCTCAAAAAGAAAAAAAAAAGATATAGGTTAAGCAGTAAAGTGTGGTGCCAGGCTGGGAGTGGTGGCTCAGGCTTGTAATCCCAGCACTTTGTGAAGCCAAGGCGGGGTGGATCACCTGAGGTCAGGAGTTTGAGACCATCCTGGCCAACATGGTGAAACCCCATCTATACTAAAAATACAAACATTAGCAGGGCATGATGTCGCCTGGTGGTAGTCCCAGCTACCCAGGAGGCTGAGGCAGGAGAATCGCTTAACCACGGGAGGCAGAGGTTGCAGTGAGCCAAGATCGTGCCACTGTACTCCAGCCTGGGCGACAGAGTGAGACTCCATCTCAAAAAAAAAAAAAAAAAGTGTGGCACCAGATAGACATAAGTTCAAATCCCAGATCTACTTCTTATTAGTTGTGTGATCTTGAGCATTGACTTTTCACCCAAATTTGGACCCAAATTCTGAGAGGTGAGATACAACTATAAATTTGGAGTGCACCAAGGAAAAATTTAGAGAGCTCTTCTTTACTCCTCTGTTATTGGAATAAACAGGTATAACTCAGTGATCACATCTAGAGCATCAAGGCCATAGAGAAAGAAAAAAGCAACCACAGGCTGGCTCTCTAACTAGTTTACTCTTCATTGCCTAATTCAGCAAGCTAAATACCTGATCCAAAAGGAAATTATTAAGAGTTTTTTGCAATAAATACTGTATATAGGCTCCACTTTATCTTGGAGGTCTGTGATTATGTTTAGAAAACAGCTTTTATTGAAAAGCTAAACTTATGAATAGGTAGGAGGCTAGAACTTTCGACCTACAATAATAATAATAGCAATCATAATAACTTTGGGAGGCGTTTACTATAAGCCAGGCACTATTTTAAGCACTTTATTATGAATTGATTCATTTAATCTTATAGTCATCCTATGAAATAGGTACTATCATTATCTCTATTTTAAGATAAGGAAATTAGGCCAGGTACAATGGCTCATGTCTGTATTCCCAACATTTTGGGAAGCCAAAGTGGAAAGATCCCTTGAGGCCAGGAGATTGAGACCAGCCTGGGCAAAAATGTGAGAACCTGTCTCTGCAAAAAATTTAAAGAATTAGCCAGGCATGGTGGCCTGTGCCTATAGTCCCAGCTGCTTGGGAGGCTGAGGCAGAAGGACTGCTTGAGCCTGGGAGGTCAAGGCTTACAGTGAGCCATGATAATGCCACTGCACTGTAGCCTATGCAACAGAGCAAGACTCTGTCTCAAAAAAAGAAAAAGAAAAAGAAAAAGGAAATTGAGCCACAGAGAGGGACAGTGGCTTGCTGACTTGTCGGAGCCAGGATTTTTACCTACGCTGTCTGCTTTAGAGCCTGTCATGAACCTCTCTCCAGTTCTATAAGCCAACTTCTTTTAAAATAATTATAATAATAACATTTTGTGTTCCAATTATAAAACTAAGTCATGGTAGGAATTTTTGAAATTAGAGAAAGGGGTAAAGAAACTGAAATTATTTATATTTTTATTACCCAGGGATAACATTTATTAACATTTGGGTCTATTTCCTTTTGGAAATTAAATTGCATATATAATTCTCTTTTCAAATAGCATAACACCACATATGACTTTTTAAATTTAATGTTACAATTTGAGCATTTTCTCATGTTATTAAATATTCTTATAAACCATAGATTTTAATGGCTGCAAATATTCCAATTATCTGGCGGTCCCATAATTTACTTTAAAAATCACATGATATTGGGCCATTAGCTTGTTTCCAATGTTCTTGAGAAACGTTTGTTGTACTTCTGTGTTGGTTTCTGGAGGATGCCTTAGCCTGGTACTTTCAAGAGGTACACAGGCTGTTTGAAGAGTGGCTAATTTTCTACTGAAGGGACTGTGCCCGAATCCCTGTCCCCCAAGTAAGAACACCCTAAGCCACTGAAGACAGGTGAGAATTTTGAAAAGTCTCTTGAGTATCTGAATTCTCAGTGAGGGTCCAGAATCTTATTCAATTTTTTAAAAACTCGTATTATTTCCCCCTAGTTTAGTAAGTAAAACATGTATCTTGTGTTAAAAAAAAAAAAAAAGTAGAACATGAAAATGAACAAACAAAAAAAATGAAATCAATCTAAAATCACACCACAGCACAGCTTGTCAAGTATTTATCTTTGCACACTACACACTATCTTGTTACCTGTTGTTTTACTCAACGACATAATATGCGCATTTTCCTATTAATAAATGTAGGTCATCATACCAGATGGTAGCTGATCTCTGCCCAGCTGCTCTCCCACCCTCAGGCCTGATCCCTACAGGCAATTGCTTTTCACTGATTTATGTTTGCATGAATATAAAGCATGGTTCCTCCTTCTCCATTGTGCCACACCTACCAGAGACTAGTTCTTGTACTTTCCAAACCCAAAGCAGCTGCCCTGCCATCAAGGCGTTGGCCTTCTACTGGAGAAGTATATTACTGAAAAAAATAAATAAATAAAATAAATCTATTAAAAAGTGACCCAAAGTGGTGTTTTTAATAAGGAGGAGTAAGGAAATGTGGGAATAAGGAAATATCCAGACGATTTTACAAACCCAAACCCGTTATCCTATTTATGACACAACCTATGGTGTTGAGTTTTTCTTGTGTTTCTCTACCTCGAGCTGGTAGAGAAAGGGCCTATCGAGTTAGCTATGTGCATCTATGATCCCCCGGTTAAATTTCTGCCTCTGACTTTTAAGGAGACGCTTTTACCTCATCTTCTTCCTAATTTTCCCAAAAAAGGAGAGTTCTATCCAAGTTGTGTCAGAAGCTAAGTCTAAACTTATTTTAAATGACTATTTTTGAAATTAGTAAAGACAGGACTCTGACCCCCGCCAGTCTGCCCAGACAGGCTTTTTTTGTTTTTGTTTTTGTTTTTGAGATGGAGTCTCACCCTGTTGTCCAGGCTGGAGTGCAGTGGCGCCATCATGGCTCACTGCAGCCTTGACCTCCCTGGGCTCAGGTGTCCTTTCATCTCAGCCTGCTGAGTAGCTGGGACTATGGGCACGCGCCAGCACACCTGGCTGATTGTTTGCATTTTTCGTACAGACAGGGTTTCACCATGTTTCCCAGTCTGGTCTCAAACTCCTGGGCTCAAGCCATCAGCCCGCCTCGGCCTCCCAATGTGCTAACATTACAGGCGTGAGCCACCACACTCAATCCAGACAGACTAAAGGGATCTTTATACTATAAAGTGATCTTATACCCGGAGGAATTGTGAGCTTAGATATTACTATACTAAGACCACAAGTGGTAAAAATCAGATAAAGCAGTAATCATCTTACTTTGTGATCAAATTAATGCAGAAAAAGTAAGAAATGGTTTGACCTTGTAAGCTCTCTGAGGAAATAAGCAGTTTCAGTTAACACTGCTGTCGCAATCCCTATCTCACAGCTTCAGCTTAATCCCGTAGCAACACTCAGAACTCATTTTTATTATAATTACAGTTGACCCTCGAACAATGCAAGGGTTAGGGGCACTGCCCTCCCCCTTCGTCTTGTACAGTAGAAAATTCTCCTATAGCTTTTGACTTCTCCCAAGCTTAACTAACTTAACTACTAATAGCCTCTATTGACCAGAAGCCTCACTGATAACCTAAACAATTGATTAACACGTATTTTATATATGTATTATACCCTGTATTCCTACAATACAGTAAGTAAGAGAAAAGACAATGTTAAGAAAATCATAAAGAAGAGAACATACATTGTCAGTTCTGTGCTGTATTTATCCATACCGGAAGTTCACGCCATCCATTTACAAGATATATCATCTGTCTGAAATGGTGGCAACTGCAGTGTCTGACTGCAAATTGTGGTATGTATCAAGCCATTCAACTTTTTCTTTTAATGTCATGACTTTTCTCTGCTTCTTGGGAGCACTTCCAGCATCACTAGTGGCACTTTGTGTGGGTCCCATGATGTTATTCAAGGTTCATGGTATTGTACTAAACATGAAAAATACGCAAGAACCAGGGGAGATCACTTTTTACTGCAATATGCAATTTACTGAAGGGACAACTGCTCATAAGGAGATTAGGGTCGCATGGTGTTTTAAGCAGATAATCCCAATACTTGAGCTCACAATAGCAACAGGAGGTGGCAATGAAATATTACAGTAGCACAGTATGTACTGCTGTTAATTTTATGCAGCTATGATTTAATACTGCATTCTTATATTTGTTTACATTTTTCTCGACTTCAAATGGCACCACATATGGTCTGTGTTTGTGTGCATATAAATTGTAACTTTTTATAATAGATTTGTTTTTTTTATGGTAGTAAATGATAAAGGCTTAGTATCTTCATATATTTTATGCATTCATGATATACCTTTTTCTTAATTGTTTTAATATTTCTAGATATGCATGCAGTTCATCTGTTTTTTCAAATTGTCTCAAATCTCCAAAAATGTTTTCAATACATTTATTTTTAGAAATCTGTGTATGTGGAGTCACACAGTCTAAACTCGTGTTTTTCAAGGGTCAACTGTACTTATTATAGTCCCACAATATCTTATTATTTTTGCTTTAAATGGTCAATTATACTTTAAAGAGGTTTTTCTAAATAACAAAAGAGTCTTTTATTACTACTCAAATAGGTGCCACTTCTGATTCTCTTCTTTCCTTTGTATAAATCTAGATTTCCGTCTGATATCATTTTCCTTCTGCCTCAAGGACTTCCTTTAACATTTCTTATAGTACAGATTTGCTAGTGAAAAGCTTTTAGCTTTCATATGTCTGAAGATGTCTTTATGAGGTTTTCACTGGGTATAAAATTCTACGTTGACAATTTTTTTTTCCGTCAGTACTTTAAAGATGTTGCTTCACTTTCTTCTGGTTTGCATTGTTTCTGACAAGAAGTCTACCTTTCTACTTTCATTCTTATCTTGTTTATTCCGTACATTATAAACCTTTTTTTTTTTCTTCTGGCTGCTTTTAAGGTTTTTCTCTTTATCTCTGGCTTTGGACAATTTATCATGTGCCATGGTATAGTTTTCTTCTTGTGTCTTGTGCTTAGGTTTGTTGAGCTTCTTGGATCTCTGGGTTTAGAGTTTTCATCAAAATTGGACAATTTTCAGCCATTATTTCTTCAAAAAAATTTTGTTCTCCTATCTCTTTCCTGTCTGTTATGGATTGAATTCATACATTGAAACTAACCCCCTTCAATCTGCATTTGAAGATGGGGCCTTTAAAGGGGTAATTAAAGTTAAAGTTATAAGGGTGGGACCCTAATCAAATATGACTGGTGTCCATATAAGAAGAGGTAGAGACAACAGGGAGGCACACACAAAGAAAAGGCCATGAAAGGAGACAGCAAGAAGGTGGCTGTCCACCAGCCAAAGAGAGAGGCCTCGGGAGAAACAGAACCTGTCAGCACTTTGATCTTAGACTTCCAGCCTCCAGAAACATGAGCTTAAATTTTTATTTAAGCTACCCAGTCTGTGGTATTTTGTTATGGTAGCCCTAGCAAATTAGTATACTCTGTCTTGGGACTTCAATTACATATATATTAGGCTACTTAAACTTATTCCACTGCTTATTGAAACTGTTTTTTTTTTTAGACTTTTTTTCTCCCTCTGTTTCATTGAGAACTTTCTTTCTTTTTTTTTTAGTTTCCTTCAAGAAAAGATTTATTGCATATTATTAGTGATTATGTTTTACAGCAAAATTAAATATATATGCGTTTCACAAACACAAAATGGGAATCAAGGCATCTATCAAATTTAAATGTTGAACCAAGTCTTAGTTTTCAGAATTCAGTAGCCAGTCATGGTTCTGCACCAGGGCCACCAGTCCATGATTTCCAGTTGTTGAGGATCTTTTCAGTAATTGGAACAAAATCTTCCTTATCTGTGACAATTGTTTCCACATAAAACCCTTTTGGGGGTTCAGATAGTTCACTGGGTACTTCACTTGTTGAGCCATCCTTTTGCTGTACTTCATCACCTGACAACTTCGCCATTTTCTGGCCAAAGTAAACCATTGAGCCCACCAGAGACCGGGTGCCAATCCCATAGATCACCAACTGATCCCATAGACCACCAACATCCACTGGTACCGGGCCGTGAACTGGTTTTGATACATGGGTACACTGGCGAGGGCCTCGATTCTCACAGGCCCACGGTGGAGGCAGCTCCTTGTGAACTTTCTATTGCTGTGTCTTCAAAATCCATAATTTTTTCTTCTGCATTGTTTAATCTACCATTATTTCCATGCAATGGCACTTACATTCCCATCCAATGGCACAATACATCCAGTGTATTTTCATCTCAGATGTATTTTTATCTCTAGAAGTTTGGTTTGGGTATCTAAAGTTTTTTTAAAATGTTTGTGGGTACATAGTAGGTATATATATATTTATGGGATACATGAGATATTTTAGTACAGACAGGCAATGCATAATACTCACAGCAGGGTAAATGGGGTATTTATGACCTAAAGCATTTATCCTTTGTGTTACAAACAATTCAATTATATTCTTTTAGTTATTTTTAAATGTACAATAAATTATTGTTGACTGTAGTCACCCTGTTGTGCTATCAAATACTAGATCTTATTCATTCTAACTATATTTTTGTACCCATTAACCATGCCCACACTCCACCCCGCCTCTGACTACCATTCCAGCCTCTGTTAACCAACCTTCTATTCTCTATCTCAATGAGTTCAATTGTTTTAATTTTTAGTTTCCACAAATCAGTGAGATTATGTGAAGTTTGTCTTTCTGTGCCTGGATTATTTCACTTAACATAATGATCTCCAGTTCCATCCATGTTTTTGCAAATGACAGGATCTTATTCTTTATTCATGGCTGTATAATACTTCATCATGTATATGTACCACATTTTCATTACCCATTTGTCTGTTAATGGACACTTAGGTTGCTTAGGGAATCTAAATTTTTTATTAATATATTTTATTTTTTAGAATAGTTCTAGTTTACAAAAAACTGAGAAGAGGCTGGGCGTGGTGGCTCAGCCTGTAATCCCAGCATTTTGGGGGGCTGAGGCGGGCGGATCACCTGAGGTCAGAAGTTCGAGGCCAGCCTGACCAACATGGAGAAACCCTGTCTCTACTAAAAATACAAAATTAGACAGGTGTGGTGGCACAGGCCTGTAATCCCAGCTACTCAAGAGGCTGAGGCAGGAGAATTGCTTGAACTCAGGAGGCCGAGATTGCGGTGAGCTGAGATCACGCCATTGCACGCCAGCCTGTTCAACAAGAGCGAAACTCCATCTCAAAAAAAAAAAAAAAAAACTGAGAAGATAGTTGTTGTGAACTGACTCATGTCCTCTCAAAATTTATATGTTGAGGCCCTAGCTTCCAAAGTGACTGTATTTGGAGACAGGACTTTTAGGGAGGTAATTAAGGTTAAATGAGGTCAGAAGGGTGAGACCCTAATCCAATAAGACTGATGTCCTTATTTTAAAAAAGAGAAAAGACACCCCTCTGTCACTCTCCCTCTCTACAAGTGTAGGGAAGAGGCCATGTGATGACGCAGCAAGAGGTAGCTGCCTACAAGCCAGGAGGAGAGTCCTCAACAGAAACCAGCCCTGATAACTCCTTGATCTTGGACTTCTTGCCTCCAGAACTTAAAGAAAATAAATTTCTGTTGTTAAAGCCACCCAGACTGTGGTGGCTTTTACGGGCAGTCTGAGCTGATTAATGCAGTGCACAGGCTGGGCACAGTGGCTCACACCTGTAATCCCAGCACTTTGGGAGGCTGAGGTGGGAGGATCATTTGAGGCCAGGAGTTCGAGACCAGCCTGGGAAACATAGGGAGATCCCATCTCTGCAAAAAGTAAAAATAAATTAGCCGGGCATGATGGCACGTGCCTGTGGTCCCAACTACTCAGGAGGCTGAGGTGGGAGGATTGCTTGAGCTCAGGAGGTTGAGGCTGCTGTGAGCTGTGATCATGCCACTGCACTCTAGCTGGGTGACAGCAAGACCCTGTCTCAAAATAAATAAATACAGTGTACAAATATATCTGTTCAAACTATACTTTCAATTCTTTGAGGTATATACCAGAAGTAGAATTGCTAGTAGTTCTATGTTTAATTTTTGGAGTGACTGCCATACTGTTTTACATGTGATTAATTGTTAATAATAATAAAAACAAGGCAGCAGTATGTTGTTTAAAAAATCATAAAACTAGAATTTTAGCCATGCCTTTGCTACCAGCTCACTTCACTATGTGACCCTGACAAAATATTAAATCTCTTGGGGCCTCAGTGTCCTCATGTGATACAAGAGTTGTGCCGAATGATTTCATGGTCACGTCAGTGCCAGTGTTTCTTGATTCTATGATTCTAGGTGCTAGGACACCTGGGATCCCTAGTTGTGCATATTTGACAATACTACTACTTTTTAAGTTGCCTGCTATTAAGGGCTGAGACAGGGTAAGGTCCCTAGTGGGCTGAATTGAGTGTGTGGTGATCTCCAGAATGGCCAAAGGCAAAAGGCGCATCGAAGATTGGGACAATAAGGGTAATGTCAGTCATCAAAACTAAGGGTCAGGAGCAAGGGCTTTGTATAGGAGCCAGGGATCCCAGGAAGAGGTCAGGCTAGAGGTTGCCAAGCTAGACTGCAGAGCTGAGTGGTGACTGGCTTCCTTATGTTGGCCATAGGTGGTGCTGGACCCCAGAGTTCTGTTAGACTTCTCTGTGTCTCAGTCTCCCTTGCTGTAAAACAGTGCTATTAATTGCTATTTTTCTACCAGTTAGGCTAGAGATAAATGGAAATACAAACTTTGGAAAGAGCTAGACCTTAATTTTTTTTTTCTCAAATAAAAAACTAAATGTTAAATTTATTTAAGTTGGAGTAAAAATAAAAATTGGTGAATTTGAGTAAGAGTATATGGGAGTTCTTTGCACTATTCTTGCAGCTTTTCTGTAAGCTTAAAATTACATAATTGGATTCATGTGGACATAAAGATGGGACCAATAGACACTGGAGACTCCAAAAGGAGGAAAGGCGAGCAAGGCTGAAAACCTTCCTATTGGGGACTATGTTCACTATCTGGGTAATGGGACCAATAGAAAGAAGCCCAAACCCCAGCCCCATATGACATACTCTTGTAACAAATCTACACATGGACCCCCCTGAATCTAAAATAAAAATGAAAATGTAAAGATAAAATTACATCAAAACTTTAAGTTCCCAAGGAAAAGAGGAAAAACTTATTTAAGAAGGAGAGCGAGGCCAGGTGCAGTGGCTCACGCCTATCATCCCAACATTTTGAGAGGCCTAGGCAGGAGGCTCACTTGAGCCCAGGAGTTAAAGACCAGCCTGGGCAACGTAGTGAGACCTTGTCTTTACTAAAAAAAAAAAAAAAAATTTAGCTGGGCGTGGTGCCACACACCTGTAGTCCCAGTTACTCAGGAGCTGAGGCAGGAGGATAGCTTGAGCCCAGGAGTTCGAGGCTGCAGTGAGCGGTAATTGTGCAACTGCACTCTAGCCTGGGTGACAGAATGAGACCCTGTCTCAAAAAAATAAAAAAGAAAAGAAAAGAAATTTACCCACAGTTTCTTTAGAGTTGATTTTGGCCCAGCATGGTAGTGTGTGTCTATAGTCTCACCTACTCTGGAGGCTTAGGCAGGAGGATCATTTGAGCCCAGGAGTTTGAGGCTCCAGTGTACTATGGTCATAACTGTGAATAACCCCACTGCAGGCCAGCCTGGGCAACATAGGGAGATCCGTCTCTAAAAACAAACAAACAAAAAAAGGATTGATTTTGTATGCATAGATGAACTGCTTCCAAGGCAAAACATCCAAATCATATTAAAATGTCTTTTAACATTGACCCTGAAAGTACATCCAAATACCAATGTATTCGTATCAACAACTCTAATTTGTCATTAAAAATTCAAGCAGCAACACTTCCAGATTTATCAGCTGATGATAAACACTTTCATTGTACACTTAAATATTGTGAATTTTATTATGTCAATTGTAATCAATAATTTTTTTAAAAAGGAAAACTTTAAAAATAAGTCATTCCTTTTTATTGCCACACTATTTTTATCCCAGTGGATATCTGGTGTTAGGATCGCAGTAACTGCCATTGGTAATAAATAATAAACAGCATCAATTGATGAATGTTGAACATGGGACACTTGGAATGACCTAAATTCCCACCTTCTCTCTTTTGTCAGTATAAATTAAAAATAAGAGAGAGCAGGTGGTTAACATAATGGAATTTGCTTCACCAGGAGGCTGCTGTGGTGAATTATTTGATCTGAAATAAAAAGGTGATAACGATGGGGATCATTTGAGATCAGATGTATCAACTCTCCTTTTTATTCTAGAGCAAATATTAGAGGGTTGAATGATTCTCAAGCTGTAGATATTTCTCAGGTCTATTTTTAAGCTCAAACTGGCTCTTTCCCAGAAAGAAGAGAAACAAAAATCTACTGGCAGTAAAGCCTTTACCTTTTTTCATTGAATTTTCTGAGGGGATTTAAAAAAAAAATCTTCTAAAAATCCAGGACAGATGGAGCATTATGAAGAACACTGCAAAACAGAATACTTTCAGGGAGTACTTAGAAGAAAATAAAATGTTCAAAAAGACCTTGTCTTCAAAAAAAAAAAAAGAAAAAAATCGGTTGACTAAAGACAAAGTATCTGATGTAGTAAAACATTTGCCCCATCTAGGCGCGGTGGCTCACGCCTGTAATCCCAGCACTTTGGGAGGCCGAGGCAGGTGGATCACAAGGTCAGGAGATGGAGACCATCCTGGCTAACACGGTGCAACCCCGTCTCTACTAAAAAAAGTACAAAAAATTAGCCAGGCGTGGTGGCGGGCGCTTGTAGTTGCAGCTACTTGGGAGGCTGAGGCAAGAGAACGGCTTGAACCCGGGAGGTGGAGCTTGCAGTGAGCCGAGATTGCGCCATTGCACTCTAGCCTGGGAGACAGAGCGAGACTCTGTCTCAAAAAAAAAAAAAAAAAAAAAAAAAATTTGCCTTTCTTTGAAGGAACTGAAAACAATGAAACCCAGTCACATTAAATTGTTCTCAAAGTTGGTGTATCAGGCACCAGTCCAAAGGATTTCCACCCGAAAAGTTGGTAGAATTCTTTTTAGCAATAAGATAGTTGAATGATTTGGGTAATGTTGCAGAGAACTGGTAAAAATGTTGCTCATTAACATTCATTCTCTCTTTTTCCTAACTCTAAAACTATTCTTTAGCTATCAGAAAAGTTAAATTTAATACAGTGTAAACTCTCCAAGGGGAAAGGAATAGCAGAAAAATTCCAGATGTCTCAGCCCTGTTGTGTGCTCACAGAGGTTGCACAATTTCCACTTGTAGATGGGTGAAAAGGTGTTAGAATCAGTTACCTGGCTCTTTGTAACATGTAAAGAATGTGAGGTGGCCTATGCCAGCCTGGAGGGAGAGTGAGAAGGGCTCTGAATGTTGACATTACTTCCCAGTTCACCATGACTCATTCATCTGACTTGCTACCAAACCATTGGGAATGAGCCAGTATAAGGGAACATGTTACAGCAGCCAGTGAAATAGACCAAAAAACTGTCAGTCCCAGGAAAGTACTGGAGAGGAGAATTGCAAGTGTGGTGGCGAATCTTTGCCAAACAGATACAGTTGATTTTTTTTTTTTTCCTTAAAAAGTCACACTTGACAAATCCTTCCTGAGTTTCAAGGGGAAAAGACACATAAACTTCCGTTTTGCTATCAATAAAGGTAGCAGGATATAAAAGGCTTAAATACCATCTTAAGAATAAAACATAGAGGCAACATGGCAAGCTATAGCAAGAAAAGAAAAAATAAAATAAACGAAGAAAAAGAAGTGCAGTGAAAAACAACAAAAGAAAAATCTTCCTTGAAGGGAAACTGGGAGCACATTTCCTTGGCTGAAGATCCAGTGTGAATAAAAGGGGGAGAAAATAACATCTTGATAAGACCAAATGAAATGGCAAACCAACCTTTAGTATTAATGAGCTTGTCAAGAGATCTTTAGATGGGTGATTTGGAGTGCTGGCATTTTG
This sequence comes from Homo sapiens, assembly GCF_000001405.40. Classification (NCBI taxonomy): domain Eukaryota; kingdom Metazoa; phylum Chordata; class Mammalia; order Primates; family Hominidae; genus Homo; species Homo sapiens. The sequence goes on along the minus strand of NC_000002.12, from coordinate 171,271,573 downwards.
ACACCTGAGGCTGTTTACTAAGCTTAAAGGAATTGGCAAAAGTCTCAAAATGCTTTCAAAATCACTTCATTGTGATTCTCTTTAGATGAGCAAAATCAAATAGATGCCTATAGCTCATAGATGCCTATAGCTCATAGATGAGGGGGTATGAAAAAGCATGAATGTGTTGTTGTAACAAATCCAAAGTGTTTGTAAACCATTGTCTGTGTCTTTGAATGTTTGGAATTGCAGGATGATTGCAGAAAGGATGACCTACAAGTGGATGGTCAGATCTGGCTGCAAATGGATGTCTGAAAGAAAACGGGGATCCTAGGAAACCCATCACAGCCCTCTATGAGCTTCAGAAACCAGCAAGGTTAATTATGTCATTGCCTCTAAGTGAATGCAGGTGACATTGTTTTGATAATTTGATGAACATGCCTCCTCCAGGAACAGTGTGATCCAAGATGCCAGGTCCATTTCAGGGCCTGAATCAGATGTCCGGAATCTCAAAAAGACTGGGAATTAGAACTGGGTTCTCAAGGGGAAGGACTTCTTAAGGGAAATTTTTTTCTTGGCTAAAGAGACACTCAGGAGGAAATGTCTTTTCTTTTGCTGCCATTGAATGACTAGATCATCTATCTATCTCTCTCTCTGTCTATCTATCTATCTATCTATCTATCTATCTATCTATCTATCTATCTATTGTTATATTCAAAAAATATTTTCTCAGCATCTACTGTATGCCAGGGATTATGGTAGGTGCCGGGGATAAAATTAGTTAATAAGACCCGCACGGAGTTTACATTCTAATGAGAGAGTCCCAAATAAACAAGTACGCAGATAAATATTATACTTACAGATTCTGAAGAGTTCTGAAGAAAAAAAAGAGGGTGATGAAGAGTGAATAAAAAGGTGACTAAATTGAGTAAAGGTCCCTTTAGTCAGAGTGGTCAGGCCATGAGAGGCAAGTCTTGAGTGAGAAAAAGCTAGGCCTATGGATGAAAAGCAGTGACAAGGAAGGAAAGAGTATTTCAGTTAAAGGGAACAGCAAGTACAAACCTATGAAGTAGAAAAGAAGAGGCATGCTCTACAGTGGTTGAGTCAAGGGAAGAGTGATAGTAGATGAGGTTGCAGGGACAAGAAATTAAGATTTTATTCTGAGTGCATTGGGAAATCATTAGTGGCTTTTAAGGCAGAGAATAAGGTTAGTCATATTTTAGTAAGATCACTTTGGCTGTTACATGAAAAATGTATTGGAGGAGGACAAATACGGAAGCAGTAAGACCAGTTAGTTGGTACCAGGTGATAGTGACTTGTGCTGTTTATCCCATTAATACGGTTTGGATCTGTGTTCCCACCCAAATCTTGTGTTGAATTGTAATCCCCAGTGTCAGAGGTGGGGCCTTGTGGGAGGTGATTGGATCATGGGGGTGGTCTTTCATGAATGGGTTAGCACCATATCCTGGCGAGGCTCTCCTGACACTGAGTGAGTTCTCATGAGTTCTACTTGTTTAAAACTGTGTGGCACCTTACCCGCCCCTCCCACCCCACCCCCAGCACTTCATCCTGCTCTGGCCATGTGAAGCTCTTCACTCGCCTTTTGCCTTCTGCCATGACTGGAAGCTTTCCGAGCCCTCCCCTGAAGCAAATGTTGCCATGCTTCCTGTATAGCCTGTGGAACCATAAGCCAATCAAACCTGTTTTCTTTATAAATTACCCAGTCTCAGGTACAGGTATTTCTTTATAGTAGTGTGAGAACAGACTAATATACCCACCGAGAGGGAATCTCTACACCTCCTTCTCTTGACTCTGGGCATGCGTGTGGCTGCTTCTACCAATAGAGTAGCAGTGGAACCAACCCCGGGACATCCACATTTAGATCATAAAAGGACATGGGAAGCCTCTGTCTTGTCTGCTAGGACATTGCATGGTCTATCACATAAGAAGTCCATCTCAGGCTAGGCTCTGTGGCTTACACCTGTAATCCCAAACTTTGGGAGGCTGAAGTGGGCAGATCACTTGAGGCCAGGAGTTTTTTTTGTTTTTTTTTTTTTTTTTTGAGACAGAGTTTCACGCTTGTTGCCCAGGCTGGAATGCAATGGTATGGTCTCAGCTCACTGCAACCTCTGCCTCCCAGGTTCAAGTGATTATCTTGCCTCAGCCTCCTGAGTAGCTGGGATTATAGGCACACACCACCACACCGGGCTAATTTTTGTATTTTTAGTAGAGATGGGGTTTCACCATGTTGGCCAGGCTGGTCTTGAACTCCTGACCTCAGGTGATCCACCCACCTCGGCCTTCCAAGTGCTGGGATTACAGGCATGAGCCACCGCTCCCAGCCCGAGGTCGGGAGTTCTAGACCAGCCTGGCCAACATGGTGAAACTCTCTCTCAACTATAAACACAAAAATCAGCTGGACATGGTGGAACGTGCCTGTAATCCCAGCTACTGGGGAGGCTGAGGCAGGAGAATTGCTTGAACCCGCAAAGCAGAGGTTGCAGTGAGCCAAGATCTTGCCAATGTATTCAGCCTGAGGCAACAGAGCGATACTCCGTCTTAAAAAAAAAAAATAAGTCCACCTCAGCTGGGGACGGTGGCTCACACCTGTAGTCCCAGCTACTAGGAAGTCGGAGGAGGGAGGATCACTTGAGCCCAGGAGTTCAAAGCTGCAGGAGCCATAATCACACCTCTGCATTCCCATTCTAGCCTGGGCAACAGAGTGAGACCTCATATAAATAAAAATAAGGAAGCCCACCTATCCTGAGACTGCCCCGCTATGAAGGAATCCAAGTCACATGAAGTGTAAATGTTCCATTCAGCAGTCCCAGCTAAGGTCCCGGTCAGCAGCCAGCATTGACCACCAGATGTGTGAATGAAGAGGCCTTCAGATGATTGCAGCCCCTATTGTTAAGGCAACCCCAACCTCCGAGTCTTCCCAGCAGAGGATTCAGCTACTATGGAGTCAAGATAAGTCATTCCCACTGTACCCTGTCTGGGGTCCTGACACATGAAGATTGGAAGTGGTTTGTCACATAGCAATAGTAACTGAAACACTGGGAGAGGGACGTCTTTAAGAGGAGAAATTAAGTTCCCAATGAGATTTTAAAGATGTACTAATGAAACAATCAAGTAGAGATATCAAGTAGTTAGTTGGACATGTGAGCGTAAGCAGACTTCTTGGCTGGAGATATACTAATGGCAAACAGCATATGGATGTCATTTAATTTCCCAGGCCTGGGTGAGATCACCTACAGCAGGAGGTGGACAGAGAAGAGGAGCTGGTTCAAGACCTCATTCTGAGGAAGCCCAGTATTTAGAGGTAGGGAAGAGAAGGAAGAGCCAGAAAAGGGAATTGAGACAGAGTGCCCAGGGAGGCAAGAAAAAAAAAACACCCAAGAGAATGGTTTGTCACAAAAGCTGAGAGAGAACATTATTTCCAGAACAAAGAGAGCGGTCAACTTTGTGGGAAACTATTGAGAGTCAAAAAAGATAAGAGAAAAATGGTCATTAGATTTGGCAACAAAGAGATCACTTGAGACCTTGAAAAGAACAATTTCAGTGGGAGTGGATGGGGCAGACACATAATGGGGGTTTTGATCTCTCAGGGAAAGAAGAGCAGTCTATTATTTCAGAAAAAGTTGGATCAGCCATGCCATATGCAGCTAGCTTAAGTGCTACTGAAACGACACAATTTACCTGCTTAGACAAACAGCATAATGTAGCAAACAGCATAAATTTTTAGCATTAGACAGAACTGGGTTGAAATTCTACAGACAAATTACTTAAACTCATTATGGTTCAGTTTGTTTATCTGTAAACTGCAGAGGAAAAAACCACTTTTCTTCTATTCTCCTAGGTTCTACAGTTAGGAACCTAGAAATTGAACTGACAAAAGACAGGTTAACAAGAGAAAAACAGAGCTTATGAATGTGTGCAATGCACATGCATTTGGGAGAAACTCAGTGATGAGTGTAACTTGCAGGAGTAGTTGTTATGTAGCATCGTAACAAAGATGCTACATAAAAACTACTCAGTGATGAGTAGTTTGCAGGAGTAGTTGTTATGTAGCATCGTAACGAAGAATGGTGTATTTGTAGAGATGTGGCAAAACGAAGGAAAAGGGGTTTAAGCTTTTGGAGTGACAAATTGTGGGGAGGTAAATATGTGGAGAGAAACTAATGGAAAATAGGAGTTATTTTATTAGGGTTTACTATGTAGGTACCTTTTGGTGCTATCTCTGGGCTAGAGTTATCTCCTCGTCTCTAGTGATTATGAGTCTAAGAGTTTCCTCTTCCTGGTATGCGAGAGAGAGAGAGAGAGAGAGAGACGCCTTTGCAAATGTATTTTTTTTTATTAAAAAAATTGTTAATTGCAGAGATGGGTGTCTCGCTATATTGCCCAGACTGGTCTCAAACTCCTGGCCTCAAGTGAGTCTTCTGCTTCGGCCTCCCAAAATGCTGGGATTACAGGTGTGAGCCGCCAAACCTGGCACAAATGGAAATTTACGTCCTACTTTTAGGCAAGTAGGGAGGAGGGCAGAGATACTTCTTGGCATGTGCTGCTTCTCAACTGTTTTCAGCTCAAAATAATCCTTATGCAAAAGTTCATATTTTGGGGTGGCATATTCTAATCACCCCCCCAAAATAAGAATAATACTTTTTCATAGGGTTGTTGTAAGCATAACATGAGAGAACATTTTAGCATAGCAGTAAGCATATGTAAGTTGCTTAAGCTCATTCATTTAAAACATACTTATTAAGTGCCTACTGTGTACCAGGCCCTGTGCTGAGTGCCTGGCATACAAGGATGAAGTCTCAGTTCATGATCTGCAGAAATGTATAGACTAGTGAGGAGACAGACCTGCAAACAGTTGCATTACAGTAAGATTATTGCTTCAGTAGGATTGTGACAAAGGAGAAGAAAACCTGAATGAGTCTGAGGGGATCAAGAAAGGCTTCACAGAAGAAGCAGTATTTTATCTGTGACTTGAAGACACGGGGTGGATTTGCCAGGTGGACAAGCTGGGGAGGGTGTTCCAAGTAGAGAGAACATTGTATACAAAGCTTCAGGAATGGGACTGAGCATAGCATGCTCTGGAACCAGATAGCTGAGTGCTACTGGAGTAAAACTTGTGTGGAACAGGTGGAGGTGTGGTGGTAGGAAAATAGTGAGGGATGGGGCCAGACAGGTAAAAAGAAATCAGAGGATGGAGAGTCTCATTTGCCACGAAGAGGAGTTTAGATGTTATCTGAAGGGATCAGGAGCCACTGAAGTACTTGGTAATAAGGAAGTGAAAAAAACGTTCTTTTTGTTGTTTTTTAGAAATGAGGTCTCAGTCCGTCACCCAGACTGGAGGGCAGTAGTGCGATCATGGCTCAATGCAGCCTTGACCTCTTGGGTTCAAGGGGTCCTCTAGCCTCAGCCTCCCAAGTAGCTGGGATTACAGGCAGGAGCTGTGACCCTGACGACAAAATCATTCTTATGCGTGGAAGGTGAACTGAGAGTTTGCTTAGCTTTGTAAAATGCCCTAATCTTTGCACTTAAAAAATGGTGCCTCTGACCAATGCTCAGCAGTATATGTGCTATGATTTGTCTTTTCAATTGTTCCTCTGAACTATTCTTATTCTCTTGTAGGGAGATATTTGCAGACCAATTGAACAGAATAGAGAATCCAGAAAGAGACCATCTAGAGGAAAGACTAACTTAGCTTGCCATTCTTTCTTTAGAGAATGATACCGATGTCATGTAAAGCAATGATCAAAGAGTACATATCCAGCCTGGGCAACATAGTAAGACCGTGTCTCTACAAAAAATAAAAAATTAGCCGGGAGTGGTGACATGCACCTGTAGTCCTAACTACTCGAGAGGCTGAGGTGGAAGGATTGCTTGAGCCCAGGAGATTGAGGTGGCAGTGAGCTATAATCGCACCACTGCACTCCACTCTGTCTCAAAAAAGAAAAAAAAAAGGACATAGCAAAAACAAAAAAATATATATATGGAAAAAAGTATTAAAGACAGGTGATTAATCGTGATATGATGATATTATCTAGATTTTATCGTATTTGATACTTTATGATATTTTATGACAATTTTGATATTTATAGTCTTAGAAATTTGGTTTGATGTGCTTTCTCATTCTAATTCATTCTTTTTGTTTTTTTAAGAGATGAGGTCTTGCTGTGTTGTCCAGACTGGAAAACAGTGGCTATTCACAGGTGTGATCATAGCACACTACAGTCTCAAACTCCTGGGTTCAAGTGATCCTCCTGCCTTAACCTCCAGAGTAGCTGGGCCTATAGGCATGTGCCACTGTGCCCAGCTATTTAATTTTTTTTTTTTTTTTTTTGAGACGGACTCTCGCTCTGTTGCCCAGGCTGGAGTGTAGTGGCGCGATCTTGGCTCACTGCAAGCTCCGCCTCCCGGGTTCACGCCATTTTCCTGCCTCAGCCTCCTGAGTAGCTGGGACCACGGACGCCCACCACTACGCCTGGCTAATTGTTTGTATTTTTAGTAGAGACGGGGTTTCACTGTGTTAGCCAGGATGGTCTCGATCTCCTGATCTCGTGATCCGCCCGCCTCGGCCTCCTAAAGTGCTGGGATTACAGGCGTGAGCCATGGCGCCCGGTCTCCAGCTATTTAATTTTATTCTTGCACCTACTTTTGTGTCATAATTTTGCATTTTTTTCTTAAAGAAGTACATGCTTTTTCTTAAAGAAGTTTCTAAAAACTGAATATTCATTAGGTCCCACAAAATCTGGGTAAGTGTCTGAGTACTGCACTATCCTTTATTGATTTCTCTAAACCTGCCTGCAATTTTGTAAATAGTCATTTTATTAAACTCTTCTCAGTTTGCCCATGTCCTCTGTTTCTAGGACCATGACATTCAACAATGTTCATGTTGGTCATAATCTTTGTTCATCACTTATACAATAGATTCTCTTGTATGTATAAAGACATTCACAATAATAAAAAGGATATGTGATATATACATATATACATACATGTATACACATACCACCTGTGTGTGTGTGTGTGTGTGTGTGTGTGTGTGTGTGTAATGTCTATGCCAGTGCCATGTATAGATACTTAAGTAATTGTTAACAATACTTCCTGGAGAGAAACAAGGGAATAGGGGACAGAGATTAGATGAGGAATTATTTCATCATATTCCTCTTTCTTTCTTTTTTTTTTTTAATTTTTAATTTTTGTAGAGATGGAGGTCTTGTTATGCTGCCCAGGCTGGTCTCAAACTCCTGGGGTCAAGTGATCCTCCTGCCTCAGCCTCCCAAATTGTTGGGATTACAGACATAAGCCACTGTGCCCGGCCTGTATTGCCCTTTCTTGCCTAAACTTTTTCATGTTTATATATTTGTTTCTCAAATTAAATTTTGATTTCATTTTTGTTCAAACAGATTCACTAGGTACTTTTTGAGGGGGAGGAGTCAAAACTTAAGAGTTAGGTTTCATTCAAGATTAATCAGTATGGTTTATTTTCATGTTCTCATGACAGTGTTCCCATAGTTGGAGGACTTCTGGAACTGGTGAGCAGTCCATCAGGTAATGGGCATAAAAGTAGCACTTTTCACTTTATTCAGATCTTACCTTTGTTTGAAAATATTCTCTGAAGTGCTTCCTATGAGGACAGATTACATTATTAGAGGACTATGTTGATTTTTATTCACTTTGGGGGCACTCTCCAGAGTTCCACAGGAATTTCCAGACATGACATGAAATGCCCACATTTATTTCACAGATCTCCCCGGCCATATAGCTGAGCCTCAGTGTTGCACCATCAGGAAACAAGAACATGCGCGCTGGGAACCTGGAAATAGAAAATAGATCCCAGCCCCATCCAGCTGACTGAGACCAATGCCTGATTCCCCAGCAGGGCAACCTGCCAGAAGTAGAGTCTGTAGTCCTCAGTAACTCTCCTGCAGGGGTTCCCCTCACACACTCCACTTGTGCAGAAGACTAGAAAGATGGCCAGAAACATAAAAAACACATCACGCTGCAGAGCGGTCTGCCTCTTGGCCTGCTGGGATGGCAGCCCTGGCGCCAGGGAGGCAGCTGAGGTATGGAAAGTTATATTAGGAAGAGAGGAAAGGGAAATATAGCCCCACAAACCCAGAAAAGAAAGAATGGAGAAATGGGGCCTCCAAAGTTGAATTCCTGGCCGGGCATGGTAGCTCATGTCTGTAATCCCAGCACTTTGGCAGGCTGAGGCAGGCAGATCACCTGAGGTCGGCAGTTCGAGCCCAGCCTGACCAACATTGAGAAACCTCGTCTCTACTAAAAAAAAAAAATTAGCCGGGCATGGTGGTGCATGCCTGTAATCTCAGCTACTCGGGAGGCTGAGGCAGGAGAATCACTTGAACCCAGGAGGTAGAGGTTGTGGTGAGCTGAGATCGTGCCATTGCACTCCAGCCTGGGCAACAAGAGTGAAACTCCATCTCAAAAAAACAAAAACAAAAACAAAGTTGAATTCCTGGCATGGAGAAACCCCATCTCTACTAAAAATACAAAATTTAGCTGGGTGTGGTGGTAGGTGCCTGTAACCCTAGCTACTCAGGAGACTGAGACATGAGAATCGCTTGGAACCCGAGAGGTGGAGGCTGCAGTGAGCTGAGATCACACCACTGCACTCCAACCTGAGGGACAGAGCGAGATTCTGACTCAAAAAAAAAAAAAAAAAAAAAAGTTGAATTCCAACCAGGTGCAGTGGCTCACGCCTGTAATCCCAGCATTTTGGGAGGCCGAGGTGGGCAGATCACGAGGTCAGGAGATCGAGACCATGCTGGCTAACACAATGAAACCCCATCTCTACCAAAAATACAAAAAATTAGCCAGGCGCGGTGGCAGGTGCCTGTAGTCCCAGCTACTCAGGAGGCTGAGGCAGGAGAATGGCGTGAACCCGGGAGGTGGAGCTTGGAGTGAGCCGAGATCGCGCCACTGCACTCCAGCCTGGGTGAAAGTGCGAGACTCTGTCTCAAAGAAAAAAAAAAAAAAAGTTGAATTCCTTGGCTCTTACAGGCATGTGCCTGCAATGTATCTGCTTCAGTCACCCAGTGCCTCAGGAAAGCAAATGATTTCTGGAATATGGTAGCTGACGATACTTTCCTTTGGATGATTCAGTTTCTTCACTACACAAATGATTCCATCGTAGCCAGGAAAGCATGCAACCTTGTGACTTCCCTCCCCACCAACCAAAATACTTCCCCTTCTCCCTATGCCTCAAATTCTTTCAATAAGACAAAGCTTTTTATTCCACAATTAAGGACAAGGAGCCCCACTCTAGGAGCTGGAACATATTGGCTTAAATACACAGGAAGGTTGTTATGGGCTTCCCTTGGGAAAATCTCCCGTATGGGGCCTGAAGACCCTCTGACACTTCATTGTAAAAATTCTTTCTTCTTTTGGGAAGCAGATGGAGTTAACAGGCTGTAACATTTGTCTATTGTTCTTAAGCAAGGCACATACTAATCTCTTTGTCCTCTCTCAGAAGATAGGCTTTATATCTGCGTCAAGAGACAAGACCATCTACAAATACATTACTTTGTTTAGAATTTATGCTCACTCTTTGTTTCTATGAAATGAAACAAAGCATCCTGCCCCATAGTGACTCAAGTAGGTCAAGAGAATTGTGATTGAAAAACCCCAAGGGTCTTTAATTTCTTCCTGGAAGAAAGAAAAAAGCTCAACTCTGTGGCCCCCACCTCCTTTCCATCACCTTGGATGGCTTGCAAAGAACTTGTCTGTAGAAGAACAGGCCTTTATCTGCTCTCTAACTCCACAGAAGAACTACTAGTTCCTAGGCCAGAACCATGTTGATGACTAAAAGAATCTCAGCTTCAAAGAGTCATAAGGCCAGAGTGTGGTAAAGTCTAACACTGATTTGTTTTGGAGATGGAGTTTTGCTCTCCTTTCCCAGGCTGGAGTGCAGTGGCACAATCTCAGCTCACTGCAGCCTCCGCCTCCTGGGTTCAAGTGATTCTCCTGCCTCAGACTCCCGAGTAGCTGGGATTACAGGCACATGCCACCAAGCCTGGCTAATTTTTGTGCTTTTAGTAGAGACGGGGTTTTACCATGTTGCCCAGGCTGGTCTCGAACTCCTGACCTCAGGTGATCCGCCCGCCTTGGACTCCCAAAGTGCTAGGATTACAGGCGTGAGCCACCGTGCCTGGCCCCTAGCACTGATTTTTAAAAATAACTAATATTTATGTTTCTACAGCTTTATTGGGGTATAACTGACTTACAATAAATAACATATAGTTGAAATGTACAACTCGATAGGTTTTGACATACATATATGTAAACCAAAAAGTATCTGAGACAGGTCTCAATCAGTTTAGAGGTTTATTTTGCTGAGGTTGAATACACACCCAGGAAAAAGAGACACAAGCCACAGCAGGATCTGTGGCCCTTATTTTTTCTGCAGAGAATTTTGGGGGCTTCAATTTTAAAGGGGAAAAGTAGGCAGGAGGGGAAAGGGGAAAGAAAAAAAAGAGGAAGGGCATGGTCACATTCTTGTGAAGTCACATGTGCATGAAAAGGAAGGGGTAGGGGAAAAATCAATTATGTATTTGACTCACACTCAGTAAATCTGCTCTTTTACATAAGGTGAAGTAAACATAGAGTAGAAAAGCAGTCAAACATGCATTCAGCTCAGGATGGAAGGGGATTTCGAATCTCCTCTTTCCCCTCACTCCTCCACCCCCAAGTCCATGAAGATAAGCTGTTCATTTACATTGTCAAGGTGAGGGAGGCCCCCTGTGGCCTTCTATCTGTAGCTATCAGTTTAGGAACAAAGATAAAGGCAGTTTTGGGGTTTTTTTTCATGACTCAGCTTCCAAGCTTAACTTTTCCCTTTTGGCATCGTGAATTTGGGGTTCCATGATTTTATCTTCCTTTCACATATGCAACTATGAAACCATAACCACAATTAATATAGTGAAAATACCTCAAAAAGTTTCTTTGCTTTTGTAACACTTTCTTCCTGTTCTTTCACATCTCCTCATCCACCAGGAAACCACTAATCTGCTTTCTGTCACTATACGTTAGTTTGCGTTTCCTAGCATGTTATATAAATGAACTCATACAGTGCATACTCTTTTTCTGGTCTGGCCTCTTTTGCTCAGCATTAATTATTTGCGGATTCATCCATGTTGTTGAATGTATCAATTGTTCATTTCTTTTTATTGCTGGGTAGTATCCCATCAGCTGGATATACCGGTTTGTTTCACCTGTACATGGACATTTGGGTTGTTTCCAGTTTGGGGCTATTACCAATGAAGATTCTATGAACATTTATGCATAATTCTATATAGATGCATGTTTTTTCTCTTATACCTAAGAGTGAATGGCTGGATAAAATGGTAGGTTTATGTTTAACTTTCTAAGAAACTGACAAACTGTTTTCCAGAGTGGTTGTACTGTTTTATACTTTCCCCAGCAAGGTATAAGAGTTCAAGTTCCTCTACCTCCTCACCAACACCTGGTATGGTCAGTCTTTTTAATTTTAGCCATTCAGTAGTTATGGTTTTAATTTGCATTTTCCTAATGACTAATGATGCTGAGCATCTTCTTATATGCTTCATATGCTTATTTGTCACCCATGTTTGTTTGATTCTTTTGCTTATTTTTTTAATTGTGTTGTTTTCTTATTATTGAGCCTTTTGTTCTTTTTTTTTTCTTCTTTTTTTTTGAGATGGAGTCTTGCACTGTTGCCCAAGCTGGAATGCAGTGGCGCAATCTCCACTCACTGCAACCTCCACCTCCCGGGTTCAAGCGATTCTCCTGCCTCAGTCTCCAAAGTAGCTGGGATTACAGGCACCTGCCACCACACCCGGCTGATTTTTTGTATTTTTAGTAGAGATGGGGTTTCACTATGTTGGCCAGGGTGGTCTTGAACTCCTGACCTCGTGATCCTCCTGTTTCGGCCTCCCAAAGTGCTGGTATTACAGGTGTGAGCCACCGCACCAGTCCTTTTTCCTTTTTCTTTTGGAGATGGAGTCTCACTCTATTGCCAGGCTGGAGTGCAGTGGCACCATCTCAGCTCACTGCAACCTCTACGTCCTGGGTACAAGCAATTCTCATGCCTCAGCCTCCCGAGTAGCTGAGATTTCAGGCACATGCCATCATGGCCAGCTAATTTTTGTATTTTTAGTAGAGATGATTCTTCTGCTCCAGCCTCCCAAGTAACTGGGACTACAGGCACCCACCACCACACCCGGCTCATTTTTGTATTTTTAGTAGAGATGGGGTTTCACCATGTTGGACAGGCTGGTCTTGAACTGATGACCTCAAGTGATCCGCCTGTCTCAGCCTCCCAAAGTGTTAGATTACAGGCGTGAGCCACGGCGCCAGGCCACAGAATTTTATAATTACATAACTCCACTTTTCCCTCCCAGCACTTAGGCTACTGTTTTCTTTATGCATATGTTGTAATCCCCACAACACATTGTTATTATTTTTGTTTAAACAGTCAATATATTTTAAAGATATTCAAATTATAAGAGAAAAAGTCTTACGTATTTGTCCATGTAGTTATCATTTTTGTTGCTCTGAATTTTCTGTATAATCATATTTCCATCAGGTGTTATTTTCCTTCTGCCTGAAGGATTTCCTTTAACATTTCTTATATTGCAGATCTGTTAGTGATAAATTATTCCGGCTTTGGTATGTCTGAAAAAGTATTTATTCCACCTTCATCTTTAAAAAATATTTTTGCTGGGTATAAATTTCTAGGTAACAGTTTGTTTTTTCCTTCAGTAGCTTAAAGATGTTGCTCCACTGTCTTATCACCTGTATCATTGTTTCCTATGAGGAGTCTTCTGTCATCCTTATCTTTGGTCTTCTGTATATAATGTGTCTTTTCTTCTCTGGCTACTTTTAGTATTATCTCTTCATCACTAATTTTGAGCAGTTTGATTCTGATGTGCCTTAGTGTACTCATTTTCTTCATATTTTTGTGCTTAGGATTTATTGACTTTCTTGGACCTGTAGGTTTTTAGTTTTCATCAAAACCAGAAAATTTTCAGCTATTATTCCTTTGAATAGCTTTTCTGTCCCTCCCGCTACTTTAGGGACAACAATTACATATAAATCAAACTGCTTAAAGTTTTCCTACAGCTCACTGATGCTCTTTTCATTCTTGTTTTTAATTCTCTTTTCTCTTTGTGTTTTATTTTTGGATCAGTTCTATTGCTATGTCTTCAGATTCACTAATCTTTTCTTTTGCCATTAATCTCATCAGTGTAATTTTAATCTCAGATATTATAGTTTTTATCTCTAGAAATCTGATTTATGGTTTTAAAATAGTTCCTGTCTCTCCTTAACTTTTCAAATATCTGGAATATAATAATAACTACTATTTTAATATCCTTGTTACTAATTCCTATATCTGTGTTAGTTTTTTTTATCAGTTTCAACTAGTTTATTTTCCTCTTCCTTATTGGTTATATTTTCCTGTTTCTTTGCATGCCTGGCGAGTTTTTTTAATGCATAATATTGTGAATTTTAATCTATTGGGTGCAGGATATTTTTGTATTCTTATAAATATACCTGATCTTTGTTCTGGGATGCAATTAAATTATTCGGAAACATTGAACATTTTGCATCTTGCTTTTAAGATTCATGAGGTGGTTGTTTTTGGAGCTAAAAATTAAAACAATTGAACTCATGGAAATAGAGAATAGAATGATGGTTCCCAGAGGCTGGGAAGGGTAGTTTGGAGGAGTAGGGGGCAAGTGGGGATGATTAATGTGTATTAAAAAATTGAAAGAATGAATAAGATCTAGTATTTGACAGCAAATAGGATGACTTCGGGAAGCTGAGGCAGGCAGATCACTTGAGCTCAGGAGTTTAAGACCAGCCTGGGCAACATGATGAGACCCTGTCTCTACAAAAAATACAAAAATTAGCAGGACATTGGCTGGGCGCGGTGGCTCACCCCTCTAATCCCAGCACTTTGGGAGGCCGAGGCGGGTGGATCACCTGAGGTTGGGAGTTTGCGACCAGCCTGGCCAACATAGAGAAAACCTGTGTCTACTAAAAATACAAAATTAGCTGGGCTTGGTGGTGCACGCCTGTAATCCCAGCTACTCAGGAGGCTGAGGCAGGAGAATCGCTTGAACCTGGGAGGCAGAGGTTGTAGTGAGCCGAGATCACACCATTGTACTCCAGCCTGGGCAACAAGAGCGAAACTCCGTCTCAAAAACAAAACAAAACAACAACAACAAAAATTAGCTAGGCATGGTGGTTCACGCCTGTAATCCCAGCTACTCAGGAGGCTTGGGTAGGAGGATCACTTGAGCCTGGGAAGCAGAGGTTGCAGTGAGCCAAGATCACACCACTGCACTCCAGCCTGGGTGATAAAGTGAGATGAGATCTTGTGTCACACACACACACACACACACACACACACACACACACACACATTTTTTTTTTTTTGAGACAGAGTCGCGCTCTGTCGCCCCAGGCTGGAATGCAGTGGTGCGATCTCGGCTCACTGCAACTTCTGCCTCCCCGGTTCAAGTGATTCTCTTGCCTCAGCCTCCCAAGTATCTGGGACTATAGGCACCCGCCACCATGCCCAGCTAATTTTTTGTATTTTTAGTAGAGATGGGGTTTCACCATGTTAGCCAGGATGGTCTCGATCTCTTGACCTTGAGATCCGCCCACCTCAGACTCCCAAAGTGCTGGGATTACAGGCGTGAGCCACTGCACCCGGCCAAGATAGTATTTAAAAAAAAATGAAAGTATGTTCAATTCCAGAGAGAGGAGGCAAATTCAAAATTCAAAGTGGGAAAGACTGTTAAGAGCACATCTCTGGAGAAGGGAATTTAGCAAGAGAAAGAGGGAGACACAGCAAATATATTGTAGGAAAATTTAAACTTTCCCTCTGAAGGTTCAATAATTGAGTCATCCTGCCAAAATAAACAGACAATAGACAGATTGACAGGAGAAAAAGCATACAAGTTCATTAACATGCACGTGGACATGGTAGTCCCACAAATATGAGACTCAAAGGCCCGGTAGCTGAAGCTTAGATAGCACCAATTTCATAGGGAAGAGAGAAATGGGAAATGTAGGCAGTTATGAAGGGCAGAAGTTATTTTCAAGGGAAATGAATGAGTCCAAAAAACAGACAATGGCTTGGGACAAAGTTCCTCTGAGCTCTGGGGGAGGTGGCAGGAAGATGAGGGGTGGAACTTCACTGTGAACAAAGGTTGTCTTATTACATAGATAAAGTCTCCCAGGTATTCTCTCAGAGTGCCCTCAGAAGAATAGATGAAGAGTCTGTGTGGGCATGATGACTTTTAGTCTTTTCTCTTCTCTAGTGGTTCATCTTTTCTGGTCTTAGGACAATTGCATTTTTTTTTTTTTTTTTTTTTTTTTTTTGAGACAGCGTCTTCCTCTGTCACCCAGGCTGGAGTGCAGTTGTGCGATCTTGGCTCACTGCAACCTCCACCTCCTGGGTTCAAGTGATTCTCCTGCCTCAGCCTCCTGAGTAGCTAGGATTACAGGTACACAGCACCACGCCCAGCTAATTTTTGTATTTTTAGTAGAGATGCAGTTTCACCATGTTGGCCAGGCTGGTCTCGAACTCCTGACCTCATGATCTGCCCGCCTCAGCCTCCCAAAGTGCTGGGATTACAGGCATGAGCCACCGCGCCAGGCCTGACAATTACATTTCTTTTGGAAGAAGTTTTCCTCAGATAAGGGAATATCCAGAGAGAGCCTCTCCCTGCACTTGAGGGGAGGAGACAAGAGAAGGTTAGAAAGTCCTTGGTTCTGAGGCAGCTTCTAGCTTCTAAGGCTTTCCAATTTCTTTTAATTCAAAAGTGCTCAGCAAGCTGAAGCTTTATACTTTGGGGCATCATTCTCCATGCCCCAACCATGTCATGCCACTGCAGGGAGGTTCCTAATCACTAAGTCTGGCTTTTGCCCATTTTATCAAGAACAGTCTCTTGACCCAGGAAGGCTTGTTCAATATTGGGATGCCACATGGCTATACTTCCCAAAGAGAGCAAGTGTTCATTCAAGGCAGTTACGATAACAATTCTCAGGGAAAATAGTGGAAGGGAAACAATGTAGGAACAAGTTATTTTAACACTGTGACTTGCTATTAGAGAGTATCGCTACATATTTAGGGAATTCCCCACATTATGGGTTCCCACCCCATCACTGCAAAAGCCAGACACTCATTGTTCCAGCCTCCTTTGTAGCTGTAACACACACACGTGATCTGGGATTCATCTATCAGATCCACCAGTACCAGAATCCAAAGCTTGTATACAAGTAGCAGGCGCTGGCTGAATCCATTCTGGTAAGGTGGAAAAGCGACATTCCAGTTTACAGAGGCGGCAATGCCAAGGCTCCTACAGTCCTGTCCAGTGCCTGATGTTGGGAGTATTAGCAGGACCTTGGGTGGTACAAGTGAAGTCTTCCTGAATCAGCAGTGTGAAGTGTAATTTTATGAATTTCCTGGCTCTGTTTCCTCTGAGACTAGTTTTCTGGTCCCCTTGAAGAGTCTGCATGTGTCCTAATATTCTTTAATACAAGAATTGGCAAACTTTTTCTGTAAAGGGTTAGCTAGTTGCTATGGACTGAGCTGAGTCTGCCCAAAATTCATATGTTGACACTCTAACTCTAATTTGATGGTATTTGAGGATGGGGCCTTTGGTAGGCAATTTGGTTTAGATGAGGTTATGAGGGTGGGGCCCTTATGATGGAATTAGTGCCCTTATAAGAAGAAACAACAGAGTTTGCTATCTCTCTCTGTCTTTGCTGTGCAGGGCACAGCAGAAAGGCAGTCATCTGCAACCCAAGGAGAGAGCCCTCACCAGAAACCAACTATGCTGACATCTTGATCTTATACTTCCAGTCTCCAGAACTGTGAAAAATATATATTTCTGTTGTTTAAGCCACCTAGTCTATGTTATTTTATTAATAACATAGACTACTAAGCCAACTAAGCCATTAATAAATAAGCCTTATAATAAATAAGCCATTAATAAATAAGCTTATAATAAATAAGCCTTAGCCAACTAAGACATTAATAAATATTTTAGGCTTCGTAGGCCATATATGAGAATCTTCATTGTAGTTACTCAATCCTGCCACTATAGCATGAAAGCAACAAGAGACAGTACTTAAGCAAGCGAGTGTGACTGTGCTCCAATAACATTTTATTTATGGATACTGAAATGTGAATTTCATATACTTTTCATGGGTCATGAATATCCATCTTTTAAAATGTTCTTTGTCCAACTATTTAATTATGTAAAAATTATTGTTAGCTTGTGGGCCATACAAAAATAAATGCCAGGTCACATTTGCTGACTTCTGCAAAAACATGCCTTTTCTGCTTAAATGACCTACTGTTGGCTTCTGATTTGCAGCTAAGAACCCTGACTAATACATTTAGTCTATGCCTGTTTTGGGAGAAGGTTATTCTTAAGCCACTGAGAAAGGCAAACACTCATTCTGCTTTTCTTCAACTGCCAGAGAAGAATTTTTTACATAAACCTCCATGGGTCACCTGCTGCAATTTTTAGCAACTCATAGGCTCCTTGAACTGTCTGATATAACCCCAGAATCTCCTCACAAGGAAAGATTTGAAATATATAGTTTTTGTTCCTCTCCTATAGATTACCTTGCTCTGGAGAGCCAATGTTCATCTGAGTGAGCTATTTGTTTCGTTGTCACCTGAACCACATGACTGTGGATAGATACAGCTCAGCGGCCATAGCTGTAGCTCAGTCTTTCTGTAACTGACGGGAAAGATATGTGAAATAAGACACATAGACATGGCAATAAAATGAAGTAGGCTGCAAGATGAAAGCAGGTCATTCCCTGGACTCTTTTGTAAGGTGGATTTAGGAAACTGTACCACACCATTCTGGAAGTTCGCACTTACCAAAGTCAATGACATTTAGACTCTGTCCCTTTTTACCCAGGCACTTCATTACAAGACCCAGGCTCTGTTTGCATTTTCAAATAGAGTACCTTGGCTAATAAAAATATGGTGCTTAGCAACAGAAATGCATTACAACTATATTTAGCCAAAGCAAAGCTGTCTAGAAATGTACTGGACAATATGATTGACACAACTGGCAATTCCTCCTGTCCTTTACTGACAGTATCACCTGGTTTATATTCTGATGTGAAAAGAGTCTCATCAGTCTGAGATGATTCGATTTTTCAGGGCAGCAATGAGAAGGCAGAGGCTGAGGTAGACAAGGAGGCTTCTCTTTGGTTATGTTTATAATTTGTAGAATTCTCTCCACCTTTGAATATTTGATCCCCAATTTCACTTTCAAAATTACAATAATCAATCAAAAGAGAAAGCAAAGGCTGGGCATGGTGGTTCACGCCTATAATCCCAGCTCTTTGGGAGGCTAAGGTATGTGGATTGCTTGAGCCCAGGAGTTCAAGACCAGCCTGAGCAACCTGGCAAAACCCCATCTCTATAAAAAATACAAAAATTAGTCAAGTGGCTGGGCTTGATGGCTCACGCCTGTAATCCCAGCACTTTGGGAGGCCGAGGTGGGCAGATCACCTGAAGTCAGGAGTTTGAGACCAGCCTGGCCAACATGGTGAAACCCTGCCTCTACTAAAAATACAAAAAAATGAGCCAGGCATAGTGGTGCACACCTGTAGTCCCAGCTACCTGGGAGGCTGAGGCAGGAGAATTGCTTGAAGCCAGGAGGCGGAGGTTGCAGTGAGCTGAGATTGTGCCATCGCACTCCAGCCTCAACAGCAAGAGCAAGACTTCGTCTCAAAAAAAGAAAAAAAGAAAGAAAGAAAAAAATTAGTCAAGTGTGGTGGCACATGCACCTGTAGTCCCAGCTACTCAAGAGGCTGAGGTAGGTGGATCGCTTGGGCCCGGGAGGTGGAGGTTGCAGTGAGTTGTGATCGCACCACTGCACTCCAGCCTGGGTGACAGAACGAGACTCTGTCTCAAAACAAAACAAAACAAAAAACGTACACACAAAGAGAGAGAAGTCAGTGTTATTTGGGGACCTGGAAGAAGGTCCCTGAGATTGAGAGGAAAAAGGGGGCTCCCAAACATAAACAGTAATAAGTCATGTTAATAGTATGTACCATTGATATGATATGAAGAAAGCGGCATTTTGCCTCTGTGGTCCTCCTCCCCAAAACCCATAACCTTATATAATCATGAGAAAAACTTTACACAAATCTCAGTTGAAGAACATCCCACAAAATGCCTGACCAGTACTCCTCAAATGGTCCTCACAAACGAGGAAAGACTGAGGAACTGTTACAGCCAAGGAGACATGACAGCTAAGCGTAATGTGCTGTCCTGGACGGGATTCTGGAATAGAAAAAGGACATTAGGAAAAAAACTGAGGAAATCTGAATGAACTCTGGACTTCTGTTGATAATAGCATCAATATTGGTTCATTAATTGTAGCAAATGTACTATTCTAATGTAAGATGTTAGCAATTGGGGCATACAAGAACTCTCTGTACTATCTTTACAAAAATTCTGTAAATCAAAAACTGATTTAAAATAATAAGCTTATTAGAAAGAAAAAAAGTGGACCTTTCCTTTTGGCTAGACTTACTCCCCAGTCTTCCACAAACAACCAGATATTCACTCTGCACTGAGCTCAATCTGCGATCCATTGTCTGCGCCTGGGTAATAAAGGACATAAGTGATCAACCAAACATTTTTTTAACCAAATCTAGATAAAGATTGGAATTAAAATAGCGTACACAAAAGAATAACTTTCCAAAGCATTTTGTTATTTGTCGATGCGAATAGAACATAATCTGTGAGAAACTCCAAGACTGAATTCGACCTTTTATTTTTAACACAACAGCTGAACTCTCAGTGGTTGCCTGTAATAACTACCATCATTGCCTATAGACAGCACCTCTTCCAAATTAAGAAACGTTCCTTGAAGTTCTCATTAAATGCACATTACTGTTTGGGGTTTGATATCCTGGGAGTGATGATTGTTCAGGTTACTCTGTACAGAGCTGAATTCTTATATGAAGCAGAAGCATTATGAGGAATCTGAAATGGATTCTGCACAACAGGTTTGTTTTAAGTGTGTTATTCAGTACAAATATCTCCTTTGGGAATTTTACCAGAGAAAGTAAAATTATGACTGATTACGACTCTCTGTGATTTTAGCAGTAATTTCTCCTCTTAAAATAACCTCACACAGGTCATTCTTAAACAGAGAAAAAGTGATGAGTGATTATCTTTTCACTGCCCCTCACAATTGGTCACACTCTAAGCTGGCTGATAGAAGAAGGAGGAATCTCTTGGTTTGTCTCTTTAGCAGTAAAAAAGCACGGGACTCAAAAGCCTTTTTCTGCTGCTTCCAGGTCCTGTTTTTGAGATTTGGAAGCTGCATCAGGTCATTTTGATGACCTTTCTGAGCCTTTTTTTTTTTGAGACGGAGTCTCTCTCTGTCGCCCAGCCTGGAGTGCAGTGGTGGGATCTCCGCTCACTGCAAGCTCTGCCTCCCGGGTTCACGCCATTCTCCTGCCTCAGCCTCCCGAGTAGCCTGGACTACAGGTGCCCGCCACGACGTCCGGCTAATTTTTTTGTATTTTTAGTAGAAACGGGGTTTCACCATATTAGCCAGGATGGTCTCGATTTCCTGACCTCGTGATCCGCCCTCCTCGGCCTCCCAAAGTGCTGGAATTACAGGTGTGAGCCACTGCGCCCGGCCGACCTTTCTGATCTTTATATGAATTGAGTTCTGATCATGCATCTTTCTCTCTGCTTTTCTTTTGCCTGCATGATAAAGATTTACAATGGAGGCTGCGCGTGGTGGCTCACCGCCTGTAATCCCAGCACTTTGGGAGGCCAAGGCAGGTAGATCACCTGAGATCAAGAGTTTGAGACCAGCCTGGCCAACATGGTGAAACCCCATCTCTACTAAAAATACAAAAATTAGCTAGGAATGGTGGTGGGCAGCTGTAATCCCGGTTACTCGGGAGGCTGAGCCGGGAGAATCTATTGAACCTGGGAGGCAGAGGTTGCAGTGAGCCAAGATCGAGCCACTGACTCCAGCCTGGGTGACAACAGTGAGACTCCATCTCCAAAAAAAAAAAAAAAAAGATTTATGAAGGCAAGAAGAGAAAGATCACAGGACTGGATATCAAGATCCCTAGCTTTGCCATTAAATGAGTTTTGTCACCTGGACAGGGCACTTTGGCTCTCTGTGCCTCATTTTCCTAAGCTGTAAAATTAGATTCCTAATACTTGCTCCAGTTTCACTGTTACTAAGAAGATCAATGATCCCAACAGATGTCGACAAGATCTTGCTCTGTCACTCAGACTGGAGTGTGGTGGTGCAGTCATAGCTCACTGAGGTCTCCAACTCCTGGGCCCAATCTATCCTCCTGCTTCAGCCTCCTGAGTAGCTGGGACCACAGGCCCACACCAACACACATGGCTTTTTTTTTTTTTAAGTTGAGACAGAGTTTGTTTTGATGCCCAGGCTGGTCTTGAACTTCTGGGCTCAAGCCATCCTCCCACCTCATTCCCAAAGTGCTAGAATTATAGGCATGAGGTACTGCACCCAGCCTAAAATTTAAAATGCAGCCCAAAGTCATATTTGAATCCTTAAAGGGAACTACTCAGGATTTCAAAGTGCCCTTCAGGCCCCCTAAAATAGCATTTTACTTGTGACCAAGGTGTCAGAAGCTATAATTTGGTCACAAGTTACACATGACAGAAACTACTTCTGGCTGATTTAAGAAGAAAAAAAAAACAACAGGATTCTCTGCAGTATCTATGTCCTGTGTCACTGGTTCAAAGTCGAAGGCAGATATTTCTAATTGGCTTTGCCCACATTGTATAACACCACCTTCCAGTAAGGGAGCTGGGAAATGAAGATCTGGCATTTTCTGCTTCTGAAGTGGGAAGTAGGCACTTTTTCCCACTAAGACTCATAAAGTAGGATTCCCCAAACATAGGAAGAAGTTTCAGATGCTGAGTAGTACCCCAAGAATAATAAATATCTCTTATGTGGAATTTTTAGTTGGGTGGGGGACTACCTAATATTGGAGAAACTGCAAATATAAATCCAACACAATTGGCGTCTACCCTGGGTGTGTTTCTGGCACTCCTATCTGTGACCCCTTATCCATTCTATAACCTATTTCTATGAACTTAGTTTTCTCAAACTTTGTGAAATTTGCTTCTGCTAGCCAACTCTGAGGCTCACTTCTGACTCCCAGCTAAGTCACAACACTTTTCCCATAATTTCCAACTTGGGGCACAACTCAGAACTGAAACTATAAGAGAAAAATAAGACACACAGCAATGTTGACCTCTACCATACTCTGTGAAATTAGCAAATAGCTTGTTTTTTAGGTAGGATATCAGTAGCCCAAATTATTAGAATGGAATGTGTTTTTATATGTACTCTTAAAGTTATTCTTTCAAATTTTGGAAATGTTGCTTCTTATTATCAGAAATATTCCCTAAACAGTTTGTGCAAGCATTCTCCTGATGGTGCCTGTGAGTGCCAATGACATTTTTAAAAGCTTCTTTTCACTTTTGTATTTGATGAATGTAGAACTTAAGCACTGATCTGAAGATGAGAAAGGCCTTTTCATATCAAAGTTTCTAAAGAATGCCCCCAAATGATCAAGATGCTTGTCAGGGTATTGAGGCAAAGTGACTTGCGGGGTGGCGGAGTTGGGGGGTGGATATTCAAAATGAAGGCGGCAGGGAGGTTGGAGGCCTCCTTATTACCCAGTGGATTTGCCAGCTCTCTTTGCTTTTAGGCAGCAAGGACAGACTATGAGGTATGTGCTGCAAAAGTTATTTTCAGAGCTGTAAAGATTTAATCATTTCACTGTTTTTAACCAGAGGAACCTTGTATTTCTTCTACTACATTGGAACAAATTTTAAAAGGAAAGGACACAGGCAGTCCCTGACTTAGGGTAATGGACTCAAAGCACTTACTCACTCCTTCCCTGCCCATGCTATCATTACTGCCGTTCGACAGACTGCACACAGATGAACTCTCATTCGTGCACTCTGCAAATACTTGTAAAGTACCTGTTTTGTGACCAGTACTGTGTGAGGCAGGCAGGAATCTGACATGAAGCCAGTAAAGCTTCAGCTTCAAAGACCCTCAGTGTCATGTGCCTCTTCCAAGAAGGCACCTAGCGATATATTTATGTGGTCATATGTTTTTGCAAAATTTGCAGAGGTAAGATACTCTAACCACAATTGATTAAGATTACTATCTCTTTCCACTTTGACTTCCTCTTTACTTCAGTTCTCCCTTGTGTCTAGTGGCATTGGAGATTCACAGTCATTTTGAGATTCCTCTAAGGTAATTTGGGCTAGGAATACATTTATTTGGGCTTTAGTGGGATACGTTTATGTGTTTGGGCAGCCATTTCTGTAAATAGTTAAGCTATGCTGGCCATCCCAGCTTAGGAATGGCTGGTAGGAATACTTGTACTCTTCAACATGACAAGTCATCTGATGTTGTGACCTGATGGTGCAGGGCATTGATGATACACTGGTTAATAGGAGTATGGTCAATACAAAGAACAGTTAAGTTTAGTCACTGTGTCATAATTTGAAATGCCCTGAAATGTTATAACCCATCTATGTAAGACACTTGGTAGAGGTTTCCAAAATTTGATAGCATTTGTAAAAATTTACATGACTTAGCAATAATGAATTGGGGAACTGAAATAAGCTTTTCTAGGAAATATTAGAAAACATGTTGATCAACCATGCTAGAGAAAAGCATGAACGACCTTTCTATTCAATATAGGAAATGATCTTATAAATTATTGTCATATGAAAGAGGTAATCGAAGGCTGGGCCCAGCGGCTCATGCCTGTAATCCCAGGACTTTGGGAGGATGAGGCGGGTGGATCGCCTGAGGTCAAGAGTTCGAGACCAGCATGACCAACATGGTGAAACCCCGTCTGTATTTAAAATGCAAAATTATCTGGGTGTGGTGGTGCACACCTGTAATCCCAGCTACTTGGGAGGCTGAGGCAGGAGAATCACTTGAACTCAGAAAGCAGAGGTTGCAGTGAGCTGAGACCAAGCCATTGCACTCCAGCCTGGGCAACAAGAGTGAAACTCTGTCTCAGAAAAAAAAAAAAAAATAGGAAGAAAAGAAAAAGAAAGAGGTAATCGAAGAAGACAAGCCAAAAAAGTAGGAAAAATATAGAGATGTGTCAGGCAGTTAATAAAGAAAAACATTTCATTTTCATAGATGTTGTGTTTATTAGCTTTTTATACTTGTAATTGGTTGTGATTTCTTCATACCTAATTTTGTATTCTTTTGAAAAATCCTTCCTTCCCCAAACTATGTAAGCTTCAGGCCTGCAGAACCTGGATTTCCCCCTGGTATGTGAATGAAGTTGCATTAAGGCCCATGTTAGTCTTCCATGTGCTCACAGTCTAATAGAACAGACAGACAAGGAAACAAGCAGTTCAACATAGTGTGACAAGTGCTACAATGTGGCATCATCTAACCAACTGGGGAAAAATTGATCCTAACCTTGCATATATCCATGTGTGGGTTTTTTCTGACACCAAATGTGTGGTGTTGAAACTGCCTTTGCAAAATTATGACTGAGATAGCAAAAGAGATCTAACCTAATTGACTCCATCTTCCTTCTAACCTCCAAGCTGTCCTTGTCCATTCCTGGACATGGGCTGAACTAACTTTGGGAGGAACTTAATTTATAGTTTAAAACAAAGATGATAACAGCCCTTTCCCAAAACAAACCTCCTTCTTGCCTGGGGACTAGACCGCCTTTGTAGGACTAAGAAATTAGTCACAAGATTAGAAATTATGATTTAGGAGTCATGCATCTGGAGGCTACAAGATTCTGACTTTCCCTGAACTGCTCCTAAGATCACTGCCTGAGATATTTTGCAGACTCTGCACTTGATGGATCAGCTGGCACCACCCAGTTCGATAAACTGGCTCATTTGATCTTGTGCCCCCTCCTCACCAGGAACTGACTCAGCACAAGAAGACAGCTTCAACTCCCTAAGATTTCATCTCTGACTTCACCAATCAGCACTCCCAGCTCACTGGCTTCCCCCCGTCCACTAAGTTGTCCTTAAAAACTCTGATCCCCGAATACCCAAATGCTCAGGAAGACTGATTTGAGTAATAATAAAACTCTGGTCTCCCACACAGCCGGCTCTGTGTGAATTACACTTTCTCTGTTACAATGCCCCTGTCTTTAGAAATCAGCTCTGTCTAGGCAGTGGGCAAAGTGAAACCATTGGGTGGTTACAGTGTCTTTTCCAACACATTGTTCCAACATCCATTCACCAGTTATCTCCCACCAACTGGGTGTTCTTCAATTCCATTCAACTCTGATGCTAACTACCCAGAGTTAGTGCAAACCCCACAGGTTAAAGTCATGGTCCCACAAGACTGCCCCCACTTCAGATGCCAGGTAGAATTCCTGGGTTTCTAGGCTACTCACACTTCTATCCTATTTGGCTGCAAATTTGGGGGTTCGCATCACCCTCCCTCATGTTTGATAATTTGTTAGAACAAATTGCAGAACTGAGGGAAGCACCTTGCTTGTGATTACTGGTTTATTATAAAGGATGCAACTCAGGAACAGCCACATGTAAGAGATGCATAGGGCAAGGCTGCGGGAGAAAGGAAGTGGAGAGCTTCTGAAACTGTCCTTGTACAATCACCCAACGGGTGCTTCCAGCTTGCGGCACAGACAAAACAATTCACTGAGACCATGGTATTGCAGTAAAGAAAGAGCTTAATTAACCCAAGACAGCCAAGCAGAAGGACGGATGTTATCACTCAAATCAATCTCTCCAAGAACTCAGGGGCTAGGGTTTTTATGGATAGTTTGGCAGGCAGGGGCTAAGGAATGGGTGCTGCTGATTGGTTGGGGAATAAAAGCATAAGAGTGTGGAAAACAGTCCCTATGTGCTGAGTCTGCCTCTGGGTGGGGCTACAGGATTGGTTGAGTCATAAGTCACCAGTCCAGTTGGAATTAATCAGTTGCCTGAATGCAAAAGTCTGAAAAACATCTCAAAAGACCAATCTTAGGTTCCACAACAGGGATGTTTCCTACAGGAGCAATTGGGGAAGTCACAAGATTTGTGACCTCTGGCCACATGACTCCTGAGCAGTAAGAGATTAGAGAAATTATGCCTGCATTTTGGCAGAAGTCAGGCCCCTCCCATTACAAAGGCAGTTTCAGTCCCTGAACAAACAAGGGATCAGTTTCAGGGAGGGACTCTTCTCATTCTTGCTTTAAACTATGAACTATATTCCTCGCAGTTACCTTGGCCTATCCCCAGGAATGAGCAAAGACAGCCAGCCTGTGAGACTAGAAGCAAGATGGAGTCAGCCATGTTAGATTTCTCTCACTGTCATAATCTTTGCAAAGGAGGTTTCAATCACAGAGTTGACAAGAATTTCATGCCAGGTTCTGGACAGAAATATAGTTATAATTAAGCATGAGGCTTAATTATAGGCTGCATTTTGGCCTACTTACTTGTAACTGAAAGTCACATAGCACTGGATACTGACCATTTGCATCCACATTGTTTCTATAGATGGGATTTCGGATGTTGGAATCATGAGGCTTTTGTTTAAGAGTTGCTTAAGATGTTCTTCAGATCCTGAATTCCAGCAGAACAGCTGACATCCACAACCAGTTTGAGGATCCCCACAGAAGAGCTGAATCAACATGAGAATGCAGTTTCTTCATCTCTCCAGTCCATGACTTCACCCTGCAATCCCCACAGAAGAGCTGAATCAACATGAGAATGCAGTTTCTTCATCTCTCCAGTCCATGACTTCACCCTGCAATCCCCACACCTCAGCCCACTCCAAACCCCTTACAAACTCCTCAGGGAGGCAAATCTGAGGTTTCCTTCCATCTCCTTGTTCAGATGCCCTATGATTATTAAACCCTTTCTCTGCTGCAATCCTTGAGGTCAGTGTGTCCACTTGCCATGCTTTAGGTAAGGAACCTGTTACAGTCACACTTCCATGTCCTCTTCCACGGTGCCACTCTCCCACCACATCAATGTTACCAACCCAGAAGCTCTCTAAATTTCACTGTTCAAGAGTATTTATCAAAGCTTTGTTTTGTAGGTGTGTTTGATCAAATCATTGGCCATTGGTGATTGAGCTCAATCTCCAGCCTTTCTCCCCTCCCGGGAGGTTGGAGGGTGGGGTTAAATGTTCAACCCTCTGATCCCATGTTTGGTCTTTCTGGGGACCAGTCCCCAACCTAAATCTATCTAAGGCCACCCTGAGTCACCTCATTAACATAAACTCTAGTATGGTCAAAAGGAGCTCATTATGAATAACAAAAGATACACCTATCACTCAAGAAATTCTAATAATTTAGGAGCTCTGTGCCAGGAACTGGAGGCAAATAAAGACCAACTATATTATACCACAACTCAACACCATTAATTTGATTTATAAAGCTATGAAGTTAGACAGTGAGACAAACTTTCCTGAACCATGTACGCAAAGACCACCCCCAAAATTTCCCCCAAAGTTACTTCCCGAAGAAGCTTTGTCAAAATTTCCATTAGAAGTTATTTTCGGCCAGATGCAGTGGCTCATGCCTGTAATCCCAGCAATTTGGGAGGCCGAGGCAGGCAGATCATGAGGTCAGGACTTCAAGACCAGCGTGACCAACATGGTGAAACCCTGTCTCTACTAAAAATACAAAAATTAGCCGGGCGTGGTGGCGCATGCCTGTAATCCCAGCTACTCGGGAGGCTGAGGCAGGAGAATCGCTTGAACCTGGGAGGCGGAGGTTGCAGTGAGCCGAGACTGTGCCATCACACTCCAGCCTGGGCAACAGAGCGAGACTCCATCTCAAAGAAAAAAAAAGTTATTTTCAGTTCCTTGGCCCAAGATTCCTTGCAGCAATCCTTTCATTTTTGCTTTGCTACAATCAAAACAAGGAAAAAATTATGAAGAATATTAAAAGAGACTTTCCTGTAGTGTATGCATAAGTCGTTATCATGAAATTTGAAGTTGGGTGTGATTAATTACTATTTAGATTACACTATTCAGCATTAGATATATAATTTATTGACTATGGAGTAAGAGGTTGCTATTCCATATTTGTAAAATAGAAGAATTGGAGTCTCTGGATGATTTTAAAGTTCCTTCCAGTTTTTTGCTTCTTTCATTTTAATAAATACCCAGCATTCATTAAATCATGGGCTTCAGGGCCTTAGACACTTCATCGCCTTCTTACAGGTTCAAAAGGGAAAATCAGATTCCATCTACATCATTTTAATTGATGACACCATTTTGGAGAATATAAATCAATTGAGTTGTATGGACTTCCTATGGCTATGTCTTTATCATGGTATAACTTATGTTTAAATGGTTCTGAGAAAAGAAAAACAGCTCAAAGAGCTCTCAGCTCTGTGAGGTTTGCAGGCCCAGAGAGACACAGTGCAGGGCTTGCAGTCATCCCCTACTCATGCCTGGGGGTATTGTTTAAAGTCATTTTGTTCCTAACTAGCTGCCTCTCCTGCTGTCTTCATGTTCCTGGAATTCATGATACCAAGGACAGTATATAGCCAATCAATAGCTTATTTTATTTATCTTTTTTTTCTTTTTTTTTTTAAGAGACAGGGTCTCACTATGTTGCCCAGGCTGGTCTTGAACTCCTGAGCTAAAGCAATCTTTCCCACCTTGGCCTCCCAAAGTGTAGGATTACAGGCATAAACCACCATGCCCAACCTACTTATGTTATTTGAATAGAAATTATTTTCCTTTTTGATGAGTAGATTAAAAACGACGACAACAAAAAGAATGGAAATTCTTGGTAACCAACTCAGGAAGTGTCTCTTCTTTTCCTTTAAAAATCCTTGGCCAGGCACGGTGGCTCACACCTGTAATCCCAGCACTTTGGGAGGCCGAGGCAGGCAGATCACCAGAGGTCAGGAGTTCAAGATCAGCCTGGCCAACATGGTAAAATCCTGTCTCTACTAAAAATAAAAAAAAAAATTAGCTGGGCATGGTGGCAGATGCCTGCAGTCCCAGCTACTCAGGAGGCTGACCCACTAGAATTGCTTGAACCCAGGAGGCGGAGGTTGCAGTGAGCTGAGATTGCACCACTGCACTCTAGCTTGGGCAACAGAGTGAGACTCTGTCTCCAAAAAAAAAAAAAAAGTATTTAAAGTGTTTTGATTATTTTCTTTTTGTTTTTTTAATTGGGCAGCCCCAGAACCAGAATAGATCCAGAGAGACCCCCCTGATTTTTTGTAAGTTTCTCTGAAGATGCAGGTTGGCCAGAGCAGATTGTAAAACTGCGGGGTTTAGCAAAGAAATCACTTAAGCCAATTGAGAAGTGATTAAGGAGAAGGTTAATTGAATGAATTAGTAACTTAGTTACTAGAGTAAATTTTTTCTCATTGAAAGAAAACAGTGCCAGACACAGTGGCCCATGCCTGTAATCCCAGCACTTTTGGAAGCTGAGGTAGGAGGATTGCTTGAGGCCAAGAGTTCCAGACCAGCCTAGGCAACATAGTGAGATCCCTGTCTCTGCAAAAACAACTTAAAACATTAGTTGGGCATGGTAGGGCATGCCTGTAGTCCTAGCTACTCAGCAGGCTGAGGTGGGAGAATCACTTAAGCCCGGGAGCATGGGGCTGCAGTGAGCTATGATCATACCACTGCACTCCAACCTGGTTGACAGAGCAAGACACTGTCTCCAAATAGAAGGAAAAGAAGAAAACAAGTTTTTTAAAAAATATATTAAAATAAATAAAAAAGAAAGGAAACAAAGTGGTTAGACAGAGACTTCAGATAGTAGTAGAAGAGAAAAAAGGAGGGTGAGGGGAGAATAATTTTTCCTGAACAGAAAGAAGAAAGAGCAAGGAAAAGAGATATTGGAGAAAGACTTTGCCTTTAAGGACATGGAAGTCATACTCCACAAGATTCTGAATTAATGTACACAATGGGAGAAACCCTGTAATGTCTACTAGGACTTTTAAAGAGTGATTTCTTCCTAGCATGTCATAGGCCTGGAAGCTTTAAAACTGAGGGAAAAAGAAGAATTTTTTTGAAAACTAGAAGAGAAAAATCAAGATTTTGTTATGAAGTGGCAACTAAATGACATAGTAACAAAAATGTGTATCAAGACCTGTTTGACTATTTTAAAAGTTTGTTTGATTTTATATAGTGCCTAAATATGTTGATACATTTGTAATCAGTGTTTCAGTGTAATAAAATGATTAAGAACACAGTCTTCAAGACAGACAAGACTGGATTCTATTATAATTAAGACTGGTAACACAAATTCTCTGAGCCTCAGTTCTTCATTTGTAAAGGCAGAGTAATAATTGATACTAGCCTGCGGAGAGGATTCAATAATGGAAAGAAAGCCTTGACAATGTCTGGTGGGTCCGGATACCCCAGGAAGAACTGATTTCCTCCTGAGTCTTTGGACAAGCAATCAGAATCAAGTAGCTCTCTAGAGCACTGATTGTCAGAGCAGAGCTCTCCTTTAGTCCCATCAAATGCCATGGGATTGTGGAAAGTCTAGAGGTCACCTAGTCCTTTCTCCCCACCGAGGCAGGAATTCACTCTACAATATTGTTACTTGTGCCTGAACATGTCTACTTTGGAGAAATTACTTCTTAGTATGGCAGCCTATCTTGTTTTAGAATAACTGTATTAGGAAACTTTACTTTATATTGAACCAACATACACAAATCTGCCTCTCACTTCTACTCCTGGGTCTTTGTTCTGCTACCTGGAGTTCACACAGTCAGTTGCGTCCTTATTTCTTTTTCTTTTTTCTTTTTTTTTTTTGTGGGAGGCGGGGGACGGAGTTTTGCTCTTGTTGCCCAGGCTTGGGTGCAGTGGCGAGATCTCGGCTCACTGCAACCTCCACCTCCTGGATTCAAGTGATTCTCCTGCCTCAGCCTCCCGGGTAGCGGGGATTATAGGTGCATGCCACCATGCCCAGCTAATTTTTTTCTTTTTTTTCTTTTTTTTGTATTTTTGGTAGAGATGGGTTTTCACCATGTTGGCCAATCTGGTTTTGAACTCCTGACCTCAGGCGATCCACCCACCTCAACCTCCCAAAGTGCTGGGATTACAGGTGTGAGCCACTGCTTCCAACCCGCTTCCTTATTTCAATCAGCAAATGGGCTCCATCTGCACTGCCATGGGCCTTTCTTTACCCAGGCTCTTTTCTCTCCAGTCCCACTGTTGTGTTTTGTCCAAAATGCAACATGCGGAAAAGCCTCCTGGGGAGGCTACCTCTCCTCTGAGCATAGTGATTTGAACAGAGGACCTTTTGCAAATTTTTGTCTAGGGTCAGGACAGAGGGCATGATTTAAACTGGCACAATGACTGTTCACTTTATCAATCATCTGTTACATAATACCATCAAAACAGAGCTTCTCTCTCCTCCGAGAAAGTGCCAGCTGAAGAGGATACAGACTCCTCTTGCCATTGACCTAGCCTTTCACTGTGGAAATCAAATAATGTTAGATTCTTTAGTCAAGTAGAGCCTAATCTGGAGCATGGGAAAATAGAGCAGAAATGGGCTGATTGTTCACTGAGGGACTGAGAAAACACTTGAATGGGGCTCATAGTCAATCTCTCTTCTTTCTCTCACCTTTTTTTTTTTTTTTTTGAACTGGAGTCTTGCTCTGTCACCCAGGCTGGAGGGCAGTGGTGCAATCTTGGCTCACTGCAACCTCCACCTCCCGGGTTCAAGCAATTCTCCTGCCTCAGCCTCCCGAGTAGCTGGGACTACAGGCACATGCCACCATGCCTGGCTAATATTTGTATTTTTAGTAGAGATGGGGTTTCACCATGTAGGCCAGGCTGGTCTTGAACTCCTGACTTTGTGATCCGCCCACCTCAGCCTCCCAAAGTGCTGGGATTACGGGTGTGAGCCACTGCGCCTGGTCTCCTCTCTTCTCTTTTCTTCTCTTCCTTTCTCTCTCTCTCTCTTCATTTTACTCAGAAGAGATCTTCTGGTAGAGAAAAGTATCGAGAATTAGAGCACATGAATGGCTGGGCCCGGTGGCTCACGCCTGTAATCCCAGCACTTTGGGAGGCTGAGGCAGGAAGATCCTGGAGCCAAGGAGTTCAAGACCACCCTGGGCAAGATAGAGAGATCTTGTCTCTACAAAAAATAAAATTAAAAAAAGTTAACTGGGTATGGTGGCATGCTCCTTTAGTCCCAGCTATTTAGGAAGCTAAGGTGGAAGGATCGCTTGAGCCCAGGAGGTCAAGGCTGCAGTGAGCCCTGATTGTCCCACTGCACTCCAGCCTGGGTGACAAGAGTGAAAACATGTTGAAAGCAAAGGAAGGAAGGAAGGCAAGTGGGCAGGCAGAGAGACAAAAAGAGAGAGAAAGAGCTATCATTGGGGAACAGGCTATTATTATTCTGTTCAAAAATGAAAAAAATAGGGAAGGAAACGGTAGATGGTAAGTGGCCAAATGAAACCTCAGACTCAGATTATACAAATCCAGTAGCTGCACATTGCCCATCAATATTCTCTTCCCTGTAAAGCAGTCGTCCCCAACATTTTGACCCCAGGGACCGGTTTCATGAAAGACAATTTTTCCATGGACAGTGGGGGCGATGGTTTCAGGATGAAATTCTTCCACCTCAGATCATCAGACATTAGATTCTCATAAGGAGTGTGCAACCCTCACACGTGTAGTTCACAATAGGGTTTGTGCTCCAGTGCGAAATCAAATGCCACCATTGATCTGAGAGGAGGCAGTGCTCAGGTGGTAATGCTCACTCACCGGCAGCTCACCTCCTGCCATGTGGCCCAGTTCCTAACTGGTACCAGTCTGTGGCCTGCAGGTTGGGGAACCCTGCTGTAAAGGAGAATTGTTTTCTAAGCCCTAGCCTTACAAAGTTACCAAATGATTATGACAAATTGTACAACATTTCATGGCAAGGGATAAGATATGTAGGATATCCAACCTGAGCTTTGCCATGACAGAATCTTCTACTGGAGTTCAGTTTGTTTATGAAACAACCATGACCCTGGTCGAGTATTTTTGTTTGCTGAAAGAAATTGCTTGAGGAATAGTTATCCTGAAATAACATTTCTAAAGTTGTATGTTTCTTTGAGGTCAAGTAAAGCAGATTTTATTTTACCCCAGACTCAACACATTATGAGGTTCTCAGGACACTCCAATAATGTGCTTTTGCAAGTTCTCCATTTATTGCCTCATAGCTCCAAATTCACTCTTCATTGCCTGCTCTGCAAAAACGGAACTGCGCCCTTTAAATATTTTTCCTTTTCCAACTGGTAAATGTTAAGTTTTGTCACTGAGTCTTTGGTTAGATATTGCAAGATGAACGGGGTTTCCTTCCTGGTTCCTGTGTGTCTGTGTCTTGTAGCCATCTCCTGCAGCGTAAGTGGCTTCTCTGACAACTGGTAATGCATGTGGTTTCTCCATCACTGGGCTCCTGCTGTGCACAGGGGTGGTCAGCAGTACCAGAAGCCAGCAACTTCCCCTGGTACCCCTCTTGTATGGTTTTGTAGTAGTACATGTCCAGCAAGACACCTCCTTCTTAACAGCTTTCCTTGGCAGGGTGAATTTCCAGCAAGTTACACTAACCTGGCACCACACTGACTTCTCCATTCAGGGAGTCACGTGCCCATGCCCTCCCTAACAAGGTCTGACTCTCAGACTAGAAGGGCAGGAGGACTCTTCCTCAGTGACTTTATCTCAGCCCTAGAGGTAATGGCTGCTACTTCTATCTAATATTCCTATATTATTTAGAACTTTTTTTTACTTCTTACTAGACTTCTCTAATTACTCCAGTCTTCTGTTATGGTTACTAATTCTTTATATTAAACTTCACCTGTTTGAGGCCAGGTGCAATGGCTCACACCTGTAATCCCAGCACTTTAGGAGGCCAAGGCACTCGGATCACCTGAGGTCAGGAGTTCGAGACCAGCCTGGCCAACCATGGCCAACATAGTGAAACCCTGCCTCTACTAAAAACATAAAAATTAGCTGGGCGTGGTGCCAGGCACCTGTAATCCCAGCTACTCGGGAGGCTGAGGCAGGAGAACCGCCTCTGAACCCGGGAGGCAGAGGTTGCAGTGAGCCGAGATCATACCACTGCACTCTAGCCTGGGTGACAGAGTGAGATTCTGTCTCAAAAAATAAATAAATAAATAAATAAATAAATAAATAAATAAATAAATAAACTTCACCTGTTTGCATTACTGTGTGGTTTCTGCCTCAAGACTGACCTTGACTTAAATAGTACCTGTATTGTACAATTTAAATGTTGGCCCTCCTCAACTATGTAGTTTAAATTATTGAAATACTCTGTTTAGTGAGGACTCTTCTTGCTGCAATTAAGAGTAATCCAATACATATTAGCTTAAACAAAAAGTACTTTATTGGTTAAAAGCACAAAAGGACAGGAATGGTGGGTTCAGAGAATCAAACACTATCATATCTATGTCTCTGCCTTTCTTTTCTCTCTGCTTCATCTGTTATTGCCTCTGTGTTTCAAATCTGTTTTTTTTGTTTGTTTGTTTTTTGTTTTTTTTTCTGTGTGTGGCTTCATTGTCTCAGGTCTTCTATAACTGTGCAGCTAGAATTGTGGCCACATTTGTGTCCAGGCTTTATAGTTCTATGCTTGGGAGGAAAACCTCATCCCATTTCTCCAAAAAAAAAAAAAAAAAAAAAAAAAAAAAAAAAAAAAAGTATCATTTCCTTTCATCTCCAGTTAGAAAAGTCTTCAGAAAGACTTGACTTGAGTCGTGTGCTTATCTATAGAATAATCAGCGTGGCCAAAGAGGTAGGAAAAATTGGCCCATCCTGGGTTACATGCTCACCTTTATTGCCAGAGGAGTGGGTATAGTAATTAGCAGAGCCCAAAAGATTCACTTGTGTAGAATGGTGAAACTTCTGATTTTCCAAAAACATGAGGGATGCTGTTCTAGGCAAACAAACTATAGTCTTTAAAGATGTAGGCTCAAGCTTCACATACTGAAAAAATTAAGTTTTTCTCGTAAAGACAATGGTCATTCATAGCAGTTTGATGGTTAAATAATGATAGTAGGCCCCCCTTCTTTAACCAATTGATCAAGGTAATAATTTTTAGCATATTTCCTCAGTCCAACAGGACTTAAGTGTGGCAGATATTGTTGACAGCCTGTCAGTAGCCAGTTCTTCCCATGTTGCTTATCAACAGAATCCCAATTTGGTGTGCCCTCACCATGGCCACGTGCTCAGTGAAGGAGCCCCTCCTCAGCATCAAAGGGTGAGTCTCTGTTAGCAAAGCCTATAGTGGCAATTCCATTTTTATTGCCATTGATTCTTTTTTTTTTTTTTTTTTTTTTTGAGTTAGGGTCTTGCTCTGTCACCCAGGCTGGAGTACGGTGGCATGATCTCAGCTCACTGCAACCTCCGCCTCCTAAGCTCAAGCCACCCTCCCACCTCAGCCTCTCAAGTAGCTGGGACTACAGGTGCTCAACACCACACCTGGCTAATTTTTGTATTTTCAGTAGAGATGGGGTTTCACCATGTTGGCCAGGCTGGTCTCGAACTCCTGACCTGAAGTGATCCACTCGCCTCAGCCTCTCAAAGTGCTGGGATTACAGGCGTGAGCCACCGCGCCCAGCTGCCATTGATTCTTTAGAATGAGCATGTGAATTAATTCTAGAGAATCAGACTTGAAAGAAATTTTTCTGGGATAAGTAGTAGCTTCTGGAAAAAGTTTTCCTCCAATTGGGAGGGCAAACTGCCCTGTTGGGATGTTTCAACATTGCTGTATGAGAAGAAGATGCCTGGAGATGGGGCAGCCAGCCTGCAACCATCATGAGATAACCTGGGGACAAAACCCAGCACACTGCGGATAGGAGCAAGAAAACATGGCGGGAGACAGAATCCCTGATGGCGCTGTCGAGCTTGCTGGGGCTCAGAGCACGATAGCCCAAAGTATGGCACCTTGGCCTGCTGAGTACTTTCAACTGAGGGACATTGTAAAGGCCCCAGAAGCAAGGTGTCCCTGACTGTCTCCTGTCCTCCTATCTCCTGCACAGAAGCCAAATTCCTCTTTCCTAAGGTGAGTCATAGAAACTAGAACCCTTCTGCCTCAAAGCAAGCTATGAAGCCTAGACAGGTCACTCTCTCCATTTTCCCTTGAAACCCTCATTCCAGAGGGTTCTGCCCCATGCCCGGGAGGAAAGAATACTACACAGACAGGCCGAGAAGAATCTGAACAGACAGGCTTTGCTGGGCTTCCCCTATCAGTCTGTTACCATTAGATTGTCCAGCCACATTTCGACATGTGTCTATTCTTCATGGAACCTAAGTGTAAAAACAGACAGTTTCCTCCGAGTCTTTGGGTCTTCATTTCTGAAGGTTCCTATGCCACATAAATCTTTGGTTAAATAAATTGGCTATGCTTTTTTGTTAACCAGTCTTTTGTTATCAGAGTGTCAGCTGTGACCCTCACGGTGGGTGAGGAAAAATAGCTCACCTTCCTGCCCCTACAATTTCTTAAATTAACTGACCTGGAAATCACTCTGTCTCCAGAATTCCTAAGTGGAAAAATAAATTCCTTTAACCCATTTTTAGCTGGGTTTTCTGTTATAAACAATGAAAAGAGTTAGAATTGAAATCTGGGACCTCATTTATCATCAGATTTACATCAGGAAATAGCATATTTATTTGGAAAATCAGATTTCTTTATCTGAGGAATAAATGAAGAATGGGAATATTAGCAATTCTAAAATCAGCTAGAGCACCTCTAACCTCAGAATCACCCAATATTGTTAGGTCAGCTGCCACCCATAATCTGATATCAACATAGATTTAGATCAAATACAGACAAGGCAGATGTGCATCTCTTTATACATGGATATAGCCTTGAAAATAGATTTCTACCTTTTCAAAGCAATGTCACTTGCCAGAGACAGACATAGACATTTGAAATGCATTATAGCCTTCACAGTCCATGTGGGCATCTCTCATTTGGAATGCCATCTGCTGAGCTCTTCCAAAACTGAGCTCGACAGGTAATTCTATCTGTGAGGAACACATTCAACTGACAAGCAGCTATTTGGTTTCCCTCTACAGGAATGAAGATACACACACACACACACACACACACACACACACACACACTCTCTCTCTCTCTCTCTCTCTCTCTCTCTCTCTCTCTCCACATTGATAGCTTCCTTTTATAGTTTTTTCATTTTGGTCCTTAAATATACTCTGATTCTTTCATTTTACCTTTTTAAAATGTCTCTTCTCGTTACAATTTCCGACAAGGTCACATGGTAGAGAAAATATGTGCTTTGAGACCTCAGAATCAGCCTAAAATCTTGGTTCTGCCACTTAATGCTTTGCAACTTTGGGCAAGTTCCTTTGCTTCTGAGCCTCAGTTTCTCATCTATAAAATGTGAATGCTAACGTGTCTTCTCACACTGCCATCACTCACTTTTATATAACATTTTAATCTATAAGTTGTCACATTTTAAAATCACACTGATCTTAAGTCACACAGGGATTTTGGCTGGAAGAGAATGTTATTCCTTGATTCTTAGTGCTAGGGTTCTCGGTGGAAAGCAGTTGGCTCTTCATTTCTTCTTCATGATCTCACAGAAGAGTAAAGAGGATTCAGGACCTTCTGATTCATCACTATGGAGGATAGAGCTGACAAAGAACCTCTTCCCAATATAAACACATACAAATGCTAGATAAAATATTACTACATCATTTTTTAAGTGGAAGAAATGAAGAAAGAAAAAGGTAAGAGAAATAAAGCAATCCATTCTAGCAATGAAGCAAAAACTCACAGCCAAAGTAGCAAGATTCAGGAGTTACCAACAGCTCAGGGGAAGACCAAACCAGCATGTCGGCCCTATGAGATAGGTGCTGAGTGGCAGCCTCCACACAGCCCTGGGACTCTGCAAGAATCTCAAGTCCAGGGTCAATAAATACAGATCTACCTAGAACATCATAATGAATAACATAACATTAAAGATAAGGGGAAAAAAATCTTAAAACAAACAAGGGAAAGGCAGATTGTCTACACTGGATCAACAGGCAACAAAATAGAGGTGAGGCACAAAAGCAATAAACATCTTAAAAGTACTAGGAAAAAATCACTGTCATCCTTCTATATGCCTAATAAGCAAACATTAAAATATAGAAAGCAAAAGCAAATGGGAACACGAGAAAATTTTAGAAATCCAGAGTCATAGTAGAAGATTTTAGTGCCTCTATCCAAAACTGATAGATTAAAGGGTCAAAAAATCAGTAAACTTCTAGAGAATTCGAACCACACAATTATCAATTTCATATATAAATAGTACCCTACCACCAATAATATAATATGCAATATTATGTTCACTTTTTAAGCGTGCATGAATTTTTTAAAAAATGAATTACATACTGGGCCATAAAAGAAGAGAAATACCAAAAATTGGTATATTATCTCTGAAAAAATGTAATATAATTGAAAATGAATTATTAAAAAGATGCTAAATAAAACCTTAATGTTTATAAAAACTAAAAAGTACACTTTTAAATAATTTACTTTTCAAATAAAATAAGTTAGAAATAAAAACATGTTGAACTAAATGACAGTAAAATGACTACTTATTAAAATTTGGATACAGCTAGGAGAGTTAAAGCCTTAAATGTAGGTACATCAGCATTTAAAAGTATTAAAAATCTGTAAGATCAATATTCATCTAAGGAAGTTAGAAAAGGAGCAACAGAGTGCATTCAAAAATGGTAGCAGGAAGAAGAAAGAAAAACAAAAGTAGAAATTAATAAAATAAAAAATAAACAATAAAGATAAATCTTATGTTTTGAAAGACTAATAAAATAGAGAAGTGTCTGGTGACAAACCAAAATATACAGGAGGCACAATTAATCATATTAGGAATGAAAGAAGCTCATAATTACAGATGAAGGGAAATTTAAACCACAGAAATTATTATGTTGAGTAACATTAAATTGCTGATATTCAACCTTTTGACTTTGCAAAACTGCAATTTGATGTTAATATGAACAATCATAGTCCTAACATTTGAAAATATAAAGTGAATAATTTTTCAGATAAATGACAAAAATTCACCAAAGAGGAAATTTTAAAACTTTAATATACTTATAATCATTAAAGAAATTGAATTATAGTAAAAAAAAGTTTCCCCAAACAGCATCACTCAATTTACAACCCAGTGTTAGCAAACCTTCAAGAAATAACAGTTTATACCTACCTTATTGTCTTCCAAAGAATAGAAAGATAGAGAAAAGAAATCATTGGTTCATTTCAAAGTATCAATCTTAGAGAAATTCTCACACATGTGTATAATGATAGGAAGATAACATCCAAGGATGTTCATAATCAGAAAGTTTATAATATCCAAAATCATAAATCACTAAATGTCTTTCAATAAAGAAACATATAAGTAAATTATGGGATATTCATACCATAGTCAAAATAAATAAATCAGAGGTATATGTATCAGCACAGAAAAATCTTTTTTCTTTTTTTTTTTTTCCTTTTTTTTGGAGTCTTGCTCTTGTTGCCCAGGCTGGAGGGCAATGGCACCATCTCGGCTCACCGCAACCTCCACCTCCCGGGTTCAAGTGATTCTCCTGCCTCAGCCTCCCAAGTAGCTGGGATTACAGGTATGTACCACCATGCCCAGCTAATTTTGTATTTTCACTAGAGACAGGGTTTCTCCCTGTTGTCAGGCTGGTCTCAAACTCCTGACCTCAGGTGATCCGCCCACCTTGGCCTCCTAAAGTGCTGGGATTACAGGCGTGAGCCACCACACCCAGCCTGAAAAATCTTTAACTATTAAAGATCAGTTAAAAAACAAGTTGCAAAAGAAAATGTACAAGGTGATATCATTTATAAAAATATTTTCATCTTATAAAGGTGGTATTTGTATAAAAATAACTACAAGTTCCTTGTGGATATAGAGGTAGTAAAAGTATGAAACATACATGACAGTGACACTGAGGATAGTTACTATATCTGGGGATGAAGGGAAGTAGATGGGAGGGGCTTAAGGAGGGAATTTCAATATCTGTCACTGTTTATTTGTGAGGGTTAAAGTAAATACTTGTAGTGGGTGGAATGGTGGTCCTCCAAAAGCTATGTCCACCAAAAGCCTGCGAATATGACCCTATTTGGAAAAAGGGTCTTTGCAGATATAATCAAGTTAAGGGTTTTGAGATGAGATCATACTGGGTTAGGGCGGGCTCTCAATGCAATGATCAGTGTCCTAGAAGAGAAGAGAGGGAGAA
Source organism: Homo sapiens (assembly GCF_000001405.40). Lineage (NCBI taxonomy): Eukaryota > Metazoa > Chordata > Mammalia > Primates > Hominidae > Homo > Homo sapiens. The sequence goes on along the minus strand of NC_000002.12, from coordinate 171,231,296 downwards.
GGCACACTGAGGAATGCCAAGGACTGCCAGCAGCACCAGAAGCTAGGAGAGAGGCACAGAACAGACTCCTAGCTTCTCCTAGGCTCCCTCTGAGCCTCCAGGAAGAACCAATCCCGGTGACATCTTGATTTTGGACTTCTGGCATCAGAACTGTGAGAGAATAAATTTCTGTTATTTTTAAGCCATCAAATTTGGGATAATTTGCAATATTGTATTTCTTTCCTAGAGCTGCTGTAACAAAAGTTAATATATGTCAAACCTGGGAGGTTTGTGTGTATTTTCTGTATTTCTCTCCATATTTTAAATACCCGAGGAAGAGGTTTGCAGGTGCAAACCTTCAGTAAAATGCCCTTTAATGTCTCTCAGCTGCTTTTGGCTCCAGATATACGGGTACACTTGATAGTGGAAACTGAAGTCAGTTCTCTGTTCCATTTTCTCCTTTGCCTAACTCTGGCCATTTACCAAAGAGTTGCTAGCGTCTTGGCTTTTGGTGTTCTCTATAGCATGTTCAAAAGTTCTGACATCAAGCCCAGAATCAACATTTTCCAGAATGATTATGTAACTGTAGTAGGTCTGTTGCCTGATGAATTGGGGCAGGTCAATACGCCAAGACACCAGGTTGCAGAAAAGAAAGCAGTTTAATTGTACAGCTGTTGAACAAGGAGACGGGAGGAAATCTCAAATCTATCTCCCTGAGGAGTCTGGGGCTAGGGTGTTTAGGGGTTTTAGAGTGGTCCAAAGTGTGGAGATTGTTGATTGGTGGAAGAGTGCAGGGTGGTGTCGGGACAGGGGGATGAAGAAACTGTATTCTCTTGCGGATTCCATTCCTCTATAGGGGCCTTCAAACTGGGTGGTGTCAGCTATTTCCCTGGAATTCGGAATTTGGAAAACATCTTAAGCAAGTCTTAAAAGTCTTATGACTCTAATGTCACAGATCTTATCTTTGGGGACAGCAGGGATGCAAATGGGCAGTATCTGGAGCTACATAGCTTTTGGTTGCAAGGAAGTGGGTCAAAGTATAGTCTGACTAATGCTTAATTATAACTATATTTCTGCCCAGGATTCTTGTTAACTCTGTGAGGATGGCTTCAATTGCAAAGTCTTTTATTATTTCTTTGTTATTTGTGCAAAGCAATGAAGTGTCATTTAATGTATTTTGTAGCAGTTAATGGATAAAAAGAGTTAGATGGTGGGCCTCTGGAAATAAGTATTAGCTTTTCAAATGAATAATTATGGAAGTAATCACTTTTTATTAGTCTTTTTTTTTTACTGTAATTTGCATTTTTCTGGAATATAAATTTGACTTGCAATGGGAACTCCTACTAAACAGAGGTAGTACCTTACAAACATGGGTGGAACCTAAGGAAGGGCAAGAACAGCAAGGCCTTGTGCATGGTAGAACCTGGAGCTTTGTGCAAAATCAGAAAGTCTTTCTTTCAATCAGCTTCCTCTGCTAACTCGCCATGCCAATGACCCAAGATGGCACAGCATGCCTAGTGAGGTACGATTTTTAAAAATTGATTGAGAGGTGTCTGTGTTCTTAGGCGGAGGCAATACCTAAGCCAGGAGGAAGGATTTGTTTTTATGAGAGGGCTCTCTTGAATGCTCCTACTTAGTTGTGCAAATGCAAAGTTTGCACCCTTTCTCTTGAGGAAAGGACTTCCTAGGACTGAAGAACAGAGATTCTGTCCATTTTTCCTTAGAATTGAAGTCCAGTAGCTCATCAGGGTCAACCAAAGTGGTTCTGTCCTCTGGCAGAACAGGATACCACAGCTTCCAAAAGGGATGGCACCCGGAGGGAAGAGTGAGTTTAAGCTGGCAGCTAGAACTAAACACAAAATGGCAACAGTTGGATTCTCTGAGGCCCAGCTCTCCTGGCATTGAGTTGAATATGTGAATGCAAGTCAAAAAAGTTCTGATCTTGGAGGCCAAGCATTAGACTCTGGGCTGAGGAAGACAGGCAAATATCCATTAGCCTGCACAAGACTGGCACTGAATGTTGAGGCTGTGTGGCAGGGATCAGACTCATACTGCTGTGAGCTCATGAGATTTCCAGTTCCTTCCTTTTTGAGGTTTGATAGGGTCAATTCTTCTGCACCAAGAAAGCCCCTGAGAGTTTTGGACAATTAAGTGGGAAGGCCTCACTGGGCAGGTCCTGGAAAAGAACATGTGACGACTTGAGTAAAATATTGGAAAACAAAAGATGTAAGACCATATTGTTCCCTGAGGTGGAGAGGTGTGTCTTATAGGACACGCATATGCCCTTTCAGTTCAAGAATCTACCACTGAGTGGAAATTCCCAAGTGCATGAATCTAATTAGCTTGACCAGGTCAGATGCCCAATTCTGTTCCATGCAGCTGGGACCTCCTAAGCAGGGAGGCCAATTGGCAGAGTTGAGTAGGCAGGCATTGACAGAAAGGTTATCCTACATGCAACACAGAATTTTTTTTTTAATTACAGTTCAACCACTAGCTTAGCAAAATATATCTCCAGAGTACAAAATGCTACCTTCACAGATTCAAACAACCATTATCTAATAACATAGGCTAAAAAAGAGACAGTCAGTGTTGCTCAGAACAACACAGACAACTCCAGAAGGACATGAGTTTAAACGCTGTCAACTGAACTGAATCACTTGGGAAAAATTAATCAATCTGAACCTCAACTCTCCCATCTGTAAAGTGACCACAATAATACCTACTTAATAAAAGAGTTCTAAATATTATTTATCTTTGGGTTTTTTTAGAGACAAGGTCTTACTCTGTCTTCCAAGCTGGAGTGCGGTAGCACAACCATAGCTCACTGCAGCCTCGAACTCCTGGGCTCAAGCAGTCCTCCCACCTCAGCCTCCCAAGTAACTGGGGCTATAGGTGTGCACCATGCTTAGCTGATTTAAAAAATTATTTCAGAGATGAGGTCTTTCAGTGTTGCTCAGGCTGGTCTCTAATTCCTAGCCTTAGGTGATCCTCCTGCCTCAGACTCCAGAGTAGCTGGGATTACAGGCATGCCTAACAGGTTGTGAATATTAAATACAGTAACATCTACAAAATGCCTTGTCCCTGGCCTACAGCCTATTCTCAGGAAAAGGTCAATGTTCTTTTATTTATTTGTTTATTTTTTGAGATGGAGTCTTGCTCTGTCACCCAGGCTAGAGTGCAGTGGCACAATCTCAGCTCACTGCAACCTCTGCCTCCTGGGTTCAAGTGATTCTCCTGTCTCAGCCTCCCAAGTAGCTGGGATAACAGGTGTGTGCCACCACACCTGGCTAATTTTTGTATTTTTAGTAGAGATGGAGTTTCTCCATGTTGGCCAGGTTGGTCTTGAACTCCTGACCTCAAGTGATCCACCTGCCTCAGCTTTCCAAAGTGCTGGGATTACAGGTGTGAGCCACCGCGTCTGGCCTTCAGTGCTATTTTTAACTATACTAACAAGAGTTAGCAGTGTTCTTCCAAGGTGTCTAATATACTCCAGGGTATTGTTCTCTGAAATTTGTAAGCGCTTTCAGACTCTTTGGGAAAATGTACTATACTGGAAAGAAATTTTATTTGTGTTGTGTTTCTGGTTTACTGACTAAGTTGTAGAGGTAAGACAAGGGAGGGCTGTAATATTTTTCTGGCTGTTCGACTGTTCTAAAATGGGGAGTGAATTAGTCAGAACTTTTACAGTTGCAAGTGAAAGAAATCCAACTGGCTTAAACAAAAAAAAAAAAAAAAAAAAAAAAAAAAAAGGAGATTTACTAACTCATGACTAACTCATGTAAATGAAAAAGCCCAGGGGTATCGTGACTCCCAGATTATTTGGACTCAGGTACACATAAGTCAAAACCAGAAAGCTTTTGGTCATGCTTTCTCCTGCATGGATGCATTGTTAGACAAGCTCTCCTGCAGTTGTAGCAAATATTCCAGAAGGAACTCCAGGCTCTCATTCTATTCACTGAAAAGAGATCATCTCTTTCTTAATAGTTTCAGCAAAAAACTGGAGGAAGTTTCTCATTGGCCCAAGTTGAGTCACATGCCCATCTCTGAACCAATCATGAGGTCAGGAGATAAATTAGCCAGGGCTGGGTCATGTATTTATCATTAGAGCTTGGGGCTGGGGTAAGGGTCAGCTCCACCTCAACTACATGGAGGGGTAGTAGGGAGTCTCAAAGCTTGATTGGGACACTTTTACCAATAGAAAGAGGGTGGGAATGGTATGCCAGAGAGGCATTAAACAAACAGTCCCTGCAGAAGGAACTGCAGCTGTAGGAGAAAAGTTAAAACAAAATGACTATTCTCTGATTGTTTTGCTGCTACAAAATGATTTTGTATCTACCTCATGGTAGCCACTGAAATTTATTTTCTAATTCCATTTTAAAAAATTATGTAAATCTGTTTGAGAATGTATTCTAGGATGACAAAAATGAGGCCAACTACATGAAGATTAACTTATCAGAAGCTGCAAATAAATTGATTATTTTACATAAGAGTAGTTTCATTCTAGCTGGATGATTTTTGTATGCATGACCACTACCCTAACCATCCTATTATAACAAAGGAAATTGCCATCTGCCACTTTGCTTGTATGAAATATTTCTGGAGGTGGCTTGCCAACTTCAGCCAGAATTATAAAACTAATGAGTTTTTAGCTACCATATGCACAGAGTGTAATAATAGCAGGTTCTAGGCAAATGTTGTCTACTTGCTTCTGGAAGTGCTTTCCCTCCATGATAGGAGCAGATGCCCAAGCCTCTATTAAGAATTCTGTTTTCTTCATAAATCTGTACAGTGACATGGAGTCCTCATATTCTCATGAAGTGAGTTTTATATGGAAAACATGGCCCTCATTACCCTGTTTCTTATGGGGTTTTCAGCCTCTGTTTTGTGGAGACTGGCCCTTATTATGTCAGGATAGAGTACCAGATGCCTTTTAGGAAATTTGGCCAGTTTGAAATTTCTAATAGGTCTTCTGCTCTTTTGATGCTTTACTGATTTATGTGAAGGCAAACAAGATTTTAATTTCCTAATACTACTTGCTATTTATATTAAAATGTCTATTTGTACCTACACCAGTGCTTTATGCTATAACAGTCAGAATAGGTTAGATTATGTGGTTGTAACAAAGGCCCCTGAATGTCAGTGGTTTACAATAAAGCCTTATTTCTCATTCTCACTACATGTTTCACCATTTTCCATAGATTAACATGCAATTTGTTTCCTTGGGGCTCTAGTTCATGGGACTCCACCAGGGGAAATCCATTAATACTCACAGGAGAATATTAGGGGGGTGGTGAGAGAGTATTATATCGATTTATAATTTAGGATGCTTAAAAAAAAACAAACCTAATACCAGAAAATCTAGCTCTGTCTACTGATAGTTCCTAGAAGCAACTACAGCCCATGACAATAAGCACACCTAGATGTTGGTTTCTAAATTCCATTCAGCAATGATGAAAGAAATCAGGGCTCCTTGGAAAAATGGCTGATTCTCAGTTTAGGTCAGGGAAAGATTGTTTCAGAAAATAAAGACACATTAAGGAACTGAAAATGATGTGTGTATGCACTCAACGATTGATGGACATTTGGATTGTTTTCACTTTTTTTGCTATTATAAGTAATAATGTATGAACATCCATTCATAAATAATGTATAAACGTTAGGGTTTTTTTTTGTGGACATACATTTTCAGTTCTCTTGTATGTATAGAGTGGAAAATCTGGGTCGCAGTAACTCTGTGTTTAAGTTTTTAAAGAACTACAAGACTGTTTTCCAAAGCAGTCATGCCATTGCACCTTCCTACCAGCAGTGTACAAAGGTTCCAACTTCTCCACATCCTTGCTGACACTTGCCTTTTTCCTTTTTTTTCCCCTTATAGTCATCCTGGTGGGTGGCTATCTCATTGTGGTTTTGAGTCCCTGATGACTAATGATGTTAGGCATCTTTAGTATGCTTATTGGCCATTTGTGTGTCTTCTTTGGGGAAATGTTTGTGCAGATCCTTTGCCTGTTTTTAAATTGGGTTTTCTTTACATTGTTGAATTGTAAGAGTTATTATATATTCTGCATACAAGACCCTTATTATACATATGATTTGCAAGTATTTTCTCCCAATTTGTGGGTTGCTTCTCACTTTCTCACTGATGTCCTTTGAAGCAGAAAAGTTTTTAATTGTGATGATACCCAGTGTATTTTTTTTATCATTACCTGTGCTTTTAGGGTCATATTTAGTGCCTGCCTTGAGATATTTGATTCATTTTGAGTTAATTTTTATATATGATGTGAGGTAGGGGTCTATAATAAATTCATTCCTTTGTATATGAATATCCAGTTGTTCCAGAAACATTTTTTAAAGACTATTCTTTCCTCATTGAATTGTCATGAAACCCTTGTTGAAAAAATCAATTAACTGTAAATGTGAGGATTTATTTCTGAATTATCAATTATATTTCATTGATATACACATATGTCTATCACTAAGCCAGTATCACTGTCTTGATTGCTATAGCTTTATAGTGAGTTTTGAAACTAAGAAATGTGACTCTTCCACAGTTTTGTTCTTTAAGATTGTTTTGGCTCTTCTGGGTCTCTTGCATTTCCATATAAATTTTAGGATGAGTTTGTCAAATTTTGCAAAAATTAAAAAAGTAGCTGGGATTTTTATAGGGATTTTGTTGAATCTGTAGATCAACTTGGGGAATATTGCCACCTTAATGATATTAAGACTTCAGATCCATGAACATGGGATATCTGTCCATTTATTTAGTAGTTTACTATAATAGAAGGATAAGGTTTAAGAATTAGGACTATACAAAGCAGTCTAAAGTTTCAATGCAATCCCTATCAAAATACCAGTGGCATTTTTCTTGGAGAAAAAAAAAATTATGAAATTTAAAGACCCAGAATAATCAAAGCAACCCTGAGCAAAAAGAACAAAACTTTAGCATCACATTACCTGACTTAAATTATACTACAAAGCTATAGTAACACAAACAGCACAGGGCTGACATAAAAACATCAACCAATGGAACAGAATAGATAACTCAGAAATAAGTCTACACATGTATAGCCAACTGATTTTTTACAACAGTGCCAAGATCATATATTGAGGAAAAGACAGTCTGTTCAAAAAATGGTGCTAGAAAAACTGGATAGCCATATGTGGAAGAATGAAACCAAGTCCCTATCTCTCATATATACAAAAATCAAATCAAAATGGAGTAAAGACTTAAATCTAAGACCTCAAAGTATAAAACTACTAGAAAAAAATGGGGAAATGCTCCATAGCATTGGTCGGGGCAAAGACTTCTTGAGTAAGACCTCAAAAGCACAGGCAACAAAAGCAAAAATAGACAGATAAGATCACATCAAACTAAAAAGCTTTTGGACAGCAAAGAAAAAAATCAACAAAGTGAAGAGACAACACAGAATGGGAAAACATATAACTACCCATCTAACAAGCGATGAATAACCAGAATATACAAGGAGCTCAAACAACTCAATAGCAAAAAAAAAAAAAAAAATTGATTTTAAAATGTGCACTGCTGGGAGTGGTGGCTCATGCCTGTAATCCCAGCACTTTGGGAGGCTAAGGCAAGCAGATCACCTGAGGTCAGAAGTTCAAGACCACCCTGGCCAACATGGCAAAACCCCATCTCTACTAAAAATACAAAAATTAGCTGGGTATGGTGGTGAGCACCTATAATCCCAGCTACTCAGGAGGCTGAGGCAGGAGAATCGCTTGAACTCAGGAAGTGGAGGTTGCAGCTAGCTGAGATCTTGCCACTGCACTCCAGCCTGGGCAACAGAGTAAGAGTCCTTCCAAAAAAAAAAAAAAAAAGTGCAAAATACCTGAATAGACATTTATCAAAAGAAGACATAAAATGGCCAACAGGTATGTGAAAGAAAAATGCTCAACCTCATTAATCATCAGATAAATGCAAATCAAAACTACAATGAGATATCATCTCACCCCAGTTAAAATGGCTTTTAGCAAAAAGACAAAAAATAATGGATGCTGGTGAGGATTAAGAGAAAGAGGAATCCTTGTACACTGTTGGTGGGAATGTAAATTAGTACAATCACTATGGCAAACAGTATGGAGGTTCCTCTAAAAACTAAAAATAGAACTACCATATGATCCAGCAATCCCACTTCTGGGTATATAGCCAAAAGAAAGTAAATCAGAATATCAAAGACATATCTTAGGCTGGGCACAGTGGCTCATGCCTGTAATTTCAGCACTTTGGGAGGCAGAGGCGTGCAGATCATTTGAGGTCAGGAGTTCGAAATGAGCCTGGCTAATATGGTGAAACTCCGTCTCTACTAAAAATACAAAAATTAGTTGGGCGTGGTGGTGCATGCCTGTAATCCCAGTTACTCAGGAGGCTGATGCAAGAGAATCACTTGAACCTGGGAAGCGGAGGTTGCAGTGAGCCGAGATTGCACCACCATACTCCAGCCTGGGCGACAGAGCGAGACTCCATCTCAAATAAATAAATAAATAAATAAATAGACTATAGTTAATAATTTATATTGTATATCTCAAAATGACTAGAAGAGTAGAATTGGAATGTTTCTAACACAAAGAAATGATAAATGCTTGAGGTGATGGATATCCAATTATCTTCATTTGATCATTACACATTATATGGTTGTATCAAAATTTCACATGTCCCCCATAAATATGTAAACTATTATGTAGCCATAAAGATTTAAAAAGACCACTTTGGGAGGCAGAGGGGGGTGGATCACTTGAGCCCAGGCATTCAAGACTAGCCTGAGCAACATGGCAAAACCCTGTCTCTACAAAATACAAAAAAAATTAGGCAGGCATGGTGATGTGCGCCTTTGGTTCTAGCTCCTGGGCAGGCTGAGATGGGAGGATGGCTTGAGCCTGGGGATGTCAACACTGCAGGGAGCTGTGATCGTCCCACTCCAGCCTCGGCAACAGAGCAAGACCCTGTCTCAAAAATAAATAAATAAATAAATAAAAAAGAATTAGGAAATAGTAGGTTTTGCTTAATTACAAATTTACCCTGAAATCCCAAAGACTTAACACCACAAAGGTTTCTTTCTAATTTGTGATGCATGTCTAGTGGGACTGGGGTTGTCTTCCCACATAGCCATTCACAGACCCAGGATAAGGGAGTCTACAGCATTTTATAGCTGGCTTGTAGGTTGCCATGAGAAAAGAAGGGAGAATTGAAGGATCATGCATCAGCATTTAAAAGCTTCACTCAAAAGGGACATATGTATTTTTTGTCAACAGCTAATTGGCCAGAACCAGTCACACAATCCTGACTGACTATAAGAGGCCTGGGAAATGTTGAGGAACGCATGGGTATTTGGTGAGCAGTAAATGTGTCCTCCAAAAAATTCATATGCTGACGCCCTAACCCCCCATGTGACTGTATTTGGATATGGTGACTTGAAGGAGGTAATAATGGTTAAATAAGGCCCAATAAGGGTAGGGCCCTAACCGGATAGGACTAGTGCTCTTATAAAAAGAGACAGAGACCCCAGAAATGTTTTTTTCCATGTGTACAGAGGAAAGGTCATGTGAGGACACAGTGAGAAGGTGGCTGTCTCCAAATCAGGAGGAAAGGTCCTAACAAAAACCAACCCTACTGGCACTTTGATCTTGGTTTCCAGCCCCTAGAACTGTGAGAAAATAAATGTGTGTTGTTTAAGTCACTCGTTAAGGCAGCCTGAGCTGAGAAATATGCATCAGCCACGAAGAGGAAGGGAAGACTAGAAAAATAGATCGGACCATATTGTAGAATGCTTTAAATTAATCCATGTTTAATTTTTAGGCAATGGAAAGCTTTGGATTTTTAAAAAATAGCTTATAAAGCAATGCATCATCTTCTTTCCTCCAAGGTGTTCATGAAGTTTCGGTGAGGTGCAGGGCAGTACCACAATAGGCACTCCTTTAAATGTTTGATTCATAAGGATTATTGAAGTCATACGCCGAGCATCCAGCTCTGACCCCAAATCTAGTTCTTTTTCATTTTTTTGTTCCTTACGCTGTCCTTTCAGGGTAGTTCCCCAGATGAAAAGTGGGCCACCGTTACCAGAAGAAAAGCAAATGGACAGTGTCTAAGTAATGATAACAGATATTCATTACACTTCCTGGTAAAAGAAAATAAAGGATAACTATGACAAAACCAGAAATGTGCTCTCTGCTCCCAGAAATGTGGAATGCTGTGTGCCACTCAAGTCCATTACTTATTCCTAGAGATTATTAACATATAAGCCCCAATTTTTCTCTGTGGAAATTTGTTTCTTAAATTTTTTGTAGAGACAGGGACTCACCAACTTGCCCAACCTGGTCTCAAACTCCTGGGCTCAAGCGATCCTCCCACCTTGGCTTCCCAAAGTGCTGGGATTACAGACGTGAGCCTGGCCTCTCTGTGGAAATTGTAAAAATATATAATTTTATTTAAATATGTGGGTAGGATGAGGAGGTTTTGTTTATTTGTTTAGGATAGGGTTTTTAGGGGGTGAGAGGGGCAATGAAGGAGGCTTGGTTTCTCCTTCTCCCACATCACTACCTGTATTACAAATCACCTTCCCAACTTAATGACTCAAAAAAAAAAACAAACACTATCTTCATAGTTGTATGGGTGAGGGGAAACTTGGCTGGCTAGTTGAGCAGTTCTAAGTCTGCAGTCCTCTAAAGGCTTGCTTGACGATCAAGGATCTACTTCCAAGGTGTCACACTCACATAATTGGCAAGTTGGTGCTGGTTGTTGGTGGGAGGCGATAGTCCTCCCCATGTGGGTCTCTCTATGAGGCTGCTTGAGTGTCCCCACATGATGGCTTACTCTCAGAGCAAGCTACCAAAGGCAGCAAGGCAGAAACCGTAACATCCTTTATGACTTTGTCTGGAAATCATACACTGTCACTTCTGCCATATTATGTTTGTCACACAGACAGCTCTCATTCCTTGTGGGAGCTGACTTCGAAAAGGCATGAATATCAAGAGGCAAATCACCAGGGCTCATCTTGAAGGCTGGCTGCCATGCTGCTCCCTTCATATTGATGATGTAGTACACATCTTTGGGAGGCTGAAGAATGGTCCCTAAAAGATAGCAGGGCCTAATTCCCAGAACCTGTAAATGTTATCTTACATGGAAATGTTATCTTATATGGAAAAAGGGTCTTTGCAGATTTAACTAAATTAAGGATATTGAAATGGAAATATTATTCTGAGTTGTCCAGGTATGCCCTAAATGCAATCAGAGTCTTTCAAAAAGAGTACAATGGACAGAATGTTTGTGTCCTCCCAAAATTCCTATGTTGAAACCCTAACCCCCAAAGCGATAATGTTGGGAGCTAGAGACTTTGGGAAGTAATTAGGTCATGAGGTTAGAGCACTCATGAATTAAATTAGTGCCCTTAAAAAAGGACCCCAGAGGCCAGGAGTGGTGGCTCACACCTGTAATCCCAGCACTTTGGGAAGCCGAGGTGGGCAGATCACTTGAGGTCAGGAGTTTGAGACTAGCCTGGCCAACATGGCAAAACCCTATTTCTACTAAAAATACAAAAATTAGCCAGATGTGGTGGCACGTGCCTTTAATTCCAGCTACTCAGGAGGCTGAGGCATGAGAATTTCTTGAACCCAGGAGATGGAGGTTGCAGGAAGCCAAGATGGCACCACTGCACTCCAGCCTGGGTGATAAAGCAAGACCCTGTCTCAAAAAAAAAAAAAAGGTGGGGGGAGGGACCCCAGAAAGCTCTCTTGACTCTTTCTGCCATGTGAAAATACAAGACATTGGCAGTCTGCAACCCAAAAGAGGGCCCTCACCAGAATGTGACCATGCTGTCACCCTAATGCTGGACTCCCAGCCTCCAGAACTATGAGAAATACATTTCTGTTGCTTATAAGCCACCCAGCCTATGGTATTTTGTTATAGCAGCCTGAACTAAGACAGAGAGAGACAGAGGGAGACTCGATTCACACAGAAGAGAAGGCAATGTGACCACAGAGGCAGAGATTAGAGTGATGCAGCCACAAGCCAAGGAATGCCAGCAGCCTCCATAATTTGAAAGAGGCAAGGAATGAACTCTCCTGGAGACTACAGAGGGTGTGCAGCCCTGCCAACACCTTGCTTTTGGCCTAGTGAAGCTGATTTCAAACTTCTGGTCTCCAGAACTGAAAGAAAACAATTTTATGGGGTTTTGTTTTGTTTTAATAATTGGAGACTGTTTATTTTACTTTTGATATGGTTAGGAGCAAGGCCTTTAGAGTCAAATCGTCCTGGATTTGAATCTATCATTGTGATCTTGGGCATATTCTTGCACCTTATTTTTCTCCAAAATGGGGCTAGAAAACAATACCTACCTCAAAGGTAAAGCTTTAAAAAATTGTGGGTTTTTTGGCAAAATACACAAAATATAAAATTTACTATGTGCTATGGTTTGAATGTTTGTGTTCCCTCCAAAATTTAGGTTGAAACTTAATGTCTAATGCAAGGGTATTAAGAGGTAGGGCCTTTAGGAGGTGATTAGTTAATGAGGACTCCTCTGTCATGAATGGGATTAAGGCTCCTACAAAAGAACTTCACACAGTATTTGCCCCCTTTTTGCACTTTTGCCTCTCCACATGAGGACACTAACATGAGGGTTAGTCCCCCCAGAGGATGCAGCAACAAGGTGCCATCTTGGAAGCAGAGAGCAGCCCTTGCCAGACATCAAACCTGCTGGCACCTTGATCTTGGACTTCCCAGCCCCCAAAACTGCGAGAAATAAATTTCCATTGTTTATAAATTACCCAGTCTCAGGTATTGTGTTATAGCAGCATAAATGAACTAAGACACCAACTTTTTAAGTGTATAGTACAGTAGTGTTAAGTACATTTTCATTGTTGTACAACCAGTCTCTTCCAGAACTCTTTTCATCTGGCAAAACTGAAACTTTATACCCATTAAACGACATTCTATTCCCCTCCATCTCTAGCCTATGGGCAACCACCATTCTACTTTCCGTCTCTATGAATTTGACTACTCTGTTTTTTTTTTGTTGTTGTTATTTGTTGTTGTTGTTGTTGTTTGTTTGTTTGTTATGCGATGGAGTCTCCCTCTGTCACCAGGCTGGAGTGCAGTGATGCAATCTCAGCTCACTGCAACCTCTGCCTCTGGGTTTAAGCAATTCTCCTGCCTCAACCTCCCGAGTAGCTGGAACTACAGGCATGTGCCACCACACCTGGCTAATTTTTTTGTATTTTTAGTATAGACAGGGTTTCACCATGTTAGCCAGGATGGTCTTGATCTCCTGACCTTGTGATCTGCCCGCCTCCGCCTCCCAAAGTGCTGGGATTACAGGCATGAACCACCATGCCCGGCCTTACTCTGTTGTTTTAATACACCAAGTTTGTAGCAATTTGTTATAGCAGCCATAGGAAACTAATACGGTATTCTTCCCCATCTTTGTCCATGTTCATACAACTTTAAATATTCATAAATGTACACAAACAATTTTAGTCACACATATATATGCAGAAATTTTTGTTATTGCTTTATAAAAATAAGACCATATTACACGTACTCTTCTTTGTTCTCTCTTTTCACTCAACTTGTTTATTGAATTTTGTTCAGAATAATCATTTCACTCTGACTTTGGGCAAACCTGTTTCAAAGTACCTTTATAAGCTTTCATTAGATGTTAATGTCTGAAGCATGTTCAGAGTGCTTTCTCTGCCATCTGACAGTGGTGTCCTCTCAATTATCCAAGCCCTCATGATCAGCTTTGGGAGTTGTGTTCCTCCCTCCTGCTGTCTGCTTTTCATACCCTTCTCCATTCATTAGCGCCTCCACCAGAGGGGGGCAAGGAAATGGAAAAGAGGTGAAATACGACTCCCAAACTGACAAAGAGATCAATGGAACAGGAGGGTCCAGAAACCAGTTCTCAAAATGGTCATTTTTCCTTATGTTAGGGATGCTGGAAGAAACTTCAGTAATAATACCTCCCAAGTTACCTGTGGATTTGAGAGGGAGAATGGTATCTACTGTCTACTCTTGATTTGTAAGTTCGTTTGTCCCATTTTTATTATAATCATTGCAAAAAGCAATCCCTTCATAAATGTTGGAAGAATTCATTCAATCAACAAACACTTATTAAGCATCTATAATGTGGCAGCAATCATGCCAGGCTCTGAATGAATGAATAACTCAGGTTTTTGTTTCTTTCCCTAACAAGTGGGACTCCTGTTCTGTGGCACTGCTGTTGGAAGGTAGGAGGTAACAGTGAAAAAGTAGGGAGGATAAATGCATCAGTTTGGTATCAGTTTCCTAGGGCTGCCGTAAAAAAGTGCTACACACTGAGTGGCTTAAAATAACAGAAATGTGTCGCCTTATACTTCTGTGGGTTAGAAGTCTGAAATCAAGGCAGGGCTGCATTCCCTCTGAATCTTATAGGAAAATTCTTCCTTGGCTCTTCCAGCTTCTGATGGTTCGCTGGCTGTCTTTGGCATGCCTTGTCTTGCAACTGCATAACTCCAATCTCTGCCTTTGTTGTTACATGACGTTTTCCCTGTGTATCTTTGTCTTTACATGGCTGTCTTTTAAGAACATCAGTTATATTGGATTGGGGGCCCACAGTACTCCAGTATGAGCTCATCTTAACTAATTACAACTATAATGGCCCTACTTCTAAATAAGGTCATATTCTAAGGTACTAGGGGTTACGACTCCAACATATGTTTTAGGGGGTGAGGAGGGACACAATTCAACCCATAATAGTTTCTACTTGTCAAATAGACAAGTCAAATAAGACCTTGGAATTCTGGATTTCATTAATCTCGTAAGTTGTTATTCTCTGTTTTTTTGTTTTGTTTTGTTTTTGAGACGGAGTCTTGCTCTGTCGCCCAGGCTGGAGTGCAGTGGCATGATCTCGGCTCACTGCAAGCTCCACCTCCCGGGTTCATGCCATTCTCCTGCCTCAGCCTCCCGAGTAGCTGGGACTACAGGCGCCCACCACCACACCCGGCTAATTTTTTGTATTTTTAGTAGAGACAGGGTTTCACCGTATTAGCCAGGATGGTCTCAATCTCCTGACCTCGTGATCTGCCCGCCTCGGCCTCCCAAAGTGCTGGGATTACAGGCGTGAGCCACTGCACCCGGCCCTTGTTTTTTTAAGGCAGCATAGTGGTTAGTGTGCAACTCTGGAGCCAGAATTAGTTTGAATACTATCTTTACCTCTTATTAACAGGTATGACCTTGGGCAAGTTAACTAATTCCTAGTGCCTCAGTTTGCTGTCTGTAAAATGGAGATAATAACAGAATTTACAGAATTGTTATAAGGATTAAGTGAACTAATGCCAGGAAAGTCCTTAGAACAACGCCTGGCACAAAGAGAATCTTGATATGTGTTAGCTAATTTTATGAAAAATGAGGAACCATGAGTTGATTATTCTTGTAATCAATTCCCACTAGAAAGGGGTGGTGGTGCGCATATTGTTAAAGGGAATAAAGCGTTCCACCGCGTGCATGTACCCGCTGGGGCCTCCTTCTAAGAGGAACCGAACTTCCGAGGAGTGGGCAGCTGCTCACTGCCTATGCTACTAAATTGCCTTTCTTGGCCTCTGACAGACTATAAAGTCAAGAGACTTCCAAAGCCCCCAGAGAAATATTTCTTCTTTTGGACAACCAACCTCTGAAAAACAATTGATTGAAATGTTTTCAAGGAAAATATATCACTATTAGGGAAGCCTATATATATAATTTAAATTTCCTTTGGTTCCTTTTGGATTTCAACTTAAAATGACCTGTAGGCTCTATCAGAGTAAGAGCAATACATCACCGTGCCTGTCTTGGACATTCTTAAAGCAGATTTGCTCTGCCTAGTGTGACCTAACTCCAGCCACAGCAGAGCCTGAATGCAGACTTGATTCCCTCAGATCGCTGAGGAAAAAGAGCATCACAACTGACAAGACTTGGAGAAGAGCACTCTGTTCTGTATTTGTGTTGGAAACTAAACACAATAAGCCATCCTCTTTCCTATGAAACTGAATGTTAGTGTCTTTATGTAGGTGGAGTGGAAGGTGAGGTGGAGAGGATACTGAAAGAGTTGAGAGAGAGAGTGGGCACGGCGGCTCACGCCTGTAATCCCAGCATTTTGGGAGGCTGAGGTGGGCAGATCACTTGAGCCCAGGCATTTGAGACTAGCCTGGGCAACATAGCAAGTGCCCGCCTCTACAAAAACTACAAAAATTAGCCAGGTGTGGTGTTGCCAACCTGTAGTCCCAGCTACTCGGGAGACTAAGATGGGAGGATTGCTTGAACCCAGGAGTTAGAGGTTACAATGGGCCATGATCATATGACTATACACCAGCCTGGGAGACAGAGCAAGGCCCCGTCTCAAAAAAAAAAAGAAAAGAGTTGAAAGAGAACATGATTGCAGGCGGAGTCAGGCTTCAGTTGCTGAATCAAGGCCCATTGTCTTGACTCACTTAAACATCACAGAATTCTTTAGCTGGAAGACCTTGAGGGGTTACTAATTCAGGAGTTGAAGCAAAGTATAGAAAGTAATTTGTTAGAAATAATAAAAGTGCAGCTTATGACTGATTGATTAATTACTAAATTCCAGGGGATTCTAAGTTCTTATCATACATTGGTCCTCAAAGTATGGTTCTTCCAAGACCAGCAACTTCGCATCACCTGGGAACTTAATAGAAATGCAAATTTTTCAGCCTCACTGCAGACTTAACTGAATCAGAAATTGTAGGGTGGGGCCTGGCAACCAATGATTAACAAGCCCTCAAGGCGACTCTGATGCCCACTCCAGTTTGAGAACCACTGTTAAAATTGTATCAATTTAACACACCTGGCATTCAGGTGTGCTTTATCAAGGGAGTACGAATGGGTGAAGTTGTATACAACTAGTGCCTGGGGACTGGGGCACAGAGAGCCATGCATGCGCACATGTCATTCTCAGATGTCCCATTAGGATAAAGACAGACAGTTAGTGACCTTATCTAGACCCCATTGTAGAGATTAAGAAGCTGAGGTGCAGAAGGGTTACGTGACTCACCCAAGCCGTATGGATACTAAGAGGCAGAGAAGACACTAGGTCCCACCTTGCCCAGCTCAGAATTTTCTTTTGTCTTTTTTCTTGAGACAGGATCTCACTCTGTTGCCCAGGCTGGAGTGCAGTGGCTTGATAAAGCTCACTGCAGCCTTGAGCTCCTGGGCTCAAGCAATCTTCCTTCCTCAGCCTCCCGAGTAGCTGAAACTACAGGCATGTGCCACCATGCCCGGCTAATTTTTTTTTTTCATTAAAAATTTTCTAAAACTATTCACCAGAGTCTGAAAGAAGATGATGGCTGCTAGAGGTGAGCTCCACACTCCTCAAGAAAGATATGGCTGGAGTTTGAGACCAGCCTGGTCAACATAACAAGACCTCTTCTCTAAAAAAAAAATTTTTTTTAAATTGCTGGGCATGGTGGCATGTGCCTGTAGTCCCAGCTACTTGGGAGGCTGAGGTGGGAGGATCATTTGAGCCCAGGAGTTTGAGGCTACAGTGAGCCATGATCATGCCATAGCATTCTAGCATGGGTGACAGAACTAGACCTTATCTCTAAAAAAATATAAGCCTCAAACTCCAGGGGTCAAGTGATCCTCCCACCTCAGCCTCCCAACTAACTGGGACTACAGGTGCATGCCATCATGCCCAGCTAATGTTTTTTTACATGTTTTTGTAGAAAGTAATTCTTACTATGTTGCCCTCCCGCCTCAGCCTCCCAAAGTGTTGGGATTATAGGAATGAGCCACCGGGCCCAAACTAAAATAAATTTTTTTTTTTAAAAAAAAGATATAGGCCTGGCATGGTGGCTCATAGCTGTAATCCTGGCACTTTGGGAGGTCGAGGTGAGAGGACTGCTTGAGCCCAGGAATTCAAGATCCACCTGGGCAATACTGTGAAACACTGTCTCTACAAAAAATACATAAATTAGCTGGGCACGGTGGTGCATGCCTGTAGTCCCAGCTACCTGGCAGGCTGAGGTTGGGAGGATCACCCGAGCCCAGGAGGTCGAGGCTGCAGTGAGCCATGATTGTCATGCCACTGTACTCCAGCCTGGGCAAAAGACCCTGTCTCAAAAAAAAAAAGAAAAGAAAAGAAAAGAAAAAGAAAGATATGGCCTGATATAGAGCCCTGTAGTCTAGCGGAGCCAGACTTGGAATTCACCCATTAGCAAAACCTTTTGGAGATAAAAATATTTTTTCTAAAAAAAAATTTTTTTAGAAAAGGCTTTATAACTTTTCACTTTGGTAAGAAGGACAATTTTACAAAGTAATGTCTACTCTGGCCATAATTTCATAAAGGAGATGACTTTTTTCATAGCAAAGATGTAGATCAGATATGAAATTAGGATAAAACAAGTTTTTTCATGTTAAATACATTTTGCTTGTTTTTTTTAAAAAAAAACAAAACGCTTTTTGCTGTTTTCCTCTTATTTCTTCATGTGCACAGAGCACTAAAACTAAAATGCTGTGTACAATCATAGGAAGCTCAAATATCTTGCTAAAGACCCCTGATTAACAGGGGCTCTGACTGCCTGCCTTACCCCAAATGCAAGCTCTCATCACTAAGTAGGCATTTAATAAATGTCCTTTGATGATAAAAATTATGAGGACAGAGTGGGTTTATAATTTTTTTTACAGTTAAGAAATTACATGCTAGAGGTAGAAAGGACTTAAATTTCTTTTCCGAAGTCACACAACCAGTTTTAAAAGGAGCCGGTGCTGGAACTGAAGTCTTCTATCTCCTGGTTCCAAATCCTTTTCCCTTAGACTCCACTGACATTGATAAAGGACGTCTAAAATGATGTCCCTTATTTCCTTAGGGGGAACATGTTTATTTACCCAGGCAAAGGTATAATGAAATCAAACATCAAGGACCTATTACCAGATATAAAGATAACATCAACTGAACAGATGTTGGGAAAATTGGGGGTGTCAGGTTAAAGTTGCAAAAAGGCAGCATAACAGGGAGTGAAGCTTGGGGGCGGTGGGGGAGGTGAAGGAGGGGGCGGCAAGGGGTGAGGGTGGGGGCAGGGGAGCCAGGAATGTTTCTCTATGATAAAACAGCTGCTGGAGTGGCCAGGCTGAGCTTATGCAGATGTTAATTGATTTCTGGAGGTCCGGAAAGGCTTGTTAGACAAGCTTTAAAACGAGAGGAGGCCAGGCATGGTGGCTCACGCCTGTAATCCCAGCACTTTGGGAGGTAGGTGGATCACCTGAAGTCAGGAGTTCGAGACCAGCCTGGCCAAAATGGTGAAACCCTGTCTCTACCAAAGTACAAAAAATTAGCTGGGCGTAGTGGTGCATGCCTGTAATTCCAGCTACTCGGGTGACTGAGGCAGGAGAATCGCTTGAACCCAGGAGGCAGCGGTTGCAGTGAGCCGAGATTGCACCACTGCACTCCAGCCTGGGTGACAGAGTGAGACTCTGTCTTGAAAAAAAAAAAAAGAGGCCGGGCACAGTGGCTCACGCCTGTAATCCCAGCACTTTGGGAGGCCGAGGCGGGTGGATCACGAGGTCAGGAGTTCGAGACCAGTCTGACCAACATGGTGAAACTCCATCTCTACTAAAAATACAAAAATTAGCCTGGCGTGGTGGGGTGCGCCTGTAATCCCAGCTATTCAGGGGGCTGAGGCAGGAGAACCACTTGAACCCGGGAGGCGGATGCTGCAGTGAACCAACATCGCGCCATTGCACTCCAGCCTGGGCGACAGCGCAAGACTCTAATCTCAAAAAAAAAAAGCATCCATTTAACTCAGATATCACTAGATACATTTATGACTGAGTGTAGTCTGTGCAAAATAGCATTGAACAATTACACTTTTGTATGCACCTCAATGAAGTATCTTTGTATATTATATTTCTGGTGTATTAAATAAGTATAGGGTAAGCCATGCATCTTAGGTGAGTTCAACTACACAAGAAAAGAAAGAGGAAGTGAACTTACCGTGACAAACGGTTTGATATAATTCGTGGTGAAAACCAAAAGGCTTCCTACAACCCAAACCGGTTATAGAAAGGGAGCCAGTAAAAGTAAGTAATAAAACAATGCTTGTTTAAATTTTTGTCGCATGAAAGGCTCTACAGCAATGTAAACTGTGTTACAGGCACTAACATTCTTGTAGGATTCGAGGTCTCTGAATTGTTGAGCATCTGTCTTCAGAGTGCTTTTTAGTATCTAAGAATGTAACATGGGGCAGGAAGCAGAGAAATCAACCAAAAGTAAGGTTTTCATGTGCCCAAAGGATGTCACCGCAAAGATCATAGGAGATAATGTGGACATATCTGAAGAAGTGCCTTCTGGGCTGGCTGCTTATGACTGCTGTCCCTGGCACATCCGGCTGTATATACCTGCTGGCTGAAGTTACTCTCTCAGCCTCCTGGATATATTCAGCTTCAAATGCAGCTTCCCTTCTCCCTCCTGGTAACAGTCAGAGAAGCCTAGATCCTGTTATCAGTTCCTAGATTTCTTCTCAACATTTCACGGCATTCTCTCAATGAATTAACCTTGCCCTAATTTAATTAGCCGGCAAATTCTCCCTTGTAAATTGTCCTAGTTTAGTTTAGTCTCTAGGTGGTTCAGATATAAGGATGTTGCAATACAATGCAAAAAAGTCAGAGTCCGAAGTGTCCGTGAACATTAAGACTGGGTGTTTGTTTGTGTGTTTGTTTTGTTTGACTTTGTTTTTGCACAGGGCATTGTTTTTGTTTACTGTGGTGCTTAGCCCATTGGATGTATTAATTGGATATACTAGTCAGAGATTTTTCTGATTACGTCTGAAATCGAAATTCTTTTCTTTCGCAAATACTTGCCTAGATGTGGTCTTGGTGGGGAGCAGCCCCAGCCAGGGCTATTACACTTAAAGGGAAGATACTGACCATGGCTGGGTGTGGTGGTATGTGCCTGTAGTCCCAGCTACTCAGGAGGATTGCTTGAGCCCAGGAGTTCATTCTCTCCTATAGCCGCATTCTAGCCTAGGCAACATAGTGAAACCCTTGTCTCCTATAAAAAAAAAAAATAATAAAAAAAGAACGTGAAGGTGTGAGTGGCATTATAACCTTATTTCTCTTTCAGAGGGGCCGCTATAATACACACCTTGGTTGCCACATTCCAGTTCAGCTCTATTCATCTAAAAATAATCAGTTGCTTGGCTGATCATGGTACTATAATGACATTCAAATTCAGAACAGTAATACAACTTTTTAACATAAGGAAAATGTAAATAAACATAAATGAAGACATGACACTGTATTTTGATTTACCTGATTAGCTAATAGGAGGTACAAAACAGGCATTCCCATACACTGCCTGTGCCTACAAGCTCCTGGAAATTTTGAGAATGTGTATCAGTATTGTCATTAGTTTGCTAGGGCTGCGGTAACAAAGTTTCATGGATTGGGTAGCTGAAATGACAAAAATTTATTTTCTTTCAATTCTGGAGGCTAGAAGTCCAAGACCAAGGTGTAGGCAAGGTTAGTTTCTTTCAAGATCTCTCTTCTTGGCTTGTAGATGACCGTTTTCTCTCTGTCTTCATATGGTCTTCACTTCGTACATATTCTGTGTCCAAATTTCCTCTTCTTATAAGGACTCCAGGCATATTGGATTAGGGCTCACCTAATGACCTCACTGTAACTCATTATAATTACCTCCTTAAAGATCATATCTTCAAATACAGTCACATTATGAGATATGGGAATTAGGACTTCAACAAATAGACTTACAAAAGGACACATTACTGCGTCAGATTTTGTAAACTATACTAAAGAAATAAATATAATTTCTTAGGTTATAGGAGTATATATTACTTTCTTATAACCTGCTTTTCTTACCCAATATATATTTGAACATTTCTGTGTATATTTAAACACTTACAATATAAATTTTCATCGCTATCTAGCATTCTATCACATAGATACCTAATAATTTATTTAGCAGTCCTAACTTAAACTTAATTTTTTGAATAAGAAAAACATTCATATGGTTCAAAATCAAAACAATATAAAAAGATAAATACTTCCATCCCACCCCTGTTCCATATAAGTAACCCCTTTTATTAGTTTCTTGTGTATTCTTCCAATGTTTCCTTATGCAAATAAAAGCAAATGCAAATACATGCTCTTATTTCCCCTACTTTCTTACACAAAGGGAACACACTATTTACGCTGTGCTGCACCTTACTTTTTCTAAAAAGCAACATATTTCTGAAGCTTCTCCATTATCAGTACATAAAGAGCTTCCCCATTCTCTCCTATAGCCAGAAAATATACAATTGTGTAGCTGAACCATGGTTTACTTAACCAGTGTCTTCTATACAAGGTTGTCTCTAATTTTTCTTCTGTTGCAAACAGAGGGGCAAAGAATAAACTCATACATGTCATTTCCTACAAGTACAGATGTATTGCTAAGATAAATTCCTAGAAGTGGAATTGTTGAGTCAAAGTGCATTTATTATTTTGATAGACACTGCTAAAATGCTCTGCACTGGGCTTGCATCATTTTGCAGTCCCACCTGCAGGGAACAGTAACTAATTTTTCACAGCTTCCCCAAGAGAATGAGTTGTAAACTTTGGGATGGTTGTCAATATCAAATGCCTCATTTTTGAATGTTTAAGTTGCTTCTACTTTTGTTACATTTAGCAGCACTAGGATTAATATCCTTAGAGCTACACCTTTGCTCATTTTAATTATAGCCTTAAAATAAATTTCTTAAAGTTGATTATGTTGTTCTGGGAGTACATGCATTTTTAGGGCTTTTGATCTGTACTATTTTGAGGATTCTTGAAGTCTCAGGGGTTTTTAAGCACGGAGAGGAGAACTCTCCACTCTTATAATGTAATTAATGCTCTAAGTTTATATAGCTAATAAATAAAACTCAGAAAATCAGTTTCCTTGAGCATTTAAACATTGTTTCTAAACATAATTAATTAAAATCCTTCAATGATTTAAAATTTAATTACAAATTTAATTTGAAGGATTATTTAGAATTCTTCAAATGCCTTAAACAACAGTGAGAATAAAACTTATACTTACAATTTAAAAATAGCAACACCATGAATTCAATTTATTTTATAAAAAGTCTATTCTTATACCTTCCTAAGGTTGCAGTAATACTAATTTCTATACTTTCCCAGGATTACATTAATTTTACTAAAGCCAAAAGTAAAAAAAGAAAAAGAAAAAAGAAGACTAAATCAGACTAATTTAGGTTAGAGAGCCTGGGTTGTTAATTTAGTTGAAATAGGCTTGTATCTTTGAAAGTGATTCAAACCTGGCTGGGCGCAGTGGCTCACACCTGTAATCCCAGCACTTTGGGAGGCTGAGGCAGGCAGATCACTTGAGGTCAGGAGTTCGAGACCAGCCTGACCAACATGGTGAAACTCCATCTCTACTAAAAATACAAAAAATTAGTTGGCCGTGGTGGCAGACAGCTGTAATCCCAGCTACTTGGGAGGCTGAGGTCTGAGAAGAGAATCACTTGGACGTGGGAGGTGGAGGTTGCAGTGAGCCGAGATCATGCCACTGTACTCCAGCCTGGGTGACAAAAAGAAAGTGATTCAATCCTGTATCATTGACTAGTCTAGACTCCCCTCCCTTTTAAAAATAGATTTTATTTTTAGAGCCCTTTTAGGATCACAGCAAAATCAAACAGAAAGTATAAAGAGTTCCTATATCCCCCCATCTCCAAACATGCCCAACCTCCCCTACTGTCAACATCCCACACCACAGTGGTACATCTGTTACAACAGATGAGCCAACATTGATGTATCATGATCACCCAAAGTCCATTGTTTGTATTAGGGTTCCCTCTTGGTGTTGTACATTCTATGGGTTTGAACAAATTTATGGTGACATATATCCACTGTTATACTGCCCTAAAAATTCTCTGTGATCTGCTTAATCATCCCTCCTTCCTGCTAATGCACTTACTGATCTTTTAAATGTCTCCCTCGTTTTGACTTTTCCAGAATGTCACGTAGTTGGAATCATACAGTGTGTAGCCTTTTCAATTTGCCTTCTTTCACTTAGTAATATGTATTTTAGTTTCATCCATGTCTTTTCATGGCTTGATAACTCATTTATTTTTAGTTCTGAAGAATATTCCCTTGTAGGATGTCCCACTATTTATCCATTCATCTACTGAAGGACATCTTGGTTGCTTCCAAATTTGGGCAATTATGAATAAAGTTTCTATAAACATCCATGTGCAGGTTTTTTGTAGACATAGATTTCAATTCATTTGGGTAAATACCAAGGAGCATGATTGCTAGACTGTATGGTAAGAGTATGTTTAATTTTATAAGAAACTGCCAAACTGTTTCAAAGTAGTTGTACCATTTTGCCTTCCCACCAGCAATGAATGAACATTCCTGTTGCTCCACATCCTTGTCAGCACTTGGTGTTGTCAGTGTTTTGAATTTTGCCCATTCTCATAGGTGTGTAGTGGTATCTCATTGTTGTTTCAGTTTGCAATTCCCTAATGACATATGATGTTGAACATCTTTTCATATGCTTATTTGCCATCTGTAGATCTTCTTTGGTGAGATAGGTCCCTTTTTATAGTTAGGTTTTCCTCACGTCAAGGGGACTTTTCATGTCCAGTCCACACTTTTACATAGATTTTAGTTTCTAGCAAGCTGGTCTCTTTTCCTAAAATAATGCATTCTTTTTATTTGCTTGGTCAGCATTACATAAACCAGTATCATGTCCCCATTAAATATTGACCTGGTCTTCTAGCACTGTTGGAACCCGTATATGCCTTACTAGGCCCTAGAAGTGATAGGCCCCTTAAAGGTTTCATCTCCATGCAGACAAGGGGTAGAGATTGTATTGCCCAGCCTCCCTCTTTAGAACATTTGGCTAATCCATCACCTTTCTACCTCTCCTCTCTCATCCATCCTAAAGTTGGTAGGGTTCTTACTGTTTTTCATTATAATTTGGCTATCTCACCATTTCACAACTTTCTCTTTTCTTTCTTAATCAAATAGAGACAAACGCATGCCATATTTTATTAAATGTAAGATGCTATTGATTGTCAGCTGCTTCATTATTTTATGTGCCTCTAGGAAAGAACAAAAACTAATTAAACTATGACACAATGTCTTACTGATAATCTTACATAGTTGAGGAATCAGTTAAAATAGCCTCTCATTGCTCTGAAATTTCTTTCTGTGAGGGATTTGGCCATTTTTCCCATCTTCAGTTGTATTTCTTGACATGTAATAAGAATCTTTTTGCATGTATCTCAGTAACAAAATATAACATAGTTTCATTTACTGCAGTAGCTTTCTTTCTCAGGTCCCATAAAGCACTTAGTTGTTGCATTGGAAAAAAATATGGGAGATATGTTGACATTCCTCTAAAGATGAAGATTTGCTTCACTAATAGCAAATGTACATTCCACTGCTCTGTTTTATTGCCTTTCTGTGTATATAATATTTCATTTCAATCCCAAACTTACAGAGGAAACCTTTATTTTTAGACATTTCAAATAGTGGTTTAACTCAGTCTGTAAAATAACAAACAACAAAGCAGATTACTCAGCTTAAGTGAAGAGAATGGACAGCTGTTACCAAGTGTGAACATGCCGCTCTCCACCCAACAGCAATAAAAAGGCCATCTACTGTAGAACCACCTGAATTTCAGAGGTGTTAAAATATGAAAAGCAGCTGTCTTGGCCTGGTGCTGTGGCTCACACCTGTAATCCCAACACTTTGGGAGGCCAAGGTGGGAGGATCGCTTGAGCCCAGGAGTTGGAGACCAGCCTGGGCAACATGGCAAAACCTCATTTGTACAAAAAAATACAAAAATTAGATGGGTGTAGTGGCATGCACCTGTAGTCCCAGCTATTCAGAAGGTTGAAGTGAGAGGATCGCTTGAGCCTGGGTAGTCAAGGCTGCAGTAAGCTCAGATTGTGCCACTGCACTCCAGCCCTGGTAACAGAGCAAGACCCTGTTGGGGGAAAAAAAAAAAAAAGCTGTCTTAGAATCAATAAGTGTGTACCTTATCATTTCTATAATTTAACTGTCATATATTTAATAGACGATAGATGGAACACCTATGAATGACAACATTCTCCTATTTTTAGAGACAGGGTCTTACTCTGTCTCCCAGGCTGGTGTGCAGTCATATGATCATGGCCCACTGTGACCTCTAACTCCCGGGCTCAAGCAATCCTCTCACCTCAGCCTCCCAAAGTGCTGGTATTACAGGCATGAGCCACCACACCTGCCTATTAAAAATACATTTAAAGAATATAGCATATTCCATTGCACTCACCCTTATTTAACATCATAATTTCCTTTTGTTTTTTATTTACTTAAAATCTTTTTTTTTCTTTTTTTTTTGAGACGGAGTCTCACTCTATCACCCAGGCTGGGGTGCAGTGGCACGCTCTGACCGCAACCTCCGAATCCCGGGTTCAAGTGATTCTCCTGCCTCAGCCTCCCGAGTAGCTGGGATTACAGGCACCGGCCACCACGCCCAGCTAATTTTTGTATTTTAGTAGAAATGGGGTTTCACCATGTTAGCCAGGCTGGTCTCAAACTCCTGACCGTAACTGATCTACCCACTTCAGCCTCCCAAAGTGTTGGGATTACAGGCGTGAACCACCATGCCCAGCCCATAATTTCCTTTTTATATAAAATACGTAGATTTTTCCTTTTTGGAGTGGCTTACAGACTCACAGATTTTCAGATATGTATATCATTTCAATTAGCCATAACTACCTTTTTTTTTTTTTTGGATGCTCAAATGACACAAAATGACACAAGTTGACCAGGCCTGCCTTTAAGCTGGCTCTTTTGTCCTTTCAACATTACTCTGACATTTTAAAAACATCTTTGCTTCCTGAAAACATTAAGATATTCTAAGTCTACCTTTATTTTTCTCCCTATCATAGGACATGGCATTAGCTACTTTTAGTGGTTACTAGAATTTAAGACCAAATCTGGGCACGCACTGGGGTTCCAACTTAGATCGTTCCATTTTAGTATCAGTGTAGCCAGGACGATAGCACTGCTAGGTGCCAATTTAATGGCAGAGCTGGAAAAGGCATTTCTCTTGAAAATCTTGAGTTCATGTCAATTTCTGCATGTGTAATGGAGAAATATTCTAATCGATCTCTAAATCCCTTTAAATTCTGATCTAATCACAAGTTTTAAATTTGTTTTCTATACAAAATGCTTACTTAAATGTTTAACATTTCACTTATCCATAATTTTATCATCTTTTCTTTTTTTTTTCTGAGACAGAGTCTCTCTCTGTTACCCAGGCTGGAGTACAGTGGCGTGATTTCAGCTCACTGCAAGCTCTGCCCCCCACCGGTTCAAGCGATTCTCCTGCCTCAGCCTCCCAAGTAGTTGGGACTACAGGTGTGCGCCACCACGCCCGGCAAATTTTTGTATTTTTTTAGTAGAGATAGGGTTTCGCCATGTTGGCCAGGCTGGTCTTGAAATCCTGACCTCAGGTGATCCACCAGCTACAGCCTCCCAAAGTGCTGAGATTACAGTCATGAGCCACTGCACACGGCCCATCTTTTCTTTTATAATTCTTATATGTCTCATTGATTACCAACCTGTAGTAACTTTAATAACACTGTCAAATTTCCTCTGATATATTCTGTATAAATTAACATTCTCAATGCTCATGCTCCTAGCAGCATTATTTACAGTAGCCAAAATGTGTTAGCCACCCAAGTGCCCATCAATGAATGAATGGATAAACAAAATGTGGTTTATACATGTAATGGAATATTATCCAGCCTTAAAAAGGAAGGAAATTTTGACATATTCTACAATGCGGATGAATCTGAAGGACATGATACATTACATAAGCCAGTCACAAAAAGACAAATACAATGTTATTCCACTTACATAGAGTGCCTAGAGTAGTCAAATTCATACAGACAAAAAGTAGATGGTGGTTGCTAGGGGCTGGGGATAAAGGGTATGGAGAGCTGTTGTTTAATGAGTATAGAGTTTTAGTTTTACGAGATGAATTCTGAAGACTATTTACACAAAATATGAATATACTTAACACTACTGAACTATACATTTTGTATACCATAAAAATGGCCAAGATGGTAAATTTTATATTGTGAGGTATTTTTTAAACCACAATTAAACATTTTTTAAAAATTATGCTCTCACCAAGAGGGCATGGGGATCCTTATTTCTCCTAAAATTACATTTGCAGTAGAAAAAACAACTAGCTTTATTTTTTTAATTTTAAAGAAATTAATTGGAAGAATTAACAATACTTAACAATATATTAATATAGTGTATGTTCCCCCACCACTGAGAGAGAATCCATTGTTTACATCAAATTTCCAAAAACATATGGACCCTAAAAGATGCTAAAAACCATTCTTCTACAGAAATGGAAATTTTCAAAAAGGACTTTGGAAATTAGATCAATATTTTGTCCAATAAAACTATGAGAATGATATTTATATGTGCCAGAATTAAGATTTGAAATAACTTAAAATATTGTTAAGTAGATAAATATAAAGTTCTGTTTTTTTGTTTTGTTTTGTTTTGTTTGAGATGGAGTCTTCCTCTGTCACTCAGGCTGGAGTGCAGTGGTGCAATCTCGGCTCACTGCAACTTCTGCCTCCCCGATTCAAGCCATTATCCTGCCTCAGCCTCCCAAGTAGCTGGGACTACCGGCGCACACCACCATGCCCAGCTAATTTTTGTATTTTTAGTAGACACAGGGTTTCGCTGTATTGGCCAGGCTGGTCTTGAACTCCTGACCTCGTGTTCTGCCCGCCTCAGCCTCCCAAAGTGCTGGGATTACAGGCATAAGCCACTGCTGCGCCTGGCAGGGAAATTCTTTTTTTTTTTTGAGTTGGAATTTCACTCTCGTTGCTCACGCTGGAGTGCAATGGCGCGATCCCGGCTCACCGCAACCTCCACCTCCCAGGTTCAAGCAATTCTCCTGCCTCAGCCTCCCGAGTAGCTGGGATTACAGGCATGCACCACCACGTCCGGCTAATTTTGTATTTTTAATAGAGATGGGGTTTCTCCATGTTGAGGCTGATCTCGAACTCCTGACCTCAGGTGATCCGCCCTCCTCGGCCTCCCAAAGTGCTGGGATTACAGGCGTGAGCCACCGCGCCCGGCCTGAGCCGGGAAATTCTTATACCCAAAAATTATTTGTTATTTGTCTGAAATTCAAATTTAACTTGGCATCCTGTATTTCATCTGTCAACTGTGTGTTTTAGGCATAGTAAGAACTCAATAAACATTAACAAAATCCAGTAACAGTCCCCAACTCGTTTCTACATGAGCCCCTCTTCCCTGTGCAAGGCAAATTGCCTAGATAGATAGATAGATAATAGATATGATTGATGATAGATAGATAGATAGATAGATAGATAGATAGATAGATAGATAGATGATAGCTGATAAATGGTCTTAGGCTAAGTTCATAGTCATAGTGGTGTCTAGACCCACAGAGCTGAGGTTCTCACTGCCCTCTCCAGTTGGTCACATCGAGCTGTAGTAAAGACCTGCAGAGACCGTGCGTGAAGAGATATGACTTCAGGGTGATGGAACAGCTCCCTTTAAGGAACAGAAAACTTTAAGTGAAAGAATCCCTGAGATTTCTTCAGAGTTGTACCAGAGCATTAGATGGGAACCAGGTGGAACAGTTCCTTAGAAGCAGCTTTCAGCACAATATGAGGAAAATTCTCAATGGTTAGAGCAGTCTATAGAGCCAGTAAATGAAAACCTAAATAGTAGTGAGCTTCTTGCCAATTGAGGCTGGATGATCACCTATCAAATGTGTCATGAATGGGATTTCCTAGTTGAGTGGCTGGATACATGACACAGCTGTCCTCAAAAATGCTCTGAAGTGAGGTCAGGCAGGGTTCATGTTGATAGTATGGCTCTTAATAAATGGCAGCTCTCTAGTAATTTCAAAGATGCTTCATAACGATTGATGACAAAATATTAAGTGTAAATCTGTAAATAATGAGATGGCATTTCAATAGTAATTAACAAGCATTGATAAAATGAATTTAAAATTAATCTCAAACATACTCTATGAATGTAAAAACTTTTGTGATGAACTTAGGGTAAGGAAGACAGATAATATAAAAATGGGATTTGAGGCCGGGTGCGGTGGCTCACATCTGTAATCCCAGCACTTTGGGAGGCTGAGGTGGGTGGATCACCTGAGGTCAGGAGTTTGAGACCATCCTGGCTAACATGGTAAAACCCCCTCTCTACTAAAAATACAAAAAACTTAGCTGGGCATGTTAGCATGCACCTGAATTCCCAGCTACTCAGGAGGCTGAGGCAGGAGAATGGTTTGAACCCGGGAGGTGGAGGTTGCAGTGAGCTGAGATTGCGCCACTGCACTCCAGCCTGGGCTACAGAGAGAGACTCTGTCTCAAAAAAAAAAAAAAAAAAGAAGGGATCTGAGCCAAGTGCCTAATTTGACTTGTCAGGAGCAATTTTTAAATGATTTAGATTAATAAAAATAATACAAACTAAAATCTGATTGATTCTAATATATTTCTGTTGCTAATTAAGACTTAAAAGGACCTGATATGAATCTCCCAAATAATTTGTAAAAATACAGATGGGGTCTCACTATATTGCCCAGTGTAGTGCTATTCACAAGTACTATCATGGCACACTATAGCCTTGAACTCCTGGGCTTGATCCTCCCACATCCTTCTCATGAGCAAATGGTATTACAGGCATGCACCACCATCCCCAGGTTCCAAATAATTTTGACTTTGATCCAATTTTATTTAGCTTGCCTGAATTTTAAATTCCTAAGCTTAGGCCTACCTTAATGGATCCCAATACATTGCGGCAAGACTGTAAAATGTGGGCTGCGCAAGTCATTCTAACAGTTCAAAGAAAGGAACCATGGCTTCCAGATAGTCATATGATAAAGATAATTCCAAACCATTGTTGTTGCACAGACCAAAATTTTAAACTCCTTTAAGTAATGATATCACGCAACTGAAATTTAACAACACAGGATGGGGGGGTAGAAAAAACAAGCACTTGAAGGATGAAGCAAAGCACACTTTAAATAATGTAATATAACTGTGGAATGCTGACAAATAGTATCTTGATGGGAGGGGAAAGTGGAAACGCCACAATTTCTATTTCTACCGTGTTTTCCAAAGACACAATTTGCTTATGTTTATGTGTAAACAGGGCTTTATTTTCTAATAGTATTGGTTATGATTTAATCAGGGGAAAAAACTCTTGCTTGGCCTCACCATCCAGTCTCTCACATTTATGCTAGAGGTTCCCTGTTTTCCAGAAAAGGGAATTCTTGAGTCATTGGCCATTATTGTAAGCCATGTCAAAGGTGTGCCCTCTGCTCAGCAGTTACTAATGATCTATTGTGGGAAAGCTTCTTTTTTTACCTTACACTTGCTCTGTTGAAAATATCAACAAAATCTGAGTTTATTTGCTTACCAGTATTCCGTATGACAAAGACATGAAAACATCAAACATTATATTCCTTGATTTCTACTTTGCAGAAACCTTTCAGTAAATTAGGCTCTGAAATTTTCAGATTCTATTTCGAATTTGTAATATGACCCTCCTCCATAATTGAAAAGTTTTTCCCCAGCAAAAGGGACCACTGGATTTACTACTTTGACTGTGCCCCATCCCAAACACACACTTATAGGAAGATCCACTGGCTGAGGGAGCCCTCGAACTTCAGACTGATTCTGGGCTTTAGGACTCAAGGCTCAGAGGCTCAGACAGACTCTGCACTTTGTGGTTTGTTTCTGATTTTTTTTTTTTTTTAACCAGGTCTCACTCTGTCACCCAGGACAGAGTGTGGTGATGTGATCACGGCTCACTGCAGCCTCCATCTCCCAGGCTTAGGTGATCCTCTTGCCTCAGCTTCCCCAAAAGTGCTGGGATTACAGGTGCATGCCACCATAGCCAGCTAATTTTTAAATTATTTGTAGAGATAGGGTCTCCATATGTTTCCCAGGCTGGTCTGTAATTCCTGGGCTCAAGCAATCCTTTCACCTTGGCCTTGCAAAGTGCTGGGATTATAGGCATGAGCCACTGCACCTGATGCTCTTGGGGAGTTTTGAGTTCAGAATGACCTTGGCATGATTTTATGGGCTAGCCTAGAAAACTGATCTGGCAGATACACATGCACATTCCTAATATAACACTAC
Source organism: Homo sapiens (assembly GCF_000001405.40). Classification (NCBI taxonomy): domain Eukaryota; kingdom Metazoa; phylum Chordata; class Mammalia; order Primates; family Hominidae; genus Homo; species Homo sapiens. The sequence continues at coordinate 171,199,124 of NC_000002.12, read as the reverse complement.
TTTTAAAATAAATTACTTCCAAGCTGCAAACAACTTAGTTACAGATGGCTCTTTGGAAAACAATCCTTTCCCTTTTTTGAAAAACAAATTTTGGGTACATGGTTCTTTCATTAGAAACTTATTGGATGGACAGGACTTGAGTTTTACTTTTAATAATTCATGTTATATATTACCAAAAATGTGATTCTGGTGATGTCAAAGTCATGCTTTGTTCATTTGAATCTATTAAATAAAGTACTTATATGGGAAATAAAACTTACTTTAAAATTGATCAACAGGTAAATAGATAGGAAAGGTCTTAAATAATCATCAGTAAAGAACTAAAACAAGCAAACATTTGCTTTTCTAGATTGGAGGATAAATTTATCAGAGTCAGAATTTCCTCACCATGCAGAGTTTAAAGGCCGTTTATAATTATTCCTCATCTCCATCCTTTAGTCAATCAGGCCTCTTTTCTAACACATCTTTGGATGCTTGTCTAACTTCCCACTCTCATCACTGCCAACCCAACCACCAACTCTATCTAGTCCCAGCTGCTCTTACAACCTGCTAATTGAATAGTTTTAATGGCTCTTTTATACATCTATCCAAATCCACTCCAATCCTCTACTTTGTCACATTCATTCCTGGATTTTTTTCCTTGCAGTTTTGAATGGGCTAATATTTCTATTGAAAATTATTCTACTCATCCATAAGACGCAAATATTTTACATTATTTTTCCAATTGAGATATAGTGGCCATGTTGAACCACTGCTGTTTCTTAAATGATGCCTCTGAGCAGAAAAGCTTCATGCTATAATTAATTGCGCTGACACATTTATAGAATATTAAATGCGCTTACACATTTATATCACACATTAAATATGCATGTCAAATACATTTATAATGTATTTCCAGCTGGCCAGCCCATGTTTCTTTACCGTTATCATTTTTTTTCTCTGTTCTTGCTTACCTCTGGTAACTATAGAACGTAGATGATACTTTCCTTAGTAAATGCTTGGATTTAAACTATGATTAAGAGGAGAAAGACCATCTCCCCTATGCAAGTTGTTCATGTAAACATTTATTGACCATCTACTCTAGGCCAGAAACCAGGGTAGGTACTGAGGATACAAAAATGGACACATCATGTCTATCCACAGGAAACTTTGTCTGGTGCAGTTGTTTCATAATTTAGTGTTCTTATAAGAATCATATAAGGGTACTAGCCAAAAATGCAGATTCTGGAACCCCTAGTTACCCCACATTTTAATTTTAGAAGTTTGGAGTAGAGCCCAAGCATCTGCATTTTAGCAAGTCCTCCAAGTGATTCTTTATTGTTTTTTGTTTGTTTGGTTTTGTTTTTGAGACAGAGTCTCACTCTGTCACCCCAGCTGGAGTGCAGTGGTATGATCTTGGCTCCCTACAACTTCTGCCTCCCGGGTTCAAGCCATTCTCTTGCCTCGGCCTCCTGAATAGCTGAGATTACAAACGTGCACCACCACGCCCAGCTAATTTTTGTACTTTTAGTAGATACAGGGTTTCACCATGTTGGCCAGGCTGGTCTCGAACTCCTGACCTCAAGTGATCTGCCCACCTCCGCCTCTCATAGTGCTGGGATTGCAGGCGTGAGCCACTGTGCCTGACCTGATGCTCCAAGTGATTCTGATGCAGGTAGTCCCTTGATAACACTTTGAAAACATCACATTGAATACTATTGAATGTTTTATATTTGTGCCTATAGTTCTGTACTGTTATCTTTTGGGGGGTATTTTCGGGTTTTTTTGTAAAAAGCTATATAAAAGAAAATATTATTTAACCAGTTTCCTTTTCCTCAAATGCTTTTTTCTCTCTCATTTTTAAATAAGAAATCTTTTCATATTCAGAGATTATCTGTCAAGTATAAGAAAATTTAATGTATGAGCGCTTTTCTAAAAACCTAGAAGTTTATCATATATTTTCCTTATTTTTTTCACCACCATTAGACCATAACACAAAACATAACACTGTTGCAATAATATTATTACTTTACAAAAGTTTAGATTTCAAAGTTTGCTACTGAGTATTTTTTTTCTTTGTACTTTCCCCACACTTAGGGTTCTCCTGCTTCCAGGAGGAAAGAAACATTTCGTTTTTCTAGTCCAACTAAAGGCCCAAATTATGACTTACGTGAAATGTAGCTTCTAGCTATATGCTCATTACTTTGAAAAAGACTATGAAAGTAAGTTTAAGCAAAGCAAAACATAAAATAACCTTACTAAGTTTTTAGAGCTATATTCATATAGGCATAGTTACTTTTGTAACTAATGCTTAAGTTTGATGGAATAGTCCTCCCAATCTGTCTTCAACTTTCTTTGCAAACTCACTGTGAAGTCTCTCATAGAACCAGGCTGACAATGGCCTCCAGACTGCTGCCTTCAGATACCATACCATTTTTTTGTATTTCCCTTGCAAACTGCTTAGTTTTTAGAGCCCATTGAAGGGATGCCCAAGCTCACCATTCTTCTGCACTGACTTCTCTGTAACCTCTGTCCATGTAGCTGGGAAGGGGTTGCGAGAGCGGACATAGAAAAAACATATAGATATATGGCAAACCAAGTAACCATGTCAATTTTTTGAGAACATTTTTAAAAAATCCCCATGAGTTTGATGTTTTCTAATTACCAGGAGACAATTATCCACATTACACTTAAATAAAATGAAAAGGTCTCACCATTTCTGGCTACAAGTCCTGGTGTGGTGGCTCACGCCTGTAATCCCAACACTTTGGGAGGCTGAGGCGGGCAGATCACCTGAGGTCAGGAGTTTGAGACCAGCCTGGCCAACATGGTGAAACTCCATCTCTATTAAAAATACAAAACTGTGCTGGGCATGGTGGTGGGCACCTATATTCAAAGCTACTCAGGAGGCTGAGGCAGTAGAATCACTTGAACCCGGGAGGTAGAGGTTGCAGTGAGCCAAGATCATACCACTGCACTCCAGCCTGGTAGGCAGAGTGAGACTCCATCTCAAAAAAAAAAAACCAGCTACAATGTCCCTCCCTTCCTTCCTTCCTTCCTTTCCTCCTTCCTTCCTTCCTTTTTCTTTCTTTCTTTTTTTTTTTTTTTGATACAGAGTCTCACTCTGTTACTCAGGCTGGAGTGCACTGGTGCAATCTCAGCCCACTGCAGCCTCCACCTTCCAGGTTCAAGTGAGTCTCCCACCTCCCAGGTGAGTCCCAGCCTCCCAAGTAGCTGGGACTACAGGCACACACGAACATTGCAAGACGGGGTTTTGCCATGTTGGCCAGGCTGGCCTCGAACTCCTGACCTCAGGTGATCTGCCAGCCTCGACCTCCCAAAGTGTTGGGATTACAGGCGTGAGCCACTGCTTCTGGCCTACAATGCCTTTTAGCTCATTGGGATCTCAACAGAAAATCTTATAAATGTAATCATTTTAGGTGTTTATCCACATGCTCCACCAAAATGAGATGTAAGAAGACAATATTTTACAAAATGAACAGTGTTGATGATTTAGTAACAATATACTTAATTTCAGGAACAAAAGACAAGGACATACTTCATTATTTCCCAGTAGAAAATAATATATATTCAAATATAGAGCTTATCCATGGTGGATTATGTTTTTTTTTTTTTTTTTTTTTGAGACAGAGTCTTGCTCTGTCACCTAGCTGGAGTGCAGTGGCGCCATCTGGGCTGACTGCAAGCTCCGCCTCCCAGGTTCACGCCATTCTCCTGCCTCAGCCTCCGGAGTAGCTGGGACTACAGGCGCCCACCACCATGCCCGGCTAATTTTTTGTAGTTTTAGTAGAGACGGGGTTTCACCGTGTTAGCCAGGATGGTCTCAATCTCCTGACCTCGTGATCCGCCCGCCTCCGCCTTCCAAAGTGCTGGGATTACAGGCGTGAGCCACCGCGCCCGGCCGGATTATGTTTTATACAAGTACTGTATTCTTCTTAGTGTCTGACATCTTGTCAGGAAAAGGGTGTTTTCAGTTGTGAAGAGTGTTTCACATCTTTAAGGTTGAGGGCTTGAAGGATTTCACTAGTTGAATCTTTACTGACAGCAAGTATACGAAAATGCATATCAGAGAAATTTTGCTGCTGACTTCAACTTGCCAGCCACAGACATTCTGCATTTTGAACTGATTGAGGAAAGGGCTGTGTTAGAAAAGGAGCAGTGAATGAGCAGAGCAGTGATTCGTGTAGTGATTGCCAAGAACCTTGTGTTTCAATCCTCCCTCTTTTTTCTAATATAACCAAATGAATTTTTCTCTTAATGAAAAATAATTACAATGGCTTTTACTTTTTTTTTTTTTTTTTTTTCCCTGAGACGGAGTCTCGCTCTGTCGCCCAGGCTGGAGTGCAGTGGCGCGATCTGGGCTCACTGCAAGCTCCGCCTCCCAGGTTCACGCCATTCTCCTGCCTCAGCCTCCGGAGTAGCTGGGACTACAGGCGCCCGCTACCACGCCCGGCTAATTTTTTGTATTTTTAGTAGAGATGGAGTTTCACCGTGTTAGCCAGGATGGTCTCGATCTCCTGACCTCGTGATCCGCCCGCCTCGGCCTCCCAAAGTGCTGGGATTACAGGCGTGAGCCACCGCGCCCAGCCCACAGTGGCTTTTACTTTTAATTTTTATTCAAATTTTATTTCACTGAACTTTTTCTCAACCCCCAAAGCTTTACTTTGTTTCATAATAAATGGTAGGGAAGTTAAAGATACATAATAAATGATCGACCTTGCTCATGTATGGGAAAAAACATCACAGGATTTCATAAGATTTCTTTACATTCCTCTCTTCTTCAGTCAATTTATTTCTGAAGGTGTGGAAGATGGAATTACAGGCCCCATTGAAGACTGTTTATAGTTATTTGGGTTGTACAGTCCACAAATGGCACAATTATATGTAGAAACCCTGATTGCTGAGGCTCATTTTTCTACACTTCCTAAGTGTTGTGTTCACAGATTAATGTGAATAAGGCTTAAAGAAATATATTTCTTCAATGGCGAGCCCCAACTATGCCCTTCATGTACTGGTGTGTAAGCCATTTGCTTTTAGCCTAAAAGGGAAAATTTTTTTGAACTAGGCATGCTAAGACAAGGGCAATCCCATTATTAAAACAAAAATGACCGGGTGCAGTGGCTCACACCTGTAATCCCAGCACTTTGGGAGGCCAAGGCAGGTGATCACCTGAGGTCAGGAGTTTGAGATCAGCCTGGCCAACGTGGTGAAACCCTGTCTTCACTATAAATACAAAAATTAGCTGGGCATGAGGTGGCGGGTGCCTGTAATCCCAAGCTACTTGGGAGGCTGAGGCATGAGAATTGCTTGAACTCAGGAGGCAGAGGTTGGCAATGAGCCGTGATTGTGCCACTGCATTCCAGCCTGGGCAACAAGAGAGAAACCCTGTCTCAAAAAAAAAAAAAAAAAAAAAAAAAAAAAAAATGCCAGGCGCTGTGGCTCACGCCTATAATCCCAGCACTTTGGGAGGCTGAGGCGGGCGGATCACGAGGTCAGGAGATCAAGGCCATCCTGGCTAACACGGTGAAACCCCGTCTCTACTAAAGAAAAAATATAAAAAATTAGCCGGGCGTGGTGGCGGGCGCTTGTAGTCCCAGCTACTTGGGAGGCTGAGGCAGGAGAATGGCGTGAACCTGGGAGGCGGAGCTTGCAGTGAGCCGAGATCGCGCCACTGGACTCCAGCCTGGGCTACAGAACGGGACTCCATCTCAAAAAAAAAAAAAACGAAAAACTAAGTGATAACAGAAAACAAACAAAAAAAATTAACAGTCACTATGGAGACATATTTATGTCATCTAAGAAACAACGGCTTTGGTGAGGTTTATGAAGTCCTAGGAGGAGTGATTTTCACTCCTCCTAGAGTAGACTTTCATTCTCTCCCAGTATTGATATTTCTAAGTGTGGCTGTTGGCCTCATGTATTTGATTTATGTCAGCATATGGTTGAGCTCACAGATTGCTTTCTTTTACCAAATGTGTGGTTACCAATACTGTATAAGTCTGTACCTGAGCAGAAGTTTTTAAAGAGCTAATTTCAACAAGATTTCTTGCAGTGATTTACACCAGCTTTATTGTTAACCAAGGAAAATTAGCAGGTTTTACACCATAATCATTTAATAGATTCTGTAACTAAAAACTAAAATGTACATATGTTAAAGTATATTGATCTATTAGGCAGCTAATTCCAAATCTGAGAATAATAGCATGGAAACATGATCAAGTAACAACATTTTCCAGAATAATCCTCTCTTGTGAACAGGTTCAAGACCCTTCTTATGAATGACTAGAACAGTCATCAAGATGTTGGAATTTGAAGCATGTACAGATGGCCACAACTCTTAAACTATCTCTAACCTTTTGGCCATGACACCTTAAAGTCCAGTGGTTCAGACTGATTTCTTTTGTTACCAATACTTCTTCTTTATTTTTTTTATTTTTTATTTTTTTGGATGGAGTCTCACTCTGTCACCCAGGCTGGAGTGCAGTGGCATGATCTCAGCTCACTGCAACCTCCGCCTTCCAGGTTCAAGCCATTCTCCTGTCTCAGCCTCCCGAGTAGCTGGGACTACAGGCACGTGCAACCATGCCCGGCTAATTTTTTTTTATTTTTAGTAGAGATGGGGTTTCACTGTGTTAGCCACGATGGTCTTGATCTCCTGACCTCGTGATCCGCCCGCCTCGGCCTCCCAAAGTGCTGGGATTATAGGCGTGAGCCACCGCGCCTGGCTCTGTTACCAATAACTTCTAAATCCAAATGCCCTTTGGAGGGTTGCCACTTGTATTATGAAAATAATAATCGTCAGTCCCGGTGGCTCACACCAGTAATTCCAGCTCTTTAGGAGGCCAAGGCCTGTGGATCACTTGAGCCCAGGAGTTCAAGACCAGCTTGGGCAACATGGCAAAACCCCGTCTGACAAAAAGTACAAAAAAATTAGCCAACATGGTGGTGTGCACCTGTAGTCTCAGTTACCCCAGTGGCTGAGGTAGGAGGATCACCTGGGCCCGGGAGGTCAAAGCTGCAGTGAGCCAAGATTGCACTACTGTACTCTAGCCTAGGCAACAGAGTGAGACTCTTTCTCCAAAATAATAAATGTGTGTTCATCTATTTAGGGCAAAAATTTTCAAAATGTATTCTGAGGTAAAAGGGATTCTGTGGTCAAATTAGATTGGGAAATGCTGAATTAAATCTGGACCTCTCAAAGCCTTGAAGATGCTACTATGCATCTTCCAGGAGATGCATAGTAGCATCTCCTCAATTTATTACATCAAAGAATCAGAGTTTTTAAGCTCATCACAGTTTACAGGACACATTTAGGAAAGTATATTGGCCTTGCTGGGTAAACCCTTTCTTATGCCTCGGTAGAAAGACTGCTAATATAGGTCAATGACAAAAAGAGGAGTTCTTAGGAAGACAGTGGGACCAGGGATTTTAGTTTTCAGTGGCAGAAGTAAGATGATTTAAAACTCAATTTCCCTTTGCTTCCTCCCAAGGCCCTCTCCTGGCTGATGTGAGATGCCTGAAAATGGCCTTCATTGAGGAAGAAAATGAATTCAGGGTGTGGCTCAGGAGAAAGGGGTGGGTATCTCTGGCCAGTTCTGATTCTGACTTGAGAGAGACTCCTGGGCGCAACCAATCCTACTGCCCCAGTCCCTGTAGTAGCTGGGACTGTAGGCACACACTACCATGCCCGGCTAACTTTATTTTCATTTTTTTAGAGGGGGGGGTGGTGGGTCTCACCATGTTGCCCAGGTTGGTCTTGAACTCTTGGCCTCAAGTGAAACTTCCACCTTGGCCTCTCAAAGTGTTGGGATTAAAGGCATGAGCCACCACTCCTGGCTAAGATTGCTTCTTAGTAGGGTTCTTGAGCCATAAGGGCAGATCCTGATTTTATGGGACTTGAAAGTTACCCAATTTGGAGTTAGGGGGAACTTGTTGAAAAGAAGAACATAAATTTTTTTTTTTTTTAAGATGGAGTCTCAGTGTGTCACCCAGGCTAGAGTGCAGTGGCGTGATCTCGACTCATTGCAACCTCCACCTCCTGGGTTCAAGTGATTCTCCTGCCTCAGCCTCCCTAGTGCTGGAATTATAGGCCCGCACCACCACGCCCAGCTAATTTTTGTATTTTAGTAGAGATGGGGTTTCACCATATTGGCCAGGCTAGTCTTGAACTCCTGACCTCAAGTGATCCACCTGCCTCTCCCACAAAGTACTGGGATTACAGGTGTGAGCCACCACGCCCAGCCAGAAGAACACAAAATTAAGGGCAAAAGTGACTATTTAAAATAAGGAAAGAAATCACAATAAATTAGATTTTAAAAACTGATAAATACCATTAAAAATCACAAAGAAAAACATTATAAATTTTATAAACTGCCTGACATGTTCCTAAATTTTTAAAACTATTTTTTGCTGCACGCTTTTTGTTTGCCTCTTTATAAAGATTTCACATTTTGAAAGAACATTTTACATAGAATAGAAAGATAATCCAGGCTTTCCTCTAGCAAGTTTGTTTGAAATTTGTTTTGTTTGTTTTTTAAATTGGTAATCTGGAAAAGTTTCTTTCAGCATCATAAGTTGGAAATGTCATGTAAAATTTTAGGATTATTGTCAAACTTTGGAAAACTTTTACCTAGATTCTCTCATGTATCTGATTTGAGAGCATTTCAGATTTTCTTGTGAGTGACTAATGCAACTCCTCCTTGAATTGAAGACACTCATTTAACAGTTTGTCATCAATGTCCTAGTGTAGTGGCTTGACAGTAAGCTTTATGTTGAGGCCTGTACACTCACATCATGGTGCCAGGTGAGTTAGCACCATGGGCAGCAGGAGTTTTCCTGAAAATGATTCCTATACCTCCATGGTTGGCACTAACTCAACTATAAACAAAAGTGACTGTGTACCTCCTAAACAGATCCCACTGAATTTCCCCTTAGCTTCATCTCCCAAAAACCCTTGCCACTCCAGCAACACTCACTTTATGTTGTGAGGGTGGAGAAGTTCGAATGGAAAAGAAAAGTCATATTAATTATTGCAGCTAAAAGATCTTAATTGTGCAAATTTGACAAAAATATATGACCTTGTGAACATATTGCCAGGGTCTCTTCCTCACTGAATGGAGATGTCTGATAGATCTCTTTCCATGTTTTAGCTGGCACATGCCTTCTGCCCTTTTTTCTTTTCTTTTCTTTTGAGACAGGGTCTCGCTCTGTCGCCCAGGCTGGAGTGCAGTGGCATGATCTTGGCTCACTGCTTTCTGACCTTTTGATTTTCTTCTTGCTTGGAATTCAAATACAATGCTGGAGGTGGAGCAGCCATCTTGTGACCACAAAATGACAACATGAGGGCAAAAACCATATACAAAGGGAAAGGCACAGAAAGATGGAAGGCGCCCAGCTGATGTCATGGCCTATCTTCAGACTTCTTGGTACATGAAAAATATCTGTCATATTTCCTGTTATTTGCTAATGAATGCAATCACAAATTGAAATGCTTCCCATGATAGTGATTTTGAATTAATGATATAGGTAACAGAATTTCTTTTGCCACCCTGTGGGACTTTGAACATTTTAAAAATTGGTTGGCCTATGCAATAAAAAATGCATGTTGTTTTCTCAAGTCTTTCCCATACTTCTTATGAACATTTTAAAATCAGGAAATATTTGAAATATTAAAATTGTACTATCATAATCCCAGCACTTTGGCAGGCCAAGGAGGGCAGATCACGAGGTCAGGAGTTCGAGACCAGCCTGGCCAACACAGTGAAACCCGTCTCTACTAAAAGTGTAAAAACTTAACAGGGCATGGTGGTGGGCGCCTGTAATCCCAGCTATTCAGGAGGCTGAGGCAGGAGAATCGCTTGAATCCAGGAGGTGGAGCCTGCAGTGAGCCGAGATTGTGCCATTGCACTCTAGTCTGGGCGACAGAGCAAGACTCCATCTCAAAAAAAAAAAAAAAAAAATTGTACTATCAATATTTGAGTTGATCTTTCAATGTTATTTAAATTCCCTCTCTATATTCTGGTTACATGGATATTTCACTTCAGATGTGATATTGATTTAAGATGATTTTCATGGTTGACTTATAATTCTTATATGTTTACTTTGTCCTTTTGTAAAATGAAAATAATTATTGGTTCTTATTAAGCACAAAGGATGTAAATGAGTCTGTTGTAATGTCTTTGTATGCCATGGATAATGTATCAAACGATTCTCCTATGAGGTATTTTGCTTGAATCTTTTTTTTTTTTTTTTAGACAGAATCTTGCTTTGTCGCCTAGGCTGGAGTGCAGTGGCCTGATCTCGGCTCACTGCAACCTCCACCTCCCTGGGTTCAAGTGATTCTCCTGCCTCAGCCTCCCAAGTAGTTGGGACCACGTGCCACCACGTCCTACTAATTTTCTTTTTTTTTTTTTTTTTTTTGAGACAGAGTCTTGCACTGTTGCTGGGCTGGAGTGCAATGGCACAATCTTGGCTCACTGCAACCTCTGCCTCCCCAGGTTCACGTGATTCTCCTGCCTCAGCCTCCCAAGTAGCTGGGAATACAGGTGCACACCACCACACCCGGCTAATTTTTTTGTATTTTTAGTAGAGACAGGGTTTCACTATGTTGGCCAGACTTGTCTCGAACTCCTGACCTTGTGATCCACCTGCCTTGGCCTCCCAAAGTGCTGGGATTACAGGCGTGAACCACCGTGCTTGGCCTAATTTTTGTGTTTTTAGTAGAGATGGGGTTTCACCATGTTGGCCAGGCTGGTCTTGAACACCTGACCTTAGGTCATCCACCCGCCTTGGCCTCCCAAAGTGCTGGGATTACAGACATGAGCCACTGTGCCCAGCCTGCTTAGGTCTCAATGCCCATATTAGGATCCTGTAGAATAAGATTTTAAGTGTGTACAGGATTATTGCTTAAGCTAAGAGACTTTGGATTGTTTTCAGGGTGCTACTTTAGAATTGATCATATTTTTGCTAAAAGCTTACCAGGTATTCTTCACCTAGATCTGACATAAGGGATGAGTGAATTTCACTTGACCCTTGAACCATGCTCATGTGTTCCTTACAATTTAGTTATATCTATTTTTATATTTCATGTTATGCATGTGGATTCCTGCTCCTTGCCCCTCCCATGACTTTGTAATTCAGTCCAGAGTTCATAATCTGTCATACAATCTCCCTTCCCTCAACATGAAGTTTCTTTTTATTGTAGAATATACCACTCTGTTCTTTTATTGGTATATAATTAAATCTCTACTTATAGTAAGTTTCTTATTCATCCATTCATTCATTCAATAAATATTTAATGAATGCCTCTATATAACAAAGAGAGTTCTAGGCAGTGGAGATGTAGTATAAATAAGGGTAACAAGGTTCTTGTTCTCGTGAAGCTGACATTCTAGCAGACGCAGGCAGACAATAAACAATATTTTAAAACTAGTAATGGATCTAGGGAATGGTGGAGAGCTGGCTTCCTAAAAAATCATGTTTGGAGGAACTCAAAAGCCAGTAGCTCAAAAACTATCTCACACTTGACTGAAGTGATTTTGTGCCCCCTTCTTAAAATTCTGTCTAACACTTCAGCTCATGGCATCTGACATTCTTCCCTTAAAGACTGTAAGTGCTCATTAATAGCTAGAGTTAGAAGTAAGTTTAGGAAGGACTTGTGAAACTGTCATAGACTTTTAATGGTATTGAGTCATAGAATGTTAAAACTGGAAGGCAGATAGTTTAGAAATATTCTTTGGGAGTCACCTGAGTTATCAGGCCAAACAGTTAAGACCTTGGACCCTGAAGGAGTGAAGCATCAGGTGTACGTATTCCAGCGAGGATGTCTATTTTCTAGGATAATGCTAAATTGAGGAAGCTCCTAGGAGTGGATGCCAAAATGCAAGGGAGACTCCTAGAGATGGGTGGATTGATGGAAGAAAGTAATGAAGATGAACTTTGCTGTTTCTATTAGAATTACTCTTACCTGGACCAACCAAAAAAAATAAAAAGAAGTGCCTGGATTTAAAGACTTTATTCTTTTCTTTTTCTTTTTCTTTTTCTTTTTTTTTTTTTTTTTTTTTTTTTTGAGACAGAGTCTCACCCTGTCACCCAGGCTGGAGTGCAATGGCATGATCTCGGCTCACTGCAGCCTCTGCCTCCCAGGTTCAAACGATTCTTCTGCCTCAGCCTCCCGAGTAGCTGGGATTACAGGCAACCGCCACCACGCCCAGCCAATTTTTGTATTTTTAGTAGAGATGGGGTTTCACCATGTTGGCCAGGCTGGCCTCAAACTCCTGACCTCGTGATCCACCCGTCTCGGCCTCCCAAAGTACTGAGATTACAAGGATGAGCCACCGTGCCCAGCCTAAAGAGTATTCTTTTATCATTCATCTTTCATCAATTATATAAGAAACTAATATGGAAGTTACTATGAAAAGTGATTACAAAGTGATTATTTAAGCCCACACAACTTACAAAGTATGATGAGGTGTTCTGCCCACATTCCTTTGCAGTTTCAGTTCAGAGTGACTTTTAGTGCTGGGCTTCTCCTAGCCAATGGGAAATGGATGAGAAATAAAGTCCGCTTCTTAATTGAGTCACTGTGGGCATTATGGGCAGGATAATTCTTGGTCAGATAGGACTGTCCCACACATTGTAGGATATTTAGCATCTCTGGCTCCTAGACACTAAATGACAAGGGCTTTTACTCCCATCATTGTGACGAAAATTTCCCCAAACATCCCTCCAAGGGAGGGGACTGTCTCATCTCCCTGACTGAGAATCACTGGTAATCAGGAAGAGATTCTTAAATGTGTCGCTTCCATGTGGCATGGTGTGTGTGAGGCTAGATGTTTGTGTTCATTGCTACAGGAGCACAGAGGGAGAGGTATCTCACTGAATCTGGTGTTTCCTATAGGCATTTCGATGAGGATTATTCCTATCAAAATAATCCAACAATGCCATTCCTACTCAAAATATTTTAAAGCCTCCCCTCTGGGTTTACTTTTAGAGCCTGAGTCATATTCTTTTGAATTTGTTCAACGGAGGAAAGTTTCTTCCTTTGGAAGCATCCCAAAGTCACTTGTAGCCAAGCCTTGTGAGTAAGATGAGTGAACAAGCTGGACAATATTATTTTTAGTTAAAAGCAGTTTCACAGAACATAAAATTATGAGCCAGCACTTAGTAGTTAGTGAATTATGAAAAGCACTTAGTTCAGGTTTTAATAAGATATACCACTTCGTTCATTATTTTTCAAACTCTTATTATCACGAGATTGTTAGCACTCTGTTAGGTACTGCAGATGTAGAAATGAAAAACAATTTCTGCCATTAAGGAATTCACTATCTAGGGAGAGAGCAAGACAGAAAGATAAGTAAACCAATAAGTGCAATAAAAATGTAAAAGCGTATGCTAGAAGGGGTATATTTGTGCTGCTATGGGAGTACAAAGGAAGGACACTAGCCCAATCTAACAGCAAAGAATATGGACAGTTTGCCGCAGGAAGTTGGTGCTTTATCTGAGTTTTGAATGTACAGTGCTAATTGGCTTGAAGGAGGAATGGAAGATATTCTAGGCAGAAGCAGCAGCATATCCAAAGATACAAAGGATTGAAAGTGTAGTGCACTCTGCAAGCTTCAAGTTCTTTTTTGTCTGGAGCAGATGGTATCTAGTAGGAGATAACACTGGTGAGATAGGCAGTGTCATATGTCAATATCCTTTTTATTTGCCATACCAAGGAATTTGGACTCTGTATTGAAGATGAAGGGTAGCCATGAAGGACTCAAAGGGTAGAAATCTGATGATACTTGCATTTTTACATCATCCTAGAAACAGAGTGGAAAATGAACTGGAGGAGGATAAAACCAGAGACAGCAGTTAAGATGCTAGGAAACATGGGAGAAATGATGAGGTCCCAAATAAAGAGGTAAGGATGGGGATTAAATGGAGAGGGATGATTCAAGACATTTAAAAACATAAAGTAACAGTGATTAAAACATAGTTATAGGCCGGGCTCGGTGGCTCACGCCTGTAATCCCAGCACTTTGGGAGGCCAAGGCGGGCAGATCATGAGGTCAGGAGATCGAGACCATCCTGGCTAACATGGTGAAATCCCATCTCTACTAAAAAATGCAAAAAATTAGCTGGGCATGGTGGCGGGCACCTGTAGTCCCAGCTTCTTGGGAGTCTGAGGCAGGAGAATGGCCTGATCCTGGGAGGCGGAGCTTGTAGTGAGCCGAGATCGTGCCACTGCACTCCAGCCTGGGTGACAGAGCAAGACTCCATCTCAAACAAACAAACAAACAAACAACCATAATTATAAATGGTGAAAAGAGATCCTTTCTGATAAATGGATCAGGATAGAGTTCAGAAACCAACATTGAATAGGAATTATACATACAGTAAGGATGACATTTTAATTTAGTAGGAAATGAATGGAATTTTTTTTAGAGATGTTGGTTAGAAAGATATACTAGTTTTCTTTCTTTTTTTTTTTTTTTTTGAGACGGAGTTTTGCTCTTGTTGCCCAGGCTGGAGTGCAATGGCGTGATCTCTGCTCACCGCAACCTCCAACTCCCAGGCTCAAGTGATTCTCCTGCCTCAGCCTCCCTAGTAGCTGGGACTACAGGCATGAGCCACCACACCCAGCTAATTTTGTATTTTTAGTGGAGACGGGGTTTCTCCATGTTGGTCAGGCTGGTCTCAAACTCCCGAATTCAGGTGATCTGCCTGCCTTGGCCTCCCAAAATGCTGGGATCACAGGCGTGAGGCACCACGCCTGGCACTAGTTTTCTAATTATCAAATTATCAAAAACTTGATGGCTTAAACAATATAAATTTCTTTTCTTATTGTTCAGTAGGTCAAAAACCTGACATAGATCTTACTGGGCTAAAATCAAGGTGTCAGCAGGGCTTTCTGCTTTTTGGATTCTCTAGGTGAGAACCTAGTTCCCTGCCTTTTCTAGCTTCTAGAAGCCACCCTCGTTCCTTGGCTTTTGGCCCTTTCTTCAGTCTCCAAAGCCTGTAACATTGCACGTCTCTGACCATTCTTCTGTAGTCACATCGCCCTCTGACCACAGCTAGGAAAGTTTCTCCACTTTGAAGGACCCGTGTGATTAGATTGGACCCACCCAGACAATCTGGGATAATCTTCTCATCTCCACAATCCTAACCATATCTGGAAAATCTCTTATGCTATGTAAGGTAACATATCCACAGGTCTTTGGTTTATGGCATGGACAACTCTGTGGAGCCATTATTCTGCCTACTACAGGTGAAAAAAATGTTAATTTAGAGTCCTACTTCATGACATAAATGAAGAATAAATTACTGATGGATTAAAGATCTAAACATCAAAACTAACAAAGTATGAAAAAATGTAGTAGGATATCTTTAAATAAGGAAGACTTTCCTGGATAGGATAAGAAACCCAATGGTCATCAATTAAACTATTGACAGACTTGGCCCAATATTTAAATTATTTAAAGCATCCATACAATGAAAGACAAGCAAAAAGTTACAAAGTTAACAGGCAAGCACCAGACTAGAAGACAATATTTGCAACATATACATATATAATAGACAGATAATATCCATAGTATATAAAGAGTATCAAAAAATCAATGAAGAATAAAACCAACCAGATAGGAAAGTAGACAAAGGATAAAACAGATGATTTAGAAAAGAAAAAATAAAAGTAACTAATAAACAGAGAGTAAGAAAGCTAAACCTCTTTCACTATCAGGGAGTATTAGGAATTTCTACATATGTGGTAAATCTTTAAAGAAAAGCAAGGAAATGATAAGATATATTCAGGATATATCTTATCCAGTTTAGAGTTATCTGTGGATGGAGAGGAACACCCACAGCTTTAACATTATTGGGAGCTTTAACATTATTGACAAATTTTCTGTTTCTCAAACTTAGTAGTAAATTCATAGATGTTCATTTTTATTTTTAAATGTCATTAATGTACATATATTACACTTATTCTTTTTTGTATATGTAATGTATCATGATTTTTAATATGGAAAAACAGGTTTTTAAACTTCATTTTCAGACAACTTATTTGAAACAACTTCAAACTTACAGAAAAATTGCAAGAATTATACAAATAACCCCCATAAACTGTTTGTCCTGAGACCCTATTCAAGTTTGTCCAGCGTCACAATAATGTTCTTTCTTTCTTTCTTTCTTTCTTTCTTTCTTTTTTTTTTTTTTTTGGAGTCAGGGTTTTGACCTGTCACCCAGGCTGGAGTACAGTGGCATAATCATAGCTCTCTGCATCCTTGACCTCCTGGGCTCGAGCAAACCTTCCTGCCTCAACCTCTGGATGAGCTGGGACTACAGGGATGTCCCCACCATACCTGGCTAATTTTTTAATTTTTTGTTGTGATAGGGTCTCACTGTGTTGTCCAGGCTGGTCTCATACTCCTGGGCTCAAGCAATCTTCCCGCCTCAGCCCCTCAAAGTGTTGGGATTACTGGTGTGAGCTACTGTGCCTGGCCTCAGTATATTCTTTTTGCTATAAAGCAAAAGGATACATTCCATGTTTTGTACCCAGTTATCATGTCTCTCTAGTCTCCCACCCTGAAATAGTTCTTCAGTATTTCCTTGTTTTCCATGGCCTTGTAGAATGTCTCTCAGTTTAGACTTATCTGAAGTGTGCTTTTGATTTGACTTAGATCCTGCTGGAACATCATAGAAGTGAAGCTAATTTCTTACTGCATTCTAATAAGTAGCCCACAATGTCAGTATGTCCCATTTCTGGTGGTATTAATTTGATCAGTTGATTAAGATGGTATATGCCAGGTTTCTGAGAAATTATTCTTCTATTCCTTTGTAATTAATAAGAATTTGGGGGAAAGTACTTTGAGACCGTGTAAAATTCTCTTCCTCATTCTACTTTCACCCACTAAATTAGCATCCATTGAGGCTTTTTCTCAATTTTTATTATGCTGATTGCCAAAAAGTGATTTTCTAATTCCATCTACATTTGTTAGCACAGACAGTGTGATTTCCATATGGCCCTATTCCCAGAGATAGTCATCACTAGCATTCCTTTTTGATAGTCTGATGGGGATTTTTCTCTACATGCTCAGGTATAGGAGTGAAAAGCCACTGGTTGGATCGACCCAGAGTAGGTTCAGTAAGTGATCTTTCAAAGGAGTAAACAAGTTAATTGTCTTGGCAAGAGTAGGATCGAAGAGATGGATTGTGGGGCGTAGCTGGATAAGGAAGGAAGTAAAGCCAGAGGCAGCTGACAGATTAGGAGGAGATGGAGAGAGAGAAGGACTGCCGTAGTTTGAATGCTCTACCCCTTCGAATCTCACATTGAAATTTGATCCCTAATGTTGGAGGTGGGACCTAATGGGAGGTGTTTGGGTCATGAGAGTGGATCCTTCAAGAAGAGATTAAAGTTTAGAGAGGAATAGGTTATTGCTCTATTAGGTCCCTTAAGAGCTGGCTATTAAAAAGAGCCAGGTGCCTC
Organism: Homo sapiens; assembly: GCF_000001405.40. Taxonomy (NCBI): domain Eukaryota; kingdom Metazoa; phylum Chordata; class Mammalia; order Primates; family Hominidae; genus Homo; species Homo sapiens. The sequence goes on along the minus strand of NC_000002.12, from coordinate 171,181,654 downwards.
TCCCTCTCCTTGCTTCCTTTCTTGCCACGTGATCTCTGCACACAACAGTTCCCCTTCGCTTTCCACCATGGGTGGAAGCAGCCTGAGGCTCTTACCAGAAGCAGATGCTGACACCATGCTTCTTGTATGGACTGCAGAACCAGGAGCCAAATAAACCTTTTCTTTATAAATTACCCACCCTCAGGCATTCCTTTAGAGCAACACAAAATGGACTGAGATGAGGACGTAGAAACTCTTTGATGCTAATATGTTAGAAGGGAAGCTTTAGGATGTACAAAAAAATTAGATCACTTAGGTCCTGGCTTGGTTTTTTACTTTGGATTTCTCAGATGCTTCAGAGTCTTTATATGGACACCTCATTGATGAAGCACATGGAATGATTCATACCAATCGAAGTTAAGAAACAAGTTTCACTGTTTCACTTGTGAGTGTGACAATTTTGGGGTCTTGGTGATGGTGTTTTACAACTACCAACTTTGAAGTTTTGTTTCAAGATCATTAAAGAAACATTGAATTTTGTTTCAGCTACTGTTTCTCTCAATGAGACATTAATTCTTCCAGCTTCTGTTGAAAGATCAGAACAAATGGCAAACCTTTATTGTTTTTGTTCATTATACAAACAGAAACTTTCTTGTGCTCAAAGCTTTTTACAGAATGAATCTGTTCTAACTTTAACTCCTCAACCATTATTATCAGAGTTAATCATATTTTAAAGCCCCAAGTCTCTGAACTTTTTAACATTTGCATTAGACCTATAGTTTTACTTCTCATGAAAAGTCATCTTCTCCAGCTTTGAACATTATGCTAAAGTAAAAAAAAAAAAAAAAAAAAGCATCCTCTTAACATTATTTGTATGCCCATATAGTCCTAACATGTCAAGTGACTCATTTGCAGAATTTACATGACTGAAAATGTAGTCTCAAATCAGTGTCTCAGTAACAGTCACTCATTTTAAAGCCAATGCAGAAAAACCTCCTGGACTACTGAAACTTTGTAACATCAGCACAAAGCTTCACACAGAGCAAATACAAACTACTTCAGAACTCTGGAAAGAGTCATTCTAACCTATGGCACTGAAGATGCACTGAATTATCCAATGCAATAAAAAGTATATATAAAATTTAATAGTCATCAGTGTAAAAGGCCATAATACTTGAAGTAGTTAAAACATGTTGTAGTCTTCTCGGTTCTGACAGTTCCTCTTTTGTTTCCAGGAATCATAAGGAGAAAACAATTGGTCTCCTTACTTTGTAGCACTCCCATGTTGCTAATCTGTGATTTCAATTATCCATACTCAAGAAGAGAGATATCAATATGGGTAAAACAACTGATAATATGCTAAGTCTTCCCTTCCTATCAGATTAGGACCTGAATTTTGATGACAAATACTGCCTATTGAGACGCAGGGACCCGGGGGGCAATTTTTTTTTTTTAGACAAAGTCTCGCTCTCGCTCTCGCTCTGTCATCCAGGCCAGAGCCAGAGTGCAGTGGCCCCGAGTAGCTGGGATTATAGACGTCCACCCCCATGCCTGGCTAATTTTTTTTTTTTTTTTTTTTTTGAGACAGAGTCTCACTCTATCACCCAGGCTGGAGTGCAGTCGTGAGATCTCAGCTCACTGCAACTTCTGGCCCCCAGGTTCCAGTGATTCTTGTGCTTCAGCCTCCAGAGTAGCTGGCATTACAGCCACATGCCACCACACCCAGCTAGTTTTTTTTATTTTTAGTAGAAATGGGGTTTCACCATATTGGCCAGGCTTGTCTTGAACTCCTGACCTCAAGTGATCCACCAGCCTTGGCCTCTCAAAGTGTTGGGATTGCAGGTGTGAGCCACCATGCCCGGCCTAATTTTTGTGTTTTTAGTAGAGACGGGGTTTTATCATGTTGGCCAGGCTGGTCTTGAACCCCTGACCTCAAGTGATCACCCGGCCTTGGCCTCCCAAAGTGCTGGGATTACAGGTATGAGCCACTGCACCCGGCTGCTCCTGCTCCTTAATGTCTCCTTTACTTACTCCTTATTTGTGAATAATGAAATTGATAAATAGAACAAATACTGTCTGCTTGATTGTCAGACCAAAAACTACTTCCTTTTTCTCTTCTTCGCTTACTCCTTCTCTTCTCATAAAAGGAATATAAGGAGCTAACTGCTTAAATGTCAGACTCATAGCAATAAAGAGCCTATCATGTTTCAAAACCTCTGAAAGCTCTCTAGAGGACAAATAGGGGGCATTGGGGAATCCACACCTTCTCTAACTTTTTTCTTCTCTTAGCCAAGATTCCAATTCATGTCTGTCTGATTCTCTTAACTGCTAGATTATGAAAAATTAGGTCTTTGAAATGAGAATGAGAAAGAAAAAAATGTCATCATGTATATTTATTTCATTTGGGAATAAAAGGGTGCCCTGTAATTTAGAATAAGAGACAGGGATGACTCATTACAACTATGAGGATTATTAAGGAAATGAATAAATCAATCACACCACTCCAACTGTACTTGTCATCACAGTAGCATTGCCAATTTCCCTATACAGTTGGTAATTGTTATTCCATGTCTTCTTACATGGAATATAAGGTCCATTCTGGTGTAACAAGAAATATTAGAATAGTCTTCAAACCCATCATTAGATGAGGCTATAAAAAGCACTAACTAGAGCAGGTGCAAGCTACCTCAGAACCCTGGAAAGAGTCATTCAAAATTATAGCACCAAAAATGCACTGAATTATCCAATGTAATAAAAAGTATATATAAAATTTAATAGTCATCTGTGTAAGAGGCCATATACTTGAAAATTAAGACTGTTTTGATAATGTTAAGTTAAATTGATATCCCAAACCAGGAAAATGGTAGAATGCCTAAACTAACATTTAAATTTCTTCTGTTTAATAAGTCTATAACTGCTTAACAAAAAGAATAAGAGCAATATATATTACAGCAGCTTTGTTTGACTCTATTTAGACAAGTAAAATCTTACGCTTCCCTGTAGTTTTCCTTATAAAGCTGACTGATTCTCAGTTCATTTCAGCTAATGTTTTGCTTGATATGTCTTCGTTGCTTTGGTTGTCAGGCTTGGAGTTACTTTTCCACTGCTGTTTTTGCCTGCTCTCTAGCTGAGGTTACCATTGTTGTTATGAGGTGTCTTCACCCCAGCCTATCTGTCTTATACTGAGTCAATGAAGAGGGAAGATGGAGGACAAGAAAGGGTGAGAAGCCAAAGAGCTTCCCTTAAGCTCCTGTCTGTAACTGAAAGCTCCATGACATTCCATCCAGAAATCAAGAAGCATATCTGTGGAAACTGAAAGGAATAAAGGCCTATGCAGAACAGTTGAGAGCACAGACTTGGCCTCAAGCAGACCTGGGTTCCAATCCTGGTTTCTTCCCTTGATATCTGCGTGACCTTGGACAAGCTCCCTAATCCCTCTAAACCTGAGTTTTACTGCTTAAAAAAATGAGAAGAACAATATTATCTATCTTATAGAGTTTATTGACAGGAGCATATTAGATAATGCATTTAAACACTCTGTATAGAACCTAGCATATAGTAAGCATTCAAAAATGCAAGGCCAGGTGCAGTGGCTCATGCCTGTAATCCCAGCACTTTGGGAGGCCAAGGCGGGTGGATCACCTGAGGTCGGGAGATCTCAGGGGACCAGCCTGGCCAACATGGAGAAACCCCGTCTCTACTAAAAAATACAAAATTAGCCAGGTGTGGTGGTGCATGCCTGTAATCCCAGCTACTTGGGGGGCTGAGGTAGGAGAATCGCTTAAACCCGGGAGGCAGAGGTTGCGGTGAGCCAAGATCACGCCATTTCACTCCAGCCTGGGCAACAAGAGCGAAACTCCATCTCAAAAGAAAAAAAAATGCTAGTTAGTAAAGTATGGATGCTATTAATATAAAAGCTTTTTGTTCAAAAATGCACTATAGTCTTGGTAGGACATGCTCCCATATCCTTTTGGGGGCCTTATTCAGTAAGGACCTTGAGTCTAAACATTGCTGTACTTCTATCACTTTGTTAGTTGAAAAGAGACAGGTTCTAAACAAAATGGTAAAGTATATCTTTGATGACCAGTTCTGTTCCTAATTTGGTTTCTCTTTCCAATAACCATGCCCTTCCCTCCTCTCAAGACACTTAGGATTCTGTATGCCGAGGTCTCTCACAAGGGCTTTCTGTCTTGAGGTAGCAGTACTTGTTCTGTTTGAGGAACAGCTTTAAGAAGCCCAATGAGGTGGCTAATGCCTGTAATCCCAGCACTTTGGGAGGCTGACGCAGGTGGATCCCTTGAGCCTAGTAGTTCGAGACCAGCCTGGCCAATGTGGCAAAAAAACCATCTCTACAAAAAATTTAAAAATTAGCCAGGCATGGTGGTGTGTGCCTGTAGTACCAGCTACTCTGGAGACTGATATGGGAGGATCCTTTGAGCCTAGGAGGTCAAGGCTGCAGTGAGCTGTGATCGGGCCACGGCACTCCAGCCTGGGTGACAGAGTGAGACCCTGTCTCAAAAAAGAAAAGAAAAAAGAAAAGAGGAGTCAGGCATACTGGCTCATGCCTGTAATCCCAGCACTTTGGGAGGCAGAGGCAGACACATCACTTGAGGTCAGGAGTTCAAGACCAGCCTGGCCAACATGGCAAAACCCCATCTCTACCAAAAATACAAAAATTAACTGGGCATGGTGGCAGGCACCTGTAATCCCAGCCACTCAGGAGGGTGAGGCAGGAAAATTGCTTGAACCCGGGAGGTGGAGGTTGCAGTGAGCCGAGATTGTGCCACTGCACTCCAGCCTGGGTGACAGAGGGAGACTGTTTTAAAAAAAAAAAATTAAAAAAAAAATAGGCCGATGAGGTGAAGCAGAGAGTGAGCAAGGCAGAGAATGCTCAGAGAGGAGGCTGAAGATCTAGAACAGAGGCCAAGTCATTGTGGACGCTGAGGGCAATGTAGGGCAGGAATGCAGGAGTGGAAGCAGGGAGACTATGAAGTTATTGTTTTAGCTCAGTAAGAGATGACGGTAGCCTAGAGTGGTAGCCATGAAGAAAAGGAGCAATGGTAATATTAGAATATGCTTTTAATGCGTAGCAGATCAGAACTTAATTATGTGGATGTGGGAAGTGTGGAATCAGACAATTCCTAGGATTTCAGCCTCAGCAACTACTAACTAATGGGGCCATTTACAGAGATGGGAAAACTGGGGAAAGAACAGGTTTGGGGGCAAAAATCAAGAGTTCCGTTTTGGATATGTGAGTTATTAGACAGCCCAAGAGAAGCCATGCTAGCCGAGGTTGGAGCTCAGAGAGTGGTCAGGGCTGGAGACATGTATTCTGAACTAATCTGCATAGAGATGGTTTTTAAACCCACACAGTGTGCTGCTCAACACTGGTCCCAATTAGAATCACCTGGACTGCTTTAAAACCCTTGATATCCCGGCCGGGCACAGTGGCTCACACCTGTGATCCCAACACTTCGGGAGGCTGAGGCGGCCGGATCACCTGAGGTTGGGAGTTCAAGACCAGCCTGACCAACATGGAGAAACCCTGTGTCTACTAAAAATACAAAAAAATTTAGCAGGGCATGGTGACCCATGCTTGTAATCCCAGCTACTCAGGAGGCTGAGGCAGGAGAATCGCTTGAACCCAGGAGGTGGAGGTTGCAGTGAGCAGAGGTCGCGCCATTGCACTCTAGCCTGGGCAACAAGAGTGAAACTCCGTCTCAAAAACAAAAACAAAAACAAAAACAAAAAAAAAACCTTGATATCCTGACTCCAGCCCCAAAGATTCTGATACAAAAGGGGCCTGGATTTGGTATTTCTTTTTAAAAAGTTTCTCAGGTGATTCTAATGTGCAGTCAAGGTTGAGAACCAGGGTCCATGGGAGGTAGTTGTGGCCATCAAGGTGGGAGGATAGTGTCCCAGAGGTCAAATAAAGACAGAGGTTTAAGAAGAAGGGAGCAATCAGCTGAATCAAATACTGCTAGGAGGGCTAGTTAGATAAAGACTGAGAGGTAACTGTTAATTAGGAATGATGAAGTGTGTTACAGATAGAATGGGAGATAACAAATGGTGCTCCAGTTTTTCTTCATTGTGTATGTACAGTTGTCCCTTGGTATCCATAGGGGATTGGTTTAAGGACCACCTTCCCATACCAAAATTCATGGATACTCAAGTCCCTTATATAAAATGGTGTCATATTTACATACTTAAAAACTTTAAATCATCTCTAGATTACTTATGATACCTAGTACAATGTAAATGCTCTGTAAATAGTTGCTATACAGTATTGTTTAGGGAATAATGACAAAAAAGAAAAGTCTGTACATGTTCAGCATAGAATGCAACCACTACTATTTCTTTTTTTTTTCAAATGTTTTTAATCTTTAGTTGATTAAATCCATGGATATAGATACCATGAATACGGAGGGCTGAGTGTACTTTTTTTGAAACAATCTCACTCTGTAGTTCAGGCTGGAGTGCAGTGGCACAATCATAGCTCACTGCAGCCTTGACCTCCTGGGCTCAAGCAATCCTCTCACATCAGCCTCCCAAGTAGATGGGACTACAGGCTTGCACCACCGCACCTGGGGCTGATTTTATCCATTTTGTATAGAGACGGGGCCTTGCCGTGTTGCCCAGGCTGGTCTCAAACTCCTAGCCTCAAGCAATCCTCCCAACATGTTGGGATTATAGGCATGAGCTACTTCACCCAGCCTTGATTGTACTTACTGAGTGAAGTTGGGAGTCATAAGGCATTTTATAAATAAAAATCATTTAAAATGTTAAGGGTAATATTACTAAAAGTTATATTCTAAATCTCCCTTAAAAAAAAAGATGGTGAATCTAAATAATAAGTAGCTACAGAAAATTTGGGGAATTGAGAAAAGGAAAAAAAATGTTATCCAAAAGACTATTGTGTGAACACAATCACCATTACTTAGTCATTGACTAGCTTTCATTTAGTGAATTCCTACTTTGCAGCAGGCTCTGTGCTAAGGATATAGAAATGAATATGACAAAAGTATTTGCCCTCAAGGAACTCAGGGCTTAGTGGAGGAGGAGGACATGCAAAAAATAATTCTAAAACAAAGTGATAAGTGATATAATAAAGATTATACTAGTATGCCATGGGAGCAAGGAGATAGAGAGCTTAATATTGCATGTTAAATAATAATTATGAAGAGTACCTTGGCAAATTAAAAAATTGCTCCGTTTTAATGTTAGTGATAAAAACAAGAAGGAGAATTAGTGTACCCCATGATTACAATCATATAACAATGTGATTCCCCAAAGGTTCTCTAGCCAAGGAGAGGCTTGAGCTGCATCTTGAATGGTGAGTCAAGCAAATAAGATTAGGAAAAGGGTGGGGGAAAGAATAGGTAGGAGTAGGAAATTCCAAGCTGGAGGAAGGCAAAGGAAGTGAAACAGAGTGTATAACCTGTTTGGTCACTGTAATAACTTTCGTGTGGCTGCAGTGTGGGATTCCCATGAGAGAGTAACCAGATATAAAACTGGGAAAACAGGCAGGTGACAACAAGATTAAAAAGATGAAAAAGAATCACATAGTGCTAGAAAGACTAGTTGGAAAGCTTTTGGAATAATCCAGGAGGAAAAATAATAAAAGTTTGAACTAAGGCAATGGAAGAAGGACGGATGGATGGACAGATGAATGAATGGGAGGAGATGGATTCAACAGGCTGTTTAAGAGACACCGTAGTCTTAGGGAGTGGCAAGGGATGGAGGTATGGGAAATGGGGAGCTGGGGGTGACAAGAATGACTCTCAGTTCTCTTGTTTGGATAACTAACTGGGTTCTTGTCTTGGTTCTTATTCCTGGTCATTTCTACCCAAGATAGTGAATATAGGATGAAGACATTTGAGAAAACTGTGGAACATCCAAGGGGAGATGCATAGGGTCAATTCTGAACCTCCTGGAGCTCAGGAGAAAGATGTGGGCTGAAGAAACAAATTAAAGAGTCATCATTGGGCCAGATGTGATGGCTCACACCTATAATACCAGGCTTTGGGAAGCCGAGCGGGGAGGATGCCTTGAGCCCAGGAGTTTGAGAACAGCCTGGGCAACATAGTGAGACCCTGCCTCTGCCAAAAAAAGAAAAAAAAATTAGCTGGGCATGCTGGTGCACACTTGTAGTCCTAGCTACTCTGGAAGCTGAGGTGGGAGGATCCCTGGAGCCCAGGAGTTTGGGGCTGCAGTCAGATGTGATGAAACCAGTGCACTACAGCCTGGGCAACAGGAGTTTGGGGCTGCACTGAGATGTGATGACACCACTGCACTACAGCCTGGGCAACAGAGTGAGATCCTGTCTAGCTCTGTACATATGTGATCCGTATGAGTCACAAGAGTAGATGAGATTGGGCAAGAAAGTTGCATATATATCATTTGTGTGTTTTCCTTTTTAGTTATGTTATTCTAACTGGTATATTTCCTTAGTTATAATAATAGTGAGCATACAAGTTTCTGTTTCCTTTTTCACCCTACATCATACCAAAAGCTTTTGTCATGTTGCACCAGAGTTTTCAAAGTAGTCACAACTGGCTGAATAAAACTATACTAACAGGATATGCTATAGTTATAATTGACTTTGACTCTGTGATAAACATTTTTATTCATAGTATTTCCCCATATTTTGAATTTTTTTCTTAGGAAAGATTCTCAGAAATAGGAATATATGTATGTTATACAGTTAAAGTGGACTATACATATATCCAAATCACTTTCCAAAATGTTTGTACCAGTTTATCAACAAGGTATGAGAATACTAGAGTATTAGTCTGTTTTCTCACTGCTATAAAGAAATACCTGAGACTGGGTAATTTATACAGAAAAGAGGTTTAATTGGCCCACAGTTCTGCAGGCTGTACAGGAAGCATGATGCTGACATCTGCGTGGCTTCTGGGGAGGCCTCAGGTAACTTTTAGTTATGGTGGAAGGCGAAGGGGAAGTAGGCACATCTTACATGGCCAGAATAAGAGCAAGAGAGAGAAATGGGGGAAGGTGGCACTTTTAAACAACCAGGTCTCATGAGAACCCACTCACTATCACAAGAACAGCACGGAGGAGAAAATTCACCCCCATGATCCAATCACCTCCCACCAGGCCCCACCTCCAATACTGAGGATTACAATCCTACATGAGATTTGGGTGGGGACACAGATTCAAACCATATCAACTAGTTTAAGTAGATACTTCCCATAATTTTGTATTGTGTGTGTGGTGTGTCTATATTTTTATTGTATTTGTTAAACATTTTATTGAAGTATAACTACATGTACCAAAGTGTACAAATCTAAATGTATATAGCTTGATGAATTTCCACAAAGTAAACGTACTTTGTAACCTGAACCTAAACTAAGAAACAGAACATTACCAGTCACTCAGAAGCCTCCCTCCTATCCTCTCAAGGGTAACCACTGTCCTGATTTTTAACCCATAGAATGATTTGCCTGTTTTTAAACTTTATATAAATGGAATCACATAGTATGTAATCTTTCATGTCTATCTTCCTTTGCCCAACATTATTTTTGTACAGTTCATCTACATCATTGTGTTTAGTTGTGATTTGTTAATTCTCATTTCTGCATAGTATTGTATTATGTGAATATTCTATAATTTATTTATTCTAATGAGTACTTAGATAGTTTCTAGTTTGGGGCTATTACAAACAGTGCTGCTTTATGAACATTCTTGTACATGTGCTTTTGATGAATATATGTAACGCATTTTTGTTGGGTATATACCTAGGAATGAAATTGATGGATCACAGATATGGACATTTCAGCTTTAGTGGTTACTGCTACCAGGTACCAATATCCACTTCCACCAGTGTGTGGGAGTTCCCAGTGTTGCACATATTTACTGACATTTCATATTTTTCATTTTAGCCTGTCTGTTGAGTGGTATCTCATTTGCCTTAATTGTTTTGCTGTTGTTGACTAAAGATATTTAGCATTTTTTTTTGCATTTGGTTATTCTTTTTTGTGAAGCAACTGTTCAAGTTTTTGTTTGTTTCTACTATATTATCTATCTTTTCCTTAAAGGTTTTATTTTGCTTTTTACATATTCTGAATACAAGTCCTTTGTCAAATATATGTATTGCAACTATCTTTTTCCGCTCTGTGTTTGCCTTCACTGTCTTTTTTTTTTTTTTTTTGGAGATGAGGGCAGTGTAAGAGTCTCCTATTTTGCCCAGACTGATCTTGAACTTTCAATCTTCCTGCCTCTGCCTCCTCAGTAGCTAGGACTACCTACAGGTGCATACCACTGCACCCAGCATCCTTTCACTGTCTTTTCTTTTTTTTTTCCAGACAGGGTCTCACTGTGTCATCCAGGCTGAAGTGCAGTGGCGTGATCTCAGTTCACTGTAGCTTTGACCTCCCTCCACCTGCCTTGGCCTCCCAAAGTGCTGGGATTACAGGCATGAGCCACTGCACCCGGTCTCTTCACTGTCTTAAAGCAAGTTTTTTGATGATTAGAAGTTCTTTATCTTAATATTGTTTAACCTATCAAAAATATCCCATATGGTTAGCACATTTCATGTCCTGTATAAGAAACCTTTGCCTAACTTAAGATCATAAAAATATTTTTAGATTTTTTAAGAGCTTTATTTGTTTTAATTTTCATATTTACAGCTACAATTCATTTGGAATATATTTTTGTGTTTGGTGTGAGGTAAGGGTCAAAGTACGTATTTTCCCCTCTGGATATCCATTTGACCCAGCCTCATTTATTGAAAAGATTATTCTTTACCCCACTTCACTGAGTATTAATATTCTAAGTTTTTCTTTTTAGTTTAATTGATGAAAAGTAGTACTTCATTGTTTAATTTAAATTTCTTGACTATTTGGGTGGTTTGACATTTGTCCATTGTGTTAATCAAGACAGGATAGGCTATGCTGTAATAGCAAATAAAGCACCAAACAACGTAGGTTTATTTCTCTACATGCAAAGTCTGGTGCCAACTTATGGGGCAGCTACGCTCCCTGCAGTGATTGGAAGATCCAGGGCACTTTCACCTTGTGACTTCGCATCATTATCTGGTCTCTATAGTACCTACCAGAGGAGAAGACAGAGTGTGATGGTGGCGCAATGACTCTTAAGTCTTTTGTCTGGAAGAGACACACCAGATGTCTGCTTACATTCCACTGTCTATACCCAATAACGTGGCCCTATCTCACTGAAAGGAGACTTGAAGGTATACTTTACCCATGTGCCCAGGAAGAAGAGGAAAACTGATACAGTGAGGTAGTGGTTCTGCAACACTCCCATAGTTAGCTAATTTATTTTCAATTTTGTGAATTGTTGTATCTATTGACATTTATCTTTTTGTGTATCTCATGTTTATATTAAATCAAAATAACCTTTAAGCTTTGAATTCTATTTTAATGTAATAATGCTTTTTCTAATTTATTACAAGCTTGCTTACTACATATTTACCTATCCTTTTCTTTGTAGTCTTTTTGTCTTATTTTATTTAGAAGTATTTTTTTATAAGCAGTAAAGTATTGGATTTTAATTTTTAACACAATCTGGGAGGCTTTTTCTATTAATAGGGAATCTACATTTAATAACTAAACTTATCATGGTTAGTCTCACTGCTGCCATGTTTTTATGCCTTTCTTTTCATGTGTGCATGCTGTTTCTTTTCAGTTTTGTCATTTGCTCTGCAGACTTAGTTTTGTTTGCTCTTATTTTCTACTGTGATTTTCAAAGATGGCCATTCCTCTGATTCTGCTAGTGGGTTCCTGAAAGCTTTCCACAAATACTTTAAAAATCTACCTTTGCTTAATTGAATCAATAAAAAGCCAAACAATAGCTTTTAACTATCTGCGGAAAAGAAGGCACCAAACGTTTTGTTTTTCTTCTAGCCCCTGTTAATCCTTCTTTTTCTTGGTCTTCATTAATTTAATCTGGGGTAATAAACTCAGTCATTTGAAAAAATACAGCGTTTTTTTTCCCCATAAAGTACTTGCTATTCCTATAAAACGTTTGGAAAATATTGAAAAGTACAAAGGCTAACAACAAAAATCTGCCATTATTTTACCACAGAAAGACAACCACTCTTAATACTTTGGTATATTTTCAACTGGGCCTGGTGGTGCATGCCTGTAATTCCAATTATGTGGAAAAATCCTTGACCCAGGAATTCAAGGCCAGCCTGGGAAAGATAGTGAGAACTGGTAATAAAAATATTTTGATATATTTCCTTTCATTCTTTTTGTTATACACATTTTATATGATTGAGACTATATTGTATATATATATTTTATGCTGCTTTATTCACTGAGATGCTCTTATAAGCAAACTATTGCTTTTGGTTATTATAAAATCTTCACAAACATTTTAATGGCCTTATCATATTTTATAAGATAGATGAGCCATAATTTATTACCATATGCTTAATATTGTACATTTACGTTATTTTCAATTTTATTGTTACTATAAATAATGTTGAATAGAATTATCTTTGTGTACAAAGAGAAAAAGCACAGACACATTTTTTCTAATTTAAGATTGTTTCTTCCAGATAGATTCCCAGAATGAAATTAGTGGATCAAAAAACAAATTTTTTTTTTTTTTTGAGAAAGGGTCTCACTCTGTTGCCCAGGCTGGAGTGCAGTGGCGAGATCTCGGCTCACTGCAACCTCTGCCTCCCAGGTTCAAGCGATTCTCCTGCCTCAGCCTCCCAAGTAGCTGGGATTACAGGCATGCGCCACCACACCCGGCTTTTTGTATTTGTTGCAGAGACGAGGTTTCACCATGTTGGCCAGGCTGGTCTTAAACTCCTTACCTCAAGTGATCCACCTGCCTCTGCTTCCCAAAGTGCTAGGATTACAGGCATGAGCCACTGCACCCTGAGCACACACTTCCAGAATAACTCTCATCATTATAAATAAAATCTCAATGTAACTATATTGTTGTGATAGTTCTATTAACATTTTAGACTTAGCATCATCTTATCTCCCATTATTGGTGTTTATATTATCTTGTATCTATAGCTAAAGTCTGTTTTAGACACCAGTTCTTTCCAACCCCTATCTTCCAAACTATGAATTCTTTTTATGATTCAGTGATTCATGGTTCATTGAATTATGACAAATCCATGGGAGAATGTTCCTAATTTGCCCCCAAAGTCCTGGGATTACAGGCATGAGCCACAGCGCCCTGAATACACACTTCTAATCAGCACCTGGATCATGAAACAAAAAAATCACTTGCAGCTCAGAATCCCCGCTCTTACTTCATGGTGGCATTTTGACTGTTTATTTTTTTATTTTTTTATTTTTTTTGGAAGAGGAGGAAGAAATTCTCATCAATATTTTACATTCCCATATTGTTTCAAAGTTTCTAAATTCATATGAGGTTATATATGTCTCCTTTGCCATGTATCGAATTAAGAAAGATTTGGCATTTAGTTTTTATTTTCTGGGAATGCATTAAGTAATTCTGAAAATCTTTAAACTATGGAGTGGGAAAGATATTGTCGAAGATCAAAGATATTTGATATTTTTTACGAAAAGAAACTTCCATTTCTTTTGCCTACAAAAAAATTTATGCTGCAGAAACAATGTCCAGGGTAAGATTTTGGGCATTTTTGTTTTTCCCTCTTAATGTGATAAATTTATATTTTGGTTTAATCAGTAAAATTTAGGATAAGTAAAGTGTAACACTAGATTATAATTATAAATTATAATTTATATATTTTTAAATTACTTTTCAAAGTTGCCTGCTTTGTTAAGAGGTACACTATTGATTCAAAATTTGTAATATGAGCACTGTTTGCTTGTTGTACTTTGTTTTTGTAAACATTTCATAATACCATGTCCTTGGAGGATAGCTTCTAGTGCACTTTGGGGGAGGGGATATTATTGTTCTGAAGTTGGTTACAATTATTTAACCTCAGGTGAAATAAATCTAGTAATTCCAGTTTTTGTTTGAGAATCTAGTAATTCCAGTTTTTGTTGTGTATGGACCAAGGGTTTTCTTTTTTTCAAATGGATTGACAAATCTGAGAGAAAACATTTCCATCACTGGAGGGAGCAGAGGAAGTGTAATCTAGCCTATTATATACAAAAGCTTGGAACTATCTCTTCAGGATTTGGAAACCAAAACTTTCAAGCAGTGGTTTTGTGAATTGTGCAATGAAGATAGAACCAACTTAATGAAATGAGAATTCTTCATAATCTAATGTAATGGAGCCATTTGTCTAAGCAACTAATCAAAAAAACTATTGAGGGGGCGTGTTGAGATTGCAGGGTAGGCATCTTAAGAGCTCTGATCTATATTCATACCTTTGGACAAAGAAGGAAACAAAAATTTGGAGGTGAGTCCAGGCAGAGGAGGCCTTGTTGACATTTCAATTCACTCTGATAAGAAGGAAGAAGGCCCAATACTCCTCATTTCAACATTTGTAATGTAATAATTCATACATGTAAGAGTAGATCTAATATATACATGTAGTTTAAAGAGAAAGAATAAGACAAACATACCTCCGTACTCCCACCCAGCTTAACAAGTGGTGCTTTTAGCAGTGTTTTTGAAGTCCCTCTGAGTTCCCATGATCACATGTGCCCTTTTCCTTGAAGGAGGTAACCACTCTGATCTTGGCTTCTCATTTCCATTTTTTTCCTTGTAGTTTAATGTATTCCTGAACAATATATGATTTAGTTTTGAATGATTTTGAATATTTGAGAAGGAATCAAACTGACTTTGTTCTTCTGTAACTTGCTCTTTTTAATGAGCATTATATTTGTGAGCATTTTAATTGTTGTGTAGTATCCCACTGTACAAATATACATATCTCTAATTTATCCATTCTCTTGTTGACGGACATTTGGGTAATTTCCAGGTTTTGACTACTACAAACAGTAGTGCCGCGGACATTCTTGTTCTTATCTCCTGGTGCATAGCAGCAAGAATTCCTCTAGGATACATTCTTTGGAACGGAACTGCCAGGTCAGAGAATCTTCGTCTTTCACAGATACTACCTTACGAAATATCTTTTTGCTTACTTCAAAAGGGCTTGGGTTGCCAGATTTAGCAAATTAAAATGCAGGATGCTCAGATAATTTGAATTTCAAATCAATAAAAAACATTTTAGGATAAATATGGCCTACACAATATTCATAGTTTAATCTGAAAACCCTAACAAGGTCAGTGAACTTTATCAAACCACAAACATTGGGCAATGAAGGATGAGTGTGAAGGGGTGGTGGGGCATTTGGCCTATTCTTCCCCTGCTAGATGGCCAGCCCAGATGTTTATGAGCAGGTTAGCTCAGGGGACTCCAGTGCTTATTAACCAGCTGTGTAGGTAGTTGGTTGGCTCCACAACTGTATGCCAGGCAGGTGCTAGATGTTGGGTATTAACACAACTGTAACCATTACAGAGAAGGGTCCTTGCTCTCCCTAGGCTTTCAGCCAAGAGGGGGAAATAGAGAACAGAGAACAGTACAGCAATGACAAATGTACGATGGGAGCAGTGGTGTGCTGGTGAATGCTTAATAATTGGCTCTGATGGGGAGAAGCAGCTCTAACTTGTAGCTTTTGCTGACCTAGGAGTTATAACTACTCTCACCATGGCTGACTTCAAGCTACAATTGTAACATGTAACATTACTGAATGTGGAGTTGGGAAGCCATGTACATAATCTTCTCCCAGGACATTATGAACAGGCTCCAGTATCCCACTGTATGGGAGTACTCAGAAAGTATACCTCATCCAGTCTCCGGACTCATTTCTTTTTTTTGAGATGGGGTCTCCCTCTGTTGCCCAGGCTGGAGTGCAGTGGTGCAATCTCGGCTCACTGCAACCTCCGCCTCCTGGGTTCAAGCAATTCTCCTGCCTCAGCCTCCTGAGTAGCTGGGATTACAGGTGTGCGCCACCATGCCTGGCTAATTTTTGTATTTTTAGTAGAGATGGGGCTTCACCATGTTGGTCAGGCTGGTCTCGAACTCCTGACCTTGTGATCCACCCGCCTCGGCCTCCCAAAATGCTGGGATTACAGGCGTGAGCCACAGCCCCCAGCCTCTGGGCTAATTTCTTGTTGGTTTGGGGGAAAGGGGCTTAGGTGGCTCAGACATTAATTTTTTCCCTTGAATTTAGAAGTTAAGAGTATAAAATGCATTTTAGTATGTCTATAATATTGGATGCTTTGTAAATATTTTTACTATGGTATAGAAATAGAAAATAGTCTATTAAACATAGTTATAAATTATGATCATCCTATAGATCGGGGCTCAGACCTTCACCTTTTGCATCTGACCTTCCATCAGGAGACCCTTGAAGACTTCTCCTGCATTGCCCTATCACCTGAAACCCAGCTCATTGATCGTCATCATTCATTAATTCCACAACATTGACAGAGCCCTTGGTCTGTACTAGAGGCTTAAGGCCCTGTCCTCATGGAGCACTCAGAACGTTCTCTCTAGTCTCTTCCTGATTCTTTCTAGGCAGGTTTACTACCTTTTACTTGCTCAGTTCATTTCTGTGTTCTCAAGCTGGCTTTCCCTCTGGGAATATTCCTCCATGGAAGATTGCCAGAAAGCTTCCAATGATCTCTTCTTGCTCTTGAGATTTCTTCTTCCCTACAGAGTGGCACGTGTCTCTTTCTGTCTGAATCTGAACTCTTCTGACTTTTCTATATTTTTTCCTATTGTGTAATCTATCACTCTAGCCATCTAATCTTTTTCTTTTTTTTAGATAGAGGTGGGGTCTCACTCTGTTGCCCAGGCTAGTCTAGAACTCCTAGGCTCAAGTGATCCTCCTGCCTTAACCTCCCAAAGTGCTGGGATTACAGGCGTGAGGCACCGTGCCCAGTCTTGATCTATTTTTTTATCGGACATTTTTTGAATGCCCATATACTAGCAAATTTCAAGGTGTGGAGGAGCTTCTCCTTGCCATTTAAAAGTTTTCATTTATTTGACATAATCATTTTATAAAATTATGTATTTGCACAACTTATGTCCAGAGGCCTTCTTTATGCTTCAATTACTTCAATTACTTAAAACGTATTTATTGAACTTTTTCTGAATATAAAAAGAAATACATGATTTGTTTTACAAAATTTGGAAAAGCATACATAAAGAAATAATAACTATGTGATCTCACAGCCCAAGGCTAGTTATTATTAACTTTTTGGGGCACATCCTTCCAGTTTTTTTTCTTTTTAAGAGATGGGGTCTCATCATGTCGCCCAGGCTAGTCTTGAACTCTTGTGTTCAAGTGATCCTCCCACCTTGGCCTCCTGAGTACTTCCAGTGTTTTTGATGCATACTTAGGAATAAATCCAGATCATATCCATTTTTTCACTTACTATAGTGTGAAAATGTTATCTTCTCTGGTATTCTTTGAAGACATGATTTTAAATAATGGCATGACATTCCATTTTCAGGCTAAGCTGCAGTTTGTTTAAATAACTCCCCATTGCCAGTAAAAGCCTTTTTTTTAAAGGTTGGTGAGTGCTGTCTTATCAAAAACCACATGAAGACAGGAATCAAACATTTAATTGTCCTTCTAAGGAAGTATCCACAACAAAAATATAACTAAAGTAAGTTGATCATGTATATGCTGTAATCCTCTAGTTATCATTAAAAATAAACATAGCCAATCTGCATTAAATATAACATGAGTTAGGGTGGACGTGGTGGCTCATGCCTGTAACCCTAGCACTTTAAGAGGCCAAGGCAGGTGTACTGCCTGAGCTCAGGAGTTTGAGACCACCCTGGGCAACATGGTGAAACCCCATCTCTACTAAAATACAAAAAATTAGCCGGGCATTGTGATAGGCATCTGCAGTCCCAGCTACTCAGGAGGCTGAGGCATGAGACTTCCTTGAATCTGGGAAGCAGAGGTTGCAGTGAGCCAAGATTGCACCACTGCACTCCAGCCTGGGTGACAATTAAAAAAAAAAAAAGTACTATGAATTGGCATAAGGATAACTTAAAAACTTGAAGCTCTGGAGAAGGTTGGGAGAAAGATAACCTACCATCATCAAACCTTTTTGGTTGGGCTTTGTTTACCATTTTTGAGAGGAACTGAGCTCTGTACAGTCTCAGAATTGGTAGGAGCTTTAAAAATCACTCAGTGACTCTAACCTCTTTCTCGTAGATGAGGAAATTGAATCAAGTTACCTGCTGAGACTAATACTCAGGTCTCTTAACTTCCTTCCTGTCCCATGTTCTTTTCACCGCAATCTGCTGACTAAGCTTACTCTTAAAAATACAGAAAGAGCATACATTTATCAACATGTCATTACAGAAACTCTGTTCCTCTTATAGTGCATGTATTTAGGTATAAAAATCGAATGGCAAGATCCTGGGTATGTATCCAAGGGAAAGGAAAGCCTATGTCCACAGAAAGACTTGTACATGAATGTTCTTAGCAGCATTATTCGTAACAGCCAAAAAGTGAAAACAATGCAAATGTCCATCAATAGTTTAATGGATAAACAAGTGTGGTACACTCATTCAGTGTAATACTACTTAAAAATAAAAACAAACTATTGATAATGCAACAATGTGGACGAATCTCTCAAAAAAATAATGTCGAGTGAAAGAAGCCAGACAAGGCCTGGCACGGTGGCTCAGGCCTGTAATCCCAGCACTTTGGGAGGCCAAGGTGGGCGGATCACCTGAGGTCAGGAGATTGAGACCAGCCTGGCCAACATGGTGAAACCCCATCTCTACTAAAAATACAAAGTTAGCTGGATGTAGTGGCACGTGCCTGTAATTCCAGCTACTCAGGAGGTTGAGGCAGGAGAATCATTTGAACCCGGGAGGCGGAGGCTGCAGTGAGCCGAGATGGCACTCCAGCCTGGGCAAAACAGAGTAAGACTCTGTCTCAAAAACAAAAAACAAAAAACAAAACCAAAGCCAGACAAGAGTACAAATTGACTGTATGGCCTGCATTTATCTAAAATTCTATGAAATGGAAAGCTACCCATATGACAGAAAGATCTGTGGTTGGAGAGAATGGAAGTAGTGTGGAGGAGGAACCACAAAGAGGAAACTTTGGAGGGTGATAGATACATTCACCATCTTCCTTGTAGAAGTGGTTTCAGGGAGGTATACACATCAAAACTTATCAAATTGTACACTTTATTTTTATTTTTTTGAGACAGAGTCTAGGAGTCTCGCTCTGTCGCCCAGGCTGGAGTGCAACGTTGCGATCTAGGCTTACCGCAACTTCTGCCTCCCGGGTTCAAGCGATTCTCCTGCCTCAGCCTCCCGAGTAGCTGGGACTTCAGGCGCGTGCCGCTACACCCGGCTAATTTTTGTATTTTAAGTAGAGATGGGGTTTCACCATGTTGGCCAGGCTGGTCTCAAACTCCTGACCTCGTGATCCGCCCACCTCGGCCTCCCAAAGTGCTGGGGTTACAGGCGTGAGCCACCGCACCTGGCCAATAATTGTACACTTTAAATATGTGCAGTTTATTTTGTCAATTATACCTCAATAAAGTTGTTTGTGAGATGTCCCTCTTAAGTTTGAAAAGCAGACAAGACTAAAAACTCACTGAAGTATCTAAAGCACAAGGCAACTACAATTACTTCTGGAGATAACTGACAATCAAGGTTCTTTTCTAGTATGATAGTTTATCTGAACAAAACATTACTATGAGAAATGCGAAGTCATAAAAATAAAAAATAGAAACGACATTTTTGTCCCCCTGGTAATCATGCCATTTCCTCTTGTCTGTGCAGTAGCGCTATATCATAATCTTTTTAGTGCTCTATTCAATTTGGTTTTCTAAAGAGAGAAATAACCTTGTTGTACTTTTCCTGAACTAGAGTGCTCTTTTATGTACAAGAAGCCCAATCCCTGGTGTGAGTATACTTGTGTGGGTCTGTAGAAAGCTACACTCTATCTATAAATTTTAGCAAATGCTGTTATTTATTTTGGGATTTTTGTAGTCGGGACTCAGCGGAGACACTAGAAACAAATTATAAGTTTCTAGAAACCATACCTTCTGCAAGATGAACGCTGTATAGTTTTCCTAAATATGTGATTCAGTAATCACATTTTTCATTTAGATTTTCCACTTACTGTTTTAAAACAAAGAATTGCTATACCATACAGTCTACAAAACTGGTAATTTTCAATTTCCTCATTAAAGATTCTTCACTCTTTTTTAGAAAACACGAGAAAGTTTTATTTCCCAACTCTCCCACTACCCATGTTTATTTTCATAGCTCTTTTATTCGGTCATTATTCCCATTCTGCAGACGGGGAGGCGCACATACGTTTTTCTGCACAGTACAGAGGGGCAAGAAAGAAGGAACTCTCAACTTTTCAGTTCCATTTTGAGAAACGATCACATTGAACTCCCGAGAAGCGGCAGCTGAGCGAGAGCAGCAGCATTTCTCCCCGTGTTGGGTGTGGGTCAGGAGAGAGGCGCGCTTCCGCGGGAGACAGGGGGAGTCAGGTGGCAGCGGCGCTGGAGCCCGAGCGGCGCGGCGGGGGCGCGCCTCCCTCCGGCCGGCGCGGGGACGCTGCCCCCGCGCACGCGAGTCCGGCAACCCCGGGCTCCCGCGCCGCGCGGCGATCCGCGGGTGCGGCAGGGGCGCCCCGGCGCTCTAGTCTCTTCCCTCGCGCGCTCGCTCCTTCCCCATGCCCCCACCCCCCAGCCCCTGGCAGGTCCCTCCCCCAAGCCTGCTCCCGCGGCCGCCGCTGCCGCCGCCGCCGCCGCCGCCGCTACCGGAGGCGCAGGAGCCTCGCGATAGTGTTTGCACAGGCGGCGCGTGACGCCGCCGCCGCCTGTAACTGATGCAGAGGTTACCCCACCGCCTCAGCCGCCACCCACAGCCCGCCGCCGCCGCCTCCCGGGCGACGCCGGGGGCCGACGCACTGCAGAGGTGCCGGCAGGTTCCGCCCGCGGAAGTGTCCTCGGCCGGCGCAGCCCGCGCTCCGCCCGCGCTCCGACCCCGGCCCGGCTGGCACCCCCTCGACGCCTCCGCCGCCGCGCTCCTTTCCTCCTCCTCTCCTCTGGCGCGCCCGCTCGCTCCCTCGCTTCTCCCCCTTTCCCTCCTCCCTGTCCCCTCTCCTTCCCTCACCTCTTTCCTCCCCACCTCCCCTCTTCTCGGTTTCCTCCCCCATCCCCTTGACTCTCCCCTCCCAGCCCTCGCTCTCTCGCTCGCCCTCAGCGCGGCCCCCGCCATGACGGAGGCGGGTGCCGGTGCCGTTGCCGCCGCTGCCGTCGCAGGGGGGGAGTCGGGTTCCCAGAAAGTAGCTTGATGAGTGTCCAAAGTAGCAGTGGAAGTTTGGAGGGGCCGCCATCTTGGTCCCAGCTCTCCACGTCTCCAACCCCGGGCTCGGCGGCGGCGGCCAGGTCCCTGCTGAATCACACGCCGCCATCCGGGAGGCCCAGGGAAGGTAAGCACCGCCGCGCCCGCGCCCGCTCGCGGGCCTCCTCTCCCGCGCCGCGGACCCCCGCGCCCCCCCCCCGCCCCCCCCGCCCCGGGGCTTCTCCGCCAGACCCTGGGGTGGGGGATGGTGGCGAGGTGGACGCGAGGCCGCCCGGCTCCCCGGCTCTGGGGAGGTAGTGCCCTGGCTGTGGATGGTGGTTCGCGGGTGGCGGAGGAGACGGACGAGGGGGTGCGCGCTGGTGGGGACGGGGCGAGGCGCATAGACTCGCCTGGGGTTCCTGGGAGCCAGTCCTGCGAGGGTGGGAAGCCTCCCCCCAGACGCGAGCCCCTTTCTGCTCCATTTGCCAGTACACTCAGTACTCTTAACCTCCTGGCCTCCGGTCTCTGGTGGGTTTTCCCTCCCGCTGGAGCCTTCGTCCTCGAGCCCCCTCCCCTTCTCCCGCGCACTCCTCCCATAGAGGCGGTCCCCACTTTGCGAGCTTTGCTGCCCGGGACCTGGAGGATGCCCCTCGCTTGCTGGGTTTCTCCTTTGGGGAGAGACGCTGAAATTATCTGGGCAGACTTTGATCCCCTGTGTGGCCCCCTAGAGCAATTTAAACGACAGACTGACTCGTGGGCAGGCTTTTAAAACCGCCCCTCCAGATGGTTGCAACTTTCTCTCCTTCGCCGTTGCTTCCTGCGTGTTTGTGCGTTATATTCTCTGCTGCAAGTAGGCTACTGTTCTTCTGTGACAGGGTCGTGGGTTTTGTGGGAAATATCTGCGTAAAGGTTATTGCAAACACGCACCAAATCGGTTACAATTGTTTTCTAAGTTTTCTGGCTTCTTGCAAGCAAGTGGGCTGCCACCAGATGTAGCAGTTACACAGCTTGTAAGGCACCGGCGTGCTTTTGACTAAAATTTCAACTTGCTGTATCTAAGTATACAACATAAAATGAAATTTGGGAGAAAACACATTTATGGGGAATGAATAAATGTGCATGGAATGTCTTTTAACGCTCTTTAGTCTGGAAAAAGCTTAGCGGTATTCATCCGCAATTGGTAGACGGGCTGTTCACTCCTAGTTGTCGCACACGAGGAGATAGGCACATTTTCAAATGTCTGGAAGTTCAACCGTCTAGTGAATGTTTTAAAGAAATCAAGAGCTTCGATTTATGTAGGAATCGGTGCGAGTACTTTATTTTGAAAATATCTGTCGATATTTGCTAGTCAGAGCCTTGACAAGTGTTAATCAAGTGTTTTGTGCCCTGAATCCAGTGGTTCAGGCATAGCATTCTTTGTCATTTTGTTCCTGTGAGCATGTGTGAAAGTGACAATAGGCTTAAAGATTGGCATGAATATGCTCTAGAAAATTCACGGAAAGCTTTGATTTATGGGATCCATTAAACATGCGGAATACATTGACAGACGTTTCCCCCTTTCATCTTATCCCAACGCTGAGCTTTCATTGTTAGAATATAGAAGTTTATTTATTAAATGACTAGAAATTTAGTATATCTGGTGATTCTTTTGCACTTGAAAATTTTTAAATGAACGGTTTAAAATGTATTTCATAGAGAAGTTGATGCTTGCTTTTAGCATGCTTTTACTTTTGTTTGTAGTTTCATTAAGATGTTTAATGTTAGTGTTATGAGTTTAAAAAGACCATTTTATTGTTTCTTGTTTAAGGCTATATCATCATTCATTCATTCATTCATTCATTCGTTTCTCGAATATTTATTGAGCCATTACTGTGAGCCAGGCCGTGAACTGGATACTGAGGACATAGTGTTGAATTATCTCTTGATATCTGTTATCAGTATTGGGAATTTGGGAGACAAAACATCTAGATTGTGAGTTTCTGAGGTTACTTCAACTTAAAAACATTCTGCACTTTTCCTGATGTTTGAAAATTTGGAGGGGTTGGAATCATTTAGCTTGAACTTCCAAATAACCATAATTTTTTCCGGCAGTTTAGATTACAGTGGGTTTTTATGTAACCTAAAGTAGTGAGTTTCTGTTAATTCATGAAATCATAGGACAGGCTTTTGTGAAAGTTACACTTCACACCGAGTACCTGTATAGCTACAGGGGGATATTTCTTTTTGACCAACCAGCATGCAAGTTGAAACTATTAATCCTCTCTAGGGTTATATTCATTTTGAAGCTTGGCGATGTGTTCTCAGATTTCACTAACGCTAACAGGAATATGAAGCCCTGAGTGTCAAAATGGAGATGATTTCTATTGAGCGAAATCTCAGTTTTTATTTTAAGTGTTTAGCACCTTTTCCAGGTATACATGTTAGTACATTATATAAATTGATGAAGTTTTAGAAAGCTTTTTAACTGCTAGTTACTGCTAGTAAGAACCGTTAATATTAATGGAACTTGAATGTATTGTATGTATCACGGTGAAAACTAACTTTGTTTCTTGAAAAATTGAGTCAGTTTAACATATAGTAATAGAATAATTGAAACTTAAAAGAGATACACATGTATGTGAACTTACATAAATATTCTATGTGATGAACTCCTTTTAGGCAGACTTAACTTTGAAAATGGGTTATTTTTAAAAATATGCCATAAGCATCTGTAAAAGTTACTTATTTTGAAGTTTTGACATTTGAAACCACAAACCTAAGATTATGATCTGATTATTTTTGATGCTGTATGTTGTAGTTTTGTTTCTTTTTACCTTATTACCATTATCATATTCACATAGTTTTATCACAAATAAAATACAGCTCTATAAGATTTGGGAATCTATTAGAATTTAGGAAATTATGTGATAAATATAGTATAGATTTCTTTCCCTCGGGTCCCAAAGCTTTTCGCTTGTCAGTCTTGTGGTTCTGTTAGAGGAGTTCAGCGATGTAGCTCTAGATTTTCTGTTGAATCTTTTAAACCTATAATCTCCATCCCATTTTGTCTTCTATAATCCTGTGATTAAGGGAGTGACGAGTTAAAAAGGTTTTCAAGTAAAGGCCAGTTTTGCTTTGTTGAAGTCTAGGAACCTAGTGTCATATTGGCTAGATAAGTAGTTGGGTTTTTTTGCATATCAGTACATGGGTACTTTTGAATGGGTTATTGCTGAGAATCAGATGATTGATTATATAGAACACTTGCATTTTCTTTCCTGCTCCAACCTGCCAATTATAAATAATTTGCTTTACTTTTTTGTAAATAGTGAAAGCTTGGTCAAAAAGATTGTATGGGCCAGGAGTGGTGGCTCAAGCCTGTAATCCCAGCACTTTGGGAGGCCTAGGCAGGTGGATTGCTTGAGCTCAGGAGTTCAAGACCAGCCTGGACAACATGGTGAAACCCTGTCTCTACAAAAAATAGAAAAATTAGCTGGGCATGGTTCAGGAGGCTGAGTTGGGAGGATTGCTTGAGCCTGGGAGGTGGAGGCTGCGGTAAGCCTAGATAGCGTCATTGCATTCCAGCCTGGGTGACAGAGTGAGATACTTTCTCAAAAAAAAGATGGCATGATAGTTCGATTAAACTGTAAACTTCCTCTGTTTCCATATTTAAAGACTGCATTCCTTAGAAGAA
Organism: Homo sapiens; assembly: GCF_000001405.40. Classification (NCBI taxonomy): domain Eukaryota; kingdom Metazoa; phylum Chordata; class Mammalia; order Primates; family Hominidae; genus Homo; species Homo sapiens. Next base: position 171,156,767 of record NC_000002.12, on the reverse strand, counting down.
TTAAAGTAATTGACTTCAGATGATTTAGTAATGAGATGTTAAAAACGAAGGTGTACCAGATGGCCCTGTAGGCCTTTAATTTTTTGAAATCACTAGCTGGAGGAGGACAGGGTTATGTGTTTAAGGATTCTAGCTCATGAATAGATATGTGACAGATGTCTCCTTTACAATGGCACATTTACATATTAGAGGAGAGAGATAAAAGAGAGAAACCAGAACGGAGGTTTGAAAATCTTATGAGAAATAGACTATGCTTTAGCCTTTTGGCCTCAGGGCCTCTTTACTCTCTTAACAATTATTGAGGACCCCAAGAGATTTAGGTTTATGTAGATTATATCTACTAATATTTGCTCTTTTAGAAATTAAATGACAATTTCAAATATATTTATTAATTTAAACTGTGTTGTAAATAGAATTTTTTATGAAGAATAAATATGTCCTAAAACCAAAGAAACTAGACCAGTGGCATTGTTTTATATTTTTGCAAATCACCTTGATTTCTGGCTTACTTGGAGAAGACAGCTGGATTTTTTGTCTGCCTTCAGTCTGTTATGATGTTTTGGTTGAGATATGTGAAGAGAATCCAGCTTCATGTAGATATATGGTTGGAAAAGGAAAGAGTGAGTATTCTTCTTTGGTATTACATCAAAATTCAACAAGTGGCAGTTTTTTGTTTTTTGTTTTTTAAGTTACTGACAATGTGAAAGCATATTGTATTCCAAAAATGTCTCTAGGACCTACAGGAAGTCTATGGAAGATACATTTAAAGAAGAGACTAACGGTTGGGAGACGTGATAGCTGTCTCCAGGTATTTAAGAAACTTGGATTTCAGTAAATAGGATTTAAAAACCTGTTAATTTTAATAAATAGGAGGGAGAATAGATCCATTCTCCTGCTTTAGAAGGCAGACCAACGGGTGAAAATTAGGAAGACATTGAGGTCAGTCTAATTTTTTACCAGAATGTAAGAACTGTATGACAACTAGACTTGGAACAGTGGAACAGTGGAGCAACAATGGAACTCGCAACAGCTAACAACAATGGAAAGAAGTAGTTAGTTTTGAGAATTTAAAGTGGACTACAGGGACATATTTTTTGGGGAGGTGGAGATAAATTCTGTAGATTCTTACGATGAGTGCTATTGGATTAGTGACTTAAGGCTTCATCCAATTTAAAAATGTAAACATTCTGTGATTTTTTAAAAATCCCTAAATATAGTTAAACTATACTTATATATATTCATTAACGTTTTTGAATGTTCTTGCAAGTCAGTAGTATGAAACTACTGTTGTTGTTGACTTTATTACTATTTTGCATTTTTATTGTGCTTTTCCTCTGAGGATTTTTCTGTCTTTTCTTGTGTCAGCAAGATCAGTCTTCATGAAATCTTGCTAAATTCCCTGTGAAATATAATAAGCTTAAGACATTTTAGAGAACCAAATGCTGTTTATGATACAGTTTAGTAGAGTTGTAATATATTTCAGCACAGAATTTTAGAATACTATGGGGGCTGATTTTCAATTTTGTAAGAGAAATTATGAGCATAGTTTATATAGTCTTTTATTTGTAATTGTTTACGTGATTTCAGAAGTAATATGCTTAAGTTATTCTAATGTTTTTAAAGCTAGAGAGTCTGAAAAGAGGGAAGAAGAAAGAAAAGTGTTTAAATTGATCTCTTTTGAATTTAAAATGCATATTAAGTATAACTAGAACATAAAATGAAGAATTTAAATTCTCATCTTATTCCTAGAATTATACCTATAATATGTATCATTACTTATAACAATTCATATTTTAATTTTGCATGGCACATAATCTCTTCTGTGAGTTGGATTTTTAGGTGGTGGGAATTTAAGCATAAATTCTCATAACTTTCTTGGGGTCAATTTAATATTAATAAGTGTAGTAAGTAATAATACCCAGCTTGAGACCTCATGTACTTGTTGCATTTGGATTTAAAGCTCATTTCCTATAGAAGAGCTGTAGAAATCAGTCATGTAGTTTCATAAACTCCTTCATGCTTGTTAATAATTTTCAAGAATCTTAAAATAAATTACAGGAATATTGTTATGAAGTAGTAGAAGCAGTATGGTATAGGGGAGAAAGTGATTGTAGTTGGGATCTGAGGATAGTCTTTACTTTGCTATTAACTAGCTGTGTGACCTTGGGCAAGTTGCTTATCTCTGCTTCAGTTCCATAAACTAAGAATTACAGAGCTGAACCGGATCTTGGAAGCAATCTAGTACAAACCTCTCATTTTACAGATGAGGAAGCAGATAATTTGCACAGGCTTTCACTGTAAGACAGTTGGGCCCAAAATTCAGTTTTCTGACTCTCAGGTTGGTTTTTTTTTTCCATTATACTTTACAGCCTCTTTTCATCTGTAAAATGAGAGCATTGGATTAGAGGCTCTCAAAGGTCTCTTCCAGCTCAAAAATATTGTCATTCCTGTGACATTAGTCGTAATATAATTTATTAGGGGAAAGTTTGTAGCTTTTATTTATTGGTGAAAGAAATGTTTCTTGAAGAGGCAGTATAACCTTTGCAAGGTTATATTTTGTTTTTTTAAGAGAATATCATCAGGCGAGGTGCTATGTCTCAGGCCTGTAATCCCAGCTTTGGGAGACCAAGGCAAGAGGATTGCTTGAGTCCAGGAGTTTGAGACTAGCCTGATCCTGTCTCAAAAAAAAAAAAAAGTTAGCTGGGTATGGTGGCATATGTCGGTAGTCCTAGCTACTGGGGAGGCTGAGGTGGGAGGATCCCACCTTGATCCCAGCAGTTCAAGACTGCAGTTGATGCAGTGAGCTATGATCATGCCACTGCACTCCAGCCTGGGCAACACAGTGACACCCTGTCTCAAAAAAGAAAAAAGAAAACATCTTCATTAATACCAAAGGGTATTTAAGTTTATGAGCATGGTAAGTAGTGTGATAGGTAGTCTTGTTTTTTGTAAAACACTTATTAATATATTAATAATATAAATTGCGTAAATAACAGTGTGATACCCGGAAGTGAAGTAAGTAGGTGATTGTTCCTCAGAAAATATTGCTGGAGTTTATTTTATCTGGGACCCCTGTGTCTGCCCCTAGTTAAGTGCCTGTGTTGTTTAGTGTCTCACAGGATTGTCTGTTTCCATAGCATCTGCATCATGCTACTTTTATTATAGTTTTATTTATATTGTCTACTAGACAGAAAGGTCTTGAATTCAGAGACTATATTTTGTTCATTTTCGTATTTTCAGTGCACAGGAGGACATCCTCTACAGAGTTGGCACTCAACTAAAAGTTTTGTCAAAGGACTGTTTCACATACATCATCTCTCTATATATCATGGTATGCACATATTTCAGACCCAGGAAGATGCTTATTTTAGTAATTCTTAAGTGAACTATATTTTAGAGGGTGATATGGATAACAGTAACAGTAATAGCTAAAGTTTATTGTGTTCGCACATGTTAATTCTTATATCTCATAACTCTGAGTTACATACAGTTGTTATTCCCATCTTCAGATGAGAAAACTGAAGCACAGAGAAGTAAAGTGACTTACCAGTGTGACCTAGAGTAGTACATGATGGGGATTTGAACCAAGTTGGTGTATTTTAATCACTAGGATATATTGCCTAAAATATGAAAATTTGGTTTTTAGTATTTTAGTAGTTTTTCCTAAGCAGATTTTAACTTACTAATCAGACTTCCAGGCTTATTCATTTTACTTCTAAACTTTTGTTAACTTTTTTTTGCATGAGTTTTTATACACGTGTGAAGATAAGATTTAAAAAAATACAAAAACCCCAACCAAACAACCCAATTTAGAAAGCTGTACCAGCTGTGCAAATCCTACACTTCATTTTTTTAAGATAAGTTTTGTCCATTCATGGAAAATGTTAGAGATACATCAATGAAAAATTTTATTTCCATGTTAGATAATCTAATTTGTAATTCCATTTATCTTGATATTTTGGCCTCATAAACCCACTGGAGCCATAACAAGTAAATACTAGAATTTGAACAAAAAACTTCCCACTGTCAGTATCGGAGCAGTCTATTTATTGTGGAGGCTTTATAACCTGATGGACAAGGCTTTAAACTAAATTATAATGCTTTAGTGGCAGATCTTTGACTCTGTTAATAGTATTCAGTATGGGCAAGGGGAAGAGGATGTGCAGTCTAGCTAATCTGTAAAAAAGTATTTTAAAAAAATACTTAGTTTTAATTCTTTTATTGCTAACAACAACAACAACAACAACAATAACAAAACCTTTGGTAGCATGTATTATATAGCAAACCTAATTGAGAGGCAGGATTTGAATGGATTGATAGGAATTTATCAGTCATGGAGTGGAAAGATATGCAGAGCAGAGCAGATCCAGGTGGTAGGTTGTCAAACTTGAATTAAATTTTTCCAATGTGGCTTCATCATTAGGTCTGAAATTTAATGAATTTCAAGAAGGCAATTTAACCTGTATTTAAATAAAAGTGATTATATTCTACATAGATTCATTAGCCAAATATAAGTATTTTGGGGGGATGACTTAAAATATTTTTTCCTCTTCATCTATGTGGATTGTTAAGAATTGGTTATACTCATAAATTTGTGCTTTTCCTTGAAAACTAATTAGCTGGAGTAAATAAACTACTAGGTTTAAATTCTTGCTGTTAATATGATAAGTTGTGTGACTTCATGATTCCCCACTGGACACTTAGGTAAGTGCTTCCTATCTGAGGATGAATGTAGTTCCTCTGGTGAAGGTCAGAGGGGTTTGTGTGAGGCTAATCATACTCATCCTGTCTCCTAAGACCAGAGACATGTTTTACTTTTTTCCTTTTTTGATACTGTATATTTGCCTCATAAAAAATATAAAATTTCCCTTTTCCTTGCCGATTTCTTTTAAACATCTGTGTAAATATGTAGTTTAGTTCAACTTTGTATACTACTCTGTTACTTATTTCATTTACTTAAAGATACTTATTTCATTTACTTAAAGATACACATGGCTGGGCGCGGTGGCTCACGCCTGTAATCCCAGCACTTTGGGAGGCTGAGGCGGGCGGATCACGAGGTCAGGAGATCGAGACCATCCTGGCTAACACGGTGAAACCCTGTCTCTACTAAAAATACAAAAAAATTAGCTGGGCGTGGTGGTGGGCGCCTGTAGTCCCAGCTACTCGGGAGGCTGAGGCGGGAGAATGGTGTGAACCTGGGAGGCAGAGCTTGCAGTGAGCTGAGATGGCGCCACTGCACTCCAGCCTGGGCGACAGAGCAAGACTCCGTCTCAAAAAAAAAAAAAAAAAAAAAAGATACACATATTTATTAATGCTGGACACTATTCCCGGCATTTGTAAATAGTAATTCATTTGCTTCTCCTAACAATCACATGAAGTCCTGTTATTATCCCGACTTTATAGATGAGGAAATTGAGGCATAGAGAAGTTAAGTAATGTATCCAAGGGCCAGGCACAGTGGCTCATGCCTGTAATCCCGGCATTTAGGGAGGCTGAGGTGGGCAGATGGCTTGAGCGCAGGAGTTCGAGACCAGCCTGGACAACATGGTGAAACCCTGTCTCTACAAAAATATACAAAAATTAGCCGGGCATTGTGGTGCACGCCTGTAGTTGCAGCTAGTTGGGAGGCTGAGGTGGATCGCCTGAGCCCAGGAGGTTGAGGCTGCAGTGAGCCGTGATTACGCCACTACACTCCAGCCAGGGCAACAGAGTGAGGCCTTGTCTAAAAAAAAAAAAGGAATGTACCCAGGCACACATAGAGAATATTTAGCAGAGCCAGGATTCAGACTGGGCTGAGTACATGCTCTTAACAGTTACACTATTCTGTCAATGTTATTTCCTTGAATGGATGCACTATAATTGGTTAACTACTCTTCTTTAGGTAGGATGTTAGTCATGAATCCTTTGGTTACACGTAATAACAACACGACTTTGTTAAGTTAAAAAATGAGTGTATTGGTTCACATACTGGGTATTGTATGTGGAGGGTGATGGAATGGCTTTGGAAACAGCTAGATCCAAGGTTGCAAGTAATGTCATTGGGTTTCTTTGTCTCCTTTCTGGGTTTTTCTAGCCTCTTGCTTCTGGAGCCCCAGACATATACCTTTAGCTTAGCAACCACACTTGAAAGACAGCTTCTCTTTCCTGATGTCCACATGTCAGTTGTGTTGTTGGTAATCAATTCTGATTGTCAGTTCCTTAACCAATCATTGGAACCTGGGAGATGAGCTACAGCAAGGGTAGCCACTGTGGTGGCTGTGGTTAGGGTGAGTTGGGGAACCCACAGAAAGCCAGGATTGACAGTCCCCTTGAGATGACATGAATTGGATGAGGTGTAGTTTTCCTGAGGAAGGGATGATAATGAGCAAAAAACAACTATAGCGAATCATTTAGGTTATGTCTTTTTAATTTTAACTTTATAACTGTCATAGATAATGATACAGTAACTGAGTAAAAGCCTCCTTTTTTTTAAATACTAGATTTTCAGTCATGGAATTACGAGAGCAGAGTATAAAACAATTTTAGGGCTTTCGGTAAATGTTGCCAGATTATTTTTTTGAAGGATACGTGTACTTAGCTCATATACCAACAGCAGGCATGAGGTGAGCATGTACTTTTGAACCAGGTAGGGTTCAACTCATCTTAGAAATACTGTACTGGGCTTAAATATTAACACATGCCTTGCACTTAATCACAGGGTTGCAGACTTGACACTGAGCAAATATCTAATGCAGTTTATCAAATGTTTCATTATATTTTATCTGGCTATTTTTTATTTTCATTTAAAAATTTTTATTATACAGTCTTTCGTTCGTTCGTTTGTTCTTTCTTTCTTTCTTTTTCTTTTTCCTTTTTCTTGAGACAAGGTCTCACTTTGTCACCCAGGCTGGAGCACAGTGACATGATCACGGCTCACTGCAGCCTCCAACTCCTGGGCTCAAGCATACTTCTTCATCTCAGCCTCCCAAGTAGCTGGGACTACAGGTGCACGCCACCATATCCTGCTGATTTTTTAACTTTTTGTGGAGACATGGTCTCCCTATGTTGCCCAGGCTGGTCTTGAACCCCTGGGCTCAACCAGTCCTCCTGCCTCTGCCTCCCAAAGTGTTGGGATTACAGGCTTGAGCCATTGTGCCCAGTCTATTGTATAGTTTTAAAAAACAAAACCAAAAGGCTAATAAATGGCACCCCTTTGCAAGCTCTTCCCCCTCCTTTCTTTTTCTTCCCAGTGTCTCCTACTTCTCTGACCTAGTTGACAGCATTATACTTTTGGATGTTGGTAGCATGTATAAAGTACATTATTACATAACAAGTTAATATAACATAATAGTTTCAAGGGTTTTGCCACTTAATTATACTAAGTTACTTAACCTCTCAATGCCTTATCTGTAGATTTTGTTTTTGATAGGGTGGGATAGTAATAGTAACTACAAGGTTTCACAAGGTTGTGAAATTGAATGAGAAATACATGGCACTTTAACAAGTCACTATGGATTATTTAATTTCTTTTCTTCTTCTTCTGCTGCTGCTTCTCCCTGCCCGCCCCTACCCTTTTTTTTAGAGACAGGGTCTTGCTCTGTTGTCCAGGCTAGAGAGAAATACAATTTATTTACTCCCAGTAAGGAAAATCTTAGAAATGTTAAAAAAAAAAAAAAAAAAAAAAAAGAAAAGTAATTCAAAGGATGAAAAATGACTATTTGCATAATATTTACCACAGTATTATATAGTGACAAGAAATGAGACCAACAACTAGATTAAGTTTTGGTATACATATCAACAAAATCAACTAAAGCAACGTGATATATATATATATCGCACATACACACACACGCACACGCACACACACACACACATATATATATATATATATATATTTTTTTTTTTTAAGACAGAGTCTCACCCTCTTACCCAGGCTGGAGTGTAGTGGCACGATCTCGGCTCACTGCATCCTCTGCCTCCAGGGTTCAAATGATTCTCACATCTCAGCCTCCTGAGTAGCTGGGACTACTATGCATCACCACGCCCAGCTAATTTTTGTATTTTTGGTAGAGAGGGGGTGTCACCATGTTGGCCAGGCTGGTCTCGAACGCCTGACCTCAGGTGATCTGCCCTTCTGGGCCTCCTAAAGTGCTGGGATTCCAGGTGTGAGCCACTGTGCCCAGCCTTGTATACATTCACTTAAAAAATAAGTAGGAAAACTGTGCAATATGGAAACATGTACAAATGACGGAACATTGCCTAAAAGTTACTTTGCAATGACTCCATAATATTAGCTTGTTTTTTGTCTCGCCTTTCTCTCAAAAGAAAAAATACACCACCAAGAGCAACAATGACAAACAGCATGCCCAAAGTCACGCAGATGAGAAGTGATTGAAAAAAGGATGTCAACCCAAGTCCACACTTCTAATCCCTATACCACACTGCCTATGTTCCCACTAATAGTAATACACACATTATTAGGCACCTAGTGCACATAAAGCACTCTTTCTCCTTGGTACTAATAAGAACACACAAAAAAACACAATATAGGCCCCTTTCAAAATTTGCAATATAGTGCTTTACAGTATGCAGCTGCTGCTGGGTGTGGTGGCTCATGCCTGTAATAGCAGCACTTGGGGAGGCCGAGGTGGGCGGATCATGAGGTCAGGAGATCAAGACCATCCAGGCTAACACGGTGAAACCCCATCTCAAGTAAAAATACAAAAAATTAGCCGGGCGTGGTGGCACACGCCTGAAATCCCAGCTACTCGGGAGGCTGAGGCAGGAGAATCGCTTGAACCTGGGAGGCGGATGTTGCAGTGAGCCGAGATTGCACCATTGCACTCCAGCCTGGGAGACAGAGTGAGACTCTGTCTCAAAAAAAAAAAAGGAATGACTGCATACCAATACAAAGTATAAACACTGCTAATCCAAATCTAGTGCTTGATGCTTAAATGGTATAACTGCGTCTCATACATGTGATCAATTCTAAAGCCACAGAAAATTACAGGCACTAAGATGATGAAAGCAGCAATTTAGGATATCATTTGAAATCTACATCTGTGAGCTACAGTTCTTCAACAGGCTGGAGAAACAGACCATCTAAGTCAAGCATGCTGTGGCTATAAGGAACATTTATTCAGATAGTATTTGGTCCCTATTCTTTGCCACATAAACAGAGAGGAAAACATTTAAATTCTAAAGTATCATTATATCCACACATAATAGTGATAGTTAAAACATAAGCCAGGTGCAGTGGAGCATGCCTGTAGTCCCAGCTACTTGGGAGGCTGAGGCAGGAGGATCATTTGAGCCCAGAAGTTGAAAGGCTGTACTGTGCTATGATCACAACTGTGAATTACTTTTTGTTTTTTACATTTCAAAGATTTGGCTTACTGGGCAAAGGGGGCGAGTATTTTTATGTCGTTTAATCTCTGTTGTCACTGTTGTTTTCTTAGTGGAATAACTGGGATTTTAGTCTATTGTTCTCTGAGATGAATCAGTTGTCAGAGCTATAGAGTTTTATAGAAAACTTATTGGCATAGTTTGTTCATTCAGCAAGTATTTTTGGACCTGAAGCCTAGTAATGAGGAAACAAAGATAAATATGATGAAGTTAGTCCTTGCTTTCTAGGAGCTTGGTCACAGTCTAGTGAGGAAGGATAATTTCTAACATTTAATTTATACTTTTGAAGAACACCTTGTGGGTTAGATAAAACAACCCGAATTGCCAGTTTTCAGCTTCTGAGATAAGCTATATCAAGGTGTTATATTCATTGGTCATTTGGTTGCTAGAAATTAACTTAAGCAAAACAGATTTATTAGTAGTAGAAGGTTATAGAGCTGGGTATCCCTTAGACCCCAGTTAGGCCTTAAGGAGGCCTACTGAGGTAGAAACCGGAAATTCAGGAATCACAGTAGCATTGTTCTCTTGTGGATCATTGAGCAACTGTTTCCAGTGCTGTGAAATAAAGTTTTCTAAAAAGGAGAAGTGGGAAGGAAGGAAATTGTATTTCTGCCACAGAGGTTGTGAACAAAGTACTCCCTACAGAAGGGAGTTACACAGTTTTCCTCCAGTTTAACTGCTGTTAAAATGGTATCTTGTTTCAGTTGATATGTCTTGATTGGTAGTGAGATTGAACTTAATATTTTTATCAAGAGCCCAAAGCCAATTTTTCTTGACGTCTGTATCTTAGACATGAGAATATATGGTAGTGATGTTAATTCTTGTTACATTTGATGAAACTATTTCCACCGTCATATTTTTTCTTTTATATATTTGAATATTTTCCATTGTATAAAGTTTTATGCTTTTATTGAATTCAATACCAGTTGTTCTTTATATTTTATTTATTTTCTTATCAGATGGGTCATATGCTGATGTCATAACAAGGTTTGAGAGAGGCACCTCTTGTGTGTGAGCACCCAGTCATCACACTTAAGAACTACAAAAGAATCACATTCTTACAGAGTCTCACTCTGTTGTCCCGGCTGGAGTATAGTGGCGCAATCATAGCTCACTGCAGCCTGGAACTCCTGGGCTCAAGTGATCTTCCCACCTCTGCCTCCTAAATAGCTAGGACTTCAGGCACACTTCAGTATGACTGGCTCTTTATGATACTTTAATGAGTATAAGTCTTTAAAAGTTACTGCTTTCTGAAGTTCAAGTACTCTAATTTTAGTGTGATTCAACTGATTTTATTTCTAAATTTTATATATTTTATCTTTCATATTGAAGCATAACACATACTGAAAAGGCACACAAAGTAGTGCTCAGTAAGTTATTATAAACTCTGACCTGTGTAACGACCACTGAGACAAGAAATAGAATATTGCCAGCACTTCAAACACTCTCCTTCCCCATCAGTCACTACCTTCTCCATGCTCCCCAAAGTAACCATTATTCTGATTTAGTTATGCCTGTTTTTGAGTTTGATATAAATGGATCCACGCATTATATATTTTGTATCTAGATATTTTTGCCCCACATATTATTTGTAAGATTCATCCACATTATTTTCTGAAACTGTAATTTTAATTGCACTATAATATTACTTTGTGTGAATGTACTACATTTTATACTTTGTTGATTGACATTTGGATTGTTTCCACTTGACAAAATATTAATAATGGTATTATGAACATGTTTATACCTGTCTCTTCATACATTATATTTGTTTTTTGTTTTTTTTTTTTTGAGACAGAGTCTCACCCTGTTGCCCAGTCTGGAGTGCTATGGCACAATCTCGGCTCACTGCAGCCTCCGCTTCCCGGGTTCAAATGATTCTCCTGCCTCAGCCTCCCGAGTAGCCGGGATTACAGGTGCCCGCCACCATGCCCAGCTAATTTTTGTATTTTTAGTAGAGACAGGGTTTCACCATGTTGACCAGGCTGGCCTCGAACTCCTGACCTCGTGATCCACCCGCCTTGGCCTCCCAAAGTGCTGGGATTACAGGTGTGAACCACTGTGCCCGGCCTTTTTTTGTTTGTTTGTAGTCTGTGTCTTGCTCTGTCGCAGTGGTGCGATCTCGGCTCACTGCAACCTCTGCCTCTTGGATTCAAACGATTCTCCTGCCTCAGCCTTTCCAGTAGCTAGGACTACATGCGTGCATCTCCACGCCTGGCTAATTTTTGTGTTTTTGTTAGAGACGGGTTTCACCATGTTGGCCAGGCTGGTCTCGAACTCCTGGCCTCAAGTGATCTGCCCATCTTGGCTTCCTAAAGTGCTGGGATTATAGGTGTGAGCCACCGTGCCTGGCTGTAAGATGGTATCTGTGTGGTTTTAATTTTTCATTTCCCTGATGACTAAGGATGTTTACCACTTTTTCATAAAGTTTATTGGCCTTTTCGTTATCCTTTGTGAAGTGCTTGTTCAAATCTTTTGTTCATTTGTCTGTTGTGTTTGTCTTTTAAAAACCATACTTGAAGGCATTCTTTTTGTATTTTGGATGAGAAGTCTTATTTTTTATTAAAACTTTTTCCCCCTATTCTGTGGCCTGCTTTTGTCTTCTCTTTATGGTATTTAAGAAGCCTTTTCTTATCTCAAGTTCATAAAAATGTTTTCCCATATTTTCTGTTTTTAATATAGGCATTATAGCTGTAAATTTCCCTCTAAGCACTGATTTAGTTCATTCCATAAGTTTTGATATGTTGCCTTTTTGTTTTTATTCATCTCAAGTATTTTCTAATTTTTCTTTTTATTTCATTTGACCCATTATTTATTTAGGAATATGTTAATTTCTGCATATTTGTGAATTTCTCGATTTTTTTTCTGTTACTGAGTTCTAATTTAATTCTATTGTGATCAGAGAACGTACTTTGTATCCTTTTTATCCTTTTCAGTTTGTTGATGCTGGTTTTATGGTCTAGCATAGATCATCTATCCTGGAGAATGTTCCATGTGTGCTTTTTTAGAAAAATGTGTATTGTGTTGTTGGGCAGAACGTTCTCTAGCTGTCTTTTCCATCTAGTTGATTATAGTGTTTGTTTTCTGTTTCCTTATTGATCTTCTGCCTAGTTCTATTCATTATTGAAAGTGGGCCATTTAATTCTTCCAACTATTGTTCTTGGCTTGTCTATTTCTCCCTTTAATTCTGTCAGTTTTGCTTCATGTAATTTGGGGCTCTGTCATAAAGTGCAAGTGATTAGAATTCTTATATCTTCCTAATAAATTGACCCTTAATTGTTTTAAAATGTTTCTCTTGACCTCTCAAAACACCAGTTTTTAAAAGTTTGTCTGATACTAGTATATTCATGCCAGCTCTTTTGCATGGTATGTTTTTTCCCATCCATTTACTCTTATCCTGTCCCGTTTGTATTTTTGAATCTAAAATATGTCTTAAGTAGACAGCGTTTAATTGGATCTTATTCTTTTAAAACCCAATCTGGTAATTTCTGCCTCTTGAGTGTATTATTTAATCCATTCACATTTAGTGTTACTGATAGGGTTAAATTTGTCTGCCACTTTGTTTTGTTTTCTATAGGTCTCATTTCTCTTTTGTCCTCTTTCCCTCCTCTACTGCTGTCTTTTGCATTACATGAGTATTTCCCAGTGTAACATTTTAATTTCTTTAATCATTTTAAAACTATATTTGAATTACTAGTGATTACTGTAGGGTTTACATTTATATATCTTAGCTTATCAGAGTCTACTTCATAGCTACATTAATTCTTGCAATATATAGAAACTTTAGTCCTGTATAGCTCTACTATTCCACCTCCCCCACCTTTTTTTTTTTTTTTTTTTTTTTTTTTTTTTTTTTTTTTTTTTTTTTTTTTTTGGAGATAGAGTCCCACTCTTCTGCCCAGTCTGGAGTGCAGTGGTGTGATCTTGGCTCACTGCAACCTCTGCCTCCTGGGTTCAAACAATTCTCATGCCTCAGCCTCCCGAGTAGGTGGGGATTACAGGCATGTGCCACCACACCCAGCTAACTTTTTGTATTTTAGTAGAGATGGGGTTTCACTGTGTTGACTGGGCTGGTCTTGAATTCCTGACCTCAAGTGATCCTCCCACCTTGGCCTCCCAAATGTATCTTTTGATGAAACTGAGATAAGGAAAATACATTTTATAGTTTTTGTACTAACCTTACTTGTCTATTCATTTACCATTTGATATCATTTCCTTACTTTCAGTAAAGTTTGTCACTACTGACCCCTTTGTCCATTCGTGCATTCATTCATTCATTCCTTCATTCAGTCATTCATTTATTGAGAGACGGAGTCTCGATTTGTCGCGCAGGCTGGAGTAGTGGCATGATCTTGGCTCAATGCAACTTCTGTCTCTGAGTTCAAGTGATTCTGGGTTCAAGCGAATCCCTCCGGAGTAGCTGGGATTACAGGTGTGAGCCACCATGCTCAGCCCTGATTTCTGATTTGACTCCATTCTAGTAAGATTTAAATCCCTAAGACTTAAGTTCTTGGAAATTTGAGACTTGCTTTATGGTTCAACATATGGTCTTTTTGGGTAAACATTCCTTGTGTACAACAACAAAATATTTATAGACTACAGTTGTTAGATGTGGTGTAATATGTTCTATCAAGTTTGTTTCTGTTTCAGATTTTTACTGCTTTTGCATTTGTTTGCTCCTATTCAGACAAAGGTTTGTTAAAATATCCCCAAATGATTATAACATTTGTCTCTCTGTTTAATTTGTCAGTTTTTGTTTTATATATTTTGATTATGTTAAAGTGCTGACAAGTCAAGGTTTTTTTAAATCTACCTGGTGAATCAAACTTTTTATTATTGTGACGTGTCCCTCTTTATCTCAGTATTGCATTTTACCTTGTAGTGTTTTTAATCTAGTGTTAAGGCAGATACACTAACTTTCATTTGGTGTTTGCATGCTACAGCTTTTTCCATTCTTTCAGCTTTCGCGTTTTAGCCATATCTTTTAAGTTGCATATACTAGTTTAAATAAACTAGTTTGACCATGTTTGTTCTTTAATTGGAACATGTAGTACATTTACATTTAATATACTTGCTGATATGTTTAAATTGATATTCCTAATAAATGATTTCTGTTTATCCTGTTTGAACTTTCTCTTATTCTCCTTTTCTGCTGCTTTTGGGATTATTATTATTTTTTGTTCCAAATACCCCCCACCCCCCAACTTGGCTTAATAGTTAGACCATCTTTTTTTAAATTTGTTTTTAATATTTATCCTAGAGATTACAATATGCCTCCTTTCTGTGTTAAAGTGTGATATAAGTTAGCACTTTTTTCTCTTTCTGGTCAGTGCAGCAACATTAGAAAACATTAACTGTACATTTCCCTCTCCAGAATTACATACTATTGCCAGATAGTTTAGTTCTCTGATATTTTAACTCCCCACAAGATATTACCATTAGTGTTTTATTCAGTAATTATACATTTAAATTTGTTTATATACTCAGTTTTTTTCTTCAATCTTTAGTGCATTTCCAGGCTTCTAGCTGGGTTGATTTTCTCTCTGAAAATACTCTTTTTTTTCTCTATTTGGGCCTATCTGTTGAGGAATTCTTTTTTGCTTATCTGATAATGCTTTTTTTTCATTTTTATTCTTGAAGGGATTTTTTTGGGGGGAGGGAGCTGGATACAGAAATCTTGGTTGGCAGTTTTTTTCATTTGTCATGTTGCAGCTATGCACAGTGCCCTTGAGACCTGGTTTCCAGAGTTTCTGTTGAGAAGTCAACTATCAGTCTTACTGTTGCTCCTTTGACTGTAATCTAGCTTGTAGATCTCTGGTCACTTTTTGTTTTTGTTGGAGTGGGGGTGTTTATATTTGGTTTTCAGCAGTTTTACTGTGATATGTCTAGGTGTGATCTTTTATTTGTTCAGCTTGGTGTTTATAGGACTTCTTATAACTGTGACGTAGGACTGCACTGCCCAGTGCCAGCCACTAGCTGCATGTAACTGTTGATACCAATTAACATTTAAAAAGTTAAAAATTCAATTCCTCACATTTTAAGTTCTCAGTAGACAAATGTTTCTATTAGTTACTCTATTGGCAGATGGAGAACATTTCCATCATTCTATCAATAGAATAGAAAGTTCTGTTGCACAGGACTGATGAGCTCGTTCGTCAGTTTTGGAAAATTCTCAGACTATATCACTTCGGATAGTGCTTCTGTCTTGTCATCTTCTTTCCTCCTGGTACTCCAGTTATACATGTATTAAACATTCTTAAATTTGCCCTATGTTTCTTACATCCTTTTTTGTATGTTTTATCTTTTTATTCCTGTGTGCATTTTTAAAGATATATTTTTCTGACCAATCTTCCATTTCATTAATTCTCTTAGGCTGTGTCTAATATGCCATCAGACTCATACACTGAGTTCTTTAATTTAGTTTATTTTACTTTTTGGTTCTAGAATTTCAATTTTATTCTCTTTAGTTTCAGGTTTTCTGCTAAAGTTCTCAGTGTTAACTACTCAGCATACTTATTCGAGAGTCTGTGTCTGATAACTTAATTATCTAGATACCTTTGGGTCTTGTTCCATGTTTCATTTGCATTTTATTTGCGTTATTTTCTTGGATTTCTGGTTAATTTTTATTGTGTATGAGACATTTGATGTGAAAAACTGTAGAAATAATTTGAGGCCTAGAATAATGGTAGTCTTCCATGACATAAAATTTACATTTAATTTTGACAGAAACATAGGGGCCCTATAAATCTGCTTTTCTTAATTCACTTTTAAGGATTGAGATTATTTGAATCTGGGCTTTAATTGTAATTCTTTTGCTCTGAGGTTGAGATCCCAACCCAGAGTTTGGGGGAGGCTCAGGGTCTCATTTTTGTCTGGCTAACCCAGTGAGGCTTTCAGATGTTTTGCTTAGCTTTCCAGCCTCACAGTCACTACTTAAATCAGCAGATGCCTGTAGGGGAGAAGAAACCTGGTATACCAGACTCACTTCTGGGAACTTAGTGAATTCTGGCCCCATTTCTTTACTGCCTGATCTCTAGAAGTAGAGTTTTCGTTTTTTAAACTTAGTTCAACTTTTCAAGTTTCTTCAGCCAGAAGATTGGTTTGATGACCTGATCACCATTACTGGAAGGAGAAAGTCCTTGTTTGCTTTTATTTTTAATTCTTTAATTGGCTTTGAAATTTTGGGTGAATCTGAATCTTTTTCTCCTCTTAACCACGCTCTTCTTCTCTCACTCTCTTTATCTTCCTTTTGTTTAAATTATCAATTGGTTATATCGGGTCCACAACACCAGGGCTGCATACCTGTACTGGTCGCTATCCTGTGAGGAATGAGCCACACAGCGGGAGGTGAGCAGCAGGCCAGTGAGCATTCCCGCCTGAGCTCCACCTCCTGTGAGATCATCCGTGGCATTAGATTCTCAGAGGAGCGTGGACCCTGTTGTGAACTGCACATGCGAGGGATCTAGGTCGCTTGCTCCTTATGAGAATCTAACTAATGCCTGATGATTTGAGGTGTAACAGTTTCATCTGAAACCATCTCCACTCCACCCCACCCCACCCCACCCCACCCCTGGTCCATGGAAAAATTGTCTTCCATGAAACTGGCCACTGGTGCCAAAAAGGTTGGGGACCACTGGGTTATATAC
Organism: Homo sapiens; assembly: GCF_000001405.40. Taxonomy (NCBI): domain Eukaryota; kingdom Metazoa; phylum Chordata; class Mammalia; order Primates; family Hominidae; genus Homo; species Homo sapiens. The sequence continues at coordinate 171,139,734 of NC_000002.12, read as the reverse complement.
AGAGTTTGAATAGGACCAACTTGTGGAGCAGTTAGCCATCTGGAATTGTAGGTTTAATTGGAAGCAGAACTATTTTTGCCTTTGATGCCTTGAAGATAACCGGTTTTTGTTGTTGTTGTTGTTGTTTGTTTGTTTGTTTTTGAGACAGAGTCTCACTCTGTTGCCCAGGCTGGAGTGCAGTGGTGGGATCTCGGTTCACTGCAACCTCTGCCTCCCAGATTCAAGCGATTCTCCTGCCTCAGCCTCCCGAGTTAGCTGGGACTCGTGTGCCACCATGCCCAGCTAATTTTTGAATCTTTAGTAAAGACAGGGTTTCGCCTTGTCGTCCAGGCTGGTCTCAAACCCCTGACCTCTGGAGATCTGCCCGCCCCTGCCTCCCAAAGTGCTGGGATTACAGGCGTGAGCCACCATGCCCAGCCAGATTACTGTTATTTTAAGTTTTTTTGGCAACCGGCTAGTACCAATGTAAGTTAAGTTTGGATTCAAATAAAATCGTCAGAGCATTACAATATATTTTTAAAAGACAGCTCTTCGTGAAATAACATTATATATAATATGTGTGTGTATATATATATCCTATTCCTTTAATGCTGGGTATTTTCTCAGCTCTGTACTCAATTCTTTGTCCTGTAAGTAAAAATGTGATACACGTCTTAGTCACTTTGCTTCTTTTAAATTATAACCCTTTGAGCAGTAGTTTAATATAAAAAAGTTTTAGCTTTCGAAACAGACTTTTAGAGTTGCTCATACTGTATAACACCCTTTATGCCTTTGGAAAATTTCATCTTATGTATTGTAGTTACTGTTTCAATTTATTGATTATTTAGTAAAAAAATATGAATGTCTTTGTGGATGTTACTGTATTGTACGAGTTGTAACTTTAGAGTGCCACTAGCAACATACATATGAACCAGTTTAATGGAAACATTACTGCTCTTAGTATTTTTAGGAAGTGTTTGGCTTGTTAAGTAGGGGTGGTATTACATGTTATTTTACTTACTACATATATTTGATTACCAAGAGATTAAGCAGTTTTCCACGTGTTTATTACTGTTTCTATTTGTGACTTGTTTTAAAAATTAAAACAGTCTTAAATCTCATCTTGGACTTGTTACTCCTGCTCATTACTGCCAAGGCTTACTATAGTATTTACAAACTACAAGGAGTGTGATAGTTTTTATGTTAAGATTACTTAAATTTCTTTGGACTAATTTTCTTCTCTAGCTTGAGAAAAAAATGATTGGGATTTTTAAGAGGGATTACGTTATTTCGTACTGTCCTCCAAATGCTGCCATCTGAAATTTGAAGGTTTGCAGTATTTTTTAGATAAGTATACCTTGGTATGGGAGCCTCTGTGCTAGGACCAATTTATAGTAGTTCTCTACTCTCTATTTGCTATTATAAAGCCAAAATAAATATATTAAATATGTCGTTGTAAGTATATTAGTATTTAGCAAATTCTCTTCTTCCTTAAATTTTATGTTAATAAGTTAACTGGCTAAAACAAATGTGTACATGGCCAGTTAGAACACTGTCTAAAACTTCTTGATATAAGCAAACATTTTAGTTATCTTTGAAAGCTCACACGATAAATTACAACCCCTATCTCTACCCCCTTGAGCTTGCTTTTAAGAAAGTGATAAAAGTGATGCAAACTTTTTATCATTAGTTCTCAATAATTTTATTGTATAATTTAACTTTTATAGGATGCCTTTTCTAAATTTGTATGAAGTAAAAATAACTTTCAGTCCAGTTATTTGAGAAGACAAAGCTGTATAACTGAATAGTTGTATAAATCCTGTTTATTAAGAGTGCTCAAAGAGCTTAATAACTAATGAAAGTTTTTTTTTTATTTTTTACTTTTTTATTTTATTTTATTTTTTTTTGAGACAGAGTCTCACTCTGTCACCCAGGCTGTAGTGCAGTGGCGCGATCTCAGCTCACTGCAACCTTCACCTCCTGGGTTCAAGCATTTCTCCTGCCTCAGCCTCCCGAGTAGCTGGGACTACAGGCACACGCTGCCACACCCGGCTAATTTTTTGTATTTTAGTAGAGACGGGGTTTCACCATGTTGCCCAGGTTGGTCGCGAACTCCTGAGCTCAGGCAATCCGCCCACGTTAGCCTCCCAAAGTGTTAGGATTACAGACGTGAGCCACTGCGCCTGGCTGAAAGTTTATCTTAAAACTGAGGCTTATTCCGGATACTAAAGATATTAAACAAGGCATATGTGCATGTGCCTGGGTGTATATGTAGATGGCTTGGGGGTAGAAATAAAATAAAAAGCCACAGAAAAGGCTATGGCTTTTTATTTTTTAAAAAATCACTTCATTGAATCAACATTTTAATTTGTTGATATTCTTTTTTGAATTTACTTCGTTTTATTTCTGCTCTGCATCTAATTCCTTATTTGGGATAAGATATAGAGCATGAGTCAGCAAACTTTTTTTTTTTTGAAACAGGGTCTCACTCTGTCACCCAGCCTGGAGTACAGTGGCATGATCTCAGCTCATTGCAGCCTTGACCTCCAAGCCTCAAGCAGTCCTCTCACCTTGCCTGGCTAATTTTTATATTTTTTGTAGAGATGGGTTTCACCATGTTACTCAGACTGTTTTTGAATTCCTGAGCTCAAGCAATCCACCAGTCTTGGCTTCCCAAAGTGCTGGGATTACAAGTGTGAGCCACCACACCTGGCCTAAACTGTTTTAAAAGAGTTGTCACAACTACGACAGGTGCTTGTGTTTGTGTGGTAAAGTGCAGCCATAGACAATATGCTAACAAGTGGGATGACTGTGTTCTTTAAAACCTTACTATGGACACTGATATTTGAATTTCATATTGATTTTACTAATCACAAAGTAGTCTTGATTTTTTTACCTTATAATATTTAACAGGGTAGTCACTGCTGCCCGTCCTTGTATAGAGTAACTTTCCTTGAGGAAGTTCAACCCTTCTAGTTACCCAGCTATCCAGGTAGTTGAAAGTTTTAAGTTAAAGAGCAGATGTTTCTCTGACTTTTCATAGATCAAGAAAAGTCAAGGACCAAAATTGTTAGCTCTGTACATATGCAAACATTTTAGCCATTTTTTTTCAAAATTGTAATTGTGGTTAAAAAACACACGACATAAAATGTACCATCTTAGCCTTTTCTTTTCCTTTCCTGTCCTGTCTTGTCCTGTCCTTTTTTGAGACAGCGTCTCACTCTGTCACCCAGGCTGGAGTGCAGTGGTGCAACCTCCGCCTCCCAGGTTCACTTGCCTCAGCCTCTGGAGGCTGCCACCCTGCCTGGCTACCTCTTAGCCATTTCTAAGTCGGTAGTGTTAAGTGTATTCCTGTTGTTGTGCAGCTAATCTCCAGAATGTTTTCGTTTTGTCAAACTGTAACTTTACACCCATTAAACAACTTTCTAATTCCCCTCTGCCCCTAGGCCCCAGCAACCACTATTCTACTTTCTGTCTCTGTAAGTTTCACTACTCTAGATACCTCACAGAACTGGAATCATATAGTATTTGTCATTTTGTGTCTGACTTATTTCCCTCAACATAACGTCTTCAAGGTTCACCCATATTGTGTCATGTTTCAGTGTTTCCTTCCTTTTTAAGGCTGAATAATATTCCATAGTACGTGTGTACCACATTTTGTTTATCCATTCATCTTTTGATTGGACATGGGTTGCTTCCACTTCTTGGGTATCGTGAGTAGTGCTGCTATGAACATGGGTGTGCAGCAATGTCTTTGAGATCCTGCTTTCTATTTTCTATCTAGCTGTACCATTTTACATTCCTACTGACAGTACACAAAGGTTCCCATTTTTCCACAATCCTTGACAACACTTTTTTTCAGTGTTTTTGATGGTAGCCATTCTAATAGGTGTGAGGTGATATCTTATTGTATTTTTTTATTTACATTTTGCTAATAATTAGTGGTGTTGAGCATCTTTTTCTTTTTTTCTTGTCGCCCACGTTGGAGTGCAGTGGTGCGACCTCAGCTCACTGCAGCCTCTGCCTCCCGGGTTCAAGCGATTCTCCTGCCCCAACCTCTGGAGTAGCTGGGATTACAGGTGCCCACCACCACTCCCGGCTAATTTTTTACATTTTTAGTAGAGATGGGGTTTTACCATGTTGGCCAGGATGGTCTCGAACTCCTGACCTCAGGTGATCCACCCTCCTCGGCCTCCCAAAGTGCTGGGATTATAGGCATGAACCACCGTGCCTGGCCATCTTTTTCTTTTTTAAGAGATAGGATCTTGTTACATTGCCCAGGCTGGCCCCAAACTCCTGAGCTCAAATGATCCTCCCACCTCAGCCTCCAGACACTATGCCTAGCTCAATTAATATTTTTAATTGGCAAATCATAATTGTATACATTTATGGGGTACAGTGTCATGTTTTGATATATATATATATATATATATATACACACACACACACACAAACACACACATAATGTGGAATGATTAAACAAAGCTAATTAACATATCGGTCACCTCCTTTAATTTTTCCAGCAAGACATTTGAAATTTATTCTTTTAGCTATTTTGAAATACATGTCATATATCATTATTAACTATAGTCACCCTGCTGTGCGATGGATCTCAAAAACTTATTTTTTCTGTCTAACTCAAACTTTGTGTCCTTTGACCAACATTTCCTCATTTCTCCCAGCCCCTGGTAACCACTATTCTTTCTGCTTTTGTGTGTTCAAATTTTTTAGATTCCACATGTAAGTGAGATTATGTGGTATTTGTCTTTCTGTGCCTGGCTTATTTTACTTTGTCCTCTAAGTTCATCCATGTTGTTTCAAATGACAGGATTTCCTTCTTTTTTAAGGCTGAATAGGTCCGGCTCAGTGGCACATGCCTGTAATCCTAGCACTTTGGGAGGCTTAGGTGGAAGGATTGCTTGAGCTCCACCTCAAGCACCCCTTGAGGTGTGAGCTGTGATGGCACTACTGCTCGCCAGCTTGGGCGACAGAGCAAGACCCTGTCTCAAAAAAAAAAAAAAAAAAAAAAAGGCCAAATAGTATTACATTGTATATATACCACATTTTTTTTTTTTTCCTATTCATCTGTTGATGGACATTTAGGTTGATTCTGTATCTTGGCTATTGTGAATAGTGCTGCAGTGAACATGGGAGTGCAGATATCTCCTTAACATAATGATTTCAGTTTCTTTGGATATATAGAAATGGGATTGCTGGATGTGAGCATCTTTTCATTTCTTGGCCATTTATATATCATCTCTGGAGAAATGTCTGTTCAGATTCTTTGCCCAATCGTTAGTCAAGTTGTTAGCCAACTATATTTTAATAATACTTTCTTTTCTCTCTTGCAGTGTGTCACAAGTACAATTAAATAAGAAATTAACATAATTTAATCCTTACTTACAAAGGTAATATATTGCAAGAATGAGGAGAACAGTAAGGGGAATTTCTGATTTGCTAAATGCCAGTCTAATAGAGAAGCTGACCATTCCATAATTGTTTTTAAAGTACATGAACAGCAATCTGAGAGGATGAAATATATATATAATGTGACTAAAAAAGATATGGGATTGATTTTTATGTGTCATATAGAATTAATCATACCTTGCCTATATATTATAATCAAATTGTCTGTTAAGCAGATAAATTTAGAGAACTGTTATGCTGCATGGCATTTAGGTTTACATGCTGAGGAAGAAAAAAACTTGAAATGATTGTGGCTGGGCACATAACAATGAATTTTATGGATTAAAAAAAACAGCCAGGTATGGTGGCACATCTCTGTAGTCCTCAGCTACTTGGGAGAAGGTGGGAGGATTGCTTGAGCCGGAGAGTGAGGCTGCAGTTAGCTGCGATCATGCCACTGCACTCCAGCCTGGGCAACACCCTGACACCATCACAATGTATATGAAACATAAATAAATGTTATGTTTAGACTTGGGTCCCATCCCCCAGATACCTCATTATGTACACTCAAATATTAAAAAAAAAAAAAAATCAGAAGTCTGAAACATGTTGCTCCTGGGCATTTTGGATAAGGGATACTCAACCTGTATTCATCATTGTTCATAGTTAGACACTATGAACTATCAGTGTCTAAAGCCAGAAAGAAACCATTCCCTTTTCTTTTTTTAAAAAAGCTTATTTTATATTATTTTAGACAGGGTCTCACTCTGTCTCCCAGGCTGAAGTGCCTTGGTAGAGTTTCAGCTCACTGCAACCTCTGCCTCCTGGATTCAGGTGGTTCTCGTGCCTCAGCCTTGCGAATAGCTGGGATTACAGGCACCTGCCACCAAGCCCGGCTAATATTTTTGTATTTTTAGTAGAGACAGGGTTTCCCCATGTTGGCCAGGCTGGTCTGGAACTCCTGACCTCAAGTGATCCACCCTCCTCAGCCTTCCAAAGTGCTGGGATTACAGACATGAGCCTGCGCCTGAATTCAGTCTGTCACCAAATCTTGTTGTTTTTTCTCTCTTAGATACTTTTCTTATCTGTCACTGTTCTAGTTAGGCTCCTATTTTCTCTTAACCTGGATGGCTGCCTAACATGTCCCCATGTTTCCCCTCTGGAATCTACTGTTAGGCAAAAAGGCAGAAGCTATAGTACTTGACAGGTAACAATGTTTAATTTTCAACTTGACTAAAGTAGCTCAGCTTGTGTCCCTTTTATTTTTATTATTATATAGTTTTACATATTGAGCTCCAAGAAGTTATAGTTCCTTGGTTTTTAAATAAGATCTGTAAGAGGAGTTTAATCCATATTTAGTGTTGTGTTAATCTTCAAGCCAGTAAGTTAGACATTTATTCTCATTTTACAAATAAAGAAATCGTTGCTGAGAGTTAACTGTGTGGTGGAGTTGAGATTTAGATTTAGTGTTTTGTTATGTTTTTTGAGACAGTGTCTCACTTTGTTCCCTAGGCTGGAATGCAGTGGCGTGTTCATAGCTCACTGCAGCCTTGATCTCTGGGGTCAAGGGATTCTCCCACCTCAATCTCTTGAGTAGTTGGGATCACCCCACCCAGCTAATTTTTTGATGTTTTGTTGAGATGAGGTCTTACTATGTGGCCCAAGCTGATCTTGAACTCGGAAGCCATAGCACCTGGCTAACAGCCATCAGTATTAAACACAAAAGTGTAAGTGTCCCTTTTAGGCTTTTAATTATCTTAGAAAACAGCTATTTGTAAAGAAACTTAAAAAACTTTTACTAAAATACCACTACGCTGTATTATTAGAGTACTAACATTAATATGCAGTGAACTTATACAAATACGTAAGTTTATAATTTATCTGAAACTCGTGTTGGGGGGGGTAAGTAACTTTATGAGTTTCTGGATATATGACTACTGTTGATATGGTTTAGCTGTGTCGCCATCCAAATCTCATCTTGAATTGTAGTTCCCATAATCTCCATGTGTCCTGGAAGGGACTCGGTGGGAAGTGACTGGATCATGGGGGCGCTTTCCCACATGCTGGGTCTCCTCCCGATAGTGAGTTCTCACAAGATGTAATGGTTTTGTAAGTGTTTGGCATTTCTCCTGCTTGCACTCATTCTTCTGCTGCTCTGTGAAGAGGTGCCTTTGGCCATGATTGTAAGTTTCCTGAGGCTTCCTCAGCCATGAAGAACTGTGAGTCAATTAAACCTCTTTTCTTTATAATTACCCAGTCTCAGGTATTTCTTCATAGCAGTGTGAGAACGGACGAATACAATGGTAAAGAAAAACAAACCCAAACTGAGAATTGGATGGATGGAGATTTTATGTAAGATCTTTCATTTAGCAGTACGTCAGCTAGTGATAAATATATCATGTGATGAACTTTCAGGATTTTGTACACATTTTCATAATTGTAAATGTAAAAGTGTCTTTGAATGCCAGGGGCTACCACTGTATAAAATGTAATCTCAATTGTTGGAAAAAAAAAAAGTATGTGGAAAAAAAGACTGGAAGAAAATAAGCCATTGTTGACATTGGTTATCTTTGGGTGGTAGGACTATGAGTGGGATTTTTTTGGCTTTAATTTTTTGCATTTTTCCATTTTTCTTTACCATGCGTTCATGATTACGGGTAAAAAGGGAAAGAAGTGAAATTGCTTCTTTCCTGACAGTTTTTTAGGAAAATATCCTTTTGTTCATAAGGCAAATAAATTGTCTTGGGGAAGAAATATGAAGAAATATGAAGTCAGAAATATAATAATTGAAAGAAGTCTTGGTATAAGTCAGTATTTTTAAGTGACTGTTTGCTGGAAAACTATGGTGTTAATCTGAGGCCAACCAGGCATATGACTATAGAACTTTGCATCTGCCACTCTGTTTTGGCAGCTTTTAGAGTTATACAAAAAAGGTACGAGAATGATGTGACCCACAATTTATTTGAATCACTAAATACTGTCCAAAAATGGCAGTTACAGTAATTTGTGAGGACACTAGGGGATCTGATTATATCATAGGCCATTTTGGTCATTGAGTATTAGGTTGAACCATATGAACCTATTTTATAGATTAAAAATGGTTGAGTGTCTGTAACTTCCTGTGATTTAACCTGTTAAAAATAGTACTTTTTCATCCTTCATTCAAATTTGATTTACATAGCTTGTATTATATACATATTTCTGTATCTATCTATATATCTCTGTATCTCTCTCTATATATAGATATATAGATCTCTGCATCTATCTATATATATAGATACAAAGATATATAGGTATCTATCTAAGTTTACAGGTTGGTGTGTCCGTTAAGGTTGCAGATAAAAGAAATTATTATTAGAATCTTAAAATTTTGATTTTGGGGTGATTTGGTCTTTGGAAATATGTCTTTCTAGAGGACCATTATGACCTTAATGTGGATTATGTGCTAATTTATATATCTGGATCCCAAAGTTGGCATTCCCTGGAGTCTTGATAGCACGTTAGAGTTGGAAGTGATGGTTAAAGATTGTTTTAGTTTTCATCAAGCAGGATAACTCAACATGTCTACGTGGACATGTAGAGCAGGTAGGAGCCCTATCCTACGTAGGCTAGCCTGTTTTATTGGAAATCTGGTGGATAAAATTTATTTATTTTTGTTCCTTATTTGAAGGTTTAGGCTAGGTGAGTAGAAAGTGAGTAGATTGGAATGCTAATATGTTCCTTCTGTTGCTTTCTCTTCTCACGTGATTTACTTTGCATGTATTTTTGGGCAAGTTGCTTATTTTTCTGGGACTTAGTAAGTAAACATCATTTAGGCTAATATGGTCCAGGAACCTGCCAAAACCTTACATGTATTATCTCATTTAACTCACCTTATGAATTAACGCTGTGTCCTGCCTGTGAACAACCCTGTGATGGACATAGTCATTACCAAGATTTTTTTTTTCCCCGAGATAGAGTTGCTCTGTTGCCCAGGCTAGAGTGCAGTGGTGCGATCTTGGCTTACTGCAGCCTCCGCCTCCTGGGTTCAAGCAATTCTCCTGCTTCAGCCTCCTGAGTAGCTGAGACTACAGGCACATGCCACCACGCCCAGCTAATTTTTGTATTTCTAGTAGAGAGGGGGTTTCACCATGTTGGCCAGGTTGGTCTTGAACCCCTGACCTTGTGATCTGCCCGCCTCAGCCTCCCAAAGTGCTGGGATTATAGGCATGATCCACTGTACCCAGCCGTTATTACCAAGATTTTATAATAATCGGGTCACTACGTGGCAAAGCTGGGATTTGAACTCAGGCAGTCTGGCCACAGAGCCCATGTTCTTAACCTTACAGCTGGCTGTATTGTTAAAATAAATGTCCACAGAAATCAATTTTAGGAATCTTACGAGGATATGGTAAAGATGATGTTGATGAAATAATAGGTTGAAATCACTGTATGAATATTTAGAATATTTAGAATTTTACCCATGTTATGTTATGTTATGTTATGTTATGTTATGTTATGTTATGTTATGTTATGTTATTTGGTAACCTATCTATATCCCAGGCTGGAGTGCGGTGGCAGCATTTCACAGCTTACTACCACAGCCTCTACTTCCTGGGCTCAAGTGATCTTCCCACCTCAGCCTGGGACTATAGGTGCGGACTACCATGCCTGGATAATTTTTTAAATTTTTTTGTAGAGATGGGGTCTCTTCAGGTTGCCCAGGCTGGTCTCGAACTCCTGGGCACAAAGGACCTGCCTGCCTTGGCCTTCAAAGTGCTGGGATTACAGATGTGAGACACCACTCCTGGCCCCTTGTTGATTTTCATTCATTGTTTTCAGTTGTGCTTTAATAGGTAGATCGTATTCAACTTGGACTTCTTACAAAAAGTACTTGCAGCCTCCTTTTTGGTCAGGGATCTACTTACCTGCTGTAAAGGGACTTTAAGAAAGAAAAACTGTTCTGTGGCCCTTCTTTCACCCTGTATTATTGGGATAGAAGAATAGGCCAAGAAGGAGTACTGTGGAGCAGTAAATCATCACTGTCCTTTTTAAGGTTCATAACAATTGGTTACCTCTCAGGAGTGGGATTTGGAGACAAGGAGGTATTGGGACTTTTTACTTTTATATTTTTGTATTTATTTCAAGAAGCACCTATTACTTAGTAATGAGGGAAAGGGATGAAACCAAAAAAGAGTCTTGAGTACTTAGGTTAGAGACAAGATACCAGTCTACTTTCTGGTAGTGAGGAGAGGGTAATTACCAGCTCAAGTTTTACCAGATTCCTGTTTTGGAGTTTTCTTAGAGAACATTCCTTCTTACTGCAGGATCAAGTACATGCTCTGTTTTTCTCTGTGTCTCTGACACGGACACGTGCACACACACATACACACACACACACACATACTCTTCCTCTGGACCCTTCTTTTGGGACAGAGATGCTTAGTTGAGTGGATATAAACTATAACAAAAGGCAGTATAACTTAACCTTTCAGTGTCTCAATTTCTTTATTTTTAAAATCAGGACTATATGTTAATACAGAAATGCAGTCTAGTATAAAATACATCTATATGTGAGTATGTGTATATACATTTGTATGTATGTGTATATATATATACATGTACATGTATATACACAATGTGAGAGATTGATTTTAAAAATAGCAGATTGTCACAAGTTTGAGGCTAGAGGAAGAGGAACTTGGTTAGTTGTGTTACTACTATATTAGCATAAAGAAATTAGGCACGGAAGTATATGTAATCCTATTATACTTAGCAGGAACTTCTAACCCCAGGAAGAAAGCTAGAAGGGGGCTTATTACATTATATATGCTAATATTTATTGAGCACTTATATTTTAGCATACATATATGTTCACATTTATTGAATGCTTTCTAAGTGACAGATTTAGTTCAAAACTATTCATAGAAACTTATTTTACTTTAACAACTCTATAAGGTATGTACTTTTATTATCTCCATTTTCTATATAAGGAAGCTAAAATAGAGAGAGATTAAAGAACTTGACCAAACTTTACACAACTTATCGACCTACGTATGTTTTTGATGAAAGAAAAATTAGTTGTCAGATTTTTTTATTAGTAAGAATAAAATTGAAATTTAAATTATTTTCATTTTTTAAGGTCATGGCAGTAGAGAGAAGCAGAAACCCTATGCTTTAGTAACTCTGATGCAAGCCATATCTCCTTATATGAATTATTTGGTCTCAGAGTATTTGAATTCTTTGCTGTAAGGGTTGCAACAAAAGTGTTTAAAAAGACCAATTATATTAAAAAGATTAGGTGAAGCATTACTCTGACTTGGAATGATTCTAGATTAGACCTGTCTTCTCTACCACAGGGTTATATAATTGAACATGTATACCTAGATTCAGGGACCTGACTTTCTATACTTACTGTTGTCAGACATTTGGGTGAAATCTTCGGAAAGTGTGTGTCTGTGTTTATGTGTGTATGTGCAGTACATATATATCTATATATGTAGATAGATGGATAGATAATATGACTCAGAAACAGATAAATAGTTTAGTGAAACTATTTAGTGAATAAAGTACAAAACAGACCGATGTTTATGGAATGTGATAACCAGAGAGGTATTTTAAATTAGTGGGAAAAGTTTGAATTGGTGAGAAATTGGGACATTTTCCTTTGGAAAAAAATTAGATATATATCTATATATAATTCTAAATGGATTAATGTTCTAAATGTTAATATTTGAAATCATTAGAAAAAAATGTAGGAAATGGGTTTATTGAATTCATGTGAGGGAAGGGTTAGAAAAAGAAATTGGGCTGGTTTTGTGATAGCTCATTTAACTAACATGTTCATTTAACTGCCAAAAAATTAGAATATTTGGTTTTAAAGTAGGGAATCAAACTGTGGAATAAATAATGCAACATAGTATAGCCAACAAAAGTTATAGCTAAATATGGTACAAAATATTGTCAATGAAAATAGGTATGTTCTATTTATTAACCATGTTAAAATGGATGTTTCAAGACAAGATTCAGAAGTAATTCCAGTGTTATACAATATAGACTTCTTGAATTTTTTCTTTCTTTTTTTTTTTTTTTTGAGACGGGAGTCTCACTCTGTTGGCCAGGCTGGAGTGCAGTGACATGATCTCAGCTCACTGCAACCTCCGCCTCCCGGGTTCAAGTGATTCTCGTGCCTCAGCCTCCTGAGTCGCTGGGATCACAGGTGTGCACCACCACGCCTGGCTAATTTTTGTATTTTTTAGTAGAATTGGGGTTTCACCATGTTTACCAGGCTGGTCTTGATCTCCTGACCTCAGGTGATCCACTCACCTCAGCCTCCCAAAGTGCTGGGATTACAGGCGTGAGCCACCGTGCCCAGCCCAGACTTTTGAATTCTTTTGCTTTCGATACTTTTGAGTGCATTAAAAAAAACTAATGAAAAGGAATTATTTAAGTGGAATATTTTATCTTGGAGAAATAATTTCGTTGTCATAGTGTTTATTTTTAATAAAAGGAACCTCTGCCTTATCTAGTATAATATGTAAAGTATTAATAGAAGAAAAGCTTTAACTGTTCTCTATAAATCAGCTTATCAAGTGTAATATGAAAAGTAGCAGTTAAAATCTCGAGTGAATTAAAATATTTTTAGACTTCAGGAAGTTTTAAATTTAAAACTAAGGTCATGGCTCAGCAGCAATTGAATCTACTATTAGAAAGCTCTTAGTGAAAAAACTCTTTTTCACCTTTTTGGTAACTGGTATTAACCTTTTAAAAACCTGCATTCTAGGCATTTGATTTTATTATGACTGTCGTCAAGGAAGATTAAGACTTAAGGCAACTAAAAAATTATATAATGAAAAAATGATTCCTTGTCATAAATACAGGTGATATAACTATCATATAAAGTGATGTTGACTAACCAGAACTAGTAATATGTTCTAATATATCATCCTTGGATCCTTGGGAGCCCATACTTCTACAGTAATCAACATTTATTGAGTTTATGAGAGTGTGTGTTTAAAGACAGGGAGAGAGAGAAAACATGTTTATTAAAATGAAACATGACAAACTAATGGGTCGGATTGTGTTCTTTATGTTCCCTAAAATTTTTCTTCATCATATTGAATGTGATTGATCTCTAATTTGGGTAGTGACATTCCTTGTTATATGTTTTATGTGATGTTTTGGATTTACATTTGTAAATTTTGGGAAACAGGATAGTAAGAAGAGTAGCATAATTAAAAGACAGGTGGTTGTGCTTTGAAATGGGCTATTCTTTAAGAATGGTATGATCTTTATAGTGGCTTTTGTAATTTCTTCCTTTTCAAAATTATAAACATTTATTGTAATAAAGAATTTGATGGATTATAGTGAATTTACTTTTTTTCCAGAAAATTTCCCTCTTGAGGACAGAATTTTTTGTTAAGGGTCAAAAATGACAGTTTGAGTCCATAAAAGATTGAAATCTTTGAAGTGTGTTTTCTAGAACAGGAGTAAGCAAACTTACCTATTTTTACATGGCTAAAAACATCAAAAAAGAATAATTCTTTCAGGTGATGGGTGCACCAAAATCTCAGAAATCACCGCTAAAGAACTTATTCATGTAACCAATCACTACCTGTTCCCCCAAAACCTGTTGAAATAAAAAATAAATAATTCTTTGTGACATGTGAAATTTGAATTTCATTTTCTATTTATAAATAAAGTCTTATTGGAACACAGCTGCTTTTGCTTTATAATGGCAGAGCTGAGGAGTTTTGACAGAAACTGTATATGGCATTCTCATTACTTCAAGCTACTGTTTGGTGTACCACAAATTTCAGTGCTGCCATTATTGCTTGACGGTGTTTTGAGTGCCACATCTGTGACCAGATTGCAATTTTTTATTTTATTTGTTTATTTATTACCACTGTGTATCCATCATGTCAAAAAAAGGAAAGAAGAGAAAAATATAGACGTGCTTTTAAGGCACATTGGAGTGTGGGTTATTTTGTTATTGAATTTAATAGCAAAACATTGCTCTTATTATGAAGTGACACTAGAGCTGCAATAGAGGAATACAGTATACATGAAAGTAACTAGACTAATCATATACTACACTATGTCCAACTCTGAGGAAAGCAATAGAAAAATTACAAAACTTAAAAATGGAATATCTCATCACAGCATAATTTCTTCATAAAAATGAAAATGAGGCTGCCACCAAAATAAGTTTCCAAGTGGCTTATTTGTTTGCCAAGCAAGGAAAGCCATTTACTGATGTTGAGTTAATTAAATTGTATTTTATTGAAGCAGTCAAAAAAATTATGTCCAGAGAAAATAAACTTGTTTTAGGCTATTAGCTTTTTGGCAAGCACAGTTGATTTAAGAGTTGAGGACATTTGAAGCAACATCACTAGTCAATTAAAAAACAAGGCAAATGATTTGGAGTGGTTTTTCTCGGCTCTTGATGAGCCGGCAGATGTTATTGATACAATTCAGTTGTTCTTTATTCAAGGAGTCAATTCCAAGTTTGAAGTGGCAGAAAAGTTGGCCTCTGAATAGCCTGTGCAGAACAACTACAGGCAAGAATATTTTCAAAGCTGAGAAAACACTAAGTACAATCTGAAGTGGAATCTGTAAGGATGTGCTGCAAGCGGTGGTGATAGAATACATACGGAGCAGCAAAAGGCTTAGTTGGAGTAATTTACAAAGCTTGTAAAACTGAGGAGTTCATAGTTTATGGTTATTCATTGTTATTCATTGGCAGATACTTTGCAGAAAATATTTCCATCTATCCATGTGTGTTACTGAATCAGTACTGTCAACTGTGAAGTCAGTTTGCTCTTTTGGACTTAACTAGCATCAGCTGCATTAATTTTTGTTAGAAACAGGACAAATATCCTGACTGGCTTAGAAGTGGTAAAGTATATTTTCACAATTGTTTGAGCTAAAGGCTGAGATTGAAATTTTTTTAATAAAGAGAACTGCCCTCAACTGCTATTAAATACTAATTAGCTTTGGAAATTAGCTTTTTGTGAAGATTGAGTAATGTTTTTAAAATGAATTTAACCTAAGATTTCAAGGCAAAATAGTGTCTATATTTGAAAGAATGTGGTAAAGTCATTTCAGTGGCAACTGATATTCAAATCCCAAATAATTTCAGGCTGCTTTATATATTTCTCAAGCTGTCAAAGAAGTTAGATTGTCATTCCCACATAAATATGAGTGGACGTATTTTCTAGTCTCAAACTATAGTTCCCACAGCATTTTTCAGAAGTTGACACAAATGCACAGAAAGTTCCATATTTCAAAAATTTGTTTAATTTTGTAGTGGAGAAACTTTCTACCTAACCTTGAATTGGAAGTAATTAATCTGCACTGTGATGACATACTGAAAGGCAAATATCAAATGAAGAACCAATGGATAACTGCCTTCCCAGTAATGAATATGCTCAATTAAAATCATGCTTGTGGGTTAATATCAATATTTGGCAATATCTGTTTCTGTTAAAAGACATTTTCAAAGACAAATACATACAGTCTCATTACAGATCAGTGTTTTTTTGTTTGTTTGTTTTTAAGCAAAAGTGCTCTCATTCTGCGCCCAGGCTGGAGTACAGTGGCACAATCATGACTCACTGCAAGCCTGTATCTCCTGGCCCCAAGCGCTTCTCCTACCTCAGCCTCCTGAGTAGCTGCGACCATAGGTGCATACCACCACACCTTAGGTTTTATTTTTTTAATTTTTGTAGAGACAGGGTCTCCCTATGTTGCCCAGGCTGGTCTCGGACTCTTGGGCTCAAACAATCCACCTGTCTTGGCCTCCCAAAGTGTTGTGATTACAGACGTGAGCCACTGCGTTTAGCCTGCAGATCAGTATTAACAGATGAGGCCAGGCGTGGTGGCTCATGCCTGTAATCCCAGCACTTTAGGAGGCACAGGTGGGCTGATCACTTGAGATTAGGAGTTCAAAAACAGCTTGGCCAACATGGTGAAACCCTGTTTCTACTAAAAAAAAAATTACAAAAATTAGCCAGGCATGGTGGCATGTGCCTGTAATCCCGGCTACTTGGGAGGCTGAGGTGGGAGAATCTCTTGAACCTGGGCGGTGGAGGTTGTAGTGAGCCGAGATTGTGCCACTGCACTTCAGGCTGGGCAACAGAGCAAGACTCCGTCTCAAAACAAAATTTAACAGATGAGTATTTGTAGTAGATTTTGATGATAGGAAACCCCAATTAAGTGAGGTGCTATCTTCTCAAAAAGAATTTCATTCTTTTCATTAGCAAACTTTTATTAAAAAAAGAAGTGTGTGTGTGTGTGTGTGTGTGTGTGTGTATTTATTTATTTATTTTTTCATATAGGGTCTTCTCTTGTCACCCAGGCTGGAGTGAAGTGGTGTGATCTCGGCTCACTGCAACCTCTACCTCCTGGGTTCAAGTGATTCTTGTGCCTCAGCCTCCTAAGTAGCTGGGATTACAGGCATCCGCCACCACACCTGGCTAATTTTTGTGTTTTTAGTAGAGATGGGGTTTCACCATGTTGGCCAGGCTGGTCTTGAACTCCTGACCTTAAGTGATCCGCCCTCCTCAGTCTCCCAACGTGCTGGGATTATAGATGTGAGCCACTGCACCTGGCCTATTATAAAATATTATACTCATTATTGTATCTTGGATTTTGTCAATAAAAAGTTTTTGGAAATTGTTTCTGTATCCAGCCTGGGCGACAGAGTGTCTCCAAAAAAAAAAAAAAATTGTTTCTGTCTTGTTATGTAAGTATCTATATGATTTTGCCTGTTGGCCAGCAAAGACTAAAATATTTGTGACTGGGCCCTTTACAGAAAAAGTTACAGATCTGTGTTCTACAGAAGTACTTCTGAAACATGAATGTATATAGTAATTACTGGGGATCTTGTTAAGATGCAGATTCTGGTGTGGTCGGTTTGTGGAGGAACCCATGATTTTGCATTTCTTATAAGCATCTTGGTGATACAGTTGCTGCTGGGCTCATGCACTGTAGTTTAAGTAGCAAGGCTCTACTGTTTAGGATTAACATTTGCTAAGCACCTATTATGTGCCAGGAATTACACCAGGGGCTCTTGAGTATATTGCCTCTTTAAAATATCTTATTAGGGCCGGGTGCGGTGGCTCACGCCTGTAATCCCAGCACTTTGGGAGGCTGAGGTGTGTAATTCACGAGGTCAAGAGATCGAGACCATCCTGGCCAACATGGTGCATCCTGGCCAACATGGTGAAACCCCGTCTTCACTAAAAATACAAAAATTAGCTGGGCGTGGTGGTGAGCACCTGTAGTCCCAGCCACTCAGGAGTCTGAGGCAGGAGAATCGCTTGAACCCAGGAGGTGGAGGTTGCAGTGAGCCAAGATTGCACCACTACACTCCAGCCTGGTGACAGAGTGAGACTGCGTCTCAAAAAACAAACAAACAAAAAGTAATTAGAAGGTGTTAAGAATTAAGGAGAGATTGTGCTTTTAAGAGTTTTTGGTTAGAAACCCATTTGTTCTTGGGTGCCTAATTTCCTGTAAGACCTCATGAAGAGGGTTGAGGTCCTAGAGGAAGCTATATATCTGGGAAAAACAATAGGAAACAAAATATATTATTATTTACTGATCTAGGTCAAAGCAGGGCCCCATGCCCTCATCTTCCATGGTAAATTTCAGTGTGCCATCAACCAGTTATCAAGTCAAAGAGTAGGCATAGTATATAGCACATACATGCTTTATAAATGTTTTCTTCCAATCTGTTGTTTACCTTTTCATTTTGTAACCATGTTCTTTTGAACTAGCACCATTTTAAATTTTTGATGAAGTCCAATTTATTGAATTAAGAACTTGTAAGTATTATTTGAGACAGGTTCTCGCTGTGTCACCCAGCGTGGAGTGCAGTGGTGCAATCTTGGCTCACTGCAGCCTCGACCTCCTGGGCTCAAGCAGTCCTCCCACCTCAGCTCCTTAGTAGCTGGAATTACAGATGCTCACTGCCACACCCAGCTAATTTTTGTATTTTTTGTAGAGACAGGGTTTTGCCACGTTGCTCAGGCTGATCTTGAACTCCTGGACTCAAGTGATTCTCTTTGCCTTGGGCTCCCAAAGTGCTGGGATTATAGGCAGGCGCCGCGACATCTAATTATTTTTTTTTAAATTGTGGCAAAATATAAAATTTACCATGTTAACTATTTTTAAATGTAAAGTTCAGTGGTATTAAGTACATTCATACTGTGCTACCATCACCACTATTCATCTGTAGAAATTTTCTGTCTTCCTCAGCTGAAACTCTGTACCCATTAAATACTAACCTCCCATTCCACCACACCCCCAGCCCCTGGCAACCACCTTTTGTGACTGGCTTATTTTACTTAGCATATCTTCGGAGATCTCCGTGTTGTAGCATGCACCCATATTTTCTTCATTTTTCAGGCTGAATAATATTCCATTGTATGTAGATACCACATTTTGTTTATCCATTCATCTGTTGATGGCCACTTGGATTGCTTCTACCTTTAGGCTAATGTGAATAATGCTGCTGTAAATGTGTTTGTACAAATACCTGTTTGAGCCATTGCTTTCGCTTGTATTGGTTATATACTCAGAAGTGAAATTGCTGGATCATATGGTAATTCAGTGTTTCATTTTTTGAGGAACCGCTATACTGTTTTGCACAGTGGCCGCACCATTTTATGTTCCCACCAGCGATGCACAAGGATTCCAATTTCTCCACATCCTCACTAGCACTTGTATATTTGGGGTTTTAGTTTTTGATAACAGCCATCCTAATGGGTATGAAGTGGTGTCTCACCGTGATTTTGATTTGCATTTCCCTCATGATTAATGTTGAGCATCTTTTCATGTGCTTATTGGTCATTTGCATATCTTCTTTGGAAAAATTTGTATTCCAGTCTTTTGCCCATTTTTTAATTGGGTTTTTTTTGTTATTGAGTTGTAGAAGTTCTTTATATATTCTGGATATCAATCCTTTATCAGATATATAATTTTCAGATATTTTTTCCATTCTGTGGGTTGCCGTCTCACTCTGTTGATTGTGTCCTTTTAGGCACAAAAGTTTTTAATTTTGATGAAGTCCAACTTACCTATTTTCCTTCCTTCCTTTTTTTTTTTTTTTTTTTTTTTTCTGACGGAGTCTCACTCTGTCGCCCAGGCTGGAGTGCAGTGGTACGACCTCGATTCACTGCAGCCTTTGCCTCCTGGGTTCAGGTGATTCTCTTGCCTCAGCCTCCTGAGTAGCTGAGATTACAGGCACACACCACCACGCTCGGCTAATTTTTTTGTATTTTTAGTAGAGACGTTTAGTAGAGATGTTGGCCAGGCTAGTCTCGAACTGCTGACCTCAAGTGATCTGCCGGCCTTGGCCTCCCAAAGTGCTGGGATTTCAGGCATGAGCCACTGCACCTGGCCCTATTTTTTCTTTAGTTGCCTGTGCTTTTGGTGTTAGATCAAAGAAACCATTGCTAAATTCAGTGCCATGAAGCTTTATCCATATGTTTTCTTCTAAGAGTTAGAAAGTTTTAGGTCTTATATTCAGGCATTTGATCCATTTTGAGTTAATTTTTTTATATGGTTAAAGTAAGGATCCAACTCAATTTATTTGCATGTGGATATCCAGTTTTCCCTGCACCATTTGTTGAAAAGACTGATCTTTCTCCACTAAATGGTGTTGGTGTTCTTACTGAAAATCATTTCACGTGAGGGTTTATTTTCTGGTCTCCCTGTTTTATCCCATTGCTCTATATATATGTCTGTCTTTATGCCAGTACCATATTCTTATTTTAAAAATGTGATTTAATGTTTTCAAAATAGTCCTGTGCCAGGGAAGGATTGATAGTTTTTTATAAAGCAAAACTTCAGTAGATTTTAAGTTTCAGTGCCAGGCTTAAGACTTGGCAGACCTGGCATATAATAGGTGTGTGATTTGAGAATCATGTTTGAAGCCAAAGGAGATCTGAAAAGAAAACAGAAGGCCATGGGGAATATTTGCAGTTAAGAGAGAACAAGAAGGTGGTGGGGGGAACAGGTGTGGCTGAATTATGAAAACTAGAACTGTTTATGTTTTTGCTTTGGTTTTTCCTCTCAATAAAGGAATAATATACAGTTTCTGATGTAATAGCAGGAAGAGAAAAAATGGAAGCATTGATGATACTAAGGATGATATGGTTATAAACCAGTTTAAGGGAAGAATTAAATGGTAGTACAGTAAAATTGAGGCTAAGGTAGACTTCTAAAAAGACATAAGTGAGGGCAGAAGGAGACAAGGAGTGAGTAGATGCCAGAGAGGTAGGGTACTTGTGAATACAAGATTTCTTGGATGTCAAGAAGGAGTGAGGTCAAAAGCAAGTGTTAAAGGCTTTAGCTTTTTAGAGGGATTTACCTCTTTTTTTGAGCTAGAAGAAGTAGACAGAGGAAGGTGTATTTTCAGGTACAGGGATCCAAATAAGCATGAAAGAGTGGCCACCATCCATCTAGTCCTCTGTCCAGGTGAGGATAAAAAGTAAGAAAGGGAATTTCAAAAGATAAGATCTATAGGAGTAGTTGTTAACCTTTAGGAGAGGAATGTCAGGATGTGTGGAAGGGGCTAGTATAGTTCAAAAATGTTCCCCAAGTCATTCTGGATTCTGGTAATATCCTTACCTGCTCCCTTTGAGAGCCATTCATTTATGTCACTTCTGGGGTTTTTGTTAGAAGAGAATTAGCAGACATAGATAAAGTAATTTTTGTTTGAACTTCATCTAGAATTTGGAGTGCTTTAGTCTGCATAATAACAATAACATCAGGGTGTTAAATTTTTCCCCTTAATTTTCAAGGTGGTTTAATACTAGTAAGTGTTACTTCAGTCATCTGTGTGTGTGGTAAACGTGTTTGTGTTTCATTTACCTGATGGAAACTTAAAACTATCAACCGTACAAAAAATCTTAAGGATTGTGACAATAATAAAACAGTTCTTTATAGTTTAAAATGTAGTTAGTTATATAAGATATACATAAACAAAATAATTAAGTGGTAATGTCGCATAGTTACAATTCTGGGTATGCTCAGAATAGGGAGATTACATTAGGAGAGTAGTATTTTTTAAACTATGGACCCATGGTCCATTGTTGGTTTATGAAATCAATTTAATTGCTATTTACTAGTGTCACCTCACTCTTTTTTAAGTGGACTAGGATAGGCTAGAAAATAGATGTTGTACAGGACTCTTACTACTGCATTGCAGTAAGATTTGGTATTCTGTGAAACTTTTAAATATATGAATGTTTGTAACTGTGTACTAAATTAGATGGAAAATATATTTCTTCTGTGAGTTGCAGCCAAAAGTGTTGGAAATCCATTGTAGGATGTTTTGATAAGTTGATGTGTACATTTAAAAATAAAGTCTCTCAATTTCGTCTGCTTGTAGCATTCATTCCTAAATTTTTAACATCTTAACTAATCACATATATATATTTGTGTGTGTAAGTATAAAGTATACACACATATATATGTGTACATATATATTTTTTTTTCTTAATAGGTGCAATGGATGAGCTTCATAGTCTGGATCCAAGAAGGCAAGAGTTATTGGAAGCTAGATTTACTGGAGTTGCAAGTGGGAGCACTGGAAGTACGGGCAGTTGCAGTGTTGGAGCTAAAGTGAGCAAAATTCTCATCTTTATTTGACAGTCTTTCTTTCTATTAAATGATCTAAAATAGTATGTAAAGGATTCCTACATAACGTGCTTAACAGCAAATGTAACTTTTATAATGTGTAGAATAAGATCAGTGTTCATAAATGCGTTTTTAATGTAGTATACCATATTTCAGGGGCATTATAATACAGCATAATATGTTTCAGGGATAAAAAGGAGTTTGGTAGATTGTACTGCCTGTCTCCCACTATGTAGTTTCTTATCCTTCCTGCCCTTATTATCCATGGTCCTATCTGTACATCTAATCCACAGTTTCTAACTGCTGCATAAAACTTTAATAGTGTATATCTTTTAGGCCAGGAGTCCTCAACCCCTGGGCCAAGGACCAGTACCAGTCCTGTTAGTAACCGGCCACACAGCAGGAGGTGAGCGGCAGGAGAGTGAGCATTACTGCCTGAGCTCCACCTGTTTGATTCAGCAGCGTTAGATTCTCATAGGAGCATGAACTCTATTGTGAACTGTGCACATGCAAGGGATCCAGGTTGTGCACTCCTTATGAGAATCTAATGCCTGATATGAGGTAGAACAGTTTCATCTCTAAACTATTCCCCACCCAACCTCCACCTTCCCTCTTTTTTCATGGAAAAATTGTCTTCCATGAAACTGATCCTGGGTGCCAAAAAGATTAGGTATTGCTGTGTTCAGCCTTTCAGTGATAGACCCAGATTGTCTACCTCAAACTGTGATGAGTTTTCATGTACTTGGGCTCTTATGGACCTTTGTGACCATTTATTTAGGATGTTTTCCCAAGAGTACAATTGCTAGATCATAGGGTATGTATAGACTGAAATTGGATAAATACAAGGTTGCTATTCAGAACAGTTGTACTAATCTGCATTTTCAGCGGAGTGCATGAGTATTTCTGTATTTCCATATCGCAGAAACACTTGACACCATCCACATTCCTCATTTAAGTATAAAATATCTTCTTGTTTTACTTGTACCATCAATTATTTTGAGCATTTCTTCTTTTTTTTTTTTTTTTGAGGGAGTCTCACTTTGTCGCCCAGGCTGGAGTGCAGTGGCATGATCTTGGCTCACTGCAACCTCCGCCTCCCAGGTTCAAGCGATTCTCCTGCCTCAGCCTCCCAAGTAGCTGGGATTACAGGTGCTCACCACCATGCCTGGCTAATTTTTGTATTTTTAGTAGAGACGGGGTTTTACCATGCTGGCCAGCTGGTCTCGAACTCCTGACCTCAGGTGATCCACCCACCTCGGCCTCCCAAAGTGCTGGGATTACAGGCGTGAGCCACCACGGTCGGCCTATTTTGAGCATTTCTTTGTATGCTTGTTAGGTTGTTGGGAGTCTTAGAAATTATTTTAATTCTTTGTCTGTTTTTATATTAGTATTACTTTCTTTTTTGAACTGATTTTCTCATGTTTCATGTATATTCTACATGTTGATTTCTTGTTGACTTCATACATCGTAAGTAACTTCTCCCACTTTGTCATATGTCTCTTACTTTGTTCATGGTCTCTGTTGAACTGGAGTTGTGTGAATTCATAGCACATTGAACTCTCTAAATTTGTTGTAATCAGTCTCACCAGTTTTTTGCCTTACGGTTTGTATCTCCAAAGTTTTGACTAACTCTTGGTATTTAACAGAAATAAGCATCACCATTAACCATTTGGGTCAAATAGACCTTTTTGTATTTTTATATTTATAAGCTATTTTACTACTAATTTATAGACACATGAATAAAAGTATTATGAAAAACAACTTTATTAGATATTTTAATAAGAATTACCTTGTACATCTCTTTGTATCAGGTAAATTTTGGCTCACAAACATAAAAGATGAAAGAGTACTGTGATGTGTCCTTTGAGCATAATGAGGTGGTCCAGAATATGGTTGCAGAATATTATATGATGCAGTCCTTACTGTGTTTTCTTTTTTTCCTTAGAAATATATTGTTCAATTCATTGATTCTTGAATTTGAGAAAATTCGTCTAGCATTATGTTACCTGATTATGTGAGATTTTACATATAGTCAATATCACCACCATCAGCTTCAGAGTCTAGACATGCAACTGTTGGTGTTTATATTTTCTGATTCATCTAATAATTGTAAGATGTATTCCTCTGTCATTTTCTTCTCTTGGCCATCGTGGGTGGAAAATGAAAATTTTTGAATTCTTAGGTGGAGTCAGTGAAAGCTAACATTAGACTACGAAGATGGTATTCTAGTCTTTCAAAAATATTCTTAAAAGGCCGGGCACGGTTGCTCACGCCTGTAATCCCAGCACTTTGGGAGGCCGAGGTGGGCGGGTCACCTGAGGTCAGGAGTTCAAGACCAGCCTCAACATGGAGAAACCCCGTCTCTATTAAAAATACAAAAAAAAATTAGCCAGGCATGGTGGTGCATGCCTGTAATCCTAGCTACTCGGGAGGCTGAGGCAGGAGAATTGCTTGAACCTGGGAGACGGAGGTTGCGGTGAGCCAAGATGGCGCCATTGCACTCCAGCCTGGGCAACAAGAGCGAAACTCAGTCTCAAAAAAAAAAAAAAGAAAGAAATTCTTAAAAGATGAAGCAAGATGAAAGATGATGCAGTACTTGAAAGATAATGGAAGGCAAGAAGAAAACTGAAAGATGATTTATTTTACTATTGCACCATCCTTTTAGGTTATTAAATCTGTATTTTTCTATTGTTTCCATAACAAACTAAGTAAACTTAGGAGTTTAAGATAACACAAATTTATTATAGTTTTGTAGGTTAGAAGTCTGTTACTAGTTTTATGGGCTAAAACCATGGTGTTTATAGGACTGTAATCCTTTTTGGAGGCTCAAGGGGAGGATCAGTTTCCTTGCCTTTTTTAGTTTCTTTCTTCTTCTTTTTTTTTCCCTCTGAGACAGGATCTCACTCTGTCACTCAGGCTGGAGTGCAGTGGCATGATCTTGGCTCACTGCACCTTCTGCCTCCTGGGGTCAGGTGATGCTCCCACCTTAGCCTCCCCAGTAGCTGGCAGTACAGGTGCGTGCCACCGTGCCCGGCTAATTTTTGTATTTTTAGTAGTGAAGAGGTTTCACCTTGTTGCCCAGGCTGGTCTTGAACACCTGGGCTCAGGTGATTTGCCCACCTCGGCCTCCCAAAGTGTTGGAATACAGGTGTGAGCCACTGCACCAGGCCACCTTTTTTAGTTTCTAGAGGCTGCTGTGTTCTTTGGCTTGGCTATTCCTCCAGTTTCAAAGCCAGCAACAGCCCATCTCCTTGACCATTCTTCCAAAGTCACGTCTCCCTCTGACAACAGTCTGGAAAGGTTGGGCCTCTACTTTTATGTACTCATGTGATTAGATTAGACCAACCCAAATAATCTGGGATAATCTCCCCAGTTCAAAAGCCTTACCCTTAATCACTTCTGCAAAGTCCTTTTTTTGGCCATGTAAGGTAACATAGTCACAGGCTCTGGAGTTTAGGGTGTGTGTATCATTGGGGAAATTATTCTGCCTACCATACACCATCATTCTTCATTTTTTTCTTTGATTTTTTATTTTGTTTTTTAGTATAGTTGGGAATAATTGATGAAAATAATAAGTAATGATGAAGTAATTGCTAGTACGTGATAAATTCAAAATATAGGAAAAATAAGATATGTAAGATTCCATAATATATTTTAGATTTATGGAAGGGCCCATTTGACATCTGGTAATTGCAAGATGGAATGAGTTTTATTCTATTAACAATAAATATAATTTTTGTTTTTTGGATGATCCCTAAGAAAGAATAAAAGTCCTCAAATATCAGTCTTTACAAATAGTTAGAATGGCTCAAACAAGAAATTCAAAAACTAGAATTTGATCTCATAGACCTTGATGGTATTCTAATTAAATACTGCTTCTGCATCCCTGGACCATAAAGATATTCTACAGTTTCTGTTACTAATTTTATAGGTTTACTATCATACTTGCTCTTTAATCCATCTAGGGTCCATCTTTTATATAATATTGGTAGTGATCCAGTTTTATTTTTCTCCATCTAGTGAACAAGTTTTCTCCACAGTGCTTCTTAAATCATCTTTTTAAAAATTGATTTGTGATGCCATCTTTATCATACATATGACTTACATAATTAACACATATATGATTTACATATATATGATAAGTATATGTGGGCTGGGTGTGGTGGCTCACGCTTGTAATCCCAGCACTTTGGGAGGCCGAGGCTGGTGGATCACTTGAGATCAGGAGTTCAAGACTAGCCTGGTGAACATGGTGGAACCCCATCTCTACTAAAAAATACAAAAAATTAGCTGGGCATGGTGGCGGGTGCCTGTAATCCCAGCTACTTGGGAGGCTGAGACAGGAGAATTGCTTGAACCCAGGAGATGGAGGTTGCAGTGAGCCGAGATTGTGCCATTGCACTCCAGCCTGGGTGACAAGAGTGAGACACTGTCTCAAAAAAAAAAAAAAAGGATATGTATGTGGTTGCCATGTATATATAGTATGTAGGTTTGTCTCTGAAATGTCTCTGATGTTTCAGTGATCTGTGTTCTTGTGCTCCAGTATCACATTAAAAATATTATCATATTTTGGTATGTCTTTTTTATATGGTAGAGTAAAATCTCTCGTTTACTCTTTTTCTGGGGTTGACTTTGTTCTTTATGGATCTTTAGTCCTTCATAAAATTTAAGCATCTCTATATTCTTGATAGCATTTGGGAATTCTTCTATTATAGCTTTTTTTGTGTCTTTTTCCTTAAAATATTCAAATGTAATTTTAATTTTGAATGCATTCAATTTGTAGATTAGGGACTACTAGCATCTTTGTAAGATTAGGTTATCCTATTTAAGTACATGAAATGTCTCCCTGTTTATTCAGTTCTCCCCATGGACTTCTTAGGAATTTTCGGCTGTTAGATCCTTTAAAGTTTGTTGCTGATCTTTTTTTAATTATATTTTCTAGTTGATTTTTGCTGGCTTAGGATGCTTTTAATTTTTATAGTTTGGTCTTGTATCTGGCAGTCTTGCTGTTCTCTTTTATTGGTTGTAATGGTTTGTTGGTTCTGTAGATTTATTTAAGGGAAATAATTATCTTCCAAAAATGATAGTTTAATCTCTTATACCTTAAATACATATTTTTTCCTTATCTTGGTCATGACCTTGAATGCTGTGTCTTGTTCTTGCTCTAAAAGAGGAATTGTCTGAAGGTTCTTTATTAAGTGTAATGTTTGCTGTAGGTTTGGAGTATATAACTGCCCAAATTAAAGAAGAGCCTTTCTATTCCTGGTTAGTTAAGGAGATTTTGTTGGTTTTAAAAATTATAAATAGTTTTGAACTTATGAAAGTCTTTTTTCAGTGTTGATTAAAAGACTCAGATTTTTCTCCTTTGGATTATTAATACAATAATTTAATAGATTCTTAAAATGTTGAACCTTGTTTGTATTTCTGGGATAAACCATACTTGATATGATATACTATTTAAAAAACATTTATCAGGCCAGGCGTGGTGGCTCACACCTGTAATCCCAGCACTTTGGGAGGCCAAAGTGGGCGGATCACGAGGTAAGGAGTTTGAGAACAGCCTGGCCAATATGGTGAAACCCTGTCTCTAGTAAAAATACAAAAATTAGCTGGGCATGGTGGCGTTTGCCTATAGTCCCAGCTACTTGGGAGGCTGAGGCAGGAGAATTGCTTGAACTCGGCAGGCGGAGGTTGCAGTGCGCCAGGGTCATGCCACTGCACTCCAGCCTGGGCCACAGAGCAAGACTGTCTCAAAAAAACCAAAAACAAACAAAAAACCCTACCATTTATTGGATTTAATACATGATTAATTATTTAGGATTTTTACATATATGCTTTAAGAGAAATGAATGTGCCAACTGGAAGAATGTAGTTCAGTGAGTTTTGACAAATGTATATACACTCATGTAATCTACATTCCTCTTAAGATACAGAACATTTTCATTACCCTACCATATCTGTTTTATAATTCACTATCACATTAGCCTCACAAAATGAACTGGGCCCCTTTCACTATTTTTAGTTTTTTCAGCATCCTGTATATGATAGGAAATGTTCATGAGAATATGAGTAGACACGTAAAACTGTCTTGGCCTGGCCTGGAGCTTATTTAGAATGGTGGCTTTTTTTTTTTTTTTTGAATACAGGATCTCACTTTGTCGCCCAGGCTGGAGTGCAGGGGTGTGATCTCGGCTCACTGCAACCTATGCCTCCCAGGCTCAAGCAGTCCCTCTATCTCAGCCTCCCAAGTAGCTGGGACTATAGGCGCTTGCACCATGACATTCGGCTAGTTTTTTGTTGTTGCTGGACTTTTTTTGTGGAGACCAGGTTTTACCATGTACCCAGACTGGTCTCAAACTCTTGACTCAAGTGATCCACCTGTCTTGGCCTCCCAAAGTGATGGAATTACAGGTGTGAGCCACTGTGCTCAGCCGGGGAGATCTTTTACTGTGATTTTAATTTCTTTAATATTTAGTTCATTAGTTCATTTCATGTAAGCTTTTAAACTTACTAGTATATAGTTACAATACTTTAAAAACCTCCTTTGTTATTTTCTTTCTTCATATTCTCCTTTTCTGTTCATTCTTGCCAGAGCTTTGTTTAATGAATATTTCAAATAAACAAATTTTTGTTTTAATTTTTTTCACTGTTTTTTTCTTCTCCCTTTTCCGCAGTGATTTCTGCCTTCATAATTTACTTGTTATTTTGGATTTGCTTCTGTGGCTCTTCTTCCAGCTATTGAGTTGAATGTTTAGTTTATTTACTTGTATATAGAAATAATTAAGTACAGTAAAATGCGTAGCTCTTATGTGTTCGGTTATGGGACTTTCTCCCCATGGTTTTTATTAAGGTATAATTATCAGTTAGTAAAATTACCCTTTTTTACTATATAGTTCTGTTGTAAGATTTGACAGATGTATATAATTGTGTAACCACCATCACAATTAAGGTATTAAATAGTTTATTTTGCTGAAATATTTTCCCATACCCCTTTGTAGTCAACTCCTCTAGGTTGCCTCTGGCAACCACTGATCTGTTTTCTGTTCTTTTAGTTTAGGTTTTTAAGAGATGCTATATAAATGGATACATATTGCAATATGTACCTTTTTGAGTCTGGCTTCTTTTAACTTATCATAATGCATTCATTTGAGATTGATCCATGTTGTTGGATGTTTGACCCTTTTGAATGCTAAATAGTATTCTGCTCTATGAAGATAACCACTTCTTTTTAGTCCATTTTCTGTTTGTTTATTTTTTTGAGACAGTCTTGCTCTGTCGCCCAACTGGAGTGCAGTGGCACAACCTTGGCTCACTGCAACCTCCACTTCCCAGGTTCAAGCGATTCTTCTGCCTCAGCCTCCCGAGTAGCTGGGATTACAGGCATGTGCCACCATGCCCAGCTAATTTTTGTATTTTTAGTAGTGAAGGGGTTTCACCCTGTTGGTCAGGCTGGTCTGAACTCCTGACTTCAAGTAATCCACCTGCCTTGGCTTCCCAAAGTGCTGGCATTACAGGCATGAGCCACCACACCTGGCCTTTTTAGTCCATTTTCTAGATGAGGAACATTTGTGTTGTTTCCAGTGTTTTGATAATTAGGAATAAAGGTATTATAACCATTCACGTATTCCCCCCTCTTAGATTTGGAAATTGTTCAGTGTAAATACCACACAAAACAAAATATAGAACACTTCCATCCCTCCAGAGAGTTTTCTTCTGCCCCTTTCCAGTCAGTTCCCTCTTGTCAAACCCTTTCCCCCAACCCTTATCTAATTTCTGTCACTACAGATTAGTTCTGCCTGTACTTGGATTCCATATACAGTAAATGAAAGTATGCAGTATATTCTTTTGTATCTGGCATCCTTTATTTAATGTAGTGTTTTTGAGATTTATCCAGGTTGTTGCTGTTTTAGTAGTTAATTCTTTTTGTTGCTGAATAGAATTCCACTGTATGGATATACCACAGTTATGCATTTAGTAGAGTGGTATTTGGATGTTTTCATTTTGCCTGTTAGGAGTAAGGTTACAATAAACATTTTGGTACAAATGTTTTGGTAACATGTTTTAATTTCTCTTGGGAAGATACTTAGCTGGATAGATGTATATTTTACTTGGTAAGAAACTGCCAGATTTCCAAAGTGTTTGTACCTGTATAAGAACTTTGATTGTTCTGCATCCTCCCTGACATTTTGTTGTGATTCTTTTTCATTTTAGTGTAGTGGGTGTGAAGTAATATCAGCTCGTTTATTTTAACTTTTCTTGTTTCTTGATTAATGCTGTCCCTCCAGGAACTGCTGTAACTGTTCCATAAGTTTTGATGGGTGCTGTTTTAATTAATGTTCAGATCTGTATATTTCATAATTACCTTTGTTTCCTTTTTAACACAAGGGTTATTAATATAGGATATTTTGAGCTATCTTTTTGTTGTGGATTTTCAATCTGTTGCATTACAGTTGGAAAGTAGTTTGTATGACATCAGTCCCTGACATCAGTCCCTGAATGTGCCTTATTTTAGAAACATTTCATATCTAATAGCTGTTAATTGTATTTGTTCAGATCTTAGATATCTCCTTGCATTGTCAACTTGGCGTATCTTTTTCTGAGAGAGATGTATTAAAATATTTAACTGATGATTTATGTATTTCTACTTGCTGTTCATTTGTTTTTGCTTGATATATTTTGAGGCAGTATTTTTACATGTGTATCTCTTGTTCTATTCTTTTTGTGACTGTATACTACTTACTGTTAATTTTAGCTTTCTTTTGGTTTATGTTTGTTTTAGGTATATGGTTTTCTATTTTATTTTTGCTCTTTTTAAATGTGTTTCTTGGGGCTGGGAGTAGTGGCTCATGCCTGTAATCCCAGCACTTTGGGAGGCGGGGGCAGGTGGATCACTTGAGCCCAGGAGTTCGAGACCAGCCTGGGCAACATGATGAAACCCTATCTCTACAAAACATTAGCCGGGCGTGGTGGTACCCACCTGTGGTCCCAGCTTCTTGGGAGGCTGAGTTGGGAGGATTACTTGAGCTCAGGAGGTTGAGGCTGCAGTGAGCTGAGATCATGCTACTTCACTCCAGCCTGGACGACAGAGTGAGACCCTGTCTCATTTAAAAAAAAAAAAATTAAATGCATTTCTTGTAGACAGCATATGTTTTTTGATACAATAGGAGCATTCGACTCTCTTAAATGGTGAGTTTTGTTTATTACATTTTTTGTAATTATTGTTATTTTCTGACTCAGTTCTGCCATCTATTGCTTAATGTCTTCTTGTACTTTACGTGTTTTCCATTGGACAAATGAATTTTTTTCCTGATGTTTTAAAGTTACATATTCTATTGTAGTGTTATAATGACAGTATACTCAGTGTAGTGTATAGTATATGAGTATAGAGTGTCATTATAACACTAAAAATGCTCTCTCAAACTGCATTCCTGTGGGTTTGTTCCCCTTAAAATTTGTATTACTTTTTACTTTGAAAATAATCTATACCTATAGATAAGTTGAAAATGTAGTATAAAGAATGCCATCATATTCTTCATCTAGATTTAAAAGGTGTAAACAGTTTTGCTTAATTTGTGTTCATGTACATCTTTACTGTGTCTCTCTGGTATTGCTGTGGTCTCCTGGCTCCTGTTTTTTTGTTGTTGTTGTTGTTGTTGTTTTTTTTTTGAGAGAGGGGTCTCACTCTGTCACCCAGGCTGGAGTACGGTGACGCAATCTCGGCTCACTGCAGCCTCTGCCTCCTAGGCTCAAGTGATCCTCATGCGTAAGCCTCCTGAGTAGCTTGGATAGGCAAGTGCCACCATGCCTGGCTAAGTTTTTTGTATTTTTTTTAGAGATGAGTCTCACCATGTTGCCCAGGCTGGCATTTAACTCCTGGGCTCAAGCAGTTCGCCCACGTCGGCCTCCCAGAATGGTGGAATTACAGGCCTGAGCCACTGCGCCTGGCCAGCTCCTTTTTTTATTCTGTTGTTATAATTCATTATTGTCTTTGAAATTCAAATTGTCCCAAATTTGGCCAGTGGAAACTCCTTCGCATGGTCACTTTAGAGATCTTTTATCAGTCTTTGGTTTTCAGACACAAGACATTTCTGGCTTCCCTCGTCCTTTTCTGCATTGAATATGAACAGACATTCTCCAAGGATTCCTGGTTCATTTTAATGAAGAATGGTGCTTAGGAACCAACATCTAGGTGCTAGTTATGCTTGTTGTTATAATACATAATAGTCTCTTAGAAGAATGCCAGCTAATGTAGAATCAGAACACTCACCATTTGACATCCCCAATATAATTATTGATTAAGGCAAGGATCATATGTTTTCCATTGGACATTTACATTTAGTAAAATGTTTTCAAGAGCAGTATACTTACAGAGTCCTAATGTTTTACCCCATAGATTAGTTATTACAAAAGAGAAATGTGTCTAAAATGGACACCATTTCTCACCACCATAATAAGCAAGATCAGACTTTTCATTGGCATATTATCTCAGAGAATCTGACATTGTATGTGCCTCCTAAGGTGGTGCAGTAGGAGTTACACAAATCACCTCTGTTTTTAATGCTGGAAATATTTGATTTGAATTTAGTCATGAGACAATACTCCTGGGACACTGCTAGACAACTGGCCTGGACTCATCAAAGTATTCAGTGTCTTGAAGAACAAAGAGAGGTAAATGGAATTGTTGTAGATTGGATGAGGCTAAAGAGACAAGACATAGCAATCAGATGTAATGTGTGAATCTGAATCCTGATTTGCACCTGGACTGGAGGAAAACAGTTATAAAGGACGTTTTTGTGACAATAGGGAAAATTCAAGTACAGGTATATGTTGGATGAAGATACTGAATTAATGTTGGTTTTACTCTTTTGTCTTTTAAGTTGTAATTTTAAAATATAGGTGAAGCTACAGAATGTATGACAGTTGTGACCAATGACTCCTGTAATGTTTAGAGTGATGATGATAATGTGCTTGTGAGATGCAGTATTAATAGGTAGGCAAATTTTAATGATAGTAGCATCAAGAGTTTGTAATTTGGAAGTAAAAACATTCTAAGGATCAAATTGCTGGTAGCAACGGTGCTCTAGCAGAGAGGGTCGGGTAGAAAGGTAAATACATTATCTAGGAGTATTGATTTATTTCTAGAGAAAAATAGAGCAGTATATTTGCCAGCAGCAAGGAAGTAAGCACAAGCAACAGATACTGTACATACAACCTTCATTTTTTGTTTTTCTGCTTTTATTGTTTTTAATTGATAGAGTAATTGTACATATTTATGGAGTACAGTGTGATATTACATGTAGAGACAATGCATAATGATCAGATCAGGGTAATTAGCATATTTGTCACCTCAAACATTTATCATTTCTTTGTGATAGGAACATTCGAAATCTGCTCTTCCAGTTATTTGAAGATATACAATAAATTGTTGTTAATTATAGTCTTCCTATAGTGCTATAGAACACCAGGACTTACTCTTCCTATGCAGCTGTACTTCTATATTCATTAATCAACTGTTGGCTGTCCCCTCCCGCCTACTCTTCCCTGCCTCTATTCTGCTGTCTACTTACAAGATCAGCCTTTTTGGTTTCTGCATATGAGTGAGAACATGCAGTATTTATCTTTCTGTGCCTGGCTAATTTCACTTAACAATGTCCTCCAAGCTCATCAGTGTTGCTGTGAATGAGAGAAATTTTTTTAATGGTGAAATAGTATTCCATTGTGTATGTATACCACATTTTCTTTATCCATTTGTCTGTTGATGGACACTTACATTGATTCCATACTTCAGCTATTATGAATCATGTTACAGTAAACATGGGAATGCAGATATCTCTTCAGCATACTGATTTCCTTTCCTTTGTGTATACCCAGTAGTAGGATTGCTGGATCATATGGTAGTTGTATCTTTTTTTTTAAGGAGCCTCCATATTTTTTTCCATAATGGCTATACTAATTCGCACTTCCACCAACAGTGTAGGAGGGTTTCCCTTTCTCTGCATCCTTACTAGTATTTGTTATTTTTTGTCTTTTTTTTTTCGAGACGGAGTCTCGCTCTGTCGCCAGGCTGGAGTGCACTGGCGCAGTCTCGGGGCTCACTGCAGCCTCCGCCTCCTGGTTTCAAGTGATTCTCCTGCCTCAGCCTCCTGAGTAGCTGGGACTACAGGCGCACGCCACCACACTCATCTAATTTTTGTATTTTTAGTAGAGATGGCGTTTCACCATGTTGGCCAGGCTGGTCTCAAACTCCTGACCTCAAGTGATCCACCCGCCTCAGCCTCCCAAAGTGCTGGGATTACAGGCGTGAGCCACTGCGCCCAGCCAAGCATTTTTTAAATATACCTGTTAAAATTTGTATGGTTTTTGTATGGTTACTTCTTTCAAGAGATGTCTTTGCCCATTTTTAGATTGGATTATTTATTGTTTTGCTGTTGAGTTGTTTGAGTTCCTTGTAAATTCTGGATATTAATCCCTTCTCAGATGAATAGTTTACAAATCACTTTCTTGCAGGTTGTATCTTCACTCTATGATTGTTTCCTTTGCTGTGAAGAAGCTTTTTAGTTTGAGATAATAGTTTGTCTGTTTTTGCTTTTGTTGCCTGTGCTTTTGAGATCTTCTTCATAAAATCTTAACCTAGACCAATGCCCTGAAGTGTTTCCTCTAAGGTTTCTTCTAGTAGTTTCATAGTTTGGGATCTTACATTTAAATCTTTAACCCATTTTGAGTTGATTTTTGTATACAGTGAGAGATAGGGGCTAGTTTCATTTTTCTGCCTATGGATATCCAGTTTTTAATGTTCCCAGTGCCTTTGTCGAAGATTAGTTGGCCATAAATGCATAGATTTATTTCTGGGTTCTATTCTGTTCCATTGATCTGTGTCTGTTACACAAAATCAACATACAAAAAGTAGTAGCATTTCTATACACCAACAATGAACTAGCAGAAAAAGAAATCAAGAAAGCAATCCCTGGCTGGGAGCAGTGGCTTATGTCTGTAATCCCAGCACTTTGGGAGGATCACTTGAGGCCAGGAGTTTGAGACCAGCCTGGCCAACATGGTGAACATTGTAGTGTATTTTGAAGTCCAGTAGTGTGATGCCTCCAGTTTTATTCTTTTAGCTCTGTATTGCTTTGGCTATTCAGAGTCTTCTGTGGTTTCATATGAATTTTAGGATGTTTTTTCTCTTTCTGTGAGGAATGTCATTGGTATTTTGATAGGAATTGCATTGAATCTGTAGATCACTTTTGGTAGTATGTCATTTTCACAGTATTCTTCCAATTCATGAACGTGGGGTGTCTTTCTATTTTTTTATGTCCTCTTTAATTTTTTTCTTCAGTGTTTTATAATTTTCCTTGTAGAAAGGGAACCCCTTCACCTCATTGGTTACGTTTATTTCTACTTTTGTTTGTTTGTTCTTAGTTCTTGTAAATGGAATTTTTTTTTTTTTTTTGAGACAGAATCTCAACTCTGTTGCCCAGGCTGGAGTGCAGTGGTGCAATCTCGGCTCACTGCAACCTCTGCCTCCCAGGTTCAAGCAATTCTCATGCCTCAGCCTCCCAAGTAGCTGGGATTACAGGCGCCCACCACCATGCCCAACTAATTTTTGTATTTTTAGTAGAGACGGCATTTCACCATGCTGGCCAGGCTGGTCTCAAACTCCTGGCCTCAAGTGATCCTCCCAAAGTGTTGGGATTACAGGCGTGAGCCACTGCTCCCAGCCAGAGATTGCTTTCTTGATTTCTTTTTCTGCTAGTTCATTGTTGGTGTATAGAAATGCTACTAATTTCTGTGTGTTGATTTTGTATTCTGCACCTTTACTGAATTTATCAGTTCTAACAGCTTTTTGGTGAAGCTTTTAGGGTTTTCTATATATGAATTTGTGTCATCTGCTATACATAGAACTTTTAAATTACTGGAATAGAATGTAGAAGGAGGAATATAAAGAAATGTAATTCAACAAAAGAGAAGGAGAAAAAGAAAAACAGAAAATATTTCATTTTTATCTGCTATTATATAAGATGGAAGCAATAAAGCCAGGCATGTATTAACACAGTAAATGAGACTCCATCTACAGGCTGTTAACAAGAAACATCCCTTAAAAAATGATGAACATTGGAAATATCTGGAAAGAAAGTATCTCAGATAATCACGAAGAAAAATGAAGTGCAATTAAATATAAATTTGAGGTCAAGAGCGGTGGCTCATGCCTGTAATCCCACCACTTTGGGAGGCTGAGGCAGGCGGATCACTTGAGGCCAGGAGTTCAACCCCATCTCAAAAAATTAGCCGGACATGGTGGGACGTGCCTGTAATCCCATCTACTCAGGAATCCGAGGCAGGAGAATTGCTTGAACCCAGGAGGCGGCGGAGATTGCAGTGAGCCAGGATTGCACCACTGCACTCCAGCCTCAGTGACAGAGTGTGACTTATGTCTCAAAAAAAATTATATATATATATATATAAATTTGAGATCAATTTTTTTCTTAACTCAGAACCTTCCCCAAACTTCCCATTGCATTTCAAATAAAATTCAGTGTCTTCACTGTGCCCCACACAGATCAGAAGGCCTTCCTCTAAATCAGGAGGCCTTTTGATCTAGTGTTAGGCTAACAACTGCCCCACCACGGCAGTTATTATTTGCTGTCTTATTTGCCACTTGCCTCAAACACACTTCACGCTGACTTCATTCAAATTTCCCCTCTTCAAAGAGGCCTTATCTCACCGCTGTATGTAAGGTAATACCTTTGTCACTGCCCCTTAGTTTCTCCACTTCTTTTTTTTAATACTACAACTTATTGATTCCATAGGTAATACTAAAATTTATGTGTTTGTTTATATTCTCTTTCCCTTCTCGTAATGGAAACTCCATGAGCACTGGACTTCAGTCTGTTTTTTTCACTGCTGTATCCCTAGCATCTACAACAGAACCAAGGCCCTCAATGAATACTTTTGAATGCATGAATGAATAGCAAATAAAGCATTCTTCAAAGGCAAAAACCTTGAATGGTATAATGATAGACGTTTTTTAAGGACTAAGTCTCCACAAAGAAGATAAGGCAGTTAAAATTTTTATATATCAAACCGTTTTAGAAATAACGTAGTGAATTTATTAAAACACAGTTAGAATGAGGGATTTTAAATAATTCTTTTAGATTTTGACTATTGTTTTACCCTAAGCCTGTTTCGCCTGTTTATTTACTTACCAGACCCTGATAGCATATGAATTTGTGACTCTCAGATAGAAAGAAGGGTAAATGTTATAAACTGTAATTATGTAAACTTATTGTGTAGTTGTCATGTTGGGAGAAGTTAAGGATATATTTTCTTATTTTACATAATGAGGAGTCATTACACACAGTTTGAACTTAAAGAAAATATTATATTTAAGGTAAGGCAACCATTTGAAGAATTAAAAATAAAAATATAACTAAATGTCTCAGAAAGAAGGAGAAACTGTGATGCTAGATAAATTCTTCATCTTCCATGGCAGGGTCAATTGAGGATTTACTAGAATCTGGTACGTACTCACCTGTTTGAAAGAAAGGAAGTAAAGAAAAAAAGGAATGAAGAAGCTATCTGTGTTTTGATTTGGAAATGTCTCCAAGATATATTAAGAGAAAAATATGCAATGCAGTCTGTATAATGTTATCTTTGAGTGAGAAGGGAGGAACCAAAGAACATATATTTAATTTGCTTGTATAGAAATAGAGACTCTAGGAAGACAATAAGAAAGAAACCAAAGTAGCCTGTTTATATTGCCTATTCAAAAGTTAATTAAAAACATTTTTTAAATAAGTCATTGCCTCTCAATAGTGGGACTGATGTGGGAAGGAGAAATTATCTTTCTGTAATGATTGAAATTCCTCTTATGTGCCTGTGTTGCTTTTATATTTTTTAAAACAATGTCTCATGGGTGTTTTTTAAAAAAACCTATTCTTTTGAAGGCCTCAAGTCTGTGTATGTGTGCTTGCAGTGGAACATACTATATGAGTGTTTGCATGAATGATTATATACTGTACTTTGTTGAGCTTTTTTCCTTCTGATTTCCCTCCACTAATGTGAACTTTTAGAACCACTTTTATTGAGATATAATTAACATACCATCAAAATGACTCATTTAACATATTTAATGGTTTTTAATGTATTCACTTTTTTATGCAACCATTACCACTGTCGAACTCTAAAACATTTTTGTTACCCCAAAACTGAAACACACAAACATTAGCAGCAACTTTCCTTCTTCCCTAGCCTACACTGCATTGCCTGGCAACCACCAGTCTACTTTCTGTATCTCTGGATTTGCTTGTTCTGGACATTTTATATCAATGGAGTGATACAATATGAGTTATTTTGTGCCTGGCTTTTTTTTTTTTTTTTTTTGAGACGGAGTTTCACTCTTGTTGTCCAGGCTGGAGTGCAGTGGCGCTATCTTGGCTCACTGCAACCTCCACCTTCTGGGTTCAAGTGATTCTCCTGCCTCAGCCTCCTGAGTAGCTGGGATTACAGGCACGTACCACCACTTCTGGCTAATTTTTGTATTTTTAGTAGAGATGAGGTCTCACCATGTTGGTCAGGCTGGTCTCAAACTCCTGACCTCATGATCCACCCTCCTTGGCCTCCCAAAGTGCTGGGATTACAGGTGTGAGCCACTGCGCCTGGCCTGTGCCTGGCTTTTAAAACCTAGCATAATGTTTTCATGTTCACAGATGTTATAGTATGTATTGTACTCATTCCATTATATGACAGACTGTTCCATTATATGGATGTGCCACATTTTGTTTGTTCTTTTGTGAGTTGTTGGACATTGGGTGGTTGTTTCCGTTTTTTGATGCAAATGTTATGAACTGTTAGGAACACTCTTAGAAATTTTTTGTAGACATATGTTTTAGTTCTTTTAGGTATATAGATAGGAGTGAAATTACTGATTCTATGTTAACTCTGTGTTTAATGTTTTGAGGAACTGCCAAACTCCTTTTCAAAATAGCCACACCATTTTATATTCCTACCAGCAATGCATGAGAGTTCCACTTTCTCCACATCCCTGTCAACACTTATTATTGTCTTTTTAAATTATAGCCTGTATTCATCTGCTTGTGTTGCCATAACAGAATGCCAGAGACTGGGCAGTTTATAAAGAAAGAGGCTTATTTAGCTCTTGGCTCTGCAGGCTGCGAGGTTCAAGGACATGGCCTTGGCTTCTGGCGAGGAGTTTTACATTTCCCTCATGTTACAGAAGGTCAAAGGGGAAGTGGATATGTGTGAAGAGGGACTGGGGAGGGGGAACCTTGCTTTATAACAACGTGCTCTTGCTGGAACTAAATCCAGTCTTGCCAGAGTAAGAACTCACTCATTACTGCAAGAGTTGCACCAGGCCATTCATGAGGGAGATATAACACAAGCACCTTTCACTAGACCTTACTTCCCACACCGCCACACTTTGGACCAAATTTCAAAATGAGTTTTGGTGGAGATGAACAGACCATATTCAATCCATAGCATAACCATTCTGGGTGATGTGTGAAGTGGGATCTCACTGTGTTTTTGGTATGTATTTCCCTAATGACTGATGAGCATCTTTTCATGTGCTTATTTTCCATTCATATATCTTCTCTGGTGAAGTGTTTGTTAAAATCCTTTTCCCATTTTAAAATTGGGTTATTTCTTAAATCTTGAGTCATAAGAATTCTTTATACTTACTGGGTACTAGACTCTTATCAGATACACGATTTACAGATTTTTGTCTCATTCTGTAGGTGTCATATCTAAGAAATCATTGCTTAATCCAGAATCACATATTTATATACCTATGCTTTCTTCTAGGGAGTTTATAATTATAAATAATTCTTACATTTAGGTCTTTGATCCATTTTGAGTTAATTTGCATATATGGTATGAGGTAGGGAATCCAAAATAATTTTTTCGCGTTGGACTATTCAGTTGTCTCAGCAACATTTGTTGAAAAGACTATTCTTTCTCCCTTTGAATTGTCCTGGAACCTTTGTCAAAAGTTAATTGATTGTAAATATATGGGTTTATTTCTGAACTCTTAATTCTGTTCTGCTGATCTGTATGTCTATCTTTTCGCCATACCACACTGTGTTGGTTAATATAGCTTTGTAGTAGGTTTTGAAACTGGCAGTGTGTATCCTCCAACTCTGTTCTTTTTTCAAGATTATTTTGGCTATTCTGGGTCCCTTGCATTTCAATATGACTTTTATGATCAATTTGTCAATTTCAACAAAAGGCCACCTGGGATTTTGTTAGGAATTTTGGTGAATGTCTAGGTTGAATTGGGAAGTATTGCCATCCTAATAACATTAAGTCTTCTAGCACATGAACACAACTGTTGGTACATTCATTTAGATCTTCTTTATTTTCTTTCAATGATGTTTTTTAGTTTATACTGTATAAGTCTTGCATTTGTTTTGTTAAGTTTATTCCTAAGTATTTTATTTTTTTGATAGTATTGTAAATGAAGTTTTCTTAATTTGTTTTTCACATTGCTCTTTGCTGTTTTATAGATATACATTTGGTTTTTGTGTGTTAGTCTTGTGTCTTGCAACCTTTCTGAACTTATTAGCTTTAATAGTTTTGCTGTTATTACTGTATTTACCTTTAGTATTTACCTTTTATTTTTTTCTTGCCTAATTTTCATTGACTAGAACATCCAATACAATGTTGAACTGAAGTGGTGAGAGCACATATATTGTCATCTTAGAGAGGAAAGCTGTGAGTGCTTCATAAATGTCCTTTCTCAGGTTGAGGAAGTTTCCTTTTATTTCTAGATTGCTGAGTGGCTCTTTTTTGTTCCTTTTAAATCAGAAACAGGGTGTTGGGTTTTGGCAGACATTTTTTCTATGTCTGTTCATGATCAGTGGTTATTTTTTGTTCTGTTAATATAGCTGGTGTATGTTGAACTAACCTTGCATTCCTGGAATGAATACTGTTTGCTCAAAGTGTATAATCCTTTTTATATGTTGCTGGATTTGGTTTGCTAGTATTTTGTTGAGGATTTTTGCATCCATATTTGTAAGGGATATTGATCTGTAATTTTCTTGTGATGTTTTTATCTGGTTTCACTATCAGGTAATATTGTTTTTCCAGAATGAGTTGGTAAGTGTTCCTTCTGTTCTTTGGAAGAGTTTGTGAAGAATTAGTATTAGT
This sequence comes from Homo sapiens, assembly GCF_000001405.40. Taxonomy (NCBI): domain Eukaryota; kingdom Metazoa; phylum Chordata; class Mammalia; order Primates; family Hominidae; genus Homo; species Homo sapiens. The sequence continues at coordinate 171,098,562 of NC_000002.12, read as the reverse complement.
TCTGCTTTACATATTTGGTGGAATTTACCAGTGAAACCATCTAGGCCTGGGCTTTTCTTCGAGGGTAGATATTTATTCGTTTTCTTGTTTTAATTATACTGCTACTATTTCTTTACTTGTAAGGACTATTCAGATTATTTATTTCTACCTTTCTACCCCAGCTTTATTGAGGTATGATTGACAAATAGAAATTATATATATGTGAGGTGTATATGTGATGTTTTGATATACATATATATTGTGACATGATTAACACTATTAAGATAATTAACATGTTCATCACCTCATGTAGTTTTTTTTGTGCGGAAAACATTTAAGATCTATTCTCTTAGCAAATTTCAAGTGTACGGTACTATATTATTAACTGTAATCACCATACTGTACATTAGAGCTTCAGAACTTATTCAGTGTAGATGAACCTTTGTACCCTTTTACCAAAATCTCCCCATTTCCCCTACCCCCTAGTTCCTGGCAACCATCGTTGTACTCTCTGCTTCATTGCTTCATGAGATTTCACATGTGAGATCATGCAGTATTTAACTGGCTTCTTTTATTTTTCTTTCTCTTTCTTTCTCTCTCTTTCTCTCTCCCTCTCTCTCCCCGCCCCACCCCTTTCCCCTTTCCCTTCCTTTCCTTTCCTAGTGGAGTCTTGCTCTGTCACCCAAGCTGAAATGCAGTAATGCGATCTTGGCTCACTGCAGCCTCCGCCTCCCAGGTTTAAGCGATTCTCCTGCCTGAGCCTCCCGAGTAGCAGGGATTATGGGCACCCGCCGTCAACACCCAGCTAATTTTGTTATTTTTAGTAGAGATGTCATTTCACCATGTTGGCCAGGCTGGTCTCAATTCCTGACCTCATATGATCCGCCTGCCTCAGCCTCCCAAAGTACTGGGATTACAGATGTGAGCCACCACACCCGGCCGCCTATTCTTAAATTAGGTTGTTGTCTTGCTCTTGAGTTACAATATTTTGGATATTAAGCTCTTATCAGATACATGGTTTGCAAATATTTTGTCCCATTATGTAGATTGTCTCTTTACTGTGTTGATTGGTTCTTCTTCTGTGCATAAGCTTTTTAGTTTGATGTAATATCATTTGTTTATTTTTGCTTTTGTTGCCTATATTTTTGGGATCATTTTCAAAAATCATTGCCCAGACCAATGTCAACAAGCTTTTTTTCCTGTGTTTTCTTCTAATATTTTAAAAATTTCATATCTTATGTCTTTAATTCATTTTGAGTTGATTTTTATATATGGTATGAGATAAGGGTCCAGTTTCCAACTTCTGGATGTGGATTACCAGTTTTCCCAAGGCCATTTATTGAAGAAACTATCCTTTCCCCATTGTGTGTTCTCGGCACTTTTGCCAAAGATCAATTCACCCTACATGTGTGGATTCGTTTCTGGGCTCTCTGTTGTGTTCCATTGGTTTATATGTCTATTTTTATGCCAGTACTGTACTGTTTTGATTATTATTACTTTGTAGTATATTTTGAAATCAGGTACTATGATGCCTCCAGCTTTGTGCTTACTCAGTTTTGCTTTGGCTCTTTGGGTTCTTTTGAGGTTACACGTAAATTTAGGGTTGTTTTTTCTATTGCTGTGAAAAATGCCATTGGAGTTTTATTAGGATTACACTGAATCTGTAGATCACTTTGGGTGGCATGGACAGTTAAACAATATTAATTCTTTCAATTCATGAAAACAGGATATCTTTCCATTTGTATTGTCTTCAATTTCTTTCGACAGTTTTATAGTTTTTATTTTATAGATCTTTCACCTCCTTGGTTAATTTTTTTTTTTTTTTTGAGACAGGGTCTTGCTCTGTCACCCAGGCTGGAGTGCAGTGGTGCCATCTTGGTTCACTGCATCCTCTGCCTCCTGAGTTCAAGTGATTCTCCTGCTTCAGTCTCCTGAGTAGCTGGGACTATAGGCGCCTGCCACCATGCCTGGCTAATTTTTGTATTTTTTGGTAGAGATGGAGTTTCACTGTGTTGGCCAGGCTGGTCTGGAACTCCTGGCCTCAAATGATCCACCTGCCTTGGCCTCCCAATGTGCTGGGATTACAGGCATGAGCTACCGTGCCTGGGCTGATTAAATTTATTCTTAAATTTTTTTTATGCTATTGTAAATGGAAGTGTTTTATTAATTTCTTTTTCAGATCATTAGTATATAGAAATGCAACTGATTTTTTGTGTGGGATTTTAAAAAAAGTTTATTTTATTTTTTATAGAGATGGGGTCTCGCTATGTTGATCAGGCTGGTCTTGAACTCCTGGCCTGAAGCATTCCTCCCATCTTGGCCTCCCAAAATGCTGGAATTACAGGCATGAGCCACCATGCCCTTCCACAACTGATTTTTGTATGTTGATTTTGTTATCTTGCAACTTTACTGAATTAGTTTAACTGACTCCAATAGTTTCTTGGTGGAATCTTCAGGGTTATCCATATATACAATTATGTCATCTGCAAATAGAGATAATTTTATTTATTCTTTTCTGACATGGATGGCTTGTATTCTTTTTTTTTCTTTCCTTTAGCCTGATTGCTCTGGGTAGGATTTCCGGTACTATATTGAATAGCAGTGGTGAGAATGGGCTTACTTGTCTTGTTCCTGATCTTAGAGGAAAAGCTGCCAGCTTTTCATCCTGGAGTATGAAATTAGCTGTGGGCTTATCATTTATTGCCTTTATTATGTTGGGTACATTTCTTCTATACCTAGTTTATTGAGAGTTTAATCACAAAAGGATGTTGAAAGTTTTTTTTTTTTAAATCATGAAAGGATGTTGAATTTTGTCAGATGCATTTTCTGTATCTATTGAGATGATCATAAGATTTTTATTCTTCATTCTGTTAATGTGGTGTATCATATTTATTGACTATGTATGTTGAACCACCCTTGCATTTCAGGAATAAGTTTCAGTTGATCTTGGTGTATGATGATCCTGTTAATGTGGTGTTGAATTTGGTTTGCTAGTGTTTTGTTGAGGATATTTATGTCTTCTAGAATCATTTTTGGTAGCTTGTGTCTTTCTAGGAATTTGTCCATATCATCTTAGTTATCTGATTTGTTGGCATAAAACTTTTCATTATATTTTCTTGTAATTCTTAGTTCTGTAAGTCAGTAATAACGAGCTCTTTCATTTCTGATTGTAGTAATTTGAGTCTTCCTTCTTTTGGTCTTGGTAGGACTTGCTAAAGATTTGTCAATTTTGTTTTCAAGGATCCAACTTTTGGTTTCATTGTTTTTTTTTCTATTGTTTTTCTATTCTCTATTTCATTTGTTTCTGCTGTGATATATATTTTCCCCCCTGCTTGCTTTGGTTTTAGTTTGGTTTTCTTTTTTCTAGTGTTTTTTGGGTGGACGGTTGGGTTATGATTCAAGATCTCTTTTTAAATGTAAACATTTACAGTTACAGTTTTCCCTGTAAGCACTGCTTTAACTTTATCTCATATGTTTTGATATGCAGTGTTTTTGTTTTCATTCATCTCAAAGTTTTTTTCTAATTTCCTTTGAGATTTATCCTTTGACCTATTGGTTATTTAGGAGTGTGTTGTTTAATTTCTGCATGTTTGTGATTTATAACAAATCTTTATGGCAGTCATACATAAACCTGTATCTGCTACCCTCTTCTCCCCCTTTAGAAAATTTAGTTTGAGGCCAGGCGCAGTGGCTCACACCTGTAATCCCAGCATTTTGGGAGGCTGAGGTGGGCAGATCACCTGAGGTCAGGAGTTCGAGACCAGCCTGACCAACATGGTGAAACCCTGTCTCTACTAAAAATACAAAATTAGCCAGGCATGGTGGCGCATGCCTGTAATCGCAGCTACTCGGGAGGCTGAGGCAGGAGAATCGCTTGAACCTGGGAGGTGGAGGTTGCAGTGAGCCGAGATCACGCCATTGCACTCCAGCCTGGGCAACAAGAGCAAAACTCTGTCTCGGAAAAAAAGAAAATTTAGTTTGAGGGTATTGCTTGCCCTTACAGTGTCGATCTTTTAAGCATTCTTGAATACATGCTGCCATGTTTTGAGTTTGCATGTCTGAAAATGTCTTTCTTTTGCTTTCTCGTAGTATCTCAGTAGTTTATAGATACTATTTTTGATGTCTTCTAGGTTTTAATTTTTCTTCAGCTCAGGGAAGTTTTCTTTTTAATATTTGATTTTTTTTCTTAATTTGTTTCCTCCCTTCTGAAAACGAGTTATTTTCATAGTAGATCCCCTAGATATGTCCTTTGTATCTGTTGTTTTAACTCATGATTTTAATTTCTTCATATTTTGATGTTAACGGGATGATTCTACTTCATTTTCTAGACTACTAATTTCATTTCTAGCAGTGCTTCTGCCCCTACTCTTTACTGAATTTAGATTTTTGCAATTGCGTTTCACTGTCAACTCTTTTATTTCTAATTATATTTACTTTAAAATTCAAATAATATACTTATAAAAGACCTATTTCTGCTCTGACCGTAATTTCTCCTCTAGTTGAGCCACCTATTCTGTGTTTGACTAGGGCTCTCCCTTGCAAGGTAATTAGGCTCCTTAAATTACCTGTAAGATTTTCTTGCCACAGCATCCATTCTGGTTAGGCTGGTGATCTTCTGAGTAGTGATAGATTGGTTGGTGGTGAGGTTTACAGGTGTTCCCTTCTCTTACTCCTGGTGTTGGCTACAATCAGGTGGCGTCTAGAGCAGCATGGGACAGGTGGGTAAGGGGAGTCTTCTCATTATGCAGAAGTGATCAACTTAAATCTCTGTCAGATCTACCTTTATGTAGCCCTACAGACATTCTTCCCCATAGATTTGACCAGAAAAGCAGGCCTGATCTTACTTACCTATTCTAACTTATTGATTCTCCTAGCCTTCTTAACAGTGGCATTAAGAAGGTGTTGCTTGGAATTTTTTTTTTTTAATGGTTTCACATAGTTTTTAAGTTGAAGTTCAAATTACCTGACATTTTTCGGATTCCTACCTTACCACTGTAGCCCAGTTTCATGCCCCACTTTCCATCTTTTCTTCACATTGTACTTTGAACAGCCTATTTGTGGTTCCCTAAATGGATATGGTTTTTCACATCTTTCCTTTGAACATACAGTTCACTTTGTTTCAGATGCCCATATGCCCTTTCTTTTCATCAGATGCATCACTCTTTGAATGTCAAGGTCAGATCAGGTATCACTTTAAGGATGTTTCTCTGATTACCTCATTCCATCTAATTGCCCAAATCCAAATCTGGTGGACCTCCTGTGTCCCTCTTCAACACCTGTGTGTACCTAGACAAAATTTTTCCCATCACATTTTAATTATTTGTTTCTTACTAGCCTACTAAGCTCTTGAAGACAAAGGACTGTGTGGCATATTTTAATGGTCTCAGCACTTAGCTCTGTGTCTACTCTTTAGTTATGTCCTCAATTTTGGGGGAATGAAATCCTTTTATTATAAGAAATCAAAACAGTGTATCCTGATTCAGAAACTTTGGAGACTTAGGCAGTAGGAGGCTAATTTTGAGACTGGCATATATTTTTAAGAGTACTGGGGGAAAATTTTGAATTGCATTTAGAGTTTACATGGAGTCATGTGGTCCTTCTGGACTTGCTTTAATATTATGTTCTTAGCACTGCCCAGTATCAGCAAGCTCTTTGGAACTGAAAATAAGGCCAGTGTCTGTTTATTTTACTAATTTTCCTAACTTCTAACCTGTTAACATCACGTAAAAAAAAATGTACCCATCTAGTTGCTTCATTTCCTTAGCATATACTTTAAAGTACTCATGTGTAAGGTTCCATTTAGTGTCCTTGGTTTGTAGACAGAGGACAAAATCCTTGCCCTCAGATGCTTTTAGTCTGTTCTAGTAGTAACCACAGCAGAGCAAGCATAGTTTGGTAACTTCCAGGTGGACATATTCATCATTTTGTCCATGGGGGTAGGAGGGTGGTCTTAACAGTTTGCAGGTTTAACCCACATTTCAAAAAACATGTTAAAATATGAAGTGTTCTAATTAAATCTATTGGCACAGTAAATAGATATTTTGGGATATTAGTGAACTAAAGAGATATTTGGGGAGATGGCAGCTACAAGCTAAAATCTGAACACTTTGATTAATATTTAGAATTAATTGACAACTACAGAGAGCCAGTAGTGGTGGTGCTGATAAGAATGTGGATGGTAACCAAAACTTAGTCTGTCTTACAGTTTTGCCTACAGCTGGTCATAGTGAAAATATGTAGTGTGAAAGTGAATGTCATTGATGGACAAGTCTTCTTTAAGACATTTGACTTCGTTTTCTACTTTTGTCCACTCCAGATTTTTTGCCAAAACAATATGGATTTTTTTTCTTTGGCAGAAATAAACCCCAGCTCTCTAGCTACCTTGAGCAAAGAAGGGAAGTTATTGATCGAATATCAGTCAATTCACAGAATGATTTGGAAGCCTGGAAGACCAGAGTTGCACAGGAACCAGGGCAACCTTGGGTGATGAAGCAACAGAAACTGCTCATCCTTTTGATTGTGGGATCTCCAGTGGATTAAAAAAAAAAAGACGGCCGGGCGCAGTGGCTCATGCCTGTAATCCCAGCACTTTGGGAGGCTGAGGCTGGCGGATCACGAGGTCAGGAGATTGAGACCACGGTGAAACCCTGTCTCTACTAAAAATACAAAAAATTAGCCGGGCGCGGTGGCAGGCGCCTGTAGTCCCAGCTACTCGGGAGGCTGAGATAGGAGAACGGCATGGACCCAGGAGGCGGAGCTTGCAGTTAGCCGAGATCATGCCACTGCACTCCAGCCTGGGAGACAGAGTGAGACTCCGTCTAAACAACAACAACAACAACAACAACAACAACAACAACAACAACAACAAAGACACCCCCCCGCCATCCCATGCTTATTATATCATTCCTTTGAGATTCAAACTTCTGGGGAAGAGAGTTGATTAATTTTCCCCTTTGTTTCTCGATTATAGGTATGGGTAAAGATTATGTATGGGAGAAGGACCCTCCTTAGAATTTCTCTAGTTGCTGGGCAGGTTGATTTCCAGTCCTACCAAAAATACAAGGACAGGATGGTTTTCTAAAAAGAAACTATGTTGCTGTCATGAAATTGGAATGGAGGTTGAATACCTAAAATGGGAAATGTTTACTGTGTTCTGAATCATAAGACTTGACTTTCAAATCCCAAATTTAAGACAGTTAATGCTTTTTAGGGATGCAAGGAATGTTTATACTAGATTATGTCTGGTTAGATGGGGGCATCTATTGTTGAAATATAATATTCCCTCTTAACCCATATAGCTCCTCTCAAGCATTGAACTCAAGCACTGATTTTTGTGATTTTCGTATGTCTGTAGCAGAGGTCGGCAAACTTTTTCTGTAAAGTGCCAGGTAACTAAATATCTGTAGGTCATGTGGTCTCTATCAAAACTACTCAACTGTGCCATTTTAGTACTAAAGCAGACATATACCATATGTAATGAAATGAGTATGGCTTTGTTCCAGTAAAACTTTATATAAAAACCAGGCAGAGGGCCATAGTTTGCTGATCCCCTATCTTATAGCAACTCTGTCTAATAGAAGTTTCTGATATGATGGCCATCTTTTGTATCTGTATGGCCTAATAGTAGCCACTGGCCACATGTGGCTACTGAGGATTTAAAATATGGCTAGTGCGACTGAGGAAATTAATTTTCAATTTAATTTTAATAGTTTCTTAGTAAAAAACTATTGTGTCTGCTAGTTTAAATATTGTTCTTTTTACTAAACTTTTGGCAACATTACCAATAAAAAGCCTTATAAAGTGGAGTTATAGTGGAGCTAGGAAAGATATTTTTATTGATAGAGAATGAATTCTGGTATAAAAAGCATTAAGAATAAATGAGTGCTTATCTATGGGGAAATATTACCAGCTTTAGTCTCCAAAGAATTAATACTGAAATTTAACCTTTTTAAATACATGATTTTAGAAAGTGAATACCTAGGAAAATCCCAAGGATTTGATGACTTTGTAGCAAAAAACCGTTCAAATAAATAGCATAGGCGATAAGTAGTTCTCTTCCTCACTACATTTAGAATAATGCACAAATCATAAGTACACTCAATGAATGTTCACAAACTGAACACAGTGATGTAAGCAGCACTCATATCAAGAAATAAAGATTATCCCCATAACATGATTATGATCTAGAGAAAAATCACAAGGAATCTAAAAATAATTAAAACTAATAAGTAAATTAGTTAAGGTCATTGATTATAAATCATATATTAAAACCAGTTATATTTTCTGCATATCAACAACAAATAAGTAGAAAGTAGAAAATGAAGTTTTAGAAAGGTACCATATACAGTATTAAAAATTGTTAATATAAATATGTTATTAAATCTTTATAATAAAAATATAAGTTGAAATAAATCTTACAAAAGATACTCAAGACATCTTCACTGAAAACTGTAAAACAGTGAAATCAGAAAAGGCCTTAGTAAATGAGATGCAATATTCAAATATTGGAAGACTCAATGTTATAAAGCTATCAGTTCTTACTAAATCGATTTGTAGCTTCAGTGCAATACCAATTAAAATCCCAGCAGGATTTTGGGGAGGGTGGAAAGTAACAAGCTGATTCCAAAATTATATAAAAATGTAAAGACCAAGAATGGTCTAGGCAGCCTTAAAGGACAATAACAGAGCTGGGAGAATTATACTACTAGATATCAAGAATATTTTGTGGTATTATTGATAAAATTAAACCAGGCACGGTGGCTTGTGCCCGTAATCCCAGCTACTTAAGAGGTTGAACGGGAGGATCACGTGAGCCCAGGAGTTCGAGGGTGCAGTGAGCTATGATCATGCCACTGCACTGCACTCCAGCCTGAGTGACAGAGCAAGACCTGGTCTCTTAAAAAATAAAGAGAAAGTTAGTTATTAAGTCAGTCTGATATTGACATGGATAGAAAAATAGACCAATGAAAGAGAATAAAGTCCAGCAGTAGACCCATCTGTAAATAGTAACTTGATCTATGACAAAGGTGATATTGCAGTGCAGTGGGAAAGAGTTGATCGTTAAAATAGATGTGCTGTATCAATTGGATATCTATAAGGGAAAATAAATAACTCTTCACTTTGAACTCTTATCATGATAGAAAAATCAATTTCAAGTAAATTGTAGATTTAAATGGGAAAGGTAAAGCAATAAAACTTTAATAAAATGAATAGACTGTCTTCATTACCTTAGATTGGCAGAGATTTCATAAATAGGTTCCAAAAGGCAGTAGCCAAGAAGAAAAACATTTGATAAATGTAACTACGTTGAAATGACACAGTAAGGTGTGAAAAGGCAAACCATAGATTCATGTCCTGAATATGGAAAGAATTCCTACAAATCAAGAAGGAAAAGACACACAATTCATGTTCATAATTTCAAAGCCAGGCCAAATGTGGTGTCTCACTCCTGTAATCCCAGCACTTTGGGAGGCCAGGAGTTCGAGATCAGCCTGGCCAACATGGCGAAACCTTGTCTCTACCAAAAATACAAAAAGTAGCCGGGCATGGTGGCACATGTCTGTAATCCCAGCTACTCAGAAGGCTGAGGCAGAATCACTTGAGCCCGGAAAGTGGAGTTTGCAGTGAGCCAAGATCATCATAGGATCAGGGAGACTTTTGTGTCTGTCCTGTGTTTGAGCTATTTCATGTATCCCATATCTTCTCTTTCTTGCTTTATTTCTTTGTTTTTGGTGGAGCAGATTCTCTGGTTGCTTCTTGAGGAAAGATATATGGGTAGTGAAATTTTTGAGACCTTGCATATTTTCCTCCTCCCACTTTGTTTTTAGTGTATCTGACGGGTAGAATTCTAGGTTGGAAATCATTTTCTCAGAATTTTGAAGGCATTGTTCCATTGTCTTCTAGCTTCCAGTGTTACTGTTGCACACTCCAATGCCATTCTGATTCCTGATTCTTTGTAAATACTCTATTTGTTCTTCCCTCGAAGCTTTTATTTAGGAGCTTGTGTTTGTCTCTAGAATTTGAAATTATTTATTCTGATGTATCTTGGTTTGGTTTTCTTTAAGCCATTGTGCTTGATTTTTTAAAAATGTGTCTTTCCAATCCAGAAACATGCTTTCCAGTTCTGGAAGAATTTTTTGAGTGATATTGGACTTTGTTCATATCTGTGCATTAGGCACTTAAACACTTACTGGAAACTGTGTAACTGGGCAGGGTTTACTGACTGATGGATGGGTTTTGTTTTTTGGGGTGTTTTTGATACAGGGTCTCAGTCGCTCAGGGTGGAGCGCAGTGGCACTGTCACAGCTCACTGCAGCCTCTATCTCCTGGGCTCAAGTGATCCTCCTACCTTAGCCTCCTGAGTAGCTGGGACTGCTGGTACATGCTACCACATCTGGCTAATTTTTTTTTTCCTCTGTAGGGACAGGGTTTCACCATGTTGCCCAGGCTGGTCTCAAACTCCTGGGCTCAAGCCATCCGTCTACTTCAGCCCCCCAAAGTGCTGGGATTATAGGTGTGAGCCACCATACCCAGCCATGGATGGGTTTTGCAGTAGGATGATCTAGTTAAGTCATTTCTCTGAGGGACTTATAGAATCTCCCAGAGAGAGATTTTTATCATCTCATACCTGTGGAGTAAAAGCTTGGCTGCTAACTTTTTAGAATTGAGAACAAGAAAGGGCCTAAGGGTCTCTTTAGTGTAGACTTTCTACTTAACCTTCTCTGTTTTCTCAGCTGTGCCTTATGCATCTTAGTACAGAGTTCTCCTAGCTCACTATTTCCAGAGTGAAGTTGGCCTCCAGCATTTATGATGACAAGTCAACTGTTACTTTTATCCTTTTTTGTTCTCATGTGTACTTTCTCCAGCTGCTTTCAAGATTGTTTTCTTTATCTTTGGTTTTTCAGCAGTTTGACTATGATGTGCGTAGGTGTGGTTTTCTTTGTAGTTATCCTGCTTGGGAGATTGAGTGAACTTCAATCTGTAAATTAATGTCTTTGCCAAATTTTGGGATTTTTCTGGCTGTCATTTTTTCAAATATTTTTTTCTGCATATTTTTCTCATTTTATGACCCCAGTTACATGTATCTTAGACTGCTTCATGGTGTCCAACAGACACTATTTTTCAATATTTTTTTCTCTGTTCTTTAGTTTGAGTAATTTCTCTTGACCTATCTTCAGTACTCTTTTTCCATTCTTCTGTTAAGCCCATTCAGTAAGTTTTCTATTTTAGAGAGTGAAATTTTCAGTTGTAGAATTTACGTTCAGCTCTTTTTACGGTTTTTATTTGTCTGCTGAAATTTCCAATCTTGTCGTTTGAGCTACTTATATTAGCTGCTTTATGTTATTTATTTGCTGATTCCAAATCTGTGTTACTTCATGATTAGTATCTATTGATTGTCTTTCCTCTTGAGTATGGGTCACTTTTTCTTGTTTCTTCATATGATTACAAATTTTTATTGTATCCTCCACGCTGTGAATGACACATTACAGTGACTTTGGAGACTGTTTTTTGTTTGTTTTTCTTTGTTTTAGGAGGCAGTTAACTTGGCTAGACTGAAATTTAAGCTATGTCTCCCTGCAGAGGGCAGCACTGACATCCCTGCTAGTTGTTTTAGTCTTATCTAGGCTGCTTATCGTCTGCTCCGTTTTTGCATAGATCACTGACCAGCCAAAGAAGTAGGCAGAGTTAATATGCAGAATTTGGGACTCTCCCTTTGTGGATCTTTATTTTCCAGCGTATCCCTCCTTACTTTGCAGCCTCTTTGGAAGCTTGAAACTCTTGTTTTTCAAGCCAGTAAGACTAAAGATTTTGATCTGGGTTTCAACTGCTGTTTGTGCAGCTCTGATCTCCGGGACCTTCCCCTCAGCAAAAGCTGTAAAAACAGGAAACCTACCCAGATCTATTCCCTTCTTCTCCTCTTCTTTTTTTTTCTGTTTTTTTTTTTTGTTTGTTTTTTTTGAGACGGAGTCTTGCTCTGTTGCCCAGGCTGGCATATAGTGGTGCGATCTCTGCTCACTTTAACCTCTGTCTCCCAGATTCAAGCATTTCTCCTGCCTCAGACTCTCTAGTAGCTGGGATTACAGGCATGCGCCATGACGCCTGGCTGTTTTTTGTATTTTTAGTAGAGACGGGGTTTCACTATGTTGGCCAGGCTGGTTTTGAACTTGTGACCTCAAGAAGTCTGCCTGTCTAGGCCTCCCAAAGTGCTGGGATTACAGGCGCGAGCCACTGCACCCAGCCTCTGTTCCCTTCTTCTAAGTGTTGTCTTGTACTTAGATTCTGCCTACTTTTGGTTCAGGTAGTGGCTTTTTTAAATCCTTTTTTTCCAGGATTTATATATAGTTATCTGTAGAAAATAAGGTATTCTGTTTTTACTGGTGGTGGAATCTTATTCATCTACCTACCTACTTATATTTTTATTGTTTGTTTTAAAAGATAAAAATATTTCATGAATTTTTATTGATATTTCCTATTCAAACTCAGGATTATAAGGTTTTTTTCATATGCATCTTTATACTGTGAATTATGAAATTCGAAGATACGAAGCAGAGGATAGAATTGGATATCCCTTAATTATTTTACTTTATTCTGTATTTCACACACATAGCTGTCTCAAAATAACATTAGCACAGTGAACAAAGTGGGTACTGAAAACAATTATTTTGTGTATGCTTTCCATCCCCTAGTTTTAAAAATACTGTACTATTAACTTTGCATGCATTTAGTCATTAAATATTATATCCTCTCCCTTGTCATTATCATTTAATCTTGATCAACAATAAGTCATATTATTGCTTGCCTTCAGTTCTTAGACTGGTAAACTATTCATTTTGGTTGTCTTAAGCTTGTTCTGTAGTAGATTCTTTAGGAAGGGCTCATGGGAGCAGGGTTCCCTAATTGCTTGCATTTTTGGTAACCGTTTATCTATGCTTTCCATGTGTTTAAAATGGATTTTACTGAATATAAAACACTTTGCTTTTATTTTCTTTCCTTGAATAGCTTATGTCACTCCATTTTTGTCTGGCATAAAGTGTTTGCCTTTGATGTTCGCTTTCTGGGTTGTTATTCCTAGGTGTGCATGGTGCTCTGTCAGTAGTTTCAATTTTTTTAATTGAACATTTAAAAAACAACAACTGACAACAAGAGACTGACAACTGAAAATGTCAGAGACATTTTTTTTTCTTTTTTTTTTTGAGATGGAGTTTTGTTCTTGTTGCCCAGGCTGGAGTGCAATGGTGTGATCTTGGCTCGCTGCAACCTCTGCCTCCCAGATTCAAGTGATTCTCCTGCCTCAGCCTCCCAAGTATCTGGGAATTACAGGTGTGCACCATCACGCCTGGCTAATTTTGTATTTTTAGTAGAGACAGGGTTTCACCATGTTGGTCAGGCTGGTCTCGAACTCCTGACCTCAGGTGATCTGCCCGCCTCCGCCTCCCAAAGTGCTGGGATTACAGGCATGAGCCACTGTGCCCAGCCATCAGAGACATTTTCTTGAATTACAGTTTTTACTATTTTCTGGCTTTAGTAGTTTTTAGGGTCTTCTGTTATCTGTATATTGATCTTTGTTGCTTCATCATCAGCTGTAGCTTACTCTCAAATACTTTTCATCTCTTCATTTCTTTTGATTTCAAAAATGTCCCTGTTTTTTGCCTTCTGGTTATCTTAAAGCATTATCTACTGTATATATTTGCTCTTGGGTTCATTCAGATATACTTTTTATTTCTGAAACTTTTATTTTTAATGCTTTCTTGAGTTCTGTTACCTTATTTCCGAGTTTTTTGAAATCTGATTTATATAGTTGTTTCATGTCTTGAGTCCTTTTTGTAATATCTCTTAGTTCATTTTAAAATAGTAGGTTACAATTTTTACCTATTTTGTGGATGTGTGTTCCTGGTATGCTTTTATTATCTGGATGTTATTCTGTATCTTACTTTATTTTTTCTTATACCTTTATGACCTGCATAATTTTCTTTTGCCTACTTTCATGTGAAATTGGATTTCCTGAACACTTAAATGGTTGGTGTGGTTCAGGATGGCTTTTCTTACAGGGCTTTCTCTACTGCTGTTTTTAGGCACGCTTCAAAACTGTGGCATTTGCTTTCTGAGATTGCTAGGCTGTGTTCCCTCCCTTCTTTATCTGAATATTCTCTTTCCATTATTGTAATTGTACCTATATAGTACTCAATTTTCATTCCACACCCAGTAATTTGTACTCATTGTACCACCCTGTTATGTAAAGATCCGTTTCAAGGATTCGTGGAGGCTAGACTGCTCTCACTTTTTAAATGTAACCGTGGACTCCTCCCACTTAGTCACTAATTGAAAGTGCAAAACCCTTCTGTACTTAAGTTAACCTAGCTTCTGTACCTAACTTGTTGGCTGTTTTAGGTGTCTTTTGTTCTCGGTTATCAGACATCTGTTTCTTTCTGTTTCCTCCCATATTGATAATGATACCATACATTATCTATGGTTGTTGTTGACTTGTTTCCATCTGATGTTTTGAGGGGGATTCATGGAGATTCTTGTCACCTAGTTTTGTTGTAAATACAGTCTGTGGGTTTTTGGTTTACTATTTAGTTTTATACATTTTTTTGGTGGGTATTTACAGATGCTCAAACACTTTGCCACTGCCCTTATTGTCCCAGAATCTTTCTAATGTATTACTTCTTAATTGCTGCTGTTTCAAATTTGATAATCTTGCCATAATTAGATTATAACTTATTCCAAGTACTACTTGAATTGTAATTAGTTCAAGCGCTATCCTTTGTTGACAGCAGCTTTTACAGTATCCAGCATAGTACTGGGCATGTATGCAATGGCTCAGAGTTGTCACTTTGGAAATTAATCTAATTTCAATTATATAATTATAGTCTAACTGGCAACCTGTTAATAGTAGGATTAGCAGCCACTCCTGTTACAAGTGAGGTGAAACATGAGGATATCAATTGGCTTGCCTGTATGTAATGTTAATTCTTGCATCATCTTTGACATATATGCCATAATCTGTCAGCCACCTGGTCTAAGCATTTCTGGAAGACTATGATCTGATGTACTGATGGTACAAAAAAGTGCACAAGATAATAAGTATCATAGAAGCGTATTGGAAACAAAGCAGACATCATCCTACAGAATGTTAGCTCTTTCTTTGTTACAGTTCAAAAATATTGTCAAGGAAATGGAGAAATTCTTGAGCAAAGCAATTAATTAAAATGGTCGAGATGGTCAAAGATGTTTTTGAAGAGATAGAGTTAAAACAAATTTTAAAAAAAAGAAAAACAGGACAGTTTGTTAATACAGAGAAAGGCAAAGAGGTGTGTTTCAGACATGATGGAATTTGATAATTGTGAAGGGACCTGAAGAGCCCAAATAATACTTTCAGCCAAAGGTAGCATTAGTTTTTAATACATTGAGTAATAATTTTAGGGATCTTGTCATCCTAACAATGGCCCAGTTCCTTTGCTTTTGAACTGGGATTTAAAAAACCAGCTAATAGAAGTCAGTTCCTAAAACACAGCAGAACTTTATTGACTTGATAAAACTTTTCAAAGTATATAGTGTTAAGAATTTAGTATTTCTTATTTTTACCTCATTTGGCTTCCTTGTTTTAAGGAATTATACTTTATTTATTTATGAAGATAGATTATCTACTTTGTAATATGTTTGTTTAAAATTATTCCCGCTGCTTTAAAAAAATTACTCCTAATTTTTACCTTTTAAAAAATCTTTAACAGGCCTCAACAAATAACGAAAGCTCTAATCACAGTTTTGGAAGCTTGGGATCTTTAAGTGACAAAGAATCAGAGGTAAGTAATTTCATTTTAAATATGGTGCTATTAAAGTAAAAGCTGGAATCACCGTTTTAATTAGTATTTTGTTTCTTCATCAGTTCTTTTGCTAAAGGTTAATGCTTTTAAAGTTTCTTATAGGAATGTTTTGTTCTGCCTTATGAAGCACAACATTCAGATTGAAGACTGCATTTGGCATTAGAAAGAAAATATAATTTCTTTGGTTATGTAGCTGAACTTGTAAATGAATGATATGTATATATTCTTACTGGAGACAGTTATTAGCCATTCATAGTTCTGTGAGAGGAAGGAGGTTCTTAAGTATGTTGGGTTTCCCAGTTTTCTATTATTTCTCTTTATTCTTTCCTTTTAGTTTGATCCTTAGTAAGAGTTTGTGTACTTTCTGAGATACACATTTTTTCCCTCTTTTTAGAATTTCTTATGGAATCATGCTGCTGGTTTTCATTTTTCGTATTTTAAAAAATCTGAAGAATTCCCTCCCCTCTTAATCCCTCCCCCTTTTACCCACTTACTGATCCCACCAAGAAAATATCTGGGATTTTACAAGCAGGCATTTGGATCCATGGTATAATTTACCCTGAGCATGATATACTTGATGACATCTTTTAAAAATGGGTAGACAGGAAGTTCCGTGAGTTTTAGCATTCATTTGTTGATGTTACAGCTTGACTCTTGTGGGTATAGCCTTTTCTCTCCTTGGATGATAACAGGTCTGTCACTTGTGTGTGTGTGTGTGTGTGTGTGTGTATTTTTCCCGTCAGTCTTATTTCTACTTGATCCATTTTTGTCTTTTTTCTACTTGATTAGTATAGACTTTTTTCTACTTGGTTAGTATAGACCTATCAACTTGATAATACCAGTAGTTCATTAGCACTCAGAAACTCTTAGGCATTTTGTTTCACTGTTCAGAGGAAAGGGAACTTCAAAGGTGGCATCTTTTTAGCTCTGTGTTATTGAAAGCATCTAGAAATCTCTAGGTAGACAGTTTCGTGCAGTTCTGTGCAGGCACCCTGACACTACAAAGGAGTATGGCATAGGGCTCTCACTCATCAGGCTTTCCCTTCCACAGAAACAACTGGCAGGCAGCTGAAAGGACTGTGCAAGTGACGGGACTTTATCTGCAGTAGGTTCCCTTGAGGTAAGCGTTAGTAGCCCCTGTAGCATCAGATTATCAGTTTAGTTTTTAAAAAATTAACATACTTATACTAAGCCTTTGAAAATTGTAGGTTTAGCTCTAGTCAAAGTTTTTTAAAAAGTGTATCAAGAATGTTCTCACTTTATATTTCCTGGACTTTGGAACATTTCTTGATATTTTCCCAGAATTGGGAATATTTAGTAATTTCACCTGCCTCCTGTTTCATAGACATTTGTGTTATGAAGAGCAATAAAATAATGTTAGATATTTCTCTTTTCTGTTCACTAAATATGATATTTTTGATAGATTTTTTAAAAAAGCAAAACATGGTGAAAGTTAGATCACTTATCACAGTTATACATTCTTTATAGGTACCCATATTCCAAATATAAGTTATAGATTTAATATTTGGATTTTTTCAGAGGAATTAGTCTATAAGAGAATTCAGCTTCCCTTTAAAGATCCCAAGGATCACTTTTGGCTATATTTTTAGTTAAAACATGTTTTTGTTTCTTAAAAGACCATACTGGCATTTGAAATGAAACACAATTTGGTTAATCATTGGATATACTTAGCTTTATCTGTATTGAAGTTTTGACATTTGGGGCAGCAGTAGAAAATCTTGAAAAATCTTTTGGGCCATGTACGGGGGCTCACGCTTGTAATCCCAGCATGTTGGGAGGCCTAGGCAGGATTGCTTGAGACCAGGAGTTCGAGACCAGCCTGGGCAACATGGCAAAGCCCCATTTCTACAAGAAACACAAAAAGTTAGCTGGGTATGGTGCCACGTGGCTGTAGTCCCATCTACTCGAGAGGCTGAGGTGGGACAGTAACTTGAGCCAAGGAAGTCGAAGCTGCAATGAGCCATGATTGTGCCACTGCACTCCAGCCTGGGCAACAGAGTGAGACCCTGTCTTAAGAAAAAAAAAAAAAGAAAAATCTTTTGACTTTTGCTGTTCTGCATTCTCTGTCTTGGAGTTTTACAAATTAATGGTTAAGTCTAGTGGCACAGAAATGACTACAGATTATACATTGTCCTTAAGATTCAAAGAAATAATTACTATTACCATTATTATTATTATTATTATTATTATTATTTTAGTGTATCTTTCCATTTAAGGAGTTGCTTATCTGGAAAATGATTCCCAGGTTTTATCTGTATAGTTGATAATTAATGAATTCCTTTGGGGTGAAATTTTATATATATCAAAATACAGATATTTATAGATCATTAAGTAAACATGAGAAGAAACAGTTGCAGGATAGAAGTACTTTTGTTTTTCCTAGTACTCCTAGTAGTAAAGTTTATGAAGTATTTCATTGTCTTCTGATGTCACTATTCTTTTGGTAATCCATTCTCCAATTTACTACAGTTGTTAAAATAGTAGTTTTTGGTTTTGGGAGCAAATAGTACTGGAAGGTTTATTACTTTTTTTTTTTTTTTTTGAGATGGAGTCTCACTCTTTTGCCCGGGCTGGAGTGTAGTGGTGCGATCTCGTCTCACTGCAAACTCCGCCTCCCAGGTTCAAGCAATTTTCCTGCCTCAACCTCCTGAATAGCTGGGATTATAGGCGTAAGCCACCGTGCCCAGACAGTTTATTACTTTTTTTTTAAAAAAAATTGCTTTCTCCTACCACCCTTACCCCACCCTGGATTCCTGAAATTTATATCCATATTTTAATATAATTAATATGCATACCCTATTGTAGTTCACCAGTTGGACATTTTCTGTTGAATCCCTCTTAGGATTTGTGATGGTTTTAACTCACCACAATCCCTTTTCTGTACTTCGTTTTCTCCTACCCAGTACTCTTTTTCAGACATCCAGAATCCTCTTGTTTTCTTCTACCCTTACTATTAAAACTGGAAAGCATCCAATTGTCATTGTTAAGTTGATTAATCTACTTCAAGTGAAATTTTTATTTCAGTTTGTATGCGGTTTATTTTATATATGAATCTTTTTTTCTAAATGTGGAATTAAATAGAATGAAAAAGTTTTTCCTCTCGTAAATAAAAGAAGATGGTAGGTAAGAAGGTATTGTTTTGATTTTGTTTTATTTTACATCACTCCTGGTCCATTCAGCAGGCTCCAAAAAATTCAGGATATTTTCAGTAAACATTTATTGCATATCTATTAACTTTTAGTCTCTGCCCAATCACAGAGAATATAAAGATGAATAGGATACAATCCCTGCCTTCAAATGAAATCAGTGTTTAGTAGAACAAACATTTAGACAGTCTGCCTCATGACAGTGTAGGCTGTGCTGTAACAGATAGAAGCACAAGATGCTATGGAAGCAAAGCGCAAGAAACCACCAATTCCATTTGCCTGTAGGGGAAAGGAAGCAAAGAGGTCTTCCTTCAAAGAAGAGATGATAGTCGAGTTTTTAAGAGAGGCTGTGAATTCATCCCATAAGACAGAGTGAAGTATGAAAAGAAGGTATACAGAGGGACTAGGATATGTGTTTGCTTTTATGTGGGAGTATGACAAGTCGTTTGGTTTAAGAGAGGACAGTGATTCTCAGCCACTACTGCTCTTTAGATCTCCGGAAAAGCTTTAAAAAATACCCAGCTGCTTCAGTGATTCCACTGGTTTTCAAACTTCTGGTAGAGGGACTATATGCAGGAATGGTGAAAGGTAGGCAGGGGTCAGGTTTGAAGACCCTTGTATTTCATAGTAAAGAATTTGGACTTCAGGTAGAGAGCCATTGAAACAGGGGAAACAAAAGACAAAGTAGAGGTGAAAGGCTCCCACAGATGGAATGTAGAGGATTGCGTTGGAGGGACATGAAACCCAAGTTAGGAAGATCACTTAATTAAGGAATACAGCCTTCTTTATAAAACTCTATAACCTTCAAGGTTTAATATTAGGAGGAAAAACTTGAGATAAGAGGACTTCTAACTAGTATTTTCAAGTTTGCTGTTTGGGCTCTGCCTTTTTCAGATTCTCTAACTTTGGTTACTGAGACTATCACCACCCAAGGCTGTGGTTCTCAAACTGTTCTGTGCGAATGAATCACTTAATGTTTATGACGGTAGGTCTGGGGTAGAATTTTGCATTTCCAACAAGCTTCTAGATTTCATTAGATTTTTTTTTTTTCTTTTTGAGACGGAGTCTCGCCTGTTGCCCAGGCTGGAGTGCAGTGGCGTGATCTCAGCTCACCACAACCTCCGCCTCCCAGGTTCAAGCGATTCTCCTGCCTCAGCCTCCCAAGTAGCTGAGACTACAGGTGTGCGCCACCATGCCCGGCTAATTTTTGTATTTTTAGTAGAGACGGGGTTTCACTATGTTGGCCAGGCTGGTCTCAAACTCCTGACCTCATAATCTGCCTGCCTTGGCCTTCCAAAGTGCTGGGATTACAGGTGTGAGCCACCAAGCCCAGCAGATTTCATTAGATTTTTAAAAAGTAGAATCAGTAGGGTTTGATGACTTGGAATTAGCATAAAGAAGGAAAGGGAGGAGCCTAAGATGATTCAAAGGGATCTAGCTAGAGTGCCTTTGATTGAGATGGGCATCACAGAAGGAAGATAACAAGTGTAGATGGCACAGTAGAAGATATCTGGAATTCAGGAAAGAGGTCAGGCTACATAAGAAGACCTAGGGGTCTTTGGCATAGGTGTTAATTAAAAAGGCTTGGTTGTAGATAAGCAGATCTCAGAGTATGGTTTGAGGATTTCTAGGGGTCCCCTGCGATTCTTCCAAGGAGTCCACAAAGTCAAGTGTTTTTTATAAAAGCGCCAACACATTATTTGACTTTTTAACTTTCATTAGCTCATGAATTCACAATGAAAATTTCCAGAAGCTGTATAACGTGATATCATCACTCTGATTTATTCATTTGTATTCTTTTACACTTGTATATTCTATTGTTATAATGTTTTTGTTTAAAATCCTAAAATAGTAAATATCGATAGTTATACACATGTAAATAAAAGCTCTTTGGGGTCCTTAACAATTTTTTAAAAGTTACAGAGGGATCCTGAGACCCAAAAGTGATAGTAAGTGGAATTAAATGTCATAGAAGTCATTTAAGATAGGGACTGTAAAAAGTGACTAAGAATTTGACACTTAGACTTAATTTTAGTAGATTAATGGGAACAAAATGCCAGATTGTAGTTAATTGAGGAGAAATTAGAAAGTGAGGAAATAGCGACAGCAAATATTGACTGCTTTTGGCAGAACCTTGACTATGAAGGAAGGGAGACAGTATCTAGAGTCAGACAGGCTTGACATATCATGTGCTAAGGAAAGAGTCATAGCAGAGCTGTGATGGAGACAAAGTGCTGAAGAGAGAGGGAAAAGAGAAATAAAACCACACATCTTTTCCTGGAGGAGGAATGAATGGGTGAAATCCAGACCCTGGTTGGGCAGGGTTATTCATAGACAGGACTAGGAACATCTTTCCCCTGAATTGGGGTAGATGAACTTGCATATCTGATAACTTTTTCTCTTACTTCACAGTGAAAATAGGTTATCAGCTGAAAGGAAAGAAGCGTGAGTGGGTTGTGGATTTGAGGACTGATAAAAATTTTATCAGAGGACCAGAGAAGAGAGTTTACCAGGGCCACTCATCCTTTATTTAAATTTTTTAGAATACCTGAAGGAGTTAGAAATATGGTCATGTACCTGACCTGCTGGCTAACAGCCCACATTATTTTATGAAGATAAGAGCCCGTGTTTCTTGAGTACCAGTGTTTCTTTTTTCTTTCTTTCTTTCTTTCTTTTTTTTGAGACAGAGTCTCACTCGTTGCCTAGGCTGGAGTGCAGTGGCGCCATCTCGGCTCACTGCAAGCTCTGCCTCCCGGGTTCACGCCATTCTCCTGCCTCAGCCTCCTGAGTAGCTGGGACTACAAGCGCCCACCACCACGCCTGGCTGATTTTTTTGTATTTTTTTTTTTTTTTTTTTAGTAGAGATGGAGTTTCACCGTGTTAGTCAGGATGCTCTTGATCTCCTGACCTTGTGATCCGCCCGCCTCGGCCTCCCAAAGTGCTGAGGTTACAGGTGTGAGCCACCACGTCCTGCTCAGTGTTTTCTAAGTTTTAAAACCTGCCTTGATCCACCCATTTGCAGTTCTTCTTGTAGCACTTTCACTATCTAAACACAATGATCTTGTGTCTCAGTTCATTTTCTGCTGCTCTAACAGAATATCACAGACTGGGCAATTTATAATGAACAGAAGTTTATTTGGCTCTTGGGTCCAGAGGCTAGGAAGTCCAAGAGCATGGTGTCAAGCATCAGGTGAGGATCATCACCCCGTGGTAGAAGATGGAAGGCAGAAGTGAGCGTGTGAGACAGAGAGGGAGAATTGGACTCAACTCATCCTTTTAATCAGGAACCCACTCTGTCAGTAACGAACCCATCCCCACAATAATGGCATTAATCCATTCATGAGGCCCCTACCTCTTTTTCTCCCCCCGCCCTCCGAGATGGAGTTTTGCTCTGTTGCTCAGGCTGGAGTGCAGTGGCATGATCTTGGCTCACTGCAACTTCCCCCTCCTGGGTTCAAGCGAGTCTCCTCCTTCAGCCCCCTGAGTAGCTGGGATTACAGGCACCCGCCACCATGGCTGGCTAAGTTTTATATTTTTAGTGGAGACAGGGTTTCACCATGTTAGCCAGGCTGGTCTTGAACTCCTGACCGCAAGTGACCTGCCCACTTCATCCTCCCAAAGTGCTGGGATTACAGGCAAGAGCCACCGCACCTGCCTCCCTCCCACCTCTTAATATTCTTACTACGGGGAGTAAGTTTCTACGTGAACTTCAGGGCACATAGTCAAACCATAGCACCTTCAGATTCTGTACAGTTGCTGTCTATACCTAAGCCCAAGATGCTAAGTTAGATTATGTATCTTCTAGCTCATTTGGAATTCTTAATGATTATTAAAAGCATAACCATTTTTCCTCTTCTCGTTTTGGATGCCCTAGGATACATTTATCTGCTTTATTTATTTCTTACTGAAGTTGGGATATTTGTGACTGAACATATCATTTAATTACATCATTTTTAATAATTAATGTTGGAGAAGCACAGTTATGTCTGTTTATACGTGTGCTTATATACAATATACTCCATAATATTCATGTTTATAAAGCAGACATATATCAAATTATTCTGTTTTTCTCAATTTAATCCTTAATATTCATCTTTCAGAATACTTTTGTATAATCTCAATCAAATTTGAACAAGTTAAAATATATACTATCTCTATAACCAAAGTAGTTTTCCACCATTTTTCATGGGTAACTACCAAGTCTTAAGCCTTTATCCACTGACCTTAAATTACTGTGTATTTTTCATCAAAGTATATTTTGGGATTTTCGAGTTATTAATTTTAAATTATATGGATATGTGGAAGCTGGGACAGTTGTTGCATCTAGAGCATTTCCTGATTTAACCTTGTTTTATATACATACCCACCTCTACTTTCTCATACCTTCTTTTTTGCCCTCTTAATGCTTAGTGCTTAGCTAGTGCTTAGTGTATTCTAAGCACTAGTGCTTAGCTATGATTCTATTTGAAAACAGAGGTAATACTGGCCTTAAGTTTTGTTAACATTTTCATTAAATTTTAATTTATCTATATTTATTTACTGTGACCTGGAGAAATCTTTTTTTTTTTAATGCCTTACTCTGAGTACCTAGTAAGAAAGAAGAGAGACTTTAAAAATCGATTTACTGTTGGATGGGATAAGTATCACTGAAAGTTACATTTTTAGGCCTTTTACTCCTGAATAAATTACCTTGCTTTTGACTAACTCTCTTTAAATCTGTTCTCCTCCTTAAGATGTTAGACACCTATCATCAATTTTAAGACATATTCTATCTTGCTGTCTAAATTATTTTCTAAAATATGTTAGTGTGATAAATGATGTTTGTGGTGTTCTACTTGTTGACCTCCTCTGTCTTTTATTTATCTTCCTGCTAGTATGTTCTCACTTTGTTCTTACCAGAAATCTTACTATTTTTATGTCATTGGTTTTTTCTTCTTTCTTTCTTTCTTTTTTTTTTTTTTTTTTTGAGGCAGAGTCTCGCTCTGTCACGCAGGTTGGAGTGCAATGGCACGATCTCTGCTCCCTGCAACCACTGCCTTCTGGGCTCAGCAATTCTCTGGCCTCAGCCTCCCAAGTAGCTGGGATTGTAGGCACCCACCAGCTTGCCTGGTTAGTTTTTGTATTTTCAGTAGAGACAAGGTTTCACCACATTGGCCAGGCTGATTTCAAACTCCTGACCTCAAATGATCTGCCTGCATCGGCCTCCGAAAGTGCTGGGATTACAGGCATGAGCCACTACACCTCCACCTCCAGCCTATGTCATTGTTTTTACTGAGGCATGATATGCAACAATGTTGCTGTATACAATGAACAAATATGTACAGTAATGATGTCTTGAAAGCAAGTACTCTTTGTACACATGGAAAATAGTATTATTTTGTAACATAAAAAATGGGGAATGTGGCCGGGAGGGGCGGCTCATGCCTGTAATCCCAGCAGTTTGGAAGACTGAGGCAAGCAGATCACCTGAGGTCAGGAGTTCGAGACCAGCCTGGCCAACAGGGTGGAACCCCATCTCTACTAAAAATACAAAAATTAGCTGGTCGTGGTGGCACATGCCTGTAATACCAGCTACTCAGGAGGCTGAGACAGGAGAATCGCTTGAACCTAGGAGGCCAAGGTTGCAGTGAGCCGAGATTGCACCACTGCACTCCAGCCTGGGTGACACAGCAAGACTCCATCTCAAAAAAAAGAAAGAAAAAAAAAGGAGGGGGGGGGGGAATGTTAAGTTTATTCTCTTCTCTGTTATTAAGACAAATAATCATGAATTATTAGACTTAAAAGTTCCTGTGAAACACCTGAAATTACTTTGTAACTTTTTTTTTTTAAAGAGAAAACAGTATTTAATTCACCACTATATATTGAAGGACACAGTCTTTTAGAGACCTATATTCAGGCAGAAATTAGAGTATCTGACACTAAAATATATTGTATTAACCGGGTTCATAGCAAAGGAAGTGAGTCCTGCTTGAATATGTTCATGCTTATTAGTCTCTTGGAAGGAAAAGTGAACTGGAAACCAAATGTGAGTCTCATCCTGGCTGTATACATCTGTTTCCATAAAGGTAGAAGAATATGTATATCAGAATTCTTCAGGAAGCTTTTTTTAATGTTTGAGTAGCCAGGCTCCCTGCTTGGAAATTCTGATATATTCTGTCTAGTTGAGTTCTTGTAGGTCATGAAATCATGAAATGGATCTGTAAGCTATTTAGCAAGCAAACAAACAGCTGTTAAATGTTACCCTTTAAAAAAGTATATTCGATGTGGTTCAGTGGTTGTTTGTTACAGCAAGAAATTTCTAAGGGAACACAACAAGAGTGCCCACCTTCACCACTTATTCAGTATAGAATGGGAAGTCCTCGCTAGAGCAGTCAGACAAGGGAAAGAAGTAAAGGGCATCCAAATTGGAAAGGAAGAAGTCAAATTATCCTTGTTTGCAGATTATATAATCTTATATTTGGAAAAACCTAAAGACTGTACCAAAAAATTATTAGAACTGATAAATTCAGTAAAGTTGCAGGATACAAAATCAATATTAAAAAAGTAGCATTTCTATATGCTAACAGTGAACAATCTGAAAAAGAAACCAAGAAAGTAATCCCATTTGCAATAGCTATAAATACTATGAAATATGTAGACATTAATCTTTTTTTTTTTTTTTTTCGAGACAGAGTCTTGCTCTGTTGCCCAGGCTGGAGTGCACTGGCACAATCTCAGCTCACTGCAACCACCACCTCCCCGGTTCAAGCAATTCTCCTGCCTCAGCCTTCTGAGTAGCTGGGATTACAGGAGCGAACCACTGCACCCAACATTTTTTTTTCTTTGAGATGGAGTTTTTGTTCTGTTGCCCAGGCTGGAGTGTAATGATGTCATCTCAGCTCACTGCACCCTCCGCCTCCTGAGCTCAAGTGATTCTCCTGCCTCAGCCTCCCCAGTAGCTGGGATTACAGGCGCCCACCACCACGCTTGGCTAATATTTTTTTTTAAATGTATTTTTAGTAGAAATGGGGTTTCACCATGTTGGCCAGGCTGGCCTCAAACTCTTGACCTCAGGTGATCCACCAACCTTGGCCTCCCAAAGTGCTAGAATTACAGGTGTGAGCCACTGCACCCGGCCTACCCAGCTAATTTTTTTGTACTTTTAGTAGAGATGGGGTTTCACCATGTTGGCCAGGCTGGTCGAACTTCTGACCTCAAGTGATCCGCCCCCCTTGGCCTCTCAAAGTGCTGAGATTATGGGCGTGAGCCACCGCACCCAGCTTTTAGACATTACTCAAAGTAGTAAAATATCTCTACAATAAAAACTATAAAACATTGATGCAAGAAATTGAAGAGTATGCAAAAAAATGGAAGGATATTCCATGGTCATGGAATGGAAGCATCAATACTTTTAAAATGTCCATTGTACCCAGAGCAATCTATAGGTTTAATGTAATCCCTGTCAAAATACCAATGGCATTCTTCACAGAAATAGAAAAAATAATTCTAAAATTTGTATAGAACCACAAAAGACCCAGAATAGCCAGAGCTATCCTGAGCAAAGAACAAAACCAGACGAATCACATTACCTGACTTCAAATTATACTACAAAGCTATAGTAATCAAAACAGCATTGTACTGGCATAAAAACAGACACATAGATCAGTGAAACACATAGACCAGTGGAACAGAACAGAGAATCCAGATAGCAATCCATATATCTACAGTGAAGTTGTTTTTGACAAAGGTGCCAAGAACAAACATTGGGGAAAGGACAGTCTGTTCAATAAATGGTGCAGGGAAAACTGGATATTCATATGCAGAAGAATGAAACTAGATCCCCTATCTCTCACCATATACAAAAATCAAATCAAAATGGGTTAAAGACTGAAATCTAAAAAGACCTCAAACTGTGAAACTACTATAAGAAAACACTGGGGAAACTCTCCAGGACATTGGTCTGGGCAAAGATTTCTTAAGTAATACCCGACAAGCACAGGCAACCAAAGGTAAAAATGGACAAATGGGGTCAGGCGTGGTGGCTCACACCTGTAATCCCAGCACTGTGGGAGGCAGAGGCAGGCAGATCACTATGTCAGGAGATGGAGACCATCTTGGCTAACACAGTGAAACCCCGTCTCTACTAAAAATACAAAAAATTAGCTGGACATGGTGGCAGGTGCCTGTAGTCCCAGCTACTCGGGAGGCTGAGGCGGGAGAATGGCGTGAACCCGGGAGGCAGAGCTTGCAGTGAGCTGAGATCACGCCACTGCACTCCAGCCTGGGCGACAGAGCGAGACTCCATGTCAAAAAAAAAAAGGACAAATGGGATCACATCAAATTAAAAAGCTTCTGCACAGCAAAGAAAACAATCAACAAAGCGAGGAGATAACCCACAGAGTAGGAGAAAATATTTGCAAACTATCCATCTGACAAGGAATAAATAACTAGAATATATGAGGAGCTCAAACAACTCTGTAGGAAAACATATGATAATCCAATCTAAAAATGGGCAAAAGATTTGAAGAGACATTTCTCAAAAGAAGACATACAAATGGCAAACAACTTGATGAAAAGGTGCCCAATATCATTGTTTATCAGAGACATGCAAATCAAAATTACAATGAGATATCATCTCACCCCAGTTAAAATGGCTTTTATCCAGAAGGCAGGCAATGACAAATGCTGGCAAGGATGTGGAGAAAAGGGAAACCTCATACACTGTTGGTAGAAGTGAAGATTAGTACAACCACTATGAAGAACAGTTCGGAGGTTCCTCAAAAGGCTGAAAATAGAGCTACCGTGCGATCCAGCAATTCCACTGCTAGATATATACCCAAAATAAAAGAAATTGATATATCAAAGAGATACCTGCACTCCCATTTTGCAGCACTATTCACAATAGCCAAGATTTGTAAGCAACCCAAGCATCCATCAACAGATGAATGGATAAAGAAAATGTGGTACATACGCACAGTGGAGTACTATTCAGCCATAAGAAAGAATGCAATCTGTCATTTGCAACAACATGGATGGAACTGGAGGTCATATTGTTGAGTGAAATAAGCCAGGCACAGAAAGACAAACTTCACATGTTCTCACTTATTTGTGGGAGCTAAAAATTAAGACAATGCAACTTATGGGGAAAGAGGGTAAAAAGATGGTTACTAGAGTCTGGGAAGAGTGGTGGTGGTGGGGAGGGGGAATGGTTAATGGGTACAAAAATAGAAAGACTTAGTAAGACCTAGTATTTGCTAGCACAACAGAGTGTGTATAGTCAAACATAATTTAATTGTATATTTAAAAAAAAACTATAAGTGGATTGTTTGTAACACCTTTGTGTTACAGTTGTTTGTAACAACTGTATCAAAATATGTACCCCATAAATATATACACCTACTGTGTACCCACAATGATTAAAAAAAAAAAATTTAAAAAGGAACCTTCTAAGCTGATTGGTGGAAACAAGATTGGAAGAGAAAAATGGCCTATTACTGTAAGAGAGTGAAGATATTTTTTTAAAGTGGAACCCAGTATAGTTCTTTACCATAATAGGTGCTCAGTAAATAGCTGTTGTCTACCCACCTCGTTAATAGGCTACTACTTATTCTCTAGCATACTCATCTCACTTGCTAGCATTTCCTAGTATACAATCAGGATGAGTGTATCTACAAAAGCAGTTTTCAAATTTTGGGTCTCAGGGACTGCTCTTTAACTTTAAAAATTGAAGGACCCTAAAGAGCTTTTGTTTATGTTGGTTACAACTATTTGGTATTTACCATTTTAGGATTTCAAACAAAATGTTGTAACCCTAGAATTCACGAATACATAATCCATAAATCATCCAGTGAGATGTCGTCACATGTCATATAGCCTCTGGTAATTTTCACTGTAAACTCAGAATGAAAGTAAAAAAGCACACCGTACAGTTAGTTTTATGTACCAACTACAAATGATTCTTAATGTGTTCATCAAAGCAAGGTTTCTCACCCTTAACATTATTGACGTTTTGCACTGGATAAATTTTGAGGGGTGGGGTTCCTGTCCTATGCAATGTAGGATGTTTAGCAGCATCTCTGCCTCTGTACATTAGATATCTACAGCCTTGTTACCGCCATCCTCAGTGCGTCAACCAAAAATGCCTCTAGGTATTGCCAAATACCATCTCTCCTGGTTGAGAACCAACTCATTACTGGAAGGAGAAAAAAGAAAGTTTTTAGCCTGTTACCAATGGAGCTAGATTGCGACTTCTTAAGTTTTACATGTCTAAATTTAGAAACCGGTGCTCAGAGTAAATAATTTGTCCATAGTCACACAGATACAAGTTAACAGAGTCAGAATTTCATTCCCAAAGTATGCCTTATTTCAAAGTGATGCTCTCAACTACTGTGCTATTATAATCTTTCCATATAACTAAGATAGTATATAACTTGTTATATAAATTACCCTGGTAAGTCTTGGACAAAAATGGTACTCTTTGGAAATATTTAGATTTCAGATAACTTACAGTAATTATCAAATTTGCCAATCTAAGATATACCTGAGCTAACAGCACTTCACAAATGTTTAATCTGATAAATGTTGCTTTTAGACTGGATTTTTAAAGCATTGAGCACAAGTTGACATTACTGACAAATTTTGTTTCAGAATTTTATTCTTTAGTTTAAAAAATATTAGAAAGATGTATTTTTATGTCAGTAGAACACAGTGAATTTTCTTTAAGATTCTCATTTTTCTAAAATAACTGAGTAACCATGACAACCCATTTGACTTTTTATAACCTAATTAGTTTTCTGCTATATGTAATAATTTTGGTCTTTAATATGGGAAGACTTTAAGGAATAACATTCTTAATTTTAGAGATACTGTAAAGTGGAGTATGTGGGAACTATACAACGTACTATTTTATATATAAACCTAGATAGACAGACAGACTGTTCCTAATCCTGATGATACATAACATCACTTCTGGACCTTTTTAAAATTAATGATTCCTTTGGTCTTTTTCCAGAGATGGTTAAATTTGGACTGGAGATTCCAGCATAAGCTTTAAATAAAAGCTTTATAAATGATTGATGTATAGTCAGCATTGAGAATCAATGCTAATAAAGATATGATAGAGCAATTTAAAAAAAGAACAAAGAAACTGGGTATGGTCACATGTCTGTAGTCCCAGGTACTTGGGAGCCTGAGGCAGGAGGATCACTTGAACCTAGGAGTTACAGTCCAGCCTGGACAATGAAGCGAGACCCCATCTTTCTTTTTTTTGTTTGTTTTTGTTTTTGAGGCGGAGTTTTGCTCTTGTTGCCCAGGCTGGAGTGCAATGGCGCGATCTTGGCTCACTGCAACCTCTGCCTCCCAGATACAAGCAATTTTCCCGCCTCAACCTCCCGAGTAGTTGGGACTACAGGTGCTCACCACCAGATCTGGCTAATTTTTTTGTATTTTTAGTAGAGGTGGGGTTTCGCCATGTTGGCCAGGCTGGTCTCGAACTCCTGACCTCAGGTGATCCACCCACCTTGGCCTCCCAAAGTGCTAGAATTACAGGCTTGAGCCACCATGCCCGGCTGATCCCATGTCTCAGGAAAAAAAGATCACTTTTTTTCTGATTAAAAGTGTTGTATTGGCACCACGGAATACTATGCAGCCATAAAAAAGGATGAGTTCATGTCCTTTGCAGGGACATGGATGAAGCTGGAAACCATCATTCTCAGCAAACTAACACAAGAACAGAAGACCAAACACCATATGTTCTTACTCTTAAGTGGGAGTTGAACAGTGAGAACACATGGACACGGGGCAGGGCGGTTGGGGGGACTTCACATAACAGGGCCTGTTTTGAGGTGGGGGCTGAGGGAGGGATAGCATAAGGAGAAATACCTGATGTAGATGACAGGTTGATGGTTATAGCAAACCACCTTGGCACGTGTATACCTATGTAACAAACTTGTACGTTCTGCACATGTACCTCAGAACTTAAAGTATAATAATAAAAAAAAAGTTGTATTGGTATAGAGAAAAATAGTAACACTTTTTTACCCATCACATCTCAAAGGATTGGTGAGTAGTCTTATACAGTGTTAATGTAAACATGTCAATTGATACTGGCTTTGAATGTGCAATTTGGCATTATCTTTAAAAATCTAAGTGTGTGGCCGGGCGTGGTGGCTCATGCCTGTAGTCCCAGCACTTTGGGAGGCCGAGGCGGGTGGATCACAAGGTCAAGAGATCGAGACCATCCTGGCCAACATGGAGAAACCCCATCTCTACTAAAAATACAAAAAAAACAAGCTGGGTGTGGTGGCGGGTGCCTGTAGTCCCAGCTACTCGGGAGGCTGAGGCAGGAGAATAGCATGAACCCAGGAGACAGAGCTTGCAGTGAGCCGAGATCGTGTCACTGCACTCCAGCCTGGGTGACAGTGTGAGACTCTGTCTCAGAAAAAAAAAAAAAAACCTAAGTGCACATATTCTGTGATACAGCATTTACATTTAAAAGTATGTATACCAGAGAAATAATTGTACAGACCTAGGGATTCGTGTTCAAAGGAATGTTTGTAGGGGTATGATACAGGAGTATGTTACTCCATTGTGAGTGTCACAATGGGTCAAAAGTTGTGAGACCACAGCTCTGAATTTGACTATTACAAGCACTTTCAAAATGCCAACATTTCCAGAATAAATTATCTGAAAGTGTTACTTCCCAACCCCCACCCTTCAGCAGTTGTTCTAAATGGCTGTTTTATTCTTGTATGATTTGAAAACTACTGGCAAGGTAATTTGAGTAGGGGAGAAAGTTCAACTTTATTCTAATTTTATAGTATATACTGTTTAACAAATAAAGCCTTAAAGGGATAGCCAGAGAAGGGAAAGTGCCAGGAAATAGACTACGTAAGTGATAAGAAAATAACAGACAAAATCATTTTCATCAATATTAAAAACTTAGTATACTCCTTTAAACATGTGTGAATGCAGTGGGTCCAAGTGATAGGAGTTTAAGAAGTCACAATGTGAGGATGTCAAGTTAGGTAGTTGTTAAAAATTGAGCATAAAATAATTGTTTTAATATTACATTTCTTTGGAGTACTGATACGGTTGTGAATGCTGTGCATGTGTAAATAGAGTCCTTCAGCCTTTACAAAAATGTATGAGGTGGCATACTTTAAGTATACCTGTAAGACAGCACATATTTTAGTTGGGTGGTTACCCAATTTCTTCTTACTGGTGTTCTACCATCTTTTATATTACACGTTATTAAACAATAAAGGCAGTACAGCAGAAAATATACTACACTCCAAATTGCTGATATGATGATTTTGATTTACTTAGAATTGCAAGGAAATGCTTTTATTTGATGATAGGATTCCAAAATTTTACATACATAAATTTTTTATACTAAATATTAAAATCAGCATTATAGTAGAGATCTTCTTTTAGAGGTCAAAGGTTCAAGTAAATATTTACAGATAATAGTTATCAATATTAAAGTTTTAACTCTTGGGCAGAGACAGACTATGTGAATTTCAGGTCATACCAGCTCAAAATCATCCTTGAATTCGGATGTGCATATTTCATGGTAACGTTTATATGTAAATAGGATACAAAGCAGCAAACATTTTCCTGTCTCACATCTAGTTCAACAAGTTTTGCCTAGAAATGTGGATAAAAATTGAACATTGTTTTACCAGCTGCCAGCAAAAAGGTTTGTCATGCCATTTGTTCAAATTATAGTACCCTTGAATTTGGTACCCAAGTATGAATCATTAGAATAGCCAGAGAGGGCTGGGCGCAGTGGCTCACGCCTGTAATCCCAGCACTCTGGGAGGCCAAGATGGGCGGATCACTAGGTCAGGAGATCGAGACCATCCTGGCTAACACGGTGAAACCCCCCTCTACTAAAAATACAAAAAAATTAGCCGGGCATAGTGGCGGGCGCCTGTAGTCCCAGCTACTTGGGAGGCTGAGGCAGGAGAATGGTGTGAACCCAGGAGGCAGAGCTTGCAGTGAGCTGAGATTGCGCCGCTGCACTCCAGCCTGGGCGACAGAGCGAGACTCCGTCTCAAAAAAAAAAAAAAGAAAGAATAGCCAGTGAAGTTGCAGTTTTGAAACCAGTCTTTGGCTGAATGGATCTGTCAGAAAAAAATTCATTCTGTCAGGTTTGAAGATTGAATATTTTGTAAGGATACTATTTAATATTAGAGTAACTTTTGTTTCTGTTTTAAAGTATTTTCTTGTTTAACAAAAAGAAATATTCTGTGTCTATTAACTATAGTGATTTTATTAGAGATGATGATACCTGATTTTTGTTGTCTATTCAGTGAGGCCCAATGAAGAACAAACTTTAATATCCATTCCCTCTTTTTTTGTTGCTATTAAAATATTTTTTGTATACTGTAAAATTTTCTGTAATGCATTTATTTCCATAATTTTAAATCTCTCTCTAGTTTGAGGCTTATACAGGTGGTTATCTGTTTTCATGGAATAATTCATATTGATTTCTGTCCCTCATACTGTAACAGCATTGAGATTCATGTGTTCTTATGTTTGGTCTTATTTACATTGAAGAAAGACTCCTTTATATTTTATTATAAGATAAAAGCAGCAGGCTACATGATTAGATATAAAAACCTTGATTAATAATCACTGACCTAAGTTCCAAGTAAAATTGGAGGATTAGTTAAATTATATCACTACACTTCTTGAGTCCTTTAAATTTGTCTTTGTGTTTTTTCAACAAACTTTCAACTGGTAGAAAATACTGTGTAAATTCACACTAATATCTTGGAATCTCTAAATGCCAGAGTAGTCATTCAGGTTTTGGTATGATTACAAATCTAACATTTACACAGCTAACTTGGTTTAAAGTGTACTAGTCTCTCCTTTCTTCATTTTCTCCTAATGACTGTTTCATTGTATATTGGAGCTCTTTGGCCTTTTATAATTACTGAATACTTTTCATCTTTACTTCAAAGCCAAATCCTATTATTTTGCCTTCCGTATTAATCTTTTCTTTAGTGGTCTATTTATAGTAGGATAGCTAAGAAAAAATAGAGAATAAAAGAAAGAAATGACAGCATTATTAGCAAGAGCAGTCTTGAAAATGTTCTATATAAAATGTTTAATATGTGCACATTATATACCTTAGCAAATACATAGGTGGCCTGGTTGATGTCCTTTGGATTTCCTCAAGGAAATCATTGGTCATGATCAGTAGTTTTTTTTAAAAGCTGTCGAACTATTTTTTCAAAGGAAATCTCATCTGGAATCTCAATATTAAAATAGGAGATGCTGTGTTTGCAGATTCAGGGTAGAGGTAACATAGGATATGTCTCTGGTAGGCTGGAGCCTTAACTCAGCCACACACTTCCTTCCCTTCTCCTTCCCCTTTAATAACTTCTGGGGCACAACAGTCTTAAAATTAATTTTAGTCCTGTTACCCTTTTTCTTCTCCATCTGTAAATTCTTCTCTGGTTTAAAGGAGGTAAACTTGTTGCCTTCTTTACTATAATTATAATGCATTCGTTTGCTTTTTGGTTGGTTTAATGAAAAGACATTTTTGCCAATGGACTGTCCCATACCTCCACACTGGGAAATTCTGCCTCAGAGGAAAAAGGCTTCACGAAGTAATCTATATGTTAAACAACAAAACTAAGTAATCTGTATGTTAAACAACAAAACAACCTTAAATATCCTGAAGTGCATATCCAGTGAAGTATTTAACGAATGTTGTCTCAAATAAGTTTTGAAAATTTATTGTATCTTCCCACCTCATCCCTCTTTTGGAGATAGCCAGTGCATGTTAGCATTTTGATGGTTCTGAGAAGCCTTGCAGTAAAGAAATCTAATTTTGTTTACCCCGTTTGAACTCACCCCTTTTTACCCTCATTTAGAACATAGTCTTCTCAACCTACCATTGAACACTAGTTCCTTAGGATATACTTTAGAAAATGGTACAGAACCATTTTGAACTTTACATTTTATTTTGTTTTCTAGCTAGAAAATGCTGTTTCCAATACAACTGTTTCAGAATTATAACATTTTGTATGGGTTTTTCCCCCCTATTTTTGCCTGTTCAAGAGTACCTAGTCAAGATTTAAGATGGAATTCGAATAGGATCCTGCCATGCTTAAAAAATTAGTATAACATTAAAGGATTCTGAAAAATTATGTTTTCTTCGCTTTTTTATATATAAATTAAGTTAGGAAGGATATGAATAAATTATTATTTGGGGATCTTTTATTTTAACGTAGACTTGGGGTTCTTTTGTTTTTGAGATGGAGTCTCGCTGTGTCACCCAAACTGGAGTGCAGTGGTGTGATCTTGGCTCACTGCAACCCCTACCTCCTGTGTTCAAGCGAGTCTTGTGCTTCAGCCTCCCGAGTAGCTGGCACTACAGGCATGCACCACCATGCCCGGCTAATTTTTATATTTTTAGTAGAGTCAGGGTTTCACCATGTTGGCCAGGCTGGTCTAGAACTCCTGACCTCATATGATCTGCCCGCCTCGGCCTCCGAAAGTGCTGAGATTGCAGGCATGAGTCACTGCACCCGGCCGATTTAGGGTTCTTTAATAAATGTTAAAAGAATTTTTAATGTAGTGATATTTTTATTTCTAGGAAAACAGAAGATTGATTATTGTTTGAGTTTGGTAATTTTGACAATGAAACAAAAGTAGTAAACTACCTACCCAAAATTGCTGGTACATCAGTCTACCTCCTGAGTAGATGGCCAGTTAGGGTGGATTTCTTTAAGACTTCTGGTTTGTGAAATGAAAACATACTGGCATTTCATTGGACATATTGAGTTTTATTCATAAACAGTAAAATTCTGAAATATTTTTGTATAGTAGATTCATTTAGTTAGTTCTTGATGTAGGATATCATAGAAAAAATAAAGAGCATTTAGGTCTTAGAATCATACAGAACTGAATTTAATTTGAATCCTGGCTCTGCCACACTGGTAGTGTTACCTTGAGTAGGTTACTTAATATTCATGCATGTATTTATCAAGTAATAACTGTATGCTAGGGGTGGGGTAAGAGGGTGAGATAGGGAGAAGATGTAACATCTGTATTTAAAGAATTCAGATGCTATGAACATTTGGTCCAATTTCTCTGAATCTGTTATCTTGTTGGCAAAATGGAGGTGGGAGAACTTTAAATACTCAAGATGGTACTTAGAGGAACAATATGTGTTCAATAAGAATTAGGCTATGTATTGTTATTCATATATTTAATTGTAGGCCCACTCAGAGACATGAAAATACGGATTAAATCCCTTCCTTGTTGGGGGACCATGATGCTTTTAAGAGATTTATTTTAAGTTGTTTAGTAAGATTCATTCATTCATTCAGTCAAATATTAGTGGAGCTCTTGTGAAGTTCAGGAATTTTTCTGGCACCAGAGGTGCTTACCACGTTTCTAGAATTTGAGGGCCTGGTGCCATTGCCTGTGCTTTTGCTCTTGGTTTTAATTTTTGACTAAGCAGGAAAGTTTGTCAAACTCCAGAAAAATTACTTGTATTAGTCTAATGAAGATACTTTCTATCTGTTATAGGAACACACATGTCATTTGGAACCAGAGCCACCATCTAGAGCAGGGATCTGTTAACTTTTTTTGTAAAAAGCCAGATGCTTGCGACTTTATGGGCCATTCCAACTCTGTTGCAGCTACTCAGCTCTGCCGTTGTAATGTAAAAGCAGCTATAGACAATACCTAAATGAAAGAGTGTGGCTGTGTTCCAATAAAATTTTATTAGGAATACTGAAACTTGAATTTCTTGTAATTCTCACACCACAAAATATTCTTTTTGTTTTGAATTTTTAAAATTTCAAACATTTAAAAGTGTGAAAGCTATGGTTCGATCATACAGAACAGGTGACCAAACTGATTAGGCCCATAGGCCATAGTTTACTGATCCGTTATCTGGGGCATAATCTGTGAATTGGCTATAACGGTTGGATAATAATTGCCAGGCATTTACGTGGATGGTCCTTTTTAGTAGGGATTGTGTATATCAGGGTTTGTGTTCTGCCCCTTTTTTCTCATCCAAGTTTACTTTTATACACTAAGTATGTTTGAGTAGTAGGAAACTAAGGAAAAACTTAATAGGAAAAAACTCATAGGAAACACTAAGGTGATTTTTTTCCCCCTCATCCAGTTAAGCATTTGAAGGTCATCTTTTAAAGGCTAATTATTCTAGGATTTTTCATCCACTTCATGTCAAATTCTGTAACTGAATATCAGATAATATGTACAAGGTCTTCTCTACTTGGAATTTTAAAATGTATACAATAGGAAATTTTATCTTTTAAATAAATTGTGTGTAAATAACAGTATATTAACATCTCTTGAGCACTACTGAATGCTATTTTTTTGGTCTCGAAACATGGTTTTATGTTGACTGTGATAATTTTGTATATTAAAACTGTCATTTAAAAATCTGTTATCTTGTTTTCTGTAGACACCGGAGAAGAAACAATCGGAATCATCCAGGGGAAGAAAGAGAAAAGCAGAAAACCAGAATGAAAGTAGTCAGGGTAAGCACATAACATCTTCCTTCAGAGCCTAGTGGACACTTAAAATTAATTGTTTTAATTTTTAACCAATTAATACTCTAATTGTAAAATAATATGAAGTTGTAAATTTTGGTGTGTGCACAGGTAGTTAGTGTATAATGATTGCTTTTAGGCTTTTCAATGTTGCCCTTATTGTTTTCATTTGGGTCCTAGAAAGACAAGTATCATGTCCAAATCTGGCAAGCATTAACTTATGACTTTTCATTTTTCATTCTTTATATGTATTGTATTGAAATGGCTTGTTTTTGAATTAAAAACTTCAATCTCACTTTAACAGAACTACTCAAACTTTTCCCATTTATTTAAAAAAAAGGCTATCAAAATAATTATGAGAGACTCTAGTTAAAGTATTATCTGTTTTTCTTTCCATCCTTTCTTGCATACCTACTTTTTGTGATATGAACTAAGAAAATTATTTTCATTTAACTAAATATCTTATAATGAATAGAAAAATAGTGTTGTCATTTAATTTGAGCACTCAAAATTAAATATAATAAATTGGGCTCTTAAATCGTGTATAATGATGACTTTATACATAATGTTACATGTGTTGGAGCCAATCTTTAGCCATAAGATCTATGGCTGTGAACCCATGACTTACTGGTGTATATAGGGCACTGGAAGCAAGGAATGTATTTGCAGCAACTGTCTTTATGGAAGGAAGGGTAAGTCATTTTAGTGCCTTTTCTGAGGTGTATTGTATTTTGTATCTCAGTTTACACTGAGCTCCTTTTTGGTCTTAGTGTAGCCTCCCCCAGGTTGTAGTTAGTGGACTTGGAGCTTTATTTATTGTAAAGATATAAACTCAAAAACAAGCCCCCGAATAAGATGAGGCTTCTGGATTGGTTGAACCATGTTTTTTTCCTTTGTGGTCTGCCATCTACAGATTTGTCTGATTATCTTTGTTTTTAGGATGGTTGCCTAAATTGTTTTTTCTTGTTTCACCTTCCTCACTTATATTTGCTTTAGTCTGGCTTTCAGTGTTTTTTCCCCCCTTCCTTTGGAGTAAACTTGACTTCAAGTCCAAAGCAGACCTCTCCTCTCATCTTCTGCAGGGTTCCCCAACCTCCCGGTCTTCCAGTCCTTGGCCTATTGGGAAATGGGTCGTACAGCAGGAGGTGAGCAGCGGGCCAGTGAGCATTACCGCCTAAGCTCGGCCTCCTGTCAGATCAGCGGCAGCGTTAGATTCTCATAGGAGTGTGAACCTTATTGTGAACTGCACATGCAAGGGATCCAGGTTATGCACTCCCTTATGAGAATCTAATGCCTGATGATCTGAGGTGGAACCGTTTCATCCCAAAACCATCTCCCCTACTCCCCGCAGTCTGTGGATAAATTGTCTTCCACAAAACTGGTCCCTGGTGCCAAAAAGGTGGGGAACTACTGATCTTATGGACTAGATTGGTCATATGTCCATTCCAAAACTAGTTAGGACCAACAGAGGTACTATTGCCTTAAAAAAAATCAGGCCATCTGTAGGTGGATAGTGTCAGAAATTTAAAAAAAGAAAAAAATCAGGGCCATCTTTGAACCTGGAAATGGAATTAAGTTCTTAAACATACAGCCTGTATGGAGAAGGGATGATACTTGAACAAAATTGGATTTCTAATAAGAAGGTGAGAAGGGGACCTGGAAGTGGAAGTTGTATAGGAGTCAGCTTCCTCTGAAGTTACATGTGCCATGTAGGGTGAAGGGTGTTAACAGAACAAAATTTCCATTCAGTTAAGGAAAGAGAATTGGGGAAATAGCTTCTGGAGTAGGCAACCAAAACCATCTGTCTTCATTAAAATATAGTACCTCTTTAGAATCTACAGAGAAATTATTATGGACAGAAGGGAAGTCCCTTTAGTATAAGACCTTTACAGTCATCTCTGACCTCTAAATAAATCTGTGCAGAACTAATGTTCAAAATTTCTAGGTAGCATTGGTAGTCCTGAATACTTGTTTAGTTTTTAAAAATTCCCCCCACCTTGTTCCAAGAAGGAATTTAAAGTTGTTAAACTTTTAAGAATACTGTTTTTCATCTTAGTAATGCCTGGCACATAGTAACCACTTAAGAAATATTTGTTAAATAAAATAAATGAATCATGAAATAAGTCAGCATTGAATTAACAAATATATGTATGTTTATATTAAGCAAAGCTTTTGACTTTGTGATATCACTAGTTGTAACTTGAAGAAATCGTGTATTCTGTATAGTTCCAGTCAAGGATGGTTACTTCTCCCCCAAGAAAGCATCTCTAAACATTGTATTTCTTAGCAAGTTCTTAATTTAAAACTTACAGGACTGATGAAGAATCCATTTTAGAGCAAAATATTTAAAAAATAGCGTGATCTCTAATGAGCTGGTTCACTTTGTCAGCGTGGTCATATATGAGCAATATTTACAATCTAGTTTTTAAAAAACATTGTATTTAATTTGGGAATGCTTTTTAGAAAATCAAAATACATTTTACAAAATAACATTCCTATTGAAGTGTGTTACTGTCAGTTTGACAGGAATCATGTTATGGTTTGTATAACTAAAGCTGTTTTATTATTATTTACAAGTAAAGGTTAGTTTGTCAGTGATGCAGTCGCTACTTTTTTATTTACTGATTTGCTTTTCTGAAATTAGTAGTTATTAAGCAGTATTAATAATGTAGTTTTAAAACAGGACATCACTTACATCATTTATTTGTAAGATTCTCCAATAACTGGAACTTTTAAAAATTGGCATGTCTCTATTGAAATGTCATTTGATTTTCATATTTGTGAAATTGATAGCTGATGTCCTGCGGACTCTTAATATTTTTTTGATGCCCATCACTACCCTACTAACATCATGCGCTTCTTATATTTTAGGAAAAAGTATTGGGGGACGTGGCCACAAAATTAGCGACTATTTTGAAGTAAGTTCATTGAGGATTGTCTCCATTTCCTAATTCAGTACTATTCTGCTGTGAGCTAGAAATAATTTCTTAGAAGCACAAGGTCAGCTTTTGATTACTTACTTGATTAGAGCAGAGCTTTATTACTATGTGATATCTTTCTAGGAAAATTAGATTTACATTTACATTGGGATGCCATATCATTTTTTTCTAAATACTTTCTCACATAGTTGTTTATAATAACCTGTAAGATAGGCAAAATACATATTAGTGTTTCAGTTTACAGATGATGAAACTGAAGACCAGAAATGTAAAGTAGCCTACACCGTAATTTTTTGAATTTTTGCAGTCAGACCGTGGCAGCAGTGACCTTGAGCAATAATAGAACACTAGGCATAAATGGGTTAACCCATTTAAGGCAAAGTCTGAATTGAAGAGTAAAGAATAGAAGTTAAAGTTCACTGGCTCTCTAGTTGAGAATTCTTTCTACTATCAAGTGTAATTATTAAAACAACAAACATGGTCTACTCAATTGAAAAATATTTATGTTTACTTGAGAGAGCAGAATTGGCTGATTAAGGGAAGGACTGATTTTTTTTTCCACCACTGCTTTCTTTCTTGGGTTCGTAAAATCTAAAGTAAAGCAGTTGCTGACCATGAGATACCTGATGCTCTTTGGTTGAGGTCAGTCACTTACTGATATCATTAATTAAGAACCTTTGCCAAAGGTACGATGAATTCAAATCAACAAATGTCTCTTGAATGCCTACTATGTGCTAAATTTTATGCTAGGCTCTATTGATAAAATAAATAAGGCAAAATCCCTAGGTTGCAGGAAGTTGTTTAATGAACATGCTGGGAAGTTCCTATCTGTGCTGTTCATGTAAGTAAAGTAATTAAACAAGAAATGATGAAATGGACAATAATCTACACCCCCAGAGGAACTTTGCTGCAGCAAGTTATTTTCTTTTCCCATCCTTCGTATGTGAACTTGAAATAGGAGAAAAGATAGCTATGGAATAGATCAGTTGGCTTCTCTTCATATGCAGCTAAGTCATGCACTTTGTACAGAAGAATTGATTTTTTAAAGATTTTGTGCTGTTAGAGGGAAGGGACCTATTATAATTCTTTTTATATAGTGCCATG
The DNA here is from genome assembly GCF_000001405.40 of Homo sapiens. NCBI lineage: Eukaryota > Metazoa > Chordata > Mammalia > Primates > Hominidae > Homo > Homo sapiens. The sequence continues at coordinate 171,057,025 of NC_000002.12, read as the reverse complement.
AACACTTGGGTATCTTGAGAATGATATTCTGTTTAAAATAGTTGATTATGTTCACTAAGGTCTATGGGTAAACATTTTGAAATTTCTTGGGATTAGGGACTATATGGCTCAATAAACATTTGTAGGGGACCTGTGCTAAGATTTGGGGGGAAAACAAAATATGTTTATTGCTTTGGAGGAATTTATTTGTCTTTGAGTTGACCAAAATAACAGATGATAGTCAGAATATAGAGTAATAAGGATCTTTATAAAACAGTCTCGTCATGTTCTTGTGATCAGTAGTCTCTTAGTCTTTTAGGACTTGGCTGACCTTGTGTTTTTTTTTTTTGTTCTGGACCCATTTAAATGACTACTTATTTTAAAATTAGGTATATTTAGATTAATTCTTAATGTCATATCTGAAATAACTGTCTGAGCCTGCTTTAGTAAATAATAATGCTTCCTTTTTCTTTTACTCAGTACCAGGGTGGAAATGGCTCAAGTCCAGTAAGAGGCATACCTCCTGCAATCCGTTCTCCTCAAAATTCACATTCACATTCCACTCCTTCCTCATCTGTAAGTCATCTTTCAAGTTTTTCATGTGTAGTCTTTGGGAGGGTTATGTACACTGAATAAGTTTTATAATTTGTTGTTTTTTATTGAGAACTTCTATATAAATAAGTTAGCATTTATCTTTTAATACATTATTTCTGTGACATGAATTAAATCCTTTTAAGTTATCTGGTGCTATTGGAATTTTATTTCTGGAAGTGAGCCTCTTAAAGATTTTCTGAATTAATTATATCCAAGAAGCATTGTTTATGTTAAAAGAATGCCTGTTGAGTCTGTGGGACTAACATGAGTACTCTTGTATCAGTCTGTATTCAGTTGTTGATTCCTAATTTATAACTTTCTTAACAATTGAATTTCTTAACCACTAAAATGATAGCATAATTCCTTTCTGGGAATCCTTAAGAAAAAGGCAGGGTATGTAGTTCAGTATAGGAAAAGAATCATGGACTTAAAATTATCTTAAACTTTTTGGTTTTTTCATAACATTTTAGATATAGTTCTTTTATATGCATTGTTTTGCATATTGGATTTCATTTTTAAATTTACTTTCATTGTGTGAAAGTTCAATATCTAACTAGAAAAACAATATTGGTTTTCAGTAATTTAAAGAGGAATTAAAGATTTTTAAAAATCAGAGTTTCACTTATTTATTCAAACATCTTGTTTTTATGTCTTGTGTCCCCTTCTTGTCCTTTGTCTTTAGACATACTTGGTTTTGTTTTACTCATTTTGTACCTTTCAGGATATCACATTGCCGTGTATAAAAGTAAGGCATAAGATTCAACAGTAACTAAGAGTTGTAGTGATAGCGCTGATACAATGTTATAATCTGCTTTCAGTGAGTGTCTTTTTGAACTAGTGACCAGATAAACTATGAAATTCATTGATAAATTGATATTAAACTACATATGGGCGTGTATTATTGTCCCTAGTAAGTTTGTTTTTTCAACTATCATAATCATTGTTTAATATTTTTCAGAATAATTTATTTGGCCTTATTTTTTTTTTAACTGTATGAAAGCATTAAGATTTCTTTTATGGCACTAGAATGTAAGCTCTATGAGGGCAGGGAATATATTGTTGTATTTCTCACTGGGTCTTATGTAGGAGGTACTTAATGAACACTTGTTGAATAAATGGTGATTAAAGGTTTTAAAAGTCAATTATGTTTCAATTTAGGTATTATTCTGATAGAAACTTCTTCAGAAATGTTAAGTAATTGTTGCTAATTAGAAATCTGTTTTGTTTTGTGTTTTTTTTTTTTTTTTTTGCTAATATAAAAATTTTAATAATTTCTTTAGGTTCGACCGAATAGCCCTTCTCCTACTGCATTAGCATTTGGGGACCACCCTATTGTACAACCAAAGCAATTATCCTTTAAAATTATTCAGGTAAATGATAATTAAAATGTTTTTTTCTATGGCTTCTAAGAAACCATTGACTAACTTACTAACAACTAAGATGTCTGTTTGTTTTATATGTAGTCATAAAGCAGAATTACACATCAAGAAAGATAACTTACTAAACAAAAACAACAGAATTTGTAGGAAGGAGTGAGAAACTGAAACACACAATTTACTATCAGCTTTTTAAACAACCGTTAACATGTCAGTTCTGTTTACTGATTCTTTCTGAACTTAATTTCCAAGTATATGTAATTGATATTTTGTGAAACTGCTGTATTTTTTAGAAGTGGACATTAAAGCCTCTCATTTGACTGTATTTATTAAATACGTATATGTGACAAATTATAAACATTATTTGAATTATTTGTATATTTTCTATACTTATTTAGTTTCATGAATTTGAGCACTAAGTTTTTCATTTTAATTTTTTACATGTGACAGTTTCTGAGTGGCACTTTCTCAGACTGGGGTTTGGGAGAGTAGATCTTACTCTTCAAGCTCAGCTTGACAGTTTATTTCTATTAGACTGTATTTGTGAGGTCATATCCAAACTGTTGTGCATGTATCAAAACCTCTTTCTTTGGATGATCCTGAGGCTAGGATTAGAAGTACATTCCTTTCAGCCACTGAGTAGATCATGAAAGGTTTTGCTGCATGAGATGTTGGTCAAAGGACATAAAATTTTAGTTGGAAAGTAAGTTCAAGGGAACTATTATACATCATAGGGGCTACAGTTAAAAACAATATTTTGTGTATATGAAAATTGCTAAGAGAGTAGATTTTATTCACACCACAAAAAAAAGATATGTGTTAAATAACTTGATTTAGCCATTCCACATTGTATATACATATATCAAAACATCGTGTTGTGTACCATAAATAGATAGGTTTTTACTTATCAATTTAAAAAAGGTCTTGCAAAATTCAAAAAAATCAACTAGAGGAACGTATAGCACAAAGCAGCGGATATATTGAATTATAATGAGGAACATCAGTATTCTAAGTAATTGGCCTTTCTAGATGTTTCTTGGTAAGTCTGTAGCATTTATACACTTGAAGTTATTAAAACTGCACTAAAACTTTTTGAGATTCACTTTACATATACACACAAATATATTTTTCTTTACCTTTTGAATTTGGAGTAAAATCTAGTTTTATGTTTGCTTGAAACAACATATATAATGGAGATAATAAAATAACTTTTTTTCATTTAGACTGATCTCACAATGCTGAAATTAGCAGCATTAGAAAGTAATAAAATCCAGGACCTGGAAAAGAAGGAGGGACGTATAGATGATTTGCTCAGGGTAAGTAATGAGTCATAGAGGGGAAAAAAATTGAATAAATTATTTGGCAACAGTCAAACTGTTCAGAAAATACTTAGCATTGTAAAAAAATCTGTAGCTAGGCCAGGCGCAGTGGCTCATGCCTGTAATCCCAGCACTTTGGGAGGTCGAGGCGGGCAGATCACAAGGTTGAGAGATCAAGAGCATCCTGGCCAACATGGTGAAACCCCGTTTCTACTAAAAATACAAAAATTGGCTGGGCATGGTGGTGCGTGCCTGTAGTGCCAGCTACTTGGGAGGCTGAGGCAGCAGAAATGCTTGAACCCGGGAGGTGGAGATTGCAGTGAGCTGAGATCACGTCACTGTACTCCAGCCTGGCGACAGAGTGAGACTCTGTCTCAGAAAAAAAAAAAATTCTGTAGCTAGAACTCAATAAGCTTTTTCTGTTAGTTTAAGTACATGATTGAAAAATACCAATTTTAAAGTGAAATATTTTATTAGATCTTCAATAAATTGGGAATTGAGAAACTGTTGGAGAACTGGAAGTTAATAACATTTATATGACCAACTACCATAACACAAATAGCCATTTCATGTTAAAGTTTATTGATTTTATTATATGCCTGACATCTGATACCTATACGATGAAGTAACTGCTGCAGTTCTGTAGGATTTTTAATGGAAGCTTTATTTAAAAATACATCTAGAAGTATACTTAAGAATGTAAGGGTTTAAAGCAGCAGTTCTTACCCCTTGATGCTCCTTAGACTCACCAGTTGGGAAGGGTGAAAGTACTAATGCCTGAAACTCTACCCTGAGGGGTTCTGATCAAGTTGATGATGATGTAGGTCTTGGACATTGGTAGTTTTAAAGGCTCTCCCAGATAACTTTAATTTAAGACAGCATTGAGAACTACTGGTGTAGAAACTCGATAAAACCAACACCTGTGATCCTACTGTATTTGACAGTGTCTTTAAAACATCCAGTGTGTCTTTTTCCTGATCCTGTCATATTTACTTTCTCACACCCATTTACCATTTAACCACTATTTTAAATTTTGTATTTGTGATGCCTTGGTGTTTCTTTATGGTTGTATTAAATATGTGCTTACATTCTTCACAACATATTATTTCAGTTGGTTTTTGAACGTTAAGTGAAATTTTCCAGTATGGACCCTTTTGCCCAGCTTGTTTTCAATGAAATATATCAGAGAGTCATCCACTTTGATGAGTATAACTGTAGTTTGTTCATTTCATTGCAATATTGTAAGGTGTTACAAGTATACCATAATTTCTGTATCTTTTCTGCTTTTAGTTGACATTTTATTTCTACTTTTTCTAGTATAAACAGTTCTAAGAACATTCTTTGTACATGTCTTCAGGGCACATATGAAAGAATTTTTCTGTGGTATATGTTTAGGAAAGACATAGCCAGAGTACAGGGCATACGCATTTTCCATTTTACTGTATAATACCAGTTATTTCTCAAGGTTTTTTGGTCTGGTCTTTTTTTTCCCCCGCTAAGTGACAGGGTCTCACTGTGTCGCCCAGGCTAGAGCACAGTGGGGGATCATAGCTCACTGTAGCCTCAAACTCCCGGGTTTAAGCAATATTTCTACCTCAGGCTCCCAAGTAGCTAGGACTACAGGCTCATGCCATCACTCCGGGCTGATTTTTTTTTATTTTGTAGAGCTGGGAGTCTACAGGCTGGTATTGAACTCCTGGCCTCAAGTGATCCTCCCACCTTGGTCTCCCAAAGTGCTGGGGCTATAGGCATGAGCCACCATGCCCAGCTGATCTTTCAATATAAATTATTAGTCTTACTGAAATTGGTTTTGGGTATGGCATGATGTAGGGTTTCATTTCAATTTCTTTCTATATGGATAACCAGTTGTTCATCCCCATTTAATTAAAAGCTCATTCTTATACTGCCAGCTCTATCATCATAAAATCTTGTTTCCAGTATACAGGTGGATCTGTTTCTGTGTTCTGTATCATGTTTCCTTGTTCTGTTTGTGTCTCTACACAAGTACTGCAGCATCTTTTTATCATTGTTGATAAAACAATTTTTATCAGTTGTTTTTGGCTGTTAGTAACAGTGAACATAAATAACAGTACTTCAGATGAGATAGAAGCTTATTTTTCAAGAGAAGAACAGAAGTGGGCAGCTCAGATATTATTACTCCTCAGTATCATAAGGGACCTTGTCATTGTTAGTTCATGGCTTATATCTCAAAGGTCACATCAAGGTTCAATATATCTATTAGGGTCACAATTATATCTGTGTTCTAAGCAGATAACAGGAGGGAGGATGGGAGCAGAGAACACAAAGCACAATTCTGTGTGCAGCCTTCTTGGATATCTCATTGAACAACTTCTGCTTGCATCTCATTAACCATCCTTCGCTCTAAGGGAAGCTGGGAACTGTAGTCATTTGGCTAGGCAGATAGCAATCCAGGATAAAACATTGAATTTCCATTATTAAGGAAGGAGGAGGCTTGGGTGATCATAGTTATGTAGCTTTATGTTAAGTCATGATACATGGTTAAACAGATATCCTCTTCTTCTTTTTGGCTATTTTTGGCCCTTCACAGTCTTAGAGAAATTTTAGAATCAGGTTTCAAGTTGCATATGCATCATACACACACAGTGTTGAGATTTTGTTTGAATTGCTGAGGGTCTATTGGTGCTAAATTCTGTTTCCTCTTCCTTGAAAAACAACTGTGTTGGGTATCTAATTTTAGGTTGGCAATTCTTTTCTCTCAGCACTTTTAAGATTTTGTGCCCTTGTCTTGTGGATTCCACCATGGTTGGCCTAGACTTTTGATTCTCAAAGTGTGATCTTCAGACCAGGAGCATCAGTATTACTGGAGAACTTATTAGAAACGGAAATTTTCAGGTCCTTCCTGAGACCTGATTCAGAAGCTCTGGGAATGGTTCCCAGTAATCTGTTGTAACAAGCCCTATAGGTTATTCTCTTGCCACTGTACTAATCAGACTCATCTTTTGATGTTAGAAGGAAGCCTCTTCTCTGAGCATATGGCCACCTACAAAGTGAACAGAATTAGTATCCTATTGCTAAGGAAGAATGGTGAGGACAGTTGTTGGGTAGGCAACTTGTGTATGTCATTTATAAGTTCAGTGGAGAAAATATTTTGTTAGTTATAAGAGATAGAGGAAAACCCACATTTAATTTGTTAATTATAAGAGATAGAGGAAAACTCACATTTATTTTTAAGTGATAGACACTTTATATACCATATTTTAGTTATTTTTAACAAAGTGAGGTAGATTGTGTTGCTTCTATTTAGAAATAAGAAAGCTGAACTAAAGTTCTTATAACTTAGCCAAAGTTAACCTTAGAGTATGGATTTGAATGTATGGATATGGATACAAATTTCCCTGTATGTACTTTCCACTACACACTTAAGTAACATTTAACAGTATTATCTCATGGTTAAGTAGGCTTTTTTTTTTTCTCGTATCATACTCAGATATTTAATATTATTAGTCCTATCTGTATATAATTTATTTAGAACATTAAAACTATTTCTAAGCTTTTCATATTCCCCAGTCTAGACCTCTTGCATTTTCTACTTATGTCATAGGCTAACTGTGATCTCAGACGGCAAATAGATGAACAACAAAAATTACTTGAAAAATACAAAGAACGATTAAATAAGTGCATATCAATGAGCAAGAAACTTCTTATTGAAAAGGTAGGCTAAAAGTTGAGTAAATTTTCGCTTTCCCTTCATTAGCCCCTTTTGCTTTGTATGCTTTTATAAATTAATGAATACAATTGAGTGATGATTTTTTTTCTCCTTTTCAGAGTACACAAGAAAAGCTGTCAAGCAGAGAGAAGAGTATGCAAGATCGATTACGCCTCGGGCACTTTACAACAGTTAGACATGGCGCTTCATTTACTGAACAATGGACAGATGGTTTTGCATTTCAGAATCTTGTGAAGTTAGTCATTCTTAACATTTAAAAGTTTTTAGTATTCGTTTGGGTTTTCATTACTTTAAAAGATTATAGATTTGTAATTATGCTCTCCAGTTCCTCGCTACTCTGAAATCATAGAATTTAGTACCTTTGAAAGGGATATGAAACCAAGAGTATTACAGTTTTAGCTTAGTAATTTCTTGATTAATTAGCAGTCATCTATAGAATGTAATATATTATTCTAATTCTGACTTTCCGAGATATTAATTGAACCTTTAGCTTTACAGATGATGTTTTGAGAGGGAAATTGTTGAAAATTTAATTTTCACTGGAAGATTTGTGTGTGTGTTTATTTCCTAGGATTTTCCTACTTAGTTTTTTCCCATTCCCCAATCCTTACATGTTAATGTTCAGCACTTGCCTGCTCTCTATTCCTAAGGGAAAAAACTTCTCTTTTGCCTCAGATATAATAACTGATTTATCAGTTAAACTGAACATGTGGCTTTAGCGTTTCTGAGGTAAACTCTATTTATTATTTATTTATTTTAATTTCAACTTTTATTTTAGTTTCAGGGAATATATATGCAGGTTGTTACAGGGGTATATTGCTTGATACTGAGGTTCGGGGTACAATTGAACCCACCACTCAGGTAGTGAGCATAGTACCCAGTAGTTTTTCAATCCTTGCCCCTGTCTCTGCCTCCTTCATCTTTGTAGCCCCCAGTTTCTATCATTCTCATCTTTATGTCCATGTGTCTCCAATGTTTAGCTCCCACTTATACATGAGAACATGCGGTGTTTGGTTTTCTGTTACTTTTCAGATCAAACTTTTAAACAGAGGAATTATAGTTACCATATTTTCTTGAGTTCAGATGGTGGTAGAAAAGGATTTATTGGCTGTTTATGTGTTAAGGAGTGCTAAATATGCTACTCCGTTTTTGGTGGAAAATTTTTTTAAACCTGAAAATGGGGAGTAATGCCAGCATGAACATCAGCTTTTCCAGAGTATCCAGTTATTTGAAATAGAGGCAGAACTTACTTTCACATGGTATCACACCAACATTGCTGTTCAAACACTGCCTCCTAGGACTTGCCACAGAATGGCCTTCTCTCTCAGCAGATTTATTCAACTTTTCTTCAACATATCTGTGCTAGTTATACCACAGTGAAACAAAGGATAATGTCCTTGTGATATTAGAGAGTTTGGGTTTCAATTCTGCAGATAATGGGACTTGTTAAAGGTTTACATATAGTGTACGTGATCGGAATGATATCTACAGTGATAGTTGTAGAATAATAACTGATGGTAATGTGAAAATATTATTAGAGGATGAATGTTATTGGTAGTTAAGATGGAGGGGTATCCAGATGAAAGGTGATTAAAGCATGAACTAACATATCAACAGTAAAGTGGAAAGCAGGAGAAGATAATTTTTTAGTGTTTATGAGCAAGAGGCTCTGCTACTAAACCCAGACCGGCAATTGTCCTGCAATGAATAAAAGAGACAGTTATATAATTAATATGAATGTTCTGAAATATAAATTCTACTAGTAGTTCCAATTTCTCCTCTTAACTGTCAGAAAAGAGGCCACAGGTGCAGTGGCTCACGCCTGTAATCCCAGCACTTTGGGAGGCCGAGTTGGGAGGATCACCTGAGGTTGAGAGTTTGATACCAACCTGGCCAGCAGGGTGAAACCCTGTCTCTACTGAAAATACAAAAATTAGCCAGGCATGGTGGTGGGCGCCTGTAATCCCAGCTACTCGGGAGGCTGAGGCACGAGAATTGCTTGAACCTGGGAGGTGGAGGCTGCAGTGAGCCGAGATCATGCCACTGCACTCCAGCCTGGGCGACAGAGTGAGAGTCTGTCTCAAAAAATAATGTCAAAAAAGAAAATAATTACTTGTATGTCCTGACTTTCACTAATAAGCATTTATTGAGGACCTACTGTGTGTATATCAAGCCGTTTATAATTGGTGATATAATCCAGAGTGGTTAGAAGATGAGAAGAGAAATAAATAAAAGTAATAATATTAATCTCTAAACTGTATAGTCATCCCTGAGTAATCAGCTATTAATATCTATTCCAGTAATTCTTTACTTTCCATTAATATTTTAATCATTAGGATTATTATTGCTTATTTGCATTTATACCATCTTGATTGTGCCCTAAAATAGCCTTAAGATTTACTTATTAAAAATTGAAATTTATTCCTGCTTCTAAATGAAAACCGGATTAAAGTCTTGTTCTCACTTTGCTATTCTTGAGATTTTTCTCTACCCTTTCAATCTTCTACCTAGATTCTTCTTGATTTTTTTCACTCCTATCATATTCTGCTACTTTATCACTAAAACCATAGGGAAGGGGATGTGTGTAAGGTCAATTCTGCATTAGCAAAGTAGGAGCCCTTTAGTTGATGTCAGTGGTTGGGGAGAGGAGGGCATGAAATATTTGACTTGCTCTAAGTATTGTAACCATGTAGGATTTGAAAATTTTTTATTGGCATAGTGAGGTGACCTGAAAGAGAACATGGTTACTGTTAGAATAAGCTTAAGGTGTTGTATGATAAGTTGGTTTTAAAAAGCTTCACTGTTAACTACTTTATGCTCTGCTCAAACTGCTAAAATATCTAATCTACATTTTAATAATAGACATGGTATCTATTCGTTTTTAGAATTAGGGAGCTATTTGCAAAATTGTTTCAGTTTCTTGAATGGGAAGCATTGATTTTATTTTTGTTACTTTCCCATTTTTCAGAGCCATGCTAATTTTTCTTGCTATTTTCTTGTCTTTTTCCCCTTAAATTATCAAAAAAATTTTTCTCATAAATTTCTTATATTAAGGTTAATTTGTCTCATTTCAAAACACCAACTTCCCATTACCAATTTTTTTTAACAAAAGTAGATTTAGAAAATAACTCTCTTCACATTAAATTCATATTTGCCTTTTGTAAATTTGTTTGCAAATACTGTGGTGAGATGCATGTGTAACATATACCCCATACTTTAATAGTTTGGGGTATTGTTTTATCTCATTTCATTCAAGAAACATTTACTGAGCAAAGGTAAGTGATGATCACTACACTAGGTACTAGGGATACAACAGTATAAATACTGTATAAATAGACACCATCTGTGTTCTTAGGGAGTGATGTCATCTAACCGGACACTTTCTGATAAAGTATCTATAGGAATAATATTTATTAGAAAGAGTGAGGTGGGGAGATAGAAGATCCCATGAAATTATATATGGCAACACATCTTTCCCTAATCTAGGGGTTTAGAGAATACCTCACTTAAAAAAATTCTTTCAAATGAGACCTGAAGGATAAGTACAAATTGGTTCACAAGAGTGGAACCAAAAGGTTACGAATGTATATTTTATGGTTTTTCATGTTTTTTATGCATTTTTTCCAAGTTTAGCCTTGAAAAGTAATGGAAGGTTAATATGGTTTTATTTGTTTATTTTTACACAGGCAACAAGAATGGGTGAATCAGCAAAGGGAAGATATTGAAAGGCAAAGGAAACTTCTAGCCAAACGCAAACCTCCCACAGCTAATAATTCTCAGGCACCCTCTACCAATTCTGAACCAAAACAAAGGAAAAACAAAGCAGTCAATGGAGCAGAGAATGATCCCTTTGTTAGACCAAATTTACCACAACTGTAAGCCTCCATTTAAAATTTTTCTTTTTTAAAATTGTTGCCAGTGAGCGTGAATGTTACTAATGGATGTTATTTATAATTAATACTTAGATAGCAAAAATGATTAAGACCAGGAAGGAAGGCAGTATTGAAAATTTAGCTCTAAATTAATAGCCCCAAATATCTGAATTCTACCGTTTTAAGCAGAGATTTAACAATTCTCTTTTAAAACAGAGACCTAGGTAGCTAAGAGGTTACCAGAATTCACCCTTCTGTGTCTGAATCAGTTAGGAATCAATTAAAAGTTTTGGATTATTCTAATTCAACGTTTCCATTCACATTCCTTTGTCTGAGAGAATGAAGTAATGTAACTACCATTTATATGTTTTCTCAGCCTGTGAAAGCAGTTCATTAGTGGGTTATAGGTATTGTTTTTCCCTTTCTGCTTTTCTTTGTTTTCTGGATTTTCTTTGTTAATGAATTATTCTTTATAATTTAAAGGACAAAGACATTTTTTAAAAGAAAATTTGGAAAATAGGACAAGAATAATAATATAGACCATGATCCCATTTCACAGAGAACACCATTGTTAAAATTTCAATATACAGATGTATCCAAACTTACATAAATTTTCTGTTCTAGAAGAACTTACGTAAACTCACGTGAGTAGAAAATACATAGACCGGGCACGGTGGCTCATGCCTGTAATCCCAGCACTTTGGGAGGCCAAAGTGGGTGGATCACGTGAGGTCAGTAAATTCTCAGAGAGAAACCCCGTCTCTACTGAAAATACAAAAATTAGCCGGGCATGGTGTCAGGCACTTGTAATTCCGGCTACGCAGGAGGCTGAGGCAGGAGAATTGCTTGAACTTGAGAGGCGGAGGTTGCAGTGAGCCAAGATCGTGCCATTGCACTTTAGCCTGGGGGACAAGAGTGAGACTTTCTCAAAAAAAAAAAAAAAAAAAAGAGAAAATACATGTACCCTCTAATGTCTTGTATGTCATGTATTCTTTTCTCCTCTATTGAAAGATTGTCTGTCATCCATGCTTTGAATCCCATCCACACCTGTATCAGGAACCTCTTCTGTTGATACCTCCTTTGTGCTCTGCTTGTTACTTCCCTTCCAAAAACATGTAAGCAAAACCATTAAAAAACTCTCCCTCAATTACAAATCCCTTTAGTCTCTATATTCTGTATGTTCTCTTCATAACTAGGCTTCTTCAAAGAGTTGCCTGTCCTCGTAGTCTCTTCTGCCTTGTCTTCCAGTTGCCCTTTCTTAACTGAAATTTTTCTTAAGATTATCTTCCTGATGCTAAATGCTGTAACATTTGGGTCTTTAACTTACGTAGCAGCACTGAATATTGTTGACTTATTTTTTTCCAAAAAGACTATTTTAGTTTTGAAGATACTGAAGTTTCCATTTTAACTCATCCGGCTGCATCTTCTCAGTCTCTTTCTATGGGCATCATTTACTTACCAATCTGTAAAATGTAGATGACTTTTAGGGATATGTCCTAGGCCGTCACATTTCTCACTCTGCGTATTCTCCTTGAGTAGTATCTACTCTTAGGGTTTCGGTTACCGTATACATCCTGCTGACATCAAAATTACCATCTCCAGCCCACTTTTCTCTTGAGTATCGGATACTTCTGTCTCAGTCTTGAATATCACATCCTGCTTAGTTGCTATCAGTACTTAAATGTCTCACAGGAACTTCTAATGCAGCCTGTTCAAAACTATATTTACTAAAAACAAATAAAACCTTGTATTTACTGTTATCTTTCCGATTCAGTCTGTCTTTACACACACATACTTTGCCCCTTTTCTGTGTTCTCTTAGTGAGTGGCACTACCATCCTCTCACATGTAAGAATTCTAGTTGTCACCTTTAACATTTTAAGTACAGATTTTATTTATTTTTATTTTTTATTGTTTTGAAGAGATGGAGTCTCCCCATGTTGTCCAGGCTTGTCTTGAACTCCTGGGCTCAAGCTGTACTCTTTGCCTTGGTTTCCCAAAGTGCTGGGATCACAGGCATGAGCCACTGCACCCGGCCAGATTTTGTTGATTTTTTCTTAATCCATTAGTAATTAGATGGTGATAGTATTAATCTTTCAAAGTCCATCTCAAAATGTACTTTCTTCTTAAAGCCTTTCTTAATTTTCTTGAGCTGTTGTAAGTTACAATTAAAACATTTTGACTATATTAATTTTTTAAAAGAACTGTACTTTTTGTAAGTTAGTAAATTTGTTTAAGAAAAAACCAAAAGCCAGGTGAATGACTGGCTTGGTGGGTGATTGTATTAAAAGAAAGTGTGGGCTGGGTGGGATGTCTCACACTATAATCCCAGTGCTTTGGAAGGCTGCGGTGGGAGGATCACTTGAGTCCAGGAGTTTGAGACCAGCCTGGCCAACATAGTGAGACCTTGTCTCTATTTCTTTAAAAGAAAAAAAAAGCAAAGTATGTGTTAGCTTTAACTCTACCCTGTAGATGCCCAGTCCTGCTAGATACCAGATATGTCCACTCATCCTTTATGCAAGTTCCCGCTAACACCATTCATTCTAACTCAAGTTAATGCTGTCTTTTACTTGGGTGATGTTTATAATCTCTCCCTCTTCCCGCTTCAATTTTGGTCTCTTCCTGCAGTCTGTTTTCATGTCGTAGAGTCATTTTTCTGAAATAAAAATGTGATCCTTTCATTCTCTTCCCTATAACCCTAACAAAGCTCTCCAGTACTTGAATGATCTAACCCAAAAGTCCTAATATGGCTTATAAAGCACTTTTGATCTGGCTCCTTCTTCGTTATCTAGCCTCATTGTTGCCATCACTCAGTACTTCTACTTCACTGCCAACATTCAGACTCTCACCCATTGTCTTAATTTCTGTTAATCTGTTAAGTCCCACGGTAGTTATCGCTTCCTCCTGGAAGCTTTTCTTTAATATATGAAAGATGGGAGTTATTTATTACTTTGAGGTATCACCATAGTAAGTACCCTCTATCTCTTCAGTCGCAGCATCAATGTCCACTCAGGTGATGACACTAGGAATCTGCCTGTCATCTTAATGTTTCTCTTTCCCTCATTCTCTGTGTCTGTTTCCATAACATTTTCATGTTTGCTCCATTCTTCATTTTCACGGTCACTGTCTTAGTGTAGGACCTTGGTTTTTTTTTTAACCTAGATTACTATTTTTCATGTCTCACCATGTTTAACCTCTGTCAGTGGCTTTCTAGATAAAATTCACCCACATGAAGACCCTTTATGTAAACCTTATTTCTCACTTTATCCTCATTCTCCAGCATTTGCCCTACATATATCTTAAGTTAAACTTTTTCAATTCTCTAAATGGACTGTGCTTTCTTGCTTCTGTGACTTTATCTTGTTCCTTACCTTTCTTCATTTGTCTCATTTCCTGTTTATCCTTTAAGACTTGGCTTAAATGCTGTCTTCAAAAGGAAGTTCTCTCTAACCTTTTTTTTTTTTTAACCAGTTTCTCCTATTGCCTCTCACACTAGGTGCCATGATATTTTGTGCATACTTGTATGTATTGTAGCATTTATTTCACTGTTTTATCTCTGTAGTCCCAATGCCTAGCACAGTGTTTGGTGTATGGAAAGTGGTCAATACTAAATTACAATACACAAGCATTTAGGCTGGGTGCAGTGACTCATGCCTGTAATCCACTGTTTTGGAAGGCCAAGGTGGAAAGATCACTGAGGTCAAGAATTTGAAACTAGCCTGGGCAACAGAGCAAGACCCTATCCTTACAAAAATAAAAAAAAAAATTAGCCAAGTGTGGTGGCATGTCCCTGTAGTCCCATCTACTCAGGAGGCTGAGGCAGGAGGATCTCTTGAGCCCAGGAGTTTGATTACAGTGAGCTATGATCACTCCACTGCACTCCAGCCTGGGTGACAGTGAGACCCGGCCTCAAAGGGAAAAAAATAAAAAAAACACATTTGATCGAATTTCATTTTCTTTTTGATAGATCATCTTTCTGGTTTGTCACAGGTATTTTGTTTACTAGTTGTCTTCCAAGATGCTAACAGCTTTAATTATAGTCTAATAGTCATAGTCTTCTTTCGTTTCTATCCCATTTTATTACATATGTTGACCTAAAACTAACTCTGTGGCAAATGAAGTGATGGGTACTACATGGCAATTTGATTGCATTCTTAAACAAATTATAGGTTTAAATAGGGCAAAAGGCCACAGAAGCACTTTGATTCATATATACTGCAGTTTGAATAATGCTTTTTTAACACAAAATGTCACATCTCTACTTGGCAAACTATCTTTTAAAACTTCTTTTGATTCATTGTTTAATGAAAATGGCTTTGGCTTGTGTGCAGAATATCTAGTATAATTAGGGGACAAGTTATGAATCTAGTTATCAATTGTCTATCAAGAAATTAACATAGAAAATGAAGTTACTATTATGTAGTACAGTAGTCCCCAACCTTTTGGCACCAGGGACCAGCTTTGTGGAAGACAGTGTTTTCATGGGCTGGGGTGGGGGCTGGGGGATGGCTTTGGGATGAAACTGTTCCACCTCAGATAATCAGGCATTGTATTTTCATAAGCAGCATACAACCTAGATCCCTTGCATGCGCAGTTCACAATAGGGTTTGTGCTCTATGAGAATCTAATGCCACTGCTGGTCTGACAGGAGGTGGATGGAGTTCAGGTGGTAATGCCTGCTGGCCCGCTGCTCACCACCTGTTGTGCAGCCTAACAGGCCATGGACGGTACAGGTCTGTGGCCCAGGGGTGGGGAATCCAGATGTGGTGGGTAGGACTTTAGGTTCTGTAGTCAGACAGATGTGGATTCCAAATTTAACTCTCCCAGATTATTTTTAGTAAGTTATTTTACTTCTTTGAATCTCCATTTTCTTGTGAAAGTATCTACATTATACTGTTGAAAAGATGGTAGGAGGTAATGCATGTACTTGGCATGGTTTTTAGTTCATAATTTATTTTTAACTATTAGCAAGAGTCAGTTTTTTAGGTAATAACTTGTAATTTTAGTTACAAGGACTTTTTATTCAGAGTAAATAGTTTGGGTAGTTAATACTATCTCTAGATAAAGTCTGTTGACACTTACATTGATTTTCCTTTACTAATACATTTTAACCAAGATTTTTACTTAAAATATATTTCAAATTAAGCTTTGGTTGTATCTGTTAGACTTACATGTTGCATGTTTCACAGAGGGTGACTGCAAAGTTAAGAATAAGTAATATTTTACCTCATATATTATTGAAGTTGGACAGGTCATTGCTTTTCCATTATAGCTTTAATTTTAAATTAAGAATATATTTTAGGCTGGGCGTGGTGGCTCAGGCCTGTAATCCCAGCACTTTGGGAGGCTGAGACGGGAGGATCACTTGAGCCTAGGAGTTTGAGACCAGCCTGGGCAACATAGCAGGACCCCATGTTTACCAAAAAATAAAAAATTAGCCAGACATGGTGGTATGTACCTATAGTCCCAGCTTCTCAGGAGGCTGAGGTGGGAGAATTGCTTGAGCTGGGGAGGTCAAGGCTGCAGTGAGCTGTGATTGCATTACTGCACTCCACTCCAGCCTCGGCAACAGAGGAAGACCCTGTCTCAAAAAAAAAAAAAAAAAAAAACAAAAAAGGAATATATTTTGTATAACATTATTAGTAGACTACTTATCTCTTTTTAAAATTAATGAACTTATTTTTTAGAGGAGGAGGAGGGCAGTAGTACAGCAGAATTGAGCAGAAAGTACAGAGTTCCTATATACCTAACCCCTGTCCCCACACGGATACATTCTCTTCTACTGTCAACATCCCACACCACAGTGGCACATATGTTACCTGCATAGACACATCGTTGTCATCCAAAGTTACATTAGAGTTCACTGTTGATGTTGTACATTCTATGGGTTTTGACAAATGTATAACTGATTTTTCTAAAATCCTGTCTGAAAAATCTTCCTTTCATTGGAGAATTTAATCTGTTTTTCAATTCATGCAATTACTTATTGAGGCTTATCTTTATGCTTCTGTTTATCCTACCTAGTCTCCCCCTTTTTCTTTTTTTCTCACCTTTTATTGCATTGACCAGTTTTTGTTTATTTTATTCTTTTTCTCTATTACAGTATGAGCATGCTTCTATACACAGACACACATATATACACACATCTACCTATAGGACATCATTATTGTCTTGCATAGTGAGTGTTCATATGGACTTTATCCACATATTTATTTATTTTTTGCTCTTTACTTATTTCTACACCTCTCACAAGATTTTTCTGCCAAGAATACCCTTTACAAATTTTCCTTTGTAAAGGAAAATTACAAAGGGGTCTGTTGGTAGTGACCAGTTTTTGTTTGTCTGAAAATTATTTTGCCCTCTTTGGATATCTTTACTGGTTTTAGAATTTTGGGTTGGTAGTTACTTGAAGAGATGATTTTTATTGTCTTCTGATTTACATTATTACTATTGACAAGGTAGCTGATAGTCTTTAGAGAAACAATCCTGAATGCAGCATAAGCAGTATTTGGAGATGAGATAACTAAGAGTGTTTCAAAAACAGATGAACAAGATCAGTCTACAGGTTCATGAAGGCCAGCAAATTCCAGGGGATATGAATAAAAAGAAACACTCATTGAGGTTGGGTGTGGTGGCTCACACCTGTAATCCTGCCACTTTAGGAGGCCGAGGTGGGTGGATCGCTTGAGCTCAGGAGTTGAAGACCAGCCTTGACAACATGGCAAAAACCCATCTCTACTAAAAATGCAAAAATTAGCCAGGCATGGGCCTGTACTCCCAGCTACTTGAGGGGCTGAGGTGGGAGGATCGCTTGAGCCTGGGAGGCCAAGGCTGCAGTGAGCCATGTGCGTGCCATTGCACTCCAGCCTGGGTGACAGAGTGAGATCTCTGTCTCAAAAAACAAAACAACAAAACAAAACAAAGCTCATCTATACACATCATAGTGAAATTTCAGAAAATTAAGGCAAAGAGAAAAAAATTCTTAAGCAGCCAGAGGGAAAAAAGACATATTGAAATAACAGTTTAGAAAAGACAGGCAAACACCACCCAAAAGAAAGCTATATTAAATCAGACATAGTAAAATTTAAGACAAAAAAAATTATTAGAAATGAAGTGGTTGTTATAAAAGGTTGAAATCACTAGGAAGCTATAATAATTCTAAATTTATATAAATATGATAACATGGCCTCAAGATAAATAAAAAACTAATAATAATAGACAGATCCACAAATCATAGTGGGAGATTTAAGCACATTTCTTAGAAATAGAACATGTAGATAAAAATAAAGCATTACAAAACAAAACACACAGTGCATGCAAAATTAATGGGATTGGCAAACTTGAACCAATGGACATATATAGAATACCTCCCAACATCTGCAGAATACATGTTCTTTTAAAAATATTGACTATAAAAAAATTGGTTATAAAGCAAGCCTCGGCAAATTTCACAGGATTGAAAGTTTATGTAAGAGTGGTATTCTTTCTCCCTTAGTCATTGGTAGAACTCCAGGATGAAAATGATTGAAACCATTATATATGTTCCCTGACCACAATGCAATTAGCTAGAAATCTGTAACTAAAAGGTAGTGGAAAAGTGCCAATGGAAATGAGAGAAAATTCTGAAATGAAAGATTTCAAAATATTTTGAAATGAATGTTAGTGAAAGTGCTACATAACAAAATTGGTAAAATGTATCTGAAAGAGTATCGAGAGAAAATTATAGCTTTAGTTATGTATGTAAGAAAAGAAGAAAAACTAAAACTTTAGAAACTAATCATCTATTTCAATAAGTTAGAAAGAAAATGAGCAAGAGAATTAACCAAAGAAGAGGGAAAAGATAGCAGAAATTAATATAGGAAACACACATACAATACAGAGAATAAACTAGTTTTTTAAAAATCGCGTTAAAATTTTTGTAGGGGAAAAAACCTGATACAATTGATATGATTGATTTTTAAAAACCACAGCTATCCCCAGGAATGAAAAAAGGAATATTACTACTGTGTCTAGATATTTAAAGGAAACAACACATTATAAATTGCTTAAATTTGAAATCTTTGTGAAATTGACAAATTTAAAGAAAAATACAGTGGAACCAAAACTGACAGTAGAAGAAACAAAATCCACATAGTTCTGTAACTATTAAATAAAGTGAATCTGTAATTTAAACATTTATTCAGAGAAAAACTGCAGGTCCAAATAACCGCATCTAAGAATTCTATCAGCCATTTAAGGATGAAATAGTGCCAGTCTTTTACAAACTTTTTTGAAGAACAGAAAAGGTAGATATGCTTCCCACTTATTTTCTGAGGCCGACATAATCTTGATGTCAAAACTCAACAAAGATTGTACAAGAATGACAGTTACAGGCAAATCTCACTTGTGAAAATAAATGCACAAATCTTAAAATAGTAACACAAACACAACATATAATATATAAAAATGCTAATTTATGAAGACCAAGTTGGGTTTATGTTGGATGTGCAAGGTTGGTTATAGATCAGAAAAATATATATAACTTTTCACATAAATAGAAAAATCATATGACTATCTTAATAGATACGAAAAATTTTAAAAAATTAGATAAAATTCAACATTGATCTGTGACTAAAACTCTTAGCAAACAAGCAGAAGATACTTCCTTAATCTGCAGTTTGCTTTCCTTTTTACTTTTGCTTGAGTATCTCCATGCTGTACTCTTGGGTCATCATGCCTCTGTTTTTTTTTTTTTTTGAGACGGAGTTTCACTCTTGTTGCCCAGGCTGGAGTACAATGGCACGACCTTGGCTCACTGTAACCTCCGCCTCCTGGGTTCAAGTGATTCTCCTGCCTCAGCCTCCCGAGTAGCTGGGACTACAGCCATGCGCCACTATGCCTGGCTAATTTTGTATTTTTAGTAGAGATGGGGTTTCTCCATGTTGGTCAGGCTGGTCTTGAACTCCCGACCTCAGGTGATCTGCCCACCTCAGCCTCCCAAAGTGCTTGGATTACAAGCGTGAGCCAACGTGCCAGGCCCATCATGCTTCTTAATACCCTATTTCTTCTTCCTGGCCTCCTGCTGTTGCTTCTTTTTAATTTAGTTCAGATATTACCTTTTCTGTGACTTTGACTAGTTTCCTGCAGATAGAATGTATTTTTTTTCTTTGCTCTGTGTATTCATAGCTGTATTATAAAAAGTAATTATCTTAAAATCAGCTGATGAGCAACCTTGATCCCATTTAAATCTAGCCTTTTTTAAAGACTAGGATATGGCATTTTGGGAAAACCATTATTCTGTTTACTGACCCCCAAAGATTCACATCCTTTCCACATGCAGAGTACATTCACCCTATCTCAACATCCCCATTACAGTGTCAGCACAAAGTCTGACATCACATCTAAATCCCATAAGCTCAAAGTTCAATTCTCATCAAATAAATGAGATATGAGTGAGACTTGGGGTATAATCCACCCTGAGACACAGTTTTTCTTCATCTGTGAAACTGAAACTCGAGAAGCAAGTTACCTCCTCCCACAGTACGATGGAGGAACCAGGTATCTGATGACAGTTTAGAGACATTTCTGTTCAAAACAAAAAGCAGTGGAAGCAAATTCCTGCAGAATTTCAAAATCCATTCAAACTCCATTTGGATTCAAGGTCTGGGAATAATCTTTTATGATGATCTTCTGTGCTTCTGCCTTTTGGGCACAGGTTTCTGTCCTCTAGGTTATCCTTTCTTTTTGATGAAGTTTAGCCTGCTAACAATCTGTTTAAACTTTTTAGAAATTATGCTTTTTTTGGGGGGGGAGACAGAGTCTCGCTCTGGGTTCAAGTGATTCTCCTGCCTCAGCCTCCCAAATAGCTGGGGTTTACAGGTGCCCACCACCATGCCAGGCTAATTTTTGTATTTTTAATAGAAACAGGGTTTCACCATGCTGGTCAGGCTGGTCTCGAACTCCTGACCTCAAGCAGTTCACCCGCCTTGGCCTCCCAAAGTGCTGGGATTGCAGGCGTGAGCCACTGTGTCCAGCCTTCAGAAATTATGCTTCTTAAAATTCTAGCCTCTGTCCCCTGCCCAGTTCCAAAGCCACTTCCATGTTTTTAGGTATTTATTAAAGGCGCATTCTACTTCCAGGTAAGAAGATCTGCAGTAATTTCTTATGGCTGCTGTAACAAATCACACAAACCTAGCTTTAACCAACACAAATATTACCTTACCGTTTTAGCGATCACGGACCTGAAATGGGTTTCATTTGGGCTAAAATCAAATTGTTAACAGGGCTATGTTACTTCTAGAGACTCTAGAAGAGAATCCATTTCCTTTCTTTTTCCAGCTTCTAGAAGCTGCCCACATTTTTTGGTTTATGATCCCCTTCCGTCTTCATAGCCAGCAGCGGCCAGTCAAGTGTCTCACCTGTCACATTACTCTGATTCTGACACTGCCTCCCCTTCCCTCTGGGCACACATGGGTAATGCAGAATAACTCCCTGTTTTACTGTCAGCTGATAAGCAACCTTAATTTCACCTGCTACCCTTAATTTTCCTTTTCTTTATAACCTAATACATTGACATGTCTCAAGGATTAGGATATGGAAGTCTTTGGCCATTATTTTGCATATCACAGTAGTACTTGGTATGTAAGTCATTGTATTAGTTTGCTTTCACGCTGCTGATAAAGACATACCCGAGACTGGGCAAGTTACAAAAGAAAGAGGTTTAATGGACTTAACAGTTCCGCGTGGTTGGGGAGGCCTCATAATCATTGCAGAAGGTGAAAGGCACATCTCACATGGTGGCAGACAAGAGAAGAGTGCTTGTGTAGGGGAACTCCCCCAACCCCCTTTTTTTTTTTTGAGACGGAGTTTTGCTCTTGTGCCCAGGCTGGAGTACAGTGTCAAGATCTCGGCTCACCGCAACCTCCGCCTCCTGGGTTCAAGCAATTCTCCTTCCTCAGCCTCCTGAGTAGCTGGGATTACAGGTGCCTGCCACCACGCCTGGCTAATTTTTTGTATTTTTAGTAGAGACGAGGTTTCACCATGTTGGGCAGGTTGGTCTGGAACTCCTGACCTCAGGTGATCCACCCTCCTCGGCTTCCCAAAGTGCTGGGATTACGGGCATGAGCCACCAAGCCCAGCTGGAACCTCCCCTTTTTAAAGCCATCAGATCTTGTGAGACTCACTCACTATCATGAGAACAGCATGGGAAAGACCTGCCCCCATGATTCAGTTACCTCCCACCAGGTCCCTCCCACAACACGTGGGAATTCAAGATGAGATTTGGGTGGGGACACAGCCAAACCATATCAGCCATTATACTTATACTAAGTATAAGTAATTGCACTTCAATTTCTATTACATTGTGAACGTTTGGACTCTTCAAAGGAAGACTAGTTTCATCCCTCCCACAATCACCTATTTTTTTTCCTAGTGATAACATTTTTTAATTGAGGTTAAATTTATGTAACATACGAATAACCATTTAAAGATGTACAGTTCAGTGGCTTTTAGTCCATTCACAGTGTTATGTACCATCACTTCTCTCTAGTTTCAAAACTGTTTCCTTAACCCAGAGGAACACTGTGCACGTTAAGTAATCACTCCCTAGCCCTTTCTCTTCTCACCTCCAGTAGCAAATAATCGGTTTTCTTTCTCTGTGTATTTGCTTCTTCTGAATGTTGTATATAAAATGACTCATACCTTATATGACCTTTTGTGTCTGGCTTTTACTTAGTATAAGTTTTCAAAATATATTCATGTTGTAGCATGTATCAGTACTTCATTCTTTTTATGGCTGAACAATATTTCATTGTGTGATTATGCACAATTTGTTCATTCATTCATTGATGGACATTTAGGTTGTTTCCACCCTTTGGTTATTATAAATAGTTCTGCTATAAACACCTGTCTACAATTCTGTGTGAGCTTGTTTTGTTTTCTTTATCTGTCTAGTACTGAGTATTATGGTAATTCTGTATCTTAACTTGTTCAAGAACTGCTTATTTTCCATTCTGCACCGTTTTACATTCCCATCAGCATGACAATTATCCCTATTTTTCTACATCCTTGACAATACTTTTTACTTTGCCATTTTAAAAATCATAACCATCCTAGTGGGTGTAAAGTGATATCTCACGGTAATTTTGATTTGCATTTCCCTAATGACTTAATGTTGTTGAACATCTTTTAATGTGTTTGCTGGTCTTTATATATCTTGTTTGGAGAAATGTCTATTCAAGTCTTTTGCTCATTTTTTCACCAGACTGTTTGTTGTTTTGTTGTTGTGGGAGGTTTTTTTTTTTTTTTAAAAAATCTGGATACTAAACCCTTAACATATATGATTTGCAGATATTTTCTGCTATTCTGTAAGTTGTCTTTTACTTTTTTGATAATATCCTTTGATGTACAGAAGTTTTTTATTTTTATGGGTACATAGTATTAGGTTGGTGCAAAAGTAATTGTGGTGTTTGCCTACTTTCAGTGGCAAAAACCGCAATTACTTTTGCACCAACCAATGTACAGGGTACATGATATATTATGATACAGGCATACAATGTGTAATAATCACATCAGGGTAAATGGGGTATCCATGACCTCAAGCATTTATCATTTCTTTGTTATAAACATTCCAATTATACTCTTGGTTATTTTAAATGTACAATATATTTTTGTTGACTGTTGTCATCCTCTTGTGTTACCAAATACTAGATCTTATTCATTCTATGTTTTTGCACCCATTAACCAACCCCACCTTTTGCCCCCTTCCCCACTGTCCTTCCCAGCCTCTAGTAACCATCATCCTACTCTCTATCTCCATGAATTCAGTTGTTTTAATTTTTAATGTTTTTAATTTTTATGAAATGTATTTTGTTGATTTTTGTTACTGTTGTTGTTTATGCTTTTGGTGACAAATCTAAGAATTTATTGCCAAATTTGTAGTCATGAAGATTTACCCCTGTGTTATCTTCCCTTTGTTTTGTTTTGTTTTGTTTTGAGACAGGGTCTTGCTCTGTCACCCAGGCTGAAGTGCAGTGGTGCGATCTCAGCTCACTGCAACCTCTGCCTCCCAGGTTTAAGCGATTCTCCTTTCTCAACCTCCCAAGTATCTGGGATTGCAGGTGCCCATCACCACGCCTGGCTAATTTTTGTATTTTTAGTAGACAGAGTTTCACCATGTTGCCCAGGCTGGTTTTGAACTCCTGGCCTCAAGTGATCCACCTGCCTCAGCTTCCGAAAGTGCTGGCATTACAGGCATGAGCCACCATACCCAGCCTCCTGTATTGTCTTCTAATAGTTTTAGTTACTATATTTAGGTCATTCATTCATTTTTAGTTAATTTTTGTACATAGAGTGAGGTAGGGGTCCTACTTCATTATTTTGCATGTGGTTCCCTAGTTGTCCCAGCATCATTTGTTGAAGAGATTATTCTTTCCTCATTGAGTGGTCTTGGTACTCTTGTCAAAAATCAACTGGCCGTAGATTTTTGGGTTTATTTCTGAATTCAGATCTATTTCATAGGTATATATGTGTATTCTTATGGCAGTACCATACTTTTTGAAAGTCTCCAATCTGTGGACATAGGATATCTTTTCATTTAATTAACTCTTTTTGAACTCCTTAGCAATATTTTGTAGTTTTTAGTAGGCAAGTCTTTCACCTCCTGGGTTAAATTTATTCCTAGGTATTATATTCTTTTGGATGCTATTGTAAATGTAATAGCTTCCTTAATATCCTTTTCAGGTTGTTCATTGCTGGTGTATAGAAGTAACTGATTTTTGTGCATTGCTCTCATACCCTGCAGCTTTGCCAAATTTATTTATTGTTCTAGTGATTTTTTTTCTTGTGCATTTTTTGGGGATTTTCTAAATATAGAGGCATGTCATCTGCAAATATAGATAGTTTTATTTCTTAGCTTACAATTTAGATGCATTTTATTTCTTTTCCTTACCTGACTGCTCTGGTAGGACTTCCAGTGCAATACTGATTAGCAATCATGAAAGTAGACGTCCTTGTCTTTTTCCTGGTATTAGGAGAAAATCTTTCCATTTTCACCATTAACTATGATGTTAGTTTGCCTGGGTTGTTGTTGCCTTTTGTTGTTGTTGTTGTTGTTCTTTTCTTTTCTTGCTCTGTTGCCCAGGCTGGAGTACAGTGGCAGTCTCAGCTCACTGCAACCTCTGCCTCCCAGGTTGAAGTGATTCTCATGCCTCGGCCTCCTGAGTAGCTGGGACTACAGGCGTGCACCACCACATCTGGCTAATTTTTGTTTAAGTGCCTCTAACAGTCTATTTACCATAGTTTGTGTTCTTTGAGGCTTCATGTTAATTCTCTGCTTAAACAGAATGTCTTTAAGACATTGAATACCAAATTTGTTTAAAATGAATATCCCTGTTTTTGTTATTTCTACTAACTTTTTAAAATACTGTCACCCCATATTTCTGTTAAACTATTTTAGAACACTTTTAAAATTAAAATTTTCATTTACTCAGACTTAGTGTGGAAGATTATCAGGAGTCAAGTCTTATGTTTGGGGTTTAAATTTGTTAACGTTTAAAATATTATGTGTGCATAATAAAAATAATACATTGTTATGTGTGCATAATAAAATATTTTTATGTTTGTGTAATAAAAATATTAATAATTTAGCTATCATCAGATATGAGTCTATGGGAAGAGATGGATTATATCTTTGCCTTATCTATGAATAAAAGATTTGCTAAGTAATTTAACTGAATTGTTTGAGAGGGCAGGTTCTTTTAAAAGCATCTTACACACATAAAAGTATTGATAATTAAAAGCCACTGATGTGAACATTATCCTAGCTTAGCTCTTTTCATTCTGTCTAAAATCCTGTTTCTTTAAAGAAGATTGTTCCCAGTTGCTTTTATCTAAATACATAGATTTCTTTAAAAACGTTTTTGATTAATACAAATGGACAACAGAGGTTATCGAAGAAGCTACAATGTGTCAGGTATTAATAATCCCTAATACTTCCTAGTAGGAAGAGGGAGAGAAAATGTAAGAAATGGCTCTTTTGTCATTTGGGGGTTTGCATTCTAATTGGCAAGACAAGACCCAGGCAGAGGAACTCTTACTGAGATTTGTGAATCCCAAAATTATATATATGTAAAATTTTCTGGGGAGAGTATTTATAACTTCCTTCAGATTTTTTTTTTTTTTATGATTGTAAAATGGTAAGAATCACTGCCCTGAAAAGTGAGTAGCCTAACAACACACAACAACAAAATAGCGTTTCTCCTAAATTGCACAGAGTCTAGCCATGTGCATGTGTAGGAGCTTTGCAGTTATACATGATAGCCAAACCTCTTGGTAGGACAAAAATTTCAAGTAACTCAAGTCATGTACTAACTTTGGTTTAAGATATGCCAAATTTTAGCTGTTTTGTAATTCAGTAAAAATCAAAGTACAGAATTTCTATATAGAAAGAAAACAAATTTAAATATCTTTTAAAAATTAGTTATGAGCCCATACTATGGCCTACTAGTGGACCTTAAACCATACTTTAAGAATATGAATTTATGATACTGTTATATAATAGCAGTATCATAGGCAAACTTCCACCAGTGGCATAAACCTGTACCCATATCCAGAAGCTTTTTGCTAACATTCCTACATCTTTTCTTTTCTAGATTAGTTGAGATATTATACATTTTAGTTTTCAAACCTCATTTTCTTTAGTATCACATTCCTCCTCCTCCCTCTCTCACTTCATCTACATTCACACTCCAGCATTTAATTCTCTAAATTTACTATAAGCAACTGCTACAGCTATCAACTATTGCTATATTCAGTGTAATAAAATCCAGTAGTTGTGTCACCCTAAGACTAGGTAGAGAAGTTTAATTTAACATGTTAATTTTTTTGGCTCTTAAGATGTTGCGGGTGGAATACTAACTGAATTTCTTGTTTTTGTTTATTTCCTTTGAATACTCCTTTTTTAGAATTAGTTAATTTAATTAGCATCTAGCTAAAGGGAAATGGCATTTATACTAAATGTTGCTGAGGGACTGAAACCAAACAGATCACACCTGAGTTAGGAGCTTAATGAAATAACCTCAGAACACATAAGTAAATTAACAAACAAGGGCTTGAATATGATAGATAAGAGCTATTCTTTTAAAGTTGGGGTATGGGCCGGTTGTGGTGGCTCACACTTGTAATCCCAGCACTTTGGGAGGCTGAGGTCGGTGGATCACTTGAAGCCAGGCATTCAAGACCAGCCTGGCCAACATGGCAAAACTCCGTCTCTACTAAAAATGCAAAACTTAGCTAGGCATGGTGGCGTGTGCCTGTAGTCGCAGCTACTCTGGAGGCTGAGGTAGGAGAATCACTTGAATTTGGGAGGTGGAGGTGCAGTGAGCTGAGATCGTGGCCACTGCACTCCAGCCTGGGCAACAGAGCGAGACCCTAATAAGCCTTGTTGTAGTTCTGCATACATTAAACTGATTACTTTTCAAAGTCAGGTAATAATATTTGAAATAATAAGATAACCATGAAGCACTTTCAAGACTTAAAGTCCTGTATCTATTTATAATTAAGATTTTGAAGTAGCTAGGCATGGTGGCGTACACCTGTACTCCCAGCTAC
This sequence comes from Homo sapiens, assembly GCF_000001405.40. Taxonomy (NCBI): domain Eukaryota; kingdom Metazoa; phylum Chordata; class Mammalia; order Primates; family Hominidae; genus Homo; species Homo sapiens. Next base: position 171,029,590 of record NC_000002.12, on the reverse strand, counting down.
TTGGAACACTGAGGCAGGAGAGTCACCTGAGCCCAGGAGTTCAAATTCAACCTGGACACTAAAGCAAGACCCTATGTCTATATTTGGAGTATAAGAATTTAGTGCTTTTTTGGGGGTGAGGGAGATTGAGACGGGGTTTTGCTATGTTGCCCAGGCTGTTCTGGAATTCCTGGGCTCCAGTGATCCACCTGCCTCAGCCTCCCAGAGTGCTGGGATTACAGGCGTGAGCCACTGTACCTGGCCAGAATTTAGTACTTTGACTAAAGTTTTAGCATTTTTTTATCTTGCTTATTTACTCCCAACACACTGAAGCAGGGAAAGGAAAAATGTCTTTGTTTTTTTCCTCTTTTTAAAAACTGCCCAAACTGGACTGACTCCCTTTGCAGTGATTTCCCATTACTCTTAGAGTAAAACTGAAATTCTTGACTTGGCCTGCAAATCTATACATAGTATGTCTCCCCAGCTTGCTTCTCCTACTACTCACAACCCTTTTGACTACATCTGATTTACTCCCATTTTTTTCTCTTCTATTTATATGCCAAGACTATTTTCATCTTAGAGTTTTGAACTTTCTATAACTCATGTCTAGAATATACTCCCCAGAGTCCTCTCATGGTTGTCTTTTTGTTATTTAGATGGTCACCTCTCTAACACCCAGTCCAAATTAACATAATGCAATTAGTCATTACCATACCATCCTTTTTTGCCTTCTTCATGACACTTACTGTTACTTAAACTTATTTATTTCATCACGTGGTTTTTTTTATGCTTGCTTACTTCCACTATAGAGTGTACGCTCAAACTAATATGTAAGGAGAAATTGTTTTGTTTTTCACTGTATCCTTAGAATATAAATTCTAGAACATCACTTGATAAATGGTACTCATTAAAACATTGTAGAATTAGTTAACTGTTTCATCTAAAAGTATTAAATATATTCTGAAGAATATCTCAAAGGATTTTTGGCTCATACATTTTCCTTAAAGCATTGTAGAATTAGTTAACTGTTTCATCTAAAAGTATTAAATATATTCTGAAGAATATCTCAAAGGATTTTTGGCTCATACATTTTGGGCTTAAAGTTGTCCACATTTTAGTATTTCCACTTGATTTTTATATTTTGCTAGTTGTTAATAAACTAAGTATTAATCTCAATATGTAGAATTAAAATTTCATTTTTGACAGGTTGACTTTGGCAGAATATCATGAACAGGAAGAAATTTTCAAACTTAGACTAGGACATCTCAAAAAGGTATGTGAAACATATGCTGCATTTTTAGTTCAATTTGCTACCAGAATTTGTGGGAAGTTGTGTTATAAGTCACTTATTTTAAAAGCCAAAATTTAAGAGAGTAAGATTTCAAATTAAAAATTTCAGATTAAAAAGAGATGCATTAAAGTTACTTTATTTTATTTATTAGTATTTTTATTTTTTGAAACAGTCTCATCACTCAGGCTGGAGTGCAGCGGCACAATCTAAGCTCAGTGCAACCTCCACCTCCCTGGTTCAAGCAATTTTCGTGCTTCAGCCTCCTGAGTAGCTGGGATTACAGGCATGCGCCACCACATCTGGCTAATTTTTGTATTTTTAGTAGAGTGAGGGTTTCGCCATGTTCACCAGGCTGGTCTCAAACTCCTGGCTTCGTGTGATCCACCCACCTTGGCCTCCCAAGGTGCTGGGATTACAGGCATGAGCTGTCGCACCCGGCCAAAATTACATTTTTATGTTGAGTATATTAAAACAACATTCCTTTATCTTGTGTCAACTTAAAAATCTTGAGATGGTGACACACCATATCCCTTTAGTGGAGGAATGATTCTTGGACAGACTTCCAAGGTCTTTAGATTATTCTATTTAAGTACTACCTTTTGGTAAAAAATACTTCATTTTAAAGATGAAATCTAAAATTCCATATTGTTTATGTTCATTTCATAATAAAATAGCAATTGTAAATAAATAGCAAACTTATTTCTTTGGCTTATCTTTTAATTTGTTGCATGTGTGATGTTTCGATTAGAAGATGTACGTAGGAAAAAGCACTTAGTGATAGTATAAAGGGATAAAACTGAGAAAAAATGTTGCTATGTGTTATTGTCGTAAACTTTTAAATAATGTGTATCTTTCTACTTGTTTGTAAACTCTGAAATTGTAATCAGTTTATTGTTTTTACAGGTCTTAATTTTAGTTCAAATGATTTCAGAGAAGTAGTAATAATAGAGTAGGTTTTTTTCCCTCAAAATTAAGTTACTGACAGACATAAAGTTCTTTTTCTTTGACCCAATTTTTTGTGCTTTCTGCTTGTCAGGTTCTTTCAATTTTTTAAATAGGCTGAATTATAGGTAAAATTGAAGGAGTGAACTAATTGGAGATAGTATCTGTGAAGTTGTCTCCATGGGATAGGGTGAGGTAGGATGGAGAAACCCATTCTGGTAGCAGCTACTATTACACTGCATACTAATTTGTTTTGGAAATGTTATTAATATGCTGGGGATTCCTACCATTTATAGGGAATAGAAAATTATTATATATAATTTGCATTAGTATCCTTTAATATGCTATATCTGTCTATGCCAACTGCCCAGAAAGCTTCAACGTAAACTACTTGAACAGTGAATTAAAAAGTGATTTATTTTGGTTTTGTTATTTAAGTAGTTCTATTCTGTTCTATTGTAATTATTGACTACTTTTCCTGCGCTTTGAGACTTAGTTGACAACTTAAGTCTATTCTCTATAATAATAGATGGAGCTATATAACTATCATAATAGTTCTATAATAGTGATAGAACCATATAAAGGAACTATGGAAGCGAAAAGGGAATTTTTAGTACAGGATGAGTCGTAAGTATCTGTGTGCCCACTTAAACTGTTTTGATAATGAGTTCGTAAGGGCCTATGCTTTATGTCTCATATAAAGATTTACCAGTTATTTTCTAACCAGCCTGTGGTGATAAAGGAATACTTATTTACTTAGTTATAGTGATTCCAAGGTGTACTTGAGAGTTTTACTGAAGGGTTATTATCTTCACGTGTAATACCAAATTTCAGATTACTCTTTCTAAATGATGACATTTTACATATGCACCTTATTTTATGAAAATCTGTTATAAAATCTGAAATTGTAGAGCAGTTAAATTAGGAATTGGCTATTTGTATTACAAAAAGTACACTTTGAAAAGGCTTCAAAGGAGGGTTTGTTTTTGTTTTTGGTTGGTTGGTTTTAAAGCTTTCCTGGTACTTTGAAAATACTGGTTTCTGTGAAAAACACTTTTATAAAGTAAGGTATACTTAGTGTCCAAATATTATATAGACATTTGTAAAATGTTGTAGAACACTAAACCTTCTAACCTTCGTATTTTCCTCTTTCCCAGTGTTTGACTTCTATATTTTTCGTATTTACTTACTCTTTCCAATAATTATCCCTTCCATAATCTTTTTCCTGCTTTTTTTCCTAGCTTTTATCAAATTTACTGAGCAGTCTTAGATTTCTAACTTTATCTTCTTTTTAACTAATTTACAACATAACTTTTCTTTTCTTTGACCTTCATCATGGAATATTTTGGGGAAATGGATTAACAGTAATGCTGAAACATACTCTCATGTCATGAATACCCATGTTTTCTTCTGAGAGACTATTTTGGGTGAGAAGAATGAGTGTATTATAAAGAAAGTGGCCAGTAGTACATACAGGGAACAAAATTAAGCAAGTAATGTCACCTTAGAGCATAAATAGCAGTTGCCTGCTTAGAACCGAGTATTAATTTTTGAGTTATACAGTTAAAAAATAATAAGCAATAAGTTACATGTATAAAAATAAGTTATTTGGCATTCTGAAGCACAGTTGGAAAATAGGTCATTCTGTTTTCTAAAAAAGATTAAACAGATTTTTAAAACACAGGACAGGCTTGAGTCAAAAGAAAAGATGTTATCACTTCTGTCTTATCAGCTCCCTATGCTCCTGGGTTTATTAAGCAGACATGAACCCCGACTTGTAAATATACAGCTTCTACCATAGGCTGGATCTGAATATTTGACGCCCCTTGTATCCTGCACAGGAAATATAACCAGTCAGTTTACGGTTTAGATTTGGAGCCTGGCATACTCTTGCATTAGCATGGGTGACTCTCTTGCCCTTTCTCCCTTCAATAAATTCTTAACATTAAGCAGAACTAATTATTAGACTAACTTTCTTAGCACTGAAGGACCAAAGTTCATTGAGGAAGCCCATGGCATATGGACATAGGAGAATAGAAAGACCTGTTTACTTTTTCTTGAAGTGGATAATTTATGACATGCTTTGTGTTTCATAATGATAATCACTATAATTGAAAAGCTAAACTAAAATATGAAAAAGTATATTTACCTTTGAATAAATCATGAAGTTTAGTTCATATTTTATGCTGTTCTTCAGGGTTAGAAAAATAATAAATCCAAAGATAGCCTTACTCTATTATCCAATGTGTGATAGAGTAAGGAATGAGAGTCAGGCAGAAACCTCCAAAAGTAAATACATGGCTAAAATAAATAGGTGTTTCTAGTTACTACCAAAAAGTAAATGTAAACTTACTTATGGACTTATTAGTTTTCTCTTCTGAGATTAGGAAAATCACAGCAGAGCGTCACTTTTTTTCCTCTCAACTGTATCAAGAATTCTTTTATCTAATATTTATTGTTATAGTTGTTCCCAAGTTTAAGCAGTCGTTGCTCACCCATTTATTAAGTGACTTATTGCCATACTCTGCCTGACACAGGCATAATTCAAATTCCCATTTTAACGGAATTACATATTACTTTTTATAGACTTTGAAGCTTTCACCATTTTTGAGTGAACATTAATTACACCTTTTTGAAAGCCCAGATCTATATATACTTCCTCTGGAGTAATACCACCAGTAAGTGACAAAGCCAAAACTTGAACCATTCCCACTCCTATTTCAATGACTGTACCCATGTAGTTAATTCCTAGAATTATTTTGTTGTAGATTAATAGTAAGTTGATTCTTTGTATTCAGAAAAATTAATTCACTTGTGGCTTTCCTTGCATCTCTATTAAGTACTGGACTGTTTGCTTTTCCTTAAGTTTTCTTTTGGTGTGTGGCGGGATGAACGTGCTATTTCATTTTCATTACAGATAAAGGAGAACAGTTTTAAGTTAATTATTTTTCATACACATTCTTTTTCATTCTCTTTCACATACTTTCTTCCTTGGGCATTATGTTAGTGACTGTTGAATCAACTACAATATTTCTTTATTATTAACTAATATATTGATTTTCACTCGATTTATTTTTAAAGGTCAACAAAGACCTTTTTAAAAAGCACATTTTTAAATAAAAACTCAAATAATTTTAAAATATATCTTAAGGAATTCTTAGAATAGAACTATATAGTAAAATGTATGGAGACTATACAAATTATTCCTGAAACTATTTCAAAAGGAACAAGTAACTTTTTTGGTTATCATTAATTATATACAAACTTCCCCAGTTATTACTTAATAAAAGCTTGTAGTTGTAAAGAGATTAATTTCCTATCTTTAAAAAGTTGTTAATTTGAGGCAAAGCTTCTAAATGATCCTATTTTATCTACCTGTGCCCATGTGGAATCGTGGGTTCAAGGAAACCAACCAAAAACCAGTTTGCTCTTATAGTTGATCAGGTTTTGATACCTGTCTCTGATAAGTTCTAATTATGGGAAAACAATTTATCTTTGTGATTCAGAAGCTCTGCTAGGTTGATTATATAGTCAGATCTTTATTCTGGAGTTGAAGAAGATGGTGTGGATTTGCTTTCAAGGATTGTCACTAAATTAACACATAAAACTAAAAATACAATCCCTGCAAAATCAACTTCCTTGAAATGTCTATATTTTTAAAAAGATACAAGTTATTAGTCATAATACCCCAAACTGATGAGTAAATGAGAATTTTGAAAGTTATTAGGTCCAGTAACTATGTCTTGAGACTGCTGTTACTCAAATTTGTGATATGAACAGCATGTGGGTATGTTACTCTTTATTTTCTTGTCTTCAGATTTTTTTGTCTTCTTGATTTTAAATATTTGATTAGTTGGAGAGAATGTGTTTAGAAAGTGTGACATCTCAGTATGGAGTATTAAATAGTGTAGTAGGGATTGGCTTTAATGTGTGTGTTTTGGTGTGTGTGTGTGTGTGTGTGTGTATGTGTGAGTGCATTTGACTTATGAGCCCTGAATATAAGTGCCAGAAGTTTTATTTGAAAAACATAACCAATTTGTAATTGAAACAGGATTAGTCAAGAACCATCAGCACCAACACAAATGTATCTTTGCAGACCGAAGGAATCAGCTAAACAATTTACAGTCATCTCAATCTCTACTAAAACAAAAATCACATCCAACATGCCACCTGACACCATTTCTTTCTCTCTCTCTCCTTTGCTCCTTGCGATGTGGCATTCATCTCTCCTTGTGCCTCCGTTCTGAAGAGATAACAGTATAGCAACAACTCTGCCACTGAAATCCTGTTCTCTGACCGATATTGGCACCTGCAAAGAGAAACAACCAGTAACAGGCAGCAGCAGCATCAGTATTAATCTTCCATGATGAAATCTTTACAGGTCAAGAACAAGTACACAGCTCTTTTCTCACTCCTTCACAGTGGACCATGCAACTAGTTGAAATGGAAGACAATGGATTGTCTACAAGCCTTTTGAACAGTGGAGAATGCAGGGCGTTGGCTTTAGGTGAATTGACCCCCAAATATTCTTGAAGTTTGATGTCCCCTTTGGTCTTTTTTTCTAGAACACCATTGTCATCTGACTTATCAAACCCTTAGTATGACCACAAAGAATAAGTTTGCATATGTGACATTTTTTGTCACTTTAGGTTTGAATGAAAATATGAAAATAATGAGCATTATAATGCTAGAGGGCTTAATCTTTAAACCTGTTGTTCATCTTTATATTTATAGCCATGACTGGAAGAAATCTTCTAGGAATTCTCTCAATTAAAGCCAACTACATTGTACATGATGTTTCTGTAGAACCTGACACAAGATGCTGCTTGTGTAGGCAGTAGTTTTCAGTGGAATTCTGGGAAAAGTATACTATACTGGAAAAAGTCGTGATTAAGCCCATGAAGAATGTTAAAAGATTCCTGATTTCTTGGAGGGAGGTGTGTGTGTGTGTATGTGCAAGAAAGGTGCCAAGAAGAGTGCTGGAATTCTAACTTTACAATTTGTGCTTACTACTATTTTCCATTTAAAAATGAGTAGTTGTCCCAAAAAGATGACTGTGGTGAGAGAACATGGAACTAGCTGTAGATGGGAAAACTCAGTGTTTACGTTCTTATCTCTTACTCACATATGGACCTGCAAACTATCCTGGCTCTATTTTTCCATATTTATAATCACACAACCTTAACTTGGTAGTAGATAATGTTCAGCTACCAAAATGAAAATGTAGAGGTAAAAGGTGTTTTACTTCCCCAGTGTGTGTGTGTGTGTGTGTGTGTGTGTGTGTGTGTGTGTTTTTCGCCCAGGCTGGAGTGTGGTGGCATGATCCCGGCTCACTGCAGCCTCCGCTTCCCAGGTTCAATCGATTCTCCTGCCTCAGCCTCCTGAGTAGCTGGGATTACAGGCATGTGCCACCATGCCTGGCTAATTTTTATATATATTTTTTAGTAGAAACGGGGTTTCACCATGTTGGTCAGGCTGGTGTCGAACTCCTGACCTTGTGATCCACCCACCTCAGCCTCCCAAAGTGCTGGGATTACAGGCGTGAGCCACCGTGCCTGATCCACAGTGTTTAATATTAATCCTGTTGTTATACAGGCAATGGAATTTAAAACATTTTGGGAAGAATCTTAGAAGTCATGTTAGCCATCAGCAGGGTTTGTAACTAATTCAGATTTGTAAATTCAGTTCAGAGATAACTTTCACAAAAAAGAGAAAACAGTTGCTTGGCTACCAGCCCTTCCCAATCATAACTGTAAATCCATGCCATATGCATAATGAGCATGTAGAAGACTAGGTTTAAAAGGAAGCAGAGGCCAGGCATGGTGACTCATGCCTGTAATCCCAGCACTTTGGGAGGCAGAGGCCAGAGGATTGCTTCAGCCCAGGAGTTGGAAATCTTGTCTCTACCAAAAAAAAAAAAAAAAAAAAAAAAAAAAAAAAAAAAAGTCGGGGCGGGAAAGCAGGAAAGAAAACTGGGAGAAGGACTGCAGTACACTACACGAAGGCATTGCACCTGTGTGTGATCAGGCTTGGTGTCAGCCCCTTGGTTAGTGTTGAACGTTAATTTCACTCCTATAATACAGCAGCTGTAAATATTTTTAAGACAAGTGTGCCAGATATTTAAATTTTGCCAATCAGTTGAATTCTTAAACATTTATTTGATGCTGGGGAGGTAGTTTTTGTTTTGTTTTGTTATAATAAAGTAGAGGAACTGACAGAATTAAAACCTGCCTGTTTTAACAGTCATTCCAAGTTACGGGTATTAATGCATGTATTTATGCATTTGAAGGGAGAGTAAACCATTACCCCTCCACACACCCCCAGAAAAACAGGAAATGAAGTGTGTAGAGAGCAAAACATTGAGTAAAGGTACTAAGTTAATTATCTAAGCTAGTTGAACACACCTGAGGTGATACAGTATGCTCTCATCAGTAATAAGCCACTTTAGTAATTGGGGATAGGGGTGGAGGGAACATTTATATAATTAGGAAAGAAAGCCCCCAATATTTAATGATTTTTATCTTTTCTCCTTCTCCTACCCTTCTCCCCAATCTACACAATTATTCTCAAGCAAAAATATGATTATGGTGCAATAGTTTCAAAAGTCAGACCTGCTTTGTCTAGGTGGTTATTTTGGTTGGTTGGTTGGTTGGTTGGTTGGCTGGCTTTTATTTTGGTTGGTTCATATCTCACACATTCATATTTAGAATATGGGAAAGCATATAATATGGTGACATAATAAGGATAAATTCGAAATAAATTAGTAATTTTCTCCTTAATTGTTTTTTTGCACTGCCCTTCCTTTTAATTAGCTTTTTTTTTCTTTTTTTCTTTTTTTTTTTAGACAGTCTCGCTGTGTCACCAAGGCTGGAGTGCAGTGGTGCAATCTGGGCCCACTGCAACCTCCGACTCCTGGGTTCAAGCGATTCACCTGCCTCAGCCTCTCAAGTAGCTGGGACTACAGGCTCCTGCCACCATGCCCGGCTAATTTATATATTTTTAGTAGAGACGGGGTTTCACTGTGTTGGCCAGGCTGGTCTCAAACTCCTGACCTCATGATCCACCCACCTCAGCCTCCTGAAGTGCTGGGATTATAGGCATGAGCCACCGCACCTGGCCCTTAATTAGATTTTAATAGTGCCTTTTGTTGATTTCACCTTTCCCTTTCTTGGTGGTAAACTTTCAGAATGGCATTATAAATCGTTTGTGAAATTAAAATTTAATTTTTTTAGGACTTAGAGATGTTAACTTTTAAGGGATTGATATTATTCACATTACTAAAGTGAATTTGGTGTTAAATTTTTTTTTTTTTTTTCTGAGACGGAGTCTTACTCTGTCACCCAGGCTGGCTAGAGTGCAGTAGTGTGATCTTGGCTCGCTGCAACCTCAGTTTCCTGGGTTCAAGTGATTCTCGTGCCTCATCCTCCCGAGTAGCTGGGGTTATAGGCGAGCACCACCACGTCTGGCTTATCTTTGTATTTTTAGTAGATAAAGGATTTTGCCATGTTGGCCAGGCTGGTCTCGAACTCCTGACCTCAGGTGATCCACCGGCCTTGGCTTCCCAAAGTGCTGGGATTATAAGTGTGAGCCACCTCACCTGGCTGGTGTTAAAACCTCATTCTGAACCGGTTTTCTTAATCAAGTAGTGTTGTTACGGTGAATAGACTGTTCCAAGCCATATTCTTCTACCAACTCCCATAGGTTATAGGCACGCTGAGAATAATACATCAAAATACTTCCTGTTTTATCTTGGCTTTATGCGAGGCAGTTCTTAGAAATTGAGTTTTTTGATAGAGAGAATATGTAACATATATTCAGGATTTGCTAAATAACTTTAAACTAGCAAGTTTAATTTTTTCAGGAAATGTATTGGTTTTACATATAAAAATGTATTTTATAACTTTTTAAGCCTTATAGTTTTAATGCCTACCATATTTCACCTTTTAATAATTGCCTTTTGAAAAAAATGCCATTATGAGAAATGCTCCAAAATACTCCAGATTCACCTACCATTTTCTTTTCTTTTTAAAAAACATCTCCTTCACATGGGAACCACCTATCATTTTTAACCTGGAATTTTACAGAAATTCTACATTGCTACAGCCTACATTTGGCTTATAGACTTGAGCCAAAGGAATATTATGTTGCCATAAGAGACTTTGATTACAAATAGAAAGCATTTCTATGCTGAAGATCTGGTGAGGGACAAAGTCTTTTAGTGAAGTTGCTGTGGGAGTTATCCATACACATTTTTTTTTTTTAATTTTAACTGTTAGAAGGTGGTGTTTTTTGCAAGTTACTTAAACAATGAGACAGTGTTGAGATCTGTTGTATACCTGTCTGACTTGGCTTTTTATGTGAGTATTAGATTTTATTTTAAAATACTGTTAAAATAGCTATAGTGTGTATTGTTAAATTTTCCATTGTAGTTTTTGTTTGAACAGAAAAGAGCCATGTCCTTTTATTGTGTATTTAATTGCCAAACTTACCTCTCTCTTTAATACAGTCTGTTCTTACTTATGTCTCTTCTTCATTGTAATAGCCTACAGAGACCAGTTCATTTCTGGAGATGCTGTTTGTCTCTTTGTTTCTTTTAGATTTTCTCTGCTTTCATTAACTGCTCAGCTAGTGTATGAATTCAGGACTGAAACTTGGTGTTCTTACTAAGCACAACTTAGCTGATTGGATTGTCTCCTTTCAGTCTACTCGTCTGGCCTAGTTTTGCTATGAGTTTGAGGATTCTATTCTGTGGTGAATTCAGATCAATTGTGAGCCTAGTTAATCCTGTCTTCTCCTGAACCCTTGGAAAAAGATTATTTCTGAGGATGGCCCACAGGTTAATGTCAGTCTCAGGCAAGGAGAATGTAGCCTACTGGATAGATCTTTGGAAATGATCTGTAGCAAAGATAAGTTGTTCAAACTATTGTACCCTGGGCCAAACCAAAACTGGGCCTTGCCCCATTCTCTGAGGACAAGGTGCTAGACAGTATTGCCCTAGCATTTATCTACAAGTATGTGTGTTGGCCATAACAAAATATCAGACTGGGCACCTAAACAACAGAAATGTATTCTAGAAGTCCATGACAAGATCAGGCAGAGTTTAGTTTTGGGTAAGGGCTCTCTTGCTGGCTTGCAGATAGCCACCCTCTCACTTTATCCTAACATGGCCTTTTCTCTGTGCTCCTTGGAGGGAGGGGTGGGGGAACCTTTCTTCTCATAAGGCCACTAATCCCATCATGAAGGCTCCATAACCTAATCCAACCCTAAGTACCTCCCAAAGGCCTCATCTTCAAATGCAGCCATATTAGGGAATAAGGGCTTCAATATATGAATTTTGAGGGAACACAGACATTCAGCCCATCACAATATATGTACTTTTTCTTAGTGGAATTTTTAGCGTAGCAGAGTTACCTTTCCCCCAGAAGTGTGTCAGTTTGCTTGAAGTCCAAGATACTGTGAAATACTAACTTACAAGATGAAAGACAAATATATTTCACTGAGTATGGTGGGTTTATATCTATCTATTTAAGACATAGTTTCTTCCCTTGACATTTCCTTCTAAATACCCAGAATCCATCTTTTTTTCTCTAGTGCTACTGACATTTTGTTGTTCTTCCAGTAAACTTAACAATTCAAATGGAATGAAACTTGCTTGTGCTTTGATTTTGTAAGATTTTTATGGGACATATTTGTCATGTTTTTAGAGGCAAAATAAAAAAAGCTTGCTTTAATTTGCTGATACATATTTTACTTTCTTTAACAAGTATTTATTTTGTAATATTGATTACTACCATTGTATAGACATCTGAAGATTATAAAACAAATGTAATTATGTTCATCAACAACCTATTTGAATCTTACTTATTTATGACTCAGTAAAAATTAGCTTTTATAAATTCACTGTTGAAATAGTCTCCCCATGCCACAATTTCAAATAAAAGTTAAAACAAGTATTTATTCTAATAGGCTTTTCACAATTTTATCAGATTATTTAAACTTGCACCAGCCCACCAAATGTTGAGTAGCTTCCTACACATGTGACAGTCAAATTAAGTTTTTAAGCAGCAAACATTAGTAACATGAAGGGAAAGAGTCATTGCTTTCTAGATTCTAGTCTAGATTAGAATTGAATCTAGATTCTACATTTCTAGTGTAAATTAATTTAAATTCTTTCATACTCCTGGGTAAACCTGTAGGCAAGTTTCTTATCTGTTTTACATGGCTAACTATGATAACTAAGCTATGTTTTGAGTTTTTTGTCTCAAAGCTTTAAAATTTACTTCCTGTTTTTATGAAACTTTGATTATTGAATCTCCTAGGATATCACTTTACTTTTTAAAATTAAAATTAAAAATATATGTGACCGAAGCTGTTAATGAGGAAATTTCAGTTAAATTAAGAGAATCTATGTAGTGTACCTATTGTAGAAAATCTCCCAATACTTGTAGAAAGATTTATCTTCATTTGAATTTATTTTGAAATTTTCTATTTGCCATGTAATATCAAATCTGCATTAAATATCTCTGCAACAAGTCGTGGTTGAATTTCATTTTAAAATAATAACCTTAGGAGTAATGTGAAGTACAAACAACATAATCTTTAGAGATATAATTTGTTTTTTCTCATAATGCTTAAAATATTCCTCTGAATTTCTGTCTTAGGTACCGGTGTGATAAGCTTTATACCTCTGTTTTCTGTCTTTGAATGAAATGATAATATTTATATTTTCAAAGTAAATTTCAGAGTTATATTTTGAGGTAAATAATTTTTTATATCAAAAGATAAATTACTAAAAAGAAGCAAAGGAGCTGATGAAATATTTAAATGCATTATTCAGAAAAAACTTCTGTTCCACGTGGTCTAGATTTATAATTCTAGTGGGTACACATTAGGCCAAGGTGATCTGTATTTCTTTACTTCAAAATTACGTACTAAAAATATTCTAAGCCGGGCATGGTGGCTCACACCTATAATCCCAACACTTTGAGAGGCTGAAGCAGGAGGATCCGTTGAGCTCGGGAGTTCAGGACTAGCCTGGGCAACACAGTGAGACCCCATCTCTACAAAAAAATAGCCAGGTGTGGTGGCGCATGCCTGTAGTCCTAGTTACTGGGAAGGCTGAGGCAGGAGGATTGCTTGAGCTTGCGGGGTCGAGGCTGCAGTGAACTGTGATCATGCCACTGCGCTCCAGCCTGAGTGACAGAGTGAAAAAAGAAATTGGGCTAGAAACTTTCACTGAAACCTGGCACAGGCTTATCCTTTTTTTTTATTGACGGCGGGTGGCGGTGGGCTGGAGAGTGGGGATGGAGTTTCCCTCTTGTTGCCCAGGCTGAAGTGCAGTGGCACGATCTCAGCTTGCTGCAACTTCCACTTCCCAGGTTCAGGCAATTCTCCTGCCTCAGCCTCCCAAGTAGCTGGGATTACAGGCATGCGCCACCACGCCTGGCTAATTTTGTATTTTTAGTAGAGACGGGGTTTCTCCATGTTGGTCAGGCTGGTCTCGAACTCCCGACCTCAGGTGATCCGCCCGCCACAGCCTCCCAAAGTCCAAAGTGCTGGGATTACAGGTGTGAGCCACTGCACCCAGCCCTAGTCTTATCCATTTTTTAAGTAGTATTCAAATTTGTATTGACAAAAAAGGGGTGGGTGTGTGTGTGTGTGTGTGTGTGTGTGTGTATATGTGTGTGTGTATGAATGAATGACATGAATGACATGAGTGATATGTGTACTTGTTTTGGTGGCTAGTCTAAAAGTTGTATATTTTAAGACAAAAATGTATTTATCAAAATATTTATATTGATTATTAAATTTCTTTAAGATTTATTTACATCTGCTCTGATACCTTAGAGTCTACTACAGCAATCTATAAATTTTTTGTTGTAATGTATCTTTAGGATTGCAAGTGAGTGGTCAGTTTGTGTGTGTGTGTGTGTGTGTGTGTGTGTGTGTGTGTGTGTGTGTGTTTGTACTCCAAATGCTGTAAGGCGTAGGAAGAATCATTCTGCTTTTTTCTTTCTTCCTCTTTTAACTATTATAAAATATTTTCATTTTATTTGTTTTCTACTAGTAAATTATTCCTTCTTAAATTAAAATTTGCATGGACTAGAAATGGCTCATTTTATGTTATGTCAGTTTTCAACTACCTTTCAGTATATACATTATAAAAATAGATTTCTTGTAGTACAGAATAAAACCCAGCATCTCATTAGGTATAGATTTTCATGTGGAGGATGGTTTCTTCAAATAGGTTTTTGCCTTATCTCTTTCCATCTTTTCGGCATTGAAAAGAGCACTTTGGTCTTTTAACTCGGTGGTACTTTATAATATACTATTCTTCCCATCACTGTAAAACATTGATGCATGGGTAAAAATATCTTTTTTATATCGCAAATAAATTGAGCTTGTTATAGTCCCCTCTCTTCATTTTCAGGAAGAGGCAGAAATCCAGGCAGAACTTGAACGTTTGGAAAGAGTCAGAAATCTTCACATACGTGAGCTGAAAAGAATAAACAATGAAGATAATTCACAGTAAGTCATTATTTGCATTTCACAGTTTCATATTATTAAAACTACCCCCGCCCCCCATAGAGCATAAACACAATATTTCCTTCTTGGGTTGTCTCATCGTACTTAGAAAAGATCCAAAGTCCTTCCCATGGCTTGGAAGGCCTTTTATGATTTGGTCCCTGGCCACCTTACTGTCCTCACTTCTCTTAAACATGTCAAGAGCATTCCCTTCTCAGTGGGCTTTTGTGCTTACCATTTCCTCTGCCTGGATGTTCCTCCTCTAAACACCTAATTGGCTTAATTACTTATCTCACTCCAAATGTTCTTTAGAAAGGCCATTCTTAGATCATCCTATTTAAAATAGTAGTCCCTAGCCAGGCCCAGTGGTGCTCACCTATAGTTCCAGCTACTCAAGAGGCTCAGGTAGGAGGATTGCTTTGGCCAGGAGTTCAAAACCAGCCTTGTCAACATAGTGAGACCCCCATTTCTTTAAAAAAAAAAAAAGTCTCTGCTTCTTCATTTCCTCTTTTAATATCGTTACCTTGCTTTATATTTTCTGGATGTTGATCACTATCTGGAATTATAAATTTATTTTTTAGTTATTATTTGTCTCCTCCCTCTAGAATGTAAGCTTCATGAGTGCAAGGACTTGGTTTTGTTCTTGCTGTATCCGTAAAGCCTAGACCAGTGCCTGACATATGGCAGGCACTTAATAAATATTTGAATACCAAAGTTAATGTTATAGTAGTGAAGGAGAAATTATTTCAACCAAAAGTATTTCAGTAAGCCATGTATCCCACATTATGCAAGAATTGGGAGAGAAATGGAAAAGTACAGCTTACAGTCTGTGTTCTTAATCAGTTGTCAGAATGAGTGCCATAGATAGTATATGTTGAAGCAATTGAAAGAAAAGAAAATATCTGTGGGCTTGTGGGAGCTTCATGAAAAAGATAGAAATTGAGCAAGACATAGAAGTAGAAATTAAGCAAGGTACTACTTGGATTTAGTTGATGTACAAGAGAGGAAAGGTTTCTGTTTACACTTCATCTTTGACTGGTCATGTAGTTTAAAGCTTCATGAGTTAATATAAGTATCAGAATAGGAAGTGGCCAATTTCTGTGTGAAATATGAAAATCTTGCTTAGAAAGGTCTTCTTGTGATGTCTATGTATGTATAATTCATAAATACACAGATCATTCCATTGTGTGAAGAGAAAGAAATAGTTATGGAATAACCTAAATTATGTCAGATTAAAATTCTAATGAAAGCCAGGTGTGCTGGCTTATGCCTGTAATCCTTGCACTTTGGGAGGCCAGTGCAAGCAAATTGATTGAGCCCAGGAGTCAAAAACGAGCCTCAGCAAGGTGGAAAAACCCTGTCTCTACAAAAAATACAAAACTTAGCAGGGAATGGTGGCATGCACCTGTAGTCGCAGCTACTTGGGGAACTGAGGAGGGAGGATCGCCTGAGCCTGCAGTGAGCCTAGATCGCAGTCCAGCCTGATTGACAAAGTGAGACTTTGTCTCCAAAAAAAAAAAAAAAAAAAAAAAAAAGTGAGGGGCCAGGTGTGGTAGCTCATGCCTGTAATCCCAGCACTTTGGGAGGCTGAGGTGGGCGGATCTCTTGAGGTTAGGAGTTCGAGACCAACCTGGCCAACATGGTGAAACCCCATCTCTACTAAAAATAAAAACACTAGCCCAGCGTTGTGGTGGGCGCCTGTAATCCCAGCTACTTGGGAGGCTGAGGCAGGAGAATCACTTGAACCCGGGAGGCGGAGGTTGCGCCACTGCACTCCAGCCTGGGCAACAGAGCAAGACTGTCTTAAAAAAAAGTGAGACTCTGTCTCCAAAAAAAAAAAATCTAATAGAGCATATGGTACAAAACTAATTTAAGACTAACTGTTCCGAAAATTACATTTCAAATTTTGTGGATCTGACTTACATTGATGAAAATAAAATCAACTGTTACAGCTTTACAGTGTGGCTTGAAACTAAGCAGAAATTTCTTATATCTACAAGTTTCTCAAGAAAAAGCTTAAATTACTAAATCTAGAGTCAATTGATCTTGAAAAAAATAATAAAATACAATGTATTTTGGCCAGGCGTTGTGGCTCACACCTGAAATCGCAGTACTTTGGGAGGCCGAGGCAGGCGGATCACAAGGCCAGGAGTTTGAGACCAGCCTGGCCAATATGGTGAAACCCCGTCTTTATTAAAAATACAAAAATTAGCTGGGCGTGGTGGCACATGCCTATAGTCTTAGCTAATTGGGAGACTGAGGCAGAAGAATTGCTTTAACCCAGTAGGCAGAGGCTGCAGTGAGCCAAGATCGTGCCACTGCACTCCAGCCAGAGCGAGACTCTGTCTCCAAAAAATAAAAAAATAAATAAATAAATAAAAATACAGTGTATTAGTATTGCAAAGCTGACTTTTTTTTTGAAAGTGTACATTTTGGAACCACATTTTTCTGCTAAGTCCTGCCTTTTATTAGCTGTTAAGCAAGTTACTTAACTTTTCTGTGCATCAGTACCTTCATTTATAAAACAGACATAGTTATAGGACCTACCTGATAGGGTGGGTTGAAAACTAAATGAGTTAATACAGGTAAGAGCATAAAACGCACAAGTTGAACATCCTAATGTTGGAAATCTGAAATGTAAACTTCTCTAAAATCTGAAAATTTTTGAGCACTGACATGACATTCAAAGGTCTTGCACAAAGGAAATGCTCATTGGAGCATTTCAGATTTTGGATTTTCAGATTAGGGATGCTCAGTCGGCAATATTCTAAAAAAAAAAACAACTCCCAAATCGGAAACACTTCTGGTTCCAGGTATTTCAATAAGGGATACTCAGCCTATATATGGCAAGTACGGTAAATTTTAAGTAGTAATAGTAGTAGTATTACCTATGAGTGATTTTTTTTTTAATTTTAAAAAATCTTTTTAAAATTGGTGGTTAATTTATTTTACAAAAGTCCGAAGACAGTAAAATTTAATGATGAAGGCCAGTTTATAATTATGTTTAATCATATGTCAATACTGTAAAAGCTTGATTATAACTCCCAATATAAAAGTCTGTTTTTTCCAGAGAAGTGATTCTTGCTGAGTACATAAAGGATTTTATGAAGCTCTTGGCAATGCAGTAATTATTAGGTCTTTGTGAGAGTGCTATAATTGGTCATTGCTCCTGAATATTGAGCTATAAAAGTTTTGTGAGCGCCAAAGCCTTAAGATGGGTGGTAGTCATGCAGATAGACTGGTAGAGAATGAAAAGAAATATTGAATGAAATTTGAAATTAGCAGTGGAGTAACTGAGAAATAAATAGCTAGGAATAGAATAAGAGAGTAGAACTTCAGTGTAGAAGGAATTTTTATGTGTGTGTTTTAATATGTCTGTTTTTTGCCCCCACCTCTAAGGTTCAAAGATCACCCAACATTAAATGAAAGATATTTATTACTTCATCTGCTTGGTAGAGGTGGCTTTAGTGAAGTGTATAAGGTAATGTATGTTTTATTCTGTTTTTTTTACACTAATGTAGCAAGGATATAGGAGTATGTGGTTAAGAAGTACTTACGTTGTCTGGGCATGGTGGCTCACACATGTAACCCCAGGGCTTTGGGAGATGGGAGGGTGCCTGAGGCCAGGAGTTTGAGACCAACCTGGGCAACATAGTGAGACCTTGTCTCTACTTAAAAAAAAGTCAGCCAGGTGTGGTGGCGCACACATGTAGCCCCAGCTACTCAGGAGGCTGAGGTGGGAGTATTGCAGAGTCCAGGAATTCATGGTTGCAATAAGCTATGATTGCACCACTGCACTCTAGTATGGGTGACAGAGCAAGACCCTGTCTCAAAAACAAAAAAAAGAAGTACTTGTCTTTTGTTTATTGATTATATGTCCTCATTATAAAAAAGGGTTTGTTGTGGCTTCTGTTGTCTTATTTCCAGAATCCAAAGACTGTCCTTGCCACCTGCACAGTCCCTGTGATATTTGATACCTAGTCACCATTAACCAGTCCAATACAAAGAGTAACAGCTATTTAAATCAAGATAGGCAGGTAGCCATTTAATACAGTACACTTATAGAAAGATTGTACCCCTTAATTAAAAAATGTCTGAAGTATTAACATGTCCTGAATTTATCCAAATTTCTACCTATGTCAAGTCCGTTTCTCAAATGCATATGTATAAATGTAGCATTTTTACTCCCCATGTTCACTATTTTATGCCTTTCTTTTTTTTTTTTTTTGTACTTTATGTTGTATCTTTTAGCCTAACCTTTAAATATTGGATTCCTAAGGTCCCTTTTATCATTCTGTATTCTCCCTTAAGAAGGTTTTTATCCTCTCTCATTCACTGGGTTATCTATTTGGTGTCACCCCCAGGTAATATCTAGCTCACACTTTCTTCCTGAGTTCAATACCTCAAAGTATGTTTGTATACATGACTTACCTCATGTGGGTGCTTCATAGGTACTGGAAACTCACATTTGAAATAGAAGTTATCTTCCTCTCCTCTAAAATGTCTTTTAACACTGCTTCTGACTTCCCTGACCTCAGTATATAACATTGCCATTCATCTGCCTGGTCCCTCAAGTGAAAAAACACAAAAACCATCGTATGCTCTTCCTTTCCCTTTGTTCCCCTCCCCTCACATATTATAAGCCCCTAGTTCCTGCTATTATTAATGTCATTAAGTTCTCCTAAATTCAGCCATGACCCTTCCCTTCTGTCTCTTAGCTCAAGGCTTCTTCCGGAACCTCATAGCTGATTGTCTTCTTTTGGGCATTGCTTTTCTCAAGTCATTTTGTACACTGCAACTAGAGTGAACTTTTTATAAAAGGCAGCCTGATCATCTGTCCTACTTGAAAGCCCCAGTAGCTTCCCATTTGCTCTTGGGATGAAGTCCTAGTGAAGGGTTATATGCTCATCTTTAGTTCCTCTAAACAGCTTCCCTGACCCTCTGCATCTTCTCTGATAGATTTGGTGTGCCTTTTTATAAGCTCCTTTGTGCTTCATTACGTACTGGCATAGTTGGTTAAAAGCTTTGGTTCTGAAGCCAGACAGCTAGGTTTAAATCCTGACTGCTATTTACTAATTTTATTAATTTGGGCTTCTTATTTAAATCCCTGTCTGACTCATTGGCTCCTTCTGAGAATAATAACAATACCTACATTATAGGGTTGTTGCAGTGATTAACTGAGTTATCACATGTAAATCATATAGAACATAGGTGCTGAGATAAGCTGATAAGATTATTAGAAATCCTGCTTGTTGGCCATGGCTCACACCTGTAATCCTAGCACTTGGTGGGGCCAAGGCAGGCAGA
Organism: Homo sapiens; assembly: GCF_000001405.40. Taxonomy (NCBI): domain Eukaryota; kingdom Metazoa; phylum Chordata; class Mammalia; order Primates; family Hominidae; genus Homo; species Homo sapiens. Next base: position 171,009,546 of record NC_000002.12, on the reverse strand, counting down.
TTGCCTGAACTCAGGAGTTCAAGACCAGTCTGGGCAACATGGCGAACCCGTTTCTACTAAAAATACAAGAAAAAAATTAGCTAGGCATGATGGCACATGCCTGTAGTTCCAGCTACTCGGAGGCTGAGGCATGATAATCGCTTGAACCTTGGTGGTGGGAGGTTGCAGTGAGCCAAGATTGTGCTACTGCACTCCACCCTGGGGGACAGAGGGAGACATTTTCTCTCAAAAAAAAAAAAAAAAAAAAAAAAAAAAGGAAAAGAAATCCTGACTGTTGCATGGGACAAAGACTACACCCTTCTCGTTTCTGCTTCTGACTTGGAAAAATTATGGGATTTGAGTTAAGAGAACTTCAGTTCTGGTATCAGTTCAACCATGCACTATTTTTTGTTAACTTAGATAAGCATTACACGTCAGGGTCCTCACCTTCCTCATTCATCAAAAGTGATCTTTGGGCTCTCTTCCAATTCCTGTTTCTCTGATTCTAATAATAGTTTATCCTTAAGCACTTAATGGGTGAAGTAGGCTTACCATAAGGTAGAAAAGATTATCATGATAGTTCAGCTGGGATCTAAAAGTCACTAAAAGTGCAGTTAGCATTAGCGTGGCCTAAAAGTTGTTGAGCTTATGAACTTACCATGAGCCTTCATAACAACCCTCTGCTACTGCCTGGTTGTATTTTAAATAACTATTTTACCCTCATAGGTGAGGACTTTTGTAGAAGAGGCTTACATAGAGATTAGAAAGTGCAGATTGGGGCCCAGTGACTTGAACTTTCTATACTGACCTAAATACTAGTGACATCATTCTCTAAGCCCTTTAAAGCCCTTTCATGATTGCCAGTTCTGTTGGGAAACAACTAGACAAAAAGCAGATTGTAAGTCAAGAAGTAAAGAGTTGTATTTTATACCAGGATGGGAGATGTTGAGTCAGTTGCTGAGTGATTGCCATATTAACCTTATGGAAAGGTATACTTCTACTCACCTGAAATTTTGGGAGGAAGATGTGTTACATATAATTTATTATAATCAGTATACTCTGATAATAACTTTTTATTGCTTGCTTAGTTTTTTCTTCAATTATCCTTTACTATGATTGCCTTGAATTCTTTATAGATTTGTTCCGCCTTGTCCCTTATATAAACTTACTTTATTTTTATTCTTCTCAGTTTCTTTACACTTAACCCTTAATAATAATATGTAATTAGCTAATGTTTCTTGGCCGTACCATGTATTATTCTAAACACCTCATATGTTTTACCCCCATTTAATCCTCTCAATAACCCTAACTTTTGGGGCTCAGAGAGGGTATTAGCACAGAGTCACTCAGCTAATAAGCTAATCTGATTGCAAACAGAATATTCTTAACAACTGTGTGCTATATTATATCTGATCTCATACTTTTATAGTTTTGTACCAAAGTAGTCACTTTACTGCTTATCCCTTCCTGCTTATTTTTAGGTTAAATTGATGGGAGGAAATGGGGACCTTCTTTCTAATAAATACGTAAGCTTTTAAGTGAAAGGGGCACCTTTGTGTGTAAATCACAATGGAACCAAAATTATTAAATGTCTCTTTAATGGTATTCATTGCTTTTTAAAAAAACATAAGTCATGTAAAGCTGTTAAAATACTGATCATTCTGTGTTTTTAATTTAAGAAATAGGCTGGTGATTTGAACAAATCAAGTATAAATTCTTTTTGAGACAACCAGGGAAAATTGAAGACAGGTTAGGTATTAGATGAGATGAAGGAATTATTACTGATGTAGTTAGGTGTGATAATGGTATGTGGTTATTTTTATTTAAATACTGATGTGTTTACTGGGAGAAATAATGTATTTGTTTTAATAATACTCTGGTTGGGAAGGGTGGGATGCAAGGGTACTAGGGAATAGATGAAACAAGAATGGCAACATATTGGTAATTTTTGAAACTGGATGGTAGGGGCATAAGGGCACATTATAGTAGTCTACTTGTGTATATGTTTGAACAGTTTTATAATAACGAGTTTTTTTCAACAGTTGGAAAAATAACTGTTAGGAACTTTTTAATTTTTCTAAAAAGTGAGAAAGAAATAGGGGGTTGCTAGGAAAAGATAGATTTAAAAGGTTTTATCCAACCTACAAAAAAAGTGGTACAGTCATCTGTTTTCCTGGCTGCTTACTACTAGTATAGAGGAATAAGTCCATATTAAAAACAAATAATAGCTTTATTGTTTTATTTTTATTCAGTATATTGGCATTTATAAAATTTAATGTGAAAATTCACATTAAGGTTTTCTCTGATTTATTACCATGGAATTTCTGTCTTCTGATAATAAAAGTGTCATTGAGCTATATATAGTCTTAGCAGAGAAGATCATTAATAATTGTAGGGTTTGTCCTAATTCCATATTATTGCAAAAATTATCACCAAAATAAAAAACATCTCTTCAGCTATTCAATTGGTCTTTCATCTTAATTGTTTTTGACTTGAAATCCTAGGCTTTTGACCTTTATGAACAAAGATATGCTGCTGTGAAGATACATCAGCTTAATAAAAGCTGGAGAGATGAGAAGAAAGAAAACTACCACAAGTAAATACTAATACTTTATGGTTTTTTAAAATTGAATATTTTTTGAATGATCATGGAGAATTAATACACTGTCTTCTCATAGACATGCCTGCAGAGAGTATAGAATACACAAAGAACTGGATCACCCCAGAATAGTTAAACTCTATGATTATTTCTCCTTGGATACAGATACGTAAGTGAATATTAAGGTTCAATTTTTAAGGAAAGATATGCTTGCTTTCTCTTTCCCCATCCTGTGTTGATGATATAAATACTCTCCATTTCCCCATTGTGATTCTGAATTCTTGGATATTACTTATGTCTAATTTTTTTCTCTTCTCTGTTGTAGGTTTTGTACAGTGTTAGAATACTGTGAAGGCAATGACTTGGATTTCTATCTGAAGCAACACAAGTTAATGTCAGAGAAAGAAGCTCGGTCTATTGTAATGCAGATTGTAAATGCACTAAGATATCTCAATGAGATCAAACCCCCTATTATACATTATGATCTTAAGCCAGGTAATTATGAAATTTGTCTAATTTTTTTTAAACTTGAGTATAGTTTTTAAAAGTCATTCATTAAGTTATCTGAAAACATGTTTTTTGGTTTCTCTTGTAAGACATCAGTAAAATACTAGTAAAATTAAAAGTTATTAAAGTTATGTTTTTCATGTATGTATCATTAAAAGAATCTTATATTTTATTCTTAGGAAACATCCTACTGGTAGATGGAACAGCATGTGGTGAAATCAAAATCACTGATTTTGGTCTGTCCAAGATTATGGATGATGATAGCTATGGTGTAGATGGAATGGATCTAACTTCCCAGGGGGCAGGCACTTACTGGTAAGTGTATTACTAAAAACATCAGAATGTCTAGATTGGTGCCCAGTGCTTTTATAATAATTTAGTGTTTTTTTTTTTATTTCCATGTAGCCATTAAGATTACTGTGGTAAAGGTACTGATATTAAGCTCTCAGTTGAGAGGGAGACTTCTGTGGTCATTCCTCTTTTCTCATCTGTTCTTAACTGCAAATAACAGCATACTGGAGAGAGAATGACCTGGCATTAACAAGTGACTTCAGTACCTGCCAGTCAGAAACTCCTAACAGGAAGAATTCATTCATGGGTTTTCTTCTACAATGTTAGCGTGATGTTCATCATAAATATAAATACTTATGTTAATATAATATTTTAACTATTGCAAGCAAAAACTGCAAGCATCAAGCCCTCTCTGTGGAGGTTATATGGTTGCAGGAATTTTCATTTTATTTTGAGACAGGGTCTTGCCCTGTGCAGTGGTGTAATCTTAGTTCATTGCAGCCTCAAACTCCTAGGCTCAAGCGATCTGCCCACTTACTCTTGAGTAACTGAGACCACAGGTACGCACCACTATGCCCAGCTAATCTAAACTTTTTGTAGAGACCAGGTCTTAATTTGTTGCCCAGGCTGGTCTTGAACTCCTGGTATCAAGTGATCTGCCTCTCCCAAAGTGCTTGGATTACAGGCGTGAGCCACTGCACCTGGCTGGTGGTTTTTGTGGAAGATGGATGTTTTGTTGGCTGTGAATGGGAGATAAATTTGGCATATTCTTTGGACTTGACTTTCAGAAATCCCTTTTAAAGACTTGATATGTCTAGATTTAAATTTAGATATAATCACAGATTCATAGATATAAATCTAAATGACTGTCATCCCCTCAGTATACCTACGTGTTCACAAAAACTACTTCAGTGTGAATTTTCAAACTTGTTAAATTCACCAAAGTGGAGAACATAAACTATAAAATTTCAAAACAAACTTAGTTCTCAGAGAAAATTAGTTTAGCATAAAGAGTGACATTTTAATGGAAGAAAGATAACTGCGTTCAACTTCATTGAAACAGGATTGTGACTACAAACATAAATGTGACTTCAGGTTTTCCAGAACAGTATTCACACAAACTGAGCACATCATAACCACTTACACACGATGCCACTGTCTGTATAGATTTCACTTTTAATGAGCAGGGATTAGTCATATTCATGTATTCTTTTAAAGCCACTTTCAAATTTTAAATTTGGCTTGTGGCATTTCCTAGGAACATGGATAAGATAATAATGTCATGAATTTTTTCTTCATATTTTAAGAAAACTATTCAAACTGGTAACCCCCTGAAAGTCAATATTCTCAAAGTCTTTGGACTTTTTTCTTTTAGCAACAAGGCTCATTTTTTTTTTTAACAACAAAATCTTATTCTAATAAAACCAACAAAAACAAAGCATCTTGGTAGAATCTTAGATTCCATGGAAGATAGCTTGAAAACCATGTTCTAAACAATAAATTATTCTTCGTCTGCAGGACATTCTCATTATTTGTTTCTCTCTCACTCTGGCTTCACTAGTATAGGGAAGGACAAGGAAATTTCCCTTTTACAGATGTTCGAGGGACAAAGAGCTTATGTTTCAGGGGCTGTACTGGAAGGAGATACAATAATGGCATTGTTCTATAGGAACATGGAATGTATTTCTCATGGAAATCTGTGGTCCAAAAATTGGTTTATGTCTACAGTCATATTAGTTGTTTAGCTATGTACAGCTGACCTTGAATAATATAGGTTTGAAATGCATGGGTCCACTTTTATGTGGCTTTTTTTTTTCCGATAAATACATTGGAAAATTTTTTGGAGATTTGCAACAATTTGAAAAATCTCACTGACGAACCATGTAGCCTAGAAATATTGAAAAAATTGGCTGGACACGGTGGCTCACGCCTGTAATCCAAGCATTCTGAGAGGCTGAGGCGGGCGGATCACTTGAGGTCAGGAGTTCGAGACCAGCCTGGCCAACGTGGTGAAACCTCGTCTCTGCTAAAAATACTAAAAGTACAAAAGTTAGCTGGGCATGGTGGCCATGCCTGGAATCCCAGCTACTTGGGAGGCTGAGGCAGGGGAATTGTTTGAATCCAGGAGGCAGAGGTTGCAGTGAGCTGAGATCATACCACTGCACTCCTGCCTGGGCGACAGAGCAAGACTCCGTCTCGAAAAAAAAAATACTGAAAAAATTAAGAAAAAGGTATGTCACGAAGGCGTGAAATATATGTAGATACTTGTCTGTTTTACCATTTACTGCCATAAAATGTACACAAATCTATTACAAGAAGTTAAAATTTATCAAAACGTATACAAACACAGACTGTACCTGGTGCTATTTGCAGTTGAGAGAAACGTAAACAAATGTAAAGATGCCGAATTAAATAATAACTTCATAAAATTAACTGTACCACATACTGTGTACTGTAATAATTTTGTAGCTACACCTTGTTGCTATTGTAAGGAGCTCAACTGTTTTGAGTATCTGTTTAAAACACTGTGATGCTAATCTCCGAGCAATTAATCTCTCCAGTAAAAGGCCTATCGCAGTAAAAAGTAATCTCTCGTGATTCTCAAATATTTTTCATCATGTTTAGTGCAATATTGTCAACCTTGAATAACACCAGTAATGATGGAAGTGCTCTCAAGGAGCAGAGAAAAATCATGACATTACAAGAAAAAGTTGAATTGCTTGATATGTACCATAGATTGAGGTCTGCAGCTGCAGTTGCCCACCATTCCAAGATAAATGAATTCAACAAAAAGATCATTGCTAAAAAAAAGAAATTTGTAAAGCTGTCACTGCAGCTATGTCAGCAGGAACAGAAACCTTGTACTTTTTTTTTTTTTTTTTTTTTTTTTTTTTTTTGAGACGGAGTCTTGCTCTGTCGCCCAGGCTGGAGTGCAGTGGTGCGATCTCGGCTCACTGCAAGCTCCGCCTCCCGGGTCCACACCCTTTTCCTGCCTCAGCCTCCTGAGCAGCCGGGACCACAGGTACCTGCCACCACACCTGGCCAATTTTTTGTATTTTTAGTAGAGACGGGGTTTCACCGTGTTAGCCAGGATGGTCTTGATCTCCTGACCTCATGATCCACCCGCCTCGGCCTCCCAAAGTGCTGGGATTACAGGCGTGAGCCACCACGCCCAGCGAAACCTTGTACTTTTTGCAAAATACCCTTTTATCTCTAATTGAAAATGGAAGCCGTGCACGGTGGCTCATGCCTGTAATCCCAGCACTTTTGGGAGGCTGAGGCAGGCAGATCAGATCACTTGAGCCTGAGAGATGAAGATCAGCCTGAGCAACATGGCAAAACCCCATCTCTGCATAAAAATACAAAAATTAGCCAAATGTGGTGGCACACACCTGTAATCCCAGCTACACAGGAGGCTGAGACAAGAGGATCATCGCTTGAGCCTGGGATGTGGAGATTGCAGTAAGCCCAGATTGCACCACAGCACTTCAGCCTGGGTAACAGAGTGAGAACATGTCTCAAAAGAAAAGGACAAAGAAAATGCAGCTTTCTGGGCGCATGATACCCACAGACTGTAATGTGATTTTAGAAAAAGCAGGCCAGGCGCGGTGGCTCACACCTATAATCCCAGCACTTTGGGAGGCCGAGGCAGGTGGATCACGAGGTCAGGAGATTGAGACCATCCTGGCTAACACGGTGAAACCCCGTCTCTACTAAAAATACAAAAAATTAGCCGGGCATGGTGGCAGGCGCCTGTAGTCCCAGCTGCTCGTAGTCCTAGCTACTCGGGAGGCTGAGGCAGGAGAATGGCATGAACCCGGGAGGCGGAGCTTGCAGTGAGCTGAGATTGTGCCATGGCACTCCAGCCTGGGTGACAGAGCCAGACTCTGTCTCAAAAGTAAAAAAAAAGAAAAAGATGATATGACCATTTTAAAGCAAAAGGAAGGTGAAGGATCTAAAGCTGGAGAATTTCATGCCAGTAAAGGATGGTTTAATAATTTTAGAAAAAGGGTTGGCTTTTAAAATGTCAAGATAACAGGAGAAGCAGCTCCCGCCAACCAAGAGTTCCCAGATGCTATTAAGAAAATAATTGAGGCCAGGCGCGGTGGCTCATGCCTGTAATCTCAGCACTTTGTGAGGCCCAGGCGGGCGGATCATGAGGTCAAGAGATCGAGACCATCCTGGCCAACGGTGAAACCCCGTCTCTATCAAAAATACAAAAATTAGCTGGGTGTGGTGGTGCATGCCTGTATTCTCAGCTACTATGGAGGCTGAGGCAGGAGAATTGCTTGAACCCAGTAGGCAGAGGTTGCAGTGAGCGAGATCACACCACTGCACTCCAGCCTGGGCAACAGCAAGATTCGGTCTCATTCATTCATGAATGAATGAATGAATGAAAAAGAAAAAATAATTGAGGAGAAAGGATAGCTGCCTGAACAGATAATTTAATGCAGACAGAAGTGCCCTCTTCTGGAAAATAAAAATGCCACGGAGGACATTTATTTGTAAGGAAGAGAAGTGAGCACCAGGATTTGATGTAGGAAGGGACAGGGTAACTCTACTGTTTTATGCAAATGCAATTGGGTTTATGATCAGGACTGCCCTTAGCTATAAAGCTGCTAACTCTGGAGCCTCAAACAGAGAAGATAAATACCAGCTGCCAGTCTTTTGCCTATACAACAAGGAGGCCTGGACAATTGGAACCCTTTTTTTGGATTGGTTCCATCAGTGCTTTATCCCTGAAGTCAGGAAGTACCTTGCCAATAAGGGATCACCTTTTAAGGTTCTTTTGATACTGGACAATGCCCCTGGCCACCTAGGAGCCCATGAGTCCCCAAACACAACAATATCTAATTCAGCCTCTAGATCAAGAGGTCTTAAGGAACTTTAAGGCTCGTTACACATGATACTCTATGGAAAGGATTGTCAGTGCTGTTAAAGAGGACACCAGTAGACAGAACATCATGAAAGTCTGGAAGGATTACACCACTGAAGATGTCATCATTGTTTTAGAAAAAGCCATGAAAGCCATCAAGCCTGAAAGAGTACATTGCTGCAAGAGAAAACCGTGTCCAGTTGTTGCATATGACTTTGCAGGATTTATGACAGAGGCAGTCAAGGAAATCATGAAAGAGACTGTGGATATGGCAAAGAAGGTGGGGTGAAGGGTTTCAAGATATGGATCTTGGAGAAATTCAAGAGCTAAAAGACACCCCTCCAGAGGAATTAAGGTGACTTGATGGAGATGAGTGCTTCCAAACTGGTGCCAGATGAGAAAGTAGTAGTAGAAGAGGCACTGCCAGAAAACAGGTTGACATTAGACAGCCTGGCAGAAGGGTTTCTATTAGTCAAGACATTGCTTTTGACTTTTATGACATGGACCCTTCTATAATACAGGCACTGAAACTAAAGCAAGTGGTGGAAGAAGGATTGATACTATATGAAAAAGCAAAACAAATTATGTCTGTAAAGTTGCACTGAGTGTGTCTGCCTCCCCTTTCATCTCTTCCCCCGTCACCCCTGAGACAGCAAAACTAACCCCTCCTCAGTCTACTCAACCTAAAGATGACAAGGATGAAAACTTTTGTCATAATCCACTTTCACTTAATGAATAGTGATTTTCTCTTACGATTTTTCTTAATAGCAGTTTTTTTCTTCTAGCTTACTATAAGAATTTAGTATATAATACAGCATATAAAATATGTATTAATTAACTGTTCATGTTATCAGTAAGTCAACTTCCAGTCAACAGTGGGCTATTAGCAGTTAACTTTTTTTTTTTTTTTTTTTTTTTGACAGAGTTTCGCTCTGTCACCCAGGCTGCAGTGCAATGGCACAGTCTTGGTTCACTGCAACCTCTGCCTCCCAGGTTCAAGCGATTTCTCCTGCCTCAGCCTCCCAAGTAGTTGGGATTACAGGTGCCCGCCACCATGCCTGGCTAATTTTTTTGTATTTTTAGTAGAGACAGGGTTTCACCATGTTGGCCAGGCTGGTCTCAAACTGCCGACCTCCTGTTCTACCCGTCTCGGCCTCCCAAAGTGCTGGGATTACAGGCATGAGCCACCACGCTCAGCCTAGTAATTAACTTTTTAACTTTTTAGGGAGAGTCAAAAGTTAGACATGTGGCCAGGTATGGGGGCTCACTCATGCCTCTGATCCCAGCAGGAAGACCACTTGAGCCCAGGAATTGAAGACCAACCTGGGCAACATAGCAAGACCCTGTCTGTATAAATTTTTTAAAAAAATTAGCCAGGCATGGTGGTGTGTGCCTGTGGTCCCAGCTAATTGGGAGGCTAAAGTGGGAGAATCGCTTGAGGCTTGGAGATCGAGGCTGCAGTGAGCCGTGATCGCACCACTGCACTCAGCCTGGGCAACACAGTGAGACCCGGTCTCAAAAAAAAATAAAAATAAAAATCATACATGGATTCTCAACTGCATGGGTCAGTGCCTCCAACCCCTATATTGTTCAAGGGTCAACTGTATTTGATATATTTGGATAGCACTATAAATACTCGTATATTTTAGAATACACATATAATATTGCTCTTATAAATTACCTTTCATCCTCAGAAACTTAAAATATTTAGTTTTGTCTCTCTGGTCTCAAATTCACTAAATCCTGGTGGACATCTTTTCCCAAGTTACTTTGACGTCAATTTCTGTGGTTGCTCTCCTTGCATACATACACCTTGTGCCTGGAGAGAGTATAGCTTAATCTTTACAAGCTATTCCTGTTTCAGTTACACACATAGACACCTGCGTAAAATACACACTTTTATTGACAAAATAAATCCAGCTTTTTACTGCATTACAAATGAGTTATTGGTTATCTTTGCTGGTTTTACTTCACGGAAGTTTCATGTGTATTTTAAGAGATCTGTCAACATCTTGCTGAAATCTTAATGATTTTAGCATAGTGAATACAAAACTGCATTTTTTAAAAAAAATAGTAAATTCCCATTGAGCAGCATTATTTGTTTTGATAATTTTAAGTTTATCTAAATTTTTGAGGTGTGAGATGCTTGCATCCTTGTGATGGATCTTTTACTTATAACTGGAGATGACAAATTGATTTTTACCCTTCATCTATTAAAAATTATGAACTGGCTTAGTGTGGTGGCTCATGCCTGTAATCCTAGCACTTTGCGAGGCCAAGGTGGGAGGATCACGTAAGGCCAGTAGTTCGAGACCAGCTTGGTCAACAGCACAAGACTATCACTACAAAGAAGAAAGTATTAGCTGGGTGTGCTGGTGCACGTCTGTAGTCCCATCTATTTGGGAGGCTAAGGTGCGAGGGTCACATGAGCCCAGGAGTGTGAGGCTGCAGTGAGCTATGATCGTACCACTGTACTCCAGCCTGGGTGACAGAGTTGGACCCTGTATCAAAAAAAATTATGAACTTATAAATAGGACTTACATATTTTTAAAATAGTAATTTTGAATACCCATTGTGTTTCAGACACTGCTAGTGCTTGAAACTGCACAGTGAATAAGAGTTCCTTGAGCTGCTCACGGTCTGGTGTGATTGTAGTTTAATGCCATAATAGAGGCATTGCACCATTCTGCAGTAACACAGAGAAAAGCAGAGCCACCTGGGGAGAAGCAAAAGATGGCTTATGGGGGTTGGGTGGGTCTTGAAGAAGAAAAGATGCTAAGTAATTGGAGTGATTAGGGAAGGCAGTAGTGATTGTCATATTCAAGAGCTCAGAGGATAAAGGAGAGCCGAGTGGAGATGCAAGTGAATTGGTTTTGACTAGCCAATTTGGCGGGTTAGGGTGGGGGAAGATAGTGTGTGCAGATTTTGAAAATGTATGTTGTTGCCAGATTAGCATGAGTCTTGTGTTACAAACAAGAGATACAAGGTCTTGTTGGCAGTAAGTGCTGTCGAAGTTGTTTGAACAAAAGAACCATGTGATCAGGTGTATATTTTAGGGAGAGAAGTGCCTACAGTTTGAACAGTGGTTAAGGAGGATGGGAGAGGGTTTCTTCTACTATTATTAGATACTGCAAATAAGACCATTGTAATCTCTTTAAGTTTTTGTTTCGGTAGGTAGGTAGGTGGTAGGTAGGTAGGTAGGTAGATAGATAGATAGATAGATAGATAGATAGATAGATAGATAGATAAAGATAGATAGAGATGAACTTTATCACAATGTTGTATGTGTTGGCTCTAGAGTTAAATGATAAAAGAATGTAAATGCTCCAGAAGTTCAGTTGATGATTTTCACTGATGGGAGTCCTAGAGTTTATATATGAATAAAATTCGTGTTCTAAGATTTTACACTTAGAAGATTTTAAGTTACAGATTGTCAGTAGTAACCTTTTTTCTCTCCCACAAAACTTACAGGTATTTACCTCCTGAGTGTTTTGTAGTTGGAAAAGAGCCACCAAAGATTTCCAACAAGGTTGATGTATGGTCGGTTGGAGTCATCTTCTTTCAGTGTCTTTATGGTAGAAAGGTAAATTGAATTCTACCAGCCTTCAGCTCTACAGAGATAAATTAAGTTGAATTTTTCCTTCTTAAAAGCAAAATTTCACTAACTTAAAGTCAATTTAGATCCTTCTAAAGAAAGCCAGGCTTCTCCTCTATTTCTTCCTAAAATTTCCATGGATCAGAATTATTTTAATGTCACACCAGTTTACTTGACCTACTTTTTGCTTTCTTTCCTTTTTTTAAGAAAAGAAGTAACTATCTGTTAACATGCTAATATTTGTCTGCTATTGGGAATACTGGAGTCAATACTTTTCATTATCCACCATTCACTTGACCTCCTCTTACACCCCCCACCCCACCCACACACACAGTTTGGCCTGGGTGGGCAGTTTCCCCGTTGCTCATCAGGGAAATACCATCAAACTTAGTCTTATTTCCCAACTTCTTTTTATATTGAAGTTGGAAGTGCAGGTTACCATAAATATTAACTAGCCCACATCCCACCCCATCCCTTCATCAATAGGGGAAGAGAGGTTAAGGGATTTGTGTGGGATCTCCTCACTCCAAATCCAGAGCTCCTTCATTTAAATTCGCCTGTGATGCACACAGTATTTTATTCTTTGGAAATTGTCATAGACATTTTCATTACTACTTCATCTCTTCTCTAACTGAACTTCATTGTTTATTCAGAATAAAGTTTTAAATTTATGTTTTTATCTTATATTGCAACAGCATTATTTTCTTCTTCTTACAGTGTTTAATCTATGTTGAAGATCTGTTAGGTAGGCTTTCTTGGCCTGCTATCAATTATAGCTTGTTTGTATGAGAATTCATCTCAGGTTTCAAATAACTGAGGAAGATTTTAGAACACAAGATATTTGGATTTTCGGTTTTGGGAATTCGCTTAAACAGAAATGATATCTGTGTTTAAATATTTTGTGAGAAAAGTATCTCAACATTTAATTTTTTTTTTAAGCCATTTGGTCACAATCAATCTCAACAAGACATTCTTCAAGAAAATACAATATTAAAAGCCACAGAAGTCCAGTTCCCTGTAAAACCGGTTGTAAGCAGTGAAGCCAAGGTATTAAATTTTTGTAAATGAGTTTTGTGAAGTAACTTTTCTTTCATCAGTTGTGCTGACAACAAGGTAAGTACTTTCCAGTAAGTAAAGTCACAAGACTCGCTGCTGCAGGGGATCTGTCCAGCAGGGGCTGGTGATTTACTTTCAGAGAAGGAGTTGCATCAGCCTCTGGTTGCTATAGTTTTTATCTTTTAAGCTATGGTCTCTGATTGTTTATGTTCATCAGCTGCTACTTTGAAAATTAGGGAAAAATCACAAGATCTGGGCTCATCATTACCTTTTATGTATTATTTTATCTGCTTATGTTAATACTGAGATATATAAGTATATAAGAAATATTAAAAGTAATAATAAGGCTGGGCGTGGTGGCTCACACCTGTAATCCCAGCACTTTGGGAGGCCAAGGCGGGCAGATCATCTGAGGTCAGGAGTTTGAGACCAGCCTGACCAACATGGTGAAACCCGGTCTCTACTAAAAATACAAAAATTAGCCAGGCGTGGTGGCACACATCTAGAGTCTCAGTTGCTTGGGAGTCTGAGGTGGGAGGATCACCTGAGCTCAGGGAGGTCAAGGCTGCAGTGAGCCATGACGATACCGCTGCACTCAAACCTGGGGGACAGAGTGACACCCTGTCTCAAAAAAACCAAATAGGCCATGCGCGGTGGCTCACACCTGTAATCCAGCAATTTGGGAGGCCCAGGCAGGCAGATTGCCTGAGCCCAGGAGTTCGAGACCAGCCTGGGCAACATGGTGAAACCCCATCTCTACTAAAAATACAAAAATTAGCCCGGTGTAGGGGCCCGTGCCTTTAGTTTCAGCTTCTCAGGATGCTGAGCTGGGAGGATCGCTTGAGACCAAGAGGTAGAGGTTGCAGTGAGGTGAGATCGCACCACTGCACTCCTGCATGGGCGACATAGCAAGACCCATTCTCAAAAAAACAAAAGAGATAAATATTCTTATTTGAAAGCAAAATGAATTATTTTTGTAAGATAAATATGACTCCTTTAAAAATATTTTAACTGTGCTGACATCTAAATCTTGTCTTATTTTCTGTCTGTAGCCTCATTGAGAACAGAAATTAAATGAATTTAGTTGATTCATGATCTGTTTGTTTAATACTGACTGAAAAGACCAGGAGGAGTGGAGTTGCCAAAGGCAAAGTCTCATTTAGCCATTCCTGGTTCTCTCCTTAGGCTCTTAATAGGCACCACAGTCACCTTTTAGAGATCTGGAATCCAGGAAGGGTTAAGGGGTTGTTGGGGGGATATAATATTAATATGATACAATTATATGATATAAATTTTAATATTTTAATGTAATATATAATATCTCTATATTCTGTATCCCTACAGAAGATACCTTTGCCAAGTACTTTCCCTGACTTGGTGTGGGCATCTTTAAGTACATTATTTGTTGCAGACTTAACCTTAACCTTGCTATTGATAGCCTTTCCACTCCTCAAACTCTAACATATCAGTCTTGATGTTTTTTTCCCTCTTAATCATTTTTCAAAGTGATCTCTGAAACTTTGTTAAAGATAAAAAAGATAAGTCCTCTAAGGGATCAGATTGACTTCCAATAAACAGTAAGCTATGGTAAAATGAGAATAGCTAGGTATATTTTTAGAGAAAAATATACTTCTAATGAATTTCAAAGCAAAGAAAGTGCAAAATAGTTACCTTTTAATGTGATTATACTTCTGTTTAATGGTATGTATTAATTTCTAGTGTCAGCATTAAGAAAGGGAAACAATTACCAGTTACCTCCTGAGAATATTTTATCTGTTCCCTCCCCCCCCAAAAAAGGATGAACCTCAAAATTTAATATTGGGTGAAAGAGGCCTGGCAAAGGAGAACATAATTTATAATTCTATTTATATAAAATTCAAACAATCAAAACTCAACTATGGTTTTAGAAGTCAAGATAAAGGTTAACCCAGGTTCGACTGGGGACAGAGCCAGTGCCTGGAACTGGGCATGAGGGGGATTCAGAGGTTCTTTTTCTTGATCTGGTTGCCAGTTACATAGATGTATTTACTTTGTGCTATGCACTTAACGATTTGTGTGCATTTCTAAAAATGTGTTACACTTCAGGAAAGGTTTTTTTTTTTTTTGTAAGAGGCTATTCTCAAAGAAAAACTGAGTAAAATTGGTTTGAGAAAAAAAAAATAGTGATTATATTCTGTTTATTTAGCTTTTCCAGGAGTGTAATGATGCATAGGGTTAACCTGGGAAACAATGTCCCTAATGAAAGTGTCCCTTCAGTGATCTCTTCATCTAAAGAAAGTCTTTATGTCAGTAGGAAAAAAAAATAATGGTTGAAAATGGCATCTTACCCTTTGCTAAACTGAAGTGATAACAAAATGGGATGAGGGTGGGAGGACTGTTTAGCAGAAGAAAAATGCTAGAAAAAAGTCTTCAGAATTTCGTAAGCAGAAACAACTTTCCAGTATAAGTTCAAATGGTTGCAGTAGTAATTTAGACTGTAAAGTGAACCACTGCAGGGGCTTCAAGCAGTGAGTTGCATTTGGAGTGAGAATTTTCTAGCTACAGAATTTTTTTTTTAAGGTTTGAACTTCCAATAAAATGAGATCTACTTATGTCTTAAATGTGTCCATCCTTCTGCTGATTCAGTTGATTGATATTTAGAAGGGAAAAAGATCATTAATTGCTAACATTTCCTTTCTCTTTTTGAGGCATTTATAAGACGCTGTTTGGCATATCGAAAAGAAGATCGATTTGATGTGCACCAGCTGGCAAATGACCCATACCTTCTCCCACACATGAGAAGATCAAATTCTTCAGGAAACCTACACATGGCTGGGCTGACAGCATCCCCTACACCCCCTTCTTCAAGCATAATTACTTACTGACTTTCCTCCAAGATTGGCATGATATCTTTGAATTTGCTTCCAGATGCACACTTAAGTTTGAGAGCATTTGAGTGTTTGTTTTCTTTTTCTTTTTTTTTTTTTTTTTTTTTTACACAAGACGTGGTTAAGAACTGTTTGTGAACTGAAGTTCCTCATAGTGTCATTTGTATGAGAGAGGATCATGGACAATGAATAAATGCACACTTCTGACTATAATTTTGAGCAGTGAAGGAAGGATGACTGCCTGTTACACAGAAACAGGAATACCATGTTAAGATAGAGGAAAAAAATTTTGTTTATTTGGGGGAACACTGTAAATAACGTTTATAATACTTAAATACATTTGGTTGTTACTAGAGAGTTCTAATATGAAGGGTAGTTTTTCATTATTTAAAAACACATGGAAAAATATGAGACATATTTCTAACATACGAACTATAGTGCCTGGATACATTCTTCAGCATTTGGCAGTTAATCTGCTGAAACCAAAGTAAGAACTGAATGACAGTGACAGTTGTGTTTTATAGTAATAGAATGTGAGAGTTAGAATCTTTGGACAAAGTTAGGCTTTGTCATTTGCCTATTCAGACTTTTACCAAGTTGTACCTCGAGATCACATGTCCGTTTTCTTTCACTGGTTATATTAAAGGGAGAGCTATTATTTCTAAATACTTTACACCTTTGACAAAATGAGCTGCTTGTGTTGAAATCAGTTGAATTCACTAAATTATAATATTGCCAGTGTTTTCAACACGTTAGAATTGATAACAGGTATTTTTCTTTTGTTACCAGGCCTTGTTCATCAAAACAGGTGACAGTGAGTAACCAAATGCAGACCAGTTCTATGCAGGATAATGATAAATTCCCTTCTAGCTCTATTGTAAATTGTTGTACAGATGTCATATTTCAATTACTAAGTTTCAGCAGCTTATTCTTGTACAAATGTTTAAAATATGGCTTTTCTAATTGGATATTGTATTTTTTTTAAGTCTTCTTGAAGGCACTCTAATTGCTGCTAAATGATGTTGCTTCTTTGCTAAAAAATTAAATGACCTAGAAGGTGCAAGTTGACTGTACATCATAGATATTAAAAAGCAGACAGTCATTAACAATCAAGATGTAAAAGTGATCCATGTTGGACATAATTGAGTTTTTAAATCAGTTTATTGGGTTCTAGGGCTGTAGAACACATAGATACTAGATTTTTAATTTGTTCATGGTTATTCTACATTTCTAGAAAGTTCTTATCAGCAAGATGGTCCCATAAGCAAATTTCTTGTGGTTTGTACAGATTTGTTAAAATGTGAACGTTTTCTAACTGCCTCGTAGGGTAGAAACCAATATTTTTCAGGATGCTGTATTTCACTCCTGTAAGGACTTTTTCTTTATTGTCACATTCATAATGCTGATACTTACATGTAAGTTGTTCATGTTGCAGAAAAAGGTTATACGTACCACGGATTCTCTTTAATATTGTACAGTTAAACTGTATTTCTGATGTTGCAAGCCATTTTGTTTTTTCATTGTACATAGACACATTGTCTCTTTAAAATGCTGCTGAAATTGTAGAGAGTATAGCCAAAACAGTAATAAACAATGACAGTTAAAATGTAAAGACTATGAAAATTACATTGGAAGGGAGCTTTCAAGATGGTAGGATATTGACTAACTGAGCTCCTTCACTTAAAAATCAGCTGAATAAATTCCTTAAGTATACTTCAAGACAAGTGTAAATTGTTTCAAGCTGTTAAAGTTAAACCTAATAACCATTATCAAGGCAACTCCTGGGTAAGTAACACTTAGAACCATCAAGAGTGGTTTAAGGGGCTGGCTATACCCATTCCTCTGTAGAGCACAGAGAAATCCTATTAAAAAAAAAATACTACATGGTAATGAAATCTTAGCATTGATTGAGTGCTTTACGTGCTGCCTGCAAGTTTTCAGTTTTGTTGTTAGAGTTTTCGTCTTTATGAATGATAAAGTCCTATGTTCATAAAGTAACATTTAAATTCCTGAACTAAAAGGAAATGCCTGTTGTGCTTAAAATTTTGGGGAGATACGAAGTGAATGTGTAAATCTAACTTTGAGGTTCAGTAAGTTAAGTAGTATAGACCTAGAGATCACTGCTTTACCATTTTACTTTCAAATGAATGAGAGCGACTGCTAGTGGCAGAACGCAGAAAAGGGGAAAAACAAGCCATGAAATGAAGTTGCTTTCCTGACCTGGGTTTAGGTCATCATTTTAAAATCAAAGATGTGTAGGAGATGAATCAACTTATAGACCCATATTTTCCTTCTAAAAGTTTCCCAAAGAAATGTTATAGATTTTGAATAACATGCCAGTGACCCAGCAGGTCCAAGATGGCTAACCAAGATGGCTAATTTAGCCACATTGAATAACTTACTTTTACCCTCACATGGAAAGTTGGTATCTATTGCTAAATGATTTCAAGGTCACTCTGACAGTCTTTGACACTGTTTTTTTTAGGGTTTTATTGTTTTCTGGTCTCCTGGTGTCTGTCCTCAGAATTAAAGCATGTCCTGCATCCCTAAGATGATAGCCAAGGCCTCTCTTTTATTAAGAGTCAGCACTGATGTAGGGTAAAATCAACAGTTTTTGCATATGATTTTAAAATCTTTCTTTGATTTGAATTTGCTTTAGTGTGTGCATGTTGAGAGGAAGTAAGTGTAGAAACCACCCTAATTTGTAAGTTGGGAGTTGGAGATACTTGGTGGTTTTTCAAAAATAAAGACTCAATCTTTTTTTTTTTTTTAAACACTCACTACCATCTCCTTCTAAAACAACTCTGTCAGTTTAAATGGCATATAAAATGTGAACAAACACCTCATTACATGAAGTCAAAATGGTGAAGAGCTTCAGTGAAACATTTAAAGAGTATATTGTGTGTTGTTTTGCTGTTCATCATTACTTATTAAATGCAGTAATGTTGATTGCCCTCATGCTATTAGCTGTGTTTTAGTTGTATAGTACAGTTCACCTAGATTAATTTACTCTTAAAATTTAATTACATTGCTGTTTGATTTTTGTGTGAATGTTATAACCTTACTTACACATTTAAAAGCCCATTGACAGGTCTTTCTTTAATTCTGCCTTAAGTTTTGACCTGTTAACTGATGATTTTTCATCTACATATACTAAATTTCAATGTTCTGAAGATTTAATCTAATTCAAAAAGTGCTTTTAGGCTGGCAGTGATGGCTCATACCTGTAATCCCAGCTCTTTGGGAGGCCAAGGCAGGTAAATCATTTGAGGTCAGGAGTTGGAGACCACCAGCCTGACCAACATGGTGAAACCCCATCTCTACTAAAAGTACAAAAAAATTAGCTGGGCATGGTGGTGCATACCTGTAATCTCAGCTACTCAGGAGGCTGAGGCAGGATAGTCACTTGAACCCCAGAGGCGCAGGTTGCAGTGAGCTGAGATCATACCTCTGCACTCCAGCCTGGGCGACAGGGTGAGACTCCATCTCAAAAATAAATAAATAAGTGCTTTTAGCAGCTAGTTTTAGAATTAAATTGGAATTCTAGTTCCTGTGTTTCAGTTCATTCTTCGGCAGTTTTAGAATTTATATAACTTGTTTTTCAATTTAAATTAGATGTATTTCCTACAACATAAACATCTCCATTTACCTTCCCCTACTTTCCCTTCATTTCTCTTTTTTGAGGATTCCTCCCCCACCCCGCCCCCTCTGGGAATTCTATAATTTTTGAAAAGGAAAGATTTGAGTAAATGTGTTTAAATCAACTTTTAAAGTTATTTGCAGAGAGCCAGAGAATGGGGTAGAAGAGTTACTTATAGTTAGGACAAAAATGCATGGCTTTCACCTGGAAATCTTCATTTGTCTAAAGTAATAGAGATGTGGATTATCTACACACATATGACTGGTTTTGTTTTTGTTTGAGACGGGGTTTCACTCTGTCACCCAGGCTGGAGTGCAGTGGTGTGATCTCAGCTCACTGCAACCTCTGCCTCCCGGGCTCAAGCTGGGACTACAGGCGTATGCCACCACGCCCAGCTACTTTTGTACTTTTTGTAGAGACGGGGTTTCACCATGTTGCACAGGCTGATCTCGAACTCCTGGGCTCAGGCGATCTACCTGCCTGGGCCTCGTAAAGTGCTGGGATTACAGGTGTGAGCCACAGTGCCTGGCCCATATGACTGTTTTAAGAAGGGCAATAAAATAGGTTAAGATATCAATTTTTTTGAACCAGAGTTTTTGGATTAAAATGTTGACTAACATTTACTACCTGTGTTTCTGGTTCCTCATCTGAAAATTAGGGTACAACTACCCATCATGCAGAGTGGCTGCAAGGAATGAATAAGTGAATTCACATATGTAACGCACTCAACCTTTACTTATATGCCCAGCTCATAAGTAGGTACTGTATATAATAAGCTGCTATTGTCATCATCCCTTTTTAAAACTCAAAAGATTATTCTATTAGCCCTATTTATAAAATTCAGTCTGCTTTGCTTCCTGTGGTAATTTTAATTATTTTAAGAAACACTTTCACAGTGCTTGACTCAGGTTTCAAACAAGTGATGATTAGATTGTCTGGAAATGGAAGGTGAGGAAATGTAGCAATTTGAAACAAAAAGTAGTAGCTGTGTGTGTGAACTAATTGCCAAAAGGATCATGCCCTATTGATGCTGTTTCATCACAGATATCTGTCATATTTTCCACAGTTTCCTTGCTAGTAACAACTGATTGAGGTAGGACAGATGACAGTATCCGTGTTCTACAAAGGAGGAAACAGATTTGGAGTGGGGGAATAACTTGGTAAAGCCACATAACTGGTAAGCACAGCTTTTGGAGTCGTGGAGCAAGGTTTTTAACTATGTTAACATCTTGGTATATAGTAAACATGGCGTAGTGAGTTAAATCTCATCATGACTCTTCAAAGGTGACAGCCAAATAGCTACAGACATTATTGTCATCTTTTTAAAAGCAAATCTAAAGATTTTTTTTTTTTTTTTTTTTGAAACAGGGTCTCTCTGAAACCCTGTTTTTTTGAAACACCCCTCTCTGAAACAGGGTCACTCAGGCTGGAGTGCAGTGGTGCAGCCTCAGCTCACTGCAGCCTTGACCTCCCGGGCTCAAGCAATCCTCCCACCTCAGCCTCTCAAGTAGCTGGGGCTACAGGTGCATGCCACCATACCCGGCTACTTTTTTTGTATTTTTTGCAGGGGCTCACCATGTTGTCCAGGCTGGTCTCGAACTGGGCCAAGTGATCCACCCACTTCAGTCTCCCAAAGTGCTAGAATTACAGATGTGACCCACATCACGCCTGACCTAAGAATTTTTCAAGTGTTAGATGAAGAATGCCATCTGAGCTGAGTCTTGTTGGCTGTGAGTCACTAGAGAGCAGAGCCCTGCCACAGACCCATTCTAGGTAAGAGGGAGAGTGGGCTGCACCTTTTTCTGTTCTTACATCTTTTTCCCTTGCCTTTTTAAGTCAAAGATCAGGTCCATCGATGAGCTACCCCACCCCATTCTACCTGTCTTACAGAAAGCACCTCATGGAGGTCTTCCTCTGCCCACTGTCACAGGCACAGAAAGTACTCCTGGTTCCTCTCCCCGCAGTGGTACCAGTTGCTCTTTTTTTTTTTTTTTTAAATGCTGGGTGCAGTGGCTCATGCCTGTAATCCCAGCACTTTGGGAGGCTGAGGCGGGTGGATCACCAGAGGTCAGGAGTTTCAGACCAGCCTGACCACCATGCAGAAACCCTGTCTCTACTAAAAATACAAAATTAGCCAGGTGTGGTGGCACATGCCTGTAGTCCCAGCTACTCAGGAGGCTGAGGCAGGAGAAACGCTTGAACCCAGGAGGCAGAGGTTACGGTGAGCCGAGATTGTACCATTGCACTCCAGCCTGGGCAACAAGAGCAAAACTCCATCCCCCCCGCCAAAAAAAAGTTTAAAACTGACTCTAGTAAGTCAGTAACTCCTCTAAAGGAAGCCCTGGAACTTTGGAGAGATTTCACTAATTACCAATTCACCAATATATAGCCCCTGAACATTGTATCTCGAAGTCTTCTAAATCTGATAAATTACGTATGTGTGGTGTTCTACCACCAAGATCACAAATGGGTACTTCTGATTGCATCAAGTGACTCTACTGGGGTTTAAAATTGCTGTATGTAATTATGTTTAAGATTCTCTGTGTGATCCATTTTCACCTGAAGGACCTTAGATTGTTCCCAAAACTATATGCCTTGGGCCAAACAGTATATGTGCATGACCAGCATCCCACCTGTTCTTGATTGGGTGTGTGGTATGTCACAGGGGTACTAAGGTCTTATTTCCATTATATGACAGACATCAAACTCAGATACTAAAATTACCTGATCCAAAGAATGAGCATGGCTGATTTGTTACTAATATTAGCCATGTTTTTGGTGTTTCAAATGATCTTACGTCATATTGCATCCTAAGAGCATCTCTTTATGTCCACTACTTGCCAAATTCATAGCTTCCTTTTAAGGAGATATTTAGAAGGATGAAAGTGGAAGAAAGCATGGGTTTGGAAGTCTGACCTGGCTTTGCCTCCCAGCTTTGTTACTTAATAGCATATGACCTTACAGAAATCACTAACCTTTCTGGGGTCTTATTTTCCTTGTCTGTAAACTATTTCTAATAGCACCTGCCTCATGGGAACCTAGCATCAAGAGTGGGGTTCAGAAGTTTTCCCAGCTGATAATGGCATGGGCTGCGACAAAATGGAACAAATGCCACAAATGCAGAAGACAAGATTCAAGAGGCCCCTATCAGGGTCATTATGTGTTTTGTATTTTTTTGGGGGGTGGGCCTGAGAATGGTTGGGAGATGTGAGGAGGAGTTGCTCAGGAGACCTGGCGCAGTCTCCTACCTACTGGCTTGGAAGTTTTCTGTATTTAACCCATATCTGTGCCTAACTGCTTAGTCTGAGCCCTGCATGCCGCCTTGACGGTGGCACGCTCTTCACTGCCTTCTTTTCCCACTCCAGTACAAACAGCTATTGTGGAAGTGTGTGCGTCCACCGAGGGGGAACAGGACCGCTGCAGGTTGGAGTCCCAACTGGTCTGTGTTTTCATCACTTTTGGGATGCTGTTTAGATCTCAAGAGTGGTTATGTTGAAACCACTATGAAAATTAACACTATTGTGGTTTCTGAACTAATATAACAAAATTTATTGATATTTCACTTTGACAATGAATTTTAACTTCATTAGTAGGAATGAATGAATATATATATATATATATATTTTTTTTTTTTTTTTTTAAGATGGAGTTTCGCTGGAGTGCAATGGCATGATCTCAGCTCACTGCAACCTCCGCCCCCTGGGTTCAAGTGATTCTCCTGCCTCAGCCTCCCAAGTAGCTGGGATTACAGATATGCGCCACCACGTCCAGCTAATTTTTGTATTTTTAGTAGAGATTGGGGTTTCACCATCTTGGCCAGGCTGGTCTTGAACTTCTGACCTCGTGATCCACTCACTTCGGCCTCCCAAAGTGCTGGGATTACAGGTGTGAGCCACTGCATCCGGCCATAGTAGAAATATTTTTAAAGTTTAATTTCTGTGAGCTTCCTTCCCAGAAGTAAAGACGTGTGTATACAGCTTTTAGTGAAAAAGCTTTAAAAGAAATTCAGCTTGAAAGAATGAGATCATGCATTATTCTAGATGCAGAATTAGCCATATACCAACAAAGTTTGTGTAAGATGAGAAACTTTAAGTACACTTAAGCAACATGAGTAGGGTTATTTGTCGTATGTCGATAGCATTTTAGTATTCAAACATACCCTTACATTTGACTAAAACAATATGTGCTTTGTAGTTTGGGGGAACGAAATAACCTTTAGGGGACTGAAGCTATGCTAAAGTGCAGTTTAAGATGTTTCTTTGCTGATTTTTAAAAAATTACACAATAAGGAAAGTAGTAACCCTTAATTGTAAATTGGCATATTTGTGACCAAGACTTAGAAAAAGTGATAGACTTTCCAGTGGCAGATATGGAAGATATTCATTCCACTAATGACCATGGAAATTGCTTAAGCCAAGTTTCATGTTCTGCAGCAAGGGTCCCCAAACCCCAAGCCACAGACTGGTACTGGTCTGTGGCTTGTTAGCAAACTGGCTGCACAGCAAGAGGTGATGGGCTGTTGAGTAAGCATTACTGCCTGAGCATCATCGCCTGTCAGATCAGAGGCGGCATTAGGGTCTCAGGAGCACAAACCCTACTGTGAACTGCTCATTCAAGGGATCGAAGGCTGGGCGCTCCTTATAAGAATCTAATGCCTGATGATCTGAGGTGGAACAGTTTCATCCTGAAACCATGCCCTCAACTCCCATCCGAGGAAAAACTGTCTTCCACAAATTGTCTTCCATGAAACCAGTCCCTGGCACCACAAAGGTTGGGGACCGCTGTTCCACCACGGAAATTCATTGTATAAAGTTTACTCCTCCCCACATCTCTGTAAAAAACTATATTCAGAGATAAAATTTGGAAAAGCAGAGTTCTCACTGCCACGTTAGTTAGAAGAACAACATTCCCCCATTTATTGGCCTGGCACTGCAAAATAAAAGTGGCAAAGTGACTTGTTTTGAACTTGTAATATAAACACTTCAAAAAGCTCCTCTCACAAATCAACCATCTTGGCACTAGAACTGTTTCCTTCATTGGGTCACTGAGTTGAATAAGATCATGTTGGAAACATTGACAGCTGTAGTAGTTTGCCATTACCACACAATTTAAAATTAAAGCCTGATCCTGGTCTCTACAAGAAATATACGTAGGTTACAATTACTCTTCCGGCCTGGGCGAGGTGGCTCACGTGCCTGCAATCCCAGCACTTTGGAAGGCTGGTGGGAGGATCGCTTGAGCCCAGGAGTTTAACACCAGCCTGGGCAATATAGGGAGACTGTGTCTCTACAAAAAATGACTATTCTGTGTCCGTTTACCCTTTTCTGATAGACTAATATTGTACCATATACAAGTTATTTAATAAATTTTAGTAAATACTGTTTAATTGACAAAAAGCCAAACATGGGAACTTTCTCTCCACGTACCTTTCTCAGCTACTTCCCTAGACTGCATCATGAACGTGTTGTTAGGTGTTCTTGTTTCATTGTTTTTTCCAAAACTATGAAATCTTCATGGTCCCTGCCCCCCCGCACCCCACATCTTAGTGTGAAATGAAAACAGGATAAGCTATAGTAACAAATTAACCCCCCCAAAAGGTTTGTTTCTCAATTATGCAAAATCCACACTGAGCTTGGTAACTCCTAGGCAACTTTACAAGACAGCTCTCTTCTCCAGGTGGTGGCTGGGGCATCCAGGCTGCTTGCATCTTATGGTTCTAGTCACATCAATCTGTAGTTACAGGAGAGGAAGGCAGGAAAGGAGGGGACATCCTAGTTCTTAAATGCCTTGGACCAGAAGTATTGTCTTTCCTTGCTAGAATTGAGTCGTGGCCTCAAATCAGCTGCACAGGAGGTACTATATCTCTGTCACCATCAAGAATTTGCATGACAATCCAGGTTTACATGTAACCTGCTTGTACCTTTTAAAGGGAATCTCCACTTCAAATACATACATATCTAGTCTGTGATTCATGACTTTTGCCAGATTTTGGGAGCTGTGTGGAGCAGGAACCTGAAGAGCTTAGCTGAAAACCTCTCATCAGTAGGAATCCACTGAGGTAGTTACAGATACCTGAGGCTCAGATGGGAAGCCCTGGAGGACCATACCCAAGAATAGGAGCAAACCAGCTCAACGCCATGCCCTCTGCCTGGTGGTTCATTGTGATTGGTTTATTGTGTAGATATTGAAGAAAAAGAGAATATTTTAGGTTGACATTTTTAAGCCAAAAAAAAAAAAAAAAGATTCTAGAAAAAAGCCAGGATTATTTTAGACCCAGTTAATTATTTGAGATTCTCTTCCAACAACTCTACCATAGACTTTGACTTGGAATTACAAAGATGGAGAAAATAAACATTTCACTTGAGCAGGGGTTTGTGTTTGTTTAAGGAAAGAGTAATAAGGACAATTTGTCGAGCACTTATGGTATACCAGTCACTGTAACCTACATTTCCTAGAATCCCCAAAAACAGCCCTATGATTATGCCATTTTGTAGGTGGAAGAGGGGAGGGGTGCATTGGAGACAGATTAAGTTGTTTGCTCAAATAGTGAAGTAGCAGGGATGGGATTTAACTCGAGACTGGCTGACTCCAAAACTCAACTGGATTAAACATCACTAATTCTATAATCCATCAACATCTTTTAAAAAATAAAAGTAACAAAGTGAGGCTTAATAAGTTTTAAATGTCAAATTTTCTTACAATGTTCTTGTGTTTTGAGAGTCTGAAATCCCCAACCCACTATTCAGAAACTGTCAGGCCTCTGAGCCCAAGCTATGCCATCATATCCCCGGTGACCTGCATGTACACATCCAGATGGCTGGTTCCAGCCTTAACTGATGACATTCCACCACAAAAGAAGTGAAAATGGCCTGTTCCTGCCTTTACTGATGACATTGTCTTGTGAAATTCCTTCTCCTGGCTCATCCTGGCTCAAAAGCTCCCCCACTGAGTACCTTGTGACCCCCCACTCCTGCCCGCCAGAGAACAACCCCCCTTTTTCCTTTACCTACCCAAATCCTATAAAACGGCCCCACCCCTATCTCCCTTCGCTGACTCTCTTTTCGGACTCAGCCCACCTGCACCCAGGTGATTAAACGCTTTATTGCTCACACAAAGCCTGTTTGGTGGTCTCTTCACACGGACGCGAATGAAATTTGGTGCCATGACTCGGATCAGGGTACCTCCCTTGGGAGATCAATCCCCTGTCCTCCTGCTCTTTGCTCTGTGAGAAAGATCCACCTACGACCTCAGGTCCTCAGACCGACCAGCCCAAGAAACACCTCACCAATTTCAAATCGAGTAAGCAGTCTCTTTTTACTGTCTTCTCCAACCTCTCTCACTATCCCTCAACCTCTTTCTCCTTTCAATCTTGGCACCACACTTCAATCTCTCCCTTCTCTTAATTTCAATTCCTTTCATTTTCTGGTAGCGACAAAGGAGACACGTTTTATCCATGAACCCAAACTCCAGCGTCGGTCACGGACTGGGAAGGCAGGCTTTCCTTGGTGTTTAATCATTGCAGGGACACCTGTCTGATTATTCACCCACGTTTCAGAGGTGTCAGACCATGCAAGGATGCCTGCCTTGGTCCTTCACCCTTAGCGGCAAGTCCCGCTTTTCTGGGGGAGGAGCAAGTACCCCAACCCCTTCTCTCCGTGTCTCTACCCCTTCTCTGCTTTTCTGGGGGAGAGGCAAGAACCCCTCAACCCCTTCTCCCTCACCCTTAGCAGCAAGTCCCACTTTTCTAAGGGGCAAGAACCCCCAATCCCTTATTTCCATGCCCCGACCTCTTATCTCTGTGCCCCAATCCCTTATTTCTGCACCCTGACCTCTTATTTCTGTGCCCCATCCCTTATTTCCACACCCCGACCTCTTATCTCTGCGCCCCAACCCCTTATTTCCATGCCCCGACCCCTTTCACGCTTTTCTGGAAGTTAAGAACCCCCGAACCCCTTTCCTCCGTGTCTCTACTCTCTCTTTTCTCTAGGCTTGCCTCCTTCACTACGGGCAACATTCCACCCTCCATTCCTCTGTCTCCCTTCGCCTGTGCTCTCAAGAACTTAAAACCTCTTCAACTCACGCTGGACCTAAAACCTAAATGTCTTATTTTCTTCTGCAATGCTGCTTGACCGCAATACAAACTTGACAGTAGTTCCAAATAGCCAGAAAACGGCACTTTCAATTTTTCCATCCTGCAAGATCTAAATAATTCTTGTCGTAAAATAGGCAAACGGTCTGAGCTGCCTGATATCCAGGCATTCTTTTACACATCAGTCCCTCCCTAGTCTGTGCCCAATGCAACTCACCCCAAATCTTCCTTCTTTCCCTCCCGCCTGTCCCCTCAGTCCCAACCCGAAGTGTCGCTGAGTCTTTCTAATCTTCCTTTTCTACAGACCCATCTGACCTCTCCCCTCCTCCCCAGGCTGCTCCTCACCAGGCCAAGCTAGGTCCCAATTCTTCCTCAGCCTCTGCTCCTCCACCCTATAATCCTTTTATCACCTCCCCTCCTCACACCGGGTCCGGCTTACAGTTTCGTTCCATGACTAGCCCTCCCCCACCTGCCCAGCAATTTACTCTTAAAAAGGTGGCTGGAGCTAAAGGCATAGTCAAGGTTAATGCTCCTTTTTCTTTATCCCAAATCAGATAGCGTTTAGGCTCTTTTTCATCAAATATAAGAACCCAGCCCAGTTCATGGCTCGTTTGGCAGCAACCCTGAGACACTTTACAGCCCTAGCCCCTAAAAGGTCAAAAGGCCATCTTATTCTCAATATGCATTTTATTACCCAATCTGCTCCTGACATTAAATAAAACTCCAAAAATTAAATTCCAGCCCTCAAACTCCACAACAGGACTTAATTAACCTCGCCTTCAAGGTGTACAATAATAGAGGCAGCCAAATAGCAACATATTTCTGAGTTGCAATTCCTTGCCTCCACTGTGAGACAAACCCCAGCCACATCTCCAGCACACAAGAACTTCCCAACGCCTAAACCGCAGTGGCCAGGCATTCCTCCAGGCCCGCCTCCCCCAGAAGCTTGCTACAAGTGCCAGAAATCTGGCCACCAGGTCAAGGAATGCCCACAGCCCAGAATTCCTCCTAAGCCGTGTCCCATCTGTGCAGGACCCCACTGGAAATCAGACTGTTCAACTCACCTGGCAGCCACTCTCAGAGCCCCTGGAACTCTGGCCGAAGGCTCTCTGACTCCTTCCCAGATCTTCTTGGCTTAGCGGCTGAAGACTGACGCTGCCCGATCGCCTCGGAAGCCCCATAGACCATCACGGACGCCGAACTTTAAGTAACTTTCACAGTGGAGGCTAAGTCCGTCCCCTTCTTAATCAATACGGAGGCTACCCACTCCACATTGCCTTCTTTTCAAGGGCCTGTTTCCCTTGCCTCCATAACTGTTGTGGGTATTGACGGCCAGGCTTCTAAACCTCTTAAAACTCCCCAACTCTGTTACCAACTTAGACAATACTCTTTTAAGCACTCCTTTTAGTTATCCCCACCTGCCCAGTTCCCTTATTAGGCTGAGACACTTTAACTAAATTATCTGCTTCCCTGACTATTCCTGGACTACAGCTACATCTCATTGCCGCCCTTCTTCCCAATCCAAAGCCTCCTTTGCGTCCTCCTCTTGTATTCCCCCACCTTAACCGACAAGTATAAGATCTCTACTCCCTCCTTGGCGACTGATCATGCACCCCTTACCATCTCATTAAAACCTAATCACCCTTACCCCACTCAATGCCAATATCCCATCCCGCAGCATGCTTTGAAAGGATTAAAGCCTGTTATCACTCGCCTGCTACAGCATGGCCTTTTAAAGCCTACAAACTCTCCTTACAATTCCCCCATTTTACCTGTCCTAAAACCAGACAAGCCTTACAGGTTAGTTCAGGATCTATGCCTTATCAACCAAATTGTTTTGCCTGTCCACCCCACGGTGCCAAACCCATATACTCTCCTATCCTCAATACCTCCCTCCACAATCCATTATTCTGTTCTGGATCTCAAACATGCTTTCTTTACTATTCCTTTGCACCCGTCATCCCAGCCTCTCTTCGCTTTCACTTGGCCTGACCCTGACACCCATCAGGCTCAGTAAATTACCTGG
The DNA here is from genome assembly GCF_000001405.40 of Homo sapiens. Lineage (NCBI taxonomy): Eukaryota > Metazoa > Chordata > Mammalia > Primates > Hominidae > Homo > Homo sapiens. The sequence continues at coordinate 170,980,021 of NC_000002.12, read as the reverse complement.
GCTGTACTGCCGCAAAGCTTCACAGACAGCCCCCATTACTTCAGTCAAGCCCAAATTTCTTCCTTATCTGTTACCTATCTCAGCATAATTCTCATAAAAACACACATGCTCTCCCTGCCGATCGTGTCCAACTAATCTCTCACACCCCAACCCCTTCTACAAAACTACAACTCCTTTCCTTCCTAGGCATGGTTAGATACTTTCACCTTTAGATACCTGGTTTTGCCATCCTAACAAAACCATTATATAAACTCACAAAAGGAAACCTAGCTGACCCCATAGATCCTAAATCCTTTCCCCACTCCTCTTTTCATTCCTTGAAGACAGCTTTAGACACTGCCCCCACTCTAGCTCTCCCTGACTCGTCCCAATCCTTTTCATTACACACGGCTGAAGTGCAGGGTTGTGCAGTCGGAATTCTTACACAAGGACCGGGATCACGTCCTGTAGCCTTTTTGTCCAAACAACTTGACCTTACTGTTTTAGGCTGGCCATTATGTTTCCGTGCAGTGGCTGCTGCCACCCTAATACTTTTAGAGGCCCTTAAAAATCACAAACTATGCTCAACTCACTCTCTACAGCTCTCATAATTTCCAAAATCTATTTTCTTCCTCACACCTGACACATATACTTTCTGCTCCCCGGCTCCTTCAGCTGTACTCACTCTTTGTTGAGTCTCCCACAATTACCATTGTTCCTGGCCCGGACTTCAATCCCGCCTCCCACATTATTCCTGCTGATACCACACCTGACCCTCATGACTGCATCTCTCTGATCCACCTGACGTTCACCCCATTTCCCCACATTTCCTTCTTCCCTGTTTCTCACCCTGATCACACTTATTCATGGCAGTTCCACCAGGCCTAATACCCACACACCAGCAAAGGCAGGATATGCTATAGTACAAGCCACTAGCCCGCCTCTTAGAACCTCTCATTTCCTTTCTATCATAGAAATCTATCCTCAAGGAAATAACTTCTCAGTGTTCCATCTGCTATTCTACTACTCCTCAAGGATTATTCAGGCCCCCTCCCTTCCCTACACAGCAAGCTCAAGGGTTTGCCCCCCCGCCCAGGACTGGCAAATTAGCTTTACTCCACATGCCCCGAGTCACAAAAACTAAAATACCTCTTAGTCGAAGTAGACACTTTCACTAGATAGGGAGAGGCCTTTCCTACAGGGTCTGAGAAGGCCACCACAGTCATTTCTTCCCTTCTGTCAGACATAATTCCTCAGTTTAGCCTTCCCACCTCTATACAGTCTGATAACAGACCAGCCTTTATTAGTCAAATCAGCCAAGCAGTTTTTCAAGCTCTTAGTATTCAGTGAAACCTTTATATCCCTTACAGTCCTCAGTCTTCAAGAAAAGTAGAACAGACTAAAGGTCTTTTAAAAACACACCTCACCAAGCTCAGCCACCACCTTAAAAAGGAATAGACAATACTTTTACCACTTTCCCTTCTCAGAATTCAGGCCTGTCCTCAGAATGCTACAAAGTACAGCCCATTTAAGCTCCCGTATAGATGCTCCTTTTTATTAGGCCCCAGTCTCATTCCAGACACCAGACCCACTTGGACTGTGCCCCAAAAAACTTGTCTTCCCTACTGTCTTCTGTCTAGTCATACTCCTATTCACCATTCTCAACTACTCATACATGCCCTGCTCTTGTTTACACTGCCAGTTTACACTGTTTCTCCAAGCCATCATAGCTGATATCTCCTGGTGCTATCCCCAAACCGCCACTCTTAACTCTTAAAGTAAATAAATAATCTTTGCTGGCAGGGCTATGCGGAACCTCCTTGGGCACTCTCTAATTAGATGTCCTGGGTCCTCCCAATTCTTAGACCTTTAATACCTGTTTTTCTCCTTCTCTTATTCCGTTTAGTTTTTCAGTTCATACAAAACCGTATCCAGGCCATCACCAATAATTCTACACGACAAATGTTTCTTCTAACAACCCCACAATATCACCCCTTACCACAAAATCTTCCTTCAGCTTAATCTCTCCCACTCTAGGTTCCCACACCGCCCCTAATCCCGCTCGAAGCAGCCCTGAGATACATTGCCCATTATCTCTCCATGCCACCCCCCAAAAATTGTCACCGTCCCAACACTTTACCACTATTTCGTTTTATTTTTCTCATTAATATAAGAAGACAGGAATGTCAGGCCTCTGAGCCCAAGCTAAGCCATCATATCCCCTGTGACCTGCACGTACACATCCAGATGGCCGGTTCCTGCCTTAACTGATGACATTCCACCACAAAAGAAGTGAAAATGGCCTGTTCCTGCCTTAACTGATGACATTGTCTAGTGAAATTCCTTCTCCTGGCTCATCCTGGCTCAAAAGCTCCCCCACTGAGTACCTTGTGACCCCCCACTCCTGCCCGCCAGAGAACAACCCCCTTTTTCCCTTTACCTACCCAAATCCTATAAAATGGCCCCACCCCTATCTCCCTTCACGGACTCTCTTTTCGGACTCAGCCCACCTGCACCCAGGTGATTAAAGGCTTTATTGCTCACACAAAGCCTGTTTGGTGGTCTCTTCACACGGACGCGCATAAAAGAAACCTTTGAAGTGACCAAAGTAATGGCAGGGGAGAGTATTCGGTCAATTCATGGTGCAGTATCTTATCTTTTTTTTTTTTTGAGACGGAGTCTCACTCTGTGTCTCCCAGGCTGGAGTGCAGTGACACCATCTCAGCTCACTGCAACCTCCACCTCCCAGATTCAAGTGATCCTCCTGCCTCAGCTTCCCAAGTAGCTGGGATTACAGGTCGGCACCACCACGCCTGGCCAATTTTTTTGTATTTTTAGTAGAGATGAGGTTTTGCCATGTTGGTTGGCCCGGCCCATGGTGCAATATCTAATAAATTACATTTAACTTCCATGGGTCATGTCTGATACAGCTTTTTGAGATTTTAAAGTTATTTAATGAGCTATTTAATTTTCTTAACAGAAAAACAATTGTATTGGGGAATTTTGAAAAGTTTTTTGCTTAAACACTGGATCCAAGACCCACCTGGGGAAAAATATAAATAGTGTTCTCTGGTTCTGAGTGAAGTCTGTAAATGTAGTCAGGGTGCAAGACAGCTCTGTTCTTCCCCACACCCGCCTTTTTTTTTTTTTTTTTTTTTTGGAGATGGAGTTTCACTCTTGTTGCCCAGATTGGAGTGCAGTGGCGTGATCTCGGCTCACTGCAACGTCTGCCTCCCGGGTTCAAGAGATTCTCCTGTCTCAGCCTCCCGAGTTGCTGGGATTAAAGGCACATGCCACCACGCCCGGCTAATTTTTGTATTTTTAGTAGAGACGGGGTTTCATCATATTGGTCAGGCTCGTCTTGAACTCCTGACCTCAGGTGATCCGCCCACCTCGGCCTCCCAAAGTGCTGGGATTACAGGCGTGAGCCACCGCGTCCGGCCGACAGCTCTGTTCTTTAAGGATCAAATGATATATGTGTGTGTATGTATGTATGTATATATATTTTTTCTTTTTTTTTTTTGAGACAGGGTCTCACTCTGTCACCCAGGCTGGAGTTCAGTGGTGCAAGCACAGCTCACTGCAGCCTCAACTTCCTGGGCTCAAGCAATCCTCCCAGCTCAGCCTTCTAAGTACTACAGGCTCAAACCGCCACATCCAGCTGATTTTGTTCATTTTTTGTAGAGACGGAGATCTCACTATGTTGCTCAGGCTGGTCTCCAACCCCTGGGCTCAAGTGATTCTCCCAAAATGCTGTGATTACAGGCATAAGCCACCACACCCAGCCTAAATTTGTATCTTTTAAACAACTTCGTGGGTTTTTTAAAACAACTTTGTGGTTTTGGATGGCAAATTCAAGAATACAAAGCCTCGGACCTGGGTGTCAGAGGCAGAGTAGCCCTTGCCTTTCGGTCACACTGACCCATGCACAGCATACCTCCAGAGATAGCCCATGCCCCCCAGGGGGCGGTGGGAAATGGTTTGAAACCTCTTCCCCTCCCCACCCTGCTCCATTCTGTAACTTCCTCCCAGGAAGGCAGGCCCCTCCCCACTCAAATCCCTGTCCAGGGTCCAGGGTCCAGAGAAGGGAGTGGCCCAGGCAGAGAACCCCAGTGAGTGCCCACCACATGCCAGGCACTGACTGCCACCCCTTCGACTCTAACCTAGCACCCAGCACATGGAGCTACACTCATCGCCTGTGCCTTTGTGCGGCATATGGTGAGTGCCTGCTGGGAGCTAGGTGCTGGAGAGGACTTTAAGTCAGACTTTGTCCACGACACCAAGGCTTGAAGACAGGTATAACCCCTGAGGCCACCTCCCCTCCTCACAGGTCGCATTGTAGCACTTTCTCACCCTAGTTGTCCACTTTGCCTCTGCTGCTCTGCCAGTCTGCAGGGGCAGAAGGATGCCCGTGCCCAGGAAGAATGCTGAAGCCAGGTGCATGGCCCCTGCAGTGGTGGAAGCTCCCCCAGTAGCGAGCGGCCATTTGACTAGGCTGAATCGAGTTGACTTCACAACCGAGGTCTGATCACTGACTACACCATCTCCTTGTTGGGAAAAACAAACAAACAAAAAAACCCCCACAAACCACTGCTATTTTAAATTGTGATCAAAATGAAGATACTAAAAGCCCTGGGGGCTGGGTTCTGAGAATCCCCCACGAGTCCCCCGAGGACCTTGCACCCAGGTCCTCCATGCAGCCCTGCAGTTGCAGCCTGGTCTGTTTCTGCTCCACCGGCCCCGCCCCACACCTGCCCGGGTCTCAGGCTTGCTGAAAGAATCCCTGGATCCGATTTCCACCTGGGTACTAGGTATAGACCCAGCTCTACCACCCCCTAGCCGTATGCTTGTTGGAGAGACATTTAACCTTTCTGGATTTCACTGTTTTCATCTATAAAATGAAGGAATTGAGAGGGAGGATCTCCACAATGCTGTCCCTGATCCATAGGCAACAGTGTTTTTCAAAGCCACCAGGGTTGAGAAGTGCTGGTCCATGGTTGCTTTTCCGAGCTCAGGATTGAAAGAGTCCTTTGGCTAAAGAGCTGAAGAAGAAAGAGGATGCTCTCACCCTATTCAGCTTTTGGTTCTTCCCAGTCTGCTACAAGACCAGGGAAAATGTGAGTTACTCCTCCAGCCACAACTACAGCAGGCAGGTGGAGGGTGGGGGATGACATGTGGCACAGCACTTTGCTGGACTTTAGTGTTTGGGGATAATGGACTCCTGAGATTTCTCCCACGCCATCCGGCTGGGATGACTATGGCTCCTTTCTCAGGGATGCCCCGCCTTTCCCTCCTGCTCACAGGGAAACTGCCGGCAGCTCCACACTGGCCTGGCTTTTGAATCTATGTGCCATATGATTTTTTTTTTCTTTCACGAAAGGCCCCTGCTTGCCAAAAAGGAGGTTTTTCAGACCACTGACCTATGTAAGGGGCAAGCTCCCTGGGTACTTCACTGCCAAGAACAAAAAACATCCATCCCCCTTATAAACTCCCCAGGGCAGTGCAGTCTAAGCCCCTGAGCATGGCATTCAAGGCCTTCGGCGATCTGGCCCCGCTCCCCCTTCTGTGGCAACTGCTACCACTCCATACTTGACTTTTCACATTCCAGCAACCAGAGCTGTTTGTAGTTCCGGGACACACCACGTGCCACATTCCTGTGTGTCCTTGCAGACGCTGTTCCCTCTGCCTAAGAGAACCTCTTCCTTCCACTTTGACCACCTAAGAGAACCTCTATGCATTCTTCAAAGCCCTAATAGTAGCTGCCCACGAACGCCTTCCTTGATCCCGCACATGTTAGTTACCCGGCCTCTGGGCTATTCTGTCCCCTCTGCTCATCACTAGATCCGAAATCGCTAATTTACAGGCAGCGCAGTGGGATGCTTTTGGATTCGGGACACCTGGGCCCAGACCCAGCCGCCCCACCCCGGCGCCCCGGGCTTGTGCACAGCAGGAGCCTCCGCCCCGCGGGTGTGGGTTGGACGAGGCCAAGGGCAGCGGCCGGCCAGGGGCCAGGCCAGAGTCCAGCACTGCCCTCGGAGGAAGCCGGGTGGGGGCGGCGCTCCTGAAGGCTCCAGCCCCGGGGAGGGAAGCCGGCCCCGCACCTCCCGCACTGGGCGCTCAGACCCCTGGTGCTTCCACGGCGTCTGAGGGTTTCTCAGCCACCGAAGGGTGTCTCCGCCGCACCCAACGGGTCCCCCGGTGGAGAGATTTGCCTTCACATCAGATTAAAGGGGGTTCCGTTTGGTGAAGGCGCCCAGGCTCATCCCCCACGTTTCCGCACTGGGTCTGAGATGGAAAGAAAGCGGGGGACCAGAGCCCTTCTTCCAAAGAACGGAAAGCGCCCCACCGCGACGCCCCGGCCCCGCCCAGGGGCCCTGCGAGGGCGGCCCGGAGACCCCGCGGCCGCTGGCGGGGCGCGGCTTTCCCAGGCTCCCGGCGCCACCTGGTGGCCCGTGGCGCGCACTGTAGTCCCCGCTCGGGAGGCCCCCTTGGCTCGGATCCCACTCCACGTGGGCGGCGGTAAGACCGGAGTTCCTGAACAAAGGTGAATGTCGTTCCAGGAACCTGCCGCGTGGGGACAGAACTGAGGCGTGGGACCGGGCAGACCTACGTGGATTCAGCTCCTACCCCAAAGCCCGCCCGCCTGTGAAGCAGGGGCCTCGGTTTGAGCTCTCCAGGCGCACCTGCTTCCCCTGAGGGAATTAACTCAAGAACTCACCCATCACTTCTCTTTAAAACCATTCCCTTTTTTCACTGAAGTTAATTCGTAAAATTAGCCATATCCAATGCAACTATTATTTTTTCCCCAATACGTGCTAAAATAAAATATATAGGTATTAAAGGAGGAAAGACAGTTTTCTTCACTCTGGGTAACACCAGTCCATGGGATCAAGTTCAGAACCTAAGCCTGTCCTGAGGCCTGCCCGGTGGCTCGTCCCTGCTTCTTCTGTCTCCTTCCGATTCAGCCACAGCGAACCCTCACCTGTCCTCTCCTGGAATATGGCAGCGTCACGGTGCCAAAGATCCCAGAGGGTTGTCCTCTTTTCTCAGGTTGTACTGCTTACCTAAGAGAGATCTGAATTTGGGGAAATGAATTAGTCTCTAAAGTTTCATGCCCTTTAAAAACAAAACCTTGACAGAGACAAAGGCAAGTAACTGTTTATTAAAATCGGAATGAGCTTTGAGCTCCTGGACTCATACAACAGGCATCTGTTTCTTCTTGATTTTATGAGGCTCCTCTAGCAGTTCTGTTCCTCACCACCGAGAAGCACACAGGTTGTTTAGCCACTGATCTCGAGTGAACGTGTTGGAACCATGCATACTTCACTACCTGACGCTAACACTGTTTCCAGAGCTCTAGAAGCCAAAACAGCGCCTGGGTACAACATGGATTCTTGCCATTGTGTTTCTGGGCTCTTTCAGCATAGCTGTCTGAGCTACACGGTTCTGGCCAAACTGATTTACAAACACAACACAGCATTGCAAATCAGTCACAGTGCAAGTCTATTCAGGGAAATTTCATGGATAATTCTAATCTAGGGACAGTGTTGGGGGTTGTTAGCAGAGAGCTCCCTTAGTCTGACCAGTCATGACGCTGCTTGGGGAAAAAGCTTCCCCGGCCCTGCAGCAGCGGCCGTCCTGGACAGACTGAAATGAAAGGCTTCAGAAGAGATGGAACAAGGTTTTTTTTTTTTTTTTTTTTTGAGACAGAGACTCGCTCTGTCGCCAGGCTGGAGTACGGTGGCATGATGTCGGCTCACTGCAACCTCCGCCTCCCAGGTTCAAGCCATTCTCCTGCCTCAGCCTCCCAAGTAGCTGGGACTACAGGCACCTGCCACCACGCCCAATTTTTGTATTTTTAGTAGACGGGGTTTCACCATGTTGACCAGGATGGTCTCGATCTCCCGACCTCGTGATCCGCCTGCCTCGGCCTCCCAAAGTGCTGGGACTCCAGGCGTGAGCCACCGCGCCTGGCCCGGAACAGGGCTTTTTCTGGCTCTGTAAGTCTCCCATTCATCCACACCCCCTAGATCAAAATAACCCCATTGTTGTTAGTGATTAAAAAGTAATTCAGGCCGGGTGCGGTGGCTCACGCCTGTAACCCCAGCACTTTGGGAGGCCAAAGCGGATGGATCACGAGGTCAGGAGATCGGGACCATCCTGGCTCACACGATGAAACCCCCGTCTCTACTAAAAATACAAAAAATTAGACGGGCGTGGTGGCGGGCGCCTGTAGTCCCAGCTACTTGGGAGGCTGAGGCAGGAGAATGGCGTCAAGCCAGCAGGCAGCGCTTGCAGTGAGCAGAGATAGTGCCACTGTACTCCAGCCTGGGCGACAGAGCGAGACTCCGTCTCAAAAAAAACACAAACAAACAAACAAAAAAAAGCAATTCGAAGCCTGGCGCGGTGGCTCACGCCTGTAATGCCAGCACTTTGGGAGGCCGAGGCAGGTGAATCACCTGAGGTCAGGGGTTCAAGACCAGCTTGACCAGCATGGTGAAACCCCATCTCTACTAAAAATACAAAAATGAGCCGGGCGTGGTGGCACATGCCTGTAAGCCCAGCTACTCAGGAGGCTGAGACAGGAGAATTGCTTGAACCTGGGAGGTTGCAGTGAGCCGAGATTGCGCCACTCCACTCCAGCCTGGGTGACAGAGCAAGACTCCATCTCAAAAAAAAAAAAAAGTAAAATAAAATAATAAAAAGTAATTGTGGTTTTAAAAATTCTGGCAATATGCAAGTTTATGAGAAGAAATGAGAAGTTCCTGTAACCCCACCCCCAGCCACCATAATTCAAGTGCTTCTGGAAGAGGCTTGCCCTGAACCTCAGGCAGACTTCTTAGTATGGGTCTCAAACCAGGCCAGCCTGGGCAGAGCTGGGCAAACAGGCCCCTCCCCAGGAAGCAAGGCCATGGAGAGTGGACGGCAAGAAAGCCAGTCAGGGATTCATGAACTCTTATTCACAACCCTTGGTCTCTGGAAAAGAGAATGATCAATTCCAATAGAGTTGGTTGTTAAGGTAAATGATCAATGGGTTGGGGACCCAGAATATGGCTTTAGGAAAAGAGACTAGTGAAACTCAAATTGCTGTTACTGTCCCAGTCATTGTCCAGGGACATTTTCTCCATCAGGTTTACAGTCTAAGCAACTACTTCAAATTTTGCTAACCTTAGTGCCCATTCCACACGATTCATTGGATCCTAAATAATGAAATCCGTGAAGGACCTTGTTTCCTAATCCTGGGTCCCCACGGGTTCTGGCCCCGCTGACTGTAAGGAAACCTCAGTTTCCCAGCTATCCCTCCCCTCTCCCCAGACTCAGCTGTGTTACTACCAGGATAACACAGGGCTCTGCAAACTCAGACACCTGCGGGTGGTGGGAGGGGGGCTGGCGCACGCAGGTGGGGCTGTGGGAATTGGAGACTGGAGGACAGAGACTCCAAGGGGCATTCATTTCCCTGTAGGACTGATCTGTTGCCAGATCTTGTGACTTTGAGAAACCAGAAATCTGGATTTATGTGAAACCTTCTGATTTTTAAATGTTGGCAATTAATTCACATTTTAATATATACAGGGGAGTTCAAAGGAAACATGCCTAGGGGGAACCTGTTTGCTTCCTCTCGTCTGCTGGGCAGAGCACTGTCTTATCTCATTATTCACCCCATGTACAGGAAACACTTAATACATGCTGGCTACTGTTATTATCCCAAACCCCAGCGGCCTTCATGGAGCATGGGCTTGTATCTATTTCTTGCCAGGAAATACAGTGTAACCTCAACTCTGGTAACACTGAAAGTCCGAGGCCCACCTCCATCAATGGCTGCAGTGTGGCGTTTTCTCTAAACTGTCAGTGACCAGAGTACCCACGTTCGTGTAACTCCCTGGAGAGGCAGTGGGGCGGCATCTGCACCTGTCTGCACTCCTTACTCCTCTGCTCTTTTGCTGCACATTCTCACTCTCCTCACCCCTCCCCATCCCCCTCACCTGCAGCCCCCAGCTGGGAGTGGGGCCCACTTGCCCTTCCACGTCTTCTTGTTCTAGTGCTTGAATAACTGGCTGTGGCATTAATTCCCCATTTTATCAATTGGCTCGATATGCAAAAGGCCTATAAAGGAACACTTTGGTTAGCCAAGTCGGAAATTGTTCTTCCTAGATCTAATGCAAATATATATATATATATATATATATATATATATATATATATAAATGACAAAAGGATCCCTCCTCTAACCTGTGCACTTTGCTTAGTGGTAAAAGTAAACACCTAGCAAGAACGATGACCTTCCTATGCCCCTGTTACCTCCCGCAGTTACAGGTCCACCCTCCCTGGGGAAGTTTTTAAAAACTCCAAGAGCCCAGGAATTAATATTCTAATTGAGGCGATTCTAATCTGAAGACAGGGTTGAAACCTTGCTGGGTAGTCAGATAATTAAAGAAGACCTTCATCTTCAGGGTCACAGGGAGAAGACCCAACCTTCCTTCACAAGTTACTGATAAAATCGGGCCACTCTCTGGAAGAAAAAACTTTTCACAAATAAATCCTTTAAATAAGATGTATTAAATTTTCTAATAAAATGCACCTGTAGCCAACTGCTGCTGGAGGCTTTAACACCCATGGCTTTCCTACTGTGAGCTCCCTTAGGGCTCCTGCTTGGATTTTTTTAACTCCTTCTCCACCTGCTAAAATGTAGGTCTGGCTAAGCCTTCTTCAGGTGCCAGAGAATGTTCCCTTCACCCAGACTCTCCAGGTCTCTGCTCAGCTGAGACTCTTCACTTGCTGCAGTTTGCATGAAGTTGCCTCATGTTCCCGCCTAAACCACAGGTTCCTTAAAGGTGGGATCAGGGCTTCCATGTCACTACCGTAGCTCCAGCAGCTCACCAGTCTCATCTTCACTATAGTCAAAAGCAGAAATTTTGGACATCCAAGGCAGAGCCATCTTTGAGCTTTAGTAGGTGCCTTTCAGGTGAGGAAGAGGCCACAAGGCCATTTCTAGGTCTCCAGAATTTTCAGAAAATGAGCTAAGTTAAGCTGCTCCCAGGTAAGCACAATTAGTAATGGACTAAAAATAAAACAGGAACAAAAATCAGAGGGGAAAAGGTAAAGTCACTGATATGGTTTGGCTGTGTCCCACCCAAATCTCTTCCTGTAGTTCCCATAATCCCCACGTGTGGAGGAAGGGATCCGGTGGGAAGTGATTGGAGTATGGAGGTGGTTTCCCCACTGCTGTTCTCGTGAGAGTGAGTTCTCACGAGATCTGATGGTTTCCTAAGCCTCTGGCATTTCCCCTGCTTGCGCTTCTCTTCTGCTGCCATGATTGTAAGTTTCCTGAGGCCTGCCCAGCCACGTGAAACTGTCAATTAAACCTCTTTCCTTTATAAAATTACCCAGTCTTGGGTATTTCTTTATAGCAGTGTCAGAACAGAGTAACACAGTCGTCATCCTAGACTCAGAGTCTTAGCAAAGGGGGTTCAGGTGAGCGTCCCTCCTGAAGCTGGTCCCCCACTGTGCTGCCCCTCCAGCCTTCATGACTGCCGTATTTAAGCCAAAGCTCAAACTCCCTAGTCCAGCACACAGGCCCCAGCCCCATGCACACAAACACTCAAGACTTTTCCTAACCTTGCATGGTTTCCTCACAGTTCACTGCAGCCTTGACTTCCTGCGCTCAAGGGATCCTCCCACCTCAGCCTCCTGAGTAGCTGGGACTCCAGGCACGTGCCACCACGCCCAGCTAATTTTTAAATTTTTTGTAGAGACAGGGTCTATGTTGCCCAGGCTGGTCTTCAACTCCTGGGCTCAAGCAATCCTTCTGCCTTGGCCCTAAGGACTGACTCCCTGGTCTGTCTCCCTACAAGGCCACGGAGAGTGGCCCACTGTCAGGGAAACTCTCTCTTACATCGTGTTTCTGGAACCTGGTACCAAATCTACCACTGTTAAAGACTGAAACTGGCTTTTCTGAAGACAGCAGAAAATAATGAAGTATTTTCCACCTCAGGGAAGATCCAACGAGCCAATCTAGCCTGAGTCTGTGTCCATTCGTCGAGTGTCGAGTCCCTCACTGTCATGGTGGCACACACCTGTGGTCCCAGCTACGTGGAATGCTGAGGTGGGGGTATCGCTTGAGCCCAGGAGGCCAAGGCTGCAGTGAGCCAAGATCAAGCCACTGCACTCCAGCCAGGGTGACAGAACGAGACCCTGTTTCCAAAAAAAAAAAAAAAAAAAAAAGTCCCTCAATCTCCCTAGAGATTAGTGTTTCATTTATGCTACAGATATCTGCCCAGGAAGAGAGCCCAGCCTGCCGTCGTTGCCAAATGAGAGCTGTGACTGCACCAGAGTTCACAAGCATTGCCTTGGAAGAACTGTTTAAAAAAAAATCATTTTGTAAAACTTAAAAATTACTTACTTGCTTTCCACTAAGGGATCTCCTTAATATTTTTTAACGTAAAAACAACAAATATTAAGGAGATCTTAATATTTAAGAAATCTTTTACAAAGTAGTAACTTTCTCAACTTTTCCTATCCTGGAAAGTCAAAAATCATAACATTTAAATGTGCTTGTGAATACTTTCCTCACCTGTTATAAGCTTCTTTTCAAAAAATGGGATTAACTGAAATATTCTAGAAACATTTACACAGTGTAAACAGAAGCAGCTATGATTAGGGCTGGAGCCTTCTTTCATCATTCAGTTTTAAGTACAAACCTGGCCCCAGAAACGGATCTACTCCCAAAACTGGCTGGTACTGGGCCTCCTGGGAGAGTGCTGGGCTGGCGTTGACCTCGAGTGTCCAGCAGGGCGGCCAGGGGTGAGTGACATGAGGGTGATGTGAGGGTGCTGCCACCTCAGCCACGTCCTCCCTGCAGGGGATGAGCATCTTCAGACTCATACCAGGGCAATAACTGAGGAAGCACTTTTGTCTTATTTCAAAAACAGGGATATCTGCATTTAATTTCATTCAGTAAATCAATTCCAGTTAACTTACCATCTCTTAAAAATGGGAGAAAGCAAACATAGGACGTGAAAAGTTAAAGATGCGTGACATACTGGAGAGTAATAAGACATACTGGAGAGTAGTAAGTGCACACGTGGCAATTAAGGGTTGTAATTTAGATGTAACACAAGAAAAAAAGTAAAATTACTGTACTTTATTGCTGTATCTATGCTTTCCCAGTATAGCTATAATACTACAAGGAGCCACAGAGTGCCACCTTCTGGTTTAAAACTGTGGCACCTTATTTCTTTTGAAATGTCACTTTATAAGGTGTATGTAGAAAGCAACAGCAGCAGTTACAAAATGTTGTCTGAGTGATTCTGAGAGCTCAAAACAAGGATCCGCGTATAGGCTGAAGAAAAAGACGTTCAGTTAACAGTGCGCGCTGTAGAACTTTAACACAAGTCTTCAGGTGGAATTCCTGTGTAAACCTTAGTAGAGATGCGACTCACGGAGACCAAAAGTAAAAATCTCTTTACCGTTTACAGTTTAGTGAGGTGGTCTGCATTCTCGCAAACGACTTACAAAGTACAAGAAATGTTGCGTGTGAGTATTAGGCATAGAATATTTCATTTTCTTACGGAAGGAGCAGCAGGGGACAGGAAACCTAGTGGACGCCCCGCCACCACCTTTCCCGAAGATGCACACCCCCAGGAACGGCAGTGCAAGCCTGGCAGCAAGCCACCCTTACAATTCTTTTTGGTTGTTTAAAATACAAGCGCTTTCTGACATCTCACCCTAGCGTGTGAGCCCCACTCAACCTGGCAGGATACAACCCACGTCCTCGTTTAGTTTTCCCCTTGGAATTATTTACAGGATGCCTACAGATACGGTACAAACTAGTATGAAATTAATGATAGTTTGCGTTTCCAGACACGCTCCCGTGGTTAAATATACCACGCCAATTCCAAAGAATGGTTCAAAGTTAAGGTGACTCAGAAGCATTGGCATCCACAGCCGCAGAAACAGGCTTCTCGCTGACTGGGGTGGAGTCGCCGACTCTGTCCTCAACGGTGGTGGGGGCCTTGGCAGTGGGGGGCGTCACATCCACAGTGAGTGAGGAGGCAGCGTCTGCCTTTGCAGTAGTTGTGGCAGGGTCGGAGGGTGCGTTGCTGGTGGGCGGGAGGGAAGACAGCAGCTCTCCTGAGCTTGCTGCAGAAGAGCTCTCTGGAACCAAGGGGAATGACGGGAGGAACTCGGATGGCAGGGGGAGAGGTGCAATGCCAGGTAAGTTTCGGGGAGGCATGGAAGGAAGAGGTGGCAGACCTAGGACAAAAACGGCATAGATCATACATCCTCCCAGCACTGAAAGGACAGCAGGCATTGTCAAAGGGCTATTTTTATTTACATTTCATTAAGGAAACTGAAGTTGAGGAGGTAACACAAATCACAACCTTGGCTGATTTCCAGATAGAGGCCCTGGCAGGGTTAACTATTCCCTACAATCGCAGCTGCCTGAAGGAATAGGTTCTCAACTTCTAGGCTCCATGTAACCTGGCCCAGCACTGGGGGAAACTGGCTCAGGGAAGAAAGATAGATAGGATCCTTCCAGTCAGAAGAGATAGCAGCCCACCCAGCAGGTGACACAGCTACACTGGATGTCAGACAGGGGGACTCATGCTCACCCATGCCAGCTGCAAGCTGAGTTACAGCTGCATTCTTGACAGACAACAGGGAGAGGTAGGCTGCAACCCTCCTGCGAAGGCAGCAGAAGGGAGGGGCCTGGATTCTCGCCCTTTCCACTGTCCTCACCAGGAGTACTCAGCATTTGCTTAAAACCTGTGATTGATAACTATTTATATTACACTCAGTGGGCTCATGATGATGATTTTAAAATGCAAGGCCAGGCGTGGTGGCTCACGCCTGTAACCCCAGCACTTTGGGAGGCCAAGGTGGGAGGATCGCTTGAACCCAGGAGTTGGAGACCAGCCTGGGCAACATAGCAAAACCTCGTCTCTACTAAAAAAAAGTACAAAAATTAGCCGGGCGTGGTGGCACACACCTGTGGTCCCAGCTACTAGAGACTACAAGGCCACTGAGGTGGGAGGACTGCTTGAACCCAGGACGCAGAGGTTGCAGTGAGATGAGATTACACCACTGCACTCCAGCCTGAATGACAAAGTGAGACTCTGTCTCAAAAAAAAAAAAAAAAAAAAAAAAAAATTAAAATGCATATGAAGGAAAGGAGAATTATTTCAAGAAACAAAGGAAAGGCAGGGTGTAAAGCACAGGTTCAGGGCAACCACCAGCTGGTGAAATCCTCACTACTTAGAGCCTGTCAAATTTAGGGAAAGGGCAGAGGAGGAGCCAAGAATACAGGGCACAAAAGGTGGGGTGAGCGCTGCGACAGTAAATGGTAGTTTGACTACTACTAGTACTTCATTTTTATTTTTATTTTTTTTTGAGACGGAGTCTCATTCTGTCACCCAGGCTGGAGTGCAGTGGTGCGACCTCAGCTCACTACAACCTCCGCCTCCTGGGTTCAAGCGATTCTCCTGCCTCACCTTCCCGAGTAGCTGGGATTACATGCACCTGCCACCATGCCCAGCTACTTTTTCTATTTTTAATAGAGACAGGGTTTCACCATGTTGGTCAGGCTGGTCTCGAACTTCTGACCTCAGGTGATCCACCCACCTTGGCTTCCCAAAGTGCTGGCATTATAGGCGTGAGCCACTGTGCCTGGCCTAGTACTTCATTTTTAAACCTTTGGCCTGAAAACTAAGTAGGTTAAGGAATATACACAGATGGTGAGTGTTACAAGAGGGACAATTATCATCTAGACAGAAACAAGATGGTGACGATGCACACCATGGTGCTGTAAGATCATTCACTGACATCACTGACGGGCCTATAAAACTACTGAGATGACCTATTAAAAGTCAGCCCTCCCAAAGGTTAAGGTATGCTGATCATTAACTGCATGGACTTGTAGGAAGCTGCTGCTTCATTTTCAGACAGAAAATCTGAGTGCAGACACTTGGAATATCTGCTACCGTAGACATCTCCAGCTAAAATTTCCCATAGTTTTGAGTATAAAAGCATTTGTAAATAATGGAGAATATTCACGTTTGTTTTTTTATATGTATTTTTTTTTTACAAAAGAAGAATACTGGCTGGGTGAGATGGCTCATGCCTGTAATCCCAGCACACTGGGAGGCCAAAGCAGGAAGATTGCTTGAGCCCAGGAATTCAAGACCAGCCTGGGCAACATGGTGAAACCCCTTCTCTACAAAAAATACAAAAAAATTAGCCAGGTGTGGTGGTATGTGCATGTAGTCCCAGCTACTTGGGAGGATGAGGTGAGAGGATGGCTTGATCCTGGGAGGTAGAGATTGCAGTGAGCCAAGATCGGTGCCACTGCACTCCAGCCTGGGTGATAAAGCAAGACTCTGTCTCAAAAAAACTAAACAAAACAAAAAATACAAGCCCAGCCAGCTGAGCAGGGGTGATGAGAATGGTGGGGAATTCATTCGCCTCCACTAGGCAGCCTGTACACTTTCATTAAAGTCAGTGCAGCAGGGCCACTCCACTGTGCTTTACTGCTACTCTGGGGCGGGGGAGGGGGGCGGGAGGAGGAGGAGGGGGAGGAGGAGGAGGAGGAGGAGCAGCAGCAGCAGCAGCAGTAGCAGCGGGGACTGAGAGACATTCTTCTTTCCTCTTAAGCTTTTTTTTTTTTTTTTTGAGATGAAGTCTTGCTCTGTTGCCCAGGCTGGAGTGCAGTAGTGTGATCTCAGCTCATTGCAACCTCCACCTCCTGGGTTCAAGTGATTCTTCTGTCTCAGCCTCCTGCGTAGCTGGGACTACAGGCACCTGCCACCATGCCTGGCTAATGTTTATATTTTTTCAGTAGAGATGGGGTTTTGCCATGTTGGCCAGGCTGGTCTTGAACTCCTAACCTCAGGTGATCCACCCACTTCGGCCTCCCAAAGTGCTGGGATTACAGGCGTGATCCTCTTAAGCTTTTTAAACAAAAAAGATGAATATTTATTTGAAGTAGCTGAAATCTGTTAAACTGATTTGCTCTCTCCAGAAAAAACTGAAGAGGATGGGCATTCCTGAATAAAACTTTTATTAGAGAGAGTCCTAGGAGGGTGAGATCTGCAACATACCTGGGTTTACAAGTTCTGGTAAGCCAACCCCTGGCATGATGTGTGGTGCTGGGAGGTTGAGGTTGAGGTTGGGGAGGTTGGGCAGTCCTGCTGGTAAAGGCATCAGACCTGAAGAGAAGGCAGAAAAGAAAAAAAGAGAAATCACTTGACCTGGGGAAGAAATAAATCCTCGTGTATTAAAAACAATCCCAGCCACTTCTAAGTGACAGTACCAGAAGTCCACCTAATGTGTGGCAGCTGTGTATCATAACAATATAAATAACAAAATTTCACTTAATTGAAATATATTTATCTACCTAAGTGATTAGATAGATTAGGTGGCTAACTGGGTGAAGATGAAAATAAATAACTAATACTCTTAACACTCTGGAATAAGAACGATGATGGCCCGAGCGCCTTGGAGAAAAGGCTGATTTGTTTCAGTAGATATGGCAGATAATGAAACTGAATTTTTCTTTGATGGTTGAGGTTTACAGTCTCTATGACTTTTAAAATTTCTTATTCTGAAAAATAACTGCAGACTTACAGTTGCAAAAGTAGTAAAAAGAATCCACCTTTCACCCAAATTCCCACATGTCCACATATCAGCACACTTGCTTCATCATTGTGTGTGTGCACACATTTGGTTCATGGCTTAATATGCTTGGATAATGACATTTTTAGCCATACATTAAAAGCCCTCACAATGAAAGTATATTTGATCACTAAAATAGTATTTGATTATTATTGGCTGGATAAAGGGACTTGGTCTTCACTGGGAATATGAAGAGAAAAACACAAAAATTTAATTTAATGTTAGAGCTACTGAAGACCAAATAAGAAGCCTTCTCTTCAGGCTCACACGAATGACTGCCAGGAAATCCTCACTAAGGAGACAGTGGAGAATGGACTTCTGCAGATTCCTTATTCCTGGCCGATGCTGCACTGTAGAGCTGCAGGGGCAGTAGGTGGCCGCTGGCTGGGGGTAAGGAGCACTAGGCTCGGCAGCTAACTAGCTGGTAAATGACATCTCTGGTTCCTTGTTTACTAAGGAGAGTTGCCCTAGCTCTCATTTATCACAAACTTATTGCAGAGATAAACTGAGATTAAAAGACATAAAAAGTTACCACACAGGTATAATATTTTTCATTGTTTTTAAGATGCAAATATCAGTAATACTGTTATTATCAGCCACATCTCTAGTCCCCTGGTGGTTACCTGGTAATGTAGTAGCTGGATTCATTGGTGGCACAGAAGTGAGGGACTGGTTTACTTGTGGTGGCAATAACGGTACTGTTGGTACACCTAAAAAGAAAGCACAATCTTTTCATTTCTAACAAATTTAGTCGACAAGAAATGAACAGAACACATTAGGACAATCTGCAGTCCCTCCTTGCCCCGTGGTCAGGTCTTCATTTGGTCCCGATTTCCAGCTGCAACTGACTGTCCATCACCCTTTACGGCAGATTCACTGACTCTGCCCACAGCTCTCAACAAAGGCTGTTACCAGAGCCTGTGACAAGAGGGCAAGAGGCCGTGCAGTCCCACCCCAGCCCAGCTCACTGGACAAGAGGTTTACACCTGACCCAAGCAGGGCTAGATTAGAAAACTGTCTTAGAAATTTGTATATGGGACACAAGGATTCTAGTCAATCTCAACTGGGCTCCTAAACTAAGATGCCACGTAAGCCAGGGGTTGCAGGGGGACCATGTGCCCTGTGAAACAGTGAATGCTAGTCTGTGAAAGAAAAGAATGACATAGATGGCCTGAAAGAGACAAAAGAGCAGATGAACCTCTAGGATGGAGAGAATGACTTGGCTTCCTGAATGTCCATTTCCTTTTGACCTTAGGTTCTGTGACAGTCCTTTGAAGTCTAACACAAACGTGTACTAACATTAGCTTGAGGAGGTTACGTTCCTCACGTACAAGTAAGCCTCAGGATACCACCTAATCACGTTTACCACCTACCCCAGTGGGACGTTTTGCTGATGTCGAAACAATAAATGAAAGCACACCTTTCACTTATTTAGCACTCATTTTCATTTATCTAGCATAGATTCCAGATTTTGTCTTACAGATCTGCTTACATATGGTAGCGGGAATAAATTGTGCCTAAAAGTATGAACCAACCATGCAGGCAGTCTATTATTTATTCATTTATCTACTTTTCTGCGGAATTCAGAGGCAAGCAAAAATAAGAAAAGTCTAACTGAAGCACTGGCAAATGCTCTACTGGATCCCAGACTGCATAATTTCACTGAAATAAAAGAAGCTGTTCTCTACTCTGTACCAAAATGTTAGTGAGTGTGTGCTTTGTTAATGGTCACACACAATAGCAATGCTATAATTTTTTTATATTTGTTTTGAAATCTCGGTTTTAAGAAAACAAAAGCAGCTTGGATTGGTTAAGCCAATTTCTTCTCTTTCCCAATAAAGTCTTTCACATAAGTTTCTTTTCATTCTTAAAGGATAGATACATTCACAAGTTTCAAAAATAACTGACTAAATCTAAGCCAGGAAGACTCAATCTAAGACAGGAATTCTAAATCTAGGGCCCACAAGTGGGCTTCAGGGGGTCTGTGAAGCTCCTAAAATTGTATACAACAATTTTTCGAAGGCAGGTTCTTTGCTTTCATCAGATTCTCAATGGAGTTGAATGGATAGTTGAGTGTGGTCATTCATTCAAGTTTTTTGGGGGGCACCTACTGTATGTTACACATTGTTCAAGGCACTGAGGCACTTTACAACATGAAGAAATCAGAACCTTTAGGAAATTTACATTCTAATGAGGGGCAGGAAAAAGGAGAAAGATCAAAATACATAGCATGTAAAATGGTGATACACTTGGGCCAGGCACGGTGGCTCATGCCTGTAATCCCAGCACTTTGGGAAGCTGAGGTAGGTGGATCACCTGAGGTCAGGGGTTCAAGACCAGCTTGGAAAACATGGTGAAACCCTGTCTCTACTAAAAATACAAAATTAACTGGGCATGGGGGTGAGCACCTATAATCCCAGCTACTTAGGAGGCTGAGGCAGGAGAATCACTTGAACCCAGGAGGTGGAGGTTACAGTGAGCCAAGATCATACCACTGCACTCCAGCCTGAGCGACAGAGCAAGACTCCGTCTCAAAAAAAAAAAAAAAAAAGAAAAAGGTGATACACTGCAGAAAAATCAAGCAGGTCACAATGATCGATGCCACTTCAAAATCTTTTCTAAAAATTTTATAATCCAAAAATCTTCAAATCCACAAAAAAGTTTAAAAATACATATACTTTTATTTCTCTATAGTTACTTTTATGTCTCTACAGTTACATTATATAGGCTACTGTATTACACTGTTACAATGTATAGGCTACTTTGCAAGCAATATAATGAAAAGTGAAGACTGAAAAATGCCCATCAAAAAGTTGTTTCTCACGTGTTGTGATGCTAGAACATTTTAGTCTTTTTAAATTTATTTACTCAAAAGTGATGATGTCAATTTCTTTCAGTCTCTTTTGAGCAATTAGTGCTTTATTTACATTTGTCTTTAACAGTCAAGAAGCCATTTCTCTGCAGTGCCATAAGCCAGGGAGCTCCGTGCATGTGTTTATCAGACAATACAAGTATAACTACAACGTAATGAGGAAAGATTTAAAATGTCGAAGAGAAACTGGGGCTTGAAGAGACATGTCAACTATCGCCTAAAATCAGAAGCGCATCTGGGGCCGGGCACGATGGCTCATGCCTGTAATCCCAGCACTTTGGGAGGCTGAGGCGGGTGAATCACCTGAGGTCAGGAGTTTGAGACCAGCCTGGCCAACATGGTGAAACCCCGTCTCTACTAAAAATACAAACAATTAGCCGGGCATGGTGGCGTGCGCCTGTAGTCCCAGCTACTCGGGAGGCTGGGGCAGGAAAATCGCTTGAACCCAGGAGGCGGAGGTTGCAGTGAGCTGAGATAGCGCCATTGCACTCCAGCCTGGGCAACAAGAGTGAAACTCTGCCTCAAAAAAAGGGCCGGGCACAGTGGCTCACGCCTGTAATCCCAGCACTTGGGGCAGCAGAGGCGGGCGGGTCACTTGAGGTCAGGAGTTTGAGACCAGCCTGGCCAACATGGCAAAACCCCATCTCTGCTAAAAATACAAAAATTAGCTGGGTGTGGTGGCACGTGCCTGTAATCAATCACAGCTACTTGGTTAGGCTGAGGCAGGAGAACTGCTTGAACCTGGGAGCCAGAGGTTGCAGTGGGCAGAGATAGTGCCACTGTACTCTAGCCTTCCTGGGCAACAGAGTCTGTTTTTTTTTTTTTTAAAAAAAAAAAAAAAAAAAAAGAGCATCTGGAAACACGCTTACTCTAAAACAAATATGAACAATTCAGACTCAAATGGGCTGCTGCCTTGGGAAGTACACTACCCTACCCTTACTAAGTCTATTCAGGAATAAACTAGAGAATTATGTGATGAGATGTAGGCAAAAAATCGTAATATCATAAAAAGGACTCATACTGCTTGAATGAAATAAACTTTAAGTTCCCTTCCAACTCTATGATTAGAGACTGATGACATTAATACTTAATTTCATCTAGGAAGCATTCTAAAACTGGATTGTGGTGATGACTGCACAATTCTATGAATTTACTAAAAATCATTTAGTTGTTTACTTATTGTGAGTTAATTTATGGTAGGCAAATTATTTATCGATAAAGCTGGAAAAAAAGAAAACCAGCAAAGAAGGCAAAGGGGAAGTATATCCCAATATTGATAATTGATAAAGTTGGGTGATGGGGTTCATTATACAATTCCAGCTCTTTTGTGTATGTTTGAAATTTTAAATTTCATCTAGAGAAATAAAACCAGGACTAAAGAGCTGGGATGAGAACCTAGGAGACCAATTCTAGACACCAAACTGTCAACCTTACTACTGCATCTTGGTAGGCTGTTTTAAGTCCATTACAGAACAAAGTGGGATATAAACAAATTGTGAATATAAATATTTAAGACAGCCCAGAAATAAAAGGTATTAATGAGGCTAGGAGCCATGACTCGCACCTGTAATACCAACAATTTGGGAGGCCAAGGCACGATGATCACTTGAGGCCAGGAGTTAGGGACCAGCCTGGGCAACAGAGAGACCCCAGCCCTACAAAAACATAAAAACTAAAACTTCAGAAAAACTGATAATGCGTACAGGGTTTCTTTTGGTGTGATACAATATTCTGAAATTGGTTGAGGTTATTGGTTGTACAACTCTACAAATACACTAAAAAAACACTGGATTGTATACTTTAAGCAGGTGAATTGTATGGTAATATGCATTTTATCTTGAGAAAGCTTTAAAATAAATAAATAAAACCCAAAACAAACAAAAAGGACTATATCAGGTAGAACAAGGGATGAAGAAAAGGAAGGAGGCTGGGTGCAGTGGCTCACGCCTATAATCCCAGCACTTTGGAAGGCCGAGGAGGGCAGATCACCTGAGGTCAGGAGTTCAAGACCAGCCTGGCCAACATGGCGAAACCGTCTCTACTAAAAATACAAAAATTGGCTGCCGTATGGTGGCACGTGCCTGTAATCCCTGCCACTTGGGAGGCTGAGGCATGAGAATCACTTGAACTCGGGAGGCAGAGGTTGCAGTGAGCCAAGACCATGCCATTGTACTCCGGCCTGGGCAAAAAGAGTGAAACTCTGTTTCAAAAAAAAAAAGAAAAGGAAGGAGACAGGCACATGTCCCCTAAGCAAGACTGAGCTCCTCAGAAAGGAGTTCCTACTCACTTTTGCATCCTCAGTGCCTACTACTTCAGAAACACGCAAACGTGTTGAGTAACCAGAGCAGTTAAACAGAATTTCAACTCAGAGTCCTGGCTTTACAAGTTGTAGAATCTAAGGAAAGCTCAGGGTCTAAAATATGCAGGGAAGAAGTTTAAACCCCGTGTGTATCCACATGGTGATTTAGAACAAGCTTTCACAGCCAGGACCTGTCAACACAGAGTACATATGCAGTTTTCAAGGTACACTGGCATTAATTTTTTAAATTCTTTTTTAAAAATTTTTTTAAAATAATTTTTTAAAATTCTTTAAATTTTTCACTCTGTCGACCAGGCTGGAATGCAGTGGCACAATCACGGCTCACTGCTGCCACAACCTCCAAGGCTCAAGCAATCCTCCCATCTCAGGCTCTCGAGGAGCTGGGACTACAGGTGCACACCACCACACCTGGCTAATTAAAAAAAGTTTTTTTTTTTTAGAGACGTGGTTCCACCATATTGCCCATGCTGGTTTAGAACTCCTGAGCTCAAGCAATCCTGCCTTGGCCTCCCAAAGTGCTGGGATTACAGGTGTGAGCCACTGTGTCTGGTCAATTTTTAAAATTCTATGCAATAATATTACATAAAATAGACTGAAAACAGAATATATTTTTCTGCACACCTGTACTGAGAACACTACTGACAGCTGGTGGAGTTGAGCTAATAGAAAGTCCAGTCAGACTCTGTTCAATTCCTGTAGTTCCTGGTGGTGACAAAGACGGGGGATTAACTGAGGACAGCTGGACCTTCCAAAAAAAGAAAAAAAAACACAAAGATTACTTAAGTTTATTTCAAAGAAAATATAAATATTGGCTCTTACTTGCCCTGCAGATAGATATTTGGTTCACACATGAGCTGTCACAAGCTTCATCTGGCACGTCTGCCTCCAGACACTCCCTCCTAATTTTGGTACATGTCACGGACCATGCACTGTAAGCATCTCTCTCTCCTGTCACTTCTAGTCTTGAGACACATGGCTTCTACCCCAAGTTGCACATGCTGTTCTTCATACTTCCACACTAGAAGAGATTCTACTCTCTCCTCTTTCCTCACCACCTGGAAATCATTTTATTCAACCTTTAAACCACCACTGCTTTCCTGAATTCCCAGCTGGTTTATTTGTTTTAACTTTCATTGCTCAGGAAAGAAATCAGCTGGAAGTCTTAATACATGATAGACTTCTCAAGATTTCCAACCTCATGAGTGCATTTAATATTTTCTCATCAGTGAATAAATGTGGCAGCCAGATCTCCACTTTTCAGGAGAAGAAAAAAAGGAGTCTCTATGGACTCTACAGATGGGTGGTTTCATTTCTGAATAACCCACCTTCTGCAGCTCCAGTGCCCTTCAGTACATTCCGAGACAACCTGTATTCTGGCCCTTTGCCCAGCTGCTAGTCACTGTCATCTTCTCAGACTACCCAAAGAGGTTCAACTGGGAAAGCCCTGATTAGGGCCAGTGGATATGGTGGTTGGGGTCTGAACATGTAACTATATTGGCTCTGGCCATGAGCCAATGTTGGAGGTGAAACTTCCCAGCAGCTCTTAAAGAAGAGCTTCAGTTCCTCTAGAACTGAAGATGGCCAAACTGTGTAGACAAAACCACAGTGGCAGCAGCCTTGTCTTTACAACAGCAGCATTTTCTTTTTGGGTATTTGGTTTTTATTTAGTGGTGCAGACAAGAGTTAACTGCCCTGAGATACCTCCTTAAGAAACATTCAAAAGCCCTGTAAGCCTGCTCAAGTATCTCTTATTCCTTAAAAAGTCTTACTTTGATCCTGTAATAGCCCCTTCACTCCCCTCATGACCCCCACACACATAGCTCTCCTTGTTTTCTCAATCGTTTCTTGAAACAATAAGCAACAGCTAGCAGCACCTTTTCACCTATTCACTCTGCTGACCTGCAGTTTGTTTGTCCCCTGGCAAGTCTCTGAAATTGCTCTCGCCCAGGACATGGTTTTTTTCACTCCTTTCACCTGACTTCTCTGCACTACCTGACATGGCTGACTGTGTTCGATTTCTTGAAGCTTGGTTTTCCCTCTGGCCTCCTGCTGAGCTTCCTTTGCTAGATCTCTGCCCATCCAGATTTTCAAGATGGCGACCCACCCAGACCCAATCCCTAGCAGTACAGGTTTCCTAACAGCCAATGGGTTACATTACCCTCTCTTTGCTGATGATTCCCAAATCTGCATCTCTAGCCCTGTCCTTTTTCCTAAAATCCAGACTCACATATCTAACCTCTATCTAGGTATTTTACAGGAACCTCAAATGTAACACAATCAATACTTAACTCATCGTCTACCCTATTTTCATAGTGCTACTGCCATATAGTAGCACTGAAACACGTGACTCGTTTTGGTAAAAACTTTATGATATACTCAGGTAGGAACGTGATCTTACCTCTGTAAACCCATCTTTAAGAGGTGTAATAGGTGTACCAGCCATTTGTCCTGGAAGAGAAATTTTCTTTCCTTCCTCAAATGGGCGTGTAGGTATTCGATGCAAATAACCATATCCAATGCCACATCCTAGGCTATAAAAACATTTTTTTCTTAACGTTGTTATCTATCACAGCTTGTATTTCTTTGAGGTGTTTTTTTTGGGGGGGGCGGGTAACCCAAGAGCATAGATTCAAGTTGCCCTGAACATGCACTCCCTTCTTTGAGATTTTAAAAGATAAAAACAAACAAATTTCTATTCTTTTAGATAATGTCATCTAAGCAGAGGTCTCCCAGACCACCCCACAGAAAACAACACCCTGCCCTCCACTGTGGATATCACCCTTACTCCTTTATTTTTCAAGAATTCATCACCATCCAACACACTGCATATTTATTTACTATCTATCTCCCCCAACAAAATGTTAAGGTCCTGAAGGGCAGAGACCTTGTCTGTTTACTGCCTTCATAGCTGCCGGCACATGGCAGACATTTGATGATTACTCGCTAAACAAATGACATCGATACAGCCTTTCCACTGAAGAGCTCTAAGCACGTCTGTATGATGACATCATTTACACATTCCATAGTTCTCTTTCAGAACCTGACACAAATCAGTCATGTATGTTCAACCCAGATCTCTTCTATTTCATCCTCCCACTGCCACCAGAGGCATTTTTCTAGTAAGATGTGATCACATTGCTTCTTTCTAGTCTGATGTCTTCTCAACATTCCTTTCTCTTTCCTCCCTTTGGGGAATTACTTCTCTGCTGTTGTGTGCAGTGCTGGTAGGATTGTCAATCAGAGTGTCTGCCCTGCCCAAACCAAGGGAATGGCTCATGGTCAAAGCCAGGCCAATTTCTCTTGCCCATGGCTGCAAACCTTGGGAGTCAGAGAAAAAACAAAAATGGGTTTAGTAGAATGAATGCTGATGACATTGCCAAATACTTCTTCCTATCTAAATCCCTAGGTTTTCTGAGTCCTGTCCTTTCTACATCTGGTTCTTCAGCTGTTTCCTTGATTATATGAGCTAATCCATATCATTAAGTATGTTATCTGCTTATGATGGTGACAGCTAGTTTTTACCATTTGAACCCAAAACCCCTTACTGATACAATTATCACAGCCTCAACTGCTCAAAATATATCGGAAGTCCTGACCGTGGTATTTAAGGCTCTCCATAATCAGGTTCCAACTTATGTTTCCATCATGATGTCTTTTATTTCCCAAACAACTTGACAATTTCAGAGTAGGCCATGCATGAATACCTCTGTGCCCTTCTCCTGCCACATCATCTATTATCTCCACTGCCACCAAAAGCTGGGTGAGCAGGCAGTAGCCAACTTCAGCCTTTTTAATTTTATTTATTTATTTATTTATTTATTTATTAAGACAATTTATTATTCTGTTGCCCAGGCTGTAGCACAGTGGCATGATCTTGGCTCACTGCGACCTCTGCCTCCTGGGCTCAAGCAATCCTCCCGCCTGAGCCTCCTGAGTAGCTGGGACTATAGGTGCATGCCACCACATCTGGCTAATTTTTGTATTTTTTGTAGAGACAACGGTTCTTCAGGTTGCCCAGGCTGGTACTGAACTCCTGAGTTCAAGTGATCCACCCGCCTCAGCCTCCCAAAGCGGTAGTACTACAGGCGTGAGCCACCATGCCAGGCCTAGCTCCTCCTTTACCAGTCTGATATGCACAATGATGCTTCATCTCACAATTATTTGTTCCTTCTTCCCTTCTTCCCTCACAATCAAAACTGCAATTCGGCCAGGCATGGAAGATCACACCTATAATCTCAGGACTTTGGGAGGCCAAGGTGGGAAGATTGCTTGAAGCGAAGAGTTCAAGACTAGCCTGGGAAACAAAGCAAGGCCCCATCTCTAAAAAAGAGTTTCTAAATTAGCCAAGTACAGTGTGTACACCTGTAGTCCCAGGTACTCAGGAAGCTGAGGCGGGAGGACAGCTTGAGCCCAGGAGTTAAAGGCTGCAGTGAACTATGATTGTGCTCCAGCCCAGAGAGCAAGACGCTGTCTCCAAACAAACAAACAAAACCCTGCAATTCTCACTGGACTGGGATTTAGAGAAATAAAGATTAAATAATTTATAGTGATCAATTATGGCCTTTCAGAGGTAGCTACATTTGAAAACAAGGTGCTTATTGGTCAAAGTAATTAAGTGGTAATAGACAATGCACTTGAGGCAACAGCAAGACCCTGGGCAAACTTAAAGACAGCCTAAGAATGAAATTAAGAGAAATAAGATTTAATAAATGAAATGTGGTCAGCCTCTGAGGAAGGAATAAAAACAGAAGCACAAAAAGACCAAATGCATGGTCAGAGGCAGACTGACGAAAATGTTCTGTATGGGCCTAGCTAATGCAATGGCCAACTGACAGTATTAAACACATCAAAAGAAAAAATGTCTTCCAAAGAATGTAGCCAAATTTAGTTAACATAATTAAAAATGAAAGAATATGTGATGTTCTTTGCTGTTGGTCTTCACTGTCCACAGAATCTCTTCCTCCAGTTTGATTCCATGCTCAGCAGGCACTCTTGTGGTACTAATCTGACCTGAGTATTCTTCTAACTAGAGAGGGGGTATTTTTCTATTGCAAACTGAAAATTTGTCATTCAAATATAGCAGCTTCTCTGCAAATGTAGTTTATATGAGGAAGTGCCTCTTGTAATGAATAAATTTTGAATGCCTCGAATAGATCCTATTTCTGGGCATTTACAAACCTGGGCAATGGACAATGATAATTTGATCAAGTATTGCCCCATATAGGCCAGACTCTTGGATGACACATCTATCTTACTTTTCTCAAACTGCAACAAGTTAGAATACTTGTGGCGAAACATTCAGCTGGAGAATCTCAGGTAGTGTGGGTAAAGATACTGTGAGCAAACGGAAGCTTTTCCTGCCTGCAGCAACTAAGTTATCCTTTTCCCAGCATGGGATTAGAACTTTTGAAAACATGTGGAATGTTTCCAAATTCTAGGCTTTTCTATAATTATGGCTTATGCGCAATAATTTCTCAATTAAAAAGAAATGCTGTTAGCTCTTAGGTTAGTAAAGAAAAGGACTATAGTATATATACTATGTTCCCTAGATATGTACTTTAAAAAAATTGGTTTCAATATTCTAGACTAGCTCTTCCCTTTTTTTTAAGAGGAGTCTTAAAATAAACCAGTAATTTCTTTCAAAATAAAAACAATCAATGTCTGCAACATATCTGACTGGTATGTTTAAGCAGTCATAACTTAGTCTAAAAAATGACCTTACCTGCCTTCTCCACCCCATGCAGAATTTGGTGTAATAATCACTTCTCGACAGTTATCAGTGTCTGTGTTGTACACATACAGTTTCAATGGTTTTGCTTCATGTGTTTCGATAAGGCTGAATAGATCTTCAGACTGCAAAAGTGTCACAGGAGAAAATGTTTCACGTTACCATACTTTGGAACAGTGTGTCTCAAACCTGGCTATCAGAATCACCTGAGAAATCTAAGAAAAAAATACAGATTCTGGGCCCTGCCCCAGACATAAAAATCACAAGCAGGTTTAATTCAATATATTAATTCAAGCAAAGCCTACTTACTACATACAAGGCTTTATGGCCAGTTCCTTAAGATCTAGTTGGCACTCTTAGTACAATTCTTTTACACCCGAGTTCTACATATTCTGCTTTTACTTCCCATTATTAAGACCTGGTTGTCTGGGCACCTCATTTCTCACTCTTTTTTTTTTCTTCTTTTTTTGAGACAGGGTCTCTCTAACTGTTGCCTGGGCTAGAGTGCAGTGGCATGATTTTGCCTCACTGCAGCCTCAACCTCTCAGGCTCAAGTGATCCTTCCACCTCAGCCTCCCAGGTAGCTGGGACTATAGGCATGCACCACCATGCCTGGCTAATTTTTGTATTTGTTGTAGAGACAAGGTCTCACTATGCTGCCCAGACTGGTCTCGAACTCCTGAGCTCAAGTAATTCTCCCATCTCGGCCTCCCAAAGTGCTGAGATTATGGGCATGAGCCACTGTGCCCAGCCTTTTCTCTCATTTTTGATTTAGCAATGTATACTTCCGCTAGCTAAGAGACAAGGAAAAGGATGTAATATAGCTGAGCTAATGCTGTCACTGAACAAAAAGGGGAAGAGAAAATGAAATCAATGAACAATTGAAAATGAGAATTTGATTTAGACTTCAGGTATGCAAAGATTTCTGTATATTACACATAAAATCTGTGCAATTGCCGCACAGTATGTGTTTTTCCTCACAGCTATACCTAATAAGACACCTACCAGATGTTCCATTTAACACCCTGAGGCTTAAGTTATTTTTGATCAGCAAAGACTGAAATTTTAACTCTAAATGCAAAGCATGCAAATATCTTTCTCAACTCAAACCTCAATGAGAAAATTTTATATAGTTCTCACTATGAATAAACACACGAATTACCTCATTCATGACTGTATCTGCTCCAATTATATAATCACTGTGTGGTCTAAGACCTGCCAGTGCTGCAGGAGAATTTGATTCCACCTCCTAGAATGACATAAACACACACCCTAAAATTAATATATATAAAATAATCTTCCAAGGTTTATAGTCCAATTTTTAATTATGTTGATTTTTTAAATCTGTATACTTCTGTCTTGCTAGAGATGTGTCAGATGTCAGAAACTACAGAATATATTTTAAACTTCTGAGCATAAAAATTACATAATATTTAACAAATATTTAAAATATTTTTGTAGCTATCTACTCTAACACATCTTATAATGAATAAATCATTAGAAAAAGTTCTTAAACTTGTACATTTGCTTCTCTTCCTCAACTTAAAAAAAAATTGATCCATACTTAAAAAGCAATGAACGCTGATTTTTGGCAAAAATTGCCTATTAATAATATCCTTACAATCTTATTAAGCCAGAAACAACCATTGTTAAAACATCTTTCCACACTGCTTCATGAACCTCCAGTAACAGTTCACAGTTGATACGTACCAGCACATGCCAAACATTTTCATTTGCCCCATCAAAGCTGCAGAAACGAATGCTCACTCCCAATAAGCCCTGGCCGCCCCACAGGTTACTTGGTGTGACTGAGGTCTCTCGCAGTTCCAATGTTTTGCTGCTATAGATAAGCATCTTTACAGGCTTTTCAACGTTTGCTTTCAGCAGATCCTTAAGAGTGTCATTGTCTTTATTCTGTGAACACATAGAAATCACATTCCTTAGTAAATAAAAATTTAATGTTAGCTTAAGCATCCTATGGCCCTATAAGAGTAATATTAATAATCAACATAAATAAAACATTCAACAAAGGTTTCACCAACATTTAAATTTTCTTCTATGTAAAAGAATGTCAAGAAATTAAGAACTCTTACGTTAGCAACAACTTGAAACTGACTTTTTTCTAATAGCTCATTATGGATTATGGAATTTGCAACCCAACATTATTTAGAATGATCTAGGGCTTCAATGTGTAAAAACAAAATATGCCATAAGAAGTCACATTACTAACGAAGTTGTGATGACTTTGATTATAAAAATCTAAAACATTTACTGGGGTTAACGTTTAATTTTGGACTCTATTTCTAAATACATGCTTTATTAAGAGCTGGATAGAAAAGAAAGTAGAAACAGCATATTAAATATTTCATTTCATAAACAAATAAAGGCCAGATGTTGGCCTTTATTTATATGTCAGAGATGTTGTAAGTAATGAACGAAAACTTAAGACTGTTACGAAAAATTAAACCAACCAAGTGGCTACTGTCCTAAGAATTTGCTGAGATTATATAATTTCTTTATCTTAGAACTTTATTATGGGTAAACTCTAAACAAGGTATAAAAAGTGGTTTTAATTTGGTACTTTGGAGCACATCTCTCTGTCTGGTTCTAATAACATTATTCATATATTGTGAAACTTAGCACCAAGAAAACTGACGAGTTTGAGAGAATGAGATGAGAGAATGAATCTTTCTAGTAATCCATTTGTCAACAACCAACAGAAGTCTGACATCTTTAAAAAGCAATCTTTTACATCTTAATTATTTCTTTCTGCTTATAAAAATTAAATATTTAACATATAAAAGACTCCACTGATTCTAGAGACTTCCCTAAGATAATCAGTGGAGCATAAGGTATAATATTATAGATATTTCAATGTTTATTAATACATGATTATTTCTATAAATTGGCATACTACACATAATGATTGTAACTAATAAATACCCATCTCAGGTCATCTGAAAAATTCCATTTTTGAGAGATTACAAATACTATAGACAAAACTACAGAAAGTTGAACTTACTAATCTTGAACCATTAATAGAAACAATAAAATCAAAGAAAGGCTCCAAACCAGCTCTGTGTCCTGGGGAATTTTCTTGTACCTGCGGAAACAAAAACGACAAAAATAAAAAATGTAAAGCTTAGGTGAAAATTGTAAGCCGAATCTCTCTTTTCAGTAAAAATAGACCAATTTCACTGATAATGAAATACAGTACACGCTAGTTCTCTCATTTCTCTTCATCTCTCCCAGATAATGCCCGTCCAGCTCCCTAAACTCTACCCATTCTTTAAGTTAATCTTCTATTTATATTTTTATTTTATTTCTTTGAGACAGACTCCACCTCTGTTGCCCAGGCTGGAATGCAGTGGCACAATCTCGGTTCACTGCAACCTCTGCCTCCCTGATTCAAGCGATTCTTGTGCCTCAGCCTCCCGAGTACCTGGGAGGACTATAGGTGCGTACCACCATGTCCAACTAATTTTTGTATTTTTTGTAGAGACAGGGTTTCGCCTTATTGCCCAGGCTGGTCCTGAACTCCTGGGCTCAAGGGATCCACCTGCCTCAACCTCCCAAAGTGCTGGGATTACAGGTGTGAGCCACTGCACCGGGCCTAGTTCATCTTCTATATGAGGTTTTCCCTCTGTGGTTCTATTTCTGCACCACTTTCTCCTTTTTTGGGAGAAAGGGGCTAATCCTCTCAGCAATTAGCAGGGGACACAGCAGACAGTCACTACAATTAAGTGACAAATTCAAGCAATTATTCCTTGACTACTACTAGCAAGGCACCACTCAGTTACAAAGCAAATACAGGCACATAGTCACGTATGTCAAGACATTTATAATCTGTTGAGGAATAGGTGAGAAGAGGAAGGGGCAATGGATACACAGCCCTCTAATCACTATAATGTAAAACCAAACAGGCTAAAGGCTATTTGGTATAAGGTTCTAAGGGAAAGATTAATTCTGACTGAAGAAGCTTCAGACATAAAAAGTGATAAGGAATTGTGGTTTAAAAAGAGGGTAGAACATTCAAAGGTAAAGATGGTCAAGGGGGTAGGAAGGACATCTGAAAATGGACAAAACAGTATGAGTAAACACCCGAAGCAGGAGTCTGAAGAATGAGGATCACAGCATGCGTAGCTAGACAACAGAGTAGTGTGGACAGAAATAGAGAATTATAGACTTTGAAAACTAGGATTAACCCAGAAATCCTCTAATCCAGGGATCTTAAATTGAGGTCTGTGGATGGCTTCAGAGAATACTACAGCTCCTGAAATTACACACTATCTTTTATATGAATAAGCAGTTTTCAGGGTGTAAATATTGGTGGCTTTCATCAGATTCTCAAAGGGTTTCTCCATAACTCCAAGAAGGTTTAAAAACCAGGGATTTTGTGCAATTCTTTCATTTGATAGGTTAAAAAAAATTACCATGTCTTGCTTATGATTCCATAGCTGCCTAATGGTGGAAGTTAAACTCAAAAATTCATCTTTTTTATTTTTATTTTTTGAGACAAGAGTCTTGCTCTGTTGCCTAGGCTGGAGTGCAGTGACACAATCTCGGCTTACTGCAACCTCCACCTCCCGGGTTCAAGCAATTCTTGTGCCTCAGCCTCCCAAGTAGCTGGGATTACAGGTGTGCACCACCACCACACCGCCTAATTTTTTTTTTTTTTTTTTTTGTAGAGGCATGGTTTCACCATGTTGGCCAGGCTGGTCTCAAACTCCTGGCCTCAAGTGATCTGCCCGCCTCGGCCTCCCAATGTGTTGGGATTACAGGTGTGAGCCACTGCATCCGGCCAAAAGTCCATCTTGAAACTATTAGTCTAACAAAAGGCTGGAAAGAAGGGGTAGAGCTACATTTACTGGCCTTTAAATGAAAGAGTGAGATTACTTTTAATATAATTCATAGGTTCATAGAATAAAAAAGATTACTTAGCTTCTCAACAACTCAAATGTTTATCATCCCATATTTGATAATGGACTGTCAAATTTTCAAAATTTACAGTAGTAAAATGTTAGTAGCTAGTAACAGAAATATGACAAAAAATAAAAAATATAATCCACTCCACATTTTTTTTCCAAAATATTTTCCCAAGGAATTTTTATTCTGCTTGATATTATTAAGTGCTGTCAAAACTATTCCATGGCCAGGTGCAGTGGCTCATGCCTGTAATCCCAGAACTTTAGGAGGACAAGGCAGGAGGATTGGAGTCCAGGAGTTTGAGACTAGCCTGGGCAATATAGGGAGACCCCTGTTTCTACAAAAAAATTAGCCAGGTATGGGGGTATGCTTCTGTAGTCCCAGCTACTTGGAAGGCTGAGCTGGGAGGATCACTTGCACCCAGGAGATTGAGGCTGCAATGAGTCCAGGTCGCACCACTGCACTCCGGTATAGGGGACAGGGCGAGACCCTGTCTCAAAACAAAACAAAACAAAAAAAAATCTATTCCACAAGAACAAAAGTTTGCATTGATATTTATAGGTTGACTTTCTATAATAGTCCAAATAGTTCTATAGTCAGTTTTGCAAATAACAGCAGCAAATGACAGATACACTTTCAACCATACACAAAGCTACAGCTATTTATACAGTAACAAGTCATTTTAATACTTTCAAAATGGAACACAGATTGTTCCTAAAATACATCCTTCTAATACCAGTGTCAATCAGAATTGTTCATTACCTCTTAATGTTACCTTTTATTTACGCCAAATTATAGTATTGTCTCAGAAGAAGTAAAACTTGATATTCTTCTTTTGATAACAGTAAAGAATAGTTGCCCTATATAGACGGTTCAACGTCTAACTCCCTAA
This sequence comes from Homo sapiens, assembly GCF_000001405.40. Classification (NCBI taxonomy): domain Eukaryota; kingdom Metazoa; phylum Chordata; class Mammalia; order Primates; family Hominidae; genus Homo; species Homo sapiens. The sequence continues at coordinate 170,945,634 of NC_000002.12, read as the reverse complement.
AACTGTTTGATCATGTTTTTTATGTTTCCCTGCAAATTTGGGACCAAATCATTTTGTAAATTAAATAAGTTAAATATCAAAGGGATCTATTAAAGGTGTTCAGTTTCTTCTTCTTCTTCTTTTTTTTTTTTTTGAGACAAGGTCCCACTCTGTCACTCAGGCTGTAGTGGAGTGGGGTGCATCCATAGCTTACTCCTGGCCTCCCAAGCAGCTGGGACACGTGTGCACCACCATGCCCAGCTAATTTTTAAATTTTTTCTAGCGCACCACCACACGCAGCTGATTTTTAAATTTTTTCTAGTGTACCACCATGCTCAGCTAATTTTTTAATTTTTTATAGAGATGGGGGTCTTGCTATGTTGCCAATGCAGGTCTCGAACTCCTAGTCTCAAGTGATCCTCCCATCTCAGCCTCCCAAAGCACTAGGATTACAGGGGCACGTCACCATACCCAGCTTTTAGTTTCTGTATACTCAGTTTTCTATGGGGGTTATTTCATATTCTGTATGTTATCAAATAAAATGTCTAGGACTCAAAATAGCATATTTCTTCTCAAATGGCAACTCTGAAAGGTAAAGTAGTGGCTGCCTGGAGTCACAAGAAAAGTGAGGTCAAGTCACAGCTACTGGGGACAAAGTCAGATCAACTAGATGTGAAATGCCTATTAGGTGGTTATCAATTAGATGTGAAAGGCCTCAGGTGTGAAAGGGAATGAACAGCACAGATCCTCAGGCGCCTCCTCAGAGTGGAGTTTCTCATCTAATAAAGCCCACATCTAATCACCTAATTCTCTGAATCTGAATGTTTCTAAAAAACTATTAATAGCATTTTATCTAGAACTCAACTAGGTCACTGATCAATTTCAGACTTTGCCACTGAGACTGCCAGAAGTTTACCTTTTAGTTAAAAAGGGCTAAAGACAGCACTTTTATAAGGTAATCACTCATGTAGAAAGCTGACCCTGCATACTGATTCTTACTAGGCCACCCTTATAAAGTTTAAAGTATAAACTTTAGAGTATAAAGTTTAAACTATTTGTCTGAAATGGAAATTTTCCAATATCAGAAGTATTTTTCCTATAATTCAAAAATGATTCAATAGCTAAATTTGAATTCTAAAATAAACTTGATCCTTTCCCTAGCTCTATTTTTCTATTTCATTTGTTACTAACATCGATTTCCTCTCTGTTTCTAATGGCCCTTGAAATTAACTTCTTTCCTAAATTTATTTACATCATTAGTATCTGCACAATTACATAGGTAGGTATCTTAATTACTGCTAGGAAGTCAGCAGAGAGTGCCCTAGAAAAATCCTCTCTTTGACCCTCATATACCTAAAGGAAATTTCCTATATTTTGTAGCATGGAAAATATGATCTACAACATAGCAAACCAAACACTGACACAGGTAAGTTTCTCTTGCAATGTTATCCACTGACAAGAATCTCCTGGCACGTAATCTCTCAAGCATCAGATTACCACTTCAATACTTTCTATCCCCTATGAGATCTCCTGATTATTAATTTATCTTCGCTTTCTTCAAGTCATCTTAACTAAAAGTCTATATATACTTGGCTCCACAGACCATTTAACATTTATTACTGGGCCAAATATCAAAGCAATTTACAATGAACAGGTTAAATTTGTAAATTTAATAATTAAGGCCAGGCACGGTGGCTCACACTTGTTATCCCAGCACTTTGGGAGGCAGAGGTGAGAGGATCTCCTGAGGCTAGGAGTTCAAGACCAGCTTGGGCAACAAAGTGAGACTCCATCTCTACAAAAATTTTTTAAAAAATTAGCCAGGCATAGTGGCAATTGCCTGTAGTCCCAGCAACTCAGGAAGCTAAGGCGGGAGGATTGCTCGAGCCCAGGAGGTCGAGACTACAGTGAGTCAGGATCACGCCACTGCACTTCAGCCTGGGCGACAGAGCAAGGCTCCATCTCACAAATAAATAAATAAATAAGATTTTAAAAGATTATATACAGTGAAAAAATAATAGACTTTTAGAGCCAGACTGAGTTGGTTTTAAGCCATGATTTTGTCCAGTTATTAGCTGTGTGAGCTTGGTAAAGTTTATTTACCACGCTGGGCCTCAATTTTCTCATTTGCAAGTAAGGGATAACGCCATCTTCTTCACAAGAATGTTGTAAAGATTCAATGAGTTAAGTTTATGAAATGCCTAGCTAAGTCTCAAGCCTATGATAGAAGGCCAAGAAATCTTAAGCTCATCCTCCTAACTCTGCAATCACCATCTGAGGGTAAGTCTTTATAGCTAACCAATTCCTGGACACAACATTATTTTTACAACCATATTAAATACCTTTTACTCTTAAAAAGAAAAAATAAAACTTGTAAAGTGTTAGCAGGAAAGAGAGACAAACCATTTTTTCAAATGTTGCCTCCCAAAAATCAATTCCAGATGGATGGCAGCTCTAAAAGGTCAAGGGTAAAACAATAAACGCTGTAGAGAAAAACATAAGAGAATATCTTTGAGACCTTCAAGTTTGCAAAGGCTTCCTAATAAACTGGACACAAAATGCACTAACCATAAACTAAAATAAATTGATAAAGTGAACTACACTAAGAACTTCTGCTCATCAAAAGGTATAATTAAGAAAGTAAAAAGACATAATACATATCCAACAAAGGATCTGTATCCAGAAGAAATCTTGAACTACTGTAAAGCGTTCAGAAAGACAGACAATAAAACCGCAAGATACTATTTCTTGTCCACTGGAATGACCATAATTAAAAAGAGAGTAACAAGCATTGGCAAGGATGTGGAGAAAATGGAACACTCATACATTTGCTGGTGGGAATGTAAAATGGTGTAGCCGCTGTGGAAAACAGTTTGGCAGATCCTCAAAATGTTACACACAAAGTTATCACATGATCCAGCAATTCCACTCCAGGTATACAAATAACCAAGGAAAATGAAAATATATCTCCATGCAAAAACCTGTACACAAATTTTATAGCAGCATTATTCATAATATCCCTAACGTAGAAACAGCCCAAATGTCCCCCAACTGATAAATGGATAAACAAAATGTGGTATACCCATAAGAAAGGATGAAGTACCAATGCACGCTATGACATGGATAAATCTTGAAAACATTATGCTAAGTGAAAGAAGCTAGTCACAGAAGACCACATATTGTTTGATTCAATTAATATGAAATGTCCGCAATAGACAAATCCATAGAGACAGAAAGCAGATTAGTTGTTATGAGGGGTTGTGGGTGGAAGAATGGGGGAATGGCTACTAATACATATGGGTTTCTTTCTGGAGTAATACACAGATTCTGGAATTAGGCAGTGGTGATGGTTGCAGAACTCTATGAATATACTAAAAACCCACCAAACTGTATACTTTAGAAGTCTGAACTTTCTGGTATGTAACTTTTATCACAATAAAGTTGCTTAAAACAGAAAAAAAGACAACCCAATAGAGAAATGGAGAAAAGATTTTAGCAGACACTAAACAAAACAGGATACTGAAGTGATCTATAAATATGAAAATGTGCTCAACTTCAATGGTCATCAAGGAAATGCAAATTAAAACCACAATGCAACACTACTACACATCTATCAGAATGAATGAAATTAAAAAGACGAAAAATATTAAGTGTTAGTGAGGACGTAGGACATTTAGAAACCTCAATTACTGCTGGTTAGAATGCAAACTAGTAAATGACTTGGCAATATCTATTAATATTGAAAATATGCACACCTTTTGACCGTATATTCCAACCTTGGGTATATACCCAACAGAAATGGGTATACACATGTTCTCTAAAAGCAATACACTATAATGTTGATAGTAGCACTATTTATAAAAGCCCCAAACTGAAAACTACAAAAATCCCCATCAACAGGTTAATAAATATTGGCATATTCTCTCAATGGCACCAAATACATTAATGACATGAAAGGTCTACAATAATATACATGAATAAATCTCACAAGCAATATCCGAGCAAAAGAAGCCAGATACAAATGAGTACCTAGCACATGGTTCCCCTTATACAAAGTACAAGAACAGGCCAAACTCATCTATGCTGTTAGAAATCAGGATATTCATCCTGTGGAGGTGGGAGTTGTGCAGGATGTCACTGGAAAGGGATAAGAGGCTGGTTACATTAAGTGTGTTGCTTGTGAAAATTCACCAAGCTATACACTTGTGTGCACTCTTTTAATATAAAGCCTTAAAAGATGCTCCCTGTATCAAAACAAGTATACTGAGGTTACACTTTTTCCAATGCCTTTTTTTCCAATTCTTCTTAGGGCCACACGATTTACTTTGACAATTAAGAAACATAATAAAGCAGCTGAAAATACTAAAGAGCAATTATGCTTACAAAATAATAATTATAAAAAGATATATTACCAAAACATGGATAGGTAGAAGAAATTATGAACACATTAACTGGCAGTTGTAAGGTTCAAACTATACATCTGAGGTTAGCTTACAAAATAAAAACTACAGCAGCGTGAAAGAAATGCTTCTCTCCTAACATTCTAGAAAAAACGGCTGCAATAAACAAGATGATATTTGCTAGACAGTTTTTACCCCTCAACGAGCAAAAATGAGAAGCTTATGATGAAACTGCACAGTAAAGGGGCATCTCTATTACATAAAAAGAAATTTGCATCAATGATTAGAAGCTGGATTTTTTAATCACCAACTTTATAGAAATAATCCCTAAAGTGGTGTCATTCAACTACAGTGGATGATTTCAGTAGGTTCTGAAATCAATTTAGTGTGTCACAAAAGACAAGTATCAAAACACAATATCACAATAGAAAATCTGTCAAAAATGCATGATATAATAAAGGCCTATATTCTTCATGAAATGTAGTATGTACTGGTTGCAATGGAAAATACATTTTTTGGCTTGAGCTACAATAAAAATAAAGTTAGGAAAAGCTGTCCTACAAGATACCGTTAATACTTCTGCTCCATTAAGTTCCTGGTAAAAAAAAAAAAAAGCAATTCACTTCTTGACTTTTCCCTCCACTTCTGATCCCGTATCATTAAAAGTTTTACCAGATTTAGCCTAAACTTTTCTTTTCTTTTAACACACAGACCTAACTATTGCTTTCCAGTGAAGCATTCATCTCTTCTTCCAGGATTAAGAATGTTCAACTACTACTACTTATGCTAGGTTTGGGTCATTTCACATTACCTCTTTCTCTCTTTAATTCTTCACTTGGGGGAGGGAGGAATGGCAGAGTAAGAGGGAAGAAGTGTTTGGGTGGAGTTGGGTGTCAGGGGGCATTCTCCCAACTGCACTGGTCTACTGACTTACATACCTTCAGCTGAGGTATACAGACCTTCTACCTTAAAGTAACAAAGAAAGTAAACCACAAGGCAACTTGCAGCACACAGGATATCACCAGACTACATGCTGCACTAGGTGATACACAAAGACACACTTATCCATGTTTCTGGCTGATATGTAAATTATCTTCCTTAAGTTTTCTGACAATGAAAATTATACCATAAAATTGGCTTACTAGAATGTATAACTGTCTCCTTTTTATTACTACACCATATATTCCTTTTCCACACATAAAATGCAGAAAAGCCCCATTGAATGACTATCTACACTATCATCTCTTCTAACACTCTCCCTCTTGTACTGCTTTTAAAAACAGTGGAGATGTTAAACAAGACTAGAAAATAAATTCAATCCAAGCAATACCTAAATGATGACCCACCTCAACTATAAACATAAATCCTCATGCACTATATGTGTGCGTAGGTGATCAAAATGATGGGAAAAGATCTGGGAATGTGATATAATAAAAAGAAATCCTAAATCCTCCGTGGTTATAATAAGCATTTTTTTTAGTGAGGAGGGTGAGGGAGCTATAGTAGTCCCTGTTATCTGCAGGGGATATGTTCCAAGACCTCCCATGGATGCTTGAAATTGCAGAGTACCAAACCCTACATATACTGTACTATATTTTTTCCCATATGCAAACACTTATCATAAAGCTTAATTTATATGCTAGGCATAGTAAGAGATTAACAACAATAACTAATAATATAAAACAGAACAATCTACCACTTATGAACTGTTTATTTCTGGAATTTTCCATCTGATATTTTTGGACCTCAGTTGACCAAAGGTAACTGAAGCCACAGAAAGTCAAACTGTGGATAAGGAGAGACTACTATATTCTATGTCTGCAAATGGGTAAGTTTCCTTATTTGGGTCTTGACACAAATGTGTGGTAAATAATTTTGCAGTAGACTAGAAGAGTTCAAGCCTCACCTGCTAAAACATTGTCTTCACATGTTCTTCCAAAACAAAGCAAAGTACATGTTCTCCTGACACTAACCCTGACATAATTTTTAACATTCAAGCAATTTAAAATAAAATTGTAATGGCAACTAAAAGGAAATAAAAACCCATTATTGCATAATAGTTTTCCAGAAAAGATCTGTACATTAGAAAAACAACATCGAAAGAAATTGAAGTTTGCTCTAAAAGAAGCAAAAACTCTGACAACTTCTGAACTCATTTTATATTCTTCAAATAACTTAGGGATTTGTTTCTTAGGGAAAGAAAACTTGCTCTGTGACCTTGGGCAAATCAGATTAACTTCTCTGTGCTTTTTTTCTTTTTTTTGAGATGGAGTTTCCCTCTTGTTCCCAGGTTGGAGTACAGTGATGCAATCTCAGCTCACAGCAACCTCCGCCTCCTGGGTTTAAGTAATTCTCCTGCCTCAGCCTCCCAAGTAGCTGGGATTACAGGCGCCCACTGCCATGCCTGGCTAAGTTTCTGTATTTTTTAGCAGAGACAAGGTTTCACCATGTTGGCCAGGCTAGTCTCAAACTCCTGACCTCAGGTGATCACCGCCTCGGCCTCCCAAAGTACTGGGATTACAGGCCTGTGCTTCTTTTCTTTAGCTGCAAAAATGAGGAGGCTAACTATGTAATCTGTAAGCCTGAATGACCCACCATGAAATAAGTCTAACTGTTGCTAAGCTATCTATAGATTCTACAATGAAGAAAATCAAATACAGCAAGATCATTTTAATTGCATAGACTCTTTCAGCCATTTTAATTAATGTGTGTAGTAACACTGTAGCAATGCAATGAAAAGGATACTGGCACTCCCCGTTTAAAATTAAAAAACAATTTCCTTAAAAATGAGGATCAGAGGAAATTAACAGGCACCATTTATGTGTGTGCCTATATGACTAAAATTAATGGGTCAGATCTGACCTCAAACTTACGTTTTAAACAGCAGTAAAGTACAGGTTAGGTACACAGACAAAAAGTAACTGTTGCTTAATCAAATAAAAATACTAAAAATGTTTACAACTACAGTAGTATATTTTAGCTAGTATTGCCACGATACTGGTTCTACACAATAATGCAAATGCTAGTAATAAAGGCATCAGCTAACATTTGAATCCTTATTATATTCCACATTCTAAGTTAAGTGCTTTACATGGAATATCTCATTTAACCCACAGGATAATCAAGGAGGTAGATAGCGTTGTTTTAAGAAAGAGATTTAATAATGCTCAATTGTTTTCATTATTTTCATACACAGTATCTAATGTGTTTTTTAGTGGAAAAGGTAGAAGTGGCTCTGCTATTATCTGCACTTTTCAGATACAAAGACTGAAGCTTTTCAAAGCAGTTCAAAGGGTTGCTCAAGGAAACAGAATGAAGTGATAGAGCTGGCACTAGAATCCAGTTCCCAAAGGTGGTCTCTGGTGGTTGACTATGATAGTTTCTCAATGTACTCATGTCCACAAAGATAACAAGATTCTTTCCTTCTGTCTTTATTTTTTTTAGAGACAGGATCTCACTTTACTGTCTAGGCTGGTCTCAAACTCCTGGCTTCAAGTAATACTCTGCCTCGGCCTCCCAAAGTGTTAGGATTACAGGTGACAGTCACTGTACCAGGTGCTTCCTCCTTTGTTTCCCTCTTTCCCTTCCCTCCCTCCTTCCCTCTCTCTTTCTTTTTCTTTCTCAAGCTCTCAATATTTTGCCACGGCTACTCTTGAACTCCTGGGCTCAAGCAATCCTTCCACCTCAGCCTCCTGAGTACCTGGGACTACAGGCACATGCCACAAAGCCTGGATTTTACTTTTATTTAATTAATTAGGGCAGGGATGTGGCTCACAGCTATAGTCCCAGCACGTTGGGAGGCTAAAGCAGGAGGATCACTTGAGCCCGGGAGTTTGAGACCAGCCTGGGCAATGTGGCGAGACCTTGTCCCTTCAAAAAATCAGCCAGCTGTGGTGGTACGCACCTGTAGTCCCAACTACTTGGAAGGCTAGGGAGGGAGAACTGCTGGAGCCCATGAAGTCGAGGCTGCGGTGAGCTGGGACTGTGACACTGCACTCCAGCCTGGGCAACAGAGCAAAACCGGGTCTCTAAAAATTTTTTTTTTTTTGTGATGGAGTCTCACTCTGTCGCCCAGGCTGGAGTACAGTGGCACCATCTCGGCTCACTGCAACCTCCACCTCCAGGGTTCAAGCGATTCTCCTGCCTCAGCCTCCTGAGTAGCTGGGATTACAGGCACGCGCCATCATGCCGGTCTAATTCTTGTATTTTTTGTAGAGAGGGGGTTTCACCATGTTGGCCAGACTGGTCTTGAACTCCTGACCTCGGTGATCCACCCGCCTCAGCCTCCCAAAGTGCTGGGATTACAGGCGTGAGCCACCGCACCTAGCCTTAAATTTTTTTTAAAAAAATTAACGAATTAATTAATTAATTTTAGAGACGCTGCTGTTACCCAGGCTGGAGTGCAGTGGTGTGAGGATAGCTCGCTGCAGCCTCAAAGTCCTTGGTCAAGTGACAATTTTGCTTTTATTGAGACCGGATCTCATTATGTTGCCCAGCGTGGTCTTAAACTCTTGGGCCCCCACCTCACCTCAGTCTCCTGATTGGAGTAGCTGGGATTACAGGTGCACACCATTATGCCCGGCTTAAGCTTCCTTATTTCTGACAATGTGCTTGAGCCTTCTCTCATTGATGCTTAAAAGAGAGAACAAAACCCCAGAATAATTATCTTCATGCTACAGTAAATTTATTTGCAATGCCAACAGGGAAATGTACAGTCTCTCAAAGTAACTACTTAGGACTAGGTGTGGTGGCTCATAAGTGTAATCCCAACACTTTGGGAAGCCAAGACGAGAGGATCGCTTGAGCCCAGGAGTTCAAGACCAGCCTGGGCAACATAGAAAGATCTCTCTACAAAAAAATTTTAAAATTGGCTAGACGTGGCAGCATATGCCTGTAAGCTACTCAGGAGGCTGAGATAAAAGGATTAATTGAGCCCAGGAGTTCAAGGCTGCAGTGGGCCATGACCACACCACAACACTCCAGCCATAGTGACAGAGTGCGACCCTGCTTCAAAAAAAAAAAAAAAAAAAAGTCAGTTTCAAAAGCACATATCAAACTTTCTATTTCCTAGTTTACATTAGTATTTTATAGTGAATCAATCAATATATATAATCCTTTCAATAGAATATTAAAGTAAGCAAAATGAACACACTGATGTTAACGGTTATTCTAAGCTCAATTTTTATAAAATTTGCAGAGGAATTATTAAAAAGCCCTGTTAGTATCTGACCCAGAAGGCAGAAGAATCAGTGTTGTACACTCTACTACTTACTGAAACCATAATTAACCACTAACAGCAGATCTCCCCCAGTGAGAATCCTGAGGATGATAGCGCAGGCATTAAAACACACCTCATCACATAAGTACGAAAGCATATACAGGCCGGGCGCAGTGGCTCACGCCTGTAACCCCAGCACTTTGTGAGGCTGAGGTGGGTGGATTGCTTGAACTCAGGAGTTCGAGGGCAGCCTGGGCAACATGGCAAAAACCCATCTCTACCGAAAATACAAAAAATTAGCTGGGCATGGTGGTGTGTGCCTGTAGTCCCAGCTACTGGGGAGGCTGAGAGGGGGGAGGATCACTTGAGCCTGGGAGTTGGAGGCTGCAGTGAGTGGAGACTGTGCTACTCATTCCAGCCTAGAGTGAGACCCTGTGTCAAAAAAAGAAAAAAAAAAAAAAAAAAGAGGTGGGGCGTTGGGGGTGCTGGGTGCAGTGGCTCCCACCTGAAATCCCTACACTTTGGGAGGCTGAGGTGGGCAGATGACTTGAGGTCTGAAGTTCTAGACCAACCTGGCCAATAAGGTGAAACCCTGTCTCTACTAAAAATACAAAAATTAGTTGGGTGTGGTGGTGGGTGCCTATAATCCCAGCCACTTGGGAGGCTGAGGCAGGAGAATCACTTGAACTGGAGTGGCGGAAGTTGCAGTGAGCTGAGATCGCGCCACTGCACTCCAGCCTGGGTGATAGAGCAAGACTCCATCTCAAAGAAAAAAAAAGTGTATATAATCAACATGAAACTACTAATTTGTTCAAGGCCTATTAATATTAGAAAAAGTTTATGTTCAATGATATAATTCCTAAAAGTATCCCAAGATTTATATACATTGTATTCCATGGCTTCAATAAACTGAGACATCCTGATTCCTACATTTGAAAGCAATTTAAAAGAATGTTTATTAAACAACTTCTGGGCCTTTTATTAGAAAAGATCAATTTTGGGCCTGGCACAGTGGCTCACGCCTGTAATACCAGCACTTTGGGAGGCCGAGGCCTGTGGATCAGCTGAGGTCAGCAGTTCGAGACCAGCTTGACCAATAGGGTGAAAGCCCATCTCTACTAAAAATACAAAAATTAGCTGGGCACGGTGGCAGGAACCTGTAATCCCAGCCACTCTGGAGGCTGAGGCAGGAGAATTGCTTGGACTTCGGAGGCGGAGGTTGCAGTGAGCTGAGATTGCACAACTGCACTCCAGCCGTGGCAACAGAGCGAGACTCCATCTCACAAACAAACAAACAAACAAAAAAGAAAAAAAAGGAGAGATCAATTCTGGGGGCAGGGTCAGACTCTTCAGGTTTCACAATTATAACTTTATATATAGAAAACAATACCAAATAACCCTACTGTTTTCTTTTTACCCATTGTTTCCAGAATGAGTGAGAAGGGAGCCAGAGTGAGATTTCTGTGTTAGGGGATGAGGTAGGGCGTGGTGGCTAACACCTGTAATCCCAGCACTTGTCGGAGGTGGAGGCGGGTGGATCACTTGAGGTCAGGAGTTCGAGAACAGCCTGGCCAACATGGTGAAACCCCACCTCTACTAAAAATACAAAAATTAGCTGGGCGTGATGACAGGTGCCTGTAATCCCAGCTACTTGGGAGGCTGAGGCAGGAGAACCCGGGAGGTTGCAGTGAGCCGAGATGCGCCATTGTACTCCAGCCTGGGCAACAAAAGCGAAACTCCATCTCAAAAAAAACAAAACAAAACAACAACAACAACAACAAAAAAAAAAACAGGGTATGAGTTTCAAAAGTTTGAGAAAGACTGTTAGAAGAATAAAGAAGACAATGACTATTGAATATCAGAAATTAATTTTTTCAAAATAAGTACTAAATTGAAATCCCATCACAACAGGATTGCAGATAGGTTAGTTAGGCACCATTTAAAAAGAGCAGTACCTTTGGGAGACCTCATCTCTGACAAAATAGAAAAAAATATATAAAAAGAGCAGTTCCATATGATAGAAGATATGGTGTAGGCATTGCATTTTCTATAGAAGTAATTCCACTTGCAGTCACTTGCTTCTCTGAGAACACCTAAATGTTACCCAGTCTGCAGCAAATAGCTCAGAAGATAAAAACCTGTTATTACACTCGTGACACATTTCATGTCAATGACCCTTCCTTCAAAATATCCATCACCTCAAAATCTCTCCCAGAAGCAAGCATGAGAAAGAATGAAAATGCCATTTTCCATGTCTCCACACTCCACACAGTCTCCACACTGAATACTTGCTCCAGAAAGTATGCCCTCAGCTATTCCCCATCTCTTTTAAGTGTGGAACAGAATATGAATATTTTAATTTAAAAGCAGATCCTATAATAGGCATCTGTGAGGTCACTCCAAAAATTTAATTTTGTGAACTATGTCACTAATAATTTTTTAGAGAACCTTGTTTATTACCTTTCAGCTTTATTTTCCTGAGCACTCAAATGTACCTGCACATACACAGGGTGTTTGAAACACAATTTTGAGCGAATGTATAGCATTCTATCTGTGGTTAGGCCCTGATTTGTTTAACAATTTCTCACCTGTTGGATATTTTGGTTTAATTTAATTTTGAAAATGGTCTTGTTGGGTTCACTGGATAATTAATGGAAAATATAGGCAAAAATTTGATATTAAACATAGTTCACATGTAGGGGGTAACTTACAATAACTTCAAAAACTGAGAAGCCCTAACATTTTTCCTGCCTTACATTAGGATTGGAGGACCAAAATAAAAGTGCCATTCATAGTGAGCACAAATCTGACCCACTATATAAGGAAATCTGAAATGCTATTTTTTAAAAAAAGACTTCTACACAAATTTTTAAATCCTCCACTAGGAGTCCACTTCTTTTTTAAAAGTAATTTTGCATATCTACACTTTGGGTGACTATACAAGTATTTAATGATCACTTCAGAAATCCTAGAAAATATATTAAAGTTAAAAAAAAAGTCACCATCCACTAATAATTTTTTAGACAACCTTGTTTATTACCTTTCAGCTTTATTTTCCTAAGCACTCAAATGTACCTGCACACACACAGGGTGTCTGAAACACAATTTTGAGTGAATGTGTAGCATTCTATCTGTGTTTAGGCCCTGATTTGTTTAACAATTTCTCAGCTGTTGGCTATTTTGGTTGTAATGTTAACCTCTTAAGATAACTTTTGGCCATATAGTCCTTGAATACGTCATATTATTCAAAATCTTTGTGAAACATGGCTAAGGGGCGATGTTAGGCCCAGGAAAAAAAGGAGACTAAGAGAAATACTTCAACAGTATTTGCCTTTAGATGGTGGGATTACAGGTAATTCAGGTTCTTTGCTGTACTTTTTTACCACATCCAAATGTTCTCTAATGGACACATGTTGATGATCAGAAAACAATGTAGTTATTTACTAAAATAAAGATCAACATTTCTACAGACAGCTACCATTAAAATTCAATACAGTAATCTGGGAAAAGGATGTATGTTATGGGAAAACAAAAAGTAGGATTTAAGGTTGTAAATATGTACTTATAATAACAGAAGACTAGATAACCAAATGTTCAACACCAGGAGGTACTCCTTAACCAATCTATGGTACAAAAGACTACCGTGAGCTAACTGAAAGCATGAAGCAGATGGCCACTTGCTACTACAGAAAGACTGCCAAGATAGGTCAACAACTGAGAAGACTGAGGTGTGCAACAGCATGGATCATGATTACAAGGTAACAAAAAGAAAGAGAGAAGGGTGGAAGAAGAAGAGACTCTTTTTTTTTTGAAAAGAAGTCTCACTCTTTTTGCCTAGGCTAGAGTGCAATGGCACAATCTCAGCTCACTGCAACCTCCGCCTCCCAGGTTCAAGTGATTCTCCTGCCTCAGCCTCCCAAGTAGCTGGGATTACAGGTGTGCACTACCATGCCCGGCTAATTTTTTATATTTTTAATAGAGATGGGGTTTCACCATGTTGGTCAGGCTGGTCTCGAACTCCTGACCTCAGGTGATCCGCCCACCTCGGCCTCCCAAAGTGGGGATTACAGGTGTGAGCCACTGTGCGCGGCCAAAGAGACTTTTTTATAAGCATAAAATATATCTGAAAGGCTATGTAAAAAACTGTCCACAGTGGTTACTCTGGAGTGGGGATAAGAAGTTGGGTACACAATATGATCACAATCTGAAAATATGCACTCATACATACAGAACACATAAAAAGGAACTACACTGCTCATAGCAGAACTTCTGAATCCATTTAAAGGCTGTCCCCTAAATATTTTTAGATGGATATTGAAAAATAATGAAAAAAATGGAAAGCTCAATCTATCTGAATTATAGGGACTCATGAAATCAAAAGACAGCAGTGGATATAAATGTTATTATAATTGGTATTTCAAAACCCAGTCAATCATATTAAGTTTTTACTACAACAAGATTGGCCAGGGAATTGGTTATTCAAGAAAACTAACTTCTAATTAAATCGTTCTAGAACTTGTTGAATATGGGTGATTTTATTCAAAATTTTCCTGCCACAGTTACTCCAGTTTACAAGCTTGGTAATCTAACAATGAAATATATCGCTGTCCATTTAGGCAATAACAAATGAAAGGAAGACATTTTTACATGTTAAGATTTAACACAGCACTTTTCCCTCTAAAAACAAAGATAAGAAAACCAATTACAGAATCAGGGGCAGAGGGTCTTAGGAAGGCAGACACAAAATTCTCCTAAACTAGATCATTACTATTTTAAAGCTCTCTTTAGTAAAAGTCTAACTAAATAAGAATTATTTCATCGTGTGCAACATTAATGCTCCAGATGCAGATTGGTAACTAAGGTTGTCCCTAGTTTTTCTAAAAATCAGATGTATAGATTAATAACACATCTGCACTACTGAATATGTATGAATGCTGTTTCACTTGACTGCACTTACATAAAGAAAATACAAACTCATTTTATGTCGGAATGCAGTCACTAAGTTGGAATCCTTTTGATGTGTATGGCTTTCTTTCAAACACGCGACTTTTTTTTTTTTTTTTTGCTTATTAACACTAATGTGTTTTACTGAGTTTCCCTGAGTGCATGTATTATAAAAATATCATGAATCCCCAAGGATTCATGACCACAATCGGTCACTGTGAGAAACAGCTGGTAATACTGGGTAACATCCCAGGGTAGAGAACTCAAAATCAGACCAGATAATAGAAAGAAAAGCACAGCTTTCACCTCACATTTGGGAACTGACAATTCTCCTTCCATTTCCTCTCTCAGTGTGGCTCTTGGGTGTTTGGTTAGCAGAAGGGGATAGGAAGATAATACGGTTTATTTATAGGCTCCCTTTTCCTTTCGGGGAAAAAAAAAATCACCCTTTCCTACTAAGAGTATGGCAGAGGAGGGATTTTTAGTGTAATGGAAAGGCAATAGACACGATAATCCGGAAGATCAGAAAGATGATCTGTCTCAGCCCTATCACATAGACAGCTGGGCAATTTAAGAATGTGTCTCACCTAAAACATGGGACCCAGGGCAGGAAATGAAGGTAGCACCAGGAAGTGCACTCTCTTACTTTCAGTGAAAACGTTCTTGCCTGTGAGGAGCTAATATTGAGTGACACTCTATTACACCCCTAAATGGCGCTACACGCTGCGGCCACTCTGTTGACTGTTCATGTTAACACTCACACAGGTGTCACAGCAAACAACCATCAATGCTACTTCTAAAGTCGCCCGGTTCCATGAGGAAAAGACCACATGCTTTGTACCACCCAGGCCCAGGCCGTTCATAGGTAGGGGCTTAGCTGACGCCTTTTGAGATACTATGTTTCTCTGCGTCCTGGAAGTTAAGCTAGGGTTGTTTTCCTTTATATACTCCGATTTTTAAAAAAAATTTCTCTGCACTACCTCTTTACCACTGTGGATCTAAACCTTATAATCTAAACCACACCCTCAGCAATCGGAACAGAACGGAAGTTCCCACTCCAGGAAATCTTGAGAAGGTTTGGGAGGGTCAGGAGTGGCACGGGAAAGGAAAAGTCTGGTCAAAATCAAGTCTGTTTAAGTCCGTCGAACCTACTTCCAGGCCATTTGGTTTTCCGTCTCCTGCCCTGCTGGTCTTTCAGGCCACTCGGCCGGCGCCGAGGTGATTTAACACCTGCCGCCGCAGGCCCCGCCTCCGGACTGCGGGTCCGGATCCCTCTCCTAGGAAAGCGCAAAGGCTGCCTTCACAGTCACCACTTTGGAGACGTTGCCTCCGCGCCCTTCCTAACTTTGGAAGCTAAAAATGAGGGGGGGTGGAGGAGAGAGAAGGCCGTGCGGAAAAAGAGCAAGGTTGTCCCCCCTTCCCAGGGCCGCCCCCTGGCCGAGTCGCCGGCAGCCGCCTCCAGCTCCAGCCCGTCCTCCTACAGCCGCGGACCCCGTGCCCAGGGCGCTCCGCGGAGGTGGGATGCGAGCGGCCTCCGGAACCAGCCTCGACCAAGGCAGCGCCCGCGACCGCCGCTCCTTCGCGGGATCGGGCCTGGCTGCCCCGTGAAGGAGCCCATGGGGGCCTCCGCCTCCCCGCGGCCGGCCCCGCCTCCAGCCCGCAGCTCCCCGGCCGCCGTCGGAGCCCTTACCCGCAGAACGTGGTAGCCCTCGGTGCCCCCGCCCGGGATCTCGACGCTTTGCGAGGAGCCCATGGCGGCGGGCGATCGGTGTGGCCGAGCCGGGCTCCGCGCTGCTCCCGCCCCCAGCGCACCGCCTGCTCTAATCCTCCGCGTAGCACTTGGGACGTGGCACTCGCTGCCGCCGGAGAGCCGGGCCGCACAGCCCGCCGGGAGATCGTCTCTGCTGCAGCCCGGGCCGCTGCGACGCCGCAGACAGCGCCACCTGCCGCGAGCCACTGGAAGGGGCCCGAGCGCTCGCGGGCCGGGAGGGCGGAGAGGGAGGGCCGGAGGAGGACTGGGAGGCACCGCGTCGTGCTCGCGAGAGAACAGAAATGCGCTTCCCCCAGCTTTGGCGCCTTGCTACGGGGCCCTGGATTGGACTAGATTTATGCAGACGCGTTCCCGCTCGCCTGAAAGAACACATACTTGGTTGCAGGTCCCCCTGGTGGCCAGAGGCGGGGAAAGGGCTGCTGATGAACAGGAGCGAACTCAACACACACCAAGCTCTCTGTTCTCCGGGTGTGTAGGTATTTTCCCAAACTGTACAGCTGAGGGGAATAGTGGCCTCCTGTGGGCTGCCTAGCATCTGCTCAGCTAAATTTTATAAAAGGAAACGCTCCCTTTATAAAACAGTAGTCTCACAGAGTCACCTACCAACTTCTTTTTTGGTTTGGGTTTGTTTTTTTTTCTTCCTCCCTAATTGTGAGAATAAGATTAGAGGATTGGTCATAATCAGAGCGATGCCAGCGTGGGAAGCACGGTTGGATTTCCCTGGCATTCCACCACCTGCTGCTGCTCGGTTCCCCGTCCTACCTCCTTCAGGTAGCCAGGTCGTATTCATGCTTATTCCGTTGTCGTATTCCGTTGCTGCTTTTGCCCCTTACGTGTACTCCCTCTGAAACCCCTAGTTGCTTTGTGGTCAGTTGGACTGATGTTGCGTCAACCAGGTATTATGTGGATTCCTATGTGATGCAATGTAAAGTACGTGCTATCGCCCATGAAGTATTCTAGCCCAAGGTGGTTAACTTGCCTCTATGGCATCTTGAGTTTGATGTTTACAGGAAGTAAGGGGAATTGAGGAGCAAGTAAAATGACACCACAGGGAACCAGGCAAATACAGGAAGTGGGCCTTCCTTCAGGACAGCTGGCCAGTTCTCTTTGTCGAGTCAGAGTCCTATGAAAGGGCCTATGCCAGATTAAAAGGAACCCGAAGAATATAACCAAGAGACACATTGCAAGGGCTTGAGTTGGGGGCCAACTTGGAGAAATAAGCGTAAAGGACATTTTTGGTTCATTTGGAGAAATTTGAATATGTACTGAGTATTAGAAGAGTAGTTATTCACATGGAAACGTGGAAATTATTGTCTTTTTTAAAAGCTGGTTACAAGACGGGATGTGTCTGTAGACAAAATGAAAAACATGTCCTCAAAATACAGATTAATATGTATGTATGCATATGAAGATGTGGGAGGAGAATATGAACCAAGGGTTACAGTGGTGATCTCTGGGTGGTGACAGAGATATTTTATTTTTTGTTTTGGCTGGTTCCATATTCTATGATGCTCATGAAGTGCTTTTGTAATAAGAAAATATTATTTAAAATTTAAAAATAATTTTCTTTGCTATCGGTAAGTGAATAGCAGATTTTTAGGAGGCCTAATAAATCCATAAATCCATAAATGAAATCTCCAGTTATTAGGCTCCTCAAGGACAGGGTCTGCAGTGGAGTTGGCTCTATGTTCTTGATATTTACCAGAATGCCTAGCAGCTAATTCAACAAATTAATACATTTAATGCAAGAGAATAAATGGAAGAACTAGATCTAATTATAATGTTCTCATTCTGCTTGGCAATTATAACCCTCTTTATGATGGAAGCTGCTGCCATGTTCAGTGGTCAAAATTTTTGGACCAGTTGTCTCCCATATGTCTGATGGCAGCCGCGGCCTATAGAACCCAGGCTGTGGATCGTTGGTGGTCCATGGGCAAGTCCAGCCCTTCCTTAGAGCTGTAGTGTATGTTTCAGCCTCATGAGTGGCTGCTTGTTATTCTCCACACAAGCCATTTACTTTCTTACCTTCTTGATTTTATTCATGCTATTCTCTACTTCTGGAATGCCCTTCCTTACATTTTCCACTTAAAAAATCCTAACTTTGAAAAAATCCTAATCCTTTAAGTCCCATCTCAAATGTTACTTATTTATCCTTAAGGTCAGTGTGACTCTCTCCTTGCCATGAAACAGTTCCTTCATTTCTATGACATCATCGTCATCATCACAGGCCTGTCTTCCACCATTCGTGGTCCATTCATTCAGAGCAAGGATCATATTTTTTTTTTCCTTCCTTCCTTCCTTCCTTCCTTTCTCTCTCTTTTCTTCTTTCTTTCTTTCTCTCTTTCTTTCTCTCTCTCTCTCTCTCTTTCTTTCTTTCTTTCTTTCTTTTCTTTCTCTCTTTCTCTTTCCCTCATTCCCTCGCTCCCTCCCTTCCTTCCTTCTTTTTTTTCCTTTCTTTCTTGTGAAATGGGTCTCACTCTGTCTCCCAGGCTGCAGTGCAGGGGTGTGATCACAGCTCACTGCAGCCTCCACCTCCTGGGCTCAAAATCATCCCTACCTCAGCCTCCCGAGTAGCTAAGACTACAGGCACGCACTACCACACCCAGCTAATTTTTTTGATTTTTTGCAGAGACGACGTCTCATTATGCTGCCAGGCTTGTTTCGAACTCCTGGGCTCACATGATTCTCCCACCTCAGTCTCCCAAAGTGCTGGGATTATAGGTGTGAGCCACCACACCCAGCCGATCATGTTTTTTCATCTTGAGATCCCCAGTTCCTGGTTGAGTATTGGGAACATGGTAGTAGTGTTTATTGATTTGAATTGAATGTGTGTAATGAATAGCTTCAAAGCCTTTTTTTCAGAATCAGTTAGTAAGTGACCTCTGTGGCTACTATTTGTGTCTCATCAAAATCTGTGGGTTTTTTTTCTTTTTTTTCCTAATTCCCAGGGTGATGGTAAAAACCCATGTTATTTCTTTAGCAGCAGTTGGTGGAGGGTGTGAGGGTGAGGTACAGGGCCCACCTGGTTTGGGACTGAAAAAATGTGAGAATGATTGCTCCATTTTTCCTGGTGCCAGTTGTTTCCTCTTTTAGTTGGAGAATACGCTCCAACAGAAGGCAAATAGTAAAATCTCAAGGATATTGCCAAAGCTAATATAAATAATACAACATGATGGAGGGAACACGTGGTAGATTATTGTCAAGTCAGCTTCAATTGGAGTAAGAATCTGCTGCAGGCAGGTTGGTATTTTGAAACATCAGAGGCAGCAGAAAAGTGAAGTCCAACAGAAGCAAATGTCTACAGGCTAAAAAACCGGAAGTAATCTATTCTTCTGGAAGAAGTATCTGGTACTCAATTTTGTGTGTGTTCTGAGTTCCATTAACATTAATTCTGAGTTCTTCCTTCCCCTCCCTTCCCTTCACCTCCCCTCCCCTCCCCTCCCGTCTTTCCTTCTAATAGAGTCTCTCTCTGTTGCCCAGGCTGGAGTGCAGTGGTATAATTTCAACTTGCTGCAACCTCCACCTCCCAGGTTCAAGCAATTCTTGTGTCTCAGCCTCCCAAGAAGCTGGGATTACAGGCATGCGCCACCATGCCCAGATAATTTTCATATATTTAGTAGAGATGGGGTTTTGCGGTGTTGGCCAGGCTGGTCTCAAACTCCTGGCCTCAAGCAATCTGCCCACCTCAGCTTCCCAAAGTGTGAGCCACCACACCTGGCCAATTCTGAGTTCTTGTAAATAAGTTGTTCATGATGGAGGGATCATTTTTATCATACACATTGAATATCCCTTATCTGAAATGCTTGAGACCAGAAGTGTTTTGGATTTTGGATTTTGGAACATTACTGGTTGAGAATCTCTAATCCAAAAATCCAAAATCCAAAGTGCTCCAATGAGCATTTCCTTTGAGTGTTATATCAGTACTCAAAAAGTTTCCAATTGGAGCATTTTGGATTTTTAGATTATTAATACTCAGCTTGGTATTGGTTAGTGCAGCCTTATCTTTTTGCCTTCAGACTACCCTGAGAAAGTTTGGTTCCTACCATATTTGAATAAGAACCACATTGGATAGGGCAGATGAGAATCTCCTAACCTAGCCTGTTTTGCTGAGGGAGCTAACCACATGAGACCACATGAGAGACCATGTTATGTGTCATGCACTCTCAGTCACAGCTGACTGGACTAGAGGGAAACCCTGATATACAGGCAGCCAATACCCACACTGAATGAGGTGGCCTTTAGAAAAGGTTCTCCCCCCACAAGTGGATGGTAGTGACCAGCTACACCAATCAGGTTTTCTCTCTGGGGACTTGGAACTGGGAAATACAAGGAGACACTCCATCAGTGTATATTTATTTGCATATTAGAATGTAAGCTCCATTAGGGCATGGACTTTGCCTGAGTGTTTACTACTGTGCTCTTAGTACTGACAAAGAATTGGCACATAATAGTTAATAAATGGCTGTTGAACGTATGAATGGTCGTGTTTGTAGTCATGTTGATGGCAGTGGCGATCCGTATGGAGTGGCCATTGCAAGGACACCAGCTGTAGCGGGGGAGGTGTGGCCAGGGCTGTGCACTCGTTGGCCCGTGGGGGCCAGGAACAGTTGAATCCCAGTGGGAGCCCCCACGCCCTACCGAGTTGGTGGGGTGGGAGCCCACCAACTCCTGGGTGCAGCTGCAGCTGCCCAGCTATGGCTCCAGACCCAGGCATCCCTATGCTCTCAGGGGCTCAGGAAGCCTCCTTCCCCCACAAGCTCAGAAGTGCCTGCTCCCACTCCCTGGCCTCTCCCTATCCCTAGCACCCACTCTGGTGTGGAACACAGTTGTGGCCGAGCCCAGGTACTGGTGCAACCCAGCCAGGTGTGTGTATCCTTGGGGCAGTACTGAGGCACCAGCCCTCTGCTACCTCGGCCCCTTCAGACTTTGGGCACTAATGAGCATGGGAGGAAGGCTGGGGTGCTGAGGGCAGCTTGACGTGGGCCTGCAGACAGCCTGGGCACTGCAAATGGCCTGTTGATGGTGGCAGGAGGCAGACAGGTTCCTAGGTGGGAAGAAGCAGGTCCCTGGTGAAACCCCATCTTCAGGCCAGGCCTAAAACCTAGGGGCCTGGCTCCCAGTTCCAGGTGGAGTTCATGACCCAGAGTGAGAACTTCCTTGATGCCTTTTGGCCAGTTGGATGGTGCCTTTTCCATGAACCAATCAGCATGTACTTCCTCCCTTCTGAGCTCATAAAAACCCCAGACTCAGCCAGACTCAGAGACTCATCAGGATTACCTGCTTGTGGATAGGAGCTACCCACTTTGGGTCTCCTCTATACTCGTTGGGAATACCTGCCTATGAATAGGAGCTACCCACTTTGGGTCTCCTCTATACTCATTGGGAATACCTGCCTATGAATAGGAGCTACCCAGTTTGGGTCTCCTGTCTGCTGAGAGCTGTTTGGTTGCCCAATAAAGCTCTTCTCTGCCTTGATCACCCTCCAGTTGCCCATGCAACCTCATTCTTCCTGGATATGGGACAAGAACTTGGGACCCACCAAATGGCAGGAGCAAAAGGAGCTGTAACACTTCCCTGGCTGGTTCCCTGAGCTATGGTGGGAGCTAAAGGGCTGCAACACTATAGCTCTCCCACCCTCTGCTGGCACCAGACAGCTGCCCCATGCGATGGGAAGCAGCAGCGGGGCTGGGCTAGCCCAGGAACTGTGGCCCAGAGTGTGGCAGCAGGACTGAAAGAGCTGTAACACAAATGGGCTGAAACATGCCCCCCAAAACACACCCCCCCACTCACCATGCTGCGGGCAATGAGAAGGAGAGAAGAGCTGTGGCCCTTCTGGATGCCCAGACCTTGGGGCTCCCTGAGCAAGGGCTGTGACACACTGTAACACCTTCTTTGGCACTCTGTAGTTCCTGGCATCTCTGAGCTTTTAGGTGCCACTGGACTCCCCTTGTCTAGATGCTGGTGCCCACAGTGGAAGCCGCTTGTGGTATATCGGGTCCAGCTGCAGCGTCACATGGAGCCAGCGCCTGTGCCAGTGCCTGGAGCTGCCCACCCTGCCACAGCAGCCAGTGTGCCTGGCTGTGCAAAGAGGCAAGAACCTGTGCTCACTCGTTCACATACCCCTCACTGCTCCACACCTGCCTCAACCTTGTCAAGTGTGGGATCCAGGCCGGCAGCAAAGCAAGTGTAGCCTGCCAGGCCAAGTGGGCAGGACAAGCCCAGCAGGCGCAAGCAAAACTCAAGCAGAGGTGCTGCTGATCACAGAGGTTTCCAGCTGGCAAAGCAACACCCTAAGGATCCTGTGACAATGTCAACAGAAAAGCACTAGAACAGTGGTTCTTAAGCTGGGGTATGTATCAGGTTCACCAGGGAACCTGGTAAAAATACAGAAGTCCCAGTGCTAGTCTACTTTGATGACCCTGGTCCCAGTATTTGTCATTAGTTTCCAGGTGATTCTGATACACACGTTTGAGAACTTCCCCATTAGAGCAATGTTTAATAAACTTCTGCTTTTTTGTGGGTAATCAGATAATGAATAAGAATCTCTAGAGCTGGGAGGAATCCTCTTAGCAATCAGACTTGACCACAAAGACCCAAATTGTGCTCAGTTTCTTACATATCTTTGTTGTTTCCATCACCTTTATTGTCAAATTTTTCTTTGTCTTTATCTATTTTCTAGACAAAATTTTGATTTTGGAATAATTTTCAATTAAATAAAAATTTGGGTAGAGACAGGGATCTTGCTAGTTTGCCCAGGCTGGTCTCGAACTCCTGGCCTCAAGTGATCCTCCTGCTTTGGCCTCCCTAAGTGCTGGGATTACAGGCATGAGCCACCACCCCCAGCCTGGAATAATTTTAGATTTAAGGAAAAGTTGCAGCCAGTACAGAGAGTTCCCATAGGTCCCCTTTACCCAGTTTCTCCTATTGTTAACATCTTACATCAACCACAGTATATTTGTTAAAACCAAGAAACCAACATTTGTACATTATTAGTTAAACTCTAAACTTTATTCAAATTTCACAGGTGTTTCTACTAATGTTCTTTTTCTGTTGCAGGATTCAGTCCAGGCCTACATCACAGTTAGTTGTCATGTCTCCTTTGTCTTCTCTGGTTTGGGACTGTGTCTCAATCTTTCCTGTTTTTCATGGCCTTGAGAGTTTCAAAGAGCACTGTTCAGGTTTTGTTTCTTTGTTTGTTTATTTTTGAGAGGGAGTGTCTCTCTGTCACCCAGGCTGGAGTGCAGTGGCTCAATCTCTCAGCTCACTACAACCTCCACCTCCCGAGTTCAAGTGATTCTCCTTCCTCAGCCTCTGAGTAGGTGGGACTACAGGCATGCGCCACCATGCCCAGCTAATTTTTTTATTTTTAGTAGAGACAGGGTTTCACCATGTTGGTCAGGCTGTGCTCAAACTCCTGACCTCAAGTGATCCACCTGCCTTGGCCTCCCAAAGTACGGAGACTACAAACGTGAGCCATCACGCCTGGCCCTGCTCAGGTATTTTAAAGAATATACCTCCTGTTGGGTATGCCTGTTGTCATGATTAGACTGAGGTTATGGATTTTGGGGAGGAATACCACAGAGGTGAAATGCCCATGCTTATCAGGTCATATCAGGAGTATGTGCTATTAACATGACTTATTAATGGTGATTTTAACCTTGATCATTAAGATGCTGTCCATTTTAATAGTAAAGTTACTATGTTCCCCTTTTTCCTATGGAAGCAAGTCACCGTGTCTAGGCATCCTAGAGGGTGTGTGTGTGTGTTGGGGGAGGGGAATTAAGCTGCACCTCCTGAAGGGGGTTATCTATGCAAATAATTTGGGGTGGGGTGTGGTGACTCACACCTGTAATCCCAGCACTTTGGGAGACTGAGGAGAGAGGATCACTTGAGGCCAGGAGTTTGAAACCAGCCTGGGCAACATAGGAAGACCCTGTCTCTATAAAAAATTTAAAAATTAGCCCGGCATGGTGGCGCACACCTGTAGTCCCAGCTACTCAGGAGGCTGAGGTGGGAGGATCACTTGAGCCTGGAAGACTGAGGCTGCAGTGAGCCGTGACCAGTGCCATTGCATTCCAAACTGCAACAGAGTAAGACCCAATCTCCAAAAAAAAAAAAAAAAAAAAAAAACCCAACTTTGGGAGGCTGAGGCGGGCAGATCACAAGGTCTGGAGTTCAAATCCAGCCTGGCCAACATAGTGAAACCCCATCTCTACTAAAAAATACAAAAAAAAAATTAGCTGGGCATGGTGGCACACACCTGTAGTCCCAGCTACTTGGGAGGCTGAGGCAGAAGAATCACTTGAACCTGGGAGTTGGAGGTTGCAGTGAGCTGAGATCACGCCACTGCACCCCAGCCTGGGCAGCACAGCGAGACTCTGTCTCAAAACAACAACAACAACAACAAAACAAACAAAAACACAACAATGACAAAAATAATTTGGAATTCTGTAAAGATTTTTGCCTCATCTCTCCCATTTATTAATTAATTAAATCACTTATTTGTATATCAATACGGGTTCATGTATATGTATTTTGTCTTTTGTTGGTTTTTTGTTGTTGTTGTTTGAGACAGATTCTCTCATTGCTGGTGGTAATGCAATATTTTGTAGCTAAATGGTACTGGCTTTGACCTGGGAAGCACTTTTCAGGTTGGCTTTTGTGTCCCTTTGACAGACCACCATTCTTTTTTAAAAAAAAAAAAATTGTGGTAAAATATACATACATAATATTTAATAGCTTAATCATTTCTACATGTACAGTTAAGCGGTATTAAATACATTCACATTGTTGTGGAATTATCCTTTTGTATTTTGAGCACGCCTGTACTTTCTGGCACTATAGGATGCTCAGGTTCATCTTGTATTTTTTCTTGCTCTAGCCCTAGAGTTAGCCATTTCTTTAAGGCACCCTGAATTCCTTAGAATGGAGAATGGTATTTAGAAACCAAGATTTGGCTTATTTTTTCATTCTCTTAGTGTAAATCACAGGGCAAAAGCTTTAAATTTTGATGAAGTCCAACTTACCAATATTTTCCATGGAATGTGCTTTTGGTTTTATATCTGAAAACTTATCACCAAACCAAAGGCCATGCAGATTTTCTTCTAAGTTTTCTTCTAGAAGTTTTACAGTTTTACATTTTATTTATAGGCCTATGATCCATGTTGACTTAATTTTTGTATAGGTGTGAGATATGTGTTTAGGTGGATTACTTTCACAGATGGATATCCAGTTTTCCCAGCACCATGTGCTGAAAAGACAATCCTTCCTCCATTGAATTGTCTTTGTCCCCCTGTCAAAGAGAATCTCTGGAGCTGGATACAATCTTCCCAGCAAGCAAACTCAATAAAAGGCCCAAATTTTACTGATATTCTTGTATTTCTTTGACATTTCCATCATCTTCATTAACATATATATATAATTATTATTATTATTTTGAGACAGAGTCTCCCTCTGTTGCCCAGGCTGGAGTGCAGTTGCACAATCTTGGCTCACCGCAACCTCCGCCTCCCGGGTTCAAGCGATTCTCCTGCCTCAGCCTCCCAAGTAGCTGGGACTGCAGGCGTGCGCCACCATGCCTGGCTAATTTTTTGTGTTTTTAGTAGAGATGGGTTTTCACCATGTTAGCCAGGATGGTCTTGATCTCCTGACCTTGTGATCCACCCACCTTGGCCTTCCAAAGTGCTGAGATTACAGATGTGAGCCACTGTGCCTGGCCACACATATATATATTTAACTAAAACCTCTATTACTCAAGGTAGGCTGCCCATCTGTTTTTTTGGGTTTTTTTTTTTTTTTTTTTTCAGATAAAATAATCTTCTTAACACAGCCTTCCTGGACCTGCCTCAAACTGTCTCCTTGCAGTTGAGTCCTTCTAGCAACTTTGCAGGTGCCTAATTTTAGGGAATAATTGCTTGGGTTAATTGTTACCTGTGGGTCCTGTGAAGATGAAAGATATTGGTAGGGTCAGTAATTACTGCAGTAAGAACACTATTCACCTTTTGATGCCTGCCTGACTTGTTTGATACTTCTTTAATTCCCCTTGATATTATGAAGAGGTAGAGAATGTAAACCAAAAATAAAATTTGAACCCCTGCAACCATCTGAATGGACTTCCTCCTCAGCCAGGGGACTCTAAAATTTCACCTGAAAGACTGGTTCAGGCCACGACTGGAAGTGGAGGTTGGACATGCCTCATTATTCCCCTCCAGCATTAACATCAACACAGACTGTCAGTCTGATAAGAAACATTTACAGTCTTCTCTCTAAAGCCTGCTACTTGGAGACTTCATCTGCTTGATAAAACCTAGGTCTCTACAACATCTTCCTAATCCAGATATTTCCTTCCTGTTGAAAATAACTATTTCAAGCAATTGCCAATCAGAATATGTTTAAATTTACCTGTGACCTGGAAGCCCCACCCTTGGAGTTGTCCTGTTCTTCCACATCAAACCAATGTAAATCTTCCATATATTGATTGATGTGTTATGTCTCTTTAAAATGTATAAAAGCAAGCTGTAACCCAACAACCATGAGCACATGTCCTGAGGACCTCTTGAGGCTGTGTCATGGTCATATCCTTAACCTTGGCAAAATCCACTTTATAAATTGATTGAGACTTGTCTCCGACACTTTTTGGTTTACAAAACCCATGAGCTGCACCAAATTACTTCCTCAGAATATGGAAGAAGTTGGTGTAGTTCCATATGGTTCTGGGCAATAGAGAGGAGCCTATCTTGCCATTTCAGGCAATTTATTTCTCCTTGCCCCCTCTGCTGTATCATGGGACAGTGTCAATCATGTTAAAGCATGATACATACAGTGATGTGATGTTAAGAGGTGATTGCTAAAGGTCTCTTGTCTAAAGGTCACATATTTCAAGAGGCTTTCCAGGCCTACAAAAGGCTTGGTAACACATTATTCCTTACTTCTCCTGGAAATTGCCCCAAGGGGAGAGCTCTGTTTCATGTTAAGATAAATTCTTTCCCCTTCCATGACACTGTTAACAGATGGTTTTCACTTGGAAGACACACACATCTGGGGCATATCTAGGATTATGCAAAACTCTCAGTTTGATAGCTGTGATTCAAGTCCTTTCTTAAGAAAGCGATAGCAGCAGGAGGCAGACAAATCCTAGGCAGACGGGGGAGCCCCCAGTGAGACCAAAGACAGTTTAAAGCCTGAAAGCCAAGCTACAAGTCTTGGATAAATCCACGGACTGGTGAGAATGCCTCTTCCCGCCTGGCATGCTTTCCTCTGATTGATCCCCCTGCTTTACCTATTTTACATATACCTAACCTTCTCTAATTGTTTTTTTACACTGTCATGCCCGTCTTTGAGTGGTGCCTTTGTTTTAGCCTTTTTTGAAACTCACAAACCAATCAGCACACACTCCCCATTCTGAGCTTGTAAAAGCCCTGGACCCAGCCACACTGAGGGAGAAACCATCTGACTTTGGGTAAGGGGCCACCCTCACATCTGCTCTCTGCTGAGAGTTGTTTTGTCACTCAATAAACTTCTTCTCTGCCCTCCTCACCCTTCGATTGTCAGCCTATCCTCATTCTTCTTTGACATGGGACAAGAGCTCAGGACCCACAGAACATAGGTACAAAGAAGCCTGTAACACTGTGACCCTCTGCCCTCTGCCAGCAGAAGGCAGCCGCCCCACGTGATAGGAAGCAGCGGTAGGGCGGAGCCAGCCCCAGAGCCATGGGCTGGAGCAGGGCAACAGAACTGATAGAGCTGTTAACATGCCGCCATCTGTTGGGCTGTGGATGGTGAGACTGAAAGGGCTATTAGCATGCTGTAACACCCCCTCTAGGGCTTTGGGGTTGCAGGCATCCCTCCCTGGGTGTCACCGACTTCCTTTCATCTGGATACTGGAGTCCACCGTGGAGGTGGCTTGCAACATGCCTGGTCCAGCCTCAAGCCCTGCACGGAGCCCGCTCCTGTGCTGGCACTTGGAATGGCTGGCTGGATCCTGTACTTGCTTGCTCACACACCCTCTCCCACCAGGGGCTGAGCCCGCAGTTGTGGCAGCCATGGAATTTGTGCTGGAATGCAAGCCAGGTGTGGCCCAGGTGGCTGAGTAAATGGAGCATCTCCTGTGGCAGACCAAGGCCCAAGCAAGGCCTGGGCAGGGGTGTCACTGGCTGGTGGTCTCTGGCTAGCAAAGCGACTGAGAAAAATCCTGCATCAAAAATGTATTGTAATGTAACTGGATGATAATACTATTATTACAGGAAAACTTTGAACCTGCTTTAGTGTGGAGAAAATGTCATTTGCAAATGATGCATTATTAAGTAGTAATATATTACTGATGTCACTGTAACTGTAATAGATCCATTGCCTTATGTGCATTGCGGTAGGCACCAGCCCCACAGGGTCAGTGGGTTTCTCCCCATGTGCGGAGACGAAAGAGTGTAGAAGACACAAGACAAAGAGATAAAAGAAAAGGCAGCTGGGCCCAGGGGACCACTACCACCAAGATGCGGAGACTGGTAGTGGCCCCAAATGCCAGACTGCACTGATATTTATTGGATACAAGACAAAGGGGCAGGATAAGAAGAGTGAGCCATGTCCAATAATAGGTAAGGCCACGTGGGTCACGTGTCCACTGGACAGGGGGCCCTTCCCTGCCTGGCAGCCGAGGCAGACAGAGAGAGGAGACAGAGAGAGAGACAGCTTACGCCGCCATTTCTGCTTATTAGAGACTTTTAGTACTTTCACTAATTTTGCTACTGCTATCTAAAAGGCAGAGCCAGGTGTACAGGATGGAACATGAAGGCGGACTAGGAGCATGACCACTGAAGCACAGCATCACAGGGAGATGGTTAGGCCTCCAGATAACTGTGGGCGAGCCTGACTAATGTCAGGCCCTCCACAAGAGGTGGAGGAGCAGAGTCTTCTCCAAACTCCCCCAGGGAAAGGGAGACTCCCTTTCCCGGTCTGCTAAGTAGTGGGTGTTTTTCCTAGACACACTACCGCTAGACCACGGTCCGCTTGGCAACGGGCGTCTTCCCAGATGCTGGCATTACCGCTAGACCAAGGAGTCCTCTGGTGGCCCTGTCTGGGCATAACAGAAGGCTCACACTCTTGTCTTCTGGTCACTCCTCACTATGTCCCCTCAGCTCCTATCTCTGTATGGCCTGGTTTTTCCTAGGTTATGATTATAGAGCGAGGATTATTATAGTATTGGAATAAAGAGTAATTGCTACAAACTAATGATTAATGATATTCATATATAATCATGTCTATGATCTAGATCTAGTATAACTATCCTTATTTTATATTTTATTATACTGGAACAGCTCATGCCCTTGGTCTCTTGCCTCGGCATCTGGGTGGCTTGCTGCCCACACATTGCAAATCTGTAAGCTGAGATATGGGTTGCAACAGAGAAAGAGGTTTAATCATAGTGAGAAGTGACAACGGGCTAACAGCCCTTGCTCGCTTTGGGCGCTTCCTCAGCCTCAGCATCCACTCTGGCCACGCTTGAGAACCCCTTCAGCCCACCGCTGCACTGTGGGAGACCCTCTCTGGGCTGGTCAAGGCTGAAGTCAGCTCCCTCTGCTTGCGGGGAGGTGTGGAGGGAGAGGCGTGGGCAGGAATGGGGCTGCACGCAGTTCCAGATGGGCGCAGGCTCGGCAGTCCCCACACTCGGAGCGACCCAACCCCGGGCAGTGAGGGGCTTAGCACCCAGGCCAGCAGCTGTGGAGAGTGTGCTGGGTCCCCCCCGCCCCCACACTACCGGCTTGCCCGCCCCGCTTGAATTCTTGCTGAGCCTTAGCTGCCTCCCCGCAGGGCAGGGCTCATGACCTGCAGCCCACCATGCCCAATTACCCATCCCCCACTGCCCATGGTGGCCTCTGGCACCACCTGAGCCTCCCCGATGGGCACCGCCCCCTGCTCTGCAGCGCCCAGTCCCATCGACCACCCAAGGGCTGAGGAGTGTGCTTGGGCTGAGGAGTGCGGCTCCCAGTGCAGGACTGGCAGGCAGCACCGCCCATGGTGCTGGCTTGGCGCGGGATCCACTAGGTGAAGCCAGCAGGGCTCCTGAGTTGGGTGGGGACTCCAGAGAACTTTTATGTCTAGCTAAGGGTTTGTAAATGCACCAATCAGCACTTTGTGTCTAGCTCAAGGTTTGTAAATGCACCAGTCAGCAACCTGTGTCTAGCTCAAGGTTTGTAAACACACCAATCAGTGCTCTGTGTCTAGCTAATCTAGTGGGGACTTGGATAACTTTTGTGTCTAGCTAAAGGATTGTAAAGGCACCAATCAGCACTCTGTGTCTAGCTCAAGGTTTGTAAACGCACCAATCATCACCCTGTCAAAACGGACCAATCAGCTGTCTGTAAAATGGGTCAATCAGCTCTCT
Source organism: Homo sapiens (assembly GCF_000001405.40). Classification (NCBI taxonomy): domain Eukaryota; kingdom Metazoa; phylum Chordata; class Mammalia; order Primates; family Hominidae; genus Homo; species Homo sapiens. The sequence continues at coordinate 170,914,945 of NC_000002.12, read as the reverse complement.
GTAAAATGGACCAATCAGCAGGATGTGGGTGGGGTCAGATAAGGGAATAAAAGCCGGCTGCCCAGGCCGGCTGGGCAACCCGCTAGCGTCCCATTGAATGCTGTAGAGGGTTGGTTTTTTTTTTTGCTCTTTGCAATAAATCTTGCTGTTGCTCACTCTTTGGGTCCGTGCTGCCTTTATGAGCTGTAACACTCACCGCGAAGGTTTGCAGCCTCGCTCCTGAAGCCAGTGAGACCACCAACCCACCAACCCACTGGGAGAAATGAATAACTCCAGACGCGCTGCCTTTAAGAGCTCTAACACTCACCGCGAAGGTCTGCAGCTTCACTCCTGAAGGCAGCGAGACTGCGCACCCACCAGAAGGAATAAACTCCGGACCTATCTGAACATCTGAAGGAACAAACTCCCGACACAACATGTTTAAAAACTGTAACACTCACCACGTGGGTCTGTGGCTTTATTCTTGAAGTCAGCGAGACCAAGAACCCACCAATTGCGGACGCGGTAGGACTGCCAAATAAAGAGACTGGAGGAAACCTCGAATTCATCTCCTCAAGGAATTTTGGGGCTAGGATTTTGGAGTGGGCTGGAGTGTGGAGATCATTGACTGATCAAAAAGTGCAGGGTGAAGTCATGGGACAGGGAGGTGAAGAACCTGTATTCTCATCCTGATTTGGTTCCTCTGTGGGGATCTTTAAACTTGGTGTCAGCTGGTCACTAGAATTCAGAATCTGAGGTACATCTTAAGTAATTCTTAAACAAAAGCCTCCTGATTCTAACATCAGGAATCCTGTCTCTAGGACCAATGGGGATGCAAATGATTAGTATCTAGTGTTATTTAGGTTTTTAAAAAGTGGGTCAAAGTGCAGTCTCTAACAATTAAAAGTACATTTCTGTTCAGGATTCTTGCTAATCTTGTGAGAATGGCTTCATAACCAGGAGTCACAAACTCGTATGTCCACGGAGGGAATTAAGTTGGGCTGAGTATGTGGGAGTGGTGGGGGCCGTGGGAAATAGGAATTCTCAAGCCCCTCCTAAAAGGGCTAGCTACTGCTAATCTCCACCTGATTGAGGACGTTAAGGAATTGGAGTCTAGTGTTGTCAAATTTGATTTTTCAAGAGATCTAGAAACTTACAGTACTCTTATGAAATCAACCAATTTAAAAAATATCAGTAATCATGGCCAGGTGTGGTGGCTCATGCCTGTAATCCCAGCACTTTGGGAGGCAGAGGCAAGCAGATCACTGTATAGGCCAGGAGTTCGAGACCAGCCTGGCCAACATGGTGAAGCTCCATCTGTACTAAAAATACGAAAAAAAAAAATTAGCTGGGTATGGTGGTGCCACTGCACTCCAGCTTGGGTGACAGGAGACCATGTCTCAAAAAATAAAATTAAATTAAAAAGCTGACAATACTAAGCACTAGCAAGGATGCAGAGCACCTAGAACGCGCAAACATTGCTGGTGGAAATGCAAAATGGTACAGCCACATTGGAGGACAGTTTGGCAGTTTCTTTTGAAGTTAAACAAGCACTTAACATATGATCCAGTGATCTCACTCCTAGATATTTACAGAAAATAAATGTCCATCCAAAATGTTCATACAAAAACCTATATATGACTGTTTATAGCAGCTTTGTTGTCTATTTAGTGTTAATCTGTCTGGAAGTAAACTAAACTCCACAGTGAGGTTTTCCCATTGGGTGGGTATCCTGGGGAAAAGAAGCTCTTCCCTATGGAGTCTTTTCATGCCATCATTGCATGCAAGGGATCGCTTGACCATCCATGGTACAAATGTTCACAGTGCAGCCACATAGCACCTAGGGGAAAATGAGGGCAATGTTGGGGATAGAGTGAATGAGAAAGGGAGAAAAAGAATGAACTAAGGAAGGGAAAATTATTTAGCTGGTGGTAAAGAATGGAATTGACCTGATCATCTCAGGCCCTACCTCCTTGAGGCTGATCAGGACACAGTAGGGCACACTGGTACCATGTCAGTGGAACTGTGCCTAGGACTTCTCTTTGAGCATTTAAGATAATGTCTACAGAGATGTTGTCAGGCTGGACATCAACCTGTTTGGGGAAGGGTGACCTTAGTGCCTTTCTTTCAGCTATGGCATGAAGTTACCAAAGCGATTAGATGGAAAGAAATGTTTTTTCCAGGCTGGGTGTGGTGGCTCACACCTGTAATCCCAGCACTTTGGGAGGCCGAGGTGGGCGGATCACAAGGTCAGGAGTTCGAGACCAGCCTGGCCAATATGGTGAAACCCCGTCTCTACTAAAAATACAAAAATTAGCCGGGCATGGTGGCGGGTGCCTGTAGTCCCAGCTTTTCAGGAGGCTGAGGCAGAAGAATTGCTTGAACCCAGGAGGCAGAGGTTGCAGTGAGCCGAGATTGCACCATTGCACTTTAGCCTGGGAGACAGAGATAATCCATCTAAAAAAAAAAAAAGAAATATTTTTTTTTCCCTACAAATCATGCTGGAACAATTGGATAGGCAAATGCAAAATATAAACCTCAACTCTTCCCACACCATATAAAAATTAACTTGAAATGGGTCCTAGACCATTTTCTTACCCAAGTGTAAAAACAAACATTATAAAACTGCAAGAAAAAAAAATAGAAGAAATCTTAGCAATTTGGATTTGGCACAGAATTATAAATAGGTTTCAAAAACACAGTAAATTGGACTTACCAAAATTTAATGCTTTTGCTCTTCAAAAGAGAATTGTTAAAAATGGAAAGTCACAGAATGGGAGGAAATATTCTCAATACATATATGAAACCCACAGATGACAAAACAATAAATGACTTGAAGGAGAAAGACTGGGAAGGCAAATTAATAAGGAAAAGATGCCATCTCAAGAGGCAGTAGGGCAAATAATTCAAACAAGTAATTATAGAAGATGAAATCAGATACCCAATAGAAATATGAAAAAACCCAAGTATCTCCAGAAAAAAATTTTTAAAGTCAATTAAAATAGGTTCTACCTATAGTGAAAACTATAAAATATTGCTGAAGGAAATTAAAGGAGACCTAATTAAATGAAAAAAATACCATGTTCATAGCTTGGAAGACAATATTGTTAAGATAGCGACACTACTCAAAGCAATCTAAAGATTCACTGCAATACCTATCAAAATTCCAACAACCTTTTATTGCAGAAATGGAAAAGCTGATATTCAATTCGTATGCATTGCATATCCCACCTCCCACAATAGCCAAATAATTCTTGAGAAAAAATGCTGGGAGCAGTGGTTTATGCCTATAATCCCAGTACTTTGGGAGGCTGAGGTAGACGATTGTGTAAACCTGGGAGTTCAAGACCAGCCTGAGCAACATAATGAGACCTCATCTCTACAAAAAAAATTAAAAAATTAGCCAGGCATGGTGGCACATGCCTATAGTCTCAGCTATTCGAGAGGGTCAAAGCTTCAGTGAGCCATGATTGTATCATTGCACTCCAGCATAGGTGACAGAGTGAGACCTTGTCTCAAAAACAGAGACGGAGAGAGAACAAAATCAGAGGACTCATACTTCTTGATTTCAAAACTTACTACAAAAATACATTAATCAAACAATGTGATACTAACATAAGGATAGACATATAAACCAATGGAATATAATTGAGACTCCCTAAAAAAACCCATACATCTATAGCCAGTTGATTTTTGATAAGGATGCCAAGTTCATTCAATGGCAAAGGAATAGTCTTCAACAAATTGTGCTGGGACAACTGGATAACTACATGCAAAAGAATGAAGTTGGATTCTTACCACACTCTATATATGAAAATTAACTCAAAATAGATTAATAACCTAAGTATAAGAGTTAAAACCATAAAGCTCTTAGAAAAAAACATATGGGGAAACCTTCATGACTTTGGATTTGGAAATAGATTCTTAGATATGACACCAAAAGCACAGGCAACAAAAAAAATAAATTGCACTTTGTCAAAATGAAAAACTTTTGCACCTCAAAGGACGTTATAAAAAAAGTGAAAAAACCTATAAAATAGGAGAAAATGGGCTGTGCTCAGTGGCTTATGTCTGTAATCCCAACACCTTGGGTGGCTGAGATGGGAGGATCACTTGAGGCCAGGAGTTCAAGACCAGCCTGGGCAACATAGCAAGACCCCTACAAAAGATTTAAAAATTAGCCGATCATGGTTGTGTGCACCTGTAGTCCTAGCTACTTAGGAGGCTGAGGCAGAAAGATCCCTTGAGCCCAAGAGTTATAGTGAGCCCAAGGTTATCATGAGCTATGATTGTACCACTGCCCTCCAGGCTGGGTGACAGAGCAAGACTCTGTCTTTAAAGAAAAGAAAAAGAGAGAAAACAAAATAATATATCTGATAAAAGTTTAACATCCAGAATATATAGAGAACTCCTGCAACTCAATCACAAAAAGACAAACAACCCAATAAAAAATAGACGAAGAATTTAAACAGACAGTTCTCTAAAGAAGGTAAACAAATGGCCAAAATGCATGTGAAAAGGTGTTCCGCATCATTAGTCATTAGGGAAATGCTAATCAAACCCCAGTAAGATACCACTTCACACCCAGTTAGGGTGGGTATTATTTAAAATACCCCAAAACCAAAAGCCAAAAAGAAAAGAAAGAAAGATAAATAGCAAATATTCTTGAAGATATGGAGAAACTAGAACTCTCATGAGTTGCTGATGGGAATGTAGAATGGTGTAGCCACTGTGGAACACAGTGTAGTGGTTCCTCAAAAAGTTAAGCATAGAATTACCATATAACCCTGCGGCTGGGCACAGTGGCTCATGCCTATAATCCCAACACTTTGGGAGGCCAAAGCGGGTGTATCACCTGAGGTCAGGAGTTCAAGACCAGCCTGGCCAACATGGCGAAACCCCATCTCTACTAAAAATACAAAAATCAGCTAGGCATGGTGGTGCACGCACACTCCTCAGCAAAGGCAACTCCCCAGCTACTCAAAAGGCTGAGGCAAGAGAATTGCTTGAACCTGGGAGGCAGAGGTTGCAGTGAGCCGAGATAGTACCACTGCACTCCAGCCTGGGCAGCAGAGTGAGACTCTGTCTCAAAAAAAAGAATTACCATATAACCTAGCACCTTTACTCCTGAGTATACATCCAAGGGATTTGAAAACAGGGACTCAAACAGATGCTTGTACATGAATGTTCATAGCAGCATTATTCACAATAGCCAAAAGGTGGAAACAACCCAATTGATCATAACAGATGAATGGATACATATGGATGAGCCTTGAAAACATTATGCTAAGTGAAATAAACCAGACACGCAAAAAAAATATTGGGTGATTTCACTCATATCAACAATCTAGAATAGACAAATTTATAGAGACAAAGTAAATGAGAGGTTTGGGAGAGGGGAGAATGGAGAGTTATTGCTTAATGAGATAAAAGCTTTGGAAATAGTGATAGGGTTGCACAACATTGTGAATGTAATTAATCCCACAAAATTGTATGCTTAAAACTATTTAAGTGGTAAATTTACATATATATAAAATAGAAAAAGATATACATTTATTTCATAGATATATATCACAATAAATTTTTAAAAATAGATACTACCTTTTTTTGGCTTACCTTTTTTTTTTGATGGAATCTCACTCTGTCGCCCAGGCTGGAGTGCAGTGGCACGATTTCGGCTTGCTGCGACCTCTGCCTCCCGGGTTCAAGCAATTCTCTGCCTCAGCCTCCTGAGTAGCTGGGATTACAGGCGCTTGCCACCACTCCCGGCTAATTTTGTTAAAATATTTTTAGTAGAGACGGGGTTTCACCAACTTGGCCAGGCTAGTCTTGAACTCCTGACCTCAGGATCCACCCGCCTCGGCCTCCCAAAGTGCTGGGATTACAGGCATGAGCCACCGTGCCCGGCTTTGGCTTACCATTTTAGTGATAAACTCAGCGTTAGCAAAATTATGTGCACTACTGATGGAGAGAGTTTAAACTGTTGCAAAATTTCTAGAGTTAGGTCTACCCCAATTTGCAGAACAATAAACTAGATACACAGTGGTAACAATAGGGATCAGTGAGGGATGCAGTTGTCATTCATGGGTCATATTTCCAAAAAAAAATTTTTTTTTTTTTTGAGACAGGGTCCCACTATGTCACCCAGGCTGGAGTGCAGTGGTGAGATCACAGCTCACTGTAGCCTGGACCCCAGGCTCAGGTGATCCTTCTTCCTCAGCCTTCCAATTAGCTGGGACTACAGCCACCCACTACCATTCCCCGCCAATATTTGTATTTTTTGTAGAGATGGGGTTTCGCCATGTTGGCCAGGCTGGTCTTGAACTCCTGGCCTCAAGTGATCCACCTGCCTCAGCCTCCCAAAGTGCTGGGATTACAGGTGTCAGCCACTGTGCCTGGCTTCAAAAATCTTGTTCTATTGAAAAATGTGATAGTAAATATAAACACAGCTTCTTTACTGTTTATATTACCATTTTCTTTACAGAGTTTTTTTTTTTTTACTTTTTAAAAAGTATAAGTTCCAGGGTACATGTGCAGGATGTGCAGGTTTGTTACATAGGTAAACATATGCCATGGTGGTTGGCTGTACCTATCAACCCATCACCTAGGTATTAAGCCTTGCATGATTTAGCTATCTTTCCTGATGCTCTCCCTCCCCGCTCTTCCCCCACTCCAGACAGGCCCCAGTGTGTGTTGTTCCCCTCCCTGTGTCCATGTGTTCTCATTGTTTAGCTCCCGCTTATGAGTGAGAACATGAAGTGTTTGGTTTTCTGTTCCTGCGTTAATTTGCTGAGGATAATGGCTTCCAGCTCCATCCATGTCCCTGCAAAGGACATGATCTTGTTCCTCTTTATGACTGCATAGTATTTCCATGGTATATATTTACCACATTTTCTTTATCCAGTCTATCATTGATGGGCATTTGGGTTGATTCCGTTTCTTTACTATTGTGAATAGTGCTTCAGTGAACATACACGTGCACATATCTTTATAACAGAATGATTTATATTCCTTTGGATATATACCCAGTAATGGGATTGCTGGGTCAAATGGTATTTCTGGTTCTAGGTCTTTGAGAAATTACCACACTGACTTCCACAATGGTTGAACTCATTTACATTCCCACCCACAGTGTAAAAGCGTTCCTATGTCTCCACAGCCTCGCCAGCATCAGTTGTTTCTTGACTTTTTAATAATCGCCATTCTGACTGGTGTGATGTGGTATCTCATTGTGGTTTTGATTTGCATTTCTCTAATGATCAGTGATGTTGAGCTTTTTTCCATATGTTTGTTGGCTGCATAAATGTCTTATTTTGAGAAGCGTCTGTTCATGTCCTTTGCCCATTTTGGCACCACATGGCGCTTACTCTAAAATTGATCACATAATTGAAAGTAAAACACTTCTCAGCAAATGCAAAAGAACTGAAATCATAACACTCTCTCAGACCACAGCGCAATTAAATTAGAACTCAAGATTAAGAAACTCACTCGAAACCACACAACTACATGGAAATTGAACAACCAGCTCCAGTGTTTTGTTTTTAAAGACAAAGATAATTGAATGGTAATGAATGCTGATCTATTTTTCTTAGACAATGACACCTAGTGATGGTATAGCTGTTTAACAAAGAGCCAATAATTTAATAACAAGTTATCCAAATTTTAGGCCAAATATTTATGGAGGCAATGCCCTAACAATTCTTTTTTTTTTTTTTTTCAACCTAAAGGTTTCTCTGTACACTAACAATTCTCAAGTACTATTTTAACAAACCTTCTGGTCAGGTGACAGTAGTATTTCATACCAAGAAAAAAGATTTCTGGCAAATAGTTGAGCTCAGACCTTCCATAAGATTATCATTACCTTATTTGAAATCTGAAATTATTTTGTTACTCAGAAAAAAAATCCTTTTCATGGTCAAGGCTAGGTATGGGGCAGGAAATAATAAGTGAGTTCTAGAGATAAATTACCTAAGGTATATTGTTAAGAGTAATAGACTGAATTGAAAAGAAAAAACATTAGTAATGGATAAATGAGATATTTTTGTTTCAAACAATACCAATCTCAAAGGGTCCTCCTTGAAGCTAGTAACCACGTTTCATTTCTTTGGGGGAAATGATTTATAAGAGATTGAAGGAAGCTCTTGTCATGGTACTAATTTGTTCTAAATTTTCCATCCATAGCATTTGATTCCATGTGTCAGGGTCTTTGCATTACCACATTGCTTTTGAGGACAGCCTCTATTTCCCCCTGGCCTCATCTGTTCACAAGGGTCTCAAATTGAAGGAGTTCTCCTGTCATCTCTCCCTAGCCCTCATTCATGATGCTTGATAGGTGGTATGGGCCTGGCATTCATTGGTTCATGCTTCTCAAATCAGCAGAGGAAATGAATTAAAATCTAAAAACACTGCAAGGAGTCTTGCCCCACTGGGACAACTCAAAATAGATTAATAACCTAAGTATAAGAGTTAAAAACATAAAAGCTCTTAGAAAAAAACATATGGGGAAAACTTCATGACTTTGGATTTGGAAATAGATTCTTAGATATGACACCAAAAGCACAGGCAACAAAAAAAAATAGATAAATTGCACTTTGTCAAAATGAAAAAGTTTTGCACATCAAAGGACGTTATAAAAAAAAGTGAAAAGTGTGTTGTTTGACTATGGACTTAAATGTTATGCCCAATTGGTCATGTGAGAACGTAAAGCTGGAGAGTATTAGGACAAACACTTATTTGTCCTCCTCAAGCTTCTACAGGGAGGTGATTTCCACACGCTTGCCACAAAAAATAAGTTAGGGAGTATCCCTTCAGCTTCTCTGTCTGGGGAGAGGAGTGGCGGATCTCACTGAAGTGTCTGGGGAAGGAACGGAGCATGCTCGGTTCCAGTCCTCTTGGCTCTCCCTGCTGGGTGAGACCAGCAGAGATCAGGCTTTCAGGTTTGTTGTTCACTCTGTGGTAAACATCCCGTGCTGGCTCTGCAGTGTCCAGCTGTCCTCCTATGACTGAGTGGAAAAGTAAATGCTGGGATGAAGAAGGATTAGGAAGCACACTGTGGCTGCACATTTAAACCATATACTTGAATTGCTTTCTCCATCATAATGGCATGACAAAAGTCACCATCTGCCTAAACCCTATGTCTTATCCTTCAAAGGACAGAGTTGGTTCTGAACTCTATGAGGATGAAAGGGGTGTGTCTACAGCCTCTAAAGTCCCAACAGGGTGCCGAATTTGTTAGCTACTCTTTGGTTAGAACCACCTTATAAACCCAGAGATACCAGAATTTAGTAATGAGGGACACATATACCATATTTGCTTGAGTTGTCCTCAGGTTTTTGTGATTTCCTGAAAACTTTATCTAGTCTCATGCCTTTGCTCTTACTGTTTTCTGCAGAGAACACCCTTTTTACTGGTTCTTTATTCAGTGAACTCCAGGAAGCCGTCTTTGACTACCTCCCACCTGATTAAAAATTCTTTTTACTTTATTCGATTTATTTATTTATTTGAGACAAGCTCTCACTCTATCACCCAGACTGGAGTGCAGTGGTGCGATCTCAGCTCACTACAATCTCCACCTCTAAGGCTCAAGCAATCCTCGTGCCTCAGTCTCCCGAGTAGCTAGGGCTACAGGCGTGCACCACCATGCCCAGCTAATTTTTGTTATTTTCAGTACAGACAGCGTTTTGCCATGTTGGTCAGGCTGGTCTCGAACTCCTGACCTCAAGTGATCTGGTTGCCTTGGCCTCCCAAAGTGCTGAGATTACAGGCATGAGCTACCGCATCCGGTCTATTAGATTTTTAGATTATAAAAGGATACAGACCATTTTTAAATAATAGAAAGGCAAATAATACAAATGATTATTATAATGTATAATTAAAATGATAAAAAATTCACAGTTCCCATACTCAAATTCTACTCTTCAGAAATAACCAATATTAAGAGTGTGGTGTATATAGTTTCACTTCTTTGGCTAAATATAAATGGATACACACCTATGCACACACCGGTTTTCTTTTTGCCCAAGCCCCCACCCCCCACACAAAAACAGGGTCGTATTATATACAGGACTCTGTGATGTGCTTCCCTTCCTTTCATTTAATAATATATCATGAACATTCTTCTATTTTGATAGCAATATTATAGTACATAATTTGATACTTGTTAAAATGCCTAATTTTTAGTTCCTTTTAAAAATTTTGCTGTATTATCTGACTTCCAAACCAAGACAATTACAAGTATTATCTTACTCTTAACTTAATGGAAATATATTTAATAATTCTTTTTTTTTTTTGACAGGGTCTTGTTCTGTTGCTCAGGCTGGAGTGCAGCAGCAGCTCAATTACAGTTCACTGCATTCTCAACCTCCCAAGTTGACGCGATCCTCTCATCTCAGCCTCTCACGTAGTTGGGACTACAGGCATGCGCCACCACACCCAGCTAATTTTTTTTTTTTTTCGGTAGAGACAGGGTCTCATAATGTTGAGAGACAGGGTCTCATAATGTTGCCCAGGCTGGTCTCAAACTCCTGGGCTCAAGCAATCCTCCCACCTTAGCCTTCCAAAGTGTTGGGATTACAGGCATGAGCCACTACTCCTGGCCGTTAATTCATTATTTAATATGATGTTTGCTCTTGGTTTTGTGTTTTGTTTGTTTGTTTTTTGCTAACTAGTCTTTTTCATGTTAAGATGGTTTCCTGTTAACCCTGTTTTACTTCAAGTTTTTATTAGGAAAAGCTGCTGAAATTTTTCAAGTGACTTTTTGACATATTCCCCCTTAATTCGTGACTTTTCCCATTTAACCTGTGGTATTTATAAGTTTTAAAAAATATTGAACCATTGGCATTCTTGAAATAAGCCCTTTTTGGTCATATTATTTTTCACTATACTGCTGGATTCCATTTGTAAAACATTTTATGTATTTAGAAAATTTTAAGTTTAAAGAGACTCTGTAGTCTCTTTTTTTCTATCAAGTTCTGTGCCTTCATAGTATCCTAGTCATGCTTCTATCATAGTACTTGTGACCTTGACGAAACTGGAGAGCAGGGACCAGATTGTATTCTATATTCTGTCCTTTGTGTCAAGCACAATGCTTAGGACATGGTAGAAGCTCAATGAATCTATTATATGTTGAATGAAAGAAGAGACGGCTTATTTATTTATTTCTCTATTTATTTATTTTTACTCAACATGCCTAAGGTAAAAAAGGAACAGCTTTTAGGAACATTTTCCTTTAATCCAGTTTTACCTACTTTTTGTGGTTTGCCATCTAGTAACTTTAATACCTCTTTTGTTCCAATGCCAGTGCTTCAGTGTTTCTCTCTTCACTAGTTCCCTTGAAGAAATATCATTATTGAATACAATATTGCAGTTAAAATGGAAAAACTAGAGCCACATGTATCAACATGAATAGATCTCAAAGGTATAAAGTTTAAAAAGCAAGGATATGTACAGCATACAATCTATGTAAAGTTTTAAAAATGCAAATAAGGCTGGGTGAGTTGGCTCATGCCTGTAATCTCAGCACTTTGGGAGGCCAAGGTGGATGGATCACTTGAGGTCAGGAGTTCCAGACCAGCTTGGGCAACATGGTGAAACCCCATCTCTGCCAGAAATACAAAAATTAGCTGGACGTGGTGGCTGTGCCTGTAATCCCAGCTACTCGGGAGGCTGAGGCAGGAGAATCGCTTGAACCTGGGAGGCAGAGGTTGCAGTGAGCCGAGATCATGCCACTGCACTCCAGCCTGGGTAACAAACCAAGATTCCATCTCAAAAAAAAAAAAAAAAAAAAAAAAAAAAAAAAAAAAAAGCAAACAAGGCCAAGTGAGCTCACACCTGTAATCCCAGCACTTTGAGAGGCCGAGGCAGGAGGATTGCTTGAGGCCAGGATCTTGAGACCAGCCTGGGCAACATTGTGAGACCCCATCTCTACAAAAAACAATTTTAAAAAAATTAGCCAGGCATTGTAACATATGCCTGTAGTCCCAGCTTCTCACAAGACTGAAGTGGGAGGATTGCTTGAGTCCAGGAGGTTTAGGCTGCACTGAGCCATGATTGCACCACTGCACTCCAGGTTGGACAGCAGAATGAGTCCCTGTCTCAAAAAAAAAAAAATGCAAACAGTACTAGGCACTTGTATTGGTTATGTGCTTCCACTCCTGTATTGCAAGAGGCTAAAAACCTGTGAGCTACATACCTGTTGCAGGCTTCCTTGCTAGTTGGATTCTGATTAGGTTTTGCCAATGCAAGGCAGTAGCAGGAGATTAGAAAACAGAAGAAAGGGTGATGCCATTTTTCTTTCTGTTCCTGGCAGTGCTCCTAGCAATGGCAGCAGCAGCAATAGTAGGTGACTGAAGAGGAGCATTTCAGTAGTATCAGTGGCTATTTTGGCAGTGGGAGTGCCAACCTGTAGCAACCCAACAGGGAAGAAGCCAAGTGAACAGGTATTCTGATCTCCTTCTCTTCCTCTTCACCTTTTACCAGTGCTTCCCATTGGCCAAAGCCAACCAGAAGCCAGAGATAAAGGGAGTCCAGTGAGGCAGTCTGCATCACCCACTTTTCTGAGCACAAAAAAGGTAGAGAATTGATCTGGCGGATAAATGGGTGAAATTGAACATAACCCCTTATTCCATTTGCATATTCAGCCCTTCCTTTCTATACCTTTATAACCAATTATCAGTATTACATCTCCTTTCTGTGAAATGCGTAGAGTGGTTTCCATTTTCCTGATTGGACAGTGGTTGATTGAATATAGTTTATGGATACAAACATGTAGCAAAGGAATAAAAACTTCCACGGGAATAATAAACCCCATGTTCAAGATACTGGTTACTGCTGGTTGGAAGAGAGAGAATGAAATTGGGAATAAGTACACAGGGGCATCTTCTGTATCTGAAATATTTATTTCTTAAGCTGGAAGGTGAATTTATGGATATTTTCCATATTATTGTCTATGTTCGTTATATTAGACTCTGTTTTCAGTTGCCAGAAGCATTTATTTATTCTCAAAACTCAGTGTGCATAAATTAATGAATGAACAAATGAATGAAACTTGACTCTGAATTCTGATCCTCTCATTTAATTGTTGTTTGAACTGAGATGAGTTAAACTACTTAAAGTTCTCTTATTTTGTGTCTTCATCCACAGGATAAGGTTAATAGTAGCCACCTTACAGCACTATTGTGATGATAAGTGGCATGATATATACAAAAGGTTCTAGCCCTCAACAAATCAGTCTCCTTCCTTCCTGAACTTTTAGAAAGAATAAGAGCTTGATTTTTATAAACGTTTAATTTTTGTAAGCTTTGAATTTAGAGACTGGATTTTTATATACTCTGTATGACTTAAGGCATACCATTGTGCTATGCATCAAGAAGGTTGCTTGCTTGTTTTTTTTGTTGTTGTTTTGGGACAAGGTCTCATTCTGTCACTCAGGCTGGAGTGCAGTGACACAATCATGGCTCACTGCAGCCTTGACCTCCCCAGGCTCAGGTGATCCTCCCACCTCAGCCTCCTGAGTAGCTGGGACTACAGGTGCGCGCTACCAGCTAATTTTTGTAGTTTTTGTAGAGACCCCCGTCTCTTCACCATGTTGTCCAGGTGGTCTCGAACTTCTCGGCCCAAGCGATCTGCCCTCCTCAGCCTCCCAAATTGCTGGGATTACAGGCGTGAGTCACTGTGCCCAGCCCACTTTCTTTTCTTTTAAAAATCATGTAATGGGCAGGGCGCGGGGGCTCACGCCTGTAATCCCAGCACTTTGGGAGGCCAAGGCGGGCGGAGCACGAGGTCAGGAGATCGAGACCATCTTGGCTAACAGAATGAAACCCCGTCTCTACTAAAAATACAAAAAATTAGCCGGGCATGGTGGTGGGCGCCTGTAGTCCCAGCTACTCGGGAGGCTGAGGCAGGAGAATGGCGTGAACCCGGGAGGCAGAGCTTGCAGTGAGCCGAGATCGCGCCACTGCACTCCAGGCTGGGTGACAGAGCAAGACTCCGTCTCAAAAAAAAAAAAAAAAAAAAAAGTAATGTTCCTTTAAAAGATTAAAAAGGGGTAGTTAAAAGAAGGGTAGTTGTTCAATGCAGAAAATTGGAAAAACACAGAAAAATAAATGAAAATAAAATTTACTGTAACTCTACCACTCATAACTGTTATAAACATATAGAAATATTGAAAATTAGGCTGGGCACAGTGTGATGTGCCTATAGTTTTGCCTATTAAGATGGCTGAGGCAGGAGGATTACGTGAGCCCATGACTTTGAAGCCAGCCTGGGCAATATAGCAAGACCCCTGTCTCTAAAATAATTTTAAAAAAAGACATAAAATTAGAATAATATTATATATAGTTTTGCAATATGGTTCTTTGATTTCATTTTATAGAGTATATGTGTTCCTGTGTCAAATATTATATGATATCACTTCCACTGGTTATATTATATTCCGATGGATGTACTTGAATTTATTTAACAAATTGGCCTATTCAGGATGTTTAGGTTTTACTAATGTTTCAGTACTGTAATTAATGTTGTAATGAATATCTTTGTTGATAAGTGTTTGTCTGCATTTCTTATAATTTCCTTGGACAAAATACTTGTGGAAATTTTGATCAAATGATATGTATATTTTATGGCATCTGAAACTTACAGCTATCTTGCTTTCAAGAAAGATTGTACCAAAAAAAAGCAGAAGGAGAAATTTACAAAGAAAGATTATACTAATTAATACTGCCTCTAGCAGTGTTGGAGGACACTACTTTTCCATAGCAGGAAGTTACTTTCAAAAAGATAAATTGGAACAAGCATGGACTTAGTAATGAAATCTACAACAGATTATAACTGGTTTGATGTTTAAAGAATACCAGCAAAATGCCACATCTTCACGGAGCGAGGACTGCCATGAGCCATTAAATATAATTTTAACAGGTTACCATGCAGAGGGATTCTAGCAAAGCTCACAAGTGTCACCTTCTATCTGGAATTAACTAAACATAAACATCAGCTGGAGGTGATCTGGAAACCAACTGATCTGTGGGTTTTCTAAATCCAGACGCAATAGTGATTTAGTTGGGAAAATGATGGAACAGGAGCCAGGGAAATTCTCTGCTCTTGTCTGGGGCCTGACACTTGGATTTTTTGTGTCTTGGACACTTAGCTCTTACCTTTCCTCTGCTTCCAGTTTGAAGAGTCTTAGACCCACTCTGAACTGATTAAATGGCAGGAAAAAAAAGATGGCAAAAAGTATCAGCTCAGCCAGGCGAAGTGGCTCACACCTGTAATCCTAGCACTTTGGGAGTTCAAGACCAGCCTGGGCAACAGTGAAACTTCATCTCTAAAAAAACATTACCTGAGTGTGGTGGCACACAGCTGTAGTTCCAACTACTAGAGAGACTGAGGTGGATTGCTTGAGCCTGGGAGGTCAAGGCTGCAGTGAGCTGAGATTACACCACTGCACTCCAGCCTAGGTGACAGAGTGAGACCGTGTCTCAAAAAAAAAAAAAAAGTGTCAGCTAATGAGAGCTTCCACTTATTAATTAATATCTGTAGCTATGAACCTCTGGCACCTACTAGCTTCATTTTGAACCAATGAATTTCAAAAATAATTAAAGTTAATGAGCTGCTCTTTGTGATAGGACCCTGACAACTTAACAGCCATTTGATGAGTGGGAAGTGCAAAGTGGGGAAAGTGTCACTTGCTGATGAACAGGATTTCCTCATCTTCAAGATACAAGAAACCAGCCCATAGGTGAAAGTGATGTACTATTGAGTCAAAGAAGACATAGGATGGGGTTTACAAATTTAATTGAAGGACAAGTACCAACCTTAAAAATGATTTCTCTAGGCTAAAATCAGACCTTCTTCCAAAGTTCTAAAATTATTGTGTCAAAATGTTGGTAAGAATTCATGGCAAAGTCTTCCATGAAGTCTGGGAACCCAAGAGAGTCAGTCATCACAGCCTAAGTAGGACACCAAACTTTCTATCCTTTAGTAACAAAAATCAGAGTTGGGAATTATGGGTATGGAGGACTAGAACACTAAGTTGGCAGGAGGTGTTTGTGAATTCAGTTTGCGGAGGGTTTTTCAGTGGGAATTTCTTGAAGCAAATGCAAATCGAGTCTGGAAATGTCAGGTTGGGAGCTGCCTCAGTGGCTGGGAGGAAAAGATAAATCTGAGGAGGTAGAACATCATCAAAATGTATTTCCCGAAGGGATCCTGTGCACGTCTGTATTCTACTGTAAGACAATTTTATGTGGTAAATGGTCAAACTTTTTTGTTCATCTTAATGGGAATAGATTTATTTTAATTCTTTTTTTTTTTTGAGACAGAGTTTCACTCTTGTTGGCCAAGGTGGAGTGCAATGGCATAATCTCAGCTCACTGTAACCTCCGCCTCCCGGATTCAAGCAATTCTCCTGCCTCCCGGATTCAAGCAATTCTCCTGCCTCAGCCTCCCAAGTAGCTGGGATTACAGGTGCACGCCACCATGCCTGGCTAATTTTTTGTATTTTTAGTAGAAACGGGGTTTCACCGTGTTAGCTAGGCTGGTGTTGAACTCCTCATCTCAGGTGATCTGCCCGCCTCTGCCTCCCAAAGTGCTGGGATTACAGGCATGAGCTACCATGCCCAGCTTTAATTCATATTTAAATAATTCAACTAGCTCATCAAAACCTTAATTTTACATTTACAAGAATAATATACTTTTTTTGCCAAAAGAAATGTGCTTAGGTTTAAACAATGAGATAAGTTTTATTTTATTAAAAAAAAACATTTTTTTTGAGACAGAGTTTCGCTCTTGTCACCTAGGCTAGAGTGCAATGGCCCGATCTTGGCTCACTGCAACCTCTGCCTTCTGAGTTCAAGCGATTCTCCTGTCTCAGCCTCCCGAGTAGCTGGGATTACGGGCACACACCATCACGCCCGGGTAATTTTTGTATTTTGAGTAGAGACAGGGTTTCACCAATTTGGCCAGGCTGGTCTCGAACTCCTGACCTCAGATGATCCACCCACCCTGGCCTCCCAAAGTGCTGGGAGTACAGATGTGAGCCACTGCACCCAGCCAAGTTTTAAAATTAATTAAATATGGCTGGGCGCGGTGGCTCACGCCTGTAATCCCAACACTTTAGGACGCTGAGGTGGACGGATCACCTGAGGTCAGGAGTTCGAGACCAGCCTGACCAACATGGAGAAACCCCATCTCTACTAAAAACACACACAAAAAAATGTAGCCGGGCATGGTGGCACATGCCTGTAATCCCAGCTACTTGGGAGACTGAGGCAGAAGAATCGCTTGAACCTGGGAGGCAGAGGTTGTGGTGAGCCGAGATCGCCCCATTGCACGACAGCCTGGGTGACAAGAGTGAAACTCTGTCTCAAAAAAAAAAATTAATTAAATATTATTAGTGCTGGTGGAACTTAGCTCTGCCACAAGTTGAAAATTTGGAATGTTGGGGAAAATTTCAAGGTACCTATTTTAGGCTCTCCAGATTGTTGCTAGCACTCTAAAATGTATCATATTTCATCAAATCTAAAAAGCTTTTAATTGTAAAATGAATCGTTATTTTACATACCATGAAGAAACAAGAAAATGCTGCCAACTAAACTATGATGCAGTGCTTTCTTAGCACTTAGAATTTTGTTTTATGTTTAATGAAAGCACTCTTTTAGGCTGACTGGGCATTATTTCTTAAATCATATATTGCACTGCTCTGTTTCTGTGCTTTTCTGTATGTGTGATAACTTTTCGTTTCAATCTCAATCTGAAAGACATTTTAACATCGATAAATCTCAAATCCTGTGCTACGAACAATGCACATCACTCAACTGCGGGGACAGATGAGCAGCTATAAGCATGTTTGTGCACACGTAGGCAATGGCAATGTTTTCTTGCTGCATCCAATTTCAGAGGAGGAAAAAAGTGAAAAAAATATGCACCTTACAATCACTGGTATACAGTAACACCTTCCTCGGGGTTCTCTTTAGAAGGAGACTGAATTGTTTTCTTTCTTGTGTCCTGAGCTTTTTCCAGAAGCACAGACTACAGACAATGGTGAGGTAATTTAGAAAGGTTTAAAGGAAATAATGAGTTGGATATCAGAGCACTGTGACGCTTCATATTATCTGGTGATACATGAGGCCCTGACTCAGTCACAGCCAGGCTGCTACAATGGGGTGACTTCTGCATGCAGCAACTCATCAGATGATTGTGATGTATGTGCAAAATCCCCAAGCAACCAGAAAGTAGAGCTTATGTAGGAGTCACCCTTGTGGCTCCATCACCCACCATTACCCATGAACCGGGTAATAGATGAATGGTAGTTGACACGACAATTAGTTGTAGATAATTTACAGTTTCACCCCTTGATGAAATAATGATCTTTCAGTAGTGACATCCTCTAATAAATGCTCATGATGAGGGCTTACTATGGGCCCAGGCCCCATTCTAACTGCTTTCCATTTGTTAACTTATTTACTACTTAACACCAAGGTAGACACTGTTATTATCCTCATTTTACATATGAAGGATCTGAGGCACAGAGCTATTAATTAATTTCCCCAAGATCACATAGCTGCTAAATGTCAGTCCTAGATTTGAAGACAGGCAACTGACTTAACAGTCACCCTCTTAACCTTTATACTGTATTGCCTCCACCATATAGTACTGAAGAGCTGTAATCAAATAATAAAAATGCATATGATTGTCTAAATCCACAGCTACTAAGTAAATGTAGAAAGTAAACCATGCTCTCTGGATTTTCAATAAAAACTTGTTTATTGATTGTTCAAAAAATGAGGCAGAGGGAAGTACCCCACAGTTTGTTAAAATGAACAATAATGAAACCCATGCTGTCAGCCAGTCTGGGATTGGGAGACGGATGGGAGACTGATTTTAGGGCTTTGACTGTGAAGTGGGGGCAAAATGTCAAACTAAGGGCAAGAAGTTTCAGGCTGTCCAAAATCACCTTTGATGGACTCAGAACTCAGGCGTCCTCTTGTGTGCAAGCTAAGGGTTAAGTCCGTACCTGATTTTGACCATACAGCCCTGAGATGATACTTGGAATTTAGTGAGCTGCAAGCAATGAATTACCTGAAACTGAAATCAAGTATTAGGAAGTCTCAAATCACTGTCTGAATTCTGGCAGGCTGTGGTAAATACTGTGTTAAGGAAGTTAATTAAATCAAGAAATTGAATTTTTCTTTTTTAAAGAAATGGCCATTGGGTGTTAATCAGCTGTAAAGAAGAAAGCAGAAAGCCAAGGGAATCCAAAAAAGAGCTTTGCCCTGTAAGCACAGTTGCCTCACCTATGACCTCCATAACTGAGAAAGAATTTGGCTCCAGCAATATTCTCTGTGAAGTTGGTGGCTTGAATCACTGCCATGAGCAAATGAGTTTTCTCTACGGAGAATGAATTCTCCTGAGCTGCTGAAACAAAGGTCTGTGTCCCTGAATGGCTATTATTTATTTGGAAGATTGCTATAGACACCCCCCACCCTGTGCTGGAAGCTGCAAGCTGTGGCATTTAGCCTTGGTCCACTGGAACAAAGCTCACAGAAAGGAAAACTGCCTGGGCAAGTAGTATGCCCAGGGCGAAATGTGAAAACTGCCCCACAAA
The DNA here is from genome assembly GCF_000001405.40 of Homo sapiens. Classification (NCBI taxonomy): domain Eukaryota; kingdom Metazoa; phylum Chordata; class Mammalia; order Primates; family Hominidae; genus Homo; species Homo sapiens. The sequence continues at coordinate 170,895,369 of NC_000002.12, read as the reverse complement.
TCTGAGCAGGCAATAAAGGATGGTCTTATTTATTGTATTGCCTTATACCTTTGAGATAATGCACATGACTGAACTATTGATTTTTTATTGCACCAGACAGTGCTATTTGGGAGCAGGTAAGGAAGAGGAGCTGAACTCTACTGATTTTGAAATCCTCTCTGAGTCAGCTGTAGTGAATTACTGAACAGCTGCCACAGCGTCATATTCAGAAGTTTCCATTTTTTATGTCAATAGTCTGAAGATTTTTGCACTAAAATATTTCAACTTACATCACTGTAAAAACTGTTAGATGTTCTACTACCACTGCTAATAGTGCTACCACCATCACTACTGAATACAAACTCTTGATAGCTTTGCCTTTTGTGAAAACATATCCCACGTGGTGAGTTGGCTGGGACTGGGTTGTATCAATTCCCCAGGTCCCAAAGAAACAATTTAGAGCATTTCTGCAATTCTACATGTCATCTCCAGGTCCTGTCTAATCTCACGGTTCAATGGAAACAACATATCGTTTGGAGAAGTATTCCATTTCATCTACTCAGATCCTATTCCATTGAGGATCTGAGGATCCTACACCTCTTAAATATTTCAAATGAAATAGTCTTCTGAATGTTGAACACCGAAAATAGAATCCTTTTGCAGAAACAAAATGCAAATAGGTATAAAGTAACAATTTACCATATTATTTATTTTGGAGATCCCAGTTACTGGCTCATAGTAAATAATAAATATTTATCAAATAACCAAAAACATAAATATGTAGTGGGTGCTAGTAGTGCAGCTGGATATTGCCCTCTACTAGTCACTTTTTCTAAATGACAGCTGGTGAGCTGCTCTGGCTCTCCGAGTGCCCTGGCTTGCTACTGCAGCCAAGGTTCAGGTAGTCACCTGGAGGGTTGCGTTAGCTTTCCCCACATCTTTAGGGGTGCAAGTTCTGTGTCTCTTTCCTCTGTTCTCTGGAGTGGGTTGCTGGTTATGAAAGAATGCAACATTAAAAGTAACAGACTGTATCTATCAGAAAGATAAAAAGTAAAAGGAATGAGAGAGAGGATGGGGAAATGCATTTTTACGCATTGCTGGGGGAATGTAAATTCATGCACCTCACTGGAGGACAATTTGGAATATTTATAAAGTCTTTAAAAAGAAGATCCTGTTGGCTGGGCGCAGTGGCTTATGCCCCTAATCCCAGCACTTTGGGAAGCCGAGGCAGATGGATCGCTTGAGCCCAGGAGTTCAAGACCAGCCTGGGCAACATGGCAAACCCCATCTCTACTAAAAATACAAAAAAGTAGCCAGGCATGGTGGTGCGTGCCTGTAGTCCCAGCTACTCTGGAGGCTGAGGTGAGAGGATCACTTGAGCCCAGGAGGTCGAGGCTGCAGTGAACCAAGATCACACCACTGCACGCTAGTCCGGGCAACAAAAGAGAGACCCTGTCTTAAAAAAAAAAAAAAAAAAAAAAAAAAAAGGAGGATATTATTAAATCCAGGGATTTTACTTCTAGGAATTTTTCATAAGGAAACAAAGAAATTAGACAAGGTATATATACCTGAATGTTTAATACAGCAGTATTTATAATAGCAAAAAGCCTAGAAGTTTTGTAAAATTTTGGTATATTTTCACCATAGAATACTATGATCATTAAACGTGTGTGTGTATATGTATATATGACATAAAAAATAGCAAAATAATATATATGACAGAATAATAGCAAAAAGCCTAGGAGTTTTGTTAAATTTTGGTATATTTTTACAATAAAATACTATGATCATTAAACATGTATATATATATGTCACATATGACATAGAAAATTTTTTTCTTTTTTATTTATTATTATTATTTTTTATAGAGACAAGATCTGACTACATTGCCCGGGTGGTCTCGAATTCCTGAGTTCAAATGATCCTCCCACCTCGGCCTCCCAAAGTGCTAGGATTACAGTTGTGAATCACCACACCTGGCCAGAAAAATGTTTTGAATATTGTGTTCAGTGAAAAATGACAGAACAGTTTATAGGATGTGATTTTTTTGTAAAAAGATTTTTAGCATGTTTACGATTGGATAAAAGTCTGGAAGGATATACACAAAACATTAACAGTGGTGAGATTATGGAATGTTTACATTTTCATCTTTCTGTGAATATGTATTTGTACTTTTGGCAAATAATGTGGGCTATTTGAGTAATACAAATTTGCTGTAGTCAATAATATTGAATTGTATACTTGAAATTTGCTGAGAGTAGGTTCTAACTGTTCTCACCACATACACACACACAAAGTTGACTATGTGAGGTGACGGATGCGTTAACTAACTTGATTGTGGTAATCGTTTCAGTATATATGTAAAGCAAATCATCATGTGGTGTACTTTAAATATATACAGTTTTATTATTCAATTATGCCTCAATAAAGCTGGAAAAAATAATTGGTCACATGCAACGAAAATATAGATAAGTTTTCATTTTTCTTTTCCAAATAAGAGAACTCACAAAATTCTAGTATTTTAAAGCTGAAAGCGTTTAAAAAGGACATTTAAACTCATTATTTTACAAATAAATGTACTGAAGCCCGGGGAGGTTAGCTGACGTGCCTGGAGGTGTCACCCTAGGCCATGTCTTAATTGGACGAGTCAGCATTTGAACCCAGATCAGCAGTTCATTGCTTGTTCTAAAGCAACGTGGCACCTCTGAAGAACTAAAAGGGTTCTTTTAGTGGCAACCACGGAAGTGTTGCCAGCAGTTCTATGTGGCTTATGCAGCCTGGTGTGTGGGCACAGCCATTCACTGGCTCTCAGTAGATCTTGAAAATAGCCCAGGCCATAGCCCACTGAACAGCTGAAAGAAAACACTCAGAGCGTGAAGAATGCCTTGCCCAGCTACCTGACAAGCTGTATTTTCCCATTTGGCAAGTGAAGTCCTCTCCAGAAAATGGTATGTTATAAAGAACTTCCTTTTCCAGGGGTTCGATGACATCTTTCATGAGGAAGACTCTAAGGCAATAAACTAGATGCCAAGTTTAATTAAGCAGGCCCCACAGCCAGGAGGAGACAAATTGGACCAGCCTCCATTCAGAGCAGGTTGGATTAAATTAATAGATCAGCTGAAATGAATAAAAGGCCAAAGTAACTAGAGATTCTTCCTCATATGTGCTGCCCTTGCCATGAGGTTAGTTCGGGGTGACATCGGAGCGGCCTCACTAGTTCAGCTTTGGGATCTGGGTGACATGCTGCATGGATTCCTGTATCTTTACACCTGCATAGGAGACTGTTAGCCCGAGTGCAGGTGAAGCCCTCAGGCTGCCCCTCCTCCTTCCCTCCACCCAGCTTCCACCTTTATTATTACTCCTAGCTGCCCTTATGCTTCCTCCAGTGACTTGGACCAAAACCCAATTAAAAGTTAAAATTATTTTTTTTCTGGTCTGGCAAAAGGCCATCTTACCATCTTTGGGCTGGTTAGAGGAATATTTTCAGTTCCTTAACAATATAACCTCAGTTATTGAGCTAATCTGATAGCTGTAGTATTTTCCTAAACTGTTTTTTATTTTATTTTATTTTTTTACTTTTCCTTCAATTGATCTCTTCTCCTTGCTTTCAATGGGGCCCTGGGCTAGGAGTGCCCAAGTGATTATACGTTCGGGGAATTTACCCAAATGGTGAATTCTAGTTGCATTCATTTGGATTAGGTTAGGCCACATGTAACAGAAGAATGCATAATATCTGTCTTAAATTGAGAACAATTTCTCATCTGGAAGTAGACTTTCTAGGTGTGGTGTTAGAGCAGCTTTTCTGTGTCAACAAAATCTTAGCCTGCTATACTTTTATCTGCTATCTTCAGCAAAGTGGCTTCTCTTCTCAAGGTCATCCCATGATCCAAGATAGCTGGGAGAGCTCCAGCCATCTCAACACATTCCTGGCAGCAGGAAGGAGGAAGAGCAGAAATTACATTAAAACAGATTGTAATGGAGAGTTTCTAGCCTAGGAGGCATCCTGTCTTCTTCAAGTGACTTTGACCCTACCTACTCTAATCCAGAATGTATTTCTCTTGCATTTTAACCTTTGAAAAGTCGACATTTCCTTCACTTCCCATTCTTGGTAGAGCATCTTATTGTGTGGCCCCTAAGTAATTGTAATTGGGTCTATCTCAGAATCCCACCTGCCTTTCTCTGGGTATCAGGCCAGAATTCCTGCAACTCATCCTAAAGCATCTCAAACAGCTCAGAACTGCCAGTGCAAAACAAAAAATTCCTGAAGAAGTAGAATGTTATTCTTTCTCTCTCTTCTTAAAGCCCTGACTACTGATAGAGACTCTTACAGATGGAGAGGCAACTTTCCCTGTCCCCATACTTAACATTATAAAGAACTTCCCTCTATGTAATCTAAATTTCTGAGATATAACTCAAATCCATTTTATGCTTTATCATCATTGGAAATTGAGACCAATTAGCCATCTTATACTTATTTCTCAGAAGAAAAGATAGTACTTTGGTTAACAGGTAGGAAGGTTGGATATATTTAGATTTTTCCTTTTAAGGAGAGGGTTGCAAGGAATTTCAGTGTTTTAAAATATTGCTTAACAAGCAAGAGAACATGTTGAAGATACAGTGGTCTGTAAGCATTGTATTCCCATAGCTCAAAAGCTCTTGCAACCATTTGTGAAAGTCAGGGTCTGATCTTATAGTTGTGACATTTAGACAGGGATAGATTGCCTGCTTCAAGGTTATGCCCAATACAGCTTATCTGGGAATCTGAGACAGATGTTCTATGACCAATCTTGTCTGTGATGAGAATTCAAATTCCCCTATATCTGCAGCAACGCTTTGTACACCTAAGATTTTGATTTTTTAAAAAATCCTTAGCAACAAATTTTAAAAAACAACACAGGATGCACCATGCTGCAGTGAAAGGATATGATCTTATTTTTTTTTTTTTATTTTCAGGATACCAGAAGCAAAAAAAAAAAACGGTATGATCTTTAGAGCAAAGAGACCTGGATTCAAATCCTACTTCTGTCACTTCCTGGCTGTATGGATTTAAGTAAGTCACTTAATTTTCCTGAGTTTCAGTTTCTCCATCTGCAAAATGGTGTCAGTCATACCTCCCCTTTTGAAAATAATCTGGGAGGAATATTGCATTAACATGGTGGATGATATAAACTGCTGACTCCACTGACTATAAATATCTGAGAATGGTGTTTGGGTTTTGGACTCTAAAACTGGGGACAGGGTAGGTTGCATGAGGAATGTAAACTGTGTTTCAAGGGACAAGCTGGTCAAATCTAGAAGACGTCAAAGTATCCTGAGGGGGAAAGAGAAAAATGCCGAAATAAAACTATAAAACTAGTTTCTCTGAAAGGCATCAGGAACTTGTTTTGTTTTTACTTTTTTGGGGGAATGCGGGACAGAGTCTCGCTCTGTTGTCCAGGTTGGAGTGCGGTGGCACAGTCTTGGCTCACTGCAATCTCTGCCTGCTATGTTCAAGTGATTCTCCTGCCTCAGCCTCCCGAGTAGTTAGGATTACAAGTGCATGCCACCATGCCCAGCTAATTTTTGTATTTTTAGCAGAGACGGGGTTTCACCATGTTGCCCAGGCTAGTCTCAAACTCCTGACCTCAAGCGATCCACCTGCTTCGGCCTCCCAATTTACTTTCTTTTTCAAAATTTTTTTTAAATTTTTAACTTTTTTCCCCTCATTTTGAACTTCTTTGTCAAGGAGAATTCCCTTTAGACAGGAAAGAAAAGATGAGGCAGGAGAGAATTGGAGCTCAAATAGGAGAGAAAGGTGTATTGAGCACACCTGGAATAGTGGTTCTTCATCCTGCTGCACCTGAGTATCATCTGGGAGCTTAGAATTATCAAGGCTTCAGCCTCAGCCACAGAAATTCTAAGTCTGTGGGCTCTGGATATTAGATTTTTTAAAACCATACACACAAACCCTCTGTGAATGGCTTCTCACCTTGGTGAGACATTAGAGACATTAGAATTATCTGGGGTGCTTAAAACGTGAATATGCTGCTGGGGCTTCACCCCAGAGAAGTTGATTTAATTGTCCTGTTGACAGGTCCAGGCCCTGGTGGTTTTAAATTTGTCTCAGGTGATTCTAATGTGTGGCCGGGGTTGCAGTCCACTGACCTACGTGCTCTAAATCAGCTTGAGTGATCTGACCTGGGTGAATTCCAGAGTATTGAAAACACATGCAAATGAAATTACTGAACTCCTTTGATTGTCTTTAAAGAATTGTGAGGAATGTGTTGGAGGAGTATAAGGGGTGATTTTAGAAAGAGTTGAGATGGGCAAATCTCCAAAAAAAAACCCTCAATTTTCAAAAAGTCAAAAGAAGAAGGTCCTCTAATCTGTACTTCTGGCAGTAAGCCCAGCCAATATTTCCTTTTATTAAAATTATGGTTTATCAGTAGTGATCAATATGAACTTGCACAGGTTCAGCATGAAAAGACACATCAAACTGACTACATTGGCTATTTCAACAGGGTTGCCTGACATTTAGATAAGGGGCATGTGTGTGTAAGTTCATTACATTTTAGAAGGCATAGAGACAGAGAGAGAGGAATGAAAACCAAGAAAACCAGCGCATCTGAACTTTACTGTGCAGTGAATCCCCTAGGCATCTTGTTAAAATACAGATTCTTATTCTGTAGGTTGGATGGGGCCTGTGAGTGTATTTTAACAAACTGCCAGGTGCTGCCAATTATGCTGGTTCACAGGCCACACTTTGAGTGGCAAGGGTGTAGACTGCACAGTAGTACAGTGAGGGGGGTTAGTAAGAAACTGAACAGTGATAGCAAATTAATACTGGTTAATGGGTCAGTGATATTCTGGAAGAAGATTTCCTTTTCTTTTTCTTTTTCTTTGGAGTTGGGGTCTTGCTCTGTCATCCAAGCTGGAGTGCAGTGGTGTGGTCATAGCTCAATGCAGCCACCAACTCCTGGGCTCAAGTGATCCTCTCATCTCAACCTCCCAAGTAGCTAGGACTGCAAGTGAGCACCACGGTGCCTGGCTAATTTTTTTAAAGAGATGTGGGTCTCACTATGCTACCCAGGCTGGTCTTGAACTCTTGGCTTCAAGCCATCCTCCCGCCTCAGCCTTTCAAAGTGTTTATAGTGTAAGCCACCACCCCCAGCCCTGGGGGAAAGATTTCGATGCTTGGGATTTAGTTTTGTTTTGTCTAAGAATATTAGTAGTGGCTTTGACATTCATGGTATCCTTATCAATTTTCAGATGACATAGAACTGGAAGAGAATTAATGACAGAATCAGCATCCAAATACCTTTTTTCTGTGAGCCAGCAGGAATAAATGATCCATGTCACATTCTTTTAGAATCTTTCTAACTGGCCATATAACTTAATAGCTGAGTGGTTGGTCATAGGCAAATCAGTTAACCTCTTGGACTCCCAGTCCCCTCATCTTTACAATGAATGGGATTATTAGTTAGAATTCCGTTAGTTGCATGTAACAGAACACTTGAATAGTTTAAGGGAAAAAAAGGAATTTATTGGCTCCTTTGGGCATAGTTGGATCCAGTAGATAAAACTTATTATAAAAGTTATATTATAAAATGATTTAGCTTTCTCTCTCTCTTTCTCCAACTCTGTTCTGCAGGACTTCCCTTGTCTTCAGGCTGCCTCAGGCTTTCTCATGTCATGAGGAAGAGGGCATTTGGCAACCTCAGCTTGCTAGCTTAACAAGGCATATCTATCATAGAAAACACTCAAGTCTTGCAGGGATCACATATCCTCTCTGCACCATCACTGAGGCCAGAGGGATAGTGTACTGTAATTGGTTCAGCCTGGATCATTTGCCAACCACTGAGGATGGAAGGGACAGAACACCATCACAGACACTCCACTCCACCACATTGAGTAGGGAAAAGATAGTTCCCCTGAGAAAACAGTGGTGAACGACTCAATGTGTCAAGCAAATATCCAGCAAATAACTCACACCCAAACATCACAAAATGATTAGGGCATGTTCTTCTTCTTCTTCTTTTTTTTCAATTTTAGACTCAGAAGGTACATGTGTAGATTTGTTGCATGGATATGTTGCATGATGTTGGGGTCTGGGCTTTGAATGAATATCACCCAAATAGTGACCATAGTACCCAACCCAATGGGTAGCTTTTTAACCCATTCTCCTCCCCCATCCTCCCTCCTCACTTTTGGAGTCCCCAGTGTCTATTGTTGGCATTCTAATGTCCATGTGTATGCAGTGTTTAGCTCTCACTTATAAATGAGAATATGCAGTATTTGGTTTTCTGTTTCTATGTTAATTCACTTAGGATAATGGCCTCCAGCTACATCCACGTTGCTGCAAAGAGCATGATTTTGTTCTTTTTTGTGGCTGCATAGTATTTCATGGTGTATATGTACTTTTTTTTTTAAATCCAATCCACTGTTGATGGGCAACTGGGTTGATTCCATGTCTTTGCAATTGTGAACAGTTCTGCAATGAACATGCGAGTGCTGGTGTCTTTTTGGTAGAATGATTTATTTTCCTTTGGGTACATACCCAGTAATGAGGTTGCTGGGTTGAATGGTAATTCTACTCTAAGTTCTTTGAGAAATCTCCAAACTGCTTTCCACAGGGGCTGAACTAATTTACAATTCCACTAACAGCATATAAGTGTTCTCTTTTCTCTGAAACTTGGCAACATCTGTTATTTTTTGACTTTTAAATAATAGCCATCCTGACTGGTGTGAGATGGTATCTCATTGTGGTTTTGATTTGCATTTCTCTGATGATTAGTGATGCTGAGCATTTTTTCACATTACTTGGCCAGTTGTCTGTCTTCTTTTGAGAATAGGGCACATTCTTTACAATGCAATGCTGCAGGCAGTCAGAGTTGGCATGAGATGAGTCAGGTTTGCTCTTCCTGGACTAGATGGTCTCTAATGTACTGTTTTGTAAGACTCCCAAGCTGTGCTTGTGTGTAACATATCATCCAGTAGCAAGACTTTTCCGGAGACAATTTCTTGAACTTTGAGATTCGATAGAGTAGATATTTAGGTGGTTGGGTTACCCTCAGATCACACCTAACCTCCTAGGAGAGAGGCAGGTCTTAGTAGAGGAGTGGCATTTCATCAGGAGGACTTCCCACCTGGCACCCTTCTGGAAGAGTTCCTGCCTGTTCTGCTGAGGACCCCATTCCCAGCCCCTAAATCCCTAGGCCACTGGCCAGGGGCCTCCATGCAGAGGTGAGCCAGTGCCTCTGATTGGTATTGGTTGGCCTAAAAAGATGACCCGAACTTCTCAGAAGCTGTTTTGAGAATTAGAAATAAAAGACACAGAGAAACTCCAGTGATCTGTGGGTACTGTGATGTATGGGCCTGCAGAAATGGAGCATAGGGTGGGCTTTGTTTAAGTAAAAAAGGAAGCTGCTGAGAGTGAAAAAAGAATGTGGTGGGTGCACGGAGAGAAACAGACACAGAACGAGACCAGTGGAGTTAGGAAGGAGAGAGAAAGAGAGAGAGCTGTGGCTACCGTATGTACCTCAGCCACATAAGCCAAGGGCTGTGCCTATGAACCGGCTACTCCTGGAACTTATCTGTGTCATTCACAGGCTTGGGCCCTGCTAGCTGGGAGGAAATGTCACCTTCCCTGTGGGTGACCCGAGGGATGGGGGTCCTCGAGGCTGAAGCTCTCCTAAGAGGTACATGACAGACTTGAGGTAGGAGCCGGGTGGGGGTAGCGCTGTTGGTGCCAGGCAGCCTGAGAATGCAGTAGAGCTTGGGGACTTCAGGAATGAGGGAGCTGTGGAAGCTGGGCAGGGTGGAGTCAGGATGAGAGGGAAGGGGAAGAGCTCTTCTGAGTCATAGAAGAGGAGAGTAGGAGAGTGAAGAGCTTCTAGCACTGGCAGAAAGTAAATTGGGACCTCTACACCAGATGCAGTGATAATGAGTTCTTCCTAATGCTCTGGGATTAAGGTAAATGCTGCCATTCTAAAACGGGCTGAAAAACATGTTATGTGGAATCTGTGGGTGGACAGAGAGTGGTGGAATGGCCTGGGAGAGCTGGTGCTTGTGATTCTTGGCCACTGGGGGGACAGCTCATCCACAGTCCTTTCACTGTTTGGCCTCTGACAGCCTCACCACTTGGGCTCAGGTGGCTTCTTCATTAGTTGAGCATCTACCTGTCCTACAGATTTCCTTGAAGAGCTGATAATACCCCAAAAGAGCATTCAGCTTACTGTAAGTGAGAAAATAGAATCTAGGTTTCCTGGCCCAGTGTTTATGTGTTCGGCCATTATTTAGGAGTCTGGTCGTAACTAATGGAAACTACTTTATGTACAATATGTATTGAGAGTCTTCTATGTACCTGGCCCTGAACTTAGAATGGAAAGACAGATATAAACAAGAAAACCGCTAACCAAAGAAATGTGTAATTATAAGTTATAGTAAAATCTATGAAGAATAAGAACAAGATGCTGTGAGGGAATAGAGGGGTTGTGGTGGAAGGACAGGCTTTAGAGTGGGCTTTAGAGGTAAGACATCTCTGAAGCATTGGCATTTAAGCTGAGAGCTAAAAGATGAGAAAGTGCTGTTTGGGGGAAGAGGATTTCCAGTCATAAGGATGCCTGTGTGAGGCTGTAAGGGGGAAGGCACATGGTCAGAACATAGTGAGCAGAGAGTGTGGGGGACCAGAAATGATGACTGAAAGGGTGCCCAAGGACCATGTGGGGTCTTGAAGGCTGCTGCATAACAAATTGTCCCAAAACTTAGTGGCTTAAAACAATAAACAGGCTGGGTGTGGTGGCTCATGCCTGTAATCCCAGTACTTTGGGAGGCTGAGGCGGGTGGGTCACCTGAGGTTGGGAGTTCGAGACCAGCCTGGCCAACATGGCAAAATCCCATCTCTGCTAAAAATACAAAAATTAGCTGAGTGTGGTGGTGGGTGCCTGTAATCCCAGCTACTTGGGAGGCTGAAGCAGGAGAATTGCTTGAGCCCTGGAGGGGGCGGTTGCAGTGAGCTGAGATCGCGCCATTGCACTCCAGCCTGGGCGACAGAGCGAGACTCTGTCTCAAACAACAACAACAACAAAACAAAACAAACCCGATAAACAATTATTATCCTTGCAGTTTCTATGGGCCAGGAATCTGGGGGAGCTTAGCTGGATGGTGCTGCTTGGAATCTCATGAGGGTTTAGTCTCAATGTTGACCATGGCTGCAGTCATTGAGAGGTATGATGGGGCTGGAGGACCCACTTCCCAGCTCACACCATGGCTGGGAAGAACAGCTGGTAGATGTGCAGGGTCTCCTTGCCTCTCGACTTGGGCCTCTCCACAGGCTGCTTGACTGTCCTCAAGACATGGCTGCTGGACTGCCCCAGAGTAAGTGATGTGCAATGGAACAAGGTGGAGTGGCAGTGCCTTTTATGATTTGACCTTGGAAGTCACACATGGTCAGTTCCACCCCAGGGTAGTTCTTAGAAGTGAGTCACTAAGTCTAGCCCACATTCAAAGGGAGAGAAATTAGCCTTCATCATTGTAAGGGAGGAGTGTCAAAGAATGTGTGGATACATTTTAAAGACATCACGTGGGCCATGAGAAGAGGCCAGTTTTAGCAGAACTGAGGGCTTTGTCATAAGGCTACAGGGGGTGCTCATGGAATCTGATGGCAGCGCAAAGTGAAGCTGAGCTTCAGCAAGGGCTGGACCCAGGGACTGGGATATGGTCAGAACACTGCACCTTAAAGACATAAGAGTGATACAATGGACTGTGGGGCCTCGGTGGGGGAAAGAATCAGAAGGGGTAGAGGGATAAAAGGCTACAAATTTGGCTCAGTGTACACTGCTCAGGTGATGGGTGCACCAAAATCTCACAAATCACCACTAAAGAACTCACTCATGTAACCAAACACCCCTGTTCCCCCAAAACCTATGGAAATAAATAAATAAATAAAGGCCAAAAAAAAAAAAAAAAAACCAAAAAACCAGTGCTGCACTGTTGATCTCTTGTGCTCTCTATCTGTTGCCTTCATTCTCCTTTCTCTTCAGATTGGCTTTCTTGCTTCTCCTGCCCACCTGGCAGCATGTGACATCCAGCCCTCACCCCCATCCCTTGCTCCTAAGCTTGCAAAACATATACAGGCCAACTGAGTTCTCAGTCCCAATTCCAAATTCCTGGGACAAAGAATTGGATTGGCCCAACTTTGATTAGATGGTCCCCTCAGGTCCAGTTGGCTGTGGCCAGGGCAGTGGAGATGTGTAGTATAAACATAGCTGCCGATGGCCCTCCTCTGTGGAACTGGGTAAGGAGGGAAGTTTCCTGAGGAGGGAGAACTGAGCAGCACCCAAATGTGTCTACTTCAGCCTTTCTGTCAGTCTTGTCACTTTGTCATTTCATCCCACATAGGCAACAGATTTTCTTTCTTTCCTTTTCTCTTTCTCTTCTTCCTTCCTTCCTTCCTTCCTTGCTCCCTTTCTCCCTTCCTCCTTCCCCTCCCCTCCCTTCACCTCCCTTCCCCTTCCCTTCCCTTCCCCTTCCCTTCCCTTCCCTTCCCCTTCCCTTCCCTTTCCCTTCCCTTTCCTTCCCCTTCCCCTTCCCTTCCCTTTCCTTCCCCTTCCCTTCCCTTTCCTTCCTTCCTTCTTTCCTTCCTTCCTCCGTTCCTTCTTTCTTTCCTTTCTTCTCTTTCTTTTCTTTTCTTTCTTCCTTTCTTTGACAGGGTCTTGCTCTGTCATCTGGAGTGCAGTGGAACAATCATGGTCCACTGTAGCCTCAACCTCCTGGGCTCAAGCAATCTTCCTGCCTCAGCTTCTCAAGTAGCTGGGACTCAGCTACTCGGCGCATACCACCACACCCAGCTAATTTCTTTTTTGTAGAAATGGGGTCTCACTGTGTTGCCCAGGCTGATCTTGAACTCTTGGCTTCAAGCAATCCTCCCACTTTGAGCCCCCAAAGTGCTGAGATTACAGGTGTGAGCCACCATACCCGGCTGGTGATAGATTTTCTGTAGGTTGTATTGCCATCAGTTGGAGTTTTCTAGAAGTAAAAGAGATTCTGAGTATGGGAATTTCCAAAATGTAGTAGGTCTTGCTCATTAAAATGGGCCCAAGAAAGCACTCATGAAGCATTTTATGGGGTGCTTTTGGAGACTACTAAATAAAATGGTTTAGTTATAAAACAGCTGGAGTTGATCCATTGAACAAAAATATAAGAGGGCTATTTCGCTGAGCTGGCTAGTGTAAATCTTACTAAAATTAGAAACTGGAGCCCAATACTAGTAGTGAGACAGAGCTTACACAAAGATCTTAATAAACATATTACAGTGGTTTCTAGGGGAACTTACCAGTGAAAGGCAGGAGCTTTTATTTTGGAGTCACTGCTGCAGAAAATGAGGGCATCAAAGACTAAGTCCCATTGCTGTCATTGTGGTTGTTTTCAGACAGGGACGTCCGTTTTTCTAGCAGGGAAATCTAGATGATGGGCAGTTTCACCAGCCATACCCATAGTTAAGGAAGATAACTTGACAAGGTACAGCCTGGGACACAGATTTCAGAAGCTACTTGGCCCTCCCCAAATGCCTTCCCCCACCCACTGGCTGAGGTGCTTTAAGATGGGATGAAAATCTTATTCACTGCCTAGTGGTAATTTTACAGAGCAGGGATCACTGGGAAAGGTAACACATGGGCGGGCATGAGGCACTGTCATAAAAGCAGGCTTTGCTCAGACATGGACTGCACATCTAAAGGTGACTGTAGGAAGAGGGACGTGGGGAAAAAGAAAGGAGGTTACTGGGATGGAAAGCAAATGGCGAATGCCTAACACTTCAGCTTGGGGTCTGTTCTGGAGGAAAAAAATATTTTTGTGCACCAAAAAATGTCTGAAGACAGTTTACTATGGCTTAGCTTAAAAGGGAAAAATAAAGAGGGGAAATATTGCTTTCAAGTACTTAAATGTAAGAAAGATTTTAATGGGCTCTATCTATAGAAAATAAAGATTTTCTGAGAAGCGAGCTGTAGTAATAAATTCTAGTTCAGGGTCAGGTTACTGAAGGGAAGTGGAAGTGGGTTTGGGCACTATATTCAAGAAGTCTGGAAGAGAGGATAGAGTTAGATTTGTTTTGAATAAGGTGAGCCTGACTTAGTTTGAGTCGTGTTTGCAGCCTATTGCACTTTTATATACTAAACAAAATCTCAGAAATCTTCCCTTTATTTTCACCTGTTCTAATACCATTCACGGGCCAAGGCAATCCATCTAATTAAGTATGCTTGCATAGGCAGGTGTTCCCACTAGAGAAATAAAAATCAATGGAAGATTGTGGTAATTTTCACAGCCAACAGTGTTGGCCCACATTATTGGACCATTATATACTTGGTTTGCTGTCTGTTTATCTGTTGGTTACTTTTTTTTAAAAAAAATGATATCATCAAGTAATCTTCAGGGCATAAAAAGGAGCTTCATTCAACTCCTCAGTAATAACAGTCATTACTGTACTCTCTAAAAACAATTGGCTAGTTACGTGCAGCTTCTAAAGAGTTCCCTAATCCAGAAAACTGCAAATTACATAGTAATGATTATTGAGGTACTGTGGTAACTCCAGTCATCATTTCAATGTAATTGATAGAGCATGAATAACTATAAATTATGTCATATATACAACCTCTTTACAGGGAACTCACACAGTTATTTGTGGTATGCATAATAAAGCAAAATCTAAATTGAATGTTAATTTTAATAAAAATCACTTTTATACCTCATTTCCATCTGAATGGATACCATCTGTTTTAAGGTGCTAGCAGGGAGCAAAGTAAAATTGAACTCCAAAAATACAAACATTTGTTGTTTTCCAGCTTTTCCAATTTAATGATGAAAGCCATGAAAGAAACAAGAGACTTTGATATAGTATTGTTTTCCAGGGCAAGGGGTTATCAAAGACATTAACAAACGTTAATTAAGAATATTAGGATTTTTTTCCATGCTGAGCTAAGAAAACTCTCGGATCCCAGTTTTAGTTTGCAGATTTTTTGTTATTGTCCAACTTTAGGATCATCCAGTATCAAACCCACAGACTACAGTTTGATCAAAAGTAGCTCATGTAGGAGCTGAGCCCAGGAAGCACTAATGGGGCAGAGGGAAAGTGAGACCAGGAGGGGAAGGAAGTGAATGAAGTGTGTATTTCCACCATGGGCAACAGAAGCTTGATGCCGCTGGGGAATCTGGAGAGCATGAGAAACACCTCAGAGTAATCTTCACCTCATCCACCCATGGCTGGGATGTTTTGGGGCTCTAACTTGCTTTCTTTTTCTTTTCTTTTTCTTTCTTTCTTTCTTTCTTTCTTTCTTTTTTTTTTTTTTTTTTTGAGACAGGGTCTCGCTCTGTTACCCAAGCTGGAGTGCAGTGGCGCAATCTCGGCTCACTGGAACCTCCACTTCCTGGGTTCAAGTGATTCTCCTACCTCAGCCTCTCCAGTAGCTGGGACAGGTGCCCGCCACCATGCCCTGCTAATTTTTGTATTTTTAGTAAAGACGGGGTTTTGCCATGTTTGCCAGGCTGGTCTCGGACTCCTGACCTCAGGTGATCCACCCACCTCGGCCTCCCAAAGTGCTGGGATTACAGGCGTAAGTCACCACGACGAGCCTCTTTTTCTTTTTTTTGAGACAGTCTCGCTCCGTTGTCCAGCCTGGAGTTCAGTGGCGCGATTGCGGCTCACTGCAACCTCCGCCTCCCAGGATCAAGCGATTCTCCTGCCTCAGCCTCCTGAGTAGCTGGAGTACAGGTGCACACTATCATGCCCAGTTAAACTTTAAAAAAAAATTTTGTAGAGACGGGGTCTTATTATGTTGCCTAGGCTGGTCTCAAACCCCTGGGCTCAAACAATCTTCCCACCTCATCCTCCCAAGGTGCTGGGATTACAGGTGTAAGAGAACATTTAAATTGACTATTAAACATTGCTTTTCTTAAAGGTCCTTGCCATCCTTCCCTGGGGGATTTATCCCAGCCATCCTTCTCCTCATTTGTTATAGGGTTGAGTCTCCCCGGAAAAAGACATGTTGGAGTCCTAACTCCAGGTACCTCGGAATGGGAACTTATTTGGAGATAAGGTGTTTTTAGAGACAGCCAAGTTAAAATGAAGTCGTTAGGGTGGGCCCTAATCCAATATGACTGGTATTCTTACAAGAAGGGGACATTTTGGCCAGGCGTGGTGGCTCATGCCTGTAACTTCTGCACTTTGGGAGGCCGAGGCGGGTGGATCACCTGAGGTCAGGAGTTCAAGACCAGCCTGGCCAACATGATGAAACCCTGTCTCTACTAAAAATACAAAAAATTAACTGGGCATGGTGGCAGGTGCCTGTAATTCCAGCTACTCAGGAGGCTGAGGCAGGAAAATCGCTTGAACCCGGGAGGCGGAGGTTGCAATGAGCTGAGATTGTGCCACTGCACTCCAGCCTGGGCAACAAGAGCAAAACTCCATCTCAAAATTAAAAAAAAAGAAGGGGGCATTTGGACACAGAGACAGACACGAATAGAGGGATTATAATAAGAAGCAACAGAGGGACAAGATAGCCATCCATAAGTCTATAGTCCTGGAACAGATTATTCCCTCAGTGGGAACCAACTCTGCCAACACCTTGATCTTGGACTTCTAGCCTCTAGAAATGTGAGACAATACCTTTCTGTTATTTAAGCCACTTTGTGATACTTTGTTACACAGCCCTAGCAAATGAATACACACCATTGTACCCAGATGCCCCTCCACCAAGAGCTTTCTCTTTCACTTTCTCTCCTATACTTCCACAACTTTGGTCTCCTGCACAGTAGAGAAAGATTCAAATTTTCTGTGATTTTGTTTTGAAAAGCAATGGAACTCTTATTACTTAACTCTTTCCCATCTAGGTTAATTCCTAAGGAGCCTAGTTGTTCATAACCAATCCATCCACTAGACTGTTTTTCTAACAAAAGAGCAGGTTTCCCTCTACTAGTGAACTTCCTTAAACTTCAGAGCCAGTTCTTATAATAACTGTCCCCACCTCCTGTTATATGTGGTTTTGTCATTAAATAATTACAGCATTTTGGTCATGCTTAAATATTCCTTGTGTTTATTTTGGATATGATGTAAGCTGGTTACATGTAGAAGTCTTTTATTCCTCCTGGAATGATCTCCAGGTGACTCAGAACTTCTCTGACTCTTCAGAACAGAACACTATCTGGATTCCACATCTTGAAGAGGTAATAGAAACATGTTAGCTCTCTTGGGAGAAACAACAGCTCTATTCCTGGGATGCTTAGGAAACTTGGCTACTATGGGGTTTCTAAAGAGATGGGGCAAGTTTTCCCTGGGCATTGATTGATAATCTGCTGTTTAAGAAAGTCCAGCTGGGCATGGTGGCTCACACACATAACCCCAGCACTTTGGGAGGCCGAGGCAGGCGGATTGCTTGAGCTCAGGAGTTGGAGACCAGCCTGGGTAATGTAGCGCAACCCTGTCTCTACAAAAAATACCAAAATTACCTGGGTATGGTGGTGCATGCCTGTAGTCCCAGCTACTCAGGAGGCTGAGGAAGGAGGATTGCTTGAACCCTGGAGGTTGCAGTGAGCTGAGATCACCACTGCACTACAGCCTGGGTGACAGAGGAAAAAAAAATCCAGGAACTAATGTTTGGTACAGATATAGGTCATCATAGACTTGGTTTCCGAAAAGACTCTGGAGTGCTACTGTTATGAAATGTTTAGCTGGTGCTTAACAACAAACTCAGTCAGCACTGCAAAGGTGAAAGGCATGCATGTACTTTATTTCCTTCACGGATTCTGAAAGTTTGGGATAAATAAAAGAGTTATCAGTCATGTTTTCAATACACAAGAGAAGCTGGTTTTTGAAGGATTTTATCTATGAATACTATCATTCACAGGGGCCTGGCCCATACTAAGTGAACATATATTTGCCAAATGAAAGAAGGAATACTTTTAAATGAAAAATTATTTTCATGGAAAACAATCACATTTAGTTTCTTATAGCATTTGGAAAGACTTCAGAGAACTCTTAGTCAAACCTCCAACCCAGTGCAGAAAATCCTGTAATCCTTGCATGCTTGGGGTGAAGGAGAGCATCCCACTCCATGGAATGGTAGCGTAGGGCGGCAGGTGAACTGTGGGTTCTGGAGCTGGACTGCCTGGGTTTGCATCAACCCTGACACTCAAGAACTTGTAACCTTGGACAAGTTACTTATCTTGATGCCACTCAGTCTCCTCATCCATAAAATGAGGACAATAGTACCCGCCTTATAGGTTGCTGTGAAGATTTCATGAGTTCATACAAGTCGAGTGCTAGACTCACAGTGAGCACTCAGTGATAACTATTAGTATCATTAGAAAAGTTTGATGTTTCTTCTTGTATTGAGTTGCAGTCTTCCTCTCTGTAACTTATATGTTCATTTGCTTTAGCTTTACTCTCTGGAACTGCTAACACCCTTCAAAGAGCAATCATTTCCTCTCCCCGTCCTCAAGTCATATCCAAATGAAAAATCCCCAGTGTGTTCAAATATTCCCATGGGGCATCTTATAAGCACCTTCTCATCCAGTTGCTTTTTGTTGAGCTCTGTCAATATTGTTTGACCACCTGCTCTTTCCCAGGTGGTTCCCAGAATTGCACATTGTCCTCCAGATATGGCCCAAGCAGAGTGAGAGCAATGAGGCTATTATCATTCTGTGCTGCACTATATACTCTGAGGTGTCTGGTCACAGATTTCATTAAGTGCTTTGGTGGCCAAGTCACATTGCGAGCTCATCCACTAAAATCTCCTAGCCTTTCCTTTTATTTTTCTTTTTACCTGAACTTTAAGCCTTATCATGCTCATCCTGTGTTGTATAGTTGATGTATTTCAATGTTTGTACACATCTACATACCTGTCTTGTGAATCTATTAACATTATATGTCATTAGGCAAAAAATGAAGAAATCTTTTGCATTTGTGTTGAGACAGTTTTCATTTCTTTTACCTTTTTTTTTTTTTTTTTTTGAGACAAGGTCTCACTGTGTTGCCCATGCTGGAGTGCAGTGGCATAATCATAGCTCACTGAAATCTTGAACTCCTAGGCTCAAGGGATCCTCCGCCTCAGCCTCCCAAATGCTGGAATTACAGTCATGAGCCCAACCATTTCTTACTTTTGAAACAGGATGTTGAGTGAGAACTGTTTCTGGAGCCCAGGAATTGCTGACTGGGGCTCAAAGATGAGGACAAAGGTTTACGTACCTCATGTTCTAAAGACAGCCACCAACCGTTGGGTTAGGCGCCTCCCTTGGGAGTATTAAGCTGTGCCTTAACTGGCTTTCCTACTTGCATCCATCATTCAAGCCCTCATCCCTGTGAGCCGTGCAATGATTTTTGCAAGGAACATTGCTTTAGTGAAGGGGAGGGAATGCCCGTCCCCCTCCAAGCTAAATAATGGGAGACGACTTCTAAGCAATTTACTCATAGATAGTGGGGAAGCTTGAAAAGGGGGGATTTAGATATTTTATTCTCTTGCTGTCTTTCTGGTTAGGGAGTAGACATGTGAATTTGTTCTGTGCCTTTCTAAGCAGGGGAAATGAAAATGAAAGAACAATGTCAGGGTCAAACGAGGAGGATGAACGTGGAGCAGGATTCAATCCCACTGGCTGGTGTGGCAAGGATGTATGATATTCGCGTTGGTCAAACGGACCCTGAGGAGGGTAAAGGAGGTTGGGCCAAGAAGGCTGGCAGGAGCCAAGGGGGATTGAGAGAGGCTGGGCCAGAGCTGGAACTCTTACATGGGCAATAGTGCAGTAGGGAGACTCCCTGCTAAGAGCCCTCTGAAGACCTCATGCACCCAAGAGAGCCAGAGATGCAGGACAGCCACGGGACAAGGCCACAACACCGCCCAGTGAAGTAGGAGACACCTGTCCCTTTCTCTCTTCTTCCTCCCCCGACTCAACCTCCCAGAGGAGCTAGAGCCCACAGGAGCCTGTGTCCTGTGGAGACGGTATCTCAAGGGCAGACTGTGCCGCAGCCACCCCATCCAGAAGATATGGGGGAAGAAGGGTAAAAGAGTCATTCATGTCACACCCTCCACTCAGTTCCCTGCAGTTACAAGCTCTCAGGTGATGAGGGGAGGGAATGCTTTCAATCAGATATGATGTTGGAACCTTAAATTAAATAGACTTTTCATAACTAAGAGTGACCAGGAAGCTGAAGAAACACCCAAGATATTATTAGAGTACCTGTTATCCAGTAGGCAGTAAGATGTATCTTCATATAGTTGAAGGCAGTGGTTAGAGAAAAATAGAACCATTTCAAATTTGTTTGAGTTGAGAGTGTTTAAATAAACAAATAAATAAATATAATTTTCCTAAGACACGGTCTTGCTCTGTCACCCAGGCTGGATTGCAGTGGTGCAATAGCTCACTGCAGCCTTCACCTCCCAGACTCAAGTGATCCTACCACCTCAGCCTCTCAAGTAGCTGGCATTACAGGCACATGCTACCAGGCCCAGCTAATTTTTTTAAAAAAGTTTTGTAGCAATAGATTATCACTATGTTGCCCAGGCTGGTCTTGAAATCACGGGCTCAAGTGAACCTCCCACCTCAGCCTCCCAACTGCTGTGGAGAGTGTTTGCCCAAGAGGCTATGCCATGTAACTTTTGAGTCACCCTCCATTCCAGCTAACTCAGTTAGGGTTGGTCTTAGTTTTCCATTGCTGTTTGACAGACTATCATAAATTGGGAAATTTACAGCACATCCATTTATTCTCTTACGGTTCAGTGGGTCAGAAATCTGGGCTGGCTTGGCTGGACTCACTGCCTAGATGCGCATGCTCCCGAGGCCGGGCTCCCATTGCCAGGCTTCGCTGGGAGACGTGCCTCCAAGCTCATTCAGGTTGCTGGCCGAATCCAGTTCCTCGCAGCGGTAGGTCTGAAGTCCTTGCTTCCTTGCTGACTTTCGGTCTGGCATTGTCCCAGCTCCTTGAGGCCACTGCACTAGTATTCCTTTTTTTTTTTTTTTTTTGAGACAGAGTCTCGCTCTGTCGCCCAGGCTGGAGTGCAGTGGCGCGATCTGGGCTCACTGCAAGCTCTGCCTCCCGGGTTCACACCATTCTTCTGCCTCAGCCTCCCGAGTAGCTGGGACTACAGGCGCCTGCCAGCACGCCCGGCTAATTTTTTGTATTTTTAGTAGAGACGGGGTTTCATGTGTTAGCCAGAATGGTCAAAATCTCCTGACCTCGTGATCCACCCGCCTCGGCCTCCCAAAGTGCTGGGATTACAGGCGTGAGCCACCACGCCCGGCCACCAATATTCCTTTTTACGTGGTCCCCTTCATCTGCAAAACAGCAGCCGTGCACTGACTTCTCATTCTGCCATGCCTGAGTCCTTCTGCCTTTAAGGACTCAAGTGATGACCCTGGGCCTGCCTGCATGATCCAGGCTAACCTCCCTATCTGAAGGTCAACTGATTGGTAAACTTATGTTCAATATTCCTTATATCCAGACTTTCTCGGGCCCCAGAAGTCTTCTCCAGGCCCACAAAGGCACACACAGTAGTATAAAATATAGCATGGATCAGAGGAGAGCTATTTCCTGCCTAGAATGAACCTCACCACTGCATGTCTGCAGGCTGGTGCTACTGTCTTGAATAGTGATGACCTTCTAAGCATTAGACCTCTGTTTTGAGGACCACTGAGTTCCAACTCGCCTCATCAGATACCCTAGATTCCAGATCCTTGGTGTTGCTGGAACCCTGGCCAGTCCTTGGCCTCTCTAGTTCCTGACTCCTGGCTGGCATGCGGCAGCCAGGACTCCCCTTTGCTCTGTCCCACCTCTTGGGGCTCCCTGGTTCTCCCGAGCCACCTTCCGTCAGTCCTGATCAGCTGCTGCTTCTGCCCCAAAAGTGATGGGCAACCTTCGAGGAGCTAAAGCGCTGTCTACACTCCTGCACTGGGCAGGTGAAGTAAGGGCGACGTGAAATGTCAACTCTGGCTGACCCCAGCTGCCGGCTGAGTGTCAGCTGGTTGTTTGCCCACTAGGTGGCGTCTGTGGAGCCTGAGGAGACAATGAGGGCTTTCCTGTTAAAAACGCACAAAGGAAGCGTTCTTTTGCTTTTCTTTTTCCTGTTTATTCCACTCACCAGCATCACGGCCCCCACTACTCTAAAAGTAACACTAAAACAAGGCGCCTTTCTAAGTCTCCCTCCCAAGGGGATTGCAGCTTCTTTCAGACCCCCCTGACTAGAGTAAGACAAGAAGTCTGTGCTTTCCCCAGTTTGCCATTAGGTTGTAATTGGAGTCCACTGAGCACCAGTTAACTCTCACCTCCTCCCACCCCTTTCTTTCAGCTGATTTTCTCCAAGGCCCACAAGTAAGAAGTTAAGCCATAGATTTCCTTTTCTTTTCTTTCCTTCTTCTTTCTCCCTTTGTCTCTCTCTCCCTCTTTTTTTCTTTCAAGTTTGCTCCATTTTAAATTTACTTTGGAAGGAGGAGCAGTAGGAGAAGAAAATCTCTACTATCAATTAAGCGGGATTTAACACAGGGCCTATGCAGTGCACGAGTGTCTACGCAGGCGGAGGGCATGGTGTGGCCTAAGAAGTGAGAGGTTACAAGGATTTGCTCCATGAAATAAAAACTAAAGCTAATGCCTATCAAATACATTGCCATTTCCAGGGAATGCAAAGCAGTTTGTACTTTAAAAGTGAGTTTTATTTTATTCATTTGTAGAGACAGGGTCTCGCTATATTGCCCAGGCTGGTCTCGAACTCTTGGCTTCAAGTGATCCTCCTGCCCCAGTTTCCCAAAGTGCTGAGACTACAGGTGTGAGCCACAACACACAGAAAAAAGTGAGTTTTTAGATCAGCTTGAAGGGAGGAGAGATTGGAGTTTTGCCTCCGGTCTCCTTTTTCCCATCTTTCCCCAGGCCACATCTGCATGGAAGGAAAAATAGGGTTACAACATTAGTAGTAAAAACCTATTTATTCAGGCTACCCCGTATGCATTATCTGAGGAAACTCCAGGTATGCTTTTCTGGTGATCTATTACATGGCATGGTGACTGACTATAGTTAATAATAATGTATCGCATATTTCTAAATAGCTAAAGGAATGAATTTTAAATGTTTTACCACAAAGAAACAAAAAATATTTGAAGTGATGGATAAGTTAATCAGCCTGATTTGATCATTCCACAATGTACACATGTATCAAAACATCACATTATACCCCATAAATATATATAATTATTATTTGTCAGTTAAGAAGAAAATAAAACTTAAAAAAACCAAAGGCCCAGGTGGGGATGCCGTGCCCTCAGGCACCACGAGAAATTCACCATTTCTTTCAGCCCTGCCGGGAGGCATTCTCCAGCTCTTGCTGTGATGTGCCAAAGGTCCCCCGGGCTGCACAGTGGCCCAACATGGGAGATGCTCTTCTAGGTCTGCAGGCCATGCTCCACTGTTCACTTCACTAACACCATGCCCTGGCATCATGGAGCCATTGCCTTGATTGGACCCCACAGCCTGTCCTTTCACTCCTTCCTTTCAGTGTGTAAGAACATAGAAATCTAGTCGAAGTTCTTTGTCCTTCTCTGCTCATAAAATGGTTGAGTCTACTTTGGGCCCTTTTCTTTGTTTTTGTTCTCTGAAGTTATCTGGGGGAAAATATTCACAATCAAGCTTGTTTTTCCCTAATAGGAAAGAGTAAGGCAGCTTGACTACTATCAGGAGAAAATAAGATCCTTGGTACTGGTCCAGCACGGCGGCCCATGCCTATAATTCCTGCACTTTGGGAGGCCAAGGTGAGAGGATTGCTTGAGCTCAGGGGTTTGGAATCAGCCAGGGCAACACAGCGAAACCCTGTCTCTACAAACAATACAAAAAATTAGCCGGGTGTGGTGGTGTGTGCCTGTAGTCTCAGCTACTCGGGAGGCTGAGCAGAGAGGATCACTTGAGCCCAGGAGGTCAAGGCTGCAATGAACCATAATTGCACCACTGTACTCCAGCCTGTGCAACAGAGTGAGGCCCTGCCTAAAAAAAAAAAAAAAAAAAAAAATACGGCCAGGTGTGGTGGCTCATGTCTGTAATCCCAGCAGTTTGGGAGGCCAAGGCGGGTGGATCACCTGAGGTCAGGAGTTCAAGCAGCCTGGCCAACATAGTGAAACCCTGTCTCTACTAAAAATACAAAAATTAGTCTCCACTAAAAATACAAAAATTAGTCAAAAATTAGCTTGGTGGCATGTGCCTGTAATCCCTGCTACTCAGGAGGCTGAGGCAGGAGAATTGCTTGAACCTGGGAGGTGGAAGTTGCAGTGAGCCGAGATTGAGCCACTGCACTCCAGCCTGGGCAACAGAGCAAGACTCCGTGCCCCTCCACCCCCAAAAAAGAAGATCCCTGGTGCTTATTCTGCCATTATTGTAAATTAGTTGTAAACATTTTTGTACAATCCTAACTGGGTGGGGTAAAACATAAACTGGTTTTATTTGTCTTTGTCTCCTTTCCAGATTATTATCTCTTTCTCATTAGGTAGTGGACCCCTTAGCACCACCACCAGCTTAGATTCCGTAACTTCATGAACACCCTTGATTATTAAAGATGTTCCAGCTTCTCAAAGCTGTCTATTTTCCCATCTTGTCAGGCTTATGGCTCAAAGGAACTGCAGTGGTCAGGACAGGGCTGTGAACTGCTCTGGTCCTCTCCCAACCTCTCCACCTTCCCTCAGAGTGGAAGGGCTATATCACCTCTGGGATGCTGCCTCCTCTTCATCCTCCAGGCTCTAGCTGCAATGGGGTGTTGGACCCCAACTCACAACCCTAGCAAATCTCTTCTCTCTTCTCTGAGAAGGTGGTGGGGTTGTGGGGCTGGTTCGAGGCTATGGCTGGTGTTAGAAGGGCCAGCTCGGCCAGACGTGGTGGCTTACACCTGCAATCCCAGCACTTTGGGAGACCGAGGCAGGCGGATCACCTGAGGTCAGGAGTTCGAGACCAGCCTGACCAACATGGTGAAATCCCGTCTCTACTAAAAATACAAAAACCAGCCGGGCGTGGTGGCATGCGCCTGCAGTCCCAGCTACTCAGGAGGCTGAGGCAGGAGAATCGCTTGAACCCGGGAGGCAGAGATTGCAGTGAGCCGAGATCGCACCACTGTACTCCAGCCTGGGCAACAGAGTGAGACTCCATCTCAAAAAACAAAAAGAAGGGCCAGCTCAACGCCCACCCCACCCCACCCCACCCCACCCCACCCAGTAAGCTGTGAGCGTGGTGAGCATCCCAATGGTCAGCCGCTTTCTTTAGAATGTGGGGTACTTACTGCCTTTTTGTCTCCAGCATTGGATCCTAAGCACCAATTTTGGGGCAAACAGAAAATCCCACTCATTAACCTGCTACAAAGTAGAATGCCATTCCTCATGCCCTCTTCTTTCCCCCGCTGTGTTAGGCCACCAGACCCCACCTCCATCATTGGGGATTACATTTCAACGTGAGATTTGCAGGGAACAAACATCCAAACCATATCACCCACACACAGTTTCTTTGAGGGCTCCCCAGAGGAATACCTGAGACTGCATAATTTATAAAGAAAAGAGGTTTAACTGGCTCACAGTTCTGCAGGCTATACAAGCATGGTGCCAGTATCTGCTCTGCTTCTGGTGAGGCCTCAGGAAGCTTGTACAGCCTGCAGTACTGGTCTGGGGCTTCATGATCTCACCTCAGGAATCTCATCAGCCTGTCTAGGGTCAGGTGTCCATCCGTTTTGCCCAGAGGATTAGAATGCCTTGATTGACCACACTTGAGTTGGGTGACTATCTCTGGAATCAGAAGGTGAGCTCATCCCTTTACTTTCATTGGGAAAGAATGAAGAAAGAATATTTTCTCAAAGAAAAATGAAGGCGATATGACCAGAAGAAGAAACAATAGATGCCTGGCAGGCATAAAACACAAATGTCCATTATGGAGAACGAGGGAACCGGGAATAGGAATTTTGAAGTGGTTTTATTGGAATATTAAAGCAACCTTGCATACCACATTTATTTTAAAGAATTCCACTTTTCAGCCAAAAATATAGTGAGATTTTCTTTATAAATTTGCTTTATATCATTTGCTCAGATTAAAGGATTTAAGATTCTGGCAGGTACATTTTGATGCATGTATCTGGTATCCTTTATGTGTAAGAGATAACAGAGTCATAATGCCTAGAGGCAGAGCCCTGGGGTGTGACTGGAACATTTCCTGTTTAACAAAGTCTGTTTTATCTAAGAGTTACTGTTGCCATCCTCAAAGCAGCAAATCACCTGGATCATTGTGCTTTCAAACCAGCCTCAGAAATGATGCCCACGAAGCAGACAAAGTTAGAGAGCTCCTTCTAGAGAGGGGCTATTAATAGGCTTCAATAAGGAAAAGTTCAAACACATGCAGATCAGGAAAAAAGAAAATGACCCAAATGAAAGGTCTGAGATGTAAGAGGGAATCATGCACAAACGCAGTGGTAAATATGTGGGCACATCAAGCAAAAATCAACCAAACAAAATTATTAATAATGTACAAATTGTGGGGTTAGAAGAGAGACTTAAAATACTGGATAGCATTGGTATGCATATTGGGAAGAGGATCAGAGTAAAATTATTCTTGGATTCTTAAATGACTCATGAGGAGAGTAAAATTATTAACTTTTGAAATGGTAAAATATTTATGCTGTTGTATCTAGGGTAGCCAACGAAAAACAGACATAGAGAGTATAACTTATAAGCAGAGGGGGAAAATCAGAAAAACAAAAGAAACAAAAAGCAAACCTCCATGAATCCAAATTTTTTGACAAGCAGAGAAAAAAGAAGAAGAGAAAAAGTGGAACAAACAGCACAAAATGAGATGATAGAATTAAATCAAAATATATCAGTAATCACAATAAATGAAGTGAATGACTTCCTTCAGTTAAAAGACAAAGAGGGTCAGAAAAAGGCCCAGGCATGGTGGCTCACATCTGTAATCCCAGCACTTTGGGAGGCTGAGGTGGGTGGATTGCTTGAGTTCAGGAGTTTGGAACCCCGTCTCTACAAAAAATACAAAAATTAGCTGGGTGTGGTGGTGCATGCTTGTGGTCCCAATTACTCGGGAGGCTGAGGCAGGAGGATCGCTTGAGCCCAGGATCTGGAGGCTGCAGTGAGCCATGAGAATGGCATTGCCCTCCAGCACGTGACAGAGTGAGACCCTGTCTCAAAAGAAACAAAAAAAAAAAAAAAGAAAAAAGAAAATGATAAAATCTAGCTCTAGGCCATTTATACAACACAAACCTAAATCATAAGGATACAGAAATATCCTTAAAAGAAGGAAATGTATATCAAGCAGAGACTAATCTAAAGAAATGTGGTATAGCTATATTAATATAAGACAAAATAGACTATTAGACAAAAAGGCAAAAAACCCCCACACCCAACACTGGTCACTACACAGTGATAAAAGCTTAAATCACCAGAAAAATATGAAAATGATAAACTTGTTTATACCTAATAATAGAGCAAAAATTATCCAACTACAAGAGAAAATTGATAAATTCACTGTATTTAGAATCAAATGATAACAAAATAATATGTGGAAACCTTGTAGTATATGGTTAAAGGGATGCTTGTAGGGAAATATTTATTCTTAATGCTATCATTAGAAAAGAAGAAAAGCTCAAAATTAATGATCCATGTATACAACCTGAGAAATTAGAAATAGGAACAGCAGGCCTGGCGCGGGGGCTCACGCCTGTAATCCCAGCACTTTGGGAGGCTGAGGCGGGCGGATCACAGGGTCAGGAGATTGAGACCATCCTGGCTAACACGGTGAAACCGCATCTCTACTAAAAATGCAAAAAAAAAAAAAAAAAATTAGCCGGGCCTGGTGGCAGGCGCCTGTAGTCCCAGCTACTCGGGAGGCTGAAGCAGGAGAATGGCGTGAACCCAGGAGGTGGAGGTTGCAGTGAGCTGAGATCGCGCCACCGCACTCCAGCCTGGGAGACAGAGCAAGACTTCGTCTCAGAAAAAACAAAAGAAAAGAAAGAAATAGGAACAGCAGACGAAACTAAAAAAAAAAAAAAAATTTAAGTAGAGGGAAGGAAATAATACATATAGAAAGATAAATTAATGAAGTAAAAAACAACCATATAACTGAGAATATTGACAAACATTTTCTGAAAAGTTTAATGAAACTGACAAACATCTGCTAAGATAAAGCAATAATGAAAGAAGACACAAATTAACACTATTAAGAAAAAATGGGGAATGTAACTACAGATAGAAACAAATTTTAAAAATAAAAGAATATTATAGACAACTTTATGCCAATAAATCTGAAAACTTAAAGTATGTGTAAATTCCTGGAAAAATACAACTTGCAAAAACTGACTCAAGACATGGAAAATTTAGTTTATGAATAATGCCACATTAACACATGAAGAAGAAAGATGATCATCTCAACAAATGCAGAAAAAGTTGATGAAATTAAACATTTATTTACTATAGAAACTAAAAATTAAAAGAAATGTTATTAACCCATTAAAGGGGATCTACAAAAAAACTAAAGGAAATGTGAAACCAAATGGTGACTGGTGAAAGCATTCCCTCTAATATCAGGAATCAGGTAAGGGTGCTTGCTACTAACACTTCTTTTGCATGCTGTACTGGATATCCTGGACTGTTTAGTATATCAAGGAAAAGCAAAATAAAAGACATAAGAATCAGAAATGAATAAGCAAAGTTGCCATTATTCATAGATGGTATATTTGCCTGTTTAGAAAGCATTAAAGAAACAAATTATTTGCGTTTTAGCAAGCTTTCTGGATATAAAATCATCAACCGAAAGGCAATTACATTTCTTTTTTGTTGTTCTTTTTAATTGCTTTCCTTCTTTTTTTAAAAAAATCCTTCATTAGAAGGCAATTATATTTCTATACATCAGCAACAGTTAGAAAATGTAATTTTTAAGAGATGCCATTAAAAATAACAACAATATAAAGCACCTAGGAATAAATCTGTCAAAAGTTTTGCGTGGATGGGGTGCGGTGGCACATGCCTGTAATCTCAGCACTTTGGGAGGCTGAGGCAGGCAGATTTCTTGAGCTCAGGAGTTTGAGACTAGCCTGGGTGACATAGCGAAACACCATCTCCACCAAAATACAAAAAATTAGCTGGGCATGGTGGTGTGTGCCTGTGGTCCCAGCTACTTGGGAGGCTGTGGTGGGATGATCACTTGAGCCCAGGAGGTCGAGGCTGCATTGAGCCGAGATCATGCCACTGTACTCCAGCCTGGGTGACAGAGTGAGACCCCATCTCAAAGAGAAAAAAAGAAAGTTTTCTGTGACTGTTGTGGAACTACTGAAATACATTAAAGATGACCTAGTTAAGTGGAAATACATACTATACTTATGGCTACTATATTCAATATTAAAAAGATGTTAGTGTTCTTCAGTTGATCCACTGATTCAATGAAATTTCAATAAAAATGCCAATAGGAATTTTTTAGAAACTTGATGAATTGGTTCTAAATTTATATGGAAGATTGAGGGGCTATTAATAGCCCTTTCAGTCTCAAAAAAGAACCAAACACAAAAATCAATTCAAGATGGATTGAAGGCTTAAATGTGAAAGGCATAAAACCTTAAAACTTAAAAGCCAATATATGGGAATGTCTTTATGGCTTTGGGATACGGAAGAATTTCTTAAAGAAGACATACAAGAAAAGCAGAAACAATGAAAATAATTGATAAATTTACATTAAATTTAAGAACTTATGTTTTCAGAAAAGACCATTAACTGAGTAAAAAGGGTGGCCCTGAATTAGAAGAAGACATTTGCCAAACATAATTTAAAAGAATTAGGATTTGGAATATATAAAGAATACCTAAAGAATCAAAAGAAAAAGACAAACAATTGAAAATTTGACAAAAGGCATGATTTAGGCATTTCATAGAAGACAGAACATAAACGGTTCATAATAATGTGAAAAGGCGCTCAACCTCATTTGTAATCAGGGAGACACAAATTAAATTTACAATTAGATACTATTTCATACTTGCCAGACTGGCAAAAATCTTAGGCCAACTGATGGTGAAGTTATAGCACAATGTGCACGGCTGCTTGAAATGCAACTTGGTATGACCGCTCTACTCAGTAAAGTTCCATAAATACATTGTGACCCAGCAATTTCACTTCCAGGTATAAACCTTAGAAAAACTTTTGTACATGTACCCCAGAAAACAGGTACTAGAATGCTCATAGCAATGTTATCTCTAAAGGCAAAACTGGAAAAACTCATATATTCACCCCCAATAGAATGGATAAACCTTCTGAAGTATATTCATACACTGTAATAGCATTGCAGCCATAAAAATGAATGAATTACAGCTGCAGCCATTGTCAAAGGTGACTCTCAAAACCATGAGGCTTCTACATGAGACCGTGTTTGCAGGGTGTGCCAATAGGTTGAGTAGGCGCTGAAGTCTATTCCAGCTCCACTGGCACAGGGATGCTTAGCTATCAAGACAGGGGTACCTTTTTTATTTTAAACTGCACGAAGTCTCCCTAGAGGTTAGCTCTGGACAAACAAAATCATAATGTTGACTAGAAAAGTCACAGAAGTATAAAAATTCTGTATTATTCTGTTTACATAAAGTACAAAATCAGGTAAGACTAAACAATAAGGATGCATGAGTATGTGGTAAAACTATATAGAAAAATAAGAGAGTGAGTAACACAAAATTCAGAATAGTGATCACTTCTTAGAGAGTGGGGAGCATCCAATCAGGGAAGGTTCGTGACGGGGTTGGAGAGTGCTAAGGTCATGATAATAATAATGTTCTATATCTTAGGCTAAGTAATGGGTACTCAAGTATAATGTCATCACCCTTTGTCCTATACATGTATGTCTAATAAAGCCCTTCTTGGTCAGGCACAGTGGCTTATGCCTGTAATTCTAGCAGTTTGGGAGGCCGAGGTGAAAGGATCAGTTGAGTTCAGGAGTTTGAGACTAGTCTGGGCAACAGAATGAGACTCCATCTCTACAAAAAAATAAAAAATTAGCTGGGCATGATGGCATGCACCTGCAGTCCCAGTTACTTGGGAGGCTGAGGTGGGAGGATTGCTTAAGCCCAGGAGTTCGAGGTTGCAGTGAGCTGTGATCATGCCACAATACTCTAGCCTGGGTGACAAAGCGGGATCCTGTCTCAAAAAAAAAAAAAAAAAAAAAATCAGTTATTGTAGATTATCTAAGGAGGGTTTTGTTTTTGTTTCTGTTTTTTTTTTTTTGAGATGGTGTCTCACTCTGTTGCTCAGGCTGGAATGCAGTGGCATGATCATGGCTCACTGCAGCCTTGACCTCTTGGGCTCCAGTGATCTTCCCACCTCAGCCTTCTGAGTAGCTGGCATCACAGGGGCTCACCACCACACTCCCAGCTATTTTTTTATTTTTTGTAGAGATGGGATCTCCCAATGTACCCAGGCTGGCCTTGAACTCCTGGGCTCAAGGCAGTCCTTCCAGTTTGGCCTTCCAAAGTGCTGGGATCACAGACGTGAGCCACTGCACCTGGCCAGTAACTGATGTTAAATAAAAGGCATCCTGGCCAAATGTACTACTTGGAGAAGAAAGGATCCCAACTACAAGGTCTGGACAGTGTAGACTGCCAGGGGCCCAGGCCTGAGGGTCTGAGTCCTAAGTGGTTGCAGGAGGATAAACCTTTACTGCCTCCTGTGCAATGAGCTGGGAGGACCCCAGAGGGATCCTTCAAAAGTGCTTCACGAAAAAGCAAATTAGAACCACAAGATAACACTTTTAGAATGGCCAGCATGGGGGGAAAATGACAGTACCAAGTGTCAGCAAGAATATGGAGCAACTGGAATATTTGTGCATTGCTGGTGAGAATGCAAAATGGTACAGCCACTTTGGAAAATAGTTTAGCAGTTTCTGATAAAATTAAACATATTATTAATGTTATCTTGCAATCCTACACGTAGGTATTTACCCAAGTTAAATGAAATCTATGTTCACAGAAAAATCTGCACACTATTGTTTCCAGTAGCTTTATTCTAATCGCCAAAAAAACTGGAAACAACAGAAATTCCCCTCTACTAAGGGATGGATAAGCAGAGTATGGTACATTTATGCAAATGGAATACTATGCGGTAGTGAAAAGGAATGAACACTGATATAGAGATAACATGGATGGATTTCAAGTGCACTACGTTAAGCAAAAGAAACCAGACTAAAAAAAGACTAAATCTTATATGATTCCATTTACATGGTGGGAAAGGCAAAAGTCTAGGGACAGAAAACAAAGCAGAGGTTGCCAAGAGCTGAGTAGGAGAGGTGTTCAGTACAAAGGGGGATGGGAAATTCGTTGGGGTGACAGACCTGTTGTAGACCTTGATCATGATGATAGTTATTAATACATGACTGAATGGGTTTGTCAAAATCCACAGAAAACTATACACAGTACACTACAAAAAGTTTCATTGTATCTAAATTTTACCTTAATTCCAAAAATCCTCATTCACTCCAGAAAATTTCTCAAAAAAAAAAACAAAAAACCCCCCCAAAAAACAAAAACTCATGTTCCAGGGAACTTGATGCCCAATGACAATTTAATAGCCATGTAAAATTTTACCTTTGTCACGTTATCCCTTCCTCCCGCTAGGCCTGACCCTGAATGAGGAAGCACAGGAGCTAGGGAGATGAGCTGAAAGATGAAGAAAAAAGGTGACCTCACCCACCGTCAGCCTTGCTCTCCCTGCCACTGTAGGCTTGCAGCTGAAGCAGTGCCAGATCGGGGGGAGGGGGGAGAAACTCTATATCATATAAAAATTGAAACTTTGCTTATTACATCAACCTGGACCCTCAGTTGCAAAAATGAGACTGTTCATGCACCCGAGAGGACAGAAAAGCTATGGGATTGGCCTAAATTCAAATGGGGGCATGGAAAAAATCAGCCCCCAGGGGCGTTTTATAGAAACAGTGAGAGAAAGAATAAGTGGCTTTATGATCACTCCCTATAGAGTCGTTTAATACAATGGTTACATGCAATCAGTGTGCTAATTACAAAGGACTCTTCTGTATTCCCTACCTGTGCTAAATAGGGAGCTTCTTGTATTCCAAATGAGTGAGATTGTATTAATATAGCTGAATAAAATATTGTAGAAAATGGGCTGGGCGCAGTGGCTCACGCCTGTAATCCCAGCACTTTGGGAGGCCGAGGTGGGCAGATCTCGAGGTCAAGAGATTGAGACCATCCTGGCCAACATGGGGAAACCGTGGCTCTACTAAAATACAAAAACTAGCTGGGTGTGGTGGTGCACGCCTGTAATCCCAGCTACTCAGAAGACTGAGGCAGGAGAATCGCTTGAACCGGGGAGACAGAGGTTGCAGTGAGCTGAGATGGCGCCACTGCACTCCAGCCTGGTGACAGAGTTGAGACTCTTTCTCTCTCTCTCTCTCTCTCTCACACACACACACACACATACACACACACACACACACACACAAAGAATATTGTAGAAAATCAGTCCCATATCCTAATGATCCAGCACCAACATATATTTCCCTAGGAAGTGAATGGGGACCACTCTACAAGCATAAAGCAGCAGGAAGTTATGCTTCTGTGATCTTAGAGGCACTCAGTTAGCAGAGATACCAAGTGATGTAAGATGCCCACTAGAAGGAATACTTATCTTTTGTTGAATGACTGAATGAATGTAACTCCAAGATGCAAGTAGGAAAAGGAGAAACAGGGATGGCTTTTCTTTCTCAAGGCTTGAACTGCACATTTAATTAATTATAATCATAATGATTTTATTGATTGATTGAGACAGGGTCTCACTCTGTCACCCAGGCTGGAGTGCAGTGGCACGATTTCAGCTCACTGCAGCCTTGATCTCCTGGGCTCAGGTGATCCTTGCACCTCAGGTTCCCAAATAGTTGGGACCACAGGTGCGCATCACCACAGCTGGCTAATTTTTACATTTCTTGCAGAGACAGGGTTTCGCCCTGTTGCACAGATGGGTCTCGAACTCCTGAGCTCAAGTGATCTGCCTGCCTCAGCCTCCCAAAGTGCTAGGATTACAGGCATGCACCACCATGCCCAGCCCATAATGATTTTATAGATGAGGAGCTTCAGAGCCTGTGACAGTGGATCGAGTCTCCTTCAGCTTAATCAGGGTACTGAGCATCACCTAAAGTCAGCCAATAGAAAGCAAATGGGCTATGGGCAACCCAAGGAACTCTAATTAGAAACATCTCTGTATGAAACACAAACTAGAAGAAAATTTTGTTCAAATTCTCCATGGAGAATATTTTTATTTATTTATATTCTTCTTGCATACTCTAAAACGCACAGTGTGAATTTCCCTTCTTCAAAAACAGTTGTGAGCCTGGTCACTTTATCTGAGATCTTCAGAAGGTCTTCGGAAATGTTGCCTTAGGTTTCAGCTAAGCGAGTCACAGAGATTGGTCATCAACTACTACAAAATTACAGGAGATCTAGTTATTATCCAACAGTTGCTAGAAAAGCATTGAGAACACCAGACGTACAGCCAGACAGAGAGCGTAAGAGAAGAGCAGATGCTATTTAAGTAACAGGATTTCCATATATATGACTTTATGTACAATCTTAGAATTCTCTTACAGACAGTAAAATGCTTAAATCATTATTTTAAGGGCACTCTAATATAAATACAAATCTCACTAATTTTAATCTTTTCTCTTTGGCTCACAAATGCACGAAAATACCATAAACAGTTTTCAGAACTTACTTCATATATAAATAAGATACATTACAAATGGGAAGAAAATACAAGACGCCTCTTTAACATGGTACATCTCTGAATATAAATAAGCAAATATTTCATTGACCTACAATTAAACAATCATTGAAATCATGACACATAGTCTCCCCCTCCCACCACCAAGGTCAGACAACAGGAATTTACACAATCTACACAAATTAATCTCTAAAAATACAGCCATAGTACACCTGTAACAATGACTCTGCTACTATTTTCCCCTAACAGGATACTAATGGGGAGGGTGTGACTTGTCATTTGGTGGTGTTTTTTCTCATCCATCATCACTTCAGGTGGAGAAACGCTGACAGTGAGGTCGATTCTCACCAACAGCATTTCCCTCGGCCCCTAGGACATGGCGTTTTGAAAAACAGTTTTCCTGGAGTTGTTGGACAAGCTGGTTGGCAGCATGTTTAGCTCCTCGGTAACTGCTGAAGGTAAAGTGAATTCTCTTGGAGCGGGAAACATGCCGTGATCTATTACTAAGCCACACTCACTATACATGTATATATAGAGAGAGGTATGTATAACTGTACATATATACTCTGTTCCTAATGTGCAACTTTTTAAAAAGAACACTATTTCCTGCTAACTAGAACAAACAAGCTTTAAGTAAGGTTTTAACAATATTCTTCAAGATATTATGTTTTCCCTCAATGAAATGGCCTGTGTGTTTCAGCAACATATAGAGGTTTGTTCTGGAGTGCCAGAGGGAAAAGGCATTCCCATAAACTCATGTTCTGCGAAGGATGATTACAGATCCTGGCCCAGTCTTTCTATCTCCTCAATGAGGAAGTCAATGTCAGACTGGGTAGCGGCTGGGTTGGAGATGACCATCCGGAAGAAGTTGGCCTTGTCCCCTTGGGGCTGGTAGCCAACCATGGTCGTACCTGACTCCATCATCAGGGCTTTGATTTTTGGAGCCACCTTGTGATGGAAAACACAAAACAAAACTCAAGATTGATATGAACACCCTCTCTTTTTAACAATTCAACCCAACTTGCATTTTACTATTTGTGTTTACATTGACATAAAAGCAAAGAAATATTTCATATCCAGGAATCTTCAGGGGCTAATATCAAATGACTACCTGGTCACAAGTTCCCTCAGAAAGTACTGTGCAACCGAATTTTGAAAGTCAGTCATGGAACAATGATAGTAAAATAAAAAATGAAGACAAAACCAAAAAACTCTTATAGACAACACCACAAATTCAGGGTTTTGTATAACCCAGAGCCCAGGATACTGCCTGGCACACAGACTGTGTTTAACAAATATTTGTTGAATGGTTGGATGAATGAAATGTTATATAAATTAAATATAATCTTAAGAACCCTGGATAAGATATAAACTGGATATAGAAAACAGTTAGAATGAATCAGCATTACAGTGGGCCTGAACTTAAAATGTTATTGTAACAGACACAGTTTAATCTAGAATGTCCCTAGGAATATGCACATTATTCCCTTACCCTGCATAGGGCTCCTTTAATGAAGAACATCAACCAAGGACAAGGAGACAAGATGCATCCTTTAGAAGTTCCCGTGGTAACCACAGTAAGGGGGCGATGCAGGCTCAAGAGGAATATAACAGGATGGCTCCCCACCACCCCATTACTAGAAACCCACCCCAAGGCTTTATTTTTTATATTTCCCCCACTAGAAAGGCACATTGGAATGAGGATGTCCTGACCAGCCAGAGAAATTGCAGAGGATTAGATGAGACAAAAAGCAAGTCCATACCTTGTGTAGCTTTTCCCGTCGTTGAGGGCTGTCTGGCACACCCCTGAGGCTTTGTGGAATATACCAAAAACAGACGTTTGTGTGCTCAGGCTGCAGAGATTTTAAAAGACAAACAAAGAAAATTAGGATAACTTGAGAGAAAGCTGTTCCCAAACCAATATGCATCCTTGGTGGAAGTCTCTTGGACCAAAGAAAGAGGTTGAATGTTCATCTCAAAGGCAATGTTACTTCCACACCAGGGAGAACAATGCCTCATTTATCCAATCATATGTGGCAAGAGAGCTGTTCCCTACAACCAATTTTCTAGGTAACTAAAGTTACCGACTTTAAACATTGAAATGTTACAAATAATTACATTTGGGCAATTTTTTAAAAAAGGTATCCGTCTGTCCATGTTGTCATTTTGTAGTGCCTCACATATAGAAGATAATTGAAACATAGTTTATGGATGCTGATGAATATTTTATTGAGTTTATTATATTGATATTGAATCTTTTCTTGATGACTCAGGACTATCATAACAAACATTAAGACTGGATATATCAATTAATAGGGTTGCTCCTAAAAAAAACCAAAAGACTGTTTCTACAGCATAAGGCAAGGCCTGTTGAGATGCCTCAAACTGTTTAGTGTCCCTCCTCTAAAGATTCCTGTGCTTTTTGAGTTCTTCCCTATTCTTGCTATAAAGTTTTCTCGCTGGTTGCTGTTTGCCATTACTGTGCCTGCCTCTAATTGGTTTGAGATATCACATTTGTTGTTTTTAATCTGCTATTAAGAGTGTTTAAAGTAGTGTGTAAATGATCAGAGCAGTGTCACTGATTTTAAACTGCCCAGGGCTCTTTTTTGTTCATTTGGTGATTCACATGTGTTCCTAGTAGTTTAGGTTGCCTGATAAATAGAATAATGTTGACTGTAAGCAGTGTTATATTATACTGGCTTATAAGTGGATTTTCTTTTATTCAACACTGGCTCCTATTCTATCTTTCTTTATTCAAGTGTAAGCTCCATTGGGTCAGAGAATGTATCTGTTTTGTTCAATACTCTAGAATCTAGGTCCTAGCAGGAGGCCTGGCACACAGTGGGTACTCAGTAAACACTGACAAATACTTTGCTGTGTGCAGTATGCACATGAACTGAGGGCAGAGACAATTTTATCTTGCTCTCTTCCTTATGAGTCTATGTTAAGTAGAACCTTATTTTAGAACAAGTCTTGGGAGGTAAGAATATACCCATCCTATAAGCTTCCTGGAAATGAAAACCACTTTATCGTTTTGTAAAATTTCTTTTCATAAATTATATATATTTTTTCTTATAGAGACAGGGTCTTGCTATGTTGCCCAGGCTGGTCTTGAGCTCCTGGACTCAAGCAATCTTCCTGCCTTGGCCTCCCGAAATGCTGGGATTACAGGTGTGAGCCACCATGCCCAGCCTGAAAAACACTTTTTCATAAAGGTTCAACACAAAACAAACCCAAGAATGATGAAGGATTCAGACCTGTCAAGGAAAGACCTCTTGTCTGCCAAAAGCTGGCCAAGAGCAACACAGTTTTAAAAGATGTAAAGGAAAAAGTCATCCCAGTGCTACCAGAAGAAAAGTTCATAGACATGGAAGGAATTAAAGAGAGGAATTAAGAGTGTATAAGAATAAAAATTTTGAAGCAGTTTCTGGCAACATGGGATTGATTTTCCCATGTTGCCAGAAGCTTCAGGAGCTTCCCTCAGCAGTTTTTCTGGAAATACTGTGTACCTGGTCCATGATGATTACCTACCTCGCCATTGAAAACCATCTCAAATTCTTCTCTGTTTTTAATCTTGGCATAGAGGTATTCAGCCAGTTCCAGGCATTTGTTGATCTGGTTTTCAAATCCCACTGTGCCCTGTTTTAAAGAGAAAAGTCATGTTTGTGGTTGCATTTCCCTGTGATGAGCATTTGGGAAGGCTATGCTGTCCCTGTCTATGGGAAATAAACAAAAAAAGTATTTTTGGAGCTGGTTAGGAAGAACAATCTAATCAAATATGTCAGCTTTTTCACAGATGTGCATGCAATAAATGATGTGTGCCTGCTTCCTCTTTCAAAGGCACTCCAGTCTCTGGGTAGTTATTCTCAACTGGACCTATGCCTGATTCTGGTTTGCTTTAGGATGGTGCTACTCAAAGTGTCATCTATGAACTGAGGCCACTCCACAACTGTAACTGGTCTACAATCAAATGAGTGTAGAAATTGAGATTAAGCATAGGAAACTTTAATGGCAATTGGACAAAGGGATTTTGTCTGTTGACTCTAATAAAAAACAGTGGCTTGTTCTTTGTATGTTTTTAAATTTCATTTTTCTAACAATTAATCTTTAGGGTATTGGTCCATGATAGGTGAAAAACAACAACAACAACAACAAATAACTGGTTCTTCATCAGAAAAACTTCGAAAGATACTGCTGTAGAACTCATCTTCCCCAGCAGTAAGTCCTTGTGAAACATGTCCCATGCCCTCTCAGGCAGGCAACCTTCCACATAACAGTGTTATGCCTTTTAGGTGACAGGCAGGCAGGTAGATGGGGAAGCCATTGGTCTCAGTATATGCCCTGATATTGCAATAGTTCCAACTATTGACAAACTGGTTGAGCATGAGTTTCAAAAGCCAGCATGGCTGATTAATAACAGCAGTATGAGGGTTGTTGAGTGGGTCGGTGTTAACAAGGAGAGCAGATGCACAAGGCTGGCTGTGGATTGCTAATGGGCCTGAGCAAAGTCCAGCACTGAGAAAGCATCAGCCTCCCCAGGTAGTGTCACTGCTGACTGTACACCCTAGTCAGTCCACTTAGGAATGAAGCCTGTACCAGGGTCCCATTTCAGCAACCAATCACTATGGTCAAAACCTGCAGCAGATGGTTCAAGAGGTTATTGTTAGAAACAAAAAAGAAGACACAAATTACTGAAACAGGTTGTGTGGTCATTATATTTCAAAATGACACGACTCCTTTTTTGTTGTTGCCGTTTATGGCTTTTTTTTTTTTTTTTTTTTTTTGAGATGGAGTCTCACTCTGTTGCCCAGGCTGGAGTGCAGTGGCATGATCTCGGCTTACTGCAACCTCCGCCTCCTGGGCTCAAGTGATCCTCCCACCTCAGCCTCCTAAGTAGCTGGGACCACAGGCATGCGTCATCACACCTGACTAACTTGTATTTTTTGTAGAGATGGGGTCTTACTTTGTTGCCCAGATGGGTCTCGAACTCCTGAGCTCAAATGATCCGCCTGCCTTGGCCTCCTAAAGTGCTGGGATTACATGCGTGAGCCACCGTGCCCAGCCTATGGCTATTTATATGTTTAAAATTCCTATGATTACTTTGTAATAGAAATCAAATTCAGACTATTTCTATATTAAGTCAAAATAGAGCTGGGTGCGGTGGCTCACGCCTGTAATCCCAGCACTTTGGGAGGCCAAGGTGGGTGGATCACTTGGGGTCAGGAGTTCAAGTCTAGCCTGGCCAACATGGTGAAGCCCCGCCTCTAGTAAAAATATAAAATTAGATGGGCATGGTGGCGCATGCCTGTAATCTCAGCTACTTGGAAGGCTGAGGCAGGAGAACTGCTTGAATCTGGGAGACGGAGGTTGCAGGGAGCAGAGATCGCGCCTCTGAACTCCAGCCTGGGCAACAGGAATGAAACTGTCTCAAAAAAAAAAAAAAAAAAGACAAAATGACTTACTGAGGAAAAAACTAATAATCTACCAAATTTTTCCTACAGAAGAAATATTTGACTAGAAATTTTGCCAGAAAATCTTGTTGTTTGAGTGTTAGTTAGACAGTTAGACTCAATCTTAAACATAGAAATTATTAAAATTAATTTATAACAAAAACAAGGTATGTAATATAAAACTATGAAATCAAAATTTCTTTTCCTTGATTGCATACAAATATTTTTGAAACAAATAATCAAATGGTAATCCTCTCCCTCACTCATATTTTGGGGGAAATTCCAATAGTTAGCTTTTTTCCTTAGGTACAGAAATGAAACCCAAAAGGTTGATGAATGCAGACACAGCATGCTACCATCTAAAAGTAGGATTTTTCACAATAAAGTATACATTTTCCAGAATGGTGTATTAACTACAAACAATGGGAAAGGCATTATTGAAGTTGAAGTTAAAACTGTCATACATAGCCCATGTTGAGAAGCCTCATAAAAGAATTCAAGGGGCCGGGCGCGGTGGCTCACGCCTGTAATCCCAACACTTTGGGAGGCCGAGGTGGGCGGATCATGAGGTCAGGAGACTGAGACCATCCTGGCTAACGCGGTGAAACCCCGTCTCTACCAAAAATATTTTTTAAAAAATTAGCCGGGCGTAGTGGCGGGCCCCTGTAGTCCCAGCTACTCTGGAGGCTGAGGCAGGAGAATGGCGTGAACCTGGGAGGCGGAGCTTGCAGTGAGCCGAGATCGCGCCACTGCACTCCAGCCTGGGCTACAGAGTGAGACTCCATCTCAAAAAAAAAAAAAAAAAAAAAGAATTCAAGGTTCTACTCAGAATAATGCAGTAATTTTATTTTTTTTTATCTTTCTCTATGCCTGCACTAAATAATTCCAGCATCCCCAAGGATTGCTGCAGAAATCCTTATCTTGGCATAATTTTTAGTTGTTATAAGAGAACGTTATAAGAAGACTTCATAATAGTTCAAATTGAGGAGACTGAACAAAAGGAGAGAGAATTTGACATAAGGAATAAAGTAATTTCATTCACAAAGAAAACACAGTTAATTCAATTATCTAGATATTGATTCCCCATATAGTGAATTATCTGTGATATATCTTTGCCCCTCTTTTGCCAGCCAGTCTGTGCAAATTACATTTCTGCTCTATTTCCTGAACTATTCCCTTCATACCTTTGCTTTCCACATCAGCCAGAACTTGAAGATATCCACGTGGCGGCCACACTGAATTGCCTTGTCCCCGGTGTCGTAGGAGACATCATACTGCTTGTCTGGCTGGAAGAGGTATCCTGCACACATCTGGTTGCATCCTTGGAGTATACCCTATCATGGAAATTAAGATGGGTGCATCTGCATTTACACATCAGAGATGTGGGTGGCTTTAAAACTAGGCTGCTTGGAAGGAGGGGCTTGGGGTCATATGCAATCTTTCTTCTGATGTCTTTATGAGGCCTTACACTTGTTCTGATGCCCTTTTCTAAAATCACTCTTGGAAAAACTGCCATCCCTTTTGTCTCTGACTCTCTGATTAGAAGATGATCTTTCCGTCTCAGATGCCATCCCTCTAAGGGGAAATGTGTATGGGTGTCTGGGATTGTTTCAAGATTGGGAAGTGCTACGGCATTCAGTGGGCCAGGGTTAGAGATAGAAAATTCCTCAGTGGGTGGGATAGTTTCATGCTGTGAAGAATTTTTCTCTCCAAAAGCGCTCTGGCAAAAGTCTTCCAACCTTTCCAGGACCTCCTATGACATTAACATGGATTCCACATATGAGTGGACTAAAGACGCTGTGCAGATTCTGGCTCCTACAGGCTGGAGACAGACTTTTTGGAATGCTTCTGTGTGCAGAAGTTTTACTGGAGCAACAAAGCCTTGGAGGGCAGGATCCTAACATTAGGCATGTGAAGAAGGGAATATGAGGCTCAACCATTTACAGCAGCTTTTGGGGCAATATTCCTTGTGGCCCTAAGTTGATATTTGTAGTTGTTGTTCTGTCTCATTTATTTCAGTTCTTGGGACCACACGTTTATACTAAGAACTCCGAGTATGCTCCAGTGAGTGCTTTTGTCCTCACTGAGGACAAAACTGATTGGATGCCTCACCTACTTGCTCCCACTTTTTTTGTGCAAACATGAAGGAATACTCAATTAAATAATTTCCTTAAAGGTTCAGTTGCTGACAGACCCTGAGTACTGATCAAAGAAGAAGCACAGTAGCCAGCAAGAGCCAAGAGAAGAAACCAGGTTAGCTGCAAGGGCAGGAAAGGACAGCAGCAGTAGTCTCTCAGTGGGGCTGCCAATCTCGTGAGTCAGCCAACAAGTACTGCAAAGAGACCCCACGTGTGTCTTTTTGTGCTTTCTAAAGAACGTACGGGCCCCAGTGTAGCTTTGGAGGGAGTACAGACCTTTTCCTTGACGAGAATGGCAGAGCACTGCAACAGCACGCCCATCATCTTGTGAGGGTTCCAGGTGACTGAGTTGGCCCTGAAAGAAGCACATGAGACTTCGAGAAGGTGCAGGAGTTGGAAAGACGCAACTGTTCTCTTGAGGAAAACACCCATTCCAACTCAAGTTAGTAAATATTATCCATGCCTATTCTCCTGAATTGACTAATCAAGTAGCAAACAAATGTTTTGCAGGCAGTCTCGGAGTATTACATTACGGACTATATCTTAGAAGTAACTGCTATTAACAATAGCTAACATTTATGAATAACTTATTATATGTCTTATTGTCTTGAGAGCTTTCAGGTATTATATCAATATGGTATGGTTAAGAATTCAGGCTTTGGAGCCAAACTGTTTAAGTCTGAGTCCTAGCTCTAATATTTGTTAGCTTGGGCACATTATATAACTCTTATGTGCCTCAGTTTCTTTTAAATGGGGAGTGTGTGCCTCACAGAATTGAATAAAGGACAAAATAACTTAATATAAAATGCTTATAAGAGTGCCTGGCACACATAATCCTTACCACAACCCTATAAGGTAGGTACTATTATTACCTCTGTTTTAGATGGGGAAACTAACATGCCAAAAGGTTAAATATATTACCCAAAGTCACAGAGTTGGGAAGTGTTGGAGCCTGGATTCAAGTCCAGGGCCTCTAAGTGCACAGCCCTTTTTTGTAACCACTCCACTAGACTGCTTCTCTCTAGGAGACACAGTGGCTTCTTTCTGCCTTTCTCTTCTCATTTATAGGCTGGTGATGCTGCCCTACCCACTTATGGGGCAGTATCAAGAGTGGCACCTAAAAGCAAGGCTCGACTGGACTACTCTAGAC
Organism: Homo sapiens; assembly: GCF_000001405.40. Classification (NCBI taxonomy): domain Eukaryota; kingdom Metazoa; phylum Chordata; class Mammalia; order Primates; family Hominidae; genus Homo; species Homo sapiens. The sequence goes on along the minus strand of NC_000002.12, from coordinate 170,851,918 downwards.
TCTGACTACCTAGCAGAATTATTTAAATGCTAAATTAGAGTGATTTTGCCAGTTTGGGCTGCAATGATAGCTTAACAAGCATGGTCTCCTAGCAACTGCATCATTCTGTCAGACACAATTAGATGGTTAAGGAGCACACTAGCTAGGGCATTACAGAAACAACTAAGTCTAATGTATGATGATGAAAACATGGGTAACTTGCCTCATTGGTTTGCAGACTCCTTCCCAAAGGCCTGGCCTATAGCTAGGTGCTGCATTTTAATACCTGTGAAGGATCTTTTCCCCTAGATAGAGCAATTGGCTCAGAATCATCCTGCCTCTGCTCTCCCTAGAGCTAAACCCTTGTTGTGAACTTTCAACCTCTTCATCGTGCTTAGGTCCTTTAGTTAAAGGACCTAACAAAATAATTTAGTGCACTCTGTTTCAAGGAGAAGAGAGGAAGGTCTGAAGAACTTTTCCCTTCAGTGTATAATAAAACCTTTGTGAAAGAGACCTGTGAAAAATTCCAAGGAAAGTTAACTAAGTGCTTAGCTCACTAAAAAGCATCAGTGTCAGGTCATATTTAAATGGTAGTGAATTTAATCAAATTTCTCATTGCTATCATTTACCAAGTCATTAAAAAATTATATTTAGGTCTCATAAAATGTCTTAAATGGTTTTCTGCATATCCTAAAGGTCTGAAGTAAATGATTCTTTGCTGCTACAAAAGGAAAGTAATAAGACATAATATGAATTCAATTTCCTTTAGAAGACTTATGTGATTTAAAATGTTAGAAAAGAAAAAGTCTAGTGTGAAATGTTTTAAGTTTTCCTAGACTCAAAGACAGAAAATTAAAATTGTCTGAGAAATCTAAAGTTAAATTGGGCTGGCTCATCCACAGTTCTTTTTTTTTTCTTTTTTTTTTAAGACAGAGTCTTGCTCTGTCACTCAGGCGGGAGTGCAGCGGCGTGATCTCGGTTCACTGAAACCTCTGCCTCCCAGGTTCTAGTGATTCTCCAGCCTCAGCCTCCTGCGTAGCTAGAATTACAGGTGTGCACCACCATGCCAGCTAATATTTGTATTTTTAGTAGAGACGGGGGTTTCACCATGTTGGCCAGGCTGGTCCCGAACTCCTGAGCTCAAGTAATCTGCTCTCCTTGGCCTACCAAAGTGCTGGGATTACAGGCCACTACACCCTGCCCAGATTTTTTACATTATCCTCCGAGTTACGGGGTTGTCCACTTCACAGAGCCGGTCTCACCCACGTTGACACTGGTCTTTCAAAACTGAGACAAAAGTTTGGGGAGGCACAGTAGAGGTAACAAAAGCCAGAGTCCTGGCTGTGGGAGAAGCCCTGGGCGGGCTCTCCCTGCCTGCTCCATGTTTGCCTCTCCCTCCTTAGTCTGCTTCTACCTCTCTCACCTTGCTCCAGCCCCAATGGCCTCTTTGATCCTCCTCCCACTTGCCAAGAACAGTCCTGCCTCAGGGCCTTTGCACTTGCCACTCGCACTGCCTAGAATACTGTTCCTCATATCCTTGCTTCCTGTCTCCCTTTATCGCAGTATCTGCTGATATGTTACCTCCTCAGGAAGGCCTCTGACTACCCTGTCTGAAACAGCATGCCTTGTCACTCACTGCTACCTAACCCTGTTTTATTTTTCTTTACTATGAGACAGATTAAATATTTGTTATGAACATCTAGCCCACTGGAATGTAAACTTCAGGAGGACAAATCTCTTAGTTGATAACACCTTTCATATACTGCCTTATTTTTTCTGCATTTATCAGATATGCATTTTTATTAGAAAAGCACCATAGGTGGCTGGATGGAAGACACATAACTGAATATTCACATCAACTCCTACCTGGCTCATGATAGGTGCTCAGTAAATACATGCTGAACGAATCAATGAATCATTGTGACTTTGTTATGGGTCAACACTTAGGAGTCAGGTCAAAATCATATTTGGCCTAGAACATCCACTGAATTTGAACAGTGAAAAAGAAAATAAGTTAGGAGCTGAGTGTCCTGCCCTTTCTGGAAGTAAGCTTAATGAGGAAGAAGAGGAAAGTGAACCAGTGGCCCTTCCTGTGCCCTTGGCAAACTCTGATGGCCTCCAATTCCCCTCACTGGTTAGTCTCTCTTATCTCCTACCTGGGTACCTGCAATTGTCTCCTGTTACACTTATCACATTGTGTTCTAACTACTTGTTTATTGTCTTTCTCATTGATTGATTGATTGATTGATAGCTATTAGAGACAGGGTCTCACTGTGTTGCCCAGGCTGGTCTCGAACTCTTGGGCTCAAATGATCCTCTCACCTCGGCCTCCTAAATTTTTGGGATTAGAGGCGTGAGCCACCACACCTGGCCTGTCTTTCTTTCTTTCTAAATTGTGAACTCCTTCAGGACTCATTTGACTGGGAAATCAGTCATCCAATAAATGCTCAACAAATGCCTGCTGAACTGAAGCAAACTTAGACCGAAATATGATGCTGGGGATCAGGGCAGGGTGGTGCAGGCTGACATCAGAGCATGGTCTGTTTGATGTGCTGGGTGGAAGGAGGCCTGGCGAGTTCTGGCCGTTACCTTTCTATGCCGTTGAGTTTATGGCGGTGCTTCCTGGACATGAGCAGCCCACCTCCCCAGGCAGCCTGTGGGGACAGAGAAAGGAGAGGAAGAGGGGAGCAGTGACATTTAAGAATCTAAAACTAGTCAGTCCTCACTTCTACTAAAACATGAGCAAGAAAGTACAAGGTGAAAAACATAAGTTTCTCAGAAAAGTTCAGCCCACACTGATTGTTCAATCAGTTGTGATTCTTCATTGCTTGTCATTTCTTTTTCAAAGTTCCTCTGGACTTTAGCTGCACAAGTGATACAGCTAGGCCAGGTCTGAGCCTGAGGTGCCTGTTCTGCCAAGACCCAAAGGTCCAATGGCCCATTAGCCCAATGTGTTGTGGAAAGCCAACACAGTGAGTCCCCCTCCGGGTGGCTCTGGAAGCTGCTCAAAAAACTGAGGCCTGCTGTCTGGTTCTTCCCAGAGTAGAATTCTAACAGCTCCTGAAAAACTCAAAAAGCAGCAGTTCCTGCTGGGTTTGGAGGTCTCACAACAACTTATGTAACAACAAGACATTTTTGTGGGTACCATGATGCATGTTTACTGAATAGTTGGGATGCCACGTGACACAGCCTTTGTTAGTCATTAGTTCAGTAGCAAGGCAGATGATCCTATTGGCCAATTGTGAGAAGTTAAATCCCTAAGAAAATGGGCAGAGAGAAAGAAAAAAAAAAATACACCCAGTCACACATGTGAAAATGCATCTTTTGTGTTCCTGGGAAGATTTGGGATTAAGTCTCTTAGTTGATAATGCCTTCCGTATACTGCCTTATTTTTCCTAAATGTAGCAGATATTCTTTTTCTTTTTTCTTTTTTTTTTTTTTTTGAGACAGAGTTTTGCTCTTTTGCCCAGGCTGGAGTGATGTGGCGTGATCCCAGCTCACTGCAACCTCCATCCCTAGGTTCAAGTGATTCTCCTGTCTCAGCCTCCAGAGTAGCTGGGATTATAGGCACATGCCACCACACCCAGCTAATTTTTGTATTTTTAGTAGAGACGGGGTTTCACCATGTTGGCAAGGCTGGTCTCAAACTCCTGACCTCAGGTGATCCACCTGCCTTGGCCGCCCAAAGTGCTGGCATTACAAGCGTGAGCCACCGCGCCCAGCCAGATATAACCTTTTTAAGAGACGTGTCATAGACGGCTGGACTGAAGGCAGGTAGCTGAGGGTTCACATTCATGGCCACTTTCTGTATGTTGTGTCTTCTATTTTTTCCCTCTGAAATCAGTTATATTTTATTCTGTAGCCACTTGTCCCAACAAAGCTACCTGGGAAGGCAATGAGACCATATTCTAGGATGAACCACAGAAGACAGCAATCGACTAGTAAGGAAGTGGATGAGTCCCAGAGGATGTTCCAGGTCTGTGGTGTGTACCAGTTGTGAATGGCTGGCTAGGGTCCAGACAAGAACTGGAACTAATGTGGTGTGGAGAGAGGGCTGGCTGGGGCGTGGGGAGAAGCTTGAGGCAAGTCATAAAAAAGAGGTGCCTCCACCCCCCACATGGACTGGCCTGAGTTATATAGCACTTACATCGACATGCAACCAAAGGTTATATTTCTCACATATATCTGCAATCTCTTGTATCGGATCAAAAGCTCCATAAACAGTCGTGCCAGCAGTTGCATTGACATAAAAGGGAACATATCCCTACAAGGTAAGACAGATATAGGCTGATGAGTATTTTTAACCTTTCTCATTTGCTGATTTTCACAGGAAGAAGAATTGTGTAACATTTATTTCTAACAGTAAATGGCAAAACTTATGTATTACCAGATACTATGTCTAGTAGTGTTTTGTTGGCTCATTCACTCATTCATTCATTTATTCAACAAACATTTTTTGATTGCCTTTTATGTGCCAGGCCCTGCCATAGATGCTAGGGACTCAGCAGTGAGCACAACAGATAAAGAATTCTGTCATTGCGGAGTTTACATTTTAGTGGCAGGTGACAGATAATAAGCTAAATTAAATAAGCAAAATATACAGTATGTTTAATAGCAATAATTTCTATGGCAAAAAATAAAGCAGGAAAGAGTAATAATAAGTGTTTGGAATGATGGTCAGATAGTTCTGAATATCACCTGTGCATCATTCTTTTAAGAGGCTGTGTTGTTTTAAGTGTATTGATATAATAATTATACTGAAACATTGTGGGGTTCAATTATTTAAAAAAGGTCTATACACTGTGAAAGCTGATACACTCACTAACAGTGGACGTGGTTAAATGTTGACATAAACAAAAAATAAACGAAGGAGTAGAGTAATAGATCTAAGACAAGTTTGGGGAAATCTGTGAATCTTAAGCTTTTCTTTTTTTCTGAGACAGGTTCTTGCTCTGTCACCTAGGCTGGAGTGCATTGGCACGATCATGGCTCACTTCAGCCTCTACCTCTCCAACTCAAGTAATCCTCCTACCTCACCTGAGTGGCTGGGACTATAGGCGTGCACCACCACACCTGGCTATTTTTTAAAATTTTTTACAGAGATGTGGGTTACCCTATGTTGCCCAGGCTGGTCTTGAATTCCTGGGCTCAAGGGATCCTCCTGCCTCAGCCTCCCAAAGTGCTGGGATTACAGGTGCGAGCCCCCATGCCCTGCCTCTTAGGCTTTTGTGAAGCTCAGCTCCACCTCTGCTCCTTGCTCAGTCTTTACAACACTTAGATCCACTTCCTGTGCCAAGACCCCAGCAAATAACTACAATTAGAGAAGGAGGTATAAGAATGTAACTGAAACAACCATGTGTTGGTAAGTGGCCTGACAGCTACCTGGCACTGACTTGTGGATACATCTGTTCTGTGAGTTTTTTTGTTTAATAGAGTTTGTTGAGGCTGGATGTGCCAAGTACCATGGGCCATCTGCCAGGGCATGGAAGCACTTTGCTAAACAGAATCCTAAGCTAAAATGGCATCTGTTAAAATGAGATAATACCCAACAAGTAGTAAATAAAAAGTTCAATTAGGCTATATCTTCATGATGCTCAGGGATTTGATTTATTGAAGAACATCAAACCAATCACTTGGCACAATGAAGATAGGACAAATAGTTTAATGACCAAATTTTTCATTTTTTAAAAAAACCCTGATATTGTGTAGACACAGCTTTAAAACCAAATTATTTTACTAGTTGGAAATAAGCAAATTTGAAGAATAGAATTTTAGAAGCACAAGAAAATTGTCTCATATTATCAAGGACTGTTTTTGTCTAGGACAGAAAGAAGGTATTTTAAAACTGGAGTTCAGATGCACCACGGAGTACATACCTTCTGTTTGGCTTCAAGAATTTTTGCCTCAAAATCAGCTGGAATTATTTTCCCCCTATAATTATTGGAAAAGGAGGGAAATTAAAATGAAGAGTCAATGAGATTGCACATGAAAAAAACTTTAGCAGCAGCAAAAAGCAATTTAATCGGATATTTTCAACAGACCATTAGCAGCTTGGCACAATGTACTGAGCCAGTCCTTAAGCACAATAAAACAAATTTAACAGATGAACACATTTAATACATCAAGAACCTAATATTCACCCTCCCCTGCCTACCTTTCATTGCACTTTATCAAAATCACATTGTCAGTTCCAAAGCCAAGTGCAGCCCCAGCTTTCTTTATGGAATAGTGACTCTGCAACAAACAGAGGCTCGAGGTTAGAAGTTGGAAAGTCCCCTAAAAAACACCACTATCCATGAGAAAGCATCCCCGACTCACCTGTTCTGAGGTGAAGAGGACCAGTTTAGGCACAGCCGCCATGCCCTTTGTCTTAACTTCCGGGAAGTACTTGTAGCGAGCAGCCATGATGCTGTACATGTTGGATATGGCGCCCCCTGTCAGCAAGCGGACATATTGGGAGGTGTTGGGGCTCTTTGATTATTGTTTCTAAAAACGAACGCTGAGCTGGTGTCTCAAGAGACAAGGGAGGTCAGGAAGCGAAAGGATAATATCCTGATAGGTTTTGCTGGCTTCCCTATTGCTGGGGCTTCCCACTGGACCCTTTACCCTGGGAATACAAGTAGTCACACTTATTACCAAAGCTATCTAGGCAATTTGGCTGGAGGTGATTCGTGTACTTCAGTGCGCTTTCCACCTGAAGTCTAGACAGAAATATAAGAGGTAGCTGCATCAGTGGCTGCAAAGGGATAGGTGAGTTATATCCTTCCTGCTTTACTTTCTGCTCAATCTATTTACTGAACAAAGATGAATCTGTTCCCTGAGTTCAGAAAGACAGAGAAAGAAAGAGTAACGGAGCTTACAGAAAGAAACAATGACATTTCTTGGTTACCTGCCTAGGTGCTCTCTTCAGCCCAACTGAGTTACTGAGTCATTTAGGAGAGCTCTAAGTTTATTAAAATAAGAACAAACTCATGTTTACCTAAATAAAGACACAAGGAGAACTGACATAACTATGTATGTTTGGCCAACACAAACTAGTTAATTTTACATTAATTATCTGACAATTAAACTTAGGCAAATTTGTGGTCTGCTTGAATTACCTAGATAACTGCAATTCTTATTTCTTCTTTTCCCCTTGTACACAATCACACTGTCTCTGACACCATCAGAATACCTATTCTTGTTTTAAAAATTCTTATTTTATCTACTTCAAACTAGAGATTCAAAGTAGATATACTATTTTGGCTGAAATCAATCAATTAATTAATAATCTTGATTCACTGATCCCCAGCATAATCAAACTGCTGTTGACAGAATGGAGTTGTTTAATAGTGAGACCTTGTTTCTACAAAAGAAATTTTAAAACGGCTGGGCATGGTGGCACATGCCTATAGTCCCAGCTACTTGAGAAGCTGAAGCAGGAGGATTGCTTGAGCCCAGGAGTTCGAGGCTGCAGTGAGCTAGGATCACACCACTGCACTCTAGCCTGGATGACAGAGTGAGACCCTGTCTCAAAAAAAAAAAAAAAAAAAGAAAAAAGAAAAAATGGGGTTATTTAGCATTATCTAGACACAGCCTTTGTCAGTTTTTACAGATTTAAGCATAGCCTTTGTTAGTTAATTCATATAGAATGTAGCATTTTTGTTAGCCTTCATCTTGAAAAAATAGGAAGTCAGGGTATCCAAAAAAAATGTTAAGGCATTATTCTTCCATAAACCTACTTCATATTTTGTATTCTTAAGAATCCCAAACCTTGAGAAGAGGAAGAGAAGAGAAACCTACCAGGAGAAAATATCCCATCACCATCTTTACTTGACCATCCAACTATCTCTCTCATCTTCTTAAGTGTTATTTGTTCCATGAGGACAAACACTGGTGCAATTTCATATGTAAACCTGGAAAGGTGGTAAGAAGAAGGATGAAAGAAAATAAAGAAGTCAAACCACTTATTTTAGGAACACAGAGGATTGGTTTAGTATTTGTAGTTGGGTTCTAAAAAAAAGCTGTTCCAAACCACTAACATGATTCATTTCCTGGAAATGCATTAAGTCGCCGATCATAAAATGTCAGAAACCAGCCTGGGTTACTGAGAGAGGTGGTGGAAGTGCCAGCCCTGTGATACTTCACCAACAAAATAGATTCTTATCTGAATGGAATGTCTTAGGCATGGTCCACCCAGAGGAATAGAAGGAAAGAAAATGACTTTTCTGAGTCCCTTTTACCTCTAAGATTATAGGACAATGCAAATGTTAATTGAAAAAAGCATTCCAAGTTCTATGTAAAATTGGTTTACAATTTGTTTAAAAAAAAAAAAAAAAAAGCTGACTGCCAGTTTCACACTTGTAGAATATATAAAAGCCAGAGCCAAAGTCTATCTTTTAAAAATAATGTAAACATCTGAAGGCTAACTGTGAAGATAATTGGAAATATTGACCCAGGTTTTAAAGATCTCAATATAATTATCTACATGGTTTTTCTGTAATAATCCTCAAGGACAGCTATGTTTCTATAATTCTCTGAAGTCAATATCTGTCAAGAATAATTCTAAGTGATGATTTTCTAATTACAAATTATAAATAACAAGAAGACGGTCAACTGGCATAAACAACTAGCTGTGGGCATCAGATATCTTGGAAGGTTACATTTGTCTTCTAAGAAACTGATTTAAAAGTAGCAAGCCATGCTCTTTTCAAAGCAATTCAACACAGAGGCATAGTCTGGTAGACTAGTCATTGAAACAAGATCGTGAGACCAAACGTGGGGCCTAAGAAAAATCAAGGAAGGTCTGTCCACAGAAAATTAAGCCAGAAAACAAAAAGATATTTACTAAGCTCTGAGGCTTTTTGTCTTTCTTGTTTTTGCTTGGCATTCTTTAGCATTAGAGTCTGTAGGCTGGGCTCAGATCATCCTCACCGAAAAGAGATGCCTAGACTGACTCAGCTAAGTGACATGGGGAAGCTTTATCACTGGTTAGGGTGTTTGAGCCAAGTGCTAATGTTGAAGACTAATGGGAATTCTTGCTTGCTTAATGTAAGGCAAAGCTATTTGTAAGGATGAGATAACTATTGTTTTACATAAGACACAGGTGAAGCTACTAAGTTTTAATTGTGGATGAAAAAAGCAGTCAAATTAATCACATGGAGGTAAAAGAAGACAAAAAGATCCTGAAGGATCCTCAGATATGTTGGTAGAAGTATTTTATTTCCAAAAAGAATATGTCCATTTTCCTTGGGAGGCCCCTGGAAATTTAGGAGGAAGACCCTTGGAAACCATGTGTGCAGTTACCATCACCTCTGGAGGTCACAATCATGCTTTGGTTCTGCTCTGAGCCCCATCACCGTAGCAACCAACACTCCCTCATGTCTGATGGCCTGATAAAGGAAGAAGAAGAGAAGGATTCCTGGTTTAGCCTGTGCTGCCAAGTGTACCAAGAGGCAAACTCATGATGGGCTTTTAACCATTCTTGAACAAATGTGTTATTAATGGTTCCACTGGTTTTTGGAAATGTTGACATGACAAAAATGTTTGCATGGCGAGGAGATACTGGTGGCAGTGTCTGTGCTAGAATCTCCCAGTACTATATAAGAAAGCTCTCTGGGGTAAGGCAAGGAACAAATGAAATCACATACCGTAATATCAGAACCATATCAAAGACTGGATGAAAGTTGGCTTAGGATCAAGTCAGTGTTGGCCAGGCAGGAACCACATGGACAAGGGAGAGGGAATGGGACTGAATATCAGGCATAGGTCCCACTCCATGCTTCAGATTTAAAACCAATTAGGCCCAAGGTTTGCATGAATTAGCCTCCCCAAGGACCAGGAACATGGCCATTACTCTCAGGATTAGGAGGAAGAGTCTAGAGAGTTTATCATGAGCTTAACTGATCTAATCTATTTCAGGTTCCTTATCTATGCCAGGTACCTGATTCCTAAACTTTCTTTCAGTTCTATTCAACAAATACTTACTGAGTGGCTATTCTCTGCCAGGTGACATCCTATGTACTAAGGAAACTAAGATATTAGAAGACACCATTCTCAACCTTGAGGAGGAAACCTACTAGGATGATTCTAGCATCTGGTTCTTGGCCTTAGCTGTATCCTGTTTGATAGTCCCTGCCTGAGTCTAAAGGACCAATTTTCCACTCTTTTCCTGACTTATTAGCTTAGGCCTGACACTCTCTCCTGAAAGCTAGTATATCAGTCCATGGCTGCTGATCCACAGCCAGGCCTGACAAATGGGCTGACATGGTGTTCTTCATTCCTGACACTTCTTCTGACCCTGCTGCCCCATCCTGGGCCATGTTTACAATCTGTGCAGCTGCACTCTTAAAGAAGGCCTTGTAGTTCACCAAAGCAGTTTTTAAAAATTTCTTATTTTTAACTTTATTTTATTTTATTTTGTGTAGAGATGGAGGTCTCACTATATTGCCCAGGATGGTCTTCAATTCTTGGCCTCAAGCGATCCTCCCGCCTTTGCCTCCCAAAGTTCTGAGATTACAGTTGTGAGCCACCATGCCCAGTGGTTCTTCACCTAATTGGGATTACAGATCCCTTTGGGAATCCTAGGAAATCTGTAGTCCTTCTCTCCAAGTAAAAAATGAAGATAGGCACATCATTTTGTATAGAACTATAGGAGATTCTTCTCTTGCAACCTAGATTCCAGGTTGGGTACTGTTTTCCTAAATGACTGAGGAAAGCAAATGAAGTCAAGAGATCAAAGGTCAAATATGAATTCAGAAGAAGCTGGTTAGATGCTAAAGTCAAAGTACAAGATTACATTTCAGAGTCAGAACCAGAAACTAAACCTGCCAGAAGCTCTGGGTTGAAGCATAAGAACATGGGATTGGAAGTAAAGATTTAAAACAGTAGGATGGTGGCATTCATGGAGTGACACTAGAGGAGCATTCTGAGCATGTCTATATTCCGAGTAGGGAAGTGAGTCAGCCCTTTTGCAGTGGTTCAACTCACCTTCCCGGAGGAGTTCACTCAGAGCGAAGGCAAATTGACTGTCAACAAGCTGTAGTTCTTGTGTGGCAGAGTCTGCTTGTTGCTACCCATATCAATTTTCCCTTGCTTTGTTAAATTTTATTTAGGGTTGCTGTTCACTCTGATCGAAGACTATATTTTCTACCCTTTTTTGGTGTGGTCTTGGACTAAGTTCTGGCTAAAGAGGCTTTATGGAAATGTGTGAGACCTCTGAGAAGGTTTTTTTTTTAATTTTTTTTTAATCAAAGAGGAGTATGTCTCTTTTGCCCTTCCCTCCCTCCCTCCCTCCCTCCCTTCCCTACCTCCCTCCTTTCCTCCCTTCCTCCCTTCCTCCCTCCCTCCCTTCCTTTCTGAGTTCTGGAACACCGGAGTGATGGCTGGAGCTCCAGCAGCCAGGCTGCACCATAATGCAACTTTGAGGATGGGAGCCATGTGCTACAATAGGGATTAGAAAGGCACACAAAATCTGGATCCCTGGTGACTGTCAAACTGGGAACTTCTTTAATGAGAGAAATAATCTTCCATGCTGACTCTATCCTGATACTCCTCTTGACTTCTCCTTACAGATGTGGCAGGTAGTACATCTTCACCTTAAAAGGTAACATAGCTGAGGGGAGCTTAGGGAAACACTCTACTGTCCAGATGATGAGAGACAGAAATAAAAGAGTCAGGAAAGTCTCAAATAGCAACAGTGACTGTGCGGTGGTTGCCTTTCCTAGGTGCAAACACTGTACCTTGTATACGCTAGGCACTTAGGACTGGAGCCATTTTTAGTCTTCAGAACCACTCTGTAGGATGGATACTATTATCCTCCATTTTCCTGATGAGAAAACTGAGGTTCAGAGAAATTCAGTGGTTTGTTTTAAGATCTCCGAGTTAGTGTGTTTAAGCAGAATTCCAAGTCTATGTCACAGCTGCTTTTCCATGACAAACGAGAACTGCTTACTGCAGGCTCCTATCTAATGACCTGCCCGGTGGTGTAAAATGATGAATAACTCCCATAGAGAATTTCTCCTGGATATTTTCTATGAAAATAAAGTGCTAGATACTTGAAATCATAACCTCATAGCAAAGGGTTATGATAGATCTTGCCATTAAGATTATGTATTGCCATTAGATGTTTGAGGGCAGGCTGTTGTTTACACTCGGGCCCTACCTGCGCAATTGTGCTTGGTGGCCCTGTTCTGGAAGAAAAGAGCTGTATGTGCCTTGGATAACTACATATTTGTGAACTTTTGTTTGGATCTTCACTGGGTCGTTGCTTAGAAGAAGAATATACTGCACAGCTATGTGCAGAAACAGGTGTAAAGGCATGGACATAGATTTTTTTTTTTTTTTTTGAGATGGAGTCTCGTTCTGTCGCCCGGGCTGGAGTGCGGTGGCATAGTCTCAGCTCACTGCAACCTCTACCTCCCAGGCTCAAGTGATTCTCCTGCCTCAGCCTCCTGAGTAGCTGGGATTACAGGCACCCGCCACCACACCCGGCTCATTTTTGTGTTTTTAGTAGACATGGAGTTTCACCATGTTGGCCAGGCTGGCCTCGAACTCCCATTTTAGGTGACCCATCCACCTTGGCCTCCCAAAGTGCTGGGATTACAGGCGTGAGCCACCACACCCAACCTACCATCTTTCTATTCTAATAGTCAGACACCTTGCACTTTGCACCTGTGTCAGGTTATTGGATCGTTCTTTTTAAGAGGCTATGACTGAGGAATATAGTTCTTATTTTCTATGTCAGGTGCCACCTAAATTCAATGAGAGTACAGGACCAAAAACCAGGCATTATCACTAAATAAATCCTGCACTGCCATAGAAAGATCCTTTTGCCATTCTTTCCCAGACTTATTTTGAACACTGTTCCCGACTGGAGAAGGAATTGTCACAAGGGAGCAAATTTTGCCTCAGCTCCTGACAGTGCTGCCACATTTCATGATCTTCCAGGGCAACTGGCTTAGAACAATTTCTAGATAATAGTTATTGCTTCTTCAGACAATGCCTTGTCTCCAGAACTGACAGAAACTATTTTGCTATTTTAAATAACCTTCTCTATCGATCTGTTGGAATCGGTCATATTTTATAAATATCTCCCATTCAAGTACAGCTGCAATTACTACATGTCATTTAGTTGGATTGGCCTTGACCTCAGATGGCTGGGACACATTTTAGTGTTTTGCAGCTGAGCTAAGAGAAGAGTAAGGGACTTTGGTTTTATGAACACATGCCAAAAAAGGAGAATTTGTGGGATTTTTCTGGTTTAGGAATATCTGGTCATAAGTGGTTGAAAGGGGGGAGGTCCGTTATTTACCTTGAGATTGGAGACATATATATACATGGAAAAAGCAGCTGAGTGCCCTGCAGAACACACACTTAAAGGTGCTGAGTAAATTCAGTGCTTGTATTAATATGGGTACTTGGACTTTAATAGATATGTATCTTTTACTCTGTTTTCCTCACTTATTTTCCAAATGGTTGAGTTAAAAACAACAACTATATTTCCTAATTTAAATTGTTCCTTAGTGCTAGATACTACAATTAAACATTAGTGTCTTTTCTCAAGTTATAATTAACTCTACTATGATGTCTGTGCTGGCTGGTATATTTTTATCTCAAAAATCACAGTACAGTAAAGATTGCTAAATGGAGCTTTTTGTTCAAATTCCAAGCAACTGTATCTTTGACCTGTATTCCTCTTGGCTCTTCCAAATCTCAGTGACCCAACATGGACAGTCTGTGAAGCTAACCATGACCTGCAAGCAGGGAGCATGAACATCGTTTTAGTTTTTCAATCAGTTTAATCTTTTATGCTTTTTTACCACCAGAGGCTTCACTTGTCACATTTGCTCTTTAAAATTTGTCACTGTTGTTTTAAATTAGCCAAGAAAACAGGAATCCTTAATTAATAGAAACTTTTCTGAATATAGTTAAGTATTCTGAGTCACAGCATTAAACAGCTTTAGAATACATATGGGTCACTATATAATTTTAAATGCCCTTCAGGTTTTCTGGCTGAGAGCAGTTTAAGAAAAACAGACTACCTTAAACTTCAGTAATTTACGTTCTATCTTGATATCAAATGGATTTTCTCATTTTAAGCAATACTACCCTTTTACCTAAATTCATTTTTTGGAATCTACTTTTCTATGAACTTAAAAAGTGAGTGGCTATTTTCTGAATATTTCCACAGTGATGGACACCCATGTAATTCTTATATAGTTGTTTTTAAATTATTATAAGATATTTGTTTTGTTATTTTCCTTTGGATACTTTAATAGGATGTAGTGCCATTGTCTGGATGTATAGATACTGGTAAAACATTGTCATTAGTGTTGAGAGCAAAGGCAGTACTCTGATGGCCCCTCCATCGATTAGTAATCTGACATTTTCTTAAAAGAGGGCACATGCATGTAGAGGAAAATCTGGGATGATTGCTATAAGACTACCCAGGTAGTACTTCTACCCCATACCCTACAGGACCTCAGAGTCAGTTTTGTGTAAATTTTCAAGAACTTAGAAACAAAGGAAGGCTTTGCCTACACAAACAAGTATGAAAAAATGTCACATTTAGAAAAACAATCACTTATTTTGAAAAGAATATATACTGTATCAGTATCGGCTGAATTTTGTTTTAGAATTTTTAGTTAAGCAATAGGTTGATCAAATTGGTTTGTGGGTTTATGGCTGCTTTAATTATGGAAGAAACATGACCTAAATGATAAGGACCAATGTGCTTGGGTGGAAAAAGGTAAAACCAAGATCATACCTCAAAACATAACCTCTTTAGATACACCATTAACAGAAATGGGTCTTTTAACATGAAATTTCAAGACTACATTTTGGAAGTTAGAGTTATTATTTCTCATGACCATGCTTTCCTTAAATTCCATTATTAAATTCAACAATAGTTTATCAAGTATTTACCATTAAATCAGAACTGTGATAAACCTAAAGATTTTAAGAGAAAAAATGACCAGGGAAACTTTAATAAAATAGAACCACTGGGACTGAACTTTTAAAGCAACAAGCCATAGTCATACATCAGGGTTGCTTATATGAAAACATATGAGACTTACATGTTGGTATTGGCCGTTGATGTCAGCCATTCTCCAGCTAGGCCAATAATATCCAATCCAGTGGAGAGCTGGTTGAAAAATCGAGGATGACCTAGATAGGAAACAGAAAAGCATCAAGGCAAATGCAGATTTCTCAACCTATCTTGAAGGCAAACGGCCTGCCCCACTGGGTCACACTGATGGGGCTTCCATCCCAGTGATATGTCGAATAAGGCTGCTCAAGGATATTGAAAAAGGAAGGGCAGGTTGACCCACCCTATACCAACATTAACATTCATAATGTCCCTCAAACTTCTATGTTTCTAAAGCATCGTGCTTTTAAAGAATAATATCCAGTATCATGAAACAAATCATGCTTTCCAGTGTTTTGTGTTTTGATGTGTTTTGCCAATATATATATAGTAAAATGACCTTCAAATTAAATTTATGGCTGAGATAACTTAGCTCTCCTCTGTGAAATGGGCAGCCTATTTCACTCATTCAGTTGTTGGTGAAATAATTGCTTTTGCTACGTAACTCTAAATCCCTGTGCAACCCACAGTATGCTTTAACAGGCTTTGCTCTCAGCAAATTCAGGATTGTTGCCAAGTTTTTGCCAACTTAGCATTCAACGGAAAACTCAACTCCACATCAGCAGGCTTGGCTCAGCTGTCAGGAAGGAGTCAACGCAATAGATTATCTAGGGACGTGTGGCTGGGAACTGGTGTTAGAAAGATATGCTGACTGCTGTGTTTCCAGTGGAAATTGCCTTTGCTTCTGAAAAAAAAAAAAAGAAAAACAACCAAAAACGGTCAGAGAGCTAGTGTTAGAATGTTCCTGGTCTAACTCTCCTCTCTGAGAATCTCTATTCTTCCCTAGATGTGATTCAGAACATCTGGACTATGACTTCTCATATCAGAAGATACCAGTCTCTGCATCTTAAGAGCCCTCACAAAATAATACTGTTTTTTAGAAAAAACTAAAAGAAGCATAACTAGTAAACTTAGTTTAAGTATGGGGCCATATTCTAGATATTCATGTGGACTATCCTAGATAGTTAAATGATTCCATGTTACTCTACTTTGCTCATTGCCAACAGAATCTGAGGTCTTTTGAAACAACACATTGTATTGAAAGCCATTAAAATATATATGCAATATCCATTTAAAAACTTTTAACAATAACACTTCATTTTAAGACAAGACTGAATGGTAAATAAATGCAATCACACTATTTGATAATGTATCAAAACCATACAGCTTGGCAGAAACAAAAGATGGACAAAGACAGAGAGATTAACACAAAGTGAAATAGTATCTCTTTGTCCATTAAAATATAAAGGACACAAAGTCCTTCAAAATCTTATTTTTAGCTTATGGTTACAACCTTGTGCCCCCAAATCTTATATCTATCAGAATTTCTATTAAGTAACAAAATAGTTTCAATTTGAATTTCAATTCTCTATATTGGATGAAAGTAGCAGATGATAGATATGGTGCTGGGCCGCTCATGGCCTAAATTCAGGTAGGGGGAGAAGGAAAGAATTATTTTTTAAAGCAAAGTTTTCCTACAAATAAACTACAAGAAAAAAAAGAAGAGTTGGAGGGGGAGATCTCTTGATTAGGAGACAAGGCAAACAACTGCATGTAAGAAACTTATTTGGATCCTGATTCAAATGAGTTTAATTAACTAAAAGCATTTATGACGTTCATGATACAATTGGAAATTTGAAAACTGACTAAATATTTCATTAAGGAGCTATAAATTTTTCTTTTCAGGTATGACAATGACATTGTGGACTTTTTTAAAAAAAGTTCTTAAGAATGAATATTGGGCCAGGCACGGTGGCTCATGCCTGCAATCCCAGCACTTTGGGAGGCCAAGGTGGGTGGGTCATCTGAAGTCAGGAGTTCGAGACCAGCCTGGCCAACATGGTGAAACCCCATCTCTACTAAAAAAATACAAAAATTAGCCAGGCATGGTGGCGTGCACCTATAATCCCAGCTTCTCAGGAGGCTGAGGCAGGGGAATCGCTTGAACCCAAGAGGGGAGGTTGCAGTGAGCCGAGATCACGCCACTGCACTCCACTCCAGCTTGGGCAACAAGATTGAAACTCCATCTCAAAAAAAAAAAAAAAAAGAATGAATATTTATGGATACAATAATATTATGTTGGGGATTTGCTTTCATGTAATGTAGGTGATGGGGAATGGATGGCGGTACAGGTAAAAGCTGATAATAAAGCAGGGCATTAGGTTTATAGGGTTCATTATAGGATTCTACTTTTGTATAAGTTTAAAATTTTCCATAAGAAAAAGTTTTAAAAAGAACAACGAAGGGAGTCCAGCATATCTACAAATCACTTAAGTAGCTGCTGTGGCTGAAGGCTGACTGGTGCCTGTTAGTTCATGGGAAATCTCTATAGGCTGGTTCATTTTTTAAAAGAAGTCTTTTATTAATTTATAGAGAAATTTCTAAATGCCATCATCATCTCTTCACAGACTATACCCGGATCAGTATGTTTTCACTATTAAAACCCAATTCATTATTTTGGCTGAGCCTATTAATGCATTAATATCCTTGAAAAAATACTTTCTACTGTGTGTAGCTACCTGTGGGGTTTACCCTATTGCTCCTTATCTATGCTTAAATTCCACATCAGCAACCAGGAGCTGTTTTGACACGGCAGCAACAGCATGCTTTTATCAGGGCCAAAATCCTGAGATATAGCAGGAGGTTTCATATTGCTTGGAAGACTGTGAACTCTGTAAAGACAAATATCTGCCCCAAGAAGCAACTCTGAGGAACAAAAATGAATGTTTGCAGGCTAAGTACCTAAGTGGGTTCATACACTGGACTAATGAAAGTCAATGCTTTCTCTCTCTCTCTCTCTTTTTTTTTTTTTGAAACAGGGTCCTGCTGTCACCCAGGCTGGAGTGGTGCAGTGGCACAATCTCAGCTCACTGCAACCTCCGCCTCCCGGGCTCAAGTGATCCTCCCACTGCAGCCTCCAGAGTAGCTGGGATCACAGGTGCACACTACCACGCTCAGCTAATTTTTGTATTTTTGGTAGAGATGGGGTTTTGCCCAGGTTAGTCTTGAACTCCTGAGCTCGCGTGATCCACCTGCCAGCCTGCCAACGTGATGGGATCACGAGTGTGAGCCACCAGGCCAGGCCCGTCAGTGCTTTCTCTGACCACAAGATGCTTTGGTTTTGTAGATAATATTAGTTGATATTATGACAAAATCATGTATTTTTATTTGAGGGACAACGCCATTCTGGGCTTTCATAATAAAATGATGTAGTTCTCATCTCTCTGAGAAAGCGCATGTAGAGCAAACTGGCAAAGTTCAAAATATCACACCAAAGCAAGTCAAGCTAAACATACATGGGGAATTCTGACTCTTTTTAAAATGCAGCCGAATAACACTATTTGTTTTCCATTAGGAATATATTAGCCATCTGACCAAGATGAGAAGTAACTAAATGTAAATTGATAGAGTGCTTTTCTTTAAAAATCAAACAACATAAATTTTGTACATATAACTGAGTCTTGTGTATCCATCAGTCATTTAATGAAGCTGCACTTATTCCAGTGGTGTTGGCAGACCTCAGCAGCTCTCTGGGATTCCTCATTTTAAAAAGCATCTTTGGCCAGCATCATTATTTCATTATAACACTTTGTTTTTGACATCCAATAGTCTTACTCAGCTCTATCACCACCAGCCTCCTAGTCTCAGTCTTAAATCTATCTTCAAATGACGAGGAAGAATGAGAGGGAAAATAAAGAAGGAGAGACAAAGAAGAAGAAAGAACACAGGATTGCCAGTTGTGGCCTTGGGGCTTCCCCTGTGGTGGCAACTAAGCTAGGGACTGTCAATTATTCTAGATCTGTCTGCCTGAGAGCTCAGGAAAGCCAGACTGTAGTGTGGAGAGAGTTATAGGGAGAAGAAACCACTGTGTCACTCCTGGGCTTAGTCCACAGTCTGAGCTGTTTCTAAGCATCTCAGACAGAGGCCCCAAAGTCCTTGAACTGGAGGCAATTGGAAAGCAACTGCTTTGATGAGGATTGCTGATTAGAGAGAGCTCCTGGAACAAGAAAAGGAGGCAAGAGGACATCCTCAAGGACTCCCACTGGAAATAGAATTTGGTGACTCAGAGTGTCCTAAGTTCCAGAAGTTGCAGTAGAATGAGAAGGCATGTGTGTATGTGTGTGTGTGTGTGTGTGTGTGTGTGTGTGCGCGCGCGCGCGCATGTGTGCCTGTGTCTTTTTGGCCTGTGTGTGCATGTGTCTTTTTGGCCTAGCTGGTAAAAGGTGTCATGGGTTGAATTGTGTTCCTCAAAAAGATATGTTCAAGTCCTAATCCCTGGTTCCTGTGAATGTGACCTTATTTGGAAATCGGGTCTTTGCGGATGTAATCATGTTAAGATGAGGTCATGCTGGATTGGGGTGGGCCTTAATCCAACGACTGGCATTCTTATAAGGAGAGAGAAATTTGGACACACACACAGGATGAAGGCCATGTGAAGTGAAGGCAGAGGTTGGAGCGATGCATCTACAAGCCAACAAATGCCAAGGAATATCCACAACACCTGGAAGCTGGTAAAGACAAGGGTGGATCCTCTCCAAGAGCCATCAGAGAGAGCATAGCCAGCACCTTGATTTTAAACTCCTAGCCTCCAGAATTGTGAGAGAACAAATTTCTATTGTTTTGAGCCATCCAATTTGTGGTCATTTATAATGGCATTCCTAGGAAACTAATACAGAAAGGGAGAGGAAATAGCCCAATTCTCCCCAGTGTCAGGGACAGGCAAGGGCAGGATTTATCAGAATGAAATAGACCTGAAAATGGAGGCAAGAAAAGAAGCAGAGGATGGGTCATTCTGCTCTCTTTAGGTTGTGAATAGCCTAAATCCAAGAATGAAAATTCTTTTTTTTGAGATAGGGTCCCAATCTATTGCCCAGGCTGGAGTGCAGTGGCACGATCTTGGCTCACTGCAGCCTCTGCCTCTTGGCCTCAGCCTCCTGAGTAGCTGGGACTACAGGTGCACGCCACCATGCCCAGCTCATTTTCATATATATATAAATATTATATAATTTATATTTATATATAATATATAATATAAATATTATATATAAATATTTATATATTATTTTTATATTTATTATTTATAATTTATTATTTTTAAATTTTATTATTTATAATTATTATTTATTTATTATATTAAATATTTATATATAAATATTTATATATAAAAATAGGTATATACACACACACACACACACACACACACACACACACACACACATATGTAGAGACAAGGTTTCGCCATGTTGCCCAGGCTGGTCTCGAACTCCTGAGCTCAAGTGTTCTGCCCACCTTGGCCTCCCAAAATGCTGGAATTATAGGCATGAGCCATTGTGCTTGGCCAGAATGAAAACTCTTTATACAGAACTTGACCTAGCACCAAGCATTTATATCTTTTTTATCTACTTTTACCATGATATATGCTGATGAACTTTTGCCTGGGTCGGGTCCCTCCACCAACTGTTACTGCCCAAGCTTGTTCTTGTGGTCACTGGGTACTTTGCCGCCTTATCTCACCAGGGCTGTGTTTTTCTTCCAACACAAGTTTGATATCCTCACAACTGGCAAGGGTGAGATGGAGGGCAAAGTTGCCACTACCTGTCTACCCAACTCTCCTCCTTACCTGTGCGAACCCCATACTTCAAGGTGTCTCTGCAGTCAACCAGGATCTGCTCCAGGGACTCGGGGTGGTCAGAGAGCTCCAAGTTGAAGCCCTCCATGCCTTCCAGCAACTGGTGTGGGTGATGAAAGTCCAGCACCTTGGTGGAGCGATCAAATGTCTTGCGGACATAGTTGAGGAGTATGTCCACCACTTCCAGGAGGAATTGCACGGTTTGCTCCTCACCGTTCTTAGCCGGAAGCAGATCTGAATTGGGGAGAGCAATGAATGGTTTTCACCTGACTCATATCTAGATTTCTTCAGCCCAGAGACCCCTAATATTAACCATGCTATCTGTATAGGCCTGATTTCATTCTGGGATATGTATGTGCACTGAGAATCGGATATACCACATCTCCAGAAAAATGCACATACACAGAAGTTTTGCACATGCTTCCTGGGGGTTCACAGCCTTTCTGACAGGCTGCTCAGACATGGAATGAAGTGCTCTGAGACGCCGTGAACAACCTGCGACTGCGGTTGTCATCTGCAGGTTGAATGGGCACCTGTGAGGAGTGTGATGGAGGGGGCATCTGTCGTGCTCCCCTGGGACCAGGTGTGTCCCTGTCTATCTGGTTTGGTGTTGTGATGTGCTTGGTCTGTTGGCATCAGAGGGTAAGGCCTCTGTGGGTAGAGGCTGGGGTTCCCCCTGAGGAGGGTGGTCCTTGGCGGTGTCCTTCGACAGGAAACTGGAGCTGGAAGATGGGGCTCAAGAAGGTGGGACAGGGAACCCCTGCCTCTTTCTTGACCCCACCCTTTTGGGCCTGGACTTTGAGATATCCAGAGGTGACTTTGGGTGACAGGCTCTGCAGTAGTCAGGCTAGAGGTTAGGCAGGGAAAAAAGCTGTAGGGGCCCAATTCTGTAGCTCACAGGCAGGCTGTGCAGTTGTGCACGATACTCTCTGTGACTTCCTGGGTTAGCTCCAGGGTTTTAGTGACATATTGTTTAATACTCTGGTCTGCCTTCTGTGGCCCTGTGGGAAGTTCACAGAAGGGGATGGAAGCGGATCTACCTATGAGCTGTTTGGGAGAGACTGGTAAAGCACCTCCTGAGATGAGTGTTGTGGGGCAGCAGGGGTTAGTAAAACATCTCTGAAAGGAAAACAAGTTCCAGGACACTCGTTGGTTATGAGGCTCAGCATGCAACTTCCCATAGTGTGATTTTGTGTGTATGTGTGTGGCCAATCTTCCAGGATAAACGTTATTAAGGAAATCATTAGATTTTCTTATATGCAAGGTTCCTTTGACTCTGAGAGTCTATGAATCCATATTTGTTCCCTCGAGTGTCTTTAGAGTTGACTTTTATTGACTGCCTTCATCCAGTTTCCAAAATGATGGAGACCTGGCCAGCAGGGAGGGAGGGAGTCAATTATATTCCCCCAAAGTCACAAAAGCAGTTTCATGTGGGTTCAGAGAGAATAATGACATTTCTTGATAAAAGAAGTAAAATTGCAGGAAAAAGTCAAGAAACTCAAATAAGAAATCTACTGGCTAGCATGGGGCGGGAGTGGGGCAGGGGCTACCTCTAGCAAACAGATTAGAGAAGTCAGTCTCTGTGCGCCGGAAGCGGGCATCCCGGTCGCTGTTTTCACAGGAAAGCAGGTTCTTGGAGGATTGCCTCTCCTTGAAGGCACTCACAAGGCGACTCTTCTCTTCCAGGCTGTTGGTCCTTTGCAAGAAGCCTATGGCACAAGAAGCTGGTCAGAGAGAGTGCTGCAAACTGCCCAGCCCCTGAGGGTCAGCTGCAGAGTGAATCAACTCTCCAAGCAGGGCTCTTGTTTCTCCTGAGAAAAGAAGTGAGTGTCTGTGTTTTAAATACAGTGGCTCTGGCACTGCTCGCCTTCAGGCAGGGAGGGGGGCAGTGCCAAATGTCATCAGTGGCAGAGGCCCAGTCATGCAAGAGAGAAAAACAGTAAGTGAAGCCCGTTCTCCTCTCTGAATGTGACAGTGAACTCACAATTAAGTAAGTTGGACAGCTTCCACTCCAGTGACCAGCCCCAGGATAGGGCTTTAAAGGAGGAGACACAATCAGAGAAGATGCTGCCAGCACTGTTTATGGGCTGTATAAGCAGAAGGAGGAGGGGAGAGAACAGCAGAGGTAGGAGGAGAGGTGAGGACAGCTGAGGGAGGAGGGTGAGGACAGCAGAGGGAGGAGGAGAGGTGAGGACAGCTGAGGGAGGAAGATGAGGATAGCAGAGGGAGGAGAGGTGAGGACAGCAGAGAGATGAGGAGGGGTGAGGACAGCAGAGGAAGGAGAGTGAGGACCACAGAGGGAGGAGAGCAAGGACCGCAGAGGGAGGAAGGCGAGGACAGCAGAGGGAGGAGAGGTGAGGACGGCAGAGGGAAGAGGAGGGGTGAGGACAGCAGAGGGAGGAGGGTGAGGACAGCAGAGGTAGGAGGGCGAGGACAGCAGAGGGAGGAGGGTGAGGACAGCAGAGGGAGAAGGGTGTGGACAACAGAGGAGGAGGGTGAGGACAACAGGGGAGGAGGGTGAGGACAGCAGAGGGAGGAGGGTGAGGACAGCAGAGGGAGGAGGGCAAGGACAACAGAGGGAAGAGGAGGGGTGAGGACAGCAGAGGAGGACGGTGAGGACAGCAGAGGTAGGAGGGTGAGGACAGCAGAGGGAGGAGAGCAAGGACAGCAGAGGGAGGAGATCAAGGACAGCAGAGGGAGGAGATCAAGGACAGCAGAGGGAGGACAGCGAGGACCGCGGAGGGAAGAGGAGGGGTGAGGACAGCAGAGGGAGGAGGGTGGGGACAGCAGAGGGAGGAGGGTGAGGACAGCAGAGGGAAGGGGATGAGGACAGCAGAGGGAGGAAGATGACAGCAGAGGGAAGAGGGTGAGGACAGCAGAGGGAGGAGGGTGAGGACAGCAGAGGGAAGGGGAGGGGTGAGGACAGCAGAGAGAGGAGGGGTGAGGACAGCAGAAAGAGGAGGGGTGAGGATAGCAGAGAGAGGAGAGGTGAGGACAGCAGAGAGAGGAGGGCGAGGACAGCAGAGGGAGGAGGGTGAGGACAGCAGAGGGAGGAGGGTGAGGACAGCAGAGGGAGGACAGCAGAAGGAGGAGGGGTGAGGACAGCAGAGGGAGGACAGCAGAAGGAGGAGGGGTGAGGATGGCAGAAGGAGAAGTAGTGAGGTCCAACACAGAGGATTCGGGCAGACACTTTCCTCCAGCACCAGGTAATGCTCACAGGGTTGAACGTAAGTGGTATTTTTCTGAATGCAAACCTGAATGCAGCTTTTCTTGCACCACCCCCTCTCCTTGAATGAAGGTACTGTGAGACAAAAAAAAGCTTCAATCTTCTGTGTTGCCATTTAATTCTATAAGTACTTATTGAGCACCTGTTGTACAAAAACACTTTGCTAAGCATCTAGGATTGGGGACTGATAAAGCTAGTGGGACAGATCCCCTGCCCTCCAGGAGCCTACAAGCCTGGCAGATGGTGACAAATGCTGGAATAAAACTAGTCATCCAAGAACTCCACAGAGATGACAGGAGGGATCTGAGCCCAGGGCGGGATTCTCAGTGCCTCACCTCTGCCCCTCGGAGTGAGTGGAAAGTTCTCCTGCCCAAGGTGAGCAGGACAAACTCCGGCAGCAAACGGGGAAAGAGGGTTAAGCCAAAAGGGCAGGAGAACCTGCCAGCGTGGAGCACACTCCCTCCACATCTCCACCATCCCCTGTGGGGCTCCTGGCCCGCACGTCTGCTCTTTCCTTTGGCTTCTCCTCCTTCAATTCAGCCTCAGTCTTAGCCCAAAATGCAGCACACTGAAAAGAGGAAAAAGGTTCTAAGCTTCTTGGTGACCCCAAAGCTGTTTCTGTAAATACCAAGAAACTTGCGGAGTCACACGTGTCACAAGGCAGACTTGGAAGAAAGTCCCAAGAGGTGCAAAAAGGCAAGTTAATCTGGAGAATTCAGCTTTGCTTCCCAGGACTACAATTCAACTGTGATGGGTGGGAGAAGGGGGGATGCATGGGAGGGCTGCGGTGATTAGAATCCTCCCACACAAGGGAGCCAGGGGCTATTTCTGGAGGGAAGAAGGGGAAAGCAGAGCCACCAAGCTTTTTGTTGCTCCCAGCACCTTTTACATTTATCACTAAAGCCCAAAGGACATGAGAAGGGGGGAAATACACTATAATAGAGCTCCACACTTGGGTATAAAGATGGGATTGTATCCTTTTCCATATCTCTTTGCCTACTTCCTGAATTCCTCCTCCAAATCCTCAAAGTCCAGAGCCAGGAGCCAGCACTCATTTGCCAGAGGGATGCAGGATCAGATGGCACCTGAACTCTGAGACTGCTCCTCTCATCCCAGAACATTGAGCTGTGGAATTTGCCAGACTTGAAAGACCAAACCCATGTGGCCTCATGTAGTGAGGTCCTGCCCAGCTGAACCTCCACTCTGTTGTCCCCGACGCCTGCTTAGGCTTCTGACTCACTCCCTGAGTCTCCCCACCTTGAAGCCCCTTCCCTCTGGGCAGCTGCAGGAAGCAGAAACTCGGCTTGAGGTTTTGACACAGGCTCTCCCAGAGATGCGCTCATGAGGCTGAGAAACGATCGTTATGCCACAGCTTTTTTTTTTTTTTTTTGAGACGGAGTCTTGCTCTGTCACCCAGGCTGGAGTGCAGTGGCATGATCTCGGCTCACCACAACCTCCAGCTCCCAAGTTCAAGTGATTCTCTTGCCTCAGCCTCCCAAGTAGTTGGGATTACAGGTGCCTACCACCACGTCTGGCTAATTTTTGTATTTTTAGTAGAGATGGGGGTTTCGCCATGTTGGTCAGGCTGGTCTCAAACTCCTGACCTCAGGTGATCCACCTGTCTCGGCCTCCCAAAGTGCTGGGATTACAGGTGCGAGCCACTGCGCCCGGCCCTACGACACGGCTTTAAACCTGCATCCCATTCCTTGGGCTGCACTTCCAGTAATGTACTAGGAATCAGAATCCTCTCTAAATCCTGTAATTATTTTATGAATAGCACACTTACACTGCATTATAATTTATGTTAAAACAATTAATTTGCTAATATAAACATATAATATATATTGTCACATGTCTTTCACTTTGTTTAGGAAGGTGTTTGTTCTCTAAAATACTGGGATCCTCAGAAAGGTAGGTGAACCAGGCCTCCCTTGGCTCTGAGAGGCCCTGGAAGGAACTGCTTCTCCAAGGATGAAGAGGTGGTGGATGACATGGAGGTCAGTGCCTTGACAATTTCCCTGGCTAGCAAGGGGTCCTGTAAGAAGGGGTCCCAGAGAATGAAGCCGAGTGTACTCCCTCTTGCTCTACACCCCAGCTTCGAGGACCTAGTTTAAGCCTGTGGGTAACTGGTCACAGAGCTCTACATTCTTAGAGGCAAAGAGGAAAGCAGAGGAGAGGCAAAGCTGCAGTTGTGTTTGGTTGGGTGCTAGCACACTGGCCAGCCGCAAGGGGAGAAAAATCATGACTCCACCTCTGAGCTGAGGGGAGCTCCTGCTGCAGGTTCCTCACCCCTGCTGCCAAACTCAAAGGCTTATGGGGCCCAGTGAGAGAGTGTGTATGTGTATGTGTGCGTGCATGTGCGCACAGGTATGTGTAGCTAGAAAGCACCTGGCTCCAGCCAGTTGTTGCCAAGTGGGGCTTTGAGCTGTGTATGGCATAAACACCTATGGCCAACAGGGCACGTGGGAGCTGAAGCCCAGCACATTCTCTGTTCACCAAGCTATGGCATGGAATTGCATATGCATAGACGGAGGGGCTCTTTTTCATTTGTTTGTTTGTTTTTGAGACAGGGTCATACTGTATTGCTGTTGTCCAGACTGGAGTGTAGTGGCGCCATCATAGCTCATTGTAATTTCAAACTCCTGGGCTCAAGCGATCCTCCTGCCTCATCCTCCTGAGTAGCTAGGACTGCAGCTATGTGGCCACCACACCTGGCTAATTTTTTGAAAGTTTTTGTAGAGATGGGGTCTCCCTATGCTGCTCAGGCTAGTCTCAAACTCCTGGCCTCAAATGATCCTACCACCTTGGCCTCCCAAAGTGTTGGGATTACAGATGTGAGCCACCATGACTTCTTTTTCTGATTTTCTTGGGCTAACAGCACCTGCCATGTTTCCCTCCCCATTGCCCACCCCCAAGTTTTTTCAAGAGAAACCAGAAAAAGAGAGCACTTGAAATCTCTCTATTTTTAAGGTTTGGCACTTGATACAAAATTACACACACATACATACACACACACACACACACACACGAGTGTAGGCTAAATAAAACAGCTCAGGGGCTGTAGTTGGCAGCAAGAGATAAGTGATGGAAGCCCAAGGACACCCTGGGAAGTTAGCAGAGCCTGGAGCCAGAACTTAGGGATCCCTGCAACTCATCGTATTTAGGTCATGCCACCATGCCTGCAGCACTCTCCAGCTCTTGGCAAGACCATGGGTTTCTTCTAGCTGATTACTCTCCCTGGGGGATTCTGCCTCCAGAGCTAATTCTGCCTTCAGGGCTACCACTAGTGGGGCCCAGGGCCTTCCTTGCAGCTTCATTCTGTGGATTTTGGGGAAGGGCAGGGGGAGAGTGGGTGGGGGTTGAATTTTGGCAAGGCACTGAGGGTGCTTCTGAGAGTCATCCAGGGCAGTGGGTTTGGAAGTGGGAAGAGGACCATGAGTTCCTCTGCTCTCTTAATGTGAAAGGGTAAACCAACCTGGATGGTGTCAAGTCAAGAAGGGACCCTCCAGGTCCATCCCTCCAGGGATGAAGGGAGGGGTGTGTGTGTGTGTGTGTGTGTGTGTGTGTGTGTGTGTGTGTAGGCAGGCAGGGAGCTGTGGACCCAGGGCCAACACAAAAGACTGCACTCTGCCTCCACTAGATTAAAATGGAAAGCCAAAGTTGTCTCAAGGTGTGGAAAATAAATCTTGGTGTTTTGTTTTCTTTCACAATCAAACCTAATGGGAAGCCTCCTAACCTGTGGCCCCAAAAGCGGGGCATTTTAGCCCAAGGCAATTTCTCCTCAACAGACTACCATGGGTTGTGGGGAGCAGACACAGGGAGGAAACTCTCTGAGGACTGTAGCCCCCAGGAGCTCTCCCTCCTAGCTTCGGCTGACAGTGGGGGAGGGGGAGTGGAGGCCAACTCCGGCTTCCCTATTTCCGGACCCAGCGAAGCCCCACTCTTTCCCGCCTCTTTAGCCTTTCTGAACTCGTCGGGTATGTCCCCATAAGAAGCACTTAGACCTTTTATTCCCGCGGAAGTGGAGCGCCTGCAGCCAGAGGAGCAGGGGACAGCAGGGGGCAGGATGGGGGTGAATGAGGGCTGCCCCCCACCCTCAGCAGGCCAGGCGCCGCTGGTAAGGAGCCGTCGCCCAGAGCCTGCCCCTACCCTGTCCTCGGCTGCCCAGGGCTCGCTCAGTTCTGCCTGCCCGGCTGGCTGCATGACAATGACGGCTGCAGAAGCCGAGCGCTGCGGCCGCCGAAGGGACCTGGCGCGAAACGGGCCATTAAGCCCAGAATGGCGGCAGGGTGGGGGTGGAGGTGGGGGTGGGAGTGGGACGGGGCTATTTATAGAACAAAGATCCGCGGCCGCCGGCTGCCCCAGCACAGGGATGCAGCCCTGGCCTTGCCCCACGGGCGTCCTGCGCTGGGGAGAAGGCCAAACTCCCAGGCCGCCCGGCGGCAGGGCTGGGCTTTCGGTGGAAAATGGCTGGGTCTAGGAATGGAGCGCCTGTTCCTCCCTAAACGCCGAGTCCCAGGGTCTAGAGGACAGAGCCCCAGAAATGCAGGGAGGGCGCGGCGCGGCCAAGCAGGGAAGGGAGTAGTTCCCCAAAGCGGCCACTCTGCTCTGACTGCAAACTGCCACCGCCCTCGCCCCGGGACCCAGGGAGGCTGGGAAGATCAGGTGCAGAGAGCACCCAGGCGGCGGGCGGCTCTCGGCGCTCCGGGGCTAGGGCGGGCGGGCGTGTCCCGTGCCTGCTCTGCCGCTATCTCCCGCGCGCAGGAGCTGACGGATGGCTCTTTAATAAGCCGCCCGTTAATCTTCCCCCGCCTCTCCAACCTCTGCCCGGGGACATCCGTATTTTCTGGCCCGATAAGGCTAGAGAATTTTAGTCGGTGAAATGTAGCCAGGAAAGTGAGGCCTCATTGTTCAGCCAGAATCACTCAGCTGTGTCCCTTCGAACAAATCTCCCTTTTTCCTTTAAAAAAATTACATCCTTTGGGCGTTTTCATTTCAGACCCTCCTGTCTCCAGAGAGCAGTTCTTTCTCCTCTCCAGCTCCCTGATCTATTTTCTTCCTTCCCGGTTCTTTCGCCGCCTGCGGCTCCTCGTCCCTGCTCGTCCCCTTTCCCTTCCCTCCTCGCCTTCAAGGATGCGCCAGGCAAACCCTCGTGCCTCCCTCAGGCAGGCCATGGAGGGCTCCAGGCAATCCTTTTCTTTAGCCTCCGAAGCCCCAAAGAAAGAAACTTGAATCCGTTATGACATCTCAGGGCAAAACCCCTCAAGGTGGAGAGACCACTTTCAATGCGACCCGACTGCGCGGGTGGAGGTGCGAGTGAGGGGTAGGCGATGATGTAGGGGATGGGGGAGACGTGTCAGCTACAGCTTTAGGCAGATACACCGCCTTTGGTCTGCTCTCCAGCAAGCCAGATCAGTTCACCTTTTCTACGCGACCTTTGGGACGCGCAGGCAGAGTGCACGGCACCGGGTGGGAGCTGCTTGCGCGCAGGGCTAGGAAGGCGGGGTTGCCGCGCGGGGGCGCTTTCCTCCCGCTTCTGCGCCCAGGCAGGGCACCCGGCGTTCGCTCCACTGGGTGTTGGGGATTGGGGACTCCAGAGGAAAAGACCCCTGGGGACCAGGTCTGGGGCGGGCAGAGGAGGGTCAGGGCCTGTAGGGGAGCGTGGTCGCTGGCTGTCCTGGCTGTAATTACATTAGAAAATCAGACCCATGAGCCCGGATCCCCCTCCGCTTGCGTCCCAGTCTCCCAAGCCCCAAAGGTCCGCCCGCCGCGCCACCCAGCCGGGCCCCAGTGGGTCCTGTCACTTACCGCAGATCTTGAGCCCCAGTTTTCTGGTGCATCCATGGGCCACGCCGCACCAGGTATCGTACGCTAGGACGAGAGAGAGGGAGAGAGGTTCGGTTAGGGAGGTTCCGACCGCGGGGAAATGGGTGGAGGACAATGGTTTTCTTGGGGGAGGATGAGGACTTTGCCAGAGCTCTTCATTAAAAGCTACTTCCTGAAAGGAGCTAGGAGCCAAATCTGTGAGCCGACAGGCATATACTCTAAGCCCCCATCATACTCCCTTCCTGCTCCTGGCTTCAAATATGGAACGGTGTCTCTGAGAGGCGGGGCACCCGGCGCCCCTCCGGGCCCGTAAGCGACCCCCGCCCGGCAGCTCCGGAGGTGGGGTCGGAGTTGGGTGAAGGCTGACCCACACGCAAAGGGCCAGGCTCCGATCGAGCTGCCCAACACCCACTGGCCGGGCCCCGCAGACTCAAAGGGCGACCACAGCAGCCCAGAAAGGGAACACAGGCATCTGGGACCGAAACGTCTCATAATTTCTTGGCGGGTCTCCAGCCTAGTGGCAGCTTAAAATAAACTGGCATGAAATGGGGTCGTGGAAGAGTTCAAGAATTAATTGGGTGAAAAATAGTATTTGACTAGATGATCGGGCTCGCATGGCTGCTCTTCAGTCAGACCGGGGAGTGGGGAAGACAATAGTGCGCCTCAGGTCCTCATCCCTGGCCCCTCTTCCCAACCTGCCCCTCATTAACCCTTCCCTCTGACATCTTGGGTCTGGAGCAGGCAAAGGTAAATGGAATCAAGCACCTTTCCTCTGAGTCACAACTGAGGGTGGAGGTGCTGCTGGATTTTCCTTCTTTTCCAGGCTGTTCTCAAACCCCTCAAGGTCTACCTGCTGCCTTCGGGGTTCAACTTCCAGCAAGAAGCGTGGGAAGCAGCCCCATCCCCACTAAGCCCCCAAGCGGAGTGGTGTGGTGAGCCCAGCACGAAATCCCCTTCCAATCTCTCAAAGCAAACCTCTCCAAGCACTCGCTTACCCTACCCTGACTGGTGCCTCCAGCTTCGCACAGGTGTTGGAGGCGATAAGGAGAGTGACATCCATTAAACCTGAGGCACAACAGAGCCCCAGCGGGGAGAAGAAACAGCCTGACGTCGGTAAGACATGTCACAGATGGAGTTCCAGTGACAGACAGGAAATCAGTGCAAAAGCGAAACCCTAATAATACCTGGCGGATAAAGAGCTATTTGGACCTGATAAAGTGCTTTCACTTTCAACATCATCTCATCTAATTCTCGTAACAGTCCTATGAAACTGGCAGGAGTGTTGATCTAAGAGTCATTTGACAAAGAAAAAACATCGAGGCTCAGAGAGGTTACATGAGTTTTCCAAGGTCAATCAACAGGGAAGTTGGAGTTCAGACACATTGCACTGCCTTTCAAAATTGGGGGTTGCAATGAAAGAAAGGGAAAGGGAGACGGGGAGAGCAAGCGAGAGAGCCCCTTTGATGTAGCAAGGGTCGGGAAGACCTAGTGGTTGGGGACAAGGAGGGCTCCAAGCCCCACCCAAGGGTTTCTGGAACAAGAGAGTGCCTTAGGTTGCCTGCACTAACGCCACCTCCCAGGAGACTCTAAAGGGGCAAAGAAGTGGAGCCAGCTGGGCGGGCAAAGGTATTGTCTGCAAGGGAGGGTGAGAGTGGATAGAGCGCCCAGCGCGCCTTTGAAGCCTGGGGTGCGGATGCGTAGCTAGGCTAAGGGCCCGCAACAGTGTGCCTGGGACACGTGCTGCTTGCTGTTTTACAGCAGGGTCCCGGGCTCTCTTGCCTTCGCTTTGGCAGCTTCCAGGCGAACCAGGCCACGTGCGGATTCAGGTCATCGCCTCTGTTGTGTCTCCTACCGGTGACTTGGCATTTGCGCCGGCGACTGGCGGCCACCGGGAATTCCGTAAGGGCGCCGGGAGTGGAGGGCAAATTAACACAACTGCCCGCTAACCCCCCACCCCCACCCCCAGGCGGCAAAAGGGAGCGGGAAATGTGGAAAGCGTCAGAAAAGAAATCCATCAAGGCGAAAGCACCACACAAAGGCGCGCAGGCCTCGCGTTCCTCCCGCCCTGCCCTGGCCAGCTCCAACGCCGGTGCCTGGTTCATATGCTACCAGGGCTGGCGACTCTCCCGAGGCCCTCTTTGTTGTGTGGGTAATTGTATCCCTCCTGGGTGGCGGGAAGAGGGAGCTGCAAAGGAAATTGGAATGAGACCTGAGGACTTAACACGAGACCTCCTGCCCGGGAGCCAATGCCAGCGTCTAAAGGGGCTTTCCGGTAATAATCCCCACTTCATTGATGAGGATACTTATTTTCTCAAATATAAAGTGCCATAAAAGCGCATCAATAAGCACTCCCTGTAACCACACTATCCTTCTTAAGCCCTTTCTGTATACAAATTCTGGAAATTCATACAATTAATTACATCTCAGAAATAAATAAATGGGGGAGTGGGAACACTTACAGTCTGAAGCTGATAAGTTTTTTTAGGGGGGTGGGGTCAGGAGACACTTCTTCACTCCAACAAGGAAAAAGAAAAACAATTTTCTCATCTCAAGCCTTTACAGAGGTAGGAAATAAAATTAAAGATAGATTCTGGAAATGGGTTGAGGAGCCTGTCGCACTTAAGACAGGGAAGCATAAATCCTCCCCCCTCTTTTATCTGGTGTCTCTTTTCTTTCTCTCTTTTCGGGACATGTCACCTCCTGACAGATCTCTTGCCTGGGATAAGGAGAGAGGTGCTCTCTCCTCTCTATGATAAAGCTTCTTGCCCCCTCCCAGTTCCCCATCTCTTGCCACTCAGGATGCCGCCCGCTCCCCTATTTATTTATTTATTTATTTATTTCTCTGAGATGTAATTAATTGTATGAAATGTCAAGGCTCAGTCTCAGTTTTATGCACCTTTCCCGCCCCTGACTTCTCCCTAACTCGTCAATAGCTTGATGCAAATTTGGAGCAATTAGGGACCTTGAGTTTTCTAAAAGCTGCAATTAACGTCGAAATTTCCGCTGATTATAGACTTTGAACACAGCCCAGGGGGAAAGGAGGAGGTCAGATCTTGGCTCAACGAAAGCCGGGGACTGAAAACTCTTATTCCTGCTGGGGCTCCTAGCTCTTCATTCCGCCCCCTGCGCTGACCCCTGTCGTCCCACGGAGCAAAGAAACCACACACAACAGAATAAAAACAACACCCTGGCTGCGCGCCCCTCCTCCTCCGCGAAGCCCTCAACGATCGCCGCTGCTCGGACCTTGCGTGGTCCTCGCTTTCCGGTGCCCTGGGAGTCACCTAGCGTCCCTGACAGCCGAATGACCTCTGGCAGGGACGGGGTCAGAGCCCCATTTATTTCCCAGCCTCCATTATCTCCGCGCTCCCCCTTCCCTTTCCGCCAGCTCAGCCTCCCGACGTCCCAGCGCCCCCATCTTCCCTGCAGTTCATTTGATAGAAAATTGGGGCGGGACCTACTTGTGGGGCGCAGGTTAGTGGTATTGGGGTCCGCTCCCGCGTTCGAGGAGGTTGCGGACGAAGATGGGGTCGAAGACGCCATCAGCTCGGTCGTCCCGGGGCCTCTACTGTCCAGAGTCCTCGACTGGTCCGGCGCAGAAACAGGCTGCAAAGAGAAGCGAGAGCTGTGCGGGGAGGACTTCCGGGGTCCTGCACACCGGAGGGACTGAGCAGCCGGGGGCACGGAGGCTCCCCTTGAAGATCCGGCTCTGGAGAGACAAGAGGGAGGAAAGGCAGCGAGCCTGCCTGGTAGGGGTGCGCAGGGGTGGGGGCAGCGGAGGAGACGTGCGCGCTAGCTCCGGTACTGGGGCGCAGGGAGCGTAGCCCTGGGCCGCTCTCGAGTCTGGCGGTGCATCGGCGCGACCTGGAGTGAAGCGCCGAGACGAGGCGGGGTCGGGGTCGGGGTGGGGGTCCAAGGCCAGTACAAGACGCAAGGGTGTGGGGGACTAGGCTAGGAGCACAGGGGAGCGCTCAGTGAGCGATTTTCCAGCCGAGCCGCTACAAGCCCCATTGGGCACTCAGCAGCCGGCGTGTGGGCCAGCGGGGGGAGGGCGCACGGGGCGGGCATGTCTGGTTCGGTGTCTGGTTCCCGTTGTTGTGTCTGGCTAATTCCCTGGAAAGAAAGAGGCTAACTGCTCCGGGGACTAGGGACTTTGGTGAGACAAGGTGAGAGGGGGAAAAAGGCCCATATCTTTACGTTCTCCCTCGGACTTGGCCAGAGAAGAACCACAGTCACCTTGCACTCCAGACAGCCAGAAAGCAGCGAGTCGGAATGTTGCTTGCCTCCCTCTTATCCCAGCCGGTTTTTAGCCATCGCTAAGCCTAGGGCGAGGTTTCGGTCCGGTTTCAGCGTTTCTCCTCTACCTAGCCCCCTGAGGACCCCAGATTTCTCGCGGTACAGATCCAGAGAGGGTGGGGTAAGTAAGCATGGGGAACGTCACCGGGGAAACGAACTTGCGCGCAGCGCGCAGGAGGCGGCGGACAAAGATCTTGCGCGGCGCCCCTGCTCGACTCTCGGCGCTGGCGCGATGGCGCCCGAAGGCCCCGGGACAGAGAGATTGCGGGCTAATCTGGGTAGATCGAGGACCCCACAGAGAAGGGCCCACCGGCCATCGCCTCCACACCCTCCCTCCGACCTCACTCCTAGCCCCGCGCGCGCAGTCGCACAGCAACTCGGGCAGCGGGTCGACTACGGCCCCTGGAAAAGTAACAGGTTACCGTTCCTAGTAGCGCCTTCGGCTGCTGCTGCCCAGGCGCCCTTTGGAGGGACAGGCGCTCGCAGCATGGAAGCTCAAGGGAAAATCGCTCTTGCCCCACTTCAACTAGAGCCTCAGCCTCCGTGCTTCCCCGGGGCGTGAATCCGGAGGGCAGGGATAAGAAGAGTGACGAGGGAGGCGGGGGGGGGGGGGTCCCTGCGCAGCGCACCCGTGGAGAGCAGGGACTAGGGCGGGCAGGAAGCACTCATTTCGGGAGGTTGGGTGGCCGGCGCTGGGATGGGGTTGGTTGAGAAGCCGCGGGAGGAGAGGACCTGGCTGAAAAGCCACGGTTGGGCGCTGGGAAGTCCAGGTGGTCGCTAGCTTACCCACCTCGGCTCTGCGACAGCGAGCCGGGCACTCCCGCCTTTCCTCTGCACAGCGCCCAGCGATCCGCTCGGCTCGGCCCTGACAGGCGTAATCTGCCCGGCGTCACCTCCAGCTGCTTCCTCGTTCTCGCTAGTTCCCTCTCGCACGCGAGCGCCAGGAGAAGAGAGAGATTCGGAGAGGCGGCTGCACGGCTCCGGGGTAGGCGGGGGCAGAGTGGGGAGGCGGGGACCGGATCGGCGGGGAAATCACGAGGCCGTTGCTCGCGGGGGCAGCTAGTCGGCGGAGCGGCGGGGCTCCTCTGCAGGTGCCTGACCGCCTCTGGAGCTTTATAGGGCGATTATAAATCCAGCTCACGGTTTTGCGCCCGGAAGGAAAAAAAAAAGGTCTTATGAGTAATCCAGAACGTACTCAACACGCTTTTTTTTTTTCCTTTGGAAATAGGCAGGCTGTCGGGTGAGAGGAGGGAAAAGATAATTCCTACGAAGAATTCTGCCTTTCTGAGCGTTTCTTCTTCCCTCCCCTCCTTTCCCCTCTCCCATTTCCCCTCCCCCTCCCATATATTGTAGGAGACGAGCGGCGGTTTTGCCTCAGTGCTTTTCCCCGGGGTTCCCCCAGATCTGTGACCCTGCGACGCTTCCTTGAGCGAAAGCGCGCTTTGGGTCGTGTCCTCGTTGGCTCTCTACGGAGCTGGGATTGTTGTAACCGCAAAGGAGGCAGAAATGAGGGGAGACCTCTTAGACCATGGAGGAATTACAGTTTCCTCATCCAGCCCTGGGCCCCATCAAAGTACCACACCTGGCCACAGCTACCCAGTGCCACCGGCAGAGAAAAGGACCCCGCGTCCCTTTTGCTATGCGCTCGCTCCTCGCTTTGGCCCCCTTGGTGATGGGAAAAGAAGGCCTCCTGATTAATCACGTTTGAAGGTTGATGACACGCACGAGCGCCGCTGCACGCGCATGGGGCACCCGAGCACAGAGGTGCCCGGAAGGGGCGGACCAGCCCCCCTTGCCCTGGCCCGCTCCCCCTTCGATTTCACGCGCTTTAAGGATTCTCCCTTTGCAATATTTAGGCGTAGTTAAAAGAACCGCTGCGTTGGGAGAAGCCCCTCGCCGTAAAAATGCGTTGAAAGAGAAATTCCCACCAGAGGGCGCCAAGAGCCCAGAGACGGAGAGGCCCTGCGCTCCCGGGTCTCTCCGCCAGCGCCCGAGCGGAGCCCACACCTGGAGCTGCTGGCCAGACGGTTACGCGCCGGCTTGCCTCTTCATGCCTTCCCTCACCGCCCTGTCACTAGTTTAAGTTCTCCCCTTTCTTCTCCCCCAGTTTTTTTCTTTAGGGCAAAAATGTTGATGTCTGTGCGTGTCTGGGTGACACCGTGTAGGCAGTGATTCCTTTACTGGTATTTACCGTGGTCCTCCCCCTCTCCCCAGGTGGTGCAGCACGCAGGGGTTATTTATGCGCACGTCTGGGGCCTCACTGGTTCAGCGGAGGCCCGTCCGTTTTCTTTGAATGCCTTATCGCCTTTCACCACAACACAATGGAAACACACACAAAAATATTATAAATTACCGAGAGTTCCATAAGGGAGATCGAAGGGTCCGCCCTGGGCAGACATGGCCTGATCAGCAAGAGGGATCTCGCTGTGGGGTTTGAAATAATCGCGTTGCCTTTGGTACTAAAGAAACTACTGTTTTGTCGCCTTGTCTCCACCTGACGATGAAATCCCCGGCACTTTTTAAGGACACAAAAAACATCCTAAACGGCGGGGCGCGCGGTGACTGCAGCCCCGGGCACTGAGGCTTGGGGCTGGACAGGCTGGGGGTGTCTGCTCCACGTAGGAAACGTCCCCCCAAACCACTCAACCGGCAGCTGCTCTGCGCTGCTTGAAGTGGGCGGCATACAACCAGGTGAAGCTCGGAATTCCATCCACCGGCCCTCCTAGAGCCTTCCCTAAACGAGACGCTCGCACCAATCAGGGAGCCAGGTGCCAGTGCTAAATCATTCAAGACGCACGGGGCAGGAGACAGGAAGGAGGAGGCAACACATCTCCCGGTGCCCCTCGTTCTTCATTGTCCAGCATAGACGCCCGCTCGCCTCAACCTTTTCCCAAAACCCGTGATTCCCTGGAAAGGAAGATTCGTTTACTTCACCTGTGGCACGAGATTGAGACATTTCCAACCACTTCCTCCTTTGACCCCAGAGTTCAAAACACCCCTAACGTTTTAGCCAATGAAATAATCTCGTTGGAGAAGGAATCTCCTGCAAGGCTAGGTAACGCAAGCTGAAGCTGAGTCCGTCCAGCTTCGAGGACATCCCTCTCTTTCTCCTTTATGGTGAGTAGGGGAGGAATGAAGACTTTTGTCCGTCCTTGTTTAGAATGTTTAATTGAATATTAGCAGTAATTGATTAAACGAATATTTATTAATCCCCTACTATGTGCCAAGCACTTATTTTTTGGAGCTTGCATTGTCCCTGCGGTTTATATTATCCTGCACGCCGGGAGTGGACATTCCGGTGAGGCAGGGAGAGGAGCGCACTTAGAAACTTCATAAATTTGATTTAATTTTCAATGATCTCCTCCAACTCGAACTCTTGGGCACAGCAGGAATGGTAATGAATTGAAGGCCTGGAATTCCACTCCATCCAGATTACTGAGTTTTGAGGTAGGGCATAGATCTTTCAGCACGAAGGACAGCGCCCGTCCTTCTGGTCCCCATGCCTCTGTTTCGTTTGCTTCCGCCAATAGCTATGGGCCAACCCACCAGACTCGCCCCAGCCCTCCTCCCTCCTGACAGTAACTGCTGTTTGTTTTGCCTAGTTGGGGGGTGAGGTATTTCGCCCACTGCTCTTCTCTCCGGTAGGAATTTGAACTAAGAGTGGCCGTGGTTGTCATTCGGCTCTAAACAACATTTGAAACCTATATTTTTGTTTATGTCTTTCACTCTTCCTTTAATCTTTTATCATTCCTGGGGGAGGATTCTTGGGATAATGGGGGTGGAAAAAAGATATCCTCTCCGGGGACTCGAACCGGTGATGAGGGGTGGCCCGGAAGGGAGTGGTGTCCGCCCAGCTGTTTCGATTGTATTTGAAGCGCTTTGAAGAAATGGGAACGCGGCGCTCAAAGGCAGAAGAAGGAGGGGGCGATATGCGACCCCTCCAGTCTCTCTCCGGCATTAGGGATTTGCGAGCTTGCAGCCCCGGCTACTCCACCCTGTCTGCCGAGGATAACGTTTCCTTAGGTCAACCACCGCTGGGACTTGGGAACACGACCCTCCGCCCACAATGCCCTTTATTCCTTTCCCCGTCGTGGGTGGGTGGGGGATTGTTTAAAGATATTCCAACCGGATTTGGGGCCAAGCCTTTTCTGCAAAGGGAAAAACGGGTGAGTAGGAGGAGCGTGAGGCGTTGAAGGAGCGCCCAAACGGGCTGCGGGGAGATCTTCACGCCTAAAACGTGGTCAGTCAAGGTGAGTAGACAGGACACGTCAATTTTTTTTGACGCAATTAGAATTTTTAGCCTCCAGGAAACGTAATTTAGAGCCATGGTATTGGTTCGTTTCAGCTGGCTCCTTAAAATCTATTTTAAGTGTCTAATTTATGACCAGAAAGGAAAAAAAAAATGGCAGTGCTCACCGGTTAAACGTCTGTCTCCCGAGACGAGAACTGGGGGAAGCGTTACTTAACCTTTCATTCTGCTTAAGTCGGAGCTAAGGTCCATTTGCTGTTTTTGTACTTTAAAGATAGTTCCCTGAATTATTCTGGACTTTTTTGAAGGATCATAGCTAAATCCACACCCCCATCCCAACAGACCACACAACACTCACAGCTGGGAGGCAGGAAAATGTTAAAAGGGTGAGAGGGGGTGGGAGGGGTGACAGCAGAATGCTGGAAGGCTGGAGAGGACTCTAGGAATTACAGCCACTTTTTCTAAAGAAGAGAGCTGGATTCTTCGGATAACTGGCAAATGGTCCTTCCCCCTTGATAGTCAGAAGATGAAAATATTCTAATACAAATAAATGAATCAAGGAGGACAGGGTGATTTGTGTTTGGGCAAATCTCCTTGTGCAAATCTTGAAACGTCCAATTCTTGCTATTCTAAACTCGAAGACAGAATGACCACCAGGTGGCAATAGATTACAATTTCTGAGAAGAAACAACAGGCCTCCCAAGGGAGCAGTTCTTCAAGGAAGAATGCAGGCTCATACTCATCCCTGCCAAATTTCACAAAGCAGGGCCTTTTCAAATGGTCAGAAGTGCTCTGGAAGTGACCTGAAACACCTAGGGTAGTGCGTCTCTTTGGTGAAAGACTAGGGGGTGCATGGCATCTGTTTTTTTCCCACCTAGCTGTGTCTCAAATGTAGTGAACCTGTGAATATTAGGCAAGAAACTGATTCACTGCAAAACTGGAAACCAAGGAAATACAGTTCTGGATTGTAATTCTGATGGGGAGCTTTAAAGGTATATCTGTGTCTTCTGATCTCAACAAAAACCAAGGCGAAATCAGTCCTTCCCCAAAAGGGTGGGATGCAAAAAGGAGGATTTCCCACCTGAGATGCTTTAGTGAAATACAGAATTCATGGGAGACTGAGGAGAGTAATATTTTATTCATTTCTTTTAGTGTAAAAGCTCTTGGACTACTTAAAATAACAGATATTTAGTCCCCATTTTCAAACATAGGTATCTGGGACTGTTGTTTGTGAAAAGGTTCTGGAAAGTTCTGACTTAGTTGTGGCGAATCTAATAACTTAAACTTCTATTCCAGGCCAGGTTTCTTCCCCTAATCCTGACCAGTTACTCAGGGGAGGAAACTGGAACTTTAACAGAAGGGGTGCATGATTGATTGCCGTTCCCATTAGGCCCCACCTTCAACATTGGGGGTCACATTTCAGCACGAGATTAGAGAGGACAAACATCCAAACTATATCAAATATTGTGACAATAGCTGACGAATACACTCTCCTATACCAAGAAGGGCAACGGGGACTGTGTGCGGTGGTTCACGCCTGTAATCCCTGCACTTTAGGAGGCCGAGGCAGGCAGATCTCTTGAGGCCAGGAGTTCGAGACTAGCCTGGGCAACATGGAGAAACCCAATCTCTATTAAACATACAAAAATTAGCCAGTTATGGTGCTGCACGACCTGGAATCCCAGCTACTTGGGAGTCTGAGGCACGAGAATCATGTGAAGTCGGGAGGCAGAGGTTGCAGGGAGCCAAGATCGTGCCACTGCACTCCAGCCTGAGCAACAGAGTGAGACTCTTGCCTCAAAAAAAAAAAAAAAAAAAAAAAAAGCCAACGCAGGCGCAAGGTGGAACTCAGGGTAAAGTCTGACATAGGCTGCCCAGAATTGCTTACTGTGGGCCCAGTCTGGCCAACAGTGGTGGTGCTGGGGTCTGTGGGGGACATTAGAGAACTCTCTCTATATATCTCGGTCTCTCTTGCGGTCTCTCTCTCTTTAGCAACACGACTAATAATTATCCTCATAGAGGAAGGAAATAAGTCTCAGGGAAATTGTGTGGTGTGTTTATTGTATGAATTCTCAGTTAATTATCACCTGAGGTCTTCTGTTTTCTTGATGAGGAAACTTAAGTCCAGAGAGGCTACAGGACTTCCCAGACCACATGCTTAGTGCGCAGGGGGCTGGAAATGCTTTCTTCTTCTCTCAGTCCCAGCGCCTTATGCTTGTTCAGTGAAGCCTTCTGGCTCTGTCACATAATAATCATTTGACCTTGGAAAAATCACAGAATCTCTCCAGACCCCCATAATGGGAGGGTTTGGGTACAAGATAAGACCAGATGAGGTTTCATTCATCTGAAACAATTTATTATTACAGGTATTTTGTGATTCTTCTCACTGGCAACTCTTCTCATGTTGTAAATACCATGGACTCAAGAACCTCTTGAGGCCCTCAAGGCAGCTTTTACTGGGAGAAAAGCAAAAATGTTGAAGTCAGTCTGACTTGAGTTTACATCTAGATTCTACTTATCGGCTATTGTTTGACTGCTCCAAGTTTACTTCTAAGTAAAATGGGGGTTAATATCAGCCTTGTGGGCTATCTTATTTGATGCTCATAGAACCCATTTTAGGCCGGGCGTGGTGGCTCACGCCTGTAATTCCCAGCACTTTGGGAGGCTGAGGCAGGCAAATCACCTGAGGTCAGGAGTTCGAGATCAGCCTGGCCAACGTGGTGAAACCCCCGTCTCTACTAAAAATAAAAAAATTAGCCAGGCATTGTTGCGCACGCCTGTGATCCCAGCTACTCAGGAGGCTGAGGCAGAATTGCTTGAACCTGGGAGGCAGAGGTTGCAGTGAGCTGAGATTGCCCACTGCACTCCAGCCTGGGCAACAGAGCAAGACTCAGTCTCAAAAAAAAGAGAACCCATTTTAGCAAGCTCAAGTGTGCCTAGTTAATGGTGTTCAATACATGTTTAATAGCTGCTTCTGCTCCTTCCCCTTAGTTCAACAGTGATTTTGAACAAATTAAATTTGTTCTCCTTGGATGTATAAGCTAAGCATAATATTTGTATTATTTTGCCAATTTCTTTTAGTAGAGCTACTGATCATTCCCGGACATAGGACTCAAAGCCCTCCTCTTTAGTGCCTTAGAGGTTTTTATTAGTCCACAAAGATAGTTTGATTTGTAGAGAAAGTTTTCTGATGGAGTATTCAGACTCTCTTAGGAAAGGGAGAGAGGGAGCCAGTTTTGTGATGAGGTGACATTTATACATAATTATGGATTTCTGCTGGGATTCAATCTTTTGATCGTTTCAATTTTCCTACCTTCATTCTCTCCCTCTGTAATCTCATCCAATCTGGCAGTTTTAAATATCTTAATTTTTATTTCAATTAAAATAAAAAAATTTAGATGTTATTGACTCCCAAATTTATATCTTTACCCTGAACCTCTGTTCAGCATTCCAGGTTGATATGTCCAGTTGAATTTTCCACTTGGATTTTTTTTTTTCTTTTTTCTTTTTTTTCTTTTGAGGTGGAGTCTCGCTCTGTCGCCCAGTTGGAGTGCAGTGGCGTGATCTCGGCTCACTGCAACCTCTGCCCCCTGGGTTCAAGCAATTCTCCTTCCTCAGCCTCTCTCGTAGCTGGGATTACAGGCATGTGCTACCACGCCCGGCTAATTTTTGTGTTTTTAGTAGAGACAGGGTTTTGCTATGTTGGCCAGTCTGGTCTCGAACCCCTGACCTCAGGTGATCCACCTGCCT
Source organism: Homo sapiens (assembly GCF_000001405.40). NCBI lineage: Eukaryota > Metazoa > Chordata > Mammalia > Primates > Hominidae > Homo > Homo sapiens. Next base: position 170,809,839 of record NC_000002.12, on the reverse strand, counting down.
TGGCTGCCCAAAGTGCTGGGATTACAAGCATGAGCCACCACACCTGGCCATCCACTTGGATTTCTAATAGGCATCTGAAACTTAAGGTGTCCCAAATTGAACTCCTGATACTTTTTTCCAAACCTGCTGCTATTACAGTTTTCTCCATCTCTGTAAATAACTAGAGGCAATTCCACCTTCCAGTTGGTCTGGTCCAAAACCTTGGAGTTATCACTGACTTCTTCCTTACAATCTGTCAGTAAATTCTGGTGGAGCTACTTTCAAACTTTAACAACTTCACTCTCTATTTCTGCTCTTACTATCCCTTGTTTCCTTCCCTAACACACACAATGTAAAATACTAGGTCATACTCATATCATGGCTTTCCTCTACTCAAAACCCTCTAATGATTCCGCATCTCAGAGGAAAAGACAAAGTCTTTATAATACTGACAAAGCCCTACACGGTCTGACCTTGTTACCTGTTTGAGTTCTTCTTATACTGCTCTGCCCCATCCTCACTCCACCCTAGGGACAATGGCCTCCTTGCTGTTTCATAAACATGAAGTAGAATGGGCCAGGGACTTTGTAATTACTAACCCTGTGCTTGGAAAGCTCTTCCTCCAGGCATTTGTAGGGTTTGTTCCTTCTCATTCTGTCTTTACTCAAATATTCAAGTGTTCTTTTCCCAGTGAGGTTTTCTTTTATCGTTATATTTAAAATTGCAGGCTGGGCAGTGTGGCTCATGCCTAGAATCCCAGCACTTTGGGAGGCCAAGGGTCTCACTCTATCACTCAGGCTAGAGTGCAGTGAGGCAATCAGGCCTTACTGCAGCCTCGACATTCCCGGCTCACATGATCCTCCCACCTCAGCCCCACCCCTGAGTAGCTGGGACTATAGTCTCCCATCGTTACACCTGGCTAATTTTTTGGTTTTGTTTTTTTATATTTCATGGAGACAGGGTCTCATTATGTTGCCCAGGCTGGTCTTCAACTCCTGGGCTCAAGTGATCCTCCCACCTTGGCTTCCCAAGGTGCTGGGATTACAGGTGTGAGCTACTGTGCCCAGTCTGCTTTAACAGGTTTTCAAAAAAAGATCAATTTAGCAAGTTTTCATTTGAGATAAGTTTCTTGAAGTATTCCCTTAATTTTGTTTAGTGACATATGATTTTTAATATTTTTTCTCTTATTTTCTTTCATTGGCAGTTGTGAGCTAAGAGAAGGTGGCTTTCGATGAGGATGTTGTCTGCTGATTTAAATACTCTGTCCCCCCACTGGGTGCCGTGGCTCACACCTGTAATCCCAGCACTTTGGGAGGATGAGATGAGCGGATCATCTGAGGTCAGGTGTTTGAGACCAGTCTGACCGAATGGTGAAACCCCACCTCTACTAAAAATGCAAAAATTAGCCAGGCATGGTGGCACGCACTTGTAATCCCAGCTACTTGGGAGGCTGAGGCAGGAGACTCGCTTGAACCTGGGAGGCGGAGGTTGCAGTGAGCTGAGATGACTCCATTGCACTTCACCCTGGGCAACACAGCAAGACTCCATCTCAAAAAAAAAAAAAAAAAAAAAAACAACACTCTGCTCCCAACTTTATTTGGGTTCTTCTGATGCCAATTGGAAGAAACTGAATTTGATGCATGTTTTGATGGGAAAGAGATTTTCCTCTTAACATATTATCCAGTGGTAGGCATGGAACTGTGAAATCTATCATCTTAAAGAATAGTCACTTTCAAGCAAGTCCTTTTACAGAAGAACATTTTAGAACTTTATTAGAGATGAAGATACATTAGGGACCTGAGAGCATGGGACACCAAAAGCCTTGTTACAAAATAGCTGAAGTATTAAAAAGCGGGGAGAGGAGTTTATGAAAATTCAGTATTAAAATATATGTTGTTGTGCAGCAACAGGAACTACATAATAAATCCTAAGAAAACAGGGACTTTGGGGGCTATTTGTGATGGATTGCAATTAACCCTGCTTAAATATCCAATTAGGCATCAGGGTAAGCAATTTGTAAATGTACTAACTGGTTAATATTTTATGAAAATCAGCAAATTTCTATCTCAGGTGACTTTTTTTTTTCCTGTACTTAATGAACTATTTATTGGCTTATTTATTAGTATTTATCCTCATTAAAAGCTTCCATCACACCAGAAAGGATACTAAGGCCTGCTAAAACACCTCACATAGTTGGCACTCCATGAATGTTGATTTCCTTCCTCATGTTCACTTTTCTGATTCTAAGGTCAATTTTACCTTAATTCTCTTTTGAAGTTTTTTTCTTTTGAAAAAATGTACATCTTTTTTCTTTTAACGTTATATATGATTGCTAAAGAAAGCTTATGACTTTAGAATGATGAAAAAGGAAATAACCTCATTACACAAACACTACGATGGTTAGCATTTTCAGTAACCCCCCCCAATCCCATATTTTCCCCTACCCCATGTATAGGCTTAATTTAAAAGGTTTTAGCCTCCAACAGATATTTGTACACCTGTGTTCATAGCAGCATTATGCACCATAACCAAAAGGTGAAAGCCACCCAAATGTCCATCAGTGGATGAATAGATGAACAAAAGGTGGCATATGCATACAGTGGAATATTATTTAGCAGTAAAAGGAATAAAGTATTGACATATGCTATGACATGCATGAACCTTGAAGACTTTATGCTAAGTGAAATAAGCCAGTCACAAAATGACATATATGATTCCTTTTATACGCAGTACCTAGAGTAGTCAAATTCATCAAAGCAAAAAGTAGAATGGTGGCTAGTGGGAGTGGGAAATGAGGAGTTATTGTTTAATGAGGACAGAGTTTCAGTTGGGAAGATGAAGCAGTTTCTGAGATGGGTGCTGGTGATGGTTACACAGCAATGTAAATGTGCGTAATACCACTGAAGTATACACTTGAAAATGCTTAAAATGATAAATTGCATGCTGTGTATGGTTTACAATAAAAAAGCTTTTAGTTATAAAAGTGATACATGCCCATGATTTTAAAATTTTAAGGGAATAAATAAAAGGTGTAAAATGAAAAGTACAACTTTTCTTACTTACCTCCCCTCAATTGCACAACCCAGAGATAACCATCGTAACAAGTTTCATGTTTCTGCTTTTCCTGACTGACAGAAGGACCCACCAATTCCTCTTCCTTGGCTTTGAGTGGCCATGAACCCTTGGGGAACTGAGGGTAACCTAAGCATCCAGTTTGACTTACACACTCTTAGGAGATGTTATTGGCATTATCATGCTTATTGCGCTGTGGCAGATACATTGGATATACTCTCAGCTACTAGTGATAGAAAATCTGAAGCAAAATGGTTTAAATAGCAAGAAAATGTACTGTCTTACATAGTAAGAAAATGTCTTCAAGGACCGGGTTCCTTTTTCGCTCTGCTCTGCTGTCCTTAGCTTTGGCTTCAGCATAAGGCCTACTCCTGGTTCTAAGATGGCTGCCAGCAGCCATGAGGGCTCCATTCCTTCTTGTTAATATCCAACTCCTGCTGATGTTTTATCAGCTGAAATTGGTGTAGTTCTGCCCATGCCTAGCAATAACTAGTAGCAAAGGGGATAGGATTACCATGATTAGATTTATCATCTGGGGTGGAATGGACATAGGGGGAACCAACCACGATATGTGTCATAAGTTGTCTCTTTGTTCAGAAGGGTACATTTTGAACAGGCTATGCAAGCCAATCTCTTCTCCCAGTGCTTTACTTCCCAGGCTCCTCCAAGCTCTGTACGCTCCCCCTGCTCCATTATAACTCATATCTTATGAGGACTGGGGGGCTTATTAGGAGAGACAGTCAGAAAGACCGTTGTACTCCTTAGTCTGGCCTTGGAGGCCTTATCTTACCTGCCTCTTATGAACTCTCAAGACCTCATGGCATAGGACTTTTGCCCCAAACCCCACAGCGTTTCCAATGGCCCTAGGCTTGACTTCACATCTGGTACCATGAGCTCTGTTCACGTGCTCCCCCTTGACCAACATCAATATTTCAGGCAAATACCAAAATTACATCTATCTTACATGTCCACCAGGATCAAGCTAAAGGGAAATAAACATTGTAATTAAAGTAAATGCAGGCTGGGCATGGTGACTCACACCTATAATCCTAACACTTTGGGAGGCTGAGGTGGGAGGAATCCCTCGAGGCCAGGAATTATAGACCAGCCTGGGACCATAGCAAGACCCAGTCTCTACAAAATATTAAAAAATTAGCCAGGGATGGTGGTATGCGCCTGTAGTCCCAGCTGCTTGGGAGGCTGAGGTGGGAAGATCACTTGAGCCCAGGAGTTTGAGGCTGCAGTGAGCCATGTTTATGCCACTGCACACCAGCCTAGGCAACAGAGTGAGACCCTGTCTCAATAAATAAATAAAGGCAGGTTATCACCTTTTTTAGTATATAATATAGGGTAATTGAAGGCTATGAAAGGACCAATACTGGAGAAGAGGAGACAGCTCTGATTCCACACTTGGACTGCCGGGGCAGTGGTTCACCTAAACACTGCCATGTATTAGGGTTCTCTTACATGGATCTTCTAAAATATTAGATAAATGCCTTGTAAGTTATCCCTTTTTCCAATCTGTTCCTCTCTACTGGCCTCTTAGGGAGGAAGCCATAGCGTGAAGGGCAGGGTATTAGAATAAAATGACCTGGACTTGAATCTGCCAGTTCCCAAGTATGTGATCTTTAGAAAGTTACTTTCAGCATCTCTACACCTCGCTTTCTTCGTATGTAAATTGGGAATAATAATGTCTATCCCATACAGGTGTTATGAGGATTAAAAACATTAACATATGAATGCTTAGTATAGTGCCTAACACATAACAGGCTATCAGTAGCTGTTATTATCATCCATCCTATTAAACAGGCTCAGGCTCATCTATTTTTTTTTTTTTTTTTTGTGACAGTCTCCCAGGCTGGAGTGCAGTGGCGCAATCAGATCCTGGCTCACTGGCGGCCTCAAACTCCCAGGCTCAGGCGGTCCTCCTGCCTCAGCTTCCCAGGTAGCTAAGACTACAGGCGTGTGTCACCACTCTCAGCTAATTTTTATATGTTTTATAGAGATGTTTTTTGCCATGTTGGCCAGGCCGGTAAACATGCTCATCTTAAATGTTTTACAAATAATACTGCACTTACCTTATGTCTTCCAATGATACTTCATCTGTTTTCTTTCCTCGTTTTCCTTTTCCTCACCTCCAATGCACTCAAATTCACTGAAATACGGCACCCCCAATTCACACTCAACTGACACAGCTTTTCCTAATATCACCAACCACCTCTTTGTTGCTATCCCATTACCCTTTTAGTTCTTATCTTACTTGTCTTCTCTGCAACTTTTTGCAAAGCAGGTTTTTACAGGCTCCTTGAAACTCTTTTTCTGGGTTTCTGTGGTGCTGCTCAATATCAGTTAGGAGGCTTTTGGCAGCAGGTAAAAGAAACCTTGATCCAACTGGCTTGAACAATAAGAAAGTTTATCTCATAACATAAACTCAGAGTGGTGGCTCCCAGGCCCGTCGACTCAGCGGCTGAGCATTAGCAGGGACCTAGGTTCTTTTTGTTCTTCCATCCACAGCATCAGCTTCTTCCTAAGATTAGCTTCTCTCGTGATCATGAGATGACTGCCAGCAGAAACTAGGGCAGCATGCTTCCTGGTTCTTAACCAGAAGAATGGAGGAACATCTCCTCCCAATCATGAAATAAAGTCCTCGATCTTTTTAGAAGAAGTAGGTCACATGTCCATCTCTGGAACAATAACAGTCACCAGAGAAATGCCAGGGACTGGTTGGCTGAGTCTCGTGGCTATGGATGTGGGGAGCGAATATCTGAACAGAGTCGGGACTGTCTTTGCTCTTTGCAAAGAAAGGGAAAAGGATAGTTGCTGAGTAGGAAACCAACAGTGCCCACTATATTTGCTTTCCCAATTTTCCTCTTGGTTGTTCCTTCTCAGTCTATTATGTGCACTTCTCTTTCATGGACTACCACTTAAATGTTGGTGATCATTATAATTCTATCCCTGGTCCTCTCCTATTTGGACTACACTCTCTCCATGGGTCCTTCATTCTGTTTATTTGACTACTATCTCTAAGTGATGACTACTAATAAAGGTATATTTCCCGCCCAAGTGTCTTTTTTAAGCTTCATACCATGAAAACTAGTTAACACTTACCCAATACTTCCTGAGTTAGGCAGAATAATGCACCCCTCTTCTCCCAAGATGTCTACATCTTAATACCCAGAAACTGCAAATATGTTAGATTACATAGCAATGGGGCATTGAGATTGCTGACGGAGTTAACCTTGCTGATTAGCTGACTTTAAGATAGGGAGACTATCTTGGATTATCCAGATGGACCCAAGGTAATCACAAGCATCTTTAAAAGCAGAAGAAAAAGTCAGGAGAGAGAATAGAGAGATGGCAGCATGACAAGGGCTTGGCCAGACATTCCTGGCTTTGAAGGTGGAAAGATGGGGCCAAGGAATATGCGTGGGGTCTGGAAGCTGGAAAAGGCAAGGAAATGGATTATCTCCTAGAGCCTCCAGAAGGAATGCAGCCTTGCTGACACCTTGCTTTTGGCCCAGTGAGACCCATTTTGGACTTAGAACCTCCAGAACTATAAGATCATAAAGTTGTGTTGTTTTAAGCCACGAAGTTTGTGGTAACTTTTTATAGCAGCAATAGGAAACTAATACATTTCCCATAGTCAACTTGTGCAAGTGAACCTCCATCTTCTTCAACAAAGCTGCTTTCCTGTGTTCCTGTCTTTAGGGGCTGGCATCACCATATACCTTGTCCTCCCACTAAGAGTCATTCTTGACCTCTACCTCTTTACCACATTTACTTTATCCCCAATTCCTGCCAATTCTTTCTACCTCTAGAGTAACCCCTCCATTCCATTACATCTCCCTGCTACTGTCTCTTTTCAGGTTACAATTTTGAACTGCTAGAGTCTGTATTCAACTCTAGTCTGTTCTCTAAGCTTTCAAATTTTATTTTTCATCGAGATCCACAGGAAGAAATACATTTCACTTCAAGGTCTAGGGAATACACACTCCTGAAACAAAAGTTTCATAAAACAATGCTTGCCATACTCTTTTGCAGTATATGCTGATAGTTTCTATTCTATGTATTTAACTTTGTAAAACCCCCAGGTATTTGTGATTTACTGCAATGATTTCATAACTGACCAATGGATCGTAATGTGTAGTTTAAGAAGACATCTTTTTTACCTACCAGAATGCTCTTTCTAAAATACAATTATTTTCCTTAAAAGCATTCAATGCCTCCATTACTCTAAGGATAAAGTTCAAACTCTAACATGGCTTCTAAGACCCCCCATCACCCAGTTCTTTTATCACTGTAGCTTCGTCTTTCTCCACTCTAAATGGTTCATTTTATAATCCAACCTTACCTGCTTAACTTTCTGATATCAGATTGTGTCTCTGCGCCTTTGCAAGTTGTGTTACTCTGCTCAGACTGTCTTCTAGACACCCTTTTCTTACAGCTAATTCCCACTTCCTCTACCTTCTTAGCTTAGACTTCACTTCTCTCTAAATGCTTTTCCTGGATGCCTAGACTGTCTCTCCTGCCCTCCCACATTCTCCCTTAGTGCCCAGGACCCACACAATGGCAGTGTTTATCTCCCTGTATTTAACAACAATGCTGTTGAAGAGCAGAGACTGGGTTTTGTTCCCTCCAGAATACCTAGAAGGCCTTCAGTAAATACTTATTGAGGCCGGGTGTGGTGGCTCATGCCTATAATCCCAGCACTTTGGGAGGCCAAGACGAGCAAATCACCTGAAGTCAGGAGTTCGAGACCAGCCTGGTCAACATGGCGAAACCCCTGTCTCTACTAAAAATACAAAAATTAGCCGGGTGTGGTGGCGGGCACCTGTAGTCCCAGCTACTCGGGAGGCTGAGACAGGAGAATCATTTGAACTCGGGAGGTGGAGGTTGCAGTGAGCCAAGATCGCACCATTGCACTCCAGCCTGGGCAACAAGAGTGAAACTCCGTCTCAAAACAAACAAACAAAAACAAACAAACAAACCTTATTGAATACATGAAACTTTTTCAGTGGGTTCCCCTCTGAAGTCTATTGAGTAGGCATTCTTACATATTCTCATATTGTTGGATATTTGGGTTCATTAACATCATTACAATGTGTTGTAAAGTTATTGAAGAAGGCACAGGTCTGGAACTGAACTGTCTACACAGATATAACTCATTGGCAGACTTATTAAATAGTTCCTAGATGCTAGCTCTGTGTGAGGTAACAAAGAACATTGGGTTTAAGGTTCACAAAATCTCTCATACTGGGACATAACCAAGCATCTCTAAGTTTCAGTTTCCTCATCTGAATTCCAACATCCCAGCCAATATTTAACCTTAGATTCCTCAATTATGTCAAATTCAGTTTGTGTAATTGATGGGGATAATAGCATGCTCTTCAGATGACTGTGAGAAGCAAGTAGGTTAAATAATGTAAACAATAATTTGCAGATTTTTTAAGCTATTATTACTACATACCTATTATACACACGTGCCTATTGTCAGGTCATGCCAACACCTTACCATTTCATTCATTAGTGAGGGCTAGTAGGATGAAGAGTATGGACAGGGGGTACTGATGATCCTGAATGAACAAGCCTCATAAATTCTTAGATTTAGCTATAACATAGCCTGTGATATCATGGCTTTTTATTCGGACAGTTTCTTCCTCAAAGCTTCCCTGTTCCTTTAAAAGACAACTAAAATCTCATTGTAACTTATTTAGTCTTCAATGTCAGCTTTAGGGTATACTATGAACTTCTTATGGAGGGTTCTCCTTAATCAGGTAAGCATCATTAGATTGAGATATGGTGGTTTTCCCATGGTGGAATGAATATTAAACCCAAAAGAAAATGAAAAGAACAGGTAATTCCTGAGATCTGTCAGTCAAACCTCTGATGCTATTTGGTTATTTATGCATGAAGCCCTGAGAGTTTACTGCAGATTTAGAAAGGGTAACTAGAGGATTACACATATCCATCTTCATTTCTTTTGGTCATCCCTATGAATTGGTGCTGCAGATTTTCTTCCTCTGAATGTTAACAGGCCACAATGCCTAAAGAATAAGCAATGCCGCAAACATTTTGGATATGTTGTGACACTGTACTGACATAAGATAAAAATTCAAAATGCTTCCCCTCAAATCGGATTGGCACATTTGTAAACAAATTACTTAGGAATATTTTTCTTTTACCTCAGTTACTGCTTTGGTCTATATGTGGTTTGCCCCCTTCAAAACTCATGCTGGGCTGGGTGCAGTGGCTCACACCTATAATCTCAGGATTTGGGGAAGCTGAGGTGGAAGAATCACTTGGGGCCAGAAATTTGAGACCACTGTGGGCAACACAGCAAGATCCTGTCTCTACAAAAATTGTTTTAAAAAATATTAGCTAGATGTGGTGGCACGTGACTGTATTCCTAGCTACTCAGGAGTCTGAGGCAGAAGGATCACTTGAGCCCAGGAGTTCAAAGTTGCAGTGAGCCATGATCACACCACTACACTCCAGCCTGGGTGATGGAGCAAGACCCTGTCTCAACAACAACATAAAAACAAAACAAAACAAAATTCATGCTGAAATTTGATCCCCAGTATGTCGTGGAGTTGGGAGGTGGGAGGTGTTTGGGTCAGGCGGGTGAGTTGAATCCCTCATGAGTAGATTAATTTGGGGGCCGGGGGTGAGTGAGGTCTTGCTCTCATAGGAATGGATTAGTTCCCATGAGAGTGGGTTTTTAAAAGAGTCTGGCTTCCTTGGTTTCTCTTGCTTCCTCTCTTGCTGTGTGATCTCTTTGCACATGCCTGTTCCCCTTCTACTTTCTGCCATGAGTGGAAACAGCATGAGTCCCTCACCAGATTCAACTGCCCAATCTTCAACTTCCCAGCCTGCAGAACCGTAAGCTAAATAAACCTCTTTTCTTTATAAATTACCGAGCCTCAGGTATTTTCTTATAGTAACAAAAAACAGACTAAGACAGTTACCTTACAACCTAATTTGAAAGTGGCAGAAATCCAGCAAGAACTACAGAATCAGCACAATAAAATAGATGGGTACGTAAGAAGTATAAGTCTTGTAAATGTTTTATGAAAGAATATAAATATTTCCACTAACTTTCACTTCATTTGTTCATTAATTTGGTATATGTGTTCTATTATTTGCCAGGTACTTGTCCAGTTGCTGGGATATTATGAGGAAAATGATAAAGTTCTGCTTCATGGGTGTTACATTCTCTGGCAGGTAGGGAGAAGATGAAATGAACAATTAAACAAGCATTTCAGACACTGATACATGCTGTAAAGAACATACAATGAATGGGCTGGGCACAGTGGCTCACGCCTGTAATCCCAGAACTTTGGGAGGCCAAGATGGGGGGATCACTTGAGGCCAGGAGTTTGAGACCAGCCTGGTTGATGTGGCAAGATCCCATTATCTAGACAAACAAACAAATGATGAATGATATAAAAGTGCCTGAAATGGTGGTAATTTATAGGGAACTAAACATATGAATTCTGGGGCAATAATGTCCATGCACAAATCCAGGCTCTACAAACAAATAGGTGTATGATACTGGACAAATTATTCACCCTGTCTGTGCCTCAGTTTTCTCATCTGTAGAATGGCATAATAATAGTACTTAATGGGGTTGTTGAATTATACAATGTGTGTAGAGCAGTTTGAACAGTACCTGGCACACAGTCCTATGTAAGTGTTTTCAACTATTTTCCTCTCTGAGTAACTCATATATTGAGCTAAGGCCTAAATATTAGGAAGAGTCTTAAGCCAAGAATATAGATAACTTAAAAGAAACTGTACCAAATAAGGAAGAATTAGACTAAAATGTCACTTGTCTTTATATTTGCATGGTATACATTAATGAAAATACATGAAGCTTCAAGTATTGCAGCAACACTCATGATCCATCTTCACCTTCGTCAGAGCTCTCGTCACTCAGCTCCTCATCGCTTTCTCCTTTACTCTCACCACTGCTGTCTTCATCACTGTTTTCACCGTCTTGCTCATGATTCTGAGTTTTCTCTGCCACAGAAAGGAAGAGGATTGCTTAAGGTGTTTCTTAATATTTCACTCTGAAAAATAATTCTCCTTGCCCCTCCCTCTACCAAGAAATACATATATTTGTAACATAAGAACTGAGTTGGACTTGGCTAACTGCACTAGGGTCAAATGGTAGTACAAAGAAGAAATGTATTTTTACTGGCATACAGGTGTTTTTGATAATTTAAAACATAAGTCTATAAAAATAATTTTACTATTGTCAATGAAATTCTATTTAACGATTTCATAGAATTCTTTCTATCATAGAATTTTATTGACAATAGTAAAATTGTCCATTGAAAGGAATTGAGACAAGGTAATTGAGAGGGTGTGGCTTCCCTTGGAATTGTGGGTAATTCCTTTAACACGCAGCCGTGTTAGCATATTCTGCTTGTCAATACCTGATGCCTGGTGCCCAGGGAGCCTGCTCTGCTCGGGCAGTTCTATCCCACAGAGAGAAGGGGGTCATTGTGACCATCCACAGAGGACAAGCTGTTTCACTAAACCATTTAAGACAGCCATTTAGCCTTTTCTTAACCACTTCCTAAAGATGTATCGACAATCTCCCGGGATAATGGGTTTTTAAAGTGACTGCTTATAGTTCTATGAGAAACAAGGAATTTCAATTTTTAAAATTACCCATCAGCAACATTTCTTCAATAAGTGTGAAAAACTCCTTGGCCTCAGGATTTTCTGGTTCATAGATTAGGACTGAAAATGAAAATGGACAACAGAATGTGTGTTATTAACGTTCAGTGTTGCAGCAAACAGGCTCCTTAGAATGAAATTGAACTGTCAGTCAGAGCAGGTGAAAGGCACAATGCAATAAACACTAACAATTATACCACAGGTATATCTGAGTACAAATAGAGAAAATTCTGCACTTCTATTTTGCACTTTGGAAGATAAATGATCCTCACTATATTTTCTTTCTTTCTTTTTTTTTTTTTTTTTTTCCCTGAGACAGGGTGTCGCTCTGTTACCCAGACTGGAGTGCAGTGGCATGATCTTGGCTCACTGCAGCCTCTGCCTCCCGGGTTCAAGTGATTCTCGTGCCTCAGTTTCCTGAGTAGCTACAGGTGTGTGCCACCACGCCTGGCTAAGTTTTGTATTTTTGGTAGAGACAGGGTTTCACCATGTTGCCCAGGCTAGTCTCAAACTCCTGACCTCAGGTGATCCACCCACCTCGGCCTCCCAAAGTGCTGGGATTACAGGCATGAGACACTGCACCCAGCCCTCATTATATTTTCTACCTCCTATCCATAGAAAGCAATCTCTATCACCTCAATATAGCTTCCCTCATAGGACAGTAGCCAGAGTGTTTCATGAACATAATCATTTCCCAAAGAAGGTACAAATTCTGCAAAATATGGAGACTTTGCTAATGAGAAGACTGTGTGCCTAGAGGTCTGTTAATCCTTCATCTCATGTCATCCACCCATCTACATGACATCCTTTACTAAAGGTCTCATCGGAACACAGAGGAAGTTTTTGTTTGTTTGTTTTTAATGCAACCTCTTCCATGCTAGAGATGCCATTTTGTTACATCTTTCCAATAGGGGAACTGATGTTACTTCTTTCTCTTCATCTTGACAACTTTTACTGTAGTCTACACGTTGGTCATTGCCTGCTTAACAACATTCTCCACCTTCATTGGACCCATTGTTTTCAGTACTATTTATTCCTTTCTGCTGATCCTTTATGTCACTGTGTCACCTTTCTTTTGGACCACAACAATAGACTTTTTTAGGCTTGTTAGTATGTTAGCAAAATCCTAGAGGCCAGAAAGATTTATACCCTTAGTTTCAGAGTTGTCTAGACTATTTTATTCACTTTTTTAGATCTCGCTCCACAGATCTCTCTCTACTTCTTCCTACCAGCCTTGAGGAGTATTCATAATTTTGCATCATCCGTTTAATATTGTGACTCCTGCTCAATATCTTGGTGGCCTCCAAGGGGGGCACTGAAACATCAAGTGTGCTCTTCATCTGGCTAAAAGTAAGACACAATTGTGAGGCTGGGCATGGTGGCTCACACTTGTAATCCCAGCACTTTGGGAGGCTGAGGCAGGTGGATCATTTGAGCTCAGGAGTTCAAGACCAGCCTTCGCAACCTGCTGAAACCCTGTCTCTACAAAAAAATACAAAAATTAGCTGGGCGTGGTAACACGTGCTTGTAGTCCCAGCTCCTTCGGAGGCCGAGGCAGGAGGATGACATGAACCTAGGAGATGGAGGTTGCAGTGGGTTGAAATCGTGCCACTGCATCCCAGCCTAAGTGACTGAGGGAGACGCTGTCTCAAAAAAAAAAAAACAAAAAAAAAAACAAAGAGAGAGAGAGAGATAACCATTGTGGATTGTTCAATTAGACCCCATTGGCTCATAGGATCCCACCCATGGCTTTCATCTTGATACACAAAAAAGGGACTTTATTTCCTAATCTACTAACATAACTAACAATTTGTCATCAATCTGGGTTAGCATGACTGCGTGCCTGCTTAGAAGCTGCTTTTAAGGATCCTGTAAGTATTTTATGTATCATTATACATACCCATAAGGTTTCTGAGCAAAGTAATTTTTTGCACATTTTACCTTGGACTAAAATATGCTTATCATTAATAGTCTAAATCTCTGAGGCTAAGCTTCTTTCCAGAAGAGGGTTTCTCCAGCTTGCTTCTTTAGATACTAGTTTCTTTAAAAGTATACTGTAGGCTAATAGGAAAGAGTGAGTTATTTTATTCAAAAATAAATAGAAGATTTTGTAGGAACTATATTTTTGGAAGATACAGTATATCTGTATTTGCATTAGACATATAATGGCATGAAGTATTTTGGTTTTTGAGCCATTATTCTTTAACATTTACAACTGATGATTTATTAAATAAATCTTCCGGACCTCCATGTATTATGTAGAGAATCTCAGGCTGCCTGGGAGCAGAAGTGTGGTACCCTAAAGAGACTGAGCTGCAGGCTTTTGACTTACAGGTGAAGTGACCAAAAAATAGGAAGATTGATTGGCACCAAATCTCATAGTCACTCATGAGATGAATGGAGAAACGTAAAGTACTTTGGACTCTTGACTTTCAGTTCCATTTAAAAACCACTTTTGGACAGGTGCAGTGGCTGATGCCTGTAATCCCAACACTTCGGGAGGCTGAGGTGGAAGGATCCTTGAGCCCAGGAGTTTGAGACCAACCTGGGCAATGTGGTGAAACCCCGCCTCTACAAAAAATACAAAAATTACCTGGGCATGGTTTTACGTGTCCACAGTCCCAGCTACTTGAGAGGCCGAGGTGGTAGGATCCCTTGAGCATGGGAGTTCAAGGCTGAAGTGAGCTGTGATCACACCACTGCACTCCAGCCTGGGTGACAGAGTGAGACCGTGCCTCAAAAATAGTAATAATAATACTTCAGTGTTTTTATAAAAATAGAGAATTGAACATGATTCTATCAGGATTCCTTCTAATTTGAAATTCTGGCTGGATGCAGTGACTCTCATCTGTAATCCCATTGCTTTGGGAGGCCATGGCAGACAGATCACTTGAGCCTAGCAGTTCAAGACCAGCCTGGAGAATATGGCAAAACTCATCTCTACAAAAAATACAAAAATTAGTGGGTGTGGTGGTACACACCTGTAGTCCCAGCTACTAGGGAGGCTGAGGTGGGAGGATTGCCTGAGCTGGGAGATTGAGACTGCAGTGGCTGACATTGTGCCACTGCACTCCAGCCTGGGTGACAAAGCAAGACCCTGTCTCAAAAAAAATTCTATATTTGTGGGTCACCAAAAATAAGTTTGACTAAAATATTTTATTCAATGGCTCTAAAGGTCAAAAGTGCTTGAAAGGATTATTTACCTCAGATACAAGATAGGAAGTGTTGAAGTATTCAAGAAACCAATTTGTAAAATGAGCCAATGATCTAGAAGTACTCTATCCACAGTTGGGACTCTTGTGAGGCAAGCCAGGGCAGACCGTCACTCAATCCTTGTGCTACATTTTCACTTAAGGACTTTACTGTAAGAATGAATTTAAGTTTAACACTGCTTAATATTTTGAGTCTTGTTGTCAACAAGTTTAATTGTAGAGTTGCTATTTTCTCTTTTTTAACGTATTATCACTAATATGTTAGAAGAAAAAGATGCATAAAATAGTTGAAAAGATGATAGAGTTCAACAAAGAACCAGAATCTTTCCAGATCATTAAATGGAAATTCTAAAATTGGAAAAGACAACCTTGGACTCACTAAATAGTTTTAACAGCATATTGGATACAGCAGAAGATAGAATAAAGAAACCAAAAACAGGTAGATAGAAAATATTAAAACTGACACATAGAAATAAAAGAAAGAGAGCCAGGTGCTATGGCTCACCCTGTAATCCCAGCACTTTGGGAGGCTGAGGCAGGAGAATCACTTGAGGCCAAGAGTTCGAGACCAGCCTGGCCAACATGGTAAAACCCCCATCTCTACTAAAAATACAAAAATTAGCCAGGCATGGTGGCACAAGCCTGTAATCCCAGCTGCTTATGAGGCTGAAGCATAAGAATCACTTGAACTCAGGAGGCAGAGGTTGCAGTGAGCGGAGATTGCACCACTGTACTCTAGCCTCGGTGACAGAGCAAGAACCTGTCAAAAAAAAAAAAAAAAAAAAAGAAAGAAAGGAAAGAGAAGGAAGGAAGGAAGGAAAGAAAGAAAGAAAGGAAGGAAAACAAAACACACTAGAGCTGAGTATAAGATACACATGGGACATCATGAAAAAAAAGTCTAATTTGTGTGTAATTGGAGACCCAGGAAGAGAAGAGAGAGGATAGACTAGAAGTGGTATTTGAAAAGGTAATGGCCAAAAAATTTTCAAAGCTGATAGAAACATCAACCCACAGAGTTAAGAAACTCAGCAAATGCCCTGAACAGTACAACTGCAACAAAAAACCCACAACTATTTTGAACATCAAGTCAAACCATTAAAAACCAAAGATAAAAAGAAAAATAAGGTAGATCATATCATTGCTCTACTCAAAAGCCTCCAGTGGTTTTCCCACCTCAGGGAAAGAACAGAGCCTATGCAATCTGACAACCCCTTGCCTATGACGCCTCTGACTTCATTTCCTATCACACTTCTCCATGCTCATTCTGCTCCAGTTACACTGTCCTCCTCACTATTCCTTTCAGGCACACTCCTGTCATAGCACATTTGCCATTCATCCTCCCTGGCACACTCTGCCTCCAGATATTCATGTGGCTATTCCTCAAGTCTTTCAGTGAGGCCTTCCTGGGCCATCCTATTTAAAACTGCTTTGCCTTCCTCCAGTACCTTCTATTCCTTCTTCCCTACTTTATTTCTCACCATGGCACCTATCATTCATGACACACTATCTGTTTATTGTCTTTCTAACACTAGACACAAATGTGGGATTGTCATCTGTCTGACTGACTATTGTATTTCCAGTGCCTGGAACAGTGGCTGGCATGTGTAGGCACTCAATGTTTGTGGGATAAATGCATGCTCAGTTAAGGTTTGACTGCTGTGTCACCTGACACTTCTTTGAAACTAAAGGTATAAAGTTACTAACCCATCATCATGAGGGTAAAATTTTTGACTTATTTTCCAGTGATGGTAATTAGCCGATGCTAGTTTACATTAATTTATTCCACTAAAATGTACTCTAGAGATCTAAATTAGTACTTATACCAATCAACCTAATTTATTATCAAGGAATCACTGAGACACTATCAGGGAATTCACTAGACCTATGATAATCAAGCCATTTTATATATTACGGAATTCATTTTTGAAAACAAAGAGAAGATTAGAAAATATGAAAGTATTTTGTACTTACTCATCTGACATAATTTTTTTGCCAGCTGGTACTCTCGGGCCATTTCTGCTCTCAGAAACTGGAAAACATTAAATTCTTCAGATAAGTGAATTTAAATGTTGTCAACTCTAAACTCCCTAGAAAATCTTCCATTAATCATTAGTTATTTTGCTTTTAACACTTCCACATGTTTTTCCAGGAGTCAGTCTATAATGAATAGTGAATCAATTAATCAAGGAAATTGAAGTACCTCTGATGGCAAAGCCACATGGGGTAAGGATGATACCTCTGCTTTCCTGCAGCCATACTGTGTATGTACTACTGAACAATTTGAGAATATGTAGGTTGATTCAACTGGCACAGATAGTGAAGACATTAATCACTTTATTTTAATATTCCTTTGGTTCAGATACAGGTTTCATTTGTAACTTAGTCCATAATTATACGACAGTTGAAAAAAATGCAGATTTACAAAATGTACATTTGATATTTTCCAGCATTGCTCTTATATCATCCAGTTTTGTTTTTATTATTTTTATTATACTTTTCTTGTTACAAAATAATACATCTTTTTTTATGTAGGAAATTTAAAAGCTAAATACACACATTCTGTCCCCAATTAAGAAGCACTTAATTTCTACCATCTATGAAAAATAAACACATTTATTTTTAACATCTTCATGTATATTCTTTCAAGTATTATTTTCCATAAATTAACACATATGCATTTACAACATTTAAGATTATTTAGTAACTTAAAAAAAATAAACCATGGATTGTGATCATTTTCTCCTCATGGCATGAAATATTCTTACGTATTTTTTACTTACTTAGGCTACAATTTACTAAACTAATCTTCTATTATAGCTATTTAGACTGCTTCCATTAAAAAAATGCACAAAAAAATCCCCTATACTTTGATGATTGTTCTTGCTTGTGTGTGACACATTCTGAACCACATGCAGGTATATGAGTTTTATTCTGTAAGAGACAGAGGCATATAGTAATATGAAAGAGACCCTTCTCATATACTTCCAGATATTTGATAAATACCCAGACACTGTTTTCAGAAGTAGTTCTCTACCAGTTTTCTCAATTTCTCCCATGGGTTAAAAAAAATTTTATTTCTAATGTAAATATAACTCTTCCGGAGATTTTTCTATAAGTCATTAATTTCATCAAAATTCTCATTCACATACTAATTATTTATTTTATTTTATTTTTATTTTATTTTATTTATTTATTTATTTTTGAGACGGAGTCTCGCTCTGTCGCCCAGGCTGGAGCGCAGTGGCGCGATCTCGGCTCACTGCAAGCTCTGCCTCCCGGGTTCACGCCATTCTCCTGCCTCAGCCTCTGTAGTAGCTGGGACTACAGGCGCCTGCCACCACGCCCGGCTAATTTTTTTTTTTTTAGTAGAGACGGGGTTTCACCATGTTAGCCAGGATGGTCCCGATCTCCTGACCTCGTGATCCGCCCGCCTCGGCCTCACATACTAATTAATATGGATAAATGCATGCTCAGTTAAGGTTTGACTGCTGTACTACCTGACACTTCTCTGAAATTAAAGGTATAAAGTTACTAACCCATCATCATGAGGGTAAAATTTTGACATTATCTTAACCCCCTGCCCATGGTATGTTAAACCTAAACATGGTAGGTTCAACTCATGCAATAGAATTCTTATATTTTCAAAATCTATTCTTGTCTAGGTTAAACATGGTATGGTCTTAAACATGGTATGTTCAACTCATGCAATAGAATTCTTATATTTTTAAAATCTATTCTTGTCTAGGTTAAGACATTTTCATTTTCTTTCCTATTTGTGGTTTTCTTCCATTTTAATTATGATATTTAGTGGTTTATATCTATGTCATCCTTTTTTCAAATATCCAACTCTTGATACATTAATTTGGTTTTTAGTTTGAATTAAAGTTTAATTATTTTTCTTGTTTTATGTTTATTTTATTTTTCTAGTTTCTGGCATTAATATTTAGTTCATTTATTGTCATTCTTTCTTGAATCATCATCATTATCATCAAAGCTTTGAAATTTTAAGCTTATTTCAAAATTTTAATAATTAGTGTTGTTGTGATTACTATTTTCCAAATAGTTTTTAAGTTTTTTTTTTTTTTTTTGAGAAGGAGTCTTGGTCTGTTGCCCAGGCTGGAGTGCAGTGGTGCAATCTCGGCTCACTGCAACCTCTGCCTCCTGGGTTCAAGTGATTCTCCTGCCTCAGCCTCCTGAGAAGCTGGGATTACAGGCATGCACCACCACACCTGGCTAATTGTTTGTATTTTTATTTTTATTTTTTGGAGGCAGAGTCTTGCTCTATCCCCCAGGCTGGAGTGCAGTGGCGCCATCTCGGCTCACTGCAATCTCCGCCTCCCAGGTTCAAGAGATTCTCCTGCCTCAGCCTCCTGAATAGCTGGGATTATAGGCGCCTGCCACCATGCCTGGCTAATTTTTGTAGTTTTAGTAGAGACAGGGTTTCACCATGTTGTTCAGGCTGGTCTTGAACTCCTGACCTCAGGTGATCCGCCTGCCTTGGCCTCCCAAAGTGCTGGGATTACAGGCGTGAGGCACCATGCCTGGCTGTTTGTATTTTTAGTAGAGATGAGATTTCATCATGTTGGCCAGGCCGGTCTTGAATTCCTGACGTCAAGTGATTCTCCTGCCTAGCCTCCCAAAGTGCTGGGATTACAGGCGTGAGCCACCACGCCCAGCTGAAGTTTATTTTTTATTTTTCTTTTACATTCATGCCATTTAGAAAAATATTTTTTAGTTTTAAGTGGTTTTAATTTGTTATTGTTATTTTTGTTGTTAATGCCTAGTTTAATTGAGCATGGACAGGGAATGTGATCAGTAAAATATACAGCTATTTTTATATTTTTAAAATCTATTGTGAAAAATTTAAATATACACAAAAGTAGAGAGAATAGTAAAAGAAATCCAATTTCCCAATTCTCAGCTTCAAAATTTGGGTTCCACCAGTATCACCACACACTCTTTCCCCACCTCTGTCTGGATTATTTTAAAGCACTTTACAGATATCATCTCATTTTACATTACTATAAAACCCAATCAAAATATTACTATCATACCTAAACATTTAGGAATTTCTTAATATTATCTAATATGTAGTCTATTTAATGAAGCATTATATTAATACTAGCCTCAGAAAAAGAAAAGAAGTATGGAATCAATTTCCCTTGTATTGACCTATGTGTTGTTTTTGTTAGCATAAAATATATTTCCTTTAATAGTTCAAAAGGCAGTAAAATTAAGAAATTCTTGCAATGGATGTTTTGCAGAAGCCCTTGATGAGAATTATCTAACACTCCAAAATTAAGCTGAAGACAGGTTTAAAAAATTATTTGTGATATTCGAAATAAAGAGATGCTTAACAACTAAACAAAAAGCATAAACACTGATGATATCTGACTGGAAAAAAATCCAGCTAGAAGCTACAAAAGCCATTTTAAAGATAAATTCAGAAATCTAAATTTGGTGGAATATTATATATTACAGAATTATTACTAATTTTCTTAGTTGTGATAAGGATATAGTGTTACACTGAAGAATGAACTTTGGAGACCCATGCTTGAGTATTTACGGGTGAAGTTTCATGATGTCTACAACCAATTTCAAGTATTTCAGTCAGAAGTATATATCTAGGATGGGCACAGTGGCTCATGCCTGTAATCCCAACACTTTGGGAGGCCGAGGTGGGCGGATCACCTGAGGCCAGGAGTTCGAGACCAGCCTGGCCAACATGGTGAAACCCGATCTCTACTTAAAAAAAAAAAAAAAATTAGCCAGGCATGGTGGTGCATACCTGTAATCTCAGCTACTCAGGAGGCTGAGGCACGAGAATCACTTCAACTCAGAGGCAGAGGCTGCAGTGAGGTGAGATTGTGCCACTGTACTCCAGCCTGGGTGACAGAGCAATACTCTGTCTCAAAAAATTAAAAAAAATAAAGAAAGAAAGAAAGAAAGAAGAAGAAGAATATGGCTAGGCTATATCTATGCCTCTCCTATCAAAAGAGAAAGATAAAGCAAATGAGGCACAATGTTAATGAGTAGTGAATCTAGGTAAAGAGTATTCAGGTGTTCATTGTTCTACTCTTTCCATTTTTCTATAGGTTTTAAAATTTACAAAATTGGCCAGGTGTGGTTGCTCACACCTGTAATCCCAGCACTTTGGGAGGCCAAGGGAGGTGAATCACAAGGTCAGGAGATTGAGACCATCCTGGCCAACATGGTGAAACCCCGTCTCTACTAAAAACACACACACACAAAATTAGCTGGGTGTGGTGGCGTGCACCTGTAGTCCCAGGTACTCGGGAGACTGAGGCAGGAGAATCGCTTGAACCCGAGAGGCAGAGGCTGCAGTGAGCCGAGATCACGCCACTGAACTCAGCCTGGGTGACAGAGCAAGACTCCGTCTCGAAAATAAAATAAAAATTAAAAATTGGGACAACTAAAAAGGGACGCATTGTGAAAACAAAAAATCTTATGCACAGTACAAAACAAGATATGAAAGTAAGCAATCTCATATTATCTGAATTTTTACATGAAAATGAATTAATGGATAACTTTTATAATTAAATGTTGAAAAAGAAAAAAACAAAACAACTCCAGAGAGTCTAGTTATGGTAGATAGGGTCATTGAATGCTCTACAATTCATGAATGATTTAGGTGTCTAGTCAAAAGAAGACTAAGTGAAGTCTTTCTAATATTTGGCATTAATTTTTCTTCTTTCTTAAAAGCACCTTATAATATTAAGGAGGTTTCAAAATTTCCTATATATGCTTTATTCTAGGAAGGAAATATAGTAAATATAATATGACTGATTTCTTTATATTATTCCATGGCTAGCAATTAAATTATCTAAGAAGAGAAGTACATAAGCATTTTTTATTTTGTGCTAAAAATCTAATTGAGGCTTTCGGCCCTGATGGAGTAATAGAGAGCAGACTTACTGTCCTTCCTTAAACAACCATAAAATTAGACATAAATATATGAAACAACAGTTTTCAGAAACTGGACAACAGATACCACAGGACAGTGATATTTCTTAGAGTAGGGAAACAAAGTGGGTCCTATGATTGCCTTAGCTTACCACTTGTAGGCTGTTTCCAGGGGCCAGCATGAGGAAGAAAAATCTAAACAGAAACCAGTGATTTCTCTGGGTTGAAATAACATAGTTTGGACTGCAGAGATTATAGCCAAGGTGGCTATAATTTTCAAAAGAGGAGGGAGTTTCACAAAGACAGAGGGCTCCAGCAATCTGCAGAGGTGTTTCTTTGAGTCTTTGGCTGGTAATGATCTGCATGTGAGTGTGAAGAAACTATCTGAATCTGGAGAAAGAATCACTAGAATGAGCAGGTGGAATAATCACTGGCTATCAGACAGGGTTGAGAGCAGCTCATGTTCTTACCAGCCAGAGTGGAAGGTCCTCCTAACATGCAGCACACTGGGGAGAATCCCCATAAGGGCACTGCCTTAGTACTGTCCTTATGCTACATAAAGGCTGCCCCGGATGCTCCCTAACAAAGCTTAAAAGCAAGGGTCAAAGAGATACCTGCTTCCAAGCACCTTAGCTGTGCACCAGAACAAATATTTACCGAAGTCCAACAATATTTACAGAAAAACAAAAAAAGTTTGTACCCCAAAACATAAGATTTACAATGTTTGGGATTCAGTAAATAATTGCCAGGTACCAGGTGTGGTGGTGTGCACCTGTAGTCCCCAGCTATTCAGGAGGCTGAGGCAGGATTGCTTGAGCCCAGGAGTTTAAGGGTGTAGTGTAACATGATCATGCCTGTGAGTAGTCACTGCACTCCAGCCTGGCAAAGCAAGACCCCATCTGTTAAAACAAACAAACAAACAAACAAACAAACAAAATATAGGCATGCAAAGGAGGAGGAAAATAAGACCCATAAGCAGGAGAAAACAATCAGTAGAAACTGACCTAGAATTAACAAAGACGATAGAATAGCAGGCAGGCATGTTAAAACAGCTATTATATGCCATATGCTCAAAAACAGAGGTAAATATGAACATGATGATGACAGAAATAATAGGTATAAAAAATCTTAATGGAACTTCTAGAGATGATAACTATAGTATCTGAAATGCAAAAAAATATAATGCAGGATGGGATTAACAGCAGATTATAACTGCAAAGAAAAGATTATAAACCTGAAGAGATAGCAATAGATATTATCTAAAAAAATATGAAAAAAACTGAAAAAAATTTAAGTGGTATATCAGTGACCTCTGGGACAATACTGAGTGGTTCAGCGTTTTAGCAATTGCACCTTAGATGAAAAGAGGAAGAGCAGAGGTCAGAAAAAATATTTGAAGAATAACTGAACATTTCCCAAACTTGATGAAGACTATAAACTCACAGATCCAAGAATCTTAAGGAGCAGAAGAAATATGAGGAAAACCACACCTAGGCACATCATAATTAAATTGTGAAATAAAATAATATGGAAGAAAAAATTTTTATAAGACATATTATATACAGATGAATAAAGATAAGAACAACGGATATCTCTTCTGAAACTATGCAAGCTATGAGACAATGAAGCAACCGTTCAAAGCCCTAAAAAAAAAATCTTGGCAATCTAGAATTCTCTAGCTAAAAATTTGTTTTAAATGAAAATGAAATTAAGACCTTTTAAGACAAAACAAGGCTGAGAGAATTTATTGCCAGTAGAACTGCATTATAAGAAATACTAAAGGAAGTTTTTTGGGTAAAGGAAAAGTGATATCAGGTAGAAATTGGGATCTACAGAAAGCTATGATCCAGAAATTGCACATATGTGGGTAAATATAAAGGACATTTGAAAAGAGATTTTAAAATCTCTTGAAAAGAGAATTAACCATTAAAAAAAATAATGTATTGAAGGGCTTACAACATATGCATGGATAGAAGTAAAATGTATGGGAAATAATACAAAGGATGGGAAAGGGAAATGAGTGTCCTATTATACAACATACATGAGGTTGTATAATAATAATTAAAGGCAGACTGTGATATCACAACAAGCGAGGTAAAATTGTTTTGTTCTCCATAGAATTATCAGTAAATGCTTATGTATAATTTTTGAGTGTGTTGTTTCAGGCTTCAATGCCTTCATATATGCCTTTTCTGATGCCAGTAATGCCTTCTCTTGTTTTAACAGATGAATTCTATACTTGCCTCTTCCTTCAGGTTTCCAAGATTCTATTTGTGTCTCTTCCTCTAAAAATCCTCCTCTTATTCTTTGATCCTCCTGCTTCTTTTTTCAGTTAGTCCCTTAATCCTCCCTGTTCCCAGAAAACTTAATAAATAACTTTTGTTACTAGCATACATTTCATCTTATTGTAATTATTTATATATATGCATGTTATCAAGGGCAGAGACATGTCTCTCTTATTTATTTCTATATCCCCAGCAACTAGCATGGTGCCCAGTGTATAGAAAGCTTTCCTTAAAGCAGTCCTTGAAGAGTTTTATACCAAAACTTCTCTTACTCCTGCCTCAGCTTTACCAAAATACTGCATGTCCCTTCCAGAATCTTCTTTCACCTCTAACCTGGTGAAAGTAGTAAGAGAGATGAGTAGCCAGGTAAGCATCTGTGTGTGGACAAGGATCTTTTTATTAATTTTTAAAAATGTTTATTTTTTATTGATATATAATATTGTATACATTTTGGGGGTACATGTTTGATACTTGTATACAATGTGTAATGATCAAATCAAGGCAATTGGATTATCCATCATCTTAAACACTTATCTTTTCTTTGTGCTGGGAATATTACAATTTTTCTCTTCTGGCTAAAGTATACAATAAACTACTGTTAACTATAACTTCCCTACTGTACTACTGAATACTAGAATTTATTCCTTCCATCTAACTGTATTTTTGTGCCCCTTAATGGACTTCTCTTTATCTCCCTTCTTCCCGTCCAGCTTCTGGTAACCACCATTCTATGTTCTGCCTCCATGAGATCTACTTTTTTAGTTCTCACAGTAGTGATTTTAAATCTTCAGTCTTTAGTTATTTCAATATTTTAAAGTTTCTTCAATTATATGCACAAGTAAAACTTACTTCTGCCATTAACTCTAGTGGGGCCTGAGTATTCTTTTTAGGGTTACTATCTTCATCATCATCTTCATCATTGGTATCATCTTCACCATCATCCTCTGCTGATTCTGACAATTTATCATCAATATCCTGAAGGCAATATTCATTATTTTTCTCCTGCTTTACAATGACTGCATCTTTGCTCACTTCACCTAAAAGAGAATATACCTAATTTAATCAAAAGAGATCGAAAAGTTCGCAAATTAAATTTTGCCAGATCCTATTACTATTCATTAAACTGATATATTAATAAAAGTAACATAATTATCATAACAAACTTATATTCAAAACACTACATATTTTAACTCATTTAAATCTCTCAACATCAAGGCGGTATGTACTATTTTTATTCCCATTTATAGGTGAGGAAACTGAGGGACACAGAGGTTAAATATACTGGCCAACTTCACACAGCTAATTAAGTGGTAGATCTGTGAGTCGGTCTGGCCCTAGATTCCATATTCTTAACTATATCTTGTACTATTTTTACTAATACACAATAAAATAAATATACTTCTATTAAAGTAAGTTTAAATCATCTCCTGGGGAAATACTACTGAGTGAGCCTGCTGGCTCCTTCAGCTTTGTGGAAGTCTTTCACAGTTTGAAATTGAACTTGTGTTACATCCACCCCTTCTTGTATGATTTTGAGTGCCTGGGAAGTCTCTGAGATGCCTTCTTTGATGGGAAGGTAGCCATGAGCTACTCTAAATAGTGTATATACATTGTGTTAGAAAGAAGAAAATGAGGAAATCTAGGAGAGCTTCATAGAAGACAATGTTAAGAAAACACAGAACAACAACAACAAAAAAAGGTAAAACTAATGACTCTAAAACAAACTCCTGACTCTAAACCCAAAATGCTACCCTGAAAAGGAATATCAAGTTCTTCCAAGAGTATGACGGTTGTGTTATTCAGGCCATCTGTCTACCTGTTTCTGGTTCATTTACAGTCTCCATCAGCTCACAACCACCCTGACTGTCCAGTGTGCACCTAGCCTGTAGACTGACTCAATGCACTGATGTCACCAAGGGAGGTCATAATGAGGAATTAGGGACATTTTGTGATGTCACAGGAACTGTCTCATTTACTTCACAAACAGTTAGCAGCATGAGAGAAGTTTCCTGATCCCTAGATCTAAAGCAGTCCTCTCTCCAGGAGCTGTTTATTTACATTATAGCACCTACCACAAACTGCAATTACCTTACTTATGTGTTTGTGTTTTTATTTTTATTTATTTATTTTTTTGGAGACAGGGTCTCACTCTGTCGCCCAGGCTGGAGTTCAGTGATGTGATCTCGGCTCACTGCATCCTCTGCTCCCCAGGTTCAAGCGAGTCTTGTGCCTTAGCCTCCTGAGTAGCTGGACTACAGGCGCACGCCACCACACCCAGCTAATTTTTATATTTTTAGTAGAGATGGGGTTTCACCATGTTGGCTAGGCTGGTCTTGAACTCCTGGCCTCAAGTGATCCACCCACCTAAAAGTGCTAAGTTTACAGTGTTTGTGTTTTTAATTGTTTTTTCTTTTAGACTAGTCAAGTGCAGTAGTGAGAAGGGTAGAAAGAGTAAAACCAGGAGTTAATTCTGTAGCTATGAACAATCAACTTGGATAACTATCTTTGCATCAGCCTATTTTTTTATTTTTTATTTTATTTTTATTTATTTTTATTTTTAATTTTCAAAAATTTTTAAACTTCTTTTTGAGACAGGGTCTTGCTCTGTCACCCACCCAGTGCAGGGACATGATCATAGTTCACTGTAGCCTTTAACTCCTGGGTTCAAGCAATCCTCCTGCTTCAGCCTTCCTAGTAGCTAGGACTACAAGTATATACTAGCGTGCTTGGCAATTTTTCTTTTTTAATTTTAATTTTTTTCAAAGATGGGGTCTTGCTATATTGCCCAGTCTGGTCTCAAACTCTAGGGCTCGACCTGGGCTGATCCTCTTGCCTTGGTCTCCCAAAGTGCTGAGAGTTACAGGCATGAGCCACTATAGCTGGCCTGTTTTTTATTTTTAATAGTCAGCTGTCTGACTTCTACTAGAATGTAAACTTTATAAGGACAAGGGCTTTCCCTATTTTGCCAACTTTTGTATCCATAGCCTCTAAACCAGTGCCTGGCACTCTGGCTTTCACTCTGGTTATTAAATGAATGGAACGTGTTAATGCTTTCATAGGTATTTTAATTCATTCCAGGACTTAAGACTCTGTAATTACCATCTTATGTAATGCATATCCATGGATCTCATACCTGGCTGAATATAAGAATCACCTACAACATGACTTTGGAGAACTACTGATTCTCATGACCCGCCCCAGATCTACAGAGTTGTCAGTTCCCAAAGGTCGCAGAAAAGGAGGGTTCAATTAGAAGCCATAGTTAGTTAATTCAATGAAACAAATGTTATTACCTGTGCTTTCTTTTAAGCAGGAAGATGACAATAGGTCAGACTGTAGATTTGTTAAGATATCTTTACTTTCGATACTCCTTGAAGATACTCTATTTTCAGTAGTCTGTAAAGAGACTTTATTTGCAATATTCTTAGAAGGGACTTCCTTCCTATATGTTAGACAGTGAAAAAATATTTTCTTAGGTCATAATTCTGTTTAATGCTTTAAACACAGACACTACATTTAATGTAAACATACAATATAATATGTCAACAATAAACTAAATAGCTAAAATGTAGTATCTTCTTTGTGGAAAAGCATTACAAATTATTTTACAATGATTAAAATTCTATTGCTGACTGGCATTTGTTATCGTATAACAATTCTTAGACTCTTTTCAGAGTTCTTTAACACAGAGCATTTAAGTAATCAGTTATATAAATGTCTCTGGTACATCACAGTGATATGATGGAATAAAACTAAGAAAATTAGCCTTGAGTTTTTAAGTTTATAAATCGATTTTTGCCATTGCTAAATGCTATGCTTATGCAGAGTCCAACACTAATATTAGCCCTTGGACATAATATAAAATAGCCTTTTTCATTAAGTAGCTTAATTAAAAATGGGTTAACTCTCCCTTTTAATCTTTAAACTTGAAGCTTCATGTTAGTAAATAACACATTGAAACAAGGAATTCTTAATGAGGTGCCCTCTGTTCACAAAGACAGCACCCTATGCTTGTGGGAAAAAAAACCCAGGTCTTTTTTTTTTTTTTTTTAGACCAAGTCTCGCTCTATCACCCAGGCTGGAGTGCTGTGACGCGATCTCGGCTCACTGCAACCTCTGCCTCCCAGGTTCAAGCAATTCTCTGCCTCAGCCTCTCTAGTAGCTGGGATTACAGGCGCCTGCCACCATGCCCGGCTAATTTTTCTATTTTTAGTAGAAACGGGGTTTCACCATCTTGGCCAGGTTGGTCTTGAACTCCTGACCTTGTGATCCACCCACCTCGGCCTTCCAAAGTGCTGGGATTACAGGCATGAACCACTGTGCCCAGCCCCCCAAGTCTCTTTTTTTGAGGTCTTGAGAATCTTTCAATTTGTCTCCTTCATAAAGTTTTAAAAATTCACCTTCTAGTTTGCATGGAAATATATAAAAAGATGTAAAGTATTATTTGTTCCCCAAAGTTACAATGGCTCTGTTTTTTTCCCTCATGGAAATGTGAATCCAGAACATTAGTAGTTAAGTTAGTGGTCCCATGCACTAATTTAGCAAATAGGTTGACCAGGTTGTTACATCCTTAATACTATGGGAGGGAATGGAATCTTTACTCCCCCAGTATATATGGCTAAAGCAAAACCCTTCTCTGGAAATGAAAAATGCACAGCAAAGATGATTTACATTTGTTCTGCCTCTGCCCTGTTTGATCTTCTAATTGTGACAGAAAGCATCCAAGAAGAAACTCTACATATGAAAAGTTGTAGAATCACTGAAATATTCAGTTTCCAGGATTGTGAGACTCCTGTTATGTAAAAGTTCACCACACTAGTGATTACTAAAATTTATATGCTCTCATAGCTGATCTACATAAAAGGGCTTTGATGTCTTTTTTCTTCCCTGAATTAAAGTATTTCATTGAATCTAAGATACAATGTTTATTATAAGACATACCATCGTTTTATGTACACTAAAAAAGAAAAATATATTGCCAAATATAAGTGTAAGATGACATTGATTGTAAAAGGTGTTAAAATATGAAAAAAATGTGTGCTTTAGAATAAAATATGGCACTTATATATTCACTGAGTTACATCCCTTAAAACAGGAATTTAGCTAGTATAGTTCTGGGTATTTGAATAACTGGAAATGCCTATAATAATTTTAATGAAACACACATGGAGGCAGCCAACATACTCAATGACCTGAAGTAAATGGAATATTACTATTTGGAAGCAGTGAACATGCCAGAAAAATACCTATATGAGAGCTGATCAAATCCTGATTTTAACAGTAAGACATAAATGGCTTTTCTGTTCACTTTCTATGGTCTTTCTTGCACAGTTTCAAAGAATCGGAGGCCCAAAGGTCAATTTCCTCTTCACCTAAAATCTATTGACTTCTGTTTGAGAAAGTGATGTTATTTATGGTAATAAAGCCCCTAACTAAGAAAAACAGGTAACCAGTATACTCTAACAGATCTGTTTTTGTTAACTACAATTACAACTGAGGAAAGATTTAAAATTTTACTTTATGCAATAATATTCTTTGGAAATGCAAAAGTCTTTAATTTAGTACTTAATAAAATTACAGAGTTAATCAGGTTAGACATTCCATTGGAACATATTTATGCTAGAGGGCAGATAACCTAAGTTTTAGAATTTTTTCCTCAGCATGTTGGGTATATTTAGTGTCCCAAAACTTCTACTGAAATAATTCTTTCAGGAGATTTCTATTTTAAACTTTGTCATAAAATGATTTATACTTGTCAAACATGGGCCTAAAAACAAAATTAATTAAAACTTACTTTTCTGAGAATGTTTTAGCTACATTTACAGAGACCTGTGTTGGTGAGGTATTAAGTTTGCTTGTCAATCTTGGTCTGCGTCCAAAGAGGCATTTACTTGAGGTATAAAAATGGGAATAAAAAATAGCTCATTATTCATTTTAGAAAAGGTGATAAAACACGTGATTATGTAAGAAAAGTCCTAGAGATACAATTTTTTTTCAAGCTCAGTCAGCGCTGAGTGCTGTGGATTTGCTTCAGCCATATTCCCCTCAATCTTTATGCTTGAAAGCTTGACCAAAAAATCCAGTAAGGTCCAAAATCTAGAAAACTTTATCCTGCATTAAATACATATTTTATTTCTGCTGCTGAAAATAGTTTGTTAACTACAAGCAATTTGCTGGGTAGACAAAATCTTTCCCACATAGGATTTCTAAGGAAAAAGAAAATGTTAAATGTGGCATTTGTGTGCCCAGAAGTTTGAAACTTGTGGTTTATAGAGTCCACATACTTCTTGTGGCTGGGACTGGAGTGAAAAATACAAAAACTAGAGCAAAGAAAAAACTTTTAGTTTTCCCTAACCCAACCTAAATGAAATCTTTTGGCAAATCTCACTTGCCAGTCAGACTATGAAGCCAGCAGCAGGGTGGAGAGCGGAATGGAAGCTATGCTGAAAAAATTCATCAACTTTGCAGGTCAGTCACACTCTTCCCATGCAAAGATCTCCCCACTCCAATGTTTTTTCCTACTTGATCATTTTTCTCTAGAACTAGCCCTGTTTACCTTCAACTCTGGGTGAAGTACCTGAGGTGACAAAACTACACACCTGTGAAGCTTATTGGCTACACTATCCACCCTTGTCCTCTGAAAGCAAATTAAAGGGAAATGATCATTTTGACCTTGCAAGAAGCAGTTTGAGAGGCAGATGCAATTAGGACTGAGATCAAGAGAACAAGTAGCCACTCTGCTTTTCTATTTTGGCCTAGACTGCATCTGATTTATCCCCGGGGTTTATCTACCTCAGGAGGTGGAACACCCCTTGCTCCAGTTCCAACACTGCTTATCACTCAAAGAACATTGGGGCTCATTGATACAACAGTAATTTCTTTTCATCTATGATCTAGTAACTTCTATTACTATTATTGAAAGTTATATTTCAAATATCCCTCAAAGACAACTAAACATTTTTTAGATTTTATTAAATGTTTTCAACCATGTAATAGGATACATATAAAATTACATGTAGATTACCATATGTAACAAGGCTCTTTTTTTCTGGTTGATTGTAACTTTAAATGAAAATAAATAAGGTCCTCTGTCACTGATTTGCTATACATTACTTTCTCTTTAATATAAAAACATGTATTATATAATATGTAATATACATATAATTTACAACAAAAGCCAAGGTGGACATTTTTCGTTTTGACAATATGAAAATTTAAATATATG
This sequence comes from Homo sapiens, assembly GCF_000001405.40. Taxonomy (NCBI): domain Eukaryota; kingdom Metazoa; phylum Chordata; class Mammalia; order Primates; family Hominidae; genus Homo; species Homo sapiens. The sequence continues at coordinate 170,778,457 of NC_000002.12, read as the reverse complement.
TTGTCTAGGGTAGAATTTTTCCCAGTCAATATTTAGAATAAACAAAAACAGTATGAATTTGAATAGAAGAATCCCACCAGAATAGTACCTACTAATTTGTCAGTAATCCCCACAAATGTGTTTATGATCAACTTTCAAGCTGTAATTTTTCATAGAATAAATAGAGATTTTTTTTTCAGAAAGTAGGAGATGACTACAGGAAGGGCTTTAATAGATTATCAGAATCAGAGCCTTGAACAGAGAAGATATTTAAAATTTAGCTACTAAATTGATATTGTACTGTGATTTTTTTACACTTGATCTTAGCCAAAAGGCTGGAAAGAATACAATTTTTTTAACACCAGTTTCTTCAACTAGTTGAGGTGATTACTTTCTTTATTGAGTAGTAACAATTCATGTTATAGTAAATAATTTGTTAATTTTAAAGTACATATTCACTTGAAGAAATATTGTGAAAGAAATAAGTATCAAAGGGAAATAGGAATGAGCAATGAAAATTATGATACAAGTAAAATACAGAATACAGGGTGTTTAAGCATTAAAAAGTAGAAGTGAATATTATCTATACTTCTGCATTTTTATCAAAATTCATTTTTCATTTTAACTGTCCTTCTATCTATAGTAACAATTGCTTTGACTGCAGCAAAAGCTGAAGTGCTAATCCATGCATTTCTGGCCTTTCAAATTTAATTGGGTGACAAATGGCTGCATTATCTAGTTCTAATTGCTTAAAAGGCATGGGAGAGATCAGCTGCACAATCAAAGACATCTTCTTACTCTGACATTGCTTCGTTTGATTCAATCATCACTTTTTCTGAAAGAGAAAAAAATACCCTCAGTATTTTATTAACACTGATGTCCCTGACATACACTTCTAAATGGCAAATATTTAGGATTTTTAAAAGGATAGGCAACATAATAAAGGATTTAATTACTAAGTCATTCAATGACACTCAAGATTCCAATAGTCTTCTTACTATTTAGGACAAGATAGTGGCTAAACATATTCTTTCAAAGTAATAAATCATTTACCGTTTGGATCAAACATTAGCAATCTGCCATTCTGTTTGTTCTTTGCTGTCTAAAATAGAAGCAGAAATAAAAACTAGCATTATTATTTTAGTTTGAGATATTTGAAATAATTTACTAATAGCCTTTATGTAAACATTTCTACTAGCTAGAATAAGATACAATTTTATACTAAAGCTGGTTATTTAAAAACTGTATAAATTGATGCTAAAATAGACTCAAAACATCCTAAAAAAATTATATACTCTCACCTTTACAGTATCTGTCTTGTCTACAGAAGTCCTGCAAAAACCAAAATATTTACTTCATAAGTCTCTAAACACTTATATAGATTTAAAATACAAATAGAACACAGAACACAGTCTGTCAGTTGGGTATTAAGTATGTATTTTGTTTTTGTATTTAGTAGCATTATTTCCATTCTAACTGTAAAACCTCATTCTTCTGGATTATGAAATTTAGTTTTAAAAAAATCTAGAGAAATTAAGCCTTCTGGGGGACGGGGTGGGGAGGGAGAGAAGCACAAACGATAACTAAGGGGTACTGAGCTTAATACCTGGGTGATGAAATAATATGTAAAACAAACCCTCATGACACGTTTACCTATGTAACCAACCTTCACACGTACCCCCAAACCTAAAATGAAAGTTAAAAAAAAAAAAAGAAATTCTCTGTTATCTTTTTGGTTTTACATAACTTATCTGCCACATTCCAGTTTATTGGTGTCACAAAAATAAAAAACAGCTTTTAAGGCCGGGCGCGGTGGCTCAAGCCTGTAATCTCAGCACTTTGGGAAGCCAAGGCAGGTGGATCACCTGAGGTCAGGAGTTCGAGACCAACCTGACCAACATGGCGAAACCCCGTCTCTACTAAAAATACAAAAATTAGCCGGGCATGGTGGCAGATGCCTGTGATCCCAGCTACTCGGGAGGCTGAGATATGAGAATAGCTCGAACCCAGGAGGCGGAAGTTGCAGTGAGCCGAGATCGCACCACTGCACTCCAGCCTGGGCAACAGAGCGAGACTCTGTCTCAAAAAACAACAACTACAACAACAAAACACCTTTTAGAGTACATGTGACCAGAACAAGAAGAAATTCTTCCACAGTATCTCAAGCTATGGTATTTTTAATAAAGTATTATTTAAACAAATACATATAGAAATTACTTTTGATTCTAAAATATAATTCTTACCTCATAAGTTCTCATGTGTTTATTAATATAAAGGTACAATGTTTTCTCTATGAATTTTTACCTAAATTACCTGATCATAGGACTGATTTTCGTATAGTGTAGCCTTTTATATATCTGGATAAATTTCATTCTCATAGTTAAGAGAAAAATAAACTCTTACTTTTTTTTCAAGTATGGGAGCGGCCACACTTAAAATTTTCCTAAGTAACAATCCACTTCCTCACCCCTCTAACACTTGTTCCCACACCCAAACCAGACTTTAAAAATTATCATAATTATTACCTACTGAGGGATTTCTGGAATATAAAATTCAGGGCCAAGACTGTGGACATTAAAAGCAAAGCGTCATTATTTCGTATTGTTTTTATTTTTTTTAAATCCAACTCCTTTATATTGACTTATGCTCCTGAATAAAGCAGCTGTATATAAACTTCTGCCTCAGGCTTTGCTTTCTGGGGAACCCTGACCAAGCCAACATTACATACGTTAATTCGATTAGCTCTCCAAGAGGCTCACAGAGGACTAAAGTCTATCAGAACAGCACGGCATCTTTTGGGGAAACACAGTTGTGGAAGACCAAACTCTAGGATAAATGAAAGATTTTCCTCTGGTTATCTAGGGCAGCAAAGCTCCAAAGACGAAACAAAGCAATAATGAACTAAATAAGGCCTTAACAAAAGAAATCTAACATCATCTCCCCTGAGAGACACTTTCATTTCACAGAGTTCCACAATCCCCTGGGTACCTGTATATAAATGTGATGTACAGCATCACATTTATATTTATTAATAATATTATTATTTTGAGACAGAGTCTCGCTCTGTCACCCAGGCTGGAGTGTGATGGTATGATCATGACTCACTGCAGCCTCGATCACCTGGGCTCAAGCAATCCTCCCACCTCAGCCTCCTGAGTATCTGAGACCACAGGTGTGCACCACCACATCCGGCTATTTTTTTTTTTTTATTTTTGAAGAGACAGGGTCTCACTTTGTTGCCCAAGCTGGTCTTGAACTCCTGGCTCTTAAGCGATCCTCCTGCCTGGGCCTCCCAAAGTGCTGGGATTGCAGGCGTGAGCCACCTTCCTGGCCCACCTTTAGAGCAGTCCTCTCCTTTCTAGCTCTAGGATCTTCAGGGATTGCAACATTCAACTCTTCACCTAGATGAAACATTCGTGCACATAATTCTCCTCCCATTTTCACCTGGTGAAAACGTAGGATGGACAGATCCCAGCCCTTGATGGAGACCCATGCTCTGCTAGGTCTGGCTTTATCATTAGCTAGGAAATGTCCATTTCATCTCCTTTCATTACACTGAATTCCTTGGGAGGCAGTAAAGAATACTCAAAAGATGGGGCTCTTGGGCTGGGCGTGGTGGCTCATGCCTGTAATCCCAGCACTTTGGGAGGCTGAGGCAGGTGGATCCCGAGGTCAGGAGATCGAGACCATCCTGGCTAACATGATGAAACCCCGTCTCTACTAAAAATATCAAAAAAAATTTAGTCGGGCGTGGTGGTGTGAGTCTGTAGTCCCAGCTACTCGGGAGGCTGAGGCAGGAGAACTGCTTGAACCCGGGAGGTGAAGGTGAAGGTTGCAGTGAGCCGAGAGCGTGCCACTGCATTCCAGCCTGGGTGACAGAGTGAGACTTCATCTCAAAAAAAAAAAAAAAAAAAGATGGGGCTCTTGAGTGAAAGAGACTAGATTTACATCCCAGTTCCTGTCACTTCCCAGGTGAGCCTGGAGAAGTCACTTAACTTCTTTAAGATTCCATTCTTCCATCTGAAAAATGGGGATCACCATGGTGCCACCTTTGGTGGATTATTATAAGGATTAAATGGGATAATCTGGGTAAAGTGTTCAGCAGAGCCTGGCATATAGGAAGGACACTGTTGAAACAATTCAATGTTTTATCTAAAAGAAAAGTTTGGAAAGATGTCCTATGGGGATGATTAAAATTGCTTAGGGAAGCAAAAATGGGCCTTTACTGTGATTGAGACAAGCAGATTATCTCTGAGGGCTTTTAATTAATTTTAAAAACTACCTAAAGTACTGATACTTGTTTAGAAAGATCACTGACTCCAGGGAAAAAGCAGACTAATTTAGAACACAGATAAAGGTGTTTCTTTTAACAGTCCTTGTGGCAATGGGAACAGCACAGTTTATGATAGTTCCAAATTTTCATGCACTATTCAATGTCTATTTAAAACAGGTATTTGGGTCAGGTGTCGTGGCTCACACCTGTAATCCCAACACTTTGGGAGGTCGAGGCCAGAGGATAGCTTGAGGATGGGAGGTCGACACCAGCCTGGGGAACACAGCAAAACTCTGCCTCTATAAAAAATTAATTAGCCAGGCATGGTGGTGTATGCCTGTAGTCTCAGCTACTCAAGAGGCTGAGGTAGGAGGATGGCTTGAGCCCAGGAGCTTGAGGTTACAATGAGCTATGATTGTGCCACTGTACTCCAGCCTGGGCAAGAGAGTGGGACTCTGTCTCTAAAAAAAAAGACAATAATAATACAATACCAGACATTTGATGAGCACCTACTACATGTCACATATAACTATGCTAAACTCTGGGGACACAAAGATGAAGATACTCTACTTTGAGAAGTTCAGAATCTTATAGGTGAAACGGGTACTAACTTCTTATATGTATGTCACAGAGCAAGCTTCAAAATACTATAACAAATGCTTCCCTTTAAGGGGCTACAATGTAATTTCCCATACTGCCCAAACTGAGGAATAGTGATTACCAGGACCAATCAAATTCTTTCTTTTGGGCTCAAGGACTGGAGATACCTAAGGAAGTCAGCAGGCAGTGGAGGCAGAACTGGAAGGACAGAGGTGAAATTGCCTTTGCAAAGATTATAACAGTGAGAAAATTATGACAGTGACACAGATCTGACTTAACTGATGCCATCTTGCTTCTAACCTCCTAGCTGCCCTTGTTCTTTCCTAGGTATAGGCTAAACTAACTTTGGGAAGAAATCAGTTTACAGTTAACACTGAAACAAAGATGATAACCACCCTTTCCCAAAGCAAACCCTCTTCTTGCCTGGGGACCAGACTGCCTTTACAGGATTAACAAATTAGCCACGAGATTCAGAAATTGTAGTTTAGGAGTCATGCAACCAGAGGCCACAAGATTCTGAACCTCCCCAGTTGGTATTATTTGGACTCCACACTCCACAGACTTCAGGAAAAACAAAACAAAACAAAAAAACAAAAACACCTTTTATAAAATGAATTACCAACATTTAAAATTCAGATTTCAAAAAATTTTTATTTTAGATTTCTCTTGTAATATTGGAAGACATTACATGTTTTTCTTCATCCCACTTATGCAATTATTTTACTGTTTTGTGCTACTGGTTTTTATAAGCTACCTTGTAGTCTAATAGGCAAAGACAGAATGAATAAATAGCTAGCTAGCTACACACTCAAGCCCTGCAACTCTGGTGAGAAGGAGAGACAGAGCTGATTAAGCACTATCCTCTATCCTCAGGGAGCTTGGTGGGGGAAACATTACATGATGCAGGAACAATATTTCATGGCATAGCTTCAAATGTGTATACAAATGGTGTCAAGGATCATCCATCACTTACATTCATTTTTTAAACTGACTAAATATAAATTTTATATATTTCCTTTACAGTGTAATATAGTGCTAGGATTCCAGACTCTGGAGTCAGGTTGTCTATGTTTAAATCCCAGTAAACTGTGTGACCTTGAGCAAATTCCTTAACCTCTCTGTGATTCAGTTCCTCAACTGTAAAGTGTGGATAAAAACACCACCTACCTTATAGAGTTAAATTGCAAAGGTTAAAATAATTAGCTACCAATAAATAATAATAGTAGCACTCATCTCCTGCCAGAACTGCAGTTACTATAACTCCTCCTCCTATACTATTGTTAATATTTACAGCTCAGGGAGGCCAGTCCTGAAGGTGAACTGTCACAAATGAAGCCAGTTCTAAACGCCGAAACTGGATGGGGCAAAGAAGGGAGAAAACACTGAGGATGTGGCTCAACCGGTGAGCGTAGGTAGAAAGCTCTGGAATTCTGGAGTGGGTGCAATGAAATACCTAGAGATGCTGGAATTTCAGCTCTGGAAAACTCTTAACACGTAAAGAGAAATGTTATTGTTATTATTGTTCTCCAGAGATTACAAAAACCAAAACTATTTCAATTCACAAAAAACAAAATAAAAATTAAAAAATAAGTTGGATTTGGGGATCATTGTATTTGGTTTTTAGAAAAATGAAACATATTAAAAGACATTTCCGGTGTCCTTTTCAGATTTTTAAAAAGCGACTTCCAGGGGTTCTCCTAGGGTAAAAATAAGATTCAGCCAAGACACCTATGCCAAACAATAAATTGATCATTATACCATGTGTTACTTTAAATGCCACAGGGGCTCAGTGTAGAGTAGTTTGAGTAGTCAAAAGAACAATATCAACATTTTGGAAGTTTCAAGTCAATTTCATCATCTCATAAGATGAGAATAAGGCCCGGGAATATAAATGATTTGTCCAAATTCCATCGAAATTTGTATGGCTAGCAAGTTATATCTAGCTAGTAGTGATGTCTTAACTAATTTTCCAAAAATAAGTAAAAGAATTCCGGGCAAGGGCAAGGACTGAGGGAAGGGGGTCGGGAAGCCCTGGGATGGGCTGGGCCATCTTCGTTATTTGCGGGGAAGGAGTTGGTGCGTGTGCACCGGCCGGTCAAAGAATGGTAGTGTAGACAAGCCTGTCAGAATCGCCCAGTTATCTCCACACCCGTGTAGACACGAACGGCGCTTCCTCACCTCTTCCGACCACTGCGGGAGGAGGGTGCCGCAAGCCAGGCGCACCCCAGTGGCGCGCATCCTCCCTTCCCGGCGGCCCCTGGCAGCCACGGGGCCCGGGGCCCAGAGCCAGAACCAGGTGCGGTAGAGCGGTCCGCAGACTCGGGCGCCCGGTCTGGGGGTGGTCTGCTGTGGGGGCTGGGTCAGACTGCACACCGGGCTAGGGAGAGGGAGACCGGTCGTTGCCTCGGAGTGTCTTACCAGCTGGCGGCCCTCTTCAGCAGACCATCCGAAGGGCACACACCGAGAGCCAGCCCGGCTAGCTGCTCGCGCGGAGCTGGGGGCTCCGAGTCGGGAACGCAGCGTCGCCGTGGAGACTGCACGGCGCGTGGAGGAAGCTCGGGCAGCAGCCGAGGGTGGGGGCTGGGGGAATTGGGCGACGGCGGGGGAGGTGGCGGGGGCGGGGGCGGGGGCAGGGGCAGCCCGGGGAACCACGGAGAGGCAGGGTGGAGGCGGGCCCAGGCCGTAGGGCGGTGGAGGGCGCGGGACGGAGCGGGCGCGGCGAGGAGGGCCCGGGGCGGGGCTGGGAGGCGGGTCCGGGGGGGCGGGGCGGGGCGGGCGGCCGAGCTGAGGGACAGCCCCGCGGTTGTGGGTGTCCCGCGGCGCCGGAAACTGGGCGCACACACCCTCGGATTGACGTGCGCACGCGCACCGGTTACCTTCAGGAGCGCCGAAGAAGGAAAGAAGGTTGGAATGTCGGTGTCCATACCTGATTCTAAGCGAGGGAGAGGGAAGGGGGCGGGGTGGCCTCAGAGTTTTAAACTTGGGGAGTAAAAAGAAGTCTTGAGTTGGGAGAGATGGGTGTCCCTGGTAGTGGATGAACAAGTGTCCCCTGCAGGACTTAGTCCCCCAACCTGAGGTCGCCCCAAGAAGATTATGGGTCTCCGGGGGGAGTCCCTGGACGCCAGTTTTCCCAGAAGTCAGATTCAAGTGATTAGAACCAGAGACCCGGCTCTCCCCCAGCTAGAGCAGCCCAGGTTCCCTCTAGCGCCAGAGCTGCTGCTCTGCCACGCCGGCCAATGGGAGGTATTAGTGTTTAAGTAACTGCTTGGGTCACAGTAGGGGGTGGGGAGCTTTTCTGTTACAGAATTCTAAAGGTCCCTCAAGCTTGGCTTCTAGGAAGGAATTGGTTATTTTTCTCCACTTGGGATGCCGGAAGTAACTAGAATCAATTTGTTGCTAGGCAACGTGTTTTGAAGGACGCGTGTTTGTTGGACTCAAATCTGGATTCGACTTTCACATGGTAGACACATAATATCAGGTGTACTCCCTATTTAATCTCTGGAGTTGCTACCCGCTGAGGATATGTACCTTGGTAGATGGTTGTGAAGCTAAAATGACATAAAAATGTATAAAGCTCTGACATGTGGAAGATGCTTAATAAATAACAAATTTTATTATTATTATAATAAAAATAGAACCAGCTGGACCATTTCCGGAACCAAGAGAATACAGAGACGTGGCCATTTTTTAATTCTCTTAGTCATCTGTTCACATTCATTCTTTAAATCTCCTGTGAGCCCTTGATGATAGGTAGGAGGCAAAGGAAAAATGCCAGAATGGAAGTTTTTGAAAAGAACTCAATGGAGTCATTGACAAATACATCCCTAGTTTGATAAGGACATAGCAGGCCACTGCCTCCTCTATTACAGGAACACCCTTACATAGAAAATGTCTTGTTTGATTGAGGACTTTTCATTTAAACAAGGCCAAGGGTATGTCTTGATCAACACATTTGAAAACATTAGTTTTGTTGAATTTGCTTAGTACTGATGAATGGATAATGGCTGACTGGTTATTCCCATTGATCCACTACAAGGAAGTGTAAGAAAACCTCAAATTTGATTAAACTTTCTTTCTCTACCTATTCTTCCCCCTGACAGAAAAGCTCAAGTTCATTTGTAGGATGCAGTGTTTAGTTTACTTACTGCTCCTGAAGGGAGCAAAAATGGATTAATGGGCTGGGCACGGTGGCTCACACTTGTAATCCCAGCACTTTTTTTTTTGAGACGGAGTCTCCCTCTGTCCCCCAGGCTGGAGTGCAGTGGCGCGATCACGGCTCACTGCAAGTTCCGCCTCCCGGGTTCACGCCATTGTCCTGCCTCAGCCTCCCGAGTAGCTGGAACTACAGGCGCCCGCCACCATGCCTGGCTAATTTTTTTGTATTTTTAGTAGAGACGAGGTTTCACCGTGTTAGCCAGGATGGTTTCGATCTCCTGACCTCGTGATCCGCCCGCCTCGGACTCCCAAAGTGCTGGGATTACAGGCGTGAGCCACCGCACCTGGCAATCCCAGCACTTTGGGAGGCCGAGGTGTGCGGATCGCTTGAGCTCAGGTGTTTCAGACCAGCTTGGGCAACATGGCGAAACGCTGTCTCCACAAAAAAATATAAAAAATTAACTGGGCATAGTGGCACGGGTGCGGTGGGGTAAGGGGGGGTCGAAGCTGTAGTGAGCCTTGATTGTGCCACTGCATTCTAGCCTGGGCGACAAAGTGAGACCCTGTATTAAAAAAAAAAAAAGATTCATGACCTTGGAGAATAAAAGTATGTTCTCCACATCGAGGAGTGGTTAGAGTGATCTGGCTTCCACCTTGGGCCTCAAGGTCTTCAAGTGCCAAGTGGAAATACATGCACTACCTGCCCCTGTAGCTCAGAACATGGAATGAGAGAAAATAAAGCCCCTGACACAGAGCCTCGCACATGACAATTCGTCAACAACTGAGATATTATTACTTCTACCATAATATTCTGTATATAAATAAAAGTACTTTCAGGATAGCCGTAAGAATTAAAGATCATTAGGTAAAGTGCCTGGTCCAGTACCTATTTGAACCACTGATGATTATTTTGCTTCTCTCTGATGAAAAAGCACTACATTTCATCTTTATTTGTATAACTTGAGAAATAAGTCACCTAACTTTTCTGCAGAAGTTATTATTGGTGTTATACTCAAAAATAAAGCACAGTTTAGCCCTGGCCTGTGCATTTACACCACTGAATAAATTACCAAAAGTGTCTGTCTAGCAAGAGTTCGTTCTAACAAAGTGGAGAGGAAGAGCCAGTTTTATACAAATATTGAATCATCCCACAACTACATTTCATGAAACTCCCTGATTTTTTTTAAAAAGAGACTCTTGCTCTGTAGCCCAGGCTGCAAAGCTGGAGTGCAGTGGCCTGACCTCTCAGCTCACTGCAACCTCTGTATCCCCTCAGCCTCCTGAGTAGCTAGGACTACAGGCACAGGCCACTGCCCCCCGCTAATTTTTTTTTCTTTTTTTATAGAGACAAGGTCTCACTATGTTGCGTAGGCTGGTCTCAAACTCCTGGGCGCAAGCAATTCACCCACTTTGGCCTTCCAAGGTGCTGGGATTACATGGCGTGAGCTACCATGCCTGGCTAACTCCCTGATTTTTAATGGACTCATTTTTATTACAGATCTGAATGTTAGCAGTGCCTTATGTTAAAAATGTTTAAATCACTTTTAGTGTTTTTCTAATTATAAAACAAATGCAGAGAAACACAAAAGAAGAAATTAAAACCATCCAGAATTCTACCACTCAGTAATAACCTCAGTCAATAATTCTATTTTTCCTTCTATCCTCTTTGTGCTCACATATATATATATATATATATATATATACTTTACAACATTTGCATTAGATGTGTACACGGTGCCAGCATCCTTTTTGCTTAACTTTTCCTCTTAAACATTTCCCAAATGTATTTAAGCCTCAAAACATTTTTAATGGCTGTATAATATTTATCCATAATTTATTCAAACAGTCCCCAATTTGAAATTTTTCAACTTTTCTTATGTAATTCATTGTTTCAAAAATATTTGTTGAGGGCCGGACGCGGTGGCTCACGCCTGTAATCCCAGCACTTTTGGAGGCCGAGGCGGGCGGATCACGAGGTCAGGAGATTGAGACCATCCCAGCTAACACGGTGAAACCTCGTCTCTACTAAAAATACAAAAAATTAGCCAAGCGTGGTGGCAAGCGCCTGTAGTCCCAGCTACTCGGGAGGCTGAGGTAGGAGAATGGCGTGAACCCGGGAGGCGGAGCTTGCAGTGAGCCGAGATCGCGCCACTGCACTCCAGTCCAGGCGACAGAGTGAGACTACGTCTTAAAAAAAAAAAAAAAAAAATTGTTGAGTACTTAGTATATACCAGGCATTATGCCAGACATAAGATTTAATTGGTGAACAGTAAACTATAAAAATAAGGTTTTGATGAACATCTTTGTAAACAAATCTTTGGTGGCATCTTTCATTTTTAGACTCAATTCCTAGGACTATGAAAACAACTTCAAAAGGCATTCTTCGAGCTTCAAAGGCAAATTTAAGAAACCAAATTTCTGAACTGTAAAATATTAACTTTTTGGAAAACTACCAACAACGGAATTAATATTTATTTCGTGCGAAGTGTGAACTTACCCAGAAGATGCTTTCTTGTTAGTTACTGTGAAGTACCCAGGGTATTTGAAGTGTATTGACTTTGGCTTTTACCTCTAATCCTTTCCAGGATTTGCTGGTTTTCTCAACAGTGTGAGATTGTTTGAAGTCTATGTAAATTGCCCTACTTCCTTCTCTCAGTTAAAATGTTAACTATTTTATTTCCAGCTTTCCTCTTGTAAGCATGTGGCTTTGCTGCATTTCTTTCATTTACCTTTTCATGTGAAACATTTTGTATTTTCACATTTATTAATCTGAAGGCCGATTTTTTTTTCTTCTAAACCCAAATTATAATACATATATTCCTATAAGACATGGACTTTACATATCCTGTAGTTAATATTTGTCAAGAAACATCATATAAATTAACCAATGCATTTAGGGAATTTAATAATAGATATTATTTATTAAAAGCAACAATCTTTCCTGCAACACACCACATACACACACACACACACACACACACACACAAACACACACATACCCTACTATTCTTTGACAATTAAACATTCATATATTAGGTCAAACCATATGAAATTACCATTCGTGGATAAAAAATGGTCAAATAATGGCAACTTCATATGGCTTTATTTATATTAATATTTTATTAAGTAGTTTATATTTTTTCAACTTTCTTCAAATACTGAACTTCCTGATTATCATACTAAGGATATCCTTTTTACTGCATGAGATTGTGTTTGTTTTGACTTTCATAAGTATTAGAATCTAGTCAGGAGGGTGCCATAAAATGTTTGTTTATTATTTCAAAGACAGTAGAGGGAGCCTGGAGCCAAAACAGTGTTATTGTAGGCTTCATGGAAATGATTATTATCCTCCAATTCTTGATGTGTGGATAAATGTAAATACTAGTATATATGTGAAATACCAATTTTTTAAATATTTATTTTAAAAAAGGTTGGTCGGGTTGGGCATAGTGGCTGACGCCTATAATCCCAGCACTTTGGGAGGCCGAGGCAGGTGGATCACTTGAGGCCAGGAGTTCGAGACCAGCCTGGGTGATATGGTGAAACCCCCGTATCTATTAAAAATACAAAAATTAGCTGGGCATGGTGGGCCACTCCTGTAATTCCAGCTACTTGGGAGGCTGATGCAGGAGGACCGTTTGAGCCTAGGAGGTGGAGGCTGCAGTGAGCCGAGATTGAGTCACTACTGCACTCTGTCCTGGGCAACAGAGCAAGACTCTGTCTCAAAAAAAAAAAAAAAAAAAAAAAGTTAGTTGTGCTTAAATGACTTTCATAAGATGTGAAAGAGAAAGTTGGCAGCTGAACCTCATCTGGGCTCACACTGGGGCCAATCAGAATTTCATTGTTCTCTCTCTTCTCTGAGTATTGCTAGAGACAGCACACTGCCACACGAACACATCTGTGCTCTACAATTTCCCCCTTTTCAAACCATAGTGTTGATCGCCCTTTCATTTCCATGGGCATTAATATCATGATTCTTTATGTCAACAGAACTTCAAAATATGTTACCATTCCCAATTTTGTATCTTACAGTCATTGTAGTTTAGTTGATGGCTTCCTCCAGACATATAAGGAGGCACTTGGATCCTGTCACCAACTCATATCCTAGGAAAGTGTTTAATAACTTAACAATCCTTTCACGGACTGGGAATTTTGTTACCCTTAGTTAAAGATGTCTCTTGCTGAGCTCTCCTCAATCATCTTTGCCCTTAGCCCAATATTTTGTTAAGTACCCACTGACCCTGGTGTTACAAAGGAGTTCCTAAGGTAATAACTGGTGGTATCATCACCATTCTTTACTGTAAATAGTCTAGGGAGGGCTCCAAGTCCCTGAGGTAACAGGAATCCCTAAATCTAGAGATAAAATGGAGAAGAATCTCTCTATTGTAAAACCCAAAAGGAATCCGTAGGTAGAATCAATCGGCTACAGCAGGGTTTCCTAAACTGGTGATAAGGGAAAATTCTTCTGGTATGTTATTAACATGCAGAGAAAAAAGCATTGCCCCTGGAGGAAATTAGTTTGTTTGTTAAACTGTTAAACAAAGTTTTTTGTTTAATGTAGAATGTCTCAGAGGCTTTAGTATGCTAATATACTTTGTCAGTTTCTCAGAGGGAGTTTTTTTTAATGTGTAGGCTTTCTCAAATTTACTTGACCAGGGAATTTTGCTTTTTTTCTTAGTGCTGTTTAGGAACTCTTGAAGTACAAGATACTTCCTCTGACTGTGACTTGAAGATAGCTGTGAGAAAAAGGCCCCGCCCCACCCCCACTCAATTGAGAATCAACTAATCTAAAAGCAAATAAACCTGGGAATTGTACCCAATTATATATTGACATGAAAGGTGATGTTGTTAAAACTAAACACAAGTTGAAGGGCTTTTCATAAAAGCTGGGGAAAGCAAATGTTGGAAAAACATTCCACTGGGGTGTTTCCCCTGAATTAATAAACAAATTTAAGTCAGTCTCAAAACAAAATGAAACAGAAAACAAAGCACATGGCCCTCAAAAGTGCCCTTTTTTCCCGTCCTGAGCACCAAGAGTCTCTACATGTGGGCATCCATATTCTAATTTTCATCATTGCTCAGCTTGCCCTTGCTGGCTTTACACCGCACTGCTGAAACTGCTCTGGCAAATAGTGTCAGATTCAGAGCGGTATGTGAGAGGGGACCTTCTGCTTCTTGCCTTAGGAGATTTTTCTACTGCATTTGACATAATTACTTCTCATTCCTTTTTTTTTTTTTTTTTGAGACGGAGTCTCGCTCTGTCGCCCAGGCTGCAGTGCAGTGGCTCGATCTCGGCTCACCGCAAGCTCCGCCTCCTTGCAGTGGGTTCACTGCATTCTCCTGCCTCAGCCTCCCGAGTAGCTGGGACTACAGGCGCACGCCACCATGCCCGGCTAATTTTTTGTATTTTTAGTAGAGACGGGGTTTCACCGTGTTAGGCAGGATGGTCTCGATCTCCTGACCTTGTGATCCGCCTGCCTCCCAAAGTGCTGGGATTACAGGCGTAAGCCACCGCGTCCGGCCTCTTTTTTTTTTTTTAGATGGTGAGGTAGGAGGCAGGACTCGACTCGAGAGGCAGGGCTTGGACACTGGACCAGATTGAGAACTAGCTAAAACAGGGCCAGGATAAAATCAGCTTTCAATCAGATATACCCACTGTGTGCCATGTCAATTTACTATTGCCATAGCAACACTTGGTAGTTACCACCCCTTTCCGTGGAAATGGCCCAATGGTTACTACCCCTTCCCTAGAAATTTCTGCATAAACCATCCCTTAATCTGCATGCAAGTAAAAATGAGTGTAACTATGACTGCAAAATGCCCTGAGCTGCTATTCTCTGCCTAATGCTCCTGCTTTGCAGGAGCAGTCACAGAGCTGTAACACTGCCTCTTCAATAAAGCTGTTTTCTTCCACCCTTGGCTTGCCCTTAAATTCTTTCCTGGGCAAAACCGAGAACCCAGTGAGCTAAGGTCCACTTTGGCACTCACTTACCCTGCATCAACAGGGTCTTGCTCTGTGGCCCAGGCTGGAGTGCAGTGGCGCCGTCACAACTCACTGCAGTTTCCACCTCCCAGTCTTAAGCTATCCTCCCTCCTCAGCCACCGGAATAGCTGGGACTATAGTGTGTGCCACCATGCCTGGGTAATTTTTTTATTTATATTTTTGTAGAGATGAGGCCTTCCTGTGTTGCCCTGGCTGGTCTTGAACTCCTGGGCTCAAATGATCCTCCTACCTTGGCCTCCCAAAGTGTTGGGATTACAGGCATGAGCCACCATGCCTGGTCTTTCTCGTTTCTTTCTGAAACACTTTTCTCTTGTCTTTCATGAACCTCATTCTCCCAGTTCTCCTCTTCATGAGCTTCTTTGTGTGTTTTCTACCTGTGCTCACGCTATAAAACCTTGCTGTGCGCTAAGATCCCCTCCCACCCGTCGACATGGTCTCCCTGGTGATCTCGTTTACACTGACGGTTTTATCGACCACCTTTATGCTGACTGGCCCTAAACTGAGCTTCAGGTCACATATTATCTAACTACATGCTGGACAAATATACTTAAATATCCCATAGACATCTCAAACTCTATTTGTCCAAAGCTGAGCTTATAAGTTTTCCCTCTGCCCCAGTTGTCACTGTGTTACCACAACCTTCATGTCATTAAATTCAAAAGTAACTTTTCATCTCATCTTATTTGACCTTTCAGCTATATTTGACACATTGTATTCCTTTATTCTGAAAACATTTTGCTTTGTTTCTGTGGGTCTATATCTTGTATCTGTGACATTGTACCTTTCTGATTTTCTTACTGTTTCTGACTACCTCTTTTTTTTTTTCTTTTTTTTTTTTTGCCAATTTACATTTCTCTAGTAAATATTTAAATATTGGAGTTTCTCAAGTCTCCTCGGCTACTGCATCAGTGGTCTATCACTGCATAACAACCAATCTTGAAACTTAGTGGCTAAATGTAATCCCAGCACTTTGGGAGGCCAAGGCGGGCGAATCACCTGAGGTCAGGAGTTCAAGACCAGCCTGGCCAACGTGGTGAAAAGCTGTCTCTACTAAAAAATACAAAAATTAGCCAGGTGTGGTGGTGTGCACCTGTAGTCCCAGCTACTTGGGAGGCTGAGACAGGAGAATTGCTTGAACCCTGGAGGTGGAAGTTGCAGTGAGCCAAGATCATGCCGCTGCACTCCAGCCTGGGTGACAGAGCGAGACTCTGTCTAAAAACAAAAGAGAAAAAAAAAAAAGAAACTTAGAGGCTAAAAAAATGGCAAATATTTTATTTGATCATGATTCAATGGGGTAGCAAGTTGAGGTTGGCTTGGCTGAGGGCTTCTGCTGCTCCTATGTGTGGTCACTCATGTACTTGTCTGGTGGCTGACTGGGGCCCCTGTAATCTATGACTTTATTCTCATGTATGGGTGTTGGTGGTGGCTGTTGGCTGAGCCTTTGTCTCATTGTCGTTTACCTTCTCAAAGGGTTAATCTAGGCTTCTTAACATGGTGGTCTCAAGGGCAAGAGCAGAAGCTGCCAGTCCTCTTGACTTCTAGGCTCAGATTCCCCCTCATCACTTTCACCATATTCTATTGGTCAGAACAAGACACAAGGCCAGTTCAGAATCCAGGGGTGGAGAAATAAACTCCACCTTTTAGTGGGAGACAAAAATCACATTGCAGAGTCATGCAAATTTGGCAAGAGGCATATGTGGCTATTTTTTTTCAGTATACTACAACCCTTTCCTCTTCTTATTCATAATCATTTTCTAAGAGATTTCATCCATTCAGCTTGGCTCATTGTCCATCAATAACTCCCTAATACATGTCTTCTCAGACCTCAACTCTGAATTCACATAGCATGAGCCTCCTTGACTTCTTCTTTTGGATGTATCAATGATACAAGCTCGATAGCTCTAAAACTATATTAATGATTTTCTACCAGAAATCTTGTCCTCTTTCAGTCCCTATCTTAGTGACTATAACCACTGGCAAGTAAGAAGCCTGGGCAAACCTCTTTTTTTTTTTTCTTTCCCCATATCCAATTCATAACCCAGTCATGTCAATTTTATATTCTGAATAACTCTCCACACCATGCACTTTTCTCTGTTTCCACTTCTACCACTTTAGGCCAAGCTACTAGCACCCTTTACTTGGATTACTGCAACTGTCTCCTAATGTCACTTCATTCACTCTTGTCCCCTCTATCAAATCCATTCTCCATTCAAGAGCCAGAGTAGTCGTTTAAAATGCAATTTGATAACTTTTTGTTCAAGGTTACAAACTAAGCAGCTATGCTTGTCATCTCTTCCTCCCAACACCTTTATTAAAATAATATAAAATTTTGAAAAGCCTACATCCATAACAAAGAGAATTGAGGCAGGGCTGACCATCATTAAGTTCAACATTTTTAGAGGGAAGAAAGCAATGGAGAAATAGTGACTGATGAATCAAGATAGAGGCAGTCTAAGCCTCTATGTTGCATGGAAAATAGATCCAAAAAGAGATTCTTTTGGAAAAGTCTAGATATTTTGGACTAGATGGCTGCAGATATGAGAGACGGACATGGGACATGGAACAGAAAAAAGAGAGGTTAAGTGATGGCCTGCAATGACCACCATCCTCCTCATTCCTTCTAGGACAGAACAGTTAGTAGCCAAGTATTCCCTACCTTACCTTAGGCCAAAGAAGGAGGAGGAGGTGAAGGTGTACCTCCAAAAATATTAAATGAACTCTCTTTTTTTTTTAAAAAGATCTTCTGTCCTTCCTCTCATTCCTAAGCTATTACTGATCTGCCTTTTACCACCATAGATCTTTGTATTTTCTACAATTTTATATCAATGGAATTATACAGTATATACTTTTTTATCTAGCCTCTTTTTTTTTTTTTTTTTTTTTTTTTGAGATGGAGTCTCGCTCTGTCGCCCAGGCTGGAGTGCAGTGGCGTGATCTCGGCTCACCGCAACCTCTGCCTGCCGGGTTCACGCCATTCTCCTGCCTCAGCCTCCCGAGTACCTGGGACTACAGGCACCCACAACCATGCCCGACTAACTTTTTATATTTTTAGTAGAGACGGGGTTTCACTGTGTTAGCCAGGATGGTCTCGATCTCCGGACCTCATGATCTGCCCGCCTCGGCCTCCCAAAGTGCTGGGATTACAGGCATGAGCCACCGAGCCCGGCCTTGTCTAGCTTCTTTAACTCAGCATCATAATTTCATATTTAATCATGTTGCAAAATCAACAGTTCATTCCTTTTTATTGCCAGGCAGTAGTCCATTGCATGGATATACCACAATTTATCTGTTCACTTGTTGATGGACATTTGGGTTGTCTTCAGTTTCTGGCTGTTACAAATGGAGCTGTTATTAACATTCACATGTACGACTTCAGGCTGGGTGCAGTGACTCATGCCTGTAATTTTAATGCTTTGGGAGGCTAAGGCAGGAGGATCACTTGAGGTCAGGTGTTTGAGATCAGCCTGGGTAACATAGTGAGACTCTGTCTCTACAAAAAATACAAAAATAAAAAAAATTAACTGGGTGTGGTGGCATGTGCCTGTAGTCCTAACTACTCAAGAGGCTGAGGTGGGAGGATCACTTGAGCCCAGAAGTTTGAGACCAGCCTGGGCAACAGAGTGAGACCCCGTCTCTAATAAAATAAATTAAAATAAAATAAAATAAAAATAAATTAAAAAAAACAAAAAGACGTTCTATGGACATATACTTTTGTTTTCTTGGGTAAACACACAGGAGTGTTTTGATATATGTATGTTTCACTTAGGGTACACATAGGGTAAACACATAGGAGTAACACATAGGGTAAACACATAGGAGTCATTTGGTATATGTATGTTTCACTTTTTAAGACACTGGCAATGTGATTGTATGTTTTATGTTCTTACCAGCAGCATATGAAAATTCCAGTTCGTCTACTTCCTCACTTAGTCCAGGTATAGGCAGTCTTTTGTTTTGTTTTGTTTTGTTTTGAGATGGAGTTTCGCTCTTGTTGCCCAGGCTGGAATGCAATGGCGGGATCTCGGCTCACCACAGTCTCCGCCTCCCAGGTTCAAGCGATTCTCCATAGGCAGTCTTTTAAATTTTAGCCATTCTATTAGGTCTGTTGCATTATCTCATTGTAGTTTTAATGTTAATTTCCCCAATGATTAATGATTTTGAGTGCTTTTTTCATTTGCTGTCCATATATTTTCTTTGGTGAAGTCTTTGTTCAAATATTGGGACTGTTTAAAAATTTCCTTTCTAATTATTTAGATGGGAGGGTTTATATACAGTCTTATATTGCTTAATGGTGGGGATACTTTCTGAGAAATGTGTCATTTTGTGATTTCATCCTTGTGGGAACATCCTAGAGTGAACTTACACGAACCTAGATGGCATAGCCTACTATACACCTAGGCTGCATGGTATGGCCTGTTGCTCCTAGGCTACCAACCTCAATAGCATGTTACTGTACTGAATACCATAGGCAATTATAACACAATGATAAGTATTTGTGTATCTAAACATATCTAGGCCAGGCTCGGTGGCTCAGATCTGCAATCCCAGCACTTTGGGAGGCTAAGGCAGATAAATCACTTGAGGCCAGGAGTTCAAGACAAGCCTGGCCAACATGATGAAACCCTGTCTCTAGCTGGGCGTGGTGGTGCATGCCTGTAATCCCAGCTACTCGAGAGGCTGTGGCATGAGAATCGCTTGAATCTGGGAGGCAGAGGTTGCAGTGAGCCAAGATCATGCCACTACACTCCAGCCTGGGTGACATAGCGAGACTCTGTCTCAAAAATAAATAAACATATCTAAATATAGAAAAGGTACAGTAAAAATATGATATAATCTTATGAGACCACTGACTGTCTGCAATCTGTCCTTGACTTAAATGTTATGTAGCATAGGACTATATATAAAATATATATATACACACACATATATAGTATAAATATGTATATACTAATAAATAAATCCATATATATTGCCTTTTCATTCTCTTAAAGTGTCTTTCAAAAGCAGAAACTTTTAATTTTGATGAAGTCTAGATCAAATTTTTGCTTTTATAAATCACTATTGTGTGTTTTATATCTTTTTTTTTTTTTTTTTTTTTTTTTTTTAGAGTTTTGTTCTTGTCACTCAGGCTGGAGTGTAAAGGCGTGTTCTCGGCTCACTGCAACCTCCACCTCCCGGGTTCAAGTGATTCTCCTGCCTCAGCCTCCCAGATAGTTGGGATTACAGGTGCCCGCCACCATGCCTGGCTAATTTTTTTTTGTATTTTTAGTAGAGATGGGGTTTCTCCATGTTGGCCAGGCTGGTCTCAAACTCCTGACCTCAGGGATCCACCCGCCTCAGCCTCCCAAAGTGCTGGGATTACAGGTGTGAGCTACCACACCTGACCTGTGTGTTTTATATGTAAGAAATTTTTGCCCAATCCTAGACCAAAAAGATTTTCTATTTTCTTCCAGAAGTTTCATATGTTTAGGTTTTACATTTTTGTCTGCTATCCATCTTCCTTAATTTTTCTATATGGTACAAGGTATGAATTGAAGTCTATTTTTAGTTTGTTTATTTATTTATTTATTTATTTGAGACGAAGTCTCGCTCTGTCGCCCAGGCTTGGACTGCAGTTGTGTGATCACGGCTCACTGCAACCTCCACCTCCCGGGTTCAAGCAATTCCCCTGCCTCAGCCTCCCGAGTAGCTGGGATTACAGGCACCCACCACCATGCCTGGCTAATTTTTTGTATTTTTAGTAGAGATGGGATTTCACCATCTTGGCCAGGCTGGTCTTGAACTCTTGACCTTGTGATCCACCTGCCTTGGCCTCCCAAAGTGCTGGTATTATAGTCATGAGCCACCTTGCCTGGCCTGAAGTCTATTTTTAAAAACGTATGGTTTTCCAATTACTCCAGCACTATTTTGTTTTTTTTTTTTTGGGATGGAATTTCCCTCTTGTTGCCCAGGCTGGAGTGGAATGGTGCGATCTCAGCTCACTGCAACCTCTGCCTCCCAGGTTCGAGTGATTCTCTTGCCTCAGCCTCCCAAGTAGCTGGGATTGATTATAGGCGCCCGCCACCACACCCAGCTAATTTTTTTGTATTTTTAGTAGAGACAGGGTTTCACCATGTTGGCCAGGCTGGTCTTGAAATCCTGATCTTGCTGGGTGTGGTGGCTCACGCCTGTAAAATCCCAGCACTTTGGGAGGCCAAGGCGGGCAGATCACAAGGTCAGGAGATCGAGACCATCCTGCCTAACACAGTGAAACCCCATCACTACTAAAAGTACAAAAAATTAGCTGGGCGTCGTGGCGGGCGCCTATAGTCCCAACTACTCTGGAGGCTGAGGCAGGAGAATGGCGTGAACCCGGGAGGCGGAGCTTGCAGTGAGCCGAGACTGTGCCACTGCACTCCAGCCTGGGCGACAGAGCGAGACTCTGTCTCAAAAAAAAAGAAAGAATCCTGACCTCAGATGATCTGCCTGCCTCGGCCCTGCAAAGTGTTGGGATTACAGGCGTGAGCCACTGTGCCCAGCCAGCACTATTTGTTAAAAAATGTTTTTTCTACTCTGAATTGCCTTTGTACCTTTGCCAAAAATCAAGTGACCAAATAAATCAGTATATTTCTGGGCTCTAACATGTTACATTAATCTATTTTATTCATCAATCTTAATGTCAATTTCAAAATATCTTGATTACTGTAGATTTATAATAACTCTTGAATTCAAGTAATGTATGTCTTCTAACTTGGTTCTTCTCTGTCAGTTGTTGGTTGGGCGTGGTGGCTCAGGCTTGTAATTTCAGTGCTTTGGGAGGCCAAGGTGCCAGGATTTCTTGAGCCCAGGAGTTTGAGACCACCCTTGGCCACACAAAGAGACCCACCTCTGCAAAAAATGAAAAAAATTAGCCTGGTGTGGTGGCATGCACCTGTAGTCCCAGCTGCTCAGGAGGCTGAGGCAGGAAAATCCCTTGAGCCCAGGAATTTGAAGCTGCAATGAGGTATGATTGTGCCACTATGCTCCAGCCTGGGTGACAGAATGAGACTCTGTCAAAAAAAAGAGTTGTTTGGGCTAGTCTAGGTTTTTGGGTGCTTTTTATTGTTTTTTTGTCTTGCATTTCCATATAAATGTTAAAATCAGCTTGTCAAATTCTACAGAAAAGCCTGCTGAACTATTGATTGCAATTACATTGAATTTGGGAGAGATTTGACATTTTGTCAATATTGAGCTTTCTCACCCATGAAGATTATATATCTCTTCATTTATTTAGATCTCCTTTAATAATTTATCTTGCAGTGTTTTGTAGTGTCTTTTCTTTTTCTTTTTTCCTCTTTTTTTTTTTTTTTTTTTTTTGAGATGGAGTCTCGCTCTGTCACCCATGCTGGAGTGCAGTGGCATGATCTTGGCTCACTGCAACCTCTGCCTCCTGGGTTCAAGCGATTCTCCTGCCTCAGCCTCCCGAGTAGCTGGGATTACAGGCACACGCCACCACGCCTGGCTCATTTTGTATTTTTTTAGTAGAGATGGGGTTTCACCATATTGATCAGGCTGGTCTTGAACTCCTGACCTTGTGATCCACCCCCTTCAGCCTCCCAAAGTGCTGGGATTACAGGCGTGAGCCACCGTGTCCGGACTTTTTTTCTTCTTTTTTGAGACAGGGTCTTGCTCTGTCACCCAGGCTGGAGCGCATGGCCCACTGCAGACTCGACCTCCTGGGCTCAAGTGATCCCCCTGCCTCAGCCTCCCAAGTAGCTGAGACTACAGGGGCCTGTGAACATGCGTGGCTAACTTTTAATTTTTTTTTTTTTTTGAAACGGAGTTTTGCTTTTGTTGCCCAGGCTGGAGTGCAATGGCGTGGTCTTGGCTCACCGCAACCTCCGCCTCCCGAGTTCAGGTGATTCTCCTGCCTCAGCCTCCCGAGTAGCTGGGATTACAGGCATGTGCCACCATGCCTGGCTAAAGTTGTATTTTTTTTTTTTAGTAGAGACGGGGTTTCTCCATGTTAGTCAGGCTGGTCTCGAACTCCTGACCTCAGGTGATCCGCCCACCTCAGCCTCCCAAAGTGCTGGGATTACAGATGTGAGCTACTGCACCCGGCCAGTTTTTGTATTTTTTTGTAGAGATATGGTTTTGCCATTTTGCCCAGGCTGGTCTCAAACTAGGCTCAAGCAATCTGCCCACCTCGGCCTCTCAAAGTGCTGCGATTACAGGCTTGAGCCACGGCGCCCAGCCATGTTTTGCAGTTTCTAGTGTACAGGTCTTGAACATCTTTTGTCAGACTTATTCCTAAAGTATTTCATATTTTTTGATGCTACTGTAAAGAGTGCTTAAATTTCAATTTCTGATTATTTGCCATTAGTGTACAGAAGTACAGTTAATTTTTTTTTTTTTTTTGAGATGGAGTCTCGCTCTGTCACCCAGGCTGGAGTGCAGTGGCCTGATCTCGGTTCACTGCAACCTCCGCCTCCTGGGTTCAAGCAATTCTCTGCCTCAGCCTCCCGAGTAGCTGGGATTACAGGTGCCCGCCATCACACCTGGCTAACTTTTTTATTTTTAGTAGAGACGGGGTTTCACCATCTTGGCCAGGCTGGTCTTGAACTCCTGACCTCGTGATCCACCTGCCTCGGCCTCCCAAAGTATTGGGATTACAGGCATGAGCCACTGTGCCCGGCCAATTGGGGTCTCCCTCTTTCACCCAGACTGGACGGGATTTCGCCATGTTGCCCAGGCTGGTCTTGAACTCATGGGCTCAAGCAATCTACCTGCCTTGGCCCCCTAAAGTACTGAGATTACAGGTGTGAGACACTAAGCCCAGCCAAATACAAGTAATTTTCGTATTTTGATTTGGTATCCTGAAACTTTGCTAAATTTGCTTATTTCCGGTAGCTGTTCTGTGAATTCCACTGAATTTTATACATAGAAGAGCATGTCATCTGTGAATAAAGACAGTTTATCATTTTCTTTCATTCTAGGAGCCTATTATTTCTTTTTTTTTTGTCTTATTGCACTGGTTAGAGCCTCCAGCATAATGCTGTGTAGAAGTGGTGAGAGTAGACATCTTTGCTTTATTTTTTATCAGAGATGGGGAAAGCAGTCAGTCTTTCAACATTAAGTATAATGCTTTTGGTAGATTTTTTAATGAATACCCTTTATAAGATTTTAAGTTTCCTTCTATTCCTGAGAATTTTTGTCAGGAATAAACATTCAATTTTGCCAAATGCTTCTTCTGTACCTACTGAGATGATCACATGGTTTTTCTTTTTAAGTTTACTATTATGTTGAATTGCATTGATTTTTCTACTAGTAAACTGAACAAATTCTTGGGATAAACTAACTTAGCCATGATATATTATCTTTTAAAAATATTGCCAGATGCAATCTGCTAAAATTTTATTAAGAATTTTTACATGTACATTCATAATAACATTAGTCATTGCTTTTCTTTCTTTGTAAAGTCTTTGTCTAGTTTTGGTATCAGAGTAATACTGACCTTCTAGAATGAGTTGGAAAGTATTCTTTCTCTTCAATTTTCTGGGAGAATTTGTATAGAGTTTCTCTCTTCAATGTTTGGTAGAATTCCCAAGTGAAGCCACCTAGACATGGAGTTTCTTTGTTGGAAAGTTTTTAAAACTTTCTTTCTGGTAAATAGCTATTCTGGTTACCTATTTTTTCTTAAGTGAGCTTTGGCAGTTTATGTCTTCCAAGGAATTTGTCCATTTTGTATAAGTTGAATTATTGGCATAAAGATGTTCATAGTAGTCCTTATTGTCCTTTTATTACCTATAAAATATGTATTGATGCCACTCTTCTCATTCCTGATACTGATAATTTGGGTCTTCTCTCTTTTTTCCTTATCAGTATAATTAGAGGTTTCATAATTGTATTTGTTTTCTCAAACCAACTTTTGGTTTCATCGATCTGCTGTATTGTTTTCTGTTTTCTGTCACTGATATCTACTCTGACTTTATTATTATTATTATTATTTTGAGACAGGGTCTCACTGTGTCACCCAGGCTGGAGTGCAGTGGCACAATCATAGCTCATTGCAACTTTGAGCTCCTGGGCGCAAGTGCTCTTCCTGTCTCAGCCTCCTGAATAGCTAGGATGATGGGCATGCACCACCATGTCTGGCTTACTTTGATTTTTGATATTTCCTTTCTTTTACTTACTTTAGGTTTCATTTGGCCTTCCTTTTCAAGTTTCTTCTTAAGATGAGAGCTCTCATGTCAATGATTGAAGGCTTTTTTTTTTTCAAATATGAATGTTCAGCGCTATGAATTTCTTCCTAAGTTCAACTTTAGTTGCATTCCGCAAATTTTGAATATTGTGTCTTGCATGTTCATTTAGTTCTAAATACTTCCTAAGTTCCCTTTTCTTTTTTTTCACTGTTATAATAACTTTAATTTATCTTGCATTTTACAGAAGTCTATGAACTATTTTAAAAAAGCACCTCCTTACCCCATATCACGTTTCTCTGACAGGTGTTAAAGTAGGCAATGAGTATGTCAACAGCTTGAGCATCAGCGTCTTGCAAGGACTTCAGACCAACCAACCACTCGCCAAAAATCTTGGCAGCTTTTTTATCTTGTTTTTAATACAATGGTATATCCACTCTGATGGCAAACCTGTCCAGCCACATCTCCACAACAAGCTTTGCAAAATCAGTGATTAGCAAATTAGTTAGCTTTGGCACGGAGCTGTGCTCGCTTGCCCATGACAGCCTGGAAGCCAATTTTGATAATGGCAACAGAACATCTAGAATGACAAGTTTCGCACTGTAGGAAATAGAGTCGCATGTCCTTCTGCAGGATTGTGTCCGGTGATCGGCATGTGTGACAAGTGACATACTCCTTGATATATCTTCTCAAGACATTTTCTATCTGTTTCTGTTGGAATCTTCCTTTGATTACAAGTTGGTTATTACCATCTATAGAACCACTTGTACCCAATTCAGCCAATAAAAATGCAAGGAGATGTTTGGGTTGACGATGTAATAGTTTACAGATATCTGTAAAGTTGACAAAAGAAGTTTTCTTGGTTCCTACTCGGACGACTTGTGGAGGTTTCATGACAAATTTCCTTTTCTCCCCAGCAACCATATCTGGATTCTTTTCCCTCATGATGTTGAACACTCGATTCAGCAGCTCCTCGTATGTGTAGTCTCTTTCTGAGCCTGCCCAAGCAGGGCCTGTCTGATTACTGAATGAGATACCATCATCTTTTTTGTTGTCTTCATCTTCTAGAGCTTCATCCTCATCTGGGAACTTAACATTCTTCTTTTTCTTCTTTTTATTGCCAAGCATAATGTCAAGGTCATCCTCTGGTTCAGTTGGTTCTTGAACATCACTTTCAATCTTAAGATCCTTTACACCTTCTTCAGCTTCATCAATATCAAATATCTTTTTAGTTTTTTTCTTCTTTTTCTTTTGATTAAAGAAGTTCAAGTCATCTAGATCATCAGAAGCATCTTTTTTCCTAGTGTCCTCTTCATCAGCTTCCAAATCTTTGTCCTCAGTTGGCTCTGGCTCCACTTCTTTTGTTTCTGAAGGCCGGGTTTCCTCTGTTTGGGTATCCCCTTCCTCATCTAACATAAAAGGCTTCTTCTTCTTCTTTTTCTTCTTGCTCATAGTAGGATCAAAAATCATCTCGTCCCCAGACATGGCTGCGGCTCGAGTGGGCTCGGCACGGACGGGAAGTCAGACGGGTCAGCCCCAGGCCCCGGCGGCAGCGCTGCCCCTGCCGATACCTCTCCCACCCCTAAGCTCCCTTTTCATTTATTCTTTGACACATGAGGTATTTAGAAGTGTATGGCTTAGTTTTCAAATAATTGGGGATTTTGCAGAGATCTTTCTGTTGTTGCTTTCTAATTCAATTCCATTGTGATCAGAGAATATACTTTGTATGACTTGAATTCTATTAAACATATTTGTACTTTTTAGTGCCCAGACTATGGTCTATCCTGGTAAATGTTTTAGATGCACATGTAAAGAATATGTATTCAGTTGTTGTTACATGGGGAGTTCTATAAATGTCAATTAGGTCAAGTTGGTTGATAGTTTTGTTCAAATCTTCTATATCTTACTGATTTTAGGTCCACTTAATCCTACCAATTATTGAAAGAAGGGTGTCAAAATCTCCAACTATAATTGTATACTTGTTTATTTCTCTTTGCAATTTTATCAGCTTCTCTACATGTGTTTGCAAGTTCTGTTAGTAGGGACATAAACATTTAGGATTGTTATAGCCTCTTGATAAACTGATCATTTTGTCAAAATTAAATGACCCTTTTTATCCCTAGTAATATTCTTTGCTCTGTAATCTACTTTGTCTGATACTAATATAGCCCCCAGACTTTTTTTGATTTGTGTTACCATGATAGATCTATCTTTTATCCTATTACTTTTTATCTATTTGTGTCCTTATATATAAAGCTGGTCCCTAGTAGTTAGAATAGATTTGCATCTTGCCTTTTTAACCAGTCTTATATCTTCGCCTTTTAATTGTTTAGACCACTTTAATTTAATATTATGTTGATATGGTTGGGATTATATATTATTTGTTTTCTATTCATCCTACCTGTTCTTTATTCCCTTTTTCCTATTTTTCTTCATTGTCTTGGATTAAATTATTTTTATGATTAAATTATATCTCCTTTGTTGGTTTATTAGTATAACTCTTTGCTGTATTATTTCAGTGATTGCTAAGGCATAGAGTAGACATCTTTAACTTATGACAATCTATCTTTGAGTAATATACCACTACACGTAGAATATAAGAAATGTAAAACATGCTTCCTTTTCTCCCCTCTTGTCCTTTGTGCTTTTGTTGTCCTATATTTCTATATGTGTTATATATATGTGTTATATTTACATTTAGTTTCCAAATAGATAATACATTGTCTTATTTTTTGCTTTAAAGAGTTGGTTATCTTTTAAAGAGATTTAAATAATAAGAAAAAACTTTATATTTACCCACATAGTTACCATCTCCACTATACTTCATTCCTTTATGTAGTTGCAGATTTATATCTGGTAGCATTTTCCTTCTGCTTGAAGGATTACTGTTAGCATTTCTTGTAGTGCTGGTCTGGTGATGATAAATTCTTTTGGCTTTTGTATGTCTAAAAAGGGTCCCTGTTTTGCCTTCCGTTTTTTCACAGAGATTTTGGCTGGGTAAAGGATTTTGTGTTGCCAGTGATTCCCTCTCCTTCCCTCCCTTCAGGACATTAAAAAATGTTGCTCCATTGTCTTGCACCTTCATTTGCCATGCTACACTTGCATTGTTTCTAAAACGAAATCTGTCATACTGTTCTTTGTTTTTCTGCATGTGATGTTGTTTTGCCTCTATCTGCTTTTATGATTCTCTCTTTATTACTATTTTTAAGCAATTTTATTACTCTGAGCCTTGATGTAGTTTCTTCCAAGTTTCTTATGCTTGAGGTTTGGTGAGTGATATGGTTTGGTTCTGTGTCCCCACCCAAAATTTCATCCTGAATTGTAATCCCCATAATCCTCACGTGTCAAGGGTGGGACCAGGTGGAATAATCGGATCATGGGGTGGTTCCCCCATCCTGTTCTGATAGGGAATGAGTCTCATGAGATCTGATGGTTTTATAAGTATCTGGCATTTCCCCTGCTTGTACTCCCTCCATCCTGCTGCCCTGTGAAGAAAGCGCCTGCTTCTCCTTTGCCTTCCACCATGATCGTAAGTTTCCTGAGGCCTCCTCAGCAGTGTGAAACTGTGAGTCAATTAAACCTCTTTACTTCTAAATTACCCAGTCTGGGGCAGTTTATAGCAGCTTGAGAATGGACTAATACAGTGAGCATTGTGAATTTGTTGGTTTATCATTTTATCAAATTTGGAAAATTTCATCCATTATTACTTGACATACGATTCTCTCTTCCCTCATTTTTCTTCTGTGGGAACTTTAGTTACACATGTATTAGGCCCCTTGTCCCACAGCTTGCTGATATTCTGTTCATTTCTTTTTTTAATATTTTTTTCTCTGTGTGTTTCATTTTGGATAGTTTCTATGAAAATGTCTTCAAATTCACTAATCATTTCTTCTGCAATGTGCAATCTGACATTAATCCCATCCTGTGTGTTTTTCATATTAGACATTTTAGTTTTCATCTCTAAAAGTTTGATATGGATCTTTTTTATAACTTCCATGTCTTCAATTACATGCTCAACCTTTTCTCTAGCTTCTTGATGATAATTATAATAATGGCTGCATTAATACCCTTGTCCACGAATTCTATCATTTGTATCAAATCTAGGTTAGTTTCAAATTACTAATCTTACAAACACCCCTCCCCCTGTTTTTTTGTTTCTTTTATAAGAGACAGGGTCTTGCTCTGTTGGCCACACTTCAGTGCAGCAATGTGATCATAGCTCACTGCAGCCTTGAATGTGTCTAGGTCAAAATGAGATGTACCCAAGTGTAAAATATACACTGAATTTTGAAGATGTGGTTTCAAAAAGTAAAGAATATGAAATATCTAATGAATTTTTATATTGATTGCATATTATAATGATAGTACTTTGCATATATGTGTTAAGTAAAATGTTATCAAAAGAAATTTCACCTGTTTCATTTTACTTTTTTAAATGTGGCTGGTAGAATATTTTAAATTACATATGTTACTCACTTTATATTTCTATTAGCAGTCCCTAGATTTTATTATCAATCACAGAAAATCCTCCTTAATTTCCATTTTAATCACCCTGTTCGCTGAACATTATTTTCTCAGCTCACTTCCTATGGGACTCCACCTCTAATAACTTTTCCTTCCCACTAAACTTTTAATTCACTGATGCTATTACCTTTTCACTGAACCTTCTCCCCTCCCCTAGGGTCCTCACAGCCTTTCTTACCTAGCTAAAATGCCATGTTCAATCATTAAAAAAACATTTTTTTTGAGACAAGGTCTCACTCTGTCACCCAGGCTCAAGTGCGGTGGCGCCATCACAGCTCATACAGCCTCAAACTCCAGGGCTCAGGTGATCTTCCCACCTCAGCCACCTAAGTAGTGGGGACTACAGGTGCATGCCACCACATCCGGCTTTTTTTTCTTTTTATCTTTTTTTTTTTTTTTTTGAGATGGGGTCTCATTATGTTGCCCTGGCTGGTCTTAAACTCTTGGGCTCAAGCAATCTGCCCGCTTTGGCCTCCCAAAGTACTGGGATTACAGGTGTGAGCCACCACGTCTGGCCACAATCATTTTAATCACTCCCTGGCATATACCTTTAAATCCCTTATGCTTCTGCATGGGTAATGGACTTATCAGGAACATGACTGGCTGATCTTAGAGAGCATGATGAGTCAGGAGCTGAAGTTTATACAAACGTGTTGCTGCACAATCTAGTGGTGTACTGTGATGACGTTTCTTTTCTTATATGGTCTTTTTTTTTTTTCTTCCCTATTGTTCATTGTTGGCCTGTATCACATCTTTAAATTCTCAAAACTACTTGCTTGGTTAAATCTACAACCCTGGTTAAATCCAGATCTCTGACTCCTTCATGCCTGTATCAGCACAGCAGACTGCGGCTGATGGAAACATATGACCAGTTTCACTTCAGATTCTTCCTGGTTAATCTCAGGAGACCCTCAGTGCAGCCCTCCCTCATACCACATGTGCTCAGTCTGTCTGCTCTCCTTCTCTCCTGTACCAGTGGTTTTCAAACTGCGATGGCTTACCAAGGAGAAAAGAGTTGAAGGGAATTAGCTACCAGATCCTCAACATCTACATGGGGTTTCCTAAAATTCACATCACAAAGTTTCTTCTCTCACTGTGCAAAACAAAGGCAATCTCTCACCCCCTCCAATCTCAGGGTGGCCCTGAGGATCTCAATACCACCTGGGCTAAGCCACAGGGCAGTTCCCTGTCACCTCTGATCAAGACACAGAAACATTTAACATTTCTCTGTTCTGAGTATATTTCCATTCAAGGGAAGTCAGCATTTGACCCACATTGAAGTGTTTTCAGTTCCTATACATTGTAGAGTAGGGTGGTAGATCACTGACAATTTTCGTTGAAAGACCCAGACTTTTTTTTGTCAAGAATGCATCACTCTTGGGGGAGAGTCCAGGAGAACAAAGAGATGATTAGTGAGAAATATTGGTGAGGATATTGATTGGTAAATTATTGACTATTAATGAGAAAAAGATTTTTTTTTAGAGTTAATTAAAAAAAAAATTGAGACCGGGTCTCACTACTTTGCCCAGGCTGGTCTCAAACTCTTAGGCTCAAGAGATCCTCCCTCGTTAGTCTTCCAAAGTGCTAGGATTACAGGCATAAGCCACTACGCCTGGCCAAAAAAAAAAAATGACTTTTTAAATGTATTTAAACATTAGAGAACCTTTTTCTCTATTCTCATCCTTAGGGCTATGTTATTAGCTAGGAAGAAAAAACCTTTTTGAATAGCAAATCAGTGTAAGTTAATAACAACAATTCTTCCACTGTAACTGGAATGATTTCTGAGATTACCAGTTTTAAAAAGATATATTAAATAAAAGCTATAGATAAAACTTTTATGTGATTTCTTTCAGATTGGGTGTACTGTATTAAATAATATAGTTAGTACCTATTTTATAAAATTATATCATGAAATATTTCACTTACAGTCAACTTTCATAAAGTGTTAAATATTATCTACCTCCTATTAAAAAATGGTTGCTAGTGGCCGGGTGCAGTGGCTCACGCCTGTAATCCCAGCACTTTGGGAGGCTGAGGTGGGTGGATCACTTGCGCTCAGGAGTTCAAGACCAGCCTGGCCAACATGGTGAAACCCCATCTCTACTAAACATACAAAAAATTAGCTGGGTTTGGTGGCCCATGCCTGCAGTCCCAGATACTCAGGAGGCTGAGGCATGAGAGTTGCTTGAACCTGGGAGGCAGAGGTTGCAGTGAGATGAGATCATGCCACTGAACTCCAGCCTGGGTTACAGAGCGAGACCCTGTCTCAAAAAAACAGAATTTTTTTTTAGTCAGCTATGAAGTTTTATTTCATTAAATAAACAGAAAAATGTAATTATGATATATAATGCAATTAATGGAGTTACTTCTGATTTTTATTTAAAAGCTTTACTAAATTATTCTCAAAAGTAGACTATCAGAGATCTTATATGCACACAAACATAAATTTAAATTAACTATTTAAATTACTTAAAAATTTGTAAATAAACAATGGGACTAATAAATAATGCAATTAGAAGTAATTAACAATAGGACTAACTAAACATGTGTGAGCAAAATATGACAATATTTTAATAACTTTCTTCTTGTCCTTTGATACAGCAATTTGTTTTATCTTTTTTTAACTCTATATTAGGTATTTAAATTTTGCAGGTTCTATTATTATATATTCTTAAGAAAAATACATATTTTAAAAGAACATAAATAGTATTATTAACCAGATATTACCTATATTTAATAAAAAATTGCAATAACATGTTTCCTTCTGTCCTGTGATATGGTAGGTTTTTTTTTTTAATCTTCTGTTGCCTTTTTCATGTTTATTTTATTATTTTTTTATTTTTTGAGATGGAGTTTCTTTCTTGTTGCCCAGGCTGGAGTGCAATGGCATGATCATTCAAGCAATTCTCCTGCTTCAGCCTCCTGAGTAGCTGGGATTACAGGCATGCACCACCATGCCTGGCTAATTTTGTATTTTTAGTAGAGACGGGATTTCACCATGTTAGTCAGGCTGGTCTTGAACTCCTGACCTCAGGTGATCTGCCCGCCTTGGCCTCCCAAAGTGCTGGGATTACAGGCGTGAGCCACTGCGCCCGGCCGCCTTTTTCAATAATATTTCTCTGAACTGCCTGCAGCTTTTACGACATCCTTCCTTCCTTTTATGCAGTGGTAAAACTGAATACAGTCAAATGTAAATTCATTTTGACTTGCAGCTCTGCTATTATCAAGTCCGTATTATAGAAGTTTATAAACAGAATGGAATTTCCCAGGATTTTCCCAGCAGCACTTTCTGCTGAATATGCAGATAGATGAGGAAAGTCTAGTGTTTTTTTTGAACAAAGTATCAACAATTTTTTGTTTTCTGCTTTCTGTAGTTTCACTAAAATCTTCATAGAAATAAGGCAATTGTTTGAAACTCAATTTTTCAAATTAAAGTAACTAAGAGCAGGAAAACATTTTGTTGTTGCTATAATTCGACTCATTTCTTAATATGTTATAGGAGGCATGATCATAGGTACAGCCTGATGAGATGAGTTCCAAAGGGCTGTACTGTGTTGAACAATGTCACCCCCAACATTAAAATTCATGTCCACCTGCAACCTGTGAATGTGACCTTATTTGGAAATAAGGGTCTTTGTAGATGTAATCAAGTTAAGATGAAGTCATACTGGATTAGGGTGGGCCATAAATCCAATATAACTGCTGTCCTTAAGAGGGAAATTCAGACAGACAGACAGACAGACAGATAGACACACACACGGAAGACGTGTGATTCCAGGTGAGGCTGGAAGGAGAAATTGGAATACTGTAGCTTCAGGTGAAGGCATGCCAAGGACTGCCAGGATTACCTGAAGCTAGGATGGAGGCATGCAATAGGTTCATCCCTAGAACCTCGGAGGGAGCACAGTCCTGCTGACGCCTTGATTGCAGAGTTTCCTTCTCCAGAACTATGAGAGGATAAATTTGTTGTGTCAAGCCACCTGTTTTGTGGTACTTGGTTATGGCAGCCCTAGCAACCTATTACAGGGGCCAACATGTCAGTTCTCAAATTTCCCCCTTTTGTTTGCCCACAGGACATTATAGCTTCAGCTTGCGAATCAGGAAATGTAACTTCACTCACTTCCATAGTGCCATCAAGAGAATGATAAAATACTGTGTGTTTGTTCATGTGGTATGCCCATACCAATTCAGTGGTCACTGTTCTTAACTGAACTTAGGTGTCTTTGGGAGACCAAAAAAAAAAACCTCTTCTGATTTAGAAATTCTTCCTTGTCTAATCCCAGAATTGTGAAATCCAGCGTCCACATGTGTTTTCGCAATCACCTTTTCCGCAACGCCCAGGCCAAAGCTGTTTTCTGCATATTGTGCAATGTGCGCCATTTTGGCGACTTACCTCCCTAATCAAGTCGTATGTGTCCTTCCTTCTGTCCTTAAAAGAACACAGTCATTTAGCGTTCCTTTTCAGCGAGATCTGGGTCATGCTGGTGATATTGCAGTTGTTCTATTTTTCACGATCTGAACTTTTAGAAAATATTGCCACAATATTCACAATGTTAAAAATTAAACTAGCACTCTCTCTGGAATAAGGAGTCTGGTTCCACTCTTTGGCGTTTGACTAGCAACAGCATTGAGCCCCACCTCTCTGTCTCTCTGTCTGCCCCACACCTGGGCAAGCTGATAAGAAAGGCTGGGTGTTCTCTCTGTGCTGTGGAGAGACTCAAACTACATAAGCTCCTCCCAACGGGGGAGCCCTCACCCCGCCCCCCACCCCCTAACTGCAATAAAACTCAGAGCCAGTCTCTGTTCCCTGCTCTCTCAAGCCATTCTGGATTTACAGAGAGGCCTGCTCTGCTTTCCCCAGAGACTTCAAGTATGTAAGTAATCAACCTTTCCGTTATCTCTTGAGGTGTACTTGGCATTATGAGTCTTAACATCTGAACTGAACTTTGGGTGGGGCTTATCCTAGTTCTCCAGAGTGGTCACAGTAATCTTCAGACATTGGGTGGGGCGCAATGGCTCACGCCTGTAATCCCAGGTAGGAGGATCACTTGAGCCCAGGAGTTTGAGATCAGCCTGGGCAACACAGGGAGACCCTGTCTCTGCAAAAAATAAAAAATTAGCTGGGTGTGGTGGCACGTGCCTGTGGTCCCAGCTACTCAGGAGGCTAAGGTGGGAGGATCGCTTGAGCCTGGGAAGTTAAGGCTGCAGTGAGCCATGATTGTGCCAATGCCCTCCAATCTGAGTGACAGAGCAAGATCCTGTCTCAAAAAAAAAAAAAGCACAACGGTTAATCTATAGGTTAGGTCAAACAGACTATTAATACCCACAATTGCAACTCAAGTTGTATACTTAATTCCTGTTACTTGAAGTGATGCCACAATGGGTGATCCATTATGTTAACCACAAACTACTGTTGCCAACCTCAGTGGTCAGGAAAAATCAGTGATAGTGACTCCCAAAGGCAGAGAGTCTATGCTGTATCCATTTAACACTATAAATAGCATGGCTTTCAGTCTCTAGTTTTCAGGGCCACTGTATAGGTTTTGTATTTTCTCTCCAACTTCTGCCCCCGTTACTGACAACCAGAACGTTTCATATCCTTGGGAGGGATTTGCCAGGACACAGGGCTTTCAGAGCTAAAACTGGGGCAGTTTCAGTGAGAGACCTCGAGCAAGAACTGCTCAGATGAATCCTATCCAAATTCCTGACCTACAGAAACCATGAGTGATGACAGTAAATTGCTGTTTTGAGCAACTAAGTTTTTGGGGTGATTGGTTATGCAGTACAGACAATTAAAACAGCAACAAGGCCAGGCGCAGTGGCTCTCACCTGTAATCCCAGCACTTTGGGAGGACGAGGTGGGCAGATCATGAGGTCAGGAGTTCAAGACCAGCCTGGCCAACATGGTGAAACCCCATCTCTACTAAAAATACAAAAATTAGCCTGGTGCAGTGGCGAGTCCCTGTAATCCCAGCTACTCAGGAGGCTAAGACAGGAGAATTGCTTGAACCCGGGAGGTGGAGGTTGCAGTGAGCTGAGATCGCGCCATTGCACTCCAGCCTGGGCAACAGAGCGAGACTCTGTCTCAAACAAAACAAAACAAAACATAAAACAGCAACTCAAACTGGCTACAGCAGAGCCTGTATCTTTTCTTTTAAACTCTAGTCTCCCTACAGTCTTCTCCGTCTCCTTATGTGACAACTCTGCTCTTCCAGGTGCTCAGGTAAAAACCCTGGAGTCATCTTGACTGCATTTTCTCCCACATCCAATCATTCACCAATCATATTGGCTCTACCTTCAAAATAGACCAAGATTCTGACCTCTTCTCATCTCCTTCACTGCCATCACCCTACTTCAGGCCACCATCATCCTTTGCTTAGATTGTTTCGAGTCTCCCAACTACTTTTCCTGCTTCCTCCCCACCCCCTTCAGTCTCTTCTTATCACAGTATCCAGAGTGGGTCATGTTCACGTGTACGTTGGATCCTGTCCATCCACTGCTCAAACCCTCTCAAGGTTATCTGCCTCTGCTATAGTAAAAGCCAAAGTCCTTGCTTTGACTTCTAAGGCCCTCCATGATCTGCTCCCCATGACTTCTCTGTCTTTATTCCCCTCTACTATCCCCCTTGGTCAATCTTCTCTAGCCACATGAGCTTCCTTGCTGTTGCTTGAATACAGTAAGCACACTCCTGTCTTAGGGCCATTGTACTTGCTGTTCCCTTTGCCTGGAATGCTGTTCCAGCAGATGGCTGCTTGTCTTGATCTCTCACTTCCTTAAGTTACCTTCTCAGAGCAGCCTTCCCTGCCCAGCCTACCTAAAATTTCAGCTCCTTTGATCGACTCTTATTCTTCTTCCTTGTCTTATTCCCCTCTTAGTACTTTCCATTACCCAGCATGCTCTATAGTTTACATATCTGTTTTTTGTTTGTCTCCCCACTGAAATGAAAGCTCTGTGAAGGCAAGGATTTCTGTCCTTTTTATTCCCTGTTCTATCCCTAGAGCCTAGAGAACTGTGCCCAAAACATAGCAAACTCTTAATAAACATTCACTGTTCAATGGGTAGTCATCATAGTGATTGACACTGCATATTGATTTTCAAATTTAGAATCAGCACTTAGGAAAATAACAGAAGATAATTATGATTACAGAACAGTATGTAAATGCTTTCAACCTTAAGGATGGTACAGTATGATGACAGAGGTTTGGAGGTGATCAGGGAAGGAGAGGTGAAAAGAAGGGAAAGGACACCAATGTCTTCATCTTGCAAAGTATCAGAAACAAGAGACTGGCTCTGATGGTTAGAAAATGAAGTAAACTTATAAGCACAAAATTGAAAGTTGTAACTTATGGTTGTAAGCATAACTGATAGAACTAGAAACAATGAATTAACATGGGAGAGAGATGGAAGTGATGATATGAATCATAACTTTGAGTTCATCAATAATATTGGCAATGTCTGCTTTTGTCTGATTTCCCTAGAACACAGAGCCCGAGGCAAAGCTTAAGTGCTTACGCTTTTGTCGGGAGGTACAGACCCAGCTCTGCGAGAGCCAGGGGAAAAGGAAGAGAGGCAGGGAAGGAATGGCAGCAAGTACAAGGTGATGAATGACTGCACTGGCCATTGCTTCATGAAGAGCCACGAAAAAACAGAGCCGGTTTCTCAGCAGGTGGCTGGCTGCTCAGTCACAAAGGACCTCTTTGGACAGGCTTTATGGAAATACTGTGCCTAGGACAGTCGCTCAAAGGCAGGAGGGAGAGAAAATGCATCTGCAAGCTCACTTTGTCTTCTTTCTTCTGCTGGTCAAAATTTGCTGGCTGGGGCAGTTAACGCCCTCACACATCCGAGTTGTGTCACCTGGCCCCTTTGGTAGCCACTGGGGAAGCCAGATCTAGGCATGTGGCCTGATGGCTCCTGCGGTGGAACCACATGCTCACACTCAGTCAGTCACCACTGGGATGCCCTGGGCAGGGCAGGCTGAGTGGCTGGGAGATAGCTGAGCCTAAGATATCTAAGCAAGCACCTGTGATGTATGCACTGCAGTGTCCAAATGTGAAAAAGCAAGAAAGGGAGATAGAAGCATATTTTTTTCTGGAGAGAAGGAGGAAACCACCAGGAGAATACAAACAGAAAAAAGGTAAGGTGGTTGTCTCTGGAGGTGGGAAAGAGGTTGGAGAGCAGAATGTTGCATCTTATTATTATTAGCATTCCTGCACAATTTTTTAAATGCATGGATACATTGATAGAAATCACTTTTTAAAAACTCAAAAACTAGGTTTTATCACTCCTCTTTCCCAAATTCTTCAATGGTGTCCCATTGCTTTTAGGATAATTGAAACAGATTGAGCAACACTATTTTTCTGTGGGAATATTAGCTCTTAGACACTGCAAGTTAATATTGTTGTTATTTATATAGCCTAAGTTTGTTCTATTAAAAATTTACTATTCAGGCTGGGTGCAGTGGCTCTTGCCTGTAATCCTAGCACTTTGGGAGGCCAGGGTGCGTGGATCACTTGAGCCCAGGAGTTCCAGAATGGGCCTGGTCAACATGGCAAGATCCCATCTCTACAAAATTTTTTTTTTAATTAGCTGGGCATTGTGGCAGGTGCCTGCAGTCCCTGCTACTTGGGAGGCTGAGGTGGGAGGATCGCTTGTGCTTAGGAGGTCGAGATTGCAATGAGCTGTGATTGCACTATTGCACTCCAACCTGGGCAACAGAGCAGGACTGTGTCTCAAAAAAAAAAAAAAATCACTATTGAAATACTCAGTGAAGTATCAGTGATTTTGTAGTAAGCTTCCACAAGTACAATATTTAAGGGAAAAAAAGTGCAGCTGCTCATTTTGATTTTAGGGGGTTTCAGTTCTGAACTAAAGTCCCTGAATATCAAGGTCCTGCTGGCCTCTCCTGGCTCACAGTGAGTGACTTCCTCTTTCTTTCTGCTCAAACCATATTGGCTCCTTTTCTGCTTGTTGGACCCCTGAGTCTTTCTTCCACTTCAGGCTTTTGCACCAGGAGCTCCCTTTATGCCCATGACTCCTCTCCTCAACCCATCCTCCAACACGCCTAGTCCAGTATTTACCAAGCTTCAGGTTTACACCTAACACCTTCATGTTTGCCCTTTCTGTGTAATGCGTACTCTATTATTTTTCTTATGATCTTTTTTACATTGACAGCTTTTAAAACTTAAATACATTTATTTTACAAGGAAATTTTATATGCCAACGTAAATGGAAAGCCAATTTCACTGGCCACAAATAATGCAAAACCATAAAATACAGAATAATGACAATAATATATCTGTGTACCACTAGTTTCTGTAACATACTTTGCAACACCCTAGTTTAATTACTTTTTACTCATTGTTGAGTTATTTATTAGCTTAAATATTGCTTTGTTTTAGGGAAGTCTTCTCTAACTGCTTGGACTAGACCAAGCTCCTATGCAGCACATTCCTGGACCATGACTGCATAACATTTGTGAGCTACGCAGCACTCATAGTTACATATTTGTGTGATTATTTTACAGTGTTTGCCTTGCCAACTGGACTTAAGCTTCATGAGAACAGGATTTGTATTAATTTTGCTCCCCTCACATCTGTGCTGACCACAGCGTGAGCCTATTGTTAATGCTTAAAAAATACCTACGGAATGAATAAGTGAATACCTGTATGAAATTATCACCTGAGAGCAACCAACTTCCTTTGTTTTGCTTCCATGCCCACCAATACGTCTTCTAACTACAATGAAGTTTCCTCAAATTCCTCTTCTTTTTTTTAGAGACAGGGTCTTTCAGTCTGTCACCCAGGCTGGAGTGCAGTGGCTCAATCATAGCTCACTGTAACCTCCAATTCCTGGGCTCCAATGATCCTTCTGCCTCAGCCTCCTAAGTAGCTAGAACTACAGGCACATATCACCATGCACAACTAATTTCTTGAAAAATTTTTGTAGCCCAGGAGTTCCAGACCAGCCTGGTCAACATGGCAAGATCCCATCTCTACACTATATTGCCCAGGCTGGTCTCAAACTCCTGGGCTCAAGCAATCCTCCTGCCTCAGCCTCCTGCATAGCTGGGACTACACATTTGCATCACTGTACTCAGCTCTGAAATTATTTTTGAAAGAAAGCAGGGTAAATATAAGTAATGTATGAATAAATGAATAGATGGATTTCAGGAAGAGGGTGGCCTGGAGTGGCAAATCATAGTTACCAAAATGACTGCAACAGTCTCTCCCATTCCACGTGTTCTGCAGAGGGACTTTGTCACTCCCACATCAAGAGACAGAATCTGGCCGGGCACGGTGGCTCATGCCTGTAATTCCAGCACTTTGGGAGGCTGAAGCAGGCAGATCACTTGAGGTCAGGAGTTCGGGACCAGCCTGGCCAACATGGTGAAACCCCATCTCTACCAAAAATACAAAAATTAGCTGGGCATGGTGGCACATGCCTGTAAGCCCAGCTACTCAAGAGGCTGAGGCACAAGCATCGCTTGAACCCGGGAAGCGGAGGTTGCAGTGAGCTGAGATTGTGCCACTGCACTCCAGCCTGGGTGATGGAGAACTCTGTCTCAAAACTAAATAAATTAAAAAAGAAAAAAAGACACAGAATCTAATTCCCTCCTTTTGAATATATATTAGTCTAAGTGACTCACTTGAACCAACAAATGTGACTTCCAAAGCTAATCAGAAAGGTCAGTCAGCTTCCACCTTTCTCTTAGAACATTCACGGCCTGGCTGTGCCTCTCAGGACACTCCCTCACCGGGCCCAGCCACCATGCTGTGAAGAGCCAAGCCACATGGGAAAGCCACGTGGCAGGTTTTCTGGTTGCCAGCTCCAGCTGAGCCCAGTCTTCAAGCCACCCTAGCCCAGGCAACAGACATGTGAGTGGGGCAGCCGCCAGGTGATTCCTGCCCCTAGTCATTCCAGTTTTCCCAACTGACACCCTAGATATTGTGGGGCAAAAATAGACCATCCTTGTTGTACTGTATCTGAATTCCTGACCCACAGAATCTGTGAGCACAGTAAGATAACTATTGTCTACACCACTAAGTTTTGGGGGTGGTTTGTTGTGGAGTAATAGATAACCAGAACAGAATTTGGTACCTGGAAGTGGGATTCTCCCATAACAAAAACCCAAAACATAAGCGAAAGCAATCAGCTTTTGACTAGTCAGCAGAAAGAAGCTTGTGGAAATAAAGGAAGATCAACCAAATGAGAATAACCAAAGGCTATTTATTTAGAGCTTGCTGTAGCAAGGGAGCCAGCTGCCATTACTTGCATTTGGGAAGACACTCAAAAGCAGGCGGGAGTGGGAAAGCTTTTAGTGGAAAAAAGGGAAGGCTTTGGGTATGCCCTATTGGAGGCTGCTGGCATTGGGAAGCTTTAGTTAGGCTAACTAGAAGTGGGGCATCCTCTTTGACTGGTTAGACTGCACATTTGGCTTTCCCTGGTTGGCTGTAAGTTGGAAGTGGGGACAAAAATAAAAAAATTAGGGAAGCTGTCAGTTATTAATCAAGTCTTGGTCATTTGGGGCCAGTTGTTACAGAGGCTATTGTTTGGTTTCCTGGATTGTTGCTAGAGATAGCAGACTGATTTCTAGTAGGCTTGCTTCTTCGGCTGGTTTCTCTAAATCATGGGCTGGTTTTCTAGGTTGGTTGCTGCAGATTGTGGGTCAGAGTTCTATTTTTTCATATTTTCTGGCCATTGTCTGTATGTATATTCAGTCTTTCAGGCTTAAATGGCCTTGAGAAGTTTGTTGGTGAAAGCTGGACTGACCTTGAGAAGACTACCAGTGAAGGCTGGAAAGATGGGGAGGAAGTTATGACTGGAGGGTGGAAGAAAAGTGACCTCGTTAAATGTAGCAAAAGGTTTAGCAACATTGCCACCTACAGTAACACTGAAAATAGAAAATATACCTAATGAACCAGTGGGTTTGGCCAAGGATATTTCCTGGCAGACAATTTAAAGTGTCAATTTGTTTCTACTTATGATGAAATATGGCTGGAGAAAGAGGAACTGTCAGTTTTCCAGCACACTTTAGAGGAAGTATGGAGGGCTCAAATCAGTCTTTCTAGTTAGCAAAGCATTCTGAAGGTCCTCAGTGCAATGGCTGAATTGGGGGCACATTCTGATACTAAATTCAGTCTCAATAGCAGCTCACATCCCTCCCACATAGAAAATGTACTCTCCCTTTCCTGAAGGTCTACAGAGTCTTATCCTATTACTGCATCAGTTCAAAGTCCAAGATTTTGCCATCAAATCAGGTGCCAGCGCTGATGAGGTTTCTCGGGTACAGCCCCTTTAGTATGGTTTCTCGAAATCTGGAAGACCTGAGGGCCAAAGACACAAGTGGTGTTTTAAGATCCTTGAAAGGCCTACTTCTGTCTGAAAGTGTTCATGAGGTACCATCTGAAATCTTTCTGAGGTCTTATAACAGTATTTAGAGTCACATCGGTGGCTGCATCTTTTCTACGTGGGAGGGATGTGAGCGGCTATTGCTGGCATGTGGGCTGTGACAGATTGCGCTTTTCCAAAGATGATGGTGTTGATGAAAAGAGTCAAACTCTGTAAAATAGTAAAAGAGGTTTATTCTGAGCCAAATATGAGTGACCAAGGCCCGAGACGCTGTCTCAAGAGGTCCTGAGAACATGTGCCCAATGTGGCTGGGTTACAGCTTGATTTTATATATTTTAGGGGGACAGAAGTTACAGGCAGACATCAATCAATACATGTGAGGTGTACATTGGTTTGATCCAGAAAGGTGAGACAACTCAAAGCAGGGGCTTCCAGGTCACAGATGGATTCAACAACTTTCTGACTGGCAATTGCTAGAGAGAGCTAAGTTATTATCTAAAGACTTGGAGTTGGCTGGGCACAGTGGCTCCCGCCTGTAATCCCAGCACTTTGGGAGGCTGAGGAGGGCAGATCACTTGAGGTCAGGAGTTTGAGACTAGCATGGCAAACATGGTGAAACCCTGTCTCTACTAAAAATACAAAAATTAGCCGGGCATGGTGGCACATGCCTGTAATCCCAGCTACTCGGGAGACTGAGGCAGGAGAATCAGTTGAACCCGGGAGGCAGAGGTTGCAGTGAGCTGAGGTCATGCCGTTGCACTCCAGCCTGGGCAACACAGTGAGACTCTGTCTCAAAAAAAAAAAAAAAAAAAAAAAGAAGACTTGGAATCAATAGAAAGGAATGACTGGGTTAAGTTAAGGGGTTGTGGACACCAAAGTTTTTATTATGTAGATGAAGCCTCCAGCTAGCAGGATTCAGAGAGAATAGATGGTAAATGTCTCTTATCAGACCCTAAAGGATACCGGACTCAGTTTAATCTCTCCTGGATCAGGAAAAGACCTGTAAAGAGAAGGGGATTTTCTACAGAATGGAGAATTTTCTCCAACAGAGATAGATAGTTTTTCAGGGTCATTGCAAAATACATCAAAGAAACATATTTAGGGGTAAAATACTTTGATTACTTTCA
Source organism: Homo sapiens (assembly GCF_000001405.40). Lineage (NCBI taxonomy): Eukaryota > Metazoa > Chordata > Mammalia > Primates > Hominidae > Homo > Homo sapiens. The sequence goes on along the minus strand of NC_000002.12, from coordinate 170,735,290 downwards.
GGGCCTGCTATTTGTCGTGTGATGCTATACTACAGTCAGCCTGGAATTTGGTATCTTATTGTTACAAACAGTCTCTTTTGTCCATATATATATATATATATTTTTTTTTTTTTTTTTTTTAAGACAGGGTGTCTCTCTGTCTCCCAGACTGGAGTGCAGTGGCGCAATCTCAGCTCACTGCAACCTCCGCCACCCAAGTTGAAGTGATTCTCCTGCCTCAGCCTCCCTAGTAGCTGGGATTACAAGTGTGCACCACCACACCTGGCTAATTTTTGTATTTTTAGTAAAGAGAGGGTTTTACTATGTTGGCCAGGCTGGTCTTGAACTCCTGACCTCGGGTGATCCACCCCCCTTGGCCTCCCAAAGTGCTGGGATTACAAGTGTGAGCCACCACGCCAGCTCTTTTGTCAGTCTTCAGATCTCTGTTTCAATGCTAATGCTGGTCAGTTGTGCCTGAATTTCAAGGGAGGAGGGCACAGTGAGGCATGTCTAACCCTCCCTTTCCATCATGGCTTGAACTAGTTTTTCAGGTTTACTTTGGAATGCCCTTGGCCAAGAGGAGGAGTCCATTCAGTTGGCTGGGGGGCTTAGAATTTTATTTTTGGTTTACAGTGGAAGATGGATCCTTTGCAATGTGAATTGGCCACTCCCCCTTCAAGTTCTGGAGTCTACTCCAGAACTAGATTCCCTTGAATCTAGGCTAGCCTTAGTGATTTGCTTATAACCAATAAATTGTGACAGAATTATCATTAAAAAGACATTCCCTCTTGGAACCCAGCTGCCATGTTGTGTGAAACACAAGCCATGTGTGGAGGCCACAAATAGGTGCTCTGGTTGACAAACTCAACTGAGCTCAGACTTCAATTCATGCTAGCTCAGGTACCAGGCATGTCAGCAAAGCAGTCTCCAGATGATTCTAGCTCCCAGGCATTCAAGTCACCCCCAATGGAGTCATTCCTAAAGGAGGCTCCAGACACTGTAGGACACAGCCCACTCTCACTGTGCCCTTTGTGAATTCCTGTCCTGCAGAGTACATGAGCATAGTACAATGGTTACTATTTTATGCCATTAAGTATTGGGGTGGTTCTACTTAGCAATAGGTAAGCCAGAACACCTGGTTAGATACACAAGCGTTCATAAGAATCATGTCATTTTCAAGCAGGAAAAGACCTCAAGAGATCATCCAGTCCTCCTTCCTCAGTTTTCAGATAAGGAATCAGAGTTACATGACTTGCCTGAAGTCATGCAATTAGCTGGCAGACCAAGAGTCTGAAGTCCTTTCCCATTACAATACAGACATGCTCATCATGCCCTGCAAACTCCTATGAACTGGAACTACAGCAGCTGTTCTGCCAGGGACAGGTTCTTCTCTAAAGTTCCAGCTCTCTGGAGGGAGAAAGCCCTGACTTTGGGTAAGCCTTTAAACTGAAGCTCCCTGTGGGGTCTATCTAAAGAGTCATCCCTCACTTTACTAGGCTGGCCAACTTGGTTCTTCCTTTTCTCAGTCTTCCTTGGTCTTTCTCCCTCTCTTCCTTGTGGCTTCTTCCACTCCACTATTTTCTTCTCTTTCCCTTTTACAACACTGGGTATTGAAATACTGTGTATCAATCAATGGCCTTGAGGGGCACAGAGTATGCTTGAAATTATGGGGTAAGACTCATAACAGAAGTGAAAGGGATCATCCAGCTGTTGGTAGTTATCAGAGGAGCTCAAGATTTGAAAGAGACAGAAGTAGAACACCCCATCTACAAGGAGACTCCTGACACATCTCATCAGTCACCAAGGTCCTAAGGAATTACATTTGGAAATTCTTTAATCTCTCTTCCACTTATATGATCTCAGAGAAGTGAAGTGATTTTCCTAGATCATACATACTCTTTGTGCCTCTTTGGAAATCCCAAAGCATCAAAATGGGTAGTTGCATTTTTCTCCTTTAAAGATTTTATTTGTGGCTTTTTAATATTTAAATCACTGATATTCAAAGGTACATTTTCAACATCAAAAATTTAGACTTTATAGATAGCAGCATTAAGTTCTAGCATTGGGAACACATTAAAAGGATGCTTTTCAAGTGTTTAATGGAACATATGTATCTTCTCAAGAGTGGTGCTTTAGCATGACTATAAAGAGGGGAAATTCTAAAACAAGGCCATATTCTTCAGAGGAAAAAAGTAAGCCTTATGAAGAAAGAAAACAGAAAATCAGATTTTTAAAGCCTGGTCTGGGAAGATATTTAGGGGTTGTTTAACTAAACTCAAGTATATCTAAGAGGTTGACAATTCATTCTGTCCCACTGAAGAGCTGGAAATATAAAGGAATCATTAAGTTTAAACCTAGTAAAATTGTTGGTTTGGGTTCTATGTTGCTGTTTTTATCTATTTTCTAGAAAGCTTTCACATTTCCAGAAAAGAAAGAGAAATGATTTTTATATATTTAGTTTTAACACAATGTCTTGCTCTGTCACTGAGGCTGGAGGGCAGTGGCGCCATCTCTGCTTACTGCAACCTCTGCCTGCTGGATTCAAGCAATCCTCCCACCTCAGCCTCCCGAGTAGCTGGGACTACAGGCATGTGCCACCATCCCCTGCTAAACTTGTTTGTTTGTTTGTTTGTATTTATAGTAGAGACAGGTTTTGCCATGTTGCCCAGGCTGATCTCGAACTCCTGAGCTCGAGCGATCTTTCCACCTTGGCCTCCCAAAGTGCTGGGATTACAGGTGTGAACCACCACGCCCAGTCCAGAAGGATGAATGATTTAACTAAACACACAGATGGAGAGACTGGTGCACAAAAAAGTAAACATAGTTGATCAAGGTCAAGGATTGGTCCATTTAAATCACAGTTCTTTACTGCTTTTGGATTATGAATTCTTTCAGGATTCAACTAAAGTTTGGATGCACTCTCCAGAAAAATTTGGACATTAAAAAATTTGCATATGTCTTAGTCAGTTCTGGCTACTATAACAGAGTTCCATAAACCTGGTAGCCTATAAACAACAGAAATTTATTTTTCATAGTTCTGGAGGCTGGGAGCCCAAGGTAAGAGTAACAACATGGTTGGGTTCTGGTGAGGGCCCTCTTCAGGTTTCAGACAGCCAACTTCTCATTGCATCCTTACATGGCAGAAACAGGACTAGGGAACTCCTTGGGGTCTCTTTTATAAGGGCAGTAATCCCATTTATGAGGGCTCCACCCTCATGACCTAATGACCTTCCAAAAGCTCCACCTCCTAATACCATGACATGGTGGGTTAGGATTTCAACATATGAATTTTGAGGAGACAGAAACATTCCATCTATAACAGCATACAATGCCCATTCATGAATTCCACATCTGTGAATCTCTGGGCTAAATATAGGATAAATCCAGACAATGGATAAAGTGGTTAAAATGATGAACTCCATCTTCTATGTTTTGAAGTAGAAATTGAGCCCTATTACTGAAAGGGTTTAAGGAGTAGACCATAGAATAGGACCATATAAGTAGTATAATACTGTTTTTATTAAATATTTATATTGTGCATATACAGCAAAACAATTTTATTGAGTACTTGTTATGTACCATTTTTCTAAGTTATTTAATCTATATATTTTATTTTTTAATGAATGAATTTTTTTCTTTTTTAAATTTCAATAATTTGGGGGAAACAGGTGGTGTTTGGTTGCAAGGAAATGTTCTTTAGTGGTGATTTCTGAGATTTTGGTGCACCCATCTCCCAAGCAGTGTACACTGTACCCAATGTGTAGTCTTTTATCACTCACTCCACTCCTACCCTTCCCCTTGAGTCCCTAAAGTCCATTATATCATTCTTATGTCTTTGCATCCCCATAGCTTAGCTCCCAGTTATAAGAGAGAACACACAATGTTTGGTTTTTCATTCTTGAGTTATTTAATTCACTTAGTTATCTATTCACTTAGAATAATAGTCTCCAACTCTATCCAGGTTGCTGCAAACACCATTATTTCATTCCCTTGTATTCCATGTTAACCTGTACAACTTAATCCCCACAGCAACCCTATAAGTTAGACACTATTGTTATAACCATTTTGCAAATGAGGAAATCACACACACACACACACACACACACACACACTCAAACTGGAAGCCACGAGGTTAGGAATCATATCCAGCATCTGGGACACGGCAAGGCACACTGAAGGTGATACATAAAGTTGTGTTGATTTAATGAATGAGCCAAATGTTAACAGTTTTTTTTTTTTCAACAGAGGTAGAGGATAAGGCAACCCTTTTATTGTCTACTTCTGTTTTGTACTTAATTTTTTTTCTTTTTTTAGATGGAGTTGAGCTCTGTCGCCCAGGCTGGAGTGCAGTGGCACCATCTCAGCTGACTGTGACCTCCGCCTCCTGGGTTCAAGTGATTCTCCTGCATCAGCCTCCCGAGTAGCTGGGACTACAGGTGCACACCACCATGCCCGGCTAATTTTTGTATTTTTAGTAGAGACGGGGTTTTGCCATGATGGCCAGGTTTGGTCTCAAACTCCTAACCTCAAGTGATCCACCCTCCTCAGCCTCCCAAAGTGCTGGGATTACAGGCGTGAGCCACTGCGCCCCGCCTACTTGAATTTTTTTTTTTTTTTTTTTTTTTGAGACAGAGTTTTGCTCCTGTTGCCCAGGCTGGAGTGCAACGGCATGATCTCGACTCACTGCAACCTCTGCCTCCTGGGTTCAAGTGATTCTCCTGCCTCAGCCTCCCAAATAGCTGGGATTACAGGTGCCCACCACTGTGCCTGGCTGATTGTATTTTTAGTAGAGATGGGGTTTCATCATGTTGGTCAGGCTGGTCTTGAACTCCAGACCTCAGGTGATCGGACTGCCTCGGCCTCCCAAAGTGCTGGGATTACAGGCATGACCCACTGTGCCCGGACCTGCTTGAATTTTTATGATGAGCATGTTGGCAGATCACGGTTAGTTTTCAACAAATATCCATGTGCTTCTCTATGTTTCCCAATCTCTGTGCTTCTAGGTGTGTTTGTGGGACTAATTCTCACCAATGGAATGTGTGTGGAAGTAATGCGTCTCCTTCAGGCTGAGGCAGTTAAGAGACAAGGACTATTGGGGGCCATCTCTGAGGCTAGCTATCACAGAGACCATAAGATATTCAGCAACGTGATAGACTCAGTTTGCCTGTGTAATTTATAGAGGACATGAAGACAAATTTCAGGTTGCTGTTTTGTTGTATAATTCCCTGAAATTATCTTGTTTATTGGGTCTTTCCTGCCTTACTGGAATATCAGCTTCCTGAGAGTGTAAAGCTCGTGTCTGTTCTGCTGTCTGCTGTTTCCCTGGCGCCTGACACAGTGACTGCCACATGAGAAGAGCCCCTAAAATAGTGAAATAAATGAAGAATCACATGAGTGAAATCCTCTTGGTACCTGAGTATGGGCAAAGCTGGAAAACAGTGATGGAGTTTTCCATAGCAGCATCCTAAGAAGACACCCTTAAGCTAGTGAGAACGCATTTTGAGGACATCAGCAAACACAGCCTAAGAGGGGCTTAAATGGTGATATCACCTGGGCTTGCTTTCTCAGGTACTCTTTTAAAAGGATGTAATTCACAGCTGTCCCAAGAAGACTCACCAGGAACACCGTTAATAACTGCCTTAGAAGCATTTTGTGATCTATCATTTAGGATATTTGTTTAGTTGCTGTAACAGGTACCAAGTAACCATGGCTTAAACAAGATGGTCTGTCTTTCAAATAAAAGTCCAGCTGGTAGGCAGCCCAGGAAAGGTGGGCTGCTCTGCTTCTTGTGATGGTCTGAGGACCCTTATGCCTTCTGTTTTGTTGCTTTGCCATCCTCTCGGGTGTTGTCCTATCCACATGATTGAGTTAAATGCCCAACATTATGTCCGCATTCCAGCCTCAAGAAAGAGGAAAGAAGAAAGGGAGAGCATGCAACTTTCTTTTAAGGATGTGACCTAGAAGTGACATACATCACTTAGGCTCACATGCCATTGGTGGGAACTTAGTCATATGGCCACAACTAGTTGCAAGTGAGGCTGGGATATGTCATCTCTAGATGGACAATCATGTACCTCCCAAAAACTTGGGGATTACTATTACCAAAAGGAAGAAAGAAAATATGAATGGGTGGGATTGGCAGTCTCTCATCAGTAGGAAAGCATCATGACTGATGCTGAGAAACTCTTTGCCCAAGTCTTTATGGCCTATATATGTAACTCCATATTACTGACAGTGTGCATCACAGGGTGTGGTAGGTGGCTTCTAAAATGGCCTCAAATGATTCCTGTCTCCTGGTACTCATGCCCTTGTGTAATCCCTTTTTCTTGAATGACTTCCTTCAAGTTAATAGACTGTTGATAGGCTGCCACTTCTATGATTAGATTATTAAAGATGTACCTCCATTTTCCTAGCTGACTTTATTGCCTTTGCAGCTTGCAAGCTTTGATGAAGCAGCCATGTTGGGGAGGCCCATATAGCAAGAAACCAAAGTCAGTCTCCAGGCAATAGCCAACAAAGAACTGAGGTCCTCAGTCCAATAGCCCACAAAGAACTGAATCCTACCAATAACCACTTGAGTTTGGAAATGGATCCCTTACCAATCGAGCCTTCAGATTAGACCCCAGCCTTGGCTGACACCTTCACTGTAGCCTTTTATGTAAGATCCTGAAGCAGATGACGCAACTAAACTGTGCCTGGACTTCTGATGCACAGAACCCGTGAGATAATAAATGTATGTTGTTTGAAGCCTCTAAGTTGGTGGTAATTTGTTGCAACAAAAAAAAACTAATACATAGGGGTCTTTGTTAAGACTGCTGCTCTGGGTCTAACTGTTTTAGGAGCACCATACCTGTTCCTTCTGAGGCATGGCCCTTCCATACCTCCAGATCCATCAGTCCTCCACACAACACATACCCACACCACTACCATCTCTTCTCCATCTGAGACACTCTCCTTCTCTCTTCAGCTGTGGCTTCTTCCACCTCCTGCCTTGTGGTTTTTGCTTTTTTTTTTTTTCCCTTTGAATGGTCACTCAACATACTCTTCTAAGTTAGTTTAGATTATGATAATAGCCAGGAAGGTAGTGGTACAGGAATGTCTTTAAAAGCTGGAGAAATGAGACTTGGGGAATGCAAAGGAATGACTGTTAGACATTGGGAAGTTGAGATTGCCTCAGAGAAGCCATCAGACCCAGGATCTGGAAGAGACAGACAGAGACAGTTAGCATCTTCCTAGAACCACCACCATATCCCCACTCAAACAGCTCAAGGAAGAAAGGGATTCTGGTCTTTAATCTGAACCCACCTCTTATAGATGCCAATGGGAAGAGACACTACCAGTTAAAACTATGGCATATTTACTATACTGACCATACTTGTAGTACCTTATATTCACAACAAATACTTATTGAGTATATAGTATGTGCCAGGCATTATATTAGGCTCCAGTATGTGGTAGTGAATAGCCTCTGCTCTCCTGATGTTCCTAAATATTTCCTGTCAACGTTCTGTATTTCTTACTAGACTGCCAGCTCCGTGACAGCAAGAACCTTGTATGACTTTTTCATGATGGATGTTCATCTGTGCCATCTGTAAATATTGAATAAATATTTGTGGAATACATGAATCTAAAAGTGAATGGAATGATAAAGAGGTAAGATATCAGGTGAGGGAGTAAGATTTTACAGTACGGTGACTTTACTAGAATGCAAACTCTATGAGGGCTGGACCTTGATGAGTATTGGTTGCTTCATCTGTACAATAAAGAGGCTTGATTTGGTGAACTCTGAAATCATTTTGGTTATAAACCTCAATGACTCTGATTCTGAACTGTCACAGAAAGATATGAGCCCAGAATAAAATATCTAGAACATATATATTTAACTCAATTTTTGTGACTTCAGTTCAGAATTTAATTAATTTTAGTTGGGAATTTAGCAAACCCACGTGATCATTTAGTGTCTTTATTCTTATATTTTGACAGGGAAAGGGTCATGACATCTACTACAGCATTTGGCACAGACCCAGGTAAATAAGATAAAACTTCTAAGTCACTTCTCCTCTTCGAGATCATGGAATATATTGTGTCAGACCTCAGCAATCAGCTGTGGACTTTTTAAAAAGGAAAATCAGATATGGATTTATTACCTGAGCATTTGCCGTTGTCAAAATGTGTAGATGTTACCCCATTCACTAGGTTTTCTCTTGTAAGGAAGCATTTCTCTAATGGTGATCTTCCAACCACCTGTCTTAGAGTCACTGGGGTGATGTTTATAATGAAACTAGCTTCCTCACCACTAGACCAAACGAATTAGCAGTTCTAGGGATGTAGCTCAGGATCCTCCATTTAAATAAGCATCCCAGGTAATTTTCATGCATGTAAAAAGCTGAGAGCCACCATTCTTAGTACTTTGGCAACTTCAGACCAAAGCTTCTCTCCATACTTCTTCCGAGTCTTCTCTCAGTCTCTATGCTCCTCAACCATCTCTCCCTTTGCTAGGCTGCTGGATTCCTATTGAATGTGCTTACTTGTGTAATGCACATGGATAATGATGTTTTCATTGGATCTGGCATGCTGTTTTCTCCTCTGTTAAATGAGAGAATCAGAGTTGCTGATTTTCTTTTTTTTTTTTTTTTTTAAAGACAGAATCTCCCTCTGTCACCCAGTCTAGAGTGCAGTGGCGTGATCTCGGCTCACTGCAACCTCCGCCTCCCCAGTTCAAGTGATTCTCCTGCCTCCTGAGTAGCTGGGATTATAGGCGCCTGCAACCACGCCCAGCTAATTTTTGTATTTTTAGTAGAGATGGGGTTTCACCATTTTGGCCATGGTTGGCCAGGCTGGTCTTGAACTCCTGACCTCAGGTGATCCACCCGCCTCAGCCTTCCAAAGTGCTAGGATTACAGGCTTGAGCCACCGTGCCCAGCCTCAGAGTCGGTGATTTTTAAGTCTCCAACCCCAACATGCTAAATTCTGTAAGTTGTGGCTGGGAAGATTTATCTTGTCTTAGAGAGCTCCCTTGATCTCTCAGGGATTGGGGCCTCCTTGGGAATATGCTACAGTCAGCATCATCCTAGCTTCTTGTTATTGTTCACTAGGGAGGCCTCCTAAAGGACCCCAAACAATGATGATTAGATAGTTTAGACTTGGGGGCAGAGTGAGGGGCCCATTCTCTGAAAAAAAAAAAATCATAGAATCATAGAGGTATTTTCATTTATGTTACAGGTTTCCCTGGTACTGGTAATTCCCAGCAGCTTTCTACAATTCCAAAGGTCAGAAATAAACTGCCAAAAAATTTTTACTAAATCATGTTCTGGTCTGGGATACAGCCCTGAAATGCACTTTGAGCAAGAAAGACTTTGTAGAGGAGAAAAAAGGTGGACCAATGAGGATTGGGCTAGAACCAGAGGAAAGTGAACATTCTTGGTTTAGATAAATATCCACAACCTTCTAAGGTTTTCATGTGTACTACAGAGAAGCTCCAGGCTCCTACATTTCCCTGTGGGTAGTTTTAAAAAGCTACTGTAGCAAAACAGAGGCTGGTGGTGACTACGCTTATCTTTTAGAAGAGCCATCATTGCATTTCTGCAGCACAGAATATATACGTGTTTTTTACTCTTAGTGGTGGAGTTTATATGTGACTCATGATGTTTAGTTGTTAATCATCCAATGATACTAAATACTGCTTAGTTAGCTCAGTATTCCCTTTAGGAAACCAGATATTGCTAAAGTCACTGTTCGACTTAATGGGGAAAATTCCACTAACATCTAAAATATGTGATTTATAATTCAAAAATGTAAATACTGTATTGGTATTACATACTATAAAAGGACAATTGTCTACACAATTACATAACATGCATGTAAGGATCAATATTTAATTAAGACTATTTTTGTATTCTCATTGGGAGTTAGAGCCCAATATTCTCAATTGGGTGAGAATTTCAGCCAAATGGTCTATCCATTTTCTTTTCTTTCTTTCTTTTTTTTTTTTGAGACAGATCTTGCTTTGTTGCCCAGGCTGGAGTGCAATGGTGTGATTTTGGCTCACTGCAACCTCCGCCTCCTGGGTTCAAGCGATTCTCCTGTCTCAGACTCCCGAATAGCTGGGATTACAGGTGTGCACCACCATGCCTGGCTAATTTTTGTATTTTTAGTAGAGGTGGGGTTTCACCATGTTGGTTAGGCTGGTGTCAAACTCCTGACCTCAGGTGATCTGCCTGCCTCGGCCTCCCAAAGTGGTGGGATTACAGGCGTGAGCCACTGTGCCTGGCCAGTCTATCCATTTTCTATTTCCCCAAAGTAACTTGTGAGAAATGTCTTAGGCTAGAATTTGCTTATATATTTTCCATCTTGCACATGGTTAAAACGTGCAGTTTCCTAAACCAGTGGTTCTCGAACATCAGTGTGCATTAGAATCACCTGGAGGGCTGGTTAAAACACAGATTGCCAGGCCGTTCTCAGGGTTTCTGATTTAGTAAGTCTGGCGGTTGGACCCGAGAATCTGCATTTCTAACCAGTGATTCCCAAGTGATGCTGATGCTGCAGGTCTGGGGACCAATGTCTTGAACTAACAGCTCTGAATAAAAATCTAATTGGATTCTGAATGCCACAGATGCAGTTTGGAGATTGTTTTTCAAAGCAGAATATCCATTTGTGGAATAAAAAAGTTTATCATTGTTATTACCTGAAGTAATTTCTCTTTCCTTTGTGTTTTTAGAGGAGTTTTGTTGGTCGCTTTTATCAGGCATTAGGCCTTGTATTACATTCATTTGTGCCTATGCTTTATCTCCTTTGTGACTGTGAGCTCTTTGAAGGACTGTGTTCATCTTTAAATCCTCATTGTACCTTACATCTTGTAGACTTCAAATCATTGTTTGGTAAATTGAATTTAGTGATGTGTACATGTTTTGTGCCTGCTTTCCTACATGTAATAATTATAAACAACAAATATCAAGTTAAGTATGCAGCTCACATATTCTTTTTTTTTTTTTTTTTGAGACAGAATCTCACTCTGCCACCCAGGCTGGAGTGCAGTGGCGTGGTCTCCGCTCACTGCAACCTCTGCCTCCTGGGTTCAAGCAATTCTCCTGCCTCAGCCTCCCAAGTAGCTGGGATTATAGGCATGGCATGCACCACTGTGCCCAGCTATAATAAGATTTATTCAGACTTTTTGGCTTACAGATGTTAGATTTGAGGCATTTCAGCTTTGGAAGAGACCATAAGGATAATTCAAGTCCAAAGGTCGTTAAAGTCCACCACATCTCCTCTACAGCCTACTCATACTCACCTTTAGTTAAAAAAAAAAACAAAACACAAAACACAAAATTCCAAAAACCTGGGGTGAGGGAGGCACCTTCCTTCCTGGGGTCCATTTCAAATTTGAGAAGGTGCTCAAACCTTGCCTTTCTACTTCTACCTAAATGACCCTATTTCAACCCCTTTTGATATCCTGTTTAGATAGGATATTCTCCACGTCTGTTATTCCCCATTTGTTTCCCCTTTCTTTACTCCTAGACCTCCCTGCTCCAGAAGCAAGGGGGCAGCCACAGCCCCACAGCCTCTAGCTGCTGGCTGCTCAGGGCACGCAGGCTTGCTATTGACAAGTCTGAATCATGACTGATGAAGGGAGTGCTCTCTCCCTAGAAAACAACTTGGCAACTTTCTACTTCAAACCCAGGCTCACTACAGAATTTCTTACCACAATGACTTTCTTGGCAGCTGTCTGCAGTACTATCAAGAGATGACATGGACTTCAAGGATCAAACAGGGGAGAAAAAGGCTTAAAAGAAAAACAAGTCTCCATCAAAGGTAATAACCACAATGAGAACTATACATAGCTATGTGCTTATAGGTCTTAGTTCACATTCCCCTCATTAAAATTATAGCTCAAGAAATAAAGGGCTGTTTAATGACTTGGGTATATAAATATACTTCATTTGTATATTTTTTACTTGCTAAAATCTATCCAAATTGGTATTACCTCAAACCATAATCTTCTACTGTATTTTATAATTTTACTTTATTGCCATGTATTTTTCCCACTGATGTTCACAAATTCACAGGAAACATCAGCCATGTACTAAATAAAATATGAATTGAATCGACAAATAGAACTATAAATTTAATTCAAGCACATGTAAAATTTAGACCAAAGAATAAAAATGTCTATTAAAAATACAGCCAAGCATGGTGGCTCACACCTGTAATCCCAGCACTTTGGGAGGCCGAGGTGGGTGAATCATCTGAGGTCAAGAGTTTGAGACCAGCTGGCCATTGTGGTGAAACCCCATCTCTACTAAAATACAAAAATTAGCTGGGTGTGATGGTGGGCACCTGTAATCCCACTACTTGGGAGGCTGAGGCAGGAGAATCGCTTGAACCCAGGAGGCGGAGGTTGCAGTGAGCCGAGATCCTGTCACTGCACTCTAGCCTGGGCGACAGAGAGACTGTTTCAAAAAAAAAAAAAAAAACAAAAAAACCCAAAAAAAACAATAGATTTAAAATACTACAGTTTAGAATCCTGTTGAGTTCCGCATTATTGGGAGCAAAATCAAATCATGGACATAAATACGTTGAGAAAAGCAGGAGAGACACATGACACAAAATGAAAGTTTCCATGCTAGAAATGGACATGGATATATAGAAGATGTGTGACATCCACAAGTCAGAATGGAAAAGAAAGCAAGACATAGAATTTATAAGAATAAAACTCACATAGAGATAAGAGAAATGAGCTTTCATGGTATCTGATGTAGGCTTTTGGGAAATTGCCACCAAATATTTTTAAAATTAGGACACATTTTCCCAACCATAAGCATAAATGAGTTAGCCTTGATATTTGCTTCATGAATTGGGTAAAATTAAGCTGAGGGCCAGATGTTTTCCATCTGTGTTTTAGATTATGCTAAACATAAAATGATTAGAAAGCACCCATATATGACTGGTTTAACTCTACATGAAAAAATCAGATGACATTTAGACACTGCCTTAGACTTTAGAAAATTTTAGTGTATTTTGATGTCAGAATTTTGACAAGTAATGAAAATATTAGATGAATAGTTTTACTGTAAAACAAACTTCCATTTCATAATAGGCATAATGAATCTTCATAATGCTGAAACAACTTTTTGAAAAGTGAAAGCTGTAGATTTTCCAAGTGGTATCAAACTAAGAGTTGGGTTTATTTACCCTGAATTACATTTTGGTATGAGGTAGACAACCAAAATGTATTAGTTAATGTGGTTTATTATGTGTTGTGCAGATACTACTATAGTTCATATGCATAGGCTGATTTATGAATTAAGTCTCAAATATCCAATAGAGGATTATACTTTAGATAATTGCTAAAGACACGGAAAGAAAAGTGCATAAAGTCTAGAAAGGGAAGTCATCAAAATGTCAGCATGAAACTATATCAATCATCATGTACAAATCTTCAATTGGTAATAAGCTGTAATAGTAAAACAATTGCGAAACTATCAATCCGTAGCTGTTTGATTACATCTTTGTTGAACAAATATCACTTGTTAATTATAGTCAGGAACATTAAGTTATTGTATAATGTCCATAAATTAATCTGAAACATTGCTGTCTCTGGCAACATAGTAGATTCTTTAAAAATAATCAAGGAAGGAGCAACTGACATCAAGATCTTTATACAAAAATGTGTTGAGTCTGAACATGAGAGAAAAATATACTGTCTATATTAAATAAATCACATGCCACACTAATCAGGTTACCATTATAGTGGCCCAATAATGAAACATGTTCTTTTGTCGTATTAATCTAAACATATATCTCATTACTAACATACATCTATCTAGATATTTTCCTTATTTTTTCCTACTCTATTGAACTATGTTGGTGCATGACATTTCAAAACTGCCCTGGGTCTCATACTCCTTTAAAGTTCTCTCTATCATGCAAACCAGAAGGTCATGATATTTAATAGAAAATTAATATTGCTTGTTTTGAGTGGCCCTCAATTTGCGACATTAGCAAACTATAATTACACTTACTATAACACAAAGCTTAAAGTTTGAATCTGATTCTATAACACAGACTATTTCCCAGTGAGAATGGGCAACTTACCTTGACTAGTCATTATTTAATGTGATGAGCTAATGCAAGTAAAAGTGGCTTGCAATTTTAGAGCCCTAAACAACTTACTAGATGTTTACATGAATTTGAAGTCATAGCTACAGCTATAACATTCTGTGAAACAGTCATAGCAGAAATGAAATAAATAGAAAACACTGAAGATGTTGCTTTCAACTAATACTTAAAACCCCACAATATTAGAATAAAAAATAGTACAGCTTGGGGTAAAAAAACTGACTTTTCTACAAATGTCATTGTTTCAAATAGGTTTCTGCAAGAGGCATGCTTGGCAAGATTAATTTTTTAATTGGCATGTCTTGTTTGATTAAAGTAAAATAATTTAAAAGAATATACAATATACGGCCGGGCACGGTGGCTCACGCCTGTAATCCCAGCACTTTGGGAGGCCAAGGTGGGCGGATCATGAGGTCAAGAGATTGAGACCATCCTGGCCAACATGGTAAAACTCTGTCTCTACTAAAAATACAAAAATTAGCCAGGCATGGTGGCACGCACCTGTAGTCCCAGCTACTCAGGAGGCTGAGGCAGGAAAACTGCTTGAACCCGGGAGGCAGAGGTTGCAGTGAGCCGAGATGGTGCCACTGCACTGCAGCCTGGCGACAGAGTGAGACTCCGTCTAAAAAAAAAAACAAAAAAACAAAAAAAAAAACAAAAATATAGTCATAAGATTTAAACACTAGTTGAAACTAGAAAATAACATGGAGATTACAGTTGTATTTTCTTTAACGTAATTTACTTTCATTCATTACCAGAACTATTTAAAACTAGTGATCAGTTAAGAGTATATTTGCACAATTTTTTCTTGAGAAAAGCAGATAACTACAGTGTTAATAAATTCAGAAACACATGCTTCTAAATTAACTAATTTACTGATATTTCAATTTCTCCATGTTTCCAAGTTCTTGCTCAAAATGGTTCAAAAACTGTTAAAATTAAAATAATATCACGAATTTTAGTATTTTAAAAGAATACTGTACATTACATTTGCATGCTAATAAAACAGTTGCTTTAAAATCTACAATGCCTACTGACATTTGAGGCAATCATTAACATATTTTCTTCAATAAGTTTTTTAAACTTAATTGAATTGTTTGCTGGGATCTTTAAGTGAAACCTTGAATAAAGTTGGTGGATTAAACTTACTTTTTTAATGCTGCCTACTTCTTTAATGTTGTCAGATTTGCAGTGGTACAATCCTATCAGATTTGCAGTGGTACAATGAGCAAGCCTTTCAGCTGTACCACGTTAAAGACCATACTTTTTCAATTTGCAGGTGCAATTAAGTAAAACCATAACAAAGTTATTTTGTCATAAGACTTTGTTCTACTTTAAAAAATTATATACATTTATTTTGTTTTTCTCTAATAACCACAGTTATCTATCTCCAATATCTCATTTCCTTAGATATTAAATTCCATATATTTAACAACCAAAAAATTATAAGAAAACTTTATCTTCAACACCTCTTCTGTTTGGATACTAAATAAATGATTGGCTCTGTCAATAATAGCTAGTAGACTCATTTTTAAATGGCCATTTTTCTTTCTCTACCAAGGTCATTCTTTCAGATGAAAGAATCATTTCAAATTTTGAGTCCAAAGCCTTTGAAAATTTTCACTCTCTAACAAGGATTCCTCTTTCTCACCACTTTCCAAAAATCCTTTTCTGAATCTATAGTTGATCCCAGGGCATGGTTCAGATGGGAGTTTCTGTAACTTTTTAGAGAAAGGTGAGAGTTTCTATAACTTTTCACATTGCTTTAGACATCAAAATGTGTAGTCTTGATCTAATGACTTAGATCTAATGATTTTGATTAAGATTACATATTTAAGTGTATATTAATATTACTGCCTAGCAACTTTATCACTATTGCTTGCAAACTGCCACACCCTTGAAAATGTAACCCAAACTCCTCTTCCCAGGTGAAGAACCATGAAGACTCACATTCTAATTAGTCATTAAATAGTTCCAATATCTCTTATTCTAAGGTATATTGCCACTATGAATCTAATATTCATTTACTACCTTGTCCCAAGTTACAGAATAAAAATGCCATTTCTTAGGAGTATAAAAGTAATTTTCATCTGAATTATGTTGATATTTGTGTTTTACTTCGTATAAGAATTCAAGAACAACCCTCAAAGCTTTTAAGAACTGATCCTTCAGTTTGACTTCAAACAAAAGGCAAAGTAAAAGCAGTTTGTGAACTGTGAAATCCTATCAATTTGTACACACTTCAACTATCATGAAAAGATTATTCGGCTCTATTAAAATTTGGCATTAATGATGCTAGCTTAACATGTTAATAAAATTTAGAACATTTTCTGTTCTTTGCTAATCTTAAATCAAGATTTAACTGCTGATAAAAGTTTCAGTTACAGGTTTAAAAACTCAAATATTAGAAAATATCAAGGAGTTAGACACTTGATAAAACATTTGTAAACTTCAAAACTTCAACTTTTAGAGAAAGGCGAGGCACCTAGACAAAAAATACCCTATTTCCACATTTCCAAACCATGAGTATTCCTGGCTCTTCCCTGAGAAAATCTTAGACTACTTCAATGATTAAAAACATAATAAAATTCAGATACAAAATGGAACTAAACGTCCTGGCCTAGCCAGAAATTCCTGGGTGGTTACTGTGAAATAAGACTTGTTAAGATTTCCATCGCAAGATTAAAAAGAAAACAAGCAAAACAACGCTGGCTATCGTGACGGGACTGAAATACAGGAGTGGCGTCTGGGAAACTATCTTCTTGGTTCTTTCCCAGGCAAAGACCAACCTGAACAAGGGTCCCGTTTCTCTGTACCTCTCCACAAAGTCTCACCTGTGAACAGATCCTGGCGCCTCTAATACCTCTCTTAACACCAGCATAGTTGTGACCTGTCCCGAGAGTACCAACAAATAGAAAGCCACAGGGAATTCGTCAGGTAAAAACAAACTTGGAAGACAAACAGTCTCGGGTGAATCCTAAGGCCGCATGAGAAACTCAAATTGTGATTGGAAAATCTTGCCCTACCTCTTTACCACAAAACGGAATTGCCTGCCTTTGTCCATTCCTGAACCCAACACATTTGCCCAGATCCTTCCAAACCAAAGAAGCCTCCGACACAGGCAGACTATAGGAACCATCAAATTCCCGGGGAAACCCGACCGCTTAGTACAGCCACCCAGAAGAAGAAAAGATCAAATGAGACCGGCTCAACGGGGTCTTCCTGTAGTGACCCCTGAGTTAAAGTATTTATTTTCACGCTGCAACTGCTGATCACTTTACAGAGACATATCATGCTGTAGCTCTGCATGGAGCTGAAGACAAAAGCAACATTTTTATTAATGTTATAATTATTATAATTATCTTTAACAAAGCTATTAAATAACCTGTACAAAGCCCAAACCGGTCCTAGCGAAAACCCGAGCACTGTTTCAAATCTCCCAAGTTCCTTTCTATTCAGTTCAGCAGCATTTCCTATATACAAGGCCAGACCAGGGTGGTCCCCCGAAACTGTAGGTCTCCCTGACGGTGGGAACGGTTTAGAGTTTGGAACCGCCCTGGCGTACGGCAGAGCTCCCAATTACAATCCAAATGCCCCAGCCCCAACCCTACCTCCCCGCTCCTGGGAACTGGGTCCCTATGTCCGAAGGCAGCGGAAGTTGGAAGCCTGGCTCCATTTTGGGAGGCAGGCAACGGAGAGGGTCCGTCTGCTGAGTCTCCCCTCCGCCAGCTGCCCACAGGTCCCCGGATCTCTCGCAGAGGTGCTGGGAAGGGGGTCCACCTCCGGGAGGGCTCACAGGTCCCGCGCGTCCTCCCGCTTAACCCCGGCCTCAGCGACTTTGAGCTTCTTATTCTGGTGAGTCTTGACGTGCTTCGCGAGGTGGTCGCTGCGCATGAAGCGCTTGCCGCACTCGGGACAGGCAAAGCGCTTCTCGCCCGTGTGAGTCCGCAGGTGCCGCTGCAGCTCGTCCGAGCGCGTGAAGCTCTTCCCGCAGAAGAGCCAGTTGCACACGAAGGGTCGCTCGCCCGTGTGCCAGCGCAGGTGCGCCTTCAGGTGCGACGTCTTCCCGTACACCTTGCCGCAGCCCGGCACGTGGCACACGTGCTGCTTCTTCTTCCCCGGCTCCGCCTCGGGGGCGCCGCCCGCCGCCTGGCAGTTGGGACAGCGGCAGCGGCGGCACCTCCTGGCCGTGGCCGCCAGGGGGGCCTTGGTCTGCAGCAGCGCGGCGATCTGGCTCTGGTACTGCGCAAAGTCCGACGGGCCCAACACCAGGCCTCTTTGTAGGGCGGCGGCGGCCGCAGCAGCAGCGGCCGCAGAGGCGGGGAAGCGGGGCGCGTGGGGGGCCCCGGCACAGGCGCCGGAGAGGCCGCTTCCCGGAACCCCGGAGGCCCCCGGCCCGGCGCCCGCCTGCGGGATGCTCCACCACGGGAGGTCGTCGGGGGCCGGGTTGGGTGACAACTGGCGGCAGGTGGGCGGCGGGGGCGGTGGCGGCGGCGGAGGCAGCAGGTTGGAGTAGCCTGGCGGCAGCGCGGCCTGCGCCGCGTAGGGCACGTAGGCGGGCGCGCAGCTGGCGGGCAGAGCCGCCATGCTCGAGGGCAGCATCTTGACCGGCGAGAACTCGTAGGGGTACGAGGGGTCGGCGGGGGGTGTAAGGGGAAGCTCGTGCGCAGCCCCGAAGGACGGCTGCAGGTGCGTCTTCTGCGGCGTCAGCCCCAAGCTGGGATGCGGGGGCGGCAGTGCGCCTGGCGAGTGCGCCGGCATGTCGGCGGTCCACGGGTGGAAGAGCCTGGAGGGTGAGCCCAGCGCGGGGTCGTAGGGCACCTGCAGGAAGTCCGGGGGCGCCGCCGCGCCCGGCTGGCCGATGCGGCTACAGGTGGCGGCCAGCAATGCCAGGGGCGAGTGCTTGCCCAGGTCCGGGGAGGCGCTGGGGGTGCGGTCCTGCATAGGCGGCGAGGGAGGGCGGAGAAGAGACAAAAGGTTAGCTCCAAGCGCGGACTCCGGGCCAGCCCGCCGCCCCCACGCCCGCTATTATACCGCCGCCCCTCCTCCGTCCCGGCCGTCCCTCCCCCGCCACCGCACCCCACGCACGCACCCACCGGCCGAGGGAAACTTTTGGTGCCTGCGCTACCTGAACGTGGGGCCCGCGAGCGCTTCTTGCTAAACTACTTGGTGCACTGAGACGCCATCCAGCCTTAGAGGAAGCAGGCGCGAAGTGGGAGGGGGAGGCATCCGACGGGCCCCTCCCGGCTCCGTGGTCAGTAAGAGTCGGGAAACACCCACAACCCCGCCGGCCGGCCGCTCTCCCTCCCATCTTTTAAGCTCTCTTGTCCTCACTGCCTTCGCGCTCCTCCCTGGCCCGCCCCAGGCTGAAATCAGCAGGAGGGCCCAGCAGGGTGAGCTCCGGTCCTGTTCTCGGCCAGCCGGGCACCTCCGAACAATCCCGGATCCACGCGTCCCTCCAGCAAAGGCCACACCGGATTAGGTGTGAAGTTGGCGTGGGCACCCCTAGGCCTGGCTCCAGCTGCACCCATCGGCGGGGTTCCCTTTGAGGTTCAAGGTGCACGGAGTACCAGGAGAGATCCGGACACGGCCCTTTCCACCTTTCTCCCGCCCCCTCCGGGCTCGGCCCTGACCTGGAGAAAGGCCTGCAGCGAGTCGTTCCGGAGGACGGCCACCGCGGCCATGGCTACGGCTTGCAGGCCCCTGGCTGCGGAGCGGGACGCCGCCGCCGAGGCATGGACACCCGAAGGCGAGGACGAAGGGCCGCCCAGCCTGCCTCCCTGGCGCCTGCTCTGAGCGCCGGGGCCCTCCCCGCCCTTGCCCCTCGCCGCGCCCCGCTCGCTCGCCCCGCGCGCGGTCTGAGCGCTTCAGGATCACCTCCAAGAATTTGATAAGGACTTTGCTGGGCCGCCAGCCAGTCAGAGGGAAGATTTATGGCTTTGAAGTTTGCCGCTACCCAATCATCAAAGAATAGCGGCTCTTTCAGAAGCGAAAGCAAATCCTTTGAATCCACAAAGCTCCTATGGTGTGTTTGTTGGTCTGGATAAAAGAACTGATTATTAGGGGGGATGGGAAGGGAGGAGATAAAGGCGGGACAATTAATGAAGTAATCACTATGTGGGAAATGTATATACACAAATAATTGGATTTTCCTGATCAAAGGGGGCCTTGCCGCCTGGAGACCCGCGCTTGGGTTGCTCGAGACACTCTTCCCGCCCCCCCCAACATACACACACACACACACACACACACTTGCAATTAAAGATTTGCACCGACGCAGCGCCCAAAGTGACAAAGTGTCTTTGTTATCTCTGGAAAAATCTGCCTTCGGCTTCCAGGCGCCGGACTTTGAGACGGCAAAGAGTGTAACTCTCCCCTGTATTTACTTGCACACCCTGCACCCTCGCCGCACACGCACCCGCCCGCGCACACAGCGGACCCAAGCGAGATCCCCGGTGGGGCGTGGGACCGACAGCGCCCGGCCCGCCGCGTGTCCCCCGCCCGCCGCGGTGGGGCCGAGGGCAGGGCTGTGACCTGGGGCGGGGCCGGGCGGCCGCCCAGCGCGGCGTTGGGTGGCGCGCACGCTCCAGGGCCGCCCGCCTGACGAGCGACCGGGGCTCTCCTGTGACGTTCCTGCTGGCGACCTGGAAGTTTTCCTCAGGCCACAACTTTTGCAGAGTGGACCTGGGAAAAACACCCGCGCCGCGCATACCCTCAAAGCTGAGCTCGGCAGGACACCCAAGGCGACCCGTCATGCCCACCCGAGGGGAAGAAGCTGTGCTGTCCCGCCCCCTTCTCCCCAGGCCACCCAGGAGGCCCGGGCTGGGCTGTGGGGGGCCGAAAGCCCCAGCGCTGCTGGTGATTTCTCGCCCGGAGCCCCGCCAAGCCAGCGCGCCCTCTCGCAAGCCTGGCAGACCAGGAGCTACTGGAAAAAAGGCGCGGTCGAGGAAGCCTGGTTGTTGTGGTCCCACAAACCACAAATCATACGAGAGAGGATCCCGAAGGCGGGAGAAAAGTCAGTACAGACTTGTTCCTGCCACCTTTGGAAAGAAAAAGTTCCTCACCAGGCGCGGGGCGTGCTTTGCTCTGGGCAGGGTCGCGCTTGCAGGGGCTTGGGTGACCCCCATCCCTCCCTGGCGGCTCACCTCCTGCCGAGGAGGGCCACCTGCCTCCTCCTGGCCCAGGGCGCAGGGCGCGTCCTGCCCCGGCACTGCGGACGCGGGGATCGCCTCTCCCGGGCGCGCGGGCGGGGAAGGAGGAAGAGGCGGGCGGGGAACCGCGGGGTGCTCACCGCCCTGGGGCATTAGGGGTGCGGAACCGCGTTGGAGGCCTCGCGGCCCCGGCTCGCGAGAGCGCACTGCGGAGTGGCCGCCGGAGCTCGGCCTACTCCTCTCCCCCACCCACCTCCCGTCGGACACAGTCTCCACTCTCCAGGCCGCCGGCCGTGGGGGAGCCCCTAATCAGTTCGCGCCCGGCCTCTCTGCCCGTCTTCCTCACGGGAACCGCACTGCGACCGGGACGGACGGGGTGACCTATCTCCCGATGCAGCGTCAGAGGTTAGCCTAACTACAACGGACTCGGAATCTGGACTGTATAAGGATGCCCTCCGCACTTCCATCAGGGGTCGGGGATGCGATGCCTCCGGGCCCACCTTCTCCCACGCCCAGGGCGCGCCTGCGGAATGAGAATATCGTACTCAAGACGGGTGGGCTGCTTGCGACCCAAATACAATGGGTCCCTCGCACATCCTGCACTCGCACGCCCCCTTCTCCCCCAACGAGTTGTCCCCTCTAAAACGCGAGCGGCGACCACACAACTTGGCCGACCCGATCTGGCTTCTGAAGATGAGGTCGGCTGCTCTGGGAGCGGAGAAGGGGAGAGAGCTTAGTGGTTTCATCCGAGGCCTGGCCAACCTGCTCCTTCCCACGCTCCCGTCCAGGATTTGAGTCTTGGAGAAGCGTGAGACTCGAGGGAGCTCTTCCCTGGATGCAAGTCGGAGGCCAGGGAGCCCCTTGGCACACACTCGCGCCTGCACATGCTTGCACCCTCGAAGCGATCTGGTTCCTTAGCGCTGGTTTCCTTTCCAGCTTCTTTGAGATCTTCGAAGTCCCCTTTCCCAGGGAGGCGGGCAGGGCCGGGCTAAGCAGGATGGAAGGCAGCCCTTTTTATTGAATCTGATAGCTACTTTCCCAAAAAGGCCAGAAAAGCCATTTCACATCCCCATAGTTATGGGAATTAGCTTTTTCTCCAAGATGCCCCCATTAGCCAGTTAAACCATCAGTGGGCCAACAGGGTCAAAGTTAGTGGCTTGGTGGTTGAAAGCTCGGAGTCCGAACTCTCTGAAGACATTTTTCCCGCCTTGCCACTTTCTAGTTGGTGACCTTGGCAAGCAAGGTACTCAGCCGCTGTGTACCTCAGTTTTGCGGTTTGTAAAATGGGAGTTACAATAGTGCACCCCTTGTAGAGTGGCTATAGGTTTAAGAGTTAATATACGCAAGGTCTTTAGGACGGTGCTGAGCGTACAGAAGGCCCTCTCTTGAGTGGTCGCAGTTGGCTGCTCTCGGCCTCATCTCCGTTTGTGAAAACCCGTCCAGATTCCGGTCCTCCCAGGCCCCAGCTGAAGTTTGGAGAGAGGCTTTGCTGAATAGCTGTTTAGTCTCCCCCAACCCCCTTGGCCCTCGGAGCTCCTGGAAAAAGTTCTTAATGAAGTAATGTTGAGAGCGTCCATTAAAAATGCAATGCTGGGAGATCAAAGTACAATATTTATTTTAGAAATTTGTTGTAATCACCAAGAGATACAGGTATCAAGGCCAAATGTCAGTTCCATTACACAAAGCCCCGCGCCCGGGAAGAGCGTGTGGCTGCTCTGCCATAATGTAAAGAGACATCAAAGACCGAGCGCGCTGCAAAAGTGCGCAGCTGTGGGGGAGAGAGTAAGCCCGGGAGGGCCAGGCGCGCCCCAGACAGCGCGGGGGCTGCGGGGGCGGGGGTCAGTTCAAAGAGGTATCCGTTGGGGCGCGAGTTCACAGGAGGGAAGATTTAATGGGCTTTCTTTTGTTGGTGGGTGTGTTTGCGCACGGTGGACCCAGGAACTCCTATGTGGTCCTCCTGCCTCGGGGCGGAGATGGGGGTGGGGTGGGAGCTGCGAATGTGGAGCAAACTTTAACCGTGGCGGGGGGCGGGGAGGTTGAATACCAGTCTCCTGGCGGCGGCTGGCACAGCGGAGCTGCTCTCCAAGCAGCGGGGTTCCCAGGCTGGGAAGTTTGCATTGCCGTTTCTTTGCGGGCGGGCGGCGAGCGCCGACTGCATGCCACCTGCGAGAGGAAGAGGCCGGTAGGTGAACCCGCAGTGACACTTGCGCAGGGGACGGACCAGCTCTGCGCGCTCTGGGATTAAGTCAGGGGTTGCTACTTCCAGCCCAAGCTTGGTACCTCGCCTCGGGCATTTTCTTGCAGCTAGAAGGGACGCATGCCTCTGGCATAAATCCAACCAGAGAGTCACCCCTCTCAAGCTAGATTTTTTAAAAATCTAGATATTATTTAGATCATTTCAGCAAATTCTTAATGCTTTGGCCTTTCACAGTAAGATGTTGCTTAATCGGCTGGATCTCCCCACTCCTTGCCAAGGAGACTCAATTTTGCAGTTGCCCATATCTGCCTAGTTAAATCGTTGCTATACTAAAGGTTCTGGGAGGGTGGGGACAGAATTTCCCCGGTGCTAATGCGGCACTGAATCGCAGGAGGCTGCCCATGCATTTCTTCAGTCATCTACAACCAAGAATTCTCAGAGCAGTCCCTCGGCAGCCTTTTGAAGCTGTGCTAGAGCAGAAAGCTGCTATTGTTCTCATCTCTCAACAAGGAAAGGTTCAAACTTTGCCTCTTCAATTTGAAAGATTTTTTTTTTATGGTGGTGGGGGGAGGGATTGCAATCTGATACTCAAAGTTAACTTTGAGGATTTGGAGTGGTCTCCCAGTTTAAGCTGCAGATCAAATCACAGATGCCCTAACGCCTGCATCTCAAGTCGGGGGCACTTCATCATTAATACGGTGGAGTAGTCAATCACAAGCAATTACAACGTGGGTAACCTAGCCTGGTGACCGAGCTAGTTTACTTTCCAAGGAAGTGGGACCATTTCCTCAACTGGAATCCTTGAATTAATTTTAAACTTAAACTTCCAAATTGGATCAGTATACAATACTGGTTGTAGAACTAGGAGGAATTTTTAAAAATCTCATCTAATTCTCCCTCATTTGGTGGGAGGAGGAAACAGCATTTGTATGATATGTATCCTGCCTGCACAATGCTGTGAGCTTCAGTAGATGCTCAATAAATGCTCATTGATGTTGGGTGGTAGAGTGGAATTGTGTGTACCAATGTCATCAGCGTATGACTGGTGCCACAGAGCACACAAATGTAGTAGGAAGTCAGAGAGGATTGGTGAGGACTGGGGTGGTCAAAGGAGGCTTTATCAAGGAGCTGGGGTTTGGAGGAGACTTTAAGGACCTACAGAATTTTAACTTTAGTTAATTTTAGTGCAAAGAAAGGAAGAAGGTGAAGGGGAAAGGGACAGTAGAAGAAAGAGAATTCCACTTCAGTGAAAAGTTGAACAACGATGAAGTTTTGGGTCTTTGATCTGTTGGTGTGGACATGGTGGGGCCAGATTAGAGAAGTCAGAACACGGAGTTTGCCCCCATGCTGTATACATTATAGTAGGAACTTCTTCTGAGCAGGTAAATAACGTGAGTTCAATTCCATGTCTGAAAGCTTCTTCCCTAGAAGGATTGGCTTGCAGAGTCTGGAAGGATAGATGCAAATGCAGTTACCTAGGTGTGGGATGGTGAAAGTTTTGATTGGGAACTGGTGGTAGTAGTGAAAGGATGACTCAGCATTTTAAAGGGGAAAAAGAGCAAAATTTGGTGACAGGTTGGAATAAGACATTAAATAAAGGGGACACTCAAAAGGACTTCTCTTTTGAGCAAATGGTGCTGGGGCAACTGCATATCTACATGTAAAACAATGAAATTGGACCCTTTCCTTACAACACACACACAAATTAACTCCAATCATAGATTTAAATGTAAGAGTTAAACTCTGAAGCACTTAGAAGAAAACAAAGGAGGCTGGGTGTGGTGGCTCACACCTGTAATCCCAGCACTTTGGGAGGCCGAATCACAAGGTCAGGAGTTCGAGACCAGCCTGGCCAACATGGTGAAACTCTGTCTCTACTAAAAATACAAAAAATTAGCTGGGCATAGTGGCGGATGCCTGTAATCCCAGCTACTCAGGAGGCTGAGGCAGGAGAATCGCTTGAACCTGGGAGGCGGAGGTTGCTGTAAGCCAAGATCATGCCACTGCACTACAGCCCGGGTGACAGAGTGAGACTCCATCTCAAAAAAAAAAAGGAGTAATCCTCATGACCTTAGTTAGGCAAAACCTTCTTAGATGTGACACCAAAAACACAAATCATAAAAGAAAAAATGTTCAATTGAACTTCACCACATTTAAAACTTTTGTGCTTTAATGAACACTGTCAAGAAAGTGAAGACAACTCACAGAATTGGAGAAATCATTTGCAAATTATATATCTAATAAAGGAGCCCTTGCAACTCAACAGTAAAAAGACAACCCAATTTAAAACCGGATAAAGGATTTGGATAAACATTTTCCCAAGGAAGATATACAAATGGCCAATAAACACATGAAAAGAAACCCAACATCATTATAGCCATCACTGAAAAGCAAATTAAAACCACAGTGAGAGGAACCCCTTCACACCTACTAGGATGACTAGATTATAGAAAAGATAGTAAGTATTGGTAAGGATGTGGAGAACTGGAACCCTTATACATTGCTAATAGGAATGTAAAATGGTACAGAAAACAATTGAAAAACAATGTGGCAATTCCTCCAAATGTTGAAGATGGAATTATAATTCTACTGCTAGGTAGATACAAAGAGAATGGAAAATACACATCCACATAAAGACTTGTACATGAATGTTCATAGCAGCATTATTCATAGTAGCCAAAAGTTGGAAACCTAGATGTCCATCTCCTGATAAATGGATCATATCTGATAATCTATGTAAAGGAATATTATTCAGCTATAAAAAGGGATGAAGTACCGATACATGTTACAATATGGATGAACCTTGAAAACATGCTAAAGGAAGCCAGTCACAAAAGTCACCTATTGTATGTTTCCATGTATATGAAATGTCTAGAATAGAAAAATCCAGAGACGGAAAGCACATTAGTGGCTGCCAGGGACTTGGGGGTGGGGGAAGAGGGAATGACTGCCAGTGGGTAAGGCTTTTTGGTGGGGGTAAAAGTATCTTCAAATCGATTGTGGTGATGGTTATACAACTCTGTGAATATATTAAAAAAATGGTACAGTTTAAATGGATGAATTATATGATACAATATGGTATGTAATTCTATCTCAATAAAGCTGTTTAAAAATAACATCAAAAGGACCCCAAGGTTTTAGCCTGTGCGGCAGGAGGAATAGCTCAGTTGCTGACAAAAGCAGGAGAACAAGGAAAAGAGACAGCTGGGAGTTAAGCAGAAGGACTGAATTCAGCGTGGGCTGTTGAATCTAAGATTTTGGCTGGCTGCTCGTGAAGAAACGCCTGCAGAAAGCTGTAAATGCCGGCAGTGGCAGTGAGTGTGATGGACAAGGCTAAAGAGAAGACTCATGAACTTTCGGTAAGTAGGGAGGGCTGAAAAAGTGAGCTCATAAGAGTGAGTGGAGATCAAACAGGTAGAGAAAAGCTACAACAGGATTTGGAGAGAATGCACAAATATAAGATGAACAGAGGAAGAGAAGCCATCAAAGCAGCCCAAGAAAATAACGGTGAGAGAGGCAGGAGAAAACACAGAGAGTAGGGGTGGGAGGATGAGCAAGACCAATGTGCTTGCCCAGGCTGGGGAAGGCGGTGGAGAGGGCCGCGTGGTGAGCAACAGGAAGAGTCTTTTTGCTGGAGAGGAAGCCTTGAGGGTCCATTCGCAGAGCCGAGGTGGGGAAGAAGGCAGAAGATTCGAGTTTAAGAAGCAGTGAGGACAGATAGCAGGGCAAGAAAAAAGTTGTGTTTGTGTTTTAGGACCTGGTAAAAACGGGGAAGTGGTAGGTAGGGAGCCTAGAAACTGGCCGTTTGCAGTGGAGTGTGGGTGTTTCCATTAATGAGGAGAGGAACTTCTTTTTCCCAGCCTGGGGTGAAGCAAGTATAGCCCCAGGACATAACTTCTGACCTGGGGGGAGTGAAACAAACTCAAGGAGAAGCTGCTGCTTTATTGATTTGAAAGGACAAGGGCACAGTCGTTGCTGGGAGTGAAAGGGGTGGTCACAAGTTCAAAAGACAGTAGGAAACTGTGGCAGGTCAGCCGCATACACTTGCTTGTGCTGAGTCTTGTCCTGTGTTTTACTTGATCACATTCAAGCCTTACACGTTTAAATCCCACCTTCTCTTCCACTCTGCTGCCATTTGTATTCCCTCAGATAAGAAGGTAAGGAGAAAGGGCTGGGTGCAGTGGCTCGTGCTTGTAATCCCAGCACTTTGGGAGGTGGAGGTGGACGGATCACTTGAAGTCAGGAGTTCGAGACTAGCCTGGCCAACATGGTGAAATCCCATCTCTACCAAAAATACAAAAAAATTAGCCAGATGTGCTGGTGGGTGCCTATAATCCCAGCTACTTGGGAGGCTCAGGCAGGAGAATCGTTTGAATCCAGGAGGCGGTGGTTGCAGTGAGCCGAGATCATGCCACTGCACTCCAGCCTGGGCAACAGAACGAGACTCCATCTCGAAAAAAAATGGTAAGGAGAGCGGGTGCCGTGACCTGGAGCAAAGGGAGGAGTCCTGGGTGACATCTGCCTCCCATGGCAGGGAGGTCCTCCGGTAAACCTGCTTAGACACGCACAGTTGCTTTCAACAGTACTGCCATGGACACGAATGATCTTTAGGTACAGACAAGGCCTCCTTACAAGAGACATATGTTAGGAAAAGGTAGTGCCAAAATTCCTTTATTAAGTATATGTTTTCCTATTTAGTCATTAATGTTCATGTTTCAAAATGACCCTGTAGCAAGTACCACTTGATGTGAGAAGGAATCAAGGCAGGTTCATGGATAAGGCATGAACTTAAGGTCATGGCAGGAGCCTGCAGAAGCTCACAGTACTGTGGCTTTGTACTCTGTGGCTCTGTCATCTATCTTTCTTTCTAGGCACAAGAAACCAAATCTTTACTGAGTGTGGTGGAAGAATGCCCAGGTGAGCACAGGCACAGTGCCAGGTGCTGCAGAGGACCTGAGACAAAGAGTCACTGCGCCCTCAGAGAGTTTAGAATCCAGCACTGAGGAAAAGAGAGGTCATGGGGAGCACAGGTGGGTCCCACAATCATGGGAAGAATACTGTTGGCTGCAAGGGCCTGGCAACTATCTATGACTCATGAAGAAACAGGCCCAGTGAAGTAACGTGGCTCCTTGAGATCACAGAGTGAAAGAACTGAGTCTCACATACATTATTTGAGACAGGTTCTCTCTCTGTCACCCAGGTTGGGGTGCAGTGGTACAATCTCGGCTCACTGCAACCTCCATCTTTTGGGCTCAAGCAATCCTCCCACCTCAGCCTCCCTAGTAGCTAGGACCACAGGCATGTGCCAGCATATCCGGCTAACTTGTTTTTTATTTTCTTGTGGAGACAGGGTCTCCCTATGTTGCTCAAGCTGGTCTCAACCTCCTGGGATCAAGTGATTCTCCCGCCTTGGCCTCCCAAAATGTTGGGATTATGGATGTGAGCCACCACACCCAGCTTCATCATTTTTCCAGTGAACATTTTTCTAGGGAACATGAATATTGAAAGAAAAGATTCTCCATGTACTGTTACCCATCTGTGGTGGCATTTATTTCCTAAAAAGAAATGAATGTGATAAATCTTTCTTTTAGGCTGAGCAATAATGTTTCACATATATAAAATCTTGAAATTTGATCTGGATTATAGCAATAAAATAAAACATGCATTAATATATAGGAGAATTACTTTGGATACAAACCCAACAAAGATTTAATGAAAAACATTGTCATATATCAATAAATGCAAATAAAGTCTGAACCCCCCCCCCCCATTTCCACCCCTCTAAGTCTAGCACCCCTAGATGGAGGCGGGGGTTGGCTAACTTAGGCCGGAGAGACGCATGCTGGTGAGGTCATGGGTTTGCTCTGGTCTGTTGGTAGTGGTCTTTTGGGGGCCACAGCCTGCATGCTGTCTCCCACCCAGTGTGCTTGTTTGACCATGTGGCTGGTCGACCATGCTGCTGCTACCAATCACAACATGGAGTCTCATGGAATCCTCTCAATGACTCTATTTTATAGATGGGTAATTTGCCCAAGATCCCATATCTTGTTCTTGGAATTGAGTGCAGGTAATGTTACTCCAGAGGGCAACCTTTTAACCATCAGATTAGAGTGCCTCCTTGGGTGAGTGCAAATCTCTTTCTATTATTGGAAAAACAATTAAACACGTATGTCAGTCTGTGGTGGAATTATTAAATATGAAGTCTGGGATATTTACTGGCCACATTACAGGTTGTTTATTATTTGCCTCATGGTGAAAATGTCGGTCCCACGTGAGATGTTTGTTATCTGGTTTTACCCAAAAGAAGTATGGGTCTTGACCTCAAGGATTATAGTTCAGATCCATGATGACTTTTTCTTTCACTTCTAGAGTACTCTTTTCTTCCCCCTACCCCTTGCCCCAAGCCACCAGGGGGCACACAGAATTGGCCATTTACCTTGGAAAATTTAAGGCACCAATTTTAAGGATATAGATAAATATCAGTCCAGTATCTTTAGAGGTACAGCTGGGAATAGACTAACACTAATATCAGGTATCTGTCCCCATTTCCATTTAAAAGATCATCTCTTTAAAATCCTTTAGGACTGACAAGTGTCTCACCCATGGGCCTTTTGGTCTTCAGGAGGCAATGCCCTTTTTATTTGTGTTTCAGTGTCATGGTGTAGTTTCAAGTTGGATCTGTCCTCTTTCCTCTGCACCTTTCCCTGCAGAATCACAGAGATATAGATCCTCCCTTCCAGGGCACCAGCACCAATCCCCCTTTGCCTTTGTTCTCTTCTCCTTCTCTAGGCTTTATTCATGGCTGCTCCCTGATGCCCTTCTCATTTGTTATTTTTTAAAGGTTCTCCTAGGTAACTGCTACAAGAGGCTCTAAGCCTGCACCAGAATCTCTGCTTGTCTCTTGTTTACTATGTCATTAGGGCTCATTCACAGTGAACAGAACCCATTCTACCTGGTTTAAGCAGAAAGGGACTTCTTATAAGATATTTAATGTCTAGGCCAGGCGCAGTGGCTCATGCCTGTAATCCCAGCACTTTGGGAGGCCAAGGTAGGTGGATCACCTGAGGTCAGGAGTTTGAGACCAGCCTGGCCAACATAGTGAAACCCTGTCTCTACTAAAAATGCAAAAATTAGCTGAGCATGGTGGTGCACACCTATAGTCCCAGCTATTTGGGAAGCTGAAGCAGGAGAATCACTTGAACCCAGGAGGCAGAGGTTGCAGTGAGCCAAGATTGTGCCACTGCACTCCAGCCTGGATGACAGTGAGACTCTGTCTCAAAAAAAAAAAAAAAAAAAAAAAAAATTAATGTCTTACAGAATGACTGGAGGGCAGAAGAAACAGAATTGCTACTGAGCTTTCAGGCATGACTCCCAGTGCCACATCACAGACTTAGGTTGACAAGGGAGCTGCTGTTCCCGCCAGGATCAGGAGATTGTGGAATCAGAAAGCTGCCTGCCTCCTGGGAAGCCATAGTGACAGCTGCCCAGCTTCAGACTCATGCCACCTCTACTGTTATCAGACTGAACTTGGGTCTGCCCACCTAGCACAGCAAAGCCAAACATTGACACTGGGATTGCAGCAAGAGAAGTGAGGCATTTATTACAGGATGCCAAGCAAGAAGGACTGGGCAGCTAAAGCTTAGGACCTGAACTCCCAGATGGTTTGCAGTTAAGGGTTTTTAAAGGCAGGGAGGAAGATGTTATAGGCTGCTATGGTTTGGTTTTGTGTCTCCACCCAAATCTCATGTTGAACTGTAATTCCTATTGTTGGGGGAGGGACTTGGTGGGAGGTGATTGGATCATGGGGGTGGACTTCCGCCTTGCTATTCTCATGGTAATGAGTTCTCACAAGATCTGGTTGTTTAAATATGTGTAGCACTTCCCCCTTTGCTTTCTCTCGCCTGCTCTACCATGGTAAGGCATGCTTGCTTCCCCTTTGCCTTCTGCCATGATTGTAAGTTTCTTGAGACCTTCCAGTCATACTTCCTGTCTAGCCCACAGAACTGTGAATCAATTAAACTTCTTTTCTTCATAAATTACCTAGTCTCAGATGTCTTGCTCTGTCGCCCAGGCTGGAGTGCAATGGCGTGATCTTGGCTCACTGCAACATCCACCTCCCTGGTTCAAGCGATTTAACTGTCTCAGCCTCCTGAGTAGCTGAGATTACATGCATGTGCCACCATGCCTGGCTAATTTTTGTATTTTTAGTAGAGACCAGTTTTCACCATGTTGGTCAGGCTGGTCTCGAACTCCTGACTGCGTGATCCATCTGCCTCGGCCTCCCAAAGTGCTGGGATTACAGGCGTGAGCCACCATGCCCAGCCCCTTCAGGTACTTCTTTATAGCAGTGTGAGAATAGACTAATGCACAGGCAAAGTTATAAATCAGTTCTCACACTGCTATAAAGAACTACCTGAGACAGTAATTTATGAAGAAAAGAGGTTTAATTGATTCACAGTTCTGCCAAGAACTGAGTTTGAACTTGAACCAATTTAAAAACACCAATCAGAAATCTTGGGAAGACAAATTGGTTTGGAAAGTGGGAAGAGGGGAGGTGTTTCCTGGGCATGTATTTATTTTGAAGCTCTAGTGGGACGTTCCTGAGGAGATATCAGGGAGGTAGTTAGTAATTCAGAGCTGGAACTCTAGAGAAAAGTGAAGCTGGAGACAGATTTGGGAGTCATGTGAGAGAGAGGTAGTCAAGGGAGTGCACGTTGTAGGAACTCAATAAATGTTGGTTGAATGACATAACCCCGTCACAGCTGGGACCAGACTGGCTAAACCATAATTAGTGTTTGTAGTGAGCAGAAAGAGCACATTGGTTTTTGGCCATAAAGGAGAAGTGAGGGTCTAGGCATGGAGACTAGG
Source organism: Homo sapiens (assembly GCF_000001405.40). NCBI lineage: Eukaryota > Metazoa > Chordata > Mammalia > Primates > Hominidae > Homo > Homo sapiens. The sequence continues at coordinate 170,702,980 of NC_000002.12, read as the reverse complement.
AATTAACATGAAGCAACTGCATAATTAGCAAATGTAGCAGATATTTGGATTGGTTCATTTCAGCTATTCCAATCTCTAAGATAGAAAACAAAAAAACTATATTTTCCAGATTCCCTTGCAGCTAGGGTTCCATATATAATATTTAGATCATACCCATCAGATGCAGCGTACCAAATTTGGAAAGCAGAAGTAAACAGTTGTAAGGCAAGAACTGTGCTTTGGCTGTTCCTACTAGTAAGCACAGTGGTGGTACCTTTGGTTTTTCTATGACAGATGTAACAGGTCCTAAGTCCCAGCCCTATATTCATAGTTGTCAAGAGATAAGACACATATCATGGTATTGAGATGGAGTAGGGACCCCCCCAGCATGGAAATAAAGGAAAACCTTGAGTTCCTTTAAGGGTAATTCCAAGCACCTGGCTAGAACTCAGAAGTAAATGAGCAATTGGATAAGCGAGAATGTAATTGTCGCTTAAAATAGCCAAGGAAGTTAGAGTCATAAGAATGTTTGGTTCCCTGTAGAAACTAAAAATAACCTTTTTTTAAAATTTTAGATGGAGTCTTGCTCTGTCCCCCAGGCTGAAGTGCAATGGTGCTATCTCGGCTCACTGCAATTTCCGCCTCTTGGGTTCAAGCAATTCTCCTGCCTCAGCCTCCTGAGTAGCTGGGATTAACGGGCACCTGTCAACATGCCCGGCCAATTTTTGCATTTTTAGTAGAGACAGGGTTTCACCACGTTGGCCAGGCTGGTCTTGAACTCCTGACCTCGTGATCCTTCTGCCTCAGCCTCCCAAAAGTGCTGGGATTACAGACGTGAGCCACCGCACCTGGCAAAAATCACCTCTTAATATATGTCCTTGAGTTGTTTTTTAGAAACCTGGAACCCCACAAAATGGATCCCCTGGCATGCAGACCTCAGTCAGATAAGGGGGAACTGAGGACTGAACTCTGACCACTCTTCCTTTTTTCAGATTTCTTCCTAAGGGGCCTCGAGGAGGTCACACCCACAAGCCAGAGCTAACATTCTTACTACTGATTCCAAATTTTTAGATGAAGCTTCGCCTCCTTAACCAATTGCAAATCAGAAAATCTTTGAATTTACCTATGACCTGTGGGCCCCCTTTGAGATGTCCCACCTTTTTAGGTCAAACCAATGTATAGCCCAGGAGCCAACATGTGAGGGAAGAAGCCTTCAGGTGATCCAGCCTCCAGCTGTTGGAGCCACCATAGCTGAGATGCCAGATTTCATGGAGCAGAGATGAGCCATCCTCTCTGTGCACAGTCCAAATTCTTGACCCAGAAAATCTATGAGCACATTAATGGCTGTTGTTTTACTCCACTAAGTATAGGGTGGTTTGCTATATAGCAATAAGGAATCAAAACACCCCTCACATTCATGTTGCTTATTATCTGATGGTTATCTTTCACTGATACCAAGCAGCTCATATTTTTATCTTGCTCAAAAAACCTTAAATGGTTCCCCCATTGAATATGGAATTAATTATATGTTCTTTAGGCTTGCATTCAAGATCCTGCTCAGTTTTCAATCTTACTACCTTATCTTTCACTTTAACCCGCTACTCACTTTCAATCCACTTGTACCATATGTCAGATCTTCACTGGGCCACGACTGATGCTTTCCTATCCCTGTGCCCTTTCACCAGCACTGGCCTTTTGCTTGGAATTGTCGTTTTCTATATTTACCAAATTCCTAGCTATCATTCCTTCAAGCTCAGTGCAAATCTCACATCCTGTAAGACTTTGTTGCCCAATGTGGTGGCCAGTAGCCACATGTGGCTATTTACATTTAAAATAGCACTGATTAAAATCTAAAGTTTAGTTCCTCAGTCTCACTGGCCACTTTCCGTGCTCAGGAGCCACATCCCAGTGAACAGCACTGTCTTTTTAGCTTTTCCTTTCTCAACTAATCTCTCCTTCTCCCATATAACCTTAAAACTGCATTTTTAGCAATTTTGACCTGAATATTTTTGAGGGTTGTGTAATCCAAATCCATGAAATTACAGATACACCTTGGCTTTCTACCATTCTAGTGCACTGCTCTGTAAATGGGAGGTGGCTCAAATATTAATTGAGTTGGGAGGAAGCAGTGGTTAATCTCTATACTATACTAATGGGTCTGGGTGAAATGACCTCTTATGATCTTTTCCAGTAAAATATTCAACAAACAACATAAGTCTGTTATCTTCAACAATATATAATCTATCAGGATAGCTATTTTTTAAATCACAGGTGATTTGGGAGGAAGGTCTCTTGAGAGGAGCATTCTGCCATTCTGGTGTAGCTGTTTCTGTTCTCTCCAGCAGCTATTTTAGGTATTTAATTATTTTAGAGTGTGTGCTTGCATGTGTTTTGTCTCAATGTATGCCAATTTTTTGCCTAGTCCTCCTGACATCTTAATCTATCTGCCAACGCTACATGCCGTCAAGCCAAGGAAGAATTTCCTTCTCACTGTTGCTTCTCTGACCAAGGAAGACATAAGCACAACCAATCACCAGACTGATGAAATTCCTTCCAGTTTCAGAAAAGATTATCACCAATCCCTACATTATAAAATTCATACTAATAAAGCACAAACATTGAATTCTAACATTATATGCTATGTGACAAGACTACTTAATTGTATGTGTGTATGTGTAATTATTTTCAAGTTAACCATCTAAATTTTACCTGTACAAGAAAGCAGTTATTAGGCATGTGATAGATGCACTGTGTTAATTAACGTGGCCTTTCACAAGCCCTGTAGAGACAGCCCATGATGGTGTTCATATATCACATGATGTCTTCAAGTTAACAATGTTGACTGTTTTCATTTCCCTTCACTCACAGCCCGAGAGGGAGCTTCTCTTAAACCTGAGATATTTTTGAGGTTGAGGTTAATATTTATTTAATCTAAACATTCTATTTTATTATTTTATCATTAGTTTTTGAGACAGAGTCTTGCTCTGTCACCCAGGCTGGAGTACAGTGGTGCAATCTTGGCTCACTGCAACCTCCACCTCCTGGGCTCAAGCAATTCTCGTGCCTCAGCCTCCTGAGTAGCTGGGAGTACAGATGCCCACCACCATGCCCGGCTAATTTTGTATTTTTAGTAGAGACAAGGTTTCACCATGTTGGCCAGGCTGGTCTCAAACTCCTGGCCTCAAGTGATCCACCCACCTCGGCCTTCTCCCAAAGTGCTGGGATTACAGGCGTGAGCTACGGCACCTGGCTTAAACGTTCTGTTTTAAATATAAAAACCTGGCCTCTGTAACAGAAGCCCCTTTTCAGTTACTCAGTAACCTTACTTTTATCTAACAGTAATAAATGGGAATTTATCTGGAATAGATGCCGAAAATCAGGGCACTGCTCTTTGGTTTTGGATTTCATGACTTTTGGATACCTTTGGGCCTCTCTCCTAACTTAGCTGTCACTTTAGAATAATTTCTTTTTTGAGATGGAGTCTCTCTCTCTCACCCTGGCTGGAGTGCAATGGCACGATCTCGGCTCACTGCAACCTCTGCCTCCAGTCCACTCTCCTCGGCCTCCCAAAGTGCTGGGATTACAGGCGTGAGCCACTCCACCTGGCCGAGAATGATTATTATTTCCGCCACAATGACAATATTTTGTGCTTATTTTGTTAGGATGTGTTTTTAAGATGCAGAAAGCAAGCCAGGCACAGTGGCTCACGCCTGTAATCCTGGTACTTTGGGAGGCTGAGGCGGGTGGATCACCTGAGGTCAGGAGTTTGAGACCAGCCTGGCAAACATGGTGAAACCCCGTCTCTACGAAAAATACAAAAATTAACCGAGCGTGGTGGCAAGTGCCTGTAATCCCAGCTACTTGGGAGGCTGAGGCCGGAGAATCGCTTGAATCCGGGAGGCAGAGGTTGCAGTGAGCCGAGATCGCACCACTGCACTCCAGCCTGGGCAACAAGAGCGAAACTCCATCTTAAATAAATAAACATAAATAAATAAATAAGTGCCTTTGGGGCTGAGGCAAAGCAGAACTCCAGCAGGGGCATCTCAATGTGGCCCACAGCAGGTCAGCCACCCTCCTCCCATCCCCAGTGCTTGCTGAGGGTGAGGCCACCGTCTCTTTCTTTACCAGGGAGTCTCTGCCAAGTGAGTGGTGCCCTGGACGCACACCCCAGGACCAGGAGGGGGTGTTAATAACTTTCCACATAATTAGCCACAAGAGCAATATCACTCTTCAGACCTCAACAGCTTAAGAATATGATGGCTTACATTTAGATCTAAAAGGGAGAACCATATAAAACACCTGTGTATTTTATTTTCTACTAACCTAATTAATAGTTGACAAACATGTATGTTGCTGTGCTCTCTTGGCATAGCATGAAGAGTTAACATTGTTTTCTTCTAAAAGCTGTACAAGAAACCATAGAGGCTTTAACTTTCCTGTTTTTGATGACAAACTAGTAAGAAGTTCAGCGCTCTGTGTGAGCCTACAGGCAGAGATGTGTGACCCTAGCAAGGCTCCTGACAATGCATTTTCGTCACCTGTGAAATAAGGGACACATTTTCTTCCTGCCTGCTTTTCTTTCTGGATTCCAACAATACAGTAATAACATTATTTTTCCTTATATGTGAAGTTTGAGAAGGGTTTTTCCTCCCCTTTTTTTTTTTTTTTTTTTGAGATGGAGTCTTGCTCTGTTGCCAGGCTGGAGTGCGATGGCGCCATCTCAGCTCACTACAACCTCTGCCTCCCTGGTTCAAGTGATTCCCCTGCCTCAGACTCCCGAGTAACTGGGACTACAGGCGTGTGCCACCACGCCCAGCTAATTTTTGTATTTTTAGTAGAGATGGGGTTTCACCATGTTGGCCAGGATGGTCTGGATCTCTTGACCTCATGATCCACCTGCCTCGGCCTCCCAAAGTGCCGTGATTACAGGCGTGAGCCACCGGCCAGTTTTTTTCCCCTTTAAAAAATGTTGTTAATTGTGGTTATAAAAAAAAAAAAAACCCACAAAAAATTGACCATCTTAACCATTTCATAACCATTTCAGCAGTGTTAAGTATATTCACATTGTTGTGTAACTAATCTCTAGAACTTTTTCATCTGGCAAAATTAGAACTCTGTACTTGTTAAACAATAACTCCCTCTTTCTCCTCCTACCCCCAGCCCTTGGCAACCACCATTCTACTTCCTGTTCCTATGAATTTGACACTCCAGACACCTCATATAAGGGGAATCATACGGTACTCGTCCCTTTGCGTCTGGCTGACTTCCCTTAGCATCGTGTCCTCAGGGTTCCTCTAGGTTGTATTGCACATCAGGGTTTCCTTCTGGTTTTTTTTTTGAGATGAAGTCTCACTCTTGTCCCCCAGGCTGGAGTGCAATGGAGCGATCTCAGCTCACTGCAAACTCTGCCTCCCGGGTTCAAGCGATTCTCCGGCCTCAGCCTCCCGAGTAGCTGGAATTACAGGCGACTGCCACCATGGCTGGCTAATTTTTGTATTTTTAGTAGAAATGGGGTTTCACCATGTTGGCCAGGCTGGTCTCAAACTCCTGACCTCAGGTGATCTGCCTGCCTTGGCCTCCCAAAGTAATCCCAAAGATTACAGGCATGAGCCACCGCACCCAGCCAGGGTTTCCTTCCTTCTTAAGGCTGAAATCAAGACAGTGGTTTTTTTTTGTTTTTTTGTTTTTTGTTTTTAAAGAAACCTTGCTCCTGGAGGTAGATAAGATTATAACATTTTAGGTTAGAGATAGGCCTGGAAGGTAGATAAGATTATAACATTTTAGGCTAGAGATAGACATGGAAATGCAATTTGAGGGCCAGAGAAGTTACTCATAGAAAGCCACCCCGCAGGTTAGTGTAGATGCCTCGGTCAGAAGCCAGGGTCTGAGGACATTCAGAGCAAGTACTTTTTCTGCCACACCAGGAGATGAGGGGCTGCACTACAGGTAATCCAAAAAGAAAGATTACAGGGTTTAAAATAGCATTAGAGAGAAGGGAAAATAGCCTTGGTTGTGCAGGACAACACAATGTGCACCTGGGGATGTGGGGCAGCGAGCCAGGGGAGGGGTTAGAATATAAGGAGGGGACGGGGGTAGAGGAAAGACTGATATGGGGAAGGGAGAAGTTAAAGGGAGAGAAAATCAGGAGAGGAGGGAAGGACGGGAACTTAGCGACGGTGGAAGACCCAGGCTTTATAAAGGTGCTAGTGACCTGGCTCTGTGGCTCACGCCTATAATCCTAGCACTTTGGGAGGCCCAGGCAGGGGGATCACTTGAAATCAGGAGCTTGAGAACAGCTTGGGCAATATAATAAGACTCTGTCTCAACAAAAATTTAAAAAGTTAGCTGGGTGTGGTGGCACATGCCTGTAGTCGCAGCTACTACGGAGGCTGAGATGGGAGGATCCCTTGAGCCCAGGAGTCGGAGAGCACAGTGAGCTGTAATCATGCCCCCTGCATTTCAGCCTAGGGGACAGAGCAACCTTATCTCCAAAAACTAAAAAGAATCTTTTTAAGTGCTAGTGAATAAAAATTACTCTTGCCCTATAGCAGCTAAATCCTATTTACTTCAGGCCCACCTCCTTCAATAAGCTAAGTTTAGTGAAAAAGCATGGAATTCTCTAGTGTCCCCCACTCCTACCCGTCCACTGATGCTTGAAATACCTCAAAGTAGGACAGTGGCTTTCAGGCAGTGGAGAGAAGTCTTAAATTACACATGCCTTGCTGAGTTAACAGATTGATTGGCACTCTGGCCCTTTAGAGTATAATCAACCAACCTTCAACAAGTGTAAGTGATTTTATCAGAAACTTCTGGGAAGGAGAGTGAGCGGAACAGGTGGGTTGCTGGATGGCTAAAAAGGGAGCTACTGTATTCATGCAGGAGAGAACCACGGGGGAAGCCAAATCAAAGACAACTGCACTGTGGCTTGATCTCAGCCTCATTTGTCTGCAGTGGTGGTAGGCCTGGGTGGCAGACCTGCTGTGGCCAGACAATATGAATGTGAATCCATAGATTAGATTTGCATGATTTATGATGATTTTATTTTCTTAACCCAGTTAGTTTCTTTAACAAGGAAGCTTTGTCTCAGATGATTCATGAATAGCAGTATCAGGCAACACATAATATGTATGTTTTATAGACACCCAGAATGTACTCACACACACCCATGGAAACCTTAATTGGATGTTCAGTTATTTTGAGAGACTTCGTTTTCTGAGAACTAATTCTTCAGAGACTTGCAGAAGAGAGCAGAAGCCACCTTTATGACGGACACAATTTTCTTTCCTCTGTTCAGCTCCTGGCTGCCTATGAACTTATCAGCCTCATTTCCATATCAAAGAGGAGGCAGGAAAATACTCCCCTGACCGACATAAAAAGACACATTACTGCAGATTGTCTAAGAACTTGTTTTTTTTTTTTTTGGCCAAAATTAGCAAGTTATTCACAGTAATAGGTGAGTCAGACAACAATAGTGTTTAAGAGAACAAAGCCACTCATCAGGACCCTGACCCCAAGCAGGGTCCCCAGCTGCCAGAACATCTCTGCACACTGGCAGCCAAGAGGCTATAAAAAAAGAAAAAGAGGCAGCCAGGAAGTCTGCCACTCACCCAGATGCAGCGACCAGAACATTCATTCCAGGGCTGCTCTGCAGCTGCCCAGGCAGCTCCGTGGGTGGCCACTCTGCTAACGTGGGAGCACACGTGGCTTCCATCTGATGAGCAGTCTCAGGGAAGCTGGGGGCTTCAGACACCAAATGTCTATTTCCCTCCTTGATTTGAGACTCTTTTGGAGCTCTTGGAGACTTCCAGCAGAAACCTGAGCTGCCGGCTGCCAAGAATCAGCGGTGGATTTCTTGACCTGCTCTTAATACCAATTGAATAACCCCTTTGAAAACGTTCACATACATGGGGTACAAGGTGGTACCTTTGTGCATGAGACTGTTCTGGAGACGGCTTATCACCCAGCAAATCAGTGTTGGCCATCTGGGACTCAGCGACCCTTTCTACGAGGCTATGGTAAGAGAGTAAATAGAAAAGGCCCTGAAACTGGACCTGGTGACTAGGGCTTCCAGGAGGGGGAGAAAGGTCTTTTTTTTTTTTTTTTTTTTTTTTTTTTTTGAGACGGAGTTTTGCTCTTGTTGCCCAGGCTGGAGTGCAATGGTGCCATCTCAGCTCACCGCAACCTCCACCTCATGGGGTTCAAGCGACTCTCCTGCCTCAGTCTCCTGAGTAGCTGGGATTACAGGCATGCGCCACCACGCCCGGCTAATTTTGTATTTTTAGTAGAGACGGGGTTTTTCCATGTTGGTCAGGCTGGTCTCCAACTCCCAACCTCAAGTGATCAGCCCGCCTTGGTCTCCCAAAGTGCTGGGATTACAGGCATGAACCATCACATCCAGCGGGAAAAAGGTCTTAATGCAGGAGCTGGGATCCCTCTGTGGGCATCTGGGCTCTGACTTCCGCAGGCAACACCAGCAGGGAGCACGGCCAAACCAGCACATTGGGGATTGACGCTGCTGATTGCTGATCACACCTCCTGCTGTAGGACACCCCCCACGGTCCCCAACCCCCGTAAGTAATGTGGATATGTCTGGGGTCCCGGCCTCTCAGTGGTCTGTCCTCTGCCAGGTGACAGCTAGGAACCTCATAAACGGCCTCGTGCATTCTATCAGAGGCTTTTGAAGACAACATCTCAACTCAAAAGAGTGTCTCCATCTTTAGGGATTCCCACAGGGGTGCTTAACTCTGGCTGTAGGTGAGAATTATTTGGGGAGCTTTTCAAACCTAATGCCACCCAGGCCCCACCCACACTAATTAAATCAGAATCTGTGAGGCTCAGGCATGGGCTTTTTAAAATATACTTTTATTTTGAAATAATTACAGATTTGTAGGAAGTTGCAAAAATAGAGATGTCCCATGTATCCTGCATTCAGGCTCCCCCAGTGATTACATCTGACGTATCTATAGTACGATATTAAAACCAGGACGTCGCTGGGTGCAGTGGCTCATGCCTATAATCCCAGCACTTTGGGAGGCTGAGGTGGACAGATCGCTTGAGGTCAGGAGTTCGAGACCAGCTTGGCCAACACTGCAAAACCCTGTCTCTATTAAAAATACAAAAATTGGCCAGGTGTGGCGGCGGGTGCCTGTAATCCCAGCTACTCAGGAGGCTGAGGCAGGACAATCGCTTGAACCTGGGAGGCAGAGGTTGTGGTGAGCCAAGATCGCACCACGGCACTCCAGCCTGGGAGACAGAGCAAGACTCTGTCTAAAAAAAAAAAAAAAAAAAAAACCAAAAAATACAACATCGGCGTTGGTGCACTGTGTATAGTTCCTGCCATTTTATGACACATGCAATTTTGTTGTTTTGTTGTGTTGTGTAACCACCACCGCGGTCAGGACCCAGACTATTCCATCCTTGCAAGACTCCTTCCTGCTGCCCCTTTACCCTCTATAGTCATACCCACTCTCCATGTTCCACCATCCCTAACCCCTGGCAATGCTAATCTGTTCTTCATCTCTCTAATTTTATCATTTTGAGGATGTCATACAAACGGATTTTCCAGCATGTGACCTTCTGAGACAGGCTCTTTTCACTGAATATAATTCCCTGCAAGCTGTTCAAAGTTGTGTGCATCTGTCCTTTGGGTCTTGTTATTGCTGCACAGTGTTCCATTGTACAGCGCTGCTACAGTTTACCCATTCACCTACTGATGGGCATATTGGGACAACTTGGTCTAGGTGGAGAAGTGAAAACGTAGATATTCGAATACCAAATTTCCCCATGTTTCCAGCTTGGGGCTATTACAAATAAAGCTGCTATAAACATTCATGCACATTTTCTTTCTTTCTTTCTTTCTTTCTTTCTTTCTTTCTTTCTTTCTTTCTTTCTCTCTCTCTCTTTCTTTCTCTCTCTCTCTTTCTCCCTCTCTCTTTTTCTTTCTTTTCTTTCTTTGTCTCTCTCTTTCTTTCTTTCTCTCTCTTTCTTTTTTTTTTTGATGGAGTCTTGCTCTGTTGCCCAGGCTGGAGTGCAGTGGCTCCATCTTGGCTCACTGCAACCTCCGCCTCCCGGGTTCAAGCAATTCTCCCCCTTCAGCCTCCTGACTAGCTGGGACTACAGGCACCCGCCACCATGCCCGGCTAATTTTTTGTATTTTTAGTAGAGACGGAGTTTCACCATGTTAGCCAGGATGGTCTCGATCTCCTGACCTCGTGATCCGCCTGCCTTGGCCTCCCAAATTGCTGGGATTACAGGTGTGAGCCACCACACCTGTTTCATTTTTTTGAAAGCTTCTCCGGTGATTCCAATGAGAAGCAGGGCTAAGAACCCTTGGACTAGGTGGGGAAGTGAAAACGTAGATATTTGAATACCAAATGTCCCAAACATTTTTTAAATCCCTTGTGTGAGCTTGTGCTGTGTGGCAGGGAGTGTATCAGAGTAAATAAGAGCCTGCGTGCTGCCACTCATCTATAAAGTGGGCAGCAACACCAACCTCATTGTATTGGTTTTTTTTTTTTTTTTTTGAGATGGAGTCTCGCTCTGTCCCCCAGGCTGGAGTGCAATGGTGTGATCTCGGCACACTGCAACCTCCACCTCTTGGGTTCAAGCACTTCTCCTGCCTCAGCCTCCCAAGTAGCTGGGATTACAGGCACCCACCATCATGCCTGGCTAATTTTTTTTGTATTTTTGTAGAGATGGGGTTTCACCATGTTGGCCAGGCTGCTCTTGAACTCCTGATCTCAGGTGATCTGCCCACCTCGTCCTCCCAAAGTGCTGGGATTACAGGCGTGAGCCACCGCGCCTGGCAGCTCATTGTATTGTTGTGAGCATGCAGTGAATATAACGCACATAGATACTTAGAACACAGCTCAGTAAGTGCTAGTGCTTATTATTATTGTGTTGGAAACTGAACTTATGTCTTGTTGATTCCTGGCCTAAAACTCCTCAGTGGCTATTGCAATAATCACCTGGGGTTCTACGTGCAAGCTTTCATTAACTCGTATATCATGAAACTTTGAGGGGGCTGAAGTCTGAGGGTGGGCGCCACTTCCTCCTGAGAAACTTCTGTTGGTTTTAGCCCCTTTGCTGTGCTCCACAACACCCTAGTGTGGCTGTTCCTTTTATGACACTTCCTCCTGGATATTGAAGTTGCCTCTTTTTGTGTCTGTCTCCATCTATATGTGCACTGTGGGCTCCTTGGGGGCAGGGATGTGTGTCTTGCTCACATTTTATCTGGTGCTTAGCATAGTGCTTGATAGTAGGTCCTCATTAAACAGATGATGAATGGATGAACAAATGAATGACCCCAGGGTCCCGTTAGTGTGTGTGGCAGGAGAGGATTTCACTCCCAGTGAGTTCCCTGAGAAAGTCCTGGTTTGCTCCTTACTCAGGTCAGTGGAGGCTAAGGAAGCCTGAGCAGAAGGCAGAGCCTGGAGTGGTCACTGACTTCTCCCTGCTAGGGGCTTCCAGCTGTCAGGTTGACAGTGAGCACTCGGAGGGAAACACTATACAGCCTGGGAGGACGTGCACAAGGTTACCACCACAGGCCTCACTAAGGTGGTAGGAGCCGAGCAAGTCTGGGCTTCAGCTGGCAGAGGCAAGGTCACGCGGCGTGAGTGCCATAACCTCTCTGCACCTAGCTTTAGTGATATGCAAAATGTGGACAGTTGGTGTTATACCTTAGGCACAGGTTCTGGAGGCAGACTCCCTGGGGGTGATTCCCAGCCCCTGCACTTCCTACTTTGTGACTTTGGACACTTAACCTCTCTCTCTGTGCCTTATTTTCTCATCTACAAAATAGGCATAATCACAATATCTACCCTATAGGGTTATGAGGATTAAAACAGTTCCTAAATGTGAAGGACTTAGAGCAATGCACAAAATTAATGTCAATTACATTTTTAAAATGCACAAAAAATACAATGAGCATAAAGGAATGCTGTGGGAATCAAATAGAAGGAAAGCGGAGTCATGTTGCCTATGATTCTGGCAAGGCTCGCTGAAGATTTTGCTTGCTATTTTAGTCTAGATTTAAAATTCCACAGCCAGATAAATATCCAGAAAATAGTGACGCTGTAGCAGGGAGCTATTGGACACCGTGTAACTGATCTGCTCAGGCGGGACCAGAAGTCGTCACCATCTGATGTCTGTCTTGTGGCTACATGAAAGGAAGTTGGGGGTATGAGTCCAGTTCCTAGTGGACAGGTGTTTGAAACTCAGTGCCATCTTTAGAATTGGCACCCTTGGTGAGGCCTCCACAGACAGGAGAGGATTAAGTCGAGAGGAGACCAAATTGCTCTTCCACCTGGAGCTGGTGGCCTCAGCAGGACAGGGCTGAGGCTCAGTGACAGAGAGTGGGCGCCTAGAGTTAAAACCTTCACTTTTGCTTATGCTCTGTTTTGCAGAGAAATCTCAAGTTCTGGTCCCCAGAGCAGTCAATCCAACAACTTGCATAGCTGCTGTCATATTCACACAATACTTCCATCTGGCCACAACTGTTTCAAAGAATCAGATGCATCGCTTGTATTATGAAAAGAATAATGTAATTAATGCAAAGTTTTAGGCCCTGAATTCTGCTGTCAGAAATGAAATAAATCAGTGCCATGGATATTACCTTTTCTTTAGAAGTTTTTATTTTAATCAAAGAGTGCTGGTAAAGAAAGGATTTATTTTTATCTTTTTTTTTTTTTTTTTTGAGATGCAGTTTTGCTCCTGTTGCTCAGGTTGGAGTGCAGTGGCGTGATCTTGGCTTACTGCAACCTCTGCCTCCTGGGTTTAAATGATTCTCCAGCCTCAGCTTTCCAAATAGCTGGGATTACAGGTGCCCGCCACCATGCCCGGCTAATTTTTGTATTTTTAGTAGAGATGAGGTTTTGCCATGTTGGCCAGGCTGGTCTCAAACTCCTGACCTCAGGTGACCTGCCTGCCTTGGCCTCCCAAAGTGCTAGGAGTACAGGCGTGAGACACCACGCCCAGCCAAGAAAGGATTTTTAAATTATCTTCTTCTTGTTTTCTATGAGGAGTTCAGATTTAAAGTGTTGATTTTTATTAATATATAGAGATTTTCAGACCCTAAGTAGAGTGTATCTCCAAAATTAGGAGCCTAAGAAGGAAATCTGTCTCCCTGAATTGGAAATAACATAAGTATGGATGAAGTTTTGCATGTATGAATGTTGCATCTTCGGAAATCTCTCCAACTATTCTCGTAAATGATTGGCAAATGTGACTGACGGGACTGATGTTTCTCCCAACTCTCAGCTAAACAGGTGACTCATTCGGGATTAGCAGTATTTTAATTACTGGTGTTTCCTGTTCTCTGAAACAATGTTGTAAGGTCAGATGATCATGGTGCTGAAGGTAAAATATTGGAAACAAACTTGAATGAAGAAGCATTTGTCAGTCATGAGAAAATGGTGTTCAGCTGGCCTGAGACAACCTGTCCTGCCTTGTAGGAGACTAGGTGACGGAGCTGATACATGAGGACTTTGTCACTCCACACCCTCTCCCTTGCAACAGCCCCCTCCTTGGAGAGTGTGTCTCCATGCAGACTCCCAGGCCCTACCTTGGAGACTCATACCCCCAACTTCCTTTCATGTAGCCACAAGGCACTTGACTTGGCTTGTGTGGTTGTCATGCAGGGGTTCTCACCCAGCACTTTGAGAAATGTGCCTACAGCTCCTCTATTGACCTCATCCTCCCCAGTCATCTTTTCTTTTTTTTTTTTTTTTTTTTTGGAGATGGAGTTTCGCTCTTGTTGTCCAGGCTGAAGTACAATAATGCTATCTCTGCTCACCGCAACTTCCGCCTCCTGGGTTCAAGCGATTCTCCTGCCTCACCCTCCCAAGTAGCTGGGATTACAGACATGCGTCACCATGCCCGGCTAATTTTGTATTTTTAGTAGCGACCGGGTTTCTCCATGTTGGTCAGGCTGGTCTCGAACCCCCGACCTCAGGTGATCCACCTGCCTCAGCCTCCCAAAGTCCTGGGATTACAGGCGTGAGCCACCACGCCCGGCGACCTCCCCAGTCATCTTAGCTTGATCGTCTCAGAGTTTGCTTAGATTTTCCTACTGACAATAAACTGCTATTCTGTTTTATAAATCTGTCTTCTGGAAGATTATGTGGAGGTTTTAACTTGCTTAAAGGCTTAGGGTTCAGCAGAGGTGCCTCGGGGTATTGGGGGTGAGGGAGCCTGAAGGAGAGGAGCTTGGGCCGGCCCTGCCTTCTCTGAAACTAGAACCGCTTGTTCTGTGCTTTTTTTTTTTTTTTTTTTTTTTTAAGACAGAGTCTCACTCTGTCACCCAGGCTGGAGTGCAGTCGCATGATCTCGGCTCACTGCAACTTCTGCCTCCCGGGTTCAAGCGATTCTCCTGCCTCAGCCTCCTGAGTAGCTGGGACTGCTGGTGTGTGCCACCATGCCCAGCTAATTTTTCTATTTTTGGTAGAGACGGGGTTTTACAATGTTGGCCAGGATGGTCTCGTCGATCTCTCGACCTTGTGATCCGCCTGCCTTGGCCTCCCAAAGAGCTGGGATTACAGGCATCAGCCACCGTACCGGCCACAACAACTATTAAATGGTCAATGCACAAAGACAAACATTGCCAACTTTCTAGTATAACTCTTTAATATTTTCATGGCTACTTAGGCTTAATTGAAAAATAAAAATAGTGTCGTTTTGTATTTTTTTTAATAGCCAGGCTTCTTTTTCTACCTTTTTGAGCCAATTTAAGGACATTATTCCGGCTGGGCGCGGTGGCTCACGCCTGTAATCCCAGCACTTTGAGAGGCTGAGGCGGGCGGATCATGAGGTCAGGAAATCGAGACCATCCTGGCTAACACAATGAAACCCCATCTGTACTAAAAACACACACACACACAAAAATTAGCCGGGCATGATGGAGGCACCTGTAGTCCCAGCTTCTCGGGAGGCTGAGGCAGGAGAATGGCGTGAACCCGGGAGGCGGAGCTTGCAGTGAGCCGAGATCGAGCCAGGGCACTCCAGCCTGGGTGACAGAGCGAGACTCCAGCTCAAAAAAAAAAAAAGAAAAGAAAAGAAAAAAGAAAAAGACTATTATACCATTGAATGGTGGCAACATAATTACCTAATTAATGCCCTACTTTGAATATTTAAATTGTTTCCAGTGTTTGCTTGTTTGTTTGTTTGTTTTTTTGGTATTATATACAGTGCTGCAAAGAACATTTTGTATGTATCTCAGACCATTCTCCTAGGATGCCTTCCTATTAGGGAATAACTGGGCAAGAAGTAAGCATGGTTTTCAGGTTTCTGATGTATTCACTCTGGGTGCAGGCCAGGAACTTCATGCTGATTCATGAACTTCAGCGGACTTGGGTAGTACCCATTTCCCGGTATCCTCACCAACACTGAGCACTTTAAGGAAAAAACTGCTATTCTGAAAGTAAAATGGTATTTTGTTTGTAATTTCTATTTTACTACTAGTGAGGTTGAACACTTTTTCTTTTTTTTTTTTTTTTTTTGAGATGGAGTCTGCTCTGTTGCCCAGGCTGGAGGTAGTGGTGCAATCTCGGCTCACTGCAACCTCTGCCTCCCAGGTTCAAGCGATTCTTCTGCCTCAGCCTCCCAAGGAGCTGGGACTACAGGCGCCCGCCACCACACCTGGCTAATTTTTGTATTTTTAGTGGAGACAGGGTTTCACCATATTGGCCAGGCTGGTCTCAAACTCCTGACCTCGTGATTCACTCGCCTCGGCCTCCCGAAGTGCTGGGATTACAGGCGTGAGCCACCGTGCCTGGCTCTTCTTTTTTTTTTGAGACAGGGTTTTACTCCTGTTGCCCAGGCGGGAGTGCAGTGGTGCCATCTCGGCTCACTGCAACCACCATCTCCCGGGCTGGAGCGATTCTCCTGCCTCACTCAGCCCCCCTCACTCAGCTGGGATTACAGGTGTGAGCCACCGTGCCTGGCCTGAACACTTTTTCATATGTATCCATTTGTATTATTTTGTGAACTACCTGTGTATGCCGCTCTTCTTTATTTTTTTATTGGGATGTTTTTCTTGTTCTTAATAGCTTGTAGAAGCTCATTATTGTCCTTGAAGGCAAGACCATGATGTCTTGATTTCCATCATGTTCCTAATGCATCATAGCAGTCAATACATATTTGTTGAATAAAAAAATAGTAGGGCTATTAGTCTTTATCCTATGAACAAATTTTCTTTCCAGCTTATTGGTGCAATTTAATATTTTACAACATTTTTATTGTAAAATATATATAGCATTTATCATTTTAAACATTTTTAAGTGTACAATTCAGTGACATTAAATATATTAACATTGTTGGGAAATCATCACTGATACCCATTTCCAAAACTTTTTCATCTTTCCAAACTGAAACTCAGTACACATTAAACAATAACTCCATTCCCTCAGTGCAATTTATTTTATGGTGTCTTTGACATGAGCAGGTTTTAAATTTTTATGTAGTAAAATACATTATGATTTTTCCCTTTAAGTTGTCTTTGATGTTATGCTTAGAAAGGTCTCCCTGCCTGAGAAGCATGGATACGTTCATATACATTTTCTCCTAGTTTTTCTATTGCCTCGCCCCGCCCCGCCCCGCCCCGCCCCGCCTCGCCTCACCTCGCCTTCCCTCCTCTCTCCTTCCCTCCCCTCCCCTCCTTTCTTCCCCTCCTTCTTTCCTCCCCTCCCTCTTTCCTCCCCTCCCCTCCCCTCCCCTCTCCTCTCCTCTCCTCTCTCTTTTCTTTCTTTTTCTTTTCTTTCTCAGGGTTTCACTATGTTGCCCAGGCTAGTCTTGAATTCCTGGACTCTAGCAATCCTCCTGTCTCAGCCTCCTAAATAGCTGGGATTACAGGCCCATGCACCCTGTTCTTCTTATATTCAACTCTTTCTTTAATCTATCTAGAATTCTTTTAAAATAAAGCACTAGTTAATGGCCATTGCGGGGCACAATTCTCCATGTCTCTGGTGTTGCTGCATGTTTTCTGAGCGAAGGCACTGCTTCGACCTCAACTATCTTTTCAGAGTGTGTATAGTGAACAGCCTTGGAAAACAGAGATGGTTTCCTCTTAGGAGCAGAGAGCAGGTTGGTGGCTTATGCATGTAATAAAGATCAGTGGCAAAGATCAAGCAGGCATACTGCCCATTACAAAAGAGCATAGCTCCTTCAGCTTGGGATTCCTCTCCTGTAATCCACCCCACTGCCTGCAGGCAGCATCTGGCCCTCTTCACATCACCCTGTGGGAAATGGGGGCTCAGGGAGCCGGTGTAAACGTTGACCTCCAGGCTGCTGCTACTGCCATTTTGTCTCTGACCCAAAAGTCTTGTACCTTCTGCCAATATCCGTGAAACTACAGCAGGCTAACTTGGTAGTTTGCAAGTAGGTAAAAAGCCCGAGGCCCTCACAGTTTTTGACAAGGACTGAACTGTATTTTTTTTGAAAGTTTAATTTTTTTCAATGCCATGTATTGAATTATTCTGGACTGATTTGAAATTTCACTTGCATCATAAGAAATATGAAGATATACTTGTGTTTATTTCATATCTTTGCTGTTCTATTTCTCTGTCTATTCTGGTGCCAGCAAAATGCTCTTATTTTTGTAATTTTATAGTGTGTTTTAACATTGAGCAGTAAATATCCTCTTTCTTTCTTGATTTTCCCCCCTCCTTTTTTCTTTTTTTCCTTCCCTGTCACTTTTAGTGTTTTTCTGGGGCTCTTTGTACCAGATAAATGGTACCTGGCACATAGCAAATATTCAATAAATGTGTTTTGAACAATGTTAGTAAAATTAAGAGTTATTTTGTCAAGTACTCAATCCCTTTTGAATTTTTATAATTATAGCAATGAAACTGGAAACACTTTAATTTTCACATGTACTACTAATTTCTTAAACCGTTCCTTTAAATGTTAAGAATTCAACTGTTACTGATTATATAATTTAAGCAAAGAATTTAACCTATTACAAAATGCCTAATATAAATATAAAGGGTTCTTGCACTGTTGTCTAAATTGCAGTTTCCTGGATATTTAGAGAGTTCTGAAATTAATGATATTTTTCAACAATCCTAAGGAAATTTATAGGCCAAAATTTATTTACCATCTTTTAATGGGCTTTATTATTTCGTCATTCCTGCTTTCCATTAGAGTAAAATATTGCTTTTGTCTTTGCTAGGAATGTTACAGTTTACCATCCCAGAAGAGACTTTTTAGTAAAAAAAAAAAAAAAAAAAAAAAAATTGATGTCAAATATAGCATTTATTTATGCGAGACATTAGGGACAGGGCAAATATGTGAACTTAGTCTGTTATCAGATTGCTACTTAGGTGTCATTGAGATTATTCTTAGGGATTGCTGCTTTTCTTTTCTTTTTCTCTCTTTTTTTTTTTTATTTTTTTTGAGACAGAGTTTTGATCTTGTTGCCCAGCCTGGAGTGCAATGGCGCGGTCTCGACTCACCGCAACCTTTGCCTTCTCCTCCAGGGTTCAAGCTATTCTCCTGCCTCAGCCTCCCGAATAGTTGGGATTACGGGCATTTGCCACCACACCGAGCTAATTTTGTATTTTTAGTAGAGACGGGGTTTCTCCATGTTGGCCAGGCTGGTCTTGAACTCCTGACCTCAGGTGATCCGCCTGCCTCTGCCTCCCAAAGTGCTGGGATTACAGACGTGAGCCACGGTGCCCGGCCAGGGGTTGCTGCCTTTCTGTGGGCTACTCTACTAGTTGCTGCTTGGGCCGTGACCACTGCTGGTGACCTGCCTGGCACTGTGAAGGTGACATGGCCAGCCACAGCAGACAGTGTCCTATACATAGGTATCTAAGACCTTGGCCAAGGCAGCAACTTCTAGAGCACTTGCCTTGCAGACAGACAGGGATCCTAACTTTGTTGACCTGAAAACATTAAAGCTGGCAACTAGTCCTGAATCCCATGTTCACTAAGCCCAGATGACCTGTTGATTGATGATATTGAAAGAAAAATAAAAGGTTAATACCCTACAGGGAAACAGATAAATTTTCCAGCACAGGTTTAGTTGAGTTCACATGAATTTCCTCATTTTTCTCATGTGTTCAGGGCAAACTCCATTTCCACATTCTGGAAAATCTGGTAGAATTGCTGTCAGTATTTATTTATTTATTTTATTTTTTATATATATATTTTTTAGATGGAGTTTCACTCTGTCCCCCAGGCTGGAGTGCAGTGGCGGGATCTCAGCTCACTGCAACCTCCACCTGCCGGGTTCAAGCGATTCTCCTGCCTCAGCCTCCCAAGTAGCTGGGATTACAGGTGTGCACCATTATGCCGGCTAATTTTTGTATTTTTAGTAGAGATGGGGTTTTACCATTTTGCCCAGGCTGGTCTTGAACTCCTGACCTCAAGTGATCCGCCCACCTTGACCTCCCAAAGTGTTGGGATTATAGACATAAGCCACCATACCTGGCCATGCTGTCAGTCTTTTTTTTTTTTTTTTTTTTATTTTTTGAGACAGAGTCTTGCTCTGTCGCCCAGGCTGGAGTGTAGTGGCACGATCTCGGCTCACTGCAAGCTCCGCTTCCCAGGTTCACGCCACTCTCCTGCTTCAGCCTCCTGAGTAGCTGGGACTACAGGTGCCCGCCACCACGCCTGGCTAATTTTTTGTATTTTTAGTAGAGACAGAGTTTCACCTTGTTAGCCAGGATGGTCTTGATCTCCTGACCTCGTGATCTGCCTGCCTTGGCCTCCCAAAGTGCTGGGATTACAGGTGTGAGCCACCGCGCCCGGCCACTATGCTGTCAGTCTTTAAATGACTTTGGTACCCGCATTGGTTCATATAGACATAAAGGTGTTGAAGTTTTGGAGGTAGGGACTAGAAATAGTTGCAAGTATCTGCCTTCTAGCCACAAGATCAATCTGGCTTTTACTCAGTGTTAATGCTTCTATTTCTTTCTTTCTTTCTTTTTTTTTTTTTTTTTTTTAGGTGAAGTCTCACTCTGTTGCCCAGGCTGGAGTGCAGTGGCACGATCTCGGCTCGCTGCAACCTCCACCTCCCAGGTTCAAGCGATCCTTCTGTTTCAGCCTCTCCAGTGGCTGGTATTACAGGAACACACCACCATGCCTGGCTAATGCTTCTCTTTCTATAAAGTAAGGCTCCATTTCTTTATTTTTCCCCCTTGAAACTATTCCCAAAATTTAGTAAAGCACTTTGTAATATGTAAGGAAATGCATACAATTTCTAGATTTATATAATTTCTAGATGATCATACTTTCTAGTGAGAGGCTTGTGACGTCTGTTTGAAACCAGTGACTGGAAAACAAAAATGTTACAATAAAAAAGCCAGGTGCTTTGCTAAGCGTTGCTAAGATGAACTTGCAATCTCTTCCATTGCTCCTCCTGAAGTGAGGGCAAGTCCCCTTCCCCCACATTTAGTTGTCAAACTCATCTGTGTCATTTAGATAGTTTTGAAGTTGCATAGATCGATCCTAAACATTCTGCTGTGAAGGGCTTTATGTTTATGGCCTTTCTCTTTTCTCTCATTCCTTATCCAGTGAAGACGTGAGGCCGTGTAAGCTCCAAGAGAGCAGGGATCTTGTTTGTCTTGGTCACCGTGATATTTCAGCTGCTGACCCAGTGCTTGAAGCATAGTAAGTGCTCAGTAAGAATGTGTTGCATGAATGATAGCTGGTGTTACAGACTAGAGAAAGTGTTCCTGGCCGGGCCTGGTGGCTCATGCCTGTAATCCCAGCACTTTGGGAGGCCGAGGCAGGTGGATCACCTGAGGTCGGGAGTTCAAGACCAGCCTGACCAACATGGAGAAACCCCGTCTTTACTAAAAATGCAAAAAATTAGCCGGGGTGGTGGCGCATGCCTGTAATCCCAGCTACTCAGGAGGCTGAGGCAGGAGAATTGCTTGAACCCGGGAGACGGAGGTTGCGGTGAGCCAAGATCACGCCATTGCACTCCAGCCTGGGCAACAAGAGTGAAACTCCGTCTCAAAAAAAAAAAGAAAGAAAAAGTGTTCCTAAAAGAAGAACTGCAATTTGTCATGGCAGTCGGGGAATTAGAAATGGCATTCTGGGAATTCTGGTAACTAGCTTGATGACTGTATAACTTATTCCAGGTAGGATTATTCATTATGCTTTCTTCAACCAGCTACACTTTACTAATTGTTTTAGAAGCAAACATCACTAGCAGTCCAGAAAGCAAGCAAGCTGGAATCTAAGTAAAAGAGATTTACTACACATAATGAAAGCTGCAAATGGCTGAGGTGTCTGAATCTCTCCTAAAAAGAGTTTGCATTTTACTGTTGCAATTTACTTGGGACAATATAGATCTGGTATCCATAATAGGCCTGTGGGCCAAACAAAGCTTTGTCACATGGAAGTAGCTGTTGCTCAGCCAGGAATCATGAACACTTGCAAAAAGAGGAGTTGTGTTTGTAGCCATTGGAGAGAATCTTTGTAAGTAAACTCTTTCTCTCGTAATTGAGAGTTGCCATTTTATTGGTGGGGAAAAATGCCCAATTTTACAAAATTGCAAAATCTCTTAGATCCTGTTCTGAAAATAAGTTGACATGAGCATTTTCCACATTCCCTGAGGTCTGGCCTGGATTCTGTAATTTACATGACATGATTAGGAGGGTTCTATGCCATTTTAGACTAATTATGTAAATTGGAGGGAATTCACCCCTTCATTATGAGTAAGTATTTATCTTATGAGTACTAACTTGTAATAAATGTTTAGTTTGCTTCTTTTTGTGCTGCTGTGGATAGTTGCCTTAAAGTGCTGTTAATTTGCCAATAAGCCTTAAACAGGATAACCAGGCATCTCTTTTTAAAAGACCAAAATTTAAAACCCAGATTAGAAGATTGATACAAAATGCATTTGGCCAGTATTTAGTCATCTTATTTGGCAGATTTGTTTTTATTGCTGCTCTCTTAAAAAATATAATGACAACTGTATAGTCTGTTAGATTTTTTTTTTTTTTTTGGTCTTTAACTTTTCAAAATGTTTCCAGGCTTTACTACTTGGCAAAGACAATTTAGGACAGATTTCTTTATTTTCTCCTCTGGCCTAAAACGAAAAACCCCCACTTTCCAAACTGTTACCACCGAAGAGTTTATTAAATGGCTGAAAAAGACAGCTGGTCCCACCATCTGTTAAAATTTTTCAGGGGCCAAATAAAACAGGTTACACCTTTAGCCATGCCAAGTCTTGCAATACCCCCTTCCTCTCACAGCCTGGGGAGGGCTAATCTGAATTTCACGCTCTGATTTTGCTATTGCTAATGTCTGAGCTTCTTATGTGAGCTTCTCCACATTGCTGGTATTACTTCTGTTTTTCAGTTACAAAGCTATTCTCACATTTCAACCAAACTCATTTGCAACCTATTACCTTCCACCTCTATAGTCTCTATAGTTACACCCAGTAACTAGAAGGAAACCCACAGATACCTAGCTAATTTCTGACTTTTCAAGCAAAGGGGGAGAATCAAAAGTACATTTCTGTTGTTTTGCAACCATTTTTCTATAAATGCTAATGGAGGTAATTCAGATTTTGGAACAAAGGCTTAGCTCACCACACACTGCAGGTGTGAAAGGGTTAAAACAAAAGAGATGCTAACCCTAATGGTATTTCTTGTCATTAACAATTCTTTGATGTTCACACTGGAGCCTCCCTTTTATCTTTTAGTTTTTCAGCCATCTTTGTTAACATGCAGCTCAATTGAATCTTTTTTTTTTCACCTCCCTCTGGCCTTTAAAGACATCTGCAAAATGTTTATGCTAAGTTAGTTTCCACTGCATCTTTTAGTAGCAAGGCAAAGTAAAATGAGATAAAGCTTGTGAGGTTATTATTAAAACATCAGTAAGTTTCTATCATTAAGCTGAAGGGAAAGATCAATAAAAAAGGAGCACTTAATGTTACTTTAATAAGGATGCGTTTCCTGTTACAGGACTTGGGATTAACTTCAGTATCACTGAAGTGGGCTTTACAATAAGGAAGTTGCTGTGATCAGAAGAGTTTGACTTGCCCTTACCCAATTAAGCAGTTTGCAAATACTTTGAATGTACTTGATCTATTACTTCCTGTTTTATTGAAAGCTTTCATGATACATATATTTAAATAATATTTTACTATAGCTTTTTTCCCTCCTTGTATCAGTCCCTGGCAGGCTGCCAAAGACTTTCTAAGGCAGGTTTGCCTGTCCTGTCCGTTTGGGATTGGGGGAAGGGAGAGGTGAGATGACGGGGAGTGGAACTGCAGCTTCAGAAAAGTTTGTTTAACTCACTTTGATGACAGCAAAATGTCCGGAACAGTCAACACTGCATAATATACCGCCCTGAGCTACTCAGCAGCAGGATCTGCAACTGTACCGTGGGTGCAAAGTGGAATCACATGTTTCACACCAAAATGGTCTGGCTGAGCTCACTATTCATGAGTATATTTTGTGTTTTCTTGACGTAGAAATGTTTATTAATAGTCTCTGGATTAACAGAGCTTTCCCTTTAACTGTGGGTGGGGCGGGGCGGGGGGCAAATTGTTTGCTTAACTAGTTAACACTTTAACCAGTATAAGTGGCGATCTCTGGACAGTTGATTTGTTTCTGCTTGAAACTTGTTTTTTGGCAAGTATTAATTTGGAGCTAGTTGAAATCCTGAGCGCAGCTGTAATAGACATTGTAACTTCCTCAGCCTTTATATATAGTCCAGCCCTAAATGTCAAATGCTAGGGAGAAGATAATCAGATAAAATACAAATTAATGTTAACAATGTAGCTATTTTATGATTTCCCCCTCATGTTATTTAATAATTCTTAGTATTTATATGATGCTTTTCATCTTCAAAGCACTTTACAAATGTTAGCTAATTAACCAAGAGGTAATGAGGCCTGGGTGATAATGCTGTAGTAAATTTTCTGTAGCTCAGATTATAAAGTAAAAATGAAGATGTATGTATTCATACATTTTTAAAAATAACATTAGGCGGTCTTAGAGAGTTTGTGATTCAGAGGCTCAGGCAATTCATCTTCTATGTATAACTTATGTCTCTCTCTAAAAAATCTTGGGAAATTCAGATGCTCATGAACTGTAAGGATTTTCCCATCTGGCAGGTGGTTGGCAAACTTCTTTCATCTTAGCCTTGTCTGTTCTTACTCCTTGATATTTTTCACCTTGATCTCTCTGTCCAAGAACACAGAAAGGTCCAAAGGCAAGGACATTTACTGTTAGGAATTAGGGATAGACACCCATTTCATTTTTTTCTCAGGTTTTCCTGTAGACAAAAGCTGGGTGAAATACATCCTAACGCACTTGTGTTATTTTACATAGCTTTGCATAATGATAATAGTGCAGTTCAATTTCATTACTTGAGAATGAGTGTGTGTGCTGTGGATGGGTAGTCTGACTTTGTGGAAGGCCTAAATGATACAATTTTTGAAAAAGAAAAGGATATTTTATTCAATATAAAATATTATCATCTGATATAAAATGGACTATTGTAAGAAAAATTAATTCACTAATAAAAACGTTGTAGTTTAGGAGTGGTGGCTCACACCTGAAATGCCAGCACTTTGGGAGGCCTAGGCAAAGCAGATCACTTGAGCCCAGGAGTTTGAGACCAGCCTGGGCAACATGGCGAAACCCCATCTGTACTAAAAATAGAAAAATTAGCTGGGCGTGGTGGCATGTGCCCGTAATCCCAACTACTCGGGAGGCTGGGTAGGAGGATCACCTGAGCCCAGGAGGTCGAGGCTGCAGTGAGCTGTGATGGCACCACTACACTCCAACCTGGACAACAGAGTGAGACCCTATCTCAAAAACAAAAACAAAAAACGCTATAGTTTATAGACTTACATTACAAACTAATAAACACATCCGTTTATGAGACTGAGTTGCTAGACTCAGCCTCTGAGGGCAGGTCTTATTTTCCTGAACACATACTTTGGAAAAGCTACTAAAGCTAATCAGACTCTTATTCATGAATAAGATCCTCACAATTCAGAGGGAATTCAATTTAAACCACTGAAAGTCTTATATACGCTGTGTAATTAGCTCTAACTTAACAAGGATTTATCCTATTTGCTAAAGGCTTTCCCCTCTTCTTTCTGAGTTATGGTATTAAGCTATGTCTACATACCCTAAACTCAGGACTGACAAGTGATAGTTTCAGCCTGGGTGTTTCATCCTCCAGAGACTTGGGAACATGCTGATACTATTTAGAAAAGGCCAGATAATGCTTGGTGCACGGTAGGCCATAAGGTCCAGATTCTAGATTGAATCTTTTTACTTTTCATTCTGAACACCCAGTATCAGTCCATATGCCTTCACAGTAATAATAAATCACCAAAGGAAGAATCAATTACTAAGATGTACTGAATCTGGTTCTATAAATGTCTTGGTGATATGGTCTTTTTATTAACTCAGTGCCTGCTGACAGATTTTACATAAAGTGTACCGTTATTATAGGACTAGTTTCGCCCAAAGAAATAAATTACACACGTAACTTGCCACGACATTAACTTGATCAAGTGGAGCTTACAATATGCTGGTCATGGAGAAGTGTTTCTATTATAAATCATGACCTTGTACCCACCCAGCCTTTTATCCTTACGGATACCCTTAGCTTAATGTGACATCATGATGGCCCCACTCTTCAGATGGGGTGGGGGAGGGGTCAGGAAGGAGGAGAAACAAAATAAAAAGTCATACATAATGTCAATGACACCCACCGTCTCCCTGTTTGCAGGGGAAAGAAAGAAGGGAACCCCAGTGAAGAAAAGAAATGAATCCAATGCATTCATGGTGTTAGTGAAATCTCTCAAATATTTCTTTGCTGATTTCACTGCTAGTGAGATGATCAAATTCTTCAACTTCTGCATGGAGAGATACTGTTATTCTTAAAGCATTCTTTGTGGTCATCCTCAATGTCTCCGTATTTTTTTTTTGGAGACGGAATCTCGCTCTGTCGCCCAGGCTAGAGTGCAGTGGCACAATCCCCGCTCACTGCAAGCTCCGCTTCCCAGGTTCACGCCATTCTCCTGCCTCAGTCTCCCATGTAGCTGGGACTACAGGCACCCACCACCACGCCTGGCTACTTTTTTGTATTTTTAGTAGAGACGGGGTTTCACCATGTTAGCCAGGATGATCTCGATCTCCTGACCTGGTTATCCACCCACCTCAGCCCCCCAAAGTGCTGGGATTACAGGCATGAGCCCCTGCACCCGGCCTGTTTAGTTTTTTTTGTTTTTTGTTTTGAGATGGAGTCTTGCTCTGCTGCCCAGGCTGGAGTGCAGTGGTGCGATCTTGGCTCACTGCAACCTCCGCCTCCCGGGTTCAAGTGATTCTCCTGCCTCAGCCTCCTGAATAGCTGAGATTACAGTGTGTGCCACCACTACCGGCTAATTTTTTTTATTTTTAGTAGAGACGGGGTTTCACCATGTTGGTCAGGCTGTTCTTGAACTCCTGACCTCGTGATCTGCCCGCCTTGGCCTCCTAAAGTGTTGGGATTATAGGTGTGAGCCATCGTGCCTGGCCTATCTCTGCATGTTTTTTGTTTTTGTTTTTGTTTTTGTTTTTGAGATGGAGTCTCGCTCTGTCGCCCAGGCTGGAGTGCAGTGGCACAATTTTGGCTCCCTGCAACCTCCGTCTCCCAGGTTCAAGGGATTCTCCTGCCTCAGCCTCCCGAGTAGCTGGAACTACAGGTGCCCACCACCACACCCAGCTAATTTTTGTATTTTTAGTAGAGATGGGGTTTCACCATGTTGCCAGGCTGGTCTCAAACTCCTGACCTTGTGATCCACCCACCTCAGCCTCCCAAAGTGCTGGCATTACAGGCGTGAGCCACTGCGCCTGGCCTATCTCTGTATGTTTTACAGAAACTTGCTGTAGCCTGCAAGATGCATTGAGTCTTAGCATAAACTCCATTACCAAGAAAAGTTTAAGCCTTTTCTCCCTCCTCCCCATCCTTTCCCCCCGAATGCCCCACTCCCTTCTTTTACTAGAGCATATTTGATTTAGATAGAGAGGTAATAAATTTTTTTAAATCATTTTATTTTATTTTAAAATAAAATTGTATATATTTAAGATGTAGAATGTGATGTTTTCATAACAAGTTGTTGCTTTTAAAACTGCCATATGGTATGCAATATGATACAACTTATGTTCTAAAGTCTTGTATATGCCTGAAAAAGAAACTGTTTTTTTTTTTTCGAGATGGAGTCTCGCTGTTTTGCCCAGGCTGGAATGCAGTGGTGCAATCTTGGCTCAGTGCAACCTCCACCCCGCAGGTTCAAGCGATTCTCCTGTTTCAGCCCCCCAAGTAGCTGGGACTGCAGGTGCGTGCCACCACGCCCAGCTAATTTTTTTTGTATTTTTAGCAGAGACGGGGTTTCACCATTTTAGCCAGGATGGTCTCCATCTCCTGACCTTGTGATCCACCTGCCTCGGCCTCCCAAAGTGCAAAAGAAACTGTTTAATAGTAGAATTAAGTAGGGAAGAAAGAGAGGTAACTTTTTACACTTTGGTATTATTTCAATGTTTTATAATAAGGATGTAGACTTTTAAAGTCATATTCTTCTGGCTAATTCTCTCATCTCCTTCAAATCTTAGCTCAAATGTCTCTTGCTCTGATCAGACCCACCTGGACCACCCTGTTAAAATTGCAATCCACCCTCTGTTCTCCCTTCTTCCCATGATCCTTATTAACTTCAAACATACTTAGAGTGACTATACAATTTATTAATCAAATATGACCTTCTGAGAGTGAAAGGGGTCATCAACCTGGGATGAGAGGAGCCAGGGCAATGTCTACAGTCTGAGGCTATCTGAAGCAAACTGGCAACTTTAGACACACCATGTAGTTGATTTTTTCATTATGCTTACCGGTCATCCCCCCAACCTAAATTGAAGCTCCACAGGAGTGAGAAGGCAGAGCTTTTTATCTGTTTGTTTACTGATGTATTCCAAGGGCCAGAGCAGTGCTTGGAACATAATAGGTCAGAGATTCATTGAATGAATGAGTATATGAATGAATGAATGATAAAAAAAATTCATTTTGGAAAACATGTTATGTAAATGTGAAGGGATGTTCTAAACTATCCCATACCGTGCCAAGTCTTTGCCACACTCCAGACATTGTGTTGAGTGTTCTGCACATAAAAAGAGCACGCTAAATATTTTCTTGTTAATTGGTTTGAGATCTGATGAATTCTCAGAACAGAACCCCATCCCTGTTAAAACGAGTAACTCAAATATATTAAAAGTCTAATAGTAATGCTATTTTTGGTTGGCCACCCTGGACTGATGTGCTGCTATTTTCCTTCATTAGGATGGGTAAGTTAGGATTGATTTATTGTATAGTAACATAACATGTTTAAGTGTTCTCTATCCCCTTTCTGCCCACTTGGAGAGCTATTTTCACCTTTTTTTTTTTTTTTTTTTTTAAGAGACAGAGTCTTGCTCTGTTGCCCAGGCTAGAGTGCAGTGGTGCAATCATAACTTACTGCAGCCTTGAACTCCTGGGCTCAAAGGATCCTTCTGCCTCAGCCTCCTTTAGTAGCTGGAACTACAGGCATGTACCAACATGCCCAGCTTAGTTTTAAATTTTTTGTAGAGATGGGGGTCTCACTATGTTGCCCAGGCTGGTCTCCAACTCCTGGCCACAGGCAATCCCTCTACCTTGGTCTCCCAAAGTGTTGGGATTACAGGTGTGAGCCACCATACCTCACCCTATTTTCACTTTTAAGGAGAAATTCTCTGCATTTTAACATTTTCTCATATAGTTTTGTTTTTGGCATGAATTAAAATATTAATGTACAGACAGCCTTCCCACATGGTGTGATCTCATATTCTTCCTAGTGTTTTTTCCCCATTAGGTATTAACCAACAACTCTTGATGAATTAGTTCCTGCATAGTCTTCACTTAATTTTCTCACTTTGCCATCTATCTATCTATCTATCTATCTATCTATCTATCTATCTATCTATCTGTACGTATCTGTCTTGACACCAATATGTATTTTTCAGTATAATCAGGAGGGAAATAGGAAAGACTGTGCTTCAGCTGTTTTTTTTTTTTGTTTGTTTGTTTCTTTGTTTAGACAGGGTCTTGCTCTGTCACCCAGGCTAGAGTGCAGTGTTAGGATCATGGCTCACTGCAGTCTTGAGCTCCTGGAGCTCCTACCTCCACCTCGTGAGTAGCTAGGACTGTGGACATGCACAACCACACTCGGCTTAAACATGTATTTTTATACTGCTCTTTCATTCATCGCTCCCCATTATTTTGGTGCAATTTAAAAGCTGTTTTGGTTATCCCATAAAATAAAACAACTATTGAAGTCAACTATTTTCTTTCTTGAAAGCCCAGGTGGTACTTGTACTTACCTTAAAAAATGATTTAAGATTTTAAAATGACTTCATCATCAAATGCCTTTTGTTTAACATAGCAAAGGAAGTATTTCTCATTAGCAAAATGTTTTCAGTGATGTGTGGGAAAGATAGTGTTTAGAGAAAATCAAAGGGCATAGGAGAAAAGTTGCAAACTTAAAAGGGTGAGCAGAAAGAGGAGCAAGAGAAGAAGCTGAGGAGTGGCCAGGAAGAGCTGTGTTGAATTGACCATCTGATTTGGGTTTAGTTGATCACTGTCTCATGTAGATGGCATGAGACTGGAGGGCAAGGATATTTATTTCATCTTTCTGTCTAAAACATCACAGAATACGTAGGAGTGTGGGGACAAAGTTCAGTTAAGAAGATGGAGAGAGAACCTGCCCAAGGTTAGAAGAGTGGTCAGTGGAGCAAAAGGCTTCTGAGAGCAGCAGGATGAGGAAGAAAGGGACCCCTGGGTGTCAGTCTGTTTAGGCAACACAAGAACAGGATAGAGAGATTGAGGAAAACTACTTCTTGCAATAGGGATAATCGCATATATCATCTGTAATCATTATTAAGAAGTTTAGCTTCAGGGATAATTTGGAAGGAGATTCCTATTTCAGGGATAAATTCGCCAGTCTTGTTAATCTTTACAGATAGAATGTGATATATACATATATCACATGTGAGATATATATATATATATATATATATGGAAATGTCTACAACAGAAATGTAAACGTTTTGCCTTCTCTGCTTTTTTCAGCGACCTTTCTTAGCCATGAGCTAATGCCTAGTCCTGCCCTGCATCTGGCCTTTAGTCTTTGTTGTTGCTGCTGCTGCTGCTGCTTTTATTGCTTGGTTTTTAGTCCTACAGCCCTTCCCATATGATGAAAGGGAGAGGGGTGGGAAAAGACAGGGAAGCTAGAGAGAAGAGGGTGGGAAGAAAGACCCACTCCAAGGTAATTTTCTGTCACTCATCATGGTGCTTTAAGGGCTTGAGTTTTAATAAACTCCATTATAATATTAGCCACACTTGTTTAAATCAATGTTTTAGTTAATTTAAAGTTAAAGGCCTGTACATTAATTCATAAATATTTCAACAGGGGTTCTCATACTTTTTTGTGCATGGAAATCACTTTGGCGTATAGACTTTCCCTCACCCCACTCCAGAGGCCCTGATTCTCCAGGTCTGGGTGGGCCCAGGGAAAGGTCTACTGTACCGAGCACTGCAGGCAGCTCTGATATACTGAGCTGGGAGGCTCTTGGAAAATCATCGGCTTAGCAGTCACTATTTTTACCCCTTCTGCCCTGGATCAGGTCCCAAGAACCTCCTCTCATCTCTCCTGTTTCTGAAGAAGAAAAGGTGGCTTCTGCCCCCAATACTTCTCTCTGCCCTCCAAAGCTGAGAGGGACGATCAGGTTTCTGTGACCAGCCCCCCGCCCCATCTCCCCCATCCCTTTCTTGAATTCTTATGGCTTTCTCATACATATCCTGGAGCTAAAAGTGGCAGGCTCCTTTTTAGCTATAAATGGGATGGAAAAAGTGGACACTATCAGTGAGGGAACCGTATTGGTTAAATATGATGGGATATTTTGACCCCCTGGAGCCAAAGCCATCAAGAAAAAGTGGGTATTGCCTCTGATGTCCTTGCAGGAAGTGCTTCTTCCCTGTGATTTTTGTGTGAAAATATCATCAAGTGGACAGCTCAATATTTATCAGAAAAATCAGGGAAAACTTGTGTAGTGTGGCTTATTTTAGCAAGAATGTGGGATAAAATGAAACACAAAATCATGTAAGGATTACAGTTGCAGACATAATAAGTTTAACCCAATTCCTGGCATAAAGTAGGTATTCAGCATATATTCGTGGAATAAATGAATATATATATATATATTTATTTATTTATTGAGACGGAGTCTTGGTCTGTTGCCCAGGCTGGAGTACAGTGGTGCGATCTCGGCTCGCTGCAAGCTCTGCCTCCCGGGTTCATACCATTCTCCTGCCTCAGCCTCCTGAGTAGCTGGGACTACAGGCGCCCGCCACCATGCCTGGCTAATTTTTTTTTTTTGGTATTTTTGGTAGAGACAGGGTTTCACCGTGTTAGCCAGGATGGTCTCGATCTCCTGACCTCGTGATCCGCCCGCCTTGGCTTCCCAAAGTGCTGGGATTACAGGCGTGAGCCGCCGCGCCCGGCCTGAATATATTTTTAATAGGCGCGAGCCTTATTCCTAGCTGTATAATATAGACATATGAGACGCACAGATAATTTCTATCTACACCTCTTCCGAGAGCTGTGACAGTTTTTAAAATCTCAATTAAGCTGCTCTTTGGTCACAAGATTACCTACCATGATTGTCAGGAACCTACAGCTACCCAGTCACACGGACAGTTATCAGTCACTCCTAGCCTGACTCAAAATGTGTAGGTTAGTCGGCGGTTAGTCGCTAATAAGATAATGCTGAGGCCTCAGAGAAGTTTTGAATCCTGTAGTGTTCGGCTGAGAATGGTGTCTTGTGATAGCTGGCTTGCATGTATTAATATTGGGGAAAAGATGTGAATTTGCTAATAATTAGAAGTTGTTAAGTCATTCAGACATATTATACATATGGAAACTAAAGATGTTGGAATAGTAATAGGTAACCAGAGAATCCCAGTGTACTGAATAGATGCTTCAGTGGTTTGATGATTCCTGATGGTATAGTTCAAGAAGACATCCACATCCAGGAGTGAATGTAGGATGCTGGATTTCAGGACATAAAATCTTGGGATTTTTGTGGTGATTCACAAAAAGCCAGTGAAGTTAATCCTAGGCCGCAGGGAGAAGCCCAGTGCCCTTATTCAATAGATGAGGAAACCATAGCTTTGAAAACATTCTTTCCCTCTGGGCTCCTTCACTCATTTTTTCTCCTCTTGCATGGTGAGCTGTGAAGCGTTCCACACTGTCTTCCCTCTTCCCACAGTTATTGCTTGATACAGGAGTCAGTAGTTAGGATAACCTCACTGGCTCATATTCTATAGTCCCATTTATATAATATTAATCCTGTAACTTAAAAAAAGGCAACAAAATCATATTATCAGGCTTCTAGTCTAAGAGTCTTTTTTTTTTTTTCGGTTTCCAAGTGGTTATTTTATCAGATTGTTTGAACATTTAATTTATCCTGTTTGCAATCCAAAATAGTTACCTCAAGTTTGCTGTTTTGTGTGTGTGTGTTTACTTTTATTGTATATTTATTTTTCTAAACTCTTTGGCACAATTTTCTGGGGGGCGGTCCAATAGTCTTTTTTTACTAAGCCAAATTTATATGGCGTTCCCCCCAAAATTGTTAGAAAGTTGTTAGAAAAAAGTTTTTCCTCCATTTCTCTCATTAGTAGTCTAGACTAGGGGTTGGCAAACTTTTTCTGTAAAGGGCCAAGAGTAAATATTTTAGGCTTTGTAGGCCATAAGGTTTTTGTCATAACTACTCAACGCTACTGTTGTAGTGTGAAAGCAGCTGTGGACAATATGTAAATGAATGGGTGTGACTGTGTGCCAATAAAACTTTATCTATAAAAAGACACTTTGGAGTTGGGGTACAGAGGCAATCAATATGGTCCCAGCTACCTGGGGGGGCAGAGGCAGGAGGATAGCTTGAACCTAGGAGTTTGAGGCCAGCCTGGGCAACATAGTGAGACCCTCATCTCTAGTTTAAAAAAAACAAAAAAAAAAACAACAAAAAAACCATGCCGGGAGTGATGGCTCACGCCTGTAATCTCAGTACTTTGGGAGGCTGAGGTGGGCGGATCACCTGAGGTCAGGAGTTCGAGACCAGCCTGACCAACGTGGAGAAACCCCGTCTCTACTAAAAATACAAAATTAGCCGGGCATGGTGGTGCATGCTTGTAATCCAAGCTACTTGGGAGGCTGAGGCAGGAGAATGGCTTGAACCCAGGAGGTGGAGGTTGCCGTAAGCCCGGATCACGCCATTGCACTCCTGCCTGGGCAACAAGAGTGAAACTCCATCACCAAAAACAAAACAAAACAAAACAATACAAAACCAAAAACACTGTGGGTCTGGAGCTTTGGCCCACACAGGTGGTAGTTTGTCAACACATAACATTGAGAGATGCCACTTCCCTGCATGGCCAAGTTGAAGAACAAATTTTGCATGTAAGTAATTAAGAAAGTTGAGGGGCCGGGCGTGGTGGCTCATGCCTATAATCCCAGCACTTTGGGAGGCTGAGGCAGGCGTATCACCTGAGGTCAGGAGTTCAACACCAGCCTGACCAACATAGAGAAACCCTGTCTCTACTAAAAATACAAAATTAGCCAGGTGTGGTGGCACAAGCCTGTAATCCCAGCTATTCGGGAGGCTGAGGCAGGAGAATTGCTTGAACCTGGGAGGCAGAGGTTGCGGTGAGCCGAGATCGCACCATTGCGCTCCAGCCTGGGCAACAAGAGCGAAACTCTGTTTCAAAATAAAAAAAGGAAGAAAGTTGATAATATTTATTTTATTCCCTGGATAGATTTACTATTGGGTTGCTGGGGAGAAGCCCAATGAGTTATATGCTTGAATTTTTGGTCTGAATGTTCTTTGAATGAAAGCAGAAATGATCGCTAACCAAAAATAAAGACACTGTTAATTTAGTTATACTGCACAATAGTTGGGTAACTGGCTGAGTTTTTCAGTTTAGTTTCTGAATGTCAGAACTACAGCCAGAACTAACAGAGAAATTGTCTTCCGTTTTTCCTGCTTTCCTTTATCCCTGCAGGTTTTCTTTGCTTCTTAGCGTTCTTCCTGCTTTGTGTCTCCATCTGCCTTTGCAGTACATGCCCCAGACTTCTTATTGCCCACAGATCCCCAACAAACTTGCTTATCCCAGTTCATTGGTTCATTGTCTCAGGACCAGCTCTCAAAAGATAACTCATCCGAGGAACTAAGTACAACTGAAGCATAGATTGTAAGAATAATTTTAGGCATTCTTCTTTGGGAAAAAAGATGGCTGTGAGTGGTCTCCAAAGAGAAGACTCACATCATTTCCCCCATTGCCTTGTTAATTGTCACCAAGAGATCAGGAATTTCTCCGCAAGGCTCTGTAAAGGCTAGTCCATGCTGCCTCAAGACCTTTGATAATTGTGTGAACTATTAATAATAGTTGTCTAAAAGATTCAGACTTCTTTCTACCTCTGCCTCTATTGCACCTTTAGCAATCTGGAGTCTCCACAACTTTCTTCATGGAACCACCACCAGGCCCCTTCTGTAGGCTTCTTATGGAGGCTGAAGGTGTCTACATGGCAGCATAAAATAGTAATTAAGGACTCTGGAGTCACTGCCCAGGCTCAAATCCCTGCTGCAAATTGCGAGGTCTTTGGTGAGTCACTAAATTGCTCTACACCTCAGTTTCTTGTAAAAATGTTACTAACAATGATGAAAACATTTGTCTAATAGGTTACTTGTGAAGATTAAATGAAGCAATAGGGTAAAGCCGGGGCTTGGTACACAAGTACTCAATACATATCAGTTATTGTTATTCTCAGATAGAAATGAGATAAAAGCATCAGCTTTTTTTTTTTTTTTTTTTTTTTTTTTTTTTTTGAGATGGAGTCTCACTTTGTCACCTAGAGTGGAATGCAATGGCGCGATCTTGGCTCACTGTAACTTCTGCCTCCTGGGTTCAAGCGATTCTCCTGCCTCAGCCTCCCAAGTAGCTGGGATTACAGGCACGCACCAGCATGCCTGGCTAATTTTGTATTTTTAGTAGAGACAGGGTTTCACCATGTTGGTCAGGCTGGTCTTGAACTCCTGACCTTAGGTGATCCACCCGCCTCGGCCTCCCAAAGTGCTGGGATTACAGGCGTGAGCCACCATGCCTGGCTCGGTATCAGCATAATTTATATTGAGCTATATTTCGGTTGCTCTGGCTATGGGCAGATTGCCATTTAACCATTAGCGTTCCTTAAAGACACTGAAATACAGGCTCCCTGGCTCCTGAAAGGAGCATGGTTTAGGAATCTGACCCACTTGGATTTGCACATTGCTCCTCCCTACTAGCTCTCTGACCATGGTCAGGTAACATTGCTTTACTGAGTTTACCATTTATAATTTTTACCTATGTACAGCTGTATGGACAGTACATCATGGGAGAATGCCAGTGAAATGGCCAGTTCTTGTTAAATATTTTTATTTTAATAATGGTCTTAGATGTCCTCAGTTTACATCTAAATATCTGTGGAGTTCTTGCAAGGCATTAGGCCAGGTATCAATATCTTACAAATTGGGAGAATTAGTTAAGGAAATATTTTTGGAGAGAAGAACATCTTCTTTCTTTCTTTCTTTCTTTTTTGAGATGAAGTCTCTTGTTCCCCAGGCTGGAGTACAATGGCATGATCTCAGCTCACTGCAACCTCCGCCGCCCAGGTTCAAGAGATTCTTCTGCCTCAGCCTCCCGAGTAGCTGGGATTACAGGCGCCTGCCACCACGCCCAGCTAATTTTTGTATATTTAGTAGAGATGGGGTTTCACCATGTTGGCCAGGCTGGTCTTGAACTCCTGACCTCAGGGGATCTGCCCACCTCGGCCTCCCAAAGTGCTGGGATTACAGGCGTGAGCCACCGTGCCCAACAGAACATCTTCTTTCTAAGCAAGCTGTCTGTTCTGTGTGCAGACAAGGCTGGTCTTGGATAGTATATCATTGGCAGTTTGGTCCAACGAGCTCAGAATGCAGAAAAAATCAACCTAGATTCTTGACTCTGTTAGTGACTCACTGGATCTCTGTCTTGTCCTGTAAGGAGTGGATTGGCCTATGTATTTTCTAAGGATTCTTACTGTTCTAAAACATAGCCTTTGTGTGTATAGGGCAGTGATATGGCATTACTTATGTCTCTACACTGATCTGGCAAGAGGCATCCAACCGTCTAGTGTTGTCACGGAAATGTTAGTTGGTCGGAATAGTTTCTTTGCTTTTAACATTGCAGGGTGAGTAGCAATAAGGGTTTTGTCTTTGTGGTTTTATTTTTGTTCCCCTCCTTTTGTTTTGAATGATATGTGGCCCAGTAATATATTAACAGTATAGAAATGAAGAAAACATTCTGCGTGACTCAAAAACTAGCATTTTTTGCTGTCATCAACCAAGGAGCTGGTTTGGAGAACAGTAAATACCAGAGGTTCACGGAAGTGGGAAGCACTACCCAATTAAATAAGTATAGTGTCCGCCCCAACCACCCGCTATATTCACAGGTTGTCGATGGTTCATGTGCATCATGTGTAAATGCACAAAATCCTTTTCTACTTTTAACAGGAATATAATGAAAACCTGATTTGGCTGGACACTTCAGTAAAAGCAGTCAGACTGGTTTTTACACATAGACACAATCTGAATTGATGACCCGTTCAGTCATTTAACCAATTAACTTGATCAATAACCAGTTAGTGACTTTATTAGAGGTCCTCCATGGATCAAATAATTCAAAGAACCACATATAATTAAATACGAGATTATGAATTAGTTATGGATACAAACAAAGAAACATTTAAGTGAAAATATCTCAGTATCTCTTTAAAATGTCCATTTCACACAAATTTGATTTAGGATGAAAATTAATGTAATTCTGTCAAAGCTACATAGAAAAGCGGCACCATATGCAATTAAAAAAAAGCAATACCCAAACATTTACTTTAGGGATAGTCTCTGAACTTTGAAATATCTATAAAACGGTGTATGTGATATAACTGGCTTTTCTGTTGGAGGTGACGTTAACTGTCACCAAGGAACTGGTAATAAATACATTATGAAATCCCATAAATCAACATTAGCAAACACAGCCCTCAGCAAACTATCTTTCGATGACTACTATAATGATTAATAAGAATGTGAAGTCCAATTAATATACTGATTTTTCACTCTTGAACTTCATCTAGTTCATTAACATAGAAAATATTTAATCCCTCCCATCGTCAATCTAAATCTTAATCCTAATCCTTCTCTTCAGTCTCTGATCATTTCCACCCTGAAAATCTGGCCAATCCCACAACCCCCTTTAATTACCTTTCCATTTCTTTCCTTCCTTCTGCCACCAAGTTTCTGGAGTTGTCTGAGGCCACAGGAAACTAAAGTGACTGTCCTAGTCACGCAGTTAAAAAACTGTGGCGCCACATCTCAACCCATTTCTTCTGCATGGCATCATCTTTAATGTGTCCTTCCTCCACCCCTTCCTTCTGTAGCCCACGCCCTCCGGTATGTAAAGTGATGTCTTTGCACCATGTGTTGGTCTCAAGTCCCTCTCTATTCCCCTATCATTACTCTAGCTTACTAATTGATCTGTAATTGATCTTCTAATTGATCTCCTTGTCTCTTGCTTCTCCCCTTTACACAACAGCCAACAAGCCCTCTTCAAATTTCAGCTCTGTTTATGGCATTCCTCTGAACAAAATCCCCCCCTGGCTTCTTATTGTTTACTAAATAGAGTCCAAACTACTTACTGTAGCATTCAAAGTTCCCCACAGTCTACTTCTTCTGTTTTACCTTTTATTTTTAGTTTGACTATGCTCTATTCAAAACAACAACAGGGAGTGGGCGTGGTGGCTCACGCCTGTAATCCTACCACTTTGGGAGGCCAAGGCAGGTGGATCACCTGAGGTCAAGAGTTCGAGACCAGCCTGGCCAACATGGTGAAACCCCGTCTCTAATAAAAATAAAAAATTAGCTGGGCGTGGTGGCGGACGCCTGTAATCCCAGCTACTCAGGAGGCTGAGGCAGGAGAATCTCTTGAACCCGGGAGGAGGAGTTTGCAGTGAGCTGATATTGTGCCACTACACTCCAGCCTGGTTGACAGAGTGAGACTCCGTCTCAAAAACAAACAAAAAACAACAACAACAAAAAACACCAAACGACAATAGGGCCTAAAGTTTCCTATTTCCTCAGTCTAATTGGGCTTTTCCAGGGCACTTAGTTGTTCCGGTTACACAAGGCTGCTTAGAATGTGGGAGCAGGAAGGCTTTCTCTAAACCTCACCAAGGGCTAGCCCAGCAGTCTTGGTGACCTACTTGATGGAGTGCCAGTTTGTCCTACTTCTGGCCATTTCTGCTGTACTGACCATTCAAGATTCAACTTAAATACTAATTCCTTCATGAAACATTCCTTTATGCAGCCTCCTCTCATCTTACTTGCTTTGCCATTTCTTATTGTAAATGTCTGTGCAGGTGTCACATCTCCCCTCCTATGCTGTAAGCTCCTGGAGCAGCTCCACAACAGTGTCTTAAAACAATAGTATCTGGTTGGGCACAGTGGCTCATGCCTATAATCCCAGTACTTTGGGAGGCCAAGGCGGGCGGATCATTTGAGCTCAGGAGTTCAAGACCAGCCTGGGCAACATGGTGAAACCCCATCTCTACAAAAAAATACAAAAATTATCTGGGCATGGTGGTGGGCGCCTGTAGTCCCAGCTACTAGGGAGGCTGAGGTGGAGGATCATTTGAGCCCAGGAGGTGGAGGTTGCAGTGAGCCAAGATTGTACCACTGCACTCCAGCCTGGGTGACAGAGTGAGACCCTGTCTCAAAAACAAACAAACAAACAAACACAAACAGAAACCCACAGTAGAATCTGAAGAATTGTCATGAGGCATGGCACAAATAATTTATTCTTAATAACAGTTCCAAGTACAATGGCTTTACTGTAAGAGGGGGAATTACATGGTATGTGAATAATATTTCGAAACAGTTGTTATAAAAATAATAGTTCAAATCCTAATATTTAGTTATTTATCTATTTTTTTGAGACAGGGTCTCATTCTGTCTCCCAGGCTGAAGTGCAGTGGTGTATTCATGGCTCACTGCTGCCTTGGCCGCCTGGGCTCAAGCAATCCTTCCACCTCAGTCTCCTGAGTAGCTGGGATTACAGGCACGTGCCACCATAACGGTTAATTTTTAAATTTTTGTAAAGACAATCCCACTGTGTTGCCTAGGATGGTCTTGAACCCCTGGGCTCAAGAGATCCTTTTGCCTCAGCCTCCCAAAGTGCTGGGATTACAGGCATAAGCCACCATACCCAGACTGAATCCTAATATTAACAAATGATTTTAAGTTACTTAAAAATAATTTTAGGCTGGGCGCGGTGGCTCATGCCTGTAATCCCAGCACTTCGGGAGGCCGAGGCGGGTGGATCACGAGGTCAGGAGATTGAAACCATCCTGGCTAACACGGTGAAACCCCGTCTCTACCAAAAATACAAAAAATTAGGCGGGCGCGGTGGCGGGTGCCTGTAGTCCCAGCTACTCGGGAGGCTGAGACAGGAGAATGGCGTGAACCCGGGAGGCGGAGCTTGCAGTGAGCCAAGATCTCGCCAGGGCACTCCAGCCTGGGTGGTAGAGCGAGACTCCGTCTTAATAATAATAATAATAATAATAATAATAATAATAATAATAATAATTTTAAGCAGGACCTGGTACAACATGGCAGATATAGCATGCACGCGTTTATCTCCTCAATTTCTCCAGAATTTTCTCCTCAGTTTCATCTTTAATCCCAATACTTTGGGAGGCTGAGGCAGGAGAATCGCTTGAGCCCAGAGGTTTGAGACCAGCTTGGGCAACATAGTGGGATTCTGTCTCTACCAAAATTTAAAAATTGGCTGCTCTGGTGGTACATGCCTGTAATTTTAATCATAATAAATAAGAACGAAAGAGAATAAGCTCAAAATAGTGATAAGACTGGAAGAGGAACTGATCAAGGGAAGGCAGATTTCAACGTATTTCTGGAAGATGGCAAATGGATAGAAGAAGATACTTGCTTTTAGTAATAAAGAAATAGGTGATTCAAATTGGCCTCCTCGTGAAAATTAGGACAAAATTAAAAATATACCTTATTGTAGGCATTGGAGAGGTAGCAAGAGAGTAGGGAAATATTGAACCCCAAGGTCTAGTAGAAGACAAAATTCTTTTTTTCTTTTTTCTGAGATGGAGTCTTGCTCTGTTGCCCAGGCTGGAGAGCAGTGGTGTGATCTCGGCTCACTGCAACTTCCACCTCCCGGGTTCAAGCAGTTCTCCTGCCTCAGCCTCTCGAGTAGCTGGAATTACAGGCGCACGCCACCATGCCCGGCTAATTTTTGTATTTTTAGTAGAGATGGGGTTTCACCATGTTTGCCAGGCTGGTCTCCAACTCCTGACCTCGTGATCTGCCCGCCTCTGCCTCTCAAAGTGCTGGGATTACATGCGAGAGCCACCGCACCTGGCCAGAAGACAAATTCTAAGAGGAGAGTTCTGGGAGGCATCTGCCCATTCCAGAAGAGGTAACTAAGAAGCTGTGAGGCTGAGCAGTGTGGGGCCAACAGGACAAAAGTTGAAGTCTTAAATATCTACCCCTCAACACACTTACACTTTGACTTAGGATCACAAAGAGCTGCACTGTAGGAGATAGTGAACCAGAGAGTGAACTGCTCTTAGAGGAACTGCAGGCCAGTTTCAAATAATTACAGCTCTGAAGTTGGATTAAAGTGATCCTGACTTACTCATGCCCCCAGCAAATATAACTATATTACTATTTTATGGAGGAATGGAATATTATCCTGGGCCTCCAATTATCTTTACAAATAATTTTGCAAATGCAGTTTCCAGCATGCAATAAACAAATAACCAAGAAAGTAAGAAAACATGAATAAGAACCACATTATAGTAAAAATGCTAAAAACCAAAGGAAGAGAAAACCTTAAAAGCAGTCAGGGAAAAAGACTGATTATCTTCAAAGGAACAACAACTTGACTCACAGCTGACCTTTCAGCAGAAACAATGAGAACTAGAAGATAATGAAGTACAATTTTTAAGGTGATAACAGAAAATAACCACCAATATAGAATTCTGTACCCATCAAACACATCTTTCAAGAATGACAGTGAAATAAAGACATTTTCTGTTAAACAAAAACTTAACAGCAGCAGAGTCACGCTAAAGGAAACACTAAAGAATGTTCTTTAGGTAGAAGAAAATCTATCCCAGAATAGTAGGTCAGAGATGTGAGAAGAAATGAAGAGTAATGTAAACAATAATAATGATGTCTTATGTGACTTGCAATAGCTACAAAATTAAATATACCACAACAGTGGCAAAATAAGAAGGAATATATATATATATGTGTGTGTGTATATGTATATATGAACACACATATGTATATGAACACACACATAGAAATATAGGTAGTGTATTGAGGTCCTTCAATTCTGGAATTGTCTAGGTAGAGAGTAAAAATACAAATAATATTAGATGACTATTATTGGATTACTATTATTGGATAAGTTAAGGATGCATACTGTAATTTCTTGGGTAGCCACAAGAGAATGATGATAAAAGTGTTTGTATGCACCTAATAATGTATTATAGTTTTAAAATGTACTAAAATTTTACAAAAATTGGCTGGGCACTGTGGCTTATCCCTGTAAACCCATGTAATCCCAGCACTTTGAGAGAATGAGAGGGGCAGGATTATTTGAGCCCAGGAGTTCAAGACCAGCCTGGGCAACAAAGTGAGAGTCCCGTCTCTACACACACACACACACACACACACACACACACACACACACACACACACACATACACACACACATACAGTTAGCTGGGTGCAGTGGCGTGTGCCTATAGTCCCACCTACTTAGAAGGCTGAGGCAGGAGGATCTCTGAGCCCAAGAGTTTGAGGCTGCAGTGAGGTATGATTGCACCACTGCACTCCAGCTATAAAGTCTCA
Source organism: Homo sapiens (assembly GCF_000001405.40). Classification (NCBI taxonomy): domain Eukaryota; kingdom Metazoa; phylum Chordata; class Mammalia; order Primates; family Hominidae; genus Homo; species Homo sapiens. The sequence continues at coordinate 170,660,969 of NC_000002.12, read as the reverse complement.
ACAAATTTCAGACTTGAAATCATTACTGAATTGTTCTCTGTTCGTAATGCGAGTAAGCTAGAACTTAATAACAAAAACTAAGTGACAATCAGGATCACAGATGATAAAGAGGATCTTACAGTAGGTTGTACAATATTAAAAATATCTAGCCCTGTGATTTGGTTTGATTAAAAGAATGTGGTGGAATTGTCAATGTAGCACTTCTGAGAATAAAGAGACCTCTTTCTCTCCCCTCCCTTCTTGGAGACTCTGCCACTGCCACTGGGAATAATAGTAACTTGGAGCTTGAGACCATGTAGAACAGAACTAAGTTAGCCCAGCTGTCTCTGCTGTGGCCCCAAGTATGTGAGAAACCCAGCCAAAATCAACAAAGCTGCTTAGCTGACTTGTAGCTAATTGCAGATGCACGAGTGAACCCTGGCAAGACTAGCTCAAATCAGTAGAAATACTCAGCCAACCCCTAGACTTGTGAGAAATATGTAATTGTTTTGGGTAATGTAGTAATAGGTAAATGATACAGGCAGTAAGCCAAGAAAAAACAAGGTATAAAGATTGAAAAGAAAAAAAAATCTGTAGTTATTTGCAGATGGTAAAATTATGTATACAGAAAATCCAAAGGTATCCATAGATAGACTATTGGAATTAATGAGTAAATTTAGCAAAGTTGTGGAACTCAAATGCTAAAAATCAACCGCATTTCCATATAACAGAAACAAATAGAAAATAACTAAAAAAACCTTTCAAATAACATCAAATCATATGTGGCACATAGAAATAAAACTAACAAAATCTGTGCCAAAATTCTCATGTAGAATTATAAATCATTAGCCAGATGTGGTGGCTCATGTCTGTAATCCCAGCACTTTGGGAGGCCGAGGCAGGTGAATTGCTTGAGTTCAGCAGTTTGAGACCAGCCTGGGCAATATGGCAAAACCCTGTCTCTACTAAAAACACAAAAAATTAGCCGGGCCTGGTGGCATGTGCTTGTAATCCCAGTTACTCAGGAGGCTGAGGCAGGAGAACAACTTGAACCCAGGAGGGAGAGGTTGCAGTGAGCTGAGATCATGCCACTGCACTCCAGCCTAGGTGACAGAGCGAGACTCTGTCTCAAAAAAAAAAAAAAGTATACATCATTATTTAGAGACAAAAAGGAATAAATAACTAAATAAATGGAAGGATATGCCATATTTATGGATCGAAAAAGTCAATATTGTAAACATGACGATTCCTTTCAAATTCACTTATAAATTCAAGATAATTCCAAAGAAATCCCAATAGTTTTAACATTATTAGTATTATTTAGAGACACAGTCTCATTCTGTCACTCAGGCTGGAGTGCAGTGTACAGTCCAGAGCTCACTGCAGACTTCCTGGGTTCAAATGATCCCCCGACCTCAGCCTCCCAAGTAGCTGGGACTACAAGTGCACACTACCATGCCTGGTTAATTAAAAACTTTTTTTTGGCTGGGCATGGTGGCTCACACCTGTGATCCCAGCACTTTGGGAGGCCGAGGTGGGAGGATCACAAGGTCAGGAGTTCAAGACCAGCCTGGCCAACATGGTGAAACCCCATCTCTACTAAAAATACAAAAATTAGCTGGGTGTGGTGGCGGGCACCTGTAATCCCAGCTACTCAGGAGGCTAAAGCAGGAGAATTGCTTGAACCTGGGAGGTGGAGGTTGCAGTAAGCCGAGATTGCGCCACTGTACTCCAGCCTGGGTGACAGAGCGAGGCTCTCTCAAAAACAAACAAAAAACTTTTTATTGTAGAGATGGGGTCTCACTATGTTGCCCATGGTGGTCTCCAACTCCTGGCCTGAAAGGATCCATGCTAGTATGCCTGACTAATTAAAAAAAATTATTTTTGTAGAGATGGGGTCTCACTATGTTGCCCAGGGTAGTCTCCAACTCCTGGCCTGAAGAGATCCTCCTGCCTTGGCCTCCCAAAGTGCTGAGATTACAGGCATGAGCCACCATGCCTGGCCCTCCAACAGCTTTTGTTTTTCAGATGTTAACTGATTCCATAATATACATAGGGCCCAGACTAATGGGAAGTTTCTCTTGGAGAAGAAAAACAATGTTGGAGGCCTTTTGTTGCCATATACTGAAGCCTATTATAAAGGTATAGTATTTAAGACAAGGAAAAACAAATAAATCAATGAACAGAATAGAGAATCTGGAAACAGACCCATGAACACTTGACTTACATAAATGGTAGTATTTTACAGCAGTAAGAAAATAATGGCCTTTTTATTAAATGGGGCTGAGACAATTGAATAACCCTATAGAAAACATGAAAATTGACCCTCACTGCACACCATTCACAAAATCAATTTTGGGGAGTTGAGGAGCTAGATGTGAAAGGCAAAACAATAATGCTCCCAGGAGATTCTAAAAGCAAGTATTTCTGTGGCCTTGGGGTAGGAAAAGTTTTTTGTTGTTGTTTGTTTGTTTGTTTTGAGACAGGGTCTTACTCTGTCACCCAGGCTGGAGTGCAGTGGTGCAATCACAGTTCACTGCAGCCTTGACCTCCTGGGGCTCAAGCAATCCTCCCACCTCAGCCTCCCGAGTAGCTGGGACTACAGGTGCATGCCACCACACCCAGCTAATTTTTGTAGTTTTGGTGGAGACTGGGTTTTGCTCAGTCTGGTCTCGAACTCCAGAGCTCAAGCAATCTGCCCACCTTGGCCTCTTGAAGTGCTGGGATTATAGGTGTGAGCCACCAGATTTCTTAACAGACCATAAAAACATACTAATCAAAAAGGAAAAGCTGGGTGACAAAATAATCTGTACAACAAGCCCCCATGACATGAGTTTACCTATGTTACAAACCTGCTCGTGTATCCCAGAACGTAAAATAAAAGTTAAAAAAAGGAAAAGATTGATAAATTATACCACATTAAAACTACATACTTTTTTCTCATCAAAGGCACTTTAAAAGAATGAAAGCGTAAGCTGCCTAGTGGAGAAAATATTTGCAACACATATGACTGACATATAATGTGTTTCTTCACATTAAAAGAAAAAAATGGTTAAACTAATTCAAAATGGTCATGTTATAAAAGTTATCTAAGTTGGGCACAAAATACATAAAATGTGCCCAGTATCATTATTAATGAGGGATATATAAGCTATAATCACAGTGAGATTCTGGGATTCAGCACCCCATCAGAGTCCCCAGATGACAGGCGAAGAGTTGGCAAGAGTTGGTGAGAATGCAGAATGGGAGCTCTTTTATACCACTAACAGGATTGTAAATTGGTATGACTACTTTGCAAAACAGTTTGGCATTCTGTACTGAAGTAAAGATATGTATACCTTATGACTCTGCAACTCTCATCTTAGGTATATAGCCAACAGAAAACCATGCAAAAATAGACACCAAGAGATAGATACAATAATGTTCACAGCAGCAAGTTCTAAAATAGCCCCAAATTGGAAAAAATTCATATTCATCCATTAAAAGTAGAATGACTGGCCGGGTGCGGTGGTTCATGCCTGTAATTCCAGCACTTTGGGAGGCTGAGGCTGGCGGATCACCTGAGGTCAGGAGTTCGAGACCAGCCTGGCCAACATGGTGAAACCCCGTCTCTACTAAAAATACAAAACTTAGCTGGGCATGGTGGCAGGTGACTGTAATCCCAGTTACTTGGGAGGCTGAGGAGGCAGGAGAATCTCTTGAATCTGGGAGGCGGAGGTTGCAGTCAGCCGAGATCACACCACTGCACTCTAGCCAGGGTGACAGAGTGAGACTCAGTCTCAAAAGAAAAAAAAAAAAAAAAAAAAGGTAGAATGACTACATCAATTATGTCATATTCTTCTACTAGAATACTACACAGACATGAAAATGAGCAAACTACATTTACATTCCATGACATAGATGAACCTTGCAAATGCAACATTGAATGAAACAAGACCTAAAAAATTATTTACTGTAGGATTCCATTTATATAGAGTTCTCCAAACCTAATTATGAGGCAAAACCTAACTATAGTGTTTAGGAATGCATGTAAGTATAAAACTATAAAGACAATCAAGGAAGTGTTTACCAATAAAGTCATGAGAATGTTTATCTTTGGGGAGGCACAGACAGGAGTGGTAATTGGCAAGAGCCTGGAGAGAGGCTTCTAGGTGCTAACAATGCTCTGTTCTAGACGGGAGGATGGTTACATGGGCGTTGATTTTCTGATAATTTATTGAGCTCAGTCTTCTGATTTGTGCCCTTTTCTGGATATGTATTATATTTGAAAAGAAAGTTTGGGCCGGGTGCAGTGGCTCACACCTGTAATCCCAACACTTTGGGAAGCTAAGGCAGGTGGACTGCTTGAGGCCAGGAGTTTGAGACCAGCCTGGGCAACATGGCAAAAACCCATCTCTACTAAAAACAGAAAAATTAGCTGGGTGTGGTGGTATATGGCTGTAATCCCAGCTACTCAGGAGGCTGAGGCACAAGAATTGCTTGAACCCGGGAGGCAGAGGTTGCAGTGAGCTGTGATTGCGCCACTGCACTGCAGCTGGAGTGACAGAGCAAGACTCTCTGTCTCAAAAAAAAAAAAAAAAGAAAAAAAGAAAAAGTTTAAAAAAAGTAGATGAAGGCATATCTGCAAATGACCAAAATGGAAGAAGCAGCAGCTCAAAATATGAACACTAAATATCTGCAGTGGAACTTTTAAAAAATGTCCTACTCCCAGAATCATTTCTGTTTGACTTGACATTGTTCAGTCTGCTGGTTTTCTTATTTTACTTATTTTTATTTTTTTTTTAGATAGAGTCTTGCTCTGTTGCCCAGGCTGGAGTACAGTGTGGCGATCTTGGCTCGCTGCAAACTCCACCTCCCAGGTTCAAGCGATTCTCCTGCCTCAGCCTTCCTAGTAGCTGGGATTACAGGCATGTGCCACCATGCCTGGCTAATTTTGTATTTTTAGTAGAGATGGGGTTTCTCCATGTTGGCCAGGCTGGTCTTGAACTCCCGACCTCGGGCAATCCACCTGCCTCGGCCTCCCAAAGTGCTGGGATTACAGGCATGAGCCACCGTGCCAGGCCAAATCTACATTTTTCATAAGGGGGAGATTAAATATTGTCTAAAATGACAAATCAAGAAGATAGAAGCAAATTATTCAGAGGCATGCTAGCAACCGTTAGAAGAGTTGGAAATAATTTTAAACAATGATTGCTTCCTGGAGAGAGGCACATGGAGAAGAAGACTGCTCTCCACTATAAACCCTCTGGACTATTTGATTTTTGTCACGTGCATATTACTTTGATAAATCTAATAAAAGTTACAAGATTCCAGGTTGCATCATTCTCATCTGCTTGGTTTAAGAATTGCTTTTTGAGGCCGGGCACAGTGGCTCACGCCTTTGATCTGAGCACTGTGGGAGGCCAAGTCGGGCAGATTACCTGAGGTCGGGAGTTCGAGACCAGCCTGACCAACATGGAGAAACCCCCGTCTCTACTAAAAATGCAAAATTAGCTGGGCGTGGTGGCACATGCCTGTAGTCCCAGCTATTAGGGAGGCTGAGGCAGGAGAATCTCTTGAACCCAGGAGGTGGAGGTTGCAGTGAGCCGAGATCACGCCATTGCACTCCAGCCTGGGAAACAAGAGTGAAACTCCATCTCAAAAAAAAAAAAAAAGAATTGCTTTTTGAGTTTTGGTACTGTGACTAGCCCAAGAATAATGTCTACAGTCCGTCTTCTCTATACTGTGACTGAAAGTGAACATCATTTCTAAAGTACTCTTAGGAGTATGGCTGTATTAATGACTTAACTATGCAGAGCTTCTGGATTATGATTCCACAATTACTTCTGTTTTCTTTTTAAGTTTATTTATAGATATATTTAAATGAGAAACAAGCCAGGTTTAGAATTACATTGTGCACGGACAAGCAGGGAGTTATGAACATTTCCATTCAACAATTTGAAAAGCAGCTCATATTATCAAACCAAAAGTAGACAATCAGTGACAAAAGTGAAACTTCCAAAAGCACTCGTATATTAACAGTAACATAAAAAATTTATATATTCTACACATTATTTTTTAAACAATAAAATAAAATTTATCTGCATTTTTTCTGCTCTACTTATAAACATTACCTTTTGGGTGAAGTTCAGCTATTGAAAAATTGGCTATATTTATTTTACTTGTAAAATTACAATTTCTGAGATCTTTAAATACCTCATTTCATTATTTATCTTCATAAAAGGCCTATTAATGTGCTCCCTTTCAAAACTCTGATAACAAGATTTTCTTCAAGGTTATTTCTCTCAAAATTTAGGTGTCTTCTTGCATACTATCTCTTTTTTTTTTTTTTTTTTTTTTTTTTGAGACAGAGTCTTGCCCTGTCGCCCAGGCTGGAGTGCAGTGGTGCGCTCTCAGCTGACTGCAACCTTTGCTTCCCGGGTTCAAGTGATTCTCCTGCGTCAGCCTCCTGAGTAGCTGGGATTACAGGTATGCACCACCATGCTGGGCTAATTTTTGTATTATCATTATTTTTTTTAGTAGAGACGGGGTTTCACCATGTTGGTCAGGCTGGTCTCGAACTCCTGACTTCATGATCCGCCCATCTTGGCCTCCCAAAGTGCTGGGATTACAGGCCTGAGCCACCGCACCCGGCTTTTCTTGCATACTATCTACCACATATTTTAGAGTAAGAAAAATATTAAGAACATCTGTTCTAGAGAAATGGTCTTATAGGGCTTCTTTGTTTTTGATTACATCACACTGCAATTTGTCATGTTTTATATAAAGTAGGTGCTCAAAAAAGTTTGTCATACTGAATCATGTTGAGTATTATCTAACATCATTACAATATAATCAGCCCAAACTTGAGTGAAAAATCAGAGGTTATAGTGTATGAAAAGTGACTAATCATATGTAACATACAATTGAAGGTAACATTCCTGTCAGATATGCTTGTGTAACTTAGTTAAGTTTCTCCATGTATTCTCCATTCACTAGATATACCCTCTACCAAGCCCTGTGCTAGGCTCTGTGCACACAAAGATGGACAAGATCAGGTCCTTCCACTGTAGCCACTGATAGCCTCATGGAGTTATTTGACCAGTGAATGGAGAGTTACAGAATAAAGTGACCTGGACTTTCCCTGTCACCAAAGTGACAGGTCCAAACTTTCCCTCTCATTCCTTTCTTTTCATCACCAAAGTAGTGTGGGTGTCTTGGCAAGGTGAAATAAAGAGACAGAGGCTTTCTCAGCATCATAATTAACAAGAGAGGGGTTATTTGCCTTGTAGAAAGAATCTGAAAGATTTAGGCCTATCTGCCTAAACACAGGCAATTATCCTGTTCTAGGAGATCTTGGGGCCAATCCTCCAGGATGGGGCACTCAGCAATGGAGCCCTGACTCTGGGGGAGGTGGGAGTGATAGAAAAGCCCAGCAAAGGTGGGAGGATGGAGAAGAGTGCAGGAAAGGAACTCCTGGGTCTCCACTGGGGCAGATTCTGAATGGATTGAAAAGTAACTTGATAGGAAAAATCAAGCAATATTATCAGGGTCCATGATTAGACTGGGGTGAGACTGGCTGTTATCTTCCTAGACACTGGGGGCATGAATGACTGTTTAAACTATTGTAAAGGTGTTCTCAGTGTCCCACAGGGCCCCATGGGATGAGAAAGGAAGGCAGCGCCCAGCTCAGGCTGCACAACACATGTGGGAGAGTGGTAGAGGATAGGATAAGATGTTTTGGAATCTGCAAGTGGTTCAGTAAGGTTCAGGCATGGACCATATGTCCAAAGAAGCTGACCCCATATCAGTGCTTTCTTACGCAATGACAGACAGTCGATTACCATGAATGTTCCTACTCTGGACAGATTTAGGGTTAGGAAGCACAATTTAATGTTGAGCAAAAGAGTCTCCTTTTGAGGATGAAGAAAAAAAGGAAGGGTGGGCTGAGTTGTTCTCCTCAGGGATACAGTCCACTGGTGACAGAGATTTGTAATATTCATCTTCCCCATCAAGTACTTTGATTTGGCTGCAACAAAGAAAACAACAGGATTTTCAACAAAAAATAAAACAAATGTTACAATCATCACTGGGGCAGCTAAAGTCATGTGAGTAGCTGGAACAGGGTTGGGCTCCAACACTGGAGGGGAAGGACAGCTCCTAGGTAGCTCAGGGTCTCCCAGTACAGAGGTACCAGGGTCTGATCTACAAAGCCCTTCACCTTTGGGTCGTGCACTGATAGTGGGTCCAGTTTTGTGGTGTCTGGAAGTTGTGGTCGTATTGCAACTTGCTTTATGGGATTGAACTCTGTCTCCATCTGGTTCCCTCTAGATGAGAAAGTTTTCCTCCTGACCTCCCCCAATTCTCTAATTATTACCATTATGTACTTCATTGCTGTTCTCAATTGAGATGCTAACTATCAAATGAACGACAAATTCCTTACTATCCTCTATCTAACCAGTTGGGCATGTTTCTCCTTGTCCATGTTTTTAAGGCCCAGGGGTAGGATAATGTGGAGGAAGTGGCCTATTTGTACTTCGTAGAGTGCTCTTATTTGTGGAAGGAGAATTTTATATAACCCACTACATGTCTCTAATTATGAAGAAAGTACAATTCCCTGGAATAATTATGAGAAATAACATTTGCCCTTAGGTGACAATTTCAACCTTTTTGGACAGAATAGATTCAAGTTTTGTATACTTGCTACTGTGAAAAGTAATTTCCAATGTCAATAAGAGTGGCAATATCTGGATTGCATATTTTTAGAAGCCTCTCTGGAAAGTTTTGCATTTTCTGTAATATCACAAAGGACCCCTTCTGTTTACAGTTGCTTAGAACTAAGAAGACAGATATTTACCCAAGTTTTCTTGGCTTCCTCTTGCTCCCTTGATATTCTAGAGTTCCCTGTGGAGAGGGCCAAGAACACACAGTCAAAGCAAAGCAGCAAGTCGTTAATTTTTAATTCAAAGTGATTTTGTGTTGAATGCAAGCAGATGCTGATAATATCAGAAGTCACAGCATAATTTTTTTTGATCAAAGGGCTCAAGTGAGCCTGATGAAGCATGCATCTTGCTCGTCTTTGATAAACCACATCAATTATTCACCGTGAAGGCAGACATCCTGACATGAAAGCAACAGATAAAGAGCCTAAGCACATGTTCAAGACGAGAGCATGAGGGTGGGGGTGGGGCTGCAGGGGCTGGAACAGGTAGTAATAACAGAATTATTAACTGGAAACAAAGCCAGTGAAACAGCTTTACGGCCACTTTGAACTCACATTTAACTGGTTATAGTACATGGTGTCCTCAGGGCTACTCAGCATTTTGGGCTGCTGACATCGTCGGCGAGGTGTTCGATGCTTCTGTGCAAGACCATTTTCTGAACCTGAAAAAAGAGCAAAACTTTGCTGTAAACTGTCCGAGGTGTTGGGAAAATTAAGTGAAAAATGGCTCTTCACATAAATGCACTTAGTAGAAACTGTGTCCTATTTTAATGGGCATATTAAAAGCTTTACTAATATTAGGAGAAATGCCATCCTAAAAAATACACACAGATTGCTAAGTGTAAACAAGGGCCACTGTCTGTAACTTTGCATTCAGCTTTCTGATCTGAATCAGCAGTCCAGGGTGACAGAAAGCAAGTTGTTGTTTCCACATTGGTGAAGTATAAGTTGGTGGTCAGCATTTATAGAGTAGGGTGCCCTTAGTGGCATGACTATGTTAGGACAACCAAAGTAATCTGGGATTGTTTGCACCACATCCTGCAATGAGAGTTCAAAAACATCTGGAGCACACATACTCTTGGGGAGGTGAGAAGCAAACCTTTTGGTGGGATACATTTTGTCGGGGGGGAAATGGCTTGAGCTAAAATTTACTGAAATGCTTTGAACAATACCACTGATGCATGCAGTCTTTGGAGGTAGTGTAAAAGAGAAGGAGAAAGGATGATTGCACGATTACATGAAGCAGTCTCTCCCTGTTTGTCCTGATTTCAGAACCCTGGACCAAGAGTGCCCTGGAGATTAAGAAACCACGAGTCAGAAGAAGTCATAATTCATGGCTGGGCGCAGTGGGAGGCTGAGGCGGGTGGATCATGAGGTCAGGAGTTCGAGACCAGCCTAGCCAACATGGTGAAACCCCGTCTCTACTAAAAATACAAAAATTAGCTGGGTGTGGAGGTGCACACCTGTGATCCCAGCTACTCGGGAGGCTGAGACAGGAGAATAGCTTGAACCCGGGAGGTGGAAGTTGCAGTGAGCCAAGATCGTGCCACTGCACTCCAGCCTGGGCAACAGGGCAAGACTCCATCTCAAAAAAAAAAAAAAAAAAAAAAAAAAAAAGTCATAATTCATTTCCCTTCCAAGCAAATGATTTTTTGGATCTACTGTCCTTTTGGCTCTATATCTGAATCAGGATTCAGCAGTTCTAATTTCTTGGCAACACACACACAGACACACACACCTCTGTCATAGAATATTGTCCATGAATGTTGTTGTTTAGAGAAAAGCTATCACTATCCTGGAGGACAGAGTGTTTATTATAAACTATTCATTAAAAAGAGTTGGAGATTTTACTTGGTATCATATTTTAACTTCACCAGAGATTTCCACGATTTAAAAAAATTCTGGGGGAATTTTTAAAGTAGAGAGTGACTTAGCAAGGTCCATTATTAATACCAAAATATTTGTTCCCTAAGTATAAAGTTTTGTATCTTGATTTTTCTTGAATTGGGACAAATCTATATTTGGACAAGACTATCAGAACCCAGCCTGGCCAACATGGTGAAACCCCATCTCTACTAAAAATACAAAAATTAGCTGGGCGTGGTGGCGGGCGCCTGTAGTCCCAGCTGCTTGAGAGGCTGAGGCAGGAGAATCACTTGAACCTGGGAGGCAGAGGTTGCAGTAAGCCAAGATTGCGCCACTGCACTCCAGTCTGGGTGACAGAGTGAGACTCTGTCTCACAAAAAAAAAAAAAAAAAAAAAAAAAAAAAGACTATCACATCCATCCATTCTAAATACCCATTTTTTTTTTCAGAAGAGAAACTGAGGCCCATAAAATTGAATGGCTCATCTCAGATCAAGTGGCCAGGTGGGTACCCAACCCTAGATTTCTTACTTCTTGTTCCAATAGGTGTTTTGTTTTTTTTTTTTTTTACACTATAGCATATGGTCCTTTTTTTTTTTTTTTGAGATAGTCTCACTGTTGCCCAGGCTGGAGTGTAGTGGTGTGATCTTGGCTCACTGCAATTTCTACCTCCCAGGTTCAAGCTATTCTCCTGCCTCAGCCTCCCAAGTAGCTGGGATTACAGGTGTGCACCACCACACCCAGCAAATTTTTGTATTTTTTGTAGAGATGGGGTTTCATCATGTTGGCCAGGCTGGTCTCGAACTCCTAGCCTCAAGTGATCTGCCCTCCTCGGCCTCCTAAAGTGCTGGGATTACAGGCATGAGCCACCGTGCCCAGCTTATAAGATATTGCCTTTCTTAAGAAGAAATGTTTTTTAAAGTCAAAGGTTTAAGTAAAAGTAAGTTCGATGAAAAAAATATGTATTATATATTATATATTTTATATGTAATATATTATATATATTTTATATGTAATATTTTATATTTTATATTTTTATATAATATATTTATATTTTTATATAATATATTATATATTATTTTATATATAATATATATTATATTATTTTATATATAATATATATTATTTTATATATAATATATATTATTTTATATATAATATATTATATATTATTTTATATATAATATATATTATTTTATATATAATATATTATATATTATTTTATATATAATATATATTATTTTATATATAATATATTATATATTATTTTATATATAATATATTATATATTATTTTATATACATTATATATTATTTTATATATAATATACATTATATATTATTTTATATATAATATACATTATATATTATTTTATATAATATACATTATATATTATTTTATATATTATACATTATATATTATTTTATATATTATACATTATATATTATTTTATATATTATACATTATATATTATTTTATATATATTATATATCATATTTTATATATATTATATATATTTTATATACTATTTCATATATAATATATAGAATATAAACATATAGAATATATTCTATATATAATATAGAATATATTATTTATAATATTCTATATAATATATAATATGTATTATATAGATTATAGAATACATAGAATATATTATATTCTATATATAATACATTATATAGAATATAATATATATTTTACATATTATATAGAATATAATATATATTATATAGAATATAATATATATTATATAGAATATAATATATATTATATAGAATATAATATATATACATATTTTTTGAGACAGAGTCTCATTCTGTCACCCAGGCTAGAGTGCAGTGGCACGATCTCAGCTCACTGTAGCCTCCGCCTCAAGCGATGCTCCTGCCTTAGCCTCCCAGGTAGCTAAGATTACAGGCAGATACCACTACACCCAGCTAAGTTTTTGTATTTTTAATAGAGATGGGGTTTCATCATGTTGCCCAGCCTGGTCTCGAACTCCTGACCTCAAGTCATCTGCCCAGCTCAGCCTCCCAAAGTGCTGAGATTACAGGCATGAGCCACCATGTCTGGCCTCAATGAAAACATATTAATTAGCATAGCAAAACAATGTTGCTTGCAGAAGGTCCAACAGCCTTAACAGACATTTTCATCCACCTCTTCATGATCACTGTGCAGAGCACAGGAATCTAGCCTGTTGTGCTGGCAAAGTCCTCAGAACACAAAGAACACAGCGGTTCTTTCTGACGGTTCCAACATACCTCCTCCTTGTTTGCTTTGTGAAGTCCATACTCTGCAATATGGTAGAATGTGAAGCTGTGAGTCCCTTTTGTGTCATCTCCTTTCTGATTTATAGATCAATGAAGAGAAGTGTCCTTAGGTCCGGCTGCTGGTGTGAAGTATGCTCTGGAGGTCTGACATCCACTCTCCCTCAGACTTTCTAATACGGCAGGAATTCCGTCCATGGTAACTCAAAAGACTGATCTTAAGAAGTTTTTGGGTTCAACTAGAGTTCAGCCTAGTTCAGCTGGACTTCATATTTATATAGTGTTTACATTTTATCAGAGGTTTTTATTTATATTGTCTCAACTGGTAATGCTTTATATACGATATGATTTTCAACTTTTGTTCTTGACGAACTTGCTGTTTCATTGGCTTTTATTTTTTTCCTGATTCTTATAAGGAATTAAGTTATTGGATAGAATGTTCTTAATTTTAATATTTCTCCCATTACTTAAAAACAACTGTTGGTGTCTAATCTTATGGTTTCTACACTATACTAGAATCTGGTATAAGCTAGTTATCTGATTTAGCATCAGATTTTAATTTTCATTATTTTAAGTTTAATTTTTCCATATTTCACAATGTTCTGCAAAGAATGCTGTAACTTCCAGGTGCTTTGCCATTGGAAGAAATCTGAGTGTCACTGATACAATGATCCATTGTAAGCAACCGAATAAATAGTTGGGAAGTAGACCATTATTTAATAAATGCTACTGGAACAATTTAATGGCAATATGCAAAAATATAACTTAAATACAGACATATTAACATTTATCCTATACACAGTGTACTTTGCTGGATTTTGTGGAAAATACGAAGAGAAATAAGACAAAGTCCCTGTTTTCAATCTAGTAGAGGACACTGTTTTAAGATGTTAAGTGACTTCTTTAAAGCCGTTTAAGCTAGTGCTGTTGGACTCAAATTGTTTAGTTTTTAAAATTCTAAATCCTTTACTCTTCTCAATACATTTCTTGATTCTCACAGGCCACAATAAATTCGAGATGAGTTATATATTGAGAATTTTAAACATTCTCCAAAAAACTTTAGAAAGAAATGGAGTATCTCAGCTGTATAAGAAGACGTTAGTGACATGCATGCGTTTAATTATATTAAAGTAAAACGTTCCATATGATGGACAGTAACAAAACTAAGATGAAAGGAAGTACAACAGAAAGATAAAAACAATTGAAAGATATATACCCATAAAAGTTACATCCGTAATGTGGAAAGGCTGAGGCGAGAGACAGAGAAATATAGTTAGAAAACGAGATACTGAAAAATGTTGAACTATCCTGACGAACAGCTTCAATTTAACAATTGTTACTGCTTCTCTATTAATTCATACACCATAAGGTTAAAAGACAATGTGGGAGGGGCCCCAGAGAAACAGGACAATCCACAGGTTCCCTGCCTCCTGAAGTGCAACTTGGCAATAAACAGAGCTGGCTGGGCACGGTGGCTCACGCCTGTAATCCCAACACTTTGGGAGGCCTAGGCGGGCAGATTGCTTGAGCTCAGGAGTTCGAGAGCAGCCCAGGCAACATGGCGAAGTGCCATCTCTACAAAAAATACAAAAAATTAGCCAGGCATGTTGGCATGCACCTATGGTCCCAACTACTCCGGAGGCTGAGAAAGGAGGATCCCTTGAGTTCAGGAGGCAGGGGTTGCAGTGAGCCGAGATCGCGCCTCTGTACTCCAGCCTGGGTAATAGAGTGACGCTTGGTCTCCAAAAAAAGAAAAAAACCCAGAAAAAAACCCCCAGAACTAAGCAACTTGTTCCAAGGAATACGTTGCAATGAAGTAAACCAAAAGAAAAAAAACCCAATTTGTATGAAGACAGACAGACATAACACTTTTTTTTTTTTTTTGAGACAGAGTTTCGCTCTTCTTGCCCAGGCTGGAGTGCGATGGCGTGATCTCGGCTCACCGCAACCTCCGCCTCCCAGGTTCAAGCGATTCTCCTTCCTCAGCCTCCCTAGTAGCTGGGATTACAGGCATGTGCCGCCACGCCCGGCTAATTTTGTATTTTTAGTAGAGATGGGGTTTCTCCATGTTGGTCAGGCTGGTCTCGAACTCCCGACCTCAGGTGATCCACCTGCCTCAGCCTCCCTAATTGCTGGGATTACAGGCATGAGCCACCGTGCCCAGCCATAACACTTTTATAGCAGTAAAAAAGCTAGAAACATGATACATATTTAATAATCGAGAAGAAATTAACTCAGATATAAAAATTGTTTCATATCTTGAGTCACTGACAAAGCGGCGATAAATGTGTATGATGTTGACAGAAGAAAATTCAAAACTTGGAAAAAGAAGTAAAATACAAAATAACATATAGCACATTGACTAAATCTATGCTTGTACATGCATTAAGAAGTTTATCATGATTTTTCCCTTGAAAATTTAAATACTAAAAAATCAATAAGGCACATAGTACCAAAATTGTTAGTTCTTTGCATATATGAAGAAAGTATAACCAGAAAAGGCTAAATTTGTAAGCGGCAGAGTGAAAACTTGAACCCTGTCTTTTGGATTTTGGGCCAGTCAGTTTGCATTAAGATATAAAACAGTATGGTTATCGGATAGTTACCTAGTTCGTTTGATTAGTTTATGTAGAGAAACTGGGCAACTCAAGTTTGAACATTCACTTTTTTTTTTTTTTTTTTTTTTTGAGACGGAGCCTTGCTCTGTCACCCAGGCTGGAGTGCAGTGGCACGATCTCAGTTCACTGCAACCTCCACCGGGGTTCAAGCGATTCTCCTCCCTCAGTCTCTTGAGTAGCTGGGATTACAGGCACCCACCACTGTGCCTGGCTAATTTTTTGTATTTTTAGTAGAGATGGGGTTTCACCATGTTGGCCAGGCTGGTCTCGAACTCCTGACCTCAAGCAATCCACCTGCCTTGGCTTCCTAAAGTGTTGGGATTACAGGCGTGAGCCACTGCCCCCGGCCTGAATATTCACATTAGAATGTGAGTTTTTACTTTGAGGACCATAATGCTCATATTCTCAAAGTGGCTTATTTCTACCTCGCATAGATGCCCATGAGACAAACCAAACTCCCCACTTTGTCGTACATTGGCAACTACCTCCTTACTGGGCTTTTAAAGGTATATTATGTTATGAATACCAGTTTGCATTTAACATAGGTCTCTTTCCTTTTCAAGAATCTTTGCACCTCCCCCCAACCCCCTGCCCTGCACCTTCTGATTTCATATTTGAGAACTTTAACACATCTTTCTCTTCTGAATTGTTATAGAACTTTATAATAAACTGGAGCTAAATCTGTCAGAAAATGGAAGAAATCTGGATAGCATTTCAGGAGCACTGGCAAATGCCTACTCCTTACTTCCTAATCCCAAACTGTCACACTGTGGCTGCACATGTGCCCAAGCCCTTGGTGAGAGACAAATAGCTGAATTCAGTCAATCTGTCACATAAATTCAAACAACTGGTTTGTAAATTTAATTTTTCTTTTCTCTTTATTGAACATGCCAGTATACTCAAGCTAGAGTTGCCAGATGAAATGGAGGACATGGCTGGGTGCGGTGGCTCAGCTCGGAGCAGTGGCTCACGCCTGTAATCCCAGCACTTTGGGAGGCCGAGGTGGGCTGATGGCCTGAGGTCAGGAGTTCAAAACCAGCGTGGCCAACAAGGTGAAACCCTGTCTTGACTTAAAATACAAAAATTAGCTGTGTGTGGTGGTGTGCACCTGTAATTCCAGCTATTGGGGAGGCTGAAGCAGGAGAATCATTTGAACCTGGGAGGTGAAGGTTGCAGTAAGCTGAGATCGCATCATTGCACTCCAGCCTGGGTGACAAGAGTGAGACTTCATCTCAAAAAAGAAAAAAAAAAAAGACACACAGTTAGATAGATTTGAATTTCAGATAAACAACCAATAATTCTTTATTACATCCATGAAATATTTAAGACATATTAAAAAATGATTGGTTATTTGAGATTCAAATCTAGCTGAGTGTACTGCATTTCTATTTGTTAAATCTGGCAACCCTAATTCATGCACAGTTGTAAGTCACAAATGAGGCTTTTGTCGTCTTCCAAGGTTTCAGAGATGAAGAAGAAAATGTCTTCTTCTACTCCATTTGACTTGCTGAGTTGCAGCTATTTTGGCTACACATGCCCCCTCCTACGCTGTCCTCTAAAACTTAATGTTTCCATTTTCATCACCTGCTACAGATGTGCCAGTTCTGGTAAATTTCCTAGCAAGCTTGAAGGAAGTGAAGGACAACTGCAAGGAAGGGCAGGATGGAGCATGCAGCCCACGTATTCCCCAGCTTGGTGGGGCAGAATGCGTTCTTGGCTCCTGAGGAATGGGCAGGCAACGCACAGGGGTCCTGGGAAGAAAGGGAGAGAATATCCTGGGAGAGCCATAGACCCTGGCACCCTCCTGTGGTCCTTCATCAGGTACGGATACTTTCTGAGCTGTGTGATTGCTGATCTGATTGCCATTTTGTGGATGAGGCGTTCTCAGGTTCATTTGCCAAATGAAACATCCCCTTTAAGCAAACAGAGTGTTCAGTGTTCTAGATTTACAGATGGCAAATCCTATATGAGGTTATAAGCTATACCCCTGGGGCATTTAAATAGGATTAGAGTTGTGCAATTAATTTACAGAGCTCTGCCAACTCTGTGCATAAAGAAAGGTGCATCACTCCTCTGACCAAGGTTCTCAGGGCATTTGCAGGTGACAATAACCCAGCTGTCAGCTAGACAATCTTTCTTCTCAATGAGGGTTGACCATGCACATGGTACTCCAGTGGATACTCCCATGAAATAGCTTCTGAAGACATGACCTGTCTTTTCTGGCTCTCTGTCTCTTCCCCTAACCATTTCATTTTTATATAGCAACTCTTGTTTTGCAAAGTACTTTTTGTTTACTTCATCTCATTTTAGCAAGGCCAAATAACCCTAAAGAGATAACAGAGGCATAGTGAGACTAAGAGATTATACAGTTAGAGGCAAAGCCCAAATGAGAATTCAGGTTTTTGAAGTCCAACTGAGAGTATTTTTTAACATGATACCAGTTGTTCAACTTTTAAAATACTAATGCCCGGGTCAAAGCCTGGACATGGATTTTTTTTTTTTTCAAATCTCTTTGGGTGGTTCTACTGTGTAGTCAAGGTTAAGAACCATTGTGCTTGACCATATTAAATCTTTCCTTCCCAATAAGAACCATATCAGCAGAAAGTCTACCAATAATCTACATCACCTTAAAAATGAAGAAATGTATTGTAATCCCCTTGTCCCTAATATGCCTTGAGGCATGGACTATTTCAGGAATGCTCAGAGCCTAACAGATCCTCAGGTTATTGGAGACAGGGAAGTATGCCCTGGTAGCTCAGATTTCCAAATTTAAGTCATGTCATGGAGGAAAATTCTCTGTGGTCTGGCTCCTTGCTTTTATATCTGAGAGGTCTGAGGCTCAAGGAGCTTAGGTCCCTAAGCTATAACTCAAGATTCTTGATTCAAAATCCCAGGGCCTAGGTCATGGCCTCTATTATGATGCTTGTACTTTTGCTGAGACATTTTCATAAGTTTTCACTTCACCAAGTCTAACTTCAGGAGGAACTAAGGAATTCAGTGGGCTTTTGTAAAACACATACACACACAACCAGAAAGAGAGATTTTCTCCTGGGGTGCATGTAATTCAGATCCTGCTTTTTAAGATGAAAGGAAAGCTACAAATTTTCCCACTTGCCATGTTATGTCATGAACAATCTTCTTCAAAATTGCAAAACTGCTACAAAGAAAACATCCCTGAGCTAAATTAGTGCCTGTGGAAGATGCTGGAGTTATAAATTGTCTATGTGGAATTTTCTACTTATTAGTTAAGGAGGTGGCAATAACTTCCCCTGAAACCAATAGCTCAGAGCCTGGCACACTCTCAACAAATGACGAATGAATGAAGAATGAATGAATGAATGAGTGAATGAGTGAATACTGACTATTCACCATTCTTATTAAGATCTCTTCCATCTATGTGGCCTATTCTTTGGTTCTCAGACGGTTAATTGGGATGTTTTTGTCCAGGCTTCCAATAGGAAGAGGGTCTTTCGTATCCTGGGATACCTCTGGGGAAACTGTCCAGAGGCGTTTCAAAGAGGTAGATGAAATCAGTCTCTAAAAACAAAGTTCCTTAGTATTTTTTATTACTGTCCTTTCAATATCTTTACAGGAATATGTATTCTTTTTTTTTTAACTAAAAAATTCATTCATTCATTTAATTTGGGTTATGGCTCCCCGCCCCTCCCCCCCCCCCCCCACTTAACAATAAAGTCATAAATATTTCCATTCTATTAGGCAACTTTTAAAATAGTATGTTTCTTTTAGAGTTACTTTTTGAAAAGGTAATAAATGAACCTAATGTTCAAATAAGTTAAGCAGTGAAAAGTTTGTCTTTTTTCCACACCCAATCTCATTCCCACAATAGTAGTAACTGCTGAGACAAGTTTCCAGAGATATCTGTCTTCCAGAGATAGCTTAAATGGTATCACTTCTAATGCTTGCATGGTATTTCATTTTATGGATGAATCATGATTAATTTATATAATTTCCTATTTTGGTCACAGAAGTTGTTTCCAATGTTTTTCTATAATAACAGTGCTTTGAGGAACATACTCATAGTTTGGTGTTTGACAAATGTTCCTTATTCCTTAGGATAAATTTCTAAAAGAAGAATTACTGGCCAAAGGTATGCATATTTTAAAAACTTATGATTTGTTTTTTTCAATCGCCATCCAGAAATTGTGCAGCAAAATACACTTCTGCCACCTATACCTATATTACCCATTTAAGCAGGTCCTCACCAGCATGAGATGGTTCTTAAGAAAAAGTCTGACAATTTAATAGGTGCAAAAATAACACCTCATTTGTGTTTCTATTTGCATGCCATTGATTATTTGAAAAGGCTGAATGTTCCCTACCCTCCCAGTTTATTCACCATTTGTGTTTCAGGATTCCTCTTCAGTTGGAAACAGCAGCAAAGTTCACAGGTCGTGAGTGGATGTAAAGTGGACGGAACAGGTTGTTGCCAGTCTATTGGAGTAGGATGGTAGATGAGCAGTCCCGTTGGCTAACAGGTGTGGGTATGCCTGTTTTAAAAATTAGCATGTTGTAGGGGAATATTTCTCAAACTTTTGTCACGTATCTACCTCTTAGGCATTTTTTACTTTATTCACCTGTACTACTATTTAATATTTTTAAAATTCAACTGATTTTTTTTTTTGCTTAAATACATGTCTTTAAAACTGGAACTTTATTCGCCACTGTAAATGGAAAACCAGTGTCATTTGCCATATATAGAAGTGAACTATATAGTAAATACGGTGAAAGTGAAATGGTATCATCACACTTGTGCTAGATTCCATTTCCTATAGAAGGTTCTGGGTTTCTTAAAAGGCTTGTTAAAAAGAGAGATGAGTAAATGTGAGAGGAATTTAAGACATACTAGCACCATTAAGACTTTCTCCTTAAAGTAATCTGGAGGATTTAAATTGAGAATTGAAAAAAGTAACTTTATTTTACATAAGAAATTATGTAAAAGAATTATGTTATTTAATGCCACATCCATACGTCATCAAGAGTCAACTTGGTGACCACTAGTGGCCCATGTCCCACACTTTGAGAAACGTGTGTTGGGGTGGGAATCTGAAGTCAGAAAAACTGGAGTATGATAACCACCTCAGCACTTATTAGAGGCCTTCACTTGGGAATGATGACCCTTCCTTGTAGGGTTGTAGTGAGAATGACAGATAATATATGAAAAGATAAAACATGGTGCCAGAGGCATTAGCAGGTGCTGCGAAGGGGCTGTTGTATTTCTTGTTATACTGGAGTGGTTCTCCACCCTGGATGCATATTAGAATCATCTGAAGGGCTTTTTAAAAATACAGATATCATGACCTCACCCCTGGAGATCCTAATTTAATTGGTCAGGGGTAGGGTTCTGGCATTGTTACTTGTTTAAAACAAAGTTCCTCCTCCTTCCCAGTGATTTTAATTTGTAGCCAGTGTTGGAAAAACCATGGACTTAACCCTTTCCTAAGAGCTTAGATCAATTCTGCAGATTAGCTATCTGCCATTTTGAAAAGGTGGCATAAGCTCAGGGAAGTATTCACTGGACAAAAGGAATTCTGGATGGCGGAAGCTCTAGGCACCATCAGGCACTTGCTTTGTGCTGGAAGCTGCATCAAATGGCTTGAGCCCAAAGTAGACATAAGGGCTCCTTATTTCCCTGGACACTGGGAAAATCATTTCTCTTATTCCAAGAGAACAATTTTGCTGACCATGGAAATACTATCTCTGGTTTCCAGAGGTACAGTGCTGTTCAGTGCTCTTCTGGAGGTTGTAGTATGAAGAAATGACAAAGCCAAAAAGGCATTCTGACCTAGGGAGACTATCTTTAAAGCAAAATATAAATGTAGGGCAAAAACTCTGCGGTCTCAGGAGGATTGGATCCAGGGGAAAATGTTTAAAAGGCAAACGTTTAGAATCAATTATACAGCTTCAGCAATGGTTTGCTATTGTCTTGCTGTCTTTTTGTTTTGCTTTGTGTAGTGTTCAGAATATCTGCATCATGTAGCATCTTTCTATTTTTAGGAGTCTTTAAACTCCTTTATTCTGAGGCCCCAGAATATTCTCATCCACCACGTACTTTCACGTGGAGATGACTGACTTCATCTTTGACAATGGCAGTTCCCTAACCTTGATCCAGCACGGGAGCAGGAATTATGGCGAAAATGGCCACCCAAACTGCACCCAGTGGGAAAACAGCATTAACTCAGCTTTTAAAAAAGTGTCAACTTGGAAAATCCAAGACCTAGATCTGATGCTTAGGGACCCACAATGCCAGGCAGCAGTCTGGGAGATGTCACTTCTGGAGCTTCTAATGAGATGCAAATCACCTAGTGAACTACTGGGGAGCTGGGAAACAATGTCCTGGGTAAAAGCAGATAAAAATGGAATGAAAGAATTTCTTTGAAGATTGGAACGACATTTTAAGTGCTTGCGGATATGGGACACCAGATAGTGTTGGTTTTACTAAGCTAATTGTGACGGGGTCTTTGATTCCCTGCAGCAGGGGACCCTGGGGCACTCGTCTCCAGCTCTGCCTCACTCTTTGAGGAGCTAGTTCCAGTTCTACTGTGAGTGTGCAAGGGGCTGGTCAGCTGTAGCAAAACCAGCACTGGACATGGGGGATCAGAAGACCCCGGCACACATAGTTCAAGTTGTGACACATATTGGTATGTGACCTTAAGTGAATCCCTTACCCCTCTGCTGCCATGTTTTATGTGTAAAATGATAAAGAGAGGGGTGGACTGAGGTAGTAATTTTTAATGGAGAACATTGGTGTGGCAAATTACACATGTTCTGGCCTGAAGATTCTGAGCTGCTCTCCTTGGAGTCACATTCTTTCCCAGTGTGTGAACATCTGTGTGCAGTGAGAGACATGCCTGATGGGGATCTGTTGCCTGAAGCCAGTGTGAAGGCAGGAAAAGGGTAAGAACCATTAGCCCAGAGGCCCTTTAAAGTCCCTTCCAACTTTAAGATGCTGTAACTCCAGAGTAATCGCCAGTTAACCTCTTGGAGCCTCATCTGTGAAACTGACATAAATGCTTTTGCTTTTCAGCTTGTTGGAATTTAAATACGACCAATCAAAATGTGTTTAGGCTTCAAAGGAAAAAGTTCTCCATAAATACACCAGAATTTCATTCTAACATGATTCATTCATTCAAAGAGCACAGCTGCACAAGGTAGGTTCCCCTGAACCACTTTCTGGGTCATTTGGTTACTGATGGGCTAAAGGACATCATTAAAACCTCACCTCAGCCTTTGCCCAGCTGTTAGCAAAACCTGCAGTGTATAGATTAATATTGCACAGCTGTACAAATCCCCACCCAGGTCCATAAATTATAAAATATTTTTACACATAGAGAGGGCAGTCATTAGTATGAATGACATGATTTGGGGGAGGTTATATCTACAAATGTCTGGCAGGTGTGTGTGTGTGTGAGAGAGAGAGAGAGAGAGGGAGAGAGAGATTGAGTGGAAATAGAAAAGAATGTCAGTAGTAGACCAAAATAAAATCACAAATATAATTTTTTTCTTGCATTTAATTAATAAGATGTAAAAATGAAATCAATGAAGTGTTAGTGGTGAGAAATGCAGTTGTGATCTTTCAGTCTTAATCTTCAAAAAAGCCAAGAAAATAGTAAGTATCTGAGAGAAGCAAAGATTAAATAGAAAGGTATGGTTTGGTTATTTTCCTAATTTGTGCCGAATTTTGGAACAAATTTCTTAAGTACATTACATTATAAAATCAATTTGGTCCAACTATCCAGTAAACATTAAGACGTTTGTACAAGTAGGGCAGCACAAAGCTTTCAGTTCTCTGCTCTAATCAAGAATTTAAATTTCAGTTCTTCAGGGTCACAGAGAACTACCAAATTTCTTTGCCTTGTTTTACAATCCAATATGAGATTAGTAAAAATCCGTTACGGAAATAATGCATAAAATGATGACTTCTCATGCCCTCCCTGACCTGAGGAGGTTGCAAGAGATCTGAATTTCTCCACTGGACTCAAGATTTCTCAACAAATTAGCATCAGCAGC
The DNA here is from genome assembly GCF_000001405.40 of Homo sapiens. Classification (NCBI taxonomy): domain Eukaryota; kingdom Metazoa; phylum Chordata; class Mammalia; order Primates; family Hominidae; genus Homo; species Homo sapiens. The sequence goes on along the minus strand of NC_000002.12, from coordinate 170,637,509 downwards.
TTCCTGCCCCCACCCCTTTTAAATATCCCTATACTCAGGTGGGGCGTGGTGGCTCACACCTGTAATCCCAGCACTTTGGGAGGCTGAGGGGGGTGGATCACTTGAGGCCAGGAGTTTAAGACCAGCCTGTCCAACATAGCAAAACCCTGTCTCTACTAAAAATACAAAAAATTAGCCGGGCCTGGTGGCGTATGCCTGTAATCCCAGCTACTCGGGAGGGTGAGGCAGGAGAATCGCTTGAACCCGGGAGGCAGAGGTTGCAGTGAGCCAAGATCAGGCCACTGCACTCCAGCCTGGACGGCAGAGTGATACTCCATCTAAAAAAAAAAAAAAAAAAACCCTACACTCTGAGTGACCTACCTGATCAGTATAGCTATAAGCACCTTCCTATATGTCATAAAAAACAAACCAAGCTTAACCAAAAAGTAAATGGTTACAGTTGTTGCTAACAAAGCTGAGAAATGGGTATCTCCTGTGTTATACAAGTGATATTTCAGCCTTGACAAGGAAATTATTGCCTACACACACACACACACACACACACACACACACGCACAAAAGCAAATGCTTTGTCCATGAAGTTCGACCAAACTAAAAGATAGTTCCAGTGCAATGTAATTTTAAGTTTCCAAATGAACATATTCCAGGAGGCTCATATCAGTGGTCCTCAGCTCTTGACCCCTGAAGGAAACATTCTTTCAGGGACTTGGTTGTCTTGGTTTAGTCAAATAAAATATTAACAATCAGAAACCTGGCAGCATTTATCTGACAATATAGAGAAAATCATATTAACATGAGCTCTTCACTGGAATGATCTTGGACATCCATGATGGCACCGGGAAACGCGCCACCAGCTCTGGAAGGGTGGGAGGCTCTGGCTGACTTGGCACCTTCCCACTTCCAGCTCTCGTGGCCGCTCATCCTGCATGAGATGGGGACCCAGCAGAGAGGGGTTAAATGGGTTGAGAAGCCAGTCCAGCCAGGGGTCATTAGCAATCAAGGACCAGCATTAAAAGGCAGCAGGAGACTAAGGTTCTCTGACAGGCTTGGCTCCAGGCACCATCTGGAAGGAAAGAGGCTGTCAAAGTTGGCTTAAAAAAAAAAAAAAAGAAATTCATGGAGATCTTTTCTTTTCAATAACATAACACAAACAGTTATGTTATTTCCAGCGTGGCTCCTTCCTTGGAAGTTAGGTTATCTTCAAAGTGCTCTGTTTTTGAGAGTAGGGCCAGGCAGTCACATTTCTAGGCCTGTTTCTGGCCATGATGAACCAGTTATTGGCACCTGGGTTGGGACCAGCCCAAGACCAAGTGTATGGCCAACAAACTCTTATACTTTGATAGTGGCGAGAGATCGTAACACACATGCTTCATAATAAGGTAACTGGAATATGTCAGATCTAAAGTATGGGGCACAGCTCATATCCAATAATGCATTAATCATATTCCACACACTATATAATACGATCTGTGACTAAAAAGAAAAAAACAGACAGCTTTGCTTAGAAAACCTGTGTTCAAGCTGATCATCTAAGTTGTGATTTTTGACACAACTTAAATAATTCTAAAACAAGCCTGGGTTCACTTTCTAAGGTAATTTGTACAAGGAAATGTCAGTCAGGGGTGTTGCATATTACATACATGTGGTTACGAACTTGGTTTACATTATTGATTAAATTCATTTTCTCTTTCTCTTTTTTAGACCTTTGGATATCTCCTCCTCCTTCCCCTTATCTATAAATATGTAAGAAAGAAAACATGTTTAAAATACAATATTTTATTTCTTTTGATCACAGATTAGACTTAAAGAACAGAGATGCCCTATAATGTGATCTTTAAGAGATATTACAAAGCTTCCAATCTCACTGTGAGGATCGTTAATATATACATATATTTTATTATACTTTAAGTTCTAGGGTACATGTACACAATGTGCAGGTTTGTTACATATGTATACATGTGTTGTGTTGGTTTGCTGCACCCATTAACTTGTCATTTACATTAGGTATATCTCCTAATGCTATCCCTCCCCCGCTCCCCCCACCCCACGACAGGCCCCTGGTGTGTGATGTTCCTCTTACTGTGTCCGAGTGTACTCACTGTTCAATTCCCACCTATGAGTGAGAACACGCAGTGTTTGGTTTTCTGTCCTTGAGATAGTTTGCTCAGAATGATGGTTTCCAGCTTCATCCATGTCACTACAAAGGACATGAACCCATCATTTTTTATGGCTGCATAGTATTCCATGGTGTATATGTGCCACATTTTCTTAATCCAGTCTATCATTGTTGGACATTTGGATTGGTTGCAAGTCTTTGATACTGTGAATAATGCCACAATAAACATACATGTGCATGTGTCTTTATAGTAGCATGATTTATAATCCTTTTGGTATATACCCAGTAATGGGATCCCTGGGTCAAATGGTATTTCTAGTTCTGGATCCTTGAGGAATCGCCACACTGTCTTCCACAATGGTTGAACTAGTTTGCACTCCCACCAACAGTGTAAAAGTGTTCCTATTTCTCCACATCCTCTCCAGCACCTGTTGTTTCCTTTTTAATTATCGCCATTCTAACTGGTGTGAGATGGTATCTCATTGTGGTTTTGATTTGCATTTCACTGATGACCAGTGATGATCAGCATTTTTTCATGTGTCTGTTGGCTGCATAAATGTCTTCTTTTGAAAAGTGTCTGTTCATATCCTTTGCCCACTTTTTGATGGGGTTGATTTTTTCTTGTAAATTTGTTTGAGTTCTTTGTAGATTCTGGATTTCAGCCCTTTGTCAGATGGGTAGATTGCAAAAATTTCCTCCCATTCTGTAGGTTGCCTGTTCACTCTGATGGTAGTTTCTTTTGCTGTGCAGAAGCTCTTTAGTTTAATTAGATCCCATTTGTCAATTTTGGCTTTTGTTGCCATTGCTTTTGCTGTTTTAGTCATGAAGTCCTTGCCCATGCCTATGTCCTGAATGGTATTGCCTAGGTTTTCTTCTACAGTTTTTATGGTTTTAGGTCTAACATGTAAGTCTTTAATCCATCTTGAATTAATTTTTGTATAAGGTGTAAGGAAGGGATCCAGTTTCCGCTTTCTACATATGGCTAGCCAGTTTTCCCAGCACCATTTATTAAATAGGGAATCCTTTCCCCATTGCTTGTTTTTTGTTAGGTTTATCAAAGATCAGATGGTTGTAGATGTGTGGTGTTATTTCTGAGGCCTCTGTTCTGTTCCATTGGTCTATATCTCTGTTTTGGTACCAGTACCATGCTGTTTTGGTTACTGTAGCCTTGTAGTATTGTTTGAAGTCCGGTAGCGTGATTCTTCCAGCTTTGTTTTTTTGGCTTAGGATTGTCTTGGCAATGTGGGCTCTTTTTTGTTTCCATATGAACTTTAAAGTAGTTTTTTTCCAATTCTGTGAAGAAAGTCATTGGTAGCTTGATGGGGATGGCATTGCATCTATAAATTACCTAGGGCAGTATGGCCATTTTCACAATATTGATTCTTCCTATCCATGAGCATGGAATGTTCTTCCATTTGTTTGTGTCCTCTTTTATTTCGTTGATCAGTGGTTTGTAGTTCTCCTTGAAGAGGTCCTTCACAACCCTTGTAAGTTGCATTCCGAGGTATTTTATTCTCTTTGTAGGAATTGTGAATGGGAGTTCACTCATGATTTGGCTCTCTGTTTGTCTGTTACTGGTGTATAAGAATGCCTGTGATTTTTGCACATTGATTTTGTATCCTGAGACTTTGCTGAAGTTCCTTATTAGCTTAAGGAGATTTTGGGCTGAGACAATGGGGTTTTCTAAATATACAATCATCTGCAAACAGGGACAATTTGACTTCCTTTTTTCCTAACTGAATACCGTTTCTTTCTTTCTCTTGCCTGATTGCCCTGGCCAGAACTTCCAACACTATGTTGGATAGGAGTGGTGAGAGAGGGCATCCCTGTCTTGTGCCAGTTTTCAAAGGGAATGCTTCCAGTTTTTGCCCATTCAGTATGATACTGGCTGTGGGTTTATCATAAATAGCTCTTACTATTTTGAGATATGTTCCTTGAATACCTAGTTTATTGAGAGTTTTTAGCATGAAGCGCTGTTGAATTATATCCAAGGCCTTTTCTGCATCTGTTGAGATAATCATGTGGTTTTCTTCTTTGGTTCTGTTTATATGATGGATTAAGTTTATTGATTTGCGTATGTTGAACCAGCCTTGCATCCAGGGATGAATCCAAATTGATTTTGGTGGATAAGCTTTTTGATGTGCTGCTGGATTTGGTTTGCCAGTATTTTATTGAGGATTTCTGCATCGATGTTCGTCAGGGATATTGGTCTAAAATTCTCTTGTTTTGTTGTGTCTCTGCCAGGCTTTGGTATCAGGATGATGCTGGCCTCATAAAATGAGTTAGGGAGGATTCCCTCTTTTTCTATTGATTGGAATAGTTTCAAAAGGAATGGTACCAGCTCCTCCTTGTACCTCTGGTAGAATTCGGCTGTGAATCTGTCTGACCCTGGACTTTTTTTGGTTGGTAGGCTGTTAGTTATTGCCTCAATTTCAGAGCCTGTTATTGGTCTATTCAGCAATTCAGCTGTCTTTGGAGGGTATAAGTGTCGAGGAATTTATCCATTTCTTCTAGATTTTCTAGTTTATTTGCATAGAGGTGTTTATAGTATTCTCTGATGGTAGTTTGTATTTCTGTGGGATCAGTGGTGATATGCCGTTTATCATTTTTTATTATGTCTATTTGATTCTTCTCTCTTTTCTTCTTTATTAGTCTTGCTAGCAGTCTATCAATCTTATTGATCTTTTCAAAAAACCAGCTCCTGGATTCGTTGGTTTTTTTGAAGGGTTTTTTGTGTCTCTATCTCTTTCAGTTCTCCTCTGATCTTAGTTATTTCTTGGCTTCCGCTAGCTTTTGAATGTGTTTGCTCTTGCCTCTCTAGTTCTTTTAATTGTGATGTTAGGGTGTCAATTTTAGATCTTTCCTGCTTTCTCTTGTGGGCATTTAGTGCTATAAGTAAGTTTCCCTCTACACACTGCTTTAAATGTGTCCCAGAGATTCTGGTATGTTGTGTCTTTGTTCTCGTTGGTTTCAAAGAACATCTTTATTTCTGCCTTCATTTCGTTATGTACCCAGTAGTCATTCAGGAGCAGGTTGTTCAGTTTCCATGTAGTTGAGCGGTTTTGAGTGAGTTTCTTAATCCTGAGTTCTAATTTGACTGTGGTCTGAGAGACAGTTTGTTATGATTTCTGTTGTTTTACATTTGCTGAGGAGTGCTTTACTTCCAACTATGTGGTCAATTTTGGAACAAGTGCGATGTGGTGCTGAAAAGAATGTATATTCTGTTGATTTGGGGTGGAGAGTTCTGTAGATGTCTATTAGGTCTGCTTGGTGCAGAGCTGAGTTCAAGTCCTGGATATCCGTGTTAATCTTCTGTCTCGTTGATCTAATATTGACAGTGGGGTGTTAAAGTCTCCCACTATTATTGTGTGGGAGTCTAAGTCTCCTTGTGGGTCTCTCAGACTTGCTTTATGAATCTGGGTGCTCCTGTATATATTTAGGATAGTTAGCTCTTCTTGTTGGAATCATCTCTTTACCGTTATGTAATGGTTTTCCTTGTCTCTTTTGATCTTTGTTGGTTTAAACTCTGTTTTATCAGAGAGTAGCATTGCAACCCCTGCCTTTTTTTGTTTTCCGTTTGCTTGGTAGATCTTCCTCCATCCCTTTATTTTGAGCCTGTGTGTGTCTCTGCACATTGAATGTTGAATATTGGCCCCCACTCTCTTCTGGCTTGTAGAGTTTCTGCTGAGAGATCCACTGTTAGTCTGATGGGCTTCCCTTTGTGGGTAACCCGACCTTTCTCTCTGGCTGCCCTTAACATTTTTTCCTTCATTTCAACTTTGGTGTATCTGACAATTATGTGTCTTGGAGTTGCTCTTCTCCAGGAGTATCTATCTTTGTGGTGTTCTCTGTATTTCCTGAATTTGAATGTTGGCCTGCCTTGCTAGGTTGGGGAAGTTCTCCTGGGTAATATCCTGAAGAGGGTTTTCCAGCTTGGTTCCATTCTCCCCATCACTTTCAGGTACACCAATCAGATGTAGATTTGGTCTTTTCACATAGTCCCCTATTTCTTGGAGGCTTTGTTCATTTCTTTTTATTCTTTTTTCTCTAAACTTCTCTTCTCACTTCATTTCATTCATTTGATCTTCCATCATTGATACCCTTTCTTCCAGTTGATAGAGTCGGCTACTGAAGCTTGTGCATTCATCACGTAGTTCTCTTGCCATGGTTTTCAGCTCCATCAGGTCCTTTAAGGACTTCTCTGCATTGGTTATTCTAGTTAGCCATTCATCTAATCTTTTTTCAAGGTTTTTAACTTCTTTGCGATGGGTTCGAACTTCCTCCTTTAGCTCGGAGAAGTTTGGTCATCTGAAGCCTTCTTCTCTCAACTCGTCAAAGTCATTCTCCGTCCAGCTTTGTTCTGTTGCTGGCAAGGAGCTGCGTTCCTTTGGAGGAGAAGGGGCACTCTGGTTTTTAGAATTTTCAGCTTTTCTACTCTGGTATCTTCCCATCTTTGTGGTTTTATCTACCTTTGGTCTTTGATGATGGTGACCTACAGATGGGGTTTTGGTGTGGATGTCCTTTTTGTTGATATTGATGCTACTCCTTTGTGTTTGTTAGTTTTCCTTCTAACAGTCAGGTCCCTCAGTTGCAGGTCTGTTGGAGTTTGTTGGAGGTCCACTCCAGACCCTGTTTGCCTGGGTATAAGCAGCGGAGGCTGCAGAACAGCAAATGTTGCTGCCTGATCCTTCCTCTGAAGCTTCGTCTCAGAGGGGCACCCAGCTGTATGAGGTGTCAGTCGGCCTCTACTGGGAGGTGTCTCCTAGTTAGGCTACACGGGGGTCAGGGACCCACTTGAGGAGGCAGGCTATCTGTTCTCAGAGCTCAAACACTGTGCTGGGAGAACCACTGCTCTCTTCAGAGCTGTCACACAGGGACGTTTAAATCTGCAGAAATTTCTGTGCCTTTTGTTTAGCTATGCCCTGCCTCCAGAGGTGGAGTCTACAGAGGCAGGCAGGCCTCGTTGAGCTGCGGTGGGCCCCACTCAGTTCGAGCTTCCTGGCAGCTTTGTTTACCTACTCAAGCCTCAGCAATGGTGGACACCCCTCCACCAGCCAGGCTTGCCGCCTTGCAATTTGATCTCGGACTAGCAATGAGCAAGGATCCATGGGGGTGGGACCCACTGCGCCAAGTGCAGGATATAATCTCCTGGTGTGCTGCATGCTAAGACCTTCAGAAAAGTGCCACGTTTAGGTGGAGTGTCCCGATTTTCCTGGTACAGTCTGTCACGGTTTCCCTTGGCTAGGAAAGGGAAATCCCCCGATCCCTTGTGCTTCTCAGGTGAGGCAATGCCCCGCCCTGCTTCAGCTCGCCCTCCATGGGCTGCACCCACTTTCTGACCAGTCTCAATGAGATGAAGCAGGTACCTCAGCTGGAAATGCAGAAATCACCCATCTTCTGTGTTGATCATGCTGGGAGGTGTAGAATGGAGCTGTTCCTATTTGGCCGTCTTGGAATGGAAATCAGATCATTAATATTATAGCTGAGTTCATTAGAGGAATTACATTCTAGTTCATTATTGTGTGGGTTTTGTTTGTTTGTTTTTAGATAGAGTCTCGCTCTGTTGCGCAGGCTGGAGTGCAGTGGCACAATCTTGGCTAACTGCAATGTCTGCCTCCAAGGTTCAAGTGATTCTCCTGTCTCAGCCTCGTGAGTAGCTGGGATTATAGGCATGTGCCACCATGCCCAGCTAATTTTTTGTATTTTAGTAGAGATGGAGTTTCACCATGTTGCCCAGGCTGGTCTTGAACTCCTAAGCTCAGGCAATCCACCTGCCTTGGCCTCCCAAAGTGTTAGGATTACAGGTGTGAGCCACCGCACCCAGCCCGTTGTGTGGCTTTTAACATTAGTCTTCAGTATACCCTTAGTTCTGATATAAAAAAGGTATTACAAGAAAAAGGATTCAGGGTATATTTGTTTTTAGATGGTGATGGTACTTTTATGATAATTTTACCCTCTGCTAAAATCACCCTCATGAAGCTTCTGGCCAGTTTATAGATGCTTGGGATGGGGGAAAAATAACAGGGAAGATCTAAGACTCTGTAGCCTCAGATACAGCCTCACCAGAGGGTGAGTCAGGTGATACTGGCTGCTAATCCAGGAAGTGGGCATCATTTGGAGGGGTAATCAGGGTGGCTGGCAGTCCAGCAGAAGTCCAGCAGAAATGCAAGATTCTGGGGATTGAATCTGGATCATTTTAAATCATCCAATCCTAAACTTTTGACAGTTTATGCCCATACTGGCCAGCCTGTCTGAGACAGTGTATTAATCGGAGGTCCAATTACACAGAACAGAGTTTGTTTAAAAACAGACAAGCAAGTCCCAGAGACAGAACACTGTGGGTATGGATGAATCCTGTCCTTAACGTTCTTCGGTTGGGCTCACTCTGATTTTGACTTTTCTCACTGTTCTCATGGAGACTTTTGGTTTTCATAGGATGTAAGTGTGCCTACATAAACATGACACTTGAGTCATGAAAACCCAGACCTGATCAGAGTTATAGGGTTCCTGGGAAAGACTATGGGAAGATTCTTTTAAAAAAAATTGTTTGGTAAAAATATCCAAACTTGAAGCCTACTATCCAATCCTATACTAAAGCTTCACAAAAGATGCTGTATGGACCATTGTTGGTAAAGTGAACTTCTAGGGGGGCTTTGATGCCTTCAGTGGCTGTAGGTTTTGTAATATCAGAGTTTGATTTATAAGAATATAAGAGGACAGTTCCAAGATGGCCGAATAGGCACAGCTCCAGTCTACAGCTCCCAGCGTGAACGATGCAGAAGACGGGTGATTTCTGCATTTCCAACTGAGGTACCGGGTTCATCTCACAGGGGCTTGTCGGACGGTGGGTGCAGCGCACTGAGCGTGAGCCAAAGCAGGGCAAGGCATTGCCTCATCCAGGAAGCACAAGGGGTCAGGGAATTCCCTTTCACAGCCAAGCAAAGCTGTGACAGATGGCACCTGGAAAATCGGGTCACTCCCACCCTAATACTGTGCTTTTCCAACGGTCTTAGCAAACAGCACACCAGGAGATTATATCCTGCGCCTGGCTCAGAGGGTCCCATGCCCACGGAGCCTCGCTCATTGCTAGCACAGCAGTCTGAGATCGAACTGCAAGGCAGCAGTGAGGCTGGGGGTGGGGCGCCTGCCACTGCTGAGGCTTGAGTAGGTAAACAAAGCAGCCAGGAAGCTCGAACTGGGTGGAGCCCAATGCAGCTCAAGGAGGCCTGCCTGCCTCTGTAGACTCCATCTCTGGAGGCAGGTCATAGCCAAACAAAAGGCAGCAGAAACCTCTGAAGACTTAAATGTCCCTGTCTGACAGCTTTGAAGAGAGTAGTGGTTCTCCCAGCACAGAGTTTGAGATCTGAGAACAGACAGACTGCCTCAAGTGGGTCCCTGACCCCCGAGTAGCCTAACTGGGAGGCACCCCCCAGTAGGGGCAGACTGACATGTCACATGGCGAGGTACCCCTCTGAGACGAAACCTCCAGAAAAACGATCAGACAGCAATATTTGCTGTTCAGCAATATTCGCTGATCTACACCCTCCGCTGGTGATACCCAGGCAAACAGGGTCTGGAGTGGACCTCCAACAAACTCCAACAGACCTGCAGCTGAAGGTCCTGACTGTTAGAAGGAAAACTAACAAACAGAAAGGACATCCACACCAAAACCCCATCTGTAGGTCACCATCATCAAAGACCAAAGGTAGATAAACCACAAAGATGGGGAAAAAACAGAACAGAAAAACAGAAAATTCTAAAAATCAGAGCGCCTCTCCTCTTCCAAAGGAACACAGCTCCTCACCAGCAACAGAACAAAGCTGGACGGAGAATGACTTTGACGAATTGAGAGAAGAAGGCTTCAGATGACCAAACTTCTCCGAGCTAAAGGAGGAAGTTCGAACCCATCGCAAAGAAGTTAAAAACCTTGAAAAAAGATTAGATGAATGGCTAACTAGAATAACCAATGCAGAGAAGTCCTTAAAGGACCTGATGGAGCTGAAAACCATGGCAAGAGAACTACGTGATGAATGCACAAGCTTCAGTAGCCGATTCTATCAACTGGAAGAAAGGGTATCAATGATGGAAGATCAAATGAATGAAATGAAGTGAGAAGAGAAGTTTAGAGAAAAAAGAATAAAAAGAAACGAACAAAGCCTCCAAGAAATAGGGGACTATGTGAAAAGACCAAATCTACATCTGATTGGTGTACCTGAAGTGATGGGGAGAATGGAACCAAGCTGGAAAACCCTCTTCAGGATATTACCCAGGAGAACTTCCCCAACCTAGCAAGGCAGGCCAACATTCAAATTCAGGAAATACAGAGAACACCACAAAGATAGATACTCCTGGAGAAGAGCAACTCCAAGACACATAATTGTCAGATACACCAAAGTTGAAATGAAGGAAAAAATGTTAAGGGCAGCCAGAGAGAAAGGTCGGGTTACCCACAAAGGGAAGCCCATCAGACTAACAGTGGATCTCTCAGCAGAAACTCTACAAGCCAGAAGAGAGTGGGGGCCCATATTCAACATTCCTAAAGAAATGAATTTTCAACCCAGAATTTCATATCCAGCCAAACTAAGCTTCATAAGTGAAGGAGAAATAAAATCCTTTACAGACAAGCAAATGCTGAGAGATTCTGTCACCACCAGGCCTGCCCTACAAGAGCTCCTGAAGGATGCACTAAACATGGAAAGGAACAACTGGTACCAGCCACTGCAAAAACTTGCCAAATTGTAAAGACCATCTATCCTCGGAAGAAACTGCATCAACTAATGAGCAAAATAGCCAGCTAACATCATAATGACAGGATCAAATTCACACATAACAATATTAACCTTAAATGTAAATGGGCTAAATGCTCCAATTGACACAGACTGGCAAATTGGATGAAAAGTCAAGACCCATCAGTGTGCTGTATTCAGGAAACCCATCTCACGTGCAGAGACACACATAGGCTCAAAATAAAGGGATGGAGACAGATCTACCGAGCAAATGGAAAACAAAAGGCAGGGGTTGCAATCCTAGTCTCTGATAAAACAGACTTTAAACCAACAAAGATCAAAAGAGATAAAGAAGGCCATTACATAATCGTAAAGGGATCAATTCAACAAGAAGAGCTAACTATCCTAAATATATATGCACCCAGTACAGGAGCACCCAGATTCATAAAGCAAGTCCTTAGAGACCTACAAAGAGACTTAGACTCCCACACAATAATAATGGGAGACTTCAACACCCCACGGTCAACATTAAACAGATCAACGAGACAGAAAGTTAACAAGGATATCCAGGAAATGAATTTAGCTCTGCTCCAAGCAGACATAATAGACATCTACAGAACTTTCCACCCCAAATCAACAGAATATACATTCTTCTCAGCACCACACCAAACCTATTCCAAAATTGACCACATAGTTGGAAGTAAAGCACTCCTCAGCAGAGGTAAAAGAACAGAAATTATAACAAACTGTCTCTCAGACCACAGTGCAATCAAACTAGAACTCAGGATTAAGAAACTCACTCAAAACCGCTCAACTACGTGGGAACTGAACAACCTGCTCCTGAATGACTACTGGGTACATAACGAAATGAAGGCAGAAATAAAGATGTTCTTTGAAACCAATGAGAACAAAGACACAACATACCAGAATCTCTGGGACACATTTAAAGCAGTGTGTAGAGGGAAACTTATAGCACTAAATGCCCACAAGAGAAAGCAGGAAAGATCTAAAATTGACACCCTAACATCACAATTAAAAGAACTAGCGAGGCAAGAGCAAACACATTCAAAAGCTAGCAGAAAGCAAGAAATAACTAAGATCAGAGCAGAAATGAGGGAGATAGAGACACAAAAAACCCTTTGAAAAATCAATGAATCCAGGAGCTGGTTTTTTGAAAAGATCAACAAAATTGATAGACTGCTAGCAAGACTAATGAAGAAAAGAGAGAAGAATCAAATAGATGTGATAAAGGGCATATCACCACGGATCCCACAGAAATACAAACTACCATCAGAGAATACTATAAACACCTCTATGCAAATAAACTAGAAAATCTAGAAGAAATGGATAAATACCTCCACACATATACCCTCCCAAGACTAAACCAGGAAGAAGCTGAATCTCTGAATAGACCAATAACAGGCTCTGAAATTGAGGCAATAATTAACTGCTTACCAACCAAAAAAAGTCCAGGACCAGACGGATTCACAGCCAAATTCTACCAGAGGTACAAGGAGGAGCTGGTACCATTCCTTCTGAAACTATTCCAATCAATGGAAAAAGACGAAATCCTCCCTAATTCATTTTATGAGGCCAGCATCATCCTGATACCAAAGCCTGGCAGAGACACAACAAAACAAGAGAATTTTAGACCAATATCCCTGATGAACATCGATGCAAAAATCCTCAATAAAATACTGGCAAACCGAATCCAGCAGCACATCAAAAAGCTTATCCACCATGATCAAGTGGGCTTCATTCCTGGGATGCAAGGCTGGTTCAACATATGAAAATCAATAAACTTAATCCATCATATAAACAGAACCAAAGAGAAAAACCACATGATTATCTCAATAGATGCAGAAAAGGCCTTTGACAAAATTCAACAGCCTTTTATGCTAAAAACTCTCAATAAATTAGGTATTGATGAGATGTATATCAAAATAATAAGAGCTATTTATGACAAACCCACAGCCAATATCATACTGAATGGGCAAAAACTGGAAGCATTCCCTCTGAAAGCTGGCACAAGACAAGGATGCCCTCTCTCACCACTCCTATCCAACATAGTGTTGGAAGTTCTGGCCAGGGCAATCAGGCAGGAGAAAGAAAGAAAGGGTACTCAATTAGGAAAAGAGGAAGTCAAATCGTCCCTGTTTGCAGATGACATGATTGTATATCTAGAAAGTCCCATCGTCTCAGCCCAAAATCTCCTTATGCTGATAAGCAACCTCAGCAAAGTCTCAGGATACAAAATCAACGTGCAAAAATCACAAGCAGTCTTATACACCAATAACAGACAGACAAATCATGAGTGAACTCCCATTCACAATTCCTACAAAGAGAATAAAATGCCTCGGAATGCAACTTAAAAGGGATGTGAAGGATCTCTTCAAGGAGAACTACAAACCACTGCTCTACGAAATAAAAGAGGACACAAACAAATGGAAGAACATTCCATGCTCATGGATAGGAAGAATCAATATTGTGAAAATGACCATACTGCCCTAGGTAATTTATAGATGCAATGCCATCCCCATCAAGCTACCAATGACTTTCTTCACAGAATTGGAAAAAACTACTTTAAAGTTCATATGGAACCAAAAAAGAGCCCACATTGCCAAGTCAATCTGAAGCCAAAAGAACAAAGCTGGAGGCATCACACTACCTGACTTCAAACTATACTACGAGGCTACAGTAACCAAAATAGCATGGTACTGGTACCAAAACAGAAATATAGACCAATGGAACAGAACAGAGGCCTCAGAAATAATACCACACATCTACACTACCTGATCTTTGACAAACCTGACAAAAACAAGAAATGGGAAAAGGATTCCCTATTTAACAAATGGTGCTGGGAAAACTGGCTAGCCATATGTAGAAAGATGAAACTGGATCCCTTTGTTACACATTATACAAAAATTAATTCAAGATGGATTAAAAACTTAAATGTTAGACCTAAAACCATAAAAACTCTAGAAGAAAACCTAGGCAATACCATTCAGGATAGAGGCATGGGCAAAGACTTCATGTCTAAAACACCAAAAGCAATGGCAACAAAAGCCAAAATTGACAAATGGGATCTAATTAAACTAAAGAGCTTCTGCACAGCAAAAGAAACTACCATCAGAGTGAACAGGCAACCTACAGAATAGGAGAAAATTTTTGCAGTCTACCCATCTGACAAAGGGCTAAAATCCAGAATCGACAAAGAACTCAAACAAATTTACAAGAAAAAATCAAACAACCCCATCAAAAAATGTGCAAAGTATATGAACAGACACTTTTCAAAAGAAGACATTTATGCAGCCAACAAACATATGAAAAAATGCTCATCATCACTGGCCATCAGAGAAATGCAAATCAAAACCACAGTGAGATACCATCTCACACCAGTTAGAATGGCAATCATTAAAAAGTCAGGAAACAACAGGTGCTGGAGAGGATGTGGAGAAATAGGAACAGTTTTACACTGTTGGTGGGACTGTACACTAGTTCAACCATTGTGGAAGACAGTGTGGCGATTCCTCAGGGATCTAGAACTAGAAATACCATTTGACCCAGCTATCCCATTACTGGGTATATACCCAAAGGAATATAAATCATACTGCTATAAAGACACATGCACACGTATGTTTACTGCGGCACTACTCACAATAGTAAAGACTTGGGACCAACCCAAATGTCCAACAATGATAGACTGGATTAAGAAAATGTGGCATATATACACCATGGAATACTATGCAGCCATAAAAAATGATGAGTTCCTGTCCTTTGTAGGGACATGGATGAAGCTGGAAACCATCATTCTGAGCAAACCCTCACAAGGACAAAAAACCAAACACCGCATGTTCTCACTCATAGGTGGGAATTGAACAATGAGAACACCAGGACACAGGAAGGGGAACATCACACACCGGGGCCTGTTGTGGGGTGGGGGGAGGGGTGAGGGATAGCATTAGGAGATATACCTAATGTAAATGATGAGTTAATGGGTGCAGCAAACCAACATGGCACATGTATACATATGTAACAAACCTGCACGTTGTGCACATGTACCCTAGAACTTAAAGTATAATAATAAAAAAAAATGTATATTATAAAAGAATGTAAGAATGTGCATATTTATTTCCTTGCATATTAATGGCATAAGAAACTGTTAACAGGGACTTGGGGTAAGGCTTGTGGGAGGAAGGTAGTTTTCACTGTATTCCTTTTGTATTGTTTTAAGTTTTTACTTGTTTTTTAAGCAAGCATGTATCACTTTATATGATATTTAAAAGTTGCTCTTCTCAGGACAGAAAATCATTTTGATTCATTTCTAATTCAAATAAGCACTAATTGAGGATATTTTAATATATCCTCACATTGTGAAAGGATTAAGGCACAATTTCTAGCTTCAAAACTGTACAGTAGGCTAGGGTTAGGAACCTTAACAATTAGCCACACTGCAACATTGGAAATTACTGATTTTCTGAACATTAAGTAGTTCAGGCTTTCTTACATGAAAGTTGAAACTTGAGCATTTTTCTTTTTAGAACTATATAAGTAAAGGATGTAAGATTTAGATTCTCAGTATTTAGAAGGGTGGAGCCGATTTAAAGGTAGAAATAGTTGGCTTTTGGCTTTTGAAATGAAGGTTGAGAACAACTGCCAAGTTGCAAGATTACTTCCTGAGGGTCAGTTGTATGCAAAGCAAATACAAGGGTAAGATCAGCTCCTACATTCAAAGGGTTTAAAATCTAGGGGACAGGTGGGAAAAACAGGTACATGGTAATACATGGCAGAATGTGACATGTGCTCCAAAACAGGTACACAATTCAGATTATAAAGGTCATTTCTAGCCGGGCATGGTGGCTAATGCCTGGTGGCTCACGGTGGCCCCAGTACTTTGGGAGGCCGAGGCGGGTGGATCATTTGAGGTCAGGAGTTTGAGACCGGCCTGACCAACATGACGAAATAACATCTCTACTAAAAATACAAAAAAATTAGCTGGGCCTGGTGGTGCACATCTGTAGTCCCAACTACCCGGGAGGCTGAGGCAGAAGAATCACTTGAACCTGGGAGGCGGAGGTTGCACTGAGCCAAGATCACACCACTGCACTCCAGCCTGGGCACAGAGTGAGACTCTGTCTCAAAAACAAAAAAACAAAAAAACAAAAAAACATTTCCAGTTGGTAGTAAGAAAAGGCTTCATATAAGTTGTAGTATTTAATATGGAGCTTAAAATATGTGTGAAAGGTGGGAAGGAAGAGCATCTTGTAACTTGCCTGAAGAAAGGTGTTATATTAGAAGGGTGTCATAATAATTTATTGAGCCCTTACTATGTACCAGATACTCCATATGAACTAACTCATTGAATAAAACATAAAATAAACCTATGAAGTAACCTCCTGGGGAGCAGTTCTCCAAGTGTTTCTATACATATGTGACAACTGTTGTCCTGGACTATCTTTTCAAAAATATTTCTATGGTTGGCCGGGTGCGGTGGCTCATGCATGTAATCCCAGCACTTTGGGAGGCCGAGGCGGGTGGATTGCTTGAGGTCAGGAGTTCGAGACCAGCCTGGCCGAGATGGTGAAACCCTGTCTCTGCTAAAAATACAAAAATTAGCCAGGCACAGTGGCGGGTGCCTGTAATCCCAGCTACTCGGGAGGCTGAGGCAGGAGAAGCGCTTGAACCCGGGAGGCGGAGGCTGCAGTGAGCCGAGATCCCGCCACTGCACTCTAACCTGGGTGACAGAGCAAGACTCCAACTAAAAAAAAGAAAAAAAAATTTGTATGGCAAACACCCTGAGAGGCTAGAGATCATGTCTTTCTCCAATGCAGAGGACAGAGTCGCTTCCTGACTAGGATAATAAAGAAAATGTCTCCCTCTAGGCCAAAGGGTGGGCAGCCTTGCTGCAGCCTGTTACGAGACTGAAAGGTTCCTAAGCTCAGGGTTCTTCAACAGTGACACAAATCCACTGTGTGCACAGATCTACCCGGGCCATTTTCCATCTACCCCATGGGATTTGGGGACAAGGGTAACCAATGGGAACATGAAGCTCATGCTGCCTACTGTCTTGTGAATAATCAAGTCTTTTGTCTCTGACATGGGAATCTCATGCCTTCTGCTAGTTTCTGTGAAGATGGGGCAGGCTAACTTGTTAGCCTACAAGCAGGGTAAAATCTCAGACCCTTTGCAGTTCTTGACAAAAGTACAATTATTGTCACTATCTATAGAGAAAGAGGCAGAGAGATTTGATGACTTGCCTAATATAGTTAATAAATGGAAGAGGAGCTGACATTCCAGCTCAGGCACTCTGTCTCTAGAATTGAACTCTTAACCAGTACAGTAAACTCTTATTAATTGGCCTCAGCCTGTTATGTGTCATGGAAGTACAGTCTGTAAAAGCAAAGTGGAGTTTTGCCTGGAATGTTAGACTGAGGTATTTGTATGAAATTCTTAAGGAAGAAGTGTTTTTTTTTTGGTTTGGAAAAAGCAAAGAAATCATGTTGTTTGTTTGTTTGAAACCCTCCAAAGATTTATCATCTCACTTGGAGTAAAAGCCAAAGTCCTTATAAGCCTTACCTCATATTATGGTGGACAGCCTCTAAGGTGGTCCTTTAATGATCCCCACTTCTTGGTATTCACATTCTGTTTAATTACCTCTCTTTGGGCTTAGTGACTTGCTTCTAATAAACAGAATATGGCAGCAAGCCAGCCTGGCCAACATGGTGAAACCCTGTCTCTACTAAAAATACAAAAATTAGCCAGGCATGGTGGCGCATGCCTGTAATCCCAGCTACTCAGGAGGCTGAGGCAGGAGAATTGCTTGAACCTGGGAGGCAGAGGTTGCAGTGAGCTGAGATCACCCCACCGCACTCTAGCTTGGGCAACAGAACGAGACTCTGTCTCAAAAAAAAAAAAAAAAAAAAAAAAAAAGAATATGGCAGCAGTGATGGGCCATCACTTTAGAGATGAGGTTTGAAAAAGACTGTGGTTTCTATCTTGTGTGCTTTCTCTCACTCTCTCCAGGGGAAGACAGCTGCCACATGGTAACGCAGTCCTGTAAAGAGTCCCATGTGGTGAGAGACGTGGTTGGGAGTGAGCTTGGAAGTGGATCCCCAACCCTCGTCCCCAAACTGAGACTTCACATGAGACTGCAGCTCTGGCCAACAGCTTCACTGTAACCTCACAACAGACCTTGAGCCACAAGCACCCAGCTAAGCTGCAGGGAGACCCCCTGAAACTATTGCTACGGAATAAAAGATGAAATGCTCCTGATTATTGTAAATACAAAGTTGCATGCAGGATTGTGTAAAGACAATGCCAGGTTGGACTGCCAGAATGAGCCAACTGCACGTGATGTGATTCCCCCTGCAGAGAGCCTATGAATGGACGTGCAGTCAGGGAGGTTTCACATCACCAAGATTCCTATCCTAGAAAGGCAGATGTTCATAGCTCTAGGAATGGAATGCGACCCTTGTGGAGAGCCTATAAACGGATGCATGGGGGTGGGGCGCCTGTCCATATGGATAAGATAGGGCTAGAAACGCCCTCATCTTGCCACAGCTCTTCTAGGCCTCTTTAGGGTTAAGGCATACTCCCTTCTGAGAATTTCTGGTCTAACTGGTTGTCTAGCTTCACATCCTGTTTCCGTGGATTGTTTGTAACCAGCTTTTGTTGCAATTGTTACTGCTGATTAATATCTTGCTAATCATAGGTTATGGAAAGATTGTGCTTCTGTTTTAAGGCTCTGTTAGAAATTACTGACGCACACACTATATTGTAAATTCTTATCTCTCTATGCTGTACTTCTACATACAAATGTACTGTACTTCTACATACAAATGTACTGTACTTCTACATACAAATGTTATGTTAATTACTTCATCCCCATGTGACCATCTCACCTCATAATCAAATGACCCTAAATCCCTCACTAACCAACCCCCACCCTCACTTAACTTAATAATAAACGCTGGTATATCCAGAGCATTGTTGGCACCATGGGACCAGAAGGCGGTGACCCCCCTGGACCCAGCTTTCACTATCTTGTGTGTGTCTATTATTTCCCAACCTGCTGATCTGCCTGGGAACAAAGAGAGAGCCCCATTGCATTGTGGGCTGCTGACCAGATCCTGAAGATGCATGCAACAACGAGACAGAGAAATTTGCTGAAAAAGCACCACAGCAGGAAACAACTAACACATCCAATCATCAAAAAGAAGAAAAGACCACGCTAACTCCTTTACAACAGACAATCCAGACAGCCATCCTGAACAACTTGTCTCCAGCGATCCAGGTCTGGCTCAACCTCTGCCTCCTCCTGATGACACTGATCCTTCTACCTCTGTTACGCCACAGACTGTTAAAAACTATACATATTGGGCCTATATTCCTTTTCCTCCTCTTATTCGAGCCGTGACATGGATGGATGCTCCTATCGAGGTCTATGTTAATGATAGTATTTGGATGCCTGGTTCTCTAGATGATCGTTGTCCTGCACAACCTTCAGAAGAAGGAACCCCTTTCAATATCACTTTAGGTTTTAGGTATCCACCTTTCTGCCTGGGACCCACTAATGTATGTCTCTCATTAGATATTCAAACTTGGGCTGTCACACTACCGTCTGGTCACTCTGTCCCTCCTTTAGGACACTTGATATCAGGGCTCTCATTAAAACCTCTAAGGCAGATCAAAACAGTAATCACTGATTATATTCACACATCCCAATATAAGCCTTTAGACCTGTGTGTCCTCTCAACTTGTCTTCAAATGCTGACAAAATTAATATGGAAAGACTGTGTTAGCTCAGAAGGAACCGTGTTATTTAATTCTTCTCACTACACCATTGTTGATTGGGCTCCTAAAGGTCATATTACTAATGATTGCTCTCAAGGTCACAGAGATTGTCAACATTTTCTCTATAATATTACTTATCAAAAACGTAGTGACAGCCCTCCCCTATTATATCGTAGATTTAACTCCTTTTTTCCTCTTAAGTGGAAAGGGGCAGGGGTTGCGCCTCCAAAGCCAAGGCTCATTGTTCCCCACATAGGACCTGAACATTCCAAATTATGGAGATTAACAATAGCTATGACTGGTATGAGAGTTTGGGCTGGAGAAAGTGTTATAAGTAAATCCACTTTGTCACCTCAAAATGTATATACTCTCTATATGGAGTCCAACAAAACTATACCACTTAAAAGTTGTGTTAAACCACCATATATGTTATTAGCAGGAAAGTTGCATATTAGTTCAAAAACCAACATAATTACCTGTGTTAATTGTTACTTGTATACTTGTATTGACTCATCCTTTAATCAATATCATAGTATTTTAATAGTCAGAGCCAGACAAGATATTTGGCTCCCTGTAGCCTTACATAGGCCTTGGGAATCTTCCCCCTTTATCCATGTTATTAACAATATTCTATAGAAAATTCTTAAAAGGAGTAAACAATTTATTTTTACATTAATTGCAATAATAATGGGCTTGATTGCTGTTACTGTGATTGCTGCTACTGCTGGAGTTGCATTACGTCCATCTATTCAAACTGTTCATTTTGTGGATAAATGGCAAAAAAATTCTACTCGGATGTGGAATTCTCAGGTATTGATCAAAAATTGGCTAATCAAATTAATGATCTAAGACAAACTGTTATATGGATGGGAGGTAGAATTATGAGTTTAGAACATAGATTACAAATGCAATGTGATTGGAATACTTCTGATTTTTGTATAACTCCATTTCAATATAATGAGTCTGTTCACAATTGGGAATCAGTAAAATGCCATTTACAAGGAAGTGAAGATAATTTAAAGCTTTAGACATAAGCAAACTAAAAGAACAGATTTTTGAGGCCTCTCAAGCACACTTAACTGCTTTACCCGGTGCTGAAGTTTTAGACGGTATCTCTGAGGGATTATCTAATCTCAACCCCATTCAATAGGTAAAATCTTTGGGAGGATCCACTATCGTTAATTTTGTTCTGTGTATAATTTGTACTATTGGTTTATTGTTCATGTGTAAAATTGGAAAAAATATTCTTCAGTCCAATTGTGATCAGTGCCAAGCTATGATTGCTATGGTTCATTTAAATCAGAGAGAAGGGGGAGATGTAAGGAGACCCCCTGAAACTGTTGCTATGGAATAAAAGATGAAATGCTCCTGATTATTGTAAATACAAAGTTGCATGCAGGATTGTGTAAAGACAATGCCAGGTTGGACTGCCAGAATGAGCCAACTGCACGTGATGTGATTCCCCCTGCAGAGAGCCTATGAATGGACGTGCAGTCAGGGAGGTTTCACATCACCAAGATTCCTATCCTAGAAAGGCAGATGTTCATAGCTCTAGGAATGGAATGCGACCCTTGTGGAGAGCCTATAAACGGATGCATGGGGAGGTGGCTGTCCGTATGGATAAGATAGGGCTATAAACGCCCTCATCTTGCCACAGCTCTTCTAGGCCTCTTTAGGGTTAAGGCATACTCCCTTCTGGGAATTTCTGGTCTAACCGGTTGTCTAGCTTCACGTCCTGTTTCCATGGATTGTTTGTAACCAGCTTTTGTTGCAATTGTTACTGCTGATTAATATCTTGCTAATCATAGGTTATGGAAAGATTGTGTTTCTGTTTTAAGGCTCTGTTAGAAATTACTGACACACACACTATATTGTAAATTCTTATCTCTCTATACTGTACTTCTACATACAAATGTACTGTACTTCTACATACAAATGTTATGTGAAAGAATTACTTCATCCCCATGTGACCATCTCACCTCATAATCAAATGACCCTAAATCCCTCACTAACCTACCCCCACCCTCACTAAACTTAATAATAAACGCTGGTATATCCAGTGCATTGTTGGCACCATGGGACCGGAAGGCAGTGAACCCCCTGGACCCAGCTTTCACTATCTTGTGTGTGTCTATTATTTCTCAACCTGCCAATACACCTGGGAACAAAGAGAGAGCCCCATTGCATTGTGGGCTGCTGACCAGATCCTGCAATACTAATCTGCGTCCAGATTCCTGACCCACAGAAACTGTGATATAACAAATGTTTGCCGTTTTAAGCCACTAAGTTTTGGTGTAATTTGTAAGAAGCAATAGATAATGAATACATTCCTCCTCCTCCCCTCACTCACTTCCCTCTGTCTACACTGACTTCCTTGCTGTTTCTGGAACATACCAGCTTTGCTCTCACTTCAGGACCTTGGCACTGGCCATTCCCTCTTTAGAAAGCTCTTTTCTCAGACAGCTTTGTGCCTCTAGCACACCCTATCCCTCCGTCCTGACTTGTAGGTGTCACCTTCTATACAAGTGATTTTCTTTCTTGTCTGACTTTCCCATTGTCAGCTCCATGAGGCCAGGGATTTTTGCCTGTTTTGTTTACAGCTTTTCCTTCAGTGCCTAGAAGTGGGTTTGGTACATGGTAGGTACTGAGTAAACATGTGTGGTGAAGTGAGGGAGGAAGATACGTCTAGAGCTAGATATGTTGGGTTTTAGGTACCTGTGGGATTTTCAAGTGTAGTCACATGTGAAGGCAGGATCAGAGAGCAGGGGGCAAAACAGAGGAAAGTGTGACACCGAAACACAAAGGGAGGGACTCCACAGTAGTGAATGCTACAGAGAGGCAGGGAGGTCATTTAATGTAAGAAACAGAAAGTAACTGTGACATTAAATAACATCAGTTTCAAGACTGTGTTGGAGGCAAAAGCTAGATTAGTGAGCAAGGGAGGGAGGGGGAGGTGAAGAAGGGCCAGTAGTAAGAGTTACCTTCCAAGGAATGAGGCTGTGAAGAGTGGAGAAGAGAGCAACAGGTGGAGGGCTCATGCTGGGAGGGAACTTTCTAAAGACAGAAGAGATAGGGCCTGTGAATTCTCTGAGAGTCAGGACTGAGGGGAGTTGTGGCCTTGGTGCAGCAGGACAGAATGTGATTGATAGAAAGCCTTATGCTATAGATGCTGGGCTTTGGACCAGCAGCATCAACATCACCTGGGAGATTGTCAGAAATATGGGATCTCAGTCTGTTCCAGACCTACTGAATCAGAATCTGATATTAAGGTTCCAGATGATCTGTGAGTGCATTAAGTTTGAGAAACTCTGGTTAAGAGCACAGCAAAGAGGAGTAAGTGCTGGTGAGAGAAGGAAGAGCAACTTATTTGTGGAAATGGCAGGGTCAGCTCATGATGGGTGCAGCTGGATTTAACATTTGGAAATCCCAGTAGGAAGTAAAGGGAGTTCCTACCTTGCAGCCTCTCTCTACTCCAAAGAGAGCCCAGGAATCCAGATAGTCTGCAGACAATGATGATCCCCATCATAACAGCTACTATGTGTTGAGTAGTGTGCTTTGTGTCAGGTGGCATTCTGGATGCCTTATATAAATTATCTCACTTAATACTCTAGCAACCTTACAAGGTGAGAATTATTATCCTCATTTTGCAGAAAAAAATAAATCACTTAGGTTTATCCAACTAAGCAGCAGAGAGTTGAGCCAGGATTCATTTGGCACCAAAGTCCATGCCCCCTTTGTTATGCCCCATTGCTTCTACTACACCCTAGGGGTAGGGGAGGTGGGAGAGAGAGCACGAGGATTGAAGAGAGGGATGAAATCTTGAAATAGAATGCAGAAGGGGATGGGAGTGGGAGCTTGTTCGGGACTTGTATTAATCAGGGTTCTCTAGAGGGACAGAACTAATAGGATATACATATTAAGAGGAGTTTATTAAGTATTAACTTACATGATCACAAGGTCCCACAATAGGCCATCTACAGGCTGAGGAGCAAGGAGAGTCAGCTGAGTCCCAAAACTGAGGAACTTGGAGTCCCACGTTCGAGGACAGGAAGCATCCAGCATGGGTGAAAGATGTGGGCTGGGAGGCTCGTCTTGTCTCGTCTCTTCCTTTCACATTTTTCTGCCTGCTTTATATTCTAGCCACACTGGCAGCTGATTAGATGGTGCCCATCCACATTAAGGGTGGGTCTGCCTTTCCCAGCCCACTGACTCAAATGATAATCTCCTTTGGCAACACCCTCACAGACATACCCAGGATCAATACTTTGTATCCTTCAATCCAGTCAAGTTGACACTCAGTATTAACCATCACAGGACTCGGACTTGGGAGAGTGTTATAGGCCCAGCTAGGACTAGAGATGATGATTTTGTGAGTGGCATCAATCTGCATTAATATGCTTTTTAGCAGTAGTGCTTAGAATCTCAGGTGTGGTAGTAGAGAAGGAAGGATTAATGTGGAGCTTGGATGCTCTGGGTAGAGGATGGAAGGACTGAGGTGTGCGTCAGAGTTCAACATAGACTTAAGATATCAAATGGAACAACCTCTTCTGTGAAGTCCCATCAGTGCCAGTGTGAACTTGGATTGCAGGTAGGGGTGGGAACTAAGAGCTGGCAGGCTGAATTGTGTTCAGCACTCCAAACCAGAAGTTGATGGGAGGTTGTTTTCATGCTTCTGAAAAGTCATTGCTGAGAGTGAGTGAGATTAATAGAGATGATCTAGTGTTGGTACACAGAATAGTTTGTGAAAGCTGGAGGGTAGCTGGGAAGTTCCTGCAGAGCTCCAGGTGGGTGGTGAGAGAGACTGGAGTATGGCCCTGCTTTCCGCATTACCAGAGTCGCCTGCTCAGGATGGCCAGTCCACACCCTAAGCTGAGTGTTGCCCCTGGTCCCAGTGCTCCGCGTAGGCCTCCCCACTTACCAGGGACAGATTGCTTCTGATGCACCCAATCTGTGAGAGCTTATAGTCCTCAAAAAGACAGTGCTTGAGTCTTTCTAAAGTGAAAAAGGAGACATCTTCCGTGGGTCATGCTCTGCTAAGAAAGCTGCACAGTAAGGTTGCTTGTCCTGAAGTATTAGGGAATTTAACAAAGCCTCTCTCTAGTTCACAAGCATGGTCTCTTCCTCCATGCAATACCTGCACTAGGCTAGGTAAGGTAAAATGAGCGCAAATATCCATTGCCATGTTGCACCCAGAATCCTTACTCCCTCTAACTCCTGCCTCCACTGTTACGTGTGGGTCAGCGTGTCAGACTCCTTTTCTCCCTGATGGTGAAATCTGTTCCTTGTTGCTCATTTGATTTTATTCAGTGCTTATTCTGTGCCTGGCTTTGTTCTACACACTGGGGATGTGGTAGTGAACAAAGATCTCTGCCCTTATGGAGTTTAGCAGTTAATGAGGGGCAGACACAATAAACAATAGGGGTAATAAGTAAGAGTGGCATATAGAATGTTAGAAAGTGATAGAGGTTATTTACACAAAAAAAGGAATCATAGGTCAGGGCACAATGACTAGCCCTGCTGTCCATAAGGCCCTGAGCACTGGCGCTGCCAAGCTTCCTTTCCCAAGATCTGATGACACCTCACATAAACCCCTTAATGCAGACACACACTAGGAATGGCCCTTGCACCACCAGGGTTGGCCTGCCCTGTCATGCTCTTTCCTGTGAAATGTTTGGGTTCATGGGAGCTGGACCAAAGAGTGGAACAGGTGACAGACAAGACAATGCATTAGTTTATGCTAACTGGTGGGAGTGCAGATTTTTAGGGAAGGGGTGGCTGAGTCCAGGCTCTCCTATCATGCCCAGGTATCAAGGGAAGGTGTGGCCAGGCAGTCCACTGTTGTTCTATGAATAGGACTCAGTGTCCCTGAGAACTGGCCTGGAGATCCATTAGGATACTACAGACAACATAATTTTTCTATTTTTTGAGAAGCATTTTTGGGCCAAGGAGGAAATGGGATTCAAAAATTGATCTGTGAAGTTCCTACATTTGGATGTAGGTCCACACAGGAGGAAAAACCCTGCTTCAGTCTATTCACTTGTAACAAAGCAAAATAAAGCCATAAACTCCTCACTGAAGCTCTAGGGAGGGAGAAACTGACAAGTTCCCTATGAAAAAGAGATGGTGTATAGAAATTAATTGTGCTATACCCATGGTTGCTATTTTCAAAGATTTATGAAATGTTATTGCTAGTCTCTTTAACATGCTGTCTTCTTTTTATTTTATTGAATGCAGTAGTAGGAGGCTTTTGAATTCTCCTGCCTGGTCCTCTCCCATCCCCAGGAATATAACTTTCAAGGAGAAAACACTGAACTACTCCTGATTTCATTTCCAATCTGTAGAATTCCCACTGTCCCCACTGTCCCCACTGTCCTCAACACCCGCATTTTGTGCAAATTTTTTTTCATACCCATTTTACAAATTTTACGTGAAGCTTTGCTGCAATAAGTGTTATTCCAGGGGCTGGTCTTTGGGGATTCTATTTTGCCAAAATGACTCTGGCCCTTGCCCTTTAAAAAAACAAACAAACAAAAAAGCCCAATCATTGTTGATAGAATATTTACTTAAAAACATTACCCCAATCATGGGTTAAACACACTGCTTCTACATGATGGATGTTATGTAAGTAATTTTGAGGCAGAGTGTTTTTAATCTGCCAAATCTCCGCTTCATAAGGATCTAGGTGGTGCCCCTCCAGTTGCCGAGGGGGCTGACCTGCTAATCCCATCCATCTCAGAACATGGTTTGTTTGTAGTCCTGATGAATTTGCCATGCCTTTCACTGGGGTAAATCTGAATCCTACATGGAGGTTAATAAAGCACCAGCCATGCTTATCTTGCTTCCCGAAAAGAACAGACTCAACGGCTCCTCTGGTCTCATGGATCTGCAACTACTTGGTTCAGAGACTATTCTCTTTTCCATGATAGTATAGCTTTGGAGAATATTAATATATTTCCAGCTCTGTGTCCATGTATTGAGAATTATATAAACTAGCTTCACAATATATAAATTGCTCAATAATTAGAACAAGCATCTCACATCAAAATAAACAATTCAAATTTCATCTACTACCCAAATGCGAAATCCTCAAGAGTGCTGAGTTATGAAATTATGCAATCACAGAAATTAGCATTTTAAAAGTTCTCAACTGATAAAAAGTACTGTACTCTGTTGGTTTTTCCTGGGTATGCTTTAGTAATAGTAAGTAATAAGATAATTAGCACAGATACATTCCATCAAGCAGGATGTAGTGGGAAGTAGGAAGTTATTTAAATTCATTTGAGAAAGCTACCATAACTGGGAAAAGAAACATATGTAGGTATCTCATGTCAGCTTTTAAAGGCCTATAGTGAGTTTTTGTTTAGAACTTGATAGAAAATTACTTGACTGCCTGATAGAGGGTAATCAATTTTGTTAACAGAGCTTGGACTTGCTATGTAAACATAAGGATCTCTATCTTGGCCTCTTCTGTAAATCAGCTCATTCAGCAATTGAACATGATGAATACACTAGAAATAAAATTTTTTTTTTTTTTGAGACAAAGTCTTGCTCTGTCACCCAGGCTGGAGTACAGCGGCATGATCTCGGCTCACTGCAAGCTCCACCCTCCGGGGTTCACGCCATTCTCCTGCCTCAGCCTCCCAAGTAGCTGGGACAACAAGTGCCCGCCACCATGCCCGTCTAATTTTGTTTTTGTATTTTTAGTAGAGATGGGGTTTCACTGTGTTAGCCAGGATGGTCTTGATCTCCTGACCTCGTGAACCACCCGCCTTGGCCTCCTAAAGTGCTGGGATTACAGGCGTGAGCCACTGTGCCTGGCCTTGGAAATAAAATTCTTGAGGTGGGCATTGGTTGTTTGACCTGTCTAACATCTCTACCCCTCTGCTGTGGTGAGAGTCTTCTCTTTCCTTTGCAGGCATTTGGATGTGGCTGATCTCCCCAGTCTGCCTCTTTCCAAATCAATTTGAACACATGGCCAGGGCCTGGCCCCCCTTTCCCCACCCAGAGTGATTAATATTAGTTCAAGAGTGGGCACAGGACCCAGGCAGGGCTGAAGTTCCTCTAGGAGATCTGAGATATGGACACTGGAAGAGGAACAGCCCTTTGTCTTTCGGGATCTTGAGTTCTACTTCATGGATATAGGCTCAGGGCTGGCAGTGGCCACCTTACCAGCACTGATAATGTCACCTGCTGAGAATAAGCAGCATTGAACCATAGGGAGAAAGAAACAGCAGCCTAATGACATCATTGGACCCCAATAAATTGTCTTTTGGTCTACGCTAGTTTGAGATAGATTTTTTTTCTGGTTCTTGTATTTAAATGAGTCCTTACACATAAGTAACTTACATAGTTGTCTCTCTTCCTGCTAATCATCAGCAATTTCCCTCCACACCTGCACACAGTGAAGGGCACATAGGGATTGTTAGCAACAGAGGTCTGAGTTATGAACATCTTGGATGGGTCTAGTACATCATGTATTAGGCCATTAGGTCCTTTTGAGCCACTAAAAATGTATGGCGATTCCTGAAGGAATACCTGCTTGTATGACATGTACGTGTGTGTGTGGTATGTATATGTGTGAGTGTGTATATTTGTGTACAGTTTTCCATTATGTTAATGTTAGCTAGAGGTGAAACAAGCTAAGTATGCCAGTATAATGTGTGAGGCATCTATTTCTCATTAATGAAGTAAACAGTGGCATTTGTGAAGGAACATGGGCAAGGAAATCAGCAAGCACGTGGGTGATTTCCCACCTACATCAGAAGAAACATGAAAGAGCAACTCTTAATTACAACCAAATATTAGCTTTGGCTCCTGGGAACTCATCATCCCATCTCAAGGTCTGTATTTATGAAAATTTAAGCAATGTCTTAAAACATGTTAACTTGTTCTTTGTTTATTTCTTTCCCTGACAGATTAATTTATTCCAAGGGACTTTGGTTCTCAAGCGCTAATATATCGATTGGGCCTATGTACGACATAGCTAACAGCCTGGGGAGGAGATTTTGATGGAAAACAAAAGTCTTTCTTGTAGTTTTCCTTAGGTAATTAACTTTATATTGTGGGCCCTGGACTGCTTCCAGTTTTCTCTGGATTTGCATCTCTCAGTTTTAGATCAATGGTTAATTTCATGAGAGGCTGGAAGTGCTGAAACACACACACACATACTCTCTGTCTGTCTGTCTGTCTGTCTCTCTCTCTCTCTCTTTGGGCTTGAATAAGCCAGCTGAAGCATACTGGGACCACGAGCAAAGTTGTATGTTTTTTTTTTTCCTATTGGGTGATGTTGTTCTGAGCACATCTATGCAAAGGACATGTAAACGGTAACAAGAATCTGAAGTGCCACCTCTGGAGAAGCAAAGGAGGGGATAAGAGAAATGCTGTTTATCATTAATGGGAACTTCTCTTGGTTGCCTTTTGGATCCTTCAATCTTGTATAATCCCACTGGGAAGTCAAAGTAATGCTTACAAAGCACCATCCTTTTAATGTCTATTAATTGATTATCAGTTCTTTTGTTGCCCATGAACTGTACTCAGAAGTCTGTGGCACTTACATATAAATATCTGTATCTTGTAGAAAGAGAAGGTACATAGCAAGTAAGTAATAAAATTACCCCAGAACCCATATGCTCCCAAACCATTCTGACGTCTGTAACTATTCTTTTTTGAGACGGAGTCTCATGCTGTCACCTAGGCTGTAGTGCAGTGGCCCAATCTTGGCTCACTGCAACCTCCGCCTCGCCTGTAACTATTCTTTACATCACGGAATTAACTTAGAATAGGAAACCTCCAGAAGTGTACCTGTCCCCAAATTTCAGGCAACTTCATAAGCATTTCTGGATTTTGTCTATAGGTATCCTTAAAAGTGTACAAACTTAAAACAGAACATCGAAAGTCAGTGACCCCTAATTATATTACTTCTCCTTCACAAAACATATCTTTCAAATCAACAAGCAAAGCAGAGGGATTTCTATTATACTTTAGAATTCCTGATTTCTACAAGCTTTGTTCCTTTACCTAGAGCGTCTACTAAATAAAAGAAACCTACATTATTATAAAATGCTAAATACAGGTCAGAACACTAATGTAGGTATTTTTACCACATAATATTGCATTTATGAATAGGCTAAATGGCATAAGCCTAGTCCTATTTACTGCTAGGATATATATTAATAACTAAAATGTAGCTAGCTATTACCAGGTGAAAACAGTAGCTGCTCAGGCTAACTGTGATAGACTGTATTACTTTTACACTAAATATTTGTGTTCCTATCCCTGAAGTGCCTCTCCCAGCAGAAAGATTCACTTCTCTACACTGCTGAATTCAGGAATGGTCATGAAACTTCCTTTGGCCAGTGAAATGTGGGCCAAAAGGGTATGTGTCTTTGTAGATAGAAACTAGAGTGTGGTTTGCCAAGTCTCTGCCATAACCCCCAGGATGATCTAGATGAAAACTGCTATATCAGCCTGGGGTCTGGAGTGAAGAGGACACAGAGCAGAGCCGCAGCTGACCCATGTAGTATAGCACAAATGCGAAAGAAACCTTTGTGGCTGTAAGCCACGAAGTTGTGGGGATTGTTTATTTCTGCATCATAATCTAATCTATCCCAACTGATACTACAGCTTAAACTAAATATGTACACTTTATTAGTTTGTACCTTTTGAAATTGTTGTTTGGTAGTAACAAACTATCTAATAGCAACAATCTCATACAATTTGACTTATTATAACTGAGAAAATAGGAATATAAGTTTCTACTCATGAATGCTTTTCCTCCCAGATGATAATTACTTATTAAGAGAAGAGTATATTTATTACTTGTATTTTATTTTATTTTGTTTTATTTTATTTTTTGAGACGGAGTTTCGCTTTTTTTGCCCAGGCTGGAGTGCAATGGCGCTATCTGGGCTCACAGCAACCTCCGCCTCCTGGGTTCAAGCGATTCTCCTCCCTCAGCCTCCCCAGTAGCTGGGATTACAGGCATGTGCCACCACGCCTGGCTAATTTTGTATTTTCTGTCGAGACACGGTTTCTCCATGTTGATCAGGCTAGTCTTGAACTCCCAACCTCAGGTGATCTGCCCTCCTCGGCCTCCTAAAGTGCTGGGATTACAGGTGTGAGCCACCGTGCCCGGCCTGTATTTTATTTTTATAAGGAACATCATAGCAGAGTTAGAGAAAATGTTGCAAATATTTACGCATTCCTAAATCCACAGCAATGCTCATCATTGATCGAATGTCCTCCATGTGTCACTTTCTAGGAATGTATTAGGTGGGCAAGACAGACATGACCCATACCTTCATGGAGATTTCATTCATTCTAGTGATGGAGTTCAACTATAAACAATAATTGCAGGCTAGGAAATGAATAGATTGTTTTAAGTCAAAATTACAGAGTAAAAGGAACTCATGGATATGGTGGTGGATGATGGCCTCTCTGAAGAGTTGATGGTTGAGGCCTGAAGAATGAGAAAAGTGTTCTAGGCTGAGGGGACAGCATAATGCAAATGGCATCTCCATGTCCCGGAGGCAGATCAGATCTGCCCAGTGTAGCTAGAATGTAGTGAGGAAGGGGATCATGATGTGAGGTAAAGCTGAAGAAATGGAGTATGGACATGTCATACAGAGCTTTGATGGCCAGGGAGGCAGTTTGAATTTTTTTTTTAAGTCAATGGGAAGCTATGGAAGGAAAATGTGAAGAAAAAGACACGAAGCAGATTATTTCTTCAACGCTGATCACTGTCTCTGCTGGGAGTCCCATATACGTACTGACACAAAGGGGAAGTGAGGGGACCAGTGAGGAGGCTACTACAGGTCAGAGGTGATGGTTATCTGGACCAGGGTTGTGGCAGTGAAGAGGAAGAGAAATGGACAAAATCAAGATGTATTCAGAAGGTCAAAACAGAACTTGTTGATGCTCTGGATGTGGAAAATGAGGGAAAGGAGACCAGCAAGAATGGCTTCCAGACTTCTGGCTTGGATCCTTGGGTGGACATTGGTGCCACTTCTTTTTTTTTAGATGGAGTCTCACTCTCTCCCCCAGGCTAGAGTGCAGTAGCATGATCTCAGCTCACTACAACCTCTGCCTCCTGGGTTCAAGCAATTCTCCTGCCTCAACCTCCCGAGTAGCTGGGATTACAGGCGCCCGCCACCAAGCCTGGCTAATTTTTTTTGTATTTTTAGTAGAGATAGGGTTTTACCATGTTGTCCAGGCTGGTTTTGAACTCCTGACCTCAGGTGATCCACCCACCTCGCCTCCCAAAGTGCTGGGATTGCAGGCGTGAGCCACCGTGCCCGGCCAAACATGATGCCACTTATTAAAACAGGAAATACCAAGGGAGGACTAAGGTTTTCAAGACATGAGGGGATCAAGAGTTCAGTTCTGGACATGCTAAGCACAGGATACCCTGGAAACATCTGAGTGGAGATATCAAGTAGGAAGCTCTGTGTGTGTCTGAAATCCAGAGAAACAATCTGGGCTGGACATATGAACTGGGGCATCATCAACACATCACTGGAATTTCAGGCTTGGAGAATAAATGTAAAGGGAGAAGAAAAAAGGTTCTCTGATGCCTGAGGAACCCCTGGCATTTAGAGGTTTGGGAGGAAACAAAGAGCAGCCATGAGGCTGGGGGAAAGCCAGAAGGGTGAGTCTTCACAGAAGCTGAGAAGAGAGTGGTTTAAGAAAACCATGGGTCAGCCTTGTCAAATGCTGCTGAGAGGCGGAATGAGAAAAGGACAGAGAAGATGCCCTGGATCTGGCAACCTGGAGGTCTTTGGCAACCCTGATAATGTGTTTCAGGAGAGCGGTAGGACCCAAAGGGGTTCTCTAGTGGGAAATACAGATAACAGGTACAGTAAAAAATGTTTTAAAATTTGGCTAAGAAGGGGATAAGAGAAGAAGGGTGAGGGAGGAGAAGCCTAAATTAACTGAGTGTTTATGTTAAAGAGAGACTGTGAAAAATCCTGGAAGTGACTGAGTTTACCTGGAAGCTACCAGATTGTTTTCTACCATCAGCAAAAATGGAGACTTGAGAACTAGCTAACTTGCTATACATGTGCACAACTGCATTGTGTGGCCTCTTTCTGAAATACCATGTTCCTTAAGGGTCACCTTCTCTTCTTTCTTTTCCCACATTTCTGGAAGGAAATTGTTTGGGTTGCTTTAATTATTATAGCTTTTCTATCCCTACTTTGTCTTTTTTTGTTGCTTAAGTTCTGAATGATATGCAGTCACTGAAGAATGTTCTTTTATTTCAGAAAGAATTATTGTTCCTCTCTAACTCAGAAGTGCTGACCTATTTGGCTTCTGTATCTGTTGATACAGTTCACTTCCCTCTTAGCTTAAGGGTCATTAAATGAGGGTAAAATTTCATTATAAATTTTATTTTTAAAATGTTTAATTAACAGTTTTAATTGAAAAAATTCACACACTTTAGGTAAAGAAAAAAAGTTAAATAGCACAAAAGATTATAGAATAAATAAGTCCTCCCCAGAACCCTAGCCCTTGCTCCAGAGGAAACTGTTGCCATCACTACCTTGTGTGAACTATTCTATATACATACAATTCTAAGGCTACATCTCCTGCCTGTAAAACAAAAATAAAAATAAAAACAAAACCCTCAAATGTGAGCATATTTACACACTCTGTGCTTTGCTTTTTTCATATTTCAATATAACATGGAGGCTTTTGCATAAAGTCAAGCATCGCTTAACAACAAGGATATGTTCTGAGAAATGTGCCACTAGACAATTTTGTCTTCATTGGAATAACCTATAGTGTACTTACACAAACATAGATGGTATAGTCTATCAGACACCTAAGCTATATGGTATAATGTGTTGTTTTTAGGCTACAAACCTGTATAGCATGTTCCTGTACAAAATACTGTAGGCAATTATAACACAGTGGTAAAAAATTGTGTATCTAAACATATGTAAACTTAGAAAAGGTACAGCAAAAATATGGTATTATAATCTTACGGGACCACCATCCTATATGTGGTTCATTGTTGATCACAACATTGTTATGTGGTCCATGATGATACAGCTATGTCATTCTTATTCATGGTTCCATAGTATTCCATTTTATGGATGTGCCATTATGTTAACAAGTTTCTACTGATGAATATTTATGTTTTCCTAAGCATTTTAAAACCAAACCAAAAATTTTCTTGAATGATTACACAAAACCTTTGCCTAAAAACACACAAAACCTTTAACCAATATGAAGTAGACAACTGTCATCCTAAATCCCAAAGACTGTTGGATTGGGAATAACTACTGTTTTCCTGTTTTGTAGTAAAAAAAAGGTGGCTGATGTTTGTGTGACTCCTTCATCTATGAAATCTGGGGATATCAGTGACACTAATCAATGCCACAGGAATAATGAGAAGAGAAAAAAATACGAAAGTTTTAAGACGTTTAGAAAAACAATCTTTTAGAATAAAATAAATATTTTATGGGCTATCAAATGGCTTATATAGCAAATGCATAGTATTTTGTATTTTCTTAGATAATATGCCACTAGATTTTTTTCAAAATAGCAATGTTTCCTAAAGATGCTTTCCTTCACACTTATATGGACAATTAATATTTTCCACTTCAAACAATACTAAGACTTCTATGGGGTTGGGGGGGCGTGGATTTCATGGACCTAAGTAACGTATTCTGAGGGTGCTTAAAGTGCCCACAGGCCTTCCCCTAGTATCACCACTGATTTCAGGGGCAGGGAAGTGGAGATTTTAGGAAAATAAAGTTTATGAAGGTTTAGAAGTTTTTTTTTGTTTTTTGTTTTTCTTTTTTGTGAGACAGAGTTTCGCTCTTGTTGCCCAGGCTGGAGTGCAATGGTGCGATCTTGGCTTACTGCAACCTCTGCCTCCCAGGTTCAAGTGATTCTCCTGCCTCAGCCTCCTGAGTAGCTGGGACTACACGCACATGCACCACCATGCCTGGCTAATCTTATATTTTTAGTAGAGACAGGGTTTCTCCATGTTGATCAGGCTGGTCTCAAACTCCCGACCTCAGGTGATCTACCTGCCTTGGCCTCCCAAAGTGCTGGGACTACAGGTGTGAGTCACTGCGCCTGGCAGAAGTCATTCTTAAAGATTTTGTCTTTTATCCCATGGGCTCTGGGGAGACGCTGGAGCTTCTGATCAGGAGGATGACATATAGTAATTGGCAGTGGCATGCAGAATAATTTAGAGGAGAGAGGGAAAGAAGAGAATCAAAAAGGACATTATAATAGTCCAACTGAGGTGAGGAAAGCCTTGGCTGGAATGGGAACAGCAGAAGCAAAAAGTAAAAAGGACCTAAGAGTGAATTTAACTTTTTTTCCTGCCCTAGCACACTTGAGAAGACAAATCCTATTAACAGTGATTCACTCTGCATTCAAAACTTTGTTATAAGTGCAGCAGAAAACCCAAATTAAAAGGCTAAGCTATTAAAGTATATTGCTACAAATCATTAAACTATATAAAAACAAGGAAGGTTAATGTTACAGAGTGGAGAGGGTGAGGAGGCTATGCCCGGCTCCCACTCTCACAGCCACTGCAGTACATTGAGCTCCACAGAGACAGTGCCGGGGCAAGTGAGAGCCGGACGGGCACTGGGTGACTGTGTGCCTCGCTGAGGAAAAATAACTCAACATGGGCAAAGGAGACCCTAAGAAGCCGAGAGGCAAAATGTCATCATATGCATTTTTTGTGCAAACTTGTCGGGAGGAGTGTAAGAAGAAGCACCCAGATGCCTCAGTCAACTTCTCAGAGTTTTCTAAGAAGTGCTCAGAGAGGTGGAAGGCCATGTCTGCTAAAGATAAAGGAAAATTTGAAGATATGGCAAAGGTGGACAAAGACCGTTATGAAAGAGAAATGAAAACCTATATCCCTCCTAAAGGGGAGACAAAAAAGAAGTTCGAGGATTCCAATGCACCCAAGAGGCCTCCTTCGGCCTTTTTGCTGTTCTGCTCTGAGTATTGCCCAAAAATCAAAGGAGAGCATCCTGGCCTGCCTATTAGCGATGTTGCAAAGAAACTGGTAGAGATGTGGAATAACACTTTTGCAGATGACAAGCAGCTTTGTGAAAAGAAGGCTGCAAAGCTGAAGGAAAAATACAAAAAGGATACAGCTACATATCGAGCTAAAGGAAAGCCTGATGCAGCAAAAAAGGGAGTTGTCAAGGCTGAAAAAAGCAAGAAAAAGAAGGAAGAGGAGGACAGAAGATGAAGAGGATTATGAGGAGGAAGATGAAGAAGATGATGATGAATAAGTTGGTTCTAGCCTAGTTTTTTTCCTTGTCTATAAAGCATTTAACCCCCCTGTACACAACTCACTCCTTTTAAATAAAAAAATTAAAATGTAAGGCTGTGTAAGATTTGTTTTTACACTGTACAGTGTCTTTTTTTGTACAGTTAACACACTACCAAATGTGTCTTTAGATAGCCCTGTCCTGGTGGTATTTTCAATAGCCACTAACCTTGCCTGGTACAGTATGGGGGTTATAAACTGGCATGGAAATTTAAAGCAGGTTCTTGTTGGTGCACAGCACAAATTAGTTATATATGGGGATGGTAGTTTTTCATCTTTAGTTGTCTCTGATGCAGCTTATATGAAATAATTGTTGTTCTGTTAACTGAATACCACTCTGTAATTACAAAATAAAAAGTGGCAGCTGTTTTGTTGACATTCTGAATGCTTCGAAGTAAATACAATTTTTTTATTAGTATTGTTGTCGTTTTCATAGGTCTGAAATTTTTCTTCTTGAGGGGAAGCTTTTGCCCATTTTGAATCACATGAATTATTACAGTGTTTATCCTTTCATATAGTTAGCTAATAAAAAGCTTTTGTCTATGCACCCTGCATATCATAATGGGGGTAAAGTTAAGTTGAGACAGTTTTCATCTGTAACTGAAAATCCAAAATCTTGATCAGTTAAGAAATTTCGCATAGCCCACTTATATTTACAAACTGATAAGTAATCAATCTACTCACAGCATGGGATTATTAGAAGCAAACATTTTCAAAGTCTGTCCTTAAAGGACTAATAGAAAAGTATGCTTTATCCTTTACATGAGGACTCTATTCTTTAACTCCCATTACCATGTAATGGCAGTGATATTTTGCAGTTCCCACATTAAAGAAGACCTGAGAATGTATCACCAAAAGCATGAGCTTAGAATATAAGACTGCCAAATTAAATTTTTTGTGGACATTAGTCTCAGTGAAGACTATGAAAATGCTGGCTATAGATGTCTTTTCCCATTTATCTAAATATGGACTGCTCAGGAAATGAGACTTTCCATTAAAAGTATTTTTAATTAATTGGGCCAGCTTTTAAAATAGGGTATATTTTCCCATATTATGGTTTGCCCCTTTATAAATCCAAGTAGATCAGAGGAAGGAAGACACTTAAACTTTGCATTTCAGTATGAATTATTCAATTTATTTGAATGATTTTTCTTTACAAAACCCAAACTCATTCATTAGTCACGTTTATCTGCCTAGCAGTTTAGGGAACAATTTGGCAATTTTGTGGTTTTCGAGATTATTGTTTTCTTGAAGTGCCAGTATTCTAAAATAGCGTTCTTATAATTTTACGTGCTTTTGTGATGGAGTGTTGTTTTGTTATGTAATTTTGACTTGGATTATTTCCATTTGGATTTGTTTATGTAATTTCAGGAGGAATACTGAACATCTGAGTCCTAGAAGATACTAATAAACTAATAATTGCAGAGTTAAAAAAAAACAACAACAACAAGGAAGGGCTTATCTTCAGAGTTCTCTATTGTTTACATCCAGTGGACCATTTTTGCATTCCTTCATTAGTGCCTTCCCAGAGCCATCACTGCCATAAGAAGCAAGGCAAGATCTCCAGGAAGGGAAAATAATCAACAATTATGGCTGACTTATGAATTTAATAATTTTTTCTAGATAAATCCTAGATAAAGATAAACATTTTAAGGATATTTGTATTAAATCTAAATATTAAAAAATTTAAAAAATGATAAAAGCAAATATGGGTGAATATTTAATCACAAGGTGGGAAAGATTTTTCTAAGCCTGAGACTAAGGGCAAGCACTCTAAAATATTGAGCTGAACACATCAAAAAGAACTTTTTTTGTTGTTTTTCTGAGACGGAGTTTCACTCTGTCACCCAGGCTAGAGTGCAGTGGCACAATCTCGGCTCACTACAACCTCCACCTCCCAGGTTCAAGCAATTCTCCTGCCTCAGCCTCCCAAGTAGCTGGGATTACAGGCGCCCGCCACCATGCCTGGCTAAGTTTTTGTATTTTTAGTAGAGATGGGGTTTCACCATGTTGGCCAGGCTAGTCACTAACTCCTGACCTCAAATGATCCGCCTGCCTTGGCCTCCCAAATTGCTGGGATTACGGCAAAAAAACCCTTTTAACGGTAAAAACAAACAAATGATAAATAGAAAGAAAATACTTGTAACAGCTATATTTGACAACAGATTACTGTGCCTAATATGTAAAGAGCTACTACAAATCTTGGGGAGTAATAGATTTTCTACCCAGAGCTCTCTTTGGAAAATAAAACAGATTGTATACACCTTCTGAAATGCCTCTCCTTTGATGTAACTGCCTGGAGTATTGTCAAATGGGTGCTACCAGTACGAACAGTATTCTATGCTTTAGCTTGATGTAGTCCTTACTACTGGGTGGTACAGAGATAGAGAATGACTAGGAACACAATGAGGAGTGAGGGAGAATGTCTTGTAGGGTGAAATGAAGACAGGATGGGTGGAAACACTGAAGAAAATGAACAGAGAAACACAAAAGCTATTTTTCAAGCCATACAGCACTCTGAGAAGTATGTATCTAACACACTGGGCCTGACCTGCAGTAGGCACTTCATTAAATGTGCATTGAATTTAAACAGAGGCATGAAAGGACTTGAGGCAAAGAGGAAGGACCTATTTCTAATAATAATTGTAATTAGAATTACAATAATGGTTAACTATAGTTTTATAGCTTACGAGGTACTAGATTCTTAGCTTAGCTCTGGACATGGGTAATTTCATTTAATTCCCGTAACAACTCTGAAAGATTTGTACTGTTATTACCATTTTATAGATTCTGAAACTGAAGCCCAGGACCCCTTAACCCAAGTTCACATAACTAGGAAATGGCTTGTTCATACAA
This sequence comes from Homo sapiens, assembly GCF_000001405.40. NCBI lineage: Eukaryota > Metazoa > Chordata > Mammalia > Primates > Hominidae > Homo > Homo sapiens. The sequence goes on along the minus strand of NC_000002.12, from coordinate 170,598,715 downwards.
ATTTGGGCCATGTAAGTCCAGAGCCCACATCCTTACAACTACACTCTGTGTCCTTACTGCCATCCCTCACCAGCAGGTAGACCACATGTGGTCTCAATGGACTCGGGTCTGTGGCCTGTAGCCATAGCATGGTTCTTAGTATAAAGGCTGCAGTTCTGAATTTCCACACAGGATAGCTGGATTCCCCAAGGGCCATGAAGTGTCAGACTAAGCTGGAAGGCTGAGAGATTCAAAAAGGAAAAGTTGCACACAAAATAAATGATCTTTTCGGCCTTCTAATCATTCTAATCGTAGTTTCCAGTGACCAAACTGCACTCTGTTTATTCAGATGGAGGCAGGCCATGGTGCCAAGCACTGTGCATTGCAGGGGAATTCGTTCGTGAGGCCCTTTGATGTCTCATGAATCCCAGGAACAGCCGGCTGAAGCAGGCAGAGCTGCTTTGTGTTTATGCCTCTAAACAGAACCATTTGAATACACAGACCAAAAGACCTGGTCCAGGAGCACTGCGTTTTCTCCAATAGAGTGATTCATTGCTAATGTCTTCATTTTGGACACTGCAGTTGAATGTGAAACCATATGCTTTAAATTAAAAGCACACTAAGCAAATCACAAGTTTCTCAAGATGGTGCTTAAAGTCTGTTTTGGGATCTGTTCGTTGCCAAAAGACCCATATGATCCTGTAATTAAACAACAGATATTTTCTGGAAAATTAATCATTTTAGCTGTCCCCAAATGCTATAATTATGATGTTTAGGTGCTATGTTGAGAAATAGGTTGCACAACTAGACCCTTTGACCCTTTTAGAATTGTTTGTTCCCTACTCTGATATTGTCCTGATCTTTCTCTAGCCATCTTATTCTAATTCATTGTATTAGAATGTGAAGCTTTTTAGTTAAGTGAGCAATAAACAGCAGAATACAGAGCCAAAAATGTTGGCAACAGAGGCACTAATAATAGATATTATTATATCTACTTGTCCAGAAGATTCATTCGCCTTGAGGATAATACCACAATCATTTAGGGTTCATGACTGTAGTCATCAGAAACTGAGACCATCTTTTCTTTTTTTTCCCCTAACCACTAGACAGGGTGGGAACAACTGAGACCATCTTATGCAAAAAGGAAATTCACTGGAAGGAAGTCAGGGAATCATAGAATTGATGGGAGGGTTGAGAACCCAGCATGGACAATAGGCAGGATCCAGGGGTACTCTGGAGGGCCAGGCAATACAAACAGGCCTTGCTGCTGTTGTTCTCCAACCTCCACAGCTCCTTGCTTGGTTGGCTGAAGAGTCTGGGAGGAGCACCAGCTCGGCAGGGCTTCTTTTTTTTTTTTTTTTTTTCTTTTGAGATGGAGTCTCCCTTTGTTGCTCAAGCTGGAGTGCAGTGGCGCAATCTCGGCTCACTGCAACTGCCTCCTGGGCTCAAGCGATTCTCCTGCTTCAGCCTCCTGAGTAGCTGGGATTACAGGTGTGCCACCATGCCCGGCTAATTTTGTTTGTATTTTAGTAGAGCCGAGGTTTCACCACGTTGGCCAGGCTGCTCTCGAGGCAGGGTCTCTTTCAAGGGTTTGTTCCATGGTGGCTCCGTAGTGGGAGAGAGACAACATGGAGCCTACTTCCCACCTAGACAGTGAGATTTCCCAAAGAAGACAGGGATGCTGAGAGTAGGGCAAGGTAAATGTTGGACAGCTCAGAATTCTGGCACTACATCCCTGAAACGGAGATTCCCCACCCCAGCCATATTTTCCCGCCTAAGCAGAAAAATGTGTAGACAGAAAACCAACTTCATGAGGGTCAAGAAGAGGTGAAGATAGTACACCTAGTTAGAAGGGGCTAGGCTGCTCAAAGAGACTCCTTTTCTGAAGGAATCTAAGCCTATTTTACAGGCCTGTGGCTGGTGACCATGTGCGTTAAGAACAATGGCTTCTTTCACCTAATTCAGCTTGGAGGTTGCTTTCTACAAAATGCACCATTTCTTATCCCCTTAAAGGGCCTTCTCTAGGCCCTGGGGGGGCAGCGGGAGGTTTCTAGGGTAGTGGTGGTTTGGGGGCAGAGGGTGGAAAAAGAACAGAGGAAGAGATGCCTATTTAAATGAGTTGTTCTTCCCCCTATAAACCTCATGGGTGGGAGAAAACATGTAGTCAGAATTAAGGAATTTCATGGCCAAATCAAGTCCAATTATGAATGTGTGGTAATGTGTAGGTATGTAGAACAGTTAGAAACATCGTTCTGCACGGTTTACGTTGTACTCTGAGGCCCAGATAAACTCAGGTAAAAGCCAGCTCTGGTGAGGAGAAAGCAGAGGGGCTGGAAATGGTAACAGTCAAACAGGGACCACCTACCAGGTAAGGGACTCACGGACCAGTCCTCTCCAGGGCCTCTACCTGAAGCGACAGCTTTTGGGGGAGTTCAGGTAGGGGTGCCCCTCAGAAAGGTTGTGATGGGACTTGAATTATTTGTTGTATTACAACAAACCCAGCCAGAATCACAAACAGGCTAATTAGTACTTCAAATTTTTTTTCCTTTTGGCCAGAAATTAACTTACTCTGTGTGGTAACATTGACTGTATCATGCTCTTGGGTTAAGCCCTAATGGCAACCATTCCTATAATTAATGAAGTGGGAAAGTTAATTTTATTAAACAAATCCTACCCTTGGGAGAAGACATCCATTTCAAAATATAGCATCAACAAGAGAGAGAATAATAAAAGGTGTAATAGATGGTGAAAATGTTGAAAACACCTGGATTCAGGTATTTTGACTGTAAAAGGTCCTCACTAAGATGCAACTACATTTGGGAGGGTGGATTCCTTAGCAACCGCAACCACAGAAGCCTCATTCATTAGTTAGGCTGGCTGAGCAAGGAGAAAGGTTGGTTGGAATAACAGTGAGAAGAGAAGCCTACGAAGGCACAGATGGCATGCTCTTTGGAGCTGGAGGACCTTGGATAGCTCGGAATACCCTTAAAGCACTCAGAAGCCAGGCATGGTGGCTCACACCTATAATCCCAGCACCTTGGGAGGCCAAGGCAGGAGGACTGCTTGAGCCCAGGGTTCAAGACTAGCCTGGGCAACATGACGAGACCCCATCTCTACAAAACGTACAAAAATTAGCCAGTCGTGGTGGTGCGTGTACCTGGTCCCAGCTACTCAGGAGGCTGAAGTGGGAGGATTGCTTGAATCTGGGGGTTCAAGGCTGCAGTGAGCCATGTTCATGCCGCTGCACTCCAGCCTGAGTAACAGAGTGAGACTCTGTCTCATAAAACAAAAACAAAAACAAGCACTTAGAGAATAACAGTAAACAAGAAGAGGGGCAAAATGAAGATGCAGCACAGACATGAGGCTAATAATGGCTTCTACCTCGTAATTCAGTCTTCCTCATCTAAGGCTGCACCAGACAACTTATGTCTCCAGTGCCCACAAGATTCCCATCAATCATCTGGCCGTCTTTAGTTAAGGCAGTAGTGCAAGAACTATCATTTTTGGAACACCCCCTACCTGGTGTGATTGGCATGTACTACCTTTACTCCTCACCACAACCCTGCAAAACGATGGTTACCGTTCCTATTTTACAGAAATCAAAACTTAGGTTTGTGGGGGGGTAAGTAACTTACTTGCCTGAGATCCCATGGCTCGATGTCAGAGCCAGATGTGATCATCAGGCTCCAGAGCCCATGTCTATGTCCCTCTCCTGCACAGGTTCTTTCTCAGAAGCCTGGGGCACGACACTGTCCTTAGATCCTCTTCACACCACAAATTCAGCTGGGTCAAGAGCAGCCAATGAGGATTTAATGATTACCTTCTGTACCTGGTAGTTGCCGCCTTCAGGAAAGTAGAGAGGAAAGTGATAGCAACAAGTGTGTGTGTGTGTGTGTGTGTGTGTGTGTGCGCGCGCTGGGAAAGAGTGCATACTCATTGGGCAGATTGGAACAACCAGAGAAAAGCAAGGTAGGAAAGGCTGCAAGGAGGAGGTGGTGACTGGAATATAGATGGGATTGGGATTTGCACACAAAGGGTAAGTCTTAGCTTGAAGCACAGTCTACCTCAACACATCTGCTACTGGGTGGGATGTTCAGGCCCTGCCAGCCTCAGGCAATGAATTCACAGTACAAAGTTAGCCATCATGTTCCTCTCTCCCTTGAAACCTGTGGTAAAATTCCTATTTGCTATTAGAAAATTTGTTAGATGTCTGTTAGCTGCAAATGACAGAAACCACTGCAAATGTGTTTACCCAACATAGGAAACACTGGCTTACTAGAAGAGCTGGCTTCAGGTATTCCAGGGACTAAAATCATGTAACCTGTATCTTCTGTCTCCTGCTGTCCCCTGCAAGCCTAGAGTCTCTCCTCTCCTCATCTCTCATCTCCGCTCTCTTCTCCCTAGCTTCGCCATGCACTGACGATACTTTTTTTTAACTTCGTACAGCCTTCCTCTACTTGGCCATGGCGGTGGTGGTAGAAATGACAGGGCAGGAGGATGGGATTTGGAGGTCAAGAGGTAGCCATATATAAAGTCTCAGAGAGGCCTAACTTGAGGCATTTGTCCTACTCTGGACCAATTACAGTGATCAGGGAGATAGTTGATTCGGATAGATGAGCTTGGGTCACATACCCAAAGTTCTGGCCAGGGTTTAGTGTAATATGCCTGACGGCCCCATCAGAACCATAAACAGTGTGTATGTTAGGGTATAATTTTCCAAAGGAAGGAAGGTAACATGATCAAAGTGGATGAGAAGGAATGCTGGGCTGACACCACTAACAGTTGGTGACAGTGTCTTTATGAATATCAGAATGTACAATATCAGCGAGCCCCAAGAAATAACATAGATTCTCTAGGAAAAATGTTTGGATGTTTCATGATATAGGAAAATCTTGCAGTTGCTCCTGACTAATGACTACTAAGGTGCACATCATAGAGAGCTGGAAACAAAACAGTGGAAGGCCAAGGCTGCATTCATGTTCAAGTGTATAGAGCTCATTTATTTTAAGATGTGCAGTTCTCTTTTAATTACTTATGATGTCTCACAGCATACTATAAGTAGATCCCAGTATGTATTGTGAATAATAACAACATCTTAGGACTAACAGACCTCATTTGGGTCTTTGTTCTCCAGCTCTTGCTAAGAGGCAGGAGAGAGCCAGTGTTAGCTGATATTCAGATCTGCTTATCAGCTTGGTGATGTAGCTTTTCTGTGCTGATGTATACAAGGGGCTATGCACCTTGCAATCAACTGACTTAGGTAAACTCTATGAACCTGGGTAAGTTGTTTTGGGTCACTGCACCTTGGTTTTCTTATTTATAAAATGGAGATGCGGCCAGGCATGCTGGCTCATGCCTGCAACCCCAGCACTTTGGAAAGCCAAGGTGGGAGGATCGCGTGAGCCCAGGAGTTCAAGACCAGCCTGGGCAACATAGCGAGACCTTGTCCCTACAAAAAATAATTTAAAAAAATTAGCCAAGTGTGGTGGCAAGCTCAGGTAGTCCCAGTCACTTGGGATGCTGAGGTGGGGGGATCGCTTGAGTTCAGGAATTTGAGGTTGCAGTGATCTATGATCATGCCACTACACTCCACCCTGGGCAACAGAGCAAGACTGGCTCACTCTCTCTCTCTCTTTCTAGAAATCTATCTCCTCCTCTCGCTATAGACAGACAGATCTATGTACAGAAAGAGATGTAAATAGATTTATCTAGAGATCTATGTATCTATGTATCCATCTATCTATCTACCTATTTAGGTATATAATCTCTATCTATAGATATATATCTATATATAGATCTAGATATCTAGATATCTATATATATCTATCTCATAAAACAGATATAGATATATCTGTCTATATATCTATATGTATCTATATCTATCTATATGGATAGACAGAGAGAAAGAGATGTAAGAGATGGTAAGACCCCCTAGAGTTGGTGAGTGATTCATTCATTAATGTATTCCAACAGTCAGAAATATTTATTGAGCATCTACCATGGCCATGTGATGGGCACCAAGGATACTTCACTAAAGAGAATGTACATGATCCCTGCCCTGCCCTCATGAACCTTATGGTCAGTGAAGGGGACAGATGAAAGGAAAGGAAATTCAAACAGCACCCAGGGACAGGGCCTGGTACACAGTAAGTGTTCAATAAATGTGAATTGCCTTATCTTCTCTTTGCCGGCCAATTCATTCACTCATTTTGTTTTAACCTAGAAATGGTGGCAAGGCTCTTAATTTCTCTAAGCTGTGGTTTTCTCATGGGTTTATTGAGGTGTTTGGGGAGGCTTTCTAATCTTTCTTCTTGCCCCAAAATTCTGCAAATCTTTATTTCTCTTTCCTCTTCACCCAGGGTGTAGGGAATGGTCTTATTAAAGAGAAACTTTCACTTGAATCCTATGTCTTTGAAGAACAGCCTCATTAGTATTGCCAGGTTGGCCCTTTACCACCAACTTCACAATAATATAAAGCTTTTTAGGGATATTTCTACCCTGCCACGCCTGAAACATCCTCAAAAAGTACCTCTATCAACAGAATGGCACATACGAGAACAATTTTAGTGATATGGTTATGGTGAGGGCTTTGGCTCAGGTAGATCTGGTTGGAATCCCAGCACTGGGTATGGGATTTTGGGCAAATGATTTAACCTCTTCATACCTCACTTTCCACATTGTAGGTGGGAATTAAAAAATCAACTTCAACAGAATTATTGTGGGAATTGAATAAGATAATGTGTATAAGATAATGCTTGGTATGGAGTACGTGTTTAATAATGGAATATACTGCCTTGAGTTGAGAAGCAACTGCATGTTTATTGCAAAATGGTTGAACTTCTGGAAGTAAACATTTGCAGCTGGTTCTAGATTTCTACGACCAAGTTTAATGTGTTTTTAAGTTCAATACGTAATACTGGTGCATTCTGTATATACATTATTCTTTTGGCAGAAGTATGGGGGAAGAGACATTAAGAAAGTTAACCAGGAAAGGTAGTGGCCTTGGGCCAATCACATGCTCTGGGCTTTAGTTCCTAACCCCTGAAACAAGAGGGTTGGAATAGATAATCACTAAAATCCTTTTTAATTCTAAAGTTCTATGATTGCAGGGCTGAAAATCTGTGGGAGAATTTTCCACAAAAGAAAAAAAAAAGTCTTTGTCCTGCTCTGCTGCACCCTCCCTTTCTACACTAGACCTGCCAACTGATGACTGTGTTAGCCACCCTTTGCTGTCACTAACCTCTTTGTCATTAACCTCACATTTTCACAGAAAATCTCTTTTGTCCATTGAATGTGAAAAGGTGTGGTTTACAACCCTGACATCTCTTTGATTTTTAATTTTTGATCTCAGAGAAAGTAGTTTGAACTCATTTAGCATGATCATGAGAAATACTAGAGGGTCTATGAACCTTTAATACAGACACCCAAGAGTTTTAGGCCTCCTGGAAATGAGATGAGCCTTTGTGAAGGTCTGAAGTTGCAGACACATATTGATACTGTACAATCTCTTAAGTCCACAGGAATCCGCTGATGCTCAAAGGAGAGCAATCAAAAACCTAAATTAATAATTATGTCAATAGATTTTCCTAAAGAAAAAATTACCTACACCTGAGGCAATTGGGAAAAATAAAGCTCCAAGTTGGGAGAGAGAAGTAATCAAGCATCCAAAGGCCCACTTTGATAATGTTCACTTTTAAACGTTGAGAGCAAATCTGTTATTATGTCCTTTTTCTTCTCCAGCCCATTTTAGCAGAAGTCTGTGGCCTCTGAATATTGAGACATAGTCTCTCAAGGTAATTGACTCTAAGATCCCACTGCAAAGCCAAAATCTGAGAGACTGTGAGTGTAGAGTATTGCGGCCAAACGTTTCTCCCTGCAGCACCCTAGAGGGCCTGAGGGAGAGAAGCCACTGTGAATACTACGACCCATGGTCCAGGCAATTCTAAATCTGGTGTCCAAGTGTAGCACCCCACCACCGACTCTCCCCTTTTGGGTTTCTCTGCAGCAGACCACTTTTTCTTCTCCAAATTCAGCCAGATTTTTCTTAGCTCAGTTCCATGCAGGAAAATACAAAAAGGAAGATCTTTCAGGTAACTGAATTTTGTAGATTCAGAGAGTTTTGAGGCAAAAAAAAAAAAAAAATCAATCAATCATATATAGTATACTACTTCTGGTAATGGGCAAGGAAATGTTTGAAGAAAGTAGCCTCAGCTGGTGTGAGAAGAGGTACATTTGGTGGGTTCTGGCTCCCTCATTACAGGTAACTTAAAAAAATATGTTAATGTAGGGGTGTGAGGGTGGGGTGGGGATATAATAAGAAATTTTGCTGGCTGTAAAACCAAAATATGAAGGAGTATTTCCATTTCTTCCAACCACCTTAGGTGTCTACTCTTGTACTATAAGGAGAAAAGTTAAGATAGAACTTTTGAGAAAGAAACCCCTCATTTAAAAAAATCTTTGTCCTTTTACCCATAGAAAACATTTACTCTCCTATCCCTTTTGGTTCTGTTTAGAGAAAGTAACTGTAACAAGAATTTTGTCCTGGAAAGTAACTTCTCATATCACGTATATACAGGCATATATCACTTCATGATGGGGATAATGTTCTGAGAAATGTGTTGTTAGGTGATTTTGTTATTGTGTAAACTTCATAGAGTACTTACACAAACCTAGACAGTACAGCCTACTACATACCTAGGTTAATACAGTACAGCCTTTGCTCCTAGGCTACAAACCTGTACATCATATTACAATAGGCAATTACAATACGATGGTATTTGTGTATCTAAACATAGAAAAGGCACAGTAAAAATAGATATGAAAGATAAAAAATGGTACCTCTGTATAGGGCACTTGACATAAATGATGCTTACAGGATTGGAAGTTGCACTGGGTGCGTCAGTGAGTGAATGCGAAGGACATTACTATACATTGCCAGAGTTTATAAACACTATACACTTAGACTACACTAAATTTATTTAAAATTGTTTCTTTCTTCAATAATAAATTAACCTTAGCTTACTGTAACTTTTTAACCTTATAAACTTAAATTTTCTAAATGTTTTGACTCATAATAACACTTAGCTCAAAACATAAACACATTGTGCAGCTGTACAAAAACATTTTCTTTATATCTTTATTCTATAAGCTTTTTTCTATTTAAAATTTTTTTTACTTTTAAAACTTTTTTTTGTTAAAAACTAAGACAAAAACATATACATTAACCTAGGCCTACACAAGATCAGGATCATCTATATCACTGTCTTCTACCTCCATATCTTGTCCCACTGGAAGGTCTTCAGAGGCAAGAATATGCACGGATCTGTCATCTCCTATGACAACAATGCCTTCTGAAACACCTCCTAAAGGACCTGCCTGAGGCTCTTCTTGAGGAGGTGGTGTCACTCTTTTCAGAAATAATGTCCATAGTAGTTTACTTGGTTCGTTTCTTTTTTTCATTATAGGTTTTCTTGTAAGCAGATAATACACCACGAACATCCTCTGTATTATCGAAAACCTTTCAGTGTTGGGGTCCATGATATCAAACTTTTTAAGGAGCTTCTTGAGGTCTGCAAAACTTCTGCTAAACCCTGAATTTTCTTGGGGATTCTTCTTTTTTTCATCTTCTCCTGTAGTTTCCTTTTCTCTTGCCTCTTCTTCAGCTACATGTTCTTGTTCCAGTTCCAGTAACTAACTATTAGTTAATTCCTCAGGAATCACTTCTGGAAGCTCCCAATCTCATTCTTATTCACACCCAGGTTAAAGTTGTTGGCCGTCTCAACCACAGCCTTGTTGATTTTTGCAACGTTGGCAAATTCTTTAAAATCATGGATGAACCTCTTGAGTGTCATCTTCCAGATGACATTCATAGATTCTTTGGTGACATTACCCCATGCCCAAGCAAGGTTCCTGATGCAGTCATAGATGTTATAATCCTTCCAGAATTGCATCAGTGTTTTCTCAGTGTCTTCCTCAGCTGCAGCAATAGCTTGAACAAAGGTCCTCTTCAGGCAGTAGACCTTAAAAGCTGCTATAACTCCTTGATCCATTGGTTGGGTCAGGGGTGATATTTGGAAGGAGAAATGCCACTTTGATGTTGGGATAAAGATCGTCAATAAAAGAAGACTGTGTGGGAGCATCATCAACAATATGCAAAATCTTGGAAGGTATTCTCCAAACGGTACTTCATTTCACTGGCATAGCAATTCAGGAGGGCATCCTGGAAGAGGAGTTGAGTCAACCCTGACTTCTTATTGCTCCTGTAGTACACTGGCACTGTGTGCCCTCTCCCTTTTTTTGAGCCAGGGTCTTGCTCTATCACCCAGGCTGGAGTGCAATGGCAAGATCCTTGCTTACTACAACCTCAAAATCCTGGGCTTAAGAAATCCTCCTGCCTCAGCCTCCTGAGTAGCTAGGACTACAGGTATGTGCCACTACACCCGGCTAATTTTTTTTTTCTTTTTTTTGTATAGAGATGAAGTCTCACTATGTTGCCCAGGCTGTCTTGAAGTTCTTAGCCTGAAGGGATCCACCCTCCTCGGCCTCCCAAAGGGCTAGGATTACAGAAGTGAGTCACCAAGCCTGTCTTGTGTGTGTTTATTGATATACTTGAAGTCCCTGGGGTTCTCATAGTGCCAGATCACAAAGGGTTTTAATTTGTAGCCTTCAACACTCCCCCCAACCAAGACTGTTATCCTCTTCTTAAAAGCCTTGAAACCTGACATTGACTTGTCCATATGGCCTCCATATGTATAAGTCCATGTAGAGATCTATTTCTAGAATAGGGAGGTTTCATCCATACTGAAAATTTGCTCTGACAAGTAATTTTCCTCCATAATCAGCTTATCTAGAGTTTCCAAAAATTCTTCAGCTGCTTTCATATCAGCACTCACAGATTCAGTGCTCACTTTTGCATTATGTAGTGAATAACAAGTCTTGAATTGTTTAAATCATCTACAGCTAACAGTAAATTCAACACTGTAGTCAGGTCTGGCCTTTCTTTTACACTGCAAACAAACCTTCTGCCTGGGCTGTGATCATTATGGTACTGAGAAGAATGTGCTTCTGTGATTGGCCATCAGTCCAGGTCATTAAAAGTTTCTCTATATGTGATACAGACCCTTCTTGCATTTTTGTGAGTCTCATTATTTTCAATAAAGCCGATCCCTTAACAACTTCCATCACTTTGCTCTTGTTCTTCAAGATCATAGCTATGGTGGAATAGGACGTACCTGACTGGTGAGCAATAACCATCACTGACTTTCTACCTTTGTAATTAAGTGGTTCTTAATCACTTTTATTTCGAGGTCAGTCACTCAATGTGGCCTCTTACTGGCAACATTAGCCATAAGTTTTGTACACTTAGGGGCCATAATGAACAAAACAACATGAGATTAAATCAAGCACAAGAGAAAATGATGCAATCAAGAGATGTGGTAAACACAAGATGTATGAGGCTGCTGCTGGCATAACATGGCATACTGTCTTACAGCACACATTGTTTTATAAGTAGAAGGCATAATAATAAAAAGTACAGTATAGTAAATACATAAGTCAGTATTATCATTATCTAAAATTATGTAATATACATGTGTATGTGCTACACTTTTACACAACTGGTAGCACAGATGTTTATGTAATTTTTCTCTTATCACAAAGTGACCCTTCAGCAAAAATGCTGAAATTCTTGCTTTGTTGGCATTGGGTAGACTTGGCAAGAGAGAAAACCAACATATTCATTCATTAAAAGGAGAAAATCCATACGAATTGAGTTCCAAAGCTTTTAGTTGAGTGTTGTTTATACAAACTCTTAAATATTTGGATAATCAATTGTCAAAGTAGAAGTTCTGGAAGAATTATGTTCTAAAAGGCTGCCAAGATATCTGATTTTGACATCAAAATTAATTTCACAAAATTTTAGAATTAGTTCAAATCAAACTTAGATTTGGCTCCCAGCCATCAGTAATTAAAATTTATGAGTACACAGCAGTATCTCTGGTGCCTGGCAAAGGCTTCAGGACCACTAAAACGAAAACTTCTACCATGTGACCTTTATTCCAGGGGCAGATCCACTTTTAAATTAAGAACTTTTCATCTCACAGAAAATGAAAAATAATGAGCCATTTCTTTGGGTCATGTATCTCTGTTGCCAGAAAAATAAAAGACATCAAAATTTTTAGTAACATACATAACAGGCACCATTTTTGCTTTTATGTAAAGTATCAACTCCACATGTAATTGCTAAATATTTTCTAAATTAAGAGCCCATGTGGTGAGCGGGTGCACACAAAAAGATAATCAGAAAAATCTCAGCATTAAAGTATATTCTCCAAGTAAAAACACATAAATCACGTTGGTGAGGTCCAGGCTGCTGTGAAAATTACTGCTCTGAGCCTTATGTTTCTGTTGAGTCTAGTGCAGAGGAACTGCAAAATGATTGGACCTGTGAACTTTAGGTCACAGGGCTAAGGCAACCAAAACAAATGGCTACATCCCACAAAGTCAAAGACCAAACACAAAGGAATCTAGAGATATACTTTTGGATTATAATATAGTGTTTACTAGAAAAAGATCTGCATTCTAGTTTCCAGTTTTCACTCCACTGCTTAGTAAATTCACTCCGCCAAAGGTGCTGCTTCCTAACTGAGGACAATAAAACCTTCTTTCCCTGAACAAACACTTGTGTGATTTTTGTTTGTTTGTTTGTTTTTTGTTTTGTTTTGAGACAAAGTCTCCTCTGTGGCCCAGGCTGGAATGCAACCTCCCCCTGGCCTGCCTCAGCCTCCCAAGTAGCTGGGACTACAGGCACGCGCCACCATGCCCGGCAAACTTTTATCTTAATATTTTTAGTAGAGACAGGGTTTCGCCATGTTAGCCAGGTCAGTCTCGAACTCCTGGCCTCAAGTGATCCACCCGCCTCAGCCTCCTAAAGTGCTGGGATTACAGGCGTGAGCCACCACGCCTGGCCACTGTGTGATTTCTTGAAGTGGTTTCCAACTCCAAGAACTGTGACTCGATTTCCTTACTTATTGCTTGTTCAGAGCCTGTTGCTGGTAAGGCCAGAGCTATAGGTGTCCTGATCACTTGGACTGTTGTACTGCCCACAAACGGTACCCCTAATGCTAGCTGATCATCTCACAGATCTCACAAGGGGGCCAGGCCAAGAAAGTACCTGTGCCTAGTGTGTCCACTCCTGAAAAACTACAAAAAGGTGTAAAAAATTGAGGATGGTTCTGCAAGAGCTCAAGGCTCTACAATGCAGGCGGGAGGTGGAGGTGAGCAGGTAGCACATCCATGTTGCTTTTTTTTTCTGTCTGAAGCTTTCAGAGGGGAGTTGGGTATAAGAACTGATACTTTTTTTGGGTCCTCCCCAACTGCATAAAATGAAGACATGCTCAAGTGACTCCTGAAACTCTTCTTGGCTCAGGACACAAAGAATTACTATGAGTACTACATTACTCACCTGGGATGCATTATTTAGGCTAGTAGAAACCTGAGGACATGCTGGAATTTATGTGTAAGACTTATTTATCAGCTTTCCTTTTTGTGCATGCCCCTAGAGCAGTAATTTTCAACCTTGGCTGCACATTAGAGTCATCTGGAGAACTTTAAAATAATCCCAATGGCCAGGCCACACCCCAGAACAATTACATCAGAATCTCTGGAGGTGGGACTCCAGCAGATCAATATTCTTTAAAGCTCCTCTGGTGATTTCAATGTGTAGCCAAGGTTGAGAACTGCTGCATGAGAGGAATAACAGTCAATAGCATGAACCTGCATTTCACGAGCTGATAACACAAAGGTGGAAAGGTTCTCAGTTCAGCTGACCTCTTAAAAGCATCCCAGATTTCTAGAGTAACTACCTACTGTCTACTGAAAATTTATTTCAATTTTTCTCCTATGGGTTAGAATCAAAGGCAGACAGCCTAAAAATAACTCATTAGCAGCTTGTGTGGCTGATGGCAATGTTGGAAATTCTAAGTTGCCTTTTAACTTAAGCTTATTGCCTTCTCCCTTTGAAATAATGTAGCTATTAAGAATCAAGTTACAGATCAATAAAAGGTCTTATTAATCACGTTAACAAGTGCGAAAGGTCCAATCCAACACCTAATCCCTATGAGTATTCTCTGGCACTTATGCAATTCTTTACCTAAAATCCAAGAAACACTTAATGGGGGAAAAAACATGAACAGCAAAGATAGTTGAAGAGAACTGTATTTTCTTAAAGGAATGACAAGCAATACATTTTCCACATTAATTTATATCTGCCCTTCATCTCCACAGGCTCAAGTAATAAAAGTTATGCATAACTCATGTGAGAGATCATTAAATCAACCAGTTGATAGTGTGGACTAATTGGTAAATAAATACTTTATAAAAATGGTGATGGGTGTACAGACCCTGTTTTACTCTTAAAAAGAAAAAAAAAATTAAAAAACTTTATCCATAGCTTTGATATAAATACCCACACCTCACCCTCTTCAATTTCATAACTTTTTCCAAGTTTGTTGGAGGGAGATACACCACAGAATTAGAGCCCCATAGGGGGACCACAATCCTGGATGAAAAGTTTAAAATCAAATAAAAAATTCAGATTCATTTAATTGGCCAAAAGCCTGGTGGCATGCACATAAGACATTCTCTACATCTGGGTGTCACTATATTTTTGTTTTGATCCACTAGTTTGGCATTGTGTAAATGTAACTATAGACAGAAGGAAAGAGAACAAGACAGGGACAGGAGAGGAGAAATATACAGCTCTTTGCCAGGTTATCTTGAAAACAAAAAAGGTCTTTTGTAAGTTAGCTTGCTTTCTGAGGTTTAATTTTTTTTAAGTTTACTGTTACATATGGAAAATCACATCTTCAAGATGGAAAAGATTTTTTCCTTACCGTGAGACTGAGTCTGAAGTCACAATGTACTATTTGCCAGCTGTGTGACCTTGGGCAAGGAGCTAAACTTCTCTCAAACTGTTTGCTCATCAAGGAAGAGTACCTTTTAGATACTAGATATTTTAGATACTAGCCTACTTAAAAAGATATTGTCAGGATTAAATACAATATTGTGTGAAAAACACTTAACCCAGTTCCATGCACAGAATAAAGTGCTCAAGAAATATTTGCTGTTGTTATTTACTATGCATAGACAATCCTAGTATCCATCTTAATTTTTCCACAGAGAAATGCAATTATTATAGAAGTGGAGCCCTAAGAGCAAAGACTTGGGTTTATATATGAATACAGACCAGTGGCCCTAAGTAAAATAAAAATTCAAAAAAAACCAAGCTCGTAGCCTTGACCTGTCACTCCCATTTCTTCTAGAGATTTTGATGTGGCCAAGGGAACGGTGGAGGCAAATTTAGAAATGATGCCATGTTCTTCGAGGCCTGCAGGCAAGGCTCAGCGAGAAAGGACTGAACCACTGAGAGCCTCTGCCTCATGTCAGCAGGTGAGGCAGGCTGAGATCTCTCCCTGAGCACTTTCTCTGTGATCAACCCTAGGTAGGGATCAGATGTGGATTATATTGAGCTAGACTTTATCCCTGCTCTAAAAAATCTATCAGTCTGGTAAGGGAGACAAGGGGTAGTTACACACATAAATACACTCAAATAATCATCAGAGCTCAGTCAAGGGGGAGGGGGTGGAGGGGCTGCAGTGGGGGGTGTGCGGGGTGTCAGGCGGTGGGGCGGGTAGACTCTGCAGTGTGGCAGCACTCCAGGGCAGGGGGAGCTGTCAGGAGCAGCCAGAGAGTCCAAGGCTAGTTTTTGTGGCAAAGGGGTTGTGTCTCCTAGCCAAGCTACTGCTTTTATATCCTTTGAAGTGAGCTGTGGCTGAAAAGGATCTGTTGACCTCCAGAGAATAAGCTCAGGAGGGAATTCTGTGGAAGAGGGAGAGAGAAAATCCCATTGTTTCTCTCCCCTGGGCCTCAAGAAAGAAAAACCACAATGACGATTTTTTTCTTAACAAAAGGCCTGAATATTTAATGCCTGTTGCTGAGTACTTATTTCGCTTTTCCAGGGGAACTAGGAGCAACAACTCCTGCTGGGATTTTTCTTTCTTTTTTTAATAAAAAGTTGAGAGAGGAAGAAAGAAGTAGAGGAAGGCTAGGGTGGCAAAGTGGCAGAAAGGAAGGTGGAAGAAAAAGCAAGCCACTGAAGGAAACGGGATTTCTTCCTGCTTTGGAGAACAAGGCCTTGCTGAGCACCTGTCAATCAGTGCTGCCCACTGGAGGGGCCATCTTGGCAGCCATTTAGAGCACCCCTCACCAGGGATGTATGGTTGGATTCAGCTCACCCAAAAATGATACCAGAACTGAAGAGGAGGGCAGTGAGGTCATCTTCCCTGCAAACAGTGCTGCTTCCCTAAAGCTTGACTCCACCCCACGCACATTTGCCACGAAGCCTTTATTGTCCTGTTTTCTTTCCAGAGTAGAAGTAGGGAAGCAACACTTGTTACACTAACTTCATTTGCTTCTCTGAATGACATCAAACCCCAGAAGCTCCTATCCCTTTGCTTCCTGGGAATTCTACAGACCTGCTGGTAGTGCGTCTGTAGCCATCATGAACTTTAATCTGATTACGGTCCTAAAACTACTTCTTCACGAAGTTATGTTGCATGAAAGAATCTTTGCCCTTGCAGATATTTATTTTTTTCTTCCCCAAAAGTGGATAGAAGGTAATTTATAAATCAATAGGCTGCCTTACAACTGCCTTACAACTGTTGGCCTGTCCAATCTTGGTGTATATCCCACATTACATTAAGGTGATCCTCAACTTTTGGGGGTGTTTTTACCTGTTAATAATGACACACATCTTTTGTCTCCTTTCCATTGCACATTTTTTATAGCTTTGGTAAACTTGCCATGAAAAAATCTTGCCTGAGAAGATAGCTTATTAACATATGCCATCATCATCAAAAGTGTGATGTTATTATTGTATATACAGTAAATATTAGCTTTTATAATAAATCAGAGGTTAGGTTGTTTAGCTAAAATTGTGAGGGTTGAGCAAGATCTAATAGGGAAAGGATGCACTATTCAATAAATGGAGCTGGACCTATTAGTTATCCATATAGAAAAAAAGAAAATTAAGTTCATCCCATATATCATATATAAAAATAAATTTGAGGTGGAGTGATTACCTATGTGTGAAAAAAAAAGATTAAAACTTTAAAAAGATATAAGGCTTAATATCTTTATAAGTTTGTGGAGGAAAGACTTCTTAAGGCACATAAGCCATTAAAAAAGAAACTAATAAAACTGTTAAAATTAAAATCATCTGTTCAATAAAGAATGCTACATATACATACAGAAGGCAAGGCACAGGCTAGGAGAATATATTTGCAATGCATATAATCTGCAAATAATTAATAGCCACAATATAGAAATAATTCTTACAAAAAAATGAAAAATGGACAAAGGACATGAATACGTAGTTCACCAAAAAGTAACACATGAGAAAGTGACTATCTTTATTATTAATCAGAGACAAGCAAAAAAAGCGATATGTCATTTGTGTTTCTGACTCCGAAATTTATTTTTTTAATCTGGAAATTCAAAGAGTTGGTGAGAATATGGAGAAAAGGAAGGTTCATCAGTCTGCTGGTATGAGTGCAAATTTGTACTACATGTTTGGAGAGCAAGTTGGCAATATTCTGAATGGTAGATGTGCATCCTGTGTGGCTTAGCAATTCCTTCCTAGGGAGATATATACCCCAGAAATTTTCTTGTGCTTCTACATGAAGAGATATATACAAGAACATCCATCACAGCGTCATTTATAATAGCGAGAAATCATGAACAACCAAAATGACAATAAAAAAGAGAATATTGTGTTGTAGTCATGAAATTAATGAGAGTTCTATATGTATCAACGTGATAAATATTGGAAACATTTCAAGGAAAAATAAAACCCTGCAGAGTGATAAATATATTCTGCATTTATACAAAGATTAAAAACATATACTATTTACGCTTTCATACACACACACACACACACACACACACACACACACACACACATATATAAGGTTTTGTGGGACCTGAAGCTTATACAATTTGAGGAGTGGTTTTTTATATTTTGTTTTCTTTTGTTTTTGTTTTTGAGACGGATCTCGCTCTGTCACCCTGGCTGGAGTGCAGTGGTGCGATCTCAGCTCACTGCAACCTCCGCCTCCCAGGTTCAAGCGATTCTCCTGCCTCAGCCTCCCAAGTAGCTGGGATTACAGGCATGTGCCACCACACCCAGCTGATTTTTGTATTTTTAGTAGAGACGGGGTTTTGCCATGTTGGCCAGGCTGGTCTTGAACTCCTGACCTTGGGCAATCTGCCCACTTCGACCTCCTAAAGCGTTGGGATTACAGGCATGAGCCACTGTGCCTGGCCTGAGCACTTGCTTTTAAGAAAAGGAATATAAAATTATAAATATAAAATTAGGTACAAAATTGAATATCAAGTTTGAATAAGAAAAAATCATACTGTTATAAAATTGCAAAAGCTGGCAAATACCCTAAATAATAAAGTCCAGAAAAACAATGTGATATTATTAACTATTAGACATGCCTTTATGATTACTATTAGACATACCTTGATAATATTGTTTTTCTTATATTCATTAGCTGCATTCTTTTTAACTCTAATATGGTAATAAATTTTTCTGTAAAGAGTGAAAAGATAATGCCATTTTTTTCTCTAGCACGGTTGATCAACAAATTTAAGGAAGAAAAATAGCACTTTAGAAAAGAGTCTTTAAGCATCACAACTCTGTAATTTCTGTTCTTAGATAGCAGAGTAGCTGTTTGACCTCTCTGGGCAGGGTTCCCAGAGCAGCCTGGGCTGTGGCCCCTGAACAAGGAGCAGAACCTTCACACAGGATAATGTACGGTCATCAGTTCACACAGGGTAACGTATGGTCATCAGAGGCACTGGGGGATCCATCAAGAGCAGGTTTTCCTTGGGAGCTGGGAGGCTCTGGAGGTAGTGCCAATGGCTCCAAGACCACCCACTGAAGACCTGGCACTGCCTCCCAGGCTGTGGTGGTGCTCCAGGTTTCTAGCCTGTGGCTGTGGCTGCTTCCCTGACAATGGCCCTGACAACTTCTGGGCCTTGGAGGAAGTGGTAGGAGTGACTGGCCCAGAGGCCCAGTATTCCTTTGCTTCAGGAAAAATTGGCTTCTGCCTACACATTTAGTAAAAATATAAAAATATGGTAGGGAATAAAATGAAAATTCAGGATAGCAATTACTATGGAGATAAGAGAAGAAGGATAGAACTGGGACAGAGGAATGGTGGGGGTTGCAACAGAATTTCAATTTAACAAGACTTGAAGCAAATACGGTAAAATGTTAAAACCTATTATGTGGGTGGTTTTTGGTATTTTCCCTCTCTTCTGGATGTTTGAAATATAATTATATTTTATTTATAATATACTAATTATATTTCGTTTATAATATACTTCATAATTATATTTTTAAAAATCAAAGGACTGAGTATTGGGTTGTAACTAGTAGTGCCCCACTGTGCTCAAATTGCTTGAAATGGTCTCATGCAAACAAAGCATATTGTTTACAGAATGCAAATCTTTACATTTGATGATCCTGATTCTGCAGTTCTTTGCTAGTCATAGTTTTTCCACATAACTAGTTACACAACCAAGAATTATACTTCTATTGCTTTATATGAATAGTTGTTTCTATGGCGATGTGCACTGCAAACATACTGAGTAATTATATTCAATCCATCACTTTGAGTTTACCCAGGATTTACAGACTAATCAGAATGTGAACTTCCTGAGTACAATAACTTGCTGCTCCCCAGACTATACAAAATTTCAGTACCAAGTCATTCTTCTAAGAAAATGCTAAGCGCTTTGGAGCTACTGCTAAAGAGCCAAGCCTTGGGTAGGTTTCAAGGCCCTCTGCGTAATGCCACAACAGGCTGAGGACAGCACAATTCCTCGCAGCGGGGCAGCGGACGTCCGTTCACTTAGACCACAATATCTACTTGTTAAAGCAAGTTTCACAGTGAACATCGGAAATATTTTTTTAGCAGTTAGTTTAGAGAAATGAGTACAAACTGTGGATAATGCAGTGAATACATTAACACACTAGGACGTTGAATACATTTTTAACAACGCACAGATTATGTAAAATGTAAATTTTAGTAGTAATTAAAATTAGTCGTAATTAACAGCCTTCACCTGTTTACCTTCGATGCTTTCGAAATACTTCAACAGAAAATGTACACTAAGTTTCCAACACCCACTCACTGGGAACTACTTTTGATATGGTTTGTTTAAAACAAAGTACTTCATAGAAACTCAGTAGAGAGTGAAACTTCAAATGCAAAACAGCTGTTCTGTTTTAAAAGTCCAGGCCATCCCTTAAATTGTGCTTCAGTAAGATAGATACAATCCAAATTAATCTGAGTGGTCACCCTTTTGGCCCCGCCTTCCTCCTCCCCACAAACAATGTCCCTCAGGTCTCCAGACATCACGACCCCAAGAGCCGCAGGCTGCGACCTTGTCTGTGAGAACCCACTTGTTCTCAGGCTAACAGCTTGTCTGGGTTGTGGGGAGAGCATATGCCCCTTCTACCTCCTCCTAATGAACCCTTGACGTTAACATTGGGGACCAGCCAAACATAAGCAGGTATGTTTGTTTATGCAACCTTGTTTAGAGAGGGTTTGGGCCTAATATTAAATCAATTTCCAAAATATTAAACAGGAAAAACATACCTGTGTGTGCATGTAAACGTGCACACACACATACAGTACACACATATTCTCACATACCCTCCAGTTCTAGAACACTTTGCAGTTTGAGCAAAATCTTTCCCCTTCACATTTAATATTTGGAAATGCTTGAGGTTTAAGGAAAACATTTTTATTAAGTGTTTGATGTTGTGAAGGAGCTCCGGGCAGTGGAAGACTGCTTTGGTTCACATTTCAGAAGTTCCTCAGGACTTGGGAAGAGGAGCTAATGAAATGCTTCTCTGCTTCAAGTCACTCACAGGAAAATGAATCTTCTAAAATTTAAGATATTTCATTTTAAAGTGCCCAGTAATATTAACACTACCCAAAGCTACAATTCTCTGATGGGGAGTGGAGACCCACTGTCTCCCCTGAGGAATTCATATTCTTGTAATCAACAGCCTAATACTGATCAACGGAATTGCTGAGTCACAAATTACTAGAGTTTATTCGTAAGTCCAGAGATGGAAGAAACAGATTTCACGTGCAAGGTAGCAAAGGAAAATTTAAAATTGTTAGTCTTCTAATTTTAACCAGTTAGTCAATATAAGCTGGTTTATAGCTACCTGTCAACCTACACATTCAACCAGGGTTTATTGAGTGCCTGCCAGGTAACAGATGTATAATAAGGCCCACTGGATATGTGAACATGAACCAGCTACAGATTTTGTCCTCAAGGAGATTAATGTCAAAGGTAAAAATATATTTTCAGGGAAATGATAAATCAGAGCTAATCGATCCACTCTGGATTTTTAAAATTACTTTTAAAATAATTAAAATAGCTTTACATAGAATTTTTTGCTCTTTCTCCTCACAACTTTGAGTTCTACTGGTTCGAAGATCTTGGTACTTAAGAAGGGAATGCTTCTACCAAGGGATGCAACAATGGTTCCACTGAATTAGAGGCTGACACTGCCACTTGGCATTTGGCTTCCTTATGCAACTGAACCAATAGGCAAAGAAATTACTCTGTTGGATGTATTGATCCTGATTAGCTAGGATTGGGGCTATACAATGGGGGCAAAGAGGACTATGTCTGGAGCCCAGGATATTCTCTGAGTACTTCTTAGTACTTGCATGTCTAATAGTAAAGGTTTACAGAAAACTACAGCAAGCAGAAATCTGCAGAACCGCTGGTGATTCAGACCCTTCAGGAATGAGGCTAGGCTCACCTTGCCAGGCAAAGAATCTCAACAAGCTGAGGTCCCTGCTAAGAGATCATAGAGTAAGGAATAAGAAAATTATAAGCATCAACTATTGCTTTGTGACCATTTCACTTATAGTAACAAGGACTATAGCAGTTATATACATTTTCTTCTTGCTTGTTTTAATGCGCAAGTATGTACACACAAGAACATTAATTTCTTTTCTCTTTCTTTCTCGTCCTAATAATATCACTCATAGCCTCATGCTCTGTGTGACGGTGGAATGGGACTCCACAAATCATACTTCTTTGCCATATGACTCTCCACTGGACTCCCAACAGGGGATGCTAGAGGAAAACTACAAGGCACGAGGGAGAAGAGGGACTTGCTTCTTCCGGTTTGCTTCTTGTTCCTACCACGGTCACCACAGCAACAGATCTTCATTCTGGCAGCAATGCTTGATTTCAGCTGTAGCAGTAGTTCCAGTTTGCAGGGTCCCCATACTCCCAGAACTAGCCTCAGCAATCCCTTCAGAGACCAGCATCAGCCGGACAGTAACCCTACACAGAGGTCTGAGTTTCAACTATATGAGGCC
The DNA here is from genome assembly GCF_000001405.40 of Homo sapiens. Taxonomy (NCBI): domain Eukaryota; kingdom Metazoa; phylum Chordata; class Mammalia; order Primates; family Hominidae; genus Homo; species Homo sapiens. The sequence goes on along the minus strand of NC_000002.12, from coordinate 170,576,252 downwards.
CCTCATCCAAGTCTAAGTTCCAACAATCACATCTTCTCTCTGTTCCTCAGCCTTTAGGAGTGGTAGCTGCTTCCTAAAATTATTCTCTGGGATACTGCTGCATCCCCTTTCTGTCTTTTTCAGTTCTCTAATATAGGTTAACAACTAGAAAAAATGTTGAATTGTTAAATTCTTTAAAGAAAGAGCACTGCATAGGGAGTCTGGGGACTTTGGCTAGCTGGGACTCTGCCACTAATTGCCTCATGATCTTGGGTAAGCTGTTTAAGTTTTTGGAGTCTTTATTTCTTTTGTAAAATAAGGGAATAGACTGTTCATAAATCTCTAAAGAATCCTTTCAGCTACGAGAGTCTAGGAGGCAATACGAATGGGAGAAAGGGGTTTTCTGTTCAAAACCTGTCCCTGCCAGTTACGATTTGTTAAGCTTGGACACACTTTTTCTTTTAAAAAATGCTTTTTCCTTGTATTTTTAAAGTATAGAATATGTATTAGAGGAAATATTAGAAGTATAGGTAAGTATTAAGGAAGAAAGTAAGGACTGCCTATAATCTTGTTACCCAGAGGTAACTGACTATTTTAGGGTATGTTTGTCCATAATATCAATTGGGTTGATATGACCATTGGCCCATATCTGTTTAGGGACAGCCCATGAGCTAAGGATGGTTTGTACATTTTTAAATGGTTAGAAAAAAAGCCCAAAACACTAATAATATTTTGTGGGACATAAAAATTATATGAAGTTCAAATCTCAGTGCACAGAAATAAAGTTTTACTGGAACCACATTCATGTTTATTTATCTACTGTCTATGCTTTTTTTACCCTACAATGGCAGAGCTGAATAACTGCAACAGAGACCTTAAGACCCAAAAAGCCTGAACTATTGACTCTCTGGTTTCTTTCATGAAATATTTGCTGACCCCTGATAGAGAGGAAAAAAATATAAACATATGGGAATATATAAATACATATATGAAATTTATATTATATACTTTATTTTCGACTTCTTTCCTAACATTTAAATACAAACACTTGCTGGTAAACTGTAAGGATTCTTTGTAAACATGATTTTAATAGTGCCCTAAGATTATATCATTTAAGATACAATAAAACCCAAATATTCTTTTGTTGGACACTTGGTTTATTAAAATTTTTCAATTAGAAGTGTCACAAACATCCCTAGGCATAAATATTTCACTACATCTCTGATTATAAGTTATAGGTACTCTCAAAACCAGTTTACACACGCTTATTCCCAGTGAATGAGAGTGCTCATCTCCCTGCACTCTTCTAATTATTATTAAAGGGAGTGGGGAGGGTAAGTGAAAGGGGAAAGAGAAGAGGGAGAGGGAGAAGGAGATCAAGACTGAGACTGATTTATTAGGTCCAAGTTCATTTGCCTCTATGAGCATATTTCCTCTTCAGTGAAACAGGGGTAAGAGTTCTAGGAACTAAAAGATTTTCTTTGAGGATCAAAAAAGATGTGAAAGCACTTTGTTAACTGTTAAGGCACAATCACTGTGCTCATAATTATTACCCTGATTCTAAGAAAGCTGTATATATGAACCAGCCAGTTTTCACCCTGAGGGGGGAAAAACAACTCACCATAACTGTCCTTTTTACAAGAGAATCGTGTTTTAACTTTACAAAGAGTATTTCATCCTTGCGTTACATTCTTAAAATTAGATCCATGTGTTTCTTTTAATTAGTATTTGATACAGTATTAATATTCTTATTTATCTTCTGCATGCCATATGGATTAAATTCTCATTACCTTTGATCTTAATACTTTTAAAATATGTAAATCAGCAGACACCCTCTTTAAAGTAGTGTTTTCATCCCTGTCTATTATTACCTTGGGCAAAAGGAAAATATCTGCATTGCAAAAAAATCCCCAAATTGTGTTGAAATCCTAAAAACCATATATTACATTAGTCGATCTCAATAAATCAAATAACGGCCAACTGAAAATAAAGCCAATTAGAATTAAGTATACTTAAATCTGACAAAGGTTAATGAGAACCTACCGTGCATGCATATCATCAAGATGGTCACATTTCAGGGCTAAACTAGTAAAGGCTTTGTGATTTACTTATCTTTAGTAAATGAACACAATAAAGTGTTTCTGATTAATGAATATATGCACATTCTATTAAGTGCTTCAGGGTTCTGAAGCAGTGTGGGGTGGGAGCCTTCTTTGTTTCCTTTGAGCTGCTGCAAGTCATTTTGCTTTCTTGGCCCTCAGTTTCCTGTATTATAAAAGAGGGTGTTTTCTAATGGTGAATTCTAAGGCATATTCCAACTCTAAGCACTAGTAAGAAATAATAACAAGGCAGTCACTGAACACAATTTAAAGGAACTTCAAACTTAACTGAGATTCTAGTTAATAATTAACTTGAGAATGACTAGGGAGGGAAAAAGGCAACTATGGTTGATTGATAGAAATTCGTCTTAAGCAGGATCACTTATATGTCCTATTTATGATCACATCTAGTCTTTTAACAAGTCTCTTTTTTCTTAAAAAAATCAAATATATATTAGCATTATCTTTTCACTTCTTACCTTGAAATATTCTTCCAGTTTGTGCTGAGAAAGTCATTCCCTCCCCTTAGAGCTTATTTAATAATGGTACAAAATATTTTTAGGAGAATTTTATAGCAATGAAAGGCCAACTAAAGTGGCATTTGTATGCCACTAAATAGCACAAATTATTTCTGATTATTTATAAGGTTAATTGCCTTTTGCCAGCTGTTCATTTTACTTTGGAAAATAAACAGTAACCTAGACTTATAATGGAATTGACAGCCCCTTTGAACCATAGGAGAGTTATGTTCTTAGGCCTATATGCAGCTGTTTTTGGAAGAATTAATTTTTAATTAATCACACAGGTATCCACTCTATAGTCTTCTTGTACTTTGATTCACAAGCATGCTACATCCTACTAGTTATTAGATAATTCAGTTTGATTCTAAATTCAGTTAAACTTTGCTAGTACAACATAGCATACATATATATATATATATATATATACACACAGTATACATATATGTTTATTACATATGTTTACTACATATATATGTATACTAGGTGTATATATATATATAGTATCCCCTAGAAGCAGTCCAATTTCTAGAATAACAGAATTCTTCTAGAGACTCTCTCTAGAAGACAGAGTGGTTCTGCCTTACAGATTTATACTGTACCTCTAAAGAATATATACCTTTTATCAGAGTCCTAGCTCTGATCACTAAAACACAAAGACCAACTAAAAGGCAAAGCCAAAATACTAAGCATGGGAGATTAGAGTTTATACAATGAATTACTGAAGGGATAAGAGACTAAGGAATAACTAGGGAAAAAACAGTCATTAATTATTTCTCATAATATTTTGGTCTGGAATAAGTGAGAAACCAGGTGGAGATTCACGACATAATATTACATTGTGCATTTGATTCTTAAACTAAGCAAAACATATTTGTAGATATTTATGTTTGTTAAAATTATTTCAAAAAGAGGATTATCCAGTGGAATATCTGCCATGTTGTACAAGGGGTGCATCACATCAAAAGGTGCTAACTTTGGCCTTGAGCATAGGGCATATGCTGTTGGTGGGAGGAGGAGGAGGTCCTTACCTTTTTTTTTTTTTTTTTGATATAGGGTCATTGCCCAGGCTGGAGTGCAGTGGTGCAATCATGGCTCACTGCAGCCTCAAGCTCCTGTTCTCAAGTAATCCTCCCATCTCAGTTCCACAAGTAGCTGGGACTTCAGGAGCACACCACCACACTCAGCTAATTTTTGTATTTTTTGTAGAGATGGGTTTTTTTTTTTTTGAGACAGAGTCTTGCTCTGTCACCCAGGCTGGCATGCAGTGGCGCAATCTCAGCTCACTGCAACCTCCGCCTCCCAGGTTCAAGCAATTCTCCTGCCTCAGCCTCCTGAGTAGCTGGGATTATAGGCACCCGCCACCACACCCAGCTAATTTTTGTATTTTTAGTAGAGACGGGGTTTCACCATGTTGGTCAGGCTGGTCTCGAACCCCTGACCTCGTGATCCACCCGCCTCGGCCTCCTAAATTGCTGGGATTACAGGCGTGAGCCACCATGCCCGACCAGAGAAAGGGTTTTGTCATGTTGCCCAAGCTGGTCTTGAACTCCTGAGCTCAAGCAATCTACCTGCCTCAGCCTCCCAAAGTGCTGGGATTACAGGAGGTGAGCCACTGCTCCTGGTTGAGGTGTTAACCTTTGAATGCTTCCTCCACCTCTCTATCATCTGACCACTGATGTTTCAATGGTATACTGAAAGACTGACCCTTGTTTACAGGCTTATTTCTCTAGCATCATTTCATCATCATGTTAGCAGCTGTCATTGAGATTTACTGCCTTAAAAAGTTGTTGAAAAGGCATCACTTTTCTGCAGTGTGTTCAGAGAGAACACAAGTCAGAAACATTCCAGATTCCTCATCATTCCAGATTCCTCCCTCTATTACTCCCCACCATATATCAGTCATCAAGCCCTATATACTCCACTTTTATCCTCCCTACATGAATCATCCCATCTATCTCACTGCTTTGACTCGGGCTCTCATCAGTTCTTGCTTGGACCACAGTGACAGCCTCTCTGCTAATCTCATCTCTAGTTTTGTACTATCCTATCTATTCTCTACATGGTAGACAGTATAATCTTCTAAATGAACATGTCATGCCTCTGCTTACTATCTTTAGTGGTTCTCCACAACATTCAGAACAAAAATGGCACTCTTCAGCACACAAAGCCCTTCCTAATCTGACACCTACTTACCTCTCTCCAGCTCATCTCCTGCCATTCCTCAGAACTCAGCCTACACTCTAACAAAACAAACTACTAGCTTTGCTAGCCCCATAAGAAACACCTCAGTCTCATCTTCTCCTGGAAGCCTTCCCTGACTTCTAGGTCCATGTTAAATGCGCTTCCACAGGGCTCCCATTTCATCGTGTACATAACAACATAATAATATTACCCACCTGAGGGCAGGTACAGAATCATTCATATTTCTATTTCTGTGGCATGGATCATACCAAATAACAAAGGAATGTATATTCAGGAATGAATAAATCCTTTAGTTGCTCTTGCTCAAAAACCTCCACTAACATCTCCTATTCCTTTGGAAATTACTCATTGCTTGGTGAAAGCCAGCTAGCCTGAAAAATTAAATCTATATACATGTTACCTGTCTTAAGAAACATAAGGTTATATTAAAAATATGTTTTTTGGAGGTAATCCTACTTCAGCAAAAGAGATGTTATTGGTGATCCTTTTAGGATGATGGGATAGCCTCATTCGTTTCACAGAGATTGAGTTCCATCTACATTCCTAGCACCACACAGAGAGCAATGAGAGCAAGAGGCTCAAAGAGGGTTGCTGGGATAATGCTAGTTTGTAGAGCATTTTGATATTTGTGCAACAATTGAGAACTGCCTGGAAATTTGAAAAACCACTAAAAAAAAATCAAATAAAGAATCCAAAAACAAGGCCAGAATAACGCGCAAATGACTGTTTCTTCAAGGACAAATAATCAAAATGGTCATTTGCTAAATAAAATCAGCCCCGCTGGCCTTACAATAATGATCAAGGAAAACCGCCAAAAAGCACAGTTACGTGTCTTACAACACTGAGTAGAGTAATTTGCTGTGGAAGGCATAGCAAGGTCTGCTAGAGCCCAGGCGCTGGAGTGAAAAGAGCCTGGGTTGCATCTTGGCTCCAAACTTTCTGGCTCAATGAATGTGGCCAATGCACCCAACCTTTATAAGCAGCAGTTTCCTCACCGGTGAGATGGAAATATTCTTTTATTTGGTTCACAGAGATCTAATATAAAAAAGATTAATTATGTATCTCATAATATAAGGTTTCCTAGCGTAAAAGAAGCAGCTAAATAAAAAGGAAGATAGACAAACCAACTCAACTCCAATCTTCAAACTAATGTTTTACATTCAAGTCTCCTTTCCCTCTAAACATCATTTCCTTACTTAGTCTTGTTACAGCAGATGGGCAAAGTTGGTTTTCTCTCTAAGTTGGAAAACTCTTTTTCTTCAGCCAAGAACTTTCATACAAGATCTAAATCTGATTTTGCAACATTTGAAACAATAGTTCTGGCATCTCAGTATATTAATCTTGGATCTTCCTCCAGAATCACACCAGTGTCTGAGTCTCCTTAACCCTCTTCTAGTTAAATTGGGTTTAGGTAGGTGAAATATGCTCATGTTCAAATAATCCATGTTGTCTTATCTTGAGGAGCTTTTTAAAAGAGCCAGGTCCTTCAGAAAGACCTGGCAAAACAGTCTGAATTCTAGGATTTAGGGAATAGAAGAGCAAAACGTTTCCATGACTCTCAGTTTTCTTACTTTTTTTTTTTTTTTTTTTCGAGATAGAGCCTTGCTCTGTCGCCCAGGCTGGAGTGCTGTGGTGCAATCTCAGCTCACTGAAACCTCCGCCCCAGGGTTCAAGTGATTCTCCTGTCTCAGCCTCCTGAGTAGCTGGGATTACAGGCATGTGCCACCATGGCTGGCTAATTTTTTTATTTTTAGTAGAAATGGGGTTTCACCATGTTGGCCAGGCTGGTCTTGAACTCCTGACCTCAAGTGATCTGCCCATCTTGGCCATCCAGAGTGTTGGGATTACAGGTGTGAGCCACCTCACCCAGCCAACTCTCGGTTTCCTATGGATCACAATTCAAAAAGTAAAGCTTAAAAAAAAAAAAAAAAAACTCAGCCCAGTTTTATAGATTCTGTCTCTCCCTCTCACAAGATTCCAGGAAGGAAATGGCTCTTCTGCTTATGAATTAGCATACAATTCAAGTTCAGGTCCACAGATTCCAGAAGAACAGCTTTTAGAGGCTGTTACTGACTAAGTGGGTATCTTATTATACAGTCATTATTGTGAAGGGAAGAACATATATTTGAGTATTGCTGGAAGTAGACTTTTTTTTGCCTAGCTCTGGGGAGATGCAAAAGTGAGACTCTGACTTTAGTCAACTTTTGGAAGAATGGGTGAAAGAAAGCTAAATACAGAGGGGAGGAAACAAAGTAGGCACTCTCTTGTTCCCTGGAGTAGTATTGAGGTCCTTGGTAATAGGAAAGCGTAGTCATGATGGTTAATAAAAGAAAAACGTTCGCAATTTTATAAATTTATTGTATTTTAAGGTATTATTTCTATGTGTTTGCTTGTTTTTCTCTCCCCCTACCCACCGGCACTAACAAGGTTAGAAGCAACAACATGGCAGACTGGATGTCTAAAAATATCTTTAGATACAAAACAGAAACTTATCTAATAGGACACACATGTCACCAAGTTCATTTTTTGTAGACCTTTTCCCTAAACATCTTTTAAGAAGACTGTCCAACAGTCTTCTTTACTTTTTAAAGAAACAGTGAGTTGACTTTGTCAGCCCTAGTATCAGGGCCAGATTGCTGCTACAGTCACTGCACTCTGGAATCTAAATATCTAAACATCTAAACCCACAGTTCACGCAATTTTCACGGTCTCCTTTTATGTCTTAATCCTTATATTTCAAGAGCCAATTGAAATCATTGCTGAAAGTCACTGTATTCTCATTGATATGCAAAGGTATCTTTGTGGACAAAATGGGACAAGAGCCTCTGCAGAATGTGGTGGGGCAAACTGCAGAATACAAACCTGGTAGCTTGAGTTTCAAAGAGCTATGGTTCTCATCTCTTATTTGGGCAAAAGAAGATCCAAACAAAGTCACACAATAGCTAAACCAATGCCATCTGTGTGGAAACAATATTTTAAACACAAACAAAATCAAACGCTCCATATGCCTTCACTCCTGAACATTTGCTAGAAAATTTCTGAATATTTATTGTTAGAGAGTCAGTGCAGTCAGGCAGAAGAAGCAGAAAAGCCCAGACGGGAAGTCCCTGGCCTTCCATCACTGGCCTTCTTCCATACTCTGCCCCTGTTATTACCAAATGCATTGTGCATAGTATCTGGGAATATATACCACACTCTTTCTGCCTCTGTTTATTTAGACATAAGATAACTTTACATACCCCTTCTTATTGGAATTCAGGGGTTTTGCAAAGTATATCTGCAAAGCAGAGTTTTTCAGGCTTTGCCATGTCATGGCACACATAGAAAATAATAATATTTGTACGGTCTGGTCTGGTAAACAGAGATCAAGTAGACAGAGGTGCCTCCAGTTGCCCAGTACTGCCTGGCTGCTTTGAAAGCTGAGGGTATCAATATCTTGGCACAACCATAACACATCCATGACCCATCAGTGCACCTTGGCACCTTGCTTGAAGTTCCATTATAAAATGTATTCATTTTCTATGTGATGTTATATTACTACTTCTTTAAAAAGTTGTTAGATGGAATATAAAGGTTTACTTAAAAGCACATAAAAATGTGCATGGCTTTTCACCATCCCATGTCTAAATTTCATCAAACTTTTCAGAATTTGGGTCTGTGTCAAGACTACTTAAGATGCTACTCTCCAAACACCTGGAGTCATGTCGGCTTTTCTCACAGTGATACTCAGTTTGTCACTCTTGCTGTGTTGTACTTTTTGCACTGGACTTTCTGCCTGGAGGCCTCTCAGCATTACCATAAGAGCTGTTCAGAAGGTCATTCCCCTTCCAACTTCAGCCAAAGACTGAAACAAAGCATTTTCTGCTGACAGAAGCAAAGCGCAATGATTTGTTCTTTGCTGCTCTGATTGGAGTTTTGTGTCCTGTTAACTTTCATAAACATTTCATTATGTGATTAAAAACAATAAAAACAAAGGAATGTCATACTTTTAGGTCCAAAGAGGGCTTTAAACATTTCTATTAGTCCTTTGCTTTGGATGTCCCCTACCCTTCACTAGCATCAACTAAAATCAGTGGTTACGGGAAAAAATTTACATGGTTAGCTGAGAATCTTAAAGAAATTCACAAAAATCTTATTGAAATCCTTATTCATTTCATTAATACTCATCTAGCCATGATTTTGGTATCAGAATGACAATTTCAGTAGAATACATTATTAAAATTGGTATTTTAAGTTTAGAACTAAATCAGCTCCTCTTCTTCCTCTACTGCCTTATTTAATTTTTGCTCTTAGGAAATAGGCTCTGGAAAGACAAGAAGACATCCTCTTCATAACAATTTATGCAATAAATACAGCTCAAATTGTTGTTTCCACAGAAGGTTGCCTGCAAAGATTCTACCACCTCTTTTTCATATGCCACTTGGCTAAGTGTCTCAGTTTAAAATACGACAATATTAAAGATTGGATGGTTGAAAAACAGCCATGTTAAAGTCTGAGTCTGTGACTCAGGCACAGAATGATGTGGTTCTTCATCAGGGTTACTGCCCTGCTTTCAAACCTGGACTCAATCATGACAAGATATAAAGGATTCATGCACTCTACTAATCTAATTGCTTTCCAGGAGGTACCAGTAAGACAGCAGGGCTCTAATCAGAACCGTTTGAACTCCAGATTTATATAGAGAAGATTTATTTACTGAGAATGAGACCCTCTTCAAAATCCTAAATCCATTCACACTTGGTACACAACTTTTTAAAATTTGAGCTTTCTTCTACCTGTGTGATCTAGTAACTCCAGAGATTTCAATATTTTAATAAACTTAGTGGGGATATCAGTAATAAAGTGATCAGTGAAAAATGTTATTGAAGAAATTAGAATTTTCTCACTGGCTACTCATAACTCCCTCTATAAGATCAGTAATATTTAGTTACCTGGGTAAGCAGAACCCAGAAAAATCCAGGTGACAGAATTCTAGCTGTAATGCATATTCAAAAAGAGACTAAACTTTAAACTATTTTAACATTATTGCCTACATGGTTCACATGGTAAAAACACTCAAGCATTACAATCAACAAAATGATTATGCAATGCCATATTTTAGAACTCATAATTTTTATTTGTCACCATGTACTTACACTGCACTTTCAACCCGAAATAATCATTCTAACTAGCAGCATTACTTCATCCTTTTGTAACATAAACAGTTAAGAATAAATTCCTTAATCTCCTATTTTAGATGCTTTCTTACATTAAATGATTTGAGTACAATCTGTTGGGAATTACTGAGAAAATAATGAAACTTGCAGAAGTTTCTAATTCAGCATGTTTTCATCTTTAAAATCCAAGTATATTTTAATGTACTATAACCTACTGATATGAAGACTAATATTTCAAGTTGCCTTCACTGATTATTATAGTCCAGACTCTTGCAACAAAGGTTTGGGGATTTTTGAGGTGTGTTATGGGAAAAGCATTTGAGCATAGGAGGAGAAAAGACTTTAAAGCAAGCTACACCCTCCTCTCTCAGTAGGGCCTGAGACCATCTCCATAGACTATGCAAATTTATCTAAAATGATTATGCTTATCAATCAGATAACCCAGTTAATTTTTCTCTCATCGAAAGTATTGTATGCAGTTACATAAATCACAAGAGTAACCTCACTTGGTCTACCTTGCCCCCTGCAGACTTTTTAAGGCCCACTACTAATCTCTTTCTCTACTCTCACTTGGAGACTTCATTTTCACAATGAATTTGACTATATAAAAAAAGACAAACAGAAATGTCATTCCTTATAGTCCCCCACTGTTCTAGACAGACAGCTGTGCCCATCTCCTGAGCTCCAGTCCTATGGCTACAACTGTTGACAAGAAATATCTACAAAGTGTGACTAAAATGCAAGATGCAAGATGCCATTTGAAACAAAACCAATTTCTCCCTTAGAGACTACCCATCTGAATGAATTCATCATTCGGCAAACACTTATTAGGCACTTACTGTGTGCTAGGTACCACGTTGAGCAGTTTCCTGTTCCTCTGTTCATCTACCACCATTCTCATGATGACCCAAAATGAACATCATTCAGTTTTTGTTTCAGTACAAACTTCACAAAAATATTATGCATAGCTTAATCCAATTACGTACAAAGGATAAGTTTATAAAACAGGTATTGCTGGGTCAAATAATATATTGGCAGATTGCTCTACAAAAAGGCTGTTTCCTGCCCCAAACAATACTACGAATGCTCATTTCCTTGTATTCTTGACAGCCCATGTACTATCTTTTTTGTTCAATCCTCGCCTGTTTGATATGCAAAAAAAATTTATTTCTCATTAAATTTCGAGGTTGAACATTTTTGCATGGAGTCATGGTCACTTGCACTTTCTCCTTTTATGAACTGCCCTTTAAAATTCTTTGTCAATTTCTTTCTAAAGGAGTTTTTCCCCCTGCAGTTTGAGTTGTGACAGGCAGCAAAAGAATAGAGAATATAAATTTTACTATTTAGTGGGATGGAAAATCAAGCAATTTTAATTGGATATTAAAAGAGAGACCTTATGGAATTAGAGAATACTCCAGGCAAAACTGCAGCAGAACCTTAGGTTATTATGATAATAAAAAAGTCTTCCACACATTAAATACTTTGTAAATGTAATTTTTAACAGTTACATATTATTCTACAGTGTGGCTGTAGAATTTATTTACTTGTTCTCTTAACTTTTTCTGAACTTAAAAAAAAAAGATTCTGAGCGAATTGTTGGAATAAAGCATCCAAACATTTTTTCAATGCTCTCAATACATATTGCAAATATTTTTGTATAAAAATTGTATCTTTATACTTCGATCAGCATGCTAACAAAGTGTGTCTTTTCCATTTCTCTTATTTCTGGAATACCAGAAATAACTTCATTTTATTTGCACAAACTGTTTCCACAAGACACACTTAAATATTTGCCTTAGAATGAATTTATTTATTTACTTTTTGAGATGGAGGCTCGTTCCATTGCCCAGGCTGGAGTGCAGTGGTGCGATCTCAGCCCACTGCCACCTCCATCTCCTGGGTTCAAGTGCTTCTCCTGCCTCAGCCTCTCAAGTAGCTGGGATTACAGGCATGTACCATCACACCTGGCTAATTTTTGTATTTTTAGTAGAGATGGGGTTTCACCATGTTGGCCAGGCTGGTCTTGAACTCCAGACCTTAAGTGATCCACCAACCTTGGCCTCCCAAAGTGCTGGGATTACAGACGTGAGCCACCACACCTGGCTGCCTTAGAATTTTATAGCCATTTCATCTAAGTGGTCCTTCTCTTGCCTGCAGGTCTTGATATCTCATGAAGAAGGACCCAAGGTGAAATCTGATCATTCACATGATTTGAAAATTCTCAAGTTCAGAAATGAGCATGAAACAATGCCCTGGGCACATGTGCCTCAGATGATTAAATTCTATCTTGGGTAGATGCTACTCCTTGTCTACTCAACATCCATTCTTCACTGCTTCCTTCATAACAGAACCCTTAAATCATATGCCACAGCAATGTAATCAACTGAACTATGCTTCCCAGCTTCTTCTGTAGATAAAGGAGGCCTATTAGATATAAATAGATCATTGCATAGAGCTTCTAGGAAAATCCTTTTTATAGCCATGATGGCTGGAGCTCCAGCAGTAGCCATCTTTCATGTTCTTGGGACTATGAAGAAAAAGTGGAGAGAATTGCAGAGACTTGGCCTGGCTTGTCATTCTTGATCTTCTGAACCAACACCAGAAATTGCCTACCCCTGGACTTCTGGTGATATGAGGAAAATAGTTGTCTGTTGAAGTCACCCTATTTCAGTATGTGTTTCTGAAAGCACAGACTAATTCCTAACTGAAGCACAATTTTACTGACCTGTATAGACTAGTCTGGCTTCTCAGTGGTTTGGCCAATAGAGAGCCCTATCAGGAAATCAGATGGAAGAAAGGGACAAAGAAGATTCTCTTTTATTCCCCAGCTCCCTTCCTATGGGGTTGTCTTGTGTTGACTGTGTCCTTAACTGAAGGTCATCTCTCTTCTCATGACTCCTATATCCATATGACTCTCTCCTTTTGCATTCCAGATGCCATGCTCTCTTCTTGCTCCTTTACGTGTATGTGGTAATGGCTTTACTCTCATTGGTCCTTGGAGAACTACACTATCCTTTATGGTTTCACTATATCTTGCCCCAACCTTAAAAAATAATCCCTTTATTAAACAATACTCCAATTATCCTAATTTGAGTGTGCAATCTGTTTCCTGCTGAGATTCTGTTTGATTCTTGGGGTGTGTGTGTGTATGTGTGTGTGTGTGTGTGTGTGTGTGTATGTGTGAGAGAGAGAGAGAGAAAGAGTGTATGTGTGTGTAGTGTGTGTGTCTAGAGTGTGTGTGTGTGTGTGTGTGTGTGTGTGTGTATGCATGTTTTACAACTTTGTAGTGTTCAGTCAATTTCTGTTTATCTGCATGGGGAAGTAGGGAAGCTAAAATTATAAGAAGGATTTGAGGAAAGGCCATAGGCCCACACCAGCAAGCATCTCACATAGTTTCCCTTTAAAAGTGAAGAGTTAACTGTGACATGACAGACAGGAAAACACTTTTAGTGGGTAGACTCAAAGCACCACTTCATGGCTACAGAAATTGCTGAAGTAACTATATAAAGGAAGGATGTAAACTGTTATAACAGGCATCACAATCAATGTTTGAAAAATACTTTCTTAAATGGACAAACTGCAATCATTTTACAGGAGGCAGAAAGGATGACTCAAATATCTGTCAATGCACAGCCTCATTACTGATCTTTAATATCTTCACATTACAGAATCATGTGACTTTAGGAAATTCATGCATGATTTGACTCAACTTACTCATCTTTAGTGAGGGCTAATTGACTGCCTGGAACCAAGTATAAATACATTATCTCTAGATTTTCAGTTAAGCTTTGGTTGTTATTGTTATTTTTGGGTTTTGTCGGCTTTTGGGGTTATTTTTCTATATCATAATTCTTCTCTAAATTCTACCAAATTTCAGCCTTTGATGAAAGAAAAACTAGAGACAATGTAAAAACTCCAAAACAAAATATCTGAGATATCTGGAACTATCATTACTCTTTTAAAATCAGTGGTCTAAAACGTCAAAATAGGGTTAACATCTAAGTTTATACGGATATGAATGAGAACCAGGAAAAAACTGCTTTCAAAGAGAGCAATAACACTAATTTATGTTGTGCATAAATTATCTGAGCATGTAACAGTGGCTCAGAAAACATTACCACCACTTTGCAGAGAGCTAAAAGTAAAATGTGAAATATTATCCCAATCTTCATGTTCTAACTTTAGAATTCCACTAATAATTCTCCTTCTGTTTCTATTAAATATGAAAAATTGAGCAATGGCCAAGTAATTTTTTAAATCAAAAACAAATTAAGATGATGGAGCAATAAACACAGGATTCAATGTTTTTATTTTTTTCAAGAATTCTGAGGTTTTTTTTTAAAGGAATCAACTTTTTGTTGTTGTTGTTTAATGAAGAAGAAAAAGACTATAGCAACCTGCCTTGGCATTTTTGAGAAACCACAGGTCTATTCTTTTTATGTATTGCGTGTACATCTTCTAGCCCAAAGACTTTAATCATAGCACAAAATTTTCTTAAATAACTTTTGAGGGTCATCTGATGATTTATAGAGACATATCCCCCAAAGAGACATCTAACCAAAAAAGAGCAATCTACAAATACTTGAAGAACTACCACATGGGAAGAAAAATCCTTCGATCAAGCTTCCCAAACATAAAATTGATAGTCTTTACAATTAGTCAATTCCTCTCATTAGTACAAGAATTCTTAACCTGGGATACAGATCCTGATGGGAACATGAAGGTATTAAGGATTTTATGTGCAAAATGTTGCCGGTGTACATTTGTGCATTTTTCTAGAGTTAGGGTGCATGGATTCCATTAGCCTCCCACAGAGGCTTGTGATGTAAAAAGATGTGCAAAAGAATGTGGGAAATTAGCATGGATGACCATTTGTCAGACTGCTGAAGAAAAGATTGTCACTCTAAGGGCAATGTTTAGAATCCTCTGGGTACAGATAACTAGTAAGTAAAACCTTTATGCAGTATATGTTCAATCCTCTAATCATTCAGTGGTTATTCACAGGTTGTCCCTTCTGGTCATATGGGTTAATTTGCTCAGGGTGGTAGATGAGAGGGAGGCATCCATTCTAACTCTTCTTTTAAGGGGAGAGACAACATAATGGACTGTTTCCCAGTGCCCTCCCAGTGTTAAATAGAAACTGCTACATGACATGAATGGGGGTTCCATTAATGGACTGAATATGAGAATGTGGGTCTAGGGCAAAGAATAAGCAGCACACAAGAGAAGGGAGGTACCTTGCTTTCTTAATGGCAACCCAAGTTGAAAATCAGAAGGCAGAGTACAAGTGTGTTGTGAGCTGACTGCTCTGGACATGGGTAAATACAGCAGTGAAGGACAAAAAAGGAATGAACACTTTGTAATCTGACCCTCGGAGATTTAGAATGGATCCTTGGATGTTCTGTCCCCCGTCGGTACCCCCAGCATTCACCCAGGCTAATGAGTTAGCATGGAAACTGTGCTTTGGAGGACAAATCAGTTAAGAGCAGAAACAAATCTAGAGCTCTTTCCATTTATCTGATTTCTGCACAAATGCAGAGTTTGCCATTTACAGTGGGTGTGTATCCATTGGGAGAACCCAGCCATTGTGTCCTGGCATAAAAACGGCTCCTTTGAAATTAGGATAGTGTGTAAACTCATCCCCTAAGATCTTTGTAGATCTCTTGCAATTGTTTCTTGGACCCTGTTTGAATTTGCTCTTTTAAATGGGCTGCTTAGGGAAAATACTGGCACCAATTTAACAAAAAGGGATATCATTAATTTCTTCCTCTAAAAAGGAAGAATCCCTTTGGGAACACTGAGTCTTCACGTATATTAGGTCAGACAAACCAGCCTGGTGTCTGGGTAGACTGGCTGTTCTAATTGCTCACTGCTAAGCAGCCAAACAGACCTTTCTGGATGGTGACTTGGGGATCTGAGTCTGTGGGAGCTATAAATATTCCTGAAACCATTTAGGTGGATTAATGAAACAACTCCCTCCCATTACACAAACTGCCAGACACAGAAAATACCAACAAATTGGTCCCACTCAAATGCAGTAAAGATTCAAGGTGATATACTCTTGAGACTTGTGGTAGTATCGAGGGAAAACAAGTGTAGTTTTTTAGAAATTGTAGCGCACTCCAGAAGACTTGATAATTTGAGTGGAAAGAAGAAAGGAGTTGCTAAACTTGGAAATTAGGTACTTTCAAAAGTGATTCGCAATGGAAGAGTAAGAAATAGCAGTAGCAGCAGCTAAACTTTATTAGATGCTTACTATGTACCAGGCATTATTCTACATGTAGTAAGCTAATAATCTGGAGTCTTATTTTTGGATAAGTCCTGACCCAGAATCCCCTCAAAGCTTCCAGAGCATCACACACACACAGACAAACACACACACATTCTTAGGAACCCAGGAACACAGATCACAGAACAGGGAATTTTAGTGTAATAAAAACCTTAAATATCAGCAAAACACTGGAAAGAGGGGACAATGTGGGACCGGAGGAGTGAGTGTGGGGGTGATGGTGGTGGGCAGTGCTCAGGCAAAGCTCTAGTCTAGGATAGAGTGCATGATTTGAAAGTGGGAGGTCAGGAAGTCATTGTGAATTGTTCTTGGTAGGGAGAAAAATTACAGACTCATTTAATATCCAGTTTATGTTGAATTTCTCCCTCCCGTCATTATCCAAACTATATTTATAGTTTGTTTAATAAGAGATATATCTGTTCTTTTTAAAAAATTGCAAGTATTTTTAATCCAAATTCAACTGCAGTCCAAACTAAACAAAACACCTCTACCTAATGCCAATAATCCCCCAGGCATGGCTTTATGTGCCTTATTTTGCTCTCTGATCTTTTGGCCTAATTAGGATAGAGCCCTTGAAACCCTAAATTCTGACCAATGAATAAATAATCAAACAACTTGGATATAATGTAATAGACTTTACAGTCTACAGCCAAATATAGAGCTAACTGGTCAACCCCTTAAGGCTTCTATTTTCCCATTTATTTAAAGAACAAAGAGGAGAATACATTTAAGAAGCTAAAATGGCCATCCAATGAGCCCTTAAGAATAGCCTGTGCCAGAATGCTGATCCAGAGGTACTACTGACTCTATGTCTCCCTAAAGCCCAGCTCTGGGTTGGGTTCTAGCTCTGGGTTGGCCAACTAATATGCAGTCTTTTCATCTATAAAATGAGAGTTGAACAAAAGACCTTGAAAGCTTCTACAATCTTAAATCTGGATAGGTTAGGCCATATTAACTCTGTAGAAAACTTCCTCAAATAAAAATGAAATATTCCTATGAGTAACAAGAATAACTCCATGCAGCACCAAATTTTTGTTGAGTGCTTACTACATGTGAAGTAGTGTGTTAAGCACCTTACATCTATACCCTATGACGTAGGTACTGTTACTATTCCTATTTTGGAGATGAGGAAAGAGGGATATAGGGAGATTAAGTTAACTTGACCAAAGTCACAAAGCTATTAGAGTGGCATAGATGGGATGTAAATTTAAGTTTGACTGACTCCAAAGCCAGCTTTGCCACCCTGCCAAGGGTATGGGACCATCATCCATGAACATCTCTTCTTTGTAAGGGTTCCAAACTAGAAACAACCCAGATGCCCATCAACAGAAACATGAATGCATAAAGTGTGCTCTCATCCTAAAATGGGATACTATACAGTAACGAAAATATACAAGTGAATCTTTAAAATATAATGTTAAGGGAAAAAAGAGAAAAAGCTAGAAGTCAAAGAATATATGCTATGTGGTTCCAGCTGTGCAAAGTTTAAAAACAGGCAAAATTAAGCTATAATATTTAGAGACACATATTTAGGTGGTTACCTGTAGGATGCAGGAAGAGAGTCATAATCCTGAAAGGGCATGCTGATGGCTTCTGTGGCACTGGCAAGGACTGTTTTGTGATCTCGGTTGTGCTCACATGGTGCTTGCATTATAATAATTTATTATACTGTCCATTTTCGTTTTAAGCATTTTTTTTTTTTTGGAGACAGAGTCTCACTCTGTCTGTACCAGGCTGGAGTACAGTGGTACGATCTCAGCTCACCGCAAGCTCCGCCTCCCGGGTTCACACCATTCTCCTGCCTCAGCCTCCTGAGTAGCTGGGACCACAGGCGCCCGCCACCATGCTCGGCTAATTTTTTGTATTTGTAGTAGAGATGGGATTTCACCGTGTTAGCCAGGATGGTCTTGATCTCCTGACCTTGTGATCCGCCCGCCTTGGTCTCCCAAAGTGTTGGGATTACAGGCATGAGCCACGGTGTCTGGCCTCCGTTTTAAGAATTTTTTTTTTCTGTAAGCATGTTACATTTCAGAATTTTTTAAAAGGCAAAACCAAAAATAACCAAGGATGGGGGCTGGGGGTGCAAAACAAAATAAACAACCACCTTGATCTTGTATCTCTCACATGTGAGCTTCTCCCCGTGTGGAAAAAGAATGGGCAGACGGCTGGAAACATCTTTTCTGACTCTTCGCTGCAGGTCTGAGTTTTGGAGTAAGCTTATCTGAACCTTTCCTGGAGACCACATATCACCGTTGGAGCTCCCACAGCTCCTGTGCTCACCCCTATCAACACCCTAGTCAAAGCAGACTTGTTTTCAAATTTATTTGTCCATCTCTCTCAGAATATAAATTTCACAAGAGCAAGCCTGGCTCTTGCTCCCTGTATTATATCAAACATAGTGTCTGCCATTTAGTGGGTGCTCAAGTAACATCTGCTGGACAAATATCCTAATGAATGAGGAATAAAGGTATATTTTATTATCTCCCAGCCCTCTCTGAAATTTAAACCAACAAACTGATCTCTTGCTAAATACTGTTTTAGCAGACAACCTGAGTTTTTCTAGTTTTTCCAGGAGTTTTAGTAACTTAGCAAACATAAATAGCACTTTGGGAGGCAGAGGCGGGCGGATCACGAGGTCAGGAGATGGAGACCATCCTGGCTAACACAGTGAAACCCCATCTCTACTAAAAATACAAGAAATTAGCTGGGCATGGTGGTGGGCGCCTGTAGTCCCAGCAACTCCGGAAGCTGAGGCAGAAGAATGGCGTGAACCCAGGAGGCGGAGCTTGCAGTGAGCCGAGATCGTGCCACTGCACTCCAGCCTGGGCGACAGAGCGAGACTCCGTCTCAAAAAAAAATAAAAATAAAAATAAAAAACCCTGCAGACATACCCTTTGAACCTAAAAGAAAAGTTGGAAAGAAAAACAAAAAAAAACACGTATCTAACGTAGGACTGTATCCAAAATATACAAAGAACTCTTAAAACTCAAGAATAGGAAAACAAACAATGCAATTTTAAAATGGTCAAAAAATCTGAATAGATACCTCACCAAATAAGACGCACAGATGTCAAATAAGCATGTGAAAGAAATAAGCTGTGAAAAGATGCTTAATATCATGTTATCAGTGAATTGCAAATTAAAATAATGAGATGTGACTACACAACTATTAAAATGTCAAAATCTGGCCAGGTGCAGTGGCTCACGCCTGTAATCCCAGCACTTTGGGAGGCCAAGGCAGGTGGAGCACCTGAGGTCAGGAGTTCGAGACCAGCCTGGCTAACATGGTGAAACCCCGTTTCTACTGAAATACAAAAAATTAGCCAGACGTGGTGACACATGCCTGTAATCCCAGCTACTTGGGAAGCTGAGGCAGGAGAATCACTTGAGTCCGGGAGGCAGAAGTTGCAGTGAGCCAAGATCGTGCCATTGTACTCCAGCTTGGGCAACAAGAGCTAAACTCTGTCTCAAAAAAAAAAAAGTAAAAATCCAAGATACTGACGACCCCAAAGGCTGACAATGATGCAGAGCAACAGGAACTCTCACTCATTGCTGAAGGAAATGCAAAATGGTAAAGCCAGTTTGGAAGACAGTTTGGCAGTTTCTTGCAAAGCTAAACATACTCTTACCACACAATCCAGTAATCATGCTCCTAGGTATTAACTCAAATGAATTAAAAAGTTACATCCACACCAAAACCTGAACACAAATGTTTATGGTAGGTTCACTCATAATTGTCCAAACTTGGAAGCAACCAAGATATTAAGCTATCAAGCCATGACAAGACATGAAGGAATCTTTTTTTTTTTTTCTAGACAGAGTCTTGGTCTGTTGCCCAGGCTGGAGTTCAATGGCGTGATCTCGGCTCACTGCAACCTCTGCCTCCCAGGTTCAAGTGATTCTCCTGCCTCAGCCTCCTGAGTAGCTGGGATTACAGGCGTGTGCTATTACGCCCAGCTAATTTTTGTACTTTTAGTAGAGACAGTGTTTCGTCATGTTTCTCAGGCTGGTCTAGAACTCCTGACCTCAAGTGATCCACCTGTCTTGGCCTCCCAAAGTGCTGGGATTACAAGCATGAGCCACCACACCCAGCCGACATGGAGGAATCTTAAATGCATATTATTATTATTATTTTAGAGATAGGATCTTGCTCTACTGCCTAGGCTGGAGTGCAGTGGTACCATCATAGCTCACTGCACCCTCGACCTCCTGGGCTCAAGTGATCTTTCTACCTCAGCCTTCCATGTAGCTAGGAATATAGACATGCACCAAAACACTTGGCTAATATTTAAATTTTTTGTAGAGACAGGGTGTTGCTGTGTTGTCCAGGCTGGTCTTAAACTCTTGGCCTCAGGCAATCCTCCCACCTCAGCCTCCCAAAGTGCTGGGATTACAGGTGTAAACCACCACACCTGGCCTCTTAAGTACATATTGCTAAAGTGAAAGAAGTCAATCAGAAATGGCTATATACTGTATGATTCCAACTATATGACATTCTGAAAAAGGCAAAGCTATGGAGGCACTAAAATCAATAAGTAAATAAATAAAAAAACAAATAGTGGTTGCCAGGGGCTTGTGGGGAGGGAGGAATAAGGAGGTAGAGATGGGATTTTTAGGTCAGTGAAATTATTCTGTATGATACTGTCATGATGAATACAGGTCATTACGCATTTGTCAAAGCTCACAGAACGTACAGCACAAACAGTGAACTCTAATGTAATAATAATAATAGTGTATCAATATGGGCTCATCAATTGTAATAAATGAACCATGCTAATACAAGATGTTAATTATAGAAGAAACAGGGAGAAAAGGAGAGGAGAAAGGGTATGTAAGAATTTTGTACTTTAAGCTCAATATTTCTGTAAGCCAAAAATTACTCAAATAAGTAAACTCTATTAACTTTTTAAAACGCAAACAAATTTATTATTCTCAATCTTAGAAAACAAACAAACATAAAAAGAAGAAAAATCACTACAACCCTACCATTAAACAATTGTATGTTTGATTTTAAAGTTGAAAGAATCCTTTAAAATGAAATAAACTAGGCAGCTGTGGTTAACAGGGCAGTCTTGAGAGTATGTGTTGTTTCAATTATATCAAATAAGAAAAGAATTTAAAAATAAATTTTCTCTAGGCACATTTTACAGCCATGCCATCAACATCCAATCTTGGAAGCCAAATACCCTAACTTGACTCACACACCACCCGCCTTGTGTTGTTTGGCATCTGCACTCCTGATGTCCTGGGCCAACGCCAAAACCTAACTTGGCATTGGCAAAAAGTGCATCATGACCTAACGAACTCAGGAAAGCACCGGAAAAGTTTAGCAAGAACTTTTCACAGCTATGTTTGCAGCAACAATCTAAGAAGAAATGATGTTCAAAAACTGTTCAATTCTGTAATGTGCTTTAATGAGTCGCAGGAATGAGAACAGGCTGTGAAAGGTTTTTCCTGAGGTATGTGGCCTCAGGAATGGTGGCCTGGCATGTGACCTCTGCGGCTTGTATCTGCCACTCTCACATCTGTGGCCACTTTCCCCTCCAGCCGCCTCTAGACTCCTCTAGCCTCAGCTCCTCCAATAGAGTCAGAATCTTGCTATTGATTCAGCTGGCTGAGGGTGGAGAAAAGCACTGACCTTTGTGGAGTACATCCCTTGTTCTTCCTTTTCATCCTGATTCTTTCAAGGGAAATGGGGCACTATGATCAATCTTGGTAGGTATCCACAGAGTTCCTTCAGAGAGCACCAGTTTTGAACAGAGCCCTCAGTTGAGGTAAACTACTAGGACTATAACTGATGTCCAAAGCACCCTGTTCCTATTCTTCAAAATTACAAAACAAAGCAAAACAAAAACAAAGAAACCAAAAACCCAGATCTAGTAAAAATGAGAAAAGTCTCTGTATTTGTCCATTCTCACATTGCTATAAAGAACCACCCAAGACTCGGTAGTTTATAAAGAAAAGAGGTGAAATTGACTCACAGTTCCATAATCTGTACAGGAGGCATGATTGGGGAGGCCTCAGAAAACTTACAGTTCTGGCAGAAGGTAAAGGGAAAGCAAGCACGTTTTCACATGTCAGCAGGACAGAGGGAAGGGGGAAGTGCTGCTTACTTTTAAACAATCAGATCTTGTGAGAACTCACTCACTATCATGAGAACAGCAAGGGGGAAATCCGCCCCCATGATCCAATCACCTCCCACCAGGTCTCTCTCCCAACACTGGGGATTACAATTCAACATGAGATTTGGGTGGCGATGCAGAGCTAAACCATATTATTCCACCCCAACCTCTCCCAAATCTCATGTCCTTCTCACATTTCAAAACCAATCATGCCTTCCCAAGAGTCCCCCAAAGTCTTAACTCATTCCAGCATTAACCCAAAAGTCCAAGTCCAAAGTCTTATCTGAGGCAAGGCAAGTCCCTTCCACCTATAAGCCTGTAAAACCAAAAACAGGTTAGTTACTTCTAAGATACAATGGGGGTACAGGCATTGGGTAAATGCTCCCATTCCAAAAGGAAGAAATTGGACAAAATAAAGTGGCTATAGGCCCCATGCAAATCTGAAACCCAGCAGGGTAGTCATTAAATCTTAAAGGTTCAAAATAATATCCTTTGACTCCATGTCTCATATCCAGGCCACACTGATGCAAGAGGTGGGCTCCCAAGGCTTTGGGCAGCTCAGCGTTTTGGTTCTGCAAGTTTGGCTGCTTTCACAGGCTGGCATTGAGTGCCTGCAGCTTTTCTAGGCACATAGTGCAAGGTATTGGTAGATCTACCATTTGGGGTCTGGAGGACAGTAACCCTCTTCTCAAAGCTCCACTAGGCAGTACTCCAGTGGGGACTCTGTGTGGGGGCTCCAACCCCACATTTCTCCTCTGCACTGCCCTATTAGAGGTTCTCCATGAGGCTCTGCAATTGCAGCAGACTTCTGCTTGGACATCCAGGTGTTTCCATACATCCTCTGAAATCTAGGCAGAGGCTTCTAAGTCTCAACTCTTGTTTTTGTGCACCCACAGGCCCAACACCACGTGGAAGCCACCAAGGCTTGGGGCTTGAAGCAATGGCTTGAGCAGTACCTTGGCCCCTTTTAGCCACAGCTGAAGCTAGATCGGCTGGGATGCAGGGCACCATGTCCTGAGGCTGCACAGAGCAGTGGGACCCTGGGCCCAGCCCAGGAAACCATTTTTCCCTCTAAGCCTGCAGGCCTTTGATGGGAGGGGCTGCCATGAAGGTCTCTGAAATGCCCCGGAGGAGTTTTTTTCCATTGTTTTGGCTATTAACATTCAGGTCCTCTTTACTCATACAAATTTCTGCAGCCTTGAATTCTTCCACAGAAAATGTGTTTTTCTTTACAACCACATGATTGGGCTGCAAATTTTCCAAACTTTTATGCTCTGCTTCCCTTTTAAATAAACGTTCTAGTTTCAGGTCATTTCTTTGTTTATGTAAATGAGTGTAGACTTTTGGAAGCAGCCAGGACCCCTCTTGAATGCTTTGCTGCTTAGAAATTTCTTCTACCAGATATCCTAAATCATCTCTCTCAAGTTCAAAGTTCCACAGATCTCTAGAGACACAATGCCACCAGTCTCTTTGATAAGCATAGCAAGAGTGACCTTTACTGCAGCTCCCAGTAAGTTTCTCATCTCTATCTGAAGCCACCTCAGCCTGGACTTCACTGTCCATATCACTATCAGCATTTTGGTCACAACCCTTCAACAAGTCTCTAGGAAGTTCCAAACTTTCCCTCACCTTCCTGTCTTCTGATCCCTCCAAACTGTTCCTACCTCTGCCCATTACCCAGTTCCAAAGTTGCTTCTACATTTTCAGTTATCTTTATGGTAATACCTTTATAGCAATACCCCACTCCTGGTACCAATTTTCTGTATTAGTCCATTCTCATGCTGCTATAAAAAACTACCTGAGACTGAGACTGGGTAACTTATAAAGAAAAGAGGTTTAATTGGCTCACAGTTCCACAGGGTGTACAGGAGGCATGACTGGAGAGGCTTCAGGAAGCTTTAAAATCATGGCAGAAGGGGGAAGGGGAAGAAAGCACATCTTCACATGGCAGCAGGAGAGAGAGAAGGGGGAAGTGCTACACACTTTTAAACAACCAGATCTCACAAGAACTCATTCACAATCATGAGAACAGCAAGGGGGAAATCCCCACCTCAATGATCCAATCACCTCCCACCAGGTCCCTCCCCCAACACTGAGGATTACAATTCAACATGAGATTTGGGTGGGGACACAGAGCTAAACCATATCAGTCACTTAAGCAAAACAGAAAAAGTATATGATTAATATAAATTAAGCTTAATTAGAAATTGGATTGGGGATTAAGACAACTATAATCTGTCTTCTTTCTTCTTCCATCCCTTTGTCCTCATGCCCACAAGCCTCAAACTGTACACTTCCTTATGTTGGCCTTGCCTAGATTTTTTTTTTTTTTTTTTTTTTTTTTTTTGCAAAAAGTCAGGGAACAAACATTATGGCAATGACATATGTATTAGAAATATGTAAGAACGAATCACATGAACCCAGGAGGTGGAGGCTGCAGTGAGCTGAGACCACACCACTGCACTCCAGCCTGTGTGGCAGAGTAAGACTCCACCTAAAAATAAATAAATAAATAAATAAATAAATAAATAAATAATTAAATTAAATTAAATTAAATATATATGAAAACATTCAGATCTGGTGGGGCTTAGAGTAATTTTGCCATGTGGGAGAATATACTACAGCCAGGTTAGCAGAAGTAGCATAGTTTATAATCTGGAAATAACCTTTAACAGCAATAATTTCTGGCTGGGTGTGGTGGCTCATGCCTGTAATCCCAGCATTCTGAGAGGCTGAGGCAGATGGATGACTTGAGTCCAGGAATTCAAGACCAGGCTGGGCAGCATAGTGAAATCCTGTCTCTACAAAAAAATACAAAAAAAAGCCAGGTGTGGTGGCTCAGGCCTGTAATCCCAGTTACTTAGGAGGCTGAGGCATGAGAAAAGCTTGAATCCAGGAGGCAGAGGTTGCAGTGAGGTGAGATCATGCCACCGCACTGCAGCCTGGGTGACAGAGCAAGACTCTGTCTCACAAAAACAAACAAACAATAAAGGCAGTCATTCCTAATAATTTTAGAAAATGATATACTTTATAGACTATTTAGAAGTCTGGAACACTCCCACCCTCTTCCTGCACAGCAAAGCTAAAAGTAAATGTAACTTTGTTCTTGACAACTTCCCGAGAATTTAATGAGATCACTTGAGATACAGGAGGACACTCAACATGTCACCAGACTAGCTTTGGAAAACAACAGCTGCAAAGACCAAGATATTATAATCGTATTAGTCTCTTAAGTGTCTTATTTCATTTCCTGGCCCTGTGGTTGACATATAGTAGGTGCTCAATAAATGTTTGTTGAATGAATGAGGAGAAAGCCACATATATAAAGCCCACTTTCTCTGATTCAATGTTGTGTCACAGAGATAGGTAATGTCCAGAGCAGTGATTTTCAAAGGGAAGTCCCCAGACCAGCAGCATCTTATCCTCTGGAAACTTGATAACAATACGAATCCCCGCCTCCATCCCACACAGAATTGGAAACTATGCAGTGGGTTCAGCAGTCTGTCTTAACTAGCATTCTAGGTGATTCTGGAGAGCACAGTGAAGTTTGAGAGCCATTTGTCTAAAAAGATCCCTTCATTTGAGGTGTTTTTCTAACCTCACATGCTAGCAATAACAATTCTATACCTGTAATTCCTTTGTCATTTTACTGAGAAAAGTCCTCACATAAGACTTTACCAAGTTTTACTGGTGAGGGTTTAAGGTGAATTCAATGGCATCCAGACAAGAAGAAAAGATGTTTTCAGCCTGAGGGAGCCAAAAAGAGCAGGGATTCAGAACCTCAGAGACTACCCATAAATGAATACAGTCTTGTGTGTGACATTCAGTCATGAATTTGGGTATGGGACAGAGATGCCCAGTAGCCTTGCCTTTGTTTAGTGTCTGATTTCCACGTGCCTTCCTGAGGGAGATTATGCGGCCTTTGAGACTCTGTTGTAGGAACATGCTTTCCCTATCAAATGGGAGACATCTTAGCCCTTTATGATCATAGCATTGCTGTCTGGCAAGCTGCTTGCGCTCCCTTCCAAACACAGGCGGCCAGTGTGAAGTGATTCTGTTGCATGGATCTGAGGCATAGTCTTGCCCGATATAGTGATCTTGCCTAAATCAAACTCAATTTCCTGTATTATTACAGGGTGACCGACTCATCTGTTTGCCTGGGACTGTCCTGGTGTAAGCACTGAAAATCCCACATTTTGGAAAACATTTCTGTCACAGGAAAGTTGAGATATTTGGTCACCTTAAGGATCAAAGTTTCCAAGAATAAAATACAGCCTGAGTTTGCTTTCTGATAGCTGAATTGCTGCCAAAAACTATAAAATTTATAAAATTTAGTAATGAGAGCAACTGGAAAGGTAAAGGAAAATAATGAAGTAGATGGCATTAAAGAAGCTGCTAAGTGAAAGAAAGTGGTGTGATTTGCTCAGGAGCTGTGGCTAGACAGGCCATGAAAGACCCGAAATCAATCACTAATGCCTGATGCCAGGTTCCACATGCTCTCTGGTGGCTCTACTACATCCCAACAGTGTGCTTTGCCAACTGTGACCCCCTCAGGAGGCCAGTAGAATACTGCTTGCTACTTTTGACCTTCAAAAAGAAACGTGATTAAGGTATACTCCCTGTAGACAGGAAGAAAACCCAGAACAGAGGTACCTCTTAGGTGAGGTATAAAAGAAAACCCAAGGGCAGGTAGTGAGGGTTCTTTAACAGGCACAGGTCACAAGGTTAAACTAAAGCTTGTGTACTTTACATTAAGAAAATGTAAGTAAAGGGCCTGGCATGGTACCTAATATAGGTACTACATACATAAGAGTTCCTGTTCTTTTATTCATAGGGGATTTTCTCAGATCTCCCTCTCAAACCCACTTCTTTTACTGCCTAAAAAAAATGCTTAAAACCTGTTTTTTAGACCATAGCAAAGATGAAAAAGGAAGAAGGAGAAGAAAAGTATGTCACAAAAAGTCAGCTCATTAACAACAGCAAGAAACATCAGCTTTGTGTTGAGAGAGGAAAAATTAAACAGAGAATCTGGCACATTAACTAAAAATCATAATGGTCAAGGGTCATTTACTGCAAGGGTAGGTGGCCCCATTTCATATTGGTCTCTGAGGATTGCTCTGCATTACAGCCCAATGTGATAACTGCTGTTAATAATCATGCCCCTAGATACAAAGAATAAGGAGAATTGTGTTTGTGCACTCAATATGAAAGGTAATTTTAGGTTTGAGAGAGTTTCAGCTGTAGAGAAAATGTACTTACACAGACTATCTCATTTCTTGATGATGTCTAGTTGGTTCTCAACTCCAAAACTGGAGTTATTGTTAAAATCATAACCCAGATCATGCCACTCTCCCACTCACTGGCTTCCCATTTCACTGAGACTAAACCCTCACTACTCATAAAGTGAACCTCAGACCGACAATATCAGAGCCACCTGCAAGCTCATTAGTGCTGCAGAATCTCAGAGCCACTCAGACCTGCTGAATGAGAATCTTCATTGTATCTAGATTCCTAGGATGTTTGTTAGGACATTAAGCAGTACGAACCTGCACTATCTGGCTCCTCATTTCCTATGACTCTACTTTTTGCTCTCTTAGCTCCAATACAGGGACTTCTACTCTTCATATAGTCCATTCACATTCTCTCCTCCAGGCCTTTATCATGGTCTTCTGCCAGGAATGCTCTTCTCTTAGATATTTACATGGTGAACTGGCTCACCACCCTCAAGCCTTTACTCAAACCTCACATTCTTTTTTTTTTTTTTTTTTTTTTTTTTTTTGAGACGGAGTCTTGCTCTGTTTCCCAGGCTGGAGTGCAGTGGCGCGATCTTGGCTCACTGCAAGCACGGCCTCCCGGGTTCACACCATTCTCCTGCCTCAGTCTTCCGAGTAGCTGGGACTACAGGCGCCTGCCACCACGCCCGGCTACAAACCTCACATTCTTAATGAAGCCACCCTGTTTAAAAATACAACCACCCAAACTCACCCTCTACGCCTGGGCCACCCCTTATCACCCTTGCTGCTGTATTTTCTCCCCGTAACTCTTCACCCTTCTAACATCCCACATAATTGACTTACTTGTCTGCTTAATGTTTATTGTCTATCTCCCTCTGCTAGAGTGTAGCATCATGTGGACAGGGTTTTGATATTGACACAACATCCAAGTGCATGATTATTTTGTTAGTAATTCATTTTTATTGTATTCCACAAAAGTATCAGACTGTGGTGAAATGGAAAACAACCAACCAAAAACTGGCCTTTTATAAAAGTTTTGAGAAATACTGCTCAGTTCCTGGCACATAGCGTTAATAATTATTTTTTGAATAAATAAATATAAGTAGAAGAACAAATGCCTAAAGTATAACCATTTGCATTAGTAAAACCAGATGAGGTCTGTATACATTGCTGTCAGTCCTATTAAATAATTTCACTGCTTGGATTAGTGACCAAGTGACTAGAATTATGCACTTCCCGGGTATATTGTGCTTTTCTCTTAATGTGAGCAATAAGCCGGACCACATGGGCCAGTTTAGGGACACTTCTTTTTTTTTTTTTTTGAGACAGAGTCTTGCTCTGTCGCCCAGGCTGGAGTACAGTGGCGCGATCTCGGCTCACTGCAAGCTCCGCCTCCCAGGTTCACGCCATTCTCCCGCCTCAGCCTCCCCAGTAGCTGGGATTACAGGTGCCTGCCACCATGCCCGGCTATTTTTTTTTTTTTTTTTTGTATTTTTAGTAGAGACGGGGTTTCACTGTGTTAGCCAGGATGGTCTCCATCTCCTGACCTCGTGATCTGCCCGCCTCGGCCTCCCAAAGTGCTGGGATTACAGGCGTGAGCCACCACGCCGTGCCAGGGACACTTCTTATACTCTGAAGACAGCCTTGTTTAAGCCCCATATTTAGAGACTTATTTGAGTGGCTGCTCTAAGCTGAGCTTGAGATGGAGTAACTTTAGATTTATTCCCTGCCTCTCACTCTCACCTCACCAGACCCCTTCATAGAATAACGAAGTTAGGCCTCACTGCAAGTTAGAAGGCAAACCTTCTGGATGTTAGTGTTTTTTTAAACTGAAAAGGTCACAATGTTCTCATTCAGCCTTCCACAAAAACATGGGTTAAAATAATGGGTCATTTAAAGCACAGAATGAAACACAAAGGTATAATTTGCTAAAAATGTTGCTTAAATAATATATTCTTGTTTCTACAACTGATAATATATGCGAAACGGAAAAACTAATTTGTTCTTCATCTTTGTCGTTTTCTAAGATCAAGGGGAATTCGATTTACATATAGTGTTTTCTCACGTCTTCATGTCTAAACTTCCTTTGCTTCTCCTGCCCAAAACAGCAATAGCAACAAAATGAAATAGCTTGGATTATTTTAATTTCTTCCACTAGTACACTATATCTATTTGGAGCTTGCCTCAGAAACATTTACTTTGTTCTAGGATTGTTAGAAATACATTTTAAAACTTTTCTCTGATTGCTTACTTAGGTAGAGTTTCATTTCATTCTTGCTTCCATTATATTTCATCACCACTTTGGATGTTCAAGAATTCAATTCGAGACCTAGGCTAGGTTGTGAGGAGAGAACTCATAAATGGGAAGACATGATTCTAGAGAGTTTTAAATCTAGTAGATGCATTAAAGTAACTATAACACAAAGCAGGATGTGATAAGTATTATAAGAAAGAGTAAAAGAGTAGGGAGCCATTGTGGACCTTGAAGAATGGAGAGGATTTTGAAAAGTAAACGAGGAAGAAGGACATGTGGAGCAGAAGAGGCAGCATGAACAGTCACAGAGGAGGGAAAGAACACACCAGGCATGTTCGGAGAATAGAGAATAGTTTGGAGATTCTGAAGCACAGAATGAAAAAGAGAGAGCAGTGGAAGTTAGAGCTAGAAAAGAAGATTAGGACCAGAACAGAGAAAGCCTTGAAGGTCATGCTGGGATACTAGGGAGACACTGAAGAGTATGGAGGGAGAGAAGGTCATGATTAGGATTTTGCTTTAGAAATCTTAGGTTTCTGTTGGCATAAGAGAAGCTAAAGCAGAAGAATGGAGGCAGGAAAAATACTTAGGATGCTGTTTATAAGAGTGTAAGGGGAAGTAATGGTGATGGTGGCAGACCCAATAGAAAATCATTTAGACTGGAAGGAAGAGACAACTCTAGAAAGAAAGTGCATATGAGCCATTTATAGCAAATCAGATGTGTAACTTATTAATAAATTTGACTTTTTAAGATACTTTCCTAAAGAATGGGAAAGATTATTGTAATCCAACAAGTCTCTTTTCTTTTTAATAAATATTAATTCAAAATGCAATGTATTTTTACTTCCCCTGAACTATCACACCAAAACTTAATGCCTTACAAAAAGAACTTTATTTCTCTACCTAGTATTCATGTTCATAGATTACGTTTGCATTTATATAATGTCAATAACAATAATTACCGTAACAGCAATTGACATTTACTAAACACTTACTATGAGCCAGACACTATGCTATGCCTTTTACTTACACTAGCTCATTTAATCCTAAGTAAAACCACTCAGATATGCATTACTATTTCCCTCACTTTACATGTGTAGGTACTAAGGTAAGGAGTTGCTATGTAACTTGATTAACACAGGAGAGCAGAGATTTGAATCCAGGCAGGTCTGATGCCAGAACCTGTCAGTATGGTTTAGCTATTCAACCGTACTTCAAAGTTTTGTTTTTAGGAATTACATCTATTTAAAAATAGAATACCAAGAGAGAACAAAAACTAGATAGGACAAATAGAAAATAAATAGCAAGATGATAGATTTAAACCAAAACATATCAATAATCACATTAAATATAAATGATCTAAACACTCCAATTAAAATACAGAGACTGTCTGTTTGGATAGAGAAAAGTACCAACCAAACTCTCGCATAATGAATTTTGCTCCATTATACTGTTTTTCCCCTAAATTCTCTCCTCTTTTTTTGTACTACTTTTACCCCCACTTCATTGTGGCCTTATTCCTGAATACTGTCTGCCTATGAGGAAAATATTTCCTTTGTCGGGTTTATCATTTACTACATGTCCATTTAAAAGGTTCTGCTATAATGGACCCATCCTCTTGTCTCTCTCCAAGAGTTTAAGATCCATATAGACTGAAGTCATGACACATTTATTATGCATTTCCCACTTCATACTGTGCTACTTTGTCACCGAAAAACAGGCTAAGAAGAAAATTGAAGAGATCTGAGAAATTACTTTATATTTCAGAAAAATAGATGAGGTTGACATTAAGTGTAACATCAGGAGCATTTCTTTTCTTGGAATGGTTCACGTAGTCCTTAGTATCTTCTAGCTTGTAAATATTTCTTACAATTATGTTTCTATTTTATTTTCCAGAAGCACTGGTTTTAGCTGCATGCAAACCTGAAACTGACTTTTACTATATTCTGTAGCAAGACATTTAGAAAACGAGCCAGAAAGAGTTGTGTCCCAAAGGCATTTCTGTCTACTTGCTCAAAGAATGGCCATGTTGCCAAAAGGGCAGAACTACTTTCTAAATCCATATTCTTTATCAACTCCTAGATTTCGACCCTGCGTGATCCGCTCCACTAAAAGCTGGTCAGCTGTTTATCTTCCCTTTAATAAAATGAAATTTTAGAACAGTTTCCTAGTTTAAGGTTAAGTAAATGGAAAAGCATGGACTTTGATATTCATTGTCTTAAATGACATGGGTACATGGTAAACTGCTACCTTTAATACAAGTTTTACATCCAGCATGTATGGCTTCCCAAAACTTTTTGCCAACATTTGGTCATATTACTATCTAATTGAGTCCTGCCCAAACAACACACTAAAAAGTACACAAACATGCAAATGGTAGAAGCCGCATGCAATTCAAAACGTTCTTCTTACCAGGCTTTTGAGGGGCTCCCCAGAGACTCAATCCTTGCTGATCTGGAGCAGGATGGCATATCCGAGAAGACAGCAAATCAGTCCCAGAAACCGAGTGCTTCAGAAAAACCCAGTAAGAGAAATATTATTCTTATCCTCTGATGAAACAGCCTTAAGGACATGGCTTCTATTTAATGAAGGGGCACTTAAACCTGACTAAAAGCAAGAGGCTAAGTATACTGGAATCATTTGTAAGTTGCTCCCATCTTACATAGAATTGAATGGAGGTCCTCTCCTTGGGGCAATTAGAAGCCAAGTCTTAACATCTTTTGCTTCATTCATTTCTTCCTCAGAACGAGTCAACCTAGCTTCCTGTTAAATTAATTATAGTCCAGAATATAAAACAGCTATGTGCTGATTTTCACCTATACTTATTTTTTATCTCTAAGAAAGAAAAAAGAAAACCTATAGGAAGGTATTAATCTGCTTAACATTTCTAAGTACATCATCCAAAGGATTTTGTTTTTTTAATCTTACATATGCTCAGCAGAGTTACTGGCAAAAACTGTACATTTTCTTCATTTCATCCTTTCAACATCAAATAGTAGGCAGCAAAAATTGGATCAGACTTCAAAGCCTGCTGTGGGCTCCAAGTCACAGAGAGACGCCTCCATTTCACATATTGAATTCGAGCAGGATATCAAAGTGCTACCAAAGAACCTCGGGTCCTTACTCAAAAAGAGGCTCTAACATCTGTAGAGAGTGGAGTGCACAGACAAATCACCTCAGGGAGCAGCTAACATTTATTCTCAGCAGCAAATTTCCAGGCTTTTGATTCTCTCTCCCCTGTACCTCCCTGTCTCTCTACTGAACCAAAGTTCTTCAGCAAGCTGGGCTTTTGTCTCAAAGACTTCAAAATATCACTAACAGTTTCAAGTTTGGATGGTCCAACCACGCAGCCGCAGACAAGCTTCATGCCTATGAACTTGGATGAGTCTGAAGGAGTGATACACATTTACTTTGGAATCAAGATATCCAGCTACCTTGTTTGCATGTCCTGCGAAGATATCGCACCCTTTTGGAGAACTCTGGGCTTGTGAATGCCTGAAAAGATAACAATAATAATAATTTTAAAAGACTTGAAAATAATAATAGAAAAACTTAGAGAGGACTGTTTTTCTTCAAAGATATATCAAAACATACTTTTTATGCTTCCATGGTTTCCCATTTCAGTCCTTGGTTAAAAGGACATGGTCACCTTAAGAAAATGAGTCCTACTAGGTGTTGCTCCTACATGTTACAGCACATCCACAGTCTGCCTGAATTCCTAAGACCCAAGAAACTGCTCCTTTTAAAGTTGTGTGATTGGCTTTGGTTTAGCGAGCTCTATTGGGCTTCCACAACCTTTACCAAGAAGCCAACTAAATGGATGCTAAGGCTACACTTCCTGCACAGCACATGAATCACATTCACAGTTACAGAACTTAAAATGGATTCCGTAATCAAGTAAGTTTGGGGAATGTTAGGTTGGGCGTAGTTTGAAAGGTTTCCTTACTGCAGGAATAATCTTTTAAAATTACAATATACATTTATGGATCTCTATAGTAAAGATAAAGTTCCAACAGTAATTTGACCAAGAAGCTTAAAGTGATAACCTATTAACATCTAATAAAATCCTAATGCTTCATGGAACAAAGTTTGGAAAAATCAATTGGTCTGGGTCCCCAATTTTTGATAATCAGAACACATTGTATAAGAGTGTACTTATAACACACAGATAAAATAGGAGCCACTCATAATGCCTTTCAGATGGAACCAGCAGAGTGGAAAGCACTGAGTAAAGAAGGGAAATCTGTGTTCTGACCCCTGCCTCACACACACGCACACATGTGACACACATGACACAACAAACATGTGACTTTGGGTAAGTTTCTGTAGTATTCGGGGTCCTAGTTTTCCTCATCTATAAAATGAGGAGATTGAGATAAATTATTCCTAAGGTCTCTTCCAGTTCTATATTAATAATCTTATTCTTTACTTAAGCTGACAAATTCATTTCCGTATATTTATTTGTGGATATTACCTTCAAAATATATATTATAAGCAATATGCCCATTTAAAAATTACCACATCAGTACCTGGAAGGAGGGGACTATAATTCTATATTTATTTGTGTGTATATTTGCTTATCATATGTCTCCCACAATGGAATGTAAGCTACATTAAGTCAGGGACTGGATCTGCTCTATTTCACGCTCTGTGTAAGCACCTACCCAGTGCCTGGTACATAGAAAATGCTCAGTAAATATTGACCATTTGAATAAATAAAACAATGATTAGTCAATCCACAAAATGCGGGGCCATGTAGATCAGTAAGAATACTCTTACTATTAAAATTAAATTAACTATCATTTATATACTACTTCATTTAAAAAAAATGCTTTTAAATATTTAAGAAAGCTTCACAACCATTTGGTCTAAGTACTTTAATTGTATCTATCATACAGATAAACAAAGAGGTTCAGAGAGGTTAAGAGATTTTCCCAGGTATCATGGTAAATACCTGGTAGAGCTAAGGCATTCACCCGTGTTTGTCTGACTCCAAATCCTCTGCTCTTCCTCTGAACCATAATATATTCTATACCCTTCAGTATCTAAGCATTGGCCCAAAGGACTCACTCCTGTCTGGCCTAGGCAAGTCCCAGTAGCTGTGACACACCTATAGGATGGGTGGATTCTAAGATCCTCTAGGAGAAAGTCTAAGAAAGAGAGTTTAGCTGTTGAATTACTGCCAGACCCCTAATTTATGCCTTTCCTGACCCCTCAAAAAATGAACCTCTTGACAACTCCTCTAGCTTGTGTGGCTTTTCAGAATCCAAAGCCAATGGCAGACACCTCCCAACTCTCCACAGGGAGTCAGCTTATCTGTTTGATTCCCTCTTCATTCAAGCCTTTGGAAGAATCGAAGGCAGCTCAATGTAATGTTTGTGTGTGTTTAAGAAAAGTCAGCGGCAGAGGTCAGGGAGTAGTGTCTACAGGCAAATAAATTAGAAAATACTAGATTAGCCTACAAGCCAGGTTTCTTTCCCGAGAGGCTTTCCGGCAACTTTAATTTAATAATATGTTCAATGAGACTCCAAGAAAGGAAAAGAATTGGAAACATCTTCTAGACATTATTTTAACAATGGACCCTTCTCCTCTGTACCATGTTGAGGCACTACTGATTCTTAGAACACACCTTGCTTTTAAGAAGATGGTACAAGTCAGTTTTCTTAAAAAATCTAACTTCCTCAACTCCTTTATAGAGTTGTTGTTGTTGTTGTTGCTGTTTTTTTGTTTTTTTTGTTGTTTTTTGTTTTTGCCTTAGGGACATGAGACTGGATAATGCTCTGCAATCCGTCACTACCAAAATAAGAAAAAGCACAATAATAACAAAAAGCCATGGCTCAAGCTTACAATCCCAGCTACTGGGGAGGTGGAGGTGGGAGAACTGCTTGAGCCCAGGAGTTCAAGATTAGCTTGGGCAATATAGCAAGACCCTGTCTCTATTTAATTGAATTTTTAAAATATTTTTTAAAAAGAAAGAAAAAAAAGCCAATGCTTATTGCATGGATACATACCACCAGGCACCAGGCAAAGCATGTTACATACTGCTGACAGCCATGTGGATTGGTTCTTTTTTTTTTGAGATAGAATCGCACTCTGTTGCCCAGGCTAGAGTGCAGTGACATGATCATGGCTCACTGCAGCCTCGAACTCCTGGGCTCAAGTGATCCTCCCGCTGCAGACTCCGAAGTAGGTGGGACTACAGGCATGTGCTACCACCACACCTGGCTAATTTTTTATTATTTGGAGAGATGAAGTCTCACTATATTGCACAGGCTGGTCTCGAACTCCTGGCCTCAAGCGATCCTCCTGCCTCTGCTTCCTAAAATAACCTATTTTTACAGATAAAGGAATTAAGCATCAAGAAGCCAGTGATTTGCTTCAAACCACAGCTGGTAAGCAGTGTACCATAAGACTATGGTATATTGACTATGGAAAAGGTGATGCCAGAGGGAAATTATCAGGCCAAAATTATCAATTGTTGCTGGGTGTGATGGCTCACACCTGGTATCCTAGCACTTCGGGAGGTTGAGGCAGGTGGAATGTTTGAGTTCAGGAGTTGGAGACTAGCCTGGGCAACATGGTGAAACCCTGTCTCTATTAAAAATACAAAAAACTAGCCGGGCCATAGTGATGTGCACCCGTAGTCCCAGCTACTCAGGAGGCTGAGGTGGGAGCATTACCTGAGCCCTGGAGGTCGAGGCTACACTGAGCCAAGATCGCACCACTGCACTCCAGCCTGGACAGCCGGAGTGAGACCCTATCTCAAAAAAAAAAAAATAAATAAATAAAAAGAATTATTAATTGCTGATAAAATCATAGACAAACTGTTAATAGGGAAGAGGACATTCATATGGAGCCAAAGTACCACCATACAGGTGGCTAACCTCCTTCTTTCATTTCACAAGAGAGGCAATGTACACTGGAGAAATCAGAAGGTCAGTATTTTAATCCGGTGCTCAATTTTAACACCACTAACACCACGACAACATTGTCTTGTAATGTGAGGCAACATGAAGTATGTAATATCACCCAGGATGTATTTTTTCCTTTTGGTCAAAAACATGTAACTTAAATCGGATTAAGTCTTTAGATCTAACTTACAGTCTACGCAAAGCATAGGGCATAGAGGGACAAGCTGGATAAGACCACAGGAAGCAAGCAGCTAAATACAGAAGGTGAGCTATTTTATGAGATAATCCTATTTTATGGCTCGATCCTCTGAAAAAGTCAGTATTCTGAAAAAAGTGACTATTCTGTATCAAAAGAAATGTAGATGAAATAACAACTTGATGCACTGTAACATTCTAGATCGGATCCTGGCCTGGATAAACATGTGCAAAGGACATTCTTAGAACAATTGGGAAATTTTGACTATGAATTGGTATGGGACGATATTAAGGAATTAATTCATTTATGAAGTGTGATATTGTTTTCTGAATCCACAGGAAATTTTTTTTAACAAATAACACTGTCCTCGGCCTCTGCTGGAAATCATAAGCTAAATGGGCAGAAGCAGTGTATATGGCTATCAAAATAAGGTGAATAGAAAGTAGTTGTCCCTCTTTGTATAATTCATCACATATTTCTAGGGCTCCATTGGCGTCTTGGAAGCATAACTAAAGTCTCAAACAGATTGCCTCCAGGGCTCGACCGCTTCGCTGAAGTCAGTTCATTGAACTGTGGGTTCTAGGGGAGACGGAAACTCTCAGTCACCGTTGAGAACCCTTCTGCTGGGCATCTGTCCTGAAAAAGCCCCCAGACAAAACTCACATCTAATTCCTTCTTCTTAAATCCGGATCCCAGTGTGAGTGGATGAGGGGCAAGGTGAAGGCTGGCTCCTGAGTAGCTGGCTGCTGAGAATACCCAGCATCTCCCTTCTTCTGCAGCAGAGATCCATGAGGCCAGCTGGCTCTGTCACGCTGCGCCGGTGGCACTAGGTGAAGTCACCATGGTCCAGGGACTGGGCCTCAGCTTCACAGGCTCCAAAATTCAATTTGTCAGTTCATTGAGGGATGATGATTTTGGGGAGAGCTGAGTTGCAATAACCAATCTCAAAAGAGTCATATTTGAAATGTACAATGCGAGTGTGATTTTATAATGAATGGTATGATCTGGACTATACTTTTCCCCTCTCTAGTTGGTTGATACACTCTGGAGACTAAATTACACATTAGAATTAAAGCAAAAGAAGCAGGGTGCTCTTTGAGAATGTATCTGATCAGTCAAGCTTGCCTAGTAACTGGCTTTTTCTATTTTAGGGTTAGAATCAGTACCTTTTTGCTTGGATAGGCGTTGAGACACACTGGCTCCCCTCAGATTCTCCATTTTCTAAATTTTACTTGTTTCTTTGTGTACTTTTTATTAATTTTGATAAAGTTTTCAAGATTATCTTTTATCAATTATAAGTTAGAATGGCTTGGAGAGAAACTGAGATATCCATTTATTCGTTCACGCTTGAAAGCATACTCTAATTTCAAAATAGCTAATTCAATGTTGGTTGATTTTTGTTAGCTTTCCATTGTCTCTAAATTTGGGAGTATTTCTCCTAGTAAATTTGTGTCTCATTTGGTAGCCCCAAAAGAAAGGCAATCAGCATAGCCAAGTAATTTGTTTCCACCTCTTTGATAACTTTGAACAAAAACCAAAGAGCTCTTGGCTGGGCGTGGTGGCTCAAGCCTGTAATCCCAACACTTTGGGAGGTTGAGGTGGGAAGATTCCTTGAATCTAGGAGTTAGAGATTAGCCTGGGGAACATGGGGAAACCCTGTCTCTACAAAAAATACAAAAACTAGCCAGACAGGGTGGCATGCCCTTGTAGTCCCAGCTACTCAGGAAGCTGGGGTGGGAGGATCATCTGGGCCCAGGGAGGTCGAGGCTGCAGTGAGCTATGATTGTGCCACTGCACTCCAGCTTCCCCACCAAAAAAAAAAAAAAAAAAAAAAAAAAAAAAAAATCAAAGAGCTCTTAATAAGAGAAGGTCAATTTCTTGTTCCCAAGAAGCAGCAGTAAAACCACTCTGCAGACGATATGATCAGACCAGAATTATTATTTTTGAGACAGGGTCTAACTCTGTCACCCAGGATGGAGTACAGTGGTGAGATCATGGCTCACTGCAGCCTCAACCTCTCAGGCTCAGGTGATCCTCTTATCTCAGCCTCCTGAGACCAGGATACTTTTTGTTTTTTGTTTTTTTTTTTTTTTGAGACAGAGTCTCGCACTGTCACCCGGGCTGGAGCGCAGTGGCACGATCTCGGCTCACTGCAAC
Organism: Homo sapiens; assembly: GCF_000001405.40. Taxonomy (NCBI): domain Eukaryota; kingdom Metazoa; phylum Chordata; class Mammalia; order Primates; family Hominidae; genus Homo; species Homo sapiens. Next base: position 170,537,136 of record NC_000002.12, on the reverse strand, counting down.
ATCCACCCTCCAGGTTCAAGCGATTCTCCTGCCTCAGCCTCCCAAGTAACTGGGATTACAAGCGCCCACCACCACGCCCGGCTAATTTTTTGTATTTTTAGTAGAGATGGGGTTTCACTATGTTGGCCAGGCTGGTCTTGAATGCCTGACCTCGTGATTCACCTGCCTCAGACTCCCAAAGTGCTGGGATTACAGGCGTGAGCCACCACGCCCAGCCGAGACCAGCATACTTTTAAATAGTAGGGGCCCCAAGAATCTTGAGGGAGGCAAGTTTCAGATAAACAAGTCATATAACTTTCATTATGGAAGTTATTACCATAAGAGATAATAGAAAACATACACATCTTCAGAAACGGTTTCAGTAAATTCAAATTACAAAGGTAAATTAAGATATTTAAGGAATGACATCAGAGAAGAGATACTTTGCTTATCTCTTTGCAAAATATGCCTCACTATTATTTTAATTTGTACTTCTTGATTTCTAAAGAGGAAAAACATTATTCCTGGGCTTTAATGTGTGATATGAAGGAAATACAAAGAGCATAGGAAAGGAGAAACAGTAACAGTACACAATAAGATCACCATTATTGCAGGAAAATAAGGGAAACAAGAAGGAATAAACTTCACACCTTTTGTATTACTTTTTCTCATCAGGTTTGGATACCCAGTAACTTTTGGAACAATTCTGAATGCATGCACTGCATCCCACCCTAATCATTACTGAATGAGTTGAATATGCAAGTTATATCTAAATATATGGATATTTGTTTGCTCTAAAGCACACAATTATTTTAAGTTTTAGAACATGGCTCAAGGATAAATTCATCAGAAGGGCTCAAAAAGGCTGATGACTGTCTCATAATGCCATTGCTCTAAGTTAGCAGTAGTTAGATTTATGCACTTATGCTAATTTCTCAAATCCCACTGAGCCCTTTAAATGTGATCATATTTGTTTGCCTCATTGCTTTTCCCCAACCGTGAGCCCATACAGTCTTAATTTGCCAGTCCTTGCATTCTCATTTGTTTTCTTTTCCCTCCTTCACTACTTTACTGCAGGCAGCTGTCACTGTGTAAAAGTCTAAGGTAGGAGCAGAAGGCTTTTCTTCATTCTGCTGAGAATGCTTGCTTTATTGGAAAAAAGGACACTCAACTGACAGCTGCCCATAAAGCTTATTTCAGTTATTTGTCAGCAACCAAGGGAGCTGAGAGAAAGTTCAGGGATAAAACAAGAGACGCAGTAGTGGAGAAGGGTATTGTGATCTGAAGGGATACAGAGCCGTGGGCTGAGGGCCACAGCATGGCTAGAACAGCTGAGCTTTATGTGAGCTCAGGTGGAATTTGTGGTGTGGCCTGGGTGACGGTGATGGAAGCAGCTTCCTTTCCATCAGGCACTGTGCTGAGGACTTGGCTAGACTATCCATTTCATCCCATGACAGTGCTAGCAGCAGAGGTCCCCCAGTGTTCCCAATTCACAGACCAGGAAACCCAAGCTTGGGCTATTTGAGTAACATAGGTCATAACCAGATACAAATCCTGATCTGGTTGACCCGGAGCCCATGCTCTCAGCCTCAGCATAATTTTGTTACTGGACTCTTCCAGATAATCACACAATTCTATTAAGGATCTTAATGAATGATACCTGGGGCTACTAACATTCAGTTCTAGAAAATTTGCTAGGAGGCAGATTAAATGAAGCCCAATGATATCTGGAGGTATAAACCCTGGCCTGACCTTCTATTTATCTTGTGTCTATGGACTATTACTAAGATTATACACACTCGTACCACACTGAAGGCTCTAATCTGGTGCAAGTCTCCTTGAGATTCTGTATAAGAACAATGTGTATGACACATGCAATATAAGGTCTTCTACAGGCTCCCAGACATCAGTCATTCGGCTCCCAAGTCTTTACCGAGCACCTTTAAATTTGTCTCCTACTATTGTAAGTACTGGGGATACAGCAGAGGAGATCCAATAGTCCTCTGCTCATGAACCTACATTCAAGTAGCAGACACAAATTGAAACAGAAAAGTAACTATGTAGCATATTAAATACAAGTAAGTGCCAAAGAGGAAAGTTAAAGCAGGGAAGGGGGATAGAAAGTATTGGAGGCAGGGTCTGCAATTTTAGATTGAGTGGCTACAGAAAGTGACATTTGAATAAAGACCTTAATAAATAAGTAGGAATTGATATCCCTGAATACGGTTTCAAAAGTCCTTAAAGGGCAAAAAACACTATGTGTTATGGCACGTAGAGGTTAGAGGAATGCTATAAACACTTGGTAGATTTAGCAATATATTTCATGAAATACAGTCAGGCTATATGCGTACATATTCATGATATATTAGTTCTAAAACACTTGAACTAGAGTTGTTAGATAAAATACAGGACACTGAGGCTGGGTGTGGGTGGCTCATGCCTGTACTCCTAGCACTTTGGGAGGCCAAGATGAGAGGACTGCTTAAGCTCAAAAGTTCAAGACCAGCCTGGGCAACACAGTGAGACCTTGTTTCTACAAAAAAATTTAGTCAGGCGTGGTGGCGCACATCTGTAGTCCCAGCTACTTCGGTGGCTAAAATGGGAGGATCACTTAAGCCCAGAAGGCTGAGGTTACAGTAAGCCAAGATCATTCCACTGCACTCCAGCCTGGGTGACAGAGTGAGGCCCTGTCTCAACAAACAAACAAACAAAAAAACAGGACACCCAGTTGAATTTGAACTCCAGACTAACAACAAACATATCTCAGAGATACTGTGGGTTTTGTTCTAGACTTCCTCAATAAAGCAAATATCACAATAAAGTGAGTCACACACATTTTTTGGCTTCCCAGTGCATATAATTTTTACACTATTATCTATTAAGTGTGCAACAGCCTTATGTCTAAAAAATGTACATACCTTAATTTCAAAATATGGCTAAAAAATTCTGACATAGAGACATGAAGTAAGCACATGCTGTTAGAGAAATGGCAAAAACAGACTTGCTCAACACAGGGTGGCACAAACCTTCAGTTCGTAAAAAACACAACATCTGTGAAGTGTAATGAAGCAAAAGGGAATAAAACAAGGTATGTTTGTAATTATTTAGTAAAAGTATTTTCAAATACTTAACGGGACATACTTAAGCAAAAAAGACTATTTGTTGTTTATAGAAAATTCAAATCTAAGTGGGTATCTTGCATTTTTATTTGCCAAATATGGCAACTCTAACTTGGGCAAATCACCTCTCCCCTTCTTCATCAGCAAAATATAAATAAAAACTCTTGCCTGAGCTAAGGAAAAAATGATTGCATTTGTTCTCCTGGGCAGAACAAAATAAACACACAAGACAAGGTTTTAAAATAATTAAATTAAAGATGCATATATAGTCAGAAGTTAGAAATAAAACACATACTTAACAATGTGGTTACTTATTGTTTATGATTTTGCACATCTGAAAGACAAATCCGTAAACATGGAAACTTCAAGGGAGAATAGTAATGATGAGGTATCTGTGTGGCTGCCTTTCTAGAATCTGTGCTTTTCCTTCGGCTGGAGTCTTAAAGTAACTTGTGGGTTGAGCTACTTTTGAGTTACAGTTCTAGCAGTTTAAGACTGAATTAGGCCAAGGCATAGACTTGTAGAGAAAAAGGAAACTTCAGAGACCATTTATTACACCCTTTTCATGCTGTAACTGGAGGATGTTCTTTTCACCACTGCACACCCCCCCCCCACCCCCACAAAAGATAATATTTAACCCAGTTTTCCTCTTTTAATTCTGAAAGTAGTACTTAGTCCAGGGAAGGAGAAGTAAGAAGTGCTAAAATGAAGTGCATGACACACATGGCACTAAATGATGGGGCCCAAGGACAGGTGAGGGAGGGGGCGTGAGAGGAGGGACGGACATTTTCAGAAACTTTTACAAACGAAAAGCCTAAACAAGATTGTGTGCAGTGAGTGCTGACTAGTCAGCAATGTCACAGCCGAGAAGCTTGAGGACCATCACTGAGCACGGCAATGATGACGTGGAATAGACTTTTAGGTGTGAATGGAGAAAGATCAGGAGTCTAAAGAGAAAGTGGCTGATGAACTGCCCTGTCTAAAGGGCAAGAAGTGGCACTGACTTGTTTATTGCAACTTTTTATTTTGATTTAATTATATTAATAGAAAAGATGCAAGAATAGTATAAGGAATCCTATATATTCCTCAGCAGACTTACATATTTGCTTTGTCCTCTCTCTGTCTCTGTATTGATATATACACATACAAACATGCATAATTTTTTTCTGAACCATTTGAGAGTCAGTTACAAACCTGATACTCTTTTTTTTTTTTTTTTTTTGAGACAGAGTTTCACTCTTGTTGCCCAGACTGGAGTGCAATGGCTCAATCTTGGCTCACCGCAACCCCCACCTCCCAGGTTCAAGTGATTCTCCTGCCTCAGCCTCCCGAGTAGCTGGGATTACAGGCATCTGCCACCATGCCTGACTAATTTTTTTTGTAGTTTTAGTAGAGATGGGGTTTCACGATGTTGGTCAGGCTGGTCTCGAACTCCTGACCCCAGGTGATCCGCCCACCTTGGCCTCCCAAAGTGCTAGGATTACAGGCATGAGCCACTGCGCCCAGCCTACCTGATACTCTTTTATCCCTAAATACTTCAGTGTGTGTATTTTCAAAAAGGAAGGGCATTTTCTTATATGACCAGAATACAATGATCAAAATCAGAATTTAATATGACACTATTTTCCAATCTACAGATTGTATTCAGATTTTTCCAAATGTCTCAATGGCATCTTCTATAGCAAAATAAATTCCTAGATCATCTATTGCATTCAGAGGTAACGTTCTTTTAGTTCCCTTTCATCTGGAATAGTTTCTCAGTCTTCTGTCATGTTTCATTTTGGAGCCTACAGGCCGGTCATTTTGTAAAGGCTCCCTCTATTTGGACTTGTCTGCTGTTTCCTCGTGATTAAATTCAGGTTATGCACATTTGGCAAGAAATCCACAAAAGTGATGTTGTCTTCTTCTCAATACATCATAACAGGAGGCACATGCTGTCAGTTTGTTCAATTACTGGTGATGCTAACTTTCATCACTTGGGTTAAGGTGGTTTCTGCCAGGTTTCTTCACTGTCCTTTTGTAATTAATAAGTTTCTTATGGGGACTTACTCTGAGACTATGCAAATAGTTTATTACTCCTCAAACTTTCACATAGTAGTGTTAGCATCCATTCATAATTATTGCCTGAAACAATTATTTTTGCAGTTGCCAAATGATGATTTTCTGTTTTCTTAATTTCATCTACCTTTATTATTTCATATTTTATTGTAAGTCAGAGCTCAGCCTCTTCTCTTCCTTCCTTCCTTCCTTCCATCCATCCACATGGACTCATGATATCTTATTTTATTCAATGGATTATACTCTTTTGTCATCATTTACTTTGATACTCATAGTTTGGCACTGGATGATTTTAAAGGGTTGGGAGTAACAGACTTCAAAATGAGTACAAAATGCATAATACTAAGGATGACTTAAAGTGGATGCCTCAGAGATAACAACAACTCCTCTAATCACTACAATTTGTGAGTGCTTTTTATGCATCAAATGAGATGCTACATACTTTGTATATGTTACCTCATTTAACTTTCATGTCTTGGTGAGGTAGATATTGTGCTATTTGATCTTCCACTTAAAGATGAGGAAACTGAAGCCTTGAGAAAATAAGTGCGTTTATGAAGTTCTTACCCTGTAGTAGCAGGTCTAGTGGACTCTAGGGCCCTTGTTGTCAACCACAAGACAATCCCACAAGTAGGTGTAGAAAACCCCCAGGAAAGAATAAGGCTTTAAAAGCTGGGTTACACTATTCCTGAGGGTAGCTAGACACTTTTTCCAGGACCTACAGAGAAATCTGAACTTTTTGCATTTTTACAAATGGGGCATTTGGAAACTGTCTACATGTCTGTCATCACTCCAGGTACTTCCCTAACCTGCTTTGTGGAAACCATCCTACCTGCCTGAAATCCTGTAAGGAAAGCATAAAGAAAGAGATCATCTGTGTCAATGTCAGCAGACACAGATCCAGAAAGGCATGACTTGGTTGTGTCGCCCAGGGAAACATTCCTATGGGTCAAGATAAGACAAGTGAAAGCCATGTTGGGGTGGAGGAGAGGGAGGGGGAGAGGACTAAGGGAACAGTAGAGCAGAGAAATTCACTATCTATCCAATTCTTTAGATCCCAGGTGAAGACAAGGCTGTGGCTTCCACTGTTTGCCCTCCCTGCAGGCTAATATACTAAATCTTTCTTCTGGCAACAATGCCCCTTCCACCTTCACCACACCACCACTTTTAATATGAAGTTTCAGATTCTGAGAATGAGCTTAGGTGAAAGGATGCTTCATGCTAGTAAAAATAATTTAAACAACTGCCCTCCCTTGGAGAAAAAAGCACAGTTGGATCTGAGAATAACATCCTTGCTCTCCCAGGAGGAACAAACTAAAAATAAAAGTCAACAAGGTGCTTCCTGCCAGTCAGTAAATCCAATAAGCAAAGACGATGCCTCAACCTGGCGCTGGGTAGTTAACAGCTAGCCTGACTCCCTGCACCCGAGAGCGGCCATGTGGTTCTCAGAGCTAACAGCTGCCAAGCAGAACCCCTCAGATTAACCCATAGGTGGTGTTGAACCACTTCCCATTAAGATATTTGCAAAGCAAACAAAAATGATAGCCCCACTCTGAGTCCTGGGAGCTGGCCAGGAGCACTGGCTGTTCTTGTTGACACAAAGAGCTCTCCCGGGAGGGTCTGGATCAGAGCGAGGAAGGCCACTCCCACCTGCGTCTCCAGACTGTGTTGATCTTAGGCCATTAGAATTTTGGTATCAGGGACTGTTTATTATCTAATTTCCCAAGCACAGCAGTCGCTAGAGCTCTGTTTCACGAGAGCTCTCTATTGCTCTCTGTCTTCCCCACCTACACCATTCAGATAAAAAGAACAAATTCACCCCTCCTCCTGTTTTGTCTATTCATCAAGGAGACAAGTCTGAGAAGTTACTAAGATGCACACGGAGATGTTGTGGCATTACTACTGTTAACAGCTTTTAATGGCAAATACTCCAGTTTCTTCTTAATTTAAGGTGACCAGGGCGATGCTAGTGGAAAATATATTGGCATATTTGTTTTTTATAGTGAGGAACAAGCTGCTATTTAATTCACAAAATATACTTGGAACTGAAACACCATTATGTTTTCCTTATAACCCAGTGAAGAAAGTGAAGTTAATAAAATTGTGAAAATGTACAAAGTTAATCTTCTTTCAACATGTAGGATTATAATCTAGGTTTCATTATGTGTTGATAATGAAGCACTCTTATATAAAGTTCATTTTTACAAAATTTTGTTTCCTGCAATATTTTCCACTTGAGTCCATTTTCCTTTCTCAAACTTTTCAAAATAGGCTCAATATGTAAAGGTCTTTTGGGCAGAAACTCATTCTGAGCGGGAATATAATAAAGAGCTTGATGAGGATACAACGTAGGTACCAGCAATGTGCTGAATTTCTATGGGTAATGCAGGAAGGGGATGAGGGATGGAGAAATGGTTAGAGATCAGATTTTCTTATTATTTGAAATTGTCTTTTGGATCAGAAACCAGAACTTTAGAGACGTAGATATAAATAGTATAAGGAGAGAGACAAGAAGAAAGAAAAAAAAGGAAGAAGGAAGGGAGGGAGGGAGAGAAGGAGGACAGAAGGGAAGGAAGGAAAGGAGAGGTCTAAGGGAGACTGAAATTTTTTTTTTTTTTAACTTTTATTTTAGGTCCAGGAGTACATGCTCCGGTTTGTTATATAGGTAAACTTGTGTCATGGGGGTTTGTTGTACAGATGATTCCATCACCCAGGTACTAAGCTTAATACCCAATAATCATTTTCTCTGCTCCTCCTCCTCCTCCCGACCTCTAACCTCAAGTAGGTTCCAGTGTCTGTTGTTCTCCTCTTCGTGTCCATGTGTGAGAGACTGAGAGTTCTTTAGAAAAAGTAGAGGCATTATCATGCTAAAAATATCATACTAAAAAATTGACTTTTTATAAGAAAGAAGAGAGCTATCAGGTGAAATTAAACAGCAATTTTTTGGAATCTTGAGTACATGATTCAGTTTTAGATGAAGTTTATTCAAACGAAATTAAAATGGGTTTGAAAATGTTCAAGTTTTCCAGAGAGCACGTGAGCCTAACCTTGCTAGTCAACTTTGTAGAGCAACATTGTTGACAGCAAGTCTGTTTAGGGATAGATTAATGTAAACATAAACGTTCATGTCCACAGGTGATCACATTGAAGGCCTTGATGGGGATGATGATGTGACTTCAGCTATATAGAAGAAATGTTAAAAAACTGAAAATTGGTTCCCATGCCAAACCGTCCATCGTCGTCTGATGCATTGGGCACAAAAATATTTGCCTTGAGGCTGGGCACAGTTTCTCATGCATGCAATCTCAGCACTTTGGGAAGCTGAGGCAGGTGGATCACTTGAGGTCAAGAGATTGAGACCATCCTGGCCAACATGGTGAAACTCCGTCTCTATCAAAAATACAAAAATTAGCTGGTCATGGTGGTGCACAGCTATAGTCCCAGCTAGTCAGGAGGCTGAGGCAGGAGAATCGGTTAAACCCGGGAGGCAGAGGTTGCAGTGAGCTGAGATTGCGCCACTGCACTCCGGTCTGGCGATAGAGCGAAACTCCATCTCAAAAAAAATAAAATAAAATTTTGCCTTGAAGTGTGGATCACATGGCAGGCATGGGATATAAGAAAACCCAAGTCAAACATGCATTCTAACATCATATCTGCTGAAGTCCACCACATCCTAGTTCCTAGCAACTGACCCTCAATTTGAGATATTAACCATAGGCAGCTACCAGCCAATAAGTGAGCTTCCTAAAGAAAACACAGAAACATCTTCCCAAACTTGGAGCTTATTTTTGAGTTAGGAAGGTAGATGCATCACAGAAAAATGACATGGTGTTAATAGAATCTCCCTTCACTTGTTTAATTAGGATTTTCGACTTTTTGAGAAAGCTAGCTCCTTTATCAACTAACTAGGATGCTCAAATCAAACTCAAGGTAAATAGGAAGCATTTCTAGAGAACAAAGTAATTAAATTTAGCTTTGGACCTCACAGAAATAAAAACTCAAGGAGCACATATTCATTTGTCCATTCATCAATTATTTCATTTTATGCCAGTTATGGCCAAAGATTCTAAATTCTGGATTCTGTGAGTGCTACAGAAATGAGTGACAGTTTCAGCCCTAAAGTTTATTATCTCATGTGGGATACAGTAATAAGAGCTAACATTTTTGTCCACTTAACTACGTACTAGGTAGTCATCTAAACGTTTCCTATGGTTTATTCTCACAATGGCGGCATGAGGTAAGTACCATTATTAGAAACACACTTGCCCAAGGTCATTGAGGTAGTTGGACACAAACCTGGGCCAGAACAGAGGCAGTTTGGCTCCAGGGTCTGTAGCTGAATCGTTTCCTCTACCTAGATGGTGCTCTGCAGACAGCGGGAGAGAATCAAACTCGGATGCTGGCAGGCCAAGCCATGAATTAGGCAGGCGGTTAAGTAGGGATCTGTGAAAGATAGCTCCTGCTCACTTCCAGCAGTTTGCTGCCAGATACTCAGGTTTTTTAAGAGCTATCAGAAGTCCGAATGACATGAAATCTATTTTTATGTGTTAGAATCTAATTTTAAAAATTTAACAACATTCAGGCCAAACAAAACATGTCTGTAGACTATATTCTACCCAAACACTATGGGTTTACATCTTTTGACCTATAGAACAACAAAACATTTTGTGTACTTTTGAAGACCTCCCATATCTTGGTGCCTTATTCCCTGTAATAGTTCTTCCTGCCTCATACCACCCCCATCCTACCCTCTGCCTTCTTCTCACTGGACCTCTCACCTTCCAAGAATGGCTCTGCATATCCTGCCTCTGGCTATGGCCCACTCTTGTTTCTCCTGCCTGGGATGCTCTTCTCTTGCCCTTGTCTGTATGTCACACGAATGAGACCTTGAAGGATGAGTAAAACATCAGCAGGTAAAGACAGGACTGGCAAGGGAATTCTATTCAGATGGAATAGCGTGAACAGATATACAGAATATGAAAACAAAAGACATGTTGAAAACCACCAAAGAGTTCCAACTATTTTAAAAGAGGCCTCTGGTCCTTGGAATCTGTTCTTAGAAAGAGACTGTTGGCATTCTTGACATACAGAAATCTTCTAAAAGGACTCTTTGCATAAGGATCACTGATGATTTAGGGTTTGTTGAAATAGTTCAGATAAATATTTATGTACGGCCATAAGCAAGTCCCCAAGGAAAAATATAACTCAAAACAGATTTCTCCTTGAAGCTTCTTTCAGCTGGTGATAAGGTTTCTGCCTTCAAAAAGGTTTTGAAAATACACGTGACCAATTAATATTTTAAAAATCTAGAAAGTCTAAGAAAGCTCTAGCAATCAACTAAGCTCTGAATGTTATTATTTGAGGGTATGATAATGTCATGCTGGCAATGTTGGTAAGGGTGACTCCTGAACCCAAAGTCAATCTCAGATTCATTCCTGAGATAGGAGCCAGGAATACAAGAAAATAAAATTTGTCTCTAAAGTTAAAGCAGAGAGTGAGCATTGTTCAAAGTTTCTAAGGTGATGGAAACCTCAATGCTTATTTTAGTCTACAATTCTAGAGCTAAGTCAAAGTCTTGATCCTTCATATGAGTTTAACTTTACAGAAAACTTTTCCATACTAATATTACTACTATTATTGCTGCTACTTCTATCACCATGACCCACAACAGCTTGCCATAATCTCTTATTGAGTATTCATTACATGTCTAGAACTGTGCTAGTTCCTTTGCTTTGATTATCTCCAGTCCTCCCAATTATTCCCTTTTTGCAGTCTAGGATACTGAGGTTCAGAGAGAGGAAGGAACTTGTCCAATGTCTCATAGCTCGTAAGTAATTCAACTAGGATTCAAACCCAGGTCTGTCACCAAAGCTCATCATTTTTCTACCCAAATGAGACAATACATACAGTGTTTACCACATCTTAAGCACTTGATCAGAGAAGGCTACTATTCCTACCACCACTCCCACATCATGCTGCCATTTTCCCTCTGGTTTCATGTGGGGTCCTCTAACGTGTTAGTGCACTAACTTGACCACACTGGTAGGAAATTTGCTGGAGGATTTGTTCTGTTCAACAGTCTTAGAACTGCCATGTATTTCTGCCGTGACCCCTCACACACAATGTTCGTCAAGATATGTGACAATCTGTACTTCACAGCCCACATGAAAATCTGGCCCACAGTCGGCCCTGCTGACTGGGAGGCTGTTTCTCTGGCTCATCAATTCTGAGGTCAGCCCAATTGGCTCCAAGCCCCAGAGCTGCAAGGATGACACACAGGAGAAATATGCACTTGTTTTCCCCTTGTGAGGTGCCAGTTCTCCTTGAGCTGCCTGAGTCACGGAGGTTCCCATCACTCTGAATCTGAATCCTCATTGAAGGGCCCATAACGAAGCAGCTTCACTGGGGGTGTGTTACAAGCCGTCTTGTGAAAACATTTGCACCAGCATTATCAATCTCCTGCCTCTTCATATGAGTTCCTTTTACACAAAAACAGGCTAGCTGTGCTAAAGAATGTCACATAAAAGCCTTGTGAGAGCTTTGCCATATGCAGGCCAAATTAAATTAAGGGGCATAATCCTCACCATTGTATTTATCAGCATTAAAATGGGGGATTACCATCATGGGAACAAAGCCCCACAACATAAAAGACTATTTCCATTTTGGCATTCACTGTACACAGTTACAGGCTCACATAGGAAGTGAAGCAGAGAAGCATCAACCCAACCACTCACTTTTACTTTCAACTTGAGGTTTCCTTCTCTCCAGCCAAGTTAACTCTGTCCCATCATGCACAGATGGGAGCACCTTTCCCATGAGGCTTTAGGCTTTCTCCCAAGAACTGGGTGCTGGAATTTTCTTCATCAATCACAGGGTGACAGTTATAACAAGTAGGGTGTATTTCTCAGTGGGTGGTGATTTAAGATTTAAACAATGACAGGTATAGAGACAACGTGGGTAGAGAGAAAAAGCCTTGGACTAATTATCTGAGACCTGGAGCCTTGAGAGGCAGTAGAATGTACCAGTTAAAAAATGAGTGCTGTGGTCAGAAGGCCCATGTTCAAATCCTGATTCTGTCACTTTACTGATTAAGTAACATTGGCAAGTTACTTGTGATCTCTCAATGTCAGAGATTGTAAAATCTATACCTTTCCCATAAGGTTGAACAGGATAATGCGTGTAAAACCCTCAGCACAGGCCAGGCACGGTGGCTCATGCCTATAATCCCAGCACTTTGGGAGCCTGAGGGGGACGAATCGCTAGAACGTCAGGAGTTCGAGATCAGCCTGACCAACATGGTAAAACCCCATCTCCACTAAAAACACAAAAATTAGCCAGGTGTTATGGCACGCACCTGTAATCCCAGCTACTCGGGAGGCTGAGGCAGGAGAATCACTTGAACCCAGAGGGCGGAGGTTGCAGTCAGCTGAGATCATGCTATTGCACTCCAGCCTGAGCAACAGAGTGAAACTCCATCTCAAAAAACAAAAACAAAACCACTTAGCACAGTGCCCAGGAAATTGCTAATGAACCAAATGCTAGCAGTTGTTATTATTGTTGGAGACAGAAGATCTGAATTCAAAGCCCAGACCCACCATTTATTCTGTGTGACCCTGCATAACCCAGTGATTCCTCGACTAGCTGATGGGGGGCAGGTGTAGGTAGATCTGAAACCAATCCAGCACTGGTCTCTGAGATAATGTTTATGAGCTATTTGCCTTAGCTTTCCCCAGGTTCAGTTTATCTGTAACATAGAGTGAGTAACACCAACCCAGAAGGCTGGTGTGAGAATTACATGAGATAAAATGTGGGGGGAAAAAAAACTGGCATAGCAATAAATGCTAACAATCAATCTGAATGATCTCAACACTTCCCTTCAGTTCTTATTTGCAGCAATATTTCTTGACATATACGGATCGTCCTTATGAACTCTTCCCTCTGATTTTGCCTTCCCTTCATCTTTTCCTGGTACCTATCTGCTCCCATCACTGTCTCTCCAGGACTCTTGAGGCAGACCTTGTTGGTTGCTTCCCTCTTCCTTTCTTCTTTGCCTAATCTCTCAACCTCCTTTGCAGCTCTCCTGCAGAACCACCACTGCAAATTCTGGCCAATCATATGCAAGAAAAGTCTCCTGGGTGACTTCTGGGAAAGATTTCCCTCCTAGCAAATGGAGAGAGACTCCTGAGAAGAAGCCCCTTTCCATCCGCTTCTGTCTTCCTGCTCCAGACATTGGCATGTAAAGAAGTGATGTTTAGTGTTGCTTTGGCCACCTCGTGGCCATAAGTGGGGGCATGACTGACATGCTGAGAACAGCAAAGCAAAGAGATGCAAGGGGCCTGTGTCTTTGCTGACATTCCTGAATGGCTGACCGAGCCCTGGAACTTCTGTCTTTGGACCTTTTGTCTCGAGGGATCCTTGAATCTATGGGTTGAATGTTTGTTACTTCCAATGAGAACATCACCAGTGACACAATCCAGCTCTCTTCTTACTCTGCCCACCCCAAACCCCTCCCTACTCCCACCCCACCCTCTGCCCAAAAACTCCTTCCTATCAGCCCTTGTTGATTCACAGAACACTGAGTTGACAAACATAAGGGGGACAACAGAATCCCAGTCCCTGGATCAGGGATACCCTGGCCCACTGTTTGGTAAGTTATTCGGGATCCTCTTATTGTTGCCACTACCCAAAGACTGACAAGAAAAACACTTCCCTCATAAAAATCTGAGTGCTGAGAAGTGGCTTTGAAAGTTAGCTCAATAAACTTATTGAGTAGCTATTGTGTATATCGGATACAAGAAAGAGTAAGACTCAGTCCTCACTGTTGAGAAGCTAACTTGCTAGCACAAGGTCAACCATAACACCAGGCAAAATATGAAGAGCACCAGAGAGATTGAAACACCAAAGTGTGGTGTGAGGACCCAGTCTGTGAACTGTTACTACTCACAATGACATAAGGGGCTAGTGCCAGAATGTAAATCAATTCATCACCAAGTACATTGTTTAGTTCAGCTGATTTTTTTTAGTAACAAGAGTTTCTTAATGAAGAAAGCAGTGAGTTGATTTACATTTGGGCACAAATTCATTATCCTGTTGTGAAAAAGCACTTTGAGTAGTACTGTTACAAAAGGGCTACAGCTCAAGGAGTATTAAAAAGAATTAGGTCTTCATGGAGGAAAGGGATATGATAATGTGTCTTGACCAAAAGGTAAGAGCTGAACAGAAAGGAATGGGCAGAGAGAAGAGAGGAAGGTGCACCGGTAGAACAATAAGAAGTCTGATTCTGGTTAGCCATAAGGTGTATTAGGGACAAGGTGGAGGTGAGCCTGGAGGACAAACTGAAGTGAGCTAGAGAGAGGCGTGGAACAGCAGCCTGAGAAGTCGGAACCTTTTTTGGTCTAAAATAGGAAGCCATTAAAGTTCTTTGAACAAGTCAGAATATGTTGTAAGACAATTGATCAGGTGTGAGAAATGAAAGCTGGACTGTAAAGACAGAAGGAGAAAGAAAAAGAGATAATGGCAGTCCTGGACCAGGAAAGAGTATTTGGAAAATGACTGGAAGTGAGATTAAGTGAGAGGTAGGGGTCAAGAGTGACTGTGCCAGGTTTGAAGGCCAGGTCACAAGACAGTGTTTATGTCAATCATAGAAGTGGGAAGGGTGAGTGGAGGAGGTGCTTTAGGAGGGGCTTTTCTGTTGAAGTCTTGGTGTGTGAATCAGGAATATATGTCCACTGTGAGTTGGGTGTAGGAGTGTGGAGCTCAGAACAGAGACTTGCGACTCGTGCTCACCTAGCAGAGACTTGATACCAGAACACACTGGTGAGAGATGGTATCATCCAGGGTGAGAAGGAGAGAAAGGAGAGAATCTAAGACTTGGAGAATTGCCTTTATTTTAATGGTAAGCGGAAGAGAAGAAGAATGGAACCAGAGAAAACAAAGACTGAGAATACCTCTGAGCAAGCACCTGAAGAAGGCAATACTACAGATACCCTTGGAAGAGGGCTCTTCAAGGAAAGCACGCATGGCCCATGGAACTAAATGCTGCAGAGTCTGATGAACATAAAGCTCTAGCAACTGGGAGCTGTGCTTCCCAAGAATAGTTTTAGGGACATTGTAGGGACACAAATCAGATTTCAGGATTAGGGAGAAAGGGGTTGGTTTAGTGAGGAAATGAGGCAGTGGACCTGGACAGCAGTTGGAGGAAGTCTGGTGGTAAAAGCAAAAAGAAGGAAGGACAGGCCAAGGGCAGGCTTTTTTTTAGTATGGGGGGAGGTATAAGCAAAATGGAAAGTGATAGCAGAGTGTAAAAGATGGGAAAGCAGGGGAGGTGCTACCTGATAGTGGTAGGGCCTGGATGGCAGGAACACTGCACAAGGCAGAGGATCTGGGGTCTGTGAGATGGGAGCAAAGGAAGGAAGGACAGCCGAAGATAAGGAGAGATTCTAAGGTGAAGAGAAGGGCGGTGGAAGAGCTCAGAGCACTGTCCTGGTGTTCTCAGTAAAGTCAGACCTCAGTTGAGATTGAGGAAGTCAGACTGGGGCTGAAGTTGTTTTCCAAACTGGTTCACTGACTTGCCCAAGGTCAAACAGTTGGAAAATGTTAGCTGGGATCAGAAACCAAGTCTTCCAACCAAGCTCAGTGATCTTTCTACCACATTAGAAATTGTAAACTTTGTTATTCTAATATGAGATATTAGGTCTTTTCCTAAAGTGCCCTTAAATGAGCTATTCTGACTTTTTAAGCAAGTAGTCTAAAGTACTTTACTTTAAAAGAAGCCCAATGACAATTTGAGACCACTGGGGGAGTATTAAGAATTTAATTTATCAAGTCTCAAAAATCTTAAGCGATCTCACAAAATAAAATAATAAAAAATAATTAAAATTTTGTTTAAAATTGTAAATTAAGACTTTCTCTTTTCCAGGTGAAAAGATGCAAAGAACTCTCTAATGACCTGCTTCTTTCTTGAAATCTTTGACTAAAACTTTTAAGGAAGTTCCCCATAATCAATGTGGAAGAAAATAAGAAAGGTGAGTTTCATTCTATTAGGCCTTCCCTTTGCCATGGTCCACTCCTTCCTGTAGCTGTGTCCTCCTCCTGGTGACATACATGATGGGTTCTGGAAACCTTATCTGAGAGAAGGCACATTATAAAGGCTTCCGTGAAGAACAGGCCTAGGAGCTGTTTGTGTCTTTAGCTCTTGGTGTCATGCCTGGCCTGGCTGGACTTAAAGTGTCTTGAGCCTACATTTAGCCAGGGTATCGGGCCCTGCAGCTTGAGCAGCTCAGAGGTCACTGAAAGGCAAGCTCTGCTATACTCCTTTTGAATTATATTTAACTCAAACCTGTGGCTAAACAGGAAATGATACTCCCTTTTTGCTTTAGCTTAAATCTAGGGTTTTTCTAGAAGCTCATCATTTTTCTACTCAAATGAGATAATATATATATCTCCCCCAAATGAGATTATATATATATGTGTGTGTGTGTATATATGTGTGTATATATATATGTGTATATATATGTGTGTGTATATATATATGTGTATATATATACATATTTTAATATGGAGACAGGGTCTAACTATATTTCCTAGGCTGGACTCAAATTCCTGGGCTAAAGTGATACTCCCACCTCAGCCTCCCAATTACCTGGGTCTCCAGGCACATACCACCATGCCTGGCTGTAGGTTTCTCAACTGTGGGACTACTGACATCTGAGGCTGGACAATTCTTTGCTGCGGGGAGGCTTTGTCCTACATTGCAGGAGGTTTAGCAGCATCACAGGCTTCTGCCCATTAGATGCCAACTGCACAACTCTTCCCTCCAAAGTTGTGACAAACAAAAATGTCTTCAGACATTGCTAAATATCCAGGGGGAGGATGTTTAACCTGATGACGCTAAGTATAGATTTAACCATGAAGAGAACCCAAAAAGTAGGGTTGTGTTCACGTTGCTCTGTAGAATAAAGACTTGGGAGAATCTGATGGAAACACTTTTTTTTTTTTTTTTTTTTTTTGAGACAGAGTCTTGCTGTGTTGCCCAGGCTGAAGTGCAGTGGCACAATCTTGGCTCACTGCAACCTCCACCTCCATGGTTCAAGTGATTCTCCTGCCTCAGCCTCCTGAGTAGCTGGGATTACAGGCACATGCCACCATGGCCAGCTCATTTTTGTATTTTTAGTAGAGGCGGGGTTTTGCCATGTGGGCCAGGCTAGTCTCAAACTCCTGACCTCAGGTGATCCACCCACCTCGGCCCCCACAAAGTGCTGGGATTACAGGCATGAGCCACCACGCCCAGCCCTGGAAACGCTTTTTGGTTCCACTCTCTCCAGTTCACCAAAATACCATAGTGGTAGAAATACTTGTTGCATTATCCATTACCATTTCATTATCCATTAGAATGGAGCACCTGAGTTTACAACAGGGAACTCTTAGCAGATAATGCTCACCCATTTTTCTCTGTGACAGCAGGAGAGTTGCTTGAAGTCTGTGTACGGCCATTGTTGGATTCTGCTTGTGAATGGCTCCTACGATGTACAGAGCCCCTGAGAACTGAGAGAAAAGAAAGGAGGGCTAAGCATATGTTCAGAAGTAGGTAGGGTTAGCTTTTGGTGCCCATCTACACTCTCTGCAGCCCTTCTCTCCCTGCCCTCATACCACTCCGTGACTTTCTATAGGTTTTTTTTCTAGGATATGTCATTAAAATTGAGCTGTTCTCGATTCCAGGTCTTGTTCCATGCTTGGTCTCAGTCAGCAAACTGTTTTCATGCTTATAGGAAAACAAGCTACCTCTCTCTGGCAATAGATATAAAGAGTGCACAGATTAGAGGCCCCAAGTGATTTGGGTCCCGGTAGAAGCAGTATACAACAGCTGGAACAACACTGTGCTAGACAGAGACAGCAGATCAGCTTCTAGTTCTGGCTAGGCTGCTTGCTGATGTGGATAGGGCAAGGAGCAAAATGTGATGATGTGGCTAGGATTAACTGTAAACAGGGAATAATTCCAGGAGTAACCTATTTCCACATTTTGATTGAGGACAGTTTATTGATGAGTTTCTCAACAATGAGGGTAACAAATACAATTCTTTCTTCCAGTGACCATGGCTAATCAATCACGGCCTTCTTTTCCACTGAACTTTAATTCAACCTGAAGTTCCTTCTTAACACTTCACATCAGTGGTTGTCAAAGTGTGGCCCAACAAGTAGCATCAACATCACCTGGAAACTTACTAGAAATGAACATTCTTGGGCCCAACTTCGGACTTAGTGAATCAGAGACTCTGCAGGTAGGGTCTGGCAATCTGTGTTTTTATCAAGCTGTCCAGGTGACCTTGATCCATGTTAAATTTTGAGAGACACTGCTTCCAGATCAGTGAGTCTTACTCCTGGCTGTACATTAGAAACACCCAGGAAGATTTTAAACATGCCTAGGACCAGCCCCTAGACATTCTGATATTGATCTGGGATGGGAACTGCCATCAATTATTAAAAGCTCCCTAGACAATTTTAATATGTGGCCAGGGCTGAGAACCACTGTTCCAAGTAGTCACTACCCATCAGTTAGGGTTGGAAGGAGACTGCACACCTATTTGCCATCCTTATTTTAGATAACCTAGAACCATCCAAACTGAAAAGTAACCAACAAAGATAATCTATAAATTTGGGAATTGTGACTTACTGTGGAAGATGCATAAATGGTTGACATTATGATTACAGAATACATGATAGAAATGGAGTGTAGAAAAATAAATAAAAAGTATAGAAATCAGTTTTTTTTGTGTTGTCTGTTCTGGGAAGAACATGTGCTGATTTTAAATTGTCAGTTTGGTTCCTCAGCATAAATATTTCTTGTGTGGAATAAATGCAATTCTTTGAGCTAAGGTAATGGATAGAAAGATTTGTTGTTGTTGTTATTATTGCTACAAACACCAAAAGAGAAAAATTTAAGTGAGACATTAATACAATTTTTATTATTACACACACACACACACACACACACAAACATTATGGCCAAACAGTGAAACAACAATATTGAAAGAAGGAAAAAATAGAAATAAAGAAAAATAGCCACCACCTGTTAGAATTTCATTAACTAATTCCCTTCCCTTCCCCCACTGCCTTTTCTCCGTTGATAAAATCCTCTAGTTAGAGCACCAGGCAGGTTTTCCCCCCTCTTGGAGATTCTAAATCACTGTTTGGCCCACACTCACTTGCAATGCTGTGATAAGCAACATAAAAGCAAGAACTGACATAAAAACAAAAAAGGGGAACCCACTTCAGGGATACAAGTATCTTTCTGTTTCCCTGTTAAGAAGGAAAAATCACCACAAATAATTTTTAACCTTGTTCTCTGGCCCAAATCAGCAGCACCAAGAGCTACCACTGATCAAAGGCCAAATGATATTGCCCTTGTGGAAAGCTAAGATTGCAAGCTTTTGTCTGTACCTATTTTGAGATCCTCAGTTAAAAAACTAAAAATAATAAGGAGCAATAGCCATCCAAAGAAGAAAATAGCACAAAGAGATCTAGAAAAAAAAAACTGTAAAATCTCTTTTGGTTTGGGACTCTCCTTATGAAGGTGCCATGTCCAAGACCAGAACGAGAGGAAGCAATATCTTTACCTGGTTCAGCAAATGCCCCCAGCTACTTTGCTGGGGTTTCCATAGAATTTCTGTTCATGTAATTGAAGGGAAAACTTATTCCATGTTTCTTATTAATTTACACTTCAGTCATCAAAATATTGATTTTTAAGAGTTATTTGAAGTATAAAACCAGAAACTTACAGAATATTCTGAATAAAGCTTAGAAGGAATCTGCTCCTCCATCCCCCAGCTTTGCTGAAGAACAGGGAGAAGGATTTGGGTCAAACTAAAGAGATAAATAAGATTATCAAACCACTGAATTCAAGGCAGCATCCGAAATTGTCAAACAGTTTTCAGTATGAGCTGGTGACAGTTGGAATCACCTGGCTTCTCTCTGGCAAATGAATTGCTGAACAAGGACATTGGAGAAATGGAGATATGAAGGAAAAAAAAGAGAGAGAAGGTGACTCATTTTAAGTGTATGAATAGGTTGAGTTAAAAAAAAATTAGACCAGTGACATGGCTGAAAAATAAAATTATGAACTTAAATAGTAGAAATATTCATAAAATGCCGAACTTGGGGAATGTACAGGTGTGACAATAGAAGCTTCGCTAGAGATGGGTCACCTTTCATCAGGGAGGGTTCCTATGTGTTTCTGGTTTAATGAAGTAAAGCAATACTTGGAGTGGAGTTCTAGAGGAACTAAATCCTTCCAAAATCTGGTTGAGCTCTATAAGCCATTCACATTTTTTTTTTTTTTTTTTGAGACGGAGTCTGGCTCTGTTGCCCAGGCTGTAGTTCAGTGGCGCGATCTCGGCTCACTGCAAGCTCTGCCTCACGGGTTCACACCATTCTCCTGCCTCAGCCTCCCAAGCAGCTGGGACTACAGGTGCCTGCCGCCATGCCCGCCTAATTTTTTGTATTTTTAGTAGAGATGGGGTTTCATTGTGTGTTAGCCAGGATGGTCTGTATCTCCTGACCTCGTGATCTGCCCATCTCGGCCTCCCAAAGTGCTGGGATTACAGGCGTGAGCCACCGCGCCCATCTCTATCAGACTATTTTGAAGTAAGATGGAAAAGCATCTGCCTGTCAGAAAAAAAAAACAACAAAAAACACCAAGAACACCATTAGGAGGTGTTGCAAATGCCTTTGGGGGCACGTAGGAAGAAATATAAATGTGTGAAGTATCAGGCAAAGAGGATGGGGAATCGTGGGATTTGTGATGAACCAGAGAATTCACACCCCACTTAAAGACATTCAGGTTCAAAGTTTTTTAAAAAGCACTGTGTGTGGCCAAGCATAACACATCTTTGGAGGATCTCCTATTTGTGACTTCCTATACTGGAGGATCTCCTATTTGTGACTTCTAGGGGGAAACAGTGATCTGCACCCTCAGTCAGTAATAGCCAGACACCCTTCTTTTGAAAATGAAAACTTTCTCATTGTCTCCATCCCCAAGTCTCCTCAAGTTCAAGAAACACTGATGTTCTCCTGGATCCTGCTACTTCTCTTTTTCTCCTACTTTCTAACCTCCTTGCCCCAAGGTAAAGTTCCAGTTCAGTATTTCCTTGAAACAGACTGAGTGAGAGATACTAAAGGAGTCTGAGGTACCCAGAGACTCTCTGCCTACACACTGGGCAGTGGCGCTGGGGCTGGCAGATAAACTGTAACTGTAAATTCTACCACAAAATCTTCACTTGCCATCAAATGCAGGTGCTGGCATTAAAGACCATACTTCAAAAATCATAGCCTCTCAAGCAGAAGTCCAGGGACCTTCAAAATTCAAAAGGGTGAGACTGCAATATTTTAAAAATGTTTGAAAACCATGATTTAGTCCAATTGTCTCATGTTACCGTGACTGGAGCTTAGGGATATTAACTGGTGGAGGACTGAGAACCAGAAACCCACGTTTCCACTTCTTGTCCACAGTACCCCTTCCTTCCATGAATGTTCTCAATCAGTCTGAGATCTATATACCAGGTTCTGGATCATAGAAAGATCTTCCCAAGACACTAAACTTTCCTCAGTCTTAAGGTAAATCTGATACAAACATGTCAGAGTCTGCCTCAAGAGGACAGGTTAAGGCGAAGCCATTGGTAAGGAGAGCTGCAACTAGACCAGTGTTCCAGGGAACATGGAAGGAGGTGGAGGGGCAACTGTGAGGAACGGAGCTTATCCCCATCTATTCTATTCCCTTCTATGAAATCACCCTTCAGAGTCCTCTGCAAGGTTGGCCTTAAATTTAATTGGCTGTCACCTATAGAAAAAAGAAGGAGTGGTGGACAGAAGGTTCTTATATAAGAGGTGATCACTTCCAGCTTTGGAACCTTCTCCGGAATGCCCCTGAATTTAGAACACTCATTCTAAATCTCGAAAGACTCTACCTTTATGGTCACCAGGCTCGCTGCAGTCTTGAACCTCGGCACTTCCCCTCGTACCTGCTGCGACGGGGGAATGTGGCCCACTGCTTTGGTTTGAAGTGTCCCCTGTGGAATGAAACAAAAAGACTTTCTCAAGGTTATGCTCCCACACCTAGATGAATTACCAAACTGGGTGATACAAGTTGGCCAGGAAAATCCACACTTTTCTTACGGTTCAAGGCACCAAGGTGACTAATCTCACTTATGAACTTGGTGCTTATTTTTAAGATTTAATACAGTGTAGTTGAGAAAGGGCACAATAGTAGGAAACAGCAGAATTAATAATTGTTCTGGCCAGATTCTCTACTAGCTGGATGACATTGGGTAATTTGGGGAAACTGTGTCACTGATCACATTAGTCAAATAGGGAAACTCAGTGACAAACACAGGTCATGAGTGCACCAGGCTAGGATTCTTGGTTTGGTCACTGGATAGCTTTCCTGCTGTCTTTCAGTTGCCACTACCAGGGAAGTAAACAGAAGGGTGAGCTCTCTCCCAGGAAGCTGCTCCGTTTTCTCCTCCACATCTCTGCCTCTTGGAAGTGCCCCTCCCTTCCTGTGAACTCGCAGCCCTGATCATAGATTTTTATTATGCTGTCAGGGAGAAGATGGACTACATACTATATTCACTTGAGGAATATCACATTGCAGCTTCTCATTGTCCAGTCAGCTTACTTCCTTTTGGATTCCACAACATAATGGCTCTACCAGGGATTTTCCCAGCTGTCACATCTCTTCTTCCGTTCTCCATGACCTCAAGGTCACGAGCGGCTGAAGATGTTCCAACATCTTTTACCTCAGATATCTGGAGAAGGCAGGTTCTTTCCATTGGATCTCCTGACTTTAGACAGAAACTACACTGGCAGCAGGACTGCCCCTCCTCACGGAGGAGATTTTTTCTGGTCCTGCCCCGAGGCAATAACCCTGTCCCCATCTCCTCTTTTCCTGGCCTCTTACCTACACCTTGTTCTCACTTCTTGCACCTTCCTTCTGGCTTTGGCAATTTCTATTTCCGGCAGCAGTGCTTCCAAATATACCACATTAGAATATTTGGTATCCCTGACCTTTCTCCTTTATTATTTGTTCAGATGTGATTTTTTAAAATCCTGTCTTTCTCCCTCCTTCTGGTTGACTCCTCCATCTCAGGCATCACCTTTCCACACCCAACTTGGTGTCACCCTTGTCTCTCCAATCCTTTCAAGTGGCCAAATAAACATTTCTAGCTGCCTCAAAGTAAATTAAAGAGACACAGGCCCTTCCTCCAAGGAGCTCACATTCGAATACAGAAAGTAAGAATAAGAAGAGATTAAAGATATGAAAGCACCTGAAACTTTTAAGGGGGTGTGTCAGTTTGACTAGTGATATCCCAAAATTCATGTCCATTCAGAACCTCAGAATGTGACTTTAGTTGGAAACAGGGTTTTTGCAGATGTAGTTAGTTAAAAATGAGGTCATACTGGATGAAGGTGGGTCCTAAAGCCAATGACTGGTGTCCTCATAAACAGGCCACGTGAAGACACAGAGAGACTCAGTGAGAACGCATATGGCAATGGAAACTGAGAGTGAAGTGATGGGTCTACAAACCAAGGAAGGCCAAGGATTGCCAGGAACCAACAGGAGACTGGAGAGAGACTTGGAACAGACTCTCCCTCAGAACCTCCAGTAGAAACCAATGTTGCTGACACCTTGATGGACTTCTAGCCTCTAGAACTGTGACAGAATAAGTTTCTGTTGTTTTCAGCTACACAGTTTGTGGTAATTTGTTATGGCAGCCCTAGGAATCTAATTTTGGGGTTGGGGAGTGGCATGACAGATGTTAAGTACTGAAATTAGAAGAAAGAGAAGGACAAGATCAAGCTGAACGGTAGGTACTTTCAGCTTGATTTGGCTGGGGTGTGCGGGGAAAAATTGGGTGGGAAGAAAAGCTCCATTATTTTTATTTAACAAACATTATCATACATATGGATTATTATGTTCCATGCATTGTTCTCAGCCCTTTGCAAACATTAACTCATTTAATGCTCATAGTAACCCTAAAAGAGAGCGACTACTTTATTCCCATTTTACAGCTGAGGAAATTGAGACAAGGGGAGGTTAAATGACTTGCCCAAAGTCACACAGCTGTAGACTGGCAGAGCCAGGATTTGAACCCAAGCACAAAATTTTTTCCTAAAGTCTGAACTCCTAAATATTACATGATGCAGGTCATTTATTTAAACATTTCAAAATAATAATCCCTATTCTCCTTTTTTTTCCCCCTTTATAAATGAAAGTAAAAAAATCAGACCTTTGTTACATTCTTTCATGTGCTTGGGCCTCTAATGGTCCCATAGATTAGCTGCTGCAGAAAGAGGCTCTGGCCTGGCCTGGCATTTAGTGACCCACCCAAAGGACAGATCAGGCATTGTTTCAGCAGAGACACTGTCCTGGTAGGTTTCCTGGTTGGTGATCTAGGCTGGGTAAACGTTCCTGCCCTCATAATGGGCCTGGCAAAGGGCACCCACTGTATCTGGCAGAGAAGGCTCATACGGATGAGGCACAAAAGCCCAGGCTTCCCCTCCTAACTGCTGCTGGCAGATTTTACAAGGAGCCAGTGTGGTTTCTGGCTTGGACTGACAGCTGGTCATCAGCCATCTTATCAGAATATAAAGGATAAAGAGGCCAACTTGTGGGAGGTCTGACAGGCAAATGCCACCAAAAGCAGCACCAAGAAAGTTGGATTCTTAAGGAATAGAATCTCATTGACACATTTTTTTTTTCTACAGCCCTATAAGAAATCCTGGCCTCTATCTCTACCACACAAAACAAGTCTAGTAATTTCAGGCCTCTGAAAGCATTTTCCACTTTGATTATCCAGTACTTAATTCCAGTCATTATCCCAGTTAAACTTTGAGTTCAAAGAAAATCTTCCCTGGTAAGTGTTTTCCCCAACCTGGAAGCCAAGGAGGGAAGTTTTCCATTATCCTAGAAATCAGTTTCTTGCTTGTCCTGAAACAGCATTGTCTGGGGAATTCCCCTTCCTTCTGATCATCTAGGGACCGTCAATCCATTATTTTCTGACTCCCACCAGCTTCAGGATTTCTTTCTTAAAATTTATGTCCTGCCTGCTTCTGGTAGCTTCATAGACTGCTTCTTGTGGCTGTGTTAAGTGGCCCAGTTTTGTATTCCTTTCAAGCCTGGGCCAGAGTGGTCAGTTTGATTCCATGTAAGACTGCTCCGTCTTGATGGGAAAAAATATTTTGTGGGTACCCCAAAAGAATCTAGCAGACTGTTCTGCACAGACAGGATGTTGAGAAAATGTTTAGAAGGAACGACAGCAAATAAGGATTAGGAAGTCTGGATTATATGAGATTTCCTAGCTTCTATCTGTAAAATGAAGCAAGATTCCTAGCCTACTTCTCAGGGTTACTATAATGATAATTACAGGAAGTAAGGTGTGTGAAAGTGCTTTGAATAGACTATAAATTGCTATGCAAAAGTATAAAATAACTATACCTGTCAGCTAATCAAAAAGAAAACAACTTCCACCTCTAGGATCATTCCTGCTCCTACAGTTCTGGTTTCCTGTGAAGCAAAGTTATTTACTTTACTATACATTTTACTCAAAAGGAAAATGCTCTAAGGCTGGGCGCGGTGGCTCACGCCTGTAATCCTAGCACTTTGGGAAGCCGAGGCAGGCGGATCACGAGGTCAGGAGATCGAGACCATCCTAGCTAACACGGTGAAACCCCGTCTCTACTAAAAATACAAAAAAAAAAAAATTAGCTGGGCGTGGTGGCGGGCGCCTGTAGTCCCAGCTACTTGGGAGTCTGAGGCAGGAGAATGGCATGAACCTGGGAGGCGGAGTTTGCAGTGAGCTGAGATCGCACCACTGCACTCCAGCCTAGGCGACAGAGTGAGACTCCGTCTCAAAAAAAAAAAAAAAACAAAAGGAAAATGCTCTAAATGTTTATAGCAGCTTTATTCATAATCACCAAGAACTGGAAACAATCCAATTGTCCTTCAGCTGGTAAATGAATAAAATTGTGGTACATCTATACACTGAAATTCTGCTCAGCAATGAAAATAAATGAACTACTAAAAAACGCAACACGCAGATGAATCTCAGAAGCATTATGCTAAGTGAAAAAAGCCAGACTCAAAAGTTTCACGCTGTATGACTCCATTTACAGTGTCAAGACTATAAGGACAAGACTCTGGAAGAGGTAAGACTATAGGACAGAAAACCCATTAGTGGTTATCAGGGGCTGAGGGTGAGGGGGGTGGATGTCAAGAAGGGCATAAGGGAACTTTTTGGAGTTCTTCTTTGTGCCTTCACATGGCATGTTTATAAGGACACCAGTCATTGGCTTCAGGACCCACCTTCATCCAGTATGACCTCATTTTTAATTAACTACATCTGCAAAAATCCTGTTTCCAACTAAAGTCACATTCTGAGGTTCTGAATGGACATGAATTTTGGGATATCACTAGTCAAACTGACACACCCCCCTTAAAAGTTTCAGGTGCTTTCATATCTTTAATCTCTTTTTATTCTTACTTTCTGTATTAGAATGCAAGCTCCTTGGAGGAAGGACCTGTGTCTCCTTGTTCTTTTTCTTGATTATGGAGGGGATCTAGTGTTCTCAAACTGAATTTTACTGTATGTAAATTATACTTAATAGACTTTTAAGAATTTACTAGAATTTTAAAAAATAAGGCCTCCTTTTCTTCAAACTGGATCTATTCCTAGAAAGCAGGATCCAATTTGCTTCTAATCCATCAGAGGAAAGAGTCTGATGGGGAGAGTCTTGCTGCTGATGAGGGACTTTTCACAACCATTTGCATCACTGACCATAGCTGGTTTTGACACTAAGCACTTGGCTCAAAGTCTATGAAATTAGCAGGCTCTAGTTACTTGTACATCTCAACTGTCACAACTTTATTGACGAGAATGGCTACCAGCTGTCACCCTTGCCTCTGCTTCTGTATTTGGTGATTCAGACTTCATGGCCACAGCAAATCAAACCGTGATCCTGCTATGGCTCATCGTGTTGAGGTTTGAACTCCCGGCCAAACGGCTGTCGTTCAGCTGTTAGGCTGCCCATCACCCGTCACTGTGGGTTAAACATGATAGGTACACCAAGATCTTCCAACTCTTCAGACATCTGAAAGGCAACTTGCTTTCCACACCAGAAGGCAACAAATCTGGTGATATTTAGCTCCTAGATTTTAGAATTTCTGGCTTTACAGAAGCAGGGTGACAATGGAACTTGCTATCTTTCAGAACAAGTTGCAAAAGGGCCTCAAACTAGTGAGGGGGACAAATGATGTCAGGAGCACACCTAAGTCTTAACAATTTTGAGCTTCCTGAAAATTTTATATACACAAATGAATCAAGGTTTCAGCATGAATGGAGCACAGCTCTTCACAAAAAACAAAAACAAAACCACTTGAAATCTCTTACATGTTATTGTTGTATTCTATTTTTTCCCTGTCAAATAAACAAGACGTAAGTTAAGACTTGGAAAATTCTTTTTACAAAGATTTTACTGTAATCTAATTTGAGATTTGACAGGTACTATTTTTCTCCAGAAATGAAAGAAATTGTTTCATCTTTTTGAAGTTATAGCATTTTGTTTTTGTTTTTTTGAGACAGGGTCTCACCGTGTCACCCAGATTGGAGTGCAGTGGTGCGATCTTGGCTCACTGCAACCTATGCCTCCTGGGTTCATGCAATCCTCCCTGCTCAGCCTCCCAAGTACCTGGGATTACAGGCATGCGCCACCATGTCCAGCTAATTTTTGTGTTTTTAGTAGAGACAGGATTTTGCCATGTTGGCCAGGCTGGTCTCAAACTCCTGACCTCAAGTGATCCACCCGCCTCGGCCTCCCAAAGTGCGGGGATTATATGCTTGAGCCACTGTGCCCGGCCTGAAGTTACAGCATTATTATGTCCTCCATAGAAGAGTATTTCACAGACTTTTTTCCCCCCCAGTGAAGTTGACATTTAGGAAGGGAGTACAGAGAGGGAAGTAACATTTCATTTAGTGAATACGTACCATGAGCCAGGTACTGTGCAGGATGCTTTGCATATATTACCTGCTATCATTTTCATAGCAGTCCTGAGGATTAGGCCTTAATGAGTCCCATTTTACAGCTGAGGAAACTAAGGCTCAGAAGTTAAGTACTTTTCCCCAAACTACATGGCAAATGGCAGCATAGCCATCATTTAACATTCATTGTTTGACTCTAAACTCCACATGCCTAGGACAGTATTTCAACTCTTTCCAAAGCTTTGACTGGTACCTTATTTCCAATGTGTCATATTCAAGATGGAAACCAATGGCAGGGCATGGTCTACTGAAAAGAGCACTGAGTGAAGGCTCTGAAGAGGGCTCTGAAACCAGTGTTTAAACTTGCAGAACACATAAGGGAGACACAACTTATTTAACTCTCTGTGCTCCTGGTTCCTCTGTTAAGAGGTAAAACAAAGCCTGCCTTTCTATTTCCAAGAGTCTTTTGAAGAAAAATAGCATGATCATTCTTGCCACAGCCCAGTTAGCTTTCCCCTAAACGTTTCTTTACTATTGTGTAGTTACAGTCTAAACAACTAATAAAAGTTATAAAATGTGATAACATATTTTATGATTCTACATGAAATTGTTTTAAAGACATAGAGTAAAGGCAACTCAAGTGTGTAATCGATCATAATAATGTTGTTTCATTCTGTGTTGAGGTGGCAAAGATACCTTTTCAGGCACCACTTCTTTGCAGCTAGACTCTGGAATGCTAAACAAGGTTCATAATGGAGAAAACTGATTCCAGATTGTAGGCTCTAACCCTGGCGTCCTCTGAAGTTATAATATCGAGTCCTAGGGGTACCTACTGTTGCACAAAAGTTTCATCTTAAGCATACTTGTGCCATGCCGGTATGATATTGGGCACAAGTGGACCTCCAGCCCACAATGACTTTGCAGCTTCCTCTCTGTGCATTAGGTAAACAGTATTCTGCCCTCTGGCTTATTTAATCCTAGCATGGGCAATAATTTTATTCCATAGCAAAGGAGATTCCTGTGCATTCCAAGCTATGCCATGACAAAAATTCTATCGTTTGTGCCAAAGAGAGATTTGGCAGAGCTCATTTCTTGTCAGAAACCTCGAAACCACAGGCCATCCTGTCTCTGTACTACACCACTTGCTCTAAGCCTTGTCACAGACAAGGTATGTTTTCCTCAAGTAAACCACAATGCTTTCCCCCTAGACATTTCCCCCTACAAGATATGTTAAGCCTGCAGCTGTCAGAAATCAGCCCCAGGCCAGGCACAGTAGCTCACGCCTGTAATCCCAGCACTTTGGGAGGCTGAGGCGTGCGGATCACTTGAGGTCAGGAGTTTGAGACCAGCCTGACCAATGTGGTGAAACCCCATCTCTACTAATAAAAGAGCTGGGTGTGGTGGTGCATGTCTGTAATCCTAGCTACTTGGGAGGCTGAGGCAGGAGAATCCCTTGAACTCAGGAAGGGGAGATTGCAGTGAGCCAAGAACGCACCATTGCACCCCAGCCTGGGTGACAGAGTGAGACTCCATCTCAAAAAAAAGAAAAAGAAAAAGAAAGAAAGAAAGCCCCACTTTCTCAAGTATGGGAGAGCTAGGGAAACCAAGATAGCATGAGAGTGAAGTGAGCAGGACCCCTCGCCTAGGACTGAAGGGCATCCTGTCTTGTGTTAAACAAAGGTTTAGAAGATGGGGGGGTAGGCGGATGGGGAGGGCTAGTTTGCAGTTCACAGTGCATCTCAAGCTCAGGTGCACCAGGTAAATTATTTCCCCCAGATGTTTTATTGCTATTCTGTGGATATGTGGATACGGAAAACACCAGGAAAAGAGAAGCAGCTGCCTCCTGCCCTACGGCCAAGAAGAGTTTGGATCTTGTCTTCTCTCACACCTGTGCTTCCTCTGATAAAGACAGTGAGTTTGAAGAATTTAGCTTTTGTGTGAAATGACCAGGGATCTAAGAAATAGAAATGAAATGAGTGAAGAAAAAGTGAAATAGAGGTAGAACTACAAATAGAGACACAGAAAAGAGTGACAGAGGGCATGCTTGTTTTCCTTCTGTTTGTTCAAAATGGACCTTTTCTTTCAATGGTGCATTTACTTACAGTCCCCCTCTTGTTTGGCTTGGGATCAACAATCTACTTATGTACAGCTTTAGCAGGATGAAAAATATCTACTACAGTCATTTTTACCTTCAAGAAGCATGGGTCATTTCAATGCATACACTTGGCTGTGTTTTATAATAATTTGTACTCTTTGTATTGTTTTAGATTTTACAGAGCTCCATTCCAAAGAGCGTTGGCAAAATACAGAGTACTTGATTTATTCAAACAGCATCCCTTTGAGGGAAAGCATATTTTAGAGTGCTCTGTATTGGAGTTGGATAATTTGAAGCCCCAAATTAAATCTCATTGTTTACCGTGGGAGCCCCAGCATAAAGTAGGTGCTTAACAAATAGTAGTTAAGTAAGTGAATGAAAGAAATATCCCAGTTTAAATATAGTTGTCCTGCACACGTAGGCAAATAGCGGGAAATTTAGTTCTAGGAAATTACAACCACCTAATCATTGCCAACCCACTGATGATGCTAAAGGAAACAGCCTTTTAAACAGCCTTTTGAAAAGGCTAGGAGAAAACCTTGCACTGAAAGAGTTTAAAAGTTCAGGCAGTTTTATACACCAAAAACTTGGTTCTGTTACAAAGTAGGGTCAGGCTGTCTGGATACGATGTTTGCTTTCTCTTCTGGTAGCAGCATTTAAAGCAACTCTGCTCTGCATGCATCACATGATGTGCCCAGTGGTTCCCAGCTGCAGTGGCTTAAAATGCCTGTTCACAGGCTCAAGGAAGGCACCCTGCCAGCCTCGTCAGAGTCTCTGCTGATGCTGGGAAAAGCACTCTCCCCAAAGAGCATCAGAAGAGAAATGGCCGTCACTGTTAGAGCTATTGTTATCTTGTGATAACATCTGTGTTTTTGGCAGGGCCAAGGAGGGGAGTATGTAGGAAGCTGATCCAACAACAGAGAGAAAGAGAAAATAACAATTTCCACAGCACTGAAGCAATTAGATGAAAATGTCCTGTAAACTAGCGTCTCTTCCGACTCCTGTGCGTGTGTGTGGGGAGAAGCAGTGAGGTGCTGGAAGACCACTCCTCCTGGGAGAAGGTTCCAGCCCCTAGGGCTCCACTGTCACCTATTCAAAGGGCATTTCTCCTTTGAGAGAGGGAGGCCCACAACTTTGCTCTCATCTAAAACACATATCCTGAATTAGAGGGGCAGTTTTAAAGCCAGAGCTTTAGAAAAATTAATGAATGAGATATTACATGTAGGTCTTTAATAAAGTTCCCTGCAGTTAGTTTGTTTTGATAATTTTCACTGAGGAATGTAAGCTTTTTTTGGTTGAATAAATGTAGTTAGGTCCAATTTCTGAAACATAAGGTAATTTAAAAATATAACAGATTAGTAATGGAATCAAGGTCACTGTTAGTTTTTACTTAGAATACACCATCTATTTGAACACTAATATGTACAATTTTTTTCGGATTTTAACAAAGTATGTATTTTAATTATTTGGCATTTAAAGGAATGTGTTTTCCTGTGGCAAGAACCCATTGTCAGAATTAACCAGTACAAAAAACAATGAAACATGCCACTTCTTGCCAAGGTGATATGCAGAGTTGCTTCCCACCTCCCTCAGCCCCGCAGAAAAGAAACTGATAGACAATACCTTTGCTCAGGCTCCTTTACTTTCTCTTCCTCTCCCCTCTCCCCTCTCCCCCCTACATCTCATAAAGGCCCTTTATTGACTGTGCAGTGTTATACACATAGGAAATGTATCCTTGTGTACCCAGGGTATTTTTTTTCCGTTTGTTTTCTCTTCCAGCATTTGATTACTGGCTGGTGAACTGTTTGGGCCCGCAGAGATCTCTAGACCACCAGCTCATGTATTTGAAAGGCATCTGTTTATTTTGAAAATGCAAATGTGGCCTACCTCAAAGACTGACAGGCAAGAAATGACCCACTGAGTTGGGGGAGAGGTTTCCAATCTGGAGCCCTGTCCCTCCCTCGATCACACCAAGACCACTGGCTGTCAGAATCACTGAAACCTGCTCCTGGAATCTGAATGAAGGGCCCACAATTAAAAACGAGCAATAATTAGCCAGGCAGATTATTTCTCACCCAGTTGAAAGTAATGATGAGGACATTTACCAAGGACTCTGAGGCTTTGAAATGGTGGCTCCTAGACCGAGGGCTGCCTGGAGGAGGGCCCGATAACAAGGACACAGAGTTCCTAATGGTGGCCGCCCAGTCCTTATGAGGAGAAAGCCTGGGAAGGTTAATACCCTGACTTTGATCTCTGTCAAGGCATACCAGCAAGAATTAATTTACATTTCAGATGAAAAAGGTTGACAGCATGAAAAGGCATCTTGTTTCTGGTATGTGAATGTGCCGTAATAGATCGGGAATTCTGAAAGGAAGTTCTGAGGAAGCTAAAGGGATAAGCCGCACGGCTGCTTTTATTGGGAAGGAGATGAAAGGAAAACAAATTTCAATATGTGCTGCCCTGTAGCAACATGTAGGCCAAATGCTTCCTAAATTTCAAGGGCCGCTCTTTTAAAAATATATAACATATCTTAGCAACACCACTTAAGAAAATACTATGGGCCAGAACTAGAAATACAAATGCATTCCACAGAATCTAAATTTCAAATGAAATGATTTGTTGAAAAAATAATAAATTAGAGAATAACCTTAGAAAACAACCGGAAATGGTTGTGCTGTGACAACATCCCTAAGCCACTTCCTGCAGGCTCCTAAAGCGGGGAGCCACTGTATCTGGGTCTGGTTCTACTAGGAAATGTCCTAGTGGGACGAAGAGAGGCTTGTAATGAGATTATGTTTGGGGAAGATCACAACCCCAAACAGAAACGTCGGAATGAGTTGCTTTGCTTCTTAGATAAACGCAATTATGCCTTCAAATCTAAAGATAAGGAAAATATTCCCAAGTAAAAGTAAACTGCCCATAAAATTGCAAAGATTGCTACCCTATTCATGCATCTTTACCACCAACACAAAACCAGCGCACCAATTCCTGTCCACGGTGTTGGCTAAAGGGCAGATGCTGTCTGCCTTTGCTCTGGCTGCCACACTACTTCTAAGAGGGCAGAGGTGGTGTTGGTGCCACCTTCATGCCCATCTAAGCCCCTGCAGACTCAGTTAATGGAAGTTCCCAACATCACTTGATAGGCAAGAACACTTTGGCTGCAAGGCTAAGAAAGGGGAGGTGCTTGCAAGGCTAAAAAAAAAAAAGGACGGCACCCTTAAAGAAATGTGTTTTCTAAAGTCCTGCTGGGTGCTTGCAAGGCTAAAAAAAAGGAAGGCACCTTAATGTGTTTTCTAAAGTCCTGCTGGGTGCTTGCAAGGCTAAAAAAAAGGAAGGCACCTTAATGTGTTTTCTAAAGTCCTGCTGGGTGCTTGCAAGGCTAAAAAAAAAAAAAAAAAAGGGAGACACCCTTAAAGAAACATGCTTTTTAAAGTTTCGCTGAGCAACATTATCCTTCCATGGTAGCTACCCCATAGGTGCTCCACTGAAAAGATACAATTATTACTATCCTGATCCATGATGATGAAGCAGACCCATTTCTGTTTTACAGCAGTATTCACTTGGCATTAACAGAGTGCAAGACAGGGAGCACTCAAAAGATGACTTTCACTTAGGGAAAATTGGATTTATGATTCCTGTATACTGAACTCAGTGGATCAACAATAAATAAGCTCAAGCAAGTTTAAATTTTAAAACACATGTTGGCCTTTGTACCAAACTGCAAGATCAGAAATCAGTTTGGTACCCTGTTTTAATGAGAGATTGTGTGCGTGTTGGGAGGCAGGCAAGTAGGGAACAAATGATGCACTTTGAGTTCTCTCTTAAGCTGTAACAAGAATTGCATCCCTCTTCCTGGGGCTTTGAAGTTGTAGAGCTTAGAATTCCTAGGAGATGGTGTTAAAAGTTAACATTTGCATTTTAATAGCACTCTTTCCGCCCAACTATTTTCGTTTTGAATGAAGACATCAGGCTTCTACAGTGGTCTAAGAGTTCTGAGAAGTTTACTTGGAGCCAGGTTCCGAGGAGGGACTTCTTTCAAGAGGTTGCAGCTGTTTTATTTAAGAGTTTCCTTCAAGCTCAGCTGTATGTGAAATCCTATCACTCTCTCTGCTGCTGAGTCTACCAGCCTGGCTATTTCTCTCATTCTGTCTCTAATTTCTTGTGGCTCCTGGAGCTCAGGGGCCTGTTTCTTCCAGAGCCTCGAGTAGGAATATGCAGCTTCAAATGAGGGAAGGAGCCCAGCCTGGCACCCGCACCCACAGTGGACACTGCCATTTGCAGAAGAGCAGAGTGACTGAAGAGCCAGAGAGGGGACGGATGAGTCAGAAACCAGAGCTTACACCTCTCAGGCTGCCAATAGCAAGCCGAGCCATAAAAGCCACCATGTGCTCATGCCATGGGGCCCAGAGGACCATGATAGCCACATATAAGCCTGGATTTGGGAAACAGTTTGCTGGGAAACTCCCTGAGTGATTCCTCCTCTGTGATGCTAAGAAACAGGTCTTGCATATAATTAGAGAATTCCAAAATGGGAAGGCACCTTCTGGACCTTTTTAACCAGCGCTCTCATTTAACAGACGAGGGACATATGACTCCGAGAGGGAAAGGGTTTTGTTCAGGTGGCAGTATGCGATGCTGACTCTATCCAAACGGCCTGTGTTCAAATGCTGGCTCTGCAACTGATGAACTGTGTGATGGTGGACAAGTCCCTTCACTTCTCAGTGCCTCAGTTTCCTCCTCTATAATATCAGGTATACAAGAGAACCCAGTCAGAGCATCCTTAGCCAAGTGTGGCAAACAGCAAATGCTCATGCTCACCGTTAGCATCATAGTTATCACACAAGGAGGGTCAGAACACTAGGACTCCTGTCTCCCAGAACTCTTGACTCATTCCAGTGCTCCTGAATTATTAACCTTTCAGCTTTTCTACATTCACAGAAGTTAGTCACAGAATATTTTCAAGTGGACACTGTGAAAATGATGTTTTAATTACCTGCTTGATTATGAGCAGCAGACTCATTCCTTCTGTTGCTTATTTTCTTAAATTTCCTCCGAGCATCATATCCTCTCCAGGCTAAAAATATAAAACCATGTGCTAGGAATGACATTAATTTAAGAACGTGCCAGAGAATTGATATAAGCTGTTTTCCCCTCCAGCCTATTGCCCGTCTCATCCTCCCTCCTGCTTTCTCACTGAACAAAATAAGCAGAGGTATGTGATCTATGGCGAGAAGAGAGGCCTCTCTGTTCTCACAGCTTGGCTTTAAAGATGCTTCTGAGGGGTTGCTTTTGTTCAGGCAGTGATTTCCAGAACACTCTGGGTTCCACTGATGAATCACATGGGACCCCTACTCCAGGTGAGATGGTTTCCTGTCATTCTAATCCCTGGAGAAAGCCCTGTCTTCAAGACTCGGGGATATGATACAGGTGGAAGGGTTTGGCAGGGATGGTAGAAAGGAACTGGAATAGCCTGACCCTTTCAAAATCTGTTATTTGGGAGAAAAATATAAACAGGAAAGTTGAAGAAGAGAAAGAGCGGAGTTAAGGGAAATGATAAGTAGCACAACACTGTCATTTGCTGTGAGTGAATTCTGTGCCGAGAGGTATGCTGAGGGAGAGGAAAGATGTGCAGTGGGAAGGGAAAAGGCAGGGAAGAAAGGTGAAGAAAAAGAGAGAAAAGAGGAAGGGACTCTCTGGGGCAAAGGTGGTAAGCCCTTTAGATACAAAACTGGGGCATTAAGCCACCCACGAGGAGCATAATGTCTTTGTTCCTCCCGTCTCAGCATCACAACTCTCGAAGTTGCTGGGTGAGCTCATGAAGTCCAAAATAGACTGAGCCACATGAGGATTCTGGGTTATGAGAGCATAAGGGAAATCATCCACTTTGTTCAAGATCTGGTGCTTTCATAATCATTTGTCTATTGCACAGGAACTTAAATGTTGTGTGTAACACTAATAACACATATACGTAAACAAAGAGGCACTGACTAGGCAGGGCACATGAAAGAGATTAGCAACCTCTTCCCTTGGTTTATAAGTTCCATCTGGACTAGAAAAGCCTTCTGGAAATGGCGTTAGTAACTCTGGTACTGAACACCTGACCACAGACCTGAAGTGTATATTATCTCAGTCATTCTGGGAGATGCGGCACATATCTGTGTGACTGGGGCTTTACATCACTGGTCCATTTATACCGCCACTATCTATCCTGTCACTCATGTTGTAAAGACTTGTTTGCTTACCTGCAAGTCAGGGACCATGGCAGTTGTTGGGGCTCAGATAATAATTCTCCAAAATATGCTGCTTTGACTTCAAACTTAGAGCACCTGGGTAGCAGCAAATGCAGGGAAGGGCTTTCTCTGAACTCTCCCTATCTATTAAAGGCAAACTCCTCCAGAAGATATTCAACTGTGTGAATCCCTTCCCCAGATATCTCCTCAACCAGGAGAAACTGATGCATACCCCAGGAAGAAAGACTGGAGTAAATATCACCCAGAGGTCAGATGAACTTTGTCCCAGGCTATTGCCTGTTCCTTAGGCCCATTCATTTCCCTCGTAAACCTTTGAATCTTCCCTTAAAACTATCTACATCCTCCACTTCCCTCTCCCCTATGAAGAGGGTATTTAAGCTTCAACCATCTGGCCTTTGAGTTTCACACTTTTTATGACTTGCATGTTAATAAATTTGTATGTCTTTTCTCCTGTTAACCTGTCTTTCTCAGTTTGTTTTATAGACTCAAATTATCAAATCTTCAGGACACGGAAAGAAAGTTTCTTTCACCCCTACACAGTCTTGCTCATGGCTGTGATTTCAGCACCTGGCACAGAACCTGTGTAGTAGGCACTTGATACACATTTGATACACATTTGCTAAAGGAAGGAAGGAAAGAAGGAAGGAAGGAAGGAAAGAAGGAAGGAAGGAAGGGAGGGAGGGAGGGGAGAAGGAAGGGAGGGAGGGAAACCACTTAGAAGAGAAACAGTTGAGTATTCCCCAGTACTTAATGACATGCCAATACCCAGGGCAGTATTTATGAGAACAGGACCATTTACCTGACTGGATGGCAATGGCTCCCTTCTCTCTCTTCTCTCTGACCCTTTTGTATCTCCTGGCTCCAAGCCACCCCTTGGTATATGCCTGCAGCACAACCACTCTGCCTATGACTTCTCGAAGCAGCAAATTTAATTGCTCAACATGGTAATATTTGAGAAAAACCTGAAACGAGACAGTAGTTTTAGCATTACATATGGGTTCCTCAACAGAAATTCACTCTACTACAGCATATTCTAAATGAAAATATTAAAACAATGATATAAATAAAGTTTATAGCGATGTGACTTATGCTCACATTACTGACTTCATGGAGGTAAATACAATTCTCCTTCTAAGATTGAGCCAATCCTTGATAATTGATGTAAATAGATGATGAGGTCAACAGGGTTTAAGCGATTCCAAATGCTCTCCAGGCCTGTCTCATGTCAGTCAGGAGTTCATTTTCTCAGTTTGAGCTCTATCTACTCTCTTTCCCCATAGCCTCTGATAAAGGTGCTAACCAAGAGGACTGACCCAGCCAACAGTGGAAGTTCAGAGGGTGAGGTACCTAGATGATCCACAGTGATCTAATTTCTGCTGAGGAGGAGCAGTGTTGCCATCGTCACTCAGGCAGAGGCTGGTTTTATAAGGCAATCAGGATGGACCATAAAAACCTGGGATCCTATGGGGACGTGACGTTCTCCCAAATGAAAAGCTACAGATGCTGAGACTAATAATCAGGCTATGCAGCAAATAACATGAGTCCAGTGAAAAAATGGACAAAACTCTACTAGAAACTCATCACTGCCGTTAATATGATTTGTGTATTTACATGTGGTACTGGAATAAGCAGCATTGAGAAAAGAAACGTTTTTAAATGAGCTCAAAGATCTCATTCTAAAAATGCTAAATAGCTCTCAAATTACATACAGAACAGGAGGCAAACCCTCCTCCTCTACTCCCTAACGTCCCCAACCTCTTGACTTAATACCAGCAAAGACCATTGTTACGTTGGAGTCTTGTTTGCTAAGCTACACAACTTACAGAGCCATTCATGCCAGTGACATCACTGACAAGAGACAAAGAAATCATACGGGACAATTTGAACAATAAAGAACGAACTACCTTTGTTTTTCCCAGTACCCAGTGATCTAATCTGGACTTTTCCAAGATAGCCACACAGCTCTCTTTGCTAGCAAGAGGTGTTTGATGTGCTGTGAATGCCAAGTAATAATACCTGCAAAATAAAAGAATTAAGTGAAGCCTTTTCAGTCACCATTTGACTCAGCATAGTAGAATTACTCGGGACCATTGACACACCTTGTTTTTTAATAGTAAATATTTGTCGAGCACCAATAATAGCATAGTAGGTAGTAAAAGATACAAAATTTATACTTATGAACTTGGCTCTTCCCTACTTTCATATGTTCTGCAATGTGTATTTACTTCCCTTTTAATGTTGCTTTGTAATTCATATTCAGTGCATACTTGGTGTCTAGTGCATTCAAAATCAAAATAATCTTTTTAGAAAGCTGAAATTTAGACAACTCTCCTAGTGAAAGTAATACTCCTAAATATTAGTATTACTACTATAAAAAATAAATTCCATTGTATATATTTTGACTCTGCTTTGCAAAGTCCCGTCTAAAGCAATTTGTAGATAGCAGAAGTGATCACAGCCTAACACTACTGATTCTGCTGAGCTATTCATCTTACTCAGCGTATAGAGGAGGTGTATTTTCTTGATATAATCACGAAAACCACATTTGTTTTCTTAAATTACTTCATTTTAGTGAACTTCTAAACTTTCAGATTAAAGAGTTTCAGAGAAGAACACTGTAGTGAAGGAAAAGCATCTTTTTTTTTTTTTTTTTTTTTTTTCTGAGGCAGAATTTCACTCTTGTTGCCCAGGCTAGAGTCCAGTGGCGCCATCTCGGCTCACTGCAACCTCTGCCTCATGGGTTCAAGCGATTCTCCTGCCTCAGCCTCCCGAGTAGCTGGGATTACAAGCGTGAGCCACCTTGCCCAGCCAGGAAAAATATCTTTTCCTCACCCATCCAAGTTCACAGCTGAGGCCCCTAGAACAAGAGACAGATAAACAAGAGAAATGCGTACCAATTCATTTAACGTAAGTTTTAAGTGACACAGGAGCCTTCATGAGGAAATGAAAACCTGAAGAAACAATTAGACTTGTGTATTTCTTTTTTTTTTGAGACTGAGTCTCGCTCTGTTGCCCAGGCTGGAGTGCAGTGGCGCGATCTCAGCTCACTGCAAGCTCTGCCTCCCGGGTTTGCGCCATTCTCCTGCCTCTCAGCGTCCTGAGTAGCTGGGACTACAGGCGCCCGCCACTGTGCCCGGCTAATTTTTTGTATTTTTAGTACAGACAGAGTTTCACCATGTTAGCCAGGAAGGTCTCGATCTCCTGACCTCGTGATCCACCCGCCTTGACCTCCCAAAGTGCTGGGATTACAGGCGTGAGCCACCGCCCCTGGCCTAGACTTGTGTATTTCTATGCCAACTTTGATGAAGAAGTGGATAATTGTGGAGAAACAGAATCGAAAAAATAGTTTATTACCCTAATGGTAATTAACTGAGGAAATTTAGCAAGACCTGTTTGTTCAGATTCTTCTCTGTGTCCCTGTGTCTTCAGAGATACAAATGTTCCTTTTCTCTGGGTATAGGAAGAGTACCTTTCACGTGTGGGTCTTATGACCTGCTTCAGGGCAGAAGGGCAGGAGAACGTGAGAGTGACCTTCCTACCTCTGCTATTTTCTCAAATGCTACAGTGCCATATTTGGGGGTGGTGTGTCCTGAACTCCATCGTTACCAAAAGGGTTTTTTCCTCCCCTTTCCTTTCTTCTCCTTTATTCTCCCTGTTTTTAAAAATATAACTTGTTGAGGCACCAGGCATAGTGGCTCATTCCTATAATCCCAGTACTTTGAGAGGCCAAAGTGGGAGGATCACTTAAGCCCAAGAGTTCGAGACCAGCCTGGACAACATGGCCAAATCCAGTCGCTGCAAAAAATTTAAAAAATTAGCCAGGCATGGTGACATGTGCCTGTAGTCCCAGCTACCTGGGAGGCTTGAGCCCAGAGTTTGGGGCTGCAGTGAGCCATGATCACACCACTGCACTCTAGCCTGGGTGACACAAGGAGATCTTGTCTCAAAATTAAAAAATATACATATATATAAAAATATGTATTATATATATTATATTATACATATATATTATATATAACTTTTTGAATATATTATCCTTTTAGAAAATCTCACCTTAGTTTTTCTTTAGAAAACTTGCAAGGCATTTTTTTCTCTGCTCTTTGCTGCCATCTATAATTTAGTTCAACCCCTTGAAAACTTTGAAATAAACTTAATTTCTTTGTCAAAGGATTTTCCTGCCATTCCTCAAACGAGACTAATCTGATATTTTGAAATTACTTTTAAATATAGAGCTGTTTTTACTTTTTAAAATGTGAAAGATATCCCTCCCCCCTGCCAAATATATCCATATCTTCCTGTTTATGGAAGAATAAGTGTACCTAATTAGTACTTGACTCATTCAACTTTATCTTCCTGCTACAGAATTATTTTGCAAGTTAGGATATAATGCTGAATTTGCTGGAAACATTTGCATTCAGAAACCCTGGGGCTGTTTCCAAGGCTCTGAATCTCTGTTTCCACCTTTGGGGAGGAGGGGCAGTGCTCTCTGAACCTGAACAGTAGCCAAGACCAGATGATGCTAGATCATTTGGCAGAACCCAGGAACCTGCTCATAGCAGATATCTTCCGGAGCTAAGTGGGAGGAGGGAAAGCCAGGAGTCAAGCTTAGACCTTTCTCTGGACAGTTCATGGCATCAGCACAGATTCTTCAGCCCCAGGTTCTCCAGGACTGTAGTTTTGGTTATGATTTCTCTGACTTGGCTTTGGCCACAGCAAAAAGATTGTGTCATGGAGCACATAGGGATGGTGGGAATGGCTGGCAAATCTATTGCGGTGAGAAAAGTCAATGGTAAAATCAGGATTTCCTATACTTTTAGGACCAGCCATTTACAACATGGGTTCCACCGGCTTTAAGTAGCCCAGGCTTGCTTATGGTGAATGCTCAGTGTTACTGGTGATGAAGTATTTAAAGAATCTGATGAATGACCAGCACCTTGAAAGATATAAGAGGAGTGTAAGATATGTTCCAGTTCACCAATCAAAGATTTATACTTATTTTTCGGACATCTGTGGGTGTTTTTTTTTTTAGCAACTGTTAGTTTC
Source organism: Homo sapiens (assembly GCF_000001405.40). NCBI lineage: Eukaryota > Metazoa > Chordata > Mammalia > Primates > Hominidae > Homo > Homo sapiens. The sequence goes on along the minus strand of NC_000002.12, from coordinate 170,495,564 downwards.
TAAATAGGCAGAATGTATTCTGATCATTAATATTAGAACTTAACTTTGATTTTCAGTCCATCAACCAAAACATCTTAATTTATTATGATAATAATATTCATATCTAGCTTAGTTCAGAAAGACATGGGTAACAGTACTATATGTAAACAGGCAGTTTTCAAAATATAGTGAAGAAACATGTAAGTGACATATCTATAGTAATCAAGTAAGAAAAGCATAATATGTTTCCTTCACGGAATAATTTTGGATTCTAGCAGGCACCATGGTGATAAATCACTTTGAGCTCCTGTGTACTTCAATGTAAAGGCTAAGCTGAAAGGAACCAAGCCAAGAGGTCCATCAGGAAGGGAGAGTTTTCTGGAAAGATCCATTTTACCCCTTTCCTGAAGCAGCATGATGAGTTAAGCAAAAGATATGCAACAGCAAAATAATAAATGTAAAAGTCTGTCTTGAGAATCTGCACACTTTAGGGCATTGCAAAAACCAGACTTCCCTGAGCTGCCTCTTCTAAGTAGAATTGATTTTATATATTGGAGTCTGAGCACTGAGTTCAGAGTCAGAAGATCTCTGTCTCTAACTGTGGGTGAGTCACTCACCTCTCTGTACCTAACTTTCCACAGGTGGGAATAGGAACCAGATAAGTGGTTCTTAACTATTATCTTGGGTAGGGAGAAGGACATGGGGCTCAAGGCTCTGTGAAAGTCTGGTAAAAGCTATACAAATTCTATCTTGGAAAATGCTCTTAACACAACACATTGCATACAATGTCAAGAAATCCACGTAACTTCTTTTTCTTTTTTCTTTTTTTTCTTCTTCTTTTTTTTTTTTTTTTTTTTTGAGACGCAGTTTAACTCTGTTGCCCAGGCTGGAGTACAGCGGTGTGATCTGGGGTCTCTGCAACCTCTGCCTCCCAGGTTCAAGTAATTCTCGTGCCTCAGCCTCCTGAGTAGCTGGGATTACAGGCATGTACCACCATACCTGGCTAACCTTTGTATTTTTAGTGGAGACGGGGTTTCACCACATTGGCCAGGCATATCTTGAATTCCTGACCTCAAGTGATCTGCCCGCCTCAGCCTCCCAAAGTGCTGAGATTACAGGCATGAGCCAACGCATCTGGCCCCACATAACTTCTGATGGCCCTCGAGGACCAAAGAACACTGCAGAATTTTATGAAGACATAAATTTCCCAAGGCTTCATTTTATTAAAACATATAAGCTATCACAATAGTGTATATCCAGTTGAAAAATATCTCTATTCAAAAAATGTCATTTCATTTTCTGTCTAAAATGTTTTGTTGCATGGAATGCAGGCTGTTTCAAGGAAGAGTTTTTAAATGTAACAGGCAAAGCAGTTTGTTAGCAAAAGCAACAGGCAACTAGAGATACATCCTCCTGCATTTAAATTATGGAATCATAAACTGGAAGGATCTGTAAGATTCCAGGATATGTTTGTTTTATATTGCTGTATAACAAATTACTTCAAAATTTAATGCCTTAAAAACAGATATTTATCATTACACAGTTTCTGAGGGTCAGGAATTCAGGAGCAGCTTATTTCTGGCCCAGGGTCTCTCATGAGATTACAGTCAAGATGTCAGCCATGGCTGCAGTCATCTTAAAGCCTGACTGGCACTGGAGGATCCATTTCCAAGATGACTCACTCACATGGCTGTTGGTGGCAAGATTCTATTCCTCACTGGCTGTTGGCAGGAGGCCTCAGCTCCTTGCCACGTGGGCCTCTCCAGGGGACTGCCTGAGTCCCTTCATTATATAGAAGATGGCTTCCCTCAGAACAAAGCGTCTTGGGGTTGGGGTTGGGGTTGGGGGCAGAGAGGGAGAGAAAGAGAAGAATTTGCAATGTGTTTTATGACCTAGGCTTAGAAATGACATACGCTCATTTCTTCTATATTCTTCGATTCCTTAGAAGTGAGTCACTAAGTCCAGATCACATTCAATAGGAGAGGAATGAAGGGAGGAATATCAAATAATTTGTAGACGTATGTTAAAGCCACCACAAAAGATCTCTCAAGCTCATCAAGTCTTCTATCTAGTAATGATAACAAAAACCACTCTTAATGATATAAGATGACTTATCCAAGATGACAGATTAAATGACAGAGGCTAAAATTATTATCCAAGGTCACTGATGTCCAGGTCATTAATATTTTTAAACAACTGACAAGACTCCAGCTAATGAAGTTTAATTTTTGATGCAAGGGGAAAAAAAACAAGAAAGAGTAAAGTTAAATGCTACTTCTTGCCAGAAAGGAAAAGACTGATAAACTTGCCTACACAAAAATAAAATTTTCCTACCTGAAAAAAAATTGGAGATTTGGGAAGAATTGATCTCTTTTAGTTCTTTAGCTTTTGCTTGTTTAGATATAATAGGTTTTCCATGTTACACGTTATTATGCTCTTTATAGAGAGGTCCCAACAAAATGCTATTGTTTGGAATGTAGGCACATCCCTCATCAAAACAACGGTGGTTAATTTCTTGGCCGATTTAACTGATTTAACTTGAACAGTATTACCTTTGAGGGCGGAAGGGAGCTTTCACTTCCCTTCATTCTCCTTTCTTATGTTCTTTAGTGCAAATGAAGAAAAATCTTTGGTAAGACAGAGTAGAGAAACAGAGACTTTGTTAAATGCACCACAGTTGTCCTATGAGACCTGGCCCATGTCAGCAAAAACAAGGTTTGTGGTCTTTGCTCTGGTTCTACTCAGAAGATTGCGAAGGACATAAGTCTGAGAAACTGTAACGACCAAACATTGCTTTTCCAGGATACAGCCAGAAACAAAGTCTATCAGGTCTCCATAACTTCCAGGCTTTCCCCCAGAGGAAGCAGGACCTTAAAGAGAAGACAGGTAGGAGAGACTGAGGGCACCATGGAGAAGGAGTAAAGAGGGAATGTGGCCCTGGACTTTACTCAACATGAGCTCTGTATTTCTGAAAGACAACTTAATTATGGAGGAAAAGAAGTGTTTAGAAATTTTGGAATCTTTGTGTGTTCCTGATCAGTTGTCAGATTATTTCTTAGGTTACTTTCGTTCATGTAAAGAACTAGTATCTGACCTCTTTCAACACAACGTGGGCAAAACGGAACTGAACTTAACTGATCAGGCTTCAGACTCTACTACCACATGTCGAGAGCTACCACCTAGGCAGCTAGAATTTATAGGACAGAAAACTAGGAGAGAGCTAAAGATAAAGAGAACCCTGGAGATCTGTGGAGGATATCCTCAAGCATTCAGCAGAGTACTAACTGGCATATTCATACGAGGAAACTATCCAAGACTGGAAAGAACCATCTGAGAGGATTAGAAGGAACAGTGCCCAGTGCTTACAAAGGGCTGGCAATACCAGCTGCTTATGCCAGCCCGACCAGTTGACTTCATAATTCATAGGACAATAGAGTACTTAGAAGGATCTCACTTCATAGTGAGGAAATATTAGTCATTAACACAGCTCTGGTTCTACCTAACAAATCACAAATCTTTTTTTTTTTTTTTTGAGACGGAGTCTCATCTCTGTCACCCAGGCTGAAGTACAATGGTGAGATCCAGCTCACTGCAGCCTCTGCCTCCCAGGTTCAAGTGATTCTCCTGCCTCAGCTTCCTGAGTAGCTGGGATTGCAGGCATGCGCCACCACACCTGGTTAATTTTTGTATTTTTAGTAGAGACAGGGTTTTGCCACATTGACCAGGCTGGTCTTGAACTCCTGACTTCAAGTGATCTGCCACCCCGGCCTTCCAAAGTGCTGACATGTGTACATGACACATTTACCATGATATACCCTACTCTGTTTCACAAAACATGACTTCATAAATTAAAAAATACATGGCCAGGCACAGTGGCTCATGCCTGTAATCCCAGCACTTTGGGAGGCCAAGGCGGGCAGATCACGAGGTCAGGAGATTGAGACCGTCCTGGCTAAGGGGGTGAAACCCCGTCTCTACTAAAAATACAAAAAATTAGCCGGGCATGGTGGCGGGCACCTATAGTCCCAGCTACTCGGGAGGCTGAGGCAGGAGAATGGCGTGAACCTGGGAGGCGGAGCTTGCAGTGAGCAGAGATCGCGCCACTGCACTCCAGCCTGTCGACAGAGACTCCGTCTTAAAATAAAAAAAAAGTTAATTAATTAATTAAAAAATACTCAAGTCACACAAGTATGTTCTATGGCCACGGTGGAATTAAATTAGAAATCAACAACAGAAAGATATCTGGAAAATTTCCAAATATTTATGAAGAGACTTCTAAATTTACCAGAGGCCAGAGAAAAAATCAAAAAGAAAATTGGAAAGTACTTTAAATTAAATAAAAATGAAAATACAATGTATCAAGATTTGATTGCTAAAGCAGTATTTAGAAATGTATAGTGTTAAAAACTTATCAGGAAAGAATGGTCTCAAATACATGACCTCACCTCCACCATAAGAAATAGAAAAAGAAGAGCAAATTAAACCCAGAGTAAGCAGAATAAAGGAAATAATAAAGATCAAAGTAGAAGTCAATGAAATAGAAAATAGGAAAGCAACTGATGAAACCAAAAGCTGGTTTTCTGATAAAGTTAATAAAATTGGTAAGCCTCTATCCATACAGATCAGAAAAAAAGAAAGGAAAAGAAGAAACAAATTACCAATATTAGGTATGAGATTGGTGATATCCTATAGTTTCTACAAATATTTAAAGAATAATCAGGGAAATATTGTGAATGACTTTATGCCATACCAATAAGCTAAAGAGAAAAGCATATGATCCTAATAAATGAAAAAAAAGCATTTGACAAAATCCAACATCTAATTCTTATTAAAAATTTAAAAAATTAATTCAACAACCTCAAACTAGGAGACAACTTTCTGAATCTTGACTTTTAAAAAATATCTATGAAAAACTTAAAGCTAACACCATATTTAATGGTGAAAAGCTGAATGCTATCCTCCTAAGATTAGGAACAAATCAAGATGTCCACTCTCATCACTCCTATTCAACATTGTACCAGACGTCCTATCCAGCACAATAAGACAAAAAAAAAAATAACATCCATGTTTGAAGGGCGTAAGTAGAATTGTCTTAATTTGAAGATGACACAATTATTTGAATAGAAAATCCAGTGTAATCTACGAAAAAGCTACCATAACTAGTAAGTGAATTTAGCAAGGCTTTAGGATAAAGATCAATATACAAAAATCATTGTACTTCTATATATTAGCAACAAACAATTAGAAACTGAAAATGAGGCCGGGTGCGGTGGCTCACGCCTGTAATCCCAGCACTTTGGGAGGCCGAGGAGGGCGGATCACGAGGTCAGGAAATCGAGACCATCCTGGCTAACATGGTGAAACCCCATCTCTACTAAAAGTACAAAAAATTAGCCGGGCGTGGTAGCAGATGCTTGTAGTCCCAGCTACTCGGGAGGCTGAGGCAGGAGAATGGCTTGAACCCGGGAGGCGGAGGTTGCAGTGAGCCAAGATCACGCCACTGCACTCCAGCCTGGGCAACAGTGCAAGACTCCATCTCAAAAAAAAAAAAAAGAAAGAAAAGAAACTGAAAATGAAAAAATATAATTTGTAATAGCATTTTAATGTAAAATAAATAGGGATAAATCTGACAATGTATAAAACCTGTACATTGAAAACTACAAAACATTGGCTAAAAAAAGTTAAAGAAGACCTAAATAAATGGAGAGAGATATCATGTTTATAGGTCAGAAGAAATAATATTGTTATTATTTAAGTAAAGCAGATTACCCTCTATAATGTGGGTGGACCTCATAAAATTAGTTGAAGGCCTTAAAAGATTGAAGTCCCGTGACGAGGAAGAAAGGGATTCTGTCTCTAGACTGTACTGAGTCTACACACCACACACACTTACCCACACTTACCCACACTTACCCAGACACACACACACACACACACACACACACACACACCCCTACTGGTTTTGTTTCTCTGGAGAACCCTGATTGCTCTCATGTAGGTAAACTGTGGAGACAGAGCCAACCTTGGTGATAAACTTACAATATTGCTAAAGGTAGAGATAAGTTCTGTGCAAAACCATAAATGGTAGAAGGTTGTTTTTAGTGACTTCCTTCCCTATCATTTCTCTTCTCTTTGTTCACTGACTACCCAAGTTCCCCACAGATTTGGGGGCTTCTGCACCGCACACTGGGGATCTAGGACACCCCAATCCCATTGTTCCTCCTCACATTCACAAACAGATCTTCCCTGCCCTGCGTCAAAACTCTATGCCTGGGCATTCCCACAGGGCTGTCTCTGCAAGGGACTGGCTGGCTCCTTTAGTAAACATTAGATCCTGAGGGGGAACTTAAAATCATTGATAAAAAACTCTTTCTTTGTACAGAGGAGAAAGCCAGAGAGAAGGCAATTGGCCCAAGGTGAGAAATTTAGTAAGTAGAAGATCTGAGGCTTACCAGGTCTTCTAATTCAGGCTTCTTTACACTTATCAAACCTTCCTAGCTCTTCCTGTGTGCACCTGGTATCTTTGACACTCTGGCAGGCACTTCTGATGCTCCAGCACCTTTCACCTCATTGGAACTCATGAGTGTTTACAGGTATCTGGAATATCAGGCTTTTGACTTAAAGTGTTGATTTCTTCTATCTGAGTACCAGCAGTCTGGCTCTCCTTGACATACGTGTGAGGGATCCAAAGAATATTCTATTTGGATTAGTGTATCAGGAAGGTGCTTCTGTTTCAGTAGAAAGCTATATACATTGTCTTTAAAATAACTTCCTGAGTTATCAGATTATTAGAGTCCTGTTATCCCCTTTGAGCCATTTTGCAACTCTTTCTAAATTCCAACTGATAAATAGATATGTAAATTCTGTCCAGCCTGATAATGATTCTAATTGACTTCCTACCCACTGCAGAAAACCAGTTTTATTTCCATTTGCAATTCATCCCAACATTCTTTTATTTCATATAAGCTATGCTACTTTGACTCTTCCTTTGAACTGATTATAACATCTGCCTAGTTCCCTCATAACGTATGAATAAAATAAATTCTTTTTAACACATTCATCTTTATTTCTGTATGCCAGTCATGATTTTATCTTCTTCTGAACATTTTTTTTTAACAAGGGAAAGAAAGAAGTACAAAAATCTACGCTATAGATCCAGGTTTGACACAAAGGCACACACACAAATGGGCAACTTTTGAGGTAGGCAGTCTTCATACCTGGGTAGACCCAATGCTACCAAGCAATCCTAAAAGGCCTACCTAGTAGGCTAAAAAAAATAAATGAATAAAATAAATAAATAAATAAATAAAACCACTGCTACTTTTCTACTTATAATCTTTGAAGTGGAAAATATTCGTGGAATATGTTCATGTTGGACTTTATCAAGAAAGTCAAACTATTTCCCAAAGAGATTACACTAATTTACATCCTTACCACTAGAATATGAGAGTCCCATTGCTCTCTAACTATGACACTCTATGGAATTAACAGACTTATTGGTTACTGCCAAAATAGGCATAACATGGTGTTGAATTGTGGTTTTAATTTGAATTTCCTTGATTAAAGAGGCTGGATTTTTCCTTTTGTTTTCAATGATGTTCTCTCACAATGAACAATGAATTTTATTTCTCTATTTTTTTCCCCTTGGTTACTCTTACTCATGGAAGGGAGAGGAGAAAGAAGAATCACCATTTTAGATAAAAATTGTATTAGCGTGGGAGATGGCCTACATTTTTTATTTGCACCTCTCATTTTGGTCATTCTGCTCCTGCATTTTTACACTGGGGAAGGATTTGTATGTTTTAAAGATGGCTTTGAAATCCTAACCTAGAATGAATGAGCTCTGCTTTGATTCATCCCTCCAATTGAGTTTTGCACTCAAAGGCATATAAAACATCTGCACCCGGCTTGGAGATCTGCACAGCCCTAAGTCAATGTGAAAATTTATCTCAAGGCTAATTACACAGACTGAAACATTTTTTTATTTATAAAGACTTTAAACAAATTCCTTCTTTTAGAATGGATCATTCACTCTGTAGAGTTTTAGGGCTTTGGTATAACCATGTTGTCACCATTCACCACTTTGTAAATCAAATTGGTTTTTCATCTCCATTAAATAAAACTTGACGTAGGATCTACTGATGTATCAGGCATGGGCAGAAGTGCTGAATGACACGAGTAAGCAAAGCACACAATTTCCCTGCCCTCATGAAGCTTTATATTCTAGTAGGGAAGACAAACATAAACAGAAATATGAAGGACATCATTTTGGATAAGGATAAGAATAAAAAATCAGTGTGGGAAGGTCAATGAGTATACTTTAGGGGTATATTTTGGCAGGCAGCCTTAAGCAACCAAGATAGTGATGAAACTCAAGCCATGTCGTATGAGAAACTGATGAAGAGGCTGGGAACGTGGAGCTTAAAAACAAAAAGACTTAGCAGGGTCTCTGAAACAGTCATGTGCAGACCACCTGCATCAGAATCACCTGGAGATACAATGAAAGATGTGGATTCCTGGGCCACACTCCAGACATAGAATCAGAATCTCTGGGGCTGGACCTTGGGAGTCTATATTTTAATAAACTCCTACAGTGATATTGAGTACTAAAGTTTGAGAACCATTGACTTAGGGGAACATGATAATTGACTGCCATCAAGTGGAGAAGGGAAATGATTTGTTCAGTAAAGCCTTGAGGGTAGAACCGGGGTAGATGCTTAGAAGCTTCTGAAGGATGGTTTCCTATGGTCAGGGTTATGAAGGACATGATGGTGATCAGACATCTCGACACAGGGAATGGGCTACTTCAGGAGCTGGGGAGTGAATTCATAAACACTGAATCTATTCAATGGGACGCTAGTTGATGAGGTCAAGAATGCTACTGATGAAAGCCTAGCCAGGTAGTTGGACTGGATGACCCTTCAAGATTCCTTCTAACAAAGATTCTAGGTTGACTTCTCTCTTGGTTAAAAAGAATGGATTCTAAGCCAGGCACGGTGGCTCACGCCTGTAATCCCAGCACTCTGGGAGGCCGAGGCGGGCGGATCACCTGAGGTCAGGAGTTCGAGACCAGCCTCAACATGGAGAAACCCCGTCTCTACTAAAAATACAAAATTAGTCAGGCGTGGTGGTGTATGCCTGTAATCCCAGCTACTTGGGAGGCTGAGGCAAGAGAATTGCTTGAACCTGGGAGGTGGAGGTTGTGGTGAGCCAAGATTGCGCCATTGCACTCCAGCCTGGGCAACAAGAGCGAAACTACATCTCAAAAAAAAAAAAAAAAAAAAAAGAATGGATTCTGTGATTTTTAAAATAGATGTTTATCATTGATCTGATACTGTTACTGTGATAAATCTTGAGTTATTGTCTTATGTTTGGATAATAAGTTGGAAGCCTCCTAAAATATCCCTAGATAATCTATTAGGGGCTTTAAAACCTCAACTATGATCTCTTCCACAGGATAGTCTCCCCAACATACACCTAGAACAGTGGCTGTCAGTGTAGTGTCCTCATCAGCAGCTGCAGCATGACCTGGAAACTTATTAGAAATGCAAATTCTCTCTTCTCTCTCTCTCTCTCTCCCTCTTTCTTTCTCACTGAATCAGAAACTCTGGGGATGAGGCCCACCAATCTGCATTTTAGCTAGCCTTCCAGGAGCTTCTGTTGTGTGAGAAGGTTGGAGAATCAGTGATTTACAGAAATAGAATCCCAGGGAAATTAAGTGACTTGTTTCCAGTGACAGAGTTTATATAAGCAAAGAAACTGGCTCCCAAGTATCTCCATCATCTTTTCTCTTTGTTAGGCCCAAATGACTTACGGAGTCTCTGGAGCACATCATTTTCTCTTGGAAAAGGTCAACTGCTCAGAATCTCCCCTAAAGAAATCCTCACACATGTTTAATATTTAGGATTGTTTATTGAGCACTGCTAGCAAACAACTGGAAATAATCTTAGTATCCACCAGTAGAGGAACGGCTAAATAAATATCATGAATGTCAATGAGGGGGTTGAAAGGAATTTTGTTAGAGCTATGGAACAACATGGTTTTATCTCTAACATGTATAAGTAGAAAAGCAGTTGGCAAATGGTATAAAAAGTGTGGTTCACAAGCTAAAGTCCAAATTCCTCTTCCTCTAACTCACTCGCTCTCTCTCTCTCTCTCTCTCTCTGTGTGTGTGTGTGTGTGTGTGTGTGTGTGTGTGTTCTGAAAGGATAAAACTACTAAAGCTACTTTAGAGAGGGGGCATCATTGGGCAGATGCTGGGAAATGGAATTAGGGATATGGAAAAGAAATTTTAGCTTTATATGTGATACTTAAAAATTTTAGAGGAAAGGGTGTTCATACATTATTTTTACAATTAAAAATTGACTTCAAACATTGGGTAAAAATTGTTATGGTTTTATTGTAATGGGCCCAAATCCTGGTCAAAGAATCGTGACTATACAAATTTGATCAATATTACTTGCATCTAAGTAGAAACGCCCCCAGTCATATGGCAAAGAAATAAACGCTTTTCCCATTTTAAAATATTCCTTGAAGGACCCTCAATGTATATCAATGACCACCCAGACTGTCTACTCAGAAACCCAAAATACTAGACAATTATCTGAACAATTCAATCCATATAAATAATTTTCTCTTATGTAGATAATGGAGGTAGCAGAACTATTTTGGCTTGGATAATCTGATAATTACCCCCAATTGCCCATTCCCCTTTGTGTGTATAAAAATTCAGATTTAGATTAAGTTCTATCTTATATTTACCATAATCCCTGTTACTTTAATTTTTTCCCTTCATGTTTGGCCTTGAGTAAAGAGACAGAACAGCTGGCCACCATCTGCTGCCTAAAAAAAAGCCATATATTCATTATATCCTTAGACTCCTAAATTTGGGCCTTGGGTTAAGAAATTGCACTAATCTGTGCTATTAGAAAGAAAAAGTCCTGAAATTATAGATTCCTTCTAATGCAGTATTACTCACTATAGATAGCACTTAGCATACAACAGGTGCTTAATAAATGTTTCTGATACTGCTACTGCTGCCTCCTCATAAACTTTAAATGAGAGGCCCCTAAAGAGGAAAAATCACAATGACACTGGGAATTGGAAATTGAGGCTGGATTTACTCAAATTAATTTGTAATAAAAGCTTAAGTTTAAACTGATTATTTACAATTAGAAAATTTATTAATGCATTTTTTTCTGATTGAACTCTACAGATTGATTTCACAATGAATATTCAGATGTGTTCAACCACCTCAATTTATTTATTTTGAGGATGGGCATTTCACATCCTGACTCCATCATCCACATACTCTCTGTGTAACTTTGAGCTAGTTTCCTCATTTGTAAAACCAGAATAAATACCATCTATCTGGGGGACTACTACCAGTGTTAAGTGAGATGATATACGTAAAACCCTAGCATGAAGCCCACCATCAGTAGGTTCTCAATAAATGTCCATCTCTCTCTTCTTCCCTTTAAGAAAAATCTATTTTTCTCTTCTCCTACCCAAACATGTGAAGAAACATAGTTAGCAATCTTTTCTGTAAGTCATCCCTAAACCATCGTGCTCAGGGGTAGGCAGATATTTACTGTAAGTAACTAGAGCATGCTGTACCAGTCACGGCTAAGAGGACAACTGCTCAGCTGATGGACTGGGTAGTGTTCTCCTAGAGCACCATGTTGGGAGGGATTCCAAGGCCACATCGAGGCTGTGAAGAAAACATGCCTTGACTGAAGAGCCAGGTCTGCAGCTAGGGTTGAAGAGTGAAGCTGTGCTCATACCCATGTATTTGCCATCCCCATGCCAGGAGGTTTCCTCACATTCTCTTTCCTCTTTTTCTCCATTTTGTTATTTTCTTCATTGCTTTTTCTTTTTGCTGCTTCATTGTTATTATCTAACATAAGTTAGCCCCACTGATATTTGTTTTAAAGAATCCTTGGGAGGCCGAGGCAGGCGGATCACGAGGTCAGGAGATCGAGACCATCCTGGCTAACACGGTGAAACCCCGTCTCTACTAAAAATACAAAAAATTAGCCGGGCGTGGTAGCGGGCGCCTGTAGTCCCAGCTATTCGGGAGGCTGAGGCAGGAGAATGGCGTGAACCCGGGAGGCGGAGCTTGCAGTGAGCCGAGATCGCGCCACTGCACTCCAGCCTGGGCGACAGAGCTAGACTCCGTCTCAAAAAAAAAAAAAAAAAAAAAAAAAAAAAGAATCCCCAAGCAAGGAGTTTTAATTCAGCCACTGATTTCCAGAGTAAGCTGGGCAAGCAAATCCAAATGTCCAGATATTATTTAATGCCTTCATAATGTCTTTTCTCTTGTTTTCCTTTATTATTTCTTCTTTCCTACAACTGAACTAATTCATGAGGTTGCTTATAACACAGAACATTTGGAAAATCAGAAAAGATAGCCTGGGCTTATTATTCTGCCACCATTCAGTGTTTTGGAGAACAGTGAAATGAATATTAATTCTTGCATCCACTTTTTCAAACCACCACTACAGATTCCTGGCTAAATCTACAGAGCTATCAACTACAGAAATGATTTTTCTAATTGACTATGTGAAAAGCTGCTGCCAGCAGCATGGGCTCCATGAAAAAGGCAGGGCTTAAAACAATTAGTTTTGGGATTTTGTCCCAATTGCCTTAGGCAACTAAGAAAGGGTCCTCAGCCCACAATGCCAATTTGAACCCATCCTGCCCCATAAGAATAAGTAGAGGTGGTCACAGAAGTTCTCTTTAGCCTATAATATTCTGGAAAGACTGATATTGCCTATTCCTAGAGATACCTTGGGGAAGTGATTTTACCTCTATTGCCTCAGACTCTGTAAATAAGATCTGTAAATACAGATCTGTAAATGAGAAAGTTGGATCAAGCCATCTCTTAGAGTCTTTCAGTGATATTGTAAAAGGCATTTTAAGAAAGTTTTTTGTTTACTGCACTAACCAAGTGTATTAGTTTGTTTTCACATTGCTGATAAAGACATACCTGAGACTGGGCAATTTACAAAAGAAAGAGGTTTAATTGAACTTACAGTTCCACATGGCTGGGGAGGCCTCAGAATCATGGCAGAAGGCAAGGAGGAGCAAGTCACATTTTACGTGGATGGCGGCAGGCAAAGAGAGAGCTTGGGCCGGGCACTGTGGCTCATGCCTGTAATCCCAGCACTCTGGGAGGCCAAGGCAGGCAGATCACCTGAAGTCAGGAGTTCAAGACCAGCCTGGCCAACATGGTGAAACCCCGTCTCTACTAAAAACACAAAAATTAGTTAGGCATGGTGGTGCGCACCTGTAATCCCAGCTACTCGAGAGGCTGAGGCAGGAGAATCACTTGAATCTGGAGGGAGAGGTTGCAGTGAGCAGAGATTGCTCCGCTGCACTCCAGCCTGGGTGACAGAGTGAGACCCTGTCTCAAAAAAAAAAAAAAGAGAGAGAACTTGTGCAGGAAAACTCCCCTTTTTAAAACCATCAGATCTCCTGAGACTTATTCACTATCACTACAACAACAAGGGAAAGATGTGCCCCCATGATTCAATTACCTCCCATTGCATTCCTCCCACAACACATGGGAATTCAAGATGAGACTTGGGTGAGGACACAGCCAAACCATATCACCAAGGTTATAACATTCGTAATGTAAGGATTAAGAGAGAAAAGAAGTCATTCAAAGTTTCACCTCCCTAATACTCTAATACATAAACTACCTAAAAGGCACCAACACACACAGTTGGGAAGCAGGTAGCAACTCACCCTCTCAACTAAACAAAGAAAAGCTGATGGAAACGATAGTATGCAAGGAGAGCAATGTTAAAGACCCTCCCAGAGAAGCCACCATGCCACTCCTGCCCCTAGAAGGTAGATGTGGAGACTTCATACAAGCATGAAATATATTTTACTCACAATGTTGAAGCTGTCATCCTCCCTAATTATGTCTTAACAGGTTCCTTACACCATGTAAGTTAATTTTCATGGAATATTCTTCTTTACTTTTTAAAAATTTTTAAATTTTTTTTTGAAACATCTCACTCTGTCACCCAGGCTGGAGTGCAGTGGCACAATCACAGCTCACTGCAGCCTTGACCTCTGAGGCTCAAGCGATCCTCTCACCTCAGCTACCAAGTAGCTAGGACCACAGGCATGTGCCAGACCACACTCTGCTCATTTTTGTATTTTAGGGTTTTGCCAAGTTGCCAAGGCAGGTCTCGAATGACTGGGCTCAAGTGATCCACCCACCTTGGCCTCCTGGGGTTACAGGCGCGAGCCACTGCACCCAGCAATTTCCAGGGTATTGAGGATGCTGTTCACTTTGCTGCAGATGTACTAGCTTACCTGGATGACACATTAAGATCTGTTTATATCAGACTCTCATCTATGTAGCTACAGGTGAAAAGAAAAGAAGTCTAATGATGTCCTGGAGGATTTGTGTTTTCTTATTCCTTATTCACTGTTGTCTACCCAGAGAAAAAAGCAGAAGCTTTTACTCATTGAAAATTGAAGTTTGACATTCAGCCTTTCTCGAGATGTCTGGGTTCTTCTGTGCTGCTGATTTCTCTAAACGCTATCCTGTGAGTAGGCACTAACCTTAGGGCTTAATAAGGGAATATGGTGGACCATGTCCTCATAGGTGAACTTTTCACAATGTTAACTGATGATATTCAGTTCACTTTGCGAGAGTTAAAGGATGTGTTGTAGGCTTAAAACTGCAAACACACTGTTGTGGGAAAAACTCTCAAATGATGTTTTTCCTTTGCTCTCACACCACTACAACAATCATCAACACTAAGACTTCTATGACCAAATGTGTGTGAGTTTTTCCCCACCACAAGCAAGCAGTTAATTCTGCAGCAGATACCAACTGGGCATCCTTCAAATCAATTTGGACATTGTCCACCTGGAGATAGTGTCAGATCCCACTGGTTGAGGGCTCAGTCCCCAAGACTAACCACTCCCCACCCCGCAATGCCAGTCACAAGTCTGGGCCTTTGAAACTTCTCACTGACCAGCTTCAAGTTGGGGTTCCCATGACACCCTCTTTGAGTTCAATTAATTTGCTGGAGCAGCTCTTAGAACTCAGGGAAACACTTACTTTTACCAGTTCATTATAAAGGATACTGCAAAGGATACAGATGAAGAGATGAGTAGGGCAAGTTACCGGGGAAAGGGTGCAGAGCTTCCATGCCTTGCTTGGGTGTGCCACCCTCCAGGAACCTCCATGTGTTCAACTATCCAGAATCCAAACCTCTTGGGTTATCACTGAAGCTTCATGACTTCAGCATTCCTCCCCCTGTGATATATGATGGGACCCTCTCTGGGGAGGGTCTTATGACCCACAATCAGAAAGGGGAAGATTAAAGTCTTGCCTTGGGGCCCGTGAAAGGAGGGCAGAAGGATTCTGTTTCCTGAGGCCTGACACACCAAACATTATAAACAAAAGACTGTAATAAGGGTTATGGGAGTTATGAGCCAGGAACCATGCTGAAAACCTCTCTGTCTATAAATAAACAAATATATGTGTGTGGTGTTATTTTATATATATATATATATACACACACACACATATATATAGGTTTAATATATATACATACACACATATATATAGGTTTAATATATATACATATACATATATACACATATATGGTTTTATAGGTTTAATATATATACACACATATTAAACCTATAAAATATGTTAAACCTATAAATATGTGTGCATATATATACACACATATACACCTATATATGCATATATACGTATATATTAAACCTATATATGTGTATATGTATACTAATATATTTAGTTCTTATTACAAAGTTAACATTCAGTTACAACATATACACATATGTGGGTATATATATTAAACCTATATATAATAGGTGTTATATATGTGTATATATAATACCTATATGTTTATATATGTAGTGTATATGTAACATCTGTTATATATATGTATATATAAAACCTATATATTTATATATAATAGATATAAAATACACCTTTATTATATAGATGTATGTATATATAAAACATACATTTATATAAAATATATATAAAATACACCTCTATTATATAGATGTATATATATAAAACATATATTTATATATAGGTTTTTAAAATATATGTGTGTGTATATATATAAAATCTATATTTTATATATTTTAAATACATATACACACATCTATATAATAGATATATAATATAATTATATTCTATATATTATTTTTATATATAAATATATAGGTTTTATATACATACACACATACATATAATATTTATATTTTAATTTTTTATTTATTTTTTATTTTTTTGAGACAGAGTCTCACTCTGTTGCCCAGGCTGGAGTGCAGTGGCATGATCTTGGCTCACTGCAACCTCCGCTTCCCGGGTTCAAGCAATTCTCCTGCCTCAGCCTCCCGAGTAGCTGAGATTACAGGCATGTGCCACCATGCCCAGCTAATTTTCGTAGTTTTAGTAGAGACAGGGTTTTACCATGTTGGCCAGGCTAGTCTTGAACTCCTGACTTCAGGTGATCCACCCGCCTCGGCCTCCCAAAGTGTTGGGATTACAGGAATGAGCCACCATGCTCAGCCATAATATATATTTGTATATAGGTTTTTAAAATATATATACATATATAATAACACCTATTATATATATATAGGTTTAGTGTGTGTGTGTGTGTGTGTGTGTGTGTGTGTGTGTATGTAAAACCTATATATGGGCCAGGCATGGTGGCTTACATCTGTAATCTCAACATTTTGGGAGGCCAAGACCTCCGAGATCACCTGAGGTCAGGAGTTCGAGATCAGCCTGGCCAACATGGTGAAACCCCATCTCTACTAAAAATACAAAAAATTAGCTGGGTGTAGTGGCGCTTGGCTGTAGTCCCAGCTACTTACGGAGGCTGAGGCAGGAGAATCACTTGAACCTGGGAGGCGGAGGTTGTAGTGAGCTGAGATCGCATTACTGTACTCCAGCCTGGGTGACAGAGTGAGACTCCATCTCAAAAAAAAAAAAACACAAAAAAACCTGTGTGTGTGTGTGTGTGTGTGTGTGTGTGTGTGTGTGTACAATAACACCCCACACACCTTCTCCATGGCCACGGAATTAGAAAATTCCCAGGATCTCACCTGCTTCTAGTCAGGCACGTCTGCACTTTCTGACTCTTAAATGAGGTAGCAAGGAGTAAGAAATGAATGGATTGTAAGGAACTCGAAATATTTACTTAATATTCATTCATCCCGTATTCTTTAAATCACTCCCGCATTCAATTAATAAATATTAGATTTCTTCTCTGAGAGAAACATGACTAACCGCCTCCCCCATTTCCACACTCACTTCTCCCTGGCTAAATGAACACCAGTTTTTTACTGGGTGACAATGTGCCCCAGTCCTGTTCTCCACTTTCTAAGCCTCTCCCTGAAGCTAGGAATGGTCACGGGACCCAGGTCAGGTCAATGAGGTATATGTAAAATGGCTTCTGAAAAAATTTTTTCTTTCCTGATAAAAAATAGTAGAGACGTGGCTGCCTTAGCCATTCATCCTGCTCCTTTTTTCCTGCCTTAAATGCAGACATGATAGTTGAAGGGGCAATAGCCATCTTGTGACTGTGACACTATAAGCCAACCCACACACTAAAGCCGGCCAAAAGGGATGAAAGAAGGTCAGAAGGTGTCCAGGTCTCTGATGACATCGCTGAACAGCTGAACTAATGCTAGAAACAGCTTACCTCTCAACTTCTTTTTTATGTGAGAAGAAATAAACAAACCTATTCACCAGTGGTTCTCATCTTGGGTAATTCCCCGCCTCCCCCTCAGGAGACATTTGACAACATCTAGAGATACTTTTGACTGTCACAACTGCTGAGGGTGGAGGTGTTGGAATCTAGTATGTAGAATCTAGAAAGAAGCTACTAAACATCTTATAAGGCACAGGACAGCTCGCAACAAAGAATTATCTGGTCCAAAATGTCAATAACACAGAGGTTGAGAAACTCTGGCTTAAGCCACTAAGAATGTTTATTTGCTATTCACAGTCAAATGTATTCCTGATTAATAGAGTCCTCCATTCAGGAAACACTGGACACACACCATGAGCCAGATACCATAACACGTGAAGTGCTAGGGATAAAAAAATGAGTAAAGTCCACTCCATCCCTGTAAAAGTTCACAGTCTTGTGGGGCAGACAGACATGTTAGGATAAAAATAAGACTATAGGTTCTAATACAGAGATATCAACATCCAGTTGTGGGAGCACAGAGGATGGAGCAACAACTAGTTTGGCAGAGTCCAGGCAGCCTTCATAGAGAAGGTGCCTGGACTGGGGATTGAAAGATGAAGAGAAAACCACCAGAGGAAGAGGCTTTCCATCAGTGAAGAGAATGCACAAAGGCTGACCATCACACATGGGGCTGGAGGGCCCAAGGTCAGGCTGACAGCAGTCTAGGCTATGTGAGGGAGAATGGTGGGGAAAAATGAGAATGGTCAGTTGAGACCAGTTATGGAAAGCTTTGTGTTCTGCAGTAGGCAGGCCTAGGCAAACCTACCCCCAAAAGTCTAAGGAAGCTGAGAGTCCAAAGAAAGAGGCTGACATATCCGGTTCCTTAGAAAGAAAGAAACATTTAATAGAGATTTATGAACAAAAGCCATGTCTGTGTCTAGGATGGCAGTGGGACAAGATGGAGGATCCCTGGGCCATTAACCCCCAACCCAGTGCTTATATACCATAGGAAAGTGATATGAACAGAAGACAGGGAAATACTCGGTAGAAGAGGATGGTTCCCCGGCAATGGTCCCACCCTCAAGTCTGAATACCCATGGCCCTAAATAAGGACAGGTATTCCTGTTTTTGCACCCAAAAAATTGCCTTTGGGCCCACCACATCCCCTATTTTGCACCCATACAAACCACGAACCCCAGGCTCCAGAGCAGATGAGAAGACAAGCAGAGCATGGCACAACAGCATGGCAGAGAAAGAGAATAGAAGGAGTATCTGAAGGCTGAGAGGAGTTCTGCTAGGGGCAGTTGGAGAGGAGTCTGGCCACTGGACAGCCAAACTCCAGAGGAAGATCATCTTCCCATTCCATCCCCATTCCAGCTCTCCATCCATCCCACTGAGAGCCACTTCCACCACTCAATAAAACCCCTGCATTCATCCTTCAAGCCCATGTATGACCTGATTCTTCTGGGGCGCAAGACAAGAGCTTGGGATACAGAAAGCTATCACACTGGCCCACTACCCTTGGGAAAAGGCAGAGGGTCCACTGAGCTGGTTTAACACTTAAGCCATCTGCGGACAGCAAAGCTGAAAGAGTGCACTGTAACATGCCCACTTGGGCTTTGGGAGTTGCAGACACCCCACTCCTAGACACTACTTGGAGAGTGGGGCTGGAACCCACAGCGCTTGTCCCAGCTCCTGCACGTGTCCATCCACGTGCTCCCCTTCCCGCAGGTGGTTTCAGCAGTGGTGGTGACCAAACAGACGAGCCACACCCTTGTCGCATGTCCTGTGGGGGGGGACAGGGAACACTCCCATTTCAAAAGGAAAGGAATGTGTAGGATAATCAAAGTTAACCTCCCAGGGAAAAGCAAGAATGCTGTGTAAATCTGCCTAAGGGCAGGATTTATGGTCAAGGTTGTTCTTACCTAAGGGCAGGATTTATGGTAAGTAGATGCTCTTGCAGAAGAAACAGTAAATAAAATAAAAATCTTAGAGGAATTGCTGGAACTGGGGTTAAGCAGAAGTTAACATGGCAAGTTAATGTCCAAGATGGAATTGCTTTGCCTCCTCACTTTGCTGAGCTAAAGGCTTTAGACCTCGTCCCATAGACAACGAAGAAGAGGCACAGAAGTTTATTCCTGAGAGTGACATGATCATCTTGATATTTTTATAAACGTAATTCTGGTGGCAGTATAAAGGATCATGTAAGGTAAACAGAGACTAGAGTTAGCAAGGCACAAAGTGTAAGCAAAAATTCAGCTGAAAGATTGATTAGTATTCTGAAAGTATGGCAGGAAATACTCAAAAGGAGAGAATAAGCTGGACGTGGTGGCTCACACCTGTAATCCCAGCACTTTGGGAGGCCAAGGTGGGAGGATAGATAGCTTGAGCCCAGGAGTCTGAGACCAGCTTAGGCAACATAATGAGATATTGTCCCTACAAAAAATTAAAAAATTAGCCAGGCATGGTGGTTTGCACATGTAGTCTTCGGTTGCTTGTAGGCTGAGGCAGGAGAATTGCTTGAGCTCAGGAGTTCAAAGCTGCAGTGAACCATGATCATGCCACTGCACTCCAGCCTAGGCAGCAGAGCAGGGCCCTATCTCAACAAACAAAACACAAATAGAGGCTAAGAGAAGAGACCCTGCGAAAGGGAAGTGACATAGTGACATGCAGCACTTCTATGCTGGGTCCTAGGTGGGACAAGAACATCATGGGTGAGAGAGTCAGAGAACTGTGTCAAATGCAAGAAGATAAATTCAAACTGGGCCAGAATAGACTGAGTTTTCTCTAATCCCTTAGTGAAGTGGAGCTGGAAACTATTTTCAATAACCCACTGTATGCTATGTGAAGTCGTGTTTAAACAAAACAAGATGACCATTCTTAAGTGAAAACGATAGTAACTATATATATTTAGTTCTTATTCCAAAGTTAACATTCAGTTATTGTCAGCAAAATTTTTGTTCCTACGAAATTCTAAATTAAAGGGCTCCTATAGGTAGATATCTGGGCTAAGGTGAACCTTTCTGAACTGTTGTCATTTATTCTAGGACACAGAATAGTCAAAACTAAGGGTAATGGATGCCTATCTTTTTTTTTTTTTTTTTTTTTTTTTTTTTTTTTTTTTTTTTGAGACGGAGTTTCACTCTTGTCACCCAGGCTGGAGTGCAATGGGGTGATCTCGGCTCACCGCAATCTCCACCTCCCAGGTTCAAGTGATTCTCCTGCCTCAACCTCCCAAGTAGCTGGGATTACAGGCATGCGCCACCACGCCTGGCTTATTATTATTTTTTTTTTTTAAGTAGAGACAGGGTTTCTCCATGTTGGTCAGGCTGGTCTTCAACTCCCGACCTCAGGTGATCCACCCACCTTGGCCTCCCAAAGTGCTGGGATTACAGGCGTCAGCCACCATGTCCAGCCATGGATGCCTATCGTTTTAGCCTATCCATCCCTATCCTTCCTTTAAAGAGTCCATTAGGCCATGGTTCAAGTGGGGTTGACTCCATCCCTGGCAGTTGACCCAAGACCCTGCCAATCATACCCCTGGGCACAGTAATTGGCTCAAGGGTGGGCATGTGATCCAGGCTCAGAGAGTCAGAGAGTTCCTTGCATAAGAACTCTCAGAAACTCTCTTGCTGCTAATGTTGCTAAGCCTATAGAATGCTTTCTATAGGAGCATCCAGGGACCATCTTTGCCAACATGTAAGGAGAGCTAACCTGGCTCCTTATCAGAAACTCAAAAAAGGGAAAAAGAAACCTGATACAAGGAAAAAGACACTGGCTTGGTAAAACTGTTTGATTGCCTGGATCCAGACATGTCTTTGGATTTCCTAATTTCCTAAGCCAATATGTCATCCCCTTTTAATTGTTGCTTCAACTAGTTTGAGTTTCAGTTACTTGTTATTGAGAGGTTCCTAACTAACATACCAAGTAAGCAGCCTGCTTTCACAGAATGGTGCTTTCATAAAATGTACGTAGGCTGTGTTAGGAAGCTCCAAGTGGTTTCTTTTTTTCTGGAGTACGAGCTGAGAGATGGGGAGATGAGAGAGAAGAAGCTGGAAAACGAGAGAGTCTTCCTTGTCCTATTAAGCTTATCTCTTTGGATTTCGAAAAAAAATCATTTTTGTTATAGAGAAGGGAGGCAAATTTGTTTAAAGTTAGCCTTTCAATGTATTAACTTCTAATAATAGCATTGTCAAACTGGGTTACAGCCTTATTTTAAATCAACTTATTTAGGTTTCTTACCTTTTATTGATAAAGAGCTACTATGACTTACCTGAAATCTTACATTCTATCAATCTAGGTTGTACACTACAGTACAAGGAAAACTTAACCTCAACAAAGCCAGTTCTAGGTATCTGTCATATATTTCAAAGAGCAAGGATCGAAGTGTGAGTCAAGGGATGATAAAAGAAAATAGTGATAAAACGGCTGGGCGCAGTGGCTCACGCCTGTAATCCCAGTACTTTGGGAGGCCGAGGCAGGCGGATCACAAGGTCAGGAGATCGAGACCATCCTGGCTAACATGGTGAAACCCCGTCTCTACTAAAAAAAATACAAAAAAATTAGCTGGGCATGGTGGTAGGTGCCTGTAGTCCCAGCTACTCGGGAGGCTGAGATAGGAGAATGGCATGAATCCAGGAGGCGAAGCTTGCAGTAAGCCGAGATCACCCCACTACACTCCAGCCTAGGTGACAGAGTGAGACTCCATCTCAAAAAAAAAAAAAAAAAAAAAGAAAAGAAAAAGAAAAAGAAAAAGAAAATAGTGATGAAAAAGAAGAGGTAAGAGTTTGATTCAACTCAACAAATATTAATTAAACACTGAATTCGTGCCAGGCACTGCATCGGACAATACAGACATAAAGTGAGCTGAAGTTCAGGCATGGTGGCTCACACCTATAATCCCACCAGTTTGCGAGGCTGAGGCAGACAGATTGCTCGAGCTCAGGAGTTCAAAACCAGCCTGGGCAACATGGTGAGACCTCATCGCTACTAAAAATACAAAAATAAGCCAGGCATGGTGGTGCACGCCTGTGGCCCAGCTACTTGGGAGGCTAAGGTGGGAGGGTCGCTTGAACCCAGCGGGTAGAGGTTGCAGTGAGCCAACATTGTGCCACTGCATTCCAGCCTGGGTGACAGAGTGAGACCCTGTCTCAAAATAAATAAATAAATAAATAAATAAATAAATAAATAAATAAATAGATAAAAAGTGAGCTGAAAAATATCCCTGCCTTCCAGGCAGTTAAGGTTCAGATAAGAGGTAGATAATTGCTCTACAATGTAGTAAGTGCTACCAAAGAAGCTCATCAAAAGAGATCCTAACTCAGCCTGGGAAAGTCAAGGAGGGTATCACAGAAAAGTTAATGCCTGGTCAAAGACCTAAGGAATGAGTAGGATTTAGCTTGGCTAAGACAGCAGACTGAGGGCTTGGAGAAGGCAGATTTAGTCGACATAGCCTGAGCAAAGCACAAAAGACTAGAACAGCCTGGGATGGTTAGGGAACACCAAGTAATTCAATTTTGGCTGGAGTGTGATCTGAGATGTGGAAAATGAGAGAAGAGACTAGGAAAGTAAGCAGGGGCCAAATCAGGTGGACTCCCTTACACCAGGCCAGAGCACTGCAGCTCACCCCATGGGGGCCTGGATGGTCATTTTAATCAAGGAAACAATATGCTCAGATAGGAATTTTAACAAATTCTATTCTGCTGTCTCTTTGGAGAATGAAATAGGCAGGAAGTCCACTTAGAAAACTGGCAAGAGGGTGAGCAAAAAAAACGTTTTAAAAGGCCCAGAAAAGATATAGAGAAAAGAATAGAAGAGAGTCCAGAAATAAACCCTTAAATTTATGGTCAAGTTGGTCAAGTGAGTTTTTTTTTTTTTTTTTAGACAGAGTTTCACTCTTGTTGCCCAGGCTGGAGTGCAATGGCGCGATCTCGGCTCACCACAACCTCTGCCTTCCGGGTTCAAGCAATTCTCCTGCCTCCGCCTCCCAAGTAGTTGGGATTACAGGCATGTGCCACCATGCCCAGCTAATTTTGTATTTTTAGTAGAGACGGGGTTTCTCCACGTTAATCAGGCTGGTCTCGAACTCCTAACCTCAGGTGATCCACCCGCCTCAGCCTCCCAAAGTGCTGGGATTACAGGTGTGAGCCACTGCGCCCCGGCCTGGTCAAGTGATTTTCAACAA
This sequence comes from Homo sapiens, assembly GCF_000001405.40. NCBI lineage: Eukaryota > Metazoa > Chordata > Mammalia > Primates > Hominidae > Homo > Homo sapiens. Next base: position 170,471,687 of record NC_000002.12, on the reverse strand, counting down.
GAATCCAAGGACAATTCAATGGGAGGAAATAACAGTATTTTCAACAAAATGGTGTTGAAACTGCTGGATATCCGCATACAAAAGAATGATGTTAGACTTCTACCTTACACCATACAAAAAATTAAATCCAAATGGACCATAGATCTAAAATATAAGAGGTAAAACTACAAAACTCCCAGAATAATGATAGGAGTAAATCTTTGTCACATTGGATTAGATGATAGCTTCTTAGGTAGAATACCAAAAGTACGAGCAACAAAAGAAAACATACATAAATTGAACTTCATCAAAATTAAAAAATTTTGTGCTTCAAAGGACACCATCAAGAAGACAACCCAGGCCAGGCACAGTGGGTCACTCCTGTAATCCTAGCACTTTGGGAGGCTGAGGTGGGTGGATGACATGAGGTCAGGAGTTCGAGACCACCCTGACCAACATGGTGAAACCCCATCTCTATTAAAAATACAAAAATTAGCAGGGCATGGTGGCAGATGCCTGTAATCCCAGCTACTCCGGAGGCTGAGGCATGAGATTGCTTGAACCCGGGAGGCGGAGTTTGCAGTGAGCCAAGACTGTGCCAGGGCACTCCAGCCTGGGTGACAGAATGAGACTCCATCTCAAAGAAGAAAAAAAAAAGAGAAAACAACCCATAGAGTGAGAAAATATCAAAGTGACCAGTAGCTCATTAAAAAAAAAAGAGAGAGAGAGAGAGAAAATATTTGCAAATTATCTATGTGATAAGGGACTAATATTTGGAATACATAAACATCAACAATATAAAGTGGGCAAAGGATTTGAATAAACATTTCTCCAAAGAAGGTATACACATAACCAAGAAACACAGAAAAGCTGCTCAACATCATTAGTCATTAGAGAAATGCAAATCAAAACTACAATGAGATGCCACTTCACATCAACTAGAATGACTAAAATAAAAAAGACAAACAATAATAAATGTTGGAGACGATGTGGAAAAATTGGGACTCTCATAACACTGGTGATGGTAATTTAAATTGTTCAGCCACTTGGAACAGAGGGTTACCATATGACCAAGAAATTCTACTCGTAGGTATATACCCAAAAGAAGTGAAAACATATGTCCACATTAAAAGTTGTACATGAATATTCATAGCAGCATTATTCATAACAGCCAAAAAGTGGAAACAATGCAAAAGTTCATCCCCTGATAAATGAGCAAGCAAAACATGATATATTCATGCAATGGGATATTATTCATCTACAAAAAAATAACATACTGGTACATAGTACCAGTATTCATTTCATCCAACACTGAAAACATGCTAAGTAAAAGAAGCCAGACACAAAAGGCCACGTTGTATGATTCCATTTACACGAAATGTCAAAAATAGGCAAATCCATACAGATGGAAGTTAGATTATTGGTTGCCTAAGTTTGGTGGGATTGAGGAGAAAAGGGAGAATGGCTAATGAGTTTGGAGTTTCCTTTTAGGTAATGAAATGTTCTATGATTAGATGGTAGTCATGTTTATACAACTCTGTGACTAATTAAAAACCTTTGAACTGTATACTTTCCTTCTTTTTTTTTTTTTTTTTTTTTTTTTTTTGAGACGGAGTTTCGCTCTTGTTGCCCAGGCTGGAGGGCAATGGCACGATCTCGGCTCACTACAACCTTCACCTCCCAGTTTCAAGTGATTCTCCTGCCTCAGCCTGCTCAGTAGCTGGGATTACAGGCATGCACCAACACACCCAGCTAATTTTGTATTTTTAGTAGAGACGAGGTTTCTCCATGTTGGTCAGGCTGGTCTCGAACTCCCGACCTCAGGTGATCCACCCTCCTCAGCCTCCCAAAGTGCTGGGATTACAGGTGTGAGCCACCGTGCCCGGCTGAATTGTATACTTTCAAAAGATGACTTTTATCATACGTGAATTATATCTAAATTGAGCTGTTAATAATAACAAAAGGGCTGGACTAAAGCTATGGGAGAAGGGATGAGAGATTCCCAAGGGAACATTTTTTAGAAACTTTAGCAGGTAGTGAGCTGGACCTGGTGATGGATTATTTAAAGGAAGTGAGGAGAAGTCAAAGGTGACTCCTAGTTTCTGGAAGAGAGAGAGTGAAGGAACAGAAAGGAGAATGAGATGAAAGAGATACCAAGACACCATGGTTCTCCACGCCATCATGAGAAGAAATGGAAGATGCCAATGAAAGAGAAGAGGGAAGAGTTTCATTTTGTTCAATGGTTAACAACTGTTACGCATCACAGCCTGGTAGATGCAGGTCTCTCATCCAGCGAGCTCGACTGGGAAGGCAAAAATCCCTAGAAGACTTAGAAACTAAGTAAGCCCCAGGCATCTGCAAGTAATCCTTGAAAATCTTTAGAATGTGGGCTTTGTATATTCCTGCCTTCTTGTCATGCAGGTGAGGAAACATCTTTTACAGAATATTGGGTTACTTTCCAGATGTTATATACTGAAGGAGACTAGAATTCAGGTCTCCTTACTAAACTGCATTATTTACTACAATAGCTTCATAAACAAACAATTAGACTCAGCCCTATTCTTTATCTTTTTGAGAGGAAGTCTCACTCCGTCGCCCTGGCTGGAGCGCAGTGGCACGATCTTGGCTCACTGCAACCTCCGCCTCCTGGGTTCAAGCGATTCTCCTGGCTCAGCCTCCCAAGTAGCCACCACACCCAGCTAATTTTTGTATTTTTAGTAAAGACAGGATTTCACCATGTTGGCCAGGCTGGTCTCGAACTCCTAACCTCAGGTGATGTGCCTGCCTCCCAAAGTGCTAGGATTACAGGTGTGAGCCATCACGCCCAGCCTGACTCAGCCCTATGTTTTAGACATTTGCCAGAACACATCCCAATACATGCAGTTATGTGTTTGCCCTCTGTAGACATTCTGAGAGACTATGCATCAGAATCCACTGACCATAAAAACAATAAATGCTTAGATTGCTTTTCTATGACGTCCCTCAACAGTGTGGCTCCAGCATTTCCAGGTGGCCTCTTTCATGCCTAGTCGAGAACATAAAGACTTCCAATTCACCTGGCCCTATTGATGAGAGGATGTTGGGGACACCCTCTTCCTCAAAGGCTCCATGAGTAGAGGATAAGGAAGGGCACTTCCAAGTCATTTTGCCAGAAAGCTCAAAGATAATAGGGGCAAGAAAGTATTTTAGGCTTGGCCAAGCCTGCAGACTTGGGTAATTTGGGAACTGGGGAAGTCTTTCCCCTTTCTGGAACCCAACAACATGATCCCAAGAACACCACCAGGTGTATACTCAGGGTTTCAGTCCTGAATGCCAGAAAATACAAAAATGTAGAGTCACATTAAATGAGTTTTTATCTTTTATTTACCTCCATTTAATAAACCTTGAATGGCTCTGTTTCCTGTCTTTGATTGTCCTGTCTGCATATTTCCTGCTAAGAGTTTACAAAACAGCACTCTTGAACAGGAAGATAAGAAGTGTACCTATTTGTTGAATAACATCAAGGGAGAAAACTGCTAACTCATCCATTTTGTTAAGTGGTTCAAAAGGATCAAAATACCAATTAACTTGCTGGCTCAGAAATCTTTGATATCCTCAGATTTACTGGCATTTTGAAACTCCTGTTCATACTTGCCTAATGGCTTTCTGATTATGAACAAAGAAGTGCCAATCTGTTCAGCATTTGACCTGTTTTCTTAAATATTTTTATGTATTCAAACATTGTTACAAAAAATACTTGACTAGTCAAATTCATGTGCTAAATTTTTTTTCTTGTTCCACTTCCAAATTTAAGAGGAAAAAAGGAGCTCAAAGACACTTAAAAAAAAAAAGCCATTTCCTTCTTATTTTTAATTTAAAAGCTCTCATTGCAAGGAACTTTTTTTTTTTTTTTTGCCTTATCTTTTCCATGGAATTTAGCAGAGTTTGGGAGACGTGACAAAGCAAGCTACCATATTTATGACTCATCCTCTCCTGAGAAAATTTTGGAAAAAATGACTTTGGGCACATGTTTCAGAGTGGAAGTAAAAAGACACTAAGGATGGCTTAAGGAGTGAGGCAGATTCTACAATGTATTTTTTTTTTCTTGATTGCCTTGTCTTTGTCAGGCATACAATGGATTTCAATATTCCTCTCCAGGCATCCTCAGACAGCAGTGCTTCTCAGGGGTGTTTTTTTTTTGTTACTGTTTTCCTTATTTCTTCACAGAAAATTCTACTTGTAATCACATTCATACATAATCTCTATGGCAGTCGTTCAGAAAAGAGCAGCATTTCATTCTTAGGCAAAGGCACTTTCTGGGTTAAGAAAGTGCCATGCAATTTATTTCAATAAATATTGATTGAATGCACTGAACTGAAGAGATTAAAAGCATGCATGCTGAAACCAGACTGCCTGGGTTCAAATCCTGGTTCTACATTGACCAGCATGAGACCATGGGAAAATCACTTACTTTCTTTTCATACCCAAGTTTTCTCACCTTTACGTTTTGTAAAATGGGGATGATAATAGAGTCTAGCTTATAGGGTTGTTCTATGGATCAAATGAGATAATACATTTTAGAATAGTGCCCTAAAATGTCCTGTACTCTTATGATACTTCAGGTGTTATGTAAGTGTTAATTATCGTATTATATCATGCCAGAACCTGGAAGAAGAACTGGTGCTTGGGTGCATTCAAATCCGGCCCACTTATGGAGGGATACTTTCATCATAACAACAAAATACCTGGAGAACTTGAGACCTAAGGATTTATAACATATAAACGTATATGGAAATTTAAAATAATGTGATCAGAAGGAAGCTTAATCTGGCTGCTGGATCACTGCAGTTTAGTTGAAGCACAATAAAAATGCAACATTCAAGCAAGTAAATGGTAGCTGGCAACTAGCCAATTACATGTTTGGAGGAGAGCACGCAGGAGGAACAATCTTAGGACACAGGGATGGCCAGAGTAGAGCTACATTTATAAGAATGCATTCCCGTAGATGACGGTCTGACCTTTTCACAAATTCTTCAAAAAGGATGCGGTGGGAATAGCCCTGGCGGCGGATGCTGACTGTCTCCAGAATCCCTGTGGAGCGGAGCTGGGCCAGCACCCTCTCTCGAGAGAACTGCAGGGCCTCTCGGTCATCATTGGGTTTAATGCAGCGCACAAAGTGGGGCTGTCCAACCACCATTTTGGAGAGCAGGTCCATCAGAGAATACTACCAGGGAGAAAAATGCACAAGGAACAAGGTTACCACCAACACAATGGATAGTTACAACACAGGCCCGCAGAAGCCTCTGGAGCAGTTCGAGGCTCACAGACCTTCTTGAGGAAGAACATGAAATCAGCAATAGGAGATAATAATGTAAGTTGCACTTATAGCCATCTGCAGATTCAAAACCATTCTTTAAACATCACCTAGTGCCAAGCAATATCCCATATGGCAGAAACTTAGCTAAGAACATGCTCTATCTAGGTTATCCTGTAATTCCACCGCCAGAACTAGAATGCTTGTCGCTGGTATTCCAAGGTGATGTTCCACAATCTGTATCTGTAATTTAAAATGTCCAGCTTTTGAGGAAGGGGCTATTTGCTTCTTCAGCCTAAGAACCACCAGATAGTCTAAGCAAATCCTACAGATACGATTGGTAATAAGGTAGTGGGACAGAAAAGAAAAATACAAAAACAAGGCAAAGAAAATGAGAGAAGTACCAAAAAGAAGACTGTGGTGACTATCAACTAACATACACCAAGCAGCTGGTACAGGGCTCTCACAGCAAGAGGGGAGCAAGGACACGGAAAATCAGGGGGGTGCTTGTGAGGGAGGGCCTCAGTTGTTCCTCAGGGGCATCCACTGCTGGAGCTCTTCTGGGCTCACCTTCAGGAGCTATTATAAGCCAAAGGAACTCAGTTCCATTATTTCATAGTCACTGCTCCTACAGATCAAAATTGGTGTTACCTAGTTTCCAAGGTAACTTATTTTTCAGGTTTAGCACTCGTGAACGGGTATTTTGAGAACACCAAACTGGTTGTATGGGTATATTTCTGAAAAACCGTAGCCAGAGGCTTTTCTGCTGATAGGGGGGCCCTAAGATCTTGAGGATCACTTCACAGAGTAAATAGAGCTACTAAATCCAGTGGGAAACACATACAGACACCAAGGGTTACCAGGAGGATGATATGGTTTGGATGTGTGTTTCCTCCAAATCTCATGTTGAAATGTGACCTCTAATGTTGGAAATGGGCCCAGTGGGAGGTGTTTGGGTCATGGGGCAAATTCCTCATGAATGGCTTGGTGCTGTCCTCACGGCAATGAGTGAATTCTTACTCTATTAGTTCATGCAAAATCGGGTTGTTTAAAAGAGTCTGGGATCTCCCCTCTATCTTGTTCTCTCTCCATTCCTCCCTCTCTTGCCATGTAACACGCCTGCTCTATGAGTAAAAGCTCCCCGAGGCCTCACCAGAAGCCAAGTAGATGCTGGTGCCAGGCTTGTGGAGCCTGCAGAACCGTGAGCCAATAAACCTCTTTTCTTTATAAATTATCCAGTCTTGGCTGGGCACAGTGGCTCATGCCTGTAACCCTAGCACTTTGGGAGGCCGAGGTGGGTGGATTACCTAAGGTCAGGAGTTCGAGACCGGACTGGCCAACATGGTGAAGCCTCATCTCTAGTGAAAATACAAAAAAAAAAAATTGCCAGGCATGGTGGCACGTACCTGTAGTCCCAGCTACGTGGGAGGCTGACGCAGGAGAATCGCTTGAACCCAGGAGGCGGAGGTTGCAGTGAACCTAGATGGCACCACTGAACTCCAGCCTGGGTGACAGAGCCAGACTCTGTCTTAAAAGAAAAAAAAAAATTATCCAGTCTCAAGTATTCCTTCATAGCAACATAAAATGGACTAACAGACTAACAGATGAGGATAGAGCCACTCAAGGGGATAGGACCAGGTGTGTCTCAATATAAGAAATAAGTAGCAATTATAAATAACCAAACATCAGAATGATGAGGCAGGGGCCCACCTTCCACAGATGCTATAGCACGACTCAATGCATGGATGGAATACTGGATTCGAAGGTCTGGGGCCCCTGCAATTCATACCGAGCCCAATTCTAGCCTGCCTCTGAAGCACAATTGGCTAGGCTGGACTTCCGCGTTTTAGATCCCTGCACCTGCTAGCTTTCCATGGAGCCTTCTATCCAGAGTGCTGGCTCCCAAGTCCTGCCCTTCAGCCTTCCTGGCTCTTCCAGCTTCCCATCCACCTGACCTCTCATCCCTGCCAAGCCCTTTCTTGTGCCAACCCTATCTTACTACCTCATTCTGCTATCCCTGAGATCAGTTCTAAATTTGATCTAACAGCATTTTTTTTTTTTTTTTTTTTTTGAGAGGGAGTCTCACTTTGTCACCCAGGCCTGCAATGGCGCAATCTCAGCTCACTGCAACCTCCACCTCCCAGGTTCAGGTGATTCTCCTGCCTCAGCCTCCCAAGTAGCTGGGATTACAGGCACCTGCCACCACACCTAATTTTTGCATTTTTACTAGAGAAGGGGTTTCACCATGTTGGCCAGGCTGGTCTCTTAACTCTTGACCTCAGGTGATGCGCCTGCCTCAGCCTCCCAAAATGCTGGGACTATAGGTGTGAGCCAATGTGCTCGGCCTAACAGTATTTCTATTGTGAAACTATCTGGACCTTAGCTCCCAGTCTCTAAGGGCCTTCCAACTCTAACGCTTTATAATTTGAAGACAAACAAATCTGTGCAAGAGTGTATATGTCTTATCTTTGCTATATAATGTGCATTTAACAGAGCCCTTCTAGAGACCATGTTTTTACCCAAAGGAGGCATTTAACTAGATGAAGTATCAGAAATAGGGATGGCAGAAATGGGAAATAATAGGGCTCAGACAAGTGGGTTTTACAAGGGGTCAATTCAATCTAGGAAAATAAAGTCAATGCTAAGACAGATTCTCTCAGTATCTGAACTTATAAGCCACCTTCTGGAACTTTATTAACTACTTTACTATTCAGTATGCTAGAAAAGTGGCTGCCTCTAGTAGCTTTAAGACCAAGAAGCAGCTCATATGCTAACAGAATCAGTCACTTAATGGGCAGGGTTTTGTGCCCAATGTTCTCTTCCTTCCTTGCTTCCACCACTTCCCCAACCCAATCTTTCTTGACTCTGTGCTTTGCCCTTGTTTCACTGACTCCATCTGGGCATCTCATAAGAAGGCTTAGACAGTCCTTTTTGGAAGCAGGCAGAATAGAGATCAAGAAGACTCCATACCCGGAAGTAAGAAGCCACAGTTTGCCTCTTCATGTTGGTGGTTTCTTCCGGATGCCGTATCACCTCCAGAGTGTCCACCTGGAAGCATAGGTGGAGGCAAGTGGTTTGAGGATCTAGGCACTTACCTCATGCTCCATGTCTTCCAAAATCCGAAAGCCTGTTTGGCCAAATACCTGAGGGGCCATGGTATTTAGGACACAATAGTGTATACTGTGGGGAGAATTTTTCAAAACATAGAAACGAAAGAATATGCATTGTTCTACTCATTTGACAATACCTCACTCTATAAAATACCATGTGGTTTCAGTGTAAACCCCTCTTATTTCTATACTTCTACATCTTCTAATGAACCCCTGTTAAATTCTCCAGTAAGGTCATATGAGACCAAACTATTGCTTAAAAGGAAACTTGGCAAAGGGCCATGAGGCGAAATGATTATAAAGACGTGATGGCCCCAAAGCCCAGGTTGTACCACAGGGAATTAGGCCAGCACCAGTTGCCTTCCACGTCGTCAGACTCTGATGCTGCAACCATCAGACTCCTCCTACCACCCACAGTTCCCATGTGCTCATTGCAGATAGGAGCTCAGGCACCAAATCACTCGGAAACCCAATGGAATGCACCTGTTCTCAATATCTATCCCAACTACCTGGGCTGACTGAAAGGAACTGATTGATGAAAACAATTGTAGGGGCTGACTGCAAGCAGCCTGTGTTCCATTATTATAATGCAACAACAAAAACCCTGCTTTGGTTTGCAGAGTGCATGAGTGGCATTTAGCACTGGCCTTGCCGTGGCAGCTTCCCATCTGCTCTGAACAGGTGGCAAGGGTATAAAGCAGAAATGTTTGAGATGGAAGACACTGCTGTCAGCATGTGGGTTAGGCTGGGTGGACTGCCGTCCAGGCAGCCACCTTCCCATGGGGTGAGGATGTCTGCAGCCTTGTTCAATGAAAGTGAAAAACTGGTGCTAAAAGGGGTGAGAGTTAGGAGGGGTGAATAAAGAGGCTTGCCTAAAGGAGTATGTGGGAGACTGTATGCAAAATGGAAGGAAATGCTTCATCTGGGATGGGTAAAGAAAACAGGTTCATTTAAGAAGGGGAGAAAACATGGAGCTAAGTTTTCAAAACCTAGAAAAACAACCTATCAGTGAGCAGCTCTATGACCCAAGTGAAGACATCAGAGACAGTGCAGCTTTATTTTAATGAGCTGCACGGCCGATGCCATCAGTCCATTCACATGCAGCTGAAACAATGATATAACTGCCTGTAGGTTTGACATTTTGATGTTTTCTAATGGGAAAGGAGGAAAGGAAAGATCCTGGGTTTAGAAAGAAGAGGGAACAAAGAGAAAACACAACACACCAGCACCACCTGCAGAGCGTGTTATACTCTCTCCGCTGTCACCAGATGGGTCCACTCTGGAGGTTTCTTTCCCTTTCTCACCCCCATTTGAGTACAGAACTCAGAGCTGGTGAGGTTTGGGGCAAATTAATCAGGTCTGAAGAAAAGGTCTTGGCTAGGGCCAGCCTTTGGCTAAATTGTAAATTCTGGATTTTCTTCAACTTTTTTCTCCTTATTTTCTTCTTCTACCCCGGCCCCGCCGACCTCCATACATATACATACACACAACTTTGGGAATTTCTCCACCACTTCTTTTTTTTTTTTTTTTAAACGGAGTTTCACTCTTGTTGCCCAGGCTGGAGTGCAATGGCGCGATCTCAGCTCACTACAACCACCATCTGCCAGATTCAAGCAATTCTCCTGCCTCGGCCTCCCGAGTAGCTGGGATTACAGGCGCCTGCCACCACACCCAGCTAATTTTTGTATTTTTGGTAGAGATGAGGTTTTACCATGTTGGCCAGGCTGGTCTCGAATTCCTGACCTCAAGTGATCTGCCTGCCTCGGCCTCCCAAAGTGCTAGGATTACAGACTTGAGCCACCGTGCTCGGCCCAGCCCTTTTTTTTTTTTTTTTTTTTTGAGACTGAGTTTTGCTCCCAGGCTGGAGTGCAATGGTGCGATCTCAGCTCACTGCAACCTCCACCTCTGGGGTTGAAGTGTTTTCCTGCCTCAGCCTGCTGAGTAGCTGGGATTACAGGTGCCCGCCACCACGCCCAGCTAATTTTGTGTTTTTAGTAGAGACAGGGCTTCTCCATGTTGGTCAGGCTGGTCTCAAACTCCTGACCTCAGATGATCCACCCGCCTCGGCCTCCCAAAGTGCTGGGATTACAGGAGTGAGTCACCTCACCCGGCCTCAGCACTTCTTTTTGTTAAGAGATCCTCCCTGAAGAAGCACCTCTTGCTTTGAACCTGGCTTTTCCTCCTTCATTTCCCTCCCTTTTTATTCAAATTAACTAGTGAGCACCAGCCCCCCAGGCAGCTGAAAAGCTCATTTATAATTTTCTATTGGTAGATGTTTATGAATTGACCTATTACCCTCCCTCAGAACTTATAACAGACACTTAGCATTTGAGAATTTAAGTTTAGTGACCAAAAAATCCTTGATGTGTATTAATTCAGCTGAAACACAATTTAAAAGGAATACTCTTATAAGAAAATTTCACATGTACCCCATAAATCTGCACAAATAAAATATAAATAAATAAAAGGAATAATCTGTATTGTTTTCAAGATCAGCACCAGTTCCCTACAGCAAATTGGAAAAATGCAGAGTTAAGCACCAATTTGCACTCTAAAAGTTATAAGGCTACGTGGTCAGGAGGTAGCTCCCAGCTAGTGACGGGCCCTGTCTAACTGCACAGCATCTGTGTTTCAACAGGACTTTAAATTCTGTCCTTGCAATCACATACAGAGTGATGTTTGGAAATAAAGTAAAAACCTATCCTTTGACATATACAACCTGGAAATGCTAATGCTTATCTGTAATTCACCACCTACATACTTAGTACTGTGTTTGACAGAATAGGTCATATGTCTTTTTTTTTTTTTTTTTTTTTTTGAGACGGAGTCTTACTCTGTCACCTAGGCTGGAGTGCAATGGCGCAATCTCAGCTCACTGCAACCTCTGCCTCCTGGGTTCAAGCGATTCTCCTGCCTCAGCCTCCTGAGTAGCTGGGATTACAGCTGCACACCACCACGCCTGGCTAATTTTGGTATTTTTAGTAGAGACAGGGTTTCACCATGTTGGTCAGGCTGGTCTTGAACCCCTGACCTTGAGATCCGCCCGCCTCGGCCTCCCAAAGTGCTGGGTTTACAGGCGTGAGCCACCACGCCCGGCCTAGAATAGGTGATATTGAGAGGTGACAACATGCTAGCAGCCCGTGCTAGCAGCCCTCGCTTACTCTCGGCGACTCCTCTGTCTCAGCATCCACTCTGGCCACGCTTGAGGAGCCCTTCAGCCCGCCACTGCACTGTGGGAGCCCCTCTCTGGGCTGGCCGAGGGCGGAGCTGGCTCCTTCTGCTTGCGGGGAGGTAAAGAGGGAGAGGTACGGGCTGGGAACCAGGGCTGCGCGTCCCTTGAGAGCCAGCATGAGTTCCGGGTGGGGGCAGGCTCAGTCGGCCCTGCACTGGAAGCGGCTGGCCAGTGCCGCTGGCCACGGGCAGTGAGGGGCTTAGTATCTGGGCCAGCAGCTGCGGAAGGTGCACCAGGTCCCCCACCTGCCCACACCACGCTCAAATTCTCGCCAGGCCTCAGCCACTTCCCCGTGGGGCAGGGCTCAGGACCCGCAGCCCGCCATGCCCAAGCCCCCCCACCCCCAGTGGGTTCCCATGCGGCCCGAGCCTTGAGCCTCCTCGACGGGCACCACCCCCTGCTCCATGGCGCCCGGTCCCATGACTGCCCAAGGGCTGAGGAGTGCAGGAGTGTGGCGCCGGGACTGGTGGGCAGCTCCACCTGCAGCAGGATCCAGTAGGCAAAGCCAACTGGGCTCCTGGGTGGGGGTGGGGACTTGGAGAACTTCTATGTCTAGTTAAAGGTTTGTAAATGCACCAATCAGCACCTTGTGTCTAGCTAAAGGTTTGTAAATGCACCTATCAGTGCTCTGTGTCTAGCTAATCTAGTGGGGACTTGGAGAACTTTGTGTTTGGCTAAAGGATTGTAAGTGCACCAATCAGCACTCTGTGTCTAGCTCAAGGTTTGTAAACCCACCAATCAGCACCCTGTCAAAACAGACCAATCAGCTCTCTGTAAAATGGGTCAATCAGCTCTCTGTAAAATGGACCAATCCGCAGGATGTGGGTAGGGTCAGATTAGGGAATAAAAGCAGGCTGCCAGAGCCAGCAGTGGCAACCCGCTGGGGTCCCTTTCCACGCTGTGGAAGCTTTGTTCTTTCACTCTTCGCAATAAATCTTGCTGCTGCTCACTCTTTGGGTCCACTCTGCCTTTATGAGCTGTAACACTCACTGCAAAGGTCTGCAGCTTCACTCCTGAAGCCAGCAAGACCACAAACCCACCGGGAGGGATGAACAACTCCGGACGGGAGGAACAAACAAACTCTGGACACACCATCTTTAAGAACTGTAACACTCACCGCGAGGGTCCATGGCTTCATTCTTGAAGTCAGCAAGACCAAGAACCCACCAATTCACAATATGTTATTGGAGTATTTTCTAATTGAAGAATTTAAAAAGGTCTTCGGTTGGTGAGGGATCTCTTGTATATTTGCATATTCATAAGGTTCTCCTGAACTTGGAATGGATCTAAAAGAATTTCCGACAAGGAACAAACCAGAAGTTGCTTCTCTCAGCCTTTTAAACTAGACCTCTCTCTGTATCAGGCCTTCCACGGAGCTCCAAAGCCAGCCCCAAAACTCCAAACCAAAAGGGCTGAGAAGGCTGTTGTGTAGCCTAAGAGTTTGTCTTCCTGAGCTAATTTCATTATAGTAGTAGTAGCATCATTTAATTTTTTAACCAAAAATGCTTTTAGAAACAACCTGGAAAGTGGGTTCTATTAGGGCATCATCTAGCAAATAATTCTTCCCAAAAGTGGGGATTTGACAAAGAGAAAATCCTCTCCAAAGTATATGTTCTTTACCTTAGGATAAAAAAAGAGACCAGAAAAGCTTTTCTAGGCTGAGTGATTGCTATTGACAAACCTGGTTGAAATTCTTGCTAGCTGTGTGGCCATGCACCTGTTACACTCATGTGCCATAGAAGTAGGACATTTCAGTCAATGGTAAACTGTATATACTACATTAGTCCCATAGATTATAATGGAGCTGAAAAAATCCCATTGCCTAGTAATGTTGTAGACATAATGTCATAGTGCACTTCATTACTCATGTGTTTGTGGTGATTTGGTGTAAACAAACCTGCGCTGCCAATCATATCGAAGCAGAGCATGTACAATAATGTACAGTATATAATACTGGATAATGATAGTAAATAACTATGTTACTGGTTTACGTATTTACAATACTTGTAATCATTATTTTAGCCAGGTGCGATAGCTCATGCCTGTAATCCCAGCACTTTGGGAGGCCAAGGTGCGTGGACCACTTGAGGTCAGGAGTTCGAGACCAGCCTGGCCAACGAAGTGAAACCCTGTCTCTACCTAAATATAAAACTTAGCCAGGCGTAGTGGTGGGCACCTGTAGTCCCAACTGCTCAGGAGGCTGAGGGAGGATAATTGCTTGAACCCGGGAGGCAGAGGTTGTAGTGAGCCACGATCATGGCACTGCACTCCAGCCTGGACAACACAGCGAAACTCTGTCTCAAAGAAACAAAAAAGTAATTATTTTAGGGTGTACTTCTTCTACTTACATTAAAAACAAAACAAAAAACATTAACCGTGGAACAGCCTCAGGCAGGTCCTTTAGGAGGTATTCCAAAAGAAGGCATTGTTATCATAGGAGATGATGACACTATGCGTGTTAGACCTTCTAGTTGGACAAGATGTGGCATTAGTAGAAGACAGTGATATTGATGATCCTGAGCCTGTGTAGGCCTAGGCTAATGTATGTGTTGGTGTCTTTGTTTTTCACAAAAAATTTTAAAAATAAAAGTAAAAAATTTTTAAATAGAAGTTTATAGAATAAAGATATAAAGAAAGAAGATTTTTGTACAGTTGTACAATGTGTTTGTGTTTTAAGCTAAGTGTTATTACAAAAAAAAAAGTGAAAAAGTCTTTTAGACAGACTTGTCCCAAACCATTCTTTGTTTTACAGGCCTTTTTAAGTTCATAAAAAAAAGTTAAAGTAAACTAAGGTTAATTTATTACTGAATAAAATGCATTTTAAAATAAATTCAGTATAGCCTAAGTGTACATTATTTATAAAGTCTACAGGAGTGTACACTAATGTCTCAGGCCTTCATATTCACTCGCCACACACTCACTGACTCACCCAGAGTGACTTCCAGTCCTGTAAGCTCCATTCATGGTAAGTGCACTATGCAGGTGTGCCATTTTTAATCTTTTGTACCACATTTTTACTGTATCTTTTCTATGTTTAGATACAAAAATACCACTGTGTTACATTGCCTACAGTATTCAGTACAGTAACATGCTATACAGGTTTGTAGTCTCACAGCGAAAGGCGATAGCTTATAGCCTAGGTGTATAGTAAGCTATACCATCTAGGTTTGTGTAAGCACACTCTATGAATGAACGACGACAAAAATCACCCAATGACAGAGTCCTCAGAATATATCACTTTATTAAGTGACTGATGACTGTATTTAACTTTTAAAAGCCTCTGTTTTCCTCATTAATAAAATTGGTTAGTCAAAACTGCTGCCTTGCGCACATATAACAAATAACATTAGTTCTCCTTCCATCATTACTGTGATTGATTTAGTTTTAGCGTAGTTTTAAATATCAAGGATGCAAAGTGCGTTCAGTGGCAGAAGGAGAGTTCTGCTACCATGCAACTCAGCAAGGAGATCTTTTTATTTATTGGTAAGAAAAATAGTTCTAATGAAACTGTTGGGGTACAGAAACATATACCCCATGTTGAACTGGGTTCATATACCCCATGTTGACATGTTGAACTGAAGAAGAATCAAGGTCTCTCTGATACCCCCAACCCCCATCTCTTAATCCTCTGTCTCTCCCATAGCCCAGGATGAAGCTGTTCTCTGAAATTCATTTATCTGCCTAAAGCCTAGACCCACCAAAGAAAACAATTACCTGTGATCCCTTCCCTGAGTTTTTCATTAACTAAACTCCTATCACAGGAAGAAGGGCTGCAGTCTGTCAACACAACTGGACAGACTTGTCCCAAACCACTGTTTGTTTTGCAGACCTAACAGACTTTGTCCCAGGCCATTGTATGTTCTTCAAGGCCATTAAATTCCCCTAAAATCATTTACCGCCCCACCCCCCCACCAAAATATCCACACTTCTCCATCTCCCTCTCCCTTAAGAAGGGTATATAACCATCTGTGTACCATTTGTCTGGTGGGTAATCACTCTGTGATTCTCCCCTATTCCCGTTAATACATCTGTATGCATTTTCTCATATTAATCTGCCTCTTGTCAGTTTATTTTCAGCAAACTTTCAGAGAGTGAGGAAGTCTTCCCTTGGCCCCTATAAGACCAATATCAAAATGATCAATAGAAGCCATATTCTGGACAAAACCATTGTCTGTCTAACCCAGTATACTTTCCTCCTACAACACGGACTTACAAAACAATGTAAGTCAGTTGGAGCTGAGCAAGCGTGCTTTCTGCCCACATGATAAACATCCTGTTTGGTTCCTTGTGAATGATTAGCCTTCAGAGTAGTCACGAGTAAGTTTTACAAATTGTGTTACAGTCCCTACACCACAGCAGTTGAGCAAGCTTCTATATACATATGGGCTCCACACATGGAATTTTAAATAGTTATCAAAACTTGAGTAATACAGTATCTATTGAGTGTTTCCTATCTGAAATCACTGTACTAAACACTTCCTATGTTATGTCACTAAATTCTCAAAATAACCTATGAGGTAAATAATATTATTCTTCCCATTCCACATATGAGGAAGTTAAGACTAACATATTTTAGGTAGAATTCCCAGAGTCCTACAGCCAGTAGATGGCCATGCCTATATCTGAACCCACTTTGATTCCTAAACCATATTTCTTAAACATTATATACTGCCACTGAAACCACCTTTGCAAAAATTATAACTGAGACAATTATTACAGTGAAAAGAGATCTGATGACTCCATCTTGCTTCTAACCTCCAGCCTGTCCTTTTTCATTCCTGGGTGTAAGCTGAACTAACTTTAGGAGGAATTTATAGTTTTGCTTTGAAACAAAGACAATAACAGCCCTTTCCCAAAACAAACCCCCTTCCTTCCTGGGGACTAGACTGCCTTTGCAGGACTAACAAATTAGCCACAAGATTAGAAATCATGGTTTAGGAGTCATGCAGCTGGAGACTGCAAGATTCTAAATTTTTCCAAATTGCTCCTGGGGATAACATCAGTATTGTAAGACCTAAGATCAATGCTTGAGGTATTTTACAGACCCGGCACTCGATGGAACAGCTAGCACCACCCAGCTCAATAAACTGGCTCATCTGGTCTTGTGGCCTCAACCCAGGAATTGACTCAGTGCAAGAGGACAGTTTCAACTCCCTATGATTTCATCTCTGAACTGACCAATCAGAACTCCTAATGCACTGTCCCCCCTACCCACAGAATTATGCTTAAAAATTCAGATCCCCAAATTCTCTGATTTTAGTAATAAAAAAAACTCTGGTCTCCCACACAGCTGGCTCTATGTGAATTACTCTTTCTCTAGTGCAATTTCCCTGTCTTGATCAATTGGCTCTGTCTAGGCAGTGGGCAAGGTGAGCCCGTTAGGTGGTTACAAATTTGGGGGCTGGTCTGGGATTGCCTTTGTGGCTACCTGCCCGTGGTTCGGTAGCCCCTCTCCTTTGATGGATCCAGAGGCCAGCCCAAGCAGCCACCTAGTTCTCTTGGATTAGGGGCTGACTCGGGCACTGTCTCTACTGGCAGGTCACTGCCAGCCCAATGTGCATGAATTTAATTGCAATAGAGAAATAGTCCTGCGGAGACATTTCATAACTGTAGCCCCATGGTAGGATGTCTGTCTGTAGCTCCACCACAGGGTGTCTGTAACTGGAGCCGTATTGCAGGGTGTGTCTCTGTCTGTAGCCCAATCTTGGAGTGTCTGTAGCTGTAGCCCCATTATCGGTGTCTGATTTGGTGGGTATTCTAGGAGCTGCCAACACCTCCTCCCTTCTCCTGATAGGTTTGGCTCCTTCAAGGTCTCAGCTGGCCCTCCCTAATGAGTAAGAAGAGTCTTGGTTCCAGAGATTTCTCCTCAATCAGGAAGATTCTGGGGAGATTTCTCAGATGGAGAATAGGAGGTTAGTTTGGAAGGAATACTCTTGGAATTCTTGGCAAGGGATCTTGATTTGGAAGGCCTTCTGTCCATCTTGTCTTTGTTGTGTGTGTGTTTGTATGCGTGGAATGGATCTCTGAAGAAACTGCTAACCAAAGTCCAGCAGGCCTAACTTGAAGAACCCTCTGTAAGTGTAATTGCATTCGGTTAGCCCTGATGAAAGCTCAACAGGCCTGACTCTGTGATTCTCCACTCTTCGTCTTGCCCAGAGACCACTCATTGAATTCCTGGTTGGAGGTCATCCCTCCTCACCTTAAGTGGATCAAAGATGACAGAGACCAATGGGAGAAAGTTTGAGCCTTGTTAGGTCAATACTGGGTGTGGAATGAGGTGACTAGTGTCTGTTTTGTTACGGGTATTTTGCTTAGACTGGGATGGAAAATGTTAATTCAGTTCCTCATGCAGACTATCGGGCAGCATCTTGCAAAACTAGAAAGCTTTTGCCTATGGTTCCATAAAACAGAAAGTGATCATTTTCTTTTGTAATGGGGCTTGGTCCCCACAGCTATGGTGTGGTGAGCAGGGTCATCAAAAGCTGCTCTGTTCTTCTGAAAGTTGCAGAGAAAGGGAGCCCAGAAACCTGGTACCTGGTATGCTGTCAAAAAGGGTAAGAATTTCTTACCAGCCAGGTTTCTGGTCAGTTGGTCGCTCTCTCTTTCTCTCTCTCTCTCTCGTGTGTGTGTGTGTGTGTGTGTGTGTGTGTGTGTGTGTGTGTGTAAATGGTAAACATCACTGTTAGTCTCTTCTGCAAAGGTATGATTAATAGAAAAAAAGGATTTGTGAAACTCGTCTTATTAGGCTGCAGCAAATCTGGTGTACTTTGTGCAAAGAATTTGTCTTTCTGTAATGGAGCGGCAGTGCCACAGGATAGAACGTGGGCTGTGGACCCCTAAACCCCTACTTTTCAAGCCAGCCTGGCAGGCTTGTCAGTTACAAACTTTGCTGCAGGCCCCTGAAACCAATACCGGATGAAGTTTCTCATGTTGTTTTATGTCCTTAAAATCTTAACCATGTGACCATGTGGGGATACTTTATTTTAGTCTCTGCCATCCAGAGGACAAGGATTTTGTGGTTCATGTCATAGCTAGTCCTAAAAATTATCTTAAGCACTTTAAAGCCTTTGCAAGCTCAAAATTGGCTACTCTAGGCCTCTTTTGGGAAGAACAATAGGAAATGCTTAATGTTGTAGTTCCATAGCTAAGGCTTTGTTTTTTTGACAATGGCAGCCTAGGTTCAATTCTTCGCTTAGGAAATCAGTCCTTTCTGGTTTGTTATTTGTGTAACTTTTTGCCATTTATTGATTATTTTCCCCTATGGACGGCTTCTGATTTCCTGTCTTAATTTTTTATTTCTCTCAATTATCTTTGGGTAGATTCTAAATCTTGTAAATAAAGAAACTGTTTACTGTCTCTTTGAGACACTTTATGCATCCATGGTTAAGTTATAACCTTAGTTAAAACTTATTAATTTCACTGGGAGCTTACCTGTGGTAGAATTCAAAGGCCAAAAATATTGGCTTTCCTGGCTGGAGTCTGGAATAAGAGATTTTAAAAGTTTTTTTAAAAAACAAAAGAGCTCTACTGTTAAAATCAGCTTAATTAAAATGGATATCCAAGCTATACATACTTAAAAGGCCTTTATCTTTTTCCTCTTCTTGAATCATATTTTTCTGAAAAAGGCTTTTCTTCTCAGTTGACGGAATTATTTTTCTCCATTTTGTCTTTTTGTTGCTCTTGATGCCCACATGAGAGAACCTAAGAATTTCAAAAGCCTGGACTCCTGGGGAAAAACAGAGGTGGCACCACAGACCCCATTCTGGAAAAAACCTGTTTTCCTCATGGAACCCCAGGAATTGAAAGTGAATAGATCTCTCTCAAAATCTAAGGCTTTGTTTGGTTTTACGTTATGTTACCTGAACCTTTTTTTTTTTACTTTTGGGGGTATCAGAAATTACTTTGCATTATGGGAAAGCCTTTAGCCTTGGTGTATAGCAACTTTAAGGGATATTGGCTGTTATGGAGGGATACTTGGCTCTTTGCATGCTTGGATTAGAGAAGCATGCTTGGCCATCTGGAAGGTGTGCAAACATCCCCACCTTCCACTGAGAGATGAGACTCCCATGTAGATGGGCTGATTACAAAATGGGCCGATTGGCTTTGGGTTGCCTTGCAATAAAATGCACAGTAAAAGCGTTGTACTGTCTTCTTCCATAGTGTTTTCCTCTTTTTGGGGATCCAGGATGTGATATAAAAATGGGACCCTTAATTTTGGGGATCTGTTTTTGCCTTCCAGCTGTGCCTGCTTATTAGGCCCTGAAAACTGCAAGCTTTCCTCACCCTATTCCTCCAAGGGCTCCACCCTGAAGCCAGTAATCCAACTATTGACAAATGAAAATCTTGACAACTACTGGATCTTCTTTTCTGTGTATATTCATGTCTGTTTGTGTGATGTTTATATATGAAAGTGCTCTGAACAATTGGGGGTAAAAATAAGGGCTTAAATCAAATATTTTGTTAGAAAAATAGAAACTTTAAGTTTTTGTTCATGTGACTTTAGTAATCTTTCGGAAATAAAGACAATTTTAAAGATTACTGGTAAAATAAAAATGTCTTCAAAATTTAGACATTTGGTCAAAACATTTGGTCTAAATTAGGTCAGATATTAGGTTTGTTAAAATGCTTTAAGGTAATAAACTGCTTCTTTGACTTTTGAAAACTGTTTGACTTACCTACTTTGGAGTCATTAGGTTCTAGATAAGGCCTAGGGACATGTGGCGTAAGCCATGCCGCCTACCTGTACTAGGAAGAATCAAACCTTATTTGTACTTCTGTCTGGTGTCCTAGGCTCCACAGCTAGTATATATTAAAATCATTTACTTATCAGGCTTTTCACCAAAAATGAAAGATGCAAAAAGTTAATAGTGTAACATGTACTTGAGTCCACTGGAAAAAGAGTTTTACATGCAAGGTTGCAAGGTATAGAAGGAAAGTAGAATGTGGTTTTGGTGGGAAATTATAAGAAGGCATGGGAATATGGTTTTTGTTAAAGGGAATGTAATTTTGTCTAGTTAAGAGGGTTTTAAAGAATGTCTTAAACTAAAAGAGTAAAGGGACAAAATTGAAGGTTTAAGCAAGTTAGAAAGGTTTGTGAAGGGTTGATCTGATAAAGGAAGTTCTGTGAGAAGCAGCAAGTTGGCTAAGAGTTGAAGGGAATTGTTTAGTATTTTTCTATAGCTCAAACATTAAAATAAAAGCACACTGATGTGGAGCCAGAATCTGGGCCCATGTGTCTGAATAGCAGGGTTTTCTTTTAAAAAAATTGATCTGTTTAACAGAAAATTGTAAAGAGTTATAAGAAGTTTATGAAAATCTTACCTTATGGTCAAACTAATTAAAACTGCATAAATTTATAAAATTTTATTAAAAACTAGCTTTAGCATTAAAGATGCCCTAAAGCAAACATGAAACTTAGTTTTCTCTTTTGAAAAAGATTTTTATGTAATATTAGAGACAATGAAAACAAATCTTGTTTGCCTTTTGAGTAAACTACAAAAAAAAAAGGGAGGGGAGAGAGAAGAGACAGATTCAGCTGGCCTCATGCTGTCTTCATAGGATCTTGTTGTCTAGAAAGCTGAGTCTCCTCTCTATCAGAGTACAGGTCTTTTCCTTTTTAAAATTTCTGGGTTATCATTTTGGCTAAATGAATGACTTACGGTGACCTGGGATTCTATTTAGTGATATCCAGTGTTGTAAACCTTTGATATGTGACAAACTTTCCAAAATTAAATTATAAAGTATGTCTTTTTCTGACCTAATTAATCTTTTAGATATTAGGTCCCCTAAAGTGCAAAAATGATGTATTTGCTTTCTTATATAAAAATCACACAGGAAACACTGTCAAATATGAAATGATGTTTGGCTTTCTTTGGACTGTATTTTTATAAATATGTTATTTGTATGTGTTCCAAAATTATAGGAAGCTTCTATAATTCTGATATAATTTAATGTATATTAAGCCTTTTAATTATTATGTAAAATTGTTGTGTGCCACAGAAGTAACCAAAATTCCTAGTCAGTTGTAGCTTTAATAGTGGCTGTCCTAAGACTTTTGTCATCCACAGACAGTTGTCTTGTTTTGATCCTTTTCAGAAGGCAGTTTATAATCAGATATAGGGCTCTGATGGGTTCTCTTGAATGCAGGTCTCTGATAATGTAGAAATTGTGTTATTGGAATAGAGGAAACAAAACAAACTTCTAGGACTTATGGAGAGCTGATGTGATAAACATTGCGAATCCTTTTGTTTTTCAGAGTCAAGAAAACTTCTTCTTTTTCTTTTCTTTTTTTTTTTTGAGACAGAGTTCTGCTCTTGTCACCCAGGCTGGAGTGCAACGGCGCGATCTCAGCTCACCGCAGCCTCTGCCTCCTGGGTTCAAGCAATTCTCCTGCCTCAGCCTCCCGAGTAGCTAGGATTACAGGCATGTACCACCACGCCCAGCTAATTTTGTATTTTTAGTAGAGATGGAGTTTCTTCATGTTGGTCAGGCTGGTCTCAAGCTCCTGACCTCAGGTGATCCGCCCACCTCAGCCTCCCAAAGTGCTGGGATTACAGGCATGAGCCACTGTGTTCAGCCAAGAAAACTTTTTTTTTGAGTTATTTAGAACATTTAGCAATTGAGTAAAGTATACTCCCATGAATGAAATTTGGAGCATATTGCTTTCTCTCTACCTGATTCCTCCAGAATTTAGAAACTATTTGTGAGTATTCTCAACTTATGGCAGTCTAGTTTTTTGCATAACTGCAATAAAAATCTCATTTCTTTTGTAACAGGGCACAACTGGAGAAACTGGTTATTTTACCAGGCTTTGACTGGAATGGCATGCTTTCTTTAAATAATCAAAGTTGACTTATAGAGCTAATAAAGGGAAAGCTGGCCTCATACCTTGTCTACACAGTCCGTGTACTGGGTTCCTGATCTGTAGTAAATAAAGAATGTCACTTTCTGACAGGCCCAGGAGCACCAAGTTACCTTAGGACCTTCAGAGGAGGAAAATTCACTCAACTCATAAAGGTGTTTGCAGGCATACATAAATCTGTGACTGGGCTTCAAGGCTTTAAAAGTACAATCTGAGATTCCTTGTAGAACAAAGTTTCAGCAAAGCCAATTTTAAAAGATCCTATATGGCAAATAATTATTCCTACTGGACTTTATGCAAATAATCAAGCCAAGCATAATAGGGCTAAAATTTATTTTGCAAGTAAATTTGACCTACTATGATTTATCTTTAGTAAAACTGGGGACTCGTGAGAGAAAAATTATACTTCAAAAAAAAAAAAACTATCGCACACCTGTTGTTAGTTGTTCTTGAGTTTTTATTATTTTCTGCAATTTGGATTAAATTCTAAATTATCTGTGAGCTACAAGTCCCCAAACTAATGCTTTCAAATCTTTACTTTTAAAACTTGGAATTGCACTGCTTATCCCAGAATGCATTATTTACCATATAGTATGTTGTTCTATAAATGCATTAAAACTATAGATGAGGATACTAACACCCTTGTCATGTAAGCCTTGAAACCCCAACCAGGCACCTATGAGTACATGCAGACAGCTGCAAAGCAGTTCTACTCCTCTTACCTAGGGGTCAATACCTAACCCCACTATGCCCCCTGTTCAGCAGGAAGATGTTAGAGTGGTCTTCATCCTTTTTCCATCTTCATAGCCCACATCTGAAGAATAAGGTGTTACAAAACCCAAAGAAAGGGACTGAAACTACCTTTACAAAAATTGTAACTGAGAAAATTATTACAGTGAAAGAGATCTAACATAACTGACTCCATCTTCCTTCTAACCTCCAAGCTGTCCTTGTTCATTCCTGGGTGTAGGCCGAACTAACTTCAGGAGGAACTTAGTTTATAGCTTAGCTTTGAAACAAAGACAATAACAGCCCTTTCCCAAAACAAATCCCCTTCCTGCCTGGGGACTAGACTGCCTTTGCAAGACTAACAAATTAGCCACAAGATTAGAAATTATGGTATAGGAGTCAAGCAGCTGGAGGCTGCAAGACTCTAAACCTCCCCAGATTGCTCCTGGGGATAACATCAGTATTGTAAGACCTAAGATCAATGCTTGAGATATTTTACAGACCCTGGACTCGATGGATCAGCTGGCACCACTCAGATCAATAAACTGACTCATCTGGTCTTATAGCCCCAACCCAGAAACTGACTCAGCCCCAGAGGACAGCTTCAACTCCCTATTATTTCATCTCTGGCCTCACCAATCAGAACTCCTGATTGACTTGCCCCCTACCTACCAAAGTATCCTTCAAAACTCCAATCCTTGACTACTCGAGGAGACTGATTTGAGTAATAATAAAACTCTGGTCTCCTGCGCAGCCAGCATTGTGTGAATTACTCTTTCTCTATTGCAATTCCCATCTTGATCAATTGGCTCTGTCTAGGCAGTGGCCAAGATGAACCCACTGGGTGGTTACACCACCCGATGTGGTTTATATAACTTATAAAATAAAAGTCTGAAAGCACGGTATCAGTAAAAAGATTTGCCTCATTTGTCAACTAAGTTTACTCTTGGATACAGATATAGACTCCAAAGAATCCCATAAACCATCTAGATTTTGGCAATAAATGAAAACTGAAGAATTTCCTCCTGTTCTTAGTTAGCGCTCCCTATTTGCATGCTGAAGCCTCAGAAGTGTTCATATTTATTATCTTCTTGACAAAGCCTCTTTAGAAGAATTTTTATTGCTATCAAGTGATACATCTATCCCTTAAGAAGAAGAAAAAAAACCCGACAGCACCACTGGTCTCAAACATCGTTAGAGTACTGAATAGAAAGCAAGACACATTGAAAACTGACTGTGCAGTGCTGCTCCATGTGTTGGAGCTGATAGAGTCAAGGACATGCTATCCCCAAACATGGGACTTAGGCATTTAAACAGCAGAAGCAGGAAGGCCACTCTCACCTTCCCACAGCTCTTCTCTGAAGCAGGCCAGAATACCTAGGAAGGTCACTCTCTGCCATTCTCCCTCCCTTCTCCCCTGAAGACCCTCATGTGACAGATGTCCTGACCTGAGGTAAGGAATACCCAGAGGTAAGGAATGTCATATAGGGACACCAAGAAGAATTTGAGCAAACAGTCCTTGCTAAGTAAGCTCCAGTTTAATACCATTAAATCATACCCTTTTGTTTTTCAGTCATAATTCTGTACAACTGACCACAAAAATACACAGATTTCCCTGTTTCTTTGGGTCTTCATATCTGATGGCTGTCATGTCATCTAAAACTTATATTAAATAAATTTGTAGGCTTTTCTCTTGTTAATCTGCTTTTTGTTATAGAGGTCTCAGCCATAAACCTTTTGATGGGTGAGGAAACAATATTACTTTTCCCCCACACTTACAGAGCCGAGCTTTATCCAGGGCCACTTCTGTAATTTTACCTTGGATAAGTCAGATAGTAACTGGAGTTGGTTTTGTTTCATTTTTTATTGCTATTACTGCACTTCATATTTTTGATGCCTTAATTATTAGGATTTTCAACTCATTTTCTAAGTGAAAACAAATCTTTAGTCATTTTCATCAGACCCATACACATTATTATTAATAACGTAAATATATGCCACACACTAGAAGGCACACTTTTCATGTGGGCAGGGTCTGAGCCATGGTAGATAGTACAGGGAGGGAGGCAACACTTTGCTGGTACTATGGGTGTGGAAGGCAGGGGATATGCCTTAGTCCAGTAGTCAAAAATCAAACAGAGGAAAGGAGAGGAATGTGGGTTGACAGGAAATACGACACGGGGTTCTTTAATGTTTCTGTGTCATAATCCCTTTTAGAACTGGTGGAAGCCAGTGACTCCAAAAAACCACAAAGACAATCCATCTTCATTATCTGAGGATTTGCCTACTTGCTAAAATTTATTTGTAACCCAAAGTCAATATCTGCAATGCTTTCATGGTCATTCACAGAAATGCTCAGTCCCCTGACGCACACATTTCCAGCTGATGTCAAAGAAGATGATGCTCTGCCTTCTTATTTCAGCTCTCATAAACAAGTGTCCTTTTTGAGGTCTGTTTAAGTACCACATTTTTTTTTTGCATTTTTGTGATTTTTCCATTGGTAATTTTGCTGTTTAAAATGCTGCCCCCGACCCCTGCCCAACCCAGGGTGGATGTGGTGGCTCACACCTGCAAACCCAGCACTTTGGGAGGCCAAGGCAGAAGGATCACTTTAGGCCAGGAGTTCGAGACCAGCATGAACAACATAGCAAGACCTCATCTCTACAAAAAAAATTTTTTTTAGTTAGCCAGGTATGGTGGTGCCCACCTATAGTCCTAGCTATTCTGGAGGCTGAGGTGGAAGGATCCTTGAAGCCAGAAATTCAAGGTTACAGTGAGATATGATCATGCCACTACACTCCAGCCTGGACCATAAGAGTGAGAACTTGTCTAAAAAAAAAAATGGGCCAGGTGTGGTGGCGAGCGCCTGTAATCCAGCACTTGGGGAGGCCCAGGTGGGCGGATCACCTGAGGTCGGGAGTTGGAGACCAGCCTGACCAACATGGAGAAACCCCGTCTCTACTAAAAATACAAAATTAGCTAGGCCAGGTGGTGCATGCCTGTAATCCCAGCTACTCAGGAGGCTGAGG
This sequence comes from Homo sapiens, assembly GCF_000001405.40. Taxonomy (NCBI): domain Eukaryota; kingdom Metazoa; phylum Chordata; class Mammalia; order Primates; family Hominidae; genus Homo; species Homo sapiens. Next base: position 170,445,454 of record NC_000002.12, on the reverse strand, counting down.
CAGGAGAATCGTTTGAATGCAGGAGGCAGAGGTTGTGGTGAGCCAAGATCACGCCATTGCACTCCAGCCTGGGCAACAAGAGTGAAACTCTGTCTCAAAAATAAAAAAAAAAAATGTATCCCCGCAAGTGTGGTGCTGTCTAGTGTTTCTAAGCACAAGAAGGTTGTGATATGCCTCATGGAGAAAATACTTATTGTTCAGGCATGTGTTACAGTGCTATTGATTGTGAGTTCAATGACACAAATGCTGCAATTGACATACTGTTTTATATTTTAAAATACTGACTATAATTATTTAGAATAAACATATATTAAATAGGGTGTCTTTTAACAGAAACATGTGTAAAATGAGGTTATGCATTGATCACTTCACAAAAATATTGTGGCCTAAGTATTGACCCCGTATTTCCTCCTGGAAGCAATGGTTCAGTATTTGCTGATTCAGAGTTTGCAGCAACTTTAGAGAGCACAACTTTTACAAATAATGAGAACCAACTGTATTAAATACAGATAAAATTTTACATGCGCTATCAAGAGGCCATCAGAACCACTGAAACTCCTGTGTAAATCCTTCTAGAGGCCCAGATAGTACTAATGTTTTGCCGTGAAGTAGCAAGGTTGAAATGTAGGGTATTACAATGAATTATAATAGCAATATTGGTAAAAAATTATTTTTAACAAAAAATGATTTGAGTTCCCACTCTGCAAATAAGTCTTTTATTCTCAAGAAAAGTAAATATAAATATGTACATCTGTATCAATTTTGGAATACTATTCAACAGTATTAACGTGTGGCCAAATTGTTTATTCTTTATTAAATAAATTTTCAGTGTAAACCAAAAGATAAGAAAATTCAGAAACGTGACCAGCCTTTACTCCAACACCTTCAAGATAACTGTGTTTCTCTGTTGGCACTTACAATGAATATTAACGAAGCAGTCCTTAAGACTCTTGTTAAACTTTAGCTGGAAGGATAGAACAGTTAAAGACATATTTTACAGCTGGATATTTTTTAACCCTTCTAATAACTCCTTTGCACAGATGAGTGTACAACTCATTTTTCAGAGGGCAAAGGAGAGCAATAGGAAACACTGTAGTTTCTTTCCTCCCTGATTCCATTTGGTCCACTAGCTTGCTGGTAGTGTCAGAGAAATGCTTTATCTTTTCTTAGACTTTATTTTTTCAGGTAGCATTGTTCTTAAGTGCTCTTTCTGAGAATCAGGATTGTAAGGATTCCATGATGTTTCCAATTTCCTAACCCCTGATTTCCTAAATGCCTTTAATCTCTCTACTAGACTGCCCAGGCAGAGGGCTGCTAGAAGGGAACTAATGCTGCCCACTCTAAGATTATCCCTGGGTCAAGAGTACCTGCCAGTCCATACTATATTTGGTGCAAATCTGTTACTCACCTTGGCTTTCCCAGCACTGAAATGTGGAGGCAAAGAACTTGAGGCCACTGTTATCCTAGCTCTTGTCTGGGCCAAATTACCTGAGAAAGAGACCACAAAGAACATAAATTAAAGGAAAAGTTAAGAAATAGGATCATGAGTAATTTTTCCCTTTGGGTCCTTGTATTTTTCTGAATTTTCAAAACAATCTGCTCTGAATTTTTAAAATTTGGAAAATTTTGACACTTTGATGATATAAATTATAAATTATAATAATTATTTATAAGTTTAAAATAATTTGTAACTTATAAATTGAATTTATATTCATTTTATAAGCAAAAAGAACATAAAATTATTAAATTCACTGAACAAATTAGAAATAAAAGGAAATTCACCTTATACAAAAATTAATTCAAGATGGATTAAAGATTTAAATGTTAGACCTATAACCATAAAAACCCTAGAAGAAAACCTAAGCAATACCATTCAGGCCATAGGCATGGGCAAGGACTTCATGACTAAAACACCAAAAGCAATGGCAACAAAAGCCAAAATTGACAAATGGGATCTAATTAAACTAAAGAGATTCTGCACAGCAAAAGAAACTACCATCAGAGTGAACAGGCAACCTACAGAATGGGAGAAAATTTTTACAATCTACCCATCTAACAAAGGGCTAATATCCAGAATCTATAAAGAACTTAAATTTACAAGAAAAAATCAAACAACCCCATCAAAAAGTGGGCAAAGGATATGAACAGACACTTCTCAAAAGAAGACATTTATGCAGCCAAAAGACACATGAAAAAATGCTCATCATCACTGGCCATCAGAGAAATGCAAATCAAAACCACAATGAGATACCATCTCACGCCAGTTAGAATGGCGGTCATTAAAAAGTCAGGAAACAACAGGTGCTGGAGAGGATGTGGAGAAATAGGAACACTTTTACACTATTGGTGGGACTGTTCAACCATTGTGGAAGACAGTGTGGCGATTCCTCAGGGATCTAGAACTAGAAATACCATTTGACCCAGCTATCCCATTACTGGGCATATACCTGAAGGATTATAAATCATGCTGCTATAAAGACACATGCACATGTATGTTTATTGCGGCACTATTCACAATAGCAAAGACTTGGAACCAACCCAAACATCCATCAATGAAAGACTGGATTAAGAAAATGTGGCACATATACACCGTGGAATACTATGCAGCCATAAAAAAGGATGAGTTCATGTCCTTTGTAGTGACATGGATGAAGCTGGAAACCATCATTCTGAGCAAACTATCGCAAGGACAGAAAACCAAATACTGCATGTTCTCACTCATAGGTGGGAATTCAACAATGAGAACACTTGGACGCAGGGTGGGGAACATCACACACCAGGACCTGTCGGGGAGTGGGGGGAGTGGGGAGGGATAGCATTAGGAGATATACCTAATGTAAATGATGAGTTAATGGGTGCAGCACACCAACATAGCACATGTATACTATGTAACAAACCTGCACGTTGTGCACATGTATCCTAGAACTTCAAGTATAATTAAAAAAAAAAAAAAAAAAGAACACCTCCTACTAAATAACAAGAAGAGGGACAATCAATTAATAAATGGGCAATATATTTGAACAGAAACTTCACTGAAGAAGATACTCAAAGGGCAAATAAGCACATGATATAACTTTAACTTAATTAGTCATTAGGGAAGTAGAAATAAAAACCATAATGATACAGCTCTACATACCTGCTATTATGGCTAAAATAAAAAAGGCAGACAATAACACGTGTTCACAAGTATTAGGAACAACTGGAACCTTCATTGCTGATAGGAATACAAAATATTAGAGCTACTGTTGAAATCAGGTGGAAAATTTATTATAAAGTAAGCATAAATTCATATAGCTCCGAGATAACACTTCCAGATATTTACCAAAGAGAAATAAAAATATATGTCCACAAAAAAAAGAAATAAAAGGAAATTACCACAATATATTAATGGCCATTTATGAAAATCCCACAGTGAAATGTCAGAGGCATTTGAACCACAGCAACTTCATCTTGAATAGGGGCTGGGTGAAAATAAGGCTGAGACCTACTGGGCTGCATTCCCAGGAGGTTAGGCATTCTTAGTCACAGGATGAGATAAGAGGTTGGCACAAAATACAGATCATAAACACCTTGCTGATAAAACAGGTTGCAGTTAAAAAAAGAAAAGCCTGGTCAAATCTCACCGAAACCAAGATGGCAATGAAAGTGACCTCTGGTCATCCTCATTGTTCATTATATGCTAATTATAATGCATTAGCATGCTAAAAGACACTCCCACCATCTCCATGACAACAAATGCATGGCAACATCAGGAAGTTACCCTATATGGTCTAAAAGGGGGAGGACCCCTCAGTTCCAGGAATTGACCACCCTTTTCCCAGAAAACTCATGACAAATCTACCCCTTATTAAGCATATAATCAAGAAATAACCATAAAAATGGGCAACCAGCAGCCCTTGGGGCTGCTCTGCCTATGGAGCAGCCATTCTTTTATTCCTTTAGTTTCCTAATGAACTTGCTTTCACTTTACTCTATGAACTCATCCCAAATTATTTCTTGTGCAAGATCCAGGAACCCTCTCTTGGGATCTGGATTGGGATCCCTTTCCAGTAACACTAACATCATACCAAATAGTGAAAATTTGAAAGCTTTTTCCACACGATCAAAAACAAGACAAGGATTCACACACTCACCACTTCCATTCAAAATATTATAGTACTGGAAGTCTTAGCTGGGGCAATTAGATAAGGAAAAGAAATGAAAGGCATCCACATCAGAAAGGAAGAAGTAAAATTAATGTCCGTTCACAATTTTATATGTAGAAAACCTTAAAGATTCCACATTAAAAGAAGTGTTAGAACTAATAAATGTTAGAACTAACTTTAGCAAAATTGCTGATACAAAACCAACACCCAGGCTGGACGAGGTGGCTCACGCCTGTAATCCCAGCACTTTGGGAGGCCGAGGCGGGTGGATCACAAGGTCAGGAGTTGGAGACCAGCCAGGCCAACATGGTGAAACCCCGTCTCTACTAAAAATACAAAAATTAGCCGGGCGTGGTGGCACGCGCCTGTAATCTCAGCTACTCTGGAGGCTGAGGCAGGAGAATCACTTGAACCCAGGAGGCGGAGGTTGCAGTGAACCGAGATCATGCCACTGCACTCCAGCCTGGGACAGAGCGAGACTCCGTCTCAAAAAAAAAAAAAAAAAAAAAAACCAACACCCAAAAATCAGTTTGTTGTTGTTGTTGCTGTTGTTTTTTCAGACAGAGTCTCACTCTGTTGCCCTGGCTGAAGTGCAGTGGTGTGATCTCAGCTCACTGCAACCTCCACCTCCCAGATTCAAGTGATTCTCATGCCTCAGCCTCCTGAGTAGCTGGGATTAGAGGCACGCGCCACCAATCCCAGCTAATTCAGTTGCATTTTTATACACTAAAAATGAACTATTCAAAAAAGAAATTAAGGAAATAATTCCATTTAAAATAGCATCAAAATATAATAGGAATAAATTTAATCAAGGAGGCAAAAGACTTTTACACCAAAAACTACAAAACATTGCTGGGAGAAATTAAAGAAGACACAAATAAACTGATGGACATCACTGTTCATGGGTTGGAAGACTTAACATTGTTAAAATGTTCATACTATCCCAAGCATTCTACAGATTCAGTGTAATCCCTATTAAGTCCCAATGGCATCTTTTGCAGATAGAAAAAATATCCTAAAATTCATATAGAACCACAAAGGACCCAGAATAGCCAAAACAACAGTGAGAAAAAGAATAAAGCTGGAGGACTCACATTTCCTGAATTCAAAACAGAGTGCCCAGAAATAAACACACAACAGATGCATGATCAAATGATCTTTGATAAAATCACCAAGAGTATACAATGGGGTAAAATAATCTCTTCAACAAACAGTGTTAGGAAAAGTGAATATCCACATACAAAAGAATAAAATTTAACTGTTACCTTATACCATACACAAAAATCATATCAAAATGGCTTGAAGATTAAAATGCAAGAACTGAAACTATAGCCAGGCATGGTGGCTCACGCCTGTAATCCCAGCACTTTGGGAAGCTGAGGCAGGCGGATCACAAGGTCAGGAGATCGAGACCATCCTGGCTAACATGGTGAAACCCCATCTCTACTAAAAACACAAAAAATTAGCCGGGCGTGGTGGTGGGCACCTGTGGTCTCAGCTACTCGGGAGGCTGAGGCAGGAGAATGGTGTGAACCTGGGAGGTGGAGCTTGCAGTGAACAGGGATAGCACCACTGCATTCCAGCCTGGGCGACAGAGCGAGACTCTGTCTCAAAAAAAGAACTGAAACTATAAAACTGCTAGAAGAAAACATAGGAGAAAAGCTTCATAACATTAGTCTTGGCAACAATTTTTTTGGATATGAAACCAAAACATGGGCTATAAAAGCAAATATAGACAATGGGACTACATAAAACTAGAACTTCTACTCAACCAAGGAAACAATCAACGAATTGTAGAGATAAGCTATGGAATAGGAGAAACTTTTTTCAAACTATATAGCTAATAAAGGATTAATGTGTAAAATATATAAGGAACTCCTACAACTCAATAGTAAAAAAGCCAAATAACAAAAAATTATTATTATTATTATTATTTTTGAGATGGAGTCTTTCTTTGTCACCCAGGCTGGAGTGCAGTGGCACAATCTTGGCTCACTGCAAGCTCTACTTCCTGGGTTCACGCCATTCTCCTGCCTCAGCCTCCTGAGTAGCTGGGACTACAGGCGCCCACCAGCATGCCCGTCTAATTTTTTGTATTTTTAGTAGAGACGGGTTTTCACCGTGTTAGCCAGGCTGGACTCAATCTCCTGACCTCATGATCCGCCTGCCTCAGCCTCCCAAAGTGCTGGGATTACAGGTGTGAGCCATCATGCCTGGCCCAAAAAAAAAAAAAACAATTTAAATATGGACTTGACTACACATATCGCCAAAGAAGGCATACAAATGGCTAACCGGTATATGAAGAGATACTCAGTATCACTAAACATTAGGGAAATGAAAATCAAAACTATAATGAGATGAAATATTACCTCATCCTTGGCCGGGCACGGTGGCTCACACCTGTAATCCCAGCACTTTGGGAGGCCAAAGCTGGTGGATCACAAATCAGGAGTTTGAGACCAGCCTGGCCAATATGGTGAAACCCTGTCTCTACTAAAAATACAAAAGTTAGCCAGACATGGTGGCAGGCGCCTGTGGTCCCAGCTACTCAGGAGGCTGAGGCAGGAGAAGCATTTGAACTTGGGAGGGGGAGGCTGCAGTGAGCCAAAATCATGCCACTGCACTCCAGCTTCGGCTACAGAGCAAGACTCCGTCTCAAAAAAAAAAGAAATATTACCTCATCCCAATTAAGATGGTCATCATCAAAGAAACAGAAACAAGTGCTAAAGAGGATGTAGAGAAATTAGAACTCTCTGCACTATTGGGGGGAATATAAAATGGTGCAGCTGCTATGGAAAATGTAGTATAAAGTTTCCTCAAAAAATTAAAAATAGATCTACCATATGATACAGCAATCCCTCTTCTGAGTATTTACCTAAAAGAATTGAAAACAAGATCTCCAAGAGATATTTGCACTCCTGTGTTCATTGCACCATTATTCACAAGGGCCAAGAAGTATAAACAAACTAAATGCCTATCAACAGTTAAATGGATAAAGAACATTTGATATATACATACAATTGAATACCCAGCCTTAAAAAAAAACAAGGAAATCCTGCCATACACTACAACATGGATGAACCTGGAGGACGTTAGGCTAAGTGAAATAAGCCAGTCACAGCAACACAGCACTGCACAATTCCACTTACATGAGATATCAAAAGTAGTCAAACTCACAAAAGCAGAGAGTAGAATGGTAGCTGTCAGTGGCTGGGGACACGAGGAAGTGGGAGTGGCTATTCAGTGGGTATTGAGTTTTAGTCACATAATATGAAAAAATTCTAGAGATCTGCTGTGCAAAACTGTGCACATATTTGATACTGTATTGTATACTTAAAAAGAGAGATTTCATGTTATATATATTTTTTACTGCAACAACAAGAAAAAGTCTCCAACTGGGACACTGCTAATCATTGAAAAAGATGAATATGGAAGAAAAAAGGTGCTGAAGGAAGTTTTCCCGAGAAAGAAGTTAGACGATAGAGCGCGCCATTGTGAGGGTTGAGGACACAGACACTGATTAGTAGACTGGGCAGTAAGGATCCTTCAGGGGAGGAAAAATATCTTTTTCTCTACCCATCCTAGGTTCATGGTTGAGGCACTTATAACAAAGGACAGATTACTAAGTGAAAAGCATAAAAATTTACTTAATGTAAGTTTTAGTTGACACTAGAGCCTTTATAAGGAAACAAAAAGGAGAGTAGTAAAGAAATATGATAGGAAAAAGTATCATCTAATGGTAAGAAACTAATGAAACTTAGCAAGGCCTATTTGTTCAGATTCTTCTCTGTGTCCTTGTGTCCGCAGAGATAAAGACGCTTCTTTTCTGTGGGTATAGGAAGAGCAGCTCCTACATGAGAGTCTTACAGCCTGCTTTAGGAGAAGGTCAGAAAAAACCTTCCTAGATTTTATGACCTGCTTCAAGGGAGAAGGGGGTGGGGGCTAAGAGTGACATTCCTGCATCTGTCATTTTCTCAAATTCCTTCAGCTTAAAATATTCAATAGGTCAAGGGGCCATATTTTGGGACAGTGAGCCCTAAACCCCATCAATCTCTCTGCACGTAAGGAGAAACCTGGCCACCCCCAGTGAATCAGTGGGGTAGGGAGTGGGAGACAGCAGCTTCTGAGTCCTGGGGGCCAATGAAGTTTTGCAGGGCTTTGCATTTGTCAGGAGTGTGACTTTGAACAAGTTGACTTCTCAAAGCCTCAGTTTCCTAGTCCATAATAAGAAAACAGTACCACCTGTTTTCCTCCCATAAGAGTTATTATGGGGATTCAACAAGACAACTTACAAAAAGCACTGCCAACACAGGACTAGAGCAGGGCAACTATTCATTTCACATTAGGTAGTATTTTATTATTATTTGCTGTGAACTGTTCACAAAGGTCTCAAAGGAGAGAGCAAGAAAAGACCAGGAAATCGCACCAAATCTCTGTGTGATCACTGGCTAGTCAAAAAAACTATGAAAGGTGAGAAAAAATGATAGGGCAACTCTTGGCTACTCAGATTCCTCCCACTTTTTACCTTTGAAGAGTCTGAATGGCCTGTTCACTACCCCACACACCCTTCACCACTTCTCTGATTGTTCTTCCCCCAAACCAAGTGTGTGAAGAGATTTGTTTGCATTTTTACCTACAGTGTCATTTGATTCTGTAGCAAAATAAAAAGTTGTTAATGAAAGGAAGTGCTGCAATTTGTGCATATGCAAGATGCTCAAGATTTCAAAGTTTCAGCAAGTCTAGCACAAAGATGTCCAAATGTTTTCTCTGGCGATATCTTCAGAGGCTAAACTGTGATTAATAGCCCAGAAAGAACCCTTTGAAGCAGGATTGGTGACATCAAAGTCGTAATCCAGGGGTGGCAGGAGCTTTATAATGAGTGGGAAGCATTTTAACACATTTCAAAGGATTTACAGCATGAATAAACAATAGACCTCAGCAGATGCGCACACACACCTTTCAGAAACATAACCAAAGTTTCCATTTTAATTTAAATGTAAATAGTGTTCACACTTCTTTCAAATGTTAAGCATCCTCAGTGCTTCACCCCCTAGACAGCCTCCTCCCAGCTAAGCATTGCTCATTGCCCCAGAACACCCTTCTGTGCTTCTCAAAACTGCAACTACCAACATGTGTCCTGTGTTGGAAGGAGAAAACGGAAGTCAGAGGCATCTAATGGAATTTATATCCTATGTGGGAACTGTGTTAAGAGAGAATCTGAATTGGAGATTACAAAGATCTCACACAATTTCCCTGCTTCCAACTTAAAAGAAAAGACACAAGTGGTCTGAAGACAGAGCTGGAACTTTTAAAAGACGGCAATTTTCCGCCTGCTTCAGAGGATTTTCCTTGCTTGGAAAGTACCCAGAACCCAGGGTGTCACCTGTAGTCATCTTTTACTAACTGCCCCAAAGGACAGGTTGTTGTATTAAATAATCAAACATAGAATTCAGTCTCCCTCTGCTGCACCCTCTGGGTTTATAGGACTTGTAGCTGGGTTCCAGTGGTGATTGTTGGTGGGCATTTGTTTGAGAAATTTTCCGATTTTAATTTTCTCTCCAAACACAAGAAATAGGCTAATAAACTAAGAAATGATTGCAAAGCAATGCTGAAATGTAAAAAGCTGTTTGTGTCAAATAGCTACAAAGATAAGGAGCAGTAAATAAAAATCAGATGCTTCAGTTCATCTGTTACAAGATTAAGTTATATCGCAGTAGACCTGAGAACTGAAACCACGTAGCCCACATTCAGCTTAGACACTGAGAACGGAAACCACATCTTACTGTCTACAATACGATGACTTTGTGTAATTCCTGTCTCCATTAGTAGGACTTTCTTTTTTCAGGAGTCTCCAAGCCCAGGCAAATGGTTAGATTGCTCATTACAGAAACTTCCTGAAAGACTCATCAGCTCTTCCATGGAAAGGATCAACCTGACAGTTCATTACCTATGATTCCTATCATCTCTCCTTTCAAAGTCCTCCCCTTGCTGTTTCCACCAGCCCTGGACTGCTGCACTATGATCCTTACCCAGTCCTAATCAAAGGCCCTCACTTTGAAAGACCCTCCTAAAAATAAACGATTTCTCAACAAACTCTGACCTTGACTTCCCTTCTCCAAGACATTGCCAAAGCTTTGAGAGGTGGTGGGAAGCAATAACCTCCACTTTATCTTATCAGTGAGTTGGGCTGGTAATGTTTGGGAGCAAGCTTGAGACAGACCTACGCTAGTGCAATACTTGCAGTAATTAACATGTTCCAATTTCAGTTTATAACACTGTAGCTAACAAAAATGCAAGGAGTTAAATTCAGTACATAGTTGTATACAAACATACTATAAAAAATACTATAGTAGCTAAGTACAGTGGCTCTCACCTGTAATCCCAGAATCTGGGGAGTCCAAGTGGAAGGATCACCTAAGCCCAGGAATTTGAGACCAGCTTGGGCAACATAGTGAGACCCCATTTCTACAAAAAGTTTTAAAAATTAACTGGGCGTGGTGCCACGCCTGTGGTCCCAGCTACTTAGGAGGCTGAAGTGGTAGGATCTGTTTGTTAGATATGAGTTCTAAATTTCTTTTCAAAGAATATGTCAGTATGTTCAATTCTTTGCCTTCTAAACTTAACTTCCTCGTAAAGCAACCTTTTTCAATTACCTACTCCACCCTGACTCATTCTGATCACCTGCTCCACCCTAACTCATTCCAATTACCTGCTACCTTCTCTGCCCTGACTCCCACTAAAGCACTCACCCGTCATTCTCTTTACATTAGCCAATCAGAATTAGCTTAGCCTGTGTGGTCTAACCCTAGCCAATAGGGGAATGACACAGCAGCAGGGGCCACGTGCGTCAGGAATAAGAACCCCTTCCCCTCCCTTGTCCAAGTGTGCGCTCACCATTGTTCCATCTGTAAGGGTGAACCCTTCTATACAGAAGTACCTTGCCTTGCTGAGAATCAAAAAGAAAATTTTATATTCGAGTGCTATTCCTTTTGCAGCACCAAAACTTTATATATAACAAGTTGAGCCCGGGAGGTTGAGGCTGCAGTGAGCCATGATCACACCACTGTACTCTAGCCTGGGCAACAGAGCAAGACCCATTCTCAAAAAAACACAAACCTATAGTATTTTGTATACTAAAAAATCTTAGTTCATCTTCACATAACCATCTCTCCTAAATTTATAAGAAGGATTTATTTTAGATTCGATAAATTGAAGTAACTTAAGATAGCCACAAAATATGACACAGCTGTAGGAAGCCAAGAAAAGGAGATCATGTGTAATGTTAAATTTTGTTCTGCAGTTTTTACTTTCTCCCTTAGCATTTATCTACAGCTTTCACGTTAATATCAATAAATGGGCAGAGCAGGATGGAAGAGTTCCCAGCCCACTTGGACATGACCTAATGTCTTATGAAAAGAACATGGATAATTTATATACAGTCACGTGCTGTGCTGCTTAACGACAGGGATATATTGTAAGAAAAGAGTCATAAGGAATTTTGTCATTATGTGAACAGCATAGAGCGTACTTACAAAAACCTAGATGGTATAGCCTCTGCACATTGTGAAAGTTACAGATACAGGATGAAATCACTTTTGTCAGACCCAGACAAGATAGGGCTGGGAAGGCCCGAAAAAGAAGAGGCTCATGCTTACATGTCTGAGATAAGAACTGTTTCCAAGGACTTTCTAAAAACCCCACAAAAAACCCTTTTGCATCCTTCATGCATCTCCCACTTTGATAAGGTTTATTACTAGGCATTCTATAGGACTGAAGTAATTCAGTTAAGATATTCTCAGAAGAACACTTGCCCAGTAACAGTATCTCCACCAGTGAACTGACAACTCTGGCTTTGAACTTCTGGAACCAATGAACTCTATTTCTAAGCAGCTTATATAAATCTCTTTTTGCTAATAAAACCTCCCCTTACCCTTCCCTCACTGAATGCACTGGTGGCTTGCCATTTTATACCATTCCAGATTATAATCCTTATTTTTATTCCTAAGTAAACCCAGCATATTTATGGATAATTTTCTCTTTTTTTTGTTTTGTTTTGGTTGACACACCTGGGCTATGCTATTTCTTCTAGGCTAAAAACCCGTATAGCATGTTGCTGTATGGAATACTATAGGCAATTATAACACAATGGAAAGTATTTGTGTATCTAAACATAGAAAAGGTACAGTAAAAATATGGTATAAAATGTAAAAAAACAGTACACCTATATAGGGCACATAACATGAATGAGACTTGCAGGGACTAGAAGTTGCTCTGGGTGAGTCAGTGAGTGAGTGAGTGATGTGTGAATGTGAAGGCCTAGGACATTACATTCACTGTACATTAGTACATTAGTGTACATTACTGTACACTAATGTAGACTTTATAAATACTGCACACTTAGGCTACACTAAATTTATACAAAAGATTTCTTTTTTGGCCGGGCATGGTGGCTCACGCCTGTAATCCCAGCACTTTAGGAGGCCGAGGCAGGTGGATCACAAGGTCAGGAGATCGAGACCATCCTGGCTAACACGGTGAAACCCTGTCTCTACTAAAAATACAAAAATTAGCCGGGCATGGTGGCAGGCGCCTGTAGTCCCAACTACTTGGGAGGCTGACGCAGGAGAATGGTGCGAACCCGGGAGGCGGAGCTTGCAGTGAGCCGAGATCGTGCCACTGCACTCCAGCCTGGGCAACAGAGCAAGACTCCGTCTCAAAAAAAAAAAAAAATTTCTTTTTTTTTAAATAATAAATTAACCACTTACCATAACTTTTTTTACCTCACAAACTTTTAAAATATTAAAATTTTTTGACTCTTTTGAAATAACACTTAGCTTAAAACACACATTGTAAGATGTACAAAAATATTTTCTTTATATCTTAATTCTATAAGCCTTTTTAAATTTTTAAGATTTTTTTGTTTACTTTTTAATTTTTTAATTAAAAACAAAGACACTAACACCCATACTAGCTGAAGCCTACACAGTTTCAGGATAATCAATATCACTGTCTTCTACCTCCACACATCTTATCCCACTGTAAGGTCTATGGGGCAATAACACACAGGGAGTTGCCATCTCCTATAATCACAATGGTTTCTTCTAGAATACCTCCTAAAGAACCTGCCTGAGGCAGTTTTATAGTTAACTTAAAAAAAAATAAGTAGGAGTACATGCTAAAATAATAACTTAAAAGCCTACTATAGCACATACGTAAACCAGTAATATAGTTGTTTATTATCATTATTCAGTGCTATGTACTGCACATAACTGTATCTGTTATATTTTATACAACTGGCAAAGCAGTAGGCTTATTATATCAGCATCACCACAAACACCTGAGTAATGCATTGCAAAGGCTAGGACATCACTAGGCAATAGGAATTTTTCAGCTGCATTGTAATCTTATGGGACCACAGTTGTATATGTGGTCTGTCATTGACTGAAATGTCATTATGTGATGCATAACTGTATATAGAAGGGATTGTAGTTTTGTGGAGGGAAGGAATCAAGAGTAAGTAAGAGACCAGACTATCCTCCCATCGGTTTTATTGAAGAAAGGTATGCACAGATAACAAATTCACTCTCTTTTCTGAATCTACAACTTTATCTTGCATGTGGCAAATTCAAAGCCCCAAAGAAATCCCTTCCCTATTACTGTATTGACTTTTAATTGGTAATTGTCTGGCATTTTAAGGAATTTCTGCATAATTAACACCTTTACACTATTTGCTTAAAGAAAGCCAAACCAATGTTTTCACTGACTTTTTTCTTTAGAATATAAACTACAGCTTTAAAGATTTGTGACCCAGAGATCTCAAATTGTAGAGCTAGGGAAAAAATAGTTAACTCCTTCCTTTCTCCTTAAGCTTTAAAACTCATAAACAGGATGTCAGTCCAGCAAACAACTATACTGAATCCCAGACTGTTTCAAGGAGCTAACAAGGCTTCTCTTTCCTAACACAGTCAATAGTGGAGTTGCTCTGTTTTCTGCATTTTATTGCCACGTCGGCAGTAGGTCAGTCTCTTTTAACGAGGAGAATTTCCTTTTAGAGCCAGATGAAGAAAGCTCTTCCCATTATTTTCTTGGTGGAGTTTGCTTGAAAATAATATGGCTGTCACATGGCCTGATGTGTGTTCACAAAAGTACAAGAGCCTATACTACTGACATCTACCCAATATCTACCCAAGAAGACCTGACCCATTTAAAAATACAATAAAATAAAAGCCACATACACATGTCTGTCAGCACCCATGTCATGAGGTGTGAGAATGGCTTATTCCAATCTCAGAGCAATCAGGGATGGTCCTGGGCAAAATCATAATTTAGGCAAAGGATGTATTCAAATTCCCCACATCCCTTTTCACCTCTCTATTTCCACTTCTGAAGGTGCAACATGGCTTTAATGCTGTCTCCTCCCTATCCCAATATCTAATTCCCCCTACTTCATTGTCCCACCCTTGAACTTTTCCATGCAGTACACACCTCCTCCATATTCTCATCAAATCTCCTTTTGTTTTTGTTCCAAACCTTCAGGTTACTATTCTTCTGATACTTAATCCAGGTGTAATTTGTTAATGGACAAAGAAATTTATTAATTCACTCAGGTGAGATGTTTATATGGTATAAGAAGCTATCTAGGCCAGGCGCGGTGGCTCATGCTTGTAATCCCAGCACTTTGGGAGGCCGAGGCAGGCAGATCATGAGGTTAAGAGTTCAAGACCAGCCTGGATAACACAGTAAAACCCCATCTGTACTAAAAATACAAAAATAAGCTGGGCATGGTGGCACGCACCTGTAATACCAGTCACTCAGGAGGCTGAGGTAGGAGAATCCCTCGAACCCAGGAGGCGGAGATTGCAGTAAGCTGAGATCATGCCACTGCACTCCAGCCTGGGTGACAGAGCTAGACTCCGTCTCAAAAAAAAAAAAAAAGCTATCCAGAAAAAAAAATTTTTATGGAATGATTCTATTGATGGGAATGTTGAAAACCTGTAGATGATCTAGTGTCCAGGTAAGGGGGACAGTTTTGAAATAGGGGACCTTTTGTTTAATGATGCTCATGTTATTCATACTTTGAAATAATACAGTAAAGGCCTTCTATGGGTCTTATAAAGATGAATAGAATGCAATTAGTATATATGAGGGATTCATTCTAGTACCCCCTAGTATACCAAAACCTACGCACTCAGCCCTGAAGAACCCACATATATGAAAAGTTGGCCCTCCATATATGCAGTTTTGCATCCAACCAATATTGTATTTTTTATCTGCATTTGTTTGAAAAAAAAAAAAAAAACCTGTGTATAAGTGGACCTGCACAGTTCAAACCAACATTGTTCAAGAGCCAACTATACAGTTCTTTGTTTTAAGGAGAAGACAGCCCAGAGAAGCTCTTGGGGGGAAGGGGAAAGGCTGACATATAAACAATTCATTGCGATTGAAACTGGTGAGTGTTAGAATAAATCTCTGAATAAAGTGACACAAGGGGACAGAATACTAAGTTTTCATGAGAGGATGAGGAAAACAAAAACTGAAGAGTAGTCAATGAATGAGCTAGATTGTGAAAGCTTAACATGAGTTTGACAGGAAATGGAAGGTATTCTATCTGAAAGACATGCGCAAGACAGATACAGAATGTAAACCTGAGGGTTCCAGAGAGTTCCAGAGAGCTTGTAAGACAAATTTCTAGGAGGCTTCTTATTTTAAAATTAGACATTTAATAATAGCATTAAAACATTTATTATTTTACCCTTGCAAACATAAAAACAAGTTACTCACCACTCCCTTCCAGTGAAAATACCACCTGTGGGGACAGTTTTAGGGGGAAGAAAATATGGGGAAGAAGGCTTTGCTAAGGTATCATAAGTCACTGGTGGGACTGGGAACAAAAGCTTGTTCTGCTCTTCAGGTGGCCTTCAGGTAGAATGCCCATTCATCTGTGTGGCCAAAGGTGGATGGTTTGGATACGAGCTACTAGGAGACTCATTCCAGTTAAAATAGTGCTGATATGGCCAAAGTCTTAAGTAAAATCTCATATGGGTCAGGTAGTTTCATACAGAGAAGTTACATTCCACAGTCTAAGAATAGAATCCTAAATAAAATGCTCAGGCAGGAGCAAATCAACTGATCACTGCAAATTAAAAAATCCCTCCCTAGAAGATTTGCACAACATACCTTATCTATTGGTGGTAGGTCAGTCATATAATTTCCCGCAACACCTATGCTTCCTTGTGTTTTTAAGCCTGAGAAAGTTACACAGGGCTTCAGCAAACAAGACGCTGTTAGCTTCCCATTGTGCAGGATTATGATTCAGTGCTTGGAACTATAACTGCTTTTTTGAGTTTCCCTCTTTAGCATGGAAGCAATGAAAAGGACACTGGAAAGTGAGAAACTTGGATTCCTATCCCACACCTGCCACTGACTTAAGGAGATCATGTCTACTCTTTATGACTCATTTGTATTATATGTCAAATGAGGAGTTTGAGAAGATCAGTGGTTCTGCACTTGTGTGTCATGGCATTCCGTCATGGTGTCCATAATGAACACCCTTTGTGGCTATGTAGCTTCACCTAGATCAATGCCAGGCATGTGGTGTAGATGGGGGTGGACTGTTCTCTGAAATGGAACTACAACGAACAGTGTGTAATGTCAACCTGGTGCCAAAATAAAATATTGTGTGATATCTGTGGCCAGGACATGTGTGAGCTTTACCTAAGCTATAAATCAGAGAGCTAATCAAGGAAGTAAACAGTATTGTTCAAAAATCAACAACACGCTGAACAACAAGGAAACACGTAAGTGCAATAACTAGATGCAAGTTGGAGTAAAAAAAGTTAAGTATTGTTAGGCTTCCATCCAGCTCTGAAATTTTATCTATAGTTGTGAAATATCTCCTAAAAGACCCCTGAAGTGGGGGAAATAAGAAAGAACAAAATAAAGACAATAAAACTAAAATCTGCAAAATGTATTATTTCTTAGCAGTTCAGTAGGCAACAGAAGAAGTGGGTGGTGATGATAGCCTCGCTTAGATAAATGGAGGAAGCTTAGATAGTGGTTTTACAGAGGCCTGGATATTTAATTTGCCAATGTTCTCTTCACAGCTAACACAGGCAACCAGCAATGGCTCTGTTGCTATGATCTCTTCAGTTATTCCTCCTCCTTTACTTTGCTATTGTGGCTAAGGTAAGCTTATTCAGTTCTCTAATTTTTTAATATCATTCTTGTTTCTTAGCACGTGAGAGGAGACAGAGGCATAGTTTTTTGCTCCCTTTCTGCAATGTTTTTAAGATTAATGAATTCAAGGTGTTCATTTTTCAACATCTTTATAACATCTATTCTCCTAGTAAAACATTATGCTTCTGTTTGCATATTGGCAAGTACCAGCCATTTTGAAAAACTGGGTGCTAATGTGAAGGCAATAATCACTTATACGAGCTTTTTTTTCCTATTGGGTCTCTGAAAGTACTCAAGGGTAGCTTTTGATATATAGGTATCCAAGTCTAATTTTCACATTTACCAGTTATTTTTGTTATATTTTAAAGAATGACTATTCCATGTCACTAGCTCTTTTATAAAAGAACCTAGTATAAACATCCATGTATATGTATATATCCTTGGGAAAAACTATAGCAACTTAAGAATCCAGAAAATAAGGAGAGGCATACTGAAATAGGTAGTATTCCACAGGAAACCAAACTTGCATGTGCCCAATTGGCCAGCATTACTCATATCTAAACTACATTGTTATAATGTTTCTGAACACCCATGCACACACATTTCTTATAGATATATGTATAACCCGTTCATAAAACGCCAGTGCCCAGAAACACTTCTTCCATTGAAATTTATATGTTTCATGGTGTTAAAGAATGAAGTTAATGTAACTTACATTCTTAAGCACAGGCATTGATTTTTGGAGACCTTGGCTTTATGGAACTGTAATGCTGTATTATCCAAACTAACTGATTTCAAAAAGACTTTCTAAATTAAAGTATTATCTGACAGACTTGCGATGCAATTACTGATTTTTTTTTGAAAGAGTGAAACCTATTGAGAATAAAGGCCAACAAAGATTATTTATCTGATGAAGGAACTCTACAAGCATCACAACTCTACACTAATTCTAGAGGTTGCAGGTAGTCAGTACAATTGTGTCTGAGTCCTTTAAACTCAATGCAAATATGCTATCTTATATTAGTATTAATCTTTAGAAATGATTTGGCTCCTTATAGATGTTACAACCTCTTTGAAGCCAGGTACTAAGTATCTATTTCTTTTCTTTTTTTTTTTGAGACTGAGTCTCGCACTATCACCCAGGCTAGAGTGCAATGGCGCAATCTCGGCTGACTGCATCCTCCGCCTCCCAGTTCAAGCAATTCTCCTGCTTCAGTCTCCCAAGTAGCTGGGATTACAGGCGCATGCCACCACGCCTGGCTAATTTTTTGTATTTTTAGTAGAGACGGGGTTTCACTATATTGGCCAGGCTGGTCTCGAACTCCTGACCTCATGATCCGCCTGCCTTGGCTTCCCAAAGTGCTGGGATTACAGGTGTGAGCTGCCACGCCTGGCCCTAAGTATCTATTTCTACTCCCATTCATTAATTCAAAAAATATTTCTTCAGCTACTGCGTAAGACTTGCCAAGTGCCCTTTGCTTATCCTTCACATAGACAATAAAGAAAAGAAAAAGTTACAATGAACTAGAAGAACATTTTAGAATGTTTCTACCCTTGCCACCTAGAGACAGATTATATTTACATCCTGGCTAACATGGTGAAACCCCGCCTCTACTAAAAATACAAAAAAATCATCCGGGCATGGTGGTGGGTGCCTGTAGTCCCAGCTACTCAGGAGGCTGAGGTAGTAGAATGGCGTGAACCCAGGAGGCAGAGCTTGCAGTGAGCTGAGATCGCGCCACTGCACTCGAGCCTGGGTGACAGAGAGAGACTCCATCTCAAAAAAAAAAAAAAAGCGATGAGGTCTTGCTCTGTCACCCAGGCTAGAGTGCAGTGGCACAATCGTGGCTCACTGCAGTCTCGAACTCCTGGGCTCAAGCAATCCTCTCGCCTCAGCCTCCTGAGTAGCTGTGATTACAGGCATGAGCCCCAGCACCCCCTGTTTATCTTCTTAAGGTAAACACAGAAATCTCAAACTCTCAACAAAAGACAGAGCAAAAGGAAAAAGAGAATAAACAAATGTTATCTACTGCTTTATTGTAAAAAAAAAAAAATCAGAGATTAAGAAAATAAATGTGGAAATCTACTTACTTTTGTCTCATATTTATCACTCTGCTCCAGATCAAAAAATATTTAACAATACTTAAATACTAACATTTTTTGAGGGTTTACAATGTTGTACATACCATGCTAAATGTTTTAAAATGAATTACTTAATACAACAACCCTGTGAGCCATGTCACCAGTCCACAAAGACATAAAACTGAGGCCGAGTATTCAAGACTCTTGCTCAAGGTCATAGCACTAAGTAGTAACGCTCAGAGAACCTATCAAGATGCTCCAATTACACTGTAATCATTTCAGGGATTTTGATCTTATGCAAGGAAGACTACTGAGTAGCTGATGGGATTGCTGCCTGGCCAAACTAATTGGGCCCAGTTGATTTTAGAGGATGTCTGGATTTTTTTTGGCTGTTTACACACCAAACTAGGTCAACTGAACAGTGATTCCCATTGATTACCTGGCAATCACTATTGTTATGGAGAAGCCAAAAAACCTAATCATCTGGACAACAGTTGATTTGATTTTTGTATAACTTGAAGTCCCTTGCGAAATGCAAAGATGGAACCACTCTACTAAATTCAAACTTTAATAAAATCTTAGCAGTCTTCCCTTACAACCTCCAGCTCTCAAGTTCAGTTAAGCAACATTTAATTTAGTTTACTGATGACTCACATGTGCAAGCCAGTAAAGTTCACAATTGTTACTCCACACAGCTGTGGTTTACAGCTTCTCTTTGCACACAACACGTTGGCACCAAAGCAAAATGATTAACTTTATATGCTTCTAACATATGGACCAGACTGTTAGAAGGCAGTCTTGTGTTCTAAAAAGAAAAATACAGTTTCTATTAACATGACCTAAATTCCTGGGGAAAAATGTTAAGTTTTATTCCATCTTTAAGTAGAGAGATGATAATTAGAATGGCTTTGTTTCTAATGTATTTCATTTAAAGTGCCAGGAGGTATCTGTTACTAAGGGAGGGAAATGACCTGAAAGCCTCATTATAAAAAGATTTTAGAGTGGGATGACTTAATAAAGTATAAATGGCTTTGAGACCTTTTCTCCAATATGAGCTATTGAAATATGAAATAAATATGGAAAAAGTAAAGAATCTTTCATCTCAAATGGGAACATTTTTCTTTTCTATGAATGAGAAGGATGCTGGCAGAGAGAAGCAGAATTTCTTTTTCTTGTATTCTGACCATTCGAAAAATCAAAGCTGCTATGTTTTCTATACTTAGCAGGATCATTAAAGAAATAAAACCAAATGGCTCTAAATTGAACTTCCACTTAAAATATACATTCACTGTCTTATTCAGGACCTATAAGAGAACTATTAAAATGTGTTAGGGGAAGATGGTGAATCTGATTCACAATAGACACTAATTTTCCCAAGGTTAGAGTCATTATCATAACTCATTATTAAAGTTTGTTTTAGTTTTTCTTTTTCTCTTTTTTTTTGAGGCGGAGTCTTCCTCTTTTGCCCAGGCTGGAGTGCAATCTTGGTTCACTGCAACCTCCACCTCCCTGGTTCAAGCGATTCTCCTGCCTCAGCCTCCCGAGTAGCCAGGACCACAGGCACGCACCAACATGCCCAGCTAATTTTTATATTCTTGGTAGAGACGGGGTTTCACCATGTTGGCCAAGCTGGTCTCAAACTCTTGACCTTGTGATCCATGCACCTCGGCCTCCCAAAGTGCTGGGATTATAGGCGTGAGCCACCGTGCCTGGCCTAGTTTTTCTTTTTCAAAGACACAGTAGCAACAGGGCCTTAGAGCCAGGAAGGCAAGAGGAACTTTTGGAAATGGATTTAAGATCCACACTGGAAGGATGTCCTGGAAAAGGAACTCAGGAAGATCATCTGATCAGCATTACCTTAGCAGGTCCCACATGATTCTTGACCCTCAAGGTGCTTCTCACAAAAAGGATCTCACTGATTTTGGATGTCTGGTACACGGGAGCCATCTCTTGGTATTTCTGCAGTAAAGATACCTATTGGATATTCATAAACAATGTTCCTTCCCCACGCTTTTTGGTCATGGAAATCTTATTCAGCTCACACCTCTTAACACCACACAAATTTGGTGTTTCAAGAAAAACACTTTGGAAAACATTGCTCAGTACTGATAATATGGAACACTTCTATCTCTCCAAAAAGAACAAAGGAAACTGCTAAAAAGCTTTTGCTATGGGCTGGGCACGGTGGCTCATGCCTATGATCCCAGTAATTTGGGAGGCCAAGGCAGGCGGATCACGAAGTAAAGAGACCAAGACCATCCTCGCCAACATGGTGAAACCCCGTCTTTACTAAAAATACAAAAATTAGCTGGGTGTGGTGGTGCACGCCTGTAGTCCCAGCTACTCAGGAGGCTGAGGCAGGAGAATCACTTGAACCCAGGAGGCGGAGGTTGCAGTGAGCTGAGATCGCACCACTGCACTCTGGCCTGGTGAGAGTGAATTCTGTCTCAAAAAAAAAAAAAAAAAGCTTTTGCTGAAACTCTGCAAATCCGGGAACAATAATGTCTCTTACACACTGGGAGATAATCTGAAGTCAAGTCTGTACACAAGAAAATAAATATTTTATGAAGAAGCCAATCTGCAGAATTATTCTGTGCTACCCCACCTCACTTTATTTTCTTTGGGAGGATCAACAAGAAGGGCTCCTTGGCATTTCTGCATTTCTCTTTGAGAGCAGGAATGAGGCACTTCTGTGGCCGATGCAGCGATCCTCTGCAGTCATGCTACTCGATATGGTGGCTACTGCACATATGAAATGTGGCTGGATTAGGCTGGGCACGGTGGCTCACACCTGTAATCCCAGCACTTTAGGAGGCCAAGGTGGGTGGATCACCTGAGGTCTGGAGTTCAAGACCAGACTGGCCAACATGGTGAAACCCCATCTCTACTAAAAATACAAAAAATTAGCTGGGTGTGGTGGTGGGCACCTGTAATCTCAGCTACTTGGGAGGCTGAGGCAGGAGAATCACTTGAACCTGGGGGGCGGAGGTTGCAGTGAGCTGAGATCATGCCATTGCATTCCAGCCTTGGCAACAGGAGTGAAACTCTGTCTCAAAAAAAAAAAAAAAAAAAAAGAAAGAAAGAAATATGGTTGGTCTAAATAGAAATGTGCCATAGATATAAAATGCACATCAGATTTTGAAGACTTAGTACAAAAAAAGTAAACTATTTCAATAACTTTTATATTGGTTACATGTTGAATAATACTTTTGATATATGAAGATCTATTATTGAAATTAATTTCAATGACTTGTTATTTATTACTTTTAAAATGTGGCTAATTAAAAAAATGTGGCTGCTGGGTATGGTGGCTCATACCTGTAATCCCAGCACTTTGGGGGGCCAAGGCGGGTGGATCACCTGAGGTCAGTTTGAGACCAGCCTGGCCAACATGGTGAAACCCCACCTCTACTAATAATACAAAAATCAGCTGGGCAAGGTGGTGCAAGCCTGTAATCCTGGCCACTTGGGAGGCAGAGGCAGGAGAATCGCTTGAACCTGTGAGGCAGAGGCTGCAGTGAGCCGAGATCGAGCCACTGCACTCCAGCCTGGGCAACAGAGAGAGACTCCATCTCAAAAAAAAAAAAAAGTGGCTAATAGAACATTTTACATTTCATTGTATAGCACTGTCCCATAAGGTTTTCTAAAGAGAGCCAAGTAAACACTTCCAAACCAGAGTAAATCAGGCAGGTGCAGTGGCTCATGCCTGTGATCTCAACTACTTGGGGGGCTGAGGCAGGGGGACTGCTTGAGCCCAGGAGTTCCAGGCTGCAGTGAGCTATGATGATACCACTGTACTCCAGCCTTGGCAACAGAGTGAGACCCCATTTCCTTAAACAACAACAACAACAACAACAAAGCAACTCAAGACTGAACATCTGGTCTAGAGATATTAGGGGTTGGTCTGTTCAATTTTAAGGTCCCATCTAATCTGGAGGCTCTTCTTAATGCACACCCCTCAATTTGCAGATGTGGAAGCTGCTCAGAACTTTAAATCAAATCTGCCAGATGCAAAGTACCAGTTCAGGTAGCTCTTAGCTTATCTCCTGACTTACAGTTCAGAGTTCTTCATTCCACCATAGCTGAGAGGGTAGGAGAAACTGCATGGAGAATTTTAAAAATGAAAGAAACACTTAAGCCACCTATACTTAAACAAAAAACAAGACAGCACTTGCAGAGTACAAATTAAAACCTAAAAACATTCAGGGATGGGGGAAAAAGGCAACAAGAGTTTCAAGGGATGCTCTTTTCACCCCACAGCCACATCATACACGTATTTTCCCCTCAATAAGCTTTACAAAGAAAATCAGATTCTTCTAAACAAGGGCTGAAAACCATTAACAGGGGAAGAGCCAGGAAGGTGTGAAGTTCCTCCTGGGGCTGTCCAGATGAGGCCAAGACAAGGGCAGAAGAGGGCACGGCCCTCACAACATCTCACAGATAAAGCTTCTGGTCCTCCCAGCAGGCTGTGGCAGTAAGGTGGGACTCACCCTCACATGCGGTCCAGTCAGGGTGGCTGGAGAGGGCTGGGTGGCACCCCGGGGCAGCCACGTTCCAAGAGGGAAGTTGTAATGTGAAGGGAGTACGTGGTTCTCGTGCTTAAAGATCTGTACTTTAGCCACAAGTGTACTGTTTGCTTCTGGGAAAGCCCCACTCCGCCCAATCCAAGAAGGGGGCCAGCAATTGATTTCAGATGCCAGAAGTAACTGCAATTACATCTGCACTCCTCTGGTGCAAGAGTCCTAATAAGGGCTTCATACTCATCTCTCTACATTCAGAATATGAAGTTCTGAATGGAGCGCCTTCTGAATTTCACAACTTATTAAAATAGATCTGATTCTGGTGGGCTTCCTGCCAGCACCATAAATCACAGGATGACCCACATTTATGATGTGCTTTCAAAGTGTTCCCAGCACTACCAGGAAACCGTCCACAAATCGCACTCTCTATCTGGACAGAAAGACTCTCTGAGCACCTCCTGTCACACTCCTCTCTAGACGATGGAAAGAGGTGCCAACCAAATGGACAAAAATCCCTGTCCTAATGGAATTTACATTCTAGTGGTACCAGGAATTTTACCCAACCCAGACTAGAAACTCCCTGGAAGAGGTGATGCTAGGACTGAGTTTTGAACACAAAAATGTTGGGGAGGCAGAGGAAGGGCAGGGTTGGGAGGTGTGGTGATGAGGGGTGTCGGTGGGGAGCAGAAGTAATTCTAAAAAGCAGAATTAGCATGGGGCTGTGAAGTAATGTGACCAGTACTGACTACATGTTTGGTATATAAATGAAACAGGAGACCCAGTTTCTGGTCTCATGGCACTTATGATCTTTTCAGTCAGACAAGATGGTCACATGAGACAGGACTGTGCAGCTGGCTAGACCAATGTGCTGAATTGCACAGCTCCAGCTGCAGACTGATGAAGATGAGGAGCCCATGTAATTAACATTTGCTAGTTCCATTATTCATAAGGGACTCTCTGTATCATTGCCCTTTCCCTGAGACAAGAATCTGTCACCCACTCCAGGCTGGTGCTGGAAGAAATCCCCAGCTAGTGACAGAACCTGCCAGCCTACCAGGATCAGGTCTGCAAAAGCTCTGTGGTTCTCTGCTTGTGCCTTAGGCATGAAATCAGCATACTGAGACATCTCAGTTCTCTGTGGGTAATCCAGAAACAATTTCACTTTTCCCTCTAACTTCCCTCACCCATGTGGACTCAGCTTTCTATGAAGATGGCAGCTCCTTAACCGTAGCATAGTCCCATTTCATAGATTTTTCAGTTATTAAATATTATTATGGTTTTGATAATTCATTCTTGTTTTGTTTGTTTCTGTTTTTTGTTTTGTTTGTTTGTTTGTTTGTTTTTTGAGACTGTCTCCCTCTTGTAGCCCAGGCTGGAATGCAGTGGTGCGATCTTGGCTCACTGCCACCTCCGCATCCCGGGTCCTGTTCAAACAATTCTCCTACCTCAGCCTCGCGAGTAGCTGGGACTACAGGCATGCATCACCACACCCAGTTAATTTTTGTATTTTTAGTAGAGATGGGGTTTCACCATGTTGGCCAGGATGGTCTTGAACTCCTGACCTCGTGATCCACCTGTCTCGGCCTCCCAAAGTGCTGGGATGACAGGCGTGAGCCACCACACCCGGCTTCATTCTTGTTTGTTTTTAACCTTTAATGTTACATCAATTCGCAGCTTTTTCCCCACTTTCCTTCTGCCCCCAGGCTGGATGTATGGCTTTCACGGGCTTGGAGGGTTCTTCTCTCCGCTCACCTTCTCTAGGCTAGCTCCCTAGGTGTGGCGGAGGGAGTGGGGATGAGAGGGGCAGAGCTCTCCTTCTCTGACTGGGGATGCTGCAGAGCCGCTCTAGGTGGCCACAGTAGTCCTTGGGCTTTATAAAGAAAGGTGGTAGTCCCCACATGCCCCACAATTAAGGAGCTCACACTTAACAGCTACCCAAGCTCTTAGTGATCTGTTACCAGCTGAGTTGTTTCTTCTCCATAATTCCCATGTTGGAGCCCTAATAACCCCCACTACTTCAGAATGTGACTGTATTTGGAGATAGGGTTTTTAAAGAGGTGACAGTAAATTAAGATGTGGCTGTAAGAGTGGGTCCTAATCCATTATGACTGGTGTCCTTATTAGTAAGCCATGGAGAGAGGCCTCACAAGAAACCAAACCTGCTGACAACTTGATCTCCAACTTCTATCCTCCAGAACTGTGAGAAGCAAATGCCTATTGTTTAAACCGCTCAGTCTGTGTTAATTTGTTCTGGCAGCCCTAGATAAAATAAAGAGTTTCCTAGACCTCTTTATTTGTGAAAAGTACGTCCTGATCCTCGGAGGCTGACAGGTTCTAGCACTAGCTGGGGATTTGCTCCAGCACCATATCAAACTAATATATGATCCCTTGCCAGACTGGCTACATCTTTTAACTGACCTTGAGCTCAACTCTCACAGTACATTCATCTAATGTGTGCATCTTTTTGCCTTGTGCTGATTCCCAGTGAGACAGTAGCACTTGATTTCTTCTATGTCCTCAGACAATGGTGGGGCTGTAGGCTCACAAAGGATCCCTCCATTTTTGTGAAGAACTG
Organism: Homo sapiens; assembly: GCF_000001405.40. Classification (NCBI taxonomy): domain Eukaryota; kingdom Metazoa; phylum Chordata; class Mammalia; order Primates; family Hominidae; genus Homo; species Homo sapiens. The sequence goes on along the minus strand of NC_000002.12, from coordinate 170,418,956 downwards.
AAAACTCAAAATGGGACAGTTCCCCACTATGACATCTCTTGCTCTCTAGTTACCTTTTCCCCTACAAAGGGAAAGGTTATATATTTTGCTAGCTAAGCAAGTATCCAATTAGGGGATGAGATTGTAAGCATCTTTTTTTTTTTTTTAAAGTAATTGCCTCCAAATTTCATGAGTGATTCTTTTGAGAACTGCCTCCTTCCCCCAGTTTGGGGGAGGAAAAGCATACTCTCCCTTTGCCCCCAGGTGGCCCAGGGCCAGGGGATGGAGGTAACAACTCTTAGACCTTTCCTGAACTTAGAATGTGAGGTGCAGGGACTTCTGTTCTCATCATGGGCCTTATTTCCAGGAAAACAGGTCTGGACCGAGCACCACACTCCACCCTGTTGTAAACATTGGCTGTTATTAAGAGCTCCTGTATTTTTCAGTTAGGTGCTAGAGCTTTTATGAAGACCTAGGGATGCACTTTTCACAAACAAAGAGGTCTACAAACTCTTTTCCAGGGAAATCACACTTCTCCAGATTCCAGCTTAAAATTCTAGTTTTGCAAAGAGAAAATTTAGTAGCGATGATATTAATACAATAATGCCTCTGCTAATAAAAAGATGCATTTTAACTCAGCTTAGTTATGTAGAAGACAAACCAACAATGCTTTATTGTCAGACTCAGAAATAACACAGGAAGGCAAGGGGAGTATGGAGAGCATGGGCCCGCCTCTGCCCTGCAAGCCAGACACACAGGCCCCTCAGCCATGGAAACCAGGGCTCCCTAGCTCTTTTGGCCCAAATGAGAGCAATCTCAACTCACTAGGGACAATATGCTGGCAATGACATGAAGGTCAAACTAGGACGTGACCTCACTGAAGCCTCCTGCACACCCACTGGACTGGGTGATTTAAACTCAGGAATCTGGTCCCATCCTTACCCAGGCCTAGGGCTTGGCAGCCCCACTCCCTCCTCCTTGGTGATGCCTCAGTACCTTAAGCTCTCCCAATCCCCCATTCCCTCCCACTCAGAAAGATCCTATTATACATTGAATTGTGTAATTGTGTCCCTAAAAAATTCATATGTTGGAGTCCTAGCCCTTAAGTACCTCAGAATGTGACCTTATTTGGATATAGGGCCTTCGTAGATTTAATAAGTTTAGATGAGGTCATACTGGAGTAGGGTGGATCCTTAATCCATTTTGATGATGTCCTTATAAAAAGGGGAAACTTAAACACAGACATGGAGGGAGAACACCTTGTGAAGGTGAAGGCAGACAGAGGGTTGGTGCAGAAACAAGGAACACCAACGATTGCCAGAAAACCACTGGGAGCCAGGAGAGAGGCCTGGAACAAACGCTCCCTCAGAGCCTCCAGAAGGAACCAACCCTGACTTCACCTGAATCTTGAACTTGTAGCCTCCAGAACAAGGACAATACATTTCTGTTGTTTGTGGTGTTCTGACATGGTAGCCCTATTATACTAATACAGAGCCTTAGATTGGGAGTCCAGACTTGGCCTTCAACTTTAGTTTCTATCTTGCAGTAGTTAACTGAGTTATTTAACAAATATTTATTGAATACTTTCTATGCACTGGGCACTGCTCTGGGTCAAGGATATACAGTAGCAAACAGGACCAATAAGGGCTCTATCTTCAAGTTGTTTACAGGCTAGCATGGAGTGGGGGCAGGGATAGAGATAGATGTATGTTGGCTCTTGAAGGAGACAGTTAAACAGATGATGTGATAGAATGAGTGGGGAAGAGAGGGGCTACTTTCCATTGGGTAGACAGAGAAGACCTCTCTTTGGAGGTGACATTTGAGCTTAAATTCTGGGTCAGAAGAAAGAGATGGACCCATAAAGATCTGGAAAAGCCTATAATCCCAACACTTTGGGAGGCCGAGGCAGGCAGATCACGAGGTCAGGAGATTGAGATGCTGGCTAACGCAGTGAAACCCCGTCTCTACTAAAAATACAAAAAAAATTAGTCGGGTGTGGTGGCCCATGTCTGCAGACCCAGCTACTCGGGAGGCTGAGGCAGGAGAATTGCTTGAACCCGGGAGGCAGAGGTTGCAGTGAGCCGAGATCGCGGCACTGCACTCTCCAGCCCGGGCAACAGAGCGAGACTCCGTCTCAAAAAAAAAAAAAAAAAAAAAAACAACAGAAAAAAAGATCTGGGGAAAGAGTGTTCCAGGCAGAGTGAGCAGCTGGAGCAGAGTCAGGAAAAGGCTTGGAATACCTAAGGAACAAAACAAAAACAGAGTAAATGAAAGACTTCAAGGAAGTGAGGACAGAGATACAGGCAGGGACAGATCACATAGGATTTTGTGTGTACAAAAAAAAAAAAAAAAAAGGAGTTTGGATTTTATTCTAGGTGTGATGAGGATCCAGTGGAAACTTTAAACAGAGGAATGACATGATCTAGTTGGTATCTTTTTTTTTTTTTTTTTTTTTGAGACGGAGTCTCGCTCTGTTGCCCAGGCTGGAGTGCAACGGCACAATCTTAGCTCACTGCAACCTCCACTCTGAGGTTCAAGTGATTCTCCTACCTCAGCCTCCCAAGTAGCTGGGATTGCAGGCGTGCACCACCACGCCTGGCTAATTTTTTGTATTTTTAGTAGAGACGGGGTTTCACCATGTTGGCCAGGCTGGTCTTGAACTCCTGACCTCAAGTGATCCACCTGCCTCGGCCTCCCAAAGTGCTGGGATTACAGGTGTAAGCCACTGCATCCGGTCTAGTTTGTATCTTTTAAGATGGCTGTTGGGCTGTATGAGGCAGGTGGAGAAGCAGAGTTGAGTTAGCAGGTTCAGGTGAGCGATGCTGCAGATGCATCACCATGAACTCTGCTTTCATCTTCACAGGGTGTTCTCCTGGTGCGTGTCTCTGTGTTCAGATTTCCCCTTTTTATAAGAACATCATTTATATTGGATTAGGGGCTCACCCTAAGGACATGATTTTAAGTGGACTATCTCTGCAAATACCCTAATTCCAAATAAGGTCACATTCTGAGGTACTGGGGCTTAGGATTTCAATGTATCTTTTTTTGGAGGGAACACAATTCAACCCATAAGAAATAATTGAAAAGATGAAAGAGACTATGTTGATAAGAACAACCACATCAAGAGGAATAAACAGATATGCAGAAGACATGAGAAATACCTACAGGATCAAAATCTTTGTGGAGGTAAGAGAGGAAGGGATGCTGCGTACAAGTAGAGAGCATCTTACCTGTAAGAAGAGCAGGGATGGTTCAGAAGCCCTTAGACCAGAAGGAAGACAGATACATTGGTCATGTGGTATCTTTGTGAAAAAAATATATAGAAGGAAGATAGAGCAAACAGGAACAATGCGGGTGGATGCGTCGATTTGGCTCATCTATCTATTCATTTATTGAGCAACAATATATTGAATGCTTACTATATGCCAGATATATTTTAAGGCTTTGAGGACACAGTAATGGACAAATGAGATAAAAATTCCCTACCTTCTTGGAGCTTACATTATAGTGAAGAAAGACAGACAATAAACATGATACATAAGTAAAATGTATGTAGTATGTAAGGTGATAGTAAGTGCTAAGAAGAAAAATAAAACAGGAATGTGGATATAAAATGTTGAATAGGTTGAAATTTTAGATAGGATAGCCAGAAAAGGTAGGTTTAGAGAAAAGATCTGAATGAAGAGAAGTTAGCCATGGGTATGTCTTAGGAAAGAAAAAAAAGTTCCAGATATAGGGAACAGTAAGTGCAAAGGCACCTACATAAAACCCACAGCTAACATCATACTTAATGTTTAAAGACAGAAGGTTTTCACCTCAGGATCGGGAACAAAGCAATATGTCTCCTCTCACCACTTTTATCCAATATCATACTGGAAGTCCTAGCCAGTATAATAAGGCAAGAAAAAGAAATAAAAAGCATTAAGATTGGAAAGGAAGAAACAAAAGAGTTCTCATTCACAGACAACATGATTATCTATACAGAAAATCCCAAGGAATCTACAAAAACAAAAACAAGAAGACTTCTAGGACTAGTAAGTTTAGCAAGGTTGTGAGTGACAAAGTCAGTACACAAAAGTCATCTGTATTTCTACATATTAGCAATGAATAACTAAAATCAAAATAAAAAACCCATTTATACTAGTTCTATAAACTGAAATACTTCATTATACATCTAATAAAACATGTACAGGATCTGCATGCTGAAAACAACAAAATATTGATTAAATAAATCAAAGAAGATCCAAATAAATAGACATATCATGTTCATGGAATGGAATATTCAACATAGCAAGGTTGCTAATTCTTCCTAAATTCATCTGTAGATTTAATGCCATTCTAGTCAAAATCCCAGCAGGACTTTTTATAGATATAGACAAGCTGCATTTAAAATTTATATGGAAAGACAAAGGAGCTAGAACAGCCAAAACCATTTTGAAAAAGAAGAATAAAGTTGAAGGAATCATACTACCTGATTTTAAGATTTCCTACAGCCAGGCGTTGTGGCTCATGCCTATAATCCCCACACTTTGGGAGGCTGAGGTGGGTGGATCATGAGGTCAGGAGTTCGAGACCAGCCTGGCCAACACAGTGAAATCCCATCTCTACTAAAAATGCAAAAAATTAGCCAGGCGTGGTAGTGGGGGCCTGTAATTCCAGCTACTCAAGAGGCTGAGGCAGGAGAATTGCTTGAACCTGGGAGATGGATGTTTCAGTGAGCTGAGATCGCGCCATTGCACTCCAGCCTGGGTGACAAGAGTGAAACTCCATCTCAAGAAAAAGACTTACTATGAATCTGCAATAGTGTGGTATTGGTGAAGAGGGAGATAGTTTGATCAATGAAACAGAACCACATAAATAATAACCAATTGATTTTTGACAATGGTGCAAAAGCAATTCAATGGAGAAAGGATAGTTATTTTATTTATTTATTTTTTTGAGATGGAGTCTCGCTCTGTCACCCAGGCTTGAGTGTAGTGGCGTGATCTCGGCTCACTGCAACCTCCGCCTCCCAGGTTCATGCGATTCTCCTGCCTCAGCCTCCCAAGTAGCTGGGACTACAGGCGCCCACCACCACACCTGGCTAATTTTTTTGTATTTTTAGTAGAGTCAGGGTTTCACTATGTTAGCTAGGATGGTCTTGATCTCCTGACCTCGTGATCCACCCGCCTCGGCCTCCCAAAGTGCTGGGATTACAGGCATGAGCCACCGCACCCGGCCTAAGGATAGTTATTTCAACAAATGGTTTTGGAACAACTAGGCATAGTTATGAAGAAAAAAACCAAAACATCTTAACCTTACATTTTATACAGAAATTTACTCAAACTGGATCCTAAATCTAAATCTAGAATGTGAAAGTATTAACTGAGCACCTATTCATACACAGATATACACACAACACCGTGGGTGCACCCTGGCTCTCACTAGTCAGTCTCTAACACCCTTGTTCAAGTTTTCCTTTCTCACCCTAAAGCTGTGCTCTTCAAGAGCACAGCCCCACCACTCACGGCAGTTCAGATCAGCATCACGAGCCATCCTCTGCTCAGCAGCCTGCCATCATTTCTTCCTCCTCACAACCTCCCTCTGCCCAAAGAGGTCTTTCCTCCTTGTCCTATTCATTTAATCATCTAACTTCCACTCCCTTCTCCTTTCCAGTGCTGTAGGCCCTGGCTTAGAATGCCTCATTACTCCCAGACTGTCCAATTTTCTCTAGTCTCTACTAAAAACAAACAAACAGACACCACTCCAATAAGCCTTTCTTAGTTAAAAGAAGTCTTTCCTCATGTTTACCCATGACATTTCCCTGACATTTCCTTCTATTTTTATTTGTATGGATATAGTTGTTATATTGCTTCACTTATGGATTTGCATGCCTGTTCAGAATGTAGATTTTTTGTTCATCTTTTATACATTTTGGGATTTGGCACTATTGATCTCTGGCCATTCTAGCTGGGACTTTGTTGTGTTACTTCTAGAAATAACCTATACATAGCACCATATCTAGACAGATTCTCAATACATAATTATCTATTGACTGAGATACACTTCCCAAATTAAATAGAAAGAAGTGGGTCTCTTTGTAAGGAGGAACTCACTCCCCAGGCCTCCCTGATGGGGCTGGCTCATCAGAGCCTCCATTTCAGGAAGAGCCAGCACTATCCATGTCTGTGGCCCTGAAATTTTGTCAATTAGATTCAGCTCATCTGCTAGACCCTTTTGCTAAACTATCAGGATAGACCAACAGCCATAAGTGGAAAATGGAAACTGAGAGATGGATACCAAAAGGCGCTCTCTTAAGAGCTTAATTCATTTTGGGCATTACAGAATCAGGACTCGGAAAACTGACTGCAAGGATTTCAGCAGTGAAGGTGTTATAGTGCTTTACAGATATGACAATGTAGGGGCTCATCTTGTCTCCCCCATCCAAAAAAAGAGGAGCAAATAGAAGTCAATAAACAGATACTTTATTGTTGATTTTCACTGCAAATCAAATCCCATGGAAGAGACCTGAGTCTTCAGACAGAAGAAGGCAATGAGGGTAAAACTCAGTTCTAGGTTCTGAAGCAAAAATCAAACTTTGAGGTTCAGAGAATGTTCCCTCTGGTGCTATTCTTATTTTTCCTAGTTTCTCCCAAGTTCATAACTTCTTTAACACCCCAAACTACTATTTGGAAGTCAGAATTCATGATTCAAAGACAAAAATGAATTTTCAAGTTCTTTTTGAAACTCTGTTTCTTTCTTCCCCTGAGCCTTTTAAGCTTTTCTCTCAGTTTACTAGTTGCAAGTGGAACATTACCCAAACAGGAAAATATGCCTTGAAACCATGTTATAACATCCTTCCTTTTAATGTTTTTCTATCTAGATCATTCAGTTTGAAAAGTCTCAGCCGAAGGGTTAGAAAGCAGTGTTGCTGCTACTTCAAATTTTCACACCTAAAATCTTCAGAGGATTTCCTATCAATAGGAAGTATTACAAAGAACATTTCATCATGTCTGAAGTGGCCCATCTGCAGGCAAAAGGCTGGCTGCATAAGCATGAGAAGAGAACAGAGAGAATTCATATTGACTGTGGCTGCCTCCTTTTACCACAAGGTCACTGAGAACCTTGCAGTGAGAGTGTGCCTCTCAGGCACAGGCAGCTCCACAGCCAGATGCAGCCAGGTGTAAGCAGAAGGGGGCTGCAGAAACCTGGGAGGAGCCCTGTCTCCTGGTGACCTTGGGCCTCCTTATTCTACTCCTCATGCTTTTTAATCTCTTCAATAGTCTGGAAAGTGGGAGCTGGAAACAAGAAAATACCAACTGGATTACTCTCTATGATTTTATATTATGATTGCACATATACACACCGAGGTTGATCCTCTCAACCTTGATAAGAAATTAAATCAAGCCCCAGTAGTGTCATGCGCCATGTACATTTTGGTCAACAATGGACTGCATATAAACTGGTGGTCCTGTAACATTATCATACCATAGTTGTACTGTACCTTTTCTATGTTTAGATATGTTTAGATACACAAATACTTGGCATTGTCTTACAATTAACTACAACATTCAGTATAGTAACATACTGTACAGGTTTACAGCCCGAGAACAGTAGACTACAACATATAGCCTAGATGTATAGTAGATTATATCATTTAGGTTTGTGTAAGAACTCTATGATGTTTGTACAACGATGAAATCAACTAACGATGCATTTCTCAGAATGCATCCCCATCATTAAGCTATGCATGACTATACTTTTTTTGATATATACTAATGAAGGGAATGTTACCTGCCCAGCAACCCAGAGAGGAGGTAACTTGAAAGAACAGGAAAGTGATCCTGGGGCTGTTTTGAAAGCAAAGGACAGTGGCAATCTAGCTACCAGAAAACCTCAAGTTAACTGTCAGGAATCCTTCGATAAAGAAATTAAAGTTTTTCTTTGCATTTAAACAATTTTAATTCTAATTTTTTTTCAGAGATGGGGGGTGTCACTGTGTTGCCCAGACCGGCCTTGAACTCCTGGGCTCAAGTGATTCTCCTGCCTCAGCCTCCTGAGTAGCTGGGACTCTAGCCATGCGCTACCACATCAAGCTTTTTTTTTCTCTTTGTATTTTAAGGGGTCTTCTCTATCTTTTGGAGAAAAAAACCCAACATTACTATGACACAGAATGCACACACAAAAAAGTATGCAAAACATAAATGTACAGCATAATAAATATAATGCAAGCATACATGTAACCACCACCAAGATCAGGAGCCAGACCACTGCCAACATCTCTTAGGGGTCTTCCTAACAAACGTCTTCTCCTCTTTCAAAATTGAGGAGTCCAGCACTGGACCTCCTTTTATGCTTTGAGCTAATTGCCTCTAAGGTTTCCCAAGTTTTTTTTTTTTTTTTTTTCTTTTTTTTTGTTGAGACGGAGTCTTGCACTGTTCCCAGGCTGGAGTGCAATGGCATGGTCTTGGCTCACCGCAACCTCCACCTCCTGGGTTCAAGCAATTCTCCTGCTCCAGACTCCCTAGTAGCTGGGATTACAGGTGCCCGCCACCACACCCGGCTAATTTTTTGTATTTTTAGTAGAGACGGGGTTTCACTATGTTGGCCAGGCTGGTCTCGAACTCCTGACCTCGTGATCCACCCACCTTGTGATCCGCCTGCCTCGGCCTCCCAAAGTGCTGGGATTACAGGCGTGAGCCACCGCGCCTGGCCTCAACTTTGATCTTTTTCCTTCCTCCCTGTAGTTCATTCCTCAAAAGAGGTTTGTAAAGTAATTGACCATAATATATATGCTTACTGAACTAGTGCTCCATTTAATTTCGATAAAACAATTAAAGCAAGGAAAAATAAAAGTGACAAGAAAATGGTTTCTTATGCATTGAAAATATTAGCATATTCTTTTCCAAAGTGCCAGGATAGTGTGGGATCTTGCTTCTAGTGGGAACATCAAGATGTATAGGCACCTTCCCCTTCACGAGAGGGACATGCCTGAAACAAGCATTGGCAAAGAACAGCATAACTTATTTCTGTCCAGTGAGGTTTCCCATCTTCAAAGGCTGTAACATAATAACCCCCAAAAATATAGACTATGAACGTTTTAAAATTTAGAAAAGTAATATTCTGACATTCAACACAGGATGCACAATCATGTTAGAATCGAGGTTTGAGGGCAACTATTGTCATAAGGAGATAAATTAGTGCCCAATTCTGTATAGAAAATTCCATATAGAAAATGAAGTTAAAAGAAAGTTCTAGTTGGTGTACGGCAAAGCCGTATTACCTTTACTCCTATATTTCCCTCGTTGCCTAAAAAGTACCTTATTACTAGAAGCTGTTCTTTAAATGTTTGTTGATTGAATTCATTCCTACATAAATAATTCCAGAAAAAGAAAACACAATCATGCTTATAAGTTTTGATGTTTGTGGCTTCTTAACTATACTCAAAATGTGGAGAATCCTAAGCTATACTCAAGCTTAGGATCTCAAAGGAAATTACTATGCATAATATATAGCTCAGGAATACTGGGAAGCCTATTGGTACATCACGTTTGTGTCTAGTCTTATTTTTCACTTTTGTTTCTATCAAGTGGTGTGGAGTGTAGTTTCAAAACAAGATTCAGAAACAAGAGGAAAGCTCTTTGGGAGGGGTAAAAAAGACGCAGCGGCGGAGGTTATCTCTTTGTTCCTGTTCCTCCCGCAGTTGGGTGAATCAAGGGAGAACAGAGACCGGCTGCAGGGCCTTACTTTCTGCATAGCGCCCCCTAGTGGTCCAGGCTGTTAAATGGTTTTTATTTTGCCAAAGGTTGAAAAATCGGAAATTCCGAAGTTGTGAACAGATTTGACAAGTCGTTATTAATATTTGTGGGAGGATGTAAATGCCAGCTGAAGAGTTATTTGGATAGATTTTTTTCCCAGAGAGCATGTCCCCTATCAATAATGGCTGTCTCTTCACCTCTGTGCTGAAGTCGCCTGATGAGGAGTCTACATCCCTGGGTCTCTGGTAAGGAAACACCAGATAGCCCTTTCCACACCTGCCCCGAGCTCCTGGGATTCCATATTGAATTAAACCCCGGCTGCTCCAAGGAAGGTCTGGAATGGAAGCTGGAGGGCAGCCTTCTGATGGGCACTGCTACTAGTTCTGTTTACAGGAGCATGTCTGAAAAAAGAGCCGGATTTCAACTTTCCTTCCAAGTTAAGATGAAGCAAAGGCTGTAGACTGTGGCTTTTTTTTTTTTCTTAGCCAGGCTTTTCATTCCTCTGCAAGCTGCTAAAAATCAGACCTGGCAGCCAGTTAAGAGGGATGTGGGAAGAAAAGAAGAGGAAATAGTGAACAATGAACAGTGATAAAAAGGTTTCTCTTCCTCTTTTTCTTAAAAGCATGCCCACTGCTATTTCCAGACCTAGCCTAAAAAACACAAAGCCCTTGAGAGTAGAGCTGTGAGAAGGCTGAGTTGGCCGCCCAGCTAAAAGCAGCAGAATCCCAGGTACATTCTAAAAGGTTGACTCAATTAGAATCCATTTGGAAAAACAGTTAAGACCTGGAAGTTCTGTTCTTTGGCCCTAGTTTCCTGCTTTTTTGGCATGAGGACTGACAGCAATTAAACAGAAGGTAACTGTAAGTAGGCAAAGGCCACATACATAGGTGATGGACCTGTTCCAAATTGGTTAGGAGAGAGGTAGGGTGGGGTCATAACTGGGTAGAAATTGGACCAAGGTGATCTTTGAGGATCCCCTGAACTCTGATTCAACACACTCCTTTAACTTGGAATGACACACAAGTAGAAATAATCTTCCTGATAAGTTTTGGTAAACTGAGACTATCCTAGATTGCTTAGCATGAATTAATGATATCGTATGGCTTTATAAAGGGAAGAATGAAAAGAAGGACAAGAAAGTCTAAGAGTTGATGTTATGGATAGTGTATGTATGTTTATGTGTGCAGCTACACGTGTCTGTGTACACACGGATGCTGCACAATTCAATTACAAAAGAAACAAACATTTTCCTTTTCTTGAATTTAGACCCTTACTCCTGCTTAAAGAAGTTCAATGTTAGCGGTGCAGCCCTGGCAGTATTCAGACACTAACTGGAAAATTTCACCTGGTCTTGCAAAAGCTTTAAGAGCAGGGCTATCAGAGGGTTCCCAAGTACCTGTTTTGGTCAGAGGGATTGAGAAGAGCTGCTGAAGAAGCTTGTTTTCTGACGTTCTCAGGACCACAACCACATCGGCAGGGAGAGTGTCTCTATTTTTCTCAAGAACCCCAGAAGCATCATATAATACCTGTAACATGAATAGCAAACGGCAAATTAGCCAAGTCAACTGTCCGTCATTGGTGACACTGGCAACTTGCCTAACCAGTTGTTAATCAACCTCTATATAGAACTCATCTTTACATAGCTTTCATATCCAGAGCACCAGATAAAGGGAATAATTATGATGTTGACAGACCAGTTTATCTTAACTTATTGTCTAGTTGCTTTGGTTTTTGTTTTTTATGGGTTTTCTTTTGTTGTTGTTTTGTTTTTTTCTTTCTTGAGATGGAGTCTTACTCTGTCACCCAGGCCGGAGTGCAGTGGCATGATCTTGGCTCACTGCAACCTCCGCCTCCCGGGTTCAAGTGATTCTCCTGCCTCAGCCTCCCGAGTAGCTGGGACCACAGGTACATGTCACCACGCCCAGATAATTTTTTGTATTTTTAGCAGAGATGGGGTTTCACTGTGTTAGCCAGGATGGTCTTGATCTCCTGACCTCGTGATCCACCCGCCTCGGCCTCCCAAAGTGCTGGGATTACAGGTGTTAGCCACCGCACCTGGCCTGTCTAGTTGCTTTTTGAAGACTACTATCAAAGATAAATCACATCAGAATAATTATTAAAATATATTAGATACCATGTGCAAAGCATCCATCCTATGAGGTAAACACTATTATTATCTCCATTTTACTGGTAGGCAGGCAGAGACTTAGGAAGAGGCTGAGTAATGTGCCCACGGTCACACATTTCACAAGTGGTAGGTAGGTATCAAAACTCAGGCAGTTTGACTCTATGCTCACAACCACTTTAAGTACTCTCACTGCCTCCCTAGGTCCTCATGAGATCTGAGTGATCACTCAAGGATGCTGAGTAGTTCTTGGTTCTCAGAACAGAGGGGATCCAGTTCAGATAAATTTTAAGGAACACCCTCAGAGAATTCCTTCTCTACAAATAAGCTTTGAATGGCAAATGGATGCAGCAAAGGACACAGAGGCCAGAAAAAATAAAAATAAAAAAAGTTTTTCCCCTAAAATCAAGAAAGGAAAATAGTAAGAGTCAAGAAGACGGGTGGGTAGGACATAGTTATAAAAGGACAGAGAGGTGAGAAGAGGAGGACAGGAATGGGAGGCAGAAAAGAGGAATGGGGAGGGGAATCAGGGTAGATGCTGGTATTTCAGACTCTGAGGAGGACCTTAATATGCTAAGGTAAATAAAATATTTAAGGGCAAAAACTGAATTGCAATGTCTAACAAAGATCCAAAATAGATACCATAAAGTACTATGTGGAGAGAAAAATAATCCCCTTCCCTTGTACTAGAATTTCCCAACATCCAGTTAGGAAAATCAGTTCCAATGCCATGATGTGAATATGAATGACAATTTCAATACATCTGAAATTAATAAAATAATCAAAAATGTCTTTTATTGAACTCCTACCAATTTTCTGGACCTACAGCCTCAGCAGAGCCCAGAGGAACCAATCAGCCATAATTCAAATGGCTCCTTTGGGAGTAACATAAGCAAGGAACTTGTGGTTATGGGATAGGGAATTTCCTGAATCAGTCACTAATCTGCTTCAGGAACTTGAAATTGAGACTGAGGCATAATGTATGAAAAGTGGACATTTCAGTTAAGTTGTAAAAGCTTAACATCTGGATAATAATGTGAATTTTTTTTTCTTTTCATCTGGACATTTTGGGGCCCTTAGACATATGATTAAAGTACTAAAAATTGAGTCCCACTGTGATATTAACCTTCCTGCATTACCTACATGTCTCCAAATGACTTTAGAATGTGAACATTTACTGCTAAACACCGCAAAAAGCTGTAATGTGTTTTCTCTCTGGAGAGCTGTCAGTTCTAGGCCAAACCTCAGGTGAGAAGCAGATGGCAACACTGTGGGCCACCCCAGTGAGAAATTGCTTCTATGCCAGGGGCAACTTTCTGTGAGTGGCACCACTGAGAAACTTTAAGAATTATGATTAGGTATTCAGGAAGAATTAAAATGGGAAAGAAATCTGTAAGCAATTTCATGAGCAGCACAGACAGGGTAATACAGACACTTACCCTTTGCCAAATTCAGGTCTAATAACTGTCACACTGGCCTCACCTTTCCAGCATAATGCTGAATGCCAAAGCACAGTTCCACTCCTTTGGGCCTCCAGAAGTATTTGCATCGTAGATTATCTTCAAATTTATCTGTGTGGATTTTTATGTTGGAGAGTTACAATGTGAATTATTTCCTCTTTCAAACAAAAACTTGTTCCTCAAGCCATGAATGACTCAGAATAAGGGCTTTCAGAATAAGGCCTTGATATTAACAAGGGTGGAGAAAGATCACCGATATGATGGGCATTTATCATTATATCCTTGCTTAGTTGTGTAGCATTGTCTTAATGTCAGGCTGTGCTCTAAGATCGTATATTCTCCTGCTGTTTCTAAGAACTCCTAGCATGGACACTGATGACACCAGAGGCCCTGCCAGTTAGTTTTAGAACCTGGTTTAAACTCATCTGGACAACTTGTGACAATGTTATATATAAAAGAAAACCACTGAGGGTTATAATTTCAACTCATAAAAGTGAATCTCTGCCACAAATCAATTTTCCAGCTGGGGAAAAGGCTTGAAACTTTTTGTTCCTCCTTTAACACACGATCTTTGCTATTGTGGTTGAAAGCTTACTAAGTATGAGAAACTGCTAAGCACTAAAGGCACATAAAGACTGAGGCTTCATTGCCCCAAGCACCTCGCAATCTAAGTGAGGAACAAAGGTTGTGAAAAACACTGAAGATTCAAGAATAGGGTACAGAATAGAGGGCCTTTGATGTCAGGACGAGGTGCCCTATATTCATCCTGTAGATAATAGTAACCTAATGAGAAGGTGGCTTTAGAAAGACTAAACTAGCTGGGATGTCCAGGGTAGATGGGGCAGGTAGGAGCCTGGAAGTCAGGAGACTGGAAAGGGCTTCTGCATGAAATCAGATTAGAGGTGGATGGGGGTACAGGGGAAGACATGAGATGGGGGCACACAAAGGAGGAGAAGCAAACATTGCCTATAGGAAAGAAGAGAGAGGAAGGTGTAAAAATGAAATCAACATGGGGGTAATGCTAATCATGTTGGCAAGAATAGGAAAGTGGGAAGGTGTTAGGAATAGCGATGGGTTTGCTTTAACATTCAAATTCTACCACAACACTTCAATTCAATGAAAAAGAAGGCCTATATTCTTACAAACCACCATATAAACAAAATATGTAAGGTAAATTCATTAAAGTACACTCAATTGATGACACAAGCCAAGTTTTGTTCTAAATGTATATGCCTGTTTCTCAGAAGTTACCTACCAACCAGGGTCTGGTCAGTTGCTTGGGGAAACCGACTTTCCTCATCCAAAAGTGCAAGCAGTCCCAGGGGTTTCTGGAGGAACATGTCCAAGAGCGGGCGGTTGTCCTCATATTCCACGGGTACAGCATCAATGCCTTCATTCTGATATTCCATCTGGAGGGAAATGGATTGTGATTCTCTCCAGCCCAAAACTAGCCTTGGGACCACCAGGATACTTTGACATGGACTTTCTGGGTCTAGCAACATTGAATGCATGTGGAAAGCAGGATATGTTTTATGTGTATAATAAAGGAATCTTCTGCATATAACACCATTAAAGCTGTGCACTTAAATCTGACTTACAAGTGGCCTATGGCAGCAGCTAAACCAGTAAAACATCTCTCTCAAATGTGGACTTGGTAACTTATCATTTAGAAACTAATGTACAAGGAAGTGAAGCTGAAAAAAAAAATTTATTTTGGTGAGAAATATTGTTTAAACCAAGAAAACAGACTTCTCTTCTGCAAGGAGTTCGACAAAGGAATCATCTAGGGTTGGAAAACTAGAAAAACTCCAGATTACCGGGAAATAAATGGAAGGAACCTGGACTGAAACAAGAGTGGATGGGAGAGGAGTGCTATACAGATTTATCCAGCTCCAGAGATAAAAGCAATGCTGGTATTTTCACTAAATGTCTTTGTGTCTATCTCATCGAAGTTGAGTTTGTGCGTCCTCATGCCTGCATTAAAACAATTATCCCTGCATCGAAGAGGCTTAGCCAGAATGTTTCATTATTGCAACTACTTCATACAGAAGAGAGTCTTAAGGTTTAAGTAAAGGTTGGGGTTGATCAGACTGCTATATAGGCTGCTGCCACAGGAAAAGAGCCCCATCCCTTGGGTCCACTAGTTTCTTACTCTGTCTTATTTATTATTAAACTCATAGAGGGATGATTTCCATTTCTAGAAAACCAAGAACACATCTTACTCTTCCCTGGAGATACCTCTCCAGTGACTGTGGGATCTGGTATATAGCAGATAGGGGATAGGGAGGGCTAGTGTAGCAGTTAAGAACCTATGTCCCGAATTCAAGGTCATCTGTGTCATTTTGAACGCAATCATAAATATTTTTAGTTAAATAAAGTAGAAGAGATACAGTATTTTGAGCAATATGCACGAAAGAGTTTTGACACAAAATTTAAATGAGTGACTTGTCACCAGCTCCACTCAAGTGAGGAAATGTACCTTTCCACAGAAATCGAGACCTTTTCCAGACAAATTTAGACTATTTAGCCAGGACTGCCTTACCCTATTTTCTCTCTAGGGTCTTTTAGTTGTTAGTCTACAGGGTTTCTGCTACAAATTGTGGGCAGCTTGGAGACACCTTTTCCCCATCAAGTTTAGTTACCTCAGAGTTCACTATTACCTGCTCAAGAGCAAAAACATGCTGATTGAAATAGTACTGGATTTGCTCATTGGCGATGTTTATGCAGAGCTGCTCAAATGAATTTCTCTGAAAATTCTCGAATCCAAAGATATCCAAGATCCCCACATTCATTCCACCTCCTGCACTACTGCATGAGAGAGAAGAACAAAACTCTTTAGGGGAGGAAACACCCACCTAAAGAGGATGAGAATATATGTGCCCAAGTGCTTATCAGCTCAAGTACCCAATTCACCCACTCATGGAAAGCAGCATCCTGCCACCCCTAAGAAAAGAAGCAGTTTATGTCTCAAACTATTTGTTCTTTTGGCCTTTCAATAGTATTTTCAACTTCTTTTTTTTTTCAAGCAGTAGAATCCTTTAAAATCTTACTCAGAAACTCCATGTATAAAATAAAATTTTTAAAGTCCTTTTGTTTGAAGGGGTTGCAGCTGTTGCTTATTTATTCTCCCACCTATCTACCCACAAGGATAACTGGAAGAGTACTCTTCAGAATTTGATGTGGTGAATTCCTCCACAATATAGGAAACCACTACGCCTAGGAAAGAGCAAGGAAAAGTAGTTGAAGAAGTAGGAATAGTAATGTAAGATAGTGTGCTTTAAATTTTTTCATAAAATGTCTCTTTGATTCTAAAAACAAAACTATGAAGAGGATATTATTATCCTCATTTTACAGGTGAGAAAACTGACTTAGAACATGCAGCTGATTAAAACCCATTTATGCTTGGTGTTCCATTATTGGAACACAAAGCATATGGGAGTTAGTTATTCACATCCTACTGCTCAAGGTCATCGCCAAGGTCTGATGAAAAAATTCAAAAAATTGCAACCTCAGGCATAAATGGGTTAAGCTGTAGAGTTTGGGTGCGAACCCAGTTTGTCCAGCTCCCAGCCAAGACTATTCTCTCAAATACTACACTTAGTGGCTCCTTCAGTCCTTTGCCTCTCGGGTACAAATGCTTCAACTGTCCTGGATCTCACTGTGTCTTCTAAAAGAGAATGCCTAAATTAGCCGGGCGTGGTGGCACGCGCCTGTAATCCCAGCTACTCAAGAGGCGGAGGCAGTTGAATCACTTGAACCCTGGAGTTGGAGGTTGCAGTGAGCGGAGATCGTGCCACTGCACTCCGGCCTGGGCAACAGCGTGAGACTCTGACTCCACAAAAAAAAAAAAAAAGAAAAAGAAAGAAAATCCCAGAGAGGACCAAATGCTTCCTTTTGCAAACTCTAAGAGACGGCGGGGTCAATGACAGCTCTCCTGAGACCCTCTGCTCTCCGAGGAACTTGCCATATGTTTTCGTCTGGCTGCAGGAGTGTATTAATGCGATTCACAATCCAGCTGAAGAGCCTCCCATACAGGGCTTTGGACATGGCGTCTCGAACGTCCGCAGCCCTGTCTACAGTGTTGGCACGGATGATGGTCTCGCCCCGGGTGACCACACAGTGGGAGGTGAGGGCCTCCTGGAGCTCTTCAGGGCTAATGCACAGAACAGAGGCAGCTGAAACAAAGAGTAAGGATAACACAGAATGTAGCCAGACCTTCATTCAGTCAGTCTGTTCAGCATTTATTCAACATCTACTATGTGCCAGACTCCATTTGGGTACTTTTGACTCAAAGATAAACAGGCTAGATCCCTAACCCCAAGAAGCTTCCAGACTGACACAGTATCTCCCAAACTGTTCTGAAAGCTCTTACTTCATAGATGCTTGATGAAAAAAAAGGAAGAGGAGGTGGTCTTTTGCCAAATAAATTGGGGAAATAGGTGCAGACTGTATTCTACCCTTAGTCACAAAATACATTCATATATTAAAGGCCCTAAAATGTCCTACAGTTTTAACACAAAAAGGTTTTTACTTCATTTAAATCAGTTTGTTTGTTTGTTGTTCATATTTGAGGATTCTCACTCTTTGTGCCACCATAATTACCCGTGGAACTTTAAAAATAAATAGGCGCCTGCTTTCTCTCCTGTATATGCTGATTTAGTGGATTCAGAATGGGCCCAACCTCCTGTATCTTTTTCAGTTTGTAGATGATTTTTTTAAAACAGCCAAGGTTAAAAACCACTGCCCGCAGTGAGCCGAGATAGCGCCACTGCACTCCAGTCTGGGAGACAGAGCGAGACTCCGCCTCGAAAAAAAAAAGAAAAAAACACTGCTCAAAATTACCTGCCATAGAATTCTTTTCTGCAGAATACTTGCAGCTTATGGAAGGAACACTGGTGTTCCACAGGACATCCTTGGGGAAATACTAGTTCATGAAAACATCCAGAGCCATTAGAAAGACCAGCAGGCTGGGTGAATCCCAACACTTTGGGAGGCCGAGGGGGGGGGGGTGGATCATGAGGTCAGGAGTTCAAGACCAGCCTGGCCAAGATGGTGAAACCCCGTCTCTACTAAAAATACAAAAATTAGCCAGGCGTGGTGGCAGGCGCCTGTAATCCAAGCTACTCTGGAGGCTGAGGCAAAGAACTGCTTGAACCTGGGAGGCAGAGGTTGCAGTGAGCGGAGATTGCACCACTGGACTCCAGCCTGGATGACAGAGTGAGACTCCATCTCGATAAAAAAAAAAAAAAAAAAGGACCAGCAAATGCTGCATTATATTTTACAGAGCCTAAAGAAGCACGTGCTTTGGCAACAACACAGCCCACAAATATCAAATAATTACCATTTTGCAAAGCTTCAGCATTGGGCACCTCACTTTTATCAGTCTGATGTTGAGAGGAAATAGCTGCGAACTCAATGTTCCCAATATTCAAAATCCCAGCCAAAATTCTGTACACTGAGTGCACCTCCTGAAAAGGACATCAAGAACCATATATGAAGGTCATTGCCAGTCAAACTAATGAACCATTAGACCTGTAGTGGAAACTACTAGTTGTCTACCAAAGTCCATTCTCCCTCTTTTCCTGGACACACAGCAAAATTTCCCAAACTTCTTTGCAGTTAGAGGTCGTCATATAACTACATTTTAACAATGAAGCAAGCAGAATGACGTGGGTCACTTCTGGGCCCAGGCCTTACCGGCATGAGCATGCCTCCTCCACACTTTCCTTCTCATTATTGCCGGCTGGAACTCCCAGCACAGCCTTACCATGCCACTGATGAGGATGCCTTAGACCAACAATTGCATAAACGGAGTTGCTCTGCAACCTGAACCTCTTATCTGGAAATGGTTATTAAGAGATAACTAATCTTCTTTGTTCTTTAAGCCACTTTCAGCCTTTTACCCTAACTAATACCAGCTCCCAAATTCAGGTATGATCTTTTGTTCAAAGCAAGAGAGGAGCTGTTTCCTTAACCTCTTTTGAATATCGCTTTTATGAAGTAGTTGGGAAGACATTCATTCATGGCTCCTAGAACATTTTAAAGTTAAATGATGGAATATATAGTTATGAAGTCAGGAAATATTTTGAAAGACTCACTAGAAATTATCTGTGATAATTGTATATTAAATTATATTTTTATATAACAAGAAATATATATAATTAACCTTTTTTTTTTTTTTTGAGATAGAGTCTTGCTCTGTCACCCTGGCTGGAGTACAGTGGCACAATCTCGGCTCACTGCAACCTCTGCCTCCCGGGTTCAAGCAATTCTCCTGCCTCAGCCTTCCAAGTAGCTGGGATTACAGACATGCACTGCCACACTCAGCTCTTTTTGGTATTTTTTAGTAGAGACGGAGTTTTGCCCTGTTGGCCAGACTGGTCTCTCTCTTTTTTTTTTTTTTTTTTTTTTTTGAGACGGAATTTCGCTCTTGTTGCCCAGGCTGGAGTGCAATGGCGCGATCTCGGCTCACTGCAACCTCTGCCTCCCAGGTTCAAGCAATTCTCCTGCCTCAGCCTCCCGATTAGCTGAGATTACAGACATGCACTACCACGCCCGGCCAATTTTGTATTTTTAGTAGAGATGGGGTTTCTCCATGTTGAGGCTGGTCTCAAACTCCTGACCTCAGGTGATCTGCCCACCTCAGCCTCCCAAAGTGCTGGGATTCCAGGCGTGAGCCACCACTCCTGACCAACAACTGACTTTTAAACAACACAGGTTGGAACTGCACATGTCCTCCTATACATAGATATTTTTCAACCAAACACGGATCAAAAATACAGTATTCACAAGATGTGAAACCCACATATACAGAGGGCTGACTTTTCATGTCCTGACTGCAGGACTCGAGTATGCTTGGATTTTGGTATATGAATTGGGGGTTCCCGGAACTAATCCCTCACATATACGGAGGGACTATTATATTTGTTCTTTGCTCCCAGTTCCTGGCACAAAAGCATCTAAAACCCTTGAAAGTGAGTGATAGGAATGCTAGGAGTCTTTCGTTATTTACAACAAGCCCCTTTCAACCATACCTGAGTTTATACTAAGCAAGTGACTCTTGGTGGACCTCTAGATAGCTTTAGGATGGAGAGCTGGTTGCCAGAGGAACCAATCATGTGATTAGAGAGTTCGAACTTTTGGGTCCTCCTCAACCCAATCTCTGGGGAGCAGAGAGGGATTAGACATTGAGTTAATCACTAATGGTCAATGATTAACCAATCATGTGAATATAATGGAACCTCCGTAAAAACCCCTAAATGATGAGATTCGGAGAGCTTTCAGGTTGGTGAACACATGGGTGCTGGGAGAGTGGTGTGCTCAGAGGGAATGGAAGCTCTATGTTACTTCCCACATACTTTGCCATATGCATTTTTTCCATTTGACTATTCTTGAGTTGTATCCTTTTTTTTTTTTTTTTTTTTTTTCTTTTGAGACAGAGTTTTGCTCTTGTTGCCCAGGCTGGAGTGCAATGGCGTGATCATGGATCACTAAAACCTCCGCCACCCAGGTTCAAGTGATTCTCCTGCCTCAGCCTCCTGAGTAGCTAGGATTACAGGCACCTGCCACCATGCCCAGCTAAATTTTTGTATTTTTAGTAGAGATGGCATTTCACCATGTTGGTCAGGCTGGTCTTGAACTCCTGACCTCAGGTGATCCACCCGCCTCGGACTCCCAAAGTGCTGGGATTACAGCCATGAGCCACCACGCCCAGCAGAGTTGTATCCTATATAATAAAACAGTAATGGTAAGTAAAGTGTTTTCCTGAGTTCTAGAAACTATTCTAGCAAATTATCCAACCTGAGGAGGGAATTGTGGGGACTCTCAATTTATAGCCAGTCAGTCAGAAGTATAGGAGACAGAAGTATAGGTATCTGGAGTCAGAGTAGTCTTGTGGGACTGAGCCCTTAGCTTGTGGGATCTGATGCTAACTCCAGGTGGAGAGGGTCAGAATTGAGTGAATTGTAGGACACCCAGCTGGTGCCAGATAATTTGCAGGTATGGGGGAGAAAAACCCACATATTTGGTGTCAGAAATGTGAGTAAAAACGGTTCCGATTATCTAAGCTCTATTTTTATATTGAAAGTTGAATACATATGTATCATTAATGGTAAAAAGAAATTAAGGTGTATTTACTTATTTAAAAACTTACATTTTCTATACGTGAAACAACGAAATATATAGCCAGGAAAATTTTGCATTTTATGCTTATAGACAGAGAAAAGTACTTTCACAAAAATACTCAGGCAGGTAACTTGATTTGGTACTCTACACAGCAGCAAAGGAATAGGAACGGTCACTGGACCATTGATAAAGCATTGCCTCACAGATTACAACTTCCTATAAACATTACTCAGTAAAGCCAAAAAAAGGAACACAGACTATAATAGTGACATCTGCTGGATACCTGATAATGCTACAAAGACAAATGAAGATTTTAAACGAGGCTTCTACAATGGATAAATGTTATTCTTCCAACTTCTAAATCAAAGGCAATATGTCATTTTTTTTTACTTTAAGAATCATTGTTTAATCACCCAACTTAAGAGTGGCTAAGGAGAACACCTACTAAGTAGGTTTTCTGGGACTTGCTCGGATTTAACATGACAGCACCTCGTTACTTTGATCAATACAGTGTGAGGCTTGCTCACTACACTGAGCAACTCCCACAGAGGCAGATCCCAGGGGGTAAAACAGAGACTCTTGCAGTGAGTTCTACATCAGCTGTTTCTATATCGAGGTTATCTGAAACTCTCAGTACTCTTAGAAAAAATAAATGTATTTCCTGTAATTAAAACACACATCACACAAAGACTCTCTCTCTCTCTCTTTCTTCATGTATTACAGTACAAGCTCTGAAACCTCCCAAAATAAGACTTCCAGCATTTCACCACTGGGATAATCACCATAGAAAATGACTGTCAAAGACTATACCCTTGAAACCAGCATCTTGCCCCGTTGCTTCTCTGGCACTACCCTCTTCAGCATAGTGCCTAGACAACCATTTAAAGTGAAAAACTATCTATGACCCTGAGAAAAACTTTTAGGTTCAAACACTGTGTGAATCACTGAAATTAATGACCGATTGGGTCTCCTTCCTTGATTTAGTGAGAACTAACAGCGGGGTAACCAATGCTCACCTTATTAAGGAGTTTATATTTCTGGGCTATTCCATCCACTTGACTCCATCAGTCCTAACCTTGGGTTAATTAGTTCTCCCTTTCTGATCTAGGAGCCTCTGCTTTCAGGTCAAAACATCAGTTACACTCATGGCAAAATTCAATTAGTTATATGTCCACCTGAGGGATTACTCTTCCTGCCTTAAAACTTTTCAATCAAATTTTTCTTATTGTCTCCCCAACAGACAGCCAGGGAAGGTTTTTTCACCTTCTTTACCTTGTCCATTTTCTCTTGCTTCATCTCCAGCTACAGAGCCTTTCCTGGCATCTCTGCCTTTTCTGCAGAATCTTGCTACGCTGCTGTCTCTTTTTATTTCTACCAGTTTTCAGCTTTCTATATTATAAAGTGGAATAGCTTTACTCAAGAAGACCAAGTCCTCCAACTGGGTTTCTCAATTTATTGTTGATGGGTATAAACTGTTTCACTACCAATCAACAACAGTGGGGAAGAAAGAGCATTTCTCCATCAAAGCCCCACTGCAGGATGTCTGATATTTTCTTCTCTTTTCTCATAAGACACTTCTTTTGATGTAGTATTCTCTTGATAGAGTTGAGGCTAATTGAAAAGTAGAGAGAAAACTTAGTTTTCTCTGTTAGCCTGGCGCTACTCTAAGAAAATCCCCCTTGGCCTGGCTCACAGGCATCTCCGGTAGTTGTTTCTCTGGTATATCCCTAGGAATTTACTTCCGTTCCCAGTCTCTCTTTCCTTTCTTTCTTTTTTGTAAATCTCGTCAGTTTTTCATCAGTTCTTCCCTAAGCACTGCATTAGGACCAGCTGAAGGACCTCCCCACAGGCTCTGTTCCAACACTTCTCGGTCTCCTTTGCAGAGGCTCACAACTTTTGTCATCTTAAAAGTCAATGGTATCCTATTGTCTGTCATCAAGACATTAGAAATCCTCAAGACTCCCGAGTCATATTTTCACATATAATCCTTCAATCTCTCTTCAGAGCAGTACTCTCTCAATTCATAATCTATTTTGAAGAAAGGGAAGAAATTTTGCGCCGATCTCAAAGGCTTCTCCCTAACCTCTCCAACAGGGATCTATAGTGTACGTCCAATCTTGACCATCACATAGATCATCTGCCCAAAAAGTTTTCATGTAGCATTAAATAGAAACATATCTAAAACCCAATTTATGTAATATGTTAATTCCTACCAGGAAGACAAATATAATTTTAAACAAAAATAGTATGGTTTGGCTCCAGAAATAAGAGTTGAAAAGCACAATCTTCACAATAAGGTCTTAGGTATAATCCCCCAGCCCTCCACAAGGAGTCATCATCATTATTAGTGGAAGACTCCTCCACCAGGGAAATTTCTTTACAATAAACTCAGGGTCAAGTGTTCTTTCAGATACTTTGGCTGTTGTCCCAGAATTAAAATTCATGCTCCTGACTCCACACTAAAGTTTGCTACTCATAATTTTGCTGTAAGGGTTTGAGAAAAACTAAAGGGATTCCTGCAGGGAACTAGTGACATTGTAAGAAAGGAGAAGAACCATAATTTTGATTGACTTGATCAGTTCATTTAAGCTTTATCTAGAAATGTCTGCCAGAAAAACTTAAGAGAAAGTTCTGTTACATCAGCATTTGGCATCTGTTTCCTGACTACCTTCAACTGGATCTTTCTGAATTTAGTCACACTACTTTTTGAGTTTATAAACATGAAGTGAACTGAGTTAACTCAGCAAAACAGGTTGTCAGCAGAGATAGAACCACAGAATTCAGAGTTGGAGAGAGAAGATCCTGCTTCTTCCTTTCATTTCTAAGGTTGCAGCTTATATAAATTGGTTTATTTCCTGTATGAATTAATGTGGGACATGGTGAAAATATACACACATAACACCATTACATTCTGGTTATTCATTTAACAGTACAGACCAGGCACAAATGAAAAATGTTCACCATCTTTTACATTTTTTTCTTTTCATGTTTATTCATACAGTCATTCATTTATTTCTATTGTACCTTTTTTCCCAGAGGGGCTAGGGATGGCTTACTTCAAGGACATATACTTAACATACTTAATTCTTCTGTTTTTAATGCTTTAGTGTTGTTGTACTAAAACAGATTTTAACAGTTTTCAACGTTGTTTATCCTGAAACAGATAGCATCTGTTTTATTATTATTAGCAGTACATTGCTATTATTAGAATGGCACCATTATATACTTTCTTTTAACCCACCTAAGCCTGAGGTTGCAATGTTTTGAATTTTTGCAATCAGACCTTGGTGATGACCTTGAGCAGTAGGGTATAAATAACTCCCACATGTTTAGCATTCCAATAATGGAACACTAGGCATAAATGGGTTCAGCTAGGATCAGTCTCTTCACAGTATTCTATAACTATATTTGTACTCAAAGAAAACAAAATATTAACTCTGTTAATGATTATTAACCTTGACTTCTCTATGGTTCCTGTACCCTTTTAAGGACATGTGCCCCTGCGTACTTTGGCATGACACAAGTGACTTTAAATTGCTCCACTGCCATTCCTACCATGCTTTAACTCTTCTGGGGATGCATCTTTGATTTAAAAAACCTGTTCTTTAAGTTAATAACCACAAAGGTCCTTTAACAATGCTAGAACCTGTTTAATTGCCCCCCTCTAAGAAGCCAAGGAAAATATATTTATATTTTTATCTGACCTTTGGGATTTTCCATTGTCTGTCAGTTTAAAGTCTGCGGGAGGCTGACAGAGAAAATTAACAGCTGGCTAGACAGAAAAAAAAGAAAGGTACTATTATGATTAAAATCAACCATGCAGGGGAGGGAAGGGCTAGCCAATCATACTGCATTACACAGAAGTAATCCTTTATCTGGAGTGGCCATCCCAGGGTAACTGGAGTGTCTTGTAATCTAATCCCTTAAGATTTAACACTCTCACCTACCTCCTAATAATTCACCCCCTTTGTTGGAAAAGCAAAAGAATCTATATATTTTGCAAAATTGATGGCATGAAGCCCAGAAACTATGACATAATGTATCACAGAGTAATATTTGAGCCTAGGGTTATAAATATTGTCTGTCACCCCTAGCATATATTTAATACAGACAGCTTGTATCTAGGATGATAAGGGTAGTACAGTATTGGCCAGGCATGGTGGCTTATGCCTGTAATCCCAGCACTTTGGGAGGCTGAGGCAGGTGGATCACTTGAGGTCAGGAGTTCAAGACCAGCTTGGCCAACATGGTGAAACCCCGTCTCTACTAAAAATACAAAAATTAGTCAGGTGTGGTGGCACACACCTGTAACCCCAGCTACTCGGGAGGCTGAAGCAGGAGAATCGCTTGAAGCCAGGAGACAGAAGTTGCAGTGAGCTGAGATCCCGCCACTGCACTCCAGCCTGGGTGACAGAGTAAGATTCTGTCTCAAAAAAAAAAAAAAAAAGTAGTACAGTACTTAGAGCTATAGTTAATAATGTGCAACTGTGTACCCTGGAGAAGGAAATAACTGCAAGAAAGTTGAAAGGGTTTTAATTAGTTTGTCTTGTTACCTAAGGAGCTACTTGCATAAATATATTTCTGTGACTTGGGTGTCATCTACATATTCCTGTACTCCTACCCCCCGTTCACTTTAATGGTTGGAAGAACGCTCAATCAGAAAAAAAACCCACAGTATTGTTTTGGTATTTGTTATTACACGTGTAATGAATTGATGACAATGATAACAATTTATCAGCACATGGTCCTTAAAACAGTGCTCCCCTAGTTTGATGTTCATCTGGACTTCTCGTTAAAATGATTATATTCTGATGCAGTCATTCTTGGATAGACCTCAGGGTCTGCATTTCTAATAAGTTCTCAGGTGATAACAATGTTTCTGGTCCTGGGACCACACTTTGAGTAGCAAGACCTTATAACATGACCAACATGGCATTTGAAAGCAAGTGTCTTATCCCAAGTGAGAAATACCACATCTTTACTCACATTCATATAAGAATATTGTCACTTGAGTTCCTCTCTTGATCATCACTTACTTTGTCCGTGAACCCTATAATCCTGAAGCAATGCTGAATTGCTTCGAATTGTCTTCTGTAAGACTCCTTGGAAGTTATGTCGTGCATCACCCTTCCAGTTTCATCAGCTATGTACCTAAATGAAGTGGAGCATGACCAAACAGAATGAGCACTGACTTGGAAAGTAGTACAGGCATTTCCATTTTTTGTTTGTTGTTTGTTTAAAGATGGGACCTCACTCTGTTGCCCAGCCTGAAGTGCAGTGGTGTGATCATAGCTCACTGCAGCCTTGAACTCCTGGGCTCTAGTGATCCTCCTGCCTCAGCCTCCTGAGTAGCTTGGACTACAGGTGTATGCCACCACACCCAGCTAATTTTTTTTTTTTTTTTTTTTTGAGACAGGGTCTTGCTCTGTCACCCAGGCTGGAGCGCAGTGGCACGAACTTGGCTCACTGCAGCCTCGACCTCCCAGGTTCAAGCAGTTCTCCCACCTCAGCCTCCCGAGTAGCTAATTAAAAAAAAAATTGTAGAGACAGAGTCTCACTATGCTGCCCTGGCTGGTCTCAAACTCCAGGCTTCAAGTAATCCTCCCACTTCAGCTTGCCAAAGCACTGGGATTACAGGCATGAGCCGCCACACCCAGCCCATTTCCTTTATAGTCTAATACTGTGGTAGAATAATGATGCAAATGGCTGAAAAAAAATAAACCATGTGCAGTTGAGTTTTTGAACTTTCTAGACAATGAAAATGGTGGATACTTCCTGCCACCTCACCCTGGGCACTTTAGTTAAATAGACTGTGAGTTTCCAGTTAGGAAAACAGCTCCATTTACTTCCAAGTTTGTCAACTGCTAATCGTACATTCATCAAAAATTAACAACCAACCCCCCTGACACTTACCTAGGAGGTTTTTCCTCAGGAAGTCTGAAATCAGAAAGCTTCTTTTGGTGATGAAGACCAGCATAAATATAGTAAAATATATGAAAATTTTTCTCTCTCCTGAAAAAAAAAGAGACTTTAGTAATAATATATTCTGGCTTCCCCATCCCAAGTATTTTACACCATTTCCTTTCTGTACAAAAGATTATTCCATGGCAAATTTGTATTTTCAGGCAATTAAATATTATAAATCCCACTTACAGAATAGTGATAGGATTAGTATAGTAATTGTCATAATGTTGCATTATTAAACACACTTTACGACAAGCAAAAGGTTTCAGAGAATGGGACATTTACAGGAAACAGCTCAAGTTACATATGTTGAGCTCTTTCTATTGCAGCCCAAACGCCTACTACCTTCTGCTTGTACCACATGTTGCTTCAGAGACAGTGAGGTCCAGCTTAGAGACATCAGCCAAATCCTCTACTTTACTGGAGCCCTAGACAGGAAGTGGCCTGCAAGTCTCACAGCAGGTTAGGGAGCAGAATTGGTCCAGAACTGAGGTTTTTCACTCTCCCAAGCTGGTATTCTTAAAAGTACTACTCAAAATGTCATTCATTAGTCTGGTCTCCTGCCATCCACCTCTTTTAGGCTACCCTGGCCAGGGTCCTTTCAGATAGGTGCTACTCTGAGCATAGCCTGTGGACTGCTGTCAGTTTCTAACAAGAGAAGGAACTGGTAAGTACATGCCTAGACGTTTTATAGCAAGTGACATTGCCATGACATCCAAGAGCATGATAATTTTTCTGATAATTAATTTGCATTGCATTTTACAAAGGTATTAGTTCAAAATGGGTTGGAGATTTTTTTTAAAAAGTGGTCCCTTAGCACAGAGTTTGAAAAGCACTGCTCCACATCCCCTTCTTTCCTCTGGAGGAGGACAGTCTCTTCTGTAGATACCCTTGGATTTTGGCAAATCTTTTCTTTGGTCAACCTAGCTCCATGAAAAGAAATCGTCTTTCTTCTCCCCTTATCCGCCTTTGTGGCATGGCCCCCATTCTGTTCAGCCTCTCCTGGGTCTCCTCATCTTCCTTTGGTTGTTTATCCTGTCAAAGCCCTTCTGTGACATTCTTTATCCCTGCCCTGTATTCTAGATGCCTCTACTTGCCATTTCTCACTCACTTGTTCACTTAACTAATAAATCTAGTTAAGAGACAGGGTCTCACTCTGTTGTCCAGGCTGGAGTGCAGTGGTGAGGTCATAGCTCACTGCAGCCTCAAATTTCTGGGTTCAAGCAATTCTTGCACCTCAGCCTCCAAAGTAGCCATGACTATAGGCACACATCACCATCCCCCACTAAGGTTTTTGTGTTTGTAGAGACAGAGTCTCACTATGTTGCACAGGCTGGTCTCAAACAAGCTATCTTCCTGCCTTGGCCTCCCAAAGTGCTGGGATTACAGGCGTGAGCCACTGTGCCCAGCCCTTATTTTTATTTTTTAAAAATAAATTTTATTGTGTATATTTAAGATATACAACATGTTATAGGATATATATAAATAGAAAAATGTGACTATTCAATGAATAAACATATTAATTGCCAGTCACGGTAGGCACTATACCAGGTGCCAGGGATACAGGACTAAAGGGATTCATGTTCTCTGAGTGTCATTATAAGAAGCCAAGATGGCTACAGGGAAACCAGTGAGGGGGTCCAGGTGAGAAAGCATAATAGCTTGGATAGGGTAATGGTAGTGGTGATGGAGAATAACGGTAAGCTTAAATATTATATATATTCTGGAGAAACAACCAAAAGAACATCCTAATAGACTGAATGAGGATGGTGACGGAAAGAAACCTAGAGTCTGCCTCCTAGATTTCTAGCTTGAGCATCTAGTGATGGTGGCACCCTTCACTGAGACAGGAACCGAAAGGCCTGAGATGAATGTCACTTGTTCTTTAACCTCTGTTACATGTGCAGGCTTTGGCTGGCCCATCTTAGTCTTACATTCCTTTAGTTTTTCTACAGATCCATCTAGTTCTCAATTCTTCCAAGCTTTTCCTGCCGACATCCATCCCTAGCATCACTTCAGTTTCATTTTCATCCCTTTATCTGTCAAGATTGGCTAGGCTTTGTTATGATAATAAACACCCCCAGATCTTAGTAGCTTAACTCAATAAAGGTTTAGTTCTTGCTCAGAGTACATGTCCATGGCAGGTCAGCGGTGGGGCTGTGCTCACTGCAGTCACTGATGGGCTGTGGCTGGCAGAGCAGCCCCCATCTTACACTGTGCCAGACTCTGGAGGGTTGCCATTACATGCCCACTTGCCAGAACCAGTTATATGACCACACCCAGCCACACAGGAACCCTACAGTGTGCCCAGAAGGGGGTGAATCCCAACAGTTAGATGAACAGGACTGGGACAGGCCCCATCTTCTCTTCATCTCATTTAATTCTCATAACAGCCTTGTGAGGTTGACATTATTATGCCCATGTTGCATATGAGGAAAGTAAGGTATATGAATATTTACATTAATAAGCAACATATCACATTAAGTGACCTAGAACTCTCCTCACATTATCTTTGTAAAAGACCACTTTACATTTGAACACAGAACACTATGCTTTCCATTCTGTCAGAGGTAGCTCCCTAAATTTTAAAACCACCCTAACCTGGGGAGACAAAAGCAGGGGACCTCATAAAAATTAATCAAAAAGCCACAGGGAAGCGTAAATGACTCTGACTCTGTCTTTCATTTGTTTAATGTTCATGCCAGTCCCTACTGCGTGAGGAAACTGCAAGTACATGATAGAGGAAGATGCTTGGGTTTTCAACCCAGAACAATTCCTGTAAATTCTACTTGCACAGTATCTCTCAGACTCCTCATCTTCTCTCCATCTCCACTGCCACCGCCTTAGTCTAGGCCAGCGTTCTCTCTCACATGAATCTGGCAACAGCCTCCTAATCATGTCAACACAATCCTTGCATCTCCCCCAATCCATTCCCCATTGAAGCTAGCGTGATCATCTCAAAATGAAAGTTGGGTATGGTGACTCCCCTGCTTGAAAACGTTCAGTGGCTTCCTATTGCCCTTAGAAAAAAGTTTGAGATCCTTATCCTGGTTCCAAAGCCCTGCATGATTTGGTCTCAGTCTTATCTTTGCCACTTTTCCTCCTTGCTCTGGTCCCCACCTCGTTGCCTAACTCCTGGTGATCCTGTGATCTCATATACAGGGAGCCCCTCTTTCTCCCTAGACTAGGTTATGTGTCGTTCCCTTCTCTCGTTTCACCTTAATAGCACCTACTTTGCTTTCTGGTGCTTATTACAATTGTTCTACATTTAAGTTTACTTGTTTAATGCCTGTGATCCTCCCCTACTGCTTCCTCATATACCGCATACTCTAAGCCCCGTGAATACAAGAATCTTTTTTATTTAGTTTGCTCTTACAAGCCAACACAAAGCACAGCACTGGCAAACAGCAGGGATTCAATAATGCATTAATATGGAAGTGCGGAGCCATGCTCCTGAGAAACTCTGGTGTCCTACAATAATAATAATAGCTATTATTATTAACAATTATAATAATAGCTATTATTATTATATGAAGAGTTATTATTATAATAGGAAGAGTAGCTAACACTCTGATAGTATGTACCACACCAGTGGTTATATTATTATCATAGGAAGAGTAGCTAACACTGATAGGGTGTACCACACTAGGCATTCTTTTAAGTAATTTTATATAAATGAACATGTTAATCCTCACAACAAACCCATGAGGTCAGCACTAGTAGCATTTCCATTCCACAGATGAGGCACAGAGAAGGTTAGTGAAATGCCCAATGTCACACAGTGAGTATCAGAACCTGCATTTGAACCCAGATCAAAGTCTGTGCTATTGATTTCTATTACCAAATGCTTTCCCTAAAAACAGAATAATTGTTTTCTCTATCTGTCTCAATCTAAGGAAAAAATTAACATGTGAAATATTCTTGGTGTCTTTTTCTTTTTTAACCAACAAGTTCAATTTTAAGGGGCCTCAGGGTTTTAAAAAATGTCTGCAATGCTGCTAAATTCTACCTGACACAACCAACTCAGGAGAAACAAGCATACCCATCCCTAAAGCACGCCCACCCCAGCCCTTTGTACTCTTTCCATTAATTTCTTTTAGGTCAAAAACTACCACTGATCCTTTGCTTAAATAATTCTTTGCCCTTGGGGAGGGTAGGGGAATGTTAAGAACAAGAATGAAAACTGAACCATTAAAATTTCCAAAGTCTCCCAGTTTTTACTGCAGGGCAAAAACACAGTGATAAAGTAGTGCACCTACGCTGCCTGTTTTATAACTCTGGATTTTTCCAGGAGATATTCAGAGATTCTTGCCCCCATCACAACTCCAGTTGGTGTAAACATCATTTCCAGATATTTTCCAAAACGGCTCGAGTTGTCATTGATGGCAGTGCATGAGTTCCCAAAGGCTTCCACCAGGGAGTTGACTTGTAGAATTTTCTCTCTCAAGGTCTGATTATTGGCCTGTGCCAAACAGAGAACGGTCAAGAAGAGACTCCAGAAACATTACACCAGCAAAGTTGCCAGGCACCATCCCTTGCCCACCAAAATCCACATGGTCTTTTTACAAAGAGCCCCATTTGGGGGACGTTAGCATCAACCACCAGCATCATTTTCTCATATGAGCAACTCCCCAGATCTGCATATGAATCGGATTTGGCTAGATTAGGACAGCAGTTTTAAAAATCCAGCCATATTTCATTTAAAATCCTTGACAGATAAAACACCTAACCAGTTTAGAAAGATTTTTAAATAGATCCCGTAACTTTTCTGGCATTTATCGTAATAGTCTATAAACCTTATCTATAAAAATTCCATACATTCTTTCTTAGTCACCTAGTACACTAATTCAGAGTGTAAGTAACTACTAGACTATTTGAATTCATTCTTTCAATATTGATTTCACCAAGCTGAAAATTTTCATTTCCCTCAACTTTTGCTCAAAGGCTTCTATTTTACATCCTTTTAATCACTATAGTGGCTTTCCCTGATCCTGTTCCTAGTGCTTAACCATTTTTACTACTTAATGGCTGAATGTTTCTATTACATTGAAAACATGAAAATTAATTGCCGATAATCTAGTAAATTTGTGCTGGAATTATTCTCCTCCCTACGTGAAGGAAGGATAGCATGCTGACATCTTAAGAGGCCTCGCTATCAGGAGGCAAACGTAGCAAAGATGGAATGTCTTTATGTAAGCCTTAATAAAAAAAACCCAGCACTTCCATCATTTATCAAATATGCAGTTACTCTGTAGGAACTTCTCGCCACAATACGTAAAGCAGATTAGTCAATACCTTTCCCAAGAAAGTCAAATGCTGAACAATCAGGTGGGCGCTTTCTGTCTTCCCAGAGCCACTCTCTCCGCTGATGACAATGCACTGGCACAGAAAATGGAGCGTCAAGTGAAGAATTTATAGCACAGAAGCAACTTGCATGCTTCATATAACATCCACTACTGTACACCTTAATTTTTCACTGAGAGATAGATCTTAGGCATCTTCCTATTTCAGTACATAGAGACCTTCTTCAACCTTTTGTATAGCTACTTGTTGTTCCATTGTACATATGTACCATAATCTGTTTAATCTGTCCAATATTGGGATATTTGAGTTTTTTCCTTGTAATTATAAACAACATTGCAATGAATAACCTTATACTTAAGTCATTATATTTTTATGCAGGTTCATCTGCAGGAGAAATTCCTAGAAATGGGGATGTTGGATCAAAAGGTAAATACATTTGTAAATTTGACACACGTTACCAAATTGCTTTCCTAGGGACTATACCAATATGTGAAAGTGCCTGCTCTCCTGTAGCCTCAACAACAGAATGTTAGATTGTTGACAATCTAATAGCTTAAAAAAATGGTATCTCAGTGCAGCCTTATTCTGCATTTTAAAAATTATGAATGAGGCCTCCTTCCATATGCTTAAGAGGCTTTTCTTTTACATGACCTGTCCGTATTGTTTGCCCATTTTTTATTGTATTGTTGATATTTTTATCATTCATTTCTAGGAGCTCTTTAGGTATAAAGGAAATTAGTGGATGTGGTATAATAAAAATTATATATTGGGTCTTTGTCCCTGGTTCCTGGCACTGAGCTCCTAAAACCTTTGGGATTTCCAAGAGTGGTAGGAGTATCTTTCGTTATTCACAAGGAGCCCCTTTCAACCATACCTCAGTTTATTCCTAAGAAGGTGGTTCAAGGTGAGCCCCCTAGACAGCTTCAGACTGGTCATTAGAAAGACCAAACATGTGATTAGAGTGTGGGAACTTTCAGCCCTACCTCCCAACTTCTAGAAAGAAGAGGGGATTTAAAGATTAAGTTATACAAATTCTTGAACAAGGAGATTCAGAGAGCTTCTGAGTTGGTGAACACATTGAGGTGCTGGGAGGGGGATGTGTCCAGAAAAGGCATGGAAGCTCTGTGTGCCATGCCCCCTTCCTCCCCCCATACACCCTGCCCCATGTGTCTCTTCTATTTGGCTGTTCCTGAGTTATACCCTTCATAATAAACTGGTAAATGTAAGTAAAGTGTTTTCCTCAGTTCCTTGAGTCATTCCTAGTGAATTATCAAACCTAAAGAGAGTCACAAGAACCCCTGGACTGGTATTCGGCTGGGCAGATGTGTGAGAAGCCTAGGTACTCCATTTGCAGCTGGCATCTAAAGTGGGAACAGTCTTGTGGCACTAATCGCTTAATCTGTGGAGTCTGTGCTAACTCCAGGTAGTGTCAGAATTGAACTGAATTGTTGGGCACCCAGTTGGTGTTGGAGAATTGGTTCATGCTGGAAAAAATACAACATTTGGTGTCAGAAGTGGTGTCAAAAAAGACAACACAGTGAGGCAACTTCTTAACTTAAAAACGATATATATTTCTCTCCATTTACTTCCTCCCTATGAAATCTATGGACATTTTACAAGTATCTGGGAAAGGTAAGAATTTGGAAGAGCTAAGTTTCTAAGCTACAGTGAATCCATGTATTCCATTTTATAATCTATGTTGTTATAATGTCATCTATTACTCAACAAACCCCAAAGCTGGGACTTTTCCAGATCTTAGGAAATCCACACATTGATACCCTCAGAAAATTTGCTTGCCAAATTAGACTACTTCTATTTCAAACAGAATAAAGAAACAAAGAAAAATATACCTATTGAAAGTAAAGAAGGGATGAAAGATTAGATATATGAGCAATGTGAATTAGAAGGCTAGAAAGGTAAAATGGATGAGCCTGTGTTTAGTATTGAGTTTAAGGTTTGTTCATTCTCTACCCAATCTATCACAATTTTTCAGCAGCTAAATGGTGTGGTGCATGGTCACTGTCAACCTCTGTGCAATATTTCATACAAAAAAGACTGAATCATGAAAATTCTAAGACCTTAATAGGAAAGAATTTCACTTATGCCATTCTATATGCTATTTTTATTACAATCACTGCCATGTAATCAGGTTGCGTTTGCACTGTTCTCATCATATTCATATTAGAGACATTTTTATTATATCTTATCAGAGAAAATGAGCGCACCTCATGTGACTGTTTTATGTTTCTTGAAAAGCATTTTCACATTCTCCCGATGCTATGGCTTTACCTATGCTCAAGTTCCACAGAGCTGCCACTTCATCTCCTGTCTCTTTGGGTCAGCACCAGCAACCGGAATGGAAAGGTTTCAGGAAGACTTAGGAGTTGACGAGGAAGACACAACATGTCTTAACTGGGTGACTCCGTAGGAAAGGAAGGTGAGTTCTTACCTGGTCTTTGCTGAGAGTAACCATGCACTGGTAAGCAGCATCTGCTGATGCAAATATGTGGGGGGGATTGGAGGCGCGTTTCACCCCATGATAAAGTCTGGAAAACTGAAGGAAAAATAATTAAAGGAAACTCTCCCCTGGACCATCTAATACTCCACTACCTATTGCCCATGAAACCAAGAATCTGTCACTTATTAGGGTACTTGTTGCATTAGGAAGACTGTAGGGTATAGGTTCTGGAGCCTGCAGGACTGAGTTCAAATTTCACTTCTATACTTACTGGCTTCATGAGCTAGTAAGAGGGAGTTCACTCTATGCTAAGTCTCCCTGTCTGCCAACTAGGTTTAACAACAGTACCTGTCCCACAGGGTGTGAAAAAGTGAGATAACCCAGTGTCTAACACGCAGTAAGCACGCAATAAATGTTAACTATTATTGCTATAGTTTGCTTTAAAAAGGTATTCTCAAGATGTAAAAATTCCATTTGTATTACATTACTATCTGCAGTTTGGAGTATATACATCTAGGGTAGCATAATTTTATTCTTACTTTTTCTTTCTCTTCATTTGCCCTTGTGAGTTTTAATTTCCTATTAAGGAGCAGTATGCTCTTAAAACATCCCTTACCTGTGGAGAGTATATGCTTAGATTCTGGAAGGGGTTTAAGGCAATTAAGATGTCTCCAACATATGTGTAAATTAGCAAGTCTGCATAACGTTTCTGCAACTGATGGATAATTGTATCCTAAGAAGAGGATAAATGGTATTGAGGTAAATATTATTCCCAGTCAAGGGATAGATTCTAAAAATGACAACAAATTTATTCTTCCAAGAACATCTTTCTCTAAACGATGAAAGTAGTCCATTTAAATCATACAATGACCCTAATGATCCCAATTCATTAAAACAATGCCAATATTTGCCTTGAAAGAAAAAATAGGAATACACTGAAAGAATTAGGCCCACTTAGGACTTGCTAAAAGACACTGAGATATCCAACAAAGATTTTACTTGTTATTGTGAAAAAAAAACTCATCTCAACCAGTCAAAATGTTGTATTTAAAATTTTATTTAATAGGCTGTTCCTACTGATAGAGCACCGACAGAATGGTAAGTTAATTTCTCAAAGCACTGCACTTAAAACCTAGGTGGCATAAATACAGAATTAACCACTTTGTATTACACTTTAGTGATTTAGACATTGAAGGTAACAATCCCCAGAGTTAGACTCAGCATAAACAGGTCCAGTGCAATTAACAGCTCTATTAAACATGCATATTTTAAATGGGGATTATCACAGACTTCAAATTTAGAATTCAAGCTATATTAACTTCACTATTTCCCTAAATGAAGCTCTTTCTTATGAAGAACAAACAACTTCTTAAGGGTTAATTGAAATATTTTATCAAATTTTATCAAACAAAATATTTTCAGCTGATATAATCCATCATTAAGGCTACAATATAAAGAGCTTTATTGCAAAAATCCAAATCCTTTTCTCTTCATCATTCTAGGGGCTATCTAAATAAACACAGCACAGGATCATAGTCACAGCAACTGAATGCTCCCTGAACTTCATCCCATAGCTACACAAACAATTAAATTTTCAAATGACCTTAGGAGGACATGGTCTACAACAGAAAGTTCAGACCATTCACATGAAACAAATGTCTTCAATGAGAATTGTCTACTAAATATTTAGTACCTCATCCAGAACCTCTAGGTTGACCAAATCATCCTCAAGGCAGTATTTTTCAGCATCTTCCACATGATAAGGTCTTCTGGTATGCATCCTCTCATGCCTAGAAATTTATCAAGAGAGTTTAAGCATTAAGACAGCAAATAATGTAGCAGAAAGCGGGCAGCAAGCATGGCTCATTCACAATCTTATCACGTGATATGTTCAGAGACTTCAGAGACAGGGACAGGAAGTCCAGTCCAGGTCCCCAGGCTTTTCCTGCCACTGTAGAACTATTGGGATAAAGTGATCTCCATAGTTCAAGTCTACTTCCTGCCAGAGTGAGGAGTGTTACCAAATGGGCCCACCTAATACACATACTTGCTTTTCTTAAATGCCAAAGACAGCACTTCCAGAATAAACACCTCTGACTTCTGCTCAGTGTCAGGCACATAGTTCTCACTGGGGTATAGCCATAAGTGCCTTACTTCCCTTGAGGTCCCCTTGCTTTATCTACCAGCACCACCCCCAACTTTTGTGATAGTTTTTAACCTACGTAACACTTTCAGAGATTAATATAGTAAATACCAAATAATTGATCACTGTTTATGTTTTTTCTTATTCATGTGAAATCCCTTTGTGACCCTTGTCCCATCCCACTCCTCTCTCCTGAGGTGACCACTATTTGATGGGTTTCCTTCCAGTCTATTTTTAAATATTGGTCATATGCCTATAGATACCCATGAGCAATATACAGGTTCTGTATGTTTAGTTATAAAAATGATATCATACTTAGGTTTTATACTGTAAGCTTACTTTTTTCATTAAACATTATGATTTTTAAACTCTATTTATCTATCTATCTACCTATCTACCTTACCCACTTACCTACCTACCTAGTTCAGTCACTTTAATCACTGGGTAGTATTATACTTTATGAATATGTACCTATTTATTTACTCAGTCCGATGGGGGGGGTTGTTGTTTTTAAAATTTTATTTATTTATTTAGTAATTTTTAGAGATGGGGTCTTGCTCTGTCACCAGGCTGAAATGCAGTGGCATAGTCATAGCTCACTGCAGCCTCAAACTCTTGGGCTCAAGCAACCCTCCCCACTCAGCCTCTCAACTAGCTGGTACTAGAAGTATGCACTATTGTGCCTGGCTAATTTTTTAAAATTATTTTTTGTAGAGATGGAGTTTTGCTTTGTTGTCCAGGCTAATCTCAAACTTCTGGCTTCAAGTGATCCTGCCACCTTGGCCTCTCAAAGTGCTGGGATTACAGGCATATGCCACTGCACCCGGCCTACTCAGTCCTATGTTGATCAACATTTAGGCTGATTCCAATTTTTTTGCTACTAGTAATAATGCAACACTTAAAACTTTATACACATCTTTTTGTGTATATATGTGAGTTTTTCTCCTGGAGGGCACTGTTCACTAAGGATTTAAAAATCTTGTTTGATAATCAGTAATAATCCCCTCTGGTATACTAAAATATAGCTCTTTAAGGTTTAAAATTAATTCAAGGTCAAAGTAGGCCTTCCCGTAATTCCTTTCATAAACTCATCACTCCTCAATGCGGTTTAGGAGGAAAGCATTGGCTAGAAGAGCTCTGGACCCTAGTTTCAGAGTTGCGAGCAATGTGGTATGAGACACTCAGCAAATCCCTTAACAGCCAGTATATCGGTTTTCTTCATCTATAAATAGAATTACTCATAACTGATCTGTC
The DNA here is from genome assembly GCF_000001405.40 of Homo sapiens. Taxonomy (NCBI): domain Eukaryota; kingdom Metazoa; phylum Chordata; class Mammalia; order Primates; family Hominidae; genus Homo; species Homo sapiens. The sequence goes on along the minus strand of NC_000002.12, from coordinate 170,380,408 downwards.
TATCTCCCAGGTAGCTGTGAAAGCACATATAGTCATGGATATAAAAATGCAATAAAGTTGAAAACATGTACTAATTATTATTCTTACATCCTTGTTAACATTTGGAATCAACAATTTGCATAACTACACACATTACTCTGAATATCATTGACTAAACAAAATCATACATAAACTGTCCTACATACTGTAAATTCACTAGCCCAGAAGCATAACTTCTTGATTCTTCTCTGTCACTTTTGTGCCCATCAACATCACAGCTTATGAGGATATCACCCACCAATACAATTCTATCTAGCTAGATCCTAGAAGCTGGTGTTGACTGAAAGTTTTATGGTAAGTACCAGCTAGAAGTCATGGAATCTTGATGTACACCCCACCCTTTGGTATGCATTTCACAAAAGTAGGTAAAAAGGAAGAAGCAAACTTATCAGCTCTGCATATTGAGTCTTGAGTTTATAATGCAATATTAATGGCCAAATAAAATGGATTTCTCTCTTTCTAGCCTATTAAGTTAAATCTTACCTTTCAATCTCCATCACTGATAAATTTGAAAAGAGATATTTGAAGCATGCTATTAGTCATCTCCAGTCCTAGAACCAGTTTTGCTGCTAATTCATATAAAGGTCCAAAGTAGAATGAAGCTTAATTTTTATTTAATCAAATCAAATTTATAACCTAAGCAGTTTAAAATTATTAAACAGAATTATTTATCTGTGACTTTACATATTGGTGATGGCAAAGAAAAATCAAATTGGTTTGTAATACAGATTTTTACTAAAACTCAGAGCTGCTGCCTGCCTCTAGCTAGCCATTTTGTTAAATAAAACAGCAGGAGGATACATATTTCCGATCAAAATCCCCTTCACATAAAACCTAAGAATAATTTTGCTTGAAGTTAATCAAAAAACAAAATACTGGCTGGGTACAGTGGTTCACGCCTGTAATCCCAGCACTTTGGGCGGCCAAGGCGGGTGGATCACAAGGTCAAGAGATTAAGACCATCCTGGCCAACATGGTGAAATCCCGTCTCTACCAAAAATACAAAAATTAGCTAGGCGTGGTGGTGCACGCCTGTAGCCCCAGCTACTCAGGAGGCTGAGGCAGGAGAATTGCTTGAACCCGGGAGGCAGAGGTTGCAGTGAGCCGAGATCAAGCCACTGCATGCCAACCTGGCAACAGAGCAAGATTCCGTCTCAAAAAAAAAAAAAAAAAAATTGTACCACATTTTCATGAAATAATTAAATTACCATATTAAATTCAGCTAGTTTGTCTCCTTCCTACATTTATATCTTATAATTGCATATTCTGCACATCATTTGACAAAGAAAATCAATAATTAAAAAATTACCTCAGATCTGGTTCTGGTCAAGATGGAGTAAGCCCTCTCCACTCCTCACTGAAGACAACTAAATACCCTTGTCAGAATGCATGGAGCAGCTATCTTAAGACTCTGAGAAGTAAATTGTAACAGGCAGACTGGGGAAGGAAGTCAGAACTCAAAATACCACTGAACCAATGGTGAGTTTTCCAGGCTTTTTTTTCCTTCAGTAACTCCTGACCTGGATTTAATGGCAGCCTGAGCTGCATACAGAAATGCCAAGCTTCACATTGGATGACATTTTTATAGCCAACTAAAAATGGAAGCATGGACCAAACCTTACTTGCAATCTCACAAATAGATGCAGTCTAGTAGAAAGTTTTAATTTTCAGTGTGAATATACACAATGCAATATCACTAGGATCAACATTGGTATCTTCTGAGCCTGAAGGAGATTGTGTGCTATGCCAATCTGTCTCACAGATATAACTTCCAAGAATCATGCAGATGTTGTCTGCAAATCTGAGCTTGATTCTTGTAAAAAATCTTCCCCAATAATATTGTATTAACAAAAAATAACTTTTTAAAAATTTTAACTGCTATTAGTAGCAATGTGTGGCCTCTTTCCATGCTTACAGGTGATCAAATTCTTTAGAAATATTTGCTCCTAAAAGTGAAGTAGGCAATCTAGAAGTGGATGTAGATGCAAGACTTCTCTACTCTGATAAAGACCACTTCGTTTTCTCAACCAGAAAAAATATATATATGTGTAGCACTATTTCTGCCTTCCACAACTAGTGTTCTTTGGAAACTGCTGCCCGCTTAACTTTCCTCCTCTGGCTATGGGGTTTGGAGGGTCTATCGTAGAGAAAAAGCATTATTTATTTCAATTTTTATCTCCTTTAAAAACATTTTCCTAGACTTTGCATAAGCTTATAAAAAGCGTTACGTTGTTTTATATTTCTCTATTTTTAGTTGAAATTAATAAAAATAAACTTGGTTTATTTTTTTAATTTTATTGAGTTAAGTGATTTGTGTCATTAGTAACTATAGATCTTAATTTCCTTTAAATTCACATGCTCCATCTAGTGCCCTACTTGAGAATAGGACCTATTATCAATTTTTGCTGAAGAATTCCTCGTTTAATGTGAAAATTACAGATCTCCAACTAAAAGCTACTTGGATCGAGTATTCCAAAGCTCAGAGGAATGGAGACATAGATAAATGAATGGATAAACAGCAAAAAACATTCTACTAAATCAAAAGTATGTGGTAAGGCACTGTAGTTTTAATGGCTCAGAAGACGTTTTCAAATTCCAGTAAAGTTTATATTGCTTTTCTTAGATTTCCTACTTGTTTTTATGAGTTTGTAAGTATGTTGGCTGCCAAGGCTGGCTTCTCAGACAAACAGAGTTTGCGAGTTGGAGCTTAGAGGGAAAGTCTTGGCTTGGACTGGTTCCTGGAGTTTGCTTTTGGTGTGGCAGTGGAGCGGGAGACTGTGGAGAGCAGGACGGGCCTTAGGTTTCAGGGATCAGGTAAAGGGGAAACTGGTGCCTGAATCCATGGATCAAGTAGGGTGGGAATGAGGGCAAGTCTGTACCATCAAGTCCAAGGAAATGAGTGCAGCGTAAGAATAGAATCTGAAGAACGGGAAAGACAGAGCCAGAGGTAGAGGCTGGGAGTTCCCCTAAGACAACAGTGGGCATAGATGAGGTAGAGGATGGGGGTCTTTGTTCAAATCTTTGGCCCAGCCAATGAGTGGGAAAGGAGCTTTAGAGGACACCAAACTGGTTTAAACACTAGAAGAATTATTCTCATGAAATAAACTCCTAAAGTGTTGCAGCTTTCACTCTAGTTTAATCTCTGTATCTGCATTATGGTTAAAACCATTTCTGTGTCATTGTTCTCTAATATCTCATCACTGGGCCTGCTAGCTTCTTTGTTTGAGCTGCTAGTCCTATGAACTATATTGACAAACATATTTTGCCCAAAAGTGACTCATTAATCAATTAGCCTCTTTCTGTCTGCCAGTTATGCCTATGGAAGTGGAGGCTTCCATGTAGGTAGGTACAAACAGAGCTGCAAGAACTTCACGTAGGTGAGACAGGATACGCTCTTCCTTTCACTCCCCAACTATGATGAAGAACAAGTAATAGAAAAAGGTGCTCTAAATCATAACTCAAACATGAGAAGGAAACAAATTCTTCTAGCTTATCAATTCAGCCTAATAATAATAACAACAAGCAATATACTCCTAAGAAGTTAATCTCTGCACTGAGAAATGCCTGCTGGCTTCTTAGAGAGTCACCCTGTGTCAGCACCATTGTGAAGGTCACCTCTGCCTCTGCTCCTCCACACCCAGGATAAGAACCCTCTCCTCCGTCCAAGAGTGGAACTGCAAAAAGTGGAGAATGACTATCACTGTTACCAGATTCCAGATGGAAAAGGAAGTAAAATTTGTTGCGGATAGAGGCAAAAAAAAAAATAGAGAGAGGGAATAAGGAAAAAGGTGCAGGCTCAAAGATGTCAGTCCTCAAGAATCTAGGACAAAAGCCTCCATGGCCATAGAGAGAACTCAGGGATCACTCCCTTATCACTACATTCAATGGATTCCATACAAGAAAGAAAACATTACTCAAAACTGAGAATAGAGTACTGTTACTACACCAAGGTCAGTGATGTTGAATATTTCTTCTAAATCTTAATTTCCATTCAATATACCCTTTGATAACAGAGCCAATGAAAGAGGGACTTTTATTTTACCGTAACTATATAATAATGGACCTCAAACGAGAAAAACAATAGCAGACCTTTGAGGAATGACATTATTCTACTGAGAGTCAAATATGGACAGAGATAGCAGCTGGATACCTTTAACTACATGAGCTGTATCTTGACCCTGAACTTAAGGCTATGTCTTTCAAACAATACAATGCATAAATTTTAAAATAGGAGAATTGTTTGGGTGGAAATTATTATAGTATCTGCCCATTTTTCATCTAAGCACCGTTTTGGCCAGAATCCCAATAAATCAGCATCTTATCATTAATCATATTAAACAGTATTTGATATACCCAACTTCTCTAAGCGGCAAGAATCAGTAACACCAGCATAAAATTAATATTAACTAACTTACTCATTTGTAGATAGACAGATATAGGTATAGATAGATAGCAGATACTAATTATAGCAAGGTATAGATTTATTTCTTCTGTTAGGAAGATAAAAGGATATTTAACCTCCTGTGTGTTAAGCTTCTTCAGCACTTTATGAAGTAATCTTTCTGGAGTTACTTATTTACATAAGAACCCAATAACCCATTAGTGTATATAATATGGGGTGCTCTGTGTGTGTGTGTGTGTGTGTGTGCATGCATGCACATATTTGAAGGTAGAAGAGGGAGAGAGTGAGCAAGGATTACTGGGGAAAACTAGCAGTTAAATAGTGAGAAATCTGTTTTTAAAGGTCATTGCTGCAGGTTGAAAAGAAATCAAAAGCTGAAGTCATTGTTTTAATCAGCCTCAGGCAAATTGCAAGGGCGACATGACAACCCATTAAACAGAGCAGAAAAAAAAAAAACCCAGCAACTTAATTCTTCTACCAAGTAATACTTAGAACAGACCCTTGGCATTTAGGGTTTAACATCTGTGGTTTCAGCTAGTACCAAGCCACCTGCAGGGGCACGGCATGCTGGATCTTGTAATTTTACTGAGGTTCACGGTTGAGTTCATGGTCGTGGCAGAGACAATCGAGTCCTTTCCCTGCCTCCACTCACATTCCAGAGAGTGGTTTCACTCTTCTCCCAATAACCCTTGTAAAATGATACAAAGCATGTTTTCAATCTACTTCTCTGAACTTTAACAGTGAGATGACATACCAGATGATACTAATGAATTCAGGGATTTGCAAAACTGGTTTGGGGAAGAAGTCGTCTTTTTGCAGATCAAGGAAATAGGTGCTGATATAAAGGAAATGACCAAATAGTTTAAAAACACCTCCAACAGATGAAGTAACAATGTACTTTCAGCCCATTGTTCACATAGTTTTAGGGCTTCTTTAGCCCTTTAGGGCTTACTCCTTTAAAAGAGTAAGACTTGGATTAATAACTGCTCTATTGTACCTGAATCAAATACATGCATTGGCACAATTATAATTTACTGGAAAAACTTAAATTCCAATGATGTCATACATACACTATAATCAGCATCAGGTAATGGTATCTATCAAATCTCAAATAGTACAATATCACTTCTCCACAGGTGCCTCTGCTGTCCTGTATCTATATCTGTAGTGTGTGTGTGTGTGTGTGTGTGTGTGTGTGTGTGTGTGTGTATGTATGCATATATATATATAGAGAGAGTGAAATAGGGATGAATCACATCCTGGCTTTCCAAAAAGCACTCAGAAAAGCCTGAATGGTTAGACCCAGGAGAGGTGAGACAGGGGACTTACAAATTCAAGCCCTCCAAGCACAGTACAGCTTCTGCTCTATGTGAACAAGCCCTCCATGATTCTTAGCCTTGTTTTTGAATACTCTTGAATATGTGCCATAACTGAGATGGATCTGATCTAAGAGTTCCTCAACCTGTCAACACTTAAAAAACATTTCTTTCTATTCCACCGAAGTTGCCCACAAGCTCAGCTATCCTTAGTTCCTAATTATCTATCAAAAGTTCCTAGGATCTCAGTTCTACAATCCCTTTTCTCATCATCCCCTCACTGAATCTGCTCTTCATCTTTGTTGTAATAGCCAGTCCCAGGACTAGATCAGCCTCAAAGTCAATAAGCCAGTCTGGTGTCACTTTCTTCCCTACCCACAAAGATCCCAAGGCCACTCTTCTACTAACCTCGATTCCCTTGCTTCCTTGCCCACTCATCATGTCCACTGAAGTCAGTCTCTAGCCTGAAGAAGACCATAATGTCTGCTTTCTCTACTCCTAACTCCTTGCTGCTAAGAGTTAATTGAGATGACAGATGAGAAAGGCGGCAGTGGTGATGGTGCATTTTCTGAGAGTTTCTAGTGCCAAGTGTCCTGAATGCTCTACATGCATTATCTTAGACACTGATTAACTTCACTACAATAGGATGCTATTCAGTTGCATTCTACCTGGGTTTTCTATGCTATTAAGCAATCATGATGTCGATCTTTAACTGACCCTTTATCATATTCCTCATAGTGAATATCTCAAAGATTTAACGATTCCCTGGAGTCCACAATCCACTCCCAACTCTGAAACCTTGCTAAGTTTTTTTTTTTTTTTTAAAGGCCATTCAACATGAATTTCCTCACAATGCCTCCTCTCCTAAGTTTTCTGAGTACTTTTATCTAACCTTTCTGTGTCTTTCCCAACTTAGAGTTTCTCTCTTTCTAAAGTCAACCTCCCTTTTAGGCCCCTGACCCACTCCCTCTTGCTTCCTCCATTGCTTCCTCTCTCTTCTGTCTTCGTTGTCTCCCTCTCTATATATATCCTTCCCCTTTACCTGTCCAAGTGTTCCCCCATCCTTTAAGAACTTGCATTCTTCCCTGCATCCTGCTCAAACTACCAACTTCTCTCTCCCCTGGGAAAAGTACTAAAGTGGACTGAACGTTCCTTACCTTTGCAGGAATGGTAAGAAAGTTTTCCCTGTAGATTATAGGTTTCATTACTCTGTATCAGCTCTCAAATCCAAAAAGAGTTGCTACAGCTGGAGGGCCCAGGACTGCCTAGACCATTGAAGAACTCTCTTTTGGGCAGAAAGCTGGAAGCTTTGTGTAATATCTGGAAGTACTTGGCATTGCATTTGATAGACTATGAAGACGTGTCTTGCAATTTCTACATGATTGCATTGTGAACCAGGCCAGGGAGGCAGCCCAGTTTGGGTAGGCCCCAACACACTTCTCTGTTTCCCTAATCTCCCTCAATCAATCCATCACTAAGTCCTGACAATATCATTATTTTAATATCTTCTGCCATTTGTAATTACTATGATCTGCTCACTAGTTCCCTGGCTGCAGCCTTACCCTGCTTCATTCTCCATACTGCAATCAGAACAACTTTCTGGAACTCTTCAATGGCTCCCTAGCACCTAAGAAACAAATTCAAGCTCCTTAGGCCCATGGTGACGTGGCTCCTGTCTACCTTGTCTCTCCCTCCCACCTACCCCATGCCAAGCTCCAGCCATGTCAACTAATTGTTCACCAGATTCCCCAAGCTCTCTCTAGCCCTTGTGCCTTGCCCTTTGCTCATTGCTCTTTCTTTCCCCTCTACCCCGAATAACCCCCTTTCCTTGACTATCTTTGATTTGTTCTTCAGGGCAGTTCAAGGATCATCTACCCAGCAGCTCCAGGGCATCTTCCCCTACCATCCCAACCCCAGACTGACTTAGGTGTCTTTACCAGGTGCTCTGAGAGGTATCCCAGGCATTCCTTTATCTAGGTACTTTTCATTTTGAACTGTTCTCACCTGATTCTTGTCTCTATCACACACCAGACTATTAGCTCTTTATCAGGAACTGCATCTGATTTGCCTTTGTAGTCCCTCTGTTCAGCATAGGGCCTGACACATACACATGTATAAATGCCTCTTGAATGAATAAATTAGATATTGAATAAGAGATAAAATGGGATATTTTAAACATTCAGTACCTCAGTAGTGTTTATTTTCATGATCTTGTACAGTAAGTAAAAAGATGAATTTGCACAGATTATGGGCAAGAGGTAGTTAGTGTTAAAAAGAAATGAAAGACTCAGAATTAAATAGACCTTGTACACTACTTCTACTACTAACATTTATGGAGGTTGCATTATTCTAAGCATTTTACATGTATTGACTCACTTAACCCTCAAAATAACCCCCGTTTTATAGAAGAAACTTTGGAAGAGAAAGATTAAAAACTTATCCAGTTAGTGGCTGGCCTGAGATCCAAACCTGGCAGAGCAATAGATTTTTTTCTTTGTTGTTGTTGTTTTTTTTTTTTTTTTTTTTTTTTTTTGAGACAGGGTCTCACTCTGTTGCCCAGGCTGGAATGCAGTGGTGCAATCACAGTTTGCTGCAGCCTCAAACTCCTGGGCTCAAGTGATCCTGCCATGTCAGCCTCCGGGGACTACAGGCATGTGCCACCATGCACGGCTAATTTTTCTTTTATTTTTTATTATTTATTTAATTTTTTTAGTAGAGATGAGGTCTTGCTATAGTGACCAGCCTGGTCTCAAACTCCTGGGCTCAAGTGATCCTCCTATCTCAGCCTCCCAACGTGCTGGGATTACACGTGTGAGCCACCACACCCTGCCAAGCCAGTGGTTTTAATCACCACATTGCACTGCCTGCCGGGTGGCCATAACTGTGCAGAAAAATGATGAGCGGGTAATTAGGCCTCAATCATCTATATACTCACCTCAATTTTTCTGTTTTTTTTTTTTTCTGCTTTAACTTGAAAAACCACAGCTTTAAATATATTGATTTATCAGCATGGAATGATATTTGAGAGTTTTTCCTGGTGGGCTGAAAAACATCTATGTAGCCAGCTCCTTGCCAGTTGCTAAGAGGAAGTAATAGTACAAGAGAGGTGGCAGGTTAAGTGTCAATTACGTGCACTGTGTTTCCTTTGGAATTAATTTTCCCACATCCTAAGGAAGTGTCTGTTTAAAGTGTTGATACCTATTTGTGAGGTTGTATTTTTTTTTAATGATAGTTCAAAGAAACACAAACCACTGAGTGAAACTCAAGATTACAAAGACCCTGTGAGAAGCCTTTGCCACCACATGAGGCTTCTGACATCAAAGGAGTTAACAAAGATAAAGAGAAATTAGAGAAAGGGGATGAGAGAGGCTGGTGTTACAATTTTCTATGGTAAAAGAAGAAAGGTTTTGGTTTTTTTTTTTTTTTTTTTTTTTTAGACACTGTCTTGCTCTGTCGCCCAGGCTGGAGTGCAGTGGCGCGATCTCAGCTCACTGCAACTTCCGCCTCCCAGGTTTAAGCAATTCTCCTGCCTCAGCCTCCCGAGCAGCTGGGATTACAGGTGCCTGCCACTATGCCCAGCTAATTTTCTGTATTTTTAGTAGAGACAGGGTGTCACCATGTTGGCCAGGCTGTTCTCAAACTCCTGACCTTGTGATTCATCCACCTCGGCCTCCCAAAGTGCTGGGATTACAGGCGTGAGCCACCGCACCTGGCCTGTTCTTTTTCTTTTTGAAAAAAAAAGAAAAAAAAAGAGAGAGAGAGAGAGAGCATAGATCTGGACAGGCAAAGTCAGGCAAATATGAAAATCCAGATAGCTTGGCAAATGAAGTCTTAGAAATCATTCCATGGCAAATCCTAGAACAGGGAGACAAGGAGGAGATGCTGGATTTGACTCATACCCTTTAGATGTTGGGTTTGTTTTTTGCTTGGTTTGTATTTTCTTTTACTTCGTCTTCATTTTTGGTGGTGGTGGTGCTGTGTGTGTGTGTGTGTGTGTGTGTGTGTGTGTGTGTGTGTGTGTGTGTGTAGGTGGGTGGTAGGGGTGGTGGCTGGTGTATAGGAACCAAAACAAGGAAGAAAAGAGATTTCAGCTCCCTGGGGCTTAAACACAAGTTCCTGCTGCTTCAAAAAGACCCCAAGTCACAAGAATTTCTCTGCATTTCTCTACTCTGTAGGGAGGCCATAGAAACAGAAAAGGCAGTGGAAAAAGGAAACAAGTAGGAAAAAAAATCCCCTCTGAGCTATCCAAAAGGGAACCTGGTGGAGAAAAATCAGCAAAATATAGTCACCTTGATACTACGCCTCCAGCTCCAAGAGTTTGGATGCCAATGTTTGGCTTTTTGATTAGTAAACAGTTTTCTGCAGAATACATGAATATTTCCAGAACTTGTAACTTATGATATTTTATTTTCTTCACCTCCAGTACTTCCAATGTTCTTTTAATAATAATGGACTGGAGCTTATCTACATCCTGGATGGTTTCATAAAACCAAATAATTGCTGAGCATAGGAAGCAGGTTTATTTGCATTTAATTTTTTTTAAAGAGAAATTCTGCCACCCTCTGGACAGAAATTGAAGATCTATTTCTTAGAGATTTACCAGGGAATACTGTTTAAAGCACTTGCCCCTGAAAATAAACATTTGTATAAAAATCTACCTTCTAAAAAAAAAGAGGATGAGGTAGGGTAGGAATCACAGTTGCTTTAGATAGCATAAGAAATACCTGAAAAATGTTACTTAAAAATACCAAATCGACTCTAAAGAGTTTGAAACTAAAGAGAAAATGGTCTCAGAGCACATTAGAGAAACAGCCTTCGGTGTTTAGCTCATAATCTTTCCAAAATCACTTTACAGCCTGCATTACTGCTCTTCAGTCTACAATGGCCAAGTAAAGGTGTTTCACACAATGTCAGCCATGGTTGCTTTCATACGGTTACCTCTATTGGTAAAAAAAAAAAAAAAAAATCCAAATTTCTGTTAAATGTAAATATATATATTTGTTGATTTTTTAACTAAAGCTAACTGAACACCAGGGCAGAGTAAGATTTCAGCCACTTGAGAGAAATTGGCCATAAGAGCACAAATGGGCAGTTTGTTTCTGAAGTTCTCCTGCTCTCATCCACTGGGCATGGAGTACTTAATGTCATGTAAATAAAACTCTTAAAAATGCAGGAATGTAATAACTACCAGTAATAATGCTGGGCAAATCAAAACACATGACATGACATTTTTATAAACAACCACAGGGAGAAAGAAGAAAGAGAGTACAGTACCTGGTTTTAGCAACAGGATTTTGATGCTTCTGGTCTTGGAGAACCTTGGCCAGCTGTTTTTGCAGAAACAGAACTTTTCCATGTACTCCTTTAATAAATGGGTGGTCAAGGAGATGTGTGACGGAAGGTCGCCTTTCAAAATCCTTAATAAGACACCTGTTTGCAAAAACCAACAAACAATCCAAAGTACAATCTTAGACACCCTGTTCCCCTATGAATATGGGAGATGGAGAGAAGGTAAAAGCTCATTTATAAAACCTGATCATTGGTTAATGATACACAGCTCTCTCTTTAATTAATATGTACCAGAAAACAGAAAAATAGTAATTCTCTATTAGTTGAATTAATTAAAACATCAGAAATCTGTCTTCGTTTGTTTTAAGCAAAGTTGAAAACACAATTTGTACCATCAACTTGAAGTACTCAAAACACTAAAAATATAGACTGCTCAATTTTCTATCCGCATTTTCATTAGAGAAAAATATTTTCAGTGGAGTCAAGTTGATTTGTATGTATACTTTCTTTTAGAAATACGTAGAATTAAATACTATCACCTCAATTAAATCCTAATATATGAAATGCCCCTTGTTTACCGGCAGGGAAAAGGCATCTAGGTGTTAAAAGGAAAAAAACTAATCATAAAGAAACCTTCACAGAAACGCTGGCGCTTGATTTCTAATGTCTTCTGAAGAACCAGAAAAACCACAGAACAGGAAGTGAGTACAATATAATTCAGATGAATTGGAATAGAATTATACAAACAGGGAACAAAAAGTCCATTCGAAATGATAAAAATTGGGTTGCATTTAAACTCTTCTGTGGTTAATTGGTTAAAATCATACCGGCATAACTACTTTCTGTTTTAGATTCAAAATCCTTTTCAAAGCAATGATTCAGTACATTTTGCTGCACCTTCTGTGTTATTCAAGATGATTTGGATACAGGGAAATTTCTAGTGAAATTGAATCTGACGAATATCCCTCCAACTGCCATCACATTTCTATTCTGCGTACCTGCCCTTGGCGAGAGGAAGAAATTTTAACATCTACCCTTTTAAGCCACTTGTCCTTAAGCCCACATTGGAGGCTTAGGATAAATGGATGCCATTCTGCCCAATCCATGAAATAAACGTCTTTAGTTTTCTCAACAGTGGAATGCCAGCAGCATCTAACATACAACGTATTTTTAATGAAATTCACTGACAAATGTTAAAAAACTTCAGCCTCACCTTGAACATCTTTTCAAAACACTTAAGCAGAGTTCTTGAAACAATCCTCAAAAGTTAAATTTACAAAAAAGCTTTGGTTTCTGCAGTTTTCAGTTCAAAACACTTTCATATCCCTTACCTTCTAGTCCTGAAAAGATATTCGGTAAATCTCCCAGTTACTCCATTTTATAATTGATTCAGGGGATTCCCTATCTATTGGAACTGGAGCTTTCAGCCAGAAAAGCCAACGGAACCTAAATTATCTCCATTCAGCTGCTTGCAGGACTATAAATACCACCTCTGCCTTGCCATGGGAAGAAATACATCATTTGACTTTTATAGGTTCAGGGCTTTTTGTATAATCTATTATTTTTCTGTGAAAAATAAAAAATCAGTGCATATGCTTTAAGAAGACTGTGTTCATGTCTTTACATCAGCAATCTTCCCTTGATTCCTTGTATATTCATCTCTATATGTAACTATCAAAGTTAATATGCTTAGATATTATGCAAAAATGCTAATAACCATGTTTCCTGAAAAAAGAGGGAACCCAAGAGGTAGTTATACTGTCAGTAACATAGGTGTATGGCCCAGTCCTCCTAGCATTAGGAATAGTGTATAAAAACTCCTAAGATAAACATAGCCCCTATGTCCTCTGAGAGTTCCTACTGAAGATGCACCCGGTAGTTGTGCACACCCCCAGGAACCTCAGAGGGAACGGGTAGGATGGGAGTCCAGGAACTGCTGGATCTGAAGCTAAGCCTGCTTACTGATTTCTTAATAAGTCACATTATGTCTGTTTCTCATCACCAAATAGGCATATCAGTATTGAAGTATTTCCCAAACATGGGGAGAGAAATTTCTTGTTTCCTCACATAATATTCATCCCACCCATCCGTCACCCTCCCCACATTTTTGTTTTGGCTTTCTTCCTGTGTTAATTGTTGAAGCGTCATCTGACTACCAGGAAATGCTCATTGAAAAGAAAGAATGAACAAAAGGACCAGGGGTCCCTCAATAGCCTGTTGACTAGTGGCAACACTTCAAATTAGTAAACACAGGGGCAGAGACTGAAGGTGGAAGGAGGCAATTCACAAAAAATTCATAGCATGTGAAGGGGAAAGTGAGCTGGAGCTGCCTCTCTACCTTCCTCCTTAATATAGGTACCTCAGGGCAGTGTTCCAGGTGAGGCCTGAAAACAAGGTCCTTTGGGTACTTCAGTAAGTAAAGCTCCTTGAACAGGGATTGAGAAAGACTAGGAAACCCATACTCCATCCAGCCTTATGAAAAGATGCCTCCACTGGAGTCTAGGGACCACAATTAAAGGTGGTATAGCTTGTTTCACAATGTTAGCATCCACTGGAGAAGCAAGGCTTCCAACACGGTCGCAAGATCATTTGATATGTTAGAGAGGGTCCCTCTCTAGATTATGGAGGAATAAAAGAAATGAATGAATAATGAAGTCAGAGAATTAGACAAAGAAGAAACTAACGAGTAAATCTGTTATTTCTTGAAGATCCAAAAAATGAAGATAGTAGGCATTCTACTTTCTGGAAGCAATGATCAAGAAGATCTGTTGGCCAGGCGTGGTGGCTCATGCCCATAATCCCAACACTTTGGGAGCCCAGATAGGAGGATTTCTTGAGCCCAGGAGTTCAAGAGAAGCCTGAGCAACATAGTGAGACCTCATCTCTACTAAAAATAATTTAAAAATTAGCAGAGCACACCTGTAGTCCCAGCTACTTGGGAGGCTGAGGCAGGAGGATCACTTGAGCCCAGGAGTTTGAGATTGCAGTGAGCTATGATCCCACCACTACACTCCAGTCTGGCAACAGAGTGAGACCCTGTCTCAAAAAAACAAAAACAAAAAACAAACAAAAAAAAGTGCTTTCTTAGTTCTCCAAGTAAGAAAGAAAGACTGAAGTGGGTTGAATGTCTGCGTGATAAACCCCTATTAACTTCAGTAGGGATGGCACCAAGTTCAAGAGGCTGAAGGAGAGACCCAGAGCCAACAAATGAGATATAGGGTTTTATTAGGAGAAACTTACATACAGGGATGATGCAGTAGCCATGTGCTGGACAGAAGAACCACCACTGCATGCAAAAAGCATGCAGTTTATATAGCATTTTCACTTCACTCCCTCCTCCTAACAACCTCCACCTGGCAACCTTCATTTAACGCAAAACAAAGAGCCTCACTCCCCTGTATGCTGATGTTCCACAGGAAGGGCCCAGAGCTCAGATGTTCCTCACAGACAAGGAATTTATCTCTGGGTTGGGCACGCTCTGAACTCCAAACACATATTCAGGTGCAACTGCCATACAGGATCATCCTCAGGGTATGCTCAAGTTAAATTATTGCTGTCGGGTGTGTCTACCATATACCATCATACCACAGGATCAGCACAACTGAACCTGAGTGTAAAGAGGAAGAAGGCTAAGCAGAGTTGTGACTCTCCAACTGCATTGGAGGATTTTTAGGGAAAGGGCATGAAGAACTTGAAGGTATAGCTTTATTCTAAAATACTCCTCTCTATATTTTTTTCTCATGGGGAGCAAAGAGCCAGTCTGAAATGGAACTATTATTTTACAGATAAATAGAGGAAAGTTATGCCTTAAGAGCAGATAGAAAGTCCTGCGTTACTGGATATGAGGGCATAGCATCATATCGTTTACTCAGCAAACATTTATTACTCAGCACTAGAACTAGCCACAATACATAAATTAATTAAAAGCTATGACCCTTTTCCTCAAGGATCTACAATCTAATTGGAAAGACAGAAGGACAAGAGAAGCACAAGAAACAGCAAAAGCCATATGTTTGCTTCTATCTTTAGGATAAGAAATAATAGCACAAAAGCATAGGGTTTCAGAGCCACAGGGACTGAGATTTTCGATTCTAGCCCCTCTTTTAAGAGGTGAGGAAATGGGATCAAGTCCTGGCAATGATGAGGTCAATTCCTCAACTCCCACAGGAGGACCCTTCCTGCTTTGTTCCGTGTTGTTAAAAATGACAAAGGTACAACGTACGAAACAATACTTCGCGGCCAGAGGGAAGAACTGTAGTCAGGGAAGACTTCCTGGAGCTGGTAAGAATTGAGCTAGGTAAGTCTTGGGGGAAGTTTTGGAACTAAATTGAACTAAACTGGGGGAGTAAAGGCAGAAGTCATACTGGGGAGCCAGACCGGCAATGCAAGAAGCAGACTAGACAAGCTGCAAAGCCAGTAAGTCAGGAGGCCACCAGAACACTGACCTTCACCTCCTAAGCTGCTTCTTTTGAATGCCTAACAACAGTTACTGCCTTTAGTCCCTTTACCAACTTTAACTAAGGTATAATTGTTGTTGCTTAAGACTTTGTAGTTTGGTGCCCAGAATTCTTACTGTTTAAGTTTGTCGGCTTGTCATTTCTATCCCTGGTCAGCAGAGATTTAGTGGATGAAGATGAAACTGACAGCTGGGATTCCTAAAACTCCTGATAGCCTCCATGTCCTTTTATAAAGCAAGATAGAATCCTTTAACCTGATTTGGAGAACAAACAAGTAGAACTAAAGGAGTTCTAAGAAACGTATTCATTTCAGGTATTGCTTATTAAACCAGGAATTGCAAATTCCAAAAGAAGACTATCTTCCCCCAGCCAGGGACTGAGCAGTTTTTACAAAAGGATGCATAAAATGTTAAACTCTGTATGGGATTGGGGGCCAGCCAACATGAGGTGAATTAGGGGAAGCACTAGACACATAAAGCATTCCATCAAAAAAAGAAGCTAGTTTCCTAGTCAAAAGAGTTTGGAAAACATTGGTGATTCTCTAAACCAAGTAAGTTTGGAGTTTTGTAATGCACACAAGCCTATTAAAGGTTCTTACAAGAGCTAGGGTTAAAAAAAAGTTTAATTCTATTTGAGCCCACGTTTCCAAGCTTACTTAGCCACAGAGACCTTTTTGTTTGTTTGTTTGGGCCCCACAAATGATATCCTTGGAAGTTCTGTTGTAAGCAATTAGTCGCATGATTTTAGAATGGACACCAGAGTCCTCAACTCAGTGGACTGAGGGGACACTGTAAGAACTCTTAATAATTGCCACATCTCAGACACTCTGGAGGGCTATTGTTTCTGCAAAAGACAGTGTTTCAACCTGGGGAGATATTTTCCTGAGCTCAGTTCTTTCCAGAGTCCTTTATTCTAGAAAACAAGTAGCAAGGACTAGATTTAGATACACTACTTTTCCCCAAATCATAAGTAATTCTTTCTTTCATTCATTCCTGGATTTTTTAATCTTTTTTAAAAAATTAGGATTTAGATATGCTTTCTCTGTGCTAACAGACAAAACAACAGAATAACAATTTATTTATACCATGAGATATATGCAAGAGACTCTGGAAATAAGGCCATGATGGGTGGTTTTGAATATGATAGAAAAGTCCACCAGAAGATAAAGGAAGCAAATTTCAGCCTTGAAGGAAATCAATCCACTATCTAATTTGAAATTCTAGTACCTTCCATCATGCTTTCTTGGCTGAAGATTAATTCTCAGAATCTATTAGTGTCACCACATTAAACACAGGTTGTTGCAGCCATTTGCAGCAATCTCCCAGTCTGGCTTCTGCCAAAAACAGGCAAAAACGGGACATTTCTTAGCAAGAAACAAGGTCGGGCTCTCAAGCTGGTGGTGTCTGTGCACTCTCTGCTCCAAGACAATAATGCTGTCGTGACACAGCTACTCTGTGCCTGTAAACTGCCATTTCATAACCAAAAAACCGGATGCCTGCAAGGGGGAGCTATTTGTCAAGAGCCTCTGACTGTTGTTTACCAATGAATAAAACACTTGATATAGAGCAGCTGAAAAGGCAAAAACTAAAAATACTAGTAAACTGGGTAAGAAAAGCATGAGGGTGAGCAATGTATTCCATACATTGGGGCAAAACTAGATCAAAACTCAGGATTTATGACTCTTCTCATTTCTTTATAAATATTCTGTCTTTTATACTTCCTGCTATTTTCTTGCAGGCCTGCTACTTGAATTGTTATGTGTTCCCATTGCTACAGAAGATCTAAACATTTTGGATCTGAGCAAGCATTTCCCTGCCGTGTGATTCACTGTGCTGCCCTGTGGTTGCTATCATCGTCAAACAGAAGGCTGACTGACAAAGAGGCCTCTAAATCAAGGGGAGAAAATCCTCCAGAGGATACACTAATTATAGGTTAAATATCAGAGCACACAGTATTCTGCCTTGGAAGAAAATTTCCATTCTGCAAGACAAGACTATGACAAACAGGCATTTTCTCAAAATGACTAATGCCTCAAAAGAAGGCAGAATGAGAAACTTGATGCTGTGTATGGTATTTCTGTGAAACATCACCCCCCTGTTTGGTGGAATATTTAACTGCATTTCAGTTTTCCTGAAGTCTGAATATCACATTTGATGCTGTTGCAAAGTCTCACTGGTGAGAACTGAAATTGCATGCTAACTTCACATTTGGGGTGGGGAAGTGGGGTCCTCCCCTGAAACAGGTAAATGAGAACTGGGAGTGCATTACTCAGTTAGGCAGGTCTATGGTTATCAATCAGAGGAGAATAGTCAGTATTTGCTAAAAGACAAAAATCCCCAAGAAGGTAGGATGGAGAGCTTTTGAACAGGAAGCTGAGTCTCCCTTTGAAATGAGTAACGGGAATAGAGTCTGTGTAAAAAGCAAGAGACCACATGGCTACTGGACGACAGGGCAGCTGCCATCTTGCCAGAGATCCTGGGGCAAGGTTGGAAAGATAAACAAGTGAGCCTGATCTTTAGACAAAGCTGTCAGCACCAAAGGTCCACAGTAAGCTCAAGTGAAGGTAGGACGGAAATGGAAAGGGAAGAACATTGCATTTCCTGAAGCCTGACACTGGGCAGGAAACTTGGGGATAAAGAACATCTACTTTTCTCACCCAGAGAAGACTCAAAGAAAGTAAAGAAGGTGACAAAAGAAAACATATAGGGTGGTGGTTTGAAGCCAAAATATCACATCTCTGAGCAAATGGGACAGAATCTACCTCTAGAGTTAAGACGTGTGCACCAGTGTGGCTGGAGAAAGTCCCTATGCAAAAACAAGGCCCAGGATCAGAGACCCCCAGTAAGGCAGAGAGCTGCAATATGTAACCCTGTAATGCCCCAGGGTTGCAGCCTCAGTGAAACCTGTCAACCAGGAACCTCTTTACCCTCTATCTCTAAGCCCTTGGTCAATATGAAATAGTTTGAAAAGCCCAGACTAACTGACTATGTTCTTAGGGAAGGAGATGTGGTAACAAAAATTCTAGATCCTCAAGCCCTGCTTGTCTGGGGACAAGTGGAGAGCCACAGTGAGGAGGAACAGAGGAAAGGAGACTATACTATAGACAAAAGGCAGAATCAGTCTGGGAGGAGGAAAAAGAGAGAGAGATGTAAAAGTGCTAAACAAATGACATGAAGTTAGAAGGGCCAAGTGAACCAGGCCAGAGCCAAGTAGCAGGTCAAGATGGGGCACAGATTCAAGGTAAAGAGAGGTATCTCCAAGAAAAAGTCACTGAAGGCATACTGACCGAGTTGGCTGTTTTATTCTTGTTCTTGGCACCTCCTTCTTATGTTTAAGCTACGCTTTCAAACTGTCCTACGGCATTTGACAAAGAATGGGGATAAGGTTGCCCTCTGCTGGACACAGTGGCAGCCAAGAAGATGTCAATTTTGTGTCCGAGAATTAAGGCAGTCTTAAGGATTGTTAACTGGTGGCCCCAAGTCATCACCTTCTCCCTCCTCCTGGCTTTCTTTTTTCTTTGGTTGAGTTTTTATAAAAAGCACCTTGCAATTAACCAGATATTTCTCCAGGCAACTCCACCCATGTGACACAGTCAGGGCACAGATAAACACAGCCCCAGCAACTAGCTTATCAGATTGTTAGTCTATGTTCAAATGCCACCCTTTAGTTCAAAGGGCTGGAGAAGGTGTGGTCCCTGGGAGATCACACCTTAAATGGTTAGAAAGGTTATTGTGGGGAATAAATGAGTTAATTCATGTCTAGTATTTGGTATATAGCGAACAATTGATAAATGTCAGCTCCCTGGGCCAGACACTGTACTAGTTGCTGGGTATACAGTCAGTCAGTCCATTGGAGGAAGATAGCTGTGGTACACCTATTGATAATTAGCAGTATGAGTGCTACATAAGTGTCTTACTCCATTTTGCACTGCTCTATCAGATGACCTAAGACTGGGTAATTTATAAAGAACAGAAATGTACTTTCTCACAGTTCTGACGGCTGAGAATTCCAAGATCAAGCCTCCAGCAGGTTCAGTTGTCTGGTGAGGGCTGCTCTCTACTTCCAAGATGGCTCCTTCAGAGGAGAGGAATGCTGTGTCTTCACACAGTGGAAGGCCAAAAGGCAAGAAGAGACTAACTGCCTCTCCTTCAAGCCTGTTTATCCAGTACTTAATCCTTAATCCCATTCACCACGGAGAGGCTCTCATGACCTAACGACCTCTTAAAGAACCCACCTCTTAATACTATCACAAAGCCAGCACCTGAATTTTGGAGGAGACACATTCAAACCACAGCAACAAGGAAATGTTAATGTGCAATGGCTCCCTCAGTTAGATTTTAATAATACTGTGCTCATTAGTTAGCTACTTTCTCTCAGTTGATTCCTACCACTGAGGACAAATTTCTGTTTGATAGTAGATGCCCTGATCAGAACTTTCAAAGTTCTGAGGGGAAGGGAATTTCTGGGGTCTGGCAATTCAGCAAAAGCAAAGAGCTTTGGCATTTTCAAGTTCATGCCTTTGGGTAATTTTTTTAATGTCTGGCTCATTTCTTTGATTCGAAAATCAATTTCCATTTTGACAAACAGTCATGGTCTGCTTCTTAGTCCAGGCTTAAATGCCCAGGGACACATGAATTGTATTTCTTCCCATGATCCTACTTGCCACCCTTCCCTGAATTAAATCCACAATTCTCATTTGTATGCATTCTTCTCCCTACAAGGAGAAGGAATAGAGAGTACCCAGCCATCCTCTAACAGAAATGAACAATCTGTTCCACAGTGCATGATCATTACATGCTCAGGACTATACCAGAACTGGGGTTGGGGCTAAGAGAGTGCAAATCAAACAGAAGACATTATATTCATCCACAAGAAACTTATCAGCTTCTGGGGTAATACCAAACTTACACATATGAAAGATTTAGAGAATCAGATGAGATTGATTTCATTGATTCATTCAAAAACTTACTAGGTATTTACTGTGAATGGTGCCACAGCAAATGCCTAGGGAAAACAATGCCTGGAATGAGACATTTGCTTTCATGGGATTTAGAAAGAAGTATTAGAATAGACATGGACATAAATAATAATAATTTAAGGCTGAAAAGTATAAGCACTAGAATAGCGCAGACGAAGTAAATAATTCTAACTAGGAGCAAGAGTTTCACATGAGAGATGATCCTTGGGTCTTAAAGAACAAAAGGGGTATTGACAGAAAATGCAGGCAAGAGGCATTCCAAGCGGAGGGTACAGTAGCCTTTTGAGGAAGTTCATTGGTATAAAATGCAAGGCTCATCTAGGGATATGAGTAGAACAGAACAATGCAGTTATAATAGAGATGGGGTGAGAGTCTGGCTGGAACATCTTTTCAGAACCCAGAAGGTCTTGCTGGTAAGTTTGGGCTTTCTTAGCCACATTAAACTGAGGTTCATGAACAAGGATATAACACAATTAGATATTTGCTTTAGAAAATAAAGTGGCACCACATTAGAGAGTAGATTAGAGGGAAGGAGTGAATTCATTTAGGAAGAATACAGTCTGAATTAATGAAATAGAAAGGGAAAGATGATGATTGTAGCCCTGGAACTTGAAGACAAGTCAAGAGTGTTGAAAGAAAAGAGAAGAGGTCACCAATGGAATCTTAGGCAAACTTAAATTTAATAGATGGGCCTGTAGCTAAATGTTTGTGAACATAAAAATCTTTTATCTTCACTACCCAACTAAAATCTCTCTCAAAGGACCCTAAAGGCCTTTAAGTTGCCGATTCTGTGTTCCCTTTTTAGTTCTCATTGTATTCAACCTCTCTGTTCAAGAGGTCACTAATGACCATCATTACCCTGGTTTCTTGAAACATTCTGTTTCATTGCCTGTAGTGATGCTACATCTCTTAGTTATTCTTTTACTTTTCTGACTACTCTCGCTCATTTATTTTCATTACCAGGTGGAATAAGATGACAAGGGCAGAGGAGATAGGGTATGCAAAGACAAGGAGAAGCGAAAATAGAACTGATAGCTTTTATGTGCACAGGCTTAGAACTTGCTCCTGAACAACTACTGCCTTTGCCTAGTAGCTCAAATTTATAAATTAAGTAATATAGAGGGAATTTGCCTACTACGGAGAAGGCCGTCCCTATTCTTGGAGACCCACAATCCCAAACAAGTCTGTAGATTCTGCTCAAAATGAGTGGTTGCAACTATAATGTGCATAGCTGGCATTAAGTAAAAATTTTAAATGCAAGAAAATCAGCAAAAACTACTCAATAAAATTTTCAACTGATTATTGCTAATAATTCTTATAATAGGTTTAATGAGATATAGTTCACATACTATACAGTTCATCCATTAAAAATGTACAATTCAATTATTTTTAATATATTCACACAGTTGTGCAACCATTACCACAATCAATTTCAGAACATTTTCATCACCCCAAAAAGAAACCCCGTATCCATTAGCATTCACACCCTATACTCCCTCAACCTCCTCAGTCCCAGGCAACCACTAATCTACTTTCTGTCCCTGTAGATTTGTCTAATCTGGACATTTCATATAATATGTATGGTCTTTTGTGACTAGCTTCTTTCATTTTGCATGTTTTCAAGGTTCATTCATATCACAGCATATATTAATATTTCATTCATTTTTATTGTTAAATAATGTTTCATTATATGGACATACCACATTTTGTTGATCCGTCTATCAGTTGATAGACACTTAGGTTGTTTCTACTTTTGTTTTTTTGTTTTTTTTTTTGAGAAGGAGTTTCACTCTCGTTGCCCAGGCTGGAGTGCAATGGTGCGATCTCGGCTCACCGCAACCTCTGCCTCCCAGGTTCAAGTGATTCTCCTGCCTCAGCCTCCGGAGTAGCTGGGATTACAGGCGCTCCCCACCGCACCTGGCTACTTTTGTATTTTTAGTAGAGACGGAGTTTCTCCATGTTGGTCAGCCTGGTCTCGAACTCCCGACCTCAGGTGATCCACCCACCTTGGCCTCCCAAAGTGCTGGGATTACAGGCGTGAGCCACTGCGCCCAGCTGGTTGTTTCTACTTTTAAGCTATTATGAATTATTGCTACTACGAACATTTCTGTACAAGCTTTTATGTGGACACATGTTTTCATTTCCCCTGGATTGCTGGTTATGGTAACTTTATGTTTGTCTTCTTGAGGAACTACCAGACTGTTTTCCAAAATCATAGCATCATTTTATATTCCTACCAACGTATGCAAATTTTAAAATATTCCATCTTGTTCCAGAAATAACTTAAGACACCTTAAAACAATAGGTGCTTAAATAAATAAAGGTATATGTGATAAGGAAAGATAAAAAACAATTATAAACCAAACAGAAAAATGAAGCAAAGGGGAAATAAGGGAAGAAAGATACCCTGGAATCTAATAGGAATTAGAATACCAAATAAAAGACTTTGTTAGCGGTGTCCACAAATGGGGCTCTGGGCTTTCTGTCAGACAATGTGAAAGATAAAATGTAGTCAGTTATATACATATATATAAAATATAATATATAATACACATATAAATATATAATATATAAAATATATATATATAATATATATTATTTATTTTTATTTTTATTTTTTTTGAGATGGAGTCTCTCTCTGTTGCCCAGGCTGGAGTGCAAGGCGTGATCTTGGCTCACTGCAACCTCCGCCTCCCAGGTTCAAGGGATTCTCCTGCCTCAGCTTCCTGAGTAGCTGAGATTATAGGTGACTGCCACAATGCCCAGCTAATTTTTGTATTTTTAGTAGAGACAGGAATTCTGTTCTATATTTCTTAAAATCCATGATATAAAAACAGACTAGGCCAGGCCCAGTGTCTCACACCTGTCTGTGATCCCAGCACTTTGGGAGGCTGAGCCAGGAATATTGCTTGAGCCCAGGAGTTAGAGACAAGCCTGAGCCACACAGGGAGACCCTGTCTCTACCAAAAATATTGTTTTTAAATCAGGGGGCCGTGGTGGTGCATACCTATGGTCCCAGCCACTTGGGAGGCTGAGGTGGGAGGACTGCTTGAGCCCAGGAGGTTGAGGCTGCAGTGAGCCATGATTGTACCACTGCACTCCAGCCTGGGCCACAGGGTGAGACCTTGTCTTAAAACATTTTTTTAAAGATAAAAATAAAAATAAATAAATAAAACAGACCAGCAATTTGGAGAACTGTGATGTAATGACAGGTAACAAGACTAAAGATATAGCTTTCCAGGGTTTTCATAGAAATGGCTCCATGCAGCCAGGTGCGGTGGCTCACACTTGTAATCCCAGCACTTTGGGAGGCTGAGGTGGGTGGATCACCTGAGGTCAGGAGTTCGAGACCAGCCTGGCCAACATGGTGAAACCCCATCTCTACTAAAAATACAAAATTAGCCAGGTGTGGTGATGGATGCCTGTAATCCCAGCTACTCAGGAGGCTGAGGCAGGAGAACTGCTTGAACCCAGGAAGCAGAGGTTACAGGGAGCCGAGATCATGCCGTTGTACTCCAGGCTGGGCAAAAAGAGGGAAAATCTGTCTCAAAAAGAAAAGAAATGCCTCCATGCTATGTAATGAATATTATCACTCTCTAGTAAATGCAGCTATGGGTTTAATAGGGCTGTTTCTTATGACACTCTTCAATGTAAACCGAAGCCTGTTGGCCAGGCGCGGTGGCTCATGCCTGTAATCCCAGCACTTTGGGAGGCCGAGGTGGGCGGATCACGAGGTCAGGAGATTGAGACCATCCTGGCCAACACGGTGAAACCCCGTCTCCAGTAAAAATACAAAAAAGTCAGCCGGGCATGGTGGCGGGCACCTGTAGTCCCAGCTACTTGGGAGGCTGAGGCAGGAGAATGGCGTGAACCCAGGAGGCAGAGCTTGCAGTGAGCCGAGATCACGCCACTGCACTCCACCTGGGCGACACAGCGAGACTCCATCTCAAAAAATAAAATAAAATAAAAATAAATAAATAATAAATAAATAAATAAACTGATGCCTTACATCATCTAGTAAAAAAAATTCTCCCTGGGTGGCCAACACAAAGAGACAAGAGCCATCTGTCTTAATCCATTGCTAAATCTATCAGCAACTTGGTGAATTTTTATAGGGTCAGGCCCCTTGATTCCTGACACGTTGAATGTCTGGATGCTGGCATTGATTAAGGAAAGAAAAGGTGGATGCCAAGCTACCATGTGCTATTCATTGCAAAGAATGAAAAGAAGATTGCTGAAAATGTTGAGCCCATGAATCAAAAGTAACTCAAAGGAGGGAGCGATTCAATCCCAACAATGTGAGTTGGGGAAGGGCAGGAATAAGACTGGAGCATCACACAAGTGGGAGTTGGCAACAAAAGGACAGCTGACTTGCTCCCTAAATGATGACAATAATTACTCCAGCTAAAATGTCAGGCCATAATACACAGTGGGGCTAGGAGATTAGATAAAGAGGCAGGATAATGACCTAGAGCTGCAATAGTCGTACTGGCATTGTGTCTACCCACATTTTGTACCCTTCCCTTAATGTTTGTTCTTTTGGTAAAGACTAAAATTGACTAAACACTTCTCTGGCTGACTGCCAATTATGTGAACATCAAATTGGAGAAAATGAACTAAGCCAGATTTTCATAACAACTTAACCACACTAAAAAGTCTGGAAAAAAATCTTGTCAGATAATATGTAGGTGCACACATTTTATGCAAGGTAGGATTTTGCAGTTATTGGCTGTCTTGGTTCATGTTCCTGAGGACACAAACCACTACCATGCCTGTCACCTGTCATCTCTCCTGCCCAACTTCTTAGCAAAAAAGCTTCAAAGGACAATGAACCACAAGGCCTAAATTACTGCTCCTGCTGCTTTTTTGGAGAGATGGTTTTTGCAGAGGAAGTGGCCACCCAAGGAAGCCAGGAAGTGCTGCTTCTGTGTGATTTTAGACAAGAAATGAACACTTCACCCTCCACCCCCCACCCCACCCCCAGGATGTCAATCCAGTGCCTTGTTCAAGCACTGAATTTTTGCAAGATAAAATATTTTTCTTCTTTAGGAAAGGGAATGAATAAAGACACTGACGGCCAAATAGAGTCTGGGGAGTCCTTAAAACTCCTCCATTAACAAGATGGAGCAGAACAGCTCCATCTATTACATCAAAGCCTCATCAGAGACCCTAATCCTTTCTGAAAGGAACTCAGGCAACCAAGCCTTTAATTTGCTGAATAATAGGCCATCTAATTAACCCTTGCAAAGTAAAGCACAGACGTTGCAGGCAACCAACACATGTTCCCAAGAGGTTGGGAAAGAAGGGGGAGGGGGAGACAGTTTGGAATACTTTTGACTCCTATTGTTAGGGAACTAACTCTATGCATGGGTTTCTGAATGGTTATCTTTCTGTTTTCCTTTCTAATTTTCTCCATTCTGTTTCCCCAGGGGACCTGCTGTTTCCCCGCCCTGGTATTATGGTGTGTCCTGAGCTTGAAGCCACTGTTAATTCACTGACATGCATAGATAGGTGATACAGAATGACTGTCACAAAATATACTCATAGCAGCAAATCAGTGACATCAAAGGATCTTTTAGGACCACTTACCCACCCATCTCTGCTCTAGACAGGCCACTGTGCTCTGGGGAAAGAAAAACAAAACAGAACAAAAAAAAGGAACCAGAACTGATGACAAGGAGAAAGGGAAGAGAAGAGAAAAGAAGAGAGGGAGTAACACTAGCTCAGGCACTTCTTGGATCTCTTCCAATTCAACAGGCAATGCCTAGCATTAAACAGGGTTGTCTGATTCTTTCTGCGGGATCCTATTACTGGAAGTAGACAACTGTACATACTATGTTGCCAAGGACAGGTAACAGGTTAGATGGATCACGAATTTCATACTAGTATGCATTAATAATAAATCATAGACATATTACCCTTCCTGCTAGTTATATCAGATAATGCGATGAATGATTGAATGTGTGACACAGTGGTCAATTATCATGTGGATGATATAAATTCTATTGTGCTGAGGACATTTATCTCTTTATTGATCTGGCTTTGCTAGCAAGGATCATAAATTACTAGCCTTCCATAACCATATGATGAATACTCTAATAAGAGAATGCCACCAAGTCCTGTTTTCATAATAAATTCCCTTATGATTTCAGTTAGAAAAGTAGCATGCAGAGAATTTGTTTTATTTTATTAAAGACTTTATTTTTACAACAGTTTTAAGTTCACAGCAAAATTGAGAGAAAGGTACAGAGATTTCCCATATACCCCGGCCCCCCTACACGCACAGCCTCTCCACTGTCAACATCCCCCACCTGTACATTTGTTACAATTGAGGAACTCATACTGACACATCGTAATTACCCAGAGTCCATGGTTTACATTAAAGTTCACTCTCAGTGTTGTACATTCTATAGGTTTGGGCAAATTTATAATGACATGTAATCCATTCGTAGAGTATTATACAGAGTATTTTCACTGCCCGAAAAATCCTGTGGGTTCCACCTGTTCTTCCCCTCCCTCCCTGCCCACAACTCCTGACAACTACTGATCTCCATACTGTCTCCATGGTTTTGCCTTTTCCAGAATGTCACGTAATTGGAATCCTACAGTATATAGACTCTTCAGATTGGTTTCTTTCACATGGTAACATGAATTTAAGATTCCTCCATGTCTTTTCATGGCTTGATAGCTGATTTCTTTTTAGCAGTGAATAATGTTCCATTGTCTGGATATACCAGAGTTTACTCATCCATTCACCTACTGAAGGACATCTTGGTGATTTCCAAGTTTTGGCACTTGTAAATAAAACTGTGATAAACATTCATGTGCAGATTTTTATGTGTATATAAGTTTTCAATTCCTTTAGGTAAATATTAAAAAGGGCGATTGCTAGACCCTACGGTAAGCATATGTTTACTTTTGTAAGAAATTAGCAAACTGTCTTCCAAAGTGGCTATACCATTTGCATTCCCACCAAAAATGAAGGAGAGTTCCTTTTGCTCCACATCCTTGGCAGCATTTGGTATTGTCAGTGTTCCAGATTTTGGTCATTCCAATAGGTATGTAGTGGTATCTCATTGTTGAATCTTTTTATTTTATTGTCAAAAGTTATATGCAGTAGGAAGACTATGAGGAAATCCTGTCTATCCCAAACGAGTAAACAATAGTATCCTAGAACCAGCATGCATAAGCTTACTAGACATTACTGTTAACATTTTCAGGAATTCTGTGAGCTGGTTGATATCAGATTGATAGCTTGAAATTGGCTATGGTGGGAATATTTACACCATGAAAACGAGTAAACACTGAAAATCAGCCCCACTCCCACCCCTATCCGCAACCAGCCAGTTTAAACATTTACCAGTACACCACTGCTTATGTACTGGAAATCTTGGGAAAAACTGACTGCCTGATAATTCAAAAGCATGGTCATATAGATAGAAATCTCTTTTTACCAACCTTTTCCTCCAATGCTTTTTTTCCTCATTTCCTGTCTTCTGTTAGATTGATTAAATTTTCTGTAGACCCTTTCTTCTTTTGGTTTAGAAACTAGACATTGTTTTTCTATAGTTTTAACATATTTGCTTAACTACAAATTAGTTTAACATGTTTGCTTAACTGTCAATTTTCCTGTAGTTCTATCCCCTTTCTGAGTACAAAAACCTATGCGTGCCTAGGCCGGGCACGGTGGCTCACACCTGTAATCTCAGCATTTTGGGAGACCAAGGAGGGCGGGTCACCTGAGGTCAGGAGTTCGAGACCAGTCTGGCCAACACGGTGAAACCCCGTCTCTACTAAAAATACAAAAATCAGCCAGGTGTTGTGGCATGCACCTGCAACCCCAGCTACTCAGGAGGCTGAGGCAAGAGGATCGCTTGAACCTGGGAGGCGGAGGTTGCAGTGAGCCGAGATCATGCCACTGCACTCTAGCCTGGGCGACGGAGCGAGACTCCATCTCAAAAACAACAACAAAAAACCAAACAAAGAAAAACAACTTGTGCATGCCTAAATCACACACTGGATGCTGTCCCTGCCCCAACTGTATGATTAGAGTTAGTTTTTACGTATTTTATCCCAAATTGTTTTCCTTCTTACAGTTAGTAGTTATCTACATTAATCCTTCAGACTATTCCATGAATTTAGTTTCATTTCAAACGAATTTATGCTTCATTTGTTGTTTTGGTGGGTTGTCTTCCTCAGCTTTAGGTTTATTCAGGTGTTCTGAAATTTCAGTTGGCAGGCTCACTGAAAGGGTGAGGAGGAAGAGGATTTTGTTTTCTCTCTCCCTCTCACTTCCCCTTTGCCCACCCTCCTATTCTAGTAATGTTATGGTTATGTCTGCTTGGCTCTCTGGGTCTCTAGCCCAGAGCCAGGTTGTAGAATGGCATTTTGTGCTGCTGTCCCATGGTCTTATTGGGCATATGGAAGAGCCTATGACTGTGGCAGCCACAGGCCTGGCTGCTTATATATCCTTCTACCATCCTCAGCCAGAAGGTGGCTAAAAGTCATAGTCCTGGGTGATGGTCAGCATCACCCCAGACGATGGAGAATATGTGGAAGAAATTGCTACAGTTAGAGCACAGGATCACATAACCTCTCCCCTACCCCATTCTTTTTCCCAGACGCTTTTTATCAGCCTAAATGAACCACCTCATTTACTGGCTTCAAGTAGGAGTCTCAACTCTGAATCCTATCTTGTTTGGAGCCCTGTTAGTCTTTTTACTCACAGGAGTCACCACTGCTCTTGATACCTGCGGACCTGTGACTTCAGCCCAGCTGAGCACTTCATGAGCATTCCATTCTCATCCATCACAATGAACATTCTGAATATAACTAACTTCCTTCCTTCCTGCCTTCCTCCCTCCCTGCCTTCCCTTCCTTCCTGCCTTCCTTCTTCCTTCCTCCCTTTTTTCTTTTCTCCCTTCCTTCCTTCTTAATATGTTTTTGGCCTTTTCTTTATATATGTGGCCTAGCAATATCCTGTGTTTGGAAAAGTATAAACCTAAGGCATCACCTTTACAGAAAATATCTTCCACGGAAACATCTAAAGGCAAAAATCCTTCAAATTCAAATTTATCCAATCATTTCTTCTGCTTACTACCATCCTAAATCATTTTTCTTTAGTAAGATCTATTAGTGTGAAGCTATTAAGCTATTAATGTATGTATCATATTAATGTATTAAGACATTAAGGTACGTGGCCAAAATTAACATCTGTGAGACGTGCCCCTAATCTTTTTTCCCCCTGCCAACACCTTGATTTTAACCTAATTTTATTTTACAGTGAGGAAGTAAAGTTGCATTCACAGGCCTTGAACTTTTCCACATCTCGATTTTTACCCATCATCTCTGCATAGTTCCCTAAGGCAGCCTTCAAATGGTGATGTTTCTTATAATCCAGAGTTCAGAAGTGGCTTCTCTTCAATCTTTCTGTGGAATTCTAAACCACGTGATAAAGGAGCTGGTGGTGAGAAATAAGGGAAGGCAGAGATGAAAAGGAATGGGCAGAAGCTTTTGGAGAGGAATAACCACTGAGATTGCCATGAAGGATTCATTCTGACATTCTTTTCATGTATTTAAGGCAATCAAAAAAGAATCCACAGCTAACCACGTAGCTATCAATTTAACAATCCTATCATGTTTCTTCTTACAGTTAAAATTTCGGTTTTTGGGAGGTCGAGGCGGGCAGATCACTTGAGCCCACAAGTTGGAGATCAGCCTGGGCAACATGGCAAAACCCAGTCTCTACTAAACATACAGAAAATTAGCTGGGTGTGCACGTGCCTGTAATCCCAGCTACTTGGGAGGCTGAGGGAAGAGGATTGCTTCACCCTGGGAGGTTGAGATTGCAATGAGCCGAGATCGCGCCACTGCAATCCAGCCTGGGCAACAGAGCAAGACACTATCTCAAAGGAAAAAAAAATGTTCAGTTGTGTTCTGGGATACTGTGTGTATATTGAGAGAGGAAGGTGTATCTGACCACTTTTGCCACCCCTTATTCTCTTCCTTATCATTATGTTTGTCGTTTGGAGAGACTGTCCAAAGATCATGAGTTCTAACATCCAACTTCTATCTAGGTCCATTATATGAGGTGCATAATTTTTTTCTTTCTTTCTTTTTTTTTTTTTTTTGAGACAGGGTCTCATTCCATCGCTCAGGCTGGAGTGCAGTGGTGCAATCTCAGCTCACTGCAACATCCACCTCCCAGATTCCAGTGATCTCCTGCCTCAGCCTCCCAAGTAGCTGGGATTACAGGTGCCCACTACCATGCCCGGCTAATTTTTGCATTTTTAGTAAAGACAGGGTTTCACCATGTTGGCCAGGCTGGTCTCAAACTCCTGACCTCAAGTGATCCACCCACCTCGGCCTCCCAAAGTGCTGAGATTATAGGCATGAGCCACCACACCCGGCCATGAGGTGCATAATTTTAAGAGTATCACTTCCTCTAAAGAATTCGTGGTTCTTCAAAAGGAATGGATATTTACTGAGTTCCTGCCATGTTCTAGGAACTGTGCTAGGTATTGGGGATATGAAGCAGTAAAGATACATTCTCTGCTCTCAAGGAATTTACAGTTTGAGTGGGGAGACAGACGTAGAAACAAATAATTCCAGGATGGCTTGACATGCTCCCTCTCTCCCCATTATTATAAAGTTCTGTAAAAGGCACAACGCTGACATAAAAGCATGAAGGAAGGGGCCTCTGAGTCCTCCTGGGGAAGTCAGGGGAAGCATCACTTGTTCAATTTTTCTAGAATGTGCAGGGAGTTTGGAGGAGAGAATGGTATTACATAGAAAGGGGCAGATCCTTCATGACCTTGTGTGTTACAGAGTTTTAGTGCACCCTGTAAGCACTGGGAAGACACAGAATAATTATGAGTAGGGCATGACTTGATCAGTTTAGGGATTCAGAAAGATCACACTGACTGTTTTGTGCAGGATAATTTGTGATGAGATCCAGGGAGAGTATTATGAAAGCTGCTGCTCTAGTTGGAGCAGAGATCTGAATCATCACCCAGAAACACTTGGCCCCTATAAGATGGAATGTTCTGGGTAGCCAGAAAAAGCCAGATAACAAAACTACTACCCCAAATTAGAAGTGGATTAGGGAAAGCACATATACTAAGCTATAGCCAGCTCTCCTACATCTAGAGCCTGTGGGCGCTTTGGCCTCATGCATCAGGAGGGCAGAAGACCATGTCCAAACACTCCATATCCAGGGAGAGGGAGAGCACCTGATATTTTAGCAGTGTGGTCATCCATGTCACCATGTGGAGAATGACATGGGGAAATGGAGGAGGTGTCTGAGTAGCCAGACTTGGGTTTTCTTCATATATCCAGGTGAAAAAGGTACATAGGATGTTGATATTCTGCCTCAAAATATACACAGTATGGGCTGGGCATGGTGGCTGTCACCTGTAATCCCAGCGCTTTGGGAGGCCGAGGTAGGAGGATCACCTGAGGTCAGCAGTTCGAGACCAGCCTGGCCAACATGATGAAATCTCATCTCTACTAAAAATACAAAAAATAGCCAGGCATAGTAGCAGACACCTGTAATCCCAGCTACTCTGGAGGCTGAGGCAGGAGAATTGCTTGAACCCGCGAGGCAGAGGTTGCAGTGAGCCGAGATTGTGCCACTGTACTCCAGCCTGGGTGGCAGAGCGAGACTCCATCTCAAAACAACAACAACAACAACAACAACACCACAATATTATGTAGCCATAAAGAGGAACGAAATACTGATACATGGTACTGATACACGGATGAACTTTAAAAACATTATATTTTGCTTTAATTTTTTCACAGAAATAATGTCTTGCTATGTTGCCCAGGCTGGTCTCAAACTCAGGCTCAAATGATCCACCCATCTTGGCCTCCCAAAGTGTTACGTGTGAACCACTGCACCTGGCCAAAAATATTTTACTAAGAAAAAGGAGTCACCTATTGTATGATTCCATTTATATGAAATATCCAAAATAGGTAAATCTAGCAGATTGCTGTTTGTCAGGGGCTGGAGGGGAGAAGGAAATGAGGAGTAGCTGTTTAATAGATGTGGGGTTTGTTTGTGGCATGATGAAAACATTCTGGAAGTAGATCAAAGTGGTGGTTGCACACACTGAATGTACTAAATACCACTGAATTGTTCACTTTTAGACGGTTAATATTTTATGTGAATTTTACCTCAAACACACATATTCACGCATGCACACTCTAGCATCATGAGCGTCAGAGCAGACATTGAAATATGTCACAGACCTGGTGTTAAATGATAGCTCTGCCAGCTGTGAGGCCTAAAGTCCATCACTTGATTTATTTTCTTTTTATTTTTTTTCGAGACAGTCTCACTCCATCACCCAGGCAGGAATGCAGTGGTGGATCTTGGCTCACTGGAACCTCAACCTCCCGGGTTCAAGCGATTCTCATGCCTCAGCCTCCCAAGTAGCTAGAATTGCAGGCACATGCCACCACACCTGGCTAAGTTTTGTATTTTCAGCAGAGATGGGGTTTCACTGTGTTGGCCAGGCTGGTCTTGAACTCCTGACCTCAAGTGATCTGTCTGCCTCAGCCTACCAAAGTGCTGGGATTACAGATGTGATCCACACCTGGCCCCCCATCACTTGATTTATAAGAAACTCAGCTTCCCATCTGAGTAGTGACCTACTTCATATGGCAGCAGTGAGGATTCACTGAAATTATGCAAGTAAAGTACACTTCACCATGTCAGATGCACAACATCTGACAGTAAGCTTTAAATAAATCTTACTGTTAATATTATTATCTGTACTCCTCACACAGACAACTCCAAATTTATTCTACTACTTTTATTTTAGCTCTCAGGTATTTTTAGGCTACAGCTGATTTAGTTGAACATATGCCAATTTGCTTTCATTGGCTAAATGAATTTTGCCATGAATAAAGATTTTCACATAACAAAGAACTTGGTCATAATTAAAAAGAAATGTAAACTGCAGGTCCACAAAAGTATGAGCTACAATTGATCCAGTTCAGACCCATAGTAAATGTCACTAAGCGATCATGATGCTCTATCCTAGATGCAGTGTCAGAATCCTCCTTAACACAGCATTGCAGGGAGGTGATCAGTTGATCAGTGCTGGGATGCAAGATGACACTAATTGGCCATCTCATTCTATAATTTGTTCCTCATGGAGAGATACTTGTTACCAAGAAATCTTAATGTACAGTATATATTTAGTTCCTGAAGTCCTCTATAAAGGCCAGCAAATCATTGATGATTACAGAAATTCCCCACTTTTACTACTGTGCAGTTGGTTGAGGAGGAGGAATTTAACATAAACCCTTATGACACATATTTAAACAAAAAATAAAATGAAAGAGAGAAAAAGGAAGGTAGGGAGGGAAGAAAATACAGTATGGTTTTATGGTTTCATATTAATACTTGACATTGTAGTGATTGTTTTATGGTGTCATATTAATACTTGACATTGTAGTGATTGTTTTATGGTGTCATATTAATACTTGACATTGTAGTGATGCTTTACAATAGGGGTGTCCAATCTTCTGCCTTCCCTGGACCAACTGGAAGAATTGTCTTCGACCACACATAAAATACACTAACAATAGCTGATGAGCTTTAAAAAAAAATCACAAAACAAAATCTCATAGTGTTTTAAGAAAGTTTACAAATTTGTGTTGGACCACATTCAAAGCTGTCCTGGGTGGCATGAGAACCATGGGCTGAGGATTGGACAAGCTTGCTCTACAATATTCACAGGTACACTTGATCCTCACTGGTAGATGGGTGAATATTACTATCCCACAGCTTAGGAAACAAAGTCTTGGAATATCAAATGCCTTAAGGTCCTGTAACTACCCAGTCATGGAGTGTATTAATTTCCTAGGGCTGCTATAATAAAGTATCACAAACCAAGTGACTTAAACAACAGACATTTGTTGTCTCCAGTCTGAGGGACAGACTTCCAAGATCAAGATGTCGGCAGGGCTATTCTCCCTCTGGAAGTACTAGGGAAGGATCTGTTCCAGGTCCCTCTCCTAGCTGCTGGTAGTTCTTGGCCTAAGACAGCATAACTCCAGTCTTCACATGATCTTATCTGTTTGTCTGTGTACACATTGCCCCATTTTAAAATACACCAGTCATACTAGATTGGGGCCCATCCTACTCCAGTATGACCTCATCTTAACTAATTACATCTGTAATGGCCCCATTTGAGATATTGAGGATGAGAACATCAACATATGAATTTTGAGGGGACACAATTCGACCCATGACATGGGGGATTGAAGCCAGGGTTTCTGTATGTGTGTGTGAAGCACTGCTTGAGCCTGAAGGTTCAAGCTTTGGGCCTCTTTTAAAGGCAAAAATTCTCATTATTCACTAAAATGTGGGCTTTTAAATAAAACTATTATTTCAAAAAATCATTAAATAGCCCTTCATACTAAAAATAAATTATGAAATTTCCCCCTCCATTCACTAACCTGGTATGACAGCTAAATATTATGCATTTGATGACCCTAGAAAGTTCCGAATTAAAATACTAAGAAGGCAGTGGAAGCCGCACATATGCCCAAAAGCACATAAGACCAACAGAATCTATGATGACTTATTATATCTAAATTTTCTGTTATAAATTTTTAATTCATTAAAACACACCCACACATATACCCCTTTCTTCATTAGTGCCAAAGGGCTATGTCTGTTATTTTTATCCCTGCCAGAAATCATCACTGGGCTGAAAGAATGTAGTACTGGTGACATGAGCCTGCATTTCCATTTTTAATTAAAATTCTAACTGACCCAGAGCCAGATTTCCTTCTGCACCAGAGCCTGTGGAAGCGCCACAGTGGAAGCAGCAGAGACTGGAAGAGCAGGCAAGAAGCTGGGAGCTTTGCACTGAACCAGGAAGTCACCACAGCTCTTAGGCAAAGACCCGGAAAGGTGTCAACATGGCCACACTACTGCTCCCACCTTGTCCTTACTTTCCTCATCTCATCCCACAGGCCACAGATCAGCCCTGGGGTTCAGAGGGATCCTGACAGCTACTCCTCAAGATCCTCTCTGTTGTGATTCATCCCCCCGGGGCCCTACAGTTTCTCCTTCCTGACTCTTACATTTCTTTGGATGGCATCATTATTGTGAGTTATAGTATTCATCACTGTCATTTGATACTACTTATTTGATAATACTATTCTTATCACTAGTATTTGCTGAGCTTTCATTCTGTATCTCACTTAATTCTCTCAGTCACACTATAAAGTAGCATGATGCAGACTGCTTCCTGTCCAGACACTCTCCCCTTTACTTAGGGATAGAGCCCCAGTAGTCCACTGCTGCCCA
The DNA here is from genome assembly GCF_000001405.40 of Homo sapiens. Lineage (NCBI taxonomy): Eukaryota > Metazoa > Chordata > Mammalia > Primates > Hominidae > Homo > Homo sapiens. Next base: position 170,344,596 of record NC_000002.12, on the reverse strand, counting down.
GTCAGAGGACTGTATTTCTTAGCTTCCTTTGCAGCTAGGTGTGGCCATGTGATAAAGTTGTAGCTAATGATACGTTGTGTGAAACTGCCAGAAAGCCTTCCCGCCCCGCCCCGCCCCCCACCCCCCCAACCGAGACGGGGTCTTTCTCTGCCACCCAGGCTGGAGTGCAGTGATGTGATCTCGGCTCACTGCAACCCCTGCCTCCTGGATTCAAGCAATTCTCCTGCCTCACCCTCCCAAGTAGCTGGGATTACAGGTACCCACCACCACACCAGGCTAATTTTTGTATTCTTAGTAGAGACGGGGTTTCACCATGTTGGCCAGGCTGGTCTTGAACCCTGGACCTTGTGATCCACCCGCCTCGGCCTCCAAAAGTGCTAGGATTACAGGCATGAGCCACCGTGCCTGGCCCAGAGAGTCTTAAAGTAAGGAGACTTGCATTTTTTTCTCTTTCTCTCTAACTAAAATAAGTATGTGAATGTCAGAGCTCCAGCAGTCATCTTGGCCCATGAGGTTCCACGGAATGGAAATCGTATTTAGTGGGGCAGCCTGAGGGCAGGAGCCCAGGTGGCTGCCATGTGGCCCTGCCACACCAGCAGTACATATGTGGCTTAACTCCCAGCTGATTTCAAGTGAGAGAAAAATAAAAGCCTAACTCTTTAAAGCCACTGTTTTTGGGGTTTTCTATTACATACAGACTTGATCTTAATCCCAACTAGTTATTATTATAGAAGCATTGTTATTCTCATTTTGCAGATGAGGAAATTGAGGCTCAGAAAAGTTAAGTGACTTGTTCAAGGCCAAAAATCTAATTAGCAGTGCTAGAATACAATTTGACTTTAGACCCTACGCTCTTAATCTCTCCAATATATATTTTCCAAAAAGCCCTGTTTCCATGCTGAAAACACTGGAGTCATGTTTAACTCTTCTCTCTCTGTAGTACCTGTCTCCTCCCATAGTTAGGTGCCAAGCACTGTGGATTCTGCCTCTCAGTGTCCAGACACCCATTTTCCTTCCCACTGTTCCTTCCCCATGGAGAAGCCTGTGGCTGGCTGACAGCAGAGAGAGATGCTCAACTTGGAGAAGGTGTTACCTGGGCCAGGTGGGGAAGGTTTGTTTGCAGAGCAAAGAAGTGAAGGTGAGCCTGAGTCGATTTTTTTTTTTTTAACAAGGTCTCTCTTCATCATTCAGGCTAGAGTGCAATGGCACAATTAGCTCACTATAACCTCAAACTCCTGTGCTCAGGGGATCCTCCTGCTTCAGCCTCCTTGGTAGCTGGGACTATATAGGCACACACCACCATGCCTGGCTAATTTTTAAATTTTTTGTAGAGACAGGCTCACTTTGTTGCCCAGGCTCAAACTCCTGGTCTCAAGTGATCCTCCCACCTCAGCCCCTCAAAGTGCTAGGATTACAGTCGTAAGCCTACCACATCTGGCTTGACTCTGCCTTGACTCCTGTTGCAGCCAATTCTTTCAGGTGGAGGGAGCTGTTGCCATTGAGAAGGGGTGGAGAGGGGTGTGTGTGTGTGTGTGTGTGTGTGTGTGTGTGTGTGTGTGTGTGTGTTAGAGGCCCGAACTGTGGAAGTAAGTGAGCTGAAGTCTAAATAAAGAGACAGTGGACAACAGATTGAAACAGCACATTGGTGTCAAAGAAGAGAAAGTCATTGCCACTTTCAAAACACAGTTTCAGAATAGCAGCACAGACCAAATGCAAAGGGTAATAAAAATAACCTCTACTGCTGGTTGAGCGTGAACTCTGGAACAAGTTTTCTGGGGTTCAAATCCCAGCTCCACCATGTACTAGCTGTGGTCTTGGGACTCTTGGCCTCTTTTTACCTCAATTTCTATAAAATTAGAACTACTTTATAGAATCATGAGGATTAAGTAAATTATACAACATGTAGAGAACAGTGCCTAGCATAAGAGTTATATATGTTAATTATTATTATTATTTGTCAAGTGCTACATATACATTATGTAATTTAATCCTCACAGCGATACTACTCTAGCCCCAATTTGACAACTGAGGACTGGCGGTCAGACAGGTTAAATATCTTTCCAAGATTACACAGCCAGTAAGTGACACAGCTGGATACACACACTATAGCACAGCTCTTCCACAGCTGCCTCTTCCTGGTGATGATCCAGGCGGCACTCTGGGGAGAGGCGAATGTGTGAGCCACCACCTCCAGGCACAAGCACACACAGACAATGCAGCACTCACCCTCACTTTCTATTATTTCAATTACAGAGTCTTTTTGATTCACAGTATGAAAATCAAGTGTAATTTTTTTTAAAAGAAGAAAGAAAAGCCAGTATGGAGAAAATGGTACAGACATAACTTAATGAATCCACAGCAGCTACAAAAGTCAGCTAATATAATGCGCCACAAGCACTAACATAAAATCTATGACATATGCCACAGATCTGGTTTCTCACAAGATTTAAACCCAGCATCTGTCAGGAAATAAACAGGATATGCTGACAACAGTCTAGATTACCCACGTTACTATGCCTTTTTCTTATTTCATATGACGCTAAACCTTCATTTCTCTCACATTACCATGGTTCCTGAGAAGACAGGATATATTCCTAGTATATTCCAGGTATATGTGGGTACCATGTTTTAAACTTCAAGTCACACTCAGCTGCTTCCTGGTTTACACTATGAGAAAATCAGATTTTATCAGGTGACTTTATAAGTAGGGTATAAGTGAGATCAAATCAGGCCCTTGGTGTGTTTAGATGATCTATTAGGTAATCTAAATTAGACGCTCTTCAGGGAGATATAACCTTGAAGTTCACACATAGCTTTATTTGTTCTTCTCATGAAAACAAAATCCCAATATTTCAAAATAAGAAAGGATTTGAGTTGCATTTATAAGTATATTGATCAATGTATGTTAAGTGAGGAGTGGATAATTTGGGGGGGGTTAACTTATTTTTTGTGTTAATTTTGAGCTTCTCCATGAGTTTTTATTAATTCACTAATTCCCTGTAGCTCAAGAGATGCTAATTAATTCAAGAAATCATAATAGCTAATCACTGCCTAAATAAATCTAAAATGGAGAGAGTCTGTCACTAGAGATACCACTGCTCATTTTAATTAAAATTATGAATTTGTGAAGTAATGTAAATAAAGGTTATTGTATCCTTCTACTCTAGGAAGTATTAACCCTTTGCATGGCCTCCTGAGAATCCGACAAGACGTAAATAGCCAAGAATATCTGTGAAACTTCATCACTGAGTTACAATATTTATCACTGCAAGTGTGTTGTTCATTGACACTATAAAGCCATGTGGAATTAAGCAGCCTTGAAACACAAAATGGAGAAAGGCTAAGAGCTGAGAATTGTTGCCTTCAGGGAAATACAATCAATGTCAAGCAAACAACCACCCCAAAATGGTTAGCTTTATCAGCATTCAGGCCTACAGTGAACGCAAATGTTCCAGATCTGAGTTTCAATTTTTAAAGAATAAACATATGCAAATGACCATTAGTCTTAGTAGTTTTAGGGCTCAGAATGATCTTATCTTGTTAACATTCAGGGCAACTGCTTATACCCATTTGAATGTCATTTAGAGGGCTAGGAAAGACTGCTTCAACATTTGATGACTAAATGGCAGGGCTCAGCCACAATGCTCACTCCGAGAAATGAGAAATAGACACACCAGTATGCTAGATGCTGATGCAGTTCAGGAAATGCTACCCCAAAATATGGCCCCTCAGCATACTGAGTATTTTAAGCAGAAGGCAATTAAGAAAACCACAAAAACAGAAAGGTCCCTCTGACCTTCTCCCACCCTCTCTCTCTTGAAGATCCTCATGTGACAGGTGACCTGCCATATAATCAGAAGGAAGAAATGTTACACAGAGAGGCTGAGAAGAATCTGAGGACTTGCTAAGTTTTCCCCAGTTTATTACCATTAGATCATATGCCTTTTTTGTTCAATCATACTTCTATACAACTGTCCATCATTCATTAAACCTAACCACAAAAGTAGTTTTCACTCGGTTTTTGAGTGAAGGCTCCTGTGTCACATAAAACTTACATTAAATAAATTTGTTCCACTTTTCTTTTGTTAATCTGTCTTTTGTTATAGGAATGTCAGCCATTAACCTCACAGTAGGTGATGAAAAGATATTACTTTTTCTCCCCTATACTACCCAAGCCAGCCACCTCAAGAAAGAACAGTTCATGTGCAGGTGACCATGTAGTTCAAGTCATCATTAAATCCAAAGCTGAGCAGCCGTGATGCTATTGGTGGAATTGCCCTTGACCAAGAGAAATCCATCTTGATTGTCTCAATAATCGGCTCAAGGACCACTGATGATGAGGTCCTAAATTTAATTCCTAAAAAACCACTAAAGTTATAGAGGCAAAATGAGAAAGCATAGCTCACAAATACCTTGTGACCAATGACTTGGTAAGTATTTTTGTAGTTGATTCCAAAGACCTGAAATTAGCTTGAACTTAAAAAGAAAAGTGACATCCATTAGGACCAAGGTGAAGTTGACAAAATGAAAATTATTTTTATCTTATCAAAAGGCTACTTCTGAATGGAGCCTCCTGACAAAGCAGAAGTCTGGCTGGTACTTGAACCAGATAAACTTGTTATGCAAATAGCTTTAGTCGTAGGGGAAAGGGCTGATAATGAAATCTCTACAAAGCCAACCACACATTATAGAGGTGACAAAACACATCAAGCAGGGTCCTAGCATATGGATGAAAAGCAGTGCAGAATTTATGTGAGCATTGCATTTAATTTATCATAACTAAGCTGTCAGGAATCATGCTTTGACAAACGCATAACTAATGAATATAAATGAATCAATTATCACTAACAACCAAAGCTTCAGAACCAAACAGGCTGATGCTTCTTTTAAAACCCCCAAACAGGTTTACTAATAGTATTTCAGACTTTTAGATGTTTTAAAAAATCTCTCTTACTATCTCTAAATTAAGGAGGCTGGAAATAAATCTGAAACACACTAAGCCACATCCCCAGTGCTCCTGATTTCCTGCCTTCCTGGCCCTCCTACACGCGTATGCACGTGCACACACACACCCCACTGTGCCCTGTCTACATAGCTATAATCACTAGGCTGCAGCCAGACCAACTTGTTCAGATCCCTGCAGCAGTCAATACGAAATCTTTTGGTGGGTAGTGACCAGCATGGACTAAAAAAGACCTAGAGTATTGAATCGACTCTGTTACGGCTCAGTAGTCACATGAGGACAAAGTATTAAAGGTCTTAAAGCCGTTAAGGAACTTTTTGTCCTATTTATTCTTTAAAGAGAAACAGTTAGATTTACTATGTCTTGGTTTACAAAGGGAACTGAAGCAATTATCTGTATAATTCAGGTTAAAAGAAACTTTTCCTAAAATTACCAGATAATCATCTTCTCCAGCCCAGTCCCTCCAATAATGAAAAGCTTATAATCTGAAGGTCTTAATCCTCCATCTTTCTTTCCCTTGACTCCTAATATGAGCAAGATAAGTATAAAAACAAACTAAGGCTCTCTCTTTAAATAGACATTTCAAACCCAGTGAATATCATTGTTTATACTGAATTAGAGATTTGAATAAATATAATGCACAGCATTTGGTCAAACTGCATTTGATAGGCTGAGTAATGGCAGCCTAGTATCAGCAGTCTCCTCTACAGAATGAAAGGATATTATTTGGGGCTGGGCTCAGTGGCTCACACCTGTAAATCCCAGCACTTTGGGAGGCTGAGGTGGGCAGATCACTTGAGGTCAGGAGTTCGAGACTAACCTGGCCAACATGGTGAAACCCCATCTCTGCTAAAAATGTAAAAACTAGCTGGTCCTGGTGGCACACACCTGTAATTCCAGCTACTTGGGAGGCTGAGGCACAAGAATCATTTGATCCCGGGAGGCCAAGGTTGCAGTGAGCCAAGATCATGCCACTGTACTCCAGCCTGGGCAACACAGTGAGACTCTGTCTCAAAACAAACAAACAAAAAAAAGAAAGTATATTATTTGGGAATGGTGGGCAGGCTTCTATTTAAAGATATATAATATAATAATCAGTTCCCAATTTTGAGAAATATTCCCAAAAATATTGCAGAAGAATTTATGGTTGAAGCACCTAAGATGTTATGGGAAAACAGGATTGGAGGGCTGAGGTCAAGAAGGAATCTATAAACACCTATTATATAAAATTTTTCACTAATAAAAAACCGTAAAGACAACTCATTAAACAAAAAAGAAGACTGATGACATATTTCCATCTTAAACTAGTACTAAACCACATAATCACTTAATTTCTAATTGCCTTCCTGACTCATTATAAACTTTCCAGACTCTCCCTCCCTTGCAATTACAACAGGATGCTTTTTGCTTTGCTCCTGACAGTATGCATACTCAAAGGCATTGTTTTCTGTGTTTAGCCCTCCATTCTAGTATTCAAGACCTTTTGCAACTCAGAATGAGTGCATCTGAAATTCTCAGAATTGGGAAAAACATAGCAGATTTGAATTGGCATATAATAGGATTTGCCATAAGGAACTATCTTAGGGAGGAATTTCTGCATAGTTGACCCTTGAACAACATGGATTTTAACTGCATGGATGCACTTATACATGGATTTTCTTCCACCTCTGCTAACCCTGAGACAGCGGAACCAACCCCTCCTCTTCTTCCTCCCCCTCAGCCTATTCAACGTGAAAAAGATGAGGATGAAGACCTTTATTATGATCCACTTCCAAGTAATGAACAGTAAGCACGTTTCTCTTCCTTATGACTTTCCTAATAACATTTTCTTTTCTCTAGCTTACTTTATTGTAAGAATACAGTATATAATACATATAACACATAAAATATGTATTAATCAACAGTTTATGTTATCAGCAAGGCTTCCAGTCAACAGTAAGCTATCAGTAGTTAAGGTTTTGGAGAGTCAAAAGTTATAGGCAATTTTTGACTTCATAAGGTGGGGGGTAGTCAGCACCCCAACCGCTGCATTGTTTAAGAGTCAACTGCGTTGTGTACAGTCCAATCTCTGTCATCAATTATATACCTTTATTCTCAAATCCATCCAAGGAACACCGAGCTTAGTTTATGATTACGAACATACTCTTGAAAAAGTATACAGAAGCCAAAGTTTTGTGAGTCAAATCACATTTTTAGAGGCATCAGGAGAGTTTGGTATGGGAAGGCATATTAGTGAATATGTAATGGATTTTTCTAGGACAACAGCTTAGACAAGGTCAATCAAGGGTATCTGTGTGTGGCAATGAAATGAAAAGGAAAAATCTTTGGATTCAGCCTTTACCAGCAAAATCATTGGAACCTTAGCTCCCAGATTTGTTTCCTTGGGGTGGTCTGAAATGTGGTCCCAAGCTACCAGCATGTCTTCAGCCCTTTAGTTCCCTCCACCTACTCTTTTGGGTCCCAAACCTCTGGAAGTGGCTCTTCCACTGCTCTTATGTGAGCATCATCCCTCCTACAAGTATCTGTTTTTCCTCTCAACATGGCCTGACACCATCACCTTTGACTGGTGGCTGCTCCTAGTGCATTCTGCAGCCAGGACAAAAATGTCAACGTGGGGCTAAAGGGGCAACGAGATACCCTCCACCCCTGACCTTCAACTTCATGGTCATGTTCCAACACAGTCTTTCTTAGCAGGGGTCTTTGAGTTCTTTTCCACTCCCCTTTCCTGAGGAACATGGCAAAAGTCCAGGAGGGATAGGAAAAGCAAACAAATTCAGGGACCCTGAACTATACTACATTTGAAATGAAAATGAAACTGAAATATAGGTTCATAGCTGTTTACACAAACCCCCTGGGGCCAAATGTATTTTGGAATTCAGAATTTTATCAAATTTTACAAAGGTAAACTGGTACATTTACTGTATATTATGTAACAGCCCCAGCAGGATATGGGGCAGCACACTATAATCAAACAAATATATCTGCTGCCAAACACATGAATATTCACATCAAGTAAGATGAATAACAACTATAAATAGCCTCACAGTTAAGGTCATATGTTACCATCAAATCAGTTCACATAAGGTTAGGTTTTGCTGCTAAATGACTCAACTACAAAAGAACTTTTATCTTTCGGAGCTCTTTGGATTTTGGAAATACGGATAAGAGATTGTTGATCTGTATTGTGATTTATTAAGGAAGATGATCAAAAGACCCACTTTGCTTTATTGCCTGGCTTCTTTGTGAAAGCTAAGTTTGCACAGAGGCATAAATTAGAAAAATTTGTGTTGACCCTTCCCCACTTCTTATTTATCAGCTAATTTGGTCACTTCTTTTCTCCTCCCACGACCTCTGAACACCTTGTTTCATATACTAGATCCTACAGGACTTCTTCCAAGCTCCTCTGCCTTGGTATGGTTGGTAATGCCTGGTCTAGATTCCTGTCCCCTCAATTCACCAGGCCCCTAGCTTGGGGCCCTGTAACCTCCTCCAGTAGTCTGAGTATCTTTCTCAGACTTAGGACCAGTGTGGTCCAAAAGCCCATGACCCCAGCACTGAGCCACTATTGGTTTCACTGTTGATTCTGCTCCTGTCTGAGTCCCAGCAATACTTGCCTAGTGACATAGCTCCTACCAGGTATGTCACACCATCATCTTGGCCTTCATTTTGTTCCTCATACCTTGAGCCTTGGCTGGGATACCTTACCTTGGTACCCCAAGCCTGAGATTCTACTTTGTCCCTCTATCATCTTGGAAACTGGACCCTTGTTCCCATGCCACAGATCCTAGAGGAAGCCCAACTTTCACACTGCAAAAACTCTGTTGGAGGCTGCTACCTTCTGTCTTCTCTTTGGTCCTAATGTAGGCATCAGATTTTTAGATGTTTCATCTCTCCCCATTAAACATGACAAGTTGTCAATATTTGCCCTAAGACAAAGTAGGTTCTCAGATAAATGTGACCCATATGATAAGAAGGACTTATTATAACTGAGAGTCAAATGGAACGCCTTACTTTTCACATCTTGCAAAGGCATCTTCTATCATTTACTAGAACAAACCCCGAGTCATAACGTGCTAACAGGCATAACAACCTCTAGTGTCAAGTAAATTCCACAGCCTGGATTTCTCCAATCACTGCTCAAGGCCTTGCTAGATGGGCAATTTTTAGTGGAAGAAATACTCACTGTGAAATAAAGTGGTTGAATTCTTCACACCATTTTTCTGGATGAAGTAAAGTAGGTGGAGGATTTCTGAAAAAATAACAGCAATTTTTTCTTAAGAAAGAAGAATTTCATTAAAGGCAAAATATCAACTTGTTTTTATTGATATCATTCTAAATAGCTCTAATAAAATCTGTTTGTTCTCATATGAGAGTCATTTTTTAGTGGTAGATTATAAAGTGCCAACCCTTATTCCTGTAGTCATTCATTTTCATTGACTGAAGACCTACTATGTCCCTGGCCTTCTCAGGACCTGTGAAAGTTACAAAGATCAGGAACATTCTTCAAGAAGCAGACACCCTAATGAGGGGTGAGGCAAGCACACAAACTACTATAACAGAGCTGAGGATTATTAGTGCTATAAGAAAGCTCTAAACATAGTGCTAGGGGCTTTAGTGAAATAGACGTTTAATTGTACAGGATTTTCAGATCATTATGGTACCATTTGGATTAATTATGTGATGCATTTAAAGTGTACTCATAAATTCATAGTCACATTTTTAACTATCTCCTATGTATCAACTTCTGCAATAAGCACTGGAGAAAGTCAGACAGTCAAAACAATGTCCCAGACTCCGTGAAGTTCCTGGGTAGAGAAGGAGACAGACATATACCATACCTAATAATTGGATGTCCGAGAGAATGAGAGAATGGCAGAAAGAACTTTAGGTAAGCAGACAACCTCTTGGTGAGAGGGCAAAAAAAAAGAGGGGTGGGGATGGGGTAAGAGCCCTGATTTGCTTGAATACCACGAAGAGATCTGATTTCAAAACAGAAGTGACTATATTACCTTTAATTGATGAGACTTTTTTCTAGCAATACATGGAAATAAGGGCTTGTCGGCAACTCAAGTTCAGAAAATGAAGAAAGTGACAGTTCTGCACACATGAATTATGGCTGTAAATTTTAAAGCCATCATATGTGATCCTTGATTTTACCTTGATTCTAACTGCTTCCTAAAGCCATGGATTGCTCAGATTCAATAGGCAGAGGAATGGGAAGCAGCAAGAATTACCAGAAATAAATATACATCAGATAATGTGATCGCAATTTGCCCCTCGATATCCATTATCTTCTCATTTCTTATAGTACAATTTTTATTTCAGCATACTGCTGCCGTAATAAAGATTACAATTTCTTGAGTTCCTTACGGCTAGATGTGGTTCTGTGATCAAGTTCTAGTCAATGATATATAAATAGAAGTATTATATGGTATTTCCAGAAAGTCTCCTTAAAAGAGGGGAGACATGCCATTCTTCTCCTTCCCCCTTCTTTCTTTTTAGAGCATGGGTATGATGGCTAGAGCTTGAGCAGCCATTGTGGACATCAGATGAACTTGAAAGTGAAAACTATGAGCTGAATACGACAAAGCAAACAGATAGAAAACTGGATTCATTATGACATTGCAAAGCTGCCAGACCAGCTCTAGTCTGCTTCCCCCTAATCTTCCTTACTAAGAGAGAGAAATAAACTTCCATCTTCTTCAAGCCACTGGTACATGCAGCTGAGTCTAATCCTCAGTCAGATAACCTTTCCGAGTATTTTCCTACCATATGATTAGAACATAATATGGTAAGTGATATACTAGAAGCACAAGCACCATATGTGGGTAGAATAATTAAGATGCTGCTTACTCAATCTAGGGAGTCTCAAAAGACTTTATAGAAGATAAACTTGAGCTGGCTTCTGAAAATTAGATTGGATTTTTCAAGATAGAGAAGGAGAGTGAAGCCATTTTAGGCTCAGAAAACAATACGTACCAAGACACAAGGATGTAAAAAAGCATAGTATGTCCAAAAAACCTAATTTGTTGAGGCTAGACTATATATGATCTTTTGGATCTGAAGAGAGAGCAGGGGGGAAGGATAAGATGAGAAGGAAGAATGATTAGAGGAAGGAGATGATTTATCTGTTCTGCATACGAATTTAGTTACCCTTCATATCTTATAATTCAAAAACCTATAAATTATCTGTGTATTACCCAGAAAGAATAGCAGTTAAATTTTTTTCCCCCTTCTGCTGGATCAGAGACAAAGGAGGAGGCTGCCTCTTTATCTCATTCACTCCATTCAACAACATATGCCTTCATCTTTCCCTAGTACCACCATCACATAAGTTCAGCTTCAGTCCTAGTTTGACTGAGCAGTTCTTACTGCCTGTGGCTATCTGAGGTTTTACATGCCCTGCCAGCTCACCTCTGTGGGCAGCTTTGGTGCTATATCTTTCAGTGAGTCCGTTATCCTAGATCATCTCTACAGCCGTATCCAGGATTTGCACTTTCCTTGATCTTCTCAGGTTTCCTGATCATTCTGTTCTAAGGTCAGTCCCACAGAGAAGAGCTGCTTAAGCAATCTACTGTCTAATAGACTTCATTCACCCCCAAAGCAGTTCACCATGACTAAGTCATTTGTAGAGAGACTGAGTAGATTTGACTGAAATGACACTAGTAGGCTCAACACTGGCCAGCCCAGCAGGGAAAGGGCATCTCTCTTCTATAAGTAGAGAGTGACCTGGCAAGGGTCCAATATGAAATGGATGGTGAATATCCACTTTAGTATAGAGAACAATGTACCCTCCTGTTTTCAGTCTCTTTCTCAGCAGGAAATATGCAAAGGGGTATTGTTTAGTTGTTGGCCTGAGGAGAATGGCAGCAAACCACCACTCACCCAGGTCACCACCAACCCTCTATGGCTTCACATAAACACCACACAAGGAAACATCTTCTTTGAAGCCCAGCATCATAGCAAGTTGGTTAAGAGAACCTCATTTGATCCTGTAAATGTCCTGCCTTTCCTGGAGTTCATCCTACTTTGGTTCAGTAAAGCAAGATCTTGTGAAAGATTATTATCTGATATAATGAAAACCCAATGAATTTGAAGACTTCGCAATACTTTGTTTGGACTGGCAATATAAATTCTAATTCTCTCACAACCCAGAAAGAACACCAGTGAAGGGAAACCATGTAGGTTATTCTTTTGTTTCATTTGTGAGTGCTCCTCTCTCTGTTGCAGCTAAAACATTATTGATCCCAGAATCCTGTTTTTCTCCCTATTCTCTTCCCATTCCATGCATTCACTGAGGGCTTACTGTATGTTGACAGCTTCCTAACATGCCTTGATTTCTTGTCTGCCTTTTAGCTGGTGCATCTGACTACTTACTAGATGGTTGCATTTTGATTTCCCAGAGACATCTTAAGGTCAACATGTTCAAAACCAAACATCTTCCTTTCTTAAGGCTGCATCCCACCCGGTTGTTGAAGTCAGAAACCTGGATTCTACATTCTCCCTTAACCCCATATCCAATTAAAGCAGGCAGAATAATGGCTCCCTCAAAGATGTCCACATTCTAATCCTCAGAACCTATTAATATGCTACTTCATATGGCAAAGGGACTTTATTTATGTAATTAAGGTAAAGGTCCTAGAGACGGGGAGGTTGTCTTGGATTACCTGGATGGACCCAACTTAATCACATGAGTCTTTTAAAGTGGAAGAGGGAGGCAGAAAGAAAAAAGAAGAGGCAGGAGAGATTCAACGTATGAAAGGGACTTAACCCGTCATTGCTGCCTTTGAAAATGGAGGAAGTGGCCATGAGCCAAGGAATGCAGGCAGCATCTGGAAGATGGAAACGGGCCTCAGCCGATATCTAGCAAAGAAATGAGATCCTCAATTCTACAGATGCAAGGAAATGAATTCTGCTAATAACCTGAATGACCCAGAAAATAAATTTCCCCTCAGCCTTAAGAAAGGAGTACAGCCCTACTGACACCTTGATTTTAGCCCACTGAGACCCATGGCAGACTCTAACTTAAAGAACCATAAGATAACAAATTTGTGTTGTTTTCAGCCTCTAAGTTTGTGGTGATTTGTTATGACGGTAATAGAAAACTAATACACCAATCAAGTATCAAGTCTTCTCAGTTCTACTTCCTAAATCCCCTACTCATAACCTGTCCCCTCTTTCACATCCTAGTCCAGTTACTCATCATCTCATACCCATACTACTCCAATGTCCTTCTTGTTTTTCTCCTTCCCTCTACCTTATACCCCTCTAATCCCTCTTGTACTTGGTAGCTGGAATTTCTTTATAACATAAAAATATGACCTCATGGTTTTCTTCCTCAAAATTCTTCAGCAGATGCACACTGCCAGAATGATAAAATGTTAACTCCTTTGCATGATATATACAAATGGTCTTGCCTGCCACCTACCTGTCTACTTGATTTCATCTTAAATCACCTGCTCACCAGATGCTGTAGCACTGTGCTGCACAGTACTTGTAGCTCCAAAACAGGTCCTATTCTTTCATGCCTCAGGGCCTTTGCACATGATGTACCTCCAGTTTAGAATACTCTCCCTAATTTGTCCACCTGGCAGGCTCCTACTCATGTTTCATGTGTATCTATAGTGCCCAGCACAGAAATACTCGGTAAATTTTTTGAATGAATTCACACAAACATATACATGTTGCAGGTAGGCCAAGAAATGGTGATATGACAAAATATGACTTGGTCTTCAAAGTAGCATAAAATTAGACAAATATGGAACAGCTCTTTCGGAAATCAGCAAATTCCAACTAAATTATTCAGAGCAAGCAGGTTTGAAGAATAAAGGAGTATTGACTTGATTTGGATTTGAAAATATAAGCCTCATTCCTCTACTTTTGAAGCCCAAATGTCGCCAGGTCCCTGAATATATATAACCAAAATGAGCAAATAAATCATGATTTAAACCTCATTGTAGACATTAGCTGATGTCACAACCATTATACACACATACATGGTGGGTCAGAGACAGAAGGAGATGAATACCAATAACCATCATATGTTGAGTGCTTACTATCACAAAGCTTCATGCCAAGTGCTTCACATGTAGGTCAACCAAACATTGCAATAATCCTATTAAATAGGAATTATTCCAGTTTCACAAGTGAAGAAAATGCAACTTAAAAGAAGAAATTTTCTAAAAAACTTTCAGCAAAAATTGGAAGAACCAGGTTTTAAATTCAGGTATTTCTGTCTCCAATGCCCATATACCTCACTCTTCTGTATTTTATCTCGTGAAGAGTCCATTACTTTGGAAGATGAATTAAGAGAACATACATGCAAAAAAAATGACAGAAAACCAGTTAGCAAGCAATGCCTCAAGAAGGTGCAAAATGAAGCCCTCAAACATTAAAGCACACTCACCAAGGAGATGCTGAGTAAAAAATTTCTCAGTGAGGCACAGTTAATTAAGAAGGGCTTCCTGAAAGTTGTGAATTTTAAAGCAGGACCTCTGTTCACAGATGGGACATAAATCAGCTAACTAGGGGAGGAGGGTGTTAGGGGAGAAGGGGAATAACAGAGGAAGATAGAAAGAATGAAGTATAATAACTAAGAAACAATTGTTAACATCCAGTTAAACACTTAGGAATGTGTTAAAAAAACATTCTATTTCCTTACTCATAAAAGCAAGAAAGCAAGACATTTGAGTGTAATTAACTGTTCTGATAGTATTAACTACAGCAACAGAGCTGCCATTCTGATTACAATTGGTAAATCCCATTAATAAAGTTGAATAGTTAGTCGTGTGTCTGTGTCTGTGTCTCTCTGTCTTGCCCCAGCTGTTCCTAAATTTGCTTTTCTCCCTAAGTCACATCTTACCTGTTCAAAATTAATTATTTTTAAAAGTTTACATTTAATTGTAATACATGATTCATCTAAGTGTAAGAAACATTCCCTGGCTGGGCATGGTGGCTCACCCCTGTAATCCCAGCACTTTGGGAGGCCAAGGCAGGCAGATCACTTGAGGTCAGGAGTTCGAGACCAGCCTGGCCAACATGGTGAAACCCCATCCATACTAAAAAAAAAAAAAAAAAATACAAAAATCAGCCAGGTGTGGTGGCCTGCACCTGTAATCCCAGCTACTCGGGAAGCTGAGGCAGAAGAATCACTGGAACCTGTGAGGTGGAGATTGCAGTGAGCCAAGATGGCATCACTCCACTCCAGCCTGGCGACAGAGAAAAAAAAAATCCCCAATAGTGGAATGTAGAGAATAAAAAGCAAAATTCCTCCTCATTATACAGTCTCCTCCCCATTATCAGTATGGGTTATATTCTTTTAGACCTTTTATTACATGAATTTGTAGCATCTGCTATAAATATTTTATATATATACACACACACACACACACACACACACACACTGTTTTTCTGTGTTGTAAGTAAATGTCACAATATAAATTGGACAATATATTATTAGTAGTAGTAGTATTTTTTTTTTTGGAGACAGAGTCTCACTCAGTCGCCCAGGATGGAGTGCAATGGAGCGATCTTGGCTCACTGCAACCTCTGCCTCTCAGGTTCAAGTGATTCTCCTGTCTCAGCTTCCCAAGTAGCTGGGATTACAGACACCTGCCATCATGCCCGGCTAAATTTTGTAGAGACAGTGTTTCACCATGTGGGCCAGGCTGGTCTTGAAATCCTAACCTCAGGTGATCTGCCTTGGCCTCCCAAAGTGCTGGGATTACAGGCATGAGCCACCGCACCCGGCCTTAATTTTTATAATTTTTATAATATAGTTGAGAGTATAATCCCAATAGAAATGGGATTATACACCACAAAAATGTCCTGGTACTTATTTTTTTCCATTCAGTAATACAGCTTAAAGTTCATCCATATCACTTTCATACCTAAATGGCATTCCACAGAGTGGGTAACTATAGGTTATTTAGCCGTTCATGTATTGGTGAACATTTAGGTTGTTTCTGTTTTTGTTACTATTAGAAAGAAGGCTGAAATGGCTTACATATGCCACATGTCATATGGGATTTCAAACTTTTAAAATATCTCTTAGGTGGCAAAAGCACTGACAAATGAACACTTAGTATCCTTCCAAGAAACTTGAATGCAAAGAGAGAATATACTGCCGCATCTTCTGGGGGTGGCTCAGTGAGCAATTTCAGAGCAGTGGGGGCAACAGAGCTACAGCCAAGGAGGAAGCAATCAGCAAATGGTCCCACAGGATTATGAATAATGCTCTGTGGGCCAAAACTCCATAGAACACACTGTAAATAGTGACCTTGAGTGGTTCGATTCCAGCAGCTACAAACACTGAACCTTATTGCTGGGTTCCACTTGCAAGAATCTGCTACCTCGTTCCAGTGGTGGGTATCCCTGGGTAATAACCTCAGCATACGTGACACAGACGAAGATATATTCAAAATATGCATATGTGGCCAGTGTGGTGGTTCATGCCTGTAATCCTAGCACTTTGAGAGGCTGAGGCGGGCAGATCACTTCAGCTCAAGAGTTCAAGATCAGCCTGGGCAATACAACAAAACCCTGTCTCTACTAAAAATACAACACTTAGCCAGGCATGGTGGCAGGTGCCTGTAGTATCAGCTACTTGGGAGGCTGAGGCAGGAGGATCGTCTGAACCTGGGAGGTCGGGGCTGCAGTGAGCCGAGATGGAGCCACTGTACTCCAGCCTGGGTGACAAAGTGAGACTGTCTTTCAAATATATATATTTATACATTATATATATATACTATATATAGTGTATATATATATATATGCTAATAATTCCACTAGAGAAAACATTTGAAAAAATTACAGAAATAGTTGGAGGCATTTATAATTAGAAAATAGATGATATGAAAATGAAACAGAAATCAGTATCACAATGCTACATACTATACCGTCATTAAATGTGAAAGATTCGTCCAGGTTAGAAAAGATATCCATGCTAAGTGCTAAATCCACCACAAAGGCACCTCCCAATCAGGGTCAATCCCTTAAAGTAGGGAAAAGGAAGAGAAGAAGAGATGTGTAAGGAGAACATTAGATGGGGAAATGTCTGGAAGAAAGCAAAGACAAAATGCTCCTAGATCACATCTCAGCCTTAGATTACCACTGTCTAAGAAAGGGAAGCTTCTATGATTAATAACTATGATACTTTACAGTAACTGAAGGAATTACCAAAGGTAGTAAGGAGAAAAGCAAAAGCTTGTAGTTAAATTTCAAGCTTGTTGATTCTTCTTTGTTGTTGTTGAGAAGGAGTCTTGCTCTGTCACCCAGGCTGGAGTGCAGTGGCGTGATCTCAGCTCACTTCAATCTCCATCTCCTGGGTTCAAGCGATTCTCCTGCCTCAGCCTCCCGAGTAGTTGGGAATACAGGCATGTGCCATCACACCCAGCTAATTTTTGTATTTTTAGTAGAGACAGGGTTTTACCATGTGGGCCAGGATGGTCTCGATCTCCTGACCTTGTGATCTGCCCGCCTTGGCCTCCCAAAGTGCTGGGATTACAGGCGTGAGCCACCACACCCAGCCTTGTTGATTCTTTTGATTCTGATTCTTAATGACCTGTTTGGTCCTATACCTTAAATAATGCCATTTGCAATGTTAGGCTATAATCACTAAAATGTAAAGTTACTACATTGAATCACCCAGTTCATAATAAACCATTCCTAACCACTATAGTCAGTAAGTGACAGGTGTTCACGTCCTCTGGCTTTCCAGCCCAGCACCAATCTGCTTCAAAGGCCATCCCAGAATATGAAGATTACATGTTTCCCATATCAGGTATTATTACCCCAGGCCTGTGGGAATGACTTGCAGAGGTTTGGGGGTGTCACCAAGCTCTATTAATCCTTGACCACTACCTCAAAATGTAAGTGTTCACAAAAGGCATGAATCACATTTTCTCATTATCTCTAAAGCACATTGGGGTACCTTTCCCTCTACTGTACTCTCCTTACGCAAACACAGGACGCATAAGCAATTCAGCCATGCATGAAGAGTGCAGGAGAAAGTCAAGGACAATAGAAGGTGCCATGTCAATAGAGATGATGGAGGGGACAAGTGGGTGTGTGGCTCGTTGTCTGAGCCAATGTGGTCATTTACTGACATCCATTCTTTAATTTCCTCCTTCAATAAGAACTCGGCAATATCATCAGTTCCAACTGTTATTGTCCAGTGTGTCAGGGAAGTAGACCTTGCCCCAGGACTGGCTAACGACCCTTTTCCTAGGTGGTCCTTCACATATAGAGTGGAAACCACAACCCTGTTCTTTTTCACACACATTTGTAAATGCATAATTTTTTTAAAAAAATTATTATTTTAAAGAGATGTGTTTCAAATAGATCATGTTGTTCTCTAAATGCTTTTCCATCATCAAATTCTGGACTGTTTACATGGGTTCTTTGGAAGTGTGCTCTTTGAAGGTGATCATTACAGTGTGTCTAATGAGAGATGTAGAATCACTCCTCAATTAGATTAGTATTTTAAGAAAAAAAAAAAAAAGCTTTATATGTGTGGTGGGATAAAAACCACAGTGGTATGGGGGAGGGCCGGGGTATAGTTAAAGCCAAAGGTTAAACATGCCGTGCTTATCAATCACTTTTTCTGGTGGCAAGTTATTTTAAAAGAGTTGTTTTATATGAAAATTGTTGGGGAAAGGGGAGTGGCAATAAAAACAGGACTTCTCCCTACCTGGATTCTGAACACGATGAACACAGTCAGCAGATAAGGTCCAAAATAATACCTTTATTATAGATAGAACTGATCTTGGAGAATGTAGCTTTCATCTGCAGGGAGTGGACTTTCTCAAACTGAAAGGCAGAGGTAGAGATAGACTTATCTGGCCAGTCTTGGGACTGGGCTGGACCACCACAGGTACCTCAGTCAGGAACACAGCCTTTGCCCCTGAGCTTAACTACGCTGAGAGCAATCAAGCAGGCAGGCTAACTTCCAGAAGAAAGCAGAAGGGAAAGAGCAGGACCATGCACGACCAGTTCCTCCCCAAACTCACCATCTGCATACATCACTTCTCATCCTCTAGCATCTATCAGTTTGGGTCCAATCAAAAGACGGAAACCACACCAGAAATTTGAACAAAGAAAATTTAATATAAAGAATGTTTAACTTAGGCCAGGCGTAGTGGCTCACGCCTGTAATCCCAGCACTTTGGGAGGCTGAGGCGGGTGGATCACCTGAGGTCAGGAGTTCAAGACCAGCCTGGTCAACATGGTGAAACCCCGTCTCTACTAAAAATACAAAAATTAGCCGGACATGGTGGTGGGTGCCTGTAATCCCAGCTACTTGGGAGGCTGAAGCAGGAGAATTGCTTGAACCTGGGAGGCGGAGGTTGCAGTGAGCCAAGATTGTACCAGTGCACTCCAGCCTGGGCAACAAAGCGAGACTCCATCTCAAAAAAAAACCAAACCAAACAGAACAAAAAAGAATGTTTAACTTGTAACAGCGGATTAGATACTAAGGAGTAAAGAGAGTTCTAAAGAATACAGATATAGCAGGTATTGGAAGCAGCTGCTACCTCTACTGAGATGGAGTACCCAAGAAGAAACAAATTTGGAAGAGCCCCTGCCCCCAAACCCAAGCCTGAGATTCAGGCCTCAGTGGAAAGGCTATCACTATGGGCCTCCGTGGTGAAGTTCTCTGAGGTGAGACAAGCCAGGGCTGGCAAGCATAAGACCACCTGCTGGGGTGCCTTTGAAATTCATTGAGAAGCCACCAGATTAGGTGCCAGAAGAATTCGCTGGAGGGTGAGCACCACAGGGTGTCCCAAATGCCACTGAGAGCCAAAGGCCACAGAAGCAATTAGGAAAAAGCACACTGAAACCTGCAAGAGCGTTCTTTCCTCCTGCAGTGGCCTTCTAGTGCCCTCTGCTGACAAAGCTTAATATCTGCCACATGGCAAAGAAGAAATGTTCACCAAGTCCACTCCAGCATCACAAAGCAGAGCAAAGGGTAGATTCAGCGCTGAAAAGTGCAGGAACGAAGTGAATTAGAAAACAGAGAGAGGCCAGGAATGTTACAACGCTCTTTAAAAAAAGACAAAAAACCAGCTTCTAAGGAATTTCAATTTGGGGCTTGCAATAGGCAACTTCAAGCTATCGTCAACTGACTGAGTCCAGTCTCCTCCGACATTAGGAGCACTTGCATATATTTGAGAGATAAAGAAGAGATTATAGAAACCCTCTTCCCCTACTTAAAAAGACATGTCTTGTGATGGGCATGAAATTTCCTCATTAAGACTCATAGTTTTTCAATCCAGAAGTTCCTTATTTGAAATGGGAATGTTCTGTGAGGCATCCTTTTGTAAACCTTTATTGACCAAAACTTCCTTGGGATAAATGACAGTCAAGAATAAAAATGTAGAAAAAGGGATCCAGCAAAGGGGCCAGTGAGGGGAAAGGGCCACAAATACAGACTTAATCTCTTTATGGGTTTCCGTTCCTATGATTCCAATGTTGTATGAGCTGAAAAAGTGAAGAGTCAGGTGGCATGGCACCTTTCTGACTCTTTCCTGTCGCTCTGCCTCTAGGATTTCGCCCAACATAGAAAGGTAAAGGAACCAGTGAAAGTCCACGTGATTCGAAGCTCTTTTGCCAGGATCATGGCCATAAAAGGGGAACTCCTTTTTCTTCTGGGCCCCAATTTCTCACCAACTCAGTCATGAGTGCTAAGTCAAAGATAGGGAGTCAGCCAAAGGGAGCTGATTCATGGGTCTCCCCCTGGCTCTTTTAGGTCCAGTCAGGAACCCAAGACTTTCCTATAAGCTGGACCATTTTTCTGCAGTCTAATATTTCTGAAGCCTGAGTCATTCATGATAATAATAACAACAGCTAACAATAATAAGTTATTAGATAATAATAACTCACTTCTTGAGTACTTACTATGTGAAAGCACTGTGCTAATAATGTGCTGATTTAATCCTCACATAAACCCTATGAGGAAGATAAACAAGTCTGTTTTAGAGATAAGAAAACAGAGGCTTAGAGAAGTTCAGAAGCTGGTAATGGTGCGGCCGAGCTTCAAATGCAGGCAGCCCAATTCCAAAGTCCACAATTACAACCATCTTGTTTCTGCATTTGGGATTTATTCTTGATTAATGAGACACCACTTCTTTAGATTCTGCTAGAGCATTTTATATCATATTAATGGGGAATCCAGGCCTGATATGATAAGCCAGTTGCCCTTCTGACATCCTATCAACTTAAGCATCAACTCAAGCATATTATTCTTCAGTTCATCCTATCAACTTAAGCATTAGCATTCTTCAGATTATAAGACACTAGCAAGCAAATCCAAAGAACATTTTGTTTGAGATGCTGAATGATCAGCGATAGAGTATGAGCTGAGAATGTTTTCATCTGTTGAGTTTTACGTGTTTTCTGTCATTTAGCTCCCTCCAAAGTCACAGCTGGTAAAACCAAATGGGTCATTTTACCACAATAAGACCAACGTCACAGTTCAACAAGCACCATTTGTCCTCTAAGGCAAAGCCATGCACCTAATTATGACACACTGTTAATAAATTTGTAATAGACAAAAAGAAATTGACTACTATGGATTTTTTTTTCCTCAACAAAGCAAAACCATTTAAAGGGCAGATTGTGCATCTATTTCTTCTTTTATTGTTTCCATAAAGTTAGCATTATATTCTAGACAGAAAAAATCAGGGCAGACCTCAGATGAACAGATTGTACCATCAGATCCTACCACATTGTCTCTAATGGGGGAAATTAGCAGCTGAACATCAACACCTGTCACCATGAGCAGACCCTGGCACACACACCAGGTAGGAAGGCTGTACAGTTCCTTAGAGCAATCTGAGCCTGGATCACCAGAGACCATGTGCATGCCAATGCCCACAGAAGCATAGGCTGACAGGCTCCATTTAAAGTCAGGTGGATATATGAAATGCCAGAGGAGATGTAGTAGCAGTTCCTGAGGAAGACTGGTTATCAACAACAGTGAGCGCTACAAAGGCTTTATAGAGATCGTACTAACTGCAAGAATAGAATCACACACATGGGCAGAGAGGCCCCAGCAGTAACTACCGAACATTCGTCCTCTTTCAAGGGCAAAAGACACCACAGCAGCACCCCCTCTCACACCTGGATGGCTTGGGTCATGTCTCCACTGAGCCAGAATATGGCCAATTGTTTTCACCAACCTCAAGATCAATTGCAATAATTGCTACTGAATGGATTATGCTGCGGGTCCTGGCAGTTTGTAAGGGGGCCTAACTGAGCAAGCACACATTTATTTTTCTGACATTGTAAGCATGTCTTCTCTTTAAAAGGGCTTTGGACATTTTTTCCTACCCGGTTGCCTAGCAACCTTTTGAGGGGACAGAAATAGGAAGGAGGATACTGGAGACTAATAGATAAGTGTTTATTTCGTAGATTTCTTTTTCAAAAATCAATCTGTTGTCACTTCCTGGGGTGGGAGTGGGGTGAAGGTGGAGGAACTGTGCTATATTATAGTGCTGCTACTCTTTTTTTTTTTTTTTTTTTCGAGACGGAGTCTCGCTCTTTCACCAGGCTGGAGCACAGTGGCGTGATCTTGGCTCACTGCAACCTCCACCTCCCGGGTTCAAGCAATTCTCCTGCCTCAGCCTCCTGAGTACCTGGGATTACAGGCACGTGCCACCACGCCCAGCTAATTTTGGTATTTTTAGTAGATACGGGGTTTCACCGTGTTGGCCAGGATGGTCTCAATCTCCTGACCTCAAAATCCACCCGCCTCGGCCTCCCAGAGTGCTGGGATTACAGGTATGAGCCACTGCACCCGGCCTACTCTTCTAGCAGGAACACACAGTGCCAGCAAGTGTATTTACACAAGAATTTTCAGAAACTGGGGAAGTGTATCACTGATACTGCATCTTAATTAAGATGAAAAATAAATACATCAACATTAAGTCATCAGAAACACACTGAGTATTCAGGCATGTCCCAGACATGCCTGAGAAGAAACTGTAATCTCTCTCACTTCACTCTAGTTGTGAATGACTAGTGAATAATGCTGCATTCTTGTCTGTCTGGTCTCCTTCTTTTCACTAAATTATATTTTCCTAGAAAAAGGACCCTTTCATTAAGGTGTTCAAGTTCATTCGCAAGGAACTAAGATAAGTAGTTCTTTTAACTTCCTCTGTATCTGTAGTTACTTCCCTCTTTTTATTTTTTGTATATTTAAACTTTCTCTCTTTTTTCTTGATTAGGTTAGTTAATAAACGATCTATTTTATTATTTTTGTCCCGAAAAAGCTCATGATTTATATATTGGTTCTACTATGTTTCTACATTCTGCTTCAGTAATTTCTACTTCTATTTTATTAAATCCTTTCTTATGTTTTATTTAGATTTTTTAAAATTGTAATTTCTTGGGTGGAAAGCTTAATTCATTTGCTTTCATTCTTTCTGGATCATTAATATAGGTATTCAGGGCTATGAATTTGCCTCTAATCCCTGCTTTAACTATTTTCCATTAATTCTGACATGGAGTTTTCTTGTTTGTTTCTCGATTTTTTTAGCAGATGGGGTATCATTATGTTGCCCGGGCTGGACTAGAGTGGCTATTCAAAGGCATGATCATAGGGCACTACAGCCTTGAAATGCTGGACCCAAGTGATCTTACCGCCTCAGCATCCCAAGTAGTTGGGACTACAGGTGCATGACACTGCACCCAGCTTGGTTATACAGTACTTTGAAAATTGTTATTTTCTATGTATTCTTCAATTTCCATTTTGATTTTTTTCACCTGACCTGTTAAAGATGGTTTTGTTTTTTCATACCTAGGTGGTAAGGACTTTTTGTTTTCTATGTTTGTTTGTTTATTTCCAGTTGTAATGCATTGTGGTCAGAGAATGTTGTCTGTACTACTTACATTTTTGAAATTTGAGAATGTCTCTGTAGACTTCATAGCAGGTATAAGCACATATATATATGTAAATAATATTTACATATGACATACATAACATATATCATAAATATATAATTATATTTAAAACTAAGTGTATACCAATCGATATCTCAAGCCCTGTCCTTGAAATTAGAGGATGCATCTCTTTTCAAGTGCCCATGAAACATTCACAAAAACATACACTGTTGCTTATTTTTATATCTATCTTAATTTTTAAATCTATTTCTCACAAAATGAGATAGGTTCATTAAATAACTTTTGCAACCAATGTACATCTCCTTGTATTTTTCATAGCTTCTGCTTTATGAACGTGATGCCACAAATAAATATACTTCTTATATTTTCATTATAAAATAGCATCTGGCCAGACACAGTGTTTCACACCTGTAATCCCAACATTTTGGAAGAACTGGGGTGGGAAGATCGCTTGAGCCCAAGAGTTCAAGATCAGCTTGGGCAACACAGTGAGAACTTGTCTCCACAAAAAATAAACTAAAAATAAATTATCCGGGCATTGTGGCGCATGCTTGTAGTCCCAGCTACTTGGGGCGGGGGAGGGCTGAGAAAATGAGAAAAATATATTTAAAGAATCTTTCATATTAACCCACATCTATGCCGTTTCCTGTGCTCTTTATTTCTTACTGTGGACTTCAGTTACCATTTCTATTCAACCTGAAGGACAACCTTTAGTATTTCTTGTAAGGCGGGTTGGCTAGCAACAAGTTCTCTCAACCTCTGTTTATCTGGGGTTTCCTTTATTTTAACTTCATTTTTTTTGAAGGATAATTTTGCTACATAAAAAATTCCTGGTTGACAACTTTTTCAGCACTTTGAATATGTCATCCCACTGCCTTCTGACTTCTACTTTTCAGATGAAAAGTTAGCCATTAATCATACTGACCTTCCCTTGCACATGATCAATTGATTTTTCCCTTGCTGATTTCAAGATTTTCTCTTCATCTTTCACCAGTTTAACTAGGATGTGTAAAGGTCTCAATCTCTTTGTATTTATGCTACTTTGGGTTTGTTGAGATTTTCAGTTGTGTAGACTAATGTTTTCATCAAATTTGGAATGTTTGGACCTCTTATTTTTTTAAACAAAATTTTGAACATTTATCTCACCTCCTTCTGGAAGTTCCTTTACATGTATGTTGTAATGCATTATGGTGTCTCATGGGTCTTTGTAGCTCTGTTAATTTTTCTTCAATGTCTTTTTTTCCCTCTGTGTTCTTCAGGTTGGTTAATTTCTATAGATCTCTCTTCAGATTCACTAATTCTTTCTTTTACCATCTCAAATCTGATGAGATCCATAATTAATTTTTTTCATTTCAACAATTATACTTTTCACCATCATTGGGGTGGGATGGAGGCAGCCTAAAATGGTGAAAAAGAACATAGCTCTGGAGACAAGCTTTATGAATTCAAGTCTGCACACCACCATTTATTAGCTGAGTGAACTAAAACAATTTACTTGGCTTCTCTCTACATCAAATTTATAACCTAGAAAATGCAAATACTACAAGTGCCTAACTCATAGTGCAGTTTGAGAATTGAGCTACTACATAAAGTGTTTAGAGTAAAGCCTGTCATAAAATAAGCATCCCAATAACCTTTTGCTATTATTACTGCTGATGTAGGAGTTTGGTCATCCTAGCAGACATGATCTGAAATTAGTTTTGTACCCTAAACCTGAGATCTGGGGTAAGAAAGATTAGCCCCACATATGTGACCTCTTCAGCCTTTCCTATTCTTTCTTCTCAAGTTCCACTATGCTTGTTCCATAGGTATATTTGGGTTTCCCTATTGTTTTGCTAAATTACACTATGGTCACACCACTAGGGCTAATACTAAGCTCACTTGGTGAGATTTCGACACATGACACAGATTTTTTTGGCCTCATCTCCAGAAGGTCTGGACCTTGATTCTCATACCTTTGGGTGTTAGTTGTCATCAAGCTCCAACCCACACTAACAACTCAGAATTACAGCACCACAGCTACTGAATTTATATACGTCTTCTCTGCATAGAGGTACCTCCTGCTCTGCTCTTGCCACCCACTATACTGGATCTCTTATATATGACTCTTACTTATTTGACCCCAAGTTTGGCCAAAATCTTCAAGACAAGGAAATTTCGCTTGAGACCACTCACATCATGGGGTACAGCCCAATAACCACATCAGCATCCTAGCTTCCAGTTCTTCCCAGTCCTAGCCCTCCCCATCCTATTGGCTCATAGCCCTGAACATCTCCTTCACCATGTGCCACCAATTCCTAGTCCTGGATCTGCATTGACTACAAGGTATTAAGGACTATAATATTTAGTTAAATCAGTGTGTCAGTGGAATAATTTAGAAAGTAGTAAAAGAGAATCTCTAGTTAACCATTAACATGGTATTAAGACAAACCCTGGTGAAGTAAACAGACCAGATTTTTCAGTCCCATTTGGTCAATCTAAGGAAAGTCTAAGCAAAGATGAATATAAACTGTCCAGTGCTCTCTCTCTACTCTCCAAACTTGTATGCAACTAGTTAGTTTCCCAATGACAACTAATGATGCTTTATATTTTACAAAGCACTGTCACAAATGTATTTCATTCAATCCTCAAAATGACCCTATGACCTAGGTAAGGTGGCATGATTACTCTTATTTCACAGACGAGAAAACAAACTTGAGGAAAATAAAGGACATATCCAAGGTCACTCTATTATTTGGGTGAAAAGTAGCAGTTATAAACTAATTTTTCTTGCTTTCAACTCACTGAGTTTTTCAATGCGTCCCATGAATCAGTAGTCCCATGAGAAATCCTGTGACCAAAAATTTAGAAAATGGTGAAGATTTTATCACGATAAAAACTCTAGGAAATCCTGCAGTAAAGCATCTGGTTACCTTTGTTTTCCACAATGTTTCTCACACTTCTCTGATCATGGAACCTCCTTTTTAAGAATAAATTCCCACAGAATTTTGAAAAACACTACCCTATAGTAAGCTGCCTCATGGGAAGCACAGGGAATGCCAGCTTGAGTAAGGTTAGGGCTCCTTGGAGAAATACTCTCCTCTTAGCAACCTCCGGTCTTTCACCAAACATTTCCTCCTATCTGCAAACAGAAGAGGACTCTGGTGATGGGGCAAACTAGAGTATTAGGATGAGGATAAGGGACAAATCAAAATACACAGATACACTTACTATCAGATCTGAAATCTTCCCAAAATGGCCCTAACTCCATGTTTTTCAAAACAGAGTTTACAGCCCTTTGCATAGAATCATCCAGGAAATTTGGTGAACACAAAGAGTCCCAGACTATCACAGACCTAATGAAACAGAACCTCTGGGAACAGGGCCCAGGAATCTGCATTTTAACAAGTTCGCTAGGCAACTGTGACATAACTAGAATTTGGGAAACAGACTTATGTAGTCAACAACAGATGTGAGATACTTTTCCAATTAAATCAAAGTCACAAACCAAAATGCAAATCGCCCAAGATGCATCCAGTGGGGGACTATTTGGTTTCTCGGTAATAACCACATCTCAATGAGACCAGCCTTCCTGGGGAAGGCTATTCCATGGTCTATCAGATCTTTTCATTAGGGAAACTTCCCTGCTATTCCATCTAAGTAGTTTTTCTTAATTTGATCCTATTACTTCCATGCTTTATACAAAGATGAGTATAGCAGTTATCCTCAATAAACAAAAATGCAATACAAATGACACTCCAGGCTCATGTTTCCATCCAATGGCCACATCTCTTTACAAAGTGAGAGTCAATGCAGGTGTCTGCAGCCAGCTTCTATAGGTCCCAAATTTTGATTTAGATGAGCAGTGCCATCTTCAGTGTCAAATGTGTAGCCATCAGTGGCACCATTCTCGCAAACAGATGGCATGCTCACAGCACCTCACCCACATTACAACAATTGGGACTCAGAGGACTGTTCAAGATGGAGGCACTTAAGGAATTAGAATGTGACCATAACTATCGACTGAGTTATAGATACTGTGATTTTCTGGCCTTAGGAAAAGGACCATGAATAAGATAACATTAGTCTCATGACCATCAAATGGAATAAGCCAAGGCAGCAGAAGACATTTTGTTCACACATCAGGAAGTACCTGCTGACTAGCTAGATTATTAGGAAAGGCAATAAACTGCCAAAATAGGTGGCATGGCATCCTCCATAGGTCATTAAAAACAGTAATATGATCTTCTAAGATTTCCTGCCCAGGCATAAGTGGGTAGATAAGATGACCTTTTCAGATTTTAAAATGAAGATTTTATGAGTATTCAGAAGATGCAGTGAGGGAAAATTGCTCTTAGGAACAAAAACAAATTCTTTGGAAGAGGAAATGATTCATTTAAAGACCATTTTAAGAACTTCAGCTGATTTTCCTAGAAATACCTTGGTTTCAGAGTAATTTGGAAATAATTCAGTAAATTGTTATATCTAAAATAATTAATTAGCTTTTAAAGTCAGATACTTCATTAATACACACACATATGTACATATACTTCATTAATACACACACATTTATATGTGTCTATATGCATATGCATGTATGGCTGAAGTTTTGAAGATCATAACACTGTGAGATATGGGAATATGGAATACTAGGCCAATTATTTCATCTAAGAACACAATAACAATCAATAGTAATCATGCCAGTAAAAAATAATCCACTAAATCAGCTTTGGAATCATCTCTGAAATAGCCCAGACATGTGTCATTTTGAGATCACATTTGCATTGATCTGCCTAGATCCTAGGAGACAAAGAATGTGATTTTTTCCAGATATCTGTCAGGATCAGGGTTCCAGTCACAGAGATAAGCTAAGGCTAGGAGAGCCTGCAGAGTGTGGGCTCTGAAGTCAGATTGCCTGGGTTCATATTCCAGTTCTAGTGCTTACTATCTTCATCAGCCTGGGCAATTTCCTAACTCCTCTAAGCCTCAGTTGTATCATATGTAAAATGCGATAGCAATGGTACATATATTACAGAAATCAAATGAGTGTTAAATAAAATGATTCATGTAAAACATTTAACACTGTCAAACATGAAGTAAACATTCAATAGGCAATAGTTAAAATTACCCCTATTATTAAGAATTATAAGGCCGGGCACGATGGCTCACACCTGTAATCCCAGCACTTTGGGAGGCTGAGACAGGCGGGTCACCTGAGGTCAGAAGTTCAAGACCAGCCTGGCCAACTTGGTGAAAACCCACCTCTACTAAAAACACAAAAATTAGCTAGGTGTGGTGGTGCATGCCTGTGATCCCAGCTACTCAGGAGGCTGAGGCAGGAGAATCACTTGAACCTGGAGGCGGAGGTTCAAGTGAGATCGTGCCACTGCACTCCATCCTGGGCAACAGAGCGAGACTGCCTCAAAAAAAAAAAAAAGAATTATAAGTAAATTGTATGTCTCTTCACTGTCACTAATTCTCCAGATTATCTCTGACATGGTATGACACATTTCTGAGAAATCAGTCAATCAGTCTGCAAAATAATGCAGACTCTCAGGAATCATAAGTTAAATGCTGCTTCTAATTCCTAAAGCTTCAGTCTTTTCAGAAGCGAAAGAAATAGGGAATTGTGTGCTGATTTGTGAGAATCATAAACCAACAGAATAAAACATTAAGAACAACAGGATGCCTGTAATTTGAAGCAAAACTTGATAGTCCTAAAAATGTCAATTGGGTCCGTAATCACCCAGTACAAAGTCCATACACTTAATGAGCTCCTGCCAAGAATGACTGTTGCCAAATGAAATACGTGGATACTGATGGACCAGTCTTGAGTAGCATAGTGGGCACAAAACTGAGTAATGCTGAGTAAGAAATACAACATTGAGTAATACAGCTGTAGCGTAGTCTTCTATGTATTCTAATTCTAGAGATTCACTCCCAGCACCAGCACAAGATGCTTTTCTTCCAACACTTCCCATTCTAGAAGGACTTTCCATCTCTGCCAACTAACCCAAATCTTATTGTTTCATTAGGACTTGCCTCTCCCCATAGCCATCACAAAACATTTAGTTTAAAATACATAGTTCTTTATTTGATCATTCATTCATTCAATACAGTTTAATTGAATTTCCCACCAATAATATAAAAAACTGCTGAAAGCTGATTAGATGTATTTTTGTATATACTACCCCTTTCTTAGTGATGTTTTCTGTCCACAACAATTAAAGATCTAATGAAAGGTGATAAGATGAGAGCACAACCAAGGGAATTCAGAGGAGGGACAGAATGCTTTCAGTGGGATGAGCCAGCACATGGCACCCTAGTATGGCTGCAAGAGATGTTACTAGGCAGGGGTTACAGTGGGTAGCAAATCACACACACTTCATTGAGATGAATGCAGCTTGGACATTTCCTACAGAATCTAGCTCTTTTCTGTGAATTCATGCAAACTGTTGGTTGAACATATACATGAATTAATGAAACGGAGCCTATTTTGCCCTCATACAGGAAAATAGGCAAAATAGGCAAAGAAGGACCTGGCTCAAGGTCCTTCTGGGGAGAGGTGCTTGGCAGAATTTGGCCACAGTATCAATTCTAAACTGCACACTAAATAAACATAATAAAAGATGTGCGCCAGGAATAGAAGGCCAGCAGGATGTTACTTTTCTGAAAATGGCATTGGCAGGGGGGC
Organism: Homo sapiens; assembly: GCF_000001405.40. Lineage (NCBI taxonomy): Eukaryota > Metazoa > Chordata > Mammalia > Primates > Hominidae > Homo > Homo sapiens. Next base: position 170,314,060 of record NC_000002.12, on the reverse strand, counting down.
TGTAGGGAGGGAGCACAGTCCCCTTCTTTCCCCCTCTTACTTGTCAGCCTTGTGGTTCACGAAAACCCAATTGGACCCTTGTTTTCTTTCCTGGGCCAGTAATGAATGGCAGTAATTATCCATGCAGGGCTGTGTGTGAGTCATGAGGTAGCTCTGGCTCCCTTCTCCTTGCAATTTTGAGCTGTGTGTGTGTGTCTGTGTGTGTGTTTCACCCGCTACTATTGAGGGGTGGAAAATAGATTACAATTACATTCCGGCTGGCTTTTGAAGACTTGATGGACAGCTGGAGAGAAATCTTGCCTGCAGCTGCTGGGATGAGAGGGTGGCCAAGAGGTGGGCGTGGAAAGAGGAAGAGAGGCCCTGTCAGAAGAGGGGGAAACAATACTAAATGAATTCAGGATATTCTCAAAGGAGCATTTTGAAGAGATCATGCTTGCTGACATTAAAACTGATTCTAGGGTCCAGGTGGCTGGCTGCATATCTGAATAATGTAGGTCCCTTTCAGGAACATTTTGAGTGTTCAAGTGCAGAGATGCTATCACTGGATCAGAGAGCAGCAAGATTAGACATAGACCAAGGCTGGCCCTGAAGATGGGCTCAGCTGTAGGTTTTTCCCTCTCTTCATCTGGAATCATTTTTCTAAGGTTAACCCCAACCCCTAACCTTTATTTATTTATTTTTTTTAGTATGTATATGGGGAGCTTTCATGTACTTACTGAGCACTATGTTTGGCACTTGGCCATACATGTTATCTACATGCCTCACATAATCCATATTACTCCCCTTCAAGGGAAAGGTCATAACCCTTATTTTACAGAGGGGGAAAACGAAGTTGAGAAAGGTGAAATAACTATCTCAAGGATGTTAAGTATTAAGGTGAACAACCCAGGCAGGCCAACTTCAAAGTGCCAAACAGTGCAATATTTTATTTCTTATTACAGTCAAAAAAATCACAAATTTAGAAAGCAGGAATGCCAATTACTGGGAGTAGAAGAAGGGGCAATGCTAATGCATTTATTACATTTGTCTAAAACAGATACCCAGTTGTCTAGGTCCTTCAATTCCATAATGGTTAAGAAAATAAAACACCATGATTATATCACAAATGAAATATAAATAGTTCCTCTATGTGTAACTTAGAAACATTTGCAGGTATGTAGGTGAAAATCAGCACTCCATAGAAGGCACCAAGAAACTCATCAGCTTTAAGTGTAACCAGAATTCAAACAATAATTGTAGGGAAACATGCCCCCAAAATTGTACGTAGGTGTGATTTCCCTGGATACCAAACGGAAGTGATTTCAACTGGCCTCTAACCCTCAGTGAATGTGGTTAGAACAGTGGTCTGCAGAGCTACCAAGCAAAATAATCAGAAAAGTGTCCCTTATCCTTAGCTAATTGCAAAATAAACATTTCTATTCCTTCCCACCAGCCTTCCACGCAGGATTCACTTTGATGGCATTTGCCTCTTGGTTCAGATCAAACTTAGATCACAATTTAAGAACTGGTTTATTAACACCACCAGCAAGTCCTTTGTCAATGGGGTCAGAACCCTTGCCTAGGCAATGACATGACATCTACTCACATTTAGTCAGGGATTTCTTTGTTCAGCAATACACTAAATAGGCACAGTCATCCCCTACTAAAAGCCAGGAGCTGTACTAAATATTAGGGGAGCCATTCTCACACTCAGTGCTCATAGATAAGTAAATGGACCATTAAGTAAACGCTGTCTGGATGAGTCAGAGAAGGATGCTCATGTCACATTTCAGCTCCCTTCTATCAATTTACCCTGTCCCAGACCAGTCTTAAAGTAGTCATATCATGAAATCACAACAAACCTGAACTGTAGTCTAGACACATTTGTGACTGTGAGAAAAGATGAAACCTTGAAGAAACGTGCATCTTAGGACACTTGGTTCTGTGAGTGGTAGAAGAGGTTGTGCAAAGAAATAAGACATAGTCAGGAGCAAATAAAAAGTTACCCCGTGCGAAAAGCAATATTGAAAAATAAGAAAAGAGCACTCACACTTTCTTATTTCAACACCTACTACAAAGCAACAGCAATCAAAGTAGTGTGATTACCGGCATAAGAAGCGACGTACAGATCAATGGGATAGAATGGAGGGTCCAGAAATAAACCCATATATTTGATTGATTTTCGACAATGTTGCCAAGACCATTCAATGGAGAAAGAATAGTCTCTTTAACAAACGGTGCCGGGAAAACTGCATATACAGACACAAAAGACGAAGTTGGACCCACACATTACAACAAATGTAAAATTAACTCAAAATGGATCAACAACCTAAATATAAGAAATAAAACCATAAAACTCTTAGAAGAACGCATAGAGGTAAATCTTCATGACCTTGGACTTGGCAATGGATTCTTAGGTATGACACACCAAAAGCACAAGCAACAAAAGAAAAAAAAACTGGATGTCATCACAATTTAAAGCTTTTATGTTTCAAAGGACATCACCAAGAAAGTAAAAAGACAACCCACAAAACAGGAAAAAATATTTGTAAATCATATATCTGATAAGGATCTAGTATCCAGAATATATTAGAAAAAATCTTAAAACTCAGCAACACAAACAGTTAAATTTTTAAGTGGCCAAAAAACATGAATAGACATTCTTCAAAGTAGGTATACAAATAGCCAAGAAGCACATGAAAACATGTTAAAACACCATTAGTCATCAGAGAAATGCAAATCAAAACCACCAGGAGTATCGCTTTACACCCACTAGGATGGCTATAAAATGGAAAACAAAAAGTGTTGGAGCAAATGTGGAGAAATCTGAACTCCCATACATTGCTGGTAGGGATGTAAAATGGTGCAGTTACTGTAGAAAATGGTTTGGTGGTGGTTCTTCAAAAGGCTAAAACACAGAATCGCCCAGCATTTCCACTCCCAGATATATAGTGAAAAGAACTGAAAACAGGTATTCAAACAAGCATACACACATGCATGTTCACAGTAACACTATTCACAATAGACAAAAGGTGGAAACAGCCCCGTAAACCAAAAATAAAATTCTAAGGCCCCGCAACCATCTGAATGGACTTCCTCCTCAGTCAGGGCTCTTTTAAAATTTAACCTGAGAGACTGTTTCAGGCCATGATGGGAAGTGGGGGGTCTAACATGCATCATTATACATCTCTGGCGTTAACATTAACACAGACTTTAAGTCTGATAAATAAGAACTTGGGTCTCCACAATCCTTTATCTTAACCCAGACATTCCTTTCTGTTAATCCCAGGTCTTTAGACATATTCAACCAGAAAATGTTTAAATTTACCTATAGCCTGGAACCATCCCCCACCTTCAAGTTGTACTGCCTTTCTGGACCAAACCAATGTATTTCTTTTTTTTTTTTTTTTTTTTTTGAGATGGAGTCTTGCTCTTGTCGCCCAGGCTGGAGTGCAGTAGCACAATCTTGGCTCACTCCAACCTCCATCTCCAGGTTCAAGCGAGATTCTCCTGCCTCAGCCTCCCAAGTAGCTGGGATTACAGGTGCCCACCAACATGCCCAGCTAATTTTTTGTATTTTTAGTAGAGATGAGGTTTTGCCACGATGGCCAGGCTGGTCTCAAACTCCTGACCTCGGGTGATCCGCCCGCCTCGGTCTCGCAAAGTGCTGGGATCACAGGCATGAGCCACTGCGCACAGCCCAGTGTATTTCTTAAATGTATTTGATTGATGTCTTATGCCTCCCTAAAATGTATAAAACTAAGCTGCACCCCAGTCACCTTGAGCACAGATTCTCAGGACTTCCTGAGGGCACTGTCACGGGCAATCATCACTCATGTTTGGCTCAGAATAAATCTCTTCAAATATTTTACAGAGTTTGACGCTTTTCGTCGAGAGCTCAAATGTTCATCAATGGATGAATGGATACACAAATTGTGTTTATAAATCAATGGAATATTATTCAGTCATAGCTCAGTCAGGATATAAGTACTGATCCATGCTACAATGTGCATAAGCCTTGAAAACATTATGCTAAGTGAAAAAATCCAAATACAAACGGCCATACATTGTATAATTCCGCTTATATAAGATATCCAGAATAGGTAGAGGCATAGAGACAGAATGCAGATTGATAGTTACCAGGGTCTGGGAGAAATAGGGAATGGGGAGCAACTGCTTAATGAGTACACTGTTTCCTTTTGGGGTGATGAAAATGTTTTGGAACTAAACAGAGGTGTTGGTTGCACAACATGGTGAATGTACTAAACGTCACTAAATTGTTTACTTTAAAATGGTTAATTTTATACTATGTCAATTTCACCTCAAAAAAGAAAATCCAAAAACTTCAAATTAAAAAAAAAAGATGTCTACAGAAAATTCATTTATTCATTTATTCAACAATAGGGAAAGGTTCAGTGCAGAACTAGCACCATGGAGCAGGCACTGGACTGGGGATAAAATAGTGAGCACACGCATGCCAGTCTAGCAGCCAAGACAGACTTCATCAAATAATCACCCTCATGAAGTGTAAATACCACAAATCAAAGTGAGAAGGTTCTAGGCTGAGAGAATCAGGGAAGATATCCCTGAAGATGCAAAAAATATTAGCTAAGGTAGAAAAGATAAGTTAGAGTTAATAAGAGGTTAGGGAAGGTTCAGGGTAGCGGTGGGGAGAACATTCCTTCAAGGGAAACAACATGTATAAAGATCTAGTGGCAGGATAAAAAGGAAGCTAGTACCTCCTTAGCATTTGAATGATTTATCAGTAATAGTTTTGACTATTTGCAAGCAACCCACTGGTTTATTACACACAGTAATTTATGATTTGGTAGAGATACCAATTCAAATTGTGAGGCTGAGTGTCCCTAGCCAACTTAGTTGTACTATCATATTTTTGTTAGTACTGAAGGGTCTACTTAAAATTTTCACATACTTTGTGGCATTTTATGGGGGAAATTATATGCCATAGTGACATACGTTATTTAAAGGTCTCAAGAGGATCCCTTTGAGATCATCCAGTGCTCTATAGATTCAACAGGGAGAACTGGCCAGATTCACCCAAAAGACACATTTTGATTGGCCTCCCTGGCCTTAAAAATAAGATTCTGATACAGAGGGCATAACCTCTTCAGTCTAACCCCAGGCCCCTCTACTTCCTATTGTTTAATTTTACACCTACATGTTTCCCTCATTTTCATTTTCTGCTTGGCCTCTGACTACATTTGAATTTGTGTCCCCCCTTCTAAAGGAACAGGCATTTTTCCATGAGTGACTGGCTTTGATGTTGTCTTTCTTGAAGGCTGGGGAGGAAAGGGGCATGAGAGTCCAACAGGGAAAGGTGTGTAGGAATGTGAGAAGGAATGAGTAACTATAATACAGAATAAAAGTGGTATTTCCAATATATCAAGAAAGAAAAGGATCCTGGGGAGAAAGATGAGAAATTAAATCAACATGAGTATATGAAGCCAGCCCCATTGGACTTAAAGGCACAGAGACCTGGATGCACCCAGAGTATGCCTCAGATAGTAAAGATTATCTAAGATCAAAAAGGAGGCAGCAATTATCCCTACATAAATGTCAAAATTGTTATGGGATCAGTGATTTTCACACATCCATTGACATAAATCCTGGGCAGGGATATTGTGATCAATACCCACCAGGCCCAGGGAGGTGCCTTTCTGTAGAGAAAGAGAGAGATGCATGTGTCGCACTCAGCAACATGGCTACAAAAATAATTACAGGAAGCAATCATTTCTTTGATTTTTGCTTTCGGGCTTCTGTATGCCAGAGAGGCCTCCAAAGGGCGCTGCCTACAGCAATTACAACATCCTTTTGCAATGTTGCTAGAACAGAACATTCACGTTTTTCTCAGAACCTGAGAGTAGTCTATTATCACAGCATGTTCTGAGACAATGGGGTTCAATAGGGCAAACAAAAGGCTGGAAATAGATCAGTACATTCAAATCATTGCCCTGGCCATTGACTCAATAAATATTTATTGAGTATTTACTATGAGCCAGAGCAGGCTAGATGTGGGGACACAAGAATGGGACTTCCCATTCTCAGTTGAGATAAATCATTCTTTACATCTGTTGCACAAAGGGTCTTGCCTTCCTATTTCTGAAGTAGGAGGCAGGGATCGACTCTGGACCAGACTGAAGACTGGCTGACATGCCCACCAAAGCCATGACAGTTCACCCATTCCCTGACAACAACCCAGAAGTTACAACCCTTTTCTAGAAATTTCTGAATAACTTGCCTCTGAATTTGCATGTAATTAAAAGCAGATATAAATGTGACTGCCTGACTGCCCTTGAGCTGCTATTCTTGCTGCACTACCTATGGGGTGACCCTGCTCTGCAAGAGCAATCATGAAGCTGTAATACTGCTGCCTCAATAAAGCTGTTTTCTTTCACCACCAGCTTGCCTTTGAATTTCTTCCTGGGCAAAATAAAGAAACTTCCTGGGCAGAGCCTCAATTTTGGGGCCCCCCTGTCCTGCAACACTTCAAGGCCATATGGAAGGATAGGGAATCTACACTAAAATAGAATTTCACAGTTTAAGAGGATCACATGTACCACTGATATGCAATACATTCTCTATTATATTGATAACAGCAAGAAAGGTAGCATTGAGAATAAAACTTTTGACTCACTGAACAGAGCATTTTAATTTTCTCAGGTTAAAGACACAATTCGTTATCTGTTTGAGAACCTGTTCTTTGGTGAAAGTACATATGATTTTTTAAGCCAATAGTCAAGAGAAAAGCAAATAATATTATGAGCAACCTAAAGTAAATGATGAATCACAGACTTTTTTTTTTTTTTTTTTTTTTTTTTGAGATAAGGCCTCACTCTGTCACCTAGGCTGGAGTACAGTGACATGATCATAGTTTACTGTAACCTCAAACTCCTGGGCTCAAGTGACCTTCCTGCCTTAGCCTCCAAAGTAGTTAGGACTGCTGGTGTGCACGATCACACTCAGCTAATTTTTTCATTTTTTACCTCTGTAGAGACAAGGTTTTGCTATGTTGCCCAGGCTGGAAAACACAGAGATTTTGAAATAAAAGGAAAATTATATCACTTTTGGGTGAATGAGAATAAAAAGTGTTAAAAAAATGTTTTCCCCATTTCCATATGCCTGAGAACATACAAAGCTACTTGTAAAAAGAAATTAATTAAAACGTAGTTTTCTACTAGAGTCTCCAAATATGCAAAATACATGCAATGTGAACCTATGATTTTTATGCACTAAGATGACACCTCAGACCCAAGTGCAGAAGAACTTGGGCTTGTTTTTCCCTACAATAATCATCTGTCATGTTGTCACTTCACACCCACACATGCAATGGCAGATAGGTAAACTCAGGGCCAGAACGACAGCAGTTTTCTAGTCTGACGTGGGGATGGACACGCTGGCTTTGGGCTCACAGGCTCAGTGCTCCAGACAACTGAGCTCTACTTGACAAGGACATTTTGAAAAACACAAGTCAGACTAACGGTCAGTCAACAGTCACTGTGTGATAACCAATTGTTTTCAAGGATCAGGTTGTCTGAATTCTAATTTCCCCATATCATCACCCACACACACTCATATAAATTGTATATGTACATTTCTGGAGTTCATAAAACAATAAAGTCATCGCATGGTCTGACTTTAGGTTCTAAATGCCATGGAAGCATGCACAAAGTAATCATTAGAAACTGCCATATGCAAATTCTTTGACACTTTTCCCATTAAGAGGTGGGGGTCTATGCCCTCACTCCTTGAATCTGGGCAGGCTCTGTAACTGCTGTGACTAACAGTATCTTGCGGATATGTGGTGCCAGTTTGGAAATTTAGATCTTCAAAGAATGGCAGCCTCCACTTCCTATGTCTTTGAATGCCTACTCTTGGAGCCTTGAACAGATATGTAAGTCCAACTATCCCGCTGAAGAGACCACAAGCATAGGAAGCGGGATCCAGCTTAACCCAGGCTACCAGCCATTCCCACCAAAGGCACCCAGGCATATGAGTGAAACCACCATGGACCCAGTAGACTGGACTGGTTACCAGCAGATTAGCATTGGCTGACCCCAGTTCATATCATGTAAAATAAAAGAATTACCCAGCTAAGCTCTGCCCTGATTCCTGACCCCAAAGTTATAACATGCAATAAAATGTTTATCGCTTTAACCCACTAAGGTTTGGGATAGAGCCAAGAGTGGTAATGCATACCTGTAATCCCAGCTACACAGGAGGCTGAGGGAGGAAGTCACTTGAGCCCAGGAGTTTGAGATCACCCTAGGTAATATAGTAAGACCCTGTTTCGAAAAGTAATAGATAAAAATTTATTTATTATTTATTTGTTAATGGTCCCAACTGGCCCATTAACAAAAAGGTTTGGGGTAGTCTATCATGCAGCAATAAGTACTTGGGACAAAAATTTACAGGATCTCAGGGCTAAGACTACTTGAATGATGGGCACAGGGAAAAGTGTCCTGGGAAGGCATTAATTAGCAGACAGAAGGAAGGCTGTATCTCTTTCTCCCCATTATTATTCAAGACATGATAATGCTTGAAAGAAAGGCTAGAAAACTAGAACTACAAGGGTTGGACCAAGAAAACTGCCTCTGAGATTATCACTACCATATTTTAAAATGAAAAGCCTCTGGAGGAATAAGTGTGGAAAAATAGGCAGAAACATTTTGGGGGGAAAATGAGGACTTACCTTCTCAGTTAAGAAAATATACCTTAAAATAACTAAAACAGTATAGTACTATTTTAATCACAGAACAGAATAAAAAGTAGAGAAGCATATCTATGTGTATGTAACGTTTTAGTGTAGGATAGATACTCCAAATCACTAGGAAAGGATGAACTATCCTACACCGTGACAGAGAATAGAGGATGTGTCCCCTGGTGTTGAAACAACAGGTTATTCATATTTAAGAAGTCTAATTACATTCCTACTTGAATCAATCAGAAAAAGTTCCAGTGTAACTAGAAATCTAAATTTCTAAAAATCAAAATATTTATATTATCTAAATATAAAACTTCAATGATAAAATAAGGCATACTTTTAAAATCTTGAGACAGAAAAGAGATTCATAAGCATGAAATAGAATTCAAAAGCCATAAAGGGAAAAATTGACAGATTTAAATGTATTAAAATGTCAGATTCTTACAGAAAAAAAAAATAAACCTTAAACAAAATTAGAAGGCCAAAAGAAAACTGGGGGAAAAAAATACCTGTGACATAACAGTCAAAGGGTTAAGAGCCATAATACATTACTAAGAAAATATAAAAGCCCCAGTAGAAAAATGGATGAAAAGGGCCGGATGCGATGGCTCATGTCCGTAATCCCAGTACTTTGGGTGGCTGAGGCGGGTGGATCACTTGAGGTCAGGAGTTTGAGACCAGTCTGGCCAACATGGTGAAACCCCATCTCTACTAAAAATACAAAAGTTAGCTGAGTGTGGTGGTGTATGCCTATATAATCCCAGCTACTCGGGAGGCTGAGGCAGGAGAATCACTTGAACCTGGGAGATGAAGGTTGCAGTGAGCTGAGGTCACGCCACTGCACTCCAGCCTGGGTGACAGAGCGAGACTCTGTCTCAAAAAAAAAAAAAAGAAAAAGAAAAAAGAAAAAAAAATAAAGTGAAAAAATGAGCAACAATTCACTTAGATGAAGTGTACATGGCCTGAAATATATAGAATTATATTCAACTCCACCAATAATCAAAATAATGAAAACAAGATATAATTTTATCCATCATATTGGAAAAATTTTTGAAGATTAGTAATACCAACTGTTGATAAAAATGTAAGAAAATGGTGTTTTCATACACTGTTGAAGGAAAATATAAATCACTATGGCCATTTTGTTAGAATAACTTGGCAATATGTGTCAATATTAAAAATAAGTACTCTTTTGAATCATAGGTTCTGTTTTTCACTATCCTACAGAATTTCTCACACCAAATACATAGATATACAAATATACACAGAATGATATGCACCAAATCTTTGTTTATAACAGCAACGAAAAAGGGAAAGAACCAAAATGCCCATCTATAAGGGCATAGTTAAATATATTATGAAACTTCTATATTATTGAAAACAACACAGCCATTTTAAAAGAATAAGGTGGGTCTATGTAAGTACTAATAAGGAAAGACATCTTTAATAAAATTGCTAAGTGAATAAAAGCAAAACACAAATGTATGATCATATTTTGGTAAAAAAATCAAAGTTACAAATGAGTAATTGCATATTAATATATATTAGTACATGTGTAAGAAAAACATGTATGCATAAACACACGAATAGATACATATTCCAGAAAAGAGATGTCTGGGCAAATATAAAATGAACTGTAATCAGTAGCTCCATGTAATGGAGAGATTCACAGTATTTTATATTGAACAACCTTTTTATAACAAAGATCTATTAGTTTTTTTTTAATAATAGGAAAGCAATCAAAGAATAAAGTGACATAACTAATGGGTACTAGGCTTAATATCTAAGTGATGAAATCATCTGTACAGTAAATCCTCATGACACACATTTACCTATATAACAAACCTGCCCATGTACCCCTGAACTTCAAACAAAAGTTAAGAAAAATTATAAATATAATCAGTCTCATGCATAATTTAAAAAATGTAAATGAGAATGTGAAATACCATTTTTTACACCCATAAGATGGATGGAGATTTTTTAAATGACAATATACCACAGCCAAGGAGGCAGAGATTCACTTTCATACACTGTGGGTGTGAACACAATTTAGTAAAACTTCTTTGAGCAAGAATTGGGTAAAATCTGCCAAACTTCTAAATGCCCATCTCTTTGGACAGCAAAGATGTAGATACATAGACATTTATTATAATACTTTTTTTAGTAGGAGAAAACTTAAAAAAACAGTTTTCCATTCATAGACAACATAGTTGGAACATTTACAACAGTAGTAAACTATAAAGCCATAAAGGAAGAATGAAGTAGTTTTGTTGTAGCTCTAAAATATATTGTTAAGTGACTAGAAAAAAAATCCTAAACATTATATATGGTATGTGCCTTTTATGTAAAACAAAATGCGGCATGTTTGTTTCAGTAGACTCAAGAATGAAAAGATAACTGCTCAATAAATGTTCAAGTAGAAAACAAAAACAAAAATCAGTGACATAAAAAGGATAATAATAGATCAAGCACCATCTTCTCTTTGTAGCTGCATCATATCACCAAAACTGCCTGCATCCTTGCCTCATAGGCAATACCTCTATGTTTTAGCTCTTTCTCCTAATATATGCTTAACACCTGAGGAATTAACACATATAAAATTGTTTTTTGCAGGACTCATTCTTTAATCCAGTGATCTCAGTGCAAGAAGAAGAAATATTTTAAACCACACTTTCCTCATTCCCTCCAGATATCTTTTCCCCCACCCCTGCCATGGTATAGCAAGACTTTTACTGGAACGAACTGGAATAAACTTTAATGAATATAGAAAGTCCCTCCTAACAGATGTTACAGCTTTAAGAGTTTGGAGTCAGGAAGAAGTTTGGGAACCACTGCTCTAAAGTTAGCAAGTTAGTTCCTTCAAAATCTCATGCTGAGATTGGGGCCATTGTCACTAGGTGGACAGTAATGCTTGTTTAGATTTTACAGTCCCAGCCCCAGCTGGTCATTTCAATTACAGAAAACAGAGAACTCATCCATTTAAGGCAAGTACTTCCATGCAATATTGCTGGGGTTTTTTCTATTTAGAAACTCTTAATAATCACATTAAGTAGATATTGTGTACATTTATGTTTTAATTCTAAAAGAAAATGCCTTGTGGAGTAAGAGTTAAAGAAATACAAGACCACATACAAGAATCTTAGTCACAGAATTTCGACTTCAATTGTTATTACTCATTACGTCTGCTCTTTTTTAAAATCAGAAGTCATGCAGACCTCATTCTCTATGGCAGCATTATGGTTTTTAAGAACTTTGAGAGCTGCTAAAGGATGTATCTGGCTTGGTGGGAAGACGTGCTTATGCCTGCTCCCACATTTCAGTCTTGCTTCAGGGCTTTGGAGAAATATCCAAAACCCACAAACACCTACCTATTTAGAATTTTCCAATAAGGCTTTAATTTGCCTCCTGCTGCTGGCTCTAATTATCAAGCCAGTGACTGAGAAGGAAAATCCAGCCTCCTAAAAAAAAAAAAAAAAAAAAAAAAAGCCTCCACTTTGCCTATGTGGCCGCTCTATGTCGCTCGTTTCCTGTAGGCTTTCTCACCTTGCACATACTGTTACACAAAAAAAGGCCATGAAATACTGGACCACGTGTCGTCACTGCCACCCTGCACATGACTGTGTATCACACAATCAGGAAACAATTTCTCATGATCACTATTATTTGTTATTGCCCATATATTATTGAAGATTTTAGTCATTAAACACCCATCTACTCCCAGCCATTGTTTTGTTTTGCTTGATGGAAGCTGGGATTCTGGCTAAGGGCATTCTCCTTAAAGGATTCTGCCTCTTTCACCTTCCAGCCATTTTAAACATAAATTTAATGTAGTAGAAGAGTGTGAATGGAGAGAAATGTTTTAGTTACATCCCACATTATTTTGATCATGTTTTGTGCCCAGAAATGTATAAAAATAGAGTGATCTAAAACTATTATCGATACAATCTGAGGTATTATAAGTGGTTGTTTCCTGATTTCAGATAAATCATTTGATGTATAAAGTAATCTAAAATGTCAACATCCCTAAATTTGACATTTGAATATATTGCTAGGACTCAGTTACTTATGTAAGTTTAGAATACCTTCATTAGTCAACTAGGATACTTTTAACTAGGATTTCGATCACCAAAATAAAACATGGTTGAGCAGCTGGTGCAGATAACTCAGGATCCTGTGGTCATTACAGTCAAGCTGAGTGCTCACCACACACTGACAAGTAAATGGTGTAACATTCAAAGAAATTATTCTCATTGCTGCCCAGTTAGAGTCCAATTCCCTTTCCTTTTGGAGGATATATCCTGGGCTGGGATGCCTTCTCAACAGGCAAGACACAAAGATGTAGCCTGTAAAATCTGATGTGCCTACATGCTGGCACCCACCATGGTTCATCAACTAACTAACTAAACTCCCTTTGTAATTCAGCACCTCTTCCTGAGATTTTAGTCTTCATACAGAAATCTGTTTCATCTTCATGCTTAGCTAATTTTGAGATGGGGGAAAATAAAAACAAACAGACAAAAAAACCCTAAATATAAGTCTTATCAAGTAAGTCACTTAAGATGTAATGTGGTAGGTTTCAAAAAGTAGAAAAATACTCTGATGTCTGTTTCATGAGCACTTGAAGCTGGTTGCAGACTGGATGTGCCAAGGTGAAAATAGCCAGCAGGAATTCTGAGTTGGATACTGTTGTTGTTTCCTATAATGCTTGATTGTCTAATTTTCAAAGCCCAAAAATGAAGAGAAAAGGAGAAATAGGTATCCTTGTATCTATAATACTAAGCTCCTTATTCTGCCACCTTTATCCAGGCACCAAATGCCCTCGTGCCTCATTACCAGCCTCCTAGGGAGACCAGTGCTATCCACATTACTCCCCAGAGGGACACGTGTTTGGGGTCAGAGATTCAGATAATATATGCACTATAATAAGGATTTAGAAAATCAGAAATATAAGAGGTATTGATATTAAAATAATGGAGTCATAATTTGCATATAGGCCTTCCTCCATATCAGTCCTCTAAACACACAAGCATATGAACTTGCACTATCCAGAACATAGCTCATCATTGTAGCAGGGAAAAAGAGAACATGGTGAGTCACTTTTCAAAGGCTTTCACCTAGAAATGTCATGTGTTATTTCCACTCACATTTCTTTGGCCAAAGCAGCTCATATAGTCAGACCCAATTTCAAAGGTACAGGTAAGTACAATCTACCCTGTGCCCAAAGAAGAAAGCCAGAATACTGAGCATCTCTAATGTCTGCCCTATCGGCACTGAATATCTCAGAGCGGGTGTGAGGATCAAACAAAGCAAGACATGAAAGTATTTTTAAAAGCTGCAAGCTCAAAACAATAGTGAGTTATCATTAAGTGGCACACCATCGAGAATTATCCAAGGCCTTTCTTACACTGCGATGCTACAATCTCATTCCAACAATGTAAACATGAATGCTTTCTAATACTTGGAAAATGCTTTCTAGGTTTTCAGATTTTATCAAAGACCCCACATAATTATTCCTGTGATCTAGCAATGCATCTTTGTTTCTTACTGCCCTTGCCCACGATGAAAATATCTTTACCCTAATTTCTGACATCTAAGAATTGGGTTTATTTCCATTTATACTCAGTGTCCTGAGAACAAAGGGGAAAATAATGAAAGCTAGACTGCTCGATTTCTAATTCTGGCCCTGCCATTTGCCAGTTACAAAATCTCAGCCAAGTTACTTATTCTTTCTGGACCTCAGTTTCCCTTTCTGAAAAGTGGGGATATTAATAATACTCTACCAGGCTTTTGGAAAAGATTAAAGGTACATAGTGACATATAAAGTACTCAGGCCAGTGCCTGGCTTATAGCAAGTATTCAATAAATATTGGCTCTTTTCATTTCTTCTAAAAAAAAAAGAAATTTCATTTTTAGAAAAGAAATTTATTGTAAAATTCTATCAAGGATCATGGCAGCAGTGAAGGTGACTGTGATATCAGACAAGCCAGTGGCAATGTCCAGGGAGCAAGGATGGCCCTAAAAAAGAGGATGTAAGTCTGCCTCACTGAATTCATTCATTTAATCAATCAATCAGGCATTTATTTACCACTCTGTCTCTCTATTCCAGGAACTGTGCCAGGCCTATGACCTCAGAGATTATTAAGACACTATCCTTCCCTCCTTCTGTGAGCTCATATCCTAGTAGGGGAAGCAATAGATAAATGAAAAATAGTAGTGTTGTTCCAAAGCATAAGAAATATCATAATACAGTCATGCATCACTTAAAGATAGGCATACATTCTGAGAAATGCATGATTAGGCAATTCTGTCCTTGTGTGAACATCATAGAATATACTTACACAAACCTAGCCTACCACACACCTAGGCTATATCATATAGCCTATTCCTCCTAGCCCATGGACCTGTAAAGCATGTTACTCTACTGAATATTATAGGCAATTTTAACACAATAGTATTTATGTATCTAAACATAGAAAAGGTACAGTAGAAATATGGTATTATAAGCTTAAGGGACCACTGTCATATATGTGGTCTGTCATTAACCAAAACATCATTATATGGTGTATGATTACAGATATAAATCCTAAATAGAGCCCAGTGCAGCCTCTCCAAAACTCCATCCATCCAAAACTCCCATGCCAGGGTATCTATGCTTGAAATTCTTTTTTTTTTTTTTTTTTTGAGACAGAGTCTTGCTCTGTCACCGAGGCTGGAGTGCAGAGCAGTGGCGTGATCTCGGCTCACTGCAAGCTCTGCCTCCCAGGTTCAAGCAATTCTCTGTCTCAGCCTCCTGAGTAGCTGGGATTACAGGTCCCCGCCAGCACACCAGGCTAATTTTTGTATTTTTAGTAGAGACAAGGTTTCACCATCTTGGCCAGGCTGGTTGTGAACTCCTGACCTCATGATCCACCCACCTCGGCCTCCCAAAGTGTTGGGATTACAGGCATGAGCCACTGCACCCAGCCTGAAATTCAACTTTTAA
This sequence comes from Homo sapiens, assembly GCF_000001405.40. Classification (NCBI taxonomy): domain Eukaryota; kingdom Metazoa; phylum Chordata; class Mammalia; order Primates; family Hominidae; genus Homo; species Homo sapiens. The sequence goes on along the minus strand of NC_000002.12, from coordinate 170,298,377 downwards.
AGTTCTAGTCCTTTAGTTTAAGAATTGTTCTGAGAGAAAAACCACATTATTCTCACTTCCTGCCAGCTAGAACCAATCTTACCAGGGGTGTGATCTCACTGGTCTCTAGGGAGGGCTCTCTCCTCAAACTCTCCTCCCCATTCCTGCCATAAGGCCTAAGAGTTCACCATCTGAGATGCTTTCAACTGGATCATTTTTTAGCCAGCTGGGATGTGATTGGGAAATTTAAAAAAATTACCTTGAGAATAATTCTAATTCTCTAGAAGAAAATTTCCAGAGAACAGGCCCTGGAATATTTATGTCATATATTTACACCACATATATAAAAATATACACATATATAAGTCTTCATCAAAATCCTGTCAACCCTCTAAATAGTATTTCTAGAATATGATTATCATCATTATTATTTCCTAGCCTAATCATTTTTCATTCATGTGTTTGTCTTTGGTCTCATGATGGCACCTGTGATAGACCAGAATTCCCTAATTGCTAATGGTACATTTGCAGCTATTCCTATAGTATCGCTGCTGTACTAATCATGAACAGTGATTAAATATACTCCAAGCAATTTTAACATTCATCAGACTGATAATGGCAAGAAACAAATTGGAGCCTTTCAGTGTTTTACTAAATGTGCTCTCTAATTCCTTATTACTCTATATATTTCTGGAAACTATTTCTATACACAAACCAAGCTGAAAAGAAAAGTGCTCTTTGCTGCAAAAATAAAAGAACGAGTTTAAGCTGCTTGCCACCCTGGGGATAATCGCAATCACATTAAAATGCAGCTCAATGGCTCATCTTTCTTCTTTCCCCTCTATCAGTCAGTAAATTAATTCCTTTATAGATATGAACATCAATATTCTATTTTTATAAAATGTGCCTTTTTTCAATTACTTCCTGGGAAAAGCAGAGTTACTATGGCAATCTCTGAATTTTGCACTCTGCAGCTTTAGACTACCACTGTTTTTTAAATGGGGAGCTATAATTTAGCTCAACTCTTTTTACAAGGTATACAAATACCCACACATCCTTAACTGTCTGTGGGTGCATGTCATTGGGGGAGGGGGTGGCCATTGGGAGCGGGTATGTTTTGTTTTTCAGGCCTATAAAATATGGAAGGGGTATTGGGGGGAAAAAATCTTTTTCTAAGGTGAGCTCTTACATCCCAGCACCTAGTGGCATACCTCAGTCACAACAGATGTTAAATAAAAGTTTATTGAAGATCAAAAAATTGTACATCTTCTTGTGAATTTCTCACATGGTTCTTACCTATTCATAACCTTATTCAATATGTGAAGGAGATTAATATGGTTCGGATCTGTGTACCCACCCAAATCTCATGCTGAAATGTAATCCCCAATGTTGGAGGTGGGGCCTGGTGGGAGGCGATTGGATCATGGGTGCGGTTTGTCATGGCTTAACACCAACCTCCTTTGATGCTGTCATCGCAAGAGTAAGTTCTAATGACATGTGGTTGTTTAAAAGTGTGTAGACCTCCCCACTCTCTCTTTTGTCCCCACTCTGGCTATATAAGACATGTCTCCTTTCTGTTCACCTTCCACCATGATTGTAAGTTTTTTGAAGCCTCCTCAGAAGCAGAAGCTGCTATGCTTCCTTTACAGCCTGTGGAACTGCAAGCTAATTAAACCTCTCTTCTTTATAAATTGCCTAGATTCAGGTATTTTTTTACAGCAATGTGAGAACAGACTAATACAGAGGTCAGCTGGTAAAAAGGTTTTGCTCTCCTTTGGGCAATAAAGAGTGGGCTTATGACCCATGAAGACCCCCATACCTCCCCATTGCAAGATTCTGCTCAGTTCTGTAGCCTCTTCCTAATCTCACACAATGTTATTTTGTAGTCTCCAATGCCTGGTTAACAAGAACCTTCTATTGACTGAATTGACATGGAGACGTCTAAATAATTCCTGTTGATAAGTCTGTTTGAATACCCCTCTTGTGGTGTACCATGTGAGTGTAGCTGTACCACTAACCACCAATGGTTATACGGACAGAATAGCAACTTGTATTTCACCTCCAGCTTCTACACAGATAGCTGTTTAGCAATTTATTTCACATTGGATAAGCTTCTTGTCTCCATTACTGTCTCTTTCAGCTAAGCCTTAGGTTGGAAAGACAAAAGCAGCTCTCTCAGCGCATGATCCATCACTCTGCTCATCAGGGTGGGAACTTTAGGGCCAAAGTTGTACATGGAAAGATGTAGGGCCTGTCTCTCACTGGGAAAGATCTTCCACCTTTGAAAGCCCTATTACAAGTGTTCTTAAACTGAAGGCTAAGATGAGCGTAAGAGCATCTGTAACTCTCAAATTAGTAGGCATTATTTTATCCATTTTTCTAGGGAGAAAGTTATATGATTTTCAGTAGGCTGCTACAGGTTTAGGACCCCTGAAAAAGGTGCACTCTACTGGCTTAGCAGGTCCAGAGTGGGCTTCAGGTAGAGAAGACTTGGAGAAGATAGCCAGCACTTTATGGAATAACATATTCAACATACCAAGAGAAAATAATTCTCAACATGGAATTCTATACCCAGCTAAGTTATTTTCCAACAGTAAATATGTCTTATAATAAAGAAGAAATAAAGATATTTTTACAAAGGCAAAGACTTAGAGAGTTGATTACTCAAAGACTCTGAAAGAACTATTTAAGGTTGTACTTTGATCCTAAATGAAACAATATTATACAAAAAACTATATGGAACAAAGACAGTTGGCTCAACATGGATACATCTATTTTAAATGATAATAGTAATGACTAATTTGGGAGCAGGGGATGTTAAAAATAAGATATAAATAGAATACATGGATGAATTGAGAGATTTCTAGAGTTAAAGCTTTTTAAGTCCCATATATTCTTTAGCAAATAGGTAAAGATAGAGATTCTTTTTACCTCGTTAAATCAATATAGTATATTAAAAATTTAAGGGAATCCACTAAAATAATATAAATCAATTATATAGTTTCAAAATGATAGATGGGGGAAAAGAGAAACAATAAAGAAAATCAATACAATAGAATATACACAAAAAGAAAAGGATCATAAATAGAAAATAAAATTAAATGGTATAAATGAATCCAAAAATATCAGAAATAATGAGTATAAACAGAATAAACTAGCCCATTAGAAAGTCTCAGGATAATTTTTTTTTAAATCCAAATACATGTCATTTACAAGATACACTTGAAGCATAATGGCTCATCAACATTGAAAGGAGGGAGATTTAATAAGATATAAGACAAATACTAACAAAAATTTAGTTATAGTAAAACTAAAATAAGACTGTATAATGACAAAGGTAACCATTCATCAGTAATAATAGTTCTGTACTTTTAAAAATTGAAAGAATTACAAGGAGAAATGAATTAATTAACAATCAGCATGGTGAGAATTATGTTTAATACACTTTATTTTTTAGAGTAATTTTAGTTTTTCAGAAAAATTGAGCAGAAGGTACAGCAATTTCTCATATATCCCCTACTTTATATGTGCATAGCCTTCCCCCATTCTCAATATCTTCCACCAGAGTGGTACAACTGAACCTACATTGACACATCACTATCACTCAAAGTCCATAGTTTATCTTAAAGTTCAATCTTGGTGTTGTACATTCTATGGGTTTAGACAAATTTATAATGACATATATTTACCACTATAGTATCATACAGGGTAGTTTCAATGAGTATGAGAATTTTTAATAAGTTTAATTTGATGGTGATATGTTGAACCTTGCCACTCACAATTAAAGGGTACACATTCCTTCCAAGCATACATTAATTCAAAAATTGAACATGAACTGGATCACAAATTTTTAATAAATAATATAAAATTGAATTCACACAAATCACAGTATATAACCACAGTAAAATAAAATTAGAAATCAATCTTCAAAAATATAGCAAGCTATTTGTTTGAAACTTATATTTTTGAGTCAAAGAAAACTACAAAAATAGAAACTAGGAACTAATTAGAACTAACTTAAAATGAAAATAAATATATCCAAATTAGTTTTTAGAATAAATTTTATAATATATTATTTTATCTATATATTATGAGGGGAAAAACCAAAAATTGGGCTGTCTGCAACTCAAGATTGGTGGTAGAGAAACAGCAAGATAAGCCCAAAGAGAACAGTATATGGAGAATTTTGTTTTTAAGAACAGAAATTAAATAGAAAAGAAACAAAGAAAGAATAAAGTTGATTGAGCCAAAAACTGTTTGTTTAAAAAGATCAGTAGGTTCTGTTCTAGGTAAGACGAAACAGATAAACTCTGCCTTGTCTCTCCTATTGAATGAAGCTACAAAATTTGAACAGAATGCATGGAGCAGTTATTTGAGGATTCTGAGAAGTAAATAGGAGCAGGTGAACAGGGAAAAAAAAGAACGAAATTCTAAGAATCACCCAACCAGTGGTGAATTTATCATTTTTTTCCCTCCATATCCCTTAGCCTGGTCTCAAGGCATCCTGAAACCAAGAAGTGGATATTGACATGGGCAGAGAAAAGCTCATGCAGAATACCTCTAGTTTGGGCTCTAGAAGTATAAAAAAAAAAGGCTTCTTTGGTACAGTAGCAACTGTCAGCTAAAACTCTAAAGAAAGGGAAATTTCCTTTCAATCAGGGGAGCTGTGGTCTCAAAAGGTGAGGTGAATCCCTACTGCTTCTCTTTCTCTATCCTCCAGCCACTTGGTCTCAGACACAATTGCAGTCATAAAAAGTGTGTAGCAAAGCAGACCAAATAAATCTTAGATTTTTGGCTGGAAGACTGAAAAGGGGAATTGCAGGAAGCCAGACAGTACCACGGAGATTGCAGACAGAGAAGAGGTTGAGAAAGCAATTCCATAAAAATTTATAATCTGACAGAGTATTACCACCAAAAAATATCTGTGAAAACATTGGAAGCATTCTCTTAAAGTGGGAAGTGAGACAGATGCCCATTGTCACCACTTTATTCAACATAATATAAGAAATAAGCAGTAGAACTAATTAGAATAAACATTAGAACAAGCAAAAATATCACTTATATAGTAACAAAAAGTAAGTATCCAAAAATAAATCTTTTCTAATGTGCCAAACTTTTATGGAAAAAGTATAAAACTTAACTGGAAGAGTTCCAGTTTTCAAATGGCAGTGCAGAAACAATCTAGCTTCATTTCCCCCCACAGAAAACCAAAACCAAATATACAGTGCCAAGATTTTCACCAGCAACAACCCAGAAGTCAAATATGAGGATGAGATGCATCCTGGGGCCACAGAGAGGTGAAAAAACTCCAAGTCAACAGTGAAAGAGTTGGACTTCCAAATCCTTGAGGCCTCTCCCCCTCATGGTGCCCTGCAACAAGTGTGTGGAAAATCTTTCCCCAACTCACAATTTCTACACTGGAAAAATGTGAGATTGAGGTGGTAAATCAGCTTTCCCACCAGCTTGGATTCCCTGGCAGGAGTTCTGTACTTGCCTCTACCCACTGGAAGCATCATACTGCCTGCAAAGACAAAGGTGGGAGGCAGGACTACCATACTCATTCCTGGAAACTGTACTGTAACTTGGCTAAAGAAGATGCCAAATCAGAGTGGCTGTTCAGCAGCATCACATTGTAGAAGGTACAATTCAGAGGTCTTTTGAACATGAACCCCTACCCAGCCTTCCCACACTGGTTGGATAATCCCTTTGGGATCTCCACATTTGAAACAGGCAGGGCTCAGATCATTTACTAGAGCTAACGCGGACCTGGGCTTAAGGTACCACCTAGAGGCAAAAAGGAAACCGCAACCTTGTGATAAAGATATACTAAGCAAATATATCTAATAAAAACCAAAACAAGCTGGACAGAGAAAACTGGAATAAATAGCTAGTCCTTCAAAGACATAGACATTTACCCATAAGAAACAACAGCAAACAGACCCATTACCTCCCCAAAAAGACAAAGCAAAAATCCAGTGACTGACCTAATGAGACAGCCATTTGTAAGCTCTCTGACCAGGAATTCAAAATTGCAGTTTTAAGGAAATGCAGTGATCTCCAAGGTAACACAGAAAAGTAATTCAGAAATTTATCAGAGAAATTTAACAAAGATATTAAAATAATTTTAGAAATCAAATAGAAACCTTGGAACTGAGAAATACATTTGCTGAAATGAACTCATTAGAGACTCTCAATAGCAGAATGGACCAAACAGAGAAAAAAAATCAGTGAGCTTGAAGATTATTTGAAAATACACAGTCAGAGAAAAAAGAAGAGTGAAAAGGAAAGAAAACCAACTACAAGATGCAGAAAATTATCTCAAAAGACCAAATCTAAGAATTATTGATGTACAAGAGGGAAGTGAGTAGGAGCAAGGGGTAGAAAGCTTATTCAAAGAAGTAACAGAAAATTTTCCAAAATGTGAGAAAGGTATAAATATCCAGGTACAGGAAGGTCAAAGAACACCAAACAGATTCAACCCAAAAAAGACTAATCCAAAGCATATAATAATCAAAATCTTAAAGGTCAAGGACAAAGTGAAGATCCTAAATGCAGCAAGAGATAAGAAGGAAATAAGATATAAAGGATCTCCAATTTGTCTGGCAACAGGCTTTTCAACGGAAACCATACAGGCCAGGAAGGGAAAAAATGGCATTTTCAAAGTGCTTTAAGAAAATAAAAAAAACCTGTCATCCAAGAATACTATGCCCAGCAAAATTATCCTTTGAATATGAAATAGAGATAAAATCTTTCCCAGGCAAATAAAAGCTGAGAGAATTCACCACCACACATATTTTACAAGAAATTATAAAGGGAGTTATTCTATCTAAAAGAAGAAAAACACTACCATGCAAAAAGAAAAATCTTCAGGGTATAAAAACCACTGGTAAAAGTAATTGCATGGACAAACCCAGAATATTCTATTACCGTAAATTTTGGTGTGCAATCCACTCATAACTCTAGTATGAAGCCAAAAAGACAAATCTATCAAAAACAATAATAGTTACAGCAACCTGTTGAGAGACAAGTAATATAAAACTATGTAAACTGAGACAACTAAAAGTCAAAATTTGGGGGGGATGCAGTTAAAGCGTAGATTGTCTTGTGGTCCTTTAACTTTGGTTTTTTGTTTGTTTGTTTCTTTTTTTCAAATGGAGTCTCACTGTTGTTGGCCCAGGCTGGAGTGCAATGGTGTGATCTCGGCTCACTGCAGCTTCTGCCTCCCAGGTTCCAGCAATTCTCCTGCCTCAGCCTCCCGAGTAGCTGAGATTACAGGTGCCCATCACCATGCCTGGCTAATTTTTGTATTTTTAGTAGAGACGGGGTTTCACCATGTTGGCCAGGCTGGTCTCGAACTCCTGACTCAGGTGATCCACCCACCTCAGCCTCCCAAAGTGCTGGGATTACAGGCATGAGCCACTATACCTGGCCACCTTTGTTTGTTTCTATTATTTTATTTGTGATCCAAAATAACTTTTCTTCTCTTTAAAGTAACCTGTTATATCTACAAGTTCTTTTTTTTTTTTGTAAGCCTCATGGTAACCACAGCATGAATGCCTATAATAGATTCACTAAGAATAAAAAGCAAAAGAGTAAAACATACTATCAGTGAAAATAACCACAAAGGAAGACAGGAAGAAAGGAAGAGAGGAGTCTCAAAACAACCATAAAACAGGCAACAAAATGGCAATAATAAGTCTTTACTTATCAATAATAACACTGAACGTAAAAAGTCTGAATTCTCCAACTAAAAGTTAGAGAGTGGCTGAAGGGACAGAAACAAGATCCAATTATATGCTGCCTTGAAGAAACCTACTTCACATATAAAGATACACATAGACTGAAAATGAAGGGGTAGAAAAATGTATCCTATGCAGCTGGAAGCTAAAAAGAAAGCAGAAATAGCTATACTTATTTCAGATAAAATAGACTACAAATCTAAGGTTGTAAAAAGAAACAAAGAAGGTAACTATATAATGATAAAAGGGTCAATTCAGCAAGAGAATATAACAATTGTAAGTATATATGCACCCAACAGTGGAGCTCTCAAGTATATAAAGGAAAAATTAACAGATCTAAAGGGAGAGATAGATTGCAGTACAATAATGGTAGGGAACTTTAGCACCCCATTCTCAGTAATGTAAAGATCACCCAGAGAGAAAATCAACAAAGAAAAAGTAGAGTTAAACTCCACACTAAATCTAATAGGCCCAACTGCTGCAAAATACATATTCTTTTTATCAGCACACAGGACATTTTCCAGAATGAATCACAGCTTAGGCCAAAAAACAACTCTGAACAAATTCAAAAAATATAAATTACATCAGGTATATTTTCTGATCACAATGGATCACAATGGAATACAACTAGAAATCAGTAACAGGAGGAACTTTGGAAAACACACAAACACATACAAATTAAACAATGTGTTCCTGAATGACCAATGGGTCAATGAAATTAAGAAGGAAATTTTAAAATTTCTTGAAACACACAAAAATGGAAATACATCATACCCAAATCTATGGGATACGGTAACAGCAACACTAAGAGGGAAATGTATAGCAGTAAATGCCTATAATCAAAAGGAGTAGAAAGACTTCAAATAAACAACCTAATGACACCCCTCAAGGAACTAGAAAGAATGAACCAAACCCCAAATTAGTAAAAGGAAAGAAATAATAAAGATCAGAGCAAAAATAAATGAAATTGAGACTAAAAAACCACAAAACGTCAAGGAAATGAAAAGTTTGTTTTTGAAAAGATAAAAAAATTGACAAACCTTTAGCTAGACTAAGAAAAAAGAGAGAATACCCAAATAAATAAAGTCAGAAATGAAAAAAAAGACATTAAAACTGAGACCTCATAAATACAGAGTCATCAGAGATGGTTATGAACAACTAAATGCCAACGAATTGGAAAACCTGGAAGAATGGATAAACTCCCGGAATCATAGAACCTATCAAAATTGAACCATGAAGAAATAGAAAACCTCACAAAACCAATAATTGTTAATGAGAAGAAGGCTGTAATAAAGTTTCCCATCAAAGAAAAGTCCAGCACCTGATGGTTTCACTGATAAATTCTACCAAACATTTAAAGAATAACCAGTAACAATCTTACTCAAATTCTTTGTCTTCAAAAAAATTGAAGACAAGGGAGTACTTCCCAACTATTCTACAAGGACAGCATCACCTTGATACCAAAAACAGACAAGGACACAACAAACAACAAAAATGACAGGCTGATATCACTGATGAACATATGTACAAAAATGCTCAACAGAACACTAGCAAACCAAACTCAACAACACATTAAAAAGGTCACTCACTATGATCAAGTGGGATTCACCCCAGAAATGCAAAGATGGTTCAACATAGTCAAATTAATAAATGTAATACAACACACGAACAGAATTGAGAACAAAAACCAACTGATTGTTTCAATAGATGCTGAAAAACATTTGATAAAATTCAACATTGCTTTATATAAAAACCCTCATCAAAATGAGTATGGAAGGAACATACCTCAACATGATAAAGGCTATGTATGACAAACCCACAATTAACATTGTACTAAAAAGCTTTCAGCTTTTCCTCTAAGGAATGGAACAAGACAAGGATGCCCACTTTCACTTCTCTTATTCAATACAACACTGGAAGTCCCTGCCAGAGCAATTAGGAAAGAACGAAAAAAAGGGCATCTAAAGCAGAAAGGAAGAAGTCAAATTAGCTTTGTTTGTAGACCACATGATTTCATATCTAGAAAAACCTAAAGATTCCACCAAAAAAACTGTTATATCTAATAAACAAATTCAGTAAAGTTGCAGGATACAAAATCAACACACAAAAATCAGCAGCATTTATATATGCCAAGAGCAAACAAAAAAATCAAGAAAGCAATCCCATTTATAATAGCTGCAAAAAATATGAAATACCTAGGAATCAATCTAACTAAAGAAGTGAAAGATCTATACAATGAAAACTATAAAACTTGGATGAAAGAAATCGAAGAGGATACCAAAAACATGGAAAGATACTCCCTGCTCATGGATTGGAATAATTAATATTGTCAAAATGACAACACTACTCAAAGCAATTTACAGATTCAATGAAGTCCCTATTAGAATACCAATGACATTCTTCACAGAAATAGAAAAAAAAAAAACCTAAAATTTATGTGAAACCACAAAAGACCCCAAAAAGACAAATCAGTCCTGAGCAAAAAGAGCGAAGCTGGAGGCACCACACTCTCTGACTTCAAAATTTACTACAAATCTATAGCAACCAAAACAGTACGGTACTGGCATAAAAATGGACACATAGACAAATGGAACAGAATAGAGAACCCAAATATAAATCAATGTATTTACAATCAGCTCATCTTTGACAAAGGTACCAAGAACATACAATGGGGAAAGGACGGTCTTTTCAAATGGTGCAGGGAAAACAGGATAACTATATGTAGAAGAATGAAACTAGACCCCAGTCTCTCTCCATACACAAAAGTCAAATCAAAATGGATTGAATAATTAAATCTGAGACTTGAAACAATGAAACTACTAGAAGAAAACATTGGGAAAATTGCTCTAGGACATTAATCTGGGCAAAGTTTTTTTTTATGTAAGACATCATAAGCACAGGCAACCAAAGCAAAAATAAACAAATGGGATTATATCAAGCTAAAAATCTTCTGCAAATCAAAGGAAATTGAAGAAACAACCCACATAATAGGAGAAAATATTTGTAAACTATTCATCTGAAAAAGAATTAATAACCAGAATATATAAGGAGCTCAAACAAATCAATAGCAAAAAACCAAATACTACAATTTAAAAATGGAGAAAACATATGAAGAGACACTTCTCAAAATAAGACATACAAATGGCCAAGAAGCATATGAAAACATGCTCAACATCAGTAATCAACAGGGAAATGCAAATCAAAACCACAATGATATATCACCTCATCTCAGTTAAAATAGCTTACATGGAAAAAAAAAAAGGCAATAACAGATGTAGGTGAGGATGTGAAGAAAAGAGAACCCTGATACCCTGTTGGTGGGAATGCAAATTAGTACAGCCACTATGGAGACCAGTATGGAGGTTCCTCAAAAAACTAAAAGTAGAACTACCATATGATCCAGCTATTCCACTACTGGGTATATATCCAAAGGAAAGGAAATCAGTATATAAAAGAGATACATGCACCCCCATCTTTATTGCATCACTATTCACAATAGCCAAACTATGGAATCAAGCTAAGTGCTCATCAATGGATGAATTGGTAAAGAAAATGTGGTAGACATACACAATGGAATATTATTCAGCCATAAACAGAATGAAATCCTGTCACTGGCAGCAACATGGATAGAACTGGAGGCCATTGTGTTAAATGAAAAAAGCCATGCACAGAAAGACAAATACCTCATGTTTTCATTCATATGTGGGAGCTCAAAAAAGTGGATCTCATAAAGACAGAGAGTAAATTAATGGTTACCAGAGGCCAGGAAGGGTAGCAGGGAGGGAGGGATGAAGAGGAAAAAAGAAATATAAATGTAGTTATTACCACTGAACTCTATACTTAAAAATGGTAAAGATGATACATTTTATGTTTATTTTTTACCCAATAAAAAAATAAAATGAAAAAATACGAACAAAAACAACTTAACTGGAGGACAGAAAAGAAGACCTAAGTTAAAGAAGGTCTATGGCATTTTGACACATGGGAAGACTAATACCTCAAAAAAGTTGATTCTTCCTAAATTACTCTATGCAATTCCAGATAACTCCCAGTAAGACGGAACTTGACATACTGTTCCTAAATTTTATATAAAAAAATTAAAAGCCAAGATTAGTCATAATAATTTTTGAGAAGGAAGGGGAAAAGGAGAAAGAATATAGCAACCATGACTAGATATAATCCAGGAAAGCCTCTAAATAGATATAAATGGGAAACTTCCTACATCATGTGGTACAGGTACAGATGGAAACCAACTGCCCCAGTACTCCCAGCAAGCAAGACCCCAAGATCAGTGTAGAATTATTGACATATATTCATGCCCCCAGCTTTAGGTTAATCAGATGTAGAAGGCATCTTACTCTGTTAGGACTACCAAGAACTGTGAACATCAGATATAGTTCAATGAGATAAAACAGAGCAACGGAGAAACCTGTCCATTTCCTTTACATTGCTTTGGCTGCTTTGGAAGTTCTGCTTACCCATCCTCAAACCTGGACCACACTTCATGATGTGGCTTATTAAAAGGGGTCTGCTTTATAATATCAAAAATTATTATCAAAGCACAATAATTCAAATTGTGTGGTATTCACACAAGGATTGTCAAACAGATTAATGGAACAAAACAGAGACCAGAAATAGATCCACATATAGGTGGGATCTAGATATATGGTAGACATGACATGATAAATCAGTTGGTAAAACATTAATCAGTAAATGATATTGGAACAATTGGCTTTTCATGTAAGAAAGACTTAGGTTTCTCCCTCATATTATGTATATAAACCTAAAATTCCAGATGAATTAAAGACCTTAAGTGAGAAAAGCAAACCTTTAAAACTTGTAAAAAAAAAAAAATACAACATTATGACTTTCACATAAATAATGATTTCTATAACATGAAAAGCATACCCAAAAATAAAAAGATCGAGAAATTTGACATTAAACTTAAAAGTTTTTGCACAATAATAAATACCATAAAGTCAAAAGATAGGTCACAGCTGAGCACGGTGGCTCACGCCTGTAATCCCAGCACTTTGAGAGGACAAGGGAGGCGGATTACCTAAGGTCAGGAGTTTGAGACCAGCCTGGCCAACATATGGTGAAACACCATCTCTACTAAAAAAATACAAAAATTAGCTGGGCATAGTGGCACATGCCTGTAGTCCCAGCTACTTGGGAAGCTGAGGCAGGAGAATCACTTGAACCTGGGAGGCAGAGGGGCCGAGATTGTGCCACTGCACTCCAGCCTGGGCAACAGAGCAAGACTCTGTCTCCCAAAAAAAAAAAAGGTCACAGACTGACAGAAGATATTTGCAACACATAAAATATAAAATGTTAGTATCCTGAATATATAAGATGTACCTATAAATTAATAAAGACAAAAAAAACCCTTTGGAATGCGAGTTGTTAATATCTGATTAAGCTGACATCAAAATTCTACTTCTGGAAATGTCCTCCAGAGAAATCTTCACCCTTGTCCACAAGAAGACAAGTAGAGTATTATTTGTATTGTAATAACAATGTAGATGCCCACCCATCAGTAAGAACATAGCTATTAATAGATAAAGTATGATATAGTCCAATAACAGAATGCTATGCAGCAGGTAAACTGAATAAACTAGATCTGCATGCATCAACATGGATAAGTTTTCAAAACATGATGTTTAGCAACTCAAAAGCAAGATGCAATTGGATATGTACAGTATGAGACAGTTTATATAACATTTTAAAACAATCAAACCATACTCTATATTATAAATATATGCATATGCAATGAAAGTTTTTTAAAATGCATAAGAAAAATACACACCAATTTTATTGTGATGGTCATCTATAGGAAAGGAGAGAGACAAGTAGGATAGATAGTGGTGTTACCCTTATTACATTTGATTTATGAAGAAAAAGGAATTTAAGCAAATGTGCAAATTCCTTTTTCTCAAAACGTTATTTTGAATATGTGGGAGGTCATACTATTTTTTAAGCTTTTTGGTATGTTTTAAATATTTAAACATAAAAACAAAATCAAATTTAACAATGTAGGCCACTCTCCTCAGGAAATACATTCTTTTATATTTTCCAAAATTTTCATTCGCTCCCTTTCCTTTTCTCCCTATTTTCCCCATCATTCACCAAAATGCTTTGTAGGTCTTAACTCCTGAAAAAATTTCCAGAGTCCTCACTCTGCCTGCCTCTCCCCTCTCTGCACCCCTGCTGGATGTACACACACCTCTATTATCTTAGCTGTCATACTGACATGTATTGAGCTGAACCATGAGAGACTGCTGCTTTTGGTAGGTCAAAACATTTGAATATAGGGAATGTCATACAGTTTAACTGATAATGATATTTACATATCTGTCTTTGCTATCAGACTCTGGAACCCTTGAAAGTCCATGTTTGATTCACTGCCCTATCCAAGGATTGGTGCATATAGGGTGCTCATTTGGACATTTAAATTAAATTGGTCCCATAATTAGAGGCATTTCCTCTGCACCTCTCTTTCAGTTTCTTCCCCCCAGCTTTAAAGGGATAGACATCTGACACAAACATTCTCCAGCCTAGATCAGAAAGGAACTGTAGAGTAGTCATTGTTTTGGTATTTGTTCCATGGAGTTCTACTTATGGAAAGGACTAGAAGTAGCATATATGTGTGAAGAATTCATAAGAGCTGCTCAGCTATGGGACAAAGGGATTCTTGGAAAACTGAGAAGCCAATGTATTGTTACAATAATGCACAGTGATGTACATGTATGCATCTTTGCACTCACTCATCCACCTATTCACTCATTCAGAATCAGTATGCAACTTATCCAAATGTATCAAGAATAACCCAGGAATCCAAATATAATGTGCTACTTTCAACCAGAAAGTGCCAATATAAACTGCCAATTTCAACCAGAGGTACTACTGCTCACCTCTAGCCTTCTGATATTTAACCCACACAATTAACTGACCAGAATCTTCCAATCTAGGAAGAGACAATTATGATTGTTATTAGTGGCTTGTAGCTTTACAGCAGCTGGTTTCAGGAATTAGCCAGTCTGTATGGGGTTTACAAAGGACCAAAAGACCAAAAAGGTATGTCCCATAACCACAGTTAAGAGCAAAAGGAGATATTCTAACAGGAAAGAGCATCATAAAATTTAAACACTATAGGGGAGAGGTTCAAGATGGCTGACCAGAGGTACAGGACACGAACTTCTGCAAAAAGAACAAAAATAGCAAGTAGATAGTCACACTTTAAATAGAACATATAAGTAAAGAAGTCACAGGAAACACCTGAGGCAATGAAGGAGAAGCAGGCAAGTGACAGCCCAGCTGGGATCCCCTGAGAGCCTTGATAGGTTCCCCAGCATGGGAAATGGATAAGAGGGATCTCCAGCAGTCCACATTCTCACCTTAGGCTCCTATAACCCTAGCCACAGGAGAGTCCCTTGACTCTCCTTGAGACTGAAGTAGAGAGCTCCCAGAGTCTATACAATATCATTGCCCTAGAGAAGGAGCTCACGCTGGGTCCCACACATTCCTAAAGTTCCAGGCAGCGGCAGCACAGCACGATTTTGAGAGCCCAGCCCCACCAAACTGCATCCTAGCCCAGGGTACAACAGCCTCTGCATCTCTGCCTCTTGGGAGCACACCACTGGCATCCCCCTGAGTCCACCCAGAGGACTGCAATGGTGAAATGCTACTTGGATTCACTGGAAAAACAGAGTCCCCAGAACTCTAGCCCACACAGTGATCTGCATGCTGGGGAAAGGGGAGCCAAAGTATGTACTCCTCAGAGCCTCAAACCTGCCTGCCTGAGGTGGCTATCACCGATAGCAACCCTGACCCCTCAACAGCTCTGTGTTTGCATGCACTTTAAGAATAGGCTTTCCCCACTCACTGCACTGCTACTGCACCCACTCTAGCACGCTACCCAAGGCCTGGGGATTGGAAGCATTAATATTGTTTAAATGATCATGCTAATCAAAGTAATCTACAGAGTCAATGCATCCCTATTAAAATATGATGACATTTTTCACAGAATTAGAAAAAAAAACCCTAAAATTTATGTGAAACCAAAAAAGAGCCTGAAAAGCCAAAGAAATCCTAGGCAAAATGAACAAAGCTAGGGGCTTCACACTGCCTGACTTTAAAATATACTACAAGGCTATAGTAACAATGAGAGCATCGTATTGGTATAAAAACAAACATGTAGATCAATGGAACAGAATAAAGATAAACCCAAAGTAAACCTACATATTTACAGCCAACTGATGTTTGACAAAGGTGCTAAGAACATTCAGTGAGAAAGGTCACCTTTTCCAATAAGTGGTGCTGGGAAAATTGGTTATCTATATGCAGAAGAACGAAACTAGAACCCTATCTCTCAACATACACAAAAATCAAATCAAAATGGATTAAAGACTTAAATTTAAGACCCCAAACTATAAAACTACTAGAAGAAAACATAGGTGAAACACTCCAGGACACTGGTCTAGGCAAAGATTTTATGACTAAAACCCTCAAAGCACAGGCAAAATTGACAACAAAAGTAGACAAATGGGAAGATATTAACTAAAAAGCTGCATGGCAAAGGAAATAATCAGCAGAGTGAAGATACAACATGTTGAATGGGAGAAAATATTTGCAAAATATTCATCTGACAAGGGGCTAATATCCAGAATACACAAGGAACTCAAACAACAACAAAAAATTCCATTAAAAAGTGGGCATAGAGGTATTTGTAGTAGTTTCTGATGGTTATTTTTATTTCTGTGGGGTCAGTGGTAACATTCCCGTCATCATTTCTAATTGTGTTTATTTGGATCTTCTCTCTTTTCTTATTAGTCTAGCTAGTGGCCTATCTTATTAATTTTTTTAAAAAACCAACTCCTGGATTCATTGATCTTTTGAATGCTTTTTTTGTGTGTCTCAATTTCCTTCAGTTCAGCTTCTGCTAGCTTTGGGGTTGACTTGTTCTTGCTTCTCTAATTATTTCAGTTGTGACATTAGGTTGTTAATATGAGGTCTTTTTAACTTTTTGACGTGGGCATTTAGTGCTATTAATTTCTCCCTTAACTGCCTTAGCTGTGTCCCAGAGACTCTGGTGTGTTGCATCTTTGTTCTCAGTAGTTTCAAAAAACTTGATTTCTCCCTTAATTTCATTATTTACCCAAAAGTCATTCAGGAATATAAACATGATTTTGAGCAATTTGCTTAGTCTTGAATCCTATTTTTATTGCACTGTGGTCCAAGAGTGTGTTTGGTGTGATTTTGGTTCTTTTGCATTTGCTGAGGATTGTTTTATGTCCAATTATGTGGTCAATATTAGAGTACATGCCATTAGACAATGAGAAGAATATATATTGTTTTTGGGAGGAGAATTCTGACAACAGCCAACCTGAGAGCCAAATGAGAAAAACAATCCCATTCACAATTGCCACAAAAAGAATAAAATACCTGGGAATACAGTTAACCAGGGAAGTGAAAGATCTCTACAGTGAGAATTACAAAACACTGCTCAAAGAAATCAGAGAAGACACAAATAAATGGAAAAACATCCCATGCTCATGGATAGAAAGAATCAATATGATTAAAATGGCCATACTGCTCAAAGCAATTTATATAATCAATGCTATTCCTATCAAATTACAAATGACATTCTTCACGGAACTAGGAAAAAGTATTTAAAAATTCATATGGTACTAAAAAAGAGCCCAAATAGCCAAGGCACTCCTAAGCAAAAAGAACAAAACTGGAGGCATCATATTACTAAACTTTAAACTATACTACAGGGCTACAGTAACCAAAACAGCATAGTACTGATACAAAAACAGGTACACAGACCAATGGAACAGAATGGAGAGCCCAGAAATAAGGCCGCACACCTATGACCATCTGATCTTTGACAAAGCCGACAAAACCAAGCAATGGGGAAAAGATTCCCTATTCAATAAATGGTGCTGGGATAACTGATTAGCCAAATGCAGAAGACTGAAGCTGGACCCCTTCCTTACACCATATACAAAATTCAATTCAAGATAGATTACAGACTTAAATGTAAAAACCCAACTATAAAAACCCCAGAAGACAACCTAGGCAACACCATCCTGGACACAGAAACAAGCAAAAATTTCATGACAAAATTTCATGGCAAAAATTTCATGGCAAAATTGCCACAAAAGCAAAAATTGACAAGTGGGATCTAATTAAACTTAAGAGCTTCCGCACGGCAAAAGAAACTATCAGCAGAGTAAGCATACAACCTAGAGAATGGGAGAAAATATTTGCAAACTACACATTTAACCAAGGTCAATATGTAGCATCTATAAGAAATTTAAACAAATTTATAAGAGAAAAAAAAACAACCCCACTAAAAAGTGGACAAAGGACATAAACAGACACTTTTCAAAATAAGACATATGTGCAGCCAATAATCATATGAAAAAAAGCTCAACATCACTGATCATTAAAGAAATGCAAATCAAAACCACAATGTGATACCATCTCTCACCAGTCAGAATGTCTATTATTAAAAAGTCAAATAACAGATGCTGGCAAGGTTGTGGAGAAAACAAAACACTTATACACTGTTGGTGGGAGTGTAAATTATTTCAGTGATTGTGGAAAGCAGTATGGTTATTCCTTAAATAGCTAAAAGCAGAACTACCATTCAACCCAACAATCCATTACTGGATATATACCCAAAGGAATATAAATCATTCTACCATAAAGACATATGCACACAAATGTTTACTGCAGCTCTATTCACAATAGCAAAGACATGGAATCAACCTAACTGTCCATCAGTGGTAGACTGGATAAAGAAAACATGGTATATATACACCACGGAATACTATACAGCCATAAAAAGTAATGAGATCATGTCTTTTGCAGGAACATGGATGGAGCTGGAGGCCATTATTCTAGCAAACTAACACAGGAACAGGAAACCAAATACTGCATGTTCTCGCTTATAAAGTGGGAACTAAATGATAAGAACTTATGAACACAAAGAATAAAACAACAGACACTGAGGCCTACTTGAGGGTGGAGGGTGGGAGGAGGGAGAGAAGCAGAAAAGATAACTATTGGGTACTGGGCTTAATACCTGGGTGATGAGATAAATCTGTACAACAAACCCCCATGACACAAGTTTACCTATGTAACAAACCTTCACATGTACCCCTGAACCTAAAAGTTTTTTTTTTTAAGTGGACAAAGGATAAAGACAGACATTTCTCAAAAAAAGACATACCAAGGGGTAATATGAAAAAATGCTCAACATCACTAATTATCAGGGAAATGCAAATCAAAACCACAATGAGATCACTTCTTACCCCAATTAGAATAGCTATTATCAAAAAGACAAAAAATAACAAATGTGCTGGCAAGGACGCAGATAAAAGGGAACTTTCATACACTATTGATGGGAATGTAAATTAGAACAGCCATTAGGGAAAATAGTAAAGAGATTTCTCAGAAAACCTAAAAATAGAACTACTGTACAATCCAGCAATCCCACTGCTGAGTATTTACCCAAAGGAAAGGGAATCAATATATAAAAGGGATACATGCACCCCCATGTTTCTATTCACAATAGCAAAGATAAAAAATCAACCTCAATGTCTGTCAACAGATGAATGAATAAAGAATATGTGATATATTTACCCAATGGAATTACACAATGGAATATTATTCTGCCATAAAAAAAGAATAAAATCCTGTCACTTGCAGTAGCAAGGATGTAACTGAAGGTCATTACATTAAATAAAATAACCTACAAACTGAAAGACAAATATCGCATGTACTCATTCCAATGTGGGAACTAAAAAAATTGAATTCATGAAGGTAGAGAGTAGAAGAATAGTTATCAGAGGCTGGGAAGAATGTGGGTATATGTGGCGGGGGTTAGGGGGATAAGGAAGAGAGGTTGGTTAATGGGTAGAAACATACAGTTAGGTAAAAGGGATAAGTTCTGATGTTTGGTAGTGGAGTAGGGTTACTAAATTTAGTGACAATTTATTGTACATTTCAAAATAGCTAGAAATGAGGACTCGAATGTTCTCAACACATAAAATTATAAGGCACATGAGGGCAGATATCCTAAATACCTTGACTTGATCACTAGACATTCTATGCATAAAACATCACATGAACATCAATATATGCACAAATATTCTGTATCAGTAAAAAGAAAAAATTTATGCACTAGAATGAACTCTTTTTAGTATCTACAATATTTGGAATTATATTTAATAGCTTCAAAAACTTGCGGCTGTTGCCAAAAATAGATGTGTGCTATTAGAATTCTAAAGAGCTCTTTTATAAGGGAAATAGAATGAACTGTAGAAAGAATTCTGAATATAATCCTTTCCTACATCCTTGCTGTATATAAGACTACGACATTCTTAAAATTTCAAGCAGGGAGACCTGCTCTGGTTACCTTGGTGATAAACTGGGGATAAAAATTACACATAATTGCTACTGATGTCACTATCGCCATATTGTTTCCAAGGCTACAGATTGTCTCCAAATAATCATAATGCTTTGTGCACTGGAAGCCCACTCTGTAGCAAAAAGCTTAGTACTGCAGTTATTCTTTCTAATTCTGTCTAATAAACTATCCACAGTCTCTCAGGGATTTTGAATATTACAGCAATAAACAGGCATTGAAAATGTCTCTATCTTAACCTATTCCAGGCACACACATAATTTTTAAAAGCTGATATATAGAAAAGTTAATTTCTATCAGGAATATTCAGATATATCAGAAAATGTCCTTCTAAAATACATATCCCCTTAAATGCTACAGGGGAAAAGCGAATTGCAGAAATGCATATGTATGTATTTTACATGGAAAATATCTGAAAGATGTGCAGCAAACTGGTGACAGTGGTACTGAGGGGTAGGATTTCAACAGATTGCATTCTCTGTAAGACATTTATTTGTGTAATTTTTTTTTTTGGTCGGCATATATTACTTTTATAATCAGATGAAATAGTACAGGTAAAAACAAATTCCTAGTCCTCAGCAGTGCTATCCTTAAATTACCAGCCTAAAAGAAATGGTTTCCTAAATTGAATGAATAGATGAAGCCATTTATAAAGGATACATTTCCCTCTGACCTGCTTTCATTTGTTAAAGCAGTGCCCAGTGAGTTCTTTGTGCAATCACACTCAGCAACAATACAGTTACCCTTATGTAAGTCACATTATGCAGAAATCAAGACTCTCTTTGAAAACCAGTAATTGATGTATTTTGATTTAATGACTTATTGCGCCAGCCATAGATGTTGACTGCTCAAGAGATTGCCACAAGACAGCTGTGGTCAGTGAAAAACACCATGACGTTTTAGTTTCTTGGGAAATCCTATTTAAAGCACAATATGCTCTAACAACACACTAGTAATTATGTGATTAACAATAACAATCACTAGTACAGATTATGTGAGCCCCCAAACCTACTGCTAAACCTGGACTTCTAGGTGCTGCTGAAGCCCTGCATTTCTGGCACTCATTTGACCAACAGCAAACAGAGCAGGGGCCTCCTTCTCAGCCTTCCCCAGGTGCTGCATGCCTGCTTCTGGATGACACCAGTTCCCAGCACTGACCTTGTCAGCATGACATTTTCCACTAGAGCAAAACAGAATTCACTGTATCTAAGCTGCCTTGCCTGCCTGACCAGCTGGTTTTGAATAATAACAATTTACCTTTAGAGCCCATTTATTATATAATCCATAAAATGGCCCATATCTTGGGGAGGGGAACTATCCTTGCCTTTTAGACTATATAGAAACCAGAAATGAGAATGATGATCCACATAAATACATTATAAAGCAAAAAAACAGTTGCTTTATATTATAGGGTCCTGATTCTTTTTCTGCTGCTGAAATTTATGTTGGAAATTGCTGCTACAAAAGGAAATGGAGATCAAAGAATTAAATTTACAAGAAAGGTAACTGATTATATTAGGCAGGCATTAAATTATTTACCTGTGAAGGACCAAATACAAAATATTCCTGCCTGCCTTTTTGATGGTCATCACTTTAGGCTCTCATATCAATTTCATGATTTATTTTTGTGTTTCTAATAATTGGCCAGATGTTCCTAATTTACAATCTATTAATAATTATAGCAGCAAACTGTACAATTAAGATGGCAGGACGGTTAGGCTACAGGGTTTGTATGCTATATAAAATACAGGGTTTGTATACTATATAAAATATTTCCTCATCTTACCAAAGTAGATTTTAGAAGCTCTTGGATAACCATAAGCATATGGGTTCTACAACAGAAAATTATTTAGAGCATCATGAGGCCAGAGATAATATAGCTTGGATTTTATGAATAAGTAGCCTAAAAATAACAGACGACCAATTTGTTTCACTCAAACATTCTCTAAGTGGCCATTTATTTGCCATTTCAACGGGCTATACTAGGAATAATTCACTTAGGACTTGGACCCACACCAAGTTCCACATTGCCCCCTCCTGACTTGGGTGAAAGTGGGTATAGGTGGGAAATTGATACCAGCTCTTTGCATGATTTCATTTGTCTAAAGTGACCATTGCTATTCTAGGAGTAAAATTTATAAGTAATCTACGAATGATTGCTTCCAGGAGGTGACACTGGCTGTCATGGAAAAGTACAGAAGTATTCTTCCAATGTCCTCAGCCATCGCAGACAGGAGAGCAGCTTGAATTTAGTAAAGTTTACAAAATTCTGCTTTTAAAAAACATAACTGATGGAGAATATTTAAAGGTCCACAACCACTATAACTATATGCAGAATCACTAAGAGTTGCTTGTTTTTATTTTGTTTTTTTCTGTGTGAACAAAATATAAACACTATCATTTAAGGTAAAAATGTATTCCTTTACCTTCACAGAATGCCAAGTAACTGGTTTAAATCCAGGTATTTTTTTTAATGCACAGATTTTACTGGTTTTTATGGTACAATGCATCTTCTGCAAAGCATAAAACTATTCCTTAATAAAGAAACGTATCTTAGAAGTCAAAACAAAAGGCAGAAAAATCTTTCATGCTCTGACAATGAGTCTTCCTCACAAGTACTGGAGACTTATTTTTAAAGTAAGCTAGTACTCAGCATAACTACGAATAAAAAGTTCAAGAGGCCCTAGATTCATCTCTCAAAAATAAAATAAAATGAATGCAACCACAGTGTTTTTAGGACATAGTACACATGAAAAATGTCATAGTAACAGTAACAATTCCATTAGATCAAGTTCCAAAGCAAAGGTATGGGAAAGAAATAGCAACTCTGGAAACTGTGGATGAAATTTGATGTCTGACTATTCTAAGACATCGGGAAGTCTTGAAATAAAGAAACATGTTCACTTTTCTTAAACTAGAATTTCTCAAATACATTTGGGAATGCAACCTTCATAAATTGTCATTGTTATTATTGTTTTCAATTGGCGTGTTTAAATATCCTATGAAGCAATGTTTAAGTCTGAGAGATGCCTGCTCAGGAGAGTATAATCAATATTGTTTAAAGCTTTCAAATCAAATAGTTAGTAGTTAGGCAACAACATTAAATGGGGACCTAGCAGAAGCTGGAGCTCAGAAATACGGGCTTATTTCTTTCTGAACATAATATTTTGCTTTTATCAGTACTCAGAACTGGAAAGTAGAGAAATAGTACTTTCTATTTTGGCAACATTTTTGAATAATGTCAAGCAAGTCAAAAAGCAATATCATGTCCCATAATCAACATTTCTATTATCTGGATCCTATGGTCCCAGGAAAAAAGAAAAAGAATTGGGTAAAATGATGCAAAAAAAGTTAAAGATTTTTGATTAGGAAATTAATGTGTTGTAGAGAAAATATTATTTTACTTTGCGTTTTTTTCTTTTTTATTGCTTCTTTATTAGGTTAAGTTTATTAAGTTAAAATTTACATACAGTAAAAGTCACCTTTTTCAATGTAGAGTTCTGTGCATTTTGATAAGCACATAGAGTCATGGAATTATCACTAGAATCAAGATATAGAACATTTCCATCACTCCAAATAGTAGCTTCATGCCTCTGTAGTCAGTTCCCTCTCTTCCTCACACAACCCTATGCCTTTCAGGTTTTGACTCTACAGAATAATTTTCTGGGTGCCCTGCAGCATCTTTAGTGCCTACTGTTAGTTCACTCATCCAATATTTACCGAGCCTACTAAAAGTAGCCACTTTGCTATGTGGAACTGAGAACACAGTGAGTAGAATCCTTGTGCTAATCAAAGCTTTCCCGGTTGCACTGAAAAGAAACCTGCTTCAAAAAGCTTGAGTTAAAGGAGTTTTATTTAAGGATGCAAAGGGATAAAGCATTCCAATGAATCTGAGAACCCAAAATTACATTCAGACAGGCCTCAAGTAAAAAAGCTAGGAAGAGAAAAGAAAAAAGGCTGGAAATTTGGATTAATCCCTGGATATTATTGTCTCACCTACGTCTAACGTCAGCTTGGTCTCTGTCTTTCTCTCTCTCAGTGTCTCTCTCTCTCTCTCATTCTCTCTCCCTCCCTCTGTCTAAAGCCATCTTGGTCTCTCTCTCAGTCTTGATCTCTCTCTCTCTCTCTCTCGTAGTTTGCTTTGCCTATGCATCTGATATATGTCTAATATGGCCAGACCAGCCCAAACTCTTTCCAACTTTTCAGCTCATACACACATCACCGATTAAATGACTCTCTATGTCTCAGTTAAAATTTCCAAGAAAGGAAATCTGATTGGCCCAGCTCCACATCTATGGCTTCCCCAGGTGCCCCCCCACTGCCATTTAAAGTGGGGTCTCCAGGCCTCTCATTAATAGCCAGGGGCTAGGGAATTGCGGTCCTTTTGAGCCTGAAAATGTCTTATTCCAGGAATAAAGCAATTGTCACAAAAAAATATGTATTAGACCAACTTTATGTGATAATTACACGAGTCCAATCCTGCTTGACGGGTTTGAGGAAGGTTTCACCGAGGAAGTGACATATGAGCTGAGTTTTGAAGGATGGTCACCATGTAGATAGTGGCAGGTCCAAGGGGAATATGGAAGATGAAGTACGTGAGAGGAAGGAAGAAATGAGCATCCCAGGCAGATGATACAGTATGTGTTAAACATAAAGAACGATGAAAGACTATGTCTTCTTCAGAGACTTAATTTGATACGGCTGGAGAGCAGGATTCTTTAGGCAGACTCAAGAGAAAATAAGCAGGAACTAGAGTTTGAAAGACCTTCTAGGCTGTAACAAGAGATTTGAACTTCATCCTTTGGGCAGCTGTGGGCCATCCAGGGGTGTGAGGCAAGAGGAGGATTCTAGACTTATTGGGATAATATACAGCAAGGACCCAGGGTCTCAGCATTCTGAGATCCCTAGTTTCGCCTCCAGTTCCCAAGACAGAAATGCAGGTGGGTTGCTCCAGGCTAAATCACTTTTAATTATCAGTTGAGGCTTGGACCTCAAACCCCCACATGGTCACTGGGTGAGATGGGCCAGACTATAGATTGCTCAGAGCATCCTTTTGGCCTTGGCTCCGGGCTGAGTAGTCTCTTTGGATTCTTCCTGGAGATCCACTTTTGAATCTTGGCCCTCTTGATCTTAAGTCTCAAATGGCAAATACAGCTGATCCTAAGGGAAACACATATACACTACCCCACCCCAACCCATCTAAAAGAAAAAGGAGAAAGAGCAATTGACCCAATACTCCTTCCCATAATGGTTACTATCTTAGTCTGTTTTGTGCTGCTGTAACAGAATCCAGACATTGGTATCCACAAGCTAATACATTTTCTGTTCATTATACCAGAATAGTATTATGAGATGTACAAGATTGAGACGTACAAAACTGAAGGCTTAAGGATCTTGCTACATCGTCCCATGGCAAAGGGGCAAAGAAAGGGCAAAAGAAAAACAGAAAAGGGCCAAACTTGTCCTTTTATGAAGAACTCACTCTTACAATAATAGCATTAATACAGTCACTCCACCCTCATGGTCCAGTCACCTCTCATTATGCCCCA
Organism: Homo sapiens; assembly: GCF_000001405.40. NCBI lineage: Eukaryota > Metazoa > Chordata > Mammalia > Primates > Hominidae > Homo > Homo sapiens. The sequence goes on along the minus strand of NC_000002.12, from coordinate 170,272,671 downwards.
CCTCCCAACACTGTTGACACGGGGGATTAAGTTCTCAACACATGGTTTTTGGGAGACACTCTCAAACCATGGTAGTTACCACTCCCACCTCTACCTGCCCTGTCACTACTGTGGTCTACTGCATTCATTGCCTTGGTCTACTCCTTGTGGGTGAGTAAACTGAAGGAGGAAAACTTGGGCTCCCTTTAGAGTGTTGAGTATTCCACTGGTGATGAGACAAAAATCAAAGGCCAACTGATGTGGGGAATGGATTGGACAGGTTAACTCTGGAAGTAGGGAGACCAGCTGGGGACTGCTCCAGTGGTCCAGACTGATGAGGGTTACACCAAGGCAGTAACAGAAGGGTTGGAAAGGAGCCATCCCAGGATTCTCAAGTTTGAGTGAGCCTCAGAAGCACCCACAGGGCTTGTTAAAACACAGATCACTGGTCCCCACTCCCAGTTTCTGATTCAGTCAGTCTAGGCTAGGGCCTGTGAATTTGCATTTCTAACATGTTCCCAAGTGATGCCGATGCTATCGGTTCAGAGACCAAGCTTTGAGAACCATTGGAATAGCCCATTTCCATGGGCCAAGTTAAAAAAAAAAAAAAGTTTCCCTTCTGTCACTATTTAGAAAGAGGGACATCACTGGGTTAGAAGCAGTAAGATGAAATGTAGAAATATAACAGTCCCTCACCAGTCAGCTGGCATCTGCAAGTTTACTAGATACAAAGAGCTATTTTCACATTATTATATACTGAAACCTGAATACAAATAGGCCACTAAAACCTACTAGTCCCCACCTCAAATTCTGAGACTACATTCAGAGTAACTTAAAAACAAAAGTCATTTTGGGAACATTTCCGAAGCCCACTATAGTATCAGTCAGTGCTGGGCATAAAGGAAGAATTCAGTAAATTTGGCTTGTTTGTGGTTAAAATTCTTATTATAACAATTAGCAATTTTCAGAATTCCTTAATAAGACCAGACAAGTAGCACTGATACATGCCTTCACAAGATAGCACAGTTTGAGGAGCTTCAGAGTTCATTGCATGTTAAAATCACCAGTTACAATGACTCTCAGCCATTAGGCCACGTTGTACTCTATGCACTGGGCCAGATTCCACACTTAGGCAAAGGCAGCTGATGGAGGAGGTTAAAAGCATCAAATATCAAAGTATCAACTTTGGTAGGCCACCTCCCTTCATAATTGAGACACTTCTGTTGGAGAGTTGAAAATATATTCTAGACAGATGACATGTTAACAGAGTCATTTCATGGTTCACCATTCTCTCAGTGTGATTTATTTATATCTGTAGGCACCAGAGGCCCCTATTCAAGAGATGTATGAGCTACCTATAAGATTCCATTTTGTTGAAGGAAATGTGTGTATTATTTAAAAACAAAATAACATTTATTTTAAGATTATGCTGCTTTCCAGTTAAAGGCTAAATGTTCACCACTTTAACATTCCCTGTGCCCCACCCATTTCTTTACTCCATTAACAAATACTAAAATAATACCTGAAGGGGAAAGGAAGAAGTCTTTCTCATTTCTGAACCCCTGGAAACCAGGTTACAAAACCTGCATGTGACTTCCAAAGTTGCTACTTAGTAGCAATCTTTACCGGCTCCAATTTCTATATCTGGCAAATAAATATAACTGCCTTTCAAGGTCTGAGAATTAACTTAGATAATAAATGTGGATATGCTTATAAACGGTGAAGTGTTACCCAACTCCATGGATGTGGAACTGGCTGTAGTGGTTGTTGGAATAAAATACTTTTCTTCCTTTATCTCATATTTACCATCCAAATTCAACTACAAAAGGCTTATGAAACACACAGTGAAAAGGGCCAAATGTTTAAGTTCATGCAATGGCTAGCCATCGGTTGTAGCTCCCTTGTTGAGTACTCTTCTTCCCTGGGGTCACACCTCCAACCCTCTCAAACCCTGCTACGTCCTCTCCTAAACTACCATTCCAACAGCCTTGCCACGTTGGAGGAAACATAGAAAATGGCTCTAGCAGTGACTGTCAGGCAATGGAGGGCTTCTATACAGGGCAGGGCAGCAAGGACAGGAGACTAAACTGTGCATGTTGGTGGATACTACTGTTTTAAACAACATGAAGTCAAAGCCAAGGACTAGAAAAATCTAATCCAAAATCTGACAGAACAGGCTCAGAGAAAAGTAAACAAATACATCAGATCTAAGCCAGCTGCGTCCAGAGTCTGAGAGATGAGCAAATTCAAAGTAAAGCTTTGAATTCTATTGTTCTAAACCCTATCATTTTTTAAAATCTCTGGTTCTTGATTCAGGATACATCCTATCACGATCAGTCTTTCTCATCCAAACTCTAGTACTATTTTTCTTACAACTACGGAGCACACTTACTAGTTCTGAGGGTGGAGCAGAATGGGTTTGCACTCTTCCTGTTAGTTTTTGTAATTTCCCTTTTTAACACAAGTAATATATAAATATATCCTCAGTGTAAAATATTTAAATAATACAGTAGCATAGAAAAAGTAAAATAACTCCCCTCCTCAGAGGAAAGCACTGTTAACCATTTGATGTATATCCTTGGAGCCTTCTTCCATGAGTTTATGACCATTCAAATATGCAAAGATTTATTATAACTAGGACTATATTGTGCATAATAATCTGCAACTTGATATTTTTCCTTTAACACTGTTTTGGAACAGTTGTTCTCAACATGTGGACCCCAGACCAGCAGCATCGTTATCTCCTAATACTTGTTTAGAAATACAAATTATTCCTGCCCTGCTCCTCACCGAACCTACTGAATCAGAAACTCTGGGAAGCCCAGCAATCTGTGTTTTAATAAGGCTTGCAGATGACTCTGATGCACACTAAAGTTTGAGGACCTCTGGTTTTGAAATCTTTGCATGTCAGGACATACAGCTCTACCACATTCTTTTTAACAGATGCATTTTATTCCACAGAATTTATATATCCTAATTGTTTGGCCATTTCCCTACTTTTGGTTAGTTTTTCCTAATATTAAGAGAAAATGCTGCAATGAACATTCTGGTATATTACCTCAATGAACTTACGTGGCATGCCTATAGATGGATTCTTAAAAGCCAAGTGTGCCAAGTGTATTTTTATTCAAATTTTGATAGTGCCAAATTGTCCTCTAAAAGCCTCTATCAATACTTCCATTGAAAGTGCTAGTGCTTGTTTCCCCACATTCTTACCAACACTTATTATCAGTCTTTCCCAGTTTTGCTACTCTGATAGGTGGGGAAAAAAAATGGAAGCATAAAATCACATGCCATTGGGAAAGGAGGGATTTAGGTTCTGAAGTGGTAAGGTGAGAACCACATATTGTATAGTCAAAATTTCCTTTGAAGGTCTTTTAGAAATATGCCACTTTGGTGACCAATACACTCACTCCAAATATGGAGAACCCAGTCAGATTGTTTTCCTAGGCTACCTCTGGAGCCTAGGAAAAAATGTTTAAAATGTTTGGGGGCATTGTCATATGAAAAGTACATATCTTTAAATGCCGGGCTCACACTCTGTATGGCAGGAACCCCTTAGATTAAGAGGCAGCCTGTAAGGTGTACAACCACCTGAGCAAAAGCAGATTCACAGCTGGCATCTTACCGTCACTCGGGCAGAACTGCCCCACCTCAATCCCTACAATGAGCTGGATTCAGGAAACAGAAGTGCACCTATCACGCACTTTTCTTACCTGAATCATGCAATGTCCCATTGTTTTATTTCACATTTTCTTGATTTATATGTATAGTGGTTTGACCAGGTTAAGTTCTTTTTCATGTTTTGAATGGCCATTTGTATTTTTCTTCTGTGGAATGCTAATTTCTATCCTTTGTCTTCTTTTCGTGTGGCCAATCTTTTTCTTATTTGAAGAAGTTATTTATATATTATGTATATTAATTTTTATCTGTTATATGTGTTGTAAATATTTTCTTTCCATCTGTGTGTTGCTAATTTGGTACCCCTTTATTTATCACATTATTTATCAGTTTTATGTGTTTTTCCAACTAGACAACTATAGGACTAAAGGGCAGTAAATATGACTTGCATTTTAAAGTTTATTTCCTCATCCCTTCTAGCCCCCAAGTTTGTAGTAGAGGTATATGTAGGCAAAAATGTTCAATGAAGTGAATAAATGACTATCTAGAAAAGCACATAGTCTTATGCACATAAAGCTATATTATTCAAGATTTAATATTTTGACCAGTTTTCACTAGTATTCTTTCTTTAAATCACTCTGGCCTATAGATTTTACAATTGGATTCTCTAGGTCAAACCATTCCTTCTTTTTAGTTCATCTTTTATTCTGCCCACACTACCTTGGCCCCTTTGCTAGGTCTAATCATTCTGCCATTTTCTCACCCATTATGGCTTGTTTTCATCACAGTCAACAGGATCCTACTTTAGTGGAGTTTGCCCTTTTCTCCAGAAATCACTTCCAAATTCTCTTTTATATATCCTTTGTCATCCAGGTGTGATGCATAAAGGCCACTCCATTCCTTTAGTTTCTTTCTTTTACTGCAAACTCTGCCTCCCGGGTTCAAGTGATTCTCCTGCCTCAGCCTCCCAAGTAGCTGGGATTACAGGTGCCTGCCACCACACTCAGATAATTTTTTTGTATTTTTAGTAGAGACGGGGTTTCACCATGTTCGCCAGGCTGGTCTCGAACTCCTGACCTCAGGTAATCCACCCGCCTCGGCCTCCCAAAGTGCTGGGATTACAGGCATGAGCCACCACACCTGGACTTTCTACAGTTTCTTTATCCATTTTTTCCCTACAACATGGATTCTGTCCAACCCTAAGCTCTTTCACAACTATGTGCCCAAATGCCAGATTTTCTGAACACTAATATCTTACTCTGGGTCTCCAGGCCAATTCTTCAAATTCCATCATCTATGTCCTCGAAAATAAATATTACCACAGATTACTATATTTGCAATTTTGTTCCTATCAGATATCAAGAGGAAGAAAGTTTCTACAAGATAAACTAACTGTTCATGACAGGAAAAGTGGAAATTGTCTTGACCAGTTGACATGAGCCTTTGGAATGAATAACACTACAGAGCTCAAGACCAGCTAAGGGAACTTACCCCCACATCTTGGGTGAATAATGATATTTATCTTGTCTCTATGGTAAAAACAGATACAAAACTGTATATACAGCATAATTCTATTTTTATGGAAGAATAATACATTATGTGTGAGTAGCAGAAACCAACTAGTCTGCCAAACCAATTCTCTTTCCTTCTGCACACAAAACTAGATTATATTCCCAGCCTTATAATTAGGTATGACCATGTGACTAAGTATTGGCCAATGGAATGTGGGCATAAGGAATGGAAGCCACTCTTGTGCAGTCCTCCATATTCTTTCTACCTGTGTCTGCCAACCCAATGCTGAGCATCCAGCAGAGGACTAAGGGGCCCTACAAGATGATGGGTCTGCTTGTTAAATATGGCAGAGCCTCTGTCAGGCTGGGTTCCCCAAAGACTGTGAGGTGCAGAACCCAATTCCCACCCTACCCCCAGCTGCTGTTTGAGTTTTCTGTGAACAAAAAATAAACTTTCATCTGTTGAGCCACTGAGAACAGGAAGATGTCTAGCTAGCTTTCCTGGCTCTAATACAGAAATATATCTCTAGAAAAATGTCTGAGAAAATGTGTATCAAGATGTTAATCAGATAGTGGGGTTTGTTTCCTTCATTTGGCTTATTTATGTATTCTAATTACCTGTAAACTTTTTTAAGGTTTTCAAAACAATAAAATCTATATACCAGTTTCCCTTCTGGAAAACTGCAAGTTTGGTCATTTTCAGCTGATATTCCCTAAGAGGGGCAGAGGATGCCAAGTGTTGTCATTCCTCCATTATCCACTGTTTCACTCTATTGCCATCAGAAGAAACCTATTAGAAATGACATGGGGCTGTTTACAGCTTTTATTGACTTTCAATAAACTTTTGACCCCACAGATGAGAATCTGTCGTGAACTAAGAGGTATGAACTCACTATAGACCCCTAGGTATTGTGACACTTACATAAGAACCTGGAACTTCCTTCTCTCATTTGTGTCAGAGTCCTTGTACTTCTCTGCTTGACAGAAAAAAGCATAATAAGCACATTTCTATATGCAAAGCACAGGACTCTTTGACAAAAACTGTTAAGAAATAGATCAGCCATTGAAAGAATGACCTTAAGAATATTCTAAAACCAGAGTTATAATTTCTAGTAGATATCCTACAAAAATGTAATTAGCCCATAACCAGCAACAAACTACCTTGATCAGTTACCTAGAAATGCATTTGTTTAACTTAGCACACCAAGAAATGACATACAGCTAGTTTAAAAATTAATGTTTTGTTGAGTTTAGAACTGTTTAGTTTTATGGGCAAGGTAGGCACTCAATCCATTACTCTAAAAAATCCAAAAATTAATCTTGTATTAGGCCAAGCCACCAGGGAGCTATATACATGAGGCTGCATTGTTTTATTAATTTTGACTGAATTTTTCTTTATAATCATTATGTCAATCTACACTGAAAAATTATTATTGGATTTACCATAAAAATCATAATTATGATTACCCATCCTGAGTATTCTGCTTGTGTTTAATTCTCTGAATACTGTAAATAGTGTAACTGACTATATTTTCCTTTTTGCCTTGACAGCTAGGGAGCTCAGAAGTAAGTGTGCCATCCACAAGTGAACAGAAAAGTATGGTATGCATTTTGTTTACCAGCCTCCCCTTGGCTTAATCTTCTTTTTCCTATTTTTTTCTACTTTATTTTATGTTGTATTCATACAAAATTCCTCTGTCATGTGTTTTCATCTTGTTGCATACTCTGTGCTTTTGTAAATGGTTTTAAATACTTTTTAGAATGAGCCAAGAAATAGAGGGATGTACACATAACTAGAGAAAAGGAGAAAAAAGTACAGGACTGGAAGGTAAAAGGAGACTCTCAGTAGGACCACAAATTTTCTTCAAGCAATAAAATCTGGTATTACCTGGACTGTAATGCAACCAGGGACTAACAGTCCTTTACTTCCATTATCTCTGCCTATCTTGATGCTCCTGGTTTTGATATCCCTCTGACCTGACAACAACTTTGTGTCTTGGCCCATGCCTGCCACATGCCCTGACCTAGCCTGACCTTGCCTGTGCCCTGTCTCTGTATCACTCAAATCTTGGCATGGGAATTGGGTACCTGGCAGTGTTCCTAATAACTCTGATTAGTTGATTCTGGCCCCAGCCATGCTATAATTACTCTCAAATTCACATATAATGTAGGTTTTTATCACAATTACTTTCCAAGTTATATAAAAGAGTGCTTTCTTTTAGAACCTTTCTGAAATGCATAAACCTTTTCAGAGTTTGGAACCTCCAGCTATGTAATTTATAAGCTAAGAATTCATGGAGCTCTGAAATTAAGGCCAAGACTTAAAAATCTAGAGGAGCTACATATTCTTTAAAAGTCTGTCTCCAACTAGAGGAAGACTTTGGGAGGTGAGGGCAAGACAACCCTCTGTCAGGAGGTAAGAACAGTTTCAGTAAAGAGATGGGGTGCCATTATGAAAGCCAGCCCCAACAGCTTTCTGGCTTATAATCACAGCATTCTAAATATGAATTCTGTAAAATCTTTAAAAGGCTTTTTAAAACTCTGCCCTCAACAATTATCTCCTCTCACATATCTTCATTTTCTACCTCTCCACTTGCCCCTTTGGCTTAACCTGATTTTCCCACATGACAGCAGGATTTCCCTTTTCACTGACAAGCTGCACTCACTACCCTCAAATCCACTTACAACTTAACTTTTGCCACTAGCTTTTGCTCCTTACCTTGCTACTGCCATCCTCCAAAACTAAGCCATCACCCAAAGTCTCTCAAATGTCAAATCCAACAAATATCCTCTTTCCAATTTTCATTGTATTTATCCTTTAAGAGCATAAGACAGTAGTAATAATAGTAGCTATTATTTATTGAGCAACTACTATATATCAGGGTATTTTGCCATACCATCTCTTTCCCTCATAGCACCCAATAACACTGATATTATGTCAGCTAGAAGAGTTCACATAACTCATCCGAAATCACACAACCAGCACGTGGCAGATTGAATGTCTGCATGGTGGATTAAGGATGACTGTAAATTCTTTGTCCCTCCTCCTTTGAAGAAGTGTAGTCCTCTCCTTAAAACCGGGCTGGCCCTGTGATTTGTCCTGACCAGTAGAATGTGGCAAAAGTGATGGGTGTAACTTCCAAGACTGAGCCTTACAAGATCTGCAGCTCTGCTTTCCTGTACTGGGAGAGGACCCTCTTGGATGATGACTGCCACATAGGAAATCCAACTACCCTGAGACCACCATACTGTGAAAAAGCCAGGTAAAGAAAGGAGGCCATGTAACAGAGCACTGGGGCATTTAAACGAATGTGGGGAAAAGAAAGAGAGATCAGACTGTTACTGTGTCTATGTAGACAGAAGTAGACATAAGAGACTCCATTTTGTTCTGTACTAAGAAAAATTCTCTAACCCTAGCCCCAGCCCTGTGCTCGCAGAGACATGTGCTGTGTTGACTCAAGGTTTAATGGATTTAGGGCTATGCAGGATGTGCTTTGTTAAACAAGTGCTTGAAGGCAGTATGCTTGTTAAAAGTCATCACCACTCTCTAATCTCAAGTACCCAGGGACACAACAGGAAGGCCACAGGGATCTCTGCCTAGGAAAGCCAGGTATTGTCCAAGGTTTCCCCCACATGTGATAGCCTGAGATATGGCCTCACGGGAAGGGAAAGACCTGACCGTCCCCCAGCCCGAGATACCGGTAAAGGGTCTGTGCTGAGGAGGATTAGTAAAAGAGGAAGGCCTCTTTGCAGTTGAGATAAGAGGAAGGCCTCTTTGCAGTTGAGATAAGAGGAAGGCATCTGTCTCCTACTTGTTCCTGAGCAATGGAATGTCTCGGTGTAAAACCCGATTGTATGTTCTATTTACTGAGATAGGAGAAAATCACCTTAAGGCTGGAGGTGAGACATGCTGGCAGAAATACTGCTCTTTAATGCACTGAGATGTTTATGTATGTGCACATCAAAGCACAGCACCTTTTCTTAACCTTGTTTATGACACAGAGACATATGTTCACATGTTTTCCTGCTGACCCTCTCCCCACTATTACCCTATTGTCCTGCCACATCCCCCTCTCCGAGATGGTAGAGATAACGATCAATAAATACTGAGGGAATTCAGAGACTGGTGCCGGTGCCGGTCCCCTGGGCCCACTTTTCTTTCTCTATACTTTGCCTCTGTGTCTCTTTCTTTTCTCAGTCTGTCATCCCACCTGACAAGAAACACCCACAGGTGTGGAGGGGCAGGCCAGCCCTTCAAATGAAGACTTCTAAGACCTTCCAACCCAGCCCAATTGCCTGCTGAATGTAGCAGCCAAGTTGATGCCTCCAATTGACACTCACTATGCGGAGGAGAAAAACCGTCTAGCCAAGCCCTGCCTGCATTTCTAACCTACCAACTCATGATAAACCACAAATTGTTATTTAAGCTGCTAAGTGTTAGGGTTGTTTGTTACACAGCAATAAATAACCAAAGTCTGGTTCTAAGATCTCCTGCTGCTTAGTCGCTCCAATTTTTTACCATCTCCTAATTCCTACCAAACCAATTTATCCTTCAAGTCATTTAATGATGCAATGATCAAATGATCATTGGTAACGTCAAAATCATGTTTTAATTTTAAATTTAAAAGCATTTTGAGTAGATTAAGTATGCATTAAATGTGGTGCTAGGTGCTACGACAGATACAAAAATTCAGAAATTTATAGTCCTAGACTTCAAAGGCTCTTACATCCTGGGAGAGAGATAACCAAATACACAAATGGCCCTAAATACACAAAGGAGTGAGCAAAGATGATGCTAGAGTAGCAACCTGAACAGGGAAGAGCACAGGCCCAGGGTTCTGACTGGGACCCCCAGATTTAGAGGGTGGCTTCCACACATTGTCCATGGACGCATATCTACCCAAACGTGGACAAGGATCAGCTTTGATTTCTTCCTGGCCCTCAGAACCTGTCACACAACCAGTCACCAACTCCACATGGCCAACTCTTACTTCATTGTCCCATCCTCTGCCCTGTGCTGATTTGCTTGTTACAAGCTTGTTACAGGCTCCTCACATTTCACCTTGCCTCCTCCCTCCTATTTTCCCCAACTCATCCTTACTGTCTCTAGAAGGATCTTTCTAAAACACAAGTAAATTTCTTGTCACTGTTCTCAAAGCAGCTGATGGCTTCCAGTTCCCCAGAGTCCCACCCAATGGCTCTGCATGGCTACCAAGATGCTCAGCATTCTGTTCTCAAGGTAACCATCTAGCCCCGTCTCTCACCCCAGCAACTCCAGACCTGGACCCACTTTTGCACAGCTATTCCTTTGCTAATGTTCTCACTAACGTTCTGAAGGATCACTTTGGCCCCAATCCCCATCCTTTTGAAAATTCTGCCCCTTGTAGGTTCAGCTTAAATGAGGTACAAGGCCTCCCTGGATCTCCTTGGTCAAAATTAATCATTTTCCCCTTTACATTTCCAGAGCCCTTTCTTTATACCTTCATTCCATTCTGTCTGATGTGTACACTTAGTCACAATATGGAGTTTCAAACAGACTGCGAACTCTCAAGGGCAGAAGCTCTGCCTGACTGATCACTACATCTCCCCAGCTTTGAGTAGTCCTTCTTACATTGGAGATGCATATATATACACACACATATATATACACACATACATATCTTCTATTGATGCTATCCTATATTCTATTTCCAATCTTCCTGAACATTTATATATTTGAACTTTGATTAAGCCTGCCTAATCTATGTCATTCTTAGACATTTGTACCATCAGCCAAAAAGATGCAGATTAAATGCTGACAGGATCAAATCATCCTATATAGCATGAAACAATGCGAAACAATGCTAAACATAGCATCATGCCACAACCAGGCATTTTCCCCTAAAACTTTTTATACTGTGTACACTTCATGATGAAAGATCACATTATATGTGGCCACTTAGCACACATATCATGGGATTATGCATGTGTACTGGCAGTCTCCCTACTTAAAACACACATGTACTGATGACCATTGAAACTCACTCTGTTGCCCAGGCTAGAATGCAGTGGCAAAATCATAGCTCACTGCAGCCTCAATCTGGTGACGGGATCAATTCTCCCTCCTTAGCCTCCCAAGTAGCTAAGACAACAGGTGCTCGCCACCATGTCCAGGTTTTGTTTTGTTTTGTTTTGTTTTTTGGTAGAGACAGGGTCTAGCTATGTTGCCTAGGCTAGTCTTGAAAAAATGTATTCTTGGCTGGGCGTGGTAGCTCACATCTGTAATCCCAGCACTTTGGGAGGCTGAGGCGGGTGGGATCCCTTGAGGCCAGGAGTTTGAGACCAGCCTGACCAACATGGAGAAACCCCGTCTCTACTAAAAAATACAAAATTAGCTGGGCGTGGTGGTGCATGCCTGTAATCCCAGCTACTTGGGAGGCTGAGGCAGGAGAATTGCTTGAACCCGGAAGGCGGAGTTTGCGGTGAGCCAAGATCGTGTCATTGCACTCCAGCCTGGGCAACAAGGGTGAAACTCCGTCTCAAAACAAAAACAAAAACAAAAAGAAACGAAAGAAAAGAAAAAATGTATCCTTTATTTTCCTCTCCAGGTACCATCCCATTTTTCTGCATCACTTTAAAGCATACTTCTCATAAGAGTGTCTATGCTCACTATCTCAAATGACTGTTTTTGTTTCCCCTCTCTTCTTACTATGAAATATATCACACATAACCCAACACTAGTATAATTACCCACTAGAGTCAAGAAATAGGCTATTGCCAGCACCCCAGGTCCCATTCCAATTTGGTTTTTATCCCCATAGCTCCATCAAAACAGCTCTTTTTCTCAACTGAATTCTTTTTTTAGAAAATGTCAACTTTCATGTTAGATTGACAGAGTGAATGTGCAGGCTTGTTACATAAGTATAGTGTGTGATGCTTCAGTTTGGGATACAATTGGTCCCATCACCCAAGTAGTGAGCACAGTACCCAATAGGTGGTTTTTCAACCCTTCTTCTCCTCTCCCAACTCCAGTAGTCCCCAGTGTCTACTGTTCCAATCTTTATGTCTGTGTGTACCCAATGTTTAGCTGCCACTTTTAAGTGATAACATATGGCATTTAGTTTTCTGTTTCTGCACTAATTCACTTAGGATAATAGCATCCAGCTGCATCCATGCTGCTGCAAAGAACATGATTTTATCCCTTTTTATGGCTGCATAGTATTCCATGATATATATGTACCACATTTTCTTTATCCAATCCACCACTGATGGGCACCTATGTCTTTGCTATTGTGAATGGTGCTGCAATTAACATACATGCACATGTGTCTTTTTGGTAGAATGATTTCTTTTCCTTTGGGCATATACCCAGTAATGGGATTGCTGGGTTGAATGGTCGTTCTTCTTTTAGTTCTTTGAGAAATCTCAAAACTGCTTTCCACTGCTTAACTAATTTACATTCCCATCAATAGTGTATGAGCATTCCCTTTTCTCTGCAGCCTCACCAACATGTTATTTTTTGACTTTTTAATAATAGCCATTCTGACTAATGTGAGATATTTCATTGTTGTTTTGATTTGCATTTGTCTGATGATTAGTGGTGTTGAGCTTTTTTTTTTTCATGTTTGTTGGCTGCTTGTGTGTCTTCTTCTGAGATGTATCTATCTCTTCATGTCCTTTGCCCACTTTTTAAGGGGGTTATATGTTTTTTGCTTGTTAGATTATTTAAGTTCCTTACACATTCTGGATATTTGACCTTTGTGGATGCATAGTTGGTGAATATATTCTCCCATTCTGTAAGTTATCCATTTATTGATATTTTATTTTGCTATGCAAAAGCTTAATGTGTCCCACTTATCAATTTGTGTTTAATTATGTCCCACTTGTCTATTTGTGTTTTCATTGCAACTACTTTTGAGGACTTTGTCATAAATTCTTTGCCAAGGCCAATGTCCATAATAGCATTTCCTAGGCTTCCAGTTGGATTTTTATAGTTTTAGGTCCTAAGTTTTTAATCCATCCTGAGTTAATTTTTGTATATGGTAATAGGTAGGAGTCTAGCTTCATTCTTCTGCAAAAGGATAGCCAGTTATCCAAGCACGATTTATTGAAAAGGGAGTCCTTTCCCCATTGCTTATTTGTGTTGACTTTGTTGAAGATTAGATGGTTATAGTGGCTTTATTTCTGGGTAATCTATTCTGTTCCATTGGTGTATGTGACTGTTTTTATACCAGTACCATGCTTTTTGGCTACTGTAACCTTGCAGTATAGTTTGAAGTTGAGTGACGTGATGCCTCTGGCTGTGTTCTTTTTGCTTAGGATTGCTTCAGCTATTTGGGCTCTTTTTTTGTTCCATATAAATGTTAGAATAGTTTTTTATAATTCTATGAAAAATGACATCGGTAGTTTCATAGGAATAGTGTTGAATCTATAGATTGCTAAGGGACAGAATGGCCTTTTTAACAACACTGATTTTTCCAGTCCATGAGCATGGAATGTTTTTCCATTTGTTTGTGTCATCTATGATTTCTTTCAGCAGTGTTTCATTTTTAGTTATCCTCGTAGAGATCTTTCACCTCCTTGGTTAGATGAATTCCTAGGTTGTGTGTGTGTATTGTAAATTGGACAGTGTTCTTGATTTGGCTCTCAGTTTGAACAAGACTGGTGTATAGAAATACTACTGATTTTTGTACGATAATTTTGTATCCTGAAGCTTTACTGAAGTCGTTTATCAGTTCTAGGAGCCTTTTAGGTGGAGTCTTTAAGGTTTAAGGTTTTCTAGGTATCAAATCATATCATCAGTGAAGAGAGATAATTTGTCTTTTGCTTTTCCTATATGGATGCCTTTTATTTCGTTTTCTCCTCTGACTGCTCTGGCTAGAACTTCCAATACTATGACATATAGAAGTAGTGAACGTGGGCATCATTGTCTTGTTCCAGTTCTTAAGGGAAATGCTTCCAGCTTTTTCCCATTCAGTATCATGTTGGCTGTGGGTTTGTCATAGATGACTCATTATTTTCAGGATGTTCCTTTGATGCCTAGTTTTTTGAGGATTTTTGTCTTAACTGAATATCGGATTTTATCAGAAGCTTTTTCTATATCTATTGAGATGATCATATGATTTTTTCTTTTAATTCTGTTTATGTGGTGAATCACATTTATTGATTTGCATATGTTGAACCCACCTTGCATCTCAGGAAGAAAGCCTACCTGATTGTAATGAATTAACTTTCTGATGTTCTGCCAGATTCAGTTTGCCAGTATTTTGTTGAGGATTTTTGTATCTATATTCATCAGGGATACTGGCCTGACGTTTTCTTTTTTCACTGTCTCATTGGTATCAGAATGATGCTGGCTTCATAGAATAAGTTAGGGAGGAGTCTGTCCTCCTTGACTTTTGTGGATAATTTCAGTAGGATTGGTACCAGCTCTTTGTCTGTCTGGTAGAATTCAGCTGGGAATCCATCTAGTCCATAGCTTTTTAGGTTGCCAGGTTTTTAAAATTTTTAAATAGTGATTCAATTTCAGAACTTGTTATTGATCTGTTTAGGGTTTCAATTAATTTCTGATTCAATTTTGGGAGGTTGTACATTTCCAGGAATTTATCCATTTCCTCTAGATTTTCTAGTTTGTGTTCATGAAGGTGTTCATAAGTTTCTGAAGACCTTTGGTATTTCTGTGGGATTGGTTGTAATGTTACCTCTGTCACTTCTGATTGTGTTTATTTGAGTCTTCTCTCTTTCCTTTAACTTAGTCAGTGGTCTATTGATCTTGTTTATCTTTTCAAATAACCAACGTTTGGTTTCATTGATCCTTTGTATTTTGGAGCCTCTATTTTGTTCTGTTCTGCTCTTAGTTATTTCTTATCTTCTGCTAGCTCTGGGGTTCGTTCTTGTTTTTCTAGTTCTCTAGGTGTGATGTTAGATTGTTAATTCGAGATTTTTCTAACTTCTTGACATAGGTGTTTAGCACTATAAACTTCCCTCTTAACGCTGGTTTTGCTGCATCCCAGAAATTTTGGTATGTTGCATCTCTGTTACCATTTATTTTAAATAATTTTTTGATTTCTGCCTTAATTTTGTTATTTACCCAAAAGTCATTCAGGAGCAAGTTGTTTAGTTTCCATGCAATTGTGTGGTTTTGAGAGATCTTCTTGGTATTGATTTCAATTTTTATTCCACTGTGGTCCAAGAGTATGGTTGGTATTATTTCAATTTTTTTGAATTTATCGAGACTTGTCTTACAGCTGAGAATGCAGTTGATCAGAGTATGTTCTGTATGGAGATGAGAAGAATGTATATTCTGTGATTGTGGGGTGGAATATTCTGTAGACATCTATTAGGTCCAATTGGTCAAGTGTCAAATTTAAGTCCAGAATTTCTTAGTTTTTTGCCTTGATGATCTAACACTGTCAGTGGGGTGTTGAAGTCCCCCGCTATTATTGTGTCTAAGTCTTTTCATACATTTAGAAGTACTTGTTTTATAAATCTTGGTGCTCCAACATTGAGTGCATATATATTTAGGATAGTTAATTATTTCTGAGGAATTGAATCTTTTATCATTATGTAATGTCCTTCTTTGTCCTTTTTTACTATTCTTGGTTTAAAGTCTGTTTTATCTAATATAAGAACGATGACCCCTGCTCTTTTTTATTTTTCATTTGCATGATAGCTGTTCATTTCTTTACTTTGAGTCTATGGGTGCCATTACAGGGGAGATAGGTCTCTTGAAGTCAGCAGACAGTTGGGTCTTGTTTTATTATTCAACTTGCCACTCTGTGCCTTTTAAGTGGGGCATTTAGACCATTAACATTCAAGGTTAATATTGTTATGTGAGGTTTTGATCCTGTCATGATGTTATTAGCTGGTTGCTAATAACAACCAGCCAATATGGTTGCTTTGTAGTCTCAATTGTGTAGTTGCTTTATAGAGTCTGTGGGCTATGTCCTTAACAGTATTTTTGTGGTAGCAGGCTAGTGGAAATCAATTTCCTTCATGATTACCTACCTGGAAAAAAATTTATTTCTCCTTTGCTTATGAATCTTGATTTGGTGGTATATGAAATTCTTGGTTAGAATTTCTTTTCTTTGAAAAATGGTGAAAATATGCCCCCATTCTCTTCTGGCTTGTAAGATATCTGTTGAGAAGTCCACTGTTAGCATAATGGGGTTCCCTTTGTAAGTGGTCTGATTCTTTTCTTAAGCTGCCTTTAAGATTTTTCTTTCACACTGACCTTGAAAAGTCTGATTACTATGCATCTTAGGGATAGCTATCTTATATAGTATCTCACAGGGGTTGTCTGAATTTTTTGAATTTGCATATTAACCTTTCTTGTGAAATTGGGGAAATTTTTGTGGACTATATCCTCAAATATGTTAGCCAAATTGCTAACTCTCTCTCCTTCTCTCACAGGAATGCCAATGAGTCATAGGTTTGGTCTCTTTAGAGAATCTATTTCTCAAAGGCTTTGTTCATTTTTTTAAGTCATTTTTCTTTATTTTTGTCTAACTGGGTTGATTCAAACGGCTAGTCTTCAAGCTCTGAAATTCTCAGCTTGGTCTAATCTGTTGTTCAGGCTTCCACTGTATTTTGAAATTCCTGTAGTGAATTTTTCAATTCCAGAAGTTCAGTTTGATTATTTCTTAAACTGGCTATGTCATCTTCCAACTCTTGTATCAACAACTGGCTTTCTTGGATTGAATTTCAACTTTCTCTCGAATCTTGAGCCTCCTTGCCATCCAGATTCCTAATTCTATGTCTGTCATTTCAGACATTTCAATTTGGTGAGGATCTATTGCTGCGGAGCTAGTACAATACTTTATAGGTAAGGAAACACTCTGATTTCTTGAATTGCCGGAGCTCTTTGGCTGATTGCTTCTCATCTCAGGGGGCCTGGTGTTTTTCTTTTTGACTTTGCTGTTGCTTGAATGGGGTTCTGGGTTTTTTTTTCCCTTCAGGGTTTGACTGTGGTGTATGCTGTATACAGTCAATTGGCTTCGTTTCTGGTGCTTTCAGAGGGCCAGTGCTCTGTATGGGTTCCTTGGTTGTAGCTAATTTCCTGTATTGAGTTTCACAGGTGTTGGGTGCTGAAGGAACTTATTTTTGTATAATTCAGGCTGCAATCCAGTAGACAGTGCTTAAGAGTAAGGGCCAGCAGATAGGCTCTTAGTTATGTACCTTTTTTGTACTTCAGTGTGTGCACAGCAGTGCTCCGGGCAGGGAGGGATGGTGAGGGAAGGGGGGAGGAGCACAAGAGATGACTCCCTTACTAAGTCCACTCCTGGGTTTTGAGGGAGCCTCCTACAATGACTGACATTGCACCTGTGTTTCCTCACCCCAGTAGGGACCCTGGCGGGCTCTACTCCCACCTGTCTTAGCAGCGGCTCAAGCCAAAGGTTAGGTCACAAGGAGACCCACTCATTCTCTGAGGTTGACAGAGTCAGAGCAGGTGATGGAGTATGTGTGCAGGCGTTCTGGTGATGCAATGAGTCAAGGGCGTAGGATCCCCAGGCAGAGCAGTAGTGCCATGGGTGTGCAGCTGGTGTGGCACCTGTGGCCTGGGGCTTTTATCCCAGCAGAGGACTATGGGGTCTGCCCAGCTCTCTCTTCCCAAACCAGATCTCCCTCCAGTGTCTGCCCCAGGAGCAGGCCCACTCAACTAGTTTTGTCCTAAACCTTCTGCACCCAGATTGCTGCACGATTCCAGGTGTTCAGGGATATGGGGCTCCCTCAGGTAGAAGCTGTGGCTAGCCAACAGGCTACACCCTTCCCAGACTGGTCTTGCACAGGGTGGGATACCCAGTTCCCATGCTGGCACATGAACCTGTGCCTCACTCCTCTCTGTGTTCTGAGAGTGAGGCCTCCTCTCTCACTCAAGCTCTGGCCACAGATCTCAGCTCAATATCCCTGGGTGGTGTGCTCACACCCTGGGAAGTTGGGACAAGGCCTGTGGCTTTGTCCTCTGACCCCTCTGGGTCAAGCACCAGCTGTGCTGGGGGTGGTGCTGAACTGCTCCCAGTCCACTAGCAAAACACGCAGGTAGGACAGTGGTGGCTCTGTTTTGCACACCCTCTTGTGGGAGCAGCCAGGCAGGAGGCCTTGGGAGGGGCCAGCAGACACTGGGAGCATGCAGATCAGATGCGCCCCCCCGAGTCCCGCAGGAAAGGCAGCTCTGCTCTCTCTCAGGTTGGCAGTCAGTGAGGGCTGTGGTCATTCAGAGTAAGATGGAGAGCCTTTGCGGGTGGGCGTCTACGGTGTTTTGCTGCAGCTGCCCCACATGAGTGTAACCTTCTGGGCGCCATGCAGGTTCTAGCTTTACCTCTGTCTACTCTACAGGCAGCTCCTCCTGCCCATCTAAATGTCTATAGGGATCATGGGATCTTTTCTAGCTGGGATCCCAGAAGTTTGTGGCGGGAGTGTAGTGCCACAGAGTTCCTTCATTCACCCCTTCCTGAGAACCTTTTCAGTACCAGGAGCTGGTCGTGGTGCTCAGTGACTCCATGTGGGCTTCCCAGCTTCCTCCCTCTTCAATCTTGGTGTCTGCATCACCTCTCTTATCAACTTTCAGTGTTTTTTCTCAAAAGATCTGTTCAAAGTGTGATGATTTACTGCATATTTTGTTTTCTCTCAGTGGGAGAGGCACTTCCTGGCTACATCTAATCAGCCGTCTTATCACTGCCCGCCCCCGCCCCCCGTCCCCAGAACAGCTCTTCACAGCATCACCAGTTTTCTCTGAGTTGTCATATCCAGTGGTGAAATCTCAGTCTTCACCTTGCTTGACTCAGGAGCATTTGATACAGTTGATCATTTACTCTCTTAGCCCTTTCTTCCTTGGCCTCTGGAATACTACCCTTATTCTTCTCTTATCTCAATGGCTACTCCTTCTCAAACTCCTTTCCTGGTTTTTCTTCATCTTTCTTATCTATAAATGTGGGAGTAGCCCTCAGGAGCTCTCGTCTTCTTTACACACACCCACTGCCCAGGTAAATTCTACTCATCCCATGACATTAAATTTCTAGACTCTGATGACTTCTGCATTTATGTCTCCAGTCTAGGTGTCTCCACTGAACTCCAGACTTGTATCAACTGCATACTCAATGTCACCACTCAGATGATAAATTTGCATCTCAAACTTAATGTCTGAAAAGGAACTCTTGATTCGGCTGCATACTCCCACCAAGTTAGCTCCTTGCACAACCGTCTCCAACTTGGAAAATGGAAGCTCCTGTTTTGCAGTTGCTCGAGCCAAAAATCTTGAGATTTTCAGTAAGTCCTCTCTCCCTCTCATACCCTACATCAAATCCATAAGCAATCCTGTCAGCACCACCTCCAAATTATATCCATAATCCAACTATGTCTCACTACCTTCACCTTGGTCCAAGCTGCCATTATCCCTTACTTAAATTATGACAAGAGCCTCTTACCTTGAGTCTCTGCTTCTACTCTTACCACCTCCTTCCCTAATATTCCATTTTCCACATAGTATGCAGAAGATCCCTTTAAAACAGAAGCTAATTCATGTTACTTTTCCACTCCAAACCCTAATGGCTTCCTATCTCATTCACAGAAATATTCAAAATCACTACAATAACTCATAAGGCACTACATGATCTGTCCCCAGCTCTCTCCAGGGCATCATCATCTACCACTCTCCACTGTTCTCATGTGCTCCAGCTGCCTTGGTCTCCTTGCTATTCCTAAAATGTCCCCACCATGTTCCCACCTCATTCCCACCTCAGGACCTTTGCACTTATGTTTCCTCCAAATGTGGCTTGCTCCCTTATTCCCTTGAGACATTTTTCTTCATCTTATCAGAGAAGCCTTCTCTCAGCACATTATATAACAAACCCCACCCCAACTGTCACTCTGTATTCTCTTTATCTCATTTTATTTTTCTTCATACAGGGACATATTGTCACCTAGCATATTATTTATTTTTACTTGTTTATTATTTCTTTCCCCCTCTAGAATGTAAGCTCCAAGAGGACAGGGACTGTTTTGTTTATTGCCATGCCTGATACAGTTCCTGACCATAGTAAATACTCAAAACATATTTAATAAGTGATTGAATAAACTAGTTCCAAGCATCAACTTATAGTCCATGTGTAAGTAGGCCACTACTCATACACATGCTCTTAGAGAATTAAAATAATTTTAATTAAATGTCTTGTATTTTGCCAAACTCTTTGGCAAACATTTTTCACCTAAGGTCATTCTTTCCTTACTTACAATTTTGTGCCAGGTGCATTGACTTTTTAAAATCCCTTTCCAGTTGGAGAGCATATTATTACCAATCCAATGAACTATTTCCTTGTAGATATACATATTTAGTAACAGTTGGGTTTTTTCCTTTTTAATAGACACTGAAGTGATAACATGTGAACTGTGGAAAGGAAGGGGGTGAAGGGTGGAGCCAGCAGGAGGACTGTGATCTTCAGGTAAGTGCATTATCATCAAGGCAAAGATGCAACATATTTCCCATTTGTTCCTTTGAAGTCATTGGAAGAACGGTGAACTATGCCAGATCAAGGCAGATCACCAAGCCTAATGATGAGAGAGGTAAGCCAACTTCCCCATATTTACTTCTCCTGGTCTCAAAGTTGAACTTAGGAGTAAGAATGTATGAGATCCAGCCATGGATCTAACTAACCATCTCTCTAACTAGCCATATCACCTAGGAAAACTCACTCCCAGTCTCTGGGCTTCCTCCTCTGCTTATGGTTGTACTGGATTATATCACTGGTTTTAGCTGCTTTTGGATCCTAGACCCTTTCCAGAGCAATGGACCATAGTTTCCTAGAACTGCTGTAACAAAGTACCACAAACCAGCTGGCTTAGAAAAACAGAAATTTATTGTCTTACAATTCCAGAAACTAGCAGTCCAAAGTCAAGGCTTCAGCAAGACCACTCACCTTCTAAAACCTGTAAGGGAAGGATCCTTCCTTGCCTCTTTCAGCTTCTGGTAGCCCAGGCGTTCCTGGACCTCTATGTGTCTGTCTCTGTGTCTAAATTAACTCCTTTCCATAAAGACACCAGTCATATTGAATTAGGGTCCACCCTGATGACTTCATTCAGCTTGATTACTTCTGTAAAGACCCTATTTCCAAATAAGGTCAAATTCTGAGACACTGGGGATTAGGACTTCAATGTATCTTTTCTGAGAAACACGATTCAACCTATAAAAACCATTTTCCTAAAAATGGTGCATTTTGCAATCAATCTTGATTGAATGCAGATCTCTTCAAGCTTGCCCTCTGCCACTTATTTGTTTTTATTAACTGTGTGTCCTTGAGCCAATCACAACACTGAGTCCTGAATCCTCTGAACTCTAACATAAAGAAAAAAAAGAACCCTACCTATCAGAGTTGCAGTAAAGAATCAAAGAAACTGTATAAGACAGTAAATGTAAATCGTGAAGGGACAAACAATTGTAAAAAAGCTATGTACAGTTGACACGGACAGGAGACAGGGAAATACTGGGTAGAAGAGGGCGGTTCCCTGGCAAAGGCCCCACCCTCAAGCCCGAATACCCGTGGCCCTAAGTGAAAACAGGCATTCCTGTTTTTGTACCCCAAAAAGTTGCTTTTTGGCCCATCACACCCCCTCAACTGTACCCATATAAACCTCAAACCCCAGGCTCCAGAAGGAGAAGCACAGACAAGCAGACGAATGGCAGAACGGCATGAGAAGATAAGGAGAGTCTGAACATCAGAAATTTGGCTCGGGACAGTGGGAGAGTCGGCCGCTAGACAGCCAAACTCCAGGGGAATATCATCTTCCCACTCCATCCCCTGTCCAGCTCCTCATCCATCCTGCTGAGAGCCACCTCCACCACCCAATAAAACCCCACATTCAACATTTTTCAAGTCTGTGTGTGACCCAGTTCTTCCGGGACACTGGACAAGAACTCTGGATACAGAAGGCTGTCACACTGGCCCTCTACCCTTGCAAAAAGGCAGAGGATCTACTGAGCTGGTTAACACTTAAGCCATCCATGGATGGCAAACCTAAAGGAACGCACTGTAACACACGCCCACTTGGGCTCCTGCACCTGTCCATCTGCATGCCCCCCTTCCTGTAATGGGTTTGAGCAGCAGCAGCAACCGGACAGAAAAGCCACACCCCTGTCACGTCCTGTGATGGGGGTCAGGGAATGCTCCCATTTCACAGTGGCTGAACTGGGGCCCAAAGCTACTGGTTTAAGACAGTGGCCTCCAAACTTTTTTGACTGCACACTTCATCAGTAACAAATGTTGAGCCTATGGTCCAGTAACTACTTCCTTTCTTATCAATTGTGAACAAGTGCTACTAAATTTTAAAATGAATAAGATGAAATAAATAACATGTTTTAACAGTACCCCCAAAATATTTTGTAGTTGAATTGTAGTGGTTTATCTTTCTGATCTGAATGCTGAATAATCTTGATGGTGTCATGCTAATAACTTCATGCATAAAACACACTTATGAAGAGGGCTCATCGTCAATAATAGTGGATATAAATCCATACTTCCAATAGTCTTCATGGTAATTTTGAATTTTTTAATGATTTCTTGGCAGATCTGATTAGCCTGTCATTGTTCTAAACCTCAAGTGGCTGATGAAGAGCTTGTCATAGGAGGAGAAGTGCCAGCATTTCAGCCATTTTTTTCTGTTGCTCACTTTTGCTTGTATTAGTAGAATTAGATTCAGTCTGAGGTTTCTTTACAGAAATCTTTTAAAGCCACTTGTCCATTTTGTGAAGGTCTCTTTATTGAAACTCAAGGACGTTTGCCATATAACCACTAATGAGGCACCTTTAAATGAAAATGCTTTCCAGAATTCTAGAACTGAACCCACAAGTGGAGCTTCCTCAGCCTTTTTGCTGTGGAGCTGCCTCATGATTCATCTGTAAACCCAACCAGACAGGACTGTCCAACATTTGGACTGAACAAAGGCAGCAGTGATCATCTTTATACTTAGTAATAGGAAAGCATAATTTGTTTCTTGTTTTTCTTGTTTTTTGATTTGAAATACTTAGGAACAGAAGTTCTAATATTTTCTGTCTGCACTCCAAGGGATTGGTTCAGATGCTCCTGCATTGGAGACCACAGGAATAGTCAGTAACTCTCCCTTATTTCTCTTCTCCCTCAAGCAAATGTTGATATGAATAAGAACATCTGTTACTAAACTGCTGAGGCCAAAAGAGTTAGGTTTGGGGCAGAGGAAATGTGGAGGAAGGTGGGCAGGGTGGTGTGGGTTTGTTTTCTCTCTAGCTCCTTGGACTAATTAAAAGAATAAGGATAAAAATAGAAAGGCCCGTTTATATAGAGGGAGTTGATGTTACTCTGTTGAGAGAGGAGAGCCAAAATGGTGAGGCTCTGGCCACAAGCAGAGTTGCTCAGGGACCTAAGTGGCAGAGAATGGCTCAGAGCTCAGGATAGGGGCTACCTCCCTTCCTCTGAGTGGAAACCAGTGCTTTGGCACCCAGGACTGGAGGCTTTGGGAGTTACCAGAATGAATAGCCTGCAAAGGCCTGGATGTTCTGATGGTAGATAAGCAGGCAGTAAACGTGGCCAAAGAAGAACTAGATGGAAGAGAAACAACAAGTCAGAGGCCACACAATAATGATAGCTCAAAATGGCTATGAGTACATAAGGAGCACGCTCTTGAAGGTTTCTAAAAATTCTTGGGCAATACTTTGGGAGGCATTGTAAGCAGAATAAAGATGTCCGTGTCCTAATACCCAGAACCTGTGAATATGTTAGGTTATATGGCAAGAGAGGATTAAGTTTATATGCAGGTATGGTTACCAATCAGCTGACAAAATAGGAAGATTATCCTGGATTACCTTGGTGGGTCCAGTATAATCAAAAGGGTCTTTAAATTGGGGGAGAGGGAGGTACAAGATACAGTGTCAGAGTGGTGCAGTGTGAGAAAGACTAAAGCAGCCACTGGTGGCTTTTAAGATAGAAGGGAGCCACAAGTCAAGAAATCCAGGCAACTTCTAGAAGCTGGAAAAGGCAAGAAAACAGATTCTCCCCTAGAGCCTCCAGAAAGGAACACAGCCCTGTGACACCTTGATTTTAGCCCAGGGAGACCCATTTCAGACTTCTGACTTTCGGAACTAAAGGATAATAAATCTGTGCTGTTTTATACTACTAAATGTATGGTAATTTTTTACTGCAGTTTCTTAAAACTAACACAAGAGGTATGCAGCTCAGATCTTGCTAGTATGGGACTGAGCCTGAAGACATCAGAACCACATAAATATAAAGCAGTATTATCAGGCAGATAGGATCCCTGTGACTTGGAGGCCTAGGTTTGACTAACTTTAAACCCCTCCTCAGCCCTTCAAGTGGGAGACTTCCTATCCCTTCACCCTTCCGGAAGGAAGGAGGAAAGAAAGAGATATTTTCATCAGAGATAAGTGTGGACTGTAGGAGTAAGGGCAGCCAGGAGGGGTCTTGCCAATCAAGACTGATGAGTAATGCAGCATGAACACAAGAGCTTCCAGTCCAAACAACAGGTGGCACAGAAAGAGGGGGAGCTGGGAACCATGAATCCAGAGAGCAAGCCAAATTTGCCACCAAGAATGTGAGGCCAAAGGAAGCAAAAGCTGAAGGTTCAGATGTAGAGGAAGCAAGAAGAAAGGAGGGTTCAGGAGGGGACTCCCCACACAGTGCTCCTCACCATTCTTTGTGCTATGGTCTGAATGTTTATGTCCCCTCAAAATTCATAGGTTGAAATCTAATCACCAGTGTGATTGTTGTAGGAAATGGGGTCTCTGGAGAAAATTGGGTCATGAGGACAGACTTCTCATGAATGGGATTAGTACCTTCATAAAAGAGGCCTAAGAGAGACCCCCTCATGCTTTCCCCCATGTGAAGACACAGCAAGAAGCTACCATCTATGAACCAGAAAGTGAGCCCTCATCAGACACCAAATCTGATGACATCTTGATCTTGGACTTCCCAGCTTCCAGGACTGTGAGAAACAAGTTTCTATTGTCTGTAAGCTACCCAGTCTAAGTCAGGTATTTTGTTATAGCAGCTTGAATGAACTAAGACACCCTAAATAGGCCAGTTGCTTGGCGTGGAGATAAAGAACGAAACCTTGATGAGGCCTGGTAGAAGTCAATGCCCATTCCCCATGACCAGGATGAAGCATGATGTCAGGATGCTGCCTGCCCTCTGTGCAGGTTTTAAGCCCCTTTGAGACATAAGAAGCAGATGGTGCTGCTCTTCGGATCATATTCCACAGGTGCTTGACCCTTGCCCAGATGGACACCTGAATCTTCTTGGAAATCCTAACTTCAGAGGACCTGTGCCAGATAGGCCACAACAGCTACCTCTCAATGTCCCCAAGTACTACTGTGTTCTGAGATGGAAAGATTGAACATTAAAAGCCATATCTTTATTCTGTACTTCATTCTGGAAGTACTGAGTCTGGGAAGAACTCAGAGAAGAAACGTAGAGCTCCCTTCTCCACCCTGAGCACTGCAGAAGAGTCTGGATAGAAAAGGAAGTTCTTGGCTCAGCTGTCTGGTGCAAGGGAGAGGAAGAATCTCTCATGTACCCACTTCCTATCTAGAAGCAGACTGAGAACTGCCAAGTATGTTATGTAAGATTGTCTTGACTTCTACAGAAATGCCACTTAGTGGGGGTTGAAGAATGGAAGGCTGGCCAATCTAACTCCTATACCCACCCCTAGGACTCTCCTAGGAAGAATACCTCCCTCCCTCCCCGCATTGTCCCATCCCTAACCATGCCCTAGGCAGACCTCCAGGATGCTACTAGGAGCAATGGACTCCAAACTAGATAGTCACTGTACTAGTTTCCTAGGGCTGCCATAAGAAAGCACCACAAACCAGGTGGCTTTAAACAATAGAAATTTATGCTTTCACAGTTCTGGAAGCTAGAAATCCAAAATCAAGGTGTTGGTAGGGCCATGCTCCCTCTGAAGCCTCTGGGGGAGGATCCTTCCTTGCCTCTTCTAGTGTGGCCTTCTTCCTGTGTGTCTGTCTTTATATGATGTTCGTGTGTGTGTGTGTGTGTGTGTGTGTGTGTGTGTGTGTCCATGTCCAAATTTTCCTCTTCTTATAAGGATACCAGTCACATTGGGTTAAGGATCAACTCTGCTCCAGTATAACCTCATCTTAAGTGAGCTAATTATGTCCACATGACGCTATTTGCAAATAAAGTACTGGAGGTTAAAACTTCAACATACCTGTTTGTAGGGGGCACACCACAGTTCAACCCATAACTTCACCACTGGCTATTCTGCTAGAATCCTTTTTTCTACTTTTACATTCTTCATAATGTGCAACACACTTCCATTGATATCATCTCTCATTTCTCAATTATCAACCATGGGGTGGGAATTGGGAAGGTAGGAGCAAGAATTTCCAGAGGGAGACTCTGTAGTTTTAAAATATCAACAAAAAAACAAACAAGGGTCTGATAGTTGTTTCAGGGAAGGGTTTTACTCAACCCCTTCAGAATCATCTAGGGAACTTGTAAATATAAAATAATATGCATGTTATCCCAAAATTATATTTGTAAAATTAATTGTATTTGTATATAAATGCTGAACTTGACCCAAACCAATTAAATTGAAATTCCTGGGGAATGGTACCCAGGCACTGGTATATTTTTATTATTTATTTATTTATTTTATTATACTTTAAGTTCTAGGGTACATGTGCACAACGTGCAGGTTTGTTAGGTTTGTTACATACCTATACATGAGGCACTGGTATCTTTTTAAAGCTCCCAGGATATTCTTATCTATATCAAGGACTGAGGACCCTGTCCTGGGTGAGACTTGCTGCTGCAGTGAGTGGCCCCAGCCCTGCAGTTAGTAGCTATTCTCATTCCTGTCTATTGAGAAGCCACAGAATATAGAGAGGATACTTAAGAAAACTTTACATAAGCCCTGTTATCTGAGTGCAGAACATGGTTGCTCAAGAATGGTAGCCATTTATTCCCCTCTGAAAGGTGAAATGATGGAATAGTAACAGAGCAGGAGCAGAACCGGAACCCAGGCATCTGAATCCCGGTTTGAAATGTCAGCTTCAGGTTTAGAGTTCTGCCAGGGTAAGACTCCCTTATGGCAGTTTTGGTCTGGCACTCAGAAGGAAGACATCATTCCATCTGGCTAGGACAGAGCCACTTTGGGGGATGCTGGTAGTGGGTGCTCTATCAAACCTCATGTTTCATGCAAGATGGTCTTACTGTTTGATCCCCCCATTGGGCTTACAGCTACAAATAATTCATTTTTCACCGTGGGCTATTAAACTCACGGCTCTTTCAGCCTATACAGTTCACCAGGGTTTCCAAGGGTTCTATTTGCTAGTTAGAGACCCCCATTGCCTTTAACGACTAAGACATTGTGGGATTCCAAGCCTGTCATCCAGCACACCAACCACCCCTTCCTTGAATGTGACAGAAAGGCTGCCAATGTCCTCCAATTCATTAAATATTTTTAAATGTTCAGTTGGCAGGACGGTCAGCAGAGTCCTGCCTCAGGCCCCCAGAACTTCCCGCAGTCAGTGTGTTCATACCAACACGATTATCCCCCAGCCAGTGTATTCATACTGACACAATTTTACCCCAGCCAGTGTGTTCATATTGACACAATTATCCAGTGTTCCTCAACACAATCTTTCCCGGGCTGTGATTCCATCGCTACCACCATTCTCCAGTCTATGTTTTTCCATCTTAGCCACTAAGATGTCACAACAAATTTTACTTAAGGCCAAAGATACAAATATATTATGTCTAAAATAGTCCCCATTCATACCAGTCTCAAATTAACACCAAATAAGGAAATTGTCTGACATGGCTTGTTTACAATGAACCCGTGCTAATTCCTAGTGATCACAGCTTTCTAAGAATTCACACACTATTCAAGGAGAAAATGAAAAAAATTTTAGTAATTATCCCAAGGCGAAAGTCAAGCTCACCAGATAGTAGTCTGCAGGCTCTGCCCTCTTCCCTTATTTGAAGAATTGAAGCACATTCTCCCTTTTCTACTCCTCTAATACTGTTTCTGTTCTCCAGAATTCTAAGAGCACTGATAGTGGGGCAGCAGTCTCACTTGTATATTCCCTCAGCACCTGGAATATCACTCCTCCCCAAAGAAACCTGAACTTATCTGCAACAACCAGGTGCTCTCCTTACAATCCCCTGACCTGGCTTCAGTTTTCTGTCTCCTTTTGCCAATGTTTTGAGCCTTTCCAGGTGGGGCTGGGAAAAAAAATATTATCTGTGGTAGAGGAAATAGCAAAATGGGACTCAATTTTGAATCAATGACCCTAAGTTTAGAACTCTTGCTATTGTCCCTTTATCTGCAGACAAAAAAATTTCTAGAACCCTGGAGAAGGTTGAACCTACTAAGGGGGCTAAAAGGACCCTATAGAAGGAGGCAGCCAAGACCAGTCATACGACTCATCAACCGAGCACAAAACCACCACAAAAACTGATAGAACTGATAGCAAAGGAAAAGTACCATGGCCCTAGTTCTCTTCAGAGGATGACAGCATCACCACTCGTTGTAGACATCATGGCAGTGGAGACTAAGGCCAGCCCTGCTTCCTCATGTGCAGTTCCTGTCACAGCATTCATGTATGTGTGTGAGGGTGAGGTGTATGTGACCGTATCTCTTAAGAGTGTGTCTATTTACAAAGGAGTTGTGACAATGGATACTAATGGCAGAGTCCTTCACATAGATGCAATGTAAGTAGTAGGGACTTCAGAAATCAGCCTTCATTCTCTCTTAATTCCTCATACAATCATCAATCAATCAATTAGCTGAACTTTCAAATGACTGATCTCATGGGTGGCTCTTTTTGAATAGAAGCTTTCAATTCTTCAGCTACAAGGGAAAGAAAATTCCTTACAGTATAAATATGCCCTTGAGATATTTTCCTTGGTAGCATCCAGCATGAATTGAATGCTTACTATGAAATATTCTGACCAATTTACATTCTTTAACTCCCACAATAGCTCTATGAGGTCGACATTACTCAAATCCTCATTTTATAAGGGAGGACACTGACACACACAGACATGCAGTAACTTGGTCAAGTTCACACTGGTGAACTTGAAAGTGATGGAGCTGCTAGTTGAACCCGTGTAGATTGACTGTAGAACACTGTAATAACTTGAGAGCAAAACTGGTCCAATTTTCTGTTCCTTCCTCTATCTGTGCTTAGAACCCTGTCACCAATATGAGAACTACCTCAGGCTAGCCTGCTGGAAGATAAGAAACAACATGGACCAGAGCCAAGTCATCCTAGCCAAGGCTATCCTAGACCAACCAACACAGCCACATTCTCAGCTGATCACAGATGCATGAGCAAGCCCAGCCAAGATCTGCAGAACCACCCAGAGAAACCCATAGACTCATGAAAAATCATAAATGTTTGTTGTTTAAGCAACTAAGTTTGGGGATGGTTTGTTACATACTAGTAGTTAACTGATACAAACAACCATGCTGGACCACTATACTATATTTTCCTTCAAATGATACTGGCTTCACTTGACTCTAGGATCCTCCAGGAATGGATAGCTCCAGCTGTGAAGAACCTTCCTTTAGACTATCACCTCATTGCTCCTCATCCCTGTCTTACCCCTGCCCCTACCATTATGCCAACCCATAAAGGCAGTTATAATTATTCCTCACCTTTATTCCTTAGTTTTTTCTGGAGTAGAGAGGAAACCAGGGTGCCTCAACTCTAGCACAATTTTGAGCTCTGTTTCCTTGCCTACTTCTTTGCCCATCTCTCCATCATTTAGGAGGTGGGTTGGAATTAGCCACAGTCAGTTGTGCCAAAATAATATACCAGGGTAATGAGAAGAAGGCACAGATAGCGCTGGGAATCAACCCCTCGCACCTTTGGCCTGTCTCTCAGGGTGAGCTTCTTACTCAGTAGTGGTGGGGACCCAAAGTCCCTGAAGGCATGCTCCTGCTTTGTCACCTGATCCCCAAATGAAACCTTGCAAAGCTAAATTCTCCCTGCCTGCCAGGACTCAGGCAGGGGGCAGCAAGCAGTACCTACATAGGACTGAATGGCCCCAGCTGCTCAACTCGAATTTAAAAATAATTTGGCAATGTGTTCCACAGAGTGAAAGCCTTCTGGGGCATTTCTGCCAGATGCCTCCAGCTACTGGGTTCCCACGGAAAGGGAGTGTCAAGTCCTGGGCCCAGAAGATATTCTGGGGATCTGGAACAGGGTACATACTGAAGGCAATCCATTAAAAATGGGATTAGAAATCTCTCAAAGAAAGAAAAAGATACATAAAACATAACTGTTTTTCTATTGGAATATTTTAAAACTTTTTTTTTGCTATTAGGCACTCAATAAATGCTAAATGATGCTAATTCTTCTAGCACTTCTTGCTTTATGAGTGAAGCTTGGATCGTGGGGATTCATTGCTCAAAAGGCCAATAGCTAAGTGACCTGGGTTGGTGAAGAGAAACCAATACTCCCCAGGGCAAATCCAGCCTCACTGTGCCATTAAACACTCAGCACCCCTCACTCATTACACTTCAACAATAGTTTAGTTTTAATTTCTTTCCTTTATATTTCACAGCCCTAAAGGAAAATGTCCTGTGACAATTCTGTAATAGTGAGACAATTACTGGTGACTCAGGGCTCCCTGCTGCCTCTGCATCTCACAGCGGAGGAGCAGGCAGAGACTACTGCTTCCCATATAGGAACAATTTGGTTTGTGAATTAGGAAAGTCAGCATCAAAAGGAATCTTAAAAAAAAAAATGCCTATGTAAGATAAAAATTTAGCCCAAGGATCCTATTTCAGGATGAGAGTCGATTGTAGGCACTGAGTCCCTGAGGAAGCTCTTCAAATAGACACACAAATATTTCAAGCAGTGACTTGCCCATCTGCCCCACTACCCACAGCATCCAGGCAGTCCACAAGGATCCAGACCCTGGGTTCCCAAAAATCTGATTTCTCCTTTTTGTTATCCAAACTCTCTCCGTTTCACCTTTACCGATAAATGAGGAGGAGGCAGTAAACTGATGTGCTCCTTGACAGCAAAAACTCTGTCATCTCTGCAACTCAAGCACCCAACCCAAGCCTGAGTCTGGACGAACAAAGTTTAAGGCGTCCTAGGGTAGAGGACAAGGGCATTCCCAAGTTCCCAGTGGATTGTGCTCCAAAGCTCTTTTGTAAACTGGTAGTTTCGAACTTGGAAAGCATTTTCTTTTTCCATAAGTATAAAGCTCTAGAGGAAGCCTAAGTCCTTAGACTAGGTCATACAGCTCTATTTAGCCACAAAAATCTAATAATGCATCCAAAGTAGAGAACTTCAGCTATTCTATTGCTTCCTCCTAAATAACCATTGAAAATACTGCTTTCATGAGAAAGTGTGTTCCAACTTAGCATGCCAGAAACAGATTTCCATTTTCCTCAAGACCAAGAATGAGCTTTTCCTACTAAAAAAAAAAACAAATAAATAAAAGGGAAGAGAAAAAATAAGAGAAAGGCAAAGGGAGAGAAGGTGTTGGCTATACTAGAAATAGCCCTGACACGGGAGATACAACTTTGCAAGGAAGGTGAGATAAGACAGAAACTTCTGGGTGAGAATAAGATATCCTGAAGTATTTTTCTACTTTTATGTAACATGTATTCCACAATTCTTTAGTTTAAAAACTTGCCTTAAGTGTTCTAAATTAGGAACTAAAAAGCAGTTCCTTTAAGGGGAGTTTGGAGAAGGGAGAGATTTCTGGTTTGCGGGTCATAAATCAATGAGCCAGAGACAGCCTATGTTCACCTAAGACAACACTCTTGATTTCTGTTCTTCCGTTTCTTGGCTGATTCAGTCATGATGCTAATAATATTCTAACTTTCAGGTTGATAATGTCAGCTTAAAATTGGGAGGAGGAAAGATATTGGACTGTAAGCTTCTTAAAGGGCAGGACCACTTTCTATTCATTTCCATATACCCCAGTCCCCTCAGTGCTCAACATATGTAATTCATCAACACATAATATAATTTAAGGAAGGGCTTTAACTTTTCAATGTAGTAGCAAAACATGTGGGCTTTAGAGTCAAACTTCTCAGATTCAAATCATTTTTCCTCCCTGAAAAGGAGGGAAGCAAGCCTGCCTAACATCCTTGAGTTTTCTCATCTGGAAAAAATAGTGGTAACAGTACTTACTTCACAGAGTTGCTGTGGGGATTAAATGCATTTCTGTTTCTAAAACACAGAACACTGTACCTGCCCCACAGTTAGCACTTGACAGATCTTAGCAGCTATTATTTTTCCATGATCATTGAGCTAATTGTCTTGTATCTTGCCCGCAAATTAGTTTCTCAGGGAATGTGGTAAACATAAAAGTTGGTTGGTATAAAGGGTTAAATTGTGAACCCCAAAAGATATGTCTACTCAGAACCTGAGAATGCGACCTCATTTGGAATAAGAATTTTTGCAGATGTAATTAAGGCAAGGATCCCCAGATGAAATTATCCTGAATTAGGATAAGCCCTAAGTCTATGTCCTTATATGAGACCAGAAAAGAAGACCCAAAGACGTGGGAAAGGCGGCCATGTGAAAACGAAGCCAGAGATTGGAATCATACTGCCACAAGCCAAGGAAAAGCTGGAGCCACCAGAAGCTGGCAGAGGCAAAGACGGATTCTTACTTAGAGTCTTCAAAGGGAGTGTGGCCCTGCTGACCCGCTGATGTGGGGCTTCTGACCTCCAGAACTGTGAGAGAATAAATGTCTGTTGCTTTAATCCACCGAGTTTGTGGTCATTCGCTGTAGCAGCCCTAAGAAACAAATACAGCTGGGTCCAGGTGACTTTGGAACAACCTAGATTTAGTGAGGGAAACAAGCCGAAATGCAAATTGGTGATGATCATGAGCTGTCCTTTTTTTGAATTGTGTACTGCAGGGAAATTCTCTTTAGGAAGGGATAATCACCAGCTTCAGGGACTGGAATGTTCAGGCCAGCCTGTGCTGTCCATTTCCAGCCAAAGACATTTCTGCTGAGAATCCTGAAAACATTCTGCATTTTTCCACAAGGAATAAAGTGGAAATATTCAATGTGTGATGAGACAATGGACAGAGTCAGCTCATACCTGGCCCCAAATAAATGGGCAGATGATGCAGCTGTCAGTGACTGACCAGTGAACCCACCCACACTGATGCCCACAGCCTTCCTCACTCCCCTCTATGGAAGTCAAGGGGGTCATTAGCCAAAGACTCAAAGCTAAGGAAAGATACCTGCTTGTCAAGAGACCAACATAATTGTATATTTCCACTAACTCTATTGATTCTTGCAATTATATCTATGAAACGGATCTCTTTTTAAGGGAAAAATATATCCAGGTCATCTTCAAGATCCTTTTAAGCCTTTGGAATTTTAAAGAAGTCCTCAGTAAAGAGTCATGAGAGACAGTTGAATCCACTGATGTTGAGAGAAATGATATTCACTCATTTGCTCTCTTATAACTCCTGGGGAAAAATAGCAGCAGACAGAGCAGTGACAGTCAGAGAGGGGTGACTTTTTTGGAGCAAAGGCGTTAGACGAGATGACACATGCTGACAGGTTCAGCAAATAGTGGATGCTCTGCCAATCAGCAGGTAATTTCTGTGTGTTTGCAAAGTGGGAAAGATTGTGAGTCACGCAGTATTTCAAAGCAGGTCACGATGACCCTGTGTGTGATCTTCTAATGTGAAGGTCAAGAGAAAGGAGAAGGTGGATAAAGGAAGAAAAGGGAAAAGCAAGGAGACCCATGTACAGGCAAATCAACCACATCAAGGCAAGTTGCCACCTATTTCCTGACAATACCCAGGGAACCTTCCTAATTACCTGTTTTATTGACATCTGAGGCTCACAGGTAACCAGCACTTCATTAACTCATAAATCTTTTTTTAACTTGTGAAAGTCACTTCTTCCCTGACTCCATCAAGGTTTTATTTTCTTCCCTTACTGGGTAATTTACTCAATTTATTTCCAGTAAAGAAAGGGTTGCCGGGAAAAGGTCAGTGAGGAAAGCCAGAGGAAGAAGCCACACGCAGTATTCTGGATCCCAACATACCCTGAAAAGGATTTCATTGTTTCACTGACAAGAATTCCAAAGCACTGAAAATAGTCACATTCAAATAGAAAAAAAATTAATTCTGAAGCCAAATGGATTCAAAGGATTTTTGTCATTATTTTTCATTTGCTTTTCTCCACTGAGGGGGCGGAGAGAGAGAGAGAGAGAAAGAGAGACAGACAGACAGACAGGCACTGAACTGAGATCGATTCCAATGAAACACACAGGTAAATAATTTGAATGCCTTTTTAAAATACATAAATGCTTAATTTCTGTACTTTTCATCAAAGAGCTTTTCTGGGGAAAGGATACATTTTTAGCACTAGAAATTAAGTAGCACTCACACAGGATGCACACATTTGGTCAATCCATAACCCTTCAAAGAGAACTGTGCAATTCTAATTGACAGAGTAATTTTAAAGTAAATAACTTGGTGAATATAAACCCAACATATTTTTCCTGGTTTGGGGAAGAAAAAAGCTGTACAATGTACGTAAATATGCTAAGATTTAAAATAAAATAAAATAAAACCTCTTATCATTCTTGTCCAAGAATGTCACGTCAGCCATTAAGGTTGTGACAATGGCAAGTGTTGAACACACATGAGCACACATAATCACACTGAGAATCTGCTGACTGATTATTGCTGACATTGCCTAGTTCAATCTGATTCATCATTTGCACAGGAACCAAGAGACATTAAAAGGGCAGGAGGTTACACTAGGGGGAGAGAAACAAAGCCTTAAACTAAGTTGGGATAAGGATCCTTTTCTAACAATTGCCCAATTCTTGGGATCCACTCTGTCCCGAGGCAGGCAGTAGAGACTTAGTTACTCGTATTCCACATCTGGAGATCTGGAGGCTTCTCCCAAGATGGAAGAGATGAGTGGTGAGAGAATATGAGATTATTAGAAGAAGCTTGGCTGGGCACAGAAGCAAGCTAAGTGGAGTCAATAGAGTGGAAGGGTCTATTTAAACATATACACCCCCCTCCCCCCCGCCAAAAACACACACTCTTTGCTGCCTCACATTTATCACCTTAAGAAATTTTTGAACACCTGGTCTGTATACAAATACATAACAAGAAAGGAAAAAAATATAGATGATCTCTTATCAAAAGTACATATTATTTTGCTAAAGAGAAGCTACACCTTAATCCTGATATTCAGGAAATTATGTTGCCACATTAAATAAATGGTGAGGGGTAAACCATTTGTAAAAAAAAATCAAAGCACACACACAAATCATTCCAGACACCATTTCCCATTTTCTGACTTATTACTATACACAATGCAGCTTTTAGCTCCTGCATTCTTATATCCTTTTGAATGTTCACCAGACTATTAATTTAAAAAGCCAGGTGCTTCGTCTGCTCCTCTAATCGCTGTGACCTGTTTTTGTGATTCGAAAAAGGCAAAAAGACTAACTCTGGCTTGGGTGGGAATCATTTTTGGAATAGTGGTTGGTGGTTGTTCACATCTGGATTAGGTATAAAATGATAAAATTATGATGATGAACATCAGAGAGCCTCATCTGCATATAAATAGACCTAATCAGAAATGCAAATTGCAATCAGGAGAAATTTTTAAAGGCTGTGATAGCTGTGTGATTGTGCAGATAAGGAAAGGTCAACATTTGTATTGTTAAGGCAGTTAAATGGCTCCCAGCCTGCCCAGAGCCTTCCTTTGAAAGAGACATATGGAAGGTACAAATTATCTCTCAATCTGCACCCTGGTTGGGAAGGAGTCCCTGGATAGCTTCATATTCCATAACTAGAGCCGTGAGCTGGCCATACATCAGCCCGATTCCAATGAAAGGCAACCCAACCTCTTGTACAAACCACTAATGAATACACAGAATAGAAAGTATACTTGCATTTAAATGCTCTCCAAACAGACCTCTTTCCGCACAATTTTCCACTGAGACGGAAATTAAGGGATGGAGAGTAAGATATAGCGCTGATGTAACATTTTCTGATACATTTCAATGCTAGTCTGAGTGAATACAGCAATATGATATACATATGTTTTCACTGAATACTAGAGAAAGTATGTAATTAAAAAGAAAACACTAGCATTTAGACAGATTACTTAATCCACAATTCCATTCGTAGTCTTATCGTGCAAAGTACAAAAAATGAGTATCTCAGAAAAAGCTGAGTGCTAAAAATAGGCAATTGTTCCAACATGGTCTTATTATTCCTTGGGGTATGTTATCTTTCAGGAACATCCTCTTCTCTGTCCCCCCCAGCCCCCCTTGCTTTTTCAAAGAAAATATATTTCACAATCAGGCTTTGTCAGGTTTGGAGAGAAATTGCTTGCAAACTATTTATTATCCCTCTAACCAGACGCTTTCACAAAGAACTAATGAGTCAAGAGCGCCATCTTGTGTCTTACCTTGGAATCTTAAAGAGTGTTTTCACAGGATGCATGTCAAAGAGGGGAGGGTCTCCATCCCCCAGTTCAATAGCTGTGATCCCCAAGGACCAGACGTCACAGCGAGCGTCATAGGAAGAGTCATACTGCTGCTCACAGGCAATGACCTATTGGACAAAAGCAGGACATGACACATCAACCCTACTGCCACATCAGATGTCCTAAAAAGGCCCTGGGCTGATCT
This sequence comes from Homo sapiens, assembly GCF_000001405.40. Lineage (NCBI taxonomy): Eukaryota > Metazoa > Chordata > Mammalia > Primates > Hominidae > Homo > Homo sapiens. Next base: position 170,235,913 of record NC_000002.12, on the reverse strand, counting down.
TAGCCCCGTTCTCAGTTTTCTTGGCCACGATGATATTGAATTCCAGTAATAAGATGTGTGCATTCTAGGCCTTATTTGTGTATAACCAATTTATTATCTTATACGTTCATTAGCTTTTACAAATGTGTCAGTTTTGTTTTTAAAAAGCATGCATTGAACCGTCTAAGTAACAAGAACAGTGCAAGGGGAGGAAGCGGATGTATACCACACCATCCCAACCCTGCTATTCTTTAAGGAAAGGCTTTGTCTACATCCTTCACCTCATTACCAGCTACTGAATTCAATAACAAGCAACAATTGTTCTCAAAGATGCTTGTGTACTTTGAGATGCATGAAATTCCCGCGAGTATAACCAACTAAGCAGAGAGATGTTGGAAGACCCACATGGTTAACATAAAGTAGAAATGACCCCACTCCACCCTTCCCTTTTTCTAAGAGCATCTTTCCCCTCCTCAAACTCCAACAATGGTATGCATCACAGAAACAACTGCCATTCCAGTTACTTGGCCTGACTAGGTACAAGAGCAGCAGAACCAGAAAATGACCCTGGGCTTGTCATTGGGTTGAGGAGTCTGTAACCCTGTGGAGGAATGTTTTTATCAACTTTTTGAGTCAGGCAAGAACATCTCCTACACTCAGACTCTGATGACTATCACAATGGCGATAGGAGAAGTCAGGAGTGAGCCAGAGGATGTGGAGGACCAGGAACTCCTATTTGACCTAAAATCTGCCACCAGGATGACCCATGGCCATGGCCAGGTGGGAGACTTCAATGTCTGATGATCCAAAACATCAGGGAGGGGCAACACCTATAATGGTGAGCACAGGAAGACCAGAGTAATAGAGACACCCTCTTAGGCCATCATAATGTCTTTAGTTTTTTTCATTCCAAATGAAATGAGACTACTGACTGTGGTGAGCAGAGGAGTGACAGATCTAGCTTATGTTTTAGCAAGATCACTCTGGCTACTGTGCAGAGGATAGATTATGAGGAGAAGAAACAAAACCAGTTAAATATGTTACTGCAGGGATCCAGATGAGAGATTGTGAGATGGCGAGAAATAATCAGATTCTAGGTATAATTTTGAATGTACAGCCAACTGGATTTGTTGAACAGGGCTTAGAAGAAAGGAGAGCTAAGGAACACTCCAAAGTTTTTGACATGAGCAACCACCAGAATAGAATTGGTATTTACTAAGATGAGGAAGACAGTAGGAGGGGCAGGTTTGGGGTGAAGAGTGGACCTCCATTTAGGATATATTAAGCCTCAGATGCCTGGGACACTTCGAAATGGAGAAGAGTATTTTAGCCTGGTGAGACTCATACTGGACTTCTGATCTAGAGAATCGTAAGATAACTGCTATGGTCTGAACATGCCTCCCAAAATTCATGTGTTAGAAATTTAATCCCCAGTGCAACCAATGGAAGGTGGATCCTTTTGGGAGGTGGTTAGGTCATGAGAATTCTGCCCTTGTGAATGGATTAATGCTACCATGAAAAGGGCTTGCAGGACTGGGTTTGCTCCCTTCTGCCTTCTGCCATGTGAGGACATAGTATGAAGGCCCACACCAGATGCCAGCACTTTGACCTTAGGCTTCCCAGCCTCTAGAACTGTGAGAAAATAAATTTCTGTTCTTTATAAATTACCCAGTCTCAGATAATCTGTTATAGCAGCATGAAACAGATTAAGACTAAGAAACAGGTGTTTTTTTTTTGTTTTGTTTTGTTTTTTTTTTTTTTTTTGAGACGGAGTCTCACTCTGTCGCCCAGGCTGGAGTGCAGTGGCGGGATCTCGGCTCACTGCAAGCTCCGCCTCCTGGGTTCACGCCATTCTCCTGCCTCAGCCTCCCAAGTAGCTGGGACTACAGGCGCCCGCCACTACGCCCGGCTAATTTTTTGTATTTTTAGTAGAGACGGGGTTTCACCGTTATAGCCGGGATGGTCTCGATCTCCTGACCTCGTGATCCACCCGCCTCGGCCTCCCAAAGTGCTGGGATTACAGGCGTGAGCCACCGCGCCCGGCCAGAAACAGGTGTTTTAAGCCACTAAGTTTGTGGTATTGTTATGGCAGTGATAGAAAACTAGTATTCCTGCTCTCTTCCAGAAACAGTGCATTGGACCTGTAAGGCCTGGCAAAATGTGCCAACTGTGCAAAATGTGCTCTAAACTCTGTGCTCTTGTTCTCATAATTGCCCTGTACTCTTCTCTTCTGAGCTGAAGAACATTTTCTATATATCCACATCCTTGGCCTGGCCCCAGCCCCATCTTCTGAATAGAATATCCTGTCATACTTTTAACACGTTATTTTCAAATGTACATTCAAACTGAAGTTCAAACAATTCCAGTTTCAGAACCAAAGGCCATTTCATTGCCCCCAAAGACCTCCCTTTCCTCACCCCAATCAGGTGAGAACCTACATTATTTTTAAAGATCCCTAGAGAAGGCTATTCAACACCTTCCCTTTCAGAAATGACACTTTCGAAAGTGTAAGACAAACATAATTTTAGACCTATCAATCAACAAATAGTTCACTGTTATTCATGACACTGTGATAGGGCCTGTGAGGGAGAGAGAAATAAGACTCTGTCCTTCCCCAATAGGAGCTATGGCCAATCAAAATATAAGGTGAACCTATCATAATTAAATGACAAACCATGACAACTATAAATGCCCTAAGACAATGTGTACTAACACGTCCAATAAAGGATATGGGCTCTAAATGCTTAAGATTTTAGAAGGAGACCACTGCTGGCTAAGCAAGACAATAAAAAGTATCTAGTACCCATAGTCTAGAACTTTTGCGGAGAAATTCAAATCAGCTTCTAGCCAACTTGGATGGGACACAAAAGGCAATTCTAAGAACATATCTAAATGTGAAAATGGAGATATTCTAACATTTCTCAAGCGTTGTCCTAAAATATTCAAAACTTGTATCTGGTTTCAACTTCTCTTTACAGACAAACATTATCTTCAGCTCATTCTGATGAATAGAAAATCATATCTTGGCCTAATTCTTCTCTTCAGTGCATCATGTAACAAAGAAATTATTTAAGTTCAGCCTTCCAAGGAAGTTTATTGAAAATTATGCTAATAAAATAATTCACAAATAATTATTGAGTACTCATTAGTCTGGCATGATAGTAGGCCCTGGGAAGAGAAAGTCAAATACACACTGAACTTAATCTTCATAATAATTTGGCAAAGTAGGTGCTATTATCACTTATGCAGGTGTGGAAACTGAGGATAGCATGGTTAAACAGCTTACCTGGCATCACATAGCTAGTAATTGTCAGGGCCAGAATTTGAACCCAGGCAGGGAGAAGGATAACTAAATGAATCATTGCCATATAAGTGCTATCTATAATAAAAGTTACAGTTGGTTAAAATTGTTAAAATTATCAGCTTCTGCACTCATATTTTGACTACGCTCAGGTGTTCTGAGGTTTTGTCATTTCAACTCCATCTTCTTTGGGGGTCTCTCATTCAGGATTGCTCCTTACCAGGAGGAAACAGCCCTTTCTGCAGGTTACACATACGATGAGAGTTAAAGAAGCACTCTTAAGAGGATGCAGGGCAACTGAAGGTCAACATCCTGGAATGGGATTCCCTATCAATCCAATACCAAAGTCTGAAGCTATTTCTTTAAGAGAAAACACTACTATCATTCTCTTTAGCTCAACATTCTCCTTGTCTCTAGGTTAAATAGAGCTGAGTTAAGGATGCTTGGATGGTCGAATGGTCTTTCTTCCCTTGTCCCCAGGAGAAGGTGACCTCAAAAAGAACTCTCTGAATCAGTTGTTAGGATGCTCCATTAAGAAAGGAGACTGACGAAGGCAAGTAAGTGCACGTCTTTGGGACCAGGTTTTCCAGGTTCTGTAAGTCACATTAAAGGAGTGGAGAGAAATGAGACGGTGTTGACAAAGGTCCAGGATCCCAAATGCACACCCTTTCACATCTGAAAACAAATCACTTATATTCTCAGGACCTCTCTCTATCTATAAAGTGGTAAGGTGGAAATAAATAACCTATACGATCCCTTCTAGCTCTAATATTCTACGACTTTGCGACTTCCAAGTAAGTGATCTTTGGGTAGTATCTCAAACTGAGAGGCTAACACTGCCATACAAATTAGCTAGAGTGAACAGTACATTATTCTGAGGTGTGAACAGGATGGCTGGAACTTTGAGGGGATTTTGTTGCCAATGTTTTGTAGAAGGTCTTAAGGTCTATGAAAATATGCTGGTTGCTGTAATAATGCCTCTGTTAAGGAAGATGAGCTTCAGCGACAGAGCAATTGTTTGGAAGCTGGTTAATGGAGCATGTCCAGGTTCCTACCTTGAAATGCAAACTTACGGCTCTTCTGGTACAGTTAGACTACACTGCTGCTTATTTTAGGAAGAAGAAAAACACTAATGCTGGATTACTAGCAATATCTATGCACTGGCAGCTTTAGTGCCCAAGGCCAATAGCTATTTTACCTAGCAGTGGGTTGAGACTCCCAAATGTTGGTCATTACCACCTTAGCTGCCAAAAACTTTTCTTTCTGGAGAAGATTGAGAACAAGAAACAAGTTTTCACTAATGGCTTAGCTTGACAGGTCTTTGGAGCAAAGGCTAGTCATTATCTGTCTTCAATTGTTGAGGCAATTCTCTTTAGCCTTCTTCAGGCTAAGGAGTTCACAGATCCAGACTCCTTAAATCTACCCCCAGTCACTCCCTCCTACCCCACAGAGGGAACACCTCCCCTCTCCTGCGGGAATCTATGGGATGAAACCACATGCACAACTGCTTTGACACATATCATCCCCTTGTCTGTCCTTGAGCAGGGTCAGCTGTGTTCTGTTGAAGATGGCTGTTCCTTTCCTTAGCCACCAGCCAGAAAATGGCAGAGAAAAACAACAGTCAGCAGCTCTTGGGTCACGAAGAGACTTTCACCTCTGACTAATGCTAGAAAATCCCAGAGCCTGGCATTTTTGTTTTGGTTTTGCCACCCTCTCACTGGGTGACTTTGACAAAATATTTTATCTCCCTGTACCTCTTCTTTGCAAGCAAACCAAGCAACCCCTTTTTCATGGGCCTCATCCGAAGCACTGCTTATGAAAATGCTGGTTATTCAGCTTTTACTATGGCACTAAAATGTTAATAGTAGATATCACTGGATCACTGACATATGGCTAATAATTATTTTATCTACTTACTTCTTTAAGATCTTTTATGTTTTCTAAAATGTCTATAGAGAGCATGGATTATTTCTATAATAGAAAGAAGCGAATTTTATGTTTTTTTGTCTTGAAAATATAAATAAATATTGAAAAGTTTGCCTTAATTTTCAAGGGCATGTTTCTTTCTTCTGGAGTATTTGTTGACTGCTGGGATTCTTTATCAAGAAGTTGGCAGGTTAAAGGTTGTATCTTGATTATATAACTAGGTCCCTGGCTGGATGTGGTGGCTCACGCCTATAATCCCAGCACTTTGGGAGGCCAAGGTAGGCAGATCACGAGGTCAGGAGTTAGAGACCAGCCTGACCAACATGGTGAAACCCCGTCTCTACTAAAAAAAAAAAAAAAAAAAAAAAAAATTAGCCAGGCGTGGTGGCACATGCCTGTGATCCCAGCTACTCCGGAGGCTGAGGCAAGAGAATTGCTTGAACATGGGAGGCGGAGGTTGCAGTGAGCCAAGATCACTCCACTGCACTCCAGCCTGGGTAACAGAGCAAGACTCTGTCTCGAAAAAAAAAAAACAAAAAAAAAAACTAGGTCCCCATGAGATTAATACCAGAAGAATGAAGCATAATTATTCATGTAGTATAATCGATAAATGTTATTGAACATAAGGCTTTCTAAAATAGAACTTCTCTGGAATCAGAAGTTGTAGTTACAGTATAACTATTCCAGTGGCAGATTTTTTTTAATCAGTTTTACAAATGAAATTCCCTTCCCAACTATATCCCTTTCTACTGTAAGCACAGGGCATGAGTAGAGTACTTTCACTTTCTCGGGCCATCATGATCCATGACTAGGACTTATTGATAAAGTTACCAAGATAGGAGTGAGTTCCACCCTCTCTTGCACAAAGACTTGGTGTATAAGAACCTGAGCTTACAGCTTCTCATCTCAAGATCTTCATTATCCAGAAAGATCATCTGTATTATACTATATGTGAAAGGGATAAAAACAGTCAATATATGAGCTTCTAGATTCAGAAAACCTAGTTTCTCTAATAAAATAGTTAAACCATTTATCGAATTTTATGTCAGAGAGCTGCTGGGCTGAAATTTCTTCCAATAATGTAATTTTAAGCAATGTTTTCAAGCAAATAGTATTATAGTATTTTTGCTGTCATAAGAAATAATTTATCAAACTTAAACAACAGGTATTATTCAGACTAATTTTCCACTAATATTTTTAAATGTCATTAAAAATGTAATTAGGTTTGCCTTCTATGTTCTGATTTCTCACCTTACTAGAATCATTCATGCAATCCAAAATTATAACCAAAGGTCAGGATTAAAATTTCACTCAAGTACACAGGCAAAATGCTGTTATCTCAAGAGCTACATTCAGCTAAATAAGAGGCAAGGCAAACAGACCTAAAGCTATTAATCCTTGGCTGACCTTGAGCCCAAAAATGCAGGCAATAGACTGGCAAATAAGATGGGCTGAGAGGTAGGAAGGCAAATAGGATTCTTAATTTGCTTACACAATTCATGCAGCATAATTGATAAATGTTATTGATCATAAAGATTTCCAAGTCAGAACTTCTCTGGAATCAGAAATTGTGGTTACAGTATAAATATTCCAGTGGCAAATATTTTTATCACTTTTACAAATGAACATCTTAAAGTGTTATAAGCTGAGATACTGAATAAACAAATGAAGTTTCTTACCTATGATGATACATAATTTCAAGAGAGGATACATTTGAGATTCGTTGTTTTTTTTTTTTTTTTTTTTTGTAAAGGGAATATGGACTAGATGAACTGAAATTGAAGTATTTGGCAGGGGGATGGTCTTTCATAAAACTAAAACTAGAGCTAAGATTAAATCCACATTTTGTACACTATGAAATTGTCAGAAATAATTTAAATTAGACTGTTCTTATGAACTTCAGGAAGGTCTCTAATTATAATGTGATGTTCTATGGGTCTCTTTTTTCCCAGGATTGTAAGTTTCAGCTTAAGTCTACAGAGAAATAAAGCCAGGTTCAAATTAAAAACACTCAAAGCACGCTTACACTACACCAGCTTCCCACCATAGCTAGTGGAGGGTAGAAGAGGAACTCACTCTGGGTTTGAGGTCAGCCCACACACTGATTTTTGCACCTAAATTCCCTGAAGCCCTGGGAACAGATCATTTATTCTTACTTGTGTGTTAAGTCCCGTTCTCAGACTCAGGACCAATATCTACAGAACTCCTAGCATGTCCAAATTTCGTATGTGTCCTTGGTACTCAAAAAGTGAAGGAGCACATTTGCTTGGAGACCCAGTGCAATCCCACTGTCCTTGCCTGTTCCAGAGCTTCCTCATACAGAGATGGACAATGAAAGGACCTTTAAGATTCACTCATTCAACCCCCTTCTTTTACAGAAGAGAAAACTGAGGGCCTGAGGGGAGAGTCAGTTGATTTGTCTGAAATCACACAGTTGGTTCATGACCAAAGCAGGAGCAAACTCCATGGTTACCTACCACCTTCCTGAGTGAGGCATCTCTTGGGAATCCTTATAATTATGGAGAATGCTGAGCCACTTCCAAACAGAGTCCATATTCAGAGAGCCGCAGTCACAGTAACATCTACGCTATGAACCCATAGGCACAGCACGCAAGCATTAAGCAGATGGATTTCCTGCCGCCTCTCACTTCCCTGTCCCTTCACTCTCCCTTGCTGCCCCTTTCTTTTGCCAGTTAGTGCTCCATTTCCACCAGAGTATGTTAAGGACAAGGAGAACCTCTACAATTCAGTCCATTTTACAGCTTGTCAGGTCACGTATTATTACACCAAGTCAGGAAACAGATTCAGAAAGTTAAGAGATATATGCGCTCAAGGCCACAGCTAGTAGGGGATAGAACTGAAGGAGAGCACCCAATCAGAAACTATTGAGGAAAAAAATGTTTTTCTCCTTCATGACACATCTGAAAAACAGGAAGGGAAGCAAATCAATCAGAGTATCTGAAAGTTCCCACTTGGACATACCCCTTCATCGGCAAGTATCTGTGGTTTCTGTCCTCACCCAGGCTGACAGCACCATGCAAATAAGGATGTCCTTGAGAATGTCATATGTTCCTGTTAGAGAGTGATTCTGTTTAGCTCTCTAAAATTAAAAAAGGTATGGGAGGCCGGGCACTGTGGCTCATGCCTGTCATCTCAGCACTTTGAGAGGCCAAAACAGGTGGATCACTTGAGCCCAGGAGTTCAAGACCAGCCTGGGCAACATGATGGAACCCTGTCTCTACTAAAAATACAAAAATTAGCGGGGCGTGGTGGCACATGCCTATAATCCCAGCTACTAGAGAGGCTAAGGCACAAGAATCGCTTGAGACCTGGAGGTGGAGGTCGCAGTGAGCCAAAATCACACCACCACACTCCAGCCTGGATGACAGAGCAAGACCCTGTACCCCCCCACTTCCCCTCACAAAAAAGTATGAGAAATACCCGGGACATAATAGAGCACAAGAAACACTAGTCCATCTGCCTCTACTTGTTCCTATTTCATCCTACTCAAGGCTCCTCTGAGGTCCCATCCCTCATGCTGACTGCTCTCCCCCATTTGCTCTCATGGTGGCTCAGTGGCCATCAGGCAAGGAAGCAAATGTAGAGTTTGGCTTGGGTGGGAATTCTCTTTCATGGGCTGAGACTGTACCCAGAACAGGGCAGTGGAGGCACTGACTGGAGGTCAGTCATGGGTAATTTGGGACCCAGAGCTCAGGAAGAGCTGAGGCCAACTCTGACATTCCTTCAGCAAACACTTCTGTTCCTGCAGTAACAGAATCAGTTTTTCCTCTTTTCCTCTTTGGTGGATGAAGAGAAGGGGCAACAGCAGATGCTTTGACCCTTCTCACCTCCCCAGAGAGGAGTGAGGACAGCCTTAAAAATTCCAAATGCTCCTGGTAGTTGTTCCTTTGACATTTCTGGCTTAGCACTTCTCACTCAGCACTCGGAGGGGATGTGAGGCCTCTGCTCTGGGCCTCACATGCTTCTGCACATCTGGGATCTAAAGCCCTCAGATAGGGTCTTATATTTAGACCCACCAGGAAGAGGGTAATAACATATCACCACCTCCTCCAGAATCAGCCCCCCGCCTCCACACTGACATATGACACATGACTCAACCTCCCCACAGAGCTCCAGCTGAGAGGGAACTATCGCTGGAGCTGAGGTGAAAACCTGGGGCTGCATCCAGTCATTTCCACCCCTTGCACCTTGGGCCGTTTGCCTGCTGGAACACTGAGCGTCTGGGTTGTGCCTCAGGGCCTTAGAAGACAGAACCACTCTGCAAATGTAGGCAGGCCAGGGCCAGCCTCAGAACCAGAGAAGGAATCTGTTTCTTTGAGCCTGACACACAATGCCTGGGGTGAACCAGGCAACAGCAAAAGGTTACGGAATCTCAGAGATGAATGTCTCTGGAGAAGGTAGGCAGGTCTTTCAGCCAATGATCTGAAGTTCTAAACCTCTCATTTAACTCTCCTGAGCTCCCAAAGCCTGCATTCCTCACAGTGATATGACCGGCAGACAGGGTCCCATGAATCTCCAGTCTTTTAACAGAGCCAGGTAAAATGGAACCTAGCAGCCACGGCATCAACATTAGTTCACTCTTACTGGGAACTTGGTGAGATCCCACCCTCATTGCTTGTGGAACATCAGAGCCATGGAATATGAGAACTGAAAGCAGGTCTTCCCTCTAAAAACAGTAAATGTTCCCTGTAAAATAGACAGGACCTTAAAAGGCAAAGACTACCTAAGCCAATTTCTTCTTTTTTACAGATGAGAACAGGCTAAGCAGAGGTAGGCATAGGGGCAACATATGCCACCACTGTTAGAAGCCCCTATTGCGTCTGGCACTGCCCTGAACAGTTGCAGTACATTATTTCATTTTATCTTTTCAGGCAGGTTTTTTTCTCCCCATTTTACCTCTTTTAACTTCTCCCCATTTTACTAGTCAGAAATATTAAGTAACTTGCCTGAGGTTACTGGTTATATGGGTAGCAGGTATCTATGATTTGCTCCCAAATCTATCTGACTCTAAAATTTGTGCTTTTTTATTCAAACTGAAGCCATATTAAAATAACTGAACCACAATCATTTTCTAGAAAATGAGTGGCAGAGCCAAGAGTAAAATGTAAATCTCCTAAATTCAATTCTAAAGAACTTTATTTTATTTTTTCCATATCCTTCTCTTGGGCATTAATTACACTGGCTTTTAGCATCAGATTGAAATATTACATTTTCCTTCATATATTAGGAAGGATAATTCTCATCTATGTTAAGAATTGGGGGAAAAAACAATTCATGACTTATCTGGTACACTGGTTGTCACAATTAAATAATTTGCTGTGGTATAGTGGTTAAAAGTAAGGACTTTGGAGACAAATATCTGGGTTCAAACTCTGGTGGCATCACCTAATAACTTGTCCAAGGACAAGAATAATTACTTTCTGTGACTCATCTACTTCACCTAAAACATTGGACTAGCAATAGCACCCCCTTTTTGGTAGTGTTGTAAGATTTATAAATGAGTTAATACACACAACTCACTTAGCACCTAACACATAGTAAGCACTCGCTAAACGCTAGCTCTTATTTGGGAACCAAACCCATTAGCTAGAGCTTAGGGAACAAAATGGTAATAATGACAATAATAATAATTCAACTCTATAGTGTTGTATGTCTTTCTCAGCCCTTTGACACAAAATATCTCATTTGTCATCTCTAGCCCTGGCAATGCCAAAGGAAATAGCATTATCGTATCATTTACTAGGAATGGCATAATTAACAAAGGCAAGAGTGGCTGCAAAAAGCTTGCGATATTTCTGCATTAGTGTAAGCTAGTTGTTATGGCAACCGTCCCTTGTCAACGACCCTTTGCCAGGCAGAGAGAGACCCATTTTTGGAGCCGTCACAGCACATCTGTTTCTCTGCTCAGCTGATTAGCTCTTGTTTGCAACAATGAGCAGATGGAAGTAAAGAGGGGGAGAATTTTCTGAAAAGAAGCAAATGTTTATTTTATCCACAAGTCTGTTTTCCAGTACAGAAACAGACCGTTAGCTGTTTTAGGAAGATGCTGCATATACTAGATCCTTAATGCATGGCGGAATTGCAAAGTGTAGTCAACCTATAAATTATAGGTGATAGGTCCTTCATGTGCATCTTTTAAAATGATGTCTCACACTCCAATTTCAGAGTATACTTCCACTATATCTCTGCGTGTCTTTGTTATATGAGCTGGTGTCTCAGTTAGCTGGTACACATTTTCCACAATGAATATCCCATATGAACACACTGTAAAGTGAGAGTACAAGTATCCTTTCCCTGCCTTGGTTTCTTCATCTGCAAAATGGGACTTGCATTCCCATGCTCTCTGAAAAGCCAAACAGCTTCAATATTTACTAGGTATGTGAATTTGGGCTCGATTCCTCCTATAGCTCTTTAAGCCTCACTTTCCTCAGTGATCAAATGGAGAAAATAACATCCACTATTGAGAGCTGTTGTGAAAATGAAATAAAATATTTTAAAAGCCCCTATCATAGTCCCTGGTATAGAGTCAGTCCTCAGTAAGTGAAAGTTTCCTTCCCACTATGCCTCTGCTTAGCAAGTGCAATGTTCAAAATATCTGACAATCAGGTGGCATGTGGCACTGGCCATCCCTGCTTGTCAAACAGACCTTTCCCCCCATAGTTACTGGATCATCAGGTCAGAAATGTCCCAGGGTAAAAGACAGGGCACCTCTGGTGGCTGAGGAGCACTCAAGGGGCTCTGGATGGCAGCCATTTACCATCCAGAATGAATAGTTTAATATCTTAACAACCAGCCTGGCCACACAGTGTACATCAGCTAAATATAAGCCATTATTTTCAAAGTCTACTGGTGTCCTCAATAAAAACGATAATGACAACATTGGTTCTTTCTCTTGGGTTTCAGTCACTTACAAACACTGAGTTTAATTCTTTGCTATATGTGATGGTAGAAAAAGTTTTTTAGGTATCAACTACCCCTAACCCCCTGCCATTACCATTAATCAACATAAACTAGGCTTGTATCCCTTTTGCTATAGGCCAGGATATTACCTGGCATGTGTTTGATATAAAAATTGGTTGAGCAATATTAACAGCGGACACGGGTTACATTGGAAATCCCTTAGTTGAATAAGTCACAAAATATGGATTCCAGTCACCATTACCCACCTACCCACTCTGTGTCTATGGACACTTGGCCTGACAAAGCCTTAGATTCTTTATCTACAACATCAATGTAATCATGCCCGAGTGGCACTCTCACAGGTAGATGACAGTGTTTTTAAAATACTATTTGTAAAAATTCTACGCAAATGTGGGATACTATTATTCATATTACTTACTATAAGAAATTGGCTGTCAGGAGATAGTGGAGGAGAAAAGAGATAATAAACATGGCTAATAGGAAGACTGTGTTGTTTTTGTGAGTTTTTTTAAGTGCATAAAATGCAGGCTAAAGTTTTAGGTCAGGAGACCAGAGAGGCTTAATCAGGTAAAGAGAAGGTTCAAGGAAGTGACTATGAGCTGGCCAAACATCTCAGGAGATAATAATAATTTTAAAAATGCTTTGCCTGAGAGTAGGTAGGAGAGAACAAAAGTCTGGGGGTGTTGGGCGCCCACACAGGAAGGCAATTTGGTATGCTTTGTACCTTCAGAAAGAACCACGTTTGCCTCAAACACCAAAGGCTGAGAGAGTGCAGACAGTCTATGTGTGTGGTGTGTGTGGAGTAGGGGAGGTGGTTGTGTATGTGTGTGTAAACAGGCAAAGCTGAGCCTCTCACTATGCTAGCATCTATAACCTGCAGCCCTGCAGGTTCTAAATAGTTGACTAATTACCTTGGAAACTTGAATGATTTAATACAAAGGAAGGGTGCTAAATATTAGTATTTGGGAGCTTGTTATTGGTTGAACTGTGTCCTCCAAAAAAAAGATACATTTAAGTCCTAGCCCCCAGAATCTCAGAACGTGAACTTATTTGGAAATAGGGTCACTGTATATACAATTAGTTGAATTCAGATGAGGTCATACTGGAGTAGGGTGGGCCTCTAATCCGACGGGACTGGTGTTCTTATAAGAAGTCATGGACATGTGAAGACACACAGAGAAAATACCACGGCACTACAAAGGCAGAGACTGGAGTTACGCAGCTTGCAAGCCAGGGAACACCAAAGATCACCAGCAAACCTCCAGTAGCTGGGAAGAGACAAAGCAAGATCCCTCCCCTAGAGGCTTCAGAGGAAGCCTGCTGGCATCTTGGTTTCAGATTTCTAGCCTCCAGAAGTGTGAGATAATATATTTCTGTTGTTTAAAGCTACCCAGTTTGTACTACTTGATTACAGCAGACCGGGAAAATAAATATAGGGTGGAAAAGTCTTCAACCCCAAGAGAGGAGGAAAACCCACTTTAACTTCTCGCTGTTTGGTTGCACCATGAGTGCCTTCACCTGTGGCTATTGGCATGTTGGAGCCACTACTGCCCCTCAGATATTCACAGGCACTGTTGTCATAACTGCCCTAAAGTCAGTCCCAGAACAATGAAGCCATGCAGCTTGCAGCAGTCATAGCCAGGGAGATTTAAAAATCGGAAGTTTTCATGACTCTATTATTATGAGCTGCTAAATCAACAAACTCCGGAACAAACTACCTCTGATCTTATTATACGAGAAACTTAATTATCTATTGTTCAAGTTATTTTGCTCATGATAATCTCCTAAATAGTCTCCATGTGAAATTTTTCTTTCTCTCTTAAGATAATCTTTCCTGTAGTCACAGTATGCTACTCACATACAGTGTGTTTAGTTTATAAAAAATTGTTCTGATCTTAAGCCAGGCATGTTGGGGCATGCCCTGTAGTCCCAGCTACTCGGGAGGCTGAAGCAGAAGGAATGCTTGAGCTTAGGAGTTGGAGACCAGCCTGGGCAACATGGTAAGACCCCATCTTTTAAAAAAAAATTCTACTGATCTTGACTTTTAGATTAACCCTTTTATTATGCCAAGCAATTTATTTCCCCAGTAGTATTGTTTCAAAGTTCTAATACACTAAGGGCATCCCACAGAACTCTTCTCCTACACTGCTGAGTTGATACTACTCTGCCAGTATCTTTCAACTTTAGTAGTGTCCAAATGAGGTAGTAAGAGAAAATGAGTAGGGAGTATTGACAATATGATAGTCATTTCATGCTGCAGCTTTGAGGTGCCCCAGTGAACTGTGTGTCTTGACTGCTCATCAACATTTGATTGTACTGTGGTCACATTCCATTAGCTACCCGGTTTGTAGAATAGCTACCTGAATTAAATATTACACTTACTCAAGCTTGTGGAATAAAAATGGAAATAAAAAAGGGAAAAAACAATTTGGTTCAATTCCTCAAAAATAAAATAGGATCAAGGATCTCTCAGCTGCATTTTAAAAATAAAGCACAAGTCATCTGCAATGCTCTTATTCCACTGGCATTGGTATTGCGTGCATTGTCGTATTTAATCTAAAGACCACTTATTCATACAAGCAGAAGTGAAAGCATATCAGGATCAATATACCACACAGGCCATCATATGAAGACAGTGTTAATTTGAACCATTACTGATTATACTTTCAAGGACTGTTCTTGACCCAAAGCATTGCTCAGATGGACAATATAAATGCTTGTTGAATTGAATTGAAAAATGGAAGGTTGTTCTTGTGGACATTCCTATGGAGGATTATGGCGCAAAAAGAGACTTTGTTGGAAAAAATGCTTCTCCATTTAGAAAATAAAAATGTGAGAATAGTGCAGGCCTGATTCCCAAGAGCTACAGCCTGGGTCCCAGAGCATACTGGACACAATCACACATCCTGAGAGAATCCTGCACTTGAACAGTCAGACATTCACTCCTGCAACGTGCTGTCAAGGTGTCCATACCTTAAACTGCTTACTTTTCAATTGATCCACTGCAACAGGCAGGATGCAGTGCTGGCTTTTCCCAGCTAACAGGGGAACCACTTCCAGGGAATCTGAGCAAAAAGCTCACCATAAACTGTCCCCTACAGAAACACTCCATTTTTTTTTTTTTTTTTTTTTTTTTTGAGACGGAATCTGGCTCTGTCGCCCAGGCTGGAGTGCAGTGGTGCAATCTTGGCTCACTGCAAGCTCTGCCTCCCGGGTTCACGCCACTCTCCTGCCTCAGCCTCCCGAGTAGCTGGGACTACAGGCCCCTGCCATCCTGCCAGGCTAATTTTTGTATTTTTAGTAGAGATGGGGTTTCACCGTGTTAGCCAGGATGGTCTCGATCTCCTGACCTTGTGATTCGCCTGCCTCCGCCTTCCAAAGTGCTGGGATTACAGGCGTGAGCCACCGCTCCCGGTCAACACTCCACATATTTTATTCAATCCAGTTAAAGTTGGAAAGTCAGAAACACCTCTTTTTTGATTGTTTTGTTTTGTTTTGTTTTGTTTTTGAGACGGAGTCTCACTCTGTCTCCCAGGCTGGAGTGCAGTGGCACAATCTCGGCTCACTGCAAGCTCCGCCTTCCGGGTTCACGCCATTCTTCTTGCTCAGCCTCCTGAGTAGCTGGGACTACAGGCACCCGCCACCATGCCCAGCTAATTTTTTGTATTTTTAGTAGAGACAGGGTTTCACTGTGTTAGCCAGGATGGTCTCGATCTCCTGACCTCGTGATCTGCCCACCTTGGCCTCCCAAAGTGCTGGGATTACAGGTATGAGCCACCACACCCGGCCACAAACACCTCTTAATAAATGTACAAAGCCATTTATACATAAATGTACAAAGCCAAGAAAATGCTTCTCTTAATTATATTTTGTGATTTTGAAAATACCAATTTGCTCTAGAGTAGAACAGGAATACCATCTTCCGTGTTATATCACCCCAAATATTAGTTGAGTGACCTTAGTTATGCTTTCCTTTCAGAACAGATCTAAATCTACAGACAAATTTGCTAATATCAATAGTTGTGAAGCCGTCCTCAAACTGTCCTGCAAGTGCATCTTATCCCTTTGGCTTTCTTACAGATGGATGCATTCATTCATTCAACAGATTTTTTTTTTTTTTGAGAGACAGAGTCTAACTCTGTCACCCAGGCTGAAGTGCAGTGGTGGCATCTCTGCTCACTGCAACCTCTGCCTCCCGGGTTCAAACAATTCTCCTGCCTCAACCTCCAGAGTAGCTGGAATTACAGGTGTGTACTACCACACCCAGCTAATTTTTGTATTTTTAGTAGAGATGGGGTTTTGCCATGTTGGACAGGCTGGTCTCAAACTCCTGATCTCAAATGATCTGCCTGCGTCGGCCTCCCAAAGTGCTGGGATTACAGGCATGAGCCACCGCTCCTGACCCAACAGATAATTTTTTTGAGCATGTACTCTGTATCAAGCACTATATTAAGAGCTTAGGCATCCCAAGTCCCTGGCAGACCTGAGTCCAGTTGGGAGACCTGCCTGCCAACAACTACAATGCAGTGGTGATACTGTATTAAGGGAGGGTCTAAGGACGTGGTGGAAACTTAGGGAAAGGAGCCTCAATGTGGGCAAGGGATTAGGGAATGTTTCCCAGCAGAGCTAGCATTTGAGACTTGTCAATTAAGGAGGAATTTTCCAGAGGCCTGGGGGCCATTCCAGATGATATAATAGTACACCAAGGGTTTAAAGGAAAGACACATCAGTAGGGATTTGGAGAGTCACCTGCTGTTCACTACTGTTGGGGCATTAAGAACAAGTAAATTGGGGGAAGTAATCTGAAACAAGGCTGGATAGATAGGGGCTGGAATATTAAGAGCTTTATTCAAAATTCAAAGAAGTTTTGACTTTATCCTGCAGTGCTTCTCAAAGTGGGATTCACAAAGTCCCTAGATAACTTTTTATGTTTTTGGTTTTGTTTCAGTGATAATTGTATTAATAATAATAATAATGGGAGAAGGAGGAGTAAAAACATAGTCTAGATCATCTGGATGACTATTTGTCACACAGTGTTCATATTATGTTTACTATTAAGTTGGCACCAAGCCAACACAGATGTAACAGTTGGAGATCAAAAGAGGTGCTGTTTGAACAAACAGATTATGCTAGCTGAAATGGAATAAAGTAGTAGGAGAACTGAGTAGCCGCATGGTACGTGGTTGTAGGTGTGCCAGACTGAAAATAACCCATACTATTGTGTCCTGAAACATAAGCACACTGCAAAGGACAATGGAGAGTCACAAAACAGTATCATTTGTCTCATAAAAGTAGAGCTGCTTACTTGAATGTTACTGGCATTGTATAATAGCTTTTTTTCATAATACATTTTTTTCCTTTTGGTTTTATACTTCTGCAAATAAAAATGACAAAGAGTTTATATCTAGTTTTATGTTTTGTAAAACCTATTTAAGAAATATTTAAGATTTAGGTAAACACTGGAAATTGCAGCATTTTTCTTTTTCTTTAAAATGGGCCTATCCATTACCCAGTATGAAAGAAAGAGCCATAGATGATGGGAGGCGGGGGAGGTCACTGAAGAAATTTAAGCAGAGATTAGTGTGAACCACTTACTTTGTTAGGAGACCACTTTGGCAGTCACACAGAGGAAATACCATCATGCAGAGATGGAAAGACATCTAAGGAGGTGACCATCTGAGTCCTTTTATTAAAAGAACCCATTTGTTTAATCCAGAAAGCTGCTCTCAGGCAAAGGTCAGCATACTGTGGAATTAAATGACCTGAAAAACTAAACTGCACTGGTGTTTCAGAGCAAGACTCATCTAGCTGGAAGGTTCCCCAAACTTCTACATGCGTCATTTTCCAGAGAGTTCTGTGATGATGCCAAACCTAAATTAGGAATAAATCCCATGTTTCACTACAGAGAGCCGACAAAGTACACAAGATAAGTTGCTATGTATCTGGTAACAAAAAAACAACCAGGGCCACCGCATATAGTTCTGTAGGCCAGTTGGTGCTGAAATCTGGCTCTTCACAAAGCCATATACCTCTGGGGCTGCATGTATCCAGGGAAGTTGACTTTTTCTAATTTATACAAGGGCTGATGAATTTGCCAAGACATGGCCCTTGGAGGGGGCTGCATCTTCTGGAGGGACACTTTCTTCTAATTGCATGAAGGTGCCCTGTGGGATAGCTATAACTTAATCTTGCTTTTCTGAGGTTACATCTCACCAGCATCGCTGACCAAACTAGTACTCTTAAAGTTCAATGAGGATAATGGACTTTCTTCTCCCTAAAAATTCTGCAAAGCATATGACTTACCCATAAAAAGGCATAGTACCAAGGCATTCAACAAGTGCAAAGAAAGAACTAGGTATTTCCAGCTTACCTCAGGGGCCATCCAGAACGGGGTGCCAACAGATGTGTTTCTCCGCAGACGTGTACTGGTGAGTTGAGCTGAAACACCTATAAGGAAAGAGTATCAGAATTCAAAAGTGAGCAAAGTATGATGCTAGACCAGCAATCGGCAGACTTTTTCCACAAAGGCCAAATAAGTACTTTAGGCTTTGTGGGCCATATGGTCTCTGTCACAACTACTCAGTTCTGCTGCAATAGTACAAAAGCAGCCATAGTAAACACATAAATGAATGAATGTGGCTGCATTCCAATAAAACTTTATTTATAGATGCTGAAATTTGAATTTCATATAATTTTCACGTCACAGAATATTTTGGGTTTTTTTTTTCCAATCATTTAAAAATGTAAAAACCATTCCTAGCTCATAGGCCATATGAAAATAGGAGGTAGGTCATATTTGGCTCACTAGCTGTAGTTGCCAAACTACAACTCTGGAGCATTTATCACTCTATTTAAATCATTAGGATTTTTTTTTTTCCCTAATGGACATCCCTGTCTATATCACTGCAAAAATCAAAAGAAAAATATCAACAACTAGGATCAATCCAAAATATCATCCTATTATATTTCCAAATTATTTCACATGACTTCTTTCTTAATAAGGGGCTTCATTTTATGGAGAAAGAAGATCGGCTGCACTATCTGTAACAGAGCATCAGTGTAGACATAAAAAGATTTCAGTGCCTTATCTTGCCTAGAAGCCTGGAAACCTGGCAAGAAAGCTGTGTTTGTCAAATGGAAAAAGAAAATGACTAATAACATTATCTGGGGCTCAATGTTGGGGACCTGAATTCTAATGTAACTCCAATGTCCTTTAACCAACTGTCTTCTTCATATCACGAGAGCGTAAAGGTCCACAGGATTAAAAATCAATGTTTTCCATCCCAATTATGCTTTTTACTAATTATGTGATTGCTTCACCTTTGAGCCTCAGTTTTTTCATCTTTAAACTAGGGATAATCACAACAGTCACACCTAACACGGAGGGTTCTTCTTAAGACCAAATAGGAGAACAAATGTGAAAATGCTTTATAAATTGCAAAGCATTTTACACACATAAGGTATTCTTTTATACCACACAGAAGTCTCACATAGACCTTAAGAGAATGACAAGGGTTGCCACTAATGTCATTGATGACAAAAACTTAGAAACTGAACACTATGTGTTCTTAGCAAAGGACACACCTTTGAAACATGAGCATAGATTTGCCAAGGATCTGTGGGTTTATTGGGGGATGACTGCGGACATTCTCTTTATTAGAGAGCCAAGAAGCTCTTTAAAGTCTATTTGACCTAGATAATTTCCCATTTTACCAAGTCCTCCACCACAATTTTGGTAAAAACAACTATACCTTTCTGGTTTTAATTTCTAGACATTCCTTTTGCAGCCACTGAAAGTTCAGGAACCTTCTAATGGAAAGATTAGGAACATTTACTCTATGTCAAATCGCAAAGCTGCTGAGTGAATACATCAGTATCAATTCCCACCCCATCCTCATCCTTTCAGTCTGTTTCCCCTCACAACATATTTACAGTCCCCAGAATCACGTGCAAAAACAATTCAAATGTCATACACACAGCATATTATTGGAGTTATATCATTCCTTATAAAGAGGAGCATAAGACTTAAACAAAATGCTCCCTCTGCTATTTTTCTTTGCTTGTGTTTCAGTAAAAATAGACTAGTACGTCTAAACCAACCTCATTTATTTTTAAGTAATTTCTTCTGAGCAAGTGATAAACTGATACATGTTTACACTGAACTCTTTCTTAGCAATAAGACAATAAATATTCTTTTAAAAAAACACGTTTAAAGTGTTTCACTAAATGTTTTCTCATTATTTGTAACAATGACTCTGAAGTACTATTGCTGAACTCATTTAGAAGACTAAACCTTCAATAAACTTAAAAAAAAAACCAAATGGTTTGTTGTTTTGTGAATATCAACATATGATATTACAAGGGGATATTTAATAGTTCTCTGGCCTTAGGTGATATTGCCCTGCATTTCCTCTCACACTTCCATTTCCCGTTAATGTTTCCAGTTCAACCAGCCTCACATGTAGCAGCAGTAAACACAATTTAAAAGGATGTTAGCTCCCAGGCCCAGAGGACTATTTTACCTTCTGCTCCCTGGGAATAAGTATGCCTAAGGCTAGTGAAAGTCATTTGAAAGACCAAACTGCTTTCTCTTTTCATATGCAAAAGAAGAAATGACAAAATGTAAATTATAGACAATTGCCCTGAGATGTGAAATTCTTAGCAGAAAACCGAAAAGTTTTTCCATCAAGTTCTTCTTTTGAAACACTTTTATTTTCAATCTTTATAAAATTGCTTCTAAAGCTGAAACTAGATTAGCAAACAGCATCTCCTAGGGTGATCCATCTGGAGCCCCCACCCCCTCCAGCTTGTGTTTGACTGGAAAAGTCCCTCAGCCTATGGTGTAGCAGAGAAGCCCCAGTCTTCTGAGATTGCAATAAATTGTCCCCTTTGGCTAAACTGCACACGTCAAGAAAACAAACGACAAGCAGTCATTACCAAAGTCAACGAGCTTAACTCCTCCTTCTGTTGTCAGAAGAATGTTATTCCCCTTCACATCACGGTGGATGATTCGGTTGTTGTGCAAATGCTGAAGGCCCTGCATGGCATCCCACCACCACCAAACAACAGGAAAGAGAAAGGGGAAATTTACATGCTTATTTTAAAGCAATTACCCTACTATTGAAAAGTCTCATGAAAGTCTACATTTGGCTACACCTTCCTGCTGTTAGTAATCCTTGCATATCATAGGGCAGTTTCCCCATTGTTAATATGCAATAAGGACCCAAGCAATGAACAAACCATCCCATCTGCTGTCATACCCCATTTGATAGATGTTCTTACCAAGAGGGCCCCGTACAAGATGTATGAGATCATTGCTTCATCCAACCGCTGGCCACATCTGAGTAGACCTTTGACAAGCTCAGTGACTGAGCCCCCATTACACAGCTGCAAGAAGAGGTGCCAGACACAGGGAGAGCAGGAGACCACATGTGAAAAAGAAAAGAAAAAGAAATTAAGAAAAGCCGACTGATACTGATTCAATGTAGTAAATTTGCAGATTACAAAACTCCAGCTTGGAATACTCAGACTTCACATTTCCATTACCCAGTCTAATCTAATTCTTTGCGTATGTATTTTTTATTTGAGGTGATGATTTATGAGTGAAAGTGCATGTTCAAAATGCTAACTTTTTAATTGCCAAATATAAAATAAAAATAAAATATAAAGCACAATTAGAAATTTTTTACAAAGAATATTTTTGGAAAGAAAAAGCATATAAATAATAATGGCAACTTATTGGATATTTTTCACTTTATATGAATATTGTCTATGTTTTTAATGTGCATTTTGAGGATAAGGAAAAACCGGGAGAGGCAAGATGGATGCCCTTGATACCTGAGAGAGAATAAATTTCAGTGATTTCTCCAGTGCTAGCACGTATCAGAAGCCCAACCAGCAGTTCTTCCTAGAACTGCCATTGCAGATAAAGTTTATGGAGTGAAGTTGCATCATAAGTGCATTTATTAACTTTTTAATGTTCAATTTTAGGCTCTCAGCAACTTTATGCTCTTCTCTCTTTTTTGTCTGTAATTAAAAACACTAATTTTATTTTGCATATTTGTTCTTTGTCATATATTGTATCTTAACTGAAGTTTGAGCACATAAAGCAGTTATACTGAGAGAAGAGAGACAGACCCTCTCATATTGTTTTATATTGTTTTATACTCAGAAAAGAAAAGCAAAACAAAAGGCAGGTAGCCCGGTGCCTAGGAACCAGACCCGAAACCAGGCCTGGGCCTGCCTGACCTAAGCCTGGTAGTTAAAGATTGACCCCTGACCTAACCGGATATGTTATCTATAGATTCCAGATATTGTATAGAAAAGACACTGTGAAACTTCCCGGTCTGTTCTGTTTCACTCTGACCACCGGTGCATGCAGCCCCTGTCACGTACCCCCTGCTTGGTCAATCGATCACGACTCTCTCACGCGGACCCCCTTAGAGTTGTGAGCCCTTAAAAGGGACAGGAATTGCTCACTCAGAGAGCTCGGCTCTTGAGACAGGAGTCTTGCCCGATGCTCCCGGCGGAATAAACCACTTCCTTCTTTAACTCGGTGTCTGAGGAGTTTTGTCTGCGGCTTGTCCTGCTACAATACTTTTTCATCAACTTAAGGATTTCCAAAGATGACTCTTACTAATTGCAGAAGTCAACGTGCAGGTTTGGGTTTGCTACAAGCCATCCTAAGTCAAAGGTTCTTAACTGTTTTGAGCAGAGCATGGAAATACCCTGAAATTGTAGGCAGCATGCTGTATATGCATCTTGCAGTTTACTGGGGAGAAAATGCAGAGCTTTCACCAGATTCTAAAAGCTACTGAGATAGCCAAACGCCTAGGCAGATAAAAAGGGGGTCCCCAGAGAATCTCTGACCTGCCCCGCAAGTGTTTACATCAGATGCTTTGTGCAGATTAGGCAACAATTGTGCCCTAGGCTTGTATGGGCATCCCCACAGCAGACTGGAGCCAGACACGAGCACTGGGGGAAATGGGTGGAGCCACGGGGAATTCACGCCTTATGCAGGGAAGTAGCCTGCTCTCTTTAGCTCGTGTGGTGACCTGGGAATCAATCGGTGAGGTAGAGGGCCTGTTAGCAGGACTCCATCTCACTTTGCTGAGTTCTTTCTTTTTTTTCCTTTTCTCCCAATAAATTCCGCTCCTCACCCTTTTATGTGTCTACCAATCTAATCTTTCCTGGTCAAGTGACAAAAACCCCGTTTTGGTGGAACTAAGGAGAAAGTTCTGCAACATTTTTGGCATCCAGGCGTAGGGCTTAAGGAAAGGTGAGTGACATGCAAACCAAAAAGTCTTTTTCCTTTGGCTTCTAAGCCTTTTTGTCCTCCGACTTCTTCTGAGGGTAGAGAAATTATGCCCCCCCATATTAAAATGTCATTCCTGGAGGTCAGGAATGTCGGCTGGACGGGCAAACTGGTGGCTCCCCAGCTCCCAAGTTTCTCTCCCTGTTGGAGAAACTCACTGGCATAAAAATAAGAGATTCTTCCCCCAGACTTTTTTTTTTTTTTTTTTGAGAGGGAGTTTCACTGTTTTTGCCCAGGCTGGAGTGCAGTGGCGCCATCTTGGCTCACCACAAACTCCGCCCCCTGGGTCCAAGCGATTCTCCTGCCTCAGCCTCCAGAGTAGCTGGGATTACAGGTATGCGCCACCACACCCAGCTAATTTTGTATTTTTAGTAGAGACAGGGTTTCTCCATGTTGGTCAGGCTGGTCTTGAACTCCCGACCTCAGGTGATCTGCCAGCCTCGGCCTCCCAAGGTGCTGGGATTACAGGCCTGAGCCACAGAACCCAGCTGGCTTTTTTTTTTTTTTTTAAGAAAACATTTTACCAGGCCAGGACCCCAACTATCAGGGTTTATATTTTCTGTAAAGTTTTAATTATGAAAAAGGATTTGTGAGGTTGGTCTTAAGCTGTAGCCAATCTGGTGTGCTTTGCATGACTTCCTGTATGGCCAACAGCAAACTTTGCTGCAGGCCTCCATCTTGTTTTGTGTGCTTGGGATTGTGACCTGTAACCATGTGGCAATGCTTTTTGTTTTTCATTTCACAATGATGCCTAGGTTCAATCCTGGCTTAGGAAATGAGTACTTTCCAGTTAATATCTGTGTGACTTCTGCCATTTGCTGATTCTCTTCCCCACCATGAACAACGCTTAGCCTTTTTCTTACATCTTCCTTTCACTGGGTTACCTCTAAAGGTTCTAAATTTTGTAAGAATTGCTTACCCTTATCCCCTTCGAAAATACCGCATACGCTCACAGTGAAATAATAACCTTAAGTGAGGCTTGTTGGTTTCACCTGCGAGGTTAACGTTAGTAAAGTTTGAAAGCCAGAAATACTAGCTGCTTGGCATGGCTAAAATCGGGTAATAAGGGAGTTAAAAGGATTTTCTTAGAGAGTGCTCAGTTTAATTAAAAGTGGATGTCCAAGTTATGGTTTATTTAAAAGGCCTTTATGCTTTTTCCTCTTTGGGTATCTTGCTTTGCTGGAAAAAGGCTTTTCCTCAGTTGACTAAATTATTTTTCTCCATTTGGCTTGCCACTCTCAGTGCATGCATGGCAGGCCCTAAGATAACTCCTGGGGCCATGGGACTCCTTGGGAAAAACAGACAAGGCACCACTCCGTTTTGGGAAGAAACCTGTTTTTCTCATGGAACCCCAGGAATTAAAAGTGGATAGATCCCTCTCAAACTCTGATTTTGCCTCCCAGTCATGCCTGTTTATTAGGCCTTAAAAGCTGCATGTTTTCCTAGCCCTGTCTCTTAAAGGGCCCCACCCAGAGGCCAATAATCCAAATAGGAGATGGGCAAATGAAAATCTTATGGCTGCTGGTTTTCTTCTGCCTGTCTGTGTAGTTACATATGTGTTGTGTGTGTGATGTCTATAAAAAAGCTCTAATTAATTGGTCTAATGGAAGACAAGTGCTT
Organism: Homo sapiens; assembly: GCF_000001405.40. Classification (NCBI taxonomy): domain Eukaryota; kingdom Metazoa; phylum Chordata; class Mammalia; order Primates; family Hominidae; genus Homo; species Homo sapiens. The sequence goes on along the minus strand of NC_000002.12, from coordinate 170,210,831 downwards.
GGATCAAATTTTTTTTAAAGGGAAGATTAAAGCTGTGGTACGTTTTAGTTCATGTGACTTTAATCTTTGAGAAATAAAAACAGCCTTAAAGATTATTGGTAAAATGCAGATGTTGTCAAATATACACAGGTGAACTAAATTATGCAGGTCAGATACTAGGTTTGCTAAATGTTTTAAGGTTATAAACTGCCTTTTTGGTTTTTAAGAACTTTTCAACTTGCCAGCTTGACAATTAGTAAGGCCTGGGGACATAAGGAATTAACCACACCCTTAATTATGTTGGAAGGAGTCAAACCTTGCCTGAACCTAGCACATAATTAAAACAACTTACCAGGTTTTACATTAAACTTAAAATTGCTAGGGGTTACCATTATAACATGTAATTGAAACTACTGGAAATAGATTTACACGCAAGGTATGTAGGAACAGTAAGATGTGTTTTTAGTAAAAGATTACAAGAAGGCATGGAAATGTAAATTCTTGCCTAGGTTTAAAGGACTGTTTTGAATTAGATAAAATAAAGCTGACAGTTTAAACAAATGATGGAAGGACTGTAAAAATTAATATTGCAAAAATTCAGTGTGTGAACAGATTGACTAAATTCAAAAGGGTATTATATAGTTTTTTTGTAAATTGAGCATTGAAATAAAAGCACAACAAGGTACTCTTAAGGCACTAATCTGCTCTTTAGCAAAATTTGTAAAGGGTTATAAAAGGTTTTTGCTTTTTTAAATTTCTGAGTCATCGTTTGGCAAAATAAATAACTTTTGGTAATCTGGAATTCTATTTCAGTGTTTTAAACCACTAACATATTTAATAGGCTTCCCAAAATCAAACTTCAGTTTCAAAATTGCCTTTCCTGACACCTAGCTTTTGGATGCTACAGAGGGCCCTGGAGTATCCAAAAGAGAGGTAAAAGGGATCATTTGACATGTTTAGTTACATGGAATTGCCAAAATGGTGTTCAATATTATTTAGGTTATATTTTGATGAATAATATTAATATGTGTTCCAAAATTGTATGGGATTTTTAAAATTCTAATGTCTAATGTATATGCTATCATCATAATTAAGGTTGTTATGTTATTGTAAACCAGACTTCTTTGAGAAGAAGAGAGATAACCAAACTTCTTTGTCAATTGTGTTTCTAACTGTAAATACCCTGGGCAATTTTTTTATTCCCAACAATTGTTGTCTTGTTTTGGTCCTTTTCAAAAGATAGTTTATAATAAACCAGACTCTGACAGGTGCCACAGGACTCTGACAGGTGCTCTCAAATACAGGTTTCTGATAACTTTGGAGATTGTGACATTGGAAAAAAGGAAAAATGTACAGGACTCATAAAGAGCTGAAATGTTCATGAATATCAAACAAGAGTTAACTAAATGGACCGAACTCATAGAAAACTGAAGCTATCTTTTTGACTTTTGCTTGGAATATTGCTGACCCTTGTTTTGTTTTTCAGAGTCAAGGAAACTTATTTTGAACTATTTATGGCCTTTAATGATTAAGGTATACTCCTGTGAACAAAATTTGGAGCATATATGTCCCTCTCTGCCTGGCTTCCCCAGAATTTGGAAACTAGTTGTGAGTATTCTTAACTTACAGCAATGTAGTTGTTTGCATCAGTGCCATAAGAATCCATTTTCTTTTGCAGTATGATGCAATTGGAGAAACTGTTTTACCAAGGCTTTGACTGGAAGGGTATGCTTCCCTTTAAGGAGTCAAGCTCGACTTGCAGAGCTGCTAAAAGCCCCTTGGGAAAACTGGCCTTATCTACGCAGTACCTGTATAGGGTTCCTGACCTGTAGTAAGTAAAAAATGTTACTTTATGACAGGACCAGGAGCTCTAAGTTTATCTTGGGACCTTAAAAGGAGAGGATCACCCAACTCACAGGTATTTGAGGATACAAACCCATGGCTGTGCTCAGCTTTAAAAGGTCTTATCCGAAATTCCTTGAGGAACAGAGTTCCATCAAAGCCAATCTAAAAGGCCTATGTAGAAACAATTATTCTTGCTGCACTTTATGCAAATAATCAGGTCAAGTGTAAGACTAAAGTCTATTTTGCCAGCAACTCAGTCCTGATTTTTTTTTAACAAAAAAATGAGGGACTGGAGATAGAGAAATTATGTTTTAAAACTTACCATACATTTGTCATTAAATTCTAGACTCATTAGTTGTTTTTAAGTTTTTGCCTACCCTTTAGACTAACCCTGCTTGTTCCTGTGAACCAACCAGGAATCTCCAGCTGCAGCTTAGAAAGAATAAAAGGGATAGGTGATGTAAAAACCTGGATCAAAATTCTAGTTCTGAGCAATTATCCTGCAAATACTGCCAGGTGATGGGAATAAATAGGATATAAATAGGGTGCCCATCACCCAGAGTTTTCTTCTGGGGAAAGTAAGACCAAGGGAGCTAACCAAAGCCAAGCCCCATGCACCTACATCTTAGCAAGCATAACTATAGCCACCAGTTATCTGGGCATGTCACAAGACATCCTTTTCTCTCCCTTGTTGGAGGAGGACTCAATTCCACAGCTTCACCTTAGCATTTGGCTTATGATAAGGAGTCCATGCAACACCCCTTCTCCGAGGCACATTTTTGTCCCAAACTCAATTCCAAGCTTCAGGTCAAAGCCCTAGGAAAGAAAACTGGATTTGAGGGATCCAGAGGTAGATGATAATGGAAGTTAAAAGGCATAGCACAGGTGAGCATGACTGGTTTCCTGCCAGTTAAGCCAGGCTTCCCATTTCATGGATAAAGGTCATGATACTACCCGTGGCATAAATGAGGTCTAGAGAATTCAAAGGCTACTGACAGCAGAGGAGATAGGGCATACGTGGGTAAGAGTGGATACTCCCACCCCCAGACTCCCTTTTAACAAGGGTGAAAGCCGCTTTGACTCCATGGGCAGTACCCTGTCACAGTCACTGGAACTTGGGGATACAAGGATGGAGGAAAAGAAAGAGGAATGACTCACTTTCTCTCCCTCATGTACCCCAGGTATTTGCTAGGAAGAGAAGGGAACCAGGGATGCCTTGCTCTCCTCTTTCTAGATGAGTAGCCATTCATCTTCAGTCTGTACCCCTTTTGAGTGCATCCTGAACCCCTGGGATGCACTTTAGACTAATCCTTTGAGAAAAAAAAAAGCCTTTTTTTTTTTCTTTCTCTTCCTCTCTTCACTGATAGGTAATTGTCTCTCTGTACTATGGGACACTCCCCTCAGATGCATCCTCCAAACTAGGAACAGTTAATTTCCCAAACCTTAGACTGGTTGGCTTAGGATTGCGCTCAGGGGAAGGGAACCCAAAAGCCTGACACGATGGCAGAAAGGTAAAAGTTTTTTACCAGTTGGGCTTTTGGCCTCCCTCTTCCTGTGCAAACATAAAAGGCCTCAAGACTTTTGAGCTATCCCCACCCCCTGCCCCCATTTTGTTTTAATACATGTTTTCTAATAACCCAGTTTGTCTCTTTCTCACCTTCATGACATCAAACTCCAAATGGTCATGCAACTGGAGCCTCGGATGATGGCCCCTTTGGCCAGCAACCCTTAGATAGGCCTCTGAGGGAGATCTGACTGTTTTCCCCTAACTGGAGTTAGGGGAGATTAAGAGGACAAGATTAGAATGAGGATGCTCCCTCTGGGAGGGGGGTGTCTGTGTAAGCGGGTAATGATAATAGAAATTTCAGTTTCTTATGATCCTCTTCCCATTTGGAAATCTAAGAGGAGACCTCTTGATAACAAGGGGTGTCTGTGTCAAGTGAAATGAAAGTATGGCATGGTGAGGTAGACCATGCTTGAGATTACAATAACAGTTTTCTACAATCTGCTCACAACTTGTAAGACACTCAGAACTTCATGCTCTATTTGGGGACAGGGATAAGGTTAGAGTTTAAATAAGGACAAAGGACATGAGGACCTCATGATAGGAGGGAGTGTCAGAGACCAGGAACATCAAAGATACCAAAGGGAGAAAATACAGTTTTATTATCACAAGGACTTTGTGGTTACAATACAGTTCCGAAGCCTCTGCCCTCACTACCATGGCATTATGTAAGCATCTACTTGTACCCAGATCCAGATGCCACCCAGGGAAAAGGGAGAGGGAAGAGGGAGAGAAGAGGCCCTAAAAAACTGAGTACGTACCCAAATGACTAAGCCTTGAACTGGACAGTGAAAATTGGATATAAATACTGGAATATGCCACTCCACAAAGTCACTCAACTGGACTTAAGTTTAACAAAATGGGTTAGAATCAGTTGCCTCCTTTAGTCAGGCTGGGGGCTCAAGAACCCAGTTTAGTTCAGTTATTGAGAAGAAAGGCACCTCTTTGTTATCAATAGTTTATGACTGTCTGGTTTATTACCTATTACTCAATCATGAATATGACACAATCTCTAGCCTCAAAGAGGTCACTGCCCAGTAATGGACATACGAGTAATTATAGTGTGGAATGTGGAAGCAGAGCTGTGCCTAAGGAAGTGTGGTGGCACCAAAGAAGGAAGGGTGAACTCTGCTGAGGGAGGGCAAAGAGGGGACAGTCTAGGAAAACTTCCCAGAGGATGTAACATTTACAATGAGTTTGAAGGACAAATGGGTTTGGGGCAGGTGGACATGAAGGGAAAGAAGATTCTGTGAAAAGGAACATGGGGACATCTTGTGCAAATGTAGGGGGCATGAAAGAATGAGGGGGAATGTGCATGTGAGGGTACATGTGTGTGATGAGTTCTAAATACTCTACTACTGTTGGGACAAAGGATGCCAGAATCCTGGGGCAGGGAGATGGAGGAGGAAGGCCAATGACAGGGAATGACAGGTATGCCCTGCTAAGGAGTATGGGCTTTATTATAATATACTATGTATACTACCCATATAATATATATCCATATACTACGCATATAATATATACCTGTATACTACCCATATAATATTCTATGTATATTATAATACCATGATATATCACTAGATAAAAAAGGGAAACTATTAACAGATTTTAGGCAGGAGGTCTCAATGTTCAGACTGGCATTCTAGAAAAATGATTTGGTCAGCAGATGGAGGATGGACAGAAGACAACACTAGGAGCTGGAGTATCCATTGGAAGATATTGACGTAATCAAGAGAGGCAGGGTCAAGAAGTCATGAGGATAAAAGGGAGGGAGAGATTTGGGAGACTTTTTTTGAGATAGAAATGACAGGAATTTCTGACCAGCCACATGTGAAAGGTGAAGAAGAGACAGAGTCTAGGGAAACTGTGAGAATTAGGAAAATATCAATAGTCTTTGCTCCTCTAAAGGAAAGGCAGTAATAGGGATGCAAAGCACAACAGAACCTTCATCAGGACCACTCCCCACCCTGGCTCACATCTCAGGGAGGCACAGGCTTTCTTGCATTGCAAGCATGCTATTAAAATTCTACTGAGAGAAATTTTAAATTAAATGCTGGGTGATGATCCCAGAAAATGCAACCCTGGAATTTTCCCCTGACACCTCATTTTGGTCTCTCTCCCTGCCCTACTTTAAGTGTGGCCATTTTTGCAACAAAGGCCTCTTCAGCAATATTTTATATAGGTAGCCAACTTATAAACTTTATTTGTAACTCTAGAACTTATGAAGGGATTAAGAGTAGCTATTTGTCAGCAGGATCAAAACTCAGCTATGGATTTAAAAACAACAAAGGAATCTTACCCAGCCAGTGCTTTTTGTTCACTAAATGTCAGAGTATAAGAGCTGTCTGACTTCCCAGAACTCACAGAAACATATAATTAAACTGCTCAGGACACTTTTAAAGGAAGCTGTCCTGTGAAGTTGATAAGCCCACCAGCAAGGTTTTCAAGGGCAGCCTATGGGTTATAGAAAAAAGACTGGGCACTTGGATATAAAAAAAAGAAATCAGGTGTACACTGACAATTGTCTAATCAGAATAAATGTTCAGTGAAATGGGTTGAACATTTTAAAAGCATAACAAAGAATTATATTTAAATGCACCAAGTAAAATAATCCCTTTAGAATTGTAAGAAGGCAACCAAGCCTCCCACCCCAGCCCTGAGGGTTGACATATCAGCCCTTTATTCCCGCCCACTCTGCCAGCCACCAGATTCAAATACAGAAGTGTGTTTTCATTCCTGCAGTTCCTCCCTACGCCCTCAGCATTCAGGAAATGTGGTAGCTGAATGCATCTAGAATTTAATGAGCATTTTGCTCCAAACCAAGAAAAATAGAAAAATCATTTACATTCCACATCTATTTTCCAAAACGTCATTGAATATTGATTCAATCACAGTATGTGCATTTGCTAAGACAGTCATCATTTCAAGCAATAAAATGTTCCTTGCTCAATAAGCCATCAACTTTCTTCCACATTATTAAAGAATGGCCCATGCAACACAATCACCAGACCTAGGCTCCAACGTTCAAGTAGCTTCTATACTAGCTTGCTGCTTTGACATAGTCAGTTTGCAGAATTAAGAGGAATTTCTTTTTGGTGCCCCTTTGTTCAGTAGACTTTGTCTTTTAAGGGTGTTGGGTTCTACAGATAACATAAAGGAAAAGTCAAAGACAGTCAAAATTACTTCAGAAAATCCCTTAGGAAGTATCATGTTGGACACTGTCCGCCTCTCAGTAATTCCAGAACAGCACATTTTTTCCTCTGGTGTTGGACGAATCATGTTTATTTTAATGAAAGCCAGCAAAAGTCACTGGCTTGCCACAAGACCAGTGAAAACTATGTCACTTGAAACCCTAGAGTTTCTATCAGAGTGGAGAGATGCTCATACAATGAGAGGGAAGTGGGCCCTGAGAGTGACCTCCCATCTCATTCTCTTCCTGGGGCACATCCTTATTGAATAGAGCCAAGAGTGGGAAGAATCACTCCCAGTCCTCAGCCTCTTAACTCTCTCTCTTTTGTTGAACACATATAGTATATGTTTGTGGGATGTAATGCTGTTCCATTTCAAAGTTCTTCCCTTCTCCAGTCTCAAGTTTTCTGTGCCTTCATCCAGGCTCCCAGCATTCCAGTGTCTCTCACTCTAGAACCCACTGAGTCAGTGTTCAATGCTGCAGTACTTTCTAACCACTTCTGGTCAATCAAAATCCACCAGTCCCACATTTGAGTCCGTCAGAGTATGACTAAGACCCTGATTTGTTAACCTGATAAACTTAATTCATGCCACAGTATCAACAAAATGGTTTGATGTGTAACACTTCCAGTGATATTCAGGTCTAGATTATACTTTCTAGGGCCTTGGATAAAAGCAAAATCTGGACAAAGGTCCATCGGTCTGTCGGTCTCTCTGTCTGCTGTCTCTCTTTCTCCCTCCCTCCCTCCCCCCCCCGCCGCCCCCTTTTGCTTTGGCTCTACATATTAGATACTGAACTTATACCGAGATCTCTGAAGGGAAAAAAAAGATGTAAAACTAATTCTCATACATGGTTTAAAGGACAAAGTTGTTTGTTTTACTTTCCAGCCTCATTTACCAGTACTCCAAACCATTTCTTTTAAGTAGAACACTTGATTCATGCAGAAATTAAGTTTCTACCTGCCAAAGATTTTACACTAAAAGGAAAAAGAAAATATAGTTCATGCTTTAGCTACCACATGTTAGGTATTTTTTCTGAGCATCATGTTTTTCTTAAAGGTCTAATTTATTAATATGTATATCATCTAGGTGAAAGGCGGACTTATAGATTTTTAAAAATTTAATATTCACTTAAAATGCATTCACAGATTTTCCAAAACACTATTATGTGTGTGTATTTTCTCTCCATATCTTTCCAATATAGTAGGTGTGTATCATGAAAGAGAGCTTTTGTTTGCTTTCTACTAACAATTAGTAATGAATTTCAGAAAATGACATTTTTATTTGCTTTGTTTTCAGAGTTGTCGTGATTTAAGGGGATTATTAATAACATTTTTCTATCCTCTAGAATTGCTCTGTGGAATAGCTTCTCACTCGTCCTTTCATCAGTCAGGCAAATAAAGAGCAAAGGCAACATAAATTTATTCTTAATATGCAAGATGAGGAGAACAGTATTAAACAGATAATTTTTTTGTGTGAGTCCCCTAAAGCATGCCTTAAAAAGCTGCAGAGAGAACAAAATAGGGTACTATGTGGACCATCATTGTCATCCAGCTCTGTGTGTGTGGTCAGGAAGTGCTACGATCCCAGTGAGAGACTTCACATCTGTGTTTCCATGACCCAATGGATAACATCAGAGGAGCAGCTGCACATGGTGAAAGAAAATGTGCTGAAATATGCTTTTCCTTCCAGTTCTGCCATACAACCAATTATGTGACCATAGGCATGTTACTCACTTCTGTGGGCCTCTGTCCCTCATCTGAAGGCTAGGGGACTGAAGAGAGAGGCTTCTGCCAGTATTAGGAGTCTAGGAATTCCTGTGTTTCCCTAAGACTATTGGAGGCACTGAATGCACATGACCATGTAGCAGCCTGGTTTAGACTGCCCATCCTGGGACAGAAAAGACTGAGGACACCCAGTATCTCATATCACCCACTTTGGCATGGACCAAAACAACCAGCAAAAGTCATAAATGACAGCATATTGTATTGCAGAGGTATGAATAATTCAGTGTCTCAGGGCAGCTTCATTACTGTGGTCACCCTGAAAAAGCTAGAAACAGGTGGCAAGGGAGCACCTGCGCAAGGCTCAGCTCATAGTTCTGGGCTCTTTCTCATCTTTCAAGTCCATGTGCTACTTCCTGGCTGCTTTGGCCATACCTGAGTTGCCATGTCTGAGGGTCACTCCTCATCAGGAAGGATGTTCATTCACCAGGTGGCCTCAGGTATGAGCAGCCCACCTGCCTGCCTGGTTGCATGGAGGGAAGGCTCCTTTTTAGGCCCTCGAAAATTCCTGAAAGTTTCAGTTCTCTATGTCTGATATGAGCCTTTTTTAGTCAGGAGTTAAAAATAAGCAGAAACTGAGGTTTCTTGGTCACTGTACTTCCATTACTAAGTTACAACGAGGTTTAAAACACAGAGATCTTACAGAGCTGAAGACAAATATAATCAGAGACCCCAGGAACAGTACTTTATCATTTCCAAATAGCATTGTTAAACAGCTTCATTGGCAAGATAAAATCCTAATATTCTTGGGGTGGGGGTGGGGGAGTTAATAAAACCCCAAAGAAGTGTGTTATATGACTTAACCAGTCAACTAAAGGAACAAAGATAATTAGAAAACCAAAATCCCTTACATCTTATATATTCTGAGGAAGGCAACTGATGTGACAGAAATAAATTCAAACCAGTTTCCCTGCAGATTATCCCATTTGAATATAACAAATGAATTCCCCAAACATGGTTGCCATGGCAGCCAGTACTTATTGTCCCAGGCTCAGGCCCTCCCAGAGCCAGAAACATGTGGACAAGAGGTACCAGACAGTGAAGTGAGGGCTGGTTTCTCCCCTGGTGCTTCTCTCTTAAGGCTTCCACTTGTGTCCACACTGTGCTGGGTCACCTACGTGACCTCAGACATGGAGACATGAGCTGGTTCAGAAGGTCAGAGCCCAGAATAAAACAGTGTAGGCCTAGTGAGAATGTGGCGATAGACCTGTCCTAATATATTAATTCATATACTGTCATTATTTTCCTTGTCATTTTAGCCTCATAGGGAATCGTATTTGTTCGGAATTGACTCTTTTGCACCCAGATGCACACATTCATTCCCATTAATAACTGAAAACTGACTCTGAGAATTGTGTATGGAAGGATTGTTGGAGAAAAAAATGCAGGACTATAGTGGATACAGTGTTGTTCCCTTCAGATTCCCTCTTCACAGTGGATGCTGCTAGAAACAGGAACAGCTCCCAGCCCTCAGCTGCACCCCTCACCCAAGTTGGCTTCCACTTCAGAGAACTGACTCCCCCAAAGTCACGCTCCTTCGCAGGGATGGCATGCAGGCAATGATTGGCTGATGTGGAGATACAATTCAGGACAACATTCCAAAAACTGCCCAGCTCTCCATTTCCCAGAGGACCAGCTTAGGTCTCTGTTATGACCATATTGCTGTTCAGTGTCTCCCTTGCCTGATCCTGCCTTCCTCACTTTTTTCTAGGTCTACCTCCGCTAAGAACTCTGCAACAAACTTTCCATACACAATTCTCAGAGTCAGTTTTCAGGAAACCCAATCTAAAATGAGGACTAATGAACATGAGTGGGCAAATCCAAACTTGGCAAGCCAAGTAAACCTTGGGTTAACAATTTTTGAAAATGAGTTGCAATCAATTCAAACATGTTTACAATTAAATGTTAGGGAAGAAAATTAATGTTTTCAATTATATTCCTATATTCACCCTGTACTAGAATAAAAGATTATTAAACCTCTGAAGCAGAGAAACAAAAATATTTTTAGCATAAGGCCTACCTGTAAGAACTGTGGAGGAGAATGTCACATCTGGTGAGGTACCTGTGACATGCAGGAGGGACCTACTCCTCAAATGTGTACCTTAAAACACCCTCTAGGTAATAAAGCATCTGTTGGCCTCTGGCACTCTGTTCAAATCACTGGTTACCCAATGGGAGCCTCTTACCTCCAGGACCAGCCACAGCTGTCCCCCTACACAGTGATCCGCTTTGTAAAACATCCCATAAAACTTTACAACATTGGGATGATTAGGAAGGAACTGCAAAATGTTGTATTCTGCCTCAATTTCTTCATCCATATCCTAAACAGGGTAGAAAAATGCAAGCTGGATTAAATCTAATGTGTAAGGAAGGGTACAGATATGACATCATGCTCAAGTACTTAGTAAAACATATGTACTATGTATTTTCAATCTCATTACCATACCTTCAAAATATCTAACAATGGACATTCAGATATCAATCTACACCTTCTAGTATTACATTATTACATTCTAATATTACAACCTACACCTTCTATTATTACATAATTATATCAATAATGTTTATGATATTTTTTCTTTAATAATACTATCATAAATATCTTTTTTATTGAAAAGTGTCTGAATTTTCAAAGCAGTTATGGAGAACTTGCTTGAAGGGACCTATCACAGGATAGGACATGTAAAACCTCACTGTGCAAAACAGCATACAGCATTATAACCCCGGTGCTCTAAAATAAGATGTCAGCGTAAGATGATTGAATATCACAAGTCTGGGTCACTTTGTAACTTACAGAAAGACCAGGTAGTAAAATATATTACTCTTTCCAAGAGAATAACTTTTGAAGATCCCAGTGGTCCCAAACCAACACAACAGTAAAATGGACAAGAAACAAAAGTCAAGGGAAGCTTTAACTCCAAGTGGAGTCCCTTCATTCAGAGAAGCTGACAAATCATGACCCATTTTGAGATTTCATACCAGGTTTCATGAAAATTAAACCTAAAATCAAGAAAAGAAGTTGAAAACTCAGTGTGCATAAAACACCAAATTCTGGTTATAATTTACAACTGTTACTTACACTGACTGGATCCAGAATTTTCACTGCAGCCAGGCTCCCATCTCTCTTGTTAGTTACCTTGTAGACTTTGCCATAGGTGCCTTTACCAATGGTCTCTATAATTTCCCAGGTGTCTGTGGGATCTGGAAGTGATTCAAGTCCAAGCATCATAGGATTATAGTGAAATAATCCATACAGATGTTTCCTGGTTGGGGGAAAAATTTGTTATGTGCAACAGATCACAGAACTGGGGGCAGTGGACTTTTGAAACAAAAAGATTTTTATTTCTTAACCAGCAACCTCATGTTACTTTTTATTTTCTTCCTCTATTGTAAATAAATTTTTTGAAAAAGAACTTGGACCCTCCTTAAGAAATGGTAATAAAAGATAGAGTGGAGGAGTAACATGGCTCTGAAACATCCTAAAAACATGATTCTAAAAATGGAAATTATGTACACACCACAGGAGAGAGTAAAACAGCCAAAGAGGATGTTCTGGTCATGATTGGACAGTTGTCTTGATAGGCTGCTGAATGGTGGCTGCTGCCAGGGAAAGTGGCTGAAAACTGTTAAGTCTAACATCTTTGTCCCTAGGTTATGGTAACCTTCATGAGGGCTCCCTGATAGACACTGGGAGCTAATCCCCAACATCAGTGTACTACCAGGCATTTGACTCATATTTCTTCTTTTTTATCCTCGCTCTATGTTAGATAACTTGAGTGAAAAGAAGTAAATTTAAAGCACCCACACTCATATTGTCAGAAATTCACCTTCCCAATCTACTTCTTGCTTACTGAAATATAGTCAGTCCCACAATATGGCTGATGTCCCAGCCCAAACAGCTGTAGTTACGCAAAACTACTGAACTGCTGAATGGTAGAAGGAAAATCAATAGTCAGAAGAATACAAATGACTTTCTTCTTCTAGTCCAATTCTTGTTCCTTCCTCCTGAAGGAGGAAAACAGAAAGAATATCAACATGCAGAAACTGAGATGAACAAAACCACTCATCACTACAAAGCTCTGTGATCTTTCTCATCTTGTCCCTGAAAAGAAACTGCCCATTGGCAGGAAGCTATGTCTGCCCAAGTGTAAACAGAGTCACATAAAAGAAGAGAGAAATACGCATTAACTAGCTGGGTGGACTGCCCTTAAGCAGCCAGTGAAAGGCCTGGAGGGAAAATGAAGAATAGTGTAAAGTGGGCCTTGACGTTAGCAATGAAAGGAATCAAAAATGAAATTTCACATGGTGCCCTTAAAACTGATGTGTTTAGTGAAGAAGGGAAAAAAAAAAAAAAAAAACCCAAAGGAGAAAGGTGCTCCTGATAAATTTCTGATCATTCACCCATATCTTTTCAGAGGCCCTAGGAGCTTATTTCCCACATTAGGTCAAAAGCAATAGATGGACTCAATTCTTCAGGGTTGCAGTGAGCACTAAACATGCTCAGTCTGACGTGTGGCTGATTCGCCCATGTCTTACTGCACATTCCTTGCTGCTTTGCCCATCCCCTCTTAAGATTAATCAGAAATGATACTTTTTTCAAGGTGATTGTACACCATCTACCCTTCTTTCAATAACAGGTCATAAATTAGCCAAAATTACCATAAAATGTTATTTATGCATTCAGTAAATAGTTAATAAATTCCAATCCCATTCAAGCTACACTAGATTCTACAAGAAATATGAGGAGGAAGAAGAAACTGAGCTCTGCTCTGGAGGTTCCGAATTTGTTTCAAAAATTTTTATGACTTCTGGGGTGAGATGGCAAAGTGAAGTCAAGTATCTCCTTTCCCTAAAACTGAATGAATGAACAACACTAAAATGGAAACTTGAAATCCAGCAAACAAATCAAAATATACCAGCAATAATCAAACAAAAGAAGGGATATAACTTCACGCCATAATCTTTGAAGAGTAGCATTCAGTGAAAATGAGAGAAGATCCCAAGAATCACTGCTCAAGCAGTTCACTCTCTTCTCCCAGAGTGTGATGGGATTTGCCAAATGGTGAAGGAACAAAATATTGAAAAATCTCAGCAACATTCCCTGTAACTGCCTGATGGGTTCTTCCTGCCTACTGCACAAACAAAATCAATTCATGGCATTGCAGTAAAGAAAGTTTGAAATGAGGCTGGCCACACCATGTGGGAGATGGAGTTATTACTCAAATCAATCTCCTTGAAAGCTTGAAGGTTAGGGGTTTTTCAAAGGCAGTTTGAAGAAACGGGTGGGAGTGGCGAGGCACTGGGCACTTGCTGCTGATTGGTTGGGTCAGAGATAAAATCACAGGGAGTTGAAGCTGTCCTCTTGCTCTGAGTTGCTGCTGGGTGGGGCCACAGGAGAAGTTGGCCATCCAGGTGGAGCCAGGTGTCAGACATGTTTAAAAAAAAAAAAAAACCTGAAAAGATATCTCAAAAGACCGATCCTAGGTTCAAAAATAGTGATGTTATCTGCAGGAGTAATTGGGGAAGTTGCATGTCTTGTGACCTCTGAAACAATGGCTACCAATCAGGTATATCTACACCTTAGCAGAATTCAGGCTCCTCTCCTTCTCCTAGCCTGGTGCTCTCTCATTAGCTTTGCAAAGGCAGCTGAGTTTTGGGGAAGGGCTATTATCATTTAAACTATAAACTAAATGTCTCCTAAAGTTAACCCAGGAATAACTGAAGGCAGCTTGAAGGCTAACAGCACTAGAGGGGTTAGCTAGATCAAATCTTCCCCACTGCCATAATTTTCTCACTGATATAATTTTTGCAAAGGCAGTTTCATCTTTACTTAGAGAAAAATGGACAGAGAAGGAAAGACAGCAGCAGAAAATGAGTCTAGGTTCATTCACTTATACATTCAGTAAGGATTTATTAAGAACTTTTTACATGTATTACTCAACACTAGGCTTTTTTGAGACAGGCTCTCACTCTGTCACCCAGGCTGTAGTGCAGTGGTGTGATCACCACCCCCTGTAGCCTCAACCTCCTGGGCTCAAGCAATCATATCTCAGCCTCCCAAGTATTAATAGATGGGACCACAAGCATGTGCTACCACACCCAGCTAATTTTTTTGGTGGGGTGGAGAGTAAAGACAGGGTCTTGCCGTGTTGCCCACGCTAGTCTCAAACTCCTGGGCTACAGTGATCCTCCTGACTCAGCTTCCCAAAGTGCTAGGATTACAGACATGAGCCACCACATCTGGCCAATACTAGGCTCTTAAAAGGAAGTAGGAGAAATAATCAGGCTCTATTCTAAAATGAGGAACATTTCCAAAGCTATGCTGTAGGAGTTGCCTCCTATCAGGTGGAATGACCCTAATATGCACATTAAATGACATTTCAGAAAGAAGAGTAAAGCTCATATCCATCAATTGTGGCTGCCCCTAACACTCAGAAACCCACAAATCTGAGGGAAAAATGAACAACTCTCAGAAAAACAAATATTTCTGTTAAAATTACTGAACATCAAGGTAGAGAAACAAATTTTTAGGTATATGTGTGATGGTTAATATTGAGTGTCAACTTGCTTGGATTAAAAGATCCAAATTATTGTTCCTGGTGAAATGGCAGAGTTCCCTGACCCCTCTCATAGGACATGCTGCAGGGGTGTGGCTTGACTGTTTGGCTGTGTGTCTGCTCAAACTCCTTATGGGAGGGGGAGCACATAGACAGGCAGGTGCAGGATCTGGGGTGAGCGCCTTGGGGGCTCCAGACTCATGCTAGCATCTAGAGGTGGGTACCTAAAACTCCCAAAGCCCAAGTGGGCATGTGTTACAGTGCATTCTTTTAGATTTGCTGTCCACAGACGGCTTAAGTGTTAACAAGCTCAGTGCCCTCGGTACCTAGGTCCTTGTCCAGTGTCCAGGAAGAATCAGGTCACACAGACTTGAGGATGGTGAATGCGGGGATTTTACTGAGTGGTGGAGGTGGCTCTCAGTGGGATGGATGGGGATGGGGTGGGAAGATGATCTTCCCCTGAAGCTTGGCTGTCCAGTGGCAGATCTCTTCTCCAACCACCCCAAGCTGAATTCCTCTTGGCATTCAGATGCTCCTTCTCTTCTCTCTGCTGTGCCGTTCTGCCGTTCTTCTGTTCTTCTCATCTTCTGTGGAGCCTGGGGTTTGAGGTTTATATGGGTACAGGATAGGACGGTGTGGCATGCCAAAAGCCAACTTTTGGGCATGAAAACAGAATGCCTCTTCCCACTGGAGCCATGGGTTTCCATGCCTGTGGGTGGGGTCTTTGCCAGGTGACTGCCCTCTTCTACCTAGTGTTTCCCTGTCTCCTGCCCATATCACTGGAGGTGTCTGTGAGGGTGTTGCAAAAGGAGATTAACATTTGAGTTAGTGGACTGGGAGAGGCAGACCCACACTCAATCTAGGTGGGACCATCTAATCAGTTGCCAGAGCGGCTAGGATAAAGCAAGCAGAAGAACGCGGAAGGGCTAGACTTGCTGAGTCTTCTGGACTTCATCTTTCTGTTGTGCTGGATGCTTCCTACCCTCAAACATCAGACTCCAAGTTCTTCAGCTTTTGGACTCTTGGACTTAGACCAGTGGTTTGCCAGGGACTCTCAGGCCTTTGGCCACAGACAGAAGGCTGCACTGTCAGCTTCCCTACTTTTGAGGTTTTGGGACTTGGACTGATCTACCACTGACTTCCTTGCTCCTCAACTTGCAGATGGCTTTACCTTGTCATCATGTGAGTCAATTCTCCTTAATAAGCTCCCTTTCATATATACGTATATCCTATTAGTTCTGTCCCTCTAGAGAACCCTGACTAATACAATAGGATGCACACACACACACAAAACCAAAACCAAATAAAAGCAAATAAAACAAAAGCTCAGGTTTCTCTCCAGTTAACATTCAAAACCAGAAAAATATGTAAACCATGTATATTAACAAAGCTCTTTTTTTTTTTTTCTTGAGACAGGGTCTTCCTCTGTTGTCTAGGCTGGAGTGCAGTGGCACAATCATGGCTCACTGCAGCCTCAACCTCCCAGGCTCAAGCAATCCTCCCACCTCAGCCTCTGGAGTAGATGGGACCACAGGTGCACACTACCACACCTGGCTAAATATTTTTATTTTTTGTAAAGACAGGATCTTCCTAACAGCCCAGGCTGGTCTTGAACTCCTGGGCTCAAGTGATCCTCCCACCCTGGCCTCTCAAAGTGATGCGATGACAGGCATGAGCCACCATGTCCAGAATGTACAAAGTTTCGAAGGGAAAAAAAGTATGAGCAAATATTTTTATATTTAACCAAACTGTTGTTGAAGTATAAAGACAACAACAGACACTTTCAGACATGCAACAGCTTGAGTCCTTCCTGAAAAAGTCACATGATTCCAAAATCCAGCTAACCAAGAGATAAATGTGAAGCCCTAGTAAAAAGTCTGATAAGAAGAACTGAACCCATTTATACTTAGAAATAAAGCTAATCAACAGTGTGAAGTATGTTTACAAAAGGGAAATGTTATACATTTCAAAAATAAAAGTAAATAATCAAATTAAACAGAAAAATAAGGGTGAAAATTCCTCATTTTTCTTTATTTTTTGATGCTAAATTAAGAAACTGAGATTTAAATATCCTCTTTAAAATTAAGGTAACCAAGCAAAAAGACAATATTAATAAGGAGAAAATATGTATGTTAATTTTCTCACTAATTTCAGTAAGTAGGCAATAGATAATTGATAAATTGCTAAATGGATGCTAAAAACACTATAAAGTTATCAAATCTCTAAAAGACCTAAAAATAGACTATAAGTCTTTGACATAACAACAAAAAAAGCACACTTACTCATATGAACACACATACAAACATCAAACAACAAAAAGACAATCTGTGGAGTAAGAGAGGACGAGTGGAGGTGGTGGTGAGGGGGACATTAAAAACAGAGGTAAATATCTGTTGTATCAATTAAGATTCTTTAATAAGGTCAAAACATAGAAAAAACAGATCTATAGATATCCACATCTAAAACAAACTGTTCAAGAGTCTATAACTCAGAAACTTTAAAAGTAAAAAAAAGAAGTCAAAGATAAACCAGGTAAATGATAACAAAACCAAAAAGAATCATAATATTAATATCAGAAAAGAGTAAAGTTAAAAACTATCAAAGAACATAAAGGGTTATTTTACATTCAACAATAGTAATTGAGCAATTACTAGGCACCAGATACTATTCTATATACTGTTAGAATGGGCAGACTTTAAATCAATAATAAGCTTATAAAAGTCATAAATCCTTCAGTATCAAAAACAATATGTCAAAATTCATAAAAGCATAAACTTATAGAAGAAATAGACAAAACACAATAATAGTAAAAGACATTGTCAGCTATGACAGAACAAGGTGACAATAAGAAATATATGATACAATAAAAAGATTAACCTATTAGATGCACATCAATAAGTGCATATTTAACATAAAACTTATTTTCAAGCACTAATGAGATATTTTAATTTTAAAAATAAGGAATACATTAAGCCACAAAGTAAAGCCTCAATACATTCCAAGAAAATGAAATTTGAAAAATCTTCCCTGACCACACTACAATAAAACTAAATATTAATAATAGAAAGAAGAAACCTAGCCACCTGAGAATATTAAAACTCTTTTAGGTCTTGATATAAAACAAAAAGTTAAAACTGAAATTACAGAGTATATAAAAATAAAAATATTGAGGATACTATCAAGCAAAAAACTTAAGAAGCTGGGCTGAAAAACAAAATGTTATAGAATTAAACGTTTTACCAAGCAAATTATAATTAAAAAGAAATTTTTTTTAATATTCTATTCAAAAAGGTAGAAATAGATAAATAAAATAAGCATAAGGAAAGTAGAAGAAAAAATAAAAGCAGAAATTGATGAGTTAGAAAACAGAAAAACAGTAGAATATATAATTAAATTAAAGATGTTGTTCTCTGGGGACAAAACAATAAAATAGATAAAATAGATTAATCAAGAAAAAGAGGAAAACACAAATAAAAATAGAAAAGAAAAAGATGCATAAGAAATTCAAAAATTATATGACTACTTTGAAAATCGCTAAATAAGTAAATATTTTTTGTAATTATAAATAATTATAAAATGAATGCTTTCTTAGATAAATACAAATAAAAAAAATTGAACCCAAAAGAAATAGAAAACTTAAGTAGACATATAATGGAAGAAATTCAGAATAATAAAAAAAAAGAGCTAGCCCTCAAAAAGCCACAGGCTCAGATGGTTTTAACAATAAATTCTTCCAGACCTTCAAAGAATAGATAATTCCAATGCTATTTATGTTTTCCAGGTCATGAAGAAAGAAAAAGATAATTCCAATGCTATTTATGGTTTCCAGGTCATGAAGAAAAAAACTTCAAATCACTTAGAGTAAAATAACAAAATATTCCTACAAAAACATGATAAAAGTAGCACAGAAAAATAAAACTGCAATCAACCTCACTTCGGAATACCTGTATAAAAATACTAAATTAAAAATCAGCCAATAGGAGAATCTCGAGTTACAGGCAGAGCAATATGACCAAACAGAAGCTTCCACTGATAGTCCTCCCTATAGGAACACCAAACTGAAAAACTATCCACACAAAAAAGCACCTTCATAAGAACCTAAAATCAGATGAGTGATAACAATATCTGGTTTTAACTTCATATTACTGAAAGAGACACTGAAGAGGGTAGGACAGACAATCTTGAATTGCTGATGCCACCCTTCCCCCAATCTCCCAGCCACAGTCATGTGGCACGGAGATAATCTGTGCACTTGCGGGAGGGAGAGCACAGTGATTGGGGAACTTTGCATTGGAACTCAGTACTGCCCTGTCACAGTAGAAAGTAACACCAGGCAGAACTCAGCCAGCATCCACGGAGGAAGCATTTAGAACAACCTAGCCGGGGGGAAATTGCACCTCCCAGTGATAGGAACTTGAGTTCTGGCAAGCCTCACCACCGTGAACTAAATTGCTCTGGGGTTCTAAAGAAATCTGAAAGGTAGTCTAGGCCACAAAGACTGCAATTCCTGGGCAAGTCCTGACGCTGTGCTGGGCTCAAAGCCAGTGGACTTGATGGGTATGCAACCTAGTAACACATCAGCCAGAGCCAAGGGAGTATTTGTGCCACCCCTCTTCCAACCCCAGGCAGTGCAGCGCACAGCTCCAGAAGAGACTCTTTCCTTCTGCTTGAGGAGAGGAGAGGGAAGAGTAAAGAGGACTTTGTCTTGCAACTTGGATACCAGCTCAGCCACGGTAGGACAGGGTACCAGGAAGAGTCCTGAGGCCCTATCTCCTCTACGACATTTCTAGACACACCCTGGGCCAGAAGGAAACCTGCTGCCTTAAAGGGAAGGACCCAGTCCTGACAGGATTCATCACTTGCTAATAAGAGCACTTGGGCCCTGAATATTCAGCGGTGGTACCCAGGCAGTATTTGCAGCGGGCCTTGGGTAAGATTCAAAGACATGCTGGCCTCAGGTGTGACCTACCTAACTGTGGTAGCAATGGGGAGGGACTCCTGCTTGAGAAAAGGAGAGAAAAGAGTAAAGGACACTTTGTCTTGCAGCTTAGGCAGCAGCTCAGCCACAGTAGGGTAGAGCACCAAGTGGGCTCTTAGGGTCCTCAGTTCTAGGCCTTGGCTCTTGGATGGCATTTCTGGACCTGTCCTGGGCCAGGGGTTGGGGAAGCCTACTACCCTGAAGGGAGAGTCCCAGGCCTGGCAGCATTCATCATAAGCTGACTGAAGAGCATTTGGGCCTTGAATGAACATTGGCTGTAGTCAGGCAGTTCTTACTATGGCCTGGGTGGTGGCCACAGGGAGACTCCTCTGCTATGCAAAGGGGAGGGAAGAGTGGGAAGGACTTTGTCTTGTGGCTTGGGTGCCAGCTCAGCCTCAGTATAATAGAGCACCAGGTACATCCCTAAGGTTTCTGACTCAGGCCCTGGCTTCCAGACATCATCACTGAGCCCATGTAGGACCAGGGGGATCTTGCTGCCCTACAGGGGAAGGACACAAACCTAGCTGGCTTCATCACCTGCTGACTGCAGAGCCCTAGGGCCTTGAGTAAATGTAGGCAGTAGCCAGGCAGTGGTTACTGCAGGCCTTGGACAAGAGCCAGTACTGTGCTGGCTTCAGGTCTGACTCCACATAGTCTCAATGGTGGTGGCCATAGGGGTACTTCTGTCACCCCTCTCCCAGTTCTAGGCAGCTCAGGAAAGAGAGAGACAGAGACTCTGTTTGTTTGGGAGAAAGTAAGGAAAGAGAACAGGAATCTCTACCTGGCAATCCAGAGAATTCCTCCAGATCTTATCTAAGACCACCATGGTGGTACCTATATGAGTCTGCAAGAACCACAGTGTTACTGGGCTTGGGGTGTCCCCTGATGCAGATATTGCTGCTGTGACCAAAAACTTAGATCACAACACTCATGTCCCTTTGAATACCTGGAAAGCCTTCCTAAAAAGACAAGTACAAACAAGCCCAGACTGTGAAGAACACAGTAAATACCTAACTCTTTAATGCCTAGCCACAAAGAAACATCCACAAATGTCAAGACCATCCAGGAAAACATGACCTAACCAAACAAACTAAATAAGGTACCAGGGACCAATCCTGGGGAGACAGAAATATCTGACCTTTCAGGCAGAGAATTCAAAATAGCTGCTTTGAGGAAACTCAACAAAATTGAAGATAACACAGAGAAGGAATTCAGAATCCTATCAGATAAATTTAATAGAGATTGAAATAATTTAAAACAATCAAGCAGACATTCTGGCATGGAAAAATTCAACTGACATGCTAAAGAATGCATCAGAGTCTCAACAGCAGAATTGATCAAGCAGAAGAAAGAATGAGTGAGCTTGAAGACAGGCTATTTGAAAATATAAAGTCAGAGTAGACAAAAGAAAAATGAAAAATAAAAAAAAGAACTCACACTTATAAGATCTAGAAAGTAGCCTCAAAAGGGCAAATCTAAGAGTTAATGGCCTTAAAGAGAAGGTAGAAAGAGAGAAAGGGGTAGAATGTTTATTCAAAGGGATGATAACAGAGAACCTCCTAAACCTAGAGAAAGATATCAATATTCAAGTACAAGAAGATTATAGAACACCAAGCTGATTTAACCCAAAGAAAACCACCTTAAGACATTTAGTAATCAAACTGCAAAAGGTGAAAAATAAAGAAAAGATCCTACAAGCAGCAGGAGAAATGACAAATTACATACAAAGAGCTCCAGTCATCATCTGGCAGCAGACTCCTCAGTGACACGGCATATTTAAATTGCTGAAGGAAAAAAACTTTTATCCTAGAGTAGTATATCCATCCAAAATATCCTTCAAACAGGAAGGAAAAATAAAGACTTTCCCAGACAAACAAAAGCTGAGGGATTTGATCAGCACCAGACCTGACCTCCAATAAATGCTAAAGGGAGTTCTTCAATCTGAAAAAAAGGATGTCAAAAAGCAAGAATAAATTATTTGAAGGTACAAAACTCACTGGCAATAGTAAGCACACAGAAAAACACAGAATATTATAACACTAATTGTGGTGTGTAAACTATACATATCTAGAAAGACTAAAAGATGAACTGATCAAAAGTAATAACTACAGCAACTTTTCAAGACATAGACAGTACAATAAGATATGAACAGCCAAAAAAGCAGGGAGATGAAGTTAAAGTGTAGAGTTCTCATTAATTTCTCTTTGCCTGTTTGCTTATGAAATCAGTTATCATTAGTTTATTAATAAAATAATGGATTATAAGCTATTATTTGCAAGCCTCATGGTAACTGCAAATCAAAAAACATAACAGATACACAACAAATAAAAAGCAAGTAATCAAAACATACCTAGAGAAAATCACCTTCACTAAAAAGAAAAAAAGGAAAGAAAGAAGAGATAACCACAAACACAATCAGAAAATATAACAAATGACAAAATGGCAGAATTAAGTCCTTATCAATAATATTGAATATAAATGAACTAAACTCTCCAATCAAAAGACAGAATGGCTAAATAGATTTTTTAATGACCTAATGATCTGCTGCCTACAAGAAACCTACTTCACTTATCAAGGCACACACGGACTGAATATAACTACTTTGGGATTCTATTTGGATGGAAAAAAAATATTCTATGCAAATGGAAGCCAAAAAAGAGCAGAGGTAGCTATACTTACATTAGACAAAATAGATTTCAAGACAAAAACTATACAAAGAGACAAAGAAGGTCATTATATAATGACAAAGGGGTTAATTCAGGAAGACAATATAACAAATGTAAATATATGCACCTAACACTGAAGCACTCTGATATGTAAATTTTAGAGCTAAAGAGAGGCTCCAATAAATTAATAGCTAGAGACTTCAACACCTCACTTTAAGCATCGAACAGATCATCCAGACAGAAAATCAACAAAGAAACATTGGACTTTATCTGCATTACAGACCAAATGGACCTATTAGATAGTTACAGAACATTTCATACAATGGCTGCAGAATACACATTTTCCCCAGCACATATATCACTCCCAAGGATAGATCATATGTTATGCCACCAAATTAGTCTTAAAAAATTCAAAAGAATTGAAATTATATCAAGTATCTTCTCCAACCATGACGGATTAAAACTAGAAATCAGTAACAATAGGAATTTTGGAAACTGTACAAACACATGGAAATTAAACAATATGTTCCTGAATCACCAGTGGGTCAATGAAGAAATTAAGAAGGAAACATAAAAGTGTATTGTATCAAATGATAATAGAAACACTACATACCAAAACCTACACGATACAGTGAAAGCAGTGCTAAGAGGAATGGTTATAGCTATAAGTGCCTACATACAAAAAAGTAGAAAAACTTCAAATAAACAACTTAATGATGCATGTTAAAGAACTAGAAAAGTGGCTGGGCACAGTGGCTCACACCTGTAATCCCAGCACTTTGGGATGAAGCAGGCAGGTCACTTGAGGTCAAGAGTTTGAGACCAGCCTGGCCAACATGGTGAAACCTCATCTCTACTAAAATACAGAAATTAGCCAGGTATGCTGGCACACACCTGTAATCCCAGCTACTCAGGAGGCTGAGGCAGGAGAATCACTTGAACCCAGGAGGCAGAGGTTACAGTGAGCCAAGACTGTGTCACTGCACTACAGGCTGGGAAACAGAGCAAGACTCCATCTGAAAAAAACAAAACAAAAAAAAGAACTAGAAAAGCAAGAGCAAACCAAAACCAAAATTACTATAAGAAAAGAAATAATAAAGATCAGAGCAGAAAGAAGTAAAATTGAAATGAAGAAAACAACACCAAAGTCAAGGAAACAAACAGTTTGTTTTTTGAAAAGATAAATAAAATTGACAAACCTTTTTGTTTTTTGAAAAGATAAATAAAATTGACAAACCTTTAGCCAGACTTAAAAAAAAAAAAAGACAACTCAAATAAATATAATCAGAGATGAAAAGGAGACATTACAACTGATACCACAGAAATCCAAATGATCATTAGTGGCTACTATGAGTAACTATATATCAATAAATTGGAAAAATCTAGAATAAATGGGTAAGTTCCTAGACATATACAACCTACCAAGATTGAACCATGAAGAAATCCAAAAACTAAATAGACCAGTAACAAATAAAGAGATCAAAGCCATAAAAATGTCTCCCAACAAAGAAAATCCTGGAACCTGATGGCTTCACTGCTGAATTTTACTAAACATTTAAAGAAGAACTAATGCCAATCCTACTCAAGCTATTCTGAAAAATAGAGGAGGAGGGAATACTTTCAAACTCATTTTATGGGGCCGGTATTAGCCTGATACCAAAACCTGACAAAGGCACATCAAAAAAAGGAAACTACAGGCTAATATTCCTGATGAATGTAGAAGTAAAACTCTTCAACAAAATATTAGCAAACCAAATTCAACAATACATTAAAAAGATTATTCATCCTGACCAAGTGGGATTTATCCCAGGAATGCAAGTATGGTTCAACATATGCAAATCAATCAATGTGATACATCATATCAACAGAATGAAGGACAAAAATCATATGATCATTTCAGTTCATGCTGAAAAAGCATTTGATAAAACTCAACATCACTTCATGATAAAAACCCTAAAAAAAACTGGGTATAGAAGGAACATACCCCAATACAATAAAAGTTGCATATGACAGACCCACATACTGAATGGGGAAACATTGAAAGCCTTTCCACTAATATCTGGAATATGACAAGGATGCCCACTTTCACCACTGTTACTCAGCATAGTCCTGGAAGTCCTTGCTAAAGCAATCAGACAAGAGAGAGAAATAAAAGGCATCCAAATTGGAAAGGAAGAAGTCAAATTAGCCTTGTTTGTAGATGGTATGATCTTATATTTGGAAAAACCAAAACACTATTAAAAAACTACTAGAACTGATAAATTCAGTAAAGTTTCAGGATACAAAATCAACATACAAAAATCGGTAGCATTTCTATATTCCAATAGCAAACAACTGGAAAAAGAAATCAAGAAAGTAATCCCATTTGCAATAGCTACAAATAAAATACCTAGGAATTAACCCAAAAAAATGAAAGATCTCTACAACGAAAACTATAAAACACTGATGAAAGAAATTGAACAGGACACACATGAAAAGGGAAAGATATTCTATGTTCATAGTTTGAAAGAAGCAATATTGTTAAAACGTCCATACTACCCAAAGCAATCTACAGATTCAATGCATTCCCTATCAAAATACCAATGTCATTCCTCACATAAATAGAAAAAACATCATAAAATGTATATGGAGCCACAAAAGACCCAGAATAGCCAAAGCTATCCTGAGCAAAGCAAACAAAACTAGAAGAATCACTTTACCTAACTTCAAATTATACTACAGAGCTATAGTAACCAAAACAGCATGGCACTGGCATAAAAACAGTTATATAGACCAATAGGACAGAATAGAGAACACAGAAACAAATCAATGCATTCACAGTGAACTCTTATTTGACAAAGCTGCCACAAACATACATTGAGGAAAGGACAGGCTCCTCAATAAATGGTGCTGGGAAAATTGGTTATCCATATGCAAATGAATGAAATAAAATCTAAATGGATTAAAGACTTAAGTCTAAGACCTCAAACTATGAAACTACTCAAAGAAAACAATGGAGAAACTCTCCAGGACGTTGGTCTGGGCAATGATTTCTTGAGTGATACCCTACAGGCACAGGCAGCCACAGCAAACATGGACAAATGGGATTACATCAAGTTTAAAACTTCTGAACAGCAAAGGAAACAATAAACAAAGTGAGGAGACAACCCACAGAATGAGAGAAAATATTTGCAAACTATCCATCTGACAAGTTATTAATAATGAGAATATATAAGGAGATCAAACAACTCTATAAGAAAAATCTAATAATCTGATTTTAAAATGAACAAATGACCTAAACAGATATTTCTCAAAAATGGCAAATAGGTTTATGAAAAGGTGCTCAAAATCAATAATCAGAGAAATGTAAATCAAAATTACAATCAGATATCATCTCACCCCAGTTAAAATGGCTTTTAACCAAAAAAACTAAGCAATAACAAATGGCTGGTGAGAATGTGGAGAAAAGTAGACTCTTGTACACTGTTGGTGGGAATATAAATTAACACAATCACTATGGAGAACAGTATGGAGGTTCTTCAAAAAACTAAAAATAAAACTACCATATGATTCAGCAATCCCACTGCTAGGTACACCCCAAAGGAAATGTTATCAGTATATTGAAGAACTATCTGCACTCCCATGTTTATTGTAGCACTATTCACAATAGCCAAGATTTGCAAGCAACCTAAGTGTTCATCAGCAGATAAATGGAAAAATAAAATCAGGTTTATATATACAATGGAATATTATTCAGCCATAAAAAGAATGAGATCCTGTCATTTGCAACAACATGGATGAAACTGGAGGTAATTATGTTAGGTGAAATAAGCCAGGCACAAAAAGACAAACTTTGCATGTTCTCACTTACTTGTGAAAGCTAAATATTAAAACAATTGAACTCATGGAGACAGAGTAGAAGGATAGTTACCAGAGGCTGGGAAGGGTAGTGGTGATGGGGAGTAGGGATGGTTAATGGGTACAAAAAAATAGAATGAATATGATCTAGTATTTGATAGCACAAAGGGATGACTACAATCAACACTAATTTATTGTAAATTTAAAAATAACTAAAAGTATAATTAGATTGTAATACAAAGAAATGATAAATACTTGAGGTGATGGATACCCCATTTAACCTGATGTGATTCTTATGCATTATATGCCTGTATCAAAATCTCATGTACCCCAGAAATATATACATCTATTATGTACCCACAAAAACTAAAAATTAAAAATAAACAAACATAAAACCACAGAAAAAAAATCAGCTATTAGAATTTAGCAAAGATAATGCAACATTAGGGAATATATTACTATGATTTTCCCATTAATATATCAAAGTATGAAACACCATTAAAAATGGAAATCCAAAATGAATCTGGTAAGTTTTAATATCTAATTTTTAGAACATTAAAAAATTCAAATGGGTTAATTCCTTTCTAGCATTTAAACAGCACAGAAACATATCTCTCAAACCAAAAGTCAACATCTTAGTTAATAATGGATTTCTACAACCATTGCTAATAAAAATCAAGAAAAAAGACAAGTATCTCTCACAAACACTATAAAATTTTGCATTGTTTTTGAAGTATTAGCCACTGTGATTAGACAAAAAAACATAGAAATAAACACTGGGAAGATGGTGAATATAAAATAAATAGTGGAATGATTTATTCCTGGAAAATCAAAGTTTAACAATGAAAAAAATTAAGTTGATTCATTGAGGAGCTGAGTATAAAATTAGCATCTAGAAATCAAGCAATTTCAAAATATATTTTTCTATATGTTAAAAGTAATCAGCCAGAAAGAAAATAGCATTTTAATAGGAATTAAAGAGAGTAAAATGCCCAAAGCTAAACCTAACGAGAACAGAGCAGAATGTATAAAAGTAAAATCTTAAAATCAATGGATTAAATGAAAAGAGACCAAAAAAATGCAAAACCATATACCTTATGCTTGGATAGAAAACCTTACTGTGAAGATGTCAATTCTTCCTAAATTTAGTCTGAAAGTAAATAATTGTTTTTTTTTGAGACAGAGTCTTGCTCTGTGGCCCAGGCTGGAGTGCAATGGTGTGATCTCAGCTCACTGCAACCTCTGCCTCCCAGGTTCAAGCAATTTTCTTGCCTGAGCCTCCCAAGTAACTGGGATTACAGGTGCATGCCACCACGCCCAGCTAATTTTTTTGTATTTTAGTAGAGACGGGGTTTCACAGTGTTGCCCAGGCTGGTCTTGAACTCCTGAGCTCAGGCAATCCACCCGCCTTGGCCTCCCAAAGTCCTAGATTACAGGCATGAGCCACAGCGCCCAGCCGCTTTGTTTTTTTTTAAGAATTTGACAAAATGATATTAAACTTCATTAGAAAATTAAACACATGAGGGCTGGTCACAGTGGCTCACACCTGTAATCCCAGCACTTTGGGAGGCCAAGGCAGACAGATCACTTGAGGTCAGGAGTTTGACCAGCCAGGCCAACATGGTGAAACCTCGTCTCTACTAAAAACAGAAAACTTAGCCGGGTGTGGTGCAGGTGCCTGTAATCCCAGCTACTCAGGAGGCTGAGGCAGGAGAATAACATAAACCTGGGAGGCGTAGGTTGCAGACAGCTGAGATCACGCCACTGCACTCCACCTTGGGCAATGGAGTGAAACTCAGTCTCAAAAAAAAAAAAAAAGAAACAGAAAAAGAAAAACACATAACATGAAAATTTTAAAAAAGAATAATTAGTGAACATAATTTGACCAGACACTAAAACATGTTATACTGCTAGAGTAATTAAAACATTATGCCACAGGGGTAGAAATAAGTAGTCAGATCGTTAGACTAGAAACCAAAAGTAGACTCAAATACACAAAGAAATAGGGTTTATGATAAAAATCACATTACAAATCAATAGGCAAAAGATGGACTAAATAATACTGTTCAATAAATTATGCTGGCTTAACTTGCTGGCTGTTCAGAAAAAAAGTTAAGCCAGATTGCTACCTCATTCCTTTCTCCAAAATAGAGTATGGTGGCTCAAAATTTTTTAAAAAAATATAGCTAAATACATTATAGTCTTGGTGTAGGCAAGAAATATTTTCAAGTAGAATAGAAAACTCACAAGCCCTAAGAAAAAAATTGATAAACATAATTGCATACAAGTAAAAAGGTCTCTACAACCAAAAGAATTGTTGTAAGTACTAACATTTTTCCAAAAAATAAATAGAAAAGAAGGTTTGTATCAGGAGCTAATTTTCTATCAAGAGTATATACAATAAAAAAGAAAAAGACTCAAAAAATTTAAATGTATAAAAGATGCTAAATCTCACTAGTAAATTTTAAACGGCAAATCAAACTAATGAGATACCATTTGTCTCCTATCACACTGTCAAGATTTTTAGAAGTTTGATAATAGTGTTAAGAGAAATAAGCACTCTGAGACAACATGAGCGAAAGCGTAAACAATCTTTGTGAGGAATTATTAGTCAAAATCTACCAAATGCCCATTCCCTTTGTCTCTGTAATTCTACTGGTAGGCATTTACTTTACATATATAATCAAAAAAAGCACACTTAGATTTATATTAACAGAACATAAAAGAAAAACCATCATCTCGATCGATGCAGAAAAAGCATTCACAAAAAATTCAACATTTATTCAAAATTTAAAAACAACAACAAAAATCTCTCAACAGACTAGAAAGTGAAAGGAACTTCTTCATCTGATACAGGAATCTAGGAAAAACCTGAAGTTAACACCACACTTAATGGTGAAAAACCGAATGCTTTCACCTTAAGATCAGAAGCCAAGGATGTCTGCTCTCATCATTTATATTGAATACTGTGGTGAAGCCAGAATAATAAGTCAAGAAAAAGAAAATTTAAAAATCCAGATTAGAAGGGAAGAAGTAAAATGGGCTTAATTTGAAGATTACATGATTATCTATTTAAAAAACTGATGGAATTTATAAAAACATTACTAGAACTAATTAGTGAGTTTATCAGAATTACAGGATACAAACAAGGTCAATATTTTAAATTCAATTATATTTCTACATACTAGAAAGGAAAACTTTTCAACAGTGCTAAAACAATTGTAGAGCAATATGCAAAAAGAAAAAAAGAATCTTTATCCTTACACCACATATAAAAATTAACTTTAATCATTAAACAGATGTAAGAGCTAAAACTCTATTAAACTTGAAGTAGATAGACATACAAGATTGTTCACTATAGTATTATTTTCAGTAGAAAACCAGATACAACCTAGAGGCCCATCATCATGGAGAGATTATCTAATAAATCATAATAGTTACATAAAATTAAATACAATGTAGCCACAGGTAACCACCAAAAAGAAAAAAGGTAAATTTTCTGCCAATTAATATGGAAAGAATGCCAAATATACAATTAAGATTTGTTTTAAAAGTGTTGAATAGTGTATAGAGAGGACAATTTTTGTGTAAATACAAAGAATATTTGCATTTCTAGTCATTTTATGTGTATATTTGTGTGTATGTCTCTATGTATGTGTATATCCTTATATACATTTTTCCAGAAGGCTACACAGGAAACTCTTAAACTTTAGGGAGAGGTGGTAAAAATCAGAGAGTTTGGAAAAGAGAGAAATTTATATGCTTTTTAAAATTATTACACATTTTTAGTCATGTTTTTTGCTAGTGCATATGTTATTCTACTTTTTAAAATAAATATTTTTTAAAAAAACATATAAGAGATCTCTACAGAGGAGACTATTATGACCCAAATGTGTGCTGAAGTCAGAGGATAGCAGAAACCATATGAAACAGAGGCTCATCCTGAGAAGAAAAAGAAAACAGAGAAATAAGAAACTGAAAGGACCATGCTTGAGAGAGTGAGACAAAGAGGATTAGTGAGTGGGTTCACTGTGAATTCTACATCTTGGCCCTCTGAGGCCTGCTAAGCTTTGCTGTCTGTCCTTGTAACCCATGAAATTTCCTACTGCATTCTTCCAAGCAGCCCCTCTTTTCATGAGCTGATTTGAGTTTCTCGTGAGCTAGTTTTAGTTCCTTAACAACCCCAAATTGGTCTAGTCTGATCCCTTGTTGAATACCCTGAATTAGTCCCTAACGGAGGTACAGCCTTACCTTGTTGAAAGTAAAGCACTCTGCAGCATGCACCCTGTGAATGTCTGCAGTTAGTCAAGCCTAGCGAGCATGATTTAAATAGAAACTTGCCCAGCAACATTTTATACTCATTAGAAAATTCATGATGAAGATTTCCATTGCTCAGTATGCTATTCAGAATATTTTTTCTAGATGTTATAGTATGGTATATATGAATCACAAATCATAGAATGCTTTCAAATCTAGAGAATAGATTTTAGAAAGAAGAAATCGGAAACCTGAACTGTGAAATGTCAGAGGAAATCTGTACAAATATTAAATATAACACCCAGAGATACACAGAATAAGGAAACACATACCATACAAGCGTGAGTAAATTAGAGAATAATTCCAAACCAATACATAAGCAAGTGCATAATAGTTGTGTTAGTCCATTTTCTGCTGCTGTAACAGAATACCACAGACTGCATCATTTATAAACAATAGAAGTTTATTTGGCTCATGGTTCTGGAGGCTGGGAAGTCCAAGATCAAGGGGCCACATCTGGTGAGGGCCTTCTTGCTGCATCATAACATGGTGGAAGGTCTCACATAGTGAGACAGGGCAAGAGAGTGAGAGCTCAAGAGAGAGAAAAAGGAGACTGAACCTATCCTTTTACTAGGAGCCGTCTCCCACAATAACAGCATTAATCCATTCATAAGGGCAGAGCCCTCATGACCTAGTCACCTCTTAAAGGTCCCATTTCTTCTCACAATGGCAATTAAATTTCAACATGATCTTTGGAGGGGACATTCAAACCATAACCATGGTAAAGACGTAAGAGTAGGAACTGGCTTCTTCACAAACCACCTATCTGGATGCTGCTAGATAGGGCCTGTTCAAGTATAGCTCAAATGTCTTCTCTTCTAGGAGGCCTTTCCTAATTTTCCCACTAGAACTGACCTTTATGGTTCCACTGATTATGTACTCTTTTCCTTTCTTTAAATTTTATTTTATTTTAAGTTCCAGGTTACATGTGCAGGACGTGCAGGTTTGTTACACAGATAAACATGTGCTATGGTGGGTTGGCTGCACCTATTAAGCCCCCCATGCATTAGCTATTTATCCTGATGCTCCAGGGGAGACACTCAGGACTGGCATTTGACAGAGCTTGGTAGAGGAATCCAATGATCTCTAGGTTGATCTCTAAGTTCCATCTCTAATGTTCTATGGATTTTAAACCTTGAATATACAAAATTACTGAGAGGAAGAAAAGAATCATGGCATAATGGAATTTATCTACTATTGTTTACATTGTCATGTTACCAAATTAACAAATCTGTCATGATATTGCAGTCACTAAGGAACAATACATACCCACAGCTCTTACAAATGATTAACTAAATGATCAGATTTTTCATTTCCCCACCAAAGCATGAGGAAATTTATCTTAGCTTTAGCTGCCTGAAACCTCTCTTGGGTGAAAAACATTAAAAACATCTGCAAATTACTGATGACTAATGCCCTTCAATTTGGCCTCAAGCTGAGAAATTCTGTGCAGAAATAAAGTGGTTTATAATCCCACAGGTCCATTCTATTATAAACTGCAGGTGGCAAATCAAGTGACTATGAACTATGCTGTGTGTATGTGTGTGTGTGTGTGTGTGTGTGTGTGGTGTGTGTCTGTGTAAAAAGCAATACTCAAGAGGGTGTTTATCCTACTCCTTCAAGAGAAATTTAACCACCCAGACAAAAGGCAAATGCTAACTGAGAGGACCCAGGAATCTGGGTGATGTCAGACAGAGGCCCAAAGCCAGAGTGGCTGTCATCCCCCTCCACTGCCCACCAGCCAGGGCAGCTGCATCTGCCCTTTGCAGAAAAACAATCTAAAGCAAGCACAGAAGAAAGCTGGAAGGAAAATAACTGCAACTCACATCGATGACCTATTTTCTGAATCCGGCTTATGAGAGATTGGATTCTCATTCCTCCAAAAACCAGCAGAACACTTCAGGCCCAGAAAATGGTGTCTTTGATGACTAGAATGTATGACACATCATTACCAAAGGACTTTC
This sequence comes from Homo sapiens, assembly GCF_000001405.40. Classification (NCBI taxonomy): domain Eukaryota; kingdom Metazoa; phylum Chordata; class Mammalia; order Primates; family Hominidae; genus Homo; species Homo sapiens. The sequence goes on along the minus strand of NC_000002.12, from coordinate 170,178,151 downwards.
GATCTAGGTTCCAAGAGGTGTTAGCCTCAGATGACTATTGTGGGAGGAGCTGATAAATCCACCAAATCCTTGGTGACTTTGCTTCACTATTAGGCAAGATTAAGATGATGCTAATTGGTAGTGAGCCTGATCTATTTAGTGTCTCCTACCAGGACACAGAGCAGAATCAAAACCATTCTCACAGATCCTGTTTGCATGTCATTTAACAGTTCCAATGTGATATTCCCCCAACCTTTTAAAGTTCCTTCATTCCAGATTAAATTCCTTCATTCCAAATGCTGCACAATCAAAACTAATCATCTTTTTGTGAGCAAAGGGCATAATCAAAGCATGTAGTCAGGGTCACTTTTCTGAACTGCAGATAAACCCAGGGGAAACACCATGAGTTTCTGATCTGAATTACCAAGCAATGAAACAGTGACTATTCAACAGTGACTATTCATTCAGTAGCATGCCCTGGGCTATATACAGAACAGTAGGTTAAGAGGAGGCAGGGGGTGGGGGGGTGGTGCTGGGCATGGTGGATCACGCCTGTAATCCCAGTACTTTGGGAGGCCAAGGCTCGTGGATCACCTGAGGTCAGGAGTTCGAGACCAGCCTGGCCAACATGGGGAAACCCCATCTCTACTAAAAATACAAAAATTAGCAGGGTATGGTGGTGTGCGCCTGTAATCCCAGCTACCAGGGATGCTGAGGCAGGAGAATTGTTTGAACCTGGGAAACGGAGGTTGCAGTGAGTAGAGATTCTGCCACTGCACTCCAGGCTGGGCAACAAAGTAAGACTCCATCTCAAAAAAAAAAAAAAAAAAAAAAAAGGGAGAGAGGGGAAGTGAGAAACAGGAGGGTAGGGTCCCCAGAAAGCTTCTTTTCTGGCCAGCTAACATGACACATAGGCCCATGTGAAATAGTTGAAGACTGTGCAATAACACTGGATAAGCTATATCCATCAATTCTGAGGAGGAGTCAGTTCAACCCAGGACCAAGACTTGAGTGGGAATGCTTCCTGGAGCAGATAAATCTAGGTACAGTTTTGAATGAAGAAGTGAAAAGGATTAGTGTAGATGAGGCAGGAGAGAAACCCAGAGCCAAGAAACAGCACACAGAGAATGCAAATATGAAGAAGGTGATTTAAAGGACAGCGATCTTACTCCCGCTAGTCAATAATGGCCTTTGTGTTTCCATTTACTGTCATAAGAATCTTAAGAATGGGGATAATGTGTTCTATCTTCCTATATTTCCTACAGTATTTGCACATAATAATTGCTCATATTATAGCTAGTAGAATCATGGATTCCTACAGTTGGACTGAACTTATCATCCCATCTGCTTGCAGAATAAATTAATAAATAAATGAACAGGTTATTAAAATTAACAGGTTGTTAAAAAGATCAGCCTGGTTCCAGTAGAAGAATTATAAAAATAATCAAGAGATGAAGTTGAATTTGTATACAAGAGTCAGTTGAAGGCAGAGCTTTCAGGCAGCCTGGGGGGCTGGAATTTTTCCTCAAAGGTGAGAGGGTGCCACACCAGGCTTTTAAACAGTAGAGTAACATAGGAAATTTTCTTTGAGAAAGAGTGTCTTGGCAGATTTTTGCAGGAAAAGGCAAATCAGAAGGCCAGCAGGATTCCATTGCAACAAGGAGTTAAAGGCTATACAGTCTGGAAGGTGACCGACAGCCTGCCCAGGCCCAAGGGAAAAAAAATACCAGATGCCCCAGCAGAGGAGGACTGGCTAGACTGTCTTCACCAGGGATTTGCCCGAGGCCCTTTCAGCCACTGGGCCCCAGTAATTTATCCTAATTTCCTTCCCCACAGCCCCGCCTCTCCACCTCAACCCTGATAGTACTTATTAGCTCAAAATGGACCATCTGAAGGAAGGGACAACCTCTTGCGAACGAACCGAGGGCCTGGTCTGCTCCAAATAAGTGTTTCCTCTAAGAAAGAAATTATAATGCATTCCTAGTGTGAGTGCAGCAGCAATAGCCTGACAGCCATTTGCATAATTTCTCTTCTGTAACAGACTTCAAAAATAACAATAGGCGAACTAGATAGAATCTATTAATTTTAAATTTGCTTGAGCTGCTATCTTTAATGAAGCTAAAGTACCATGAAGATTTTAAATCTATTAATTATGTGGTGTATTATTTGTTCTCTCCAATGAGACATTTTGGGGAATGGACATTTAATTTGTGTTGCTATAGAATCACCACCTTATTCTGGGATGTCCACTTGGTTTGAATGTACTGATAAGGTTGGAAGGTAGCGTGTTTAGAAAGTTCATCCAAGAGTAGCAGAAAAATGCTAATTAATGTCAAGAATAAAATATACGCACACACATCAAGTCAGGAATGACTCAGGAACGCAGAAGTGACCAGCCTGGGCACCATAGCAAAACTCTGTCTCTACAAAAAATAAATAAATTAGCAGGGCATGTTGGCACATGCCTGTAGTCCCAGCTACTTGGGAGGCTGAGGTGGGAGGATCATTTGGGCCCTGGAGTTCAAGTCTGCAGTGAGCTATGATCACACCACTGCACTCTCACCTGGGGGACAAAGTGAGACCCCACCTCAACAATAAAAATGTAAGAACCCGGAAGCAAAAGAATCTCATAGATGACTTTCGCAAGTGCTAAAACCACTACACAGCAACAGGAGGACAGGAACCATGCCTATCAGGTCCACCATTATATCTCCCATGCCTAACATAGGGCCTGGCATGTGGCTATATAATGTTGAAAGAAATGACCTACTGGATGGATGAATGAATGGGATTTCTTTACATAACAAAGGCAATTAAAATACCTAAGAAATATATGCATAAGATTTATTTTTCCAAAGAACTAAAAGAGCAATAATTTCATGATCATTTTCATTCATAAGCATACATGCCCACATGTGTGCACGGGCAAACACGCACACCCTTCAAGTAAAAACACCTTAAGAAGGAACTACATTGAAAAGAAAGGACTTTAAGTCTTAAATTATTTATTATAGCAGAAACATTTCAAACTAGCAAAGCATTTAATAACACTGTAAAATGAATTACCACAAGTAAACCTCTTAGTTTTCTTCATCCATTTATGGAGTGCCAGACACTACACTTGATGGCTGACAAATTGCAAAGAAGGAAAAAAAGAAAATACCTAACTTTTGAGTGTCTTCTGGATAATTTTTCCAAAGAACATCCTACTAAGTTATACTCTAAACAGGCCAGACGCGGTGGCTCATGCCTGTAATCCCAGCACTTTGGGAGGCCCAGGTGAGTGAATCGCCTAAGGTCAGGAGTTGGAGACCAGCCTGACCAATATGGTGAAACCCCATCTCTACTAAAAATACAAAAATTAGCTGGGCGTGGTGGCGGGCGCCTGTAAGCCCAGCTACTCAGGAGGCAGAGGCAGGAGAATCGCTTGAACACAGAAGGTAGAGGTTGCAGTGAGCTGAGATGGTGCCCACTGCACTCCAACCTGGGTGACAGAGCAGGACTCCGTCTCAAAAAAAAAAAAAAAAAAAAAGTTTTACTCTAAACAGATGAATTTTTAGCAGCACCAAATAATCCATTTTCTGCTCCATTTTAATATCCACATTTTCATTTCATGGGTTTTATCCCTCAATTCCAAATGACATTCTAAGTCAAATAAGAACTTAACCAAAGTCATCAGCTAATACTTAAAAAACAAATAAATCCTAATGGTAAAAGGAGAATCTCTGGGTATTAAGTCTGCCCTGAAAAACAGGGCAAACAATGTGTCCAGTTTCAGATTTTAAAAATTTGTGGATCTGGAGTTCGCCTGCTTTATCACACACACACACTGGGCACACACAGAGATCACCTGTGTGTGATCTGCTTTATCACACACACACACACACACACACACACACACACGGTACACACAGAGATCCCTGGGGATTGTTCCTGCACTTCCATACTTCTCTCTCCATAAAGCTCAATCTTCCTTCATCCTGAATACGGTGAAACTACTATGATCTTCCATACTACTTTCCTAATCATATTTTGGAAAATGTCATGTGGAAATCTTTTTGGTATTAGTATTTTCAAATCAATCCTTCCAACATACCCTGTAATCAAAGCACAGTGTGATTCATTCTGTCAACATCCAGTGGCTTTGGGAGGCCAAGGTGGGAGGATTGCTTGAGCCCAGGAGTTCAAGACCAGCCTGGGCAATATAGTGAGAACCCATCTCTACAAAACTAAAAGATTAAAAAAATTATCCAGGCATGATGGTGTGCAACTGTAGTCCCAGCGACTTGGGAGGCTGAAGTGGAAGGATGGCTTGAGTCCAGGAGTTCGAGCATGCAGTGAGCTATGATCTTGCCACTGCACTCCAGCCTGGACAACAGAGTGAGATACTGTTTCTACAAAAAACAAACAAAAACATTCCATGGTGCCTATGGTGTGGCAGGTCCTGGTGACATAAAGTAGCCTCCTTATCCCTATGGGGCTCAGAGCATGAGTGTTACAGAAGGGAAGTGCAAGGTGCTATAGGAGCCCATGACAAAGGAAATCAGGCCTCTGAGGTGATTCTCCAACTTGGTTGCACATTGGAATCACCTGAAGAGATTTACAAATATGGATTCCTGGTCCCACCTCTCCCTGGAAATTCTGGAGTATGGCTCTGAGCACCAGCAGTTTTTAAGCTTCCCAAAGAGGCAAAAAAGTTTGTGAATCATTGCTCTAGGGGGGTGGTTCTCGAACTTTTGTATTCATCAGAATCTTCTGGAGGGCTTGGTAAAACAGACTGCTGGACTCCACATCCAGAGTTTCTGACCCTGGTGGTGGAGAAGAGCCACAGAATATGCATCTCTAACAAGTTCCCAGGTGATGCTGGACCACCCTTTGAGAAACACTGCTTCAGAAAGCCAGCTGAGGAAGTGAGCTGAAGGGACAGGGGACGGGGGAATGTTTTCGGCAGAGGGAAGCACCGTGTGAAGGCCCAAAGTGGAGATAGCACCGCGGCAAGCAAATATTCCTGGAACCAAGAGATCTGAGGCATGGCCAGAGGTTAGGGAGCAAGGAGGATCATGCAGGGTAAGGCCAGTGATAGGTGGACACAAATCCTGGTCCTGCCATCTATGATTATGACTGAGAAAAAAAATGACTCCACAAAGCAAAAGAGGCTGCTCCTCTTCACAAGAATTGGCCACAGTAGTATTGTCCAATCAGTAGGGTTCTTAACTCTCAGATTATGAAAAATCCAGGCTGGCTTATTATTAAAAAGTAATAACACTCTTTGCAGGGTTAACATTTTATAGCTTTCATGACACTTTTGCAAGTGTTATCTCATCCAATTCTTAAAGAAATCCTGGAATGCAAGAAGGTCTGGCGCTCCTGCCTTCATTTTGCCAGGTCTAGAACCCCATTATCAGACTCCTGTTCTGGTCATCTTCTACTATAGCTCGTTACCCTCCAGCGTTTACTTCTACCCACAAATGGAAAAGTCCAGTCCTCTAGAAAATTCTTGTCCAAGTGCTGAGAAAAATATAGGAGAAACCAGCTCTCCACATAGGTGGTAACATACACACCTGCCCATAGCATTTACGCATGTGTCACCAGAGACTGTTCCAGAAGGCCCTGGCTATGTTTAGACAACTATTTGACTCTCCAGAAATTCAATCCAAAAGCCAGGCATGGTGGCTTATGCCTGTAATCCCAGTACCTTGGGAGGCCAAGAGAGGAGGATTGCTTAATGTCAGGAGTTCAAGACCAGCCTAAGCAACATAGGGAGAACTACCCTGCCAATCTCTACAAATTTAAAAATTAGCTCATGTGGTGGCATATGCTTGTAGTCCCAGATACTCAGGAGGCTAAAGCGGGAGAATCTCTTGAACCCAGAAGGCTGTAGTGAGCTATGATCTCACCACTGCACTCCAGCCTGGATGACAGGGAGACCCTGTCTCAAAAAAAAAAAAAAAAAAATTCAGTCAGAGTGTAAAGTTGATTTGGAAGAGAACTCAGATGTTTGTTTTCACATTCTTAGACACTAGTCCTGAAATTTGGGTAGCTGCCATGAGGGGGAAGTAATGTCTGGGTTTGGTTCTACCGTAAGCCAACAGGCTTGGCAAACTATGGATAACTTAGAGACCATACAAGTATAATAAACAATTCAGGAATTTTTTTTTCTGTCAAAATTAACACTCTTCAGAAAATATTGGCTACTATTTTAATTTTTACATTCTTTTTAAATTCAAGAATGTGTTGTGTCTTTTTCTGTGATTATAAAGTAGTACATGTTTGTAGGTGAGATGTTGGAAAATACAGGATACAAATCAAATAAAATCACCCCTAATCCTACCCAAAAACTAATCACTTTCAACATTTTGTTGTCTTTCCTTCAGACTTAAAAAAAAAATGCATGTGGGTAGGTGCAAGAGTGTCTATGGGTGGGTGTGCATTTTTTTTTAACCAGTGTTGACTACCTATTGTTTGATATTTGGTATTTTTAAAAATATTACATCATTTTTTAGTAGGTTTTAACATCATTTAACTATAATCTTGATTCTTAAAAGGAGATATCTCCACTCTCAGGATATCAGAATCACCAAGGAGGCATTTTAAAAATTATACCTTGCTTCCGAAGCTACAATCCTCCTCCACCCACCCTCACATTAAGATTTCTTGGTGGGCTGGGGCTTGTACAGACATATGAGAACTGCTAGTCTGCAAGAGGTATTACTGACCATTCCTCTTTCCCTTACACGGGCACACCAAATTAGTTAACTGATGCCCCATAAGCATTTTGTTGTTTCCAATTTTTCCTTATTTATGAGCTACTGCAATCAACATCTTAGCATTCATATATACATACGTAATGGTTTTAAGTTAAAGTCCTGGGTATAGACTTGCTAGACAAAAGGATTTAAATATTTTTAAGGCTTATGAATAACTTTTGGGGAAAGATGTAACCTAGACTAGAGAATGATCAAAATATATAAAAACTATTGACTATATTAAGAATATTTCTTATAATGAACGAATGGTTTTCAATCACTGGTTCTCCTAGGTAAAAGACAACCAAGACCTTTCTCTTTCTTACTTAGATGTCAAACATCCAGGTTCCAGGCACATGCAGTCCCCAAGGAAACTCTCCCATCAATCTGCATTGCAGCTTCAGAGACGCTATGCTATGCTGGCTCAGGAAACCAATTAATTAGCCTTCTTAATTTTCCTAAGTACCTCTGGCACTCTCTAACTGCCTATCCAGTCCCTTCAAGGGGAAGCCTCCAGCTTCCTTTTCTTTCTGAGACAGGATAGAAAGGCTAAACATGACGATATGCAACATGACGATATGCACGTCTGCACACCCAGGCCCACACCTGTTACTTTTCAACTGGGAAAGGTTCCCTTGGCAACCATCTGCACCACTGCCCCAACAACTCCTGCTCAGTAAGCCCTGATATTAGCAGGAATAAGACTTCTTTATCAGGATCCCTGTTTTACTAATCCCCCCCGACCCTGGACTATTTCTCCATGCAGGCAGGGATGGTGGCTGTCTATTTACCATCCACTGCTGATCTCCTAGTTCTTGACAATAGTTTTCAAAACATGTTTGCTAGATGAATAGATAAGATTTAGCAACCTCCCTTTTATATGCAAGACTTGTGAAATTCATAAGCACTTTGGATATTTAAAAACAAACTTGACAAAACAAAACAGTTTGCAAACAGCCATATGGTGATTTCCTCACAAGGGTTGTTAAGAATGAAAATATCCTAGTTCCTCTGATTTCATTAGAGGAATCAACAATGCACCATTAGAAGCAATTTTAAGAACTGAATGTAGAGTAGATGTGCTATTTCCACAAGTAGATGACAAAGTGGTGACTGAGTTGCTGAGTACAGTCAGAGAGGTTATGCCTGCCCAAATTTACCTAGCCAAGGACAGATGCAGAAGCTGTAATCTAGCCCATGCTCTGTTCACCAACACATGTGCTCTAGTGTGGGGCTTCATCCGCCCAGAGAAAAGGGCAATTTTTTCTAATGATCACAAAGGCACATTTGCTCACCAAGTTGTACAGCTTTTTGCAATTCACGCAATGGCACTTAGACAAGTCCTCTGTGTTTTGTTTACTCATATTCCTCAACCAAATGTAGCAAAAGTTTTAAAATATGCCAATACGCTCCATCAGCAAACATTAAATAGATTGAGTACATTGTTAGTTGATAATTATATTAAGACTACTATGAGGGGGAAAAGTCCCAGGATGATTTGGGAACAGATAACATTTTAGCAATGGAAGAGAATTCAGAGAACATGTCCTTAAGAAAAAGAGGCTCAAAGAGCTCATCTAGATTACCAGACTCTTAAAATAGCACTCTTAGGCCAAATCAGATATAAATTTAATTTTGCATTTAATCTAGGCCCTAAACTGCCCCTCACACACCCTGCAGGACCTACTTTTAGGTCCCTGGCTAAGCAATTCTAATGATAAATGAGCAGCTTTGCAATTTGATTGAGACTGAGTTCTGACTGGGTCATCTTATACTGCATGGAATGATTTTCCATATCTTTTAGCATCAAGATTTTTTTCCTAAGTTTCAAAATTAAACTGATAAAAAAGAAATAAATCAACCTTTTATAAGATCTAATAGCTGTCAGAGTGTTTTTCTCTGGTAGGAGTTCTAATTCTTTTTTTGAAAAAAAGATTAATCATCAAAGCAACTTATAGTATAAGATTAAAATTTATCATTTATATTATAAAATTTATATTACTTGCCACTTCTATCAACTCTAAAGGGGTAATTTTCTGTATTGAATTATTTATAATCTCTTGTAATCAGATACCTGGTAAACTTTTAAACATTTATGTATTCACCTAATTCAAAGATGGCAAGTGAACTAATACTGAAAATGGAAAATCTGTCTGTCAGAACCTAAGGCCCTGTAGAATTTATGATATGTCTATTTACCTATATACTAATGTATACCCCTACACATTTACCTTATAGCTGCATAATTATACCTGATTATTATTAAATGAATGATGAATAAATGTAATAAATATTATAAATTAAGATGGCATGTCAGATAATGTCCACAATAGTGGAGAAAGTAGCAAATTTCCACATTATTTGGGTCTCTATGAATTTTAATGCATTGTTATTGTTATGTTTAATTATTACCATTACTCTACAAAAGCCTTGACAATGTTGGATTTCTCTTACAGTACTAAGACTCATAATACAAGCACATTTTAATTTGGTATTGACCATAAGGATTCCTAATCAAGACACAAGTTATGAAAAGAGAGAATTAAATTTGCTTCTTTGAAATTCCAAAAGAAGATGCTTTCTGTATTAGTTAACTGCTATTCCTCTGTACTTGTTTCCTATTGCTGCTGTAAGTTAACACAAATTTCATAGCTTAAAACAACACAAATTTATTACCTTACAGTTCTGAATTGGACATCTGAAACAGGTCTTACTGTACTAAATTCAAGGTGTCAGCAGGGCTGCATTCCTTCTGGAGGATTTAGTGGAGAACCTGTTTCTTTGACTTTTGCACTTTGTAGAGGCTGCCCCTTCTCCACCTTCAAAGCCAGCAGTATAGCATCTTCAAACTTCTCCCTGACCTTGACCCCTGACTCTCCCGCTTCCCTCTTTCACTTATAAGGCCCCTTGTGATTACCTAGAGCCTACCCAGATAATGCAGAGTAACTTCCCCAACTCAAGATCCTCAATTTAATCACATCTATAAAGTCTTTTTTGCCACGTAAGGTAACACAGATTCCAGGGATTAGGACATAGACATCTTTCAAGGCCGTTATTCTCCCAACCAACCTTCTGAAACTGGCGTTTAGCACCGTGTAGTATCCTGAAGAGGTAGCATATGAGGGGTGGATGGCACACATTTGGGGAGTGAGGGAGACAGTGTTTGAATCCTGGCTTTGGCCACTTTCTAGCTATGTGACCTTAGCCAATAGACTCAAACCCCCTGAGCCTCAGTTTTGTCACCTCTAAAGCGGGGCCAGAATGCCTACTTCATTTTGTTGTTGTAAGGGTTAAAGGGGAGAACAAACATAAATCCACAGTAGGTGTGGAATAAATGTGAGTCAGTTTCCTTCACTTGCCCGTTAAATGGGTACTGTAGCATTAATGCCAACTACCTACTGATTTTCACGATATTGACATGAGGTTAAACACCATTGAATTCAGTGAAAAGAGAATTTCTCTGACCCAGAATGTTCAAGACAGACAGTAGACTGGTGGCCTTTCTTTGTCAGCCAACACCATTGAACATTAGCAGGGCTGCTTCAGTAGCTTAAATGGCAACCTGATTCAAGACAACAGAAAGGATTTCTCTTTATCTCTGATTCTCAGTTACCTCTCAGGTGAGATACTTATAGCCAGGAGCTGCCAAATCATGTCTGAAGTCTAAAGAAAATGACACGTTATGGTGGAATGCATATTAAAGGACAATGCCAAGTTTCTAACTCCAAATAACTGTTAAATTCTTTAAAAATTTGAAGTTATAGATATGTAATATATGTTGACAAAATTGAAGAAAAAAATACAGATAATTATTCAAATGTCATCAATTGGGATGTCATGGAAATAGCATGAGATTTGGAGTTAGATGATTATGATAGCAGGAGACCCATACCAGTCCCTGCTGTGTGACCTCAGGTGGTCACCTTTCTGGGCTTCAGCTGTAAACTTACAGAGTTACTACAGGGATTAAATAAGGTTATAAATGTGAAAGCACTACATCAGTATAGGATAATATTATTTCTTCCTCATTCAACAAACATGTATTTTATCTTTACTCTGTGGTAGATGTTGAAATTAAAAGAGAATAAAGAACAAATAAGACAATGTTTCTTAGCCTCAAGGAACTCTCAAGCTAATAGGGAAAGGGACAGAAACATACTGTATTTATAAAATATCTCTGTGTTATTTTTTAGTTAAAGCATACTTTCCTGAGAGTGAAGTGTTCAGATCTTACATATACCATTCAATTTAATTTTGCCAAATGCATATGAAGAGGCAAAATATTTTCACCACTCCAGAAAAGTCCCCTGTTCCCATTCCCAGACAATTCCCACTTCCCTCAGAAGAAACCACTGATCAGAGTTCTATCACCACAGGTTAATTTTACCAGTTTCAAAATTCCATAAGTGGAATTATGTGGCATGTAGGGGTTTTTTGTTTTTGTTTTAATTGAGACAAAGTATCATTTGTGTTGCCCAGGCTGGAGTACAGTGGCGCAATCATGGCTCACTGAAGCCTGAACTTCATTCAGCATATTTTGATATGGATCCATGTTGTTATATTTAGAGTAGTTATTTTGTGGTTGTTGTTTGTTTTGCTAAGTAGTATTCCTTTTATGGATCTGTCACAGCTTATCTATTCTCCTGGTCATGGACATCTGAGTTGTTTCCACTTTGGGTCTATTATGAACAGAGCTACTATGAACAGTCTTGCACAAAGTATTTTTTTGTGTGTGTGGGCAAATGTTTTCTTTCTCTTGCATATAATACCTAGGAATAGAATTGATGTAATACCTAGGAATAGAATTGATGGGTCATAAGATCTCCTTTCATTTTAAATTTAAACTTTATGCTCTTTTCCATAAGTTTGAAATTTTATAATTTAACGTAATTTCAGAATGTTTAAGTTATTTTTAAAAACTATTTTGTATTGTGAAAGCAAATTCTATTTGAGATGGAAATAACCCCAAGACCATTTTTTTCTTTTACATTGCAAGTAAAATTCCCTTTTCAAGGATAAAAATAGGTGTCAGAGTTGGGAGAAAAATCTGTAAAACAAAGCCATTTGGAGAAAGTCGTAGTGGTTCCTGGAAAACACATTGTTCACCTGACTACCATATCCTGCAGCTAACGAACTCTCCTGTTCAAAAGCGCTTTCTCAGGCTTCTTCATTCGCAGTAACGTCTCCATTATACAAGATCTCTTTTTGATATTAACCTTGTCTGTCTTGCTCCCTTTATAACCCCATTGCCTAGTAGTACAGTATCTGGCCCATAAGAGGCACTCAGCAAAATTTTGATGAACAAATGAAGGAAGGAACAGTGGGTTAGGCAAAACAAGGAGCAGGAACTAAACAGTACCTGAGCTGTTTTACTCTCTTGGTTTTGCCATTAAGTAGCAATTACGGTTCAGGTCTCAAATCACATTCTCCGACATTCTGAACAGGGATAGAGATATAAACATCACCATGGTGACTCTTTTCCAGTCATCTATGCCTACCACGATGTCCCAGGCCACCCTTAGATTCCAATTATTCTCCTTAGGAGCATGCAGAGCACTAGTTGAGGATCACTGTGGCAATGAGCCCTTGTGTTTGAGGGGAGTATGTTGTGTCCCTCAAATTCAGAAGCCCTGCTCTAAACTCATCATTGTGTGGCCTGTAAAGGGAGAGTATAAGGAACACCACTGCACCAGTGTCTTTATGCACAACAATGGTTCCCACCATTTCCAGAGAAAGACTCATTTTTCAAAGCCAAAAAATGTATGCTTTTTTTTTTTTTTACCCCACCTCTTACCATAACAGAGGCTTACTTTCACTATCTGGTATTGAAAAACATATAGCACAAGCTACTGTGAATTTAGTATCACTTTAAAATGAACTTCTGTTTCATTCTCTACAGACACTAGAACATGGGCTATGTCTGTTTTATTTCATTCATAACTCATTGTGGAGGGATTCATGGATGTGTTTCTCGTTTGACATATTGCCATGGCTTGGGCACTGAGTTCCATGGGTGGGAAGTGCAGGAATCAATTTCTCCACCGTAAAAGAAAAGTGAAGAGGTGGACACAGGAAACTCTGAACCAGAGTTCACTATGAATCACTATGACCAGAGTTCCTTATGAATCACAAAGATCATTATGAATGGAGAAATGGAGCTCTCTGATTGTCCAGGTCTAAGTCAAATCCTCCTCCTATGAGATAAGGGCAGGGGCTGCCCTGCTCAAGCCATATGGAATGGGCTCCTCATATAAAATAGGACTTCTACTCCCAGTCAAAAGGAAAGGAGATGATTTTATACAAGTAGTTCATTAAGACTTGTATCATGACCAGGTACGGGGCTCACACCTGTCATCCCAGCACTTTGGGAGGCCAAGGCAGGTGTATCACTTGAGGTCAGGAGTTCGAGACCAGCCTGGCCAACATGGTGAAACCCCATCTCTACTAAAAATACAAAAAGTTAGCCAGGTGTGGTGGCATGCACCTGTAATCCCAGCTACTTGGGGGCCTGAGGCAGGAGGATCGCTTGAGCCCAGGAGGCAGAGGTTGCAGTAAGCCAAAGATTGCACCACCGCACTCCAGCCTGGGCAACAGAGCAAGACTCTGTCTCAAAAAAAAAAAAAAAAAAAAAAGTAAAAGACTCGTAGGATGTTTGCAGAGAGAGTAAAACAATAAAACAGCATTCAGAAGCACAGAACACATTTTGAGGAGTTTGGATTTCCATACCTGATCCCCAAAGCCAGGAAAGCCCTGCTACCACTTGCCAAGGCATATATGAACTCTGAATATCCTGAGCCTGATGTTGTGTATACCAGGCACAAAGCAAAACTAAGCAAGGATGATTTTGTTAAAACTGTAAACTTTTAAATATTGTACAGATTGCTTTAACTAGAGAAGATATCTATCACTTACGAGGAGTTAAATGTAAAAACAAAACGGGTTCAGTTAGTGCATTTAGATACAATGTACAGACCAGTGCTACCCTGGAGAGGCAAAGGGAAGAGGGGAAAGAAGCCAACAGAGCATTTTGTAGAATTTTTTTGTATTCTCACCACTGCAGGAATGAGGAGAGTTAGGAACACAAAGTGTGATCAAGTAGAACAAAGTCTCCAGGAAAGGTTAAGCTAACTAGGTGAACTCCTCTCTGTTTTCCTGGCAATAAGGCAGCACTTTATAATGATATTTTAATGAGGAAAAAATACAGAAACAAAGAAAATGATGTTTAGTATACAGACAACATCTAGCTTTAGCAATTAAAAAGTACATATCTATATACACACACACACATATATACATATATATACACACATATATATACATATATACATGTATAATTATTTTTTCTTTTCTAAAAAATATCTTTCCAGAGATGGCCTAACTCCTAGGCAGTGTGCCCCAAATCAGCCAAAAAGTAAATATATTTTATAACTCTTTTAAAATGTCACATCTTCCCCTTATGACCTTATTTTGGTTCCATAGCTTAAAACTTTTGTCAATCCTGCTTAGGCCTCCTCTCAAGGAGGAACTGATGAGCCCAGTGATTCTCAACCCTGACTGTACATTGGAATCACCACAGAAGCTTTCACAATCACAAGGCCTGGCTTCACCCTCAGCAATTCTTATTTAATTGGGCCAGAGTGGGGCCCAGGCACCCGTCCACAATGGCTGTTTTTATTGATAGCAACAATAGTATTCTGATTTTACAGAAATAATTTTAGACAAGTAGTTCATTAAGACTTGCAGCATGTTTACTATTATTTACTATGCAGTTAGCAGGCCAGATGCTAAGAGCCGGGAGCTACCATTATACATGAATAGATTAGAGAAACACATTCAGCATCGTACATTTTATGCTATTAGCACAACCTGAAAGACAGCACATAATTGGTGGCACATTTAAAATTCTGTACAACGAAGTCTGCTGCTGCCATCGAGATGCCAGGGTGGGGAATAAGGGTGATCCAGTGCAACTGATGTACTTGCATAAACAGAGGAGAAATAAGCGTCCACTGGATCTTTTCCAGGTTAAATCTATCATAGGGCAGTAGGAGAGCAATGGGCTGGAAGTCAGGAGACTTGGGTTCCAGTTCTGACTACCAGCCAAGTCATCTCAAGGAAGTCACTTGAATTACTGTTAGTTTCTAAGCTCCTTCAGGGAGAGGGATGATGACTGGGTTGACTTTTGTTTTAACTGGATTAATTTTGAAGGACAAATAAAAAGCTCAAAATTAGCATAGAACACGAAGAGCATTCCGGACAGAGGGAATTCTAGGTGGCAAAAGAAAGCAGTTTAAAATGGCATGGCATGTTTGGGGAACCTTAAGTATTTTAGAATAGCTGGAGCATAAATACCAAGGAGAAGCAGAGGCAGTCGTGTGGGACAGAGACCTGACTGTGAGATCACGTATGCCATGCTGGGAAGCTTCAGCTGTATTCAGCATACGCAACTGGAGAGTCATCAAAGAGTTTTATCATAAAGAGCTCAATCAGGCCAGGCATGGTGGCTCATGCCTGTAATCCCAGCACTTTGGGAGGCTGAGGTGGATGGATCACTCGAGGTCAGGACTTCGAGATCAGACTGGCCAACATGGTGAAACGCCGCCTCTACTTAAAATATAAAAATTACCCAGGTGTGGTGGTAGGCACCTGTAATCCCAGCTACTGGGGAGGCCGAGGCACGAGAATCACTTGAACCTGGGAGGCGGAAGTTGCAGTGAGCCGAGATCATGTCATTGCACTCTAGCCTGGGTGACTGAGCGACTTTGCCTCAAAAGAAAAAAAAAAAAAAAGAGCTCAATTAGACAACCACGTACGAGGTTTAGAAAGAGCATTCTGGCATCACAGGGAAAAGGGGAGTGGTGGGCTGAAAGTGAAGGAAATGGGATAATGCCAACATGGCAGCAAAAATTCTAATTAGGAGGCTATGGCAGACGCTTCACCACTCTGTGGCTCAATGTCCTCATTATAAAATGACAAGTGTATTAGTCAGAAACTGTGTATAAGTGACAAAAACATGTCTCAAACCAGCTTTTTTTTTTTTTTTTTTTTCCAAAGGTGGTTTCTTGACTCATATTTCAGACATGTCCAGGGCTATACTGACTGACTTCAGGCATCACTCACAGGATTTCATCAGAGCGCTCTCTCTCTCTCTCTCTCTCCCCATCTTTCTAACAGGCTCTCTCCACCTGAGAAACAAGGTGGCCACAGCAACCCAAGATTGCTAATCCATAAAGTTAGTCCCCTCCACTGGCAGAACAGCACAAAAAGAAGTGTCCCAAGGAAAACTCCAACTGATCTGGCTTTGGTCATGTGTCTAGCCCTGAACCAATCACTGCGAATTGGGAAATGGAGCTCTCTGATTGGCCAGGCTGGAGTCACTGCCTACTCCTGTGAGATGTGAGCAGTGTCTGCCCCAGTCAAGCCACAAGGACTCCCCATGGGAAATGGGACTCCTGCGCCTTCCTCTCCCAGAGGAAAGGAGAAAGGATGTTGAGTGGGCAAAAACAACATTGGTTCACTAGAGGAGATGGGGTGAAAGGGCTTTAGGATCCACATACTGTAAGCCATGTTTTCACCATAAGCTCATTCAAATTTCTCCATCAGGCAAGGCTCCAAGAGCCTCAAGCCCCAGTCCAGGAGGGGAGTTGAGATATTTCTCACTATTGGCTTAACTTATTGGCTAAAGTTTGTTCTTTTGAGCTAAGACTGTACACACGCACACACACACACACACACACAGATCAAGAATGAACAGAAGCAAATGACTTCTTTAATTCTCGTATAATTCAGCTTTACACTAAAAAGAAAGTGAAGAAGTGGGGAAGAAAGGGAAGGAGGATAAATTCCAGTGAAGCAAGTGCTCTTTTTCTAAAGAAAAAACACTAGGGCTCAGAAACTCTGTTAAATTGTTTTTATTGTGAAACTGGAAAAGGTTCCAAAGAGAGCAACCCGGATGATTAAAGTCATAAATACGTTCTGAGAAAAGCTCAAGAATCTAGGATTTTTCACTACAAAGAGAAGATTAAGAAGACTGAATAAATGACATGCACCAGTAAAGTACTTGGTTCCTGTCTGCAATATTAGAGAGTTGTGCTAGACATAAAAAATAGCTGTACTTCTTTCCTCCTCTTTTTCCTCCTCTCCTCCCACTCTGCCTTTTGATTGAAAAGATGTGGGGGTATCTCAAAATGACAAAAACCTACTCGTGAAGGGATATTGAAAGTTAAAATAATTACTAGAGTAGGGCGAGAAAAGAAAGAGAGAAGCCGACAGATTCTCAGGATAGGTATTAGATTACTGGTTCCATACAACATGAAGGAGAACTAAATGATGCTGAGGTTTCTTGTGCTTCAGTCTAATCTTAAAATTAAATTAGGTGATAATGTATATTCTTCTCACTTGACTTTTAGCCGTATTTCAAAAACCACCCTCCCCATACCTTAAAATATACAAATGTAAAAAAAAATTAGTCAAACAATATTCTATTTACACATCACTTAACACTTCAAGAAAACAATAAAGTGGTGTCACTCTAACATCTTTGGTTTCAAAGTACCATGTAGGATAAATGCATTTCTAATTAAAGACTTCCAAACTTTCAAAATGAAACAAAAATTTGCAAAATGAAACTAAGAAACCAAGTAACACTTAATTTTGTTATATTTAGCCTCATGTCAGCTATTTTTGTTTTAAAGTGGTTTATGATTCAATTGGCAAATGTTTAGGGAACGTATCTCATGTGCAAAATATTATCCTAGACACGGTGGAGAAAACAAAGAGGCAAAAGGAAAAGTCTCTACTGGCATGAAGCTTATAATTAAGTTGTGTAGACAAAGCATAAGTATTGTTACAAGTTAAATAAAAATGTATAAGAATGCATTATGGGCCAGGCACTGTGGCTCACACCTGTAATCCCAGCACTTTGGGAGGCCGAGGTGGGTGGATCACCTGAGGTCAGGAGTTGGAGACCAGCCTGACCAACATGGTGAAACCCCATCTCTACTAAAAATACAAAATTAGCTGAGCAGGCTGACGCATGCCTGTAGTCCCAGCTACTTGGGAGGCTGAGGCAGGAGAATCACTTGAACCCAGGAGGCGGAGGTTGCAGTGAACCAAGATCACATCATTGCACTCCAGCCTGGGCAACAAGAGCAAAACTCCATGTCAAAAAAAAAAAAAAAAGCGATATAACAAATATCACGTGGCAGGTTGCAATTAAGTACAAAATAATAAGTGCAAGAAACTCCCAGTCTCAAGCAGGGGTCATCACTGTGGGCTGGGGAGACTGCCTGGAGGAGGAAGTCCTGAAGGGGTCCTGCAAGCTGACTGAGAGTCACAGGAGAGGGCTGCACAGCTGAGAAGCAGGAATGTGAGGCTTAAATCAAGAATCTAGAAAGCAAACAAGAGAACCAGCATAGGGGCTCTCCAGGAGGCAGTGGGATCAGCCTGGGTGGATGTTTTGGCACAACCCTGGACTTCAGTTCTTTGGGGTTTAGAAGTTTCTTAAGAGAATCTCAAATAAAATTGTCATTTTGGGACCAGGGGTCTGGTTGCAATTGGTTTATTTGTATATACTGCTTACTGTGTTCCAGATGCAGTTCCAAGTGCTTTTTAAAGATTAACTCAATTCATCTTCATGACACCCCTTTGAGGTAGGTATTAGGAAGCTAATGCACAGAGTGGTTACAGTAACTTGCCTATGGCCACACCATTAATAAGGGATGGAACCAGTATTTGCAGCCAGCAGTCAGGCTCCCAGGTCTGTCCTGCTCAGCACCATGTTATACCCTACAAAGAAGACCAGGGCAGAATGTGCCTCCTGGAAGCAGGTCAGGAGTCCCCACCCAGGGCTTGAGAACTGAGTCAGGGTGATGGTGGAAGGAGGGGAGAAGGACACTGGAGGAATAAGGAATAGGAATAGATAATATAATGACTGGTTAGATATGAGTGGGGGAGGACAGCAAGGGAGAGGGGATAGGGAGTGGGGCTAGGGGTGATAAGAAAGGAAAATTCAAAGGGACTTGGAATTTTTAATTTTTATGCTTCCCCTGGTGAGGAGCAGGTCTACTCAGGGATAATGAGTCCAAATTTTGACCCAAAAAGTATGAGCTCCTTGAAGTCAGACAAATCTCAGTTTGAATCTGGCTGTGTGGCTTTGGGAAAGTTTCACAATCTCTCTGTGCCTCTTCTCCATCTCTAATGGGAACAATTCCAATAGCTGAGGTGATGTAAATCAAGAGTCTGGCACAGTGTCTGACAGGAGAAAGCCTTCCATTCAATGTCTTTAAGCCACTGGAGGTGTGGAACCCAGAGCCTGGACATGAGTTCATGGCTAGACAATTTGGATTTGGGGATGGAGAGAAGGCAGAGCTTGAAATAATCAGGAAAACAGCAATGTGACTGCCACTGTGCTGGGCTCTTCGCATGCTTTATTTTATATAATTCTCACAACAACCCAACAAGGCCATTTAAAGATGAGAAAACTGGCTTAGGAAGGATGAGTAAGAGGCAGCTTTTCCAGCCTGGGTCTGCCTAACTCTGAAGGCCTCAATCCTCACAGCTCATTGCCTCCCCAGCTGGTGTTATGAGAGGTGAGATCACCAAGAGATCGCCAGAGACTATCAGGGTTGGGGAAGATGGATGGAGACTGAATGGGAAAAGAGACCGAGAGGGATTATGGGAGTTTCTTTCCCTCCCCAGCCTCTCGTAGTCATGGATGCCGTCTGCAAACTGTGGGTATAAGCTGGCAAACAGTGGTTTTTTTTTTAAAACACCCAAATGTCAAAAGAGGAGTTTGGCAAAGTGGCTTTGTGCATATCATCTACACCACATGGGGAATCTCCAGTCAACTCCAGATGAGGAGCTGTCTCACCTCCACCACCCAGGAAAAGCCCAGACCTGTGCCCCAGACAGCCACCTGGGGTCTGCTTTCTCTCTCTCCTGCCAATCCTATTTCCAAGGGTGGACCGGATCCCTGGTGGTCCTCTCTTTAAAGGACTTGACTCAACACAGCATTGTTCTGCACCTAAAATCTGCATCCCACCCTCCCAGAGATGTGCTCCCAGCCTGCCCCCTTCAATACGAACACAGGCCTAGAATTGGAGTAGAATTTTCCAATCCCTCTTGGTCTGGGTGTTCTGACCTGCTGGTCATTGAGCTTTTCCTGAGAAGGAGCCACCACTTCTTGTCCCAGGGTTTCCTTGCCTCCTGCAGCCCAGTAAGCCTCCATGCTTATATTCCCTGCCTATCTTGCAGGCTATTTTAATTCCTTCTGGAAAATATTTCTGATGGAGTGGTTAGTGGAGATCCTAGCCAAGGAAGGCAGAGTTTCAAAGAAAGAGTGGTCGATAGTATTAAAGTCTACAAGACAACCGAGGACCGTGAAAAGGCCATTTGAGTTAAGCTGGTAAAGGCTAATGGTGGCTTTCAAATATGCAAAGGAGGCAGAAGCCACATTGTAAGGGTTACAGAGGATCTGTAAACCACTTTCCCCTCAAAACTTGTCAACAACAAGAAGCGAAAAATAAGATGATGGAGAATGGGCCCCAAGTGAAAGTTTTCCTTAAGTTATTAAAAATCCAGGGGTTATTTTCCAGCAGAGGATAAAGAAACAGAATATAGAACCAAAGTCTAAGGTGTAACAAAATTTCCCCCTTGTTGTTGAAATATTTATATCTATTTGTCATCATGGATTAACTTTATTTTCCAAAAGTTTTAATGAGCAAGTAAAGTATATATGAATATAGGTATCTTTTCACTTGACTTTTGAAAATGATGCCCATAAAAGTTAATGTATGCAAATCATTTAAAAATTATAAGCCTTGTATGACTCTCTGACCTCCTTTGATTAAATTCGACTGGCATAAAAACAAGTAATTGAAGTATTAAGAATCAATTAACAGTGAGCTGGCTGATTGTCATTACACCTTTAATTAGCAGTATTGGTTTCAGTATCACAGTGCTATGGTTAGCAGCTATAAATGAATGGATTGAGCAGCCACCAGCTGACATTTTGAGAACCTTGATACATCATCACTTTTTCCTGCTACTAATTAAGATTTATATCTTCCACTGTATTAATACTGCAAAGGCCTTTGTGATGGAGGCAGGATTTTTCCACTGCCTTTGTTTCTGTGGGTCTCATCGATTACAGTGTACATTGCCTGGGATCACAGACTTGTAAACACCATCCCAGTGACTCAGTTCAAACAGGGTCTTCTGCTGATTCATTCAACAAACACTTACTAAAGAACGACCACATGCAAATCACTGTGCTAAATGTTAGGGCAAAGGAGGAGGAAGAGAGGAATCCAATGATGAGGGAATATAGGTATTCCCTCTATATTTAAGAAGCTCATAGTTTCAGGAGGAGATACACATAGTACTTCACTGTGATACAGTAGGATGTGAATTATAATAGGATAGAAATAATGTGAATGGGAGCACAGAAGACAGAGAAGTTAGTTCCAACTTCCAACAAGTTACTTTTTTTGTTTATTGCCACAAAGATTCAAGGGCTCACTCTCAGTCCATACAACTGGGAAGGAGAATTTTATCAGGTCATTCCATGAGCAGTCCATGGACATTTATGAAAAAGGCGACTCACCCATCTCCAGGCCATGATTCCCACTCACTGCTGAGATGGGCACTGCCTGTCTACAGCTCAGGCTCGGCTTTCCATTCTCTTGTCAGAGGGTCAGTGCTTGTGCCTCTCAGGGCATAATTTCTCTCTTCTTCCCAAAGCAACTCAATGCCAACAGTTAGAATGAACTCAACGCTCATTTAATTATGTGGGTTCTCCTATGATTAGATAAACATGCATAAGAATGACTTTGAAAGCATTTTTATAAGCTCCTTTCCAGGCCATGCTCTAAGAGATTTTATTTAAACTGATACTCTAGGTTATTTTGATGCTAGAGGTCTCCAGACCACATTTTGAGAACCAGCACTCTAGCTTTACAGCTAAGGAAGCTGAAACCAGACAGGTAAATTATCCTAGTACCTAGTTAGTATATAATAACAGCAAACGTTTATATAGCACTTACAATGAGCTAGGTATGGTTCCAGACGTTTTACACATGCAGTAGGAATTCATTTAATCTTCACAACAACTCTATAAGGTAGATATGCTTATCATCTCGTTTTATAGATAAGGAAACTGATGCACAAAGAGGTGAACTAAGTTGCTCATGGTCAACAATAAGAAAATATCAGACTTGCCCCTTGAATCCAGACTGCCTGAATCAAGAGTCCACCATCACCACTATCTCAGAGGGGCAAATGTGGGTCTGAACCCAGGTCGTCGGATGTCCATAATGGGTGCTCTCTATCACACGTGCTGCTTTGAAGGCTGTGAGTCTCAAATAAAAAGCTGGAGTTCTGCTGTTGGCCACCGAGAGACCCAGTGATTTTTCTTTCCAGGAAGAGCTGGCTTGTTTCTGAGACTTTTCCGTACCACTTCTTTGCCTCTGCAAAATTCTGTACTTTTCTTTGCTTAGGGCATCTTGAGAACCAGAGCAGCTCAACTTCAGAACTATAGTTAAGCTAAGCTTTAACTGACACATTCTTTGAGCAATTAAACTGACGCATTCTGTTAGCAATTCCAGAGGAGGACAGGAATTTAAGTGTGTGCTGAAGATTAGAACGCCTGAAATTATACTTCCAACTTTGCCTCATTGTTAAACTTTTCTTTTTTTTTTCTGCTTGAACTGACTGAGAGACCCAACTTCTCATGGAAAAGCTTGGGAAAGTCAGAAGTTCCAGTCATTAAGAAGAAAGTGTGGAAAGTCTGGTTGACAGAAACAAGCTCAAAAGCAGAAGTGTCTGACTACAAATTCAAGTGCACTTGTCTGCATGAGAGAATAACCTTCATGAGACATTTCTCTTTATGACTCTGCTGTTTCGAATCTCTGGCTGGCTGTAACAATAATTAAGCAAAGTTTTTTATTTCTGAGTCCCTTCATTTAAAAAAAAAAAACAATGAAAAAAACTCTCCATGGTCCCTTTAGTGAGCTCTTCCTTGCTGCTTTGTTACTTGGTACTGATAGCTAAAGGTTCTTATTCCAGCTGGTTCTGCAGCTCTGACTCAACTGCCAACTTCCTGACTTTCAGAAATCTCATTTCCAGATCCCTGCTGTTTTTCTGCGTGATGCTGATTGCTGGCTCTGGTTCCCAGGAGGCGCCCAAGATCGGATTAACTGCCAGCTTCCTGATGCACAGCCTTGTTATCAGCGCCTATATCCTTGTTCAGCAAAGTGCCTCTCCACCAACTTAATGTTCTTTTCACCACCCCATTTCTGCACGATGTAGTCACAGTAAGACACAGAGTGTGCAGTCCCGATCCCAGTGCTACATAATAAAGATCCAGAGCTCACTTTTGTTGCACTCATGTTCTCGCCAACTGCTGGTCACTAGACTATCAGGAACAATAAGCGCAATTTTGGAAAGGGTGATGCCTTGGGATTTTATTGCTGCACTACACTAGGACAAGGAAAGCAATTGTACTGTGCAGTGTTGCCCAGCATTTGAGAACTCTTTGTTGTTTTTGCCACATTCAAGGCTTTTTGTAGGTATCCTTTATCAGGTTTAAGAATTACAGATTACAGGCATGAGCCACAGCTAGGCACAATGGCTCATGCCTGTAATCCCAGCACTTTGGGAGGCTGAGGCAGGAAACTTGCTTGAGCCCAGGAGTGCAAGACCTCCCTGGTCAACATGGCAAGGCCTCATCTCTATAAAAAATTTCTTAAAAAATTAGTTGCTGGGCATTGTGGCATACACCTATGGTTCCAGCTACTTGGGAGGTGGAGGTAAAAGGATTGGTTGAGCCCAGGAGGTCAAGACTGCAGTGAGCCATGTTTATGCCACTGCACTCTAGCCTGGGCAACAGAGCAAGACCCTGTCTCAAAAATAATTAAATAATAATAATTTCCCTTCTATTCCTAGTTCGCTGTTTTTTTTTCATGAGTGAATGTTGAATTTTTTAAATGCTTTCTCTGCATCAATTGATATAATCATGTGCTTTTTCTTTTGACTATTAATAGGGTGACTTGCATTGATTGATTTTCACAGACTGAACTATTTTTGCATTCTCAGGATAAACTCCACTTGGTTGTGGCGTAGTATTCTTTTTTTATATTGCTGGATTGTTGTGCTAATAATTTGTTGGGGGGTTTTGTGTCTATGGTCATGAGGATATTGACCTGCAGTTTCCTTGTCTTGTTACTGCCTTCGTCTAGTTTTGCTTTCAGTGTAATGCTAGCCTCATAAAATGAGTTGGGAAGTATTTCTTTCTCTTCTATTTCCTGAAAGAAATTGTTGAGGATTGATTTCTTTTTTAAATATTTGATAGACTTACTGAAACTCTAGTTTTTAAAGATTTTTTATTATGGATTCAATTACTTTTGATAATTATAAGATCATTCAGATTATCTATTTTGTCTTGGGTTAGTTTTGGTAACTTCTGGTTTTCTGAGGACCTAGTCTGTTTCATCTACATTGACAAATGTATGTGAATAAGAAACTTATGCTTCAGTCCTGCAGCCACAAGGAAATAAATTCTGCCAACAACCTGAGGAAGTTTGGAATCAGATTCTGCACTTCCCCCCACCATCATCCACCCCCAAGCTTCTGATGAGGCCACAGCTTCATCCAAGACCCTGAGGGTTAAAACTTGGTGAGGCCCTGAAGTAAAGTAACCAACTAAGCCATACCCAGGCTTCTGACCCCTGAGATAATAAATATGTGTTGTTTTAAGCCACTACTTGTAGTAATCTGTTACACAGCATTTAAGCCACTACCTGTAGTAATCTGTAGCATAGCATTTAAACCACTACTTACAGGAATCTGTTACATAGCATTTAAGCCTCTACCTGTAGTAATCTGTTACTTAGCATTTAAACCACTACTTGTAGTAATCTGTTACGCAGCATTTAAGCCACTATCTGTAGTAACCTGTTACATAGCATTTAAACCACTACTTGTAGTAATCGGTTACACAGCATAAAAAAAAAAAAAATTGACACAGTGCAATCTTTTCCTGTCCTCTACCTGTATAACTATGATTGAAGTGAAATTTCTTGTAGACAGCATATAGTTGGTGTGTTTAGACCATTTACATTTAATATAATTATTGATCAGTTTGGATTTAGTTCTACCATCTTATTTGTTTTGTTTGTTTCTAAGTTGGATCCTTTTTAAAAATCTATTTGACCATCTCTGCTTTTAATTAGTATTAACTGGAATTACTTTCCTTTTCCCTGCCTTCTTTTGGGTTAAGCATTTTTTTATTATTCTATTTAATGTATTTGTTTTCTTACTATATCCCTGTATAGTTTTTTTTCAGTGCTTGCTGTAGTGATTACAACTTAAGCAATATTCCACTTGAAGCAGAAAAACACAAGCACACTATGAAACATTAAGTATGCGCTAATATTATGAAAGGAAAAAAGATATAGCGGAATGAAATGGAATGACATGGAATGGAAGAAAAAGGAGCCTGTGGCCTATTGTTTCGACTCAATCCAGAAATGTCAAAGTATCAAATGCTCAAAAATAAATTTTCTCTTGTAGTACTAGACTGATAAATATTAAATTCTTTCCTAGACCATGTATCTCAAGTAATTAGACTGGTTTTATGTCATTTGGGCCAGATATGATATAATTGAGAAATCTTTTTTTTTTAATTTTTATTTTCCCTTCCTGTCTAGACTCCCACACCCTGCTTAGAGGTGGAGCCTGTGTTCTGTTTTAGGAAGTCACCCCAGTCCACTGCTGGGAATCCCAGCCAAGCCATCTTTCATGGTTGGTTAGGCACTGTGTCTAGCAGACTGTACACACCCACCACTGGAAGTCCCTCCAAGAGAAAGAGTCAGGTTAAGATGGCAGTTCAGACCCTCAGTCTGGTAGGTACATTGGGGCAAGCGTGAACCAGCCTTGCAGCTCCACAGGGCCCTAAAGCAGATACCAGTCCATTCCCCATCATTTCTGTTCCACCAGTAGACCTCTCTACTCATCCTCTCTTCTTCACCTTCTGAGTAAGGCAGAGTGGTAGCCATGAGTGCCAGGCTTCTCTTCCCTCCCTGCATTAACTGTGTTCAACATTGTCCCAAGGATTTCCCCCTCAGCCACTGGGCCCTTAGCACTGTCCTCAATGGTAAAGTGGATTTCTTCAGATTCCAACATGGAATTTCCCCACACGGTCACCAAAACAGCAGAGGGTGGTGAGAGGTGACTGAACAGAGAGGCGCCATATGTGCAGCCAGGGAGGTAACTGCACAGTCTTCCTCCTCAGCCAGACACAGGCAGCACCTAGAGAGTGCCATTCGGAATTGCTTCAAAGTCCTGTAATGAAGATGACCTTTATAAAGTCCGTTTAAGATACACCTTAAAGGCAGAAGAGAGCTCAGAGAAACATGAGCATGTTCTCTCACTGTTCTGTGAGATGATTCTGACAACTCTGAGCCTATATGCTTAGGAAGGTTGTGTTCCAGTTACTCTTATATTGTTTCCTCCTTCCCATTGACTTACATATAAGTGACAAAAGGAATGAATTAATTACCTAAGTAAAATGAAGAATGTTTAATTTTCTTCCCCCAGGCCTATAAAAGTCAAAGAGGACATGTGTACAGTTGTAGTACAACATTTACAGAATCCAAGGGACACAAACAATTACTTAGTACTGCAAAGATTAAACCTCAGATGGCAAGATGGGGTTGCATGATCCTTCACAGACAGTCCCATCTGCCTGTCAATGGTTAGGCCATACACCCGGACTGGTGTGCCTCCCTCTCTCCCTTCCTTCCTCCATAAATACTTAACAATTCACTCCATACCTGGCACTATGTTAGGTACTGGGATATTTGTGACTCTGTAAGCATTAGACAACACTAATTATCCATCTGAAGCTGTTCTTTCTTTGCATAGGAACATGCTTGTAGCATATGTGGTTAGACTGATTTCTCAGCCTCTGTTGCAGTTCCATGTGGCTATATATCAACATTCTCCTCCATGGAAAGTGAGAAGTAATGTGTGCCATTTATGCCAAAGCTTTCAAGAAGTAGCTATGAGGGGATGGCGAAGCCCCAAGAGGGCAAGGAAGTAGGTCCCTGAATGTCTTTTGTGGAAAAAAGCCAGTCACTGATCAGGAACACCTGCCTTAACTATTATACACATACATTTCTTTTTTTTTTTTTTTTTTTTTTAAGTGCAAGTAATTTATTTGGGAAGTGATCCCAGGAAGCATCAGGAGAGGAGCAGGGAAGCTGACAAGGGCATGCGGGGACTCTGGGAGGCTTAGATCCTACCTCTGATAGGTCCTGAAGTATTGTGATTGACTGTCGGAAGCCTCCTAAGGTCAGCGCCACTGCCGATGCGTTGGTATTACACCTTTGTTACTCCTTTTTATCTTAACCGTTTATTTCAAGAGTTTCTTTGCTGATCTGCTCCCAGACTGGTTTGTACCTGGTACCAAAGTTAATTTTCTTTTTTTATTTTTTTTATTTTTTATTTTATTATTATTTTTTTTTATTGATCATTCTTGGGTGTTTCTCGCAGAGGGGGATTTGGCAGGGTCACAGGACAATAGTGGAGGGAAGGTCAGCAGATAAACAAGTGAACAAAGGTCTCTGGTTTTCCTAGGCAGAGGACCCTGCCGCCTTCCACAGTGTTTGTGTCCCTGGGTACTTGAGATGAGGGAGTGGTGATGACTCTTAACGAGCATGCTGCCTTCAAGCCTCTGTTTAACAAAGCACATCTTGCACCGCCCTTAATCCATTTAACCCTGAGTGGACACAGCACATGTTTCAGAGAGCACAGGGTTGGGGGTAAGGTCACAGATCAACAGGATCCCAAGGCAGAAGAATTTTTCTTAGTACAGAACAAAATGAAAAGTCTCCCATGTCTACCTCTTTCTACACAGACACGGCAACCATCCGATTTCTCAATCTTTTCCCCACCTTTCCCCCCTTTCTATTCCACAAAACCGCCATTGTCATCATGGCCCGTTCTCAATGAGCTGTTGGGTACACCTCCCAGACGGGGTGGTGGCCGGGCAGAGGGGCTCCTCACTTCCCAGTAGGGGCAGCCGGGCAGAGACGCCCCTCACCTCCCGGACGGGGCGGCTGGCCAGGCGGGGGGCTGACCCCCCCACCTCCCTCCCAGACGGGGCGGCTGGCCAGGCAGAGGGGCTCCTCACTTCCCAGGAGGGGTGGCCGGGCAGAGGCACCCCTCACCTCCCGGACAGGGTGGCTGGCCGGGCGGGGGACTGACCCCCACACCTCCCTCCCGGACGGGGCGGCTGGCCGGGCAGAGGGGCTCCTCACTTCCCAGTAGGGGCGGCCAGGCAGAGGCGCCCCTCATCTCCCGGACGGGGCGGCTGGCCAGGCGGGGGGCTGACCCCCCCATCTCCCTCCCGGACGGGGCGGCTGCCGGGCGGAGACGCTCCTCACTTCCCAGACAGGGTGGCTGCCGGGCGGAGGGGCTCCTCACTTCTCAGACGGGGCGGCTGCTGGGCGGAGGGGCTCCTCACTTCTCAGACAGGGCGGTTGCCAGGCAGAGGGTCTCCTCACTTCTCAGACGGGGCGGCCGGGGAGAGACGCTCCTCACATCCCGGACGGGGCGACAGGGCAGAGGCGCTCCCCACATCTCAGATGATGGGCGGCCGGGCAGAGACGCTCCTCACTCCCCAGATGGGATGGCGGCCAGGCAGAGACGCTCCTCACTTCCCAGATGGGATGGCTGCCGGGAAGAGGCGCTCCTCACTTCCTAGATGGGATGGCGGCCAGGCAGAGACGCTCCTCACTTCCCAGATGGGATGGCTGCCGGGAAGAGGCGCTCCTCACTTCCTAGATGGGATGGCGGCCGGGCAGAGACGCTCCTCACTTTCCAGACTGGGCAGCCAGGCAGAGGGGCTCCTCACATCCCAGATGATGGGCGGCCAGGCAGAGACGCTCCTCACTTCCCAGATGGGGTGGCGGCCGGGCAGAGGCTGCAATCTCGGCACTTTGGGAGGCCAAGGCAGGCGGCTGGGAGGTGGAGGTTGTAGCGAGCCGAGGTCACGTCACTGCACTCCAGCCTGGGCACCATTGAGCACTGAGTGAAGGAGACTCCGTCTGCAATCCCAGCACCTTGGGAGGCCGAGGCTGGCGGATCACTCGCGGTTAGGAGCTGGAGACCAGCCCGGCCAACACAGCGAAACCCCGTCTCCACCCAAAAAACACGAAAAGCAGTCAGGCGTGGCGGCGCGCGCCTGCAATCGCAGGCACTCGGCAGGCTGAGGCAGGAGAATCAGGCAGGGAGGTTGCAGTGAGCCGAGATGGCAGCAGTACAGTCCAGCTTCGGCTCGGCATCAGAGGGAGACCGTGGAAAGAGGGAGAGGGAGAGGGAGAGGGAGAGCTACATTTCTATTATGTTAGAGCCATTACACATCTTGAAGCCTTTTTAGAGATAAAAGAAAAAGCAGTTAAGCTAATCTAACTCTTCTTTTTTTTTTTTTTTTTTTTTTTTGGAGACAAAGTCTTGCTGTGTCACCCAGGCTGGAATGCAGTGGTGCGATCTTGGCTCAATGCAACCTCCACTTCCTGGGTTCAAGCAATTCTCCTGCCTCAGCCTCCCAAGTAGCTGGGACTAGCACTGCCACGCCCAGCTAATTGTTAGTATTTTAGTAGAGATGGGGTTTCACCGTGTTGCCCAGGCTGGTCTTGAACTCCTGAGCTCAGGCAATCCACCTGCCTCGGCCTCCCAAAGTCCTGGGATTACAGGCATGAGCCACCACACCTGGCCTATTCTAACTCTTTAATTAAAAAATTATTATCTTGAAGTAGAAAACAACTGTTTGGAAAATGTGCATATATGAGAATTGGCTTAATGTTTTGGCACCAGAGAAAGCAAAGACTCAGATAGGGCAGGATGGGAAGCTGGAGATTCCTCTTATTCCATGGGCAAAATATTTGGTAAAATTGTCCTCTCTGTTAACTTGCATATTAACTTAATATCTACCAGGCCTGCAGCTCTTGGGGCAGGAGTCAGCAAACTATGACTCATGGCCAGTTTAGCTTGTTGTCTGTTTTTGTAAATAAAGTTTTACTGGAACACAGCCATGCCCATTCATTCACACATTGTCTATGGCTGCTTATGTACAAGAGTAGCATTGAGTAGTTGCAAGAGAAACCATATGGCCCTCAAAGCTTAAAATATTTACTACCTAGCCCTTTAAGAAGTTTATCAACCCCTGATATAGGCAGTAGTGGGATCTAGGTGATGATGGAGCTAAGAAATGAAAGGAGCCACCCAGTAACCAGGACCTGTACTGTTAAAATGAACAAGAAATTAACTTCTAGAGTATTTCAGTTATTAACTACTTTGGAATTTATTTCAGCAGGTTAGCCTGCCCTACTGTGGCTGATTGATGGCAGGCATGGCCTCAAATCCTCACCCCTCCTTGGGTCTTTTTCCTATGTAACTTTGCAGTGCCTTCCCATTGCAGAAGGGCCTTTCTGTCCCAACTCTCAACTTTAGGTTTTGCCATGTGATTTACTGTGATCACTGGAATAATAGCAAATATAACACAAGCGATGACTTGAAAAAGCACTTGCACACTCTTGCTTTTTCCCTCTTGTTCCTCTGACATTGCCATGAGAACAAGCCCAGGCCAACCTGCTGGAGGATGAGACACATGGAACAGAATGCCCAGCCACCGCCCTCAGACATGTAAGAGAGCCCAACCCAGATCAGCAGAGCCATCCATTCAACCTACAAATTCGTAGGGAAAAATAAGTGCTTATTGCTATAGGCCACTGAGATTTTATGGTTGTTACACAGAGCATTATTGTGGTAATAAATAACTGTATATCTACTAACACATAATAGATATGTGTTACTCATTCTTATTTATAAGCTGAGGTGCTTATCTTATATAAAACCTTTCCAAAATCTTATGAGGTAGTTATCATATTTCCATTGTACATAGAAAGAAAAAGGTTCAAAAAGGTGAAGTGACTTGACCAAGTTGCCCCAGCTGAAAAATGTCCAAGCTAGGGCTTTAGCTTTGTCTTCACAAATCCAAAAGGTTTTGCCACAGAATTAAAGCGGTCTGTCTAATATCTTACTCAAGTATCACACATTTAAATGCACACATGAGCCAGGCAAGTTGTATCAACTGTGAAAGAGACCACTGTCATTGTCAGAGAGCTGTCAGGGAAGGGTACAGATCACCAGAACTGGAAAGGCATGCCCCTTCTTGAGGGGCTGCCACAATTCAACTCGGGCCAACTGCTGCCACACAGAGACGGGGCCCAGGTTGCCACATTGCTTGGTTTTTCAAGAGAAGTAAGAAATCCAGAATTTATGTAAACTGTTCTATTTTTAAATGTTAGTTCTGTTTTTAAAAATACAGTGCAAACCAAGTGAAATACATGTGCAATATTTGGCCCACGACTGCCAGCATGTGGCCTCTGCCTTATATTTGCACAACAATTTACAGTTTGACAAGCAGTTTTACATCTATTATGTCCTTTCTCCCTTATAAAAGCCCTGTCAAAGCTAGGCACAGTTGTGTGCACCTGCAGTCCCAGCTACTTGGGAGGCTGAGGCATGAGGATCGCTAGAGCCTAGGAGTTTGAGACTAGCCTGGGCAATATAGTGAGGCCCTGCCTCTGGAAAAAAAAAAAAAAAGCCCTACAAAGACAGAAAAAATAGAGGTTATTATTAAAACTTTTAGAGATGTGGAAACTGAGGCTCATAGAAAGTAAATAACTTGCCCAAGTTCACATAGCCAATTAATAAGAGTCAAGGCTAGCATTCCCAGCCCTTAGGGTTTCTGTACTTTTTCCTTTTTCTTTTTTTTTCTTCTTACAATATAATATAATTCAATCTTATTCCTTTTTCACATAATGGTTGAAAGTTTTTCTGTGTCTGAGGTAAGAGCAGTAGCAGGTGGCGGTGGAGGCTCCATTATTTCAGAAAGTGATGGTCTAGTCAAATTGCCAAGGCTCTGCACTGTGGGCAGATCTTTATTTAAATTAGGAAACTGATTACAGTCATTCCTCCAAATAGTTTACTTTCTCTGATTATTTTGTTTCCTCTGTAAGTGAACCATATCTACTTATTTAATTTATTAAAATCTGCCTACCCATCAAATAGCCTTAGGCTATGAAAACAAAGCAAACTCATAATTAAAGTATTAATAGAGCTTTAAAAGCTAGCAGAAATGATAAAAAAACATAGGCATTACATCTATAAATTAAGCATAAAATTACATTAAGGAATAATTTCCTCCTGGCATCCAATCAAGGTAGCTCAGCAGACTGCAAAGACAACATAACATGCAGCAAACCATCTAATAAATAAATGGCCCTCATCAAAACAAGCATGTAATTTCTGCACAGGAAGCGGTACTGTTTTTACTTAGTTAACTTCTCTTTAATCATTTAAGCAAATTTATATTTGAATGAGGAAAGCCAGAGGGCGTGTAGGAGGCAGGGAAGATGAGTAGATGTCTTTTCACAGCTCACGGCTGGCTCAGAGTGTCCACAAACGTTTTCAAAAGTCAGGGCATTCCTGGAGTCATCTGTTGCTATTCTGGGGCTCTAGTTTTTCAAATGAACTCAAGAGGCTGAAGCGAAGGAGACAGTAAGCACAGAGGGATGGTAGTAGGGACATGCAGTGTCACCCATCCATACCAGGAACGTATCTATCTTTAGGAGAAAGGCCATTCACAATGATACTTCCACTAATGCTAATGAGATGTTAGACACGACAGCTTATAGACTTACAACAGTCCATGGATTGCCCACATAGAAGAGAAAACACAATTCAGTTGATGCTGAACATAAAATGTGCTTGAGGAATTCCCTTATTGAAATTTCAGCCTTTTTTTCATATTATTTTGACATTAAAAAATATACTTTGGGGGCCTCTCTCTAAAAAAAATTCAGGGCTTTTTTTTAGGACCAAAATTAATAAAGATTACTCTCTCAAAATACTGCTGTCATCCTGCCAAGTAAATAAAGTGACTACTCAACCAGAAATTGCACCTTGAGTCCTTAGTCATCACCAATCCAAATTCTGTTAGCTATTACCATTGCTTTGCTTTTTTTTTTTTTTTCTAAGCAAGTCACTCAGCACAAAATATTCTAGAAACATCAGAGTGATACAATATAGTCCTGAGGAGACATGGCAACTAGACAAGTGATTTTTGGGGGAAAAATATGGGTGTGGATTCTCCACCACTAAGGTCCCGGAGTGTGCTGCTTTAGAGATGGAATTCCTGGAAAGATTCCTTTAGCAGAGTTTTAAATTCACCCATCAAAGCAATAGCTGAGATGAATGTCTTGTTGGAAGCAGCTTAGCATTTTACTAACTAGTTCAACTTTTGTAGTCTTCGCACCAGACATTTATAGGTGATTGCTTTCAAGGAGGTAGAAAGCTGCGTACAGGGCACGTTGCTGAGCCTGGCGTCTGGCCCATCTGTGCCAGTTGGCTGAACACCCAGATTATGTAGAATGGGGAGACAGTAAGGTCAGGCTCCTCCTTCCACAAGTAGGTTTGGGCACCAGAGAAATCCATTAATATTTCTCCTTGAAAGAAACAGGCTTGTTAAACACAGAGAAAATGGAGCTGCCCCACATCCCACACTTGCTTTTATGTGTATTTCTAGCAAGTGACCAAAGACCAGTATTTAGGATTCCCACAGAGGACTGACTTTCTTGGTTAAAAAACATCTGCCAGATTTGTTTTTCATGGAGACAGCCACTTCCCGACCCCTGTAATATTCTTTCTGGTAAAAGATTACTGGGGTTAAAAATGAGAGTTTTATTAAATCCTGCCTGTGTCCAGTCAAGCCTTTTAGTTCTACACCACTATCCTTTTCACTTTATTCAAGTAGAGCGAATCTTCAATAGCAATCATTTGAAAACCAAACAGCTGTCTCCTCCAAAATTGCTTTTTTCTTTTCATCATATATCTTTCCCTAATTATTAATGCCACAAACACGTATCAAAGTCCACTCTGTGAAGTGGTTCTCCCAGGCCTGAGGACATCACTGAAGAAGACACTGTCCCCACACTGTCCCCAGCTGATGTTAGTCAAGGGAGGAGACTCTTGCACAAACTGTTTTCACATTTGACTACTACCTTCATCCTGTGTAGATAACTCAGCATCCTACTTCTCATTTTTATTAAAAATGTCTGAGTATGAAAGATATAGTCACTGAAAAAACTAAAAAGTACTGACATATATGAAGGAAATGAGTAAAGTCATGTGTAATCCTGTCATTCAGAGATATTTGTTAAAATGTTGGTGGGTTGTGGGGGAGACTCTTTCCAGAATGTTTTAAAGGTATGTATATACCCAATTATATCTACTATTTTGTAAAGTTTATAGGTGGAGACAAGTGTAAGAGAGAACAAAGAGAGGGAGAGAAACAGAAAAAGAGGAGTGACTAAAGCAAAGAGACAGAGGCAGAGCGGGGAGAGAGACAAGGAGGAAGGGCAATGGCAAGCTGGCAGGGTCCTTAAATCAATTTAGGTCTCCTTCCTCGCCAGGATGATCAGCCAGTCGCAGGGTCACGGGCCCGCCAATTAAAAAACCTTTTATCCTACTGTCCTTTCCAAGCACACTGCATCAATAAGCTAATCCAACCCTGCAGTTACCTCCTGCCCACAAGCCCAAGGCCACTGAAAATTACAGGAGGCCAATTCATAAAAAATGCACTGCTGTTTCCTGACTAGTGGTTTAAAAACATTCTTTTCCAAATTTTTAAATAATTATTTATTTAGCGTTACTTTATGCTTATACCTCAATATCTGATTACCTTGTCAAGTCATCTTCTGTTTTGGCAAAAAAAAAAAAAAAAAAAGCCTGTTCACAACCTGGCAAAAGATTCTGGCTGAGCCCAAGGTCACCACCATAGAGAAGCAGATTGAGGATACTCAAATCTACTAGCCCAAGTGTATTTTTGATTAAAAAATACAACCAAGCCATGTGTCAGAGCCAAGATACCTAAATGCATGGCCTTGTCCAGGCAAAACTGTAAGTGAATTTGTTTTGGACTTCATATGTGGGGGTTTTGATGTTAAGTAGACAATAGCTATGTTCTCATTCTGGTTAGAATAAGAGAGCAAAGTCTTAGGCAATCCTTATCAAGGAGTCCCCTGCCTGCGCTGATAACCACCCGGAAAGCATTCTTCATGTTTCCATCCGAGGACTTGACCACACCAAGTATTTACTCCCAAAGCAGCCAGTGAAACCCTCAAGAGATCTGTCTGGAGATCATCTGGGCAAGTGGGGAAGAGGACAGCAAAAGCATTAGGTTCATTGTCTTCTGCTTGGGAACAGCCACTCCTGGCAAACAGCAGTGACCACTCCAGGGGATGCCCAGCAGCAATGGGAGCCAGCACCACTCCCACCTCTCACAAAGCCCATTGCCACCGAAGAAAATGTGCTCATCTCAACCTCATTTTTGCCTCCTTGTGAGAGTCTTCCAACAGCTAGCCTTTCTGCTAGGCATTAGCAAGGATGAACACAATGAGCTCGTGATTGCCTCTGGGAACACACTACATTCTGTAGTTGTTTTAAAAATCATGAAATAACTCTCAGCCACGACCAACAGTGTCTGTCAGTGGACTGTGTAAGGCACTGGGAGGGCAAGCAATTTTCTCTAAATGCTTCCTGATGATCCATTCTCCGGATCTCCCTTATCTCCTCCCATCTGAAGACAGACTGCCAGCAAAGGCACTCCCTGGCCAGCTTCAGGGCCGGCAGAACGGCATAAATCAGTTTTAGAGCAGTGGTTACAATGAGGGTAAGGAAAGCTACATGCATCTGTCCTCTCTCCACTATCCTAAACCTTGTCATCTTATTATCTGATAACACTGGCATGGCCTTCCAACAGCTTCCCTCTGCCCCGCAGAGGGGCGGCCTTGGAGACCGGGAAGGAGGCAGGCCTGCCCAGCCTGTGGTGGGCAGAAATGGGAATCAGACCACCCACCTACCTACCTAGTGCTTGGAACTCTGAAGCTTTCCCTCCAAAAATGTCACAGGACTGATTGCATGGTAAAAGTTTTGGACTATAGGGGAAAAAACCAGGTAGGTAAGTTCACCGAAGCCCTGAGCAAGAGCCCTTAGGGGTGTGGGTCTGAGCAATTCTGCAGCCCACCTGCTTCCAAAGTGACCCGCTCAGCAACGATCTGTCCGTGGCTCCATCTGCATTGCGGCTCCCTCATGGTCTGGGCTACTCTGGGAGAGGAAGGTGTCACACAGCTAAGGGGAAGGGAACCAGCCCCACTCCTTGAGCTGCATTAATCCCCACGGGGAAAGCAGGTGAGGCCCATCACAGGGGCACAGCAGGCAGTTTACCGGAACGTGCAGGCGGAGGGGTACGCAGCAGTTTTCAATCATAGTTTAAGTCAAATTTACTGAAACCTTACTAATTTTAACTCTTCTGATGCCGCAGCTGACATAATCACGGTCACATGACTCGCAGCTGTAATGTTCTTAAAAAGGAAGCTTCTTCTTCAGGATGATACCAATTAATGCAGGACAGAAAGAACAGCCAGGTCTAGTTCTCCAAGGGGGAATGAGTGGCTTTGGAAATTCTTCCTCTTACCTTGTTTTGTCCTCTTCGGCACGTTCGCTGCTCACATCCAATGCTGCTGCAACGACAAGCAAAAAAACAGAATCATGACAGCCACCTGACACCCGAGGCCCTGCCGCCAGCCTGCTGGGGCCGCCTGAGGTACCAGGGTCCAGGCATTATTTTTCACTCCCTGTGCTCCTGGCAGAGGAGGAAGGGCCTTACCTGCCATTGTTCCACCTGACCGAAGATGAGACTAAACCAGGGGAAATCCTGCTCCCAGGAAAAAGGACTGGGAGAGATGAATAATTAATAATGCCCCAGAACTTGAAGCGGAACGGAAGGTAAGTGTGAGGCCTGGGGTGAATAAAAGAAACACTCAACAGGAAAGGCCACATTTTACCCCTAAGGAAGCTCAGAAAGGGGAGGTTCACGTTCATGTGCTGGGAACTGAGCCTCTCTTTCCAAATGTTAGTTTTGGACTGAGAAAAACCGGGCCGTGGGTTCCAAAAAATCCCAAGGGGACACTTGCTGTTGGGGAAAATGCCCGCTTTGGAGACTAGCCACCCTGGTGCGTGCACCCGGCTTGCCATGCATGCAAGTCGATTCTGAGGTGTCCGTGTTCCTCCCTTTCCTCTGGGTTCTATTCCTAGGAAACTTTCTTCTTCTTTTCGAAATTGTTTACTGTTGTAAGCACGATAACTCAACTAATACCATTCACTGACTCTTATCCATGTATCCTTTTCTCCACAAATATTTGCGAAGCCTCTCTCTATGCCATCTGTGCTAAGATACTAGAACTGAGAAGAAATGTAAGACCCAGAATGTCTCCAGGCTGCCTTGGAGGCCTGTAGTGCTGAATGCCCATGTTTGTGGCCTCCGCATGGCCATCTCCAACCCAGGCCTCTCCCGTGGAGTCAAAACTCACATACCCGACAGCCCACTCATGATCTCCCTCAGACACCTCATGATGTCCAGCAGGCATCTAAATGTAACGGGTCCCAAACCAGGCCCCAAACCTGCTGTTCACAGCCTTGTCTATGGCAACTCTGTGCTTCCTGTGGCTCAGGATTTTCTTGGGATCATTGATGCTTTCTGCATTAGTCAGAGTCTGTTTGAGAACTAGAAATCACACCATTATTCTCACAGAGTTTAATATAAATAATTGTTAACCAGGTATTAGAAGTCTGAAAGGCAAAAGGGGGCCCCGAGGCAGCACAGAGGTTGTAACTGTAGGAA
The DNA here is from genome assembly GCF_000001405.40 of Homo sapiens. Classification (NCBI taxonomy): domain Eukaryota; kingdom Metazoa; phylum Chordata; class Mammalia; order Primates; family Hominidae; genus Homo; species Homo sapiens. Next base: position 170,140,618 of record NC_000002.12, on the reverse strand, counting down.
GCAGCCTCCGCCTGGAGGGCTGGGGGAACAGAGAGAAGAGCTGGGCTCATCAAAAGCCTGCAGTCTCAAGGAGGGACCCACAGAGTTAGACCACTGAGGAGGGCACGAGGGCCAGTGGGTGCTGCTACCTCAGAGGGGCCCAGTGAGGCCGCTCCGGGAGTGTGAGGAAAAGCTAGAATTTGGAAATAGCTCCTGTGGTAGTGTTGCTGACAGGGACAGGAAGTCAACACAGCGGAACACGTCTCTTCTCTCTCCCCAGGCTTGTATCTCCCTCTAGCTCTGCTGAACATGGAGCAGGGGCTGGGAAAAATGAAGACTGGTTTGCAGAAACACTGGGTGAGAAGCATAAACTTAAGAACCAGCACTGCCCACGTCTTTGGCTACTGAGGCTCCACACACCTTTCTAAAAACTTTTTCTCTCATGCCCCACCTCCAACCTGCCAACAAATCCTCTGAGTTCTATCTGCAACATATTTTCAGGATTCTACTTATTCTCCCCACTCTGCTGCCACCACTGTGATCTAAACAGCAGGCCTCACTTGGATCACTGCAGTGGCCTCCTCAGGGGTGTCCTTGGCTTCCCTGAGAGTCAGTTCTCCATCCAGAAGCCAACAAGATTGCGTTCATTAATGAGGACTGCTGGAACAAATTACCACAAACTTGAGGGATTAAAACAACGGAAATTTATTCTTTTACAGTTCTGGAGGCCGGAAGTCTGTGATTAAGGTTTTGGTAGGGTTGGTTTCCTCTAGAGGCTGTAGGGGGAAGATCTTAGATGTTCCACACCTCTCTCCTAGCTGCTGGTGGGTGCTGGTGAGCCTTGGAGTCTTTGGTTCTTAGACGCATCGCTCAGGCGTCAGCCTGTGTTTTCCCATTACCTTCTTCTCTGCAGCTGTGTTCACTCCTTATCTCCCACCAGTCACTGGGTTTAGGGCTTACCCTGAACCTAGTATGATCTCATCTTGAGATCCCTAACTTAGTTACATCTGCAAAGACCGTATTTCCAAATAAGGTCACATTCACAGGTACTAGGATATATCTAGTCTTAGACATGGACATATCTAGATTTGGACATATCTTTTAGGGCTTGGTCTTCAACCCCCTGCAGTGATGCTGTTAAAACACAAATCACATCACATCACCCCTCCGCTCAAAATCTTCCAAAGAGTCCCAGCTCATCCTGAGTCCAAACTACACTGCTCCCGAATCTGTCACTTCCCCTTTCTGATTGCCCCTCCTTCTGCTCTCATGTTTCTCACACCCCTGAAACTACTCTGGTCCTCAACACTCCACACACAGGCCAGCCTCGGCCTTTGCACACACTGTCTCTCTACCTGAAACACTGTCCCACTAGTTACTCCTGTGGCCCACTGCCTTGGATTCTTCAGATCTTTTCTCAAAAGTTATCCACTCAGTGAGGCTGCCCCAGACCATGTTGTATACAACTTCCATCCTCATTTCCTACTTTTTTTCTCACCATAGCATTCAACAATATAACATACTATACATGATTTTTATTAATTTTCTTTCTCCTGTCAGTAAAATCTATGCTCAATAAGGACAAGGATTTTTTGCCAGTCTCATTCACTGCTATACCTGAAGCACTTAGAATAGTACCTGGCACCTATAGGCCCTCAAAAATTGTACTTTAAAATGCAGCATATACAATTGGAATCACACAAAGTAGAATATACTAGCATTCCTGTGTTGGTAAGGCACAATACTACAGCAGCATTAAAAACAGCAAGTGCTGCTGTAGATGAAAACATATGCTTTTACATCACAGCAAATCCTAATTTAGTGTATTTGACTCACCTTATCCTGATGACATCTGAGGATACCAAAGTAGAATGCGTGATTGCCACCAATGGAGTTAGTTTAAAATTTTCCTCAGATATAAATAAAACCCAACTTTGATCAACAGTGATAAAAGAAAAGCTGAATTATTTCTATTCTCTTGGTTGAAAATAATGTTACAAAACTTTCATAAAGAAAGAGTATTCAGTAAAGATTTTAGGGAAGTACTTTACAGATGTGTCAGAAGGCTAATAAGATATGTTATTTTTCTGGATAGTTTTACTTTTGCAGCATCTGTCAGCCTTTTTTTTTTTTTTGAAACAGTCTCACTCTGTCACCCAGGCTGGAGTGCAGTAGCAGGATCTCGGCTCTCTGCAACCTCTGCCTCCTGGGTGCAAGCAATTCTCCTGCCTCAGCCTCCTGAGTAGCTGGGACTACAGGCACAGGCTGCCAGGCCCAGCTAGTTTTTTGTATTTTAGTAGAGATGGGGGTTTCACCATGTTGCCCAGGCTGGTCTCGAACTCCTGAGCTCAGGAAATCCGCCCACCTCAGCCTCCCAAAGAGCTGGGATTACAGGTGTGAGCTACCGTGCCCTGCCCCCTGTCAGGTTTTTATGACTTTTCATTAACTACTTTGTTGAGGTATAACTGACATAGAACAAACTGCATGCATTTGGAGGGCACAATTTGATGTTTTGACATTTCTATAAACCCATGAAATTCTCACACTCATACATCATTATCAAGATAGTGAATATAGCCATCACTCTCAAAACTTTCTGTGGGACCCTTTATAAGCTATTGTAACCCTTCCCCACCTGCTTCTTGATAGGCTGTGGCTTTATTTTCATTTAGTTTAAAATACTTTCTAATTTTCCTTTTGATTTCTTTTTTGACCCATGTAGAGATATGTTCTTTAGTTTCCAAAAATTTAGAGGTTTTCCAGAAGTCTTTCTTTTGTTGTTTTCTTATTTAAATCCATTATAGTCAGAGTACATTCATTATGTGACTTGAATCTTTTAAAATTTACTGAGAACTGTTTTATGCTGCAGAATATGATTTATCTTGGTAAATGGACTGTGAAGAGAATATGTATTCTGCTGTTATTAGGTGGAGTGGTCTCTTAATGTCAGTTAGATCAAGTTAGTTGATACTATTGATCAAGTCTTCTGTATTTTTATTTTCCTATTTTTTCTACTTATCCTATTAAGTTAGGGATTTTGAAATCTCTGGCTATAATTGGAGTTTGTCTATTTCTCCTTGCAGTTATATTGGTTTTCACTTTGCATCTTTTAAAGCATTGTTATTTAGTGCATAAACACTTAGGATTTTTATGTTCTCTCAAAGAACTCACTGGCTTCATGTTTAAGAAATGACTTTTTTGTCGGTACATAATAATTGTACATATTTATGGGGTATATATATTTTGATACATGTACATAATGTGTAATGATCAAATAAGGTAATTAAGATGTACATCACCTTAAACATTTATTATTCCTTTGTGTTGGGGATATTTAAAATCTCTTGTAGTTATTTCGAAATATACAATAAATTATTGTTAACTATAGTCATCCTACCATGCTATCAAACACTGGAACTTAACGCCTTCTATTTACCTGTATTTTTGTATCCATTAGCCAACCTGTCTTCATTCCCCTCCCCCTTCGCAGCCTCTGGTAACCACCATTCTTTCTCCATGAGATCAACTTTTTTAGCTCCCATATATGGGTGAGAACATGTAATATTTGTCTTTCTGTGCCTGGCTTATTTCACTTAACATAATGACCTCAAGTTCTATCCATGTTGCTGCAAATGACAATATTTCATTCTTTTTTATAGCTGAATAATATTCCATTGTATATATTATACTACACTTTCTTCATTCATACGTAGGTTGATTCCATATCTTGGCTATTGTGAATACTGCTACAATAAACATGGACATGCAGATATCTCTTCAATGTACTGATTTTCTTTTTTTAACCCAGTTGTGAGATTGCTTTCTATCTAGCCAGCAGTGGGATTGCTGGATGATGTGGTAGATGTATTTTCTGTTTTTTGAGGAACTTCAATATTGTTTTCCAAGTGGCAGTACTAATTTACATTCCCACCAGCAGGATACTAGCATTTCTCTTTCACAACATCCTCACCGGTGTCTATTATTTTTTGTCTTTTTGATAATAGCTATTTTAACTGGAGTGAGATGATATCTCATTGTGGTTTTTATTTTCATTTCCCTGATGATTGATGTTGAGCATTTTTTCATATGCCTGTTGGCCATTGATATGTCTTCTTTTGAGAAATGTATATTCAGATCATTTGTCCATTTTGAAATTGAATTGTTTTTCTGATATTGGGTTGAGTCCCTTATATTTTGTAGTTACTAACCCCTTGTTGGATGGATAGTTTGCAAATATTTTCTCCCATTCTACAGGTTGTCTCTTCACTCTGTAGATTATTCGCTTTGCTGCATGGATGGTATTTAGCTTGACATAATACCATTTGTCTTTTTTGGCCTTTGTTGCCTATACTTTTGAGGTCTTACCCAAAAAATCTTTGCCCAGATCAATGTCCTAGATCATTTCCCCAGTGTTTTCTTCTAGTAGTTTCATAGTTAAGGTCTTACATTTAAGTATTTAATCCACCTTCATTTGATTTTTGTATATAGTGAGAGATAAGAGTCTACTTTCATTTTTCAGCATATAGATATTCAATTTTCCCAGCGCCATTTATTGAAGAGGTTTTCATTTCCCCACTAAATGTTCTTGGCACCTTTGTCAAAAATCAGTTGGCTGTAAATATGTGGATTTATTTCTGGGTTCTCTAATCTGTTCAATTGGTCTATGTGCCTATTTTTATGCCAGTGCCATGTTCTTTGGATTACTATAACTTTGTAGTACATTTTGATATCAGGAAGTGTGACTCCTTCAGCCTTGTTCATTTTGCTAGGATTGCTTTGGCTATTTGAGACCTTTTGTAATTCCATATGAATTTTAAGATTGTTTTTCGGCTGGGCGCGGTGGCTCACGCTTGTAATCCCAGCACTTTGGGAGGCCGAGGCGGGCGGATCACGAGGTCAGGAGATCGAGACCATCCTGGCTAACACGGTGAAACCCCGTCTCTACTAAAAATACAAAAAATTAGCCGGGCGTGGTGGTGGGCGCCTGTAATCCCAGCTACTCGGGAGGCTGAGGCAGGAGAATGGCATGAACCCAAGAGGCGGAACTTGCAGTGAGCCGGGATAGCGCCACTGCAGTCCAGCTTGGGCGAAAGAGTGAGACTCCGTCTCAAAAAAAAAAAAAAAAAGATTGTTTTTCTATTTATGTGAAGAATGTCATTGGTATTTTGATAGGGATTGCATTGAATGTGTACATCGCTTTTGGTAGTATAATAATTTTTCACAATTTTAGTTTTTCCAATCCATGAACGTGGGATGCTTTTCTATTTTTTTGTTACCTCTTCAATTCTTTCATAAGTGTTTGATAGTTTTCTTTGTAGTGAGATTTTACCTCCCTGGTTGAATTTATTCCTAGGTATTTTTTTTGTAGATATTGTAAATGAGATTACTTTCTGGATTTATTTTTCCTCAGGTTCATTGTTGGTATATAGAAAAGCTGCTGATTTTTGTACATTGATTTTTTTTTATCCTGAAACTTTACCGAATCTGTTTATCAGTTCTAAGAGTATTTTGTGAAGCTTTTAGGGTTTTCTAGATATAAAATAATGTCATCTGCAAATAGGGATATTTTTACTCTCTCCTTTTTTATTTAGATGCCCATTATTTCTTTTCCTTGCCTAATTGCTCTGGCTAGGACTTCCAGTTCTATGTTGAATAAGAGTGGCGAGAGTGGGCATTTTTGTCTTGTTTCGGTTCTTAGAGAAAAAGCTAAAAGCTTTTCACTATAATGTTACCTGTGGGTTTGTCATATATGGCCTTCATTGTGTTGAGATACACTCCTTCTATACCTGTTTATTGGGAATTTTTATTATCAAAGGATCTTGAATGTTACTTAATGCATTTTCTGCATCTATTGAAATTATCATATGGCTTTGTCCTTCATTCTGTTGATGTGATGTATCATGTTTATTGATTCACAAATGTTGAACCATCCTCACCTCCCTGGGATAAATCCCACTTGGTCATGATGAACGACCATGTTAATGTACTGCTGGATTCAGTTTGCTAGTGTTTTGTTGAGTATTTTGCATCTATGTTCATTAGGGATATTGGCCTATGATTTTCTCTTTTTTTGTTGTGTACTTGTCTGTTTTTGTATCAGAGTAGTGTTAGCCTCATAGAATGAGTTTGAAAGAATTTCCTCCTCTTCAATTTTCTGGAAGAGTTTGAGAAGAATTGGTATTACTTCTGCTTTAAAAGTTTGATAGAATTCATCAATGAAACCATGAGGTCCTGGGCTTTTCTTTGATTGGAGACCTTTTATTACTAATTCAACCTTGTTTCTTGTAATTAGTCTGTTTAGGCCTTCTATTTCATCTTGGTTCAATCTTAGTAAGTTGTATGTTTCCTGGAATTCATCTATTTCTATTAGGTTTTCCAATTTTCTGGCATATAGTTGTTTGTAATAGTTTCTAATGATCCTTTGTATTTCTGTGGTATCAGTTGTAAATGTTTCTGTTTTTATTTATTTGGATCTTTTCTCTTTTTTCTTGGTTAGTCTAGCTAATGGTTTATTTCTATGTTTTTAAAAAGCAACTTTTCACTTTTTTAATATTTTGTATTTTTGTCTCAATTTTTTTAAATTATACTTTAAGTTCTAGGGTACATGTGCACAATGTGCAGGTTTGTTACATAGGTATACATGTGCCATGGTGGTTTGCTGCATCCATCAACTCGTCATTTACATTAGGTATTTCTTCTAATACTATCCCTCCTCCTGCTCCCCCCACCACCCCCCACAGGCCCCAGTGTGTGATGTTTCGCCCGCCCTGTGTCCAGGTGTTCTCATTGTTGAATTCTCACCTATAAGTGAGAACACGTGGGGTTTGGTTTACTGTCCTGGTGATAGTTTTCTGAGAATGGTAGTTTCCAGCTTCATCCACGTCCCTACAAAGGACATGAACTCATCCTTTCTTATGGCTGCATACTATTCCATGGTGTATATGTACCACATCTTCTTAATCCAGTCTATCATTGGTGGACATTTGGGTTGGTTCCAAGTCTTTGCTATTGTGAATAGTGGCGTAATAAACATACATGTGCATGTGTCTTTATAGTAGAATGATTTATAATCCTTTGTGTATATACCCAGTAATGGGATTGCTGGGTCAAATGGTATTTCTAGTTCTAGATCCTTGAGGAATCGCCACACTGTCTTCCACAATGGTTGAACTAATTTACCTCCCACCAACAGTGTAAAAGCATTTCAATTTTTAGAAATTTATACTCTGATCTTTATTCTTTCTTTCCTTCTACTTATTTGGGGTTTGGTTTGTTCTTGCTTTTCTAGTTCCTTGAGATGCATCATTAAGTTGCTTATTTGAAATTATTCTACTTTTTTGATGTAGGCATTTATTACTATAAACTTCCCTCTTCATACTGCTTTTGCTGTATCCCATAGGTTGTTATGTTGTATTTCTATTTTCATTTAAGAAATTTTTAAATTTCCTTCTTAATTTCTTCATTTACCCCTTGGTCTTTCAGAAACATGTTAATTTCCATGTATTTGTACAGTTTCAAAAGTTCCTCTTGTTATTGATTTCTAATTTTATTCCATTGTGGTCAGAAAATATACTGGATATAATTTAAATTCTTTTAAATTTGCTGTCCCATAAGTCTTATAGGCTTTGTTCTCTATTTTTATTCTTATTTCTTTTTTTTTTTTTTTTTTTCTCTAGCTGGGCAATTCCAAACAATCTATCTTCAAGTTCAGGGACACTTTCTTCTGCTTGATCAAGTCTGCTGCAGAACCTCTTGATTGTATTTTTTATTTTATTTATTGAATTTTTCAGCTATAAAATTTCTGTTTTGGCTTTTGTATGTTATCTATTTCTTTGTTGAATTTCTTGTTCATAACATAAATTGTTTTCATGATTTCATTGTCTTTCCAATTGTCTATCTGTATTTTCTTGTATCCCATTTTGAGTTTCCTTAAGATCATCATTTTGAAAATCGTTTCCAGCAATTTGTCAATTTTTTTTTATTGGGGTCTGTTACTAAAGATTTATTACGTTCCTTTGTAGTGTCATAATTCTTTGTTTTTTCATGTTTCTTATGTCTCTGCATTGAAGTCTGTGCATCTGGTGGAATTGCCTCTTCCAATCTATCTAGAGTGGCTTTCATAGAGAAAGACTTTCACCTACAGTTGAATCTTAGTGGGTTGGTTAGGAAGGGTGTGGAGACTCTGTTTCTAGGTAAGTGCAGTAGTATAGTCTCCATGCAGCTTTTCTTCTGCAGTGTCTAATTTACCATTAATTCCCTCTAATGGACTTTTATAGAAAAGAAATGAGAGTTTTCATCTCTAGAGATTCAATTTGATTTTTTAAAATATCTTTCATGTCTCTATTTACTATTATAAACATATGTAATGCAGTCATTAAAAAAACTGTTTTTATGTCTTTACCTATCAATTCTAACATCTATATGAGTTCTGGGTCAATTTCAATTGGTTTTCTCATTATTATAAGTCATATTTTCCCTCTGCTTTATATACCTGGTAATTTATTAGATGCCAGTCATTTTGAGTTCTTAAGATTTTTTTTCTCCTTTGGATTTGTGTGTTGTGTGTTTTTTTTTTTTAATTATACTTTAAGTTCTGGGGTACATGTGCAGAACATGCAGTTTTGTTATGTAGGTATACATGTGCCATGGTGGTTTGCTGCACCCATCAACCCATCACCTACATTAGGTATTTCTCTTAATGTTATCCCTCCCCTGTCCCCCTAAACCCCCCTTACAGGCCCCAGTGTGCGATGTTCCCCTCCCTGTGTCCATGTGTTCTCATTGTTCAGCTCCCACTTATGAGTGAGAATATGCAGTGTTTGGTTTTCTGTTCTTGTGTTAGTTTACTGAGAATGATGGTTTCCAGCTTCATCCATGTCCCTGTAAAGGACATGAATTCATCCTTTTTTATGGATGCATATTATTCCATGGTGTATATGTGCCACATTTTCTTTATCCAGTTTATCATTGATGGACATTTGGGTTGGTTCCAACTCTTTGCTATTGTGAATAGTGCTGCAATAAACATATGTGTGCATGTGTCTTTATGGTGGAATGATTTATAATCCTTTGGGTATATACCCAGTAATGGGATTGCTGGGTCAAATCGTATTTCTAGTCTAGATCCTTGAGGAATCATCATACTGTCTTCCACAATGGTTGAACTAATTTACACTCCCACCAACAGTGTAAAAGTGTTTCTATTTCTCCACATCCTCTCCAGCATCTATTGTTTCCTGACTTTTTAGTGATTGCCATTCTAACTGGTGTGAGATGGTATCTCATTGTGGTTTAATCTGCATTTCTCTAATGATGAGTGATGATGAGCTTTTTTTCATGTGCTTTTTGGCTGCATAAATGTCTTCTTTTGAGAAGTGTCTGTTCATATCCTTTGCCCACTTTTTAATGGGGTCGTTTGTTTTTTTCTTGTAAATTTGTTTAATTCTTTGTAGATTCTGGATATTAGCCCTTTGTCAGATGCTTAGATTGCAAAAATTTTCTCCCATTCTGTAGGTTGCCTATTCACTCTGATGATAGTTTCTTTTGCTGTGCAGAAGCTCTAGTTTAATTAGATCCCTTTTGTCAATTTTGGCTTTTGTTGTCATTGCTTCTGGAGTTTTAGACATGAAGTCTTTTCCCATGCCTATGTCCTGAATGGAATTGCCTAGGATTTCTTCTAGGATTTTTATGGTTTTAGGTCTTATGTTTAAGTCTTTAATCCATCTTGAGTTAATTTTTGTATAAGGTGTAAGGAAGGGGTCCAGTTTCAGTTTTCTGCATATGGCTAGCCAGTTTTCCCAGCACCATTTATTAAATAGTGAATCCTTTCCCCATTTCTTGTTTTTGTCGGATTTGTCAAAGATCAAGTGATTGTAGATGTGTGGTGTTATTTCTGAGGCCTCTGTTCTGTTCCATTGGTCTATATCTCTGTTTTGGTACCAGTACCATGCTGTTTTTGTTACTGTAGCCTTGTAGTATAGTTTGAAGTCAGGTAGCGTGATGCCTCCAGCTTTGTTCTTTTTGCTTAGGATTGTCTTAGCTATACAGGCCCTTTCTTTGGTTCCACATGAAGTTTAAAGTAGTTTTTTTCCATTCTGTGAAGAAAGTCAATAGTAGCTTGATGGAGATACCATTGAAACTATAAATTACTTTGGGCAGTATGGCCATTTTCACGATATTCTTCCTATCCATGAGCATGGAATGTTCTTCCATTTATTTGTGTCCTCTCTTATTTCATTGAGCAGTGGTTTGTAGTTCTCCTTGAAGAGGTCCTTCACATCCCATGTAAATTGTATTCCTAGGTATTTTATTCTCTTTGTAGCAATTGTGAGTGGGAGTTCACTCATGATTTGGCTCTCTGTCTGTTATTGGTGTATAGGAATGCCTGTGATTTTTGCACATTGATTTTGTATCCTGAGACTTTACTGAAGTTGCTTATCAGCTTAAGGAGAATTTGGGCTGAGACAGTGGGGTTTTCTAAATATACAATCATGTCATCTGCAGAGACAATTTGACTTCCTCCTTTCCTAATTGAGTACCCTTTATTTCTTTCTCTTGCCTGATTGCCCTAGCCAGAATTTCCAATACTATGTTGAATAGAAGTGGTGAGAGAGGGCATCCTTGTCTTGTACCAGTTTTCAAAGGGAATGCTTCCAGTTTTTGCCCATTCAGTATGATATTGGCTGTGGGTTTGTCATAAATAGTTCTTATTATTTTGAGATATGTTCCATCAATACCTAGTTTATTCAGAGTTTTTAGCATGAAGGGCTGTTGAATTTTGCAAAGGCCTTTTCTGCATCTATTGAGATAATCATGTGGTTTTTATCATTGGTTCTGTTTATGTGATGGATTATGTTTCTTGATTTGCAAATGTTGAACCAGCCTTGCATCCCAGAGATGAAGCTGACTTGATTGTGGTGGATAAGCTTTTTGATGTGCTGCTGGATTTGATTTGACAGTATTTTATTGAGGATTTTCGCATCAGTGTTCCTCAGGAATATTGGCCTGAAAGTTTCTTTTTTTCTTGTGTCTCTGCCAGGTTTTGGTATCAGGATGATGCTGGGTTCATAAAATGATGTAGGGAGGATTCCCTCTTTTTCTATTGTTTGGAATAGTTTCAGAAGGAATGGTACCATTTCCTCTTTGTACCTCTGGTAGAATTCAGCTGTGAATCTGTCTGGTCCTGGACTTTTTTTTGGTTGGTAGGCTATTAATTACTGCCTCAATTTCAGAACTTGTTATTGATCTATTCAGGGATTTGACTTCTTCCTGGTTTAGACTTGGGTGGGTGTATGTGTCCAGGAATTTATCCATTTCTTCTAGATTTTCTAGTTTATTTGCATAGAGGTATTTATAGTATTCTCTGATGGTAGTTTGTTTTTCTGTGGGATCAGTGGTGATATCCCCTTTATCATTTTTTATCATGTCTATCTGAGTGTTCTCTCTTTTCTTCTTTCTTAGTCTGGCTAGTGGTCTATCTATTTTGTTGATCTTTTCAAAAAACCGGCTCCTGGATTCATTGATTTTTTTTTTTTTTGAAGGTTTTTCGTGTCTCTATCTCCTTTAGTTCTGCTCTCATCTTAGTTATTTCTTGTCCTCTGCTAGCTTTTGAATTTGTTTGCTCTTGCTTCTCTAGTTCTCTTAATTTTGATGTTAGGGTGTCAATTTTAGATCTTTCCTGCTTTCTCTTGTGGGCATTTAGTGCTATAAATTTCCCTCTAACCACTGCTTTAAATGTGTCCCAGAGATTCTGGTACATTGTGTCTTTGTTCTCATTGGCTTCAAAGAACATCTTCATTTCTGCCTTCTTTCGTTATTTACCCAGTAGTTATTCAGGAGCAGGTTTTTTCAGTTTCCATGTAGTTGTGTGGTTTTGAGTGAGTTTCTTAATCCTGAGTTCTAGTTTGATTGCACTGTGGTCTGAGAGACTGTTCGTTATGATTTCCATTTTTGCATTTGCTGAGGAGTGGTTTGCTTCCAATCATGTGGTCAATTTTAGAATAAGTGCGATGAGGTGCTGGGAAGAATGTATATTCTGTTGATTTGGGGTGGAGAGTTCTGTAGATGTCTATTAGGTCTGCTTGGTCCAGAGCTGAGTTCAAGTCCTGAATATTCTTGTTAATTTTCTGTCTTGTTGATCTGTCTAATATTGACAGTGGGGTGTTAAAGTCTCCCACTATTATTTTGTGGGAGTCTAAGTCTCTTTGTAGGTCTCTAAGAACTTGCTTTATGAATCTGGGTTCTCCTGTATTGGGTGCATATATATTTGATAGTTAGCTCTTCTTGTTGAATTGATCCCTTTACCATTGTGTAATGGCCTTCTTTGTCTCTTTTGATCTTTGTTGGTTTAAAGTCTGTTTTATCAGAAACTAGGATTGCAACCCCTGCTTTTTTTTTTTTTTTTGGCTTTCCATGTGCTTGGTAAATTTTCCTCCATCCCTTTATTTTGAGCCTATGTGTATCTTTGCACGTGAGATGGGTCTCCTGAATACAGCACACCAATGGGTCTTCACTCTTTATCTGATTTGCCAGTCTTTGTCTTTTTATTGGGGCATTTAGCCCATTTACATTTAAGGTTAATATTGTTATGTGTGAAGTTGATCCTGTCATTATGATGCTAGCTGGTTATTTTGCCCATTAGTTGATGCAGTTTCTTCACAGTGTTGATGGTCTTTACAATTTGGCATGTTTTTGCAGTGGTTGGTACCAGTTGTTCCTTTCCATGTTTAGTGCTTCCTTCAGGAGCTTTTGTAAGGCAGGCCTGGTGGTGACAAAATCTCTCAGCATTTGCTTGTCTGTAAAGGATTCTATTTCTCCTTCACTTATGAAGCTTAGTTTGGCTGGATATGAAATTCTGGGTTGAAAATTCTTTTCTTTAAGAATGTTGAATACTGACCCCCACTCTCTTCTGGCTTGTAGGGTTTCTGCAGAGACATCTGCTGTTAGTCTGATGGGCTTGCCTTTGTGGGTAACCCAACCTTTCTCTCTGGCTGCCCTTAACATTTTCTCCTTCACTTCAACCTTGGTGAATCTGATGATTATGTGTCTTGGGGTTGCTCTTCTCAAGGAGTATCTTTGTGGTGGTCTCTGTATTTCCTGAATTTGAATGTTGGCCTATCTTGCTAGGTTGGGGAAGTTCTCCTGGATAATATCCTGCAGAGTGTTTTCCAACTTGGTTCCATTCTCCCCGTCACTTTCAGGTACACCAATCGAACGTAGATTTGGTCTTTTCACAGAGTCTCATATTTTTTGGAGGTTTTGTTTGTTCCTTTTCATTCTTTTTTCTCTAATCTTGTCTTCTCACTTTATTTTGTTAAGTTGATCTTTAATCTCTGATATCCTTCCTTCTGCTTGACCGATTCAGCTATTGATACTTGTGTATCCTTCACAAAGTTCTTGTGCTGTGTTTTTCAAGCTTCATCAGGTCATTTATGTTCTTCTCTAAACTGGTTATTCTAGTTAGCAATTCATCTAACCTTTTTTGAAGGCTCTTACCTTCCTTGAATTGGGTTAGAAGGTGCTCCTTTAGCTCGGAGGAGTTTGTTATTACCCACCTTCTGAAGCCTACTTCTGTCAATTCATCAAACTCATTCTCCATCCAGTTTTGTTTCCTTGCTGGCGAGGAGTTGTGATCCTTTGGAGGAGAAGAGGCATTCTGGTTTTTGGAATTTTCAGCCTTTTTCTGCTGGTTTCTCCCCATCTTCGTGGATTTACCTACCTTTGGTCTTTGATGTTGGTGACCTTCAGATGGGGTCTCTGAGTGGATGTCCTTTTTGTTGATGTTGATGCTAGTCCTTTCTGTTTTAGTTTTCCTTCTAACAGTTAGGTCCCTCTGCTGCAGGTCTGCTGGAGTTCGTTGGAGGTCCACTCCAGACCCTATTTGCCTGGGTATCACCAGCATAGGCTGAAGAACAGCAAAGATTGCTGCCTATTCCTTCCTCTGGAAGCTTTGTCCCAGAGGGGCAGCCGCCAGATGCCAGCCAGAGCTCTCCTGTAGGAGGTGTTTGTCAGCCCCTACTGGGAGGTGTCTCCCCGTCAGGATACACGGGGGTCAGGGACCCACTTGAGGAGACAGTCTGACCCTTATTAGAGCTCGAACACTGTGCTGGGAGATCCACTGATCTCTTCAGGGCCATCAGGTAGGAACATTTAAGTCTGTTGAAGCTGCACCCACAGCCTCCCCTTTCCCCAGGTGCTCTGTCTCAGGGAGATGGGGGTTATATCTCTAAGTCCCTGACTGGCGCTGCTGCCTTTTTTTCAGAGATAGCCTGCCCAGAGAGGAGGAATCTAGAGAGGCAGTCTGGCCACAGCAGCCTTGCTGAGCTGTGGTGGGCTCCGCCCAGTTCAAACTTCCTGGTGGCTTTGTTTACACTGTGAGGGTAAAACTGCCTACTCAGGCCTCAGCATTGGCAGATGCCCGTCTCCCCACCAAGCTCAAGCATCCCAGGTCAACCTCAGACTGCTTTGCTGGCAGCGAGAATTTCAAGCTAGTGGATCTTAGCTTGCTGGGCTCCGTGAGGGTGGGACTCGCCGAGCCAGACCACTTGGCTCCCTGGCTTCAGCCCCCTTTCCAGGGGAGTGAATGGTTCTGTCTCGCTGGCATTCCAGGCACCACTGGGTATGGGAAAACAAAAAAAATCTCCTGCAGCTAGCTTGGTGTCTGCCCAAACAGCCACCCAGTTTTGTGCTTGATACCCAGGGCCCTGGTGGCATAGGCACCAGAGGGAATCTCCTGGTCTGTGGGTTGCGAAGACTGGGAAAAGCGCAGTATCTGGGCCGGAGTGCACCGTTCCTCATGCACAGTCTCACAGCTTCCTTTGGGTTGGAGAGAGAATTCCCTGACCCTTTGCGTTTCCTGGGTAAGGAGATGCCCCACCCTGCTTCGGCTCGCTCTCCATGGGCTGCACTCACTGTCCAACCAGTCCCAATGAGATGAATCAGGTACCTCAATTGGAAATGCAGAAATCACTCACTTTCTGCGTCAGTCTCGCTGGGAGCTGCAGACCAGAGCTATTCCTACTCAGCCATCTTTCAAGATTTTTTTTTAACATTAGGGAAGACCATGGTTTTTTCTAGAGCTAACTACTTCCCACCACAGAGACTATACATTTCTGAGTATTCTACCTAATGCTTTGAGAATTCTGATGGTTTCCAATATGGCTGGTAGAAAGAAATACTATTCTTGGCCCTGTACAAACACTAGATATCCTTTTGGGTGATTCTTTCTTTGGCCCTGTGTAGTTTTCTCATACACATGCACTGATTAGTACTCTGCCAATACACAAGGGCAGCCCTCTGCAGATCTCTGGAATTCCTTCTCTGTGGAGCTCTTTCCTCCCCAGCAGTCCATCTATGAACTCTAGCTGCTTTGGACTTCACAGACTCTCAGTTCAGCCTGTTCAATTCAAGGAGTACACCAGGTTCCATTTGGAATTTTCTTCTTTGCTCTACAGCCTGGAAATGCTCAATAAAGTAAGAGTAATTATAAGATTTATTTTATTTGTTTCTTATTTCTTTGTGATCACTGTCCTTTGTAACTTGATAACCACTGTCTTGAAAAATCACTGGATTATATATTCTTTTCACTTTTTTGGATGTTGTTTTTGGCTGTTTCAGGTAAGATGTAAACGTGGTCTGTTATTCCATCTTAACCAAAAGTGGAAACCTCTATTAGCAATTTCAAATTTATAATGTGTTATGATTTCTATTCCCATTCTTAATATTCACTTTTCTACTTAATTTTCATTTGTAATTTTGTGTTCTTTTTCTTAAAGAAGGCCCTCAACCTTGGGTCCTTTACTCAAGCTCTTGAGATGAACCACCTGGTTAGAATTCTGTCTCCACCACTTGGTAGCTTGTGACCATGAGGAGCCTCAGTACCTCAGTTTCTTCATCTATAAAATCAGAATGATAATAGGAATTACCTCATGATGTTGAACGTCAAGTGAACTATTACATCTAAACTACTTAGAAAAAAACCTGGAACATAGAAACCATTCAAGAATAGTAACTGACATTTACTATTCTTGAGCATCATTAATGTATAGGTGGTACTATAAATTATGGGATCATTTACAGAGAGTGTGAAGGCTTAGGATGGAACCCCACATACATGATGAGAGCAGAGTGTAGACCACAGAGAAAATAGAGCAATGACCAGAAAGCAGGAACAAGAATAATATGGTGTCCTGGAAAACAAAGTAGGCAAACATCCAAAGGAGAGGTTAAACATCAGAATGAGGACTTAAAAATGACCCCTGAATTAGGCAATAAAACAGTCATGACTGATGCTGTGAAATGGGGGTATAAACAGGCTACATCACATATGTTAATGAGTATTAATTGAGATAATTCATGCTAATTCCTTAGCACAGGACTTGGGACATACGAAGTGTTAAAAATATAAGATATCTTAATTGTTATTGTTAAATATGTTTGCCTTTTGTGTCACTGGGCCCAGCCCTTGTCTTACCATAGTATATCAATATTAGGGCAGATACAGAGTCTCTTCTGGTCCCACTGTCTCTATTTGCTTTGTCTCACCACCCATACCCCAAGGTATGACACTAGAAATCCTTCTGTCAAGCAAACACAAGCACGTTCATGCATGCACACATACACACACACCGCATACTACACACATGCGACACACACACATCAAAGTCTGTCCTGCAGGATCCTTTTTTTTTTCCAAGGGCAGTCATTTCCCCCTACTCTGACACTCCCAGTCTATCTTATTAAAATAGTATAGATGTCATGAACAACTACTACTTCCTGTGGATTCAAAGGCCAAGGCCAATCCTGGGTCACATGGCCGCATTCTTTCCGTGCTAGGAGAGATACTTGGGCCCCTCTGGCTTCTGTAGGGAGAAGTACAGCCCATCTTTCCACCAGGATTTCTTCCAAGTAACAAGGGAGATTCTTGGCAGCCAAAGACTAGTGGCTGCTGTACCCTACAGCCACCCAGTTCCAGGGGTTTAGGATGTAACCAACCAAATCAAAAATAAAAATTTTGACAGCCTTGGAATTTAGACAAAACACCTTGAGTTATATTTCCAAATTCTCTTTTTAATTTGGGGAGGCACCAAATCCATTTGGTCACTTGTTTATATGCCTGTATAGATTCCAGGTGAAACATTTGGTCCTTGTGGTTCTGATTCACTGCTGTGTGAATCATATTAATGCTATTTGCATTAATAGCAAGGAAGGTCTATGTTGAGCCCCAAATTACCCCTTTCAAGATGGGAAGTATAATTTGTACCAAGAGTCAACTGATTAAAACCCCAAACACACCTGTGTTCACACTGAAAACCTGCTACCCAGGCTTGTTTGAACTTCATGCTGTGAGTCATTCTAGATGACTAAGTCTCCAAGTACTTGAAAATTCAATCATGTATACACAAAACTTAAAAATTTTAGTGACTTAAGACAAAAATCTTTCTAAACAAATACATTTCAACTTCCTTAAAGTGAACATAATTTTACCTCCTCTTAGAGACTTGGGGTCATCACTGAAAATATCAATAAGTGGCCCAGTCTAGATTAGGTGTAAGAGTCTAAGGGTTATTTAACCCCACACTAAATGGGCCCAGGCTGTTGGTTTTGAGTTCTGGGGACTATTTCAGTTTTTCTGTCTCCCCTCTTGTTGGCACTTGTCATTTCCTGCTGTTATCAGTTTATCTGTCTGTAGTAGCTTCTCCCACATTTAATTATTTGCTGCTTTTTATATTTAAGAGCTTAGAAAACTTATTAGAATTATGTGTAAAGTTAGTGTAAATGGGTTCCAAATGGAGATTTTACATGTGAATAAATTAAAGTTACTCTGAGGCTTTTTCTGAAAATAGGTTGGGTATAAATAAATAAAACAAGTGAAACATTTTGTGACATCGATTTTGGCCTCTTTGGTGATTTGCTGGCTTGTTTTGTCATTCCTGGCCATGTCCTACACTGGTGGGCAGTAGGAACCTCACAAGGGGACTAGGCTTCAGGTGTGCTTCACTCGCTCCAAAACGTCATGGGTATCAGCTGGGTTGGAAATGGAACCAGTCACTTGGATTAGCAATTCTTGAAATACCTCAGGGAAAGACTTGCCAATGACTGTGGCAGGAGGCAGAAGAGCCAGGGGAGGAGGGGGAGGGAGGGGCAGAAGAAGGCACCCTCACAATTTCCTTACTCCTTATAGAGAATTACTAAAAGAATGAGGACTTCCCCATCCCTGAGGGAACTCTGGTCCATAAGTTTGGCTGTGAGTGGGGTCCCTGCCCTCCAGGAGACGTCGGGCTACGAGACACCACACTTCCATCCTGCAGAAATGGCTTCCAGACAGGGCTTCTTCCTCTGCTGCCTCTCCCTGCAGTGCACCATCTAGTCACTGGATTTTTCTGTACCAGGAGAAACCCCCAGCCCAACATTTCAGTATCATCTTGGGGCGCATTTTCAATGGGTGAGTGAGGTGCCAACCATTTAATTCCTTATACAGCAGAAATCTCAACTGTCCCCAGAAGCCTGCACACTGGCTCAGGAAGAGCCCTGCTGCTCCTGTTCCCCCAAAGTCTCCTGGCGTAAGACTGCAGAGGCACCCAACCATTCCTTGCACTGGGACATTGCTCAGGCAAATGGCCCTCCTCAGGCTGTGAGGGGCCCTCTGGGGAGACAGGTGCTCTTGTCCTGGAACACACACTCACATCCTAATCCTCTGTCCCCAGGTAGGCTGGCCTGTGAGCTTCTTTCCAGCCTTTTACAGCCTCTGGGCATTTCACACTTACCTGACCTATTTTTACAAGCTCAAGACAGAGGGCATAGAAAAGTGTGGAATCACTCTGGGGTCTGTGGTGTGCTGGTTCTAAAGCTCAATGTCAAAGTGAAATTCCACCTTTTAGTGGATTCTAATGAATGTCAGCTCATGTTTCTTTATTTTTCTTTTCCTAGAGTGAAAGGAAAGAAAGGTTTTTTTCTTTCAGAAGAGTCTAGATTCTATATTTACAAAGATCTTAAGGGCTATATATTTCCTCAATGACAGGAAAAGTAAAGATTTTCCCTATTCACCCTATGAGGACAGAAGTTTTCTCTTTTATTATTGGGGCATTGTCTTCCCACTTCATCTCCAGCTCAGTGTCCTGGGTCTCTAGGCACATAGTAGCTACTAAAGAAATATTCATTGGTTGAATGAATGAAAGAACGAATGGATGGATGGATGGACGGACGGATGGACAGATGGATGGGTGGGCGGGTGGATGGATGGATGGACAGACGGATAGGTGGATGGGTGGATGGATGGATGGATGGACAGATGGACAGAATTGTTGCCTTCTAGGACACCTTCCCAACTTGGCAGAAACCCCTCATCATGCTCCGTGGTAGCTCTTCCTCAGGGACCTGCCTATCAAAGAGACATCTTTTAAGCCTATTTGGGGTCCATACAATAGAATTTAATAATGAAGACTCCTTTATTTGATTCTTTGCTATCCTTTGCAGAAGAGCTGGATGAAAACCTGGCTGCCTGGGTCCTGGGTAGAATTTCTCAGTGAATGGTTGCATGGTTGTGTGCTTCCAGCACAGCTCAATTCTGTCAGGCCCCTTGGCATCTGCTTTGTTCTGGAATGGCTGTGCACAGTTTGGGGTCTGGACAGCAGTTCAAATGGCCCTTCTGGGGCTCTGAAGCAATTAAAGTTGGGGCCTGTTTTTCTTTGTCATGAGGGTGTTGGATTTTTTGGTCTTTTTAAAAGCCTTGGCAGCCACTGGCTTTGCTCTAAAGGGTATTGTTCCTCAGATGTTCTGGGTTACCACTGCCCACTGACAACCCTGCAGAGAAAAGTGCCCAGGCTGCTGGCCCCACAGAGTGTGGGAAGCCAGGGGCTCAGTTTCACAGAACAAGGCCAAGTCTCACTAGTATGACTCAGTGACTCTAAGTCCCTGACCTCCCAGCCCTTCGAGTCTGTTTCTCCCTTTCCTGGAGCTGAGCCAGGATTCTGAAGACAGTTTCCTCCTCTTGATGGGACCCCCTCATTAACATGTCTTCTTTTTCTCTTTTTCTCTGCTCCAGTTCCATCTGCAGCTTCCTAATCACAGCATTAGCAACCTCAGATCTGATCCTGCTCTTGATACAGTGCGTCCAAGAGAGTGCTTCAAGCCAAGAGAAGATGGGTTTGTGGTCGTGAGAAATGAAGGAGCCCTCCTAGGATGGGAAGAGACCACATCTGGAATGCACAGTGCTTGGCATGGGAAAGGTACGCTCACAATAGTCATGGTTAGGGTATCCGCATAATCTTAAAGTGATCCCCACATATTATTAGTTTCTTATTAGTTGTGAGGGAGAAAAAAACCAAAACGGTAATGAGACCAAGTAGAAACCGTGTAACACTTTTTGACCAGGTGATCAAAATTAACCTCATTTCTGCAGTACAGATGACATTGTGTGGCTCTTGATGTGACACCCTGGATAGGACAGTATTCAGGTTGAAATTATGTAATCTGACCATGAGGAAATATGAGACAAACACACAATGAGGAACATGCAATTCAAACAAAAATGGTGCGTGGTGCTTGCTTTGGCAGCAGATATGTGAAAAATTGAAATGACATAGAGAAGATTAGCATTGCCCTGCACGAAGATGACACAAATTTGTGAGGAACAAAAAAGGGTATTGGTGGTGGGTAATGGTGGAGTGGGGTCAGATGGGGGAATCAACATCGTGAAAGCCAGATTAAAGGAGGCTAAAGAGAAATGACAACAAAATGCCATACCTGACCCTAGACTGAAACCTGTACTGGAGATGGGGAAATGCCATAAAGGACATTGATAAGTTAATTAATAAAAGTGACATATGGTGACACACTAGATAAAGTACTTTGCCAAGTGCCAGGTCCGACCTGCAGACCCTGGCTGAACGATGGATGAAAGAATACACTCAGACACAAGTATCCAGTGAAAGAGCGGGCTAGGAGACCTGGCCGTTTACAGACCCTGAGGAGGGTGCTGTAAAGAGTCAGCAGCCGTGGCCCTGACCCACTGGTGCTGCAGGCATTTATTCAGTACAGATTCAATGACAAAGGCCTGAGTCAACACACTTGTGGGTCATCCCCCCACCCCCCAACCCCCAACTCAGAGAGAGCAGTCCTGTGTGCAGATGATTAAAGGCCAGGTTCCGAGGCCTAAGTAAACTAACTTATCTAGAGCAGTTTCTTTACATCCCCTTGTTATCTAACCTAAGCTTTCAGGCACTGGATTAGAGAATCTGGCTGCCTTCAGCCAAATCCTTTCCCAAAGCTTTTGTAAAACCTCCCAGCCTTTCAAGAAGGTTTGCATCTTTCTACAATTTTTCCCACCACCCTGACCGATCTCCTACATCTCCCCCTTTTTCTGTTTTTTGCATCAGGTTTTGTTGATTGAAGAGTACAGATTTGTGCAGGAACAGGTTTGTCAGGCGTGGTGGTCATTGCTCATATTCTGGCTTTGCATCCTAGAATTAGTAAATAACATAAGCAAACATGAGTATAATTAGCAACGTTCTTTTCCAATGAAGGAGTGGCCCCCAGGAACGGGGGTCTTTCCAGGAGAGATGATCTCGCACACCCTTCCATATGGCTGTTTGTTGGGCATGTAGATCTATGGCATTTAGGGATTCTAGAATTTTAGTTTTGAGTTGCTTTATGTCTGCTGTTAAATTGTCATGAAAGGTTCTCCAGAGGTGGTTTCACCTCATCCCAACTATGTATTGATTGATTCCAAGGTAGAGAAGTGACACAGTTATCCTTATGCTCCCAGTCACAGTTTAATTGCTGTCAGAATACCAGTGCATCTTGTCACTCCCCCACATCTTCCAAGGCAGCCTCGAGGGCTTGCAGACATGCAAGAATCTTTTGATCTATACCCTGCTGTAAGAGAAGTTCATTAGACACATTTCTGCCAAATTATCTATAAAAGTAGCTGTTTGTATTGATTCAGTAATAGATGCTACAGCCACGCTAGCATTGCTAGGATGACTATGGCTGAGACTATAAAGGCTATAAGTGTAACTATGAATCTTTTGTGTCTGAACTGGGACAGGGCACGTTCTAAGTTGGCAAGGGTAGAGGAACTTTGCCAATCATATATTAAATTGACTGGCAGAAAAGCCTCAGATTGTCTCCTCAATACCATGATGCTGGTAATATTTAAATTAGATATATTATAATTAGAGATACAGAGGCAAACCAAGCCTGTCCCTGCACTCGGGTCACAAATGTGGAGTTTTGGAGTGTAATAGAAATATTGGTTCCCATAAGGGAAAACATATGCATGGGTAGTGCAAGTCAAGCACTGATCAGTGTGATTATGAAAAAACATCATAGTATAATTGTGACTGGAATTTTGATATGTCCCATGCCAGGTGTTAAGGGGGGTGCTAAGATGTCCCAGGCACCATAAAGTGTCTTCAGGTGGTATGGACTTTACTTGAGGTCTGGGATGTCACATTTTCCTATCAGCCCAAATTATAGGGGAACGGGAAGTGGCTTCAAAACTGTCATTGATGCCATGATAGACGCGGACATCAGTATGATCGCCCTGCAAATGGCTGTGGGGGCTCCAGTCTAAGATGTTACAATTGCCTAACTAGAAGCTATGGGCTTGTCCCCCATGACAGACCTCCCAGCTAAAGTGGAATCCATTACTTTCCAGGCTTTGTTCTTTAGCACTGGGAGGAATGTTTGGGAAAGTGGCATTGATTGCGTTGCCCGGTTTAAGGCTACCTGCAGCTAAGAATGTTAAGGCATTTCCTTTGCCATGATGTAGCCATAATTGTATTTGGGGCAGGTACACAGTAAGGGTAAGGGTTAGAACTTTTGTAACTACACACAGTGGCAGGATAGTGGAGTGATATGTAGTGTTACCAGGCACTTTAGTCCAATGTGTGCTATTAATGAGGGACCCCACTGGGGGTAAATCTGTCCCTCCCAGCCAAGCAGTTATGGTTTTAGAGGGTGGAAAGGGGGTGTCTGCCCAGGTGACAGGGCGAAGAAAGGCAGATCTAAGATATGAGTCCAACAGAGTATAGCAGGTACAGGTTGCGGACAAAGCAAGAGCATAAAAAGGATCAATACCCTACATGAGTTGCAGTGTACAACAGAGAGCATAGCAAGGAACACATTATCTGGAGTGAATGGTGTCTGTGTCCGGAGCAGGATTCGTTCAGCCTCCTAAGTTGTCTTCTTCAGCATCCCCCAGGTAATGTCTGAGGCTTTAGTTATCCAAGGAAGCCACATCATCTGGGGCTGTGGGTCCTGTAGGGTCATTTTCTTCATTTCTGGTACCGGGTTGGGTCCTACCCATGCCATGGTATGGTTTGATGCATTGTGCTGGAATCCAAAGAGGACCTGAGGGGGTGTGAACACAAGCATATCCTCTTCCCTACATTAACAATTCACTTGGACCACACCATACATTACTGTTTACATCTTTCCATAAAACAGCAGGTTTTATGTCTTGAGAGGTTTTAGCAAAGTGCTTTTCTACAGCTGATTGAAATTTATCATTTAAATTTTAAAAATTAAGGGTAAATAAGCTTGTGCCAATAGTATTGCAGGGCCCTTACTCATATTCCTCCTATTTTGTTTTCTGAGCATATTTTTAAGGGTGGAGTGGGTACGTTCTATGGCCTGTATTTAGGGTTATACGGGATGCCTTTGGAATGTTGGATGTTCCACGTGTGACAAAATTGTTGAAATTGTGAGCTGGCATAAGCCGGACCATTATCAGTTTTAATTTTTGTGGGCTGCCCCATAAATGCAAAAGTTAAAAGAAGATGTTTAATGACATAATGGGTGGACTCTCCAGGAAAGGCATAAGTGCTAATTAAGTGAGAATTGGTATCAACGGATACATGTACATATCTAAGTTTTCCAAATTCACGGATGTGTGTAACGTCTGTTTGCCGTAACTGATAAGGTTCTAGTCCTGTAGGGTTAACACCTGTGGAAGGAGGGGACGTGACTGAGCTGGCAATCTGGGCATTGCAGGATAATTTGTTTAGTCTCTGGGTAAGTTGAAATTGTTTAGATAAGTTTCTTCAGTTTTGGTGGAAAAATTGATGCAATTGGGTGGCTTGGTCAAGCAGTGATGTCATAACTGATAGGTCTGCTTGATCATTGCCATATGCCAATGGACCAGGCAGTGAGCTGTAGGCTCGAATATGTGTGATAAAAATAGGATGTGTATGTTGATCTAGCAAATGCTGAAGTTGGAGAAAGAGTGCACACAGGATGGGCTCCAATGTGGACTTAATGAGGGCTGTCTCAAGATTCTGCAATAAACAAACAGAGTAAACAGACTCACTAACAATATTGACGGGCTGAGCGGAAAAAGTTTCCAAGGCCAGTATTAAAGCTCCAACCTCAGCTCTCTGAGTGCTAGTAAATCCAGACCAAGTGAGGGAATTATGCAGAATCCACCAAACAGCCGCTTTTCCATGTTTACCAGAGCCATCAGTAAACAGTGTTAAAGTGTTAGGTATGGGGGATTGAACTATTTTAGTAGGCAAAACCACAGAAGTGTGAGATAAGAATTGAAGGAGTTTGTCAGCAGGTAGGGCATGCTCTATTTGGCCTGTGTAATCAGAGAGTGCTATTTGCACGTCCATAGATAAAGGCAATACTGCTTTGAATTGCTTTTTACTTAAAGGAATCCTGATGATATCAGGGTCATAACCTAGCAACTGATTGCGTCATCTGCAGCCTGAATAGATGACTTTACTGACGAACTGGATATAGGGAAAGAGTGTTTTAGTCCCGGTATACGAGCAAAAAACCCTTTCTAGGAAGCACAGCCCTGGGGTCATCTGTCCTATTAACCCTGTAGAGGAACGTTTAGTGGAAACAAACAATTGAACTGAGTACCATGGATCTATGCGATCTAGTTGCCTCTGAGAAATAGCTTGCTCTATCTCTTCAATTTCCCTTTGTGCCGCAGGAGTTAAATACCTAGGAGAGTCTAGGGCAGCATTGCGTTTTAAGATAGAAAACAGGTTCTGTAACTTATCAGTAGTTATGCCTAAGGTGGGGTGAAAGCAGTTAATATCACCTGGTAATTTCTGATAATCATTTAAGGTGTATAAGTTGCTTTTTGAGGTCTTACTGACCAAGAAGTTAGTATGTATCCAAGATATTTCCAAGGAGAAGACATCTATACTTTTTCATGTGCTATGATTAAACCTCTTAACTGTGTATTCTTTATGACAGAGGCATGTAAATTTACAAGTACTGGCTCTGTTGGGGCTACTAGTAAAATATCATCCATAAAATGAATAACCTTGCAATTAGGAAATTTTTTTCTACTGGGGAGCAAAGCCTGATTTACATGATCTTGACACATAGTAGGACTGTTTAGCATCCTTTGAGGAAGCACTTTCCAATGAAATCAGCGAGTTGGCCTTTCATTATTGATAGCTGGTATTGTAAACACAAATTTTCTGTCCTGCTTTGCAAGGGGAATAGTATAAAAGCAGTCTTTTAAGTCAATAATGATTATAGGCCAATCTCGAGGAATCTCCACAGGGGAGGGGAGCCCCTGCTGAAGGTGCCCCATAGGTTGCAAATGAGCATTGATGGCACGTAAGTCATGCAAAAGTCTCCATTTACCAGACTTTTTGGGAATGACAAAAATGGGTGAATTCCAAGGGCTGTTTGATGGTTCTATATGGCCGGTTTTTAATTGCTCCTCAACTAATTCATAGGCTCTTTGTAATTTCTGTCCCTTTAAAGGCCACTGTTGTACCCAAATTGGATCTTGAGAGAGCCATGTCAGGGGTACCGGAGGGATAATAACAGTGGCCATTATTAGAAAAGGGACTGCAGAGTGACCCCCCGCACTGGGCTAATAGATCTCATCCTCAAAGATTAACAGGGATGGGCATAATTAGAGGTTGTATAACTGCCTTTCTTCCCTCTGAATCGCAACAGGTTAGGGGGCACATGCTCTGCTTAGCTGTGTATGCTTCCCTGATGCCGACAATTTTTTGTTTGTGACCCAATTTTTTGAGTGACCCAAGGCCAAGTTTCTGGCCAGTTTTCATCACTAATAATCGAAATGTCCACCCCTGTGTCCAATAAGCCAGTAAAATTTTTATTTCCAATTTTAAGGTAATCATGGGTCTCTGATCAGTGATTAATTGATTCCAATATTTTCCTATGGCTCCTGTACTTCCATAAGTTCCCTTTCCCCTTTCCTTTCTGTGGGCGTTGGGAACCCAGTATGGTGAAAGCAGTAACTGTTCTATCTTTGATCCGGGGGAAGAATATGCAGACCTTTACATTCCATCGTAAGTAATATCTGACCTTGATAATTACTATCAGTTACCCCATTGAGCACATTAATTCCTTTACTGGATAGGCGCGATCGCTCTGGGACTAATCCCACTGTTCCCAGAGGCAGTGGGCCCCAGATCCCAGTTGCAAACCCTTTTAGGGTCTTCTCCTTCTTTTAGCATTAATTCGTCGGGGCAGAGTAAGTCCAGTCCTGCGCTTCCAGCGGTGGCTGCTCTGAGAGAGAGGACTGTGGGCTTTCCATCTGACCGAGGAAAGCCACTGGCATTACCCCAGTTTGAAGCGGGGCCTGGGGCCAGCCCCCTCATGAAGTTTCCCACCTGGTTACTTATAGGGTTGCCGTTTTTATCAAATTTGGACCTGCCTTGATTTGCCCATTGTTTCCCCTTGTTACATCGGGGAAATATAGAAGGGGATTCTTTTCCTGAGTTACCTTGGTCTCTATTATTGAGGCATTCTCTCTTCATATGACCTGGCTCTCCACATAGAAAACAATTTGGGTTTCTCTCCCTTTTCACTTTAGGAGGCCTTAATACCATAGCCAATATTTTGGCTTTGTGTGTTTCAGTCCCCACCAGTTGACATGCTCATATAAATTCTCCAACTGTGGCTGCCTTTCCTCTGAGTGCCTGCATTTCTTGCAGGCAATCCACATTAGCATTTTCATAAGTCAATTGCAACAATAAGATATCAGCAGCCTGGGCATGACTAATTTGTCTCTTAATTGTCTGGGTTAACCAATTGATAAACTCAACAAATGGCTCCTGAGGCCCTTGTCAAACATTTATAAAAGATCCCTGTTGAACTCCGCTTTTGGGAATTCAGTCCCAAGCCCTGACAGTGCACAAAAACACTTGTGCATAGACCTGGGGATCAAAAGTTAGTTGTTGTTGTACATCGACATGGGGGCCCCACCCCTGGAGCATAGCAGCTGTTATGTCTTGCCTGGCAACCTGGTTCTGGTTGGCTTACTGTTGACACAACTCATCATATTCTGCTCTCCAGAGAATGTATTGGCTGGGCTCCAAAGTCGTTTTAGCTAGCACTGACCAGTCCATGGGGTCATACAGAAGTTGTCTGCCATGGCTTCAATCATTCCTTTCATAAATGGGCTAGCAGCTCCATTTTATTTAATGCTTTTTCATAGCTCTTTGTAAGCGTTAAAAGAAATGGGTTCATGTACCTGATTGCCTTGTCGATCTTGCATTACTGGGCAGGCTAAGAGCTTCCCTTCTAATGCCGCTTGCCTAATGCAGGGTCCCATAGCTGTAACGTATCCCTTGTCTTTTTTCCAATTTATTGGAGGACGGGGCTTAGGCAAAACCTCCGTTTCCTCTTTGTTATTTTGGCCCGGTGGTAGCAGGCTGAGGGATAAGGAGGCAGTAAAGTAGGTGACTGTTCCTCCTCCCTTCCCTTTTTAGGCTCTTCTGTGTAAAGCGGAACCAGAGCCACCCTAATTAAAGCCTATAACATTAGAGATGTTACTGGGACCCGTTGCCCTTGCGCATGATGTTGTTTAAGATTTCTCCCCACTTGTTCCCAGAGCACTATGTCTAGCATACCTTCTTCTAGGAACCATGGGTTATGGGAAACAACAGTTTGCATTAGGTCCCTTAATTGAGCCTGCAAAACCGAGGCTCCACTAGCTTTAAGCAGCTGTTTCAATACTTTTATATACTGTTGCTTTTGAGCCGATAACTGTTGTCCCATGATGAAACTCTAGCCTGAACAATTCCCTTGAACTTGGAAATCCCAAGCAGGCACCAATGACTTACTGACTGCACAGTCTCTTCACCTTCGTTTTCAAGGGTTCCATCGTGATCTGTTGTGGTGTTCCTCACACGGGGCACCACCTGCCGGGTCCAACCCACAGACCCTGGCCAAGTGATGGATGAAAGAATGCACTCAGACACAGGTATCCAGTGAAAGAGTGGGCTAGGGGACCGGGCCATTTACAGACCCCAAGGAGGATGCTGTAAAGAGTCAGCAGCAGCAGCCCTGACCCACTGGCACTGCAGGCATTTATTCAGTACAGATTCAATGACAAAGGCCTGAGTCAACACACTTGTGGGTCACCCCCACCCCAGAGAGAGCAGTCCTGTGCACGGATGATTAAAGGCCAGGTTCCAAGGCCTAAGTAAGCTAACTTATCTAGCTCAGTTTCTTTACATCCCCTTGTTATCTAACCTAAGCTTTCAGGCACCAGGTAAGAGAATCTGGCTGCCTTCAGCCAAATCCTTTCCCAAAGCTTTTGTAAAACCTCCCAGCCTTCCAAAAAGGTTTGCATCTTTCTGCAATTTTTCCCACCACTCTGATTGATCTCCTACAGCCAAGTATTATGGTTATGTATTAGAACATCCCTGTTCTTAGGAAATACACACTGGAATATTTAGCGGTAAAGGGCCATGAGATATGTAACTTACCTTCAAGTGACTCAGAAAATTATATATATGTATGTCAAGCAGGGGAGAAACATGCAAATAATAAAGCAAGTGGAGTACAAACATGACCAAATAGATGCTCTTTGTACTATTTTTGTTTTTGCAACTTTCTGTAATTTTGAAATTATTTTCAAATACAAATTTCAAAAATATAACTGCACTTATTCTGATCCTTAAATATTCTTAAAGTCTGAACCTTCTGAACCAGGGCAAAGATGATATGAGGCCATATCTCGGTGAAACCCCTCAGGTTTGCAAAGTGTCATGAGAGGGAATGCATTTTGAACTTACCTATAATTCTGGAGCAAATGCTCCATGACAGCAGCCACTCTGTGGGCCCTGGGCTTCCACTGGAGGAAGACATGAATGGGCTAAGGAGGGCTGAAGGCAGAGTGGGGCATGAAGCTAGGCAAGTCTAACCCATGGCTCCATTTTGCCCAATGCCAGGCTCAGTGCAAGGGCTTTAGAGAGAGCAAACCCCAGCCATGACCGCCTCCCAAGTCCAATTCAGAAAATAAACAATGCCCAGCTGTTGGGACTGACAGAGCAACAAAAACTCAAATCGACTTCAAACTCTATTTTTTTGAGCAAAAATCAGAGATGCCATATAGCATAGAGATTGAATGTGGCTTGGGAGACCTGTGGATCTGGGTCTAAATTCTGACCCTGCCTCTACCAGCTGTGGCACCTGGGACAAGTTACTTTGTCTCCTGAGCCTCAGTTTCCTCCTCTGTGGAGAGATAATTTCCAAAGATTATGATGAAGGTTGAGGGAAGCAGTGTATATGAAGTGCTTAGAGTGTATGAGGTTCAGGCACGGTAAGCGTTCAGCCATTGGTAGCTGTTACTATAAAGATGGTGTCTCCTGTCCCTGACTCTGTGGATGCAGACAGATGCAGTTATAAAGACTCCTGAGTCCAAGCGCAGGGCTGTCAGGGGGGGTGTGGTCCTGGAGGCAGGACTTCTGAAGGCAAAGAGGGTTCTTCAGTGGGAGAAGGCCTAACAAGAGAGCCACTTAGACCAGACAGTGTTTGCTCTGGGGAGCTTCTCCAGACGACAGCCACAATCTGCTCAGGCCTTTGTCCACCGTTTAATAAGACACAACACATATGCGCACAGGCTTTATTTGATAAAAAGCTGGGTATATTGGGCAATTTACCATGAAAGCCAAATCTCTGCTGTAAGAATTTACCAATTCTTTCTCTTAAGTCAAACTTGTCCAGCCCCCAACAAATACTTTAAAAAGTAAAAAATGGGCCAGGTGCGGTGGCTCACACTTGTATTCCAAGCACTTTGGGAGGCCAAGGCGGGCGAATCACGAGGTCAGGAGATCGAGACCATCCTGGCTAACATGGTGAAACCCCGTCTCTACTAAAAATACAAAAAATTAGCTGGGCGTGGTGGTGGGCGCCTGTAGTCCCAGGTACTCGGGAGACTGAGGCAGGAGAATGGCGTGAACCCAGGAGGCAGAGCTTGCAGTGAGCCAAGATCGCGCCACTGCACTCCAGCCTGGGCGACAGAGCAAGACTCCATCTCAGAAAAAAAAAAAAAGTTAAAAATTCCTTTAAATAATTAACTCTCCTCTAAGAAATCTGGAAAGTAGGAAGAAACCAGAGTCTCCCTGGAGAGCAGCGCCTGTCTTTTTGCAGCATGACCATCACCTGCCTGGCTCAATCACTCACCTTTTTCGAATTGCCTGGTGACCTCCCTACTTCCAAAGACACTTAACCCGAGCCACATGAGGATTCTGGGGTGGGCCCTAAATGCTTATTGCCTGCACATCGTTTGCTTATTAGGTTCTCTATGTTCCTAGTATTCTTTCTTTTCCCATCGCCCTCTACCTACTCGCAGCATCTGAATCAGGGTGGCCACTGTCAATACAGTGCACCAAGGGTGGTTCTTCATCCAGTTCTTTAATTTGTTAAAGAGAAGTCTCCTCACACAGTGCCTCCACTCATTCATGACACAGACATTTACTGATGCCCATTTGTGTGCCAGATACTGGTCTAGACACTAAAATGTGGGGAGGGATGAGCCATCATCCCTCCCCAGCAGGAGCTCAGCATCCAGCGAGACACATGAACAAAGACAGGAGAGGCAGGTAGAGTCGCAGCTTACAGGCCTACACCGGTGCTTCCCAGCCCACCTTCTGTGCCACAGTAACTGAGAAACTAATTTAAAACGCAGCATCCAGGCCCCAAACACCAGAACTACCAAATCAGAATCTCTGGGTGTAAGACCTTGAAATCTGCATTTTAACAATGGTGTCTAAAATACTCCCAAGTTTAGTACTCACAGATCTGTCCTACACCCCACTGAAGCTTTAGCCACATCTGTGCCTTTAGTCACATCTGTACATTTTTGTGCAGTAGCACAGGCTCATTGGGGGTCTATTTCTATGTGGCTCCTAGGGACCCATAGGACTGAAGGAGGTATCAATAATGGGGCAGAACCCATGAAAACTCTTGAAGAAACAGAAGGGCTGTGGCTTTGGGAACTCAGGACGAAGGGACTTCACCCCACCCCAGCATTGTGACTGCTGGGAGACCTTGGGGTGCAGCATGGGAACAGTGGCAGCAGTCATTGCCTACTGGAATGGAGGAGCAGGAGCAGAGGACATTATGTGGACAAGCTGGAGTGAATAGAGCCACACTCTGGCATTAGAGAGGAGCAGAGAGGAAGAAGCCAAGAGGTCAGTGTTTCTGATCTAGCATGGCTTTGCTGCTTCCAGGGACCTCTTGATGCATTCATGGAACTTGCAGGGGTTGGGGAGGTGGGTGAGCGATTCACACCAAAGCTGCCAGTGTCTCAAGTTGTCTGCATGGAGAGAAATGTTTCTGAAGCATACAGCACCATTGCTGCTGCAGGCTTCGTGTGCATGAGTTTGACTATAGCCGTGTCCTCCAGGACACTGTCATGGGCCAACATGCTATGTGCATATATCCTAGATGGGCCATTGGTCTATCAAACCTAGTGAGACAAGTCCAGCTCTCAGGTGAGCACAGGTTAGGCTCAAAAACCGGCTCTGCTACACTGGTTTCAACTTTGTTCTCATCATATGCACTTGGCTAATGGATTCTGTCCCTTGAGAGATCACACAGTTAAACTAGACCATCCTGCAGATCTCTCGATACCCAGCCTCAAACACCCCTAACTCGATGTTGCTTTCTTCCTAAGCTCCACATTGGGTTGTGGAAATGATATTCGCTTTAACCCATTGAATCCCAGCTCTGCCACTAACTCGTTGTGTGACTTTGGGAAAGTTGTTTACCTTCTTTGAGCTTCAGTTGCCCCATCTATTAAATAATAATGTATATTTCACAGTATTGCTTTATAAATATCAGCCCCTTTCCATTTCTCTATAGTTCAGTGTCATAAGTAATAGGCCCATGTTTTGACATTTGAAAAGACATATTTATAGTCAGCCACTTTGTTCATAACTTCATATATTAATTTTAGTTTGAACATTTCGTTAATGGAAAATACTTCAGATATAGCAGAAAATTCTCCAGAGATATTTTTCAATGGGTGGTAGGTTTTAAAGTGTCTCTGTCTTTTGGAATGGATGGCAGACAATTAGCCTGCCTTTTGCATGAGAAATCAGACTAATTACTGGTGAGGCTTGGCTAATGGGGTCCTTTGTGAACTCTCTCCCTAAATGAGAAATCTTTAACTTTTCACAAAAATGCAATCTCATTTGTGCTGCTGATTCCTAATATTTTGAAATAAATGCATGGCCTCTGGGCTTTTGTAGTCAAATAGCCCAAATCAAACCAAGCTGCTCTGCTAGGAGAAAAGTATTTTGTGTGAATCTCCTGGAAGAAACTTTTAGAACCAGTTTGGAGTTACCATAAGCAAAGACTGGCTGTAGCCTGCTATGGGGCAAGATTCATGGAACTTGCAGGGGTTGGGGAGGTGGGTGAGCTATTCACACGAAGTGGGCCTGGGCTTAGAGTGTGGGTTTACCCTGTTTGGGCTGAATTGGCTTGTTCAGGTGCTTGAACAATAAATTCTGGCATGTTTCAGAGCTCTGTTTATAAGAAGCTGGCAATTTTCATGACCCCAAGTTGACTGCCACCCATAGACACAGGATCAGGGTTCTTTCTGTATCTAAGGCAGAGGAGACAAAAGGTCAGGAAAACCATTATCTGCCCTGCATCAACTTGAAATAAGGATAAAAGTCTGTGGAGGGTAAAAGGAGTTTGAGGCATGGGACATCCTAATAATGACAGGGTCATCCACCAGCAGGAGGCCATTCAAAGAGAGCTTGAAACAGACTGATAAACATGGGAATGCTGATAGGAGGAGAGGAATGGGCAACCCAGGGCTTGGCAGAAATCTGGAGGAATCCAAAAAACGACCCAGAGCTGAGCTGTAACCCATCAGGTCAGCTGGAGGGAGCTGCTCCGGTAGAATCTCCAGTGGCCGTAAAGGGGATGTCTGAAATGTTCTACTTAATAGTCTTTCCTTCAAATTTCCTTCTTAACAAGGACTTTCACAACCACAACTCTTGAGTTATGGGGTCAAAATGGAACTTGGAGATGCTAGGTGCCTTTAGATTCCTTTTGTAATATTAAATGACATTAAATTGCTTCCTAGATGACCCTAAGCTCTTCCCCTATTTTATTTTCACCAGCTCCACTAGTTCTTCCTGAAACTTTGAGAAGGGATGGTTGTCTGCCCCATAAAGGTTTGGGATATTCTGGGTCCCCAATCTGAACTGATGGTGGAATGGAAAGAATCCTTCATTTTTACTTAATAAAGATATCATTCAATTAAAGAAAAGATTTGGTAGAAAACTTTAGGAAGATAAGAGACAGAGATGGTTTTAGGACATACAGATAGTAAAGTTGTAAGGGGAGCTTTTGGCAAAAGTAGGAGCCCGTAAACCTCTCCTGTACCTGGCCTAGAACACCTTGATCTAAAACCTCTTTTTAAATCCTTTAGCATCTCCATCTCCCATTTCATTCTCAGCATGTGTACCATCCCTGTAGAAAATAAGCTTAGGCAGAGGTCTCCATCACCACATGTAAGACTAAATAGGTCATTAAAGGCCTAAGCCTAGGCAGAGAAAGAAAGCCTTTTATTTCTCAATAACCATGATTCTCAAACTGTAGTGTGCATAAGGACCACCAGGAAAATATGTTAAAGTGTATAGAGAGTTATTCCCAGGATGTGGTTCATCCTCCTCCTCCTCCAGGATAGCACTCTGTGAGTCTTAAGTTGCTCACAACAGCTGCTGCCTCTTTTCAAAGATCACAAAGGAGCAAGATTTCCATATCCTCCCATGCAAAGCCATTTGTGTTTAATTGCCCTTCAGTTAAGAAGTTCTTCCTTAAGTATTTCATCAATTCTCTCATTGCAAGACTCATCAACTCCTGCTCTATTCTCTGTGGAGACTGAAAAACAAGAAGTTAGTATGTAATTTCTAACCCTTCATTGAATCGCAGAGTGTAAAAGCCAAACGAAACTGCAGATATCATCTGGCACTACTCCCATATTCTACCTACATGGATGCTTGCCCAAAGATATGCATGAATTCAGTGGGTTTTAGTTTCCAGTGCCTGCAAAACATCTGAGGGAAGCGTCTGAGACACAGTTGGCTAAGCTAATCTTCCTCCGGTACTGTCCATAGAATTAAAAAATTCAATGTGGCTTTAATTTGGGGGTGGAAATGGGTGCATCCTCCCTTCTCTGTTCTGGAATATTCATGTGCACTCCTTCACCATTCCTCCAAAGGGATGTGCTTTCCATTCCTGCAATCATTTTACTTTATCAAATGAAATTACAAGATACTTACTTAAATTTGAATTTCAGATAAGGAACTAATAATTTTTGCAATATTTGAAACATACTTTTACTAAAAAAAAAGTTATTTATCTGAAATTCAAATTTAACAGGGGGTCTATATTTAATCTGGCAATCCTCATTCCAACATTCTTGAAGTTTTTCAATTAAAACACAACACAGAACTCTTCACATCTTTGGCAATTCTTCATACTCACTAAGGGTACTCCCACCTCATGGTCTTTATACTTGAAGTTCCCTCTGCTAGAATGTTCTTCCCCAAAATACCTGCATGGCTTGATCCCTCACTTCGGGTCAGTACTCATATTTTTACTTATTAAAGATGTGTTCCTTGGCCATCTTATAGAAGCCCCATTATTACTTTTCAACTTCTTATACTGATTTATTTTTCTCTCAACACTTATTTCTACCTGGCAAAGTGTATTTTTAACTATTTGTATAGTTTATATACCTTCTCTTAAAGTAGAATAAAAACTGCATGACACAGGCGCTTGGCTTTACTCATTGCTATATTTCTAGTATGTAGGCATGTAATAGGGCCATGTATTAGTTATCTAAGGCTGCATTAAAAAGTACCCCAAAATGTAGTGCTTAAACACTAGTCATTTATTACCTCTTACTGTTTCTGTGATCAGGATTTCAGGAGTTGCTTGGCTAGGTAGTTCCGGCCAAGGGTCTCTCATGAGGTTTCAGTTGGATATTGGCTGGGGTTACACACATCTGAAGACTTGTTTGGAGCTGGAGGATCCACTTCCAAGGTGGCTCATTCATATGGCTGGAAGATGTTGCTGGACGTTGGCAGAAGCATTTCTTTTTTTTTTTTTTTTCCAAGTCAGCCTCTTCACAGGGCTGCCATGACGCTTGTGTGATGTAGTCGTCAAAGTCACACAGAGTTGGGAGGATTGCTTGAGGCCAGAAGTTCAAGACCAGGCTGGGCAACAAAGAGAGACCCCATCTCTACAAATACACATGCGCGCGCGCACACACACACACACACACACACACACACACACACAGAAACAAAGTCACACATTGTTGCTTCCTCCATACTGTACTGATCACATAGGCCAGCACTGATTTAATGTGGAAAGGCATCCGTATTAATTTTCTACTGCTGCATAACAAATTACCACAAAGTTAGCGGCTGAAAACCATACAAGTCTGTTATCTTACTGTTCTGTAAGTGAGAAATCTGGGCAGAACTTAGTAGGTTCTTTGTTTAGGATCTCACAAGCCTGAAAACAGAAACAAATACTCATTAACAGAAAACAAATACTAAAAATATAGACCTAAATCTAAATATATTAATAATTACATGAATGTACATGGTCTAAATACATGTTAAAAGATAGAGATTATCAGAATGATTTTTTTAAAGTTCCAACTATAATATCTTCAAAAAACTTATTTTAAATATGATGATATAGGTAAGTTTAAAGTAAAGGATGGAGAAATATATACCAGGAACACACTTTTTTTAAGCTGAGTGGCTATATTAATAACAAAGTAGACTTCAGAGCAAAGAAAATTACCAGGTATAAAGAAGGGCATTCTATAATGATACAATGGTCATTTCACCAAGAAGACAGAACAATCTTAAATGTGTGTGTGCCTAACAACAGAGCTTCGAACATGAAGAAAAGCTAATACAACTGAAAGGAGAAACAAATAAATTACAGTTAGAGTTGGAGATTTCATACTCCTTGCTCAGTAATGAATAGAACTAGTACATAGAAAATCTGCAAGATTATGAGAACTGAACATCATCAGCCAACTGTATCTAACTGAAAATTTTGGAATATTCCACCCAACAATGGCAGAATTCTTTTCAAGTACACATAGAACATTTACCAAGATGGACCATATTCCATGTCATAAAATAAACTTTAACAAATTGGAAAGAACTGGAATTATACAATGTATGTTCTCTGACCATAATGGAATTGAATCAGAAATCATCAACTGAAAGAGAACAGAAAGATATCCAAACACTAAATACTAATTTCAGAAGAAAAAAAAAAATTCAAACCAATAATCTAAGCTTCTTCCTAAAGAAACTAGAAAAAGAATAGTAAGACAAACTCAGAGGAAGAAGGAGGGAAATAATAAAAGCGGAAATCAATGAAATTGAAAGCAGAAAAGCAATAGGGAAAATAAATGAAATCAAAAGCTAGTTATGTGAAAATAATAAAATTGACAAATATCTTGGAAGACTGAAAAGAAAATAGAAGACATAAATTCTATCAGGAATGAAAAAGAATATTATTAGAGATTTCATATGCATTAATAGGATAATAGGATAAGGTGAATACTATGAACAATTTAATGCTTATAGACTAAAAAATTAGATAAACTGGACCAACTCCTCAAAAACCTCAAACTACTAAAACTCACTGTAAATGAAACAAACAACCTACATAGTCCTAAAATTGTAAATAAATTAAATCTGTGGTTTAAAATCTTCTGAACAAGAAATCAAGAGGCCCAGATTACTCCACTGGCAAATTCCACCTAACCTTTAAAGAAGAAATAATACTAATTCTATACAATGTCTTTCAGAAAACATCTCATTTTATGAGGCCAGCACTACCCTGATACTAAAACTTGACAAAGACAATACAAGGAAACTATAGACCAATATCCTTCATCAACATAGACGCAAAATTCCTCAATGAAATGTTAGTTAATTGAATGCATTATAAATAAATAATAATAGTACACTAACATCAACTAGGATTTATCCTAGGAATATAAGACTGATTTCAATAATAAATGCACTATTCACAATAGCAAAGACATGGAATCAACACAAATGCTCATCAATGATAGACTGGATAAAGAAAATGTGGTACATATACACCATGAAATACTATGCAGCCATAAAAAGGAATGAGATCATGTTCTTTGTGGGGACATAGATGGAGCCAGAAGCCATTATCCTCAGGAACAGAAAACCAAACACCACATATTCTCAGTTATAAGTGGGAGCTGAACAATGAGAACACATGGACACAGGGAGGGGAACAACACACACTGTGGCCTGTCAGGGGCTGGGGGGAGGGAGAGCATCAGGATAAATAGCTAATGCACGTGAGGCTTAATACCTAGGTGATGGGTTGATAGGTGCAGCAAACAACGATGGCAAACGTTTACCTATGTAACAAACCTGCATGTACTGCGTGTGTATCCTGGAACTTAAAATGTAAAACAACAAAAAAGCAATCCTTTTATAACTTCCATGGGGAGGGGGAGAAGTCAATAAATGTAATCTACCCTATACATGGTGTAAAGATTGTACCAATTGTCACAAAAAAAGAATTTGACAAATTCAACATCTCTTCATAACTGAAACTAGCAGCAAACTAAAAAATAGAAGTAAACTTCCTTAACCTGTGAAAGGACAACTAAAAAAAAAATACGGCTAACATTATACTTAGTGGTTAAAGACTGGGTAATTTTTTCTGAAGATTAGGACCAAGGGAAGGATCTGCTGTTATCTCTCTTATCCCTGACTGCATATCCTAATCAGTGCAATAAGGCAAGAAAAAGTAATAAAAGTCATACAAATTAGAAAGGAAAAAAAACTGTTTCTATTCACAGATGACATAATTATCCACATGGAAGATCCTAAAAAAGCTACCACAAAAAAAAAAAGAAAAAACATCTCCTAGAACTGATAAGTGAGTTTGATAAGGTCACAACATATCAGGCCAACACACAAAAATCACTGGATTTTTAAATACTAGCAATAAACCGTTGGAAATGAAGATTTTTTTTAAGAAAACACTATTTATAAAATGAAATCTCAAATATAGGTCTAATATTCAACTTTAGATTTTTTAAAATTTCTATAGTACTAAGGCATTTAAAAATTCTAAACAAAAGTTCAAAACCAGGCAAAGCTAAGCTATGGTGTTGGAAGACAGTAATTGCGCCTGGAAAGGAAAAAGGATGTAGCATCTGGGTGAGGTCATGGAGGGCCTCTGGCATCTCTGCTGTGTTCTATATACACAGGAGATGGGTGAGAGAATATTCTCTGCAGTGTTTTTTGTTATTCAGCACAGAAGGAAAAGACATATTTTTTTTTTGAGTAGTAGATACATGCTGAGGAAACTCTGCGGCTGTCAGATGTGCACATGGTAACAGAGATAATTGTTCAAAAACATGACGCTGGGTGAAAAAAGAAAAAGGAATAAGATCTATAGCCCAAGCCATATGGCCCAAGATCTATAGCCCAAGACTTGGTGATGATATGTTTACTTTGTGATAACTCACTAAAGTAAACAATTAGGAATTATGTACTTTTCTGAAAATTTGTTCCACACCAAAAAATTTAATAATAATAAACATAAAAAGAAAATAGAGTGCTATTATGTCTTGAAACATTTGTAAACTGCATTTTGAAATTGCAGTTTGCATTTGGCATTAACCAGTTGAACACTAGCAGAATGACCTGAAACATGTGTTGATTTAACTGTATCTAATTAACAGTCATTTACAAATATCTTTAGATCTCTATAAGTCTTCTTGTTTTATAAAATTTGCATCAGCTTCACCCATATTTTACTCACCACTGTTACCTATCACTGACAGTAACTATTGACACTATGACTACACTAGTGGTCCTTAAAAACATGGAGTATACTTTTATTTAGGGAGTGCTGGTCTTAGGGTGAGAGAGCTAGGATAATCATCCCCTATTTGCACAAGGTATGTCTATGGTTTGGTTTTGTTCTTTTCCCCAGTGTCCCCAGTTCTTCTCTTCCTGTCCTCCTCTTGCCCCCAAACATAAGTTCCTAGAGAATGTTCCTGAAACTATGCTTGGATGTCGATTGTATTCTTTAAACTTATATAGAGTTTTTTTAATGTGTATACATTTTAGTATACATAAATGGCTTGGGCTATAGATCTTATTCCTTTTTCTTTTTTCACCCAGCGTCATGTTTTTGAACAATTATCTCTGTTACCATGTGCGCATCTGACAGCCGCAGAGTTTCCTCAGCATGTATCTACCACTCAAAAAAAAATATGTCTCTTCCTTTTGTGCTGAATAACAAAAAACACTGCGGAGAATATTCTCTCACCCATCTCCTGTGTAAAAAAAAGTATCTCTGGAATATATATCTAGGATTGGGATAGCTGGGTCATAAAGTATTCATATTTATCTTTGCCAAGTACTGCCAGCAAGGAAATCCTAATGCTTTCTAGAATAGTATGTCATTATGCTTTTAGCCTGTATTTCCCTGTTAGTGAGGATGAGCATTTCTTTCATCCACATAATAATAATACAGATTTCTGGTTATGTGAATTATTTATATTATTTTCTCATTTTGCTACCAGGTTTCCAGGTACTTTTAACTAATTTAAATAAGTCACCCCAAAAGGACAAACTAATAAACAATTGATAAATTTGATACCAAAACTAAACATTTCTCCCCCAGGAACAACACTATAGGCAAAATTCAAATAAAACAGATAACCCGGTGAGGAAGATATTTGCAGTAACCAACATCAGGTAGGGGAGGAGGTCCTGTTCTACCTTATTTAATCTTCCCAGTGACCCCAGAAATCAGTGCCATTATAATCCTCATTTTCTAGACAAGAAAACTGAGACCAGAGAGGCTAAATCACTTACCTAAGATCAAAGACCTACTTTGAAGATGGACAACAGATTTACTCGCAGATTTATCTGATCTAAAAGTCTATGCCCATATACACCTACTATGTACCCACAAAAATTTTCTTAAATGAGAATAAAGTTGTATGATTAAAAAAAAGTCTATGCTCATAACAATTGCCTCCATTTCCTTCTAGCAGATTGAGAACATCCATCCTCCACTTCCCACCTTCTATTGTATCTTTTGTTTCCTTTCCCCTTCATCAAAGTCTGTATTTCTCAATAATATCAATGTCTCTAATGCTGGGACATTTATAGTTTTTACTCTGCTAGCCATCTGTGGTTCATACTGTAATTGTATCATTACTTAGTTTTTTATTTTACAGGTAAATTAATGTTTCACCAACTATAATATCACCTCCTTGAGTACCCGGACTTTTGACTTCTTTGTATTGCTGGAAACAACCGACATAGGGCCTTAAACATGAGGCCCTCAATAAATACACATTGCTTTAAAACAAATAAATACATAAAACACTTCTATATCCCTCTATCCCACTTCCTGCCATCAATTTCCACAGAAAACAGAAATGCTTGATAGTTCTTTTAGGTACACTGCCTGTTTGCATTTGATCTTTGTCGTATTCATGGCTAATTTAAACAGTTACAGCTGAAAGATCTGAAAGAGTTAGCGCCATGTTGGGTCAGACCATTCACTGATTGAATCATCTGAGGCAGTTATTTCTGTTACTGTTGTAGTTTTCTTATTGGTGAAATGTAGAAGATTGTATGCCTTGGAGGTTTTTTGGACGGAATAACATAAGAACATAGAACTTAAGTAAATACAGTCTATGGGCGAGTAAATAAAAATAAAAGTTCACCTGGTTTTCTTTTTTTTTTTTGTTGAGACGGAGTTTCGCTCTTGTTACCCAGGCTGGGGTGCAGTGGCACGATCTCTGCTAACTGCAACCTCTGCCTCCCGGGTTCAAGTGATTCTCCTGCCTCAGCCTCCCATTACAGACATGCACCATCACGCCCGGCTAATATTGTATTTCTAGTAGAGATGGGGTTTCTCCATGTTGGTCAGGCTGGTCTCGAACTCCCAACCTCAGGTGATCCAACTGCCTGGGACTCCCAAAGTTCTGGGATTACAGGCGTGAACCACCTCGCCAAGCCCATCTGGTCATTGTTCAGTCCCCTGACTAATGAATCTCTGACCTATAAATCTTTATGTGTGGCCATATGTAGGTACATTTTTTTCCTACTGTATATCTATCTTTCTTTCCAAATGATGACATAAGTATAGCGGTGGGGGCCAGAGTAGTATTAGAATTGGAAGTAAGCCAGTGAAATCTAGAAACAAGCAGAACTGAAACCAAGAAAAATAAACCTTCAAGGCTGATGGTTAAACACAATTAGAGGATATTGAGAAAGGCCTCAAATATGCTGTCAACGAGCAGGTCAAAAACAAAGAGAGATGGAATGGACAGAACTACCTGTCTTTTTTTTTCTTTTTTAGCTTTTTATTTTGAAATAATTATAGATTTGCAGAAGTTTGCAAACAAAGACAGTACAGAGAGGTCCCAATATCCTTCACCCAATGTTTACATCATACATAATCATAGTACAATATAAAAACTAGGAAACTGATATGGGTAGTGTGAACAGTTCTATGTCATTTTATCACATGGGGTTCTGTGTAACCATTCATTACTGCAGTCAAACAAGATTCTTTCAGTCGCCACAAAGATCTCCCTCTTGCTACCATTTATAGTACAGAGTTTGCTTTTAAGGAGGATAACAGTAAGTAGAGGGCAAGTTCAAAGCCCAGTCTAGGAGCACATACAGAGAGTAGTGGGTGTGGGGAAAGTCAGTGGAGGAAGGTTGTTCCTGAACTGTCTCTAAACCAGACTCTCCAGTGTGTCAGGAACTTTGGGGATCTCTCACTGTTATATATTATAATTATATATTATTATATATAATACATATAATTATATATTATATGTTATCATAGAAAATTACAGAGAAAGTAATTTCTTTGAAGCAACTGTTCCTTTAAATAACTAAGAACATTAAGGAGAAATTGCTTGACTATAATACCCATTCCAGGCAAGCAACCAATCTGTGTAGATCTGGGTCTCCAAGATGATGGGATCATCTCTACATAATCATCTACCGTAGATCTCTCCTTTGGAAAAACTAAAGTGAGGGGCACTGATCTGAAGTATTGTAAAGGTCACTGAAAGACTCATAAACTTAAAAAACCCAAATGTCATATAAGAAAAGAGAAGCCTAGAGGTAAATTTACATAATTATGATTCTCTTAAAGTATCCATATAATATAACTAGTTTGGATAACTTAGAAAATTTAACGGCAAATGGCTGGCAAAAGAACTATAATCTATTTTTTAAAGGAAACTAGCTAGAGTATATGGGCCAATATTAACAATGAAATAAAATCAAAAGAAAATATTTGACCTCAGACAGGAATTCTCAAATATTTTAGGCCAAAAACCTTTCATTTTATTTCATCTAAATTTTCTTATTAACCTTTGGTACTTGCTTATATATATTTTACTTACAATTGTTATATTCCTTTGAGACAAAATATTTTACTTAACTTTGACCTTTGCTTCTTTATATCTAACTAAAGCCTGTAATCCCTGGAGTTTTTATTTTAATGATTAGTTTTCCTTAGAACACTTTAAGAGAAGAAATACAAAGTGATTTAATATACATTTTAAAAATCATATTTATTAAAAATTTGTTGCAGAGAAAAACATTTATTTTAGTAAAAAAGTTTAATTACATAGAAAACAAAATGTGAATATATAATAAGGGAAAAGGGATTAGATAATAACAATAAACACTTCCAATTGGAAAATTAGAAAATTAGTCTGGGTGTGGTAGCTTACACCTGTAATCCCAGCACTTTGGGAGGCCAAGGTGGGCTGATCACTTGAGGCCAGGAGTTTGAGACCAGCCTGGCCAACTTGGTGAAATC
The DNA here is from genome assembly GCF_000001405.40 of Homo sapiens. NCBI lineage: Eukaryota > Metazoa > Chordata > Mammalia > Primates > Hominidae > Homo > Homo sapiens. Next base: position 170,097,475 of record NC_000002.12, on the reverse strand, counting down.
CTGTCTCTACTAAAAATACAAAAATTGGCTGGGTGTGATGGTATGCACGTGTAATCCCAGCTACTCGGGAGGCTGAGGCAGGAGAATCACTTGAACCTGGGAGGTGGAGGTTGCAGTGAGCTGAGATTGTGCCACTGCACTCCAGCCTGTGTAACAGAGCAAGAGCAAGACTGTCTCAAAAAAAAAGAAAGAAAGAAAGAAAGAAAATTAAACACAGCAGTCACTGATTCATAGCAATTTTGAAATGTGGCTGGGAAGATACTCTGAAGTCCCTCTAGAGGTGGGTATGTAATATTTCTCGATTAGGTCCAGATTCTGCTCCTTGGGAAGAGCTCCTTTGTCCATTGTTCTTAGTAGCTTGTGGCTCCAGGCTCTGGGAATATATTCCCTTCCCATTATACTCTTGGTCTGCATCTGGAGTGGGCATTTGAGAATATGCCTCCTTGAGAGTTGTGCAGTTCTCTCAGCTTCTTTCCCATATATGGCTGGTAGTACAAAGTCATTTCAAGTCCCAAAGAGTCACAGACTTTTAATATCTACATTTATGGTTTAACAACACAACCCTCCTAAAAACATACACTTTTTATATATTGGAGTCCAATCAGTTCCATGTTTCAAAAGCTACATCAACAGCTCCTTTCTAGACATTCTCCTTAGATTTGCTCTATTCATTGCTTTCTAGTTTCCATGACTCTCTTTCAACTTATTTTCAGATAAATTGAATTTATCAGGACTTCAGTGAGACAGTCACACTTTTAGTCTCTTTTCCTTAAACCATTTTGTCTAATTGAAAGGATGTACTGCTACGCACCCTTAGTTGGACCTTGATTCTGAGACAAACACTTTCACAGAAGCTTTTCAGAGGTTTTAACTATGGTGTCAAGACCATAATCTCATTTAATCTTTGCCACAAGGCTGAGTTTAATCTTTGTTGCTCAAAGCTCTCTCAGGTTTATCTGTTAGTGGTTATGGTTAAGAGCAGTTGTGTTTTCCAACTCTTAAATCCCCCAAATTTCTAGACTATATTATTTTTTATTTCTGCTACCAAATGGCCATTTACATATATATGAGTTTATCTCTTCCACGTAATACCCTGTGTAATGCAAACACTGCCAGGCAACACATTCTGTTTTCCAGTTCTTTCCCTTATAGTCACAAATTCATTCGGTGTGTTATTATCTTATAATTTACTGCACACAACAGCTCAACAAATACTTTGCTCCTGGATAACATGGATCTCCCTTTCATCCTTCATTATCACCTACCATCAACTTTTAAATCATTAATACATATATTAATAACTTTTTGCTACAAAAGCATCCTGTTCCTCCTAGCAATTTCTATCAATATGCATAATCCAAGTTACGTTTCAACAACTCCAAGAATCTCATCACGTTAAAACACTGGGTTTACTTTTGCTCATGTTTATTTTGCTCATCCAGCCAGATTGGCTTGTTCTCAAACTGAGACCTAGGCTGACAACTGGAACATCGCAAATTGTCATTACAGTGGGAAAAAGAACAGAATGATCACTCACTGGCTTTGAAAAATTCCGCAGGTAGCACATATCACTTCCAGTCACATGACATTAGCCAAAGCAAGTTATGTGGCTATACACAATTTCAAGGGGTAGGGAATTATAATCCTAGCATGGACCCGAAAAGGAACTAGAAATATTTGGTGGGCGACATTAATGACCATGACATCCTCCAGTATCTTTATTGTTTTGCTTTTTGTACTTAGGGCTACCATCTAACTGGAACAGATTTTTGTATGGTGTGATGAGATCCAATATAGATTGTATCATGTATTGAAAAGCTCATCCTCTTTCCACTGCTGTGCAGTACTTCCCTTGTTATAAATCAGTGTTCATATATGCACAGCTCTCTTTCTGGGCTCTTGACTCTTTTCCTTTGGTCTGCTTATCTACCCTTGCACAAACTGCATATTATCTTCTTCAATTTTTTTTTTTTTTTTTTTTTTTTTTTTTTTTCAGATTCAGGGGTAGATGTGCAGGTTTGTTACATGAGTATATTGCATGATGCTGAGGTAGGCTTCTAATAATCCCCTCACCCAAGTAGTGAACATATTATAGTACCTGATAGATAGTTTTTTTTTTTTGTTGTTGTTGTTTGGTTTTGTTTTGTTTTGTTTTAGACAGGGTCTTACTGTTGCCTAGGCTGGAGTGGTGCAGTGGCATGATCATGGGTCACTGCAGCCTCAAACTCCTAGGCTGAAGTGATCTTCTGACCTCAGCCTCCCGAGTAGTTGGGACTACAGACGCATGCCACTATGCCCAGCCTGATAGGTAGTTTTTCCACTTTTTCTTTTCTTAAGAGTTAGGGTCTTACTATGTTGCCCACGCTGGACTTGAACTCCTGGGCTCAAGCAAGCCTTCCGCTTCAGTTTCCCAAGTAGCGGGGACTACAGTCTCACACCACCACCCAAGTAGCTGGGACTACAGGCATGTGCCATCACATCTGGCTTGCACATTATCTTCACTGCTATTGAAAAGACCGGATAACAGAGTGAATCTCCCCACCTTGCTCTTGCTCTTGTCCTGGCTTAACCTTGATGTCTATATATATATATATATATATATATTTTTTTTTTTTTTTTTTTTTTTTTTTTTTCTGAGATGGAGTCTTGCTCTGTCTCCCAGGCTGGAGTGCAATGGAGTGATCTCAGCTCACTGCAACCTCTGCCTCCCAGTTTCAAGTGATTCTCCTGCCTCCGCCTCCCAAGTAGCTGGGATTACAGGCATGCACCACCATGCCTGGCTAGTTTTTGTACTTTTAGTAGAGACAGGGTTTCACCTGTTGGCCAGGCTGGTCTTGAACTCCTGACCTCGTGATCCTCCCCCCTTCATCTCCCAAAGTGCTGGGATTACAGGCGTGAGCCACAGCGCCTAGCCGATGCTACATTTCTATATAAAATTTAGATTCATCCTTGAATTTTGTATCTTTGAATTTTTACTGCATTGGCACTGATTATAGATACATTTAAGGAAGACTATCTTTACAATGAGTCTACCAATTTTTATCATGTACATGTTTAATTAGGTTCTCTTTGATTCTTATTGATATCTTATTGTTTTATCTAAAGAAGTCTTACAAATCTTTTATTGCTCAGAAATTTGATACTTGTATGCTTTTAGATAGTAACTTTTAAATTTTTTTATTTTTGATAGAAATTACTTATCAAATTATTAGAAATTATTTCCAGTAACCCATTGATGTTAATTGGAATAGTACATCTGTAGATCTGAATTTTCTGTGTACATATATCAGGTGTACACAATCATATCATCACTGAAAAATGAGTTTTATTTATTCCATCATTATACTTTTTATTCCTTTGTTTGTCTTATTGAACTAAATAGGACATCTTACCTTGTTCCCAATCTCAAAGGTAAGTTTTCAATCTTTCACCATTCGATATATGACCTATAGCTAGTTTTTTGGTAGCTAATTTTTATCAAAGTAATTTAAAATATAACAGTAATTGTTTTATATGTGTCTCTTGTAAACAGCCTGTGTTGGTTTTCTATTTAGTCTGACAATCTTTGTCTTTTAACTAGGAATTCAGATCATATGCAATTTAATGTAATTACTGTATGAACTTAAATACCACCCTCTTATTGTACTTTTATTTCTCTTCACTGGCTACATTTCTTTTTCACTTATTATTTTAGATTGCTTTTTATTATTGCATTATCCACTCCCACATTAGTTTGGAAGTTTTACCCTCTTTATACTCTATCTGAAAAATTTTCAAAAAACCTACCCTAGAAATCAACTTTCCAAGGTATAATATTACTCTTCTTCTTTCATTAACATGTATGAAACATGTCCATATATCAGGTGAAGTAAAATGCAATGGGGCTAAGAAGGTGAGTAGCGCAGTCTCTCTTCCTGAAGAACTTAAGTCTAAGTCAGCCTCTTCAGTTTTCTTTTGAAGGATCTCCAGATCTCCCATGTTCAGACCACTACTTCTTTTCTTTCTGCAAATACCATATATTTACAAATAAATTCAATATTTTATGAGCTTATTGTAGAGATTGTCAGCTATTATATCAGTCTTTTTGAAATATTTTTTGGTTTGGGTTTGTCATTTCAAAGGATCCAGCTGTTCTGGATCTTTACAAGTATCTTTTTACACATTACAGCTATCCTCACCACAAACTTCAAGTGAACTATTATCTCCATTATGCAGAGGAGAAAACTGATTTCAGTGAGATTTTCCCAGGAACACACAGCCATTAAGGGGTGGACTGGATTTGAACCCAGACCTATACCCATCTCTAATGACTATATATTTTTCCCACCTTGTCACAGAATTTGTCAAAATGTAGGCTAAATAACTGTAATATGCATTGCTACTTTGAGTGTATATGATTGTCACTTTATTTTTTGAGGTACAATTACATACTACAAAATGTATTCTTTAAAGTGCATAACTGACTGGTGTTTATCACATTCACAACGTTGTGCAACCATGATCACTTTTTAATTCCAGAATGTTTTCAACTCACCACAAAGAAACTCCATCCCTATTAGCAGTTATTCTGTATTTCCCTTCCCCCAGCCCCCGGCAACCACGAATCTACTTTCTGTCTGTATAAAGATGCCTATCCTGGATATGTCATATAAATGGCCTTTTTTGTAGCCTTTGTGTCTGGCTTCTTTCACTCAGCATGTTTTTAAGGTCCGTCCATGTTGTAACATGTATCAGTACTTCATTCCTTTTATGGTTGAATAATATTCCACCATGCAGATATACCACCCTTTGCTTATTCATTGGTTGGCAGACATTTTTCACTATTATGAATAATGCTGTGTAATCATTTGTGTGCAAGTTTTGTGTGAACATATTTTTTCATTCTCTTGGGTAAAGAGCCAAGAGTGGAATTGCTGGGTCATGTGGCAATTTTGTTTAACTTTTTGAGGGAACACAGCATCCTTTCACATACCTACCAGCAATGTAGGAGAGTCTAATTTCTCTACATCCTCCTCAACACTTACTGTTCATGTTTTTCATTAAAGCCATCCTAGTGGGTGTGAAGTGGTATTCCATGATGGTTTTGATTTCCATTTCCGTCATGATGAATGATGTTGAAATCTTTTCATGTGCTTATTTGCCTTCTGTATATCTTCCTTAGATCAAAGCATTCAAGTCCTTGGCCTATTGTTTAAGTGGGTTGTCCTTTTATTGTTGATAGGAGTTCTTTATTTTGGACATTAAGGCTTAGCAAATATATGATTTGAAAATATTTTCTCCCATTCTGTGGGTTGTTTTTTCATTTTCTTGATAGTGTCCTTTGAAGCACAAAAGTTTCAAATTTTGGTGAAGTCAAATTTTTCCTTTTGAAGGGTGGGGAATTGCTTGTGTTTTGTAGATTAGTGGTTCCCAAACTTTTTGGTGCCAGAGCCTGGTTTTGTGGTAAACAGTTTTTTCAGACTGGGGGGTTGGAGCGAGGGCATGGTTTCTGGATAATGCAAGCAATTACATTTATTGTGTACTTTATTTCTATTATTACATTCTAATATATCATGAAATAATTATTCAACTCACCATAATGTGGAATCAGTGGAAGCCCTGAGCTTGTTTTCCTGCAACTAGATAGCCCCATCTGGGGGTGATGGGAAACAGTGACAGATCATCAGGCATTAGATTCTCATAAGCAGCAAGCAACCTAAATCCCTCACATGCTAGTTCACAATAGGGTTCACACTCCTATGAGAATCTGCTGCCACCACTGATCTGACAGGAAGCGGCGATCAGGCAGTAATGGGTGCCATGGGGAGTGGCTGTAAATACAGATGAAGTTTTGTTCACAGCCACTCACCTCCTGCTGTGCAGCCTGGTTCCTAACAGGCCTTGGACTGGTATGGGTCCGTGGCCCAGAGGTTAGGGACTCCCTGCTTTAGATGTTATATCTAAGAAATGATTGCCTAATCTAAGGCAACAAGGACTTAAAACTATGTCCTAAGTATAATATTAACCTTCACCATTTTCTGAGATAATGCAAGGACTTTGGAACATCTATCCCCGTCTTATTACATTTCTGTTAAACACCAACATACATACATACTGAAATCCCATATAATGCAGTATCATAATCATTTTATGCAGAAAGTGTTCATTTAGTTATACTATACATATATTCACAATTTTTATTTTCTTGCCAAAATTTAATCTTCCAGCAGGGCTTATTTTCCTTCTGCCCAAAAACTCTTTTTGTGTTTTCCTTCCTTAGTGTGGTTATGCTGCTGTTACATTCTCTCCATCTTTATTTTAATGTCTTTATTTTGCTATCATTTTTGAAGAGTATTTGTTGTGTAGAGGATCTTCAGTTAAGAGTTATTTTCTTTCCACATTTTGAGGATATTTTTCTATTGCTCTGTTTCCAATGTTACTGTTAAGAAGACAGAGGCCTTTTGAGGTAATCCATCCTTTTTCCACTGAGCAGTTTTTAAGATACTTTTTATTCATTGCAGTTTCACTATTATTTCTCTAGGTATGGATTATTTTCCATTTATCCTATTTGTGATCTTTTGAACTTCCTGAATTTATGGTTCAATGTCATTCATCACTTCTGAAAAATTCTCAGCCATTATCTCTTCTAATATTGTCTCTGCCATATTCTCTCTCCTCTCCCTTCCTGAGGCTCCAATTACAAGTGTGTTTGGTGTTTTCACAGGGTGCTTTATGTCTTTTACCTCTTACTCCTTTTTCATCTTTTAGTCTCTGTGCTCTATTCTATATGCCTCCTTCTAATTTATAACCCAGTTTACCAAGTCTTTCTTTAGCTGTATTTCATCTGATAAACAGCTCCATTTAGTTATTTTTGGTTATCTTTTCAGGACTAGAATCTCTAAAATTTTTTCAAATAAAAAGTTACATGAGTCAAGTAATTATAACAACTGGAGTCCCTGTGATCTGTTTTTATTATTTTTCTATTGATTCTGGCTTTTGTGTATTGTCTCATCATGTTTGTTTACCTGAAACACTTTCAGAAATAGTTTGAGAATTAGGATGATGTCATCAGTCTCCAGAGAGGATATTTTTTTCCAGGCACTGGAGAGTAATAGCAGTCTGTGACCAAGATTTGATTTTGTTTTAGAGCTGGAGTACAATTAATACCTCCACTTCAACAGTCTAGTTGAAGTTTCCTCCAGTCTACTTGTGGTTAAATGAAGCCAATCTTTTAGTAGATTTTCACTGGAAAGACTGACATAGGCATACTTTAAACTATTTTTCTATGATCTGATACTTGAAGGACAGCATGACCTTACATAAAATCATTGGCTTACACTTTCTTTCCTTGAGGTGTTCTTGAAAATTCTGCTCAATTTTGCCTTGCTCTTGCTTGTGAAAAGTCTAATACCCAGTCTAATTCTCTCTGTAAGTCTTGGGAACTTGTCTTTATAGTTAAATAGTTTTTCTAGGGTATGTCTTGAAGTTTACTATTGATGATCAATTTTCCTGGTACTCTGTGGGCTCTTTCAATATGAACTCAGGTCTTTTTATTTGAGGAAAGCTTTCTTAGGTTATTGGTCTTTTCTAAAAAAACTTCCCATTTTTAAATAAATTTTAGATATACAGAAGAGTTGCATGAATAATGCACAGAGTGCCTGTATATCCTTGACTCTGCTTCCCCTAATATAACAATTCACAGAAACATAGCACAATCATCAAAATCAGAAATTAGCTAAATACTATTAACTAAACAACAGACTTTATTTGGATTTTGCGTTTTCTCACTATGATCTATTTTTGGTGTCAGGATTTTGTCCAAGATTTCACATTGCATTTAGTTATATCTCCTCAGTCCCCTACAGTCTGTAACAATTCTTTGATTTTTCCTCTTCTTTCACTTTGACACTTTCAAAGAGTACTGGTAAGTTATTTTGTAGAATGTCCTTCAGTTGACTTTTTCCTATGTTTTTACATGATTATAATGAAGTTATGCAACATTTGCAGTTATATTGCAGTAATGATACTATATAACTTCTCAGTGAATCATATTTAGGGGTTTATTAAGTCTTTACTGGTAATAATGAACTTTAATCACTTATCTATCAGGTTTCTCTTCTGTAAAGCTACAATCTTTCCCTTTGTAATTCATATGTACCTGGAGGGATGTACCACGAAACAATGCAAACCTGGTTCTTCAACTTTTGCCCACTCATTTGGCATTTTTTCTTCAGTAAGATGGGCCCCTAATGATCCCTCCTCCCCCCAGTATTTAGACTCTTGTGTAGCCTCCTACATGGTCTCTGGGTTGGCATGTTTGGCAGAAATAATATGCCACTTCTAAGATTAGGTGATAAAAGACACCGAGGCTTTCCTTGTAGGCATGCTTTCTTATGTGTTCTGTGTCTCCCTCTCTTGGGTCACTTCTTCTGTGGAAAATCAGCTGCTGTTGTTAGCAGCACTGTGGAGAGGCCCACATGGCGAGAAACTGAAGTCTCTGGCCAACAGCCATATGAGTGAGTTTAGAAACAGATTCTCCAACCCCGATCAAGCCTCTGATGACTGCTGCCGTGGCTAACGCCTTAATTTAGTCTTGTAAAAGACTCTGGGCCAGAATCACCCAGCTAAGCTGCTCCTGGATTCCTGATCCACAGAAACTGTGATGTAATGTGTACTGTTTCATGGCATTATGTTTTACAGTAATCTGAAACACAGCAATAGACAACTAATACAGTCTGAATCACTTACTCTGCCATTACTGGAAGCAACAGTGTCTATGTTCATTTAATCACCACATTAGCTATTGTTTCCATTGCACAGATAAGAAACCAAAGTGTGGCAGATATTGAATTAGCCACCAAAAAGCCACTCACAATCCTTTTTGCCTTTGGATTCCTCTAGCACAGCAGCTCGCAAGCTAAAATTACCGCCCCCCCCGGCCCCTCCAGATTTCCTCGCATTTTGTAGCGGCCACCTACCATTACTGACTAAAGAGGTGTATGTACAAGTGCACCAGGAAAGGGCTTCTCTTGTTGAGCACAGGATAAAGGCTTAGGAAAAGGCTTTTGGCCCATTTGCTTTTATCCTGCCTGGAAAATGAGGTGAGCTACTATCTCGCTTTCATCCTCATAGCAGCCTGGATATTAGCAGTCATCTTGCAGCCATGAGGATAAAACCTATAATCTAATGGTATGGAAAAGGAAAACAAGAGAAGCTGAGATCCATATTGATTCCCTTGAGCCGCAGCCCCTTCCTCGTATGTCTGCCTCAGCCTTTCTTTTGCCTGAAACCAATAAACTCCTTACTTCTTTAGGCCATTTCTTAGTCAGGTTTTCTGTGGCTTGAAACAGGACACATTCCTAATTGATATACTCATGTAAGGAGAAGTAACTCAAATGGTAAACAATACCATCGGACTAAACACAACATCTAATTAGAAGTAGGTTCTGGTGCAAACACGTCCAGGTGTCCTGCAGAAGTCCTGACCATGCCAGGGAGAGTAAGGAAATGTGTGTTCTACTCCTCCACTTTATTGCCAAATTTTCTACTTTGTAACCTCCAAAAGCCATGTTCTGGCTGCTACCCCAACCACGTCACCAAAACTATCCTCATCAAGGATATCAACTGCCTCCTTTGTCACAAAATCCAATGAATACATTTTGGCTCTTAACCTCTCCACAGAACTTGACACTTGTTGACTGGTTCCTTTTTTTAAAAAAAAAACATAATTCCTTCTAGGATTTCACATTCCAAATTTTCTCCTTCCTATCTGCGTCTCTCATAAATCTTGTCCTCAGGCTAACCATCTTCTGCTTGTCCTCTAAATGAAGATAGTATTTAAGGGTATTACCACAGGCCCTTTTCTCTCTGGATGAGATCCATTCCCACGGCTTCAGTTACAGTTTGTTGGTGATGACTCCCCTGAGCATCTACCCTTCAAACCCATCAATTATCACATCCCCATTTGGATGACTCACAAAAGCCTCACTTTCAACTGGTCAAAATCTGTACATATCACATTCAACTTTATACCTGGATAAAGTTGATTCTAGCTCATGAAATAACACAACCAACCATCAGGCCAGAACATAAGTGGTTTCTGTCACTGCCCTAGTATACATCATACACCATCCTCATCTCTCCTCTGGCTACTGAGTTACCCTCCTGAATGGTTTTCCCAAATGTTCCTGTTCCCCTCCTCTCATTCTCTTGGCCTACGGCCTGCTTTTGTAAATTAAGTCTTACTGGAACACAGCCATGCCCATTCACACACACACATACACATCCATATGCATATGTGTGTGTGTGTGTGTGTGTGTGTGTACGTCTAGGATGCTTCTGTATTATACTGGCAGAGATTAATAGTTGTGACAGAAACCATCTGGCCCTTTATAGAAAAGGTTTGCTGACTGCTGCTCTAAACTGAGGCAATAACCAAAATAGAAAAGGTTTGCTGACCTCTGCTCTAAACTGAGGTAATAACCAAAATAGAGGCCACAAAGCCCAACATCCATAACACTACTCAGGAAGCCATGATCTGATTCCTGCCTATTGTTCCTGCAACAGCTCTTACCACATGCTCTTCTGCTTTCTATGCTTCAACCATACTGTACTTCCTTCAGTTTCCTGAGTGCAACCCTCCTTATTCTTATTTCAGGGTCTATGTGCTGCACTCTTTAGAATGCCCTCCCCCATTCCCTCTTCACTTAGCTCACTTTTTCAGGCAGGTCTTGGCTTAAACATCATTTCTTCCATGTAACCTGTGAACTTCCCAAACTAAACGAGTCTACTGATTCCCATAGACTAACTTGCTGATAACATCCTATTGAACTGTAATCACATAATCAGTGTTGTTTTCCACCAGACTGTAGGCAGACACTGACCCTTTGTCTTGTTCAACGTGGGATCCCTATAACTTACTTTAGTATCTGGCACACCTTAGGCACTCAATATTCTTGGCCGTCCCTCATGTTACTGCATTCTGTCAACTCTCTTCAGATACTGTCCACATCTCTCTGTCCCGACCACAACTCCCCTACTTGAGCCAACTATCATGTTTTATCTGGAGTCTTTCAACAGATGCCTGGCAGGTTTCTCCACTCTAGTGGATTTTTCTCCAGAGTGCAGCCAGGTTGACTTTTCTAATGCAAATCTGATGTCACTCTACTATCTAAAGCCCTAAAATGCCTTCCCATTGCTCTCTAAAAAAGTCTAAAACCCTCAGCATGGCTTACAAAACTCTTTGTAATTTAGATTTTACCTCTCAAAAGCACCTATGCTTACAGTCAAAATGATTCCCTTTCACATCCACAAGTGCTCTCTCAACTCGTCGCAAACAATATTCTCTATGCCTGCCTGAATCACTACTCTCCACACTTGTTTCACCCAGATATCACCTACACAATATTTGGGAATCATCATCTCTCCCCACTGGAAGCCTCCTCATACACCCAAGTCTGGTTTAGAGGGTCCATCTATAGCACCTTCTACTCTACTTCTCTTCTCCTCCAAACACACATACCATTTGTAACACTAATCATACAGAAAGCGAGGTGAGAGAAGGGACTATCTGACTTCTTTTCCACTGTATTTCCAGTATTTATCATAGTGCTTGGTACACAGGAGGAGTGCAATAAATATTTACTAAATAAACGAATTTAAATGCTTCAACATTGCAGCAATTTTGCGTAAGTTCAAAAGAAAACTTTGAAAGAGTTCATTGTCTTACTAAATCTTATTGTGTCTTCCAATCCTACGCCCCTACAAATCCAACATGAACCCCACACTCATTTCAACCAGCTCCCCTAATTCTCTTAACTTATATTGCATCCTTTACATTTTGTATCCGTGTCTCCAAACCCCAGTTAATTTAGCAGTCTAATTTCTATCCTTCAGGTCCTAAGCTGCTAAACTCAGGGGCTCCACAAAGTTACAGAATCTTTCTAACTGGCTCCATTAAACTTAGGTTTTCTAACCCCACTTGGCTGTCAATATAACTTCAGTGGTGCTTCCCCTTATTTCTGGCCTGTTCTCTCTCCTAGCATATGTCTAAGCTTTTGCCACTTATCTCAAGCCCCCAGATATGCTAGGCCTGTTCACTCTCGGTACATGATCCTGCTCCTTTGTCACCAAGAGAAGAGGGAATCAGACACAAATCCTCTTATTTTGCTCTAGACTTTCTTTCCTTTTCTCTTGTATCTTTTCCCCTCAACCTGAAGCTTTTATCTGTGCTCTTGACCCCACTCCTTCTGGTCTGCTCTTGGGCTCTACCTCACTGATTTTGGTACTGTCACATCTTACATTAATTTAACTTGCACAAAGGCAGCTCTACACAAGGTTCCATTGTGTGTTTTCACTGTGTTGCATCAGCTGAAGTCACATTCATTCCACTACTTGTACTGTACACTAAGATGGCAGGTCATAGCTCTTCCATACCTGATATGCCTAATTAATAGGGAGCTTGAAGTGTCATAAATAGAGAAGTGATCATGTTGCTGTTTTGCCCACTCCAGCTCATCCCTGTTGAACTAAGCAGTGCTTGATATCATCTAGCCAGATCATAAGGCAGAGGAAAGAACTATGTGCTGTGAATGGGACTGAGACACAGTCATAAGTCATCTGCTCTCCCACAATCATCAATCATCAGGCATCCTCACCAATGAATTCATCTTCTCTCGGTGATTTGATTCTAGTGGTTAAAACCATGCTTTGTGTCCCCCCCAACCCCAAATATGATCTCAAATATAAGCCATCAACAGCCATTTGAGAGTCAGCAATTAGAATCCTGGAGATAATACAGAGAGTCTTAGACCACATCTCTTCCCATATTGCTGTTTCCTCTAAGCCTTCAGTGCTTTTAGTCAGCATCTTTTTCTAAGTCACAGAAATCAGTAAATATCGGAATACATAAAACAGAGAAAGGTCTGAAGAGAAATGGACTGCTAGCTGATAAATGGCTGGTGAGCTTCAGGATGGAGAGGTAGGGGTGAGGACTGTCAATTCAAACAAGAATGCAAACCACTCAAAATAAACATTCTCATAAAGCACTAAACATTTCTGAAGTCTGGCTGGGAACTTTCAGAAAAGAACAGAGATCACAATTCCTCAGATCTACATACCCATTTCCTTCTCCCCCTACCAAACACACACACTTAGCAAAGAATGTGCATTGATTATGAGACAAGGACTGAAGAAGCAAGAACTCACTCTGCAAATAAAAGAAAAAAAGCAAAGCAAACCCTTTACACTTACTCCACCCTAAAGCAACTACTAATTATGTTGTGCTTTGATCTTTTCAGCCATGTTCACTCACATATATTACTGTCAATATCTTTGGGGGAAAAAAAAACATGTAAGCAGTAAACATTTTAAGGACCTTTCACAAACCAAATGACAGCAGGTTTTTATTAACATATCTTACAATGTTGATTATTCCTAGTTTTGTAATTTCTGCTTAATTATAAAGATCAATTTAGCTTCTACAGTAATGTACTGTATTTAAATGATCATTCATACAAGATATCACACCAGTACATTTTTTTGAATAATATACACACATCACTCTAACTTGGACCTGTTATTTTTAAAAGTGGGTTTATAAATGGGACTTATAAAAGTTATGGGGAAAAATTAAAGTTCTAGTTTAGCAGCATGCATGTATGTATTCAAGTACAATTTTCAACCAAGTGCTTTTTTAAAATTTACTGGTGACTAATTCACCAATATCAAAATAAACACTATCAAACACCCAAATTTTAAAGTTAAGGCTAATATTTTCACTTCACATCCATATGCACAACCATAAAACATTCCATTTTAAATAAGTAGTAATCAAAGTCTGAATACATTATACCATGTATATATAGCATCAGAGTTTCAAACTGTAGAATTATTCAAGTTCATGAATCCTGTAACAGTATTTACTAGAGATGTCAATTAGCATTTTGCTCTTCAACCACACTTACAAATGGTCTGGTATTCATAACGATCAATGCAAAAAGTATGACAGGCTGAACTTATGATACAGTATTTAAAAAAGTAGCAATGTGTTGGAAAGGACAGCTATTTAGTCGAACAGAATCATTGACTCTTACAGAAAGTTATCTTAATATTTTGGAAATGTATATAAAAATAGCAAGCTATTTCCATGTATTTTATTGTAGAACGATAGGTAATCTTTTGACTTTCTGAATACATTTGAATATGTACTGCTCTGCTTTCCATATTTTAATGCAAGGCCATGATTTAATGTCCATTTTTATACTCTTGTAATGTCATGTCATTACAAAAATTTTTTAGAACATGGATCTGACATATTTTATCATTAGATTTGTTTAGTTTATTTTTACATGTAAAAATGTAATTTTATATAACAAGCCATGGAAGTCCAAAGTACCAGGGATTGCTTGATAGCACTATATATTAAATAATCATTCAATTACTGAATCATTTAGGAAAAAAAATCTTTGTAGCAATATGTCACATGCTTTTCAGTAATCTTCCTTCTCATAGAGTGGGTTTTAGCTCAATCATTCCCATTTTTACTGATTTTTAAACCCTGCAAACATAAATTGTTTTTCACAGCAGTTTCTAAGAAGAATGCAGAAGCGTGGCTCATTCATGAGGGTCATCACCACTGCGCCTTTTTTTTCCTTTTAGGAAACCGAGCAGAAATAGTAGTGATTACACTGCACAAATACAATATAGCTGAACCTCTTGAGCTGAAAGGAAGTTCCAAAATTTATGGTTCATTTCTGGGGAAGTCTGAGCATTTCTAATACAATCATATAAACAAAACCTTGTTTGGTAATAAAAGGTGGGCATGCACGGAATCAACATCTGCCCAGTGTATGTTCTTAAACCTCTTGATTTCATAGTAAGATTTGTTATTACCTCTAGTAATTCATCCAACTGAAATGGCAAATTTTGATTTTTAAGGACCCCCCAACCACACATATGCCCCCCAAAATGTACTGTATTATATTAACAGCAGCTATCTACTTATTTTACAGCTATTTCAATTATTTACCTGGGGAGAAGATTTATGAAATTCCTGAGAATGAATTCAGTTTTCAGCAAAGCTTTAAACTTTTAACAGATTCCTCACAATAAGAAAAAATTTTAAAGTTCTACTATTAGACCAACTTTTACTATACAGTATTTCACATAAATCATGTTTTACATTTTTTTCTAATTACATACAGAAAAATTCTCCAATCAACACAAGAATGGCAGAGGAAAAAAGATGCATTATGCTTGGCAGATGCAAATTAAAACACACAGACAGAAAGAAGCAGTAAAATGTCAAATAAATCACACCCACTCTAAGTATCAATGAATAGCTGATACGCATTGTTGGGAGAATCATTTCTGAATGAGTTTGTGAACAAGTTGTGCTTCTTATTAATTGTGCACTTAAAAAATGACCACTAAAGAATAATTTAACTTGTTATTAATGTTCTCCAGATATTAAAAAAAAAAAATTATACCATTAACGTGATTACCAAGCACCTAATTTTGGAAAGGCTTCATAATGTATGTTTTCTTTTTCTCCCTCAGCAAAAGTGTTAATCCCCCAAATTAAGTTAAAGCTTATTGTTGAAAAATAAATTCGTAGCGAAAATGATGATACGATGCAATGCTGAGGTGGAGAGTCACAGCCCATTGTAATGTGGACCCCATCTTTTATTGATGTGATCAAAAGTATGAGAAATCCACTGTTGCTCAAGAACTTTGTATCTTTCCTTACAAATGTAGAGAGGTTTGCCTCGCCTAGAACAAAAAGAAAAAAAAAGTATTAATATCATACACGGAAGATTTCACATGCATTTCTTTCTTCTTTTTTTTCTGAGACAGTCTCTCGCAGTGCAACCTCCGCCTCCTGGGTTCAAGCAATTCTCCTGTCTCAGCCTCTCGAGTAGCTGGGATTACAGGTGCTCACCACCATGCCTGCCTCCTTTTTTTATTTTTTTATTTTTTATTTACTTATTTCTTTTTTGAGACGGAGTCCCACTCTGTCACCCAGGCTGGAGTGCAGTGGCACGATCTTGGCTCACTGCAAGCTCCGCCTCCCGAGTTCATGCCATTCTCCTGCCTCAGCCTCTAGAGTAGCTGGGACTATAGGGGCCCGCCACCACACCCGGCTAATTTTTTGTATTTTTAGTAGAGACGGGGTTTCACCATATTGGCCAGCCTGGTCTCGAACTCCTGACCTCAAGTGATCCACCCACCTCGGCCTCCCAAAGTGCTGGGATTACAGGCGTGAGCCACCACACCTACCACATTTCTTTTTTTACTAGATTCTTTTTTGAGACAGTCTTTCTCTGTTGCCCAGGTTGGTGTGCAGTGGCACGATCACAGCTCACTGCAGCCGCCACCTGCTGGGCTCAAGCGATCCTTCCACCTCCTCCCGAGTTGCTGGGACCACAGGTGTATGACCACCACACCTGGCTTATTTATTTTTATTTTTTTGTAGAGATGAGGTCTCACTATGTTGTCCAGGCTGGTCTCAAACTCCTGGGCTCAAGCAATCCTGCTTCAGCCTCCCAAAGTGCTGAGATTACAGGTGTGAGCCACTGGGCCTGGCCAACGGATTCTTTGTGGCAAAAACCTCACATGGTAATTTGGTGTATTTCATGTTTCCTCAACGTATTGATAGGGACAATAGCTCAAAAACTAGAAATAGCTCTAAATTAATGACTGTCAGAATTTCTTAATATTAAAAAAATTGTAATTACAAAGCCAGGAATAGCATATTGGTTTTCACTGACCAAATTTCAATAAAACACCTGGATATATCCATGAACATCTAACCTAAGATCCCGGTCTTCCTCTCCATGAGCATCCAAATACACGGAACCCCAGAGGCAGAAGCGGTGACCTCGAATGATGATAATTACCGATGCATTGATCAAAAGGAAAATACCTGTTCCTGCACCACAGTTCTGAGAGTGCTAAAAAATTAAAAATATATTAATGAACTTCATAATCAAATAGGCTTTATAATAAAATCAAGAATATATTAATGCCTTCTAAATAATACAGTGATTTAAAAATAGTAAGATTTCATTTAAGTTAAACTTATAACTCCATTCCTAACACTTTATTATTAATACATTAGGAGGTATTTGGGTAAGGAATATCTAGTAAAGCAATTAAGAGCCAACCTAATTCAGAGTCTAGTATCTTCAACAGCACAGATGACTTCTGTTTCACAGCACATTCCAAAGTACATACCATTAAAGGGATAGTAGATGAAAGGAGAACTAGAATTGTACTTAAGGAAGGATTTACTCACTTAAAGCCTCAAAGACTTTCTTTTTTTACTCTTCTACTGGATTAAAAAACACACACAATCCCTATATGTATTATATACTTAATTCAAAGAGTAGTTAATATGAAGAGATGGCTTGACCATATTTTGTGATATGAGATCTGTGTTTTCATAAATTTTGTATTATCTACTATTGCTTACCAGTACACATTCACAGTAACTTTGTTGCTTGCAGCAAAGTCCTTTCAGGCATACAAAAGTACCACACACAAGGCAAACAGCAGGATCTTTAGGAACCTTGGTGCAGACACTACAGGTTTTTCTGTGGTAGTACTGAAAAATGGTGTTATAATTCTCAGGCAACTGTAGTAGGTGTGGTAATTTCCATTTTGACTCTTGGATAAGCAAGGCCTAAAACATTATCCAAAAATATTCATTAGTTTTATGTATTTAAGTCACTAACACAATATATTTTTTAAATGTATTTTTACAGAAAGAAAAATCTGCCTCCAAGAATGTGGCTTATTTTCTTTATTAACACTCCTCTCATTTCCATCTTATACATGACTAAAATAGTAGTTCAACAGTTACCATTATCTAATGTATTATAGTTTCCAATTACAGTATGATTTAATTTTTTAGATTAAGCACCTTAAAACATTTAAACTTGTTATTACTTTAAAAGAAAAACACCATCTCTAAGCATGCAGGGAAAATACATCTAATTGTATTTGACTTTAAACATGCATAGTGCAAAGGTTTTTAAAAGTTACGTATTTTTTAAAACCAAGTTTTGATCATTCTCAAACAATTCTTTAGCTTTTTCTTTAGGACAGATCATGGTTATAACTCATTTTTTCTACTTTAATACTTTATAATGTAGAATTGCTTTCCTAGAGTATGTACAATTCATTGCACCTCAAGCTGTTAAGATCTTTTATATCCATAAGTGCTGGGCTACAATTCTTTTCATAAATGTCTTGCTATAAGAATAAAAAAATTGTCAAATTAGTTAAATTTCCCTGAAGGGTATGCTTTATTAACTATTTGCAGCTGTATAAAAATACTGGCAGCAGCACTAAATTTTTCTAGATGCTACTCCATTCACACTTAAAAAAGATAAAATGTAGAGTGAGTCTATTATCTTAAGAAACTGTAAGTAATAGTCAATTTAAATGGAGATCATCTCACATTACCTACATGCAGCCATAATCCACCTAAATCAGTGGAGTAACTAAGCTAGCTTGTTCCTCATCAACAAGTTCATGGATTAAGTGTCCATGGAAGCAATGATAAGAACAGTATACAATACATCATTTGCCAATACTCAGCACCCAACCCTGGACTCCAAGGATGGCATTCTGTAATGAGTTGATTACAGTGGAACCCTTCCATTAAAGGGAAGGGATAACAATTTGTCCTCACTGAACTTGACACTTATTATAGGTTAGGCTGCATGTTATCCAGTAGCCCATAGCACATTACCTCCAATAATTTCCCTCATGAAGAGAGATGTAAGGCAACAGGTGGATGTCCATGGAATTCACTGATCTTAACATATATTCAATCATCTGAAAAAAGCTGTGGTATTTTAAATCATGAACTACAAAACTGATTTTTTCAGTGCCACAAAAATTATGAAATTCATGAAATTTACAAACTTTTAGATGGCACCAGCTGGAAGAAATCACCTACAGAATGTGTATGCTCTAAACAGCAACCAGTATATATGGGTGACCTTTTTCACAATTGGAATGCATATGTATGGGAAACAAGAGGTGGAAAGTATTTAACAGCTGTAACACCTCTCATGATTACACCTAAAATTCGGTCTTGCCTTTCCTGTTGCGGCCTGTGTGGAGTTCACTCGTGGGTCTCTGAGACCCAAAAATTGAGAGCATTTTCGCACCCCAGGGGCTGCGCCTGTGCCATGCCACAGATCAAATATATTGAATTACACTGTAAATGCCATGGATATCATTTGGATTACCATGAGAAAAAGGGAAAGAAGGAAAGTTGAGAGGCTTATGAACATTCAAAGAAGTCAAAGAAAATGATTGGTCTGAAGGCTAAGCTTTATCTTAAACAGCACCATGCTGAGAAAATACAAATGAAAAAGACCATCAAGATGCATGAAAAGAGAAACACCAGACAAAAGAAAGACTCCACAGGGAGCAGTACCTGCCTATCTGCTGGACAGAGAGGGACAACCTCAAGCTAACGTACTTCCCAGTATGATTAAGCCGAAATGAAAAGAGAAAGCAGGAAAATGGAAAGTCCCTCTGTCTAAATGTAACTTGCCCAGGGAGATACAGAAGTGTTAAGAGTTATTTGAACAGAGCCAGGTGCAGTGGCTCATGCCTGTAATCCCAGAACTTTGGGAGGCCAAGGTAGGCAGATCATTTGAGGTCAGGAGTTCAAGACCAGCCTGGGCAACATGGTGAAACCCTGTCTTTACTAAAAATACAAAAATTAGCTGGGCATAGTGGCAGGCGCCTGTAATCCCAGCTACTCAGGAGGCTGAGGCAGGAAAATCACTTGAACCCAGGAGGCTGAGGTTGCAGTAAGCCAAGATCGCTCTACTGCACTCAAGCCTGGGCAACAGAGTGAGACTCTGTCTCAAAGTTATTCCAACAGGAAAGAGAAAGACGCAGGCATAGAGGAGGATGGTTACTAAAGTCTGCTTTGTTGGAGATGGCTTTACAAGAAAACTACTTATCTATGGAAGATTCATCAGGCCAATGGGCTTGCGTTTCAAGAAAGCCCATGTAACACATCCTGAACTGAAAGCCACCTTTTGCCTAACAATACTTGGTGTAAAGAAGAGTCCCTCATTCCCAATGTATATAACTTTGGATGTTATTACCAAAGGTACTGTTACTGAGGTGAATGTGAGTTGGGCCTTGTGACACAAGGAGGCAAGGTTATTTGGGGAAAATAGGCTGTGGTTACCAACAATCCTGAAAATGATGGATGTATAAATGCAGTCTTACTGGTCTGACAGCACTTTCATAGATATTTATTGAAGACTACACACCAACTGAAAAAACTGCCATTACTGTGATGTTTCTGAATACTACCAAACAGCCTTACATGTCTGCAATCAAGAGATTTATTAAATTGTAAACATTAAAATGGAAAAAAAAATTCGGTCTTAAATTTCTGCTTCACTGCTATTCCGGACTCTTCTGCGGATTTACAAGCTATGTACTGTCTAACCTCTAGTACGGTTTATAACATCACAAGGGTGGCTTATCGCATTGCCTGGAGGGATTGACCATGACTATCAAGAAGAATAAAAATATTGCCATACAATTGGTAGAGCAATATTTTGGAACTTAAAAACCCCTACCACCACCCCTACCATAGACCAAGCTTGAAAGGCAGAAATTTAACACAGAATGATTACAGCCTTATAGAAACAAAGACAGGACCAATCACCAGAAGCTCAGCCCTTTCAGAATAAAGTTTGGTATCACATCCTTGCTCAAACAAATCCAATCATCCGTTGAGGTGTGCTGGATCACGGATGGTAAAAGAAGAAAGTCATATATATTTGACTGTATATTAGCTGCAGCTTTATGACTACTTGCAAATCTTGCTTACTGTATCATATATCTTTGCAACATTTTCATTCTCTTACTATTGAATTCAGGGTGAGCAGGTACTAATTAAAATTTTCCAGGCCATCTGGGTGTGAGTACAAATGACAGGAACAATGGACATCTCTCAGAGCTACTGGATGCAGAGAGGCCTGATGATGTAAGGACTATATGTGACATCAGGTTGCTTATTTGGGAAAGTCACAGATGCATTTGCAGTCATAAGTAAAATGGTTACATCATTTTCAACAGCAGAAGTGAAACTGTGAATGAGAAGAAGGGTGTGTATGAGCCAGGCAGGTAAGATGTGAAAGTAGTGGGCCACTAGTTTGTTTTTTAAATCCTCCTAGCATCCTTTGCTGCTTTCTTATATTAATAACATTATAAGTTCTTTTAGAAAATAACCCCTTTTCTTGCTCCGTACAGTTCTGATGGGGCTGTCCCCAACACAAGATCCTGCCCCACCACTGGGGTATATGTATTACAACAGTTAGGCCAACCAGATTCTCTCTCCCAGGAATCTGAACCTTGAGCATGCAAATTAAAGGAAGGAAAATGGTTGAGGCTTAGTTATCTGGTGGCAGCACTTCAGAGAAAACAGAGCAGAGATATTTGTGGTTTCTCTTCTTCCCAAGCGATGACAGTTAAGCTCTTCAATTCTGCAGGTTACCAAGTATGCTTCCAATGAATCCTGTTTTTTTTTTTTTTTCTGTCATAGTTTGCTTTGGTTTTCCTTATTTTAAATCAGAACTGGATTTTGTTGTTCCCAAACAAAGAATCTTAACTGATAAAAAAATTCAGAAGTAGTAATTCACAGACAGTTTTTCAAGGGTAGTACTGTTGGACTATACAGCTCCTGTCACCATTTACCCTGCTAAGTCTCGCTATACAGATTTAACATTCCTGAGAAAGAGAATCTGGTTGACCTAGGGTCAGGATCAGGGTTAGGAACACAAGAGTGGAGCAGGGACACAAGGGGGAATACAGGTCAAATGGTGGTGTACTTACATAACTGGCAAAAATTCTGCATTAGCATAAATTAATAAATTAATCAAATGTCTACTACACTGCCTCTACAATAATTATCACCTAATTATATGAAAAGATTAAATATTTTAAAATGAAAAATTCTTATTTTCCATCAGCATACATACAATAATCATTCATCTAAAATGTAGGCTTGATTTTAACCTATGGCTCATATGAAGACAAACTCTGGGTGTGCTCATCACTTTTTTCCCTGCCTTGGTTCTACAATTATACCCCTCTTACTCCATGTCATCCTGCATAGGTTTTCAGACATCAAAGTATGATGTCAAATTATTGCTATATGCTCTGTGAATAAAGAAATTACTAGACAGGAAGATATTTGTATATGTAATATGCAAGATTCAATTAACTTGAATTTCCCTTTTTTTTTAAAAAAAGGGTATAAAATGAGATAGCATCTTTTTAAGGATTTCAGCAAAAAATGGAAAAGAACAAAAGCAGAGACATTTATAACTTATGCTTATCTTTTATTATTCACTCCAATGTTTTAAAAATGAAACCTAGTCTGACACATTCATCTGAAATATTAATTTTTTATTGTCCCTTTGATGTTCAAAATTAAAATTCTCACTTTCCCTGAAACTTGGCTCCCCTTTAATACGTTCTATTTCTGCCAAAGACACCACCCCACAACTTAATTGTTCTACAAATATTTATTAGGTGACTAGTATATATGAGGCACTTTCTAGAAACCGGGGATAAATAAGGAACAATTTCTGCTTCGTGGAGCCCCCATTCAGATACATTAAAGAAACAAATGTAATGAACATGGCAACTGTTAGAGAAAGTCACAAAAGTACAGCCTTATAGAACAACAGAAAAAAAAGGGATTAGGATGTAAGGAAGATGGACTATCAGACAAATCTTCATGGAGGAAGTCACATTTATCTTAGCAAAGGTAAATGTTACTTAGCAAACAGTGATTATTAATTCAACAGAAGGGTAGGAAGGTTGCTTTAGTAACAGCAATAAGTAATGTTCTAGAAGTTTAAAAATGTATAGCATACTTATGAAACATTCTTTTGTGATTTGAGCAAGGTAATGGCAGAGGGAGGCTATACGATGAGATGGAAAGGCAAGCAAGATGGTGAAGATCCTTGAGTGCCATGCAAGGAGTCCATACCTTCTTCCATAGGCAATGGGGCATCAGCAATGGTGTTTAAGCAGCCGCATGTTCCTACTGTAGCTGTATATACTAGACACTACTCTCCTAATGATTGGAGTTCAAGATCTTAAAGTCATGTACATCTGGTCACCAAGTCCTATATTTTTCTCAAATGTCTCTTACATTAGTTACTTTCCAAGTTTTACAATCAGAAAAATAGTCTAGATTTTTTTCACCACCTAAATATTTTCTGGCTTCCCTTTATCCTTACTTTAATTTATCCACTAAAAAGACACCAGAATTACTCCCCAAAATACTACTTTCATCACATTATTCAATTTTAAAAAACTGTAGTTCTAGAATTCTGAGACTCCAACCATGGCATACACAGCCACTCACTGCTGTTCCCACTCTACTTATCTTCAATACAAACCCTTTAACTAGCTGAGCTGGTAGCATAGGCCCAAGAAATTTTAAAGTTAAAGACATGACCTTTTAGATTTGCTAGTCCAATTTGTTTTAAAAATATAAGCCAGTTCTTCAAACAAAAATGTAAATTCCTTGTCTACCTTAAAATTCCTTTGTATCTACCAAGTCTAATCCTATGATTACTTAAGGTATTCAATAAAAATCTGCTGACCCCAAACAAACTAAAAGTATTGACTAATGCCTTACCTTTGTTAGCTGAAATATTTCTTCCATTATAAATACAATCTACATAAGTAAACAATTTTTTCAATTTAATCAAGTTTTATAATTGCTGTCAAAAACAGATGACCTAAAATTTAACAGTCCTCATTATTCTCTTACCTATTAGCATATCACCACCGTGACAAGCTAGTACAACTCTTTTAACATACCTTTCCTTGTTCTGCATGTCTTTCAGTAAATGATTTTATCTCAAAACACCACTGAGTTATAATATCAAATGCTGGAACTGGCCAATCCAGACAGGAGGCACTGATGAATGGATGTTCTGTTTGGTAAAACGTTGGCAGAAGTCCCAGGCAGCTGGCAAGAACTGAAAATTCTTCTTCTTCCTTTTAGACATGAAATAGGAAATTCTGAAAATATTTCATCAAGAACATTTCCTATTACATAAAAGGTCACCCTCATCAATTACTTTGAGACAATAAGAAAACTTTCTTAACTGAGTCAACTGAAAAAAAGTGAAGGGAGTAAGAGAAACAAGAGAGAAAAAGGTTCCTAGCTGTTATATCTAAATATCCCCAAAATACATCTCTTTGAAATATAACTCCTAAATGTCATCTGCTTCTTTTATACATTTATTTTTTAAATAGAGTTGTTATATATCTAATGGTTCTATAGAACCTAGCTACTCTATGAAAGCAAATGTTAATATGGGGCAAAGAGAAAGTTATTTCTGGTTTAAAACTTTTAGGTTGTCAGTGTGGATAAGGAACAATAATAAAAACATGGAATTCACGAGAGAGTGCTAAATAATGTGCCTAGACTTTGAATGAGTGTGAAACAAAATCAGTTTTAAAAAGGGGGGTGGAATTGTTAGGAGCCAGGTAATCCAAAGCTCTATTTGCTAATAAAAGTACCAGAGATATCAGTGACCAAGAATTCATATCTTAAAAGTTGATATTTAAAGAAGCTTATTAGTCTTGGAAACACAGAAATATATTCCCCAATCCCTCTTTATTTAACCGAAAGACCACATAGGAAGCTAATGTGTCTACTCTCCCTTGTCCACAGAATCAATTCCTATTATCCTCCAAATTCCAGCTCACTAGGGAAGCCTTCCCTGACACCATTTAATGAAACCTCAGACCACTCAGCTCCATTCAGATATAATTAGTCCTTCAAATCTTGTAAACACTTTTATTCTTGCATTTATGTTCCTATTACTTTTTTTAAATTTTATTATTATTATGCTTTAAGTTTTAGGGTACATGTGCACAATGTGCAGGTTAGTTACATATGTATATATGTGCCATGCTGATGTGCTGTACCCATTAACTCGTCATTTAGCATTAGGTATATCTCCTAATGCTATCCCTCCCCCCTCCCGCTACCCCACAACAGTCCCCAGAGTGTGATGTTCCCCTTCCTGTGTCCCTGTGTTCTCATTGTTCAATTCCCACCTATGAGTGAGAATATGCGGTGTTTGGTTTTTTGTTCTTGTGATAGTTTACTGAGAATGATGATTTCCAATTTCATCCATGTCCCTACAAAGGATATGAACTCATCCTTTTTTATGGCTGCATAGTATTCCATGGCGTATATGTGCCACATTTTCTTAATCCAGTCTATCATTGTTGGACATTTGGGTTGGTTCCAAGTCTTTGCTATTGTGAATAGTGTCGCAATAAACATATGTGTGCATATGTCTTTATAGCAGCATGATTTATAGTCCTTTGGGTATATACCCAGTAATGGGATGGCTGGGTCAAATGGTATTTCTAGCTCTAGATCCCTGAGGAATCGCCACACTGACTTCCACAATGGTTGAACTAGTTTACAGTCCCACCAACAGTGTAAAAGTGTTCCTATTTCTCCACATCCTCTCCAGCACCTGTTGTTTCCTGACTTTTTAATGACTGCTTTAAAATCAAATTTGCCTTCTCCATAAAACTGTGAGTTCTCTGGAAGTAGGAACTCTGTCCTCCTAATGCTTGGCACATAGCAGACGTTCAACAAATGTCTGCAAAACTAATTATGCACATTAAGTACAAAATTCTGAAATATGCTACAAAGAAGAAATGCAGATGAAAAAGAAAAATTATATGCAGGCTGAGAAACATGTTAATTTTCAAATATCTAGAAATTTACAATTCTTCCATTTATATAGTTTAACAAAGAAGGCATTTTAAAAAACTTTACTGAGCTATAAATCCACATACCATAACATTCAACCATTTTATGTATAGTTTAATGAATTTTGGTAAATGTATAGTCATGCACCCACCATCACAATACAGTTTTAGAATAATTCCATCACACCCTAAAATTTGCTTATGTTCCTATGCAGCCAATCCTGGCCCCTACTCTTTGGACCCAAACAGCCACTGATATTTCTACTATTAAAATCATACAGGATGTAATCTTATGTACCTGGCCTCTTTCACTTATTTTGAGACTCATTCATGTTATACCACATTTTGTTCATGCATTCACATGTTGATGGTTGTTTCCAGATTTTGACTATGAATTTGGCTATTATGAACATTCATTTAGAAGTCTAAATGTAGACATATGTTTTCATTTCTTCCAGTTGATACTTAGCAGAACTGCTGGGTTGTATAGTAAGCATATGCTTAATATTTTTAAAAACTGCCAAACTTTTTCCAAATTGACTATACCGTTTTGCATTCCTATCAGTAATGAATAAGATTTCTAGGACTTCAAATCCTCGCCAACACTTGGTATTATCACTTGTGATATTAATTGGTACTTCTCTAATGAACAAGGATGTTGAGTATCTTTTCATCTACTTGTTGGCCATTCATATATATTCTCTTAAGAAGTATCTATTCAAGTGTTTTGCCCACTTTTGTGTTGGGTTTTTGTTTTCTTACACTTGAGTTAAAAGAATTTTTGACACATTCTGGATACAAGTCTTCTTTCACACAGCTAGAAAAAAATTTTAGGTATAAGCCACATACCATAAATGTTACTCTTTTAATATATACAATTCAGTGGTTCTCAGTATATTCATGAAATTGTGCAAGCCTTGCCAGTATCAAATTCCAAAATATTTTCATCACCCCATTGTAATTTGAATTATGTTATTAATTTCATTTTCAGATTGCTCACTGCTAGTGTATAGAAATACAGTGAAATTTTTGTACATCTATCTGTATCCTACAACCTTGCTGAACTTATTAGCTCTAATAGGTTTCTTTGGAGATTCCTTATGGTGTTCTAGAGGTAAGGTCATTTTATTTGCAAACGAACTGTTTTACCTCTTCCTTTCCAATCTGGATGTCTTTTTTTCTTTTTCTTGCCTACCTGCCTTGCTAGAAAATTTAGTACAATGCTGAAAAGTGGTGAGAGCAGGCATCCTTGTCTTGTTCCAATCTTGTTCCTGTCTTTCACTATTAAGCATGATGTTAGCTAATAGTTTTTGATATGCTCTTTTATCAGGCTGAGAAAATTCCCTTCTATTCCTAGCCTTGTGAGTGTTTTTACCATGAAAGTACATTAGATTTTGTTAAATGCTTTTCTTTGACAAATGAAATGATCATATGGTTTCCCCCCCATTTATTCAATTAATATGTGAACTAAATTAATTGACTTTTGTTGTCGAACCAACTGTGCATTCCGGGATAAACCCATTTGGTCATGCCCATGTTCAATGCAGCATTAGTTACAATAGCAAAGATATTAATCAACCTAAGTGTCCATTGATGGATGAGTGAATAAAGAAATAGCCCTCTGTATTCAGGAGTTCCATATCCATGTACTCAACCAGCCATACATCAAAAATATTTTTTTAAAAAATAACAATAAAATACAAATAATATAATAACTATTCGTATAGCATTTATATTAGGTATTATAAGTAATCTAAGGTGGAGATGATTTAAAATATATGGGAGGGTGTGCATATGTTATAAGCAAATACTACACTATTTTATGTAAGGGACTTGAACATCTAAGGCTCTTAGTATCTGGGGGGGGAACAAATCCCCTACAGATAGCGATGGATGACTGTATACACATGAAATATTATTCAACCTAAGAAAAGAAGGAAATGCTGTCAATTTATCACAACATGAATGAATCTGAAGGACATTATGTTAAATGAAATAAGCCAGTCACAGAGAGACAAATACTGCATGATCTCACACTGGAATCTTAAAAAGTAGAAGCAGAGTAGAACGGTGGTTGCCAGGGTCTGGGAGAAATGGGGAGATGTTGGCCAAAGGGTACAAACTCTGTTATAAGATGAATAAGTTCTGGAGAGGTAATGTACAGCATGATGACTATATTTAATAATACTGTATTGTATACTTGAAATTTGCTAACAGAGTAGGTCTTAAATGTTATCAGAAAACAGATAACTATGTGAGATTATGGATATGTTAATTAGCCTGATTGTGGTCATCATATACAATGTATACATATATATCAAAACATTACATATTGTATACTATATATATAATTTTTACTTGTCCTTAATATTTATAACTCAAATATTTCTTGTACCTCAATAAAGCTAAAAGAAAAATACCCATTTGGTTATAGTGTACTATCCTTTCTATTGCTAATATTTTGTGAAGGCTTTTGCTTCTATGTTCATGGGAGACATGGGTTTGTAGTTTTTTTCATAATGCCTCATTCAACTATCAGGATAAAACTGGCCTTATAAATTGAGTTCAGAAGTGTTCCTTCTTCCTTTATTTTCTGAAATAGGTTCAGGAGTATTGGTACAATTTCTTTCTTAAATGTCTCAGAGTTTACCACAATGTTATCTTTGTTGGTATAAAGTTCTTGATATTTCTTTTCTGGATGCATAACAATTATATAAGTTTGATAACTAAATTAATTCTTACTTGATATACATATATTCAGATTTTCTATTTCTTCTTGAGTCAGTTTTAGTAATTTGTATCTTTCAAGAAATTTAACCATTTTATCTAAGTTGTCAAACTTGTTGGCAAATGTTATCTATATATTCTCTTATGGCTCAATATGGATGTCTTCCCTTTCATTCCTGATACTGGTCATTTGTACCACCTCTCCTTTTTTTTTCTTATCAATCAGCTCTCTTCCAGCTCAGCTGAGCTCCTGTCATCTGGGTTTTACTGATCTTTGTAAAGAACCAGATTTTGGACTCATTCATTTTCTCTACTGTTTTCACTATTACAACTTCACTGATTTCTGTTCTGATTTTTATTATTTCTTTTCTTTTACTTGCTTCAGGTCTAATTTGCTCTATTTCTAGCTTCATATGGTAGAAACTTAGATAATGATTTAGATCTTTCTTCTTTTTAATTTTTATGCGTTCGTTCATTTTTTAATTTTTTTGAGACAGGGTCTCGCTCTGTCACCCAGACTGGAGTGTAGTGGCACAATCTCGGCTCACTGCAACTTCTGCCTCCAAAGTTCAAGTGATTCTCCTGCCTCAGCCTCCTGAGTAGCTAGGACTACAGGTGCACACCAACATGCCCGGCTAATTTCTGTATTTTAGTAGAGACGGGGTTTTACCATATTGGCCAGGCTGGTCTCAAACTCCTGACCTCGTGATCTGCCCGCCTTGGCCTCCCAAAGTGCTGGGATTACAGACGAAAGCCACTGTGCCTGGCCCTTCTTTTTTCAAATAAAGTATTTGAAGTGATAAATACGCCTCTAAGAACTGCTTTAGCTGGATCCCACAATTTCAGTATATTGTGTTTACATTTTCACTCAGTTAAAAATATTTTCTAGGCTGGGTGAGGTGGCTCATGCCTGTAATCCTAGCACTTTGGGAGGCCAAGGTGGATGGATCACTTGAGGTCAGGAGTTCAAGACCATCCTGCCCAACGTGATGAAACCCCATCTCTACTAAAAATAAAAAAAGATAGCCAGGCATGGTGTTGGGCACCTGTAATCCCAGCTATTCAGGAGGCTGAGGGAGAAGAATTGCTTGAACCCAGGTGCAGAGGTTGCAGTCAGCTGAGATCACACCACTGCCCTCGAGCCTGGGCAACAGAGGGAAACTGTCTCAAAAAAAAAAAAAAAAAAATTATTTCCTTGTGATTTCTGCTTTGATCCACAAATTACTTAGAATTATGATGCTTATCACAGATTTGATGATTTTCTATCTGTTATTAATTTCTAATTTAATTCTGTGTAGTCAAAAAACACACTTTATAACTCACTTCTTTGAAAATTGATACTTTACGGCTTGACACATGGTTTATTCTAATGAACGATATTCCATGTGTAGTTGTATATATATAATATATATTCTGCTGTTTGTTGGAGAAGTTATAGATGTAGTTATGTCATAATAGTGTTGTTCAGGTCTCTTTTATCCTAGTTGATTTGCTCTCTACTTGTTATTGATTACTAAGAAGGCACACTGAAGTCTCCAAATATAATGTAGATTTGTCTGTTTCTTCCTTCAATTCTGTCATTTGTTTATATAATTTGGGGCACTGTTATTTTGTGCATATATGTTTACAATTATTATATCTTCTTGCTCTATTGAGAGAGGGAATTTATTTTACATGTAATGCACAAAATAACTTGGGAAGATGGGAACTGCCAATGGTAGAAAAATAGCAACATTTTTCCAGCTTATGATAGGAAACTCAAAAAATGTTTTGTGTGGCAAGGAACAGCATAGCCTGGGTCCAGATGTTAACAGTGTAGGGTCAGGGTTCAAACTAAATGTTTTCAAATTCTGCCTGCTTTACTTACGAGGTGTGAATCTTGAGCAAGTTACTTCATCTCTGTGCGCCTGCTTCCTTGTCTGGAAAATGAGGATAATAGCTACCTCTCAGTTATAATGAAGTTTATTATTATTATTATTATTATTATTATTTTAGAGACGGAGTCTCGCTCTGTCGCCCAGGCTGGAGTGCGGTGGCGCGATCTCGGCTCACTGCAAGCTCT
Organism: Homo sapiens; assembly: GCF_000001405.40. NCBI lineage: Eukaryota > Metazoa > Chordata > Mammalia > Primates > Hominidae > Homo > Homo sapiens. Next base: position 170,066,895 of record NC_000002.12, on the reverse strand, counting down.
GCCTCCTGGGTTCACGCCATTCTCCTGCCTCAGCCTCCCAAGTAGCTGGGACTACAGGCACCCGCCACCATGCCTGGCTAATTTTTGTATTTTTAGTAGAGGCAGGGTTTCACCGTGTTAGCCAGGATGGTCTCGATCTCCTGACCTTGTGATCGCCCACCTCAGCCTCCCAAAGTGCTGGGATTACAGGCGTGAGCCATTGCACCCAGCCTATAACGAAGTTTAAATGAATTAAAATGCAAAGCACTTAAACAGTGCTTAGCATGTAGTCAATGTGTAGTAAATGCTAGCTATCATTATTTTTTCATGGGAAAATTATTTTGACAGAAGAAGAAAAAAAGGAGATATATTAATGTTCTTCAAGTTTTATGGAGGTGGGGGGGCTAGATAATCATGAGCCCCTCAGAGAATCTTATAACTATTTTCTTCCAATAAAAATGCACATACACAAACTACTTTACAAACAATGCTATGGAACTTAAAAGTTATGTGAAGCTGCTCTATTTAGAATTCTGGAGTTAGAGAATAAATGAGACAGATTCATTTAAGAAGAGAGAAAAGATAAGGGAACTATATAGGTTACTATCATTAGTCCTAACATGGTGGTAGAAATAGTGCTAGACTAAGATATTTAACAAAATTAGGAAGTCTAATAGATTACTGTGGAGAACAAGCTTGCTGTGTTAGAACATCTACTAGTTACCATTCTTGATTATTTCCTATGCTTAACAAAATGTTTGATTAAAAAATGTACTGCTAAGCTTGAGAGTCTCCAGACTATTAGAAAGAATAACTGAATTTAGCAGGACAGCTAAATGTCTAAGATTAATGTTCAAAAATTCCATTAAGTTTCTACATTTTAGCGACACATAGAAAACATAACTCTTAAATGATTCTATTTATAATAAAAGCAAAAAAAAAAAAGGCACGGGATACGTAGAAGCATTTTTTTTGCGGGGGGTGGGGTAGGGCACTACCTATCACTTCCACGGCTCAAAATAGTACTGGATGTGCACTAAGACAACAGAGAAATAAAGACTTAAAATGGGACATATAGTATTTTCAGATTATATGATCATAATTATATAGAATACCTAAAATAGTAAAAAGGCAAGTTATTAGAATAAAAAACTTTGCAAGTGGCCAGTCAGAAAACTATATAAAAATCAATGGTATTTGTACATGCCAGTAAAAATTAATCAGATAATGTAACAGAAGATATCATTTAAATAGAAATCACAACCATAAAGCCTCTAGAATTAATTAGCTTTATAAAAAAAAATGCTCCAGACTTACTTGGACGATTAAAAAATTCTATTAAAAGTGTTGTAATCCAAGCACTTTGGGAGCTGAGGGGGGTGGATCACTTGAGGCCAGGAATTCGAGACCAGCCCGCCTGACCAACATGGTGAAATCCTGTCTCCACTAAAAATACAAAAAAACTAGTCGGGTGCGGTGGTGCGCACCTGTAATCCGAGCTACTTGGGAGGCTGAGGCACAAGAATTGCTTGAACCCAGGAGGTGGAGGTTGAAGTGAGCTGAGATCGTGCCACTGCACTCCAGCCTGGGCAACAGAGTGAGACTGTCTTCCTCCCGCCCACCCAAAAAAAGTATTAAAACACCTGACTAAATGAATGTATAAACCACGTTCAATGTCTTAAAACTATAAATTGAAGATAATTCCAAACCAAAATCTTGTAGGATTTGGGAAGTAACTTGACAGATTAAAAAATGTATATAAGAATAAAAGCTTGGCTGGGTGTGGTGGCTCACGCCTGTAATCCCAGCACTTTAGGAGGCCAAGGCGGGCAGATCGCCTGAGGTCCAGAGTTCGAGACCGGCCTGGCCAACATGGTGAAGCCCTGTCTCTACTAAAAATACAAAAATTAGCTGGGTGTGGTGGTGGATGCCTGTAATCCCAGCTACTTGGAAGGCTGAGGTAGGAGAATTGCTTGAACCCAGGAGATGGAGGTTGCAGTGAGCCGAGACCGCGCCACTGCACTCCAGCCTGGGCGACAAAGCGAGTCTCTGTCTCAAAAAAATAAAAAAGAATAAAAGCTCATATATAGCAAAAAAAAAAAAAAAAAAAAAATAGAAAAAGCAAAAAGACGTCAAGAATAAATTGGACATTCACACTATCAGATATAATGTCTATAATAAAACCACAGTAATTAAAACAAACTGCTGCTAGTACAGAAACAAATAGCTTAATAGTATATAATAATCCAGAAATTTGAAAACTTGATACCATGAAAAATCAGTCCAAAAAAGTTACATTATTTCATAAATAATTTGTACATAGTGCTGGAAAAACTGTCTTATCAAATAGAGAAAAAATTAGAGCTTTACCTCATACCACACCACAAAATAAACTCCAGACTGAATTAAAAATCTAAATGTGAAGATAAAACTATGAAAATAATAGAAGAAAATACAAAATAAATTTATAATTTTAGGGTGGAAAAGGATTTTTTTTTAATTTTTAATTTTTGTGGGTACATAGTAGGTGTGTATATTTCTGGGGTATATGATGGAAAAGAATTTTTAAAATAAGATTCTAAAAGTACAAGTCATAAAGAAAAAGGTAATCGTTCTAACAACATTAAACTGAAAAATTTCTATTCCACAAAGGACACTATGGCTAAACAAAGCCAGTGAAAAGATATCTACTATGCTTAAAAACAGAATGAAGATAATCACAGAAACCCAATTTTTAAAAAGGGCCAGACTAGGAACAGAAAGTATACAGAGGGAAATTTAACTGGCTAAGTATATGAATATATGAAATTGCATTTATAATTAGAGAAATACAAATTAAATTAACCATAAGCATATGCTTTGTACTCAACTGACTGCCAAACATTACACACTGGCTAAGAAGAACTGCTGGCAAGTATATGGGGGAAAACAAGAATCCTCTTGCACTACAAATGGGAATATAAGCCTTGAGCAGCCATTTAGAAAAACAAATAGGTAGAATGTATCCTATGGCTCCAACAATCCCACAGCTGGTACACAGCCCAGAGAAACTTTATATTAAAGAAATCTTTATATTACAATATACAACATATTAGGTTCATAGCAAGAGTTAATTTTTTTCCATGGAAGCAAAGAGTTGGAGGCAGCCTGGATGTTCATCAGTGAAAAATAAATCGATGTGGGAAAAATATATTGGAAGATGACAGCATGAATATGCTGGACAAAAAGATGATTTATGTTCCTAGTAGGACAGTGTGAGACAGGATTTATGTCCCAAACAAGACAGCATGAGATTTCATCATGCTACTCAGAATGGTGTGCAATTTAAAACTTATGAATAGTTTTTTTCTGGAATTTTTCATTTAATATTTTCAGATTGCAGTATACCATGGGTAACAAAAGCCACAGCAAAATCGCAGATAAGGGGGTACTACTGTATACACAAACAAAGTAAGATTACACAGATGACAGAAACTAAATAAAAGGAGAACAAATTTCTATCTAAAGCTCTGATCTCACTTTTCTCACTTCAGTTGAACAGGTCCGCCTAAAGGGTCCAACTATCCCTCAATCTGAATATACACAAAGTACTTTCATTCCATCCCCTGTGCATCTGCCCTGTATTTCCTCCTTCTATTAAGTTTTCCCTAAAAGTTCATGTCTCTCGGTCTCAAGAAACAAGTATAGTATGATTCTTCCTTTTCTCTTGACTCTCACACATTCAACTAGTTGTCACATCCTATTTTATCTCTGAATCTCTAATCGCTCTCCAGCCTCTTCTATTCCCAGTATGTCCTTTCCTAACTGGTCTATTCTGTTCCCATCTGTCTATTCTTCACAATCTGTCTTATACTAGAATGAGGTTTTATCCTGAAACACAATTTGAATCATATCATATTTTTGTCTAACATCTTTCAATGGTCCAAATTCCCTCATATGAAATTCAAGATCCATTACAACTATATTTTAATCTCTTTCTTCACTATGTCACACTGTTCCTTTCTATGCAACATATTGAATGTATTTCTTTCTTGGTCTAAATATGTGTGGTATTCCACTACAGGCATCACTGTACACTCAAACACCAGACCAACTTTCAACGCCCAGCTCAAGAACTTCTGCCTCCACATACTTTCCAACTTATGGGCAAAAAATACTTTCTCATAAAAACAAATGACAAAATAAGCCATAAGGTAACAAGAACAGAGAGAACCACAGCCAATGGCCTTTAAATGTGAAAAAAGTACAGGTGGTAAAAGAAGTTGATTTTGTTTGGTTACTCTTCTCCATGCTTGAGGATGCCCATATGCCAGAAAGAAACACACTTTTTTAAAATATAAAATTTAAAAACTGTGAAAGAAAATATCTAATGAATGATTATTCTAAGAATTTGTTCAACATCTTATAACTCTAAAAAGAATGTTTTGGTGACAAATGTGCAGCATATGTCTTGAAGCACTTGATAAAAATGAAAGAATTCAAAACTATTTAATGTAATGGTGAATTACTTAAGAAAAAGGGAACACAAAACTGCTTAATTCTGATGTACTTCAGGATTCAAAGGCCATAAATATGATAAATGTTTAATTTCCACATCAAATTCCCTAGAACTGAATGGCAGATAAGTCAGGATCACATTCCTATAAGCACAGTTTGGGTTTACTTACCTTCTGGTTTCCTACCCTGTCACTTTCTTGCCCACTCATATCAATCCACAGTTTTATGAAATAGATTAAACCAGTGATAATTCATTCACCCATTTTAATACAACTGGCTACAAACTGAATACTGCTATAAATGCTGTCATATCTTCAACCAACCGGTTTTCTGACCAACATAACTTTTAAAAGAATATTAAAAGCAGACGATGTTAGGGACACAAATGTCAATAAGACTGAATCCTATGGTCCTATTCATCAAGTACTGGGAATGTATCATCATTGATCTAATCCAAAGCTGCTCAAATATCCAATATTAGTAATATTATCATAAAAATGGGTGGATGTTAACAAATACAACAAAAATAGTAAATATCCTAAATATTTATTCCTTTAAGCTAGATTAACATATAGTCATATGACAGTTACATATGTACTACACTACATACCAGTATATTTAAAACAAAATAGCTTATTATAAAAACAAGGCTTGGCTAGTGCGGTGGCTCATGCCTGTAATTCCAGCATTTTGGGAGGCCGAGGCAGGTAGATCACCTGAGGTCAGGAGTTTGAGACCAGCCTGGCCAATGTGGTGAAACCCTGTCTCTACTACAAATACAAAAATTAGCTGGGCCTGGTGGTGTGTGCCTGTAATCCCAGTTACTAGAGGGGCTGAGGGAGGAGGATTGCTTGAACCTGGCAGGCGGAGGTTGCAGTAAGCCGAGATTGTGCCACTGCACTCCAGTCTGGGCAACAGAGAGAGACTCCATCTGAAAAAAAAAAAAGCTCCCTCTTACATATCCCAAATTATCTACCTGGCAGCTAGGTAAATCTTCCCCAAAAAGGTGGTGCTGAAGAAGGCTGGTGATTCTGAGAAAAGGTAAGCAGAAGTCCTGTAAGCATTTTTCCATGGATTCAGGAGACCAAGCAATAGGGTTAACCTAAAGTTAAAAAAGAAAATTTGAACAAGTCAGTCTACAATAAAGAGTTTTTAAAAATTACATTCATAATGGCAAGAAAATGTAAATTTTTTACTAAATAACCGCTACATCTGATTTTTGCAGAAACATACCATTGCACATTCCTGAGTTCCTTCTTCATGGTATAACTTTCCTTTAAATAGTTCACTTATCACAAAGCTCAGTAATACTTCGTAAGACTTTTCTGCATCACATGTACTCTGAAAAAATTAAAATATTGGTTACACTGGTCACTGAAAATTATAAAAAATTTACATTGGAAATAATTTTTAATGAGTAGAGTAAAACTGTGATTATATTATTTTTCAAGCATATGAGCTTCAATTCTTCAAAATTTGGGTAAAACTGTACACCTCTGGATTCACAATGAAACTGGGTAGTTGGTCAAAGCTATTCCAACACTTCTTTAAAAGACAGCATATAAATTACATAATTATATGTAAATAAACATATGTAAATCATGTTTTTTGACCAAGTAATTCCCACCCCTGGGAATTCTTTCCAGGGATATAATCCAAAAGAAAAAAAATAGCTATATGTACAAGACATCCAGTACAGCACTATTACAGCAAGAACCTAGAAATGACCAGCAAGACTGAGGGAGTTACCTAAAAAATGGAATACCAACTTAAAAAACATTTTCTAAGCAGCGAATGTGGCAAATTTAAGCTGTACGAAAAATATTTACAATGTGAAAAGAGCCAAATTTAAAAAAGATATAGTCATTATAGTGGTATAATATATGCATATAACATATGCATACAATAGAAAAAATATAGACCACAAATTTTTTTCATTTACAATTTCCCTCAAATGTCTTTGAGGATTTATTAAAATAATACACTATAAAAATAAAATAGGACAATATATTTATTACAGAATATTCAGATAATGACATTAAGTAACAGTCTACAAGTTGATCTTAGTGTCCTACTTCCATTTTTATCAGAAAGAAAAAATAATGGCTTTTTATGAATTCAAATTTATGTCAATAAGATCTTTATACATAAAGAAATGCAGTTCTTTTTATATTCACTGAAATATAAAGTGTAACATGCAAATTACCATAAAATGTAAATTGGGATAAAGTCAGAACTGCTATGATGTCCTTTATTCTACTTATTAACTATACTTTTAAAATCCTAAAATATAGGAAGGGATAAACACCACAGAATGTAAGTTTAACCTAAACTTTTAAGGCACTGATAGTTTGGATCAGAGAATTTATTATTGGATGATATTTGGTCTTTCTATAGTTCCTCATTGTTTCGTTCATGTTACTGTGCTCTTTCCAACTAGACTGTAAATTCCAAAATATCATGAACTATGCTTTTTATTTCCCACGTATCCCTCTGCATAACAAAAATCTGAGCAAGAAATACCTGCTAATTAACTGATGAAATTTATTTTGGTAATACTGAAGTTTTGGAGTATTGGACCTTGGAACTTGCTTGGGTGTGCCTCTTCTGATAATCACTTCTTTGCATTATCTTTAAATTGCTCCTGTGCTTTCCGCCATATTCACTCAGCCATGTAGTATTATGTCCTGATTCTAAACTATAAAAACGACTCTGACTCTGCGGTGGTTCTCCTTATATCATGTGACTTGCCCCATCCTTACCTAATTAATCACCAGTATGATTACGTGTTAAATATTAATAACCTATAGATTACATATAATTCACAAGAATCAATATCTCGCTAAATATCAAAACAGCAATGTATCATGTTTTTAAAATTGATTTAAGTAAATTATCTCTTAAATAGGCAGAGTTCACCTAAACTCAAAACACTACCATAGATTTGTAGAAAACTCAAACTACCACAGATTTGCTATTTATTAATCAATGTGGCATAGTTAAGTTTCTCTAAATGTACAATTCAGTCTAAAAGCTTCCTAAATTCAATATACTTTTCTGAGTAAAAGATTCAAAGAGTACAACAGAAGAGTATTTCTGTTCAGATCAGCTAAGTAAGTCACTGAGTGATAACTTGACTTTTAAGTCATTATTAACAAATACATTTTGAGCACTTATTTTACACATGGCAAATTTTATATCATATCAGAAAGTTAAATATAATGTAATGTTCACTGCTTTGTATTGAGACTTCTTCACAATACAAAGTATTAAGAAAAATATTTTATATAGGCAATCTTTGAATAAACGAAAAAGTAGGCTCTTGAAGCTTAAGAAAGATGATTTCTGAGAACATGGATGAAAGACCTAAAATCGAGATAAGAAGAATCCTAAGGGGGAGGTGGCAAAAGTATGTGGGTTAAATTTAAAAAAGGATCAAGGGTCGAGAGATGCAAGAGAGTCTGTGCTGGGTAGAATACTTTGTCTAAATTACAGTATTTCTTAAAGTTTTTGATTTCAATATGTTTTGGATGCTATGATACCACACCCCAGCAAACAAAACAACAAAACCTATCCAAGGATCCCAGACTAAGAAATTCTAGTAGGCTGGGCATGGTGGCTCACGCCTGTAATCCCAGCACTTTGGGAGGCCAAGGTGGGAGGATTGCTTGAGGCCTGGAGTTCAAGACCAGCCTGGGCAACACAGCAAGACTTCCTCCCCACAAAAAATGGGAAAGTTAGCCAGGTGTGGTGGTGTGTGCCTGTAGTCCTAGCTACTTCAGAGGCTGAGGTGGGAGGATCAATTGAGCCCAGGAGTTTGAGGTTGCAGTGAGCTGTGATCATGCCACTGCACTCCAACGTGGGCGATAGAGTGAGACCCTGTCAAAAAAAAAAAAGGAAGAAAAGATAAGAAAAGAAAGAAAGGAAAAGGAAGGAAGGAAAGAAAAAGAAAAAGAAAAAAGAAAAGAAATTCTAGTATAAAGACTCTTAGCAGAAATTCCATTGACCAAAAAAGTATGAGTTACACTAACTGGAATGATGACTTTTTCAGAACTAAATCTCATTATCAAATTAACACCCCTTCAAATAATATATAATACCGATATTTTTACTACCATAGGCCAGATGAGATCTGGCAAAAATACGTTTTCATTACAATTAGTATGCCAAACATAAGCAATTAAAGAGATGAAGCGAATAAGTGAAATTCAATGAAGAAAGGAAGAAAGGAAGGAAAGGGGTGAGAGAAGACGTAAAGAAGGAAGTGAAAAAATAAGAGTAATCAATGATGCAGAAATCTAAGTAGTTACAGAGGTCACAGTGGTATATTTCATCACTCATAAATATGGTTGTCTCCCAGTTTCCATGATGGATGGGTTCCAGGAACCACCCCTTGGAAACCAAAATCCATAGATCCTCAAGTTCCTAACATAAAATAGTGTATTACAGTATAGTTGTTGGTATTACAGGCATTTACAAACTGCTATGTATCTAAATGTTTATGTCTATTATAGAAAAAGCTAATAACGTAGTAAATCAACCTACAGACTATCGTAATTTTTAATTTTCTTTCACTAAAGAAAATTATATATTTATATAGCTATAAACTAATACACTAATATATATTTATATGGCTATAAGCCAATATACTTCTAATTAATGTTCTGATAAGAATCTGTCTCATATAAAGTATTTTATTAAGTGTTTTTTAAAAATAACTAACAATTACGAGGTTCAGAAAAAAACTGGACCAGTTACCTAAATTACATCATGTTCCTCCCTTCATAGATTTACAATTGTAAATAGTTAGACCCAAATTTTATCAGCAAATTTCTTAAATGTGTTATTTTTCATGATTAGACAGCTTACTAAGGAAACATTTAAATAATGACACAGCACAGAAACCTAATATACCTCATTTGAATACTATCTGAACACTAACAATCCAAATATCAGATTACATTGCAGTCAGAAAAATTAAAAGAATATTTAGGAAAAATAGGCCAGGCAAGGTGGCTCATGCCTGTAATCCCAGCACTTTGGGAGGCCAAGGCAGGTGGATTACCTTGAGTCCAGGAATTCAAGACCAGCCTGGGCAACATGGTAAAAACCCAGCTCTACTAAAAATACAAAAAATCAGCTGTGTGTGGTGGCACAAGCCTGTAGCCCCAACTACTCGTCAGGGCTGAGGTGGGAGGATCCCTTGGGCCCAGGAGGTTGAGGCTGCAGTGAGCCCTGATCATACCATTGCACTACAGCCTGGGTGACAATGAGACCCTGTCTCAAAAAAAAAAAAAAAAAGAAAAAACTAAAGATAATTACAAAAAGAAAAACTGTCCAAGAATTAACCAGCAACAAGGGGGAAAAAATCTTTCAAGAAAGACAGAAATTAATTTTGAGAATTTAGAATAACAGAATTGAAATAGAAGTGCCCTTATAAATCATATGGTCCAAACCTTTCATTTACCTTTGAGAAAGCTGAGGCTTAGACAGTTATGTTTTGACTAAAAAAGTAACATCTCTATTTAGTAGCAGGAGATTGGCCTTGTACTTGGGTTTGATGGCCAACTGACACATAATAAATAATTATTCTTAACCCATAATTAAGACACAGTGAACTCTGTGATGATACGATATTAAATGTACACATAATTGTGATATGAGAGTAAACTGATGATAACAGTGAAGGTTATATTGAATACATTTCATGTATTTATAATTGGTTTTCTCTCCTTTGATACAAGTAGATATAATTTCAACAAAAAAAGTTTTAATGACATTTAAAAACCCCTTAAGACTCTGTGAGCCAATCAAAAGGTTCAATTTACACTATACCTATTATTTTTCCTACCAACTTCTACAAATAAACACTGAAGCAATTTTCTTCTTTTATCTGTCTCTAAGCTGAACCACTCAGTTCTTCGGTTCTATAACTCTATAGTATCTCATTTGTTCTCAAGCTACTGAAAGTATTTACATTTAGCATAATTTTTCTAAATAGTTTGCATAATTTAGCTTAAACTGAGTTCCTTTGAGTTTCCTAAGAACTTGTACATATTCTAACAAGAAAAAAGGTAATATTTCAAGATGCATAATTAAGAAAAGGCTAGGACTGGCCGGGCGCGGTGGCTCATGCCTGTAATCCCAGCACTTTGGGAGGCTGAGGTGGGCGGATCACAAGGTCAGGAGTTCAAGACCAGCCTGGCCAACATGGTGAAACCCTGTCTCTACTAAAAATACAAAAATTAGCTGGGCATGGTGGCAGGCGCCTATAGTCCCAGCTACTCAGAAGGCTGAGGCAGGAGAATTGCTTGAACCCAGGAGGCAGAGGTTGCAGTGAGCTGAGATTGTACCACTGCACTCCAGCCTAGGTGACAGACAGAGAGTCTGCCACAAAAAAAAAAAAAAAAAAAAAAGAAAGAAAAGACTAGGATTTTAAATTTAGAAGTGGTGCATCAAAAGCTATCTTTGGATTGTGATTGGGGATAGGGACAAAAAGAAAAAGTGGCGAATAAAATAGATAAGTCTGCAGATATTTTATCATGTGCTCACTGTGTTAGCACAATTTTTATAACTTCTCTAAGTTTAAGGCTTGCAGAAAAAGCAAAACAAAACTGCTCAAATATAAAGGGATAAAAGGATGAGGTTTAGAGACAGATATAGAAGTCCTCATTGTTTAGTGAAAACATTTTAAACATTTTTTAGCCTGTAGGTGCTCAATTTACAATTAAAATACCAATAACTCATTTTGTAACACCTACTCTTATTCACTCAATATCCCCAGCTTAAATGACTTCACCTACCTGCTAAATGACAAATTTAGAAAGAGCCTAACCTTTTTGAGAGCTCCCGCGTGTTTCCAGGCTGACCTATCTTCTTCGCTGCATTTAACTGAGAGTGCTGCAAGAGCCTGTGTGTACAGTAGGGTAAAAAGTACCTTCACAATGCAGGTAAAGTGGTCTGCAAGAGAAAAAAAATCATTATTTCTTTGGAATCTAGATATTTTGTACTCAACATAGTTTTACAAATATATGCCTTTCCTTGCATATGTAATTGGTTTTTGTTTTCAACACTTAATAGTTTTTTTGTTTGTTTTTGAGACGAGGTCTCAGTCTGTCACCCAGGCAGTGTGGTGCCTGGAGTACAGTGGCATGATCACAGTTTACTGAAGCCTCGACCTCCCAAGCTCAAGCGATCCTCTCATCTCAGCCTGTAATCTGCCCCGCCCAACAGTAGCTGGGACTACAGGCATGTGCCACTACGCCTGATTAGCTTTTTATTTTTTGTAGAGATGGGGCCTCCCTATGTTGCCCAGGCTAGTCTCAAATTCCTTGGGCTCAAGCAATCCTCCCACTGCAGCCTCCCAAAGAGCTGGGGTTAGAGACATGAGAGTCTGAAATTATAATGTACTATTATATTTGCTGCCCAACAGATCTGAAATTATGAAAGCAAAATTCCTCTATTCATCCAAAGAACATATAAATGAGAAGTACTCAGCATAGTGGAAAGGGTGCTCTCTTTCAGAAGACCAGAGTGCTAATGCCATTCAACCTTGGAATAGCTGTGGAACCCTGGCAAATGCCCTTCCTGGGCTTCACATGCTCAATAACAACGTTTGGGAGTCTCAATGTTTAAAACCAACACATCATCTACCCCTATATGATGCACATCTTAATAAGGATAGTATTATATGGAATATGATATAAATCTTACAAAGTTAAAAAAAATCTTGATGTTTAGGTTACTAATTTGGCTTCAGAATTTAATGAAAACTATAGCAATAAGCCTGGGCAACACAGACCCCCTCTCTACAAAAATTTTTAAAAATAGCTGGGTGTGGCCAGGGGCGGTGGCTCACGCCTGTAATCCCAGCACTTTGGGAGGCTGAGGTGGGCGGATCACAAGGTCAGGAGTTTGAGACCAGCCTGGCCAACATAGTGAAACCCTGTCTCTACTAAAAAATACAAAAAATAAGCCAGGCATGGTGGCGGGTGCCTGTAATATCAGCTACTTGGGAGGCTGAGGCAGGAGAATCGCTTGAACCCGGGAGGCGGAGGTTGCAGTGAGCCAAGATTCTGGCATTGCACTCCAGCCCAGGCAACAGTGTGAGACTCTGTCTCCAAAAAAAAAAAAAAAGCTGGGTGTGGTGACAAGCACCTGTCATCCTAGCTACTTGGGAGGCAGAGGATCACTTGAGCTCAGAAGGGAAGGCTATAGTAATCCAAGATCACTCCACTTAACTCCAGCCTGGGCAATGGAGTGAGAGCCTGTCTCAAATAAAGATAAAAATAAAAATAAAAAACTTAGCAATATGAAATAGTAGTAACAATATGTAAAGTGCCTGGTAGCTTCTGGCACATATTAGGTACTTAATAAATGGAAGCTTTAATACTGATAATTAACATTTATATTTACCTAATAACTTAGCAATTTTCTTCAAGTGTCTCATTCAATCCTCAAAACAGTCTCAACAGGATAACTGAGCTTCAGAAAGATGTGCTTGTGATATCAAAGCTAATAAGCACCCAGGTCTGAACTTGAATCCATATAGATCATTTTTCTTCAGGTTCAGTGTTCCTTCTATTATATTATACTCCTCCCCTAGTAAATGGATACTACCATTTAATCAGTTGCTGGAGTCAAAAACTTGCAGATATTCTTGACAATTTCCCCATTAAAATAATCACCAAGTCCTGTTAATTCTACTTTTTAAATATTTCTCGTCAGTTTCAACACCCTGGACTAGACTTCCATCCTTTCTTGCCTAGACCTATAATCCCAGCTAAAGTGGCTGTGTTGGGGGTCCCCAAGACCACTGCCAGGTTTGATGATTCACTAGGAGGACTTAAAAGACTGAGTACAGAGTCATACTCATAGCTGTTATGACTTATGACTGCAAAAGGATAAAAGTTAAAATCAGCAAAGGGAAAAAAGGCACATTGGGTGAAGTCCAGAGGAAACTTCCAGAGTCTTCTTCCAGTAGAACCACACAGGATGTGCTAAACTCCCCCAGCAACAACCAGCTGTGATGGCACGTAGGAAATGGATACCAGGGTATCTCATTAGAGACTCAGTGCCCAAGGTTTTTACTGGGGTCATGCAGGTACTCTCTTCCTAGTACATACCAAAATTCCAGACTCTCAAGAGGAAAGCAGGTACATTCGGCATAAACCATACTCTTTGTACAAACAATTTAGGCATAGTGTGCCACTCTTATCAATTCTGGGAATGGTGGGACCCCTCCTGAAATCCAAGTTCCCAGATGCTAGTCAAGGCCTAACCTTGCAAGCAGGCCTTTCAAAGGACAGCAGTCAGGCCTTCTATGTTAATTCTTTCCAGCACAGTAGTTTATCTGTATCACCTCTCAGCCCCCTGCAATCTACTTTCCTTATTCCAGCCAGAATGATCTTTTATTTTTCCTCCAGCTTTACTGAGGTATAATTGACAAAAATTATATTATTGAAGGTAGACAATGTAGTTTTGATATAAGCATACACTGTGAAATGATGGTCACATCAAGTTAACTAACATATTCATCATCCCATATGGTTACATGTGTCTGTGTGTATGTGTGTGCACTGAGAATACTTAAGATCTCTTTGCTTAGTGCATTTTAAGTATACAAGAGAATATTACAGCTATAGTCATCATGTTGTATATTAGATCTCCAGAACTTATTCATCTTATAACTGAAAGTACACACCCGTTGACCAACATCTCCCCATTTTCCCCACCTCCCTGTCCCATGTGAACCACCCTCCTACTCTCTATTTTGACTTGTTTAGATTCCACATATAAGTGAGATCATGCAGTATTTCTCTTTTTGTGGCTTATTTCATTTAGCATAATGTCCTATGGGTTCATCCATGCTGTCGCAAATGGCAAGATTTCCTTCTTTTTTAAGGCTAAATAACGTCCCAGTGTACTTATATGCCACATTATCTTTATTCATCCATTGACAGACACTTAGGTGGTTTCCATATCTTGGCTATTGTGATTAAAGCCATAATGAACATGGGAGTGGAGTGCAGATGTCTCTTTGAGATACTGATTTTACTTCCTTAGGATGTACACCCAGAAGTGGGACTACTGGATGATACAGTAGTTCTATTTTAGTTTTTTGAGGAACCTCCATACAGTTTCAGGATGCCCAGAACTAAGGAAAAACAATGAGTCAACAATCAGAATGAGTCATATTAGAGAAATATTTAGATGACAGAAATTATAGGATTTCATGGACCTTTGGAGGTAGAGGGTGATGGTGGTATCTCATAGACGTAGCAGCATTGACTAAAATGTAAAACAGAGGATGAGAGCAGGCTTGGATAGGTAGAAAATTAACATTATATATACTGAGTTTGAGGCATGTCTAAAAATTCAAGTCTGGAACTCACTGGGGAGTTGTAGTCTAAAGCTAGAGATTTGGGAATCATCAGATAATAGGTATAGTTAAAGCTATGGGAAAAAAGATAAAATTGTGAAGGAAGAGGACAGTAAATAAAGAACAATTCATTTAAAAAGAGCCTGAAAATGAGTAGGAAATGAGACAGTAGAAGAACTAGGAAAGGATGGTGCCGTCAAAGTCAAGAAAAATATTCCATCATTTAATGAAATATTTTAATAAGTGACAGACATTACAGAATTTGTCTATTAAGTACAAACAAAAACATCCTAACCAGAAAGTCATTTATATTGTGTAGAAACACCACTGACATATAGCTTCTTCTTAAACTATACATACATATATTTTTTCTTTTACTAAAAAGAAGTGATGTGGCCGGGCGCGGTGGCTCACGCCTGTAATCCCAGCACTTTGGGGGCCAAGGTGTGTGAATCACCTGAGGTCAGGAGTTTGAGACCAGCCTGGCCAACATGGTGAAACCTCGTCTCAACTAAAAATACAAAAAATTAGTCGGGCGTGGTGGCGGGTGCCTGTAAGCCCAGCTACTTGGAAGGCTGAGGCAGGAAAATCACTTGAACCCAAGAGATGGCGTTTGCAGTGAGCTGATAATGGTGCCATTGCACTCCAGCCTGGGCAACAAGAGTGAAATTCTGTCTCAAAAATAATAATAATAAAATAAATAAAATAGAAGTAATGTACTAAAAGAAATGATAGCCACTATAGTTTTAGCTTTTCATTGTAGAAAAGTACTAATTTCTGGTTTTAGTCCATTTGTCTGTCTTGATTATCATCATTTAAAAAAATACAGTCAGCTCTTTGTACCTGTGGGCTCCTCATCCATGGATTCAGCCAATCATGGCTCAAAAGTATTTGGAAAAAAAAAATAGATGGTTGTGTCTGTACTGAACATGTACAGACTTTTGCCCTTCTCATTATGCCCTAAAAAATACAGTATAACAACTATTTATATAACATTTATATTGTACTAAGTAATCTAGAGATGATTTAAAGTATATGAGAAGATATGTGTAGGTTATATGCAAATACTACACCATTTTATGTAAGGGACTTGAGTATCTGTGCATTTTGGAATTGGCAGGGGGTCGTGGAACCAATCTCCCATGGATACCAATGGATGATTAACTGGCAATTTAAAGTCAAGGCTTAAGTTCTCATATTCACTTGTTCATTTAACAGATGTTTATTTATTGAATGCTTGCCATGTGTAACACCAACATCTTTTAGGGACCTACAAGAAACAAGGAATCTCTCACATGAGGTTTATATTAGGTCAACAGGCTGCTAACTACCAACATTAAAACAGAAAACAAAGTCCTTCAAATACAATTATCAACATTTAAAAAGAACAAAAAAGGATTGGACATCTAATCTAAGTCAATGTGTTTAAAAACTACAATAACAACAAAAAAAACTATCAAAATACCTGAGGACGAACAAAGGAAGATCAATACTTACTTGAAATGCCTTAGAAGCAAACTACCTGTAGTTTCTTTTAAGACAAGGTAGAGTATATCTAAAATAACAAAATCCCTAGGGGAAGAGCACACAGGTAAACAGGACATGATCTGAAGAAGGTATCAGACATTTTATTCTGTTCCTATCACCATGATAATTTTTTGTAAAAATACTATTCCACTGCTTCCATAAAGCACTTTGCATATACCACATGCAGATGTCAAATCTTCTCAGTCTTACCTTTTATGATTTGGAGTTACTAACTACATGTGCTCTGACCCTCTCCAAAAAGTCTAGTCTACAAGAAAAATCAATTTGTGATGTTCTTTTCTGTGTGAAAAACTCAAGTCTATTTTCTCTCTGATGAGTGAAGAATCCAAACGGTTTAAAAAGACTTCATTTGCCTTAGTCAACATAGAACCAAGAAAAGATACCAAGTCCGTCTAACAACTAATAGGGTAGTAAATGCTGGTCCTTTGGGTATACTTCAGGCAATTGAATTTTGGGTCCAATAAACTGCCAACATTCTCAAAAAACATTATATAGAAGTGATCACAATATAAGTGTTAAAGATTCAAATGAAAGTAATAGCTTTCTTGAATTTTAAAATGGAAAATAAGCAATTTACCATAAAATAAGAGTATTGTGTTTTTAACACATCCACTGTATCCCCAAAGCATTTACTGAACATATGATGTACCAAGTGGGCATTAGGATAGATAGTGCTGCTAGTCTTGGAGGAACTGACAGTCTGGAGAGGGCGATAGTAAAGAAAATCAGACAAGTCAGACAAGTATCAAAACAGAATCACGGAGAAGTTATTATGGCAATGAGAAAAAGGATATCCAATAGAAAGGCTTCTAGAAAGGGCAACACAAGGTAAAGGACCATCATGAGTTATTAAGTAAAGAATGGATAAATGGCAAACACTTAAAGATGCTCACAATTCTCCTATCTTAAAAACAAAAAATAACCCCTTTGAAATAGTAATCCCCCCCTTATCCTCAGGAGATACACTCCAAGACCCCAGGGGATGTCTGAAACTGCGGATAGTTCTGAATCCTACATCTGCAGTACTATGTAACAAGATGGGTTTGAACTGTGCAGGTCTACTCATACAAGGATTTTCTTCCACTTTTGCCACCCCTGAGACAGCAAGATCAACCCTTCCTCTTCCTTAGCCTATTCAACATGAAGATGACAAGGATGAATACTTTTATGATGATCCACTTCCACTTAATGAATAGTAAATATATTTTCTCTCTTATAATTTTCTTAATAATGTTTTCTTTTCTCTAGCCTTACATTGTGAGAATAAAGTACGTAATACATATAACATAAATTATGTGTTAATTGACAGTGTTATTGGTAAGGCTTCTGGTCAGCAATAGGCTATTAGTAGCTAAGTTTTTGGGAAATCAAAAAATATGTGCAGTGGATTCAACTGCATGGTGGAGTGGGGTGGGAAGTGGAGAAGTAAAGGGGGACCACACCCTTAGCCTCTGTGTTGTTCAAGGGTCAACTGTACATACATACCTATGATAAAGTTTAATTTATAAATTAGACACAATAAGACATTAACAATAATATAGAACAATTATAATAAAAATTATGAAAATCTGATCTCTCAAAATTATTTACTGTACTATGGCCATAACTTTTACTATTTAAGGTGTGATTGTGAAACTAGCACAAATTTGTTTTTCCTTCTTCATAATTTCATGGATAGAAGACTCATTCTTACCAAAGATCTTAGTAACCTCAGCATACAATTTTTTTCCTTTCCTTTTTAAGTAAGGAATTTTCACCTTTTCACTTAAAAGAAAAAACTTTAGTTTCTCTTTGGCGTATCCAAATTGCCAGTGTCAACTTAAGAAACACAAGGTTTACGAATTTGGAAACGAGGGCTTTATTTCTCATAAAAGGTTGCATCCTGCAGGCTAGCCATCAGCAAGCTGGGAATCACAGCCTCTAGCATAAGCCAAGAGCAAGTCCTTTGAGGAAGGTCAGGAATTTATGCTAAATAGGGTGGCTAAGTGTACACGTTCAATAAGCTATAGGAAGAGTCATGAGTATTTATGAAAGGAGAAACACGCACATGAGCAATTTAGCTTCATGCCTCTTCATGGGTTGCGTGTTCAAAAAATGGTGGCAACAGCATGATGCCAGAGTGAGGTTTTGACCCTCTGACACTAGAAGGTAGAGTAGAAGACACAAAAACCCTCACTGAACTTCCTCCATGAATCGGCCAAAACTAGTCCAGAGATGCTGGTCAGCTTTGGGGAAGGGGTGTATTGTAAAATTGCAAAGAGGGACAGGGGAGTTCAGTTGCAACCCCAGATGATTGGCTAAATGTGATTAAAGAATGATCCTCACAATGATCCTAAAGAATATCGTTCACACCTCAGTGTGCCCCTCCCTTATCAACCTTTAACCTGAATTATTTTCTAAGGAGTAAGCAGAAGCCAGCTCTAGAAAACAAGAAACAAAAGATCATTCTTTAATAACATCTGTTCAGTTGAGGAGCTTAAGATTTTATTTTTATTTCTCGCCACCATCACTAGTCTTGTGCTTTGGGGCCATTATTAAGTAAAATAAGAGTTACTTGAACACAAGCACTGTGATACCACGACAGTTGTTCTGATAGCCCACATGGCCACTAAATGACTAATGGGTGGGTAGCATCTACAGTGTGGATATACTGGACAAAGGGATGACTTCATTTCCCAGGGAGAAAGGGACAAGACAGCATGAGATTTCAGTGTACTACTCAGAATGGCATGCAACTTAAAATGTATAAATTATTTATTTCTGGAATTTTCCATTTACTCTTTTTGGACCAAAGTTGACCACTGGTAACAAAAACCACAGAAAGTGCAACCATGGGTAAGGGGGGACTACTGTACATCACGTATGGCTTCTGTTCTCCTCCTCCATTCTCTCTTGAAAGATCTCTCTGTTCACTGTCTCAATTCTCTCACTTCCTTCTCATTTCTCATCCCACTGTAATCTGCTGATTCTACAAAATATATTTGTATATGGCCAGGAGTCCCCAGGATAATATATAAGTAATTAAATTTTAGAGGTCAAAATCCTTTTGAAAATCTGGTAAAAGCTGTGAAACTACTCAGAAAAAAATGCACATATATGTACAATTTTTTCCTTACCATTTTAGGATTTCTTAAAGCCTATTAATGAACTCTGGAACCACATACTAAAAAGCCTTGGTCTTAGGCCAGCACAGTGGCTCATGCCTGTAATTCCAGCACCTTGGGAGGCCAAGGCAGGTGGATTCCTTGAGCCCAGAGTTCGAGACCAGCCTGGGCAACAAAGTGAGACCCCCCCCCCGACACCGCCACCGTCTCTACAAAAAATAAAATTAGCCAAATGTGGTGGTGTGCACCTGTGGTCCCAACTACATGGGGAGTCTGAGGCAGGAGGACTGCTTGAGCCCAGGAGGTCAAGGCTGCAGTGAGTTATGACTGTACCACTGTACTCCAGCCTGGGCAACAGAACAAGACTGTCTCCCCAAAAAATAAAAAAAATAAAGCTTTGGTCTGAAGAGGCTATCAAAGACTGTTGGGGTTACATCAATAGGATACAAGCCAACCTGAAGTATTTAAACAGTTATTATTTTACTATGGGACTGAAGGACACTAAATATATTAAAATCCAAGAATTCATAATACTGGGAAAAAAGCAATCATCTTTGGAGAATGCTAAAAAAAAAAGTCATTTTTCTGAAAACTGGTACAAAATCAAGCATTTAACCTGCCTTTCCTATATCAACTTTACCAATGTGTAAACAAATAGGAAAAATAGGAAAAAATTTTAGTTTTATGAATTCCACTTAAGAAATGAAATAATTAAGGAATAAATCTAGAGAATAATCAATAGCTTCTACTGTCACATAAAGAGGAACAACTGGAAATTATATCTCCTGATAAAAAAGTATTTAACATTATCCATGAAGTATTTTTGTAAAAAGAAATAAGAAACTGATTCCATCTAAATCTATCTGCCAGTCTGTAGGACACACACAGGGACAGAAGATCATGTTATTATATGATATTGTTGGGGGTACAAGTAGCAAAATAGAGACTATGGTAAGTTCTAAAGGGAAAAAGACTCAGATTCTTCAACAAATAAAATGCAAGGAGGTAGGAGGAGGGAGGCAACCCACAGATTTAAAAGAACTATAACAACCAAATCCAATGTATGGATCTTTTTTGGATCCTAAGCCAAATAAACCAAATAATATTTAAAAATAATTTACAGGCTGGGCACAGTGGCTCACACTTGTAGTCTCAGCAGTTTAGGAGGCCGAGGCAGGTGGATCACAAGGTCAGGATATTCAGACCAGTCTGGCCAACATGGTGAAACCCTGTCTCTACTAAAAATACAAAAATTAGCCAGGTGTGGTAGCAGGCGCCTGTAATCCTAGCTACTTGGGAAGCTGAGGCAGGGGAATCGCTTGAACCCAGGAGGCAGAGGTTGCAGTGAGCTGAGATCGTGCCACTGCATTCCAGCCTAGGCGAGAGAGAAACTGTCTCCAAAAAAAAAAAAAAAAAAAAAAATTTACAAGAAGCAACTATGGAATTTGAACACTGATGGGATATTTACTGATATTTAGGCATAACTGTTCATTTTTAATTGTGTTCACGATTTTTTAAAATTATTTTAAGAATCCTTATCTTTTAGAGATACATACTGAAGACTATAGAGATAAAATGATATGTGGTCTGGAATTCGCTTCAAAATAACCACAGGTGGGAGGGAGGAGGGAATAAGTGAGGGTATAAATGAAACAAGACTGGCCATGAGTTGATATGGGGGTTCATGAAACTCTGCTCTTTACTGTTATGTATGCTTGTAAATAAATAGTTTTTTAAGCCCTTGGTTTATAACAAAGCAAAACTGAGATATTTTCTTTCTTCAAGTCAATGGAAAATAATAAGCAGGATTCAAGCTCTCTTTTCTGGGCCCTGCTTATGGGATCTTGGAAGCAGGGATATTCTATAATCACTGGTCCCAAATGCTCTATAGAATCTTGGGAGTCTGTATTCTATACAGCATGGTTAAGAACAGATTTGTGAAGCTCCTCAAGAACAGCAACATGATCCAAACCTGGGTAACTGACCCTCCCTGATACAGTCTGATTGTCTCCCCACCCAAATCTCATCTTGAATTTTAACTCCCATAATTTTAACTCCCTCGTGTTGTGGGAGGGACCCAGTGGGAGATAACTGAATCATGGGGGTGGTTCCCGCATCCTGTTCTCATGGTAGTGAATAAGTCTCATGAGATCTAATGGTTTCATGCAGGGAAACCCCTTTCACTTGGCTATCATTCTCTTCTCTTGTCTGCTACCATGTAAGACGTGCCTTTTGCCTTCTGCCATGATTGTGAGACCTCCCAGCCATATGGAACTGTGAGTCCATTAAACCTCTTTCTTTTTTAAATTGCCCAGTCTCAGATGTGTCTTTATTATCAGCATGAAAATGAACTAATACACTCCCTATAAAGGATGATGATTTTATGTCTTAAACCCTGGAGGCTCAAAAATAAGAAAGAATTTTAGCCTGAGAGATAATAATTGTAAATTTTGTGTGAATCATCTAAGGAGATAATAATTGTAAATTTTGTGTGAATCATCTAAGAGGGCTTCTTAAAAAAGAAGGTGAAGTTCCTCTCTTAACTCTCATCCTGCTGCCTTAAACTAGACTGTGATGGCTAGAACTCTTAGCAGCTACCTTGGCACAGGGAGATGAGGGCCATACCATAAAGAATCTGGTGCTGTGAAGTAGAAGTGTCCGGCCTGCCTACTTTCACACTTCTTTCTACATGAAAGAAAAACAAGTAGTATCTTATTTAAGCTACTGTGTTAATTTGGTTTCTTCTTTATATTATATAGCCAAATCTGATCCTAAGTTATAAATCTTCTTTCCCCTTGTACATAAAGAACTAAATATGAATACCTGAAAACAGTGATGTCAGAAGTTACTTCCGAGTTTATTCTTTAGAGGCCAGTGATGTGATGGGTATTATGAAACATAAGATGCAAGGACATAAGAGATCAAAGAAAAAAACTTGTCTTTAATATATTTAATTTGAGCTTCTGATGAGATAATTGGCATAAAAAGGTCTTTCAACCTGAAAACAATGCTAAGCATTAAAAGATTTAAGAGGTATATAGCTAGGTTTCTGCATCCATCTATTTTTCAGATAAAACCATGGGAAGCATTTAACGTTCTAGTAAGTCTAAACAGTAAAATTTCCTTCCTCTGCTTTTCTCTTCTAATAACAAACAATAACTTAAACAGTTACACAAATACATATTCTTACAATAAAAATAGTTTATAATAACACTGTCCCAATAAAGACCACTATTAACTCTTACATCAAAAGGGAGTGGAGAAGAAAAATTTATATTAATAACTCCTTATCTCCCCAACTCTCCACCTCCCCTCAAAAAAAACCTCTGTGGAAAATTAATGTAATTAAGCTCTGAACTTCCTAGGAATTAAAGGCCTCTATCCAGTTCTCAAAGTGTGAAAGACTAAAAAAATTAATAAGGAATGGCATTTTTTTCTCTGACCCTAAATTCTAAGAGGAATTCATCACCACAATGACAGCTAGCAAAATATTACACAATGTGTTCGACAGCAGTATAATCTAATATCAAGATAATCCAATCTTGAATTATTGTAAAATTTTAAGAAATAATATAAAGCACAAGTTTTAAAAGCAATTCTAACTACAGGTAAATTTAATGACTGCTAAATACCTAGCTATTTGGCTCCCCAAGGGTGAAGTACATGTTTTGGTCATCTTTGTGTGTCCAGCACTTGGCAAAGAAGCATAGCAACCTGGTACACAGTAGGTACTTATTAAGTATTTCTTGAACTGAATCAAGCAATGAATTTATTGAATTTGCTTATTAAATTTGTCCAAGAAACTCTTCTTTAATGATATTACTTTAAGGCATGATTATTAACAATATTATACATTTTTACATTGATGATTTCCTGAATTTATTCTATTTATTTAACCATTACTAAGATCAATTTTCTTGACTCACTTTATGATATAGTTTTTAAACTCTGTTTCTACTGAATTAAATTCAGTAAGTTTGGTTAATTTCATGTATTGCATCCTCTTTGAGCATGAACTTCGTCTTCTGTTGAAAGCCAGTGCCAACAGTAACTTCTGACAACGAGGGTGATGCACCAGCTACAGCTCTCAGACACTGACACAACAGGTCCTTTACTCTTAACTAAAATATTTTTCTCTTTAGATTAAATATTGATTAATATAGATTAAATAGTGACAGAGAGACAATCTTCTCTATGTCAAGTTTCCTTCTCTTTTACCTTTTCAGGTTTATGTAATAACTCATAAGTAAAAGGTATATTTAACACACTTAAATATTTTGAAGACATAAAGTAATTTTTAAAATATTTCAAAACGTAATACTACTAATATAATTAGAAGAGCACAATCAGGAGTAAACCAGCATGATCCAAGGCAACTGTTTCCCTAGATTAAGAAAAACTAACCAAAGTGACACAAAAAGCCTAAAGAATTTGAAACTAATTTTACAAAGAGATTAATTTTAATAAGACTACTTAACAGGTTTTTAAACTCTATAAACACAAATGATTAAATTAGCAGACACAGTCTAACCCCCCAAAAAAGTAACATTCAAAAATATCTGAAGTTTTGCAGTTAAATATATAATTACCTGAAGAAGTTAAACAGAATTACCATATGATCCAGCAATTCCACTTCTAGCTATACATCCCCCACAAAAAAAAAAAAGTGTTCAAAAACTTTTTTTTTTTTTTTTTTTTGAGGCAGAGTATCATTCTGTCACCCAGGCTAGAGTGCAGTGGCGCAATCTCAGCTCACTGCAACCTCCACCTCCTGGGCTCAAGTGGTTCTCATGCCTCAGCCTCCCAAGTAGCTGGGGTTACAGGTGCATGCCACCATGCCAGGCTAATTTTTGTATTTTTAGTAGAGACGGGGTTTCACCATGTTGGCCAGGCTGGTCATGAGCTCCTGGTCTCAAGTGATCCATCACACTTGGCCTCAAACAAAAACTTCTATATGAATGTTCATGGCAGCACTATTCACAATAGCCAAAAGGCGGTAATAACCCAAATGTCCATCAACTGACAAGTGGATAAACCATGTTGTATATCCATACAATGGAATACTACCAAGCCATCGAGATAAATGAAGTAATGATACATGCCATAACATGGATAAACCTTGAAAACATGCTAAGTGAAGGAAGCCAGACACAAAATGCAACGTAATGTATAATATCATTAATACAAAATATCCAGTATAGGCAAATCCATGAAGACAGGAAATCAGATTAGTGGTTTCCAGGGGTTGGGAGAAGGAGAAAATAAGAAAATGACTGCTTAATAGGCACAGAGTTTCCTTTGGGGCTGATGAAAATGTTCTGGAACTAACTAATGGTGTGAATGGTGATGATCACACAATACTGTGACAGTACTAAATGGCACTTCAGTTGTATACTTTAAATTGTTTAAATGGTAAGTTTTATTTTATGTGAATTTCATGATTAAAAAATATTAATTGAAGCACACAGTGCTAGTATATTATGCTTATCAATGATATTGTTTTACTTTTTACAGAATGTCATAATTTGCATGAAATATCATAATTTGCCTATGTATTTTTAAATGATTATTTCACACCCTTAGGTAAAAGGATTTATCAAAGATCAAGCTGGAGTTTGTATAAACAATGTCTTCCCCAGGAACAAGACTTTTATACACCCATAGATGTTCATTCTACTGTAACTTGTAATAGTTAAACAAAATAAAAACTAGTTTTCTAATACAGAAGATGTTAATTATCTGATTGAATATTTTAAATGTTGTCTTCAAGTGAAAGCTACAAAGACCAAGGAGCAATAATTAAAATGTTGCTAATATAATACTGATGCTGTTAATATAATAATGTTATGATATTAACACTAACTTAAAATGATGAGACTATTTTTAATAACTCTACAATTACTACTATATCAAAATATGTATGCACATAGATAAAGGCACTAAGGCTGAGAGTTTGCTCTATTTTTCGAATTTTCATTTGTATCATCACTTCAATTTTTTAAACCATTTTCAGAATGTTTTCCCATGTCTTTACCTCTTAGTGACTAAAAAGCTGAACAGACCCACAAGAATTTTAAAAAACACTTTTTCATTGTCATTTTTTAGATACGATTACTATTTGCTAATAATAGAAAAAACAATGTCTGTTATTACCACAAAAAGTATCCATCATACTTACTGCTGTATTTACTTCTCTTTCTCTTTTTGAGACAGCATCTCACTATATTAATAGCCCAGGCTGGTCTCGAGCTCCTGTGCTCAAGCAATCCACCCACCTCAGCCTCCTAAAGTGCGGGGATTACAAGCATGAGCCACCACACCCAGCCTATTTGTCTCTATAATCTCTAGAATATTCAAAATACATAGTATATAATCAAAGAATCTGAATTATAAAGACATACCTTTGCGTAAGGGTTGTGGCATCATTAAGATCTGGATGAGCAAAAGGGATGTTACATCATGATAAAGAATTGGAACCTCAGGCTGTTGTTCTTCATATCCCAGCCTAAAAGAAAAATGTAGTCACTTTACATAGTATTGTATATCTTCTCTTTCTAATTTATTTTATATGTCACATATATATCTATGGAACAGAAATAAAAACTTTAATACACAAAGAAGAAATGTAAAAAAAAACCTTAGGAGTCATATTTTTTGCAAAAAAATTACATTTTAGACTCATATTCTCTTGACTCTAACATGAAGAAAATGTATAGAAAATGTGTTGTGTTATCAAAGTGAACAATTAGGATACATTAACTTGATTATGAGTGTTTCTGATCTTAGATTACAGAAATTAAAGTATTACATAGAGAATGAAAGAATTAGTTTCACTACAAATGGAGTGGCTTATAGGATACTTATCACAAACTTAGCAATAACGAATAAGTAAGTTTTCACATCTTTAAAAAGAGATAGGCAGAGTTCCCAAATCAATTCCTGTTGAAAAGGTATGGTTAACTGCTCTTATTAAAATGTTTCAGCCGAGCACAGTGGCTCATGCCTGTAATCCCAGCACTTTGTGAGGCTGAGGCAGGCGGATCACTTGAGCTCAGAAGTTTGAGACCAGATTGACAACATGGTGAAAACCCGCCACTACAAAAAATATAAAAAATTAGCAGGGCTTAGTGGTGTGTGGGAGGATTGCTTGAACCCAGGAGGTCAAGGCTGCAGCGGGCTGTGATTGTGCTGCTGCACTCCAGCCTGGGTGAAAAAGTGAGACTCTGTCTCAAAATTAATAATAAAATAAAATGTTTCAACTTTATAACTAACAAAATTCAAATAAAATCTTTAACATTTGCAAAGTTTCAAAAAGAGATAACCAAAGCAGAACTTAAAATACACTATAAAAGGGCCAGATGTGGTGTCTCATGCCTGTAATCCCAATAGGCATGGGAGGCTGAGGTGGGAGGATCACTTGAAATCAGGAGTTCAAGATCCAACTGGGCAACACAGTGAGACCCTGTCTCTACAAAAAATAAATTTTAAAAAGTACACTATAAAAGACAAAGTAGTAAACCTTAGGAATGTGCAGTACTATGAAAAACATAGACTATATTATAAAGCAGAGCTTATTCTAAAAGAATTTTTTAAATGCCTTTAGAAGGTTAATTTTTTGACTACATGTTTAATTTTTAATGACAGAGAAGAAAAGTAAATCTTAAGCTCCAGAAGTGGCTAAATTCTGAAGCTACACTTTAGACTTGGGATGAACAAAATTCTTCAACTCTTTTATTAGGCTCGATCATTCAGCAAATATTTACTAATTACTTACTACAGGTCAGGCACTAAACACACTGCTGAGTAAATCAACCCCTGCTGCTGAGAAACTTTTGGCTGACAGAGGAAGACAGCTCTCTGAATTTCTCCATTTTCTACAAATATTCCTTAGTATACTTGTTTTCCTCTCCAAGGATAACCCTTCATTAATGCTATGAATCCTGATACGGTCTTTCAAGTTTATCTAGCCTCTCTGCAAGGCCAAGGTCTAAAAAAAAAAAGTGTAGGGGTCACACCATTTCTATTATTCAAATTCCCCACAGAAATAGTTTCACATGATCAACAATGATCTCCTAATTACAAAATTTAGTGGACATTTTAAATCCTTATCTTACAGACCCTTGACTTGACTTTAGATACAGCTGAACATTCTGCCTGGAAAATTTTCTTGGCTTTTGTGAAACACTGTCCCAAGTTACCTTCTATCTCTCTGATTACTCCACTTTAGTCTTCTTCACAGGTTCATCTTCCTCTGACTAACAAACTGTTATTCCTCAAGATTCCAATTCTCCCTTTCTTTTCTCACTAAGGACTCTTTTTGAAAGACCTTCTAATCCATGATTTCAATTGCCAGCTATACACTGATGACTGTATGTCCAGCAATGACTCTCTCGAACTCTCTATCTGAATATCCATTACTTCCGCTTGTATATCTAACAGGCAGGCAGCTCAACAGGCCTGAAAGTGAACCCATAATCTTTCTCTCTATACGCACACTCCCACCCCAGTCACAACCATTCTATTATGCTGGTGCCAAAGTAATTGCTGTTTCTGCCACTAAAAGCAATGCACCAACCTAATACTTTCCCCTCTATAATCTAAGTTCTGATGTGGCTTATTTCTTACGTCCTCCTGCATTTATACAATGCCTGAAACATAACAATGCCTAAAACATGATAGTCCTCCAATAAAAGCATAATGAATAAATAAGCTAGGAACTTGAGGACATCCCAAAGCCATCTTCTCTCACTCACCCCGTATTTAATTGGCACTAAGTCCTAATGACTCTATCTCTACTTCCTCTTTGCCATCCCTATGGCCACTGCCTTTAAGTATTCAATCTCCTCCAATTTTATGTTCCTCTAATTCATCCTCTATATCTTTAGTGCCTGGAAGAAGTTTCCACAGGAATGATATCTTGCTTATCATTATATCCCAATGCCTGGATTAAAACAGTTAATAAAACTAGCTGGATAAACAAATGAAATATTCATGGGAAAAGGGATGGATGAATGAACAAATAAACGAGTGGTACATAATTTTAGATTCTCAGACTGCTACATTAAATTTAACAGGTGTTTAAAAGAGTCTCACTTAAAATTAGAAGAAAGTTTATGGATCCATTTAAGCTAGCCCAATTTCACTCTTATGCAAAGCTGTACTTTATTGCACAAAAATCAAAAAGGCTTGAGAACTTCTTGCATGATAACCTACAGACCAACAAATTGCAGAGCTTTTAGGTATAGAAAAGAAAAGCATTCCCAAATAAAAAAATTAAATATAGTTTAATAAAATAGGGGTAGTATATGCAACTGAAAAACTTAAAGTGCTTAACAGAATACTAGAATCTTATTTTACATTATATGCTAACAGCTATTTTCTACAATACAAGCAATCTTTCTCAAAATGAGAGGTGGATTCCTTTATGCTATTATTAATTTGCTTATTATTGTATGTGACCTTCCAATATTATTTAAAATCAGTCCAAATTGCCGTATGCAAGAATTATATACTACTAAGAACGCATAATTAACAAATGTTTCAAAACTGAAACATAATATGCATACAACAGAATAAAACAAAAAATGAATTAAAAGAATGGGGAATATTTCTAGTTGAGGAAACTGCATATTATAAAGATAACTACTTTCCCAGATTAATTTATGAGTTTAAAATAATTATAATCAAAATTACAAGTTAGGCCAGATGCAGTGGCTCACGCCTGTAATCCCAACACTTAGGGAGGCCAAGGTGGGTGGATCACCTGAGGTCAGGAGTTTGAGACCAGCCTGACCAATATGGTGAAACCCTGTCTCTACTAAAAATACAAAAATTAGCCTGGCATGGTGGCGTGCACCTGTGGTCCCAGCTATTTGGGAGGCTGAGTCAGAAGAATTGCTTGAACCCAGGAGGAGGAGGTTGCAGTGAGCCAAGATCACACCACTGCATTCCAGCCTGGGTAACAGAGCAAGACTCTGTCTCAAAAAAAAAATTATAAGTGAGGGGAAGGGCTTAGAAAATGTTCTAAAAACCTTCTGGAGAATAAGTGAGAACAGCAAAGAAAAACTGGGAGTCAGAGTTTGGGGAAGAGAAATGAGAGGAACCTAACTCAGCCCGATAACTAGACATAATAAATCACCTAAACAATAAACCATCATGGTATTGTCAGAGAAACAGGCTTGGAGCTCAATAGAACAAAGAAGAAAGCTCCTAATCAGGCCTATAATGTAGGAACCCTTAGTATTTAATAACTAGGATATAAAATCACTAAAAATACTACTTGGTTATTTGCAAATAAATTTTAGATCTTCACCTAACACTACAGGTGAGAATGAATTCCAAGTACGTTATATAGTTTTAAAAATCATCCCATGAGAAAACTCTAAAGTGAAAATATAGGTAGATATTGCAAATCCTAAGACTGGATTACACATTGTAATACTAGTTATAAAAGTATACATCAGCTCTTGGAAGACATGGGCATTCTAAGTATGAAAGTAATAGGAAAAAATAAGAAATATAAGGTCTGATTGATCTGGCTACATGAAAATTTAAAACTTCAATGGGTCAAGAAAAGTAATTACAAAAGTAGACGGCAAACATATTTTGAAAAACACTTATAAACAACTATGACAAAATAAGATTTAATATTTTAAACCATGGAGAATCATTCATATAATTTTAAACAATAAGATGCCAACAGAAAATGGACAGAGGTCCAGAATATATCATTCACAAAGAATGTATACAAATAGCTAATAAATATAAAAATACTTAACTTTGCTAGAAATCAAATAGATTTCCATTACTTTAGGATCCCATTTTTAATCACTCATATTAGCCAAAAAATGTTTAAGTGATAATACTTTTTTTGGTAAGTTTTTTCCCCAATAATAATCAGAAAAAATCCTGGCAGTTATTGGCTGATAAGATAAAAATAGCCATTCTAAGGACAGAGAGAGAAATGGATCTTTCCTAGCACATCACTGGCCCATAACTGGAATGAATGAATGGATTGATGCACCCCTCTGTAGAAAAGAGAACCAAAGATTTCAACTA
This sequence comes from Homo sapiens, assembly GCF_000001405.40. Lineage (NCBI taxonomy): Eukaryota > Metazoa > Chordata > Mammalia > Primates > Hominidae > Homo > Homo sapiens. The sequence continues at coordinate 170,036,328 of NC_000002.12, read as the reverse complement.
CAGGGTTTAATATGATCATTGTGATAACTATCTTTTAAAATGCTTAATATTTTAAAATACATAATTGTTCTCACTAAGATCAGGAACTAGGCAAAGATGTCCCCACTCCCCACTTCTTTTCAACATCATACTGGAAGTACTAGCTAATGCCTCAAGATAAGAAAAGGAAATAAAAGTTATACAGATTGGGAGAGAAGAAATAAAACTGTCTTTCTTTGTTTACAGATTACATGGTCGTCTATGTAGAAAATCTGAACAAACTGACCAAAAAACTCCTGGAACTGATAAATGATTGTAACAAGGCTACAGGACACAAGATTAATATACAGAAGTCAATCACTTTCATATATACTGGCAAGGAACAATTGGAATTTGAAAATAAACACACAGCATCATTTAAATTAGCAACCCCCCCCCCAATAAAATACTTAGGTATAAATCTAGCAAAAAAATATGCAAAGATCTATTTAAGGAAAATGACAAAACTCTGATAAATGGAATCAAACGACTACATAAATGGAGAGAGATAGTCCATGTTCATGAGTAGGAAGACTCAATATTGTCAAGATGTCAGTTCTTTGCTACTTGACCTAGAGATTCAATGCAATCTCAATCAAAATCCCAGCAAGTTATTTTGTAGATGTTGACAAACTGATTTTAAAATTTATATAGAGAGGCAAAACAGCTGGAATAGCTAACACAAAATCGAAGAAGAACAAAATTAGATGACTGACACTACCTGACTTCAAGACTTATCATAAAGCTACAGTAATCAAGACAATATGGTACTAGCAAAAAAGCACACAAATAAGATCAATGGAACAGAACAGAGAGCCCAGAAATAGATTCACATAATTATAGTCAACTGACTTTAACAAAGGAGTAAAGGCAATACAGTGGAAAAAACACAGTCTTTTCAACAAATGGTGCTAGAACAACTGGACATTCACATGCACAAAAATGAATTTAGACAAAGACCTATGCCCTTCACAAAAATTAACTAAAAATGGATTACAGACCTAAATGTAAAACACAAAACAATAAAATTCTTATAGGAGAAAACCTAGATAACCTTGGGTATGGCAATGACTTTTTAGATATAACACCAAAAGCATAATTCATGAAATAAATAACTGATAAGCTGAACTTCATTAAAATTAAAATCTTCTATTTGGCAAAAGACAATGTCAAGACAATGAGAAGACAAGCCACAGTCCTGGAGAAAACATTTGCAAAAGACACATCTGATAAAGGACTGATATGTAAAATACTCGTATAAATATAAAGAACTCTTAAAACTAATAGGAAAAAAACCCAATTAAAAAATGGTACCACGGCATTAACAGATACCTCACCAAAGAAGATATACAGATGCTTAATAAGCATATGAAAAGATGCTCCAGACCGTATGTCATCAGAGAAATGCAAATTAAAACAATGAGATACCACTACATTCCTATTAGAATGGCCAAAATCTAGAACACTGATAATACCAAATGTTGACAAAGATGTGGAGTAACAAGAACTCTCATTCATTGCTGGTGGGAATGCAAAATGATACTGATATTTTGGAAAACAGTTTGGTGGTTTCTCACAAAACTAAACATGCTATTACTATATGATCCAGTAATCATGCTCCTTAGTATTTACCCAAAAAAGCTGAAAACTTATATACGCAAAAACCTGCACACAGATGTTTAGAGCAGCTTTATTCATAATTGCCAAAACTTCGAAGCAACCAAATGTCCTTCAATAGGTGATGAATAAATTAATTGTGGTACAGACAATGGATTGTTATTTCTATTATATAGAAATGAGCTATCAAGCCATGAGAAGACATTGTGGAAACTTAAATACATATTACCAAATGAAAGAATCCAATGTGAAAAGCTACATATTGTATGATTCTAACTATATGACATTCCGGAAAAGGTAAAATTATGGAGAGAGTAAAAAGATCAGTGGTTGCCAGGGGTTGTACTGAGGAGGGATGAATAGGTAGAGCACAGAGGGTTTTTTTAGGACAGTGAAACTACTTTGTATGATACTACAACGGTGGCCAAATGTCATTGCACATTTGCCTAAACCTACAGAATCTTCAACAGCAAGAGTGAACCCTAATGTAACTACAGACTTTGGGTGATTATAGTATGTCAATATAGGCTCATCAGCTGTAACAAATGTACCACACTGGTGGTGGATATTGATAATGGGAAAGGCTATGTATCTGTTACAGTGGGGAGTATATGGGAAATCTGTGTATCTTCCTCTTAATTTTGCTGTGAATCTAAAATTGCTCTAAAAAAAAAAACAAACCAAAGTCTTTAAAAAATAATTGTTTCTATCTCTTATCTATCTCTTAAAGTTTTAGATAGTCTTTTAAATCCAGATTATAAAAATTAATGCAACTGTTGATTCTATGGATAAGAGGAAATGGGTGGAAGAGTTAATAGGAATATAGTTTTTCCATTTTTAAAAATAAAAAATGATTATCAGCACAATGAAAATTAGAAGGAAATAAAATAATTTTCATAGGATTATAGAAAAAAGTATATATGAAAAACCTACATCCTCAGATATAGAATTTTATATTGGAAGAGTGTTGAGGTGAGGAACTAGAAAGATATTTCAATTTTAAAAATATATAAATATGAAATATAGATGACATATTATAATCAACTCTTATATTACAACTTAATGAATAAACGAACCATAAAAATGAGAGCAAATATTGGGGGGGGGGGGGGTGGGTGTGGAAAAACCAATCAAATTTTCCGGAAATTCCTAAGATCTAGTACTAGGAAAAGAAGCATACAATGATAGTTAAAACTTAGGCTCTGGAATCAGAGAGATTTGGATTAAAATCTCAGCTCCGTTCCTCAACAGCTATGTGTGCCTAAAGATCATGTTAATTGACTTTTCTAAAACTTGGGTTCCTCATATATAAAAACTGGTATAAAACAGTACCTAGTACATAGAGTTATTATTGACGATTAAATGAGATTATATATGCAAAGCACCAAAATGCCTAGCATGAAGTACTATATAAGTGTTCACAGCATTTACTACTATCCTAATGTCCATTAATTATTAGGGCTTGAAAAGAACAAAATCCAGAAATCAGTATTACAGAAAGCATAATATCTATGTCTGTACTTTAAGCTTTTTAATTAGTCAATACTAGGCTTAGAAACTTTTTGTTTGCTGAACACCTTTTAGACTTAAAGAGCTGTGTGTTCGAATACTCTGTATACCATCTTTGTCCTTAAGTATGCTAGCTAGAAAGGAAAATTACTAGTTACTACTAAGGATAATGACTTTCCTTAGCAACAACACACAAAATACTCAGTTTGCTAATTTAGTTTATAAACACAAAATACACACACAAAGTTTTGTTTTTGTTGTTTTTATGAAGAGTAGCAAGATACATACATAGTCTCAAAGTATCTCCCTATAAGATACTTAGTAATTACGAAGGGTAAAATAATCACTTTACAGTGCAGAAACTTGGCACATACTGCCTTGGCTAAATGATCAGAGTTATGATCATCAGTAACAAGATAAATCAACAGCATGTGCCTCCTCATACTATGCACTAAAAAGGAACACATTAGTCTGTGGCATTTCTGCCAAAAGGTTATAACCTGAATCTAATCACTAGGAAATACTGGACAAAAACAAATTAAAGGACATGCTACAAAATAACTGGCCTGAACTAAAAAAAAAAAAAAAAAAAAAAAAAAAAAAAGTGAATGTCATCAAGCACAAAGAAAAACTCAGGCTTAATTTCAGATTAAAGGAAATTAAAGAGACATGGCAACTAAACGCAAGCATAATCTTTTTGTTGTTGTTGTTACACAGTACTTTACTGCAACAACTGGCAAAATCTGAATAGGTCTACATATGGTAGAGGCCAATATTATTAATAATTATTTCTCATGTGAATATCCAATTAACCCAGCACCATTTATTATAAAGACTATGATTCCCCCAGTGTTCCTTTGTGTCATTTCTGCTATAAATCCAAATATCCAGATATGTGTGACTGTTTTTGTTTTTGTTTTTAACAAGCACATACAAATTTATTTTCTCTCCCTGCCCTTTTTTACACAAATGATGGCATAAAGTACATATTTTCTGTTCCTAGATATTTTCTTGACATTGTCTCTGGGTGTTGTTGATATTTCAAGATCAGTAAACAAAGAATTTCACTTTTTTTTCCAAATTTATCAGAAATGTTTTCAAAGAACTTAAAACAGAACTATCCTATGACCCAGCATCCCATTACTGGGTATCTATCCAAAAGAAAATAAATCGTTCTACCAAAAAGACACATGTACTTGCATGTACATCACAGCACTATTCACAACAGCAAAGACACGGAATAAACCTAGGTCCCCATCAACAGTGGATTGGATAAAGAAAATGTAGTACCTATATACCATGGACTACTATGCAGCTATAAAAAGAATGAAATTATGTCCTTTGTCACAACATGGATGCAGCTGGAGGCCATGATCCTAAGCGAATTAATGCAGGAACAGAAAACCAAACACTGCACGTTCTCACTTATAAGTGAGGGCTAAACATTAGGTACTCATGGACAAAAGATGGGAACAACAGGCACTGAGGACTACTAGAAGAGGGAAGGAGGGGAGCAAGGGTTGAAAAACTATTGGGTACTATGCTCACTACACCTGGATGATAAAAACAATCACACCCCAAACCTCAGCATCTTGCAATATAATCATGTACAAACCTGCACATGTACCCTCTGAATCTAAAATAAAAGTTGAAATTATTTTAAAAAATAGAAATCTAAACATAAAAATTAAAACCACAGAAATACTAGAAGAAAACATGGATGAATGCTTTTTAACTAGGGAGTAGAGGAAGGCGTGTTTAACTGTGACTCAAAATTCAGAATAAATGAAAAGATTAATATGACTATATTAAAAAAACTTTGACAAAAAAATCATACATGAAGTAAAAAGACATTTGACAATCTGGTGAAATGTATTGCAACTTATAACAAAAAGGACTAATACCCATAATACATAAACATATCTTAAAAATGAAGAGAAAGCTGGGTGCAGTGGTGCGCACCGGTAATCCTAGCAACACGGGAGAGGCTGAGGTGGGAGGATTGCTTGAGCCCAGGAGTTTGAGTCCAGCCTGGGCAAAACAGGGAGATCTGGTCTTTAAAACAACAAATAATAAAAATAAAGAGGAAGGCTAGGCACGGTGGCTCACACTTGTAACCTCAGTACTTTGGGGAGGCCCAGATGGGAGGATCATTTGAAGCCAGGAGTTTGAGACCAGCCTGGGCAGCAAAGTGAGATCCCATCTCCCCGAAAAATAATAATAAGGAAAAGACCAATGATCCAATTTTTTGAAATAGGCAACAGATTAGAGACTTCATAAAAAGAAATGCAAATGGATGGGAATGAAAGATTGATGTCTATGAATTTATTTTGTTATATAGTTTTTACTTCAGAAAAATATAAATTTTATACAATAAAATATAAGTCAAGGGGGAAAAAAGCAGTCTTTAAATATTGAGGAAAAAAACTGAAATGAGCTGAACTATAAATCAAGTTGATGGCATAATCACATGGGAAAAGTTACTTTATGTGATTTAAAAACACAGTTTTTGACTATACATCCCTAGAAGTACATATTCTAATGACAAAGATAATTTATGGTTAGTAGTAATATTGGTATTTTAAAAACATAATCGAGGCTATACTTTAGTTATACAAATAATTATGTTAATATTATTAGGAATCAAGACTTTAAGAGAAAAAAGATACAAGTAACAAAAAAGAAATAAAATGAAAACTGTGCAATCTTATGTTGATCAGAAATACCAGTAAGAACACAGGATCTTTTTTTCCTTTAAAAAAATATTTCCTAACTCTGTCCACTGAAATGGCCTATAAACAATGATAACCTATTAGCTATGTATGCCCTCTAGCACCCAGACTGTGGTCTCTAAATACCATTTGCCATTAAAAGGAACTAAATGGAGAAATGGCTGATTCCAAGTATAAAATAGAAAATGTACAAAACGAACCCGGGCCAACTTGTACCAGAAAGTGAGGATATGATGAAAGACTACTTGGCTCATGTCAAAAGTACAAAAGTCAGTTTGGAAAGATTCTCACTAAAGTAAAAGGGAACAATTTGTATCAAAAAGAGGAAAGATTGAAATGGAGTGAAACACATCAAATATATATAAAATCCATGAGATCATAAAATACACCAAAGACCAAACTTATTGGTCACTGTTGGAAGTTAATAGGGCATCCATTCCTTACTTTGAAAATTTATAAATCAGAAAAGTATCAAGTATTCATCCTGCCAAACTGTATTTCAGAGTCAACAAATAGTTGATATGGTAAAGTTCTTTATAAAAACATTCCATTTAATCAGAAGAAAGCATTTTTTTAAATCACCATTTTGCAGCACCTAATGAAATAATGGATTTTAGCAAGAATTATCAGGAGTCCTTAAAACCATTAGGTGAAAGACTGATGGGGCACTTTACAATGCAGGAATCAGACTAAAGCTACTTGAATCCACTAATTGTAACATAAATAGAGAGACAACCAGCCATTACATGCCTCCACTTGACTATTTAATCTGCATAAAAATCAGTGGGATTCTTTAAAAGATTTTCTCACATGGTGGGAATTTGTATGCAATTTTTACAGACAGCATAATGGTAAACTGTTTTCAATTCTTATGATATATTTCTGTGCTTCATAAAGAAAATGTGAAAAAATCACATATATTGAAATTTCAATTCCATTTTTATATTTAACACCTGTTTTTCATAAAGAGTTTTAATTGATTTTAGTCTTTCAATTATACTTACTGTGGATTCATCTCTTCTAACTGGGTGAGCTTTCTCCAGGGATTATACTCAGAGTCAATGCTATAAAGCCGCATGTGCAAGGCTAATACATGAAACAGCTGATCTGAAAAAATTGAAGAAAAGGTAATTAGAAAGTTCACACATTTGTTACAGAACAAAATTCAGACAAAATTTCTAGTTATTTCATAAGGAAATCTGTTTCCCATCCTGACAATTAAAATTCACCAAGTTTAAGTCCCAATTACTTCACACTCTCTTTTATGGTAACCTCTGAAATACATATCCAAATAATCTGTGCTAGAATCTGGACTGTCCTTAGACTCAATCTTAATACAGGAATGGTTTTCCTCATCTCCTATCACAGACATACTTGTCCTTGACTTTACGCTGCAGCCTTGCCAGTTTGTACTTCTCACCATTGTGTTCTCTTCCTAACCAAACTTTACTATTATCTTCAATCCTCTACCCTGGGTAATATGAACCACAACATCCTAATAACTCACTGTTAGGTGAAGTTCTTTCTTTGCCTAGTATGTCCCTCTAAACCTCATTTAGACTGAAGAGTGAATTCATCATCTTTGGATTCTACATAAAGAAAAAGTAACTGAAATAGAGTATTATTTGTTACAATTCCAACTATTTAAATTTATTCTACCTGAATTATAACAATAATCTACCAATCTTGGCTTTCAACAAAATTCTGCTCATGACATTTAGAAGAAAATATCATGTTTAAAATTATTCTGGGAAAAAAAAAAACCCTAAGTATTGCTTTTGTATCTGATGCACCCCTTCTTTTTTTGTTATAAATGACAATAATTAAATTATTCTGCCACACAGAATAATAATTTAATTATTATTCTGCCACACATAGTAATTTAATTATGACAATAATTAAATTATTCTGCCACACATACATATTTGGAAATCAAAAGTCATATTTTACAAAATCAGATATGATACTTCTTAACATATGATTAAAATTAATTCTTAAATCTAGGAAAAAAGTTAACTGAATGACACAAACCTATTATTGTTACTTATTTTCTAATTAAAACTAGACCAGATTTTGTTGCTGTGAGCCAGCAGACCTAGAAATTAACTACATTTTATGTTAATTTACTCAAGATCCATCAATATAAATGGGGTAGTATGGGGTGTACATGTGTGTTTATGTGTACATGCGTGTATGTGTATAGTATTTTGGGAAGCTGTTATAAAACATATGGGAGCTGTAATTTGAGTAAAATAAATGTTCTACTCTATGGGGCAGGATAAAGGAAATATATTTTTGTAAGTTTCAATCTGATCTCTCTATAACGAACAGAGGAATCTAAATACCTTACCCTGTTTCATCTCCTATTTATAAGTCAATGTGTAGCCTACATCTTCCTTAAATTTCTTCATTCTATTACTGACTTAGTTACTTATTACGTGCCAGGCATTATGTTACATTGATTGATAATCTCAATTAATTTTCACAAAAATTCTACTAGGCGGGTAATATTATTAACCCTCACTTTTGAGGCAAGTTAAGTTTCCCAAATTTCCAGTTTTTATGGTAGCCTGGTTTCGTAGATGATACTGAGAACAAGGGAAGTTTTAGCAGAGGAAAAACATGACTAAAGATTGGTAAATTTTCTTTTATTTCAATTCAATTATACATATGAGACTACTAAGCATATAATTTATACTTTTAATGAGTGTTTTAATGACTAAAACCTAAAAGTGTTTAAAAAACTAAATTCTTCTCACAGAAAAATACTAAGATTATCTCAAGCTGCACGGTGAGGAGTTCTGCATTCTTTTTATATAGGTATTAACTTGATCAAAGGGCTCATTTTAATATCTCCTACCAAGATGAAGGTGGATCATCTTAGTTTCCCTAATTTAATCAAAAGCATAGAAGCTGCAATTGTACTAACCTGTTTTGCATTGAAACCACAGCCAGCACAGAAAATAATGTTACATTCACCTATTTTCCTAATCCCTATCATAATTTAAGACTTTCAAAATGTTAGTAGAAAAGTTTTTCATCATTTCCTCATTCTATAGATAAGAAAATATGTCCAGAGAAAGGAAGTACCATTACTATATAATAGACCAGAAAGATGATATTATATCATCTTTAAATGATATTTAAATGATATTATATCATCTTTCTGGTCTATTATATAGTAATAATAGTTATAGAATAAATCTATAGTATGTAAGTTGGGCTTACATACGGGCAGATACATATATGGTTTGTACAAATATGAAATAAATTTAATATTGCCAGCTCACTCTTAATAGTTATTCTAAAAGCTAAGAATAGGATTCAAGATTTGCCACCTCTTAGTTATTTCTACCACTCCACTTTTTGGGGGGTTTATGATTAAAATAAAAGTACAAGATTCCTTCTCTCTCTGTCTCAGGGAACTGACCAAATAACCATTTTAACAACTTCAATTTGTTAATAAAATTCATTATTTATTGTTATTTATTCATTGTTTTGAAAGTTTAGTCTTATCAGTAAGACTGAACTCTAATATTCATTTAGCAGCAAAAATACGTCTTATACCAGATGAATATTAAAGACGTAGGATGAAGAGAATCTATAATCATAATCAAAAGTTAAAAAATGTATTAACTACCAACTGCATGCATGACATATAAAAAGTTGGAAAATAATTATATCACGAAAGCATATTAAAATTTTGAGTAACAATAACAAAAAAGGATAACTCCTTTCCTAGTATAACACATTTTAAAATTCTAAAGTTTGGTCCACATATATAAAAAGATTTGGAAAAGAGAAATACCTTTAAATTCATTTATAAGCGTGCTGTGATTTCAATCTATGTATAGGAAGCACCACTGTCTGGGAGGAGCCAGGAAGTCCTGGATTCAATCCAAGTCTGTACTAGCCATGTGTCTTTAAACAAATTACCTAACCTTAGTTTTACAGTCCATAAAATAAATATAATGTCATCTTTCTGGTCTATTATATAGTAATAATAGTTATAATCATAGAATAAATCTATAGTATGTTTGTAAGTTGGGCTTACATACAGGCAGATACATACATGGTTTGTACAAATATGAAATAAATTTAATATTTATAAACTTTACAACTAAAACTAGATATTACAACTAAAATTATAGATTATTATACATTGGAAACATAAGATCTCCACATAAAACCATCACTCTACAAACACATATTAACATATATTCTTAACTCTCTTCTCTCTTCTTTCCTTAATTTTTGGTACCACTCTCTCCTGGCTTTCCTCTGGTTCCTTCTCAGTTACTTTTATGTGCCCTTCTTCTGCTAATGAACCCTAAAAGGTGACATTTCTCATTAAAAAAAAGGAAAAGCCATCCTTTATTAGTCCTCTTTCCCTCTCATTCTGCACACACTACTTTACCCAAGCCCACTTCTACCTCTAAGTTCACAATTCACAAGGCTCTCTGGTACTTCAGATGTTCAACAGGCACCTCAAAATCAATACACCCAGACTAACCTGATTATACAGCCCAGCCCAGCTCCAATGTTAATTTCCTTTTAAAATTCCTATTTGAGTGAATGACACTCTTACTTGAGTGAATTTCCTTTTATAATTGCTATTTGAGTGAATGACACCACTACCCATGCAAACAACCAAGGAAAAACTCGGGAGTCATCTCCTACAGCCTTGCCCTCCACCAATCCCATTGGTTCTGCCTCTTATGATCCATCCTATTCTGGACCACTCTGCCACTACACTGTTTTCCACCTAAATTGCTCAACAGAATGCTCACTCAGCAGTATGCCTTTTGGTTCACCCCTTCCAATCCATCTAATCAATAAATCTGTTCACAATATCTCATAATTGATTGCTGAACCACTGAAGGAACAGGCATAGAAAGCCCTTTATGAGCTAGTCCATTTTCTTTTTCAGGTTTATTTCTTAACCTTCCTTCTTTTCTTTCCAAGTATTCCCCAACGTGTCATGTCGTCTCATGTCTTTGCAAGCTGTTCTCTCAGCCTAGAATAGTATCATTTTGTCCTTCAGGCCAACTCAGTTCATCTTTCAAGAGCCAGTTCATGTGCTGCTCTGTAAGGTTCTCTCTGATACCTCAGAAAGATCAGATTATCCCCTTACTTTATGCATTCTCCATACCTTGTGCTATCTATTTCAATTTTAGCATCTCTTACACAGTCTTGTAATTATTTTTCATGTTTTCCTCTCTCATTGGATGGTCAGATCTCCCTGAAGAAGACAATTGTGTCTTTACATTTTTGTACCCCCTAGGCTAGCACAACTGCTTGACATATAATAGGATTTTTAAAAGTAGTCTGAGCATTATATATCTACAATTCTATGAAAAAATCATAAATATAAGCATAAAATTCATGATGGTTTTCTACTTTTCCCTTTCTGTTGCAATGACACATTGGTTCAGTTACCAAGAAGCAGGCCAATTAATCAGCCCTACTTTCACTTCCCCAAAAGAGACTGACCCCCAACTCTAACTACTAAAGCAGTGCTTGACCTATTTGCTCCTACCATCTTCTTCCCATGCTGGTTCCCATGCGACAACTCACCTGGGATAAATTCTATTTTCTGCAAAATCTAATCAAATTCTTTACAACTGTGACAAGTCTAAAGTATTATAATGTGCTTCATCACAAGACAGACACATCATTACTGAAACTGAGAAAACAACACTGAAAGACCAGTTTGTCCTTAGGAAAATCTAAGACTTAATTATAAGTACTCCTAGCTAGAACCAAAAAGTAAGGTTTAAGAAATCCCTCTACCTTTATCAACATTAAGGTAAGACTATTTTACATAAAAAAACTCTATAAAATAAAAATATAACTCCAAATTTATTATATGAGTTTCACATGTATGTGTATGAATACCACACACACACACATGCACACAGATACCATTATGCCAATTTTTATGACCTCAGGAATATCCACTTAAAGAAACTAAACCCAAAGTTACCATATGTTGAAATCTTTCAAAAATGCTTTTGAAACAGATGTTCCAGTACCATCCCGGAAACTGTGTACCTCTGTCAGTTATTTCTTTTCTCTTTTTTTTTTTTTTTTTTTTTTGAGATGGAGTCTCGCACTGTCGCCCAAGATGGAGGACAATGGCGCAATCTCAGCTCACTGCAAACTCCAGCTCCCGGATTCAAGCAATTCTCCTGCCTCAGCCTCCCCAGTAGCTGGGATTACAGGCTCCCACCACCACACCAGGCTAATTTTTTGTATTTTTAGTAGAGACGGGGTTTCAGGTTGTTACCCAGGATGGTCTCGATCTCCTGACCTCGTAATCTGCCCACCTCAGCCCTCTGTCAGTTATTTCTAAACATGCAAGAAATCTAAAACTGGTAGGTTATTTCTTACTATACTCATACTGATCATTAAGATATAAAGACATTAAAGAGTTATCCCAAAGACTTTCTGCCAGGCGCGGTGGCTCATGCCTGTAATCCCAGCACTTTGGGAGGCCAAGGTGGGTGGATCATGAGGTCAGGAGATCGAGACCAACATGGTGAAACCTTTTCTCTACTAAAAAATACAAAAATTAGGCCGGGCACAATGGCTTACGCCTGTAATCCCAGCACTTTGGGAGGCCGAGGTGGGTGGATCACGAGTTCAGGAGTTCAAGACGGTGAAACCCCATCTCTACTAAAAATACAAAAATTAGCCAGGTGTAGTGGCAGGTGCCTGTAATCCCAGCTACTCGGGAGGCTGAGGCAGGAGAATCGCTTGAATCCGGGAGACAGAGGTTGCAGTGAGCTAAGACCGTACCACTGGACTCCAGCCTGGGTGACAGAGCAAGACTCCGTCTCAAAAAAACAAAACAAAACAAAGCAAAAACAAAAATTAGCTGGGTGTGGTGGTGGGTGCCTGTAATCCCAGCTACTTTGGAGGCTGAGGCAGGAGAATTGCTTGAACCCAGGAGACAGAGGTTGCTGTGAGCCGACATGTTACCACTGCACTCCAGCCTGGGCAACAGAGTGAGACTCCGTCTCAAAAAAAAAAAAAAAATTTTCATAAATTGGTTCTATCTTAAATCGTACCACTGTTAAAATGCACCTAAAGTAAACTTAACTGGGTCTGTATTCAAGACTTCAGTCTTATCAGTCTAGTCATCAATGGTTAAATCACTGTCAATGGAAAAAACCTCAGCCAGGCAAGGTGACACATACCTGTAGTCCCAGCTACTCAGAAGGCTGAGATGGGAGGATTATTTGAGCCCAGGAGTTTGAGGCCAGCGTGGGTAACAAAGCAAGACCCTGTCCCTTAAAAAAAAAAAAAAAACTCAACTAGCCAAATGACTCTGAAATATCATGGGGGTGGAGAAAAAAATCTCCCTTTCTCTGCAACTGAATAATCAAAGTGAGGAAATGGTTCTGACCTACTTATCCTAAGGTGAATGTAATAGGTGTGAGTATACACCTCTCACATCAAAGCCAGCTTCCACTGGTTCCTCTGTATGTCCCTGAGAAATCAGCCATGAAGAGATGGGAAAGAGCTCTTTAAATGAGGTCTGGGAACAGGTCCAAGAAGAAGGGAACATCTGTAGATCTGGTTCCCAAGAGACAGAAGGTTGATGCCATGGATGACAGGAGCTGACTCATCTCTCCCTATCCCATTCCTAAGCACTCCAGGCAAGGCAGGGCAGAGAATCAAGTGGCAGTTATGGTAGAATTTTAAAGAGTTAAAAGACAAGTTTAATAATTATTATTATATATAATAACATATTATGTAAGATACTTTAGCTCATATATCTAATACTATTTGATCATTACATTAACTATGATGGATATATCAGATAGTCAGTATAAGTACCATCATCCTCACTTCCACAATGAGGTAAAAAGTTAGGTTAGGTTCCCAAAGTCCAACAGATAACAAATACACTAGAATCCATGCCTTCAAACTCCAACCCGGTGTTCCTTCCAGCACTATATGCTAGGTTTTCACCAGTCAACAAGGACACATGGGATTTTGGGAATAGAGTGGGGAAGTGTTGCTTCCTTTGGAGAGGTTTTTTCTGCCATGTGAGGAAGGGAAGACAGTGAAGAAAAAGGCTGTCTTGAGTACTTTCATACTTTCCATGTTGTGTTCCTCTCCTGCCTCCCGGAGTTCCTATGTCTCCACTCCCAGGCACAGTATGCCATAATTCTCTGGTTAACCCAAGTATCCACAAGTATTATTATTAGCTTCACCAAATTGTTCACCTTCTACTTTAAGGTTTCAGGGACTAGAAGCCTCCCCTTTTCGCTTTCCGACAGAGCTTGGGATGATAAGAGACAGGGAGAGGACAATTCTGCTTCTGCATATAGGTAGTCCTAGGAAGAGAGGTCAGTTCTTAGGACTCCTAACTTCCTCTTTACTAAAGAGGCACATTCCATGAATCCAGGTCTTATTTAAGCACCTCGTTTAAAATGGGGGTAGAGTTTGTCCTATCTAACTGCAGAAGAAAGAAGCTGCCTCGCCCTAAGCCAAGTAAGATCCAAAGACTCCTATGTCCTGATAGTGAAAATTACTATCTATGGTACTTAGTTCTTGAATGCCCAAATTATAAATACAGAAAGGCCTGGCTACTTAAGTCACAAATCATGGCACTTTCAGAAAGGCCTTAAAGAAAATTTAAAGCCACTCCTCTAACTTAAATTTTCATGCCACATTCTTAAACCTCTCCAAATTAACAATGTATTTTGTTCTCAAAAGATAAACTTTATCATGGGGATAAATCTCATTCTGTCCTCCTAATCTCATCTCTGAAGAGGTCAAAAGAAAGTCTGTCAAGTCCCTTAAAAAAAACTGCAATGGACTGAATGTTTATGTCCCACCAAAATTCATATGTTGAAGTCCTAACCCCAAGGTTAGTATAAGGAGGTGGGGCCTTTGAGAAGTGATTAGGTCACGAGGAAGCCCTCATGAATGGGATTAGTGCTCTTATAAAAGAGATCCCAGAGAGATCTCTTGCCCCTTCCACCACGTGAGGTTACAGTGAGAAGACAGCTATGTATGAGGAAGCAAGCAGGCCCTCACCAGACACCAAATCTGCTGGAGCCTTGATCTTAGACTTCCCAGCCTCCAGATCTGTGAGAAATACATTTCTGTTGTATATAAGCCACCCAGTCTATGGTATATTGTTATAGACTAAGACAAAAATTGAGCTAAAAAGTGTTATCTTGCTCCTTCTCCTTATCCACACACCCCCCAATTTGACAATTATAGTGTTGAAATAGGAGAAATATTAATGTTGAGATTTACAATCTATAGAAACTAGAATATATATTATAAAATTGAATTCTTACAACAATCCTCTGATTGGGTATTAATGAGGAACAGAATCTCACTCTCTAGTTTACACTATGCTGCCTTTTAATATCACCATCCTTTAAAAGGCTTACCAAACTCCTCACCTATCTCAAACAGTACTCCTTATCTCTGAAAGTGTTCAAGCACAGTGCAAACGATTGGAATAGTAGGTACAAGATGCCTGAGCTAGATAACATTTAGACTAGGAGATTTCCTAAGTAACTTTTAGCTCAAAGATTCTGATTCTATTTATCATGTGATTTCACTGACAGCCTCTATTTTTTATTTATGCACTATTTAAAATGAAGAGCAAAATAAAATATAAAACAAAATACCAAAATCTTCTGAATTTGTAAGATGTATCAAAAGAAAAGAAAAACAAAAACTCCAAGCTTTGATTTATTCTACAGTGTATGACTGTAGATAAAGTATAATTCTAAAAGTTCCTAGAGTATAACTCCTAGTCCAGCTATTTGCCTTTTATGCTTAATGTCAATGATGTTAATTAACAGGGGGGAAAAGCTCCAGATTTGAGCTTTGCATGTAACAGTTAACAACCATGAACATCTGTCAGGAGACAGAGCATCCAGCCTAGTACACTAATTTTATAGATGAGGAAACTGAAGCCAAAAACATAAAATGTCTTGCCTAAGCACATGCTTATGATCCTAGTTTGCTGTTGTCTATTCCACCACATATGTATCTTTCATGTTGGCCCTAAATACATACCAACTTGCTCTTCAGAACATAAAACATTCCCAAATACCACAAAATCACCTTTTAGCCATCAAATCTGATCAATAACTAGTCTCAGGAGACAATTTACACATTTTTGTATTAATTTATACCTTTTGACCATTATAATAATTTGATGGCCAAATTTTCCTTTTTTATGGTAACAAAAAAAATTGAACAAAATTGTGGTTCAATCTGCTTGCAGAAATTGGTATTTTTAAATTTGAAAAAGGCCTTCATAAGCCATCAGTGTCAGAATTTTACTACTAAGTGTGAAAGAATAAGGCCAGACTACTTAAAAGTAATTTTAGCCCAGGCATAGTGGTTCATGCCTATAATCCCAGCACTTTGGGAGGCCAAGGTGGGAGGATTGCTTGATGCCAAAAACTTGAGACCAGCCTGGTCAACATAGTGAGACCCCATCTCTACAAAGAAATGTATTAAAAAATTAGTCGGGCCTGATGGTGTGTGTCTGCTGTCCTAGCTACTCGGGAGGCTGAGGTGGAAGGAATGCTTGAGCCCAGGAGTTCGAGGCTGCAGTGAACTATGATTGTGCCACTGCACTCCAGCTGAGTGACAAAGGGAGAACCTGTCTCTCAACAATAAAAGGGTAATTTTGTAAAAACTCATTATTTGTTTAACATCTTTATGCTCCCTAACTGTAGGGAGAAATTAATGTCAAAATAATTTTCTATAATTTTTTTTTGAGACAGTATCTTGCTTTGTCACCCAGTCTGTAGTGCAACGGCACAATCATGCCTCACTCCAGCCTCCACCTTCTGGGCTTAAGCGATCCTCCCACCTCCATCTCCTGAGTAGCTGGGACCACAGGCACACGCCACCACACCCAGCTAATTTTATTTTTCTTTTTAGAGATGAGGTTCTCCCTATGTTGCCCAGGCTGTTAACAACTTTTGGACTCAAGCGATCCTCCCAACCTCAGCTTCCCAAAATGCTAGGATCACATGAGTGAGCCACCGCACCTGGCTAATTTTCTGTAATTTTAAATTCACCAAAAATTCACTCTTTGAGCAAGTAGAACTATTTTAAGTTGCCTGCACAGATCTAAGCTGGGTTGCTTGCTATGAAAAGCAAATCTGGTAGAAATTATTTACTGCAGTGACTATGCATAATTTCTTGATCAGATCATAGATTACATCAAAATTAAGTCAGAACTTCCCAAATGAAAATGTCAAGGCAAGAGTTTGCCTTATCCTCTTCTTGACTAACATTTCATTTTTAATCTTTCTATAAAATCATGGAATCCATTTGAGACATGAACTGTGGTTTCTTAGTTAAATGACAGTAATAAGCAGACAAATTCTCAGACCCAAAGACAGGAAGAGACGTTTACCTACAAATGAAATAATTTTTTATATTATGCTCCAATATTAATAATTTATCAAATGGCATTGCCAATGGTTTCAACAATTTCTACTTGAGAAATACACTGAGAATATCATGCCAAAAATGTGCTGAAAGAATGTGAACTTCACTAGAATTTATGGAGTGTCATATTTACTTTCAAATCACTTTAATGAAGAAATTAATACAGTAAGCTTAATATTTTTAATAAAAAGTTATGCCTTTAATTTTTACATCTGCTTTTTCCAACATATGTTGCTAACCAAGTTGGTGGTACTTACTGTATATACGAATTTGTAACAAAAACTCTAAACCTCACTTATCTTTCAAAGTCTTGTTCAAATGCCTTGTCCACCAAAAGCTTCACTGATTCCAGCAGATAGATATGATCACAAACCTCTAAATTCCCTAGAACTTCTAGGAAATTCACTGCTGGAATCAGCGAAGTTTTTGGTGGACATGGCATTGGAACAAGTCTCATCTGCTGAATACAAGTCCAGCAGATGAGAACCAGTCTCTAGAACCAGTATCATGTGCTGAATACATGGTCCTGAATGCCTGATCTTCCCTGGTGGGTAAGGAGGAGGGCTAGAGCTCTGACCCAGGAATCGGCAGCTATGCTATATGTGAGAACTAACGCACATGGCTCATAGCAAGAGCAAGGGGAACCAGCCAGCAAACTGGCAAGGAATAAAGAAGAGCTAACTGGTATCCAGGGCAGAAGGACTCAGTACTTGCAAAAATGTCTGAAAAGATGGCTCAAAACAAAAACAAAAACAAACAAACAAAAAAGGATTCACGGTGAAAGGCTGACAAAAGAAAATAGACAAGATAAATAGGAGAGTTAGCACAGAAGGGCCTGGAAAGATCCCAAGGCAATGTTGTACAGTAGAGTGTCTTTGACTAAACCAATGGCTGAAAGGTCTTAAAAGTTCTGCATCCTTTGGGACACTTAAGGGCAGGAGATATGTCTTATATAACTGAATTAGAGTCAGAAGAGCTGGGCTCAAGTGCAAGCTCTGACATTTTCCAGCTGTGTGACTTGGCAAGGCAATCACTCTGAACTTGAGATTCCTTTTCTATGAAAAAGAGATAACACCTATTTCACATGGTCGTTCTAAAGATTAAATAATTTATGTGAAAGAACTTTACAAACTTTAAAACTACAAATGTAGGATATTATATTATTAAAATACCATACTATGCTGCTATGTGAGCTAATTTGAGTAACTTTTTACTATGGAAAATTTCCCAGACACGTATTTTTAGGACTGACCTTTTATTTTGATTGACACTGGTTAACTACTCTCAACTATTTAAAAATGTTTGAAGATGTAGTTGAATGGCATTGTTCCATTTCAATTTTATTTCTCAGTAGAGATTTGGCCATTAATATTTTTTGCTTTCATTGTTGTAGAAAGAACAATCTTCCCTTCTCCCCCTGTGTGTGTGTGTGTGTGTGTGTGTGTGTGTGTGTGTCTGTGTGTGTGTGTGTGTGTGTGTCCGTAATTATATACCAGGCATTACGCAATCCTCTCTAGACAAAATTTATTAAAAGTTTTCTTGACTAGACAAATTTTCAGTTTCATCAAGAAGTCGTAACAGAACAGTATTTCAAAAGTGTGATATTCTTAGAATGAAAAAAGTTCCCTTATCATTTGCTTAATCAGTGAGGCATTTTCTCACTCTCCTCAAAAACATTATGGAAGAAAAAACATTAAAAATTAGATGTTCAAAAAGCAATAAAGAGCAATCAATGGGAAAAGGAAAATATGAATACAATAAGATATTTCCCTAGAAAAAAGATAGATTTTTTTTTTTTAATAATACCACTGAAGTTGCACTGGAAGATGAAAAAAATGAGATATTTGCAGTGAGATCCCATGAATCATCATCAATTTAAGTCCTGGTGTACAACTTAAGTTTGAATTTTATTTGAATAAATAACAAATACTAAGTTCATACACTTGTAAGATAGTGGGATTTTGCATATATACAACATATTCTATATATATATATGACTTACAGGCTGCTTTTATTAATATTAGGATAAATAAGTAACTGAACAATAATAAATTATACAAAAACTAAGAAATATTAACTTACATTTAGGATAAACTTTATCATGACTTTTTCTATATTGGCACAGTATAATTTCTGATTTAGTAAAGGGAAAAATAATGAAGCAAAAGTCTGAAAGTATAAATTTAACAATTTAAATTACAAAATTGACTCTGGTAATTAAAGTGATTACCACTAGAATTTTATTACTATTTTCAGGAATCTGGATAAATTCATTATTTACAAGCCTCTAGATAAGTTTAAGTGCCTCAGAGAAAAAAATAAGTAGATTTTTAAAAACAGAAAACCCTTCGCTAAAGTAAACACTTTGTAACACAACAGTTTCTGGAATATTATCAGCCAATGCCAAACATCAATTAATAACAAATTAACAAGAAGGAATAATTTATATAACTAAAATGATTATTATATCTATTAATTCAAACAGATTAGAAACTAAAACTCCCATGTATCAACAACTTCCTTTGAAACATACTAGTAAAGCACTGAATAGAAATAGGGTTTAGATGAATGCATAAAGGGGTCAATTTTTACTAATACTCGGTTAAAAAATAAAAATAATAACCTCCAAAATTTTAAGTTCTAGGAATAAAGTGACAATCCAAAAGAAAATATCAAATTCTACTGCAATTTATAAGACTTTAAAGATAACCAAGTTAAAATTTCACATAAGTTTGCTTTTATGTTAGAAATTTTAAAGTGCTTTTGATCATCCCTTTGCTTTGGAATCAATTCAAAATTACATATTTTTTGAAATAACATATATTTTGTTAAAAAACCAACATGTATTGATAATTTTTAATACTTACTATTTTTTAGTATTTGAGAATATATATTCATTTTTCAAAAGAATATATTATGTGTTTTAAACAAGTTTTATTTCCTACACCAATCACATTAGGTAATATTTCAACTTCAGTGATCTGGGGCAAATAATCAGCTATATGCTGATATTCAATAATATTATTCCTACTATGCACATTAATTCTCTAAACAATGACTAAAAAATGATAGCATCAAAGCCATGCTCATGAAAAATCTACTTTAAATTACAAATTACACTTCTCTCAAATATATCCTTACACACAAGATTGAAGAATTATTCTCATTTTATAACATAAAGTATATATATAAATAAAAGCAAACGTGCAATTTCAATACATTTTAATATACACATCAAAATATAGCACAAATATCTTAATAGCAATAATATAATAGAAATCTGTGGGTAACATATATTGTCTTTATAAAAATATTTTCTTAATTCAATGTAAAAATTCTTTAAGAGAATTAAAGTTTAAGAACAATTTTTTATAGCTGAGAATCATACAGTGCTTTAATTTTGAAACCTCGTCACTTAGCATCACATTTATGTGCTAGGTAATCATAATCTAGAAAGAGCTAAATATCCATATGATTCTTCCAAGTACAAGATTAGCCATTTAAAGTATATATCACTATCTAAATAGATCATATATAACAGACAAAATTTGAAATATACCAAAATGTCACTTTTCCTGTCAATGCTTCCAAAAATGACAGAATTTTTTTTAAATTTAGCAGTATTTAGTACTTACTTAAACAAGACCTTTTGCCAGCTGTGCTTGCACCACCTGAACACAAATTGCCTCCTCGATGAATCAATTCAAGTTCTAAATTGGTTCTGTAAGTAAAACATTATATCTCAGTCATTAAACTGAAGATTCTTTATTAATCTGCTTTATTGACATGTCTGAATCAACCTAAAAAATAAAGTTCTTCAACTTTATTTTTTGCAAAAGCAGTTTTTATGTTGTATCAGTAATAATCATATTTATCTGATATTTAGAAATACAAAGGGAACAATTTATCCATCCTTACTTATATGTTCATATTTACACCTGCAAAAAATTGCACACATCATGGTGTAATTGTTGCAAAGTCCCAACTCTTGGCACATACTAAAAACTAGGCCTTAAGAAAAAAAAAAAAACTGCAACATATTTCATAAACCTGCATATGAATATGAAGAAAGAATTTTTACTCCAACGTCAGCCACTGTGTAGGTGGTTATTGCCATATAAAACACAAAGGCATACCAATTTTTCTATCAGAGAAATGGTTATCATTCATTGGAGGTTAGATGGTATCTGGAAATCAATATTAAGAAACAAAATCACTAATATAGAAATGGCTATGAACAACACATATAATTTAACAGCAGTCTCTCTTACGGACTTCTAAAACTAGTTTCATTAAAATACACTGTGTAACTACTGATATGGCTAACCATCAATACTGTTCATACAGACCTGAAATTGCAAGGTATTTAGCAATTATTAGCTTACAAAATAGCAATATTTAATAAATCAACATTTCAAAAATCAAACTAATGCAGAATCTAAGGATTTACCCAAAAACAGTAACAGTAAAAGAACCAATTAATTATGCCAAAATAAATGACAACTCTGAGAAATAATTTAAATTGTATTTTTCTTCAACAGTATGAATACACTTAGACATACCTTTATTTTCTACAACCAAAACTGACCCTAATATGCATTTGACCCTAATAGTGAGATACTGTCTCCCACTTAAAAAAAAAAAAAAGAAAAAAAAACAGTTTCAAGCTTACTCTTTGCAAGTGAATTCATGAAAGACTATTATCCTATTTTATTTAAAACAAAACATTTTGCACTGATTTGGCTGAATTTTGAACATGGACTTTTTTGGAGATTATATTTCCATGTATTTACTTATAAATGCAAATTGTTAAAGAATATTAATATTCCTAAGTCTGTACATTTGCCACCCATTTCTAAAGGAATGCTTTAATCCTCTCTACTCAGGGTGGGAGAAAAAGCAATTTAACACCGATAACGTTCCAGCTCAGAGCTCCATCTGGTTGCTGCTGATAAGGGCATCTGTGTGACAAGGGAATTTTCCACCCTTCAGGCGATTTGCATTGCTCACTGAACTTCTAAAAACCTACCAGCAAGGAAGCAGGGACAAGGATTTCATACTAGTGGACAGAAAGCGAGCGGAGACCAGCATGTGTTCCTTCATCAAGGGAATATAAATGAGATCAATACATTTTGTTTTCACAAATCTTCTGTTGCCTAATCTGTAGAAAAAAATTAATGGCTATATTCTCTTATAAAAACTAAGATTTCCTAGATAGTACTTTTAAGAGAGCTAACCAGAAACACAAACAATACTTACAAATGAATGTCAAAACCAGAATGTCAACATTTCACCATATTTGCAAAAATATTTATTAAAATATAAATATAAGAACAATTCTGTTTTCTCAATCCCCAAATATAACGGATGACAAACATATTACTAAGAATTTCATTGTAAAGAATTCTCGAAAAAAACTAGTAAAATCTAATTAATTATTCCAGATTATGACTGGAAGATCTCCTATGCAATATTCTTTCTGAATTAAAAATCAAAAACTACCTATCCAAAGGATTAATGTGTAATAATATCTAGGATTTTACATTTCTTAAAAATTTTTTTTGAGAGATGAAGTCTTGCTGTGTTGCCCAGGTTGCACTTGAACTCCTGTGCTCAAGCAATCCTCCTGCCTCAGCCTCCCAAGTATCCAGGAATAGGCGCACACCACTGTATCCAGCAATATCTAGGATTTTAAAAATCAATATGGCTCTAAATACCAACTTTTCTTTGTTTCATATATGTCAAAATTGGTCCTTTGAGACATGCTAAAGAACACACAAATGGGTCATATGTCCCATGTCCGACTGCTGAAAATCACACAGCAATATTATGTTTCTTTCCTCCTCAATGAATGATGCAAAAATAAAGATATGCTGGGAGTGGAAGTTTTCCGAGCTTTTTGCTGTCAAAGAAAAGCAGACTCTTTTCTATATTTTCTAACACAAATACATTCAAATTAGTTTGGAAGAAAAAAAAGAGGCGAAAATCTCTACATTTGAAAGAATGATGAGAAAGACTGTTTAAAGCCTACCCTAGTGGCCACCTAGATGTGCACATTAAAAACCCCTCTAACTATGCTCCAGCTTCTTTTTGCATGACCAAAGTATGCTGTCCTCTCAATCCCCCCATTCAACACTAACTTCTATTTTAGACTATAATTTGAAAAGCAAACGTGTGTACACACACTACACACCCCACATTCTCAAACACACGTTGGTTTGGTGAAAAGGGCAAAGCTTCTGGAAAGAGATCTAGGTTCAAGGCCTGAGTCTACCACTCAGTAGTTGAGCAAGTTACTCAATTTCTCAGGGGGAAAAAAAAAAAAAAACCAGTATCTTCATCCATACCACAGCCTATATTATACAAGAGGCAATTCAACTTTTAACTTCTCCAGGAAGCTTTCCTGGGACAGAAAGAAGGACTTACACATATTTTATATTTCAATTTGCTCATCTTCCCTTTAGAAGTTCTACAGTGCTTTCTCTATATGATATTTTTAAAAACAAATTATATTCTGTTATATAGATTGATGTTATATTAGTTCCATCTCTCCAACTAAACTGTAAATTCATGGAGAACAGGGACTATTTCAAATATAGCTTCTAAATCCCCAGGGTACCTGATAAGATGCTTAAAAAGAAAAAAAATGGGAACTGACAACATCTTTCTTTTGATATGTAACCAATTATAAGATTCTCTTTAGCCCTTGCAGTTTATTTTCTTTCTTTTCCTAACTCTTCCATTCCCTTAAACCCAGTATTGACCCCACCAAGCCCCAAAAAAGGATTGTTTTAGGAAAGAATTTTTTGTTTTTTTAAAAAGATTCATAATTTGGTATTTAGCAAGCGTCCCTTTTATTTTGAACATGATTAGTTTACAAAGTAACCTATGAAGGTACATTCACTCTATTGAGTACCCACCATTTAAAGATGTCTCTCCACCTACATTGCAGTTACTTATGTTTCATTTTCTTTCCATTTTTCTCTATACAAACCACCTGCTACTCACCAGTATCTCTAGACTATATGAAACTTGAGTCCAAAAATCCTTGGAAAAATCAGTTACTGAAATTCATGTCATTCATTGTTTCAAGAACAAAATAATGATTGGTATTGAAAAAAGAAAACCTTCTTCCCCCCAATTTGGTTTCCATTATCTGTATAGATGACTGACATGTGTAATAAAATGAAAATTTTGGAAATATATTGAAACTTGAATGTAATGATTTTGATTAATTTTTAGATCATTTTAAATTTGAATGGATTTTCCAACAGTTTCTTCTCTGATACCCTCAGAAAATTCTCCAAGGCTTCACCATGCAAATAAAATTTAAAACCAAAAGACATGTACTGTCTTACAAAAAAAAAAAAAAAAAGAAAAGCTGTAAAACTCACCAGAAATACTTTGTTTCTAAATATCCAAAATTCAAACCCTCTGAAGAGCAAACAAAATTACTTATTCAGCAGGGAGAAATCCAGCTCTAAGAAATGAGGGTTGTATTCCACTCACGTTACTAATACTAAATACAAATAAATGTGCAAGTTCTAATGAATTATACATTTAAAAATCACTACATTTAATTCAAAACTTAATTCAAAGTAAGTTTATTGCTAAATATTCTACTTAAATATTTAAATATTGCTAAATATTTTAATGTTCACCTTTTAGGAATGTTATATGTTATGCATAAATAAGTTATATGTTATGCATAAAAGGCCTGGTTTCCTGTTTTGAGAAAATTACAATGTATTTAAATACAACATACTTTTTTCCTTCAATATATGTTGTTAATTTCTGAGTCAATTTGTTTATCTTATTTTTTATTTCTTTAGACAGGGTTTTGCTCTGTTGCCCAAGCTGAAGTGCAGTCGCTCAATCACAGCTCACTATAGCCTTGACCTCTCATTTCTTGTAGCTCAAGGGATCCTCCCATCTCAGCCTCCCAAGTAGCTGGGACTACAGATGTGTGCCACCAAACCTAGCTAATTTTTTTTTATTTTTCATAGAGATAGGGTTTTACTATGTTGTCCAGGCGGGTCTCAAACTCCTGGTCTCAAGCAATCCTCCTGCCTTGGTCTCTCAAGTTCTGAGATTATGGTGTGAGCCACCATGCCCAGCCTTTGTTTTCTTTGTAATGACTAAGTAAAACTTAGAGAAGGAATGCCGCCTCACTGGAAGAGCTTTGCAATATTTTGGGGAATTCCAAGCAAAAGATAATAAAGTTTTAAAGTGTTATATACACTCATTTTCAGAATTATTGTTTTGCTGCTTTAGAATTTATTAAGTTTCAGAAAAGGATGGGGGAAGTATATTTTCTCTGTTTCTCCGTTTACACCTTAGTAAAGCATTCGACATCTGTCCCTGCTTCTCTAAAAAATAGAGAAACCAAAATGTCTTGATCCAGAAGGTCTCCCACTATCACTGCAAGCTTTTTTCTGTAAGTTACTTACAAACTTAAACCAAGAAATAAGGATCTAAAACTTCCACTAAATTATATTTAAATCAAATTGTTTGATTTATCATACTACAGGAAAATTCCAATGACAGATTATTCCCATTCAATAAAGATTTTCTTAAAAGGTCAACTCTAATAAAATTAAAGGCATAAATAAATGAGCAACATAAATGTGTGTAGGTCTGTGATTGTGTATAAATATGTATAACAGAACTGAGTTGATCCATATTCAACCCAATCGTCTACAATGTTATAATCACAATATCATATGGAAGTTCTGTAAAACCTTGGCACCCTGGCAAAGTTAAATTATATTGTTTTGTTTTCACATAGTGTCTTTTATTGCAAGAATGTAGTAACTAGTAACTCTCCAGAAACAAAATACTAAATGTTATGTCTTCCCCAAAAACATTCTAGATAAACAAGAGGCTAGGAATATATAGACTACAAAGTTACTTTCCAATCCATTAAATCCTTTTACATCAACCCATGTCCAGTATTTGCATTCTCAGACCAACTAATGTTCCTTATCTTGAGCTCTAATTTGCTTGCTGCAATTATTCTAAATCTGGTTCCATTTCTCCTGGGTTCCAAAGGCTATGTATAGTTCATTTACTCTTTTGTTACCCTCTGTTCCAGGAGTGGACCAGAGAGAATAGCCATGATCAACTATATACATAATAGAACCTATAAAAGCTAAACATAGGAGAGGAAAAAGGAAGATAGCAATTGAAAAAAACAGTAAACCTTGACTCAAGAGATCCTACTCTGCCACAGACTTGCTGTATTGACCTCAAGTCACATTACCTCTCTAAATCTTACCTATTACAATACTACTTAGATAAAATATAAAGTATGCTTCCAAAGATATTCAAGGATGTACAGAGTCAGTTTTGGCAGAATGCATTTACAAGTTCTTAGTTGTGTCTGTTTTTCCTCTATTTACTGCTTTTATGGTTCTGCATTTTCACTCAAGTTTTCCAAAATTCCTATTTAGAACTACTGCTTCTGTATTGCATACAATTAGACTAATCCTTCCTAATCTGAAAGATGAGAAACATTCACTTCTAACAGCTTTCTTGAGCCCCTTACTCACTACAAATTGAGGTTTAGAACATGCCTGATCCCTTGCTTCCTCTCCCTTATCTGATTCTTCTAAACTCCTGTCTTTTAGGTTATCACTAGATCTTTTCGGTTTCTATTTAAAACAAAGTTCTTCTATTTCTTACTGTTCTTATTTTTCCATAAATCAAAGTGTTTAACATATTACAACGTTTTAGTTCTCAGTATTATCACTTTTTGACAGGTCTCATAGATAATACTCACATGTTCGAGGTACATATCTGCCCCAAAATGTTAGTAACATACTTTCCCCCATGTACTATAATGTTTAGTAACATTTATGCAAATATTTCATTAAAATAAAACCTCTTCAGGAAATAAAGCTGCACAGTTATAGTTATCCTAGCAGGCACTAAAACTAGCCATAATTTCAACTGATATTAAAAATATGCATCCTTTAAATAAATAAAACAAATATTTATTAAATAATAAAATCAACTATTAATAGTAAGTAAACTAAAAAGTATACACTATATATACCTACCTAGCAACAGAGTACATAAAGAGAAAATCATTGTCTGGTGAGCCCGGGGTCTTGCTATAGTCTCTATATTTCTTCTGAGTGGTATTTTTTATATCTTTCATTACAGATTCCATTTCTTTACTTAAATTTGTTTCTGACTATAAAAAAATGCAAACATACATATAAAGTTTATATTCACTTTCTTTAATAATGGTCTGAAACTAGAATGTTTATTATATGAACATAGTAGGAAATTAAAATTAAAAAGTCAAAACAGAACATTATCTATTATAAATATATTTAGTGTACAAAGTTAAACCAATCAAAAAATACTCTCTAAACAGTGATCTTTTATTCTAATTCTACATTGTGACTGGTAACACTGTAATCCAACTATGAATTAACCACATAAATTATGCTAAGCCAATGAGATGATGGTATTAAAATAATATGTTAGAACAAAGTTTCCATGTCTATAAAAAACCTGACTTTCATTTAAGTTCATTTTTCAAAGAATAATATCAATGTCCCGTAAGTTTAAGCATATTTTAAACACATAAGAATTTGGATTTATAAAATTTTAAAAAGACCACAAATTCTAAAATTAGTCTTCGCTTGAGAAAGGGAATTGCCAGATGAATCTATCTAGGTTTAAAGTATGCATTTCTGTTTCAAAAGTCAAATATTCACAATTTTCACAAATTTACTACATAAACCAGACACAGCTGTCACTTCTCTCAGAGACCATATCACAAATCTATAATGAAGGTGAAATTTTTTTTTATGAAGGTGAAATATTTTAAGAATTTAGACCAAACAAATCCTACTGGATGGGATAAAAGATGAGTTCCCCCCTACAGTAGTCTGACTTGTGATGAACAGTTCAATCAATTACACAATATTTTATCTCTCGAATACACATACACACAGTAAATACATGTGCATGTCTGTGTAAATATATCTTCTTAATCCTAATATACCTAATGGGCATATTTTTAAGTGATTAAATTGTGTTTTATATTGAGATACATACACACACACACACACACA
This sequence comes from Homo sapiens, assembly GCF_000001405.40. Lineage (NCBI taxonomy): Eukaryota > Metazoa > Chordata > Mammalia > Primates > Hominidae > Homo > Homo sapiens. The sequence continues at coordinate 170,007,911 of NC_000002.12, read as the reverse complement.
GAGTATATATAGCTTGTTTTTTAAATAATTCAACATCTTTTTTATTTTGAGAGGGAGTCTCGCTCTGCTGCCTAGACTGGAGTGGAGTGGCACGATCCCAGCTCCCTGCAACCTCCGGCTCCTGGGTTTAAGCAATTCTCCTGCCTCAGCCTCCCGTGTAGCTGGGATTACATGTGTGTGCCACTGTGCCCGGCCAATTTTTGTATTTTTAGTAGAGATGCGGTTTTGCCATGTTGGTCAGGCTGGTTTCAAACTCCTGACCTTAAGTGATCTGTCTGTCTCAGCGCCACCACGCCTGGCTAATTTTTGTATTTTTAGTAGAGACGGGGTTTTGCCATGTTGGCCAGGCTGGTCTCAAACTCCTGACCTTAAGTTATCTGTCCACCTCAGCCTCCCAAAGTGCTGGGATTACAGGTGTGAGCCACCGTGCCTGGCCTATTTGAACATCTTAAAAGAGGCTAACTCCATCTAAACCTATAGGGGTTCTTGACCTAGAAGACGTATATTAAAACTCAGAATTTAGCCTAAAGAGAAGTATAGCCTTTGATAATAATTTGTTCTATTACTTTTATTTAAGTATAAATAGAAGAGAACAAAACCTCTAAAAGCAATTTCTACTAAATATGTAAAAGTCCAGAGTAATTTATAAACTGAATTAAAATGAAAGCAGAAAATCAGAGCTGAGTTAACCAGGATATTTATGCCTTACACTGATGCTTACTGGGAAAGCTCCCGGTCGTCCCTGCAGCTCCTCCACTTCCTTTATGAGATCTTGTATGCTTTTGTTGCTAGGACGTTGCCAAGGGTTATTTTCCACATTGCTTCCAGGATAACATGGAAGAACACTGTTAGCAAACTGCCTACAGAGTGGACACGTGAATTCTCCTTTGTCCACCGAGAAGCCCTGAAGAACCTGGTCATTCTAAAAGACGAAATAAACATACAGATGCGTGATATACACATTCATAGAAAACAAAAATTATACCACCCATTTTATAGTAAATTAATAAACCATAGAAAAAAGACATCTCTAATATATGTCATAAAGAAATAAACAAAATCCTTCATTTAACTGTTAAAGTTCACCAAATCACTTCTTACATCATAGCAATTACGTAACACTTGCCCTCACCAATACACTGTTTAAGTATCTTACTCTTCTCTCAATATGAAACTTTCAAGTGATGGTGCAATTAATCTGAAATGTGGATTTAAGATAAAGAATAATTCAAAAAACAGGCCACATTAAAGTGGGTTGCCCTCCTCTTACCCCATACCCCTGTTTTCATAATCTGTAACTGACTACTGGGAAGATTATCCCAATGCTCATGTTCTTTGATCTAGGATAAATAGCTTTTAAGAGTAAATAAGCCTCAAAAAAAGTGACTTCTAAGGGGTCTAACTGCTAAATACAACTGATTGGACAACTGAGTTAGTGCTCATTTCATTATATCTTGCATCTCAAGTACTTTGACTAAGAGAACTATGAATTCTATTTTTCACTTTTTGACATTAACTTTTTAAGTCCTTAAAAATGTAACAACATATCTTCCTAAATCCAATTCTACAAACATTTACTAAGCTCCTACTATGTGATAAATGCTGTGCAAGGTGATAGCATAAAGAGTTAAGATACATTTTTCCTTCTTAAGGTACTCACGATTTAAAAGCAAAATCAGGCAAATAAATTTAGTGTGATAAATGCCACAACAGAGAAGCCTTTCCAGAGAAGAAGATTTGTGAGCTAAGTTTTAAAAATACACAAAAAAGTGTGCTAAAAAATTGGGGCAAGGGTCCTGGTCACAGAAGAACATTCTGTGATAAGCTTCTTGACAGCCTTAATTCCAAAGAATGCTAGATACTCTTTTTTGCTGTAACTGAAGCTGGGTTCTCTCCTGAAGCACCCCCAGAAACCCTCTCAACTCACCCTCCTACATCTCTCACATCTCAGCACCCTCTGGTGCTGGCCCCAGATCATTACTCCTGCATTCCCTTGTCTTTGTGGCTCATGTCATTTAGCAATACTATCCTTTTCCTTCCTTTTCACTGCCACCTACTGCCTGCAACCACTGAAGACTTTGGTACCTCGATATGTTTTCCTCATCACTCCAAGTCCTGCATCTTCCTATGCAGTTTCACTATATATGTATACAACCAATCTTATACCTTAGTCCTTCAGCTCCTTAACCTCATCAGCTCCTATAGTTTTGGCCTCCACTCTACTCCAGCACCTGTTACCATAACAACATCCTTGTCCTGTAATAACTCAAAATTACTCGTGATCTGAAAATATTAAATTTAAACATCTTATATTCTGACTACCAACTTCCACCTCCTTTACTCCCTTCTTTTTCTCCCAGTTCATCAGGTTTTTCTTATCCTATCTGCACACCATTGTCTACCACTTCAAAAACTCATGGCAACATTTCCCACTCGCCCTCTATGTGTCCTTTCATCATTCACACCAAACAAAGCCTTCATATTAAATTAATCCAATGTATGCCGTCTCCAATTCTGCACTCAAACTGAGTGTTGTCAGAGAAAAATAAAATGCCTTCTTGCTACAAACTGTTTCCAACCTCAACTTTGTCCTTGAATACTGCCTGGCACTCTTTCTCTACATCCTAGGAAGCACTCTCTCATCCAATCCCAAAGTGGTTTTCCCGGTTTTTTTGTTTTGTTTTGTTTGAGACGGAGCCTTGCTCTATTGCCCAGACTGGAGTGCAGTGGCGCGATCTCAGCTGACTGCAAACTCCGCCTCCAGGGTTCATGCCATTCTCCTGCCTCAGCCTCCTGAGTAGCTGGGACTACAGGCACCCGCCACAGCGCCCGGCTAATTTTTGTGTATTTTTGGTAGAGACGGGGTTTCACTGTGTTAGCCAGGATGGTCTCGATCTCCTGACCTCGTGATCCATCCGCCTCGGCCTCCCAAAGTGCTGGGATTACAGGCATGAGCCACCATGCCCAGCCTTGTTCTCTTTCTTTTTGTTTGTTTGTTTTGAGATGGAGTTTTGCTTTTGTTGCCCAGGCTGGAGTGCAATAGCACAATCTCAGTTCACTGCAACCTCCACCTCCCGGGTTTAAGCAATTCTCCTGCCTCAGCCTCCCGAGTAGGTGGGATTACAGGCACTCGCCACCACACCCAGCTAATTTTTGTGTTTTTAGTATAGATGGGGTTTCGCCATGTTGGCCAGGCTGGTCTCGAACTCCTGACCTCAGGTGATCCACCCACCTCAGCCTCCCAAAGTGCTGAAATTATAGGCATGAGCCACCGTACCTGGCCCCCAAAGTGGTTTTTCAAACCACCTCCTCACCTGCCAAGTCACTCACCTTCCCCACCCCTGCCCCCTTTACTCTAGGAGCATGAGGTTATACCTCATATCTCAGACAGAAGAGACTCATGGCAACTCCTTCAGCATCCTGCCCTCTCCCATCACAAATATATAATTAATTAACCCCATCAATCCTTCCAGCTACTTTCTTCTATCACCTTTACTCATCTCTCTCCTAAGTAGTCTCCCAAACATACCACTACATGACCTAATGTATCTAGTGTCTAATGTCTAATGTGAGACTTTGTTATTTCCAATCAAAATCTTTCAGTGTCATCATCACCTATCACGTTGATTCCTTCTTCCCCCTCATGCTCCAGAAGATTGTCCTTCTAAATATATTTCAAATCTATATTCTCCTCTCCATTTTCATAGACATGAGTAAGTCCAAGCCCCCACCACATTTTTTCTTACTTTTCTGCAATTCCCTTTCTCCACAACTGTCACAATGACTCTTCTGGACATTTTATATTTCTGCTTAAGAGTCTTTAATGGCTTTCTCTAAGGAATCTACATAAAGTCCAAATTCTTTAAATGGACCAGAAGGCCCCTTACAATGTAAACCTTAACTACTTATCCTGTCTAATCTCTCATCACTCAAGCACCTTACTTCATCAAAATGTTCTGGAACCTGGCAGATGGCCAGGCACAGTGGCTCACGCCTGTAATCCTAGCACTTTGGGAGGCTGAGGCGGATGGATCACGAGGTCAGGAGATCGAGACCATCCTGGCTAACATGGTGAAACCCCGTCTCTGCTAAAAATACAAAAAATTAGCCGGGCGTGGTGGCGGGCGCCTGTAGTCCCAGCCACTCGGGAGGCTGAGGCAGGAGAACGGCGTGAACCTGGAAGGCGGAGCTTGCAGTGAGCCGAGATCGCGCCACTGCACTCCAGCCTGGGCACAGAGTGAGACTCCATCTCGGAGGGGAAAAAAAAAAGACTCTGTGTATACCTAACATTTAGCATGCGTACTGTAACTGTTTGCTTGTCTCTCTTACGTAATACATAGTAAACTCATTGAGGGAAGGAACTGTGCCTTATGTACCATTGTATCCACAATGATTATCATAGTATCTGGAACACTGTAGATACTGAATAAATATTGCTGAAGGAATAGTTGAATACAGGGATATGAAAAATGCATAATGTGTTTAAGGAACTAGTAATTAGCTTATTAATGTTGAACTGATGGAAGACAACACTAAAGCAATGGGCAAGACCAGATCCTGGAGTACCTGAATGCCATTCAGAGAATAGTGAACTTTATCCTATCAGGAGGAAGACAGCAAGAGATTTTAAGCCAACAACACGTATTGTTGATTTAAATTTTAGAAAGCTCAATGTAGTAAATAAGTTACACCTGGAATAAGGAAATCAGTAAGAAAGCAATTCCTATAATCAAGATGAGTGAGGAAGGCATACACAAAAAAGTAGCAGTGGGATTAATGAAGGTAGAATATAGTCAAGTGAGATTTAGAAGGCAGAATCAATAGAATTTTGGTAAGGGACTGAAAGTGAGAGGTGAGGAATAGGAAGGAAAAAAGAGATATCTACTGCTTCTGAGTTAGGAACATGAGAATATAGTAGACCTGTATTTAAGAAGTTGCTTTTAAGAAGTTGTGCTGCTTGAACTCAGGAGCGTAAGGCTTCAGTGAGCTATGATCGAGCCACTGCACTCCATCCTGGGAAACAGAGTGAGACCCTATCTCAAAAATAAATAAATAAATAAAATAAAAGTTACACTGAAGGAGAAAGAGAAGTCTTCAGCTATAGGAAAATAAGAAAATGTAACATCCAGGGAAGGATTCTGAATGGGAGAGGTTTGAACTCAGCTCCTGATGAGCTGAGAAGGGGCAGAAGAGGCAGAAAAACTGAAAATACAGAAGAAAAAGAAGTTACCTACTGATGAATTAAGGCCCCTGAGGTGTTGGGGAGAAAGGTCTACCAGAGCTCAGGCAGAAAAGTTATTCCTGAACAGAAGAAGGGCTACAGTACTACCTCAAAGAGTAGCAAAGAAAAGACTGGCTGGGATGTTGGACTCATTTATCAGGGAACAGAAAAGCAAGATAGGAATCTAAGGGAATGTGACAACAGACGCTGTTTTCTTAATGACAAAGGAAGAGACAGAATCTGTTAAGAGGAAATGAATCTTGGGGAGGCAAAGGTTTGGAATAGCTGCTGAGGAAAATGGGAGAGGGAACTGATCAAAGACAGGTAAATGAATTAATAGGCAGTATTTATAGCCCATAACCCTAGTCTAAGCCACTGTTATAGGAAGCCACAAGTTTGTGATAATAATCATTAACCTAGTTTTATGACTTTTCAAGCTGGGATAGCTGACTGGGTCTAAAATCAAAGGAGGCTGATTAAATGAGATTGACAAGAATAGAATGGGTATAGTACAAGAAAGTGAGGATAGCAAAGAGCTAATACACTAGGAAAAAATTCAAAGGGTTAAAGGACTATAGATCTTGATGTCAGAGGCAAATCACAATAATGAGAGTGAAGACAAGAGAACTTATGTGAGAATCATAAGGTGACATGGTAGGATATTAAAGCTTAATATTTCAGAGAGAGTAGCAAAGTCTAAAGTGCAGCCATGAAAGTCAGTTGCTAAAGTGAAAAAAATTTTTCTTTCTTTTTTTTTTTTTTTTTTTTTTTTTTTTTTGAGATGGAGTCTCTCTCTGTTGCCCAGGCTGGAGTGCAGTGGTGCAACCTCAGCTCACTGCAACCTCTGCCTCACAGAGTCAAGTGATTCTCCTGCCTCAGCCTCCCAAGTAGCTGGGATTACAGGTGCACACCACCATGCTCGGCTAATTTTTGTATTTTTAGTAGAGACAGGGTTTTGCCAGGTTGGCCAGGTGGCCACGTTGGCCAGGCTGGTCTCGAACTCCTGACCTCAAGTGATCTGCCCATCTCGGCCTCCCACAGTGCTGGGATTACAGGCATGAACCACTGCGTCTGGCTAGTTGCTAAAATGAAACTGAAATTAAAAAATGAAAATCCTTGAAGTTGAACAGGTCTGTGTTAAAGTGAGACTGGATAGTTTATACGATGATCAAAATCACCTAAAAAGATGAGCTGGAATTGGGATGTATATACTATAAAAAGATTTAATACCTGGAAAGATACATGCACCTTTAAAAAATTTTTGCAATCAACTTACCCGTAATGATTCCATGTAAGATTTATGACAATCTATATGTAATGTGTGACCACAGGTTTGTACATAAACACCTCCTTCCCAGCCAATTGATACTGCCAAGAGACATGAACTCTTCAAAATAAAAAGAAGACAAATACAATTAATTTTAAAGAAGTACAAACATATTTAAATATTAGTATGTCCACATAAACCTCTGCATGATTTCCTATTTTTATATTAATGTGGAGTTTCTATTCTTGTGATATCAATTAATGCCTGACTAGATAGTCTTCAGGCACTATCTTTAAAATTGGAATACCATGAAGTTGTAGCTCCCAAACTTCTATACTCATAATGAAAGAGAATAAATATTATGAACTAGCCTTTGTCCGCTCCATAAAATATATGCTCTCAATATTACACTATAGTTCAGTATGAACTATACTGTTGCTGAGATAAAGTATGGTACTGAATCTCTCTATGATTTCTGACATTAACAACTTACTTCTTGAAACGCCTACTTTCCTCTGGTTTAATGCTACTCTCTCGGTTTCGTTCCTGCCTCTTTAACTGTTTTTCTCAGCCTTCCTTCTAAGGATCTTTTTTTCTTTGCTTACCCCTTCAATGTCTATTCCTCTAATCCTCAAGGTTCTATTCTCAGTGCAAGTCTCTTCTCATTAAAACTATTTTTCCTAGTGATTTAAGCAGTAATTTTGACTACCCTGCAAACTTAGATCTCTTGCCTGACCATTAGATACAAGTACTCATGCCACTCAGAAATCTCCAGTTTAATGTCCCACAGACAATATAAAATCAATGTGCCAAAAACGTAAATTGTTATCTTCTCCATGAATCATCTCCCTCCTCTTGGTTCAATAACTCCACAATCTATTTAGTCACCAAGTCAGAAAGCCAAGAGTCATTCTATATCACACTCTTACCTTCATACCACAATATCAGTTCCCAAATCATATGGATTCTGTCTCCTAAATAATTCATGATTTTGGTCTTTCCTCTTCATTTCCAGTACATAATATTCAAGTCTATATCCCACGGAGTGGGAGAAGTGGTTCTTAAACAGTTTCTTAACTCGTCTCCTTAACTCAAATTTGTTCTCTCCATGATGTAACCTCCATACAGCTTTATAAAGTACAAATCTAGTCACAAGAATAACCCAAAAACATGCCTTAATATTTACAAGGTCTTAATATAATATACAATAAAGAAGGGACCCAGACTATATAAGCAAACTATATATCCTTTCCAAATTTGTTTTTTTTTTGTTTTGTTTTTTGAGGTTTTTTTTTTTGAGATTAAGTTTCACTCTTGTTGCCCAGGCTGGAGTGCGATGGCGCAATCTCGGCTCACCACAACCTCCGCCTCCCGGGTTCAAGTGATTCTCCTGCCTCAGCCTTCCAAGTAGCTGGGATTACAGGCATGTGCCACCACATCCAGCTAATTTTGTATTTTTAGTAGAGACAGGGTTTCTCCATGTTGGTCAGGCTGGTCTCGAACTCCCGACCTCAGGGAGTGATCCACCCGTCTCGGCCTCCCAAAGTGCTGGGATTACAGGCATGAGCCACCGTGCCTGGCTCCAAATTTGTTTTAAAAGTTTCTTTCTTTCATCTTTCCTTTCTCTTTTACATCTTCAACTTCGCTTTCATTGCTAATTCCTCCCTCTAAATCTATAAATAGGCTGAAGACTTATTCTCCTAAAATCTCTTTCTTAGAATTTTCATCAATTGGCCTCTGTCAAATAGCATTTGGGCCCAAACTTTAATTCATTCTCTACAATCTGTAGTAAATAGATGGGTGGGCCAGAGCAATATGAAGGCACAAGATCTAACAGGACTGGCAACATATGATGAAAGATTTGAGAGCCATCAAACAAGCATGTACTTACATGCTTAAAAAACTGAATCAATCTTTAAATTTTATTTTTATAATGTAAGATGACCAATGATCTTTAAATGACAGTAAACAAAGTTCCGATATTAAATGAAGACTCTTCACGAGTATCTAAAGTTGAAAGTACTGTGTATTACATAGTACAAAATGACTTCCCAGCCAATTTAAAGATGTGAAGCTGCATAAATCAAATACAGCTGGTGAGCAGGCTTCTACTGTTACAAATCAGAAAAACAACAGGAGGCCTGCTCATCTTTGTTTTATGTTTTGGAGCTGCTTGAAATAGAAGCAGATTTTGGAGTTAGATCATTTTAGAATGATTGGTAGTCCGTTAATAAACCAGCTGCTCTCTTTGGCACTATACTACAAAAAGGCAATTAATCTGTATTTTTAATAAAAATGGCTAGCTTTTAAAACTGGAAACAATGAGTCATTCGTCTACACAACTTTTAGACATTTGAGTTTGCCAGTCAAAAAATGCAGGATAACACTTAATAATGTGAGACTAGTATTTTAGGGAGACCTCAAGTATCCACCACTGTGCTAAGTGCCTAACACTGAAATGTCACAACCTCAATAATTACTAAAACCTCATAAAGAAGCTGGAGTTATCCCTTTTTACAAGAGAGGAATGATAACTTTACCAAGATCACTAAGTTATAAGTTCAAACCCAAGTCTGTCTGACTCCACAGCTCAGGTTCCTTCTCTCTGTTGTGTCATATTTCCCATGTGTTACACTTCCAGTTTCTACCGTGAATGCACTGTCTTATATAACTAATATTCTACATGTCAATTCTGTAAAATGCATGCATTTAATCTGAAGACAGTAGAATCTACAGTTTAATCCTATAATCAATATCAGTGCCCACTGATAGTCATTCTTCTGCTCTATACAGTCTGGTCCAGCTACCACTCTGGTACTCTTATGTTTAGAGTAATTCAGGAAGAAACCCAGTAAGCATCTACAACACACATAGCATGTGCTAGCCCCTGAATCAACATGAGGCATAGCCCTGGACCTCCAGAGGTATGCAGTCTAGGGAAAATGCCATATATACATAAAACAGGTCTTATAAAAGCATACAAAAGTAATGATGTAGGAATAAAAATCTCACAATCACTAACAGAAACACAACAGAGTATAATCCAACTCAGATTTCAGCTCGGAGACTTTTTATAAAAAAGATTTTTTTTCTAGAAATGAATAATTACTCTGGCTGCAAAAAAGAGATACCCTAACTTTTTGCTCCCATTTATTAGATCGTCTCTTCCCTCAAAATTATTATGCTCTTAGGTCTAGGTTTATTTTGATTGAATTTTTAAAAAGTTTTCTATTTGGTGTTGGGATTCATCTTTACCTGTTTACTCTAAAGTAATTAAAAATGATAAAAATTAAAACCAGGATTATTGATAGTGGCAGGAGACAGACAAATTCCTAGACAGACAGGGCCAGGTCTAATTAAAAATGATAAAAATTAAAACCAGGATTATTGATAGTGGCAGGAGACAGACAAATTCCTAGACAGACAGGGCCAGGTCCCTGGTGAAACCCAACCTCCAAACCACAGACAATTTAAAGCCTGAAAACCGAGCTGCAGTTTCAGGTAGAATCCATGACTGGAGTGAGAACTTCCTTGAAAATCAAATGGTGCTTTTATCAGGTCCACACATGGATCATTCAGCATGCACTCCCCCATTCTGAGACCATGAAAACCATGGACTCAGTCACAAGGCAGCTACCCATTTTCAGGCCCCCTCTCACACAGAAGGCTACCCACTTCAGGTCCCCTCTTGTTGTTGAGATCTTTTCTGTCACTTGATAAAATTCTTCTCTGCCTTGCTCACTCTCTGGTGTCCATGTACTTCATTCTTCTTGGTTGTGGGACAAGAACCTACCCACCAAATGGCAGGAGCAAAAAGGGCTGTAACATGCTCCTGGCCGGCTCACAGAGCTGTGGGTAGCGGAAATGAAAAGAGTTGTGACATGCCTCCATTCACTAGACTACGGGAGTGAAGAGCTGTGACCCTTCTGGGGGCCCAGACCTCAGCACTCCCCAAGCAGAAGCTGTGACACCCCCTTGGGGCTCTGTGGTTGCTGGTGTCTCTGAGTTTTCGGGTGCCACTGCATCCCCCTCATTTGAATGCTGGCACCCAGCCATAGAAGCTGCTTGCAGCACACCTGGCCCCACCACAGGAAGAGCTTGGAGCTGCAGTGGTTGCGGGATCCAGGCTGGGGAGCGAGTTGAGCGCAGCCTGCCAGCCAGCCTGGGTAGAGTGAGCCCAGTGGGCCCGAGTGAAGCCCAGGCAGAGGTGCCACCAGCCACAGAGGTTTCTGCCTAGTGAAGTGGCACCAAAAGAATCCTGTGTCGTTATGACAAAAAAATAAAGTCTAAATAAAGTCTAAATAGTAAATTTCTGCAAAAGCAGAACTTAGCATTGTTTCCCAATTTTCCTTGAAAATAAAATATTTATTGGTCTCTGATTAATAAAGTAATATATGTATCCTGTAAAAAAAAAAATCCAAAGCAGGCCGGGCATGGTGGCTCACGCCTGTAATCCCAACACTTTAGGAGGCCAAGGCGGGCAGATCACGAGGTCAAGAGATCGAGACCATCCTGGCCAACATGGTGAAACCCTGTCTCTACTAAAAATATAAAAAATTAGCCGGACATGGTGGTGGGCGCCTGTAGTCCCAGCTACTCGGAAGGCTGAGGCAGGGGAATCATTTGAACCCAGGCCCCAGGAGGCAGAGGTTGCAGTGAGCTGAGATCGCACCACTGCACTCTAGCCTGGCGATGGAGTGAGACTCTATCTAAAAAAAAAAAAAAAAAAACAAAAGTCCAAAGCAATAAAGAACAAAGAAAAAAGTGTGAAAATATGTGTACACACATACGTGTATTTATACACACACACATACAGAGACTGCTACAAAATAACCATAATTTCATTTTAAAGTCTCTGAAAATATACGGAAGCATGACCCTTATTACCTAACCCAAACTGTCTAACAGGCCTAACCTAGCCTTCCTAAATGGGATAGCTTGAATATTTAAAACATCACTTTACATTTATATTGACCTGTATTATATGCAGAGTGACCTATATGCAGAGTGAACCCTAACCTGGTGATTACTGCATGAAAGATCATTATCAGCCCTATTTTACAGATGAGGAAATTGAGTCTCAGACCACTTAAGGGATTTGGCCAAGCTCACATTGCTCAGAAATGGCAGAATCAGGACCAAACCCCAGTTTTTCTGGTCTAGGACTCTTTCTACTCTACACAATACCTCCCTGTAGGTCCATCAGCTCCTGCAGAAGCCACCAGAAACCTTCTTGTCAGCCTAGCATATTAAGGAACCAGACTCTACTCTGGCTCTTATCATCACTAGGTCAGTTCCTATTTATTCTGATTATGTATTCTGTCTTCCACTTATCTTACTAATTTCTTCCACTTCAACCAATGGATTTATGGGCAAGAAAGAAGTTCTATTTGGAAATCTATCCATATAATCATCTTATATAGCTAACTAAAAATAATGTTTTACTTTATATTTTAAGCTAATATCTTACATTTATTTAATTCAAGACACAGTAGATTTAAAAAACTACAACAGGAGAAAGGAAACCCCATTTGATAATCCACTCAGGAAACATCAAAAGGAATACAGAAATTTTAAAAAGACGTTAACAATGCTGCTGCTACTAAAGTTTATGTTGAAGGCCTTCAGATACTTCTGAGTGTCAGAGCCTGAAAAAAAACTACTAAGTTTGTAAGAAGTCGTAGCAGATATGAATCAAATCCATCCTTACTTCACATTTTAAAAGTATCATAATGAAATTTTATTATATATCTTTAAATGAAAGTAAAAGAGGGAGGCAAAAATCTTCATACAACATTCCTACCATAATAAAAGTTTCTACAGAGTTAATACATTAAGTCCTCACTTTAATGTTATCAGTAGGTTCTTGGAAACTGTGACTTTAAGCAGATGATGTGGAACAAAACTAATTTAACCACAGGTTAATTGATATAAACAAGAGTTAAATTCCTGTAGTATATTTCTGATTACAAAAACATCATCAAAACTTCTAAAGACCTAAAACATTTCTAATACGAAACACTGAAATAAATGCGGAGTATGCATACATTTGAGAAAGTTTAATAAAAACAAGATAACGATTTACCCAATTTTTGACAAAACAATGAGTGCTGTCAGTAGTAGTGGTGATGGGTTAAATTAAGGAATAAATGTTTGCAAAGTGAAAATCGTTAAAGAGCACTTCCTATTACCATGCAGTTTAAAAACAAACAATAACAAATATGCGGGTTCACTGAGCCCTTTCATACCACATCGTTATTATGCAGCTGTATAATTATCATATACTTTATAAATTTTTACTTTATCATATACTTTATAAATTTATAAATTAAAAAAATTAATATGTTTTCATTATTTCATTCATTTTCCAGCCTACTTATTCCAGTTCACAGTCATAAGTGGCTGGAGCCTATCCCGCAGCTCAGAGCACAAGGTAGGGATCGACCCTGGGCAGGACCCCATCCCATGGCAGGACACACTCACATCCACACCCATACTGACTCATACCAGGACAATTTAGACATGCTAATTAACCTAATGTGCAGCACATCTTTGAGAAGTAGGAAGAACTGGAATACCCAGACAAAACCCATAAAGACATGGGGAGAACACATAAATTCCCCACTGACAGTGGCCCCAGTAGGGAATTTATTTTTTTCTCATCAACATTATAACAAAACAATGTTGAAAGAAACAACGTTATTTAAGGACCTGCTGTACTCTTCATTCCACTTAATTGAATGTGTGTATCACACAACAAACAACATTTAAAACAAAGGTATCACATTTATTACCTGAAATGTTTATTAACAGATTTCCATTTCTTTCTATCCACATATTAATTTTTTTCTAATAAACTTTCAAATTTAACATCAGAATGCCATTTTGGTAAAAGACATGTAAAATTCTGGAGGGAAATAACCATCAACTTGGCAGACAAAAGTACTATTTTATAAAGAGTACTTACATCCTTAAAATAACGCTGTAATAATGAAAGCCTCACATCATGAACGGCTGCACAGGTATCCCAAGGGTAAATCTGCTCCTCTTCACTGATCGGCAACTTTTTTGGCTCAACATTGTCACGGCACTGCCCCAAAACTACATTAACAGATAAAAGCTCATTAATCAAAAATAATCAGTGCCATAGACCTGTAACTCCAAGAAAAGCTGAGTTATTTACCACAAGCAACTCAAATTATTTCACTATTAGAATATTTTTAAAGACCCCTCAAAAAAGTGGTATTCTAGTTTTCTCCTACAGGCTAAATAAAGCTTCACATATGCCAATATTTACTTTAAAAAATTAACACTGAACTATGATTATAAACTCAAGATGGATGGATGGATGGGTTCCTAAATCTGTCCACTGAAAAAGCCTACATGATATAACTCTCCAGTATTCACAAACTTTATTTCTAAATATACTATTTCTCACTAAAAGGAAGAAGAGATCCTTGGAGAAAGAGCTGAGTCCGGGGTTGGGGAAAAGTGCAAGGTGAGCCCGGAAGGATGTGTGATTAAAAAGAGCAAGGAAGTGTTCAAACACTGAGGGAGCAGATTTATAAAGACCTGGAGTTCTGGTAAAATCTGAGAAAAGTTGAATATTAAAAAGAATAATAATAGTAATAGATAATACAATACGTTCACTGACCCAGGCAAGGAAAATCAAATAAAAGGGTAAAAGGGTGAGTAGAGTCTTAACGTATCATCCTATAGATTACCTACTACCTTACCCAAGGGATCAAACTTAGTTGGCACCACCCACAATAGGACAAATTGACACAGTGAACCTCCTGATGTAATGCTGTTGGAAGGAACATCACCTGTATAATACCCTTGCCAAAACTGTTTAACTTCAATCTAGTAACAAGGAAATAATCACACAAATCCAGACTCTGAGATATTCTATGGAACAACCAACTTGGACTCTGAAACTTTAAAAAGGGGCTAGAGAAACTGTTCTAAATTACAGGAGACTAACAAGAAATGATAATGAAAAACAATACATGATCTTTTATTCGATTGTGGATCAAGAAATATCTGCTATAAAAATATTACTGACTCTGACCACAAAAAATGATATAAGTGTATATGTGTATATGTTAATCAGCCTAATGGTAAAGTGGTATATACATTAATTAGCTTGACTTAATCATTCCACAATGTATACATGTCAAAATATCATATCACATTTATGTACCCCATAAATATGTACAATTTTTATTTATCAAGTAAATAAGAAACAAAAAATATTGCAGGGACAACTGAGAGAATCTGAATATAAACAGTATTTGATGTTACTAATGTTACATTTCTTAGGAATGATAATGGTACCATAATTATGTAAAAGAATATCCTTGGGCTGGGTGTGGTAGCTCATGCCTGTAAACCCAGCACTTTGGGAGGCCAAGGTGGACAGACTACTTGAGGCCAGAAGTTCAAGACCGGCCTGGCCAACATGACAAAACCCCATCTCTAATAAAAATAAAAAATTTAGCTGGGTATGGTGGTGCACACCTGTAATCCCAGCTACTCAAGAGGCTAAGGCATGAGAATTGCTTGAGCCTGGGAGGCTGGGGTTGCAGTGAGCTGAGATCGTGCCACTGCACTCTAGCCTGAGCAACAGAGAGGGACTCTGTCTCAAAATATATATAAGAAATTTTTAAAAAAGAATAACCTTGTTCTTAGGAGTTATATTCTAAAGTATTTACAGATAAAATGTCATGATGTGTGCATCAGAAGAGCTGCTCTTAAAAAAGGGAATAATAGGTTTATCACTGCGGGCCTTAAGTTTTGCAAGGATTTATAACAGCAACAGAAATAAGAGACAAAAGCTGGTAGATGCTACCAGCTAAAATATAATTACCATGATGCATAATCCTCTTAATATGCTGCTGCATTCAGTTTGCTAGAATTTTGTTGAGAATTTTTGCATGTATACTCATAAGGGATATTGGTCTACTGTTTTCCTGTGTTTATCTGGCTTTGGTATCAAAGCTAGCCTCATAGAATGCTAGCCTCTGAATAAGTTGGGAAGTGTTCACTCCTCTATTTTTTGGACAAGTTTGAGAAGCATTGGTGTTAATTCTTTAAATGACTGATAGAATTCACCAGTGAAGCCATCTGGTCCAGTCCTTTTCACTGTCAGATTTTTAAAAATTACTGAATCAATCTTTTTGTTATTAATATGTTCAAACTTTTTATTACTTCTTGGGTCCATTTGGTAGTTTGTATATTTGTAGGAAATCATTCATTTAATCCACGTCATCTAATTTTTTGGCATAAATTGGTCATAGTATTCTCCTATAATCCTTTCTATTTCCGTGAGGTCTGTAGTAAAGTCAATAATTTCATTTCTGATTTTAGTTATTTGAATCTTTTTTAATGTATGCATTTACAGCTGTAAATTTCCCCATTTTCACTGCATTCTAAAGGTTTGGGTATGTTGCATTTTCATTTTCCTTCACCTCAAAGTGTTTTCTAATTTCATTTGTAATTTATTCTTTGGCCCATTGGTTGTTTAAGAGTATGTTGTTTTAGGCCAGGCACGGTGGCTCACACCTGTAATCCCAACACTTTGGGAGGCCGAGGTGGGCAGATCACAAGGTCAGGAGATCGAGACCATCCTGGCTAACACAGTGAAACCCCATCTCTACTAAAAATACAAAAAATTAGCTAGGCATCGTGGCGGGCGCCTGTGGTCCCAGCTACTTGGGAAGCTGAGGCAGGAGAATGGTGTGAACCCAGGAAACGGAGCTTGCAGTGAGCCGAGACCACGCCACTGCACTCCAGCCTGCATGACAGAGTGAGACTCCATCTCAAAAAAATAATAATAATAAAATAAAGAGTATGTTGTTTAATTTCCACATACTTGTGAATTTCCCAGGTTTCCTTTTGTTATTCATAGCTAGTTTCATTCCATTATGACCACAGACAATTTTTTGAATAATTTCAATCTTTTAAAATGTTATTGAGGCTTGTTTTGTGGCCTAACATATGGTCTACCTAGGATAATGTTCCATATACCATTGAGAAAAATATATATTCCACTGTTATTGGGTGGAGTGTTCTATATAAGTCTGTTAGGTCTGGTTGTTTTACAGTGTTGCTCAAGTATTCAGTTTCCTTTCTGATCTTCTGTCTAGTTGTTCTATAAAGTCTCCAATTATTATTTTAGAAGTATCTATTTCTCCCTTCAATTCTGTCCATTTTTGCTTCCTACATTGGGGGCTCTGTTGTTTGGAGCATATATGTTTATAATACCTTCATGATGGATTGGCTGTTTATCAATATATAATCTCCTTCTTTGTCTCTTGTAACAATTCTTAACTTACAGTTTATTTTGTCTCATACTATAACCACCCCAGCTCTCTTTTGGTTACTATTTGCATGGAATCTTTTCCCATCCTTTCACTTTCAACTTATTGTGTCTCTGGATCTAAAGTGAATCTCTTGTAGCATCACATTTTTAAAAATTCATTCTGTCAACCTCTGCCTTTTACCTGGGCAGTTTAATGCATTTATATTTTAAGTAATTATTAACTTTAAAAAAAAATTAATTCTTCCTTTTTGCTATTTGTTTTCTATTTCTTCTTTAATTGATTACTGCCTTCTTCTGTAATTAATTGAATTTTCTGGTATAAAATTTTGATTCCCTTCTCTTTTCTTTTATGTGTGTGTGTGTGTGTGTGTGTGTGTGTGTGTATAACTTTTTTTTATAGTGTTTACCCCAGGGATTAGAATTAACATCTTCACTTTGTAACAATCAAATTTAAATAAATATCTACTTCATTTCAGAAATATACAAAAACTCCTCCATCCCCCTTCCCTTTGTGTTTCTATCTCAATGCCTACACTCTTCCACAAACAAGAACATTATTATTTGGTTTACAAATCTAGATATACAGTTCTTTCCGGATTTACTTTCTTTTATTATATATATTTTTGAAGTGCTATGAAAACTAACTGCTCTTTCTGAATCTTTGCAACTTTGGACTTTCTGAATCTTTGCAAAGATTGTAGGGTTTAGTAAAATGAAAAGACTATATAATATTGTATTATTCTCCTATGGAGAACTGAAGCTCCCCAAATCAGTAATGTTTACAACAGGCATTCTGAGCAATAATGAGATGGCACATAAATTAATATCTTTCCATGTAGATAAATGTACTTAAAGGCCCTTAATTAAGCAGTGTTTTGAAGGGTTCCTAATCAAAAGTCTGTAATTTAGCATAAATCAAATATAAAAATAAAGAGTTAAAAGCATGAGACTTTTCTTTAATACATGGTTTGAAGAACATGGCAATAAAGTATCAGTGAACACTAAAAAGATCTAGAACAATAAGCACACCTAGCATCCAGACTTTTGTCTCTAAATACCATTTCCCACTAAAAAGGAACTAATGCTTCTTTGAGAGATTGCTGATTTCAGGGCAGGAAATGTGTAAGATAAATTTATTGTAACTTGCCACACCAAAAAATGTAGAAAGACCCAAGGCTACTTACTACTCTAGCCTTGTATCAAAAGAACTCAGGAGACAACTCGAATAAGCTCTCAGTGAACAAAGATGGAAGAACACGAGCATCAACAAGAAAGTAACTATAGAGTTATTAATAGAGTTCATAATGATTAAAAACAGTTCACTAATGATACCTGAAAGTACTAATTATCTTTAGAAAATGATTTTTAAACCCCACTATCTCAATATTTTGAGCACCTGTAAATAAAAGGAAAGAATACTATGTCTACCCTGCCTTTCCTGTGTAATCTGTATCTCAGAGCAACAAAAAATAGGTGATGAAGTGAAATTTCTTTTATAGAAGTATATGTCAGCTAATAAACAACAACAAAAAACATGAAAGAGATTTGTAATCTCTGATCAACTGATGGATTTAGGCAGTAATCATCACTTCCTACTAATCTCACAGAGAGAAAACAGAGGGAACAGAGGAATATGTTAAACATCACAGCAACATTCTGAAAAATCCAAATTGGTTTTCAATGATCCAATTTCTTTAAAAAAGTAAAATGATGGGAGGAGGGGGTAAAGATAGAGGGAGAGTGGATCTATTAATTAAAAGACCACAAAGGAATACTGCAACTATAAATAAATTAAGCAAAATAAATAAATAAATAGAGACAATGGGAAAATTTTAAACACTGACTAGATGTTTGATGATACTGAAGAATTTATTTAGGACTGACTGTGGTTATGTTTAAAAAACAAGACCTTTCTTTTTAACAGAAACACTGAATTTTTTACAGATGAAATTATATGATGTCTAAAATCTGCTTCGAAATAATTCTAATAAGGAGGGAACAAATGAAATAAAATTAGCCAGAAATTAATCACTGTTGAAGATAGATGGGGACATGGGGGTTCACTTTGCACATCTCCTTAGCATACTGTTAAAAATTTTCCATATTCAAATCTAAAAGAGAAGAAATGAATCAAAATAAAGCAGCCCAGAGAAAAAAGGGGTAAAAGGGGGAAAGTATCAATGGGTGGATAAGGCTTAGATGGTAAAGAAGGAAACAGCTAGAGAATTCACCTATTATACTAAAATTATTCCTGAGTTTTAATACTCTTTAATGTCAGTTTCTTTTTTTCTTTTTTAATTTTTTTAAAGATAGGGTCTTACTCTATCACGCAGGCTAGAGTGCAATCTCAGCTCACTGCAACCTCGACCTCTTGGGCTCAGGCAATCCTCCCACCTTGGCCTCTTGAGTAGCTGGGACCACAGGTGCACATCACCACACCTGTCTAATTTTACTTTTTGTAGAGACAGGGTCTTACTGTGTTGCCCAGGCTGGTCTTGAACTCCTAGACTCAAGCAATCCTCCCACCTTGGCTTCCCAAAATGCTGGAATTACAGGCGTGAACCACTGTGTCCTGGCAATATTAGTTTCTTATTTTTTTCCTTCTATCTCTAAGGGATAAGGCAGCTACAGTATAGTGGAATTGTTTAATATTTATTGGTCTAGCTAGCATATACAATTGTTTAAAAGAGACTTTAAAAAGTAACAGACCAAATAAACTTAAAAACATAAAATAATGAACAAATAAAAGCTTAAAACAAGAACATAAGTTTCACTGGAGCAGGGATTTTGTTTTGTCTCTTACTAGAACAGTGCCTGACACCTAGGAGCTCAATAAATATCTATGAAATAAATTAATGAATAAAACAAATCATTACATTGATAACTATATAGTATTTAATCACGAAGTTGAAAGTCAATTGGCAATAATCTAATAAACTGCTTTCCTAAGAGTAGTAAAAAGGAAAAGTAGCTGTAAAAGTAGTTAATACTTCCACACATTTCCCTTTCAGTAAGCATTTCTGATTTGGACAGCTCTACTTCAATGTCCCACTAAATCAAGATTTCCCAAATCAATTCATTTTAGGCAAGAAGAGTAACAGAAGAAACGAATTTACTAGGCATCATATTGGATTCTTTTTGTTTATATTACATTGCTTAACCAATACAAAAATCCTCTAAAGTCAATATGAGCTCTCTACATAAAAGAAAAAAACATATTTGGCCACAGTAAGTAAACCAATACCATATTTGAATTCAGGGGAGTTTCTAATATCTAACTCTTTCCACTTTACCCTACTAATTCAGAGAGTTAACACCCTAGAAAATAATCCTCTGGAGAAATATGTAAGAATTTTTTTTCTCTTTATTTTACACATACTCTTGTTGGAAAAGGATTAAATTTATTGTGACTAGATTGTACAAGAATTATCACTACCCTCAAAAATACTTCATTATGGAAGACAATGGACACCATTCAGACAAATCCTTCAAACTTTTAAAATTATATTTATAATTTATAATAAAATTATATAGTTTAAAACTATAGACTGCTAAACATACCAATTCACAGACTGTTTGAACAAATAAAGGCAGAGCTGTCTAAATATGCCTTGTGTAATTAAAAACTGACAATATTTATGGGCTAAGGAGTTTCCCAGATTTTAGAACAATTGTTTTTGTTTTTTTTTTGTTTTTTTTTTTTTTTTGAGACAGAGTCTTGCTCTGTCACCCAGGCTGGAGTGCAGTGGTACAATCTCAGCTCACTGCAACCTCTGCCTCCCAGGTTCCAGCGATTCTCCTGCCTCAGGCTCCCAAATAGCTGGGATTACAGGCGCCCTCCACCACACCGGCCAATATTTTATATTTTTAGTAGAGACGGGGTTTCACCATGTTGGCCATGTAGGCTAGTATTGAATTCCTGACCTCAGGTGATCTGCCCACCTCAGCCTCCCAAAGTGCTGGAATTACAGATGCAAGGCACCACACCCGGCCAGAACAATTATAATTACCAAGAAAGCTGAACGCAGTTATTGGCCACCTAGCATTGGTAATATACCATCACACTTTAAAGAAAAAAATTGTGAAACCATACAGCAAGATCTCTGTTAGGAGTTTCTTCTAACACTCATGTCCAGGAAAATAAGATATAACCGATAAAGAATCTTTGTTATTTGGATCTAAACTGACCCTTGCCTAGTTATAAGTAGACAAAGATATAATTTTCATTTAATACAGATATTTATTAATCTGTTGTATATACTTCAGCTCTAAAATGTTCCCATGAAAAAATTACTTTGATTTTACCTGAGGATGCTTGTAACAGTACAACTAATCCAGTAGGTCGATCTTCAGAGGAGGGGCCACTCTGTCCACAAATAACACAGTCATATACTGCCTCGGAAACCTGTGGTTCTGCCGTGGTGATCTCCATAGGAATATCATTCTCAGGAGAATCTGAGGGAAAAAAGTTACATCTCTTTAATTCCTTAGGAGGAAAATCTCTCTTCAATGAAAGTGTGAGAGAAAAATCAAGTTCAAACAATTTTTAGCTTCAATATCAATAAAGTATACAGTAATAAAACTGTGGAAAAAATAACCTTACTCAAGTAAAATATTTAGACAGATAAAATAATGCAAAGACTTTAATAATGAAAGATTTAAACTAAAATATGGTTAAATACACTTCTAATGTTGTATCATTCAAATATAAAATAGATACAGAAAACATAGAGGCAAAGATATTTGTATCAAAAGAGAAATATTTTAAAATAACATGTTACAGAAAGAAGGGAGATGTTTGTTTTAATTTTCCTTGAGGCACCTAAGGGGTTATTCACAACAACATGACAGCTCTTGGGAAAATATGGTAGTATTTACTAGAATATAAAAGAGAAAAAAACTATTTCTTTCTCACTCTCAATTCTAGTGATTATATCTCAGAAATAGTAGCTATCAATATGTTTTTTAATGTAGGGAAATCATAAAGATATGACCATATTATATATGAATAAAGCAGAACTCATCAAAAATAGCAGTAATCCTCTGGTGATATAATGTTACTAATAGCAAAAAATAAAATATTGAGTTAATAATTATTTACAGATAAAGACACTTAAATTCACGAAGATAAGTGATGCTGCCACTGGTGACAAAGAAATAGGTGGAAGAGACTGGGAAGAACAGGGAAGCAGAAGTGCTTTATGAAATGTTTAAAAGATGGAGGCACATCTAAGTAAATATGTAAAAATACACGTCAGAAATGAGAAAAAAGTCAAGTTTAGATATTTTAAAATAAGAATTCATGCAGATATACACACATCTGATACTTATGAAGAATGACTGAGAGGAAAAGGGACAGTAACCTAAAATAGAACTTTGGGTAATGCCTAGTATTAATGGAAATAAAAAGATGCCACAAAGAAATTAGCAAACAAAAACAAAAACAAAAACAGTACCTGAATAGAATCAAACCAAAAATCACAATGTCTAGGAAAATACACTAGTAGGTCAAAATGAAAAGAAGATTTCAAAAGAAAAAAGTACCAGAAGCCATTAAGAGTTGATATGAGGCCGGGCATGGTGGCTCATGCCTATAATCCCAGCACTTTGGGAGGCTGAGGCGGGCGGATCACCTGAGGTCAGGAGTTTGAGACCAAGCCTGGCCAACATAGTGAAACCCTGTCTCTACTAAAAATACAAAAAATTGGGCAGGCATGGTGGCAGGCACCTGTAATCCTGGCTACTTGGAAGGCTAAGGCAGGAAAATCACTTGAACCCAGGAGGCAGAGGTTGCAGTTAGCCGAGATCGCACCACTGCACTCCAGCCTGGGCAACAAGAGTGAAACTACGTCTCAGAAAAAAAAAAAAAAAAAAAGAAAAGAGTTGATATGAGACTACTTTGGGTCTTAGGGAGAAAAGAGAAGAGAAAACCATGCAGAAAAAAGAAATTGTCTGCTCTCAAGTGCAAAGGAGAACACAGAGATACCTGACAAAGTACAGTGAAATAACTCAGTCTCGTGTTAAGTGCCAAAGAAATACAATTTCATTGACCCTATCTCACACATAAAGATCTTTTTTTTTTTAATAAGTCTTGGTACAATCGACTTGAAAACCTCAAGGAAACCCTGATGCCAAAATACATTATCCAAGATGCTGCTAAGTCATCTTTTCTAGTTTTTAAAAGAAACTTCAATGACAATCTTCAATGGTGATACAGTACCAATGGCATGAAAATAAAATAGGTGAACTCATTTTCATGCAGAGTACTTTTTATTTGAAATCTGACTTTAAAAATTACAGACACCAATGTCCCTTTTTTTCTTCAAGAAACTAGGATCATGGTTTATTTCTGAAAAGAGGAGGAAAAGTCACAGCTTTTTATATCCTATGTTGAATTAAAATGTTATTGGTAATATATGGTTGATTCTATCATTCCAGTACCAAATTCTGACATTTTTAGTAAGATTTAAAAAGGATCTGTGTCCAAATTAAATGCTGTATTTAAATGTGATTATAGTTTCTCACTTATCTGTGAGATATGAAAAAATAAATAACCTATTCTGAAAGAAGACAGGCCCCAAAAAAGTACATACTGTATGTAAATTGTTAAAGAACAAAAGCATGAAAAACTAATATACAGAGTCACAAGTAATGATACTGGTTACTCTTGGAAGAAGCAGTGACAGAAAGAGACCATGAAGGGAGCTTATGGGATGCTAGTAATTTTTATTTCTCAATTTGGATGCTGGTTTCTCAATCTGGATTCAGTTATACAGTCACAATCTGTTTGTTAAAACTCAAAGAGCTCTAAAATCCTGAAACATGCATTATGAGTATATTTCAATAAAAAGGTTTCTTTTAAAAACCCCTACTCTAAATGAGTAACTTGGTATATTCTGTAACAAGTATTATAATAAAGGTACTTAATGCACACATCAATATCTGCACATATTTTCCACACTAAAAAAAAAATCTAAATGATGTGCCATGCAAATTGAGGCAATGAAAAAATTACAATGATTTACAATCTAGGTAAATTAAATGAATAAAAGATGCAAAACTGATAGAGTAATAGTCAAAGATGACAAATCCAAGTGTTACTAGAGACTAATAATGAAAATATTCTTGCTACCAAATAACCCTGGAATTCTTAAGTTCTACTTTAACTTTCAGTTCAATTCAAATTCAAAGGGTTTCTGTATAAAATTCACATTTGCCCTTTTAGAACAAAAGTACTACTTAAATTACCATAATTGATATTATTACAATAAATACAAAAAAGATAACTAAAGCAATAGTTAATTTATCTGTTTGGTTTTACATGAACAGAAAAGAATCTATCTGAATGAAGCAGCTGATTCTTCTGAATGCTATTACACTTAGCCAAATGACCGCAAGATGGCCCCAATTCTCCACTCCTCCCTGTATCCATGCTCTTCACAATGTGATACTGTAATTCCTCCCATCAAGAGAGAGTTTATTTCCCCACTCCTTGAATATCAGCTGGCCTTGACTTGTTTTAATGAAGAGAATGTGGAGGATGGGCGCAGTGGCTCACACCTATAATCTCAGCACTTTTGGGAGGCCGAGGCAGGTGGATTGCCTGAGGCCAGGAGCTCAAGACCAGCCTGGACAACATGGCAAAACCCCATCTCTACTAAAAATACAAAAATTGGCTGGGTGTGGTGATGCGTGCCTGTAATCCCAGCTACTCAGGAGGCTGAGACAAGAGAATCACTTGAACTTGGGAGGCGGAGGCTACAGTGAGCCAAGATCACACCACCATACTACAGCCTGGGTGACAGAATGAGTGAGACTCCATCTCAAAAAAAAAAAAAAAAAAAAAAGGAGAGAGAATGTGGCAAAAACAACAATATGCCTTCCAAAACTAGGCCTCAGGTGATCTTGCATAGTTTCTCTCTCCTGCTCTCACTCTCAACTCCACCTTGCACAGTTTCTCTCTCTTGCTCTCACTCTCAACTCCACCTTGCATAGTTTCTCTCTCTCGCTCTCACTCTCTCAACTCTACCATCTCCATGAGAATAAGTCAAGGTGGGCTACCTTGCCAGAGGAGGAGAGACCAAATGGAACACACATAAGTTGTCTCACCAGCTCATGGCAGCCCCCTGTTAACCAATCAGCAGATCACAGACCCACAATTCAGCCCATGGGTCTGTGGGTGATGAGATCAGCTAAGCCTTCTCCAGAAAAGTTTGGTTCACAACAGAACCACTGAGTCTTCTCATTGACTGATGAAAACTAACTAGGGGTTGTTTTTTTAAATCACTAAATTTTGGGGGACAGCTAGTTACACAACAATTGCTAACTAATATAATAATTCTACTGTATGTTAATTATAATATAGAAACTCAAAAGAATTGAAGTACTTTGCCTTACCAAGATGAGTCATGAAAACTAATATTTAAAGTAATAAAGGTGTTTCCGTCTGGAATATTTTCTAGTCTAAGGAATTAAAAAAATCATTTTCCAAAATGATTTTTATCTTTAATATCTACTTATTTTACAACCATTAATTTAACATCATCAGAGTGAAAAGCTTCCATATTCACAAATACCACAGTTCTACTTCAAGAGTTTACACTGTTACATAAAATTTCCTGTTCTAATATTTGTTAAAAATAGTTAGAGCCTATTTTAATATAAAATTAATCTTTAATTACAAAATAGCCTTTGCCTTTCTTAACCTTTATATTTATAAATTAATTAGATTAATTTAAACTAAAATAAGTATTTATAGAACAATCAAAAATCTTCTTGCTTCATGTTTTGCTTTCATGTTTGTGGGTTTTGTGGCTGAATGGAAGGATGGGGAAATGATATAGGGATGATGTATTCGGTGCCCTCAAAATCATGTGAAATACATTTTTATTTGAAAGAGGAATAAGCAACTGCAAAACACAAGTAGCTGGTTTGCAGCCCAGTGGCAGGCACAGAGAATTTTTATTGCATACATTAATAGAAAATTTTAAATTTTTTAACACAATTTAATTTTTAAAAACAACTGAGAAGTACTTGCTACTAACCTAGCAGGTGAGTTACTATTCATAAACTAAGTACACTACCAGAGTTCCCTGATTTCTGCTAAGAAGTCTGACTTCCCTCAGATAAGTGCCAATACTGCAAAACTCCCACTGCACACTATCATTAATTTTGATAAGGATTTACAGTATTATCTTCAATTAGTCATCATTTTTATTATCATTCTTGCTTTCCTCTTTTTTTAGTTGGTGTATAGAGTATTCGCTTTCTTTTTTAAAAAATAATCTTCCCATTTTATAATAGTTTTAGATTTGCAGATACTACATGTACCCTCCCCCCCACAGTTTCATCTTAAACTTTACATTAGCATGGTATGACTGTTAGAATTAATGAATATATATTAATTTTTATTGATACAATATTGACAAATTAACTAAAGTCCAACTTTTTTCAGGCTTCCTTCATTTTTATCCAATGTCCTTTTTCCATCCCAGGATACCACATTACATTTAGTTGTTATGTCTCCTTATGTTCTTCTAAGAAGAAACTGTGACAGTTTCTCAGACTTTCCTTGTTTCCTTGCTTTGATGAACTTGACAGTTTTGAGGAGTAGTATCCAGGTATTTGCATAACAGTCCTCAATTATGATTTGTCTGATGTTTTTCTCATGATTAGTCTAAGGTTATCGATTTTAGAGAGGAAGATCACAGAAGCATCATTCTCATCACATCATATCAAGGGTACATAATATTAACATGAATTACCACTGCTGATGCTGACCTTGATCACCTGGTTAAGATGTTTCCCAAGTTTCTCTACTGTAAAATAACTCTTTTCCCCCTTTCCACACCAAGAAGCCATTACATGCAGCTCACACTTAAGGAGTGGGGAGTTATATTCCACCTCCTTGAGGGTAAAGGCTCTACATAAAATACTAGGTATTCTTCTGCATAGGAAACTTCTCTATGCTACCTTATTTATTCAATCATTTATACTAGTATATACTCATTGATATTTCTTTTATACTCAGGGTTATAATGCATTATACTTTACTTTGTTGCTCAAATTGTTCCAGCTTTGGCCACTGGAAACTCTCAGTTGACTCCTGTGCCCCTTGACATAGCCCCAGCCCATATCATCACTAGAGGGGGTGGGGGTTGTTTGTTTTTGAGTACCCCTCTACTTTCTGGCCCTATGAGATACACCAGATCCACCCTGCATGTTCCCTGCCCCAGTTCTTAAAAATCAACCATGCCTCCAAGGACCCTAGTTCCTCTTTTCAGCAAGGGAGGAGGGGACTGTATTAGAAACCAAGATCGGGGGGAGGGGGGAGGGGGGAGGGATAGCATTAGGAGATATACCTAATGCTAAATGATGAGTTAATGGGTGCAGCACACCAGCATGGCACATGTATTCGTATGTAACTAACCTGCACTTTGTGCACATGTACCCTAAAACTTAAAGTATAATTAAAAAAAAAAAGAAACCAAGATCTGGGCAATGGGTGTGCTTGTACCTGGGAAATATCCATGAGTACATACTAATATAAATGAACGAACAAATAAACAAGGGAACACAGATAAGTTTCCTTAGCAGAAGAATGCCAAATATTTTATATAGTGCCTTTACCCTCAAGGAGGTGGAATATAACTCCCCATTCCAGTTTCTACTGGGATGTCCTTGCTTCTAGGCCCTTTCAGCTGACAAAAGAAGGGACTACGTGTCTGTACACTAACTCATGCATATGCATATGCCTGTATTTATACATATATAATTCCATCTTTATCTAGAGCTGTCTAAACATGAGTTCATACTAATGTCTCCAACTCTAATCCATTATTATCACATGAATCATTCTAGCCTTCTCCCCTTATCTGTAACTTCTTACTCCAACGGCGAGAAATCCAGCTCTCATCATCTGCCATTCATTTACTTAATTGTTCAACCTCAGTATATACGTATAGTGGTTTCAGAATTGTTAACTCATGATGCCATGGGGAAACTTTTATTCACTGGTTATACACAGTTTCTTTTGCCTTTAGTCTTATTGTTGCTATTTATTTCCAAAGTTAGGTAGCCAGCACCTTTCCCCCTACTCTTTTCAGTGAGGTTGTTTCATACATCACAAGTTCATACATCTGTAATACAGTTATATTCTCCTGTCATAGTCTGCATTCCATCCTGGGATCACCCCAACTCCTAAATGATTTTTTAAAATATACATACTTTAAAGATTCACTCTTTCTGCTATAAAGTTCTAAGGGTTTTAACAGTGTTACATATCGAACTTTACTGTGTCACACAGAATAATTTCAATGCTCTAAAAAAACTCCCATGTTTCATTTATTCACCTGTGCCTCAACCCTGACAACCAGTGATCTATTTACTGTCTCTAGTTTTGCATTTTCCAGAATGTCATATAACTGGAAACACACAGTATGTAATATTTTCAGATTGGCTACTTTCACTAAGCGGTATGTATTTAAGATTCATCCATGTCTTCATGTGGCTTAATAGTTCATTCCTTTTTATTGCTGGACGGTATTTCATTATACGTATGTGCCACAGTTTCTTTATCCATTCATCTATGGAAGGACATCTTAGCTGCTTCCAATTCTGAGCAATTATAAATAAAGTTGCTATAAAAATAAGTATGAAGATTTTTTGTGTGGAAATAAGTTTTTTAATCAGTTAAATAAATATCTAAGAGCACAAGTGATGGATCATATGGTAAGATTAAGCTTAGCTTTACAGGAAAATGCCAGACTCTTCCAAAGCAGCCGTACCATTTTGAATTGCAACCATCAATGAATTAGAGTTCCCACTGCTCTGTATTCTCACAAAAAATTGGTAGTGTCAGATTTCAGGATTTCGCCATAGCCATGTAGTGGTATCTCACTGTTGTTTTACTCTGCATTTCCCTAATGATAATGATGCTGAGCATCTTTTGACATACTTATTTACCATTCTTGCATCTTCTTTGTAAGGTGTCTGTTCAGATCTTCTGCTCATTTTAAAAACTAGGTTATTTGTTTTCTTATTGTTGAATTATTTATATCTTTTGAATACCAGTCCTTTATCAGATGTGTGTTTTGCAAATATTTCCTCTCAGTCTATGGCTTATCATTTCATTCTCTTAACAGTACAATACCTCCTGGGGAACTGATGCCCTGGCTGAGCTACAGAGCCTAGGGCTAGGCCGATATAACACCCCTCATCCCAGGAAAACAGAGCAGTGGCTGAGCTGAGACATTCCTCCATACAGGTCAAACAACTCTAGTAACTTGCTTCCCTGGAGCTAGACTAGCCCCTAGAGTCTGAGCTGCTGAGACACCCTTCTCCATGGGGAGTGGACTCCCTGCTGTGCTGCTCCATAACCCTCAAGGGCCCAAATGACATCTGTATTTGGCCATTCTGACATACTTGCTGACACTGCACCTGGGATCACAGAGTCTGGGATACTGCCAAGCCCCACCATCACAGGGTCTAAGGTAACCACTACACAGTACTACATCCCCAGGGACATGGCTGCTACTAAGCCCTACTGGCTCAGACTCCC
Source organism: Homo sapiens (assembly GCF_000001405.40). Lineage (NCBI taxonomy): Eukaryota > Metazoa > Chordata > Mammalia > Primates > Hominidae > Homo > Homo sapiens. The sequence goes on along the minus strand of NC_000002.12, from coordinate 169,978,540 downwards.
AAATAGTGGCTATACCCTGCACCCTGGGCTCAAACCTCAGGAGCACCCTTTCTTCCCCAGAGGCAAGATGTGACCTGTTCCCCCGGGGTAAACAACCCAACTCCCTGAATCCAAGCTGCTAGAAGGTGCCTCAGAGTCACAGATCCTGACTCTGTGGCAACCTAAATCTACCCCTACAACAGAGAGCAAAATGTCACGCCAAGACCCAAGTGCCATAATAGGTTCATGAAACCCAGGCCCCACAGCCCCTCCAAGCACCTGCACCTGGAACCCAGCGCTGCTACTGGTACTCACAGTCCATGAAAGACATGACACCAAGAGGGATCCCCTTGGGTAAGTCTCCCCACTGTGGAGAAAATGAGAATAGGCGGAGCCCAAAAGGCCTTGCCACCAAGGACATTAACAGCCTATGTCACCACTGCTGCTACCACAAACTTCTATAGCCTAGGCCACAGTTATTGCTGATGTTGAACACCACCAGAGAAGCTGCATGGAAGTTATACCACTATACCCACCCAGAAACAGAGTCACCACATCTTTCCCAGCCAGCACACTAAGATTCAACTGCAGGTGAATCATTCTCTACAAAAGCCAATCTAGGAAGTTCAGAAGACACAACAATTCCACAAGATGTACAGATATCAATGCAGTGACATAAGAAACATGAAAAAGCAAGGAAATATGACACGACAAAATGAACTGATGGCTAATACGAGGTGTCAATTTGACTGCATTGAGGGATGCCTAGATGGCTGGTGGAACATTGTTTCTGGGTGTGTCTGTGAGGGTTTTCCAGAGGAGAATGACATGTGAGTCAGTGAATGAAAGAGGAACATCTGCCATCATTGTGGGCGAGCACTATCCAACAGACTGTGGGTAAAGCTAGAACAAAGCAGGCAGAAGGGTGATATTCAGCTTGCTTGGTTTCCTCTCTCTCTCTCCCTCCCAGAGCAGAACACCTTTTCTCCTCCTGCCCTTGGACATTTGACACAGGTTCTTTGGCCTTTGGGCTTTGGGACCTGTAACAAAAGACTCTTGGGGGTTTGCAGGCCTTCAGTCTCAGACCGGGTACTGTACTGTCAGCTTCTCTGGTTTTGAGGGTTTTAGACTTGGAATGAACCATGGTACTAGCTTTTCTCATCCCCCGGCTTGCAGATGGCCGATCATGGGATGTCACCTTTGTAATTATGTAAGCCAATTCTCCCCAGTAAACTCCCTTTCATATATACATATCCTACCATTTCTGTCCCTCTGGAAAAACCTAATATAGATTTTGAACTTCGTATCTCTCTAGTAACAGACCCAAATGAAAAGGAAATCAACAAATTGCCAGGAAAAAAAATTCAAAAGACGAATTTTAAGGAAACTCAATTAGATACAAGAAAATACAGATATATAATTCAATAGAATCAGGAAAATTTCTTATGCATAAGAAATTCAACAAAGAGACAGATATCATGAAAAAGAACCAAACAAAAATCCAAAAGAGTTGAACCAAACAAACAGCTGAATAAATCAAACAAAAAAATACCACAGAAAGCTTCAACAGCAGACTTGATCAAGTAGAAAAAGGAATCTCTGAACGTGAAGATAAGTCATTTAAAATTACTTGAGGGGGAAAAGAATACAAGAGTGAAAAAAGCCTATAAGATTTATGGAACACCATTAAGTGAACAATTAAGAAGAGATAAAAATGGCATAGAAAACCAGTAACACCTGAAAAATTCCCAAGCCTGGGAAGAAATATGGACATCTAGATCCAAGAAGCTCAAAAGTTCTCAAATAGATTAGACTCAAAAAGGTCCTCCCCAAGGCAAACAAAGTCAAATTGTAAAAAGTGAAAGACAGAGACAATTCTAAAAACAGCAAGAGAAAAGCATCAAGTTACATATAAGGGAATCCCCATTAGACTAAGAACAGATTTCTCAGCAAAAACCTTATAGGCCAGTAAAAAATAGATATTTTCAAAGTTCTGAAATTTTGAAAGAAAAGAATTGCCTACCAAAAATACTACACCCAGCAAAGCTATCCTACAGAAATAATGGAGAAATAAAGTCTCTCCTAGACAAGGAGAAACTGAGGGAATTCATCACCACTAGACCAAACTTACAAGAAATGCTCAGGAGAGTCCTGCATGTGGAAACAAAAATGCAATAATCACCATCATGAAAAAATGAAAAAGTATAAAACTCACTGGCAGACCAGATACACATAGTAGAAATAAAAAAAAAAATCAAACATTATCACTACAGAAAATCACTAAAACACAATGATAAACAATAAGAGAGGAAGAAAGGAACAAAGGATACACAACCAGAAAACAATTAACAACAACAAAAAGCCCTCATCTATCAATAATAAACTTGAATGTAAACCAATTAAATTCTCCACTTAAAGCATACACACTGCCTGTATGGATTTAAAAAAAAAAAGTGGCCCAACTATATGCTGCCTACAAGAAATTCACTTTGCCAGTAAAAACACATATAAACTGAAAGTAAAGGAATTAAAAAAAAAATTTCAAGCAAATGAAAAAGAAAAACATGCAGATAAAACAGGCTTTAAGTCCAAAACTGTAAAAAGAGAAAAAAATGGTCATTATATAATGATAAAGAGATCAGTTCAAAAAGAGAATATATATATATATATATATATGTTTTTAATTGCAGATCCAGATATATGCAGATCCAGATAATTGCAGATCCAAAAAGGAATTCTGAATTCCTGTTTGTTTTTTTAGAGACAGAGTCTTGCTGCTCTCTTGCCCAGATACAATCATAGCATACTGCAGTCTTGAACTCCTAGCCTCATGTAATCCTCCCATCTCAGCCTCCTGGGTAGCTGAGACTACAGACACAAGGTACCACACCCAGACAAGAGGATACAACAATTCTAAATACATATGCACTCAATGCCAGAGCACCCAAATACACAAAGCAAATATTAGATATCAAGGAAGAGACAGACTCCAATACAATAATCGTTGGCAACAGCCCACTCTCAGTACTAGACAAATCATCTAAACAGAAAATCAACAAAGAAACACTGAATTTAAACTGCACTTTAAGCCAAATAGACCTAACAGACTTTTACAGAACATTTCAACAAAAGCAGCAGAATACACATTCTTTTCATTAGCACATGGAACATTTTCCAGGATAGATCACGTTAGGCCAAAAAACAAGTCACAACAAACTTAATGGAATTTAAATCAGATCAAGTTTATTTTCTGACCACAATGGAATATAACTGGAAATTAATAACGAGGAACTTTTGAAACTGTACAAATACATGGAAATTAAATAACATGTTCCTGAACAACCAATGGATCAAGGAAGAAATTAAGAGGGAATTTTTGTTGTTGTTTTTTTGAGACAGGGTCTCACTCTGTCATCCAGGCTGGAGTACAGTGGCATGATCTCTGCTTACTGCAACCTCCACCTCCCGGGATCAAGCAATCCTCCCACCTCAGCCTCTCAAGTAGCTGTACTACAGGCATGCACCACCACACCAGGCTAATTTTTGTATTTTGGGGTTTTGCCATGTTGTGCAGGCTGGTTCTGAACTCCTGGACTAAAGCAATCCACCCGCTTGGACTCCCAAAGTGCTGGGATCACAGGCAAGAGCCACCATGCCCAGCCTTAAGAAAGAAATTTAAAAGTTTCTTGAAACAAATGAAAATAGAAACACAACATACCAAAACCTATAGGATACAGCAAAAGTAGAATTAAAAGGAAGTTTATAGCAATAAACACCTACATTGAAAAAGTAGAAAGATTTCAAATAAACAACCTAATAATGTATCTCAAGGAACCAGAAAAGCAAAAATAAACCAAACTTAAAATTAGCAAGAGGAAGGAAATAATAAAGATCAGAGCTGAAATAAATAAAATTGAGAGTTAAAAAATGCAAAAGATCAATGAAACGAAAGGCTGGTTTTGTGAAAAGATAAAATTGACAAACCATTAGCTATACTAACCAAGGAAAAATGAGAAAAGACTCAAAATAAAATCAGAAATGAATAAGAAACATTACAAACGATGCCACGGAAATACAAAGGGTCATTAGAGACTATTATGAACAACTATATGCCAACCAATTGGAAAACCTGAAAGAAATGGATAAATTCCTGGACACATACAACCTACCAAAATTGAACCAAGAAGAAATTAAAAATCTGAACAGATAAATATTGAGTAATGAGATTGAATCAGTAATAAAAAGTCTCCCATCAAAGAAAAGCCCAGGACCACATGACTTCACTGCTAAATTCTGCCAAAATGTTAAAGAACCAGTACCAATTCTTCTCAAACTCTTCCAGAAAAATAAGAAGGGAATTATTCTGAACTCATTCTACAAGGCAAGCATTACCATGATACAAAAACCAGACAAAGACATAACAAAAAAACTATAAGCCAATATCCCTGATGAACACAGATGCAAAAAATCCTTAACACATACTAGAAAGCTAAAAGATCACTCACCATGATCAAATGTGATTTATTCCAAGGATGCAAGAATTGTTAAACATATGCAAATCAATAAACGTGATACATCACAGCAACACAATGAAGGACAAAAATTATACAATCATCTCAAAAGATGCAGAAAAAGCATTTGACAAAATTCAACATCCCTTCATGATAACCCTCAACAAACTAGGTATAGATGGAGGTATGTCAACACAATGATGACTGTATATGACAAGTCCAGAGCTAACATTATACTGAATAAGGAAAAGCTGAAAGCTTTTCCTCCAAGAACTGGAACAAGACAAGGATGCCCACTCTCACCACTCTTTTCCAACACAGAACTGAAAGTCTTAGCCAGAGCATTTAGGCAAGAGAAATAATGGGCATCCAAATGGAAAAGGAGGAAGTCAAATTGTCACTAAGTGCAAATGACTTGACTTTACATATAGAAAATCCTAAAAGCTTTGCCAAGAAACTCTTAGAACTGATAAGCAAATTCAGTAAAGCTTCAGGATACAAAATTAACATAGAAAAATCAGTAGTGTTTCTAGTATAGTTTGAAGTCAGGTAGTGTGATGCCTCCAGCTTTGTTCTTTTGGCTTAGGATTGACTTGGCGATGCGGGCTCTTTTTTGGTTCCATATGAACTTTAAAGTAGTTTTTTCCAATTCTGTGAAGAAAGGCATTGGTAGCTTGATGGGGATGGCATTGAATCTGTAAATTGCCTTGGGCAGTATGGCCATTTTCACAATACTGATTCTTCCTACCCATGAGCATGGAATGTTCTTCCATTTGTTTGTATCCTCTTTTATTTCCTTGAGCAGTGGTTTGTAGTTCTCCTTGAAGAAGTACTTCACATCCCTTGTAAGTTGGATTCCTAGGTATTTTATTCTCTTGGAAGCAATTGTGAATGGGAGTTCACTCATGATTTGGCTCTCTGTTTGTCTGTTGTTGGTGTATAAGAATGCTTGTGATTTTTGTACATTGATTTTGTATCCTGAGACTTTGCTGAAGTTGCTTATCAGCTTAAGGAGATTTTGGGCTGAGACAATGGGGTTTTCTAGATATACAATCATGTCATCTGCAAACAGGGACAATTTGACTTCCTCTTTTCCTAATTGAATACCCTTTATTTCCTTCTCCTGCCTAATTGCCCTGGCCAGAACTTCCAACACTATGTTGAATAGAAGTGGTGAGAGAGGGCATCCCTGTCTTGTGCCAGTTTTCAAAGGGAATGCTTCCAGTTTTTGCTCATTCAGTATGATATTGGCTGTGGGTTTGTCATAGATATTTCTTATTATTTTGAGATACGTCCCATCAATACCTAATTTATTGAGAGTTTTTAGCATGAAGGGTTGTTGAATTTTGTCAAAGGCTTTTTCTGCATCTATTGAGATAATCATGTGGTTTTTGTCTTTGGCTCTGCTTATACGCTGGATTACATTTATTGATTTGCATATATTGAACCAGCCTTGCATCCCAGGGATGAAACCCACTTGATCATGGTGAATAAGCTTTTTGATGTGCTGCTGGATTCGTTTTGCCAGTATTTTATTGAGGATTTTTGCATCAATGTTCATCAAGGATATTGATCTAAAATTCTCTTTTTTTGTTGCGTCTCTGCCTGGCTTTGGTATCAGAATGATGCTGGCCTCATAAAAAGAGTTAGGGAGGATTCCCTCTTTTTCTATTGATTGGAATAGTTTCAGAAGGAATGGTACCAGTTCCTCCTTGTACCTCTGGTAGAATTCGGCTGTGAATCCATCTGGTCCTGGACTCTTTTTGGTTGGTAAACTATTGATTATTGCCACAATTGCAGCTCCTGTTATTGGTCTATTCAGAGATTCAACTTCTTCCTGGTTTAGTCTTGGGAGAGTGTATGTGTCGAGGAATTTATCAATTTCTTCTGGATTTTCTAGTTTATTTGCTTAGAGGTGTTTAGTATTCTCTGATGGTAGTTTGTATTTCTGTGGGATCGGTGGTGATATCCCCTTTATCATTTTTTACTGCGTCTATTTGATTCTTCTCTCTTTTCTTCTTTATTAGTCTTGCTAGTGGTCTATCAATTTTGTTGATCCTTTCAAAAAACCAGCTCCTGGATTCATTAATTTTTTGAAGGGTTTTTTGTGTCTCTATTTCCTTCAGTTCTGCTCTGATTTTAGTTATTTCTTGCCTTCTGTTAGCTTTTGAATGTGTATGCTCTTGCTTTTCTAGTTCTTTTAATTGTGAATGTTAGGGTGTCAATTTTGGATCTTTCCTGCTTTCTCCTGAGGGCATTTAGTGCTATAAATTTCCCTCTACACACTGCTTCGAATGCATCCCAGAGATTCTGGTATGTTGGCTACAGTAACCAAAACAGCATGGTACTGGTACCAAAACAGAGATATAGATCAATGGAACAGAACAGAGCCCTCAGAAACAACGCTGCATATCTACAACTATCTGATCTTTGACAAACCTGAGAAAAACAAGCAATGGGGAAAGGATTCCCTATTTAATAAATGGTGCTGGGAAAATTGGCTAGCCATATGTAGAAAGCTGAAACTGGATCCCTTCCTTACACCTTATACAAAAATCAATTCAAGATGGATTAAAGACTTAAACGTTAGACCTAAAACCATAAAAACCCTAGAAGAAAACCTAGGCATTACCATTCAGGACATAGGCATGGGCAAGGACTTCATGTCTAAAACACCAAAAGCAATGGCAACAAAAGCCAAAATTGACAAATGGGATCTAATCAAACTAAAGAGCTTCTGCACAGCAAAAGAAACTACCATCAGAGTGAACAGGCAACCTACAGAATGGGAGAAAATTTTCGCAACCTACTCACCTGACAAAGGGCTAATATCCATAATCTACCATGAACTCAAACAAATTCACAAGAAAAAAACAAACAACCCCATCAAAAAGTGGGCGAAGGACGTGAACAGACACTTCTCAAAAGAAGACATTTATGCAGCCAAAAAACACATGAAAAAATGCTCATCATCACCAGCCATCAGAGAAATGCAAATCAAAACCACAATGAGATACCATCTCACACCAGTTAGAATGGCAATCATTAAAAAGTCAGAAAACAACAGGTGCTGGAGAGGATGTGGAGAAATAGGAACACTTTTACACTGTTGGTGGGACTGTAAACTAGTTCAACCACTGTGGAAGTCAGTGTGGCGATTCCTCAGGGATCTAGAACTGGAAATACCATTTGACCCAGCCATCCCATTACTGGGTATATACCCAAAGGACTATAAATCATGCTGCTATAAAGACACATGCACACGTATGTTTACTGCGGCATTATTCACAATAGCAAAGACTTGGAACCAACCCAAATGTCCAACAATGATAGACTGGATTAAGAAAATGTGGCACATATACACCATGGAATACTATGCAGCCATAAAAAATGATGAGTTCGTGTCCTTTGTAGGGACATGGATGAAATTGGAAATCATCATTCTCAGCAAACTATTGCAAGAACAAAAAACCAAACACTGCATATTCTCACTCATAGGTGGGAATTGAACAATGAGAACACATGGACACAGGAAGGGGAACATCACACTCTGGGGACTGTTGTGGGGTGGGGGGAGGGGGGAGGGATAGCATTGGGAGATATACCTAATGCTAGATGACGAGTTAGTGGGTGCAGCGCACCAGCATGACACAATGTATACATATGTAACTAACCTGCACAATGTGCACATGTACCCTAGAACTTAAAGTATAATAAAAAAAAATCAGTAGTGTTTCTATACATCAATAATAAACTAGCAGAAAAAGAAATCAAGAAAAAAACTCACAACAGCTACAAAAAAAAAAAAAAAAAAACCTAGGAACAAGTTTAACCAAGGAGGTAAAAGCTCCTACAAGGAAAACTATAAAACACTGATGAAAGAAATTGAAGTCATCACCAAAAAATGGACAGACATCTCATGTCATGGATTGGAAGAATACTGTGAAAATGACCACACTACCAAAAGTGATCTACACAATGCAATCCCCTATCAATACCAATGACATTCTTCACAGAGGTAGAAAAAGAGATAGAAAAATTCATATGATATGGAACCACAAAACATCCTGAATAGCCAAAGCAATCCTGAGCCAAAAAAAAAAAAAAAAAAAAGCTGGAGGCATCATACTTCCTGACATCAAAATATACTACAAAGCTATATTAATCAAAATAGCATGGTACTGGCATAAAAAACAGACACAGGCCGGGCGTGGTGGCTCATGCCTGTAATCCCAGCACTTTGGGAGGCGGAGGTGGGCGGATCACGAGGTCAGGAGATGGAGACCATCCTGGCTAACACAGTGAAACCCCATCTCTACTAAAAATATAAAAAAATTAGCCGGGCATGGTGGCAGGCGCCTGTTGTCCCAGCTGCTTGGGAGGCTGAGGCAGGAGAATGGCATGAACCTGGGAAGTGGAGCTTGCAGTGAGCCGAGATTGCACCACTGAACTCCAGCCTGGGTAACAGAGCAAGAATCCATCTAACAAAAAAAAAAAAAAAAGACACAAATGGAACAGAATAGAGAACACAGAAATAAATACACATATTTACAGCCAACTGATTTTCAACAAAGGTACCAAAAACATTCAGTGCTGGGGAAAAGACAGTCTCTTCAATAAATGATGTTTGGAAAACCAAGTATCTGTAAGCAGAAAAATGAAACTAGACCCTTATCTCTCAATATATTCAAAAATCAAATCCAAATGGATTAAAGACTTTCTAATACCTCAAATCATGAAATTACTAGAAGAAACCACTGTGGAAATGCTTAAAGCGTTGGTCTGAGTAAAGATTTTTTTGTGTACGACATCAAAAGTACAAGCAACAAAAGCAAAAATAGATAAATGGGGTTATATCAGCTAGAAAGCTTTTGTACAGCAAAGAAAACAATCAACAGAGTGAAGAGACAACCTACAGTATGAGAGAAAATATCTGTAAACTATCCATGGGACAAAGGATTAATAACTAGAATACAGAAGAAACTCAAACAAGTTAATAGCAGAAAATAATCCAATTTGAAAATGGACAAATTATCTGATAAGTCATTTCTCAAAAAAGACATACAAATGGCCAAACAGGCATATAAAAAACAAAAAGGTCAACATGATTAATCCTCTGGGAATACAAATCAAAACTGCAACAAGATATCATCCATCTCACCCCAGTTAAAATAGCTATTATCAAAAAGAAAACAATCACAGATGCTGGCAAGGATGTAGAGAAAGGGCATGCTTGTATACTACTAGTAAGAATGTAAATTAGTATAGCAACTATGAAAAACAGTATGGAGGTTCCTCAGAAAAGTAAAAATAGATCTACCAAATGACCCAGCAATCCAAGTGCTGGGTATATATTCAAAAGAAAAGAAATCAGTATATTGAAGAGCCAGCTGCGTGTCCATGTTTATTGTTATCACAATAGTGAAGACAGCACCCTAAGTTTCTATCAACAGATGAACAAAGAAAATGTGGTGGGTGTGTGTGTGTATAGAATGGAACATTATTTAGCCATAAAAAGAGTGAAATCCTGTCATTTACAGCAACATGGATGGAACTGGAAGTCATTATGTTAAGTGAAACAAGCGAGGCACAGAAAGACAAATATCACTTTTTCTTACTCGTATGTGGGAATTTAAAAAGTGAATCCTGTGAAAGTAGACAGCAAAATGATGGTTACCAGACGCTGGGAAGGGTTGGGGAGGAGGATATGAAGAGAGGTTGGTTAATGCGTACAAACATACAGTTATAGAAGGAATAGTGTTTGATAGCACAGTTGGGTAACGATAGTTAACAATAATTAATTATGTATTTAAAAATAACTAAAAGATTTGAAATGTTCCTAACACAAAGAAATGATAAATGTTTGAGCTGACAGACATCCTAATTACCCTGATTTGATCATTACACACCATATTCATGTATCAAAATATCACATGTGCCTCATAAATATGTAGTTATTATGTATAAATTTTTGTAAATATTAAATTTTTTTAAAAGAATGAAGAGTATCTCTACACACTGCATGGTAGGATCTCCTGGATATGACATTAAGTGAAAAAGCAAGGTAGGGAAAGTGTACATATGTGTTACCTAAGAAAGGTATACACTTACCTAAGAAAGGGACTCTAGGAAAAATTAAATATTTTATATCTCAATATACATAATTATATATATTTATATAAGAAGATATATTCATATCTCCAGCCCTACTTCTTATATAAATGGTAGCACACAAAGCAAATATATAGGTATTTGCTTATACTGTTAAAAATAAAAGGACAAATCACAAATTAAACTGTATTATTAAATAAAACAACTCCTTCCATCTATAACAACAATAAAAGTCAACCAAATCCTGCAATGTGGCTGCTCTCAGCTCAGACTCTCCTACTTTCCAAAGGAAATCTTAATGTAAGATGCTGTTCTTATCCACCCAGTAGCTATTGTCCTTTCTGATAACAAACAACAGGCCTCAATTTTTGTTGACAAAAATCACTCCTTCACCACCCTTTTCAATTCCTACGATTTAGGTGGGACTGACTGTACAACCACACAAGAGTGGTAGAGTCACAGCAAGGATTTTTGCTGTGTCTATTGGAAATGGAGTGTTTTCACTCTGTTTTTTAAAAATAAAAAAATAAAACTTTTCCCAACACTCAGAATATCACTTCTATCCTGTGCCTGAAGCACTCAACCAACCATCAGGTCTATTAATTCTTATTTTGCAATTGATCTCATATCTATCCCTTCCTATCTATAGGCTACCAACTGTGTGTGGGGGGGGGCGGGGGGCGCATACCCTGTAGGGGGGTGGGGGGGGCATACTCTCCTCAATTTGCTTTAATATGAAGAAATAGTAAAGAGCATGCAAAACTTCTTGATTAATAGCTCTTGTTCCACACTTACTACTGTATAACCTCAAATTTACTTAATCTCTCTAAGCCTAGGCATCTGTATGTGGGATAATACTACCTATCTCATGGATGTGTCAAGACAAAATGCAATATACAGAATGTATTATCACAGTGCTGAGTACACAGTTAACATACAAAAATATGTTTCATCCTCATCATGATCAACCACCAAAATTCATACTCTTGGACCCAGACCAAAAATAGAGGAAAAACTGTATGTACATAATGTTTATTATCATTAATATTAGAAAAAAAAACCCTACACAGTCCACTTGTGGGTGAATGATTAAGCAAGCTGTAGAATAAAAATGATGACAGCAATAGCCAACGTTTATATAATGCTTATTATGTACCATTCTATTCTAAGCATTTTAAATGTACGTACATTTGACCCTCTCAACCCTATGAGGTAGTATAAAAATTCCTTTGTAACAATGTGAAAACGAGGTAGAGAGAAGTTAAGTAAATTACTCGAGGCAATGGAGTGTGGCTGAGCTATAAACCCAGTCAGGCTCCAGAGTCCATGCTCACAACCACTACACTATACTGCTTCCCCAAAGAAGTACAGACTTTAATAGTTACAAGAAGCTTTCAATAATAATGTAGGGAAATTCTTACACTAAAATATTGGGTAAAAAGGCATGGCATAAAATTGTGCTATATAGTATAATCAGTAGTGTACATGTTATTTGGATAGTGGGATCAGGGATAAAATTGTTCCTTCTTGAGGCTTTTCTGTACTGTATAAATTTTACAATTAAAATGTAATATGTTTAATAACAGAAAGTAATTCCCAAATAAATTCTTATTCTTTATTAAGTACCTGAACTCTCACTGGGAACGTAATTCTGTTGCATTTCAGCTATACCTATCTGACAAACCGGACAAATCTTAATGGATCAAGGTTATAATCTAACACCTTGACTCCTACACATAGATGGCTAGTAAAAATTAAAAAAGGTGGTGGGGAGGATAATGATCAAGAAAGAAGGATGAAAGGAAATGCAGAAGTAATACTGCCTCTTCATGTAGGAAACTTGATAACTAGAGAAAGGCATTAAACAGATAGGCAAGAGTGCTAATCACAGTAGAAATGTGTTGCATTCAGAGAGAAAAGTTTTCATACTTAAACTACCTAATAATGTACTATATTTGATTAGAGGATTTATAACATACTGTATGTTATAAATTTGAAATATTTTGTATGTTATGCTTCTACATTAGAATTTTTGTTATATACAAAGATATAGACACAATAAAAAGGAGCAACTACAGTAGTCTCCCCTTATCTAGGATTTCACTTTCCATGGTTTCAGTTACCTGTGGTCAACCATGGTCAGAAAATATTAAATGGAAAATTTCGGAAATAAACAATTCAAAAATTTTAAACTATGCACCATTTTGAGTAGCGTGATGAAATCTCATACTGTCCCATTTGGTCCTGTCCAGGATGTGAATCATCCCTTTGTCCAGCATATCCATTTCTGTTATCAGATCAACTGCTGTAATATCCCAATGCTTGTGTTCAAGTAACACTTATTTTACTTAATAATGGCCCCAAAGTATAAGAGCAGTGATGCTGGCATACTGTTGTAATTGTTCTATTTTATTATTGTGTTGCTAATCTCTTACTGTGCTTAATTTATAAACTTTATCATGTATAGGAAAAAAACAGTATATATGGGGTTTGATACTACCCATGGTTAGTTTCAGCCATCCTCTGGGGGCCTTGGAACAGATCCCCAGTGATAAGGAGATACTACTATACAGATTATTTATGTCCTTACAACACAGATATGAAATAAGACACACAAAAAAAGGAATTTGACAAATGAGGGAGAGGATCTGGCTAAGGTTAAATTGTATCAGTACTGCTGCCAAGTATTAATACTACTTCAGGTATAGGCCCTGCTTCGTGTGTTAATAATACTATAGTACAAAAAGTGACATGTAAATAGTCATTAAAAGCAGAACAACATGTGACTTTGCAAGTTTTATCTTGAGCAATGGGTGAAAATGGGGTCTCAAACAGGCTTTTTGGGGTCAGATATCTCTGGAAAGAGACTGTTATAAATAAAGGGAATACAGAATCAGTGTGATCTGGAATCCTAGTGGTGTGGCCATGGCCAACATAAACAAATGAAATGCCCGTAAATCTTTATTGCCTCACCTGTCACCACTGCAGCATACAAGAACCGAGACTGGGAGAAAGTAGAGCTCATTATCCTGAAGACTTCTGTGAACTGCCTCTGTTTGCTAGCAATCATATTTGCCTGATCCCTCAATTGTTCTTCCTGTGCCCTGGCTACTGCCAAAAGAGGTCAAACCTTCCAAAAATTAGGACATGGAGTCAATAACTTTGCACTTATGACATTCAAATCTATGATCTTGACTATAACTGAGCTGTAAGCATTGTTTATCAATCTTTATTTATAGTCAGCTTTCATGACCAATGTCTCCCACTCTCCTCAGCAATTCCAAACTTCAGGTCACATTCTTTTTCACCCAGAACTCACCTTTTACCTAACCCTGAAAACTAAAGCAATCAAACGTCATCTGCCTGAGCTTCCCATTTCCCTTAAAGCCAGTGGAACTTACCTCTATCTCCATCCATTCTTTCCTCCTTCCCTCCAGTTTCCTCAGAGGATAAGGTGACCATTCTCTTATTCAAGGCAATACCACCCAATCTGCTCTGGGTACGTTGCTTAATTGATTCCTCAGAAAATTGTTTTTGTTTTGTCTCACTTGTGAGTGGAAAGTAGCAAATAAAAACAATTTCTTAAAGTATTAATTAAGCTTTTCTCTTAGTTCTTAAAATTGCAAACATACTGACATGGGTGAACTAAAACTGTACATCAGACTAGTTACATCACCTGACAAAAAAAGGACTGCTCTTAAGTAACTTCAGAGCACAAAACTTTGACTATATATCTTTGGTGGGATGCAATGAGGACAAAATAATCTGTAAACAATTTAAAATTTGTTATACTTTTTAAACATTTTTTTTAAATTTAAGAAATTTAAAAGTTTTATTCAATAATTTCATTGTTTAACATAGTACTGAGTTAGATATTCTGAAGCTATTTTCTTTGTTTTGTAGGAAAGTAATTTTCTTAGGTATGATGTACTGTGATTGTGTAAGAGAAGATTCTCAATCCTAAGGCATGCATGTTAAAAGTATTTAGCAGTAAGGTCTGCAACTTACTTCATTTAGTAGAGAGAAAGCAAGAGAACAAATACAGAACAATGTTAACAAGGTGATGGTTATATTGGTATATGGGTGTTCACAACACTATTCTGTCAGCTTTCCTCTATGTTTGGAATTTTTCATAAGAAAAAAATAGCATTGTAAAACCTCATTTTGGTAAAAAATGCATTTATATGCATATGTACTTAGAAAAAGTCTTGTAAGGGTATAACCTAGGTTAGGAAATCTGGTAGTAAAAATATATTAGTTCTTATTTTTTATTATTTGTGTTTTCTAACTTTTAATAAAAAATTTAGTGCTTTTGTTATAAAAAATTAACTTTATACACTGAAATAATACATATTAAGTATTTAACTCAAGATTACAGGCTAAATATCTGCTTTTGTCCCGCATTCTTTTTTAAAAAACTCCTACTGAAATAAAGATAGAAAAAAAAATGAAGAAATATTCCCACAGAATATAGAAAAAGGATGAAGTGGTAGGAGAGAATTTCACCAGCAAATAAGAGATGTCAATAACATTTCTGAGACTGGAGGAGAAAGAGACATGATGACAGAGAAAAGATATGTGATATCGGAAAGTTACAGAAAAGGAAGAATTGATCTATCCATTAGAATGTCAACTCTGGGCTCAGAATCAGCACATGAGGCAGAAGACAGGAGCCATAAGTATAAAATGACTCTGAAAACAGAATAATTATTTGAAGGACTGTATACAGACTTCACTACATAGCACCCCAATTCCTTCCCCAACTCTGACTAAACAGAGCATCCAGGGGGCTTGGCATTTACCTCACAGAAAAAACGGATCATCCACAACAACAAAAACCAGCCTATTCTTATCCAAAGAAACTGAACAAGCAGCTTAGAGAAAACTGGGGCTTCTAACGTGAATGTTAGCATCTGGGCGCTCTGACCTAGAGCAGTCAGCCCTTCTCCCAACCCTAATCCAAATCTGACAGTCAACACACTTTACCCATGTACACAGACTAGAGACAATTACTAGGACCAAACCTCTTTACACCTCAGTAAAATAAACCCACAAGAGCTACCCAGACCACCTCTCCAGGACAATCAAGAATCATCAGGCAAATGAGGAAAACTAGCAACATGAAAGACTAACATAAGTTTTTCAAGCAATTTAGAAGGATAATTTAGAAAAACAGATAAAGAAAAAAAAGAAACACCCTAAACTCTTTCAGAAAGATTTTTAGAGAAAATTCTATACACATAGTAAGAACAAGATACTGAAGAGAGGAAATCTCTATGTATGTAAAACAAAAAGAACAAATGATATAAAAGATAAAACACATTAAAAAATTAAAAGATCAATCTAGGAGATCCAACATCCAATTACGAGTCCCAAAAGAGAATAAAATGTAAGAAGGAAAGTATTGCTGTATAACAAAATACCCTGATGCTCAGTGGCTTAAAAAGAATTATCTCAAACCGTTTCTGAGGGTCAGGCATCTGGGAGCAGCTTAGTGGTATGGTTCTGTCTAAGGAGCTCTCCTGAAATTGCTGTCAAACCTGCAGTCATTTAAAGGCTTAACTGGCACCAGGTGCAGTGGCTCACACCTGTAATCCTGGACTTTGGGAGGCCGAGGCAGAAGGATTGCTTTAAGGCCAGACCAACCTGAGCAATACAGAAAGTACCTTGTCTCTTTAATTAAAAAAAAAAATTTTTAAGAAAAAAAATAACAAAATTAAATAAAAGCTTAACTGGGACAGGAAGTTTCACAACCAAGCTCACTCACACGACTGTTGGGGCAAGAAGCCTCAGTTCCTCACTCACATGGGCCTCCGCAGGGATACTCATGACATGGCAGCTGGCTTCCACCAGAATGAGTAATCCAAGAGAGAGAAAAAGTAACAAAGACAGAAGCCACAACGTCTTTCATTACCTAATATGAGAAACAATATACCTTCACTTCTGCCATATAGGTCATGCACTTCTATGTAGAAGACTACACAGGGCATCAGGACCAGGAGACAGGGATCATTCAGAACCATCTCGGAGGATGACTATACCAGTTATCAAAAAAAAAAAAAAAACATGGGAAAAAATTCTCATAGTTTCAGAGATATGAATCTTCAGACTGAAAAGGCTCATTGAGCACTAAGGAGGATGGGAAAAGATCTCATAGATACAAATGATAAAACTTCAGATCTCTAAGGATCAGATAATCACAAATGTGTCACAGGAAAGGAAAAAATGCTCACCTACAAAGGTGTAAGAATTAGATTACCACCAGACTTTTTATCAAATGAACGGTAAAAGACAAAAGGGCAATGCCTTCAGTTGTAAAGTTGTGACAGAAAATGTTTATCAACCTGGAATTCTATATCCATCTAAATGAACAATCAAGTGTGAGAGTAGACTAAAGTCCCTTCCAGAAATAAAGAATCAGACGGTTTAGCTACCAAACATGCATTATTAAGATCTGAACCAGGCATGGCAGTGCATGCCTATAGTCCCAGATACTAGGTAGGCTGAGGTGGGAGGTCTGCTTGAGCTCAGGAGTTCAAATCCAGCCTGGGTAACATAGCAATACCTTGACTCTTAAAAAAGAAAAAAAATGTATATATATACTTGAATTGGTACCCCAATAAAATAAGATTTTTTAAAAAGATGACGTTAATATGTAAGAATCTCTATTATCAATCCCAAAAGGGGAAAATCCTAAGGTAATAGCTATAAGGCATGCCTGGAGAACAAATGGACCAGATTGGAAAAGAACTGGTCCATTGGAAAAGAATTCCATGCAAAAGACTACTGTATGATTGAGTAGATAGAATAATAGAGATATCATAAAGGCACATTGGTTCTTGCTACAATAAAATTTTAAAAATAAAATTTTAAAAAGACAGTTGGGGAACTTCAAGGAAAACAAAAGGCAACATAACAAAGTCATGGTCCATATAGAAACAAATAAGAGGTGGTATGGGTTTAGCAATCAAGGGACTGGAAGAAAAGAGGCTACGTACTAAAGATAGTCTCTTTGAAGGGGTCCAGGAGTTGAGCCACTGGACTCAAAAACAGTCGATGTAGAACCATTATGTAGCACATTATCTAGTCTTGTACTCAACAGCATTCAAAAAGTCATACTAATACAAACTCTTCATTGTTTTAATGTCTTCATATGGAAGACATTAATGTGACTGCAAAACAAAATGTCAGCAACTTTGACAATTTAAAAGTTTAAAAGTATCTGAAAAAAGGCAAGAGGTAAAAGAGGAAAGGAAGGATGGGGTGCTTATTAGTTCATTTTATATGAAGCGGTATCAAGATACTGACTACTACAATAGAACGATACGTAAATATTGTAATTATATTAAACATGTAAAAAAACAAAAATATAATTATCAATTTTTGTAAAGAAGAGAGAGAGAAAGGGAAAGTAGTGTCAATAAACTAAACCCTCTTCTTTCATATGATAAAGTCAACTGATGCTAAATAAATTCCATAAACAGAATTTCAGTACAGGTTAAGTATCCCTTATCTGAAACGCTTGGGACCATTAGTGTTTCAGATTTCAGTTTTTTTCAGATTTCAGAATATTTACATAGATATAAAGAGATATCTTGGGGCTGGAACCCAAGTCTAAACACAAAATTCATTTACGTTTCATACATACTTTATGCATACAGGCTACGGTGATTTTATACAATCTTTTTTTTTTTTTTTTTTTTGCTCTTGTCACCCAGGCTGCAGTGCAATGGCATGATCTTGGCTCACTGAAACCTGTCTCCTGGTTCAAGCAATTCTCCTGCCTCAGCCTCCTGAGTAGCTGGGATTACAGGTGTGCACCACCAAGCCCAGCTAATTTTTTTGTATTTTTAGTAGAGACGGGTTTCACCATGTTGGTCAGGCTGGTCTCAAACTCCTGACCTCAAGTGATCCACCCACCTCGGCCTCCCAAAGTGCTGGGATTACAGATGTGAGCCACCGCACCCAGCCTTATGCAACATTTTAAATAATTTTGTAAATGAAATATAGTTTTGACTGCAACCCATCACAAGAGGTCAAGTGTGAAACTTTCCACTTGTGGCATCATGCCACAACTATATGCCAACCAGTTGGAAAACCTAAAAGAAATGGATAAATTGGCCTTTGGTCTTTCAGACCTGTAACAATGGCCTCTTGGGGGTTTTCAGCCTTCAGCCTCAGACCGGGTACTGTACTTTCAGCTTCTCTGGTTTTGAGGGTTTTAGACTTGGAATGAACTATGGTACTAGCTTTTCTCATCCCCCAGCTTGCAGATGGCTGATCATGGGATGTCATCTTTGTAATTACATAAGCCAATTCTCCCTAGTAAACTCCCTTTCATATATACATATCCTACCATTTCTGTCCCTCTGGAAAAACCTAATAGAGATTTTGAACTTCATAGCTCTCCAGTAACAGACCCAAATGAAAAGGAAATCAACAATTGCCAGAAAAGGAACTCAAAAGACGAATCTTAAGTTAAAAACTTTCCACTTGTGGCATGATGCCACAAGTGGAAAGTCAATGCTCAGAAAGTTTTGAATTTTGGTACATTTTAGATTTCAGATTTTCAGATTTTCAGATTAGGGGTGCTCAATCTGTATTCTTTCTGTCAAAGTTATATCCTGAACATTAACTACACTAGATGGTTTAGAACCCATTAGGCTAAATCTGAACTGATCGCTATACATTTCTTCAGGAAGTTGGTTATGAGTTTAGGTAAACAAAAATGCATGAAAATGTACATGCCTGCTTGAATGCATATATGTGTGTATTTTAACTAAATGCATGACTTTATTTTCTTTCCACAATTTTTTCTAAAAATCAAAGAAAAAAATTTGCTGGAATGGAAGAAATAGTCAGGGAAGGGAATACCCTGGTTAACTAAAGACTGACACTGAGATTTAATCTATTTCTCCAATGTGTGTAAAAGGCTACTATCATACAGAAACATGGTATCCTCTCTCACTGTATAAATTCTAATGCTAATCTTAATGGAAATGAGAAGTTCACCTGATTTTAAGAAATAATGAAGGGATACCAGAAAGAGGCACTAGAAGCATTTGAAACTATTTTAAGGATTTTAAGATAATTTCACAGAAAAAGATCAAGACAAGTAAATGTACATTGATGGATCTCACAAATCTAAAGACCGTTTAACAGAAGAGAACAAAAGGAGCATACTATATTGCTACCATCAGGAAGAACTTCCTAACAATTACAGCTACTAACAACAGAATATAATAAAAGTCTATAATAAAAGTCTGATCTTCCATCACTATATTGTTTAAGGACCAAATAAACACTAGAAATCAAAAGTGTGTAATGTTTTAAATTAGTAAAAGACTGGACTACATCATCCCTAAAGTAATAAGTATAATTATGAGAGTTCTAAACTAATAATTTTGACTTACCAACATCCATTGCAGTTTCCATAAAGCTTTTCTGTCGTGAAGCAAACTCCGCAAGCAATTTCTGCTGCCTCTCTCTAGCCTTCTGTCGCCTAGATTAAACAGAAATAAAGTTTTAAGTATCAGATGCGCTTAAGACCTAGCTACTATATTTCAGGAGTATATAATGTATGAAAAGCCCCTGGCACACAGGTGAGAACAATCTATTTTCTGTATTATGTATTAAATTTCTTCTAATACTTGATTGTCCTTAAAAGGATTCTACTAATTTTAAAAGGTTACAAACTCACTGGTTTAATAGATAAAAATAAAAGCCAAGATGTACTTTAAAATGTGAAATAATAATTAAGGTAGATAGAATATTTGGATTTCCAATAACACAAGTTCCTAAGTATACGTCAGAAGGTAGCAAGACCAAGAACATATTTTTTTAGCAAGAGACTAACAATTTAATCCCAGGCACAAATAACAGTAAACTGATTGCTAGAAGAAGCTATGATGTTTAGATATAAACAAAGTCTAAAAGATAGGAATAGTCATATTTACTGTTACCCTAAGAATAGGCCTCTCCTAACAGAGAATGAACAGAAGCCAGTAAGTTTCCCCGTTTCTACTAGGACATATTTCAAGTTTGGTTTATTTTGTATAAAGTAAAAGAATGTGAAGGAGTCTCAAACACAACATAAGAATAAAACTGTATTACAAAGCCCTAAATATTCCCTTGGATTAATTCACTATATTATATTTATTATGTATGCCTTATCTACTTCCAAAGAATATTTTTTTTCTTTTTGTAGCTTAACGGCTAATTTTATTTTATTATACTTTAAGTTCTAGGGTACATGTGCACAATGTACAGGTTTCTTACATATGTATACATGTGCCATGTTGGTGTGCTGCACCCATTAACTCGTCATTTACATTAGGTATATCTCCTAATGCTTTCCCTCCCCCCTCCCCCGACCCCACGACAGGCCCTGGTGTGTGATGTTCCCCTTCCTGTGTCCAAGTGTTCTCACTGTTCAATTCCCACCTATGAGTGAGAACATGCAGTGTTTGGTTTTTTGTCTTTGTGACAGTTTGGTCAGAATGACGGTTTCCAGCTTCATCCATGTCCCTACGAAGGACATGAACTCATCCTTTTTTATGGCTGCATAGTATTCCACAGTGTATATGTGCCACATTTTCTTAATCCAGTCTATCACTGATGGACATCCAAAGAATATTTTAATTGCAACTGGTTGCCAAAAAAAAAAAATCCACCAATACAGTGTTACCATAACATAAGAATAGGAAAATAAGTCAACTAATAAAGAAAGGAGACAGGTTTCTTCAGATTATGTGATGCTAACAATACTAGTAAGCATAAAGTTTCACTCCCAGTAAGGAAAAGTTAAATTAATAATTTAAACAAGAAGTGAAGGAGAGGAAGAAGAAAAAATGAAAGGTTAGAAAAGGTAAATTATATGTTAGTTCACGGAAGAGATAAATTTTTACTTGAACAAAACTCAAAGAGGAACTGATGTCCTTTGTGTCATACCCATAATACAGAAGACATGAGAACATAATGGACAGAGTATACTACAGCAGTTTCTTTAATGACCATTTATTATATCTATACAGTATAGAAGTCAAAGCATTATGTTAAACTGAGAGTCTATGCAATCACTGTTATGGGAAACCTAAAAGTATTTTTCTATTAATCTGATATGATTCAAGGATATAACATACAAAATTCAGAAGAATGAAATACAGTAATTTTTAAATTATCCACACATTTGCTCCCATGAAATTAGTGGGGATAATCAGGAGCAACTACAAAGTCAAGTTCTGTGGTCCACTTTACCATGAGAAGTTACATATTTTTGCCAATAATATTCAAAAAATTGTTAACACTCCTTTTCTAACATTTACAGATAATTTAGGATCCACATAAAAAACTCGCCTTATTATTTTATAACAACAATTCTTTTATACTGTTTTTGAGCCAAAATATTATTATCCAGGTTGATCACTCAACTTATTCATCAAAGTTAACTCTCAATGATGTTGGCCATTTCAAAAAATTAAATCTACCCATCCCCTCTCTTCCCTTTCTGAACATGTCCTAGCACAGAGTGTCAGGACTCGACAACCTGGCACGGGAGGGCATTTGTATGGTAAAAGATTAGAAGAAAGTGGTTATATATAAGGGAGTTGATTTTTAAAAAAGTTATATATATATATATAACATTTTAGTTAAATATATGTAATTTTTAACTAAAAAAGTTAAATATATCTATCCAGATAGATAGATACACAGATAGAGAGAGAGAGAGAGAGAGAGTTATAGGTGTCAGGTATCTCACTGCAGAAGTAGAGAGTTACAGAGTTACTCTGGAAACTGAGAAAGAGAGAAAACAAGAATGACTCCTAGAGGGATGGATTGGAATTGAAAGTATCAGAGTGAACTCACAGTTTTCAGTACATAAAGTCAGACATAAAACTAAATATAAATTTCTCCCTTCCTCTCTCACACTACCTTCCAACACAAACACAGACAAACAAAGAAACACACACACAATTTTCCCCAGCTCTGTCCTAAGAGGGCCTGAGACAGCTATACTTCATTAGAATAAACACATGGACTGGGGTTTCTAAATACCATTCTCTCCTAAAAGCAACCAGGACTCCTTGGAGAAATGGCTGACTCCAAGTACAGGATAAGCCTGCAACATCTTTTTTTTTTTTTTTTTTGAGATGGAGTCTCACTCTATGGCCCAAGCTGGAGTGCAGTGGCACGATCTAAGGTCACTGCAACCTCTGCCTCCCAGGTTCAAGCAATTCTCATGCTTCAGCCTCTTGAGTAGCCGGGATTACAGGCACGCACCACCATGCCCAACTAATTTTTGTATTTTTAGTAGAGACAGGGTTTCTCCACATTGGCCAGGCTGATCTCGAACTCCTGACCTCAGGTGATCTGCCCGCCTCAGCCTCCCAAAGTGCTGGGATTACAGGTGTGAGTCACGACACCTGGCCAAGCCTGGAACATCTTATTGCCCCAGAAAATAGGAATATGCTCAAAGAATGATGGGAATAGATCAAAAGGACCCGGAAACCAGCTTGACATGACTCCTAGTGGCCAAATCTGTAATAATTTGAGCACCAAAATTAATAACAAGCATATGAGATTATAACCCATAAAATAAAATAGGAACCCATGAGTCCACACTGATAAAAATAAATGAATATAAAGTTGATATGAATTGGGATATTACAATATCTCATAGTATCTCTCCACAAATTACGTATTAATTGTAAAGTGGGGTGGGAAAGGTAATTTGACTGTGAAGAAGTCTGGCAGACATGATCAAAGTTAATCACCAGTGATGAAACAAATTGAAATCATATAACAGCTTGTGGGATACAATGAAAAGAAAACAGCAACACTTCATTTACATTCCTGCCAAAGTTGTATAAACTGAGTCAAAACATAAAGGGAAAACAGACAATCCCAAATTAAGGGATATTCTACAATGTTACTACTGCTTCATAATCTTTAAAAGTGCCAAGGTTATGAAAACAAAAACTTCCATATTGAAGGAGAACAAAGAGGCATGACAACTAAATGCAAGGAGTGATTATGAACTGGATCTTTCTGCTATAAGAAATATTACTGGCTGGGCACAGTGCCTCACGCCTGTAATCCCAGCACTTTGGGATGCCGAGACGGGTGGATCACAAGGTCAGGAGTTCAAGACCAGCCTGGCCAACATGGTGAAACCCTGTCTCTACTAAAAATACAAAAATTAGCCGGGCATGGTGGCAAGCACCTGTAATCCCAGCTACTCGGGAGGCTGAGGCAGAGAACTGTTTGAACCTAGGAGGCAGAGGTTGCAGTGAGCTGAGATCGCGCCACTGCTCTCCAGCCTGGGTGACAGAAAGAGACTCTGTCTCAAAAACGAAAAAAAAAAAAAAAAGGTAAGTAACAAAAGAAATATTATTGGGGGCTAGGAGCAGCGGCTCATGCCTGTTATCACACCACTTTGTGGGGCTGAGGCGGGGGGATCACTTGAGCCCAGGAGTTTGAGACCAGCCTGGGCAACATAGCAAGACCTCATCTCTACAAATAATTTTTAAAAATTAGCCAGGCATGGTGGCACACACCTGTAGTCCCAGCTGTTCAGGAGGCTGAGGCGGGAGAATCACTTGAGCCTAGGAGGTCAAGGCTGCAGTGAGCCGTGATCATACCACTATACTCCAGCCTGAGTGACAGAGCAAGACCCTGTCTCAAAGAAAAGAAAAGAAATGAATTAAGAAGAGAAGACAAGACAAGACAAGACAAGACAAGACAAGACAAGACAAGACAAGACAAGACAAGACAAATCAAACATTATTGGGACAACTATCAAAACTTGGGATCTAAATCATACTCAAATACCACTATCAATCTGCTAATTCTGATAGTTGAGGGTACAAAGAACTTCCTGAACCATTTATGTAAGTTTAAGATTACTTCAAAATAAAAAGCTTTTTAAAATTAAATCCATCCTCAAAGGACAAATATTTGCCACAATGGAAGAAATGGAAGCAAAGAAAAATGTGCTCTAGATGCTCAAAGCACTCTAAGTGACCTCCAAAAATGCTATGAGCAACAACAGCATTGACAGACTACATTTTTGGTCTTCTGAATCACTAGTTCGTAAATCTGTAAGTTTTGCCATACTTCTTTAATTAATGCCACTCACTCTACAGCTCACCTTTAAACATGTACACTTACAATTAGAATACATATGTCCATAGAGTGTACTTTTTAAAAATCTATTAAACATAAGAAAACCTCAAATGTAACTGCTTGACACTAATACTAAAATGCATTTCTATAGCAGGTTTCTATACTAACCAGAAATGGGATGTCATTGTTGTGAATGTTTTCTTAATCGAGATTATTGCTTTTCTAAATGGGCATAAATGTAAATAAAGGCCATTAACAAGAACATATACAAGTTCTGGCAGATTCAGGACAACTCAAAAATTTTCCATTAACTCCTGGGTTAAAGACATTGAAGCTGCATTTTATTACAACCATCTAATGTTTTCTGCTTGCATCTTGTTTTCTATTAAGTTAATCTATTATGAAAGTGATGCTGAGTTTGTCTAAAGGTGAAGTACTTGGAAATGGATCCTCATTAAGTGTTTATGAACTGTTCTGCCTTTATTATGAAAATCCAAAACGAAACCAGAGGAAAGACAAATGTGAGAAGCACGGTGAGATCCAAATAGAGTCATCTTAATCCTTAGCTGTCTGCTACAAAATTAGTTTCAAGTCCTTGTCAATACCATCATTGTTCAAAGAAAACAAAACCTATCACAAAGAAAGCCTTTAAAATTTTTAGAATATTATTTATTACAATAGCATCAGGGCCTTTGTAAAAGCAGCATCTAAACTATGTCCTCCAGTATCACATTATTAGTAATAATTACAAAATTCCCTTAATCAAGAAAAACAGATTTTGATTCACTGTTTATCTTCTTTCAAAATAAAAGGATATACTATTATATAACAGAAAGAAGGATCTGACCACTAAGAGAGACCACTAATTAACAAAAATAACAATCTTACCTCATTTTCAACCTTCTAATTTTGTCAGTAGATTTATTACATTCTAGGCTATTACTAATTCAAACTTAATGAATGGTCATCTGAATTATATGTTACTGAATGTCCTTTCTCCCACGGAAACAAATTTTGTGTTAGTTCTTTATAACTCCAATTTAGGAATTCTCCTAAATTCTTAATCTACCATAAGCTTTTGCATATATTAATATAAATTTTTTATAACAAACTTTTTTTTTTGAGATGGAGTCTCATTCTGTCGCCAGGCTGGAGTGCAGCAGCGCGATCTCAGCTCACTGCAACCTCTGTCTCCCAGGTTCAAGCAATTCTCCTGCCTCAGCCTCCCTAGTAGCTGGGACTACAGGCACACGCCACCACGCCCAGCTAATTTTTATGTTTTTAGTAGAGACGAGGTTTCACCATGTTGGCCAGGATGGTCTTGATCTCCTGACCTTGTGATCCACTCACCTCGGCCTCCCAACAAACTTTTAATTACATCAGAGATGTAGTGTAACTATATATGTGACTAAAATTGCTCCTTATACAGGTACCAACGGATGACCTCCTAACTAACAAATCAAATAGGATGGCCAATCTTATTGAACTCCTGTAGCACTTAACAATTTTGATAAGTTTCTTGCTTTCTGAACTTCCTCTTGTGACTTCTCTAATGCCACTCACCCCAGTTTTTCTCTTACTCTGCTCAGCCATCCCTTCGTCAGTCACCTTTGTAGGTACCCCTTCCTCAGTCATTCCCTTTAATGTTTTTCCCTTAAGTTCTACATTCAGTCTTCTCATTTTCTTACTGTAAACCTTCTCCCATATACAAGGATTTACTACTACCTAGCTGCTCAAATCTGTAGCTCTAAGAATTCTCCCTTAAGTTTTAAACCCTATATCTGACTGGACACCTTCACCTGGGTGTCCCTCTTAAACTTAGTAGCGTCCAGAACTGAACAGATCACTTTTACTAATGAGCCTGGGACCCCTCCTACACTCCATTATCTTGGTAAAAGGAACATTATTCAAGTCAGAAATCAGGGCACCATTCAAGACATCTCCCTCATTTCTCACATCAACCTGATGACTGAGTCTAACAACTTGTACCTGCTAAATATCTCATACACATCTCCTCCTCTCTTTATTATCATCACTGTCTTAGTTCAGACCCTTACCACACCTGCCCCACTAGATGACTAAGTAGCTTGCTCTCCCAATTTCCAGTCTTACCCCACTCTAATCTACCCTCATGTAATTACCCTATATATTATTCCTCACTTAAAATCCTTCCACAGTTTCCCTGTAACCATTTATACCCTGTGCGAGTTAACGATACATGGTTACCTTCTTAGCCTTATGTCCTACTACTCCCATTAACACCCTGTGTACCTAAGATAGTATCTGTTACACTATGTTAACACTACTAACAAACTATCTGTTTACCAGTCTGTCTCTCCATTATAGTATCAATTCCTCGAGGTCAGGAAGTCCAACACCAGACACAGATATGTCTAGAAAACTGCTTGACTGACACCCAATGAATGAGAAACGGATCAATCAAGTAAGATCCATCTTAGGCTTGCTTCCACTGATCATTTAACCCATAACTGCCTATATTTAATTTTAAAAGTAACTAAGAAGATGAAATTATCCAGAAAATACCTCTAAAGTACACTTCAAACTGCTAAATAATGTATTAGTCATACTGCTCACAACAGTAGTCCAGATAACTCTGTTGACAATGATTTTTACCTATATAAAACAGATTGAGATGATAAAGGTCCTAGGTTCTTAAATTAAGATAATATTGATGTGATCTCTTTGGACCCTCCCTAACGGGAAATGTGTACCCTTCCCCTATAATTGTTGCTTTGGTAGACAAATTTGTCTTAAATAATAAAGAAATTAAAACAATGAATATTATTTATAACCTCAGAGAAGTGAGCAATGACTATCTTGAATTTGATCTGAAATCTTTTTTTTAAATGTCCTGGGTCTTTTAGCCTGTGTACACTCATTAGAAGGCATGCTCTTTTTTTTTTTCTTTAATAAACACTGAACCCTTTCCAAGAGTTTGACAATTATGCAGAGTTTCAATCTCTCAAGATTCACCTTGTCATGTTTATGACAGCAGGGTCAGCAATGTTGACAAGGCTCTTGGGAAACAATTTGTGACAATGCACAGTAACACAACTCTTCTGGCAAACAATGTACCACTAAAAAAAAGAACCAAACCATGCTCATAGTCCTTGACCCACAAACCCCACATAACATAGTATATATCTTGAGATTTTAAAAAAATCCCATTTTTTTTTCAAGAAAGTCAAAAGATGAAAAAAAAGTTTATAAATATAATTTAACAACAAATTATAAGCAACCTAAAGATCCAAAAGCTAGAAGCATAAGTTAGTCAGAATGTGTTTTAAAACATCACTTTTTAAAAATCAGCAATCATATATTAATAAAGATTAGAAAAGACCAAAAGAAACTAAAGCAGTTGGATTTTTATTTTGAGAAATATTTTAAATATTTTTAATATTCTCATTTAAAGCTGAACAGTTCAACTTTAACAGTAAGAGAATTATTAGATCCCTACAGCAATAAAAGCAGTAGCAATTTTTCCAAAGAGACACACAGGTTTAAGGTAGTAATTTTACATTGGGGTCAGAAAGTCTCACCTGTCCATCAATAAACTCAATACATCACATGTACAAGCACTGACTATGCTCCATTCCATTTATGTTACAAACTAATCAGCTATGACTGTTCCTGTTAAACATCCAGGTGATTATCCTCAAATGACCAAAAGGAAGAAAATATCAAATTTTCAACTATACACACGTTTAAAACATTAAAAATAAAAATTACCTTTCTTCTTTGTCCAATGTTTTCTTCTCTGCTGCAGTGACTTTTTTAGGTGGTACAGGAGGGGTCACTTTTCTACATATCTCTTCAATGATGCGTTTGTTCATTCTACTTTGCGATGCAGCTTTTAGTAAAATTCTTTCCACGGCAGTTATACCATCTCCATGACTGTATTTAGGAATTTCTGGTTGGATTAAAATTTCTATGTCATCAAGCCAAGGAGGATAGTAGGAGTTTTGTTTTCCTGAGAGTTTGTGGTGAAGTTTAATTAGCAAAGACAATATGCTTTCTTTAATTTCCAAAATGGCTGTAGTTAACTGTGGAGCTGAACCAGGAGCAGACCATTTACTTGAAGTTTTGGGACGAACCACCTGATTTGCTTCACTGCTACTGCGATTGATGATTTCCTGAAATTTCTTTCTACGTTCTGCTACTAAACTGAAAACTTGAGCTGTACCAGAATTCTACCATTAACAAAGAGAAACAAAGAAAAATCAAGAGAAGTTATTTAGCATCATTTTAAAAACATATTAGTACTATATTTTCTAAAGGGAATGCTCAGTTTCATACAAAGATTTATTCAATAGATTTGCTCTTTAAATAAATTTCTCCCTTGACCTCTCTCTCAAATATATTTAATCCCACTCAATCTAGAAACAGTAATAAGGAGGAGATCATCAGCAGTAACATCTCCTTTTCAACCTTCTGAAAACAGACAAAGCTTAAGTAGTATCTACAGCCATATTAAAGAGAATCATAAACTAAATTATTCATTACTTTAAAAGAGGAAAAGCTGTTCTGGTCAACATTCATGAAGAATAGGATACTCCTTACTAACTTCTGGAAGACTGCTAAAGTTTCCAGTTAAGAAAATTATAAATTAGTTTTTAAAAAAATTTTCTAAGCTAATAAATCTGAACTAGTAATTAATTTCACTTTTAAGGAACTTTAAAGTTTGAAAATTCTAACATAAATGCTTAAAGTTACTAAATTGAAATATAAGGATGAAAAATCAAACTTTCATATTTTAATATGAAATTTAATTTGTTTTATTAAATTTTAATATGAAATTAAAACTGTGATTTGTGATTTGTTTTTGATTTGTTTTTGGTTTGTGGGTCAAGGACTATGATTTGTTTTTTGAACAGTTTTTTTTTTAAACTAAGTATTTTCCTCAATAATTCATCTCCTAAAAAGCTTTTTTGCTAAAGCAATCAAACTGCACCAGGGCTCTCAGAAAACATCTTTTAATTAAGATATGAGTCAGTTTAATGAATTTATTTTTTAAAAGCGAGCATAGAAAGGATGCTGTAATATCAGTTGAGCTTTTGTGAGTTAAATGACAGTATACACTATTTTTTAACATCCAAGCTGTTTTTTAAAGTACTCTCTACCAGCATTAGAGGCAAAAGCCTCTTACAGAGTTTCCAGTTTTTGCTTACAGTGAAAACACGTTGTCAAAGACCAAGAAAGCTCCTACAAATAGACTCTACTAGAAGAAATGTCTGATTCAATGTTCTCTACTCACGAAAATCTAGGTTGTGGAGACTAAAACTGCTTAAGTTTACTTACTTACAATGTCATTTCAAGATTTTTCATTACTGCTTTTTAAAAGTTAACTTACATGCAATGAGAGCGCTGATTTTCAAAATGAGTCCAAAGCCATAATATACAGAATTTAAGACTTTATAGGCTTATTTTATCAAAGTTAATTGCCATAGAAGCAAAAAAAAAGTTATTTGCAAATGAGCATGCTGCTAGCAATTAAATTTATTTTAATTTAGAAAATATCCAAGTCATTTTTAAGATGTTAGTAATACAGTGGCAATGATGAATGTAAAGAGACTCAAATATGCTACCTATAATTGGTCCAAAATACTTCGAACACTAATAAGAAAAATACACTATTATACTCAGTATTATTTTTAAGCTCAATAATATAAATTTTCTTTAATATTAAGCTTAAATCACTTTGTCAAAAAAAAAAAACACACATAAATCCAAGAAACCTTCTTTTAAATTTAACCATATTAATTAAACACCCATACACACACAAATACTTCAAAGCGGTTTTTCCCCATTTCCAGTTAAAGCCATGTTGCTAGTTAATGAAAATATCATACACATCTACCTCTCTTTGAAGAACTTTAGGCCGTCGTGAACTCTGGCAGATTAAGGGAAAAAGACTGGTAAGGTAGAAGTTACATAGATATATCAGAGGAAATAAAAGACAATTTAAAGTTATCTACAACCACATTTTTTTTTCTTTTGGATATTATAGGAACAGTATATCCCAACATAACATACATAACATAAAGCTTTTTCTTATTTTCTTTCTTACATTTACACTTACTTGTAAAGAACCCAAGTTATCAGAGCTAGTACTTGCAGGTGAGTCTCTCTTTACTTCAGGAGCAGTCTCTGGAACTCTTACTCTAACATAGTTTATAAAGTGTCGCATGTTTGACACTAAGTTACTGCCAGGAAACCAACTGTCATGACAACGTTCTGGTCCACCCACTGATGCCTAAAATAAAAAAAAAAATGAATATCAAGTCTTGCCACATCACGTCCAAGGTACAATGGAGATGTAACAAGCCCCCCAAAATCATCCACTGCCTATCATAATCCTGAATCCCTTATTGTCTCATCCACAAATTATAAAGTGAATAAATTTAAATAATAAAACCAAATTCAAACAAAAAATGCAGGAATATCTCAATACTAATATGGGTATGTCCAATGGAATCAGCTAAATTCCTGATTTAAAATACATTTTTAAATACATTTTTCAATCTAGAATACTGAACATTACAGAATATTCATCCTCACCCATTAGTAATACAAATAATGCTAATTTGGACAAATTGGGAGGAAATTGAAAAATCAACCAAAGGTATCACTAATCATAGAGGAATCTTTATAACCTTTTAAAATCTATGAAAGAACATATGTTGATTCAACTTGGACTACAAAGAACTACAAAGTGGTTTCTTTAACTTGTTTTTGCTATTATTATGCTGTGTTATATTTTGTCATTTAGGAGGGAAGAGATGAGGAGAATCTTACACATTAGTAAAACTAATTTGTAGTAACAATTGCTTTTATGGACACAATACTTCTAAAGTCCTGAAACAAAGTAACAACTTTTAAGTACTTTAAACATTCTCCCATATAACAATATTCATGCCATTACCTTCAAACCTTTACAGGAAGAATTTGTTACTCAAAAATAATCCCTAATCAAATTATTAGAATTTTTGGAGCTAAGTCCTAACTTCAGTTTTACTGGTTATTTATTGATTACTGGTAATTGTTTGCCAATAATCAATTTTCTTAGCATAACACCAAAAATGCATTAAACATTTTTCTTAATTTTTGTGATAGGAATTACAAATTTCAAATTCAATAATTCCATAATAGAATTTAATGTATCAATGAAGGCCCTAAAAAACTGTACGTATTTGAAGATCCCAAAGGGCCTTTTCTAGTAGTTCTTTAAAAGATCTTATGAGTCTGATGAAAACATAAATACACCTCAAGATGAATTCACAAATACATTTTCCTAAGGTATGTCATAACTAGGAAAAGTATAACATGCCTGGTTTGGCAACAATTGGTTGGAGCCAGATAGGGGCTGCCTATCTAAAAATTTTAAATTATAAAAACTACTTACCTCTTCATCTGATTCTTCTTCAGCAGAATTTTCAAGTCCTAATTCAATCAGATATAAAACCATGCAGAGTACATGTTCTGACAGATTTTGATGATCCATCAAAATCTTTAAAAAGGGAAGAAAATGCCTCATAATTACTTTTTTCCACAAAAGGTATTTCATTTAGAGATCCAAAAATATTTTACTGTTCTAGACGAAAAGTACTTTAATATCTAGAAATACCAGTTCACAAATTTTCTAAAGGTATGTCAGAGTCCACTAAAAAAATTCATACGAATATAAGTATTTAATAAAATAATTTAATAAGAATATTTTTATATCCTAATTTGCTGACACTCTTCTCTTGATGACAAGGCCATCAGATAAATAAGTTTACCAAATAGGATAATCCATGCAAATGTGTTTAGCACAGCACCTGGCATATAACTGGCAGCACAATAAATGTTTATGGTACATTAATGTTCTTAAAAATATGTCTCTAAAATTAAAGTTCTGAGCCTCTGAGTATTTTGAGTAGCTACATTCTTATGTATGTCAGTGTGGGATTTATATGGAGGAGAAAGGTAGAAGGAATGCAAGTGGTTAGTAAAAAGGCTTCTCTGAGGAAAATTTGATACATCTGACCTATAGATTACTCAATACAAGCCTTATACATCTTACACAGGATTTCTGGGCTACCTACACCAATCACTCATTCAATATGATATAACAGACCACTAACCAGAAGATACCTAAAATACCACAAGTAACAAAATGGCCTGGCAGATATCATCTTGTCCTCATTATAAAAGTCATCTGGCCAAATGATGGAAAGGATGAAAGGAAGAAATTCTGTAGGCAGCAGCAGTTTTAATTGTGGGCGAGATAGCAGAGAGCAAAAAAGAGGACAGGATAAGCTGAGCCTCACAGAAGCTGCCCAGATGGCTGAGGGGACTTGGAAAGGAGGTCTTAATTGCTTAAGACCTAACCTACCACAATTAAAGAATAGAGAGACTTTCAAGTCACTGACTCTCTCATGTTTTTCTGACTATTCAGAGGGCTTCTATATTCATCTGTTGTGTGGCACAGTGGTGAAGAGCATAGGCATTCAAAACCTTTTAAAAAACAGATTTTTAAACAAATTTCTGTCTATTCCTAGTTGACCTTCAGCAACAGACTCTGGTCTTAGTTTTCTTATCTCTAAAATTGGAATTATAGAGCCCCTCCTAGCCCTTTCACTTGTCCCATCCCCAACCAAAAAAAAAAAAACTAAAAGAAAGAAAAATAAAACTGAAATTATAGCCCAGAATTGTTGTAAGGATTGCATGAGTTAATATCTGTCATTTGCTTTGTATAGTGTCTAGCAATGGGTGTTCAACAAATAGTGAGTGGGTGGTGCCAATGATGTGAGGAGCAGAGGCAGCAGCAGGAGGAGACTGAAGGCTGGGAGACC
Organism: Homo sapiens; assembly: GCF_000001405.40. NCBI lineage: Eukaryota > Metazoa > Chordata > Mammalia > Primates > Hominidae > Homo > Homo sapiens. Next base: position 169,944,960 of record NC_000002.12, on the reverse strand, counting down.
ACAGAAGTCATCCTTTCTGATCCACTATGTTATGGAGAGAAAACCAAGGCTCAGCCACACAACCAGCTAGCTAGTGTAAGCAACACTAGAACACAGACCTCAGACCCCCAGGCCACTGACTATCATTACTATACTATCTCCTCTTGATAAATAAAACATTACCAGCTAAATTCAATTAAATTTTCACTTCACAGCTTGTGGGATTACAGCTTTAATTGAGTAACTTCAGAGCTAAAGAGGAAAACATCCCTCTATTAGGTACTTCAAAAAAAAAAAAGAAATAAAAATGATGTTTCCAGGGAGTTTTATTTTGACATTAAACATGTCAGAAGATAAAGGTGGTTTACTAAAATTGATTTTTAAAAAGTTGACTTGCCAACGCAATGTCAATGGAGAACTTTATTATTACTAGTAGTAAAATCAAGAAAGTTATTTTAAAGTTGAGAAAAATTCATTTATAATAGTCTTGTAACAACTAAAACATTGTCTTTTTATTTTTCATAAAATACTATTTGTACATTTAGCATACAAAAAATTGAAAAATATAACTTGAAAGAGCATAATAAATAATTTGCCATAAGGCTTCCTTAATTTTTCATGAATTACTTGTCACTTATTAATTATTACTTATAACAGTACTTAGCTTCCCCATCTGAACTAGTTATTTAACTTCTAAAACTCAATTTCATATCTGAAAAAGGAGAATAATAACAGAACTTTCACTTATAAGGATTTTTGCTAGCTTAAACAAAATAATGTCTACAAGTATATATAAAGCATTTCAAACAAAATCTGGCACTAAGTAAACATTCAAAGACTGTCCATTATTTGTAAAACAAATACAAATATCTTTTCAGTACAAAAAGATATTCTACATTTTTTAATAAAGAAAAAGAGCATTTTAAATCAATTACTGAATAACCCTCTTGGAAGTTAATGAAAATAAACCACCCAAGGTGTTTTTTGAGGCACCTGTCCAAAATCGTAACAGGAAAACTTTAGAAACAAGTACACTGAAAAATTGGTCACGGGTAGGGTTGAAAGGAAGAGAAGTATAGAAATTTAAAAGTACTATTTCATTATAAGATTAAGAAAAAAAATAAAATTCCTACCTAACTAAATACATACTTTCTTAAATAATGTGTTAAATGATTGTACATAGTAATTGGAAATTTGTATAACAAATATTCTCATTTTTCTTTGAATTTCTTTTAATTTTTAATTTTTCAAATTCTAATTAGGAAGAAGAACAATAGGTTTTCTTTGTATCTACCTGCATAACATTTATCATGTCTATATAGTTATATTATCTACATGAGTATAGTTATTTTCTTTTTTCTTTCATCTTTCTTCCCCCTCCAAGTTGGAGTCCTGCTCTGTCACCCAGGCTGGAGTGCAGTGGCACAATCTGGGCTCACTGCAACCTCCACCTCCCGGGTTCAAGCAATTCTCCTGCCTTGGCCTCCTGAGAAGCTGGGATTACAGGCGCCCACCACCACACCCACCTAATTTTTGTATTTTTAGTAGAGACAGGGTTTCACCATGTTGGCCAGGCTGGTCTCGAACTCCTGACCTCGTGATCTGCCCACCTCAGCCTCCCAAAGTGCTGGGATTACAGGCGTGAGCCACCGCGCCCAGCCTTCTTTCATCTTTCATGCAGATGAGATTATAAAAATCCCTATTATATACACACATACATACTATACAATATTATGCTTCACACAAGTTTTTGAGTACACAATTAATGTTAGTCAAATAAATCTGTCTTACGTGAGAAGATCCCAAAATAAAACAAATTTTAGATAACAAGCAAGTAAAAGCATCATCTTGTTAGTTCCTAAAATGTTTATCAAAAACAATTTTTGATCTTGCCACATAGAAACCACACTCAAATCCTTCCACGTCACTTTCCTGATTAGAGGGAAAAAGCAAAAAGAACCCCCCAACCTAAGATTCACTGCCTCACATAACTGCCATTCTAGTTTTGTCATTTTAGTGGGTTCTGATGGTTGTTTGGTCCCTGTAGCTCATTCCACACCTCCTGTAGTTCCACGGTATTTCACTTACTGTTCTACAGAATCCATAAATAAATACTTTTATCGGTAGCTAGATAAGATAAATAGTTTCTCACAAAGAATGCTGTAGCTATTCTGTTATGTTCAACTTGGATTTCAAATACATGTGATTATAACATATCTTCATACATCTTAAATGCATAAATACACTTTGCTTTATAAGTGGTACTTTTATGTAAATATTATCCTTTAGGATTATTATTTGAAAATAAATTCTAAGCTTAGTCTTTCTATTCAAATTACTACTGTACCTTGTAAAGCAGAGTGAATAGCACAATGTGTAAAGTTTTACAGTGCAAAAGTCTCATAAGACCTTTATAGCTAGGATGGAGTGATGTCCTTTTCTTATATGGAGGCCAGGGATTTCCAGGAAATTTTCCACTCTGTTTTAAACTGTAAAAATAAAACAAAACTAGAATTAGATGATAGCCTCAAAATCAAACTGTGGTTTAAATGTAATTTATAGACACCAATTTCTGTCACAATATTTTATGCAGTGCTATTTTTAATCAAATTGCTTAAAATGCCAAAGAGGTATCTATTCTCTACACAATGAACATTACTATTTCTTTTCCTAATGGCTAAAGATGAGTAAAGAGAGCTAAGCTGAAAATTAAAAAATATATAAACTTTAAAGTGCTAACAAAGAGAAATGAACAGAAAGAATACACATGAAGTACTCAGCAAGGAAATTTCCAGCTGTAACGATTAAGCAAAATAGACGACCTGAAAATTCTCCCACTACGAATGGTTGGAAAAGCTGGATAAAATATAAATGTAATCTTTTGAATGCGTATTTGAGCTCACACAAAAGTGGAATTCTCCAGTTACCAGAAAAAAAGAAGGAATTAATGACAAGCACTAACACTGTGCCAGTGGTTTTAAAGTCCTTGAGCAAACAGATCACAAGGTATGTTGGGCTCACACAAGGCTCAGAGATAGAACTGATATCCCATCTAAAGCTGAGACCCTTGACAGGCTTTACCCTCACTGAAAGAGTAACTCACAAGGAGAATGAATTAGCTTGTCTGTCTCTTCTGGGATGTAAGAACAAGTTCCCCAAGAAGATAATTATGAACTTGTATGCAAATACAGTAGTCCCCTCTTATCTTCAGGGAACACGTTCCAAAGCCCCCAGTAGATGCCTGAAAATATGGATAATAACAAACTCTCTACATACTATGTTTTCCTACACATACATACCTATGATAAAGGTTAATTTATAAATTAGACACAGTAAGAGATTAACAACAGTAAGTGATAATAGATTACAGCAATATACTGTAATAAAAGTTAGGTGAATGTGTACATGCTTTCTCTCTCAAAATACCTTATGTATAGTAGTCCCCCTTATACCTAGTTTCACTTTCCACAGTTTCAGTTACCCATGGTCAACCATGGTCAGAAAATATTAAATGAAAATCTCCAGAAATAATTCACAGGTTTTCAATTGGATGCCATTCGGAGTATTGTTATAATTGTTTTATTTTATCTTTAGTTATTACTGTTAATCTCTCACTATCTCTAATTTATAAATTAAGCTTTATCATAGGTATGTATTGTAGGAGAAAAACATAGTATATATAGGGTTTGGATACCATCCCTCATTTCAGGCATCCACTGTGGGTCTTGGAACATGTCCTGAGGATAAGAGGGGGACCATTGTACTATACTCACTCCTGTTATTCTTGGGATGATATGAGATGATAAAATGCCTATGTGATGAGATGAAGTGAAGTGAATGATGGTAAGCACTGTGACATGGTATCGGGCTACTAATGACCTTCTAACAACATGTCATCAGAAGGAGGAATATCTGCTTCAGGTGATCCTGAATCATCAGGCCATGACAATGTGATGGCTGGATGTCAGGAGCAGACAATGTCAATAACTAACAAGTGAGTAGTATATACAGCATGGTACACTGGACTAAGGAACAATCCATATTCCAGGTGGGACAGAGCAGGATGGCACAAGAATTCATCATCCTGCTTATAATGGCATATAATTTAAAATCTATAAATTACTTATTTCTGGAATTTTCCATTTAATATTTTCGGACAGCCATTGGCTACAGGTAACTGAAAGTACAGAAAACTAAACCACAGATAAGAGGGGACAACTGTAATAGCAGCCTCATAATACAAAAGGCAAATTTTGAGGGAATTACACAGAGAAAACGACAAATCTACAACCATAGTAAAGGATATTAACATACTTATCTAAATGAGAGCCAGAAAAACATTGGTAAACAGTTTTAAGATTTTTAACAACACAATTAAGAAGCATGGGCAAAGGCAACATGCAACAAGTAGTGAATACACATAATTTTAACAGCGCTTAGAATATTTATAAAAATTGACTATGTAGAATGCAAAGTAAATCTCAAAAATATCAAAAAAACAGATACATGAACCACATTCACTTGTCACATAGCAAATAAAACTAGAAACCAACTTAAAAATATAACTCAAAACTCCAGACATGCAGACATTTTAAGGCGCTATGCTCTTAGAAATTCAGAAGCCATTAAAAATCATAACAGAAAAATTTAAAGCCTAAACTATATAGAAAAAGTTGTGGGCCACAACTAAAGTAGTACTTAGAAGGAAATACATAGCCTTAAAATCCATACATTTGTTAAAAAATCAACAACTAAGCATCCAAATTATAGTTAATAATAATGTATTTTATATTTCAAAATAGCTAGAAGAACTGTAATGTTCCCAACATAAAAAGAAGATAAATGTTTGAGGTGATGAATATCCCAATTTCCCTGATTTGATCATTACACATTGTATACATGTATGAAACTATCAGAGAAGTATCTTCAAATACTGTGTAAAAGGTAATGTTAAGGCTAAGATATATCAATTAAAAATATTTTTAAAATCTATAACAATAAAAATTAAAAGGGAGTAATTAAAAATGAAAACCAAATGCACTGAAACAACAGCAATGACCAAGTATCCAAGAAAAGGAAAAAAGACAATCCAAACTAAATTGAAAGAAGATAATAATGGCCTGGCATAGTGGCTCACACCTGTAATCTCAGCACTTTGGGAGGCCAAGGCAAGCAGATCACTTTGAGCTCAGTAGTTCAAGACCAGCCTGGGCAACATGATGAAACCCTGTCTTTACAAAAAATACAAAAATTAGCCAAGCATGGTGATGCACCCCTGTAATCCCAGCTACTCAGGAGGCTGAGGTGGGAAGATCGCTTGAGCCCAGGAGTTAAAGGCTACAGTGAGCCAAGATTGCACCACTACACACCAGCCTGGAAGACAGAGTGAGACTGTCTCAAAAAAGGAAAAAAAAAGGCCTGGCACGATGGCTCACACCTGTAATCCCAGCACTTTGGGAGACTGAGGTGGGCGGATCACGAGGTCAGGAGATCGAGACCATCCTGGCTAACATGGTGAAGGCCTGTCTCTACTAAAAAAAAAAAAAATACAAAAAATTAGCCGGGCGTGGTGGCAGGCGCCTGTAGTCCCAGCTACTCAGGAGGCTGAGGCAGGAGAATGGCATGAACCTGGGAGATGGAGCTTGCAGTGAGCAGAGATCCTGCCACTGCACTCCAGCCTGGGCAACAGGGCGAGACTCCATCTCAAAAAAAAAAAAAAGTTAATAAGTAATAGAGGAAAAAAGAATAAGAATGAAATAGAAAATGGGGGTGGGAGGAGAGAGACAATCAAAACTTGGTTCTTAGAAAACATAGTAAAACTGATAATCATCTCATATGACACCTAATTCAAAATAAGAAATAGCAAACACAAATAAATAATAGGAATAAAAACACAAGGAAGATTTTTTTAATCATTAAATATAAACGTAAAATAAAGATTTCTTAGAAAAATATAACTTAGTAATTTTTTTCAAGAAATAACCTAAGCAAGCCTAAAACCTTTAAAGAAAGTGAATGTGTAGTTTTAAGTTATCCACAAAAAAAGATGTATGAGGCCCAGGTTGTTGAACAGGCAAGGTCTATTAAAACTCAAAGGAACACCACATGAATAAGAATTAAGTTGGACCACTACCTCACAGCATACATAAAAACTAACTCAAAATCGACCAGAGAATTTGATGTAAAAGCTTCAGCTTTAGTTTTATATTTTTAGGCATAAAACTCTTGGGGAAAAACATAGGTTTAGGTATCTGTGACCTTGATTTAGGCAACAGAAGGAAAATTAAATTAATTTAGGCAACAAACAGGAAAATTAAAGAAAAAAATTGGAATTCATCAAAATTTAAAACATTTGTGACCCAAAGAACACTTTCAAGTAAGTGAAAAAGACAATCCACAGAATGACAGAAAACATTTACAGACCGGGCACAATGGCTCATGCCTGTTATCCTAACACTTTGGGAGGCTGAGGCAGGCAGATCACTTAAGCTGCAGAGATCAAACCAGCCTGGGCAACACATGTAGAGACCCCATCTCTACAAAAAATTCAAAAATTAGCCATGTGTGATGGCGTATGTCTGTAGTCCCAGCTACTCGGGAAGCCAATCAGGACCACATGAGCCTGGGAAGGCCCAAGGCTGCAGAGAACTGTGATCATGCCACCAGCCTGGGCAACAGAGTGACAGTGTCTCAAAAAAAAAAAAAAAGGAGAAAGAAAATATTTGCAAATCATATAACTGATAAGTCTAGTATTCAGAATATATGAAGAGGTCTTAAAACTCAATAATAAAAAGTGCAATTAAAAAATGAGCAACAAAATTGGCAGCACCTGATACCTTTATAAATGGAGGTGGGAAGGCAAGGGGCTAAAATAAGGAGGATCGGATGAAAACTGCCTTTCCACCACTGAAACAGAATTTTGGCTACAGAACTCATCTCTGGGGAGGATCAAATAGCAAGTACAATTGAGGATATGAGGATGAGAGATTAAAATCATCATATAAGTATTTGACTCAGAGTCCCTAGGCCTTGTCTCTCAATCCGTTTACAGAATAATAGCACCAATACCATTTCCTTCTGGGCAATATCTGAGGATACTTCCCTGAGGAATCTGACCAGGCCAAAAAGAAAGATCTAACACAAGTGCTTCTCAACCAACCTGCCTACCCAAATCACCCTATATTAAAATTCAGAATCTACTAGTTCCACCAATGCACTCAAGAACTCTTAATAACAAGCAGTCAACATTGTCAGACATCTGGGGAATGCCTCTAACTTGAAAGCTAGAGACTGAACAATAGAAAATGCATCTTAGATGGATTAAAGACTTAAATGTCAGACCTAAAACCATAAAAACCCTAGAGGAAAACCTGGGCAATACCATTCCGGACACAGGCATGGGCAAGAACTTCATGTCTAAAACACCAAAAGCAATGGCAACAAAAGCCAAAATTGACAAATGGGATCTAATCAAACTAAAGAGTTTCTGCACTGCAAAAGAAACTACCATCAGAGTGAACAGGCAACTTACAGAATGGGAGAAAATTTTTGCAATCTACTCATCTGACAAAGGGCTAATATCCAGAATCTACAAAGAACTTAAACAAATTTACAAGGAAAAATCAAACAACCCCATCAAAAAGTGGGCGAAGGATACGAACAGACACTTCTCAAAAGAAGACATTTATGCAGCCAACAGACATATGAAAAAATGCTCATCATCACTGGCCATCAGAGAAATGCAAATCAAAACCACAATTAGATACCATCTCACACCAGTTAGAATGGCGATCATTAAAAAGTCAGGAAACAACAGGTGCTGGAGAGGATGTGGAGAAGTAGGAACACTTTTACACTAACTAGTTCAACCATTGTGGAAGTCAGTGTGGTGATTCCTCAAGGATCTAGAACTAGAAATACCATTTGACCCAGCCATCCTATTACTGGGTATATACCCAAAGGGTTATAAATCATGCTGCTATAAAGACACATGCACATGTATGTTTATTGCAGCACCATTCACAATAGCAAAGACTTGGAACCAACCCAAATGTCCAACAATGATAGACTGGATTAAGAAAATGTGGCACATATACACCGTGGAATCCTATGCAGCCATAAAAAAGGATGAGTTCATGTCCTTTGTACGGACATGGATGAAGCTGGAAACCATCATTCTGACCAAACTGTCGCAAGGACAGAAAACCAAACACCGCATGTTCTCACTCATAGGTGGGAATTGAACAATGAAAACACTTGGACACAGGAAGGGGAACATCACACACCGGGCCCTGTTGTGGGGTGGGGGGAGTGGGGAGGGATAGCATTAGGAGATATACCTAATGTAAATGACGAGTTAATGGGTGCAGCACACCAATGTGGCACATGTATACATATGTAAGAAACCTGCACATTGTGCACATGTACCCTAGAACTTAAAGTATAATAATAATAATAATAATAAAAAGAAAACGCATCTTAGAGGAAACAAATACTACATAGAATGAAGAAAAAAAATCTTCAAAATAAGAAAACTATCATTAATATATCAGAGAAATATGCTGTACCTATGATTATGAAGATGCTATAAAATTAACTTTGCATTTAAAAAAATTGGTTTCTGGGCCAGGCACGGTGGTTCACGCCTGTAATCCCAGCACTTTGGGAGGCCAAGGTGGGCGGATCACCTGAGGTCGGGAGTTCGAGACCAGACTGACCAACATGGAGAAACCCCATCTCTACTGAAAATACAAAATTAGCCGGGCATGGTAGCGCATGCCTGTAATCCCAGCTACTAGGGAGGCTGAGGCGGATGTATCGCTTGAATCCGGGAGGCAGAGGTTGCGGTGAGCCGAGATCATGCCATTGTACTCCAGCCTGGGCAACAAAAGTGAAACTCCATCTCAAAAAAATAAAAATAAATAAAAAATAAATAAATTGGTTTGTATATAATACTACAGTGACAACATATAAATGTAATTTTCAAAATGATCCCAATAGTCATGATGAAATATTTCAACTATTCTATTTCATTTAGCATAAAAAAAGCAATTTTTAATTTTACTTCATTTCTTTGTTTGCTTTAAGCAGTAGCCACTAAATATGTGGCACCTAGATTAATAAATTGTTCCAAAATAAAGGTTATATATTTGTTGAAGGCCCAAGTAATACATCATTTTGACTGCTCTTTTCAAAAGCATTAATAGAATAATGCAAATGAAATGCTACATGACAGAAAAAAATTATTTAAGTGACTCAAACCAACACGTAATTATTGACTAGTTTGAGACAAAAATGATATATATAAACTCATACATCATACTTTCAAACATGGGGCAGCAGCCATTAACCTTCAAGATGGGAGACAGGAGGCAACAGAAATATAAGAAATTACATATTTTAAAAAATGTACTTTACAGTTGAATTTAAAACAGATGCTTTATGAAATCATTTCTATCTTTGGAAATGGCCTAGCTCATAGTTCTAACAACACTGCCACTGTCAGACATATTTCACTGGGCACAATGGCTCACATCTATAATCCTAGCACTATGGGCGGCTGAGACAGGAAGATCACTTGAGACTAAGAGTTCAACACCAGCCTGCGCAATATAGCAAGAACCCACCTCTACAAAACACTTTTAAACAATTAGCCAGGCATGGTGGTGTGCACCTGTAGTCCTAGCTACTCAGGGGGGTAAGATGGGAAGATCACTTGAGTCCAGAAGTTGGAGGCTGCAGTGGGCTATGATCACGCCACTGCACTCCAGCCTGGGTGACAAAGTGAGACCTTGTCTCAAAAACAAACAAACAAAAAACAGACATATTTTCACTGAGCTTTTCTGAGCCACAATGTCTTCATATATAAAATATAACACTGAAATGAATGGATGGTTTTCCAACTGCTGGTTTGCTTTGTTGTTGTTGTATTGTTTTTGTTTTCTTTTTAAGAGTTGAATGCCCACTCAGGGGTATTTGGAAGGGAGTGAGGGAAGCAGGATGAGCCACTTTCACTCGCTTAAGCCTCTTCTTGCTGTTGCCCAACTCTGTCTTCCAGTGATGGCCCACAAGACGCTTTTATAAAACCTGGACTAGATCTTAAAGGCCTTTTCCAGCAATAAGAGCCTAAAATTCTAAGCATCTAAGCATCACATAAAGCAAACGGCTTACTTTCACTTAAACTCTCAGCACAAAAACTGAAAGAAATCTACTTTTCATTCGTTTAACAAATATTTACTGATTGCCTTTAAAGTGCCTGGCACAGAGCTAAATTGTGAGAACACAAAAGTTTAAATTTATCTGACCATTTTTCATTTTAGTTTGCAAGATGACCTCCAAAAGGCCTGCTTACAAATAAGAAAAGATCCCTCCCAGTATAATCAGTTAAGCCACTTTTTGTCCCTTAAAATTAAAAAGCAGATGAAAATGATCAATAGCAAACAAATCGGCCAGGCACGGTGGCTCATGTGTGTAATCCCAACACTTTGGGAGGCCGAGGCAGAGCATTCAATAAATATGTACTGTTAAATAAAATTTCCCATTTAAAATTGATTACATTATTTAATGATTCCTTCAAAGCTTTGAAAGTTTCAGCCCAATCTCAGTACAAATTTCTAGTAACTACAAAGTAAAAGAGAATAAAATTTACTTAATTCTTATACATTCAAAACAACTAACCATCATCACTACCCTGAAAAAAAGGCAGAGCCATTTAAGACTGGTGTTTATGAAGTCTCAATAAGGTTTTCCATGCAAATGCTTCTTCCCAATTTTCTTCATTTTTCAATTTTTCAACAGGAATTACTCAAATTTATTTATTCAACAAATATATTATGAATACCTACTAAGTGCCAGAATTGAGATAAGTATTAAAGATGTAGACGAGATACAGAGATAAAAATATATTCCCTCAAGGAGCTAAGAGTTAAGTAAAAGACTACAAGCAAGTACATTTTTACAAAACTATATGAAAAGCAGAAAAAGAGGGAGTTAAGAAACCAGAGAAAGAGAACCTCAGTCTAATTTCTCCAAGGGTTTAGAGAAACGGAGAGAGAGATGCCGATGGCTGAACTGGGTTGTTGTTGTTGTTGTTGTTGTTGTTATTGATTTAAAGATCGTTTTGGTTTTGTTTGGGGGAGGAAGTGAATTAAAATTCCACATTAAAAATTTTCTTCAGATATTTGTCTGTGATAGATATTTCTATTACTGCAAAGTCTTGGCAAAAGAGAAGTTTCACTTTGATAGTTATCTGGATAAGTACTAATACTTTCTCAAAATCAAGGACATTTGCATCATTTAAACTTGCTTTTTAAATGTTTAACTTTAGCTGTAGGAAAGCACAAGTAAAAGATGATATCTTGTGATATTTGGCAATATAATATTAACTATTAAGGTTTAAAAAGAGGTGAAATAATACATTTACAATGGTCTACAATTTACAATAACATACAAAATTGAATTCTGCATTTAAAAGATATCTTTCAAAATTTTTGTCTTCTGCAGTCATCAATACCGTAAACTATTTTGTTAAATATTTACAAGTAAAATTAATTTTGCTTTGGCTATTTTCCCAGTTGTCATGAACACAGAAATATGTTCACTTATTACAGACACCCGTCACCATCTCTGATGTCAGAGAATTCTATTCTCTTAACTTGTGCCTCCCCTACTGGTTCAAAAGTAGAACAACACAAAACCAAGCCTTTAATTCCACTGATGGAACAGCAACTAAATAAGTTTCTGTTTTTTAATTTAGTGATCATGTTCTAAATTTATCAGATTAACATCAAATTTTGGATAAAGATCTTAACATAAATCTCCACCAGATTATTTTTTAAACCTTAAATTATTATTTTCACCTTTAAAGAATGAAAGTATACTTTAATGAGAGCATATCATATCTGTGTTATCACTGAAATTTTTCCATATAAATATAAAATACTGTTATGATGCTAATCAATTTGATGGACTTACAATGCAGTATATCTGTCCATTGCAGACTGCACATCTCTACGGTAAACTGTTCGAAGAATGACCATGACGGGGTCAAACTCTTGATCCCAGACTTCAGCTATTATTCAAAAGAAAGTAGAAACATTGACTTCTCAGAAATAAAATCAATATTTATTGACTTATTACATTTGTTAAGTATATTTTACATTTAAAACACAGAACAATTTAATCTGATTATAGTATTTGCCTTAAGAAGCTTGATGCCATGATTACTTTTCTAAGTCAAAAATCACAATTTCATCATCAGGAATGTTCTCTTGAGTTCAGCAAGCACTAAAGAACAAAAGTTTTGTAATACAACAATGCCTCACCAGAAAAGTTTACTTCATTGTTGTTGTTGTTGTTTGTAAGGTGCCAATTAGAAAGAAACACAGCAGGTTAGGATCTCTGAGAGTATTTAAAGTTAAGCAGGGCATGATGCCTTACACCTCTAGTCCCAACTACTTGGGAGGCTTAGGCAGGAGGCTCACCTGAACCCAGGAGTTTGAGACCAGCCCAGGCAACAAAGACAGACCTCATTTCCCAAAAAAAGTATTAAACAAAAAAAGTACTTAAAAGTAAAAACATGAAAACTAGATTTAAAGATTAATGAGGCTGGACACGGTGGCTCATGCCTGTAATCCCAGCACTTTGGGCAGCTGAGGTGGGCAGATCACTTGAGGTCAGTAGTTTGAGACAAGCCTGGCCATCATGGTGAAACCCCGTCTCTACTAAAAATACAAAAATTAACCAGGCGTGGTGGCGCACACCTGTAATCCCAGCTACTCGGGTGGCTGAGGCAGGAGAAACACTTGAACCCAGGAGGCGAAGGTTGCAGTGAGCCAAGATCACGCCACTGCACACCAGCCTGGGCAACAGAGTGAGACTCAGTCTCCAAGAAAAAAAAAAAAAAATTAATGAGCTATTGATTTTGAAGAGACCCACTTTATAAGTCTTTTTTGTTTATAAAAGATTTTCTGCTCCTTTGCTAAAACTGATAATTTGTCTTCTTACCTTCTGCATAATTAGGAACCACTATCTTGTGTGTGGAATGTGTACAACTGATGGTTCACAAGATGATTTTAAGTATTAAGTATATAAAGCTTTTCATTTTAATAATTATGTAATTATTTTTAATGTGTATAATGTATATTAGAAAATTGTAACTTGCAAATAAAATTCATGACACCTCACTAATAATCACGCTTAGGAAGAGGCAAGGTTTTTTTTAAGTTAACTCATTTTAAAAAATAGTGAAATACTAAGTATATTTCAGTAGAGAGGCTATTTAGATGTGGCAAAAATCTAAAGGATAAACTGAGATAATAATTTTAGAAACCACCGCCTTAAGAGTATCTCCTTAATAGATTTTTTTCTCTCATTCTCTCTAGCAAAATTCTTAACATTTGAAAACATGGTAAGAAGCTTAAGCTTCTCCCTAACCATCCACTATAATTACAACCTTCTAGCACAAGACACTGTTAACCATTGTTAACCACTGTCCCTAGTTTCATGTAACAAGCTATTCATCTTAAAGTATCAGAAGTATGACTTAAAATTCTGAAGACAGTCCTTCACAAAGATCTTTATTAGTATTTCTAGAATCATTTATCGTCCTTTTTTTTTTTTTTTTTTTTTTTAAGACAGATTCTCGCTCTGTCACCCAGGCTGGAGTACAGTGGCGCGATCTCGGCTCACTGCAAGCTCCGCCTCCCAGGTTCACGCCATTCTCCTGCCTCAGCCTCCTGAGTTGCTGGGACTACAGGTGCCCGCCACCAAGCCCGGCTAATTTTTTGTATTTTTAGTAGAGACAGGGTTTCACCATGTTAGCCAGGATGGTCTCAATCTCCTGACCTCGTGATCCACCCACCTTGGCCTCCCAAAGTGCTGGGATTACAGGCGTGAGCCACTGCGCCCGGCCTTGATCGTCCTTCTCTTTAAAGTCTATTATTTTGCATAATTAACATGCCAAAGCTTTTATCAGAATTGCACAACCTTAGCAATGGAAGAAAACTTCAGTGATTAATTAGTCCAGTGGGCTTCAAACAGTGTTCCATGGAGCTGAATTACCACAGATGTATAACAGGGGCCACTTTAGGAGCAAGTAGATAGCAGGACAGAGAAGAAGCTAGGTTCACTACCCACACCCACTTTAACAGGAGTAAGCCAGCTTTTGTTGGTTTTATATTAATATGACAAATTCACTTAAGGCTTAGTCCCCGAAACCAGAGGCTTGTTTCAACCACTTTTAAAAGTTTAAAAACTTATTTTACAGATAAGAAGCCAAATCCAAAGATAAAAAAACTGGCTAGGCATGGCGGTTCACACCTGCAATCCCAGCACTTTAGGAGGCTGAGGCAGGAGGATTGCTTAAGCCCAACAGTCGAGACCAGCCTGGGCAACACAGCAAGGCCCTGTCTCTACAAAACACATGAAAATTAGCCAGCATGGTGGTGGGTGTCTATGGTCCCAGCTACTGGGGAAGCTGAGGTGGCAGGACCACTTGAGCCCAGTAGGTCAAGGGTGCAGTGAGCTATGATGGCGCCACTGCACTCCAGCCTGAGCGACAAAGTGAGGCTCTGTCTCCAAAAAAATAACAAAAAAAAAAACAACTAATTTCCTAAACCACACAACTAGCAAATATAATTCATATGGTATTTAAATATGACACTCAATTTCCTTGCTCTAATCTCCGAATGCCCAGTATTCCATCTCAGCATTGTTCAGAACAGTCATCTAAACAGCTTGTTTTAAAAAGCAGATTCCCAGATTTCACCCACAGAGATTCTGATGATAGCAGATAGGAGGTGAGACACAGGGGCCTGCATTCTTAATGAGGAGCGCAAGTGAGTCTGACAGAGATGTAATCGTCACATCACACTTTTATAAGCACTGCACTACACCACAGCACCACTCCACTCCCAAATTCATCTAATTTTACACACAAAATATCCTCTACACTAAAAAAATACTGTGCTTTTCTTTTAATGGAATACTTTCCAACCAGAGACTGGATTTTCTTGCTCCTTGTGAACTCCCTGAAAAATCCCAAATAAGGCTTTTCTGTTCTGCTTTGCCAAACACACACAGTACAGTGTATATTATTTACAACTTCAAAATGGGCATTGGTTTTTCATTTAGACAACGTGTTGAGGGAGTCAAGAAGCACGTAACTGCTACTTCCTTCAAAATTTTCACTTAGAGAAGTGAAAATATGAAAGTCAAACAAAAAAAGACTGTGTAAATCAAAACCTCACTTACTTCTGGCTGCTGTCAAGGATGTCAACTATGAATCTATGCGGGAGAAACCTTCCAAAACCAATCATCCACTTAAGGAAAACGTTCTGTGCATTTAACATAGGTTCAAAATGTAAGTAAGTGCTATCAGCATTCTATGTGGACTTTTTTTTTTTGAGATGGAGTTTCACTCTTGTTGCCTAGGCTGGAGTGCAGTGGCCACGATAGGGTCTCACTATAACCTCCACCTCCTGGGTTCAAGTGATTCTCCTGCCTCAGCCTCCCGAGTAGCTGGGATTACAGGCACCTGCCACCATGCCTGACTAATTTTTTTGCATTTTTAATAGAGACGGGTTTCATCATGTTGGCCAGGATGGTCTCGAACTCCTGACCTCAGGTGATCCAGCCACCTCGGCCTCCCAAAGTGCTGGGATTACAGGCATAAGCCACCACACCCGGCCTATACAGACTTTAATTTGAACTATTTCAAGTTAAAATTTGGGTCGTGAGGATTCTTTTGCTGTTTCAAAATCAAATTTGGAGAGTAAATACATTCAAAATATTTTTTAATATACATTTTGTTTTATAGTTTCTGGTTCATTTATGGTTATGATCACTTATAAAAATGAATTAGAGTTCAAATATAAATTTCCTTTATAGTTTAGAGTCATCTAAGAAGTCTTAGTGTAACATAAAGCTATAGATTTCTAAGTAATTGAAAGCAGTATCACTGTTTACCAATAAAGACATACATTTATAACAAAATGGAGAAAAGAAAACCAAAGCTTGAACGAATAAAAGGTAAACATTTTCTTTTAATACACAGAAGAATTCACCATTCAAGAACTGATATTTGAAAGAGTCCATTTATGTATATAAACATACCTTTGGGAGTATACATGCCTTGTTGCATAGAACCTCCAGGTTCAAAAACAGGAGCCTTAAAATCAGCTACAGCTGATAAAACTGATTCAAAGCTGTAACTGCCTGGAATAATGCCACTTTTGGGATTAGGATTTTCTGGAATATGATATATATGTCAAGAAAAAAATATTAGTAACAAAAAGCCAGATTTATAGCCTTTCCAAGGTACTCTAGTTTCTCATTTTGCTGAAGTAGACAAATAGTAATTGGTTGTAATATACAAAGCTGGCCACAAGAGGGCTATATAATACAACAGATCAATAATAACTGTTTTTAATTGTGATTTTTGAAAATATGTTTAATCTAGGAGCCTACTAATAAATTGTATGCTGCAGTAGTTCCCAGGTATATTTTCCCCGAAATAAATTTATCAAATTTCAGAAAACGATAGAAAAACTTTTAAAAATGTGTCTTCATTTTTACCATTTTGTAAATAACTTTTCCTTAAAAAACAGAAAGAACTTGTGAAAAATTAGCCAAGATTTTTATGAGCAAAGATTGTTTTTCCAAAAACACAAAATTTCATCCCCAAAGAAAAAAATACTAAGCAAATATAAGCAAAGAGGCAAACCAAAAAGATTCTCTCCTCACATTAAAGCACATAAATCTTTAAAATTGAAAGACACAGAGATCGTTTTTACTCTATAATAGCACTGACACATAGTTCATAATGACTGAAGGAAATCATCAGACAGTATCAAATTGAGGCTGCTTACAAAAATCAAGGTTGTCAAACAGGCATTCTAATAGGACTTATTTCACAAAATAAAAAGTTTAGCCAATTCTTCCAAACATAGTCATAAGATATACAAATACTAAATTCGGCCAGAATTTTTATCACAAAATTACTTGATAATCTTTGTGTAAAATTTTATTAACATTAACTTAAAAAGATAATCAGATTCTCATTGTATGTTCAGTCCTATACAAAGAACCACAGGTTCCCTGTTTGTACACAAAAATCTATAAATTCAAAAATCCTTTAAGACCAAATTCTACAGAAAAACCCTCAAAATGTTTAAAATCCTGGTAATAATAATCGTAAGGTATACCTTTAACTGTTAACCATGAATTGCATCCTGGCTACACAGACAAAATGGACCTAGCTGCCTTTTATAAAACGTTCAGTAATGCTGTCCACTAGGAGGTTAAATGCTGGGGTGGCCAAAGCCATCATTCAGTCCTGAAATCTACCCTAAAGTCTAAGAAGAGTTCCCCAAGAGGTAATAACAGGAGGTTAAAAAAAAAAAAAAACAGTCACCAGGCTTGAATACATACTTGAGCACACAACTGGTGTTCTTCTTTTTCTATATTATTTTTCAACTTTGAAAAAAAATTAATCAAAAAATTGATAAACTATTAATCATAAAAAATACTTATTTTAGATCCTGCAACTAACAGAAAGTAAAATTTTAAAAGGATATGAGGTCCAGCAATGAACTGTGTGTCCTGTCATTCATACACAGCTGGGCTACCATCTCGGCCCTGAGAATCTCATCATCAGACATTCCTAAAATTATTAAAAACGGAATTAACAAATCTGAGTATACATAAATTATAAAGAAAAAAACTTACCACACTTTTTACTAAGCTGTTTTACCAAATATAAGATGCTTCAAATTAAAGAGTAAAGAAGCTATGCTCCAAACATAACTGCAGTTTAACTGCTGTTTGCAGTTCCCTTAAGCAAAGGATATTCTAAAAGGTATACCTACAGTACAACATATCAAGAGTTTGAAACATTGTTTACATTTATCTACATCCTTTCCTTTTTTCCCTAAGCCAGTTACTACCACAGGGAGGGGGAGAAAGGGAGGAAAACAGTTAATGCATAAGTATTAGTATCAGTGAGTTTTACCTAAATGTAAACGAAGACTCAAAAGAATCACAAGAAATGTAAGAGCGCCTTCTAACATCGACCTCTCATGCTCTGCATCAAGTACTGTATTTTGATGTTGTGATGCCATTGTCAACAAATCCACTACCTTAAATCTACAAGAAGAAATATTTGAAACATATTTTTATAAATTAAAACAAAATTAACTGGACACTTCCTAATACCTGTCTTAATAAAATTATGCCTACCTTTCAAAGACGGATGAAATAAAATAATCTGGGTCAAGTCTAGAAGCACAAACCTTTAAAAGAAAACAAAATGCTTTATTTCTCAATATTCAGTTTTCCTTCTTCTATTAATCATGTTTTTCTATACTTTTTTTTGTTTTTTGTTTTTTGTTTTTTGTTTTTGAGACAGAGTCTCACTCTCACCCAAGCTGGTGCAACCTCAGCTCACTGCAACCTCCACCTCTGCCTCCCAGGCTCAAGCAATTCTCATCCCCCAGTCTCCCGAGTAGCTGGGATTTACAGGTGTGTGCCACCACACCTGCCTAATTTTTGTATTTTTAGTAGAGACAGGGTTTCGACGTGTTGGCCAGGCTGGTCTCAAACTCCTGGCCTCAAGTGATCTGCCTGCCTTGGCCTCCCAGAGTGCTGGGATAACAGGCATGAGCCACCACGCCTGGCTATGATTTTTATTTTCTGTATATTATGATGTTTTGACATCTTGAGGGGCATTACAGACCTGAAGACAGATAGTCCCTCCCAGAGCCAGTTAATTCCTGAACATACTAAACAACTTACTTGGGAAAATGCCTGTCATGCAAGCCAACCACTGTCTTTATCTAACTCTCACACATCAACCCAGTATTTCCCCTCCCCTAAATCAACCCAGGGCCAGGTACCGCAGAGCCAGATACAGCCCCTATGCCTCAAAGCCTGCTGGAATTATTCAAATTAGCCAATCCTGCCTTGCCTTTCCTTGCCTTTCCTGCAGAAACCCCAATAAAGGCTCTGGCCTAGGCTCTCCCCTCACTCCTTTCTGCCTCTTGACCAAAATCTGGTGCTTTCCTTGTAGCCTTGTGTTGGGTGGTATGCCTCTTCTCCTGGGAAATGTAAGTAAAAAATTATTCTTTCAATGGCATTGGCCTCTCCATGTCATCACGCAGTCACCTCTATAAATTAAAATCCCTTGGGTACAAATGAGACACTTCTAAAGTATATCTGCATTATCTAGCTGGCTTACCTGTAACAGGTAAATGTCAGGATCAATCATGGAATTACAGAAATGAGACTGGACATACGTCATGGCTTGTCCTTTGATTTGCAGACCATTTCTTACCCACATATTGCTGTGGATTTCTGCAAGACTTGCCTAATAAAAGTAAATTGGACAAAGAATAAATTATCTAAATGCAATCTTTACAAAATATTATAAATAACCATTTCAAAATATTTAATGATGTGATCATAGTATAAGCCCGATATTCTGTCCAATGTTAAAGATAATCAGTTGAAATATACATTTTTACATTTTTTTTAACAATAATTATGTTTTTACATAGCCACTTTTTTAGAGTTTAAACAAATGAGTTGGTTTTCCATGTTGGCCTCTGGATACATTTATGATGATTTTCACTGACATCTTTCATAAGAAATCAATGCTTATGTTTCACTCTATTTCTCCCTCAAGAAAACCCTAAGTAACAACAACAACAATCCTAATATACATGTTTAAAGAAAGACACTAGAATAAGCATAAAATAAAACCAACTGTTCAAAGTCAATGAATACATTCTACATCTTTAATTCACCCTAACTCAATCTTAAATCTATACTGCTAATTTTCCAAATATTGGAGGTTAGAATAAATGTTCTCACTACATCAGTATTTAATTCTTCATGTATTTATGTCCAGTGTCAACTAAAACTAGGCAGTCATCATTTTTTTTGTTTTTTTTGAAACAGAATCTCACTCTGTCGCCAGACTGGAGTGCAGTGGCGCGATCTTGGCCCACTGCAACCTCTGTCTCCCAGGTTCAAGCAATTCTTCTTGCCTCAGCCTCCCGAGTAGCTGGGACTACAGGTGCACGCCACCATGCCCAGCTAATTTTTGTATATTCAGTAGAGACAAGGTTTCACCATGTTGGCCAGGATGGTCTCGATTTCTTGACCTCGTGATCTGCCCGCCTTGGCCTCCCAAAGTGCTGGAATTACAGGCGTGAGCCACCACACCTGGCTTCAAGCAGTCATAATTTTATGTTTCCTAACACCCAGAGTTCAAGTTCAATATTATAATAATTAACAAATCTAAAATTGCCAGGAAAAACAAATGGAAGTGCAAGTCCCTCTAATGTATATAAAAAGCTGGCCTGTCAAATTACATTGCTGGTATTAAAAGAAATCACAGTGCTTATATAAGCTAATTCTTCTCTCCTCTTTCTCCTCTCACTATACAGATAGGGAAACTGAGAATCAAGGAGGTGAATTACCTTAAACCTTGCGGAAAATAAAACAGTGGTAGCACCAAGGCTAGAATCTTTTGGATCTCCTGACTCCCAAAACAGTGCTATATAGTATGTTAAATACCACCCCATAAGCAAATATCATGAAAAGAATTCCTGGAAAAAGTAAAACTAAAAAGTAAATCTCATAAAATGAAAAATACCTAAACATAATCTAGCAAAAATACAATAACAACTTTTTAAAAAAAGTTTTCAAACATCTCAGCTATAATAACAATGAAAGGCATATAAATAAAGGAAGAATCACTTAAACAAGGAATCCACTTCAAAACTTTTTAAATGCCTGAATACATACTTGAATTTGGAGTGGGTGAATCATTAGTTTCATTAACATTTCCTGATCTGGTAAAACAGAATCCAAATCTAGTTCTTGACATTTCACAGCCTAAAAATTACAATAAAAAAGTTACTAATTCAATTCTTATTTCTGAAAATTAAAAAAAAAAGAACAGAATTGTTTAATGACAGTCTTACCTTACTCAAAAACATAGCATAGTAACGATGTAGTGGCAGATGAAAAGTGACTTGGTTAGGTGCTGGCTGGAATAAACAAACAAAATGCACAAGTCAAAGACTATTTTATAGAAATTTTAAGATGGTTGTAAAATGTTTAAACCATACTCTCACCTGGATTTATTCCTATACTTTTAGTTCAAAACTTAACATTTTAGAAGATGCAGATTCCAAAATCACTATAGATAAAATTTTTCCATTTTAAACACTTAAGTATAAGTTTCTTGAAGGCAGAAATTGTATTCTACTCAACTTTGAATCCTCTGAAGCATCCAGTACAGATTAATATTTCCTAAATTCAATTCAGCTAAAGCAAATAATTATTATTAAAACAAGGGATGGAATGGATTTCCAGCTACAGTAGACCATTTGGGACTCTTCAAACGCATGTATACCAAACATCATGACAGTAATAACAGTCACATATAACATTCATTGAACACTTCCTATGTGCCAGTCACCATGCTAAGCACTTTATTCACATTACCACATTTAATCCTCAGAAGAATGCTATGGGGTAGGAGCTACTAATATTCTCATTCTACAAGTAGCAAAATTCAAACTTAGAAAACTTAACTAACTTCCTAAAGTTCAAAAGTAGTGAACTGGGGAGCTAATCTGGACTCCACTGTCATATTCAAAACTGTAAGAAGACTCTGACCACATCCCTAAACAGAGGTATAAATGCAGGGCATCGTTAGATTCCTTCACCAGTTAGATAAGATGCTTCCAAACAGTACCAAACGCACCAGCCTCCATAACAAAACTTCATAAAAAATATGTGAATGACCTTAGGCATTCCTGTAAATATTACAAAAACTGTATTTTAAATCTGTGAATCCCATGGATCACAAAATCACTACAGGGCAAAAATACACCACAGCTGTCCTTCTTAAACAAATGAGTTAAGAACTGAAAAGGTATTGTTTGTTTTTAATGCTTTTTAAGTTCTTATTAAATATTCTCTTGTTAAAAATGTTTATCCCGGACATTCAGATAATTATGCTAATGTATATAATTTACATTATAGAGGTTATAAGGAGTCTAAATATGTCACCATCCCTGAAATAATTATTTTTTTCAAAACCAGTAAGATAATAATATCCTCTTCAATATGTAAAGGCTATAAAAATTTGTTCTAATAAATAAAAGTTTGCCCTCCATAAAAAGAAAGGAAAGTCTAACAATGTTCTGTAACATGAATAAACCTTCGGGATATTATGCTAAGTAAAATAAGCCAGTCACAAAAAGACAGTAACTATATGATTCCACCTATATGAGGTTCTTAGAGCAGCCAAATTCGTAGAGATACAAAGTAGAATGGTGGTTGCCAGAAGCTGGGGGAAGAGGAAATGGGGAGTAGCTATTTAATGAGTATAGTTTCAATTTTATGAGATAAAAAAGTTATGGAGATTGGCTGCACGACAATACAAATACACATAACACTACTGAACTATACACTTAAAAATGATTAAGATAGTGAATTTTATGTTTTCTGTGTATTTTACCACAATTAAAAATAAAATTTTAAAAAGTTTGCCCTCCATTACCATAATCGCCTTAGTAACATATTCTACACTAACTAGCTAAGTCAGAATCTCCCTCAATTTCCTTTGAGGCACTAAGCACAGTGGATAAGTGCAGACTCTTTTTTTTTTTTTTTTTTTAAATAGACAGGGTCTCACTCTGTGGCCCAGGGTGGAGTATGGTGGCACGATCACAGTTCGCTGCAACCTCCACCTCCCGGGCTCAAGTCATCCTCCCTCCTCGGCCCCCTGAGCAGCTGGGACTACAGACACACACCACCATGCCTGGCTAATTTCTGTTTTTGGTAGAGACAGGGTTTTTGCCATGTTGCCCAGACTGCTCTCGAACTCCTGGGCTCATGCAATCTGCCCGCCTCAGCCTCCCAAAGGATTGGAATTATAGACGTGAACCACCAGGCCCAGCCTAGGTGCAGACCCTTTTTTTGAGTCTCGCACTGTCCCCCAGACTGGAGTACGGTGGCGCGATCTCAGCTCACTGCAACCTCTGCCTCCCGGGTTCAAGCAATTCTCCTGCCTCAGCCTCCTGAGTAGCTGGGACTACAGGCATGTATTACCACACCGGCTAATTTTTGTATTTTTAGTAGAGACAGGGTTTCACCATGTTGCCCAGGCTGGTCTCAAACACCTGACCTCAAGTGATCCACCTGCCTCGGCCTCCCAAAGTGCTGGGACCAAAGGCGTGAACCACTGTGCCTGCTTCCTAAGTGCAGAATCCTGGTTCTACCACCCAGCTGTAAAACTATGGGCAAGTTACCTCTCTGTGCCTAAGTTGTCTGATCCTTAAAGTAGGAATAATAAAGAGTTTAGTAGCTGCGAGAAATAAGTAAAACAGCACAGTACCCAGTACATATTGCTATTAACTAGTAAGCCATGGACCCTATTTTATCTTTCAGGGCTTTAGCATATCCTATGTTCACATTCTCCATAACGTTAAAGTCCATATTCCTTCCTTGTCTAATGTCACAGACTGGCTACTTGATAAGCACTTCTTCTATTCCTATATATACTGAGAGTCCTTGGATTCCATTCTTCACTCTATAGTCTTCTATGTGAATTTATCCAGATTCACAGCTTCAGCTGCTAACTCTACCCAGATGAGTTCCAAATCTCAGTGGAAATCTCACTCCTGAACTCCAAATCTTACATTCAGGTGTCTACTGAACAGCAATACTTAATATTCCATAGGACCACAAATACAGCGTGTCCAAACCAAACTCAGTATCTTTGCCATAAAACTCAATCCTCCTCAATATTTCTTCTCCAGATTCCCAGTAATTTAAATATGAAATGTAGACTTCCTCCTTCTCACAAGCCTCCTATATTTGATGAGGTATCAAATTATGTTTACTTATTTTTTAAGTATCTCTTAAATCCACTTTCTTCTTTCTGTCTACACTGCACCTAACTAACCTTAGCTCAGGCCCTCAACACCTAGTGCCTAGATTTTAGTGATAACCCCTACTTCTACCATTATCCTGCATAAAACACCTTTTGTGGTGTCTGCCTAGCTCACAACCTTCCCATCTTCTCAGAATGTGTCTCCCTCTCCCACTCTCTGCCACCTCAACCACACACAGAGATTGGGGCCTGACAGTCAAGTTTATAGTAGCCATACTTGACTGGAGGCAGGGCAGGGGACATCTACCCCCGCTTGAGCAATGACTTTCTCTCTTAAAAAATTTGAACTAGGATTCAGAGACATTCACAGACAATCTGGGAGTATGCCTGAAATGGTAACGTTAGGCAACTATAAAAAGGCAGTATTTCACCACATAGGCAAAGCACAGGAAGGGAAGAAAAAATGAGGCACATACACTCAGGGCAAAGCAAAGGCAGGCGACAGGAGTTCCTATTCAGATTTCCAGTCCATCCCTGAGGTCCAGGTGCCCTAACCCTGAGACATCCCTATGTATTCATAATAAATTACTGCTTTTACTTTATTATTATACTTTAAGTTTTAGGGTACATGTGCACAATGTGCAGGTTTGTTACATATGTATACATGTGCCATGTTGGTGTGCTGCACCCATTAACTCTTCATTTAACATTAGGTATATCTCCTAATGCTGTCCCTCTCCCCTCCCTCCACCCCACAACAGGCCCTGGTGTGTGACGTTCCCCTTCCTGTGTCCGTGTGTTCTCATTGTTCAATTCCCACCTATGAGTGAGAACATGCGGTGTTTGGTTTTTTGTCCTTGCAATAGTTTGCTGAGAATGATGGTTTCTAGCTTCATCCATGTCCCTACAAAGGACATGAACTCATCATTTTTTATGGCTGGAATATACACATATTCCATGGCGTATATCTGCCACGTTTTCTTAATCCACTCTATCATTGTTGGACATTTGGGTTGGTTCCAAGTCTTTGCTATTGTGAATAGTGCCGCTATAAACATACGTGTGCATGTGTCTTTATAGAGGCATGATTTATAACCCTTTGGGTATATACCCAGTCATGGGATGGCTGGGTCAAATGGTATTTCTAGTTCTAGATCCCTGAGGAATCGCCACACTGACTTCCACAATGGTTGAACTAGTTTACAGTCCCACCAACAGTGTAAAAGTGTTCCTATTTCTCCACATCCTCTCCAGCACCTGTTGTTTCCTGACTTTTTAATGACTGCCATTCTAACTGGTGTGAGATGGTATCTAATTGTGGTTTTGATTTGCATTTCTCTGATGGCCAGTGATGATGAGCATTTTTTCATGTGTCTTTTGGCTGCATAAATGTCTTCTTTTGAGAAGTGTCTGTTCATATCCTTTGCCCACTTTTTGATGGGGTTGTTTGCTTTTTTCTTGTAAGTTTGTTTAAGTTCATTGTAGATTCTGGATGAACCTTTGTCAGATGAGTAGACTGCAAAAATTTTCTCCCATTCTGTAGGTTGCCTGTTCACTCTGATCGTAGTTTCTTCTGCTGTCCAGAAGCTCTTTAGTTTAATTAGATCCCATTTGTCAATTTTGGCTTTTGTTGCCATTGCTTTTGGTGTTTTAGACATGAAATTACTGCTTCTTTAACTCAGGCTGCTTTAAATTATTTTTTCCCCTTGCATTAAAAGAACCTTGACTAACATATCTCCTATTACCCTCTATATGCTGCCAGAAGGTAGTCTTACTTAAACATTAATTTAACCTTGAACTTCTTCCACTCACAATCTTTTAATGACTCCCTATGGTTTTAGCCTCCTGATAACCTTCCAATTCCTAAGAAGAAAGAGCTTACCTCTCCAGCCTCATCTTCTGTCACATAAATTCATGCACCATAGGTAGTATCCCTAACTTACTAAGCTTCTGTGCCTTTGTATACACTATTCCCCCTGCCGCAAATGCTATATATCCCTTCTCCCACTGGATTACTGTATCTTTAAGACTTTGCTCAGTTGACACTTCTACTAAGAAGCTTTTCTTGGGTTCTTCAGGCTAAATCAGGTGCTCCCTTTTATGGTCCCACATAGCACCTGGTCACAACTTTACAGAAGCACAGGAATCAAATTAACCATATACTTGTTTTCCACTTCCTTAAGTCAGGGACTGTTTTATCACTGTATCCCCTATGTTTACAACATAGTAAACATTCAATAAATATTTGCTGGATGAATGCACGTTCTACTTTCCTCTTACCAGAGGACTCTAGCCAAACCCACCCTGCTACAAACTCACAATTGTTGCCCTACATGATATTCATGTTTTTAAGAACTCTTAAATGGCCTATCTTATAGGAAAATGTATTCCATCTCCTGTTTCTATATGATTGTTTGATCTGGCTTACTTCAGTTCAAAACATATTATTGGCCAGGCACAATGGCTCACACCTGTAATCTCAACACTTTGGGAGGCCCAGGCAGGAGAATCACCTGAGCCCAAGTGTTCAAGACCAGCCTGGGCAAGATGGCGAGACCCTGTCTTAAAAAAAAAAAAAAAAATTATTTGCTTGATTTGTACTAGATTACCATAATAACTTCTGACATCCACCCACAAGGATGGAAGAAGAACTAATGTTTATCACACATGTAATATGTGCCTCTTAGTCAATCCTCACTGGTTAATATTATCACCTTCAATAGATGAGGAAATAGGCTCAGCAGTGTTAAAAAAAAAAAAAAAGTAAAAATATATTAACAATTAAACTTAAAAAAATCTGTCCAAGGCCACATAGCTAGTTGAATTATGGCAGAGCCACAATTTACACTCAGATCTGCCTACGTTAAAGCTCTTTCCACTGCCAACAACCAATACAGTTAAAACATTACCAGACAAGGAGTTCCAAAATGAGGACTGTGGACCCAGAAGTACCATAACTTGCTACATAACAATAGGCAAGTCATTTAATATCTCTGCATCTCCACTTCCCAATGACAAAAAAAGGAGGAATAATAAAACCTTTAAGCACCATATAAAAACATGACATGGACCCAGCACAGTGGCTCGTGCCTGTCATCCCAGAACTTTGGGAGGCCGAGGTGGGTGGATCACCTGAGGTCAAAAGTTCGAGACCAGCCTGGCTGACATGGTGAAACCCCATCTCTACTAAAAATACAAAAATTAGCTGGGTGTGGTGGCACACGCCTGTAGTCCCAGTTACTCAGGAGACTGAGGCAGGAGAATCGCTTGAACCCAGGAGGTGGAGGTTGCAGTGAGCCAAGATTGTGTCATTGCACCCCAGCCTGGGCAACAAGAGCAAAAACTCCATCTCGAAAAAAATAATAAATAAATAAATAACATATTATTTGATTCTTTAAGTTCTATACTTAATTTCTCTTCTTTTAAGAATCCATTTAAATTTTTGATAACATTCAATATCTTCCTAAAAATATTTCTGTGTGAAAAACAGATACACTATTTCCTAGAGTTCAGCTGCTCTGTATGTCATACATGATTCTAACTGTCCTTCACTACACTCATGATTCCAAGCATGATTAATTTAAATATCATTTTCTTGTGTATAATTTTCTCCCAGTTCAATCTTACTGTTGTCTTACTGATGCTACTATTTCAACAATAATTCCTGAAGTTTCAAATACCAAAGAAAACTGGATTGAGAAAAGCTTCAGTTAAAGCTCCAGCTGAGGGACTGACCCTGGACAGGGTGAAGAAGGAGGGAAGCAGGTTGGAAGTGGGATGGTGCTCCGTGAAGGCTGGACAATGTTCTCTCTGAAGACTGACTCATTACCATTTGCATAAACAAAATTTAAGCCTAAAGACCAACAATTAGACAAGGCAAAGAATCAAGGTGAGTTGGTCAGGGCAGAATCAAAATCCAAATGTACAAAATCTAGGTTGAAGGCTAAGAGCTGACACAAATGTTGGGGGAGGGGTAATGAGGGGTAAAGAAAAATTAATTCAGGGCAGGAGGGATTAGAATTAAAGATAACAAAGGGTTCTTCCCTTCCTAAACCATTCCTAAAGCCACTGGGAGGTAAAGAGAGGGAGCAGGGTAAAAATAAGCATCTAAAGGTTAGGAAACTGAGAGGGAAGTCAGAGCTCAGACTGAGGAGGGCAACTGCTGGGGTAATTGAGGGGTTGAGATGTTGGGGGTTGCTCAGGCATAGGGGGTGTGGCCTAGCATAGGGCATCAGATGTGGACAGAGTCAGAGGGGACCCACACAGCAGGGCAGACCAGTGTAGAGCATCAGAGCCAATCTGGGTGAGGAGGGCCTCCAAATGGGGACTGACCTGGCATGGGGAATCAAAGCCTGACTGAGGTAAGGAGGGCAACAATACAGGGGGCCAGCCTGGAATAGGGAATCAAAATCCAAGCTGGGTAAGGAGATTATCCACATGTGCAAAGAGCAGGAGGCATCAGAGCCAAGGCAGAATGAGGAGGGCATCCAAAAAGAGGAGGAGTCTGGTGCGGGAGTTTCAAGCACGAAGAGGGTGAACAGGGCTTCTCCACAGAAGGGCAGTCCAAAGTGGGGGTCAGAGCCCAGGCAGGATGAGGAGGGTGTCCACGTGTGGGAAAAGGGGGAATAGGATGAGGACTCAGAGTCAAAGCAGAGAAAAGAGGGCATCCATGCAGGGGAAAGAGAGGCAACTGAGATGAGAGTTGCTTCTCATATTTATATATGAGATTGGTCATACATAAATATGTATTTATAGATAAGTAAATATATTAAAGATAATGGAAGCCAGGTTTCCCACTGTTGAAGAAAACTAGAATAACTCCTACAGTGTTAAACTGGAATTAAAAATATCAGTTTGAACTCACAGCTTTCACTATAGACAGAAAAATATAGATGCAAATATGTATATGTACTTATGTACATATACTCCTCTGTTCACTGTGAAGTCCTGGGAGCAGTGATACCCCAATAGCAATGAGCACAAGCAGCACCTAGATTTTTCTAAATACTGTTCCACACTAAAAGTAACCAGGGATCCATAAAGAAATGATTGATTCCAGAAATGGGTGGGGAAACTATGAGTCTGAAACATCCTGATGGGCCAGAAAACATGGAAGTTCTCAAAAAATGATGGGACAAGCAGAAACTAAGCTTAAAGGGGCTCTCATTGGCCAAATCTGAAATAATCTGAGCATCAAATAGTAACAGCAATAGCTTATAACCCATTGAATAAAATAGAAACTATGAATCTCTAGAGACAAAAATAAATGAATGAATTGAAAACTGGATCACAAAATACTTTATTAATTAAATGAGAAAAAGGGTAATTTTATGATGAAGGAGTCTAGCAGGTACCACCCTAATCAAGTGATCAAAGGGAACATCATTAGTAAAGAACACAAATCACAAACTACCAGATAGGATGCAATGAAAAGACTACATCACTTCCATAATATTCCTGAAAAAGATACATAATCTGAATCTAATCATGAAACAAACCCAAATTGAGAGGCATTCTTCAAAATGTCACTGTCCTGGCCAGGAGCAGTGGCTCACACTGGTAATCCCAGCACTTTGGGAGGCTGAGGCGGGTGAATCACCTGAGGTCAGGAGTTCCAGGCCAGCCTGGCCAACATGGTGAAACTCCGTCCCTACTAAAAATACAAAAAAATCAGCTGGGTGCGGTGGCACATACCTGTAATCCCAGCTACTCGGGAGGCTGAGACAGGAGAATTGTTTGAACCTGGGAGGCAGAGGTTGCAGTGAGCCAAGATTGTGCCACTGCACTCCAGCCTGGGGAACAGAGTGAGACTCTGTCTCAAAAAAAAAAAAGTCACTGTCCTAAAATGCAAAGAAAGACTGGGAAAATGTCCCAGAAGGAGATTAGAGACATGATAACAAAATGCAATTCTGAACCAGATCCTTTTTCTATAAAAGGTATCATGGGACAACTGGTAAAACATGAATGAGTTATAAGAATTAAATGTTAATAATATATTAATGATTTTTATAGTTGCATTCTGGCTATATAAGAAAATATCCTTGTTTGTAGGAAACACTGAAATGCATGGGGGTAGTGAGGCATCAAGTCAACAACTGAACTCTCAAATCGTTCAAGAATAGAAAGTTCTTTGTCCACTCAACTTTTCAATAAATTTGTGATTGTGTCAAAAATTTTTTAAACAGAAAGGAAAAAAAACACACACACACACACACACACACAAGAGATAAAATTTGCCTGCCCTCCACATATACACACAAACACACAGCAACGGTTCTGTGTGCCCAGGTTCAGAAATCAGATAAAGTGGGGGTGAGCTGTCTGAAACATGGTCTTTCTTTTGCATATGGCATATTCTGACCCTACTTCATAGGAGGAATAAAAGGAGCTTCTGATGGTAAACTTGGCCAACGAATAAAAGCAATTACTTGTTCAATTCATACATACCATGTCCTGTGCCAGCTCTTCTCATTATTAACACTAATCACCTTTGTTCAAGTCCATCTTTTCCTACTCTGACAAACAGAACACTGTCCAATTAATAGAGTTGTATGATACCCTTTTCATTAATCTCCCCTATCCTATTCACATTTGCATTGTCACTTTTATATATTCAACTGAAACTATTTCACCCTGAGAAATAATGAGACACATATACTTAATAATGGAAAAACAAATCATGCCACTCTTCTGTAGGAAATAAGCAGACATATTAGTGCGCTCCAGAATCTCCTAAATGTCAAAGAACTAAAGAACTAGTCTCCCCTTTAGATTTCTTTTTCAAAGCCTAATAATATGTTCATTACTTCCTTCCCTCGCCTATGAAAAAGTATTCATTATTTTCAACATTAAATGAAATCTAACACTTTTCTTAAATGTCTTTACATACATCAAAAAATTTACATACATCAAAAATATACATACCTCGTCTACGAAGTTAATAGCATCAAACCAGTCTTGAAGAGCTTCAAGGCAATATCTAACAACATTTCGGGTATACTCTTGAGTTTCCTAAAATAGTAAGTTATATATAATAAATTTATGATATATAAACATATATTTTCAACATTAAATTATATGTAATTATATGCATTGTGTATATATAAAATGGTAAAATGTATAGATTTTAAGATTATATTTGCCATTTCAAGAAACTCTCCCTTCATAAACAACCAGTGACAAATATGAAAATTAAGTAAGTCAATACGCTTCCTTTTTTACAATACATTTCTAAAAATGAATGAAAGCAGAAATAGATTTTAAATAGATTTAAATCAGACTCCATTTCAAGAGACACCCCCCCCAATTTATTATAAATTCCCTAATGTCATTGTTTAATGGGTACAGAGTTTCTTTGGGGCTGACAAAAAAGTATTGGACATGGATAGTAGCGACAGTTGTACAACTCTGTAAATGTACTTCAAGTCACTGAATTTTACAGCTAAAAATAGTTAGTGGTAAATGTTATATGTATTTTACACAATTAAAAAGAAAGGGCAGAGCATATGTGGACTGTAAGTAACCTGTGAATACCTTGACTTACAACAGAATTTGGGAGAAGAAATGATGTGTGTACCACTTGAAATAAAAGTACTGTAAAAGACAACTACAATGTTTTGTGGTAAAACAGATCCACCAAAATAGGCGAGTTCTAAATTAAACAGAAATAGAAATAATGATAGGCTTGCTTACCAAAAACAAAAAAAAAAACAAAAAACAAACAAACAAAAAAAAACAGGCAAAGGATTTAAAAAGACATTTCTTCCAAGAAAATACGCAAATGACTAATAAGCACATACAAAGATGCTCAACATCATAGGAAAATGCAAATCAAAGCCACAATGAGATACCAATTCACACCAACTAGAGAGGCTGTAATTTTAAAAACATAAAACAGAAAGTGTTAGGAAGGATGTAGAGAAATTGGAATCCTCATATATTGCTGATGAGACTGTAAAATGGTACAGCTGCTTGGAAAAATTGTTTGCAGCTGGGCACAGTGGCTCATGCCTATAATGGCAACACTTTGGGAGGCCAAGTCAGAAGGATCACTTGAGGCCAGGAGTTCAAGACTAGCTGGGACACAGCAAGTCTCTGTCTCTGCGAAAAAATTTTAAAATTAGTCAAGAGTGGTGGCGTGCATTTATAGTCCTATCTACTTGGGAGGGAGGCTGAGGTGGAAGGGCTGCTTGAGCCCAGGATTTTAAGGATGCAATGAGCTATGATCATGCTACTGCACTCCAGCATGGGCAACACAGTGAGACCCTATCTCAAAAAGAAAAAAAAAAGCTTGGCAGTTCTTTGGTAAGTTAAATATAGAGTTACCATAAGACCAAGCAATTCCATTCCTATGTATATTTCCAGAAAATTGAAAATATATGTTCACACAAAAAATGTATATAAACATTCACAGAAGTATTATTCATAGCAGCCAAAAAGTAGAATCAACCCAAATATCTATCAATTGATTAAAGGACAAATGAAATGTTGTATATCCATACAATGAAATATTAGCCAGACAAAGGAATGAAGTACTGATACATGCTACAACACAGCTGAACCTTGAAAACATTACATTGAGTGAAAGAAGTCAGACACAAAAGGCCACATATTATAGGATTCCATTTATATGAAATGTCCAAACTAGGTAGATTTATAAAGGTTGAAAGAAGATTAGTGGTTTCCAAGAGATGAGGGGAGGTTGGAATTGGGAGGTATGCAATTTCTTTTGGGGGTGATGGAAATACTCTGGAATTAGATAGTGGTAGTAGTGGTAAACTTTGTGAATACACTATAAACCACTGAATAGTATACACTTTAAAATGGTTAAATGGTGAATTTTATCTCCTTTTTTAAGTTAAAAACAGATATTTTGGGGCATCACGTATAATGTGTAAGTGCAGAAAGCATCAAATCCACGTGAGTTAAACTCATCAGCTACCTATGTAAATTATATAAATATGCCTTTTTAAAAAGCTGAAAGTCTCACATTCATTCTTGACTTCTCCTTCACCTTACTCATCTCCATGTCCTGTCAATTCTTGCTTGATATTATAATATAGCTTCATGCTTATTTCCATTGCCACAATCCAGACCGAAATCACTTACCTGGTCACCTTACTAACATTCTCATCCTGTTTTAATCTATGCTATATGAGATTTGTCTTTATAAAATAGTATTTGATACATTCTATTCCATACCTCTCATTGAAAACAAATTAATGGCACTTATAAGTTATCATAAATAATCTGTCACAACCAAACTAAAGTAGCAGGTAACTCACAGATAAATAAACTTTTAAAACCGAAAGTTCTCCTATTTCATCAAGCATTTGGGCAATGAGGTACCATTACATGCTCTTAGCGCAAGTGTAAACTGGTACCACCCTTCTGGAGAACAATTTGACAAGTAGGTACTAAGACTCTTTAAAAAGGTGACAAGTCAATTCCATTCACAAATACAGCATATTTAATAATCATGTTCTGATTGTCTCTCTCCTATTTTCCCACTACTACCACCCCTCAACCCCCAAAAAAGTCAGTATGCATGCTAACTTACTAGTTTTATGACCTTGAGCAAATTACTTAAATTTTATGAGTCTCAGTTTCTCCACATGTAAAAATAAGCATAATACAACCTACTTCCCAGTACTGTTCTGAAGAGGCAAGTGAAATGATGTACATAAAATGCTCTGTATCATAGGTTAACACTATGTCTGACAAATAGTTAAGTGCTCTGAAGAGTCAAGACCACATTAATCTTCTATCAAGTCTGTAGTAACCTATAGTTGCCACCAGATGAAGATTTTGCAGCTTATTTTTCTCCTCAGAAAGCAAGTATCAGTAAAATTCTAGAAACATGTCATCCTCTTATCCAATCTTCATGTCATTAGTTAATCGAGCATTAAAAGTATGATGCTCTACTGACTGAGCTATCTGGGTAGTATTACTTTTTTTAACTAGCCCTTAATGTTTTCAAGAATCAAATAGCATTCAGTGCAATCATACAAAGACAGTAATTTATCAAGTGAAGTTTCCTTTTAAATTACTTAATCCTTAAGTTTTATATTTTACAGTAGAAAATTTAAACAGAGAAATAACATTTTTTCCTATAAATAATAGTGTTTCTTCTAGTTTATACTTCTAAACCCTGACAGCACTGCAGCTAAAAAGCTTTGGAAATTCTGGCTTTAAAAACAGTAACAGCAAAGTGATAAATAGCATTGGTTTTTAAATTAGATAAATTTGCTTTCAAATTCAGCGTCTACTTATAGCTATGTGAACTTAAGTCATTTAACCTCTGAAAGAACAGAATGATGCCATGTACTTTATAGGAGATGCAATGAATGTTAGATAAGAATATATGAAAAGTGCCTAGAACAATGTCTCACATAGTGTAAGTGCTCACGAAGAGAATGTCTTATCTAGGAACCAGACGCTCCTATAACTGAGAAGTTACTCTCTCAGATACTGCCAGGACAACAGGAGCCTGTTTTCTCTCTGTTATCTTTACTTCATAGATTAGGTGAATCATACTGCATTGTAATTCTAGCCTTGAAAGCTGAAATATGAACTACTGCCCGGAAATAATGATTTTTCATTATCAAAGAGATAAACATAACCTCAGCCTCATAATTAAAATTCATCCTAAACACAGTAGTCAGAATAATCTTCCTAAAATATTGATCTTTTTATATCAATATCATATCAACCCACTTTACTGAGGCTCGGTCTTCCGTGGGCTTACATACATGACATGGCATTCTTCTGATTTTTCTCTTCTCCCTGTCCTTAATATCTAAATGTCAGTTCTTTCTTCGGGGTTCACATCTCTTTTCTCCCTATTTAATCTCATCCATCCCTTGGTGATAAATATCTTCTATATGCCGAAGGGTCTAGAATGTATAACCTCAGTCCAGACTTACTTTTTGAGCATGAGACTTATATATCCAACTGCCTATTCACTATTTCTACTTGGACATTTCACGGACATCTCAAACTTAACCTATTTAAAGCTAACTCTGATCTCTCTAAACTTGACATTCTCTCAGTCTTTACTAGCTTTGTAAATAGCACTTCCATACACAGTTACTCAAAAGTCTCTCTCTCTCATCAACAATGTACAATCCATCACCAAGCCTGTAGATTCTACCTCAAAAATACATCTTGAATATCCAAAATATACTTTGAATATATACATATCAAATATATGCTACCTGAATTTCATGTTTAGACTATTGTCACAGCATGTTTTTATTTAATTGACAAAAAATAAACACATGTATTTATGGGGTACAATGTGATGTTTCAAGATATATATATATATATACACACACACACATGCATTGTGGGATGGGTATATCAAGCTAATTAACATATCCATCACCTCAGACATTTATCATTTTTTGTAGTGAGAGCATTACAAATCTATTCCTTTAGCAATTCTGAAATGTAAAATACATTATTATTAACTATAGTCACCATGTTGTGCAATAGATTTCAAAGTTATTCCTCCTCCCTAGCTAAAACTTTGTACCCTTTAGTCAAAATCTCCCCATTTCCCACTCCCTCAGCCCCAGCTTCTGGAAACCAACATTCTACTCTCTACTTCTATAAGCTCAACTTTTTCAGATTCTACATATAAGTGAGATCAATTTACCATAGCCTCTTAATTGGTCTATTTACTCCTGGTCTTGCTGCTTCCCACCCACGCTACTCCTGCTCAAATCCAGTCTTCTCCAGGAACAGAATGATCTTTTAAGTGTAAATCTGATCACATTAAACCCTTGCTTAAAAATCTTCAGTGGCTTCTCCTTAAAACTGAATCCAAGAGTACTTAACATGATCTGCGAATACCTGCAATAATAATCTGATCTCTGCCTATCTCTCCAACTCCAACTTGTTTACTCTGTGGTTCCAGCCACAAATTCCTTAAAAGGACCAATCAAGGCCGGGCGTGGTGGCTCACGCCTGTAATCCCAGCACTTTGGGAGGCCGAGGCAGGCGGATCACGAGGTCAGGAGATTGAGACCATCCTGGCTACAGTGAAACCCCGTTTCTACTAAAAAAAATACAAAAAATTGGCCGGGCTTGGTGGCGGGCACCTGTAGTCCCACCTACTCGGGAGGCTGAGGCAGGAGAATGGCGTGAACCCGGGAGGCAGAGCTTGCAGTGAGCCAAGATTGTGCCACTGCATTCCAGCCTGGGTGACAGAGCAAGACTACGTCTCAAAAAAAAAAAAAAAAAAAAGGACCAATCACTTTCCTACTGAAGGTAGGCTATTCCCTCTTATCTCCCCCACGACAAACACTAACCCCAATTTAATATTCACAGAGCTGGGTCCTTCATATTCTCTCTTCATAAACGCATTCTCTGATACTCAAATCTTCAGTCCTCATACTCATTACTCTCCCTCATAACAACCTGTTATTTTCCCAAAGAGCACTTACAAAAGCTTCTGAAGTAAATCGATGTGTTTACTTACTTAAGATTTATCTCCCCTATGAGAGCAAGAACCATATCTATTTGGTTCAGTACCAAAAACTTAAGCATCTAAACAATGTCTGGCATATATTTTTTGAATAAATGAACAAACAAACCTCATATTATATGACAGTTTCTTGATAAATGCTACAGTGGAAATTAAACAAGGTACACTATGAAAACAAACCTGACTGGAGGAATAAATGAGTAGATTATATATCTGAGTCTTGAGAATTTTTTAAGAAAACTTTAAAATTTCAAAGAGTTAACATTAATTGTTCTTCATTTTGGTTAGAATCACTACACAGGTCCCACTGCATATCAAATGAATCAAAACCTCTGACACTGGGGCTTATGCATACATATTTTTTAAGCTTCCAAGATAACTCTCATGCAAGAAAAACTCTGAGCCAACAAAAGAGAATGAAAGACCATATGCCAAAGAAAGAGACCAGCTTGAACAAAAGCACAGGAATCAAGAAAGGACACTGCATGTTGGGGAATAATAATCAATCCAATAAAGGCATGGAGGGAGAGGGGGTATAAGAAGATGAATTATAGGCTGAGGTGGGCAGATCACCTGAGGTCAGGAGTTTGAGACAAGTATGTGCAACATGGTGAAACCTTGTCTTTACTAAAAATACAAAAATGAGCCAGGCATGGTGGTGCACACTTGTAATCCCAGCTACTTGGGAGGTGGAGGCAGAAGAATCGCTTGAACCCAGGAGGCAGAGGTTGCAGTGAGCTGAGTTCGCACTCCAGCCTGGGTGACAGTGAGTGAGACTCCATCTCAAAAAATAAAAAAAAATTTAAAAATTAAAAAAAAAGATAACGAATTATGAGAGACAAGTTGAGGGCAACTTGTGGAGAATTTTAAATGTCTCTATAGGAAAAACAGATGTTATCCTGTAGATTGATGAGAACTTGAATGATTTTTAAGTAAAGGAGAGGGAGATATATAGAGCTTAGAAAAGTAACTTTGGTATTGAGACAGATTACAGTAGAAAGGGTCTAGAAACACGAAAACCAGTTAAGAAATTACCTTAATAATCCATATTTTTAAAATACAGAGAAATAAAGGAAAAAAGCAGGAGAGGAATATTTCTAGAACGAAAGATTCTTAGTATCTGCTTACAGGTTAAACACAGCTAGCACAGCAAGGGAAGAAAGTTTCCAGAATGGACAATTACATAATTTAAGATACCATTAAATGACAAAAAGGGCACAAAAGGAAATATCATATGGACAGATAGTTTTTAAAAGTTAATTCAGAACCTGAGAAAATTCATGTACCTACAAGGGGATCTACATGAATAATCAGACCTGTTAGAAATTTGAACCGGGACAACATGGTGAAACCCTGTCTCTACAAAAAATACAAAAATTAGCCAGGTGTGCCGGTGCACACCTGTAATCCCAGCTACTCGGGAGGCTCAGGCAGGAGAATTGCTTAAACCTGGGAGATGGAGGTTGCAGTAAGCTGAGATGGTGCCACTGCACTCCAGCCTGGCAACAGAGAGACTCCCTCTAAAAAAAAAAAAAAAAAAAAAAGAAAGAAATTTGAACCTAGTAAGATTGTAACAAGGCTGTAAGTCATCTGCATTTAGAGAATGGCTGAACTAACAAAAGAAAGTATAAATCTACTTAAAGAAACACATACGCTTAAGTGGTAGATGGAAGACAGCTTCACAATAACAAAGAGCAGGCTTTACTGTCCCATTTCTCTTTCACTTTGTTTTTAAAAGGTCAGTAAACAGACTGAGAAATTCAAATATTTTTAAATGAGCTGACCAAGTCACGCAAGTAAAAAAGAAGCAGAGTCAAAACTAGAACCCAGGGCTTCAAAATATGTCTACTACAAAATCTTGTCCAGCATGATTACTGGTATAGAATAACAGGCTGGAACTGCATGGTGTCTATTATCAAAATTTTAGTCAAGTCTTTAGTTTAATAGGGTCAGGGGATTCCATTTGTCTGGACTGCCCAAGGTTTCTGGAGACCCATCAAACCAATGCTTATAATATTATATATTATAATATACATTATATAACAACCACTGGAAGGTTTGTGGAATTTATACTTGTTTTGTCCTTGGAATCTTGAAAGTGTAATATTGAGGACTATCCTACTCCTTGAAAGAAAGAAGCATTAGGCAACTGATAACAAATGAAACAATAAAGATGAATGTGGAGACTAATGAAGTTCCGAAGACTGTTCACAATAGCAACAGGCTGGAAAAATCTGATAATAATGAATTCCAAACTGCCTAAGAATGAAAATTACTGTCTCAGGTCAGTTTTCATAAAGCTGAATTCAATTTGAAACAAAATTAAACACTGCACATTATATACAAATGAACAAACCAATATTTTCACAAGTCTTTTTCTTAAACACAGAAATTAACAAAAATATTTCCAACATACCCTAACTTTACAATGTGATAAAAGCCCCCACATTGGCTGTGCACAGGCCTCAAGTTCAGCAGCAAAGGCAGCATAGTAGGTCTGAGACTCAAATTCCACATGCTCGTTTAGTTCTCGCTTGTTTAAGTTCATACCTGGCAAAAATTAAAGCAGATATAAACCTTGTCAAGTGGAAGCACACATTCATGTTAAATATCAAGTACATTTCCCAGTCCCAAACACATTTATGCACACAAATAGCATTACTGACACAGTACATATAGAAATAAGTAAATTACTAAAAATGAAACAATCTAGTCCTTTCAGAATTTTTTACAAACTAGGTTTTCTTAGAAACATTTTATGAATTATCTCATGTAATAAACTGAATATCTTTTGATAAGAAAGTCAAAAAAATTTTAATTGATGTTAGTTGAAAGCTTTACGTGTTACGAATCTTTCTCAGACAATAGATTTCACATTTCTAGATTAATGGTTACAAATGCTTCAAAGCCAGGCACAGTGGCTAATCCCTGTAATCCCAGCACTTTGGGAGGCTGAAGCAAATGGATTGGTTGAGCCCAGGAGTACTAGACCAGCCTGGGCAACATAGTGAGACCCTGTCTCTACTAAAAATAAAAAAATTAAGTTAAATTTGTTTAAATGCTTAAAAAGTTATACTCCTGTTTCTTTTTCAATCATTTGACATTTTTCCTAACTCCTTGGTATGTTTTATGAACAATTTATTAAAGTACTTACAAATACCAATTAAAATAATGAGCTATTTCATGTGTAGCGTGAATGATGTGCTATTGTATTTTAATTGATATTTAATAATTTAGCATTAGGAATTTTGTAAACCAAAAAATTAACAAAGGGATAAAATTCATACCTTGAAAGAAAGATACAAAGTTCATCCATGTAACTAACAAACCGTGATCCTCCAAAAATCTCTTGGCCACACTTTGATGAGAAAGAATATTAATAAAATCACTAACAAGAGGCCAGTAAGTGTTATTCTTCAGTAATGCTTCTCCACAGTTCACTACCACATGTAAACTATTTTCTTCATCTAAAAAAAGACACACACAACCCAAAAATTTCATAAGATTTTTTTAAAAAGCTTAACCAATAATACAGAATATATATACTTTAGAATCAGATATACCTAAATTCAAACCCCAGCCTTCCATTTAATACCTATATGGCTTTAGGCACAATATTTACACTCTCTGAATCAATTTCTTCATTTATAAAGTAGAAAATAAAAACATCCATCTTAAAAGAATTACATGAAGCATTAACAAAAGTACTTAGTATATCATTATAGTAATTATTACCATATGTCCAATATATGACATGATACTGAGGTAGCTGTATGTTTATAAAACCTTATTTTCTTGATTCTAATGATATAATGCAGTATTTTCTGTTGAAATCAATAAAAAATTTTTATCCCTAGATTAATCTCATTTCATCTTATCAACCAAATCTGTATGATTTCAAGAGATGTACATTTAATTGCTTTCTTCTATGCAAAAAATACATCAATACAATCTTTAGCAAACAATATTTCAAAGATAAAAAACACACATTTAAAAAAAAGAAACACACACACACACCAACTTCTTAAGCCTTGAAAAAAAAATCCTCAAAGTTTAAATACATCATTGGGGGTGGTGGGAGGATAGGCTTGTACGAAATCTTTATCATTAAAAATTATTAGTATATATGCATTCACTCTCTTTAACCTATTCCAACTTCACTGACTCACTGGACTAGGAAGTTTCCATTCCCACTGTAAAACATATTAATACCCATAATACATGGAATGCTCAAGGCTCATAGCTCATTCCCTGTACACAGGCTGGGGCGTATGGTTACCTAGAGTCAATTTTTGTTTCTATTCATGCTAATTGTTCTTTTTATCATAATTACACAATTTAGATCAAAAGTATATGAACTAATGACATATGAAAGCACAGAGAGGTATTACAGAAATTGAATCATATGCTTTTGAGAGACAATAAAATAAAAACAAGTGCCAGGAAAAAAAGCTAAAAAACCTTGGGACAGAAAAATCATAAAAGCCTAAGTATATTTTACACTCAGATTGCTTTATATTCTAACTCTATTTTAAAGAGATTAAAATTGGATCCACAGATGATGCTTTATAGATGTGCTATTTATAAAAAAGATGAGCGAGAACTCCAGTCAAGGAAATCATATCCTGAAAATACTTTGCCCAAAGTTAAAAGCCTGGAGAATGAACACACAGTTCTGTGTTTTAAGTTAAAATACAATGTTTAAGGTATATATATATTTTTTCAAAGATGGGGGTCTCACTATGTTGCCCACGCTGGACTCAAACTCCTGGGCTCAAGCAGTCTTCCCACCTCAGCCTCCTCAGTAGCTGGGATTACAAGTATGTGCCACCACACCCGGCTCATATTTTTTAAATGATTCCTCACTTTAACCAACTTATTCAACTACCTATCTACCTGTCATACTCATCAGTCAGGAGGGCCTCTACTGCACTTTTTAATTTCCACACATTAAACTTAGGTTTCAGTCCACAGAATTATTTTACCAAATATTAAATAAGTTTAACAATATCTAAGAACAGGGTCCACTGAAGTTAAGTACACTCTCTTTCAGTACTTCTCAATGGACGAGAGAGGGTCTAACTCAATGAGGAAGTAAGGACTAGGGGCTTTTTACAAATTATTTATACTAACCCCTGGCCATGACTGACAACTACTGTTCCACTTCTGAGCTAGTGAGCCATTGATATTGATGCAACAGTGCTAAGGAATGTTGGGATTTTTTTTAAGTTAAAAATTGAGAATCACTGTTCTATATAATTGAAACCAGAGGATGAATAAGCAGAATATAATTAATCAAACTCACTATTTTCATGACACTGCTTAAATACTACTGTTCTTGTAAAAAACGCCTTGGAATCATTAATGAAATAAAATGATTAGGACTTCTATTTTTACTCAAACTGGTACTTTCCTCATTACAGATATAAAGAGCAATGATTCAGTGTAAAATTAAATTCACTCATCAACAAATATTTATTGAGCACCTACTAAGGGTCAAGTTTTCAACTAATCTCTGAGAATAAAGTGATAAATAAATCAAGATTTAGATGATCTCTGTCTTCATGGAGATTAACATCTAAGAAGGCAGAATGTGATAAGGGCTGCAATGGGAAAAGTAGAGGGACTCATAAGAACAAATAAAGCGAGACTACAATTCAAGAAAAGACTTGGCTGGCCATGGTGGCTCACGCCTGTAATCCCAGCACTTTGGGAGGCCAAAATGGGCGAATCACCTGAAGTCAGGAGTTCGAGACCAGCCTCGCCAACATGGTAAAACCCCCACCTCTACTAAAAACACAAAGTTAGCTGGGCGTGGTGGCAGGCACCTGTAATCCCAACTACTCAGGAGGCTGAGGCAGGAGAATCACTTGAACCCGGGAGGCGGAGGTTGCAGTGAGCCGAGATTGTGCCACTGCACTCCAGCCTAAGTGACAGAGCAAGGCTCCATCTCAAAAAAAAAAAAAAGACTCTCCTGAGGAAGTGAAGTTTAAACTGAGGCCTATAAAATAAAGCAGGAATTAGGATTAACCAGATAAAACTAGTGATGGTGGAGCAGATGGTGCTATACGCGGAAGGAGCAGTACCTAAGAAAAGGTTAGAATCACTTGAAGAAAGAATACAGAGGATGCATGGTACAAATGAGGCTACAGGGTCTTATAAACCAGCGTCAGGACTTTAGAGTTCACATGAAGAGAATGGAAAGCCACTAGGGGGTTTTAAGAGAGAGAACATTATAAGAAGTGTAATGTAAAAAGTGACTGAAGGAGAGTGACAACAACTAGAGATAAGAGGCTTAGAGATGGCCATGGTTTGAACTATGGTGGTGGCAAAAAGATGCAGTGATGAAGAGGCTATGTAAAGATATTCAGAAGATTTGAAGGACAGAGTTGGTAATGTGTGCTATATCTGCAAGGAATAAAAAGAAGTCAAAGACAACTCCTAGGTTTTTAGGCTGCACAGCTGTTTAGATAGTTAGACAGTGGAATCAAAACACACATTCATGTGCTCATGTACATACACACACACACAAGATAATGTAAAAGCAGCCAGATTAATGGAGCAATAATGAGTCTTCGCTATGGACACTGTGTGTTTGAGGTGTTTATAGACATCCAAACAATATAGTTCAATAAGTAGTTTGATATGCAGGGAGGAAAGGCAGTCTGGGATTATGAGCATCTACAGACATTCCTATGTCATACAACACATGGTTTTAGATTCCACTTTACAAAGACTGTTTCAAAAGATAAATTCTAAAATTTCTGGGACATGAAAAATTATGAGCTATGTTTGGAACCACAAAGCATATGGTATAAAATTGAATATAAAAAAGTAAAAGTAGAAGGTAGGAATCACATACTACTATAAGGCTTTTTCCCTTTAGTCTTCAGCTATCGCTGTGGCCAAATTCTCATTGTATCAGCTCCTGTATTTATTAAAAGTATAGATAAAATTTTAAAATATCATCTAACAACAATTCAAGACAAGGCTAGATAGAGGCTGCTAAAAAATAAAAAGAAAGTACAGAGATCCTGTTGTAATATCCGTGGCTAGTTATGGGTAGTTCAGTACAGCTAAGGTTTATTCTAATACTCAGTGTAAAAATGGGAAAAGCTTATGATACTTTTAGAAAAGCAGTAAATATATATCATGATATCTTATGCTACTACTGAAAGAGGAAAAAATAGTATGGCAAAGTTTGAAGGCTTCCAAAGATAGTTTTAGAACT
Source organism: Homo sapiens (assembly GCF_000001405.40). NCBI lineage: Eukaryota > Metazoa > Chordata > Mammalia > Primates > Hominidae > Homo > Homo sapiens. The sequence goes on along the minus strand of NC_000002.12, from coordinate 169,901,349 downwards.
TGGCTGGAAATAATGTAATTTACTGCTAAAAAAAAATTATATTTAAAGATCTTACCAATCTTTATTTCAGCTTGTTGAAAATTCAATTTGTATAAGAATTTCCAGAAAAGACTAACTGCATTAGAAGCATATGTAAAAAGCAACTGATACCATATAATATGATTTCAGAAAAATATGGGAAAAGTGTGAAAAGCAGAGACACTAGGACAAAGTGCCAAGAAACACCAATATTGATAGGACAAGTAGAGAAGAGTATTGGGCCACAGAAAGAGAATCAACAGTGTGAAATGCTACTGAAAATCAAGCAAGGTAAAGTTTAAACTATGACCACTGGCTTCCTCAACATGTAGTTTACAAAAAGGGTAAACCACATAATTTATCATATAAACTGGGACGCTTTTGAGTGTAAAAGAAATTGTATTAATAACTACGTCAGACTAACAGGCATAACTTAAGGCTATTCTGGGAAAACTAGGACTATGTCTACATGAGTCATGGACAATTTTGTAGATTTCAATAGAACAATGGGAGTGAACATTAAAATGAGGTAGGTAAGGATACGAATATAAAAAGTGAGGAAAGCTAGCTATTAAAAAAAAAAAAGGGAGGCAGGTTTAAGACTCATCTTGTTCCCAAATATTCTCCCTTAAAGGCCAAATGCAAACCACATGTAATAAGCACAGCTAAATCACCTAGTGAAGAAAAGAGACTCCAGATTCTTTTAAAAGAACAGGTACTTCTAAATTTTGTTTTCTCAATTATGAATTTAAAACACCATTTTGCCGCAAAGACTGCATGACTAAAACACCAAAAGCAATGGCAACAAAAGCCAAAATTGACAAATGGGATCTAATTAAACTAAAGAGCTTCTGCACAGCAAAAGAAACTATTACCAGAGTGAACAGGCAACCTACAGAATGGGAGAACATTTTTGCAATCTATCCATCTGACAAAGGGCTAATATCCAGAATCTACAAAGAACTTAAACAAATTTACAAGAAAAAAACAATCCTATCAAAAAGTGGGTGAAGGACATGAACAGACACTTCTCAAAAGAAGACATTTATGCAGCCAACAGACATATGAAAAATGCTCATCATCACTGGTCATTAGAGAAATGCAAATCAAAACCACAATGAGATACCATCTCAGGCCAGTCAGAACGGCGATCATTAAAAAGTCAGGAAACCACAGACGCTGGAGAGGATGTGGAGAAATAGGAACGCTTTTACACTGTTGGTGGGAGTGTAAATTAGTTCAACCATTGTGGAAGACAGTGTGGCGATTCCTCAAGGATCTAGAACTAGAAATACCATTTGACCCAGCAATCCCTTTACTGGGTATATACCCAAAGGGTTATAAATCATGCTGCTATAAAGACACATGCACATGTATATTGCGGCACTGTTCACAATAGCAAAGACTTGGAACCAACCCAAATGACCATCAATGATGGACTAGATAAAGAAAATGTGGCACATATACACCATGGAATACTATTGCAGCCATAAAAAAGGATGAGTTTATGTCCTTTGCAGGACATGGATGAAACTGGTCACCATCATTCTCAGCAAACTATCACAAGGACAGAAAACCAAACACCGCATGTTTTCACTCATAAGTGGGAGTTGAACAATGAGAACACATGGACACAGGGAGGCGGACATCACACACCAGGCCGGGCAAGGGGCGGGGGGAGGAACAGCATTAGGAGAAATACCTAATGTAGATGACAGGTTGATGGGTGCAGCAAACCACCATGGCACATGTATACCTAGGTAACAAACCTGCGCATTCTGTACATGTACCCCAGACCTTAAAGTATAATTAAAAAGTAAAAAAATTTAAAAAAAACACCATTTTTGTGAAAAGTCTGTCTTTAAATATATAATAAAATATAAGAATATCATTGATACAGCTGAATGACAGCAGATACTATTTCAAAAAGGAAAAAAGAAAAAGCAATATATGTAGATAAATCTCTAGGAAAGAATAGATCATATTACATGAAGTTAGTAAAACTAAAACATAAAGCAGCTTTTAAATTTTCCTTTAAAAAGCAAAGAAGTAGGCCAGGCATGGTGGCTCATGCCTGTAATCCCAGCACTTTGGGAGGCCGAGGTGGGTGGATCACCTGACGTCAGGAGTCCAAGACCAGCCTGGCCAATGCAGTGAAACCCTGTCTCTACTAAAAATACAAAAAATTAGCCGGGCATGGTGGCGGGCGCCTGTAGTCCCAGCTACTCGGGAGGCTGAGGCAGGAGAATCAGTTGAACCTGGAAGGCGGAGGTTGCAGTGAGCTGAGATCACGCCATTGCATTCCAGCCTAGGCAACAAGAGTGAAACTCCAGCCAGGCGCGGTGGCTCACGCCTGTAATCCCAGCACTTTGGGAGGCCGAGGCAGGCGGATCACAAGGTTAGGATATCGAGACCATCCTGGCTAACACGGTGAAACCCCGTCTCTACTAAAAATACAAAAAATTAGCTGGGCGTGGTGGTGGGTGCCTGTAGTCCCAGCTACTCGGGAGGCTGAGGCAGGAGAATGGCGTGAACCTGGGAGGCAGAGCTTGCAGTGAGCTGAGATCGCGCCACTGCACCCCAGCCTGGGCGACAGAGCGAGACTCCGTCTCAAAAAAAAAAAAAAAAGAGTGAAACTCCATCTTTAAAAAAAAAAAAAAAAGGTGAAGAAGTATATTCTTTAATGTAAATAATGTATTATGCTCCCACTATACCTACAATGGGAAGGCAGACTCACAAAGTAGGTAAGAAAGAGTACAGGCTTTGAAGTTAGACAACCCGGCCTTACCACTCAGAGCTGTAAGATCACAGATCATTGACTTCAACTCCCTATGCCTCAGCTGCCTCATCTATAAAATGGAGATGACAATACCTTCAAAGAATTATTGATGGTTAAGTGATATAATGCATATAAAGTACTGAGAAAAGAGTCTAGCATATAGTTGAGTACTCTAGAGATGGTAGCTATCATAATTAGCTAGCTATTATATATAACGCATTATGCCTTGCACTGAGTTCATATCAATTTTCAGGACATGGTGTCACACCTGAGAACAGACAGATTATCAGTATAAGGAGAAAACAGGAGCTGATATGCACAAAGAGGCAAGAGTGGAACAAAGCAAGGCTCAACTATAAGATTTCTCCTCCTCAGAGAATGGAGAGGTCCTAAGATTTAATTAATCTGAAGTATTGTTTGTTGTTATTTTTAAAGTTTAGCTCCTAGTGCCAACAAGTAAAGACACATCCTATCAAAGAGTCTTTGACAGGGACTGGCTGTGTCAAGGTTAAGAATAGTAAGAGTTCTGACATTAGGAGCCAGGAAATCCTTCTTAACTGTGTCATTTGCTGGCTGTATAACCTATGGCAAATTGCTTAACTTTCCTAAGCCTCAATGTACTCATCTTTAAAGCAAGGATAATAATAATGCCAATCTCAGAGACTTGTTCAGAAGCTTAATTGAAACAATACATAAATAGTATTCAGCACAGTACCAGGTACATAGCAAATATTTAAATACTATATATTATTGGCCAAGCGTGGTGTCTCATACCTGTAATCCCAGCACTCTGGGTGGCTGAGGCAGGGGGATCACCTGAGGTCAGGAGTTCAAGACTAGCCTGGGCACCATGGCAAAACCCCATCTCTACTAAAAATACAAAAATTAGCCAGACATGGTGATGTACACCTGTTATCCCAGCTACTCAGGAGGCTGAGGCAGAACTGCTTGAACTGAACCCAGGAGGCGGAGGTTGCAGTAAGCCAAGATCGTACCACTGCACTCCAGCCTGGGGTACAGAGCAAGACTCTGTCTCAAAAAATAATAATAAAAATTATGTATGTATTTATATATGTGTGTATATACATATATACATATATACACACATATACATATATATAGAATTTAAGGGAGGTAAAGTTAAGATGAGTAACTATAGAGAAATGAGAATGGGAAGAGGTACAGAAACATTATGGCAGGTTGAAGAGTATCAACCACATAGTGGGCACAAAAGAAGAATATAAAGTTCTCACTAAGGGAGTAAAGGCAAGATTTATCCCAATTTTTAAGTTATAAAAGTATAAGCATGTAAAAATATCTAAGACTGATAGCAGCAAATTTATGATAAAAAAGCAGAAACATGTCTAATAAGGAAATGACTAAATAAATTATGGTATAGCCATGATATTAATACCTGCACTTATTAAAATGCATGTTTTTGACATGTACACTATGGCAACTTTTTAAAAAGTATTTATTGTATCTATAAATATAGTCATTACACAAAAAGAAAAGAAATATAGCAAAGTGCTAACAACAGGTATTTGTGAATAACAAAACTACAAGTGCTTTTAACTTTTTCTTTAAACTTCACTGGAAATTTTCAAAGATGTCCGTAACAAACATGTATTATTTTATAATTTTTTTAAACATAAGGTGTTTTCAAGACTAGTTATACAAAGTTCACTAATACTAGAATATGATTAATAATACTAAGTATCATTATTAGTAATATTACTAAGTATATGAAGTACACTAATAATACTAGAATAATAATACTGATAATAATAGAACTAGTGAATATAATTCTGAGTTACCTTGTAGCTCACTTTTAATAAGGCAACTTTCCATCATGTATAATAGCACAGTGACCATAATATCCAGCAGCTGACATTCTTCTGTTACCTGTCTGGCTAGCTCCTCATTGCTGAACAACTGAACACTAATATGCACAATTCTGTTAGACATTGTGTCTGATTCATGACTTTTCTTCAGTGTTTTCATAATGAAAGCATAATGCTGAACAAAAGTTTTTGTAAAAGCAACCTGTAAACATTTTAATAGAAAGGAAAAAACACATTAGTTTTAATTTTTAATTTAAAATCATTTTCAATATATCATGTTAACATTTTACAGCTATTACTAATTTATAATAATGCCCAAGATAACTTAAAAAAAATCTCGATGGTGAGGTAGTCTTTCACTTTTTTGGAACATTTGCAAAATATTTTGATGGTTAAAGAAAAAAAAAAAATTTTTTTCCCCCAAAACGGAGTCTTGCTCTGTCCCCAAGCCTGAGTGCAATGGCATGATCTCAGCTCACTGCAACCTCCGCCTCCCCAGTTCAAGCAATTCTCCTGCCTCAGCCTCCCAAGTAGCTGGGATTACAGGCACACGCCATCACGCCCAACTAATTTTTGTATTTTCAGTAGAGATGGGGTTTGGCCAGACTGATCTCAAACTCCCGACCTCTGGTGATCTGCCCACCTCAGCCTCCCAAAGTGCTGGGACTACAGACGTGAGCTACCACGCCCAGCCGTATTTATTTTTACTCTTATTTCCTTTACATGTACATTTTCTCTGGTTTTTTTTTTTAGCAGATATAAAGACACACAAAACAATGACACTATCAAAGTGTCTCTCCTAACCTACACCATAAAAATAACAGCATGCTTTATTTTCTTTTCATACACCGAGCTTCGTCATTTTGCCATAACCGTAAGATAGTAACAGGTGGGTTCTGACCCCCTGGGACTAGAAACTTCACCTGCCAACATTTGTATATGAGTCAATAACTGTTCTCTCTTTAGCAGTTGTGACCAGCAACTTTTCAACCCATGCTTTTCCCAGCCTGATCTCACAATCTAAATTCAATTGCCCCCATTAAACATTCTTATAGCACCTTGTACTCTTCTTCAGAGGATTTAGAACAATTTGTAACTACATATTTATTTCTGCAAAATAAAAATTGTGGTTTCAATGTTTGTTCCCCAGCATTCCCTCCAGACCAAGTTCCATGCAGAAAAGCAATCCTTTGGAATTCTGCTGAGTAATGCTGCTTTGCCACAAAGCTAAGACACTGTGCCTTTTGTGAAGAACTTGTGTTATCAAGAGAAGAAACTAACACTTGTTTATAGTGTTATATCAACCTTCACCTGAGAAATATATCAAAAAAAGATTTAATAATGAAAGGCAAAGAAAGAAAAGCTAAGTTCAGAAAAGCAGGAAAATATATAGATACCTTATACTCTTGATCTGGAAGCATGTTGAGTAAGAAAGTTACCATCTTTTGAGGGAATTCATATTTTATAGTCCAAAATAATAGTTCTTCTAGGAAGCTTTTATGCTTCAAAACATCCATTATGGATTGATCTGCACATGAAAAATGAAATTTATCAGTTAATGATTGAAGTTGCTCATCTCATTTTATAACTAATAACCCATAAACCATAAAATGGGAAAGTATCTAAAAGTTAAAAATATCCTTACAATAATGCAATAATATTGACAAGCTAGATTTCTATAATGTACACAGTATATAAATAAGAAAAAATTTAATGCATATATTTTAATATAAAGCAGTAAGTGGAAAAATGAATGGGGGGAATGGATGCCCTTTTTAAATAAAGGTATTCAATGGAAGAAAGCATTATCCACAAAGACATCAAGAGGATACAAGAAGTGTCAACTATGATGTACTGGCTCCAGTGACACTGCTTAAGCAGGGGCTAAACTTAGATGAGAGACTGGAAAAAACAGTATCTCACACGCATCAAAATCCTCAGGTCCAGCCCTAACTACATCACTGTTCAAGGTGTCTTCCAGGATAACCTTGTAGAGTTTTTTCAATTAACACTACCCCAGCTTTATACTTCTTCTAATATTGAATAATGTGTTCATACCACATCTCCCCAGGTAATGGGTCTAAATGAGTAACAAGCTCAGTATGTCATCACTTTCTTTACAAAACACTGCATTTACTAAGGCTTGAATCAGTCCTTATTAGATATAACTTTAACGCAGTTTTTTCATTAATAACAAGAAAAACAGCACCAAAATATCGTATTTTCTGAAGATATTATGATTTTAACTACAGAAAGGCAAAAATATCTTCCAACTCCCTAATTCCATTTCAGTGGTGACATAAGTGATATATAGTAGTGGTTAACATACAAAGACAAGTACACTGTAACACTATACATCTTTTTTTTTTTTTTTTTTTTTTTTTTTCTTAAGAGTCAGGGTCTCACTCTGGAGGCCAGAGTGCAGTGGCGTAATCATAGCTCACTGCAGCCTCAAACTCCTCAGCTCAAGTTATCCTCCCACCTTACCCTCCCGAATAGCTAGGACTATAGGTGTGCAAGACCACACCCTGCTAATTTATTTTTTATTTTTTGAAGAGACATGGTCTTGCTGTGTTGTCCAGGCTACATTTCTTTATTATTAGCAATTAAGTAATTATTTTCAAAACTCAGAATTTTCTACTTATAAAACAGAAATCTATTCTTCCTGAAACAGATCATTTCCAGGGCATGACAATGATTTAAAAACAAAAACCAAGATTGCAAGAAATGAGGTAAAATACAGTCAAAAGAATTCACTGACAGATTCAAAGATAAAAAGTAATAAAAACAGGGCCCAAGAGAATCAGGTAGCAGGAATTTAAGATTTGTAACTAAAAATTATAATATAGGCTCGGCACAGTGGCTCACACCTTAATCCTAGCACTTTGGGAGGCTGAGGTGGGCACATGGCTTGAGCTCAGGAATTTGAGACCAACCTAGATAACATGGCAAAACCCTGTCTCTAAAAAAAATACGAAAATCAGCCAGGTGGGGTGGCATGCGCCTGTAGTCCCAACTACTCGGCAGGTTGAGACAGGAGGATTGGATCGCTTGAGCCTGGGAGGCAGAGGTTGCAGTGAGCCAAGACCATGCCACTGATCATTCCAGCCTGGGTAACACAGTGAGACCCTGTGCTGAAAAAAATAAATTATAATCCACAGCACACTGCTGTACCTAATTTAATTCTCACAATTCACTTAACACAATGTGACTGATAATTTCACAGACTACCAAAATGAAAGCTCTCATTGGTAAGTGCTTCTTAATGTATTTACAAAGCTGAATAAAACTAGTACTATTAATCATAGAATTCATAGTTATGACTCTGCAAGCCTGCATTAGGCAAATGAAAAGCCTGAAGCCATCATAATTATTATTAATTGTCAAGCACTTAAAAGAAAATATACATTAACAATGTTTTAAATCAATTAAACAACCTGAATATACCAGGAAAGCTGTGGCTTCTGCTAAAATAAAAATAGTTGCAGTTATGTAGAATTCAATATTTTTATCTGCAGACCAAAAAAACTCCAGCAATGTCTTCTTTGTTGTTCTTAAAATAGGTGATGTCAGTCTCCCAAGATGTTAAAGCACGTGTTATATTGTGTAATATTATGAAAATGTAGTCAGAAATGCTTCCATTAGTTATGTTTGACTATCTTTAAATCTTGACATGACTTTTAACAATGTGTAAACTACCTTAAGTCAAATTGTAAAAAGAGATTTTTAAAGAATCATTATGTACTGTAAATGCATGACTAAAGCAAAGGTTTTAATTAAGAGAGCAGAGTTCAAGTTCTGCAACTCACTAGCTCAATAATCTTGGAATCTTGGCCATATAGTTAAAGCCCTCAAGGCCTCAGTTTCCTCACCCTTAAAATGCAGGTTTAGAGAACAGGCAGTGATGAGGTTAGCATAGTGTCTGGCCTCTTCCTTACCATTACATATTTTCTTTTCAGTGCACTTTTCAAGCTGTGGAACAAAATTCTTACAAAAATTGAGCCATTCCCCAAACTTCAGATATCTTCAAAATAAGGTCAGTTTTTGAAAACACCTGGGGTTCTAATTCACAAAGCCATTCCTTCCATGTACATACTTAAACTGAAAATGGTAACTGATGAAGTTTTAAATTTCAGTACTATTTCTTACCATTACAAGGAAGAGAAGGCACTCAATCCAAACACACATGTGAAAAAAGTTCAGGTATTTAAAAACAGACAAAGAAAAAAACACTTTAACTTAAGTCTGCATAAAAAGTATCTTCAGTCAGAGTGTGACCAGGCTGAAGGAAAACAATGACCTCTTACACCACAGCAGGTATTTTCTGGGCACCCCTAAAGCTTAAACTCAACTATGTGCCTAACAATCTCCAACTCAGATGTGTCACAAGGACTCAGTTTAATATCTGATAAGTTAAAGAGCCAGAAGGCCATATGAGTTCCTAATTTCCTTCAGACATACAGGTTCTCTGCTGAGCCAGAAAAAAGGAGAACATACCTGTATGTGTGCATCCTGGACTGCAGATCAAATTCCATACCCTTTCCTAGCAACCCCCAAGTTAAATGCAGCAGCATAGTAACTGAGACTTAGAAAAGGAACCTGCAACTCAAAGTGCCTGCATATTCCACCTTTCTAGGCAGTCCTAGATATTTCACAAGATACACTTAATCAACAGCAGAAGTAAGAAATTTATTTTCATCAAAATAACATTTTAGCCTCTGGAGACTTTCTAAACCAACCACACGTTAAGATATGAAAATCCCTGGCAAAAATCCAAAGCACAGACTTGTCAACTAATCGCAAGTATTCTAGAAAAGCTTTTAGTGACAGTCAAGTAAACATTGTGGTTAAAAGCTTAGGCTCTGGGATATGAATTTAGGATCTACCTCTCATTAGCCATAATCTCTAACATGTCTAACACATACAAAAGGTTCAATAAATATTACTCATTATTATTACTAATCTAGTCCCTCACTACAAAGCATATTTATAATACTTTCTCCTTTGAGTAAACACATGAGTCCCTACTGAGCCTTTATGACGTGTTAAGTACTATTTGTTCATTCCCTGTGTGTGTGTGTGTGTGTGTGTGTGTCTCTGTCTCTCTCTCACCATGTCATCTCCCTTGTCTTTTTTCACTCTAGAAATTGCATACCCCAGATTATAAAAGGAACTAGGCCAAACTACAAATTCACACAAAAAACACTGGAGCCAAATCAGTCAATCAATGAAAAGACTTCCTTTTGGGGGGGACTCAAATATGATAATGCATATTTTATGATGAAAATAATGAACAAAACCCAATAGTAATCGCTTAACAATACTTTCTCCAAGACTTATTAGATAAATCTAATAACATAAGCCTCCCTTCAAACAGCTTTGATGTCAGTATGGCTAGCCCATCAAGTATTTTTAGTGATTAGGCATTTTTTAGAAGCATTTTATTCAAGGAAAAAAATAATAATAAATACAAATACCTTTGGTGCCACTGCTTAGTTTTACCCTTTTTCTCTTGCCCAGACCTTGACTACCATCCTGATCATCCTGAAGGAAAATAATATTAGCATTATACACAGTCACATTCATAAATTGATACACTTTATAAATGTGCTTACAAATTACATTAAACACATAATATATGCATGCTTACATACTACTAATCAACATCTATGTATTTGCTATAATATATATTTTAGTGTTAATTTTGATTTTAAAATACAGTGAAATATCCCTAAATATCAAAACACAAGAGCTCTTAAATGTAATCTCTGCTTCTAATGGAAGACTCTTAAGTACCCCAAAATGCCAAGATAAAAATTTTCCTAACCTTATAAATTAACATCGAATGCACAAAGAAGCTAAAGGGTGGAATGAGAGAGATTATTATAGGAAGGTAGGAGAGAAGAGGAGAGGACTAAAACAATGAATAGAGGAAAGGCTTTGAAGGGTCTAAGAAAAAATGAGTTCAACAAATCAAATTTTGAAAAATAAATACAACATATTAGAAGTTGGAGTTGACAGTTAAAAATAATAATAAAAACAAATTAAAATATGCTTAGAAAAAAAATCCAAAAAGGAAATACATTCTGCTCAATGATATATATACATATATATACATATATATATACATATATATATATACACATATATATATATATATATATATATCTCTCTCTCTCTCTCCTAGAAAAACCTCGCACTAAAAATAACAAGGCTTATGGGGAAAAAAAAGGGTAAGGGATGGACACTCACAACCTATTCAAGTTTGTAACCAGAGAAGTAACAAAAGCAGTAATTGGTACCTGGGAAGATCATTTGCAGGCCCAGGCAAACATCATGTGGTGGTTTAAGGCTAGATCAGAGCATGTTAACACTGTACAACAGAGTAAAGAAAGCCAGCCAACTATGACAATGCAGAGGGAAGAGGAGCAAAGAAGGCAGCCCGCCTCTTGTAAAACCAAGGTAAAAGTAGTGGTGCACCTCTTGGGGAGGAAGCCCTGAGTGTAGGTGCTCATTTCTAATTTTCTTAGTATGGTGCTGAAAAGGTTCCTGCTGTCTTTGCAGCAGAACTCAGAGTTTTTTCCTCTCCAGCTAAAGGTTATGATTCTACCCCACTATCCCAGCTCTCCTAAACCAGGGATGTTACATATGAATCAACAACTTCCACATTATAATGACATATTTTCCCTATTTTCCAAACATATATGAACCAACCAATATTATAAAGAGGTGCGGTAATGTGGCATATAGTCAGTTGTGCTAACAATGGTGTTGGTAGCAGGTTAGAACTGTAGTATAAATTCCAAGATACTTTTCTCAATTAGCACCCATCAAATTTCTAAAGCAGAAAAGTAGCCTCAGCTTCATGCTGGAGCTCTATTTACTGGTGCAGCTTCCTTGGCCTAAATAATAGCCTTAACTTGGGTTTCCGTCAAGCATCAATCCTCAGGGCCATTTTCTGGGGTTTTCCAGAGCTACTACTTAGCTCAGTCATTCAGCATTTACTGGGCACTTCAATATGTCTTCCCTGTTAATCTCCACCTTTGCCAGGCCTCTCTGGCCATCCACCAGGCAACAGAACTAACAGTCAAACTACAATCCCTCTCTGCCGCTCTTAGCTTGCCACTGGAGAAATTCACCAGAAAGAAATATGAAGCCTTAAAAGATAGAAAACAGACACAGGAATGTAAAAGCATACTACAGGGCCCAGAGGGTTCAGAAATTTAAGATTTCAGCTAATAGCCATTTATGAAACTGGTTCTCCAAGACCTGAGAGAAAAGGCAAACTTGGAAAAACATGTTATGTCCTAGGTGAGAATTATTTCATAATTTCAAATATAAACTTCCTATGAAAACAGTATCCTTGATCAAGTGATGGTCATGGCAATATGAAGTTTTATAAATTTCCTGGCCTTATACACTTAAAAGACAAGTAGAATTAGCCAAGCAAAGAAGGGGAAAGTCATGCCAAGAAGAGAATACAGCATAAGCAAAGGCAAAAGACAAAAGTCTGAAAACACAGACCACTGAGTTGGCCTTAACATCATTCTAGATATCAAATACAGCTAAGAAGGGAGATTATCTGCATCTGAGCTGGTGGGAAAATAGGTACTCTTACATACCAATGGTGAGAATATAGAGTAGTAAAATTTCCCTGAATGGCAATTTGGCAATCTTTGGAACAGAAATTCCAGTTCTAGGAATTTAACCCAAAGAAATAATCAGACAAGTGAATTGGGACTATATGCATACCTATTCATCACAATGTTATTTATAATGGCAAAAAAAAAAGTCTTTGGTTTCCAATAGTAGATGATTAGGTAAATATATAATAGCACACCTGTACCATATAAAGAAAAACAACCCTGGAGCTCTATATTCATTGTGACCAAACAGATGTTCAAAAACTATTATTATAAATGAGAAAAGCATGCTATTTTAAAACAGGGAATTTTAAAGCATGCTATTTTAAAATAGGGAAAATATGTCATTATAATGTGGAAGTTGTTGATTCATATGTAACATCCCTGGTTTAGGAGAGCTGGGATAGTGAGGTGGAATCATAACCTTTAGCATATGCAGTATGAAATTATTTAAGTATTGATAACATTCACAAATAAAATCTGTTAGTATATTCCTTTTTATAGATGTTCAAAACTGTCATCAGTGAGAAAAGCAAGTAATACACGAGTATATACAGCATGAAACCATTAAAATATGACATACATAAAATCTGTTAGAATGTCAGACATTTTAAAGTCATAATACAGGACGAGGCGCGGTGGCTCACGCCTGTAATCCCAGCACTTTGGGAGGCTGAGGTGGGTGGATCACCTGAGGTCAGGAGTTCGAGATCAGCCTGACCTGTATGTTGAAACCCCGTCTCCACTAAAAATACAAAAATTAGCTGGGCGTAGTGGCAGGCACCTATAATCCCAGCTACTCGGCAGGCTGAGGCTGGAGAATTGCTTGAACCCGGGAGGCGGAGGTTGCAGTGAGCCGAGATCGTGCCACTGCACTCCAGCCTGGGCGACAAAGAGACTCCATCTCAAAAATAAATAAATAAATAAATAAATAAATAAATAAATAAATAAATAAAGTCATAACACAGATGAAAAAGAAAAAGAAAAAACTGCCGGGCGTGGTGGCTCATGCCTGAGATCCCAGCACTTTGGGAGGCAGAGGTGGGCGGATCACCTGAGGTCGGGAGTTTGAGATCAGCCTGACCAACATGGAGAAACCCCATCTCTACTAAAAATACAAAATTAGCTGGGCATGGTGGCACATGCCTGTGATCCCAGCTACTCGGGAGGCTAAGGCAGGAGAATAGGTTGAACCCGGGAGGGGGAGGTTGCAGTGAGCCAAGATCGTGCCATTGCACTCCAGCCTGGGCAACAAGAGCAAAACTCCGTCTCAAAAAAAAAAGAAAGAAAGAAAAAGAAAAAAATTTAAAAATAAAGAATGTCAGAGGTTTACAGTGAGTCACCACTAAGTGATAGAGATTTAGGTAATGTTATCTTTTTGTTAATATTTATTTTCTACTTATTCAACAATGAATATGGATTGTAGTTTTAAGTTAATAAACATCTTTTTAAAATACAAGTCTGATTTCCAATACTACTTGTTCCAACAATAACAGATTACTATATTATCAGTTATAAGTTCTATATTTTTATTTTTAGAAAGTACAGTACTGTTAACAAACAGAAATAACTCCCAAAAGTAGAGAATTCAGGCATTAAGGAAAACGAAAACAAAACAGTTATCATAACCACAATTTCCCATTCCTCCAAATTCATGATGTGGAGCTAAGGTTCATTTGTCCCTGAGGAAGCAGTATAGGATCCTAAGAGAAGATGATGGTCCAACTGACAAGAGGAAATAAATCAAATACAATCTCAACCCAGACAGCATTTGTACAGCCCTCAGGAACTTTTCAGACCTTAAATAGACCCTGAGCATGGAAGTAGGCACTATTGCTACATGTGTTTCAGGCACAAAATATGGACACAGGTCCAAAACATTTTGGAAAGAAACAAGAAGACATGAGACAAGAAAATCCAAGAAAAACAGATTCAAACTCCCAATCTGCAAAATCTACAGATGGTTTCTCAACCTAAATTAACCTTTCTTTTTTTTGATGGATTTTCTAGACAGTTTTCATCACATTTTTTCATAAATGTGAGCTTCATAAAAAGAAGTCAGGTAAATTCACAGCTGGTTACAACAATACTCAAAGAATATTAACACAGACTACACAGGGCTAGAAGGAATATTTAATATGTCACCTTACAAAAATGAAATACAAAGATCTTAAGACTATAACAATAAGATGAAACTTGAAGATTTATGTAAGCCCCTATAATCAGACTGTTTGCTTTAAATCAACTTCACAAGTATAACACTACAAGGGAGTTCTAACTTGTCAGCTGTAAGGTGGGGCCCAGGGGGAAATGTTGGGCATTTTGTTTGACCTCTGTGGCTCCTGCCAACAATTTAGGATAGCTGCTAAAAAAATAACAAAAAGCTTTGGGCCTTAATGAAGACACGGTATGCTTATCAAAAGATGTCCCATCACTGTGCACTAAATGAGGACATAGATTTTAAAAGAAAATGAGTTTACTAGACAGTGAAAAGAAAGAACTATGCGCGACAGAAAATATTAATATCTAAAAGTAAATATTTAAAAGTGTCATCTGGAAATAAAAATCTTTCTAGAAGGCAAAACAAGAAATATGCGAAAGTTACAATATTTAACACAATATTGAGAAGAATTTAATAATTAGAGCTATCAAGGGAATAAGTTGCCTCATAAACTAGGTAAGCTCCCTACGATTGGAAGTATTTATGGAGAGGCTTACCAACTGTCAGGAATGTTGTAAAATCAATTCCTGCACTGGAAAAGAAATACATTAAATATTTCTAAGGCCTTTCCCACCAACAGTTTATGTGATTCCCTGCCCTACCCTTACCATTAATGTAATTTATGATACCAAATTAAAATTAAACCTTATGCCTCCAAAAGTAAAATTAACTTTTTTTTTTTTTTTTTGAGACGGAGTCTCACTCTGTCGCGCAGGCTGGGGTGCAGTGGCGCGATCTCGGCTCACTTCAACCTCCACCTCCCGGGTTCAAGCGATTCTCCTGCCTCAGCCTCCCCAGTTGATGGGACTACAAACGCGTGCCATCATGCTGGGCTAATTTTTGTATTTTTAGTAGAGACGGGGTTTCACCATATTGGCCAGGCTGATCTCGATCTCCTGACCTAGGGATCGCCCACCTCGGCCTCCCAAAGTTCTGGAATTACAGGCATGAGCCACTGCACCCAGCCTTTTTTCTTTTACCTATTCACTTATGAAAAGTATCTCTGATTTTTTATTTCAACTGTCCTACTTTTGCTATTATTTTTGGAAAGCTGTTGTTCACTTGGATTGTGTCTTGAATAAAGACAAGAATATTCAAAGCATATCTACACAGTAACTTATTTTGCAAAGTGATTATTTCTCAATTATGTAAGAGTATACAGGAAAAAAAGAAAAGTAAACAAGCAAAATTTATAAACAGTGATAATCTTTGGATGGTAGGGCTAAATGTAAATGTTTTCTTTTTGTTTTTTTTTTCTGTCTGTTTTGAGACAGGGTCTCCTTCTGTCACCCACGCTGGAGTGCAGTGGCACAATGTCAGTTTACTTCAAGCTCCGCCTCCTAGGTTCAAGTGATCCTCCTGCCTCAACCTCCGGAGCTAGGATTACAGGCATGTGCCACCACGCCTGGCTAATTTTGTATTTTTAGTAGAAATGGGGTTTCTCCATGTTGGTCAGGTTAGTCTCGCACTCCCAACCTCAGGTGATCCGCCCGCCTCGGCCTCCCAAAGTGCTGGGATTACAGGCATGAGCTACTGCGCCCAGCCAAAATATCTTTTAATTGTTACAATTCCTACTCTATAGTAGTAATTAAAATGTCATTGTCCATTTATTCTCATCCTATCTTCCTTTATGATATCTTAAATTACAACAATAAAATCATGAAAAGGGTTTGCTTAACAATCCCATGGGCCTATAAGGTAATGGTGTAGAAATTCTAATCCTGAAGCCATACCTAGCTCTTCACTATATTTCAAATATAAATACTAAAGCAAATATGTCATTTGTGCCTACAGTTCCAAGTAAAATGCAACATGACATTAAAAGCCTTAATGAATATTTAAATGGCATAAAATAGTTATTTGTTCAAGAACATCTATATTTAAGTACTCTTCCTCTATCAACCTCTTTCCATCTATCTTATCCCTTCATCTATTTTCACCTTAATCTATTCTATTCTATAATAATTATTGCATTTTGACCATTTTAATATATGTTAAAAAATACTTTGAGAAGAACAAAAGTAAAAGCAAATTTTAAATAATAATCATATTCATTTTTAAAGGGGTTGATGGAACTTCTTATCTTTCTTTCCAAATAAATCGCGCAAACTCAATTAACATTGCTTCTTGCTTATGATGCCTAGCCACCAACAGAATTTTTATTCCATGTAGGCCATTAGTCCTAATAAAATAATGTTTTCCACTAATAAACAAAAAACAAACCAGATTAAAACAGGATACACAACCCCAAAAAGAGACTAGCGGAAGAGTCACAGTAGTTTCATAGCCTCATTAGTAATTAAATTCAAAAATATATTTTGTTCTTTAACCTACAATGAATACTAATAAAATTTCAGTATATTTTCTTCTGCTTTACAAAGTTAAAAGTCAACTCTTGGCTGGGAGCCATGGCTCACGCCTGTAAACCCAGCAGTTTGGGAGGCCAGGGCAGATTACGAGGTCAGGAGATCAAGACCATCCTGGCTAACACGGAAAAACCCCGTCTCTACTAAAAATACAAAAAATTAGCCGGGTGTGGTGGCGGGTGCCTGTAGTCCCAGCTACTCGGGAGGCTGAGGCAGAATGGCGTGAACCTGGGAGGCAGAACTTGCAGTGAGCCAAGATCACGCCACTGTACTCCAGCCTGGGCGACAGTGCAAGACTCCGTCTCAAAAAAAAAAAAAAAAAGTCAGCTCTCCAAAATACCTTACAGGCTGGGCACGGTGGCTCACGCCTCTAATCCCAGAACTTTGGGAGGCCAAGGTGGGTGAATCACCTGAGGTCAGGAGTTCAAGACCAGCCTGTCCAACATGGCAAAACCCCATCTCTACTAAAAATACAAAAATTAGCTGGGTGTGGTGGCACGCGCCTGTAGTCACAGCTAGTCGGGAGGCTGAGACGGGAGAATCACTTGAACCTGGGAAGCAGAGGTTCAGTGAGCCAAGATCACACCACTACACTCCAGCCTGGGCAAAAGAGTAAGACTCTGTCTCAAAATAAATAAAATAACCTTATAATCTAAATATAAGTTTTTATTCTCTTGATGTACAATAGTAACTACTATACTTAAGGAAAGCTTTGATTTTCATTAAAACTCTGTAATAGCCATTACTGGCTAAAATGGCATTACTTTATCAGTTGTATTTTTTCCCAAGAGATAGTGCCACTAAAATAGATAGAAAATTTATAAGAAATTATTGGTACATTATTTAGCTATTATCACTACCCACTATTGGATTATCAACTGAATCCAGGGAAAAGAATGACTAATGTCATATCCTGGTTGTGGAAGTTTTAAAACATGTTTACAAATTCTCTGACATTCTTCCCATCAAGAGGTGGGATCTATATCACCTCCCACTGAATCTGGACATACTTTCGCAACTCGTTTATAACAAAAAGGATGAAGTGACACCACATACCTTCCAAGACTAGCTCAGAAAAGGCTCTACAGCTTCTACTCTTGGGCTGTTGGCCTGGGAGAAGTAAGTCACTACTATGTAAGATGTCCAACTTGAGACCACCATGCTGGAGAAACCACATGTCGTCATACTGATCAACAACCAGCTGAGTTCTCGGATGGTCAGCATCAACTATCAGCCCTATGAGTGAGCCATCTTAGATCTCCGTCTCAGTGTGAAGCCCTCAGATGACTATGGCTGCAGCCAACAACTAACTGCAACCACATATGATGACCAAAGTAAGAACTGCCCAGATGCCATTCTCACGTTCCTAAGTCATAAAATTGTGAGCAAAATAAAATGGTAATTTTAAGACATAAAGCTTTGGGCAAATTTGCTGCATAGCAACAGTAATGACAATCATGGTTTATCCACTTTATAGAAAGAACACTTAGACCAGCAGATAGAAGAACTAGTGCCCAATTTCAACTCTACCACTAACTAGACGGCATTCACTAGCCTGAGTGAATCAGTTAATTCTATGGAATTCAGTTTTTTCATCCATAAATAAGAAAGACAAGATGAATTATATAGTCCCTTTTAGCTCAAGCAGTCATAATTTTTATAACCCTTGAATTGCTTGACACTAATTTTCATTTCGTTTTTGTTGTATCACATGACTTTTCTTTTTTTTTTTCTTTTTTTTGAGATGGAGTCTCACTCTGTCACCCAGGCTGAAGTGCAGTGGTGCAATCTCAGCTCTGCAACTTCTGCCTCCAGGTTCAAGGGGTTCTCCTGTCTCAGTGCCCTGAGTAGCTGGGATTACATGCATGTGCCAGCATGTTCAGCTAATTTTTGTATTTTCAGTAGAGATGGGGTTTCACAATGTTGGCCAGGCTGGTGTCAAACTCCTGACTTCAGGTGATCTGCCCGCCTCGGCCTCCCAAAATGCTGGGATTACAGTTATGGGCCACCACACCCAGCTGACTTTTCTAACTCAAGACTTGACAAGTTTAAAACCATAAAGCAAACACCTTATTTTATATATATATATTTTTATATATAATATATATTTACATATATAATATATATTTACATATATATTATATAATACATATATAATATATAAATATATAATATACATAAATATACAATATATAAATATATGATATACAAATATATATAAATATATATACATATACAATATAAATATATGTATATAATATACATATATAAATGTGTATATTATTTATTACACATGCATATTACATATAAATATGATAAATATATATACATATATAATATAAATATATGTATATAATATACATATATAATATAAATATATATGTGTATATATACATACATATATAATTATATTATATGTGTATATATAATATACATATAAATATGCATGTATAATATATAATACATATTATATATTATATAAATATACATATACATATATAATATAATTACATATGTATGTATACATACATATGTAATTATATTATATGTATACATGTATACATATACATATACCTATATGTATACATGTACACATATACCTATATGTATACATATACACATATACGTATATGTATACATGTATACATACATATATAATTATATGTATATTATAACATAAATATAAATATACATATATATTATATTATATATAATTTATTAATATATAATATATATTATATAATATATAATATAAATATACATATACATATATAATTATATATGTATATATGTGTATATATATATATAAAGTATCACTGCACTCTAGCCTGAGAGAGCAAGACCCTATCTCAAAAAAAAAAAAAAGAAACATACGGTAGATACCTCTGGCTAAACAACTCTACTTCAAATTCTTAAGTTTTCAAATGCCTAAATGACCCTATTTTTATCCCTTTGGAAAATATGATCAATATATAAACTATAAAAAGTTTAGCTTTCTGGGGCTGGGCACGGTGGCTCATACCTATAATCCCAGCACTTTGGGAGGCCAAGGTGGGCGGATCACCTGAGGTCAGGAGTTCAACACCAGCCTGACCAATATGGAGAAACCCCATCTTTACCAAAAATACAAAACTAGCCAGGCGTGGTAGTGCATGCCTGTAATCCCAGCTACTCGGCAGGCTGAGGCAGGAGAATCGCTTGAACCCGGGAGGTGGAGGTTGCAGTGAGCCAAGATCATGCCACTGCACTCCAGCCTGAGCAATGTAGCAAGACTCTATCTCAAAAAAATAAATAAATAAAAAATAAAGGTCAAAGGGTCTAAACTACTTAAATGTATTAAATATACATCACATGCTTTAAAAGTAAATCTTCTCAGCTATAACAAAAACAATGTATTATGAGAGACTAGGGGCTGAAATAAAGTATTTTAAAGTTGTTAACATCAAAAAGTATTTACCATGATATTCACACTGAGACATGATCATAATTAAGGAACAAATGGTTACATAAAACATACTACACACAGAAGTTGCTGAAACAGAATCTAAGAGAAATGAACATGGATGGAGCAGGAGGCCATAATCCTTAGCCAACTAATGTAGGAACAGAAAACCAAATACCATATATTCTCACTTTAAGTAGGAGATAAATAATGAGAAAATATCGACACAAAGGGAGAAACAACAGACACTGGGGCCTACTTGAGGATGGAGGCGGGAAACAGAAGTGAGGACCTAAAAAGGACAGATTAGAAGCAATAGTAATGAATAAAAAAGGGGCAATATTTAAAATTATCTGATATCATCTAGAAATTACTTCTAGAAGAGATTCAAAAGCCCCTCAATACACACACACGTGCACACACAAACACACACACAAGGATGTCCTTCTAGCACCCAACCATAAAATAGAATGTTGTTGCAATGCAGTTGTGTACAATGAAAGTCTCCACGGGAAATTCAAATGCTAATCTGGAGAGTTCAGGCCAAGATAAAAATGATTGTTACTTCTGTCCTAGACAGAGGAGAAGGCATCTGTGTTGAAGATCAGCTTTTT
The DNA here is from genome assembly GCF_000001405.40 of Homo sapiens. NCBI lineage: Eukaryota > Metazoa > Chordata > Mammalia > Primates > Hominidae > Homo > Homo sapiens. The sequence continues at coordinate 169,880,422 of NC_000002.12, read as the reverse complement.
ACATATCCAGAAATAAAATTCAATTCATGAAAATAAAGTAGAATTGTTAGCAAGCCTGTTGGATACATAATGCTAGGCATGCTAAAATAATATGACAATTCTAACCTACCACATAAATATAAACTTAAGACCACAGATTTTTGTTGTTTTAAATCAAGTCAAGATGTTTATTTTAATAAAGTGCTCTGAACAATGACCAAACCATTTCATCATGCAATAGTTGTCTAAAGTTCCTACTGGCTACAGATATAAGACCCCTGCTCAGGTGGCTTTAGCTAAAGAAGTGCCCATTCATTCACCCATTCATAGTCAACTCCTACTCTGAGAACTCGCCTTTTAATAGGCCATTCCACCTCCCCACAAAATGCTCTTAGAGCAAAATAAGCAGTTTAAAACTATATGTGTATTACCAATTACTTCCTTCTTTGGCATACGAAGAATTAGCAGTCTTACTTCCACCATTCCCCTCCCCTATCTTCAAAATGGAATTATTACAGTTTAGTTAAAATAATAATGTTTATATGTTTTTGAAAGTCTATTTTAAATATCAGAAAATTTTTCCCATTTGTCATTGTAACAATATGATTCTCAGAAGTTATTTTGTTACAAAACAGAAGCAAAATTTATAAGCTAACCATTTACATAAGTTTTTTAAATTACTCTATTTTATTTAACTAACACACATACAGTGTTTACAATATGCTGGGCACCAGGGCTGTAAGTGCTTACATATGTTAACTCATTCAATCCTCATAATATTCTCATGAAATAAGTACTATTATTATCTCCATTTCACAGATAAGGAAATGTAGACATGAAGAAGTTAAGACACTTGCCCAAGGTTACACTACTAATAGGTAAAGGAGCCAGAAGTCAAACCCAGGCAGTCTAATTCCAGAGTCAGACTCCTACACAGCATAATAAACTGCCTCTCCAATCTGATGAAAATTCTTGAAAATTGCCCAAAATGAGACTCCACAAAATGTAACATTGTGTGAAAGCCTTTTTAGAGGGGAAAAACTATAAAATTTAAATTTTAAGGTATTAAATCAATTACAAGACTTCCACAACAGAAATCATCCCTTTAAAAGGAGTATATTTGGCTTAATTCACATTACATTATCAACTCAAAATGAATTTCCAAAAGAAAAAAGATATATATGTTTAAATGTAATTTTATTTTTTAGATTTTAATTAAATGTATTAGAAATATAAAATTTAAGTTGAATAAGCAACAAGATTATAAGCAAATATAACAGCAATTTTTCTCTTATAAATTATGTAATAAAATATAGAAATATAACAATGATTTTTCCTATTTATTATTAATAAACACTATAAAAATTGAAATTTCAAATTGATGGTCTTTTTCCCAGTACATAGTTTTAAAAAAAAATCCCTGACATGTAAAATGTAACTTTATTATACGATTAGAAAAACAGTTCCATTTCATAGTCTTTTAATAAATTATCCTAAACTTAGCGAAATTTTCAAAAATAATTTCATTGTACATATGACAACTATACGGGTAAATTTGGGGATAGCCTCTGAGGAGAAATCTCTACCTCTTTCTACCCACTTTTAAACTGTGAAAAAGAAAAATGAATTATAAACAAGAAGTAAAAATCTAGTTACACACCTCGTTCTCTCACTAAGTAATTGTGTGATCTAGGCTTCCCAGAAGCCATTATGGGCTTCAGTGTCCTTGTCTATAGAATGAGAAACTTAAACTACATAATGCCTACAAATCTATACAGTTTCAGAACTATAAAGAAGTATAAAATAATAAAAAAGTATAAAAAAGCACAAAATTGTACTTTTTAAAAAGTTTTGAACTTTAAATCTCACCTCATCTGAAGAATCCACTTGTCCCAAAGTTCCTGTTGCGCCTATGAAACCTTTGGAGGAGAAGAAAAATAGTTGTCCTTCATAGTTGCTACATATTGCTTTATTTTCAAATTATTCTGAGAAATACAAATATCAAAAAGCTAAGTTTTGTTACGTTAGGACACCTCATTCTAACAGTTATCTTGGCAAAGTCCAACTTTTTTTTTTTTTTTTGAGACGGGATTCTCGCTCTGTTGCTCAGGCTGGAGTGCAGTGGCGCAATCTCACCTCACTGCAACCTCCACTTCTCAGATTCAAGCAATTCTCCTGCCTCAGCTTCCCAAGTAGCTGGGCTTACAGGCGCCTGCCAGCACGCCCAGCTAATTTTTGTATTTTAGTAAAGACGAGGTTTCACCATGTTGGCCATTTTGGCCTCAAAACTCCCGACCTCAGGTGATCCACCCACCTCGGCCTCCCAAACTGCTGGGATTTATAGGCATAAGCCTCCGTGCCCAGCCTCCAACATTTATCTCAAATAAGTTTGGACCTAATAGGTTGATACTTCAATAGGAATTCTCCAGTGAAAACTCAGATTTAATACAGTTATTACAAATGGTGTTTCAGAAGGATCTCTTTTTAGTTTTAAACCATAGTTTACTAAAATATTGAGGCAGTAAAGTTTTGGGCTACTCTTGAATAGCAACTGTACATTTTTCATGAGTTAGAACCAGAACCTTAATAAGCTAATCAAATTCCATTTAAGAAAAATGCATTCTCTTCTTTGGTCAATCTATTCTTTTTTGCCTCTAAATTTTTACTACTTTTATTACTTTTCTTAAAAAGAATAATACTGTTTTAGTTCAAAATAATTTTTTTCAATAATGAGTAAAGTTTGAGAGGTTTTTTTGGTTTTAATACAGAAAAGTTACAACTGTTCAAATTAAATATTTAGACAAACCTTGAACAGCCAGAGAACTAGTACCAGCAGATGGCTCCTGCACACCATATACAAGCTTATCCTCAGGATATGTAAGTCCAGAGCTCTTTAAAGCTATAAGGTACTTTTCATGACTTTTCTTTACACAAGCATTTTCTCCAAGACCTAATTAAAACAAACTTCAAATCAGAAAAAAATATTCCATTCAAAATCTCAGTATGGTCTTTTCATTAACTAGTATCTATAAATAGGTGAATATTCTAATGGAGTGGGAGCCCTAGAATGAATAATATAAGATAGCTTCAAATAACACTTTTGTGCTTATGTTTAGCACTAACAATCCGAGAATACACAGCATGTTTATACCAAATAATGAAATCTACAAAGTAGGTGGGCATCTAAAATATCCAAGGGAATGTGGGGCACAAGAATTAATAAGACATGATCCGAACTTTAAAGGAACCTGAAAATTACAGTAAAGAAAGTCAGAGAGGTAATATGGTAGATAATAATTATGTAGCGGAATTCACCTTCTGGTTTGACAGTCTGTGCTCTCGTAATACCAAGCATGCAGTTATCGAAAGCAGAGTGCTTGGGAAAGGCGTATGAATGTTTTGTATAACAATACACCATTCAACAATTCCAAGTTTTATAACTTAAGCTGTATATTAGAAAATCCTAGGCGATACAACACAAAAACTTAAAATATCAAAAGTGAAAACATAGACATGATGGTTGTTACTGTTAAAGAAAGGGGATCACTTCTCAGCCTTGCGTTTAAAGAAAGAGACGTAGGGCCGGGCGTGGTGGCTCATGCCTGTAATCTCAGCACTTTAGGAGGCCAAGGCTGGCAGATCACCCGAGGTCAGGAGCTCAAGACCAGCCTGGCCAACATGGTTAAAACCCTGTCTCTACAAAAATACAAAAATTAAAATTAGCTGGGCATGATGGCAGGTACCTGTAATCCCAGCTACTCGGGAGGCTGAGGCAGGAGAATCGCTTGAACCCAGGAGGCAGAGGTTGCAGTGGGCTGAGATCACGCCACTGCACTCCAGCCTGGGCAACAGAGCAAGACTCTGTCTCAAAAAAATACAATACAATACAATACAATACAATACAATACAATAAAGAGAGGCAGAGCATAATTATCATGTCACACCAAAAGTTAGGAGACCTAGGTTCCAGTACCAACTCCAACATAAATTAATTGTGAGGTTTAAACAGGCCATTTCATTTTCCTAGGGCTCAATTTCCTCATCCATAAAACAAGAAGTTCTCTTGCCAGGCGCAGTGGCTCACGCCTGTAATCCCAGCACTTCGGAAGGCCAAGGCGGGCGGATCATGAGGTCAGGAGATCGAGACCATCCTGGCTAACACAGTGAAACCCCGCCTCTACTAAAAATACAAAAAATTAGCTGGGCGTAGTGGCGGGCGCCTGTAGTCCCAGCTACTCGGGAGGCTGAGGCAGAATGGCGTGAACCCAGGAGGCGGAGCTTGCAGTGAGCCGAGATTGCGCCACTGCACTCCAGCCTGGGCGACAGAGCTAGACTCCGTCTCAAAAAAAAAAAAAAAAAGAAGTTCTCTTAATAACTTCCAGCTTTAGCATTCTATGAAAATTCTACAATTTACCTTTAAGTTCTAAAAGACTCAATTTCTTATCATTATAGTAAGATATGAAAACTATAAATTTCTTCTAACATTTTACTCACCAGAAGTCAGATCTTTGTAGTTTTGTTGGTTTGTCAAAACCTGAGTAAGAACAGACCGCATTGCTCCTCCCATTTTAGTCAGGTCTTCTAAAAAGGAAATTTGAGGTTCCAAAAGCTGAAGGACTTTGTTAAGGTCCTTTTCTGATGGTCCATCAGCTGCTAAAAGAAAAAAAGAAAAAAAATCAAATAAGGGTAATTTTGTTTAAAATATCTTACTAAAAATAACAGTATTTATTCTTTTAAAATTATAATGGCTTAAATTATAGTATTTTATAATCAAAAAAGTCAATACAAGAACTCTGTTTAGAAATTGGTATCTGCCCAGCACCTAGCCAAGCAAGGGTAGACTTGCTCAGGAATTCAGTCCTTTGGAAAACAGTAGATGGAAAAACACAGATGACCTCCTAAGATATGAAGCACTTAATTTGTGTAAGAAGCATTTAAATACAAAAAATTAACCAAGTGTGGTGGTGCGCGCCTGTAGTCCCAGCTACTCAGGAGTCTGAGGCAGGAGGATGGCTTAAGCCTGGAGGTGAAGGTGGCAGTGAACTGAGATCATGCCACTGTACTCCAGCCTGGGCAACAGAGTGACACCCCATCTCAAAAACAACAAAAAGAAGCAGCAGCATTTGATCTGTGGGCCCTATACTTCCACATATATAAATGTCATCATAAGATCATTTCAAAAAAAGATAGTATTTAAGAAAAAGTTTAGATCACATCCTAGAATAAAACAAGATATAATTCAAATACATTGAGAGTAGTATAAGAGTATTATGTCAAATTTAAACCTGTATAACAAATAACCTATCCCCTATAATATTCCAAAAATACAGATACATGTTAGCTGAAGGTCAAAGCAACTAAAGTGAAAGATAACTTTTCATAAATATGAATAATTGTATTAAAAACTAAAAAAAAAACAGGCAAATAGAGATGGAGAGAAAGAAAAGCTTGGACAACAACTGAAAAAGAATATTAAAGACGAAAAATATAGAGAGGTTTTACAGAAGCCGAGGTCTAAAAGGAAGGAAATGAATAAAGAGATGTATAGCTTAACCATAATTTTTTTAAAACAAAAACAAACAAATGAACAAAACCACACCTATAAAAGAGGTAATGGAGAACCTGTGTGCCCAGGAAAGGGGATGTCCATTTCATTCAACATTTATTCAGAATCTCAAAACCTACTTTCTCAGTGTAAAGCTAATGTTATATATTATTCAACTTTATATTCTCCCCAGTGACTTATATAGTAATATAGTAGATGTTTAATTAATGTTTGCTCTTGGTTTTCAAGGGCTCTGAAACAAACTCTAACACAGATATAAGGATTATTGGATGAATGAGAAACAGAATTGAAAGAAATTGGGAAACCACAAGATCTCTGAGTTTTCATTACCTTGGATTGGTTATTGCAAGACCTTTCTTTAATTTCTTTAATTTTAAACAGTAATCTCTACACAAAAATGCAGAATTTTGGCTGGGCACAATGGCTCACACCTGTAGTCCCAGCACTTTCAGAGGCCAAGGCGGTGGATCATCTGAGGTCAGGAGTTTGAGACCAGCCTGGCCAACACAGTAAAACTCCATCTCTACTAAAAATACAAAAAATTAGCCGGGCGTGGTGGTGGGCGCCTGTAATTCCAGCTGTTTGGGAGGCTGAGGCAGGAGAATCACTTGAACCCAGGAGGCGGAGGCTGCGGTGAGCTGACATCGCACCACTGCACTCCAGCCTGGGCAATAAGAGCGAAACTCCATCTCAAAAAAAAAAAAGGCAGAATTTTTTTTGCACAGACAGAAATTAATGCTGAACAGAAGTAGTAATATAAGGAAGAAACTTCCATGAACCTACATTCATGCAGATCATCTTTAGATAAAAAATGCTTCCATTTTTTCCTTCGTGTTTTCAGATAACAGATAATTATAAAGCTATGTACTTACGTTGTCTACATTTTATAACTGTTATGTCAACAACAAAAAATATAAGACACTTTCATGTGAAGTACTCTTTCATTAAACTAATGATAAGCTTTAAGGTTCTCATAATAAATAATTTCTATTTCTAAAATAGGACACCTGTAATACAAAACATAAATTCCCAAAAAGGTCTCCTAACTAGTATATAAGAAATAATGCATAAGGCAATTTCAATAACCCAGCTAGTAACTGGTTCCTTCATTCCGAAGAGACAGTAATTTGAAACCAAATCAAAATAATATTTTTCTTTATATATTCTTTTTTCTGTTCTTTTTTTTGGGGGGCGGTGTGGGGCACAGGGCACACTCTCACTCTGTCACCCAGACTGGAGTGTAGTGATGTAATCATAGCTCACTGCAGCCTTGAACTCCTGAGCTCAAGGGATCCTCCTGCCTCAGCCTCCCAAGTAGCTAGGACTACAGGCACATGCCACCACCACACCCAGCTAACTTTTAAAAATGTTTGTAAAGACAGAGTCTCTATGTTGTCTAGCTGGTCTTGAACTCCTGGCTTCAAGCAATCCTCCTCCCTCAGCCCCTCAAAGTGCTGGGATTACAGGTATGAAACACCATGCCCAGCTTATTTTTCTATATTTTAAGATATATACTCTGTTAAGTAGAAGTACTTAACAAAGGATTGTATATTTTTGCTTAAAATGTACAAATAAGGAAGTATAATGGTTTGCTCACAATAAAGATAACAAGACAGTTTTAGAAATGAGGACATTATATAACATTCCCCTACACTTTAAGGATGGAGATAGAAGATGAAAATGTGTGCCACAGTTTCAAAATGAATATAAAATTATTTATAGTACTAAATAATTTTAAACCTCTAAAAATAATGCAAAATGTAATCTCTTATAGAACAGAAATTCAAGTATCATTAGAAAGGTAAAAAACATCATAAAAAGTTAATAAATTTGATTCATACTACTAATGAATATCTGTAACTGACAATGTCAGACTGAGAACTTTTAATAGATACCTAAATCCAAATATTTACCTAACTGAAGTATGTTAATCAAGATTGTGATTAAATCTTAAAAAGTAAGAAGAACATCTGTAATTTTCTCTTTTAAATATTAACATGATGATTACACACCCATATATTCTACCAGTAATCTGGAAGTCAGCAATTTGACCCTATCATAAGTTATTATATAATATATAGAGAGAATAAAAATATATACAGACTTCTAAAAAAAAGTTGATAAAACATTTTATCTTCTAAAAATCTAAGTTAAATTTAAACATTTCCAGGAGTTCTCAATTCTGCTTTATCATAATATTGCAAATAAAGTCACGTTAACCCCACAAAATGGTTACTTCCTCATCTGCAAAAGCTCAAATAAGTTTGATCAAAAACATTTATGACCCCGGAAGCAGAAAGCACGAAACTACATCTACTGCAACATATAAGGTTATATAATTAATTTTTAGTGTGTTTCTATTCAATCCGTATTTTATAGTCATCTCTTTTTAAATGTTAAACAAAAAAAGATATCTAAAAAAATTCACCTCATAATTAATACTAAAACTTTGTAAATTTACAATTTAAAAAGAGTACTAACAAGAAGTAGATTAAAACATACCTGGTTCATTATAGCCTTCTCTTAAGTACTGAATAAGACAAAATATAAATCTTGGAAGAACAAATTCAGACATCATCAGTAAGTCTTTAGGGACACAGGGAATATTTGAACTTGATTTAATTTGATGCCTTTTGCAAAACCTGTAATATGAAAAAGAAAAAAATTAACAGTAATGTCTAATCAGCTAAAAATATATTATTTCTATTTACAATATTCGTAAATGGAATATAGGCCAATAAATCCTCCTTTATGATTTTTAAGGTACCAGGTTAAAAGAATGTAATTTTAAACCAGTGTTTATACAAAAAATGGCACTCAGGTATATTTTTCCCAAGAAAAGACCCATACTATTAATAGTTAAACTCCAAGTAGAATACAAAAAGAAAATCTCATTACAGGGCACTTTTTTTTAACTGAAATTTATTACTTTCAGGTACCACTTTATGACTTCCACTCTTTTAAACCATTAAGTACAAGTTGATCACTTTAAAAGCATTTACATTTTTCCTATTTCTAACTTATTGCATTAATGAATAGGTAAGTGATACAAAACCTTGAAGTTTATTTTAAAAGTTTATACACTGAAGTGTATACATTCCTTCTAATCTTGTTTATATTCTTTTTTTTTTTTTGAGAGTCTTGGTCTGACGTCCAGGCTGGAGTGCAGTGGCACAATCTCGGCTCATTGCAACCTCTGCCTCCCAGGTTCAAGCGATTCCCCCACCTCAGCCTCCCAAGTAGCTGGGACTACAGGTGTGCACCACCACACCAGCTAATTTTTTTTATTTTTAGTAGAAACGAGGTTTCACCATGTTGGTTGGCCAGGCTGGTCTCAAACTACTGACCTCAGGTGCTCCGCCCGCCTCGGCCCCGTGAGCCACTGTGCCTGGCCTATATTCATTTTTAAGTATGATTGGTATGCTTAAGCAAAAATGAAGTTAACTGTTTTTTTTTTTTTTTCCCTTAAAGACAGGGTCTCGCTTTGTCACTCACATGCATCCTGGAAGTCCTGGGCTCAAGCAATCCTCCCACCTCAGCCTCAGGCATGTGCCACTATGTCTGGCTAATTTTTTTATTTTTACTTTTTGTAGAGACAGGGTCTTGCTACATTGCCAAGGCTGATGTACAACTCTTGGCCTCAAGCGATCCTCCAGCCTTGACCTCCCAAAGTACTGGGATTGTGAGCCACTGTGCCCCACCCTGAAGAAAACTATTCTATAGTCAACATCCAAATAATCACAAATAAGTTATTCTGTGACCAAACACATAATTACCACATTAAACATGTAAAATGCCTAGAAATAAGTAGAAGGGAAGAGAAGCTATTTAAGCTGTAAAATATAAAAGATCTGAATAAATAGAGAAAAACAACATTCCTAAACAGAAAAATTGATCTTTTTTTTTTTTTTTAAAGACAGTTTTGGCCAGGCACAGTGGCTCATGCCTGTAATCCCAGCACTTTGGGAGGCCAAGGCCGGTGCATCACCTGAGGTCAGGCGTTCAAGACCAGCCTGGCCAACATGGCAAAACCCCATCTCTACTAAAAATACAAAAATTAGCCAGGCATGGTGGCACATGCCTGTAGTCCCAGCTACTTGGGAGGCTGAGGCAGGAGAATCGCTTGAACCTGGGAGGCGGAGGTTGCAGTGAGCCAAGACCGTGCCACTGCACTCCAGCCTGGGTGACTAAGTGACAGTCTGTCTCAAAAAAAAAATAATAATAATAATAAAAGACAGTTTCCCCAGACTTAATGCCATTAGATTTACATCCCAATAGAATTAATCACAAACTAATTCTAAAGTTCAAATGGAAGATCATATTTGTGAAAAATACTATTAAAGCCTGAAAAAAAAAGGTTAATGATAATGAACTGGACCTTAAAGCACAGTATAAAATTATTTTAATTAAAATTCTGTGGTAATGTGCTAACATCAATGGACCACAATGGGCCGGACATGGTGGCTCATGCCTGTAATCCCAGCATGTTGGGAGGCTGAGGCTGAAGGATCACTTGAGGCCAGGAGTTCAAAACCAGCCTAGGTGACATAGCGAGACCCAGTCTACCAAAAAAACTTAATTTAAAATGAACAATAATGAAGTCCAGAAAAAGAACATACAAATTTGTGATAAATGTGACATCTCAAATCAATATAGTGGAAAGAAGACTTAATAAACTACTTTAGAACAAAATTTACTATTATTTAAATGCAGGAAGCAAATTTGATTCCTATCTTATACTATATACGAAATATATTCTGGAATACATTAAAAATCAAATGTAAGAAATGGAGCCTGGAAGATAATTAACTATTTTCCTACATTATCTCAGAATATAGAAAGCCTAAGTTAAGACTTAAAACCAAAAGCCACAAAAGAAAAAAAACTGACTATGTAAATCAAAAGCTTCTACACAGAAGACAGTAACAAACTGGAAAAAATATTTACAATTTATAAATGAGATAAAAGATTAATAGCTATGATTACAAACTCTCAAAAATGGATAAGAAAAATAAAGGAATTCAACAGAAAAATCAAGCAAGGTCATGAACAATTCACAAAACAAGTACCAAACAGCCAATAAACAAATGGAAAGATGCTCCAGTTTTCTCTAATAAAGCAATGAATTTTATTAAAACAAAAAATGAATAACTGGAGAAACCATTTTGTGATATCTAGTGAAATAACTGACCCATGCAATTGAGCCATTAGAGGAAAGCTTGAGGGGAAATTTTCATTACAGTTACTTACAGTTCATTACAGTTCTTTGGTTCATTACAGTTAATTTTATTAGGTGTGATAACAATATTGTGGTTACATAAGAAAAATATCTGACTATTACATCCTTATCAATCTGCTGGGTGAGGTGGCTCACGTCCTTAATCCCAACACTTTAGGAGGCTGACATGGGCGGATTGCTTGAGGTCAGGAGTTTGAGACCAGCCTGGCCAACATGGTGAAGCACCATCTCTACTAAAAAATACAAAACATTAGCCAGGCATGGTGGCACATGCCTGTAGTCCTAGCTACTCAGGAGTCTGAGGCAGGAGAATCACTTGAAACCGGGAGGCAGAGGTTGCAGTGAGCCGAGATCGCACCACTGCACTCGAGCCTAGGTGACAGAGCAAGACTCCATCTCAAAAAAAAAAAAAAAAAAAAAAACCTTATCAATCTTAGCATCACCAGAAGTTTAAACAAAAAAAAAAAGGCAGAGAGACTGTGATGTGAGTAAAGCACACAACACCATTTATGAAATGTTCTTATCAAACAAACTGAACTTGAATGGTACCATGTCTCCAGAGCTAACTTCCATTTACAAGACGTACGGGAGATAAATGAACACGTTAAATACACTACAAAAAAGGAAATAGACAAATGGAGAATGTGAGACATTATACAGGACAACTGACCCAGTTTCTGTAACCTGTCAGTGACAGAGGGGAATAAAGGGGTACCAGGGCTACTCTAGGTTAAAAGAGGCTTGAAACACCCAATAAGCACATGCAATATGTAAACCAATTCTAACAAACCAACTCTGAAAAGAATTTTTGAAAGGCATATTTTAGTCTTTCAAAAAGGAAATTCCTTTCCGAGGGAATCTGATTATAAACTGGGTACTAGTTCATTACAGTTGATTTTATTAGTGTGATAATGCCATTGTGGTTATACAAGAAAATGTTAGTGGTTATTTGATGATATAGGAATTATTTTATGTGGGTGTGACAACAACACTGTGATTATCACTAAAAGTGAATTCCCAGCTGGGTGCAATGGCTCATGCCTGTAATGCCTATAATCCCAGTACTTTGGGAGGCCAAGGCATGCAGATCACTTGATGTCAGGAGTTCAAGACCAGCCTGGCCAACATGGCAAAGCCCTGTTTCTACTAAAAACACAAAACTTAGCCAGGCGTGGTGGTGTGCACAAGAATCACTTAAACCCGGGAGGTGGAGACTGCAGTGAGCTGAGATCGTGCGCCACTGCACTCCAGCCTGGATGACAGAATGAGACTCTGTCTTAAATAAAAATAAAAAATTTAAAAAAAGTAAATTCCCTGTCTTTTAGACAGAGACAGGGATTTACAGATGAAACGCTCTAATATATGGGACCTGCTTCAAAATAATTTGGTGAGATAAAGGGAAGTAGGCGGGAGTTTACCAAGAGCAGCTCTGAATTGCTACTTGTTGAAACTGAGAGATACATGAGGTTTCATTGTTATGTTCATGAAAAAGAATGTGGATAGATATCAAAGTCAATAAAGTACTCTCTTCTGATGTTTAAGGAATTCATTTAAAAGATTGTAATTTAAATTTGTCTTTCAGTCAAAAATGACACCAAGGGATATTTTCCCTAATAAAAAGATCATACTAGTTAGGTTCATTGTGCTGACTGCTTTTATATATGTTTTAAATTTTCTATACTAAAAAACTAAAAATCTTAAAAAGAAAAAAAAATCCCTACTCTTTAAAGATGAATGCTGAAGCATGTCTGGGTAAAATAACACGATTTGGGGGAATTGCTTTAAAATACTCTGCGAAAGGGAAAAAAGCAGTTGAAGCAAATGTGGCTACAATCTTTAAAAATGTTGAGTCTGCATGATTGGCACTGGAAGGTTCAACATCCTATTGTATTTACCTTTGCATGTGTTTGGAAATTTTCATAATATAAAAACAGTTTTTGATCTTGCAGATCAGGAAAGATTCCCTTTACTAATTCGTTGAAAGCATGTTCAGAAATTTTTGTTGTATACATGGAAGTGTAAAACAGGTTGAGTTTTTGGTGGCACTTGACCATATCTATTAAAATTGTAAATGTTCGTAACACAAGCTTAGCATTTCCATTTCTATGAATTTATTATACAGAAATACTCCTAAATATGCTTGCAAAGATGTTTATTATACCTCCATTTACAATATAAAAAAGTTAAAAATGCATGCATTTAATCATAGAAGAAAAGTGAACCAAACTATGGCAGATCCATAACATATTTTGATTTTTACAAAAATGAGGTAGATCAATAAGCACTGAAGTATAATTATATCTAAGATAAATTAAGTGAGAAATGAATTGTATATACATTTAATCTCTTCTATAAATACTATTTTGGAGAAGGGAAACAAATGTTAATATATATAAGAAGAAAAACATTTTCAGAAATACATACCAAACTTTGTAGAAATTAACTGAGGGTATGATATGATATACTTCTACTTAGGACGTTAATTCTACGTATAATGTTTGAATTTTATATAACAAACATACATACAACTTTGTAATCAAAAGGAAAAATTTAAACCAAAAACAAAAAATAAGTTATGCCATACATTTGGTTTTACCTCCACAATTTAAAACATCATTGGTATTCTTTTTTGCTTCAAGGACCCTTTTGAGAATCTAATGAAAGTTACAACTCTTAAGAAAATATATACATAAATACAAAATAAAAGTTAGCATGTTCACACTCTGCTGAAGTCTATCTACCCTTCAGGTAGGTCTTTCAATTGTTAGGTCAGCAGATTACAGTGCAGAGATGGATTTTCCTTGGTCCTCAAGGCAGACACACAGGCAGAGCCTGAGCAGCCTCCTCAGTTGCCTCTGTGTCCCATCCAAATACTATTTTCCACATCTGCCATATTATGATAAAGGTTAGGAAGCATTACACCTTAAGGTTTAAACCTTGATTTAAAAGAAAAAATGAATTTAAGAACTTCTTCCAGTCCGGGCACGGTTGCTCACACCTGTAATCCCAGTACTTTGGGGGGCCGAGGTGGGCGAATCACTTGAGATCAGGAGTTCAAGACCAGCCTGGCCAACATGGTGAAACCCTGTCTCCACTAAAAATACAAAAATTAGCTAGACATGGTGGCGTATGCCTGTAATCCCAGCTATTCAGGAAGCTGAGGTAGGAGAATGGCTTGAATCCGGAGGCGGAGGTTGCAGTGGGCTGAGATCTCGCCACTGCACTCCAGCCTGGATGACAGAGCAAGACTTCATCTCAAAAAAAAAAACAAAAAAACAAAAAAACTTCTTCCAGCTAGGACACACAATATCTAAATAAAATCAAGTACACTTTTTAAAAGCTGTATTTCCATAAAAGCTTTTTTTGCTTTTTTTTTTTTTTTGAGACACAGTCTCACTCTGTTGCCCAGGCTGGAGAAAATCAAGTACACGTTTTAAAAGCTGTATTCCCATAAAAGCTTTTTTTTTTTTTTTTTTTTTTTTTTTTTTGAGACACAGTCTCGCTCTGTTGCCCAGGCTGGAGTGCAGTGGCACCATACCAGCTCACTGCAACCTCCGCCTCCCGGGTTCAAGCGATTCTCCTGAGTCAACCTCCCGAGTAGCTGGGATTACAGGCACGCACCACCATGCCCATCTACATTTTTGTATTTTTAGTAGAGATGGGGTTTCGCCATGTTGGCCAGGTTGGTCCCGAACTCCTGACCTCAGGTGATGCACCAGCCTCAGCTTCCCAAAGTGCTGGGATTACAGGCGTTAGCCACCGTGCCCAGCCTGTAAAAGCTTTTAAAGATAAAAGAGAATCTGGCCTGTGTGACAGATTAGAGAGCTAGTTGTGATCAAAGACAACTTAATTAAAAAGCCTGTAAGCATAAATGTGAAGGAGAGAAAATGGATGAAAGGAAAGCCAGGAGAGAAGAATAGGAAAACATAATTGGGCATGAAACTGAAGGATGCAATAAAAGAATTGAGAGCTGGAAAGCAGAAAGAGAAAGGATTAGAAAACACAGAAAGCTCTCTTGGACACTTTGTGCAGGAAAGAAACCAATTCCAAAGAGCAACTGGGTGGAGTAAAGAAAAATTTGAACAGAGTACCAAGTAGCTAAGCCAAAGGAACAGCAAGAATGGTCTAAGTAATTTTGAGACTGAGGTTACAGAAGTGTATCAGAAGACTGGAGATTAAAAACTTAATGGTCAAAAAAGTAAAAAAATCAAACTCTGGGAACTAGTGTCAGTACGGCAGAACTGTCCAAAGTGGATGTAATATACTGTAAGACTGACGAAAAATACTGGTTTTTGTAATTCAGGCTAAGCATAGTGTGGGGACTGACCATTTAACATAGCAGATGCTCAATAAAGAATTGATAATACTCAGTTCAAGGCAGGAAGATTGCCTGAGCCCAGGAATTCATGACCAGCTTGGGCAATATAGCATGACCCTGTCTCTTAAAAAAATCTTTTTTAAAATTACTATTAATATTTTATCAAGTCTTAGAAAAAGACTTGCTGAAACAAAGACTTAATTAATAGTAGAACAAAAAAAAAAATTTTTTTTTCGAGACGGAGTCTCACTCTGTTGCCCAGGCTGGAGTGCCTTGGTGCCATCTCGGCTCACCACAGCCTCCACCTCCCGGATTCAAGCAATTCTCCTGCCTCAGTCTCCAGAGTAGCTGGGATTACAGGCATGTGCCATGACACCCAGCTAATTCTTTCTTTTTTTTTTTTTTTTTTTTTTTGAGACGGAGTCTCGCTCCGTCACCCGGGCTGGAGTGCAGTGGCGCGATCTTGGCTCACTGCAAGCTCCGCCTCCCAGGTTCAAGCCATTCTCCTGCCTCAGCCTTCCGAGTAGCTGGGACTACAGGCACCCGCCACCATGCCCAGCTAATTTTTTTGTATTTTTTTTAGTAGAGACGGGGTTTCACTGTGTTAGCCAGGATGGTCTCAATCTCCTGACCTCGTGATCTGCCTGCCTCAGCCTCCCAAAGTGCTGGGATTACAGGTGTGAGCCACCGCGCCCGGCCTTCTTTTGTATTTTTAGTAGAGATGGGGTTTTGCCTGGCCATGTTGGCCAGGCTGGTCTCAAACTCCTGACCTCAAGTGATCTGCCTGCATCGGCCTCCCAAAGTGCTGGGATTACAGGCATGAGACACTGTGCCTGGCCAACAAAATTATTTTAAGGGCATCCAATTAAATAATAATCTGCGACCCATTTAATAATCCCAGTTGTTCAAATTTTTTTTGAAGAGCTACTACATGCCTGGCACATAGGTCCTGGGAATATGGAGGCCTTGTCCTCATGGAGCTAACTTTCTGAGGAAGGAGGAAAGAGAGAAACAAGAATATGGAAATATCTGATAGTAATAAATTCTATGAAATTATTTCTAGCCTGGGCAACACTGTAAAACCCCATCCCTACAAAAAATACAAAAATTAGCCAGATGTGGTGGCATGCACCTATAATCCCAGCTACCCAGGAGGCTGACGTAGGAAGATCACTTGAACCTGTACGCAGAAGGTTGCAGTGAGCCAAGATCATCCCACTGCACTCCATTCTGGATGACAGAGTAAGATCCTGTCTCAAAAAAAAAAGAAAAGAAAAAGAAAGTATTTGACAGCACCATACATAAAAAGTATCCATGGCGCTCCTTTAGATTGGGTTTGTCAGGGAAGGCCTTTCTGAAGAGGTGATATTTAGGCTATAGGCCAAAATGACATGAAGGAGGTAGGCTAGGCATGCAAAGCTCTGGAGGAGGATAAGGGAGAAAGTTTGCTATTTTTACTTCGTGTGTTTAGATTGTACCAATTCCGCCATCAAGAAATTTACTCCATTTATAACGCCTAAATTGATCCTAAAATTCATGTCACTTCATCAGCAATGAACTACGGCTACAGGTAGAACCAGTAAGTCAAGTGAGCTAACCAAAAGACACCAGTAAAATCAGTCAAAGACCTGACAAATGAAACTGCATATAAACATGTATTAACAATCTCTCCCCAAGTGAACAAGAGAAGAGCTTTCTAGACAACTGGTATAGCTCTAAATTAAAAATAAGGCAGGAAGTAATACATTCACATTAGCAGCTCAGAGGTCACAGATAACTTTCTTCAAGGAACCCAATAGATTTGCAAGATTAAGAAGGTTAAATAGTCCTTAGTGGGGAAGGATGTTACAGCAATAATAGAATGATAAAATAGAACTAAAAAAATACTAGACAAAATGACTTCTCTAAATTTTGTTTGACATCATCATTTTAAAATTTTTCACTGAAGCATAACCGATAACAAATTGCCTAAAAGGTTAAGTATGCAACTCAATGAAATATCACTAAATGAACATACTCATGTAAATGCCAATTCAAGATCAAGAAACAGAACATTACCCCCAGAAACTCTCCTTATGATTCCTCTGAAATCAAATTTAAATGACTAAAAGTAAATCTCCTGGACTGTGGGAGAAGTAGAGGAGAGAGGAAACAAAAGGAGAGGCAGGGGTTCTGGTGGTCTATTTGCAAGTTACTGATATTTGGTGGGGAGAAGGAGGGCAAGGAGAGGCCAACTCAAATAACGAAACCACATTTTTCAAGAATTTGAAAAGTATGTGAGATAATAAGCTCCCCTACAAGTAAGCCTTTGGCAAGAACATCCCATTCTCAACTTACTACACACATTACACATTATTTTGCAACAAATTATACAGATACACATTATTCTGCATATAATTTTGGATAATTCATGGAGATTCCTGGAGAGTCATACCCCCGCCCCATGTTAAAAGCCCTGATGATATAATCTGTGCCCTTCATCTGACAGGTGGGGAAATCTCAGAAACATTAAATGACATATTTGACTAAATTTTAACAAAATTATCAAAAGATATTTAGGATAAAGCCCAAAATGACATAAAAGGCATACCATAAACATATATGATATCTACCTAAACCAATCTATATATTTAATATGATCCAGTGAAAATAACAATAAAGAATAAACAAGCTGATTCTAAAGTTCATATGGAAAACTAAGAATCACTAAGAAAATTCAGAAAAACAAGAGTAATAAAAGTGAAGTAGCTTTATCAGAGATGAAAACTTATTTTAAAGTTGAAATCATCAGAAGTATTGATTCCAGCCTTTGGGAAGCTAACATTCTGTAGGACAGAGATAGACAATGATGATGAATACAATTAAGTAAACTACAAAGCAGAGAAAGGGAGATCAGAAATTCAGTTCCAAATTCACCTATACATATTCCTGGGCCATTTTTCTAAATATACATTTCTACATCGCTAATAGGAAGGACTAAAGTACAGCTCCATCCCATGTCTAAAACTGTTAGATAAATTCTAAGAACGAAAAGAAAAAACTTTAAATTCCATCTACACGGGTTTAAGTACTATTTAGTGGGCCCTAAGGTACCAGAAAAAAAAAATTTATGAAAACTAAAAATTTTAAATTAAATTACGGCATGCACATAAGATCAGAAAACTTGAAAGTAAAAATAGAGATGTTGAAAATCTATTAAACTATTAAGACAGTAAATATACATTGAAACCTTGAAGCAGAAACAAACAATATGGTAACGGTACATGAAAAATAATATGGGTCCAGAAATAGAACCAAATACATGTGGAATTTACAATAAAGGCAAAATTCAAATCTATGCAGAAAACAGGGCTTAATCAGAGAAATGATACTGAGATAATTGGGTAAACCAGCAAAGTTGGGGGTAGGCGGGAGGAACTTCCTCACATCTTATACCTTGATAATAAATTCCTAACATATCAAAAAGGTAAATGTAAAATGTGAAATCATTAGAGTTCTAGAAGCAACTTGGTGTAGGGAGAGTTACTTAATAATTGTGTAGAAGAGACAGCTTAAGTATGACAAAATCTAGAAGCCACCAGATTTTAATAACTACATAAACATAAAAGATTAATAAACATAAAATTAATAAACATAAAAATTGACAAGAAAACATTTCTGTACAAAAATAAATGCCCATGGGCTTTTCTTTTTCTTTTCTTTTTTTTTTTTTTTGAGACAGAGTCTTGCTCTGTCACCCAGGCTGGAGTGCAGTGGCGCGATCTCGGCTCACTGCAACCTCCACATCCCAGGTTCCAACGATTCTCCTGCCTCAGGCTCCCGAGTAGCCAGGATTACAGGCGCCGCCACTACACCCAGCTAATTTTTGTAATTTTAGTAGAGACGGGGTTTCACCATGTTGGCCAGGCTGGTCTCAAACTCCTGACCTCGTGATCCACCCGCCTCGGCCTCCCAGAGTGCTGGGATTACGGGCGTGAGCCACCACACCCAGCCGGCATTTGTTTTTGAAAAGACGAGTAGGAAAAAAGGTTTGCAACTCATAACTGGTCAAAGAGTTTGTGATGGTTAATATTGACTGTCAACTTGATTGGATACGAAGTATTGTTCCTGGGTGTATCTGTGAGAGTATTGCCCAAGGAGATTAACATTTGAGTCAGTGGACTGGGAGAGGCAGACCCACCCTCATTCTGGGTGGACACCATCTAATTAGCTGCCAGAGCAGCTAGAAAAAAGCAGGCAGGAGAAGATGTAAGACCAGACTTGCTGAGTCTTCCAGACTTCATCTTTCTCCCGTGCTGGATGCATCCTGCCCTTGAACATCAGATACCAAGTTCTTCATTCAGCTTTTGGACGCTTGGACTTACACCAGCGGTTTGCCAGGGGCTCTCGGGCCTGTGGCCACAGACTGAGTGCTGCAGTGTCGGCTTCTCTACTTTCGAGGTTTTGGGACTCGGGCTGATCCACCACTGGCTTCCTTGCTCCTCAACTTGCAGATGACCTATCGTGGGACTTTACCTTGTGATTGTGTGAGTCAATTCTCCTTAATAAACTCCATCTCATATATCCATATATCCTATTAGTTCTGTCACTCTAGAGAACCCTGACTAATACAAGGCTATTTTTCCTAAGACAATCCAAGAGAAAATGAGAAACGGAAATACCAATCGTTCTTAACCATATGAAAAGATGCTCAAGTCAGTCAATAAACACATTAAAACTATACTGAGGAAAAAAAAACAGAAAAACTCACACTGAGGAAAAACTTGTCAAGATGGAGTAGCAAGGACCAAATTTACTCCCTCATCTTAAACAATTAGTTCATGTTCCCAACAGCGAGAATGGCGAAACCTCAAAATAAATGGGAATCACGTAGAATCTTCTGAAGGGCACTGCATTACCAGTGCAGATAAATTCACTTGAGACTAAAGGTTGCTCTGAACCCACACTAATGTAGCTTAAAGATAAGCCCTGAGTCCAAGTAACTTATCTGCACTCCATAACAAAATCCAACCCTCACTAAGGAAGACAACTTAATCCACAATCAACAACATAAAGTGCAGAAATTCTGGCATACAATCAATGTTTTCTAGGCATGCAAAAACAAACAAAAAACAAAAACAGAAACATACGATCCATAACCAGCAGAAAATTAACAGACATAGACCCAAAAGTGATGGAGATAATGAGACTAACAAACCTATTTTCCATTTGTTCAAGAAGAGAAAGGACAGGAATGAAAGCATAATGATGGAAATAGAAGATATATAATAGAACTGTATCAAACTTGTAGAGATTAAAAAATAAGACCAGGTGCGGTGGCTCACGCCTGTAATCCCAGCACTTTGGGAGGCCGAGGCGGGTGGATCACAAGGTCAGGAGATCCAGAACATCTTGGCCAACATGGTGAAACCCCGTCTCCACTAAAAAAATACAAAAATTAGCCGGGTGTGGTAGCGTGCCCCTGTAGTCCCAGCTACTCAGGAGCCTGAGGCAGAAGAATCGCTTGAACCCAGGAGGCGGAGGTTGCAGTGAGCCAAGATCATGCGACTGCACTCCAGCCTAGGCAGTAAAAGTGAAACTCCATCTCAAAAATAAATAAATAAATAAATAAATAAATAAATAAAATATCAGCAATGAAGAATACACCAGAGAGAATTAACAGTAGAATGACACTAGAAAAAACAGATCAGTGAATTTAATGACACAGCAATAAAAATTATCCAAAATAAAACACAGAGACTAGAAAAGTAAACAGAACCTCAGTGAGCTGTGGGATAATAACAAGGTGGTCTTGCATTATACTGGAATCCCAAAAAAGAGGAGGGGAAACAAAAAAAAATCTGAAGAATTAGTGGCTGAAATTCTTCCAAATTCGTTAAAAACTAAAATTGCAGATCCAAAATACTCAAACCCCAAACAGAATAAATATTTTTTTAAGAGCCATGCTGAGGGCCAGGTGCAGTGTGTCACGCCTATAATCCCAGCACTCTGGGAAGCCGAGGCGGGTGGATCACGAGGTCAGGAGATCGAGACCATCCTGGCTAGCACGGTGAAACCCCATCTCTACCAAATACACAAAAAATTAGCCAGGCATGGTGGTGGGTGCCTGTGGTCCCAGCTACTTGGGAGGCTGAAGCAGGAGAATGGTGGAGCTTGCAGTGAAGCCGAGATCACGCCACTGCACTCCAGCCTGGGCAACAGAGCAAGACTCCATCTCAAAAAAAAAAAAAAAAAAAAAAGCCATGGTGAGGCACATGACAACTAAATAGCTGAAAACCAGTGATTAGGAGGAAAATAATCAAAGTAACCAGAAGAAACTGATTCATTATATACAAAGGAACAGATACAAATAACAGGAGACTTTTTGTAAAAAATCATGCAAGCCAGAACAAAATGGAGAGACATTTAAAGTACTAAATGAGGCCGGGCACAATGCCTCACACCTGTAATCCCAGCAATTTGCAAGGCCAAGGTGAGTGGATCACTTGAGGTCAGGAGTTCAAGACCAGCCTGGCCAACATGGTGAAACCCTATATCTACTAAAAATACAAAAATTAGCTGGGTGTGGTGGAGGGTGCCTGTAATCCCAGCTACTCAGGAGGCTAAGGCGGGAGAATCGCTTGAAGCTGGGAGGCAAAAGTTGTAGTGAGCTGAGATCACCCCATTGCATTCCAGCCTGGGTAAGAGAGAGAGACTCTGTCTCAAAAATAAATAAATAAATTTCAAATAAATAAATAAAGTACTAAATGAAAAGTAATATACAAAGAACATCGAAAATCTAGAATTCTTAACACACAGAGAAAATACCCTTCAAAACTGAGGAGAAATAAACTCTTTCAAGCCCGTGTGGTGGCACATACCTACAGTCCCAGCTACTTGGGAGGCCAAGACAGCCTAGAAAACATAGCAACACCCAGTCTCTTAAAAAATAAAAATAAAAAAGCTTTTCAAACAAAAGCTGGGACATTTCATTGCTATCATACCCGGTGACAAGAAATATTAAAGGAAGTTTTTCAAGCAGGCTTATGATAAGCCCACATGGTTAGAAAATGACCCTCTTTGTCAACAGCCATGTGAGTAACCCACTTAGAAGTCGATCCTCCAGTCCCAACCAAGCCTCTGGAAGATTACAGTGCCAACTTAGATTTTTATTATAACCTCATGAGGGATGCTATACCAGAACCACCCAGCTAAGCCACTTTCAAATTCGTGGCCCATAGAAACTATGAGATAATAAATGCCTGTTGTCTTAAGCTGCTCAGTTTTAGAGTGATTTGTTACACAACAATAGGTAACTCCTAAAAACACTATCAACCAACTAGAGCTAATTGACAATAACACTACAGCCTACAAAAGCTGGACACTCATTCTACTGGTCATAAAATATGTCTCAATAAACGTAACTTAAAAATTTAGGCAGGCGTGGTGGTGCACACCTATGGTCCCAGCTACTTGAGGGGCTGAGGTCTGAGGATCACTTTAGCTCAGGAGGGTCAACGCTGCATTGAGCCATGATAGTGCCACTGCACTCCAGCCTGGGAAACAGTGAAATCTTGCCTCAAACTTAAAATAAAAATAAAAATAGATTAAATTTGGCCAGGCACAGTGGCTCACACCTGTAATCCCAGCGCTTTGGGAGGCCAAGGCAGGTGGATCACCTGAGGTCAGGAGTTTGAGATCAGCCTAGCCAACATGGTGAAACCCCACCTCTACTAAAAATAAAAAAAAAAAAAAACATTAGTCAGACGTGGTGGCAGGCACTTGTAATCCCAGCTACTTGGGAGGCTGAGGCAGGAGGAACGCTTGAACTTGGGAGGCGGATGTTGCAGTGAGCTGAGATCGCACAATTGCACTCCAGCCTGGGCAACAAGAGTGAACCTCTGTCTCAAAAAAATAAATAAATAAATTTAAGAAAACTGACATTACATAAAGTAAGACCTCAGAACACAATGGGGCCGGGCGCAGTGGCTCACATTAGCACTTTGTGAGGCTGAGGCAGGCGAATCATCTGAAGGGTCAGCAGTTTGAGACAAGCCTGGCCAATGTGGCGAAGCCCCATCTCTACTAAAAATACAAAAATTAGCTGGGCATGGTGACACGTGCCTGTAAGTCCCAGCTACTCGGGAAGCTGAGGCACAAGAATCACTCAAACCCAGGAGGCAGAGGTTACAGTGAGCCTAGATCGCACCACTGCACTCTAGCCTGGGAGACAGAACAAGACTCCGTCTCAAAAAAAAAAAAAAAAAAAAAAAAAAACATAATAAAATTATGCTGGAAATCATTAACAAGATACCTTTAAAAATTCCCCAAATTTAGAAATTAAATAAATAACATACCTCTAAATAACACACAGGCCAAAAAAGAAAGAAAACTAGACTGAAACACCTTTTTTCTACCTATCATATTTGCAAAGACCAAAAGTTTGATGACATACTATGCTAGCCAGGTAGTAAAGTAATGGATAGCTCCCCCTCCCCCTCCCCCTCCCTCTCCCCTTTGCACGGTCTCCCTCTGATGCCAAGCCGAGGCTGGACTGTACTGCCGCCATCTTGGCTCATTGCAACCTCCCTGCCTGATTCTCCTGCCTCAGCCTACCGAGTGCCTGGGATTGCAGGCGCGCGCCGCCATGCCTGACTGGTTTTTGTATTTTTTGGTGGAGACGGGGTTTCGCCGTGTTGGCCGGGCTGGTCTCCAGCTCCTGACTGCGAGTGATCTGCCAGCCTCGGCCTCCCGAGGTGCCGGGATTGCAGACGGAGTCTCGCTCACTCAGTGCTCAATGCTGCCCAGGCTGGAGTGCAGTGGCGTGATCTCGGCTCGCTACAACCTCCACCTCCCAGCCGCCTGCCTTGGCCTCCCAAAGTGCAGAGATTGCAGCCTCTGCCCGGCCGCCACCCCGTCTAAGAAGTGAGGAGCGTCTCTGCGCAGCCGCCCATCGTCTGGGATGTGAGGAGCCCCTCTGCCCGGCTGCCCAGTCTGGGAAGTGAGGAGTGCCTCTTCCCGGCCATCATCCCGTCTAGGAAGTGAGGAGCGTCTCTGCCCGGCTGCCCATCGTCTGGGATATGGGAAGAGCCTCTGCCCCGCCGCCCCATCTGGGATGTGAGGAGCGCCTCTGCCCGGCCGCGACCCCGTCTGGGAACTGAGGAGTGTCTCTGCCCCGCCGCCACCCCGTCTGGGAGGTGAGGAGCGTCTCTGACCGGCTGCCCCCGTCTGAGAAGTGAGGAGCCCCTCCGCCCGGCAGCCGCCCCGTCTGGGAAGTGAGGAGCCCCTCCGCCCAGCAGCCGCCCCGTCTGGCAGGTGAGGAGCGTCTCCGCCTGGCAGCCCCCCCATCTGGGAGGTGGGGGGCAGCCCCCGCCCGGCCAGCCGCCCCGTCCGGGAGGTGGGGGGCGCCTCTGCCTGGCTGCCCCGTCTGGGAAGTGAGGAGCCCCTCTGCCTGGCCGCCACCCCGTCTGGGAGGTGTACCCAACAGCTCACTGAGAAGGGGCCATGATGACGATGGCGGTTTTGTCGAATAGAAAGTGGGGAAGTGTGGGGAAAAGAAAGAGAGATCGGATTGTTACTGTGTCTGTGTGGAAAGAAGTAGACATAGGAGACTCCATTTTGTTCTGTACTAAGAAAAATTCTTCTGCCTTGGGATGCTGTTAATCTATGGCCTTGCCCCAACCCCGTGCTCTCTGAAACATGTGCTGTGTCCACTAAGGGTTAAATGGATTAAGGGCGGTGCAAGATGTGCTTTGTTAAACAGATGCTTAAAGGCAGCATGCTCGTTAAGAGTCATCACCACTCCCTAATCTCAAGTACCCAGGGACACAAACACTGCGGAAGGCGGCAGGGCCCTCTGCCTAGGAAAACCAGAGACCTTTGTTCACATGTTTATCTCCTGACCTTCCCTCCACTATTGTCCTATGACCCTGCCAAATCCCCCTCTCCGAGAAACACCCAAGAATGATCAATAAATACTAAAAAAAATAAAAATTAAAAAATTAAAAAATAAAAAGTAATGGATACTCTCATACTGATGGAAGGAGTACAAATTAGCGTATTATATATGAGAACAATCTGGCAAAAATTTATCAAAAGTATAAATTTACATCCATTTGACCCAATAATTAAATGGTGATTTAGAGCAGGATCTCTTAATTTTTCATCCTTTTCTCCATACCCGTGAAGACATTTTCTCAAACCAAAGTCCAAGAAAGAATCTGCATATTATTCCCAGATGAGTCAACCTGGAGGAAAATGTAGTCTAGCCAAAATAACAAAAATTCTGCAATTCCCATAATTTTCAATGGTTTCAAGAAACAATTAAAATATCAAAATCAGCACTGACTCAAAAAATCCAGGCTGCACGGTCCTAAAACATTAAATGACAATGTTTTAATGAAAACGAGAAATTATCTTGGTTTAAGAATTTATTATATATAGTATTTTAATACCAGCATTAAAGATGAACCTTTTTAACCTCTTCCTAATCTCAACACATAATCCCTTAAATACTCTCTATTGCTTTTTTAAGTCTTAAAAAAACAACCAGAAAACTTCTTTACCCTGAGATTTTATAACTATGTTAGCTTGAATTCATTTCAGATTAGAAATAAGGTAATATAAAATACTTATCAACACTTTATGTTGTATTTCATAAGGTGGATAGTGGTACATGAATGTCCATTGTACTGAAATTCTTTAAACTGTACATATACATTTTATAAACTCTCTCCTGTGTATGTAAGTTTATAATATTAAAAAAACTTAAGATTTATCAATACAGAAACTCTTAATCTAAGTTAAAATTCCTACTCAATATTATTCTAAATAAATCCAAGTAATCACTTCCCACTTTCTCAATGACAAAAAAAGGGTTAACTCTAATTACCAGTGTTAAAGTTCCACTTTACAAAAACCTAAACCTCTTTCTTTTAGAGTACCTAATTACAGGATGGGAAATTGAGTCCATGATGAGAAATATAATTTCCAAAACTATGGTAATGCATTAACAGTTTCAGAGACAAAGAAGAACATCTACCTTACAGGTTTTCTTCCTATTGTCATTAAAAAACTATTTGCCAATGTATATTTCTGACAAGAATTTTTCATATTATTAATTATAATACATAGATAACATTTGTAAACTTTTTTTTAAATACTTTAAATTCTGGGATACATGTGCAGAATGTGCAAGTTTGTTACATAGGTATACATGTGCCATGGTGGTTTGCTGCACACATCAACCCGTCATCTAGGTTTTAAGCCCCGCATGCATTAGGTATTTGTCCTAATGCTCTCCCTCCCCTTGCCCCCAACCCCAACAGACCCCAGTGTGTGATATTCCCCTCCCTGTGTCCATGTGTTCTCACTGTTAAATTCCCATTTATGAGTGAGAACATGTGGTGTTTGGTTTGCCCAAGGAAGTCCCAAGACTAGAATTTTTAAACAGCTTTTTCTTCCTTTCTTCTCTCCCTCATTCACTTCCACATACATATGCACATATAAACAACAAACACAAATGCATGCAGATTTAAAAAAACAAAAAACAAAACAAAAAAAAAACGAAGTCCCTTTATAAAGAAAAAAATGGGCCAGGGGCGATGGCTCACTCCTATAATCCCAGCACTTTGGGAGGCTGAGGTGGGTGGATCACCCGAGGTCAGGAGATGGTGACTGGCCTGGCCAACATGGTGAAACCCAATCTCTCCTAAAAATACAAAAATAGCCAGGTGTGGTGATACGCACCTGTAGTCCCAGTGACTCAGGAGGCTGAAGCAGGAGAATCGTTTGAACCTGGGAGGCAGAGGCTGCAGTGAGCCAAGATCACACCGCTGCACTCTAGCCTGGGCAACAGAGTGAGACTATGCCTCAAAAAAAAAAGAAGAGGAAGAAGAAAAAGAGGAAGAGGAAGAAGAGAAAAAAGAAGAAGAAGGAAGAAAAGAAAGAAAAAAAGTATTTGCATTATAAGAAAGAACCTATACATCTTTCTAATTGCCTGACAAAAAGATCCTGCTCATAGCTTATCATAAACTGGTAAAAGATAAACCAGTCATTACTAGACAAAACTGAAAGTTCTAAATAATTGTCTGCCTCCTGCCCAGCTCTTCTCCATGAACTCTATTCACCTGTTCCCATCCTGGGTTCCGTATTGCAGCTAAGGACAGCACCATTTTCTCAAGCATTCATAAGTAACTACTCCCTCTCACCTTTCAAACTGGAATTCAAATAGTTATGTGTTAGTTATATTTAGGCTATCATATGGTGTGTAAAGCCAAAACACAGCTATTAAAAAATTTACATTCATTCATTGTTTTGGTTTGAATGAAATCTCAAGTTAATTATTTAATTTAGTCATTATTCATACACACGTTTGCTAATAATTTGGTTGAGAAAAAAACATAAATTTATATATCCATAAAAACCTATGGCTCTCTTAAAGGACTCAATTTGTTTGGTTTTGTTTTTTTTTTTTTTTTTTTTTTTTTTTTGAGATGAAGTCTCACTCTTTCACCCAGGCTGGAGTGAAGTGGTGTGATCTCCGCTCACTGCAACCTCCACCCACTGGGTTCAAGCCATTCTCCGGCCTCAGCCTCCTGAATAGCTGGGATTACAGGCATCTGCCACCACACCCAGCTTTTTTTTTTTTTTTTGTATTTTTAGTAGAGACAGGGCTTCACCCCGTTGGTCAACCTGGTCTCAAATCCCTGACCTCAAGTGATCCGCCTGCGTTGGCCTCCCAAAGTGCTGGGATTACAGGCGTGAGCCACCGTGCCCAGCCTCAATTTGCCTTAAAGAGCCAGATAGTATTTTCTACTTTGAGGGCCATGCAGTCTGTTGTAATTACTCAATTCTGTTTTTGTAGAGTGAAAGCCGCCATAGGCAATAAGTAAATAAATTAGTGTGGTATGTTCCAATAACATTTTATTTACCAAAACAAGCTGCCAACCCTTGGGCAATAGTTTGCCAACCTCACGTTCCAAAAGGATCCAAAAGCATGTAAAGCCATAGAAAAGAAAACACAAAAGCCTACCTAATCTCATTTATCAAATTAATCCATTATTCCATTCATCTTTTAATCAAATGAGGTCAGTGCTCTTAGCTAGTGAAGAAAGGGTTTAAAACAGAAATCTGAGTCACTGTTCCAAAGGTCTTAAGGTATACCTCAACTATAAAATGAAGAGTTGGTAGTAAATGACCTCCAAATTATGCTCTAGCATTAAAAATTCTATGTGCCCATCTATAAACAGGCAGTCTAAATGCCCAGAGAGATTAAACCACATTGTCTTCTGATCATAAACAATTACCGGGAAAAAAAATAACCATGGAGGACAAAGTTACAGGCAATATGAAAACATCTCAAAAGATGTCTTCATGTAAATGTTTCAGCAGTAAGCAAAAGAGTAGTTCACATTTCAAACCAATATTTATTCGGTGCACACTCCAATTCAGAAGACCTGGGCCCCAGCTCTGTCACTTAACTGTTGTTTTTTTTTTTTTTTTTTGAGACGGAGCCTTGCTCTGTCACCAGGCTGGAGTGCAGTGGCACAATCTCAGCTCACTGCAACCTCAGCCTCCCTGGTTCAAGTGATTCTCCTGCCTCAGCCTCCTGAGTCACTAGTACTAGTTTTTGTATTTTTAGTAGAGACAGGGTTTCACCATGTTGGCCAAGATGGTCTTGATCTCTTGACCTTGTGATCCGCTCCCCTCAGCCTCCCAAAGTGCTGGGATTACAGGCATGAGCCACCGTGCCTGGCCAACTACCTACTCATTGAGTAAGATTCTCTATTATCTTTAACTTCTCCAAAAAACGAGGACAATAATATCTACCTCAAACACTGTTGGGTAGGAAAGGGGTTTGTAAAAAGTAACACAAAATAGAAAATTAGCATCTGGGTGAGATGGCTCACGCCTATAATCTGCGATGGCTCACGCCTGTAATCCCAATGCTTTGGGAGGTTGAGGCAGGCGTATCACTTGATTGAGCTCAGAAGTTTGAGACCAATCTAGGCAACATGGTAAAACCCCATGTATACAAAAAATACAAAAATTAGCCAAACATGGTGGCACACACCTGTGTTCCTAGCTACTCAGGAGGCTGAGGTGAGATAATCACTTGAGCTTAGGAGGTCAAGGCTGCAGTGAGCCAAGATCGTGCCACTGCACTGTAGCCTGTGCAACAGAACGAGACCCTGTCTCAGAAAAAAAAGAAGAAGAAAAAATTAGCAAGGTGGTAGACGTTAATAAAACCATATCAAAAATTAAAACAACTGTGAATAGTCTAAGCATACCTACTGAAAGACAAGGATTGTCAAATCAGATTTTTTTAAGGCAAAATCCAAATTTAAGTTAAAAGTAGAAAAGCAGAAATGTAACCAAGTACCCACATTTTTCTAAGAAAAAGAAAATATTTTTTATTATGTTTTTCTCTTTTCTCCATGTCTCCCTGTTCTCCACTTCCTACTTAGCCCTTTAAAATTCAACTTTTTTTTTTTTTTGAGACTGAGTCTCTCTCTGTCGCCCAGGCTGGAGTGGAGTGGCGCAATCTCAGCTCTCTGCAAGCTCCGCCTCCCGGGTTCATGCCATTCTCCTGCCTCAGCCTCCCGAGTAGCTGGCACCACAGGCGCCCACCACCACGCCCGGCTAATTTTTTGTATTTTTAGTAGAAACGGGGTTTCACCGTGTTAGCCAGGATGGTCTCAATCTCCTGACCTCGTGATCCACCCGCCTCGGCCTCCCAAAGCGCTGGGATTACAGGCATGAGTCACTGTGCCCGGCCTCAATTATAACTTTTTACTTCCCCTTCACCTAAAACTCTTACAGGGCAAATTCATCTAAATATGTGCTTAAAAGATCCAGAGCAGGCCGGGTGCGGTGGCCCATGCCTGTAATCCCACCACTTTGGTAGGAGGAGACGGGAGGATCCCTTGACTCAAGGAGTTCAAGACCAGCCTGGCCAATAAAGTGAGACTTTGTCTCTACAAAAAATTTTAAAATTGGCCAAGCATGGTGGCGTGTGCCTCTAGTCCCAGCCACTTGGGAGGCTGAAGTGGGAGGATTGCTTGAGCCCAGGAGGGAGAGGTTGCAGTAAGCCAATATCATGCTGCTGCACTCCAGCCTGGGTGAAAGAGTGAGACCCTGTCTCAAAAAAAAAAAAAAAAAAAAAAAAAGCTCTAGAACAAACTCTCACCCACCAGGAGACTGCCTCAAGAGAAAACAGTTGACTTACAACCCAAAGTGTGTCCACTGTGAAACTCTCTCCTACTGGAAGGCTGCCTCAAGAGACAACAGTCCAGCTACAACCCAAAGTGTGCCCACTACAAAACTCTCTACTAACCTGGAGGGTTTTTAGCCACTTTTACAACTTAATCCTGCCCACAAAGGTATCAGCAGTCATCAACTAGATCTCCCAGCAGATAAGGCACCAAGCCAACATGCAGATCCCCACCTGCTTCCTTCCTCTCCTGCATGCCATTTATGTTAGGCCCCCTTTTAAAAGTGCTCCCCCTTTCTGCTCCAAAAGCAAAGCAGCATCCTTAAAGCAGGAAGCCTTCCCCTAAGCTACCTTTGGAATAAAAAGTTACTTTATACGAGACTTTGTTCTTGTTGACTGGATTCTGCAAGCAGCAAACAACTGAATCTGCATTTTGGTTAGAGAGAGGGATATACCATCCAAATTCTATCTGACTTAACAGTATCTGACCAACTGTATAAAAAACAAGCTAAAAGTTCCTAATTTAAAAATCAGGCCGGGCACCGTGGCTCATGCCTGTAATCCCAACACTTTGGGAGGTCAAGGTGGGTGGATCACTTGAGGTCAAGAGTTCAAGACCAGCCTGGCCAACATGGTGAAACCCCATCTCTTCTAAAAATAGAAAAACTAGCCAGGTGTGTGTGGAGGAAAAGTTAAATATTAAATTTGAACTCAACTGAATGTGGACACAAACAATGGTCACCAAGTCCCAGAAGAGGTTGTGTGAGCCCCTTGAGGCGTTCATCCAGCACCATTTCAGAGAAATCTCTATTTCAATCTATTCCTATATGTTAGTTATTGAAAAACAATAGACAATCACAAAAACAAGTTGACCTTATTGTGTTCATTGAGCCCAGTAGTGCAGGGCCCTCTTGACTGGGCCTCATGCCAAACAACTCGTTACAAAAACAGCTAGGGCCCCACGCTGCGCCAAAGCTTCATGAAAGACCTCTCCTCATCTGTGAACGGACAAGTGGCCGACTCTGGAGCCCAGGCTGTTGCTTGCCAGTCTGGTGGTGAATCCTCCATAGTCTGGTGAGTATAAATATATATGTATCTTTTCCCTTATCCCCTCCCCATTGCAATTTGCTTATTATATCCATTTGCTTATATTATTTGCTTATTATATCTGCATTGCCATTTACGTGGGTTAAAGGTTGTTTACCATTAAAGGGATTGTGTGTGTTTGTCTTTTCTTCTCCCCTTGCATGTTTCCCACACAGAACAGTGTGGTAGCAGGCGCCTGTAATCCCAGCTACTCAGGAGGTTGAAACAGGAAAATCACTTGAACCTGGGAGGCAGAGGTTGCAGTGAGCCGAGATCACACCACTGCACTCCAGCCTGGGCAACAGAATTCTTTGTCTCAAAAAAAAAAAAAAATTAAAAAACTTGACATTACATGTTTTCAAGATCTACTCATATATATTACTCATATATATAACAGGTGTGAGGTCCTTTCCCAAAAGGAGATAGTCCTCTCCCAAAAATAGAGCAGAAAGCAATAGACTTTCTGGGAGCACATATATGAAAGAAAGTTCACTTAGGTAACTGCCCTAAGTGAACTTAAATATAAATATAAAAAAGTAAATATAACTGTAATATAGAACCTAATATTGTACTGTAAATATGTGCGTAATTAAGTTAAACATCTAAGTAATTTGTTCTCTGCAAGAGAAGCCAGGCAATACCACTTTTTCTTCTATCTATTATAATCAAAGTACTACTTAACCCTAAAGGCAAAAAAAAAAAAAAAACTATGATACTTTTATACTTACTTCAAAAATACTTTATTAACATAAGTAAATTAAATAAAATCTGTATCTAAAACAAAAATAACCAGGTCGTTGGGTTAACCCCTTCATCCAAAGCAAACAAAAAACCAGATAAAATAAATGAACCAATGGTTTTCAAGATATTGGACATCAGGTAATGAAGGACAATAATCTGTGATAGATGGGAAGCAAGTGACGTGATGATATGTGTCAGAGCTTACTTCCTTGACAGAGTTTCCAGGCCACAGTAAAGGAAGGAGAATCAAAATGGGGCCAAACTCTATGAAGCTGAGAAGACAGAACTAAGCATCTAGGAAAATCAATGCTGCTATAGCTTATAGGACAGAGTACTAAAAAGTAAAGAATTCCACAGAGAAATAATCCCAGAAATCTACACAGAGTGCTCCTGAGTATTTGACTATTTGCCAGAGTACTAATTAGCACATAACTGTATGGAAACTACCAAAGGCCAGGGATAAAAACATTTGAAAGGATTAGAAAACAGTACATGCTCACATGTAAGGTTGAGAATGGTGTCTGTTCCCATCAGCCAAACTGATGGAAAACTTGTAATTCAACAGGTATTAGATAGGTGACACAGTAGTATCTTTCCTCAGTAGTGGAGAATAATTAGAAAGAAATACTAGAAAAAATAGAAACTTACATAAAGAAACAAAGAGCACTGGAAATAGTAAGTAGATGGGTAAGATTTTTTAGTTACTATTTAAATCTCTTTAAAATTGTTGACTGTAAATAAAAATAACATTATATTCAGGGGTTTATTAAATATATAAAAGTAAAATGTTTGACAACAATAGGATAAAGGCTTAGAGGGAAATTTAAAAAGCAAACTATTATAAGGTTTCTATACTACACATAAAGTAGTATAAGTAGACTGTGATAAGTGAAAGACATATACTATAAACCATAAAGAGATCAATAAAATAACAACAGAGTTACAGTTCATAAGCCAACAAAGAAGAGTAAATGGAAACATTTTAAAAAGTCTGAAGAAGGCATAAAAGAGAAAAAGCAAACAAAGAACAGATGGGATAAACAGGAAACAAGATGATGGACTTAAATTTAACTATATCAATAATTGTTTTAAATGTAAATGGACTAAGTACCATTGTCAGAGATTTTAAGACTGGATTTTAAAATAGCAAGGCCAAACAAGATCAACTGCCAGCGCACACACACACACACACACACACACACACACACACACACACACACAGTTTAAGAAAAGACACCAACAGTTTAAAAGAAAAAAAATTTTGGCCAGGCATGGTAGCTCACGCCTATAATCCCAGCACTTTGAAAGGCCAAGGGGCCAGCAGATTGCATGAGTCCAGGAGTTTGAAACCAGCCTGGACAACATGGCAAAACCTTGTCTCTATATAAAAAATACAAAAATTTCACTGGGTGTGGTAGCACATGCCTATAGTCTCAGTTACTCAGGAGGCTGAAGTGGGAGAATCACCTGAGCCCACGAAGTCAAGACTGCAGTGAGCCATGATTGTGCCACTGCGCTCCAGCCTGAATGACAGGGTGAGATGCTGTCTCCAAAAAAATACTTTAAAAGAAGATTTTTTTTTTTTTTTTTTGAGACAGAGTCTTGCCCTGTTGCCCAGGCTAGAGTGCAGTGGTGCCATCTCGGCTCACTGCAACCTCCACCTCCTGGGTTCAAGCGATTCTCCTGCCTCAGCCTCCCAAGTAGCTGGGATTACAGGCACATGCCACCACGTCCGGCTAATTTTTGCCTTTTTAGTAGAGACGGAGTTTCACCACGTTGGTCAGGCTGGTCTCGAACTCCTGACCTTGTGATCCACCCACCTTGGCCTCCCAAAGTGCTGGGATTACAGGCGTGAGCCAGCGCACCCAGCCCCTAAAAAAAAAGGAGTTTTAAAAATACATGCCATGTTGACAATAATCAAAAGAAATATGGGTGACGACATTAATATCAGACAAAACAGACTAAAGAATAAGGAATATTGCCAGGAATAAAAAGGACATTATATAATGATAAAGAAGTTAACTCACCACAAAGACATAACAATCCTAAGTGTATACCTAACAACAGAACTCCAAAATACAAGCAGCAAAAATTGACAACTTCAAGGAAATAGAGACAAATCCACGGTTATATTTGGAGACTTCAACACCATTCTCAGTAATGAAGAAAACAAGCAGACAGAAAATCAGTAAGAACATAGAAGACCTGAACAACAATATCAACCAACTTGACTAAATTGACATTTATAAAACACTACACCCCACAACAGAATAATAAGCGCTTTTTTCTAGTGCACATGGAACATTCACCAAGAGAGACGACATTCTGAGCTATAAAAGAAACCTTAACTATTTTAAATAAATTGACATCATATAAGTATGCTATCTCACTATAATGGAATTAAATTAGAAATTACTGGCTGGGCACCGTAGCTCACACCTGTACTCCTAGCATTCTGGGAGGCTGAGGCAGGTGGATCATTTGAGTCCAGCAGTTCAAGACTAGCCTGGGCAACATGGCAAAACCCTGTCTCTACTAAAAATACAAAAATTATCTGGGTGTGGTGGTGTGCCTGTAGTCCCAGCCACTTGGGAGGCTGAGGCACAAGAATCGCTTGAACCCGGGAGATGGAGGCTGCAGTGAGCTGAGATGGTGCACCACTGCATTCCAGCCTAGGTGACAGAGCGAGACCCCATCTCAAAAAAAAGAAAAAGAAGAAGAAAGAAGAAAGAAGAAGAAGAAGAAGAAAGAAGAAGAAGAAGAAGAAGACGACGACGACGACGACGACGACGACGACGATGACGACGAAGAGGGAAAGGAATTACTAATAGTCACAATCTGAAAAAAAAAAAACTCAAAATTTCTTTTTTTTTTTTTTGAGATGGGGTCTCACTATGTCACCCAGACTGGAATGCAGTGGCGCCATCCTGGCTCACTGCAGCCTCTATATCCCAGACTCAAGTAACCCTCCTACCTCAGCTTTCTGAGTAGCTGGGACTACAGGCACACGCCACCATGCCTGGCTAATTTTTCTAGTTTTTATAAAGATGAGGTCTTAACATGTTGCCCAGGCTGGTCTCCAGCTCCTGAGCTCAAGTGATTCACCACCCTCACCCTCCCAGAGTGCTGGGATTACAGGCAGAAGCCACCACTCCCAGCCTTAAAAAACTCAAAACTTCTAAATGACCCATTGGCTAAAGAGGAGATCACAGAAAATAGAAGATATTTTGAACTGCATAAAAATGAAAATATATCAAAAATGTGGGATGCCTGTACACTGTGCTTAGAGGGAAATTTATTGCATTATATCTTATTAGAAAAGAAGACTACAAATCTAAGCTGCCACCTTAAGAAACCATAAAAAGACTAGGAAATTAAATTCAAACAAAACGAAGGAAGAAAATAATAAAGAGCAGATATCAATGAAATTGAGAACAACAACAACAAAAAATCAGTAAAACCAAAAGCTGGTTCCTTGAAAAAGTAACAAAAGTGATAAAAAGCCAGCCAGGCGCGATGGCTCCCACCTGTAATCCCAGCACTTTGAGAGGCCGACGTAGCAGATCACCTGAGGTCAGGAATTAGAGACCAGCCTGGCCAACATGGTGAAATGCCATCTCTACCAAAAAATACAAAACAATTAGCTAGGCGCAGTGGTGCACACCTGTAGTTCCAGCTACTGGGGAGGCTGAGGAGGAAGAATCGCTTGAACCCAGGAGGCAGAGGTTGCAGTGAGCCACGACTGCACCACTGCACTCCATCCTGGGTGACAGAGTAAGACCCTGTCTCAAAAAAAAAAAAAAAAAAAGAGAGAGGGTTTCACTACATACTTTACAGACATTGAGAAAATAAGGAGAAATAGTACAAACAACATTCTGCCCATAAATTCAACAACTTAGATGAAATGGACAAACTTCATGAAAGATTCAAACTGTCAAAGCTCACATAAAGAAAAAAAAGTACTGAATAAATGATACAGGTCACTAAAGAAATCGAATATGAGGCCGGGTGCAGTGGCTCACGCCTGTAATCCCAGCACTCTGGGAGGCTGAGGCGGGTGGATCGCCTGAGTTTGAGACCAGCCTGGCCAACATGGTGAAACCCTATCTCTACTAAAAATACAAAAATTAGCCAGGCGTGGTGGCAGGCACCTGTAATCCCAGCTACTAGGGAGGGTGAGGCAGGAGAATCAACTGAACCCAGGAGGCTGAGGTTGCAATGAGCCGAGGTCGCGCCATTGCACTCCAGCCTGGGCAAAAAGAGCGAAACTCAGTCTCAAAAAAAAAAAAAAAAGTAAAGAGAAAAAAGAAAAGAAATGGAGTATGTTAAAACCTTATTCAACAAATGTTACAGCTAAAAAGCTTCCAACAACAAATATTCCAAACCTAGATTGTTTCACGGACAAACTCTATCAAGATATTTAAAAAAGGAATAATGTCATATTCTACACAAACTCTTACAAAATAAAGAGGAGGGTGCCCTTCCCAACTCATTTATGAAGCCAGCTTTACCCTGAGACCAAAATCAGACAGAGATATTGCAAAAGAAGAAAACTACAGTACAATATCCCTCTTGACTACAGATACAAAAATCCTCATGTCAAAATACAAGCAACTTAAATCCAGCAATCTATAAAAGGATAATATATCATGACGTGGATTTTATCCCAGAAATGCAAGACTGGTTCAATAGTCAATAATTATTCCATGTGTAATACTACATACATGGTGTTATGGTTTGAATATGTTACCTCTCCAAAACTCAGGTTTGTAACTGAATCCCCACTGTGGTGGTATTAAGAGGCAGGGCCTTTGGGGAAGTGATTACATCATTAGGGGTCTGCCCTCTCAGAT
Source organism: Homo sapiens (assembly GCF_000001405.40). Classification (NCBI taxonomy): domain Eukaryota; kingdom Metazoa; phylum Chordata; class Mammalia; order Primates; family Hominidae; genus Homo; species Homo sapiens. The sequence goes on along the minus strand of NC_000002.12, from coordinate 169,843,447 downwards.
GGATTAGTGCCTTATAAAAGGGCTGGACAGAACTAGCTCAGGCCCCTTTTGCTTATCCACTCTTCCACCATATGAGGACACAAGATCTGCCCCTTTTGCTCTTTTCACCCCTTCCACCATGTGAAGATGCAGCAGAAGGCCCTCACCAGATCCCAAATATGAGTGCTTTGATCTTGGACTTCCCAGCCTTCAAACTGTAAGAAATAATTTCTGTTCTTTATTACTCAGTCTCAGGTATTTTGTTATAACAGCACAAAATGAACTAAGCCAGAAATTGATACGAAGAAATGATGTCGTTGCTATAATAAATACCTGAAAATGTGGAAGTGGCTTTTGAACTGGGTAATAGGTAGAGGCTGGAGTAGTTTTGAAGTGAATGCTAGGAAAAGCTTAGATTGCCATAAAAGAAGCATTAAGGATAGTTCCAGTGAGGGCTAAAAGGAAGAATGGAATGTTGGTAGAAATATGGATAGCAAAAGCCATTCTGATGATCTCTTAAACAGAAATGAGGAATATCGTATCAGAAACTGGAGGAAAGACCATTCTTTTTACAAAATGGCAAAAAAATTGGCTGAATTGTACCCATGTCCTACTGTGTCCAGAATTGGTGGGTTCTTGGTCTCACTGACTTCAAGAATGAAGCCGCGGACCCTCGCGGTGTTACAGCTCTTAAGGTGGCGTGTCTGGAGTCTGTCCCTTCTGATGTTCAGATGTGTTCGGAGTTTCTTCCTTCTGGTGGGTTCGTGGTCTCGCTGGCTCAGGAGTGAAGCTACAGACCTTCACGGTGAGTGTTACAGCTCTTAAGGCAGCGCGTCTGGAGTTGTTCGTTCCTCCTGGCGGGCTCGTGGTCTCGCTGGGCTCAGGAGTGAAGCTGCAGATCTTCACGGTGAGTGTCACAGCTCATAAAAGCAGCGTGGACCCAAAGAGTGAGCAGTAGCAAGATTTATTGCAAAGAGTGAAAGAACAAAGCTTCCACAGTGTGGAAGGGGACCCGAGAGGGTTGCCAATGCTGGCTAGGGCAGCCTGCTTTTATTCTCTTATCTGGCCCCACCCACATCCTGTTGATTGGTAGAGCCCAGTGGCCTGTTTTGTCAGGGCGCTGATTGGTGCGTTTACAATCCCTGAGCTAGATACAAAGGTTCTCCACGTCCCCATCAGATTAGTTAGATACAGAGTTTCGACACACAGGTTCTCCAAGGCCCCACGAGAGCAGCTAGATACAGAGTGTCGATTGGTGCACTCACAAACCTTGAGCTAAACACAGGGTGCTGATTGGTGTATTTACAAACCTTGAGCTAGACTTAAAGGTTCTCCACGTCCTCACCAGAGCAGCTAGATACAGAGTGTCGATTGGTGCACTCACAAACCTTGAGCTAAACACAGAGTGCTGATTGGTGTATTTACAATCCCTGAGCTAGATATAAAGACTCTCCACGTCCCCACCAGACTCAGGAGCCCAGCTGGCTTCACCTAGTGGATCCCGCACCGGGGCTACAGGTGGAGCTGCCTGCCAGTCCTGTGCCGTGCGCTCGCATTCCTCAGCCCTTGGGTGGTCGACGGGACTGGGCACCGTGGAGTAGGGGGTGGTGCTCGTCGGGGAAGCTCAGACCGCACAGGAGCCCATGGAGTGGGTGGGAGGCTTAGGCATGGCGGGCTGCAGGTCCCGAGCCCTGCCCCGCGGGAAGGCAGCCAAGGCCCGGAGAGAAATCGAGCACAGCGCCGGTGGGCCGGCACTGCTGGGGGACTCAGTACACCCTCCGCAGCCACTGGCCCGGGTGCTAAGTCCCCCATTGCCCGGGGCCAGCAGGGCTGGCTGGCTGCTCCGAGTGCAGGGCCCACCAAGCCCACGCCCACCCGGAACTCCAGCTGGCCCGCAAGCGCCGCACGCAGCCCCAGTTCCGGCTCGTGCCTCTCCCTCCACACCTCCCTGCAGGCTGAGGAAGTGGGCTCCAGCCTTGGCCAGCCCAGAAAGGGGCTCCCACAGTGCAGTGGGGGGGCTAAAGGGCTCCTCAAATGCCACCAAAGTGGGAGTCCAGGCAGGGGAGGTGCCGAGAGCAAGCGAGGGCTCTGAGGACTGCCAGCACGCTGTCACCTCTCACTACCACCTTGTGAAAGGCAAAATTTAAGAGCTATAAACTAGGATATTTAGCAGAAAAAAATCTCTAAGCAAAGTGTTCAGGATACTGCATGGCTTCTCTTGGCTGCTTATAGTAAAATCCAAGGAGAGACAATGAGGTGAAGATGAAATTTATAATCAAAAAAGACATAGAATGTAAAGATTTGGAAAATTCTCAACCAGGCCAGGTAAAGAATAAAAAAGCATGCTTAGGAGAAAAAAAATCCAAGGGCGTGGCAAAGGTGTGACTGTTTCGTCAAGACAGTGGAAGAATGACCCCAAAAGCTGTTGAGATCTTTGAGACAGCCATACCCACCACAGGTCCAGAATGCTAGGGCCTTGAGGGTAGAACTGTTTCAAGGGAGGGGCCCAGGGTACCTGTGGAGCCTCAGGGCTTGCTGCACAGCACCACCTCAAGTCTCTGCTCCCTGCATTCCAGTGCAGTGCTCCTTGCACCCCACCTGTAGTTCAAGTGGGCCCAGATGCTGCTAAGGCTGCCACTCCCAAAGGAACAAGCAGTAAGCAGCCTTCCCAGTGTCCACATGTTGCTAACTCTGCAGGCTGTGGAGGCATGGCTTCCTCCACCTAAATTTCCAAGGATGTACCAGAGAGCCTGAGGCCCAAGCAGAGAACTGTCACAGGGCAGGTCAGCAGCAGAGTCCACACGAAGGCAATGCCTAGTGGTGTCCGCGGTGGGGGGAAGGGGCAGGTCCACCAGAGAGAGTCTCCACAAGGGCAACACCCAGTAGAGCTATGGGGGCAGGGTTGCCCCCAAAACCCCAGAACCATAGTCACATAGTCACCAACCTGCAACTCCAGCCTGGGAGAACCACGGGTACCTGATTCCAACCGGTGAGAGGTACAGTGTGGACTGCACCCAAGAGAGGCTACAGGGGTGGAGCCACCCGGAGGAGCCTTGTGTCAGAGCAGGAGCACCGACATCTCGGTCAGATACCGCCACTTTAGTTCCAGCTCCCTTTCTAGCCTCATGCATTTCAAGGAAATAACTTCTCTGCTAACTACAAGCAGCCAGAAAGAGCAGACAGTAAAACACAGATAAGACAGCTCAGGCCCAGAGGGAGGTGGGGGGAAAGTCTCTTGAGTAACTGCCAAACTTCAGGCTCATACAATGGGCCCCAGTAAAACAGTGGGCCTTAATAAGCACATCCCTTTCCCTTCAAGTGCACTAAGATAGGGAAGCTAAAAGCAGACTCGGGAGGTATGCCTGTAGCTGCAGAAAAAAGTATGGGAACAGACACACAACTCTCCCTCCCAGATAAGCACAACAAAGAGACACAGAAGCAGTCCAAGCCTCCCACCCTGAATCCTTAAAAACTCTTAGTTGTAAGACAGTGGGCCTAACTCTGCCAGAAGGTTCCTCTCAGGTTTGTTTTCTCTAAAATAAATCTGTCTTGACCAGCAAGCCACCTTTCGTGTTTCTTTCCTCTTTCTTTAATTCTTACACCTTGGGGACCCAACCCCCAACACAGTGTGTCCAGAAAGCAAGACAATTATTCTCAAGCCTTAAGATTTAATGTTGTTTGCCTTACTGAGTTTTACACTTACTTGTGATCTGTCACTCCTCTCTTCTTGCCTGTTCCTCCCTTCATAATGAACACATCTGTGCTTGCCTCTCACCATTGCACTATATGTGTGTGTGTGTGTTTTATTTGATGCATAATAGATGTACATAGTTTCTGAGTACATGTAATAATGTAATACATTCATATAATTTGTAAAGATCAAATCAATGTACTTGGAATACCACTACCTTAAATATTTGTCTTTTTATGCTACAGCCATTCAAATTCTTCTCTTCTAGCTATTTTGTAATTTACAATGGATTATTGTAAACTACAGTTACCCTACTGATAGATACTATCTAACATTAGGTCTTATTTCTTCCATCAAACCATATATTTGTATCCACTAATTAACTTATCTTTATCCCCCTCCTCCTTTCTACCCTTCCCTCTGGTAACCACCAATCTACTCTTTATCTTCATGAGATCCACTTTTTTAACTCCCACACATGAGTGAGAACATGTGATATTTGTCTTTCTGCCCTTGGTTTATTTCACTTAACATAATGACCTCCAGTCCCACCCATGTTGCTACAAATGACAAGATTTCATTATTTTTGTGGCTGAATAATATTCCATTGTGCATATATACCACATTTTCTTTATCCATTCTTCCATTGGTGGGCATTTAAGTTGATTCCATATTTTGGCTACTATGAATGGTGCTGCAATAAGCATGGGACTTCAGGTCTCTTTTCCATATATTGATTTCCCTTTTTTTGGATATATACTCAGTAGTGGAATTACTGGATCACATGGTAATCTATTTTTAGTTTTCTGAGGAACCTCATACTGTTCTCCACAGTGGCTGTACTATTAATAATTTACATTCCCACCAACAGTGTAGACACTGTGTTTTGAAAGCAGGTAACTTGTTTGACTTCACAGGTTCACAGCTAGAGAGAAATCTGCCACAGGATGAAGCGTATCTTTGAGTCTCACCGTATCTGATTGAAATGATGTTTAGATGAGACTCAACTTTAGACTTTTGAGCTGGTGCTAGAACAAGTTAAGACTTCTGGAGTTACTGGAATGGAATGAATGTATTTGTATGTGAAAAGGACATAAACTTTTTGGGGGCGAGGGGCAGAGGCAGAGCACCAGTCTGAACGTGTGTCCCCTACAAAATTCACATTGAAACTTAATCTCCACTGTGGTGGTATTAAGAGGCGGAAGCCTTTGGGGATGTGATTAAGTCATGAGGGCTCTGCCTTAAGCAAGTGCTGGAGGGAACTACCTTAGGCCCTGTTTGCCCTCTTCCCCGCTTCTGCCATGTGAGTATGCAAGAAGGCCTCACCAGACACACACACACACACACACACACACACACACACACACACACACACACACACACACACACAAATGCCTTAATCTTGGACTTCCCAGCTTCCAGACTGGAATAAATAAATTTCTGTTCTAAATTACTCCGTCTGATGTAACAGCAGCACAAACAGACTAAGATGGATGGCAATTTATGTATTCTGCCATAAAGTATTCCATTGAATGATTAAACTACAGTTCACTAATCTCACTGTTTCCATTTTTCCCTATTTCAGTGTTACAATGAACATACTTGAACATGTATCTTTCTGCAACCTCCTCATATTTAATGTGATGCCAGTCAACATCTTAACAGAAGTTTTCCAGAGAACTTGACAAGCTCCTGAAATTCAAATGAAAACAGGAACCAAGAACAGCCAAAAACCCTTTTGAAGACTAATAATAAGGAAATCCTGCCATATCAAAATACATTTTAATGTTCTAATAAAGTAGTATGGTATTGTTATAAGAGACATATCAATACAATAGAGAACTTAGGACACACATAGGTTTGGTCTGTGATAGAGGTGACATTATAGATCAATGGAGGAAAAAAATGTTCAATAAGTGAATCCTCATATTGAAAAAGATAAAATTAGATCTAATGATATGGTTTGGTTGTGTCCCCACCCAAAATCTCATCCTGAATTGTAATCCCCATAATCCCCACACGTCAAGGGTGGGATGAGGTGGAGGTAACTGGATGATGGGGATGGTTTGCCCTATGTTGTTCTCATGATAGTGAGTGAGTTCTCACGAGATGTAATGGTTTTATAAGCATCTGGCATTTCCCCTGCTCGCTTCTCCCCCCCTGCTGCTCTGTGACTAGGTGCCTTCTACCATGATTCTACGTTTCCTAAGGCCTCCCCAGCCATGCTGAACTGTGAGTCAATTAAACCTCTTTCCTTTATAAATCACCCAGTCTCCAGCCGTTCTTTTTCCTTTTCTTTTTGAGACGGAGATTTCCTCTTGTTGCCCAGGCTGGAGTGCAATGGCGTGATCGCGGCTCACCGCAACCTCTGCCTCCCAGGTTCAAGCAATTCTCTTGCCTCAGCCTCCCGAGAAGCTGGGATTACAGCCACACGCCACCACACCCGGCTAATTTTGTATTTTTAGTAGAGATGGGGTTTCTCCATGTTGGTCAGGCTGGTCTCGAACTCCCGACCTCAGGTGATTCACCTGCCTCGGCTTCCCAAAGTGCTGGGATTACAGGCGTGAGCCTCCGGGCCCGTTCAGGCAGTTCTTTATAGCAGTGCGAAAACAGACTAATACAGACCTCAATCTCATACTACATGTAAAAATAAATTCCAGATGGACAAAAGACCTAAGTGTACAATGAAAAACCTTAAATCTTTCAGTAGAAAACATATAAGCATTTTTTTAAACCAAGGTGAAGAAGATTTCTTTAACAAGATACAAATAATACAAACTGTAGAAGAAAAACTACATTTTTAATTTAAAATCGTTTACAACAAAATTATATATTTCAAGGTAAAAAGACAAGACACAAACTAGAAGATGAAATTAAGTATTTATACAACAAAGGATCAGCATCTAGAGTATGTACAGCATTCTTAAAACTCAGTAAAACAGAAAAACAAAACAGGCAAATAATATGAACCAGCAGTTCACCAAGAAAGAAGCCCAAATGGCCCCAAAACATATGAAAAGATGTTCAACTTTACTAGTCAAGAAAATATAAATTTTAAAAAGATGTTTGTATCCAACAGATTGGTAAAATATTATAAATTTATATATATAACACCAAGTGTCTTTTGGTTTTTTTTTTTTTAAGTTCTGAATTACATGTGCAGGATGTACAGGTTACATAGGTAAATGGTTGCTGTGGTGGTTTGCTGCACCTATCAACTCATCAACTAGGTATGAAGCCCAGCATGCATTAGCTATTTTTTCTGATGCTCTCCCTCTCCCTGCCCCCGACCCAACAGGCCCCTGTGTGTGTTGTTCCCTTCGTGGTGTCCATGTGTTCTCATTAACACCAAGTTTCAATAAGCAGAAAAACAAGACCTCAAATTCCTGGTGGGGCCAGGCGTGGTAGCCCATGCCTGTAATTCCAGCACTCTGGGAGGCTGAGGCGGGAAGATCACCGGAGGTCAGGAGTTCGAGACCAGCCTGGCCAATATGGTGAAACCCCCATCTCTACTAAAAATATGAAAATTAGCTAGGCATGGTGGCGGCCGCCTGTAATCCCAGCTACTCAGGCGGCTGAGGCAGGAGAATTGCTTGAACTCAGGAGGCGGAGGTTGCAGTGAGCCGAGATCGCACCATTGCACTCCAGCCTGAGTCTGATGGGGACAGAGCGAGTTTCCATCTCAAAAAAAAAAAAAAAAAAAAAAAAAATATATATATATATATATATATATAGAGAGAGAGAGAGAGAGAGAGAGAGAGAGAGAGAGAGAGAGAGAGAGAGACAGTGCACACAGGAATTTCAGGAAAATGGTTAACGTCTGGAGAGGAAAAGAGAAAGGGAAAGGTGGGTTGACCTTTCTTTGGTTTTTTGACTAAAAGCAACTCTAGAGCAAACATGGCAAAAGGTTAATATCTATTCATCTCAATGGTAAGTACAAAGGTATCTGTTATACTACTTTTGTACTTTTCTGTAAATTCAAATTGTTTCATAATTGAAAATAGTTTTAACTGAGTTTTATAATGATTTAAAAATTAGGCCACGCACGGTGGCTCACGCCTGTAATCCCAGCACTTTGGGAGGCCAAGGCAGGTGGATTGCCTGAGGTCAGGAGTTCCAGACCAGCCTGACCAATATGGTGAAACCCCACCTCTACTAAAAATACAAAAATTAGCTGGGCATGGTGGCATGCACCTGTAGTCCCTGCTACTAGGGAGGCTGAGACAGGAGAACCGCTTGAACTCAGGAGGCAGAGGTTGCAGTGAGCCGAGATCATGCAACTGCACTCCAGCCTGGCAACAGAGTGAGACTCCATATCAAAACAAACAAACAAACAAAATATGAATATTTTAGGTGTAGTATTGGTATTGTGGTTTTGGGGGAGTTGTTTGTTTTTTGCTTTCTTTTCAAGAGATGAGGTCACTTCATGTTGCTGAGGCTGGAGTGCAGTGACTATTCCCAGGTGTGATCATAATCCACTGCAGCCTCTTACTCCCAGCCTCAAGCAATACTCCCAACTCAGCCTCGGGAGTAGCTGGGACTACAGGTGCGAGCCACCATACCTGACATTATTTTTTAATTGTGGTAAAATATAAATAACATAAAATTTACCATTTAAAACATCTTAAGTGTACAGTTTTAGTGGCATTAAGTACATTCACATTGTTTTGCAACCATCACAACCATCGATCTCAAGGACTTTTTCATCTTCCCAAACTGAAACTCTGTACCTGTTAAAAAAATAACTCCCCAATCTCCCCTTCCCTTGGCCTCTGATAATCACTATTCTACTTTCTGTCTGTATGAATTTGACTATTCCGGGCACTTCATATAGACCGAAGCATACAAGCATTTGTTCTTTTGTGCTGGGCCTATTTCATTTGGCATAAGGTCTTCAAGGTTTATCTACATTGTAACATTCTAATGTGTCAGAATTTTATTACTTTTTAAGGTTAAATATTCCATTGTACGTATATTCCACATATTGCTTACCCATTCATCTGCTGATGGACATTTGAGTTATGTTTTAGAGTTCACATCTCTTTACTGAGATGCATACTCAAATATTTTTAAATTAAATTATAAGGTATCTGATATTTGCTTCAAAATAGTCCTGGCTGGGACGAAAAAGCAGTGGGACAGGGAGATAACAGATGAAATGGGATATAACTTTTCACTTATGAGAGCAGCAAAGATCAGAAACACTGATACCACCATATATACTGCCAGAATATGGGGAAACAAATTGTTTCATACATTGTTGGCAGGAATGTAAATTAATTTCTTTGGAGGGTTCTATCAAAGTTGAATTTGCAAATTTCCTTCAACCAAGATATAACTTCTAGGAATGTATCCTCATACATAAGCTCACACACATATGAACAAGTGTATACAAGAATACTGACTGCAACAATGTTTACAACAGCCCAAGTCTGGAAACAATTTAAATGTCTATCAGTAGGGACTGACCGCAAAAATCATAGTACATTACAAAAACATGGAAATACAATGAAATACTATTTAACTTTAAAAATGAAGCAGTTCTACTTTTGAGATAGTATCCATAAATATGTTAAGGGGAAAAAAGCAAGCTACTGAAGAGAGTAACACTATTCAACCAGACATTCACGTGGTTCAATTTCTGGCTACCACAGATCAGAAAACCTAAAAACCTCCCACAACACAGGCCAGGCACCACACTGTGGCTCACGCCTATAATCCCAGCTCTTTGGGAGGCTGAGGCAGGTAGACTGCTTGAAGCCAGGAGTTCAAGACCAGCCTGGCCAACATGGTGAAATACCATCTCTACAAAAAATACAAAAAGAAATTTAGCTGTGTGTGGTGGTGTGCGCCTACAGTCACAGCTACTTGGGAGGGTGAGGTGGGAGATCACTTGAGCCTGGGAGGTAGAGGCTGCAGTGAGCTGTGATATCACACCACTGCACTCCAGCCTGGGAGACACTGCGAGAACCTGTCACTAAAAAAAAAAAAAATCTAGAAATGCTGGATAAATTATAACTAATCTCTTTTAAACACATAAGTAACCTTAAAAGAAAAGGAAATTTCTTACTGAGGGGTAGGATGGAGAAAGGCACCTTTACTTTTTACTTTATCCACTTATTTTTATGTTATAATCAATGTGTATTACTTCTGAAACTAAAAAAAGAATGAAAGCACTCTGAAAAAAGCTGCTATGGATTTAATAATCAATGCCACCTCATGAGTAACTAAAGCAATGTAATCTTACAGTAACTTTTTGGGTATAGCAGCCACTTTTTTATCCAATTTAATTCAAAATTACTGACACCTCCTAAGTACAAGAGACTTAGTAGGTGCTGGCCTCTGGCTAATAGCAAAATGTGGTCCTTATCTTTTAAGGAGCTTAGAATATGTGAGGAAGAACAAGCAAGGAGACAAAAATATCTGTAATATAGGACAGAACATGAAACTCCTCATTCTCTGCACCAAAATTTGAGAACTAAATGTTTAAAATCCCAGTTTCCAGTTAGTATCCCATCAGAGCCCAAAACCAGCTAGTCAGACATTACAGTTGACCCTTGAACAACACTAGTTTGAACTACAAGGGTCCACTTATACAAGGATTTTTTTAACTAAACATGGATCAAAAATGCAGAATTCATGGGATCTGACACTCACATACATGAAGGGCAGACTTTTCATATAAGCAGCATTTCAGTATACCCTGAAGAGTGGGTGGGAGGTGGGTATTCTGGAACCAGTCTCCTATGTATACCATATACTGAGGAACGAGTGTATTTTAGACTTTCCATTACAGGTTATTTTGTTTTGAGTTCATCCACCCATAAAGCATTTTTTTTTTTTCCAGATGGAGTTTCACTCTTGTTGCCCAGGCTGGAGTGCAATGGCATGATCTTGGCTCACTGTAACCTCCGCCTCCTGGGTTCAAGCAATTCTCCTGTCTCAGCCTCCAGAGTAGCTGGGATTACAGGCATGCACCATCATGCCCAGATAATTTTGTATTTTTAGTAGAGATGGGGTTTCTCCATGTGGTCAGGCTGGTCTTGAACTCCCGACTTAAGGTGATCCGCCTGCCTCGGCCTCCCAAAGTGCTGGGATTACAGGTGTGAGCCACCACGCCCGGCCCCCATAAAGCATTTCTGACAATGACTGCACTTACTCACTAGTGGCAAAACTGTAGTTATACATACAGTTTTTTTGTTTTTTTTCCTGAGACAGAGTCACGCTCTGTCGCCCAGGCTGGAGTGCAGTGGCGGGATCTCACTCCAAGCTCACTCCAAGCTCACTCCAAGCTCCGCCTCCCGGGTTCACGCCATTCTCCTGCCTCAGCCTCCCGAGTAGCTGGGACTACAGGCACCCACCACCACGCCTGACTAATTTTTTGTATTTTTAGTAGAGACGGGGTTTCACCATGTTAGCCAGGATGATCTCAATCTCCTGACTTCGTGATCTGCCCACCTCGGCCTCCCAAAGTGCTGGGATTGCAGGCGTGAGCCACCGCGCCCAGCCACATACAGTTATTAGCACACAATTTCCATAGCCTTTGTGATTTCATCCCACAAATGAATCCTCAATTGTTTTCTTCCTTTGGTTTGTATATCTGCTAATACTGCCACATTGATTATATCAATACTACTCAGTCAAAAATAACTAAATCCTCCCCACAGTTCTATAATTGCTAATTTGAAAATTAAATATAAATACAGCTGTGATAGATTCAAGATTCTTCTCCATCTCCAATCAAGAACATCCTACAGGCAACAGTCAGACACTGGTGAAAAGGATTATGGCACAGAAAGATTTATTCTCATTTACTAAGAGCACAAATACAGCTGAAAAAAAGGAATCCTTCCTCTAAAAGTGACTAAACCATGAAATTTACAAACTTATGGCAGTTAGAATAAAAACCCCAAAATCAACACACATTCAATCTTTGGCAATCTAAAGGGGTTTTTAAAATACCAAAAACTTAGAAAAGTTCAAACATTCTGTTCATGCCAGTGTAGTCCAGCTTTGCCCATGAGAACACTGTTACAAGCTGTTGATGATTTCCAGTTCTAAAAAGGTTCCAGAGGCAGTCTTTTAGGTTGCAGAGCTGGTCAACATCACCTATTTCTCTTGAGGCAGTAAATTAGCTGTATAGCCCAGGAAAATTACTCTATCCAATCCAAGCAGTTAGAAAAAATTCAGAGTAATTGCATGGCCACAATACTGTTTATTGTTCAATCTTGCCCTTTATGAAACTGGACATGGCAACTGCTGACACATACAGGCAATAGCTCTGGTTTCAGACAAAGATAATAATAAATCTTTAAATATTATGTATCCGGCCGGGTGTGGTGGCTCATGCCTGTAATCCCAGCACTTTGGGAGGCCGAGGCGGGTGGATCACCTAAGGTCAGGAGTTCAAGACCAGCCTGACCAACATGGAGAAACCCTGTCTTTACTAAAAACACAAGAAAAAAAAAAAATTAGCCGGGTGTGGTGGCGCATCCCTGTAATCCCAGCTATTTGGAAGGCTGAGGTAGAGAATCACTTGAACCCGGGAGGCAGAGGTTGCGGTGAGCCAAGATCGTGCCACTGCAATCCAGCCTGGGCAACAAGAGCAAAACTCTCTCTCTCAAAAAAAAAAAAAAAAAAAAAAAAAAAATATATATATATATATATATAATGTACCAACTCATAGAGGGTTGCCAGACTGGGAAAATAATACTTACCTATGAGACACCAGTAAAAGCAAATACCATGAGGTTAGGATGTTGACTGTCTATAGCCTGGATGCCCTAAAACTGTATGAATACCTTCAAAGAAACTCACTGACATATTTCTGGTAGTACACTGAAGCATCACAAGCGATCAGACTTCCATCTCATCCACGACAACCTGATAATTACCACTGTATTCCAAAAGTCAGGAAAGAATCAGTGTTATTTCCTACCTTCAGGTTCTCTGGAGGCTTTCCTAAATGCTAACCCAGTCCAAGAAGTAAAAATGTCTAAATATCAGTAAAGGATTGCTCCAACTCCTGTTTTGATGTGCCTCTTTAAAACAAAACAAACAAAAAAAGTTTAAAAAGAAAGAAACAAAGGCCCAAATAAGAATAGCATATTAAGGAAAAAAAAAAAGATAAAACATAGAATTGAAAAGAAAAACCAGTAAGAATGCTATTTAGTAGGGGCAGTAAAGAGAAATGGTTGATTAGTCTGGCTCCAGAGCCCTGGAGCCAGCATGCCTAGCTTACTGCCTGTGTGAACTTGAGCAAGGTTTTTAACTCTGCCCTACTTTCCTCTTCTGTACAATGAGAATAATAAAAGTAATAATCTCAGAGTCAAAGAATAAATAAGTTAAATCACATAAAACAGCTAGAATTTGGCCACTTTTAACCAAATAGATAAAAGTCCAAAATTTTACTACTACTCTGTTGATGAGGCTGTTGGAAAACAGGCAGTCTCACAGAGTAATTAGTACTAAGCCTTAGGGAGGGCAATTTGGAAATCACACTTTTGAGAATTTATCCCACTGACTCTCTTGACCAGGTGGGGAAAAGACAGATACACCACGTTTTTAATTTTATACTGGAAAGCCAAATGCCCATGAAGAGACATTAAATCAAGAATGGCAAATTCACACGCACAAAAAATAAAAATAAAAATAAAAAAAGAAATTAAAGAATGGCAAATTGAAAACATGGAACACTATGCAGCAGTTTTTTTAAAAAAATAGAATGACGACACTGATTTTTTAATAGGAAAAATACATCTAAGATAACCAAAAAATGCAAGATGTAGAACAGTGGAAAGTATGTAACCCTTTGCATAAAAAGAGACTGAAAAACTAGGAAACATCTTTGCTTGTTCTGCACCAAGAGAAACTAAGCGGGAAGGAACTGGACAGATAGAAGACTAGATGTGAGAAAAACTTCCGTGTGTGTGTGTGTGTGTGTGTGTGTGTGTGTGTGTGTGTACTTTTTAGCTATATATTTTACCTATTCAAATATTAAATTTTAAAAAGTACTTTTAAAGTATCAGACATACAGTTCAAGAACTCAAATGTTGGCCGGGCGCGGTGGCTCACGCCTGTAATCCCAGCACTTGGGAGGCCGACGCGGGCGGATCACCTGAGGTCGGGAGTTCGGGACTAGCCTGACCGACATGGAGAAACCCTGTCTCTACTAAAAAAATACAAAATTAGCCAGGCGTGGTAGTGCATGACTGTAATCCCAGCTACTTGGGAGGCTGAGGCAGGAGAATCGCTTGAACCCAGGGGGCGGAGGTTTCAGTGAGCCGAGGTCGCGCCATTGCACTCCAGCTTGGGCAACAAGAGAGAAACTCCGTCTCAAAAAAAAAAAAAAAAAACTCAAATGTTAGCTGCAATTATGTTGTTATTATTATTAGCAAATTCAAAATACCTCCTTTCTGAAGACTTTTTCTTACTCCCTCTGCACAGAAACCTCATCTCCCTCCTCTAGCTACCAAGTTATTGTTTAAGGAATTTATTACTTTCTACTCCAGTGCAAGTAGAGTAAGGGGTTGGTCAATGTTTCATTCATTTTTAATATCCAAGAAGCCTTGCTTGCACATAGTAGGTACAAACATTTTGGAGTAACAGTAACCTTACAAGTACTCCGAAGAAAAAGGTGACCATTTATAAAAAGATTGTACTCTGTCATTAATCCTAAGACCTGAAAATTGAAGAAGTTTAATAACTGATAGCAACCTGTAGTTGCTAATATTCTTTCAACTACTGCCCATCCAAAATCGCCCCTTTCACTTTTTCCTTTTTTCTCAGACTGTCCCTGACATTGACATCATGTTCCAAGCCACGACCCTACATGTACCAACTCTCTGTAACTCACTGCAAACTCTGAAATGTCTTTTCTCATAAGTCCCAACATCTGATGCATCGCTTCTGTCAAAAGGGCATTTGTTGTCTCCTTTTAGACAGAGGTTCACGTATCAGTGAGTGAACAAAGTGCCCTTAACTGGAGAAGACCTAACACTTGATTCCTGGTTCGCTCAGTATTTTGTTTGTTCTCCTGGTATGGAGGGTATTCTGTAACTGACTGCTCAGTAGCCCAATTCTAAATGTCATTCCAGCATACCAAATAATCCACTGACAGCTCAACAGTCACTTTTCATGCAGGCCCCTCCCCTTCCCTCCTCCCTCAACCCTCAAGAGCTCCTTCTCTCACAGTGACAGACACACTGGCAGTTCAGAAGACCTTTTCCTCAAGCGTCCTTCCCTGCACGTACAAGACCACCTCCCCAGCTCTCATCATCCCGCGAGCCAATACGGTCCCCAATAACATCCCCTCCCAGCCAATCCAAATCACAACCTAAGTCTCTTCCCAAGAACCAGGCTTTACAGCCTTTCCCAACAAGTACACACTTGACAGCTCGACACGAGCTTCCCCAAAAATCATTTCCCCTCACTCCCCTCCTACCCCATACACTGGCTCTTTTCTCGCTATCATTTACCCACCCTGGCTTCCCCAAAATTCACAGCCCGGTTTCCTAAACATGCTCTCCGCTCTCCTCTCCCCTCCTTCTCCTCCCCACCCCCTTTCCACCGCTGACAGCTCAGTCACCTCCATCCCCCTGTGGCTGCACCCTCCCCCGCACCCTCCCCTTGACAGCTCAGAGTGGGCTCCCAGTGCTCCGCTCCAGGCCCTCCCGCGACGTCCCCGGCCCAGGGTCGCCTCGCCCGCGGGGAGGGCTCCACTCACCCGCTCTCCCGCATCACGTTGCTGTCCCCGCAGTCGCAGGCGCCCCCGGCCTGGCTGCGGAACATGTTGAAGTCGTGTCCGGTGTGGTCGCCCTGGTGGAAGCACTCGGCGCACAGCGACATGCAGGGCGAGATGCCGCACGTCCGGCAGCGGTAGGCCACGAAGTTGGCTGTCCAGACCAGGCCGCAGAGCGCCGCGGGATCGTAGGCCCGCACCGCCGCGCAGAACTCGTCGTAGCCGCCGCCGCCCGCCAGAAGGCACTTACACCACTCCAGGGCCTCCTCCTCGGCCGCCCCCGGACCGCCCCCGCCTCCGGCCGCCGCCGCGTCCTCGCCGCCGGCAGCCGCGGCCAGCGGCCGCTCGGCGCTCAGCACCCGCTCCAGCAGCGCCTGCAGCTCCTCAGCACCTGCGCGGTTGTCCGGCCGGCTGAGGGCCGCCTTGAGGTGCGCGGCGGTGGCCGCCTTGTCTAGGGCCAGCCCCGGCGCGGGCAGCTCGGGCTGTGACGGCTGCTGGCCCCCGACGGCCGCCGCGGCCGCCGCCGCCATGATGAGAGCTCAGAATTTGGAGAGTCCAGGGCCAGCGGCTCCTCCAGGGAGAGTGAGGGAATAGACTGCTGCGATTGCTCGGCCCGCCCAACTCTCGCGATACCCGGAGCGTCCGCGCTCCTCCGCCCGCAGCCCCGCCCCTACACACGCCCCCTCGGGCTGCAGAGCCTTCCTCCCGCCCCTCTCTCCTGGGCGCCTGTGGACCAAGCTAGGCTCCCAACTTTCTAAGTTAAGAGCTACTGAAATAAAGTACTCACCTTATAGGAAATCTTTAATAAGGGCAATTATTTCTTTATTTGCATAGACTACAGGAATTATTCACATCATCTTTCAGATGTACTTTAGGCATCTGCATTTTGTCTGAGATGTACATTCCTACTGTTATCAAAGTCCAGCGGGCGACAGAATGAAACCCCAACTTAAGGAAAACAAAAACTGTAGGAAAAGCAATCCAAAGAAGAACAGAAGGCCAGGCGCGGTGGCTCACGCCTGTAATCCCAGCACTTTGGGAGGCCGAGGCAGGCGGATTACTTGAGGTGAGGAGTTTGAGATCAGCCTGGCTGACATGGTGAAACCCTGTCTCTACTAAAAATACAAAAATTAGCCGGGCATGGTGGCGCACGCCTGTAATCCCAGCTACTCCGGAGGCTGAGGCAGGAGAATCACTTGAACCCAGGAGGCGGGGGTTGTAGTGAGCCGAGATCGCGCCACTGCACTCCAGCCTGGGTGACAAAGCGAGACTCCGTCTCTAAAAACAACAACAACAACAACAACAACAAAGAAGAACAGGAGTGTTTCCAATCCATAACCTTGTGTTTGAAATGAATGAAACATAATTAAAACAGGTTATTCCTGGTCTTCTACATGAGTTAAGTATGTCACGATCATCATATAACAGTGATAAGTTAAATTTGCTCAATAATTTTACGAATCACTAAATTATAAACTAAATAAAACTTTATGTATTAACTTTACATGCTAAAACTTTGTATGTTTTAACTCATTTGATTCTCATAACAGATAACTTTGAATTCTGCTATTCCTAGAAGTAGCAGCCTCAGACACTTCTCTACTTCGTCATCGTCCATTCACTCTTTTTCTTCTTCCTATAATAATGCAAAGAGGTGTCCATCCACAGGCTTAAACGCAATCCTGCAATCCTTTTACTTAACCACTGGATCCTGCCTTCTCAGGATCCCAACTCCATCCAATATCCTCTTGCATTTTTAACCCCTCTCTTTCTATTAGCTCAATTCTTGTCAGAATTTGTCTCCTCCTGTCTTAAAAATAATTGAAAAAATAATAAAGCTTCCCCCATTACTAAGCATCCAACCATTCTTTTCGTAGGCCACCTTTCTCTTTCTCTTTCTTTTCTTCTTTCTTTTTTTTTTTTTTTTTTTTGAGACAGGGTCTCACTGTCGACCAGACTGGAGTGCAGTGGCGCAATTTCAGATCACTGGAAGCTTTGCCTCCCGGGCTCAAGCGATTTTCCCACCCCAGCCACCCGAGCAGCTGGGACCACAGGCTCGCGTCATCAGACCCAGCTAATTTTTGTATTTTTAGTAGAGACAGGGTCTCCTTATGTTGCCCAGGCTGGTCTCAAACTCCCGTCTCAAGCAATCCGCCCATCTCGGCCTCCCAAAATGTTGGGATCACAGGGGTGAGCCACCGCTTCCGGGGCCACGTTTAATTGTTCACATTTACTCTTTCTTCTTCCTAAATTTCCATTCGCTCCACAATCTGCTACAACTTAATTTCTGCTCCTACTTTATGAAGCCCGACCTCTTTCCAGTATTTGACACCACTACCTATTCTTTTATTTTCATTTCCACTGTCTTTTTTTTTTTGAGACGGAGTCTCGCTCTGTCTCCCAGGCTGGAGTGCAGTAGCTTGATCTCGGCTCACTACAAGCTCCGCCTTCCGGGTTCACGCCATTCTCCTGCCTCAGCCTCCCGAGTAACTGGGACTACAGGCGCCCGCCACCAAGCCCGGCTAATTTTTTTGTAATTTTAGTAGGGACAGGGTTTCACCGTGTTAGCCAGGATGGTCTCAATCTCCTGACCTCGTGATCCACCCACCTCGGCCTCCCAAAGTGCTGGGATTACAGGCGTGAGCCGCCGCGCCCTGCCTCTCCACTATCTCTTCTTTGGGTTTCTTTGACATCACCACTCCTGTGAGAATTGCAAGTGACACAAATGACCTAAAAATTGGGAAACAAAGTTACAATAAAATAAGGCATGAGAATGGAGAAGGAGGTAAAGGTGAATGGAGATCGCTACTTTTTGAGCCGAGACTTGGGAAACAAGAAGAGTCACTCTGGGCCATACAACAAAGTGACTGTGACTTTCTCTCCCGCATCCCTTTCACTCTGTCTTTCCCCATCCTTTGAGGGCCCGCAGGTACTCATGGCAAACTAGAGGGTAATGAGCACGCGACAGGCGGCGAGGACTGGCGGTGGGTCAGCAAGTAGCGCAGGCTTTGCAGGCGGAGGGGATGGGGCAATGAGGCCCCCAGGTGGCCAGCGGAACCCCGGCTCAAGATAAACGCTGCAGCTCGGCGCCGGGCCGCTGGGCGGCGAACGCGTGCGCGCGTGCGGCCTGGCGCTTCCGGCACCGGCCGAGGTGCGGGTCGCCTCCAGAGGTGCGTGGTCGTGGCGCGAGGGATCCTGAGGCTGCTCCAGCAGTGCGCCGCCGCCGTCTCCTGGGGCGGCTTGGGTTAGCCGGGAGGTGGGTCAGAGGCTCGCCCCGTGCCCTGCGTCCGGGCGTCTCCTTAGGGCGCGTCTTCGGGTCCGGCCAGCGGTGCTGAAAAAGGGAGAAGGTTGGGGGTAGGGAGGAAACAAGATCCCAGTTCAATAGATTTCTCCGCAGATCCTGTGCCTTCAAACCCTACGAGTCCATACTTTAAAACAAAATGAAGAAAGTAAGGCTTAAGGAACTAGAGAGTCGCCTGCAACAAGTGGATGGATTTGAAAAGCCCAAGCTACTTCTGGAACAGTATCCTACCAGGCCGCACATTGCAGGTAGGGCGGCTGGTTCACCACGCCCCGGCTTTCGGCGTTAGTCCAGTCTACTCTGTGATAAAAATAGAACAGTTATTTGGATACAGAGAATGTCTAGAGAAATTCTGCCCTAAGATCACCTGTCGCGTTAGAGAGGCCTTCCTTGACACTGCAGCTCAAGGCACACCCTCCACAGACATACACACTATCATTTTACTGTCTAGTTTTCTGCATATCCCTTAACACTGCCAGACATCTTTTTAATGTGTTTTTTTCTCTTCTCACATTACAATCTCTGAGGACAAGGAATTTGTTAGACTTGTTCATACTTGAATTCCCAGTGCCCAGAAGAGTCGCTGGTACTATTTAGGAGCTCAGTAAACATTTACTAAATAAGGATCAGTTTCCCATTGCTACTAATTGCCTACGCAAGGATTCTTGTGCTATATACTCTGCCCTAGAAATGAATACCAGAGTTGATAGTGGAATGATAGTTTAACAAAATCAGAGTATGTGCTGTGTAAAGATGAGCATGCATATTTTAACAGATTTTCTGAGCATTAGCATTGTTGCTTCATGCCAGATATTGATACTGGGAGTACAAGAGAGAATACAGGACAACATATATTTATGTTACCGAAGTCATTGGGAAACCTTAGGGGAAAAAAATTTTATTATTATTATTTTTTGAGATAAGGGTCTCACTCTGTCACCCAGGCTGGAGTGCAGTGGCATGATCACGGCAACTGCAGCCTTGACCTCCAGGACTCAAGTGATCCTCCTACCTAAGCCTCCCGAGTAGCTGGGACTACAGGCATGCACCGTCATGCCTGGCTAATATTTTTTATTTTTTGTAGAGACAGCGTCTTGCTATGTTGCCCAAGATGGTCTCAGACTCCTGGGCTGAAGCGATCTTCCCACTGGGGCCTCAAGAAGTGCTGAGATTACAGGCATGAGCCACTGAGGCTGGCTCCTTAGGAAAATTAATTTTCTGAGAGTACCTGCAAGGAGTTTTTTCCAGTTCCAAAATAGTTGTTTCTAAGTTGTCAATGAAAGTCAAGGAGAATACATGTGTATTTACACTTAACTCCAAGATACTGTCATGATTCCAACCAAAAATTCACACAAAACTACTGTGTCTAGGTTAAGACCAGTTTTCTCAAATAATGACTTACTAGTCTTCTGACTGTAGGTTTTTTTAGTGGAATCCAGTTTAAAAAATAATAACAATCTGGCCAAGTACAGTGACTCACCCCTATAATCCCAGCACTTTGGGAGGCCAAGGCAAGAGGATGACGAGCCCAGGAGTTCAAGATCAGCCTGGGCAATACAGTGAGACCCCAGCTCTTAAAAAAAAAAAATTAGCCTAGTGTGGTAGTATGTGCCTATAGTCCCAGCTGCTGATACTAAGGCAGGAGAATTGCTTGAGCCCTGGAATTTCAGGCTGCAGTGAGCTCTGATCCGCCACTGCACCCCAGCCTGGGTGATAGAGATAGACCCTGTCTCTGAAAAAAAACAACAAAAAACTTCTGGATCCGCAGGAATCAGTGGCCAACAGTCCTTGCTGGGTTCAGATATCTTCAGGGAAATATCGGTGGTGGTGGTATTCATGTTTGACCTTCAGTGTGTATCTAACACCCAGTAGTTCTATTATCAGGTCTCATTTGTAGATTATGAATATATATGTCTGTAGATCATGAGTATATGTGTCTAAAGGCTACATTGTGGAGCTTATGGTGCTTGTGTTCTGGTGACAAACTTGTTAAAACAAAGTTCTGTGGCTAGGCACAGTGGCTCATGTCTGTAATCCCAACACTTTGGAAAGCCGGGGCGGGAGGATCACTTGAGCCCTGGAGTTCGAGAGCAGCGTGGGCAATATAGTGAGAACCTGTGTTTAAAAAAAAAAGAAAAAAAAAGATTCTATGTCTTTGTGATGCTAATGCTTGTTTGATAGTGGTTCCTAGTCTTATAGATTTCACAGATAAGTAAAATTTCAAAACAATTTTGGAAATTGATAGAGTTGCCAAATTTATGTTGACAAAAAAGGATTTTTTTAAAAACTATTTACTCTTACCATTCTTTCTTAAAAATATTTCAGCATCAAAGAAAGAACCGATATGAGTATATGGCAATGTTTTTAACAAGCTGAGGAAAAACTAAACGTTTTGACTTTTTTTTATTTTACCTCAGAGACTGGGCACAGTTTTGTCATTCTTGGCATTGCTAGCAGAGACTATTTTTTGAGAAACACTGGTGGGTATTAGCTTCCTTTATGGTGCCTCTTACTACATACCAAATCATTACCCCTTATCTTTTACAAAAATAATCTGGAATGGCATTTGGGGAGGACTAAGTAATGCAACACAAGAAATTATTTTAGAAAGAGTCATTTGCACAAATTAGATTTTAGTCACCGGCTTGCTTACTTATTCTTTTTTTTTTTATTTTTTAGCATGTATGCTCTATACAATCCATAACACTTATGATGACATTGAAAATAAAGTCGTTGCAGATCTAGGATGTGGTTGTGGAGTACTTAGCATCGGAACTGCAATGTTAGGAGCAGGGTACGTAATGCAATATATGCTATTTGGGTATTGGGTGGCTTTAATAAGGAGCATCAATGGGATTAACTGAATTATATTTATGAGACTCCACAGAATGAGATATAGGGAGCAAAAATCTGATACTGAATACATTTTGAATGGGCAGAAGATCTAAACAAACTACAAAAATTAAATAAAAATGGTGAAAGCAGCAGTTCCTTTTATACAAACCTGAGTTTCCAACCCCTGCCGGGTTTGGAAATTATGCTGTTACACTTGACTGGGCACAGTGGCTCATGCCTGTAATCCCAACACTTTGGGAGGCCAAGGTGGACAGATTACTTGAGCCCAGGAGTTTGAGACCAGCCTGGGCAACATGGTGAAATCCCATGTCTACAAAAAATACAAAAATTAGCTGGATGTGGTGGTGTGCGCCTGTGGTCCCAGCTACTTGGGAGGCTGAGGTGGGAGGATTGCTTGAGCAGTGCAAGATGGCACCACTACACTCACCTGGGTGGCACAGCAAGATCCTGTCTGAAAAAAGAAAAAAAAAAAGAAGAAAACACTCACTCTTACTTTGCTAATTGGGTTAAAAAGATATATGGTTTAAAAAAAAAACAGCTAATTTTGGTTTTGTTTTTACTTGGGAGCTATAAGTCGCCACTCTTTGTATGTGTTTTGTATTTATAGGTTGTGTGTTGGATTTGACATAGATGAAGACGCATTGGAAATATTTAATAGGAATGCAGAAGAGTTTGAGTTAACAAATATTGACATGGTTCAATGTGATGTGTGCTTATTATCTAACAGAATGTCCAAGTCATTCGATACAGTAATTATGAATCCTCCCTTTGGGACCAAAAATAATAAAGGTTTGTAACAAGAATCGGGTATATTGGTATATTTATAGAAAAGATTTTAAAACCATTTTTAAGGCCAGGCGCAGTGGCTCAGGCGTGTAATGCCAGTGCTTTGCGAGGCTGATACAGGAGGATCATTTGGGGCCAGGAATTGGTAGCCATCCCGGGCAACATAGTTAGACCCTGCCTCTACCCACACACACACACACACACACACAAATTTTAATTTCCCAAGTGTGGTGGTGCACCTATAGTCCTAGCTACTCAGAAGGTTGAGGTGGGAGGATCACCTGAGCTCAGGTATTCGGGGCTGCGATGAGCCATGAATGTGCCACTGCACTCCAGCCTTGGTAACAGCAAGACCCTGTCTAGAAAAAATTAAACAAAAATAAAAACCATTTTTATCACTGTTTGGGCTAAGTGATTTTATCACTCTTCATTAAATAAACCAAGGCTAAGTGATGTTATTACTCTTCATTAAGTAAACCAATCTCTTATTTGTATAGTTCTTATAATTTACATTTCAATTTGTTTAATGCATGGCTAAGAAACTGAGTTTTTCAACTTTCATTTTTACAAATTTGTATTAAGTAAACAAAGATAGTCATGTCATTTATTGTATATCTCCCATTTGCTTTCAGGAATAATTTGCCTAACCCTTATGAATGAATACGAAACATAGAAAGAATTTTATACTTTCAGAATCTGTTTTTTAATGTCTTAACAGACCCAAGGGTTTCTACATGTGCCCATCAGTAACAGTGACTCACCGTGGCTGTTAATTTTGTGTGTACTGTGGGCAAGGAGGTTAGGAAGTCAGTGAGGGTAGGAAAAGACATGCATAGTTTGGCCGGGCGTGGTGGCTCACGCCTATAATCCCAGCACTTTGGAGGCTGAGGTGGGTGGATTACCTGAGGTCGGGAGTTTGAGACCAGCCTGACCAACATGGAGAAACCCCGTCTCTACTAAAAATACAAAATGAGCCAGGCATGGTGGCACATGCCTGTAATCCCAGCCACTAGGGAGGCTGAGGCAGGAGAATCACTTGAATCCGGGAGGCGGAGGTTGCGGTGAGCTGAGATCATGCTATTGCACTCCAGCCTGGGCAACAAGAGCGAAACAAAAAAAAAAAAGACATGCATAGTTTAAAAAGTACCCTGCCCCCACCAAGATGATTCTGAATAGTACTCTATGCATTTCCTTCTCCCCTTTTTGAAGTCATTAATGTTGGAATATAATATTAAAATTTTTACTTTATCCTTATTTAACCAAGACAGTATAATTCTGGTTTTATTCTACCAGCCTTAAAATAATATTTTGATAGTTTATTTGTACCCTTATTGCTAAAAGATTTCAAGGTGGCTATTTTGAAGTTTGGAAGAAAATATTTCTAAATCCTACTAACTTAATCTTCTGTTTTGAGAAGAGGTAAATAGGAGCTTTTTTTCTACTCTTCACAGGGACAGATATGGCTTTTCTAAAGACTGCTTTGGAAATGGCAAGAACAGCAGTATATTCCTTACACAAATCCTCAACTAGAGAAGTAAGTTCAAATCATCTGATATTCTGTGGCATTGATTTTTAAATTCATGACAGTGTTTTTAGGATTTGCTGTGAATACTAGATACCACAGTATCTATTTCTCCTGACCATTTTGACATGTGAAACTTAAATTTTCCACTTAACCAGCTAGCATCTGATTGGCCTTTTTCCAGGCTATAAGACTTATTTCCTCAAAGATTTTTTTCAGACAGGAACTGTTGCCAGAGGAGAGACTATAACTCAGGAGTAGAAAAGTGTGTTGTAACTAGGATTACTGTATGTTTTGGTTTCTCTGAGTAAGTCTTAGTTGATCCCTTTTGTCCCATTGTCCCGGTGTGGCCTGATGTACTTAAGGGAGGCAGTAAGGCCAGGTTTTCAGAACACTTGAGCCTGGAGCTAAACAGATCTGAGTTCAGAAATCACCTATTCTTACTTTTGCAGCATATAACACATGGAGAGGTGTATAAGTTGTAGTCCAGGAAACTGGGGGAAGGGGCAGTACATTTTTTTAGTGTCAGTATAACACAATAGTTAGGAACAGAGATTCTGAAGCCAGACCAGATTCTCTGGGTTCAGATCCAAGTTCTGCTGCCTCCCAGCTGTTTTCTTGGTCAAGGTAATTGAGTTTCATCATCAAGGTAATTGAGCTTTTGTCATCTATACTATCCTCACCTGTACTCTAAGTGTAAGGGACTGAGAGTACCAATTGTACTTCATAAGAATTGTGAGGATTACATGAGTTAATATTTACAAAGCACTTAGATCAGTGTCTGACATGTGTAATTGCTATGTGTTAGCTATTATTATTTAAATCATACATGTATTCAAAGATTTTAAAGTGCTTTTGTAGGAAAAATACTTAATTCATGTAAATACAGTACGTAAGAACCCAGTTGGAAATAATACATTCTAGTTACATGGTAATGTGATAACCTTTTAAAAAGCATAAAATATAACAGCTAAAAAGAACTATACTGCTAATAATAAGTAGTGGTACATGTAGGCAAGCAACAGGACACAACATAGCTAGTAAATAAATCCTCACTCACTATATATGAAAGCAAACACCAGTAAACATTGGTATCCAAACCTGTGTCCCCAAGAACACCCTCAGGTTTGATGATTCACTAGGAAATCTCACAGGACTCAGCATCTAGTCTTATTCATGGCTATGATGTATTACAGTGAAAGGATATAGAGCAAAATCAGCAAGGAGAAAGGTGCATTAGGCAGAGAATGGGGTAAACCAGGGCCAGGCTTCTGGAGTCTTCTGCCAGTAGAATAACACAGGACACAATTAATTTTCCCAGCATGAATTATTGATAACACATGTGAAACATTGCCAACCAGGGAAGCTCATTAGAGACTCAGTGCCCAGGGCTTTTATTAGGGACTGATCATGTAGGCAATTCCCTTTCTGACACATACCCAAATTCTAGACTCCCAGTAGGAAAACAGGTGTTCAGCATAAACAGTGTTAGGCACAGTCAGTCACTATTATTAAGGGAGTAGGGAGTGGGAGGCTTCCCAAAATCTAAGTTCCCAGTCTCCAGACAAGGGCCAAACTAAGCAGGCCTTTCTAAGGATAAGCAGCCAGGCCTGCTGTGAACTCTTTTCTGCACAGCTTGGCATAACATGAATTTTTTTTTTAATTATACTTTAAGTTCTAGGGTACATGTGCACAACATGCAGGTTACATACGTAGACATGTGCCATGTTGGTTTGCTGCACCCATCAACTTGTCATTTACATTAGGTATTTCTCCTAATGCTATCTCTCCGCCAGCCCCCCACCCCCCAACAGGCCCCCGTGTGTTATGTTCCCCTCCCTGTGTCCATGTGTTCTCGTTGTTCAACTCCCACTTATGAGTGAGAACATGCGGTGTTTGGTTTTCTGTCCTTGTGATAGTTTGCTGAGAATGATGGTTTCCAGCTTCATCCCATGAACTCATCCTTTTTTATGGCTGCATAGTATTCCATGGTGTATATGTGCCACATTTTCTTTATCCAGTCTATTATCGATGGACATTTGAGTTGGTTCCAAGTCTTTGCTATTGTGAATAGTGCCGCAGTAAACATACATGTGCATGTGTCTTTATAGCAGCATGATTTATAACCCTTTGGGTATATACCCAGTCATGGGATGGCTGGGTCAAATGGTATTTCTAGTTCTAGATCGTTGAAGAATCTCCACACTGTCTTCCACAATGGTTGAACTAATTTACACTCCTAACAGTGTAAAAGCATTCCTATTTCTCCACATCCTCTCCAGCATCTGTTGTTTCCTGACTTTTTAATGATTGCCATTCTAACTGGTATGAGATGGTATCTCATTGTGGTTTTGATTTGCATTTCTCTGATGACCACTGATGATGAGCATTTTTTCATATGTCTGTTGGCTGCATAAATGTCTTCTTTTGGGAAGTGTCTGTTCATATCTTTTGCCCACTTTTTTGATGGGTTTTTTTTTCTTGTAAATTTGTTTCAGTTGTTTATAGATTCTGGATATTAGCCCTTTGTCAGATGGATAGATTGCAAAAATGTTCTCCCATTCTGTAGGCTGCCTGTTCACTTTCATGATAGTTTCTTTTGCTGTGCAGAAGCTCTTTAGTTTAATTAGATCCCATTTATCAATTTTGGCTTTGTTGCCATTGCTTTTGGTGTTTTGGTCATGAAATCTTTGCCCATGCCTATGTCCTGAATGGTATTGCCTAGGTTTTCTTCTAGAGTTTTTAGGTCTTACATTTAGATTTTTAATCCATCTTGAGTTAATTTTCATGTAAGGTGTAAGGAACGGATCCAGTTTCAGTTTTCTGCATATGGCTAGCCAGTTTTCCCAGCACCATTTATTAAATAGGGAATCCTTTTCCCATTGCTTGTTTTTGTCAGGTTTGTCAAAGATCAGATGGTTGTAGATGTGTGGTGTTATTTCTGAGGCCTCTGTTCTGTTCCATTGGTCTATATATCTGTTTTGGTACCAGTACCATGCTATTTTGGTTACTGTAGCTTTGTAGTATAGTTTGAAGTCAGGTAGCATGGTGCTTCCAGCTTTGTTCTTTTTGCTTAGGATTGTCTTGGCTATGTGGGCTCTTTTGGTTCCATATGAAATTTAAAGTAGTTTTTTCCAATTCTGTGAAGAAAGTCAGTGGTCGCTTGATGGTGATAGCATTGAATCTATAAATTACCTTGGGTAGTATGGCCATTTTCATGATACAGTGCTCTACACTTTCGGAGAAACTTCTCTAGTAACGAACTATAGAAATGATCCCTGAAAGTATAGTCTTGGCATAACATGAATTTTATAAAACTCAGTTTTACTGCATGAACTGAATTCCCCATGTACCTATATCTCTGCCAAATGGTTTCTAGGCTAGCTAGCTGTATATATCAATGAAATAATGCTACAGAAACCATATGAGAACATTACACATCTTTGATAGATTTCTGAAATAGTCATGCATCCTTTAACAACAGGGATATGTTCTGACTAATGCATTCTGAGGTGATTTCATCATTGTGCAAACATAGAGTGGACCACCGAGGCTCTGTGGTTATAGTCTGTTGTTCCTAGGCTACAAACCTGTCAACCTATTACTGTATTGAATACTACAGGCAATTGTAACACAATGGTATTCTTTTGATCTAAACATATATAAACACCAAGAAGGTAATGTGTTGTGCTGTGATGTCAAGATAGCTACATCATTAGGCAATAGCAATTTTTCAGCTCCATTTATAATTTTATGGGACTACCAAAATATATGCAGTCCCTAGATAACCCCAAATGGCATTATGTGGTGCATGAGTAGCTTTCTATCACTTGGATTTATTGTGTGATTTGGTTCAGATTGTTAAATGTATTGAAATTGATTTATTATTTTCAGAATACTATCCATTCAATTGAAATTTTTATAAGGGTCTAGATTCTAATGAAATTTTAAGCTTAAAAACTCAATCTCAAGTATTAGTAAAAAGCAATTTTAAAAAATCATTATTTAAAAATCAGCTCATAACAACATATTATTTATGTTCAGCATGTTCAAAAGAAAGCTGCAGAATGGAAAATCAAGATAGATATTATAGCAGGTAAGACAAATCTCAATCCTAATATCCAAAAGGGCCAACATGTATTCGCCCAACCAAAATTTTCATGCAGGTGCTGAGAAGATAAACTATGCTTTACAGTGTGGCAAAATGTGCATGATTGGTAATAGATTGGAAATGGAGTAAAAGCAGAATGAACACTTAGCCTGAGACTGTCCTAATTTATGCGATTTACTGAAAATTTCTAATAGCACTCAGGTATTTGGTCACTCCAGACTCAGGCAGAACACTGTATAGCAGCACAATGGCTAAAAACATGGGCTGGGGGCCAGGTGTGGTGGCTCACGCCTGTAATCCTAGCACTTTGGGAGGCCAAGGTGGGCAGATCACCTGAGGTTTGGAGCTCAAGACCAGCCTGGCCAACATGGTGAAACCCCATCTCTACTAAAAATATAAAAAATTAGCCAGGCATGGTGGCGCACACGTGTAATCTCAGCTACTTGGGAGACTGAGGCGGGAGAATCGCTTGAGTCCCAGAGGCAGAGGTTGCAGTGAGCCGAGATCGCACCACTGTTCTTCAGCCTGGATGACAGAGGAGACTCAGTCTCAAAAAAACAAAAACAAACAAATGAAAAAAAAAAGTGGGCCGGGCGCGGTAGCTCACGCCTGTAATCCCAGCACTTTGGGAGGCTGAGGCAGGCGGATCACGAGGTCAGGAAATTGAGACTATCCTGGCTAACATGGTGAAACCCCGTCTCTACTAAAAATACAAAAAAATTAGCCAGGTGTGGTGGCAGGCACCTGTAGTCCCAGCTATTCAGGAGGCTGAGGCAGAAGAATGGTGTGAACCTGGGAGGCGGAGCTTGCAGTGAGCTGAGATCGCGCCACTGCTCTCTAGCCTAAGCAACAGAGTGAGATTCCATCTCAAAAAAAAAAAAAAAAGTGGGCTTGGAGTTGGTCAGATCTTGGTTTGAAATTCATTCATAGAAAATGCCACCACATTATTCCTAGATAATCTAATTTCATTTTCTTTTTTCTTTTTTTTTTTTTGAGACAAAGCCTTGCTCTGTTACCCAGGCTGGAGTGCAGTGGCAACCTCCACCTCCCGGGTTCAAGCGATGCTCTTGCCTCAGTCTCCCAAATAGTTGGGACTACAGGCATGCACTACCACGCCCGGCTAATTTTTTAATCTTTAGTAGAGACAGGGTTTCACCACGTTGGCAGGGCTGGTCTTGAACTCCTGACCTCAGTGATCCTCCAGCCTCGGCCTCCCAAAGTGCTGGGATTACAGGTGTGAGCCACTGAGCCCAGCCTCTAATTTCATTCTCTAATTACCCCTGGAATCAAATAACATTTATCTTTTTCTTCTAAATATCTATGAGTAAATCATGTTTGATACATTTTTATTACTAAATTGGGTAATAGTCACAAACATCAAAACAGGAAAAGCATATAACTAGAAGCTAATTATAATCTAAGCCTGAAATAAGAGTGCAATAAGGGAACATGTTTTTTCACAATAATAAACTAACAATGAATTGCCACTGTAGTGTTAAACATACAGCTAGATATATTACTGTTCATAATAATAATGTAATATACACTTCTGTTCGTCTTCCTGTTATTTTCAGTAGGGGTGTTTTTTTGTTGTTTGAGATGGAGTCTCCCTCTGTTGCCCAGGCTGGAGTGCAGCAGCACGATCTTGGCTCACTGCAACCTCCACCTCCTGGGTTCAAGGGATTCTTCTCCTGCCTCAGTCTCCCCAACTAGCTGGGACTACAGGCGCACCACCACGTCCAGCTGTTTTTTTTATTATTATTATTTTTAGTAGAGATGAGGTTTCACAATGTTGGTCAGGCTGGTCTTGAACTCTTCACCTCAGGTCATCCGCCCGCCTTGGCCTCCCAAAGTGCTGGGATTAGAGGTGTGAGCCACCGCGCCCGGCCAGTTTTAGGTATTATATGCAGTACGGAACACCTTAGAACAGTCCCAGTACTATACCAAGCCAGAGGCTTGTTCCTCCAAATGTGGCCCTCAGACCATCAGCATTAAAATCCCTGAGATTTCCTTGTTAGAAATAAAGAATTTCAGGCCGGGCGTGGTGGCTGACACCTGTAATCCCAACACTTTGGGAGGCTGAGGTGGGCAGATCTTGAGGTCAGGAGATCAAGACCATCCTGGCTAACATAGTGAAACCCTGTCTCTACTAAAAAATACCAAAAAATTAGCTGGGTGTGGTGGCAGGCACCTGTAATCCCAGCTACTTGGGAGGCTGAGGCAGGAGAATGGCATGAACCCGGGAGGTGGAGCTTGCAGTGAGCCCAGATCGCGCCACTGCACTCCAGCCTGAGCAACAGAGCGAGACTCCGTCTTAAAAAAAAAAAAAAAAAAGAATTTCAGACTCCACCCAGACCTACTGAACTAGAATCTGCATTTCAACAAGATCCCCAGGTGATTTGATTGCACATTAAAACTTGAAAGCTGTGACATACAGGAGTAGTAGACTCACTGCCATCCCTCTAAAATAGATCAGTAGTAAAGAGTTTGGAGAATCTACATTATTCTTTAGAAGGAAGAAATATGAAAAACTGGTTTTCGTTTTAGAGCTTAGGAGGAAAATGGGTACTTAGTACCATTATTAAACTCTGGGTAAGAAAATTTTGAAATAAATATGGTTATGAGATTAAGTTAGCTATAGACTATTAGGAAATTAAAAATAGAAAGGTACCATCATTTTCATAGGATTTACTTTTTCGTCCACTGTTTATCCTTCTAAACTCATCACTTATAACCTCAAATTTCAGTATAAATGGCCATAATAACAGAAATGCCAAGCTGCCATGGCTAATGCTAGGAATACAGAAGTCACTACTTGGATAAGTTAAAGGTTCTAAAATGTTCAGCTTACCAGCACTTAACACTTTTCTTAGTTTTTGTTGTTGTTGTTGTTTAGTCAAGGGTGGTAAACGCTTGGAAATACAATTTTATCCTTAGGTGGCTTTTGTTTTACAGAACTTCGATATGACCTGCCAGCATCATACAAGTTTCACAAAAAGAAATCAGTAAGTCTCTTGATTTTGGCTGGTCTACATTCGGTATTGAAAAGCTTTCTGGGCCGGATGTGGTGGTTCATGCCTGTAATCCCAGCTACTCGGGAGGCTGAGGCAAGAGAATCGCTTGAACTCAGGAGGCAGAGGTTGCAGTGAGCTGAGATTGCCCCACTGAACTCCAGCCTGCGCGATAAGAGTGAGACTCAGTCTCGAAAAAGAAAAAAAAAGGAAAGCTTTGTGACAAGTAATTATTTCTAGTGTTACCAACTTTCCTGTGTAAATATACAAAGCCAGCCTAGGAGACACCATAAATGGCCTGTGGGAAAGGCCCATCGTCAATAGCTAATATTCTAGTTCTTTCCTAAATGCTTTGGGTACAAAAAGAAAAAAAAAATCAAAAACTGTTTTTGCTCTTTTCATATAGTATATATTTTATTAGTTAGTTTGTACTAATACATTCTCATATTACAAAGGCAATTTAATGGAAGAATCTTCCTTTTGATATTTGAATCATCTGAAATAACACAAACAGAACAATACATTCAAAGAAATCTCATTTGCATAACAAAAAGACAAGTTAAACAACAAAAAAATTTTTCCTTTCTCACAGGTGGACATTGAAGTGGACCTAATTCGGTTTTCCTTTTAAAAGCCCCGCAAACAAAAGTCGTTTAAAACCTATTTAAAATGAATAAAAAATTGGTTTACTAAACTACTGGTCTCCAGCACCATTTTCTGTTTTCTGTTGTTTGGATGCAGGTTCTTCTTTGTCTGTTTCTTCTCTTGCTCTTTTCACAGGTCCTATAACGTAACAATTAATTTTTGTTAAATTCAACGTAAGTACTGCTCTAGTTTAATACTGAGCACAATTACTAATAATGATACTGTTGAAAAAGATGCAACAACTTCCTTGCACCAATGAGAAAAGGCTTTTCTCTTAGTACAGACCTGACCTCTAGATTCATCTTCCAAATATCCTGTCCCTGACTTATACAACAGCATAACCGAGGTAAATCGTTAATAATCCAAGAATGGCACTTATCCAGGAGTTGAAAAGCCAAATCCCTATTCTCTCTGGCAAATCATTTATTTATGGAAGTAGAAATTTTCTCATGAAACTACCAAAGGACTTAAAAAAAACTTACCAGTTGCACCATTTTCATCATGTTCATCATGTTCATCATCACTAGCAAATTTCGTTTTCTTGCCCTGAAACTGTACTTTTCCTTTACCAGACCCAGGCTGGGCAGCTTTATTACCCTTTCCTTTTCCTTTAAATCTACGACCTGTAGAGACACAATTGAGCACTCTGTAAAGAACTTTTTTTAAGTCTCTTGTCAATGTTTTTGAACACTGATTAAAGTTTTTGCTCAAGTAAATGGGTTCAACAACCAAACTGTTAAAGAAAAATCAGAATAAATGACCTTTTGACTTCCATTTGTTTAGGGATTCTTGTTGGTCTTCTATTATTTTCTTCAGTGCTTCTTTTTCCACCTCTCCTTCTAGTACTTCCCAAGTCACTTCTTTGTTCCTTAATTGTAGGTTACCATTATTTGCATCTTTGGCTTTACCCAATGCTTCCTTGGCTTTTTCTTTAAATAGAATTATCCCCTATACCAGAGACAGAAAACAAAAGCCATACCCTTGGTTTTTAGTCCCACAATTAATTTCTTTGTCCAAAGTAATTTTTTCTACCCTGCAAACCTTCCATGTCTTTACCAGTTTGAATGAATTTTACTGAACAGTAGAAAAGGAATGCTACAGAAGTAAAACTGCAATCATCAGTATGAACAGTTATTCATAGTATAATTCAGAAACTATCAGACATCACATATAGTGACAATAACAACAAAGTAAATGATCAAGTAGAAACTAATTTAGTATAATTCAGAAAATATCAGACATCACATCTAGTGGCAATAACAAATGATCAAGTAGAAACTAATTTAATAAACACAATTTTTAAAATTACTTTCTACTAATTTTGTCTAAGTTTCTACAGATTTTCAAACTGATTGCTAAAAAGGATAGGGATGTATCCAAACCTCTTTTGCTCCTCTGACGAAGTCTATCCATTTTATTTCACCATGATTTGAGAAAAGTATGTGTAAATCTTCTCTACAGGTCTGATCATCTAAATCACCCGAAAATTTCAGCAAGCATCCAATCTTTTCTTCTAGAGATTTCTATAAAAATATACAAAGTGATCAAAAAGTTTCTTAAAAGCAACAACAGACCAGAAATGACTCACACCACCTTATAGCTATACAAGAAAAAGACTAGAAACCAAAATGCTATTTTAAAGTAGTTTCTTCCGCCGGGGCAGCAAGAGCGAAACTCCATCTCAAAAAATAATAATAATAATAAATAAATAAAGTAGTTTCATAGTGTTGGTGTTTTCCTTTGTCATCCTTTATTCCAAAATGGCTTTCAATATTATTTGATCTCTTATACAACTGGTATTTAATTAGTTATAAACTACATAAATCTGGCTATTAAACTATCTTGGAAAATAATTCTAGGCAGTATTTATCATACTTTAAAAAATTTTTAGGCCGGGCGCAGTGGCTGACACCTGTAATCCCAGCACTTTGGGAGGCCGAGGCAGGCGGATCACCAGGTCAAGAGATCGAGAGCATCCTGGCTAACATGGTGAAACCCCGTCTCTGCTAAAAAAAAATACAAAAAATTAGCCGGACGTGGTGGCAGGCGCCTGTAGTCCCAGCTACTCGGGAGGCTGAGGCAGAAGAATGGCATGAATCTGGGAGGTGGAGCTTGCAGTGAGCCGAGATCGCGCCACTGCACTCCAGCCTGGGCAACAGTGAGACTCGGTCTCAAAAAAAGAAAAAAAAAAATTTTATAGTCATTATTTTCCCCAAATAAAAATTTTTACCTGTAACTTTCTAAATGGAAATACACATCAGTATCTTATTAAGTCAAAAATAAAAGTCATGTTAGTATTAACCTATGATTAGAATCTTTAGAAGTTATAGGACATTTTCTCATAAAAATAAGTTCTAGGCATAAATGAACTTTTTCTGAATATTTCAAAATATATTTTCCTGTGTTTTATTATATTTTTTATTTTTAAACAGGGTCTCACTCTGTCACCCAGGCTGGACTGCAGTGGCATGATCTTGGTTCACTGCAACCTCCGCCTCCTGGGTTCAAGTGATTCTCCTGCCTCAGCCTCCCACATAGCTGGGATTACAGGCATGCACCACCACGCCTGGCTAATTTTTGTATTTTTAGTCAAGATGGGGTTTCACCATATTGGCCAGGCTGGTCTCGAACTCCGTGCCTCAACTGATCTGCCCGCCTCGGCCTTCCAAAGTGCTGGGATTACAGGCGTGGGCCACTGCACCCGGCCTTTTCCATATTTTAGAACATATTTCCTATCCTTAGTTTTCTCTTTTCCCTCAATATAATACCTGATGTATTACTTAATGCAATAACAACTATAGATAGCTTTGCTTACGTATTTTCTTGAAAAAGTCCTCAGACTTAAAAGCTATTCATTTAACTTCGAATTACAGATGTACTAGATAGCAGTAATATATACTTACCATTTCAGCATCTTCTTCTAACTTTTGTTTTGCTTCTTGCTCCCTACAAATAAAAATATAATTATAACATACTTCTATTTACTATATAAGAAAATTAAGTCCTAATAAAGTTAACCAATCATGATCACTAAACTTACTTAACCAAAGCCAGAAGTCCTTAGGTTTTTTTGATCGTCCAATGCTAGACTGCAATGCAATTTGGCCCTGAGATTGTCAAGGCAGCTTAAGATCTCAGTGTTTCACTAGCAAAGAGAAAGGTCTACTGCCACTATTTCAGAGCTCACCAGCTATATTTCTGTCAGAGCTTTAAGGAATTCAAATTATGTCGTGATTAGTTCAACATACTTACTGTTTAGCTCTTAATTTAGCTTCCACTTTATTTTGTTTTCTTTCTTCATTTTTTTTGGCAAAGTAATCGTCCCTAAAGAACACACAGTACAGAGGCTAAGTTCACGAGAACAAAGTTAAGACTGCAGATTATTTTGAATAACTTAAGACATGGCACAGCAATGAATGTTGCACACGCTTACTATCAACATAATCATCAACTAAAAATTCAAAATATGCCAAGGAATTTACTCTCTCATGTTTTTTTATATAACAGCTTTACTGAGGAAAAAATCCATGTGCCACAAAATTCACTCTTTTAAAGTGTACCTTGAATGTTTTTTAGTATATTCAGTTGTACAACCATCACTACTAATTTCAGAACATTTTCATGACCCCAAAAAGAAACCCCCTATCCATTAGCAATTTCATGTTGATTTCCATTTATCATTCATGTATAGGGAAAAAAGTGTATCAGAAGTCATGCAAATAATATTGCAGTTTTCTATAGTGTTAATTCCACAAAAGGAGAAAATTCTAAAATCCCCAAGATCCAACAATAACATATGAAAATCATGTTAAATAATTTTTGAGGATTTAACACTGATACTATGACCCATCACAGTGCATCTCTAAGTCAATCAAGTTTAGTATATACCATTTAGAAGACTAATGCACAGTCTTCTAAAGTAGGGAACTATGGCCCTACACCTAATTTTATCATGAAAATGCTCTGGTTCATCCCCATTTTTAGACACTTAGACAGACACACATTCACAAAGAATGTGACCCAAATCTCAAATCCTTTGTACTGTAAAAAAAAAAAAAAAAAAAAAAAGACATATAGGCTATGAAAAATAAGATGAAAACTGCATTGATATATTTTCCAAACACACAAAAGACCAAATTTTAATACCCAGCCTGATCAAAAGTTTTAGATGCAAAATCAGTATTAAAACATAACCTCCTTTAATAATGGCTAACAGTGGCTGGGCGCAGTGGCTCACGCCTGTAGTCCCAACACTTTGGGAGGCCAAGGCAGGCGGATGATCTGAAGTCAGGAGTTCAAGACCAGCCTGGCCAACATGGTGAAACTCCATCTCTACTAAAAATACAAAAATTAGGTGGACGAGGTGGCACGCGCCTGTAGTCCCAGCTACTCAGGAGGCTGAGGCAGGAGAATCGCTTGAACCCAGGAAGCAGAGGTTGCAGGGAGCCAAGATCACACCACTGCACTCCAGCCTGGGTGACAAGAGTGAAACTTGTCTCAAAAAAAAAAGAAAAAGAAAAAAAAATTGTTAACAGTGAAAAGGTACTAATGAACACTTTTCTTATAGTCTCAAAAGACTATAGTTCTCACTGAACAAATATCAAGCATTTCTCAAAGGTCATCTAAAGATACTAAGAATATTGGCCTTTCAGGGGATACTACTTCCATGCTCCTTACCCTAGTGTGTGTCCATATAAGTAAAAGGCCAGGAGAAACATCAGCAAAAAGACTTACTTGAAAAGTATTAGCAGGTCTGTTTCTTTGTACTTCTGGCCAGGGGTCTCTACAAATTTCTTAGCAGATTCAATGCTATCAAACACAACAAAAATTGATCCCTGTAAAAAGGAAGGAAAATATTTTTTTAAGTTATGTCCCATATATTTTAAAACTAGAAAAAGTCTGTATTATCATACCTTAAATGCTTTATGCAATGTTCTTCTCATCTGAATATTTAGTACTTGACCTTTATCTTCTAACCATTCTTTTATGTCATCAAGAGTTGCATCAGTTGGGAAGCCTTTCTGTGAAGAGTGGGAAGAAATGTACAAATAACAAATAATGACTTCTCAGATAAACAATTGGAGAGAATTTGATTCATTTTTTCTTGAAATGAACCCAGGATATACCTATCTATCTCTATTTCTCTTTGTTAATCACTTAACAGCCTTGTTTAGGAGCCACTACTCTCCAGTACAATAAAAGTGATTCATCTGGTATTTGCTTCAAAATAATTCAGTTGAAGCAGAAATAAAACAAGATGATTTGCATGTTCTGTTATTAACTACTAAAGCTGGTGATGGTACATTATTGAATCTATTTATATATGTATCTGAAATTTTCCGTAATAAAAAACTATTTAAAAATACACTAAAGAAAACTGCAATCAAGTTTAGCTGCTGATAAATAAGAACAGCTAATAGGCAATAGGTGCTTAGAATATGTCAAAGATTTCATCCAATGGTATATATATTTTTTTTCATTTAATTCTCACAACAGTTCTACAAGGTAGAAAATATCCACGTTTATGAAGATAAAACTTAGGACTAGGCATGGTGGCTCACACCTGTAATCCCAGCACTTTGGGAGGTCAAGGTGATTGGATCACTTGAGCCCAGGAGATTGACACCAGCCTGGGCAACACAGGAAGACCCGTCTCTACAAAAAATTTTTTGCCAGGCATGGTAGCATGCACCTGTAGTCCCAGCTACTCAGGAGGCTGAGGTGGGAGGATCACTTGAGCCCAGGAGGTCAAGACTGCAGTGGGCCATGATCACACCACTGCACTCCAACGTGAGCAACAGGATGAGACTGTCTCAAAACAAAACAAAACAAAAGAAACTTAGGTTAAGAATATTACGAAAGGACATACAGTAATTAGTGAGGCTGTGATTCCTGAGCCCTTATTCTTCCGTACTTTACTTTCTAAATAAATGTAAGATATTTAAATGCATTACAGGCCCACTTACAATATAAACAGATCTGTTTTTTACATCATTTTTATACTCATCAGTCACTTCAGGTAGGGGTTTGCTTGGAGACCTTCTGATTTTAGTTTTATCTTCACTGATTTCCATGAGTTCTGCCTTGGATTTGCTCAATGCTTCCACAATTACATTAAAGTCTGTTGTTAGACGGTTCAACCTGAAGAGTACATATAAAAACATAAGACTCAGCAGTAGCACTCATTGTAAACAGAAAACCTAAAGATTATTTTTAAAAGCTTGTTACCTGTTGAATTTTATCATTATCTCCAAAGGTACCCAGCCTTCATCCAGTTTTATCTGTTCCTTTAGAAACTTGTCCCGTGGCAAATTGAAGTCGCCAAAATAATACTGTGAGATAATTACAATGTATTTCAGAACACTGTATAATATGGACTCCAATCCTGACATTACTCTACAGTACCAAGTTCTGTTATTTAAAAATACATAAGTTACAAAAGGCAAAACACTTTCCCCAAATATACAATAATGTTTACAAATTAGCAAAAAGATAAAACTAAAATGTCAATTACTAAAATAGTGTAACAGATGTGTCAATAGACTAGAAAACCTTAAAGAAGAATATATTTAAAGATTATATGAAAAGGCTCTTGCAAATCAGTGTGGAAAGAACAGATGGTTAAATAAAAAGAACTGGAAGAAATTGGTTAATCACTCAATTCTTATTTTTTTTTGAGACAGAGTCTTACTCTGTCGCTCAGGCTGGAGTGCAGTGGCATGAACTCAGCTTGCCGCAACCTCCGCTTCCCAGGTTCAAGTGATTCTCCTGCCTCAGCCTCCTGAGTAGCTGGGATTACAGGCATGTACCACCACGCCCAGCGAATTTTTGTTATTTTTAGTAGAGACAGGGTTTTACCATGTTGGCCTTGAACTCCTGATCTCAAGCGATCTGCCCACCTCGGCCTCCCAAAGTGCTGGGATTGCAGGCATGAGCCACCACACCTGCCCTTCTAATTTTTTAAAATTAAAAAATAAGGGACGGGGCCAGGCACGGTGCCGCACGCCTGTAATCCCTGCACTTTGGGAGGTCAAGAGATTGAGACCACCCTGGCCGACATGGTCAAACCCCGTCTCTACTAAAAATACAAAAATTAGCTGCACATAGTGGCACACACCTGTAGTCCCAGCTACTCAGGGGGCTGGGGCAGAAGAATCATTTGAAACCGGGAGGCAGAGGCTGCAGTGAGCCAAGATTGTGCCACTGCATTCCAGCCTGACAAAAGAGTGAGACTCCATCTCAAAAAAGGGGGTGGGGGGCCAGGAGTGGTGGTTCATGCCTAATCCCAGCACTTTAGGAGGCTGAGGTGGGTGCATTGCTTGAGTCTAGGAGTTCAAGACCAGCCTGGGCAACATGGCAAGACCCCAGCTCTCCAAAAAATAAATAAATAAATAAAATAAATAAGAAATAGAGGTACGTGCCTCTAGTCCCAGCTCAGGAAGCTGAAGTGGGAGGATTGCTTAAGCCTGGCAGGTTGAAGCTGCAGTGAGGCATAATTGTGCCACTGTACTCCAGCCTGGGCAACAAAGTAAGACGCTGCCTCAAAAAAAAAAAAAAAAAAAAAAGTTAAAGTAAATGTTTCTCAAATTTAAGCATAGAGGAACTCTCAATATACAAGCCAAGGAAAAACCCAAGTATGACTATTTGGAATGCCAGAAGTAACATAAAAAGTAAAAGACAAACAAATTTTGTCAAGAATTCTTACAAACAAAGAAGAAGGGTAAAAAGAGAACACCCTAATAGAAAACAGTTAAAGGATATTTTATTGGCCTCGCACGGTGGCCCAAGCCCATAATCCCAGCACTTTGGGAGGCTGAGGCGGGTCAATTTCTTGAGGCCAGAAGTTCGACAACAGACTGGCCAAAGTGGTGAAACCCTGACTCTACTAAAAATACAAAAATTAGCCACACATGGTGGTGCACGCCTGTAATCCCAACTACTCGGATGGCTGAGGCACAAGACTAGCTTGAACCCGGGAGGTGGAGGTTGCAGTGAGCTGAGATCACCGCCACTGTACTCCAGCCTGAGAGGAGAGCAATACTGTCTCTCTGTCTTAAAAAAAAAAAAGACACTATTTTTCAGGGATCGGGTCTTGCTTTGTTGCCCAGACTGGAATGCAGTGGTGCAACCACAGCTCACTGCAGCCTGAAACTCCCGGGCTCAATTGATCTTCCTCCTCAGCCTTCCAAGTAACTAGGACGACAAGCACATGCCACCATGCCCAGCTAATGATTTTTTTAAAAATTATAAAAAATAGGCCAAGCGCAATAGCTCATGCCTGTAATCCCAGCACTTTGGGTGGCCGAAGCAGGTGGATCACCCGAGGTCAGGAGTTCGAAACCAGCCTGACCAACATGGTGAAACCCCGTCTCCACTAAAAATACAAAAATTAGCCGGGCATGGTGGTGTGCACCTATAATCCTAGCTACTTGGGAAGCTGAGGAACCTGGAAGGTGGAGGTTGTGGTGAGCCAAGATCACGCCACTGCACTCTGCACTCCAGCCTGGGAGACAAGAGTGAGACTCCATCACAAAAAATAAATAAATAAATAATGTACTGTAAACTAAAAAAAAAATCCAACCTCATTTCATTGTTAATCAAAGAAATACAATTTAAAGCAACGAGACAGCATTTTTCACCTAACAAACTGGCTAAGATTAGAAAGAAAACCAAGACTACCTAGTATTGACTTGAACACAGAGAACTAGCCATTCAGGTAGATGTAAACTGACAATTATCAGTGTTTTTTAAATGTGCATAATCCTTGAGCCAGTATGGCTCCTTCTAAGAATTTTCCTTGAAGAAATCAATAAACATGTTTACTAAGATTTATATATAAGAATATTTGTCAAAGAATGATTACAGCTAAAAAAATTAGAAACATCCTTCATATTAAAGAGGAGAATGAAAAGATTATTGATTACAAAACTTTTCTCCACAAAAATGCATCCTATATTTAGCGGGGGAAAGGGAAGGAAATAAAATTGTTAGAAATGTACCACTCTGGTGGGGGATGTTTTAAAAGGTGAAGGCACTATGCTTGTGTGGAGGCAGGGGATATATGGAAAATCTCTGTACCTTCTGCTCAATTTTGCTGTAAACCTAGAACTGTTGTAAAATATAAGGTCCACTAAAAAAATTAGTATGAGCATGAAGCAAAGTGTCAAAAGCTTTTAACCTTGATAACCTCAGAAGAGTAGGATTTGAGAGTTAGCAGGTTGTGGGAGAGATACAACCTTTTCTATATACATCTTAGTATTGTTCTAAGTATTAAACACAGAATGAATAATTTCTAATTTTTCTCCTCATAGTCATAAAGAAATTAATACCAAAAAAAGGAACATGAGACATTTTAAATGCAGAGACGTGCAGCTTAAAAAAAAAAAAAAAGCAGTTCTGAGAATTGCAGAAAAACCCCACACCAAACAATATGATCTGAGGGGTTCTTAGCAAGAACCTAAGTTTAGAGATAATTTCCCATGCAACCATTATCGATATTGTAAAGATTTTAAGGTTTTTTTCTTTTTGAGTTTAATTGAACAAAGAACGATTTGCAAATCAGGCAGCCTCCCCAGCCAGAGTATGCTCACGAAGACTCTCAAGTTTCTTCCCCTCGCCCCCTGAAACAGTGTCTCGCTCTGTCATCCAGGCTGGAGTGCAGTGGTATGATCACAGCCACTGCAGCCTCTACCTTCTGGGCTCCATCAATCCTCCCACCTCAGCTTCCCAAGTAGCTAGGACTACAGGTAAACTGCTAACACACTCAGCTAATTTTTAAAATTTTTTTGTAGAGATGGGGCCTCATCATGTTGCCCAGGCTGGTCTCTAACTCCTGGACTCAAGCCATCCTCCTGCATCAGTACTGCAAAGGTACTACGGATCACTTGAGGTATTACGTTAACATAAACATAATACCTAAATTTGAAAAAATGCTAAGAGGGTTTTGAAAACAGATACTATATTAAAGTTACTGGCTGGGCACAGTGGCTCACACCTGTAATCCCAGCACTTTGGGAGGCTGAGGTGGGCAGATCACCTGAGGTCTGGAGTTCGAGACCAGCCTGGCCAACATGGTGAAACCCTGTCGCTACTAAAAATACAAAAATTAGCCAGGTGTGGTGGCGTGCTCCTGTAGTCCCAGCTATTTGGGAGGCTGAGGCAGGAGAATCATTTGAACCCAGGAGGCAGAGGCTGCAGTGAGCCAATACTGTTGTAGTGAGCCAGGATAGTGCCACTGCACTCCAGCGTGGCCAACAGAGTGAGACTCCATCTCAAAAAAAAAAAAAAAAAAAAAAACTATATTAAAGTTACAATAGCTGAGAACTGACTGGGCAGAAAAAAACTAAGATCATCAAAAATATAGTGTTATTTAACAGGGAAGGTACTTTACCAAGGACTTTTATGTTACTTATGTGTCAGGAATTCTTCTAAGTACTTAACATTATATTCACTAATCCTCCAAACTACCTTATGAGGAGGGAACTACTATTATTCTCATTTTATATGAGACTATGAAGCTAAAATTTTATATGAGACTATGAAACTAAAATTTTAAAAAGATTAAGTAACTCTAGTTTATAGTGTTACCTTTTGAAATGTTTGTACATCTTAAGTTTCACAACCTGGCTCCACCAATATAAAACTGTATGCTATTATATGTTCATCTAAGAATCAAAGGCAAACCAAATGTTGAATATGTCCATGTACTAGAATTAAATGTTCTTTCTGTATTTTCTTTCAAGGAACTTGTTTTTGCAGTTTATAGCACAGGAATCATACCTCAATTTGATGACAGATTTTGGCCTCCAGGGCAGCCATCTTTTCATTATCACCATTTTCAGCCATTGCGGCTATCTGTAAA
This sequence comes from Homo sapiens, assembly GCF_000001405.40. Classification (NCBI taxonomy): domain Eukaryota; kingdom Metazoa; phylum Chordata; class Mammalia; order Primates; family Hominidae; genus Homo; species Homo sapiens. The sequence goes on along the minus strand of NC_000002.12, from coordinate 169,800,944 downwards.
ATTTCCCAAATTAGCATAAAGTTATTTTTTATATAAAACTCAAGAATAGAAAGATAATGTTTACAAAGTATTAATATCCCGTTTTCTTAAAAAATCAAGAATTTCTATTTTCACGGGTTCAGTTTCTTTACTCAGTTCTCAAATATCTCAACAAAGCAACACTTTGGAATAAGTGATGAAAAAATCTAAAAACTATAAAAAACTTGTCTTTCAGTAAATCACTACCCCATCTTCTATAACAAGAAACTGTTTATCTTCACTTAGCTGGTCAAGCAAGCTTTAGGGAAAAAAACTCCAATCACTTACCAACCATTTCCAGTTTTAAACAGATAACTATCTATCTGTATATTACCATGGCTCTCTGTGCATTTGTTTGGTATGGGTTCACCTCTTTTTTTTTTTTTTTTTTTGAGACGGAGTCTCGCTTTTGTTGCCCAGGCTGGAGTGCAATGGTGCGATCTCGGCTCACTGCAACCTCTGCCTCCCAGGTTCCAGCGATTCCGCCTTCGCCTCCTGAGTAGCTGGGATTACAGGCGCCCACCACCACGGCTGCGGCTGACTAATTTTTGTATTTTTAGTAGAGACGGGGTTTCACCATGTTGGTCAGACTGGTCTTGAACTCCTGACCTCTGGCGATCCACCCGCCTCGGCCTCCCAAAGTGCTGGGATTACAGGTGTGAGCCACCGCGCCCGGCCTCATTTCTTTTAAAATGTAGTCACAACTGACTTACCCAAACCTTGTTACCAAGTTAGACATCATAACTTTAAGGTGAAAAATGTTACAGTTCCTTAGATACTCTATGCTAAGGAACATACGAAAACAAAAATGGGAGAATGTGGTCATACTAACACAACATTAAACTGGGGAGTATGCCTACTAATTTACTAATACATTGGATAGCCAGTTTCCTGTTTCGTATTCCTGACATTAGCACTGCAATGAAAAAAGGAAGCTGTGCTATTAGTTTGCTAGAAATTACAAACCAAGTCTTCTACTTACAAAGTACTTGCCTCCAGGACTCTACTAAGCCACCCAGTCATCCCAACTGTACAAAAGTTATGTGAACAAATCATCGAGAATATTGCCATTAGTTGACTCTAGTTATGAACTGATGTAGGTACACTTCCTGGAAGCATCCCCTGACACACTGCAATTGCATTCGATACCATGGATACACATAGGAAGCACTTGCAACGGGGTACTGTGTGATCCACATCCCCCTAGAGAAATTACTCAATTTTATGCATTGTCTTGTCTATCACAATCTACACTCCTAAGTTACTACCGTGATCTAGGGCCCCCTACAAAGCAAACGATGAAATAAAATAACTATTTAGACCCTGCAAAACCTATTTGGCCTAATTTTGGAACTGCGTTTCATCAGATACTTTTCCAGAATGTACGACTGTAAATGAAATATTACCCACGTTTTCCCGTTTCACACTGAAACCTGATGTGAGCGATGAAGGCCCTAACAGACCAAAAGAGTGACGCTGGTGTACATCTGCGGCCCAAAGTTCTTTGGCCTCCAGTCAGTCCCATAGGCTCCACAGAACCCTCCGGCGTTTACCCCGTGCCCACCTCCCCAGAAACTTTACAGAGATGGCCACAAGCCTTCGGTGAGACTAGAAGGCGGTGGAGGTAAAAAAAAAAAAAAAAAAAAAAGACGCAATGGGGATGAGGGCAGCCACAGTCCCGTCTCTAAGCAACCGCGGAACTGCCTGGGCACCAGCCACGTGCGGGGAACCCCAGGATCCCGCATTCCTCGCGGGGGCAGCCTCGCCGCCGCCCGCGCCCCCTCGGCTCCGCCGCCTCCGGCTGCGGCCCACGCGGCGCTCGGCCTGAACGTGAGGAAGGCGAGGGGCGGACGGACGCCGCGAGAAGCAGTAAAGAACGGAAACGCGCAGTCGCGCACCAGCAAAGCGGACCCTTTTGTAGCTTCTCATTAGCCACCGAGAGTTACTCACCTTTAAGGTTCCGGCCCACAGAAGCCGCGCCACAGGCTCACAAACAGCAACAGCAACGACTCCACCTCCCAGCGCCGCCGGCCAGCCTAAAGCGCTCCAAGAAGATGGGGACCGTCCCGGCAGCTCTTGCGGCCTGGGTGGGCAGGGCCACGGACGAGGTGGAGCGGTCCCTGTGCTCTGAGCATGCGCGGCTGCCGGGGCCTCCCAGGGACCCTGGAGTCCCGCCCTCAATCCCAAACAGATTGGGTTAAAAAGTACTCCAGGTTGTAGGGGAATGGCTGCTAGTTTGTGTTAGTATAAACATTTATTTTTAAGTATTTCTGGACGGCGTCTGTACCCCAGCCCTTCCTTTGGCCCTCCATTCATGTGAAGTGCTTTGGGTTTTTTTTCAGATATTTTCCAAAAATGTGTGTGAATACACACACACATCGTGTTGTAGTAGTTCTCAAAAAAAAAAAAAGGACAAGTGAAATTTAAAAAAAAAATCAAAGATCCATGAAATCTTAGAGTTTTGAAAACAATACAGTACAGCGTGTAAAAACTGGGTGTCTGGAATCAGACTGCCTGCTTCAAATAATGGTCCTCCTGCTGTGAAACTGTGATCTTGGACAAGTTGTTCAACTTCTCTGTTCCTCAGGTATAAATAGGGCCGGTAATAAATACTACCTAGTTCATACAATTGCTGTGAGTATTCAACTTGATGCAATATTGTCAACCTAAAGGGAAAAACTGAGGCAAAATTAATATAAGTAGACAGTTTATTTGAGCCAAGTTTGAGGACTGCCACATGAGAGCATGGATTCAAATTGCCCTGAATATATGCTCTGATTAGCAGCACTTACAAGTAGCTTTTAAAGAAAAAAGAAGAGGCAGTTCCTAAATTGTTTACCGATAACTTACATTACAATAACAAGCTATTGATTGGCTATACATTCTTCTTTGTATCACAAATTCGAAGAACATGAAAATGGATGAAGCAGGTAGTAAGGGACAAAGTGACTTGAAACAATTGCCCCCCAAGCATGGCGACTGATATAGTTTGGTTCTGTGTCCCCACACAAATCTCATCTCGAATTGTAATCCCCATAATCCCCAAGTGTGGAGGGGAGGAACCACACACAGGGTGGGAGGTGACTGGATCATGGGGATGGTTTCCCCCATGCTGTTCTCCTGGTGGTTTTATAGGGCAGTTTTCCCTGCTCTTGCTCGCTCCCTCTCACCTGCCACTGTGTAAGACATGCCTCTTCCCCTTCCACCATGATTGTAAATTTCCTGAGGTCTCCCCAGACATGCGGAACTATGAGTCAATTAAACCTCTTTTCTTTATGAATTACCGAGTCTTGGGTATGTCTTTATTGCAGTATGAGAACTAACTAATACAGGGGTGTAGGGACATGACTGAAGTCCCAAACTCATATCTCTCTGTGCCTGATAAATTCCGCATACCTCACATAGTTCAAACTGCTCTGGGCTCTTTTTTCTTTTCTTAAGGCCAATGAGAAAAAACATATTTAACAGGGTTGTGCTCAGGTAGTTTAAATTCAAATTAATTAGATTATCTTTTATCCACTCAAAGAATATTTATCTACTCTCTATTTTATGCCAGACACAATTGAAACCTTAATTCTTGTTTTGATCAAGTCAGTGAGAATATATGTATTTAACAGAACAAATAATATCAGTGTCAGGGTACTCTCATTCATCCATTCAGCTAACTGTTTATTACATGCCTGTTAATGTCCTGGTATGGAGGCTTAACACTGGGAATAGAAAGAAGAGTCAGAATCTGCCTAGAGACAGAGCCACCTAAACAAATATAACTGCTTCTTCATGTCCCACAACATCTGGGCAGAACTGCAGTACAGCCTATTATCAGAAGTCACACCGGCAAAAAAAACATTTATTTCATGTTCTCATCAGGTCCCTGGTCCTTTGCTCTCCCTTTCTTGTCTTTTCTTTTTTATCTTTTTCTTTCTTCTTCTTTTTTTTTAGACAGTCTCCCTCTGTCGCCCAGGCTGGAGCGCAGTGGCACCACCTCGGCTCACTGCAACCTCTGCCTCCCAGGTTCAAGTGATTCTCCTGCCTCAGCCTCCTGAGTAGCTGGGATTACAGGCGCCCGCCACCATGCCTGGCTAATTTTTTTATTTTTAGTAGAGTCAGCGCTTCGCCATGTTGGCCAGGTTGGTCTCGAACTCCTGGCCTCAGGTGATCCACCCGCCTCAGCCTCCTAAAGTGCTGGGATTACAGGCATGAGCCACCATGTCCAACCCTTTTCTTATCTTTTCTTTTTCTCCCTCGTTCCCTTCCAGAAGCAGAGTTCCATGCAGACACACCCTCTGAGGAAAATGAATTCCTGGCGGCAGACCAGGAAGCTTCATGTTTCATTTACAGTACCTAGGAGAGGACTCTCTCTCATACTGGTATCCATCTCTCATAGCATAACTTTGTAAGTCAGTACACTAAAAGACCATCTTTCTGGGTATACACTTAGTACAATTACTTTGAGAACAAATTGATAATATCTATTAAAGTTTAAGATGTGCATAGCTGATGGTGCAGAAAGTCCACTCTAAAGAATATACTCCCAGCCTGGCCAACATGGTGAAACCCTGTTTCTACTAAAAATACAAAAATTAGCCAGGCATGGTGGTGCATGCCTGTAATCCCAGCTACTAGGGAGGCTGAAGCAGGAGAATTGCTTGAACCTGGGAGGTGGAGGTTGCAGAGAGTCAAGATCGCGCCATTGCACTCCAGCCTGGGCGACAAGAGTAAGACTCTGTCTCATTAAAAAAAAAAAGATTATACTCTAGAGCAATGTTCACATCTGTACACAAGAAAACATGTTCAAGCATATTCGGGCGGGGTGCAGTGGCTCATGCCTGTAATCCCAGCACTTTGGGAGGCTGAGGAGAGTAGATCACAAGGTCAAGAGTTTGAGACCAGCCTGGCCAACATGGTGAAACCCCGTCTCTACTAAAAATACGAAAATTAGCCAGGCATGGTGGCACGTGCCTGTAATCCCAGCTACTTGGGAGGCTGAGGCAGGAGACTTGCTTGAACCTGGGAGGCGGAGATTGCAGTGAGCCAAGATCATGCCACTGCACTCCAGCCTGGATGACAGAGCAAGACTCCGTCGCTAAAAAAAAAAAAAAAAAAAAAAGAATATTCATAGCAATATGGTTTGTAAATTTAGGGAACTGGAAATCAACTAAATGTTCACCACAAAAGAATGGGTAACTAAATTAAATTGTGATATAATTAAATAATGAAATTCTATACAGTGAGAAAAATAAACTAGATCTACATGAATTGACATTGATAAATTTCACAAACATAATGCTGAGTTTAAAAAGAGATTTCAGAAGAAATATAAGTAGCAACCCCCAGTCACTGTGACAATGAAAAATCCCACCTACATTTCGAAACAGCTTCTTAATTATGAGGCTGGTTACTGCTCCCAGCCTCATATTAAGAACATTTAGTCTAGGGTAATAGCATTGCTCTATTTTGAAGATTTGGTTTTGTTACTGAATTGGGCTTGTTCTGCCTGTTGCACAATATGCCCAATCACTGAGACATCAAATTTTGCTGCAGAGAAAGGGTTTATTCATGAAGCAGCCAAGTGAGGAGACAGGAGAACAGATCTCAAATCCAGCTCCCAAAGATGGGGTTTTAGGGTATTTACGGGATAAAGGAGCAAGGTGGTCTGAGGCATGGGGAAAGGTAATTGGGGTAAGAAACAGTGAGGCAACTGGTGCTGTGCACAAGCATAGTCAAGCTTCATAGCTCTTCATAGGACACATGTCCACAAAATTGCAGCTTTAGCATGATCTGAGGGTGGAGCTCTTGGTCCTGTGATGCCAAAAGGTCACCCATTGGACACTCATGCAGGCCCAGTTGAAGAGTTGTTGGTCTCAGCTGGCTTAAGCTGGACAAGAGCTAACTCTAAGTTCCTGAAAAACAAGCAACCATTACCATGGTGACCTATATCTCAGATATGTAATCTGTAAGGAAGCTAATGGAATTTTATGTATATATTGCTTAGCTACATGACTTTTAGCTATTAAATATGTAGCTTTTAAAATTAACTAAAAACAAATGAGACAAGTTAAGTTTGGTGGGCCAAATCAGGTTAGCCCTCAGTTTCAGGTTGAAATGCTTATTAGACATCAAGGTAAAGATGTCAAGTAGGCAGTTGGTATGAGTTTGAAGAAGTCAGGGTTAAAGATATAAATTTTGGAACTATTAGTATATAGCAGACATTTTAAGTCATGTCATTATATGAGCTCTCCTAAAAAGAGTATAGACAACAAAGATGGGAGGATCCCAGACTGACCCCTCTAGCATTCGAATTTTTTGGATAATGAATAAAAGAAGAGAAGCCTGTACAGCAGCTAGAATAAGCAGACCCTGAGAGGTGCTATGAAAATATGGCACCATAGAAGCTAAAGAGTGGAATGTTTCAAGGAAGGAGGGACCAACTGAGTACATATTGCTGAGAAGATGCTATGGATTGTGTATGGGTCATGAGGATGGATCCCTTATGAGTGGCTTGGTGCTGTTCTTGTAGTAGCCAGTAACTTTCCCTTCTGATTGGCTCTCAGAGGAATGGGTTAGTTCCCATGAGAATGGGTTGTTATGAAACAATGGGTTGTTATACCAGGGTGCCCCTCAGATTTGGTCTTTCTTCACACATGCCTGCTTCTCTTTGACCTTTTCCACCATGTTTGACTCAGCAGAAAAGCCCTTACTGGGAGCCAAGAAGATGCTGGTGGGTGTCATGCTTCTTGTACAGCCTGCGAAATTGTGAGCCAAATAAACCTCTTTTAAAAAAAATTATCCAGCCTCGGGTATTCATTTATAGCAACACAAAACAGACTAAGACAGAAGATTTGCAAGCTGACCTAAACCAATTTTGTCATTGTGGCAGATACTGTCACTTATCTCTTGGCTCTCTCCTTCCTATATAATAATAAAATCACCTGTGGCTTTCAACAAAATGTATGGCCAATCAGAAATAAAAACTACATTTTTCCAGCCTTCCTTGAAGCTTAGTAAGACAATGTCTGGCCTATGAGACATGAGTGGAAGTGATGTGTGCAACTTCCAGGTAATTCTTAAATGCAATGAATTTATTCTCTTACCTCACTTTCTCTTTTCTTCAACTAGCTAGATGTGGATGATGAGCAAAACTGGACCAAGCAAATGAAGGAAACACCATAGGTGTGGCAAAGCAGCAAGATAGAAGGAAGCCAAGTCCCAACATCCTGTAGTTCCATACCAACTCTGATGGCTTCGTAGAATGGACTTATCATTCTAACCTGGACTTTAAATGCGAGGGGGAAAAAAATCCATGAAAAATTATTCAAGGCAGATGATTATAATATTTTAGACTTTTGGTTAGGGCAATTGAGAGAATTCATCACTAAGGGGCAGAAAACTCAACTAAATCAAAACTCCAGGCCAAGAGTACCACTCTGAAGGCTGCTAGGCTTGCTAAGTTTTTCTATTTCTGTGTGTGTGTGTGTGTGTGTGTGTGCGCGCGCACGCGCGCGCGCAAGATGAATATCAGATTGCCTAAAAGCCAGAAATCTAGGGTCTCCCTGAATTTTGGGAATAGATTGTAGGACTACTTTTGTGTTTTCTTGCTAATAGATGTTTGAAGGTGAATCTTGTCTACAAAAACTTCCTTCATTGTAATAAGTCATATGAAAGTGAGGTTATTAAGGGGAGACCTAGAGCCCACCCCTATGTCTAACAATTGGTGACCTCCACTATCCTCTAAATTATCTAATAATTGTGAACAGCCAAATTTACTTGGGTCAATTTGCTATATTTGGCAAGTGGACGAGATCAGCATGCATAAAATGATAAGTAGATCTTCTATAGAAGACAGTACATGGAAGTTGATAAAACAGCACAGATTCTTTACCAAGACTTCATGTAAAATAAAATAACTGTGACAGATAAAGAGAAAAGAAGGGCCTTTGGGGGCTAAACATTTTTTTAATTGAATTATATCACACAAACTATAAGGTGCATGAATTTTAAGTGCTCAATGAAGTTTCACAAGTGAACACCACCTTGTAATTACCATCCAGATTGAGATATAGAACATTTCAGCACTCCAGAAAGTTCCTTTGGGCTCCTCTCTCAGTCAATACCCTCCTTAAAAGTAACTACCATTGATTAGCTTTGCCTGTTCTAGGTCATGTAGTATGTATATATCTGGGTCTCAGTTTGGACAGCTATAACAAAATATCATAGACTGGGTGTCTTAAACAACAGAAATTTATTGCTCGCAGTTTTGAAGGCTGAGAAGTCCAAGATCAAGATGCTGTTAGATCTGGTGTCTCATGATGACCTGCTTCCTGGTTTGCAGATGGCCATCTTCTTCATGTATCCTTACATGGTGAAAAGCAGAAAGGAAGTAAACTCTCCAGTCTCTTCTTACAAGGCACTAAATCCCATTCATGAGGTAGAATTCTACCATCATGATCTTATTACCTCCCAAAGGCCCCACTTCCTAATACCATCCCACTGGAGGTTAGGATGTCAATGTATGAATTTTGGGGAACTACAAACAGTCCACAACATGTGGTATACGCACATACCACAACTGATTTATCCATTCTTCCATTTCTTTTCCTTTTTTTGAGACAGAGGCTCACTCTGTTGCACAGGCTAGAGTGCAGTGGCGCAATCTCGGCTCACCGCAACCTCTACCCCCCTGGGTTCAAGTGATTCTCGTGCCTCAATATCCCAAGTAGCTGGGATTATAGGTGCCTGCCACCATGCATGGCTAATTTTTGTACTGTTTTAAGTAGAGACAGGGTTTTGCCATGTTGGCCAGGCTTGTTTCAAACTTCTGACCTCAAGGGATCCATCCACCTTGGCCTCCCAAAGTGCTGGGATTACAGGAGTGAGCCACGACGTCTGGCCCATTCTTCTGTTTCTGACCATTTTGTTGTTTCTAGTTTTTTGCTGTTATGAATAAAGCTATTCTGAACGTTCTTCTCCATGTCTTCTGCACTCATTTCTGTTAGGTGTATGCCTAAGAATGAAATTATGGGTCACAGGGCAGGCGTGTGTTTAGCTCTAATATATATTGCTAAACAGCTTTCCAAAGTGGTCATATCATTTTTCACTCACACCAGCAATGTAGTTGCTAAACATTCTGGACAATGCACTGTCATGTTTTAAAGCCAGATATTATTTTTTTATTTTAATTTTTATTTTTATATATTTAGGGAGTACCAGTGCAACATGTACATATTACGTAGCGGTGAAGCCTGGGCTTTTAGTGCATCCATCACCTAAATAGTGAACATTGTACCCAATAGGTAATTTTTCAGTCCTCACCCCTGCTCTCACCCTCCCACCTTTTGTAATCTCCAGTGTCCATTATTCCACTCTAAGCCACATATAATATTAATATTAAAAGCTCATGCTTACAATAAGTAAACTACGTAGCGAAGAGACAAAATAAGTACATGCTTACAATAAGTACATGCTTACAATAAGTAAACTACGTAGTGAAGACACAAAATAAAGTTGGTGAATAAAAATGCACACTTGAAAAGTTTTAGAAAGGCCGGGCGCGGTGGCTCACGCCTGTAATCCCAGCACTTTGGGAGGCCGAGGCGGGCGGATCACGAGGTCAGGAGATTCAGATCATCCTGGCTAACACGGTGAAACCCAGTCTCTACTAAAAATACAAAAAAACTAGCCAGGCATGGTAGTGGGCGCCTGTAGTCCCAGCTACTCGGGAGGCTGAGGCAGGAGAATGGCGTGAACCTGGGAGGCGGAGCTTGCAGTGACCCGAGATCGCGCCACTGCACTCCAGCCTGGGCGAGAGCGAGACTCCGTCTAAAAAAAAAAAAAAAGAAAAGAAAAGAAAGAAAAGTTTTAGAAAGAATCGAACAATTACTCCTGTTTCTAGTGTAGGAGGAAAGAGAGACACATTAAAAATTATTCTTTCAGATGAAGGCTGCTGACAGTTGAAATAGTTAATTAACACTGGCTTCTTTCTCCCTAATCCGAAGCAGTCTTTTCTTTCATTGGCTTCTGAAAAGCTATTTAGTCTCCTGCCTACATGTAGAGGTAACACAGGAAGGCTTTGGCCAGTGCTGAGATGGCTGGGATCACTCAACTAGTCCACTAACTGGAATTAAAGTCAACAGTAGTAATAAGGGTTTCCAGTGGTGCATGCCAGTAGTCCCAACCACTCAGGGGGATCCCTTGAGCTCAGGAGTTGGAAACCAGCCTGGACAACATAGAGCTAAACCATCTCTTGAAGGAAAAAAAAAAAAAAAAAAAGGCTGGGCGCAGTAGCTCACGCTTGTAATCCTAGCACTTTGGGAGGCCAAGGTGGGCGGATCACGAGGTCAGGAGTTCGAGACCAGCCTGACCAACATGGTGAAACCCAGTCTCTACTAAAAAATACAAAAATTAGCCAGGCATGGTGGTGCGCACCTGTAATCCCAGCTACTCGAGAGGCTGAGGCAGGGGAATCGCTTGAACCTGGGAGGCGGAGGTCGCGGTGAGCTGAGATCGTGCCATTGCACTCCCGCCTGGGCAACAGAGTGAGACTCCGTCTCAAAAAAAAAAAAAAAATTCTGAAGGCTTAGTTAACTTTATCTGTCATCCAGATGAAACCCCAATGATTTATGATTTGGAGAATTCTCTGGCATCTGTAGAGTGCCCGACATCCTCAAAGTTTTCAGTAGCATCTCTCCAGCTTATTCCCTTAAGACTTCTTTCCCACCAGGATGCTCTGCCAGGAATTTGGTCAAATCGTACACCCAGGTGCTTTTGCTATGATTGTGCTTTGAATCTCCTCCAGGGCGCAGCACTTCACGGCCTTGTCCGACTGCTGGGCCATCTCGGAGGGCTGCGAGCCAGTCCCAGCTCACACAGCGGTGCCCTGCCAGCAGCGTGCGCCTCTCATCAAGCTCCGTCGGGGACATTCCCCGCCCGCACCAGGGACCCCTGCCAGAGGCGGGGCAGCCGGTCTGTCATTCTCTTAAATTTTGGCCACATGGTGGTGTGGTGGTATCTCATTGCGCCTTTAATTTGCATTTCCTTGATTTACAATGTTAAGCACCTTTTCAGATGCACATTTGCCATTTGATGTCCTCCTTTGTTCAGGGCCTTGCCCATTTAAAGATTGTGAGAGTTGGCCAGAAGCGGTGGCTCACGACTGTAATCCCAGCACTTTGGGAGGCCAGGAGTTTGAGACCAGCCCGGGCAACATAGTGAGACCCAGACCTTGAATCTACAAAAAATAATTTAAAAATTAGCCAGATGTGTCTCTTAAAAAAAAAAAGTGTGTGTTTTTAATTAATTTTTACCAATTTTATCAATTAGGATTTTTATAAATTAGGATGCTTCCAATTTTATCAATTAGGATTACCAATTTTATCAATTCTTCCAATTTTATCAATTAGGATTCTTTATATGAATCTGGATATGAAGGTTACATCAGATGTAGGAATTGTGGATTTCTTCCCCCCAGTCTACGGCTTTCTTTTTCACTCTCCTATTGGTATCTTTGGATAATTAGTGCTTTTTATGTTGCATTTAAAAAATCATTGCCTACTCCAAATGTTCAGAGATATTCTCCCCTAATTTCTTTTAGAATCTGTATTGTTTTATTTTCACATTTAGTTGTATGATTCATGTTAAATTAATTTTGGGGCATAATATAAGGCAGATGGCAAAGTTCCTTCTTTTTCTATATGGATGAACAATAATTGCTCCAGCAAAATTTGTTGAAAAGATTGTTACCACGTCTAATTCTAATTCTAGAATGGTTATCCAAATTTTAAAAAATAGCTTTTTTTTTTTTTTTGAAACAAGGTCTAGCTCTGTTGCCCAGGTTGGAGTGCAGTGGTATGATCATGGCTTCCTGCAGCCTTGAACTCCTGGGCTCAGGTGATCCTCCCATCTTAGTTAGCCTCCAGAGTAGCTGGGACTACAAGGCTCATGCTACCACACATACCCAGATAATTTTTAAATTCTTTTGTAGAGACAGAGTCTCACTGTATTGCTCAGGCTGGTCATGAACTCCTGGCCTCAAGCAATCCTCCCACCTTGGTCTTCCAAAGTGCTGGGATTACAGGTGTGAGCTACTGTGCCCTGCCTAGAATGAGATTTTTTTAAAGAAATGAAAATAGCCACATAAAAAATCCAGGTACTAAGCAGATAGAAGATAATTCTCCTTTGATCATATCCACCTTAGGGGTAAGACTATGCTGATCCCTTGAAAATAAAGACAGTAATTAAAAATGATTTTAGAGGAAGTTAAATGTACAGTGAAGTTACTGCCTACACAAGGTTGATGTTACAAACTGTATCAGAGTCTCAGCAAGATTTTTTTTTTTTTTGAGATGGGGTCTCAAACTCTTGGGCTCTATGGATCCTCCCTCCTCAGCCTCCTGACTAGCTGGGATTACAGGTATGTGCTACCATGATCGTCTGGCAGCAGGAAAATGTAATAAACTACTTTTTACAAAGGTGTGGGAAGGGCATAAGTAAATTCTGAGGGATACTGTGGTACCCCAAAGTTAGTAATATTGAGGGCTCCATTACCATCCCAAGGGGAGGGTGGCGGAGCGAAAGGAGGAGCTAGTCACTGGTGAGAAAGACGACTGTACGGAGAGGTCCCTGAGGATGCATCCAAGCCATGCCAACCCTGCAGGAATGGAGCCAGGGGAATGAAGGCTGGAGTGAATGCCCCCCTCCCCCACTCTGTTGTTAGTGCTCTCCTCTGCGTAGATCAGCCTCCTGGTAGAGAAGGAGCTGGTGGAGAATGTATCTGGAGGAGAAAAAGAAGATCTAGCACACAAAACACAGGAAAACACTTAGTCCAAAAAGAGGAAGAGTGGATGTGTGTTACGTACTCAAGATCAGAGAAGGGTTTGCAGTGAAGCCAACAAAGTTTAAGCTTCAGGACCCCTCCATTATATTGGCCCTTTCCAAGGACCTGGGAGGGATCCTAATAATGTGTTCATAAGGTCATATGGTTTTGTTAAATTTGTAAAAGATATTTTAACCAAAATCATCAAACAACTGTTGTTCTTCCATTTCAAATCTCCCTCCATTCCACTTCCCCAGTGTTCAATGGTGCTGAAGTGACACAAGTATTTTGAGTTTCTGTCTAAAAAGAAGTTGAATTGAGAATAAACCACTATAAATGTAATTTGAGCAGGCATTTTTAAACATTTTAATAAGATGTGAAGAAATTACAGTTCCTAGTTTAAGAACTGAAAAAAACAGATAAAATTAATAGAATATGAAGCTAAAGTCATAAACATGAATGACAAAATCAGTGATTATTCTGTATTCAAGAAGCAAATTATAAGAGAGAAGTTTTCAAATCATACCAATATCAGTGATTCATTAAGAATAAATAAATTTCAAAAAAGAAATGAATAAGCTTCTTGGATAGTGTATAATCCAAATAACAAAGTGGAGCAATTCATAAGAATATATTGGAAAAAATTAAAATTTTTTATTATTTGAAAATAATGACCTCTCCCTCTCCCTCTCCCTCTCCCTCTCCCTCTCCCCCTCCCCTCCCCCTCCCCCTCCCCCTCCCCCTCCCCCTCCCTCTCCCTCTCCCCACGGTCTCCCTCTCATGCGGAGCCGAAGCTGGACTGTACTGCTGCCATCTCGGCTCACTGCAACCTCCCTGCCTGATTCTCCTGCCTCAGCCTGCCGAGTGCCTGCGATTGCAGGCACGCGCCGCCACGCCTGACTGGTTTTGGTGGAGACGGGGTTTCGCTGTGTTGGCCGGGCCGGTCTCCAGCCCCTAACCGCGAGTGATCCGCCAACCTCGGCCTCCCGAGGTGCCGGGATTGCAGACGGAGTCTCGTTCACTCAGTGCTCAATGGTGCCCAGGCTGGAGTGCAGTGGCGTGATCTCGGCTCACTACAACCTCCACCTCCCAGCCACCTGCCTTGGCCTCCCAAAGTGCCGAGATTGCAGCCTCTGCCCGGCCGCCACCCCGTCTGGGAAGTGAGGAGTGTCTCTGCCTGGCCGCCCATCGTCTGGGATGTGAGGAGCCCCTCTGCCCAGCCGCCCAGTCTGGGAAGTGAGCAGCGTCTCCGCCCGGCCGCCATCCCATCTAGGAAGTGAGGAGCGCCTCTTCCCAGCCGCCATCACATCTAGGAAGTGAGGAGCGTCTCTGCCCGGCCGCCCATCGTCTGAGATGTGGGGAGCGCCTCTGCCCCACCGCCCCATCTGGGATGTGAGGAGCGCCTCTGCCCGGCCGAGACCCCGTCTGGGAGGTGAGGAGCGTCTCTGCCCGGCCGCCCCGTCTGAGAAGTGAGGAGACCCTCTGCCTGGCAACCACCCCGTCTGAGAAGTGAGGAGCCCCTTCGCCCGGCAGCTGCCCCGTCTGAGAAGTGAGGAGCCTCTCCGCCCAGCAGCCACCCCATCTGGGAAGTGAGGAGCGTCTCCGCCCGGCAGCCACCCCGTCCGGGAGGGAGGTGGGGGGGGTCAGCCCCCCCGCCCGGCCAGCCGCCCCATCCGGGAGGGAGGTGGGGGGTCAGCCCCCCGCCCGGCCAGCCGTGCCATCCGGGAGGGAGGTGGGGGGGTCATGCCCCCCGCCCGGCCAGCCGCCCGGTCCGGGAGGTGATGGGGCGCCTCTGCCCGGCCGCCCCTACTGGGAAGTGAGGAGCCCCTCTGCCCGGCCAGCCGCCCCGTCCGGGAGGGAGGTGGGGGGGTCAGCCCTCCGCCCGGCCAGCCGCCCCGTCTGGGAGGTGAGGGGCGCCTCTGCCCGGCCGCCCCTACTGGGAAGTGAGGAGCCCCTCTGCCCGGCCAGCCGCCCCGTCCGGGAGGGAGGTGGGGGGGTCGGCCCCCCGCCCGGCCAGCCGCCCCGTCCGGGAGGGAGGTGGGGGTGTCGGCCCCCCGCCCGGCCAGCCGCCCCGTCCGGGAGGGAGGTGGGGGGGGTCAGCCCCCCTGCCCGGCCAGCCGCCCCGTCCGGGAGGTGAGGGGCGCTTTTGCCCGGCCGCCCCTACTGGGAAGTGAGGAGCCCCTCTGCCCGGCCAGCCGCCCCGTCCGCGAGGGAGGTCGGGGGGTCAGCCCCCCGCCCGGCCAGCCGCCCCGTCCGGGAGGGAGGTGGGGGGGGTCAGCCCCCCTGCCCCGGCCAGCCGCCCCGTCCGGGAGGTGAGGGGCGCCTCTGCCCGGCCGCCCCTACTGGGAAGTGAGGAGCCCCTCTGCCCGGCCAGCCGCCCCATCCGCGAGGGAGGTGGGGGGGTCAGCCCCCCTGCCCGGCCAGCCGCCCCCGTCCGGGAGGGAGGTGGGGGGGGTCAGCCCCCCTGCCCGGCCAGCCGCCCCGTCCGGGAGGTGAGGGGCACCTCTGCCCGGCCGCCCCTACTGGGAAGTGAGGAGCCCCTCTGCCCGGCCACCACCCCGTCTGGGAGGTGTGCCCAACAGCTCATTGAGAACGGGCCAGGATGACAATGGCGGCTTTGTGGAATAGAAAGGCGGGAAAGGTGGGGAAAAGATTGAGAAATCGGATGGTTGCCGTGTCTGTGTAGAAAGAAGTAGACATGGGAGACTTTTCATTTTGTTCTGCACTAAGAAAAATTCCTCTGCCTTGGGATCCTGTTGATCTGTGACCTTACCCCCAACCCTGTGCTCTCTGAAACATGTGCTGTGTCCACTCAGGGTTAAATGGATTAAGGGCGGTGCAAGATGTGCTTTGTTAAACAGATGCTTGAAGGCAGCATGCTCGTTAAGAGTCATCACCAATCCCTAATCTCAAGTAATCAGGGACACAAACACTGCGGAAGGCCGCAGGGTCCTCTGCCTAGGAAAACCAGAGACCTTTGTTCACTTGTTTATCTGCTGACCTTCCCTCCACTATTGTCCCATGACCCTGCCAAATCCCCCTCTGTGAGAAACACCCAAGAATTATCAATAAAAAAATAAATTTAAAAAAAAAAAAAAAAAAAAAAAGAAAATAATGAGATTGGCCGGGTGTGGTGGCTCACACCTGTAATCCCAGCACTTTGGGAGGCCGAGGCAGGCAGATCATGAGTTCAAGACCAGCCTGGCCAATATGGCGAAACCCCGTCTCTACTAAAAAAAAATACAAAAATTAGCTGGGAGAGGTGGTGCCCACCTGTAGTCTGAGCTACTCGGGAGGCTGAGGCAGAAGAATCACTTGAACCAGGGAGGTGGAGGTTGCAGTGACCTGAGGTCACACCATTGCACTCCAGCCTGGGTGACAGAGCAAGGCTCCATTTCAAAAAAAAAAAAAAAAAAAGAAAACAATGACATCAACAAATACAACCTAAAATCATAAAATCATAATACACCTTTTTTTTTTTTTTTTTTTTTTGAGACGGAGTCTCGCTCTGTCACTCAGGCTGGAGTGCAGTGGTGCAATCTCGGCTCACTGCAAGCTCCACCTCCCGGGTTCACGCCATTCTCCTGCCTCAGCCTCCCGAGTAGCTGGTACTACAGGTGCCCACAACCACGGCCGGCTAATTTTTGTATTTTTAGTAGACACGGGGTTTCACCATATTAGCCAGGATGGTCTCGATCTCCTGACCTCGTGATCTGCCCACCTTGGCCTCCCAAAGTGCTGGGATTATAGGCGTGAGCCACCGCGCCTGGCCCATGATACACCATTTTAATGACATTGATGACAAACTGTTTAATGAGTGCCCTGAAGTACACTTACACATCCTGAAATCTTACCACTCATATGTGAAAAAGACTTACAAAAGTGTCCTCAAATTTGTAATACTCTTAAATATATTTTTTCTTTTTTAAATTTTTTCTAGCCACTAGACCACCAGGGAACTCTTACATATTTGTAAGACATCACCAATAACAACTTATTAAGCTGACACTTTTCTAAACAACCAATAATTTAAAAAAAACTTTCTAGAGGAATTCTAATTATTCCAGAAAAAAGTAAATTATCCTTACACCCTCTCCATTGAAAATACTCTCTCTGTAAAAAATGTTACAAAATTGAAGAGTAACCAAAGTCTATGTGGCTAAAGAATGTAGGGAAAAATATGGGAAGGTTTCTGGCAGTTAATTACGTTCAAGTAGTTTTTTGTCCTGGATTTTGTGATGCTTGTGCTATTTGCCTTTGTTGTGATTTACCTATTTATTCTAAATATATATTCATTTTCCTATTTTTTTTTTTTTTTTTTGAGACAGTCTCGTTCTGTTACCCAGGCTGGAGTGCAATGGCGCGATCTCACTGCAACCTCTGTCTCCCGGGTTCAGGCGATTCTCTTGCCTCAGCCTCCTCAATACTGGGACTACAGGCATGCCACACCATGCCCAGCTAATTTTTGTATTTTTAGTAGAGACGGGGTTTCACCATGTTGGACAGGCTGGTCTTGAATTCCTGACCTCAGGTGATCAGCCCACCTCAGCCTCTGAAAGTACTGGGATTACAGGCGTGAGCCACCACGCCTGGCCTCCTGCCTAATTTTGTATCCATAATTTGGTATTATTTTTCCCAAAGAGTCCCTCTTTCCCCAAATTGCATTTAACACCATGACCCACAAATTCTGATGTGACCTCGTTCAGAATACACACTAAAGAAACAGGGCTGGGCAAACTTCAACAGTAACAGCAATGGCAATGAAATAAGAACATGAAGCACTCTCCCTAGGGTAGAAGACTGGCGTGCATGTTTGATATATATATGCAAGTCCAACACACACAAACATAAACACACATATGACAGGGTCTCATTCTGTCATCCAGGCTGGAGTGCAGTGGCACAATCATAGCTTGCTGTAGCCTTAACTTCCTGAGCTCAAGTGACCATCCCACCCTCAGCTTCCTGAGTAGCTGGGACCACAGGTTCAGACCACCTCACCTGGCTAATTTTTGTATTTTTTTGTAGAGACAGGGTCTTGCCATGTTGCCCAAGCTAGTCTCGAACACCTGGCCTCAACCAATCCTCCTGCCTCAGCCTCCCAAAGTGCTGGGATTACAGGTGTGAGCCACCATGTCAAACCAGGAATATTTAAAAGAGTCTACAAACCTCATTAAGGAAAGAAGGGGAAAAAAGCAGAACCAGCTGAGATGGGTAAATTGTAGTCTGGAGGAAATCTGGCCCACACAATTTTGGCAGCAAATTGGTGGAAAATTATTCCAGAAGCAAATCTATTCTAAAAATGTCACTGTGATGCAGAGGTCCCAGGAAAGCAGTGTGGAGACTGGAGCAGCACTGGAAGGCCTTTGGCACTTACTCTAAAGGCTAAGCTGCCACCATACTTTGAGGTAGCACCTCCTACTGGGAGGAAAGCCTTAATCCATACATTGGTAAGCATTACTGACTGCAATTAGTAGGAAAATCCCAGAGGAAATAATTCTACCCTCATCACTCAAAAACAGAAATGAAGCAATACGCTAACTTGAAAAAGCCATGGGAATTTTGAGAGAATCAGGGGTCCAAAAATAAACCATTCATAGACTTTGGAAAGAATTCTTTTTTCTTTTTTTTTTGGAAACGGAGTTTCGCTCTTGTTGCCCAGGCTAGAGTGCAATGGCGCAATCTTGGCTCACCACAACCTCCGTCTCCCCGGTTCAAGCAATTCTCCTGCCTCAGCCTCCCGAGTAGCTGGGATTACAGACACGTGCCACCACGCCCGGTGAATTTTTTTGTGTTTTTAGTAGAGATGGGGTTTCTCCATGTTGGTCAGGCTGGTCTCGAACTCCTGGCCTCAGGTGATCCACTCGCCTCAGCCTCCCAAAGTGTTGGGATTACAGGCGTGAGCCACTGTGCCTGGCCTGGAAAGAATTCTTAAGGGGAGAGCTCAGAGGGTTGCAAGCTTTTTGGTTTCGAGTTTGGATTTTTTTTTTCTTGCTTGTTTTCTTTTTATTATAGAAATTTTCAAGCATACTTCAAAAGTAAAAAGTGTAATATAAATAGTATAATAACCCTCTGAATAGCCATCATCCACCTTCCACATGCATCAGCATATGTGCAGTCTTATTTTATCTACATGCCAAACCACTTCCCAAAGCCCTCATAAGATTATTTTAGAGCAAATGACAGACATATTGATTTAATCTACAAAGTCTTATCTACGTATCTTTAAGAATAAGGACTCTTTTTAAAAATATATAACCATATTTACCATTATCATACCCAACAAATTAACAAAATTACTCAGTCATCAAATATCCAGTCAGTATTTAAATTTTTTATTGTCTTATAAATATTTTTTAAGTTGCATTACGCAAATCAGGATCCAAATGCTATTCACATGTTGCATTGTGATATACAATGGCTCTTAAATTTCTTTCAACCTATAGTTTCTTCTGCTTTTCTTGCCATTTATTTGTTGATGAAATCAAGTCATTTTCCCTATAGAATTTGTTACTTTCCAGATTTGATTAATTGTATCCTGAGGTGTTATTTAACACATTTCTCCATCTTGTGTATTTCACATAAACTGAAAATTAGGTCTAGAGGCTTGATAAGATTTAGGCTAGATATTTTTGGAAGAGTGCTTCATAGGCGATGCTGTGTTCTTATTGCATCACACCAGTAAGTACATAATGTCTGTTTGCCTCTCTTTTTGGAATATTAAAATTAATCGGTGGGTTCAAGTGTTGTCAGCCTGATCCATCATTATAAAGTTCCTCATCAGCCTCTCACCTAATGATTTCAGCAGCTATCAATAATCATTGCCTAGATCCATTATTTCATTCAAGTGTCAAAATAGTAATAGTCTGTCATTTCTTCTGCATTCACTAGCTGGAGTTCTTCGGTTAAAAAAAAAAAAATTGGGGTGGGGCGCGGTGGCTCACGCCTATAATCCCAGCACTTTTGGAGGCAGAGGTGGGCAGATCATGAGGTCAGGAGTTCGAGACCAGCCTGACCAACATGGTGAAACCCTGTCTCTAGTAAAAAGACAAAAATCAGCCTGGCGTGGTGGTGTTGGTGTGCACCTGTAATCTCAGCTACTCAGGAGGCTGAGGTAGGAGAATCGCTTGACCCGGGAGGCAGAGGTTGTGGTGAGCCAAGATTGCACCACTGCACTCCAGCCTGGGTGACAGTGAGACTCTGTCTCAAAAAAAAAAAAAAAAAAAAAAAAAAAAATTGACTGGGTGCGGTGGCTCACACCTATAATCCCAGCACTTTGGGAGGCCAAGACGGGTGGATCACTTGACTACAGGAGTTCGAGACCAGCCTGGGCAACATGGTGAAACCCCCATCTCTACAAAAAAATACAAAAAAAAAAAAAAATGCTGAGCATGGTGGCAAGCATCTGTAGTTCCAGCTACCCGGGAGGCTGAAGTGGGAGGATCAATTGAGCCCAGGCAGTGTGTGTGTGAACAGGCCATTGCACATTGCACTCCAGCCTTGGTGAGAAAGCAAGACCCTCTCTCATAAAAAAAAAAAAAAGTACCATATTCACAATTTGGTTTCCTTGATGTACATACAAGTAAAAGAAGATAAGTGCTTGATTTTCTCCCTTCGCCAATTTTTAGAATAATGAGTTGGTTTCTTAATATTGTTCAAGAGTAACCAATTAGTTTGGCTGCAAGTCCAACAGTGCTAAGCATGGCACTAAATAGCACCATCTAAGAAGGTAATAGAGCCCTGACCCTACTGAACTGATAAGTTCTCTTAGATACTGATGGGTCTCTCAGCCAGTGGAGTAGGGCAGCAGACAATCATACACTATCACAACAATTAATTCATTCTTCAGAAATCATCAAAATCAATAATCATTTATAGATGACAGATTCTAAGTGATAACTCTTCTTGAAAACCAATCATTTTTAGAACAGTCAACAAGGTAGAAAAATCAAAGGTTTTAGTAGTACATCTCCACTTGCAGTGGAGAAGTATATGGTGAAGTATGGTGACACAGTGGAAATAGGGCGCTAATTCGGGAATTTGGGGTAGCAGTAGCCAGAACCTCAGAATGAATCATTGGAATCAGTGTTTCTGGGGGAAGACATAAATTGGAAGAATGAAAAATTCAAGATTTTATGTTTATAAGGGAGGCTAATTAGTAGTTTGCTAAAATGTTCTTCATAAAGTACCCAGCTCAGAATCAAAAGAGACCCATAGCCCTCATTTACCTACATGTACTGGAGGCTACTGATACCTACAAAAAGAAGCTAATAATTGAGAAGGGTCAAAGTGGATCAGATCAGTTTGCACAAGACTCAGGCAAAATGAGGAAAAAGAAGTATCTACTGAATTTGGCAACATGTAAGTCACAGATGACCTGATAACAGTAGTTTCAGTGATGTGATGAGGGTGGAAGCCCGGAGTAGGTGGAACAGTGTGGGGTTAACAATTCTTTCAATAAGTTTTTCTATAAAGGGAAGCAAAGAAATGAGATGTTCCTGGAAGGGTATCTAAGGACAACTGAGGTTTATTTATTTTTAAAAATAAAGATGGGATCTTGCTGTGTTGGCCAGGCTGGTCTTGAACTCCTGAGCTCAAGTATCTTCCCTTCTCCCTCCTTGTTGATGGCCTCCCAAAGGGAACT
Source organism: Homo sapiens (assembly GCF_000001405.40). Lineage (NCBI taxonomy): Eukaryota > Metazoa > Chordata > Mammalia > Primates > Hominidae > Homo > Homo sapiens. The sequence goes on along the minus strand of NC_000002.12, from coordinate 169,779,471 downwards.
GAGGATCTTTTTTTTTTTTTTTTTTTTTTTTGATACGAAGTCTCACTCTGTCGCCCAGGCTGGAGTGCAGTGGCACGATCTCAGCTCACTGCAGCCTCTGCCTCACAGGTTCAAGCAATTCTACTGCCTCAGCCTCCCGAGTAGCTGGCATTACAGGTGCCTGCCACCACACCTGGCTAATTTTTGTATTTTATTTCAGGCTAGGCTGGTCTTGAACTCCTGACCTCAAGTGATCTGCCTGCTTCGGCCTCCCAAAGTACTGGGATTGCAGGTGTGAGCCACCGCGCCCAGCTGGAACGGAGGATCTTTTCACCAATAGGGTTTTTTAAAGGATGATAGTTTAAGGCCAGGCATGGTGATGTGCACCTGTAATCCCAGCACTTTGGAAGGCCAAGGCGGGTGGATCACCTGAGGTCAGGAGTTCAAGACCAGCCTAACAAATATGGGGAAACCCTCTACTCTACTAAAAATACAAAAATACAAAAACTTAGCCAGATGTGGTGGCATGTGCTGTAGTCTCAACTACTCAGGAGGCTGACGCAGGAGAATCTCTTGAATCCTGGAGGCGGAGGTTTCAGTGAGCCAAGATTGCACCACTGTATTCCAACATGGGTGACAGAGCAAGACTCCATCTCAAAAAAAAAAAAAAAAAGATGGTAGTTTAAGAATTGCAAATTCCACATAATAAAGGGAGAAACTGGTGATCTATGAGAGCGGGGACAATTGCAAGAGTGATGTCCTTGAGAAAATAAGAGAAGATAGAATCCAGAGCATGACTGCTTCGATAGGGCGATGGCATTTGAATTACAACAAGTGGGAGAACAGGAAATATTGACACAAGTGTAGAAAGATTTGGTGGTTAGAAGAATAGAGTTCCTGTTTAGTTGCTTATGTTTTTTCAGTAAAGTATGTGAGAGTGGGGCCAATGAGGAAGGGTTTATGTTCTACAGTATTTATCTTAGAAAAAGAAAGGGAAAAAAAGGAAAGGAAAAAAAGAGGAAGGTTGAAATTTTTAGGAAAAAAAAGATATAAAATAGTTGACTCAGAGAGCAAAATATTAATCTTACTAGGAAAACCTTTTAGGATTATGGAGCAGATATAGAGTGTTTCAGCTTTGTGGTCAGAAATTTAAAGCACTGTGCCAGTGTTTGGCTGCTCTGGTGCAGGCCCAGAGAAGTTATACTCAGATGGGCAAGTGAATATAAAAGAAGTACAATTGCTTTTCATAATGACGACCAGGACATCAAAGGTGGATAAGGGAGAGAATGAACACAGAATAGACATAAGAGTTAAAAAAAAAAAAAAAAAAAAAAAAAAAAAAAAAAAAAAAAGCAGTGAGGTTGGTGGGTTGAGGACCCCAGGTGTCAGATGGGAGGCTATCTGGATAAAAATGAGGACGCCAGTCAGGATGAAGAGGAAGACAGTGAGCTAGGAGTCAAGTCTTCAGTGAATGAGGGGTGTGACTGGGTGATCATTAGAATGTAGACACAAAGAGGTGGGGCTTTTGAGGAAGGAGGATAGTTTGAAAGTGATGATGTGAGGCCTGGCACTGTGGCTCATGGCTGTAATCTCAGCACTTTGGGAGGCCGAGGCTGGCGGATCACGAGGTCAGGAGATCGAGACCATCCTGGCCAACACAGCGAAACCCCGTCTCTACTAACAATACAAAAATTAGCTGGGCCTGGTTGTGTGTGCCTGTAATCCCAGCTACTTGGGAAGCTGAGTCAGGAGAATCGCTTGAACCAGGGAGCCAGAGGTTGCAGTGAGCCAAGATCGCGCCACTGCACTATACCTGGCGACAGAGTGAGACTCCGTCTCAAAAAAAAAAAAAAAAAAAAAGAATTCCATACCAGAAATTTAAGGCACTGTTCCAGTGTTTAGCTGCTCTGCCGCAGGCTCAGAGAAGGTCTGGAGTTAAACTGGGGAATCTTTTGTTGTGTTTTAAAATCCTATTAAAAAATATAAGTGCCTGTAATCCCAGCACTTTGGGAGGCCGAAGTGGGTGGATCACCTGAGTTCAGGAGTTCGAGACCAGCCTGATCAATATGGTGAAACTCTGTCTCTGCTAAAACTACAAAAATTACTTGGGCATGGTGGCATGCGCCTGTAATCCCAGCTACTCAGGAGGATGAGACAGGAGAATTGCTTGAACCCGGCAGCTGAAGGTTACAGTGAGCTGAGATCGTGTACTGTACTCTAGCCTGGGTGACAGAGCGAGACTGCATCTCAAAAACAAACAAATAAACAAACAAATAAAATATATATATATATATGATTTGAAAAGGCCTATTTCTACACTATTACATCTATTGGATTGAACATCCTCTAGTTTACCATAGGTCTTAGACCCTCTAACTTTGTCTTGACTTTAGAGATAGTAGTGGTTTTTACACTTTTTATCTGCCTCAGTAGAAAGTCAGCTCTTTGAGGCCAATAGTATATTCCCATAGCTTCCCTTAAAATAATACTCGCTGTGCACAAATTGTCACCTTTTATTAAATGTGTGTGTTTACTGTAAAAACAGAGCTGGACAATAGAATGTAAGCTGAAAATCAGACCATAGAATCTGGCCTAGGTTTGGGGAATGGAGAGAATAAAGACTTGGATTTCATTCAAGTTGATTTTACTTTGGTTTAGTTTTGGATGAACTAAGAAGCAGAGCAAAGAATATAAACAAGATAGAGATGCAGAAGGATAAATGTTGCTTCCCATTGCCTCCCTTGTATGTCCCAGAATACACATAAAGTTTGCATTCTTGCCAGCTCTGCACAGCAAACTATCTACTAGGTCAAAGAGGCAGAGAATGACAGGCTCCCTGCCTTCTATATTCCCAGTTATATCAGCTCAGAAACAACTTATACTACCATATAAGGTGATTCATTCTTAGACTCAGTGAACCATGCTATCCAGGTTCCAGGCCTTGAAATTCATTTGATGTCCACAGTCAGGCAGGTTCCTATTTTCTGTGGCTGCACGGCAGGGCCTAGGAATTTTTCACCTCATCTTCTTGTGGTTTTTTTTGTGGGCAGGCCTTGGAAAAACAATGAGAAATCCATATATAAAATGAAACCCATGTTATCACCACATGGTGTAGAATAATTATGGTTGCTATCACACAGTTTAACATGAATTCCTAATTGCACAAATATGTATGGTGTGCTTACCATGTGCTTCGCCCTAAAGATCCAAAAGTAAATAAAACTTAGGCTCTGCCTTCTGCCTCAGTACACTTGTAGTCTAGTTAAATTCATCATGCTTCTCTGTCATGACCATTTTTTAAATAGGAGGTAGACAGCAAAGAAACAGGATACTCTGGTTGAAACTTTTTTAAAAAGTATATTATTAATTCCAGGTTGGTTAATAGCCTTTTGATCTCTTTTGGTTTTCTCCCATCTCTCCTTTCTGTTCTGTTTCCCTTAAAATAACACTCAGTGCACACACTGTTTTCATTAAATGGGTGTGTTTATTCTAAAAACAGAGCTAAGAGTTATCAACCGGCAGATTCTTCCTGCTCAGGCCTCCTTAGTGTCTAAACAGTGCATGACTCGCAGAAAATGCAAAGTGGTTTGTTCTGGTTCTTAGAGGCAGAGTGTTAGGAGGGCCAACTGATAGAAACAGAACTTAATCATTTTAGGATTTCAGGAGTATCACTGTAGAAGACAAGGGTGAATGCAGGAGTCAGCCTGTAGACTGTGTACAATCCTAAATTCCAGCCTCATCTGAAGAAAATGAACCTATTTTCATGAAAATGCACCTTTTATATTTCTTATAAATGGGTAGCTTAATAAGTGTATGTATTTATTAATATAACTGATCCTTGATTTTGGAGATATAAAATATTCTAAAAGAATTAATTTAGCCTAGGGAACATCCTCTTAGATAATAAGTCTATAGATGGCTTCACAGTACACATGCCTCAGGGCCTTTGTACCTACTGTTTCCAAGGTTATAGCTTGCTTCTTCAGGGCTCAGCACAAACATCATCTATTAGAGAGGTCGTAGCTGACCACCTTATATTAATAGTACCTCCCCCACAACGATTTTACTCCATCACCTTCATTCTGATTTTTTTTCATAAAACTTGTTACCAGCCAGACATGGTGGCTCACGCCTGTAATCCCAACAATTTGGGAGGCTGAGGTGGGCGGAATCACGAGGTCAAGAGATCGAGGCCATCCTGGCCAACATGGTGAAACCCCCTCTCTACTAAAAACACAAAAATTAGCTGTGCATGGTGGTGAGCGCCTGTAGTCCCAGCTATTTGGGAGGCTGAGTTAGGAGAATCACTTGAACCCGGGAGGTGGAGGTTGCAGTGAGCTGAGATAGCACCGCTGCACTCCAGCCTGGGGACAAAGCGAGACTCCATCTCAAAAAAAACAAAAAACAAAAAACAAAAAACAAACTTGTTACCACCTGATATCTTATTATGGGAACATACAAATTTTGTGGGGCCTGAAGTTTTTATAATGGGGGGGCATTTTTTAAAGAAACAAAATATAAAAATTGCAATTAAAAATTAAGTATGAGCTGGGCGCGGTGGCTCACGCCTGTAATCCCAGCACTTTGGGAGGCCGAGACGGGCAGATCACGAGGTCATGAGATCGAGACCATCCTGGCTAACACGGTGAATTAGCCAGGCATGGTAGCAGGCGCCTGTAGTCCCAGCTACTTGGGAGGCTGAGGCAGGAGAATGGCGTGAACCTGGGAGGCGGAGCTTGCAGTGGAGCCGAGATCACGCCACTGTACTCCAGCCTGGGCGAGAGCAAGCCTCCGTCTCAAAAACAAAATAAAAAAATAAAAATAAATAAAAATTAAGTATGAAAGTGAATATTAATGTGAAAATAAATCATAAATTGCTGGAGTCTTGGAGCTTCAGTTCTTCCTTCTAGGATTTATTTAGGCAATTTACTAGAAATGCTTATGTAAAAATGTGTAGTTGTTGCAACCTGGCTTCCACTTGCCACCTAGAACATTCTATGGCCCTCAGCAATTACCAGCCCTCCCTGGGGTATCACAGTAAATCTGACTCTGCATATTAAATATCAATTTGCTTGTTTGTTTATTGTCAGTCTGTATCAATGGAATGTCTTAAGCTTCTTGAGAGCAAAGATTTAACCTTCTATGTTGCTTTATGCCCAGTGCCCACAACAGGAGTAGGCACGGGGGGCATATCATACATGCTTCTTTAATAAATTGTATCTGTCCCCGAAAATCAACTGGGAAAAAATAATCCTTCCTCCTCTCCCATTTTAGCCACTCTGTATTGTCATAGCTCTGTGTTATTGTCTTTTAGTACTATCACTTAAAAAATTAGCTTACTGCTTACTTTTTTTTCTTTTTAAGATAGGGTCTCCTCTGTCACCCAGGCTGGAGTTGTAGTGGCACAATATTGGCTCACTGCAACCTCCACCTCCTGGGTTTAGGCGATCTCATGCCTCAGCCTCCCAAGTAGCTGGGACTACAGGTGTGTGCCACCATGTTTGGATAATTTTTTTGTATTTTTACTAGACATGGGGTTTCACCATGTTGGCCAGGCTGGTCTCGAACTCCTGGCCTCAGGTGATCTGCCTGCCTTGGCCTTCCAAAGTGCTGGGATCACAGGTGTGAGCTACTGCGCCTGGCCTGCTTGTTTACTTGTTATCTGTGTCCCCTACTAGAGTAGGCCATACTAAGAAAAGAGAGTGTCTTGCTCCCATTTTCCCAGAGTTTTTAAAGCAAGGCACAGAGGAGGCTCTCAATAAGTATTTTTTTGAGTAAATGAAAATAAGGCAAATAAAAAACTTTTCACGATGAAACTTGCCATGTACTGCAACTCTCCTTGTACCTCTGTTTTTATTCTATTTATCTGAAAGTTTCATTTAGATACTCAATTATATGCTAATTTAATGAAACATAATTAAGTTTTAAAAAAAGTAAAATTATAATAATCACTTCACTTTACACCTTAGCTAAATAAGTACAAATGCATTTTGATTTGACAGAAAGATTGAGTAATTAATTTGTAACCATCTACTAACAAGATTTGAAAGATACAGGTACTTAATAGTACTTTCAGACACAGGATTTCTGCTCTGAATTTGCACTCACCCATGATTTCTGTGACTTTAGGGAGTATCAAATAGAAAATGCTCCTACGTACCAAGTTTTCTTCCCTGGAGGCAAAATAAAATAAATAAACTGACCAATTTCTTATATATTATTTCTGAAATATGCTATGAAGGTATTAGCAGATATTTATATATTTTTCTTTTTCTTGCACAATTTATAGCATACTATACTCACAATTCTGTACCTTTTGTTTTGTGATTCTGTTTTTTTAATATATCTTGGAGCTTACTAATATTTTTGGCTGCATAGTAGTCCATTGTGCAACAGTGTCTTATTTAAATAATCCTCTCTATGGACATTCAGATTGCTCTCAGTCTTTTGGTATTATAAACAGTGCTACAATGAATAACCTTGTACACATGTAACTTCATACATATGTAAGTATGTCTGTAGGATAAACCCGTAGATGTGTGTTTGGATCTTATAGCAATAAATGACACTCCTCATCCTCACCCAAATTCTAAGCCAATTAGGAAATAAGACAAAAGAGGCAGACAGGTGATTAAAATGTCACTTCATTACTGGTGACAGCTGATGTTGAAGCATGTTGCTTACATTTGCAGATAAGAGAGCTTCCCAATTCTGGATCTCTTTCCATTTAATCATAGGCAATGTTCTTCAAACATAGGTCTCCCCATGCAGGTTTTAGGAAGATGATGGGCTGAATGCGGCCTTCCCAGTTTATTCTTTACAAATTTAACAATTAGAGGAGTCACCCCTCCTTTCTTAGGGAGAAGCAAGTGAGGAGGAGAAGAGAGGCCAGCAGCATTAAACCAGGAGAGCTACTTCAGCCTGGAAGTACACATCAAGAAACATTCCCGCCCTAACAAAATACTCTCATGTTCAAAACGGTCTTCAATTGGTAATTGTAATATATTTTTCTCAGTTGTTCACCAGAAATGTGTCAATTTACACTCCTTCCATGAATATGCACCCAGGCATATAAGAAAAGTTAGCATTAGATAAATGTTTTTCAATTATCCTTGGTCTATTCATGTCTCACTACCCCAGAGGTTTTTCTTGAATTTTCTTACATTATTTTGAAATATAACACAGCAGAATTTTATTTTATTTTTGAGACAGAGTCTCACTCTGTTGCCCAGGCTGTAAGTGGAGTAGTGCGATCTTGGCTCACTGCAACCCCCGCCTCATGGATTCAAGTGATTCTCCTGCCTCAGCCTCCCAAGTAGCTGGGACTACAGGCGTGCACCACCACGCCTGGCTAATTTTTGTATTTTTAGTGGAGATGGGGTTTTGTCATGTAGGACAGGCTGGTCTCGAACTCCTGACCTCAAGTGATCTGCTTGCCTTGGCCTCCCGAAGTGCTGGGATTACAGGTGTGAGCCACCGTGCCCGGCCCAGAATTTTAATTATAGTGGCTTCATAGCATTTTAATGTCTGGCAGAGACTGTCAATTGTCACAGTATCCATTGCTCCCATCTTCCTGTTTGAAACCAGACTCTCTGAGCTTTCACCCAGGCCTATGGCTGTCCATCTTTGTGTGAGTCATTGTAGCACCCATGCATATAATTGTAAGGACTTTGACTTTAGCTCTGAGTGAAATGTGGAGTCATCGCAGGGATGTGAACAGAGGAGTGACATGATCATAATGTCTTATAGACTAACCTGTAACTATCTGCTCATAAGGAAAGCCTGGTAAAGTGCAAGGTGCTTCTCTAATCAAAGAACTGACTGCAAAGTAGCCCCAAGACTGGAAGTAAAGCTGCTCTACAAGTTAGGGACACTAGGCCACTGGAGAACTGGGCGAGTGGCTCTCCTTTCCCTCATCTTAAATTCTTCTAAATGTTTGGGGTTGTTTTGTTGTTGTTGTTGTTTTTGAGACAGGGTATTGCTTTGTCACCCAGGCTGGAGTGCAGTGGTGTGATCTCGGCTCACTGTAGCCTCAACCTCCTAGGCTCAGTTGATCCTCCCACCTCAGCCTCCCAAGTAGCTGGAACTACAGGTACACGCCACCATGCCTGGCTAATTTTTTGTATTGTTTGTACAGACAGGGTTTTCCCCTGTTGTCCAGGCTGGTCTTGAAATCCTGGCCTCAAGCAATCCACGCATTTGGGCCTCCCAAAATGGTGACTAGCCATGAGCCACTGTGCCTGACCTAAATATTTGGTCTTTACAGACAAGAAAGGAAACAGAAACGGGAAGGAGACTGATGGTTTCCGATCCTGATTTTATGAGCCAGGATGCTGTGCAACTTCCACAGATGTTTTGTTATATTTTTGCAGTCGTTTTCTTGTCAAACTTTGAGCTTCCTCATTGAAAAAAAATTTCAAAGTTTCATTTCATCCATTGTAATGGCCAATAACTTCTTTAAAATTTATGGAATAAAAGCACAGAGCTTCACAGAAGGTGGATGTCACTATGGAAAGATGTCCAGTTAGAACTACTTTTAAATATATTACAGCTACGCAAGATGAAAAACTCAAATAGGGAATAGAAAGCTACAAAATACACTTGAAGACTACAGTTGTATCCAGCCAAGACAGTAATGATAATTTCTGCTTTCTTTCATTTCCTTTCTTTCTTTCTTTCTTTTTTTTAGAGAGAAGGTCTTGCTCTGTCACCCACGCTGGAGTGCAGTGGCACAATCATAGCTCACTGCAGCCTACACCTCCTGAGCTCACGTAATCCTCCCACCTCAGCCTCCTGAGTAGCTAGGACTACAGGTGTGCACCATCACACCTGGCTAATGTTTAATTTTTTTTTTTTTTTGAGGTGGAGTCTTGCTCTGTCACCCAGGCTGGAGTGCAGTGGTGCAATCTCAGCTCACTGCAACCTCCGCCTCCAGGGTTCAAGCGATTCTCCTGCCTCAGCCTCCCGAGTAGCTGGGATTACAGGCATGCACCACCACGCCCAGCTAATTTTTGTATTTTTAGTAGAGATGGGGTTTCCTCTGTTGGCCAGGCTGGTCTCAAACTCCTGACCTCAGGTGATCTGCCCGCCTTGGTCTCCCAAAGTGCTGAGATTACAGGTGTGAGCCACTGAGCCCAGTCTACTAAATTTTTTTTTTTTAAGGATGGGATCTCATTATATTGCCCAGCCTGGCGTCAAAATCCTGGCCTCAAGTAATCCTCCTGACTTGGCCTCTCAAAATGCTGAGATTACAGGCATGAGCCATCACACCCAGCCAGTAATGATCATTTCTATTGGTCACAACTTTGGTTTAAATTTTCTAGTAACTTTTTTTATAATCACAAAAAAAAGTATTATGACAAAAAACTTGGAACTCATAAAATTATTAGTTAATTGAACTATAAAAATAAGCCATGGCAGTGAGCAGAATGGGGAGAAGCTTGTAACTCTGATCACAAGAAAGGTGGTCATTTTTAAAAAATATAAATGGTTCCTATAAACCAAGAAGAAAATCTCAGCAATCCATAGGGAAAACTTCTGAATGGAATAGGCACACAAAAGATAAGATAGTTCACTCAGAAAGATGAGGATGCTAAGCAATACATTCAAAATTAAACCAAAGTAAGATACCAGTGGCACAAACCAAACACTTTGCTGACACTGTGGGATAGGCTAAGGCAAATTCATATATTGCTTATGAGGGTATAAATTAATAAAACTTCTTTGGATTTTAATTTCTCAATAGCTCTAAAACTTTAAAAGGAAACTATCCTTTGGCCTAGTGAATCCACTCTAAAAAATTATCTCACAGATATGGTTCCTGTGTATAGGTTAAATAAAAGACATTCATTCACTGAGCACTATTTATAAAAGCAAATGACTAAACAATCTATGAGTCCATCAATAAGATTCTGGTGAAATTATGTTTCATCTACACATTGGAAAAGTATAGAGCAGTTAAAAAATAAAATAAATTTATATGCACTGACATGTTCAAATCCTCTGCCACCGTAGATGAAAAATATAATCTGCATAACATGAATAGTACAATATTTATGAAAAAGGTATATTTGCTATATCTTTGATATGCATGTATTGCATAGAAAGGGCTTGTAAGTATGTAGACCCACTTTTTAACATTTCCTTTAAGAGGAATGGGATAAAGAGGTTTAGATCTTTTTCCCCACTTTTCATTCTATACTTCTTCACAAGGAGAATGTATGTACATGTTACATTTGTGGATAGAGAATAAAAATAATAACTAAGTTAAGTGTATCAAGTTCACAAAAGCGTTACCTGAAACTGCTACTGGGTGAACCCCAAGAAAGGTAATATCTGTCACTCAGGACATGTGGAATTTCTATGTTATTTGTGTATGAGAGAAACACCAAATTCTCCCAATAAATTGCGAGTCCCGTAGGATAAGCACACATCTGATGGCCCTGAAGAAGCGTTCCTTGTGTTTGCTGAACCCCTGAGAGCCCAGGCACGCCTCAAACACATTTAAGATTTGTTGGGCATCCGGGCCAGCCACGTGCTCCCAACGCCGCCTCCGGGTCGGGGCGCGCCGCCAGAGCTCAGACTCCCCTAGAATGCCTCCAGGAAACCGTCGGGTGGGGCGGAGATCTGCTCCCCGCAGCGGCTTTTTCACCTGCCGTCCCGCCTGTGCTTCCTGGAAATGAGTTTCTGTTCCTCTAAGGTCGTGGGGCAGCCGGACCCGAGCCTGGGGCGAAACGGGAGCTGAAGTTGGCGCCCAGGAAGAGGGACTGGGCGACTACCCGGAGTCGGACCGGGAGTCCGAGCGGGGTCAGTCAGAGTCGGAGGGGAAGCCGGAGCCGGGCCGGGGCCAGACGGCGCAGCTCGAGGTCTGGGTCCGGGTCGGTGGAGGTCCCGGGGTGGGACCAAGGACCGAATCGAGGCCGGTCTGGGCGTCAGGGCAGCCCTCGGAGCGGCGATCGTTGCTGGATAAGGGGCCGCAGCCACCCCGGCGTGGGTTGGAAGGACGCACCCCTGCTGGGGCGAAACCCCGAATCCGTAGCCGTCTGCCCGCGACTGCCAAGCCGACCGCCTGAAAGGGCCGCTGTCCCGCGCCTTCCAGTGGCTGGGGTGGTGGTGGGCACCCCGATCTTCCTCTGGCGCCCATGATGCTGCCGGCCGCGCTGGGCTCCGGCTTCCTTTACCTGCCCGAGGACGAAGAAGGTCTGGAGGAGCCGTGCGCCCAGGGGAGCCCGGCCAAGGCTGAGTGGGCTTCATGCGGGGCCATTTCACCACCACCGACTCCTACCGCTTCTCCAGGAGGCGCCCCGAGGCCAATTTCGCCTCCATTTTGGTGGTCTCCCACAGCGACTTATAGCTGGAACCAGATACCTTTGCCGAAGTTGGTAAATTGGGCAGCCTGATGCAGGATCTGCAGGTCCCAAGGGGAAACGGAAGCCACATCCAGTACCAGCAGGTGTCCCTGAGGCACCAGACGCTCTGTGTGCCCCCCAACCCGCTCCTGGATGCCTGGCAGGTGGACAAAACGCTTGACCTGAGCAGCATCACCTTCCCCATCTACAACCACAGCGGGCATCTTGTCTTCCTGACCGGCTTCTTTGGAAGACACATCTTGGGGGACAGCTTGGGAATGGGCCAGTTACTTCTGCAGGCCAAAGCCATGCAGCTGCTGTACTACCTGAAGACCCAGCACCGGAGGACAACGTGCAGAGCAAGCAGTGGCTCACCCATTTCCTCCACCAATTTAACAATATTAACAACAGTCTGGTCATGAAGAAAATTGAGGTACCTGGCGGTTCAGGTTTACAAGGAGGCCAAGAGAAGGTGGGAGGGATGAGGAAGACTTGTTCCCAGAACCGTAACAAAAGCACCGCATGACTACTTCAAGGGGTCCTTGCCTCAAAGCCGGGTTTGCTTTACTGTATTTGTCACTTAATCCAACTCTTTTAAATTAACACCGACGGATGCCAGGAATCGTGAATTCTTGGTAACATTCAGGTCGGTAACACAAATCCTGTGTCCACCAGATGGGGCTGTTCAGCACAGACACTGATCTTCGTGTTTAATTTTGGGGTTTGGTTTCTTATCATATTACAGTGCTTTGACATTCTACTTTTAGTTGAAGTCTTCACTGGTTTTGGGGAGCCCCCAAAACTTGCTTGGTGCTCGCTGAGTATTTTTTTTTTTTTGGCAGGTGGTCCACTTCACATTGCTTTCCAGACAACTGCAATTTGAGGCAACTTCTATGACAGTGATCCCTTTGTTTCACCTGGCATACATTCTAATCATACTATTTGCAGTCACATCATGCTATTGTTGCTGCAAGTTCTGGATCAAAAGTATCATCTGTGAACCTCAAGAGCAGGGGGGACTTGCCCACCCCACTCTCAAGAAGATGAGGGTCTTCAGGGTGGTCAGCATGTCCTCGTCCATCCTGACCCTGCTCCACTCTGAGCCCAGCTGGCCGCCCCGGAGTCCACTTCTGAACCCTTCAGCAGCTCTAATAATTTCATAAACCAGTTGTATGCTGTCATTTTAGTGAGGCTGAGTAAATGTTTGGATTCATGGGGCTTCTTAACTGTGTGCAATTCCTGCCCCAAACTTTCTTAGACAAGTTTCTTCTTGTTCAAGAAGACAAAGGTTATGGGCTCCATTACCTTGTCTTCCTAACTTCTTTCAAAAGCAGATATAAAAGGGAATAGGCATGTTTTCAAACCAATAACTTTGTGTTAAAAATACTGGAAAATACTTTTCTTTTGTGTGTGTGTGTTGATTGGACCTCCTAACATGTTGACAAGCAAAAATGTTACATGGAAGAGCCTTTCTAAAAGCTGAACCTCTGAGAATAAATGCCTTATACTAGGAATTGGGGAAGAGAAAAGCAGAAGGAAGTTCTAACAAAGATCATGTTTCAAAGACTTTCAGAAATTATGAAGGACACCTCTCTGAAAAGTACTCCAGTATGATGTTCCTTGAAATGGATATGGCTGTCAGGATGTTGCTTCAGAGTGTGAAGTCAAATGCATGCTAACCTTCCAGTTTTGTTTTTGTTTTGTTTTGTTTGACACAGGGTCTCTGTCACCCAGGCTGGAGTGCAGTGGCACAATCTCGGCTCACTACAATCTCTGCCTCCAAGGCTTAAGCAATCCTCCCACCTCAGCTTCCCAGGTAGCTTCAACTACAGGTGTGCACCACCATGCCTGGCTAATTTTTGTATTTTTAATAGAGATGGGGTTTTGCCATATTTCCCAGGCTGGTCTTGAATTTCTGAGCTCAAGTGACCCACCCACCTTGGCCTCCCAAAGTGCCGGGATTACAGGCATGTGCCACCATGCCCTGCCAACCTTACAATTTTTTAAAAAGAGACAAAATGTGGTTGAATTATCTGGAGCTAATAAGAAAAAACTTGAAGCAACCATTAATCAATCTAATCATGTTCTCTGAAAATATAACCAGCCATTGGCTATTTAAAACTTGTAATTTTTTTTATTTACAATAAGTATGGAGACTATACTGCCATCTGATTATAAATGACAATAAAATATTAATTCAACCCTTTAAAAAATTTTATGAAGAACAAAATGCTCTAAACTTTCCTACTTTTAATGTATGTTTAGTATTTCTGGCTGGAATTCCATACCATTCTTTCCTTCTTACTAAAATCTCAAGTTTCAGGTGGCAGCTTGCCAGTTTCAACCTCACCTTCTCATCTGCTTTCTGACTAAAATGTTTAAGAAATCCGGCCAGTCATGGTGGTTCACGCCTGCAATCCTAGCACTTTGGGAGGCCAAGGCAGGTGGGTCGCTTGAGGTCAGGAGTTCAAAAGCAGCCTGGTCAACATTGTGAAACCCTGTCTCTACAAAAAATTAGCCAGGCATGGTGGCGTGTGCCTATAATCCCAGCTACTCGGGAAGCTGAGGCACAAGAATTGCTTGAGTCTGGGAGGTGGAGGTTGCAGTGAGCCGAGATCATACCACTGCACTCCAGCCTGGGCGACAGAGAGAGAGACTATCTCAAAACAAACAAACTAACTAACTCAATAAATAAATAAAATAAAATCTGGAATTATTAAAAATTCATACCCAAACTGCATGTTGGCATTGTTATTCTAAGAATGGTGTGTGTGTGTGTGTGTGTGTGTGTGTGTGTGTGTGTGTGAAGGAGGGAGGGAGAGAGGGAGAGAGGGGGAGAGAGAGGGAGGGAGAGAGAGAGAGATGTGGAATAAAGCAATGAGTTACAATGTGATATCCCAGGTGACCTTGAGAACCAGAATACTTTCTGTGGGAAAAAGGGCTACCTATAGTTGTTAAAATGCTTTTACCATTTCCCTGACAATGCTAGAACCTTAAACATGTTAAATTCTAATACCCCTCTCCTGCTTTTGTGTTATGTATTTTTTTTCTAATTTTTAGAATTATTTATAGTGAGCTATATCGCCCAGGCTGGTCTCAAATTCCTGAGCTCATGCAACCCTCCTGCCTTGGCCTTTCAAAGTGCTGACATTACAGGCATGAGCCACCACACCCAACCTGTGTTATTATGTACTTTAATTTTAGGCCTAGAGACAATGAACAATCCAGTAGCAATAAGCATCCCTAGCATCCAGACTATAGTCTTTAATGAGAAATACCATTTCTCACTAAAAGAAACTAGTGCTGCTTAAACAAATGGTTCATTCCAGGTTTGACGCAGGAATTGTACAAAATGGGCCAGGTGCATCTTGTTATACAAGATAGCAAAGAAGCTATCAAAAACTATTAAGGTTTTAACTGAAGTAGTTGGAAACAATCTGCAGACGATTCCACTGGCTCAAGATGGAATAAATCATGCATGAATAAGAGTAACTGCAGTGGACTGAAAAAAAATGTTTAAATTAATGATTTAAAAATGATTAAATAATGATTTTTTTAAAAACCTAACCGGCCGGGCACGGTGGCTCACACCTGTAATCCCAGCACTTTGGGAGGCCAAGGCGGGCGGATCACGAGGTCTAGAGATTGAGACCATCTTGGCCAACATGGTGAAACCCCACCTCTACTAAAAATACAAGAAAAATTAGCTGAGCGTGGTGGTGCACGCCTGTAGTCCCAGCTACTCGGAAGGCTGAGGCAGGAGAGTCGTTTGAACCCGGGAGGCGGAGGTTGCAGTGAGCCAAGATCATGCCACTGTACTCCAGCCTAGCTACAGAGCGAGACTTCCTGTCTCAAAAAAATAAATAAATAAACCTAATAAATCATCTTTGGAGGACGCTAACAACTATTTTGCAAACTAGTAAATAAAGGGAAGAATCAAGCATTTAACCTGCCTTTCCTACACAAACTGTAACTCTGAGTAAACAACTAGTAAATGAGGGAATGTCTCTTTTTATAGAAGTATTTAAACAAATAGACCAAGAAGAGACAACAGCGGTCAGGCGCGGTGGCTCATGCCTGTAATCCCAGCACTTTGGGAGGCCGAGGCGGGCAGATCACGAGGTCAGGAGATCAAGACCATCCTGGCTAACACGGTAAAACCCCATCTCTACTAAAAATACAAAAAATTAGCCAGGCGTGGTGGCGAGCGCCTGTAGTCCCAGCTACTCAGGAGGCTGAGGCAGGAGAATGGCGTGAACCCAGGAGGTGGAGCTTGCAGTGAGCTGAGATCGTGCCACTGCACTCCAGCCTGGGCGACGGAGCGAGACTCTATCTCAAAAAAAAAAAAAAAAAGGAAGAGACAATAGCATTGGAAATCACCATTTTGCAACCCTTAATGAATTAAGGATCTAGGATTGAGCATCTACAGCTGCTAACATCACAGATAACCAGACGTTAGGTTTTTTTTTTTTTTTTTTTTGAGATAGAGTATCACTCTGTTGTCCAGGCTGGAGTGCAGCGGCACCATCTCGACTCACTGCAACCTCTACCTCCCAGGTTCAAGCGATTCTTGTGCCTCAGCCTACTGAGTAGCTGGGATTACAGGTGCCCGCCACCATGCCTGGCTAATTTTTTTGTATTTTTAGTAGAGATGGGGTTTCACCATGTTGGCCAGGATGGTCTCGAATTCCTGACCTCAAGTGATCCCAGCCTCGCAAAGTGCTGGGATTACAGGCGTGAGCCACCACACCTGGCCCAAATGTTAGGTATCTTTTGTCAAACACATCATCACCTATGAAGTAGTCTTGACAAAAACAAAATCAAACCTGAATCTGATTAGGCCTCTAGATCTAAGTATCAACATATAGGACATACAGAGAACAGAGGAATGTGCTAATCTACACAACATGAATCAGTAAAATACCAACATTGAAAAAGTAGGATATATGATCAAGGTTCTTCAACAAATACACTGCCAGGAGTTGAAATAAAGAAGAGATGGACAAGGAATTTATAAAATAAGAGAGCTAAAAGACAAAGCAAAGCTAAATACAGTGTTTAGAGATTTACAGTTGGGTGATGTAGTGAGTTGAATGCAAATATGACCACGTCCTACTACCTGGAACCTATGAATGTTACCTTAATTGGAAAAAGGATCTTTGTAGATGTAATTAAGGATCTTAAGAAAATCATCCTAGAGGCCAGGTGTGGTGGCTCACGCCTGTAATCCCAACACTTTGGGAGGCCAAGGCGGGTGGATCACGAGGTCAGGAGATCGAGACCATCCTGGCCAACATGGTGAAACCCCATCTGTACAAAAAAAATACAAAAATTACCCGGGTGTGATGGCACGTGCCTGTAATCCTAGCTACTCTGGAGGCTGAGGCACGAGAATCACTTGAACCCAGGAGGCGGAAGTTGCATTGAGGTGAGATCTTGCCACTGCACTCCAGCCTGGCAACAGAGCGAGACTCCACCTCAAAAAAGAAAAGAAAAGAAAAGAAAGTCATCCTAGATTATCCTGGTGGCCCTAAATCCAACAACAAGTGTCCTTATAAGAGTTAGGCAGAGGGAGATTTGACACAGATGGAAGAGGAGGAGACAATGTGACCAGGGAGCAGAGATTGGAGTGATGTGGCCACAAGTCAAGGAATGCCAGCAACCACAGGAGGCTGGAAAAGAATGGATTCTTCCCTAGGTCCCCCAGGGGTGCAGCCCTGCTGGCACCTCAAATTCAGACCTCTGGGCTCCAGAACTTTGAAAGAACACATTTCTGTTGCCATCTAGTTTAATTTTTTACAGCAGCCACAGGATGCTCATAATACAGGTGGATAATATCCAAGAGAAAGAAAATAATCCCCATAGTGAAGACAGAGGTTATCGATAAGGGTTTAGGAGATACATGTGGAGGGTGTCTGGGGTAGTTGGCAAGGTATTCTCTCCTGACATGGATGCCAGTTGCAAGGTAGTTGCCCTTTAATAACTCAAGCTGTACATTTGTCTCATGTGGATTTCTGTATTCGTATCATATTTAACAGTAAATAAAGTTTTCAAAAAATCATACAACTAGTAAAGCTCTAATCTCAAATGTCTGCCCGCGCACAAGGAGGGCCTGTGTTCTCTCGACAGGGAAGAAGGTACGACTCATTTCCTTGATGGTCAAGGTGTGAGGAGGGAAAAGCTATAAAGGGTTAGAGAAGGGCTGCAGAAACACACCTTCGGGAAACCACAAGTACCACTTTTATGTATTTATCTGTCCAGGAAAGAACTAGAAACAAAAGTTTGTCTGTGAACTTTCAAATGAAAGATGTATTTCACAAGTCTCTGCTGAAAGTGTTCACAGATTATACATGCTCAGCCTGACTTTTAAATGCCACTGAACAAAGGTTGGGGAGTGGGTAATAATTAACTACAGTCTATTAAGGCTGATGGATACAGTGCTGGTACTTCAGATTTCCCAACGAGAACCTCTGTAGGTACTTGTAGGTATACAATCTTGTGGTCTGTTTTGAATTTCAAAGGTAAAAGTTGAAATGTTGGCAATCTTGTGTATCCAACGTGGCACAATTTGCAGTGACTCTTCCTAAACCAGCTCAGAACACCCTTAGGAGGCGGCCAGTTGGGATCTGCAATATTCACTGGAGGTTTGAGCAGGATGCTCAACACCCGTCCAGTGAGGCCCCCACAAAAATATTATCTTTTAACTCAGAGGGCCCCAGTACGAGTTTAACAGTCTATGACTCACAACTTCAAAATAACATCGAAATTCAATTCAGAGTTAAAGACTGTATGACGATGCCCCGGATTTTAAGAAGACAGTTCTGTTGGCCATATTTTTATGTTCATTGCTATATAGTCCATAAAATTTGTGTCACAACTTCTTCTTTTCTTGAATTTTTATAATTTATATACCCCAATTTTACTAAAGACTACTATATTGTTTTTGTTTTTCAACCTTTATTTTAGGTTCAGGGGTACATGTGCAGGTTTGATATACAGGTTAATTTGTGTCATGGGGGTGTGTTGAACAGATTATTTCATTACCCAGGCATTAAGCCTAGTACCCAACAGTGTTTTTTGTTTGTTTTAAGCAGAGTCTCGCTCTGTTGCACAGGCTGGAGTGCAGTGGCATGATCTCAGCCCACTGCAGCCTCTGCCTCCTGGGTTTAAGCAATTCTCATGTCTCAGCCTCCAGAGTAGCTGGAATTACAAGCATGCACACCCATGCCTGGCTAATTTTTATACTTTTAGTAGAGACGGGGTTTTGCCATTTTGGCCAGGCTGGTCTTGAACTCCTCACCTCAAGTGATCCACCCGCCTTGGCCTCTCAAAATGCTGGGGTCACAGGTGTGAGCCACTGCACCTGGCCCCAATAGTTATTTTTTCTGCTCCTCTCCCTCCTCCAACCCTCCACCCTAAAGTGTTTGTTGCTCCCTTGTGTTCATGGATTCTCAGAATTTAGCTTCCATTTATAAGTGAAAACATGCAGTATTTGGTTTTCTCTTCCTGCATTAGTTTGCTAAGAATAATAGCCTTCAGCTCCATCCATGTTCCCACAAGACATGATCTCACTCCTTTTTAAGGTTGCATAGTATCCCATGATGTATGTGTACCACATTCTCTTTTTGCAATCCGTCATTGACAGACATTTAGGTTGATCCCATGTCTTTACTATTGTGAATAGTGCTGCAATGAACATTTGCAGGCATGTGTCTTTATGGTAAAATGATTTATATTCCTTTGGGTATATGTATACCCAGTAATGGGACTGCTGGGTCAAATGATAGTTGTTTTTAGCTCTTAGAGGAGTCACCACACTACTTTCCACAATGGCTGAACCTAATTTACACTCCCACTAACAGTGTATAAATGTTCTCCTTTCTCCACAACCTCACCAGCATCTGTTATTTTTTTCGTTTTTTAGTAATAGCTATTCTAACTGGTGTGAGATATTACCTCACTGTGGTTTTGATTTGCATTTCTCTAATGATCAGTGATACCGACCTTTTTTTCATAGGCTTTTTGGCCACATACATGTCTTCTTTTGTAAAAGGACTAGTATATCTTGGCCGGGTGTGGTGGCTCACACCTGTATTCCCAGCACTTTGGGGGGCCAAGGCGGGGGAGATCACCTGAGGTCGGGCGTTCGAGACCAGCCTGACCAACATGTAGAAACCCCATCTCTACTAAAAATACAAAATTAGCCAGGCGTGGTGGCACATGCCTGTAATCCCAGCTACTCAGGAGGCTGAGGCGGGAGAATCGCTTGAACCCAGGAGGCAGAGGTTGCAGTGAGCCAAGATCGCGCCACTGCACTCCAGTCTGGGCAACAAGAGCAAAATCCCGTCTCAGAAAAAAAAAAAAAAAAAAAAAAAGGCCAGACACGGTGGCTCACGCTTGTAAACCCAGCACTTTGGGAGGCTAAGGCGGGCAGATCACGAGGTCAGGAGATCGAGGCCATCCTGGCTAACACGGTGAAACCCTGTCTCTACTAAAAATACAAAAAATGAGCCGGGCGTGGTGGCGGGCTCCTGTAGTCCCAGCTACTCAGGAGGCTGAGGCAGGAGAATGGTGTGAACCCGGGAGGTGGAGCTTGCAGTGAGTAGAGATCGCACCACTGCACTCCAGCCTGGGCAACAGAGCGAGACTCCGTCTCAAGAGAAAATAAATAAATAAATAAGAAAAACGACTAGTATATAATGTTAGGTGATGCTTTATTTATTACCTTCAATAAAAATGAGAATTCCTCTCATTTAATTTCTTGACAATAGAATTAATTTCATATAGAGTCTTTCAAATGTGAAACATTGGTAAGTTGTGTTATTTACTACTGTGATAGTTAATGAAGCTTTTTTTTTCTTTTTTTTTTTTTTTGAGAGAGAGGGTCTCACTCTGTCACCCAGGCTGGAGTGTGGTGGCATGATCATAGCTCACTGCAGCCCCAAACTCCTAGGCTCAAGTGACCCTCCCACCCCAACCTCTTGAGTAGCTAGGACTACAGGCATGTGTCACCACGCCCAGGTAATTTTTTGGATTTTTTTGTAGAGATAGAGTTGCACAGGCTGGTCTTAAATTCCTGGCCTCAAGTAATTCTCTAGCCTGGGCCTCCCAAAGTGCTGGGATTATAGGTGTGATCACCACATCTGGCCTAATGAAGCCTTAATATCAGTATTGATATTTCATAACTTTATAAATATTATTTTCTTACACTGCTCTATTTCTTAGCTGTTAAATAATAATTGCTATAGCTAAAACACCTTATGAAATACTTGATATTATGAAATACTTTGGTTGTCTTATATAGATTGACATTTAATAATAATTGGGCTAGGCACAGTGGCTCATGCCTGTAATTCCAGCACTTTGGGAGGCCAAGGCAGACAGATCACTTGAGGTCAGGAGTTCGAGACCAGCCTGGCCAACATGGTGAAATCCCATCTCTACTAAAAATACAAAAATTAGCTGGAGGTGGTGGGGTACCTGTAATCCCAGCTACTTGGGAGGCTGAGGAATGAGAATCACTTGAACCCAGAAGGCGGAGGTTGCAGTGAGCTGAGATCCGGCCACTGCATTCCAGACTGGGCAACAGGCAAGACTTTGTCTCAAAATAATAATTGGCAAATAAATTATGTGAAAACAACTTTTTATATTAGCCTCAAGAAAGATGAACTCTTTATCACCTTGAGTCTTTCTCTCTCCTAGGAGCAAAAACCTTTTTTTTTTTTTTTTTTTTTGGTAGAGGACCACCCCCCTAGAACCCTTCTTCTAATATCTTAGAGGTTAGAACTGCTTCACATACATTCCTCCACCAAACACTGGCAAGGAGGATGGACTATCCATGATTGGCTTAGGGTAATTAAGATTCAAGTTACATGGCCTCCTAATATGCAAAAAGACCTGGGGCTCTTGATAATCTACATCTTTGACACAATTAGTCACTTCTCTTGCATTATATTTTGCTTCCAGCCCTTGGCAGAATGGTCTAATAGTCAATGACCCTGTCACCAACTTCTTTTTTTTTTTCCTAAACCTACTTTCTATCTTCCACTCCTCAGGAGTTCCTGACACCCATCATTGTTTTTTGTTTTTTTCTTTTTCTTTCTGTCAGAAACTCCTCTCAAATCAAATGGAATTGCGAAAGTCAGGATAAGACAATATATCACTATCTGTGGTATGCAGAATAATGGTCCCCTAAAGATGTCTACATCTTGATCTTTGGAATCTGTGTATCAGGTTACATGGAAAGGAGAATTAAGGCTCCTAACACTGATATGGTGAATCCTGTACCACGCTTCTATCCTGCAGAATTATAAAATAAATTTGTATTACTTTAAGCTACTAAGTTTGTGGTAATTTCTTACAGAAGTGATAGAAAACACAATACACTTTCCAAAAATATTTACATTTTAACAAGGGACAAAGCCCTTCCTTGACTTAGCATATTTTTCGTTGCAAGAGATAGAAACTTGATTCAAAACAAAAAAGGATCTATTGGGTCACATCACCATCCAACTGTGGAAAAGACAGGAATGGAACTGTGTCAGGAAGGCCTAGAACCAGACGTTAACATCATCCCCCATCCCCAGTCACTGGGCATCTGTATCTGTTCTCTTCATTCACGCCAGCTTAGTCCCAACAGCAGGGAACTTGGCCAACCACAGCTCTAGGTCTGCCCCCATGACTCAAACACCTCCCATTAGGCCCCATCTCCAATCCTGGGGATCAAATTTCAACATGAGGTTTGGAGGGGAAGAATTTCCAAACCATAGCATTCCACCCCTGGCCCCCAAAACTGATGTCCTTCCCACATGTAAAGTACAATCATCCATCTCAACGGTCCCAAATGTCTTAAGTTGTTCCAGTACCAACTCAAATGTCCAAAGTCCAAAATCTCATCTGAGATTCAAGAACAGTTCCTTTCAGCTATGAGCATGTAAAATAAAAAACAAGTTATTTCATTCCAAGATACAATGGTTATACAGGCATTCCCATGTCAAACATTCCCATGTCAAATGGGAGAAATCAGTGAAAAGAAAAGGGTAATAGGCCCCATGCGTGTCCAAAACCCAGCAGGGCAGGCATTAAATCTTAAAACTCCAAAATAATCTCCTCTATGTCCCACAACCTGGGCACACTGGTGGGTCCTGAGGCCTTGAGCAGACCCATCCCTGTGGCTTTTCTGGGTGCAGCCCATGTGGCTGCTCTCATAAGGTGGAGTCAAATGCCAGAGGCTTTTCCAGGCTGAAGGTACACACTGCTGGTGGCTCTATCATTCTGGGGGCTGGAAGGCAGTGGCCCTCCTGCAAATCCACCAGGCATTACTCTCGCAGAGGCTGGCTGTGAAGGGTCTGACTCTGCCGCAGGCTTTTGCTTGGGCACCCAGGCTTTCCAATAAATCCTCTGAAATCTAAGTGGAAGCCACATCTCCATAGCTCTTGCATTCTGTGGGCCTGCAGAATTAATACCACGTGGATATCACCAAGGCTTCCACCTCGTGCCCTCTGGAGCAGCAGCACCAATCTTATCTGGGGTTCCTGGGGTCATTTGAGCCACAGCTGCTACAGCCTGGGAACAGCATCCTGAAGCAGTGAGGAGCAGTGGTGCCCTGGTCCTGTTCCCCAAAACCAATCTGTCCTCCTAATACCCCTAGGCCTGTGATGGGAGGGGTGGCTGCCCAGCGGAAATTTCGATTTGTGAAATGCCTTTGTGGCCTTTTCCCCACTGTCTTGACTATTAGTACCTAGATCCCTTTTTGTCACCCTAAACTCTTTAGCAACCTGTGGCTCCAGCTTGACCCTTGGATTCCTCTCCTGAATATGCTCTTTCCTTCTCTATTACATGACCAGGCTGAGAATTTTCCAATATTTTACACTCTGCTTTTAATGATAAATTCTGCCTTTAAGTCATTCCTTTGCTGCTGCAATTCAACATATGCTGTTAAAAGTAATCATACACTTCTCGATTGCTTTGCTGCTTAGAAATTTCTTCTGTCAATTACACTAGGTCATTACTCTTACGTTTGGTCTTCCACAAAGCCCTAGGGCATGGACACAATGCAGCCAAGTTCTTTGCTGTGCTGTAACATGGGTGATCTCTGCTTCAGTTCCCAGTAAGTTCCTCATTTCCACCTGAGACCTTGTCAAGATGGCCTTTACTGTCTATATTTTTTTTTAATTTTTTTTAATTTTTTAAAAGTCCCCATTTGACATACTGTCTACATTTCTATCAGCATTTTGGTCATAACCAATTAATCAATCTGTAAGAAGTTCCAACCTCTTAGAATTTCCAATCTCTAAATTCCTCATCTTTTTGTCTTCTTGTAACCAGGGGCCTCGGTGTTAAAAATCACCCACTTTCTTTTTCTTCCTTCCCTCTCTAGACACTCCCTTTCAGCACAATGTATGCTTATCTAATTAGGCTCTTGCTTGAGAAATCCCAGAGGCTAACCTTGAAACAAATCAGGGACAGAGCCCTCATTGAGGAATTCTCCCATTTGGAGGGAGTAACCAACAATTAGTCCACCATTATCAGGCCAAAGTCAAGATAATGCCAACCAGACGTCTGGACAGGCATTACCCAAGATAACCACTGGAACAAGACACACAGACCCTGTACCCTGCACCTCCACATGTCTCCAAGTTTCCCTTTAAAAATCCTATGGTAAATTTTAAAATGTAAGATGGTACTTTCATTGCAGCACTATTCACAATAGCAAAGACATGGAATCAACCTAAATGCCCATCAGTGATAGACTGGATACAGAAAATGTGGTACATATACGCCATGCAATACTATGCAGCCATAAAAAATGAGATCATGTCCTTTGCAGGGACATGGATGAACCTGGAAGCCATTATCCTCAGCAAACTAATGCAGGAACAAAAAAAGCAAACACCACATGTTCTCAATTTAAGTGGGAGCTGAATGATAAGAACACATGGACACATGGTGGGGGACAACACACTAGGGCCTGTGGGGATGGGGGTTGAGGGGACGGAGAGCATCAGGAAGAACAGCTAATGGGCGCTGGGCTTAATACCTAGGCGATGGAATGATCTGTGCAGCAAACTACCATGGCACACGTTTACCTGTGTAACAAATCTGCACATCCGCACATCTACCCGGGAACTTAAAATAAAAGTTGAAGAAAAAAATAAAGATGGTACTTTCGAATGCTTGTTCACTATGTTCTCAAGTTTGCTGGCTCTCCAATTAAACCTGCTTTTCCTCCCACCAATCCTAGCCTCTAATGTCTGGTGTTTGAGCAGCAGCAGCTGAACCTAAGTCTGGTTACATTCTGAGCCCTCCAAACTCTTCCAACCTCAGCCCATTACCCAGTTCCAAAGCTGCTTTCTCATGTTTAGGTATTGTTAAAGCTATACCCCACTCCTCAGTACCAATTTTCTGTCTTATTCCATTTTGTATTGTTATAAAAGAATACCAGAGACTGATAATTTATTAAGAAAAAAAGGTTTATTTAGGCCGGGTGGGGTGGCTCATGACAGCACGTTAGGAGGCCAAGGCTGATGGATCACGAGGTAAAGAGATTGAGACTATCCTAGCCAACATGGTGAAACCCCGTTTCTACTAAAAATACAAAAATTAGCTGGGCGTGGTGGTGCACATCTGTTAGTCCCAGCTACTCTGGAGGCTGAGGCAGGAGAATCCCTTGAATCGGGGAGGCGGAGGTTGCAGTGAGCCGAGATTGCACCACTGCACTCCAGCCTGGTGACAGAGCGAGACTCCGTCTCAAAAAAAAAAAAAAGAAGAAAGAAAAAAAGGTTTATATAGCTCAAGATTCTGATGGTTGCAAAGTCCAAGATTGGGCATCTGCATCTGATGAGGGCCTCACACCTGCTTCCACTCATGGTGGAAAGCAAAGGGGAGCTTGTGTGTGCAGAGATCACATGGCAAGAAAAGGAAGAGAAAGGAAGGGAGGTGCCAGGCTCTTTTTAACAACCAGCTCTCATTGGAACAGAGAACTCACCCACAAGGGAGGGGGTTAATCTATCCATGAGGGATCTGCCCCCATGACCCAAACACCTCTCATTAGGTCTCACCTCCAACACTGGGGAGCAAATTTCAACATGAGACTTGGAGAGGTCAAACATCCAAACCATAGCATAGTCCAAGTGTAAGTGCCTCATAAAAAAAGAGTTAGGGCATCAGCACAGTCACAGCCTTTGGAAGAACTGCTCTAAGGCAGACAGAAGCCCCAAGCTGTGTCTGCTGTGGCCTAAGAAATGTAAGCCGTATTTATAGTTTCAGACATTTTCAGACTAATAAAACAAGTGTTTTTTGTTGCTTTGCATACGTGAAGGGAGGGAGGATGGAGGGCTGACTGTCTGCTACTGGCTGATCCAGCACCTAAACTGATCATATAAACGGTGATCTCCTCTGCAGTCTGTATTAGTCAGCTTGGGCTACCATAATGGGTGGCAAACAAGCAATTTTTATTCTCACAGTTCTGGAGGCTGGAAGTTTGAGATCAGGGTGCCAATATGGTTGGGTTCTGGTGAGGGCTTGCTTCTGGCTTTCAGACAGCAAGATGTCTTTTCTTATAATGACACTTATGTTAAATCAGGGCCCTATCCTCAGTACCTCATTTAACCTTAATTACTTCCATAAAGGCTGTATCTCCAAATATAGTCACATTGAGAGTTGGGGCTTACAGATATTTATTTATATAAATGTGAAAACATAGGGCAATGTGCCTTTGAGCAAGTACCCTAGATGCTAATCCTCTTTCAGTTCCAGCTAAAACACTGAAAATAAAACCTAAGAGAAATAACAGCTTCTAAAATTTGGATAAACTCATCTTAATTAATCCACGCTTAAAATAATCTCCATGATTTTCACTATTTTGTAAAATAATGTTTGACCTCCCAAAGCAATGGCTTGCATTTGATTTTAGTGAAAGACAAAAATACAAAAATACATACATACATACATATATATATAGATATATATATAGATATATATATATATAGATATATATATATAGATATATATATATAGATATATATATATATAGATATATATATATATATAGATAGATAGATAGATAGATATATTTTTTTTTTTGTAGAGACAAGGTCTCACTCCGTTGCTCAGGATGGAGTACAGTGTGATCATGGCTCTCTGTAACCTGAAACTCCTGGGCTCAAGGGATCCTCCCTACTCAGTCTCCCAAGTAGCTGGAACTACAGGCATGCACCATGCTGGGCTAATTTTTTTTATTTTTTGTACAGATAAGGTCTCCCTATGTTTCCCAGACTGGTCTCGAACTCCTGGCCTCAAGCAATTCTCCCACCCCAGCCTCCCAAAGTACTGGGATTACAGGCGTGGGATTACAGGCTGGGATTACTAAAATGTTTGGCCTTAGTAAAATATTTTTCATCATACCGCAGTGACTTCAAATTTGAAAAAGTTGACAAACCTGTACACCTTTGTAATCCTTTTTGCTGTGCACAAATCCATAGCAAAAATGTTTTCTAACAGAAAACAGGAGCTTTTGACACAAAGTACAGCATTTTAAAAATTCAAAAAGAGGCCAGGTGCAGTGGCTTATGCCTGTAATCCTAGCACTTTGGGACGCCAAGATGGGCGGATCACCTGAGGTCAAGAGTTCAAGACCTGCCTGGCTAACATGGTGAAACCCTCTCTCTACTAAAAATAAAAAAATAAAAATAAAAATAAAAATTCAAAAAACAAACAGAAAATAGGAGCTGAAAATTAAATACCTCAGATCACAAACTATTTTCAAGATCCTTCAAGCACCTCCAGCATGCTTTTCTGTAAAAATAATCCATATCATCGTCCTTGTATGCTGGACGTACATATGAAATACTAGATCTTGAGAAGGCCAATAATAAGATGCGGTCCATAATCTCTAACTTAGCCAAGAGATACACAATTCATATATAAATGACCAATTCTTAAATGTGACAATGGGAGTCTTACTGTGGCTGAAACAGGAAAGACTTTCCAGAGAAGGCCAGACTTGACTCAGGAGTTCATAGGACCTACATAAACTGGCAAAGGAGGGGAAGGTGACTGCAATTGTTCTCACCTATGCCATAAAGTGGATCTCTAAAGCACTACTGAGCAGCATATTAGTTCTAGCATTAATTGCTAAATGTTCTTCAGAGCAATAAAATAGTCTACAATTCAATTACAGATTGAAGTAGTGTATAACTCACTTGTTTTCATTAATTCAGACTATCCTGCAACCCAATCAGCCCAAATTCAAGCAGTCTTACTATGTACAGTGATTTATTTTTATTGAAAATACAAAGTAATATTAAAGAAAAGATTTAAATAAATAAAGTCATTCCATATCCCGCTACACTAACACAATGAATTTGTTTTGCAGATTACCTTCCACATGCATAAAGATTTTACAAAGTCACAATCATAGTATGCATACTATTTTGTATTGTGCTCATTTTACTTACCATATCAAACATGTCCACGTTTCTACAGTCTTCCAAATAATTATTTTAATGGCAGTATAATACTTCACTATTTTTCTTATCCCACTTTCTTGACATGGAGTTTTTTTCCCCAATTTTTGTTATTATAAAGAATGCAGACATAAATGTCTTCATGCATTTATCTTTTTTCTGAATTATTTTTAAGGTTAAAAGTATAGAAGTAGAATTTATGGGGCAAAGGATATGGTCATTTTTACAGCCCTTGCTATGTAGTACCATATTGTGTTTCCAAAGGGTTGTATCTATTTAAAACGCCATCTGAAATAAATGCATTAAAATTTTCCTTCTAAATTTTTTTTAATCAGAAATGCTAGGTAGTTTTAAACTTCAGTGAGTTAAAAATAATTATTGTCTCTTTTTAAAAAATGAAGAGTGTGGAATAGATGGTCTCACAGATAACTAATGGTGTAAAGGAGTTAAGCAACACATCCCAACTATTCCCAAGTTATGGCACACATGGAAAGCGATGCTGTAGGCACACTGAGGAAAATGGACAAAGGTGGTTCTGGCCCAGAGGCTCCAGCCACCCAGGCCACCTTTGGATGTAGCAAGGGGTGAGGGGATCTGTATCTAGGCCTGTCTGTGATTTGCAGTGCCAGTGTGCATGGCTCAGGAAGCTCTAATCAAGGAGAGGTTAAATGACTTAAGTCACAAAATCTAGTTACTGGCAGCTTTGGGAAATAAATGCAAATATCTTCTTGTCAGTGTATTTTCTACTAATCACAACTGCTCTACATGCTTTCTGGCTCTAAAATTCAATCATATATGCAGACATGTATCTATATTTAAGAATAAAGAGGATTTCCTAACATGCTTGAACTAAAGACAACTAAGCTAGCAATTTACATCAAAGCTGAAAATTAAAAACAGTTCTTAGCATAAACAAATATTTGACTATCTTCTATTTTTCAGACTTGCTATTCTTTTAAATTTAGTTTGTAAGCTCTTTGAACAGTAACAATCTTTTGCACAGTATTTTGTATATCTCTGGTAGTCAGTAAATAGAGAGTAACAATAAATTACACTATAAAGGAAAAAACTAGACAAAGTAAATCCACATTCTAAATAATTCTGAAGGTGAAAAAAGTGTTAAGGGTTGATTTTGTAGAGGTAGAGAAGATTCCCTCTTTAAATGTCAAATTCCTGCTAGCTAAATTGATTTTTTTTTTTTTTTGAGACAGGGTCTCGCCAGGTTAGTCTCCAACTTCTAGGCTCAAGTGATCCTCCCGCCTCAGCCTCCCAAAGTGCTGGGATTACAGGCATGAGCCACCATGCCCAGCCAGACATCTTAATATGCACTATCTACTATATTATAGGCTCTTGAGAAACATTTCATTCCACAGAATGGTTCTGATTTATCCCCAGTGTTGATGCTACCAAGAGGAAAAGATTCACTACAAAGGTAGTTCACCTTTTACCAAGTGTCAAATATTCTATATTACCTTTGAAAACCAGAGATTATAGGTATTAATCCCACTGATTCAACTGTGTATATATATACACATATATACGTATATATGTGTATATATATACACACATATATATGTATACACATATATGTATACATACATACGTATATATACACATACATGTATACATACATACTATATATACACATATGTATACATACATACGTATATATACACATATATGTATACATACGTATATATACACATATATATGTATACATATATATGAACACATATATGTGTGTGTGTATATATATATATATATAAGATTTTTCTTGACCATGAATCACCATGTTTGGGAGTACAGTAGGGTTAGGAATTACAATTTACTGATCCCCTATCATGTGCCAGACACAATTATCAGGTAAGGAACTTCAAACCCTGCATTCTTTTTTTATAAAACTATACTCCAAAAAAGTGATTGCTTGGTCATTTCTGCAGATTCAATTAGACATTATACACACAAACACACCCATGAGACCGCATGGCACTGGGAAGATTACCCACTATTTCCCACTTATTAAGATCTGGATCATATTTCTCAATGCTCTGAAGATACGTTCCCTTTGAGTAGGAGTATCCTCCAGTGACATAAATACATCCATTCATGATGACGGCACCGCACTCCATCCTCCTTTCCATCATGGGAGCTATCTCTCTCCATTCATTTTGTTCAGGGTCATAGCATTCTGTGATTGTAGTTTGTCCGCCGACTAGATAGAGCTTATTTTCAAACGGAACTGAGCACAATCCATATTCTTTTAAAAAGAAAAAAAGAAAACAGCATTTTTTTAAAGGATAACAAACAAAAGAGATTCCACAGTGTGGTAATGTAATAATCCTTTAAAATTTAGCACACAAAAAATAGGGAGTGGTGGTATTTTGATTCAGGCACACAATACTGCAACGCTGAGGCTGAAAATCATTCCCTGTCACCTAATTCAGATCGCCTGTTCCTGCCATGCTGCCATTATCCTTCAGCTTGTCCTTAGCTGGCTCTGTAGGAGGCCAGGGAGGAACTCACCCAACAGATCACCTTTCTGGGAATTTCCCAACACAGACAACTTTTACTTGACACCTATCTGTAAAAGATGGTAGCAGTAGAATCCTTATAGAAAGATACCCTCGATAAGCAGTGGTGTCCCTTCAGGTCTTGGCAGCTGTCTCCTTAACCAATGGCAGGCAATCTGGCATGCCTGCTGTCACAGGTGCCACACAGGGTGGCCTTGTGTGCTTCTCACACTGCCAGTCCAG
This sequence comes from Homo sapiens, assembly GCF_000001405.40. Lineage (NCBI taxonomy): Eukaryota > Metazoa > Chordata > Mammalia > Primates > Hominidae > Homo > Homo sapiens. The sequence continues at coordinate 169,748,925 of NC_000002.12, read as the reverse complement.
TTATGAACTCAAGAAGCTAAAGAAACGTACCCAGACTCGTGGGGCATGACAGTCTATCATCCTGAGAAGCTGTGAAGGGTGCCCCCAGGCGGAGGGCTGCTGTGTGGGATCCGGGTCCTGGGGCTGGAAGTATGTATATGGGGGGGGGGGGGGGCGGTCCTCCTCCTAGGCTGTTTTAATGTTTTCCATTTTATCTCCCCCTCTACACCCAAACCTGCTGGATCTTCAAAGCACCAGCATATCTCACAACTCTACTTCTCCCTTCTTCCCAGGGCTGTGACAAGAGTGAGGCTAGCGAAGTGCTTAGGGTGCAAAATGCAGGGAGGCAGAACTCTGTGAGTCATTTGCACTGCATGGCCTTACATTTTGTGCCTGAAGCATCTCATTTGCCTCATCCTGGTCTCTGCCCTGTTTTCTTCCACACACCCGCTTTTATCGTCACTCCTAGCCTGTCAGTTCACTCTCTGGGAATATCAGTCATAAAATTACACTTAAAAACCTTTCGCTGGAGCCCCAAAGGAAGAGGAGGATTTGTCAGTGCATTCAAATTAAAGCAAGGAAAGATTTAGCGCACTATCGCTGAGCTGTTCCTTCTGCCTTGAAGTCTCTCCTCTCCCCAGGTCTCTGCACAGCTGCGTCCTTCCTGTCATTCCGGTCTTGTCTTACTCTCACCTCTTCAAAGGGCATTCCCTGACCACCCAGCCTGAAGTGGCCAGGCAGGCGTCTCTACCACATCATCCTATTTTAATTCTCTCCATAGCACTTCTCATTATCTGGAATGTTTCTTTTCTTTTCTTTCCTAGAGACAGGGTCTTGCTCTGTCACCCAGGTTGGAGTGCAATGGCACAATCATAGCTCAATATAGCCTCAAATTCCTGGGCTCAAGTAATCCTCCCATCTCAGCCTCTCAAGAAGCTGGGACTATAGGTACACATCATCACAACTGGCTAATTTTTGTATTTTTGTAGAGATGGGGTCTCCCTTTGTTGCCCAGGCTGGTCTACAACTCCTGGCCTCAAGAGATCCTCCTCTGCCTCAGCCTCTCAAAGTGCAGGGCTTACAGGTGTGAGCCAGGTGTGTTTCTTATCGTCTCTCTCTCCCTCCTGGCAGCACAGGAACTGTGTCCTGCTCACTAACCTATTCCTAATTGGAGAATGGCAACTGTCTGGCACCTTGTGAGAATTCGATAAATATGTGTTGAATAATGAATGAATTGTACTTTGTACGCTTGTGTCCCAATGTGTCCTCACATTATAACGTAGAAGGAAAGCTTATAAGCAAGCCCCTCTTTAGAAAGAATAATACAATCAGAAATGCGATTTCCAGATGAATGTGGTGGTGCACACCTGTAATCCTAGCTACTGGGGAGGCTGAGGCTGGAGGATTGCTTGAGCCCAGGACTTCAAGGCTAGTCTGGGCAACACGGTGAGACCCTGTCTCTTAAAAAAAAAAAAAAAAAAAGTGATTTCCTCTTTAGGAGTGGAAGACAACTTCTTACCAGTAAAGTTCTCCCTCAGTTTTTTTTTTTTTTTTTTTAGAGACAGAGTCTCGCTCTGTCTCCCAGGCTGGAGTGCAGTGGCGCAATCTCGGCTCACTGCAACCTCTGCTTCCCGGGTTCAAGTGATTCTTATGCTTCAGCCACCCAAGTAGCCAAGATTACAGGTGTGCACTGTAGCTGAGATTACGGGTGCGCACCACCATGCCTGGCTAATTTTTGTATTTTTAATAGAGATGGGGTTTTGCCATGTTGCCCAGGTGCTAGTCTTGAACTCCTGGACTCAAATAATGCACTGAGATTACAGGCGTGAGCCACCGTGCCTGGCCCTCCCTAGGTTTTGACAGCTAAGGAAAGTCTTAGAAGATTGCATTTTTGCTTCATTTCCACATATTTTTCTCGTTACTGACATCCAAGAAAATAATTATCCTACTTGTTAAAAACTCATTTTTTACTTTCCAGTTATTTATATGTTGAATTTTTATAGGATTTACTTGTTTCAAGTACTTGTGAAACACTGCTTATATCAATTATATGAATCATTCAACTAATGGTTATTGTGAAAATGATAGTTCAAATATTTTATCAGTTGGTAAAAGTGATTCAACATCACTCACTAGGCTTTTCTTAAATTACTTGAAGTTTATCAAAACACCCCAATTTTTGATTCATATGTTAAGAAAGCCATCTGTCTTCCTATAGCAGTAAAAATATTTAAGTAAAGTGATTCCTAATCATTTTTTCTCTTTTACTCAAATACAACACATGTTCTATTGTTGTGGATAGGAACTTTTTCTTCCTGAGCTGTAATTGCGTTTTTTCTTGTTAGTTAACCCCTCTAAGCCACTGAGGCTCTGGGACTGTGCCTTGCTCACTGTGCTCCTAGCACTGAGTATATAGCAGCATGTAGGATGCACACAGCAGATATGTTAGACATGAATGAGTGAACAAATGAATAATCAAGAATGGGAGTGACACCATCTGTCACGGCTCAAAAGTTTACACAGAAGTATAAAACATCAACACACAGCAGTCTGTATTCAGTGTTAGATGAGTGATATGAACAAACAGCTAGAGGGATTCAGAGAAAACCACAATATCCATTTGAATTGATTTCAATTTTTTTTCCTAAGATCTTTTCTCATTGAAGAGCCTGTAAAGTTTATGTAGTCTAACTTTCTGATTTCACTGGAAGGTAAGGCCCAAGAGCTTAGTCTACTTGCCGATGGCAAGGCAGGTAAATAAATGGCAGGGCCAGGAAAGTTCTCTCCCCACTTCACACAACTCTCCACAGGTCCTCCTTTATCACATACTGCTTCCTCTCGGCTCTTCACACCCTCTTGTTCCTCAGCTTATCCCTCAACTCTGCCCGTTTCCTAGGATTCTGCCCATAGCTGTATTGCTGGTCCCACCCTACCAAGGCATCTTATTCATCCCCATACCCAGAGCCACCATCCAAGCAAACAATCCCCAGATCTCTACATTCAGCTACCTCCCTCCTTCTCAGCTGCAAACCCACATTTCCCTTTGCCTGCTGGACAGCTCTTTTGGGTTATCCAATGATTCCTTTGCTCTAAACTATAAAATCGAGCTCATCATCTCCCCTCTTCTCCCTTCCTGTCAGCTTCTCCTTCAGTATACCTCATTCTCTCAGACAACCGGCCAGAGACCCTGAGACGACTGTCAACTCCTTTCTCTCCTTCATCTCCTGTATGCTGTCAGCCAAGGAAGCAATCAGCTGTTGAATCTATGACATTCCTCACATCGGCCCCTCTTTTCTACTCCTACCACTTCTTCAGGCTTTCAGCATTTCTCCCTTGGTTAAACACAATAGTGTTAGTAGATCCCCTTGCTGTCTTTCTCCCAATCTACCTAAAAGGAGTTCTCTTCCTTTTTTTTTTTTTTTTTTTTTTTTTTGAGACGGAGTCTCACTCTGTCACCCAGGCTGGAGTGCAGGGGCACGATCTTCAGCTCACTGCAAGCTCTGCCTCCCGGGTTCACACCATTCTCCTGGCTCAGCCTCCCGAGTAGCTAGGACTACAGGTGCCCGCCACCATGCCCAGCTAATTTTTTTGTATTTTTAGTAGAGATGGGGTTTCACCATGTTAGCCAGGATGGTCTCGATCTCCTGACCTCATGATCCGCCCACCTTGGCCTCCCAAAGTGCAGGGATTACAGGCGTGAGCCACCGCGCCCAGCCAAGAGTTCTCTTCTTAAAACCAGAGCTGGGCCAGGTGCAGTGGCCCAGTGCTTTGGGAGGCTGAGGCGGGTGGATGACTTTAGGCCAGGAGTTCAAGACCAGCCTGGCCAACATAGTGAAACCCCGTCTCTACTAAAAAAAAATACAAAAATTAGCCAGGCGTGGTGGTGCATGCCTGTAATCCCAGCTACCTGGGAGGCTGAGACACAAGAATCGCTGAACCCAAGATTGTGCCACTGCACTCCAGCCTAAGCAACAGAGCGAGACTGTCTTTAAAAAAAAAAAAACAAAAAACAAAAACCTAGAGCTGATCACACATCATTCTCTTGCTCGAAAACCTTTATGATTCTGCATTTTAAAAATTACCCAGACTGAGCTGGTTGTGGTGGCTCAAGCCTGTAATCCCAGCACTTTGGGAGGCTGAGGAAGGTGAATCACAAGGTCAGGAGTTTGAGACCAGCCTGGCTAACACGGTGAAACCCCATCTCTACTAAAAATATGAAAAATTAGCCGGGCAAAGTAGCAGCGCCTGTAATCTCAGCTACTTGGGACGTTGAGGCAGGAGAATACCTTGAACCTGGGATGCGGATGTTGCGGTTAGCCGAGATCACACCACTGCACTCCAGCCTGGGCAACACAGCAAGACTCCATCTCAAAAAAAAAAAAAATTACCCAGACTGCCATTCAAAGCTCTCCATGACATGCTCTCCAACTGAACTCTCCCATCCGATCTCCCATTCTACCCTCTTACATTCCATTCATTCATGTCTGCTCCCAGGTAATGGAATACACCTGAAACTTTCCTTTCCACCTTCCTCCACTGGGCTGACTTCTTGCCAGAAAAACCCTTCCTCAAAAACTACCTTCCTTATTTGGGGCCATTCTTTAAGGCCCAGCTCATAACCACCTACCGTTGGAAGCATTCTAAGATAGTCAGATTTCCCTTAATTAGACTTACACTCTTTTTATTCTCAATTTCAATAGCACTTGTTTTTACAGAACTTAGCAGAGACTGTCCTGTATTTCCATTATGTATGTATATTTGCTCCTGGATTCTGAGCTCCTACGGCAGTAAAGACTAACACTTAATCATCTTACATAATTATCAGAATCCTACCTTTTCCAATGTAGGGTCTCAATAAATGTCACCTTGAATTCAATGCAACTATAGTCCCATGTTTTCCAATTACACAAACTACCCCATTAAAGGGGTTAAGATAAAATATAATACTTATATTATCTTTAAAAAATAATAGTAGTCATTTCTTCTCAGTGTAAGCAATGTATCTCTATGAAGTCAACTCAAGGATGACATTTTAATTCCTCAGGAGGTACTGCTAAAATCCTTAAGAAACAAACCTTGCTATAATTCAGTGGATGCAGATGCACAGCCTTCAAGAGCTTAAGGATTTAACAGACTAGCTGAGCAAAGCCAGCTGGGAGCAAGAAAAACAACGGCACAGGCCCCCTAGGTCAGTGACGTGAGGAGAATTGGAAGGACTGTGGTGAAACGGAGCACACAAGCCTCATTTAGGGGAACAGCTACCCCCTGGCTCCCGTGACTGCTGCCTAGAAGGAATACATCCAAGGCTGCTAGGTCTTCCCTTTTCTTTTAAAGGACAGAAATAATGATTTTTACTTGAAATTCTCTTAAATTTTAAATATTGGTAACAAGCCAGTTCAAAAATATTTTAAGGACTGTGAAAGCTAAACAGAACACATCATGCAAGGTACTGATTTAAAATCTGTTTTTTATGTTTCATCAGGAAAAAGTTCAATGTAAATCAAAACTACATGTGGATGCATATTATGTTACCATTGATTTATATTATAATTTAACATTTATTTTGGATTTTCAATTTGCCATGACTTATTAATACTTTGGATTAAGTCCAAAGTGACACTGTCTCTCAGACTCTTTTTCATGTAGTTAATAAGCTATATGAAATCTGTTATGGAAAACTTATTTTTGAGGGAAACTCTTAATGACATATACATTAAATTTATAATATAAATAACTGCCCTCTAATTTGTGAATTCTGACTTTTCATGTATCGGATTTTCTTTGTAAAGATAAGCTTATCCACAAAATAGGCAGAGTAACATCTAACTTCTAAGGGTAACATGAGGTTCAGGTGAGATAATAGTGAAGTTCAAGCCAGTCTGTCTAGGTTTGAACCTCAGTTCTAATAAGCACTAGCTGGCTAACCTTGGGCAATTTATATAATCTCTTTGACCCTCAGTGTCCTATAAAATGTGATAAAAACAGTACCTAGCTCATGGAATTATTTTGAGGTTTAAACAGATTATACATGTAAAATTACTGGAATAGTTTGTGCCTGCCACACACTGACTGAATAAATGCTAGCTATTTCTCACTGTGAGTTGTTACTATTCCTTTCCATTATAACTTCACTGATCACAGCAGAAAGTGGTGGGGAGTCTGGGATGGTCCATTTGGGCTACTAGGAGGGAGAAGTTTACCCATTCCATGGTGTCTTTGCAGCCAGGGAAGCCTGGGGCTAAAGTTCCTTCTCATGCAAAGCCTGGGCATATGGAGATGCAGCACCAGATTTAGGTGTGCTTCAGATTAACCATCATATGGGATAGATGATGTATGGGCTGGAAGTAGCTGCCTTGGTTGAAAGCAGGAGAGTCTGCTCCCTGAAGGAGAGACAGATTGTTTAGTGGCTACAGCACAAGTTATGGAATCAGACTGTCAGATTTTGAACCCTGGTCTACCACTTTCAAACTGTGAAACTGTGACCTTGGAAAAGTTACTTATTGTTTCTAAGCCTCCATTTCCAAATATGTAAAATGGTGACAAACAATACCTGCTCACAGACTTGTAGTGAGAATCTGAGGTAATACACATATGAAGTGCTTAGCCAGTGCCTGATCTATGGTAAGTATTACTAGTCCTCTCAGATGGTTCCAGCTTGTGAATTTCCACTACCCCCTCCACTGACCCACATGGAAGCCTGATGCTCTATGGAAAATGATTCAAGGTAACATGGTGGTACGATGATATGAATCTTTCCTAATGAAAACAACTTAAACCTATGGCATAACTGAAACAGACTAAAACTTGTGCTTCCCTCTGAGCTCTTCACAAAGACACAAGTCAAAGAACAGAAGACATCCAAGAAGGTAGGCCATTCCTTATGGGCAGACAGCATGTTCCCTGTATGAGTGTTAAGGTAAGGCCAACATATGGCTCTGCACATTGTAGGAGTGAGTGCTTAATAGTAAGTGAAACCTAGAAAGAACATGCTTCTAAAACAGGAAACAATTTCTAGCTGAACTTCAATCACTGGGTACCCTTTCTGACTATTTGATAGAATGGTGCTTTTCAACTACTTATGAACATTGTATTTTATATAATTAATGTCATAAATGAAAGATGGCATATAAAGGAAAAAAATTTTAAAGACGCTAATATTTTTGACCACACAGACTTACAATGTGCATTGTATAAAGACATCAGGGAAAATATTTGTAGATGTGACCCAATCAGAATCTCATTGTGATTATTGTTAGATGGACATATATGAATATTTTGAGACTTTTAATTCTACCCATGTGTAGTCTACAATAAAATCAGCATTTTCTATTTCCAGTCCATTTTTAGCCATCCTTTATGCTACTAAACTACATCACAACATACACTATTTGAGACAGTATTTTTGTTACCTGGATGTGGACTGGAGGTGATGAGGCTCCATTCGTTGATATCGGAATTGTAGCTCTGAACTTTGTCATAGGTGCAGCTTCCTCTGTAGCCACAGTGGCCACCAATGACGTAGATAACATCATGTAAGACACAGGCAGTAGCATTTCCCACACCTACGTATTAATTAAAATCACATCTTTAGATTGATCTTTTGTTCTTTTTTGCAGTGAACCCTGGGCTAAATTTATTGTTGTTTTTGTTATTACTGATGGTAAAATGCAAGGTACTGTGCTAAGTGCTATAAGGGACAAAAGAATAAAAAAGGAAGGCTCTTTGTGCTCTTAAGAGAGGGTGAGACGTGCACACAAACACAGCCATGCACCACGCACAATGATCTCCATAAAATTATAATGGAGTGGAAAATGTCCTATCACCTAGTGATACTGTGGTAGCTGTTTTAAAGACATGGCATAAAGCATTCTCATGTGTTTCTGGTGATGCTGTTGTAAATAAATCTACGCCTCTGGCAGGTCCTTCAAGAGGTATTCCAGAAGAAGGCATTATTATCATAGGAGAGGATAGCTCTATGCCTGTTATTGCCCTTGAAAGCCTGCAAGTGGGACAAGATGTGGAGGTGGAAGACAGTGATATTGATGACTCTGACATTGATGATCCTGACCCTGTATAGGCCTCAGCTAATGTGTATGTCTGTGTCTTACTTTTTTAACAAAAAAGTTTAACGAGTAAAAAAATCAATAAATAAGTTATATATATATATATATATATATATAATATAAAAAAGCTTATAGAGGCCGGGCGCAGTGGCTCACGCCTGTAATCCCAGCACTTTGGGAGGTCAAGGTGGGTGGATCACGAGGTCAGGAGATTGAGACCATCCTGGCTAACACGGTGAAACCCCGTCTCTACTAAAAATACAAAAAATTAGCAGGACGTGGTGGTGGGCGCCTGTAGTCCTAGCTACTCGGGAGGCTGAGGCAGGAGAATGGCGTGAACCCAGGAGACTGAGCTTGCAGTGAGCCAAGACAGTGCCACTGCACTCCAGCCTGGGTGACAGAGCGAGACTCCGTCTCAAAAAAAAAAAAAGCTTATAGAATAAGGATAAAAAGAAAGTATTTTTATAAGCTATATAAAGTCTACAGTAATGCCTGTAATTCCAGAAGTTTAGGAGGCTGAGGCAGGGGATCACTTGAGCCCAGGAGGAGTTTGAGACCAGCTTGGACTACAAAGTGAGACCACATCTCTACAAAAAATAAAAAAGTAGCCACGTGTGATAGCATGTGCCTGTAGTCCCAGCTACTCGGGAGGCTGAGGTGGGAGGATTGCTTGATCTCAGGAGGTCAAGGCTGCAGTGAGCTATGTTTACATCACCGCAGTCCAGCGTACGTGTCAGAGCAAGACCCTGTCTCAAAAAAAGTAAAAAGTCTACAGTAGTGTACAGTAATGTCCTAGGCCTTCACAATCCCTCCCCACTTACTCACCGACTCAACCAGAACAACTTCCAGTCCTGCAAGCTCCATTCATGGTAAGTGCCCCAAATAGGTCTACCATTTTTATCTTTTATGCTGTATTTTTACTGTACTGTTTCTATGTTTAGATACACAAAGACTTACCATTGTGTTATACTGCTTAGAATATTCAGTATAGTAACATGCTGTACAGGTCTGAAGCCTAGGAGTAACAGGCTATACCACACAGCCTAGGTGTGTATTAGGCTGTAGAATTAGTATGGTATAGCCTGTTGTTTAAGTATAACGTTCACATGACAAAATTGCCTAATCACACATTTCTCAGAACATATCCCCATTGTTAAGTGGCACATGGCTGTAATTAGAACACTAGATATAAAATGGAAGAAACACCATGAAAAAAGGGACAGATGAACTGCTGGGCATGGTCAGGGCAAGAAAACACTGCATTTGACGAGGGAAATCACAGCAGGTGGTGGTGGAATTTGACCTGGGTGATGGTAGGAAGTTGGCAAGTATAGATGAGAGGAGGCCATTCTAGACAGAGGGAAAAGCCAGTGCAAAGGCTTACTGGACAATGTTAAGTAGCCCAGTTTGACCAGGGCAGGTGGCACATTGAGGGTTGTTGCATGGGACTTTAAGGCTGGCATGGTAAGTTGAAGCCATGTAGCAAAGGATACTTACTGATGCCCAACAAAGAATCTGGATTTAATTCAGCCAGATTTTAAAGGTTTTTAAACAGAGGAATAGAGCAACTAACAAAGGAAGAACAGGTACCAGAAAGATCTAGTTACTGGCCAGGGTGGGCGGTCTCGAGGGCCTGATTTTGAAGGGGCTTTGGGTATGGAGGGAAGAGCATAGAGGAAAGAGACAGGTAAAACACACAGGTCTTGATGACTGACTGACGCAGAGGCAAACCAAACCGATTTTGAGGTCCTGAGCTGGAAAAACTGGAATCACTGATGCCAAAACAAGGAGGGGTGGGGGAAGTCGAGGAGGGGAAGGAGAGGGAGGGGAAGGAGGAGGAGGAAGAAGAAGGCAGAAGGAGGGAGAGGAGATGGGGGAGGGGAAGGGGAGGAGGGGGAGGGGGAGGGGAAGGGGGAGGAGAGGGAGGAGGGGGAGGAGAGGGAAGGAGGAGGAAGAAAGAGGAAGATAGGCGAAACATGAAAGGGAGATAGGGAGGAGAGGGAGGGGAAGGGGGAAGAGAGGGGAGGGTGAGGAAGGGGAGGGGGAGGAGGGGGAGGAAATAGGTTTGGAGGGAAGATGAAGAAAGGAAGAAAGATGATGAGGATCATTTTAGTTGAAAACGTTGGTTTTGTCTTTCCACTAACTTTTACCTAGCACCATTTTGCATGATACAGTTCAATCTTCTTGTTCCTTTCTATTCCAAAATAAAAGTGGATTTATAAGTAGAGCAGTTATGATGGAAAAAAATAAAGATTCAGGAGTTCCTAAACAGCCAAGTATTTATTTATTCTCTGTACATTAGTGAACTTAATTTGGGTCCAGGACCAAAAAAAGGTAATAAATTTTAAATTTGACTGTACCCAAATTAAGTTTATTACCAGAGAAAGCTGCTATTTCACTTCAAGGCTACAAAATAAAACGAATTGAAAAAAATGTTATCCTTTCTACCAAAAAATGGGAATCTAAAAGTTCAGTATGGCTGGGTGTGGTGGTTCACACCTATAATCCCCGCACTTTGGGAGGCCAAGGTAGGAGAATCATTTGAGGCCAGGGGTTCAAGACCAGCCTGGGCAACATAGTGAGACCCCCCGCCATTTCTAGTTTTAAAAATTAAAAATAAAATTTTAAAAATTGTTTAAAAAAAGTTCTGTATGAGTCCACCCACCAAAACAAGCAGTAGTCAAAACTGCACATAACTGGCAGTGTTACCTCTCCCTGGGATGACTAGATATAAACAAGAATCAAAGCTTTGAGTTCAAAGTATAAAACTGGAATTTCAGACCCAGTTAGCAGGTGAGGGAGGACTTTGAGGTATGAGGGTCTCCTACTCCACTCAAGGTTAACGCAAGCATGCATATGGCTTTTGTTTCACAGTAGATACACCATCGCAGCATATCTTTTTTCAACAAGCACTGTTCTAAATATAAATTTTTAAAATTTCAGTAAAGTAATAAGCTTTCATTCTCAAAGAAATATACTCTGAACCCACCCTTGTAATCCCAGCACTTTGGGAGGCCAAGGTGGGGGGATCACTTGAGGTCAGGAGTTCAAGACCAGCCTGGCCAACATGGTGAAACCCCGTCTCTACTAAAAATACAAAAATTACCTAGGTGTGGTGGCACATGCCTGTAATCCCAGCTACTCAGGAGGCTGAGGCAGGAGAACTGCTTGAACCCGGGAGGCAGAGGTTGCAGTGAGCCAAGATCACGCCACTGCATTCCAGCCTGGGAGACAGAGTGAGACTCCATCTCAAAAAAAAAAAAAGAAAAAGAAAAAGAAATATACTCTGAACCACAAAACCATTGAAACTGTTATATCATCCTTAAAAAACAGAATCAGAAATGTATGCTAGTTTACAATAGCTCCTTAAATATATGGACTTTTCTTATTTCTTTTGCAGAAGAGGGGTCAGGACATTCAGAGCCCTCCTGGAATCGGCAAGTAGTGGTGAGACTCAGGCAAAGACAAAAACCAGGGGAGCAACAGCACCGGGCTTTCTGCTACCTTCTCCCACCCTGGTGTGACAGTGGTCACAACTTCACATGAAATCAATTTCTGCTCTATAAGAGCTGACATGTCCTTCAATACCGACATTCAGGACAATCATGCGTAACATTTATAGCATGCTTACTCTGTGTCAGACACTGTTCTAGGCACTTCACAAGCATAGATTAATTTAATCCTCTCAATGATCCGAGACTAGGTAATATTGTCATCCCCATTATACAGATGACAAAACGGGGGCACAGGGTGATTAAACAATTTGCCAGAGCTCATCAGCAAGTAAGAGGAAAGCAGGGATCTGGATGCAGGCAGTTTAGCTTCAGAGGCAGCGTGCCTGATCCCAAGACTGTTCTGCCTCTCAGCTTCCTGCCTGTCATCCAAGGATCATACCAGGTCAGATTTCCAGACCAGGTCAAATTCCCACACTCTCACTAGCATTAAAAAAGAAACAGAAAAGCCTGGGAAGAAACATTTGGGACAAAATGATACAAATTTGGTAACGACCTACCAGTTGTTTTTGTACAACTCCTCAGCACCAATGAATAAATACAATGAAATAAGATTCCCGTTTAACTTTTTTTCCAGTGGGAGAGAAGGAGAGCAAGGCAAACAAATCGCCAAACACAGCAGAAAATAGTGTTTATCAGACAGATACCGAGACCCAGGGGTGTGCCGGGTTCTGTGGGCCACATGAGGGAGAGTATGGTGTCTGCCCCTCTCAGAGAGGACTGAATTGCAAAAGCAGACGTTGTCTCTAGTTCCTGGAAGAATGTACTTTGTTACATCCTGTAGGGACCAAACCTTCCAAGGTTTTAATGAAGGACCTCTTGAGAGCTGATCAGCGTATTTTGAGAGGAAAAAGTTGAATAGCAGAATTTTAAAGGGTTCAATTTTAAGAACATGAAAAAATGAAAAACTGTCCAGATTTGTCTCTTCATCTAGCCCTTGACTTGAATATAAATTCTCATAACTCTCAGACAAGTTGGGAACTATGCTATACTGTTTTTATCTGGAACATTCTGTGTAGCATTATTTGTATAATTAACTATAGTTCCTAGATAGCATCCCAAAGTGATAAATTCAAGAGAAGTGAGACTGCTGGCCTAGCTCCAGACATCTAAAAAATACAAAATAAACATAATCTCCACTTACCTTTAATCATGTTTGCAATAGGAATCCATTTCTCTTTTAAAGGATCATAGAACTCAGCCTCTTCTGCTGGAGCCCCTTTTCTGTAACCACCTAAAGCATAGACACAGCCACCCAAGGTGACTGCACAGTGGTAATACCTGGCATTGAGCATTGGCAAACCTTCTGTCCATTCATCACTTTCACTGTTATAGATCCACACTGTGTCAAGAGCTTCTATGTTATCCGTCCTGTAGCCCCCAGTTACATAAATGTTGGGTCCTAAACATGTAACACCATAGCTCTCCCTGGTATAATCTGGTATTTCTGCTCCCTGAATCCAAACATTTGTCAAAGGATCCCATATGTGAACCTCTGATAAAGGATGCCAGTAATAGCCTCCAATTATATACATTGTGGCTGTGGACCTCTGGGAAATCTCTTTATGCATGGGATTCAAGGCATTGTATATTAGGGAGCGGATCTTATTTTCGGTGAGCAGGCAGCTTCTTTGAAGGCCTAAGGCTGTTTTTAAGTACACTGGATCTATATCAATGTTGATATAGCTCAGTAGATTATAGAGGCATTCAATTCGATTTTCTACATCATGAGCAGTCCACTTAATAACTGGCTCTATGATAGCTTCTTCTTTCCAAACACTGAGATTCTTTCTGGACAAGATAAAGAGAAACTTTTCAAGGCTGATTTCCAGAAATTCTTCTTGTTGCCACACTTCCTTAAACTTTGAACATAGAATTCTTCGAGATTCCTTCTCTAGTTCTGGACACACATGAAATTCTGCAAAGGAGTGCATTCCAATACAATTATCAATATCCAAGTGCCTTACCAAAAACCGCTCACAAGCCTTCTTTACTGAAAGGAACTGTAGCAGATCCGCTGCCTCAAGCAGGCTTTGAACATTTCTTTTAGTTATTTCAATTTGGGAAGTGTATGCATAATTTACAAGGCCTTCCAGAATATCATGGTGGATGCCAGAGAGTTTTATTTTATTTTTAAATTTTTCTTTCATGTCAGCTGTGAACATTGCCTTAAAATAATTGCTGCAAGCAGCTAAAACGGCTCGGTGACAATGGAAAATTATGCCTGAAGGACACTGAAGAGTAATATCAGTAAATAATCCATCCAAGTAAAATGTTCTGAATGCATCCAGAAAATCCACTGGATGTGTTGAATCCTTGAAAAGATAAATATAATCTTCTTGTCCTTTTAGAGCCATGGCTGCAATAAATATGAAATAACAAATGTGTTTTCAATGTTGCACATTCTCTCAAATAATCAACGCTAAATAACTTGACTATCATCGGATATACTCCAAAACTGGACTAAGTTCAGCATCTAAATAATAAATGCAAAATGTGGATGGACTGTTTGATCATTTATATGGTGGTCAATTTAAATTCAGGGTAGCTCGGAGCTTGAAATGAGGCTCCTGGATTTTTCAGTAGTCCTTTTGAGAGTACTGATTTGCTATTCCATTCACCGCAATCTACCCTGGCCTGGCGTTCGGAGATGAGATCCCACACTAGGCAAGGCAAGTGTCCGAGGGTCACCCCACTCGAGGCCGGACCTCAGCTGTCTCGGCTCGGCCCCAATTCAACCTTTTCCCCAAGCTCGTCTCCCTTTCAAATCACATCGAAATGCCAAGAAAGGGATGATGGAAATATAAATGGACAAGAAGAGGTCTCGGAAAAGGGAAATCCCGAGCCCTTTCGCTTAAGGAAGGAGAGAAAGGAAGGCAGCTCGGCGCAGCCCTTGCAGCCCTCGCCCCCTCCCCCGCGCCCGCCGCAGGGGTTTCCGCGCGCCCCGCGCCTGGGCCCCGGCCCACGTTCCCGCCCGGAGACCGCCCCGCCCCGGGGCCAGGAGCGGGGCTGGACTCGAGGGCGCCGCGTGCCGCCCGCGGGCCCGGTGCCCGCGTCCCTCTGCCCGGCGCTCCGCGCAGGTGTGGGAAGGACGCCGCAGGCAGCCCCAGCGCAACGCGTTCGGCCCGGCCCGGCGCCCGCGCGGCCATTGTCTGCGCTCCTCTCCCGCGCGGCCTCGCTGCCCGCGCCCGGCCCCGCTGCCCGCGCCCGGCCCCGCTCCCCGCGCCCGGCCCCGCTCGCTCCCAGCAGGCCGGCCTCGGGCTGCGGGTCCACACCGCACCTACCTCCCGCCGGGGCTCGGGACGCGGCGCTGGCCCGCGGGCTAGTAGCGAGCGGGAGCGGGGACGCCTCCGGCCCCTCTGACCATCTTTGGAAGAGGCGCTCGGAAGCCGCCAGCTAGTGCCGCTCCACCCCACAAGCAGCTCCTATTTTGGTGTCCCGGCGGCTCCCCCGCCTCCACCCGAACAGCCCCCCGCACGGTCTGGGCGCGAGGCCACTCGCGGGAACTCCCCCGTCGCCGGGCCGTGCGGCGAGCGGGGCGGGGCGTGCAGGCGTGAGCACGGCTCGGCCCCTCCCCAGCGGCGCCCCCCACAGCAGGTGGGACTGCTTCCCCAGGAGACAGCGCGCGCCGCCGCCTTCCCCTTCCTTGGCTCGCTCTCTGTCCCGCGCGCTCTCTCACACCCGGTCGAGCGTCTTCTCTTAGATAAACTCTGAGTCCTGAATTATTAATAACACCATATATGAGTGTGTGTGTGTGTGTGTGTGTGTGCGCGCGCGCGCGTGTGCATGTGTGTACACTCCCCTCCCTCAGTAGGCTTCGCCAGCCCAGACTCAATCGTGAGGACAGAGAAGGGGGAAAGAGTGGAGAGAATGGGGCACAACTAAAGGTCAGGGATTGGAGGCGCCGTTGAAATGCCAGAAGTAGCCGGCCTTTCCCACAAACGCCATCCCACCCCCAGCAAAGCACTCAGGAGGGCGCCTTGGTGCTGGTGAGCACATCAGGGGTTAAGCTGAAGCTTTGAGAGAAACTTTGGGCAGCCGGGGCCAAGGCGAAGTCCAGGCGAAGTCCAGTCGTGCTAAGATTCAGGTTATTGTATTTAGAGCATAGCAGCTGGAAGGAGCAGCCTTTCTGGTGACGGCCACTCTAGTCACAGATGTCTATGTGGTACACAAAGTTCATTTTCTTGTTCCAACTAAAGCCAGTATCAAATATTTTTGTATATCATTCATTCATTCATTCGCAAGATTTTATTAAGTGCTTCTAGTGCCTGATAGGGATAGACACTAGTAGTGATAAGAGTGTTGACAGATGGTCCCTAGCTCACAGGGACCTTCACCACCACCAGAGGACCATGTGTTTCCCAGAGTATGGTCTCAGAAACGCAATATACATGAATGGCCAGATAGTATGTGACAACAGAACTCTGAACCACATAAGAAGCCCAGGAAGCCAGACCACAACCTTGGTAGCAGCTGAACCAGAACAGTCAGGAAGTAGTCAACGACTGGCAATTTCCCTATTTTTTTTCTTTTTTGAGACAGGGTCTTGCTATGTTGCCCAGCCTGGAATGTAGTCGCACGATCTTAGCTCACTGCAGCCTCGATCTCCTGGTCTCAAGAGATCCTCTGCCTCAACCTCCCAAGTACCTACGACTACAGATGTGCAATTTTTGAAAAATTTTAAATATTTTTTCATGACAGGGTCTCACTATGTTGCCCAGGCTGGTCTCAAACTCCTGGACTCAAGCGATCTTCCTGCCTGGGACTTCCAAAGTGCAACTTCCCTATTTTTACCCCTAGTTCCACCTCTGCACCAACCAGAGAAAGCCAAATATGTTCCGCAAACCCATCACATAAAATACCCCCGCTTCTAGTAGCCCACCTGCAGCTTTCCCATGCCAACAACTTCCAATCAGAGCATACCGGGGGCTTTTCTTCACTTCTATAAAGCTTTCCCACTCGTCTGCCCCACCTTTGAGCCTCTGACAAAGTGATGGTGAGTGGGACTCCCTTCTACAGCAAACTCTGAATAAATAGCATCTGTTGGTTCTCCTGTGGGTGGGTTTTAGTTTAATTCCACAAGTCAGATCATCTTAATTGAATTATGTAAGATGCTGGTTATGCAGCCCCCACAACTACCACACCCCACGCACAGACGTCTGCGGGGTGGAGACCTAGGGATCTGCATTCTAATCAAGGGCAGCAGGTGATTCTTATGGACAAATAAGAGAATGTGTTGGACCCAAAAGGAAGAAGGATGAAAGTTTAACATCCCAACATCTGGTAAACAGTATAGTTAGAAAAGGAAAGCATATGAGATTTAGTTTCGGGCTTAAGGCTCATCTCTGCCACTTATCCAACATATAGCCTCTCACAAATTACTAAACTTCTCTGATCCTTCGTCTTCAGATCTGTAAAACACAGACAACATGGATACTTTCTCAACCTAACCTAAGGTTATTGGAAAGACAAATTAATAATGAAGCACTTAGGACTTGATATATAAATGTTAGCTACTATAATGAAAGAATATTTACACTTAATTCTGCATCACAACCTTAATTTGGAAATTAGCATCTTCTTAACATTTCTTCAGAAATTATGAACTTCATAGTTAATAGTAATTATAGCTTGCCCTTCATAACTGATAGTGATGCTGTTGTCACTGTTGCCATTCAAGGACACAATTGTGACTGATTGAAGGAGACTTCTCTCCATTTTTGTCACTGAAGTGTAGAGATGGCTGTTTTTGCAGCTATAATTACTGTTTGCCAAGTTTGATGTATAAAAAAATATAGGCTCCATCTAACTTGGAGTAAGGGCTTCTGGAATCATAACTACATGTAATAATAAATGATTCATGAATAATAGAATTCACTATATTCTCATTTATGCAGTTATTTCAGATGGCTGCATGAACCAACTAAAACTCTTGCTTTCATTTCGTGATGTTCCCTGGTTGTGAATTACTACTTAAAAGTGTATATCAGTGTATATTACATATTAGACTATTATACTGCTTCACTTTGCTAAGAGAAGAGCAGGTCCTGAAGGGTATTGCCTGGCATAGTTCCTCTTTACCATGTGCTTATCAAAGAGACCATTGCAAATGCTGATAGATTTGATGCATTCAGAAACATATAATTAGCATTCATAAATCAAATAAATTAATGATACCGTTCAAGAAAACAGATGTGCCATCTGTGGTTCCAAGTCTTAAAGAAATAAAGTGCTGCCATGGAAATGAGACATAAATGATTTGGCAGATACTAAGCTTGGCATGGAGTTAGATGACTTATTGACATCACACTTCAGCTTTCAAAGGACTCCGAGTTCTAAAAATAATGATTTTATTTATAATTTTTACCTTATTAGTACATCTTTCCACTAAGTACAGCCATGCCATTAAATGTTTGATATGCTGTGATATCATTAACAATGTGTGTAGATGATGGGCATAGATAGAACATTTTGTATACTTCATTTACATACTGGATTAAACAAGTTGCTGCCAAGTTAAAAAAAAAAAAAAAAGGCCAGGCCCATTGGCTCACGCCTGTAATCCCAGCACTTTGGGAGACCGAGGCAGGCAGATCATGAGGTCAGGAGTTTAAGACCATCCTGACCAACATGGTGAAACCCCATCTCTACTAAAAATACAAAAATTAGCCAGGTGTGGTGGTATACGCCTATAATCCCAGCCACTCAGGAGGCTGAGGCAGGAGAATCTCTTGAACCTGGGAGGCGGAGGTTACAGTGAGCCAAGATTGCGCCATAGCACTCCAGCCTGGGCGACAGAGTGAGACTCCGTCTCAAAATAAAAAACAATAGTAGGTAAAATGTATAAGGCTACCACATACAGCTTTGCAAATTGTGCACTGCACAATTCCAGCTCATGCAACTTAAGTAGAGTACAGTGTAAACACTGCTCTCAGGAGTTGTATAGTACACAACCAACGCAGGTATCTGTGGCTGCCCTGCAGCCGATGTGTCTTGGTAAAACCTTTTTTGGTATGTTTCCTGTAAAATAAGAAAGTGAACATTCTAATAACTAGGTAAAAATGCTTTTGCAAGTCACAGGTTTCCAATTCCTGGTTTCCAGCAAAAGTGAAAGAGGATTTTTGGCAAATAATTTGGAGGGAATGACAAAATGAATGGCATTACTATAAAAAAGGTTTTTTGTTTGTTTTTTTTTTTTTGAGACGGAGTCTTACTCTGTCACCCAGGCTGGAGTGCAATGGTGTAATCTTGGCTCACTGCAACTGCTGCCTCCCAGGTTCAAGAGATTCTCCTCCCTCAGCCTCCTGATTAGCTGGACTATAGGTGCATGCTACCACGCCCAGTTCATTTTTGTATTTTTAGTAGAGATGGGGTTTTGCCATGTTGGCTAGGCTGGTCTTGAACTCCTGACCTCAGGTGATCCACCTGTCTCAGCCTCCCGAAGTGCTGGGATTACAGGCATGAGCCATCGCGCCCGGCCACTATGATAAAATTTATCTCATTCTTACCTATTTGTCTCTGTGAACATGTTTTCTCAGCGATTATGTCTATAGAAATGTTAAGCAGGAACATTATTGAACCTAAATACTGTCTCATTCCAGCAGTAAGCACTACTTGACTTCATACTCTAAATGAAAGTAGCCCTATTCATCAGATTGAAATAATTTTTAATAATTTTTTACTTTTGATTTAAACATATTTATGTTTAATTAATTATAATAATAATTATAATATTAATTAGACCAGGATTTGTAAAATAACCAAAGATATAAAACCATCAAGGACATACAAATTGTAATTTATACACATTTTTGTCACAGAGAAGGTTAAGAGATTAATAAAAGATATTCAGTATAAAACCATACAGAAAAGTCTTTCTTTTTTTTGGCCTGGCCAAAAATGCTTTCTTTGAATGGTTCCAATATGTATGAATTTTAGTTACCATGGTTTAGTTAAATAACACCTGTCCCCTGAGAACAAGGTTTCAAATTTCAGTTACTGAAGTAAATTAACTCTGAGTAACTGCATAAAATACAAATTTGCTGCTAGCTCCTCAGGTCCATGAATTACTACATTAACAAATGCGCATCCTGATCAGTGACCAATCATGTATCTTCTTTCAAAGTCTGTCAGTGATTGATCTCTGTGCATCTGTCAGTTCACATACAGACAGTAAGGCTTGCAGTTGCATTGTCTCCTTGTCTGCTAGTAAAAAACCCATGTGACATTTTACAAAAATGGGTGATTGAGAAAGGGTATTGACCAACAAGGATGAAAGTATGGCATGGAAATAAAAAGTGACAATACCGCAAATAAAATGTGAAATGGCTGGGCATGGTGGCTTACGCCTGTAATTCCAGCACTTTGGGAGGCCAAGGTAGGCGGATCACCTGAGGTCAGGAGTTCGAGACCAGCCTGGCCAACATGGTGAAACCCTGTGTCTACTAAAAATACAAAAACTAGCCAGGCGTAGTGGTGGGTGCCTGTAATCCCAGCTACTCAGAGACTGAGGCAGGAGAATCACTTGAACCTGGGAGGCGGAGGTTGCAGTGAGCCAAGATTGTGCCATTGCACTTCGGCCTGGGTGACAAGAGCAAAACTCCGTCTAAAAAAATCAACAAAAAAAAAGTGAAATGAACACAATGAGGTTATAGAGGAAATAGCTGACCATGGGAATGTTTACACTACCACCATTGGAGAGAATTCAGATATGCAGCCAGGGAACTTAGTGCAGGTGAACTCATGACATAAGTGAGTCACCTTATGTCTCAAAGGAAGTGATCCTGGCAAAAAACTTCACATTAAAGGAACTCTTGGAGATATTTCACCACATCGAAAATGCAAAGGATAACACATTGGAAGTTGATCCAAACGTAAAACTATGACAGTCCATCAAGGCGTAGAAAGATGAGTACGCCAAATCATAAGTTTTATGACAAGAAGGCAAGAAACTAAGCGAACTACTATTGTTAAGTGTTTACAAAGAAACATAACACTTTATCAATGTTTCTAATGTTTTAAATTGCAGTATACTAAGTAAATATCAGTCTTACCATGTTCTTTATTTCCCTATACATTTTAACGAATAGTAAGAGAGTTCATAATGTTGTGACAAAAAAATGTAAAGGTCATAGGACAATCATAATTTTTCCCATTGATTATTTAGATCACATTATACATTTTCAACTTGTACAGTTATTTTGAAGGTCCTGTATTATTGTGCAAAGTGAGGACTGCCTGTATTTTCAGTGGGACAACCTTCTCTAAGAGAAGTAGAATGGAAGTACGAACTCAAGAAGAAAGAAGACTGAGAACTAAATTTTAAAAATGAGAAAATAAAAACTTCCAATAGTTTTTTTTTCTGAACTCCATGTCTCCTGATTCACAATACAGACGCAGCACAGGGCCTGGGCTGAGGTATATGTGGGGTCGGTTTACTCTGCCTCCTGTTTCTATACAGTCAGCGTAAGAACACAGACCATGGTAAGTACTAGGAAGCCAAAAATTTCCCACTTTTAAAGAACAACTTGTTTATGTATTTTTAAATGAATGACAGTGGTTTTGAACGGCTATATTTAGTTTTTACTAAATAGATTTAAAAGTATTATTTAACAGTCATTATTTATAACATG
The DNA here is from genome assembly GCF_000001405.40 of Homo sapiens. Classification (NCBI taxonomy): domain Eukaryota; kingdom Metazoa; phylum Chordata; class Mammalia; order Primates; family Hominidae; genus Homo; species Homo sapiens. Next base: position 169,727,739 of record NC_000002.12, on the reverse strand, counting down.
TTAGAAATTACAACCTTGGCAAATATTTAAACTTGTGATGAAAAGTTTCCAATATCGATTTAAAAATATGGAAGTGAGTACATAGTTTTTCAAACTTATTAGATTTGAAAGACCACTGATCTGGTCCCAAAACAGGAATTAGCCTATTACTGTTTGAGGGAGTATTATTACTATTTAAAAGATAGCAGTTTATTTGAGAATATGTTTCTGTGCCACAGAGCTCAATCCCAGATAAAATTAATACAAGACAGAAGGATAATAAACTAGGGCTTTTTCCATTATAAGCGATGGAGAAAGAATACAAGTAAGAGCATTGGCTCAACTAACCCAAGAAAGACTGATATTATTCTATAAGTCAGAGATTAAAGCTCGCCAAAGACTTCCTGGCTCATTCAGTAAAAGCCAGAGTACTTATAACAGGCTCCTGGATCCCCACATCCAGCTCTGCTTTGCCTCTCACCAGGAGGCGGTGCCTCAGGGCTTTCTCCGGGCTTTGCTACTAGCTATTCCTTTCGCCTGGACTGCTCTTTTCCCAGCTACCACTACAGGACTGGCTCTCTCACCTCCATTAGGATTTTTTTTTTTAATTTTCTTTTTTTTTTTTTTGAGACAGAGTCTTGCTCTGTCACCCAGGCTGGAGTACAATGGTGTGATATCAGCTCACTGCAACCTCTGCCTCCCAGGTTCAAGTGATTCTCCTGCCTAGGCCTCCCGAGTAGCTGGGATTACAGGTACATGCCACCACACCCAGCTAATTGTTGTATTTTAGTAGAGATAGGGTTTTGCCATGTTGGTCAGGCTGGTCTCGAACATGTGACCTCCAGTGATCCTCCCACTTCGGCCTCCGAGAGTGCTGGGATTACAGGCATGAGCCACTGCACCCTGCCTTTTTAAAATTTTTGTGGGTTCATAGTACGTGTATATATTTATAGGGTACGTGAGATACTTTGATGCAGACATGCAATGTGTAATAATCACATCATGGTAAATGGGGTATCCATCACCTCAAGCATCTATCCTTTGTGTTACAAACAATCCAATTATACTCTTTTAGTTATTTGAAAATGTATAATTATTATTGGCTATAGTCACCCTGTTGTGCTAGCAAATACTAGGTCCTATTTATTCTTTTAAACTAGTTTTTGTACCAATTAAACATCCCCACAGTCCCCCACTACCCTTCCCAGCCCCTGGTAAACTTCCTTCTACTTTCTATCTCAATTGTTTTAATTTTTAGCTCCCACAAATAAGTGAGAACATGTGATGTTTGTCTTTCTGTGCCTGGCTTATTTCACTTAATATAATGACATTCCAGTTCTATCCATGTTGCTGCGAATGACAGGATCTCGTTCTTTTTTACAGCTGAATAGTACTTCATTGTGTATATGTACCATGTTTTCTTTATCCATTCATCTATAGATAGACACTTAGGTTACTTCCAAATCTTGGCTATTGTGAACAATGGTGCAACAAACATGAGAGTGCAGATGTCTCTTTAATGTACTGATTTCTTTCTTTTGGGTATATACCCAGCAGCAGTACCCAGCAGCAGGATTGCTGGATCACACGGTAGTTCTATTTTTAAGAGTTTTTAAAGAAAGGGTCTTTCTCTTTCACCCAAGCTGGAGAGCAATGGCATGATTACAGCTAACTTCAGCCTCGACTATAGCCTCGGGCGATTTTCCCTGATTCTCCCACCTCAGCCTCCCAGGTAGCTGAAACTAAAGGCATGCACCACCATACCTGGCTAATTTTTGTATTTTTAGTAGAGACAAGGTTTCGCCATGTTGGCCAGGCTGGTCTTGAACTCCTGGCCTCAAGTGATCCACCCACCTCAGCCTCCCAAATTGTTGGGATTATAGGTGAGAACCACCCCGCCCTGCCTAATTGTAGTTTTGATTTGCATTTCTCTGATGATCAATGATGTTGAGCACCTTTTCATATGCCTGTTTGCCATTTGTATGTCTCATTTTGAGAGATGTCTATTCAGATCTTTTGCTCATTTTTAAATCGGACTATTAGATTTTTTCCTATAGAGTTGTTTGAGCAACTTATATATTCTGGTTATTGATCTCTTGTCAGATGGATAGTTTGCAAATATTCTCTCCCATTCTGTGGAGTGTCTCTTCACTTTGTTGATTGTTTCCTTTGGTGTGCAGAAGCTTTTTAACTTGATGTGATCCCACTTATCCATTTTTGCTTTAGTTGTCTGTGCTTGTGGGGTTCCATCAGGTTTTTGCTCAAATGCCACCTTCCCAGCAATTCCTTCTTTTACCAATGTGTTCAAAATGATTTTGCAGCCGGGCATGGTGGCTCATGCCTGTAATCCCAGTGCTTTGGGAAGTGGAGTCGGCCGGATCACCTGAGGTCAGAAATTCAAGACCAGCCTGGCCAACATGGTGAAACCCCATCTCTACTAACAATACAAAAATTAGCTGGGCGTTGTGGTGCATGCCTGTAGTCCCAGCTACTCAGGAGGCTGAGGCAGGAGAATCACTTGAACCCGGGAGGTGGAGGTTGCAGTGAGCCAAGACTGCACTACTGCACTTCAGCCTGGGCAACAGAGCAAGGCTCTGTCTCAAAAAAAAAAAAAAAAAAAAAAAAGATTTTGCTACTACAATTTGCTATTCTCTATTCCCCTTCCCTGCTTTATTTTAATCCATAGTACTTATTACCATTTATATTATGTATTTTGCTTATTGCGTTTCTCCCACTAGAATGTTAGCTCCGTGAAAGCAGTGATTTTCATGTTTTCCTCATTGCTATATATAGTTCAAAACATGTAACAGATGCTCAAGAAATATATATTGTGGCTGGGCATGGTGGCTCATGCCTGAAATCCCAGCATTTTGGGAGGCTGAGGCGGGTGGATCATGAGGTCAGGAGAGCGAGACCATCCTGGCTAACATGGTCAAACCCCATTTCTACTAAAAATACAAAAAATTAGCCGGGCTTAGTGGCACGCACCTGTAGTCCCAGCTACTTGGGAGGCGTGAGGCAGGAGAATCGCTTGAACCAGGGAGGTTGAGGTTGCAGTGAGCCGAGATCGTGCCACTGCACTCTAGCCTGGGCAGCAGAGTGAGACTACGTCTCAAAAAACAAACAAACAAACAAACAAATATTTGTTGTGTAAATGAAAACGACTGGATTAAGAGTAAGACTCAGTTTCTTTAAAAACTTGCTCAAGGGCACATAGTTGTTTAAGAAATTGCAAAAGTGACTTAATCCACAGACTCTGCCCTCCTGCAGCATATGGTCTAAAAGTTTTGTGCTGTTTTTCATTTTTCAAATTCAAAGCATTGGGTTTATCCATCCCTTCATTTTCATTCCCTCTGATATCACTCTTATCCAGGTCTTTATCACTTCTCATCTGGTTTACTGCAAGATGTTTCTGTCTCAGTCTCTCTATTTCCCTCTGAAGTTGTATACCATCTTTAATCCTCCCCAAACACCATTTTCCTCACATCACATCCCCCCACCCAATTTTTTTTTTTTTTTTTTTTGACACAGAATGTCGCTCTTGTAGCCCAGGCTGGAGTGCAGTGGCATGATCTCAGCTCACGGCAACCTCCACCTCCCGGGTTCAAGTGATTCTCCCGCCTCAGCTTCCCAAAGTGCTGGGATTACAAGTGTGCGCCACCACGCCTGGCTAATTTTTGAATTAGGGGTTTCACCATGTTGGCCAGGCTTGTCTCGAACTCCTGACCTCAGGTGATCTACCTGCCTCCACCTCCCAAAGTGCTGGGATTACAGGTGTGAGCCACCGTGCCCGGCCATATCACTTCCCTTTACTTGCTCGTAAGTGCTACCAAGAAAAAGTTCAAACTCCTCTAATCGGGTTTCAAACCAGACCATAAATTGGCCAAATTCCACTTACAAAGCTTTATTCTGCTACTCCCCGGTTTAAACCCTTAACTTCATCAAGCCAGCCCCCTCATCACTACCTGATGAACAATCTGTGCTCACTCCCATTTCAGTTCATATTGTTTCCATCATCTGGAAAGTTCTGTGGAGTCCTTTTCATCTATCCGAATGCTTCTTATCCTTTAAGGCAGGGGTGTCCAATCTTTTGGGTTCCCTGGGTCACACTGGAAGAAGAACCGTCTTGGGCCACATAGAAAATACACTAACACTAATGATAGCTGATGAGCTAAAAAAAACAAAAGCAAATAACTCTCATAATGTTTTAACATAATTTACAAATTTGTGTTGGGCCACATTCAAAGCAATCCTGGGCCACTTGCAGCCCACGGGCATGGGTTGGATAAGCTTGCTTTAAGGCATGGACCACTGTCTACCTCTTTCATAAGGCTTCTCTTATTTTACAATTAACTGATTGATTACAAAACTCAATGCTTTGTAATCATCTTTTCCTCTCAAGTACTTTTGTTAGTGTGATGATTACTAAGATGTTTATGAAGCATATCTTGGTATTATGTATTATATATGTTCACATCCCACCTCTTCAATCAAATTGTAAATTCTTTGAAGGACATCATTCTTCGTAAGATATAATCCTACACTTCTTATACTTCCACAGTTTATTTTGTTTTTTGCACATAGTAGGTACCCAAAAATATTTGTTGAATGAAGTATTTTCAATACTAAAAATTGTGGAACACGATAGTGTTCTGGATTTAAATGTGAAAAGAGCTAAGTTGTCAATAAATCCCCCAAAGAATATACTTTCATATTGAACTGAGGATAATAAAATATTGCTTAAATTTGGTGGTGAAAAGAGTTGTGATTTTGGTACATGTCTTAGTCCTTTTTGGAATTGCTATAAGAAAATACCTGGCCAGGCGTGGTGGCTCACGCCTGTAATCCCAGCACTTTGGGAGGCCGAAGTGGATGGATCACCTGAGGTCAGGAGTTCGAGACCAGCCTGGCCAACATGGTGAAACCCCATCTCTACTAAAAATACAAAAAAATTAGCCAGGGGTGGTGGTGTGTGCCTGTAGTTGCAGCTACTTGGGAGGTTGAGGCAGGAGAATCGCTCGAACCCGGGAGGCGCAGGTTGCAGTGAGCCAAGGTCCTGCCGCTGCAATCCAGCCTGGGCAACAGAGCAAGACTCCATCTCAAAAAAAAGAGGGGAGGGGAGGGAAGGGAGGGAAAGGAGAGGAGGAGAAGGAAGGGAAGGGGAGGGGAGGGGAGGGGAGGGGAGGGGAGGGGAGGACCGAGACTGGCTAATTTGGCTAATTTATAAAGAAAAGAAATTGATTGGCGGGGCACTGTGGCTCAAGCCTGTAATCCCAGCACTTTGGGAGGCCAAGGCGGGCGGATCACAAGGTCAGGAGATCGAGACCATCCTGGCTAACACGGTGAAACCCCGTCTCTACTAAAAATACAAAAATTAGCCGGGCACGGTGGCGGGCGCCTGTAGTCCCAGCTACTCGGGAGGCCGAGGCAGGAGAATGGCGTGAACCCAGGAGGCAGAGCTTGCAGTGAGCCGAGATCGGGCCACTGCACTCCAGCCTGGGTGACAGAGCGAGACTCCGTCTCAAAAAAAAAAAAAAGAAAAGAAAAGAAATAGATTTTGTCACAGTTCCGGAGACTGAGAAGTACAAGACCACGGTGCTGACAGGTTTGATTGTCTGGTGAGGGCTGCTTTCTCCTTCTGAGATGGCCCTTATTGCTACATCCTTCAGAGGAGAGGAATGCTGTGTCCTCTCAAGGTGGAAGGCCATCCTTTACATGGTGGAAGCTAGCTTAGTGCTGTGTGAAACCTCTTTTGAAAGGGCCTTAATCCCATTCACGAGTGGAGAAGCCCTCATGACCTAATCACTTCCTGAAAGCCCTACCTCTTTTTTTTTTTTTTTTTTTTTTTTTTTTTTTTTTTTTTTTTTTGAGGCAGAGTCTCGCTCTGTTGCCCAGGCTGGAGTGCAGTGGCGCGATCTCGGCTCACTGCAAGCTCCGCCTCCCGGGTTCACACCATTCTCCTGCCTCAGCCTCCCCAGTACCTGGGACTACAGGCGCCTGCCACAACGCTCGGCTAATTTTTTCTATTTTCAGTAGAGACGGGGTTTCATCCTGTTAGCCAGGATGGTCTCCATCTCCTGACCTCGTGATCCGCCCGCCTTGGCCTCCCAAAGCGTTGGGATTACAGGCGTGAGCCACCGCACCAGGCCTAATCCCTCCCTCTTAATGCTATCACATCAACCATTGAGTTTCAACACCTGAATTTTGGAGAGAACACATTCAAACCATAGCAGTATGTAATAAAATCCAGAGTATAACTGTAGAGTGGCAGAAAAAATGTGAATGAGCAAGGTTTCCATTTTACACTGATTATAAATGTCCATGCAGCAACCAGTATTTAGTTTAATTGTAAATATTTTTTTGGTATTTGTTTAGCTACACGACTGAAAATTTATTATTTAGATATAAATGAGAAACTAATTTTTTTTGCTAAGTAACATCTTCCGTAAACAATGGGAGTTTTGGAGAATTCTGTTTTGGGAAACATCCATGTTAATATTTTGTTTCCATATGAACCATCATCACACAGACATTATTTTGTACAACACAAACAAGTAGAATAGATTTAGCTTTTGGCTCAGAACATATTGTTCCATATGCCCTGCAGAGCACATCTAAAAATCTATGTGACGAGACCAAATCTGTACACAAAAATGAAAAAATTAGTCAGGCATTGTGGCACATATCTGTGGTCCTAGCTACACAGCAGGCTGAGGTGGGTGGATCACTTGAGCCCAGGAGGTTGAGGCTGCAGTGAGCCGTGTTTATATCACTGCACTCCAGCCTAAGTGACAGACAGAGATCCTGTCTCTAAAAAAATCTATTTACAACGTAACTACCACACTGTCCACCTAAAAAAGAAATCCAACAGGTTACACAAAATGTAGGGTATTAGGTAAAAGGGTTTGGTCAATTCATTATTAACCACATGTCCTCTACAACTGTTCTCATCTGAAGATGTACTTTGGGGTTATTAGGTCAATAATGGACTCTTCCATCTTCTAAAAAAAAAAAAAAAAAAAAAAAAGCATTATCCAGTATCGAGTAGTGAGGTTGCTATAAAGTCCAACACCGCTCACATTATTAACAGAGTCACTGTACCCCATCTCATGGTGTACCTCATCTGTACCTCATCTCATCAATCTATCGGCTGTCCCTTAAAGGAGTTTGTAAGACTGTAAAGAGAAATATCTAATTCTTCTTCAGGGCTAGTTTCAACCAGGATCTAAAACATTCAAATGCTGTAAAAGTAAACGGATATCAAATATAGCATTAAAAAACAAGGAGAATAGAGATATGATTATAGCTTGTGCTACAAAAGACTTTTAAAAGCAGATTTAAGGCTGGGCGTGGTGGCTCATGCCTGTAATCCCAGCACTTTGGGAGGCCAAGGTGGGTGGATCACCTGAGGTCAGGAGTTCGAGACCAGTCTGGCCAATATGGTGAAACCCCATCTCTACTAAAAATACAAAAACTAGCCAGGCGTGGTGGCATGGGCCTGTAATCCCAGCTACTCAGGAGGCTGAGGCAGGAGAATCGCTTGAACCTGGGAGGCAAAGGTTGCAGTGAGCCGAGATTGCACCATTGCACTCCAGCCTGGGTGACAGAACAAAACTCCATCTCAAAAAAAAAAAAAAAAAGCAGATTTAAGTGAATAGATGTAGCCATAATACATATATAATACCTAGGTAGGAAAGTAATCTAATGTGTACTTGACACAAGAAGTATCTAGCACAAGAAGTAAAAGTAGGCATTACCAAAAAAATGCCTAACTTTTGACTGAGTTAGGCATCAAAAATATTTGTTAAACGCTCAAATGATGATTGCTATGCTGTGACAAGGCTATGAACTTGATAACAAAAATTTTTTATAGGAAAGAGAAGCCATTATTTAATATATACATACAGTATGTACAATTGCTGTAACTTCACTTGATCCGCAAGTGGACTTTTAAGCATTAAGTAAGTGGGTTCTCAAATAAGGGCAATTTTATTGTGCAGGAGATATGTGGCAGTATCTGGAGACATTTTTAGTTGTTATAACTTGAGGTGGGGGGAGCAACTGCTCTGCTCTGCTATTGAGTAGAGGTCAGAGATGCTGCTAAATATCCTACACTGCACAGGAAGCTCTTTCCCCATCCTCCTCCACCAAAGAAATTATCTAGCCTCAAATGCCTATGGTACCAAAGTTGAGAAAGCCTGCATTCAGTCACATAGTATACCAGGTCCTATTCTAACAGTTTATTTCTGTGTCTAGTACTTCCTCTTTGGGGTAGGCACAGGAGCTGGGGTAGGTTATTCTTGGCAGGTTATTCTGTGGCAGGTAAGCTTGAAAGTCATCACATTCGGCTGCTTATTTAGACAGGATGGTTGGACTCAATTTTAAGGGTTGAATTGACTTTCAGATTATTTCAGTGGCACCCAGACTTGACCTATGGGCCAGTCAAGATTGCTTTCAGGTTCTTAATGTCTTTATAGGAAATGGTGCTAGACTCAGCAGGATGAGTTAATCAAGAGGCATCTAAGTATATGAAGTATTTGTAGTATCAATGCACAATTTAGTTATGTCCTGTGAGCATTCCTGGAAAAAGGGTACACTACCTCACTGTATGGTAAACATACCTGATGCAATAACTGAAGCATAACTGAGAATGCCCTCTATGGCAGATGAACCTGAATGCACGTGGAAGTTCCAAGCTATCTGGGAGTGGCCAACCTGGAGAGCCATTCCTTGTCTATGAGAAACATCTGAGTCCCCAGCCCCTCTCATGGAACTTGCCACTACATTGAGGCCCTTTGGTTTTTTATCCTTTTTTTTTTTTTTTTTTTTTTTTTTTGAGACGGAGTCTCACTCTGTCGCCCAGGCTGGAGTGCAGTGGCGCGATCCCGGCTCACTGCAAGCTCCGCCTCCCGAGTTCACGCCATTCTCCTGCCTCAGCCTCCCAAGTAGCTGGGACTACAGGCACCCGCCACCACACCCAGCTAATTTTTTTGCGTTTTTAGTGGAGACGGGGTTTCACCCTGTTAGCCAGGATGATCTCGATCTCCTGACCTCGTGATCTGCCTGCCTCGGCCTCCCAAAGTGCTGGGATTACAGGCATGAGCCATCGCGCCCGGCCACATTGAGGCCCTTTGTTTTGGGTTAAATGGAGGTTGCCAGGTGGAGGTTGTTAGGGGGAGGGTGCTAGGTGAAAATGGTATATAAACTGTATGTGTTTTGCAAGCAGTTGCAGTTCTTCTGCCCAGCCCGCCATCACTGGGCTATGCAGATATCCTGTCCGGCCTGCCGCCACTGCACACTGTCCCCTGTAGGTAAGCCTCCAGTGAAACCCCATGTCTTGTTTGCTGGCTCTGGGTCTCTTCTTCTGTCTCCCAAACACAGTGCCATCACTATTAGGTTAATACGGGTCCAGTACAACACTCACAATTCTGTGGATTGCTACTACTTAGGGTTGTGGGAAAGAGGTTATTTAAAAAACTTTTTTAACAAAGCACATTTCACTGGAATATACTATGCTACTGAATGTGTGGTTCAGGGAGTAGCATCAACATAACCTGTGGATATGTTAGAAAGGCAGAATCTCAAGTCCCACCCCAGGCTTATTGAAAGAGAACTGGCATTTTAACATGATTCCCAGAGAAATACCATCCTAATACATTGATGGGAAATAAAAAAAAGGAAGAGAGGAGAAAGATAATGCTTATAAGAGGAAAATGAAAAGGATAATCAGTGACTTGACCCTTGCATACAGTACTTTGTCTGGTTCAGGGACAATTTTGAAGGTCAGAGAGGACCTGTGAGTAGGTCAGAGGAGAGTTATGAAAATAAAAATAGGCCAGGCATGGTGGGTCATGCCTGTAATCCCAGCAATTTGGGAGGCCTAGGCGGGTGGATCACTTCAGGTTGGGAGTTTAAGACCAGCCTGACCAACATGGAGAGACCATGTCTCTACTAAAAATAAAAAAAATTAGCCAGGCACGGTGGTGCATGCCTGTAATCCCACCTACTTGGGAGGTTGAGGCAGGAGAATCGTTTGAACCCCAGAGGCAGAGGTTGCGGTGAGCCAATATCGTGCCAGATAAGGAAATTACCTCAAAGACAAGAAAACTAAGCAATATGTAAAGTTCAAGTCTACAATCTAATATGATAAGAAATGGCAAACAAGGCTGTAAGAAATATGGCTGCATTTTGGTCAAGGATAGGCCAAAGTAGGATGTTTACATCCTGTGTGACTCAGTGAGTTTAGAGCACAGGCGTATAACTCCACTTGTTATCACAGCCATGTAGTCAAAACACGGGAAGGCCATCACTTGGCTCTACGCCACTATTGTCTGTAAAAGCTATAAATGCCCTGTTGACACTGTGCAGGCATGCTGGCACCCAGAGAAAGACAGAGTCAGAGCTGTCTGTCTTTGCAGACGGCCATGCAGCTGCAGGTGTGGGGGCTGCTGAATAAAGCCATGTCTCATCTACCTGCTGTCTCTCTAGTGTTCTTCCAGTTTCCTGCCCCACATCCACCCACTCCCCTCAGCCCTCAGCTGGGGCTGGAACCTAACCCTGAGCATACTTGGTGTAGTCAGCAGGATGAGGTGAGTAGGTCTTCAGCCCCTGAGGCTCCCGGGTTGGCTATGTGGCCACAGCATGGGCTGTGGTACCCCGTGGCAGAGATGCTGCTCGGGTAGGCCCCAGTGGAAACGTGGGAGGCAGTGAATGGGTCTCCCATGAGTGTGGAGAAGCATCTGGAAGCTCACAGCACCAAGAAGGAATGACCTTTGCCGGCAGAGTCGGATGGGCGTTTCTGATTCAGTCAGAAACTGAGTTTCATGCTCAGTCCCTGCAGGACACAGCACAGGTAAGGGACTTTCAGGCACAAGCCCAGTGCCCGGGAGCCCAAATGCACAGCTTGGAGCAAAACCTGGGGCGGGGTGGGGGGGTGGGGTGTGTGGAGAGGGACCTCCATGTGCAAGCAGGGCGCTTAGAGGCCCAGATAAACAACCTGGAACAGGAGTTAGCAACAGCTGTCAGCGCGACCTTCAGCCAGTCCTCCTGGCCGGACACTCCCATTGGGTCTGATGCTGAGGAGGAGGCAGCTTCTCTGCTGCGGGCTCGCCCTGTGATCCATCAGAAGATAGACCATGAGCAGCTGATGGGACCCCAGGGGAGAGCCCAGGGACCCCCACCCCTATCCCCTGGCCACACAGTGGTGGAACACACCTCTTATAGTGTTTATACCCCCACTGAGTTGCAGGAATTAGGTAAACAGTGTCGGCAGTATCCTAGGGAACTGACAGCATTTCTTGCTCTGCCTCTGAGAGGGAGAAGCTGGATTCTATCACAACTCATCCCTCCCTTCATCAGCAGCTGCAGCTGTGTGGACAGTTAGCACAAGGGCAGGATGACCACACGTTAATCGAGTGGCTAATGGCAGCCATATGGACTGTTTGGAATGACGCCAGAAAGATACCAGAAACTGTGAGTAAATGGCAGTCATATACTAATTTGGTGCAGATACTCTGAGAGCTGGGTATGCAGCAGGCTGTTTGATCTAAACACCCGGGGACCAGATGATGAACACTTTACCTCGCACATGAGGAGTCTTGTGCTGGGCTCATTGCCCCCGAGTGCTTTTGACTCTCTAGCTGCTGTTCTCACCCCATATGTGGGGTGCCACATACATGAAGTGACTACTGTTATGGCAGTCCTGGGGGAGGCAGAAGGCATCAGCTGGACCGGGGAACCCGTGCCAGAAAGAAGGGGAAGGTGCCCCCTCCGCAGATAACCATCCCATGTGATAAAAAGCAGCCTGGCAGGTGACCTGCATGCAGATGTGGATTGATTTACTTGCAGCTGGGGTTGCTCCGGAGAAAACTAACAGGCAACCCAATGGAATGCTCTTGGCTCTTTGGAGGCAACTGTCCCCAGAGCAGCAATTCCGGAGAATGCTTAAATGGGGGGTGAAGCAATGTTGTTCAACCCACTCCCGCCTGGACACCGCAACTCAAGGACTGTTTGCAGACAGGCGGAGATATGGAGCCTTTCTTGTTTGATTAGGGAACTGGCTGAGATATGCAGCTCGGTGTGGGGAACCAGACAACCAGAGGCTGTATGTGGTGCTAGTAATCCGCTGGTCCCCGACTAATGTACAGTGGGTCACAGCGGGTCCTAGCACTGGTAGATACTGGTGCAGACTGCAGCCTAGTTTATGGGAACCCGGATAAGTTTTCTGGCAGAGCTGCATTTATTACCAGCTATGAAAGCTGGTCAGTGAAAGTGAAACCTGTGTCTCTTTATCTTGGCATCAGCCACTTGGCTCTCCGCCTATACACTGTGTATGTCTCTCTCATACCTGAATATATTCTGGCAGTGGACATTTTGCATGGTCTGGACTTGCACACCATGGCTGGAGAATTCAGGCTCTGAGTTAGTGCAGTAAAGCTGATACTGCAGGGACAATACACATCACCAGCCCAAGCTCTGCCACAACCCCAACAGGATACCTCCACTCATCAATACTGTTTGTCAGGGGGGCATACAGCCATAACTGAGACTATTCAGAAGTTAGAGGAGGTGCAAATAGTGCATGGCACCCATAGCCCCTACAATTCCCTGGTATGGCCAGTCAGAAAGCCTGATGGAACTGGGCGAATACCAGTGGATTATCGGGAACTGAATAAAGTAACACCCTCTCAGCATGCAGCTGTACCCTCCATCATGGATTTGATGAACCGCTTGACAACGGAACTGGGACAGTACTACTCTGTGATGAATGTGAATAATGCATTCTTCTCCACTGACATTGCTCCAGAGAGCCACGAACAGCTTGCCTTCATGGGAGGATGACAATGGACTTTCACAGTGTTGCTGCAGGGCTAGATGCATAGCCCCACCATGTGTCATCGTTTTATTGATAATGTCATATTAACCTCCGATTATCTTGCAGATTTGAAAGCGACAATGCCCCTCTTGCCTGGGATTGGATGGTGAGGTTGAGACAGCTGTCCTGGCTATCTCAAGCAGGCTATTTAGCAGGCACAAGCCCTATGGGTAGTTGATCAGAGGTGCCCATTTAGGCTAGATGTGCATGTGACCACAGATAGTTTCAGTTAGGGCCTATAGCAGTGCACGGAGTGCTTGAGTATGCCAGTAGGCTTTTGGCCCCAACTATGGAGCTGAGCTTGTCTTTATTGATAGAGAAGCAGTTAGTAATAGCAGGATGGGTATGTTCATGGATAATGACCCCCTGGACTGGGAAGCAGTTAGTAACTGCATATGCTGCCCTTCAGACTCATAAGAGCATGGCAGAACAGGCTACAGTCATCATGCAGATGACTTACCCAATAGCAGGATGGCTGCTACGTTCATGGGTAGCGACCCTTCCAGACTGGGACAGCACAGACTGGGACAGCACTTTATCAAAGTGGGGCACCTACTTAGAGCAGTGAAGTACACTGAATACAAGTCCCTTAGCAGCAGAGTTACAAGAGGTCTTAGGGCCTGTAGTCCTCATGCAAGATAAGGCCATGGAGCCTGAGGCACCCCCGGCCCCATTCCTGATGAGGCATAATATATAGACAGGTCTAGCCAGAGTACTGCTGCTGCCTGGATTGCTGCTGCAGTCCAGCCTACTACTGACATTATATGGTTTGATACCAAGAGTGGGCAAAGTAGCTAATAAGTTGAGCTCAGGGCAACACGGATGAGGATCACCAAGGAGGTGACACCCATGGTAATCTACACCAATGCTGGGCAGTTTATCAACGCTTAACATTGTGGTTAATTACCTGAAAGTTACAGAATTAGTTAGTCACCAGCCCATGTAGGGCCAGGCCATGTGGCCAGATCTATGAGAGGAAGGATGACCCTCTCCAACCAGGTATGGGGACAAACGGCAATCTGTTATTGCCTGCCCCAATGCCCCTAAAGGTAGGGAAACAAACAAACAAACAAAACCTGGTGTTAGCCATGGACCCTCCAAGCCCCTCACTGCAGATGGTTGGCTATCATAGCCCCCTTGGGGGAGGGTCTGCAGTATGACTTATATGTTATTCCCTGGGTATTTAATGTGTGGCCTCCATGATTGACTGTTCGTAGGGGAATAGCCAGGAAAGGAACCCTCCTCTGGTGGGGGGAACATATGTACTGTCTGTGTGGCCTATTATGAGCTCCCTTGTGACTTTGGCATGGATACAGGACCCAAAAGAACCACAAGCAGCTGATAAGGTGTGGTACCATCACCCAGGGCAGAAGCCCTTGGCAGCTACATTGTTATCTAGAGATAAAAGTTGGCTTGCATTTGGCCTAAGGGACATGATTTACCCTTGTTAGTATCTGTGCCTACTTTGTCATTCTGGCCGTAGGTTGGCATGCTCCAACTGCATTGTGGACTGGGCCCACACCTACGCTGAGGTGACCAATGTCTCCAACTGTTGGATCTGTACTACCCTTCCAGCAGCAGCTGTGGATGGCTTGCCCTGGCACATGCACCCAGCTTCTGTGAAAAACTGGACACGACTAGAAACTTGTGGTTCCACAGACAATTGGTGGGATGCAACACGGCAGGCTTTGGACAGGGGGTGTCGCAAAACCCATGGCAAGCCTGCCCCCTGGCTGACTCGTAGTGTCTATGATGGGTGGGGCTGGCTAATGGGAGAACACGTGGTGCCCCCATCGCAGGTACCACGATGCATAGAGCAGCACTGGGGTGAAGTCACTGTGGGATGGTGGCCTGCTGAGGTTTGTGCAAACATAACATGTCACCACACCAAGGGTGTTGTGGAACAAGCGGCCTTACCAAGGCTGGGCTCCAATGGACTTTGTGCCCCCTGAGAGTTTATGGGTCTGTGGGGCCCATAAACCAAATGGCGATATCTACCAGCCAATTGGACTGGATGTTTTACTTGGGGGTGGTTTTCTGTGCCTGCCACTGTGCTTCCCACATTGCCTAGTTGCCCGAATAACTGGGAGGCACTGCGTTCCCAGTTTTTGCCACCCTCTGGTGGCTCCACCCCTTAGCAATAACTATCCCTGGAGCAGGTGTCGTTACTATAGAAATGCAAGTTACAGCCCTTGCAGAGCACACAGCTCGGGCCCTGAATTACACCCGAGTTGCTCTCCTTTTGCTAACTGATGAGGTTGATCAGATCAGGAAGGTGGTGCTGCAAAATCGGATGGCCTTAAACATAGTCACAGTTGCTCAGGGTGGCACCTGTGCCCTTGGAGGGACACAATTTTGTACATTTATCCCTGACATCCACTAGAACATAATGGTAGCTTTACAAGGGGTGTCACAGGAGATTAAGGCTATTGAGCACCTTACTGATGACCCTCTGCAGAGACAGTGGGTGCCTCTGGGCACTACCCTATGCTGGGCTCTAATAATCATAGGTAACGTAACAGGAATATTTATAGTAGGTTGTTGTTCTCTGTATTGTTGTTGTGACCTATGAGTTCAGGGTGCTGCCCTATGTGCATGGATCCCCACTAAAAGAACTCCCTCATTCCAGGGGGTGGAATGTAAGGCCTGTGTGCCAAGCCTGTTTATCAAACTCGTGTGCCCAAAACTTATGTATAAGGCCTTGTGTGTGTATATCAAGCCTATGTACCCAAAGCTTATGCATATAACCTGTATCCAAGGCCTATGTCTCCCTTGGCCTAGGGGGTGGAGTGTAAGGAACATGGCTGTGCTTTGGTTAAGGATAGGCCGAGGTAGGATGTTTACATCCTGTGTGACTCAGCAGGTTTAGAGCGCAGGCATATAACTCCACTTGTTATCACAGCCATGTAGCCATACATGGGAAGGCCATCAGTTGGCTCTATGCCACTATTGTCTGTAAAATGTATGATTGCCCTGTTGACGTTGTGCTGGTGCACTGGGAGAGAGAGTCAGAGCCGTCCTTTGCAGACAGACGGTGGGGGAGCCAGGACACAGCTTGGCTCACTTGTGCCCAGAGAAACAGTTAAGCTACTGACCCTGAAGCCAAGGGAGAGCTGGCCATGCAGCTGCAGGTGTGGGGGCTGCTGAATAAGGCCATGTCTCATCTACCTGGTGTCTCTCGAGTGTTCTTCCAGCTCCCTGCCCCACATCCACCCACTCCCTCAGCCCTCAGTTGGGCTGGAACCTGACACTGAACACGACAAAGGCTGACCCCCAAATGGTTTTAAATTACAGTAAAACAAAAACCTCCTTCTAAAGGCCTTAAAAATTGGATAATGACTTAGTTTCATTCAAAGGATAGATTTTAAAAGCCCCTTATAGCCATAGCCAGACCTAGAGACCACTCAAATCCATAATGATACTGGAATTATAGAATTTTAGAACTGGAAAGTATTTAGGGGGATAAAAATCCATTAATCTAGTCATTTTACAGAAAATAAAATGAGTTCCAGAAAAGTGAAATTATTTACAAAAGTCACACAGCTAATTAGCTATTAGAGCTAGGACTAGAATTTAGTTATCTTGACTCAAGATAACCTGCTTTTGAAGTATCCTTTTATTACTTAGTTCTGTGACCTTGCTGAGATTTTCTTATATAAAAGATTGGAAATATGTAAATATTTAAATTTTATTCTTAAATACTATTTATTAATACAGAGAAATACTCCTGCTATAATTTTAAGTGACACAATAGTACAACAATTGTTAAGAACAATCCACCTGTGTCAAAGAGACACATACACAAACACACATCCATATACACATACAAGCTTGGAGAAAATTCTGAAAGGATCTCATTGTCCTAGATGGTGGCATTATGGGCAATTATTTTGCAAATGTCACCCAGTGAAGAAGCAATGGTGCCTTTGGAAAGTATGTAGCTCTTAGTTAAGCTTTTATCTGGAAGGTGCTGGAGAAGGTCTGGGCACAGAGCTGGTTGGCTCCATGGTTTTGTGACCTGTGCCATCACATAGGACCCCATGTTCAGAAGGACCCCACTCTTGGTTTAATGCTCTGCTGCCGTGTCTTGAAATTCTTAATAATTTTTTTGAACAAGGGATGCTGCATTTTCACTGTGTTCTGGGCCTAATGATTATGTAGTCAATCTTGTCTGGCAGCTCTTCTCTGGCCCATTCACTGGTAGATGATTGTGGGGTGGTTATTTCTTTAAATTTTTCATTTAAAAAAAATCATATTCATATTATTAAAAATTAAAAAATAGATTTGCAGAAAAATTAGATCACCCTTAGAACTCTCAAGGGCAGATACATTTTAACTAGCATCTCTTCACACATCACAATGATGCTTGGTGTTTAGTCTGAAGGATAAAAAACAATTCAGTATTTTATAGTATAAATTGCTAAACACATAATTACAAAAAAAGTATGCCTGTGAAATTAGGCTATCTATTCCTTGAGAGATGGAATTAGATATTAGTTTTCTATTGCCACAAATGTAGCAATTTAAAGCAAGAGTTTATTATCTCCCAGTTTCTGTAGGTCATAAGTAAGGCCATAATGTGACTGGGCTCTCTGCTCAAAGGTCTCACCAAGCTATAATCAAGGTGTCAGCCTGGACTGTGTTTCTCATCTGAGGCTTGAGGTCCTCTTCCAAGATCAAGTGGTTGTTGGCAGAATTCATTTCCTTGCAGGACTGAGGTCCCAGTTTCCTTGCTGGCTGTCATCCAGGAACTGCTCTCAGCTCCTAGAGGTTGCCCACATTCCTTACTACATACCTGCGTCCATCTTTAAGCCAGCAATGGCCTATATGCTTCAACTCTCTGACTTTCTCTTCTGCAACCAGCCAAGAAAATTCTTTGCTTTTAAAAGGCTCATCTGATTAGGGCAGGTCCACCTGGATAATTAGGTCAACTGTGCCATAAAACGTAACCTAGTCAAGGTAGTAGATACATCAAATTTACAGTAACAGGGTGTGTACAGTGGGGGTAAGTCTTGGGGACCATTTTAGAATTCTGCCTACTACAACTGTCCTAAAGAGACTCATGTGACAAACAAGAGGTTTCTATACTCTACTTCTCTATCCAACCCTATCATGACTTTAATAGTCTTTTCAGCCAGGCACAGTGATGCCCACCTGTAATCCCAGCACTTTGGGAGGCTGAGGCAGGAGGATTGCTTGAGATTAGCAGTTTGAGACTAGCCTGAGCAATATAGCGAGAACTTTGTCTCTGCTAAATAAATAAATAAATAAATAAATTGGGCATGGTGGTGTGTCCCTGTATTCCCCCAGCTACTTGGGAGGCTGAGACTGGAAGATTGCTTAAGTCCAGGAGTTTGAGGTTGCAGTGAGCTGTGATTGCATCACTGCACTCCAGCCTGGGCTACAGAGACACTGTCTCCAAAAAAAAAAAAAAAAAAAACAAGTCTTTGCAATTCACATTTAACTCTAACATCTCTATTTTATAAGTGCATGTTTAAGCATAATAAAAACTGGCCATGACAAATTTGCTTATCTTTGGGGAAAACAGAGATCCTTTTGTTTGCAAAGAAAAAGATTTAAAGAAGAATCTTGCATTCAAAAAGCCTAGTTAGTGTATATCAGTATATTTATTTCATTAAGTTTAATACAACCTAATGAGATAATAAGCCATATACTCAATTTAAATGTATATATTTAAAAATGAAGGTTAAGAACATATTATCTAGATACATATAATCAAGTATAAGATTTAGAAAATATTAACACAATATAATGCAAACATTTGTCACAAATATGCGAATGTTAGCATCCTCCCTATATGAAGTACTCAGACAAATAGAGAAGCAGAACACAAGACCCTGCAAATAAATGACCAAAGAACATGCCCAGACATTTAAGAAGTAGTAGAAATGACTTAAGTCGGATCTCAATGAACTCATATTTATTCGGTGTATAGGATGTGTGAGATGCTGGCATATGGCAAGTACAGGGCTGCTATTCAGCCAAAGGCACTGTTAGGGGGGTTTGTGGCCAGCATCCATTCTTATTAGTTGGTGATTATTATCTGATAGGTTGGTGCCTTGGTGCCTTGTAGTGTTTGTTAAATGTTTTGATTATTAGTGAATGTGTGTCAAATGCTTTATCACCTCGTAGTAGGCTAAATAATGGCCACAGAAAGACATCATGTTCTAATCCCTGAAACTTGTAAATGTTGCCTTGTAAGAAAAATGGGTTGCAGATGTGATTAAGGATCTTAAAAATGAGGGGATTATCCTAGATTATCTGGGCGGGTCCTAAATGCAATCCTTATAAGAAAGGGGCAGAGGGGAATTTGATACAGAGAGAAGAGGAGAAAAGAATGTAACTATGAAGGCAGAGATTGGAGTGATGCAGCCATAAGCCAAAGGCCTGTGGCCATCAGAAGGTGGAAGAGGCAAGGAATGAATCCCCCCTAGGGCCCGCGAAGGACCGTGGTCCTATTGACACCTTGATTTCAGCTCAGTGAAACTGTTTTGGACTTTTGGTCTCCAAAACTGTGTTTTAAGTCACCCAGTTTGTAGTAATTTGTTACAGCAGCCACAGTAAATTAATACAATGCCTAATTCAGTAAATCTTCACAATAATCTCAGGAGATAGGGAATTTCATTATCCCCACTTAAAAGAAAACCACAATATTAAGAAGCTATTTATTCAATTCAGAGCTAGAATTCAAATTCAGGTCTTTCTAATTCAGAGTGGAGGTCTTACCACTATGTTGCATTAGAAAATAAAAATGAGATTCCAGAATTACTCTTTCTGGAGGAAGTGGGACTGGACTAATCCTCCCACTGTAAATAATTTAAAAACTGGACAAAAGATATGAAATAACAGTTTTCAAGCATTGGTCAACAAGCAGTACAGAACTGTGGTCCCTGAGAGAGAAGAAACAAATGAGGAGAGCCTTATAATTGCCTGTACTTTTGCCTGGAGACACATTCCAGCCCAAGGTGCGGGGAGGGGGGGATCCCCCAAACAGACCACAGTAGTCTTGTTGAGTTGAAGGAATGGAGATCAGTTTGGGGAGGCAAAAGTGGCTGGAATTTGCAGGGCAGAGTACCAGAAAGGAAGAAGGTAAATCAAGAAAGAGTTCCAGAAATCTGCAAGGGAGGATGTCCCCTTGAGTCTGTGGTTGAATACTAAGATATACTTGTGTAGGATGAAACCCAGTAAGTCTGGGCAGAGAATGACCCTCGGAACTATAAGCTAAACAATTCCCAGAGCTCACACAAAGCTGGAAGACACTTGAGTCCCAATCAGCCCCAGAGAAACACTGGTTTAATCAACTGGGGAGCAAAGAAGAAAAGAGAAAAGACAATACTTACGTAAAAAAGGCGGAAGAAAAAAAAGGATGGCTACATAGAATAGATAGATATATGACAAAACAAGAAGAGTCAAATGTTAATGGTAGAATCTAGATAGTGGGCATATAGGCATATGCTATAAAATTAAAGGGTTAATAAAAGAACATTATGAAAAACATGCTCATAAATTTCACTACTTTGACCAAATGAACAAAGTCCTCAAGTGACACTAGTGGTTTTTAAATGTCCACACATTTTTTTGACTTTCATTCACCCCAAGGTGGTGTCTAATTCTCCTCTTTTTCAGTGTGGGTTAGACTAGTGTTCTATTTTAACAAACAGAATATGGCAGAAGTAATGGTGTGCCACCTTTTTTTTTTTTTGAGACGGAGTCTCAAGCTGTTGCCCAGGCTGGAGTGCAGTGGCGCGATCTCGGCTCACTGCAAGCTCCGCCTCCCAGGTTCACGCCATTCTCCTGCCTGAGCCACCCGAGTAGCTGGGACTACAGGTGCCCACCACCACGCCCGGCTCATTTTTTGTATTTTTAGTAGAGAAGGGGTTTCACCGTGTTAAGTCAGGATGGTCGTGATCTGCCCGCCTCGGCCTCCCAAAGTGCTGGGATTACAGGCCTGAGCCACCGTGCCCGGCCTCTGCCACTTCTGATATAGGTAACAAAAGGCCTTGTAGTTTCTTCTTTTTTAATTTTTATTATTATTTTTTAAGACGGAGTTTTGCCCTTGTCGCCCAGGATGGAGTGCAAAGGCACAATCTCCGGCCACTGCAACCTCCGCCTCCCGGGTTCAAGCGATTCTCCTGCCTCAGCCTCCCAAGTAGCTGGGATTACTAGCGCCTGCCACCACACCCAGCTACTTTTTAGTAGAGATGGGGTTTCCATGTTGGCCAGGCTGGTCTTGAACTCCTGAGCTCAGGTGATCCACCCACCTCGGCCTTCCAAAGTGCTGGGATTAAGGGCATCAGCCACCACGCCTGGCCTGTGGTTTCTTCTTTGCCCTTTCTCTTGGCTCACTCACTTGGCAAGAAAACAGCTACCTTTTCTTTTTTTAAGGATACTTGATCAGCACTATGGAGAGGCCCATGTAGTTGGAAAATGAAGCCTTCTGCCAATCAGCAATACCTTGAGCCTTTCTATCAGTGAGAAACTGAGGCCTCCTGTCAATAGCCAATAAGGAAATGAGGCTTCTTGCCAAAAACCACGAGTGGGCCACCTTGGAAGCAGATACTCTAGCCCCAGTCAAGCTTTCATATGGCTTCAGCCTTAGTTAACATCTTGACCCATTCTTGATCCTGAGCCAGAACTACTGAGCTAAATGCTCCTGAATTCCTGACCCACAGAAACTGAGATAACTGTTTATTTTTCCAAGCTGTTAAGTTTTGCAATAATTTATTGTGTAGCAATAGATAATTAACACAATCAAACTACCAAAGCTTGCTCAAGAAAAGCTTCACAATGTCCTATATCCGTAAAAGAAATGGAATTCGTGGTTAAAACCTTTCAACAGAGAAAACTCCAGGTCTGGATAGTTTCACTGTTGTATTCTATCAAGCATTTAAGAAAGAAAGAAAAAATGCCAGCTATTAGCTTAATTGTTGCTCCTTTCAAAGTAATATTTCTTTTGGCTTCTTTATACTTTTTCCATCTTTGGTTATCAGCAGTTTTACAATGGTGTAATTTCATGTGGTTTTCATTTTATTTATCCTGTTTGGGGTTTATAAGCGTTCTTGAATCTGAAGTTTGATGTCTTTCAATTTTTTTACAAAGTTTTTAAATATATTTTTTGTATTTTTTTGTTTGTTTGTTTTACCCAAGTCCTGCCTCAGGATCTATCTTTCAATTTTGTAAAGTTTTTAATAATTATCTTTTTTTTTTCTTTTTTTTGAGACAGAGTCTCAATCTGTCCCCCAGGCTGAAGTGCAGTGGTGCAATCTCGGCTCACTGCAAGCAAGCTCCACCTCCCGGGTTCACACCATTCTCCTGCCTCAGCCTCCCGAGTAGCTGGGACCACAGGCGCCCACCACCATACCTGGCTAATTTTTTTGTATTTTTAGTAGAGGTGGTGTTTCACCATGTTAGCCAGGATGGTCTCGATCTCCTGACCTTGTGATCCACCTGCCTAGGCCTCCCAAAGTGCTGAGATTACAGGCATGAGCCACCACGCCCAGCCAATAATTATCTCTTAAACTATTGCTTATGTTTCATTTTCTCTCTCCTCTCTTGGGACATAAATTTCCTCTGTTAGATCTTTTACTAAATCTATGTCTCAACTTTTGTATTTTTATTATTTTGTCTCTCTGCATCATTCTGGATTTTTTTTTCTAATTTGTGTTCATTCACCAATTCTTTCTTCAGCTATGCCTGTTCTGTCAATTCTATCCATCAGTCTCCTAATTTCAAGCATGCTAATTTTCAGTTCTAGTGTTTCCTTTAAAATTTTTTTTAAATTGACACAAAATAATTGTACATATTTATGGCATATATGGTGATATGTTGATACATTTACTGCACAGTGATTAGATCAGGGAAATCAGCATATTCTTCAACTCAAAACATTTCTCATTTGTGTTGGGAACATTCAATATCCTCTATTTGGAAATATATATTATTAACTATAGTCATCCTACAGTGCAGAAGAATGCTAGAACTTATCCCCCCCATCTAGCTGTTTCATTTTGTTTTTAATATAATTTTCAGTTCTTTGCCAAAATTCTTGTAAGTTTAATTTTCTTTTTCTTTTTTTTTTTAAGCTTGTCTCTGAAAACTCCAATATCTGGAGGTCCCTACAGATGTTTAAATAGAAGCTCCTGCTGGTATTCACTCATGTCTCTTTCTGTGGCTACTTTTTATTGTGTGTTCTACAGTGTACCTGCAAAACTGTTTATAGATTTATTTTGAGGCCTAGTTTGTTAGTTTTCTACACTGTGTAACAATATTACCACAAATCTGGTGTGTTAAGAACAAGACACATTTATTATCTCACAGGTTCTGTGGGTCAGGAGTCCAAGCACAGATTAGCTGGCTTCTTTCTGTTTCCTGGTCTCAAAAGACTGCAATCAAGGTGTTAGCCAGAGCTAAGGTCTCAGCTAGGGCTCCACTGAACCAGGATTCACTTCCAAAATAACAAGGTTGTTGGCAATCTTCAGTTCCTGGCACACTACTAGAACAAGGATCTGTTTTCTTGCTGACTACTGGCTAGAGGCCACCCTTAGTTTCTTGCCATGAGGCCCTCTCCAAAGGCTGGTTTACATCATGGCAGCTTGCTTCTTCAAAGTCAACAAGAGTCTCTTAATAAGATGAACATTAGAATTTGCTGTAATCATGTCCATCTCATCATCTTCGTGGTAGTCTATGGATTAGAATCAAGTCATGGGAGTCTCCCTCCACACAAGGAATACCAGGGGACAGGGATCATAGTGGCCACCTTAGAGTCTGTCTGCCACACCTAGGATGTTAATTTCTTCCTGAAAAGCAAATGTAGATTTGCTTCTGCCATGCATCTGAGAGCTCTAAAAACCTTAGATAACCTCAATCTAATTTCAGAAACTGAGGGTATTTGAAGCTGAGCTGCCATCCCTTTGAAGGCCTGCTTACTTCTGGACCACTGTTACTCCTAATGAGTAGCCATTTGGGATCCTCACTCCAAGTAAGGGAAAGGGTTTACCAGTGCAGGCCCCTTCTTCCTTGTCCCATAAGGTTGTCAAAATGGCCATTCAACAGCTCAGCAATCACTTACCACTCACAGAATTGGCCAACACAAGGGAAAACAGCTCCCCTAACAAAGTTTCTGTTTCCTTAGGAATTCTTCATTGTTGCCAGCTCGCTGATGTCTTCAACCAGGTGTTTTTAATTAATTTATTTTTAGTTTATCTTTTTTTTTTTAAGAGATGGGGTCTCCCTATGTTGCTGAGGCTGTTCTCAAACTCCTGAGCTCAAGTGATCCCCTAGCCTTGCCTCCCAAAGTGCTGGGATTAAAGGTGTGAGCCACCGTGCCCAGCCCAGATGTTTTTAAAATTTTGTTCAGCTGCCAGCTTTTCTAGATGTTCTCAGTGAAGATCTAGGACAAATTTCTTGGTCTACCATCATTGTAAATGAAAGCTTTTATTTTTATTTATTGTAGAGATGGGGGTCTCCCTATATTGCCCAGGCTAGTTTTGAACTCCTGGCCTCAAGCGATCCTCCTACTTTGGCTTCCCAAACTGCTGGGATTACAGGTGTGCGCCATTGTGCTCAGCCTACTTTTTTATGTCCAGCATTTGGAGAGGGCCACATGGCAAGAAATTCACTCAGCAAGAAAACAGATTCTTGTTCCAGTAGTTTGCTACGAACTGAATATTGGCAACAACTCTGTTATTTTGGAAGTGAATCCTGCTTCAGTGGAGCCTCAGCTGAGACCTCAGCTCTGAACACATCTGAAACACAGATGTGTTTCAACATAATCTAACCTAAAGCAAAACAAAGATTTTTCAACCTAGAAAAAAGATTAGAGAGTACTAATTATATTGAATATTTCTATTTCTGAAGCTTTCCATAATTTGGAAAATAAAATATTATTAAATACTGCATTTTTATGGCTAAAACATCAATCTAGAAATTAGCATGGACTTATAAAACATTTTAGATCAGTTGATATTTTGCTAATATCCCTATATGAAAGTCTTAAATACTGAGTATTCCTGCAAATTACATACAGTATTGAATTGCTCAAAACTGCATTGCCAAATATAAACAACACACCGATTAAACTAGCTACTGTAGTTGTCTATGGTGCTATGATATGAAGTTAGAATATCTGAAGGACATTAATATGTACTTCACTTCAAACGGAAAGCCTGAAATTGATGAAAACTTCAACAATAGATACTGCATCCCTATCTTTAAAATACACTGGTTTGGGAGGATATTATATAAATTTGGTAGCCTTTTATTCTTATGTGAATAAAGCATCAGACTTTATTTTTTAAGATCTGTAACTACTGGATATACTTTTAAAATAAATATCTGGCTGGCCACAGTGGCTCATGCCTGTAATCCCAGAACTTTGGGAAACCAAGGCAGGAGGATCACTTGAATCTAAGATTTTGAGATCTGTGCAAAGTAGTGAGACCTCATCTCTAACAAAAAATAACAAAACATTAGCTGGCATGATGGCACGAGCCTGTAGTCCTAGCTCCTCAGGAGGCTGAGGTGCGAGCATCACTTGAGCCCAGGCGGTTGGGGCTGCAATGTGCGGAGATCAAGTCACTGCAATCCAGGCTGGGTGACAGAGACCTTGTCTCAAAAAAGGAGGAATATCTAAGAGAATAAAATATGCTTACTTGCTCCAGGAATAAATTAAAAAATATAAACTATCAACCACCTTTAGTGGAGACCACTAGCTGTACCTAACTCAATTCTGTACTTTTTTCCCCAACTTTTCCTGGGCACATGACTACCTGGAATGAAAGCTATATTTTCCATCCTTCCTTGCTATTTACAAGTAAGGCATTATGACTAAGTTTGGCCAGTGACATTTAAATAGAAGTGTTGGGTACAACTTCTGGGAAATTTCTTTAGACAGGGGATGTAACTTTCTCACTGCCCTCTTTCTTGCTGGCCAGAGTGCTGCTGTGAGGGCTAGAGCTTCACCAGCAACCTTGGATCATGGGTTGAATGCCAAGTGCTGAGGTTGGTAGACTAACACAGCAACCCTGAAATACTTACCTCTGGAATTCTTTCATGTGAGAGGAAAAAAAAATTCTCTCTCTTTTTTTTTTTTAAGCCTCTGGTATTTGGGGTTTTAGTTTTATGCTGCTGAACCTAATCTTAAGTGATACACTTTTCAATTGCTGACATATTAATCCTTTATTAGAAATTGTAAATGAGAAATTATATCAACACCTGAGGACCAAACTACAACAGAATATTCCATAGGCTCAAGATTTTGAGACATTCTGGAAAGAGTTTTCTGTAAGGTATATCCTTTCCGTGGCATGGCAACATCATCATTCTTTAAAAAGGTGACTGGACAGACATCATTTCCACCATCACCAATATAAACAATTTGTGTATAATTCACTCCCTGTTGTAACTGTTTATCTACAAATTCTATCAAAACTACCTTTTTGCAAAGATTCTTTGGGCATCTATTGCAAGAATGAGTATGATAATTTTCAACAGTGAGATGACCATTGCTATTAAAAGCTGCTGGATTTGTAAACACTTTATCAAATATGTCATGAAAACTGGCAGCTTCTAAAACCCAATCTATGAAGACCGAATTTGAATCTGAAATAATAATGCAGTCAAATTTATCCTTATTCTTTCTTATAAAGTTGAAGAGTTCCACCATCCCTGGAGTGAAAGGCAATGATGTCACTGCTCTTTTCATTTCATGTTCTCTTACACCCTTATCTCCCAAATACTTAAAGACTCTGCCCATAAATTCTGTCCAAAATCCTTTTCGATAAGAATCACGTAGTTCAATAGGAAGCTTTTTGTTGGGAGCACATTGTACAATCCAAGTGTCACTATTGTCATCTATGATTGTATTGTCAAAGTCAAAAACTAGCAAAATTTTCATGGTTCCAGAAATAGATTTGGATTACCCTGAAAAAGAAGAAATATTATTCCCTAAACAAACTCTGTTTACATATCTAGCTAAAATACTTATTTAATAAACATAACTAAATGTTAATCTGCTAAAGGGAGGAATATAAACAAAGTAATTAAGCACTTCAAGACCACTACCTAACCACTTTTCTCTAAGAAGCAAAGTTCGTATTTGAGTATTTTAAGTGGAAAACAAAATATATAAAAAGGACATTCATAGTATTATTGTGTTCCTGGAGGTGTGTTTCTTATAGAATTTATAAGAAAGAAAAAAAAGCATTTCTTACTATCATTAAATTATCAATCAAACCACACTTATTTTATTAGATTAAAATATTTACAATCCTCATATTAAATAACAGATCATGTATAAAGGACTCTCTGTGTACTAACCAAAATTCTGAACAAATTTAACATAACATGAAATCTTGGAAGATGTAAAATAACTTTTTAAGAAAAGGTATTTAGTAACAAAAACAAGCAATGGGGAAAGGATTCCCTATTTAATAAATGGTGCTGGGATAACTGGCTAGCCATATGCAGAAAACAAACTGGACCCCTTCCTTAACACCATATACAAAAATCAACTCAAGGTGGATTAAAGACTTAAGTGTAAAACCCAACACTATAAAAAACCTAGAAGAAAATCTAGGCAATACAATTCAGGACACAGCAAAGGCAAAGGTTTCATGACAAAGATGCCAAAAGCAAATGCAACAACAGCAAAAATTGACAAATGGTATCTAATTAAACTAAAGAGCTTCTGCACAGCAAAAGAAACTATCAACAGAGTAAACAGACAACTTAGAGAATGGGAGAAAATTTTTGCAATTTATCCATCTGACAAAGGTCTAATATCCAGCAACTATTATAAAGTTGAAAAGTTCCACCATCCCTGAAGTGAAAGGCATCGATGTCACTGCTCTTTTCATTTTATCTTCTCTTACACCTTTAGCTCCCAAATAGTTAAAGACTCTGCCCATAAAATCTGTCCAAAATCCTTTTTGATAAGAATCATGTAGTTCCTTGATAAGGAACTTAAACAAATTTACAAGAAAAAACAAACAGCCCCATTAAGAAGTGGGCAAAGACACAAACAGACAATTCTGGAAAGAAGACAATACATGTGCCCAAGAAATATATGAAAAAAAAGCTCAACATCACTGATCATTAGAGAAATGCAAACTAAAGCCACAACGAGATACCATCTTATACTAGTCAGAATGGCTATTATTAAAAAGCCAAAAAATAACAGATGCTGGCAAGGTTGTGGAGAAAAAGGAACACTTTTACACTGTTGGTAGGAGTGTAAATTAAATTAGTTCAACCATCGTGGAAGACAGTGTGGTGATTCCTCAAAGACGTAGAGGCAGAAATACCACTTGACCCAGTAATCCCATTACTGGGTATATACCCAAAGGAATGTAAATCATTCTATTATAAAGATACATGCAAGCGTATGTTCACTGCAGCACTGTTCACAATAGCAAAGACATGGGATCAACCTAAATGCCCATCAATGACAGACTGGATAAAGAAAATGAGGTACTTATACACCATGGAATATTATGCAGCTATAAAAAGGAATGAGATGATGTCCTTTACAGGGACATGGATGGATCTGGAAGCCATTATCCTCAGCAAACTAACACAGGAACAACAACAAGAAAAACCAAACACCATGTGTTCTCACTTATAAGTGGGAGCTGAATCATGAGAACACGTGGAAGGGAATAACATACCCTGGGACCTGTCAGAGGGTGGGGGTGGGAGGAGGCAGAGCATCAGGAAAACAGCTAGTGGATGCTGGGCTCAATACCTAGGTGATGTGATGATCTGTGCAGCAAACCATCAGGGCACACACTTACCTATGTAACAAATCTACACATCCTGCACATGTACCCCTGAACTTAAAAGGTGGAAATCAAAAAAATTAAAAAAGTATTTAGCTTAAAATCAATTTCTAAATATCAATATTATAAGTAAATGATTGCTGACACTCTATATGATATTCTAAACAAATTACCTGAGAACTGGAGGCCAATTTAATTCTTCCAAACTAGAAGTAACTTGGTTAAGAGTTTTCACATGTTTATTTATAGCTGCTCTAGATAGTTTAGCTCTGGGGTGCCAAATAATTTGAATACACCTGAGTAATCATACTGTTTGTGGTGTGACAATTACTTATGTCTCTGTTTTCATTAGAATATAATGAAGGTGATTAATTATAAATCTCAAGAGAAAAGGAAAGAATAAGCTGGTCAACTGATGGTAAGAATAAACATTATTTATAAAAAATAACTATATAGAATATCCAGAAAAGGATATAATTAATGTGTGTAAACAGATAATAATAATAATTTTGAGAGTCATTATATGTCAGGCACTGACCTAAAAACTTTGCAATATCATACCATTTAATTGTCACAACCCTATTAAGTAGGAATCATTATTATCCTCATCTTAAAGATATATAAGCTGGATCTTGAAGTGGTTAGGTGTTAGTAAAGTGCCAGAGCTGGAATCTTAGGTTGATTTGATTCCAGACTTCATGCTTTTAAGTACCAAATTCTAGTGTTAAAAAATAGAATATTTAATGACTACTCATTAGTTTAAAAATATAACACTAAGTAGGTAATTTTGGCAGAAAGATATTTAATTACATAAAAACATTCATTACTTTCAAAGTACACACTAACCATAACACCACATCTGTGATACTCTTTATAACCATTTTGAGGTTTTTACAAGAAATCCTAAAAAGGCAAAGAACCACAGCAATAAGAAAAAGATCAATTAAAAATGAAAAACATGGCATTTAACCACACATATTCTCCAGTTTATAACAGTAGACACCCAGTAGTGAAGACAGAATAGAGCTCTTGACTCACATAAGACTAAGTATTCTGTGTCTCTTAATTTAGAATATCTAGAGAATAATTAACCTATAGGGGTATCACCTGTTGTGTGAATGTGGCTGGTACATAGTTTTTGTTATTCTGGATCCTTGTATCACTAAATGCCTAATCCAGATGCTTCTGACTGGTTCCCTGAAATTTAAATGCAGAATTCACTTTCCTACAGAAACAATGTAATAAATAATAAGGCATAATTGACAATCACAGTAGTACTGTAACTAGGCACATTTTAAATTAAATATGCTTTTTGAGAATTCTGAATTTATAATTAAAACAAATTTCAAATGTAACTCACTGTTGTTTGAAAACTGCCTCAAACCTAAACTTAATTAGCCACAAATTACTGAAATTCCTGAATTATTAGCCTCAAAATAGCATGAGACTGAGGTAACATAGTTCCCCTGCTGATCTGAAAGTGCACTTTTAAAATTTTCCCATCTTTTTCTGTTAGTATTTTCTCACCACTCAACATAAACCTTTAAAAAATACTTACCCAACTTAGTATTTCCAAGACAATCTTACTTCAGCATTGGGATTAGGATAAACAATCATGACAATCTTCAGTTTTAAACATCAGCCAGTTGTTTTCAAATATTACTCCTATTCTATATACAGGGAACAGAGTCTTCTGGTTTGGAGCAAAATAATGGAAACTTCTTAACTCCTAAAATTAATAAAAGTATTTTAAAAGCTTTAACATTTGTATTTTCAGGCCGGGCGCAGTGGCTCACGCCTGTAATCCCAGCACTTTGGAAGGCCGAGGCGGGGGATCACGAGGTCAGGAAATGGAGACCATCCTGGCTAACACAGTGAAACCCCATCTCTACTAAAAATACAAAAAATTAGCTGGGCGTGGTGGCGGGCACCTGTAGTCCTAGCTACTTGGGAGACTGAGGCAGGAGAATGGTATGAACCTGGGAGGCGGAGCTTGCAGTGAGCCGAGATCGCGCCACTGCACTCTAGCCTGGGCAACAGAGCGAGACTCCGTGTCAAAAAAAAAAAAATTTTTTTTTTTGTATTTTCTAATTATGTTGTTTTTCTAATGTCAGAAAAGCATCTTTTGGCAATAGGAGAACAAAGTTTTGCTTTCCACTTGGTATCGACTTGGTGTCGAAAATAAGAAATGTTATGTGAAAATAAGTTTTTGTCCAGTGGATAAAATCAGTGTTAAGCTGATTGAGATTTTCAGAGTCCATTTTTTCTTTGTACTTGTTTAATAATAGAGGAGTTCCACATTCTGTTGTCAATAGACATTTAGTGCTGTACTAGAAATTAAAATGTCTCCAAAAATTAAGAATATGAACAAAGATTTAGTTTTAAGAATGTGAATCTGTTTTGAAACCAATTTGTTAAAATTCCAAAAAGTTAACTGTTCTCTTCAAAAGCACAATCTATGTCTATTTGGTATGTCTGCAATGTTTCCATAGTGTAACAATATCCTGCATACTTTACACAATAATGAAAATTAAAAACTACACAGACATCCAAGAATTGGGAAATAATTAAGTAAGATATGCATGTGATAGCAAATAACAGAATATCCAGCCAGTAAAAGCCAAGATATTCAGTTCAAATTAAATAAGCAAGTCACAAAATAGTGTGTACAGTATAATCCTGTTTTTGTTTTAGAAAATGTTTACATGTGCAGTGGGATGGTTATGGTTGGTTCAACCGTAGTTCACACTTTTTCTACATCAATTTTGTAATAAAATTTTTTTCTTCTCAGAATAATTTAAACTCTGTTTCAGATCAGAGTGCATATGCTACCTTATTAAATTCACAACAAAGAAATAAAAGAGTGGTGGGTAT
This sequence comes from Homo sapiens, assembly GCF_000001405.40. NCBI lineage: Eukaryota > Metazoa > Chordata > Mammalia > Primates > Hominidae > Homo > Homo sapiens. The sequence goes on along the minus strand of NC_000002.12, from coordinate 169,696,215 downwards.
AGGACAAATAACTCTAGATTGACTTGGTTGTGACAATCCACAGGTTGGAGCTGGAATCTCGAGTCTGAAGTCAAATTATATCTGACCACCATGTCAAATTGGCAAGTAACTGACATCAAATCATGAGATTCAATACTTTTGTAACCAATTTTGTTAAAATTCCAGAAAATTGTTGTTGGGAGACAATTTTCCCTGCGTCTCTGGTGGTTCTGCATGTCTTACTGACTGCCCTTTCCTCTAGACTATTGTCTCAAGGATGTTTGTACACTGGACAGCCTTGAGAAACATGCTTATTTGTCCAAATGATAAAGATCTGGGTTCCCTAAGCTCAGGGCTCCTTTCCTGTAATTCGACACACACTACATCTAGGTGACTTCTTGCCCACTTTGCATTATCCTGTGGGAACTGGGGCTTTAGGGAACTCAGGCGAAATTGCTGATTTACTGGCTACTGCTGGGAGTAATTCATTCCTGAAATGAATAGTCTTGTGTCTTCCATGAAACTGCCAGGCTAAGTTAGCCTGCAAACAGGGTAAAAATCTCTGTTCCTTCCCAGTTCTTGAAACTTTTTTTTTTTTTGAGACGGAGTCTCGCTCTGTCGCCCAGGCTGGAGTGCAGTGGCACGATGGTCGGCTCACTGCAAGCTCCGCCTCCCAGGTTCACGCCATTCTCCTGCCTCAGCCTCCAGAGTACCTGGAACTACAGGCGCCCGCCACCACGCCTGGCTAATTTTTTTGTATTTTTGCTAGAGACAGGGTTTCACCGTGTTAGCCAGGATGGTCTCGATCTCCTGACCTCGTGATCCGCCCGCCTCGGCCTCCCAAAGTGCTGGGATTACAGGCGTGAGCCACCGCGCCTGGCCCCCAGTTCTTGACACTTTTTAAGGTATAGTTCCAAAAACCTACCAGCGCTGTATGTGCACAAACTAATTTCTGTCTTCAAATATTTTCTTAATTATTCCATACTTACCAGCATTATTACGTGGAACATCTGATAGAAAACCTAAAGAAAAATAGCACGACTATGTGTTAGAACATTCGTTATTAAAAATCTTTTTGTTCTTTCATTTTGAGAGACTCCAATTTGGTGCATTATGTGTACACGTCAGAGCCAACTTGTTAGTAATGAAGTTATCTGTACATCAATGTGTTAGAAAAGCATCTTTTGAAACCAAACGCGCAGCTACTCCTAACAGATTTCTGTGGTCATGTATTTACCAAGAAATTTAAAATATCTCAAAGGTCCTAACGTAAATATTCTAAGCATATCATTACGTTTTAACATTCCTATTTTTAAAAAACTTGGCCCCATCTAGTCCTGACCATGCCTCAGAAACCAAAGGATTAAAAAAACAGCGTTTATGTCAGCGAATCCGCGGGTTTTTATAGTTAAGGGAGGGCTTTGCTCCTCACACTCCACCCGCGAGGAGATCTGCGGACGCACACACCACGCCTAGGCCTCGCGCGCTCACACACCTGCCGGCTCCACCCCGAGGGTAGGCATCGGACCCAATCGGGGGTCGTCCCCCATGGGGAGCGCGCAGGTGGGGATGGGAGTAGCAGGCAGGGCGGGGGCCCACGGGCTTCTCACTGACCCAGTCCCGCCGTCGGCAGCCGCCCCGGCGCCCGTGACGCTCCTGCGGGTTCAGTCCTTTGGCCTCGCCCCACGCCTGCCCTCTCGGCAGCCCCACTCACAAGCCCAGCTCGCAAGCGCAGGCGCCTCTCTTCTCTAGCCCGACCGCCAACTGCAGCACCTCCCTTGTTCCTCGGCTACGGCTGGCGTCACTTCCGGCGGCGTTGCCAAGCAACCGCGTGGTACGAGTAACAACTCCACCGGCTGGCGTCCGCGGCGCTTGGCGCCACAGTCACTTTTCCAGATCTAGGAGCATCATGGACACCTCGTCAGAGATGCTGGTACGGTTTGGACGGCGCTGTGGACGGGCGAAGGAAAGTACAGGTGAGCTAAACTGACCTATCCAGGGACAGGGATTGTTTCTGGACCCCCGGCATGGAGTGAGAGGCGAGGATGCCGAATGAGGGCTTCAGTTGCCTTTTGAAATGGACTCCACCAGGTCGAAAGCATCCTCAATAAGCATCTTTGGGCTCTGTGTGAAGTTAGGCCGTCTTGCCCTCAGGTGAATGGGTGAAGGAGGGAAACGGGGAGTGGAAGTGGGTGGGAGAATGTTTACAGAAATAGGGGTGGAGAAAAGATAGGAAATCAGAGACCCCCACCCCCAGCCCCAGCTGACCTAAAACTGCGCAGTTGCAGCTCTGAGAGTCTGGGTTTTGTTAAATTTCCCGCACGCTTAAAGTTTGTTATTCACTGATTGAATTGGAATATCTCTTGGAAATATAAGTCACCTCTTTAGAGGCTTGGCTCTTCTGCAAACCTGCTGATTGGTCTTTACTAAAAGTCTCTGAAGGAAATATCTCCATTTCCTCCTCTCTAAAGTAAATATAAGGTCTCTCTCTAAGTCAAATGCTTTTAGAGAGTTAAAAAAAAATCGTGTGACATAAAGTACTGTAATTCAGGTGACCTGTTATAACAATTTGATTTTGGAATAGAAATAGACTTCTAAAGAACTCTATCAATTCTAGCTACAACAGTTTCTTACGTCTGTAAATTAGCAATTAATGTTGTCATGGTGACAACTAGAACTTTGGCAATTTGAAGTATCTTCATGTCATTGCCCGAGCTTCTGTAGCAATAGTGCCCCCTGCACCAGATGCAGAGTGACAGCCAGTCATTCTTCACTAGTGGATATTTATGCAGTGGAGGTTTTATGAGGTTAGCAGCGGACTTTTGCCATGTAAAAGGAAAGAAACAGTACCAACATGGCCAGTTTTGGAAAAGCACAATTAGTCCCACACATTCACTTTCCTGCATATGCATTTCTGCACTACCTGGTTTAGATTTACCTAATAGTTGTTAAATAATGTTTTGTGGCAACTAGCTCAAAAGCTTCCACCTGAGCCTCACTGCTAAATTTTAATCTCCATTTTTAGGGGAAGGCTAAGTTGGAGAGAGGTTCAGAGATGTGTGCAGCTATTAGTAAAATAAATAATTTATAAAGATTTAGTGGGATGACATCAGCCAGAATGGTGAAATAGGATCTATGCCTGAAATCCTCTCCTCCATAAAATCAACAAGAACAGTGGCAAAAATCATCAATATCGACTTTTTCAGAACTCTGGAAATTAACCAAAGGCTTGCAACAATTTGTAGAGTGTTTACTAAAGAAAAACAGCTGGATTTTTGTAACAACAGCAAGGTTTTTGGCATTTTAACTTGCCATAGTCCTATACTTTTCTCCCAGCCCCGTGTCAGCCTAGATAACCACAGTAATCACAGTGAAAAATAGTGACTTAGCAACTGGTAGAGGGGACAAAACAGAATTTGACCCACTCCAAAGCCAGACAACTGTTATTATTCGACATGTTTGATAGTTCCTTGGAAAATCTCACTCATGAGGCTTATTGTTATTTAGTCTGACTTCAAACTCACCAAGTATGTTTGTCAAATGTTCAGTGGCAATTTTAAATATCACAGCTATCAGAGGCATGTGTGGGAACTTAATCCCCAATGTAAAAATGTTGGAAGGTAGGGACTAATGAGAGGTGATAGGCCATGAGGGCAGAGTAAAGGGATTAATGCCATTATCTGGGGAATGGGTTCATTATAAAAGTGGGAAAGTTGGCCCTCTTCTTTCTCTCTCTCTCTCTCTGTCTCTGTGTGGTGTGTGTGTGTGTGTGTGTGTGTGTGTGTGTGTGTGCGTGCGCCTGTTGCCCTCTCTTTGCCCTTTTGCCATGTAATGCCTTCCATCATGTTATGATGCGGCAAGAAGGCCCCTGCCAGATGCTGGCACCTCGATACTAGCTTTCTCAGCCTCCAGAACCATAAGCCAATAAATTTCTATTCCTTATGAATTACCGAGTCTCAGGTATTCTGTTATAACAGCATGAAACAGGCAGGCAGTGATACAGTTGGGAGGCAAACAACAAGCTGACCGAAAATCTTAAAAGGATCAGTTGGGAAGTGATATGTCCATAGGGGGCTTTGGAAAGCTCCTGACATATTCCTGGGAATCTAGAAGGCCAAGTGCATGCATAGAGCTATGTATATGCCCAGGAAAGACCTGCAAATGCCTCTCACCTATGACTTACCTTGAGACTCTGTTTAAGAAAGAAGTAGAGGCTAAGATGGAGTTGTAAATTGCCTGCCCGAGCATTGAAGGCATGCCTTAATACTCATAGACAGTCCTTTGGCAAAGACTGGGAGACTTGTTAGTTCCAGTCATCCAAAGATATGTCTGTCTAGTTATTAGCTGACCACTAAGCAAACCAGAGACTGCAGTGACTCCAGTGGCCACATGTGACAAAGAATACAGACTACAGAATTGGTTCAGAGAAGTCCTGAAACAAACAACAACAGCAGGAATGAGAAACTTTGGGTGTATGTAGAAATCTGATTTCCAGAGTTGACACATATATGTACAGTTTTTAATAAAAATTATGAAAGATGAAAAGAAATAAAGTATGACCCAAACACAAGAAAAAGGTTTCAATAGAAAGTGTCTTTGAAATGGACTCCACCAAGTTGAAAGCATCCTCAATAATCATCTTTTGGCTCTGTGGAAGTCTGGCCATTTTGTGCTCAGTTGAATGGGTGGAAGAGGGAAAGGGGGAGTGGAAGTGGCGGGGAGGATGTCTACAGAAGTAGGGGTGGACAAAAGATAGGAAATCAGAGACTGCCCCCCCAACTGACCTAAAACTGTGCAGTTGCAGTTGTTGTAAGCCCAGATGTTGGATTTACTAGATACAAACTTTTGTAAATTTATAGCTATTGTAAATATATTTAAAGAACTAAAACAAAAGTCTAAAGAACTATAGAAAAGTATTAAGAATGTTGTCTTACCAAATAGAGGATATCAATGAATATTTAAAAAAATTATAAAAAGGAACTGAACAGAAATGTTGGAGTTGAAAAGCACAATAACTGAATTAAAAAATTAACTAGAGGGATCAATAGCTGATTTGAACTTGCAGAAGACATAATCAGTGAACTTGAAGATAAGTCAATTGAGATTATTCAGTCTCAGAATAATGAGAAAGAAAAAAAGATAAAAGAATGAAGAAAAATGAGCAGATCTTCAGAGAAATGTAGGGCACCAGCAAATATGCCAACATAAATGTAACTCGAGTTCTGGAAGAAAAAGAGCAGAGAAAGGGGTAGAAAAATTTGAAGAATTAATGGCCAAAAGCTTTCCAAATTTGATGAAAAACATCACACAATCAAAAGGCTCAGTGATCCTCTAAGTATGGTAAACTCAACTCAAAGAGATCAACAGCTGTACACATCATGATCAAACTGTTGAAAGCTAAAGACAGAGAAAATCTTGAAAGCACAAAAGAGAAATGACATTACATAAAAGTAATCCTCAATAAGATTAACAACAAATTTCTTATAAGAAATTATGGAGTCCAGGGGCAGCAGGCTAATATATTCAAATTACTGAAAGAAAAAGTCTTCAAGAATTCTTTTTTTTTTTTTTTTGAGACAGAGTCTTGCTCTTGTCACCCAGGCTGGAGTGCAGTGGCATGATCTCGGCTCACTGCAACCTCTGCCTCCCAGGTTCAAGTGATTCTCCTGCCTCAGCCTCCTGAGTAGCTGGGATTACAGGCACCCGCCACCACACCTGGTTAATTTTTGTACTTTTAGTAGAGATGGGGTTTCGCCATGTTGGCCAGGCGTGTCTCAAACTCCTGACCTCAGGTGATCCCACCTTCAATTATTAATTGAAAAAATTCTCACAAAGAAAAACTGGGTACCAGATGGCTTCATTGGCTAATTCTACTAAATTTTTAATGAAATATTAACATAAATCCTTCAAAAACTTTTTAAAAAATAAGAGGAAGGAGCACTTTCCAGCTCATTCTATAAGGGCAGTATTACCCTGATACCAACATCAGACAAAGATATCACAAGAAAACTATAGATCATTATCCTTTATGAATAGAGATGCAAAAATCTTCAACATAGTTTTAGCACATGAGCTAGATGTGGCACACACCTCCCAGCTACTTGGGAGGCTGAAGTGGGAGGACCACTTGAGGCCAGGAATTTGAGGCTGTAATGTGCTATGGTCACACTTGTAAATAGCCACTGCGCTCCAGCCTGGGCAACATAGTAAGACCCCATCTCAAAAAATAAGTTAATTAATTAAATAAAATACTAGCAAACCAAATCCAACAACATATAAAAAATTATTATATACCATGACCAAGTGGTATTTATCCCAAGAATGCAAGGTTGGTTTAAAAACAATTAATGTAGTACACTGTGTAAATAGAATAAGGAACAAAACTACATGATTATCCTAATAGAAAAAACATTTGACAAATCTAACATCCATTTATGATAAAAACAACAAACTGGGAATAGAAGGGAATTTTCTTAACCTGATGAAGGAGACCTATGAAAAGCCCATAGCTAACATCATAGTTAATGGTGATAGACTGAAACCCTGATCAGGAAAAGAAAAGTATGCCTGCTTTCGTCACTTCTGTTTAACATCATACTGGAAATTCTAGCCATGGCATTTAGGCAAGCAAAACAAAAGGCCATCCAGATTGGAAAGGAAGAAATAAAACTTTCTATATTCACAGATGACATGATATTCTATATTAAAAATCCTAAAGAATGTACTAAACATTTATAAGATCTAATAAAGTTTAGTGGCATTGAAAGATGATCAGTTTACAAAATGGTATTTCTGTACACTTGCAATGAAGAATCTGATGATGAACTTAAGAAAACAATTCCATTTACAATAGCACCAAAATACTTAGGAAAAGTTTTTATTTCTAAAGAAAAATACTTAGGAATAAGCAAAAATTTACCCTTTAAAAAACTACAAAACATTATTGAAAAAATTAAAGATATAAATAAATGGAAAGACATCTTGATATAGTTTGGATGTGTCCTGACCCAAATCTCAACTTGAATTGTATCTCCCAAAATTCCCATGAGTTGTGGGAGGGACCCAGGGGGAGATAATTGAATCATGGGGGCCAGTCTTTCCCGTGCTATTCTTGTGATAGTAATTCAGTCTTATGAGATCAATGGGTTTATCAGGGATTTCCACTTTTGCTTCTTCCTCATTTTCTCTTGCCACCACCATGTAAGAAGTGTCTTTCAACTCCTGCCATGATTCTGAGGCCTCCCCAGCCATGTGGAACTGTAGGTCTAACTAAACCTCTTTTTCCCAGTCTTAGGTATGTCTTTATCAGCAGTGTGAAAACGGACTAATACAGTAAATTGGTACCAGCAGAGTGGGGCATTGCTGAAAAGATAACTGAAAATGTGGAAGTGACTTTGGCACTGGGTAACAGGCAGAGATTGGAACAGTTTGAAGAGCTCAGAAGAAGACAGGAAAATGTGGGAAAGTTTGGAACTTCCTAGAGACTTGTTGAATGCCTTTGACCAAAATGCTGATAGCGACATGGACAATAAAATGCAGGCTGAGATGGTCTCAGATGGAGATGAGGAACTTTCTGGAAACTGGAGTAAAGGTGATTCTTGCTATGTTTTAGCAAAAAGACTAGCGTCATTTTACCTCTGCCCTAGAGATTTGTGGAACTTTGAGAAAGATGATTTAGGGTACCTCGCAGAAGAAATTTCTAAGCAGCAAAGCATTCAAGAGGTGAGTTGGATACTGTTAAGGGCATTCAGTTTTAAAAGGGAAACAGAGCATAAAAATTCAGAAAATTTGTAGCCTGATCTGGCAGAAGAAATTTCTAAGCAGCAAAGCATTCAAGAGGTGAGTTGGGTACTGTTAAGAGCATTCAGTTTCAAAAGGGAAACAGAGCATAAAAATTCAGAAAATTTGTAGCCTGACTATGCAATAGAAAAGAAAAACCAGTTTTCTGGGGAGAAATTCAAGCCAGCTGCAGAAATCTGCATAAGCATCAAGAAGCCTAATGTTAATCCCCAGGACCATGGGGAAAATGTCTCCAGGCCATGTCAGAGACCTTCACAGCAGCCCCTCCTGTCACAGGCCCAGAGATCCAGGAGGAAAAAATGGTTTTATGGGCCAGGACCAGGGTCCCTGTGCTGTGTGCAGCCTATAGACTTGGTGCCCTGTGTCCCAGCTGCTCCAGCCATGGCTGAAAGGGGCCAATGTAGAGCTCATGCTGTGGCTTCAGAGGGTGGAAGCCCCAAGCCTTGGCAGCTTCCACATGGTGTTGAGCCTGTAGGTGCACAGAAGTCAAGAATTGAGGTTTGGGAACCTCCACCTAGATTTCAGAAGATGTATGGAAATGCCTGGATGTCCAGGCAAAAGTTTGCTGCAGAGGCAGGGCCCTCATGGAGAACCTCTGCTAGGGCAATGCAGAAGGGAATTGTGGGGCCGGAGCTCCCACGTAGAGTCCCTAATGGGGCATTATCTAGTGGAGCTGTGAGAAGAGGGCCACCGTCCTTCAGACCCCAGCATGGTGGATCCACTGACAGCTTGCACCATGCGCCTGGAAAAGCCGCAGACACTCAATGCCAGTCCGTGAAAGCAGCCAGGAGGGAGGCTGTACCCTGCAAGGCCACAGGGGCAGAACTGCCAAAGACCATGGGTCCCCACCTTTTGCATCAGCATGACCTGAATGTGAGACCTAGAGTCAAAGGAGATCATTTTGGAGCTTTAAAATTTGATTCCTGCTGGATTTTGGACTTGCATGGGTCCTGCAGCCCCTTTGTTTTGGCCAATGTCTCCCATTTGGAATGGCTGTATTTACCCAATACCTGTACCCCTATCGTATCTAGGAAGTAACTAGCTTGCTTTTCATTTTACAGGCTCATAGGCAGAAGGGACTTGCCTTGTCTCAAATGAGACTTTGGACTATGGACTTTTGGGTTAATGCTGAAATGAGTTAAGACTTTGGGGGACTGTTGTGAAGGCATGATTGGTTTTGAAATGTGAGGACATGAGATTTAGAGGGGGCCAGGGGCAGAATGATATGGTTTGGCTGTGTCCCCACCCAAATCTCAACTTGAATTGTATCTCCCAGAATTCCTACACGTTGTGGGAGGGACCCAGGGAGAGGTAATTGAATCATGGGGGCTGGTCTTTACCATGCCATTCTTATAATAGTGAATACGTCTCATGAGATCTGATGGGATTATCAGGGACTTCCGCTTTTGCTTCTTCCTCGTTTTCTGTTGCTGCCACCATGTAAGAAGTGCCTTTTGCCTCTCACCATGATTCTGAGGCCTCCCCAGCCATGTGGAACTGTAAGTCCAACTAAACCTTTTTTTCTCTCCAGTCTCAGGTATGTCTTTATCAGCAGCATGAAAATATACTAATACATATTTCATGTTAATGGGCTGGGAGATTTAGTATTGTTAAGATGGTTTGAATATTTGTCCCCTTCAAAACTCATGTTGAAAATTAATTCCCAAAATGACAGTATTGAGAGGTGGGGCCTTTAAGAAGTGATTGGGTCATGAGGGATCTGCTTTCATGAATGGATTAGAAATGGGGTCTTGCTGTGAATGGATTAATGGCTTATGCTGGAATTGAGACTGTTGGCTTCATAAGAAGAGGAAGAGAGATCTGAGCTAGCATCCTCAGCCCCCTTGCCATATGATGCCCTGCATTACTTCCAGACTCTGCAGAGAGACCTTACCAGCAAGAAAGCCCTCACCAAATGCAGCCCCTCAACCTTGCACTTCTGAGCCTCTATAATTCTAAGAAATAAAATCCTGTTCTTTATAAATTATCTAGTTTCAGGTATTCTGTTATAGCAACAGAAAATGGACTAAGACAGATGGCAATACTTCCCAAATTGATCTACACATTCAACACAATTCCTATCAAAATTCTACTTGGCTTTTTTGTTGATATTGACAAGCTGATCTTAGAATTCATATGGAAATGAAAAGGACAATAGAATAGCTAAAACAATTTTGAATCTGAAGAAATATTAATAAGTAGGAGGACTCACGCTTCATGATATTAAGACTTACTACAAAGCTACACTCATTGGCTGGACATGGGAATGTGCACCTATAGTCCCAGCTACTCAGGTGGTTGTGGCCAGAAGGATCACTTGAGACCGGGAGTTCGAGGGTGTAGTGCACAATGGTTGTGCTTATGAATAGCCACTGCACTCCAGCCAGGGCTACATAGAGAGACCCTGTTTCTAAAAACAATAAAAAAAACTACAGTCACCAAGAGATTGTGGTGTTGGCTTAAGGAAAGACATATAGATGAGTGTAATAGAAATAATGAAATAAACCCATACATCTATACTAAGTGGGTTTTGACAAGAATGTTAATGCAATGGGGAAAGAGTAGAATTTTTAACAAATGGTGCTGGGATAAGTGGATATCCATATGCAAAATAATGAATTTTGACTCCCAAATTTATAGACACCTCACACCACATACAAATATTAGTTTGAAATGAATCATATAACTAAATATAAAAGCTAGAACTATAAAACTATTAGAAGAAAACTTATACATACATCTTTATTATCTTGGATTAGGCAACAATTTCTTAGATATGACACCAAAAGCACAATCAACCCAAGAAAAACAGATTTGGCCTTCCTCAAAATTAAAAACTTTAGTATTAATACATCAAAGAACACTATCAAAAAGTGCAAATACATCCACCGAATGGGAGAAGATATTTGTAAATTATATATATGCTAAGGATCTATAATCCAGATTATAAAGAATTCTTACAACTCAACAATAAAAAGACAGCCCATTTTTAAAAAGGGACAAATGATTTGAACTGATATTTCTCCAAACAAGATGTATAAATAGCCAATAAGCACATGAAATGATGCTCAACTTCATTAGCTATTATAGAAATACAAATCAACACTACAGTGAGATACTACTTCCCACCCACTAGGATGAGTGAAAAAATAAAGGGACAGTAATAACTGTTGGGAAGGATGTGGAGAAATTGAAACCTTCGTATGTTGTTAGTGGAAATGTAAAATAGTACAGCTACTTTGAAAAACAATTTGGTACTTTCTCAAAATGTTAAATATGGAGTTATAATTCTGTTCCTAAGCATATACCAAAGATAATGAAAAATATGTGTCCACACAGAAACCTGTGAATGTTCATAACAGAATTATTCATAATAGTCAAATGGTGGAAACACCCCTAATATCCATCAACTGATGAATGGATAAACAAAATGTGCTACTTCTATAGAATGGAATATTACTCAGCCATAAAAAGGAATTAGGGCCAGGCATGGTTGCTCACACCTGTAATCTCAGCACTTTGGGAGGCCAAGGCAGGTGGATCACTTGAGGCCAGGAGTTTGAGACCAGCCTGGCCAACACAGTGAAACTCCATGTCTACTAAAAATACAAAAAAAATTAGCTGGGCATGGTGGTGCATGACTGTAGTCCCAGCTACTTGGGAGGCTAGGCAGGAGAATTGCTTGAACCCGGGAGATGGAGGTTGCAGTGAACCGAGATTGTGCCACAGCTTTCCACCCTGGGCGATGGAGACAGACTCATCTCAACAACAACAACAACAACAACAACGAAAAGGAATCAAGTATTGATACATTCTACAATGTGAATGAACCTTGAAAACATTATTTGAGTGAAAGAAGCCAGATATAAAATGCCACATATTGTATGATTCCATGCACATGAAATGTCTCCAATGGGCAAATCCGTAGAGCCAGAAAGTAGATTAGTGGTTGCCAGGAGCTATGAGGAGGAGAGGACTGCTAATGCATACAGAGTTTCCTTCTGGAATGATGAAAGTGTTCTGAATTAGATAGTAGTGATAGTTGCCCAGCTTTGACAGTAGAGTAAAAACCATTGAATGCTACTGTTTACAGTGGCGGATTTTTATGTGTATTATAACTCAATAAAAAGATGATCTAATCCATGGAAAATGTGTCAATATGGCAGGTACATGGACTGATTTTAGACACTTTTAGGTAACTTGCCACTGCTTTTGTCCCCTCTCTCCTGCTTGCGAGTCTGCCTATTTATATTCTCTCTCTGTCCATCTGTCTCTGTCTTTCATGTCCCTTCATTCAACTGTGGCCTGCCCTTCTTCAACTTCTCTAACAGCCTCTACTGACATTGTATGAGAGCTACTGTGGGGTAGGAATCTTGGAAGTAAGATTGCCCTCTAAGAGCTAAATTTTACATCAACCAGTGGATTAAAGTGGGGATATATGAAATCATCTATAGCTCTGTTCTCAACCAGGGCTCTCCTGATCTCCAAAGATATGGGGAACTTGCCCCAACTTCAGTGGCCTGAGATAGTAAAAAGCCTTTCCCAAGCTTTCTGTGGGCTTTTTTTTTCTTTGTGGTTACCCAACTCTATTCCCACATTTGTGGCTGTTCTCTTTGTTTGTTCCTGTGTCAGAGTCCATGAAAAGATCTATTTGAATAAAACATCCTGTGAACAGTTAACTCTACTAAAGATTTGAGATGTCAAACAGGAGGGATCACACTTTGCACTGCATAGCTTTCTAACATCCTGCTCTCCTGCCACCGCTGCCAAGGCCCACTTACCACTGTATACTTTGTGGAGAGCAGCTCCTGCCAGAATAGGCCATGTGCTATACTGACCCTCTTTAGAATTTTAGCGAATTAAGTTTAGAATGACTCTTGGGTCAGACAAAGATATTAACATGCCTAGCAATTTGTTAATCAAAAGGCAGATGGTTTAACTTAGAGACCGTTGTTTGGTTAGCTTCTGATTGCAGGTAACAAAAGCCAAGCTGAGCTGGTTTAGGCAAAATAAAGGAAATTTGTTACAAGGCTGTAAGGATGTATTGGTCATGACTCTTAAGTAGAACAGTGTTCTGAATCAAGTTACACCACAATCCCCAGATACGGGAGACACAGTATTCTTCTTTTTATCGTAACTGCTGTGAGTTAGATTAGTCATTTGCAACTAAAGAGTCATGATGATACTCTTTGCAACTAAAGATTCATGATAAAATCAGCTTTGTTTGGCTTTATTTTGCGTGCAGAGGTTTGGTATGTGGTAGGCAAGATAGTGCCTGTGGTTGTAAACTCACACTTTAGTTTAGTCACCAAGTTCTCACCTCTACCTGCCTTAATTTAAACCCCAAGAAGACTTTATTTGGTCCTAAAGGCTTTTCTTTCAGTATCTTTCTCTTTCTGGAACCACGTGATTTTCTTGCTTCTGCCTTTCTCTCTACTTGTTTCATTCTTCTCCTCATACTAATAGTAAAAATAATAATAGCTAATATTTGTTGAGAACATATTATGTACCAGGCGCTAGTCTTAAATTCTTTACGTACAGTAGATACTGTTAATGACCCCATTTTGCAATTAAGGAAACAGATTCAGAAGGGTAAAATAATTTTATCTAGATTCATATAGTTAATATATGGTATGTTCAGAAAAAGTTCAGGTAGTCTGACTCCAGAATCCACACTCTTACCCACTCTGCTGTCCTACCTTTGTTATGCCTGTGGCCACCCATCGTTGTTCAAATGCCTTTCCTATTTTGGTGAATTTCCTTCCTTTGATGTCTTACCTCCTTAAGACAGAAGGCAGAATTCACTTTTTCAGCCACCCTTACAGTTAGAGTGCAAGCATGGGACAAAGACTCAGCCAATCAATTTTACATATGCCAGATTTATATTCTGAAGAGAGCAATATAAGGAAACAAACAGCATGTTGAATCAGTTTGTGTGTGTGTGTGTGTGTATAGAAAATGGCAACAACAGAGTACCAATTTCAGAGGCAACAGTGGCGAAGATTCAAGTATTCAAGTAAATGGTATCCAGTGGGGCAAGTTGTAAATGGGGCAAGTTGAGATGCCTACACAAAGCCGGTTGCCATGGGCCCTCACTGGAACCTCATGATGTGGTTTGTATGATGTCTTGCATATATAGCTTATAAGGATGACTATGGCTCTCTAGGAGATTGAGTCCATTACTTAATGCCCCTTAATTAATTCCTTTTCTGCCTAAATTAGTTAGAGTAAGTTTGGCTGTTAGTAATTAAGAACCTTGATCGATTAAAAGGGTAGGACCGTTTTTCCAAGGAGATCTGTTATGAGTTCCACTGTTTCATTTAGGATGCTTTAAATTCATATAACGGAACACCCAACTCAATCATCTTCAAAAATAAGGACATTTTTTAACTTTATAACAGGAACTCCAGGCTTCAGGTTGAGTTGATTAGCAGAATAAAGAGATCATCATTGCCTCAGATTCTCCCATTGTTTCTTCTTTGCAGTAACAGCTTCTTTGCAATAATAACTTCATTCAAGGCTGGTTTATCTTGTGGTCATAGCTGTTTGTCTGTCTTTCTTCCTTGTTCAAACTTAGCTTGAGAGTCTTTTGGATGTCTCTCCCAGAAGAACAAGGAAGAACTTTTCTAAAAGTTGCAAGTAAACCTTTTGTCCTGTTTCTTTGCTTTTTAAAGAAATAATGATTGACAATGGAGATACAAGTGTTCTTAAACCAATTAGGCCCACCCTGGGACTATAGTGAGTTCTCCAAATTATGTTGCTGCTGCTCAGTGGGAAGAGGTTGAGTAGAGTCAGTCATAGTGCCTACAGCCCCAAAAGATGAACACCCACCCACAAAGTTATCCATTTATAAACTGCCACTTTGTTAACTTTGAAAAATACTTTTATAACAAGCTGTTGGGATGGGTATTACTAGGAGATCTCTATTTTAAAGATGAGGATACTGAGATTCCAAAAAGTTAAATGACTTGCCCAAGTTTACACAGTAAGGAAGTGATTAAGCAAGGACTCAAATATATGCCTTCTGATTTCAAGGCTTTGTATTTTTTTTTTCACTTAATCATAGCTGTTCTTAGGATAACAAGAGTAAATTAAGTATTTGAAATAATTTCCAGTTATCATGCCAATATCGGAACTTCTCAGACGAATATCACTTAAACTGTTCCCGTAAGTCTTTAATAATCATTTTTTACAATTTATTAGAAATAAGAAACTCTGAAGAAGATCAAGTTCTCTATCTGCCTCTTCTACCTAGCAAAGTAGATCTCCAGCAGGTCACCATAATTCCACACGATGAGTGGAAAAGGATTCAAGATAGCCTTGACAGGTTGACAAGAGAAGCAGCATGCCTCCGTGCAGAAAGAAAGGCAAAGAAAGAAATGCATTTGCGATCTCAAGAAGTGGTAAAACACTGGACTAATACATATGCAGTAAGTATTAACCATCCAGGAGTACACATGCACTGAAGACTTACTCTTGTTTCTTAGTACTCTTATGCTTCTTTTTATAAATTTTTTTACATGTAAAATTTCATAAAAATGCATCGAAACATATTTTCAACAGTGTTATTTAGGTATAAGTGATATACAATGAATTGGACATATTTGAAATGTACAATCCTATAATTTTGACATATGTATAAACCCCAAAACCATCATTACTATTAGGATAATGAACATGTTCTTCACCCCAAAATTTCCTCATGACCTGTTTTGTTCCCTCTTATTTCTCCCTGCTCCTCTTCTGGATCCTTAGGTAACCACCGATCTGCTTCCTATTACAGATTTCATTCAACACAATTACTTTGAGATTCATTCATGTTGTGGGTATCAATTGTTAATTTTTATTGCTGAATCGTATTCCATTGTATGGATATACCACAGTTTGTTTATTTGGTCACTTTTTGATGGTTGACATCAATGAAACGTTGACATTTGAGCTGTTTCCCTTTTTGGCTATTACAAACAAAGCTGCTATGAACATTCACTTATAAGTCTATGTATGGACATATGCTTCCATTTCTCTTAGTAAATATCTTCGTGTAGAATAGCTGTCTTTTATGATAGGTGTATATTTAACTTTGTAAGAAACTTCCAAACTGTTATCCAAAGTAGTTGTAATTTTGCATTCCCAATAATAATCTTTGAGAGTTCTATTTCCTCTCCATCCTCAACAACACTTGGTATAGTTGGTCTTTTTAATTATAAACATTCTAATAGGTGTGCAATATCTCATTATAGTTTTAATTTGAATTTCTCTAAGTAAAAATGATGTTGAATATCTCTTCCTGAACTTATTTTCTATCAGTATATCTTCTTTGTTGATGTATCCATTCAAATATTTTTCCCATTTTAAAATTAGTTTTGTCATTGAGCTTAGATAATTTTTAAACTATATTCCAAATACAAATTCATTATTAGGTATTTGACTTGAAAATATTTTCTCCCACTCTATATCTTGACTTTTCATTTCCTTACTGTGTCTTTTGAAAAGCAAAAGTTTTTACTTTTAGTGAAGTATGGTTTATCAATTTTTCTTGTATATATCATTCTTTTAGTGGCTTATCCAAGAAATCTTTACCTAATCTAATGTCACAAAGATTTTCTCCTATGTTTTCTTTTAGAAGTTTTAAAATTTTAGATTTCACCAAATACTGCATGTTCTCACTTATAGGTGGGAGGTAAATGCTGAGTACACATGGACACAAAGAAGGTAACAGTAGACACTGGCACCTTTTTTTTTTTTTTTTTTTTTTTGAGATGGAGTCTCGTTCTGTCACCCAGGCTAGAGTGCAGTGGGGCAATCTCGGCTGACTGCAAGCTCCACCTCCAGGGTTCACGCCATTCTCCTGCCTCAGCCTCCTGAGCAGCTGGGACTACAGGCATCTGCAACCATGCCTGGCTAATTTTTTGTATTTTATTTTGTAGAGATGGGTTTTCACCATGTTAGCCAGGATGGTCTTGATATCCTGACCTCGTGATCCACCTGCCTCGGCTTCCAAAGTGCTGGGATTACAGGCCTGAGCCACTGCGCCCAGCCGACACTGGCACCTGCTTAAGGATGGAGGAGGGTGGGAGGAAGATGTCGACTGGATATTATGCTGATTACCTGGGTGACAAAATTATCTGCACACCAAATCCTTGTGACTTGCAATTTACCTGTGTAACAAACCTGCGCATGTAGCCTTTGAACCTAAAATAAAAGTTGGAAAGAAATACATATTTTTTGGTTTCCTGTATAGGTCTATGAACCATTTTAAATATGTGCTTATATGCAATGAGGTATTGATTTTTTTTGTTTTTGTGTATGAAGATCAATTGTTCTTGCATAATTTATTGAAAATACCATTCTTTATCCACTACATTGCCTTTGAACTTTTCTTGAAAATCCACTTGCGTATATATATTCAGGCGACATTTCTGCACTATCTATTCTGTTTTATTGCTCTATTTATCTGTCTTTACTCCAATAATACACTGTCTTGATGACTGTAGATTTAATAATAGGTCTTGAAATCATTTCTTTTTCAAAGTTGTTTTCACTATTCTAGGTCCTTTGCACATCCTTATGATTCTTTTAATTTTAATTTTTTATTTTATTTTTATTTTTTTTGAAATGGAGTCTCACTCTGTCGCCTAGTCTGGAGTGCAGTGGTGTGATCTCGGCTCACTGCAACCTCCACCTCCCGGGTTCAAGCAATTCTCCTGCCTCAGTCTCCTGAGTAGCTGGGAATACAGGCCCGCACCATCATGCCCGGCTAATTTTTGTATTTTTAGTAGAGACTGGGTTTCATCATGTTGGCCAGGCTGGTCTCTAACTCCTGACTTCAAGTGATCTGCCAGCCTTGGCCTCCCAAAGTGCCGGGATTACAGGCGTGAGACACTGTACCTGGCCATTATGAAATTTAGAATCTGCTTGTCAATTCATGCGAAAAAGCCAGCTGGAATTTTTATTGGGATTGTGTTGAATCTCTAGATCAATTTGGAGATAGTTACATTATGACAATATTGAATCTTCTGAACCATGAACATATTCTCTCTATTTGTTTAAGGCTTAATTTCTTTCTTTCTTTCTTTTTTTTTTTTTTTTTTTTTTGCAACAGAGTTTCGCTCTTGTTGCCCAGGCTGGAGTATAATGGTAAGGTCTCGGCTCACTGCAACCTCCGCCTCCCGGGTTCAAGCAATTCTCCTGCCTCTGTCTCCTGGAGTAGCTGAGATTACAGGCATGCGCCACCATGCCTGGCTAATTTTGTATTTTTAGTAGAGACGGGGTTTCTTTATGTTGGTCAGGCTGGTCTCGAACTCCCGACCTCAGATGATCCGCCCACCTCGGCCTCCCAAAGTGCTGGGATTACAGGCGTGAGCCACCGCGCCCAGCCTAAGTCTTAATTTCTGTCAGCAGTGTTTTATAGTTTTCAGTATATAGGTTTTATACATCTTTCGTTGGATTTATCCCTAAATATTTCATATTTTTAATATTATGGTAAATGGTATTTTTAAAAGTTTCAATCTGCTATTGTTAGCTTTAGAAATACAGTAAATTTTTCCTGTATTGATCTGGTATCCTGCAACATGGCTAATCTCACTTATTAGTTCTAGTCCCTTCTTGATAGATTCCATCAGATTTCCTACATAGACAATCATGGCATCAGAGAATAAAGACAGTTTTAATTCTTTTTTTTCCAATCTGGATGCCTGTTTCTTTTTCTTGACTTACTGCACTTGCTAGAAGCTCCAATATGATATTGAATAAATGTAGTGAAGGTAGATATTCTTGCCTTATTCCTGACTTTGGGGAAAAAGTACTCATTCTTTCACCTTTAAGTATGATGCTAAGTGTATGGTTTTTGTAGATGTCCCTAATCAAGTTGAAGTTGCCTTCTATATCGAAATTGTTGAGTGTTTTGGTTCTTTTAAAATCAGAAATGGATGTTAGATTTTTTAAAGTACTTTTTTTGATGTCTATTGAGATTATCACGAGGTTCTTATTTTCTAGTTTGTTAAAATTGTGAATTACACTGATTGATTTTTAAATATTCAACCAAGCTTGCATTCCTAAGATAAAACCCCATTGGTCTTAATGTATTATCCTTTTGATGGATTGAATTTGCTAAAATGTTATTAATTTTTGTATCTGTGTTCATGAGGGATATTGGTCCATAGTTTTCTTGAAATATCTTTATCTAGTTTGAGTATCAGAGTCGTGCTGTTTATTGTTATGACGCAGGGTTGCGCAGAAAGCCAGAGTACTCGAAACTGTGAAGAACCAAGGCAGCTTCTCGTCATTTGCCTCTGATTTGTCTGTCTTGCCTGCCTCTTCCTCTCTCTGGAACTGCATAGTGCTTTTGCTGTGCTCCTCTCTGTGCATCTGCTGGCCTCCCTCTGCCTGAAGGTTATAGTAGCCCAGTTTAGCTCCTTATGCATGAATGGGAAACTTCTTTGAAATGGGGAGGTGTCCCCTGACTCCTTTTATTATCTCGCCTGGGGAGAAATGCTGGGAAAAGGTAATCCCTCCCTCCACCCTACTTTCCTCCATTGTTTGAGGCACTGAGAGGCAGGGTTATTTTTGTTTTATGGTAGAATTATTAAAACTACAGATAGGCATAAACTCAGTCTGGAGAGTTCTCACTTGTTTTTTTTTCTTTTTAACATTGCCTGTTTCCTTACTTTGTTGCAGTATACATTATTTATCTTTGGGAAAGGACATAGAAAACTTATAGTACCTCGCTTTAGGAACAATGGTCATAATTTATTAATTCTTTCTTTTCTCAAAGAGGGAAGAATTATATGATGGACTAATATATGTAACATACGACATTCTGAAAAAAGCAAAACTATAGGGAGAGAAAACAGATCAGTGGTTGCCAGGGCCTACAGGTAGGGGGAGTGGTTGACTATAAGACATGATGGGATTTTTTGGGAGGATGGAACTATTTTGTAAGTGACTGTATGCATTTGTAAACTCTACACTATAAGGGCACATGTAAATTATAATATAGAAAACTTGATTTTAAAAACGTCCCTGGTACATAAAGGGATAGGGGATGGGGATATATCCTTTTTTTTTTTTTGTAACACAGAAGTAGCACATGTAACGCTTTAACTCTCCATTGGTATTAAAGATGAATAATAAATGATGATTCATCTTACCAGCAAGACTGTCTATAAACCCATAGTAGTAAAAACTATGATATAGACACGGAGAATGACAAAATAATAGGTCAGAAGAGAGAACCTAGAAACAAACCCATGTTATATATAGGAACTTGACATATAACAAAAATTTCATTGCAAATAGGAAAGGAAAGGGTGGGAATTCAACAACTGATACTGGGATAATTGGCATATGAAAGAGATTAAATTACATCTCAATAGTACAGAATGCAGAAAAATGGATTTCAGCCAGACGAAACACCTAAATTTAAATGGCAAAACACTAAAACTTTTAACATAAATAATAGAATATCTTCAGGATATCAGAGTAAACAAGGTTTTCTTAGGACATAGGAAATAGGACCAATAAGGAAAAGGAAGACCTCATATGACATGAGGAGTGAAGGCCTCAGAGTTATAGAAGAGCATATAAAATATACAACTGTTGGTTTTTTAAAGGAGCAAAAGGAGTGAGATATATATTTATTGTGTAACTGTGGAGAGGAACTTTGGAAGTAGACAAAAGAAACTAATAGTGGTTATCTTAGAATGAGAGGAGATTGCAGATGGGTTGGAAGGTGATATAGTTTGGATGTGTGTCTCCATTCAGATATCATATTGAAATGTAATTCCCAGTGTTGGAGGTGGGGCCTGCTGGGAGGTGAGTGGATCATGGGGGCAGATTTCTCATGAATGGTTTAGCACCATCCCCATTGGTACTGTCCTCGAAATAGTGACTGTGTTCTCGTGAGATGTGGTCATTTAAAAGTGTGTACCACCTCCTGCCTTCACTTTCTTGTTTCTGCTCTGGCCATGACATGCCTGCTCCCCCTTTGCCTTCCGCCACAATTGTAAGTTTCCTAAGGCCTCTCCAGAAGCTGAGCAGATGCCAGCATCATCCTTCCTGTACAGCCTACAGAACTGTGAGCTAATTAAATCTTTTTTCTTTATAAATTACCCAGTCTCTGGTATTTCTTTATAGAAATGTGAGAACAGATTAATACAAAAGGAGAAGTTCATATACCTCTATAATATTTTGGGATTTTGAACCATGTAAATGTGTTATCTACCTAAAAAGGTCGGTCTAAAAAATAAGCTCATAAGTGTAGCCTCATTTTATTTATTAATAAAATATTACAAATACAATAAAAACATAAAAGCTCAAATTATCATATTATTATGTTAAACTGTAGTAAAATTAAATTGAAAAATGAAAACAAAAAATTGTGTTTGTCTTTTTACAGGGGATGAAAGAACAGAAACTTGAAGCCAAAAAGAAGCGTGATGAAGAAATAGAGGCAGAAAGACAAATTCTTGATCTGGAAGAAGAAATATACAAACAAGGAAAAAGAAAAAAGGCCATTGAAAATGCAAAGCAATATCAATTTTACCAGACAGAAAGAGTGAAAAACTTTCATGTACTACTTGAGTTTTCTTGTATTTTTATATATCTTTAACATATCTGTACATAATTAGGCATCATTTCCTTAAAGTACTATAATTTTTCTTTTGTAGTCGGGACTTCTTCTTAGTAGAGTTATGAAAGAACGTGATGCCCAGATTGAATTCCGAAAGAGTAAGATAAAATCAGATAAAAAATGGGAGGAACAGTTGAAACTCAACATTGAAAAAGCTTTTAAAGAAGAACAAGAAAAAGCAGAAAAACGACACAGAGAAAGGGTGGCTCTTGCCAAAGATCATCTAAAACAGTATGTATACATAAAATACCTTTTTGTACCTTTCTCGTTTTCTCATAATGGATGTAGCTTTTTTCTAATTATAAAAGTAATACATGCTAAAATAATTAGTCAGTAGAAAAAGTACAAAAAGGAGGTTAAAAATCGCTATCACTTTCTTACCCAGAGATTGTATATTGGTTATTATTGTCATAATAATGCAACATAATACACAACCACACAATCTAGTGGCATGCAAAAAAAACATGTTTACTTCTCATGCATCTGGGGGTTGGCTGATCTAGGCTGGAATCAGCTGGGCAGCTTTTCTTCAAGCTGTAGGACTGGCTGGGTTTGCTTATTGTTGTGGAGAGTATTCTGATCCGCTCCATGTGTATACATTCTGAGGTTCAGGATGAAGCAGCCACATGGGGAAACTTTTCACATGGTATTGATAGAGATGCAAGAGAGCAAGCCTGAGCATGCAAAAACACAGCGTAACCCAAAGTCAATGGAGAAGGAAGTATACTTGGCCTTCCATCAGTCTAAAGCAACCACATGGCCAACCCCAACAACAATAATGGAACAGAGAAGTAGACTTCCATTAAATTGAGACAGGAAGGGGAAGGGAGTGAATCTTTTTTGAATAATAAATCTAAACTACCAAAGGAAGTTACTATTACTGTTTTGGTATATAGCCATGCAGAGTTTTTTTTTAATGAAGGAGGCATCAGCCTTATTGAAATAAAATTTGCATTCAGTAAAATTCACCTTTTAAAAAGTATAGCTGCATAACTACCACTCAAATCAAGATATGGAACATTTCCATCACTCCCAAAATTTCCCTCATGCCCCTTTGCTCTAAGTTCTATCTCCTGTTCCCAGCCTCTGGCAGTCATTGATCTGGCGACACAGACTTTTTTCCTGAACATATATACTCACATTTTATAAAATGAAATTTGAATTAGCAGCATTGTCTTATTACATGCTTTTTTCACATACCTGTATGTCACATATATAATTTATCAAAATCACATTATGTCTAAATGACACAGACATCAGTTCTCAGAATATATATATATTACCAAATTGTGTATTTTTCAATTCAGTCCTTAGTAACAAGGGAAGAAAAACCTTTGGATTTATTGTAATGTTTTTCTTTGGCAGTGTAGAGATCTAAAGGTTTGTGCAAGTTAGGGACAAAGCCATTGGCAGAGGAAGGCAAGTCTTTGACCAGTGAATCACTTGTGTTTGAGAAATCTCTTTTGTTATATTGCAGCTCAGAGGTGGCAGTCAGATTTCCAGCAAGCTACCTGGCAAGTGCTAACACCTTCACAGGCTGTCTATCCTCCTATAGCCTTTGTATCTGGGCTGTGTTTGGGCCACATCGTGTTTTTTCCTTGTAGTATGTGTCAGTAGGTTAGAGGTTCAAGCTGGTGTAGGATTTATTTTCGTTGTTTCTTTGGCATATCTTCAGTGCAGTCTCGGAAATGTTCATCAAGCTCTGACGTCAGCATAAATTCCTTTACTTACTTCTCATGGTGGGCTTTGTCCTTGTGCATGGTGACCAAGTGTTACCTATCCTCACTGTACTCTCAACTGTTCTATTTTCTTTTGAAATCTCTTGAAAATTCAGTTATGTGGGTAAGACCAGTGGTATAGAATTTCTCCTTTATATTGGTTGCATTTTGGGGAATTAGGAGAGGGAGGATGTTGTGATGGTTAATATTAGATGTCAACTTGATGGGATTGAAGGATGCCTAGATGGCTGGTAAAGTGTCGTTTCTGGGTGTGTCTGTGAGGGTGTCACCAGAGGAGACAGACATTTGAGTCAGTGGTCTGGGAGAAGAAGACCCACCCTCAAGGTGGGTGGGCACCATCCAGTCGGCTGCCGGCACAGCTAGAACAAAGCAGGTAGAAGAAGGTAGGCTACTCTTGCTTGCTGAGCCTTCTGGCTTCCTTATCTATTGGTGCCAGATGCTTCCTTCTGCTTTTCCTGCCCTTGGACATCAGATTCCAGGTTCTTCCGTCATTAGACTCTGGGACTTGCACCAGCAGCTTGCTGGGGGCTCTTGGGCCTTTGGCCACAGACTGAAGGCTGCACTGTGAGCTTCCCTGGTTTTGAGGCTTTTGGACTCCGACTGAACACTACGGGTTTCTGTCTTCCTCAGTTTGCAGACAGACTATTGTGGGACTTCGCCTTGTAATAGTGTGAGCTAATTCTCCCAAATAAACTCACACATACACACACACCCTCTTGGTTCTGTTTCTCTGGAAAACCCCTGACTAATAGAGATGTTCAACATGTGAACCTGGGTTGCCAATTTGTTTCCAAAGTCCTACAGCTTAAATTTAATAAGAAACATTCAAATCTGTAGTTGGAAACAACATAGGAAATTATAAATCTATTATTATATATTTGTTTAAGTGTATGAGTTTACAAACTTATCGCCAAGCTATATTCTGTTTAATGTTTATTCATGTATGGGTTTTATAGAATTCAGAATGCATGTTACTTTAAAATACTGTTACGAATAGGGATGAACCTATAAAAAACCTCTTTAAACCAATAGAAATGGAATAGTAGCACTGGTATTAACCTGAGTTGGGAAGAGGAGCATGTAGCAAAAAAGAGATGCAAAGGAGAGTTACTTTCCCTTTTCTTGAATAAGAGTTTATTCAGGAGCAAAATTTCAAAATAGGCTATTTATTCATTCATTAGGATATTCCTTCATTCATTCATACAAACATTTATTGAACAACCTCCTTTTGCCAGGCACTATTCTAGTCATTGAGAATACAAAGATGAATATGATGTAGTCTTCTTAAGAAGTTCACGGCTGGGCGCGGTGGCTCACGCCTCCCAATCCCAGCATTTTGGTAGGCCGAGGTGGGTGGATCACTTGAGGTCAGGAGTTTGAGACCAGCTTGACCAACATGGTGAAACCCTGTCTCTACTAAAAAAATACAAAATTAGCCAAGCATGGTGGCACATGCCTGTAATCTTAGCTACTCAGGAGGCTGAGGCAAGAGAATTGCTTGAACCTGGGAGGCGAAGGTTGAAGTGAGCCAAGATCGTGCCATTGTACTCCAGCCTGGGCAACAAGAGCGACACTCCATCTCAAAAAGAAGTTCAGAATCTGGGAGTGGAGAGTACAGAAATGGAACAAATAATTAGAATGTAATGATAAATATTTTGGCAAATATGTGTAGAGGGTGTGTGGAAGCATGTAAAATGAGTATCTGACCCAGTCTAGAGAAGGCTTTGCAGAAGAAACTGGTTCCTGCGCCTAATTTCAAAGAATGAATAGTAATAAGCCATGCTAAAAGTGGGCTGTAGAGGTATTTTAAGCACAAGTGAAGGCCCAGAGTGGGATAGAATATGGTGGATTTGGAGAACTCCAAGTAGTCAAGATGGCTGTAGTATAAAAGACAAAGGGGGCATTGTGAAAGATAAGGTTGGAGAGATAGGCTAGGATCGGCTCATGGTGTCTTTTGTAGGTCATGTGCCTTAAGGCCTGCCAAAATTTGGAATGACTGTCTTCTTTGGGCAGAGACCGTATTTTAATTATTTTAATCACAAAGAAATGGAAATTGCAGATTACCAAGGGGCAAGTCTCTTTTTGCATGCCCTATTAATTGTATTACCAAGTGCTACCTTGCGGTGATTTAAAATATTTCCATACGTTCTTTGATACTCCTTCCTTCAGAGGATGGAGCCCAATTTATCTCCCTCTTAAGTGTGGCTATACATAGTAACTCATTTCCAAGAAATAGAATGTGTCAGAAATAATGGTGTGTGACATCTAAGCTTAGGATACTAAAGGCAATGTGGCTTCCTCCTTGCTGTCTCCCATGGATTGCTCATTGGGGAACCTAACTGCTGTGGTGTAAGGATACTCAAGCAGATCAATGGAGAGGTCCATGTGGCAAGGACCTGAGGTATCCTGACACCAAATATGTGACAGTGGATTCTCCAGGCTCATTTAAGCCCTTGGATGACTACTGCTTCAACTGACATCTTGACTACAACATTAGTTGAGAACCATCCAACTAAGTCACTCCCAGGTTTCTGACTCTCAGGAATGGTATGAGATAATAAGTGTTCATTGTTTTAAGCTATTAAGTTTTAGAGTAATTAGTTATTCAGCAATATAAAACTGAAACATATTGCACAGCTGCTGGCCCTGTGCCTGAAAGTGAAAATTTTCACATGCTTTCTAAACAATCTATCCTATGCTACTGTGGGGCTTTGACTAGTATAAGAGTCTTTGTGTGACTCATAGCCCAGTGGGTGTGACGGCGATAAGACAAATAAGATACCACAGTGACACCAAAATCCCAAAATAGAGGGATTTTGACCAGGAATCTTACACATAATTATTAAAAAGAAACTTAACACCGTAGCTATAGACACTGTATAGGTCTTCTTTCTTCTATATATAGGTAAGGCTTCCTCTAGGAACAGACACATAGACTTTGCTTAAGAAAAAACTCACTAATTACTGTCTGTTAATCCCATCAGCTTCACACACAAAAAAAGAAAAAATGGTCATAGGATAGTTTGCATCACTTTTTCCTAGATAAAGATTATTTAGGGAAAGAGTAGAAAGAGAGAAGAGGGCTTAAGTGATCTCATCCATTTTACAGATGTAAGTGCCATCCTAAATCTGATAACTCTAGTCTAGACCATCCCTTTGAACCCCAGCTTCACATATCCAGCTGCTTCCATGGTATCTCCATTTCAATGTCTCATAGTATCTCAAACTTAAAATGTCTACACAGAATTATTGATTTCCAGCGTTTCCAGCGGCATTTTTTTTTTTTTTTTTTTAAGACGGAGTCTCGCTGTGTCGCCCAGACTGGAGTGCAGTGGTGCGATCTTGTCTCACTGCAAGCTCCGCCTCCTCCAGCGGCATCTTTATCCAACCAGTTTTTCAAACCAGAAACCTAATAATTCACCTTGATTCCTCATTTTCCTTTATCTTCCACATCAGATCTCTCAGCAATTCATGTTGATTTTTTTCTCCAAAACAAATCATGAATTTACTGCCATCATCTAGTCCAGGCCACTCTCATGTATTCACATGGGTTGTTGTATCAGTCTCTTAATTGGCCTCACATTATTTATTTGCCAAATTCTTCTTTACTTATCATCCAGAGATATTTTATCAAGATGAAAATTGATCATATTATTATTCTACCTTAAGCACTTCAATGGCTTTCCATTCAACTTAAAATAAAATGGAAATTTGACATCCCCTCCAAGGCTCTGTATGATCTGGCCTGCCTACTTCGCAACCTCCTCTCTTACCAGTCCTTCCTCTTAGTTATGATGCCTCCATTATACTGATCTTCCAGGGCCTCGAACATCTACCAAGCTCTTGCTTGCCTCATGTTTTCTCTATGGTCTGGAATTTTACCCTTCCATTCTTCATCTGTGGACCTCTTACCAGCTCAGAGAGGCCTTCCTGTCTTAGAGTTCAACTTTGGTCAAAGTTATCTAAGTACCTCAATTATTACTCTTTTACTTAGTCTCTTATTTTTTAAAAAACACTACGATTTGTAATTACATTGTCTATTTATAGACATACCTTGTTTGATTGTGCTTTGCTTTATTGTACTTTGCAGATATTGTGTTTTTTACAAATCGAAGATTTGTGGCAACCCTGCATTGAGCGAATTTATCAGCACCATTTGTTCAACAGCATGTCACTTTATGTCTCTGTGTCACATTTTGGTAACTCTCGCTGTATTTCAAATTCCTCAATATTACTGTATCTATTATGGTGATCTGTGATCAGTGATCTTTGATGTTACTATTGTAATGTTTTGGGGTGCCACGAACTGTACCCATATAAGATGGCAAACTTAATTGAGGAATATTTTGTGTGTTCTGACTGCTCTACCAAGCACTGTTCTCCTATCTCTCTCTCTTTCCTTGGGCCTCCTTCTTCCCTGAGACACAACAATATTGAAATCAGGCCAATTAATAACCTTATAATAGCCTCTAAGTATTCAAATGAAAGGAAGAGTTGCACGTCTCTCACTTGAAATCAAAAGCTAGAAATGATTAAACTTAGTGAGGAAGACATGTCAAAAGCCAAAATAGGCTGAAAGCTGAGTCTCTTCCACCAAACAGCCAAGCTGTGAATGGAAAGGAAAAGTTCTTGAAGGAAATTAAAAGTGCTACTCTAGTGAACAAACAAATGATAAGA
This sequence comes from Homo sapiens, assembly GCF_000001405.40. Lineage (NCBI taxonomy): Eukaryota > Metazoa > Chordata > Mammalia > Primates > Hominidae > Homo > Homo sapiens. The sequence goes on along the minus strand of NC_000002.12, from coordinate 169,668,390 downwards.
GAGCCAAACAGCCTTACTGCTGATATGGAGAAAATTCTAATGGTTTGGATAGAAGCTCAAACCAGCCCTGACATTCCCTTAAGCCAAAGCCTAATCCAGAATGAGGTCCTAACTCTCTTCAAGTCTGTGATGGCTGGAGAGGTACAGACACTGCAGAAGAAAAACCTGAAGCTAGCAGAAGTTGGTTCATGAGGTTTGAGGAAAGAAGCTGCCTCCATAACATAAATGTACAAGGTGAAGCATCAAGTGCTAATGTAAAAGCTGCAGCAAGTTATCCAGAAGATCTGGCTAAAATCATTGATGAAGGTGGCCACACTAAACAACAGATTTCCAGTGTAGATGAAGCAGTCTTACATTGGAAGAAAATGCCATCTAGGACTTTCATAGCTAGAAGAGAAATCAATGCCTGGCTTTAAAGCTTCAAAGGGCAGACTGACTCCCTTGTTAGCAGCTAATGTAGCTGGTGACTTTAAGTTGAAGCCATTGCTCATTTACCATTCTAAAAATCCTAGGACCCTTAAGAATTATGTTAAATCTTCTCTGCCTGGGCTCTGAAATGGAACTACAAAGCTAAGATGACATCACACGTGTTTACAGCAAGGCTTACTGAATATTTTAAGCCCACTATTGACATCTGCTGCTCAGAAAAAAATATTCCTTTCAAAATATTACTGCTCATTGACAATGCACCTGGTCATTGTCAATGAGCAGTAATAAGTTCTGATGGAGATATACAAGAGATTAATGTTGTTTTCATGGCTGTTAACATAACGTCCATTCTGCAGCCCATGGATCAAGGAGTAATTTAGACTTTCAAGTCTTACTGTTAAAGAAATGCATTTCATAAGACTGTAGCTGCCATAGATAATGATTCCTCTAATGGATCTGGGGAAAGTAAATTGAAAACCTTCTGGAAAGGATTCACCATTCCAGTTGCCATTAAGAACATTTGGGCCAGGCACAGTGGCTCATGCCTGTAATCCCAGCACTTTGGGAGGCCGAGGTGGTTGGATCACCTGAGGTCAGGAGTTCGAGACCAGCCTGGCCAACATGGTGAAACGCTGTCTGTACTAAAAATACAAAAATTAGCCAGGCATGGTGGCGGGCACCTGTAATCCTAGCTACTCAGGAGGCTGAGGCAGGAGAATCTCTTGAACCCGGGGGGCAGAGGTTGCAGTGAGCCGAGATTGCGCCATTGCACTCCAGCCTGGGCAACAAGAGTGAAACTCCATCAAAAAAAAAAAAAAAGAAAAAAGAAAATTTGTGATTCATGGGAGAAGGTTAAAATATCAACATTAATAAGAGTTTGGAAGAAGTTGATTCCAAACTTCATGGATGACTTTGAGGGGTTCAAGACTTCAGTGGAGAAAGTAACTGCAGATGTGGTGTCAATAGCAAGATAACTAGAATTAGAAGTGGAGCCTGAAGATGTGAGTGAATTGCTGCAATCTCATGATAAAACTTGAATGGATGAGAAGCTGATTCTTACGGATGAGCAAAGAAAGTGGTTTCTTGAGATGGAATCTACTGTGGGTGAAGATGCTGTGAAAACCATTCAAATGGCAGCAAAGGATTTAGAATATTATATAAACTTAGTTGATAAAGCAGCAGCAGGTGGAGAGGATTGACTCTAATTTTGAAAGAAGTCCTACTGTGGGTTAAATGCCATCCAACAGCATTACGTACTACAGAGAAATCTTCTGTGAAGAGTCAATGAATATGGCAAACTTCATTGTCTTATTTTAATAAATTGCCACAGCCACTTCAGCCTTCAAAAGCCTGAAGTAGATGGAATGGCTACATCAGTAGATGTAGATGACATGGCTCACTCAAGAAGCTCGAATTCTAGTGAAGGAGACAAGCAAAAACAAACAAACAAATAAAGTACAGGCATACCTCAGAGATATTGTGGGCTTGAGTGACTATACTTTATTGAGATTTGAGTGACTTACTTTATTGAGATATTCATTTTATTGCACTAGTTTGGAACCAAGCCCACAATATCTCTGAGGTATGCCTGTACTTTATTTGTTTGTTTGTTTTTTCTTGTCTCCCTCACTAGAATTCGAGCTTCTTGAGTGAGCCATGTCTGTTTTATCATTGTAGTAGAAATTCAATAAATACTAGGTAAATGAATGAGAGGTCTAAGGATTAGAGAAGAGTTAGGTATAATTCTTAAGTCCCTAGCATAGGTAACTGAAAAGATGGTGGTACTGTTCACCAAAATAAAGAAAAGAGACCAAAAGGATCAGTTTAGAAGAGGAGGATGATGAATTTGGTTTTAGACATAGAGAAGGTAAAGTACCTGTGTAATAGCCAGGTGATGATGCCTAGTGGGTTGTCTTTATAAGAATCAAGGTAGGCTGGGCATGGTGGCTCATGCCTATCATCCTAGCAGTTTGGGGAGGTCAAGCAGGGAGGATCACTTGAGCCCAGGAGTTCAAAGACCATCCTGGGTAACATAGTGAGTCCCCTGTGGAGTCCTAATTAGGGAAAAGGAGTCAGGCTGGTGGGAGCAAGAAAAAGCCAAAAGAAGATGCAGATAAGCTACAAGCCTGCCTTTCTTCCTGGTTCAGGACATATAGCCCTTCTGCACAAATAATTCACAATCTTCCTGTACTCAACTACCACAAGCTCACTGCAACCTTGATGTTATCAGTACTGCACAAAGCCCTCCTCAGCATACAGCATAAACACTATCCTATAAAACCTCCAGCAAGCCTTGTTTCCTTGTAGTCAGCCTCTCTGTTGTAGGCTGCCCATTGCCTCACTGGCAACGTATTTTTATACTTTTTCTAATAAATTTGCCTTTCTTTATCTACAATTGTCTTGGCAAATTCTTTTACCCTCATGCCAATAGCCCAGATAGCCATCCTTCCCCTGCAACAACTCTGTCTCTCTTAAAAAAAAAAAATAGCTGGAATTAGCTGGGTGTGGTGATGCATGCCTGTAGTTCCAGCTTGGGAGCCTGAGGCAGAAGGATCACTTGAACCCAGGAGTTTGAGGTTGCAGTGAACTATGAGGTTGCAGTGAGCTATGATTGTACCACTACACTCCAGCCTGGATGACAGAGTGAGACCAGTCTCAAAAAACAGTTTTTAAAAATGAAAGAATGAAACCTGTCTGTTGTAATAGAGAGAGAGAACTCAGTTTGGATGTTTGACTACTGACTTCTTTTTTAGGCCTCACCCTCACTTCCCTTTTGGCCCTACATCTGTACAGGCTGATAAGAAGGCTCCTGGAACTCTCCTCCTCCTCTTTTGGCACAAGTGCTTAATTTAAATCCCTCCTGCTCAGAAACTTTTCCTCAGTCCCACTTCCCTCTGCTTTGTCCAAAGCAATCAAGACCTACTTGTGCCTGCCCAGCTCTTCCCAGGAGTCCCTCATGTGAGTAATACTTTCTACCAAGTTTTCTTGGGATGTAGTGTCATCAGTCTGGACATCTGAACCAAATTTTGGGTAGTGGTCTTTCTTGCTTTTACAGGAGAACTATACAACATCTATATAAGCCCAAGAATCAGATCTGTGCTAGATAAGTACAGATTTGGAATCTTCAGAATGTGAATCAAGGATAGCAAGGAGCTGACTCAGGAAGAGCAAGGCGTTGACATATTCAACTCTGATTGCCTGGTGGAGGCTTCCCAATGCATTGTTTGAGAAGGACCAAGAATCAGCAGGAAAGAGTTTTGTGCTGGTTGCTGACTCTGCTTTGGGAATGGGAGCTGGAAGTAATGATATGAATGTTATGTGTTTCTTCCTTGAACTAGAGGATCTCAAATTTACTTCAACAAGTTAACTTTGCATTAAACCAAATTAATGGCATATAGATGACAAGTCTATTCAAACTACCCAAACTAAGGAAAAAGTCCCTTTTGACAGCTAATTAAATTTTTAATTATTGTAAATTATTATGTAAGTCACTGGCAATATATTACATTTTAACTGACTTTAGAGACATTTTTGTTATTATTCTTAGAATAGGTAAATTTTTTGCTGAAATGATGCATTATCCAATGGATGCATAGTTATAATGTTAGTGATTTCCAGATTTGCTAAGAAATGCTAAAGCTGAAAAATTTTAAAGTATCTTCTTGTTTTCCCTTAAAGTAGCAATTTAAAAACTTTGAAAGCTTCTGGTCTTAGAATTGGATGAATCTCTTTTTACAATGTTCTTCAAATCTTTTTTTTTGTTTTTGAGACAGGGTCTTGCTCCCACTCAGGCCAGAGTGCAGTGGCGTGATCTCAGGTCTCTGCAATCTCTGCCACCCAGGTTCAAGCAATTTCCTGCCTCAGCCTCCCAAGTAGCTGGGTCTACAGGTGGGCACCACCACATCCGGCCAAATTTTTTTTTTTTTTTTTTTTTTAGTAGAGTTGGGGTTTCATTATGTTGGCCAGGCTGGTCTCAAACTCCTGACCTCAGGTGATCCGCCCGCCTTGGCCTCCCAAAGTGCTGGGATTACAGGCGTGAGCCACTGCGCCCAGACATGTTCTTCAAATCTTGATTGTTGACTTGTGAGTTTGCTTCTAGGAGATTGGTAGATATAAAATATTAAATAATTCTAACAAAATTCTGGAAGCTTGGTTTTTTTTTTTTATTATTATTTTTAGGGCAATCGTAAACCTGGTTTAGCATTGGCCAACAGTGATCTTTTTCTTACCTCCTCCTAAAGAGAGTGAATCTGACTCTAAAGCTTATTATTCTGCACAGATGAATCAAGTAGGAATCTCCTGTCCTGAATTGGCTTAACAGTAACAAAGTGAACTTGTTGGCTCACTTAACTGTACAGTCCTCCATGGCATAGGGGAAGGGAATTTTCCCTTCCCTGAACCTGAGTGAGGGGACTCCAGTAAAAAATGTTTTCTCGATTGGGTGCATATGAAAGAAAGGTTGGCTGGGTACATTGGCTCATGCCTGTAATCCCAACACTTTGGGAGGCTTAGGCGGGAGGATTGCTTCAGTCCAGGAGTTTGAGACCAGCCTGGGCAACATAGCAAGACCCCATTTCTATAGAAAAAAATTTTTTTAAAGAAAGAAAGGTTTATTCCTCAGACATTCATCTATTTAGGTGGGTTGTCGACCTGCCCTATGCCTACCTTTTCAGGAAAAAAAAAAAAAAGAGAGAGAGGGCAGATAGAGTAGTGAGAAAGCCTGTATATTGTTGATTGGCTAGCAAGGATGCGTGAGTTTTCCATGGGCAAGGAGACAACTTGGACTTGCGCTGTCTTGCCAGTATGCAGAGGTTTGGCTGCTGGATGAAGGGCCTTTGAGACCTGGAGTCTTTAATCAACTGCTTAGTGTGGGAGCTCCTGGTAGCGATAGTGGTGGGGTTTAGGGGTGAGCTGAAGAGATGGAGCTGGAGCTAAATCACTCAGATCAGGGCTCTGCAGTGAGGAGGACCCTCAGGGATCTCTGAGGAACTCACACATGTGTTCTGAAAGATAGCCAGGGAGGCTCACAATTCAGAAGAAATTATCAGCTAGTCAATACTGGCTACAGAAAGAATTACAACCCAAGTGGTCAGTTGAGTAAGGAGACCTTTCTTCCTTTCATTCCATCAAACTGCATTCCTTGAGAGGCTAGGCCCATGGCTTATGTAGCATCATCTAGGGCTGAAGTTGGGAAGCACTAGGGATTAGGAACCTTTCTGTAAAATAATGTCACCATTTCTTCTTACTGTCATCCCATTAACTGGTTCTTTCTAAAGGAAAAGAACACTTACTTGGGTGAGTAATGAAATAAATTTTGAAGCAAGGAAAGTATTGCCAATTCTAGGTTAACCAAGATTGGATTAGTTTTAGTCACTGCTATTTAATGTCTGTTCTTTTCCCCCAAAGAAATTCACAGATTTTTCCTTGCAGCTTCAACTCATTCCAGGTTGGAATTGAATTCATTTCTTAAAAATATAACCTATTTTTCTGCTTTGTTCTCAATTATAATTATGTTTTTGCTTTAGAATAAAGGAACATGAGGAAGAAGAGGAAAGAAGGAAAAAATATGAAGAAAAAGATGCTGAGGAAATAAAGCGACAGAATGCATTATATGAAATTGAAATGAGAAAAAAACTAGAAAAGAAAAGAGAAGAGATGCATGAAAGCAGGAGACGGTTTCTTGTAAGTTGAAAGGGCAAAAGTTCCAAAAAGGTTCAAAGTCAAATGCCCAACTTTTAAAATTGATACATAATATATTTGTACATGTTTATGGAGTACATGTGGTATTTTGACCCATGCATACATTATGTAATGATCAAGTAAGGGAATTTAGGTTATCTGTCACCTTGAACATTTATCATTTCTTCGTGTTGGGAACATTTCAAATCTTCTAGTTATTTTGAAATGTACAATATATTGTTGTTAACTATAGTCCCCCCACTAGGCTATCAAACACTAGAACTTATTCCTTATATCTAACTGTAAGTTTGTACATCCCCACTGTGTCTCCACATCCTTACCAGCTTCTGATAGAATAACTGTCATTCTAGTCCCTGCCTCCACTAGATCACTTTTTAGCTCACACATAATGAGTGAGAACATAATATATTTGTCTTTCTGTGCCTGCAAATGCCTAACTTTTAATATTTAAAAAAAAGTGGAGTAGAAAACAAGTTGCTATTAAGTTGGGTTTCTAAGGGAGTGCATCCTTTTGGGATAGCTATATTTGCTGTGGTTTTATGTGCATGTGCTCTCATGCATGAACAAGAAAGAGAGAAGAGAAAATGAGATTTTAAAACAATGAATATATTTTCTTGAGAGTTGTGAGGAATGAATGGGGTGATTTATGTTTGGTGTCTGTTGTGCCATTAATATGTGCTCCACAAATGGTAATATTTTTGTCGCAGTTCACCACAGGGGCATGTTTGAAGGGTCTTCTCGTCCCAGTGCCACTGCTCTCTAGCTCCAGGCCTGGGGCTTCCCCTAGCACTGCTGAGGAGCTGTCTGTGCAGCTCAGCCCCTGGAGGGCAGAGGAGAGGGGCTGAGAGTGCTTGGAGGTTCAAGAGGAGGATAAAAGGATAAGGATAGAATTACAAGCAGTGCCTGAAAATGCCCAGCCTACAGAATCTGAAAAGGAAATTTATAATTAATTAGGTGAATGTAGTATTAAAAGATGCAAACGGCATCTTGGAGGACTTACAGTCATACAGAGGAGATGACCATGAAATACAAGAGGTAATCCAGCAGCCAGCAGATGAGAAGTTGCAAGAGAAGGCATGGGGTGCATTTGTTCCACTGGGAGGCAAATTAAAGAAATTTTATGAATTGTCTCAGCGGTTAGAAGCAGCATTAAAAGGTCTTCAGGGAGCCTTGACAAGTACGCCATATTCTCCCACCCAGCATCTAGTGCAAGAACAGGCTTCTGCTAAAGAGTTTTCAGAAGTTCTTCATTTCACACTCTGGTTTGATGAACTCAGGATGACAAATCCTGCTATACAGAATGATTTCAGCTATTATAGAAGAACATTGAGTTGTATAAGGATTAATAATGTACCATCAGGCCAGGCGTAGTGGCTCATGCCTATAATCCTAGCACTTTGGGAGGCTAAGGCAGGCAGATCTCTTTGAGCTCAGGAGTTCGAGACCAGCCTGGCCAACATGGTGAAACCCTGTCTCCACAAAAAATACAAAAAATAGCCAGGCAGGGTGGTGCACGCCTGTGGTCCCAGCTACTCAGGAGGCTGAGGCTGGAGGATTGCTTGAGCCCTAAGTGGAGGTTGCAGTGAGTCAAGATCGTGCCACTGCACTCCAGCCTGGGCAATAGAGCAAGACTCTGTCTCAAAGAAAAAAAAAAAAATATATATATATATATAAAATAAGCAACCTAATGAGGCATCTTAAAGAACTAGAAAAGCAAGAGCAAACCAAACCCAAAATCCCTAGACACAAACCAAGTGCAAAATTAGTAGAAGAAAATAAATAATAAAGATCAGAGCAGAAATAAATGAAATGGAAAGAAACAAAACAAAACAAAAAAAAACAGTGAAATGAAAAGTTGATTTTTTTTTTTTTGAGACAGAGTCTTGCTCTGTCAACCAGGTTGGAGTGCAATGGTGTGATCTCAGCTCACTGCAACCTCTGCCTCCTGGGTTCAAGCAATTCTTCTGTCTCAGCCTCCTGAGTAGCTAGGATTACAGGCACGCACCACCACGCTCAGCTAATTTTTGTATTTTTTTTAGTAGAGACAAGATTTCACCATGTTGGCCAGGCTGGTCTTGAACTCCTGACCTTGTGATCTGCTCGCCTTGGACTCCCAAAGTGCTAGGATTGCAGGCATGAGCCACCGTGCCCAGCCAGAAAAGTTGTCTTTTTTTTTTTAAAGATAAACAAAATTTACAAACCTCTAGCCAGATTAAGAAAAAAAGAGAAGACCTGAATAAAAAAACTCAGAGATGAAAAATGAGACATTACAACTGATGCTGCAGAAATTCAAAAGATCATTAGAGGCTAGTATGAGCAACTATATGTCAATAAATTGGACAATCAAGAATACATGGATAAGTTCCTAGACACATACAACCTATCAAGATTGAACCATGAAGAAATCCAAAACCTGAACAGACCAATAACAAGGGATGAGATTGAAGCCATAATAAAAAGTCTTCCAGTAAAGAAACTTTTGAGTTAATGCTGGAATGAGTTAAGACTTTGGGGACTGTTGGGAAGGCATAATTGGTTTTGAAATATGAGAAGGACATGAGATTTGGGAGGGGTTAAGAGCAGAATGATATGGTTTGGCTCTGTATTGCCACCCAAATCCCTTGTTGAATTGTGATCCCAAGTGTTGGAGGTGGGTCCTGATGGGAAGTGATTAGATCATCGGGGGTGGTTTCTAATGGTTTAACACCATCCTCCTAGTGCTGTCTTGTGAGTGAATTCTCATGAGATTTTGTTGTTTAAAAGTGTGTAGCACTTCCCCCTTCACACTCTCTCTGTCTTACCATCATTTGAAGACATGCTTACTTCCTCTTTGCCTTATGCCATGATTGTTAAGTTTCCTGAGGCCTCCCAGCCATGCTTCCTGTACAACCTGTGGAACTTTGAGCCTATTTAAACCTCTTTTCTTCATAAATTACCCAGTTTCAGGTAGTTCTTTATAGTAATTTGAGAATGGACTAATACAGTAGGTATCATAAGACTCTATGATTAAGTATATTCAGTGGGAGCATTTGCCAAAACTTCCAAACTTGGTATGAAAGGTTGTACCAAGTTCTTTTTTTTAAAGCCCAATCTGGTGGACAAAGGTAACATATCTTCCTGATTTTTTATTTATTTTATTTTTTGAGATAGGGTCTTGCTCTGTTGCCCAGGCTGGAGTGCAGTGGCATGATCACGGCTCACTGAAGCCTTGACTTCCCAGGCTTAAGTGATTCTCCCACCTTAGCATTCTGAGTAGATGGGACTAGGCATACACCACTATGCCTGGCTACTTTAAAAAATTTTTTATAGAGATGGGCTATGTTTCCTAGGCTGGTCTCCAACTCCTGAGGTCAAGCAGTCCTCCTGCCTTGGCCTCCCATGGTTCTGGGATTATAGACATGAGCTACCACAACTGGCCTGTATCAGAGTTCTTAAGGACCAACCTCCTAATAGTGTAAAATATCTTCTAAATGCTCTCCGGTACACAATAAAACATTTGAATGATCAGACTAACTCCAAGCAAATTAAATCCATGATGCAATAACAGTTCGGGAATAAGCACCTGTTGTAGACAGAAGACAGTATTCTGCACTGACTGAGAATACAGTTTTTTAGTGATTGCAATTACCATGACATTTTTCTTGCTTTTATGTCTTCCTCTGTTCCTCTTCTCTCCTTTAAGATCATGTTCTTATTCCTAAGACTTCTTCTCTATACCCAAATTAGTAAAGTTATACTCTAAAGAGATATTGTCCTTTCAAACAGGTAACCTACAGCAGCTAATTATTGGGGTCTCTACTGAGAAAAATTCTGTGACTTTTATCTAAATATTTTCAAATGTGAATTTTGGGGAAACTAATATTTATTTGCTTCTCCTACATGGCAAAACTGCCAATTCTGCTATTTGAAAACCCCCAATGACTTTATTTTCTACTATCACTTTTTTCATGTGCTGCCACAAAATGAAAATGTTTAAATATGTTGTACAAATGGTAGCCAACACAAACTTTTTTGTAGTTTTTAAGAGTTTAAAGTTTTAATTTTACATTTTGACCTTTTTTGTAAGGGTGTATGTTATGTGTTTCACCTTTGTTAACATTAAAAACTGTGATGTGTGCATAGAATATTACTTTCTAGGGCTAAATCTCTGATTTCCTGAAGCTTATGTCTTTTTCTTTCTTGATTTACTCCCTCGTCTTGCTATAATACACCTTTGAATAGCTTCCTTAAGAATGGGTGTATGAGAGGTAAAATTTTTTAATTATCTGAAAAGTTTATTTTTTACTCATTTTTATTTATTTTATTATTTTTTAAGGACAAGTATGATAGTATGAAAAGCTTATCTTTTAAAGTCATGCATGATTTACAGTTTGATTGGTTATAGAATTCTGGGTTCAGAATTCAGAATTTTGTATTAATTGTTTCATATTCCTCTGGCATCCAGTATTGCTACTGAAAAGTATGATGCCATTGATGATCTTCATCTGACATATGTAATCATTTTTACTTTTCTTTCTTATTTTTTTTTTGTTTCATTTTGTTTTGAGACAGTTTCACCCTGCCTCCCTGGCTGGAGTGCAGTGGCATGATCTTGGCTCACTGCTGCAACCTCTGCCTCCTGGGCTTAAGCACTTCCTGTGCCTCAGCCTCCCGAGTAGCTGGGATTACAGGCATGTGCCACATACCCGGCTAATTTTTGTACTTTTAATAGAGACAGGGTTTCGCCATGTTGACTAGGCTGGTCTCGAACTCTTGGCCTCAAGTGATCTGTCCGCCTTGGCCTCCTGAAGTGCTGTGATTACAAGCATGAGCCACTGTGCCCAGCCATTTTTCTTTTTTTCTTTTTCTTCTTTCTGTCCGAATGGTTTTAGGGTCCTGTCTTTATCTCTGGTGCTCCAAAATTTTACAGATGTGCCTTGAATTATGTGCCTTCATTCATTTTTCTGGGCATTCAGTTGATGCTTTTATTCTGTAAACATATTTCTTTCATCCTGAGAACTTTTATTGTTTTATTTCTTAGATAATTTTGTCCCCTCCCATTTTATCTTTCTATTGTTCTAGAATCCCTCTGATAGACATTGGATTTTTTGAAATAATGCTCTAATGTCTAAGAATCTTTTCTCATTAGTTAAGAGAAGGCTTAAATGCATGTGATAGAAAACCCAAAATAATATACAGGTTTAAAGTGCAGGGGTGTCTGGTAATGGCAGCTATAGAATTAACAGGGACTAAGACACCTTCGACACCTTCTTCTCTTTTTTTTTTACTCTGTTCTTTTTTTTTTTTTTTTTTTTTTTGAGATGGAGTCTTATTCTGTCACCCAGGCTGGAGTGCAGTGGCATGATCTCAGCTCACTGCAACCTCTGCCTCCCAGGTTCAAGCAATTCTCCCTGCCTCAGCCTCCCAAGTAGCTGGGATTACAGGCACCCACCGCCATACCCCACTAATTTTTGTGTTTTTAGTAGAGATGGGTTTTCACCATGTTGGCCAGGCTGGTCTTGAACTCCTGACCTCAGGTGATCTGCCTGCCTCAGCCTCCCAAAGTGCTGGGATTACAGGTGTGAGTCACCACGCCCGGTCTACTCTGTTATTCTTTGTACATAGATGGCATCTGTTCTCAAGTTTGCCTCATGGCCCTGAATAGCTGCTGGAGTTTTAGCCCTCATCTCCACATTCTGGATAGCAAGAAAGAAGAAAGGATGAAGGTCAAAAGGGAGTACTCTATTTCCTGTCTCCTTCTCCTCCTCCTCCTCCTCCTCCTCCCGCACCTCCTTCTCCACCACCTTCTCCTCCTCCTCCTTCTCTACTTCATCTTCCTCCTCTTCCTTCTCTTCCTCGTCCTCCTCCTTCTCTACTTCATCCTCCTCCTCCTCTTCCTCCTCTTTCCTCTTTCTTCTTCCTTTTTCCTCCTCTTCCTCTCTTCTCCTTCTCCTCCTTCTTCTTCTTCCTCTTCTTCCTCTTCCTCTTTTTTTGAGACAGGGTCTCACTCTGTTTCCCAGGCTGGAGTGCAGTGGCACGATGTTGGCTCACTGCAGCCTTGACTTCCTGGGCTTAAGTGATCCTCCCACCTCAGCCTGCCTGGTAGCTGGGACTACAGGCATGTGCTGCCATACCTGTCTAATTTTTGTGGTCTTTTTTGTAGAGATGGTTCTGGTATGTTGCCCAGGCTGTTCTCCTTTTAAGGAATTTTCCAAGAAGTCCCACTTAACAGTTTTCCCTGAATCTCATTGGTCATAATTTTGTTACACCTGGCTGAAAAGAAAGCTGCACATGTAGTCTTTCAGCTGAGCATATTTCTACCCTGAATAAAATCTGGGTCCTGCTGCTAACGAAGCTTAGGCAACTAATTGTTTCTGCCGTTTTCTTTTTGTTCTACTGAGTTTCAACTTTGTATTCTAAGTCTTCTATTAATTTTTTTATTTTAGCTATGAAAATTTTAATTCCTAAGACTTTTACTTGAAATGTTGTTATTGTTTTCATTAAAATCTGATTATTGGTTAAGGGGTGGAATAATTTTTATGTCTCCAAGTAGGCTTGGAGTAGGACAGACCTAGTTTTTAATGCTAACTCTGCCATTTACTGGCTATATGACCTTGAGCTTAAGCTTTCAATATTGAAAAATGAGAATTAACTCTGTGTTAATCAAATCTGTATTTTTTGTATTATAAAAAGTCTTTGTGAATATTAGAATAAACTTGGAGAAAACAGCAAAATAAAACATGTAAGGAATTATCCAAAACACTTTTAACAGTTTGCTGTTTGCTTTAGTTTTTCATATTGATCATATTGACCAATATATTTCCTATCCAGATTACAGGCTTTTAAAATTAACCCATAAAATAGGAGATTAGTTAAGAGTGCTGGGCACATAGTAGACCCTGAGTTATAAATATATTGGAAGATTAAGTGATGCCCCTAACAACTTTTACCTTGAATTGGTTTCTACTTACATAATAACAGAATATGCCAGGCACGGTGGCTCGTGCCTGTAGCCCCAGCTACTCTGGTGGCTGAGGTGGGAGTTTCCCTTGAGCCCCAGAGTTCAAGGCTTTCATGAGCTGTGATCATGCCACTGCACCCTGGGCAACAGACACCCTGTCTAAATAACAGAATATACTAATATATCTATATATTCAGGCTATTGTGCTCAATGGCATCTGTTTTTATGATGGCTAACTCAGGCTGAGATCATAGAACATATGCTAATATGAACAGATTTTACTTTTTGTTTTAAATACTAGTGACCTACTTTTACAATTTTTGTTAGAATACATATCTGTTTTTTCTTATATGTATGCAAAAGCAAAGTTTGGACAAGAAACTAGCAATAGTGATTTGAGTCTGGAGGGAGGATTAGGAAGAGACATAGTGGATGGAGTGGAAGGACGCTCGCTACACTGTGTATGTAAAAAAACATTTTTGGTTTTTGAACCATATGACTATTCAAACATTAAATGAACTTTATATTATATATATATATTTGGTGTATTTTTTCTTATACAATTATTTTAAATTGTATACTTTAAAGACATGAGATACTTGAAGAGAAATACAGAAAAGCATTAAGAAGATATAAAAGTTACCTATTATCTCATACCCCAGGGATAACTACTGTTAACATTTGACACATTTCTTCCAGTCATTTATACATTATAAAGTTGTACTTACATGTATTTGTGAAATTGGAATATACTATGTAATGTTACATATTCTGCTTTCCCCCACCTACTTATTGATTATATTATTTGAATCACATCTCATGTAATTGAGAGTATGATTTATTTAACTATATTCTCAATGATTATTCTCTATGATTGAATATTTAGAGGTTGTTTCCATTTTTTTGCTATTATAAATAACTTTGAGATAAATTACATGACACATAAACCTTTATGCACTTCTCTGATCATCTCTTTGGGATAAAATTTCCAGGAGAGAAATAACTGGGTCAGAAGCTGTGACCATTTGACAGGTTCTTGTTAGCTACTGATATGTTGAAAGATATTTTTCTTTGTGATAAGTTAATATATACAATTTTTCCCCCAAGGAACATATGCAGGATAAACATATTATCAAAGCTGTAGAACAGCAGCAGCAAGAGGAAGAAGATGAAAAGATGAGAAAATTCATCAAAGCAAAAAAGCGTCTTATACAAATGGGGAAAGAAAAAGAGGCTGAAACACACAGGTAGGCTTTAATAATGTGTATAATAAAGTACTATCTGAAATTATTATGATTTTATGATTATTATGACAGTAGTCTTTAGGAACAGAGATCTTATTTTATATATGACTAGAGCATTCAGTGACTTGATTTCAGTTTGGGACGTGGGTGTGAGGACATCATCTTGTAGATGGTCAGAAATGCTGATCTGCCATCCCAGAGGAAGTATGAGCTGAAGATGGCTTTGTGAGTCATTGGTATATAAGTGGTAGTTGGAGTTGTCGATACAGATGAGCTCACCTAGGGTGAGTAGGTAAGAAATGAAGGTGGCATAGTCCCTAGGGAACTCCATTTAAAAGTCAAATGGAAAAAGAAGATAACACGAAGACCAATAAATAGTTTCCAGAGATTGGAGGAAAACCAGGGAAACATCAGAGAGAAGACTCTCAGTAAGAAGGGAGCAGTCATCAGTATTAGGTCGTAATGGGATTAAGTACAATTTTTAAAATGAAGTATTCATCAGATTTAGAGGACATTGCTTATATTAGTGAGCAGTTTGGTATGGGGTGTAGAGGTAAGAGTAGGAGGCCAGATTGCAGTACAGGGGGTTTCTGTCTAAATCATGCTTTCCCCTTGTGCAAAATCCTCTGATGGCTTCACATCTCACTTAGTCTTTACAATGGCCCATAAGGCTCTCCACCTACCCAAATTTCCATCTTCCCAGCTCATCCCTCCCAGCCTTATCCCTCAGACCTCTTCTCTTACTATTCCCTCCTCTCCCTCTTCTCACCTGCACTGGACTGGCCTCTGCCTGCTCTAAGGAATGCTCACCTCCAGAGAGCACGTAACTTGCTTTCTTAACTCTTTCAGATCTGTACTTAAATATTACCTTCTCATTGAGGCTTTCTCTGACTACTTTATTTAAAATTATACCCCCTCCCCAATTGCTTATCACTTTACCTGCTTTCCTCGCCCTCGTTGCTTGATATATAGCACTATATATATATACATACATATATATACACACATACATATATATATATATATATATATATATATATATATATATTTTTTTTTTTTTTTTTTTTTTTTTTTTTTTGAGACGGAGTCTTGCTCTGTCGCCCAGGCTGGAGTGCAGTGGCGCGATCTCGGCTTACTGCAAGCTCCACCTCCCGGGTTCACGCCATTCTCCTGCCTCAGCCTCCCAAGTAGTTGGGACTACAGGAGCCCGCCACCAGGCCCGGCTAGTTTTTTTTTTGTAATTTTTAGTAGAGACGGGGTTTCACCGTGTTAGCCAGGATGGTCTCGATCTCCTGACCTCGTGATCCGCCCGCCTCGGCCTCCCAAAGTGCTGGGATTACAGGCGTGAGCCACTGCGCCCGGCTATTTTTTAAAACTATTTATTTTGTTTACTGTCCCTCTCCTCCAGCAATCATGAAAGCCCCATGAGGGCAGAGATTTTTATTTTTATTAAAACTTTTTTTTAGAGATGAGGTCTTGCTATGTTGCCCAGGGTGGAGGACAATGACCATTCACAGGCGTGATCACAGTGCCCTGTAGCCTCAACCTCATAGCCTCAAGGGATCCTTCTATCTTAGCCTCTTGAGTAGTTGGGACTAAAGGTGCGCACCACCATGCCCAACTTCTAATGTTTTTGTTCACTGTTATGTCTGTCCCCAGCACCGGGAATAGTGTCAGGAGCATAGTAAGCAATCAATAAAACTGTTTAAAATACTATTTTTTGGAATTCTACCAGAAATGTCACCTTTTCTCTGAAGGCTTTCTTTTTTTCTCATTTGTCCATATCATTTTCTAGCTTTCTCATGGCATTTATTATCTTTTGTCTTCTATAACTATAAAGACATTTGCATAAATGTCTTTTCTCCACTTTAAATTGTAATTTCCTTGGAGTATGCACTGTATCCTTTCTCATCATTTCTCACATGCTGCTTTGCCAATTCACTAAG
Organism: Homo sapiens; assembly: GCF_000001405.40. Lineage (NCBI taxonomy): Eukaryota > Metazoa > Chordata > Mammalia > Primates > Hominidae > Homo > Homo sapiens. The sequence continues at coordinate 169,652,131 of NC_000002.12, read as the reverse complement.
TGAATTTGTCACAACAAAATTATTTTTTATGCAATTTCATAAATAAAAATGCCCTAATTTAACAAGATGTATTCTTATGATGTACCAGGCACATGCTTAGGCTCTTAACTAGAGAGAGGACCCATTCAATTTCTGACCTGAGGAATCTCATAGTGAATTTGAGAGGCCAAAGTAGGAGGATTGCTTGAGGCCAGGAGTTTGAGACCAGCCTGGCCAGCATAGCAAAATCCTGTCTCTTAAAAAAAAAAAAAAAAAAGGAACCTTATAGTGTAAAGGGAGAAATTTAAACAGATCAAGTTAAAAAAGTGCTGTGAATAAATTCCAGACAGAGTATTGTGAGGGGATGGATATTTAGGATTTTGATAACTTTTATTAGATTATTTCCTTGATTTTATTTAAATAAAGGCCTTTTATAGCCTCAGCCTCCAATGATAGAGTAAGCAGGGTAGTCTGATAAAATATTGAAATATTTTCTGTGGCCAGGTGCAGTGGCTCACACCTGTAATCCCAGCATTTTGGGAGGCTGAGGCGGGCGGATCACTTGAGGTCAAGAGTTCAAGACCAGCCTGGGTACATGGTGAAACTCCCTCTCTACTAAAAATAAAAAAACTAGCTGGGCTGAGGCAGGAGAATCGCTTGAACCCAGGAGGTGGAGGTTGCAGTGAGCCAAGATTGTGCCACTGCACTCCAGCCTGGGTGACAGTGAGACTCAGTCTCAAAAAAAATTTTTTTTCTTTTTTTTTAATAGAGTCTCACTCTGTCACTCAGGCTGGAGTACAGTGGTACATAGCTCACTGCCACCTTGAACCCCTGGGCTCAAGCAGTCCTCCTGCCTCAGCCTCCTGAGTAGCTGGGACTACAGGTCCGTGCCACTGCGCTTGGCTAAATTTTTTTTTTTTTTTTTTCAGACAGAGTCTTGCTCTGTCGCCCAGGCTGGAGTGCAGTGGTGTGATCTCGGCTGACTGCAACCTACGCCTCCTAGGTTCAAGCGATTCTCATGCCTCAGCCTCCTGAGTAGCTGGGATTACAGGCGCCTGCCACCACGCCCGGCTAATTTTTGTATTTTTAGTGGAGACAGGGTTTCACCATGTTGGTCAGGCTAGTCTCGAACTCCTGACCTCGTGATGTGCTCGCCTCAGCCTCCCAAAGTGCTGGGATTACAGGTATGAGCCACCACGCCCAGCTTAAAAAATTTGTGGAGATGGGGTCTTGCCATCTTGCCCAGGCTGGTCTCTTAACTCCTGGGCTCAAGCGATCCTACCACCTCAGCCTCCCAAAGTGTTGGGATTACAGGCATGAGCTACCACACCTGGCCTAAAATATTTTTCAGTGTAGATAATTTTAAGATCTTATTTCTTAAACACACACACACACACACACACACACACACACACACAGATTATACATATTACTGTCTTTGGATTTTAGAATATATGTTACTTTATAGTTAAAAAATAATGTCCACTTAAAATAATATATGTAAGGAGCAATGGGGCTCCTGTTAGTTTTGTAAGAGACTGCAAAATATCTCAGATTCCCTAATTAAATTATGTTGGCTCCATTGGACATGTGTTCATGAAGATTTGACGAGTATGGTTATTTTGTTATAGGCTTATGGAGAAACGAAGAGAAAGAATACATAACTTCCTGAGTGAACTGTTGAAAGAGAAACTTGACAATGAAGATATGATTATTGCTAGAGATATTGCAGAAGCTGAGGCTGAATGGGAAAAAAGAGAAAGAGAAAAAGATGAAAAAAACAAAGCAGAATTAAAAACAATTGCAGAATATCGAGCCATTGTGGTAAACAATTCAATTATGAAAATAAAAATAGAAAGACAGAGTTAGGACCTTTCCACTGTGTTTTCCATCTCATCTGCCTCTCTAACCAAAAACTAGCCAAGATATTAAAAACAATGTATGAATTATCTTCCTGTATTTTTGAAATTGGACAATGTTTACTTCCTAACAAAGATGACACGACAGTTACAAAAAAGATATTTATAGATGCAAAGTAATAATCTCTTCTGTTTCAGAACCATCTGAAACGCAAAGGTTATTTGTTATACTTTTCATTTGTAGGTTTTAAAGACAAACCATGTAAAAATTATACATTTCTGTTTCTTAATATTTTAAAACATATCTTACATGACTGTCATAACATTTAATTTGGATAGTTTATACACATTGGAGCAATTTTTTTTTTTTTGAGACAGAGTTTTGCCCAGGCTAGAGTGCAGTGGTGCGATCTCAGCTCACCTCAACCTTCGCCTCCTGGGTTCAAGCAATTCTCCTGCCTCAGTCTCCAGAGTAGCTGAGATTACAGGCATGCGCCACCATGACTGGCTAATTTTGTATTTTTAGTAGAGACAGCGTTTCTCCATGTTGGTCAGGCTGGTCTCGAACTCCTGACCTCCCGAGGTGATCCGCCCACCTCGGCCTCCCAAAGTGCTGAGATTACAGGTGTTGAGCCACCAAGTATGGCTGGAGCAATTAATTTTTTACTTACATATATTTCCCTTCCTTGAGAAGATCTTGCTTTTCATCTTTTTCAAGCCAATAAGGATTGTCCTATAGCACTTGGGTATTTTCTGATATTCAGGAAATAGAACAAAACCAAAGTAAACTGGCCGCATGGGAACCACCCCAGGTGCATGCACTTTTCTGCTCCTGCATTGCTCCTGGCTGACTCTCCTCTGCTTCAACTCTCTGACTCTGTGCCTTTTCAGACAAGACTGGTTGCTATAACTGGTTTTATATGTTTCCTTTGCCTTTAAACATCTAGATGAAAAATAAAGAGGAAGAAGAAAGACAAAGAAAAATAGAGGCTAAAGAACAATTGCTGGCTGTCATGAAAGCAGATCAGATTTTCTGGGAACATGAAAAGGAGAAAAAATGCAAAGCTGATAAAGAACATCAAGAGGTTCAAGATGCCCATATTCAGCAAATGGTAATTACTCCTGAATGTTTATAATTATGTTAGTAATAAGTATATAATACAGAATTCATGCTAGTTTTCTACTCCCAAGCAGTTTCATCAGGTAAGAAAAAAATGGTCATTATGGTTATGACACAATAAAATGTATTAAAAATGTGAGGTTTGTTTCTATCTCCAGTGAAGTTCCCATGTGAGTTTTATCTTTTAAATGAATGTTTATCCTTCTTTAGTGTCTATTATACTTCAGTAAATATTAAAGAAAATACAAATGCATGTGGAGGCCATAATGTTCATCTTGTTTTACTTTTTTCCCATATCTCAGAGACTATGTTGATTGCGATCTCATAGGTTTCAGATTTGAGGAATGGAGATATCAGATTTTAAAAGATGTGTAGAGGACCTAGCATCCAATCATTTGTAACTAAAACCTGTTTTTGAAATGGTTGTACCATTTTCCATTCCTACCAGCAATGTATGCAAGCACAACTTACTCCACATACTCATCAACACTTGATAGTCATCCCTTAATTTTAACTATTCTAGTATAGTGATATCTTATGGCTTTATTTTACATTTCTCTAATGACCAAAGATAATGGACATTTTTTTCACATCCTTGCTAGCCATCTGCATACCTTCTTTTGTGAAGTGTCTATTTAAGAGTGTTGCCAATTTTTAATTGGGTTGTTTTCTTAGTGCTGAGTTTTTTAAAATTGATTTTTATTGTGGTAAAATATACATAACATAAAAAGTACCATTTTAAGCATGGTTAAGTGTACAGTTCAGAGGCATTGAGTACATTCACATTGATCATGGCCACTATACATCTCCAGGGTTTTTCATCATCCTGTACTAAAACTCTGTACATGTTAAACAGTAACTCCCTATCCCCTCTTTTCTCCAGTCTGAGTAACCTCTGTTTTACTATCTCAATGGATTTGATTATTCTAGGTACCTCATAAATGGAATCAGACAATATTTGTCCTTTTCTGTTTGGTTTTCACTTTTTTTTTTTTTTTTTTTTTTTTTTTTGAGACAGAGTTTTGCTCTGTTGCCCAGGCTGGAGTGCAGTGGCATGATACCCACTCTCGGCTCAGTGCAACCTCTGCCTCCAGGGTTCAAGCAATTCTCCTGCCTCAGCCTCCCAAGTAGCTGGGATTACAGGTGCCCACCACCACGCTGGGCTAATTTTTGTATTTTTAGTAGAGATGGGGTTTCACCATGTTGTCCAGGCTGGTCTCGAACTCCTGACCTGAAGTGCCCACCTTGGCTTCGGCCTCCCAAAGTGCTACGACTACGCATGAGCCACTGTGCCCGGCCTCCATTTTTGAATTGGATTTTTTGTTGTTGGGTTTTAGAAGTTTTAAAAATACTCTGTGTATTAAATCTCTTATCAGATACATGATTTGGAAATGTCTTCTTCCATCCCATGAGTTACCTTTTTACTCCATTGATAGTATCTTTGATGTATAAAAGTTTTAAATTTTTGGCCAGGTGCCAAAATAGTTTGTTGTTTCAATCACGATCAAATAAGATCAGTATTTGGAATCCTTCTGATTTACTTGTTGAAGTCTTTAAGAAGTTTTCTTGATCAAATACTTGGTTCCTCTTAGGTACAATTTTTAAAGAAAAAAACAGAATACTTGATTTTTTTTGCCTTATTTTCCAGTTTTCAGACAGTTAATTAGCTATTATCTTCCAAATGTACTTCGAAGGTACTTTACCTTCATCTGTTAGCGTTTTTTAGGATTTTAAACTTAATTTTTTGGAACTTTTTCTTTATATATTTATGCTTAATGCATATCAAATGTGAGGTACCAATCATATGTTCCATTATAGTAATTCTTTCCTTCCATTGTCACTTCCTTTCTGTGCTTCAAGTGGTTCTTTCTGTTCCCTCAATATTTTTCTACATTTACTAAACATATCCAAATTGCTGCTTATTAAGTTCCCAAATATTAGCATTTTACCTTCGATTAGAGATCGATTTTAGCTTTTTTTTGACTTTTTCTCCAATCTTATTGTCATTTTCTACTTTTTAAAACTCTGGCATTTTATCCCCAATTTCACAAATAGTATGTAAACTGAATTTTGAATTGTAGCACTCAATAATGAAAAATTTGATATTTCACACTAATATGGTTGCTCTATTCCATCAAAAATTTAAATTTATGATAGATATCAGGTTTGGGTTACTATTTTATGCCAACATTTTGGATTTTGAGAAATATTTTTATGAATATTAAATATATTCCTAAGTAGTCAAAGTAACTGTTATTTTAAAAAATAAACTCAACATTTCTTAAAATGCCACAGAGAATACAAAATGAGAAGTTGCCAACCAGAGCATCACAGAAAAGCCATAAAAAGAATCTCATCCAATGTAAATTAATATAAAGAATTAAACGACAAAATTTGTATAAAATATTGGTAAATTGGCTTTTGGCAAATTGCCTACTTATTCCACTCAGTGCCTTCTCAACCTACATTGATAAATGTCACTCACTGTTCCAATTTTAAATTTTCGGGAAATAGATAATGTAAATGGTTTTAGTCCAGATATTCACTGCTGATTTAATCTTATGTGGCTGGGGACATAGTATATTGGGCTGACCCAGCACAGTAGAGTTGAGTGAATTCCTCCAGAATAGTGGATGGTTAGAGACAATGGTGGGTGTGCATTCTAAACCACCAAAGTTCACATCTTGTGATTGAAACAGGACTCTAAACTCAGTTACCTGAGTTTTATCTAAATTTCATAATTTTCGCTATTTCACTGTGCTATTTGCAAATGTATCACATAAGGCTATTAATAAAGGTTTCATTGCACCACCACTTTGAGCATGATAGGAAAGATTCTGAAATAAATGATAGTATATAGTTGTTAAATCAGAACTTGTAAAGTATCAATGAGTTTAGAAAATTATACCTACATTTTCAAATGCTATGTATATTTAGAAAGTTCATGTTCTTAACCAATATTAAGTTAAATTTCCTTTCTTTCCCAAATAGGCCAAAAATAAGTTTAATGCAAAGCAAGCAAAACAAGCAGAATTAGATTATTGCAGACTTACTGAAGCTCTTGTGGCTGAAAAGGAGAAAGAATTTCAGGACTATGCCAGAGAGGTAATTGAACTTGAATCGGAAACAACAAATAAATATATTTACCCTCTTGTAAAAGCTGTACAGGAAGGACCTGGAGGTGGCCGTGGACCAGTGTTTGTGGACAGAGGTGGATTAAGACCCAGCTATCAGGCAAATGATGTTACTGGAGTCCAGCTCCCTTTTTATAACTCTCAGGGACCAAAATATAATTTTCAAAAGTCAAAGAGAAGGCTAGGTTTTACATGGTAGAAAAAAATTATTTTTAACATTGAGAAGACTAAGTTGTAGCATATATGAGCTTCAAATATAAATGGATTTCAGTTAATAAAGCTGTTCTTCATCTAAGTACAATTATGTCTGATTTAATTGATTGTTCTCAGTATTTCTTTTGGGTATATATAAAACCCCAATTTTGAGATTCCTTTTTTTAACTGTGGTAAAATACACAAGTTTACTTTTTAAATGTACATTCAGTGGTATTAAGTACATTCAAAATATTGTGTAGCCATGACCATTGTGTAGTTCCAGAATTTTTCAGTGCTCTTACTAGAAACCCCATACCCATTCATTAAGCAGTCACTCCCCATTCCCCTTCCCCACAGCTCCTGGTAACTTTATCTGCTTTGCCTATACTGGGTATTTTGAATAAACAGAATCATACTGTGGCCTTGTGTCTGGCTTATTTCACTTAGCATATTTTCAAGGTTCATTCATGTTGTGCCATTTATCAGTGCCTCATTTTGGTTTATGGCTGAATAATATTCTCCTTGATATATTTCTCTTCAGCAGAAATTCATATGCTTATTTGCTTTGTCCTTCAGCAGTTAGTATCAGATAACATTACCAGCATTATTACACTAACAATAGGATTATTGAATGAAGACTTCTTTGTGGTTTATTTTATAGAGTATATCTTACTAGACATGTACACATTATCATGTTTTGAGGTCACTTAAAATAATTCTACATGTAGTTTTGCCAACTTTAGACAACAAAACTTGTTTCCAAAGAGACAAAGCAGATTAGCAGTTACCAGGGGCTGTGGGGAAGGGGAATGGGGAGTGACTGCTTCATGAGTAGGGGGTTTCCAGGTGGAGCACCAAAAACTTCTGGAACTAGATAATGGTCATGACTACACGATACTGTGAATGTACTTAGTACCACTGAATTTTGTGTGATTTTGTGAACTGCATTCCCCCACTGTTTAATTTTTTTTTTCATTTCTTAGGTAAAAAACACAGAACACCTAATTTAATGTCTTAACCATTTCTAAGTATATCGTTCAATAGTGTTAAGTATCTTCATATTGCTGAACAATCTGCAGAATTTTTTCATCTTGCACAATTGAAACTCTGTATAAAACAACTAGTCTCCATTTCCCCCTCCCCTCAGCTACTGGGAAACACCATTCTGTTTCTGTGAATTTTGACCACTACAGTATAGGTCCTTTTGTGACTATTTCATTTAGTGTACGGTCCTCAAGGTTCATCCATGTTGTAGTTTATGTCAGTTTTCTTCCTTTTTAAAGCTGAATACTCCATTGTATGTATATCACATTTTGTTTATTCATTCCTTCATGAATGGACACTTGGGTTGCTTCCACCTCTTGGCTATTGTGAATAATGCTGCTTTAAACATGGACGTACAAATAGCTCTAAGATCCTTTCCATTCTTTTGGATATATACCCAGAAGTAGAATTGCTGAATCATATAATTCTAAATTTTTAGAAACTCATACTTTTCTCCATAGCAGCTGAACCCTTTTACATTTCCAACAGTGCACAAGGTGCACATCCTCACCAACATGTTTTTTTGACAGTAGACATCCTGAGTGGCTGTGAGATGATATCTCATTGTGATTTTGATTTGCATTCCCTAAGGATTAGTGACGTTGAACGTTTTTTCATATGCTTGCTGGCCATTTGTCTATCATCTTTGGAGAAATATCTGTTCCAAGTCCTTTGCCCATTTTTTTCATGTTATTTGTTTTGTTGTTGAGTTGTAGTTATTATGTATTCTAGATTGATCCCTTTTCAGATAAATGATTTGCAAATACTTTTCCTTCCTTAGGTTGCCATTTCACTGTTGTATCCTTTGCTTATTTCTCTTTAAAAGCAAATACACATATATTTTACTTACACAAAATAACTTCGTTCTTTTCACTTAATATAGCTTAGAGACACAACACAGCAGATATAAATATCTTCTTTTCCAACTGACATAGTATTCTCTTGCAAGGGTGTACCCGTTTATTCAACCAGTGGCATACCAATAGATATTTGTGTGGTTTCCAGTCTTCAGCTATTATAAATTCTGTAATTAACAGCTGCCTTTTTTTTTTTTTTTTTTCATATTTTTGTCAGTTAACCTTTGAGATAGATTCCTACACAGGGGAATGCTGGGTAAAGGTGTAAATTGTTCAGTGTATCATTCTATAAGAGACCAAATCTTAGAGCAAACATTACTTATGTCATGAGCCTCTTGGAATCTGATAAAACTTAGTGGCTTTTTCAGCAGTAAGGTACACATACACATATACTCTACAATTGTGCATACAGTTTTAAGGACTTCCACAATGCCCTCTAATAGACTGCACAGCACAGTGACTAACATACATCTAAGATTGTGGCTTAGTATACCTGGGTTGTACTTTTTTAAAATGGCAGATTCTGTAGGCAACCATCATTCTGAGTTACTGTTTGTGGGTTTATGGACCTCGGGTTTTAAAAAATGAACTGTTTTAAAGGAGTAAAATAGCTGGTTATTTAAAACAACACTATCTACTGATTGCCAAATTGTGTGCCAAGGCATACTGAGGAACCACAGTGAACTCACAAATTTTTGAAACAAATTACCTGACATCTGTAAGACTAGCTTGAGGTAGTTCAACATATTAAATGCACTGTGCCTTTTGATGATATCCTGTTTGTAAAGCTGAATTTTCAGCAGCTGATGGGATAAAACTCATATATTGCACAAAATCAATGTATTATAGTAGAGGATGGTGTGTGATCTGATTTTGAGGTTTGAGAAGTTGTGCTGTGACCAACATTTGCACACATTCCATTAGTAACTAATTGTGGTTAAGAATGGAACTGTAAAAATATTTTTTAAAATTTCAAATGGCTAAGTTGTTAGATATACTTTAGCTATGTGAACTTTTTATTTATTTTTTATTAGAGACTGGGTCTCACTCTGTGGCCCAGGTTGGAGTGCAGTGGCACAATCACAACTCACTGCAGCCTCAAGCTCTTGGACTCAAGCAATCCTCCTGCCTCAGCCTCCCAGTTATGGGATTATAGGTGTGCTCCTGGCCTTTTAATAAACCGATCTGTTAGGTATTTATTCTGGCGCAGGGATAACACCATGTTAAAATTACTGAGACACAGGTAAAGTGAACCAAGAAAGTCTGGGAACTTCTGCCATATATCCTTTCCTTTAAATTACATAAATACAATATATAGTGGTAATTAGTAATTTTAGACAGCTATCTTCCCCCATATTATAAAACAGGAAATAAGTTTCTACGTAACGGTTAATTACATAAAAGTGTTATACAACCAACTTAGTTTGAGTGAAGGATAACATAAAACACCAGACATTACTAGTTTTTCTGCCTTATATATACAATTTATTTTACTTTAAATTGGGCTGGGCTTTCTACTAGAGTATACTGAGAAGAAAGGTAAGGCTACACAATGTTAATCACAAAATAATTCAATGAAAAGAACTGAAGCACAGCAGTGGAAACGCAACTACTCTAATCTGCTAATTTGATAAGAGAAACTCATAGATAAAATCTGTGGCAAAGACATAAATTGGAACAAGGCATTCTGATTACTGAGAGGACTTTGATGGGAGTGGGGAAATGTAAAAATTATGAAACAAAATTATGATAACAAAGTTATCAGGTAAGGAAATATGTTTAGGAAAGAAACCTAGGAAGTAAATAGAAAAAGCGAATTGATGCCTGAAGTTATTTTAATGCACAGTTTGCAGTTCATTTGTTGCACTTGCATTTTATACATTTTCTTGGATAAAGCTTTTAAGAACACTCCAGATTTTGGGAGTTTAATAATATTCACGTGTTAACACATACAAACTACTGAATGTTCAGAAGGTTTTTACCTAGGTATATACCTTTCATTGTCAATATTCAGTATAACTAGGCATATATTTTCAATGACGCACTCTCAACTAAGTGCATTTTCCCTACATGTCTAATGTAAGAAAAAACAGCCCCCAAACTAGGTAATGTTTTACAGAATTCAATTAACATTTATGTTTACATGACTTCACCACTCTGTTATAGGCACAGGATCTATTACAGTGATCCTAATGCTGAAAAAAATGCGGAGGACTTAAGAAGCAAATGGTAGTGATCTAGTAGACAGTAATACAAATTCCGAGCTTAACCTTGAAAGTTTGCTGGGCAAAAGACACACTACAATCTGAAGTATTATGATTAAATATTTACATTAGAACATTCTCAAACCTGGAAATTTTCCCTGCTGGCTAAATTCTTAAAGCTCAGTATTGTTAAAACTTTGTTCAGTTTTTTCATAATGTAAATACCTGTATATCTGAGAGTAAAAGTATGTTTTAATTGGTTTATTTTCATTATTTAGCTTTTAATTTTTAAAAGGCTGGATAATACAATTTAAAAAATACAAAACCAAACTGTTTATTATAGTATAGTTTATTTAATACAATGTTTAACTATAAAAGTTAATACAGCTTCCAAGTTTCAATTTTGTAAAATGCAGTTTGCAGAAAAGTTCAACAATTACTAGACTAATGATAAGAGAAGCAGCATTTTGAAACTAATTTTACAATTGAGAAGACAACAGCTTTTTTTCTAAACTTCATTAAAAAAATATAATCACAGTGACTTTTGGGCTAGGAAAAGAAGTGCATTAACTTCATTTATGTTTTTTCCTTCCACAAAGAGAGCGGCCACAATTTTGTACATCCCACATACAAATACCCAATTCATTTATCTTTCAAAATACTATATACACACAAAAGGGGAAGAAAATATACAGCATGTGCTTTTGGTAACATATGGAATTTGCTTAAAGAAAAAAAGTCAGAAACACAAATCCACCCCACCACTCCCTCACATACCTTTTAAAACAAACTAAACCCCTCAACAACTCCCTACTCCAACCTTGTTGACGGAATTTTCTTATTCATGTCATTTTTCTTTTCCTTTAATATATACCTCTTTGTCACACAATAGGCCAAAGACTTTGCACTTGCCCGAATCCACTGAAGGCAGTTAGTTGGGAAGCTCACTATGGGCAGTTGTGCCAGTCAATGCTGTACTTCCTGGGGGCTTATTAATTTTTAAAACAAGTATTTGTAACAAAACACATCTTTTCACAATAAACAGCTTATCAACCTATAATCCTTATTCAATTGTAAATGTATAAATCCAAAATGAAATAATTACAGTAAACATAATCAAAAGGAAACAGAAGAACACCCATTTTGTTTCTTTATAACAAATCAGCTATGGTAGGTATTTAAAGTACCTTCTGGTGAAGGCAAACCCAACAAGCTTCTACAGAAATTTAGTATAAAAAGTTTAGTGTGATGAAAACTATATTACCAACTGGAATGAAGTACAATAAACTACTAACAAACATACTAACTTGCTACATATACTAACTAAAATAAATTAGAATTGTCAAGTTAATACCACTACCCAAAATACCAGAGATCCAATATGTGCCTATCCATAATGAAGAGTTCTTTAATTGTTTAGCTCCATACCTTCCACTAGGCACAAATATCAAAGGTCATTCCGCAAAGCCGTCCATGCATCAGTATCACATTTGTGCAAAGGCAGATTTATCAGATAAATTCTTTGCAACTTCTGAGGGCTTCAATTAAGTAACTTAAAACTATGAACTTACCAACTATGTAGTAATTTAATCAAAGAATGTTTTAAAGCAATCCAGTAGCTTCTCTACTGCTCATTTCATTAACATTAATCTCACCATAGTGTCAATTTCTGTGGCAGATGGCTTACCCAGAAAAATAATTCATACAAAATAACCATGAAAATTCTACATATTGAAAAAATTTTCTCAGCTATCACCAATTGAGCAATAAATCAGTTTAAATATTTTTAAAAGGATATTAAGTCAAAAATACTTTGACATGAACCATAAATTTAGACATAACTATAAAACCAACTTGATGGGAAAGTAATAGTTGACTTTTAGGAAAACAATGTTCAAAGCAAAAACTAAAGATGGCACAACTACTAAATGTAACAAAAGGAAAGGACCATTTGAGCCGTGTGCTATTCAGATGCATGCGCAGATCCTGAGGTACAGTTAATGCTGTTTAATCATTTTAAAAATGTTCTTTATATTCTAAAAATAAAATCTAGTTGATTGTCCTCTCAACTCCTTCACATCTGTTCTGTAAAGAGAGCTAATAAAACTTTAAAATAAGGACTATAAATAATGCGGAGCATGGAGTTGCTCTTTTGATAACCCAAACAGAATATTGCCTATAGAAATTACTACAATTTTTTTCCCTATGGTTACTTTTTGAAACTCTAAGATTTGGAAATCCTTATGTATAATTTTTAGTAGATAAAGCTCTGGGATCAGACAACATGTAAGAATTTTTACTTAGCATGGACTTAAAAAAAATATTTAACTGTTATTAGAAATCCTTTCTTAAATAGCACCTTTCTTAAAGCTCAAATAGTTTATAACAACAATTTTAAAATGCAGTTAACTGAAATTAAGACAAACAATAACTTGCTTAAACTACATAACGTTATATAGCTTGGGCACTCAGACTCAATTATCCCTAATGTGGGTTTGTGGTCAGTCTCTAAGGAATCAATCACCTTGGATTTTATAATAAACATCTACTACTTTTATCATCGGAAAAAAAAATTTTGGAAAGAATTCATTGTGGATATCTGTATTACAATTTTCCAAGCAATCTTATGGTCATTACACTATTCATTCTGCAACAGCTACCACAACGCCAAATATATCAATATTGCATTAATCAATAGTGGGAAGTATCATGTTAATAATTGCTTTATTCAGTACAAATAGCATTGAGTAGCTACTGGATTTACCAAGAAGCTACCTTGGTAACAGAGTTGACACTACACTGACAAATATTAAAGTACAAAACTCTCTAGAGAATCCTATTAATTGGAATTTTGAAATTCCTTTTCAAATGAGGCAGGTTTTATGTTTGCTGGATGTTCAATGTTTTATTTAGAAGAGATTACAGAATAAAAGGCCACACATCACAAAAATGGCAAAATACAACACCCAAAACTCTAAATGGACTTTGGATATGTTTAGTGTTTAACTCTGTAAACTATCAAAATTTGCAACTTTCTACTCTACTCTATATGGCAATGTTATACATGCCAAGTTAAAATAACATTAACAGTAATGGTATAAAACCACCTGAAGAGAAAGAAACCAGAGTCATAAACATGCTATAGCCTATCGTGATACATATATAGAAAAGATGCATTTTCTTGCCATTTGGAACTCACAGCTATGAGAGTTAGAGAAGTCAGTTCAATTAAAACAAACAAAATCCATGCAGAGTTAACACTCAATTCTATATAGGTTGGAGGCCAAAAAAGAGAAATCTTAGAAGTTAATGTCTCAATACTAACAATTTTTAGAATCTGTATAGCTTAAGGACCTGCACAAATGGTATGTTTTAATGAGAAAAGCTTTTTTTTTTTTAAAGTTTAGAGAAGGGTAATTAATAATTAAAACGTTCCCAAAACTCTTCAAACCAAAAGCAACACAGAACTGAGAATCACAATCTGATTTTCCAAGGTATAGTTCCTGTCAAATGCTGTATAACAGCAACTCAAGCTCAATCAGTACATCAACTGAAAAAAATTACTCTTACGATTTTTATAGGCAGTTAAGTAAAACACAACTAGACAGGAAAAGCATTAATAGGAAACAAGCTATGGCTCGAACTATAAAGAATAGAGTATGAAGTGCAATATAAATACATCTATTTTAAAGCACAAATTACTATAAAATCAAAAGTGATGATTTAAGATCTCAGGTTATTAGGACCCTGCTTCTGTGTAATTAAAAGAAACCGCTGCAAACCTCTATTTATAACGCAATCAGAAAATCTATACAAGATGTCTTCTAGTGGCTTCTAAAGTTACTTTAATCATGAGAAACACAAGCTTTTGCAACAATGCATTGCAACCATTCCAAATGGCTGACTAAACAAATTAGGATGCTATTGGCTAATTGTTGCAACACAGTAATGCATACATAAAATAGTTAAACACAGCACACAGTACTACACCAAAGTGTTTTTCTCATGTCGAGTTTATTAAAACTTTAGCAGTACAAATTATCCAGATTGCAGATTATCAAAAAATCAACTCAATGAAATCCACATTAAGAAAAAAAAGGACAAACATAAAACAATCCAAAAACAATGAAAAGGAAAACAACATAAAGGAGATTCATTAGCAAGTCTCTCAAACTTAAAATCCGAAACAGAATGGAAGTAAGTTTATATAACTCACTCATCCGCTTTTGTCTTCATCTGTTCCAGGGCTTGATTCATGATCAAATTTTTTATTTTTTTCATGTACATGGTCATTTTCTTGACCTTTTGATTTTTGGTTTTCTTTTTCCACTGAGGATCTGATCTTCTCATCCTCCTTATTTTTCAACATGGAGGACTTTAATTCATTGTCCTGACTGCTTTGTTTTATTTTTGAGAAGGGACTTTGATCTCTATCAGCCTTTTTTTCCCTGCTGTTATTTGAGCTATTATGATCACGACTTTTAGAGTACATTCTTTTCTCACTCTCAGAATTTTCTTTTCTGTGTGAGCTCTTACTCTCTTGGTTTCTGTATTTGTCTTTGTTTCTGCTTTGACTTTCTTCTCTCTCTGAGCTCCGTGAGTCTCTCCTCCTTCTCCTCCTATCTTTACTTCTTGATCTTCCTGGTGGTGTTCTTCTCTCTCGGCTTCGTGACCGTCCTCTTCTCCTGTATTCCTGTTCTCTGTATCTATGGTACTCCTTGCTTCTGCTGCGATCTCTGTCATGGGTTCTTGATCGCACTCTTCTGCTTCTGTCCCTACTTCTGCTTCGTTCTCTTGTTCTGCTATTATAACTGTGTTTACCTTTAGTTATATCACATTCTCTACTCCTGGATTGTGCGCGTCTATCCTTTTCCTTACTTTTACTGTGATCATGCTCATTACTCTTTGATTCTAACTGTTTAGACTTCTCTTTACTTCTACTCCTTTCCTGATCTTTTCCTTTAGAATCAGACTGCTTTTCTTTTTCTTTAACATTTTCATGATCCCTTCCTTTACTCCTTGACCTCATCCTCTTTTCTTCATTTCTATTATGTTTTGAATCTCTTTCTTTACTCTTTGATTTCTCTTTGCTCTTACTCCTACTTTTAGATTTGGCCCTTTTCTTCACTTTGTTTTTATACTTGTCATCTTTTTCTGAATTTCTTCTGATGTCTCTCTCTTTGCTGTTAGATTTATGGTCTTTAACTTTCTTCTCCTTTTCATTTTTTCTGTTTGGACTCTCAGATACATTCCTGTGATCTGTTATTTTTCTCTCTTTTACTCTAACTGGACTTCTCTGATTTTCTTTTATTTCATTCAACTCACTCCTAAAAAATAAGAAAAAGAATTGGGGAAATGTTATTAGGAAAAGAACTGTAGATATTATTAGCTAAAATGATATTCTACTTTTCTTAAGGTATTCAGCAATAACTAAAATGACAATAACTTTATGTATAATAGTAAAAGCAAACACTTATCATTACATTTGAAATAATAATAGTTAAATCTTACTTATCCCCCTTGATCCATCTTTCACCACTTGATACCCTCATTCTTTGAGCTCTCTGCATCTCTTGCCTCCAATGTGGAGGAGTCTCACTACGTCTGAAACGATCCCTTGATCTGGATCTGGAAGGAGTTCGATAACGCTAAAGAAAATTAAAATAGGGAAAAATTAATGTATAGAAGTATAGAGGGACTCGCATGGGTGCTGGGAGGGAGGGAAGTACTGGGGTGAGGGTCAGGAGGTAGTAAGGGGTACAAAATAAAAAAAATATAAAAAGCATTGAAACAGTAGCTTAAAAGTATATGTTTCCAGGTTAAAATAAAACGTCTGATATTTCTATACCCTGAAAATTACTAAAATTTCCCAATTTTCATATAGGAAATCAATGAGGCAGAGAAACTTAAGTTGTCATGTTGCAAATTCCAAGAAACATTAATCACAAAAACTTTAGCTGCTAGCCATACGTCTTCTCCATGGAAGAGTCCTAACCAAGTAATGCTAGAGCAACTCATAAGTTGCCAAGTTCCAATCTAAATGTTATATATACTTAATGTTTCAAAGCAAATATTTCTCATATTATGGGGAAAACAGAGTAAATGTGTAGATGTTCACTTATTCAACCCTTAGGATGACCAAACACTCTTATTACATACTGAGAGAACATCAGTGAGCCAAGATATATGAGTGTGCTTTCCTGGAACTCATATTCTACAGGACTTGGAGAGCATGTGAATGAACATATAATCACATATGTTAAACATATATGCAGCTATAATAGAATGGGTATAAAAGGAAAAGGGAAAAGATGCTGACAGGAAGGTTCTGAGTTAAGAAGAAACATAGCATGCTTTAGAAATGATGAGAAGACAGACCAAACATGGCCAAATCTAAAAACTGCAAGGGAAAGTAGTACTACATAACATTGATGAGGTAAGCAAGGACTAGGTTTTGTGTAGTGTCATAGGCCATTGTAGTTATTTTGGATTTACCCTAAGATCAATGGTAAAGGAGTGGCACAAAAATCAGACTTTCATTTTTAAATGACAATTCTGGCTACTATTTTAAAAAAAAGATCAGACAGTGAATCTCAAAGTGGGATCTAGGATCTAAAGACTCGGGGTCAAAACTATTTTCATAATAATATCACAATATTTGCCTGTTCCATTTTCATTATTTCATTATCATACAATAGTGTTATTCAGTTTACATGTTTTGATATCATTACTTTCACAGCTAATGGAATGTGTGCTTATATATTCTTATGTTTCAAGTATTTCTCAGTACTAATTCCTGAAAGAGTAAATATTGATAGATATAACCCACACCAACAGAAGTTCTTTTGGGTCCTCAGTAATTTTTAACATGAAAGAGGTACTGAGATTTAAAAAAATTGAGAACTATCAAAATTTACAGCTCAGACAATATGATGGAGTTGAATTAACATGGCAGGGGTAAAGCTTGAAACACATGAATTTCTGAATATTTAGGAGGCAGAAATGACAGTATTCGGTGATGGGTAAGATATATTCATGTATCTTACCATAGTTAAGTTACTTGCATAGTTAAGGTATAAACTGAAAGGGGAGAATCAGATTATTCTTGGGAAGGAACTGCACAGGTGGTGGTGCCCGTCACTAAAATCAGTAACCTAAAGAAGGTTCAGATTTGAAGAGGAAGAGCTTGTGCTCAACTTTGTAAAAGCCAAGTTTGAGGTACTCATTAGTCAAATGAGTCTTTGGAGCTGAAAAATGCCGATAAAAATTTGACAGTTACCAGCCATGGGAGTCATGAGATTGCTCAAGGAGTATATGCAGTGTGAGAAGATTTGAATGGGAACCCTGAGGTACTACAGTATTTAAAGGTTAGGTAAATGGGTGGACACGGTGGCTCACGCCTGTAATTCTAGGACTTTGGGAGGCTGAGGCAGGCAGATCGCTTGAGCTCAGGAGTTCAAGACCAGTCTGGGCAACATGACGAAACCCCATTTTTACAAAAAAATACAAAAATTAGCCAGATGTGGTGATGCACACCTGTAGTCCCAGCTACTTGGGAGGGTGAGGTGGGAGGATTGCTTGAGACTGGAAGGTTGAGGCTGCAGTGATCCTTGATTGTACCACTGCACTCCAGCCTGGGTGAAAATGAGACCCTGTCTCAGGCAGGTGGATCACCTGAGGTCAGGAGTTTTGAGACCAGCCTGGCCAACATGGTGAAACCTTGTATCTACTAAAAATACAAAAATTAGCCGGGCATGGTGGCATGTGCCTGTAATCCCAGCTACTAGGGGGAGCTGAGGCAGGACTGCTTGAACCTGGGAGGCAGAGGTTAAAGTGAGCCGAGATCATGCCACTGCACTCCAGTCTGGGCAACAAACTGAGACTCCATCTCAAAAAAAAAAAAGGGGGGGGTGGAAAGAATATTACAAGGAGCAAGATTAAGTAAGATGAAGACTGAAAAGAATCCACTGGAATTTGTGACATGGAGCTGATTATGTATCAAGTGCTGTTTTCAGCAGAACAACGGTAGTGGAAGACAACTAAAATGCTTGAGGAATAAGTAGGAAGTGAAGACATAAGACAGGAAAGTATAGCCAAGTTTCTATAAAGTTTTGAAAGCACAAGATATTTAAATTCTGATGAGGACACTCTAGTAAATAAAAAAAGAATAAAATACAAGAATAGGGTTAATTTTTATTTATTTTTAACAAGAATAGAGATACAGTGATTGCCAAGAAACACGGGAGACAAGAAAGACCTCGATCCCATTTTATACCATGTAAATGTAAAATCTATTCATATCTCATGGATTTTCTGTTGGGAAGTACCAACATACAGAAGCTGCTTAAGAAAGAGAATATATAATTCAATGCCTGCATCTCCCCTAAATTTTAGTTACTTGCACATTAAAATAATATTTAAGAAACACCCTAAAATTATTTAAGGAAGACAAATGCAATATTGTGAAGATCTCTGGGGAAAGAATCACCTACCCTTGGTCCTCTTCCTTTAATTTTCCTGCCAGATCTAGTAACTAAAAGTCGTCTCTGGTATGAAGCAGGCTGGGAGTTAGGTGGATTACTAGAAGGAAGCAAACAGAAAGTTAACACATTTTTTTAAAAACTTTTGTTGGCCAGACATGTTACTTTAATAAAAATGAATCTGGGCCGGGTGCGGTGGCTCATGCCTGTAATCCCAGCACTTTGGGAGGCCGAGGTGGGCGGATCATGAGGTCAGGAGATGGAGACCATCCTGGCTAACACAGTAAAACCCAGTCTCTACTAAAAATACAAAAAATTAGCTGGGCATGGTGGCTCAAGTGATCTGCCCACCTTGGCCTCCCAAAGTGCTGGGATTATAGGTGTGAGCCACTATGCCTGGCCAAGAATTTTATTACTTGTATTATGACAATGTATTTCTGATCATAACTAAGAAAAATATTTCAATATTCCTTTTTCTACTTTTGGACATAGTTATTATTATTATTATTATTTTTGAGACGGAGTCTCACTCTGTCACCCAGGCTGGAGTGCAGTGCCGTGATCTCGGCTCACTGCAAGCTCCGCCTCCCAGGTTTACTTATGCCATTCTCCTGCCTCAGCCTCCTGAGTAGCTGGGACTACAGGCACCCGCCACCACACCCGGCTAATTTTTTGTATTTTTAGTAGAGATGGGGTTTCACCATGTTAGCCAGGATGGTCTCCATCTCCTGACCTCGTGATCTGCCCGCCTCAGCCTCCCAAAGTGCTGGGATTACAGGCGTGAGCCACTGCGCCCAGCCTGGACATAGTTATTAAAATGACTGATAAAGAACCATTAGCATTACAGATATTAATAATGTAGATTTATGTAGTAAACTTTTTTCAGGATTTGAACATGACATCAATTTTTATTACAATGTTGTAAACCAAGTAAGGAAAACAGCAGTTTTTCCTATTAGACAAACTGAAAAACCAAGATTCTTACTTGCTTAAGAGTTTACTGTACACAAATAACACTATAAAACACTATCTTGTTTTACTGGTTAAAGAGTATCTTGTTATTGGCTTGGAATGCTGCTTAACATCTCTTTTTTGTATTAGTGTTTATTATGTGTAACTTTACTTCAGAACCTACTTGTAATTTAAGTCAATTTCCCTTTCTAGTTATGTGGTTGGCAAAAAAGAACTTTGCGGAAGAACATTTTATAAAAAAGATTTCAATCTTGGGACAAGGTCACCAATTAAATCTTGTTTAAAATAAATAACTTTTTAAAAAGAAAAGTTCTATGGTAAACCATGTAAGGCAAAATATACATATTCACATACCACTCTCTTTCCCTTTCTCTCTCTCTGTTTTTCCTTTCCTTCTCATCAGCTTTAGGAGGACTTTTTCTCATTAGGAATCTATTTTCAGGTATAGGAGGGATCTCTTCTGGACGGACAGTAGACTGGGGTTGTGCTTCAAGATTTTCAGCTTCACTCTCACTAGATGCACTTAACAGACAGAAACACACAAAACAAGTTACAGTTGGTTATTATGTCCTTACGGAAGTATCCAATTGTTGGTATTTCTTTCCTTTATATCACTATAATATAAACATCCTGTCCTTACCAAAGATGTGATCGCATGGGAAAAATCTTCTATTCCTCTGACAAACCAACTAACCAATCAAAAAACAAACAAAACAAAACGTTTCGATTATCACACTCTCAAAAAATATTTTCCTACAAAATGGATAAAAAATATGAAACTATGTGAGCAATGCACTCTGATAAATTTAAAATACTTTAAAACATGGGTAAAGAAATTAACTGCATTTGAGCCATAGGCAGATGAAGACAAGTTTTAGTACAAACACAGATTATTTCAAGCAAAATGGAAAAGAAAGTAAAATACACTGACATTATCTGCTTTCTATCCTTATGCTATCGTAAGAGCAAAGGGGACTGCTACTGAAAATAGGAAAAACAACTGGTGGTTTTCTGCAATTTTCATAAATCCCATAATCCTCCTATAAAACACACAAATCTGTAACACCAAAGCTGTATTATTTCATTGAGTACACAAAAAAATGAACTGATAGGTTTTCTTTCAAAAGAAAATGAACGTACCCAAAATTTAATCTATAGACTGTGGAATATCAAAAGTCCTACGCTCCATGCTATATTTCTCACTATTTTAACAGTTTCATATAATTGACCCAAAATCCTAACAGATTTACAGAAAGGAAATCAGAATATAAAGCTAGCATTAGAAAAGTAAAATTAAGACCTCTTCTTGCTTTTCTTTCGCTTTTTCTTTTCTTTCTTGTGTTTTCGGGAATTTTTCCGATGTTTCTTTTTTCTTTTCTTTGATTTCTCTTCAGTAGCACTTTCGGAATCAGAGGAATCAGAAGAGGACTGAGAATCACTTGAGCTATCTGAGTCACTAGATGAGGAGGAGGAAGATGATGATGATTTATGCCTTTTCTTTTCTTCTTTCTTAACTTTAATAAAAACAAAAAGGTTTTGATCAACAATTTTTAGACAAACTTTGTGGAAGGAGATTTAAATTTTCTGCAGATTCTCACTAAGTTCAGTATTTAGCACTTAGATCATCCAGCTATGTGAACTGGGAAGTACAGGAAAGGAGTCAAGACTCAGGATTAGAGTCCAGATCTCCAGAATTCACTGGTCAAAGTTTTATCTATTAATCCAAAGAACTTTAAAAAATAGGTGAGTCTAAAATGCTAAACTAATGTTAACAAACATCTGAATAAGAATTTTTTTTAAAAGCACAGAATAACAATGAAGAGTCCCATGTTCTAATCTTGTAGTTTTCCACTTTCCCTCTTATTATCAAGATTGGCAGAACTAGTGCAGGGAAATAACAGAAAAACTGCTTTACAGCAACATGGAGAGATAAGAAATGGATTTCACTGGCATGGGCTTATATTTCAGTGCCCAAGCAGTCTTCTAATAATTAAGAAATTTAGCTCAAGAGGAGACTCATAACAGAGGGAAGTCAATTGCCCATGATGAATAGAATGTTTTGGGGACTCTACAAAAAGTCATTTTAAATTGAAATTTTATTTCAGTTAAGGAAGCAGTAACTTTAAAAAGGGTAAAAAAAAAAAAACTCAGAGTTTAAAGGATCAATTAATATAAATAAGTGAAGCTAGAAGGTGTAACATAACAAGAATTAGAAGAAGATACTACAAATTGGGAGGAGCTTGACCCATCTAAAGGTATACTCATTCAAATCATGGTGGATTTGAAGAGGCTAACTGGGGCCAAAGATGGGACAATATTGATATATACATGAGAACTACAATAAATTGAGATATATCAGATTATATTAGAAATACATTAGTTCACAGTGATACTCATAAAGTATAAAGCATTTATCTTGCCTTTGTGGTACAAACTGCACCACTGGCTAATGAAATGAATGAAGGGAAATAGCTCTTTGTCAGAAGCATTCCAGGAATAAATGAAAAAGAAATTATAGTGTTAAAATATCGTTTTACAACTTCTTGTGAGGCACTGATAACCCATGGCTGCTGCAAAACACAGAGACAACTTGTCCTGTGTGACTCCTGTTTTCATTAAAAGGAATTTCAAGTCACAACTGCATCTGATCAACATTACATAACACAGTAAGGACTCAATTAGTAAAATCCAGTATGTTCAATTATAGAAAATGCTACATGACAAATGACCTACCTTTTCTGAGAAATACATTTCAAGGAAACATAAAACAAGATGGTGAGGGAATTTATTAAGAAACAAAACACAACTTACAAGACCAATTTCAATGTCTGAACTTCATTTGGATTGATTCACACAGCAAAAAATTAATTAACATTAATGAAACAATTACAATCTGAACACTGTCAGGATTTTTAGTATTTAGGAATGTGTATGTGTGTATCATTATGGTACTGTTTTTAAGAATCATCTTTTAGAAATAACATTTATTGATAAAATATTATGCCTGGAATTTGTTTCAAAATAATAGGAAAGGGAAAAGTGGCTAGTGATGGGTAAAACAAGATTGGCCATAAATAAACTCCTGAAGCTAGCTAAAGAAAAAGTGTTATATTATTTTATTCACTTGTGTATAAATTAGTATGTTCCACAATAAAAAGTCAAGGAAAACAAAGAAAATATATCTTTGGATTATCTGTTGGTTGTTTGGTTACAGAACCTTAGTTGAAAGGGTTAACAGCTGATTTGTGACCTTTCCTTTAGCCCCACCTTAGCCTCAGGAACATCTGAAGATTTGGTATTTGGAAAATTTATCCTTGCCTTTTTTTTTTTTTTTTTTTTTTTTTTTTTGGAGACAGGGTCTTGCTCTGTTGCCCAGGCTAGAGTGCAGACCATAGCTCACTGCAGTCTTGACCTTCCGGGCTCAAGTGATACTTCTGTCTCGGCCTCCTGAGTAACTGGAAACACAGGTGTATGCCACCATGCCCTGCTAATTTTTTTAATTTTTATTTTTGTAGAGACAAGTTCTCCCCATGTTGCCTAGGCTAGTCTCGAACTCCTGGGCTCAAGGGATCTTCCTGTCTCAACCTCCGTAAGTGTTGGGATTACAGGTGTGGGCTACCATGCCTAACCTTGTTTATTTATGAAGATGGGGTCTTGCTATGTTGCACAGGCTGGCCTCAAACTCCTGGGCTCTAGTAATCCTCTTTCTCTCAGTCTCCTGAGTAGCTAGGACTACAGGCACATGTGCTGCTGTGCCTGAATCATCCTTGAAATTTGTAACTGATAATTTACAGGAATATACTAAACCCAAGATACATGAAAATCTGGCTGAAGTTACTTGTACTTGACCAAGGACTTCTGGTTCACTGTGCAGACTGCTTTTCCAGTACTGATGAGATGTTGCTGCACTTGAGAATGGGAACAAGGTATAAAAGCTGAAGAGACCGTAGATGTAATGGCTTCACTGAACTAAGATAATCCTTCCTTACCCAGTTATGTTTCTAAGGAACAGGTACATTATCAAGTGTGAGATGTTTGGGATATACGCAAGCTGTGCCTGGAAATCATGACAGTGCCTCTATGCTGTTGATGTACCAGCCATGCCGTTTCCTGCCCTATATCCTTTCTTAAGGGTAAGTAATCTTAGTGCCTGGTGAAGCTAATTTTGTCTCACGAGCCCAACTGTTAACCTGAATCCAATACCTATGCTGCTGGTGAGACAGAGTGGGTATGAAAAAACATATAACCTGAAAAATCTACTTATA
The DNA here is from genome assembly GCF_000001405.40 of Homo sapiens. NCBI lineage: Eukaryota > Metazoa > Chordata > Mammalia > Primates > Hominidae > Homo > Homo sapiens. The sequence goes on along the minus strand of NC_000002.12, from coordinate 169,628,022 downwards.
TATGCTAAACTAATAAACCTGAGGGATATGCAGGGGGAAAAAATCAAATTTTAAGGAAATCTAACACAGAAAATAAATTCACAATGAAATAAAAACATAAAATTGTGCAAGCAAAATAAAAATACTACACTTAAACATAAAATATACTTGTTAAAATATGGTAACTCTTTACCCCACAATTAAAAAAGCTTTAATCACCAGTCTGATTTCTATTTATTTTGCACTGAGATTCTTTCCTATGAGAAATACATCACAGTTGATTTACTTTAAAAGCAAGCCCATTTAGTGTTTGAAATTAAAAAAAAAAAAAAAAAAAAAGCAAGCCCACTGGCTAGGGGCATGGCTTCTCACGCCTGTAATTCCAGCACTTTGGGAGGCTGAGCAGGGAGAATCACTTAAGCCTGGGAGGTCGAGGCTGCAGTGAGCCATGATCGCACCACTGCATTCTAGCCTGGGGAACAGAGTGAGAACCTGTCTCCAAAACAACAACAACAAAACACCATACCACACAACAGCAAGCCCACTTACCAAGTGTATTAAATACATTTCATAAACAATTATTTAATTTACATATCACTTTTGAAGAAAACATTCTAGTGAAGCAAGATAACATGATAAAATGAAAAGTCTGGGTGCAGTGGCTCATGCCTGTAATCCCACCACTTTGGGAGGCCAAGGCTAGTGGATCGGTTGAGGTCAGGAGTTCGAGACCAGCCTGGCCAACATGGCAAAACTGTCTCTACTAAAAATACAAAAATTAGCCAAGTGTGGTGGTGCACACGCGTAATCCCAGCTACTAGGGAGGCTGAGGTACGAGAATCGCTTGAACCCCAAAGGTGGAGATTGCAGTAAGCCAAGATTGCACCACTGCAATCCAGCCTGGGAGACAAAGCAAGACTCCTCCTCAAAGTAAATAAATGAAATGGAAGGCCAGAAAGAGATTTATAACTGTTTTTATAGGAATATAATCTGCTCAAGAATCAGAAAACATTAACTATAAGAGGAAAATAGGCCAGGCATGGTGGTGGCTCACACCTGTAATCCTAGCACTTTGGGACACCAAAGCAGGCAGATCACTTGAAGCCAGGGGTTCGAGACCAGCCTGGCCAACATGGTGAAACCCCGCCTCCACTAGAGATACAAAAATTAACCAGGCATGGTGATGGGCGCCTGTAGTTCCAGCTACTCAGAAGGCTAAGGCATGAGAATCACTTGAACCTAGGAGGCAGAGGTTGCAGTGAGCCGAGATTGCACCACTGCACTCCAGCCTGGGCAACAGAGTGAGACTCCGTCCTGATTTAACAAATAAAAAAGCTCTAAGATTAAAAAGTTCAGTGGAGAGTGGTGGCTCACGCCTATAATCCCAGCACTTTGGAAGGCCAAAGCAGGCAGAACACCTGAAGTCAGGAGTTCGAGACCAGCCTGGCCCACATGGTGAACCCGTCTCTACTAAAAATACAAAAATTAGCTGAGTATGGTAGAGGGTATCTGTAATCCCAGCTACTCGGGAGGCTGAGGCAGAGAATCTCTTGAACTGGGAGGCGGAGGTTGCAGTGAGCTGAGATTGCGTCACTGCACTCCAGCCTGGGAGACAGATTGAGACTCCGTTCCAAAAAAATAAAAAATAAAAAGTTCCTCTCTTTTGATATTTGGCAAATTTAATTTATGTTCCTTTTTGTATAAGTCTGCTCAGAAAAAAAATGAGAGAAAATAATTGAGAAAGAGATGGCATTAAAGGACAGAAGGGTAAAAAGGCAAAAAATTGGGAGATATCACAATATCAATATTGATTCTGTAAGACTGTGGCTTGAGTTTCAGAATGTGTGTTAACCTAAATTTTAAAATATGATTAAGGCATATTGAGAATATGATTGAAACTGTATCCTTCTCAAAGTCACAAGTATTATTTAACTGAACAGTATACCAATATACATAGTCAACATAATGTCAGAACATGGAGATGAAGAGCCATGGTCCCTGGTACTGATCCGTGGCCTGTTAGGAACCAGGTCACACAGCAGAAGGTGAGTGGCAGGCAAGCAAGCCTTACCACTGGAGCTCCACCTCCTGTCAGATCAGTGACAGCATTAGATTTTCAGAGGAGCACAAACCCTATTGTGAACTGTGCATACGAGGGATCTAGGCTGAGCACTCCTTATTAAACGCTTATGCCTGATGATCTGAGGTGGAACAGTTTCATCCTGAAACCATCCCCTAAACCCTGATGAAATAAAGACATTTTCAGAAAACTAGAATAATTTTGTCACCAGTAGACCTAACCTTAAAAAAAAAAATTGGTTAAAGGAAGTTCTCCAAAGAGAAAGGAAATAGCAGGAGGAGGCTTGAACTTCAGAAAGGAAGAATAAAAGAATGGTAAATAATAGGCGGTAAAGGAATCAACAATCGGTTCATATAAAAAGAAACATAAATAGCTCTTAAGGAGACACTAACATCACACTCCTCAGAGAAATGCTAATTGAAACTAGCATTTGTTAAAAAAAAAATCCATTAGGCTGGCAAAGGTGAAAGAGTTTACAATAATACGTAGTTTTATACAGGGTGTAGGGCAACTTATCCTCTTATATTCTGGTAGCAGTGTCTACCAAATTACAAATGCATGACCTCTGCAAACTGGCAATTCCATTTCTAGGAAATTCATTCTACAAGATCAACATTCACACACACGTGGAATAATGTACAAAATGTGAGAATGGAAACTCATGGAAAGAGATTTTCACAGATTATCATTTTATACTTTCTGAATTTCGAACCAAATAAATGTATTAAATTTTTAAAACTAGGGTACAAAGTTTCAGTTAAGACAGGAAGAATAAGTTTGTTGAGATCTATTTTCATAGCATGGTGAGAACAGTTAATAATAATGTATTGTACATTTCAAAATTCCTGAGATAATAAATTTCAAATTTCTGACCACAAAAATAGTATTTGAGGTGACAGCTATGTTAAATAGCTTGATTTAATCATTCTGCATTGTATACATGTATCATAACATCACGCTGTATACCATAAATATATACAATAATTTCTCAGTTATAATATTTTCAAATTAAAATTTTAAATTCCGAATACGGCAACAGTTGTTTTCAGCTGACTCTTCAAAAAACCTACTTCCGGCTGGGCGCGGTGGCTCATGCCTGTAATCCCAGCACTCTGGGAGGCCGAGGTGGGCGGATCACGAAGTCAGAAGATCAAGACCATCCTGGCTAACATGGTGAAACCCCATCTCTACTAAAAATACAAAAAGAAATTAGCCGGGCGTGGTGGTGGGCGCCTGTAGTCCTAGCTACTCAGGAGGCTGAGGCAGGAGAATCGCGTGAACCAGGGAGGTGGAGCTTGCAGTGAGCCGAGAACGCACCACTGCACTCCAGCCTGGGTGACAGAGCGAGACTCCATCTCAAAAACAAACAAACAAAACCCTACTTCCTAACTACTTACACAAAATTGATTTCAGCGTTTCTTTTAATGGCATGTAAGTATCGTTAAGGTAAAATGAAATAGCACTAAAAGCAAAAACCACAATGCAAGTTAAGAATCATAGTGGATGAAAAAGAATTACAAAGAGTAATAACACTTTCAACTTGGGCCATTTCTGGTTAATTAGTTTAGATTACGCAGTTTGCTTATTATTAAGTAGAATGATTTCCCAAACTTCTTCACTGACCTTTACTTGGGGGTATGGTGTGATGTAACCTTATCAATTAGTCATTTAACTTACTAGTATAATATTAAGGTTAAAAACCAAATTCCATAGCTCATATCTGTAATCCCAGCACTTTGGTAGGTCAAGTTAGAAGGATCGCTTGAACCAGGAATTTGAGACCTGCCTGGGCAACATAGCGAGACCTTGTCTCCACCAAAAATACAAAAATTAGCCAGGTGTGGCAATGCACACCTGTAGTCCCAGCTATTTGGAAGGCTGAGGTGGGAGAATTGACTGAACCCAGGAGTTCGAGGTTGCAGTGAACTATGACTGCACCACTGCACTCCAGCCTGGCAACAGAACAAGACAGTCTCAAAAAAACAAAACAAAACCAGAAATAACTCCAGAATATTTTATTTGTAAAAACCTAAGGTAACAAAATGCTGCTTTGTTTTTTATTTGAGACCCACAGATTTTACACCAATAAATTTCACTTGAAATCTTGAAAATGAAGGAAATTCTGAAATCACCATCAAAATAAGATTTGAAATAAAGAACAAAAGTATTCCTAAAATGGTCTTTAGACAATTTCATTTCACATTATGGGTTGCATCTCCTAAACCGTTTCTAAGTTTAACATCTCACTATTTTCCAATAAAAGTGCCAAAATTACTTTCAGAATAAGGACACTGAAATGGGACCCTGTCACCATAGAAATGAATCTCTAGTGTTCCTCTTCACTTGTCTCCTGAGTACAAGATTCACCAGCTGCTTCCTCTATTGTGCTATTTGTTCTGTATTGTCAGGCAATCTGCCTCCTCCCATTTCTTCTCATACAACTACTTACCGCCATGTTGCCACAACTCTGTTCTTGTGTTTCTGTGTACTATGTAACATAGCAATCCTCTCATCTCTTAGTTTCATTATTGGTACGCTAAGCTTGTGGGAGTTATGTATATCCTACTTCTCAAGGTCATTGCCAAGATCTGATTTTTCACACAAAAAACTTGCAACCTCCGGCATAAATGGGTTAACAACTGCAGTGAACTCTGAATTGAACAGCATGATCTGAGGTCACGTCAGCTCCTGAAAAACTAGGAAATATCTTAATCAAGGTACTGGTCTGTGTTCTATCCTCCACTCTGACTTTTGACAGCCCTTTGCTGAGCCTCTACAGGGGATGCAGCTTTTATTAGCTTCCAGTGTTCCATCTCTGCATCTGCTGGAAGGTTTTTCTCCTTGACTTTGAATTTTCTCTGGCACACTCAAATAGTCACAAAAAGAAGGATCTCCAATCTCAAAATTGCAAAGAGAGAAAGGCCCAGGAAGATTGATTGCCCAGACTCCCCAAGAACACATATAGATGGACCAAGACTGTCAGATTTCTTCAGAAGTCTTTTTGTTTTCTTTCAGGAAGTTAAAAAAAACAGGTGTAAATCTCTCATACAAGGTTTTAAATATAATGATGATAAATACCACAGTGTTACAATGCTTTTTGACTGTTCCCAATTAATTAAGAAGGCCATCAAACTTACTAAGTGGATGTAAGATATAGCTCTGCTTATATGTAAGATGCATGACAAAATCTACTCTGACCAATGTTCTGAATGGTAACTGAAGGATTATGGAATAACAGGGGCCCAAGTGTGTGTTTTCAAACTAAAGATCTTTTCCTCTTTTCACAGTGTGATTCAGAACAGAGTAGCCATTGGAAGTCTGGCTCAAAACAAATCTGACCTTTTAGAAACTCCTGGGCAGATACATATTAATAAAGGGCCAAATCTCAGATTGCTGAAACTGATAAGGGCAAGGTATGCTAGGTTAGCATGAGTTTGAGGGACATACAGTTGGATGTTACATCAACTTTTAGCACAACTTCCTGGCCCCAATGGCATGGGCAAAACCATCATTTATTTCTTCAGATGACAATGCATTATAAAGATGTAAGTAATATATAAAGAGCTACATTCATTTACTTCCTCCTTTAGGCAAATATTCAAGTACTGCCCTTTTAGTACCAAAAGAATCTTTACAACAAATTTATTAGAGAGTCTATGATTACTGTTTATGGTTTAAAATGCAAACTTCTTTTTTTTTATTTTTAGTAGAGACAGGGTTTCACCATGTTGGCCAGGCTGGTCTCGACCTCCTGACCTCAAGTGATCCGTCCACCTCGGCCTCCCAAGGTGTTGGGATTACAGGCGTAAGCCAGAGCCTGGCCAAAAACTCTTTTATTACCTCAATCTCTTTCTGAACATATAAACCACGCAGCATCCTTAACTTTATTTATTTATATATTTTTTAGAGATGGGGCCTTGTTGTGTCACCCAGGCTATAGCCTTCAACTCCTGGGCTCAAGTGATCCTCCTGCCTCAGCCTCCCAAGTAGCAGGGACTACACATGGTTAATTAAAAAAAAATTTTTTTTTTTTTTGGTAGGGAAGAGTCCCACAATGTTGCCCAGGCTGGTCTGAAACTCCTGGGCTCAAGCGATCCTCCTGCTTCAGTCTCACAAAGTGCTGGGATTACAGGTGTCAGCCACCGTGCCTGGCCACTTAACTTTTATAAGGAGGCAACAGATCCTAACACAAGTGTCCTTAAAGACTAAAATATTAAAAAAAAAAAAAATTAGTTGTCAAGTAGAGAATAAATGATGAAGATTTTCTAGATGACTTGGGAAGAATAATGCCTTAACCTAAAATATTCCTACTGTACTAAAAACACTCTAAAGTTTAAACATCAGTAGGTTCAGGGTTTAGAGTAACAAACATCATTACAGATTTTTTTTATTTTTAGTATTTTTTAATGTAAATAATTGCATTTGTAGAATATTACTCAAAGATTCTCAACATCTTGTTTTTTACTGAATCTTCAAGAAAAAAGGCATACATTACACCTGTTGTTTGTAAATAAGGATAGCCAGTCTCATGTACATCAAGAAATCCCATGAGCTGAAGCATACATCTGCAATAATTTATTGCAATAACTTACCTGTGAATATTTATTTGACATCACATGGAAGAAAATAAAATTAGCAGACTCAAAATGGAATGCAGACAAAAAAAATTTTTTTAAATAATCATTTTGCCTTCTCCATGCCCATCTCGGATGTTTTAAAATTAAAACAAAACAAAATGTACCTGTTTCTAAATATTATAGAGGAAATCAGTGTACCTAGAAGGTGAGATGAGAATCATCTACTTAGGGCAATTCTTAAGAAATTTTAAGGACATTTAAACTTTAATGAGTCAGTAACATATAACAGAAAAAGTTCTAATTCTCGAACTTGGGTTTGAGGTCTCTTTTCCTGACACAGTAAAGAACTTAATCTTCTTGACTATCTTTGTCTGTAAAATAGGGATATGTAATACTATAGAGTTACTGTGAGAATCAGAAAGCATTACAGATGACTCTCACATGTGCTAACTCTAAGAAACTAATTACTGATATTATTATTCCCTAGATTAGTAAGAACAGAGTCAGTTTAAGGTTTTACTACTTTCTATACAGGTTTGAAGGTAATCTCACTCCATTACTTTTAGAATGTCAAGCCCATTATCTGTAATAAAATAGTATCAGCCACATATTTCAAATATAAAGACTTAAAATATTTAAAGTTCTTACCATTTCAGACAATATATCAAATTAGTCATGTCAGCATCAAATGGTCTCGTCTAAATAAAAGAAGTTTCTCAAACATGTTGGATGCTTCTGAATCTAAGTAGTGCTTAAAGAAAAAATAATTTATTCCCTTAAAGTTTCCTAATCTATCTTCCTCTCTTGAATTGCCATCTAGCCCCAGAGTCTCTTCCTCCAGAGTATTTATTTACTAGGTTATTTAGACAACTACAGTTAAAAAACAAACAAAAAACAACAACAACAAAAACTCAGTGGAAGCAAAAGGGCAAATTATTGCAAATTAATAATCAGAAAAAGTTAACTGACTTCATGGTAAATGAAGAAAATGAGAAGTAGGATAAAACAGTTAAAAAAACAAAATTGCCAAGAACACACAATGGGGAAAGGACAGTCTCTTCAATAAACGGTGTTGGAACAACTAGATATCCACATGTAAAAAAATAAAATCAGACCCTTATAATGCATATAAAAATCAACTAAAAATGGTTTAATGACTTAAACATAAGACTTGCAACTGTAAAACCACTAAAAGAAAACACACGGAAAAAGCTCCATGACATTGGTTTGGGCAATGATTTTTCTGGATATGACCCCAAAACCACAGGCAACAAAAAGCAAAAATAAGACAAATGGGATAACATCAAACTAACAGGGTTCTGCACAGCCAAAGAAACAATCAACAGAGTGAAGATACAACCTCTGGAATGGGAGAAAATATTTGCAAACCATACATCTGACAACGGGTTAATATCCAAAATATATAAGGAATGCAAACAACTCATCAGCAAGAAAACAACCTGATTTAAAAATGGGAAAAGAATCTGAAGAGATATTTCTCAAACGAAGACATACAAATGGCCAACAGGTATATGGCAAAAATGCTCAATGTCACTAAACATCAAAGGAATGCAAATTAAAACTACACTGAGATAGCACTTCACACCTGTTACAATGGCTATTATAAAAAAAAAAGAAAACAAGGGAGAGGATGTGAAGAAAAGGACACTCTTGTAAACTGTTGGTGGGAATGTAAATCGGTACAGCCATTATTAGAAAACCGAATGAAGTCTCCTCAAAAAATCAAAAACAGAAAGAGGGCATTACATAATGGTAAAGGGATTAATGCAATAAGAAGAGCTAACTATCCTAAATATATATGCACCAATACAGGAGCACCCAGATTCATAAAGCAAGTTCTTAGAGACCTACAAAGAGACTTAGACTCCCACACAATAATAATGGGAGACTTTAACACCCCACTGTCAATATTAGACAGATCAATGAGACAGAAAATTAACAAGGATATTCAGGATTTCAACTCAGCTCTGGTCCAAGTGGACCTAATAGACATCTACAGAACTCTCCACCCCAAATCAACAGAATATACATTCTTCTCAGCACCACAGTGCACTTATTCTAAAATTGACCACATAATTGGAAGTAAAACACTCCTCATCAAGTGCAAAAGAATGGAAATCCTAACAGTCAAGTCTCTCAGACCACAGTGCAATCAAATTGGAACTCAAGATTAAGAAACTCACTCAAAACTGCACAATTACATGGAAACTGAACAACCTGCTCCTAAATGACTACTGGGTAAATAACGAAATTATTTTAAGTTCTTTGAAACCAATGAGAACAAAGACACAACGTACCAGAATCTCTGGGACACAGCTAAAGTAGTGTTTCGAGGGAAATTTATAGCACTAAATGCCCACAAGAGAAAGCAGGAAAGATCTAAAATGGACACCCTAACATCACAATTAAAAGAACTAGAGAAGCAAGAGCAAACAAATTTCAAAAGCTAGCAGAAGCTAGCAGAAGACGAGAAATACCTAAGATCAGAGCAGAACCGAAGGAAATAAGAGAAACAAAAAACCCTTTAAAAAAAAAAAAATCAATGAATCCAGAAGCTGGTCTTTTGAAAAGTTTAACAAAATAGATTCTGGCCAGATGTCTGCTAGCCAGACAAAGAAGAAAAGAGAGAAGAATCAAATAGACACAATAAAAAATGATAAAGGGGAGATCACCACTGATCCCATAGAAATACAGACTACCATCAGAGAATACTATGAACACCTCTACACAAATACACTAGAAAATCTAGAAGAAATGGATAAATTCCTAGACACATACACCCTTCCAAGACTAAACCAGGAAGAAGTCGAATCCCTGAATAGACCAATAACAAGTGCTGAAATTGAGGCAGTAATTAACAGACTACCAACCAAAAAAAGCCCAGGACCAGATGGATTCACAGCTAAATTCTACCAGAGGTACAAAGAGGAGCTGGTACCATTCCTTCTGAAACTATTCCAAACAATAGAAAAAGGGGGACTCCTCCCTAACTCATTTTATGAGGCCAGCATCATCCTGATACCAAAGCCTGGCAGAGACACAACAAAAAAAGAAAATTTCAGGCCAATATCCCTGATGAACATTGATGGGAAAATCCTCAATAAAATACTGGCAAATCAAATCCAGCAGCACATCAGAAAGCTTATCCACCACGATTAAGTCAGCTTCACCTCTGGGATGCAAGAATGGTTCAACATACATAAATCAATAAACGTAATCTATCACATAAACAGAACCAGTGACAAAAACCACACAATTATCTCAATAGATGTGGAAAAGGCCTTTGATAAAATTCAACAGCTCTTCATGCTAAAAACTCTCAATAAACTAGGTATTGAGGGAACACATCTCAAAATAATAAGAACTATTTATGACAAACCCACAGCTAATACATACTGAATGGACAAAAGCTGGAAGCGTTCCCTTTGAAAACTGGCACAAGACAAGGATGCCCACTCTCACCTCTTCTATTCAACATAGTATTGAAAGTTCTGGCCAGGGCAATCAGGCAAGAGAAAGAAATAAAGGGTATTCACATAGGAAGAGAGGAAGTCAAATTGTCTCTGTTTGCAGATGACATGATTGTATATTTAGAAAACCCCATCGTCTCAGCCCCATATCTCCTTAAGCTGATAAGCAACTTCAGCAAAGTCTCCGGATACAAAATCAATGTGCAAAAATCACAAGCATTCCTATACACCAATAACAGACAGAGAGTCAAATCATGAGTGAACTCCCATTCTCAATTGCTACAAAGAGAATAAAAAACCTAGGAACACAACTTACACGGGATGTGAAGGACCTCTTCAAGGAGAACTACAAACCACTGCTCAAGGAAATAAGAGAGGACACAAATGGAAAAACATTCCATGCTCATGGATAGGGAGAATCAATATCGTAAAAATGGCCATACTGCCCAAAGTAATTTATAGATTCAATGCTATCTCCATCAAGCTACAACTGACTTTCTTCACAGAATCAGAAAAAAACTGCTTTAAATTTCATATGGAACCAAAAAAGAGCCTGTATAGCCAAGACAATCCTAAGGAAAAGGAACAAAGTTGGAGGCATCATACTACCTGACTTCAAACTATACTGCAAGGCTACAGTAACCAAAACAGCATGGTACTGGTACCAAAATGGATATATAGACCAATGGAACAGAACAGAGGCCTCAGAAATAACGCCACACATCTACAACCATCTGATCTTTGACAAACCTGACAAAAACAAGAAATAGGGAAAGGATTCCTATTTAGTAAATGGTGTTAGGAAACTGGCTAGCCATATGCAGAAAACTGAAACTGGACCCCTTCCTTACACCTTATACAAAAATTAACACAAAAATTAACTCAAGAGATAGATTAAAGACTTAAACATAAGACCTAAAACCATAAAAACCCTAGAATAAAACCTAGGCAATACCATTCAGGACACAGGCATGGGCAAAGAATTCATGACTAAAACACCAAAAACAATGGCAACAAAAGCCAAAATTGACAAATGGGATTTAATTAAACTAAAGAGCTTCTGCACAGCAAAAGAAACTATCATCAGAGTGAACAGGCAACCTATAGAATGGGAGAACATTTTTGCTATCTATCCATCTGACAAAGGGCTAATATCCAGAATCTATAAAGAACTTAAACAAATTTACAAGAAAAAAACAAACCACCCCATCAAAAAGCGGGCAAAGGATACGAACAGACACTTCTCAAAAGAAGACATTTATGTGGCCAACAAACATGAAAAGAAAAAAGCTCATCATCACTGGTCATTAGAGAAAAGCAAATCAAAACCACAATGAGATACCATCTCACGCCAGTTAGAATGGTGATTAAAAAGTCAGGAAACAACAGATGCCGGAGAGGATGTGGAGAAATAGGAACACTGTTATACTGTTGGTGGGAGTGTAAATTAGTTCAACCATTGTAGAAGACAGTGTGGCGATTCCTCAAGGATCTAGAACCAGAAATACCATTTGGCACAGCAATCCCATTACTAGGTATATACCCAAAAGATTATAAATCATTCTTCTATAAAGACACATGCACACATATGTTTACTGCAGCACTATTCAAAATACAAAGACCTGGAACCAACCCATATGCCCATCAATGATAGACAGGATAAAGAAAATGTGGCACATATACACCATGGAATACTATGCAGCCATAAAAAAGGATGAGTTCATGTCCTTTTCAGGGACATGGATTAAGCTGGAAACCATCATTCTCAGCAAACTAACACAGGAACAGAAAACCAAACACTGCATGTTCTCACTCAAAAGTGGAAGTTGAACAATGAGAACACATGTACACACGGAGAGGAACATCACACACCAGGGTCTGTCTGCAGGTAGGGGGTCTAGGGGAGGGATAGCATTAGCAGAAATACCTAATGTAGATGACGGGCTGATGGGTTCAGCAAATCACCATGGCATGTGTATACCTATGTAATAAACCGGCATGTTCTGCACATGTATCCCAGAACTTAAAGTATAATAATAAAATTAAAAATAGAACTTCTATATGATCCAGAAATCCCACTACTGGGTATATATCCAAAGGAAATGAGATCAGTGTGTTGAAGAGATATCTCACTCTCATGTTCACTGCTGCATTATTCACAATAGCTAAGATACTGAATCAACCTGTTTCCACCAACAGATGAACGGATTTTTTAAAAATGTGGTTTATATACACAATGGAATACTATTCAGCCTGTCATCTGGAGCAACATGAATGAACCCAGAGGAAGTTATGTTATATGAAATAGGCCAGGCACAAAAGGACGAATACCATATGAACTCACTTACATGTGGAATCTAAAAACGTTGAAGTCACAGAAGTACAGAGAAGAATGGTGGTTCCCATGGGATTAGAGAAGGAAATGTGTTGGACAAATGTTGGTAAAGGATATAAAATTTCAGTTAGCTCAGAGGAATGAGTTCAAGAATTCTACTGTATAACATGATGACTATAGCTAATAACAATGTACTGTATTCTTGAAAATCACTGGCCAGGTGCAGTGGCTCACACCTGTAATCCCAGCACTTTGGGGGGCCAAGGCAGGCGGATCACAAAGTCAGGAGTTCGAGACCAGCCTGGCCAATATGGTGAAACCCCATCTCCACTAAAAATACAGAAGTTAGCTGGGTGTGGTGGTGGGCGCTTGTAGTCCCAGCTACTTGGGAGGCTAAGGCAGGAGAATTGCTTCAACCCGGGAGACGGAGGTTGCAGTGAGCCAAGATCATGCCACTGCACTCCAGCCTGGGTGACAGAGTGAGACTCTGTCTCAAAACAAACAAACAAACAACAAAAAAAAAACCCAAAACCACTAAGATTTTAAGTGTTCTTCTCACCACAAAAAGGGGTAATTATGTGAGGCAATAAATGTTAATTAGCTCAATTTAGCCATTCCACAACATATACATACTTCAAAACATCATATTGTTCACAGTAAGTATACACAAGTTTTGTCAACTTAAAAAAGTAAAAAATAAAAGCACAGAAATACATTTTAAAACAAAAACCTCATTTTTCTTTCAGCTTGAGTATGAATTTCATGTCAACTATTTAGAGTATCTCTGCTTATTTTGTATGTGTAAGTATTCTCAGAAATATGTACTTCCTTTTTACCTTTAGATTTGGGAATCAGCTCTCCACAACTGAGTATCCGTACCTCCGCAAACGGTTTGCTAGCTGCATCTGTTTTCTGGTTTTCAATCTCTCTTACAACTTCTTGACCAGAGATTACTTGTCCAAAAACAACATGATGCCTAAAGTGTCAAGTAAAAAATTATTAAATAAAAGCTTTTTATTTCAAGGTTAATTTAAAACAGGTTGTAAAATAAATAAAATAATATTTACCCATCTAAATGAGGAGTTGGTTTCGTTGTTCTTTTGGAAATCATCAGATAGAAGAATAAAAACAAAGTCAGAGAAAAACAAAGTTAGCATCTCTAAAAAGAAAAAGAAAATAACTGTATTGGAAACAAAGTTGAAAACAAAGACATCAACTGCTATCTTAATATAATCATATTACCTCAATCTTAAGTAGAACAGAAGGCAAAATGCTTTCCACATAATGTATTTATCAAACTTGTTCTAATTATAAAAGCAATATCTACTTACTGCTGAAAACTTTTATGTAACTAAAATAGACATTTCAGTGTTATTTCTAACCATTCATGTTTCTTGCACTTGAGTTCTTACTGAATAGTCATAATTGTATAATGTTCTACATGTAGACATATCAAAATTTATGAAACAATTCCACCAGTGTTTGAGTTTAACAATAATGCTTTTCAATCTTAACATTTTAAACAGTTAAGCACGGGCTATATTCTTATGATCCTCAGACATATACTGTTGGACTTGAACAGAAATGGTTCATATCGTGTTTACAAGTTTTTTTTGTTTTTATTTTTTTGATTTGGAGACAGGGTCTCATGCTGTTGTCCAGGCTGCAGTGCACTGGCACAACCTTGGTTCACTGCATCCTGAACATTCTGGGCTCAAGCTATCCTCCTGCCTCAGCATCCCAAGTAGCTGGGACTATAGGTGCATGCCAGCATGCCTGGCTAATTTTTGTATTTTTTGTAGAGACAGGTCTCACTATGTTGCCCAGGCTGGTCTCAAACCTGGGTTCAAGCGATCCTCCCACTTTGACCTTTCAAAGTGCTGGGATTACAAGTATGAGTCATTGCCCCGCTGAGAGTTTACAAGTTTTTTAATTAGCTGCAAGAGATCTGGATTAGGAGTTGGGAAAAAAAATTAAAATAAGCATTTTTTGGCAAACGAAATTATTTTTAAAAAATCCCACTCCCCACCATCAACCTTAAAGCTATGTAGGTAAAAAGGTTGCTACTTGAATACGTACTAAAAACACTGGTATGAAAATTAAAGATTAGCATTTTATAAGATTTTTTATTTTTAAAAAACCTTATCAAAAAGCTATTAGAAATTCGAAAAAAGGAGCATAATTTATGCTAATCTTTGGTGAAAGCATGTACAATACCACTGAAAAAATTATAACATATAGCTGAATTTTTAGGTTTACCTAATTATAAAATTAATGACCTGCTATTGTTTCCTCATTGTGACACTATGCTCACTTCAACTCACTAAAATCACCTAGAAATGTAAAAACCTAGGTGTACACTATGTGTATTCATATAACATGTTATAGTCACAATGCATATATATGATTTGCATTTAGATATAGTTGATCCTCACTTCACTGATAACTTTATTTGCAAGTCTGCCTGCTCACTAAAACTTATTTGTAATCCCAAAATTAAAAAATTACAGCTTGTGGTGCTTTCATGGTAATTTACAGATACACATAGTGTGGCAAATAAGTGTGCTGGGCAAGGATGTGGAAAAATAAATAACTCCTGTACATTGCTAACGGGAATGTAGAATGGTGCAACCACTATGGAAAACAGTATGGAAGTTCCTCACAAAGCTAAACAGAGTATTAGCATATAACCCACCAATTCACTCCTAGGTATATATTCAAAAGAACTAAAAAAAGAAACTCAAATGCCAATGCTCACTGCAGCAGTATTCACAATAGCCAAAATGTGAAAACAAGTCAAATGTCCACTAACAGATGAATCAAAAAATGTGGTATATACATATAGTGGAATATTACACAGCCATAAAAAATGGACTTCATGCCAGGTGCAGTGGCTCACGTCTGTAATCCCAGCAGTTTGGGAGGCCAAGGCGGGTGGATCATGGGGTCAGGAGATCGAGACCATCCTGGCTAACACGGTGAAACCCCGTCTCTACTAAAAATACAAAAATTAGCCAGGCGTGGTGACAGGCGCCTGTAGTCCCAGCTACTGGGGAGGCTGAGGCAGGAGAATGGCGTGAACCCGGGAGGTGGAGCTTGCAGTGAGCCGAGATTCTGCCACTGCACTCCAGGCTGGGCAACAGAGCAAGATTCTGTCTCAAAAAAAAAAAAAAAAAAAAAATGGAGTTCTGATACATGTTACAATATAAATAAACCTTGGAAACATTTTTAAGTGAAACAAGCCAGATACAAAAGGACAAAAATTGTGGAATTCCACTTAAATAAAATATGCGGAACAGGCAAATTCATAGAGGTTACCAGGGATTGGGGGAAAGGGGAAATGGTACAGAGTCTCTGCAACAATGAAACAATTCTGGAAATAGTGGTGATGGTTGTACAACACTGTGAATACACATGACTCACTAGGCCCAGTGGCTCACACCTATAACCCCAGCACTTTGGGAGGCTGAGGCGGTAGGATCACTTGAGCCTAGGAGTTTGAGGCCGCAGTGAGCTATGATTGTGCCACTGCACTCTAGCTTGGGCAACAGAGCAAGACTCTGTCTCAAATAAATAAATAAATAAATAGCTATAAACAAGACTGAATTGTACACTTACAAATGGTTAAAATGGCAAATCTTCTATATGTTATAGTACAAAAAAATTTTTTTTAAGACTGAAGCTCTCTAAAAATTGAAGTTATTTCCTTTAAAAAACAGAACACAGAAGAAGGGTTACCTACGAAATAGGAAGATATAAGGAGTAACAAACATTTAGAGGGAAGATTCTGAGAATATATATATGAAGGATTATATGAACTTAACATAGGAGTTTTGGTTAGTGCAGGAAAGATTTTATTTAAAAGAGGAAAATAAATTATAATACTCTGTTGAGAATGTGGTGAAATTAGCATTTACATACTACTGGTGCTACAGTAAACTATCCTTTCCTTTTGAAAATCAACATAACAATATATATGAAAAGGCTTAAAAATGTGTAAATAGTTCATTAAGTAAACTTCTTAAATATTAAAACTGCATCAAATGATAGGCACAACAATGTTCATTGGAGCAGTTTGAAAAACAGGAAGCAAACCAAATGTCCCAAAATAAGATTAATAATGCACAGTACTTTCAAGCAAGAGATTAACATGTAGCCATTAAAAAGCTAATATTTAGTGATGTGCAGAGATTTATATTATAGCCAAAAGTTGACTATAGAACGACACTCTACAAACATTTTTAATGCACAGAAAGATGCTCTGGGAATGGGATTTTTGTGTGTGTGTCTTATCTGTGTTTTCTTTCTTTTTTTCTTTTTCTTTTTTTACAATGAAGAGGTAATTATAAGTTGTTTTATTTGTTTGTTTCTGAGATGGAGTCTTGCTCTGTAGCCCAGGCTGGAGTGTAGTGGCACGACCCTGGCTCACTGCAACCTCCACCTTCCTGCCTCAGCCTCCCGAGTGGCTGGGATTACATGCGCCCGCAAGCACACCCAGCTAATTTTTGTATTTTAGTAGAGACTGGGTTTCACCATGTTGGCCAGGCTGGTCTCGAACACCTAACCTCAAGTGATCCACCCGCCACCTCGGCTTCCCAAAGTGTTGGGATTACAGGCATGAGCCACTGCACCCAGCCATAAGTTGTTTTGTTTAAAAAGAAAATCAGAGATCCACATTATGTGCAATTGGTTGAATAAACTATGGTATACACAAACAATAGAGTACTATGCAGCTGCAAAAAAGAATAAGAATGATCTCTATAAACTGTTATGGAGTATTTTAAGGATATACTGTTAAGTGAAGAGTGAAACAGTATACATGGTATGCCATCTACGGTGTAAGAAAGGGAAAGTGAGAAAATGTATACATGTATTTGCTTATGTTTACAAACAGAAATACAGGAAGATAAACTGGAAATTAGGTTGGTTATTAACATGTATAGATGGAACTGGGGTGAAAAAAAAAAGGAAATGGGAATGGAGTGGAAGGGTTGGGTGGGAGAGACACTTCACAGTATTCTTTTTGTTTTGACTTTGGAAATGTTACTATTTCATAAACTTAAAAAAATGCAAAAAAAAAATATCAAAACTAGGTAGGAAGGAGAACAAAATGAAATATAACCAGAAAGGAATAAACCTAACACATTTTGAGTGAATCACAAAGCCAAACCAAAAAAGAACTAATTTAAGTCACTTTTAAACTTGGTGTTTAACTACCTACACTCAGTCTAAAAACGAAAATAAGGATAAAGAAATAGTGAACTCTAGTTAGTTGGTCTTTCTTTACAGCAGTATGGGATGGCAACTGTTCATTCTAGGAATCAATAAAGAACAGAAATGTTGAAGATAATCAGGCGCCAGATTTCTCACTGTTGAACAGTTAACAAATACAGAATAGGGAAATGACAGAATAATCCACATGGTACTGACAGATTAAATTCCTCACAGAACAAGAGATTTCAAGGCTACCGAACAGAACAAACCTATACCCATAAGATAGGATTTTAAAAACAGGCATTACTGACAACAGGCCTGGTCATAATTTTTTTTGTAGTTGGAATTGGAAATCCTTAGCATTTGGAGGTTACAAATAAATTTTAGTGAGAAGGTGAATTCACAAAGACAGAATCTATGAATAGTGAGAACTGACTGCATTTTATTCTTTGTAATTAAGTAATTTACGGAGAAATACTCTGTAAACATCTAGTTTCTCACTGAAATCACCCCTCTAAATTTAGCATCAATAGAAGATTCTTGCCTGGGTCAGTCATTACTGTGATGATTACAAAATGGTGACTTTTCTAACTCCACCATTCCGTTTAAATTTATTAGTTGACATTCTAATAAGGGAACAGCTTCCCTTCTCTCTCATTATTTAATCATTTATTTATATCAGTGTAGACTGCTGGTTCCTATTTGACCATAAACTGATATTACTGTTACTTATTTTGATGCTGAAATTATCCTAATTTGGCTAGTGGGAAACCTTTAACCTGGCTCCTGTGTTCTCTTGACAAGTCTCCATTATTTCAAAACATTAGCAGAACAATTTAACTTCCCCTCTATAACAATTTTCCCTCTTCAACAATTTTGGCCAGGTGCCATAGCTCACATGTGTAATCCCAGCCTGGAGTCCAGCCTGGGCAACACAGGGAGACCCCGTCTCTACAAAAAAATTAAAAAATTAGCCAGGTGTGGTGGCACACACCTGTAGTCCCATCTACTTGAAAGGCTGAGGTGTAGAGGATTGCTTGAGCCAGGGAGGTCGAGGCTGTGGTGAGCCATGATTGCAACACTGCACTCGCCTGGGTGACAGAGCAAGACCTTGTCTCAAAAACAACAACAAAAAAATCAATTATTTGTTCCCCTTCCTTCAACAATTCCGTCCCTCATAGATTCCTCTCCTATTTATTAGTAATCAATGGCAGGCACACAGAGAAATGACAGACCAAAAACGGGATTTTTTTTTTTTTTTTTTTGAGACAGTCTTGCTCTGTCACCCAGGCTGGAGTGCAGTGGCGCAATCTCAGCTCACTGTAAGCTCCCCCTCCCGGGTTCACGCCATTCTCCTGCTTCAGCCTCCCAAGTAGCTGGGACTACAGGCGTCCGACACCATGCCCAGCTAATTTTTTTGTATTTTTTAGTAGAGACGGGGTTTCACCGTGTTAGCCAGGATGGTCTCGATCTCCTGACCTCGTGATCCGCCCGCCTCAGCCTCCCAAAGTCCTGGGATTACAGGCATGAGCCACCGTGCCCGGCCCAAAAATGGGATGTTTTAAATCATCAGATAATAAATACTTACATGAAGAACTGTGAACCATTTGTATCCTTCCCTCTGTTGGCCATTGACAAGAGAAATTCTTTGTTGTGTTTAACAGCGAAACTCTCGTCTATAGAGAAGTAAAGTTTTCAGTTACATTATAGATATAACCTCCAAAAAAATTTCATCTTCACTTCTATTCATATCTGATGTATTATTTAGTGCCACACACAACTTACTTAGATAATAAAGTTAGGTTATGAAAGAAGAGAATCAAATATGAATCAATTTCCCCTCTCATCTTTTTTTTTGAGATGGAGTCTCGCTCTGTTGCCCAGGCTGGAGTGCAGTGGCCCAATCTCGGCTCACTGTTAAGCTCCACCTCCTGGGTTCACGCCATTCTCCTGCCTCAGCCTCCTGAGTAGCTGGGACTACAGGCGCCCATCACCACGCCCAGCTAATTTTTGTATTTTTAGTAGAGACGGCATTTCACCGTGTTAGCCAGGATGGTCTCAATTTCCTGACATCGTGATCCGCCCGCCTCGGCCTCCCAAAGTGCTGGGATTACAGGCATGAGCCACCGTGCCCAGCCTCCCCTCTCATCTTTTTAAGATTCAAATATTATTAATTTTCTATTATTTGCTTATAAAACCCAAATATTATCTCAATCCCCTTCCTTTCCATTTATATTTGTCCTTCACAATTTTTGGAAAAGATAACACCACTTTATTTAAATAAAAAAATGAAACTATCTTTAAAAAGCAAGAAACAGCTGAGCACAGTAGTGTGGCTGTAGTCCTAGCTACTCAGCAGGTTGAAGCAGGAGGATCACTGGAGCTCAGGAGCTTGAACCTAAAGTGCACTATGATCACACCCATGAAAAGCCACTGCATTCCAGCCCGGGCAACACAGTGAGATCCCATCTCTTAAAAAAAAGAGTGAGACAGTCCAGATTAGATTCTTTTACATTTCATCTGTTTCATTTCTGAGCACACAGAGTATTATTTAGTCTGGACTCATTAACTTAACCTCTGCCATAGCATCACTTACCGCAAAAGGAGGAATTTGTTTTCCAATCTTGGGTTAGAATATTAAGAACAAATCATGTAGAATTTTAAACAACATTTCACTAAATGTCAAAAGTGAAGGATGAAAAATATTAAATTATTTCCACATTAAATATGCTTATAGACCATTTTCCAAATGGTCTTCACATCAACAAAAAAATTCCAGCAAGAAAACTTAAATTTTTGGAAAATATTATAGTCAAATTTTAGAATATCAAAGATTTTTTAAAAATGTTCATAGAAAAAATGACCTAAAATTTGGATGTTGTAAGAAATATTGCTGAATCTCCTTTAATAAAAGTTAAGATTGACCTACGGAAGTTCCTATTCTATCATTAAAATTCTAAGAATTAAGTACAGATCATTGAAACCCTTTCAAATCATGTTGTAAAAATGTCCTAAGAAGAAAAAATACCCATCTGTATAAAAAGCAATTTTTTTTACCAGAAAATTAACCTTCAGATTAGTTGAAGGCAGCTAGACATTAGTATACCCTTTAATGAATAATGTTATTGATTCCATAGAGAATAAAATAGAATAAAAGACAAAATATTTAAAACATAATATAAATGTAAACATTTTTACCTTCAAAAAATCCTCCATAGATAGATTCCCCTCCTCGTCCATTTCCTAAAAATGAAAAACATACTCTTATAACTCTCAGTAAGCTCCTCAAAGGTGATACCTAAACAAAATACTTCTTGTAAAGTAGATTTTTGAATAATTTTGAATTAACAATATTCGAAGATTGCAGCAAATCATAAAAGATATTAATGTCAATAACGACAAGGTCCCAAATTACTTTCTTTCCCCTATGCTATGATAGCAAGAATGTGACGAAGACTATTAAAATATATTTTAAAAAAGAACTTTCAGATTCTAATTATGATTATGCAGGTCTTGCAACAGGTTAACATTTTTTCAAAGTTTTTTAAAACTATAGTTTTGATATTTTTACAATAAAAAAGTAAAAATTTTTATTGTAGTAAGGATTACCACTTGTGACAAAATCAAACAGAAACACTTGACAGATTACTGAGATGAATGCAGTGTTGTTTTGTATCCAGAAGCCTATTTCTGAAATTCATGTGTCAAAGGCAAAATTATTTTCTATGAGCTTCCTTCTTTTTTTTTTTTTTTTTGAGACAGAGTCTTGCTCTGTCATTCAGGCCGGAGTGCAGTGGCACAATCTCAGCTCACCGCAACTTCCACCTTTCGGGTTCAAGCCATTCTCCTGCCTCAGCCTCTCAAGTAGCTGGGACTACAGCCACGTGCCATCATGCCCAGCAAATTTTTCTATTTTTAGTAGAGGCAGGGTTTCACCATGTTGGCCAGGCTGGTCTCGAACTACTGACCTCGTGATCCGCCCACCTCGGCCTCCCAAAGTGCTGGGATTACAGGCGTGAGCCACCGCACCCAGCCTATGAGCTTCCTTCTTTTACATATTTCTATGAGTACTTCTAATTGACCAAAGATTAAATGGAGTGAGAGTGACAAGAATATTGGACTAAAACTTCTAGGGACTTGTCTAACTTTGAGATCTGTGATATTTAACAGAAAATAATACATGATTTTTCCAAGTCTCACCTTCACTGAAGTCACCACCTTGAACCATAAAATCCTTGACAACTCTGTGAAAGAGACAACTCTTATAATGTAATGGTTTCTGAGTTGATTTCCCGGTCCCCTTTTCACCTATAGAGATAAAAAAATAGGACATTTAATAGAAAGGAAATCAAAGTAGTATGAAAGCAAAATAAATGTAAAATATGCCCCTCTTGAACCCTGCAGACTTAAAATCATATTTTCATTCCTTTCAGGAATTTTTTTTTAAAAATTCATTTAAAAAATCACCCACGTTATTTCTGGAGAATGTAGAAATCACTCTCAAATAATATACCTTTACAACTAATGTTTGGTTTTAGGTTTTTTTTTGAGACAGAGTCTAGCTCTGTCACCCAGGCTACAGTGCGGTGGCACGATCTTGGCTCACTGCAACCTGCGCCTCCTGGGTTCAAGTGATTCTCCTGCCTCAGCCTCCTGAGTGGCTGGGATTACAGGCACCTGTCACCACACCCGGCTAATTTTTTTTTTCGTAGAGACTGAATTTCACCATGTTGGCCAGGCTGGTCTCAAAATTCCTGACCTCAAGTGATCCACCCACCTCGGCCTCCCAAACTGCTGGGATTACAGGCATGGGCCACCACACTTGGCCTCTATTTTTTTAATTGAGACAGGATCTCACTCTTGTCGCCCAGGCTGGAGTGCAGTGGAGTGATCTTGGCTCACTGCCACCTCCGCCTCCTGGGCTCAAGCGAATCTCCCGCCTCATCCTCCAGAGTAGCTGGGACTACAGGCACACACCACCATACCCAGCTGATTTTTTGTTATTTATTTTTTTGAGACAGAGTTTCACTCTTGTTGCCCAGGCTGGAGAGCAATGGTGCGATCTTGGCTCACTGCAACCTCCATCTAGGGTTCAAGTGATTCTCCTGTCTGAGCCTCCCGAGTAGCTGGGATTACAGGCACCCACTACCACGCCTGGCTAATTTTTATTTTTTCAGTAGAGATGAGGTTTCACTATGTTTGCCAGGCTGGTCTCAAGCTCCTGACATCAGGTGATCTGCCTGCCTTGGCCTTCCAAAGTGCTGGGGTTACAGGCGTGAGCCACCACGCCTGGCCGATTATTTGCATTTTTAGTAGAGATGGGGTTTCACCATGTTGGACAGGATTGTCTTGAACTACTGACCTCAAGTGATCCACCCACCTCGGCCCCCCAAAGTGCTGGGATTACAGGTGTGAGCCACCATGCCCAGCCACACCGTGCCCAGCCATAATATTTCTTTCTTTTTTTTTTTTTAGATGGAGTCTCGCTCTTCTAGCTCAGGCTGGAGTGCAATGGCACGATCTCGGCTCACCGCAACCTCTGCCTCTCGGGTTCAAGTGATTCTCCTTCCTCAGCCTCCCAAATAGCTGGGACTACAGGCGTGCGCCACCACATTTGGCTAATTTTTGTATTTTTAGTAGAGATGGGGTTTCACCATCTTGGCCAGGCTCGTCTGGAACTCCTGACCTCGTGAGCCACCCCCCTCGGCCTCCCAGAGTGCTGGGATTACAGACATGAGCCACTGCGCCTGGCTGCCCAGCCATAATATTTCTAAGAATTACTTTCACGCCCTAGTCACTGCTGTGTAATCTTCATGTTAAGAGAAAAGTAATATGCATGGAGAAATCTAAAATAGAGTAAATAAAAAATTAAAGCAAGCTATGCCAGGTGTGGTAGCTCACACCTGTATCCCAGCTGAGGACGCTTATGTGTAAGGATTGATGAGCCCAGGAGTTCTAGTCCAGTTGGACAACGTTGCAAGATCCTGTCTCAAAAAAAAAAAAAAAAAAAAAAAAAAAACCAAGCAAGCAAGCAAGCCATAGTCAACTGAGACTACTATTAGGGCAGTTGAAAATGTGAACAAACCTGTACAAAGACAACGAAAGTTCTCGCATGTTTTGGGGCACACATCAGAAAATAATTCAAAGACAACTCTTCCAGCTGAAAAAGAAGGTAGTTGGTTAAACTTCTTTACTAATTTAAAATATTAAACACCCATTTATAAATGTCAACTAATATTCTTACCAGGTTGATTGTTAATGGCAATGTCAAAAAAACATCGAGGACGTTGAACCTTTATTCCCATGGCTCCAATACTTAATCTGTGAGTAAAATACAGTTTCAGACAAGCAGACTAAAATAGCAAAGATCTTTCACAAATTTCTGGAAAAAAAATTCTGTGAAACAATATTAGAAATATAGTTTGAATTTATTTTGATATTTATTTCTATGAGGTAAATCACATGGATTATTAGTGCTTTCTTTTTAGAGATTAGATTGCATTTTGTGAAGCAATTAGAAAAGACTTGAAAGTTAAGCCTTAACCATTATTATGTAATCAACTTTCTATTTATCAACCGGAATACAGATTAATAGCTCAAACAGAAAATTGTATTTACTCTGTATGATTAGTGAACTCAATAAGCAGATTACCTTCAAATGAAGAAAAGACCAAAAAAAAACAAGGACAACTGATCCCTGTGCTCCTAGAAAACAAAAATGAGAGTTCTGATTAAAATGTGAGATTTTTAAGAAGCAAAAATCATGTAAGAAGAAAAAGAATAGTATATAGTTAATATACTATTTAACTATTGTTAAATAGTATATAGTTAATATACTATTTAACTATTGTTAAATAGTATATGTGGTAGATTTACATTTTGAGTAAAAGCACATTCAATTTTACATATGAGGGTACTTGCTGATTCTGAGCAACAGCCTTTACTGATATGCTGGTATAGACACAAAAAATACCAAAGAGATACTCTGTGTAACAGCTTTATTTCCATAACAGAAAGCTATTATTTAACAGACATTATTTTGATAAGGCATTTTATTTTAAGGACTTAAAATGCTGAATCGTAATACTTGGTGGAAGATGATACTTACCCGTAGAAGAAACAAAGGCACTAAGTGTAAATAGTATCCAAAATGATGGACTCTAAAAATGACAGTTTCATATGCTATGTACGCTATGTTATATTTCAATAAAAATTTACTTTATTAAAAATAATTAATATATCTAAGACAAAACTCTTTATTCTTCTACCTCCATTCCCTTGAATACTCAGTAAACATTATCATTGTCCAAGCCAGCTGCTGAGGCTGAAAACCTGGGGGTCATCTTCGGTTCCACTTTCCCTCATACCTCATTATCCAAACCATTAGGAAGGTAATTTGGCTCTAGCTTCAAAAACTATCCCAAAAGTTCTCATTACCTTTACCATTATCATTTCTTATCTAGGCTATTCCAATAGCCTCCTAACTGGTTTCTCTTATTTTACTCTTAATTCTGTACTGCCTCTTCTGCACAAAATAGCCAGAGTGGAATGATTCTTTTAAAACACAAACCTTATCATATCCTTCCCCTGCCTAAAACTGTCTTACTATTCATCTGAAAAGTTTTAGCATGGATTTTAAGGCTCTAGACCAGCACTGCTCAATAAAAACATGAGCCACCCAGGTATAAAATTTTTCAGTAGCCACATTTTGACAAACAAAAACAGGCTAATTTTGGGCCGGGTGCGGTGGCTCACGCCTGTAATCCCAGCACTTTGGGGGGCTGAGGCGGGCGGATCAGGGTCAGGAGTTCGAGACCAGCCTGACCAACATAGTGAAACCCTATCTCTATTAAAAATGCAAAAATTAGCCGGCTGTGGTGGCGGGTGCCTGTAATCCCAGCTACTCAGGAGGCTGAGGCAGGAGAATTGCTTGAGCCCGGGAGGTAGAGGTTGCAGTGAGCCAAGACTGCACCACTGCACTCCAGCCTGGGGGACAGAGCGAGACTCAAACAATCAAACAAAAACCAGGCTAATTTTAATATATTCTATTTAACTCAGTATGTACAGATTGAATATCCTTTATAGGAAATGCTTGGGACCAGAAGTGTTTCAGATTTTTTTTTTGAATTTTGGAATATTATCATACACGAGATATCCTGGGGATGGGACACAGTTTAAACACAAAATTCATTTATATTTCAAACATACCTTATGCATACAGCCTGAATTGTATGTGTAATTTTATACAACTTAAAAAATAATTTTGTGCATGAAACAAAGTTTGTATTAAGTACTTATGTGTGAAATTTTCAATTGTGATGCTCAGAAAGTTTACATTTTGGACCTCAGATTTTCAGATTAGTGATGTTCAACTTGTACAACCAAACTATTACCACTTCAAAATATACTAAACAAAAATGTTACTGAGTTTTTTTTTTTTGTACAAGTCTTTGGAAATCCAGTGTATATTTTATCCTTGAAGCATATCTCAATGTAGACTAGCCACATTTCAAGTGCTCAAAAAGCACATGTGGCTTGTGGCTACTGTAATTTCAATTATACGGCTCTAAATATTTTAGCTCCTGTTCACCTCTAGGCATTTTCCTCAACTTTCATTTCCTAACATCTTCTAATATTTTCCTCAACTTTATTTCAGCTACATTGGTATCCTGCTTGTTCCCCCTGCCACCCAACAGCCTACTCTTTCATCAGGTCCTTTACATTTGCTGTTCTCTCCACCTGGAATGCTCTCAAACCATCTTCACATGGTTCATCCCTTTGTTGCTCAAGTATCACCTTCTTATAGAGGCCCATTCCTAGTCTACTGTATTCAAGAAAGGAGCTCTCATCCTCCTAACACTTTACATCCTCTTATTCTGCTTTATTTTTCTTCCAAGCATTTATTGCTAATTGATATTCAATTTTTATATCCATCTTCTCTCACTAGAATATAAGTTCCATGATGTGATAAACCTGAATTTTCAGTCTTATTCTTACTGCTCAAACAGTGCTTGGCATATGACAAGAAATCAGTGTTTATTAAATGAATGAATAAATGTGAGAGGATAGGCATAAGTGAGAATGTAAAATTGCAGTAACAACAACAAAAAAATGGAAACACTCAAAATATCTTACAATGGGGAGAAACTGAACAAATTACGGTATAAAATGCTATTTAATACTATATGGCAGTTTCATTGTAACACAAGCCAAGAAACCTACTGTTTAGTTCAAAAGAAACAAAAAAGTAAATTGTACATAAGTATTTCTTTTAACACCATAAAACAATACCCTATTTCTACAAAGAGAGATCTTGAAAATACTATATATACCAAACTCCTCACAGAATCTCTGCAAAAGGGACTGAGTCTAGGAATGGAAGTCATTGGGGGCCTTCAGCTTTACGTATAAGGTTTGAATTTTTGCAATAAGAATATGTTCATGTATTAGTTTTTCAACTTAAAATTCATAAAAGTTTAAAATGTATCTGCACAGTAAAACAAAATAGGAAATAAATGAAAATATTGAGTCTATCTCTAAGTAAATGAGTTATAGGTGATTTTTATTTTAGTTTTTGCATTTCCTAGGTTGTATACAGCAGACTTATGAAAGAAACTCAGGTAAGCATGTAATTTAAATCTTCAATTATATATTTTTTTCTTTTTTCTTATTTTTGTTTTTGTTTTTCAATGACATTTTTAAAGTGTCTCACTGTCATGATTACTACATCATGATTGAGCATCCTAAATCTGAAAACCCCAAATCTGAAATTTTCTGAGTGCCAAAAAGACACCCAAAGGAAATGCTCATTGGAGCATTTTGGATTTTCAGAATTGGAAGGTTTAACTGGTAAGTATATTGCAAACATTCCAAAATCTGAAAAAGTCAGAAATCCGCAATAATATGGTCCAAAGCATTTTGGGTAAGAGGTACTCAACTAGTGCTGCTGTTTAACATGTAAAGAGCTTAGGAGGCTGGGAGCAGTGGCTCACACCTGTAATCCCGGCCCTTTGGGGGGCTGAAGCAGGCAGATTGCTTAAGTCCAGCTGTTCGAGACCAGCCTGGGCAACATGGCAAAACCCTGTCTCCACAAAAAATACAAAAATTAGACAGGCATGGTGGCACATGCCTGTAGCCCCAGCTACTGGAGACGCTGAGGTGGAAAGATCACTTGAGCCAGGGAGGCGGAGGTTGCAGTGAGCCAAGATCAAGCCACTGTACTCCAGCCTGGGTGACAGTGAGACCCCGTTTCAAAAAAAAAAAAAAAATTTTTTTTTCCTCTCACAAAATGTGTACCTCCCCACAAAATAGAAACTAAGAAAAGTACTTGCGAATATTTACCTGAACCCTGGATATGAAACAGCTTTTTAGATTCACTAATGAAGTAAATAATGGAGATAAACAGATTTGAACTTATGAAAAAAATTATTTCTATTTGTCTATGTGAAATTAAAAAGAAAAAAATTGGGGAAAATACATTGTCATAGTTGCTGAGAATATTAATTTTCTTAAGCAGTGCTTAGGAATGGGGGCACTAGGGCAATTCATTGAGTAGGGTTATCCAACTCACTGCAGAACCTTAAGCAACCCTTGCCCTATTAAATATCAGTCACTGTGACAACCAAAACCTTTCACTGTCTGTCTATCAAATTAAAGCTCAAAGGACACCTAAGGGTGTATGAGCAGAGAATTCACAAAAAGTGAAATAACAAAAAAAAACATAAAAGGCACCAGCAGTTTTGATAAGCAACTTGGCATTACAGGCCAAGAATCTTGAATATATTCATATTCATTGTACCTTTTAACATTTTACTAATTCTATGTACTGGAATATCTGTAAAGGCAACCATTTAAAATAAAATAGTCCTTGGGTTTTTTTTTAAATAACAGTAAGCACAAACAACTTAAATGTCTAACACAATAGTTAAGTAAATTAGTTTGTGATGGACTGCCTAAGAAAATAAGCTTTTTAAAATAACATGAAAAAATGTGTTAAATGCCACATGAAAAAAGATAATTGTACAGTAGTAAGAATTACTTAAAAAATACCCCCATGAAATGAAATACTATCTATGAGAAATCATAATCTTACATATTAAAATTACAAACGTAACATTTTTTCACCAATTGGATTGACAAAAATAAAAAATGACCTCATTTATTGTTGCTGCTGGTAAAGGGATAAACTGATAGAATTACTTGATTGCCAATTTGACAACAAATATCCATATTACAAATGCATTTAAGACTCTCTGACTCAGTAATTCCACTTCTAGGAATTTACTTTATGTACATCCTTACACATTCGCAAAATAAGATATGTGCAAGGTTATTCAATGTACCATAATTTGTAGTAGTAAAAGGCTGTAAACCTAAATGTCCATAAAGGAGGAACAGGTTATAGAAATATAAACCTGTATTTATATAAATATAAATATTTACCTATATTTACATAAATATATTTACCTGTATTTATATAAATATATTTACCTGTATTTATATACATATAAATATTTACCTGTATTTATATAAATATAAATATTTATAATACTTTGATAAATGTATATATAATTTGATATATAATACAAAATAATTTAATAAATATAAATCAGGTATACCACTGTATACCTGTAGAAAGTACAAAGCTATTAGAAAGAATGAGAAATCTGTTCATTTACTGCTGTCTCCAAGATAGGGAGAACTATTTCCTAAAATCTGTAAATGTTAACTTATTTTGTTAAATGAAAAAGAAAATAAGCCAGGCGCGGTGGCTCATGCCTGTAATCCCAACATTTTGGGAGGCCGCTTTGGGTGGATCACAAGGTCAGGAGATCGAGACCATCCTGGCTAACACGGTGAAACCCCGTCTCCCCTAAAAATACAAAAAAATTAGCCGGGTGTGGTGGCAGGCGCCTGTAGTCCCAGCTACTCAGGAGGCTGAGGCAGGAGAAAGGTGTGAACCCGGGAGGCAGAGCTTGCAGTGGGCCAAGATCGCGCCACTGCACTCCAGCCTGGGCGACAGAGCAAGACTACCTCTCCAAAAAAAAGAAAAAGAAAATAAAAGGCTAGATGCAGTGGCTTACACTTTAGAAGGCTGAGACAGGTGGATTGCTTGAGTCCAGGAGTTTGAGACCAGCCTGGGCAACATGGCAAAACCGTCTCTACAGAAAATATAAAAATTAGCTGGGCATAGTGATGCATGCCTGTAGTCCCAGCTACCTGGGAGGCTGAGGCAGGAGGATCATTTGGGCCCAGGATGCGGAGGTTGCAGTGAGCTGAGATTGTGCCATGGCACTCCAGATTGGGCGACAGAGTGGGACCCTGTATCAAAAAAAAAAAAAAGGTTGCCCAGGCATGGTGGCTCATGCTTATAATCCCAGCACTTAGGAAGGCTGAGGCAGAAGGATTGAAACACCAGGCTGGGAAACATAGGGAGAACTTTGTTTCTATTTCAAACAAACAAACAAACAAACAAACAAACAAACAAACAAGCAAGGTACAGAAGTGTGTAGGATATACTGTCTTTGTATATTTTTAAAAGAAGAGAGAGCTGGGCGTGGTGGCTCATGCTTGTAATCCCAGCACTTTGGGAGGTCAAGGCAAGTGGATCACCTGAGATCAGGAGTTTGAGAGCAGCCTGGCCAACATGGCGAAACCATGTCTTTACTAAAAATATAAATAATTAGCTGGATGTGGTGGCGCACGCCTGTAGTCCCAGCTACTCGGGAGGTTGAGGCACAGAATTGCTTGAACTCAGGATGCGGAGGTTGTGGTGAGCCAAAATTGCACCAGTGCACTCCAGCCTGGGTGACAGAGTGAGACTCTGTCTCAAAAAAAAAAAAAAGAAAAGAAAAGGAAAAAAGAAAAACGAGAGAAAAACGAAAGTGGGGCCAGGCATGGTGACGTGCACCTGCAGTCCTAGCTACTCAGGAGGATCAGGTGGGAGGACTCTTTCAGCCGAGGATTTTGAGGCTGCAGTGAGCTATGGTAGCATCACTGCACTCCAGCCTCAGACCATCTCCAAAAACAAAATTAAATTAAATTTTACAAGTATGTATTTGCTTAACAAAAAGGCATCTAGGGAGAGAGAAAATGGGTAACTGGAAAAGAGGGCTAAGATTTTTCACTTTATAACCTCATATTTTCAATTTTATACCACATGAATATATTATCTATTAAAAATTATTATAACATATCCCACTCCTAGGTATACACTCAAAAGAAAGGAAATCATATATCAAGGAGATATCTTCACTCCTATGTTTATTGCAGCACTATTTACAATATCCAAGATTTGGAAGTAACTTAAGTATCTATCAACAGATTACCAGATAAAGAATATGTGGGCTGGGTGTGGTGGCTCCCGCCTGTAATCTCAGCACTTTGGGAGGCGAAGGTGGGCAGATTACCTGAGGTCAGGAGTTCAAGACCACCCTGGCCAACATGGTGAAATCCTGTCTCTACTAAAAACACAAAAGTGAGCTGAGCGTAATGGCGCATGCCTGTAGTCCCAGCTACTCTCAGGAGGCTGAGGCAGGAGAATCGCTTAAACCCGGGAAGCAGAGGTTGCAGTGAGCTGAGATTGCGCCACAACACTCCAGCCCAGGCAACAGAGTAAGACTCCGTCTCAGAAAAAAAAATGGACCAGGAGAGATATTAGTGCTGGTTGCGTGGCTCCAAAGGCAGACACTGTTGGGGGACTGCTGCATTAGGTGACTCCTGGAGCCTTCAAGTCTTCAATTTTCTTTAGGTTTCATGGGGAGTGAGGCCCTTCAGGCTGCTGAGTGTTACAAGAAAGTTCTCCGCTTTCCTGCCTCACTGAGCAGTCTAAAGGAGGTGAGGTGAGCTTTCTGCTGGCATTACTTCTGGCACCATCTGCTTTTCCCTAAGGCCAAAGTTTCCCTGGGATCTAGGGGTTTAGGCCACTCAAAACACAATTTTCGGCCGGGTGCGAAGGCTCACGCCTGTAATCCCAGCACTTTGGGAGGCTGAGGCAGGGGGATCACTTGAGGTCAGGAGTTCCAGACCAGCCTGGCCAACATGATGAAACCCCATCTCTACTAAAAATACAAAAATTCACAGGGCATGATGGCGTGTGCCTGTAATCCCAGCTACCTGGGAGGCTGAGGCAGGAAAATTTCTGGAACCCAGAGGGCAGACAGAGGTTGCAGTGAGCCAAGATCGCGCCACTGCACTCCAGCCTGGGCAAGAGTGAGACTCCGTCTCAAAAAAACAAACAAAAAGGCCGGGCGCAGTGGCTCAGGCCTGTAATCCCAGCACTTTGGGAGGCCGAGGCGGGTGGATCATCTGAGGTCAGGAGTTCAAGACCAGCCTGACCAACATGGAGAAACCCCATCTCTACTAAAAATACAAAATTAGCCGGGCGTAGTGGCACACGCCTGTAATCCCAGCTACTCGGGAAGGCTGAGGCAGGAGAATCGCTTGAACCCGGGAGGCAGAGCTTGCAGTGAGCCAAGATCGCGCCACTGCACTCCAGCCTGGGCAACAAGAGCGAAACTCAGTCTCAAAAGCAAAAAACAAAACAAAACAAAAAACTGTGATACATATACACAACGGAGTACTATTTAACCATTAAAAAGAATAAGATCCTGTTATTTGTAACAACATGGATGGAACTGGAAGGTCATTATAGTAAGTAAAATAAGCCAGGCACAGAAGGACAAACTTCACATGTTCTCACTTATTTGTGGGAGCTAAAAATTTAAACAATTGAACTCTTGGAGATAAGAGAGTAGAGAGACTGTTACTAGACACTTGAGAGGGTAATGGGGACTGGAAGTGAGGATGGTTAATGGGTGCAAAAAAATAGTTAAGAATCAATAAAACCTAGTGTTTGCTAGCACAATGGGGTGACTAACGATACTCAAAAAAAATTTAATTGTATATTTAAAAATAAAGAGTATAACTGGATTGTTTGTAACAAAAAGGATAAATGCTTGAGAAGACGGATACTTCATTCAGTCTAACGTGATCATTATGCATTGCATGCCTGTATCAAAATATCTCACGTAACCCATAAATATACCTACTATGTACCCACAAAAATTAAAAATTAAGAAAAGGGTAACTTTTAAGACACTGAAAAAACTTACTATAAAAATGAATAGGCCAGGCGCAGTGGCTCACGCCTATAATCCCAGCACTCTGAGGCGGGTGGACCACCTGAGGTCAAGAGTTCGAGAACAGCCTGGCCAACATGGCAAACTCCATCTCTACTAAAAATACAGAAATGAGCTGCATGAGGTGGTGGGCACCTGTAATCCCAGTTACTCAGGAGGCTGAGGCAGGAGAATCGCTTGAACCCGGGAGGCGGAGGTTGTAGTGAGCTGAGATCATGCCACTGCACTCCAGCTTGGGCAACAGAGTGAGACTCCATCTCAAAATAAAATAAAATAAAATAAAACTGCCAGGCATGGTGTCTCACGCCTGTAGTCCCAGCACTTTGGGAGGCCAAGGCATCACTTGAGGTCAGGAGTTCAAGACTAGCCAGCCCAACATGGTGAAATTCCGTCTCCACTAAAAAATACAAAAAAATTAGCTGAGCGTAGTGATGTGCACCTGTAATCCCAGCTACTTGGGAGGCTGGGACAGGAGAATCTCTTAAACCCAGGAGGTGGAGATTGCAGTGAGCCGAGATTGTGCCACTGCACTCCAGCCTGGGTGACAGAGACTCTGTCTCAAAAAAAAAAAAAAAAAAAAAGAAAAGAAAGAGTAAAACTGAAGAAGAAAAATTACCAGATTGTTCATGAATGACAAAATAGTCATACCAGGTGAAAAAAGCAAGTTAGTAAACAATACAGACTATAAAATCCCAATTTCACACGTATCAGTAAGCACATTAAAAAGACAGGATTTACACCATAATGTTAGCAATCATCATGTGTGGGCCATGGGTTTAAGGGTAATTTTTAATGTATTTGTTTTCCAATTTTTCTTCAATTTCGTAATCAGGAAACAATTATTTTTAAAAAAGTACTAATAAAATGCGTTTTTTTTTTTTTGCCTATCAACAGCAAAGATCTTTTAAAAGAATAACTCTCAACACATGTACAAATGGAAACAGGAATTTATACTACTACTAGTGATCATATACAACTCCTTTGAAATTTAAGAATATGAGAAATTCATAAGTGTTTATACTTTGAACCAGTAAAATTCAACTGTTGGAAATCTATTATGAGGAACTACTCTAAATTCAGAAAGCCTTCAGGTATAAAGTTGGCTACGCTGGTGCTCTTTTTAGCAACATATAATCAAAAGCAACCTATCATAATATCACAAAAAAGTGAAATTGTCTCTGGTTCAACAATAATTAAAGCAATGCTTATGAAGATTAATAATTTGGAAAAATAATCAAGATATAAAACAGTGGGCCGGGCGTGGTGGCTCACACCTGTAATCGCAGCACTTTGGGAGCCCGAGGCAGGCAGATCACAAGGTCAGGAGATCGAGATCATCCTGGCTAACATGGTGAAACCCCGTCTCTACTAAAAATACAAAAAAAAAAAAAAATTAGCCGGGCATGGTGGCGGGCGCCTGTAGTCCCACCTGGAGGCTGAGGCAGGAGAATGGCGTGAACCTGGGAGGTGAAGCTTGCAGTGAGCCGAGATCACGCCACTGCACTCCAACCTGGGTGACAGAATGAGACTCCGTCTCAAAAAAAAAAAAAAAAAAAGATATAAAGCAGCATATGCAACATAATGATGATTGTGTAAACTACTCCCGACCTTCAAGCTCAGGCAAAGACTTACAAGAAGACAAAAAAAGAGTGAAAGGAAATAAATCATTATTGTGTGTGTCTGTAAGACTGGAGAGGGCTTTTGCCTCACTACTTCTTTCTAGTTTTCTTTAATAAATGTACTGCTACTTTGGGAGGCCAAGGCGGGTAGATCACCTGAGGTCAGGAGTTCATGACCAGCCTGACCAATGTGGTGAAACCCCATCTCTACTAAAAATACAAAAAAATAGCCGGGCATGGTGGTGGGTGTCTGTAATTCCAGTTACTTGGGAGGCTGAGGCAGGAGAATCACTTGAGCCCAGGAGGCAGAGGTTGCAGTGAGCTGAGATTGTGCCATTGCACTCCACCCTGGACGACAAGAGCAAGACTCTGTCTCAAAATAAATAAATAAATAAATAAAATAAATAATAAATGTACTGCTATTA
The DNA here is from genome assembly GCF_000001405.40 of Homo sapiens. NCBI lineage: Eukaryota > Metazoa > Chordata > Mammalia > Primates > Hominidae > Homo > Homo sapiens. The sequence continues at coordinate 169,593,162 of NC_000002.12, read as the reverse complement.
TAAAGAAAAAATTCCTAAGATATATATATATATATACACACACAGTCTTCTAACATTATAATGTACATGTGTGGAAATGGCTATAAGATGTATTCAGAGTCTATCACTCAAGGATACACTCTTCATAGAAATTGATTAGTTTTCCTGAAATGACAAATCACATATGCCTCAAATGCAAGAAAGATGAAAGGCAGCAAATTACTATTAAAATTACTACACAAATCCCTTGAATATGTAAATGTTTTAATATTAGCAGCTAATGAAAAACAATGGTGACAACAAAAGATGGCTCACATGCTGTGTCGCTAACATTACTGAAATGCTACTAATTACTAATCATTATAAAAAGTTACTAATTACTAATCAGAAACAGTATATCCTATTTCCTCTATAATTATGATTTCCTCGATTATTAAATAATACCTGAAATCACGGTGGTTCACACCCGTAATCCCAGCACTTTGAGGGGCGAAGGGAGGAGGATCACTTGAGCCCAGGAGTTCAAGACCAGCCTGGTCAACATAATGAGAACGCATCTCTATTAGAAAAAAGAAATCTGAGCCAGGCACGGTGGCTCACGCCTATAATCCCAGCACTCTGGGAGGCCGAGGCGTGCGGATCACAAGGCCAGGAGATTGAGACCATCCTGGCTAACATGGTGAAACCCCGTCTCCCCTAAAAATACAAAAAATTAGTTGGGCGTGGTGGTGGGCGCCTGTAGTCCCAGCTACTCTGGAGGCTGAGGCAGGAGAATGGCGTGAACCCGGGAGGCGGAGCTTGCAGTGAGCAGAGTTCGCGCCACTGCACTCCAGCCTGGGTGACAGAGCGAGACTCCATCTCAAAAAAAAAAAAAAAAAAAGAAAAAAGACATCTGAAACCAGATGCAGTAAGACAAACATCTGGTCAATTTTTCATTTTTTTTCAAGTAAAAGTAAAGAGAAAAAATAATGCTAGGAGATACCAAAAACATGATTCAGGGGAAAATTAAGCCCTTACAATTTTAAATAAAATATCCATGACCAGCCTGGGCAACAGCAAGACCCCATCTCTATTAAAAAAAAAATGACAATTAGCTGGGTGTGATGACCCAGGCCTGTGGTCCCAGCTACTTGGGAGGCTGCGGTGGGAGGATCATTTGAGCCCAGGAAGTTGAGGTTGCAGCGAGCAGTCATCATGCCACTACACTCCAGCCTGGCCAACAGAGTGAGACTCTGTTCAAAAAAAAAAAAAAAAAAAAAAAAATCATGAATTGCCTAAAAATACTAGAATATAATCAAAATTTTCAGTGTAGTAGTAATCTGTGGGTGATTTGTTTGCTGCAAATTTGTTTAGTATGAACTACAGCTAAAATCCAGACAAATTTTTCTTGGAAAAAAAAAAATCACAATATGTGGCACTGTGCCCCATTTCTACACAGCAATCAGCATAGTCTGCTCCCAACAGATGACATATATATGTTCTAGTTTGACCTAATTCTAGCTATTGCTTATTAGCTGTTAAAATTTATTGTCTACTTGACCTCATGTACTTACCTCACCTGCTTGACTCCTTCAGAAATTTAAGTATAATATACTGAATCTACTTTTTTCATCATAATGAAAACACATTTTTAATAAGATAAGCAATAAAGCTAATAAGCTCACTGAAAAAAATTAATCATACAAAATGCACAAAATTCTAAAACTTAGCTATAGCTTTTAATACTTTTATTATATTCTTGTTTTTCCTATGCAGGTGATTAAAGTTATTTTTAATATTTATCAACAATATAGTCACTTTTGTATTTCAATAATAAGGTAATACAATTTAAAAATATCACAGTGCTATCATTTATAAACTTCTGCAACAAACACATTTCATAAAAAAATCAGTAAGAGGTAACCAGTTCATGTGTAAAAAAATTTATCCTTGTAGTTTCATACATAAACTATTTTCCATATTAATCCTAAAATAACATGACTAAATGAAAAACAGGACAAAAATATAGGCAACTAATTATTAAAATATATAGTAGCGGACATGGCATTTATAAGTAGGCATATGGTAACTTTATTATATTTTAAAGTTATTTGGAAGTTTCACACATTATGAGGAAGTCAGCATAGCACCGAGTTTCTAATCTAGAAAAAATACAAAGTAAATTATTTCTATTTTTAGAGACAGGGTCTCGCTATGCCGCTCAGGCTGGAGCACAGTGGTAAGATCACAGCTCACCGCAGCCTGGAACGCAGTGGCTCAAGCAATCCTCCTACCTCAGCCTCCCGAGTAGCTGGGACTAAAGGCGTGAGCCACCACCTCCAGCTAATTTTTAAAAATTTTTTTGTGGATATATTGCCTAGTCTGAGTAAATTATTTTTAACGATTAAGATGCCAAGCAAGTCTCTGACCCTTAGGATTCTCCTCACTGATTCCCGTGTGTCCTTTTAAGATGCAAATTAGCCAGATAATTAGTTAGCCAGAGTTCACTCTCTGGGAACTTCACGCTGACTCTCTAAGGTCTGTTTGTTTGTTTGTTTTTCTGAGAGGGAGCCTCCCTCTGTCACCCAGGCTGGAGTGCAGTGGCGTGACCTCTGGCTCACTGCAAGCTCCGCCTCCCGGGTTCACGCCATTCTTCTGCCTCAGCCTCCCGAGTAGCTGGGACTACAGGCACCCGCCACCACGCCCGGCTAATTTTTTGTATTTTTTTAGTAGAGATGGGGTTTCACCGTGTTAGCTAGGATGGTCTCGATCTCCTGACCTGGTGATCCGCCTGCCTCGGCCTCCCAAAGTGCTGGCGTTACAGGCTTGAGCCACTGCTCCAGGCCCTGACTTTCTAAGGTTTAAATGATCCTCCCTTGTTAAATGTTACTCTTTTATCATAAACTCCAACAATTCGAAACCTTTGTATCTTCAACACCAAACACAGTGACGTTATCAAATAAAAAGAATGTTAATTGAGGCATGAACAGAACTAGACTCTATTATAATCCAGTGCCTATCCTCTTAAACATGTACTGCTTGCTTCCTTTTTCTTTTCTTTTCTTTTTTTTTTTTGGTTGTTGTCGTTGTTGAGACAGAGTTTCGCTCTTTCTTGTTGCCCAGGCTGGAGTGCAATGGTGCAATCTCAGCTCACCACAACTTCTGCCTCCCAGGTTCAAGAGATTCTCCTGCCTCAGCCTCCCGAGTAGCTGGGATTACTGGAATGCGCCAGCACACCCGGCTAATTTTGTATTTTTAGTAGAGACGGGGTTTCTCCATGTTGGTCAGACTGGTCTCAAACTCCCAATCGCAGGTGATCCGCCTGCCTCAGCCTCCCAAAGTGTTGGGATTACAGGCATGGGGCCACTGCACCCGGACTGCTAGCTTCTTAAATGGGGATACTGCTAACATATATCTGTAGTCAGTAAATTCTCCCAGAACCTACCACCAGTAATCATCCTCTCTGCCTCCTCCACAACTGAAACAGAACCCATTCCCTAGATCTACTAGGAAGTGTTTTGTTTCCCAAAAAAACAACCCCCCCCAAAAAAACCCCAAAACCAGAATCCACTTCAGTTTACAACCAAGAAAGAAAGGATTATTCTTATCTGCTAAATTTGATGAAACAGGAGACAATTTATATATAAGATTTCCACCTCTTAAGTGAAATCATGTAAGTTAAATTAATTAAAACTATAGCAGATCTTTAATATTACTTTCAAGGAAAGTAATTTAACATTCCTACCAGCCTCTTTAGCCTACTCTTAATGTAGTTCATATAGATCAAATGAGAAACGAAAATGCACCGCATCAAAAACATTTGAGTATATTTACAAATGCCAAGTTGCTAATGAATAAAGTAGAAACAAGCTAACATTCTGAGGTGTCAAGACAGACAATTATGCTATTTCATGTAGTGTCCCTTCCACTGATGTTTCTGATGGACACAAACCACCCTGATGCAAACCACTGCACTGGTAGCAACATGATTAGCAGAGTATAGACACTTCTGAAATTCTTAAATCCTCTAGAAAACTTACAGAGATAACCCATAATGTTGCCTAATTCAGTGTTAAATAAGGATATTACGCACTTACTATATATACGATCTGAGAGACATAAAAATATAATACATCTTTGTCACTACCAAACTACAAAAGCAAATACTAACTGGGAACTCACGGCTAATACTCTTAATGTTGTACTTGCAATTATCTAAGGTTTTTTTTTTTTTTTTTTTTTTTTTGAGAGGGAGTTTCGTTCTTGTGCCCAGGCTGAAGTGCAATGGTGCGATCTTGGCTCACTGCAACCTCCGCCTCCTGGGTTCAAGCGATTCTCCTGCCTCAGCCTCCGAGTAGCTGGGATTACAGGCATGCGCCACCATGCCCGGCTAAATTTGTATTTTTAGTAGAGACAGGGTTTCTTCATGTTCCTCAGGCTGGTCTCAAGCTCCGACCTCAGGTGATCCACCCACCTCGGCCTCCCAAAGTGTCGGGATTACAGGCGTGAGCCACTGCACTCCGCCTGATCTAAGTTCTTATAATAATAAATTTACCAAAACCAAAAACAAAAAAGAAAAAAGATTTACCCCCAGTTTTCAAAGATATATACATATATACACACAGTTCTAACCCCATTATTCAATCCAGTAATTCCTACGTAAAAAAATAAGAACATTTGGAGTTTCAAGGAACTCTAAGAGATAACCTGATCCAATCTTCTGATTTTATAGATCAAGAACAAGAGGACAAAAGAGATGAAATGAGTGGCTCAAGCTCACAAATGGAAAAAAGCAAAAGTTCTGATTTAGTACTTTCTACAATTTCACGGTAAAAACTAGTTTACTCACAAATATTCCACATAATGGCTTAATATTACTTTTCACCATATAACCATGATTCAATGGTTTAATTATAAGCTAAAATGTATACAATAATTAACAAGAGCTTAGTATATACACACACACACACGAATATGCTTCGTTCATTTTTAAAACGAGTTAAGGAATCATTCATATTTTTATTTTTATTTTTAATTTTTTGAGATGGAGTTTCGCTCGTTTCCCAGGCTGGAGTGCAATGGCGTGATCTCGGATCACTGCAACCTCCACCTCCCGGGTTCAAGCGATTCTCCTGCCTCAGCCTCCCGAGTAGTTGGGATTACAGGCATGCACCACCAATGCCCAGCTAATTTTTGTATTCTAAGTAGAAACGGAGAGACGGGGTTTCTCCATGTTGGTCAGGCTGGTCTGGAACTCCCGACCTCAGGTGATCCACCCGCCTCGGCCTCCCAAAGTGCTGGGATTTCAGGTGTGAGCCACCACCCCCGGCCATCATTCATGTTTTTAAAATAATCATTTTAATATAAAAGATTGGTGTTTATAAGTGTTATATAATCAAATTTCAGTAAGCGTGTGATCATTTTAAGCCATTATTCTAAAACAAAGTTCAAAAGTTTTCTTGTCTGCTGCTAGAAGTACAAACTCCCAATAACAGCAGTTTTCTCTGAATACTGTCTGTAGTAAATTTCAGGATGCAAGTTTTTCCCTACAGAAATAAAAATACCGAGTTCTTATGGTGACCATTTATGCATTAAACCAGGGAAAATCACCGACACTTAAGCAACATGAAAATTGAAGTTTAGTCCTAACATTAAAAGCAAAAAGGTCTGGGCACGGTGGCTCACGCCTGTAATACTAGCACTTTGGGAGGCCAAGGTGGGCAGATCATGAGGTCAGGAGTTTGGGACCAGCCTAACCAACATGGTGAAACCCCATCTCTATAAAAAATACAAAAATCAGCTGGGTGTGGTGGCACATGCCTGTAATCCCAGCTACTCAGGAAGCTGAGGCAGAAGAATTGCTTGAACCCGGGAGGCGGAGGTTGCAGTGAGCCGAGATCACGCCACTGCACTCCAGTATGGGCAAGACAGCGAGACTCTGTCTCAAAAAAAAAAGCAAAAGTCAGGCTGGGCACAGTGCACAGTGGCTCACGCCTGTAATCCCAGCACTTTGGGAGGCGGAGGCGGATGGATTACTTGAGGTCAGGAATTTGAGACCAGCGTAGCCAACATGGTGAAACCCCTTCTCTACTAAAAATATAAAAATTACCCGGTGTGGTGGCAGGCACCTGTACTCCCAGCTACTAGGGAGGCTGAGGCGTGAGAATCCCTTGAGCTCAGGAGGTGGAGGTTGCAGTGAGCTGAGATCATGCCACTGCACTCCAGCCTGGGCGACAGAGCAAGACTCTGTCTGAAAAAAATAAATAAATAAAAGCAAAAAGCATGCAATGCCACAATGCAACAGAAAGACTTGCAACAAACTCTTCAGGTCACTTGCATTAATTATCTATGTATTCCTTCATGACATCTTAGTACACTGGGATTCTAAAAATAGACAACATGTTATAATTATGTTTAAATACTCTATTTATAAACTAATAGGAAGGAAAAAAGCCTAACTAAAGGGGCAACTACTATTTAAAGAATTAACCCCAGATAGTGTCCTAACAGAAGTACTTTATTATGAATGGCTTCCACTTTCCCTTTGTATAAAGAAGAGGATGCTGCCTCACAGAAAATCTAATTTAAGGCAAAATATCAAAAATATGTAGAAGTCACCAATACTGCAAGACCACAATAATAAGCACCACAGTAAATCGACTATATGGTTAAAAATAAATGTAATGAACACTCTTCACCCATAAAGGAACCACTGAGTTAATGAAAGCCAACTTCACACACAATTTTAACAAAGCTGAGTATTTAATTTTCAAGCCCACAGTTGATGGAAGGTGGAGATCAAAATGTCATTTTGCAGGTAGGTGAAGAAACTGAAGCTCAGAAAGATAATTGGGCCAGAAAGTCCAAATTTTTCTAACCTAAGAAGTTTACATACTTATACACTCCTGACAGCAGGAGCACTCCTGACAACTGACTGCCTAGAAAAGCCTTAAAAAGGAAACCAACAATTCAAATGCGCAGAATCCTACTACAAGACCCTATAGGATCTCAGAGCATCAATAATTCTGAATCATAAAGAAATAGTCAAACAATGTACAATGAACTCTTGTTTAAGACACAGAACCATGTAATTTGTTACAGAAATAATTCTGTCCCAACTCGTTAACATAAAAAAAAGGGGAGTGCTAAAACGGGTAAATTTTCAGGATATATTAAAAACAGGAGAGAAGCAGCCATTCTAAATGTATCTTTTCTGGATTTTATAGCACGATTTCAAAATTTATAAAATGTTCACCCCCCCACCCGTCATTGTTACAAAGTAGCAATTACCGGCCATCCTGTTACCAAATGGGAATACACAAAGACAAAAACGTGTGTGTGACCGACACACACACACACTCACTCTTTTTTCCTGGTTTTAACTACTGAAAGTTAATATCAGGCCCCCCTAATTTCTAAAACATCTAATTGTTCTTTGGACAACTATGTTAGTACCAAACTATAAAAGCAAATACTTTTGTATTTGTGTTCACTACTGCAAAATGTTGGTTACACACAGAAAGGGCTATCGTGGAAAGAAATTAAAATCAATGCACAAAATGGTGCTTTTATAGCATTTCCAAAACGATTGTGCATACTCCTTGCCAGCACATCTAGACTTTGCTCCTTAAGACTAAACATGAGCTGGCCGTGCGCGGTGGCTCTCGCCTGTAATCCCAGCACTTTGGGAGGCCGAGGTGGGCGGATCACGAGGTCAGGAGATCGACCATCCTGGCTAACACGGTGAAAACCCGTCTCTACTAAAAACACAAAAAATTAGCCGGGCATGGTGGCACGTGCCTGTAGTCCCAGCTACTTGGGAGGCTGAGGCAGAAGAATCACTTGAACCCAGGAGGCGGAGGTTGCAGTGAGCCAAGATCGCGCCACTGCATTCCAGCCTAGGCGACAGAGCGAGACTCCGTCTCAAAAAAAAAGACTAACCAAGAACCAAATTAGCATACTTCCCCTTCAGGCATACTGAGCCCCGAAATCATCATCTTCCTCCTAAAGAGTAATTATCTCCTCCTAAAAGGCCTGCGCAGCTCACAGCTCCTCCGAAACACGGGGGAACTTCGCGAGAGCTCAAGACCCTGGACTTGAGTTTTAGAAAAATGCTTAACAAAGTGGCCTCTGCCACTTAACTGCACGACAGCCACTGTGCTGTGAGAGGAAAAGGTCGAAAGAGGAGGAAAGCTAGTCTTCAATTTTAATCCCTGTGATTCAGGCTCTTCGCCCGTCACTCTCCAACCCTAGCCTGACAGGACGTCAGGCTGTCTCCCCCTTCCCCACCAGTCCCGCCACCTACCCCGCAACAGTGCTGAGTCTTAGGATTTTGAAGCTTTAAAAATCAACCCGGCTCCCTAGAGTTCAGGCCGCAGTCGCTGCCGCCATGTTACAGCTTGTGCGGCAAAATGCGTCAGTGAGGGAGGTGTGCGCCTGAGTGGGGAGGGCGGGGGCTGGCAGAGGAAGGACCGTCCCCAGGCCCCGGGGCTCGACTGCAAGCCTTCTCCTTCTGCAACAGCGGCAAAGGCACTGCTGCGGTCCTCAGGGACTTCCTCTGGGCCCAAGCAGCCCCGATACCTCGAGGGAAAGACGGTAAACCCAACCCGGTCAGCCGCGCCGGCTCCGCCCCTCTTCCCAGGCCCTTCCCGCTTTCGTACGCAGGGACTGCTGAAATGACGCCGCCAGAACAACTTGAGCCTCATACCACTTACCTGCACCGGTAGAGTTTTCCTCTTCTCTGGGTCCGGTCCTTTGAAGCGCTTCAAATCTACCGCCGCCAGAAAAGGCGCTAAAGCCCGCTAACCGCCTCCCTCCCCCACAACTCAGTCCTGGCATGGAGAGACAGCGTCGCACCGGAAGCGCGTCAGGAGTGGGTTGTCAGCATCGGCCAGCGTTCACCTGCTTGCGTCACCACGCCCTCCTAGGACTTCTAGGATTTTGGTGCCTTTTAAATTCCTAGTTTATAGGTGGCCTAATGCTTTGTGGATGCGTTGACTGGGAACGCTTGTAACCGTTAAAATGCCATATCCTTTGTGAAGTAAAGTGCCTCATTTAATAAACATTTATTGATCTTACGCTAGGTTATCAGAAAGGAAGGCCTACCTTCATGGAGCTTCCAGTTAAGCTTCCACTTAACGCTAGGATATAAGTTCTAAAAACGCAGTAATGAGCAAAGTGTTATTTGAGGAAAGAGGAAGAAATTACAAAGAGCTTTGATGTTCTTTGTTGTTTTACAGATAAAGAAATTGAGGCTCAGGGAAGATAAACGCCTCCTCCTCAAACACACTGTTCTTGAATGCCAAAGCAAGTCTTTTGATGCCAAATCTAGTGCCTTCTAGAGAAAATATGGCATATATTATTTAATTATTTTAAGGGGCAAGGGTCCCCGGATTATGTTAGAAATAAATAACCATTGCTGTTTGGGCGGGGGGGTGGGGGGGGATGGGCAGTGATTCTGGTAGGGATGTGGGGTGTGTTTTAAAGGAACTAGCTAACTAGAGGACTTAAATTGTTCTGTCGTTTAAAGGCAACGTAAATTATGATCATTTAAATTTTTCACTCACTTGCATCAGGTAAATTAATTATCAACAACAGTTAGGCATGTGGTGGTGCTTCTAAGGGGCGTGACCAGTTTTACACAGCAGTAAAACAGAGGACATTTCTGCCTCTCCACCCCCACCTCTTTTAAGTCATTGCCCTTTATTGCAGGAGAGCAGCAGCATATTCATCTTTAGATAGTTCAGAGATTAAACGGATTTACACTTCGCTGTGTGTGGAGGGGACAATTCTGCAATACCTTAAAACAGGGGTCCCCAACCCCTGGGCCACAGACTGGCCTGGCTAATTTTTTGTATTTTTAGTAGAGACAGGGTTTCTCCATGTAGGTCAGGCTGGTCTCAAACTCCCAACCTCAGGTGATCCGTCCTCCTTGGCCTCCCAAAGTGCCGGGATTACAGGTGTGAGCCACCACGCCCGGCCAACGCTTTTCGAAAGAAGACATACTTGCAGCCAACAATCATAATGAAAAAGCTCAACACCACCAATCATCAGAAAAATGCAAATCAAAACCGCAGTGAGATACTATCTCATACCAGTCAGAATGGCTATTATTAAAAAGTCAAAAAATAACAGGTGCTGGTGAGGTTGTGGAGAAAAAGGAACATTTTACAGTGCTGGTGGGAGTTTAAATGAATTCAACTATTGTGGAAGACAGCGTGGCGATTCCTCAAAGACCTAGAGGCAGAAATACCATTTGACCCAGCAATCACATTACTGGGTATATACCCAAAGGAATATAAGTTGTTCTGTTATAAAGACATACACATATGTATGTTCATTGCCACACTATTCACAATAGCGAAGACATGGAGTCAACCTAAATGTCCATCAATGGTAGACTTGATAAAGAAAATGTGGTACATATACTCCATGGAATACTATGCAGCCATGAAAAAGAATGATCTCATGCCCTTCGCAGGAACATGGATGGAGCTGGAGACCATTATCCTTAGCAAACTAATGCAGAAACAGAAAACCAAGTACCACATGTTCTCACTTATAAGTGGGAGCTAAATGATGAGAACACATGAAGACATAGAGGGGCACAATACACACTGGGGCCTATCAGAGTGTAGACAGTGGGAGGAGGGAGAGGATCAGGAAAAATAACTAATGGGTCCTAGACTTAATACCTAGGTGATGAAATATTCTGTACAACAAACCCCCATTACACAAGTTTACCTCTGTAACAAACCTGCATATGTACCCCACAACTTAAATAAAAATAAATAAATGGAAGGATACTGTATGTATAGTGTATATAATAAACAACATTTGTTATCCTATAGTTTCCTTATATATATTTATATATATATTTATTATCCTAGTGTGTGTATGTATACATATACTATATATGTGTATATATACATATATATACACACACATATATGTACGTGTGTGTGTATATATGTGTATATATATATAAATAAGTGTTGTTTAAGCCACTAAGTTTTGGGATGATTTTGTCACACAGCAAGGGATAACTGACACAGAGAAGAAAGAATAGACTGATTATCACGGAACTTTTCACTTGTCTAATTCTACATAGCTTCATTTTTTTTCTTTTTTTCTAGAGACAGGGTCTCATTATGTTGCTCAGGATGGACTTGAACTCCTGGAGTCAAGCGATTCTCCCACCTTAGTCTCCAGAGTAGCTGGGACTACAGGTATGTACCACCTCACCCAGTGATGACCTCACATCATAAGGATCTGAGTTTCTGCCAGCCCGAATCATCAAATGCCAGAGAAGTATTTTACTAACATAGCAGTAACAGCTCCAAAATTTGTACTCCCACTTACATAGTAGGGGGTGTCACTGGAAAGTGTCTGTTCTGCTAAGAACTACATTTTTTAGCTGTCCCCTTGTATCTTAGTGGCTTGAAACAACATTTATTATCCCATAGGTAAGGATTTAAAAATGCTTTTTGGGGCCGGGCGTGGTGGCTCATGCCTGTAATCCCAGCACTTTTGGAGGCTGAGATGGGTGGATCACGAGGTCAGGAGTTTGAGACCAGCCTGGCCAAGATGGTGAAACTCCAGCTCTACTAAAAATACAAAAATTAGCCGGGCACAGTGGTGGGCACCTGTAATCCCAGCTACTTGGGAGGCTGAGGCAGGAGAATCGCTTGAACCCAGGAGGTGGAGGTTGCAGTGAGCCAAGATTGCACCACTGCACTCTAGCCTGGGTGACAGAGCAAGACTCCATGTCAAAATAAATAAAATAAAATAAAATAAAATAAAATATAAAATAAATAAAATATACTTTGTGTCAGTGGAAAGTGAGCGGACATCCAGGCCAAAATGTTTGTGAAGTGCTATGCCTTCTCCATTCCCTCTCTTCCTGTTTTGTCAGCTGAACCAGAATGTTTTAAGGCCCTGGGGAAGGGCCTATGGAAAAGGTCTACTTCCCTGAATCTCTGTTTGGAGAAAAGTCCTCTTCCACTGACTAGGGATATCCACATTGGAATGTGGTGTGACTGATAAATCAAATTATGTGGGTTAAATCACTGATGTTTGGCTTTATTTGTTACACCAGATACCACTACCAATCTAATAGGCTGTGAGCCTAAAGTATTAGATTTGGCCTAGCCTGGATCACTTCAGTCATTGTAGTATGAGGAATGGGATTTGATACCAGAAGAAGGGAGGTAGGTTGGCTGGGCTACTGCAATTAACCTTTACTTTACCTGTGACTTTTGCTTTAGAGTAATAAAACTTTTTGTTTCTACCCATAGATCAACAACAAACTGTTGTTTGTTCTATTAATAGTTGTCTACTGTATCACCAATAATATGTTTAGTTTTTTTTAAAAGCATGCCATTCTCTGATTGTGATGGATCAAGGAAAAAACCAGACACTTCCATAATCTTGTTTCAGACAAAAACAAGAACATTGTACAAACTGTAAAAACGACCAAACATCGGCCGGGCATGGTGGCTCACGCCTGTAATCCCAGCACTTTGGGAGGCCAAGTCAGGCGGATCACAAGGTCAGAAGATCAAGACCATCCTGGCTAACACGGTGAAACCCTGTCTCTACTAAAAATACAAAAAATTAGCCAGGTGTGGTGGCAGGCGCCTGTAGTCCCAGCTACTTGGGAGGCTGAGGCAGGAGAATGGTGTGAACCTGGGAGGTGGAGCTTGCATTGAGCTGAGATCGTGCCATTGCACTCCAGCCTGGGTGACAGAGTGAGACTCTGTCTCAAAAAAAAAAAAAAAAAAAAGACGAAATATCCATCTATCCTTGCTAATATGAATGGCTGCTGTTTCTTTATCAATTACAGCTTTAACCTCAGTTCATTCTTCCTGCCTTCTAGATCAAGATTATTAGAATAGAATTACCCTTGCTTACTCACAGCATCCAATCTAGAGAAACCACTCTAAAACTCTCCAAAATCACTTAACACAAGGCTAAAAAAAATTTTTTTTTTCGAGACAGAGTCTCGCTCTGTTGCCCAGGCTGGAGTGCAGTGGTGCAATCTTGGCTTATTGCAACCTCTGCCTCCCGGATTCAAGTGATCCTCCCACCTCAGCCTCCCAAGTAGCTGGGATTATAAGCATGTGCCTCCATGCTTGGCTAATTTTCGTATTTTTAGTAGAGATGGGGTTTCACCATGTTGGCCAAGGTGGTCTCGAACTCCTGACCTCAAGTGATCTGCCTGTCTCAGTCTCCCAAAGTGCTGGGATTATGGGTGTAAGCCACTGTGCCTGGCCAAGACTATATGCTATAATGACAACTTTCTAACACCTTCTTATGGAGACACCTCTTAGGGTACAGCCTACTTCATTGCAACCAGTCAATAAACCCAACTTTGTTTAACTATATGTGTTCCTGGTGTTTTTTGACTGGAAGGCAATGACTTGGATCATGCTGTTTCATCTCTATGTTTTTCTTACATTTGTTTGAAAACCCCTTCTATGCTGTGCATTCAGATTACCTTCATCTCAGATCTATTATCAGTTGATCTAGTTCCAAGCAACCCAAATCAGTGCTGTATAAAATTATTGTCTGGGATTAGTGGTTGTCTAAAGTATTGGAGGACAGGAGGGGGTGAGGGAGACATGGGGAGTGACTGCTAATGGTTACAGGGTTTCTTTTTGGAGTTATGAAAATGTTCTAAATGTGAGTGATAGCTTCTCAACTCTGTGAATATACTAAAAAGCCATTGAATTGTACACTTTAAATGGGTGAATTTTATGGGACGTAAATGAAATCTCAGTAAAGCTGTTTAAAAAAAAAAAAGTGTGGGCTGCCAACTGTCAGGAAGTGAGCATCCAGAAGCTAGACGTGTCCCAGCTGCCCAATTGCGTTTGCTGCATTGGCATCATTTGCTACAGGCATGAGGTTGGGTGCAGGCAGTTGTCTGAGCTCTGAGGCATGGACCACTGGACAGACTGACTGATAATGGTGGACTCCCACAGGCTCTGCCAATCATGCAGTCACTGCCGTGGAGCCCAACTCTGTTGGCATTCTGGCCATGACTTTCAAGATTTTTTTTCCTTTTTGCGGGGTTTATGGTTAATATTTCTGTGGGGTTACATTTTTCCTGTAGATTACTTCTCCAAAGTCTGATGTTAATGTCCCGTGAAGACAGTGCCTTTTAGTGGCCATTATTGCAGTGGTCGGGCTTCACCTGGTGTTGGTAATTTATGTCTTCATAGTGTGGAAGGAGGGCTTGCCTCAGTGGTGGGAAAACAAAACTGAATAGAGCAGCTTTTCCTTTGGAGTGGCAAACGTGGGGGGTAGGCAGGTACCTAAAGGGTTTTTCTTTTTGTCTCTTGTTCACATTAAATGTGATTTACCTCCCACCCCCTGAAAGGTGGATGGGGAGGACAATTAAGTATTTACCGCAGCTAAGATTTTAGAAAAAATGAGGATGGGGAGGGTGACATTTTTCAACCATCTGTTAAGTGCCAAGTGCTTTTTGTTAATGACATATTTTTGACTAAGGATCATGTTTGACTGATGTAATTTTTTTTTTTTTTTGAGACAGAGTCTCACTCTGTTGCCCAGGCTGAAGTGCAGTGGTGCAATCTCGGCTCACTGCAACCTCCGCCTCCCAGGTTCAAGCGATTCTTCTGCCTTAGCCTCCTGAGTAGCTGGGACTACAGGTGCGTGTCACCACTCCCGGCTAATTTTTTTTTTTTTTTGTATTTTTCAGTAGAGACAGGGTTTTGCCGTGTTGGCCAGGCTGGTCTAGAACTCCCAACCTCAGGTGATCTGCCTGCTTCAGCCTCCCAAACTGCTGGGATTACAGGTGTGAGCCACGGTTCCTGGCCTGGCTGATGTAAATATTAATGCAAAAATTGGAAGCTAAGATGAAAGTAACACTAATTAGTAGGAGTAGAATTTATTTCATATTAAAATGTATTGTGGTGTAATTTTTTTGTTGTCGTTGTTGAGACAGAGTCTTGCTCTGTCGCCCAGGCTGGAGTGCAATGGTGCCATCTCGGCTCACTGCAACCTCCGCCTCCCGGGTTCAATTGATTCTTCTGCTTCAGCCTCCCAAGTAGCTGGGACTTCAGGCATGCACTACCATGCCCGGCTAATTTTTGTATTTTTTTTAGTAGAGATGGGGTTTCACCATATTGACCAGGCTGGTCTCAAACTCCTGGCCTTGTGATCCATCCACCTCAGCCTCCCAAAGTGCTGGGATTACAGGCGTGAGCCACCACACCCAGCCTGTGTTGTAATTTTTATGGCTTGGCTAAAGCAACAGTTTTCAGAGTGCACCCTCCTTGGTGCTACTCACAGAGATGTGATGTGCTGTTGCTGCTTTCTAACTCTGCCTACTTTGTGACCTCTTAAGAGGATGAAGTTGATAAAGTAAACCAGTGTCAGTGGCTAAGTCTAGAAGACCTAGAAAACATAGGAATAGGTCCTGAACCTATTGCTCTTGCGATTGCACTGCAGACATCAAGAAGCAGGTGGCTATTTCCACACATTGAGATCTATAATTCGCAATCCCGAAGATGATGGAAAAAATACCCCTTGGTGCATTGCAGAGATGCTACAAATCACCAAGCAAGCCATGGGATTGGCTGTACCTTTAATTGAGAAAAAAAACTTGAGAAGAAGAGCAATAAAACTCACGAGGACATCATTGGTATCAGATCTCAAAACCACGGCTCTTTGGTTGAGGGAAACAATTTTTTAATGAGTAAATGTTCATCTCCAAACCAAAAAGTGAAGTAGACCGTATTCCCCAATGTAAATATTGGCAACCTAAGAAAGCTAGGAAATTTTACAAGACTTGAAACGAAAGTTAACTTCTTTTTTTCTTTTTTCTTTTTTTTTTAAGACCCAGCTATCAGAGACTTTCTATGTCTTAGCAGCCTCCTGATAAAGGAAGTCAAATGACCAATCAAGTTTTTAGTGAAGAAATCCAATCAGGCCAGGTGCAGTGGCTCACGCCTGTCATCCAAGTACTTTGAGAGGCCAAGGCTGGGGGATCACTTGAGGTCAGGAGTTTGAGACCAGCTTGACCAACATGGTGAAACACCTTCTCTACTAAAAATACAAAAATTAGCTGGGCATGGTGGTGCATGCCTGTAGTCCCAGCTACTTGGGAGGTTGAGGCAGAAGAATTGCTTGAACCCAGGAGGTGGAGATTGCAGTGTGCTGAGATTGGGCCACTGCCCTCCAGGCTGGGTGACAGACTGAGACTCCATCTCGAAAAAACAAACAAACAACTATTTTAGTTTTGATGGCTTAACCATTCATTCCCTATGTCTTCATGGTTAATTGAAGGTTACTGACAGTAGACAAAAAATGTATTCTCATTTGACTCTAATTTTTCCCATATTCTACTTGAACAAATTTAAAATGTTCTGCTGCCTATACACCCCGACATCTAGGAGTATTAAGACTAGTCAGTCATAAAATAAACCTGATACATCAGATGAATGCCAGCACCTATTCAATTTCGTTTTGCTCTGTTTTCAGAAATGTCAGAATAAATATATATTGGTTACTGGACATTCTAGAAGGAAGTCTTCAAGTTTTAATTTTTTTCCAGTGTGAGCATGCCTCAACATTTTGCATAGACTGTCAGAACTATTGAAAATTTAGGCTGGGCAAGGTGGTTCATGCCTCTAATCCCAAGCACTTTGGGAGGCTGAGGTGGGTGGATTGCTTGGGCCCAGGAGTTCGAGACCACCCTGGGCAACGTGGGGAAACCCTGTCGCTACCAAAACTACAAAAAGTTAGCCAGCTATGGTGGTGTGCACCTGTAGTCCCAGCTACTCGGGAGGTTGAGGCAGGAGAATCGCTTATACCCAAGAGGCGGAGGTTGTAGTGAGCGGAGATTGCACTACTGCACTCCAACCTGGGAGACAGAGTGAGACCCTGTCTCAAAAAAGAAAAGAAAAGAAAATTGTGCTAAAACTGGTTTTATGACAATAACCATGACCACATAAACCAAGAGTCTCCTCTGTAACCCACACAATAAGAAAGTTGCCCCCTCTCCCTCTCCCTCTCCCTCTCCCCACGGTCTCCCTCTCCCTCTCCCTCACGGTCTCCCTCTCCCTCTCTTTCCACGGTCTCCCTCTGATGCCGAGCCGAAGCTGGACTGTGCTGCTGCCATCTCGGCTCACTGCAACCTCCCTGCCTGATTCTCCTGCCTCAGCCTGCCAAGTGCCTGCGCGCTGCCACGCCTGACTGGTTTTCGTATTTTTTTGGTGGAGATGGGGTTTTGCTGTGTTGGCGGGGCTGGTCTCCAGCTCCTAACCGCGAGTGATCCGCCAGCCTTGGCCTCCCGAGGTGCCGGGATTGCAGACGGAGTCTCGTTCACTCAGTGCTCAATGGTGCCCAGGCTGAAGTGCAGTGGCGTGATCTCGGCTCGCTACAACCTCCACCTCCCAGCCGCCTGCCTTGGCCTCCCAAAGTGCCGAGATTGCAGCCTCTGCCCGGCCGCCACCCCGTTTGGGAAGTGAGGAGCGTCTCTGCCTGGCCGCCATCCCATCTAGGAAGTGAGGAGCGTCTCTGCCCAGCCGCCCATCGTCTGAGATGTGGGGAGCGCCTCTGCCCCACCGCCCCGTCTGGGATGTGAGGAGCACCTCTGCCCGGCCGCGACCCCGTCTGGGAAGTGAGGACCGTCTCTGCCCGGCCGCCCCGTCTGAGAAGTGAGGAGACCCTCCGCCCGGCAGCCGCCCCGTCTGAGAAGTGAGGAGCCCCTCCGCCCAGCAGCCGCCCCGTCAGGGAAGTGAGGAGCGTCTCCACCCGGCAGCCACCCTCTCCGGGAGGGAGGTGGGGGTCAGCCCCCGCCAGGCCAGCCGCCCCGCCCGGGAGGGAGGTGGGGGGGTCAGCCCCCCGCCCGGCCAGCCGCCCCGTCCGGGAGGGAGGTGGGGGCGGTCAGCTCCCCGCCCAGCCAGCCGCCCCGCCCGGGAGGGAGGTGGGGGCGGTCAGCCCCCCGCCCGGCCAGCCGACCTGCCCGGGAGGGAGGTGGGGGGGTCAGCCCCCCGCCCGGCCAGCCGCCCCGTCCGGGAGGGAGGTGGGGGGGTCAGCCCCCCGCCCCGCCAGCCGCCCTGTCCGGGAGGTGAGGGGCGCCTCTGCCCGGCCACCCCTACTGGGAAGTGAGGAGCCCCTCTGCCCGGCCACCACCCCGTCTGGGAGGTGTACCCAACAGCTCATTGAGAACGGGCCATGATGACAATGGCGGTTTTATGGAATAGAAAAGGGGGAAAGGTGGGGAAAAGATTGAGAAATCGGAAAGTTGCTGTGTCTGTGTAGAAAGAAGTAGACATGGGAGACTTTTCATTTTGTTCTGTACTAAGAAAAATTCTTATCCTGTTGATCTATGACCTTACCCCCAACCCTGTGCTCTCTGAAACATGTGCTGTGTCCACTCAGGGTTAAATGGATTAAGGGCGGTGCAAGATGTGCTTTGTTAAACAGATGGTTGAAGGCAGCATGCTCCTTAAGAGTCATCACCACTCCCTAATCTCAAGTACTCAGGGACACAAACACTGCAGAAGGCCGCAGGGTCCTCTGCCTAGGAAAACCAGAGACCTTTGTTCACTTGTTTATCTGCTGACCTTCCCTCCACTATTGTCCTACGACCCTGCCAAATCCCCCTCTGCGAGAAACACCCAAGAATGATCAATAAAAAAAATAAATAAATAAAATAAAAAAAAGAAAGTTGCACAGCATATTCCAACAAATATCAGTTTGGTACCTTTAGAGCCTTACTTTGTTGTAGTGATTATCAGCTGAAAATTATGTCTGTTGTAACTTTGGTAAGCATTCCACTTTGGTTATTTATTAGTGGTATTTTTTTTTTAAGTGTCAAGTGTCAAATCTTGGGACTATTAAAATACCATGGTAAGTAAAAAAAAAATATGGTCTGAGAACTGGTACCTATCCACGACATAAGTGCAGAAACTGAGAGTATGAGTTTGCATACTTTCAAAGTTACTCGACAGAGTTATTTCGTATATGCTAAAAAATAATAAGAAAAATCTGTACGTGTCTTTTCCATGTTTACATTTTTAAATTTCATTTTCCTAAGTATATTTTTGTGTATATTATAAAAGTAGTAGACTTCCAAGGACTAGGAGAACAACCTTAGATAGTAGAGAATCACCTAAACGACCTATATCTTCTTCAACAGCTTAAGCTGTGTACTGCGCTAGAGCCTCCCTCAATGAGGAACTACAATGCCCAGAATTCCCCCAAAATGCGTGAGCGACGTCCATTTCACCCACCTCGCCGCGACCCACCCTGGGATATGTAGTGCGTGACTTCCGCAGTGCACGCTGCGCCTGCCGGGCATTTTTTCCTGGTTTGGGGGCAAGGTCTCATGGGAAAGGTCATGTCTCTCGAAGAAAGGTTATAAACCCTGAGATATGAGGGTTGGGCGAGACATCCGAGCCTGTTTCGTTCCGTGTTGGGACCAGGAATAACCCTGACTTCTGAGCTTTCATAACCCCAGGATCCTCCAGAAAATTTGCGGCGCGCTGAGGGAAAACCTTGCTGGCAAGTCGGGACTGTGTGGCAGCGGCTATTTTTCTTTTCCCACCCAGCACGTTTTCGGGCTGGGGACATAGGGTTCAGTTGAGATACGGAGGCTTCCTTCGGGATATTGGGTTCTCTGAAGTGCGGATGGACTAGGGCAGGGCTGAGACCCCATTCATTCACTCATTTGTTTAGCTCTCCTTTATGCCCGGCGCAGAAGATACCCCTTAGGGTCCCAAGGCCCTTCCTGTAGTTAAGTTCCTTCCTTAAGGTCATTCAGCTGGGGCAAAGCTGGGGACTCGACACCTTTCTATGCTAACCATTGAGCTGCCTCCACTTTGAGCAGCTCAGTGGATGAATATAGTATCTTGAGGATACCTTTGATTTGTGCAGGGTTTTCTTGTGCAGGTTTGTGACCCAGGTCAGCTTAGGTCAGGATGCTGTACTGCTTGCCACAAAATAGCCTGTACTGTCGCGTCGTTTTTTCTTGTGAACAGACTGTTTGGCATAGCCGTAGAGAGGGGTCTGAGACATGAATTTAGTGATACAGCGTTGATTTGTTTGTGTAATGAAGCTGTTCAAGTGGAAAGAACTGAGTTGTAGTCCCTGCTTCACTAGTACTAGAAGGATTTTTTAAACCTTTTTGAACCTATTTTGCCTTATCTGTAAAATGGAAATAATATCAACCTGGAAGGTTAGCTGAGAGAATTTAATGAGATAATGTGTTTCAAACGTTCTTTGTAAATGGTAACATGTTGCAGAAATATTAGATTATATGACTTTAGTCCCTGCTTTTCTAACCATTACTTCTCAATTATAAATGTAAACATTTATAGCATATTTTTAAAACAAATTATTCTTTTTTCATAATTATCTTTAGTTCTTTTATTGTTTCAGCATGACTTGAAACATTACTTAATTTCTTAGTATTTCTTGATTGGTGCTTTAATTGTGTCGTTCATTGGTTAAAACCTATCCAAGGCCAGTAATGATTAAATTATATGACTTCTTTTATTTATTTATTTTCTAAAGAAAGGAATTATTTGAGCTCTTTAAGGGCACAAGAAAAAGGGGCAAGAAATTATCCTGAAAGCAAATAAACCTGAGACCATACTTCTGAAAAATTAAAAAAAAAAAGTATATATATATGTATGTATAAATATATATGGCTCTGAATTAATGCCTACACTTTTTAGAAACTTTGAAGGTGATTATTTATTTTAAACAATTTTCCTCTTTTTCGAAAAGACAGCTCTGAGTTTGTGGGCTTTTTTTTTCCTTTTATGGTAAATTTGAAAACTTTATGTAAATGTCAGATTTAAAACACTTTTAAAATGGGGTGCAGAAAGAAGCCCCTTTTTCTGGACATTTATTTTTTGATCAAATTCTGCTATCTGGTTTAGACTAAGAAAAAGTCTTTAGTTAATGCAGAAAAAATGTATTACTTTAATTTGAATTTTGGAATCATTTTGATATTAATGATGTAAGCATAACCATGTTAAACCAATTCTTTTATAGAAGCTGTACATTGGAATGCGTTTACAGTCATTGTAATGGAAGCAAAATACATGAAGGAAAAACTGTTATTTGTATCCCTGCTTATTGCACCTGACGACTAGTTGCAGATGGTTTTGTTTACCTAAGAAAACTTGTGATATAAATGAAAAAAACACCTGTTTTCCTAGAGTCATTGGTTACAAATATGCTTCGTCTAAGAGCTATTTGTCCATTCTCCTGGAGAGTGTTTCAATTTCGACCCATCAGTTGTGAACCACTAATTATTCAGATGAATAAGTGTACAGATGAGGAGCAAATGTTTGGTTTTATTGAAAGAAACAAAGCCATACTTTCAGAAAAGCAAGTGGGATGTGCATTTGATATGCTTTGGAAGCTTCAAAAGCAGAAGACCAGCCTGTTAAAAAATGCTGAGTATGTCAGAGACCATCCTCAATTTCTTACTCTTCATAATTTAGCTACAAATAAATTCAAATTAATGAATGACGATACCCTGGTGAATGTGTTATACGTCACACAACAGTAAGTAATTTACTTTTATATTTTATGGAATGATTATATAGTTTACATTTTAATTTTCTAAAAATCTCTTTATTTTCATTTTATTTATTTATTTTTGAGGAGTCTCTGTCGCCCAGGCTGGAGTGCAGTGGCATGATCTCGGCTCACTGCAAGCTCTGCCTCCCAGGTTCACGCCATTCTCCTGCCTCAGCCTTCCGAGTCAATGGGACTACAGGCGCCTGCCACCACGCCCGGCTAATTTTTTTGTATTTTTAGTAGAGACGGGGTTTCACCATGTTAGCCAGGATGGTCTTGATCTCCTGACCTTGTGATCCGCATGCCTCGGCCTCCCAAAATGCTGGGATTACAGGCGTGAGCCACTGTGCCAGGTCTAAAAATCTCTTCAAAATGAAAAATAATTTTTTTCACCAGTAGTTTTCCTGATAATCTAATTTTTTTGTTTTGTTTTGTTTTGTTTTGAGGCGGAGTCTTGCTCTGTCACCAGGCTGGAGTACAGTGGCACAATCTTGGCTCACTGCAACCTCCGCCTCCCAGGTTCAAGCAATTCTCCTTTAACAACTGTAATACTATTGTTAACTGTGGGCATTTGAAATTGGATTATTGTGGAGTTTTGTGAAAATGTGGTTGGCTGCAGATGAGGATATAGTAGGTAAGCAGTTAGATTTAAGATTAATGCCAGTCGGGTGTGGTGACTCACACTTGTAATCCCAGCACTTTGGGAGGCTGAGGTGGGTGGATCACCTGAGGTCAGGAGTTCAAGACCAGCCTGGCCAACATGGTGAAACCCTGCCTCTACTAAAAATACAAAAATTAGCTGGGCGTGATGGCAGGCACCTGGAATCCCAGCTACTCTGGAGGCTGAGGCAGGAGAATCTCTTGAATTCACGTGGTAGAGGTTGCAGTGAGCACAGATCATGCTACTCTACTCCATTCTGGGCGACAGAGTGAGACGCTGTCTCCAAAAAAAAAAAAAAAAAGTAATGCCTAATAACAATCAGCAATTAGTAAATTTTGTCTGTGATAACTTGTTTGCAATCTCGTTATTGTAATTAAATGGACGGCACATATGTTTTCTAGGGGGTATTGGTACAATAGGTTGTTTCTCAATAATAGCCCTTAAAAGGAAAAAGAAATAAAATGATTTTGTAGATTCATTTATATTTGATAACAATGTTATACAAATTATGTGGATGGTTGATAGGTATTACGTAAAGAAGGGCTTCCTTGGTGTCAGTGGAAAAACTCAGAGATAAATGTTAAGAAATATTACATTCCAGTTTTGGGATTTGTGAAGAAAAAATGAAGAGAGCAAAGAAAAAAGGAAAAAAAATAAAAAGAAATATGTTGTTTGCAAGGAAATCCAGCCTTCAAAAGAACTGGGTTCCCTGAATGAAGGCTTCAGCAGTTGTACAAGGGGGAAAAAACAAAAAAGTTACACCTAATCTGTTTATTAGTCTCACTGATGAAAAAGAGCAGTTTTCTCACATGATGACCCAACCTTCAGGGGTTATTTAAATGGCTGTAAATATCAGCATTACGTAAGTTAGAGACGTGTAAGTTGTTTTTGTAAGAGAATTGGCATTTATAGGAAAGGGGCTTGGGGCTTATATTGGGGATTGATGTTAAACTGAAAAAGGATGATTCCATGTTTTTTGGTGGCCTTTCTCAGGTTACAAAGTTGTTTTCTCTGAGGTACTTGAAGGGGATGCTTAAAGTTTTGTGAATAAGGTGATTGGTGACTATTAGCTTTTTAATTTTTTTACAAACATTTTCTTATAAAAATATTTTATTTATTTATTTATGAGGTGGAGTCTCACTCTGTCACCGAGGCTGGAGTGCAGTGGTGCAGTCTCGGCTCTCTGCAACCTCTACCTCCAGGGTTCAAGCAATTTTCCTGCCGTAGCCTCCTGAGTAGCTGGGATTAAAGGCACATGCCACCACGCCCAGCTAATTTTTGTATTTTTAGTAGAGACGGGGTTTCACCATGTTGCCCAGGCTGGTCTCGAACTCCTGACCTTAAGTGATCCGCCCGCCTCAGCCTGCTAAAGTGCTGGGATTACAGGTGTGAGCCACCATGCCTGATCAAAAGTATTTAAATCAGAACAAAGACATATTATATGTACTTTTAACATAAATATATTGTTGAACATTATCATTGGTCAGTAGCATGGGTATTGAAATAAGCAGATAAAAGGGTGAGAGGGCATGGGATAAAGTATAGATGTTTATTAGGCTGTACCAAAAAATCAGAATATTGAAATAAGAGTGGACCAGAAATAAGGACTGCCTGTATAAGAGGAAAATAACTTGAGTTTCACTTTTGCATTATCATTCGTATTGCATATGTTTTTAATGATTTTAAAATGATTATGTATGGAGGATTCTTTCTTTTTTATTAAGGTTTGCTGGTGAGGCCCATGACCCGCTAGTTGAAGCACTAGTTACAGAAGCATGGAGAAGGCTAGAAAGGCAAGTACCCTGGGTTCATCTTGAAGATCAGGGTTATTCTTTTCAGGGTTAACAGAGTGAAATCTTGAAGGGAAAGAACAGGGAACTGATGCCTGTCAAGCTTCACTGAAAAAAATGTATTTAAACTCAGTTTAGTTTTAAAGTTTTTGATTGTGTAATGTGTTGTTGTTTTTTTTTTTTTTTTTGAGATGGAGTCTCACTCTGTCGCCCAGGCTGGAGTGCAGTGGCGTGGTCTCAGCTCACTGCAACCTCTGCCTCCTGGGTTCAAGCAATTCTCTGCCTCAGCCTCCTAAGTAGCTGGGATTATAGGCACCCACCATGACTCAGGGCTAATTGTTTGTATTTTTAGTAGAGATGGGGTTTCACCATCTTGGCCAGGCTGGTCTTGAACTCCTGACCTCGTGATCCACCTGCCTCAGCCTCCCAGAGTACTGGGATTATAGGCGTGAGCCACCGCTCCCAGCCATGTCTTTTCTTTTTTCTTTTCTTTTCTTTCTTTCTTTTTCTTCTCTCTTTTTCTGTCTCTCTTTTTTTTTTTTTTTTTTTTTTTTTTTTAATGGACAGGGTCTTGACATGTTGCCCAGGCTGGTTTTGAACTCTTGGGCTCAAGCAATACTTCCTCCTTGGCCTCACAAAGTGCTGGGTTTATATGCATGAGCCACCATGCCTGGCTGTGTATTCTTTAAGAGAGAAAAGAAAGTATTTCATATTTTTCCTCTTTAAGAGTGGGGAATAGTATACTTTTCCACACATGTAATTAGTTGAAATATAAATAAGATAGAGTCACAGCTATTCATGAACTAGCCTTTTTGAATCTTCTTTTCTAGAAGAATACTTCAGAAAGGAAAGATTCTTGATTAATTGGCTATCAATAAAAACCTAGAAGTGCAGGAGCCAGGAAAGGAGAAAAAAAGAGACCCTAGTTTATTAGAGAGGAAGGCCATTTAACACTGTTTAGGAGCATCTGTAGCTACTTGTCTGTTACTCCATTTTTAAGGAGAGGCAATGACCAGAGCTTATAGGTGACTTAGAAGCTTTTTAAAGAAAGTGAGTTTCAGGTCCACTGCTGTGGACAGTATTAATTCAGATATATTTCCTATATTGTACACAGCTCTATTTTCAGCATGTTGCCTTACTTGATAATCATTCAGAAAAATGGGAAATCTTGTGAGTACAGAGAAATTTATTCTCTAATTATATATCAGAAGCTCTTTATTTATAAAAGGGCTGAGATAATAGCAGACTCATTTTGGGAAATCTTCATCTATTTCTGAAAACTTTGAATTTTTTAATCTAGGAACTCTGGATGATTGTAGTCTATTGTTAGTGGAATAAGGCAAATGTTAGGGAGGAAAGAAAAAAATCAGGGTGAGGAAGAGATAGGAGGATATTAAAAACTACAGAGCAACTCTCCCTCTAAATCAAATGGAAACCAGACAGGAAAGTCTTGACTAAGATGAAGGAGAAACAACAGGCTATTTATTTGTAGACAGAGAGGAGCGACCATTCTGATTTTTAAAATATTTTTAACATATTGCCTCTTAAAGCTTAAACTATAATAAATACTTATATATTGGTAAACTCTGTAGGCCTTTATTACATGGGCTGGATTAAATTAAGGGACAGAACAGTTCTCCAGATTTAGAAATTCTGTATTAATCTACTAAGTTGTGATTTTAAGTTAATCTTATTAGCTAAACCCATCTGTCTTCTTTTATACTCTCTACCTATAAGTATATTGAGGGTAAGCAGAGTAATCTTATTCCTTTTGCTAACAGTACAAATTATCTATTTACTGGATCTTTGGGGTTAGATTTGTTGATAATAGGTCACAACATTTTATTTCTCTTCAAAGCAAGGATACGTTATGTGTATTATGCAGCTTGAACAAATCACTTGTAAAATAGGTGGTCTTTTGTGTTTTATAATTACTGTATTAATTAAATTACATGTATGATTGTATTTTATAGTGAATCAAGCATTTCTTTTAAATTTTTCTTTATTTCAAAATAACTCAGAAGTACAATGATCTTGCTAAAATATCTATAAACTTATGTTTTTTTTTTTTTGAGACAGAGTCTCGCTCTGTTGCCCAGGCGGGAGCGTAGTGGTGTGATCTCAGCTCACTGCAAGCTCCGCCTCCTGGGTTCAAGTGATTGTCCTGCCTCAACCTCCCAAGTAGCTGGGACTACAGGCACCTGCCACCACACCTAGCTAATTTTTGTATTTTTAGTAGAGACAGGGTTTCACCATATTGGCCAGGCTGGTCTCAAACTCCTGACCTCGTGATCTGCCCACCTTGGCCTCCCAAAGTGCTGGGATTACAGGTGTGAGCCACTGTGCCCAGCCTGTTTTATAAATATAATTTGTAATGATTTAAATGGGGTAGATTATTCTGGATTAGTACTATATGATGAATCATGGCAAGGATAATTAACATGTATTTGAAATCCATATATATTTTTTTCTTTTGGGATAGGGTTTGGCTCTGTTACCCAGGGTGGAGTACAGTGGTACAACCAGGGCTCACTGCAGCCTCAGACTTCCAGGCTCAAGCCATCGTCCTATCTCAGCCTCCCAAGTTTCTGGGACCACAGGTGGATGCCACCACGCCCAGCTAATTTTTATATTTTTAGTAGAGATGGGATTTCGCCATGTTGCCAGGTTGGTCTTGAACTCCTGGGCTCAAGGAATCCTCCTACCTTGGCCTCCCAAGAAATCCAAATTTTTTTTAAAAAACTTTCTATTATAGAATATTTTTAACATTTACAAAAGGAGAAAGAGTAGTACAACGAATTCCCATGTACCCATCCTCCAGCTTCAACAATTGTCAACACATAGCCAGTCTTGTTTTATCTATATCCCCTCCCACTCTCAGTATACTTCAGTATATTTTAAATAATATCATTTCATCTTTAAATACCTCAGTATGTTTCTCTAAGGACTTTTTAAAAATATAGAACCAGCTGGGCGTGGTGGCACACGCTTGTAGTTTCAGCTACTCAGAAGGCTGAGGTGGCACAGCAAAGGATACAATCAACAAAGTGAAGCGAGAGTACACAGAAGGGTAGAAAATATTGGCAAACTACCCATCTGACAAGGGATTAATAACCAGAATATATAAGGAGCTCAAACAACTCTAATTAGGAAAAAGTCTAATAATCCAATCAAAAAATGGGCAAAAGATTTGAGTAGAGATTTCTCAAAAGACCCGTGCAAATGGCAAACAGGCATATGAAAAGGTGCAACATCAGAAAAATGCAAATCAAAACTACAATGAGACATCATCTCACCACAGTTAAAATGGCTTATATCCAAAAGACATGCCATAACAAATGCTGGCAAGGATGTGGAGAAAAGGGAACCCTGCACACTGTTTTTGGGAATGTAAATTAGTATAAGCTCTATGGAGAACAGTTTGGAGGTTCCCCCAAAAACTAAAAATTGAGCTAGCATGTGATCCAGTAATCCCACTGCCTGGGTATATACCCAAAAGACAGGAAATCAATATATTGAAGAGATATCTGTACTCTTACGTTTATTGCAGCACTGTATACAATAGCTAAGATTTGAAAGCAACATAAGTGTCCATCAACAGATGAATGGATAAAGAAAATGTGGTGGCTGGGCGCGGTGGCTCACGCCTGTAATCCCAGCACTTTGGGAGGACAAGGCGGGCGGATCATGAGGTCAGGAGATCGAGACCATCCTGGCTAACAAGGTGAAACTCCGTCTCTACTAAAAATACAAAAAGTTAGCCGGGCGTGGTGGCGGGCGCCTATAGTCCCAGCTACTCCTGAGGCTGAAGCAGGAGAATGGCGTGAACTCGGGAGGCGGAGCTTACAGTGAGCCGAGATCGCGCCACTGCACTCCAGCCTGGGTGACAGAGCGAGACTCCCTCTCAAAAAAAAAAAAAAAAAAAAAAAAAAAAAAAGCCTGGTGTGGTGGCTCACGCCTGTAATCCCAGCACTTTCGGAGGCCGAGGCGGGCTGATTACCTGAGGTCAGGAGTTCGAGACCAGCCTCAACATGGAGAAACCCTGTCTCTACTAAAAATACAAAATTAGCTGGGCATGGTGGTGCATGCCTGTAATCCCAGCTACTCGGGAGGCTGAGGCAGGAGAATTGTTTGAACCTGGGAGGCGGAGGTTGCAGTGAACCGAGATCGCGCCATTGCACTCCAGCCTGGGGCAACAAGAGCGAAACTGCGTCTCAAAAAAAAAAAAAAAAAAGAAAAATGTGGTATATATACACAATGGGGTAATATTCAGCCGTAAAAAAAATGATATCCTGTCATTTGCAACATGGGTGGAACTGGAGATTATTATGTTAAGTGAAATAAGCCAGGCACAGAAAGATAAACGTCGCATGCTTTCACTCATTTGTGGGAGCTAAAAATCAAAACAATTGAACTAATGGACGTAGAGAGCAGAACGATGGTTACCAGAGGCTGGGAAGGGTAACGGGCGATTGTGGGGGAGGTGGGGATGGTTAATGGGTAAAAAAAAATAAAATGAATAAGACCTACTATTTGACAGCACAACAGGGTGACTATAGTCAATAATAACTTAATTATACATTTTAAAGTAACTTAGAACGTAATTGGATTGTTTGTAACTCAAAGGATAAATGCCTGAGGGAATGGATACTCCATTTTTCATGATGTGTTTATTTTGCGTTGCATGCTTGTATCAAAATATCTCATGTACCCCATAAATATATGTACCTACTATGTACCCACAAAAAAAATTTTTTTTTTAATTTTAATAAAAATGCTGAGGTTGGAGGATCACTTGAGCCTAGATGTTCAAGTTCAGCCTGGGCAACACAGTGAGACACTGTGTCTTAAAAACATAATAAAATTGATAAATTTAAATTTTCGATATTACCTAGTACCTTGTCTGTGTTCAAATTTTGTTGATTGTCTTATAAAGGTCTTTTTATAGGCAGTTTATTTAAATCAGTTTCTGAGTAAGGTTCACAATTACTGTGTCTCTTAAATTTTTTTGTTTCTTTTTAAATAAACTTTACAGAAAAATAATGTATAAAAATTATACTAGTCATAAGCATACAGCATGATGAATTTTAATATACTGATCATTGCTATGTAACAGCACCAAGATAAGGAAACAACATCATTAGTTCTTTTCATGTTCTCTTCTAGTCCTCTCACCCAAAAAGGATCTTGACCTCTAACACCATAAATTGTTTCTATAGAAATGGAATCCTATAGTATGTACCCTTATAGTTTAGTTTGCTCAGTATGTTTTAAGGATTTATCCATTATGTTGTATGATTCCATAATTTTATTCTATTGTATGAGTATGTGCAGTTTATCCATTGTACTCTTGATGGACATTCGGGTTTTTTGCAGGGTTTTGCTATTACATATGTGTTGCTGTGAATTTTCTTATGCTTGTTTTTTAGTGAATTCAAAGTCATAAAATCTATAACAGTTCCTTTTTCCTCTCTTTTGTCTTGCCATTTTCTTGTTGAAGAAATTGGATTATTTCTCCTATTAAAAAAATTCATAGCACTGTTGTAGTAGCAGCCATTATATTTGTTAATATGCAACCTTGAGTCAAAATTGTTCTGTCATCTAAAAAAATTAAGTAAATCATTCAAATAATTTTTAGTGATTTTCCCCCTTTCAAAACCTTTCTACAGTATCTGACTTTTTAACTGTTGCCATGTTACTTTTATAATAATAACATTTTAGAAAAAAAATTTTATGTAATTTACTATTTTGATTGCTTTTAATTTTATAACTATATATTATGTGTTTTAAGTGAAAGTAAATACTAATGTTCTCCTTTGTATATTTCCTTTAATAGGTTTGATATTAAACTGCTCTCAGAATTTTCCTCTTGCCTAGCAGATCAGCATTTGTATTTTAGTCCATTAATGGGAAAAATAGCTGATATTGTTCATAGGAACTTGGAAACCACACAGGACTTAAGGTAAATTTATTTAGGGAATCTTGTGTTGTGGTGGAAAGATCCTGGGCTTTGGATGTGGATGCAGTCAGATTTGCTACTCTTAGTTTATGTGACTTAAGGTTACTTAAGCTCTTGGAAGTTCGTTATCCTCATCTGCAAAAGAGGGATAGTAATAGCTACTTTGCAATATTGCTGTGGGGATTAGACATAAGGTACATAAAGTGTAATACAATATTGTTGAGGTCTGTGGAGGATCTGAGTTTTTACCTATTTGCAAGCTAAGTTTGCCTGCCACATTTTCCTACGTGTGCCGTAGGAAGGCCTGAGACTCCGAGGTCAGAGAGAGGACTTTGTTTTTTATAGCAATAGCAGTAGCAGAGTACCAGAATTTTCTTGTGTTGATTCCCTGAGCTCTCGTTCCCATAATGGGTTGTGATCCAGGAGAGGAGCTCTGAGCTTAGGAAACCTGAATCTTTTATAATAAAGCATGCCTACTCTGCTCCAACAGGAGACATTATCTCTATTCTCCTAGGCTGTTTGCTATGCAAACATCCTTGAAAAGATAGTTCTGAACAAAGGCAGTCAGAAACCCACTGAAAATGGCCTCTGAATAAGTATCTAGAACATAGAAGTTTCTCAGTAATGGATAGTAGGTATTATTATTATATCATGAAGTAAACCCAAGAAGTATTTAAATTAAGTATGAATTCATTGGCCAGGCATGGTGGATCACACCTGTAATCCCAGCACTTTGGGAGGCCGAAGTGGGTGGATCACTTGATGTCAGGAGTTCGAGACCAGCCTGGCCAACATGGCAAAAATCCCATCTCTACAAAAAATACAAAATTAGCTGGGCATGGTGGCGGGCGCCTGTAATCCCAGCTACTCGGGAGGCTGAGGCACAGGAATTACTTGAACCTGGGAGGTGGAGGTTGCAGTGACCTGAGATTGTGCCACTGCACTCCAGCCTGGGCAACAGAGCAAGACTCTGTCTCAAAACAACAATAACAAAAAACGAAAAAAAAACAGTAACAAAACTTGAAACAACAACAACAAAATCCAAAAAAACCAAAAAATAAATTAATAAATAATTAATTTACAATAAATTAATAAATAATTAATTTACAATAAATTAATAAATAATTATTTTACAATAAATTAATAAATAATTATTTTACAATAAATTAATAAATAATTAATTTACAATAAATTAATAAATAATTAATTTACAATAAATTAATGAATAATTAATTTACAATAAATTAATGAATAATTAATTTACAATAAATTAATAATTAATTTATAATAAATTAACAAATAATTGATTTACAATAAATAAATAATTTATAATAAATAATTTACAATAAATTAATAAATAATTATTTTACAATAAATTAATAAATAATTTACAATAAATTAATAAATAATTTACAATAAATTAATAAATAATTTACAATAAATTAATAAATAATTTACAATAAATTAATAAATAATTTATAATGAATAATTAATTTATAATAGATTAATAATTAATTTATAATAGATTAATAATTTATAATGGATTAATTTATAATTAATTTATAAACAAATTCACAAATTTTACATACAATTATGTCTTTTTTATTCTTTCCATCTGGGAATACTTTCTTTTCAGTTTCATAAAGGAGAGTTAATAGTTACATTTGCTGAATGTCAAGGAACTATTAATTTGAAACTAACATTTAAGGAGTTTCTCTGGTTTTCATACCAGTGGTTTGAGGGTTTGTTTTGTTTTTAACATAAGATTACTTACTGTCAATGCTAACCTTCATAATCCAGTACTATGATTGTCTTTGGCGTTTCAGATACAGCTTTTTCTCTCATATTTACAAAGTGATTAGCACTTTGGTAAAATTAAATTATAGTAGTTTCCTGCTCTTCTTGCCCCACTCCACCCTACTTCCCTGCCTTTTTTTTTTTCTTTTGAGATGGAGTCTCCCTCTGTTTCCCTGACTGGAGTGCAATGATGCAACCTCTGCCTCCTGGGTTCAAGCGATTTTCCTGCCTCAGCCTCCTGAGTAGCTGGGATTACAGGTGCTCGCCACCACATCCAGCTAATTTTTATATTTTTAGTGGAGATGGGGTTTCACCATGTTGCCAGGCTGGTCTCAAACTCCTGACCACAAGTGATCTGCCCACCTCGGCCTCCCAAAGTTCTGGGATTACAGGCATGAGCCACCATGCCCAGCCCCTTGCCTTTTTTTTAAAAAAAATACACTTATGTGGCTGGGTGCAGTGGCTCATGCCTGTAATCCCAGCACTTTGGGAGGCTGAGGTGGGAGGATTGCTTAAGCCCAGGAGTTTGAGACCAGCCCTGGCAACATAGCAAGACTCTGTTTCTACAAAAAAAAAAAAAAAAAAAAAAAAGAATTGATCATTCTTAATTGATGTAAAAATCTTTGCATCTTTTTTCTTTTTCAGTTCCTTGTCTGTCTTGATGGTCAACATATCTTCTTTAATATCACGACATTTTCAACAACAACTGGTGAACAAAACAGAACTTCTTTTTGACACCATAGATTCTTCTGAGGTCAACGTTGCAAAAAGCATAGCAAAGTTTCTTCGAAATGTTAGATATCGTTATCAACCACTATTAGAAAGATGTAATAACGTATTTTTAAGTAATGTGGACCACCTTGATTTGGATTCCATCAGTAAAATACTTAGTGTATACAAATTTCTACAATTTAATAGTTTTGAATTTATTATAATGGCTAAAAAGAAGCTAACTGAAATGATTCCTCTGTGTAATCATCCTGCTAGCTTTGTAAAATTGTTTGTAGCATTGGGACCCATTGCAGGACCTGAAGAAAAGAAACAGTAAGTTCAGTTTAAAATGCATTACTTTTTTTGTTGTGAATACGTGGAGCCTTCAAGCTTAGGTCTCCTTGCAGCTCTGGAAGGTACAAATATCACCCTATTAGGTTGTGGAAGGGAAAATAATCTCTTATGCTCTGCTCCTTGATTCTTTTTCTGATTATTCTAATTTACATCTCAAACTCTTAGTCTGTTGCTGTGTTCTGAAAGGTAAACCTCTGATACTGGGCCAACATGAAAAAAAATGAGGGGAAACGCCATGTGTTTTTATTCTCCCTTTTGTGCTACATGACTGGATTTACACATATAAGACTCCCCCACCCAGTGTAAGTCTGTGGAATATTTAGAATTATAGTAGTCATAGCAGAGGGCCATTTTATGCTTTGCTGTCTTCATCACAATAATCATCAAAGCATTTATTATGCACTGGGCATATGTTCCCATGTCAGGTTTGAGCAAATTTTGTGTGGCGCCTCTCATTTAGGAATTTCCAGTTTTGCTAGATACTGATGTAGGTAGTAATATTTGAAATATAATGATGAGCAAATATTAAATTAACATACAAATACGGTTAATAGATAAGAGTTTCTCTTCCTAGGCCATGTGACTGGATTTATACTAGACATAAACTTCCCCCACCCAGCATAATTGTATGAAATATTTAGAATTACAAGCTGGGCACGGCGTTGCACGCCTTTAATCCCATCACTTTGGGAGGCCGAGGCAGGTGGATCCCTGGATCCCAGGAATTTGAGACCAGCCTAGGCAAGATGATGAAACCTTGTCTGTACAAAAAAATACAAAATTAGCCAGATGTGGTGGTGCCCACCTAGATTCCCAGCTACTCATGAGGATCACCTGAGCCCAAGGAGGTTGAGCCTGCAGTGAACTGACATTGCGCCATTGAATTCCAGCCTGGGCACAGAATGAAACCTTGTCTCAAAAGAAAAAATAAAAGAAAAAAATAAGAATTTTATATAATAGTCCTAACACATAAGTATGATTAGTAGATTCACTTAAGCAGGGGTTCCAAGACTTGCACAATAGGGGAATCTGTATCATTACTCTGTTAGGGAAAACTTTACGGAGAAAGTTTTATTTTTTAAGAGTACTTTGTGGCTGGGTGCGGTGGATCATGCCTGTAATCCCAGCACTTTGGGAGGCCAAGGCAGGTGGATCACCTGAGGTCGGGAGTTCAAGACCACCCAGACCAACATGGAGGAACCCCGTCTCTACTAAAAATACAAGATAAGTCGGGCATGATGGCAGCGCCTGTAGTCCCAGCTACTCGGGAGGCTGAGGCAGGAGAATCGCTTGAACCCGGGAGGTGCAGGTTGCAGTAAGCCAAGATCGCGCCATTACACTCCAGCCTGGGCAACAAGAGCGAAACTCTGACTCAAAAAAAAAAAAAAAGTACTTTGAATTATATGAAAAAATTTAAGAGCACATCTTAAGACTATATCAAGATGGAAACAAGGTGATTATTAAAAAAAACTATTGGGGCCCAGCACGGTGGTTCACACCTGTAATCTCAGCACTTTGGGAGGCCAATGCTGGCAGATCACTTGAAGTCGGGAGTTTGAGACCAGCCTGGCCAACATGGTGAAACCCCGACTCTACTAAAAATACAAAAAAAAAGGGCCGGGTGTGGTGGCTCATGCCTGTTATCCCAGCACCTTGGGAGGCTGAGGCGGTTGGATCACTTGAGGTCAGGAGTTCGAGACCAGCCTGGCCAACATGGTGAAACCCCGTTTCTAGTAAAAATATAAAAAATTAGCCGGGCGTGGTGGTGGGCACCTGTAATCTCAGCTACTTGGGAGGCTGAGGCAGGAGAATCGCTTGAACCTGGGAGACTGAGGTTGCAGTGAGCCAGGATTGCGCCATTGCACTCCAGCCTGGGCAACAGGAGCGAAACTCTGTCTCAAAAAACAAACAAAAAAATACAAAAAATAATTAGCCGGGAGTGATGGCAGGTGCAATGGTGGGCATCTCTAATCCCAGCTACTCTGGAGGCTGAGGCAGGAGAATCGCTTGAACCTGGGAGGCGGAGGTTGCAGTGAGCTATCATGCTCCTGCACTCCAGCCTGGGCAACAGAGTGAGACTCCATCTCAAAACAGACGAAGAAACACACACACGAACAAACTTTATTGGAACCGTTTTTTGTCACCAAGTACTGTTAAAATCTCAGTGCTAAAGCAATAAAACAGTTGGGTTTAACTGAGTCTGTCTTCAAGGAATTTATATTGCAATTGAGAGGATAGATATAATTGAAATATGTAAATACTGTAACAACATAGTTTATGAAGAAACAATAAAATTAGTGATATGGATAGTGCTGTGAGCAGACAGAAGTGAGAGAAAAATATAGACTGAAGTGGTTGGGAAAAGTTTGTGGAGAAACTGGGTTTGAAACCTTTGAAAAGGTTGGTGGAAAGGATGGCATGGAGTTATCCATGTGAATAGACAATTAGTTTATCCTATCAGATGTCACGTTTCGAGCTTGCTTTCTAAATGATTCTAAAAAATACACGTATCATGGTACTTAACATTACTGCACTACTTTGGATAGTTCAAATGACAACTAATCATAGTCAAAATGGACCAGCTTTGTTAATTTTCAGTTTATACTGTTATATCAAGTGCTTAGTATATGAGATTTCTGATAATATGCAGGTTTATTGACTCCTAGATGTTCCTATTCAGTTTTAAAACATTTGGGAAATTGTCAGAATATCAACTGTTCATTTCTTAGCTCTCTAGTATTGAATAATTTCACTGAATCATAGTATTTTATAACCATTATAACCTTGTATTATTTGAAAATCTTAAAATATCTTTTACCTGTATTTTTCAAACAGTTTAAGATTGGATTATAATGAGGCCTGAATTTCATTGAAGAAGACAATATATTTTTCTTTATTCAGTAATATTTTATATTCGAGTAATGTGGGGAGAACACTAGAATTATATATTGGATTCAGTTTTTGTTTATATTTTTTTTCCTATTTGTTACCCAAGAACTGTTATTTAAAAAAAATTGCAAGCTAATTTTCAGTCTTTCAACCAAAAACTTTTTTTTTTTTGCTTCTAGACTTAAATCAACTATGTTATTGATGTCAGAGGACCTAACTGGCGAGCAAGCCCTGGCAGTGTTGGGAGCAATGGGAGATATGGAAAGCAGAAACTCATGTCTGATTAAAAGGTATCTTTTCTGAAATTTACGACGTTAAGTTTGTTGTCATTCACAAGCACCTATTTTTTTCTAAGGAAAAATGGTTTTCTTCTTTAATCTACCAGTTGTTTTGAAGAAATAAGGAATTAATGCTTAAGCCACTGTTTATGTTCTACTTTGTTTTTCTTTTCTTTTTTTTTTTGTTTTTTTGAGACAGAGTCTCACTCTGTTGCCCAGGCTGGAGTGCAGTGGCACTATCTCTGCTTACTGCAACCTCTGCTTCCCTGGTTCAAGCAATTCTCTTGCCTCAGCCTCCTGAGTAGCTGGGACTACAGGCGCCCACCACCATGCCCCAGCTAATTTTGTTTGTTTGTTTGTTTGTTTGTTTTTGAGACAGAGTCTTGCTCTGTTGCCCAGGCTTGAGTGCAGTGGTGCCATCTCGGCTCACTGCAACCTCTGCCCCAGACGGGTTCAAGCGATTCTCCTGTCTCAGCCTCCTGAGTAGCCCGGATTACAGGCGTGTGCCACCACGCCTGGCTAATTTTTGTATTTTTTAGTAGAAGCGGGGTTTCACTGTGTTGGCCAGGCTGGTCTGGAGCTCCTGACCTCAAGTGATCCACCCACCTCAACCTCCCAGAGTGCTGGGATTACAGGCCTGAGCCACCGCACCCAGCCCTCCAGGCTGGTCTTGAACTCCTGACCTCAAGTGATCCGTTCACTTCGGCATCCCAAAGTGTTGAGCCACTGTGCCTGGCCGTTTTTTTTTTTGTTTTTTTTTTTTGAGACAGGGTATGGCTCTGTTGCTGAGGCTAGAGTGCAGTGGTGCCATCACAACTCACTGCACCCTCCACCTCCCAGGCTCAATTGATCCTCTCATCTCAGCCTCCTGAGTACCTGGGACTACAGGCACGTGTCGCCATGCCCACTAATTTTTGTATTTTTTGTAGACATGGTGTTTTGCCATGTTACCCAGGCTGGTCTCCAACTCCTGGGCTCAAGGAATCCATCCGCCTCAGCCTCCCAAAGTGCTGGTTTGTTTTTCAAAGTAGAAATGACAATTGTTTATAGCTTTTTCATTTTATTTGTGCTATTACACTCAAGCAGAGCATCATAACCTTGTAAAATAGAGAGCATAAAGACCCTCCTTTTATTTTTTTCTTTTCTTTTTGTTTTCTTACTTTTCTTTCTTAGTTTTAAAATTTTTTGTAGAGATAGGGTCTTACTATTTTGCCCAGTCTGATCTTGAACTCCTGGGCTCAAGCAGTTCTCCCAAAATTACCACCAAGGCTGTAATTTTCAAAAGGAAAGTTTCTGCAGCACAGTCAATGTCTATATGAACTTGAATTGTCTCACACCACAATGTTACCTTGAAGTCATACTGCCATTTGTTGGCTTTTTGGTAACTTGAGATTTCAGAAGAAAAAATATATACTTACATTTTTACATATGCTTAATTGTACATGCCTAATTTTTCATGACCTATTATATGTTCCTTTATTTTAATATTTCTTTGTCCCATTTTTTTCCAACTTACTGCCTCTTAGCATTTCCCTTTGCTTTTAAGCATCTTCATTTGAGGGCCAGTGGATTTACGGAAGAAAATTAAATTAGTTTTGCTAATTATTGGTAACTCTTGGTAAAGATTTTGTTATGGGGAGGATGTGGAAGTTGATGCTGTGTGAGATTTGTTTAACTGAGGAAGAAAAACTATGCTTTTCTCTTCTTGTACTATTGATAAGTGAATGTTATTTCATTCACACTTAATTGATTGCTTTTACTTCATTCTGTTTTAGTTGTTTACATTTCTAGAGCCACCTTGAGACATTTCTTCAAGAATAGAGAATCTCATCTCATTCATTGCCGTTTCTCCAGCACAGAACGGAGTGTCTGGTGTGAAAGCACCATAGTAAATGTGTAATAAATGAATGAACTGGTTATAATATATGCTCTATCCTTTTTAGAGTTACTTCAGTTCTGCATAAACATTTGGATGGCTATAAACCATTAGAGTTGTTGAAGATAACTCAAGAATTAACTTTTCTGCATTTCCAAAGGAAGGAGTTTTTTGCGAAACTTAGAGAATTACTGCTTAGGTAAGATTAAAATAGAAATTTTGTTTAGTGTTTCATTTTCTAGCCACAATATTTGTTTTGTTTAACTATGTACAGTGGTGCTAGAAGTTATGGAGGCAAAATTGTGAAGCTTATTAGTAAAAATGTTAAGACACTATCTCCCTCCGTGGCCATTCTGCCAGTGCCCATGCTGGGTATATTTTGAAACGGAAATGAGGCCAGCAGGGTGATGAGTTCCCTAGGGGAGGAATGGCAATAAACTGATGAATAGCAAAGCCATTCTCCTTTCCTGCAAAATGGAGTCACCATGAAAAGATTGGGACTGCTGACGAAAGTTAAACTCCATTTGGGAGCATTCATATTTAGGGCCTTTCGGTCTTGCATTCATGCCTATTTTAAGGCTTATTAAATTTTTGAGAATAAGACATAATGGTGATGTTGGGGAAAAAGTGTTTTATTTTCTTTTCCTCTTTTTTTTTTTGAGATGGAGTCTCACTTTGTTGCCCAGGCTGGAGTGCAGTGGAGCAATCTTGGCTCACTGCAACCTCCGCCTCCCCAGTTCAAGCAATTCTCCTGCCTCAGCCTCCCGAGTAGCTGGGAATACAGGCACATACCACCACACCCTGTTAATTTTTGTAATTTTAGTAGAGATGGGATTTCACTGTATTGGTCAGGCTGGTTTCGAACTCCTGACCTCAGGTGATCCACCTGCCTGAGCCTCCCAAAGTGTTGGGATTACAGATGTGAGCCACCATGCCCAGCGAAAAAGTGTTTTCATGTAGAATTTTCCCTTTATAATTTAAAATCACCTTATTTTCTACAGATGTATCTTTTTTTTTTTTTTTTTTTTTTTTTTTTTTTTTTTTAGAGACAGGGTCTCACTCTGTCCCCTGGGCTGGAGTGCAGTGGTGCAATCATAGCTCACGGCAGCCAATCATAACTTGCTGTAGCCTCGAAGTCCTGGGCTGAAGTGATCCTCCCGCCTCAGCCTCCCAAGTAGTAGTGCTACCAAACTTGGCTAATTTTTTTTTTTTTTGTAGAGATGGGGGTCTCACTTTGTTGCCCAAGCTGGAGTGCAGTGGCATGATCATAGCTTACCACATCTTCAAACTCACGGGCTCAAGCAATCCTACCACCTCAGCCTCCTGAGTAGCTGGTTTTACAGGCTTGAACCAGCATGCCCATCTAGTTTGATTTCTTACCGTTATTTATTTATTTTTTTTGAGATGGAGTCTCGCTCTGTCGCCCAGGCTGGAGTGCAGTGGCACGATCTCAGCTCACTGCAAGCTCTGCCACCCGGGTTCACGCCATTCTCCTGCCTCAGCCTCCTGAGCAGCTGGGACTACAGGTGCCCGCCGCCACACCCGGCTAATTTTTTGTATTTTTTTTTTAGTAGAGATGGGGTTTCACTGTGTTAGCCAGGATGGTCTCGATCTTCTGACCCCGTGGTCTGCCCGCCTCAGCCTCCCAAAGTGCCGGGATTACAGGCGTGAGCCACTGCGCCCGGCCTGATTTTTTACTGTGATTTCTGAAAGACCAAGCATATAGTTGAAAATGATTTTTATTATAATAAAGTGATATGCCATTATGGTTAAAAAGGTTTTGAACTGAGTAATATGAAATAACATGTTATCAGATGAGAATTTAGCGTATTAGGATGTTATAAGAAAGTTTATCTTTTTCTTGAAAAATAATTTTCTTCTTAAGATGGTAAGATGATAAGATGCTTATTGTTTCTTCACCCTTTCCATATTTAGTCCAGAATTTCACATAGACTACCTCTCAATTATGAATTTTATGTTCTAAATTAGAAATGATACACTAGCCCAGGCATGATTTATGTCTGCACAGTGGGTTTTTTTTTTTTTTTTTTGCATGCTTTTAAAAAATTTTCTATATTTTTATGTTTTTATTTATTTTTATTTTTGTATTTGTTGTTTTTTGAGATGCAGTCTCGCCCTGTCACCCAGGCTGCAGTAGAGCATGATCTCGGCTCACTGCAACCTCCGCCTCCCAGGTTCAAGCGATTTTCCTGTCAGCCTCCCAAGTAGCTGAGATTACAGGCATGAGGCACCATGCCTGGCTAATTTTTGTATTTTTGGTAGAGACTAGGTTTCACCATGTTGGCCAGGCTTATCTTGATCTCCTGACCTCAAGTGATCCGCCTGCTTTGGCCTCCGAAAGTGCTGGGATTACAAGCATGAGCCACTGCACCTGGCCTATGTTTTATGTTTTTAAGAAATATTTCAGTAGCTTTTGGGGTACAAGTGGTTTTTTGTTACATGGATGAATTGTATAGTGGTGAATTCTGAGATTTTAAGTGCACCTGTCACCTGAGTAATGTACTTAGTACCTAATGTGTTGTTTTTTTGTCCCTAGCTTGCCTACCAACCTCCCTTTTCTGAGTCTCTAACGTCCATTATATATCACTCTGTATGCCTTTGCGTACTCATAGCTTAGCTCCCACTTGTAAGTGAAAGTATACAATTTTTTATTTTCCCCTCCTGTGTTACTTCACTTAGTATAATGGCCTTCAGCTCCACCCAAGTTGCTGAAAAGACATTATTGTGTTCCTTTTAATGGCTGATTAAAGGTGTATTAAATATACACCATGATATCCATGGTGTATATTTACCACATTTTCTTTATGCACTTATTAGTCAATGGGCATTTAGGTTGGTTAACATCTTTGCAGTTGTCAATTGTGCTGCTGTAAACATACATTGCAGTGTTTTTTAAAAAAATTAAATTATTCAGTACTGATGAATACTTCTAGGTATGTTAACAGAAAAATAAGAGCAGGAGTGGGAGCATCAAAGAAGATTTCATTTTCCTGTAATGTTTTGTTGCTTTTATGAAAAGACTTGAAGCACGTATGATAATGTTAAAGCTTATTAAATTCTGAGTAAGGAGAGCCTTTATGTATCTCTGTAGTTTAAAATTATATCAAAAGTGTTTGAGTTACTAACATTTGAAAGTTTGGTGTTGTTATATAAAAATCATAGGCACTTCATGTTTCAGAATTACCTTCTTCCACTTCAGTGCAGATAATCTGAAGTAGATATTAGAAGGAATGTAGTCTATTTGAACTAATAATTTACATAAATTCTTATGTAAATAGGTCCTAGGTCCTGAAACAGCTCAAAGAACCCAGAGTTTTCATGTACTGGAATAATGTCTGTTGTTGTTTTTTAACTTATTGAAATATAATCTACATAAAATATACATTTGCCTTCCTCATTACCCTGTCCTCACCTCCAAGATTAACTATCTCTATTTGTAACTGCATGGATTGGTTTTGCCTTTATACTTTATATAAATGGAATCATTAGTATGATTTCCTTTATTTTTTGAGATAGGGTCTCATTCGTTTTCCCAGGCTGGAGTACAGTGGCGTGATCTCGGCTCACTGCAACCTCAAGTGACCTCAAGTGACCCTCCTGCCTCAGCCTCCTGAGTAGCTGGGACTACAGGCACGTGCTACCACACCCAGCTACTTTTTGTATTTTTAGTAGAGATGGGGTTTTGCCATGTTGCCCAGGCTGGTCCCAAACTCCTGTGCTCAAGTAATCTGCCTGCCTTGGCCTCCTGAAGTGCTGGGGTTACAGGCATGAGCCACTGCGCCTGGTCAGTGTGATTTCTTTTGTGTCAGGCTTCTTTTGCTCAATACTAAGTTTATGAGATTTGTTTATGCTTTTGTCTTATAGTATTCTCTTGTAAGAATATAACAAAATTTATTTATTTATTCTATTGTTGATGGATATTCGATTTATTTCCAGTTTTTGGTTATTATCAGCAGTACTGTTTATGAACAAATTCATGTATATTTTTTAGTGAACATACATATTCATTTCTGTGTGCCAGCGAGTGTAATCATTGGTTCATAGGGTATGCATGTCCTCATCTTCAGTAGATGCTGCTGAACATTTTCTAAAGTGGTTTTACCAATCCCTACTCCCACTAACAGAATGTACACATTCCTATTGC
The DNA here is from genome assembly GCF_000001405.40 of Homo sapiens. Classification (NCBI taxonomy): domain Eukaryota; kingdom Metazoa; phylum Chordata; class Mammalia; order Primates; family Hominidae; genus Homo; species Homo sapiens. The sequence continues at coordinate 169,551,157 of NC_000002.12, read as the reverse complement.
TCCATATCCGTGCCAACACTCGATATTTTTTTACTTTTTTTCCCCTATAACCCAGGACAGTGCTCATGCTTTTTAATTTGAGCTGTTCTGGTGGGTATGTTGTGGTATTATAAATAAATATACGCAAATATCTAAGCTTTGACAATTGAGGAGGTATCACAAGGAAAAACACCAAGTGGAGGTTGGAGAAATTGTATCTGTTGGGGGTTTATTTGTAGAAAAGTATCTCAAGATTGGTAGCTCCACAATGATGCAGCTTTTTGAAGGCTTTCATTTCTTAATATAAAATAGTGTATTAATTTTTTGTGGTTATAAGAATAAAATATGCAGTACTAACTAAGTGCCTGGTTGTGTCAGGCACTGGGCCAAATATATAAAAATCATTTTGAAAATTTTGGAAAACAGAAAAAAGTATATTTGAGAGGCTGAGGCAGGAGGATCATTTGAGGCCAGGAATTCAAGACCGGTGTGTTCAACATAGCAAGCCTCTGTCTCTACAAAAAACTAAAGAATTAGCAGGGTGTAGTAGTTCATGCCTGTAGTCCTAGCTACTCAGGAGGCTGAGGCGGGAGGATCACTTGAGCCCAGGACCTCAAGCTTACAGTGAACTATGATCATGCCACAGCACTCCAGCCTGGGCTATAGAGTGAGACCCTATCTCTAAAAAAGAAAAGAAAGGAAAAAAATATAAAGAAGAAAATAAAAATTATTCATAAACTCATTCATCCACTGTCAACAATATAGTTTATTTCCTTGTTGTATACTACATATATGTATTTTTTTTCCTAGTTGACCATACAATTTTGTTTGTTTGTTTTTGGCCATTTTACCTTGTACATCATTAAGAACTACATCATTAAGAACTTTTTGTAAATCTTTTATAATGGCTGGTTGATACCCATCATATGACTGTACCATAATTCACTTATTACTATTCCCCCTCATTATTTAGATTGTTTTCACATTTTAGCCATGTAAAAAATATGATAAGGCATGGTGGTGTGCACCTGTATCCCAGCTACACCCAGCTATGTTTGGGAAGCCGAGGCAGGAGGATCACTTGAGCCCAAGAGTTGGAGATCAGCCTGGGAAACATCGTAAGACTCCCTCTTAAAAGAAAAAAAAAGATGAATAACAACACACATCTTTTACCTGGATTTTATATTAGTTTATTAGGTTAGTTTCCCAGACAGGGATTGACCATGTCAAATGATAAAATTAAAATACTTTTAAAGTTTTCAAAGCCGTACTGCTAAATTACTTTCCAGGAAGTTACACCAACTTTTTAAGTTTACTAATAGTGAATGAGAATGCCTGTATCAGTACACCCTTGCTAACACTGAGTATTAATATTACGATTATTTTAGTATGCTAATTTAAATATTTTAAATGGCCAGGCATAGTGGCTCATGCTTGTAATCCCAGGACTTTGGGAGACTGAGCTGGGAGGATTGTTTGAGCCCAGGAGTTCAAGACCAGCCTGGGCAATAAAGCAAGACCCTGTCTCCACAACAAAAAACAAAAAATTAGCTGGGCGTGGTGGCATGTACCTATATCCCCAGTGTGTAGAGAGGCTGAGGCAGGAGGAGTACTTGAGCCCAGGAGGTCAAGGCTGCAATGAGCTATATTACGCCACTGCCCTCTAGCCTGGGCAACAGAGTGAGACCCTGTCTCCAGAAAAAAATTAATTTAAAAAATATTTTAAAAGTAACTCAATGTATTTATTTATTTATTTTTATTTTTAATTTTTTTTTGAGATGGAGTTTCGCTCTTGTTGCCCAGGCTGGAGTGCAGTGGCACAATCTCGGCTCACCGCAACCTCCGCCTCCCAGGTTCAACCGATTCTCCTGCCTCAGCCGCCCGAGTAGCTGGGATTACAGCGCATTACATGCGCCACCCCACCTGGCTAACTTTTTTGTATTTTTAGTAGAGACGGGGTTTTTCCATGTTGGTTAGGCTGGTCTCGAACTCCCGACCTCAGGTAATCCGCCCACCTCGGCCTCCCAAAGGGATGGGATTACAGGCGTGAGCCACCACGCCCAGCTATTTATTTAATTTTTTGAGATGGAGTCTCGCTCTGTCGCCCAGGCTGGAGTGCAGTGGTGCCATCTCGGCTCACTGCAAGCTCCGCCTCCCGGGTTCACGCCATTCTCCTGTCTCAGCCTCCTGAGTAGCTGGGACTACAGGCACCCACCACCATGCCCGGCTAACTCTTTTTTGTATTTTTAGTAGAGACGGTGTTTCACCATGTTAGCCAGAATGGTCTCGATCTCCTGACCTCGTGATCTGCCCGCCTTGGCCTCCCAAAGTGCTGGGATTACAGGAGTGAGCTACCGCGCCCAGCCTCAATTTTGTTTTAATTTAGATTGTATTATTCCTTCCACTACTTCTATACCTAAAGTTTTTTTTTTTTTTTTTTTTTTTTTGAGGCGGAGTCTTGCTCTGTCACCCAGGCTGGAGTGCAGTGGCGTGATCTCGGCTCACTGCAACCTCCGCCTCCCGGGTTCAAGCGATTCTCATGCCTTAGCCTCCCCAGTAGCTAGGATTACAGGCATGTGCCACCACGCCCGGCTAATTTTTTGTATTTTCAGTAGAGATGGGGTTTCATTATGTTGGCCAGGCTAGTCTCGAACTTCTGAGCTCAAGCTATCCCCCGCCTTGGCCTCTCAAAATGCTGGAATTAAAGGTGTGAGCCACCATGCCCGGCCCCAGTTTTTCAATTTTTTTTTTTTTTTTTAACAATTATTGTCCTGGTGGTGGGACTCTTGCCATGGGGATTTCGGAATGAAGTAGAGAATGAGGTCAACTATGTCCTGTTTCTTTTGTTGTTGTTTGTTTATTCATTTGTTTTAAATGTTGGACTGTGTATCGGAAACAAAAAAGGAACCAATTTTATTACGTGATCACTGCATGCCAGGGCCTGACAGGTGATATCAGAAATTGAACCCAAGTTCTTTCTTCAGCGACAGCACTGGAAACATTGTTCTGACATGGACCTTTTGTTTCCCTGGGACTGTGGTTTTATTTTTGAATAAAAAATTTTGGCCTGTGCTTCAGAACAGGTCTTCCTGTTTTATTCCTTTATTCCTTCCACTATTTCTATACTTAAAGATTTTTTTTTCTTTTCTTTTCTTTTTGTTTTTGTTTTGTTTTTTTTTTTTTGAGACGGAGGGCATCAGGAAGTCTTAGGCTTTCCTGAATAATCCTTTATGGACCTGTCATCTTTGAATTTATCAAACTCTTTTTTTTTTTTTTTTTTTTTTTTTTTTTTTTGAGATGGAGTCTTCCTCTGTCGCCCAGGCTGGAGTGCAGTGGCACGATCTTGGCTCACTGCAACCTCCACCTCCCTGGTTCAAGAGATTCCCCTGCCTCAACCTCCTGAGTAGCTGGGATTACAGGTGCACATCACCATGCCTGGCTAAGCTAATTTTTTTGTGTTTTTAGTAGAGACAGCGTTTCACCATGTTGGCCAGACTGGTCTCGAACCCCTGTCCTTGGCCTCCCAAAGTGCTGGGATTACAGACATGAGCCACCGTGCCTGGCCTATCTAACTCTTCTTAAATTAACTTGTATTATGCCCACCTGTGATGTTATATATATTGGCTTTTGTCCTAGTTACTAGTTCATAACTTCTATAGCTCTTGCTATAGCCTTTTGTTAACAATGTTGGGTATGTTAGGCCTCTGGAAAGAGAATCTCTCTCCTGCCCCAAAGCAGGACTCTAATCTCCCTCCACCTTTCTGATCGTGGGTCTTAAGACGCTCCCCTGAGAGATCCCACCCTACACCCTGTGTGAGGAAATGTTGATGTCACGAAGCTCATAAAAACCCAAGAAGACTGGGTTTGGACTGCTTCCGGATAGCCGAACACGTGGAGGTTCCTGGAGGGTGGCATGGTCAGGGAGGGCATGGAAGCTCTGCACCCCTTCCCGCATACCTCACCCTACTGTCCCTTCATCTGCATTCTTTATAATATCATTTATAATAAACCTGTAAACATAAACAACTGCTTCCCTGAGTTCTGTGAATCACTCCAGCAAATTAATCAAACCCAAAGAGGAGGTCATGGGAAACCCAACTTGAAGCCGGTTGCTCAGAAGTTCTGGAGGCCTACTTTTGCAAGTGGAGTCTGGGGTTTTTGTGGGAGAGGTTAGTCTTAGAGACCAAGTTCCCAACCTGTGGGATCTGACACTGTCCCCAGGTAGATTGTGTCAGAACTGAATTGGACACCCAGTTGGTATCCGCTGCTTGGAAGAACTCCCACACATTTGGTCACAGAAGTCTTCTGTGGTTGATGATTGTTGTGGTTTGAGATTAGAGGAGAAACATAGTTTGAAAGAGGTTTTTTTGAATCATCATCTTACCTATTAATTGTACTCATATGTATTCATATTTTAATACATATATATTTTGGGTTTGTTGCTGATGTATTCTTTTCATTTTTCATTTTGCAGTTATTTGAAAAATAGTTTCATACCAACTGAGGTGTCTGTTCTGGTCCGTGCTATTTCCCTGCTCCCTTCTCCTCACTTGGACGAAGTGGGGATATCCCGAATTGAAGCCGTTTTACCACAGTGTGACCTAAATAACCTGAGTAGTTTTGCCACATCTGTTTTAAGATGGATTCAGCATGATCACATGTATTTGGATAATATGACTGCGAAACAACTGAAACTACTTCAAAAATTAGATCACTATGGTCGTCAGAGACTACAACACAGCAACAGTTTGGATCTGTTACGGAAGGAACTTAAATCTCTCAAAGGAAACACGTTTCCTGAGTCACTTCTTGAAGAAATGATTGCTACTTTACAGCATTTCATGGATGATATTAATTACATAAATGTTGGGGAGATTGCATCTTTTATTTCTAGTACTGATTACCTCAGTACTTTGCTACTAGATAGGATAGCCTCAGTGGCTGTTCAGCAGATTGAAAAGGTGAAATTTAAATGGTAGACATTAATTTTATAGAGTTGTCAACTTCTGCAAGCATAATTTTTATCATAGGCACTTTGAGAACTTGGATTGGAATTTGAGGTTTAAAAATTAAATAAATTCTGGGTCAGATGTGGTAGCTCAAGCCTGTAATTCCAGCGGTTGGGAGGCTGAGGTGGGAGGATTGGTTGAGCCCAGGAATTAAGGCTCAGTGAGCTATGATTGCACCACTGCACTCCAGCCTGTGTGACAGAGTGAGACCCTGTCTCTTAAGAAAAACAAAGAAAACTCTGGTTTCTATTTCAGCGATTTGTTGTTCCTCTCCTTAAAGTCACTTTCTCATTCCGGCATTGTAGATTTGGAAAGATCAGCAATCATTCTTTGGTTCATTACAGTATTAAGATTAGTAATCAATTCTTTGAGGATACTCATGTTAGGACAGTGGAGTATGAATGATTTTTGGTTTTACTTTTTCTTATTTCTGTAATCGTGTGGTATTATTTTTACCATTTAAAAACAATTATATTCAAAAGTGTGAGATAAGCTTGAAAACTGAGAAAATTATAAGGTATCCATTGGCAACTATATTCTTAAACTGTCATTGCATCTTCTTGCAGATTTATTTCTGGGACTTGTAAAATGCCGCTTTATGGATTATGTGAGAAGCAGCTCACTTACAAAATCACTATCATAAATATATCAGGGCAAGGCCTTTATTTAAAAGACAGTGTTTCTCACAAATGAAAATAAAAAGTTTGTCTTAACTTGCTTAGTATAGTGCCTGGAAGTCATTAAGTATTGGATGAATGAGTGAAAAATGAAATAAAAAAGCAAATGAAAGAAAAATAAATGCTAGTGATTATAATTTAAGAAACTTCTTTAATTATGATTATTCTATAAAATGTACTGATTATCATGGAAATTGCTGATACTGTTTCCTATTCAATTTAGTGACTAATGAATTCTGAAACAGAATTTATTTACTTATTTTAAATTTAAATAAAGACAGGGTCTCACTATGTTGCCCTGACTAATCTCGAACTCCTGGCCTCAAGCAATCCTCCCACCTCAGCCATCCAAAGTGTTGGGATGACAGGCATGAGCCACCACTCCCAGCCAGAACAGAATTTTACACCTAACAAAATAAATTTGTAAATTATCTGATTTACTTCTTTTTTGTTACATTAACACTTTTGGGGTTATTAATAATGTTGGTGGGGTTAAATAAATTATAGCAGGATGGAAAAATTAATAAGCAGGGTGATACATTTATTATTTAACTGTAGCGATGATAGGAAAAGATTTCTCCTAAAAAATAATTAGGTTAAAATTTTGTCTTATTTTCCTAAAGTTTAAACTATAAATTTTTTGTTCTTTTTATACAGATCCATCCTTTTACAATCCCTGCTATTATTCGTCCATTCAGCGTATTGAACTATGATCCACCTCAAAGGGATGAATTTTTGGGAACTTGCGTGCAACATCTTAATTCTTACTTAGGTAGGTATATTGTTTGGTAATACATTGAGTGAATAAGTCAGAGGATACTTGTTGCTGCTGAGCTAGGAGATGTCCCTCATTTAAAGGGTAACCATAATAGACATGAATTATCTACCTAAAAAAAGGTTTTTTGTTTGTTTGTTTGTTTTTGAGACAGAGTCTTGCTCTGTCGCCCAGGCTGGAGTGTAGTGGTGCGATCTTGGCTCATTGCAACCTCTGTCTCCTGGGTTCAAGTGATTCTCCTGCCTCAGTCACCCCAGTAGCTTGGACTATAAGCATGTGCCACCACACCCGGCTAATTTTTTGCATTTTTAGTACAGACAGGGTTTCACCATGTTGGCCAGGGTGGTCAGGAACTCCTGACCTCAGGTGATCCACCCGCCAAGGCTTCCCAAAGTGTTGGGATTACAGGTGTGAGCCACTGCGCCCGGCCCTATAAAAACTTTGTATCCATTTTAATTATGAAAAATGTCAAACTTGTATAAAGAATTAAACAAAGAACACATATATACTCACCGTGTAGATTCAATAATGTTAACATTTTACAGTGTTTGCCTTATCCGTTTGTTTCTCTGACTCTCTTATTTTTTTCTGAGCCATTTCAAAGTTGTAGTCATTGTGACCCTCCATCCCTAATTACTTTAGCATACATCTCCTAAGAATAATGACATTCTTCTGTACCACCACAATACTGTTGCCACACCTAAGAAACTTAATCATAGTCCCCTAATATCTAATACACAGTTCATGTTTCAGTCTCCCTAAGTGTTACCAAAATACATTTTAGAGTAGTTGTTTTGCACCCAGTATTCACTCATTGTGTTTGGTTGTTATCTCTTCAGTCTCTTATAGTTTAGAATTTTGTTTCCTTTTTTTCTTTTCTTGGCATTGACTTGGTTTTTTTTTTTCTTAACTTTTTGTTATCCAGGTTTTCAAATATACAGAAAAATTGAACAATACAACAAACATCTGTATAATAATAAACTGTATAATAATGAACTGTAGCCCCACAGTCGTGATTGAGTATTGATTAACATTTGCCACATTTGCTCTGTGTATGTGCACAAGCGCGTATGCGTATGATGAACCTTCCAGTTGTCAGCTCTGTGTACTTCAGGTTATAAGGACGTTCTCCTATGTAACTACAATACTGGTATCATTACCAGTACCAAAGAAAATGAACAAGTACCATCTACTACCTAGTCCGTAATCAAATTTTCCCGAGTCACCAAATTATCTTTTATAACTTTTTTTTTTGAGACAGAGTTTTGCTCTTGTTGCCCAGGCTGGAGTGTAATGGCACAATCTCGGCTCACTGCAACCTCCGCCTCCCAGGTTCAAGCGATTCTCCTGCCTCAGTCTCCCGAGTAGCTGGGATTACAGGCATGCGCCACTACGCCCAGCTAATTTTGTATTTTTAGTAGAGACGGGGTTTCTCCATGTTGGTCAGGCTGGTCTCGAACTCCCGACTTTAGGTGATCCACCCACCTCAGCCTCCCAAAGTGCTGGGATTACAGATGTGAGCCACCGTGCCTGGCTATAACTTTTTTTTAAACAACCAGCATTGAGTAGTTATGTCTTTTCCTCCATCTTTTTTGCTTGATATTTATTTTTATAAAATGATTGGCCATTTCTTATAAATTGTGCCACATTCTGGATTTGTCTGATTGTTTTCCTGTAACTTGCTTCTCCATCTCCTGCATTTGTAGTAAACTAGAAATTAGGTATAGATGCTTGGTTAGGTTCAGATTAAACATTTGCAGCAAAAATAACTTGTATGTAGTGCTGTATACCTTATATTTAGATCACATCTGGAGGCACATAATGTCTGATTGTTTCTGTCTATTTAGATTTTGGTTTTCTTTTTGAGACGGAGTCTTGCCAGATTGTTTTTTAAAAGTAAAAAAATGTTTCTTAAGAACCTTAATAGATGTTTGTAAATTGTTTGAAGGGTTGCTGCTCTTATGCTGATTATTTTGCATCTCTTAAAAAGGTCTTTAAAAAAATTATCTTTTAAATTTAGAGATGGGGTCTTGCTACGTTGCCCAGGCTGATATCAAATGCCTGGGCTCAAGCGGTCCTCCCACCTTAGCCTCCCAAGTGCTGGAATTACAGGCGTGTGCCACCACACCTGGCCAGAAAAGTCTTTTGGTAATATTTCAGTACTAGAAAAAAGTAGAATAGAAATAGTCCTTCCTGCTGTTAGCCTTAGCAGAAGCAATATGTGAGGACAGCAGAGACAGGAAATTACTTTTTCTTTTTCCTTTTCCTTTTCCTTTTTATTTTGGGTCCTGAGTTGTGTTTGGAACAGTTTGACCTTGAAGGATTAGAGCTTTATGAGACTTTTCTTCTCAGACTCACACTATGTACTTGTCAGTATGATATAGAAGCTTTAGAGGAGAAATGCTCAGTAACCGTTCCTTTTCAGTCAACACTTTCCATGTACTTACTGTCAGGTATTCTTCTAGGCGCTGGAGATACAGGAGAGAGTAAAAACAGATAAACTACCATGATCGAGTTTACTTTCTGTTAGGGGGAGATTGACATAAACAATAAACAAGGCTCTAAGGTCAGATGGTGATAAGTACCTTCAAGAACATTAGAGCAGGGTAAGTGTGTAGGCTGGAGCATCATGGTAAGTGTGAGATGGAGTGCTATTTTGGATAAGGGATTCAGGGACTGCCTCTCTGAGGAGATGTCATTTAACCATGGATTAAATGAATTGAGAGAGTGATGCATGTCAAGAGTTAGGGAAGAGAGTCCCAGGATGAAAGAAAGGGAACTGGAAAGGGCCCTCGGGTGAGAGCATGTTTGGTTTTTTTCCAGGAACAGTGGATTCAGTGTGGCAGGAGTAGATGAGGGAGACCGAGTTGGTAGGAGATAAAGTTGGAGAGACAGCCAGAGACTGGTTTCCTCAGATCTTTTTGCTCTGCCTGGAGAGTAAGAATTACCCAGTTATCTACCAAGCAACAGATACTGAGAGCTTCCATATCCAGCATAACATGTTAGGCTCTACATTAGGGATTTATATAGATCTTTAGACCTCTGGTGAAGCTGGTATGAAGCAAGTATAAATATATTAATTGTGTCTGCATCATGCTAATGGACTTTGCTACATTTTTGTGGGATCTATGGGCCAGACAGCATCTAACCATGTCTGATACTACTGTGTCACAGCCTACAACGTGAGGCTGGGATATATGTATGTATATATGTATATGAATGTGTTGCATGTATGGTATACATTTATACCCCTTTTTAGTAACACAACTATATGTAGAAAGATGAGACTTTAAATTGAGACTTAGACTGTATTCTCCTGGTTGTTCAGTCATGTGTTGACAACCAGAAGGAAATGAAAGTGCATCTCTTCCCAGGTTCTCCAAATAGAGTCTTAGAAATTAGAAAATTTTGTTGCTAAAGAGTATAAGGAAAGAAAGATTGAGAAGTACAGCTTTGAGTTTTTAAAACTTAATCAGAGAAAGTTTTAAAAATTCCTAGGGAACTTTATAAGTAAAATTTTAAATAACTAATGGAGTAATAATTTTCATTGTTTTGAGTAAAGACGAATTTTGACAGATTAGTTTTGCTGGTAGAAATCATCACTATTAACTTCATTTATGATCTGGTCTTTCTTTATTAAATAAACTTAGAAAAAATTGAAAAGGAAAGATTTAATGTTGTCTCTTCTGTCCTTAGTAAGAATACCTATGCCAGTCAGGCATTTTAGGTGACCCTTTCCGCCACATTAGAAATGTCTCTTGGATGAGGCAAATCAGGTAAATAGTTGAAGCCTTATACTGTGGGGCATCTGCCATGCTGCTGGGTGACAAGTAAAGGAGCAGGTGCTAGGCAAGACCTCAGCCTCAAACATGTGTACACTCTGCTTGGAGATCTGAGATTCCCAGAGAGCAGCATAGTATAATAATCCAGGCTCCAGAGCTGGACATTCTGGGTTAAACCCTACTCTCCGCTGCCAACTCTGATCTTGGGCAAGTCATTTAACCTCTCTGCTTCCTAATGCTTATTTATAAAGTGGAGATAATTGTTTCTACTGATATAAGATATAAGTGAGTTAATATATCTAAAGTGTTTAGAATGGTATGTAACATATTCTGAACACTATTGTATTATTATCATCAACACTGGGATCACTTCTTTTTACATGCACCACTGTCCTTTTGTTTTGGATTCTTTTTCCAAGGCTATTTTTAAAACTTCTTACTAAAGTGTAATAACAAATGTTCGTATAACTTTAGTATAATACTGTGAATTTATTCAAATTGAATCACCTAGGGAATCAGTACTGAGATCAAGACACAGCGTATTATCACAGTACCCTTCTCCTCTTGTCCCCTTTTCCTACTTGGCTCACACCCAAAGGTAACCACTTAACCATTATCCTGTCTTGTAACAGTGTAGATTAGTTTTGTCAAGGCTGTGTATCTTTTTTTTAAAAACCTGGGTTTGCCTGAATAAATTATAAGTGTATATATAAGTGAGGCAGCTATACCTTTAAAAAAATCTTAATTTTCTTTTAGGTATATTGGATCCTTTTATATTAGTGTTTCTTGGTTTCTCTTTGGCCACACTTGAATATTTTCCAGAAGATCTGCTAAAGGCAATTTTTAACATCAAATTCTTAGCTAGATTGGATTCTCAACTTGAAAGTATGTATCTATCTTTTAATTTATTTAATTATCTGTTGTACTTTATATCCAAGTCTCAGGTCTATCTATACTGAAGAATTTTAATGTTAATAACTTTTTTCTGTTTCTAATAGTATTCATGCTTATTGTAGAAATTTGGAAAACACAGGAATAAAATAGAAAATAAAAAATTACCCATCTTACTAACAAGTAAAACTACCACTTTTAATGTTTTGGAGTATTTCTTTTTTGTCTTTCTCCTTCTCCTATGTGAATGATTATATATCTGTGTTTTTTTGTTTTGTTTTGAGACAGGGTCTCACTCTGTTGCCCAGGCTGGAGTGCAGTGGTGCAGTCATAGCTCACTGAAGCCTTGGACTCCAGGATCAAGTGATCCTCCCACCTCAGCCTTCCAAGTAGCTGGGACCACAGGCGTGTGTCACCATGCCCAGCTAATTTTTTTTTTTTAAGAGCTGGGATCTCACTGTATTGCCCAGGCTGGTCTCAAACTCTTGAGCTCAAGTGATTCTCCCTCCTTGGCCTCCCAGATGCTGCGATTATAGGTGTGAGCCCCCACACCCAGCCTGTATTTAATTTTAATTTGTTAAATTTTTTATTTTTATATTTTGAGACAGAGTTTTGCTATGTTGCCCAGGCTGGTCTCTAACTCCTGGCCTCAAGTGATCCTCTTGCCTTGGCCTCCCAAAGTGTTGGGATTACAGGCATGAGCCACTGTACCCAGTCCCTATAAGACTTATTTTATTTTACATTTCTTTCTTTTTCTTTTTCTTTTTTTTTTTGAGATGGAGTCTTGCTCTGTTTCCCAGGCTGGAGTGCAGTGGCTCAATCTTAGCTCACTGCAACCTCCACCTTCCCATTTCAAGTGATTGATCCTCCTGCTTCAGCCTCTCGAGTAGCGGGGATTATAAGTATGTGCCACCATGCCCGGCTAATTTTTCTGTTTTCAGTAGAGACGAGGTTTCACCATGTTGGCCAGGTTGGTGTTGAACTCCTGACCTCAAGTGATCTGCCCACCTTGGCCTCACAAAGTGGTAGGATTACAGGCATGAGCCCCCACACCTGGCCCCTATATGAATTTTAAAACAAAATTTGGATTATTTATATATTCACTTTTATATGCTGCCTTTTTCCATCTAACTATATTTTGAGCAATTTTCCATATTATTAAATATTTTTTGATGTCTTTTTTTATTGGCTACATAATATCCTGTTACATGGATATAATAAAATTTGTCACAGATTGTTTCCAATTCCTCATCATTGTAAGTAATGATTTGTTATACATGAATCATTGTTTCCTTAGGATAAAATCCTAAGTGTGGAATATTAGGTGAATGAAAAATCTTGGGAGTATTTTTTTTTTTTTTTTTTTTTTGAGACGGAGTTTTGCTCTTGTTGCCCAGGCTGGAGTGCAATGGCATGATCTTGGTTACCCAAAACCCCACCTTCTGGATTCAAGCGATTCTCCTGCCTTGGCCTCCTGAGTAGCTGGGATTACAGGCATGCACCACCATGCCTGGCTAATTTTGTACCTTTAGTATAGACGGGGTTTCTCCATGTTGGTCAGGCTGGTCTTGAACTCCCGACCTCAGGTGATCCGCCCACCTCAGCCTCCCAAAGTGTTGGGATTACAGGCATGAGCCACCGTGCCCTGCTGGGAGTATTTTTTAAATGTACTTTTAACGTTCATGATTAATGAGAACAGTGCAGGAGTTGGTCCTAATCATGTCACTGAATGTAATAATTTAAAAATATAAAGCATACATTTGTAAATTAGAAATGTAAACAGTTCTAAATACTGTTAGAATAAAAGCATCTACTAATAGTGGGGATAAATGAATGTGAAAAAAATGGGTTGTCTTTCCTAGGTCTCAGCTATCAAAATTCATTAGTATTTTATTAATTTCAGTTTTATCTCCATCTCGAAGTGCAAGAGTCCAGTTTCATCTTATGGAGTTAAATAGATCAGTCTGCTTGGAATGCCCTGAGTTTCAGATTCCATGGTTTCATGACCGCTTCTGTCAACAATATAATAAAGGTTTGAGTTTTCTTTTAGTCAGATAGCAAAGTTTGATTCTAAAGTAAATTATTAGGTAGTACATTGTTAATCTTGTTATACTTAAACATGACACGAGCCTTCCCAAGAGTGCCATGACCTGTTTAATATTTTATATGAGATATTGTAGGTGAAACATTATAAGAATTTCTTCATATTTGGGACATAACCCTCCTAGTTGAGAGCAAAGAACTTGTATTGAATTTAGTGTCATTATATAAGACACTACATTGAAGCTCTTATTGAAATTATTAATCTTTATTTTTCAGTTTGTAGAACTGGGATGATTTTCATTAAAAAACTGATTAAGTCCGGGCGCGGTGGCTCACACCTGTAATCCCAGCACTTTGGGAGGCTGAAAGGCGGGCAGATCACCTGAGGTCAGGAGTTCGAGACCAGCCTGACCAACATGGAGAAACCCCATCTCTAACAAAAATACAAAATTAGCTGGGCGTGGTGGCACATGCCTGTAATCCCAGCTACTTGGGAGGCTGAGGCAGGAGAATTGCTTGAACTGGGGAGGCAGAGGTTGCAGTGAGCTGAGATCGCGCCGTTGCATTCCAGCCTGGGCAACAAGAGCGAAAACTCCGTCTCAAAGGAAAAAAAAAAAGAAAAAAAAGATTAAGTAGACTAATTATTTATTTTTTTATAAAGGTATTGGTGGCATGGATGGAACACAACAGCAGATTTTTAAAATGTTAGCAGAGGTACTAGGAGGAATCAATTGTGTAAAAGCCTCGGTTCTTACGCCTTATTACCACAAAGTAGGTAAGTTATTGGGTAGGTTATTAGTTACTTTCAGAAAATCAAACTAATTTGAATAGAATCATCTTATCAGTTGGAATTTTTTAAAGTTTTTTGAATTTTTTTCAAGTTGTTATTATTATTAAAATTTTCAAACGGAGATAGAAAGAGCAATAGAATAAATCCTCAAGTTCCCGTGGCCCAGTGTTGATAACCAAGAGCGTTTTCTATTCTTTAGAAAAAAAAAAAAAAAAATTAAGGTCAGTCCTCCACCAATTCTAAGTAAAACCCAGATTCAGATTCACTGAACATTTCTGGATCTTCAAAAGATTCTGTCCTCTCCATTCAGTGTGTGAAAATAAGGGAAATGACTCTTTAATTTCTATTTCATTGTTTTAAGTTCATCTGAAAAACTAAGTTGGTCTATCAGCCTGGATAAAGATTTCCAAAGATACTGTGCTTGATGCTAACCTGATTAATCTTGTTTCTCAACTGGTCTAGTTGTAGAATGCATTCTGATTGAATTGTGGATCACATAAAGCTGGTGGACTAGCTTACGTTGATGGCAATATAAAATTTTCAAAGATATTGCCACATTCAAGTGGTGATCTTAAATGAAAAAGATAAAATTTCAAGATAATTAACATAAACTTTCTAAATTTAGGTTTAGAAAACCTCTGCATATACAGGATATTTAAAAGGATTATAAACTTGGTATAAACTAACAGTGTAAATGGTAGCCAAAAATCAAATACTATTTAAACTATATTGTTAATAATAACAAAAAAGTTGGTAATCCCATTGTATTCTATTTTTTAGACACCTTAATATATATATATATATTTTTTGCATGTTGTCCTTTTTAAGAGACAGTGACAATTAGGGTCTAGAAACAAAGGAGGACAGATAGTGAAGGATCTTGTCTAATCATGTCGTAGACAGAACTAGAGAGGACTAGGATTGCATGGATTTCAATCCTTGAGCAAGTTCTTCTGAACCTTGTTAACTTCTTCATCAGTGAAATGGGGATAATAATGCCTACTTGATAGGATTAACTGAGATATTGCATGTAAAGCATTTAACACTATCCTTGGAACATAGTAAGTGCTCAATGAATTTATTTTTATTTTAATTTTTTTATAGAGACAGGGTCTCACTATGTTGCTGGTCTCAAACTCCTGGGCTCAAGCGATCCTCCTGCCTCAGCTTAGCCTCCCAAAGTGTTGGGATTACAGGTGTGAGCCACTGTGCCCAGCCCAATAAATCTTACTTGAAAAAAAAAAAAAGGATGTTTAGTCTGAAAAATAGAAGTCTTATGGGGACCATAATGTTTTAAAATGTTTGAAGGATTGTTAAGTAGAAGAACTAGATATCTCTATCTCAAAGATGAACAAAATGGTAAAAATGAAAGGAAGCAGACTTTAACTTGGTATAATGAGAATTATTGACTGCTTTCTGAAGAAGTAATGTTGAGGCAGAGGCTGAGTATTCAGATGATAGATGTGTGTGATTTTTGCACTGGGCAGGAAGGTGAACTAGATAATCATTAATGCTCTCATCTTGTGCTATAAAACACAACTTTCCTTTGATTTTATGTTAATCAGGATTGAGTTGGGTATGAGTGACAAAAATCCATAAATTGGCTGGGCACAGTGGCTCATGCTCATACACATAGTCTCAGCACTTTGGGAGGCTGAGGTGGAAGGATAGCTTGAGCTCAGGAGTTTGAGACCAGCCTGGGCAATGTAGTTAGACCCTGTCTCTAAATAAATAAATAAACAAATAATAAATAAATAAATAAATAAATAAATAGCAGGCATGGTGGTATGCCCCTCTAGTCCCATTGCTCAGGAGTTTGAGACCAGCCTGGGCAATATAGTAAGACCCTGTCTCTAAATAAATAAATAATTATCAGGCATGGTGGCATGCCCCTGTAGTCCCATTAGGAGGCTGAGGTGGGAGAATCTCTTGAACCCAGGAGTTGAGTCTACAGTGAGTTACAGTCACGCTACTGCACTCTAGCCTCAGTGACAGAGCAAGACTCTGTCTCTAAAACAAAACAAAACAAAACAAAACAAAAAACAAACATTGAAGCTGGGCATGGTAGTGCAAGCCTGTAATCCTAGCTACTTTGAGAGACAGAGGTAGGAGGATCACTTGAGCCCAGAAGTTTGATACCAGCCTGGGCAATATAGTGAGAAGCCATCTCTTTTTAATATTTTTCTTTTTTTCTTCAGAACAATATGAATATAACCCCATCTCTTAAAAAAAAATTACATGAGACATGCTTAACATAGAAAAACTAGAAAAGGAAGATAACAAAAAAGAAAAATTACCCATGATATAGCCGCTGTTTGCTTTTGGTGTCTGTTTTCCTAACTTAAAAAAAAAAAAGACAAAAAGGTTTTCTTCTGTAGTGTTTGTGTTTTAGTCCTTTTCTGCTGCTACAACAAAATACCTGAGACTGGTTAATTTATAAACAACAGAAATTTGGCCGGGCGCAGTGGCACACGCCTGTAATCCCAGCACTTTGGGAGACAGAGGCGGGCGGATTACCTGAGGTTGGGAGTTCGAGATCAGCCTGGCTAACATGGTGAAACCCCATCTCTACTAAATATACAAAATTAGCTGGGCGTGGTGGCGCACGCCTGTAATCCCAGCTACTCCTGAGGCTGAGGCAGGAGAATCGCTTGAACCCGGGAGACGGAGGTTGCAGTGAGCCGGGATCGTGCCACTGCACTCCAACCTGAGCGACAGTGAGACTCTGTATCAAAAAAAAAAAAAAAAGAAAAAAAAAAAACAACAGAAATTTATTTTTCACAGTTCTGGAGGCTAGGAAGTCCAAGCTCGAGATACCAACAGGTTTGGTATCTACTAAGGACCTAGCCTCTGCTTCCAAGATGGTACTTTGAATGCTGTGTCCTCCCATGGCAGAAGGGACAGGAAGGCAACAGAGGATGCTCTTTTATAGGGTCACTAATCTTATTAATGAGGGCTCTGCCCTCATGACTTAATCGTCTCCTAAAGGTTCTGCCTCTTTTTTTTTTTTTTTTTTTTTTTTTTTTTTGAGAAAGGGTCTTGTTCTGTCACCCAGGTTGGAGTGCAGTGCAGGAGTGCAGTGGCATGATCACGGTTCATTGCAACCTCTGCCTCCAGAGCTCAAGTGATTCTCCCACCTCAGCCTCCTGAGTAGCTGGGTCTACAGGCACACACCACCACACCAGGCTAATTTTTGTGTTTTTTGTAGAGATGGGGTTTCACCATGTTGCACAGGCTGGTCTTAAACTCCTGAGCTCAAGCAGTCCTCCTGCCTCTGCCTCCTAAAGTGCTAGGATAACAGGTGTGAGCTACCACGCCTGGCCTAAGGTCCCACTATTATTATTAACACATTGATGATTATGTTTCAACAGATGAATTTTGGGGGACACATTTAGATCATAGCAGTTTATAACTTTATATGTTGTGAATATTTTTCTATGCCAACAGATATGCTTATACAACATCTTTTTTAGTTACTGCATATTTCATTGAGTATGCTATGATTTAATCAATCTGTAAGATTTTTTTGCTGGTATGTCCATCTGTCAAACAATGCTGCAATTTCATATAACAACAATAATAGGTTTATTTTTATATATTGCTTATTATGTGTTAGACACCATTTTAAGTACTTCGTAAGTACTTGTGTGTGTGTATGCATATAGTAAACTTATATCCCTATGAAGTATGTAAATTATTTGCAGATGAGGAGACTAAAGTCCACAAACATTATTGATTGCCCAAGGTTATATACCTGGCAAATGACAGAGCCAGGATTTGAGCTTGGCATTCTGGCTCTAGAATTCATTCTCTTAATGAATTCTATATATTTCATCTTTCATAATTAATTTAAAGATGGTTCAGTGCCTGAGTTTTTCACCAGAGTTCCATCTGATTCTTTTCAAATCACAGACATCATTTCAGGAAGTATATTTAAAAGATAAGAATGACTTAAAAAACATAACAACAATATCATCTTTATCATCCTATAACCATTAATAATAATTTCTTAATATCTTTTAAGAAATGTTCAGCAATATGGGAAATTTAACGTAAGTAGACAGATGGGAAATTTTAGATAAAATTTAACATTTTATTGAAATGTTAGATTTGGCATACTATAATGAACTCAATGATCAAGGATTGAAGGTAGTAGAATTATGGGAAATGTCACATAAGTAGAGAGATATGGGAAATTTTAGATAAAATTGAACATTTATGGGAATTATGGGAAATGTAACATAAGTAGGGAGATATGGGAAATTTTAGATAAAATTTAACATTTTATCGAAATGTTAGATTTGGCCTACTATAATGAACTCAATGGTGAAGGATTGAAGGCAGTGGAACCTATTCCTCATACGTCTCATGCACTGCACCCCTATACCTTTGCTTTTCCTGTTTTAAGTGTCTTTTATGTTTATTTTATAGTTTGTCCAAATTGGGATCTTAACATTCCACTTGGTTGGTTTGCAGTTTTTGGTTCAACTTTTCCTTTCCTACTTCTTTTTTTAACTTAAAATTTGAGAATAAGTTTTTTTTTTCCACATTTCGAACTTTTCTAATTGCAGCCCTGTGATAACATTTAAAATGTCATCTGATAGTTTTTAATGTTTTTACTGTAAACCTGGGTTTGCTGTAAACCATTAGTGATATCTAGAGATTTGATTAGATTTTAGGTTTTTTTTTTAGGTTTTTCTTTTTGGCCAAAAACTTCATAAGTGGCTTGTACTTCTTTCTGCATCCTCTCAGGAGGCACACAAGGCTGGTTGTCTTTTTCTTTTTCTTTCTTTCCTTTTTTTTTTTTTTGTCTGGCTCTGCTGCCTAGGCTGAGGTGCAGTGGCACAAGCATGGCTTACTGCAGCCTTGACCTCCTAGGTTCAAGGGATCCGCCCACCTCAGCCTCCTCAGCCGGAGTAGCTACCACTACACCTGGCTTATTTTTTAAGTTTTTTGTAGAGATTGGGTTTTGCCATGTTGCCCAGGCTGGTCTGGAACTCCTGAGCTCAAGCAATCTGCCTGCCTCGGCCTCCCAAAATGCTGGGATTACAGGTGTGAGCCACTGTGCCTGGCCTGGTTGTCTTTTATACATTAAGACTCATCAGTGGGTTCGTATGTTGTCAGCTGATTCATTCAACAGAAAGTTCCCCTGTCAGCTTTTCACCTGCTGATTTTAGCAGTTATTAATGATCACTCATTGCCTAAATCCATCATTCAGAGGGGTGGTAAAGTAGCGATATTCTACATCTATCATGCCTTCTACATTTATTAGCTGGAATTTGTCTAAAAAGGACTTTCCCATATCAACTGTTTAGTTACTCTTATGTACAATTCATGTAGAAAAGACAGGATAAATGCTTGTATCTTTTTCTTTATTAATTTTCAGATGAGTTGGTTTAGCTTTCTCCAAATGTAATCAAGAGCCTTAAAGAGATTGAAACTCTTTAATGTGATTTGGCCTAGCCCAGCGCTAAATGTAGCCTAGTACTTAATATTGTTTTGTAATTCTTCTGGTTGATTTTTTTATTGATTGATTTCCAAAGAGAGGTGCCATTGGACCAGATCTTATAAAAATAACTTGGATAATCTGAGAGGTTCGTCATTCTTTTGTGAGTGTGTGTGTGTACAAATATTATATGCATATATATTTCAAATATATCTTAAACTTTTATCTGTAAGACTTTACCTAATTCATACTACCAGTTTCTATGCTTCCTTAAGATTTTGAGTGTATCTTGGATAAAAGAAAAAAACCTCTTCCGTATGGAAGCCATAATATAGCATTGGGACAACTACCAGAAATGCCCTGGGAATCAAATATCGAAATAGTTGGATCAAGGCTGCCACCAGGGGCTGAAAGGTAATTTATTTCTTAGTTTTAGATTGTATTAATATCTAAATGTTAAATTTGGTGTACTATACTGAAGTCAGTGATCAAGGATTGAAGGTAGTGGAATCTGTTCCTCATATGTCATGCATTCCACCTTTGTAACTTTGCTTTTCCTCTCCTTTCTGCTTTAATGTTCTCCCTTCTTCTGTCCAAAGCCTAGCAATCTCCCTAACTAAAGTGCTAAAAGAATTGTCCTCCACTGGAAGTAAAATAGTATCTTCTTTTGCGCTCCCATACCTCTCTACTTTTCTCATAGCACTTAGCCACTTCCTACACTGCATTACAGTAACTTACTATACATCATGTGTTCTCTGTTAGACTATAAGCTGTGTTGCTTCATATTTGTACCCCTCACAGTGGTTTACATGTAGTAGGCATGTGTAAATATATATTGGACCAAAAAAATGGATGAAAGCAGACAAATATTTACAATAATTTTGTGTAACTAAATAGGTTTGTCATCAATTACTAATTTCTTAGTAGAAACATAACTTGATATACTCATTTATATTCATTGGCTTTTGTTAGTTTATAAAGATGCAATCTTGTTTCTGAAAAGCTTGTAATTATTCAGTTTCTTATTCTGATTTTAGGAGTAAATATTTTTTTATTTTATGTAGGATTGCTTTGGAATTTTTGGATTCAAAAGCACTTTGTAGAAATATCCCTCACATGAAAGGAAAATCTGCTATGAAAAAACGACATTTGGAAATTCTGGGGTATCGTGTAATTCAGGTATGAAATACTCATGTAATTCAGCCTCTAAAAAGCCCAGAGACACTAGCTGTACATGTGCTTCCTTTTAATGTGAAAGTTCCAGAATTACCTTTTTAAATATATTTTTTAAAATGTATCACTCAAACAGGCCAGATACAATAGCTCATGCCTGTAGCTACTTGGGTGGCTGAGGTGGGAGGATTGCTTGATCCTAGGAGATTGAGGCTGCAGTGAGCCGTGATCATCCCACTGCACTCCAGCCTGGGTGACAGAGCAAGACCCTGTCTCATAAAAATAAATAAATAAAAGTTGTCATTTATTTTATTGTCTTTAGAATATCCATATCTTATGATTTCTATATCTTACAAAGGAGAGAGGCACTGTAGAGATGGATAGAGTTATCAGAGGAAACAACTAGGTATGAATATAGAAGACTATGTAGGAAAAAATGTCCATCATTGGTATTGTAGGAAAAGGAGGATGAAAGGAGCAGAAAAAAGTATTCTAGGCAATGTCAGAAGGACCCACTTGGCTTCCAGTAGAGGTTCACAGGCTATCCTTATGTAAACTAATTTCATAGGATTCCTACAGCTTTGATCAGTAGTGCTTATATGTCTTCCTCAATGTTTTTTGTTGTTGCTTTAAAACTTTCATTCAAACAACATTACTTATTTTCAGATTTCCCAGTTTGAATGGAACTCTATGGCACTGTCAACAAAGGATGCTCGGATGGACTACCTGAGAGAATGTATATTTGGAGAAGTCAAGTCATGTTTGTAGTTTTTATTTAAAATGAATGTTATCGTGTGTTACATTTGGACCTATTTTAATAAAGTGGCCTGTCTCAATTAAAAAATAGGTACAAATGTCCTAAGGTGGGAACATGCCTGGCATGTTTGAGAATAACAAAGGATCCAGTGTGGCTGGAGCAGAACAAGTGGGGAGTGGGGTGGGAGTGTATAAGAGAAAAGATAAGAGATAACAGAGTCAAATACAACCTCTTGGCTACTCTGAGCGAGATGAGAAGCCATTGGGGGCTTTTCAAGTAAGGAATGATATGAATTCACATTTTAACTGCGTTACTTTGGCTACCTTGTTGAGATAAGAAAAGACTACGATGAGGCAAATGTGTAAGAAAGAAAACTCTTTACGAGGTCATTGCAATAATCCAGACAACAATGGATGGTGGCTTGGAGAGAGTGGTAGCAGTGGAGGTAATAAGAAGTAGTCAGATTTTTTGGATGTATGTTGAAGATAAAGGCAACAGAATTTGCTCACTGATTGGATATGAGGTATGAGACAAATAGGAGTCAAGGATAATTCTAAGTTTTTGTCCTAAGCAACTAAGAGGATGTCATTAGCATTAACTAAGATGGGGATAGTCTATAGGAAGAGCAAGATGGGGGGCAGGTGGTGGGGGTTGATCACAAGTTTGTTTTAGATATGTTGAGTTTGTGATGTCTTTTAAACATCTAAGTGGATATATCAAATAGAGAATTCAGTAAATGAGCTTGGAGGTCAGGGAAGAGGTCCAGGCCCCAGATATAAATGTATAAATGTCAGCAGTATTCAATGCCATGAGAGTAGATGAAATCGCTTAAAATGAGATTAGAGAAGAGTGTGAATGGAGGAGAGGTCTGAGGACTGAGTTTTCAAGTGCCCCAACATTAAAAGATTAAGAGGAAGAGGAGGAATCAGGAAAGGAGACTGAGCAGGGATGGCCAATGAGGTAGGAGGAAGGAAGGTAAGTAATACTTCCTAGAAGCCAAGTGGATAAAGCATTTCAAGGGGGAGGTGAGTAGTTGTATCAGATGCTGCTGATAGGTCAGGAAAGATGACAAATGGGAAATGGCTATTAAATTTAGCAACATGAAAATCATTAGTACTTTGAAAATAGTCGTTTTGAAGTGGTGCATGTGAAAGCCTGACTGGTTCAAGAGAAAATGGGAGGAGATACATTTTCTCCTAAATGGAAGCAAAGAAATGGGGTAGTAGCTGAGTGGACCATCTTGACCTGGTGTAATCCTACACATTGAGGGAATAATGGCTTCTCCCTGTCTTACAACACATTTATTCAATAAAATGGTTACTAAGGGCCTACTGTGTGATATAATCCCCAACCCTTCCTCTAAGAGTGATGGTTTTGTGCTCAGCAGGCCACAGCCTAACTACTCTCAGTTACGCCACCTGGTGGTGGTGGAGGTAATTGACCATCTGAACCGTGGCTATCTTCTGACTCCATGACCTTCTCAATTCATACTATCTCAAAATAAGTTGGTAGCTGGAGTGCCTTCAATCATAAGCATAGCTTTAAAATTTGTGTCTTGCATGTAAATTGCTTCACTGATGTTTGGCTTAGGCTTAGTTGAAGTACATGTTTAAAATATCCAATGACTTTGCATGATTTGAACTCCAATACTTAATGATTTTGTGGAATATTAACTTCACAAAACGTTTTGTGAAAAACAAAATCAGAATAGTAAGTGAAAGATTTCTCATTGTCTCTTCCTCTTTCTGAATTTCCTCATAGTCATATTAGTGGAAATGCTAAATTCAGTGTTTAATTTCCATGAAATGTGTTCCATTTCTCAAGCAAGTGATAACAAGAACTAGACCATTGAATAGGTTAAAATATTTTACTATGCAACTTTAGAATAAAATGATTAGGCTGATGAGGGTTATAAAGGGTTTCCTTTGGATATAAATCATTAAAAATTTAGTCATTATATACTTGTGGTACATGGAAATCTTGATTGAATAACCCTGGTATACTTTCACTAGTTGTTACACATGATCTAACTTTTTACCTGTCACATCTCCTACTCTCTCTAGGCCAGCAGTCCCTAACCTTTTTGCGGAAGACAGTTCTTCCATGGACAGCAGTTGGGGGATGGTATGATTTCAGGATGAAACTGTTCCCCCTCAGATCATCAGGCATTAGTTAGAGTCTCATAAGGAGCATGCAACTTAGTTCCCTCGCATGTACAGTTCACAATAGGGTTTGTCCCCCTATGAGAATCTAAGGTAGCTGCTGATCTGACAGGAGGTGGAGCTCAAGTGGTAATGCTCACTTGCCTGCCCACTGTTCACCTCTTGCTATGTGGCCCAGGTGGGGACCCTTGCTCTAGGCTATCTGATTCAAATGGTTTTCTTTATATAGATACTCTTATTTTTTGATTGATGATTTTTCTATCTAAATAACTTAGATTGTTATAAACAAAAGCATTTTTTATTGAGATATAAATCCCATACTATAAAATTCACCCTTTAAAAGTGTATAATTCAGTGGTTTTTAGTATATTTGTGCAACCATCACCCATATCTGATTCCAGAACATCATCATCCTCAAACCCTGGAAGAAGCATTATTTTTACAACTTAATTTTACATCTATGTAGATTGGCATTCTCTCCCTAAAATTAACCTCAATCCTGATTTTATAGTAAGTACTTCTTACAGTTTTATCACCCAGATGTACATTTCCGGACACCATTATCCCTGTGGCCCCCTCTTCCTCTACACTTTTGAGTCTGTCTTTATAAGTGCCCCTTCCTCTTCCTAACAGTTTATTTGTTGAAGAACCTGTAGGATTTTCCACTTTGGGAATTTCATGATTCTGTATTCATGCTATAATTTAAGAAAAGTATTTTTCAATATAGAAAAGTAATCAGGATTCTACTTTAAATACCCAAAATAAAACTTGTTTCTGTTAAATATATTTCTGTATTTATGGTAGAGAAAAAAAGGTGTATGGACACTTAGATCTGTTCTTTATGCAACTCCTTGACAAATAATCATGAATGTTCCAAATTAGTCCCAAGTCAGGTTTTTCAGAAAATAATATGGGTAAGGATAGAAGTCAAATATATGTCTATGAAAGCTATGTGAGACTCATAAGTTGGTGTGTGGCTAAAAGTGATGATTAATTGATGACTTGCACAGAGTTGAATGTGATGGTTATGAGCAGATTGAGGAGTCAACTTACTATATGCACTAAGAAGGAACAGTGAATGGAGGATATCACATCCCAGAAAATGAAATAATACAGTCACCTTCCTTGCTGTCAGAAATTTAGCAAATAGGTAGCCCTTTCATGGAGTGTAGCCAAAATTTAAACCAGTGAATACACTTCCTCCTCCACATCACCCACTGACCCCAACTGCTGTCCCAGCAGTTTAAAGAATCAATCCATTTCCTAAGGGTGCTCCCTCACCCTCCTGCCACAGATGCTGTAGTTAATGGCTTGAAGACTGTGATTTACTGGTTTTAAATTAAAATTTTAAAAATTTGATTTGGAAACCACAAATAATACGCCAGTGTCGCAAAAAGAATGGAGAGAAAAGGCCATTTGAATTTGACTACTTTTACTTACAAGAGACTTTTCCCCATCAAACGATTTCCCCATCCATTTATTACACTTCTGAAGTAGGATTTCTGAAGTCATCTTATGGCATGTAATTCTTAGTATAATGCACAGGATTCCTGTCATTTTGAAGCACGAGGAGAGGTTTTTGATATCTTAAACATTTTTTTAGTGTAGATGCACATATTCTCCACTTCCAATTGTAATAGAAAATCAGTTTAAGGATACCCTAATGATGCAAATGAAATGATTAGCAAACAACTCAAATTTAGGAGCCTTCTTTACAATCCATTGAGTGAAACAGATTCACAAAATAATTTGTTCAACTGAAGATTTAATTTATTATTAGAAAATGGTTTTAAACTCTGATCATTACATTGAAGAGTCAATGACTGAGGTTTTCTTACCTACTGCTCATCTCTTAGACAATAACTTCTTGAATAATTTCTACATGAGTGTCTGTACAAGCTTTTAAAAAACAGAATAAATTAAAGCCCCATTCACCAAACAAACCACCTCCCAATCTATTATGTTTTGTCACCTTGTTCACAGTTTAGACAGTTTGAAGAGATTTAAACGTGTTGCTAGGCAACTAGCTCCTGAAGCATAACGTATTTCCTTCAACATCCCAGCCCATTCTTTTTTATCATCTTCATACCTGATGGAGGAAAAAAAAAGTAATCAATAAGCAGCTTTAGTTCCATAGGTTTCCCTGTGTTCAGAATACAAATGTGGATCTTTGAAAAAACCCTAGTGGCTCTTACTCAGAAGAAGATGCACCTGCCTGGTAGAACAGAACTTAAATATCTCCCAAATATGCATTGTCTGGATGAGCATGTGCCTGAACTACTGCCACAGTATTTAATCTGGATGCCTAGGCAGTTCAGCATTCTCTGGGAATCAAAGACTGCAGAGAAGAGGAATAAATAGCTAAGCAGTTAAACATTCATTCACCTTTGAATTGATGAAGATGGCTGGTCTCTGAGTCAAAGTAAGCAGACTCTTGCTTAAGAGAAAGAACTGAGGAAGAGCAGGGACTATCGGTAGACTTAATTATGCCTTCAATTGTTCCTATACACTAGTGCCTAGCATGGCACCTGATACACAGCTGTCACTTTATGAAAATTTGTTCCCCTTCCCCTTTATTGTTCTGTTTGAGGACTACTCTTAGACTTTGCACTTGACTTAGGTAAGAACTGGTCTTCATCTCTGAATATTCAAGGTTATAAAGATACAGATAACTTGAATTCCCTTGTACGATGTGTGCTGAACATGTCTGCTCTGCCTGGTGCCTGGAATATTTTCTTTGTGTGGGAAGCTTCTAAATGCCGCCTTCTCTCTGAAACCTTTCTCACCTTCCTTAAGCACAGTTTGTTGCTTTCTCTTTCTCATATCATCCTTTATATGGTATTATAGCAATTATCACTCCATTTTAATTCCCCCCCCCATATCAATGTCCTCAAGCCTCAAAGGCATCTGAGGACAAATAATATATTAATATCTCTCCACAAATTGTCAAGACCTGGCACAAGACAACCCCAAATCAGCCAGGTGTGGTGGCTTACACCTGTGATCCCAGCACTTTGGGAGGCCGAGGGGGGCAGGTCACCTGAGATCAGGAGTTTGAGACCAGCCCGGCCAATATGGCAAAACCCCGTCTCTACTAAAAATATAAAAATTAGCCAGGCATGGTAGTGTGCGTCTGTAATCCTAGCTACTCCGGAGGCTGAGGCAAGAGAACTGCTTGAACCCGGGAGGCGGAGGTTGCAGTGAGTCAAGATTGCACAGCAAGACTCCATCTCAAAAAAAAAAAAAAAAAAAAAAGATTTACCCCAAATCATTCTGTGATGAATGGAGATTTAAAATAATTATTAAAATTAGCTTGTACCTACATAAGACATGCTCTGACTTAATTTCATCAATGTTCCAAATTAGTTCTCAATAATTGTACCATGCACTGATTTTTATGTAGAGGAAAGCATACAAAAAATATTTTGCTACTAATAAAGGGAATAACCTTAATTACATAAAATTCAGGGCAACAAATTAAGAGATAAATAATAGTTTTAAATGACCTAAAGAAAGTGACCACATTTAAACAATATGAGGTTAAGGTTAAATGAGGTTTAAAAATGTTTGCTTCCTGGCAGTTATATTTACTTTCAGCTTGGTCAATCCTAAATAATGGAATGATTTCAAGAAAAAAATACAAGAATGGAATTTTTTTTTTACGTATAGTAAGAGGGTCTATGTTGAGAATGTTGTATACTGAGAGTTTTCACCTCTGCATGTGTGGTTAGGGAGGTTCACTAGGAAATTGAGGGCAAATAGGCAGCCACGTTTCTCTAGATCGGCGGCCTTCAACTTTAACACACATCTAAGTCACCTGGAGGGTTTGTGCAAACACAGATCGCTGGCCCTATCACCCCCAGAGTTTCTAATTTAACAGATTTGAAGTGAGACCTGAGAATCTGCCTTTCTGATAAGTACCCAGGTGAGGCTGATGCTGCTTTGGGAACCACTGTAGTAGATTACAGGTTCTCAAACTTAATTGCCAATAGAACCAGCTGGAGATGTTAAAGATACTGATGCCTAGGTCCTACTCTCAGAGATTGAGTTAATTGGTATGAAGGGTGGCCTGGGCATCAGGATTTTTTAAAGCTCCCCAAGTGTTTCTAATATGCAGCAAAGTTTGAGAATCATGCTCCAGATCCTACCCCAAATTAGGAAATACCAGTCTCAAAATAGCCAAGCAGATAGTGATGAATGCCCCCCTCTTCTCTTTACCCAATCCAGTGGTTCCCAAACTTGTCTACACATATAGAAACATCCATGGATCTTTTAAAATTTCCAAAGCCCAGGCCATACTTCAGACCAATTAAATTGCAGTCAATATAAGTGGGATAGAGGTGTTAATATTTTTTGAAGCACCCTGGTGATTCGAACGTGCAGGCAACTTTGGGAACCACTGCTCTAATCGCAAAATAAACCACAATCAGAGAGGATCCCTCTTTTAGGTTCCCTAAACAATGTCAGGGCCACTTTTATAGCAGGAGATTCTGTACTTTCTTTTGCTGCCTGTAACTGTTCCCTGCAGGGGCAGCATGGCTTTTGATAACCCTTAGGAACCAGGAGGGCTTCAGGGAGGTCCCACTGATTGACAGCACAATTACTTAATATCAGTGTTTCTCAACCCTGGCTGCTGATTAGAATCATCTGGGGCTGGGCTCGGTGGCTGACGCCTGTAATCCCAGCACTGTGGGAGGCTGA
This sequence comes from Homo sapiens, assembly GCF_000001405.40. NCBI lineage: Eukaryota > Metazoa > Chordata > Mammalia > Primates > Hominidae > Homo > Homo sapiens. The sequence continues at coordinate 169,522,972 of NC_000002.12, read as the reverse complement.
GGTGGGTGGATCACCTGAGGTCAGGAGTTCAAGACCAGCCTGGCCAATATGGTGAAACCCCATCTCTACTAAAAATACAAAAATTAGCCGGGCATGGTGGTGCACACCTGTAGTCCCAGCTGCTCCAGAGCCTGAGGCAGGAGAATCGCTTGAACCCAGGAGCTGGAGGTTGCAATGAGCCAAGATCACATCACTGCACTACAGCCTGGGTGACAGAGTGAGACTCTGTCTCACCAAAAAAAAAAAAAAAAAAAAAAAAAAAAAAAATCACTGGGAAGGTTTTAGGAACTAGGGATGCTCAACTCTACCTCCAGAAATTTTGATATAATTGGTCTGTGTTAAGGCCCAGACACTGGTATATTTTAAAAGCATCCCAGATGATTGTAACATACAGCTAGGGTTGAGAATCACTGCCCATTTATATATTTGGTACCTGGCCCTGTTTTCCAAAAAACCCTAACCTTCCCGGCCTTCATTAGTTCATCCTTTTTTCCTACTGCTTCCAGCTTTTCCCCATCTCACTGTTTTGCTAATTCTAGCCTCTTTGCTCCGTGGAAATCTCATTTTTTTTCTCTTTCTCCCTCTTTTTTGGGGGGAGGAGGGAAAGTAGTTAATTTCCTTGCATAGCCACTTTTTTTCTTGCCCTCTACACAGCTAGTTAATATTACAACATGGGGAAATGATGTCTAATGCACAAATCATTGTTTGGTTAAGGTACCAGCTTTTCAGCCTTTTTAGTTCAGCATCTGGGAATAAAGCATCTGCTGGTTAAGGTATAGAACAAATAATACCCACTTTTCACTCTCAGGCTTAGTGGTATGCCTTCACTGATTAAGTATAAATGGCACTCTTCCAAAGCTGTACTTATAAACTTAAATGTGCAAACAATTCACCTAAGAATCTTGTTAAAAAATACAGATTCTCATTCAGTAGGGTCTGGGATTCTGTGTTTCTTTTTTCTTTTTTTTTTTTTCTTTTAAGACTCGCTCTGTAGCTGAGGCTGGAGTGCAGTGGCGCGATCTCAGTTCAAAATAAAATAAAAACAAACTTTTTTTTTAATAGCCTCACTAAAATGTTCAATTGAGTAACAGTTTCAAGTGTCATACTTAGGAGAACTGCCTGGCACCTCCAGGCAGGTAAAATGGATTGCTATTTTGACTTTTTTCATTTTAAAAAAGCATTTATTAGCTGAAGCCTAAAACAATTGGAAAGCTGTTTAAATTAGATTGAAAACAGAACTAATGAAGTAGTGGAAAGCTCAAGAGGTTAAATGTTTCTTTAGGCTGGGTACGTGGCTCACGCCTGTAATCCTAGCACTTTGGGAGATTGAGGCGGGTGGATCACCTGAGGTCAGGAGTTCGAGACCAGCCTGGCCAACATGGCGAAATGCCGTCTCTACTAAAAATATAAAAATTAGCTGGGCGTGGTGGATATGCCTGTAATCCCAGCTACTCGGGAGGCTGAGGCAGGAGAATCACTTGAACCTGGGAGGCCGAGGTTGCAGTGAGCTGAGATCCCGCCATTGTACTCCAGCCTGGGTGACAGAAACTCTGTCTCAAAAAAATAAAAATAAAAAAGTAAAAAACATAAAATTTTTTTTAGAACTCTGTTTTGTTAGGAAATAAACTACTCTGGAGCAAAGAGGCTTTCACTCTACTGGATGCCTATAGCATTATACTCTTAGAGCTGGAATGAAACTGAGAGTATCAAAGGTCCAACTCTCATTTTACAGTAAGAAACAGGCCTGCCCAGATGATTTCTTTCTCAGGCTCAGAGCTAACTAGAAGTAGATACTTGTTCAAGTAAGTGGCATGTACAGAAGTTCAATTAGGTTTGAAGTGTTTAGTCTACTACCAAGAAGTAGCTTGCATGTTGGGAAAATCTGGCTTATTGTTTACTACAAAATAGTTTATCAGTCATCTGATTTAATATGTGATTCTGAAAATTGAAGTGATGAGAACTTACTTCCATATGTCATTGACTTCAGTGGGTGCAAATTCTTTAGACTCCAGTTGAATCATAGCAAAACCACCAATTGCATACAGAGATCCAGCCAGGCTGACCAAACTGATGGAGCTTCTTTCTTGGGGAAATTCGGTCATTACATCCCATCTAGGTATCATTAAAAATATAGTCAATGTAAAACTTAAAGAAATGCCAGATGTACTTACTGAATAATTATAGGAAATAATAATTTAAAAATTCAAGTAGTGGCCAGGCAGCCAGGCGCGGTGGCTCATGCCGGTAATCCCAGCACTTTGGGAGGCTGAGACGGGTAGATCACCTGAGGTCAGGAGTTTGAGACCAGCCTGACCAACATGGTGAAACCCCACCTCTACCAAAAATACAAAAAATTAGCCAGGCACGGTGGCGCGCACTTGTAATTTCAGCTATTTGGGAGGCTGTGGCAGGAGAATCACTTGAACCTGGGAGGCGGAGGTTGCAGTGAGCTGAGATTGTGCAACTGTACTCCAGCCTGGGCAACAGAGCGAGACTCCATCTAAATAAAAAATAAATATTCAAGTAGCGGCTGGGTTCGGTGGCTCATGCCCGTAATCCCAGCACTTTGGGAGACTGAGGCAGGAGGATTGCTTGAGCCCAAGGAGTATGCGACCAGCCTGGGCAACAAAATGGACTGCCTCCACACACACACACACACATACACACACACACACACACACACACACACACACACACTGAGGCAGGAGGATAGCTTGAGCCCAAGGAGTATGAGACCAGCCTGGGCAACAAAATGGACTGTCTACACACACACACACACACACACACACACACACACACACACACACACACACACACACAGAGCTAGGCCTGGTGGTATGTCCCTATAGTCCCAGCTACTTGGGAGGATCTCTTGAGCCCTTGAGGTCAAGGCTGCGGTGAGCTATGATCGCATTGCTGCATTCCAGCCTGGGTGATAGAGCAAAACCCTGTCTTTAAGGGGGGAAAAAAAAATTCAAGGAGCACAGGCATCTAAAAGTAAATGACTAAGTTTGCTACTAGAAAATATTTGAAAGATGTAACTTCATTAAATATAAAGCCTTCAATATGGCAACCCTAAGGCCGGGCACGGTGGCTCATGCCTGTAATCCTAGCACTTTGGCAGGCCTAGGTGGGTGGATCACCTGAGGTAAGGAGTTCGAGACCAGCCTGACCAACATGGTGAAACCCCATCTCTACTAAAAATACAAAAAATTAGCCGATTTTTTTCTAATTATAAAAATAATATATGTACATTATAGAAAATCTGTACTCCAGCCTGTGTGACACAGTGAGACCCTGTCTCAAAAAAAAAAAAAAAAAGTTTGAGAAAATCTGGAAAGTACAGAAAGGTATACAAGAGAGCAGATATCTCCATAATCATACCTTACAGACATAATCACAAGCAACAATTTGGTGTAATTTTGTCATCTTTTTAAAAAGCATGTACATTTAAGCTTCCATACATATAAATGAAACTAAGAAGATATTTACAATTTTTGTGTGTTGCTTCTTAACTTACATCATGAGTGTTTACCCACATTACAGTCTTCGAAAACATTATTTTTAATGATAATTTAAATAGTGTTCCACAAAAGTTCCTTGTAATTTTCAGATACTAAAGTCTGTTTTGTAGTCAGGCATACATGTTTCTAAAAAAAGTAATAATATTTCTCTTTTTTCTTCATTGCTAAACTAGGAATATAAAAGGTACATACTCATCCAGATGTGTGAGCTCAAAAATTTTAAAAAGACCAATTTTATATGAAGAATAGCTGTCAAATATCTTTTCACATTAAGTCAATAAAAGCTTAAAAATGAAATTTTTAATAAAATTATAAACAGCGTAAAGGAATGAAAACTTGGGAAGCATTCATACTTTACAGATATCAATCATTAACAAGTTAAGTGAAGATCTTTTCATAAAGAAACTACATTTAAAATCAAATGATTCCACAGAGACATGTATATCCATCTACACAGACAATTATTCAGGGCCAGGTGTGCTGGCTCACACCTATAATCCTAGCACTTTGGGAGGCCACCGTGAGAGGATCATTTGAGGCCAGGAGTTAGAGACCAGTATGGACAACATAGTGAGACCCTGTCTGTACCAAAAACAAAAACAAAAACAAAAATTAGCTGGGCATAGTGGTAGTCCTAGCTACTCAGGAGCCTGAGGTGAGAGGATCACCTGAGCCCAGGAGTTTGAGGCAGCAGTGAGCTATGATTGTGCCACTGCACTCCAGCCTGGGTGACAGAGCCAGACCTTGTCTCTTAAAAATAATCATAATTATTCACAAGTATTACCTTTGCATTTCTAAATTCACAAAGTTAATAACAAGGACAAATAGAGCATGACAACACTGACTTAAGGGTCATGTGTTCCAGATTACAGACATATAATGCATCAGAATGTTAGACAAGATTTACATCCAGTAACAACAAAAGAAACCCAGATGAAAATACTTCCTTTGTAATCTGTGGCTCTGTACCCTCCCCTCCCCACATCCTAATTAGAAAGATAACTTTTTATCCAAAGTTAACAATTAAAATGTATAGTTGTTCACATGCTATATACTAAGATGTGGCAACTCACTTATTTGTTGTAAGGTCAAAAGCTTCAACTGAAGCTGAAAGACCATCTTCAGTGACACCTCCTGCAATCACAATTTTGCCTTTATGGACTGCTACTCCAAACATGGAACGAGGAATTTTCATTGGAGCCAGATCTTTCCAATCTCCTTTTTTGGGGTTGAAGATAAACACCCTGTTTGTACATTTTCTGTAAACAGAAAAACAAATGTTCCTTTTAGAACCTTTTTTTGACAGCACCTTCACTAATAATTTGGCTTTGCTTGTCATGAAAAATATATAGTAGGATCAGAAAACTCCAAAGAATTCTTAATTTGAACATATGCCACTAAACAAAGGACAAGCCCAAATGTGGGGACCAAAACTATAACTTAATTTTACTGTTGGAAGATAGGGTACCTTTACTTCTGGATAGCTGCTTAGAACCCCAGGCACAGCTGATTTTAATCGTATCTACTAAATTCAATTGAAGTTTTTTTACTCTATTTGAGTAAAAAATAAAATCATAAACCTTTTATTGCACCTCAATAACAAATGGTAAGTTTATTTATTATCTGAATATCCTAGGAACGAATCAGTTAACTTAAAGAATAATTAGGTGCAAATATACCTACTTTAAATTTTATATGATAGATCATTTTATTTTATATTAGCACTAACATACCAGTGCATTTTAAGAAATCTGGGACTATGGATTAGACAACAAATCATCTGAGCTGATGAATCATGACAACAGTTTTACATGCTAAATGCTACCAGAAAGACCTGGACTCATCTGAATTATTATTCACTCTGCCACCCAGGCTGGAGTGCAGTGGTGCGATCTTGGCTCACCGCAACCTCCGCATCCAGGGCTCAAGTGATCCTCCCATCTCAACTTCCCAGGTAGCTGGGAACACAGGCATGTGCCATCACACCCAGCTAGTTTTTTGTATGCTTGGTAGAGACAGGGTTTCGCCATGTTGGCCAGGCTGGTCTCGAATTCCTGAGCTCAAGTGATCCTCCAGCCTCAGCCTCCCAAAGTGCTGGGATTACAGGTGTGAGCCACCATGCCCCGCCCTTAGTATGTTTTTTATGGTTCCTTGAAGTTATCTATAATTTGATGGGAGTTCAGAATTTCAAATAATAATTGATTAACTGGATATATTTGGTGATGAAAAACACCTTAACTTTTTTGTGAGGACAATTTTTTTCTTAATTGTGTAAAAGACCAGTTATCTGGAGTAGAAGCATTTCCTCTAATATTTGACTATTGGTATCATTTGAACACTTCTTGATAAGAACATTATCCAAAATCACGTTCTTCAAATTCATTAGTGGGAACTGGTGCAATTCAGCACTTACTTTTATTTATTTATTTATTTCTGGAGACGGAGTTTCGCTCTTGTTGCCCAGGCTGGAGTGCAGTGGCGCGATATCAGCTCACTGTCTCCCGGGTTCAAGTGATTCTCCTGCCTCAGCCTCCCTAGTAGCTGGGATTACAGGCAAACGGCACCACGCCCGGTTAATTTTGTATTTTTAGTAGAGACGGGGTTTCTCCACGTTGGACAGGCTGGTCTCAAATTCCCGACCTCAGGTGATCCACCTGCCTCGGTCTCCCAAAGTGCTGGGATTACAGGCATGAGCCACTGCACCCAGCCCAGCACTTACTTTTAGATAATGACTCATTTCAAAGTTCTTGACTTTGACATTTGTCAAGCAGTGTTGTGTTAGTTAATCATATTCTCAAGATTGATATATTCCTACTGACAAGAACTGTATGCTTCTTACTGACATATCAATTTCCTAGTTACTAATGCTGCTTGAAGGAAACAATTTAAATCATTTGGCAGGGTTCCTGTGTTTCCAAAGTCAGAATGCTCTTTAGTAGTGATTTTCCATTCAGTTTACTCAGGAAAAATGCCCAAAATAAGATCTGGCACCAGGTAAGCATATAATATACCTTCCTTTAAATTTGATAGGAATAGCTGGGATTAGGGAGGATATAAAAATTTTAGAATATGTTATCTTTGAATACAGGTAGATGTTTAAAAACCATTGCTTTTTAAAATCGCCTTTTCTGTGCTATATTTACCATTTAAATTGACTAATACCCAATAATCATTAACTCCAGAATAGAGTTCTTGACATCTAACACATTTCTATATTTTACTCTCCTTTCCTGCTTTGCCCTTACAATTCTAAATTTTGGCTCCCTTTTCAGGGTTGGACATCACTATTAATTCAATGGCCTGGGCAAATGATGACAAGCCAAATCAGGCAGATTTTTCAGGGGCAGAATATTAGTTCTCACCATCTAAACTGAAAATGCTTATTTTACTAGACAGGTTATACTGGTTTGACTGTCTCTGAAGCATTCGGAGCTCACTTCTCCTCTCTCTGGGTTATAACATCTCTTTCCTGATTACAGGTTCCTTAAGAATTGACTGGAAATCAAGTTAGGTTTATATATGAAACCTCATCCTGGTTTTCTCACAAGATACTGGGTGCTACTGGGAGCTCAGTTTTGAACAGTTGGAAGCCATTTTGAATATTACCTCTGTCAGGGAGTAAATATGTGGAAGAACACTGCTGAGGAAATAATTGCCTTAATTTTTTGTTTTTATTTTGTCTTTTTTACTTCCCTCTTTTCAATCACCACGCTTTTCTTTCAAACTGACCTATCTAAAGTCCCTCTTATGAATGTAAAGTACAAATCCATGATATTTTTTATGCACAGTTGTCTTAGAAGATATATTTTAAATACTACATTAAAGATACCTTTCAATTTTTATCTACTTATGGCTAAATGAATAAGAAAACCCATTGGTTTTAATGTAGTAAAATACAATTATAAATCAGTGAAATACAGGACTTGATTATGCTCCTAGATACTGCCTGGACTGTAAGGATGCTTATGATTGGGGTATTAGGCTCATTCCTAGCAGTATGCTGAGTATCTACATGTTTACTTCAGCGACTTGAAATTTTAAGATTTTCCCTCCACAATATGATAGGTGAGAACCATGTCCCATTTTAGTGTGCAGATCCAAAGGAAAAGAGGAAGAGACCGGGCGTGGTGGCTCACACCTATAATCCTAGCACTTTGGGAGGCTGAAGCGGGCAGATCACCTGAGGTCGGGAGTTCAAGACCAGCCTGACCAACATGGAGAAACCCTGTCTCTACTAAAAATACAAAATTAGCCAGGCGTGGTGGAGCATGCCTGTAATCCCAGCTACTCAGGAGGCTGAGACAGGAGAATCGCTTGAACCCAGGAGGCGGCGGTTGCAGTGAGCCGAGATCACACCACTGCACTCCAGCCTGGGCAACAAGAGTGAAGCTCCATCTCAAAAAAAAAAAAAAAGAAAAGAAAAGAGGAAGAAACCCTTCTAATAAAAAGTCATTTAGACATAAATCATGAGAGTTCAGGGTACTTACTTGTCATCTGTCTTTCCTCCTAGACAATATATCATCCCTTTATGTGAAATCACATTATGGCCATAGACTTTGATAGGGAGTTTTTTTACTTCGTTCCATTTTGCAGCCCTAAAATTAAACGAGACAGAATTTATATACCTTCAGTAAATTCCAGGTTCTGAAAATATGAATATGTTGTAGGCACGCATATACTTGAATGCTTAGGGAACAGGAATATCATGCCAACTTACACAGGATCATAGCATAATACTGAATCCAGCGAAGCCTCTGTTTGAAGGTCTTTGCCTGCAACTACATAGATTTTATCATCCACCTCTCCCAGACCGAAGAGACACCTGGCTGAAGGCAGAGGTGGAAGTCCAACCCATTCAGATGCTATGCTATCGAGCTGAAAAAAACATATATGAGAGATTGTGGAGCCTGTTAGAAAAAAATTAGAAGTACACCAAAAAAAGTTATACTTTATATGTTGTTTAGAAGTCATCGAGATAGTCAAATATCTCACAAGTAAATAAAACTACAACCCCAAAGTATCACATTGTAGCTCATAATTACCAAGAAGAATGAGTAAATCTACTTGGCCTACCAGATAAAGATATCAAAATCTTCAAGGCTTCAAGAAAAGAAAAAATAAAATAGAATCACCAGAGGTTAATTACAACTGTGAGGTTTCTTGTCAAATTTTCTCCCATATTGCCTTGTTCAGCTTTGAAACAGGAGATCCTCATACTTTTAGGACACTGGGGAAAGAAAGGTTGTCATAACAAGGAGGGTCACAGAATGTGAATGACCCCTGCGTGCTATATTTAACATGCTCCCCATGCCGGCAGCTGGGACAGCTGGACCTGTCACTCAGTCCACAAACAACTGGGATGTTGGGCAATATCTTTTTTTCTTTCTTTAAAAACATTTTAGGTTCTCTGTGTTTTGCTTTATTATTCCTGATACAGGCAGGCGTTAAAGTGAATTTCCTAGTGTGTTGTTGGGAGTCCCTTGAAATACTCTTCTCTTTTTTAAAAAATTTATATTAATAAGTAACTGCTCATTTTTGGTCACCACCACTTCTGCAAGCTTAAGATTTTCCCAAGGAGGAAAATCTCCTTGTGCCCATGCCCTGGGGTAGATGATGGTGGCATCTGTTTCATCACTTACTTTTGGTAATTTAAATATTTTACACTTTTCATTTTAGCACACTAAGGCACAAGAAAACTGTTTTCTGCAAGAGTACAGTTGCAGATTTGTTGTTCTCTCTGGTACCACTTCTAGATTGCAAAAATAAAATGAATAAAACCCAGTTTCACTGGATACTAAGAATAGATGTGCATACAAATGGCTGTGGTATAGACAGGGGTGTCTGTGGAAGCCTATCTATATGTGGTCTAGTAACCTCAGTTAAACAAAGCGCTAATTAAGACTAGATGACATGAGAAGTTTAATCTCCACATGTGCATTCTTAGCTTTGCATTCACTAATTTCAACAGCTAGATTTTGATCCCTTATGTTTTCACTTTTGAAAGAAATTCTTTGATCATGAAGGTGGTATGTAATATAGTAGAAATAATAATGAACATTTATGGGGTTTTGACTGTTGTCATAGTCTTTGAACTAAATGCTTTACACAGGTAACCTCATTTAGTTCTCCAGGATAGGCATTTCTATCATCCCCATTTTACAGATGAGGAAACCGAGGCACAGGAAGATTAAATAATTTTCCCAAATACACAGAACTTTTAGGTGATATTCAAATCCAAGCCATGTACATTCACAGTTGGTTTTAAAAAATGGAAACAGCAGCCATCATAATCCCATACCTGTGGGCTTAACTCTCATACTGTACAGTACTGCCTACCTTCCCATATTACCTGTTAGAGGGCACTTTCTCTAGCAGATGGAACAGTAGACTACCTACCAGTCTCTTTTATAGAGGAACTATCAAGCTATTTAACTTCTCTGAGTTCAACTTTCCTCATTGTTAAAATTAGGGTTTGGACCTAGATTACTTTAAGACCTGTTCAAAGATTTGATGAATCTATTAATTCAAATTAATGAGTGGGGGAAAAAATCCTCCCTTACCAAGGTAAAAAATTCTCATAATCTATTTACAGCATACAATCAAAGGTCAAATTACTCCTAAATTAATGCATTTTAAATAGATGTGACCAAGCAGAAAAATATAAAACCTGAAATTCTCATGTAAATATTGTCTGATGAGTCACAACCCTCTTTTATGGTGAAGTGTTTTTATCCTGGCATACCGTTCTATTAGTGCCTTTTAAAAGCAGCAAGGCATTTGCTTTGCTGACCTTCCAACTTTGTATAACTGTTATTGTTAATGTTCTGTTATACAGAACATTAAGTAGGTTTCTTGAACCAAAAATGAGAAGCTGCGTCAGTAAAAGTAAGGGTTTTATTAGGCTGGAAGAGGACAAAGATTAAACTGAACACTTGAAAGTAAAAAGGACCGTGTTATAGATATATTCAATAAATTAAATATGAAATGAAATTTAAAACTCCAGTAATTTTGGAGAATCATTCCATGGCAACAACTATTCCGTGGATCTGTCATTTGTAGGTATCTACCTATATGTCTGTCATCTGTCTATCTGTGTTTTTATAACATTCTTACTTCCTGGATGTATTTATAGCCTTTTTCATTGACTTTGCCACTTTTGACGTTTATTTGACTTTAAAATTAGGGCTTGGGAAATTTTCTGACCCACATTCAAATACTTATAACATTCTTCACTGGAACTTTGAAAATTAAGAAACATGATTAATATGTATTATCACAACTACATTTTTCAAGATTAGAAAAAGTTGATTAAAGGTATAATAGTATTTTGTGAATGCAAAGTATATCACACACTTTGAGAGCATACTGTGACTGTGGTATGACATTGTATACTTGCTTATCTTTGGCCTTTCCAACTAAAGTGCCCATAAGCCCCAGCCATGATTAGCTATGACCTAAACAAACTCTTTTGAGCCAGTTGTAAGCTATAAAGTTTCGGTATTGGCATTATGGAAGACAAAGGTTAAGCCAACTCCTTCATAAACTGATAAAGTATAACACATTGATAATATAAGACAAATTCCTTTCAAACAACTAAGGGTATATTGGTTTAGGAGAATTAATTTTCTTGGAAAATTCTGTGGTTTCACAAAACAGATTGTTAAGTTCTAATAATGTCTAAATGTATCTCTGATCCAAATAAATGTGATATAATAAAAATTTCTAACTATAATTAATTCAAATTAGCGACTTTTGTGTAGACAGTTTTTCCTAGAAGATAATCCAAAGTGTGTGGAATATATATACAAGTTTTTTTCATTTTCAACAAAATTATATTTTAGGCAGTAACCATAAATAAGAGATGAAGTGCTACCTCCAAGAACTTCAAATGAAGTTCAGGGAAACTTGGAAGAAGGTAGAAAATCTGACCAATTTAGAGCTGCCAGCAGATGAAGAAGAAAAAGAAATTAAAAAAGAAAATCTGACCAATTATTACTTCTTTATAATGGATAAGAACTTTGATTTAGGGAAACTATTTGGGGAAAGACATTAACTATTTTTAATAGGTAAGAGTATACAAGATTAAATTTAGTTTTTACAGCAGGGGGTGGTGGCTCACACCGGTAATCCCAGCACTTTGGGAAGCCAAACTGGGAGTATTGCTTGAGCCCAGGAGTTCGAGACCAGCCGGGGCAACATAGTGAGAGCCCATCTCTGCTAAGAAAAAATAAATTTAGTTTTTACTAAAATACTGGGCTTTGAGGGATTACAGTCACGATCATCTATAAACAAGGCATTTTTGGTAAAATAGTATAAAGAACATCTTAAGTCATTAAACATGAATTAGAACCTCATTATTCACCAAACTTTTTATTACACATTAACAAAGCAGTCAAATATTTTTCTGTCAACGCTCTATACAGCAAAAGTGCAAGGGACTGGAATAGGACATCAATTAGAGTAAAATGCAAGCAGCTTGAATAATTCACAAATTGGCTAACTGGATGGTGAGTAACAGCCTTCCCTTTAAGCAACTACATATACAAAAAGTCCTTCTTACCTGGAAGAAGTATGACTGTAGAGGTTGATCCTTATTTTCTTCATCCACATATAGTCCTCCTACCACATATATCTGATTTTGCTGGGTAACAATGCTGGAATGATTTCTGGGAATCTGCTCAGCCAGTGCAGTAAGGTAGCATTCATTTTCCGTGGGGTCATAAGCCACTGCTGCTGTGTCATTAACCAAGAGGATGAGGTCTTTTACAAACATTCCATGCCTGGGAATGTCATTCAGGTAACCAGGAAGTAAATCTTCATCACCAACATCACCATTCACCTCACCAGCCCCAGTCTTCGCGGCATTTTTGCTAGGTTCTGGGAGTTTGCCTGCGAAAGCATCTTTTAGAACTTTGATTTTTTTCTGGAGGTCTGGGTTGCTTTTAATTATATCATCTTTCTCAACATGATCCTTAAAATATTTTTCTGTCATAAGGCGAAAACGGATACAATCAAACACTTCACTAAGGTTTTTAACCCTGTTTTCCTTGTCTGTTCGCACCCATTTCATCACTGCCTCAAATACTGCTTCTTCTTTTTCTACATTTAGGCTGTCATTTGAAATGACTGAGATCAGTTCCTGTGGAGACAGTTGCATAAAGTCCTCTTCCTTACAAATCTGTACAAAGCGATCAGACACAAATTCACGGGCAGAAATGGCGAGTCTCGGGCAGTCAAGAAGAAGTCCTAATCTTAGGATGGCTAGACAGTTACCAGGAGCAAGTCTTTTCTGAAGATAAGAAACGCAGACAGTAAACACTGAGGGGATCTGAAAGCGGCTGGCCAATGCAAAAATATCTTGCACATTTCCGTCATTGAGATCAATACTGGCAGAGTACAGGTATTTGATGATTAAATCAAGTATAGCAGGATCCACATTGTCTAGCACTACCTCCTTTTTTTTCGCCTCATCAATTTCAGATAAAAAGTACTCACGGAAGTAAGGACTACAAGCTGACAAAATCAATCTGTGGCAAGGAAGACTTTTGTCACCTGCTTTTAGGGTGCAATCGATGAATTTTTTCTCATCCAGGAGATCTTTTAGACCATCCTGAAGAAGGGTGGATTGGTAAAGCCGCAGTTCCTCTGCAAGTTCCCGCTGGGAATCCATTCTGTGAGAAACCTGGGTAAGGAAGGGGACACTGAAGGCCTTAGCTCCTTGCAGCACACAGGTCTAGCTGTAAAAAGGCAGATCAGTGTGCTTTGCCCAGCTTGAAGCCTTTGCAATTTAATCCCACTAGCTAAATATAGATACCAACTCTAACAACGGGAATTTAGGAGAGCTGGCTTGGAAAGAAGAGTTGTTCTTGCAGCTGTTATAGATTGAAAGTAACAACTGGAACTTTTAATCACTAGGGAAACAGCTAAGAAACAAGACATTTAAGTGAAGTTGAAAGCTTAAAAATACATAACACATTAGAAGATATACTAATAAAGGCTACTACAAGAAAATGTTTATTGAATTAACAGAAAAATGAATCATAAAAATGAGTCACTCCTCTAAATATGTTCTAGTGTCAAGCTACTTGGCTCTCTGAATTAATGATGCAAAGGTCAAGAATATGAGATGTGTTCATTTGAATACTCATAAGCAAGATCTCATTTCCAATAATTGTTAACATACAAATTTTTACTTTCTACTCAGAACAGTGGGATATAGATATTTCTTTTAGAAGTAGTAAACTTAAAGATGTTTACTTCTGTACTAGTTTTACAAAACCTTTAATGTTGCCATGATAATTGAAAAAAGAAATGCAGAGGAATTGCTAATTTTCTAAAACATTCCAAATTATTCTTACATGGAAAAACTGTAATTAATATTGAATTAAATTATAAAATTATTTATTCATATCCTGCCTTGTCATACAAATGATCTAATGTGGCAAACGATAATAAGGTAAAATAAAAGCAAAAGGTTAAAAGGAATCACAGAGCCAGAAAAAATAATTAAAAGTCAATCTAGGGAACGAAAAAGTCCACACACATTCAAATAAGATCACAAAAGATAATCTGTAATTTTAAATATCAAAAATTATCATTCATTAAATAAAACGTGAAAAATAGAACAGATATAACCCCATGAGAACAATGTTATCACTAAACACAGCAAAATCAAGATGAACTCCTACAATGGTCATAGAGAACAGCCCCCCCTTTTTTTAAAGAGTATATAACTGGGGACATAACGTAGGCTGTTGATTATAATAGAATACCATATTAATTATGGAGGTAGAAGTAATGATTTGAAAGAAAATCGGTCCTTTGTTTATATATAGATGGTATAATATACTTCATTAAATACTTTCATTTATTTATTTATTTTTGAGACAGAGTCTCGCTCTGTCACCCAGGCTGGAGTACAATGGCGCAGTCTCGGCTCACTGCAACTTCTGCCTCCCGGGTTCAAGCAATTCTCTTGCCTCAGCCTCCCGAGTAGCTGGGATTACAGGCACCCGCCACCATGCCTGGCTAATTTTTGTATTTTTAGTAGAGACAGGGTTTCATCATGTTGGCCAGGCTGGTCTCGAACTGCTGACCTCGCGATCCGCCTGCCTCGGCCTCCCAAATTGCTGGGATTACACGTGTGAGCCACCGCACTGGGCCCATTAAATACTTTATTACACAGTCATATTGTCACATTATCTGAACTCAAGTAGGGCTGTAGAAATACTGTAATTTCAAAAGTTGGTATTTTTACACATACCCCCAAAAACAAATTCCATGAAGACAGGGATTGTGGGAGTGTCTGTTCTTTTCAAATGCTATAGCGTAGGGGTTTCGTGAGTGCTTTATAAGTATTTGTTGAATGAATGAATGCCCCAGATCAAGGAATTATGTATTTTTAAACTTCAAGGTCTCTATCCATGAGTAAAGGCCTTTTCTTTTATTTTACATCACAGTGAAGTCAATGGTACTGTCAGCTGCTAAAACAACAGCTGAAAGAAGAGCTCATTGACTCTTTTTCCATTTATAGATGCCACTAAAGGTTTTAACACACCAGAAAAAACTAACAGCTGCTTCCTTGTTTAAACAATAAATGACTCATTTCTCTCTACATGTAACATCTAACATTTGAAAAGATTAATGAGTCAGATGCAAACATCATATGACATTTGAGATTATTCCTTACTAGTCAGCAATTTTATAGTCTCTTTTGCTTGAAAAAAACAATATTTAAACAATAGTTATGGCAGCATTTTATCTGTGACCAGTACAAATTTTTCATACATTCTTTCCCCTCGTCTTAAAGGTGGTTTATTATAATTCCAACCCTTAAAATGTAGAAATCCTTTTCCATTTAAATGAAGAAGCCAATTTGTAGCTTTTGTTGATTTTTAATAAACTTAGGTTAGCACTTGGTTGTACTGTATGTCTATGGTTGTACACAGACTTGCATCTTATTTTAAATGTTTTTACATACTTTTCCCTCTGGAAGAAGAGGGCTCCTTTGGCTAATTTCAATTATTTGAAAAAGATTCCTTACAATGTGTTTTACACGGAAACAGTGGTCAAAAACACCGAATGATCCTAGAGAGGTCAACAAGTCTTACCTAACCAAGAAATGAGAAAAATAATATCCTATTTTTGAAAATTCAAAGAAGTTTCAATAAATACAAAGAGAAAGTTAATAAACAAAGCTATTTTCTTACAAAGTAAATGTATTCTTGCCAAAACTACATTGAAATTCTTACAAAATAGCATCCAAAGCACTTTAAAGGGGGGGGTTGATGTATTCCAGAGTTAGTTGTAATTTTTAGTTTTTACAAAAATGACAGGTTTAAGGATTACAATTTGTATTAGAGTTGGTTTACATTTGGAGCTATGTGATTATTTATTTATTTATTTATTGAGATGGAGTCTTGCTCTGTTGCCCAAGCTGGAGTGCAGTGGTGCGATCCTTGGCTCACTGCAGCCTCCACCTCCCAGGTCCAAGTGATTCTCGTGCCCCTCCCAGGTAGCTGGGACTACAGGTGCCCACCACACGCCCAGCTAATTTTTATATTTTTAGTAGAGACGGGTCTCACCATGTTGGCCAGGCTAGTCTCAAACTTCTGACCTCAAGTGATCTGCCTGCCTCGGCCTCCCAAAGTGTTGAGATTATAGGCACGAGCCACCATGCCTGGCCAGGAGCCATGGGATATTTAAACCAGATTTTTACAATTAAGAAAGCAGAATTTTGATTATTCCGTAAGAATAGTCTTTTTCTTTTAAATAATACTTTCAAAACGTTAAATGGTGCTGCATAAATTCTTTATTAAACCGAACATGATACAGTCACTTAATGTCTGAAAACTAAGACTTTACAGGTATTAAGTACAAAATAAACATTTATAAACTAGGTACATTTTGATTACAATTTTAAATATAATTTTTAGAAAACTGAAGTTTTTTTTTTTTTATTATACTTTAAGTTTTAGGGTAAGAATTTTTCTTAGTACAGAACAAAATGAAAAGTCTCCCATGTCTACTTCTTTCTACACAGACACGGCAACCATCCGATTTCTCAATCTTTTCCCCACCTTCCCCCCACCTCCACTCCACAAAGCCGCCACTGTCATCATCGCCCGCTCTCAATGAGCTGTTGGGTACACCTCCCAGACGGGGTGGTGGCCGGGCAGAGGGGCTCCTCACTTCCCAGTAGGGGCGGCCGGGCAGAGGCGCCCCTAACCTCCCGGACGGGGCGGCTGGCCGGGCGGGGGGCTGACCCCCCCACCTCCCTCCCGGACCGGGCGGCTGGCCGGGCGGGGGGCTGACCCCCCCACCTCCCTCCTGGACGGGGCGGCTGGCCGGGCAGAGGGGCTCCTCACTTCCCAGTAGGGGCAGCCGGGCAGAGGCGCCCCTCGCCTCCCGGACGGGGCGGCTAGCCGGGCGGGGGGCTGATCCCCCACCTCCCTCCCGGACGGGGCGGCTGGCCGGGCGGGGGGCTGACCCCCCCACCTCCCTCCCGGACGGGGTGGCTGGCGGGGCAGAGGGGCTCCTCACTTCCCAGTAGGGGCAGCTGGGCAGAGGCGCCCCTCACCTCCCGGACGGGGCGGCTGGCCGGACGGGGGACTGACCCCCCCACCTCCCTCCCGGACTGGGTGGCTGCCGGGCGGAGACGCTCCTCACTTCCCAGACAGGGTGGCTGCTGGGCAGAGGGGCTCCTCACTTCTCAGACGGGGCGGCTGCTGGGCAGAGGGGCTCCTTACTTATCAGACGGGGCGGTTGCCAGGCGGAGGGTCTCCTCACTTCTCAGACGGGGCGGCTGGGCAGAGTTGCTCCTCACCTCCCAAATGGGGTCGCGGCCGGGCAGAGGTGCTCCCCACATCTCAGACGATGGGCGGCCAGGCAGAGAAGCTCCTCACTTCCTAGATGGGATGGCGGGTGGGAAGAGGCGCTCCTCACTTCCTAGATGGGATGGCGGCCGGGCAGAGACGCTCCTCACTTTCCAGACTGGGCAGCCAGGCAGAGGGGCTGCTCACGTCCCAGACAATGGGCAGCCAGGCAGAGACGCTCCTCACTTCCCAGACGGGGTGGCGGCCGGGCAGAGGCTGCACTCTTGGCACTTCGGGAGGCCAAGGCAGGCAGCTGGGAGGTGGAGGTTGTAGCGAGCGGAGATCACGCCACTGCACTCCAGCCTGGGCACCATTGAGCACTAAGTGAACCAGACTCCGTCTGCAATCCCGGCACCTCGGGAGGCCGAGGCTGGCGGATCACTCGCGGTTAGGAGCTGGAGACCAGCCCGGCCAACACAGCGAAACCCCGTCTCCACCAAAAAAATACGAAAACCAGTCAGGTGTGGCGGCGCGCGCCTGTAATCGCAGGCACTCGGCAGGCTGAGGCAGGAGAATCAGGCAGGGAGGTTGCAGTGAGCCAGAGATGGCAGCAGTACAGTCCAGCTTCGGCCATTTTGGGAAGAAGTTCTTTATCAGCTCCCTTGAAAAAGCACACGTAGATCACCAGTCCTCTTTGGACCTCCACCCACTGGGCCGCAACGTCCCCATTGGCTGGGCGAATTTGCAGCCGGGCGTGCAGGCACTGCTGTAGGAGCGCCCGGGCCTGAGGAATCCAGCTACCCTCAGCCATGGCTTAAGCCAGCGCCGCGGCCGGACGGTTACTAGGCCATGTGTCGCTGGCCCCTCCCTCGACGCGCTGGCCGAAAACTGAAGTTTTCTAAATGACTTTTTCCTCAATCATTAAAAAAACTCTTACAAGTTTTAAATATAAAAGCTGTAAATATAAAAACTATTCCATGACTTATGGCAGGTGACTAGTATCTTTAAACTAGAGATATCTTTAATAGAAATCCATCTCAACTCAAGGTCAATCAACTCATTACTTCCCAAAGTCCCTGTAGGGTGAATCCATCCTTCAATTTCTCTATTGCAAGCCCCAGTTCTTCTGAAAATACAGGTTCACGATCTTGTTGCTTTTTGGGAGACAGGAGGATAAGATGGGAATAGAGAAGGTGGGCAAGGAAGAGGAAAAAAACAAAAAAATAGGTTTCACATAAGTTTGTGAATGCTAAATGTTGGAATTTAGAAACTTTTTTCATATACTGTAGGTAAAATAAATGTCCTTACCTTATTGCCATCAGCAAAATAAGCCTGTAAGACAAAGAAAATTCTATTTCACAAACTGGACATATAATATTCGAATAGATCAGTGGGCTAAGGAACTTAATATGCAGAATGATTTTATAACTAAATGTATTTCACATTCTGTTACTGTGTAATGTTTTTTTCACCTATCTCTACAATGCTGGTAGCAGAATTCACTCTGTTCATGTCTACAAGAGTTATACCTTAAGTTGTAAAAAATGTGCTTTGTAATGTATGATTAGCACTGTTAACTTGAAAGGAGATAAAAAAGAATGACTTAATCATCATGTGGCAAGAAACAGGTAAAAAAGAGAAAAAAAGAAAAGAAAAAGAATGACTTAGAAGCTATACAATTTCTTCCCTACATTTGGTTTAGAAGATGATACTGGCAAAACAAAACAAGTACTTCAATGTGTCAGCAGATGCATACAGTTTGAGGCAGTAGTAGTTTATAATTATTTTATACTAATTTCACACCTTTGTTTCAAAGTATTTGTTACCAGACAGGTATTCTAGTCAGATTCATAGCCATAGAATGGAGAAAGCACTATTATTTTGGCTATAAGTTAAATGATACCAATTTGGAAATAGGAAAGCTATTGTTCAAATACATGTCCATTTCAAAACAAGATCCCTATAAATTAAGAGATGAACATTTCATAAAAATTAAGTATAGATTTTAAATTAATTTAATTAACAATATTTAACATGTTCTATTCACAGTATGAAAAAACTTTAGATATCTAAAATCCTAAAATCCTCTGAATAACTGTGTTTTCAAAGCATTTCTTTCCTTTTTTTTCTTTTTTTATAGAAATGGATTTTTGCCATGTTGGCCAGGTTGGTCTTAAACTCCTATCCTCTCAAGCGATCAGCCTACCTCGGCCTTCCAAAGTGCCGGGCTTACAGGTGTGAGCCACTGCACCTGGCCTCAAAGTATTTCTGATTTTGGTAATTTAAAAGTTATCGTCACAAAAGAAATCCCTCACTAAAAATATTATCTTCAAACTCAGGTTTAAGACACCATCAAAATCTCAAGTTATATGGTGTTTCACACACACCATTATTTTATTAAACAAGACTGAGATAAAATCCTTAAGAAATTTAATGCTGTCCTTTGTGATGCTCACCACAAAAGCATCCGTGTGACCATCAGAGTCTATTTCTACATCATCTTGAATTTGTTCGACTGTCAGAGCTTCGAGCGGCTGGGGCTGAAAATCAGCAGATGTTAAAATGCATCAGAGACAATATTAAATGTACCATGAGAACTGCAAATACTGTTAAAATAACAATTACAAACTACTAAAGTCTTATAAAAATCACGGTATAATTTGTTATTTTATTAAAAAACTAACAAGTAATAAAACTAATCAATTAAACCTAAACTTTCATATCTGAAGTCAGCATCACGAAAAGAACCAGAAAGAGAAATTTACACATACTTAAGATACTCAGATATCTTTAAAGAAAAAACTCTGACTTGACTTTCACATTTCTTTCACATTATTTAGAAAAACTAAGTTTTGCATAACAGCAAATGTTCAGTTTTCCTCAGAATAGTCATTATATAGAATTTGTGAAAAGTAAAAGAACTAATATTTTTATGGAATATTCTAAAGGTAAAGAATAAAATGTAGAACTAACACTTATTTATTTGTTCATTTTTCAAATGTTTGAATATCCCCTTTGTTATATTAGGTACTATGCCAGTAGTACCAAGGGTTATAAAATCCTACCCTTACTCACAAAGGGTTTATAATTTACTGAGTAGAGGAAAATATAAGACACAATGACCGATAACTAAATATTATGTTGAACCAAAAGAAACTGCCATTTTTTATCAGTCAAAATGATAAAATATCAACACTATTATATGCTTCAACCTACAAAAAGCAGTTATAACAAAGCTGAGGATAGCCTTAGTGTTTCAACCACGCTCAGAGTTGTGTGACTATGTGCAAGTAAATTAACTAAGCCTCAGTCTCCTTAACTGTGGGATAAGGATAATAATAATATGCCTCACAGTATTGTTGGGAAGATTAAATGTGATGGTGCATATAAAGTGCTTAGAGCAGTGAATGACAAACAGCAGATGTTTAACACAGTCATCCAACAACTATGAATATTCACTAAGAGCCTATCGTGTGCTAGTTTTGACTGCTGGAGATATAGCCATTAAGCAGACAAAAATCGCTGACTTCAGGGAGATCATTTATAGTGGAGGAGGCTGATTAATTCTGAAAGGAAGGGAGGAAGGAGAGAGAAAGTAAGCAAGCAGAATAAAGTGATGGGAGTTGCTGTTTTAGAAGAATAGTCAGGGAAGATCCTGAAGAGATGGCATTTGAGTAGGGACTCACATGAGGTGAGACAGTGAGCTATTACAGCTAGCTGCTATTATATACTGGGGTCAAAGAACAGGAGAAGAGAACAAACGAAAATTAGAGAATGCGTAGGGCAACTAACCTATCAAGCATCTCCCATGTGCCAGGCATTTAATGGACATGATCAATAACTTTGTAAGAAAGATTATGTCTGTTTTTCTCTTTTATTTTTTTAAGAGATAAGGTCTTGCTTTAAGAGATAGGTCATTGCTGCAGTGCAATGGCATGATCATAGCTCACTGCAGCCTCAAACTCCTGACCTCAAGCAATCCTCCCATCTCAGCCTCCGGAGTAGTTAAGACTACAGGCCGGCACCACCACACCTGGTTTTTAAAATTTAAAAAAAATTTAGTAGAGACAGGGTGTCACTATGTTGTCTTATTATGTTGAGGCTGGTCTCAAACTCCTGGCCTCACGTGATTCTCCCACCTCGGCTGCTCCAAAATGCTGGGATTACAAGCATAAGCCACCGTGGCTAGCCCTATATCAATTTTGAGAAAACTGAAGCTCAGATTTGCCTAGGATCACAAATAAATGATGAAACTGGGATTGAAAGTCAGGTTCTAAGGACCATGCTTGTTCTGCAACATTATTCTACAAAGAAGAGTAATAACTAGAAACAGGGAAGAGACTGGTATGACTGAAAGTGTAAAATGAGATAATGGGAAAATGAAGGAATACTTCAAAGTTTTGAGTACAGCTGACTTTGACAGTGCCAAAAATATATAAGTAAACAAATCAATAAATCAGCAGGTTGCTGCTTTTGAGAAAAAGATGAGGAGGCCAGTTTTAGGTATGCCAAGTTTGAGATGCTCATCCAAGTCCTGGTGTATCTTATTGACTTGCATAATTATTTAAATTACTAAGATAAATCTGAAATAAGAAATTCCACTCGTAGCATTTGGGATGCTCAACTATATGAAAATATTCAAGGGTATTTGGAACCATAAGCTGAAAGAATATGTCAAGGTCAGAAGGAAAGATCTACAGTCATCCACAAAAGTACAAGTTGAAGAAGCTGAACGAGCAGGTGATATTACCAAGGAATATACAGAGAAGGCAGAGTGAAAGGGAGACTGCTGAAAGAAGAGCATGTTGGGAAGAAAAAGAAAGGATGGTTCAGATGATGAAATACATACCGTGTATGTAATACAATGTCAGAAACCCAGATGCAAGTTTTAGCTAGAAGGAGAAATATATGGAATTCGACAGGGAGAGAAAAAATTAAGTACAAGGAGCACTACCAGGCAACAAGGGCCTCACTAAAGTCACATGCTGTAGTCCAAGAGCAGAAGAAGAGATATAAGTAATGGCTGTGATATGGATCAGCATGCCAAGCCCCAGCAGGGGCACCGATTATAAAGTAAACGGCAAGGGCACCAACAATAGAGTGCATAATGAGGGTGCCAGTAAAAGAACAGACAGCAAGGGAGTCTACAATCGAGTGATCAGTGATGGGACCAGGACAGAGAGGACAGCAAGGGCAATGGCAGTGGAGCAAATGGAAAGAGCACCTCTGACAGAATGGTGAGTGACTGTCCCAGTGATAGAGCAGACAGTGGGGGGCACCAACAATAGAGGGGACAGCAAGTACATCAGAGCTAGCGCCTCTAGCAAGGGTACTGGTGATAGAGTGGACAGTAAGGACACCTCTAATGGAGTAGGTAGTGAGGAAATCACTGATAGACTGGATGATGAGGGTCCCAGCTGGAGAGACAAATGAAGCCAAAAGAGAGCTCATGTACCTGGAGAGCAGGGAATAGTAGCAGCAACCAGGAAAGAAATCATGAAGAAGACAAAGAGCAGACATGTGGGCAGGATATGCAAAATACTTCATAACTGATATGGCAGAGGTACAGATCAACAGGAATGGATGCAGGCCGTGCTGATGTAGCCTACTCCTGGAGTTGCTATATTGTGGAGTACTAAGGCAGAAGACGGTATTCATGAGGACTATAAGGTTTGTCCATGCTCATAGGGGGCTGAAGTAAAATAAAAATCTGACAGAGTGAGAGACTCAAGTCTGTATCAGAGGAGCACTGCACATGGAAATTTACTCAGGTGGCTGCCCACCTACAAGGGCAGGTATGCGGGGCAGGAATGAATGATGAAGCAGCCACTTAGAAGACAGGTGGTAGGTACAAATTAGTGATAATCCAGGAGCTATGCCCACTTGAGCAGAATCTGTATATTCACCATTTTAAAAACAGTTCAAAATTAAATGGTGCACAGTGGTATCTACATCTGAATTTTATAGACTGCATAAAGCAATGCAAACTTTATTTCACATACTCAACAAATTACCTTTTCTTCCATCTCATAATCAACTCCAAATATGGGACTGGCAGAATAGACTTTGTGAAGTGAATTGATTTCCTTAACTGATTCTTGTAGTTTTTCCACAGGATCTATTTTAAAGCCAAGAACATATCCACCACTCTACAAGAGAAAAAATAATAAAAAAAAACCCAACAAGTCTGAAGAACAGTATTTATAGTATAAGATAAATTATAGCTCAATTTGTCCTTATTTTAGAGCATAATACGTAAGTTCATTTTTTCAATTAAACTTTTTATTATGAAAAATTTCAAGCACATACAAAAACAGAAGAGCACAAGGGGGCCTCCACGGAGCCATCATCCAGCTTCAAGAAGCAGCAACATGTGGACAACCCTGTTTCATCTGTAACCTCGCCCTCACCTGAACACCATTCCCCCAACGCAGGCTTATTTTGAAGTGTATTCAAATATAAGTTCATCTGAAATATCAAAGGTAACCTTTCAAGATTTAAAAAATACACTGTAGACTGTGAAGGCCAAGGGAACTAAGTTTTTCTTGAACTAGGCCTTGAAAAGGAACAGACTACACGAAAAGAAGAAAGGAAATGGGCCATCTGAGGCTATCTCCTTGAAGAATTAGGAAAGAAACTGGGCCATGATACAGTGTTTTGAAAGGAGTGTTAAAAAACTAAGTAGCATACTGTAATAGGTGAGAGTATATGTTCTGGGTTAAGAGCACACGCTTTTAATGTTCAAATTCTGGTTCTACCACTAATTCACTAGCTGTAGGATACTTAGAAACTTTCCTTAACCTTCCTTTCTTTTTTTTTTTTTTTTTTGAGACAGAGTCTCGCTCTGTCGGCCAGGCTGGAGTGCAGCGGCGCGATCTCGGCTCACTGCAAGCTCCGCCTCCCGGGTTCGCGCCATTCTCCTGCCTCAGCCTCTCCGGAGTAGCTGGGACTACAGGTGCCCGCCACCACGCCCGGCTAATTTTTTGTATTTTTAGTAGAGACAGGGTTTCACCGTGGTCTCGATCTCCTGACTTCCTGCTCTGCCCGCCTCGACCTCCCAAAGTGCTGGGATTACAAGCATGAGCCACTGCGCCCGGCCTCCTTAACCTTTCTAAGCCTCAATTTTCTAACCATAAAATGGTTATCCAGTTGTCATATAAAATAAGATAAACATATATATGACATTTGGTATAGTTCTTGGAACAGAGTAAATACTCAATAAATGGCAGCTGTAGGCCAGGAGAAAGGAGTAAGCAGACATTCATGTTTAAATTTAGAATGTAGATGATAAGTAATTTTATAAATCACTTTTAAAAATGTATTTAAAATTTTTCTTAGCCAGTGAAACCTACTATCATGAGACCAGCATGTTTTATTTAAATGTATTTCTGCAAAAACCTGGCATAATGGAGCATAACAGGTTATAATTAGCATATAATCTGTGTGTGAGAATATAAGACCTCAAACTGTGTGTGTGTACACAAATATATGTTTGTGTTTCTCAAAGACAGTCTTGGTAAATCAGTCAGACTTGAGATCAAAACTTAGCCCCATCACTTACTAGTTGTGAGATCATGGTCAAGGTTCCTAACTTCTCAAAGCCTCAGTTCCCTTGACTATAAAATGGGGGAAAAATAGTAGCTGTATCGTAGGATTGTGTAAAGATTGAGATAATGCATGAAAAGCCCTCGGCACAATGACTTGATTCTGTCATTAATAATAAGTGATGATCACAAATGATCATGTCTGTCCAACAAAAAAATATAAGCAGGATTCTTCCTCTGGGGACAATTTCTGTATGACTTCAAACACTTCATATATAACTTCATATTAAAGCTAATATTCTTCTCAGATGTAAACTGATTACTATATAAATAAAACCAAAAATCTAGACTGTCACATAGTTTTAAAAATCAAAGATTAATAAAAATATACAAGATCTTACCTGCTGAGAGCTTTCTATGACAAGAGCTAAACCAAATTTTGAATCTCTAATCTTTATTGAACGCTAGATACAAAATGAAAAAGAAAAACATGCAAGTTTTTATTAACTGAATAGTGACTCTTTAACTCAGTTTTTAAACTTTACACAGTATTTACTTTTCATAGTCTAAAGAACAGAATTCTCCCTCCTTCCTTCATTAAACTGCCACAGAGATCAAGTAAAAGAAACAAGACTCATACTGAAAATAGGTGGCAAACTTTTAAGAGGCAATACAAGAAAGACATCTCTGAAATATGTACAAAATTCCCGGACTCAAATATTTCTCACTTCCAGGGAGTAAACATTTTTAAAAATTAGAGACAATTAAATTAATTAGGTCTCATTCAGCCACCCAGACCAGACTACAATGGTGTGATCATAGCACACCACAGCCTCAAACTCCTGGGCTAAGGGATCCTCCTCCTGCCTCAGCCTCCTGATTAGCTAGGACTACAGGCATGTGTCACCATGCCCAGTTAATTTTTTCTTTTTTGTAGAGATAGGGGTCTCACTATGCTGCCTAGGCTGATCTTGAACTCCTGGCTTCAAGCAATCCTCCTTTCTTGGTCTCCCAAAGTGCTGGGGTTACAGGCATAAGCCACAGTGCCCAGACTGAACTTTTAAACAAAAGGCTAGCAATCTTTTAGTTTTGGTAAGCCGTGCCTTTTGTAGCTCCTAAGCCTAGTTTAGTTTTTTAAAGTCACATGTGCCTTCTGTTTCTTACATCATAGATGGCTACATTCTTAAAAGAACCTCTATTCTATTTAAGGTTTTTTTTTTTTGAGACGGAGTCTCGCTCTGTTGCCCAGGCTGGAGTGCAGTGGTGTGATCTTGGCTCACTGCAAGCTCTGCCTCCCAGGTTCACGCCATTCTCCTGCCTCAGCCTCCCAAGTAGCTGGGACTACAGGCGCCCGCCACTATGCCCGGCTAATTTTTTGTATTTTTAGTAGAGACGGGGTTTCACCGTTTTAGCCGGGATGGTCTCGATCTCCTGACCTTGTGATCCGCCCGCCTCGGCCTCCCAAAGTGCTGGGATTACAGGCGTGAGCCACCGCGCCCGGCCAATTTTTTGTATTTTTAGTAGATACTGGGTTTCACTGTGTTAGTCAGGATGGTCTGGATCTCCTGACCTTGTGATCCACCCACCTAGGCCTCCCAAAGTGCTGGGATTACAGGCGTGAGACACCATGCCCATCTGTAGTCTAAGTTTTAAAAATAATTTTAATTATTTAAGTTTAATATAAAATATTTAAGTTTTAAAAATAAGTTTGAATATTTATCACTAGACATCAAGGAAGGTTGGGATAGATTAAGTGTAATTAACATCAACTGGTAAATGTGATGTGAGGACTAAGCTTGGTTAGTGGAAGATAGATGGTGAAACCAGTGGCCTGGGAGAAGGGGAGAGTAGAGGCAGAATGGCAGGTAGGGCCTGTAGAAGTCACACAAAATGTACCTGCTGGCAGGGTAGGGGAGAATCACGGAGGACCTAACACTATGACCAGCAGACCAAAAGCCCAGAGAAGGGTAATCTGGCAGGTGATGATGGGATACCATGCTTCTAGACAGATAGGCAACTTTGAGAAAGAGACTCAGAAAAAGAAGAAAGGCTTTGATGATAATTGTTACGAAAACCTGGCCTTTCATCTGGGCTACTTTACACCCCATCAAGAGTATATACAATCCCAGTTAAGAATCATAGAACACTGACCAGGGGCGGGGGCTCACGCCTATATAGGCTGAGGTGGGCAGATTGCTTAAGTTCAGGAATTTGAGACCAGCCTGGGAAACATGGTGAAACCCCGTCTCTACAAAAATTACAAAAAAATTAGCCAGGTGTGGCTGTGCACGCCTGTGGTCCCAGCTGTTCAGGAGGCTGAGGAGAGAGGATCACCTGAGCCTGGGAGGCAGCAGTTGCAGTAAGCCAAGACCATGCCACTGTACTCTAGCCTGGGTGACAGAGTGAGACCCCTGTCTAAAAAGGAAAGAAAGAATCACAGAACACTGGCACTCTGGCTTTCAATAGGTAATCTAACCAGGTGTCTGTGGGTGACACAGGCTGGTAAGACAGAAACTGGCAAGAAGCTGATATAAATATCTATAGGAGTGGGGTCAGGGTAATGGCTGAGGTGTAGAGCTGAAGTTAGACTATGACTGCCGCAGTGACAGACTGTGATGATATCAGATTGCAAGTTGTTTGGGCCACTTGAATTAATTCCAGACGCCATATTTGACAACTCTATTCTTAAATAACAAAAAGAACAGAAAGCACAAGGTTGTTTACTACTCAGTAATTATTCAGCATAATAGAAGTTAGGTTAGGCAAGCTATAACACATTAATGTAATGCAATATAAAAAAGCAATAGCAATACAAACACCAATTTGTCAAATACCTATCTAGATTTTGTTACATTGTCCCAGCCTTGATTACAAACTCTTATATTCCTTTTGATAGCCAGAAATAATTTTCTTCCTATGAGATTCTATGGCTTTCTGTTTAATATGTTGCTTTTCTCCAACAGACTGAAAGCCCCTTGATGGCAGGAACTGTATACTGGTTCATGATTTTCATGATTGTATCTCTAGCACTTGGCACAGAGTAGGTATTCAAAATTTGGCATAAAAATGAATGAATTATCAGAAATTTTAAAGAAACTCTGAAATCAAACAATTTAGCCAAAAATAGGGTTGGGAATATTTTGCAAAGAATTATTCTTCTCATGGGCCAGGAATTCTTTCCTTAAAAACGGTATTTTCCAGGTATCACATACATTCTGTCTACTCAATAAATATTAATAAAACTCCTTAGTCTTAAGACTATATATCCTACAATAAGGGCAATTATCATAGGATAATCTCATGGGATTTTCATTAACTATTTTTATGTTCCATCTAATTTGTTCTAGAATTCTATAAGTAGTTTATATAAAACAAAATTATTTAGTGTATTGAAGTTTACAGTTTGTTTCACTGAGTCACTTATTTATCATAGCAGCAGCAGAGTACAAAGAACTATCTTTACCTATTCCCAAAACAAACTGGTCTCAGATATAGTCAGTTCTTATTTTGAATTTTCATAGTTTTTTTTTTTTTTAAATAGAGAAGGAGTCTAGCTATGTCGCCCATGCTGGTCTCGAACTCCTGACCTCAAGCAATCCTCCCGCCTCTGCCTCTCAAAGTACTGAGATTACAGGAATAAGCCACCATGCCCAGCCTGATTTTAACAGTTTTAATTGAACTTAAGCTGAAAGTATTATCACTAAAAATCATCTTGATTCCTTTCACTAAACCTGTGGTATGAATCCAGCTTGTATTACATTCTGTATCTAAATACAATGAAAGCAGTTCATTCGCAGAATTAATAAATTCCTTCTGGCTTTTAAAAGCTTTAGAGCAGAAAATGACAAGAGAGCCAAGAAAAACTGTGGATCAGTGTGCTAAATCTATGCCAAGGAAGCACCACATACCTGCCTCATGAAAAAGTTACAGAAAACTTTAATAGCTAAAGCCCTCTGGATGGAATCCAAGAGACACCTTACTCTGTATTACTATTTAAATTTTTAGAATCCAGTATATTTCTCTTCTAATAGCAAGTTGATAATGGTGCTGCTTCTCTGGAATGCAGTACAATTGGATCTTTTCTACATTGAAATATTTCATAGTAAATTATCAGCATCTTTAAAATATGCTCTCAGCTAATAACTGCTACCACTTAAAAAAGGGAGAAAGAACTCATCTAAAAGTCCAATTAACTATTGAACAAAAAATATTTATTTTACATTAAAATAAGGTCATCAAAATGTATGTACTTACAATTTGCAGATATGGTATACTGACATTAAAACTATCATTCATATTTGCATGCCACACAATTCTCACATTGGTAATAAAAAAGGTTCCTAAATTGCCCTGTAAAAAACAGTAATGAGATACCGAAATGATCATTTTTTTGGTACCTATTCTTTATTTTCTAATCACCAGAATAACTTATTACAGCAGCAAATAATACCAAAATTGAGTATCAATGACTTCATCATTCATTGATGGCAGTACAATTAGACGAGTGACAGCCTGGACTTTGGAGTCAGGCTGCCTAATCATTAAACCATTAGTACCTACCAACTGTCTGACCATAGGGAAATTTCTTCTTGATGTATTTTGTCAAATGTAAAATGGAGATCTGATTAAATATCCCATGTAAATCAATCCTAACACAGTGCCTAAATGTTAGACCTTACTAAAATTATTATTCAAAACCTTGGATAGGTTAAGGCAAAGGAGTTGTAGTAAGAGAAACAAAACATATGTAATAATCCCCATGAATATACATTAGATTGTATTCTTTATAAGGATAGGAGCGGAGTTACTCTGTTCCATAGTTAGATCTTTACCACCTAGCATAGCACCGCAAATTTTTTATTCATTAATTAAGGAGACATTCCAGGATTATCAGATATTTCATTGTATTGAAAGAAAATAGGGATGTTATCATCAACCTAACTTGTACTTATTGAAAAGTAATACGCTTTCCTATAATGCTAATTTTAACAATTAGAATTGACTATATAAATCCAATGATGAATGGAAAAATGATTACCAAAACACTGTCCCAAAAGGTTCACTAGCTCTTTGCACAATACCTGATCACTGGATAAATTCCAAACTCCATTTATTTTATCATATACATGTTCTTGTGGCAACAGTCTTAGTTGCTTGTTCTGAATTAGTGCACTTCTTAATTTAAAATCACGATACATTTTAGAAGTTT
Source organism: Homo sapiens (assembly GCF_000001405.40). NCBI lineage: Eukaryota > Metazoa > Chordata > Mammalia > Primates > Hominidae > Homo > Homo sapiens. The sequence goes on along the minus strand of NC_000002.12, from coordinate 169,492,881 downwards.
CATAAGCTCTATGAAAAAGAACAAACAAAAGACAACTCAAACTGAAAATGTGATTTTCTTGGGTTATGTTTACTTACTAAAATATGTAGTTGTTAGTATTTATGAACATTACTCAAATAATTATGATACATTTTAATATTTTTATTTCTTTTTAAAAATTGTTCTTATAGAGACAAAGTCTCAATACCTTGCCCAAGCCGGACACAAACTCCTGGGCTCAAGTGATACTCCTGGCTCAGCTTCCAGAGTAGCTGGGACTATAGGCATGTGCCACTGTACCCAGCTATATTTTTCTTTTTAATAAGGTCTGGCAATTACAGTTTTTTGTAGAATTTGTCATTTTAGTGTATTATTTACATATTTTATCTCAATAACCTATTTTTTTTTTTTTTTGAGATGGAGTCTCACTCTATCATCAGGCTGGAGTGCAGTGGTGCAATCTTGGCTCACTGCAACCTCTGCCTCCCAGGTTCAAGTGATTCTCCTGCCTCAGCCTCCCGAGTAGCTGGGACTATAGGCGCACGACACCATGCCCAGCTAGTTTTTGTATTTTTAGTAGAGACAGGGTTTCACCATGTTGGCCAGGATGGCCTCGATCTCTTGACCTCGTGATCTGCCCGCCTCGGCCTCCCAAAGTGCTGGGATTACAGGCGTGAGCCACCATGCCCAGCCCCTATTTTTTAATACACATGGAAATTGTTTTTTCTATCAAAATGCTACCTTTTCTTCCTTTCCTTGTTTTTCAAAGGACATAAACAGGCGTCCAATTATTAATACTTTTTCTCGGCCGGGCACAGTGGTTCATACCTGTAATCCCAGCACTTTGGGAGGCCGAGGTGGGCAGATCACTTGAAGTCTGGAGTTTGAGAGCAGCCTGGCCAACATGGTGAAACCCTGTCTCTACTAAAAATACAAGAATTAGCCGGGTGTGGTGGTGTGCACTTGTAGTCTCATCTACTTGGGAGACTGAGGCAGAAGAATTGCTTGAAACCAGGAGGTGGACATTGCAGTGAGCTGAGATTGCGCCACTGCACTCCAGCCTGGGCCACAGAGCGAGACTCTGTCTCAAAACAAAAACAATTACTTTTTCTCACTGCAACCTGAAAACATGCTCATGTCTACCTCTATACAGAAAACTAGAATGAATCTGTACTGATTCCAAAAGGGACCCTAAGGGGAGAAGGGGGAAAGAGGAAGAGAAGAACAGGGAGGGAGAGGGGGAGAAAGAGGGAGGAAAAAGGACAGGGGGAGGGAGGGAAAGAGAATTAAATCCTTATAACTTTTTCAATGTCTATTGATAATACAGAAACCCTGATTAACTTTTGATTAATTTTAATATTTCATATAAAACAGGCTAAGTTACCTATTTAACAAAAGTAAAGTTTTCTTAGCCTTAATAACAACAGATTCATATATTCATTGTTGAACTTCTAATTTTTATTTTAATCTTCTAATATTTAAATTGTGAAAGAGCAGAATTTTAGCACTCTGCTTGTAAATGTTAATTTTCTTTAGTGCTGTTATCATCAATACTTAACCAGTGGAAGAAATAGAAACTATTTATGCTATAAATTATTTTGGGGGGGAAGCACATAGTGTTTTTAATACTATTAAAGAAAAGCAGCTTCTGTTCCCTTCATATTCCATTTAGAACTTTTCATTTCACAGTACTTCTCTCAGTGAAATAAAGAGCTAAGGTTTAGGTATATGCCCAAGAGAACTGAAAACAGATGTTGACACAAAACTTATACACAAATGTTCATAGTAACATTATTCATAATGGCTAAAAAGTAAAAAACCCAAATGTCCATCAACTCATGAATGGATAAACAAAATGTGGTATGCCCATACAATGGAATATTCTTTAGCTACAAAAAGGAATGAACTACTACTACTACTGATACATGCTACAACATGAATGGACCTTGAACACACTGTGTAAGTGAAAGAGGTCAGACATAAAAGGCCACATATTATATGATTCCATGTAAATAAAATTTCCAGAACAGGCAAATCCATATAGACACAAAGTAAGTTAGAGGTTATCAGGGGCTGTGGAGTGGAGGGAATGGGAAATGACTGCTATGGGTAAGGGATTTATTTTGGGAGTGATGAAAATATTCTGGAATTGGATCTTGGCAATAGTTGAACAGTATTGTGAATATACTAAAACTATTGAACTGTATACTTTAAAATCGTAAATTTTGTTATGTAAAATTTTATGTGAATTATATCTCAATTAAAAAATTAAGCCATTATATAGACTAAAACATCAATAAAATTAAAAATCAAATAAACTAGGAAACTAAAAATAATATTTGCAATATATATGACAGCTAAGGGTATAATTAAGAAATTTAGCTTCCTGCTGGGTGCGGTGGCTCACGCCTGTAATCCCAGCACTTTGGAAGGCCAAGGTGGGCGGATCACAAGGTCAGGAGATCGAGACCATCCTGACTAACACAGTGAAACCCCGTCTCTATAACACAGTAAAACCCAACTCTACTAAAAATACAAAAAATTAGCCGGGCGTGGTGGCAGGCGCCTGTAGTCCCAGCTACTCGGGAGGCTGAGGCAGGAGAATGGCGTGAACCCGGGAGGCGGAGCTTGCAGTGAGCCGACCATCGCGCCACTGCACTCCAGCCTGGGCGACAAAGTGAGACTCCGTCTCAAAAAAAAAAAAAAAAAAAAAAATGCACATTTCATTGGCTGGGCCCAGTGGCTCACACCTGTAATCCCGGCCCTTTGGGAGGCTGAGGCGGGCAGATCACGAGGTCAGGAGATCAAGACCATACTGGCTAACATGGTGAAACCCCGTCTCCACTAAAAATACAAAAAATTAGCCAGGCGTGGTGGTGGGCACCTGTAGTCCCAGCTACTCGGGAGGCTGAGGCAGGAGAATGGTGGGTGAACTTGGGAGGTGGAGCTTGCAGTGAGCTGAGATAGCAGCTGCACCCCAGCCTGGGCAACAGAGCAAGACTCTGTCTCTAAAAAAAAAAAAAAAAAAAAAAAAAAAAAAAAAAAAAAAAAGGAAATTTATGAGAAGCCAAAAAATACAAAAAATATATGAAAAATGTCAACCTCACTGGTAAATACAAGTTAAACAATTATATACACACATATATACACATACCTATGTGTCTATATCCTGTCATCTTAGCAAAGCTTAAAAAAAATCATAGCACTTAGGGCTTGTTTAAAAAAGAAAAAAAGCCGAGGTAGTGAAAAGAGAAGAATTTAGTAAACAACAAGAAGAAAAAATATAAAAACAAAACAGCCTGGGTGAAGTGGCTCACATGTGTAATCCCAGCACTCTGGGAGGCTGAGGCAGGAGAATCACTTGAGCCCAGGAGTTGGAAACCAGCTTGGACAACAAAGTGAGACCCCGTCTCTAAAAAAAAAAAAAATTTTTTTTTTTTGAGACAGAGTCTTGCTCTGTTGCCCAGGCTGGAGTGCAGTGCGGCGATCTCAGCTCACTGCAACCTCCATCTCCCTGGTTCAAGTAATTTTCCTGCCTCAGCCTCCAGAGTAGCTGGGATTACAGGCATGCACCACCATGCTCAGCTAATTTTTTTGTATTTTTAGTAGAGGCAGGGTTTCACCACATTGGCCAGGCTGGTCTTGAACTCCTGACCTCAAATGATCCACCCACCTCAGCCTCCCAAAGTGTTGGGATTACAGACGTGCGCCACCACGTCTGGCTCTACAAAAACATTTTAAAAATTAGCAGGACATGGTGGTGCGCACCTGTAGTTCTAGCTACTCAGGAGGCTAGGACAGGAAGATCATTTGAGCTCAGGAGTTTGAGGCTTCAGTGAGTTATGACTGCACCACTATACTCCAGCCTGGGTGACAAAGCAGGACCCTACCTCTATTTAAACATAAATAAATAAAAAAAGGCCACAAACCTAAAACAAACCAAAACACCAATAAAACTCTTCAGGGAAAACACTCAAACATGCCTTCTACCTACTAGAAAAATAACCTTTTAAATTAATTAATTATGCAACTTGTTTAGCTATATTGAATGAATTCTTTATTTCACTTTACCTACCTTGGTAGCTAATTTAATCTGGTTGTCAGTAGAAATTTTTAATGAATCTTCAGTAGTTTTATGTGTTTTATAAATACCTTCAAAGTGTTTATTAAATAATAAAACATGTTGTTCTCAACATCTTCCTGATATTTACAATAGAGCTTGGAGGAAGACAGTACCACACTTCTAAGCTTTATTCTCTAAAACAGGGGTCCCAAACCCCCTGGCCACAGATAGATGGGTACTGGTCAGTGGCCTGTTAGGAACCAGGCTGCCCAGCAGGAGGTGAGTGGTTGGGGGGTGAGTGAGCAAGCAAAGCTGAGCTCTGCCTCCTGTCAGATCAGCAGCGGCATTAGATTTTCATAGGAATGCAAACCCTACTGTGAATTGCACATGCAAGGGATCTAGACTGTGCCCTCCTTATGAGAATTTAATGCCTGATGATCTGTCATTGTCTCCCATCACCCCAGATGGGACCATATAGTTGCAGGAAAACAAGCTCAGGGCTCCCACTGATTCTACATTATGGTGAGTATATAATAGTAATAGAAATAAAGTGCACAATAAATGTAATACACTTGAATCATCTTGAAACCATACCCTCACCCAATTCGTGGAAAAACTGTCTTCCATGAAACTGGTCCCTGGTGCCAAAAAGGTTGGGGACTGTTGCAGTCTAAAACCATAGAGTAAACAAAAAATATTCAATAATCCATAAAGTATTACTATACCTGTGTACTGCCATCACAGAAGTAAAAAGTCTAGGGCTTCCAGGAACCAAATTTGTAAATATAAATTCAAAACGAGTACTGTTACATTTTGTTAGTATATAGAGAGCTTCAGTTTGGCCTCGTAATTTCTGTAAGGACAAATTTATTTAAAAGTTCAGATTTTAAGAGCAATTTCTCCTTTATAGTGAAAACAAACATCAATCTCAAATATCTAGTTTCTTTACTATATATATATTGCAATAAGATTTTTTAGACTTACAGAGTTAGCAGTCCTTGTTGTAATATTCAATATGCAATTGTAACCGACAGCTAAAATCCAAAAGCAAAGAATGTAAAGAGCATGATATGGTACACTGAGAAAAAATACTTTTCTAAAAAAAAAGTATACACAGAACTTTTAACAGTTTAAAAAATTAAACATATATAGAAATAAACTTTTAAAAGTTTTAAAGAAATAACTATAAATTAAATAATTAAAAAAACTAGAGGGTCAATTCTGTCTCCTTGAACAAACAAAAATATAACACAGGAAAAAGGAAGTCTTCATCCCTAAAGCCTCTGCAGCATTATTTACTGAAAGTTTTGGCACTACTACTAAAAAAGAACAAGTCTAGCTGGATAATCTAAAATACTTTAAAAAAATAAGTGAAACAAAATTTAACACAATGAAAAGATTATACTTTTATTAGAGCTTCTTCCTTCTTTGGGATTAATCAAAACAGGGGATGATAGTATGTTCTCAAAAATAATCAAAAAACAAGAACCAAGGTTAAAGCCCTAATCTTCTATATGTCCAAGACACAAAATGGACAAACCAAAATAATAATGGATAATTTTGTTTGCATTATGATGTCTAGGATTTCTGAAGGTTTTTTATTTTTATTAATATTTCTACATACTTCTTTGGTATCAAAGGCACCATGCAAATTCACCTGACAAAGGATTTTTTTTCTTCAGACTTATCTAACAAAGATACTTACAAACATTGACTCTTGATAATGCCAAAGAGTGCCAGAGAATTCTTAAATTTGTTACCAAGAGTCTACCTAAAAGCACACAGACAAAAAATAGGTTAACTTAAATAAGAACCCATTTTTGCAGCACTGAATGAGATGGATATGGAACTTCTGGCCCAGTATTAGAAGCAACACTCAGATATTTTTCATATATTAACTGAAAATATTGTGCATATCCAACCTATATAAGGTATACAACATATGATTCAGAATCCCAGAGAAACAAAATTTGACAGTTATATAAGGGATACAGATGTTCTCTGCCAATAGCTTTGCTCTAACTCAAACTGACTGAAGAAAGAATTGTGTACTAGTTTTTTTGTCTTGGTAGAAGTTGTTCTGGGTCCCAGCAAGTCATATGTGTACAACTGAGAATGAATATAGGATAATTACACAGCTATTCACTGAAATCACACTTTTCAAAGAACTCTCACATACACACTAATCCTTTCTATATGAGTACTTTCTTAGCAGTTCTCATTTAAATGAACCATATATTTATACACACAATTTTGCTGTGAGCAAACTATTTTGTTCCTAAGAAGTTATGGTCAGGCTGAAGTCTATTTAAGGCTTTATACTTTTTGATCTTAGCATCAGACTGATGTTCATACACTGAAATACAAAGTTAGATACTTCATTTCTCAAAATGTGTCCTGTACAATAGTGATCTCTTACTGATGCTCCAAGAAAAAAACAATAAATTTGAGAATGGTATACTAGGTGTATTAGAGATGTACAATACAATCAGCATATTATCATAGCTTTGAGATATTCTGAAATAATAAGACTCACTTTGTTTAAACACATTATTTCACCAACAAATTACAATCATAAAATTATTTTTATGAGTAATCTATAGCCAGCCAGGTCATACTATTTCTGAAAACCTCTATAATGTCTAAAATCAGAGAAACTAGGTCTGTACGAATACTGGAGTGAAAAGTGGATAGCAAACATGGCTCTAAAAAAGATGAAAGCATTCTCAAGGGAGACTGTGGAAAATTACAGAATATCTTTGACAAATAATAAGTAATCCAGCATGGCTGGAGTGTAAAGTTCACACAAGATCATAGAAGACTAGGTATAGCATCCTTCAGTCATTGGTCCAACGGAAAACAGATGGCACACTCAAGTTAGGATAACTGAGGTTTATTTACAAAAGAGGGAGCAGCAGTTCATGAAATCTGGAAGAAACAAGAGTCCTATGGAGCTGACTGCTTTGAGAGGAGAGACACAGCCAACCCTTCACTGGGAAGGAACCAGGGCAATAAATACCCAGACCTCAAACTCCTGCCTCCCTTTGATCTTCTGCCATGGCTCTTCCAACTGGAAGCCAGAGTATACAAGGAACCCTTAGATGTACTCTATACAAGTCATCTTTCCAGGGCAAGGGGAAAAGGGTGGAGAAGAATGCTGGACCTGGATGAACAAATGGAAGACAGCAGCACAGGCGATAAAAGTTGTCTTTGGACATACTAGAAGTTCTTTAATGCTAGACAAAGAAATTCAGACTTAGATCTATTAGCAATGGAGGCAGTAGAGTTGGGGGTGGGGTTTAGGATTGGAATTGGGGAGGACTAAAAATCTTTAAGAAGAAAATAATATGACCCTCCCAGTTTAGAAATCAATGTAGGCAGTTAGGTTCATCACCTAGCTACGTGACCTTGGAAAAGTAAACTAACCTCTGTATTCCTCAGTTTCCTCATTTGAAAATAAATATGACTGCATCTACTTTAAACTTTTTGTTTTACTGTTTTTATTATTGTTAAATGAGATTATATTTATATAAAAGATTCAGAACAGTGACTGTCAATAAACATTCCCCAAATAATAGCTATTTAAAAAATAATCCTTTGCAAACTCATTTTTAACTTTTTTTGGTTTTTATATAGATATACCTGTTTTCCTTACGCCATTTTACCTAGGCAACATTTTATCTTTACAAGTGGGCTATGGGCTCAGGACATCTATTGATTCTTTTATATTTTTCTGTCGGTCCCAGGAGAAATTATGGAGTGGGAAGGGTTTGCCATATAAAACCACCAACCACCTCTGTTTGCCTTTTTCTTTGCTCTTGGTATATCTCCTACAATCTCTAGGATTTTTAATGCTACCTCTTTTCTGCTGAAGAACCCCAGCCTATGGCTCCAAACCCAGTGTTCCAGACATGGACTTTCCTCTCTACCCTGCCTAATACCAAAGTATAGTTGTCCCTGTTTCTACTAATCTCCCAAACACTGAAATATGGCTGTCCCTTTTATTCTCACACAGCTATTTAATATAATATTTTAATTCTTTACAAACTCATTTCTATGACTTACTTTCTGATTATAGATACATTGGTTATATTTTCCTTATGCCATTTTACACCTAAGCAGCATTTTATCTCTATAACTGGGCTATGAGCTATGGGCAGTGTGCAAAGTTAATCTGATAATTTCAAGTCAGGGTACTAACAGTTGAAAATGGATTAAATATGCTAATCTTCTGGGATATAGTTTTAACATAAGGGGCTCTTGAACTTGGCAATGTCTTAACTTGGTCATTTTCAAACTGCTGAAAGGGAGGGGAGGGAGATGGCTAGAAGGCAGGATTCCCCTTCCATTTTTTAACTCCTTAATGACCAGAAGCGCTGCGTACTCCTGTAAAATTTCAAAAGGTTTTTGAGGTCTGTGCACACACACACACACACAGTTATTTCTATTTTAACTTTGAGACAGGGTCTTGCACTGTCACCCAGGCTGGAGTGCAGTGGCATGAACATGGCTTACTGAAGCCTCAACCTTCTGGGCTCAAGTGATCCTCCCACCTCAGCCTCCCCAGTAGCTGGGGCCACAGGCGCACAACACCACACATGGCTAATTCTTTTTATTTTCTGTAGAGACAGGGTCTTGTTATATTGCCAGGCTGGTCTCTAATTCCTGGCCTTAAGCAGTCCTCCCACCTTGGCCTCCCAAAGTACTGGAATTATAGGCAAGAGCCATTGCAGTTGGCCTATTTTTATTAATAGTAGGATTTCAGGCACTGGAGATTTCTGATCAGGGAAGCTTTCTGCCCTTCCTACTCTAAAGTATTAGTATAGGATTCTGCGCTCAATGAATATCTGAGGAATCGAAAAATGTTTTATGAAGAGTTCCTGCCAATCTGTATGAGACTTTCTATTGGCTTTCTCAAGTTAATTCTGAGTTCGTCAAGATACAGCCATCTTGATAGTTGGGATTATTATTCCACCCTCAAAAGCACAAACTAAGACTTTTCGTTTGCTGCCAGATCTTCATACTCCACTCTCATCTGAGCTTGATGTACACCAGGAAGCATTTCAGAAGTGTGATCTAAGCATTACTTTAAGGATGAGCCCTAGCCACTAAAAGGATCTGCCTGTAGGTGGTGGCAAGTAGGCAGCAGGCCCCTTTCTAAGCCTTTCTTCTGAGGGGAACTGCCCTCACCTCTATCTCCATTATTTCCTCTGGTGTCTTCAACCGAATCTAAACAATCAATAAAGACATCGCCAGGTCTTGTTTTCATTTGCCTAAAATGAATACAAAGGTCTGAATTTTATAGCTACCACTATACCTACTTGCCATCTATTAGGGACATATTTACCATCTAATATGTCTCTACTAAGAGACATATGTACATTAGCCAGGAGCAGTGGCTCATGCCTGTAATCTCAGCACTTTGGGAGGCCGAGACAGGTGGGTCACTTGAAGTCAGGAGTTCGAGACATATGTACATAAAAGAGCCAGCAGCATAAATAATACTGTACCAAAAGTTCATGCATTTAAAAATAAGGTCTCTGAGGGGAACCAATCTCAGAGAAGCAGGCTTACAACAGGGCCTGCTGCCTACATGCCACCTCAGAGCAGGTCAGAAGAAAGTCTCAGGAAGCAAGCAGCCACTCAAAGGGCTACAGTAAGCATGTTCTGCTAATAAGGTTTACTGTTCCTTCTCTATGAGTTATTGATTCCCCCTTTCCTGAATGAAGTCTGCTCTATTTCCCCTCTTACCCCTTTCCAATAAGAGGTTTACATCCCTCCCTCCTAAACTTCTTCTCCCACTAAAACATATTCTGGATACATTAAGCTGTCATTCCACATCTATTTTTTTTTCCTTGGAAGTAATGATGCTTTCAAGACCTACTGGTCACTGGCTCCACAGATAGCTGCTATGGGCAGCCTGGACTTTTAAAAGTTCCAACCTTAGGGAGATTTGGTTTGGGAGGGGCTCTAGGGTCCAGCTGTGCTGGTCCTTGGTGACAGTCAGAGAAGACTCACAGGATTTTCTAGTACTTGACCTACAAATAGATTTCACAGTGCAGGACTAAATTTGCTCTCCGCATATCCATGTCTAGGTGACAACCATAGGTGATTGATGGTGCATTACTTCTGAATTTTTGAAAAGGAAGCATGGCTCCAGGTACTACAGCTATGACCTACTTATATTCCACTACCCCATATCCTTTTTTGGGAAGACAGATCTAACGGTCAGAACTAATGCCCCTTGCAAACAGGTCTACTTGAGTTTTAACAGCTACAATGGATAAAGGTGATGTTAGAACCAGGACTTACTGAAGGACCAAACTACATGTTTAATACCTATCCTGTCTTCTGTTTAAATCTGAGAAAAGTCTTATGTGAATTTAACTCTCCTATTCTCACAATTACACTGACAAATGATGCTGTTTCATATATTCTCTAGCTAATATGATTCAACATTTGTAAATTAAACCAGGAATATAAGATACATTTAAAAATATACTCACCTCTATCTCCATTATTTCCTTTGGTGTCTTCAATGGAATCTAAACAATCAATAAGGACTTCTCCAGGTCTTGTTTTCATTTGCCTAAAGTGAATATAAAGGTTTGAATTTTATAGCTACAACTATACCTGCTTGCAATCTATTTAGGGAGAAAAGAGACATATGTACATAAAACAGCTAACAGCATAAATAATACTGTACCAAATGTTCATGCATTTAGAAATAAGGTCTTCAAGAACTTCAAGAACCTGAAGATCAGTGGGGCCTGGAGTGACCAGGGCCATCTGGAGTAAGCCAGATTGGTAGGAGGTGTTGAATTTTGAAAAATAAAAGGAAAAGAAAAGAGAGTCCATGATTAAAGACCAGGAATAAGAAATGGTAAGGACATGGGAGAAGGCTGGCCAAGCTTGGAAAGAAGGACCATATTGGGAGGTAGTGAGAGAAATATTGTTGGATAACTAAGGAGGAACCAGACTATGGAGAACTCAGAATGCCAGTCTGATAGGTTTAGGCCTTATCCTGTGCACAGGAGAGAACCTCCAAAGGTTTCTGAGTAGAGGAAAGGACATCAGGAAATTATAGAAGGAATGGTTAAAGAAGAGCTGTATGAAAAGCATCTTTGGAATTTGACAAATAGATACAGGTGACAAAAGGAAATAAGAGCAGCTTGCTGACAGACAGAATACATTCTACAGTGTCCAAAAAAAAAAACCTAGCAAAATATCTAAAAGAGCCTTCTAATACACTCTTCATAAAGCCAACTCAACTACCTATTGAAAATACAGATATGACCATATCATTTCCCTGCTTAAAAGCTTTCTATATCTTCCTGCTGCCTAGAAGTTGAAGTCCAAAATCCTGAGCTAAAAATGTTACAATCTGGCTAATTTATCTATTTGTACTTCCAACCTCTCTCTGCAGCAGACCCTGCCTTTAGCTAATGAGGTTACAGCTCCAAGACTGCTTCTAACGCTAAATTCTTTTCTTCTTTTCTGGAATACTCTCCTCCTGTCTACCCTGACAAGGCTCTGCCCATTCTTCAGGGAACAACTCAAATACTATGAATATTTATTCTTCTTCAAGGACTTCACCAGGTAGAATAAATTGTTCTGTTTCTATGAGTCTCAGCTTTTCGCTCATTTTTTCAGAATGGTATTTACCACATTTATTATAGTGGTTGTCTGTATGTATCTCCTGCACTAGAACGGGGGGATATGAATATCATTTCCTATTATTTTCTGTCTCTAGCTATCGGCCCAGTAACTAGCACGTAATAAAACATGGATAAATGTTTACTAATGTTACTGAAACGGACTTTTGTTTGGATTAAGAACCCTACAAGAAAGACAGAAAATGTCGCCGGGCGCAGTGGCTCACGCCTGTAATCCCAGCACTTTGGGAGGCCGAGGCGGGCGGATCACCTGAGGTCAGGAGTTCGAGACCAGCCTCAACATGGAGAAACCCCGTCTCTACTAAAAATACAAAATTAGCCAGGCGTGTTGGTGCGTGCCTGTAATCCCAGCTACTCTGGAGGCTGAGGCAGGAGAATTGCTTGAACCTGGGAGGCGGAGGTCGCAGTGAGCCGAGATCGCGTCATTGCACTCCAGCCTGGGCAACAAGAGCGAAACTCTGTCTCAAAAAAAAAAAAAAAAAAAAAAAAAAAAGAATGACAGAAAATGTCATAGAAAGTGCGCAATATGTTACTACAGTCCGTAATTTTACGAATTCCTTTCTCTTTCATCTTCTTAAAGGGTCTAACATGTTAGCATTAGATATCTAGCTATACTTAACCTGAGAAATTTATCAATATTTCATTTTTCCATCTAAGGAGGTGAGGTCCATGATAAGGAACGATTCCATCTAAGGAGGTGAGGTCCATGATAAGGAACGATTCCACCTAAGGAGGGGAGGTCCATGATAAGGAACGATAAGAAGTAGCTAAGAAGCTCCATGCCATTAATCCAGGAATCTTAGCTTTAGCGTTTCTCAACACTTAGTAACCCAACCGGCATTTCCCGCCCTGGATTTTGGAGTAGGAGGTTTCTAACCACTTTTTCTTTACGATACTTTCCAAAAACATGGTTTCTATTTAATGTATGATAATTTCCAAAAACAGGTTGCAAAAGAAGACTCCTTCTTGTTGGTGACTGATATGAATAACTAGATGAAAGCTTACCAAGGACATAAAGTTTGCGCGGTTAGTAATTTTTGACGACTGCCTTACTCCCACCTCCCTTATTTTACAGACATGAGGATTCTAGCTTGAATGATGAAGACATCTGCTCAAGGGCCCACACTGTGGGTCGATATTACACATCTACTTTTAGAACCCTAGTTTCCTGAGTCCCTGACCTACGTTCCTTCCATGAAACTGAAATCCCAAGCTCACGTGGGTGTATACGGGACGCTAAGCCCCGGGTGGCCCCGGTCGTGCTCAGGTTCACATTCCTGATCCGTCCCGCGGGCCAGGATGGGGGAACCGGAGGTCGCATGGGACCAAAACTGTGTAATGCCGATGCGCTCTTGCCGCGGCGCCGGCCTCGAGAGGGCCACAGTGGCCCAACCAGCCTGAGGTCTCTCGAGGCGCGGACGACCGGCGCAAGCCTCCCACCCTCACCAGGGCCGCGAGCTGCGGAGGTGCAGTCTCCGCCCGCGGGTCCCTAACGCGCACGGCGGCGCCCTCTACAGGGTTGAAGATCCCTCGGGAATCTTGGAAACTCACTGCGCGGACAGGTCGAAACGGACATCCCGATCCTCCCAAAGCGCATCCAGCACCGACATGGTGAACAAGGCCCGTGGCAGGATCTCTCCACAGCCGTGCAGGCCTAGCTGCGTCTCTCTGGCTCCAAGGCAACGGGCCGCCTCTGTCACGACGTCTACGGCGGGCGCCGAGACTCAAGCTTCCGCGAGAGTGCGCGCGCGTCGCCCAGCTCTTTCGCGTCGTTAAGCCGATTTGAGATGCGAGGCAGGATTTAGGAGTCTCTGAGAAGCCCAGCTGTGTCCGCCAAGGGGAGCGTGCCTGACCTCTGGGCGACCTTCCTTGCCTCCAAACAGACATCCTTTAGCCATTTTACCCCTCTCCTTATTTCTCTTCACCGTCAAGAGATTCAGGTTATTAGCCGGGCATGGTGGCTTCTGCCTGTAATCCCTGCAGTTTGGGAGGCCGAGGCTGGAGGATCACTTGAGGCCAGGAATTCGAGACTAGCCTGGGCAACATAGCGAAACTTCATCTCTACAAACACAAACAAACAAACAAAACCAACCCAAAATTAGCCAGGGGTGGTGGTGCACGCCTGCAGGCTCAACTACTCGGGAGGCTGAGGCGGGAGGATCTCTTGAACCCAAGAGGTGGAGGCTGCGGGGAGCTATGATCGTGCCTCTGCCCTCCAGCCTAGGTGATAGAGATATAGGATCAACAGGTTCGTATGCCTGCTGTGCAGTAACAAACCCATTACACGAAGACAGCAGAGTTTGCAGCAGGGAAAGAGTTTAATGATTGCAGGGCACCTAGCAAAGAGATGGGAAGAGATCCTCGAATCTATCTTCCCAAGAGTTCTGGGCTGAGGTTTTTAAGAGGATCACAGAGGGCGAGGGGCTGGAAAATTGGGGTCCTTGATTGGTCGGAGTAAGGGAGATGAAATCATCAGGATAGGGAAGCTGCATTCTTTGCTGAATCAGTTTCTCACGGGTTCCTCAGACCAGCTGGCATCAGTGGGATCCTTCAGGCCAGCTGAGGCAGTAGTTTCATTGGTATGCAGGATCTGAAAGACTATCTCAAAGGGAAAACTGAGTATTTCATAATGTTCAAGTTGTTCTCTATAGAGCAATAGAAGGGAACTATAATCTTGTGACAGGGTCTGCATGATTCTAGGACAATAGGCACCAAACAACTCTGAGCAAGCAGGTCAGAGAGGAAGCTGACCTCATGATTAATGCCGAATTGGCTGCAAGCTTGGTTTATTTTTGTCCCCTCCCCCACACTTTCTTCCCTGATTACTTTTATAAATTTTATTGGGATGGTTTTAGAATGAGGAAAAAAGAAATTTAGAGTTAAAGCTTCAAATTCCTTACCTGGGCCTAGCTCAATGTGGCCCTGCCTATGTCTGCAACCTCCAACCACCCTCACTTCTGGCTGCTCTCTTGCCAGACAGGGCTCAGAGACTTTGGAGGGCCCCCTTCCTTTGCCTGGAACACTGTTTCCCCAGACCTCTGCATAGGCCTGCCCTTTGTCACTTAAATCTCTGCTTGGGCTGGGCGCTGTGGCTCAGGCCTGTAATCCCAGCACTTTGGGAGGCCGAGGTGGGCGGATCACCTGAGGTCAGGAGTTCGAGACCAGCCTGGCCAACATGGTGAAACCCCATCTCTACTAAAAACCCCAAATTAGCTGGGCACGGTGGTGGACGCCTGTAATCCCAGCTACTCGGGAGCCTGAGGCAGGAGAATCACTTGAACCCGGGAGGCGGAGGTTGCAGTGAGCCGAGATCACACCATTGCACTCCAGCCTGGGCAACAAGAGCGAAACTCTGGCTCCAAAAAAAAGTCAAATCAAATCAAATCAAATCACATCTCAGCTCACATGTCAACTCCAGCAGTCCCTGATCCTTCTGCCCCACCTGCTGTGAACAACCCGAGGACAGACACCTGATCTATCTAGTTGACTGCTTTGAACAATACCCAGCACAGAGTAGGACCCAGTAAATACTTCTTGAATGAATCAAAGTCCCTTTTCTCAATGCATGACAATTATTTAAATTAGTGGTTCACAAAGACTGATCTGGATCCCTACAGGGGGCCCACAAGGTCAAACTATATTCATAATAATGTGAAGACATCATTTGCCTTTTTAACTCCCATTCACATATAGTGGAGTTTTCCAGAGGCTATATGATTTTGTTGTTGTTGTTGTTGTTGTTGTTGTTGTCTTACAGGGTCTCATTCACCCAGGCTGAAGTACAGTGGCACGATCACAGCTCACTGTAATCTCAAGCTCCTGAGCTTAAGTGATACTCCCGCCTCAGCCTCCCGAGTAGCTGGGACTACGGGCATAGTCCTGGCTAATTTTTTATTTCATTTTATTTTATTTGTAGAGACAGGGTCTCTCTGTGTTTCCCTGGCTGGTCTCAAACTCGTAGCCTCAAGTGATCCTCCTGCTTTAGCCTCCCAAAGCACTAGGATTATAGGTAAGAGCCACCATACCCAGGCATGATGATTGAATGTGGAAGCAGGTATGAGAATCCTGGTGCCTTTTACTAAACCAGGCATTAAAAAAAATTGCAAAAATGTAAAGCAATGTTCTCACAAATTGTCTGGAAAATATAATTATTTTTTAAAAATGCTATATATGTTAATACATAATAAGTGATTTTTACTTTTGAATGAATGAGTTTTAAAACGCTCAGTATTAACAGATATAATGTATGTAAACAAAAGCTCTTTTAGGTCCTCAATAATGTTTTTAAGAGGATAGTGGGGTCCCAAAACCAAAAGTTTGATAACTGCAGCTTTGAATTATTATTTAGAGCTCCTATAGGTCAGGCTATATGCCAAATACTAGGGATACTAATGTGAAAGGCCATGAGGTGTTTTTCTCAGATTGAAGAGGGTGATGGAGACAAAGGAACGTGAGTGTACACACATTAAGGTGGACTCCAATGAGTCATGCCCTTGTATAATCTCTTCCCCATGAGTGTGGTTGGAACCTGAGAACTTGCTTCTAGTCAATAGAATATATCAAAGGTGATGAAATGTCATTCCCACGACTGTTATGTTATAAAAGACTTGGTCTCAGCCAACTGGGGTGAGAAAGACCCTCCCACTTGCCTTGAAGAAGCCAGCTGCTAGGCTGGGTGCGGTGGGTCATGCCTGTAATCCCAGCACTTTGGGAGGGCAAGGCAGGTAGATCACCTGAGGTCAGGAGTTCAAGACCAGCCTGGCCAACATGGTGTAACCCTGTCTCCTCTAAAAATACAAAAATTAGCCAGGTGTGGTGGCAGGCGCCTGTAATCCCAGCTACTCAGGAGGCTGAGACAGGATAATTGCTTGAACATGGGAGGTGAAGGTTGCAGTGAGTGGAGATTGCACCATTGCACTCCAGCCTGGGTGACAAGAGTGAAACTCTGTCTCAAAAAAAAAAAAAAAAAAAAAAGAAAGAAGCCAGCCGCTATGTTATGAATTAGTACCAGAGACCTTCGTCCTATAGGTCCAAAGAACTGAAATTTGCCAACAATCTGAATGAGCCTGGAAGTGGATCTTTCCCAGGTTGAGCTTCAGATGAGGCTGTAGCCTTAGGAAATATCTGAATTGCAGCCTGGTGAGACCCTGAAGCAGAGAACCCAGGTAAGCTTGCCTGGACTTCTGGCCTACAGAAATGATAAGATAATAACTGTTTTGTTTTAAGCTGCTAAATTTGTGATAATTTATTATGGAGCAATAAAACACTAATACAAATGCGGGCCAGAGGTACTGGTGTGCACCTGTAGTCCCAGGTACTTGGGAGGCTGAGTCAGGAGGATCACTTGAGCACAGGAGTTTGAGGCTGCAGTCAGCTATTGATTGCACCACCACAATCCAGCCTGGGTGACAGAGACAGACCCTGTCTTTAGGGAGGACAAATCGTAGAATTGGCTTTGGAACTTGTGAGCAAGCAGGAGCTTTTAGAGCTAGCAAAATCCTATTGGTAGGAAGCAGGCTGATAGATTAATCAAACATGTGCTACCTTCCATGAAAAAGCAAGGATGACTCACAATGGAACCAAGAGCCCAAAGGGTAGGTTGGAAGTCAAGGAAGATTATTCCTAGATCTTAAAACTTAATCAATAAAAATCCAACATTTGTCCAGATAAATGACAGAATTGTTATATACCAGTAACTCATTTTTACCTTCCATTTCCTTATTCCCTTTCGCCATTTTTGTATTGGTATGTCTGTAACTGTTATTCTATGTCAGTCCCACCGTTGTGTGATGGAGTGTTGGGAGCAGACTTGTCTCTAGTTTCACAAGTCCACAGAAAGGAATTGTGCTTTGAAGAACTGAGCTTAATGGATCACACCCAGCCTCATCTTCACCAGATATATATAATTCAGATGATGAGAGTTTGGACTTTGAGCTGATGCTGTAAGAAGATGGGGGGAACCTTGGGAGGGAGGAAGTTTTTTTCCCCTTTGGAAGGAACACAAATTGTTGGAGGCCAAGGGGCCTACTGTGGTAGGCAGAATTCTACATAGCCCCTAAGATTCTTGCTTTCCTGGTGTACATGCCTTATATAATCCCCTCTTCTTGAGTGCAGAAGAATCTATGAATGTGATAGGATATCAGTCCTCCGATTAGGTAATGTTATATGACAGGTGAAGTAGTTTTGCAGATATGATTAACGTCCTTTAAAGTAATCAAAAGAGAGATTATCCTTGCTGGCCTGCTGTTATCAGGTGAGCCTTTAAAAGAGAGTCTCCTGCTGGCTTTGATGAAATAGAAGCCACGTTGTGAGAGAGCCACATGGCTAGGAACTGAGAATGGCCTCTAGAAGCTGAGAGACAGCAAGAAAATGGAAACTCCAGTCATTTACCCACAAGGAACCGAATTCTGCCAGCAACCTGAATGGGTTTAATGACATCATGTTCTTGGCTGAATTTTGACTTTGGGTGAGACCTTGAGCAGAGACCCAGTCTGCACTCCTGACCCACAAAAACTGTGAGGTGATATATTTGTGTATTTTAAACTTCTAAGATTGTGATAATTTACTGTGCAGCAGCATTAACATACTGGCATCACAGTAGAATCTTTGAAATGACTGGGGGAAGACAATGACAACCTATTATTCATCAATACGCATATAACTGACTTTCATATACTTAGAAAAAAATAATATACTTGGATGGGTGAGGTGGCTCATGCCTGTAATCCCAGCACTTTGGGAGGCCGAGGTGGGTGGATCATTTGAGGTCAGGAGTTCAAGACCAGCCTGGCCAACATGGCAAACCCCTGTCTCTACTAAAAATAATAATAAAAAAAATTTAGTCAGGCGTGGTGGCGCCTGCCTGTAATTCCAGCTACTTTGGAAGCTGAGGCACGAGAATCATTTGAACCTGGGAGACAGAGGTTGCAGAGAGCCAAGATCGTGTCACTGCACTCCAGCCTGGGTGAAAGGGCGAGATTCTGTCTCAAAATAAATAAATAAATAAACTTTATTTTTTAGGTAAGTGTTAGGTTTACATAAAAATTGACTAGAAAGTACAGAGTCCCATGTATCCCCTCCCCTACCCCAGCTTCTCCTCTATGATTAGCATCTTGCATCTTGCAATGTGTGGTACATTTTTTATAGTTGATGAACTAATATAGATAAGTTATTAACTAAGATCCATAGTTTGCATTAGGGTTCATATTTTTCTTTCTTACAGTCTATGGATTTTGACAAATACATGATGATATGACTTGTGTCCACCATCACTGCATTGTACAGAATAGTTTCATTGTCTTAAAATATCCCCTATGCCCCACCTATTCATCCCTGCCTTCTGCCCCCTAGACTTCCGGAAACCACAGATCTTTTTACTGCCTTCATATTTTGCCTTCTACAGAATGTCATGTGGTTGGAATCCTATAGTATGTTGCTTTTCCAGATGGGCTCCTTTCACTTAGCGATATGCATTTAAGGTTCTTCCATGTCTTTTCAAGGCTTGATAGCACATTTCTTTTTTAAAAAATTCATCTCTTATTTTAGATTTGGGGGTACATGTGTAGGTTTGTTACAAGGATATATTGTGTGATGCTGAGGTTTGGGGTACAATTGAACCCATCACTTGGGCACTGAGCATGGTACCCATTGGTAGGTTTTCAACTCTCCCCTCACCAAGTACCTTTGCTGAGGTATAATTTACATACAATAAAATGTACCTATTTTATTTTTTATTTATTTATTTATTTATTTATTTATTTATTTTTGAGACGGAGTCTCGCTCTGTCGCCCAGGCTGGAGTGCAGTGGCGCGATCTCGGCTCACTGCAAGCTCCGCCTCCCGGGTTCACGCCATTCTCCTGCCTCAGCCTCCCGAGTAGCTGGGACTACAGGCGCCTGCTACCACGCCCGGCTAATTTTTTGTATTTTTAGTAGAGACGGGGTTTCACCGTGTTAGTCAGGATGGTCTCGATCTCCTGACCTCGTGATCCGCCCGCCTCGGCCTCCCAAAGTGCTGGGATTACAGGCGTGAGCCACCGCGCCCGGCCGCAAATGTACCTATTTTAAATGTACACTTCGATGAGTTTTGACAAGTGTATGCATCTATGTAATCAATCCCATAATCAAGATATAGAACAGTTCTGTCACCCCAGAAACTTTCCTCGTGTTCCTCTGCAGTCAGTTCTAGGCCCCAGGAAACCACTTGTTTGCTTGTTATTAATATCACTATAGATTTTTTTCATATTTTAAATTGTGTTAAAACATATATAACATAAATTTGCCATACCATAGTTTTGAGTGTTTTAGAATTTCATATAAGTGGTATAATAAATTGTGTACTGTATGTATTGTTTTGTATCTGACTTCTTTCATTTGGCAAGTTTTTGACATTTATACATACTGTTACATGTATCAGTAGTTCATTTCTTTTTATTGCTGTCTTGTATTGTATTCTATGGATATACCACAATTTGTTTCATCTTTTGGACATTTGGGTTGTTTCCAGTTTTCTGCTGGAGCTTGCCAAGGACATTCATACAAAACTTGATAAAATTATAAAATTGCCAAGAACATGAATGCATAAGTCTTTGTGGGATATAGATTTTCATTTCTTTTGAGTAAATACCTACAAGTGAAATTGCTGGGTCATGTGATAGGTATATATTTAACTTGTTAAAAACTACCAACTGTATTCCCAGTATCTAGCACAGCATCTGGGACCTAATGGAATATCAACAAATATTTGTTGAATTAGTGAATAAATGAATGACTTACGTGGGACTCATGAAGAAAGAATTTCAACAAGCAATTGGAAGATATTTGTTAAAAAAATTACTTCCCAAATTCTGCTTTGTTGTTAAGTGTTTAGTAACACTTTGCTCCTATCTCAGAACAATATTGGGGCTACAAAAATAAAAAGCTGTGGCATTATGCAGATCATTTAAACCTAATAAATGATCACTTTAAATCATCTGAATATTTTGGTTGAAAATGGGTGGGAGATACAGTTTGATGGATGACATAAAGCTCAGTGTTTGATAGATCAGTAGGGTGACTATAGTTTACAATAACCCATTGTATATTTATTCTTCTTTTTTTAAAATAGAGATGGGGTCTTGCTATGTTGGGCAGTTTGGTCTTGAACTTCTGGCCTCAAGTGATCCTCCCACCTCAGCCTCCCAAAGAGCTGGGATTGTAGACATGGGGCACCATGCCTGGCCTATTGTATATTTCAACAGCTAAAAGTAAAGAATTTGGATGGTTCTAACACAAAGAAAAGACAAATATTTAAGGTCATGGACATCCCAGTTACACTGTTTTGGTCTCTACAAATAAAACAAACTTGTTTCTTAAGATGTCTTGGGTCAATATATATAATATGTGTAAGGCAAAATTTTTACTTTCAAATTTCAAGGAAAACTACGTTTTTTAATAT
The DNA here is from genome assembly GCF_000001405.40 of Homo sapiens. NCBI lineage: Eukaryota > Metazoa > Chordata > Mammalia > Primates > Hominidae > Homo > Homo sapiens. Next base: position 169,471,728 of record NC_000002.12, on the reverse strand, counting down.
CATTGAACAGCATGGTTCATTTAAATACTTCTGGAGATATTTATTGAAGGTCAGCTACATGCCTGGTTCTGTGCTCAATGTTGGAGTAATACTCCTGAACAAACCAGACATGGCATCTGCCCTCATGGAGTCTATATCTCAGTGAAAGACAGTGCCTAGCCTGGATAGCAGAGAAGCACAATCAAGTCAAAACAAGAATAAAAGCTGGTTATTAGCCTTATATCACTGAGTCATTTCTTCTTCTCCTTACTGCATCCATCTCCTTTAAAAAATGATCACCCTTGACAACACATATGGATGAGGGCTTAAAAAAATAAAAAAAGAAAAACAAAATAAAAATGATATCTTCTTTATTAATGTTGAGAGTTCATAGATAATAGTAACAACCTTTCCTCCAGGGTGTCAGCTTTCCCCTTTCATTGGGTTCCCACAATATGTTGGATGCCCTAGTAATTGCTGTTCTTTCTTCCAAGCAGACATGCCTTATTAGAAGACATTCAGTAAGCCAAAATCTATTTTACAATCTTAAGACTAAAAATAATCTATAATCTAGAGTTTATATAATATAAAATGCCCTTTGGTGCAAATATTTTGCTCTTTGTTCAATAACTTGGCAGTCAATGTCGACTGAAATATATTTCTTTTTTCTAGTTTTACTGAAATATAATTGGTATACAAAAAACTGCACATAATGTATACAGTTTGGTGAGTTTGGACATATGTATACACTTTTGTTACCAACATCACATCCAAGAAAATAAACATATCCATCACTTCCAAAAGTTTCCTTGTGTCCCTTTGTAGTTTTTGTTTGTTTTAATTTTTTTTGTGGTGAGAACACTTAACAAGAGATCTATTTTTTTTTTTCGAATCAGGATCTCTCTATGTTGTCCAAGCTAGTTTTGAACTCCTGGGATCAAGTGATCCTTCTATCTCAGCCTCCTAAGTAGCTGGGACTACAGGCATGTGCCACCATGCCCAGCTCTAATGCACAATACCTTATTGTTAACTATAAACACTATGTTGTACTGCACATCTCTGGAACTAGCTCATCTTGTTTAACTATAACTTTATACCCATTGAACAACTCCCCGTATGTTCTTCCTCACAGCCCTTGGTAACTACCATTCTATTGTCTGCCTCTATAGTCCATACAGTCCATGTTTGATTATTTTAGGTGCCTTATGTAAGAGAAATCATGCAGTATTTGTCATTCTGTAACTTATTTCACTTAGCATAATGTCTTCCAGGTCCATCATGTTGTTGCAAATAGCAGGATTTTTTTCTTTTTTAGGGCTGAATAATATTTCATTGTATGTACAGTCATGTGCCACATAACAATGTTTTGGTCAACCACAGACTGCATATATGACTGGTCCCATAAGATTATATCATATTTTTACTGTATTTTTTCTATGTTTAGTTGTATAAATACTTACAATTGCCTACATTATTTAGTACAGTCACATGCTGTACAGGTTTTTAATCCAGGAGCAATAGGCTATACCATTTACCCTAGATATATAGGAAGATTGTACTATCTAGGTTTGTGTAAGTATACTCTATGAAGTTCACGTGACAAAATCGCCTCACAATGCACTTCTCAAAATGTATCCCCATTAAGTGCCGTATGACTGTATATACAGTTTCTTTGTTCATCTGTTGATGAACAATTGGGTTGTTGCCATATCTTGGCTGTTGTGAATAATGCTGCAATGAACATGGGAATGCAAATACCTCTTCAAGATCCTGATTTCAATTCTTTTGAATATATACCAGAAGTGGGATTGCTGGATCATATGGCAGCTCTATTTTTTAATTTTTTGAGGACCCTCCATACTGTTTTTCATAGAGGCTGCACCATTTTACGTTTCCACCAACAGTGTACAAGGGTTTCAATTTCTCCACAACCTCACCAACACTCGTCAGCTTTTGTTTTTTGAAATGTATTTCTATCTAAAGACAAAATTATTGCATTTAGGAACAACTTTCCAAGTCTAACTTTAGAAACCTGATACTAAACAAAAAGCCTTTAAAGGGAGAAGTAGTTATTTTAAGCTATTCCAAGCGTTTGATCTGAACCTTACCTCTGACCTATTCCTTTACTTCTATGTGAAGACAATCAATAAATACATGCCACAAGTTCCTGAGTAGTGCTTATTGCAAATTGTTTTAAAATACAAAAAGGAGCTAATAGGGAGTTTAATGTAACCATACAAATTTTTATTTTAAAATATTTAATCTGTTTACTGAATTGTTGAATTTATTGAATCCTTTGTTCTTTTATTAAAAACAAAGACTTTCTTACTATAAAGAAGTTGTGGAATCCATTTAAAGACTTCAAGCTTATGCAAAATGAAATGAAACGTTATGGTTTATGTACAAGATGTTCTATGGGGTGTGTTCCTGGATATCATAGAGATCGTATCAATGAGAAATGTTTTATTTACTGAAAAGGAATGCAATACACACAAAATTCTCAACTTGTGACTAAATTGATCAGCAATTAATATATGCTGTTAAGAATTGTGTCCCATGCTGTAAAAGCATGTTCATTTTCTTAATGTGCCATATCCAAAGCAATGTATTCTTGCTTGGGTAGATTGAGATGTTATTTAGTATAAAAGGTTGGCAGTGGCACAAGGGGAGGATGGAGAAGAGAGAAAGGCTCTGCGCTTATCACCTCCTATCTTCCTATTAAGATCCCCATTTCTCCTTATAGTAGCTGCAGTCCCTGTATTTTGATGCTACTAGTAATGGGATAACTAGGCCTTTTCTCTTCTCAATGTCAACAGTCCCATTGACAACAATCCCATTGACTTCCAATCTGGTAAACTGGAAACAAACCAATGACTCCTAGTTTCATTTATCATACTTCAGTGACCTTAATCTTTGAAAGTTTCATTTCTCCTTATAATTATCATTATTGGCTGGGCGCAGTGGCTCATGTCTGTAATCCCAGCACTTTGGGAGGCTGAGGTGGGCAGATCACTTGAGGTCAGGAGTTCGAGACCAGCCTGGCCAATATAGTGAAACTTCGTCTCTACTAAAAATACAAAAATTAGCCAAGCATGGTGGTGTGTGCCTGTAATCCCAGCTACTGGGGAGTCTGAGGCAGGAGAACTGCTTGAACCTGAGAGGTAGAGGTTGCATTGAGTGGAGAGAGTGCCACTGCCCTCCAGTCTGGGTAACAGAGCAAGACTCCATCTAAAAAATATATATATATATAAAATATATAAATATATATAAATATAAATATATAATATAAATATATAATATAATATATATAATATATTATATAATATATAATATATATAATATACATATATAAATATATATATAAAATATATAAATAAAAAATAAATATAAATATAAATATATATAACATATAAATATATATAAATAAATATATAATATATAAAATATAAATATATATAATATATATAAAATTTATATATATTATATATATTATATATATAAATATATATATAAAATTTATAAATATATATACAATATATAAAATTTATATATATATTTACATATATAAAATATATAAAATGTATATATAAATATATATATTTATATATAAAATATAAATATATATATTTATATATATAATGTATATATAAATATATATTTATATATAAAATGTATATATAAATATATATTTATATATATAAAATATATAAAATTTATATATAAATATATATAAAAATACTATATAATAATTTATATAATATTTATATATTATATATACTTTTATATATAAATATAATATATTAATATAAATATATATTAACATATAAATATATATATACCTAAATATATTAACATATAAATATATATTAAACATAAATATATTAATATATATAAATATATTAAACATAAATATATTAATATATAAATATATATTAAACATAAATATATTAATATATATAAATATATATTAAACATAAATATATTAATATATAAATATATATTAAACGTAAATATATTTATAGATAAATATATATTAAACGTAAATATATATTTATCTATAAATATATATTAAACGTAAATATATATTTATCTATAAATATATATTAAACATAAATATATATTTATAGATAAATATATATTAAACGTAAATATATATTTATCTATAAATATATATTAAACGTAAATATATATTTATCTATAAACATATATCAAATATAAATATATTAATATATATAAAATATATATCAAATGTAAATATATTAATATATATAAAATATATATCAAATGTAAATATATTAATATATATAAAATATATATCAAATGTAAATATATTAATATATATAAAATATATATCAAATATAAATATATATCAAATATAAATATATATTTATATGTAAATATATATTAAATATAAATATATATTGATATATAAACATATATATTAAATATAAATATATATTTATATATAAACATATTAAATATCAATATATATTTATATATAAATATATATTAAATATCAATATATATTTATATATAAATATATTAAATATAAAATATATTTATATATAAATATATATTAAATACAAATGTATAAAATATAAATATATTTATATAAATGTATAAAACATAAATATATTTATATAACTGTATAAAATATAAATATATTTATATAACTGTATAAAATATAAATATATTTATATAACTGTATAAAATATAAATATATTTATATAACTGTATAAAATATAAATATATTTATATAACTGTATAAAATATAAATATATTTATATAACTGTATAAAATATAAATATATTTATATAACTGTATAAAATATAAATATATTTATATAACTGTATAAAATATAAATATATTTATATAACTGTATAAAATATAAATATATTTATATAACTATAAAATATAAATATATTTATATAACTGTATAAAATATAAATATATTTATATAACTGTATAAAATATAAATTTATTAATATATAAATATATAAAATATAAATTTATTAATATATAAAAATATATATAAATATAAATATATTAATATATAAATATATAAAATATAAATATAAAATATAAATATATTAATATATAAATATAAAATATAAATATATTAATATATAAATATATTAAATATAAATATATTAATACACATAAATATATTAAATATAAATATATCTATATATAAATATATTAAATATAAATATATTAGTATATATAAATATATTAAATATAAATATATATTTATATATTAAATATAAATATATATTTAATATATAAATATAAATATATGTTTATATATTAAATATAAATATATATTTATGTATATATTCAATATAAATATATATATTAAATATAAATATATATTTATATATATTAAATATAAATATATATTTTTATATATATAAAATATAAATTTATATATTAAATATAAATATATATGTATATATTAAATATAAATATATATGTATATATTAAATATAAATATATATGTATATATTAAATATAAATATATATGTATATATTAAATATAAATATATATTAAATATTTAATATATATTTAATATAAATATATATTAAATATAAATATATTTAATATAAATATATATTTAATATAAATATATATTAAATATAAATATATATTTAATATATATATATTAAATATAAATATATATTTAATATAAATATATATTAAATATAAATATATGTTTATATATAATATATATTTAATATAAATATATATTAAATATAAATATATGTTTATATATAATATATTAAATATAAATATATATTAAATATAAATATATGTTTATATATAATATATATTAAATATAAATATATGTTTATATATAATATATATTAAATATAAATATATGTTTATATATAATATATATTAAATATAAATATATATTAAATATTAATATATATTAAATATAAATATATATTTAATATATATTAAATATAAATATATTTATATATAAATATTATTAAATATAAATATATTTATATATAAATATTATTAAATATAAATATATTTACATATGCATATATATTAAATATAAATATATTTATATGTAAATATATTACATATAAATATATTTATATGTAAATATATTAAATATAAATATATTTATATATAAATATATGTTAATATAAATATATTTATATAGAAATATATATTAAATATAAACGTATATTAAATATTAATATATATTAAATATAAATATATATTTATATATAAATATATATTAAATATAAAGATATTTATATTAAATATATATTAAATATAAAGATATTTATATTAAATATATATTTATATAAAAATATATTTATATAAATATATATTAAATATAAATATATTTATATATAAATATATATTAAATATAAATATATATTTATATATAAATATAAATATAAATATATATAAAATTATCAAGCCAGGTTACCCCGGAATTCTAGCCTTGCATTTCAGTATTTAACAATGGGCAGGTATCCTGAACTATTAAACCTGATTCCCAGTATGTGCCTTGTGCTTTCCTTATGCTCTTCTCTGCTGCATACATCCTCCTCCCCAATCTAAACCCATCAGACCATCAAGTTGTCTTTTAAATTCACATTTATAAAGTTACCTCAAGCTCCACTTAAAAAATGAGCAGGCCTTCATGTGTTGACCTTCACTGACAAAATGATAAACATTTCCGTGGCAACCACTCTACCAAAACTAAGTGCAGTCATTTATATCCATATCATAATACCACTGTATTATACACGTAGCATGGCCTTGATCTAAGTTAATCTACATCATAGTTTCTGTGTATCTTCTGTATAAAAAGAACAATGAAAATATCTGTAATTATTTACATTCCATGATTAATCATTTTAATAAAACATTTTATAAACATTTTCAGCCCATACCTGCAAAGTAGTTTGATCTACTCTGATGCCCAAAGTTATTTTAATAGAATGCCATTAATAGTATGTAGCAATACACTTAAAAGGTTATGATTTTGTCTGACAGTGTGGTCTGTACTCTAAAATTGAGCTTCAGTGCTCAATGAGCTGATAAAAAGTACAGCTCCTCACAGTATTAAACACAAACATGATGAATGGAATGGGTTTCATCATTATTGTTCTTTCATGCAAATCCAAAACACAAAAACAATCTGATGATGTTGTAACTATTTACAGTACATTAACCATCAGGTTAAGTTTTAGCGATCAGAGAGGTTATAGAAAGAAGAAAAAAGTTTTTTATTTCTTGGAATTTTTAGTATCTACTGATTATAACATAACTAGTAAAGCTTAGAAAATCCATTTTGTAAGCTGTAATGTTATTACGTGTACTAATAAAAAATAAATAGCATGAAAAATGCTTTCTGGAAGGCCATCAGCTTTTATAGATAACTTTAGGATACTCACATTTTGAGGGGGTTGGGGGAAGGGAGAGGAGCGCTGAGAAACCTGGTGGGAGGTTTGAAAGTATTATAGAAATGACAACTTCAATACATGGCAGAAGGTCATTTCAATGGCATGGGCATCTAATTCTCAGTTTTAAATTACCTGTTGGATTGTGATGTAAACTCCATTTATCTCACAAGACTTTAGGTAAAATCTACTATAAACATGAAGGTTTTGTGTGACTGTTTCTTCCCAGGTAGAAATCAGAAGGAGGGACTAAATTTCATGGCTCCTAATTTTAGATAATCTAGTAGAGGTGGCTTTACTGTGGCTTTGATTACCTTTGGGTCTAACTTGCCCTCCACAAAAATTTACATGGTGGTTGATAGAGATCAGTATTATATACATGTGTATGTGTATGTGTATGTGTATGTGTATGTGTGTGTGTGTGTGTGTGTGTGTGTGTATATATATATATATACACACATAAATTTCAAAATAAACCCTGCAGTAATACTTTTTAAAAAATTTATTGTGTGATTGTGCGGTCTCTATGCTCTATAAGAAGCTAGTCCAGACATCTCCCATTTAGCTTTTAGGACCAAGTTTGATAATAAATATGAGTGTCCATAAATCAGTGTGTGCCAAATAGATTATACAACTTAGAATTGACTCTGATATAAGTTCAAATAAAAACAAAGAAGGTTTTTTTTTCCAATTACAATTTGTGAGAACTAAAAGTATATTCTCCTCATAGGTCTTTTAAGGACGCTGACGCAGCTGCCTCACTCAGTGAACAATAATGAGTAATTTGAACATATTTAGCAAACTCCTCTGTTTATATAACTGTAGATTCCAGAAAGCACACTGTGATAGGGAGCCAAAAACCACAGGATTCCCCCATCACTGTTCCCTCCTCTCCTGGCAAAGCCACCCTTCCTCTTAGATTAATGCAAAGGTAACAATAATAAAGCTGAGATTTTGATCTCTAGTTTGATCCCTAGCTGAGTCCACTTCTGAGCTGGTTCAGAACCTAGAGGAAGCTGAAGCATTCTTTAACTGAGGCTCTATCCCCTAAACACCTAAACTATTCACTGCACGTGGATAACAATCTTTTAAAATATAGCAAAGACATTTCCTTCATTAGGTTTCCCTACCCCTTCACTATTCTCCTTTTTGAGGTCAAGGTTCCTGCTCTGTTGTTCCTTTCTAGTGGAGCACTGATCACAGTGTATTGAAACGATCTGTTCTCTCACTAGATGGTCAGCCCTAAGCAATGCATTTTTGAATCTTGAGTCCTTAGCACAGTGCCAGCCACCTAGTAGATGCTTCATAAATGTCTGTGTGAAGTGGAAATAATTTTATGCTAAATTCAGTATTCTTTCTCATTGGTCCAATCATCTTATAAGATGTTCTTTTTTTGGTTGGTAGTTTCCATTTGATTTCAGTCTTCCTGTGACAGTAAAAAAAGTACACCACTTTACAGCTAAATTACAAAATTTAATCATACTATGTATTTCATACTATACTGAAGTAACAATTCTAGCTTATTGTATACAGAAGAAAAACAACAGAATTGAACATAACATTATAATTTTTAAACAGGCACATTACCAGAACTAAGTTTTTTTTGTAAGTTTATACTCAAACTATTTCTTCATTCAGCTAATCTCTGTTACTGGGTGTTATGACCAAATGTTCCCCAAATGAACCCCCAACCAAATTCATATGTTGACATCTTAATCCTTAATGTGATGGTATTGGGAGGTGAGATCTTTGAGAAGTAATTGCGTCAAGGGATGGAGCCCTCATGGATGGGGTTAATGCTGTTATAAGGTGATGAAGGGACCAGAGCTTTCTCTCTCAGCATGTGAGGGTATAAGGAGAAAATGGCTGTCTGGAAACTGGGAAGTGAGACCTCACCAGACTTGGACTTCCCAGTCTTTAGAACTGTGAGAAATAAATCTTTGCTGTTTAACCCACCCAGTCTATGGTAATTTGATGTAGTATGAACTGATACACTTGGGTATCTATCAGGGTTTATTTCTGTTGAGATTGTGAGAAAGGTAACTCTCACTAATTCATGTCGATTTAGGAGACCTGTCCTGAAGGCTCAGGTTGGCATGGTCTGACATTTATGGACAATGGGCCATACTGAAAATTAAAATTTACTTGGTAGTGAAGGGACTTCAAAGGAGACCTCAAATTGTAAGGAGCCATCCTCCAGAACCACTGAAACTGAGGAAGGACCAGAGACCCATGTGACTGCCAACTAAGTACCAACTTCCATATTTGGTTGTCTATAACTCTGGACTCTTTGAAATTCTTGATGCCCAGGTTGCATTCCAGATCAATGGAATCAGAGTCTCTAGGGACATAACCTGGGGACTAATGGTTTTTAAAAACTCCATATGTGATTCTACTGAATAGCAAAGGTTGACGCTTTCTGCAATAAACAGACAGATGCCCTAGATATTGGGAGAAACAACAGAGATTTCAAATACACAGGTGCTTCAAATTTTAGGTATTGGAATGTTAATGAGCTTCTACTTATGTGTTCAACCCACAGCTCCAAGGTCACAAATAGCAAGGATTTCTTTTATTGACTATTGATTCTTCTCCAAAACAATTCAAAGGAGGCATACGGGAAGTTATGCAAATATAGAGACAGCATATTTTATTAAGAAAACTTGAAAGTCAAGTTTGTCCTTTCTTTGTTTTAGGGAACAGCTTTTTTTCCCCCCTCCTGGAGTTCCTTCACCCAGAAATCTAGGCAGACTTGTAGGACTGAAAGGACTTAGTCTTTTAAAAATAAAGACATTGCTGACAAAGTCAGTTGTGATAACAGTAGCATCATTATTATTGTTGCCATAAATCAGTTTAATTGCCCTTATTGCCTTGGGATATGGGCAGGAAACACCTTACTGGTCATTAGTTCTTGTTATCACTTCATTGACCTGGTTTTACTTTCCTTTTTAAGAAAATAGCAGAGAAACTTCATTAGTCTGTATCTACAGTGACGTAATGGAGCTGCTGCAGGAGGCAGTAGCTCTTCAAACCCTTCTCCCCCATCCTTGTAATGCATGTATTACAATGCATGTGGGAGCTATGGTACTTGTGTTTACTGGATGGAGGAAACAAGATGCAGAAGACATTGCCTGAAGTGTGAACAGGGTGGCATCACCAATGTACTCACTGTCTTAGGCCTGCGTACTGACTGAGAGGCCACATTTTGCAGCACCACGAGGTCAGCTCAGACCACAGCCCTCCCCAGTCACCATTTTTATTTTTATTTTTTGAGACAGAGTCTGGCTCTGTTGCCCAGGCTGGAGTGCCATGGTGCGATCTTGGCTCACTGCAACCTCCGCCTCCCGGGTTCAAGCGATTCTCCTGTCTCAGCCTCCAGAGTAGCTGGGATTACAGGTGCTGGCCACCATGCCTGGCTAATTTTTGTATTTTTAGTAGAGATGGAGTTTCACTATGTTGGCCAGGCTGGTCTCGAACTCCTCAAGTGATCTGCCTGCCTCAGCTTCCCAAAGTGCTGGGATTATAGGCTTGAGCCACCATGCCCGGCCCTGATTCTGTGCTTTTAATCGTTACTTAACACTTCCACATGCCAGGGATGCAATCTCCCTTGGTTAAGTTATTGAATCCCCCTGAGTCTCTTTTTTTTTTTTCTTTTTTTTTTCATTTTAATAGTACCTACCTCATGGAATTGGTGGGAGGAAGATGGCTAGTCCAATGGCTGGTGTGAGTTCTCCCTGTAGATGTTATTCTCCAGCCCCAGGCTGGTTACTGGGTTATTGTCAGTTCACCTCACTCTGTGTACCTGCGTGTGGGATTTGGACGTTTATTTAATGATTAATTAAGGTAGACTAGCAGAAGCTTATAGTTCATTTTTCTTGTCTCCTACTTTAGAATATAAAATAATAGATACAAGCACTGTACCCGGACTCCACAATCTTGCAGAATATACTTTAAAAATGATTTTAGCAGATGATTAATTTCAGCCACTTTTGTCCTGAGCAAAACCAACTTCACTTCAATTTGGCTGTATTGTTTAGCAAAGTTAAAAAATACTCCCCCAAGATAGTTCATGATTTATATTATAAGGATTTATAGATCTATATGTTAGGTCCTACTCTGGAAGCCCTTTTCTGGAAGCAGAAACCCACCCTATCAAGCCATGGCACTTATGACAGAATTCCTGAAATACGTGACAGAATTACTTCCCCTTGTCATTTAAAAACAGTTTATGCTGAGTCAAATGCAGTGGCTCATGCCTGTAATCCTGACAGTTTGGGAGGCTGAGTTGGGGAGGCTGAGGCAGGAGGATCACTTGAGACCAGGAGTTCAAGATAAGCCTGGGCAACATAGCAAGACCTCATCCCTGCAATAAATTTAAAACAATAATTGGTGGGTACCTGTGGTCCCAGCTACTAGGGAGGCTGAAGTGGGAGGATCACTTGAGCCCAGGAGGTTGAGAGTGCAGTGAGCCACGATTGTGCCACTGCACTCCAGCCTGGGTGACAGAGCAAGACTCTATGTCAAAAATAAAATAAAGTAAAATAAATAAGTACCAGTTTATGTTGTATGATTCCATTTATATCAGGCCAGAATAAGCACATCCACACAGACAGAAAGTAGACTGGTGGTAGTTAGGGGTTGGATAAAGGGCGAGAATAGGATATGGGGTTTCTTATTGGGATAGTTGGTATGGGGGTTCTTATTGGGGTAATGAAAATGTTCTAGATTTAGATAATGACAATGATTGTACAACTCTGAATATGCTAAAAACTACTGACTTCTCTACTTTTAAAGGGTGAATTTTATGGCATGTGAATTATATCTCAAAAACACTGTTATGAAACAAAACCGATCATGTGAATCTTGATGTGACTTTGGTGGTGCCCAGAAGGGAGAAGCCACGGGGCCAGGTGGACATTTTACAGGTGACTGCTGCCCACCTTAGCAGTGATGGATGAATATTACCCCAGGCAGCACTGTAAGATATAGGATTATTATGACATTTTTCAGGTCGAGTAACTACAAGAGTCCGTTTGGGGTGACCAGGTTCTCTCTAGGGACTCTGAACCAAATCCCTATGCTATTGCCACCGTAAGCTGGGGACTAATTATGCAGAGCTATTGTGAGAGTGACCAGATATGGCTAAATCTCCTGGCAAACTGTGACATGCACAGTGCCTATCACATAGTGGGTGTTCAAAACATCTTTAATGAATCAGTAAATGAATGGTTGAGACTTTCCGTGGATCTTCTGGGTTAGGAGGAGGTATTGGAACCCAAAGAGTGCTTTTTACATAAAGGGCATCTCTGAAAGATTATGTTGGTGCAGTATTTTTTGTAGAATATACAGATGGAATGTATTATGTTACTATTACATTTATTTATTTTTTATTTTATTATTATACGTTAAGTTTTAGGGTACATGTGCACAACGTGCAAGTTTGTTACATATGTATACATGTGCCATGTTGGTGTGCTGCACCCATTAACTCATCATTTAGCATTAGGTATATCTCCTAATGCTATCTCTCTCCCCTACCCCCACCCCACAACAGTCCCCATTGTGTGATGTTCCCCTTCCTGTGTCCATGTGTTCTCATTGTTCAATTCCCACCTATGAGTGAGAACATGCGGTTTTTGTTTTTTTGCCCTTGCGATAGTTTGCTGAGAAAATGATGGTTTCCAGCTTCATCCATGTCCCTACAAAGGACATGAACTCATCATTTTTTATGGCTGCATAGTATTCCATGGTGTATATGTGCCACATTTTCTTAATCCAGTCTATCGTTGTTGGACAGTTGGGTTGGTTCCAAGTCTTTGCTATTGTGAACAGTGCTGCAATAAACATACGTGTGTGTGCATGTGTCTTTATAGCAGCATGATTTATAATCCTTTGGGTATATACCCAGTAATGGGATGGCTGGGTCAAATGGTATTTCTAGTTCTAGATCCCTGAGGAATCGCCACACTGACTTCCACAATGGTTGAACTAGTTTACAGTCCCACCAACAGTGTAAAAGTGTTCCTATTTCTCCACATCCTCTCCAGCACTTGTTGTTTCCTGACTTTTTAATGATCGCCATTCTAACTGGTGTGAGATGGTATCTCATTGTGGTTTTGATTTGCATTTCTCTGATGGCCAGTGATGATGAGCATTTTTTCATGTGTTTTTTGGCTGCATAAATGTCTTCTTTTGAGAAGTGTTTGTTCATATCCTTTGCCCACTTTTTGATGGGGTTGTTTGTTTTTTTTCTCGTAAATTTGTTTTAGTTCATTGTAGATTCTGGATATTAGCCCTTTGTCAGATGAGTAGATTGCAAAAATTTTCTCCCATTCTGTAGGTTGCCTGTTCATTCTGATGGTAGTTTCTTTTGCTGTGCAGAAGCTCTTTAGTTTAATTAGATCCCATTTGTCAATTTTGGCTTTTGTTGCCATTGCTTTTGGTGTTTTAGACATGAAGTCCTTGCCCATGTCTGTGTCCTGAATGGTAATGCCTAGGTTTTCTTCTAGGGTTTTTATGGTTTTAGGTCTAACGTTTAAGTCTTTAATCCATCTTGAATTAATTTTTGTATAAGGTGTAAAGAAGGGATCCAGTTTCAGCTTTCTACATATGGCTAGCCAGTTTTCCCAGCACCATTTATTAAATAGGGAATCCTTTCCCCATTGCTTGTTTTTATCAGGTTTGTCAAAGATCAGATGGTTGTAGATATGCGGCATTATTTCTGAGGGCTCTGTTCTGTACCATTGGTCCATATCTTTGTTTTGGTACCAGTACCATGCTGTTTTTGTTACTGTAGCCTTGTAGTATAGTTTGAAGTCAGGTAGTGTGATGCCTCCAGCTTTGTTCTTTTGGCTTAGGATTGACTTGGCAATGTGGGCTCTTTTTTGATTGCATATGAACTTTAAAGTAGTTTTTCCCAATTCCGTGAGGATAGTCATAGGTAGCTTGATGGGGATGGCATTGAATCTATAAATTACCTTGGGCAGTATGGCCATTTTCATGATATTGATTCTTCCTATCCATGAGCATGGAATGTTCTTCCATTTGTTTGTATCCTCTTTTATTTCATTGAGCAGTGGTTTGTAGTTCTCCTTGAAGAGGTCCTTCACATCCCTTGTAAGTTGCATTCCTAGGTATTTTATTCTCTTTGAAGCAATTGTGAATGGGCGTTCACTCATGATTTGGCTCTCTGTTTGTCTGTTATTGGTGTATAGGAATGCTTGTGATTTTTGCACATTGATTTTGTATCCTGAGACTGCTGAAGTTGCTTATCAGCTTAAGGAGATTTTGGGCTGAGACGATGGGATTTTCTAGATATACAATCATGTCATCTGCAAACAGGGACAATTTGACTTCTTCTTTTCCTAATTGAATGCCCTTTGTTTCCTTCTCCTGCCTGAGTGCACTAGCCAGAGCTTCCAACACTATGTTGAATAGGAGTGGTAAGAGAGGGCATCCCTGTCTTGTGCCAGTTTTCAAAGGGAATGCTTCCAGTTTTTGTCCATTCAGTATGATATTTTCTGTGGGTTTGTCATAGATAGCTCTTATTATTTTGAGATACGTCCCATCAATACCTAATTTATTGAGAGTTTTTAGCATGAAGGATTGTTGAATTTTGTCAAAGGCCTTTTCTGCATCTATTGAGATAATCATGTGGTTTTTGTCTTTGGTTCTGTTTATAAGCTGGATTACGTTTATTGATTTTCGTACATTGAACCAACCTTGCATCCCAGGGATGAAACCAACTTGATCATAGTGGATAAGCTTTTTGATGTGCTGCTGGATTCAGTTTGCCAGTATTTTATTGAGGATTTTTGCATCAATGTTCATCAAGGATATTGGTCTAAAATTCTCTTTTTTTGTTGTGTCTCTGCCAGGCTTTGGTATCAGGATGATGCTGGCCTCATAAAATGAATTAGGGAGGAATCCCTCATTTTCTATTGATTGGAATAGTTTCAGAAGGAATGGTACCAGCTCCTCCTTGTACCTCTGGTAGAACTTGGCTGTGAATCCACCTGGTCCTGGACTTTTTTTGGTTAGTAAGCTATTAATTATTGCCTTAATTTCTAAGCCTGTTATTGGTCTATTCAGAGATTCAACTTCTTCCTGGTTTAGTCTTGGGAGGGCGTATGTGTCAAGGAATTTATCCATTTCTTCTAGATTTTCTAGTTTATTTGCATAGAGGTGTTTATAGTATTCTCTGATGGTAGTTTGTATTTCTGTGGGATGGGTGGTGATATCCCCTTTGTCATTTTTTATTGCATCTATTTGATTCTTCTCTCTTTTCTTCTTAATTAGTCTTGCTAGTGGTCTATCAATTTTGTTGATCTTTTCAAAAAACCAGCTCCTGGATTCATTGATTTTTTGAAGAGTTTTTTGTGTCTCTATTTCCTTCAGTTCTGCTCTGATCTTAGTTATTTCTTGCCTTCTGCTAGCTTTTGAATGTGTTTGCTCTTGCTTCTCTGGTTCTTTTAATTGTGATGTTAGGATGTCAATTTTAGATCTTTCCTGCTTTCTCTTGTGGGCATTTAGTGCTATAAATTTCCCTCTACACACTGCTTTGAATGTGTCCCAGAGATTCTGGTATGTTGTGTCTTTGTTCTCGTTGGTTTCAAAGAACATCTTTATTTCTGCCTTCATTTCGTTATGTACCCAGTAGTCATTCAGGAGCAGGTTGTTCAGTTTCCATGTAGTTGAGCGGTTTTGAGTGAGTTTCTGAATCCTGAGTTCTAGTTTGATTGCCCTGTGGTCTGAGAGAGAGTTTGTTATAATTTCTGTTCTTTTACATTTGCTGAGGAGAGTTTTACTTCCAACTATGTGGTCAATTTTGGAATAGGTGTGGTGTGGTGCTGAAAAGAATGTATATTCTGTTGATTTGGGGTGGAGAGTTCTGTAGATGTCTATTAGGTCTGCTTGGTGCAGAGCTCAGTTCAATTCCTGGATATCCTTGTTAACTTTCTGTCTCATTGATCTGTCTAATGTTGACAATGGGGTGTTAAAGTCTCCTATTATTATTGTGTGGGAGTCTAAGTGTCTTTGTAGGTCACTAATGTGCTTTATGAATCTGGGTGCTCCTGTATTGGGTGCATATATATTTAGGATAGTTAGCTCTTCTTGTTGAATTGATCCCTTTACCATTATGTAATGGCCTTCTTTGTCTCTTTTGATCTTTGTTGGTTTAAAATCTGTTTTATCCGAGACTAGGATTGCAACCCCTGCCTTTTTTTGTTTTCCATTTGCTTGGTAGATCTTCCTCCATCCCTTTATTTTGAGCCTATGTGTGTCTCTGCACGTGAGATGGGTTTCCTGAATACAGCACACTGATGGGTCTTGACTCTTTATCCAATTTGCCAGTCTGTGTCTTTTAATTGGAGCATTTAGCCCATTTACATTTAAGGCTAATATTGTTATGTGTGAATTTGATCCTGTCATTATGATGTTAGCTGGTTATTTTGCTCGTTAGTTGATGCAGTTTCTTCCTAGCCTCGATGGTCTTTACAATTTGGCATGTTTTTGCAGTGCCTGGTACCGGTTGTTCCTTTCCATGTTTGTGCTTCCTTCAGGAGCTCTTTTAGGGCAGACCTGGTGGTGACAAAATCTCTCAGCATTTGCTTGTCTGTAAAGTATTTTATTTGTCCTTCACTTATGAAGCTGAGTTTGGCTGGATATGAAATTCTGGGTTGTAAATTCTTTTCTTTAAGAATGTTGAATATTGGCCCCCACTCTCTTCTGGCTTGTAGAGTTTCTACTGAGAGATCAGCTGTTAGTCTGATGGGCTTCCATTTGTGGGTAACCTGACCTTTCTCTCTGGCTGCCCTTAACATTTTTTCCTTCATTTCAACTTTGTTGAATCTGACAATTATGTGTCTTGGAGTTGCTCTTCTCGAGGAGTATCTTTGTGGTGTTCTCTGTATTTCCTGAATGTGAATGTTGGCCTGCCTTGCTAGATTGGGGAAGTTCTCCTGGATAATATCCTGCAGAGTGTTTTCCAACTTGGTTCCATTCTCCCTGTCACTTTCAGGTACACCAATCAGACGTAGATTTGGTCTTTTCACATAGTCCCATATTTCTTGGAGGCTTTGTTTTTTTCTTTTTATTCTTTTTTCTCTAAACTTCTCTTCTTGCTTCATTTCATTCATTTCATCTTCCATTGCTGATACCCTTTCTTCCAGTTGATCACATTGGCTACTGAGGCTTGTGCATTTGTTACGTAGTTCTCGTGCCGTGGTTTTCAGCTCCATCAGTTCCTTTAATGACTTCTCTGCATTGGTGATTCTAGTTAGCCATTTGTCTAATTTTTTTTCAAGGTTTTTAACTTCTTTGCCATTGGTTTGAATTTCCTCCTTTAGCTCGGAGTAGTTTGATCTTCTGAAGCCTTCCTCTCTCAACTTGTCAAAGTCATTCTCCATCCAGCTTTGTTTCATTGCTGGTAAGGAGCTGCGTTCCTTTGGAGGAGGAGAGGCACTCTGATTTTTAGAGTTTCTGGTTTTTCTGTTCTGTTTTGTCCGCATCTTTGTGGTTTTATCTACCTTTGGCCTTTGATGATGGAGACGTACAAATGGGTTTTGGTGTGAATGTCCTTTCTGTTTGTTAGTTTTCCTTCTAACAGTCAGGACCCTGAGCTGCAGGTCTGTTGGAGTTTTCTGGAGGTCCACTCCAGACCCTGTTTACCTGGGTATCAGCAGCAGTGGCTGCAGAACAGCGGATATTGGTGAACCACAAATGCTGCTGCCTGATCGTTCCTCTGGAAGTTTTGTCTCAGAGGAGTATTTGGCCATGTGAGATGTCAGTCCGCCCCTACTGGGCGGTGCCTCCCAGTTAGGCTACTTGGGGTCAGGGACCCACTTGAGGAGGCTGTCTGCCCATTCTCAGATCTCAAGCTGCGTGCTGGGAGAACCACTACTCTCTTCAAAGCTGTCAGACAGGGACATTTAAGTCTGCAGAGGTTACTGCTGCCTTTGGTTTGTCTGTGCCCTGCCCCCAGAGGTGGAGCCTACATCGGCAGACAGGCCTCCTTGAGCTGTGGTGGGCTCCACCCAGTTCGAGCTTCCCAGCTGCTTTGTTTACCTACTCAAGCCTCAGCTATGGCAGGCGCCCCTCCCCCAGCCTCGCTGCTGCCTTGCAGTTTGATCTCAGACTGTTGTGCTAGCAATGAGCGAGGCTCCGTGGGCTTAGGACCCTCTGAGCCATGTGCAGGATATAATCTCCTGGTGTGCTGTTTGTTAAGCCTGTTGGAAAAGCGCAGTATTAGGGTGGGACTGACCCGATTTTGCAGGTGCCATCTGTCACCCCTTTCTTTGACTAGGAAAGGGAATTCCCTGACCCCTTGTGCTTACCAGGTGAGGTGATGCCTCGCCCTGCTTCGGCTCATGCTTGGTGCGCTGCACCCACTATCCTGCACCCACTGTCCGGTACTCCCCAGTGAGATGAACCCGGTACCTCAGTTGGAAATGCAGAAATCACCCATCTTCTGCATCGCTCATGCTTGGAGCTGTAGACTGGAGCTGTTCCTGTTCGGCCATCTTGGCTCCACCCCCATTTTACATTTATTATTATTATTTTGAGACAAGGTCTTGCCCTGTCATCGAGGCTGGAGTGCAGTGGAGGCCATCATGACTCACTGAAGCCTTGATTTTTGTGGGTTTAAGCAATCCTCCCATCTCAGCCTCCTGAGTAGCTGGGACTACAGGTGCATGACACCACACCTGGCTAATTTTTAATTTTTTTGTAGAGAGGATCTGAATATGTTGCTAGGGTGGTCTCCAACTCCTGGGTTCAAGTGATCCTCCCGCCTGGTCCTCTCAAAGAGCTGGGATTATAGGCATGAGCTACTGTGCCTGGCCTTTTTTTTTTTTTTTTTTTTTCCCTAAAACAAAGCTCTTGGGATGCAAAGGTAATGTTCTCATTCACTCCCTTCCTCATCACCCAGGCATTACTTAGTCCTTTTATATTAAGGAGGTTGGGAACTGTGGGTGGGGGTAGGGGTGGGAGGTGGAAGTTGTGGGAGTGGTAGGCTGTTCAAGTTTTTCCTTAGAACAACAGTGACATCCTGTGGCCAATTTATAGAATAGAGGCTATTAAGCAGAGTGGGTATGGATTCTCTACTTGAAGACAAAAATTACTATGAACCAAATTAATCAGACTTTGCATTAAATTCAGAGAATTTAGGGAATGCTCATTATTTACAGGAATTATGATGTTGCTTTTATAGGTATTATTTTCTTACATTATTTTATATTTTCCCTAGATAACCTGGGGAATTAATTCTGCATATATTTTGTGTCGAAGAGCAGCCATCACATTCAGAACCCCTAAAATTGTATGGAAAATGTTGTGTGTATGTGTATGTCTAGGGAAACGAGCTCTTGTTTTTATAACATGCTCCTCTGGTTCCCCGGACTCTCACAATCCTTAGCATTGCTACCTTAGAGCATGTTTCTAACAATGCCGTTATGATAGACTTTGGATTAGCTTCATCAATGTCTTTTTCTCTGGAAGCTGCCATTTCTTCTAGCAAACCATGCTCATCCTATGTTAAAAACAACTTTGTGGCTGGGCATGGTGGCTCACGCCTGTAATCCCAGCACTTAAGTCTCGCTCTGTCACCCAGGCTAGAGTGCAGTGGCGCAATCTCGGCTCACTGCAACCTCTGACTCCCAGGTTCAAGCGATTCTCCAGTCTCAGCCTCCCGAGTAGCTGGGACTACAGGCACCGTCACCATGCTGGGCTAATTTTTTGTATTTTGGCTAATTTTTTTGTATTTTTAGTAGAGATGGGATTTCGCCATGTTGGCCAGGCTGGTCTTGAACACCTGACCTCAGGTGATCCACCTGCCTCGGCCTCCCAAAGTGCTGAGATGATAGGCTTGAGCCACCACACTCAGCCAAAAACAACTTTAAAAGAGAAAAGAAAAAACGAAAGAAAAGCAAAGAAAACAAAAGCAAGAATAATAGGATCAGATAGCATTGCAACATCATATAGTGGAAAAAGCAATGGAATATAAATCAGTCCCAAATCTATTACTTGCTGCAGGTCTGAGCTAAGTCAAGTTAGTTAATCTTTGAGTCTTGGTTTTTTCATCTGCAAAATGGAGATAAGTAATATCAGAGAATTATTTCTCTGATATAAACACAATTATATCAGAGAATAATATCAGAGAATCAATTGGTAGGGATGAGTTTTTCGATGCAACACCAAAAGTACAATCCATGAAAGAAAAAAGTGGTTTGTGGGATTTTATTAAAATTTAAAACTTCTGCTCTGCAAAAGATACTGTTTAGAGTATGGAAAGACAAGACACAGACTAAGAAAAAATATTTGCAAAACACATATGATAAAGAACTTGTATTCAAAGTATACAAAGAATCCACTGGGAAAATTTATGCTTATGTTTGAAAATAATAATGGCCTATACGAACATAAGAATTTTAACTATAGCCGGGCACAGTGGCTCATGCCCATAATCCCAACACTTTGGGAGGCTGAGGCGGGCAGATCACAAGGTCAGGAGTTCGAGACCAGCCTGGCCAACATACTGAAACCCCGTCTCTACCAAAAATACGAAAATTGGCAGGCATGGTGGCACATGCCTGTAATCCCAGCTACTCAGGAGGCTGAGGCAGGAGAATTGTTTGAACCCGGAGGTGGAGGTTGAAGTGAGCTGAGATCGCGCCACTGCACTCCAGCCTAGGCGATAGATCAAGACTCTGTCTCAAAAAAAAGAACCAAACAAACAAAAAAAGAATTTTAACTATAGCACTTATATGTTTTTTAAAACAATACATGATCACATACAAAACATAAAAGTGAAATGAGAAAAGTCTAAAGAAAAAATTCAATTAATCCTATCACTCAGCAGAAGTAACTGTTGACATTTTAATGTATTCTTTCCTTTTTGCTAGATATACACATATGTATTATTAGTTAACTGATGTTTAAAGTTGCCTTATTTCTCTACCTCAGAGGACCTGGATTTCTCCTGAGAGAATGAGGACGGCCTTTCTAACACTGAGGAACAGAATATTAAATCCTGTTCTATAGCATGGCATCTGCCAACCCCTGGATTCTCACCTGGGTCAGAGTTGGGAAGAGAAGGCAGATATATCCCTTTGGAGCATCCTTTCTGGCTTCTCCAGCCTCTGAACAGATCTTGTTTGTATCTGGGTGTGTGTAGATTTGAATGAGCTGGTGTGAGATGTGCACACACACAGGAAAAGAAAGAAAGAAGGCTGAGGTCTACATATTGCATTGCTGGCTGCCCACTACCTAGATGGTGTCAGGAGGCCTCTGCCCAAGGCTTTTACTTTTTTCTTTTTTTTCTTTTTTTTTTTGAGACAGAGTTTCGCTCTTGTTGCCCAGGCTGGAGTGCAGTAGCATGACCTCGGCTCACTGCAACCTCCGCCTCCCGGGTTCAAGAAATTCTCCAGCCTCAGCCTCCATTGTAGCTGGGATTACAGGCACCTGCCACCATGCCCAGCTGAATATTTGTATTTTCTTTTTTTTAGTAGAGACGGGGTTTCACTATGTTGGCCAGGCTGGTCTTGAACTCCTGACCTCAGGTGATCCACCCGCCTCGGCCTCACAAAGTGATGGGATTACAGGTGTGAGCCACCGTGCCCAGCCCGGCTTTTTCTTATCTTTGGAACATTTTTATTGAAGCATAACGTAAATACAGAAAAGTGTAAAAACCATAAAAACCAGAATTTTCAAATTGAATGCAGCTAGATCAAGATACATGACCAACACTCCAGAAACCTCCTATGCTAGCTTGCAGTGATTACCTGCTGCAATAAGTAATCTGACTTCTAATATCATAGACTACTTTTGTCTGCCAAACAGACTTAAATTCAATAATGGACTTGATAAAGGGAACTATAATAACTTCATTAACACCCTGAAAAGAGTAAAGTTGCATCTGATGATATAAATAATTTGTAATCGAATTTCAACAAGAGGATGGGGTCAACCAGGTAGGCCCATGGGCTCTGATGCGGAAAGGCATCATGATGGTCATGGACGTGGGCAGTTCAACTCATCTCTCTTAGAAGCATTGGGGTGACACAGAACCTCTGATTGAAATCATGTCTATCCTGTGCCTGATCAACTGCTTTAAATATTGCCCTTCCAAATTCAGATATCCAAATCCTTATCAGTTTCCCTGACTCATGTCCTGCCAGAGAAAACTAATCTCCACAGCCATCCCCTTGTTCCAATTTTTGTTAGCTTGAAGCTAACCCTCTTGCCTGCCCTGATCCAGTCCACTGTAACCTTAACTAGTCCCTCTCATCCTAATTTGTAGTTAGACTTTTGAAAGATCCGGGCCTAGATAATTCACTGAGAAAACTAGAGAGGAAAATATAAAGAGTGATATTTAAAGAACTGAAAAGAGTAGGAAAGAATATGGGAATTATTTTGCATATGGTAACTTTCAGGACATGGGGCTTCCCAGTTTCCTCGTCTAGACTAGAGCAGGGGCCAGAACAGGGAAGTCGAAATAGGTCTTAAGGCTCGTAGTAGTTCATTTTGGATCTGATACAATAACTTATCAAACAGAGCAGAGTCAAAAATTTTCTATATATCCTGGTTAAAAGTTATCTATCCATTCTCTACAGAAATTTTAGTTTTTTTCCCATGTTCTTCAGCATATCTTCTCCCCCATTGCTGGCTGGAAATCATTAAAGCAGCCATGAAGGCTGTCTTAAGACAGTCAGTGTTAGCAGGAGTCCATGGGGATTTTGTGAGCCCTGTATACACTGTAATGAGGTGTAGGGAGTTGGAGATACACATAGGGTAAGGGTGATTTAGAGCATCATTTATAACAGAATACAGGAGATGGAGTTGCAGGAGACCTTAGAGGTTAAATAGATCATTCTCCTACTCAGTGAAGTAATCCCTTTGACAATAACCTTGATAGATGGTTATTTAACGTCTGCTTGAACATTTTCAGTGATTTCCAGCCAATGACGAGAGGCTCACTGCTTATCTAGGCAGGTCGTTTTATTTATTCTCAACTTGATAGAAAGCTTTCCTGTATAGTGGTTTGAGATCTGCCTTCTTGTAACTACTCCCTGGGGGACACAGTTTTTTCCCTCAAGAGTAACACAGAATAGGCCTCAGTAAACTACTTGGACATTTTTCTAATATAGTAGGAGAGTTACCATGTCATTCCTTCTCTTCTCCAGGCTAAATAGTCCTAATCCTTTCTATCATCCTCTAATCATCTTGGTCACCTTCCTTTAGATGCTGTTGATTTTTATCAATGTCCCAAATAAAACACAATATTATAGATGCAGTCTGGCTACTTTAGAGTCCAGTGGGTCTGTAGCTTTGTTTGTTCTGGATTGAATACTTCCATTAATGCATCTCAAGCTGTTTCTTTTGATGGTTAAGTCATACTTTTGGCACGGCTGAGCTGTATTCAACAAAAACTGTCCTATCTTTAAAATATTTACATAGTTAAAAAATTAACATATAGTAAAAGGGACATTTTTAGTGTGCAATTCTATGAGTCTTAACACATGTATAGATTTGTGTAACTACTGCCGTAATCAGGACCTAGAACAGTGCCATCACTCCAAAAACCTCCCTCCCGCTACACATTTGCTGTCATAGCCTCCTGGGACCCCCTAGCCCTGGAATCTACAAATCTGTTTTCTATTACTAAAAGTTTGTCTTTTCATGAATGTTACATAAATGGAATCATTCAGAATGTAATTCTCAATTGTTTTTACTCACAACACTTCTGACATCTAATGTGCATTTTTTTTTTCTCACACTAACCAATTCCCCAACTTTCTGGACACCAACTCGGTGTTCTAAAATTCACTTCAGGCACTGATGCTTGGAGTTGGAAAAGATTCTACTCATTAAGGGTGTAATATCACAAGACAGCCTCTGCTCTGGGCCACCCATACTTAAGGCTGACAGAGGATAAAGTCAGTGAGTTCCCAAAACCCCCTCTTCACGTTCAATAATTTGCTAGAATGGCTCACAGAACTCAGGAAAGTGCTCTACTTACTGTTGCCAGTTTATTATAAAGGATACAACTCAGGATCAGCCACATGGGAGAGATGTGCGGGGTGTGGTAAGGGCAAAGGGGTGCAGAGCTTCCAGGCCCTCTCAGGTGCACCACCCCTTCCAGCACCTCAATGTGTTCACTAACCTGGAGGCTCTCAGAACCCCATTGTTGAGTGTTTTTATGGAGGTTCCATCTATAAACATAAGCAAAATCGATTAAATCATTGGCCATTGGTGATTAACTCAGTCTCCATTCCCTTTCCCCTCCCTAGAGGTCTGGGGATGGGGCCGAAAGTCCCAACCATGTAATCACGTAATTGGTTCCTCTAGCAACCAGTCCCCATCCTGAAGCTATCTAGGAGCCCACTAAGTCACTTTATTAATATAAACTCAAATATGGTGGAAAGGGGCTTGTTATGAACGACAAAAGACATTCCTATCATCCCCATCACTCAGGAAGTTTTAGGAGCTCTGTGTCAGGAACCAGGGACAAAGACCAAATATGTATTTCTCACTGTATCACAGTAACCTTGTGAAACTGGCTTCTTTTACTCAGCATAGTGCCTTTATGATTCATTCAATTTGTGGCATGTATCAGTAGTTTGTTCCTTTTTATTGTTGAGTAGTATTCCATTGTGTAGATGTACCAGAGTTTATTTACCCATTCACCAGTTTAAGGACATTTAGCTGTTTCCAATTTTGGGCAATTATAAATACAACTGCTAAAAATGGTCAAGTACAAGTTTTTGTGTGAATATGTCTTCATTTCTCTAAAGTAAATACTTAGAAGTGAAATTGTTGGGCTATATCTAACTTTATAAAAAATTGTCAAATGATTTTTCAGAGTAGCTGTTTTTGAATTTCCACCAGCAACACATGATTGTTCTAGTTGTTCTGCATCCTTGTCAGCACCTGGTATTGTCAGTAATTTTTATTTTAGCTAGGAGTTTAGTGATATTTCATCCTGGTTTTAATCGACATTTCCCTAATTGCTGAAGATGTTAGATGTTGTACTGTGCTAATTTGCTTTCTGTGTATCCTTTTTGGTGAAATATCTGTACACATCTTTTTCCATCTTTTATTTATTTATTTTTTAAGAGACAAAGTCTTGCTCTGTTGCTCAGGGCTGAGTGCAGGGGTGTGATCATAGCTCACTGCACCCTCAAACTTCCGAGCTCAAGTGATCCTCCCACTTAGCCTCCTAGGTAGCTGGGACTACAGACATGTACCACCATGCCATACTGATTAAATTTTTTTTTTTTTTTTTTGTAGAGATGGGAGTCTCACTATGTTACCCAGGCTGGTCTTGAACTCCTAGGCTCAAGCGATCCTCCCCTCTGGGTTTCCCAAAGTGCTGGGATTACAGGCATGAGCCACTGCCTCAGGCCTTTTTCCATCTTTTAACTGTTTGTTTTTTTACTAATGAATTTTGAGAGTTAAAAAAAATTCTGGATAGAAGTCCTTTACCAGACATACGATTTACAAATAATTTCTCCCAGTTTGTAGCTTTTTTTTCATTCTCTTAACAGTGAACATCTTTTGCAGAGTAAAAGTTTTAAATTTGTTTGAAGTCCAATTTATTAATATTTTCCTTCATAGATTACATTTTTAGTGTCCTATCAAAGAACTTTTTGCCTAAACCCAGGTCATGAAGTTCTATTTATATATATTTCTAAAGATTGTATCACTTTGGGTTTTACATTTAGATTTATAACCCATTTTGAGTTAATTTTTATATATGGTGCAAGTTATGAGTCGAGTGTCATTGTCTTGCACATGGATACTCAATGTTTCCAACACTATTTGTTGAAAAGACTATCCTTTCTCCACTGAAATGCTTTTGCATGTGTGTCAAAATTAATATATGTATGGTTTTGTTTCTGGACTCTATTATGTTTCATTGATTTATGTGTCTGTTCCTTTGCCAATACTACATTCTCTTGATTATTGTAGCTTTGTTTTTTTTAAATTTAATTTAATTTTATTATTATTATACTTTAAGTTTTAGGGTACATGTGCACAATGTGCAGGTTAGTTACATATGTATACATGTGCCATGCTGGTGTAGCTTTGTAGTACATCTTAAAATACAGTAGTGTGATTCTTCCAACTTTATTCCCCCTTTTCAAAATTATTTAGGCTATTTTAGTTCCTTTGCTTTTGCATATAAATATTAGAATCAGATTGTCTATATCTGCCAAATATGTTGCTGGGATTATGATTGGAATGCATTAAACATATGGATCAATTGACATCTTTATTATGTTGAGTCTTTCAGTACTTGAACATGGTATGTCTCTCTATTCATACAGATCTTGATATTTTAAAATCAGTGCTTTGAGGTTTACAGCATACAGAGCCTTTAAAAATTTTTGTTAGATTTATACCTAGGTATATAATTTTTTGGACATATTATAAGTGGTATTGTGTTTTAAACTTCAGTTTCCCTTTGTTTATTGCTAGTAAATGAAAATATAATTGATATTTATGTGTTATCCTTGTAGCCTGCTATTTTGCTAAATTCACTTAGATCTAGGAGGGTTTTTTTTTTTGGGTAAATTCCTCGGGATTTTTACGTTGTTTATGAAACAGTTTTATTTCTTCCTTTCAATCTGTGTGCATTTAATTTAATTTATTTATTTCTTGTTTTATTCTACTGGCTCGGAGTTCTAGTAGAATGCTAAATTGGAGTGTTAAAAGTCTTTGCTCTGTTCTTGACTTTAGAGGAAAAGCATTCAGTCTTCATGATTAAGTATGATGTTAGCTGTAGTTTTGTTTTTTTGAGAATGCTGTTTATCAGATTGAGAAAAAGCCCATCTATTCCTAATTTGCTGAGATTTTTATCTGAGATGGATGTTGAGTTTTAGAAAATGCTTTTTTTTCTGCAGCAATCGAGATCTGATCATATGGTTTTTCTTCTTTAGGCTATTGATATGGTGGATTACACTGATTAATTTTAAAAATATTGAACCAGCCTTGCTTTCCCAGGATAAATTCCACTTAGTTGTGGTATATTTTTCATGTTTTATACTTGCTGAATTAGATTCAATAATATTTTGTGCCTCTCATCATTAAGGCTATTGTTGTATAGTTTTCATGTACTATCATCATCTTCTGGTTTTGTTATCAGGATAATGCTAGTAGCCTCATAAACTTTGCTGAGAAGAACTCACTTCTCTTTTCTTTCCTGGAAGAGATTGTATGGAATTGATGTAATATCTTCTTTAAATGTTTTATAGAATCTGCCAGTGAAACCATCTGAGTCTAGAAATTTCTTTCTTTCTCTTTTTTCTTTTTTTGAGACGGAGTCTCGCTCTGTCACCCAGGCTGGAGTGCAATGGCCCGATCTTGGCTCACTGCAGGCTCCGCCTCCCGGGTTCACGCCATTCTCCTGCCTCAGCCTCCTGAGTAGCTAGGACTACAGGCACTCACCACCATGCCCGGCTAATTTTTTGTATTTTTAATAGAGACGGGGTTTCACCGTGTTAGCCAGGATGGTCTTGATCTCCTGACCTCGTGATCTGCCCACCTTGGCCTCCCAAAGTGCTGGGATTACAGGCGTGAGCTAGAAGTTTCTTTTTAGAAGGTTTTCAACGACATGTTCCATTTCTTTAATAGTTACAGAAAAATTCAGATTGTCTATTTCATCTTGGTTGCATTTTGGTATTTTGAGGTTTTAAGGAACTGGTTCATTTCATCTTTGTTGTTCCATTTATGTGCTTAGAATGGTAGCATTCCCTTATACCTTAAACATCTGTGGGGTCTATAGTGATCCCATCTTTCTTTCCTGATATTGATAATGTGTGTCTTTTCTCCTTTTTTCTTTGTTGATCTTGATAGAGAATTTTAAATTTTATTGATCTTTTCAAAGTACTAGCTTTTGGTTTTATTTTGTCTAGTCTTCTTTCTTCCAGTTGCCCTTTTTTGGTTTGGTTAGTTTTAATTTCATTGATTTCTGCTTTTACCTTTATTATTTTCTTCCTTTTGCATGCTTTGAACATATGTTGCTCTTCTTTTTCTAGTTTTTAAAAATAGAATCTTAGCTAGTGGATCTGAGATCATTCTTCTTCTTAATATGAGCACATAATGGGTATAATTTCACCTTTAAACACTGCTTTACCTGTACACCACAAATTTTTACATTTTATTTTATGTTTCATTTAATTCAAAGTATTTTCTAATTTCTCCTGAGGCTTCCTCTTTGATCTGTGGGTTGTTTAAAGATCTACTGTTTAATTTAAAAGTGTTTAAAACTTTTTTTGGTATTATTGATTTTTAGTTTAATTTTCTTATGGCCAAAGAACTTTGTGTGATTTCAACTCTTTTACTTTTGATAAGGTTTATTTTATGACCTAGTATATGCTCTATCTTGATGAATATTCTGTGTGCCTATATAAAGACTATCATGTTGTTATGGGGTAAAATATTCTATTAATGTTGATTAGATACAGTTCTTTAATAGCATTGTTCAGTTCTGTGTCCTTGCTGATTTTCTGTCTACTTGTTCTAACGATTACTGAAAGAGGAGAGTTGAAATTTTCAACTATAATTGTGGGTTTGTCCATTTTTCCTTCCAGTTTTGTTAGTTTTTGCTTCATGTATTTTAAAGCTTTGTTGCTAGGTATATTATCACTTAGGATGGTTATATATTCTTGGTTAATGGACAATGTCCCTTTTTATCCCTGGTAATTGTCTTTGCTCTGAATTCTTCTCTGCTATTAAATAGTCACTCTAGCTTTAAAGTTTTTTTTTTTTAATTAAGGCTATCATTTTTTCCACCCATGTATTTTTTAAAAATTTATTTATTGATTAAGAGAGAAGGTCTCACTATGTTGCCCTACATGCATTCTGACAGAGAGGGAGGGCATTACATAAAGAAAAAGGGGTCCATTCACCAAGAACACATAACAATTCTGAATGTGTACACACCTAACAACAAAGCTTGAAAATACATAAAGCAAAAACTTACGAAACCTGAAAAAGCAATAGACAAATTTACAGTTAAAACTGGGAGCTTCAATCTTCATCCCCCAAGAATCAATAGAATCAACAGCATACCATAACCTTTTTTTTTTTTTTTTTTTTGAGATGGAGTCTTGCTCTGTCGCCAGACTAGAGTGCAGTGGCGTGATCTCAGCTCACTGCAACCTCTGCCTCCTGGGGTCAAGCGATTCTCCTGCCTCAGCCACCCGAGTAGCTGAGATTATAGGCATGCACCACCATGCCCAGCTAATTTTTGTATTTTTAATAGAGACGGGGTTTCACCTTGTTGGCCAGGATGGTCTCGATCTCTTGACCTCATGATTCGCCGGCCTCGGCCTCCCAAAGTGCTGGGATTACAGGCATGAGCCACAGAGCCTGGCCCCATAACCTTTGAGAACATAAACAGTTACGTACAGGCTGTGATTTCTGATCAATCCGCTCTGGGTGTGGTTCCAACGTTAGTTCAGTTTTTAAAGCCTATGCAATGCTCCTTGTTTCTGTCCCTTGTATGTGCCACCCAATGTACAGTCTGGGAGCTGGGCTGCAGTCTGTCCCACCTTTCAGTTCTCAAAGTCTATGATATGCTGTTAAGGGTCAGATTCATGCACACACCACTCAGGAATAAGCTCCAGAGCCTAGAAACGACTTTATTGGGTCACACTTCCTAGCTCCTCCCTCTCTACGTTCTCCTCAGAATTTTCAGTTTCCTTCATCTTTTTAGTTCTCCAGCCCAAAAAACTGAGTTTTAAGTTAGCCCAGTCTGTGTGTATTCAGAGTCAAATAGTAGGAGGCTAGAGAGAGAAAAAACCAACAGGGATTTGCCCCACTTTGGGGGACCACAGCTCCTCTGATCAGAGAGGAACATTCTGTACTTCAGAGTTTTAGGGACCTGCAGCCTCTGCTGCCACCACTGTCTTTGCTGCAACTGTTGTCATGGGATCGTCTGGCTTCTGGGGCATGACAGAAAAATGAACAAAGGAAAATGATGAATTGCCCCCATCTCGATGAGTGTTAGAATTCTCCTTTCCCACTCCTGGACCCAAAACTAGAGGGCTTTTCTTGAAGCACTCTCTGTCTACATCTGGGTGCCCACTTCAGAGTTTCAGACTTCCCTGAGTCCTGGCCAGGAGGGAAAAAAAGGGAAAACTCAGTACTGGCTTGGTGGTGCTTTGAATTCTGGTGTCCTTTCCAAATCTTCTTGCTATCATTTATTTTGCAGTGTTCCTAAATAGATGCTCCATGCACTGTATCTAGGTTTTATAGCTGGATGGCTCAGGGGGCTGATGGTATTGGTGACTGTCATAGCTTTTAAAAAGTAAGCTATTTCAAGCTGGGAGCCCTCCTATTCTTTGTGCATTTTTGAATATACATTTAGTGATATTAAATTTTGTTTTATTGGTATTGACCTATGTCCCTTTTATTCATTGTATTTTTATCTATCCATAAGCACATTGTCTCAGTATGTGTGCAATTGCAATAACTGGCAATCTCGTTTTTTAAAAATATAGCTTCAATCAAGTCATCAATTAAAATGTTAAGACTAAGAAAATCTTATACGAATGTTGTAAAAGATCTATAGGTCTATTCATTTATTCATCACATTTAAAATTGATTAATTAATTAATTAATTTTGAGACAGAGTCTCACTCACTTTGTTGCCCTGGCTGGAGTACAGTGGTGTGATCTTGGCTTAATGCAACCTCTGCCTCCTGGGTTCAAGTGATTCTCATGCCTCAGCCTCCTGAATAGCTGGTATTATAGGAGTGTGCCATCACGCTTGGCTAATTTTTTTTTTATTAAGTAGAGATGGGGTTTCACCATGTTGGCCAGGCTGGTCTTGAACTTCTGGGCTCAAGCGGTCTGCCCACCTTGGCCTCCCAAAGTGCTGGGATTACAGGCATGAGCCACCGTGCCCAGCCTAGTCATCAGATTTTATTAAGTGCCTACTCCATGCCCTAGAGATATGGAAGCAAATAAAACCAAGTCTGTTCACATGGATCCAGAAAACAATGTGCTTTTGGTATTACTCCTCAGTCATCAGTGAATGCACCTAACTATACCAAATCAGGACCCATTTTTGAGCCTGTGTCATGCTCTGTGCAGCATAAAGGAGATATGGCGGTGAACAAGTCAGTCACATTTTCTGTCCTCATAACGTTGCCTCTTATCCATATTATCACTTTGCCCAGTTGTCTCCATTTTGCCTACCAGGCTATCATGAAAGACCTTGTCACATGACTTTCTGAAATCCCTAATTTACATCACTGACCTATCCCTGCTCTACAGTGAAGACAGCCTAACATACAAAAGAAAAAAAAAAAAGAGTTTGTGAAAAAAGTTTGTGAAACTTGCTCTGAATTATCACCAGTTTTTCTAAGTATTAACCAATTTTACGTTTAAGTCAGTTATTTTTTCTAGAGCTTGATATCGCTAATTGACAGAATCTAGAGTCTAGGTTTTTTTTGCTTTCAAAAAAGCAAGTTCTTTGTTTATCTTTGGTCTTAAATTTTCGCTGCCAATTTAAACTTTGTCATCCAACCCATTTTGCCTTTTTGCCGACCCCTCTATCATCTTTGGCTACGTGTTCTCTCTCTTCAGACTTTAGCACATTTTTCCTCTGGGTGTATTCTCGCTTACCTCTCTTAGAAGCTCCCCCAGTGAGAGGAAGTGGGTAACTGCCGTTAGAGAAATTGATCTTTGTGGGGTACAAGGAGAAGAGAACCACAGAGGTGATGAATTCCCTGTTGCTATTTGTGCTTAGGATTTATTTTGAATGTAGACGTTTGGTATTAGACTGATATCCATCAGTGGTGTACACACCCTTGGTTTGACTGTTTCAAATCTAGGAGAGTGGATGCACATGGAGCTGTTGGCAGAAACGATTTATTTCAGGACACAGAATGAATTAAACAGAAAGTATTTATGTTTTCAAGATGTGATGGTGCCTGTTCGTATTATGGGCACTTTCTCAGCTCCTGAAATACTTAACTCTAAATATGGAAAAAGTAATTACTGTTAAAGGCAAAAGCTCCTCTTTCTTCTAATGATAGTGTGATCATCTCTATACAATTAAAGTTGACTAACACTGTCTTTCTTTGGATTCCAGTGCCAGTAACCTCAAAAGGTTCTGGTAAACCTTGTGGTCCAGCTACGCCTTCATGACAGGTATAACTATTGCCTTACTACAAGATACTTTTAAACAACGCAAACGACAACAATAAGAGCAATAGCAGCAACAAAACCCAGTCTCTGGCAAAATCCAGATTCCACATCTAAACTGTGTAAACTCAAAAAGGAAAATAAAAAAAAGGAAAAAAAAGAGATAAGCTGTGCAAACTCAATATTTCCAATAATTGCCTTACCCTGTCCTCCCTTTCTCTCTCATTTCACAATACAGGACTTTCCCACTAAAATCAATCATTCTTTGTCTCAGCTCATGTTTTCCTATGTATAGGAGTTAGAATGGTTCTGGACAGTTAATTAGCCATCAATCCATCTCTAAAACACAGAACATGTCTGTTACTTTTGTAAACCCCCGATGTTTCATTTTGCTTCAGTGCCTTTTTTATAAACCTAATTGTGTTTATGCACTGGCATATTTATTGCTCACCTTTCACCCTTTATGCTGATCCCTGGCTGCCCACGGGGTCCTTTCAATTGATCAAAACCGCAATCCCCTTGTGTAAGAAAGGTCACATTTACTCTAACAATGGAAACCCACAGCCATGTGTTGCCTCAGTGTGGGTCACCAAGGGGCACAGCAAAGCAAAGGCATGTATGGATCTCTCTTGATTTTTTACTTTCCCAGTTTCAGACACTGAAGCACAGGGATTTTTTTTTTCTCTTGACTGCCACCTCATACTCATTGTGAGTTCTAAGGGGGAAAACAGGAAGTTTTTATTAAAAAGAAATATCTCTTTTCTCCACTCAAGCTTTTGTTTTTTAAAAAAATCTATCTTAATTTTTGCGGGTATAAAGTAGGTGTATATATTTATGGGGTACATGAGATGTTTCGATACAGGTATGTAATGTGTAGTAATCACATCATGTAAAATGGGGTTTCCATCCCCTCGAGCATTTATTCTTCGTATTACAAACAATTCAATTGTACTCTTTTAGTTATTTAAAAATATATAATTAGGCTGGGCATGGTGGCTCATGCCTGTAATCCCAGCACTTTGGGAGGCCGAGGTGGGTGGATCACTTGAGGTCAGGAGTTTGAGACCGGCCTGGCCAACATGGTGAAACCCCATCTCTACTACAAATAGAAAAATTAGCCGGGGGTGGCGGCACACGCCTGTAATCCCAGCTACTCGGGAGGCTGAGGCAGGAGAATCGCTTGTACTCAGGAGGCGGAGGTTGCAGTGAGCTGAGATTGTGCAACTGCACCCCAGCCTGGGCAACAGAGAGAGACTCTGTATCAAAAAAAATGTATAATTAAATTGTTATTGACTATAGTCACCCTATTGTGCTATCAAATACTAGGTTTTATTCGTTCTGTTTTTTTGGTACTCATTAACCATCTCCACTTTACTTCAGTCTCCTCCCCACTACCCTTTCCAGCCTCTGATAATCATTCTTCTACTATCTAAATGAGTTCAACTATTTTGATTTTTTGATCCCACAAATAAGTGAGAACATGTGATGTTTGTCTTCCTGTGCCTGACTTATTTTACTTAGCATAATGACCTCCAGTTCCATCCACGTTGTTGCAAGTGATAGGATCTCATTCTTTTTTATGATTGAATAGTACTCCATTATGTATAAGTAGCACATTTTCTTTTTCTATTCATCTGTGGATGGACATTTAGGTTTCTTTCAAATTTTGGCTATTGTGAACAGTGCAACAAACATGAGAGTGCAGATATCTCTTTGATATACTGATTTCCTCTCCTTTGGGTATATACCCAGCAATGGGACTGCTGGATCATGTGGTAGCTCAATTTTTAGTTTTTTGAGGAACCTCCAAACTGTTCTCCATAGGATTATGCTGATTTACCTCTCCATCAACAGTGTATGAGGGTTCCCTTTTCTCCACCTCCTTGCCAGCATTTGTTATAGCCTGTCTTTTGGATATAAGCCATTTTGACTGTGGTGAGATGATATCTCATTGTAGTTTTGATTTGCATTTCTCTGATGATCAGTGATGTTGAGCACTTTTTTATATGCCTGTTTGCCATTTGCATGTCTTCTTTTGAGAAATGTCTATTCAAATCATTTGCCCATGTTTTAATTGGATTAATAGATTTTTTTTTCTATAGAGTTGAGCTCCTTATATATTCTGGTTATTAATCCCTTGTCAGATGGGTAGTTTGCAAGTATTTTCTCCCATTTTGTACATTGTCTCTTCATTTTGTTGACTATTTCCTTTGCTGTGCAGAAGCTTTTTAACTTGACGTGATCCCATCTGTCCATTTTTTGCTTTGGTTGCTTGTGCTTATGGGGTGTTCCTCAAGAAATTTTTTCCAGACCAATGTCCTGGAGTTTTCCCGATGTTTTCTTGTAGAAGTTTAATAGTTTAACAGCTGTTTTGGTTACTATAGCTGTGTAGTATAATTTGAAGTCAGATAATGTAATTTCTCCAGTTTTGTTCTTTTTGCCTAGGATAGCTTTGGCTATTTTGGGTCTTTTATGGTTCCATGTAAATTTTAGGATTTTTTTTTGTTCTATTTTTGTGAAGAACGTCATTCGTATTTTGATAGGGATTGCATTGAATCTGTAGATTGCTTTGGGTAGTATGGACATTTTAACAATATTGATTCTTCCAATCCACGAACATGGAATATCTTTTCATTTTTTTTGGTGTCCACTTCAATTTTTTAAATCAGTGTTTTATAGTTTTTGCTATAAAGATCTTTCACTTTGGTTAATTCCTAAGTATTTAATTTTATTTGTGGCTATTTTAAATGAGATTACTTTTATAAATTTCTTTTTCAGATTGTTCACTGTTGGCATATTGAAATGCTACTGGTTTTGTATGTTTGCTTTGTATACTGCAACTTTACTGAATTTGTTTATCAGTTCTAATCATTTTTTTCATGGAATCTTTAGGTTTTTCCAAATATAAGATCATATCATTTGCAAACAAGGATAATTTGACTTCTTATTTTGGATGACCTTTCTTTCTGTTGAATAATTGCTTTATTTGGGACTTACAGTACTATGTTGAATAATAGTGGTGAAAGTGGGCATCCTTTCTGTGTTCAAGATCTTAGAGGAAAGGCTTTCAGTTTTTCCCCATTCAGTATGATACTAGCTGTGGATCTGTCATATATGGCTTTTATTATGTTGAGGTATATTTCTTCTCTGCCCAGTATTTTTTAGGGTTTTTTTCATGAAGGGATGTTGAATTTTATCAAATACTTTTTCAACATCAATTGAAATGATGACATGGTTTTTATTCTTCATTCTGTTAATATGATGCATCACATTGATTCGTGTATGTTGACCAATATTCATCAGAGATATTGGCCTGTAGTTTTCTTTTTGTGATGTGTGTCTGTCTGGTTTTGATATCAGAGTAATAATGGCCTCACAGAATGAGTTTGGAAGTATTCCCTTCTCTTCTATTTTTTTCAGAATAATTTGAGTAGAATTGGTATTAGTTCTTTTTTAAAAGTTTGGTAGAACTCAGTAGCAAAGTCATTGGGTGCTGGGCTTTTCTTTACTCAGAGACTTTTTATTACGACTTTGATCTGGTTACTTGTTATTGGTCTGTACAGATTTTTGATTTATTCATGGTTCAATCTTGGCAGGTTGTCTGTGTCTAGGAATTCGTCCATTTCTTCTAGATTTTCCAATTTATTGGCATATTGTTGCTCATAGTAGCCACTGATGGTCCTTTAAATTTCTGGGGTATCAGTTGTAATGTTGCCTTTTTCATCTCTGATTTTATGTATTTGGCTATTCTCTCTTTTTTAATTAGTCTGCTAAAGGTTTATCAATTTTGTTTAATTTTTAAAAATCCAGCTTTTTGTGTTTATTTTTCATTGATATATTTTGTTTTTGAGACAGAGTTTTGCTCTTGTTGCCCAGGCTAGAGTGCAATGGTGCAATCTTGGCTCACTGTAACCTCTGCCTCCTGGGTTCTAGCAATTCTGCCTCAGCTTCCCGAGTAGCTGAGATTACAGGCATGCGCCACCACACCTGGCTAATTTTATATTTTTAGTAGAGACAAGGTTTCACCATGTTGACCAGGCTGGCCTTGAACTCCTGACCTCAGGTAATACAACTGCCTCGGCCTCCCAAAATGCTGAGATTACAAGTGTGAGCCTTCATTGATCTTTTTATTTTCTTTTTTGTTTCAATTCCATTTATATCTGCTCTGATCTTTATTATTTATTTTCTTCTACTAATTTTGGGTTTGGTTTGCTCTTGCTTGTCTAGTTTTTAAAGATCCATTGTTAGATTGTTGATTTGAAGTTTTTCTTCATTTTTGATGTAGGCACTGATAGCTATAAACTTCCCTCTTAGTACTGCTTTCACTGTATTCCATAGGTTTTGGTATGTTGTGCTGCCATTATCATTTGTTTCAAACAATTTTTCAATTTTCTTCTTAATTTCTTCATTGACCCACTGGTCATTCAGGAGCATATTGTTAAATTTCCATGTATTTGTATAGTTTCCCAAATTCCTCTTATTATTGATTTTTAGTCTTATTCCTTTGTGACTAGAGAAGCTTAATATTATTTCATTTTTTGAATGTTTTAAGACTTGTTTTGTGACCTAATATGTGGTCTATCCTTGAGAATGACCTATGTGCTGAGGAAAAGAATGTGTATTCTGCAGCCATTGGATGAAATGTTCTGTAAACATCTATTAGGTCCATTTGGTCTATAGTGCAGATTAAGTCTGATGTTTCTTTGTTGATTTTCTGTCTGGAAGATCTGTCCAGTGCTGAAAGTGGTGTGTTGACCTTTCCAACTCTTATTGTATTGGGGCTTATTTCTCTCTTTAGCTCTAATAATATTTGTTTTACATATCTGGGTGCTCCAGTATTGCGTGGATAAATAATTAAAATTGTTATATCCCCTTGTTGAATCAACCCCTTTATCATTTTATATATCCACTCAAGCTTTGACCAGAATTTGTTTTTGCACTTGATTCAAGACAAGAAAAGAACAGATTAGGGGAGTGGGTAGTTATGAGAATTTAGCTGTTGAGCTCCTTGGCCAGCTGAAAATTTGTGGAAAATGCAAATTTTGCCATAAGCTAGGTTAGTTTGTTCATTTATCCTTCCTAAAATTCTTTCATCCATTTACCTACCGCTTACTCTGTAGAGGTGTTAGAACCAGAGATCATAAACTCAGATGCCTCCAAGGTAAGAGCAAGGTTTAAAAACAGGAAGCAGGAACTTTAGTGAACTGGAGAACAGAGGCCCCACCTTCAGGAGTGGCCACTACTCAGCCTTAGCATATTCTAAGTAGAAGTGTAGGCCCAGTGTGGCAAGATATTCTGAATTTTCAAGAGAAGCAGGAAACCCAGATTTTTATAAGATATCTCCCAACTTTTAAATGTTGGTAACAACTAACTGCCAGTTTTGAAATCACTGTGCAGAATGGACCTGCAGTCTGAATTTGGTCAGCTCTTCAAGGTCTCCAAAGCGCCACTGTCCTCCTGAAATTGAGAGTGGAGCTGGGAAGCAGAAGTGATTATCCTACAAAGAAGGCAAAGGCAGAATGGCAGAGACAATAGCCATTGTTTCAAGGAGGGAGATCAATCTCAGCTGGGATAATCAAGGCTTCTTGGAAAGCTGAGATTTGACATAGGCCTTGAAGAATAGGTCTTGAGGACCTTGAAGAATGTTGGTAGGCAGCAATGGAGGGAGAATTAGAGGCTAATTCTCTATTCTCTATGGGGGGAGAAGGCACAAATAGCACAGAAATAGGCAATCTTGGGGTACTGTATGTAACCAAATGGGAATTTGTGCTAATCTGGAATGATAGATTGGGGCTAGATTATAGGGGGCTCTAAAATCAGATTTAGGCTCATGCCTACAATCCCAGCACTTTGGAAGGTTGAGGCAGGAGGATCACTCGAGTCCAGGAGTTTAAGACCAGCCTAGGCAACATAGGGAGACACCGCCTCTACAAAAAATTAAAAAATTAGCTGAGTGTGGGGGCACACACCTGTAGTCCAAGCTACTCAGGAGGCTGAGGTGGTAGGATTGCTTGAGCCTGGGAGGTTGAGGCTGCAGTGAGCCATGATTGCACCACTGCACTCCAGACTGGCTGACAGAGTGAGACTCTGTCTGCAAAATAAAATAAAATAAAATAATATAAAATGAAATAAAATAAAACCAAACCAAAACAAAAACAGATTTAAAAGTTGAATTTTATGAATATTTGGTTGGCAGTGGGGAGGTACTGAAGGATTTCAAACAAAGGAGTGACAAGAAGAGAATGTTTTGGGCAGGCTATTTGATGTTTGTGTGTAGGAGGATTAGAAATGGGAGAGACTATAAGCAGAAAATGAGACAATTACAACAATCCAGGCATAAACTGGGAAGAAGGCAGTGGTAAAAGGAAAGAAGAGATGGATGGCGAAAACCCTAAGAAGAAAGCATAAGAATAATGGTGTCTAAAGTATGCCAATTCTACATCTGAGATGTTCCTTTCTTCTACAGGTTTCTGGCCCTCCTCTAGTCAAGGCAGGATATAGGTTGAAGATTCTGTGGGCTGATGATAGCAGAATGTGGACTTCAACTAGGCCAGTTGACTAGATGGCCCATAACCTTACTAATTCATGTGCTGCTGTAGTCTGTCCTGGGGCTGGTGGGAGTCTCATAGGAGTATAGGACTGGTGCAAAAATGCCACGTGGGGTATAAGAGGAGTCTGGTAGAAAGGTGAGTGTCCCTTCCCAGCCAGCAGGGGTCACAGGTCACAGGGGCCAGGGACACAAAGGTTTATAGGTATCTGTCCTTGTATTCTTGGAATGGATGTGTGAACAAGAGGTTAATCATG
Source organism: Homo sapiens (assembly GCF_000001405.40). NCBI lineage: Eukaryota > Metazoa > Chordata > Mammalia > Primates > Hominidae > Homo > Homo sapiens. The sequence continues at coordinate 169,432,356 of NC_000002.12, read as the reverse complement.
ACAGGATTCTATGTACTATTTAAATGTTTCTTTGCGGGGCTTGGACAGTCAGTTTTTAATTTTTTATTATACTTTAAGTTCTGGGGTACATGTGCAGAACGTGCAGGCTTGTTATATAGGTATACATGTGCCATGGTGGTTTGCTGCACCCATGAACCCATCAACCCAGGGGAGGGATGCTATCCCTCCCCTGGCCCCCCTACTCCCTGACAGGCCCTGGTGTGTGATGTTCTCCTCCCTGTGTCCATGTGTTTTCATTGTTCAACTCCCACTTATGAGTGAGAACATGTGGTGTTTGGTTTTCTGTTCTTGTGTTAGTTTGCTGAGAATGATGGTTTCCAGCTTCATCCATGTCCCTTCAAAGGACATGAACTCATCCTTTTTGATGGCTGCATAGTATTCCATGGTGTATATGTGCCACATTTTCTTTATCCAGTCTATCATTGATGGGCATTTGGGTTGGTTCCAAGTCTTTGCTATTGTGAACAGTGCCACAATAAACATACATGTGCATGTGTCTTTATAGCAGAATGATTTATAATCCTTTGGGTATATACCCAGTAATGGGATGGCTGGGTCAAATGGTATTTCTAGTTCTAGATTCTTGAGGAATCACCACACTGTCTTCCACAATGGTTGTACTAATTTACACTCACACCAACAGTGTAAAAGCATTCCTATTTCTCCACATCTTCTCCAGCATCTGTTGTTTCCTGACTTTTTAATGATCGCCATTCTAAGTGGAGTGAGATGGTATCTCATTGTGGTTTTGATTTGCATTTCTCAAATGACCAATGATGATGAGCTTTTTTTCATGTTTGTTGGCTGCATAAATGTCTTCTTTTGAGAAGTGTCTGTTCATATCTTTCACCCACTTTTTGATGGGGTTGTTTGTTTTTTTCTTGTAAATTTGTTTAAGTTCTTTATAGATTCTGGATATTAGCCCTTTGTCAGATGGATAGATTGCAAAAATGTTCTCCCATTCTGTAGGTTGCCTGTTCACTGAGATGATAGTTTCTTTTGCTGTGCAGAAGCGCTTTAGTTTAATTAGATCCCATTTGTCAATTTTGGCTTTTGTTGCCATTGCTTTTGGTGTTGTAGTCATGAAGTCCTTGCCCATGCCTGTGTCCTGAATGGTATTGCCTAGGTTTTCTTCTAGGGTTTTTATGTTTTTAGGTCTTATGTTTAAGTCTTTAATCCATCTTGAATTAATATTTGTATAAGGTGTAAGGAAGGGATCCAGTTTCAGCTTTCTGCATATGGCTAGCCAGTTTTCCCAACACCATTTATTAAATAGGGAATCCTTTCCCCATCCCTTGCTTTTGTCAGGTTTGTCAAATATCAGACAGTTGTAGATGTGTGGCATTATTTCTGAGGCCTCTGTTCTGTTCCATCGGTCTATGTATCTGTTTTGGTACCAGTACCATGCTGTTTTTGTTACTGTAGCCTTGTAGTATAGTTTGAAGTCAGGTAGTGTGATGCCTCCAGCTTTGTTCTTTTTGCTTAGGATTGTCTTGGCCATGCAGGCTCTTTTTTGGTTCCACATGAAATTTAAAGTAGTTTTTTTCCAATTCTGTGAAGAAAGTCAATGGTAGCTTGATGGGGATGGCATTGAATCTATAAATTACTTTGGGCAGTGTGGCCATTTTCACGATACTGATTTTTCCTATCCATGAGCATGGAATGTTTTTCCATTTGTTTGTGTCCTCTCTTATTTCGTTGAGCAGTGGTTTGTAGTTCTCCTTGAAGAGGTCCTTCACATCCTATGTAAGTTGTATTCCTAGGTATTTTATTCTCTTTGTAGCAATTGTGAATGGGAGTTCACTCAGGATTTGGCTCTCTGTTTGTCTGTTAATGGTGTGTAGGAAAGCTTGTGATTTTTGCACATTGATTTTGTATCCTAAGACTTTGCTGGAGTTGCTTATCAGCTTAAGGAGATATTGGGCTGAGACGATGGGGTTTTCTAAATATACAATCATGTCATCTGCAAACAGACAATTTTACTTCCTCTTTTCCTAATTGAATACCCCTTATTTTCTTTCTCTTGCCTGATTGCCCTGGCCAGAACTTCCAATACTATGTTGAATAGGAGTGGTGAGAGGACATCCTTGTCTTGTGACAGTTTTCAAAGGGAATGCTTCCAGTTTTTGCCCATTCAGTATGATATTGGCTGTGGGTTTGTCATAAGTAGCTCTTTTTATTTTGAGATACATTCCATCAATACCTAGTTTATTGAGAGTTTTTAGCATGAAGCGCTGTTGAATTTAGCCTACCGACCAAAAAAAGTCCAGGACCAGACTGATTCAGAGCCAAATTCTACCAGAGGTACAAGGAGGAGCTGGTACCATTCCTTCTGAAACTATTCCAAGCAATAGAAAAAGAGGGAATCCTCTCTAACTCATTTTATGAGGCCAGCATCATCCTGATACCAAAACCTGGCCGAGACACAACAAAAAAAGGAAATTTCAGGCACACATCCCTGATGAACATCGATGTGAAAATCCTCAATAAAATACTGGCCAACAGAATCCAGCAGCACATCAAAAAGCTTATCTACCACGATCAAGCCGGCTTCATCCCTGGGATGAAAGGCTGGTTCAACATATGCAAATCAATAAATGTAACCCATCACATAAACAGAGCCAATGACAAAAACCATATGATTATCTCAATAGAGTCAGTCAGATTTTGAATTGCAAGTCTCAAAGTCAAAATGTGGCTGGGTGTGGTGGGTCACACCTGTAATCCCAGCACTTTGGGAGGCTGAGGCGGGTGGATCACTTGATGTCAGGCATTCAAGACCAGCCTGGCCAACATGGTGAAGCCTCGTCTCTACTAAAAATACAAAAATTAGCTGGGCATGGTGGTACATGCCTGTAATTCCAGCTACTGGGGAGGCTGAGGCACAAGAATTGCTTGAACCCGGGAGATGGAGGTTGCAGGGAGCCAAGATTGCACTACTGCACTCCAGCCTGGGTGACAGAGTGAGACTGTCTCAAAAAACAACAACAAAACAAAGTCAAAATGCACTTTGATATTGGATGGTATTGAATAGGATGTTCCAGAAACAGAAGACAAGCGTAAATACATGGACTTTTATTATTTTATCCAAAAACCTGTCCCTGTGTTTTATATAATTTTTCTTGTCTTTTCTCTCCCATTACTTAAAATTTTTAAAATGAGATATATAATACCCCATACTATAAAATTTACTCTTTTAAAGTGTCAAATTTAGTGGCTTTTATTATATTCACAGATTGTGCAATGATCACCACTAATTCCAAAACATTTTCAGAATCCCAATGGCTGGGTCATACATTAACTCTATAACTAACTTATTGAGAAACTGCCAAACTGTTTTCCATAGTGGCTGCAGCCTTTTACAGCCTCGCCAGCACATATATGAGGGTTCCAATTTCTCTACGTGTTCATCAATATTTATTATTGTCTTTTTTTTCTTTTATTAGAGTCATCTTAGTAGGTGTAGTGGCATCTCACTGTGGTTTTCATTTGCATTTCCTTGATGGCAATGATATTGAATATCTTTCCCTGTGCTTTTTAGCCATTTGTATATCTTCTTTGGGGAAATGTCTCTTCACATCCTTTGCCCATTTTTAAATTTGGTTATTTGTCTTTTTGTTGCTGAGTTGTAAGTCTCCTGTCATGTTTGCAGGCTTTACCTTTGTGCAAAAAAAGGTCGTCTTCTTGCAGATATTGCCTGTGGATCCTTTCCTTTCTCATGGTGAATTGACCATGACTATAGTTTTTGACTGTAGTCAAACCGTAACTAGTGTATTATTTGGGACTTAACACCAAGAATAGCAGTTGATTCCCATTTTCAGCATCTTTCTACATTCCCATACCCTTGGAAGTCCCAGCACTAGCTAGGCAGCACCTTCTCAGAGAAGTGAGTCCCAGATCCGTTGGGCCCCCTCCTCTGAGTTTTTAAGTTTGAATGACCCCTCCAACCTCTTTCTTTTGTTTCTCCAGCTTTAGAGGTGGCAGCTGCTTCTGCAGTTATTGTCTCTATGATACCTCAGACTTCCCTTTTTGCTGTTTCAACCTTCCAAGATTTGTTTGAATTTTTCCCTGTATTAAATTCTCTCTGTTGAAACAACTGATATGGTTTTTGGTTTCCTGACTAGATTTGACTGATATAATTGTTTAGATTTACTAACTTACTCTATAACTCTAGTTCAAGGTTCTAATTTAGCTTCTGCTAAATTAAACTGGACTAAGCCTCTGGCTTTAGTCCAGAAGTTGGTTTTTGACAAAGAAAGCCAATTGATTGCTATACCCCTCTTGCTGACTAAAACAAAATACATCTCTTTACATTTATTTTGGACAGGAAAGTACCTTAAAGTAAAGAATGTCATTATCTAACATGTTACTCAGTATTACGTTCTTATTAGGCATCAGAAATGGGCTCTGCTTGGAATGAAATAAGCACAGAAAGAGTTGAACCCACTTTCAATATGAGGCTGTCACAGTTGTGAAGAAGACGTTCCTCAAAGAACTTGAAAGTTTCCCTGACCAAGAAAATTCTGGCCTTGGGCTGTTGCAGATTAGTAATTATGAGCCTAAGACCCAACACAAGAGGGTTCTGGACACTAGTCATTTGCTGGCATCAGTCTTATTGACTGGTGATCCCGTTAAATCCAGCATGTGAAGATATCTTTCATATGGTTGTATCCTTGAGAAGCCAATAAGAGCCTCGGTGTGCCCCATGTTCTCTTGGACGCTGGGAGAATATTTAAGTTGTGATAAACAGGCTCACCCCACCCTGACGGGGTCCTCAGCACCTTCACCCTGATGCTTCTGTTCAGGCACAGCCGTCTCTCTGCTTGCAAAAATCCTTGCCTTCCCTTTTCCGGCAGCCACCTCCCTTCCTAACTCCTAGTGGCTATTCCGACTCACTGGCGTGTAGTGTGTAAAAGTTTAAGTTATATACCCATCGCTAAATTGAAATAGGTGGACTAGTTTATTCAGAACTACAGGCTCGCTGCAGCAAATGTGCTGGAATAAACAGCTTTTCTGGAGGATAATGATGTTTCAGACATCCCCTGATAACCATGTTTACTGTCTATACCTCACACATAAACCCAATAGGAAGGATTCCTCTATGCATTAGGAAAGCACAGAACTTGGACTCTCTGGTAGGAGGGACCAGCTTCCCATTCACAGCCTAGAACCCCCAGTGGGTGCAGAAGGATGTCTAGGGATGAGGGGTCAGCAACCTCGGGTGGGGTCTCTTTTGGTTTCCACCTCCAGTTCCAGGGCTATCATCTGGCCCCAGGGCATGACTCCTTTTAGGTGCGGGAGGTACTCTCCTGCCCTCCACCTCCACTTTCTCCGGCCTTTTCCCTCCTCTCTGGGGGTTGCTCCAGGTTTATCCCCCTGCACTCCCATGCCCCAGTGTGTCCTGGTAGATGGCCCCAGCTTTCCCAGCTTTCATGGGAAGCCCCTTCCCTGAGCCCGGCAGTCGGATGCGGGGGGTGTCCGGGGCCAGACACGAGACTGACCCGGAAATACCGCCAAGCCTTTCAGCAAACCCTGTTCTTCTGGAGGGAGGAACCCTGGGGGATGGGCAGGTGGCAGAGTGAGAAAATCTGGGGGTGAGAACAGAATTGGGTCGCAGGGGCCCTGTGGCGGAGGCAGAGCCCTGGCTTGCGTTTCCACAGAAGAAACTCTTCCTCGGTTGACTTTCCAGAAAAACTGTGAGTCTTCTGACATTTCAGCAGACACCAGTTTTTCCTGCTGTGGCTTTCGGTGAGAGGGCTGGGGAAGGATTGGTTCTTTCGGGGATCCCCTGGCCAATTCTGCATTTGCTGGGTTTGTCGGGCCGCTGTTAACAGTGCGCGGTACTGACGCTCCCGCCTGGCTCTGGGCCACTCCACAAACTCAACTCACCAAGAAGCTTTCTCTGCGGTTCACTGCACACTCACGGGCTTCACACTGGCAACTTCAGGTTCGTCCTTTTTCACTGGATTTATATGTGTGGCCATCCTTGGAGTCCGTTTGAAAAATCTGTAGAATTTGGCGTCATGTGGACGTGAGATGGCTTTTAGCAGCCTCCGCTCCGCCTCCAGCTGGTTTCAGTATGAGGTTCCTGGTTGTGCAACTGAGAACTGTCTGGTGACCTCTTAATTTATCTCATCTGATCTAAGATTTGTTTTTTAAAAGTATCAGGTTTGAGTTGAAAAATTGTCAGACTATTTATGCCTTAATGGTTCTCAGAAAGAATGTGGATATTTTCAAGAAGAAGATTTTTTAAAAAAATACCTAATTGCAGCCGGGCTCGGTGGCTCACGCCTGTAATCCCAGCACTCTGGGAGGCCGAGGCGAGCGGATCACCTGAGGTCAGGAATTCGAGACCAGCCTGGCCAACATGGTGAAACCTTGTCTCTACTAAAATACAAAAATTAGCCGGGCGTGGTGGCGGGCGCCCGTAATCCCAGCTACTTCGGGAGGCTGAGGCAGGAGAATCGCTTGAACCTGGGAGACAGAGGTTGCAGTGAGCCGAGATCATGCCATTACACTCCAGCCTGGGCGACCCAATCTCACACACACACACACACACACACACACACACACACACACACGAAATCCCTAATTGCTTAAAATGATAACTGATCTACTCATTTATTTAGCTGAACACCATTATTTCAGTTCTACTTTAAAAACTTGTCTATCTAAAATGAATTCATTTAGGCAGACAGTAAGACATTTTAAAGCAGTTTTTTAAAGTTAAACAATTATGTGAGTATATATATATATATAATTTTTGTTTGTTTGTTTGTTTTTGAGAGGAGTCTCGCTCTGTCACCCAGGCTGGAGTGCAGTGGCGTGATCTCGGCTCACTGCAAGCTCTGCCTCCCGGGTTCAAGCCATTCTCCTGCCTCAGCTTCCCGAGTAGCTGGGACCACAGGCGCCTGCCACCATGCCGGGCTAATTTTTTGTATTTTCAGGAGAGACAGGGTTTCACCGTGTTAGCCAGGATGGTCTTGATCTCCTGACCTTGTGATCCACCCGCCTTGGCCTCCCAAAGTGCTAGGATTACAGGCGTGAGCCACCGCGCCCGGCCAACAATTATATATTTTTTATAACTAATGTCAATATAAGGTTATAAATAGACCAATAGTACATTTATATAGAAATTACAATGTTAATATTATTTAAGGGAAAATTACAATCTAAAAGTAAAATCCTACAGTACCTTATAAATCAAACTAGGTAAAAGCATTCCTCTTGCAAAATTAGTGGTATTGTTAAAATACTGATGACCTTTTAACTTCTATTTAAAAATTAATTATTTGAAATGTAGTTAACTGGAAAAGTCTTAATGAGTTGACTTTTTCTTACTCCATAACAGATTCTTGATGCCAGGTTATGTTAATTTGGTAACAAGTGACCATATTCTGTAGGACAGTGGTGTGGCTCAGATATAATTACATTCTGAAAGCCTTGCTCAGTTTGGCAGAGTTTTAGTTAAATGCCCATGATGTTTAGCAGTCCTCTCACTAGGTAGGATTCCAGGCATATGAGATATTCTCTTTCATGTTGTGCACGTTTTGACTTGTAGTCTGATTAAATTATATTATCTTCAGCTATGATAGTGTGTTAATTGGATAATAGTGGCAACTGTCTCATGTAAGTCTTATTTTTCTTAATAACATTTAAGGATAAAACTCAGTGGAATTTATTTGAGAAAATATACAATCCGAATAAAATGCATGGACATGGAAATTAAATTACATTCATTGTTATGAATAAATGAATTAATAAATAAATGAATGAGTAAATATTGGCTTCCACTAGAAAGAGAAATTTAGATTGTACATTAAATCAAGGCAGTTAGCAGCATATAGCTACTTTAGCGAGATTCTCCTTTGCAGACGTTTGCTACATTTCTGTTTAGAAAAAGTTGTTAGCTATATATATTTTTATTTGTTATATTTAAAAAATATTTCTTCTAAATGGAGAAATATAATAAATGTACATTAAGGAGATCATCTCCAAAATAATCTGAATCAGAATTCAGTCATCTTATGTATTTATAATTACAAATTGATAAAAAGAAATAAGTGGAAAGTCTGTTCTTGTAGCCTAGAAAAATATTCCTTCAAGAACTGTATTTTTAAATAATATGTTGTATTGAAAAATGTACTAGGCCGGGCGCGGTGGCTTATGCCTGTAATCCCAGCACTTTGGGAGGCGGAGGTGGGCGGATCACGAGGTCAGGAGATCAAGACCAACCTGACTAACACGGTGAAACCCCATCTCTACTAAAAATACAAAAAATTAGCCAGGCGTGGTGGCGGGCACCTGTAGTCCCAGCTACTTGGGAGGCTGAGGCAGGAGAATGGCGTGAACCCAGGAGGTGGAGCTTGCAGTGAGCCGAGATCACGCCATTGCACTCCAGCCCGGGCGACAGAGCAAGACTCCGTCTCAAAAATAAATAAATAAATATATAAAATTAAAAAAATGTACTAATGCATGTGTTAAAAACTTCCAACAGTACAAAAAGGTAGAAGAATGTTGTAAAGAAAAGTCTTTCTTCTGTCCCAGATCTCAATTTCCCAGTCTTTCCATTCCAGAGGCAACTTCTGATACCAGTTTCTTATTTATGTATGTTCCCAAATATATCCTATATGCACATATATATTCTTTAAAAACAACAAATGGGAATATAATATGAATATTGTTTTGCATTTTATTTTCTTCGCTGCTCTGTCTTGGGTATCATCCTTTCTCAGTACATATATATCTAACTCATTCTTTTACTGATGTATAATATTTTACTACATGACTTTGGACCATCATTTATGTCTCTATTGTATAATTTTAGGGTTCTTTTCTGTTCAAAAAAATTATGAACATCTTTTTACATGTGTCTTTACATGTAAATGAAAGAATAATTGTAGAATAAAATGTTAGATGTGAAATTGTTGGGTGGAAGGGTATATGCATTTATTTATTTATTTATTTTGAGATATTCTCGCTCTGTCATCTAGGCAGGAGTGCAGTGGCGGGATCTCAGCTCACTGCAACCTCTGCCTCCCGGAGGAGGTGGGTTCAAGCAATTCTCCTGCCTCAGTCTTCTGAGTAGCTGGGATTACAGGTGTGGGCCGCCATGCCTGGCTAACTTTTGCATTTTTAGTAGAGACGGGATTTAACCATTGAGACCACCTTGGTTTAACCAAGCTGATCTCAAACTCCTGGCTTCAAGTGATCTGCCTGCCTTGGCCTCCCAAAGTGCTGGGTTTACAGGCATGAGCCTCCAGGCACCTGGCCACATTTAAATTTTGAAATATTATTGCTAAGTTTCTTGCAAAGAGACTGCCAGCCTCTTACACGCAACAGTGCTGCCTGTCACATCTCAGTTTTGCCAACACAGTGTATTATCAAATTTTTAGAACTTTTCAATAATAGTATTTCATCGATGTTTTCGTTTTTATTTTTTTGTTTATGAGTGAGGCTACACATCTTTTATTATGTTTAATAATCATTTGTTTCCATTTTTTCTAATATTCACTCTTTATTGACCAGGTACAATATACCAGGCATTGTGCTAGGTACTATCAAACTGAATCAAATATACACAATCTGTGTACTTATGAAATTTATTGTTTAGTGGAGGGAAACAAAACAATCACAGAAATAATTATTTGATTCCTATTGTGTTTTAAGAGTGTGTAACATGGAGACTTTTTAGTCTAGGAGGAGATGGAGGGGTTTCTGGAGAAGAAAACTGAGATCTGAAGGAGAACTGAAATTAAAAAAAGGGGAAAATGAGTGGGAGGTGGGATGAGGGATAAGCTTTCCTGGCAGCTGAAAGAACTTGTGTGAAGATGTTGAGATAAAAAGGGGCTCCAGGGCCTTCTTGACCGGAAAGAAAGATAGTAACTAAGGAATGGTATCCCTTAGATGAGCTATACTTGAAAGCAACTTCTCAAAATAAGTATACTTCTTGTGGTCTGTTGCTCACATGAGAAGCATTGGCTTTAAAAGAAATCCTTTTGCCAGGTGCAGTGGCGGCGTGCCTGTAATCAGTCCCAGCTCCTGGGGAAGGTGAGGTGGGAGGATCGCTTGAGCACAGGAGTTTGAGGCTAGCCTGGGCAACATAGCAAAACCCTACTTCTAAAAACAAGAAATAAATTCTTTTATTTTTGTCTGTGACATATTTAAATACAGAAGAAATTACTAACTTTAAGTCATTGTTGTATGCTTAATCTTCCAAAGTAAAAATAAATGGTTTTTAACAATTTAGTGTTCTGCAGGGAAAAGAATACTTTGAAAGTATTCAAATTTGCTTTTTCACTTGAGAACTAACATATAATAAAGTGAACACCTGAGCACTTTCTATTACAATTTGCTTATTAAGTATCCTTCATCTTTAATTTTCTCATTGCAAGAAAATAAATTGTTGTATCAACTACTCTTTTTTGTACTGAGAAATACAAATAATGACATTCACATAAACAATCAAATCACAAATATATTCTGGGATTTATGATGGATTCCATAGGGAATACCAAGCTGTGTATCATTGAGATCTTAGGGATCCATTTTTAGTGTTTTAGGAATTGATCTTTATAAATTTAATCTAAATAAATAGGAAATAATTTACAGACTACTATGGACTCAGACCCTGCTATAAATACTGAATCGGCTGAAGAGACCAGGGTGTCAACGGACCCCAGACAGATCTACAGTCTTCCTCTGTGGACAGAAAGCATCTCCTTACAAGATAGTCTTGTGACTCTTGAAATTTTGAAAGATAATGAGGAAATCTTCAAGAGAATTTGAAAGCCAAGAATAAGAACATAATTTTCAAGACAATATGGTGACATAAGACTTGGAGAACCATTCTGATGCAAAGCCATTTTCAGACTGGGGTGTTGTGGCCCAGGCAAACTTGTACAAAACTGCACATGAAGCAGAGTGACTAATAAAAGGTAGACTTTTTTTTTTTCCTTAAGACCACTTTTTCCCCATATGTCCTTATTTTCTAAGCCTGGAACTTAAGATGCAGAGGAGTTTAATCTGGGCTTTCTCTCCCATTTTCTATTTCGAAAGGATTTATATTTAGATCCTACCCTACAGAATCTCTCTACATTGAAATGTTTTTGCCATCTTATTGAAAAGAAAACCAAACAGGTCTATTTCCAATTTGACTTAAAAGTTCCCAAATTATAAAATGTCACACAATTATTAAATCTTATATTTGAAAATTGGATGTCAGAAGTGATTGCCTCTAGTTTTATTGATGGGGACACTGAGGCATGGAAGGGTAAAGTGTTATTAATCAACGGTTGGTCCAGGATCTGTTAACATCATGGTGCCTTGATTCTCTTCCACCCTAGGGAGTGACTGTACTTCCTTCCTACAATAGATCCAGGCTTACCTCACCAAGAGGTGATTAGGGAACAAGAAGGGAGCCAGTTTTAATCAGTCATTTTCATTGTTTAATTTAGTAAAAATTTTGGTGTTCCAATGGCTGAAATCAATGACTAAATTTTGTTTTGAAATATGCTAATTTTAATATCTGATTGTTAATTTGTCAAAAATCAAAAGATGAATAAATTGAAGTCATTTGGAATATTCGACAGAATGACAGTCCCCCTTCATTACCCAGGCCCCACCTACAAAATCTTATATTTCCATTTTCTTTGACCACCAAAAATCAGCTTCCTTCATGTTGCTGTAATGTTGTTCAATAGGTGTAAAATCATAAAAGTTTGTCAAAAATATTTTCCTTCCTTCCTTCCTTCCTTCCTTCCTTCCTTCCTTCCTTCCTTTCTTTCTCTCTTTCTCTCTTTCTTTTTTTCTTCTTGAGATGGGATCTCGCTCTATTGCTCAGGCTGGAATGCAATGGCATGCTCATAGCTCACTGTAGCCTCAAACTCCTGGGCTCCAGTGATTCTCCTGACTCAGCCTCCTGAGGAGCTGGGACTACAGGCACCACACCCAGCTAATTAAAATTTTTTTTTAGAGACAAAGTCTCCTCATGTTGCCTAGGATGGTAAAGATCTTTTTTTCATTTGCAGGTAGCCCTTTACCATATTGAGACCTTGATAGTAAATTTTCATATTTGAATTATAGAGAAATGAGAGCTGGAAGATATTTTTCTTGATTAAAAAAAAAGAATGAATTTGACACCAAATAACTTGAAAAAAGAATCATGTGACTTCAGCCTAGACCTCATCACGTCACCTAGTGCTCATATCACCTTGTTCTAATCTTGTCTGAAATTATCTGAGGGTTCCATTATGCAGGTAAAAAGATTGAAGTTGCTCCCCAGTTTAAGCCATGGGTAACTGACACTGTAAGATCAATATGGTTATGATGAGGCTATTAGCTTTTTGAAGCCTAGCTGGTTTGTTTTTTGAGAGATGTCAATAGCTATTTTGATAGCCACATGGGGAACCTTTCTTTAGAGTAACCTTGGAAAATTACTTTTTGTGTTTTTATTTGCTTGCTTATTTATCTTAATCAAAGTAATCACTCCCATAACTAAAACAATCAATTATTACCTCACCTCTCTGCAACTCTTAGTCCTGCTCCTTAAAAGCACCCACTCCCTACTATTTTAGCTGCTTCTGTAAGTATGTAACTCTGTGTTTCTAAATGTAGGATTTATATTGCTCTTTACAGCATAGATTTAACACTTTTAGATAGTACATTATATATTTTCTGTTATGATAGATGTGTATTTAGCACTCTTACTACCTGACTACACCCGGCAATTAGAATGTTAGAATACTTTTAAGTGAGGATTTTAGAAAACTCTGACTGTACTGGTTTAATAAGGAAATTTACTATCTCCCCTTAACATTAGTCTGAAGACAGTGCCTCTCAAGGTTGGATAATTCAGTGGCATCATCAAGACCCAGGTACTTTTGACCTTCACTCTGCTACCCTTGGGGTGTTGACTTTGTCTTCAGGTCAACTGCCCTCATGATTGCTAGAGGGTGGCAGAAAATTAAGTTGTCTTTTCCGCATATGATAGTATCCAGAGGAAGAAGAGGAGAATGACTCTTCTTGCATTTATATTTAAGAAGCCCCTGAACAGACCTGGGTCATTTGCCTTTTCCTAAAACAATCAGAAGTAAAGGGAATGGGATTGTCATGACTGGGACTAATTGGACTTACCCTAATCTAGCACACTAACTAATCAGTTGAGGTTGTGATCAGTCTCCCCTAAAGCACATTGGGAGGCAGCAAATGGTAGATACCTGAATAAAATCTAGCTGGAGGAAGGTAGGAGATGGAAGGACGGAAACAACATTCCATCCTCATGGTGGAATTATGTCACAATTTTTGGTTCAATTGATAGTCACGGATAACATTATCAGAATATATAAATGTTGTTCACGTCTGAGCCAAATAATTTATTATGATTTAACTTCTTTGCTTTAACACTTCTTGTCCTTGTTTTTTTTTTTTTTTTCTTTCTTTTTTTGAGATGGAGTCTAAGTCTGTCACCTAGGCTGGAGTGCAGTGGCGCAATCTTGGCTCACTGCAACCTCTGCCGGCCAGGGTTCAAGCGATTCTCCTGCCTCAGTCCCCTGAGTAGCTGGGATTACAGGTGCCTGCCACCGCACCCGGCTAATTTTTGTAATTTTAGTAGAGATGGGGTTTCACCATCTTGGCCAGGCTGGTCTTGATCATCTGACCTCGTGATCCTCCCGCCTGGGCCTCCCAAAGTGCTGGGATTACAGGCGTGAGCCAACGCACCCAGCCTGTCCTTATTTTTACTGGTCTTGATGATTGCAACATTTGTTTCACTTGTATACTTTCCAGTACTTAACCTTAATTTTTTCCAGGAGATTTGTCAAATTTCTCTCACTTGTTTTCCAAATGTTGAGCATGTCAGATAATCTAACTTGATTCGTTTTTCTGGGAACCTTTTTCCTGGAGCCCTCCAAGGCTTACTCTGAACCAGTTGCTCTCTAGGTCAGCTGTCATCCTGAAACTATTCTTGGACTCATCCTAAATTAGACAACCTGTTTTGGGGGATGCACGATTTCTCTTTTTCTTGATCCATTTGCTTATTTTGCTGGACAATATTAGCTTTCTCTGTGTTTAGTCTTTGTGCATCTGCAAATGCTTTTAGTCTATGCTAAAGCTTGATGAGGTATAAAATTCTAGATTGAAATTCTAGGTTGAAAGTCATTATCTTTCAAAATGTTTAAGACTTCTGATCTTTTGTCTTCTATATATAAGGTCATTATTGAGAAGTTCAAGGCTCTTCTCAGGTCTGTCCATTTGTATGTGACCTTCTCTTTTCTGGAGACTTAAAGGATTTTCACTTTATCCTCAGTAGTCAGTCATTGTGTGAAACTATTGGAATGAAATTTTTGAAATTAATTGTGCTGCTTGCTTGGTGAGTCCTGTTAGTTTACAGAGTTGTGTCCTTCAGCTTCACTAGTTTTCTTGAAATATTTCTTAGATTATCACTTTTTTCCTTTCATTTAATCTTTTTTTTCCTTTCCTGGCTCTCAGAAAATACTCATGTGTTCAATAACCAGGATAGATCTTCTAATCTGGTTATCTTTTGTATTTTTCATCTCCATCCATTCCGCTGTTCTCTCTTTCTACATGCTGGGAAGACTTTATTTTCTAACCCTTCTATTTTATTTTTAAATTTTGAATGCATAGTTTTTGTTGTTGTTGTTTGTTTTAGAGGTGGGATCTCATTCTGTCACACAGGGCACTGGATGGCTCTGTCATAGCTCACTGCAACCTCGAACTCCTGGGCTCAAGCAGTCCTCCTGCCTCAGCCTCCCAAAGCACTGGGATTACAGGTATGAGCCACTGCACCTCACCCTGAATGCATAGATTTTTTAATTGCCAAGAGCTCTTTCTTATTCTTGGATTATCTGTTTTCATAGCCCCTATTCTTTTTTTCAGGACACACCCTCTCTTATTTCTCTGAGGTTATTCTTTGTAAGTTTTTCTTTCTTTGTAAATTTTCTTTCGTGCATCAGGTCCCCCCTCCTCCTCCCTCCCTCTGAATTTTCTGTGATTTTTTTCCTTTCATATGGTTTGCTTTTTTTGTTCTCTCTCTTCCATGTTGTTGTCAGCTAGAAATATCTGATAAATCTTCAGCATTCATTTCTATTTAAGGGTAGAACCCTAAGCAGTTGTTTTTAAGTCTGTGTGTAGCCACGTCTATGAAGCTTTTTATGATTCCCCTAACCTATGTGCTTTTAGGTTTTTAAACCCCAAAGCATTTGCAATCTCTCATAGCCATCACATTCTGCTTTATATCATAGCTATTTCTTTTTTTTTTAGACAGAGTCTCATGCTATAACCCAGGCTGGAGTGCAGTGCCTCACTGCAACCTCCGCCTTTTGGGTTAAAGCGATTCTCCTGCCTCAGCCTCCTGAGTAGCTGGAATTAGAGGCATGCACCACCATGCCCGGTTACTTTTTGTATTTTTAGTAGAGACAGTGTTTTGCCATATTGGCCAGGCTGGTCTCAAACTCCTAACCTCAAGTGATTCACCTGCCTTGGCCTCCCAAAGTTCTGGGATTATAGGAATGAGCCACCTCACCCAGCCTTATAGTTATTTCTAAACCAGCCTTATAAATGTAAACTCTTCTATGAGATATCAATTTATACCCCTGGGATAAATGACCCCAAATCAGCCTTGATAACCTTGGAGCATTTTATGTTTCTTCCTTTTCACTGTCAATGCTGTTTAGCATTGTTAATTAGTGTTAATCAAGAACGTGGTTGAAATTCCTGGATTATACTTGCATAACCTGATAGAAGCAACCACGGAATAGTTTATTGAATTTACTAAATAGATGTTCTAGGTGTTTTCTTATTGCCTTTTTTGTGGCTGTGCAGGTGGGGTAGTTATCCTGCATGGCGTTGGGTCCTTTCCTCTGTTACAAGAAGACAGAGTTTTAAAAGGTTCAGGGTCTACTGATAATTAGGGAGCGGCAAATGATATACCTCAAGACGCCACAAAAGGGGGCTTATTAAAAACTGGAGTGATTTGTATGCATCCATTATATCAAAGAGGGATGCAGGATAAATGCCTCTCAACCCAAACAAATATAGGATCAGAAAAAGATTTTTTCTTTTAAGGTTGGTGAAGAGCTTCTACACAATCTGGTGTTTCCTTCCCAGCAAAGATTAAAGAAAAAATGTCTCAGAATGAATACATGTTTCTCAGCTTCTTTAGCAATAGTCATTATTCACTTGGCTATTAACAATTTATTTTTTTAAAGAAGAAAATAATTCTTTTAGTGCTAATCAATTAGGTATTTTACTTTTCTGTTATGGACTATAAAGAACACCGACCTTGAAACATTGCTTATATAACTGTATGACATGAAAAAATGGCTAGTGTAAAAATTAATGGTGTTTCAAAAAGAAATGGAATCAATTGATGTAAAAGAGTTGATAGAAAGCTTGCTAAGTTATTCTGAAAGGTGAAGAAACCAAAAGCTTAAATTTGTTGAATAATTCAAGATTTCCCTCCCTTTGCAGCCAAAGATAAAATTGACTCTGACAGTTTTCCCGCATCTTAAGCACAACAAAAAAGCTGATTTGCTTAATTAAAACTGTGAAAATTGTGGTGTGTGGAACTGTATGTGTATGTGCTTGTGTGTGTACCTGACCAAGTGAGATGACAGAAGAGGAGGAAAGCAGAAGGCTCAGTGTCAGAGAAGCCTTCTCTTTTTCTGGCCTGATAAACTCAAATGGGGAAGTGATGACAAAAACATAGAAGTGCACTTAAGACACTGCTGTATGTATTCAAGTGATAGTCAAGGACGGAATAATGGTTTTTGAAAGCTGGTTGCGATTCCTTTGATACCATGTGATAGTGTGTGCTGTGCAAGTTCTGAGGCTAGATAAGAAGGGTGATGTCAGTTCAGCTTTTGGAACCCAGAGCCATCATGCAAATTCCCAGCTACCATGCTGTGGGAGAATTCAGGTCACGTGAAGAGGCCACCTCTAGTATTCAGTCCCAGCTAACGTCCTGGCTGACAGCCAGCATCACCTGCCAGACGTGAATGAAGACACCTCCAGATGATGATTCCAGCCCCTCCCACCATAGCCTCATTCCCAGCAACTGAGTCTGCCCATCTGAGACCCCAGATATTGTGGAGCAGAGAACAGCCATTTTTGCTGTGCTCAACTTGTTGCCAACTTGTTTGTTATTTGTCCCTTCACTCTATTACTTTTTCTCTCTTGGTCAGAGAGTTGATTTCTGTTTCCCCTGGGTTCTTCGAGGCTCCCCATGTTTCAGGGCTCTGTTCTACTACATGTATGTACAGTGCCCAGGGTAAATAATAATAAAGCTGGGTCAAAATTTAGTCATAAGCCATGTGTGGTGGCACACACCTGTAGTCTCAACTGCTCAGGAGGCTGAGGTGGGAGGATCGCTGGAGCCCAGGAGTTGGAGATCATCATGGGCAACATAGTGAGACTCCATCCCTAAAAAAAAAAAAAAAAAAAAAAAAAAAAAGCAAAAACAAAAACAAAATTTAGTCATAACATAGATGTGTTAATATTTAACTTTCTTTCCTTCTCTGTAACTGAACTTATTTTGTTAGTTGGTCCTTGTTTCCTCTAATAGTAGAAAACACTTGCAGTAGGATCTGTAAATGGAAGTTCAAGCTGAGATCCTAAAATGACATGCCAGATGCCAGAGTAAATTTTGTGATCGCCGAGCAGGATTTGTAAAATTTCAAGGGAAATTTCTAGACCTTTCTCATATGGAAGTTCTAAAGGATAGGGTTGGATATGGGAAGAGAGGATTGGATAGAGGATGTCTTTGAAGAGAACTCTGTTGTATGCTCTCCCTGCCTTCCTTTCCCTCATTTTAAGCCTGATAAGAACTCCTCAGGAATCTTGACATGTGGCTTATGCGATTGGGGGATATGGAGTGTGAACTGGTGACTTTTGACTGGAAGATGTAAAAGGCAGAAATGTGGGCCCTTCAGCTGATCTGAGGAGGAGGCAACAGATGTATGCATGCTTCCTTGACCAGATGCAACCACTTGGGAGGGAGAGCACACCTGGGGCTCTTTAAACAAACAAACAAACAAACAACTTTTAAATTGTAATTAATATTTATTTATTTATTTTCAGACAGGACCTTGCTCTGTGACGCAGGCTGGAATGCAGTGGTGCTATCTTGGCTCATTGCAGCCTCAACTTCCTCGGCTCAGGCTTAAGTGACTCTCCCATCTCAGCCTCTTGAGTAAGTGGGACTACAGGCAGGCACCACCATGCTCGCCTATTTTTATTTTTTTTTAGGGTGAGGTCTCACTATGTTGCCCTGGCTGGTCTTGAACTCCTGAGCTCAAGCGATTCTCCTGCTTTGACCCCCCAAAGTGCTGGGATTATGAATGTGAACCACTATGCCTGGCCTATTTATTTATTTTTATTGAATGAAGCTCTTACAAATCTTGTTCAAGCCTGGACTGGGTGATGGAAATCCGAGACAGAGAATGGACTGTGGAATGCTGAGGGCTGAGCAGCTAGCCAGAGGAAAATATGTCCTCCACAACTAGAATCACAACTAAATGTTCCTGGTAAGGACTTCTGAAGGGAATCATGAAAGAGACCACAAGTTTACGGGAAAGCTTTAGGCATCTTCCAGACCAGAGAGCCAAGACCATCTTATTACATTCCCAATCAAGTAAAAACTTTCTTTCTCCTTTTCCCACTCCCCTTTTTCTTCTTTCCTCCTTCTGCTTTGGCCCTTGAAGAGTCAGAAAACACAGCTAGCAAGATAGCAAATAGAAGAGAAGGAGCAGAAATCTAGGCTGGGAATATAGCATTGTGTTCCATTCTTTGGTTACCTACGTACAAAGACCACAATTGAAAGGGGGTGAAATTTAACTGTGAAATCAGATCCAATGTTTTGGTAATTATTAATACCTGGGAATGAACACATTCATTTCCCAAATTGAGACTTTGTTTGCAACTTGATGTGACCATTTGGGCTTTTTATAATCTAGAAATGACCAGAAAAGTCTGGAACTTTCTGAATTTCATCCAGGATGAAAGGAAGAGGGAGCTGGGAAGCAGACCTTTTACTTACATTTGAACTTCCCTTCTTCCTCCAACCTAGGAAGGTCTTTTACCCTCCTTAAAGGGGTAACAGTCTGTCCTTAACTCCTTTTTTTTTTTTTTTTGAGACGGAGTCTCACTCTGTCACCCAGGCTGGAGTGCAGTGGCGCGCAATCTCGGCTCACTGCAACTTCCAACCTCCACCTCCTGGGTTCAAGCGATTCTCGTGCCTCAGTCTCCTGAGTAGCTGGTATTACAGGTGTGCACCACCATGCCCAGCTATTTTTTTTCTATTTTTGGTAGAGACGGGGTTTCACCACATTGGCCAGGCTGGTCTTGAACTCCTGACCTCAAGTGATCCACCTGCCTCGGCCTCCCAAAGTACTGGATTACAGGGATGGGTCACCGTGCCTGGCCTGCCCTTACTTTCTATATTGCACCATTGCTATTGCTAATTTAAAACTCTATGTTTAGTCCTTTAGTTAAATTATGTTGCAATTCAAAACAAAATCATCACGGTATTTTCTCAAGCACTTGCAACTCAATCCCTTGGCTTTGGCTTTCAGACTGTTGTGTCTTCTGTGAGCTGATAAAGCAACTCAGTTGTCTTCTTTGTTCTAGGCTAGGTAAGTAGAAAGCTTCAGGGAAACCAGGAATTACTAGGGGTTGTGACACCAAAACTGCGTCAGTTGAATATTTTAAAAATATTATTTTGTCTTATACCATTATTAGGCAGACCCATGACACTTATTTCCACTGGTCTCCCTTTGGTTAACAAGGAAGGGGGGTATGTGTGCCATTTGTAAGGTTGTCTCTGAGTTATACAAGTAGATGTAGAGATATCCGTTGATTCCATTGAAGCAATTGTGGCTAGAGAGGAATTAATGCTTCCTTCACTTAGTAGACTCATGAAATCTCAGTTGGTGAAACCAAGTAAAATAAAATGAAATTAAATAACAATCAAAGCCAAATGGCACTAGAGGAAATGCTAGGGGAAGATCTTTATTACTAATCAAGATAGCAATTCTAAATGCCACGTGAACTTGGGACAATATATGTAAGAATTATCATTATCTCAGTTAAGGTGCTGGGAGCTCTTTTTCTATCCAATTCCACAGATCCTACTCATTGGTAAAAAAAAAATGATGGAAGGTTAGGTGTAGATAGAGCAATGATTCAAATAAACAGCTTTGGGCTGTAGCTCCTAAAAGAACATGCAATATAATGGTTGAATCATCATTCTGAAACCAACTACGTGGACACTTAGACACATAATAGTGTTTATTACTATTACCGAACATGAAGTACATTTTAATGATTTGAGACTGAAACAATTGGATTTGGTCTTATTGGCCAACCTCCTTGAAAGATCTTTGGTGTTTGCACCATTCTTTCAGACTACTTACTTCGACAACCGTGTAGATCAATTGCCATTAGTTTCTTAATCGCAATGTGATATAAATATAGGTGTTGTAGGGAAAAATGTGTGCTTCGATGAAAAACTAGGCACTGTTTAGGTGACACCATTTCATGTTATCTGGTTCTGATTCTTTGGGGGCTATATTCAAGTTTGTAAATTGTAGATAACTAATGACAATACAAAATAATTCTTGTCTATAGACACACGAATTTTGTTCTGTACAGTAAAGGTTCTGCTGCCTACCCTCTCCACTGCAGAGGAAGCTCATTTTGCCTTCACTTGTGCATTAGTTTCAATATTTCTTTATTCCATATAAATTTGTGCTTTTTTTGACTTCTCCTTTGGGTATAGTCAAAAAAGGGTATAACATCTCTCCAATTTTTTCATTGAGTTAAATAAAATCTTTTTTTTTTTGCAACAGAGTTTCACTGTGTCACCCAGGCTGAAGTGCAGTGACGCCATCTCAGCTCACTGTAACCTCTGTCTTCTGGGCTCAAGTGATACTCCCACCTCAGCCTCCCCAGTAACTGGGACTACAGGTGTGCACCACCACATTTGGCTAATTTTTGTATTTTTTGGTAGAGATGGGTTTTCATCATGTTGCCCAGGCTGATCTTGAACTTCTGGGTTCAAGCAATCTGCTTACCTTGGCCTCCCAAAGTGCTGAGATTACAGGCATGAGCCACTGTGTCCAGCCTACAATCTTTAATGTATTTTCATTTTTATATCTGTATGGACGTATGATTTTACCTTTTTTGGGGAATTATCTTTTTACAGTGTTGGCAACCTAAAAAAAATACAATAGAGAAAACTATCCCTAAATATGTTGGGTTTACTCAGGAATAGAAGTAAGGATTATAATCCGGAATGCATGAAATGGCAAGGTAACAGTGCATTTGGTAAGGGAAGAGTAAAGGGAAAAGTTTATTAGGAAAAAATCAATTTACATAAGATGCTTAGAAACAAGAGTTTTTTGGGTCCAGAGGTTCAAAGCCAGAGTTGTCAGCTCGTTGGTGGAGGTACCACTACTGGGCAAGTGTTCTTCTGAGAACATCTTATCTGAGTTTTTGTAGCCCTAAAGAATGTCTAGTGATGAAACTTAGCAAAGCAGGAGATGCATGAAGGATGCAAAAGGGTTTTTAGAAAGTTCTTGGAAACATTTCTTATCTCAGACATGTAAGCATGAGCCCTGTCTCCTTTTGCCCTTCCTATCCCTATTTGTTTGGGGTTCACAGTGTATTGTCAAATAGTTGTGTCTGGCAGTTCATGTGTTGCTAACCAGTGACATAAAGCTGTGATTATTATAGCAGAGGTTTGGCATGGAGTTATGAGGCTTTAATCAAATTTATTGCTTCTTTCCCTTGAAGCTCAGTGGATTTGCTCTGATCCTCACCTAAGCTACAGTTCTTAGACAAAAAAGAATAATTAATCATAGCTAATATTTACTGACCAGTTATGTGCCAAGTACTGTAATAAGCACTTGACATATATTATCTCAATTGTCATATATGGGCAACATGAAAAAAAAAGTCAAGGAACATACAGGCTTGGGACAAGATAATCCCTATGGCTGCAAAACTACTGTGGGATCCCTCAGCGACTCCCTCAGCCCACCCCTCTGTCACTGAACCAGAGGACAACAGGAGCACAAAAGAACCAGAGTTGCAACATCAAATTACAACAGGCAATGCCACCTGTGCATACCTGGGCCCCAGTGCATCCAGAGTGAGTCCCTTTATAATGACATCAAGGAGAGATCATCTCCATTAGAGGCTTAGGAAAGTGTAAGGGCCAGTTTCTATATTTAACTGGAAGACCCCTGATGTTTCTTGGTTGCAAATTAAGAAGAATCCGAGTGGTTCTTTGGCATGAAAATCTCTAAACACACAATATTATAGCAGTAAGTCATGAACAAGCCCTGACATAAGGTGACATCCATGACCCTGTCAACATTGATGGGAACTTGTGTGGAAACCAACTTCTGTCCTCTTTGAAGTCTGAAGTTTTGAGTAGGTTCCAGCTGTTTTGCTAGGGCACTGACACTAATTAGTTCTGATCTCTACCCTTTAAGACTCTCTTAGCAATTTGGCTGTTGCACAAGTGCTGCCATGGGCATTTACTACCATTCCTCATGAATATGGTGAAGTATTTGGCTTCAGTTTCCTTTCTTCATCAGCTCTATTGAGGTATAATTAACAAATAAAAATAATATATATTCAAGATGTACAAGGTGATGTTTCAGTATACGCTTTTTTTTTTTTTTGAGATGGAGTTTTGTTCTTGTTGCCCAGGCTAGAGTACAATGGCGTGATCTCGGCTCACCACAACCTCCGCCTCCCGGGTTCAACCGATTCTCCTGCCTCAGCCTTCCGAGCAGCTGGGATTACAGGCATGCGCCACCATGCCTGGCTAATTTTTTGTATTTTTAGTAGAGACGGGGTTTCTCCATGTTGGTCAGGTTGGTCTCAAACTCCTGACCTCAGGTGATCCGCCCGCCTCGGCCTCCCAAAGTGCTGGGATTACAGGCGTGAGCCACCACACCTGGACTCGGTATATGTTTATATTCTGAAATTATTTCCACAATGAAACTAATTAACATATCCATCACCTCACATAGTTTTGTCTGTGTATGTGTGTAGTAAGAATACTTAAGATCTGCTCTCTCAGCAAATTTCAAGTATACAATGCAGCATTGCTGACTATTGTCACCGTGTTACATGAGATCTCCAGGATGGACTCATCTGATAACTGAAGGTTTTTACCTTTGACCACTGGCTCCTCATTTCCCCACCATAGTTTTTGACACAGAAGAAAACAATGCCAAACATGTGAAGCATGGTTACTTGTTGAAGGATAACCGTACCCCATCCGTCTTGCCTTGCTGAATCACTTTGCAGCAAACTAAGTCCGCTTTTGATATTTGTTCAGTTCTCAGACAGGAAGGGAGAGAGAAATGTGGTGTGTGATCACATGTTAAAGTCTAATGAGAGCAAAGGTGTCACAAGAGTCTGGCACATTTCTCTGGACACTCTCTTGGTGATGGGGACAGAGTTACCCCCCCATCTAACCTTGATAATAGTTGCTTAAATAGTTGCTGCACAGATGCCTCATAGAAAACACAGTCACACTTTTTTTTTTTTTGAGTCAGGGTCTTACTGTGTCACTCAGGCTGGAGTGCAGTAGTGTGATAGCTCACTGCAACCTCTGCCTCCTGTGTTCAAGCGATTCTTGTGCCCTAGCCTTCCGAGTAGCTGGGTTTACAGGCATGTGCCACCATACCCAGCTAATTTTTTTGTATTTGTAGTAGAGATGGGGTTTCTCCATGTTGGCCAGGCTGGTCTTAAACTCCTGACCTCAAGTGATCTGCCCACCTTGGCCTCCCAAAGTGCTGGGATTACAGACGTGAACCACCATGACTTGCCCATACTTTATTTTTTAATCCAGGAGTTGAAGCCACTTTGCTAGACCCTGTGCTTACCTTGGCTATTGGTCCGAATTTTGCTAAATTGATTCATACATTTGTATAATTGGAACTATAGCTAAAGATAACTATGTTCACCAGCACATGAGAAGCACAGGGCATTTATTTTAAAGTCAGGGCTTTAAGTCTATAGCAAAGTGACCTGTAACAAAATGTATGGCATCATTCCCATTCCGTGAGATCCACAAAACTCCCTCTTAGGATATCATAGTTAATTTGTGCTTTCTAAATATCTTTTCCAAATGCCTATAAAAACTTGATTGTGGAGCTTTTTCCATTTCTCAGAACTTGGAGAATTAGGGTGAACTCATTAAAATTTCATGTGGATTATTGCCCTCTACTGGGATTTCATATCAATGTCCCTGAGTTTAAAATGGGCTCGGGGATACCCTCCCACACTGATTCCTTTATATCTATGGAGATTAAAAAGACTCCTGCTACTCACAGATGTTTTCCATCTAAATGACTGCTTTGTCTCTAAAGACAAGCCTAGATGCCTACTGTGGTTTTCTTCCCCCCCTTAATGGTGAATCCCAGTTATCCATCTGAATGAAATATGGTGTTTTCCAAAGTAATAAATAATTTGTCAATTCCTTAAATCATCATTCTGGGGTAATAGGCTTTGCTGTGAAGCATGCTGGAACCTCAGAACATTGGCTGGCATGAAACAGGAGGACACCGAGATTGAGTGGAGAGAGAAAGGGAAGTGTGTATGCGGGAAGGCTGTGCAACACGATGCCCTGGGCCTGAAGAGTGTAGCAATATGGGATTGCCAGGCAATTAGTAAATCCGGGTACATGCATGTGTCATACCGAACACTCCCGTAAGCTCCAATGTGCTCCATTTAGTAGGTGAGTCTCGAAGCAGAATACAGGAATGGATGCCAGTACAGCGAGCGGTTCCTGGCAACACCCCTGCAAGGGTAGAGAGATAGGGTCCAGAATCTGAGGGTAGATCAGGCAGGAATCAGACAGGGAATCAAGGTGGGAAATGTTTTAGAAAGAGCATGTGATTTGGAGCCAGATTAGTATTTTCTTTCCTAGCTGTCTGACTTTGGGGAGCTATTTAACCTCTGGCTCTCAGTTTCTGTAACTGTAAAATGAAATAATAATCACCACTTCACAGGTTGTTTTAAGGAATGGAAATAATGTATACAAAATACCCAGGACAGCAGTAGGCCCAAAATATGGCACCTATTTTTAGCTAACAGGGCATCAGTCCTAGTAAAGGACTAGAGCTCCAAACAGGTGAGCCAAAGCAGACGCTGTCTTAGTCAGGTAGGAAATGCTGCAATCTGGCCACCTGAAATTCCAAAGGCGGATGGAGCAAACCATCCACCTGGTCTATAGGTCAGAGGTCCTAAGGCTGCTGATAAGGAATAGCTCAGGGTGGGTCCATGCCTGGGAACATTCTGTCTTTGGATCAGAGAAGACAGCAAATGTCCGTGCTTTTTGTTGTTGAGACCACCTGTGGACTAGTAGAGTGAGCCTTGGTCTCTTCTCTAAAGTGACTAGCCTTTGGGCTGGAAGGACACTGGTTCTCAAGTGTATGTGTGTGTGTGAGATAATTTGATCGTTGTTGGGGAGACAATAGCGATAATGATAGTTATTTGTAGAATCCTTTCCCTAACCTATATTATTGCATGCTAATCTTGCAACGAGTGTAAGTAATATCATTCTTACTTAATGTATGAGGAAAATAAGATATAGGGTTGTCAAGTGACATGTCCATGTCACAGTTGGGGCTAGGATCTAGGTAGCATTCCTTTTGGACCAGAGCTTTGCCCACTGTATAGATTTTAAAATAAAATATATTTAATTCTTGATACTGGTAATAGGATATATTTTTCTCTGTGGTTTGTGGTTTTTAAAAACCATTTAGTAACAACTATACATGTGTAACTATTAATTGTTTCTCTGAATAGGCTACACATGGAGTAACCACGTGTGTGGAAAATTTCATTATGGAATTTATATTTCCAGTCCCAGGGAAACCTTGTCTGACAGTACATTTTTTGAGGCCGCCCATCAGCTCAGTAAAGAGAGCAGGGTGGCCCTAGATTTGTCAGTAGCCAGCTGTGTGGCTTTAAAAATCCAGGAGACTGGATCTTTCTAGTAGTTCCCTAAGTGACCTTTGAAACCTTCTTTCAGCTCTAAGTAATAATAATGCCATGCCAAGCACTGCGTTTTATGGACAATATCATTTGTATGTATCATCACCCTCCTTTGACAGAAGAGGACCCTGAGGTTCAACAAGATTAGGACTCTTGCCAAGGTCACGCCAGCACTAATGAAACCACAGTTTTCCAATGCAGGATTGGGTTCATCAAAGCCCTTGCTCTTTCCACTGTGCCAGATCACCAGTTTGTCTCTCTCTCATTTACTGGTGAGAGTCAGATAACTGTTAGGGTAATAGCTTCCAGAATAGGGGGTACCCACCTCAGGCATGTGCAAGATACTCCATTCAGGAGGAGAAGGGAATTGCCTCCATTTTGATTTATATGTATCTTATACTGAAAAATTTCTATTTGGGGACATATTTTACAATGTACATAATATGTAGTAAAATAGCATGTGTACGTGATTTATAAATAAGTTAATTTACACACATCATATATGGAGGTTTGTAGGGTATGTACTACATGTTTTTTTCTTTCCTGAAAGGCGAAGAATGTGGAGAGCTTTGAGTTTTCATCTAATTTTAATTTTTGATAAAAAAGTGATTGTGGCAGTAAATAGGCCATTAAAAGTGTATAATAGGCCAGGCTCAGTGCCTCATGCCCGTAATCCCAGCATTTTGGGAGGTCAAGGTGGGTGGATCACCTGAGCCCAGGAGTTTGAGACCAGCCTCGGCAACACAGTGAACCCCCTTCTCTACAAAAAATACAAAAATTAGCCGGGTGTAGTGGCACATACCTGTAATCCCAACTACTAGGGAGGCTGAGGTGGGAGGATTGCTTGAGCCCGGGAGGTCTAGGCTGCAGTGAGCCATGAGCTTGCTACTGCACTCCAGCCTGGATGACAGAGTGAGAGCCCATCTCAAAAACAAAACAAAACAAAACAAAAACATAATACAAATCCAGTGTAAATGACTCTATTTAGATTGTTTGATCTTTTTTTTTATTATTATACTTTAAGTTTTAGGGTACATGTGCACAATATGCAGGTTTGTTACATATGTATACATGTGCCATATTGGTGTGCTGCACCCATTAACTCGTCATTTAACATTAGGTATATCTCCTAATGCTATCCCTCCCCGCTCCCTCCTTCCCACAACAGGCCCCAGTGTGTGATGTTCCCCTTCCTGTGTCTGTGTGTTCTCATTGTTCAATTCCCACCTATGAGTGAGAATATGCAGTGTTTGGTTTTTTGTCCTTGAGAAAGTTTGCTGAGAATGATGGTTTCCAGCTTCATCCATGTCCCTAAAAAGGACATGAACTCATCATTTTTTATGGCTGCATAGTATTCCATGGTGTATATGTGCCACATTTTCTTAATCCAGTCTATCACTGTTGGACATTTGGGTTGGTTTCAAGTCTTTGCTATTGTGAATAGTGCCACAATAAACATATGTGTGCACGTGTCTTTATGGCAGCATGATTTATAATCCTTTGGGTATATACCCAGTAATGGGATGACTGGGTCAAATGGTATTTCTAGTTCTAGATCCCTGAGGAATCGCCACACTGACTTCCACAATGGTTGAACTAGTTTACAGTCCCACCAACAGTGTAAAAGTGTTCCTATTTCTCCACATCCTCTCCAGCACCTGTTGTTTCCTGACTTTTTAATGGTCGCCATTCTAACTGGTGTAAGATGGTATCTCATTGTGGTTTTGATTTGCATTTCTCTGATGGCCAGTGATGATGAGCATTTTTTCATGTGTCTTTTGGCTGCATAAATGTCTTCTTTTGAGAAGTGTCTGTTCATATCCTTTGCCCACTTGTTGATGGGATTGTTTGTTTTTTTCTTGTAAATTTGTTTTAGTTCATTGTAGATTCTGGATATTAGCCCTTTGTCAGATGAGTAGATTGCAAAAATTTTCTCCCATTCTATAGGTTGCCTGTTCATTCTGATGGTAGTTTCTTTTGCTGTGCAGAAACTCTTTAGTTTAATTAGATCCCATCTGTCAATTTTGGCTTTTGTTGCCATTGCTTTTGGTGTTTTAGACATGAAGTCCTTGCCCATGCCTATGTCCTGAATGGTAATGCCTAGGTTTTCTTCTAGGGTTTTTATGGTTTTCAGTCTAACATTTAAGTCATCAATCCATCTTGAATTAATTTTTGTATAAGGTGTAAGGAAGGGATCCAGTTTCAGCTTTCTACATATGGCTAGCCAGTTTTCCCAGTACCATTTATGAAATAGGGAATCCTTTCCCCATTTCTTGTTTTTGTCAGGTTTGTCAAAGATCAGATGGTTGTAGATATGTGGGATTATTTCTGAGGGCTCTGTTCTGTTCCATTGGTCTATATCTGTGTTTTGGTACCAGTACCATGCTGTTTTGGTTACTGTAGACTTGTAGGTTAGTTTGAAGTCAGGTAGTGTGATGCTTCCAGCTTTGTTCTTTTGACTTAGGATTGTCTTGGCAATGTGGGCTCTTTTTTGGTTCCATATGAACTTCAAAGTAGTTTTTTTGAATTCTGTGAAGAAAGTCATTGGTAGCTTGATGGGGATGGCATTGAATCTATAAATTACCTTGGGTAGTATGGCCATTTTCATGATATTGATTCTTCCTATCCATGAGCATGGAATGTTCTCCCATTTGTTTGTATCCTCTTTTATTTCATTGAGCAGTGGTTTATAGTTCTCCTTGAAGAGTTTCTTCACATCCCTTGTAAGTTGGATTCCTAGGTATTTTATTCCCTTTGAAGCAATTGTGAATGGGAGTTCACTCATGATTTGGCTCTCTGTTTGTCTGTTATTGGTGTATAAGACTGCTTGTGATTTTTGCACATTGATTTTGTATCCTGAGACTTTGCTGAAGTTGCTTATCAGCTTAAGGAGATTTTGGGCTGAGATGATGGGGTTTTCTAGATATACAATCATGTCATCTGCAAACAGTGACAATTTGACTTCCTCTTTTCCTAATTGAATACTCTTTATTTCCTTCTCCTGCCTGATTGCCCTGGCCAGGGCATCCAACACTATGTTGAATAGGAATGGTGAGAGAGGGCATCCCTGTCTTGTGCCAGTTTTCAAAGGGAATGCGTCCAGTTTTTGTCCATTCAGTATGATATTGGCTGTGGGTCTGCCATAGATAGCTCTTATTATTTTGAGATATGTCCCATCAATACCTAATTTATTGAGAGTTTTTAGCATGAATGGCTCTTGAATTTTGTCAAAGTCCTTTTCTGCATCTAGTGAGATAGTCATGTGGTTTTTGTAATTGGTTCTGTTTATGTTGAACCAGCCTTGCATCCCAGGGATGAAACCAACTTGATCATAGTGGATAAGCTTTTTGATGTGCTGCTGGATTCGGTTTGCCAGTAGTTTATTGAGGATTTTTGCATCGATGTTCATCAGGGATATTGGTCTAAAATTCTCTTTTTCTGTTGTGTCTCTGCCAGGCTTTGGTATCAGGATGATGCTGGCCTCATAAAATGAGTTAGGGAGGATTCCCTCTTTCTCTATTGATTGGAATAGTTTCAGAAGGAATGGTACCAGCTTCTCCTTGTACCTCTGGTAGAATTTGGCTGTGAATCCATCTGGTCCTGGACTTTTTTTGGTTGGAAGCTATTAATTATTGCCTCAATTTCTGAGCCTGTTATTGGTCTATTCAGAGATTCAACTTCTTCCTGGTTTAGTCGTGGGAGGGTGTATGTGTCGATGAATTTATCCATTTCTTCTAGATTTTCTAGTTTATTTGCATAGAGGTGTTTATAGTATTCTCTGATGGTAGTTTGTATTTCTGTGGGATCGGTGGTGATATACCCTTTATCATTTTTTATTGCTTCTATTTGATTCTTTTCCCTTTTCTTCTTTATTAGTCTTTCTAGTGGTCTTTCAATTTTGTTGATCTTTTCAAAAAACCAGCTCCTGGATTCATTGATTTTTTGAAGGGTTTTTTGTGTCTCTATTTCCTTCAGTTCTGCTCTGATCTTAGTTATTTCTTGCCTTCTGCTAGCTTTTGAATGTGTTTGCTCTGGCTTCTCTAGTTTTTTTAATTGTCATGTTAGGGTGTCAATTTTAGATCTTTCCTGCTTTCTCTTGTGGGCATTTAGTGCTATAAATTTCCCTCTACACACTGCTTTGAATGTGTCCCAGAGATTCTGGTATGTTGTGTCTTTGTTCTTGTTGGTTTCAAAGAACATCTTTATTTCTGCCTTCATTTTGTTATATACCCAGTAGTCATTCAGGAGCAGGTTGTTCAGTTTCCATGTAGTTGAGCGGTTTTGAGTGAGTTTCTGAATCCTGAGTTCTAGTTTGATTGCACTGTGGTCTAAGAGACAGTTTGTTATAATTTCTGTTCTTTTACATTTGCTGAGGAGTGCTTTACTTCCAACTATGTGGTCAATTTTGGAATAGGTGTGGTGTGGTGCTGAAAAGAATGTATATTCTGTTGATTTGGGGTGGAGAGTTCTGTAGATGTCTATTAGGTCTGCTTGGTGCAGAGCTGAGTTCAATTCCTGGATATCCTTGTTAACTTTCTGTCTCGTTGATCTGTCTAATGTTGACAATGGG
Organism: Homo sapiens; assembly: GCF_000001405.40. Taxonomy (NCBI): domain Eukaryota; kingdom Metazoa; phylum Chordata; class Mammalia; order Primates; family Hominidae; genus Homo; species Homo sapiens. Next base: position 169,401,728 of record NC_000002.12, on the reverse strand, counting down.
GTGTTAAAGTCTCCCATTATTATTGTGTGGGAGTCTAAGTCTCTTTGTAGGTCTCTAAGGACTTGCTTTATGAATCTGGGTGCTCCTGTATTGGGTGCATATATATTTAGGATAGTTAGCCCTTCTTGTTGAATGGATCCCTTTACCATTATATAATGGCCTTCTTTGTCTCTTTTGATCTTTGTTGGTTTAAAGTCTGTTTTATCAGAGACTAGGATTGCAACCCCTGCCTTTTTTTGTTTTCCATTTGCTTGGTAGATCTTCCTCCATCCCTTTATTTTGAGCCTATGTGTGTCTCTGCACGTGAGATGGGTTTCCTGAATACAGCACACTGATGGGTCTTGACTCTTTATCCAATTTGCCAGACTGTGTCTTTTAATTGGAGCATTTAGCCCATTTACATTTAAGGTTAATATTGTTATGTGTGAATTTGATCCTGTCATTATGATGTTAGCTGGTTATTTTGCTCGTTAGTTGATGCAGTGTCTTCCTAGCCACGATGGTCTTTACAATTTGGCATGTTTTTGCAGTGGCTGGTACCAGTTGTTCCTTTCCATGTTTAGTGCTTCCTTCAGGAGCTCCTTTAGGGCAGGCCTGGTGGTGACAAAATCTCTCAGCATTTGCTTGTCTGTAAAGGATTTTATTTGTCCTTCACTTATGAAGCTTAGTTTGGCTGGATATGAAATTCTGGGTTGAAAATTCTTTCTTTAAGAATGTTGAATATTGGCCCCCACTCTCTTCTGGCTTGTAGAGTTTCTGCCGAGAGATCAGCTGTTAGTCTGATGGGCTTCCCTTTGTGGGTAACCCGACCTTTCTCTCTGGCTGCCCTTAACATTTTTTCTTCATTTCAACTTTGTTGAATCTGACAATTATGTGTCTTGGAGTTGCTCTTCTCGAGGAGTATCTTTGTGGTGTTCTCTGTATTTCCTGAATGTGAATGTTGGCCTGCCTTGCTAGATTGGGGAAGTTCTCCTGGATAATATCCTGCAGAGTGTTTTCCAACTTGGTTCCATTCTCCCCGTCACTTTCAGGTACACCAATCAGATGTAGATTTGGTCTTTTCACATAGTCCCATATTTCTTGGAGGCTTTGTTCGTTTCTTTTTATTGCTTTTTCTCTAAACTTCTCTTCTTGCTTCATTTCTTTCATTTCATCTTCCATCACTGATACCCTTTCTTCCAGTTGATCGAATCAGCTACTGAGGCTTGTGCATTTGTCACGTAGTTCTCGTGCCATGGTTTTCAGCTCCATCAGGTCCTTTAAGGACTTCTCTGCATTGGTTATTCTAGTTAGCCATTTGTCTAATTTTTTTCAAGGTTTTTAACTTGTTTGCCATTGGTTCGAACTTCCTCCTTTAGCTTGGAATAGTTTGATCATCTGAAGCCTCCTTCTCTCAACTTGTCAAAGTCATTCTCTGTCCAGGTTTGTTCCGTTGCTGGTGAGGAGCTGCGTTCCTTTGGAGGAGGAGAGACACTCTGATTTTTAGAATTTTCAGCTTTTCTGCTCTGTTTTTTCCCCATCTTTGTGGTTTTATCTACCTTTGGTCTTTGATGATGGTGACGTACTGATGGGTTTTTGGTGTGGATGTCATTTCTGTTTGTTAGTTTTCCTTCTAACAGACAGAACCCTCGGCTGCAGGTCTTTTGGAGTTTGCTGGAGGTCCACTCCAGACCCTGTTTGCCTGGGTATCAGCAGCGGAGGCTGCAGAACAGCAGATATTGGTGAACAGCAAATGTTGCTGCCTGATCATTCCTCTGGAAGTTTTGTCTCAGAGGAGTACCCGGCCGTGTGAGGTGTCAGTCTGCCCCTACTTGGGGGTGCCTCCCAGTTAGGCTACTTGGGGGTCGGGGACCTACTTGAGGAGGCAGTCTGTCCGTTCTCAGATCTCAAGCTGCGTGCTGGGAGAACCACTACTCTTTTCAAAGCTGTCAGACAGGGACATTTAAGTCTGCAGAGGTTTCCGCTGCCTTTTGTTTGGCTATGCCCAGCCCCCAGAGGTGGAGTCTATAGAGGTAGACAGGCCTCCTTGAGCTGTGGTGGGCTCCACCCAGTTCGAGCTTCCCAGCCGCTTTGTTTACCTACTCAAGCCTTGGCAATTCTGAGCGCCCCTCCCGCAGCCTCGCTGCTGACTTGCAGTTTGATCTCAGACTGCTGTGCTAGCAATGAGCGAGGCTCCATGGGTGTAGGACCCTCTGAGCCAGGCGTGGGATATAAACTCCCGGTGTGCCGTTTACTAAGACCATCAGAAAAGCGCAGTATTAGGGTGGGAGGGACCCGATTTTCCAGGTGCCGTCTGTCACCCCTTTCCTTGGCTAGGAAAGGGAATTCCCTGACCCCTTGTGCTTCCTGGGTGAGGCGATGCCTCGCCCTGCTTCGGCTTATGCTCAGTGCACTGCACCCACTGTCCTGTACCCACTGTCCGACAATCCCCAGTGAGATGAACCCAGTACCTCAGTTGGAAATGCAGAAATCGTACGTCTTCTGCGTTGCTCACACTGGGAGCTGTTCCTGTTTGGCCATCTTCTTGATCTTTTGAATTATTTATAAGTTTAGATTATCTGGGGTCACTGTTCTTCTCCATCAAACTAGGTACTATAAGGTTGATTCAAGAAGAGATATATTCTTCATGTGGGTTTGACTTTCACAAACTTGCTTTTTCTGGTAGTAACTACCAGAAAATAGCTACCACGTGTACGTATATCTGTGTGTGTGTGTGTGTGTGTGTGTGTGTGTGTGTGTGTATTTCATAACATACATGCAAGTACCAAGATAAGCATTTTAAATTTGCATCTCATTTAATCCTCACGATAGGGAGGAAATTGAAATTTAGTAAAATTCAGAGACTTGCTCAAGATTGCCCAGCTAGAATTTGGACTTTGATGTGTCTAATTCTTAAATTCACGACTTTTCTCTTTGGTAATCTGTGTTAAACATGTTAGTTTTATTTGCTAAAATATTGACTTCATCATGGCTGGGTGCAGTAGCTCACACCTGTAATCCCAGTACTTTGGGAGGCCGAGGCGGGCGGATCACCTGAGGTCAAGAGTTCGAGACCAGACTGGCCAACATGGTGGAACCCCGTCTCTACTAAAAATACAAAAATTAGCTGGGCATGGTGGTGCATGCCTGTAATCCCAGCTACTTGGAAGGCTGAGGCAGGAGAATCGCTTGAACCTGGGAGGCACAGGTTGCAGTGAGCTGAGATCATGCCACTGTACTCCAGCCTGGGCGACAGTGAGACTTTGTCTCAAAAGAAAAAAAAAAATGAATACATTAAGTCCTCAATGTCATCAATAGGTTCTTGGAAATGGCAACTTTAAGCAAAATAAGATATAACAAAACCGATTTTATTTTTCTCATTGACATTATAACTAAGCCAGCCATGGTGGTTCATGCCAATAATCTTAGTTTCTCAGGAGGCTGAGTCAAGAGGCTTGCTTGAGGCCAGGAGTTCAAGATCAGCCTGGGCAACTTAGTGAGACTCCCATCTCAAAAAAAAAAAAAAAAAAAAAAGACATTATTCAAAGACCTGTTGTACCTCATTTTGCTTAAAGTTGCATTTCCACAGGACTTAGTGTACATTGTTTTGTCAACCGAATGAAAATTGCTTCTTAATGTTAGGAAAAAATGCAAGCAGAGAGGATACAGAAATAAACCTGTTAATTATGTATGAAACAAGACCTACTAATTTAACCTGGCTGTCTAAGATACAGTTCGCTTTCAGTAAACATCACAGATTTAAATCATTTTTTCCTCTAAAACATAAAGGGAAATTTTAGAAATGTCAAATTATATAGCAAGAATGTCAGTGAAAAAAAGGATTGTATCTGGCCACTGGGTGTCAATCTTGATCCACAGTCACAGGGAAAGAACACTCTTTTATGACTCCAGCTTTTCTTTCTCATTCTCTCCGGAGAGAGTTAGGAGAGTGATTTTATTTATAGCTAATAGGACACATTTTCTCTCTTAAAATCTTTGTGATTTCTAGTCCACTACCATGAAGATTATAATCTTCAGAGAATCTGAGGAGGAAAAAAAGACTAAAAATAGCAGCCAAAGAAACATCTTTAACAAAAATGCACTACATTTGCAGTTCTAAAATTATTCTGGGCTGGGTGTGGTGGTTCATGCCTATAATCCCAGCACTTTGGGAGACTGAGGGAGGAGGATCACTTGAGCCCAGGAGTTCAAGACCAGCCCGGGCAACATAGTGAGACCCTCTCTCTAGAAAAAAAAAAAAAATTAGCCGGGCATGGTGGCACGCGGGCCTGTTGATCCCAGCTACTCAGGAGGTTGAGGTGGGAGGATCGCTTGAGTCCAGGAGATTGAGGCTGCAGTGAACCGTGATCGCACCACTGCACTCCAGCCTGGGTGACAAGAGTGAGACCTTATCTCAAAAAAAAAAAAAAAAAAAATCATTCTGGGATAAGCTTGGCCAGCTGTGTAAGACATTATTTTGTGACTTGATTTCTGTACAGTTCTGACTATGTAAAATTTCAAAGTTCCATATGTCAAATATTTGTCTGGAAAATCTAGCTCTTTTAGTGAAATGGTATGTTTTATTATATGATTACCATTTTAAACTAGGAAAAAGGTGAAACTTCAGAAGGTTATATAATATAGGGGGATTTCTCAGCCTCACAGTTCCCTTACCATTACCTCCCTCTAGTGCATCCTTCCAGAATCTAGATATACTCTATACATACATAAGCATTTATGTCTACATAGCTCCTCTGTTTTTAAATACACAAATGGCATAGTCAACATGCCATTCTGAAACTTTTTTTTTTTTACATTTAATAAAGTATCTTGGACATTGCTTTGAATCAGTTAATGTAGATCTGCCTTATTCTGAATTGAGACCATACTTTAAAAAAAGACATTAAATAGTGCTCTGATGTTCTCATCTTTTAGGATTTTACAAGTGGCACCAAAGGCAAGAATTTGGTCAGACATGCCAATCCAGATTAGAGGAAATGGAACGCAGAGGAGCTGGACATCCTCACCTCTCATGGTCTGCAAGTCTTTGATTCCCCTTCTCCTCCTCCTCCTTCCAAACCCCTCCAACACTCTTGAACATATCTCTGACTTCTGTTTATCTTACACTTGCTGACAAATCTCCTTGGAAGCTGGTGGTCCATTTAGCCATGCCACAGCCATATCATGGCCCCCAAGACACACCACAGCATTGTAAGGGCCCCGAAGAAAACATATCATAAAATTAGATAAAGCTGGATATTTGTAAGTAAAATTTTAAAAATCCCTTGTTTGGTTAAAACAATGCAGATTTGATTTCATTTACTTCTAAGCTCTTTAACTGAATTGAGCATATTTGTATTTTCCCAAATTCAGTAGATTAGACTTGAATCTCTCATCCCATAAACAGGGATGCCCCAAATGAGTCTCAATGATTACTGTATGTTGCTGTGGCCGCAAATTCACCTTCCATTATGTTGGACTGACATTCAAACTGTTCTGGACAAAATGCCAGTACTCTTTCTAAAACCAGTGTAATCATGATGTGTTGAGATATACCTTCAACAGGTAGCCGATGAGTCCTAGCTTTCTGGAGTTGTTGCACTCTGCTGCTGGGTTTCAACTTCCCCTCCCATCCCAGGCACTGCGGGTGGTTTTGCCTCGGTTTTGAATTCATTTGGTTTTGAGCACTTGTGGAGTCTTGTTTCATGTCCCTGGGGATCGTTAGTGACATCCTGGGTGTGGAGTGCTGGGGGATATCTGTTACCAAGCTGTGGTCTCTTTCTCAGCGTAGTAGTTAGAACCGTTGGTCAGTAAATGGGCTTTCAAAAAGCCTCAGGGCTTTGTAATTCTACAAATGGTATAAAACAGGCCCCTTTGGAGCGATTCTGCAGCACTGCCCGCTAAAAGTTAAGGGAAATGACTGGCTCTGTGTCCAGAAGGGAATGAGTGTTGGATGTTTTATCCCCTGATTGGATGTACAGAAGCTGGCCTTGATATGCAGCTGAGGTCCCTGTTGGCCTCAGAAGCTCCAAAAACATCTTAGCTAGGAATGATGTGAAGTCAGGGCTCCTAGCGGGGTGCTCCCCAGGCCTTCTGGAGCAGTGTTTCAATGGGCCTTTATAGTCTGGCTGCCATGTAATCTATTGAGGCTTTGAAAACATTAATGCAGCCTCTGAAAGGGTCCAGCACAAAGGAGGGGTGGAGGTGCCACCAACAGGAAAAAAAGGGCCTGCTTCCTTGCTTCTCAGACCTCCATCACCAGTGATCCAGAAGAATGAGTTCCTTACCTGGGACTGTGCTGGAAAGCTTTGACCTCTAGTTTCTATTTTTGCTTTTAGTGGGTAACTGCTGCTAAACCCAGTGTCAAATAGGCCTTTCAGAAATGCAAAGAAGGATTTAGTGCTATTTGTTGTGTTCCCTTGGGCTGGATACTAACAGTTTCTTTATTTGTGAAATAAAAACAACAATAATGATACTACCTGTGGAAATAAATGAGATAATGTGTGTAAAAGGCTTGGCACAAAGCTGGCCCGTAGTAAGTGCTCAATTAATAGGGGCACCAACATTAGGAGAAAAGGTTGCTTTCATAGTTACCTGTGTGGGATGACTTTAGTTATTCCTTGTCTAAAAGCAGACCTACTCCCCTGACTCTGATATGTGAAATTCTGTAACTAGAGATTCACTTCTAAAAATCAAAATGTCTTGGTAAGTGTAAACACTTCTGTGAAAGAGAACATTCAGGCTTGGCAACCATTTACACATTAATGAGAATAAACTTAACAGATTTTGTTAGGGAGAGATAAGGGCAGTGAGTACTTTGGGAAGAGAAAGAGTTCCCACTGAGTAGAGGAAAAGTGTAGAGATACTCCAAATCTAGAGATAGGGCAGGCTGCCCTGTTAAGTAAGCACCTCTATTTCCTTGGGTTTGTGTTCTTTTGAGACAGGTCATCTGATGACCCAGAAATATTCAGTCTCATGGTTCCCTCGCTCCATTATTAACCATTTATTAATTCTTTGCTTGAATTAGTACAAGACTGGAAACAGAATGAGGGCAAAAACCCCAATATGCTTGTACTACTGCATGTTCAATGCCTTCATAAATATTTGTCTTTGAAGAACGGTATATAGGTACGGTGTTATATAAATATAATTGAAAGTGACATATGATTGAAAGAATATGTCCTTAATATTTCCATTCTGAAGAGTATATTCTTTCAGAAGAGAGCTTATAGCTTTTCTAGTTAAATGTACTTATTTTACAAAGAGGAATTTAAGGGCCGAAATGGGGAAGTGATTCTTCCCAGATCTCCCAACTAATTAGTGGCAGAACAGGACTAAATCTGGGGTCTTTTGTTCCAAAATGGTATTTACAATGCAGAATTCAGCATAGCCAAGTAGTCAAATAATAAATGTCTGGGACAACTAAGTTGGTCCAATACATATCTGCAGATTTTATCTGGAGTTAAGTATGCAAAAAGATACAATTCAATTGCATTAAAACTATATTTCCTAAAATGAATCTCTGTGGTTAGAAGTCAGAATATTAGCTTCCCTGATAGGATGGGAGTGACAAAAAGGGTCATGAAGAGAGTTTCTGGGCATGTTCTCACTCATAGGTGGGAATTCAACAATGAGAACACTTGGACACAGGAAGGGGAACATCACACACCAGGGCCTGTTGTGGAGTTGGGGGAGGAGGGAGGGATAGCATTAGGAGATATACCTAATGTAAATGACGAGTTAATGGGTGCAGCACACCAACATGGCACATGTATACATATGTAACAAACCTTCACATTGTGCACATATACCCTAGAACTTAAAGTATAATAATAAAAAATATTAATTAATTAAAAAAAGAGAGTTTCTGGGATGCTGATCATGGTCTGTTTCTTGATCTGGCGCTGGCTAAATGGATTAATTTATGAAAAATTTGTTTAACCCTATACTTGATGATTTGTGTATATGCTTTACTCTTTAATTTTAAAAGCTCACTTAGAAGTATATCTATTGGCTAAGTGATGCCTGTGCAAGACCTTGAGATGCTATGTTTTACCCACATTAAAGGAAGGATTGAAACAAATAGTGGGAGGACAGAGGCTCACATTTTAGAAAGGTCATAATTATGCCCTGCGGGCCTTTCACTCCTTCCTGGAAATCGGTTCTCCCAAATCAGCAAATTTATTTCAGAAATGTAACAGATAAAAATCTGCCCCACGGGAATCTTTCGTTCAAACCATTTGGAAAAATACAGGGACCTGTAGGTTTCTGGTTATTGCCATGAGCTCAGGGTTAGAAATGCTTGTCCCCTGTTTGGCCACTGTATAACCTTTTATGTGCCGTTATCTGATCTTCTTTTCACCCCAGGCAGTAAAGGGAGTGATAAGTCCTCCTCAAGGTCTCTTGCAAAGACCTCATAGGTGGATGGAGGAGGGGCAGAGGTGCCAGATGCACAGCTGAATTGAGCAGAGCTATTTCAGATGTTCAGTCTGTTCCTACACTTCTGCTCCTCACAGTGTGAATGGCATGTGTGTGCGAGGCAGGTCCAAACGTGTTTTTCTTGAAATGAATGTTAGCACAGAAGGGAGTGGAAATTAATGGGTTTTTATCTAGAAATGGAAGGAGGAGGCGGCTGCATGCTATTGATGTGGAACTGACCACAGCCTACCACCAATTTCTCATTCTTTGATCTTCTGCCATGATTTCTACTTTTAAAAATTTCAATTAATGCTTCACCATGGAAACTATGGCATCCTTAATGGCCCACCAGAGTAAATGCAGCTCTTCTAGTTTTATAGATTTTTAAAACCGAAATTAATTATAGAAAATCTGAAAATAGCTATCAGCTTTCTAGAAATATTGTGATAGTTGTCTCAGCATTCTGTATTCCCATTCATTGGATGCTTTTTTCTTTTTTTAATATGACAACTCACCATATGAAGTTACTTTTTTTCTTTGCATCCAGAGTTGCTCAAAAACTCTTTTGAAGTGTATTAACAATTCCTTCAATTTCACTTTTCCTTTTCTGGTTGGAATAAGAAAAATATTTATTATTTTTAATATGTAGGTCAATTTTAGGAATGAAAAATGCTCTCCTTACATAGTTGAAACATTAAGAAGTGGCAACAGCCCTAGTCAACATTTTAATTGGGTTCATATAATCATTTACTGCCATTGGCTCCCTATTTAAAGTGTGCAAAAATGCCTAGGTCCCAGCTCTGTGCATTTCAAGGCAGACCAAAAAACACCTATGAGTAAATAAAACTAGACAAAAATTCAAAGAGCAAATATTTAGACCTAATATTTTTTAAAATTTAGATTTTACAAAATCTTTGCCATACAGTTCAGCAATTCCTTCTCACACTCTACTCATTGTGTATCAAGCTTCATATTGGGCATTACACAAAATAATGACTATCAAAGTTGCTTTGGATAGAAGGGGTATGATTCTTCCTTAACTTGAAAATGAAGTAATTGTATTAGACATAAATCCAAAGGGAAAATGAATCTCTAACACATTTTTGTTCTTTACTTTCACTCTTTTGATCTTTTAGTGTATATTATTTGAAAGCCATGCCTTTACAAATGCAGCTATGTATCTGAAAGAGTTTAAGTTACAAAGTTTCAAAGATAACTGTGGTTTTAAAAATTGTATGTAGCTGGCTGGGCGCGGTGGCTCACATCTGTAATCCCAGCACTTTGGGAGGCCGAGGCAGGCGGATCATGAGGTCAGGAGATCGAGACCATCCTGGCTAACATGGTGAAACCCAGTCTCTACTAAAAATACAAAAAAATAGCCAGGCATGGTGGTGGGCACCTATAGTCCCGGCTACTCGGGAGGCTGAGGCAGGAGAATTGCTTGAACCCAGGAGGCAGAGGTTGCAGTGAGTCAAGATTGTTCCATTGCACTCTAGCCTGGGTGACAGAGCAACACTCCGTCTAAAAAAATAACAGAAAACAACAAACAAACAAACAAACAAAAATAGTATGTAGCTGACAGGAGAAAACAAAAAGAGACTAATTAAGATACTATAGTTACTAATGCGAGTGGCTGGTATAAATGAAATAGAGACACAAATATTGGCTCAGTACTTATTCTGAGGTCCCAAAGTTAAATAATAAATCTTTTTTTCCATTGAGTGATATTGGGAAACTTCTTTTTAAAAGTCATATGCCTAGAAGCACATCCATTGAATAGATTCTGGCACTGTTACTCCCAGTATGCCTCTACATTCCAGCCCTATCTGCAGTTCAGAGATTTGAGAGCCAAAGTTAAAGAGATTGTAGGAAATAGGAATTTTTTCCTTTTTGCTGTAACTCACCTGGGAGGCTTTTCATTTACATTGTCATTCCTGCGGGAAAAACAAAAACCTGCCTCCAAACCTGATAATGCTTCCTTGGTCCACTGCAGATAAGAGAGCTTTTGTCATAAATAAAGGAGTCAATTTGGATTTAGTTTTAAATCACTGCAGTGAATTTGTTGCCAAAGGAGATATTAGCAGTAATTGGTACAAAGTATTTTTATATGTTAACCCTTGTCATCAAGGCATACAATCTGATTTAAGATCATCAAAGGTTATCTTTCATGGTATATGTATAACTAAGACTGATTAGTTAATGAGCTGACCTTTTTTTCCAGCAAGGAGTTGTGGACATTGCCCCTTTCCCTTACTGTGTTTTCTAGAAAGTCATTTACTTGCATCTAAACCAACTGATATCTATCAGAAACCAAAAGATATTGAATGTGTCTCCTTTATTTTCTCCCAGAAGATACTGAATGCGTTTCCTTTTTTCTCTCAAATTATGGCTCACATAGTTTACCCTGCTCAGTGTTGTACCATGTAATGTTGTTTAAAAAGCAAGTAAATTTATTGCCAACATTTAAAAGTTGGGATGTTTTTCACAAAAGTCCAGATGTCTGCCTCTGTTACAAAATTAGGGGAACTAGTAATTCTAGAATTAATTTCTTCCAGGACAACAACTGGCTGAAGCTGAGCAGTGGCTAAGTTACACACGTAGAACAATGTGAGTTTTTTCTTAAGTATGACCCATATTAACTCATTTGTGTTAGCATCCTGGTCCCCAGTAGGTTGTTGAGTTTCAGACTCCTCTATGAAGCAGAGATTGGGTTGGGTGAGATAAGACTTTGAAGGAAGGAAAAGATTTTTCGTACAGTTGTTCAAAAAGCCAGAATGACCCTAGAGCTTCATGGTCAAGAGTCTAGACTTTGGATCAGACAGATCTGGGCTTCAGTCCCTGTTCCGCCATTTCCTATGTCTTGGAGCTTGAGGCAAATTGCTTAAATGTTCTTAAACTGCTTCCTCTTTGGTAATGGAAGACAATAACAGCTCCCATAGAGGGCTGTTGTGAGGAGTATGACAGAGGAATTATTTCTGGCACAAAAAGTTTTATTAATCAAGAAATCTAGCTACTTTTAAGAAATTGTTACAGAACATTGACTAAAATTCTTAAAAGAAAAGTACATTTACATATTTTAGACACATCTAAATTTATCTGTATTATCTGATTAGCTACAATCAATTAATTAATTCAGAATTGTCCCTCTTAGTCTTGGAGTCAGAATTTCGTTTTTCTTTTCTTTTCTTTTTGGAACTAGAGTCTCACTCTGTTGCCCAGGCTGCAGTGCAGTGGTGCTGTCTCAGCTCACTGCAACCTTCGCCTCCCAGGCTTGAATGATTCTCCTGCCTCAGCCTCCTGCCCAGCTCATTTTTGTATTTTTAGTAGAGACAGGGTTTCACTATATTGGCCAGGCTGGTCTTGAACTCCTGACCTCAAGTTATTCACCTGCTTTGGCCTCCCAAAGGGTTGGGATTACAGGTGTGAGCCACTGTGCCTAATTTAGGAGTCAGAATTTCAAACCATTTCCCCTTCAATGTATTTTTTCCAAGAGTCATAGTGGTGGCTTTCAGGCTGAATAAAGCTTCCTACATTGTTTGGCTAGATTTCTGCATTCACTATAATCATGCTTAAAAGTCACCATAACTTCAGAAGCCACTCCTAGAGTGGATAATAAGAGAAATGTTAAAAACAAAAAAGAAGTCACAGGAAAGGATTAAGAATCCTTTATTTGGTGGGTCTAGGGGCAGTTGTTGCAAGAAGAGATAAGTCAACTTCCCTGGACTAGAAAAATAGACTTGACCTAGAAAACTCTTTCATAGGCACACATTTCACAAATGAAATTTATAACAAAGCCAATACGAATCTTACAACTGCCTGAAAATTCAACTTGCTTCAAGTTCTTCTTTTAATCATCCTGTCTGCCCAGCTCTATAAAGTTATTAACATTGCCTAAACAATAGCATCCCCAAGGTCAGTGCTCTCCATCTGGCTGCACACTGGAATCACCTGGAAGATGTTAAACCTTAGTACTGCTCAGGCCCTACTCCCAGAGACTCTGACTTAATTGGTCTAGGGTGCCTGGACAGCAATATGGGCTTCTGCTCTATAGCCTTATGTTAGCACTGGGCGTTGGTATGGGGGAGAAATGTAAATCTCAAGAGAGCAGAAGCCCGGCCATTGGTTTGTCTCCTTTTCCTGACATTCATAGAACTACTCTTGCTGGCTGCAATAAACTGAACCTTCACTTATTTGAGTGCAAAGGAGAGAGAGATGGCAAATGGTTAGTCAGCACTCCAGCAAGGGAAGGAAGGTCTGTGCTAACCATGTCTAAGGGTATCTATAACAGTACAAGAAATCTTTGAAGTGCACTTTTTACTCTACACGGTATATCTCATTTTGCTACACCAGTAACTTTTGAGATGGATATGGTTATTATTATTATTCTCACTTTGTTGAGGAGTAAAAAAGTCTATAACAGGCATGGATTTTTCCATCATGATTCATCACTTCGTTTTGATTTTTTGAAATAAAATTGAATCTACTTCTGAATTCCAATTTGCCAAGGTTGATAAACAGTTCAATATAAATCATTTGTCTGCCATTGGCTTGTGCAAGAACCCTACCCTTAGAAACATGATAAGGAGAGCTGGGTCTTTGAAACATAGTGGTCACCATTACCAGTTTATTCCTCCCACTACTTGATGCCCTTTTCATGTCCTGGCCCTTCACTGTTCACCTCCAGGTGTCCTTCACTGAGAACATCTCTAATTTCTACAAGTTTGGCCATGGAGAGCCTCATTGCTATTCCCAAGGGTCTGGTCCTCCTCAAGCATCCATGTGCCCAGCCCCCTTCAACATATAGGGCACTTTGAGGAAGCTGGTGTAGGCTTAACTTCTAATAGAATCCCATTCCTCTCCTCTGCCAGTCTTTCAGGGACTCGACAATACTTCAGCGTCTAGGCAAAACCTCTCCTTTCCTTGGATGCACGGAAGCTTTAATATCATTTCCTTGAATGGGCTGAGCCTTCCCAAAAGGCAGCTTAGGAAACACACAGAACACTGTTATCTCTCTCTTCTGAGCAAAGGAACCCAAAACTCAAAGCACAAAGACCTGGCTGTATTTTTTAGATTGGAACAGGGAAATAGCATTCTTTTTCTTTTTTGTTGATGAGTCTACAGCAGCCCCAAAGACACAAATTAGTTATTTATTATCTACTCTGATATAGTGCTATAAAGCTTCTAAAGCAAGTAAGAGAAGCTTCTCTTTTCATCAGAATTAACCCATTGACCCAAATGGATCTTTGACACTTCCTAAGTCCAAAAAAACCCACAAAAAAGACAACAAAAAACATCTTTACTGAAGAGGTTTGAAATTAGACACTGTATTAGTTCTCTGATAAGTAAGTACAAAACCTCAATCTTTAATGAAGTTCCTCTGAAACAGTTTATTTTTCATGGACTATTCTTCAACAAATCTTCCATACCATTTTAGGTTTGTTTTTATGAGACTTCTTGAGTATTAACAGTTAGTGGTCTTGGTCACTGATTCTTATTCTAGTCACCTATCTAGTTCTTGGGCCAGAGGAATATCAGCTTAGTTAAAAGTGCTTCCAGGTCTTGGGACCCTTGAAAGATCTAAGGGAATCTATAGTCCCACTCTCAACTGTGGAGACCTCAGCTATAAATATAATACCATTCAGATGGTCTCCAGCTAGACCATCCAGTAACAGATAGGTATCTATAATAATAAGAGTTCTAGTTTGTTCCTCCATTTTGCAAATTAAAAGTGCAGACCTTTTCTGAGGCTGAAATTATTACATCTCACAAAGGACTTCATGGGAATGGATGAAGGGTGGTAAGCAAAGAAATTGCACAGAAATGGAAGCTTATACTATATGGTGAGTTACATGGGGTCACTAATAAAATGGGCCTTGGGGAACACTAAGGACTCCTTGACAGGAAGAAAGAGTGGGTACCTTGATTTCCTAGGTCACTCATGTTGGAGCTACAATAATAATAACTGATTGTTACTGAATATGAATTGTCATCAAAACCATGTGGGGTAAACACTATTGTTATTCCCATTTCATAGATGAAGAGACTGAATCACAGGTAGGTTACAAACCAAGGTTGTGTTGCCAAGGTTATACAGCTGGGGGAAAAGAACTGGGATTTAAACTCGGGCAGTGTAGCTCTTATTGGTGGTTGTCTGTGGTAGGCTCATTGGCTCCATTATTGGGAGGATTTGGAGGAACTTGTTGAAAATACCGTCTTTGCATAACACCAGCTAGCCTCCCTTGGGAAGTGCTGCCTGACCCCAGCTTTGGCAAAGCAGCACAGTCAGGCTTGTCCAGGAAGCCCTGTACCTTTTTAATGTGTACAAAGGCAGCAGCTAGAGCTAAACATTTCCTTTTCTAACCTCCTTCACGGTTTATCAAGTAAAACAGTTACCTTAATCATCTCAGGGTCCAAGGGTTGGGTGGAACCTTGCTTTCTCCTAAGAGAGATTTTCTGGGAAGGTTCTAAACTAAGAAAACACCTTGGCAAAGGGGTAAAAAATTGACTACTTAGTGACCATCAAGCTGCAGGGCTTATGACCTTTGGATTACTGACACAGTTCATCTACTTTGGCAGTCATACAGGATTTCTGGGAATTGACACATTTTTATTAATGACCTTTTAAGCCACCACACTTACAGGTATAGACTTGACATACTAATATACACATACAATGTTGGACATTTTTTGGGGTAGAATGGCACATCTACCCAAAGAGAAATAAATCATAGATGTTCATATTCATTTTATTCAAATTGCGATAGTATGACTATTGATCAATTCAATCCAAGTGCACCCTATTTCTCAGATTATACAATTTTTTAATGTACTTGGCTCTAATAATTCTTAGAATGCACTGAATTCCAGATGATAGTGTTGAGTGAGAATTAAAGTGCTACTGTGTTTAAAATTTGATGTTTGTGACTATTCATGACTTGTAGCATGCAATAAAGAGCAGGTAACAAATGGGAGCAAATTATTCTTTGCTCCCAATAATTCTTTTTAACTGTAGAGTTGGGGTGTCTTATACTGATAGCCTTTTCTGGCTTATATTTTTCTTTCTCCTTTCTCTGTGCAAACCTTCCCCTTTATTTAGAATCTTCTTTTCTGATTTCTTTTTTTTTTTTGAGACAAGGTCTCGCTCTGTTGCCCAGGTTGGAGTGCAGTGGCATGATCTTGGCTCACTGCAACCTCCGCCTCCTGGGTTCATGCAATTCTCATGCCTCAGCCTCCGAAGTAGCGGGGATTACAAGCTTGCACCACTATGCCCGGCTAATTTTTGTATTTTCAGTAGAGACGGGGTTTTGCCATGTTGGCCAGGCTGGTCTGAAACTCCTAGCCTCAAGTGATCCGCCCGCCTTGGCCTTTCTTTTTTTTTTTTTTTTTTAATGTGTGTGTTTTTGGTACTTATCAACTTTTTTTTTTTTTTTATCGTACTTTCAAAGTACTGGGATTTACAGGCTTGAGCCACTGCTCCCAGCCCCTGAATTGTCTCTTACTGAAACTCTTTATCCTCCAAGGCCAGCCTCATGATGCCTTCTTTGATCACCCTGTTCTCTGTGGTCACCCAACACTCAGCACAGGGTGGGTGTCACTCACATGGTGTTTAACCCATTCTCCCTGAATTTGCTGTTATTTGCTATTTATTTCACTTTGCCTTTTGGATTATGTATTGGTAAACATTTTCTGTAAGTGGTCTGGTGGTAAATATTTCAAGCTGTGTGGTCTCTGTGTGGTCTCTGTATGGTCTCTGTCATAACTCTCAACTCTGCTGTTGCAGTGTGAAAACAGCCACAGTCAATGCATAAATGAACGGGTATAGCTGTGCTCAATAAAACCTGATTTTTAGACACTAAAATTTGAATTTCACACAATTTTCACATGTCACGAAATATCGTTCTTTTGATTTTTTTTCTGTCATATAAAACCGTAAAAACTATCTTTAGCTTGTGGGCTGTACTAAAACCAGAAGTTGGTGGATTTGGCCTATAGTTTGCTGAATTCTATTTAAAATTAGTAGTTCCTGCAAGGCAAGAATGACATATTAGACAATGTTGTGTCTACCCCTTACAATGCCTGCCACAAAACCTTTCATGTCATAGCTAAGTCAATTGTTATTTGTTGAATTGATGTGGAATAAAAAGAAAACGTACCTGCTGGTCGAGCGCGGGTGGCTTATACCTCTAATCCCAGCATTTTGGGAGGCCAGGGTGGGAGGATTGCTTGAGGCTAGGAGTTTGAGACCAGCCTGAACAACACGGCAAGACTCTTGGCTCTACAAAAAAAAAAAAAAAATTTGCCAGTCATGGTTGTGTGTACCTTTTGTCGCAGCTGCCCAGGAGGCTGAGGCAGGAGGATCACTTGAGCCCAGGATGTCAAGGCTGCAGTAAGCTATGATTGTGCCACTGTACTTCAGCCTGGACAATGGAGCAAGACCCTGTTCCAAAACAAAACAAAGCCATACCTTCATCACTGAAAAATCAGAAAACTTGAGTGTTTATGATTCATTTCATTTATTCTTTTATTTTTTCAACTACATACAAAGAAGTTTGCAGAAGTGAAAAGAAATAATGGATTTTGCTTGTGCCTCTTTATATGAAGAGTTAACCCATTGAAATACTATTGCCATTGAGGAGCCAAATGAGTAAGGTAGTCATCCCTGCACCTGGAGGTTGACCAAAAAACCTCCTGAGTTCATTTGGAGTAGAAATGTTTCAAATTACACTTTTGCTTTTGAAAAGTAAGTGAGTAGGGGTTTGTCTTAGTTTGCAGAAAAGGAGCAAGAAGTTCAGAATTTGTCCCTAAGGGAGACAAAAAACATGAGAAGGTTTGAAGATATTTTTTAGTCTATGTTGATTGCCAAATAGAGAGATCTTCTACAAAAAGAAAGTGCAGTGAAGCTGCCTATGTATTGTTGACTTCCATTTTATTGCTGTTATTTGAATTTCTTTTGATTGTGGTCATTTTAACAATTTTAAAATATACAATTCAGTGGCATTAAGCATATTCCCAAGGTGCAATCATCATCACTATCTCCAGAATTTCTCATCATCAAAACTATGTACCCATTGAGCAATAATTTCCCATTTTCCCTTCCTCATGGACCCTGGTAACCACCATTCTATTTTCTGTGTCTGTGAATTTGCCTATTCTATTTTTTTTTTGAGACAGTCTTGCTCCATCACCCAGGCTGGAGTGCAGTGGTGTGATCATAGCTCACAGCAGCCTTGACCTCCAGACTCAAGTGATCCTCTCACTTCAGCCTCCTGAATCCTCCCCTGGGACTACAGGCACACACCACCATACATGGCTGACTTTTAATTTTTATTTTTTGTGGAGACAGTGTCTTACCATGTTGCCCAGGCTGGTCTAGAACTCCTGGGCTCATGCGATCCTCCTGCCTCAGCCTCCTGAAGTGTTGGGATTACAGCCTGAGCCACTGCACCCGGCCTGCCTATTCTAGATATCTCACATAAGTACAGCCATTTAATATTTCTCCTTTTGTGTCTGACTTAGCATAATGTTTTCTGCTTAGCATAGTTCACTTAGCACAATGTCTTACAAGTTTATTCATGTTGTAGCATATGTCAGGGCTTCATTCCTTTTTATGGCTGAATAATATTCCATTGCATGCACATACAACATTTTGTTTATTCATCTGTTAATTGACATGGGATATTTCCATGTTTTGGCAATTGTGAATAATACTAAAATGAACTTCAGTGTATAAGTATCTGCCTGAGTCTCTGTTTTCAATTATTTTGCTTATATTCCTAGAAGTGAAATTGCTGGGTGATATCATAATTCCATGTTTAACATTTTGACAAACCATCAGGTAGTTTTTGACAGTGCCTGTACAGCAATGTACAAAAATTCCAGCTTCTCCACATCCAGTCAAAACTTATTGTTTTCTGGTTTTAATTTACTATGGTCATCCTAATGTGTGTGAAGTTGTATCTCATTGTGGTTTTGAGTTGCATTCCACTAATGACTAACGACATTGAGTATATTTTCATGTACTTTTTGGCTATTTATATACCTTCTTTGGATAAATGTCTGTTCAAATTCTTTGTCTTTTTTTTTTTTTTTTTTTTTTTTTGAGTTGGAGCTTCACTCTTTTTACCCAGTCTGGAGTGCAGTGGTGTGATCTCGGCTCACTGCAATCTCCACCTCCTGGGTTCAAGTGATTCTTCTGCTTCAGCCTCCTGAGTAACTGGGACTACAGGTGTGTGCCACCACGCCTGGCTAATTTTTTGTATTTTTAGTAGAGACAGGGTTTCACCATGTTGGCGAGGCTGGTCTTGAACTCCTGACCTCAGGTGATCTACCTGCTTCAGCCTCCCAAAGTTTTGGGATTACAGGTGTGAGCCACTGTGCTCAGCTTTCTCGTCCACTTTTAAATTGGGTTTTGTCTTTTTGTTGTCAGGTTGTAGGAGTTCTTTATATTTTCTGGATACTAGAGCTTTATCACATATATGATTTACAAATATTTTCTCCCATTCTGTGGGTTAACTGTTCATTCTATTGAGTGTGCCCTTAGATACACAAAAGTTTTAAAATTTTGATGAAGTCCAGTTTATCTATTTTTTTCTTTTGTTGCCTGTGCTCTTGGTGTCATATTTTAGAAACCATTGCCAAATTCAAAGTAATAGAGATTTGCCCCTCTGTTTTTTCCTAAGAGTTTTATAGTTTTATATGTTAGGTCTTTGATCGATTTTAAATTTTCATATATGGTGCGAAGTCGTGAAGTAAGGATCCAACTTTATTGTTTTGTATATAGATATATTATTGTCTCATCATCATATGTTGAGAAGACTTTTCTTTCTTCATTGGATGGTCATGGTACCGTTGTTGAAAACTGATTGACCATAGATGCATGGGTTTCTTTCTGAACTCCCAATGCTTTTCCATGGATCTGTATGTCTATACTTATGCCAAACGCAGTTTGGATTACTGTAGCTTTGTAGTAAATTCTGAAATCAGGAAATGTGAATCCTCCAATTTTGTTCTTTTCCAAGATTGTTTTGGCTATTTGGGGTCCCTTTGCAATATGAAATTTAAGATTGGCTTTTGTATTTCTGCAAAACAAAAAATGTCATTTGATAGGGTTTACATGGAATCTGAGGATTACTTTGGGAAGTATTGTCATCTTAACCATATTGTCTTTCTTTTTGAGATGGAATCTTGCTCTGTTATCCAGACTGGAGTGCAGTGGTATGATCAGAGCTCACTGCAGACTCAAACTTCGGGGCTCAAGTGGTCCTTCTGCCTCAGCCTTCCAAGTAGCTGGGATTATAGATGAGAGCCACCTTGCCCGGCTCCATGTTAAGTCTTAGATAGGGTCTCACTCTGTCACCCAGTTTGGAGTGCAGTGGCACAATCTTGGCTCACTGCATCTTCACCCACCAGGCTCAAGCAGTCCTCCCACCTCAACCTCCTGAGTAGTGCACACCATCACACTTGGCTTTTTTTTTTTTATTAAAAAAATTTTTTTCGTGTATGTAGTGATGCAGTCTCACTATATTGCCCAGGCTGATCTTGAACTCTTGAGCACAAATCATCCTCCCACCTCGGCCTCCCACAGTGTTGGGATTATAGGCATGAGCCACCACACCTGGCCATATATTAAGTCTTGTAATCCGTGAACACAGAATGTTTTTCCATTTATTTGTGTCTCCTTTAATTTTTTTTTCAGCAATGTTTTGTAGTTTCCAGCATAAAAGGCTTTTGCCTCCTTGGTTAAATTTATTCCTAGGTATTTTATTCTTTTTGATGCAATTGTAACTAGAATTCTTTTCTTAATTTCCTTTTAGATTATTCACTGCTAGTGTATAGAAATACAAAAAATTTTTGTGTGTTGATTTTGTGTTCTGCAACTTTGCTGACTTAGTTTATTAGCTCTAACAGTGTGTGTGTGTTGGGGGGCCTGGGGAGAGTGTGTATTCTTTATGGGTTTCTACATAAGAATTATATCATCTTTGAATAGAGATTGTTTTACGTGTTCCTTTCCCATTGGGATGCCTCTTATTTCTTTTTCTTGCCTGATTGTTCTGGTGAGAACTTCTAGTACTATGTTGAATAGAAATGGTGAAAGTGGGCATTTTTCTCTTGTTCTTGATCTTAGGGGAAAAGCTTTTGTTTTTATCACCATTGAGTATGATGATAGCTGTGAGTTTTTCCTATATCAGTTTTATCATGTTGAGGAAGTTCTTTTCTATTCCTAGTTTCTTGAGTGTTTTGTCATGGAACATTGTTAAATTTTGTCAAATGCTTCTTTTGCAGCCACTGAGATCATCACGCTGTTTTTTTCCCTCCCTTCCTTTTTTTAACGTGGTGTATTATATTGATTGATTTTTGAATGTTAAGCCACCCTTGCATTCTGGGGATAAATTCCACCTGGTCATGGTATGTAATCCTTTTAATAAGCTACCAAATTTGGCTTGCTAGTATTTTGTGGATAATTTTTATATCTATATTCATAAGGGACATTCTGGCCTATAATTTTCTTTTTTTTAATAGTATTTTTTTCTTATCTGGTTCACGTCTCGTGACAATTCTAGCCTCACAGAATGAGTTAGGAGATGTTTTCTCCTCTTTAATTTTTTGGGAGCATTTGAGAATGATTGGCGTTAATTTTTCTGTAAATGTTTCTTAGAATTCACAAGTAAAGTATTGAATTTTCTCTGTTGGTAGGCTGTTAATTACTGGTTCACCCTCCTAACTTGTTACAGGTTTATTCAGATTTTCTATTTCTGTTTGAGTCAGTTTTGGTAGTTAGTGTCCTTGTAGGAATTTGTCCATTTCATTCATTGCATTTTGTTTTATCTAGGTTTAGAAAATCTACCAAATTTAGTAAGAAGCTAAAATCATCATAATATATTAAAGCCATCACTTTATGAGTCTCAAATTTTCCAATAATGTTAAAAAATATTTACTGAATAGGTGGGGGAATTTTGGACTGAATAATATGCCTAGTGCATACATATTTAGAGGGTGTTTCTAAACTGTCTTTTTGCAGAGCTACCATTTTCTAAGACTCCTAACTTTTTAGGGCCTGTTACATATCTAATAAGTATCAATGAAATTTTTTTTTAGAGTCTGTAACATTGGCCTCCAAAAACATATAAAAGATAAGAACTTTGACATAAATAATATGTGACAAGGATATCATAGATAGATAAAAATATCTATTAAATAAAGTTGTCGAGAACTATAATGCACTAAATAAATGACTTTTATTATATTCATTGTTCCTCTGTCAGCCATATTAATTATTTACCTTTCAATATTCAGTTTATAGATAACTTTTTTCTCCAATCCTTCCTTTTTACTCCCGAAGGAGAGTTAAGTGTTCCCTCTTTATGCTCCTTTAACACTCTGTGGATACATTGCTTATATTTATCAGGCTGTGTTGTATTATTAGGTCATAAATCCTTAAAAACATAGGCAAATTTCTCCAACCTCTGTGCCTGTCACATAGATAGTTGGTAAATGTATACAGGCTATATGCAGGGCATCACAACTTTAACCATCTGAAAAGTCCTTTCTAGCTTGTCTTCAGGATTTTACGTATTCAGGGTTTTCGCTGTAAAGAGTCACAAAACTAAGTCTTTGTGCCTTACGAAAGTTTTGAGAAGTTTTTTTTTTTCTGAAAGAAATAAATTATTTCTCATGAAGAATATATAAGATGCACACACAAGTAGAATGAAAGATATTAACACCTAAGCAAATGTATTAGAAACCTCAGATTCTGTACTTATTCTGACATTACTCATACAAAAAGTCTTTGCTCTTCCCGTTGAAAGTATGTTTCTGAAGAATCATAAGCTGGATCATGTTGATGAGGGCCTTTGCTGACTAACATTTGCTATTGCTGTGAAGTATGGAGTCAGGACAGTCATAAACTAGGGGGAGAGAAGAAAGGGGATTTTGAGGCCAAGATCAGTTGTAGTCTGTTGAGAACTAAATGGAGAACTTCATGGTTTTGTCATTCACATTTTTTTTGCATTCACCATTGCTGAAGACGAGTGCCAATCTGTTATCTAATGGGAAAAAGAATTAATACTCTCACTCTTTCCTTCCATTAAGGTGCCCAATTTTTTTTTCATTATAGGCTAGATTCAAATGAAGGATCTTGTGGTTTCAGAAAATGACAACAAATTAGCAAACTTAGGGTGTTATCTTAAGGGGAAAATGTCCATCCTACAGGTCTTTCAAGAGAAGCTTGATGGTGTCATGAGATGTCAACCCAGGGACTTTGGGGAAAGGGCTTGTTTTAGATTCCTTAAGGGTCCTGGAAAAGTCAATCCCTACTGTGATTTCTGTTGGAGTGAAAAAAACAAACTCAAAACAAATACCACAAACAAACAAATAAACAAAACCCAGTAGGAACACAGTATGAGCCCTAGTTTAGAATACCTGTGTTTGGGTCCTGGCAGTGTTACCAGCTTATTGGTGACTTTGAAAATTCCCCAAATATTGGAAATTGGAAACTCCCTAAATGTTCTTGAGCTATGAAGAGTAATATAGGTGATGAAACAAACTTTGGAAACTAGTTGATGGACAGTAAATGTAGCTTAATTGTTTTTTCTCTTTTCATAAAGAAAACATGTTTGCTGCAGATAATTTAAACAATATAGAAAAGTTTTTAAAAAAATCATCCCAAAGTCTACCATTTGGAGCAAGCCTCTTACTGTTTCAGTGAACATTGAACGTAGAGCACAATTTTGGCCTTGATTCCACACACCTTTCTCACCCTCTACAGACCCCCCGACACATATGTGCTTTAACAGAATAGTATATATAATATATGCTACCTTGCAAACTGATTTTTAAAACATTATTATGAAGAGAAAAATAATGTTTAATGTTTATAATAAGCCAACCTTTTAGATTTCTAATAACTGAAATGACCTGGCAAGTAAGTTAGAGCCAATTTACAAATAAGGGTTGTATGAAAGGCAAATAAAGTTGTTTTTTTAAACAGTATTAAATTGTAAGGTTCTAGTTCTAACAGTCTTTCTCTTCTTCTGTAGCTGCAGCCATTCTCTACTTACAATAGAAAGTGAAAACCAGTTGACTGGTTTTCATCTGGGTTCCTGTCTTCACTCACTAGCCATGGGAAGCCTTTTCTCTGTTGTTCCTTCTTGTTCATATATGAATAGTTAACGAACTTTTTTATTTAGCATAATTTGCCTTTCAGGTTGAGGTATTTCTAGGGTTAAATATTACTTTAAAGTTGTCATTTTTATGCTGACAGAATGTACACATTTTGAAGAGTATAGGTAAATGTTATTTATTTATTTATTTAGAGACAGGATCTCTCACTCTGTCACCTAGGCTGAAGTGCAGTGGTGTCATCATAGGTGACTGCAGCCTCCAACTCCTGGGCCTATTTAGCATAATTTGCCTTTCAGGTTCCGGTATTTCTAGGGTTAAATACTACTTTAAAGTTGTCATTTTTATGCTGACAGAATGTACACATTTTGAAGAGTATAGGTAAATTTTATTTATTTATTTATTTAGAGACAGGGTCTCACTCTGTTGCCTAGGCTGAAGTGCAGTGGTGCGATCATAGCTCAACTGCAGCCTCCAACTCTTGGGCTCAAGCGAGCCTCCCCCCTCAGCCTCCTGAGTGGCTGGGATTATAGATGTGAGCCACCGTGCCTACTTTAGGTAAATTTTTATTTACAGCTTTTGTGACACATTATCCAAATGTTGTCTTGCAATATATTCAAATACAGTAGTGTTTTGTTTTTGGCATATTTGTTACTAAAGAGGTTCCTGTAACAACAGAATATATTGAAATCATTAGGCAGAACATATTATGCTTTCAATTGATAAATTAGCATTTTGGAAAACTCGTATCTGCTACTTGAAGTGTGATAGCTTCACAATACTTAAATAATTTTTTGTTGTGTTTGGTGATGATATTAACAAATGTGATTTCAAAAATATTCTGTAATGAAATATATCAACATTTAGAAGAACTGGCTAACAGTAAACTAATAATTTTCAAGTGACCAATGCATAATATTATAAAACCATTTAAAATGAAAGATAGATCCATGGGCTTTAATATAACTGAGGATAAAAAGTTCATTGATATGGTTTCAGATTCCATATTGCAATGAACCTTTAAGAAACTACCACTTATCAAGTTTTGCTGTAGTATCAGAGAATAGCCACAATTATCTGAAAAAATATTTACTAATTTAAAATATAAAAGAACTGTTTGAAGGCATTGGAGTCTGGGCACGGTGGCTAACGCCTGTAATCCCAGCACTTTGGGAGGCCGAGGTGGGTGGATCATCTAAGGTCAGGAGTTTGAGACCAGCCTGGCCAACATGGTGAAACCTTGTCTTTACTAAAAATACAAAAATTAGCCAGGCGTGGTGGCGGGCGCCTGTAATCCCAGCTACTTGGGAGGCTGAGGCAGGAGAATTGCTTGAACCCGGGAGGCAGAGTACAGTGAACCGAGATTGTGTCACTGCATTCCAGCCTGGGTGACAGAGCGAGACTCCATATCAAAAAAAAAAAATAAATTAAAAAAAATAAATAAAGGCATTGGAAAGCAACGAGACATCCAGCACTTGAGAGACCAAGATTTAGGAGAGAGAGAAGAAAGTTAAGATAAGTCTAAAATTCTCTGCTACTTTTTTCCTCAAGGAACTTAAAATGTGTAAGCAACATTACTAATAGAATGTGCAAATCAAGATGTTAAAAGATTAATCAGAGCTTTCGAAAGTATCATGGTGCTGGTGAGCTAAACACTGGAATTCAGAGCCTAATGAGGAAGAGACACAATCCTGGGCCACATTCCATGTTTCCACTGAGATACCTGAATACCTGTTTCCTAGGAGTAAGGATAAACCAGAAATAGTTCAGCTCTCAAAGACTGGAACCCAGCCCTGAGACAACTCATTCTGACTGGATCAAGGATTTGCCTCTATTCTAACTGCCTGCTTGAAGAAAAAGAAATCCTCTTTAGAGAAGATAGCATCATCCAAAGCCTATATAACTTTTCATATCCAATGGAAATTATTCAATTAAAATTTGCCAGGCATACCAGAACCTTGGATAAAAGGACCAGAAACAAAAACAACAGACAGAGACAATCCATATCCAAGAGTTATCAGGTACAGACTTTAAAATAAACATAATAGGCCAGCGGTGGTGACTCGTGGCTTTAATCCCAATGCTTTGGGAGGCTGACATGGGAGGATCATTGAGTTTGAGTCCAGCCTGGGCAACATAGTGAGACCCCATCTCTACAACATATTAAAAAATTAGCCAGGTTTGGTGGTGCTTGCCTGTATTCCTAGCTACTCAGGAGACTGAGGTGGTAGGATCGCTTAAGACCAGGAGTTCAAGCTTACAATGAGCTATGATTGCACCACTGCATTCCAGCCTGGGTAACAGGGTGAGAACCGACCTCTTAAAAAACAAACAAAAAAACCCCATAAAAGTAAAATAATCATGATTGCCATGTTCAAGAAAATAGATGACAAAATGGAGAATTTCACAAGAGAACTGCACTCTCTAAAAATAATTCAAATAGAAATTTTGGGCCTGAAAATGTAATGACTGAAATGAAAATTTAATAGATAGAGTTGACGGTATATAAATCCCAAGTAAGTAGGAAGAAAGAAATAATAAAACAAAAGGTATAAATGAAATATAAAGCAAAAATAGGGCTGGGTGCTGTGGCTCATGACTGTAATCCCAAAACTTTGGGAGGCCAAGGTGGAAGGATCACTTGAGCCCAGGATTTCAAGACCAGCCTGGGCAACATAGTGAGACTGTGTCTATACCAAAAATAATTTAAAAATTAGCCGAGTGTGGTGGCATGCACCTGTGGTCCCTGCTACTCTGGAGGCTGAGGAGGGAGGATTGCTTGAGCCTTGGGATGCCAAGGCTGTAGTGAGCTGTGATCATGCCACTGCACTACAGCCTGGGCAACAGAGCAAGACCCTGTCTCAAAAAACAAAAAACAAAAATATAATTGAATGAGAACAATGGTTCTTTGAAAAGATTGACAAAATTGACAATACTCTAAAGAAAAGAGAGAAAAGACAGCAAATAGCCAATACACCAATGAAAAGAGAGATAATACTATAAATCGTACAGATCCCCAAAGGATAATAAGAGAATATAATGAACAAATTGATGGCAATATATTTGAAAATTTTGGTGAAATGGAAAAATTCCCAGGAAAGGACAAATTTCCAATGCAGACATGAGAAGAAACAGGAAAATCCGTTTTTTGGTCGAATGTTGATTACATCAGACCCTTTCCATATGAAGGGAGAAGTGACTTGTCCATACTAGAATAGACAAATACTCTGAATATGAGTTTGCTTTCACAAGCAATGCATTTACAGTGAAGGAAGTGTAACATCAGTATATGATCTCGGAATGTGTTGGTGTTACTTATACCTCATTCCTAGAAACAGCCACATAAATAGAGAGATGGAATGATAAATTCTCATTTAAATCACCAGTTCAAGGACAAAACTGGTGAGATTAGAGTGTTGTCCTCTAGGATGTGGCATATAGTAGATATATGATACGTTGTCCCCAAAAGTGGAAGAAAGATTGGTGCCTCCCACCATCAGCTCAAGAATTTGCTTCTCATTCCTGACATCTTAGGCTCTGCTGCATTTGAAATCCTGATTCCTACGTGGAATGATTCCACCAGTGAGTACCACAGAACATTAAAGTATCACAACTTCTGGTCACTTGGCTCCTCAATGGGGCTTCAACTGACTTCATACTGGAAGCATTATGCTCCAGGTACCCATGGGATGTGCTGTCACTTTTTGCCCTAGAGCTTCCCTGGTGCTGTAAACACTGGTGGGCTGAGGAAGCCCACATGCATGCCCCAGGATACAGAGAAATTGATGCCCTGAGGAGAACTCCTAACCAGTAGGGGATGGGGGCTGGTGAATAAATACTACTCCTAGATGATCCTCAAGTGGACGATTTTGAGAAGCATTTTCAAAATTAACTGTCATGAATATAGCACTCCTACCTAGTTTTTCCTCTTCCCCATCTCACTCTATCTGGTCCTTCATTATTACTCCTTGGAATTATTTCCCAGTAAATTACATACATCCAAGTCTTTGTACCATGGATCTACTTTCAAGGATAGTACAAGCTTAGATAATCTGGAGCTGATCAGATTGGGTTCCAATTCCAGGTTTGCTGCTAACAGGCTATGTGATCTTGGGAAAAATCACAACCAACATTTCTGGGCTCAGTTTCCTTATCTGTAAAATAGGAATAATTACGGTGCCTACTTCATAGGGTTGCTGTGAGGATTAAATAAGTTTATATTCATAAAGCACTTTGAATTGTGTCTAGCACCTAATAAGCACCACATAAATGTTAGCTCCTACTGTGTTTGCAGATCATTTTTCTAGTGGGATACTCAACTTTTTACTGGTTTCTAAGAATTTATTTATATTAGTAAACATTAACCTTTTTTTGGTCATAGATGTAAAACGTATTTTCTCAGTTTGTCCTTGAACATTGTTCATGGTGTTTTTTGCCTTACATAATCATTTGATTTTTATATAGACAAAATTAGCAACCCTTTCCATTTTGGATTGTAGCATTCATGCCTTACTTAGGCAGGCTTTCCCATCCTAAAATTAAAGGATAAAATGTTTCCCCAGGCAATATATTTCCCCAGGCAATTCAATACAAACAAGGTCTGTAGATTACATACTAATTAGTTGGAATTTTGTTTAATGTCAGATAGTATATGCATGCCAGATTCTTAGCTTATATTTGGCACATAGTGAATGTTCAGTAAATTTTGGTTATTATTTTCATTCTTCGTGAAATGAAGAATAAAAAGAAGATCTTGACTTTATGACTGGTGCAG
Organism: Homo sapiens; assembly: GCF_000001405.40. Lineage (NCBI taxonomy): Eukaryota > Metazoa > Chordata > Mammalia > Primates > Hominidae > Homo > Homo sapiens. The sequence goes on along the minus strand of NC_000002.12, from coordinate 169,373,440 downwards.
GGAATACAGAAGATGAGCCTGGGGCAACTTGCTGTGCTGGAAAGCAAGCAAGTGCTAAAATACAAAATAAAACAATAGCAATGAAACAAATAAAATGCCCCCAAACCCCACAATAATGAGGGTATGTCAAAGGGACCCAGGAGCCAACTGAGAGAGCTCACAACGGCCAAGGCTATAGCAATTTGAGCAATAAAATAATGTAGTATTGGGTTATAATCCAAACTATATAATACATATCCATGATTCTATGTTGACATAAATATATGATTAAATAAATAAATAAATGGGAACAAACAGACAAATCTATCCATGCAGAAGAATTCCTTCACTGTGTCTGCAAGGAGGAGGAGCACAGCTCTCCAGTTCTTAACTGTGGGCTGCACATAGTGGCTTCCTTCTGAAGAGTACAGAATGAAAAGGAAGAAAACGGAGTGACTGTTCAATGGAGAAAACTGACAAACACAACTTCAGCCAGGTGATCAAGGTTGATATAAATTTATCCTAAATCATGACTTAAGTCATATTGATAATATCTACCATTGATTTAATATGAGGAGAATGGCTCTTACTGGTTTTGTCCCAAAGCCCCATAACTCCAATATAATCTCGAGAAAAACATCAGACAAATCCCAAGTAAGGGTCGTCATGCAAAATACCTGACCAGTACTCCTCAAAACTGTCAAGGTCATCAAAAACAAGGAATGCCCAAGAAACCGTCACAGCCAAGAGAAGCTTAAGGAGATAGGCTGACTAAATATATGTGGTACCCTGGATGGGATCCTGGAACAGTAGAAGTACATTAGGTAAAAAACGAAGGAAATCTGAACACACCATGTGCTCTAATTCATAATAATGGCTCATTAATTGTGACAAATGTACCATACTCATTTAAAATGTTAATAATAGGCTAAACTGGGTGTGGGATATATGGGAATTCTCTGGACTCTCTTTGTAATTTTCAGTCAATCTATTCTACAATTAAAAAGTTTATTTTAAAAAAGAAGACCATGAAGTACAAAGTTTATTGGGGGACACATAAAAGTAATCAAAGAATTTATTTCACATGTTGAGAATCCTAATGAAGGTAAGTGTTTCGTGGGATAGGATTATAGAAAAGAAAGAGGTGCTCTGGGAGAGTTGGAGGAGGTTTCGCCACCAAAGAGGAAACATTTGAGGTAGGGCTTGAGGAAGAAATAGCAGTTGTTCAACCAGAGAGGAGAGGGGAAAGAAATATTTTTCTTGTTTAGTTTGCATTTTAACATCACTGAAGCGTAGGAACCAATATGCAGCTTCTCTATTTTGAAATGCTTCTTGGCATGCTGCATCTTATGTCTGTTTCTTTTTTATTTCGTTTTAAGTTCTGGGATACATGTGCAGGATGTGCAGGTTTGTTACATAGGTAAACGTGTACCATGGTGGTTTGCTGCACCTGTCAACCCATCATCTAGGTATTAAGCCCAGCTTGCATTAACTATTTATCCTGTTGCCCTCCCTCCTCCTGCCCCCCACCACCCACCAGGCCCCCGTGTGTGTTGTTCCCCTCCCTGGGTCCATGGGTTCTCATTGTTCAGCTCCCACTTGAAAGTGAGATATGTCTGTTTCTTTTGACTGGACTTTGATCTACAGAATTATAGTCCTTTGCCCACTGTACTGTCCAGTACTAGAAAAAGGAAATTAGCAGAAGTGGTTTCTAAATGCATTTTATGATTTTGTTCTTGAGCTCTAGGTCTGAAATCCAACTTAAATACTTTGTTCTCAAAATATTTAAAATTCTATTGTTCTATTTCAGGGATTCTTAACCTTGCACTATTGAAATTTGAGGGCAGATAATGCTTTGTTCTGGGGTCTGTTCTGTGCATTGCAGGATGTTTTATCAGCAACCCTGGCCTCTACCCACTAGTTGACAGCAGGACTCCTCAGTTGTGATAATTAAAAATGTCTCCAAATATTGCCAAATGTCCTCTACGGACATTAGAGAAACACTGCTCTATTTCAACTCACGTTGCAAAGTTAACTGTAGGTCCTGAAGGCAAGTATGACTAAGGAGAAATTCAAATTGAAACACCCTGAGGATGTTTTTCCATGGTACTCAAGATCTCAAGATCACTTCAGCATAAATTGTATCCTGTGAAGTCTGTTCAATATCTAGATTCTGATTTGGTTGAAATGCCAAAAGCCAAATGTAGACTTTGTGCTGTCTTATTTCATTTATTCATTCACCAAACATTTACTGAGGACCTGCCATGTATTGGGCCTTTTGCCAGGTTCTGGGGATTTGGTGGTGAAAAAGATAGACCTGACTCCTTTGATAGGGAGCTTGGCTGAATTCTGGTGCACGTTCCCAAACCTGTGAACACCAAAGACTGGATTTACAAGTAATGGTGACCTTGAAGTAATTGTCCTCATTGATTTCACTTGAAGGATCCTATGTGCATTCTGACTAAACAAAGGTGTTTTCTTCCTGCATATACTACTCCTTATCATATGTCTTTCTATACCTTTAGCACTTTTTCAGTCTCTGAGATAAAAGAGGAACAGTGAGACTGATGGAATCATCTTGGTCTTCTGGCCATCAAGACTCATCTAGCCAGATGTTTTCACTGATCTTTACTGGCATAAACTGCTCTTGAGAGAGAAGAATTTAAATGTAGTATGGTTAACAATTTTGACTTTCTTAACTTTATTCCTAGGCTTCCTTACTGTGTACTCTGAAATCTCCCTGCACAGGGTCTTGACTCTGGTGCTAGTGATCCTGGACTGATGGCAGCATTTGTGATGGCCTTAGCCCCAGGTAACTGAATCCCAGGTCTTCCTGCAATGGTGTCTTTATATCCTGGATTTTTTGTTGTTGTTGTTGGAAAGCCTTAATTTTATTTAACTTTTTTTCAATCAGTGAGACTTGTTAGAGTCTCTGTTGTTTCTTTAAACCTTTGCCAAGACTTGTCATATAACTTTATTTGCAAACCAAGAGGATTCCCTTGTGATATTATACCTGGTGTCTTCATTTCTGTTTGTGGAAAATATGTCTGTTGCACTGGCTGTCCTTTCAGATCTTGCTGTGGCTTTCCTGGCCCTGGCTGCACACCAGAGATATGCTGTTAATTTATGGCTCAGAACCTGGTCCTCAGGCTGGTGAGTCCAAAGTTATTATTGCTATTTTTAAAAAGGCTTCAAGAAAAAAGTATTATAAATACTGGAGCTGACTAGTAGGTGAGATGCCTTATGATGTCTTCTTAGCAATTGTTGATCATTTCAGTCTAGCTCTGTTTTACAAAGGGCAGAGGTCAATTCAAGCTTATTCAAGCAAAAGGGGGAATTTTTGTAAGGATACGCTAGGTTAGGATCTAGATCTAGAGAGCCGTAAGGAACTGAGGCAACTCCATGACCTCTGCCTCTCTGACCTACGTATCTTTTTTTTAAATTATACTTTAAGTTCTAGGGTACATGTGCACAACCTGCAGGTTTGTTACATATGTATACATGTGCCATGTTGGTGTGCTGCACCCATTAACTCATCATTTACATTAGGTATATCTCCTAATGCTATCCCTCCCCCCTCCCCCCACCCCACGACAAGCCCCATTGTGTGATGTTCCTCTTCCTGTGTCCATGTGTTCTCATTGTTCAATTCCCACCTATGAGTGAGAACATGCGGTGTTTGGTTTTCTGTCCTTGAGACAGTTTGCTGAGAGTGATTGTTTCCAGCTTCATCCATGTCCCTACAAAGGACATGAACTCATCCTTTTTTATGGCTGCATAGTATTCCATGGTGTATATGTGCCACATTTTCTTAATCCAGTTTATCATTGATGGACATTTGGGTTGGTTCCAAGTCTTTGCTATTGTGAATAGTGCTGCAGTAAACATACGTGTGCATGTGTCTTTATAGCAGCATGATTTATAATCCTTTGGGTATATACCCAGTAATGGCATGGCTGGGTCAAATGGTATTTCTAGTTCTAGATCCTTGAGAAATCGCCACACTGACTTCCACAATGGTTGAACTAGTTTACAGTCCCACCAATAGTGTAAAAGTGTTCCTATTTCTCCACATCCTCTCCAGCACCTGTTGTTTCCTGACTTTTTAATGATCACCATTCTAACTGGTGTGAGATGGTATCTCATTGTGGTTTTGATTTGCATTTCTCTGACAGCCAGTGACGATGAGCATTTTTTCATGTGTCTGTTGGCTGCATAAATGTCTTCTTTTGAGAAGTGTCTGTTCACGTCCTTTGCCCACTTTTTGATGGGGTTGTTTGTTTTTTTCCTGTAAGTTTGTTTGAGTTCTTTGTAGATTCTGGATATTAGCCCTTTGTCAGATGGGTAGATTGTAAAAATTTTCCCCCGTTCTGTAGGTTGCCTGTTCACTCTGATGGTAGTTTCTTTTGATGTGCAGAAGCGCTTTAGTTTAATTAGATCACATTTATCAATTTTGGCTTTTGTTGCCATTGCTTTTGGTGTATTAGACATGAAGTCCTTGCCCATGCCTACGTCCTGGATGGTACTGCCTAGGTTTTCTTCTAGGGTTTTTATGGTTTTAGGTCTAACGTTTAAGTCTTTAATCCATCTTGAATTAATTTTTGTATAAGGTGTAAGGAAGGGATCCAGTTTCAGCTTTTTACATGTAGCTAGCCAGTTTTCCCAGCACCATTTATTAAATAGGGAATCCTTTCCCCATTTCTTGTTTTTCTCAGGTTTGTCAAAGATCAGATGGTTGTAGATGTGTGGTATCATTTCTGAGGGCTCTATTCTGTTCCATTGGTCTATATCTCTGTTTTGGTACCAGTACCATGCTATTTTGGTTACTGTAGCCTTGTAGTATAGTTTGAAGTCAGGTAGCGTGATGCCTCCAGCTTTGTTCTTTTGGCTTAGGATTGTCTTGGCAATGTGGGCTCTTTTTTGGTTCCATATGAACTTTAAAGTAGTTTTTTCCAATTCTTTGAAGAAAGTCATTGGTAGCTTGATGGGGATGGCATTGAATCTATAAATTACCTTGGGCAGTATGGCCATTTTCACGATATTGATTCTTCCTACCCATGAGCATGGAATGTTCTTCCATTTGTTTGTATCCTCTTTTATTTCATTGAGCAGTGGTTTGTAGTTCTCCTTGAAGAGGTCCTTCACATCCCTTGTAAGTTGCATTCCTAGGTATTTTATTCTCTTTGAAGCAATTGTGAATGGGCGTTCACTCATGATTTGGCTCTCTGTTTGTCTGTTATTGATGTATAGGAATGCTTGTGATTTTTGCACATTGATTTTGTATCCTGAGACTTTGCTGACGTTGCTTATCAGCTCAAGGAGATTTTGGGCTGAGACGATGGGGTTTTCTAAATATACAATCATGTCATCTGCAAACAGGGACAATTTGACTTCCTCTTTTCCTAATTGAATACCCTTTATTTCTTTCTCCTGCCTGATTGCCCTGGCCAGAACTTCCAACACTATGTTGAATAGGAGTGGAGAGAGAGGACATTCTGTCTTGTGCCAGTTTTCAAAGGGAATGCTTCCAGTTTTTGCCCATTCAGTATGATATTGGCTGTGGGTTTGTCATAAATAGCTCTTATTATTTTGAGATACATCCCATCAATACCTAATTTATTGAGATTGTTTAGCATGAAGGGCTGTTGAATTTTGTCGAAGGCCTTTTCTGCATCTATTGAGATAATCATGTGGTTTTTGTCTTTGGTTCTGTTTATATGCTGGATTACATTTATTGATTTGTGTATGTTGAACCAGTCTTGCATCCCAGGGATGAAGTCCACTTGATCATGGTGGATAAGCTTTTTGATGTGCTGCTGGATTCAGTTTGCCAGAATTTTATTGAGGATTTTTGCATCAATGTTCATCAGGGATATTCGTCGAAAATTCTCTTTTTTTTTGTTGTGTCTCTGCCAGGTTTTGGTATCAGGATGATGCTGGCCTCATAAAATGAGTTAGGGAGGTTTCCCTCTTTTTCTATTGATTGGAATAGTTTCAGAAGGAATGGTACCAGCTCCTCCTTGTACCTCTGGTAGAATTTGGCTGTGAATCAATCTGGTCCTGGACTTTTTTTGGTTGGTAGGCTATTAATTATTGCCTCAATTTCAGAGCCTGTTATTGGTCTATTCAGGGATTCAACTTCTTCCTGGTTTAGTCTTGGGAGGGTTACCTACGTATCTTAATCTCACCTTCAAGGCTGCGAAAGCACGTAGTACATGTTCGAAGAACCAAGTGGAGGCCAGGGTGGCTGAACTGTCAAGTAAAGTTTGAGATATTGTCAAAGGCCCAATCATGCAAGGGTTTGTAGGCTATGCTAAAAATTTTTCATTTTATTGTGGAAAAATGGAAAAGTGATTGAAAGGTTGTAATCAGGCAAGTGTATGGTTGGCATAATGACTAAAAAAGATTATTCTGGTTGCAGAGGGAGAAGAATTTTGAGAAGGCCATGGGAACACAACAAATGTGACAAGTGCTGGGCTGAGGGAAGTAAAGAGAGTTCTGAGGGCATGCATATCTGATTTTCCCCATAACATCCTCTAGAGATACTTTTTTCCCAGTCCAAGATCCACCCTAGGGTCATGCACTGCATATTTCTAAACTGCATATCTCAGCCTTTCTTTATCTTTTATGACCTTGCCATTTTTGAAGTATACAAAATATACTGCAAATACTGTACTTTAGTACTTAAATGTCCCTTAGTTTGGACATTCTAAAAAATGAGAAAACATTGGTTTGACTGATGTTTTCTCATGCTTAGATTTGGGGCATGCACAGTAATACCACAGAAGTGCTGCTGTGTCCTTCAGAGTGTGTCACACCAGGAGGAACATGATGTCAGTTTGCCTCATATTAGTTTTGATTGTTGTGTTGACTTTGATTCCTTGGTTCAATGTAGAGCCTATTGTATTTACCACATTTCTAGCTTCTATAAATATAATGCCTTAATATATATAGGGGAGAGAGAGACAGGTTCTCACTGGAGTGCAGTGATGTGATCATAGCTCACTGCAGCCTCCAACTCCTAGGCTCAAGCCTCAAGTGATTCTCCTGCCTCAACCTCCCAATGTGCTGGGATTACAGGCATAAACCACTGTGCTGGGCCTAAACTTCATGTTTAACATCTGTCCTGCATGCACATGCCATATACACTTTGTTCTAGATAATCTGTTAATATGCCTGACATATTAGTCATCTTGCTTTGACCTCCTGCTTGTTTTATAAATACAAATTAGTCAGTCCTAAACCTGCTTACTCTGCCTTGTCTGTTCCTTTAGGTGGAAACCATAGTAAAGGAGCTTGCCCACACTTCTCCCCTTGCCCTCTGCTTCCCTGTGTGGTCCCTTGAGGCAAGATGTGTACTCCTTCTCTTGGGATCTGTGAATATAACAAACTATATTTTCAATGGCAGTTATCTTTTGGTCTGTTGACTTTATCATATTTAAATAATAATGAAACATATTAAAATATCTGACATATTTTTCTGCTTAAAGTCACTTTTTCCCTTTTTAATGAATAAGTAATTTGTGGGGAGATACTTTAAACTTTTTTGGCTGAGATGCATATGAGAAATATATTTTACATGGCGACACAGTGTGTGTGTGTGTGTGTGTGTGTGTGTGTGTGTGTATTGGTTTGGGCTCCATCCTGCTGAGTTTGAGGCCTTAGGACATTGGATTGGAGCTGTTCAGGGGGCAGTTGGCTCTCAGGAGGAAACTCAGGAGGCACTCAGGAGGAAACACACACATACACACACACACACACACACACAGAAACAGTAGTGTTATAAAGTTATACATATCTTTTCCACATGAAAGTTATTTTGGTTTCTATGTTGTTATATTTCATTTGAATATAATTCTTGCCTTGACCTGCTAAATTGATTTCATTACCCTCTAAAAAGTAATTACCTCTGTTTGCAAGCACTAGTTTGATAGAACTACCAAGTTGAATTGTCTGGTTGCCAAATGGAAAGTAGATGGGAGGGGGCAAAACTGATAGCAAGGAGCTCATTCTAAGGCTCTCCCTATAATTTAGATTGATGAGTGGATTGATAAATTTGAGGTAACAGAATTTCATGATTGATTGGCAATGGGGGTGGAAAAAAGAAGGAGTCAAGAATGATGTAAATTTCAGCTTGGCTTCTGGGGCAATGGTGGTGCTGAAGCTTCTTGGTTTCACTTTCACCTGTCTCTTTCGGTTGACTGCTCTGAAAAGTCCTATATACATATATGGAGAGAGAAATGTGAAAACTAAAGAAATTATCTTTTTGCATTATAGAGAAACACTGCTGGCTTAAATTGCAACTGAATTAACCTGGGCTTTCCCAGATACTGGTCCATAGATTTAATCACCCCAATCTAGTAACAGGCATTCTCAGGTATGGATGCCAGAGATAAACACGTGCATGGTGCAGGCTGTTTTCAAACGTCACGAATTGGGGATTGCATTGAGAAAATGGGTTATTCTAGTGGAAAAGTGTGTGGGTCCACATACAGAGTGCTGCGAATGATGGGCTGTGCTCCGCTAGGTGGTCCCCCATCCCTACCCCTTTTCTGCTCTCCTACCTCCCGTTCTCCCTCCCTCCTTTCCCCTCTTCTGCGTTATTCTGGGATTAACGGCGGGGTCGGCCCCATACACAAACGCAGCTGGCTAGTACGGTCAGCCTGAGCCCTGCTGTGCAACCACGTCAGGAATTCCAGTAAGTTGGCAACACTGGAGCACAAAGACAACAACAATTGAGGAACTCTTCAGTACAGAAAGGAATGTTTGGAGCCCTGGCTGCTACAGTGAAAGGGCACACACACACACACACACACACACACACACACACACACACACACACACACACACACACGCTCGCGCCTGCGCGCCCACGGGCGCACTGGAGGGAGCCCAGCCCCTCCCGCACTCGCGCTCCTCCCTCCCGCCAGCCGGCGGCCGCTCTTTGTAAGTCGGAGGTGCGGGGACGCTCATTGACTATGCAGCGCGGCCCCAGCGGGCGTCGGACCGGCTTGACCCCGGCGCGGTCTCGTACCATCGCCTCGGCCGCCCGGAACCGGCATAAATCACCCGCGAAGACTGGAGTGCAGCATCAAGCCCCCTCGCCGCCTCCCTCCTCCCGCTCCGGTCCGGTCGCCCCCTCCCTCCCCAGACCCCGGCTCTCCTGTCCCCAGTCCTGTCTCCTCCGCGCCGCACAGCGCCCAACACTATGCAGGGAGGCAAATAGAGAACCAGTGACTTTGGCCAGAGCACAGACCTCTGGATTTCCCAATCCAGGAATCTCTCCCACTCTTTCCCACAACGCTGCCCGCTCCACCTTTTTTTCTTTAAGCCTAAGTTTTCTCTTTTTGTGTCTATTTATCTCTTTTTGTCTTTCCAAAGTAACACCTATCCTTTCCCTCCCCTAGCCCCCACACCTAAAGCTGCGCCTACCACTGCAGCCCACGGAAGCTACGCGATCCGGACTGTTGGGGTCAGCAGAGCCCCGGACGACCTGTGCCCCGGGGAAAGGGGCTGGCAGTAATTGGCAGGTTCTCGCCCCTGGGGAAGGGAGGCAGCGGGAACCTGTCCAGCGACCACGTGCGTTCAGGGCTGTCTCCTCCATGCGTCACGGCCCCTTCGCTGGAGGGAAAGGGCTCCTGACTTCTTGGACCAGGATCCGGAGCCTGGGACTAGCTGCCGCGCTGGTTCAGGGGCTGGAGCTGGAGATGATGGGATGGCCTCAGGCCCGCAAACAGCCCCTTCTCACACAGGGTTCCCACCACCGGGAAATAACTTGCATCAACCCTCCTTTTTTACCCCTCCCTGTGGGCTCTGATGTCACGTACAGGCTGAGGACGTGCGCTGAGGGCGGGTGTAAGGCCACTTGTGCTTTTGGCTTCCGGGCCCCTTGCCAGCCTGTCCAAAGCGGCCCCAAAGAAGGGAGGCTAGGGGTTCCCTGAACCTCTCGTGTTTCTCCTTCTTATAAAAGGGTACCGGAACCATGGAGAAGACGTTCGCTCTTTTTCAATTTTGCTTCAAAATGAGCAGACTTGTAAGAAGCACGATCTGGCCATGACACCTGTAGATGTGGTGCTGAATAATTGCTAAATAAGGATCCAACCTCCCCAACAAAGATCCACCTCCCTCTCTAATTTGTAAAAACACAAAGCACCCCATCTCAGCAGCCTGTATCCTATCAGGGGAAACCAAGATATCCGAAGGAGCCTAGAGAGATCAGGCCAGGAATGAAGGTCACAGATCTCCATCCAGCAGGCTCTTTACTCCTTCCCTTCCCTACCCCCGCCTCTTTCCCTTTCTTTCTCTTTCCTTCATTTTTACTTGTCTGGTTGTGCTTTCCTTTTCCATTTCTTATTTTTTCTTTCTCTTCTCTATTCTTGACTTTCCTCCTCGTCCATTTCTTTCCATTGCTCATTTAGTAAAACTGCGTCCGTGCAGATTTCCCCGTGAGCCGCCTCGCCGGCTTCTGTGCGGGGCAAACCCTGCGGAGAGGCGAGGGCAGCGCGTGTGCACGTGTGAGTGTGCCTGTGAGAGTGTGCGCACAGGAGTGTGCTCTTGTATGCACGCGTAAAGGGGACTGTGTATGTCGGCGTTGAAGTGTGACTGTGGAATGTGCGCGCGTGTGTGACTGGCGTGTATGAGTGAATCTGTGTCAGTTGGTGTGACACTTAGGAGTGCATGCGCCTGTATGAGTGCGTGTGTGAGTGTGCACACGCCTGTGTGAGTGTCCCTGTGTGAGCACGCGTGTGTTCGAGTGCCCACTCCTCCCCGCGCTGCAAAGTGCAGGGGGCGGGCCGGGCGGCAGGGGGCCTGCCCGCTGGATTCCCGCATGCTTGTTCCGGGGCGGTCGGGTCTAAAGGGCTTTATGCACTGTCTGGAGGGTGGGGACTGGCGCGGGTAGAAAACGGGATGCCTCGGGCGTGGGGGCAGGCTTTTGGCCACTAGGAGCTGGCGGAGGTGCAGACCTAAAGGAGCGTTCGCTAGCAGAGGCGCTGCCGGTGCGGTGTGCTACGCGCGCCCACCTCCCGGGGAAGGAACGGCGAGGCCGGGGACCGTCGCGGAGATGGATCGCGGGCCGGCAGCAGTGGCGTGCACGCTGCTCCTGGCTCTCGTCGCCTGCCTAGCGCCGGCCAGTGGCCAAGGTAAGAGCCCAGCCAGAGCCTCTCGTGGAGCCCCCACTTCCCCGGCTGTGGCAGGGTCGGGTCCGCGGGAGGCCGGAGGGGAGAGCGTCCGGGCAGGGGCTAGGGCCGGGCGGCGGCGCGGGAGCTGCTCCCGGTGGGGCGCTCAGGTTGCTTCGCGAAGCCGGAGCGGGAGCGCCCCTCTTCGCTCGCCAGGAACTGAGCGGCAGCAAACTTGAGAAAGCAGCCCCGCCAGTTTCGGTGACAGCGCACCCCACGGAGACCCTGTCTTTGTTCCCACGGGCGTTGGTCCGATGCTCCTGGAAAGCACTTTGCGGGAGAACGAGGTTCTCCGCCGTTTGCAGCCTGCCCTCCCTAGCGGAGTTCTCTGCTGGGCGGCGCGGTCCCGGGCTCTGCTCAGAGCGCAGCTTTCCACCTGCAGCGCCCCTCCCGGGATCCCTTCGCGCGCCCAGGGCCGCGGGCCAGAGCACTCCTCCCACCACCGGCGAAACTTGGTCCCGCGGTGACCCCCAGAGACCGCTCTCACCATACAGATCATTTACGAGCCAAGATAAGGCCGGGAGGTGGGATTGGCCGAGAGAGTGGCTGAGGGACTGGAGTCTTTTCTTGAAGTTTTCCTTTCCAGCTGGGAGCTGGGGGCTTTTGTGTTGATGAATGGGGCCCGTCTGCATGGCCAGAGTTTTGGGGATCGAATGCAGAAAGTTTCTAGTATGAAGTGCTTTAAACTTCTCTCAAGTTGTCCGATAGTTTATGTTTTAACAGAAACAGAGAAGAGGGAAAGAGAGGGAGAAAGAAGCGGAGAGAATAAAACTAGTAAGAAGGGAAGAGGAGAGAGCGTAAGAGAAGCAAATAGGAATAAGGAAAGAAGGAGGGAAGAGAACGACTGGGGCGGGAGAAGAGAGAGAGAGAGGAGAGAGAGGAGAGAGACAGAGAGAGAGAGAGAGAGGGAGAGAGAGAGAGAGAGAGAGAGAGACAGAGAGAGACAGAGAGAGACAGAGAGAGACAGAGAGACAGAGACCCGGCCGAGGATGAATGGGAAGGGCGAGGAGGAGGCTGGAACCGGCGAGCTCTCCCCCTGGCTTTGCGTTGCTAGGTAGCAGCCGGGAGCTGCGTGTGACCGACCACCAGACAGACAGAGGGGACGCTGCTGCCACCGCAGGGACTAATCTGTCTGTGGGGATGGGAGAGTCCCCCCTTTCCCCTCCTGCTCCTTCCCTCCCGTCGGACAACTTAATTGCCCTACAATGAAAATGAAACCCCTATTGTTGTAGGATTAGCCAAAGCAATAAATTGATTTTCCTGGATCACATATTGGGGTTGATGGGTGGGGAATGTGGAAGCCCCCATTTACGGAGGAGTGAGGGGAGGGCTTGTGGATGGGCCGTGGCATGTATTCAAATGGTTAATCTGCTTTCTTTCCTCAATTCTTAGCGTAAGCTCCTTAGAGGGAATCAAGTAAGTAATTATACAGCAACTCCTAGCAGCACCCATTTCAGACTTCCTGGGAAGAAGTTTGGAAACCCTAACAAACCCCACAGGTCTTGCAAAAGTCTTCAGAAAGGCAGGAGAGGCAAGGAGAGATCATTAATAACCTTCCTTTGAACACCCTTTCTCAGTGTTGGTAACGCAGAAAGAGGGTTTATTATTATTGTGCAGAGTTTGCACAATGCTTAGGGTTGTATCTCATGTCCTAAATATAGCTATAGGATTTACTATATGTTCCTGTCAGTGCCTGGCAAAAGGAAATCTTACCTTGATTCATCTATGTCCTTGTACAACCAAAACAGATATTCTTTTTCCTGGGTTGATGATTTAGTCACTAAATAACCAATACCTACTCTTCTTGATAGTTTTTTGCACCCATCCATCTTCCATTCTATGATAATAATATATAATAATAATGTGTATAGTAATAGTAACCTAGCATACACATATATGTGGCAGGCTTTGTTCTAAGCACTTTATACTTATTGACTCAATTAATCTTCATAATATCCCTTGGAAGTAAGTACTCTTATTATCACTGTTTTACAGATGAGAAAGTGGAGGCACAGAACAATTCAGTAATTTGTCTCAGTTCATACTGCTAGAAAATGGCAAACTCAAGGGATTCTGAATTCAGAGTCTATAATTGCTACAGTATACAGTGTCTGGTTTTCTCTCTCTCTCTCTCTCTTTTTTTTTTTTTTTTTTTTGAGAGAGACAGAATCTCGCTCTGTCACCCAGGCTGGAGTGCAGTGGTGCAATCTCGGCTCACTGCAACCTCTGCCTCCCAGGTTCAAGCGATCCTCACACCTCAGCCTCCCAAGTAGCTGGGACTACAAGCCCGGGGCACCATGCCCAGCTAATATTTTGTATTTTTAGTAGAGGCAGGGTTTTGCTATGTTGGCCAGGCCAGTCTTGAACTCCTGACCTCAAGTGATCTGCCCGCCTAGGCCTCCCAAAGTGCTAGGATTACAGGTGTGAGCCACTGCACCTGGCCCGATTTCTCTTTTTTCTTTTGTACAAAAAATGTCATGCTCCCTAACTTACTGTCCATGTTTGAGGTTCCCAAAGAAGCTGAGGGGCAATATGCAACTCGTACCACCTGCTGCTTCATAACTGTGGATCTTTTTCCAGAATCTCTCCTCAGGTTTCTAAGACCAGAACCCAAGTCTCCCCATTCCCAGTCTTCCTACTTGATCATTTTAAGACGCATTTCCTCTGAATGTCCTCTGCCTGATACGTTGAGATTTCTAGAATCCTGTTGTAATGATCCTGACTTAATATATGAAGTAAAATCCAATGAGATTGTAACAGCCTTTATTTAAGCACTACCTTTTAGGTAGGCTACCATTGCAAACTTCGCATCACTAAAAATTGGAGGGGAAAAAAAAGAGCTCTGAGTATTCTATGTTTAGTCTTTGAAAAAAATTATACCACATCTGTTGTTAAAAATTATTTGCATTTTCCTTATCTTTTGTGTAATGCTTTTCAAGAAAAAACATTTTGCAGAGTCTGAACTCGAGTCAAGCTGTTGGGTTCCAACATTGGCTTTACCACTTTCTAGCTGTGTGACCTTGGGAAAGTCAACCAACTTTGCATAGCTCAGATGGCTTATCTGCAAAATTGACAAGATAATAAGAGAATTTACCCAATGACATCTTGTAAGCATAAAGAGATAAAATATGCCAAGTGCTTAGCATGGTGTAAAGCATATAGACAGTGAAAATAAACTAGAAAATAATCTAAAAATACAATATTTTTATTATATTTATCAACCCTTAAAGTAACATATTGTTTTGCTTCCTATTCCTATTTCCATTTCCAATTTTCAAATATACAAAGGAAAGTCTTCTTTAAGCATTTTTCACTAACAGTTCTCTGAAGACTTCTCAGACCCTAGCATGTGATTGGAAGATTTTTTCTTTTTTTTTTTTTTTTTTGAGAAAATCGTATTGGCCTTAAACAAAGTTGTATTCTGTTTACTAATTAAAAAAACTTATTTTTCAAAAATAGAAATGGGGTCTCACTGTGTTGCCCAGGCTGGTCTTGAACTCTTGGCCTCAAATGATCCTCCTACCTCTGCTTCCCAAAGTGCTGACATTATAGGCAGGAGCCACCTTACCTGGTCCAACATTATATTCTTTAATCCAATAAAAATGTGGTAATGTTTTTAAGAGTTAGTATCAGCTTTTATGACAATTACATCTTCACATGAAGTTTATATGTTTAAAAGGATTGTGGGGGCAATAGCAAACTTGTATCGTTTTTATTCCATCACAACTCTGGAACCTCACTGCTGCTTTAATTTCACAGTTGTTGGCTTCTCTTTCTCTACTTGAAAAAGTTTCTCTTTACCAGTCTTCATAAGACTTCTGCCTGAACTCCCTTCAGTCATGCACCTGTCTCATTTTAATAGAAACTCAGACTTTTTACAGCTAGAGGGAACCTTAGATATCAACTGGTCTGCTTGCATTTTTTTTTTCTTACAGATAAGCAATTAGCCCAGGAGGGAGAAGAAAGGGGCTGAGAGGATGAAAGGGAAGGCGGTTAATAGGTTTCTTGCCTAAGGACATCTAGCCTGTGACAGAGCTAAGATATAAATTTGCAGTGGACCATTTTTTAGATTCATGCCTTCTGAATGTCCCCAGCCTGTTTGGTTGGTTGAGATTTCTAGATTCCTTTTGGAATCCTGACTTGCCAGATAAGGCACAGTCTGATAAGCAGATGAATCTTAAAAACAATTGGATGGGTTACCTGTCCCTGGCCAAAGAGGAATCCTGTGATAGGTTATTACAACCATGTACCATGCGCTTTCAGCTTGGTCCAGAACTGATGCCATGTCAGTGCCCCTACTCCCAAAGACCATACCTCCAGATCCATTTTTCAAATTCTTGAGCCATCAAAGCGCATTCCTGAAGATCTTTGGGTTTTGTAGTGCAGGCTGCTGTAAGACTAGGTTTTCAGTCTTACTAAAGGTAATTATTAGGTCATAATCATTGTTCATGTTCTCTAGTCAGGCACTGTAAGAACACTGAAAGGTTTTTAAAATATTTAAATTAAAATTTTAAATTATCATTTAAAAATAATGATACCAGGAACCTAGATGTATTTCCTGTGTAATCAGAAGCAAGTGCATTGTCATATTGGCTTTGGAGTTTCTGTTAAGTCCTAGTAGCTAGAACAAGGTAAGTAGAAAGTAGAAGGTGCTGAGCTGGGCGTGGGGGCTCATGCCTGTAATCCCAGCACTTTGGGATGCTGAGGCGGGAGGATCATGAGGTCAGGAGATCGAGACCTGCCTGGCCAACATGGTGAAACCCTGTTTCTATTTAAAACACAAAAATTAGCTGGGCGTGGTGACGCACACCTGTAATCCCAGCTACTCGGGAGGCTGAGGCAGGAGAACTGCTTGAACACAGGAGGCAGGGATTGCAGTGAGCTGAGATTGTGCCACTGCACTCCAGCCTGGGTGACAGAGCAAGAATCTGTCTCAAAAATAAAATAAAATAAAATAAAATAAAATAAAATAAAATAAAATAAAATAAAATAAAAATAAATAAAAAAGAAAAAAAAAAGAAAAGAAAGTAGAAGGTGCTTATGAAAGAGTGTTGAATGGATAGGAAAGGGGTTCTCAAGGTTGACTGCACGAATCTAGAGCAACTAAAAAAATACTAATTGTGAAGCCCTATTCTAGCATGGAAAAAATAAGCTTGATGGAACCTTTGGTATAAATCAAATGGTTCTATCGTATCCTATTAACTTTATAGTCTTGAGTAATTAAAAATTTTTACCACTATTGTGTATTCTGTGAATGTTTATTTTATTTTTTCCATGAATATTTATTAAATATCAACAGTGTGCTGATGAGTCAATAGTATCAATACTACAGAAACATTAAGGAAGATGAGAACTGAAAAGAGGTGTCTACATATCTCGCAATTAAAATGGACTGCAGTTTTGCATTTAAGATTCTGAAATAGTCATTGACTCATTCCTAATAACCCTGCCCAGGATCTCACCAGCATTAGAAAGATTGGAGATGTTTCAGCATCCGAGTTCTGGGATGCTTCTTGATAATGATCAGCTAGTAGTTGTTTTGAAATGTCAAGAGCATTTCTGTGGTTCTTCACATGTTCCTAATGCAAATGTTTCCGAAGTAATTTCTTGACAGTTACAGTGTTTTGAGATGAAGTGGGAAGGGCTTGTGATTTTGAAGTTGGAGGATCTTGGTTTGATTCCTACCTCTGCCATTTATTATCTGGGAAATCCAGTACCACACATGCTGGGTGCTCTGGGGCAGTTTTCTTATCTGTAAAATGGACATATATCTACCTCACGGGGTGGTTATGCAAAGGCAATGAATGTGAAATGTTTAATAAACTGTGAAGTCTCATATAGATTTCCATTCATCATTATTACCCAATACGAGAATTTTACTTTTTCCAAACTTGAGAGGAGGAAGATGTTGCAGTATTTTGGTATCTTCTTTACCGTGGGTCTGAGAATGATGCACCTGTGCATGTTGTTACATCCTTACAGTGGCTACCACAACTTCACATGTTATTCAGTACTGTTATGTTGGTGAATGTCACAAAACTAAGTTAAACTGTCTGAGGCAAAAAAGGAAGGTTATTGAAATACATAGTTGAGGCTGGGTGTGGTGGCTCATGCCTATAAATCTCAGCACTTTGGGAGTCTGAGGTGAGCGGATTGCTTGAGCCTAGGAGTTTGAGACCAGCCTGGGCAACATAGTGAGACTCCATCTCTACAAAAAATACAAAAAATTAGCCAGGAATGGTGGTGTGCCCTTGTGGTCCCAGCTACTTGGGAGGCTGAGGTGAGATGATCGCTTGAGCCCAGGAGGTCGAGGCTACAGTGAGCTGTGATCATGCCACTGCACTCCAGCCTCAGCGACAGAGTGAGACCCTGTCTCAAAGAAAATAAATACATAGTTGAAAAGATACAGATAATTAGGTTGATCCATTTGAGATTGATTTTTTTTCCTATGCAGAAATAGTCAAATATTGGCAATTTCATTTGGTTCAACCTAATATAAAATGGAGGCTCAAACTATGTCAGGCCAATCTTGTCTTTTTTCCGTCTCCTGGCTCTGAGATGACTCCATTCTTAAACATGTTCTCCTTTGATGTAAAGCGGCTGTCAGTGGCTCTGGAGCCACCTCCTATCAGATCACATCCACTGGGAAAGAAAAAGAGTTTTTATCTTAGCTATTCCCAGCAAAAGTTTCAGTTGCATCTCAGGGTCTCTACTTAGGTCATAAACTCATTGGAGAACCAACCACTGAATCCCGGGTCATGATGTGTTCCCATGGCTTAGGCTTGGGCTGTATACTCAGTCTTTGAGATCATGTATGAAGGGGTGGAGTCCAGAGAGAAATGGGGGTAATTATTGGGAGAATGGTGAACAGAGGCTGGGATGCAAAAATAACAGGTGTTCAGTATACCTTATCAGATAAAATTGACTGACGATGTTATTTTCATTTTGTATGTGAAGACACACTTGAAAAAGCTACAGAAATTTCTCAAGAGCTGGCAGCCCTGGGGTAACTTACAGAATTGAAAGGAATAAAGTATTGGAAACATTAAGAAAAAAGACATGGTGATCTGTGCCCATGTGACCATGTTGCAACTTTAAGTTTAGAAGGAGAACAGGAGAAAGAAGGACTTTTAGAAGGTTTATTTGGATCCTAAAGTTTTCTTATTTGGAGCAGAGCTTTGTGATAGACAGGAAAGTTCTGGAAAATGAGCTGAGCGATCAGACTACAGGATCCCTTAAGTCTGGTGCAGTATTTCATTTTTCTGTGAATCTTAGGCTCCTACTCCTTTTCCAATTTACTTCACTCCAATGTTTATGTTCCTAAGAGTTTGTCTGTTTTCCAAGCACTAGTCCTTTGCTATAAGGATGGGGTAGAGAGAAAGAAGCTTAAAGAGTTTGCAGACAGGTTAAGATGCTTCTGTGGAGACAGAACACATCTTGGTGCACATCTGAGTGTCCTTAGCACTTCATCTATGGACTTCTTTCATAAATGGTAGAACACGTATCCATCACACCTTATTGGATTAATTCAGAAATGCCAGATATATGTACTCTTTGCTGATGGTTACTTTGTTGGTCTCTAATTTAAGTCTTATCTCTAATCACATTAGCTGAGAAAATGGAGACATTATCATTCTAAAAATAAGATGGTTAACTTTTATATTAGGACACTTCTGATTTAGGATAGCACTGAAATTCAGTGCAAAGAAATGTAAGTCTTTCCTAGATAATGACAGATTAGACAATTTGAAGTTTCACTTTTGGTCATTAGCCCTCAGGTCATGCCTGACCTCAAGGTTACTGGAAACAGTGAGAAATGAATGAAAGGAGGAAATGTAATTACCATTCTGTGCATTGAATAGTTGAGCCACTGTTACCATGGATACAATGGCGCATTTATTGTCCAGATCTTGAGATCCAAGTTTGTAAGCAATATCCAAGGTCTCCTTTAAATTTATGTACTATCAGCGAATAACACATGAAGATTCCTGGTAACTTTGAAAATAAGTCTTTCCTCACTGATCTACTGATTCACATTAAGTAAGAGCATGTGTACTTTTGAAGGTGTTGAGGAAACCTGAAAAAGACGAAAAGGAAAGTAGCTACACTTCTGTTATGCTGGACATTCTTGGATTCCTCTATAAAAATATTCTGTCTTATACTGTCAGTGATTTGCTTGTCACTTTGGGCCCAGTTCTTTGGTTTTTATGTCATTAACAAGGAGAAAATTTCCTGAGTAAAGGTTGAAAAAATCAAAATCGTTTATTTTTATTTTTTGAGACAAGGTCTTACTTTATCACCCAGGCCAGAGAGGGTCTCACTTTATCACTCAGGCTGGAGTGCATGGCTCCCTGCAGCCTCAACTTCCCAGGCTGAAGAGATCCTCTCCGCTTAACCCCACAAGAAGCTGGGACTACAGACACATACCAGCACTCACAGTTAATTTTTATATTTTTTGTAGAGATGAGGTTTCTCCATGTTGTTCAGGCTGGCCTCAAACCCCTGAGCTCAAGTGATCCTCCCGCCTCAGCTTCCCAAAGTGCTGGGATTATAGGCGCTAGCCACCATGCCCGGCTGAAATCATTTATTTTGTCAGGAAATTCTTAAAGTTGAATTTAAGAATGAAAGTATTTTATCAGAAATATGGCAATCCTACCCACATTTTAATCTCACTAGAAGGGGGGTGATACATGCTAGCATGTACTTCCACACTGGTTTAATTTTGATGTGGGGAAGGGTGTGGAGAATACTTTTTGTTGCAAGAAACAGAAAACCCAACTCAAAATGGCCTACACAATAAAGGGTATTTCTTGGCTTATGTGAGTAAAAAATACTGAGGCAGAGTGGGGTTCAGGCGAGGTGCAGTCAGGGCTCCAGTTCTCTTTCTTTGTGTTTTCCTTGACCCTACTCCCCCCTAAGTTTCACCTTTGTGTGCGGTCTGGCTTCCCATATGATTCTGATATGGCTGCCAGGGCAAATGGGGCTACGTGTTTCCTTGATCCTATCCAGGGGGAATCCAACTTTGAGAAGGTTTTAGTTATGTTCTCAAAAGTATTATTTCATCACAATAACTTACAGATTGTTAGAATTTCTAAGGACCCTAGACAAAGTCAGCTAGCTCCCCAAACTTGACATATCATCAAAATCACCTGAGGAACTTAAAAAAGTATAGAGATTCTTAAATCAAAACTCACCCTTACTAAAGCAGGGGTATGAAAATCTGTGTTTTTTAAAAATTTTATTTTATTTTACTTTCAGTTCTGGGATACATATGCAGAATGTGCAGGTTTGTTACATAGGTATACATGTGCCATGGTGGTTTGCTGTACCTATCAACCTTTCATCTAGGTTTTAAGGCTCACATGCATTAGGTATTTGTCCTAATGCTCTCCCTTCCCTTGGCCCCCACCCCCTGACAGGCCCCGGTGTGTGATGTTCCCCTCTCTGTGTGTGATGTTCCCCCCCCTGTGACCATGTGTTCTCATTGTTCATCTCCCACTTATGAGTGAGAACATGCGGTGTTTGGTTTTCTGTTCCTATGTTAGTTTGCTGAGAATGATGGCTTCCAGCGTCATTCATGTCCCTGCAAATGACATGAACTCATTCCTTTTTATGGCTGCATATTATTCCATGGTGCATATGTGCCACAACCAACCCAAATGCCCATCAGTGATAGACTAGATAAAGAAAATGTGGAAAATCTGTATTTTTAAAAGTTTCAAGGTGATTCTGAGGGCTGGACCAATTTTTGGGAACGTGTGATCTAGGTACCCTCTCATTTTTCAGTTTTGTAAACAGACTTAGAGGTGAACTGACTTACCACTGCAAATTTCTTCAGTGGCAGTTAAATATACTCTGTTAAATCTCTTTCTTTTGGATGGGAATGTTACAAGCTAGCTACAACAAGAAGGACAGGACTCTTTTAAGTCTGAGGGTGACATGAAGTACTACCCTCATTCCTGGCCACCTCCTTTTTTGGCCAGCATGGCAGGTCCTGAACCTCTCCCTAAATATGCCACTGTTTGTGTCTTAATTGTATGTTTTGTTCTTACCTTGGTCACCTTTGAAGTTCCCCCCAGACCCTCCTAAGAACGTTGGATTCATTGAGGTAAATAACTGTTGCAGGTCTTCTAATCTTTTCTCACCTGAATCTGAATTCATCTCAGAACACCCCTGACACAGCCCACTGGCTTCTAGAGAAGCTGTCTGTTCCATGCTTGGAATGGAAGTATTGAAAAACTTCATGGCTCATTTCCTTTGTATCCCAGCCTCAACTCTTTGTTGACCTCATTGGGACTTACAGTTTGTTGATCCTACCGCCTCTTCACCATCCCTCAAATCCCTCACCTATTTACTTCCTCAGCTTATATTTTATGGCCATCATTAATTTCACTTCCCTGCATACATACGCGCTCAGCAGCTTGGCCCCTTTATCTGGCTCTGTTGTGCTTGGCAAGGCCCTGATCCTGGTTAAATCCAGTTCTCCACATCTGCAACTCTGTAGCTAAACATGGCAGGAGAAAAACACAACTATACTGACTAGCCTCGCTTGACATTCATGAAGCCAATCTCAAGCTTAGGACTTGCTTCCTAGTCTGTCTATTGCCTCTCTTGCTTCCTTATATCTTCTCCTCTTTCCTCAAACCTCTGACATCACCTTCTCACATGTAGAGTGAGCTTTTTAAAACTGTGAAAATGGAAGCAACCAGAAGAGAATTCCATAAACTTCTATAACTCAACCATCATCATTTGAACTTCGTCTTATATCTTCTGTCTTTCCTCCTATTACTCTGGAAGAATTTTCCCAGTTCTTAAGTCCAACCATTTCATTCATGTTCTAGATCTCATTCCCTCTCACCTCTCTGCAATTGTCCCCTCTTTCTTTTATGAAATCCTCTGTTCCACATTACCTTCTAACTATCACTCTATTTTTTCGGTTCCACTTTACAGTAAAATTCTTGTACAGATGTGCCTATATCCACTGTAATTACCTTTCAATTTTTTCTCAAATCCATGCCATTTTGCTTTAGCCCTCATCCTTGATAGATATTTTTTTGGTCAAAGTCACTCATGACTTCCATGTTGTTAAATCCAATGATCTATTTTCAGCTCTGGTCCTTATTTAACTGGTTAGCAGCATCACACACAGTGTATCCTGACTTCCTCCTTGAAACACTTAGTTAGATTTTCAAGAAACTGCCTTCTCCTGGTTTCTTTTCTTCCTTGCTGGCCTACCCTTGGTATCTCATGCTTGTTCCTGTCTATATCCCTGACCTGTTTTCATCTCTAGCTACACTGCCTCCTTGGTGGCCTCATCCTGTCTCATGGCCCTCTTTGAAGCAGGGAGTGGTTTCCCAATTCAGGGAGGCGGCATGGACTCTGGTGGAAAGAACATCACATGTCAAGTCAGGACATTCATGGATCTTGTTCCTGAAGAAAGAAGGAAAAATAGGCACAACCAAAGAGGGCCCCAGGCTGCTGAAAAGGACCCAGGGCCACTTGTCCTCTGGGGATAGTCTCTGTCATCTGAGTCCCCACTTTTTTTTTTTTTTTTTTTTTTTGCGATGGAGTCTCGCTCTGTCACCCAGGCTGGAGTGCAGAGGCGTGATCTTGGCTCACTGCAACCTCTGCCTCCCAGGTTCAAGCGATTCTCCTGCCTCAGCCTCCCAAGTAAACTGGGATTACAGGTGCACACCACCATGCCTGGCTAATTTTTGTATTTTTGTAGAGATGGGGTTTTGCCATGCTGGTCAGGCTGGTCTCAAACTCCTGACCTCAAGTCATCCTCCTCCCTCGGCCTCTCAAATTACAGGCATGAACCACTGTGCCTGGCCTCAGTCCCCATACTTTTGAGGACTCCATATATACTTCTTTACCATGTACATGCTGACAACTTTCAAATTTATGAATCTAATCCAGACCACTACCCTATAGTCTAGACCCACATATCCAACTGCTCATTTGACATGTCCACCTGGCTGGCCAATAGTCATCTCAGACTTCACATGTCTGAAATTGAACTCCTGATCTCCACTAATGTCCAAACTTGCTTTCCATGTGGAATTTCTCATCTCAGCAAATGGCTTCCTCATCCTTGCTCAAGCCTCAAACTGTATCCTACTTTGACTTTTCTTTTGCTCCTCTACCCCATATAGAATTCCTTAGAAAATCCCATTGTTTTGATCTTCAAAATACATCTAGAATCCAACTACTTTTCACCATCTTCACTTCTGCCACCCTGATTCAACCGACTGCCCTCTCTTGCCTCGACGATTGCAATGGCTTCCATACTGATTTCCTTGCTGTAGCAACTTTTTTAGAACATCAGTCAGATCACAGCACCCCTCTGCTCAGAAGCTCCCATGGTTTCTGTCATACTCAAGTTGGGTTGCCCAAAAACAGACACTGAGATGGAGCTTGGAGTATATAATATTTATTAAGATCAATGCGTGTGAAGGGAAAGGGAGGAAGCAGGATGGGCAGAAGAAGAAGTTGAACTCTGGCAGCTGTTG
The DNA here is from genome assembly GCF_000001405.40 of Homo sapiens. Taxonomy (NCBI): domain Eukaryota; kingdom Metazoa; phylum Chordata; class Mammalia; order Primates; family Hominidae; genus Homo; species Homo sapiens. Next base: position 169,349,772 of record NC_000002.12, on the reverse strand, counting down.
GTCAACCCAGAGGAAGCTCTGGAGCAAGAGTTGCCTGTTAGAGTGTCCTATGTCAGGCTGAAATGGCCTTGCTTAATCACTGGATGTGGCCTGTCCTGGAAGGACACGACCTTGGGCAGGTGGCTTTCTATAGCTGAGGCAGACCCCAAAGGAGCTGATTGCAGGAAGAAAGTCCTTCCTCATAGCTGGTCCTTCCTATAAGGGGAAGCTGCATGGCACAACTCTGGGTGTACCACTGCTTCCCATCTCATGAAGAGTCAAAGTCCAAGTCCTTACTATGATCTACAAGACCCTAACCATTTGGCCTTCACATCACCTCCCTGACCTCATTTCCTTCTCCTCTCCCCATGCACAGTGCACCAGGCACAGTGATATCCTTGTTTTCCCTGACATGGTGAGCACTTTTGGGCCTTTGCACTTGCCCCCCTTTTTCCTAAATGCTCTTGCCTCAGATGGTGCATGACTTACTTCCTTTCCTCCTACAGGTCTTTGCTCATAGGTCACCCTCTCAGTGTGGCCTTCTCTGATTCTTTCCCGACCTCTTCTTTCCTGATTTACTTTCTCCATTGCGCTTACCACCATCTGACATAAGGTATGTAACTTAGTTAGTTGTTTGTTTATTTCCTTACTTATTATCTTCCCTTCCCTAAGATGTAAATGGCACAAGGGCAGGGATTTTCATCTCTTTTATCCATTGCTTTCCCTAGTGTCCAGAAAAGGGCTAAATAAATGAATATACATTGAATAAATGAATGGACAGATGTCACCATGGGTGCTAAGAAGGGGCATCCTCAGCTCATCACCATTCCCTGGTACTACCAGCCCTTAATTCCTCGAGGCCCCTGGAGGCCCAGTCAAGGTCCTGATGGAGAAAAAGGAAAATTGCTGTCTCTATCAAAGCAAGTGGCTTAGCAACGCTGTTTCTCTCGATCTGACTCCCCCCTTTTCTCCACCCCAGTGCCTCCCACTCCCGCCCTGCTGGTGATTCCCAATGCATTTGAGTAGTTGAATCTGCATCCTTCTTTTTAACTTCCATCCCAGATACTTGGTTACCCTGTGAGAATTCCCCTGTACATACAGAATGGGTCATTCTGCTATTTTTAGGACAGATTTGATACAGTAGCTTTTACAAAAAGATAAGCCAAAGTTTTTAGACTTCGTGTTAGTGGACTGTCATTCTGTATTTAAACAGAACACAAAAGAAAGCTGTCTGAGACCATGACACAGTGAAAACAGCCTTGATCAAACAAAAGGCCCTCTTTGAAGAGGGGAGTGGTTTCTCCACTCAGGGAGGCAGCATGGATTGTGGTGGAAAGAACATCACATGTCAAGTCAGGACATTCATGGGTCTTGTTCCTGATGAATGAAGGAAAAATGGGCACAGACGAAGAGGGCCCCTGACTGCTGAAAAGGACCCATGGCCACTTGTCTCCTGGGCATAGTCTCCCTCATCTCAGTCCCCATTCTTTTGAGGACTCCATACGTAACAAATAGGTTGGAGGCAGGAGAATGATGGAATTCCACACATAGATGAGTAGAGAAGTTGGGAAATAAGCCACAATAAAAGTGACTAAATTATTTGAGTGCTTTCTATACCAGGCATTGGCCTAAGTGTTTTGTAGGTATTAGTTTACCTACTTATGTAGTAACAGTAAAAATTTTATGGATAAAGGACCAAGACAATGACAGGTGAGGTAATTTGCCCAAAGCAATTCAGTTACTAAGTGGCAGAGCCAACATTTGAACCCAGAACCCTTATTTGTATATGTTGTCACCATGGATAATTTGGAGCAAGTGGAAGATAGTCCTCTGTACGTAATCAAATGAAGCCTCATTTAATTTCTCATATTATGATCAGATGACCTCATTTCAGAGGCTGGTACCATTGCGACCCAACTTTTGGACATTTTTTTGCTACTCTTGGCAGTTCATTCATTCATTCATTCATTCAATATATGTTGCAGCCTTATCATGCTCTAGGCGTGATGTAACTAGGTACTGCAGAGTATAGACAGAGACCTTCAACATAGGCCACATCCAAAACAACTTACTATTGAACAGAGTATATTTCCACTTCCTTCTAGAAGACTAGAAGACTGTACTTTTTAGGTACGGATTGATTTCTCTCTGCTGGGTTTCTCCTATATTACTATTTCATTATCTGGGAACACCTTTTTTTTTTTTCCCTCTATAATTATGTGTCTTTTAATTCAAAGGACCCTTACCTAATCAGAGAGTTCAATTTTAACCTTCCGTTAGGGACAGCAGTCATCTATAAATTTTCAGAGGTTGTTGTTGTTTACTACTAATGAAAAAAATTATTAAGTTCTCTTATTTAAAGTCACTGAAGAAAAAAATGAACAACCAAGTGAGAGCTGAGTTTCTTTACTTCCCGGAGAACACTGCTGTTGTAGAGATGGAGAAGACATTTCCTATGTGCTGGATGTGCTTAAAGGTCTCTTGGTCCCAAAGTATCTCTCACTACGGCCAAAGATCTCTGCTCTGTCATTACTAAAGTCAGTTCTTCGGAGTAAGACATTCTTTCCTCCTGAAACTCCTATTACAATGTGGAAATGTTCACTCCTGTAGGGTAAAGTAGTTAGTTGAGATAGTAATGCACAGTAAATGTTTGTCAGAGCAAGGTTCAGAGAGAAGGAGACACAAAGCTGGTATGTTTTAATGGGGATGAAAGAGGGAAAGAAGGTACTAGAGGTGTGATATAGTCTTGAAAATAAGCCAACTTCCTTTTCTGGGGAATAAAGGGTTATTATGCTTGTGCTTTTTCTTAGAATGGCTTTATGGGGAATTTCAGCTGTGATCTATTAGGAAGGCCTCAAAGATAGAACTTAAAAGCTTCTAGTATGGCTGTCCTTCCTCTAGTTAGCAATTGAAACTGAGTTGTTACAACAAAAGGAAAAGTTGTCGTTAAAAGCAACACAGTTGCAAGACTCCATCAACCATTCCTTGGGGATTCATCAGTGCCTGGTAAGTTTGAGAAGAGACCCTTGGATTTTAATATACATGGCAGTTATAATTTGTCTAGACCATAATGATTACTATTAATAGGGAATCCTGTTTTTCTATTTTTAAAAAAATTTAGAGATGGGGGTCTCACTATGTTGCCCAGGCTGGATTCAAACTCCTAGGCTCAAGTAACCCTCCTGCCTCAGCCTCCTGAATAGCTGGGACTAAGGTGTGTGCCACTGTGCCTAGCTCTGTTTTTCTTTAAAGTTACTGTGTAATAAAAAAAGAATTTGCAAATGCATAAAATTGAATATACACATGTCCCAAGTCAATTGTCAAATGATTGGTTTTTATGTACCAAAATTCTGCATTTTTTTTTCAAGGTCACTTCTGATATAAGAATTTACTTCTTCCCTAATATTTGGTTCAGTGAAGTGTTGAAAGAATTTGCTAAGTAATCATTGAAAGCTAAGATTCTAGTGAAAAACAAAATGCATGGTTTAAAAATTGAACATACTAACTGAAAGACAGTGGAAGTTAGATGCTTCTTGCTGTAAATAATTAAACCCAACAGTGCAGACGAGAGAACATGGCACCAAGAGGGACTTGGGCTAAGAAGGATCATATTGTATTGAACACTTTCGTTTCCCTGTAAGGGAAATCAAAAGGGTCTTTAATAGTTGTTGCTGATTGTGAATATGTGCAACAAAATCCCACTGTAATCCAGATTTATTTTTCAAGCATTTTGCTGTGATTGAAGGAAGGAGAAAGGGATAGGAAGAGGATGGAGTTTTATTAAAGCTGTAGTTACTTCTTCCCTTTAGGAGGTCTAAGTGTGACTTGTCACAGTGACCTGGGACTTTGATTCCCTCCAGGGCCTTCCTGTTCTATGGGCACATTGGTGGATCAAAGACAATTGACTTTTGTTTTGTTTTGTTTTGTTTTGTTTTTGGAGAGAAGCAGTGGTTCTGCTAACTCAGAACAAGAACGACAAGAGTCATGTAGGATGTTTTTCTGAGTTTCTCTAACAGTGCTCGTTTTTTTTTTTTTTTTTGACCGCCCCCTCTTTTCCTTTTGAGGTGGGGCCAAGGGGTCAAACCTCCATTTTTCTATCTGTAAAAAAGAGAATCGGCCTTTATGAAGTGCTTTAATTTTAAAAATTAACATAGGCTAAAATTGCTGTGTGTGTGCACAGTTCTGTAAATGTTAGTGCATGTATATATTTGTGTAGCCACAACCTCATTCGGGATTAGAACAGTTCAATCACCCCCACTAACTCCCTTGTGCTACTCCTTTGTGGCCACACCCTCCCAATAAAGTGTGTTTTAAGTTCCTTTTTTGAAAACTGACCTTCCCAGATGAATGTCTCTGTTGCCTTTTATTTGTTCATTTTTATTTACGCAGTGTTCCTTGCTCATTTTTGAAGTAATTCAAAATGACACTCACGGTAAGCTTGCAAGGCTGCCTTTCCTTTACTATAACGGAGAAAAAATTCTGGAAAGAAGGCAGCTCTTTCAGTATAGTCATATAAGAACAAAATTTCCCCAAACTTGGCTTGTGGCTAGATTGGAATCCGTAAAGAAAACACACTCAAGAAATCTCTCTTGAAGAGGAGGACAGAGGTTTATTTTTTATTTAACGATTTACCCCTTGACACCTGGGAAATGATTAGTTGATGTTTTCAAAGAAGATTAAGTCAGTGTGGTTAATTAACTGTGGTAATCAGGTGACTTAAATCAATTAACTCCTTGTTAACAATTTCCATCAATTTTGTAAATAAATGACTAAATCAGTAAATTGTACTCTTAAGATTAAAGGCTATTTTCTGATTTATTTTTTTGATGACAAATTAGAGTGTTTCCTTCTCATCTCAGTCACTGCCTGCCACTCTTGCTCTTAATCATAAGCCAGTTTTAGTTTGAGAGGAGCACACCAGGGAAACTTTTAATATATGGTTTTAAGGAAAAGTCAGGCTTAAGGACACCTTTGCTCCTTCATCTCAGCACATTTGGAAAGAATGATTTAGTGAGAGCAGTAGTTGGGGGTGGGTGTAGAAAGCAATCCTGAAACACACTCTAGGATAAGCTTTTATTATTAAGTCACTTAATGTCTTGTTTTATTTATGTTTTCTAAGTTAAAACTCGATGAGGGATATAATAAAATGAAACAGGGTTTGGCTCTTAGCTAAAAATAAACTTTAATGGATGTCTTACATGCTCTATTTAGAGGGAATTTCACAAAATATTGGGATATATTGACTGCATTCATTTGTAAAGCTTGATTGCATTAAAAATACCATACAAATATACAACTAAAATGTTGTTACTTTTTAGAATCTTTATAATTGAAAATTCTCTTCCCTGCTTACATAACTTTATTATGTCTTTGTCTCCAATGAAATATGAGCTGGATAAACTAACACAAGAACAGAAAACCAAACATCACAGGTTCTCACTCATAAGTGGGAGTTGAACAATGAGAACACATGGACACAGGGAGGGGAGCATCACACACTGGGGCCTGCTGGGGGTTGGGGGGCTAGGGGAGGGATAGCATTAGGAGAAATACCTAGTGTAGATGACGGGTTGATGGGTGCAGCAAACCACCATGGCATGTGCATGCTTATGTAACAAACCTGCACGTTCTGCACATGTACCCCAGAACTTAAAGTATAATAATAATAAAAAAAGAAAGAAATATGAGCTGGAAAATTATAAAACCATATCCTATGCCCCTGAATATGCCATTGCATTCTCTGAGGATTTTCACTGTAGGACAGATGATATAGGTTTATTTATGGTTTCTTCAAGAAGGGATATTTGGCATCTTGAATAACTTTTGAGGAGTTAGTAAATATTTATGTATTTGCAAAAATTCTATGCTATTCTCACATTTTATAAAGAGAAAATTTCTATGGCTTCCTTTAAGGTATTAAGGATAGATTAAATTGTGAAACTGAGCTGAAGCCACTGTTGTAAATTTAAATCACTGGCTGCCAAGCAAAATTCTGGGCTCTTCCTATTATTATAGAAGCTTTCTGGCCATACCCCAACTACCCCTTCCCAACTTCCCTGGACATAGTTAACCTGTGGCCAAACCCTTTCTGGTACTGGGACATGGTCTGGAATCACAGCTCAGAGATTTAGCTCGACTGCTTTCCAGATGTGTACCTCTGAAGCTCTCTGAGCTTCAGTTTCCTGGACTATACAATGGGTGTTAGTAATTTCTACCTTATAGGTACCTGGGAATATTTAAAGGATATTGTGAACATGCAAGGTCCTGGCACTTGGTGAGCATTCAGTAAACATTTGGCCCCACAGGGAACCTGATATTAAATCATTCATAGTTGACCAGCTCTTGGTTAGGTCATGCAGCAAAGCAGCCACCATGCTGTGATTTTTTGAAATAAAGAAACCACTTGTCAAATTCTCTATCCATAGAAATTGCTGGGGAAAAATACAGCTTTTTAAAGCAGATGAAACTACTAGACAAAAAAATGTTGGAAGACAGGCCTGGTCACCTGCCTTTCTTCCCCCAAGAATGTTTGGTTCTTCACCTCCCAGGTCTTGAAGGCACAGATCCAAATGTAAAGTTGCCAAGAAGTTCAAACGTTGGTGGACCTGGTGTTTCCATTTTAGGTGTCCTGTGCATGCTTTCTGTAACTTGGTTTTATGCAGAACTTGCTGATGATGTCTCTGTAACTCTGAGAACAGGAATGATGGAAGCATGGGTCTGAGTGGAGGTCAGATGTGTCCTCTGGGCAAGGAGAAGGATTTGCCCAGGGAAGACTACACTTGAAGAGGAGCACTTGATTTTGTGAGAGGTTTTAGACAGAGCATGTAAGAATCACAGTCAATGAAGAGTTTTCTCTCTTGCAAAAGTTCCTTATTATTTCATGAAACTACAGAAAGGTCAGTGAGATGTTCAATAGGTGAGAAAGCTGTCAAGCTAGACTTGGTTAATAATTACAGTTAAAATAATCACTGATGTATTTCTTTCACACACGTTTATTGCAAGCTTTTTTTTTATCAGGAACTGACATGCATAGATGAATAAGACATGCAAATAAACAATTGTGCTACAGGGTGAGAGGTCTATAATAGAAGTTTGGGAGCACAGAAAAGGCAGTGATGTAGTCAACTAGACCTGAGAGGACCAAGGGCCAAGGAAGACCGCACAGATTGCCATTTGAACTGAGTCTTGAAGGAGTTGGGAGAGTGGACTGTGGAGGATTTTGTATGTCAAGCTAAGAAGTTTGGTGCCTTTGAAGAAATGTAAGCTGGGAAGTACAATGCTCAGATTTTCATTTTGTAAAAAGAATACTTGCTGCAATGAGAGAAAGCAGATGAACTAGTTAAGTTAGAGGATTACTGGGATTATCTGGGTGACAGATGATGAGGGTAGAACTAGACTTGTGCACTTGGAAGTGATGAGAAAAGGAGAGAGTCACCATGGAACAAAGAGAAAGCTTTTATTTGTTGCCGTTTTTGATAATTCTTGTTATTTGTTTTATAAGTTGGCATGTTTTATTTATGGGAATATTAGACATGTCTTTTCAATGTATGTGTATGTTAATTACATTCATAAATATTCAACTTTTTTTTTTTTTTTAATTTTCCTGCCTGAAAAATTTCCAGCTTGCTGTCTGTCTGGGCATAGCGTGTGACATTTTCTTTGTTTTAGTTCACTGATTCCTAGTTGGTTCATCTCCCTCAGGGAACCTTTGGAAACATATAGTAGCATTTTTTGATTGTCACAATGCCTGAGTATCCCTGCCAGCATTTAGAGGGCAGAGGACAGGAATGCTAAACCGTTGCAATACACAGGATAGTTCCATACTACAAAGAATTGTCTGGGCTTAAATGCCAATAGTTCTTTTGTTGAGGGCCCATCTTGGTTGATAGGAAGTGAATAGAGAGGCAGAAAGGGATGCTATTGGTAATAAGAGCGGTCATACACTGAAACTTATTATATGCCTGATATATAGTCACCATAGCTATAGCATTTGTTCTTGTGACACTCCAGGGAGGTAGATACCATTACTATTCCCTTTTTACTAATGAGTGAACTGAGGCAGAGTAGGATATTTGGCTCTGGGCCTCACATACTTAACTCTAATACTCTGTTTTTCCACATGCTTTACTTTCTTGTAACTTTAAATTAATAATAAGAGGAAAAGGAGAACCACACTTGCTTTGTGCTTTACAGTTTGTTAAATATCAGAATATACCTCCTGGAAACATTTCTGCCAGTTTAGTAGAATATTGACAAGTTATCGCCTCCAAGCATTTTTAAAAATATGGAAAATATTTGATGAAATTTTTTTAAAATTAGGATGCCTTTGTAGATTGGAAGAAACTCTTATTTGATGGAAAAACAGTTGGTGCTCCATAAATGCCTGGGGAATTGAATTGACTCTGGAGGCACTTAGTGTCTTTAGAGGGTGTCAAAGATCTTGCAAATTTATTTTAATTTTAATTTTAATTTTTTTTTACTTCACATAAAAGAGAATCTGCCTCACGTATGATCTTTGTAATTTGAAGACGTGCCAGTGACATTGATGAAGAATGTGACTTTTTCTTGGACATGCCTTGCACTTCCCTGTTTCTGTGCCAGTTCTAGTTTGTTTCCTCTGTGAGGCGTCCCCTCCCCTCAGATCCATCTATCTGTAGCTTAAATGCACCTTTCTCTACAGGACCTTTCTTGATATCCACTGAATGTTATCTGAACCTCTCTTACAGCATGTCTCCTCATGCCATGAGATACAATCATTTGTGTATGTATTTTATCTCTTCCTCTAGAAGAGTACCACCTTTTGGGAGAGGCATAGAACAGGACCACTGATGCTAAGAGTATGCCTAGCTCCTCTGGTCTCTTGTGTCTGGCACAGTGTCAGGCATAAGCATGCACTCAAGAAATTTTTGTTTAATAGAAAGTCAAAAGAACAGCATGTGTTATAGTAAAGCAACTCCATCATGGTGGGGAGGTAATAGGCATGCTCTACTCTGGGCTCCTGTCGCAGAGAGGATTTTGTTTGGCTTGAACAAGACAAACATTTAATTCTCTCTTACATAACCAGCAGTGGAAGGCTGGTCTGGTGGTTCCATGATACCATTAGAGACACAGGCTCCACAGTCCTCTGCTGGTGACTCCCATTCCTGAAGTCACCTCATTGTCCAAAATGGCTGCTGTAGCCATAGCCATCCTTTCTCTATGCCAGGTAGTGGGATTGCAGAAGGAGAAAGGAGGACATGCCTTCTCTGTTTAAAGGAGACTTTCCAGAAGTCCCACACAACACTACTGCTTGCATTTGATCTCATCGATTAAGACTTAGTCCTATGATCACATTTGGCTGAAGTTTGGAAAATGTAGCTTTTTAGCTCAGCACATAGTTCACCTGAGTAACACTGGGTTCTATTACTGAGGAGAGAGAGGCAAATGAATGTTAAAGTATGCCATGACTGCTCCTGGCCAAAGCTGGTCGGGTGACACTGCACATCTTCTCTTCAGCTTTGAATACCACATTTTGGGAGAGGCATAGAAAATTTGAACCTTATTTGAAAGAGAGAAACAAGAATGATGAGAAAACTGGAAACAATATTATGGGGGAATGATGGAAAAACTGGAGATGTTTCTTTTGGACAAGAGAATAGGGGAACAATGGTTAGCTCTCCAAATATTTGAGGAACTATTATATGAAGAAGGATAAAACTTACTCTAAATGACTCTAAGAGATGGGAAAGAAATTGTAGATATATCGTATGCACCAAAAGAATGCTGGAATTTGACTTTAGGGTCACTTTTAACCTTTGACCTTATATAGTACAGATGCATACCATATAGATGTATCCATAAGTTTGTGCTTTTGAGGTTAAAATATTGCTTATTCTCTGGTTACTTCATATTGGAATTCTCTTTACTGAGGGTTGCTATGGTGATAACACCCTTAGCAGTCTGCATTTTGAAAAGCTTTGGACTTTTCCTTTTGTGAGATGTGGTCTCTATGTTTCCCCCATGCTTGGCGTTTTTCAAAATATCATCAAGTCAGAAACAATTTCCAAATTTATCAGAGTGAAGTGAGGAGAATTTTAAAATTGTAGATACTAATAACAGGGGTTAGTAATTCTATATTGTACAACTCAGTGATTCAATAAATATTGTCACTATCAACTTCTTTGGATTAAGATAGCTATGTTTAGGCAACTGGTTAGTGTTATTTAGTTAAGCATGTATTTTTTAATTATTACTAAATTTCTTAAACACCCTTGAAATATAATTGTTGAAAATGTCTTAAAAACACAGCTAGTATCAACCAGAGAAATAATTTAGCAAAGAGTTAATTTATTTCACTAAGTAGTGATATATTTTTGAACGCATGTGGAATAGATGTGTGCCTATAAACTTGACTTTGTGAATTAAGTTTTATTTTTCTAGTTCAGTTTTACTTTGAATATGGATATGTTGTTGTTTTGTGAATCTTAGACATCAGAAAGATTTAGTTGGGAAGAGAAGTAATAATGTAAAATAAAAGTAATAATAAAATACTCAAATTTCTGTATTAAATTAGCTTTTGGGGGAATTAGCTACATAATTAGGTTATTTTAATAGATTTTCAAACTGGGTTGCAGATGATGAATATAGAAGAGCTATATATATACATAAACTCTCATATAAGCAAATATATAAGAAGCAAAAAAAAAACCCTGTAGAATTGAGAGGGAGACAATATTTGGAGTTTAAAGGATCAGAAAACACTGGCCTAAAAATAGTATCAGTAATCAATTTTTATTAAACACTTACTGATATGCCAGACCCATAATCCTCACTCTACCCTCATATTAATGTTATGAGTAAGAGCTCTTATTATCTCCGTTTTTAGATGAGGAAACTGAGGCACAGAAATTAAAATGGCTGTCAGATAGTTAGTAAGAGGTGGAGCAGTGGTTTGAATCCCTAGTATATGACTAGAAGGACTTCACCCTGGACAGTTACTTGGCTTCTAAGCAGTCTTCGCGTGCTCTTCCCCTTCCTTGCCCTTCTGTAATATTATAGTAGTTTCCCAGTAGTATGCAGCATCTGGCTATTCAGACTTTGTCTCTTAACCTTCTGTGGAAAAGCTGTTGACTTTTAGACATGCTGGGCAGAATGGAAGAAGGAAAATACAGACTGTTATACTTGGAGAAATAATGATTTCATATGTAACAGTAGTTGAATCAATAGGTGGACAAATTTATTGAAACTTCTTGAGTTAATCCAGTGATGGTAAACAAACACATGGCCAAATGAGCACTCTATAAAGCATGCCTTCTGGAATGCATATTGTCTTGTCTTGTCTTTTTCCTTCCTTCCTTCCTTCCTTTCCTCCCTCCGTCTTCCTCCTTTTTTCTTTTCTTTTCTTTTCTTTCTTTCTTTCTTTCTTTCTTTCTTTCTTTCTTTCTTTCTTTCTTTCCTTCTTTCTTTCCTTCTTTCTTTCTCTGTCTCTCTTACATTCTATCTTTCTTTCTTTCTTCCTTCCTTTTTTCTTTCTTTCTTTCTCTTTCTTTCTTTGTTTTTCTTTCTCCCTTCCCTTCCCTTCCCTCCTTCCTTCCTTCTTCCTTTCTTTTCTTTCTTTTCTTTCTCTCTTTCTTTCTTTCCTCTCCTCCCCTACTCCCTCTCTTCCTCCTTCCCTACTTCCCCCCATTTCTTTTTCTCTTTCTTTTGCTCTGGGTTTGCTCTGTCAGTCAGGCTGGAGTGCAGTGCAGTGGCATGATCATAGCTCACTGTAGCTTCAAACTCCCGGGCGCAAGCGATCCTCCCACCTCAGCCTCCTGAATAGCTAGGACTACAGGTGTGCACCATCACACCTGGTTAATTTGTTTTGTTTTTGTAGATACTGGCTCTCACTATGTTGCCCAGGGTGGTCTCAAACTCCTGGGCTCAAGCGATCCTCCTGCCTCAGCCTCCCAAAGTGTTGGGATTATAGGCGTGAGCTACCTTACCTGGCCTCAAGTCTGTTTCTTGATCAGTAAGCCTGGTAATATTGGGCTGTCTTGTGTGCATATATGTAGATGTACATGCATGCATACACATATATTCCACTTTGGGTGGAATGGATGAATCTTTTGTTTCCAGTGGAAGGAGTTCTTTGAGTTACAAATAGTAGAATAAGGGCTTTCAGTTTAAACAGAACCCACATGAGTGTTTCATTAATCATGTTCACGTGTTAATGGATTCTCTTGAGGCCTTTGGAGTCATTGTTTTTGCAATATTTCCTTAGGGCCTTTTTCTTCAGTCCAGATTAATCTAAAATACATTGCACTGATCCAGAGATGTCACCAAATTCTCCTGAAAAGCCCTTTGACTGTATTTGGGCTGGCCTGTGCTTTTATGGAAAAATGCTATCTCACTGCTGATGAGGTTTCTGGCATTAGCAAAGATGGCCTTATACATGGTACCACAACCTATGTGGTACGATGTTAGGAGCCCTGATAAGATACTCTGTTCCCCTACAATCTGCTCCATCAAGCCAGTGAGGAAGGTATGTAGGCATTAGGAATGCCTAAAATGCCACAATTAGAAAATTCATTCCTTGGAGGGCTTCTGTTTTCTGCTGAAAGTGCAAACACCCGTAGAAGGCTTTAAGAATCTCTCAAACCTTCCCGTGAATAAGTTCACCTGGGAGCAGATTTTTGGGGTCAGGGTCGTGAGCCATGGAAACTCTGGCCATGTCATGGGGATCTGAGGGAGAGAGAAGGAGAGGATTTTTAGACAGCGGTGGGGGAAGTCAGGCGGAGGTGGGACCATTTAACTAGATAAGGCTCTAATCGTCTCATTCCTGGACTATCAGAACAGCCTTTTAAGTTTAAGTTGCTTTTCCCTCTTTGTAACCTTACCCACCAAACTTTGTGAAGTGTTGAGTGCTTATAGTAAACAGAGTGAACATAACTCTTCCCAGGGAAGAACTGGCTGACTTTAGTTTCTTGGTTTCTGGAAGGAGATGGGATAGTTTTATTGGCTTGCTTGAGGATAGCCAAACGGTTGTGGACAAGAGGGCTTGTTTCCTGACAAGTGTTATTCTGCCTTAAGAATACAAAGATAAATGGTCTACCAGAGCTTCAGTACCTGTTTGTTGCGTTGCATTTAGTTTGGAGTGTTTGCTCTGTGCAGTGGAGAATACTTTGGAGGGTGGTAAGGTCTCTCTGTTTCATTACTGGAAAAGAATAGGAGTGGGGTCATGGCAATGGGGTATTTCATTCCTCTGTGCGTGTGTGTGTGTGTGTGTGTGTGTGTGTGATGGAGTCTTGCTCTGTCACCCAGGCTGGGGTGTAGTAGTCCAATCTCAGCTCACTGCAGCCTCTGCCTCCTGGTTTCAAGTGATTCTCCTGCCTCAGCCTCCTGAGTAGCTGGGATTACAGGTGCATGCCACCGCGCCTGGCTAATTTTTTTGTATTTTCAGTACAGATGGGGTTTCACCATGTTGCCCAGGCTGGTGTTGAACTCCTGACCTCCAGTGATCCAACTGCCTCAGCCTCCCAAAGTGCTGGGATTACAGGCATGAGCCACTGCGCCTGGCCTCATTCCTTCGTTTGCAGGGGCTGGATGTCTAGGTTTATGGAAATCTATTCTCATTCAAACAGAAATAGGGTAACAACTTAAGATAATAAAGTTTTTCTTTGAATGAATTAGAAAGGCATTATTGTATGTTATTTTAGTCAAATAATATTTTTGCATTTATTGCATTCTTCTGTTATATAAGAGAAAGTTTAGAGAATTAGGATAGTGAATACTTTTAATGCTTGTTTTTTTTTTTTTTTTGAGATGAAGTCTCACTTAGTCACCCAGGCTGGAGTGCAATGGCACTATCTTGGCTCACTGCAACTTCTGCCTCCTGGGTTCAGGAGATTCTCCCAGCTCAGCCTCCCAAGTAGCTGGGACTACAGGTGCATGCCACCATGCCTGGCTAATTTTTTGTATTTTTAGTAGGGATGGGGTTTTGCCATGCTGGCCAGGCTGGTCTTGAACTCCTGACTTCAAGTGATCCACCCACCTTGGCCTCCCAAAGTGCTGGGATTACGGGAGTAATCCACCACACCTGGCCTTTCATGCTTTTAGGAAAAATTTGAAATTCTTTTAAACGTGGGTCCTGGAGAATCGCTGAACTTCCTTTTTTTTTCTTCTATTGAGACAGAATTTCTCTCTGCTGTCTATGCTGATTACAGACTCCTGAGCTTAAGAGATCCTCCTGCTATGGCCTCCCAAAGTGCTGGGGTTACAGGCATGGGCTACTGTGCTGGCCAAACTTTTTGAATGGAAAACTTTTTAGCTTGGTTTCAGTTGATTAATCCTCAATTTCTTTATGTCCTTAATTCTATGGCTTATGCCAAGGCATGAGTTGAGGTCAACAGAAATCCTTTTATGATGATAGAAAGATAACGATGTCCAAGTTTAATGTACAGTATAATGACTTAAGGTCAATTCTGGGAAAGCCTGTATGTTTATCATCAATTTCTTTTTGGTGATGGAATTATACACCTACAGTATTTCATGTAAAACTCCAGAGGATCACCTGAAATATGAATGATTTACAATGGACAAAATAATAAAAATGCTCATCGTAGGAAAATACAAAAATATATAAACAAGAAAATAAACATAAAAATGCATAAACAAGAAAATAGCAAGTTGGGAGCAAGCTTGCTTTTGACTCTAGTTTGACCTGTGTTTCTCAGAATAAATCTTGATTTTCACTCTTGCCCTTGACCGAAGACTGGGCCAGTGGAGGCAACCACCACCATCTGTGCTTTCAGTGTTGAGCATCCTACCAAGCAAGGTGGCTTAGATTTTGAAAGTTTTCTCTCAGTCAGATAGTAGGGGAACAACTCTTAGAATGTTAGAATTAGATGAGTAGTGGGAATGCCCTGGAAGGAACCACCCTTCATGGAGGGACGGCTGTGCTTCAGGCATTGTGCCAGAGGTTTACAGGGACCTCTTTAATCCTCACCGTAACCTGATTTTGCAGGTCAGAAATTTTGTAGGTAAGAAAACTGCATACTGTATCAGTTTAAATTCAGGTTCATCAAGCTAAACCAGTTCAGTAACAAATATTTATTGAGTGAAGGTTCAGTGGTAAATGAGACACAAACAGTTCCTGCCCTCATGGAACTTAGAGTTTGGAATGACACAGGGACAGTCAGTGCTTTGCCAGAGTTGAAAGCCATGCATCTCTTGGCTTTCTGGCGATTGCTTTTTCCATTGGTATTCTTATTTTAGCCATTCTTACTGAATTTAATTTAAATTTTACTTAATTATTATAATGCCTATGGATCCATGTTCTGCATATTAGCTCACTCATACTCATCCAAGACTGTAACTATAGGTACCCAACACCCAGAATTGAGATGGCCACTGAAAACTCTATTCTTGACCAACACTCTAATATCATTTTATTTTCTTTAATTGCCTTTGTAAGAAGTATAATACAAACAAAACTCCAGTAAGCAAATGGCTTTAATTATTTGTGTGTCAGTTAGTAGAGATTTTATTGTATATATTTTCTGGTATAGTTTATTACTGAAGCCGTACTTCTTTTTAGCATTAAAATTCTAAAATTTTATATTTATAATAGTGACAAAGGTTTTTACTGTAATTACTAATGATATTTAAAACACAGATTAGGCAAAATCTTAGGAAATATACCCTGCTTTTTTTCCTTCCATTTCTGGCAATCACTGCAGATAAACTTGTAATTTTATTCATGTTGCTATTAATATGGGGACATTATAAATTCATCATGTCTGTGCAGAAACCTGAACACCACTTTATCACACGTGGGTATCAGTTGGTGACAATGTAATATTGTTGATTCTGTGTCAACAAGCTATTGAATTGTTTCAAGTCATCACAATCACATTATAACGTGAAGTGATAACATTGACAGAGCCTGAAAGTGGTTTGGAGACCTCCTCATGCTATTTGAGCCCAGGCATAACAAACCAGGGCCAAAGGACTCCTGGTGCAAAGATAACCTGCTGGTGAGGCATGTTCTGAAGTTCTTTTTGCTCAGTCTGTTAAAAGCAATCCAGTAGGGGAGACACAGGAAATTTAAGGTCATTCTACCATGAGAGTATTTGCAAATATAATAGGTCCTTCTTTACAGATTTACAAGGCAATGATTTGGCATTACATTTGTTTCTCTATAGGGAAATTAAAATCATGATTATGCTATATTAGCAAATTGCTTATAAAACAAATTACAATTTTTGATTGTAGGATAAGAAGTACTCTTGTAGCCCCCTCCCTCCCTCCCTCCCTCCCTTCCTTCCTTCCTTCGTTCCTTCCTTCCTTCCTTTTCTTCCTTCCCTCCTTCCTTCCTTGTAGATCTCTTTGTCATCTTTTGGACATCATCTTAGTTTCACACATATATTCTAACACATCATATATAGTTCGTTTATTGAGGGTAGGCTGGGTACTAGGAGGTCCTGTAACAGGCCCTGGGAATACAGAGGTCGCTTAGTCTCATCTGTTCTGTTCCTTATATTTCACATATCCAGGTCGTGGCAGGAGAATTTTGAACTTTCTGCTTATAAAATCATTTCCAAGGCATAACTTGTCACTAAAGGGGAAAAATACAAAAATATTGTGTAAAACATCAGCAAAACCAGTTTTTAAAAAAGAGAATGACATATTACATTTTTATTAAAAATGTTGACTTCAGTTTACTAGATGATTAATTATCAGTACTTACTGCCCAAGAAAAGGCTTTTAAACTTATTGTTGGAAATCTTTTGGCACTCTTGCTGCACAATATTTCTTAATAGTTTAAGAAAATTCTTACTCTGTTGGCAGAAGCCATACATGCCCATCACTAAATGGTCAAGGTCGAGGCATGCCTGTGTGTGCAACTCAGTTATTCATCTAACGAATGAACTGTGAATAAAGTTTAGTGTTTGTGTGAATAACAATGCAATGAGCCTCACCATCACCAAGCATAAACATTTCTGATAAGAGTTGTCATCAGAGTTGCTTATTGATGTTGAAGCATTGGTTTCGTTAGAGTAAATTATGTATATATATGTGTATGTGCATGTACGTATGTGTGTGTATATATATATGTATATACCTGATCTCTACTTTCTGAAAATTTACACATTTAGAATGGGAGGTTATTTAGTTCCTAGCATGTAACTTGTGACTTATAAACCCACTTAGCAATTACATACTGCTTCAATCTGAATTTGGGCCATAGCTAAATAAGGGTGAGTTGCCATTTTGTACCAAATTGAGGTTAAGGTGCAAGATGCCAGGTGTCATTTAAACCAAGGCTAGGATGCAAGATGCTAGGTCTCATGAAATTTAGTGTCTGGACACTGATTGCTAACCTTGACATCTCTCCTTTCTGCCCTCTTTTTCTCTGTCTCCCTTTTTCTTTTTCTCCCTATTTTTGCCTCTTCTCTCTCTTCTCGTTTCTTTAGAGCTTGTTGTTACTATTGCGATAGTCAAGAACTAAATAATATGGAGTTAGGGAGAAGGAATACAGCAAGGTGTTTATAAGATTCAGTCAAGAAGGTCCATTTAGTAGTTATAAATAATTTAGCCTATGACTATGGGGAATTACCAAATCTACCAATTGAGAGTCAATTTCTTCTCTTCTTGTTGCTATTGTCATAATTTGCAGTATCCAACTATTGTTCACTTGATAACCTGGTGATCTCATCTGATTATTAAGATGACCAAAATGAAAGTGATGTTTATAGCTTTAACATATCCATGTCAGTTTGATTTATGGTTCAACACTTGGACCTAATTAATCAGGAAAACCCTAATTTGATGCTGTCTATCAATGCTAGTCTGAAACACCATTCAAAAGCCTTAAGCAAGAAAGCTGCCTTTCTAAAGTCTCTCTTGTCATTTATTTCTCATGAATGTCCATTTTCTTTTTTAGTGTTTGATTCCACTCAACCATTTTCCAGTAATTTATATTGCTAATCAAAAAGCCGTATAGGAATTCTCTGGGTGACTGGGACTGGAAATGTGCTCTGAAATGGGAATGATTTGTAGTTTTTGCACAGGGTGTGTCAAATCATGAGGTGCTGAAGGGCATGTTATTCTTGTAAGTAGTTTGATTCATTGGGTCCTTATTTACCTGGGCAGGCAGGCCATCTTAAATTTTCTTCTGTTTGGATAGTGTTCTTTTCAACATCCTGTAAGTGTAGCTCTTTTACCATGAAAGATGTAAATAACCAGTTAGTCTCTAGTGGGGATTGGGGCCAGAGGAGAAGAAAGTCTTGAGCTTAGTTTCCTTCCACGTGTAGGGAAGGTTCCTCTCCAGGAACCTCAGTGACTTAGCTGATAGAGGAGGCACTGCATGAGCTATTCAGGGGGAGCACAGAAAAGACTGGTACAAATACACTTTCAGTGCTTTGATGCTGGCTAACAGGAAGTTTTCATTGCTCAGCGTTCTTGGTAAAAACTTGGACATTCTTTTGAATGTTTGAGCGCTTAAGTGATTGTCAATTTATATTTTTAATTTTTTGTGAATGTATGCAGTTGGGATGGGGAGAGGACATTTGGAGAAATTATTTTTTTGCTCTGATAATGAATACGGACGGGAAAAGTTTGCACCACAACGCAGAGGTGCTTATGACTGTTTTTCATAGCCACAATCCTTTACATTAATGATGAACTACTTGAGGATTTCAGATGCTTGTGTTTTTCTAGTGTGGTCCCCTCCCCTTGAAGGGGTAGACCTGTGGACGTGTGATGGAATGGAGCATTCCAGGGTGAAACAGGCCTTCCTGGAAATTAGATTCTTTATCACTCTCCCAGGGGAGTTCATTTCAAGTTGCTGGTACTAGCAGCTGCAGCGTGAGATTGCCCAATCCTAGGTGCTCTTATTGATGGGTGGGAAGGAGTGGGATTGCTGTTTAAGAAATTTTATTATCTTTAGAAGGGAAGAATGTATTATGTTTTTTTTTTTTAGATGATCTCTTTCATGTGGGCTAAGATAATTTTGAGCTCTGACTGTCCAAGCTGCTTAGAGGTTCTGAGTTGTTCTCCACTGGGGGTGGTACTGCCACTCTCAAGCGGCATAGATGTGCCTGGGAGTGTTTTTGTCACCGTGATGTGGGGGAGCACTACTGGTGTTCCACAGGTGGGGGTCAGGGATGATGTACATACTGCTTTGACCAGGACAGTTCTGCAAGATGAGTAATTGTCCCACCCCAAATGGCGATAGCGTCCTCTGAAGAACCTCTGAGAAGTGTGGCTTTGCTTATAATGTTCTGTAGTGCTGATGGACTGCCTGATTGTAGAGGTGAGAGGTGCATAATGAAAAAACAAGTGGGATGTAAGAGCCTTGGGGGAGAAAGACAGGTGACTAGTGTTTAAATGGAAATGGAGAAGGGTAGCTCAGTTATAAATGGCTCAGTTTAAATCTCTCATTGCTCAGAATTGAGAGGCTGCTCAAGTAGTACATCTCATTCTGCTGCCATTTGGTTATTGGAAAGGCACTTTATTTTAATTACTAAGCAAATATTTAAGTAATCTTTGAGATCAACTATCTTGAGAGCTGACTGGATTCTGTGGCCTGGATACTCAGAAACATCCAGCTTGGAGAGGATGGTGGGGGCTGGTCACTAGGATGTTGTTGGCAATGCCCTAAGGCAGCGGTCCCCAAGCTTTTTGGCACCAGGGACTGGTTTCGTGGAAGACAATTTTTCCATGGACAGCAGGGTGGTGGTGGGGGAGGGATGGTTTCGGGATGACACTGTTTCACCTCAGATTATCAGGCATTAGATTCTCATAAGGAATGCACAACCTAGATCCCTCTCATGTGCAGTTTACAACAGGGTTTGTGCTCCTATGGGAATCTAATGCAGCCACTCATCTGACAGGAGGCGGAGCTCAGGCACTAATGCTCACTCACCCGCCTCTCACCTGCTGCTGTGTAGCCTGGTTCCTAGCAGGCCACGGACCAGTACCAGTTTGTAGCCCAGGGACTGGGGACCCCTCCCTCATGGAACCTGTTCGTAGTTTGCCATGCAAGCGGACCTGCTTTGGATGCTTCTGGGGCAGCTGGAGGGGCTGCAAGGTGAGACCCTTCTCTGCTAGCAGCCTCTTGCCTGCACCTACCAGCCTGCTCACTGGGCTCAGGGTTGGGGTGAGGTTCTGGGGATTGAAGTGGAGCTCCAAGCTCTTTTCATGGTCAAAGTCTGTATGCTAGTTCAGGCTTTACCTACTCAGAGTGATCTTCACTTTTAATGCAGTTATTGTCTGAGTAATCACCCTCATACTCATTTGACAGGCACTCTTTGGCTTGGCACTGAAAGCTCTTTTTCTCCATCTTCTCAGCCTTGTTGCCTACCACTCTCCAAGAGGTCATCACTGCTTGGGTCATACTTATTAGACCCTCACCCATGCTAAGCTTCTGTCAAGTTTTTGTTCTTTTTTTTCTTAGAGACAGGTTTCACCATGTTGGCCAGGCTGGTCTTGAACTCCTGGCCTCAAGTGATCTGCCTGGCATGGCCTCCCAAAGTGCTGGGATTACAGGCGTGAGTGATCACGCCTGGCCTGTCAAGTTGTTTTGACCCTACACACAAAGCCTGGTCTCCCTCTTCACCTTCCCAAATCCTGCTCATTCACAAAGACCCAGTGTAGTCTTATAATTCTTTGTGAAGACTTCTCTGATGACACCGGCCTGTAGTGTTATTTTTTTCGCCAAAGTCAGTTAGTTTTTATTATCTCCATTGCTTATTTGGAACCAAATTGTCTGTTGTCAGAGGCATAGCTTTGGAATCAGACTGCCTCAGTGTAAATCTGTGCTCCACTACCTACTAGCTGTGAGATTTGTTCAAGCCTTGTCGTCCTCATCTATGAAATGGGGCCATTGATACCATCTCACAAAGCTGTTGTGAGGATATGTAAGGTAATGCATGGGAAGCACTTAAAATATTGCTGGCAAGTTCTGGGTGAACAAATGCTGTCATTTGCTTTGCAGGACATGAAATGATGAAATAAGTACAGGCTCTGGAGTCACACAGGTCCTGGGGCTAAATCAGACTTCGACATTTTCTACCTTTGTGGCCCTTGGGGGAGTTGGTTAATGTCACTGAGGCTCAGGTTCCCCTTCTATTAAATAAGTATAAATCTCACATCATACAGTTCTGAGAGGATCCAGTGGATATGTATAAAGCTTTATATATTGTATAACACATAGTAGGTACTCAGTAAACAATATCAGCTGTTGTTATTGCATGGATATTTAATTTATAACATATAAATCACTTTTGCCCCCAATAAACTTATAGGCTCTGTCAAAAAAGGACCATATCTTTTTATTTATTTATTTATTTATTTCTTTTTTTTTCTTTTTTTTTTTTTTTTTTTTTTTATCCCGGCCCGTTCTCAATGAGCTGTTGGGTACACCTCCCAGACGAGGTGGTGGCTGGGCAGAGGGGCTCCTCACTTCCTAGTAGGGGTGGCCGGGCAGAGGCGCCCCTCACCTCCCGGACGGGGCGTCTGGCCGGGCGGGGGGCTGACCCCCCCACCTCCCTCCCGGACGGGGCGGCTGGCCGGGCGGGGCGCTGACCCCCCCACCTCCCTCCCGGACGGGGCGGCTGGCCGGGCGGGGCGCTGACCCCCCCACCTCCCTCCCGGACGGGGCGGCTGGCCCGGCAGAGGGGCTCCTCACTTCCCAGTAGGGGCGGCTGGGCAGAGGCGCCCCTCACCTCCTGGACAGGGCGGCTGGCTGGGCGGGGGGCTGACCCCACCTCCCTCCCGGACGGGGCGGCTGGCCGGGCAGGGGGCTGACCCCCCCCCACCTCCCTCCCGGACGTGGGGCTAACCCCCCCACCTCCCTCCCGGACGGGGCGGCTGGCCGGGCGGGGGGCTGACGCCCCCACCTCCCTCCTGGACGGGGCGGCTGGCCGGGCGGGGGGCTGACCCCCCCACCTCCCTTCCCGGACGGGGCGGCTGGCTGGGCAGAGGGGCTCCTCACTTCCCAGTAGGGGCGGCCGGGCAGAGGCGCCCCTCACCTCCCAGACGGGGCGGCTGGCCGGGCGGGGGGCTGACCCCCCCACCTCCCTCCCGGACGGGGCGGCTGGCCGGGCGGGGTGCTGATCCCCCCACCTCCCTCCCGGATGGGTCGGCTGGCCGGGAGGGGGCTGAGCCCCCCACCTCCCTCCCGGACGGGGTGGCTGGCCCGGCAGAGGGGCTCCTCACTTCCCAGTAGGGGCAGCTGGGCAGAGGCGCCCCTCACCTCCCGGATGGGGCGGCTGGCCGGGCGGGGGGCTGACCCCACCTCCCTCCCGGACGGGGCGGCTGGCCGGGCGGGGGGCTGACCCCCCCACCTCCCTCCCAGACGGGGCGGCTGGCCGGGCGGGGTGCTGATCCCCCCACCTCCCTCCCGGACGGGGTGGCTGGCCCGGCAGAGGGGCTCCTCACTTCCCAGTAGGGGCGGCTGGGCAGAGGCGCCCCTCACCTCCCGGATGGGGCGGCTGGCCGGGCGGGGGGCTGACCCCACCTCCCTCCCAGACGGGGCGGCTGGCCGGGCGGGGGGCTGACCCCCCCACCTCCCTCCCGGACGTGGGGCTGACCCCCCCACCTCCCTCCCGGATGGGGCGGCTGGCCAGGCGGGGGGCTGACCCCCCCACCTCCCTCCTGGACGGGGCGGCTGGCCGGGCGGGGGGCTGACCCCCCCACCTCCCTCCCGGATGGGGCGGCTGGCCGGGCGGGGGGCTGACCCCCCCACCTCCCTCCCGGACTGGGCGGCTGCCGGGCGGAGACGCTCCTCACTTCCCAGACGGGGTGGCTGCCGGGCGGAGGGGCTCCTCACTTCTCAGATGGGGCGGATGCTGGGTGGAGGGTCTCCTCACTTCTCAGACGGGGCGGCTGGGCAGAGACGCTCCTCACCTCCCAGACGGGGTCGCCGCCGGGCAGAGGCACTCCTCACATCCCAGACGGGGCGGCGGGGCAGAGGCGCTCCCCACATCTCAGACGATGGGCGGCCGGGCAGAGACGCTCCTCACTTCCCAGATGGGATGGCTGCCGGGAAGAGGCGCTCCTCACTTCCTAGATGGGATGGCGGCCGGGCAGAGACGCTCCTCACTTTCCAGACTGGGCAGCCAGGCAGAGGGGCTCCTCACGTCCCAGACGATGGGCGGCCAGGCAGAGACGCTCCTCACTTCCCAGACGGGGTGGTGGCCGGGCAGAGGCTGCAATCTCGGCACTTTGGGAGGCCAAGGCAGGCGGCTGGGAGATGGAGGTTGTAGCGAGCTGAGATCACGCCACTGTACTCCAGCCTGGGCACCATTGAGCACTGAGTGAACCAGACTCCGTCTGCAATCCCGGCACCTCGGGAGGCCAAGGCTGGCGGATCACTCGCGGTTAGGAGCTGGAGACCAGCCCGGCCAACACAGTGAAACCCCGTCTCCACCAAAAAAGTACGAAAACCAGTCAGGCGTGGTGGCGCGCGCCTGCAATCGCAGGCACTCGGCAGGCTGAGGCAGGAGAATCAGGCAGGGAGGTTGCAGTGAGCCGAGATGGCAGCAGTACAGTCCAGCTTCGGCTCGGCATCAGAGGGAGACCGTGGAAAGAGAGGGAGAGGGAGACCGAGAGGGAGAGGGGAGAGGGGAGAGGGGAGAGGGGAGAGGGGAGAGGGGGAGGGAGAGGGAGAGGGAGAGGGAGAGGGAGAGGGAGAGGCAGAGCAAAAAAGGACCATATCTTATTTTTCTTTTTTCTTCCACTGATCCTAGGACAATTGCATATAGTAGTTATGAATTTATTTGTGGCTTTAGTGAATCTGGCATCATATTCTTTTGGTCCTTATTTATTTATTCATTTATTTTTGCACTTAAATGATGTGTCTACATGATAATGCATCAATTTGCATTGTGGGTTTTGTCCCCAAATCTTTGACTTCTTGAAATGTCCTTATAGTATTGTTTTGCTCTAAGAAAACATCAGGGCTCTGAATCAATAATTGGGACAAAGCAGTCTATTCAGTGGTTTGTAAACTGGATTAAAAAAAAAACCCAAAAGAATTCCTGCCACCTATTTGATGATCTGTAAGGAAAACCAGACAGTTAAAATGTTGCACAGAAAGAGACTAGCAGGTTGGTTTGCTGTTCCTGTCTTGTTTCAGTTTCATTAACTGAATCCTTGACTATTCTATCAATTTGACACTAGACAGGGTAGAGTGCTCCATACAATTTGTTACCCTTGGCTATCATCACTATAGTGTAAAGTTTTGGAAATAAGCAGGTGACTCTAAATCTTCAAAAGGGGACTGGCCTTGTTTATGTGGGCAAGGTATGGGAATTGTAGTGAACTGTCAGCCAACTTATGAATATCAGAAGGATGTCTATCCATACCAAAGGAATCAAAATTAAGTATAGAAAAAGTGAAGCAAAAATTATGGATAAGTTAAGGAATTGCCTCTTAAATTTGTTTGTTTCTTTGAGTTCAGTGAAGGTGGAACTATTAAAATGTGATTTACTCATACAAATTTTTAAAAAGAGGACTGTACCTCCTCAGGTAGACCAAGTGTTTGGAAGGACCAGCATGTGTTAAGAGGATCTAGCGGGGAAATAGGATTTGCCACAGAAATTACCTTACTCTGTTAACTTTGGACAATGTTCCATTGACTACCACTTGTCTTTGTCTTATAAGAATAGAATTTATGGAAGGAGAAAGAAACTTACAAGGAACGGGTAAAAGAATGAAACTGCTATTAATATGACTCAATGTTTTTTTCTTTCTTTTTTTTTTTTTTTGAAAAAAACTTCTAGATATTCCCCTTTTTTCAGATTATTCCAGATTCCATTTTTCTTTCTATGGATTTAAGATGGTAAATTTCTATTTAAAGTCTCATTGTTTGCTCTGATAGCTTTCTATATCTCTGATATATAATGGTCTCAGCAGGCTGAGTTTTACAAAGAGAATTCTACACTTCCTGACGAACATGCATTAGCTATTCCATAAGCACCCGGTGCTGTGCCAGAGGCTGTAAATGACACAGAGGAATGCTCTCAATCCAGTGTTGTTCCTTGCTGTGGAAAACAAACAGGCAAATGACTCCTCTTCTCTGGGCGCTATCTGTTACTCTAATATCTTATCTTAACACATTCTTAGTCCAACACTTACCCAGGAAGCTTGGGATATGGCTACTTATGAAGAAAGGATTACTCTTTTTTTTTTTTTTTCCCCTAGCTTTGGGCTCTTTATGAGGTTGGAAAACAAGTTTATTCCTATGTCTAATAAAATTTTACTACCGATTTCAAAACGCTTAAATTTTTTTTGCATTGCTTTCAATTGCTGCAATTTTTCCTAAGCCCAATAATTTTTTAATGCTATGTTAGTCACCAAGTAAACTACTCTTTTTCTCCAACTGAAGTATATAAGCACTATGGATTCTATGCCAGCCCAATAATGAACTCAATTAATGTTAATTGAGAGCAGCTTTGGGGGAAAAAAATCAGATTTTTACATTCATTCTTGAGTTTAGTGGAATAAACTTTTTTTTTTGGTGAAAGGGAACATAGAGTAGTGGTCAAGTAGCACGAATGCTGGAATCAGAGCTGTCAGATTCAAATCCTTGCTTTGCACATATTTGCTGTTGGATCTTGGGCAAGTTACCGAATTGCTCTGTGCTTCAATTTATTTATTTGTAAAATATTCATAATAACAGTATCTATTTCATAGGGTTATTATGAGGATTAAATGAGCTAATGTTGGCAGAGCACTTAGAATGGTGTGTGCCATTTAAGTGCTATATGAGTACTTCTTTTCATCTTTGCACCATCTATTCTGATTGATGGGACAGACAGGGGCTAGTGCTGGAGAGATAGGGTGTTCATTTGGTTCCGATGGTTCCTTTG
Organism: Homo sapiens; assembly: GCF_000001405.40. NCBI lineage: Eukaryota > Metazoa > Chordata > Mammalia > Primates > Hominidae > Homo > Homo sapiens. The sequence continues at coordinate 169,323,955 of NC_000002.12, read as the reverse complement.
TGATGATTGCCTGGTTCTTAACAAAAGGTTTTTATTTCAATGTGGATTGTATTTTCCTCCTTTCCTCCTTGGTTTTTACTAGAGGGATTTTTTTTTTTTTTTAATCAGGCAGCCCCCAAACCAGAGAGGCTCCTGGAGAATGTTTTAAAGTTACATAAATGATTATTTGCAAGATTACTTCTTGGCTAAAACTGGATTGGTTGAATGTGGCAGTTTTGAGACTATTTTCTGAACAAAGTTTTAAAGCTGGTTCTATGTAGATTTTTTTTTTCTCCCTGTGGGTGGCTCCAATGTATGAAATCATCCCCTTAGCTTTTTTTTTTTTTAAATCTTCAAATAAATAACAAAATGTAGATAATATCTAGATAAAACTTTTGGAGGGCTTGTGAGTAAAGGCTACTTATTTAAAACAAAACACTCAAAATAAATTGCATATAGACTAATTGAAGTAAGGGGCACCTGCAATTGTTATTAGACCTAATCTAGACCTTTTCACTAGTGGTTTATTTTTGGTTTATTTTTAAACAACACATATTCCCTTTATGAGAGAATGAGCTTCTGAGGCCAGTGAAGCATTTTGGCTGATGGCTGAGAGGTCACCCAGCAATGATAAAGTATCAGTTTGTTTTTTCTGGAGAGATATTTCCAAACAATAGTCGTTTGGGAGTTATAAACAGGCATCGAAGTTACTACTGAAAAGGTGAATTTGACAAATGAATTATAGATCTGTTGATAAATTGAGTAAATTGGATTTGATATATTAGATAATGGAGTGAGGAGATCAAGTGTGAAAATCACTACCTATAAAAATTAGTTAATTGCAACATTTCCCCATCAGTTTCATTTTTCATATGTGTGATTTTAAATAATTGACTTTGAAGTGTTTTATAAAATGACTTTTGAGTCTCTATTTTGTGTTCTTTTCATGATGTGTTTAACTTGGTATTTTAGTTTGGCAAAAACAAACAAATCCCCCCACCCCACTCCTCAAAAATGGGACTTGTAATAAAAGTTGCTTAAGAAATAGCATTAATTATATATATTTTCAAAACAGGCAATATATATTGTTCTGATAATTTCCTCCTAAATACTCAGTCTCTAAATTTATATTTTTCTTTTCTCCATAGCAATATGAAACTGTCTGTAAGAGGACTGTTCTTTATGATTGTTATAATTTTTCAACCAGAAGATACTACCTTTACAACCTCAGATACTAAGGGAGACAAATGTACTGAACTTACAAATGTATTATGTTGGATTACTAACAATAGACCTAATTGATAAAAGTGATTTAATATATGTTGTGTTAATAGCTAAACCTCCAAAGCCCCTAATCTCCCATGGAAATATTGCTTTGTAGAACAAAATCCAATGAGAAGTTCTGGGATTCCAGAGTGAATTTGTACATTCCTTAGGGGCATTTTTGCAAGGGAGGTTGTTGTGTTTTAAAGGTAGTTGATAAGAGACCTGCACCACCAACCCCAGACCTGCACCACCAACCACCATCATGCATTAGTCTATAGAAGGTATTTGGGTGTACGTACTCCTGTACCACTCGGTACCACCATTTAGCCAAGCGAAGTTTCTGACCATTTGCAGCATACATTATAAATCAGGATGTCACTACCAGACAATCAGATTTGAACATTCCATGAACAAAGTAGCCTATATACCCTAGAAATAGATCACTTAACTATGTTTATGTCATGCTGTTGATATGCCTGCATTTACACAAATCAGGATAGCACATTGCTTATTTATTTTAGGAGTAGGTACTTGATCTGTATATTTACCTAATTTTGGTTAATTAGCCAAAAATTGAAATGGGTAATTTAGCATGATTGCTTAAATACATGGGGAAGATATAATTATTCTTCCAACTGCAAAAATTTCTCCTTTATCCCTTGGGTTTGTGAAAGAATAAAATAATTTTGAGTCTTCTCTAAGTGGGGCTGGTAGTGGCTGCTTTCTTTGAAAAATTTTTCTATGTGGCACATAATGCTTGGGAAGGTCACTGGCCAGGTATTTGGGGAACTTTGTCCCTTGGGGAGACCTAGGAAAATCACAGGATATATTAGTTCAGTGAAGTGAGCTTGTTTAAGTTATATTGTCCTTCCAGTATCACTAGGGACTATCACTGCCACTTGGGGTGTCAACTTTTGGTGTCAAGTTTGTATACTCTTGTTGGCTGCAGAGATTTTGTTTTGTTTTGTTTTTGGCTCTTTGGTTTAAAAAAAATTGTTTGCAGAGATGAGCTTATAGATCTGGCAAGTTATAATTTAATTTTTAAAAATTAAGACAAAATATTAGTCTGAATCTAAGAATGAAAGGCCATAACTTGCTATATATGATTTAGTAATAAAAAATCACTTAAAAAATAAGGTGAGGAACTCAAGAAAGTATAGTCAAGCAAATGAAAAGTTACTCACGATGTTATCAATCAGAGATAACCACTGTTAACATTCTGGTCTTTTTTACGCTTTTTTTTTTTTTGCATATGTAACTCTGTTATCAGTAAAAATTTACGTCCTTGTTTTTGTTACATTAAATTATAAGTATTTCTCTAAGTACTTAGAATTTCTCCATAACCATTTTTTAAGTTACTAATATGTCAATATAAAGATGTAAACAAATTTAATCCTTTTATTGTTGGACATTTAGGAGGTTTGCAACTTCCTTTGTTATAAATAATGTTGCGATGAAAATCTTTATACATAAATCTTTGTCTACTTCTTTGATTAGTTCCTTAGGAAAAAAATCCTTGAAGTAAAAGTACTAAATTAAAGATCAAGTATTTTTAAAAAGCAAGATACGTGTTGTCAAACTGCTTTCCCAATGAGTTCCATCAAGATACACACTAATCAACTGTGTATGAAAATCACTTTCTTCCCACGGATGTTCAAATAAATATTTTTATATTATCATTGGGAGAATGTTTACCTAATTTTCTAATTTGCATTTCTTTGATTATCTAATTAGTTGAATAATTTTTCATTTTATCAAAAATTTATATTTCTTCGGTTAAATATCTGCATGGCATAAGTTTTTAAAATTTCTGTCTATTATTGCAGAATGTGACAGTGCGCATTTTCGCTGTGGAAGTGGGCATTGCATCCCTGCAGACTGGAGGTGTGATGGGACCAAAGACTGTTCAGATGACGCGGATGAAATTGGCTGCGGTAAGTGAGGAGGGGCCAGGCTAAGTTCTATTTTGAGTAACCTAAGTGCTTCCTGGTGATTTCAGCTGTAACAAAGAGAAGAGCTATGCCTTTTAGTGACAGAGCCAGGTCTGGGCCCAAGTCTTTTGAGATCTGTGTGGTTGAATAGAGAACTGATGGCATTAACAATAATTTCACTCCCTTCTGAGGTAGGGGTTCAATTCACATTGATGATAGAGCATCAGTTTCTATCTCACCCTTATCCCTTGACCACAACTTTGATATGGAAACATATTTGGGTGCAGTTTTCTGGAGTCTGTAGGTGATTATTTCTAATATTCACTCTGTAAATTTTGTGTACCCACAAGAACAAACAAAAAATAATGTTATCTGAACTACTGTGATTTGTAAGTCAAAGAGGAGTCCATTTTTATGTAAAGGATGTAGAATAACTTGTGTCAATTACCATAAAGAAATCACAGAATTGGTTAGTGTGATTTATGTTTTTTAAAAATTCTAGTTTTAAAAAATTTGAAAAATACGATAATGTAGTAAACTTCAAATCTAATTAATTATAAAATGACTTTCACATTCATTTTGTCATTTAGTTTTCTCACTAATCTTCTGAGGTCGGTTTCAGATTAGTAAATTGAGACTCGGAGAAGTTAAGTCATTTATTAAAGTTCTTACAGTTGGTAAGTCTATGCACAGATCCCATTGCTCTTCCCAACTTCCCATAGGTGATCAATCATACATCTGCAATTTCCTTCATCCCAGCAGGTGAACTAATGAGGGTTATCTTTCAAAAATCAGGAAAGCAGGTGAAAAATTTTTGTTTTGAATTGTTGGCCATGTTATGGCATACCATAGCAGTCAAACTTTGGTGTGTCATTTAGATGACAACGCATTTGAAAATGGGAGGAAGGGTAAGGATGGGGTTCTGTACAGTGCTCCTCAAATACTCATGCACAAATGGATCACCCAGGAGCTCATTAAAGTGCAAATTTAGATTCCATATTTTGAGGTGGGACCTCAGCTTCTGCGTTTCTATAAACTTCCTGATGATGTTGATGCTGCTAGTTTGTGGACTGCACTTTGAACAAGGGACTAAACTATATTTGTAGAGACACAATCATGTGCTAACTATTTGCCTCCTCTGGGCTTACTGAGTTCATTTTGATTAAACAATAAAAGCAAAAAGGCAAGGGCAGTGTATCTGGGGTAAAGGAATAAGTGAACAGCTATGCCAACAACTCTTCAGAGATTGTTACCTGTATTATATTTTATTGACCTGTAAAAATAATAACAATAACAACAATATCAATGACGATAGTGATAGCAAGTAACATTACATGGCGCTTTCACATACATTATTTAACTTATTTTTCACAACAAACAGTGAGATGAGTATAGTCCCCATTTTATGATGCATACATTGAGGTTCAGAGAACCTGCCAAAGATCTTAAAGGAAGTAAATCATGGAAATAATAATTATTTGATTTTGGGTTTTCTTTCCCAAATCTCATGAATTTTCCAGTTCATCATGATACTTTACTATTAGTTATTATGAAACAAATAGTTTAACAGTAACTCACAGTTAATGTTTACTTGAATGAAGCTTTTAATCTAATACCTTTATCATAATTTTTTTGTGTGTATGTGTGCTGTTTGTTTTATTCTCTGTGTTTTTAAGTTGCTTTGGTTCATGAGTTTGTTGTGATGCTGTTGCTGAGCTTATTTGACAGTGAACTCTGACTGGCGTCCACAGACTCTAGTATAAGGGTTGTTTACTATTTGCCTTCAAATAAATTGAGCAGGAGTTTACATGATACACTCTTCTGGAACAAGCATTGCTTGCTAGTATAATGGGGAGGATGATTGCCATAATGAGTCCTCTTTTGGTTTGTTTTAGCTGTTGTGACCTGCCAGCAGGGCTATTTCAAGTGCCAGAGTGAGGGACAATGCATCCCCAACTCCTGGGTGTGTGACCAAGATCAAGACTGTGATGATGGCTCAGATGAACGTCAAGATTGCTGTAAGTGTTTGGAGAGGAATCTTGCTTTGGCTTTGTGGACACCTAAAACCCAACCTGTCGCAAAGAAGTTACACACAATGGGATGATTCTTTATAAATGTGGAGCAGGGCCTTAAATCATAAGGGAACCTATGCCAGCAATCTCATTCAGGGGTTGGATGATATTGAAAGTACGGATGTACTGAAGAATTATGAATATACCCCAGCAATTTGGAAGTGAGATAGGTTCCCAATCTTTAATTTTGATTATGTTATGCTCAAGAAAGGAACCAAATATTTATTGGAGTGTATAGCTGGGTGTCTTCATGTGTGTGGTTGACAGCTGAATGAGTCCTTTGGCTCTGTGGCATACTTTGTATTCAAACCTTCCACTCCTTCTGCCCCAATATTAAATTCTCTTCTTTTTGACTGAGTGGAAGTAGGTAGGTTTGTTGGAGGGCTTCTTGGTGGTTACTTCAGTGACTGCTGCCACAGCCACCATAGGGAGAGCTTGAACAAGAAAGAAAATAGTAGCGATGAAGCGGATCTTGGCAACTGCGGCATCCCTGGACATTGAGGGGGTTTGGTTCAGTAACCTGGAAAAAACCTTTAAATTCTAATTTCTTTGGAATCAGACTGGAAAAGACTGTTTTAATAGGTCTAACAATAATTTTATTTTATTTATTTTTATTTTATTATTATTTTTAGAGTCAGGGTCTCACTCTCTCACCCAGGCTGGAGTGCAGTGGTGCGATCACAGCTCACTGCAGCCTCAAACACCGGGGCTCAGGTAATCCTCCTGCTTAAGCCTCCTGAGTAGCTGGGACTATAGGTGTGCACCACCATGCCCAGCTAATTTTTAAATTTTTTGTAGAGACACGATCTTGTTACGTTTCCCAGGCTGGTCTGGAATCCTGGGCTAAAGTGATCCTCCTGCCTTGGCCTCCCAAAATGTTGGGATTATAGGCATGACCCCCCCATGACTGGCCTGAAAATAATTTTAGATGAGAAGTAATGTTGGGTAAATATAAGATGGCGACCTATGAGCAATTTGTCTATCACATGTATCATTCCATTCCTTTCTCTATTAAGGATATTTGTATAATTTAAAATCATTCTTGTATCATTGTGGATGTTTTTGGCTGCAAGGAAAGAAAACACAACTCAAAAAAGTTAAACAAAAAGGGGATTTATTATCTCACATAATAAGAAGCCTAACTATAGGGTTGTTCCAGGGTTGATTAATTCCCAGCTCAGAAATATTATCCAGCTTTTTCTCACTTTTTTGCTCTGCCATATTTATCCTATTGGCCTTTCTTGATTGCATAAAAGCTGCTCAAGTCTCAAAATTTGCATCCTGAAGGCCTGACATTCTCTCAGGCAGAGAGGAGGTTCTTAATAGATAGATACTAAATGCATAAATGATGGGTTGTTCATCTTTAGGCTATATAGTTTTGAGTCTATTTTCTCTTACTCCTCTCACAGAGTGGGAAGAAAGCTGAGCTTTATTTTGCGATTCAATGTGTGGTGGATGACCCTTTGCTAATAATAATACTTTACAGAGGGGATTGGAACTACTAAGGGCAACTGCTTGGGAAAAGAGACTGGAGATAAGTTTATAGCAGTCATTTTAAAACAATATTGCATATCATTTTAAATGACTATACATTTCATGAGGCAATTCTCCCATTTTTAATGATATAAAAATTCTCCATTAGATATCTTTTAACCACAAACAAAATATGCCACCTCTGTATTCACTAAAGTTACCAGATAACTCCTGATTGCCAATGGGCACTTTTCCTTCCTTCTCACACTGGATGGGCATTTAGATTGCACTTGACTCTGGAGACCATTCCTCCTTCTTGACACCACTCCCTTGGCTGCCATGACTCCCAGCAGTCCTGGCTCTCTTTTGAGCTGCTTTGGTCATTCCATTTTATTTTCCTCTTCTACTCAGCCCTTGAGTATTGGTGTTGCTCAGAGCCCTGCCCTGAGCAGCTTTTCTCATTCTGGACACTCTCAGGATAGTCTCACCATTCTCATGACTTTAGTGACCCTCTGTGGCCTGATGAGACTTAAATCTGTGTTTACAACCCAGATTTTTGCCCACACTTGAGTCTTGTATACTCAACTACCTTTGGACCTCTGCAAGTTGCCTTGAACTCAAGGTGTCCCAACTGAAAATAATCATCTTCCCTCCTGAACTGGATTTTCCTTCTATATTTGCTAGTCTACATATTTTATCTTTATTAATAGAAATAGCATTTAACCCACTATGAGGCACTGGCAGAAAATACAAAATCAGTCTTAAACTATTGGAAATAGGCAGATGGAGGCTCTCTTACTTGTTGAATTTGTGAAACATATTTCATAATGAAAGTATTTTATTAGATGAAGAAGAAAGATTGCTGTAAGTGACAGGAAAGATATAATCAATTAACATGAAAAGGCTATCACAATCCCCTAGGCACCCACGCTAGAAACTTGGAGGTTATTCTTGATTCCTTCCTCTTTTTCACTGCCCACATTGAATCACCAACTCCTGCCTAATTTGCCTCATAAATATTTCTAAAGTTAATCTCTTCATTTCTCTCTCTTTTATTTTTATTTTTTGGCAAGGACAGATTTTTTTTTTTTTTGAGACAGGGTCTTGCTCTGTTGCCCAGGCTGGAATGCAGTGGTGCAATCATGGCTCACTGTAGCCTTGACCTCCTGGGCTCAAATGGTCCTCCCACTTCTCAGCCTCCAGAGTAGCTGGGACTACGGGCGCATGGCACCATACCTGGCTAATTTTGTATTTTTTTTTTTTTTTTTTTTTTTTGTAGAGATGGGGTTTTCCCATGTTGCCCAGGCTGGTCTCCAACTCCTGGCCTGAAGTGATCCACCCACCTTGGCCCCCCAAGTGCTGGGATGATAGGTGTGAGCCACCATGTCTGACCCATCTCTTTATTTCTGCTCCCACTGCCAACATCTCTCATTTGGGTGTCAGCAGTAGTCTCTGGGTTGGCCTCCCTGCCTCCAGTTCTGTGGATCCTTAGATTCTCTCTGACACTGATGCTGATCTAACTAAGATTCTTTGGTAGCTCTCCATTAATTCCAGGAGAAAGTTCCAATTCCCTAACACGGTTTACAGTGGCTTCCAAGATGTGACTAGTGCTTATTTTCCTATGTCTATCATTTGCTATTCTTGCCTTGAAGTGGCCACTTGGGCACAGCAGTGCTTTTAGTTCCTGTGGGTGTGCCATGCTGTGTCCTAGCCTTTTGTCTCCGTGCAAGCTGGCTGAATGCTGAATGCTCGGTTCTAGACAGTCCTTCTTTGCTTTTGGCCTACCTGACTGCTGCTTCTTTAAGACCCAGGGAGGTGTCACTTTTTCAAGGAAACTGTCCCCATCCATGCTCCCATCCCAGAGTGAATTAAGTTCCTGGATTGATGGTTCTATCATTCCTGTGTGCCTATAATCCACTTTCATAATTGTTTTCTAATTACTCCTTAGTGTCCCCTAGAAGACTATGAGCTTCTTGAGGGTAGGGATTGTGCCTTATTCATTTGCAGATCCCCATATTGCTATACTGTGTGGTACATTATAGGCCCTCAACAGATGTTTGTGTAATTAATGAATAGATGAATCTCAGCATTAGATAGGTTGATGGAATTATATAATTTTAATTTGTTTGCTCTCTACATTTGAATGAGCTTTTAATTGCTTCTTCGTAAGCCCTTTGAAAACCTAAGCACAACATTTAGAATTATTTGGGCTTGACGTAAAGAAGAAAGCCAAGGTAATTGAACGAGCACTGATACCTGACCCAGGTTCTTTTCATATTTTGTTTGAGACAACCCATGACTTGCCTTCTCGGGAATAAAAGAAAGTTCTTTAATTTTATGTGAAAATTGGCAATATATACTTAAATAAATTATTTGGAAATTTAATGAGGAAGTATTAATCTCTTTAACCTTTTTCAGATAAAATTGTGTCTCTGCCATGGGCAGAATTCAGACACTTAAGTGCCTTCTGGAAAAATCTATCTATTCTGCCTTTATTAATAGAAGTAAAATTGGACCCACAGGTATAAGGTACTTAGAGAAAATATGAAATTATTTAGTGTTAGAAGTAGGCTGACTTGAAAAATTTTGTTTGCTGTTCCAGAATTATAAGACACCATTTTGCTAATTAAACAGAAAGAAGGAACAAAATGACAAGGAAGATATAATCAATTAAGCATGGAGAAGGGTGTTAATTATGGTTTTATAATTATTATATCTTATCACATGATAATTTCTATATGTTTGAATTTTCAAGTACCACCTTGAAAACTGTCACTGTCTACTTATCTTTTACATATTTTTTTTTTTTTAGAGACAGGGGTCTTGCTTTGCTGCCCAGGCTGGAGTGCAGTGGCATGATTATAGCTCACTCTAACTACATAAAAAGAGAAGTTTTTTTTGGCTCAAGTGATCCTCCTACCTCAGCCTTCCAAATAGCTACGACTACAGCTACTTGGAAGTGAGCCACTGTGCCCAGCTAAATTTATTTTTTTTTTCTTTTAAGATATAAGGATCTCACTATGTTGCCCAGGCTAGTCTTGAATTCTTGGCCTCAAGTGATCTTCTTGCCTCAATCTCCCATAGCTGGGATTAAAGGCACGAGCCACTGTGCCAGGTTTACTTGTCGTTTGAAAAGGTTTTTCATGTTAAGTTTTGGGGGTACATTCCTTAACAGATCTAATTTTATCAGAAAACCAAGTTTTGCTGAACCTAAATATCTATACTACATATAAGTAAAAGAAGCTCTGTAGGCTGGGAGCCTCGGATCCCTGACAGTTTTGCAGAACGCTGATATCTATGGACTCTAAAATAGACTTCATTTATAGATACCCACGGACCACTAATGGACAAAAACATGAATCAATATGTATTGTGGCATTCAAATCCTAGCGCTTTGGGAGAGGAGGGAGGTTCCAAGATGGCCGAATAGGAACAGCTCCAGTCTACAGCTCCCAGCGTGAGCAACATAGAAGACGGGTGATTTCTGCATTTCCAACTGAGCTTTGAAGAGAGTAGTGGATCTCCCAGCACAGAGTTTGAGATCTGAGAATGGACAGACTACCTCAAGTGGGTCCCTGACCCCCGAGTAGCCTAACTGGGAGACACCTCCCAGTAGGGGCCGACTGACACCGGATACGGCCAGGTGCCCCTCTGAGACGAAGCTTCCAGAGGAACGATCAGGAAGTAACATTTGCTGTTCTGCAATATTTGCAGTTCTGCAGACTCCACTGATGATACCCAGGCAAACAGGGTCTGGAGTGGACCTCCAGCAAACTCCAACAGACCTGCAGCTGAGGGTCCTGATGGTTAGAAGGAAAACTAACAAACAGAAAGGGCATCTACACCAAGACCCCATCTGTACATCACCATCATCAAAGACCAAAGGTAGATAAAATCACAAAGATGGGGAGAAACCAGAGCAGAAAAGCTGAAAATTCTAAAAATCAGAGCACCTCTTCTCCTTCAAAGGAACGCAGCTCCTCACCAGCAACAGAACAAAGCTGGATGGAGAGTGACTTTGAGAGTTGAGAGAAGAAGGCTTCAGACGATCGGTAATAACAAACTTCCCCAAGCTAAAGGGGGATGTTCAAACCCATCGCAAAGAAGCTAAAAATCTTGAAAAAAGATTAGATGAATGGCTAACTAGAATAACCAGCATAGAGAAGACCTTAAATGACCTGATGGAGCTGAAAACCATGGCATGAGAACTACGTGATGCATGCACAAGCGTCAATAGCCGTTTCGATCAACTGGAATAAAGGGTATCAGTGATTGAAGATCAAATGAATGAAATGAAGTGAGAAGAGCAGTTTAGAGAAAAAAGAGTAAAAAGAAATGAACAAAGCCTCCAAGAAATATGGGACTATGTGAAACGACCAAATCTACGTCTGATTGTTGTACCTGAAAGTGACGGGGAGAATGGAACCAAGTTGGAAAACACTCTGCAGGATATTATCCGGGAGAACTTCCCCAACCTAGCAAGGCAGGCCAACACTCAAATTCAGGAAATACAGAGAATGCCACAAAGACATACCTCGAGAAGAGCAACTCCAAGACACGTAATTGTCAGATTCACCAAAGTTTAAATGAAGGAAAAAATGTTAAGGGCAGCCAGAGAGAAAGGTCGGGTTACCCACAAAGGGAAGCCCATCAGACTAACAGCTGATCTCTCGGCAGAAACTCCACAAGCCAGAAGAGAGGGGGGGCCAATATTCAACATTCTTAAAGAAAAGAATTTTCAACCCAGAATTTCATATCCAGCCAAACTAAGCTTCATAAGTGAAGGACAAATAAAATCCTTTACAGACAAGCAAATGCTGAGAGATTTTGTCACCACCAGGCCTACCTTACAAGAAATCCTGAAGGAAGCACTAAACATGGAAAGGAACAACTGGTACCAGCCACTGCAAAAACATGCCAAATTCTAAAGACCATCAAGGCTAGGAAGAAACTGCATCAACTAACGAGCAAAATAACCAGCTAACATCATAATGACAGGATCAAATTCACACATAACAATATTAACCTTAAATGTAAATGGGCTAAATGCTCCAATTAAAAGACACAGACTGGCAAATTGGATAAAGAGTCAAGACCCATCAGTGTGCTGTATTCAGGAAACCCATCTCACGTGCAGAGACACACATAGGCTCAAAATAAAGGGATGGAGGAAGATCTACCAAGCAAATGGAAAACACAAAAAAAGGCAGGGGTTGCAATCCTAGTCTCTGATAAAACAGACTTTAAACCAACAAAGATCAGAAGAGACAAAGAAGGCCATTACGTAATGGTAAAGGGATCCAGTCAACAAGAAGAGCTAACTATCCTAAATATATATGCACCCAATACAGGAGCACCCAGATTCATAAAGCAAGTCCTTAGAGACCTACAAAGACACTTAGACTCCCACACAATAATAATGGGAGACTTTAACACCCCACTGTCAACATTAGACAGATCCACGAGACAGAAAGTTAACAAAGATTTCCAGGAATTGAACTCAGCTCTGCACCAAGCAGACCTAATAGACATCTACAGAACTCTCCACCCCAAATCAACAGAATATACATTCCTCTCAGCACCACATTGCACTTATTTCAATATTGACCACATAGTTGGAAGTAAAGCACTCCCCATCAAATGTAAAAGGACAGAAATTATAACAAACTGTCTCTCAGACCACAGTGCAATCAAACTAAAACTCAGGATTAAGAAACTCACTCAAAACCGCTCAACTACATGGAAACTGAACAACCTGCTCCTGAATGACTACTGGGTACATAAAGAAATGAAGGCAGAAATAAAGATGTTCTTTGAAACCAATGAGAACAAAGACACAACATACCAGAATCTCTGGGACACACTTAAAGCGTGTGTAGAGGGAAATTTATAGCACTAAATGCCCACAAGAGAAAGCAGGAAAGATCTAAAATTGACACCCTAACATCACAATTAAAAGAACTAGAGAAGCCAGAGCAAACACATTCAAAAGCTAGCAGAAGGCAAGAAATAACTAAGATCAGAGCAGAACTGAAGGAGATGGAGACACAAAAAACCCTTCAAAAAATCAATGAATCCAGGAGCTGGTTTTTTGAAAAGATCAACAAAATTGATAGACCACTAGGAAGACTAATAACGAAAAAAGAGAGAAGAATCAAATAGACACAATAAAAAATGATAAAGGGGATATCACCACCAATCCCTCAGAAATACAAACTACCATCAGAGAATACTATAAAAACCTCTATGCAAATCAACTAGAAAATCTAGAAGAAATGGATAAATTCCTTGACACATACGCCCTCCCAAGACTAAACCAGGAAGAAGTTGAATCCCTGAATAGTCCAATAACAGGCTCTGAAATTGAGGCAATAATTAAGAGGCTACCAACCAAAAGAAGTCCAGGACCAGACTGATTCACAGCCGAATTCTACCAGAGGTACAAGGAGGAGCTGGTACCATTCCTTCTGAAACTTTTCCAATCAAAAGAAAAAGAGGGAATCCTCCCTAATTCATTTTATGAGGCCAGCATCATCCTGATACCAAAGCCTGGCAGAGACACAACAAAAAAAGAGAATTTTAGACCAATAGCCCTGATGAACATCGATGCAAAAATCTTCAGTGAAATACTGGCAAACCCAATCCAGCAGCACATCAAAAAGTTTATCCACCATGATCAAGTTGGTTTCATCCCTGGGATGCAAGGCTGGTTCAACATACGCAAATCAATAAGCGTAATCCATCATATAAACAGAACCAAAGACAAAAACCACATGATTATCTCAATAGACGCAGAAAAGGCCTTTGACAAAATTCAACAGCCCTTCATGCTAAAAACTCTCAATAAATTAGGTATCAATGGGACGTATCTCAAAATAATAAGAGCTATTTATGACAAACCCACAGCCAATATCATCCTGAATGGGCAAAAACTGGGAGCATTCCCTTTGAAAACTGTCACCACTCTTATTCAACATAGTGTTGGAAGTTCTGGCCAGGGCAATCAGGCAGGAGAAAGAAATAAAGGGTATCCAATTAGGAAAAGAGGAAGTCAAATTGTCCCCGTTTGCAGATGACATGATTGTATATTTAGAAAACCCCATCGTCTCAGCCCAAAATCTCCTTAAGCTGATAAGCAACTTCAGCAAAGTCTCAGGATACAAAATCAATGTGCAAAAATCACAAGCATTCCTATATACCAATAACAGACAAACAGAGAGCCAAATCATGAGTGAATTCCCATTCACAATTGCTTCAAAGAGAATAAAATACCTAGGAATCCAACTTACAAGGGATGTGAAGGACCTCTTCAAGGAGAACTACAAACCATTCTCAGTGAAATAAAAGAGGACACAAACAAATGAAGGAACATTCTATGCTTATGGATAGGAAGAATCAATATCATGGAAATGGCCATACTGCCCAAGGTAATTTATAGATTCAATGCCATCCCCATCAAGCTACCAATGACTTTCTTCACAGAATTGGAAAAAACTACTTTAAAGTTCATATGGAACCAAAAAAGAGCCCACATTGCCAAGACAATCCTAAGCCAAAAGAACAAAGCTGGAGGCATCATGCTACCTGACTTCAAACTATACTACAAGGCTACAGTAACCAAAACAGCATGGTACTGGTACCAAAACACAGATATAGACCAATGGAACAGAATAGAGCCCTCAGAAATAATACCACACATCTACAACCATCTGATCTTTGACAAACCTGACAAAAACAAGAAACGGGAAAAGGATTCCCTATTTAATACATGGTGTTGGGAAAACTGGCTAGCCATATGTAGAAAGCTGAAACTGGATCCCTTCCTTACACCTTATACAAAAATTAATTCAAGATGGATTAAAGACTTAAATGTCAGACCTAAAACCATAAAAACCCTAGAAGAAAACCTAGGCAATACCATTCAGGACATAGACATGGGCAAGGACTTCATGTCTAAAACACCAAAAGCAATGGTAACAAAAGCCAAAATTGATAAATGGGATCTCATTAAACTAAAGAGTTTCTGCACAGCAATAGAAACTACCATCAGAGTGAACAGGCAACCTATAGAATGGGAGAAAATTTTTGCAATCTACCCATCTGACAAAGGGCTGATATCCAGAATCTACAAAGAACTTAAACAAATGTACAAGAAAAAAACAAACAACCCCATCAAAAAGTGGGCAAAGGACATGAACAGACACTTCTCAAAAGAAGACATTTATGCAGCCAACAGACACATGAAAAAATGCTGATCATCACTGAGCATCAGAGAAATGCAAATCAAAACCACAATGAGATATCATCTCACACCAGTTAGAATGGTGATCATTAAAAAGTCAAGAAACAACAGGTGCTGGAGAGGATGTGGAGAAATAGGAACACTTTTACACTGTTGGTGGGACTGTAAACTAGTTCAACCATTGTGGAAGACAGTGTGGCGATTCCTCAAGGATCTAGAACTAGAAATACCATTTGACCCAGCCATCCCATTACTGAGTATATACCCAAAGGATTATAAATCATGCTGCTATAAAGACACATGCACACATATGTTTTTTGTGGCACTATTCACAATAGCAAAGACTTGGGACCAACCCAAAAGTCCATCAATGATACACTGGATTAAGAAAATGTGGCACATATACACCATGGAATACTATGCAGCCGTAAAAAAGGATGAGTTCCTGTCCTTTGTAGGGACATGGATGAAGCTGGAAACGATCATTCTGAGCAAACTATCGCAAGGACAGAAAACCAAACACCGCATGTTCTCACTCATAGGTGGGAATTGAACAATGAGAGCACCTGGACACAGGATGGGGAACATCACAAACTGGGTCCTGTCGTGGGGTAGGGGAGAGGGGAAGGATAACATTAGGAGATACACCTAACGTAAATGACTAGTTAATGGGGGCAGCACACCAACATGGCAGATGTATACATATGTAACAAACCTGCACGCTGTGCACATGTACCCCAGAACTTAAAGTAAAATAATAATAATAAAAAAGGAATTATAAAAAAAAGAAGTTTTGTAAAAATTGAGAGCAAATCTTTTTTCTTCCATTAGGGGATTATATTATATTTTTTAGATGATCACGTTTTCCCCCAAAGCTCTTTGTATGTAGACAATTTAAAATCCCAGGATAAGATAATGTTACCATGTTATGGTAATTCCTGCCTCAGATTTACAGGATAGCTTTCACATCATGCTTGCGGGCATCAGTTCACTGGATTTTATCTGTTTTATCCGGAGGCAAATTTCATGAACTGCTGATGCCCTGCTTTCACCTATACTAATCAACATGGGATGAAATCAAGCTAGCTTAAATTTTTTTCTCTTTATAAAATTGATACATGGTCAATGTAGGCAGTTTATAGAATAGAGGAAACTATATAGAAAAAAATAAAATCACTCATATTCATATTCACACCACTCTGGAATAACTGCTATTAAAGCTTTGGTATATTTCCTTCTTGTTTATACAAGGATTTCAATGGGTGGGTTGGGGGTCCTTGGTTAATACCTATACTTGCAAAATTTTTATTTCATTAAACTTTTTACCATATAGTTTTAAAATCTATATTGTATTCTTTACACATGTTGATAACGTAATTGTGTACATAGCATGCTTGAGTGTGGACACTATTCTCTGGGCATTTTGATAACATTATACTTCTGTTTTTGCTTTGTAAGCTCAGCTTGGTGGTAGCCAGGTACTTTACCTTGTGTCCCTATGAACTTTATGCTTTCCAATATCCTTGTTAATGACAATAGATTAGTCTGTGTCTAGCAATAATTATAAATTAAGTAATAATTTTTTCTCTTCGCAGCACAAAGTACATGCTCAAGTCATCAGATAACATGCTCCAATGGTCAGTGTATCCCAAGTGAATACAGGTGCGACCACGTCAGAGACTGCCCCGATGGAGCTGATGAGAATGACTGCCGTGAGTCTGTTTTAGTCCTTGCACTGTATTTGGTTTCACCCTTGTCCCTTTGGCATTTTAATCAATTTGTTAGATTTGTTGATGGACATAAATGCCTACAATATGCCTCTTGTTATTGCAATCTCTTGGCAGATTCTTTTGTGGATTAGGGGTGATGTTCTGATAAGAGTCTATTTTTAACAAGACATTCTAAGAGTGTCCTGCCTTAGTGCATCAAGTTTCTGTATTTTTTATAGTAAGAAACTTTTAACATGAACATAGATTCTGAAAGGAAGGATAATTAAATACATTGAGTACAGAATCAAGTTTGGTAAATTTTAACTGTTATTACACAGCTATAGTAAGTTTCTAGGTCAAATTTCTCACTAGTTTTCCTGCTTTTATGAACTCAACATTTTTCAGATTACCTTTGGAAAAGTGTTACATTTTGAAAATGTCTTTTCCTATAACAGCAGCATACTATATCTCTTTGTAACTGATCACCACAAAATAAGACATATAAATCATAGTATTCTATGTATAATGTATAAATATTACCACACCAAAATAAGAAAGTGCAATCATGGTTCATTATCTAGTAACAGGTAAGTAAAGAACAATCTTCCTCTTTCGAGGCTTATATAGAAGTGTTAGGATATGAGAAGATAGGAATTAGTCTGCTGTGTCAGTCCTATAGTCCATATAATTGTCTTTAATCTCAGGCATACCACAGTTTCTCTCTCTTTCTGTTTTTTATTTTTTATTTTTGAGAAGGAGTTTCACTCTTGTTGCCCAGGCTGAGTGTGATGGCATGCTCTCGGCTCACCGCAACCTCCACCTCCCAGGTTCAAGCGATTCTCCTGCCTCAGCCTCCCGAGTAGCTGGGATTACAGGCATGCGCCACCACGCCCGACTAATTTTTGTATTTTTAGTAGAGATGGCATTTCACCATGTTGGTCAGGCTGGTGTTGAACTTCTGACCTCAGGTGATCCACCCGCCTCGGCCTCCCAAAGTGCTGGGATTACAGGCATGAGCCACTGTGTCTGGCCCCTAGTTTCTCTGAAAAGTTCTTACAAGTCTAGCGTTTATGAATTTTTCCAGAAGTTCCTTGAGTTTTTAATATATATATATTTTAATATATACATATAACATATATTTCTGACAGGCCTTTTCGTGCAGTCCTGCATTTCATAAATTTACTATGTGCTGTATAAAGATATAGTCATGTGTCATTTAATGAGGGGGACACATTCTGAGAAATGTATTATTAGGCAATTTTGTTGTTGTGTGAACGTGATAGAGTGTTGTTAAACAAACCTGGATGGTATAGCCTACTGCACACCTAGGGTAAACAGTATATACCCTAGGCATATACTGTTGCTCCTAGGCTACAAACCTGAACACCATGTTCCCGTGCTAAATACTACAGGCAATTGGAACACAATGTTAAGTATTTATGTAGCTAAACATATGTAAACATAGAAAAGGTACAGCAAAAATATGGTATTATAATCTTAGGGGACCACTGTAGTACATGTAGTCCATGCGGTCTGTCGTTGACCGAAAGAGCCATATGCGGTTCCTGACTGTACTTCCTTTTGTTTGCTCTTAAATTTATATTTCAAACTTCAAGAAATTATCCCAGTATTCCATTAATTGGTGAGCAGATTTTTGTGTACCTTAGAAATCTTGATCATAAACTTTTCAGTTATTATGTCTCCAACGGAAGATTCAAGTTTTAGCCTATTCTCACGGGATATCTCCTCTATTGTTTTATAATTTTGATTTAATTTTAGTTCTCTGGATTGTCTCTAAATTCCTTCCTTTGATACAAATGGTTTATTTTATGCTTTCTGATAAAAGAACTATCTTGTGTAAATTTTGCTAAACTTCCCAATATGGTGCTGTGACTAGGGTAGGAGCTAACATACATTGATTATGGCAAGCAAATTGTTTCTAGTCACTGTACATTTCAAACTATACTGTTCATGGAAGATATACTTGTATATGTGCAAAAGCAAGACCTATGCTTCCATCCATACCATGACCACATGGTGCATTTTTAAAAACGACCCTTCTCCAGTGCTTTCTCCCTTGCATGTTATTTTTCTTTGGGAGAAATGTCTGTGCTATTTGCCATTGTCTCTCCATTTCCTAGCAGAGTTCCTAGTACAGTTCTGTTCTAATTTTCATCTGAAATATTCTTATTTATCTATTTATTTTTAATTTTACTTTAAGTTCTGGGATACATGTGTGACGTTCCCCTCTCTGTATCCATGTGTTCTCATCGTTCAACTCCCACTTATGAGTGAGAACATGTGGCGTTTGGTTTTCTATTCCTGTGTTAGTTTGCTGAGAATGATGGCTTCCAGCTTCATCCATGTCCTTGTAAAAGACATGAACTTGTTCCTTTTTAGGGCTGCGTAGTATTCCATGGTGCATATATGCTACATTTTCTTTATCCAGTCTATCATTGATAGGCATTTGGGTTGGTTCCAAGTCTTTGCTATTATAAATAGTGCTACAATAAACATACATGTGCATATGTCTTTATTTTTTGAAAGACATTACAGTGTTTCCACTTTGGATTTACCTTCACTCTGGAAATTATGCAAAGAATTTAGACTAAACTCTGGCAAGTTTAGAGATGGTAGCGTGTGTCTGGATGCCACAGAATAGCAAGTTTAGGGGTCAAAGATTCTCCTTTCAGTGCTTTGTAAAGCACACAGTAGGTTCTTCATTTAGGCAAATGAAGAAGATATTTTTGATTAATAATAATGATAAACCATATGTTATATTTTGTAGCATTTTATAAATTTCAGAGCATTATATAAATTCTAGTTGTTACTATTAGGTTCCTTTATGAGGACAATAGGGCAGGCACTATTATAATCTCTTATGAATAAACAAAAACTTCAAAGAGAAGCGTGACTTGTTTGAGGTTGTATAGTAGAGATAGGGCTTAATTTGTCTTCTAGTTCCAAGTCTGGTGATTGCTCTTCATGGAGGGCTTTATTTACAGAAGGAGAAAGTCCTATCTTGTACAAGTTAAGAGACCACCAGAGGCCTGTACCACCAGCCAAAAGTCTGTGTCTTTATCCCTTATTTACAAGTAGATGAAAATGAGTGCTTTATTGCAAATGCAGTGGGACTAAAGGAACTGCTACTTTGGGGAAAATAAAAGTCAGCTGAAACAGAATGTTTGCAGCCAAGACTAAAGTCACTAATACAACCGGCTCACAACTTTGCCAATGAACCTTCTGGCAAAAACCTGGCAGGATACGAATATGTAAGTAGCTGCTGTAAAAGGGAACGAAGCAGAGGAAATGAGCTTTGTAAGTTATTATATCTGGGCAGGAATTTTTAATCAAGTTTTTTTTTATTTAAAAAAATTTAAGTACAAATAGTTGGTGAAATAATGATTCACTAAGGAAAGAAAACCAAATTTGGCTTACTGTTTCTGGAATCATACAAGTCATGAACCCTTCAGGGCACACTGTGACCTAAAATGAATCACATGCATGTAAGGGATTTTGCAGTGAGGCATTCTTTCCTATTTCCCTCTACCTTGTTTATTTATAGCTAAGTTTCATTTATGGAGCAGTGTAAAAAAAAAAACCTCAGAAATCAGAGGAAATGTAGAAAAGAAACTTCTTATTCTTTTGTTAGTGCTTTGATCTGGTCACAGTCAGATATATACAAGAAGGAAATGAATGGCCTCGATCAAAGTCCTTAGAAAATGCTAGTATAGGGGATGGGTTGCAGGAGTGATCCCATTTTGTTTTCCTTCTTTGTTTAAAGCTCTTGTGGAAAGTGGGAAAGGGAACTGCCAGTCACCGAGCACCAGCCACCACCTTACCCACTTTTCACGTCAATGCTGCAAGGTGGGTATGAGGACCAGCTCTGTTTTACAGAGATTGTAAAGATTATCAAGATGTAAGAGTAGGGGAGCCAGGATTTTAACCTAGGTCTAAACCATATGCCTGTGCTCTTAAAAGATTTTGCTTTAGGAATAGAAACGTATAACTTATTTTTGTTTAAAGGTTACTTAGCTATTTTATTATTTTTACATATTATTGTCTAAACCTTTTTTAGTATGGAAGGTTTTTTTTAACATATACAAAAGAAGCATGAAGTGTATAGTGAACCCCTTTGTATGCATCACTCAATTACATCAATGATGAACTCATAACTAATATTGTTTTATTTATTCTCTTTATTCTCCCCATTATTTTGAAGTATTTCTTAGACATTGTATAATTCCACCTGTAAATATTTCAGTATTTATCTCTAAAATATAAGGACTGAAACATAATCATAATATCATTATCACACCTAAAAATTAAACAACTCTTCTTTAAAATAATCAGATATTGAGTCAGTTTTTAAAATTCCCCAATCATCTTGTTATTTTTTATAGTTTGATTATTTAAATCAAAGTCCAAATAAAATCTTTATGTTCAAGTTAGTTGATATGTCTCATAAGCCTTTCAATTTATGGGGTTTCCTTCTATTTCTGTTCTTTACCCCTTGCAATTTACTTGTTAAAAAAAAAAACCCAGGTCACTTGTCCTGGAGTTTCCCACAGTCTGGCTTGTGTTCATTGTGTCCCCTGATGTCCTTTAACACATTCTCTGTCCTCTGTATTTCTTGGCAATTAGTAGCTAGACCTGGAGCAGGGTTTCTCGACCTTCACACTAATGACATTTGGGACCGGACAGTTCTTTCTTGTGCATTGTAGAATGTCTAACAGTATCCCTGGCCTCTATCCACTAGATGTCTGTAGCATTGCCCAGTCGTGACAATCCAAAATGTCTCTGGACGTTGTCAAATGTCCTCCAGGAGCCAAATCATCCAGTTGAGAACCACTGATTTAGGGGACTGAACAGGTGCAAGGATTTTCTTGGTGGGGAAACAAGGGAAGGCAAGAGTACTTTTTATATAAATCTGTGTATTTTCATTAGGAGACACAGGATAGCTAGCTGTCTGTGATGTGAGTAGCCATTGATGATCATTGCTGAAATCCATTTAGTCATAGCAGTACTTAGTTATTTTAAATGTTGCATTAGATATATAACAGCTGTTATTAGTTGCTTTAAATTAGAATGTTTTCATGTGATCAAAGATTAAATGAGGCTTAGCCAGAAATCATCTTCATGAGACATGACACTTTATTATTTCTGCAGTGACGATGCATGGAAATCATTACTTGTGGACAAACTTAGAATTAGCCTGTGAATGGGGCTTTTGTTTTTCTATTTCTCAGAAATAGAATGGCCTATAGGAATGAATATATTAGGTACCTGGAAACCACCTAAAAATAGTAATGGATGTTGGAAAAGCTCCAAAGAAGGGCTCAATTCTTCCCTCTAATATTCAAAAGGATTAGGGAGCTTGATGTTGTAGTTTGTAGCCCTGCCTGTCATTCCAGACCCCTAGGTTGTAGTTCATACCCTTTCAAGCTTCTAAAATCAAGACACTGAGCTCCAAGACAGAGTACCTTGTGTCCATTCCGGGCATTCCTTTACAGAACAAAGAGTGGTGTGTAAGAGTCCTCTCAGGGAGGCAGGCAGGGAGAGAGGAGGTGAGAGAATGTTCGAGATGGTGAGGAAGGGGAGGATATTAGGGTCTCAACAAAAAGATTATTTTTGAGATAAATGTGGTATAGTATGAGAGATTCTTATTGCGTTTGGTCTTTTTATCTGCTTCATCTTTATATGCATAAGGTATTGGTGGTTATTTTACCCTTTTAGAAAAATTTTTGAATATATATATATTAAAACCTGTGAAACAGGTAAAAGCTCATTTTCCCCCTTAGTTCTTTTATTATTCAATCTGGTCATCTGTAAAATGGCATCTCATATTAAACAGCTTGTCAATTAACTTTTTTTTTTTTTTAAGGAACAGAGAGATTCAAAACTGCGGTCCATTTTACTTCTAATGGGATTAGCATCAAGGAAAAACCACTCATGCAGGGTCTAAGATAAACATCAGAACAATGCAGCAATTATAGGTCATTCAATTAATATATTGACGTGACTTTCAGTTGCTCAAAAATAGTACAGTTTTTTTCTGTTAAGTGAAAAGATTATTTTGCTTTTTCAAGCACCATATTAGAATGATTTTGGTGTGAATAAAACTATTGCTAATTATCGTTGGTTTGCAGCACTTCTCTTTTGTTACTTAGGAATGCCAAAGAAAGGGTAAAATCCCTGTTACAATGAAGGCTTTCTTGCTGGTAATCAGCAGTACTTGGTCTGCCTGCAACTGGGGCTGCTTTGTCCCAGAAGTTTTATTTCTATTGACTTTCTGCTCTTTAGAATTTAAACATTTTTCTTTATATCTTTAACTGCTGAAACTCCAGCTGAGGGAACAGTGGGAGGGGAATAAAAAGATGGTTAAAGTCATTTTGTGGACTGTGAGGGTGCATGAAGAACATGTTCTTCAAACTCAGTTCCACATTTAAGCTGCCCAGCGAGCCTTGCCCTTGCTATTCTCTCTCTCCCTGAAGCCAGAAAGAAGAAGCAGGCGACTCTCCAAAGGACCCCATCTTACCTGTCACATCACAGATGTACCTTTTTAGCATTCTCACAATTGAGATAGGATTCAGAGCCCTGAAACCTGGAGGAAGGAAAGAAAACTCTCTTTTATTTAGTTTCCATCATACAAGGATGTTATAAATATCCCCCATCTTTAAAAAGATCCTAAGATCCCTCTTAGCTGTTGCCAATTACTCTGCTCCCTTTTACAACAGAGTTTCCTAGCATTAACGTTAATGGCTGTTTCCGTTTACCCTCGTCCTGTTTCTTTCTTTAAAAAAATTTTTTTTACATATGTGATATATCCAACTGATTGTCCTTTTTTTAGAACCCACTGAAAATAGTCCTTCATCTTCACCAATCTCCTGAAAATATTCTTTCAATGCTACCAATGACTGCCATTATGCTAAGCCTAATGGTTCTTGTTCAAATATCACTTCTCAGAGAGCTACTCCCCACAGTTACTCTTTACCTTTTACCCAGCTCTATTTTTGCAAGTTTTTTTTCCCATTGTGACATTTACTTTAATAGCTGTAATTTCACTCTCCCAAATAGAATGTCTGTTCCATGAGAAATGGGATTTTATTTCATTCTTTAGTACCTTGCACACTATAGGTGTGCAATAATTATTTTTGTATGGATTGATTAATAAAATGCTGTGGGAATTGCTACTTCACTTGTAATTTTGTTTACCTTTTAATTTAATTCTTAGCACAGTATCTATGAAGTCAGATTTCAATAAATACATGTTGAGCACAAGAGAATTCTAATTAAGAAGAAGGCAGCACTCTGTAGAATAACTGGTTTCTAGGATATTGACATTCATCCAGCAATGATTTGCTGATGAGTATTCAAATTATTTGGGGCTACATTTCCAGCAGGGAGGCTGAGCCACACCATTTCTAGTGATTGGAAAGTGGCTACTCTTATAATGCTGGGGTGCAGCTAGTTTTCCTGTCTCTTTGATTAGATTTTGTCTTTTGTTCTGCCCAGGTGGGTCCCTGGGAATAACTACTAAAGTATGAAACCATGGTGTTGTCTGGCTTTCAATGAAAACATGTAGCCCCGTGCCACTAAACATGATGTACATTATAAACATTTGTTTACCCCTTAGAAGGCATCTTACTTCTTTGTACTATTCCTTGGAGCATTTGATGCACATTTTTCCATCTTGTTGCTCGGTCACTTTTGTAATAGAGCTTGTGTGAGTTTTTTTTTTTTTTAAGGAATTTAGAACTATGTCAGTTTTTATCTCCTTTGCAGTTTTTGGTGATAGCTCTGTTATGGGAAGAAGGCAGTGCTGTGGATCTGGACTCCTTGGAGCAACCCTCTCAGGCACATTTCTAGTTGAGGTCTAAGATTAGGTCACTGTGGATAGAGACCAGCAAGGAATCTCAGGCTTAAGACCCAGTTAGTACAAAGGGAGTGAGCTAAGGAAAACTAGATAACTTAGTTTATTTCTCTTTTTCCTTTGGCTTCCTGAAAGCCACCCAGACTAAACTTGATGTTAGTTCAATTCTACAAGTCCTCGGGATGACCATATTTTCTTTCTCTTTCCAAGGTGCTGAATTTCTTTCTTTCTTTCTTTTTCTTTCTTTCTTTTTTTCTTTCTTTCTTTCTTTCTTTCTTTCTTTCTTTCTTTCTTTCTTTCTTTCTTTCTTTCTTTCTTTCTTTCCTTCTTTCTTTCTTTCCTTCTTTCTTTCTTCTTTCTGAATTTCTTTTTTAATAAATCTGGTTTTATATAACTTTTTATTGAAAGCTTCTTCAAATTACTTTTGGACTGGGGAAGGATATGCTTCTCTGTTTTTTTCCTTGTATATTACTGCATTCCCTAAGAGCTAGTCCATGATGGCAGTCACTTTAGGGACTTGAAATTCACCAGGAATGGGGGTTTGGGGAGTCGTGGTGGTACCTTCATGAGACTAACTTTATGGCCTGTTTTTTGGTATTGACTCTCCTGTTTGTCCTGGTACTCCTTCTGGAAAGTTATTTTTCCTGTGTAGGTTTCCTAGAATTCCTAGATTATATCATATTGAAGTACTTTGTTAACTATGCCATAAGTTGTGGGAAACTAGAGTTGGCCTCACTTTTCCCTTCTTCCTAATGTGGATGGGAAACTGACTGGCAGAAAGAAAATCTTCCCCCCTTCCTCTTGGGTTTCTTCTTTTTCTTTTCATAATCTCTTTTAAGAATTTTCTATTACCATTTCATTCAATTTCTTTCTTCTTTAATTTTTCGCTTCTTCCTGTTACTTACTCTGCAGCCTATAAGTGGTAGATGTATCTGTGGTAGTGGTTAGTAACCTGGGTTATGGAGCCAGGTTGATTGGATTTGAATTCTGGCTCTCCAACTTTACCAGTTATGTGACCTTTTTCAAATTCCTTAACCTCTTAATGCTCAGGTTCTTACTCTATAAAATGGGAGTCATCATAGTATTTACTTCATGAAGTTGTTATGAAGATGAAATGAGTTTATACATATTGAGTACTTTGACACATGTCTGGCACATAGTTTTTAATACATGTTATTGATGATGATGATGATGATGATGATGATGATGATGATGATTGCTTGTTTAACTTTGTGGGTAGCGCTTGAAGTAAGTGCTGGTGGCCAAACTGGTAGATTCTTTCTGGCAAATCATTACATTGACTGGATTAATCTGTCTTGGAGCCAGAGGAAATAACATAAAGTAACTTATAAAGGATGACTCTAGGACCTTGAAAAGTCCCAGGTGTCTGGGCTGGACTTGTATCGGTAATTTCTTGTGTGTGTGTGTGTGTGTGTGTTTCCCAATCTTGGCTTAAGTTTCCTAACCTACTTTTAAGATTCCTTCTTCATAATAATGGTTTTTTCTATGTTGTCCTCAGCCATGTTGTCAAATTGTGAGAATAAAACATGTCTGCAGTCTTCCTGTCAAGATAATAATGAACAGTGCCTTATATTTGTATCTTACTCTGCTTAAAATGATTTCCATTCTAAGAGGTCTACAAGATCTTCAAACTACATTTCTACACCCTCCTCCCTGATTATGTAAACAGAACTATAGCATAGAAATTTCTTGCTTCAAACCAAATCATTAACAGTGAAAAAATATAAAAACTCTTGTCTGCATAATTTTGGGGCAGCTCCCAATTATGGGGGAACAAATCTGAACATGTATCATTTGGGATTGGGAGAAAGTAAAGAAAGGGGAAGCAAGGAGTGGTATGAGGAAGGATATTCTCACCTTTTTGTGTTAGAAAAAACCTTAAAGGTCTGAGGCTTAATTTATAGCTACTTGTTGATCTTTCCATTAAAACCAAATTCAGAAGGAAGAGTTTCCTTGGTGTTCTTATATATGGTCTCCTCTCATATTGCACTTTACCCTATACTTAAATTCTTGCAGGACATTATAGCCACATGATGGATTTGCTCTGTGGGAAGAAGGTTAGACTTAGGCTTGCCAAGCAAATGAACCAAAAAATAAGACTTTAGATATCTCCCAGTTGGAAGCTCAAAGGATTGTGAATTATTGTTTTCTGGAGTAGATTGAAACTCATTAACATCTTTAGCAATGGTAGTAGAATCCATTCATTTCTTTCTTTGCTCAGTGTTGACAGTTTGGACCTGTTGTCTCTGTGTGGGTCTCCAAAGAGGGAAAACCATTCAGAAACAGATTTTCAGGTATTTTCAGTATTTGGTGGAGTTAGGGAGCTCTGTGCAATCTTTCCTATGAGTATACATCCCAGGTTAACTATGCACCGAAGAGATCAAGGTGTGCAGGGGTTGAGAGGGGTCCTCTGCTGATTGAGAGTGATTCTTTATCAGTGTGGATGGAGACAAGAAAGCTGTGTGTTCCTCATTCCAAAAGTCAAACTGCTGACCTCTGGCCATCACAATACCCTCCCTGATGATATCAAGCTGGGCTTCTTGTTTGTTGGGTGGGGAATGGGCCTTGTCAGTAAACTTGTAGTCATGTCAGTGGTTACAGTTTTAATCTTTCCCCTTTCAATTTTCTGGCACTGGCTCTCAAAAAGCAGGATGAAGAAAACGAGAGATCCATCCAGCACACTTATTCCAGATTCTTTATATTTATAATTATCACCTTAAATGAAGTAGCCACCGTTCAAGCCCAGATTAATTTTCCTCCAGACAGATAGCTTATCTATTGCAAAGAGCTGGGTTTTCTACGAGTTTTTCTTCTGCTTGCTGCTGCTCTTAAAAGGCTAGATAACACATTGACTCTAGGAGCTATCTGGCTCACAGGGGCAAAGGAATTGCTTGCTGACCTCACCTGGTCTTTTGCATCTCTTGAAGGGAGAATTAATAAACATCACTTGAAGGGAGAGTTGTGTGACTCATTTGAAGGCACATTTGTAAGGCATATCATCTCAGCGAGGAAAGACGCAATAACTCTAGGCACTGGCTCACTTTTGGACTATTAAAAAACAAAATAAAATTCAGAAAAAATTTTAAATTTTAACCAGCTATTTAAAAATGCCTTCCATTTTAACATATGATTGACTATATGTAACTCTGGCAATTGAGATATTTAAGGACACTTAATAAACTAGCTTTGAACCTCTGGAGATGAGAAGAGTTAGGCTTATTCCTTTACTATACCAAAAAAAAGATCATTGGAGAGTCCATTTTTTTAAAAAGTGCAAGTTGTTAACATGGCACAAGTTTAGTACAGTTTCAGCACAGAATTTTGTGCATGGCTTCTGCTTGAAAAGACTTGGGACTATCCAAAGAATTATCTTCAATATATTTATATCTCTATAAAATCTCAAATTGGGTTCTTAAGTGCAAAATTGAGACTCAAAGTCAATTAAGACATACCTTTTCCTTGGTTAAAAAGAAATCAGAAGATGACCTGATAATCACTACAAAAATAATCTTTCATGAAGAAGATGGTCAGACCAAGGAAGATATCCACATTTGTGAAAAGGAGGGTATTCAAAGGCCATAAAAGGCAGAACTTCAAAATATTTTAAAAAGCCGAATGAACTAAAATGTTCACCTGTGATAAATAATAGCAACATTGAACATTTCTCAAGCACAGAGAGTAATGTCCCACCCCTGTACTAAGTGTGCACAGTGAGAAATGTCCCACCCCTGTACTAATTGTTGGGGATTCTAAAATGAGTAAGACAGGATCCTTGATCTCAGGGAGTTTCATTATGTCATGGCGGAAAGAGATCAACCATCCACAGAATAAAGCCTCCAGTAAGAAGTCATGAGAGACAGGTGGTCCAAGTCTGGCAAGTAGAGAGGAGGGACAGATAGCACGTTATTCCTGTAAGGGACTTCCTGATTTTCAACTGTGACCTAGAAAACCAGGTCCAGTGAGTAGCAGTGAGGTGGTCATATGTACATAACGTGGCAACAACAATTTGTGCTTTGAAAGCACATTATGCTTTTCAACATGCTTTACCAGACATGGTCTTTTCAGGCCGCTCTACCCTGTGCAGTAGGTTATCCAAATGTGCAGATAGGGAAGTAGCAACATGGAGAGGACATGAAGCTTGAGTCACAGTAAATAGCTGCTTAGTGGTACCTCTGGGCCGCCAGGGCTCCTGAACTCTAGGCCTGCTTTCTTTCTGCAACCCGCCAGTGGAAGAAATGGCCTTTCTTTTTTCCAAGCTTGTGCAGTGGTACTTTAGTTTCCTGGGATGTTATCTGTATCATGTAAAAGAATGTTTGATTTTGAACTAAAGTTAAATTCTTTCTCATTCTTCATCTTTTGGCTCAAAAGTCACTTCTTCAGGGGATACTTTTCTGGGCCCCCAAATCTCTCTGCTATGCAGTCTCACAGTCCTCTGTACTTTCCACATTAGCACTTATCCCAGTTTGTAATTTACCATTTGTGTCTTATTTGATTAATGTCTGTCTCCCATGTCCAGCCTTACTCTCCATGAAGCCAGGGAGCATACTTCTTTTGTGTATCAATATATGCATTTAGTGACTTGCATATAGTAATCACTCAATAAATGTTTGCTGAAGGAAATTTAAGGTTTGTTTACTGTTTCCTTTTCCTTTTTTTTTTTTTTTTTTTTTTTACAATAGAGTACCCAACATGTGAGCAGCTTACTTGTGACAATGGGGCCTGCTATAACACCAGTCAGAAGTGTGATTGGAAAGTTGATTGCAGGGACTCCTCAGATGAAATCAACTGCAGTAAGTATTGTGCACAAGATGTGCAGTTGTGTGCTGAAGCTGGTTTATACTGGTTTGAGAGAGCCAATATGTACATCTCTTCCCAAGTTCAGGTTCAGTGAATTCATGTTGGTAGTTTGAAGTCAGCCGTTGGTAGGAGTATTTACACACTGGAAATCGGCAAACACTACAAACCAGGGCCTTTTTGTTCCTGGATAACTGGTTCTTAAACAGTTACCAGCACACCACTGCTTAATAAGAATCCCTTTTTAAACTGGAGATGCTCTTCCTTTGAGATTAAATGGCTACAATGGAGTTAACTTCTCTCTTTTCTTTCCCTTCTTAACTTTCTGTTGCAGCTGAGATATGCTTGCACAATGAGTTTTCATGTGGCAATGGAGAGTGTATCCCTCGTGCTTATGTCTGTGACCATGACAATGATTGCCAAGACGGCAGTGACGAACATGCTTGCAGTACGGTGATTTCTTTATGCTGGGTCATGTTGTTGGGAGTGTTTTGTTTTGTTTCGGTTTTGTTTTGTTTTATCCCCCCGCTCCCCCACCAATGTACCTCTTTTTTCAAGGAGAAGAGTCACTACGTTTGATGGCAGATGGAATCAGACGGTCACTAGGGGGTCTTGGCACAAGCCTTTGTGGTGTTGCTCGACCTGGGCTCCTTTATTTTCCAAGGATCTGTGTAGATGTAAAGGGCTGGTGATGGACAGTTTGCCTTCTTTCCTTAGGCTCCAGGGGTACAGGATATATTGTATCACTGGATTCTCAAATGACCCATACCTCTGACAACCTTGATAGTAGAATGAGAGAAGTGTTTTTAAGGGAAAGGAAGTTCCTAGGAGTGGCTCTAACTCTCCTCTTTACTTTGAAATTTCTGCTGCATTAAAGTTGGAGGGTCAGGAAAGTTTCTTTTTCTTCGTTTTCTTTTTTTGGAGATGGAGTTTTGCTTTGTTGCCTGGGCTGGAGTACAGTGGCGCGATCTCGGCTTACTGCCACTTCCGCCTCCTGGGTTCAAGCAGTTCTCCTGCTTCAGCCTCCCGAATAGCTGGGATCACAGGCATGCACCACCATGTCTGGCTAATTTTGTGTTTTTAGTAGAGATGGGGTTTCACCGTGTTGGCCAGGCTGGTCTCGAACTCCTGATCTCAAGTGATCCGCCCGCCTCGGCCTCCCAAAGTGCTGGTATTATGGGTATGAGCCACCACGCCCAGCCTGAAAGTTTCAGTGTGGTATAGGTGGCTTTCTTGCCTCCACTTCTTCACGCTGACCTTGCTTTTATGTCCATGCTGTTGCCTGCAATGCAAATGACCTCTCTTATTGTTGCCACCTCTCCACTTATGTTTTTTGGAAAGAGTAAAGTTAGAAGACTCTGTGAAAGAGTTTTACTATGTTCAGTAAGTTGGCAGCTTTGCGTGGTGATTTATTTACTAGAATGTATGATTTCCCTCCACACCTCTTTTGATTGGTTGGTACCCATGCCTTAGGGTGTTGTTAAATATTTTCGATATCACCCTAATTTTCAATGAGCCATGCCTGACTTCCTTTCTGGAACCTGGGCTTATTTCAGTGACAGAGAATTAAAGAGAATGTGACATCATGGAATGGTCGACTCAGAATCATTTGGTCATAGATTAGCAATTACGGAGCTTGTAGTAAAGTATGAGAACGTTGGATGTTGTCATGTCTGCAGCATCTTTGTCTGCATTTTCTGTTCTGTGCCAACGCATTGCAAACCATCTTGTTTTTAATTTTTTTTTTTTTTTTTTTTTTTTTTGAGACAGGGTCTCACTCTGTCACCCAGGCTGGAGTGCAGTGGTGCGATCTTGGCTCACTGCAACTCCACACACCCCCACCAGGCTCATGCCATCCTCCCACCTCAGCCTCCTGAGTAGCTGAGACTACAGACATGTACCACCATGCTTGGCTATTTATTTTTATTTTTCGTATTTTTGGTAGAGATGAGGTCTCACCATGTTGCCCAGGCTGATCTAATTTTTAATCTTGAAAAACAGAAACCGGCACCTGAGTTCATTTCCTGGACCCAAAGCTGCTGTTATCTTCTTCTTTCTCTCTCTTTTTTTTCCTCCTTTTTAAAAATTTTTGTCAAGATGTCTAAGGGATTAAATTGATATAGAAATTTCAATTTCTAGGAGTACTGCTTAGGCAGTGAGGTGAGAGCACTTTCAGTTTTTCCCGGTGATTTGTGTCTTTGGAGTGCAGCTGTTGCTTTATTCCAGACTATCCGACCTGCGGTGGTTACCAGTTCACTTGCCCCAGTGGCCGATGCATTTATCAAAACTGGGTTTGTGATGGAGAAGATGACTGTAAAGATAATGGAGATGAAGATGGATGTGGTAAGGAGGGGAAGAGATTCCTACTGAAAAGCATTTTCTTCAAGTGTTTTCCAGCGCTTGTTTTTTCTCCTTTCCTTTTTAGAAATTTTGTGTGACAAGCAAGCCTCAGGATTGGCTGGAGTTGAAGGGGTTGTTTAGGAACTTAGTGGGTGGGGAAGACGGAGGTGACTGCGCTAACTTCTCCTAAGAAGATTCAGAACACAAATACAGATTAAATTATAATCCTCTCCCTTCTATCTTTAAGGCAAAATAGGTAGGACAGTCTCTGTCTCTTCTATACCCCAGTCTGACTTTCTCCCTGTAAGACTGCCTGTTTTAAATAGATTTAAAACTATATAAAACTAATAGGCTGGGGAAGGAAAGAAAATAGGGAAAATGTCATTTGTCTTAGACCTTACAATCTTTAAAAATGACTTTGAACCTTGGTAACAGTTCAGCTTATTTTTTTGTTTTGGTTTTGTAAATTCTGATTCCCAAATGAGTCACTGACACTCAGTGGTGAAAGAGAGGCCACCTTGGGAACACGTGGGTTGGAGCTGGGGATGGTAAGTGTAGGAGAAGCTACTATCCAGGGAAGTGCTTAAAGATTCCGTGAGAAGGAAATTGCCAGTGATATTCACCCTTTTATGTTGCTGATATTGACCCTTTTATGTTGCTGATATCATCAGCAGTACCTCCAACAATTTAGCAGTTACTAATACCCATACCCTACAGCAAGTTACCTGCACCATTCCAATCCCAGGTATGATAAGGGAAATGCTTGTTAAAACTATGTTTTATGTTTTTATGTTCCAGAAAGTGGTTTTTCTACATTTGGGTTATGGTTTTTCTTATACTGTTGACATTTCACTAAATAAACAAAGCAAATCAAAAAGCCCAACCACAAATTCAAGTAATTCTGGACCTAACTTGATGGCCCTAATTCTATAATTCATGATTTAAATAACTACATCTTTTCTTAGGGGATCATGAATTTAGTTTGTCGATAATTGAGGCCCATATCTGCTTCTTCCTCTTATAACCCTACTGGGGGCTGCCTTTTCCAGGAAAAGTGGAGTAATTCCATTATGCCTCTCCTTAGAATCTCAGTAAAAGACTAGTGGTAGAGTTAGAAATCACTAACTTATTGTAAAATGTAGATCATTTATAGATTTCTCTTGTTCAACTTGCTCTACATCCTCTGTAAACCACTGATTAACAAAGAGCTGGCTGTACCTCCCCTATGGCCTGTAACTCTCTCTTTTTCCCCCCACAGAAAGCGGTCCTCATGATGTTCATAAATGTTCCCCAAGAGAATGGTCTTGCCCAGAGTCGGGACGATGCATCTCCATTTATAAAGTTTGTGATGGGATTTTAGATTGCCCAGGAAGAGAAGATGAAAACAACACTAGTACCGGAAAATACTGTAGTGAGTATAGACATTTACCTGGGTAGCTTTCAGATAAAGATATTTCTGTTTTCTAGAACAGACGTTCAAATACAGTGTATCTGTTGGCATTTGCATAACAAAGCACCCCAAGACTTAGTGGCATAAACTGAGAAACGTGTCTTATTTCTCACAGTTCTGTGGGTTGGCTAGGTAGTTCCTCTGGCCTGTATCAGCTCACTCACACGTCAGGATGTTGCAGTAAAAGCTTGGGCTAGCCTAGCCTTGTTGACCCAGAGGCTGAAAGAGCAAATCCTAGGGCTCAAGTACTTTCAAGGTTCTACTTATGCCAAGTTTGCTCAAGTCTTATTGTCCAAAGCAAGACACTTGGCCAAACCCAGAGTGGATGGAAGAAATAGACTCCATCTATTGATGGGAAGAGCCTAACAATTTTTTAGCAACTCCCCGTTCCTAATCCCTAACGCACACACAGGGAGGATTGTTTCAATGGCAATTTTGATGACCTTAAAGATGTTCTGGAGATTTTATTACCTGGCTTATACTTATGGAAAAAGGCCTTGTCTGGCTGTACTAAAAAAAAAAAAAAAAAAAAAAAAAAAAAGCTTCTGGTTCCTGGGTTATGTACCTTGAGTTACTCTCCAATGGCAAAACTGAGTTGGCCATGCACAGTGTTGTTCGATTATGTCTTGTGTGACCACATTCATTTATGAGGAAACTGACTGGAACTAGGGATTTTTTTTCTCCTTTTTTGGGGCTGTAGAATATTCACCCCACCAACAACCCATCAACTCTGTGGACAGCTGATGGTCCTGTAAGGAAATGCCATTTAAAACCTTGATTTCATCAATAATATACTCTAACTAAATTTGTGATTGCCTAGAAGTGCCCATGTAACTGCAACCCCAAGGTTATTTTTTGTTTCCTGACAAAAATTGTACATAATATTTAAACAGGCAGAGACCTCTATGGCATTTTTTTCTCTATTTCATTTGGGAGCCCATTTAAAAAAGCTTAAAAATTAATAAGAGATATGTAGTCACAGTATGAAAGTTGGAAAATAAAAATTAACCAAAAGAAAAAAATATAATCACCTGAAATCCCATCTCTTGAAGCCAGCCACAGTTAATATTTCTAGGGCTTATTCTTGCTCCAGTCACTTGGGAGTTCTTAGCCCTTTTTACTATGTAGACACAAAGATAGACCCATGCATGACCTGATTTTTTTTTCATAAATAAGACTTTTAATGACTTATACTTGCACATAGTTATAACTTTAAAAAGGAGCTTTTTCTTTTCTTTTGTTTCCACTCAAGGCAGCCTCTTGTTCTGTCACCCAGGCTAGAGTGCAGTGGTGCAGTCATAGCTCACTGCAGCCTCCATCTTTTGGGCTCAAGTGATCCTCCTGCCTTGGCCTCCCAAAGTGCTGAGATTACAGTTGTGAGCCACTGTGCCTGGCTAATGCTTTTATTTTTAATTTTTTGTGAATATGAGGTGTAGCTACATTACCCAGGCTGGTCTTGATCTCCTGGCTTCAAGCAATCTTCCTGTCTCAGTTGAACTTTTATTGCAAAGTTTTGCAGTAAGCTTTGAAGGGTGACAGATTTTTCTGTACATCTACTTCATGCTTACTGAGCTGCTACTCATGGAAAAAGAAGCTATTAGATTAATCAGTCTTGTCCAGAGGTCACCATTCATTTAACAAAGTTCTTTTCTTCGTTTAGGTATGACTCTGTGCTCTGCCTTGAACTGCCAGTACCAGTGCCATGAGACGCCGTATGGAGGAGCGTGTTTTTGTCCCCCAGGTTATATCATCAACCACAATGACAGCCGTACCTGTGTTGGTAAGTGATGGGGGGCGGCGGCTACTTGTCTTTCATTACAGTACACTGATGGGTGCCCTGATCTCTGACATCTAGGAGGTTGCACTTGTGGAGAGTCGTCATGGTCTGTCATAACAAAGAGCAACCCAGACCTCACAGAAAACCTGGCAAATAGGGAATTTTAACTCTGAGAAGGTTTGGTGTGGTGTACAAGGCAAAAGAATGGTTCTGTCATGAGCGAGTTGACTAGCTACCTGGAACCTATCCATTACTTGATGAGGGCGGTAGTCCTTTTCTGTTTTCTTTTCAAGTATTTGGCATCAGGATTGGTGCAGCCATACTGGTTATTGAATACTGAACTACTTCCATGAGGTTGGTAGATAGCTGCTGCCTGAGCCCAGCAAGCACCGCTACCTTGCTCCCCTGGCCTCTTCTCCAGGATGCACAAGCATCCCCAGGATCCCACAACTAAAGAGTTGTTACCTGACACAGCAGAGGATCACCAGGTCATTGCTCAGGTGACTACACTGGTGGGCCAGTGCCTTTGCTGGGCTGGCTACTCATTCCACTGATTGTGACATCCACTTGGAACTATCATTCAAGATGAGCAGATTCTTTATCATGGTGCTTCCAGATGGTGGCTGGCATTAAACTAGACACCAGTACACCAACTATTTCCTCATATCTCTCCTCTCTGACTTCAGAAATGATTTCTCCCAATGAGATTTTTGATTTTGATGCCAGCTTTATATCTCACTGTGATTAGGACGGGGCCTTATGATGGGAGAATTAGACTTGACCAACTATCATCAGTTTTTGTTTTCTCAGTGAGTTTTTGGTGCTCTGATCTTTTTTCCTTCTATCTGATTTTTGATACATGAACAACAAACATACTAGCAGGAAGTGATCACAGAGGGAGTTTAAAGAAAACTATTTTTACTGCTGTTGGGAAAAGGCATCTGGAAGGCAATTGAAACTATTCATTAAAATTTGGTAGTCATCTATGGGGCTCCAAAATGATTCAGAATTTTCCCAGGATATTTATATTCTTTTGATATTCCTTAGAAATGTGAGGTATTCTTTAGGGCTTTTGGGATAGCAACAAACATGAAATGTGTAAGAAATGCTTCTAGAAAAGTATTTCTTCTGAAATTATTATTTTAATATTATTAAAATATTAAAATTTTAATATTAAAATATTAAAATTTTAATATTTTAGAACTATTTGGTAACATTTGGAAAAAATTATTGAATATAGATAAACCTAATGCAGTTATTCAGTCTTTAGTCTCAGCTCATTGCTTCCAACATAATTATACTTTGTCAAATACAGCTAATCTTAACAACTACTCATAGCCAGAAAAGCCTTTCTTTTTTTCTTTATTATTATTATTATTATTATTCTTCAGCGGAAGTGCTAGCAAACAGAAAAATGTATTGATACCAGAAATAAACTCTGGTTTGCAAATTAAACTTGAAATTCTTGAGAAAGTCTGCTCCTCAGCGTTACTGAAAACTACAATCGTTGGGCTCACTTACCTACCATATGCCAAAAAAAATTAGATTTTTATATCCAGTAAAGCAATCCATTTGAGCTTTTCCTTGTGTTCATAGTGGGTAACTGTAGGTTCTTAATATCAGGACCACGTCCCAAAGTTGCCCATCTAATTGCTCCTCTTAAGTAACTATATTCAACAAGGTACTTTAAGATCAAGTGACTTAAGTGAACTCTGGAATAATTTAAGAAGGCCCCCAAATTTCTAATCATTTTAAAACATTTTATAAATAAAAGTTATGATCTGCAACTGGACTTAAATAAGATTGCAGGACACATTTTGTGTTTTATTGTTATCATTACCATTATATTGGGAATGCATTCAAGTAATTTACAGATACTTTTCACACGAATGCCCTTATTGGTTAGGTGGTGACCTGACTCTGGGAGCCCTGCCTGGATTTCAGGCAGCCCTGCGCAAAGGGGCAGCCTCACTTCTGCTCAGAGTGGGGCTCGTCTGTGGGTGTGAGGCCACTCCTGTGTCTTTAGCAAATGTCAGGCTCCTTTTCCCCCCTCACTGCTACCCAGCTGCCAATCCCATTCCCAGCCTTTTAGTTCTTTAGGCATTTTCCTTTTCTCTTAGTAGAAAAGAAGTTCCAATAGAAATACCAGAAGCCACATTCTCAGTATTACATCAGCTTTTCTCTCTTTTTCCTTTATCAACTCCCAAAGAGGAGTTGGGGCTGAGCTGTCTTACAGTTGAAACTTGATAGGCCATGAAGTCCTTTCAGGAAAAGTGATTTGTTCTTTCAGAATCGCTAATTCAGTCTTGTGATGCCCCACAAGCTGTTCTCAGTTTTTTGTTCCACCCTAGAGCCCAGATAACACATTTTCCATATTTTCCAACATATAAGTCTGTGGTGAGCCTTGGGTTGTATTTCCAAATGTCTAGGGTTTTCTAAATGTCAGAGATTCAGGCCACTTCAATTTTCAATAGCCTCTCACAAAGCGAAAGGCTGTCATAACAATGTTCTTGTTTTATAAAATTTTGCATTTAACCTACTAGTGAATGTAAGGCAGAATATTGCAGTATTATGTGTGCACAGGATAATTTCAGGATCAGAGAAGATACCACAATTAATAACACATTGGAAGTAGTGTGTTCTAATACCGGGGCACTAATTTTAAGTTCCACAACAGACATCTTCTTTCATTCCCGCCAGCGCGTTTCTGGGACTTTAGTACAGACAACCTCATTTGGAGATAATCTCAAAAGTCTACATTTGAGGGCCTTTGTGAATATGAGGCCTCCTGCCACCTGCAGAGACCTTTTCTGTGACCTTTGCTGTCCTTCAAGAATGTGTCATTTGCCTCTGAGTTTTGAGGCTGGGTTAACATTTATTTCACATTTGTTTCAAAGAAGACTGTATTTTTCTCTCTTTATAGAGAACTCTTTAAATACATGACGTTAGGAAACCAGTTACACTTGTTTCAGCTGAGCTGAATTTTTAGGGGAATTGTTGCTTTGGTTTGCTCTCTCAAGCATTTCATTTCAACAAATACTCTCTGTATGGCTATAACCCTCTGCATGGCTGACGCATTACACAGGCTTCAGGTGTTGGAAACCTATGCAACATTTATTATCTTAGACATGGCTCCCCAGTGAATACCTCGGTGGTAATCAAGAATAACATTGAATAATCCTGACACGAAATCTTGTGTCTTTCTACCATTCATCTGCCTCTGGTAGTGTTGACCTGGCAGTGGAAGCTCTGAGGCATGCTGAAGCAGTTTACTGGGCTCATTGTTTCTGATTGACAGGACATGCTGTTTGTTGACAGAATGACATCGTGGTGCAGAGTGAGGGCAGGGAGGTCATTCAGCATGGTGGGGTTTCACACAGCCAGATGGATCAGAGGGTGGCCAAGGGGGGCTCAGTTAAAAAGGGGTTTTTGAGTCATTTTCACAGCAGTATTTGTTGGTGGGAGGAGACAAAGAATAAAAAGGAAAGAAAAATAGATAAAGGTATTGGAGTGAGAGGGGGATTGTAAAGTAGTGTTTTAGTGTTTTGTGTGGTTTCCACTATCTTTTCTACTCTCACGAAAACCCTCAATTCTACTTTTATTTTTCTTGTCTTCACTCTGGCTGCTGATGGATGTTAATTAACCTTCATATTCCTCTATAGTGATCCAAGGATACAATCTTATTGTCACAAAAGTGACAGCAATTTTATACACTCATTCAAATCCTGTTTTTTTGTGATAGGGTCTCACTGTCGCCCAGGCTGGAGTGCAGTGGCATTATCACGCTCACTGCAGCCTCCCACTTCAGCCTCCCGAATAGCTGGGACTACAGGCACGTGCCTCCATGCCTGGCTAATTTTTTTTTTTTTTTTTTTAATTCTTAGTACACATAAACCCTTGCCATATTGCCCAGGCTAGTCTCAAACCCTTGGACTCAAGCAATCCTCCCACCTTACCCTCCCAAAGTGCTGGGATTATAGGCGTGAGCCACTGTGCCTGGCCCACTCATTCAAATCTTTAAACCACTTGTAGTGCAGGTGATAGGAAGGGCATTTGTGCTAGAGAATTCCTAGTTATGACTTCTCCACCTTTGGTTTCCTTCTGTTTGACATCAGAACTTCTGCTTAGAGTGACTCCAGATCCTTAGACGTGGTCTCATGGATCTTGCATTCAAAATGAAGTTATGACATTCTGGGGGTTTGAGGGAGAATGTCCTGTACTTTTTTTCCTGCTGAGGCAAAGCCTTAGGTGGAGCTTTCTCAGGGCTGAGTTAAGGGGACAGAAGGGATTCATCAGTGAGGGCATTTCACACCCTCATGTGGCATTTCACTTGGTAGTGTCCAGATCGGATTGGGTTTTTTTTCCTCTGGTTAGTCACGGTCCTTGGAAAGAAAGATATGCTGGCTCATGTTGTTATGTTTAATCTGCAGGGAAAATGGGATCATTAGAAGAGCCTTCTTGGGGCTGGATGCGGTGGCTTACGCCTGCAGTCCCATCACTTTGGGAGGCCAAGGCAAGCTGCTTACTTGAGATCAGGAGTTTGAGACCAGCCTGGCCAACATGGGGAAATGCCGTCTCTACTAAAAATACAAAAATATTAGCCAGGTGTGGTGGCGCACACCTGTAGTTCCAGCTACTCGGTAGGCTGAGGTGGAAGGATCACTTGAACCCGGGAGGCGGAGGTTGCAGTGAGCCGAGACTGTGCCACTGCACTCCAGCCTGGGCAACAGACTGTGACTCCATCTCAAAAAAAAAAAAAAAAAAAAAAAAAAGAAAAAAAAGAAAAAGAAAAGAAAAGAGAAGAAACTTGGCCTTTTGGTGGGTTATGGAATGGTGGGCCACCCAGCAGGAATGGTTGAACCCAATTCACAACTCTGACAGTTGCTGCAAATGTAATCAGATCATAGAAATCTGGAGAATTCTAGACTTGGGAGTGCAGTGGTTTCAGAAATTATAATCTACTTGAGAACTTCCTGAAACCAGAGGGTGTGGGAACTCTATTGTTATAGTTTGTATAGGTCATCCTCCCAGGGAAGCGAGGAGGGTGAAGGATGATGGAGAGTGGACGTGGACTTGGAAAGTCAGATGTACCAATTTCTGCACCCCTGAAGCCTTATAGTCTTTAAGAAAGACTCTTCTAATATTTTGTTGTGTTCTCCCCTCCATATTCTATTGTTTATGTCAATTATATTGGAACTATTTTTAAACAGTAGAACTGGGACTTCTCTGGTAATGAACAGAGCTCTGTCATGTAAGGGACTTCAATGAACACTTACTAAATGAGTGAATAATAAGTTAACCAATAAGTAGAGGAGAAGACATTTTTGATGTCTTGAAAATAAGTTCAATTTAATTTTGGTTATAATTTTTTGACATCAGAGGAAAGACAGCTGGGTAAATAGACCTTTCCAAGTACTTTATTGCAGTCATAGATTTGTTTCTTCCTGAGGGGCTGTCTATAGGCAGGTCTTACTTTATTCAGAAATAGTGCTGTCCAATAGAACTTTCTGCAGTGATGTAAATGTGTATCTTCACTCTGTCATATTGTAACCACTAGTCATATGTGGCTATTGAGCACTTGAAATGTGGCAAGTGACTAGGAAAGCAAATTATTAATTTTATTTTATTTTAATTAATCTAAAGATACATTTAGATAGCCACAGGGGGTTAGTGGCTGCCATGTTGGAAAGCATAGTATTGAAGGGAAACATTTACACCAAAATTTATATATTTGTAGACTAACATTAATAAATGAAATGCAGTACCATAGGGCTATGAATTCAGGAAGTGTTGTGCATTTTCTGTAAAGTTATCCTTCATGTAGGTTTAAAAAATGATGTAAATGTTCTTTTTCCTTACATGAAGATGGTTGTTATAAATTCTCAGAACCTGTGCCTAATTCCAGAGGGTGTTTATTTAGACATGGGCAACACCACATTCTTGGCCATCTTATCTAGGATTTTTGTCAGAGAGTGCTTAATAAATGCTGATAACCTTGACTACAAATGTGTATTTTCCATATGGCAGAGTTTGATGATTGCCAGATATGGGGAATTTGTGACCAGAAGTGTGAAAGCCGACCTGGCCGTCACCTGTGCCACTGTGAAGAAGGGTATATCTTGGAGCGTGGACAGTATTGCAAAGCTAATGATTCCTGTGAGTAAATTATGGACACCTGTGTCTCTGAACAGTGAACAGATTCTAATAGCTTCTTTCCTTCCTTCTGATGACAACAGAATTATCAGCATTTTTGTTGTTGGCAGGGCTTTATCATTACAAATCAGGGATGGCTCCTACTGCCTAGAAAAATTGGTCAACATTAATTTCATACTTTGATTATTAAGGACCAATTTGTCGACTAATGGTGACCATTATTAATATTTTTTAATTGATTGATTGTTTACTTTGCCTAGGCTATCATGTCACCCACCTTTAATTGTGGAATAAATGCTATGCCTACATTTGATTGGCTTGGACATTTAACTTTTAATTAATTACCTACCACAAAAGTAGGCGACAACTATCTACAGAAATAATTTTCACAGTGTTCTTGCAAAATTTAGGGATATTTCCAAATGGACATGCTAAATTTGGATTAACAATTTTTTGAATGCACTAACTCTGGGTAATTTGTTGGAATCAGTGTAAGAGTATGAAAAGTAGAGAGTAGTACAGAGTAGTAGAGAAAAGTCATGGAGAAAATCTGCAAAAAATAGATGAGGGCTCCAAAGCATTTTGTCGCTGTTGATTTCTCCGGACGAAG
The DNA here is from genome assembly GCF_000001405.40 of Homo sapiens. Taxonomy (NCBI): domain Eukaryota; kingdom Metazoa; phylum Chordata; class Mammalia; order Primates; family Hominidae; genus Homo; species Homo sapiens. Next base: position 169,282,265 of record NC_000002.12, on the reverse strand, counting down.
GTCTCAATATAAACTCCTATTTTCCAATAGTTATTTAACACTTGATTTTGAAGTGTCTTTGGTGTCTTCTGAAACTTAACTGCTCCCATGACTGAAGAATGGCCCATTTTCTACTTGTTTTTGTGTAGAAATACCTGATTTGCTGTGTAGTAACTTTTAGGTTCAGCGGATTTTTAACAATTCAATGTGTTTATTTTTGCATAGGTAACATATTTATATGTTCACAAATTTTAAATTATAAGAAGATATGTAGTGAAATGCCTTCCTCCATAACTATTCCCCTCTGCATGGTTTTCACCTTCTCTTTCCTATGAGTAATTGCCGTTTCTTTATTTTAGTTCTAGAGATTTTTTAATGAATAAACAAGAACATACAAATATAGATATTTAACTGTATTTACATATCTATATATGGTAGTAAACTATATGCACAGTTCTGCATCTTGTGAATGTACTGAAGATATTTTCCAGAGCTTTCCATTTCAGCACATGAAGTTATTTCTTAATTATTTTATTTATTTATTTATTTATTTTTATTTATTTATTTTTGAGAATGAGTCTCGCTCTGTTGCCCAGGCTGGAGTGCAGTGGCGCCATCTTGGCTCACTGCAACCTCCGCCTCCCGGGTTCAGGCAATTCTCTGCCTCAGCCTCCCGAGTAGCTGGGACTACAGGCTTCTGCCACCACACCCAGCTAATTTTTGTATTTTTAGTAGAGACGGGGTTTCATCATGTTAGCCAGGATGGTCTTGATCTCCTGACCTCATAATTTACCTGCCTTGGCCTCCCAAAGTGCTGGGATTACAGGCATGAACCACCGCATCCGGCCTTATTTATTTATTTTTGAGATGGAGTCTTGCTCTTGTTGCCCAGGCTGGAGTGCAATGGCAAGATCTTGCCTCACTGCAATCTCCGCCTCTCGGGTTCAAGCGATTCTCCTGCCTCAGCCTCCTGAGTAGCTGAGATTACAGGCCCCCGCCACCATGCCCAGCTAATTTTTGTATTTTTGGTAGAAACAGGGTTTCCCCATGTTGGCCAGGCTGATCTCGAACTCCTGACTTCAGGTGATCTGCCTACCTCAGTCCCTCAAAGTGCTGGGATTACAGGTGTGAGCCACTGCGCCTGGCCTTAATTATTTTTTTATAATGGCATAATATTCCTTCTTTTATGTTCATAATTTGTTTAACTAGTCCTCTACTGATCAATTTTTATATCATTCCTTATCTTTTGCTATTGCCAATAAGACTGCAATTAATACCTTGTTCATATATCATTTTGCATACCTGCGAGTAAACAGACAGAACAGATTTGGAACCACCATTACCATCTTTTTCAGAGTGATTTCCTGGTAATCTTTAAAATGTCTTCTGTGTTTAACAAAATCTAAAGTTGCACATGGGGCTAAGGTGCCCATACCATCAAGGAGTCTCGAAAATATCTGAGAAATACTCTCCTCAGTGTCATTGAAAGTGCATTGGACTAGCATCCAGAATGCTTGAATTCTTACCAAATTCTTCCTAACTTACTGAGATTTTGGACGCTTCATTAAGCCTTTTTGTGCCTCAATTTGCCCTTCTGTAAAATGGATAGAATGCTAGCTATCTGTCTGCCTCAGAGGTTTATGTTAAAATCAGGTAAGACAACCTAGAAGATAGCATTTGAAAAAGCAGAAAGCATATCATTTGTAAGCTACTTCACCATCCTTGCTCATCTGAAGGAGTGGTGATGCCTTCCTTCTTCGCATTTAGTTGGCGAGGCCTCCATTATCTTCTCCAATGGTCGGGATTTGTTAATTGGTGATATTCATGGAAGGAGCTTCCGGATCCTAGTGGAGTCTCAGAATCGTGGAGTGGCCGTGGGTGTGGCTTTCCACTATCACCTGCAAAGAGTTTTTTGGACAGACACCGTGCAAAATAAGGTAAATAGAAATTTCAGTAGCTGAATGGAACCCTGAGCACAAAGTGTTGATAGCTTTTCACTTTTAGAGGGAGTAGAGGGGAAAGTTCCTTTGTTTTCTAACAAAAAAGGCCCTTGAGATATTTTATGTTAATCAGCACCTTTTCCATGCTATACTATTACATGTGACCTATTAAACAAAGCAGTCTATTATATGGATTAGCCTTGAGCAACTTTTAATTTTATTCGAAGTGGAGTCCAGGAGCCTAATTAAAAGAAATAGTAGACATTCTTTCAAAACTGGATAGATATTTGGTAGTAATTTTTGAAATTTGATCATTTAAAATGTAAAAAGCACACTGCTTTTCTGGATGATAAAAATCAGATTTTTACCTGCATCTTCTAAATGGAACTGTAATTCGGGATCGAGTAACAAATATTGACGGTATTTTGTTTAATGGCCCAAATTTTGTTTCACTGTCTTATTTGGAAAGTGTGATGGGTTTAATTTCATCTTGGAGTAATGCAATGGAGATTTTTGAAACATAAATTTCAGAAACTCTTAAAGAGTTATGGAATTTTATTTATTTCTTCTTACATTTTATTATACCATTAATACGATTCTCATTTATTTAAATGATAACTTGCATGAAATTTCTGAAAATTGAGAATTTAGATTTTTAGCACTTCTGATTTGATTATAGCTAAAAAAAATCAAAACAAACCACGTAGTTAGTGATGCTGAAGAAATATAATAATTTTGGTTTTTCTTTCAGGTTTTTTCAGTTGACATTAATGGTTTAAATATCCAAGAGGTTCTCAATGTTTCTGTTGAAACCCCAGAGAACCTGGCTGTGGACTGGGTTAATAATAAAATCTATCTAGTGGAAACCAAGGTCAACCGCATAGATATGGTAAATTTGGATGGAAGCTATCGGGTTACCCTTATAACTGAAAACTTGGGGCATCCTAGAGGAATTGCCGTGGACCCAACTGTTGGGTAAGTGATGTGAAAACATATTGATTCCTGTATTTTTAGAATTTTCTCTCTCCCTCTATACACTGAACATCTACTGGATTAATCAAAGGCTCATTCTGATTTCTTTTAGGCTGTATACTCTAGAAGCCATGTCTATTTTGTGCCCTTATTTATAGAAGCTTTAAGAGAGTTTATTAAATATAATCCTATTTGAGGACATGTTACCCAAACACACCTAGTGGTGTACTAAAAATACTTGTTGTTTTGGGGCTATGAATTTTATTCTTAGTGTTTGCCACGTTTTCCTAGCTAAGAGATTGGATTTTGTGTTCTAACTCAATCTAATAATATTATTACAACTAAACATCACTTATGCTTCATTATTATTAAGATGATTACTCTAACATGAATTAGCTGTAAAGATTTTTAAAGATGGAGGTTGGAACTATTCCTTTCAGAACTTTCTTGATACAGGCTGGGATTGAGATATCAATGCTAATATCTCATTACAAGTTGTTCAGTCTGAATCAATCCAGCAACACCGATAATGCTTTTCTTCAGGTTTAAATTTAAATTTCCCAATCTTCACATTTGAGAAGTGTTATAGGAGACTTAGCTTTCTCCTAGAATTTCACAATTGGGTCTTAGGACCCTTGGATAAGCTTTAGGCTATTTTAGTCTTTGTGAATGATGATTATTCAGTTCTACTTCATTATATCAGCTATCCTTCCTTGAAAATGACGGAAATGTTCTCTGTGCCTCAGAATGGAAAACTGAGGAGCAAAATGGCTTGATAGCTTCTTTTAAAAGGTATTTGTAAGTTTTCCTGGGTGTAAAAAAGAGAAGCAAAGGACAAATAAAGGAAACAGAGGAGAAAGTTCAGAAGGTGAATATGAATTTTTTTTTTTTGAGACAGGTTCTTGCTCTGTTGCCCAGGCTGGAGTGCAGCAGCACAATCACAGCGTGCCGCAGACTTGAACTTCTGGGCTCAAGCAATCCTCCCACCTCAGCTTCCTGAGTAGCTGAGACTATGGGCAAGTGCCATCATGCCCAGCTAATCTTTTAATTTTTGTAGAGATGGGGTCTTGCCATGTTGCCCAGGCTGGTCTTGAAACATGGGCCTCAAGCAATCCTTCTATGTTGGCCTCCCAAAGTGCTAGGACCACAGGCATGAACCACTGTGCCTGGCTGGCTGAATATGAACTTTTAGACTGCCATATTAGTGCATCATAATAGTTGCTATTTGGAACTGTTGATGCTCCTGACTGACCCCCACAGTCTCTTTAAAAAAAAAAAACAACTTAATTTCCCTGTTGTTTTATACTGTGGTTCTCTAATCAGCTGGATAAAATTTCCATTGATCCAAACACACTGTTAAAAAAAATTCCCAGGTTAACTTGTAAAATACCAGATTCTTTCATCTTCTGTTTTTCTTTTGTAGTTATTTATTTTTCTCAGATTGGGAGAGCCTTTCTGGGGAACCTAAGCTGGAAAGGGCATTCATGGATGGCAGCAACCGTAAAGACTTGGTGAAAACAAAGCTGGGATGGCCTGCTGGGGTAACTCTGGATATGATATCGAAGCGTGTTTACTGGGTTGACTCTCGGTTTGATTACATTGAAACTGTAACTTATGATGGAATTCAAAGGTAAGAAGTATTTTTTATGGCTTATGGCTTTATAAGTTGCAGGGAAAGTGCATAAAATGGCTGCAGAGAAATATCAAAGGACCAGAATTAAAATATTGCTTTGTTGGTGGACATGATAGCTTTAATGACCTTTGTACTGACATTTGCATGAAGTGACCTGCTCTATTTTGTTAACTTTTCTTGTGTCCCATAACACAAGAGGTAAACGCTCATTAAATATAACCTCCAGCATTTGTTCTTTGATTTCTCCTCTCCAACTCTTCCCCTAGTCCCACATGATGCACATTATTTTCATTCACTCCTGAGTTCATTTGTGCTTTGTTTCTCAAGATCACTTTCCCTTTTAATTTTCTAACCTTCCCCCAATAAATACATGTTTTATTAGGTATTTGATGTTGCCTACTGGGAATTAATTGGATTTTACTCTGCTCTTATATATTTCAAATTTCAAGGAGAAATTCTTTGTATTGTATTTTTACCTGGTATACAAAGATACTTAAACAGCAATATTTGAATGTAGAATATGGCTTTCTTTTTTTTTTTTTTTTTTTGAGATGGAGTCTCACTCTGTCACCCAGGCTGAAGTGCAGTGATGCAATCTCGGTTCACTGCAAACTCCACCTCCCAAGTTCAAGTGATTCTCCTGCTTCAACCTCCCCAGTAGCTAGGATTACAAGCATACACCACCATGCCTGGCAATTTTTGTATTTTTAGTAGAGATAAAATTTCACCGTGTTTCCCAGGCTGGTCCCAAACTCCTAACCTCAAGTTATTCGCCTGCCTCAGCCTCCCAAAGTATTGGGATTACAGATGTGAGCCACTACACCTGGCTGAATATGGCATATTTTTTTTCATCTTTTTACTCTGATTAGAGCTAACTACAACTTAATGTAAAAAAAATTATTTTAGATCCTCTCCTTTTGGTATTTTCAAAAATTGGGTAAAACATGTTCTTCAAATTTTGACCCAAAATATTATTCTTTGTGGATTCAGCAAATAGGCTGGTTAACTTAATTTTTCCCAATGACTTGATTTTATTGTTTTCTCAATGAAAGCAATATTATAGTTTTGTTTCCTCTTGTATTTCCATTTTGTAAGGATAATATCACAGTTTGCCATTGGATTATATATCCTTGGGACAATCTCTGCTTGGTTAAATGAAGTATTGTGTATTAATATGGTGACTTCCTATCACTGAAACTGGCTTCCATAAGGAGAATATGAATAAATTTTATGAAAAAATTAGCTAACCCAATAAGTCACATAAAATAATTGTGAAATTGCTTAAATTTTTTCTCTTTGGGATGTTTTAGCATTATATTATATAGTCTAACTTTTGCTGAAGTAAAAAAAAGTAAAGCATAAAAGATAAAAATCAATGGAATTTCAAAAAGATTTGAGTGGTTTGCTGGCTGTGAAGAAACATCAAAGAAATATTAAAGCTCACAAGTACAGCTGAAATCATAAAGTCATTGCCTCTCGCTTTGCCAGCAGGTGGCATTCAGGGTTTTGGAATTTGCTAACTGAGAGAGAAACTATTCTCTAATCTTAATGTACCATGTCATTATAGAATGTTTCAAAGTGTGCACTAACCTGCCACCTTAGGTTTCTTTGTTTACTCCCCTTTAGTGTGTTTCCCAGCTTTAATATCTTCAAGTCTTTTCTTAGAGCTCTATTGTCCTTTTTAGTTTTCAGGGGATGCTAAGATTTTTCTTTGAGGTCTTTGTATTACGCCAAAATAAAGAAAATAAGAGTTTTCCCATATCAACCGTCCTCTGCCTCACTCTGTTCATGAGTCTAACTGAATCATTGTTTATGGAGACATAGTCACGGGGGGCGTTGTTGATTTCCTCTCTTCGCTTAGTGCCTAATTTTACTTCTGTTTTCTTCCCAGTTAAGTGGCTTTGGGCCTCCATTACAAGTATGATCAGTTGATAGTTCCATCAAGCAGATGCATAAGAGTGGTAGTGGCATTGCTTCTTGCTTTCCTTACAGTGACATCAGGAACAGATGTGGGCGTTTGCTGGGGCTTGAACCCTACCACTCACTGTCCTGCTCCCTAATTGCTAGGAAATGCTCAATGGTGCAGTGGGAAATAGTTGGCAAAGGCATCTTTTCCCAGACTTCCAAAGTCTTGGTATACTCTTTCACTTATGGTATTCAAAATGCTATTTCACATCTTAGCCTTTTAGATGTGGGGCAACCTAAAAGGAATGAAGAACAAAAGGGGAAACAGTAAATTCCAAAAAAGTCTAGGACAAGCTAAAGGATTGACTGGGACTGGAATGTAAGTCTCAAGGGTCTTTTCCAAGAGACAACATGAAAATCCTTCTATCATATGTAGATGGAAATATGTATACATCTAAAATGTATCTTTTCTATCTATTCCGTATTTGTGACAAGAAATTATTTAGCTTTTCAGGCATTTAATTGAACTAACTACAGCTTTAATTATAATAAAGCAAAACTAACAAATTGTATGATATATATGTGTCTTTTATAACAGGAAGACTGTAGTTCATGGAGGCTCCCTCATTCCTCATCCCTTTGGAGTAAGCTTATTTGAAGGTCAGGTGTTCTTTACAGATTGGACAAAGATGGCCGTGCTGAAGGCAAACAAGTTCACAGAGACCAACCCACAAGTGTACTACCAGGCTTCCCTGAGGCCCTATGGAGTGACTGTTTACCATTCCCTCAGACAGCCCTATGGTAAGCCTCAGAGCAGTGGTAACCATGCTTGGTACCGGACTTGGTGGAAAGGTTTTCTCAAAGCTTTGAAAGTTAATAATGAGGGGTCTTATGTGATTTGGGTGGCATTCTCAAGTATATGAAGGGTTACCCAGAGTGTTAAACTCTCTGAAACTGGTTCTGCAGGTTAGGAGCATTCTGAAGAAACTGATGTATTTCACAGTTAAATGCCAAATCTAGAGGGAATTTAGAGATTTATTTAACAGATGTTTATTAGCACCTGCAAAGATGCTTGGGGGTATAGCAGCTCACAAACCAAACCAAAATACCTATCCTCATTCTACTGGGAAAGACATCTATTTCAAACTTCTAATATTACAGTTAAGGAAACAGGTCCCATAGAAGAAAATGACATGTCTAAGTGTCCATTTTCGGTAGCATCAGAGCCATTTTTTTCTTCTTCTCTGTTGCATATGTATGGCACCTGTTCTTTGGTTCTGATTAATCTGTCATAGGCCAACTGGGTTTGGTGTCTCTCTGGCTGGTCACTTATTTTAAAAAAAGAAATATTTTGATTCAGACACTGCTTAGTCTTCTCCTGTTATTTTACCACGTGATTTTTTCTTTTTATTTTTTCTGAGATGGGATTTCCACTATGTTGGCCAGACTTTTCTGGAACTCCGGGCTTCAAGCGATCCTCCTGCCCCGGCTTCCCAAAGTGTTGGGATTACAGGTGTAAGCCACTGCACCTGGCCTATCATAAGCTTTGTTTATGTTTCCAGGTTATAGCTTGAGCTTTGATAAGTCTATCAGGACTGTATATAGCTCTTTTCTGTATTTGCTTGTGGATCAAAGAAAAAGAAACATAAACTACACTACGTTGGTAGAAAGCTTAATATTGGTGAGCAATAATTTAGAGGAAAACAGATTTGCTCTAAAACTCATGTTAAGTGATGGATCTATTTAGGATGAAGAAAGACTGCAAAGTAATGAGGTTAACTTAACAAAAGCCCAACCACTAGAAATGACACATTCAGATGAATCTCCTTCAATGTCATCATCCTGGGAAAGTATAAACTTGTCTAAAAATAGATATTTTATCTGAAAACATTTTTGGAAATATCTGTTTTGAATAGTTTTTACACTCAATTCACAACTAAACTCACACCTGCCCTCACATTAGATCCATTAGATCAATGATCAATGTGATCACTCAAATTACTATTTTCATTATTTGGCTCAGAATGACATCTGCCTATTGTTTCCCCAAATCAATCCACCTGAGAAGATAAAGAGAATATTTTAAAGAATAAGTCAAAGGCTAAAAAGACAATTTTGAAAGCAGATATAAAATTTCTAGCTGTGGCAGTGCTCTTCCTAAGGTCACTACTTTGAGAGTGGCTTTTGGAAGTATAAACTGGTTTGTGTTGCAGACATTTAAGGTTTTGGAATCAGATCTGGCTTTGAATCCTAGTCAAGCTGTTTAGCTGCTGAATAATGTTGGGCAAGTTATTTAACTGTTTAGATTCTTGGTTTCTCCTCTGTAAAATTGGAGGACTAATACTTACCTCTTAGAGCTATTGGTTAAGTTGGTTTACTTACAAAGTAAGCATCCAGTGAGTAATATTTATTATATCCTACAAATGGCAAAAAAGCAGTGAAGTGTGGGTTTTCTTTTGACAATTATTTCTAATCATGGAGGATAGCAGACATACTCTGACATAATTATTGGGGAGAAAGTTGTAGGAGTCCTTTCTTTTTTTTTGCCACCGTCTGTTGGAGAGTGGATGGGAGAGCAGCAGTGAAATTGGGAGGGTTAGTGTAGCCAGATGTGGATGTATCCAGTAGTAACCAGTAGTAATGTTTTCAACACGTTGCTAATCCATTACTCTATTTCACCTATAGGTGAAAAGGGCTAGAAGTGGCTTCATGTCTTGGATAATTACACATTTCTAATTGCAATTTAACCCTGTGCATTTTTCCTTCCAGCTACCAATCCGTGTAAAGATAACAATGGGGGCTGTGAGCAGGTCTGTGTCCTCAGCCACAGAACAGATAATGATGGTTTGGGTTTCCGTTGCAAGTGCACATTCGGCTTCCAACTGGATACAGATGAGCGCCACTGCATTGGTAAGAAGTCTGTTTTGGACGTTGTTGGCAGGTGACACAGGTGTATGTGTGTCCAAACCTCTAACTAGACTAACTGCTACTCTTGAACTGGACCAGCTCCCTGTCTAACTTCTTGACTGCAAATAAGCTTTCTGTAGCCCACAGGGCATCTTCCTTGGTAGGCACCACTTCTACTATACACAGAACTATGTTTGAAAATGTAAATTTCTGTCTTTTGGGATTTTGCTTTAATCCCACATCTAAGGTTTTCTTGGGTTCCCTTCCCCCTTTGTTTCCTGAAGCCTTTTTCTCCTATTAACTATGATCTTGAAATTCCATATGGTTGAACTTTGAGCTCTTTTCTATGCTATGTATACCTTTTCCACTTTAGATGTTAGCCTTAACTTTGATGGGAAGTACTGTACTTCTCCCCACTTTGACTTCTCCTAGACCACCACGTATGCCCCTTTCAACCAGGTAATCACATCTGAATCTTATCTGGCTTATTTTTTCTCTCTGTATTCCAAAGTAAACTCCTGAGCATTGGGGTGGCTCAGTTACTCACACAGTTTTTCACCTTTCAGTTCAAACTTTCTTGTATCTGCCTCCATATTCCTGATTTCATTCTTACCTTGAAGGTTTCCTTTCTTCCTCTTTGGTTTCCTACACATCTATTCACACTTAAGCCATCGCCTGGGCCCCAGCTAATGATGAAATGCACTCCTACAATATTTGTTTTTCTTATTTTCACTTCTACATTTCTCCTTTCTGTGCCTGTGACAAATTCTTGCTCTCCAGATGTTGCGGTTTCTAGCGTCGTATATAAATTATCTTATTCTAACCCAGACACATTTGTTAACTTCTTAGGTAGTTTTAGATTCAGAAAAATCACCCTCATTAAAAACAACATGTATTTCTAACTATTATATCAATAGTGCGTTGTCTAATAATTTTGCTTTTAAATTCCGTTACTGCGATTTTTATCTTTGTCTTGGGCATACCTCCTTCATCTTCTTGACTCCCTGGCATCCTGTCACAGTCTCCTCTTTGCTGTTAAACATCACTTCTTCTTACCTATTTCCTTTATCCCTCCCCTTCCTTCCCTGCTTTCACTCCTTTATATCTTTATATTTCTGATTGCTGTTAATTATCTTGGTATCTACTGTAAGGTTCTTGGTGTAGATCTCTATGCAGAAGTTAAACCAACTTGAGGATTGTTACGGAATTACTATAGAGTTCAGCTCTGTATGATTTTTAAACAAAAGATTGATGGCACAGGTGAGAAAGGTTTCTGTGTGTGTGTGTGTGTGTGTGTGTGTGTGTGTGTGTGTGTGTGCATGTTTTGCCTGTTTATTGTAATGATACTTATAACTTGATAATTAAAACTCAGTATCTAATTTTTAAGCAGTCCTTTTTATTTTATTTATTTATACTATTTTACTTTAAGTTCTAGGGTACATGTGCACAATGTGCAGGTTTGTTACATATGTATACATGTGCCATGTTGGTGTGCTGCACCCGTTAACTCGTCATTACATTAGATGTATCTCCTATTTTATAAATTAAGCATATGGATATCATTTTTCATATAAATACATTTTAAGGATACATTTCTTAGGAAGAAGGAAGATTCTAATACTTGTATCTCCCTCATAGTTGCTTATCTTTTTTTCTTCCCTGTATTATTTCTAACTATGCTTTCCAAAAATTTATTTTTACATTTATTTCAGAATTATATTTTATAATTTAAAGTTTGCTCTGTGGATGCATTTATCTGGAATTTGGGAGGAGAGAAAAGAACCATGCTGTGACTGACTGTGCTGTGTTATTCTTCCTACAGCTGTTCAGAATTTCCTCATTTTTTCATCCCAAGTTGCTATTCGTGGGATCCCGTTCACCTTGTCTACCCAGGAAGATGTCATGGTTCCAGTTTCGGGGAATCCTTCTTTCTTTGTCGGGATTGATTTTGACGCCCAGGACAGCACTATCTTTTTTTCAGATATGTCAAAACACATGATTTTTAAGCAAAAGATTGATGGCACAGGTGAGAAAGGTTTGTGTGTGTGTGTGTGTGTGTATGCGTGTTTTGCCTGTTTATTGTAATGATACTTACAACTTGATAATTAAAACTCAGTATCTAATTTTTAAGCAGTCTTATTTATTTATTTATTTATTTATTTATTTATTTATACTATTTTACTTTAAGTTCTAGGGTACATGTGCACAACGTGCAGGTTTGTTACATATGTATACATGTGCCATGTTGGTGTGCTGCACCCGTTAACTCGTCATTTATGTTAGGTATATCTCCTAATGCTATCCCTCCCCCTCCCCCCACCCCACGACAGGCCCTGGCGTGTGATGTTCCCCATCCTGTGTCCATGTGTGCTCATTGTTCAATTCCCACCTGTGAGTGAGAACATGTGGTGTTTGGTTTTCTGTCCTTGCAATAGTTTGCTGAGAATGATGATTTCCAATTTCATCCATGTCCCTGTAAAGAACATGAACTCATCCTTTTTTATGGCTGCATAGTATTCCATGGTGCATATGTAACACATTTTCTTAATCCAGTCTATCATTGATGAACATTTGGGTTGGTTCCAAGTTTTTGCTGTTGTGAATAGTGCCGCAATAAACATACGTGAGCATGTGTCTTTATAGCAGCATGATTTATAATCCTTTGGGTATATGCCCAGTAATGGGATGGCTGGGTCAAATGTTATTTCTAGTTCTAGATCCCTGAGGAATCTCCACACTGTCTTCCACAATGGTTGAACTAGTTTACAGTCCCTCCAACAGTGTAAAAGTGTTCCTATATCTCCACATCCTCTCCAGCACCTGTTGTTTCCTGACTTTTTAATGATCGCCATTCTAACTGGTGTGAGATGGTATCTCATTGTGATTTTGATTTGCATTTCTCTGATGGCTAGTGATGATGAGCATTTTTTCTTGTGTCTGTTGCCTCCATAAATGTCTTTTTTTGAGAAGTGTCTGTTCATATCCTTCACCCACTTTTTGATGGGGTTGTTTGATTTTTTCTTGTAAATTTGTTTAAGTTCTTTGTAGATTCTGGATATTAGCCCTTTGTAAGATGGGTAGATTGTAAAAATTTTCTCCTATTCTGTAGGTTGCCTGTTCACTCTGATGGTAGTTTGTTTTGCTGTGCAGAAGCTCTTTAGTCTAATTAGATCCCATTTGTCAATTTTGGCTTTTGTTGCCATTGCTTTTGGTGTTGCAGTCATGAAGTCCTTGCCCACACCTATGGCCTGAATGGTATTGTCTAGGTTTTCTTCTAAGGGTTCTTATGGCTTTAGGTCTAACATTTAAATCTTTAATCCATCTTGAATTGATTTTTGTATAAGGTGTAAGGAAGGGATCCAGTTTCAGCTTTCTAAATATGGCTAGCCAGTTTTCCCAGTACCATTTATTAAATAGGGAATCCTTTCCCCATTTCTTGTTTTTGTCAGGTTTGTCAAAGATCAGATGGTTGTAGATGTGTGATATCATTTCTGAGGACTCTATTCTGTTCCATTGGTCTATATCTCTGTTTTGGTACCAGTACCATGCTGTTTTGGTTACTGTAGCCTTGTAGTATAGCTTGAAGTCAGGTAGTGTGATGCCTTCAGCTTTGTTCTTTTGGCTTAGGATTGTCTTGGCAATGCAGGCTCTTTTTTGGTTCCATATGAACTTTAAAGTAGTTTTTTCCAATTCTGTGAAGAAAGTCATTGGTAGCTTGATGGGGATGGCATTGAATCTATAAATCACCTTGGGCAGTATGGCCATTTTCACAATATTGATTCTTCCTATCCATGAGCATGGATTGTTCTTCCATTTGTTTGTGTCCTCTTTTATTTTGCTGAGCAGTGGTTTGTAGTTCTCCTTGAAGAGGTCCTTCACATCCCTTGTAAGTTGGATTCCTAGGTATTTTATTCTCTTTGAAGCAATTGTGAATGGGAGTTCACTCATGATTTGGCTCTCTGTTTGTCTGTTATTGGTGTATAGGAATGCTTGTGATTTTTGCACATTGATTTTGTATCCTGAGACTTTGCTGAAGTTGCTTATCAGCTTAAGGAGATATTGGGCTGAGATGATGGGGTTTTCTAAATATACAGTCATATCATCTGCAAACAGGGACAATTTGACTTCCTCTTTTCCTAATTGAATACCCTTTATTTCCTTCTCCTGACTAATTGCCCTGGCCAGAACTTCCAACACTATGCTGAGTAGGAGTGGCGAGAGAGGGCATCCCTGCCTTGTGCCAGTTTTCAAAGGGAATGCTTCCAGTTTTTGTCCATTCAGTATGATATTGGCTGTGGGTTTGTCATAAATAGCTCTTATTATTTTGAGATACATCCCATCAATACCTAGTTTATTGATTTAGCATGAAGGGCTGTTGAATTTTGTCAAAGGCCTTTTCTGCATCTATTGAGATAATCATGTGGTTTTTGTCTTTGGTTCTGTTTATATGCTGGATTACGTTTATTGATTTGTGTATGCTGAACCAGCATTGCATCACAGGGATGAAGCCCACTTGATCATGGTGGATAAGCTTTTTGATGTGATCCTGGATTCGGTTTGCCAGTATTTTATTGAGGATTTTTGCATCAATGTTCATCAGGGATATTGGTCTAAAATTCTCTTTTTTTGTTGTGTCTCTGCCAGGCTTTGGTATCAGAATGATGTTGGCCTCATAAAATGAATTAGGGATGATTCCCTCTTTTTGCTTTGATTGGAATAGTTTCAGAAGGAATGGAACCAGCTCCTCTTTGTACCTCTGGTAGAATTCGGCTGTGAATCCGTCTGGTCCTGGACATTTTTTGGGTTGGTAGGCTATTAATTATTGCCTCAATTTCAGAACCTGTTATTGGACTATTCAGGGATTCAGCTTCTTCCTGGTTTAGTCTTGGGAGGGTGTATGTGTCCAGGAATTTATCTATTTCTTCTAGATTTTCTAGTTTATTTGCATAGAGGTATTTACAGTATTCTCTGATGGTAGTTTGTATTTCTTTGGGATGGGTGGTGATATCCCCTTTATCATTTTTTATTGTGTCTAGTTGATTCTTCTCTCTTTTCTTCTTTATTAGTCTTGCTAGCGGTCTATCAATTTTGTTCATTTTTTCAAAAAACCAGCTCCTGGATTCATTGATTTTTTGAAGGGTTTTTTGTGTCTCTATCTCCTTCAGTTCTGCTATGATCTTAGTTATTTCTTGCCTTCCGTTAGCTTTTGAATGTGTTTGCTCTCGCTTCTCTAGTTCTTTTAATTGTGATGTTAGGGTGTCAGTTTTAGATCTCTACTGCTTTCTCCTGTGGGCATTTAGTGCTATAAATTTCCTTCTACACCCTACTTCAAATGTGTCCCAGAGATTCTGGTGTGTTGTGTCTTTGGTCTCATTGGTTTCACAGAACGTCTTTATTTCTGCCTTCATTTCGTTGCTTACCCAGTAGTCATTCAGGAGCACGTTGTTCAGTTTCCGTGTAGTTGAGTGGTTTTGAGTGAGTTTCTGGATCCTGAGTTCTAATTTGATTGCCTTGTGGTCTGAGAGACAGTTTGTTATAATTTCTGTTCTTTTACATTTGCTGAGGAGTGCTTTACTTCCAACTATGTGGTCAATTTTGGAATAAGTGCGATGTGGTGCTGAGAGGAATGTATACTCTGTTGATTTGGGGTGGATAGTTATGTAAGCAGAGATTTTACTAAGCTTCCTAAATAGTTTTAGATTGAGAAAATAAATTTATTGCTTTTTTATGGATTAAGGTAAAACAAACACCTTTCCTTTATTTTAGAAACACGTTATTTTTGGGAACCGAGACGGGAGGATTGCTTGAGGCCGGGAGTTTGAGACCAGCCTGAGCAACATAGTGAGATTCCACTTGTACCAAAAAAAGAAAAAAATTAGCCAGATGTGGTGGCATGTACCTGTAGTCCCCACTACTTGGGAGGCTGCAATGGAAGGATTGTTTGAGCCCAGGAGATCCAGGTTGCAGTGAGCTATGACCATACCACTGCACTCCAGCTTGGGCAACAGAGTGCAACCCTATCTCGGAAAAAAAAAAAAAAAAAAAAGGTTACAAACGTGTGTGTATTTTAACAATGACCAATGTTAACATAAAAGAAATGTCACGTGTATGAGAGCCATTAACAGATTAATTGACTAGACACTGTTTTTCATACTCAAGCAGCCAGATTGATTAAAGGGGAAGACATCTCTTCAGGGATGCTGGACTATGTAAATGCCAAGGGTTTGGTTTGTAATAGTAATAAAATTTGTAAGCAATATAACATACCAACTAAGAGAGCCAGCTTAGGAGCTACACTGCCTGGTTCCAAATTCCAGCTTCCCACATTTCCTAGCTTTGTAACTTTGGGGAAGTTACTCAATTTCCTTTTGCCTCAATTTTCTAGTCTGAAAAATATGCGGTTCATATATTGCTCATAAGGTTGTTGAGAGAATTTTTGGCTAATGCATGTAAACACCTAGAGTAATGGCTAGAAAATAGTAAATATTCAGTAAATGTTGGATATCATTTTATCTGTTATCAATATAAAACCATATTGCCCACCCTCCCCTGCCCCTAATCCAGACCTGCTCTGGGGAGGGAACAGCTCTTTTGACTATTTCTTCTTTTGTTTGTCTCCATGTTTCTAAATGCTTTGTTTATACTTCTATTTCTTGATTTATCATTTTTGATATTTACTTCCTTGTTCTAGGTGAGCGTTTTGCTTTCTTACATCATTCTTCTCTCCCAGCTTCTGACTTCCCTCCCCCCATTCTCCTTAAAAAGCTAGATTATAATTTTTGGTTAAATTAATCATATGTGTTTATATTATTAACATAATATAAATATAAATATTGTTCACTGCTCAGCCAATTAGTATTCTAGGATGACATTTCTTGACAATTTTTGACAATTGCCCCATTTTCATTTGCTTAGTTTTTAAATATAACAATCATGTATTTTCCCCAAATGCTCTAATAGCTCTATCAAATGCCTGTACAAAGACAGAAAACAATCTATAATTTTTTTTTTCTTTCTGGAGACCCCTATCCTGTGTTCCAATTGGGACTTGTTTTTCTCTGGCCTGGTGCACAGACTTCTCTTTGCCACTCCCCTGTGCTGGAACTTCTGTTTGTGGCAGGCCATTTATTTCTTTTTCTAGATTTATTTCCTCATTTTGCTGAAACAAGTTACATGATAGCTTCCTGAGAAACATAAGTAGGTGGCATATATTTTGAGTCTTTGAATGTCTGTGAGTGTTTTATTTTGCTCTCCATCTTGACTGTTTGGCTGGGTACAGGTTGCAAGTTAATTTAAACCTGGAATTTGAAGACATTGCTCTAGTGACGTCTAATATCTAGTGTTGAGTCCAGTGCCATTCTGAGTACCATTTCTATGGATATGACTTTGATATGGATATGGATATGACATTAAAAATTAATCTTCCTCTGTTTCCATTTTCTCTGGATTCCTTTTCCTTTTGATTTCTTTTCAACTTTCTTCTTTTTGATGGAAGCTTTTTCCAAGTGTCTGAGTTGCTAGTTTGGTATTAAGGGTGAGGTTATAAAACCTGACCCAAAAGTCTGTACATGTGGATAGGCCTTGTCAGCTGGTGAGCTTCAGGCAGGAAGGTGGCTTGGTTGCCAGATTGCTCCCCAAGGCAACATTAGTGAGTCTTTTCTGGAGATGGTCAATTTCTCCTTCATAGATGCCTCCATTTTCCTTCATGAGGTAAGGGGAAGATGTGGGGAGATGGTGGTCTGTTCTGGGGGTGATTAATTTCTCCTCCATAGATGCCTTCATTCTCCTTCTTGGAGTAAGGGGAAGATGTGGGAAGATGGTGGTCTGTTCTGGGGGTGATTAATTTCTCCTTCATAGATGCCTTCATTCTCCTTCTTGGGGTAAGGGGAAGATGTGGGGAGATGGTGGTCTGTTCTGGGAGTGGGCAGAGGAAAGGGAGCTGAGGGCGCCCTTTCAGTATTCCTATAATCCTCCTGTACTCAGTTCCACATCCATCTCAGTTCTGTGTTGAGGACTGTGCCTTGAACCCATAGCCATTCTGCTTCAGCTCCTCCAGAGAAAATCTGTGGTCCCTTAGAGGAGATAGAGGAGTGGCGTGACACTCAGGATCTGGGAGGGACCTAGGCATTGGATTGCTCCTTATCTTGCTTTATCTGAGCCCCTTAGTTCCTCGCCCCTGCCTTTGTTAGGACCTGGTGCCTCTGAGTGTGAGTGCACTGAGGCTTCTGCATATGTGGGTGTGTCTCTCTTCTGTTGACACTTAGTTTGTAGCATTTTCCCCTTCTTAACTGAGTTATCACTCCTCCAATACCTTACTTTTCAAACATTTGTTGGAATTACTCATCTGCTGTTATTTTACTGTCTTTTAAGTAGAATTTCGGAGGAAGAGGAGATAAACATGTTTGGTTTGTCAATCTGCTATTTTGAATGAGAAATTATCTTTTTTGAGGACTTAGAATCAGGCCCACTGAGCTTGGAGCACTGCAGTCGAGCTTAGTTCTCAGGAAAAGGTAGTATTGGGTTTCTAGCTGCATGCAGGCCAAGTCTCCCACAGGCACCTCCACAGGTCAGCTTCCTTCTGTTTTGTTGATCTGGAATTCTCATAGTATTTTTGGTAAACTTCAAGTTCGTATGCTGAGCAACCTACCTTTTTTTAATTTTTTTATTTTTATTTATTTATTTATTATTATACTTTAAGTTTTAGGGTACATGTGTACAATGTGCAGGTTAGTTACATATGTATACATGTGCCATGCTGGTGCGCTGCACCCACTAACTCGTCATCTAGCATTAGTTATATCTCCCAATGCTATCCCTCCTCCCGCGCCACCCCACAACAGTCCCCAGAGTGTGATGTTCCCCTTCCTGTGTCCATGTGTTCTCATTGTTCAATTCCCACCTATGAGTGAGAATATGCAGTGTTTGGTTTTTTGTTCTTGTGATAGTTTGCTGAGAATGATGATTTCCAATTTCATCCATGTCCCTACAAAGGACATGAACTCATCATTTTTTATGGCTGCATAGTATTCCATGGCATATATGTGCCACATTTTCTTAATCCAGTCTATCATTGTTGGACATTTGGGTTGGTTCCAAGTCTTTGCTATTGTGAATAGTGCCGCAATAAACATACGTGTGCATGTGTCTTTATAGCAGCATGATTTATAGTCCTCTGGGTATATACCCAGTAATGCGATGGCTGGGTCAAATGGTATGTCTAGTTCTAGATCCCTGAGGAATCGCCACACTGACTTCCACAATGGTTGAACTAGTTTACAGTCCCACCAACAGTGTAAAAGTGTTCCTATTTCTCCACATCCTCTCCAGCACCTGTTGTTTCCTGACTTTTTAATGATTGCCATTCTAACTGGTGTGAAATGGTATCTCATTGTGGTTTTGATTTGCATTTCTCTGATGGCCAGTGATGGTGAGCATTTTTTCATGTGTTTTTTGGCTGCATAAATGTCTTCTTTTGAGAAGTGTCTGTTCATATCCTTTGCCCACTTTTTGATGGGGTTGTTTGTTTTTTTCTTGTAAATTTGTTTGAGTTCATTGTAGATTCTGGATATTAGCCCTTTGTCAGATGAGTAGGTTGCGAATATTTTCTCCCATTTTGTGGGTTGCCTGTTCACTGTGATGGTAGTTTCTTTTGCTGTGCAGAAGCTCTTTAGTTTAATTAGATCCCATTTGTCAATTTTGGCTTTTGTTGCCATTGCTTTTGGTGTTTTAGACATGAAGTCTTTGCCCATGCCTATGTCCTGAATGGTAATGCCTAGGTTTTCTTCTAGGGTTTTTATGGTTTTAGGTCTAATATTTAAGTCTTTAAGCCATCTTGAATTGATATTTGTATAAGGTGTAAGGAAGGGATCCAGTTTCAGCTTTCTACATATGGCTAGCCAGTTTTCCCAGCACCATTTATTAAATAGGGAATCCTTTCCCCATTGCTTTTTTTCTCAGGTTTGTCAAAGATCAGATAGTTGTAGATATACGGCGTTATTTCTGAGGGCTCTGTTCTGTTCCATTGGTCTATATCTGTGTTTTGGTACCAGTACCATGCTGTTTTGCTTACTATAGCCTTGTAGGATAGTTTGAAGTCAGGTAGTGTGATGCCTCCAGCTTTGTTCTTTTGGCTTAGGATTGACTTGGCGATGCGGGCTCTTTTTTGGTTCCATATGAGCTTTAAAGTAGTTTTTTCCAATTCTGTGAAGAAAGTCATTGGTAGCTTGATGGGGATGGCATTGAATCTATAAATTACCTTGGGCAGTATGGCCATTTTCACGATATTGATTCTTCCTACCCATGAGCATGGAATGTTCTTCCATTTGTTTGTATCCTCTTTTATTTCATTGAGCAGTGGTTTGTAGTTCTTCTTGAAGAGGTCCTTCACATCCCTTGTAAGTTGGATTCCTAGGTATTTTATTCTCTTTGAAGCAATTGTGAATGGGAGTTCACTCATGATTTGGCTCTCTGTTTGTCTGTTATTGGTGTATAAGAATGCTTGTGATTTTTGTACATTGATTTTGTATCCTGAGACTTTGCTGAAGTTGCTTATCAGCTTAAGGAGATTTTGGGCTGAGACGATGGGGTTTTCTAGATATACCATCATGTCGTCTGCAAACAGGGACAATTTGACTTCCTCTTTTCCTAATTGAATACCCTTTATTTCCTTCTCCTGCCTAATTGGCCTGGCCAGAATTTCCAACACTATGTTGAATAGGAGTGGTGAGAGAGGGCATCCCTGTCTTGTGCCAGTTTTCAAAGGGAATGCTTCCAGTTTTTGCCCATTCAGTATGATATTGGCTGTGGGTTTGTCATAGATAGCTCTTATTATTTTGAGATATGCCCCATCAATACCTAGTTTATTGAGAGTTTTTAGCATGAAGGGTTGTTGACTTTTGTCAAAGGCCTTTTCTGCATCTATTGAGATAATCATGTGGTTTTTGTCTTTGGCTCTGTTTATATGCTGGATTACATTTATTGATTTGCGTATATTGAACCAGCCTTGCATCCCAGGGATGAAGCCCACTTGATCATGGTGGATAAGCTTTTTGATGTGCTGCTGGATTCGGTTTGCCAGTATTTTATTGAGGATCTTTGCATCAATGTTCATCAAGGATATTGGTCTAAAATGCTCTGTTTTGGTTGTGTCTCTGCCTGGCTTTGGTATCAGGATGATGCTGGCCTCATAAAATGAGTTAGGGAGGATTCCCTCTTTTTCTATTGATTGGAATCATTTCAGAAGGAATGGTACCAGTTCCTCCTTGTACCTCTGGTAGAATTCGGCTGTGAATCCATCTGGTCCTGGACTCTTTTTGGCAACCTACCTTTTAAAATATTCCTCATAGTCAGTGGTTAAACTCTGTATGCTTTGTTGAGGGAGGCATTACATTGTTCTTTTTTTTTTTTTTGAATGAGTACACAGTATATGCAGGAAATGAGTTGTCAGAAATCAAATTAGCTAATGTGGTGGTGTGGTGTAGTGCCAGATACTTGGGAGGATCACTTGAGGTCAGGTGTTTGAGGCTGCAGTGGGCTATGACTGTGCCACTGCACTCCAGCCTAGGTAAGACCTGTCTCTAAAGAAAAAGAAAAAGAAATCATATTAAAAGTCAGGATTAGCTGAATGAAGCCCTCAGGAGAACTCCCTCCTTCAATGATACCTTCTTTTTTCCAAATTCTCTTTTTCTACTGACTTTTCCCTATCATCAGATATGCTCAAGTTTCTCCCATCCTAAAAAATATGCAACTTACCCTTCACTCCATGTTCCTCTTTAGTGATAACCCCTTCTCTGCATTTCATGGTCAAGTTTCTTGAAAGGTTGTTTTGCACTTTCCTATCCCTTCTTCCACATTTCTCACTGATTACTCACCTCTTGCAATCTGCCCACCAGGTGGCTGACACCCCTCTCATCCTGGTCACCTCTAATCCCTTTCTTGCTAAATTAAATAATGCCTATCAGTCCTGTATTTGGTACTTCAGCCATCTTCTCTCAAATATTCTTTCTTCCATGACAGCATACTCCTGGATTTCCTTCTATTTCTTGATCATTTTTTTTTTTCTAGTGTACCCTGGAGATCTTTTCTTTTTCTCCTGTTCTATAAAAAACTGTAAATCTGTTGTTCAACATTGGTCCTCCTCTCTCTGAATAATTTCACACCTTTCCTGCCTTTGATTACTATCTATGTAGCAACTATAAATAATTATGGGGAGACTTTTATAATAGTGCATTTACTGAGTGTTTTTCCTCCTAAACTGGGGAATGAGGGAAAGACCAAGCAAGCCTTTCTGTAGGTCATGATAAAAATCTCTATGCAAGTTCTCTCTCTGAGGTTCAGACCCATAGTGCCAGCTGCCTTTTGGATACGTCACCTGGATATCCTACAATCACCTCTAAACCAACATGTCTAAGTGGATGCTTCATCCAACTTCTCACAGGCCTTAGAGGAAGGGCATGACCACTCACCCCTTCCTTGGTGCCCCATCCCCACCTGGTGGTCATCATGAACATCTCCCTCTCTTTTAGCCTCTATCATTAACTCATTAACCTCCAGCCACACTCCTAGAACATGTAGAGTTTTCAGTCTCTGTGTCTGTCAACCACCCCAGACCTCTGCTTTGCCATGTGGCCCATTAGGAATCTGTGCTCTCAGACCATCCTATGCATCTCTCCATCTCAGCACTCATTACTCTTTTATTTTTGTCTCTTGGCCTAGTTGCCTCCTCCTCTTTCACCACCTCACTATGAATTACCTTGAGGGTGGTGTCCACACTTCTTTCCAGATGCTTAACTTCTCTTTGACTTGGTTCTCTCATCTGTAGAATAGGAACGATACTAATGCCTACTTGATTGAGTGGCTGTGAGGATGGATGAATCCATGTAGAATACTTGGTCCAGTTTCTGCCACCTAGTAAGTGCTCATTTAATCTAAGCTGTGATTATTAACACTACTAACAATATTGTGTTTTCTAAATATATAGTTGGCTTTCTATCACATAGAGAACTTTCTTTTCACAATTTGCTGAATAAATGAAGAGAAAAAGTAGTAGGATTTTTTCTTCCTACTGCAAAAGAAAGAGGTATGGCTGTTTATTCTGATTCAGATTTTCTTTAGTGAAAAAAAGAAAAAAGAGGGTAAAAGAAAGCATAATAACTCCATAAAGAGGAAAGCGTTTTTTTTTTTTTGTTGTTGTTGTTTTTAATCAGTTCTGATTTCCTTTCTGGTATCTCTGCTGGTGTTTTCAAAACTTGGCAACTTTGTGGCTGTGGAAGACTGTTGATGAGAGGGTTGGGCGATGATACCTCAGGGTTACCCTCAGGTCGTACCTGGTGGTGTCAGCTTATCAGAGCCGTCTCCGGGTGGTAGTAGGTGAACTCAGGTATCTCTTCTTCAGATATTCTACAGTGAGAAATTTTTTTCTGGAAGGTTGGACATGGGAGTAAATCCAGGCCATACCATTCCTGGTTCTGTTTGTCAGTATCATATCTACTCTTTGAGATCCAAAGTTTGAGGAATGGATAGATTCTAGGTTTGTCTCATGTTATTGCTCAGCAGCTT
Source organism: Homo sapiens (assembly GCF_000001405.40). Lineage (NCBI taxonomy): Eukaryota > Metazoa > Chordata > Mammalia > Primates > Hominidae > Homo > Homo sapiens. The sequence continues at coordinate 169,259,372 of NC_000002.12, read as the reverse complement.
ACAGAGTTTTTTTTTTTTTTTTTTTTTAAAGAATTCCACATGTGTTCCTGAAATATGCTCTAACTCTGACACAAAATTTCAGTGTGCATTAGTAGGAAAATTGATGCCTTACAAAATATACTTAGCTTAAAATATGTCCATATTTTAACTTATAGGAAGAGAAATTCTCGCAGCTAACAGGGTGGAAAATGTTGAAAGTTTGGCTTTTGATTGGATTTCAAAGAATCTCTATTGGACAGACTCTCATTACAAGAGTATCAGTGTCATGAGGCTAGCTGATAAAACGAGACGCACAGTAGTTCAGTATTTAAATAACCCACGGTCGGTGGTAGTTCATCCTTTTGCCGGGTAAGTGTGTTCATGTTTTCCTAAGAGCTTGAAACTGTATGTCTTTTACAGTCATTGAAAAGTGATGCCCTAGGGATTTAGGTAAGTTCAGCAAATATAAGATTGAACTGTATAAGTTGAAATCACCTTAAATTTTATTTCTTTTTTCCTCCAAAAAACTTTATTCTGGGGGAGTAAAAAAAATTGTTTTTAAACCCAAAACATTTCTTCTAACTTTTGGCTTTCTCAGTCTTCACTGAAGAGTAGTTTTTTTCACAGTTGCAGAGGACCAAACAATGTGATATAGATTCAGTAGAAAAGGAGTGAATAGGCAACAGAATTAACAGGAAAGACCCAAATTCTTTCCCTGCTTTAATATATTTATATAAAGCTTAGCAAAACTTGCTTAATCATTCAGTAGTTTTCAGAATAAAAAGTTTTTCAGACCACAAAGTTTCATGTTTTACCATTCTATAATTGGTGGTGCCAGACAAGGAAAGACAGAAGAGTTCACAGTATTCCTTTTTGGTTCCTACTTTTCTTATTTAAATATGTTTAACAGCTACTGTGTTTATTTAGAACAAATCTGAGCTATGTGTTGTATATGAGTGGAATGATAAAAAAGATGGCTGCTAACCCACCAATGCCTGATTACCCAGGGAACATCCATACCTGTTCTTCCGTTAGATATATAATCTCATCAGCTTCCAAAGCTAGTTTGTGAAGGAGGTATGTGTAAATACCCATTTTAGAGAGAATGAATCTAAGGCGCAGTGAGATAAAGTGACTTGTGAAAGGGCCCGCAGCTATTAGGCAACAGTCAGTATTCAAATTCCAGACCTGTCTGACTGGAATGCCTGTGTGCCTAAAAAAGTCTGTTTGCTGCATCTAGAGTATCTGCTTTAATTTCCTCTCTGTAAGATAATAAAAGAAACACATTTTAAAACTGATGTTATTATTGATAAGAAATTTCATTGCCCTATAGAGAGTTAAACAGTTTAGTTTTTTAATGAATTTGTCTTAACTCAAACTTTTGGCCTTTGGTTTTGAAAAACTGTTGAATTCCTTTCCTGATGACTCTTTTGTTTAAAATGATATGAAGTAGTTACATTTCAGAAAGTTACATTTTGGAAAAGAATAATTTTGATTCCTCTGGATCCCATAAAAGAGAAAAAGTTGTTTTTTTATTTTCTTTTGTTTTTTTTGTGTTTTTTTTTTTTGTTTTTGTTTTTTTTTGCCTCTAGACTTATCTTTTTCCCACTCTTTAGAATATTAAAAAAATGCTTGGGTCAGATACTGTTTGCATTGCATTGATTTGGATGCTTTCTTCATCTGAGATGAATGGTTTCCTGCAAATTTATCAATTCCTTATGGAAGAATGACTAGAGGATCCTGAATGTTTAATCTAGAGAGAAAGAGATTGAAATGTTTTCTTGCTCTGTTCGTTGTTTATTATTTTATTTTAATAACGTGGAATATTTAATAGGTAACCTGAATTGTGTCTTGTTAGAGAATATGTTAGGCGACAATAGTTTTAGTTCCTAAACTCTGAGACAGTGGTTCTCTTCTCTCAATGCCCATTTAAATGCCATTTGTATTTGTGACTTTGGTTACATGTTAACTAAATTTTAACTGAGAATTACATGAGTTATACACTAAGTATGTTAAGTTCAATAGCATATAAAGAAAACAAAATTAATTGCAGTATCTGGAGAATCTCTGTTTGTTCTAAATCTCTGGAAGTCATGTAGTTTGTCCCAGTGTTAACAGCCTTAATTTACTACTGCTTTTTCTAGGTATCTATTCTTCACTGATTGGTTCCGTCCTGCTAAAATTATGAGAGCATGGAGTGACGGATCTCACCTCTTGCCTGTAATAAACACTACTCTTGGATGGCCCAATGGCTTGGCCATCGATTGGGCGTAAGTAGGAATCATCATCCCCGATACTTAGTTCTCTTTTACTGCAGAACACATAATGAGGCAGGTTGGGTGATATGATGGTGTAAGGAAACTGGTACTGCTTGCCCTCGCGGAATTTTAAATAATTAATTGGTGATGGGAGAAGGATATTGAACAAGAACACAAAGGACATAAACATAGTTGGCCAGCTACTGCTGGGGTGAAAACTAATAAATTCATGAGTATTCTGAGAAAATTGCTAGAGAAAGCTGAATGACAAGATTTAGTGGAAACTCAAGATGGGGGAGGTGGGTCCCAAGCAGCATTTAAAGTAGGGTACAGATTTGTTGAACTGTAGGCAGTGTGTAATTTCTTACAGGGAACATCTTGAGTTTAGGAAATCTTTGGAGTCAATTAATCAACAAATGCACCTTTGCTTACATGCACTTTGGGAGGACTTTAAAAGTATAAGCTATGGTTCTCAAGAAATTGATGATCTATCTAGGAATATAGGAAAAGGAATAGAGTAAATAAGCTTATAAAGATGAAATGCCAAGGTAACTTATGGGAGAAAAAAAGGGAAGAAATATATTTCACCTTTTAAACATAGATTACTACCACTGTTTTTCTTAACTTGTTGATTTCACAAGGAGAAAATAAAATTTCTGGCTCAAAGATAGCAACATTTTAAGTTTTCTAAGACAATTGATTGAAAGCCACTTCATGAAAAGTAGCCGTCTCTTTCTGGGGGACATAAAACTGTTAAATTTTTAATGAATATAATTTAAATTTTAAAAACTTTGTTTAATAAATGTGTCAACTGACCCTACTGTTTTTGGATGCCCTTTGTGTAAAGGGTGCTCTGATAGTTTTTGGATAAGAGATAACTAAATATTTTATTATTTTAGTGCTTCACGATTGTACTGGGTAGATGCCTATTTTGATAAAATTGAGCACAGCACCTTTGATGGTTTAGACAGAAGAAGACTGGGCCATATAGAGCAGATGACACATCCGTTTGGACTTGCCATCTTTGGAGGTATGTTTTAAAGCAATAAAAGTATGTATTGTTTTTATACATTGCAAGTTACAATAGTAAACTCATCCTCATGTGGCATTTTCACAATCCCAGAAAAGCTGGCCACTTTAAAATGAAAAAATTTAAAATGGTGCTATATATTTAGACAAAACATTTGGTTTGTTGATGGTGTATTTCATTTTTAGAGTGTGATTTTTGTTTTGTATATATTCGTATAATGTTGACAGTGTATATGGGTACAGCACTTTGTAGATTACATGTATTATACAATTCAACATCCCAAGTACTTAGTTATACAAGTATCACGTGAGGAAACAGTAAATTACTGCCTTCATTTTCAAGAATAAAACAGCAAGAGCTGTTTATAGTAATCATTGTAGCATTTCATTATTCTCCAGTGTTTGTAAGAATCTCATTAGAAATCCTTGTGGAAAAAACGATTACACATATTCATCAACTATATGCTGACTGAATGACTTTGAAACTTTTTTATTCAAAATGTTGGAGAACTGACATCGTCTTTGTTTTATGGAAGTGTTAGGTTATGCTTTATGAAGAACAGCAAGACATAATTTTTTTTCGTCAACCTTTCCAAATAATTTCATGCTACTAGTGAAGATTGCTGAGAAGCATGAATTCTGGGGAACTACAGTCACAATGAGCACAGCCAGTGCTTGCCTGTCTTCTCAGCTCCCCATTTGAGTGCAGGCATGCTGCTGTGAGTTGAGTTTCTGGGAATAAGAATGTAGCCTGGTACCATGAAACAGGTGGTTTGCTTAGTCTTGAAAACAGGAGCTCTGTGAATGGTTGTATAGCTTGTGCACTGCATAAAAATGCCAGGCCAAGAGGGTGAGGAGACACTGAAATCTATCCTGGGTCTGTTTGACAAACCATGATTACTCCAGTTAGAGGGGTCATGTTTTGTTTAAGTCTACCAAAAGCCCTGTGTATATGCTAGTTGTGTCCCTGGTTGAAACCTCCTACTTTGAATAATTAACACAGTGCTTGAAAAGACTAGACACTCACTATAAATCAAAGACTTTCTCACATGCATAGAATGTATGTGTGGAATGAATAGTTAGTAAGTATATTGCATATCTTGTCCTGCTGTCTGTTTATCTGTGGAGGAGTGTGTGGTATTTAAAAAATGCTCATGAGATTTTTGATGAGTTAATTATAAATACTCCTCCCGTCCCCCTCCCGCCGCTGCCATCCATTTACTCCCTTTTCACTAATGATGTCAGACACATGCTATTTGCTGTCACATAGAAACATTATAAAAAGTTGAATTTTCTCTGCTCTGGGCTGGGATGTTTTGGGATTCGAGAAAATGTAGTTTTAGTATCTTTTGGTTTCATCAGTATGAAAAAAATTTGAATGCATACCCATGAGGACAACACAACATTCCCAAAATAGCAATAATTATTTATTTCTTTCAACATTGCTGTTTTTTTTTTTTTTTATTATACTCTAAGTTTTAGGGTACATGTGCACATTGTGCAGGTTAGTTACATATGTATACATGTGCCATGCTGGTGCGCTGCACCCACTAATGTGTCATCTAGCATTAGGTATATCTCCCAATGCTATCCCTCCCCCCTCCCCCGACCCCACCACAGTCCCCAGAGTGTGATATTCCCCTTCCTGTGTCCATGTGATCTCATTGTTCAATTCCCACCTATGAGTGAGAATATGCAGTGTTTGGTTTTTTGTTCTTGCGATAGTTTACTGAGAATGATGGTTTCCAATTTCATCCATGTCTCTACAAAGGATATGAACTCATCATTTTTTATGGCTGCATAGTATTCCATGGTGTATATGTGCCACGTTTTCTTAATCCAGTCTATCATTGTTGGACATTTGGGTTGGTTCCAAGTCTTTGCTATTGTGAATAGTGCCACAATAAACATACGTGTGCATGTGTCTTTATAGCAGCATGATTTATACTCATTTGGGTATATACCCAGTAATGGGATGGCTGGGTCAAATGGTATTTCTAGTTCTAGATCCCTGAGGAATCGCCACACTGACTTCCACAATGGTTGAACTAGTTTACAGTCCCACCAACAGTGTAAAAGTGTTCCTATTTCTCCACATCCTCTCCAGCACCTGTTGTTTCCTGACTTTTTAATGATTGCCATTCTAACTGGTGTGAGATGATATCTCATAGTGGTTTTGATTTGCATTTCTCTGATGGCCAGTGATGATGAGCATTTCTTCATGTGTTTTTTGGCTGCATAAATGTCTTCTTTTGAGAAGTGTCTGTTCATGTCCTTCACCCACTTTTTGATGGGGTTGTTTGTTTTTTTCTTGTAAATTTGTTTGAGTTCATTGTAGATTCTGGATATTAGCCCTTTGTCAGATGAGTAGGTTGCGAAAATTTTCTCCCATGTTGTAGGTTGCCTGTTCACTCTGATGGTAGTTTCTTTTGCTGTGCAGAAGCTCTTTAGTTTAATTAGATCCCATTTGTCAATTTTGTCTTTTGTTGCCATTGCTTTTGGTGTTTTGGACATGAAGTCCTTGCCCACGCCTATGTCCTGAATGGTAATGCCTAGGTTTTCTTCTAGGGTTTTTATGGTTTTAGGTTTAACGTTTAAATCTTTAATCCATCTTGAATTGATTTTTGTATAAGGTGTAAGGAAGGGATCCAGTTTCAGCTTTCTACATATGGCTAGCCAGTTTTCCCAGCACCATTTATTAAATAGGGAATCCTTTCCCCATTGCTTGTTTTTCTCAGGTTTGTCAAAGATCAGATAGTTGTAGATATGCGGCATTATTTCTGAGGGCTCTGTTCTGTTCCATTGATCTATATCTCTGTTTTGGTACCAGTACCATGCTGTTTTGGTTACTGTAGCCTTGTAGTATAGTTTGAAGTCAGGTAGTGTGATGCCTCCAGCTTTGTTCTTTTGGCTTAGGATTGACTTGGCAATGCGGGCTCTTTTTTGGTTCCATATGAACTTTAAAGTAGTTTTTTCCAATTCTGTGAAGAAAGTCATTGGTAGCTTGATGGGGATGGCATTGAATCTGTAAATTACCTTGGGCAGTATGGCCATTTTCACGATATTGATTCTTCCTACCCATGAGCATGGAATGTTCTTCCATTTGTTTGTCTCCTCTTTTATTTCCTTGAGCAGTGGTTTGTAGTTCTCCTTGAAGAGGTCCTTCACATCCCTTGTAAGTTGGATTCCTAGGTATTTTATTCTCTTTGAAGCAATTGTGAATGGGAGTTCACCCATGATTTGGCTCTCTGTTTGTCTGTTGTTGGTGTATAAGAATGCTTGTGATTTTTGTACATTGATTTTGTATCCTGAGACTTTGCTGAAGTTGCTTATCAGCTTAAGGAGATTTTGGGCTGAGACGATGGGGTTTTCTAGATAAACAATCATGTCGTCTGCAAACAGGGACAATTTGACTTCCTCTTTTCCTAATTGAATACCCTTTATTTCCTTCTCCTGCCTGATTGCCCTGGCCAGAACTTCCAACACTATGTTGAATAGGAGCGGTGAGAGAGGGCATCCCTGTCTTGTGCCGGTTTTCAAAGGGAATGCTTCCAGTTTTTGCCCATTCAGTATGATATTGGCTGTGGGTTTGTCATAGATAGCTCTTATTATTTTGAAATACGTCCCATCAATACCTAATTTATTGAGAGTTTTTAGCATGAAGGGTTGTTGAATTTTGTCAAAGGCTTTTTCTGCATCTATTGAGATAATCATGTGGTTTTTGTCTTTGGCTCTGTTTATATGCTGGATTACATTTATTGATTTGCGTATATTGAACCAGCCTTGCATCCCAGGGATGAAGCCCACTTGATCATGGTGGATAAGCTTTTTGATTTGCTGCTGGATTCGGTTTGCCAGTATTTTATTGAGGATTTTTGCATCAATGTTCATCAAGGATATTGGTCTAAAATTCTCTTTTTTGGTTGTGTCTCTGCCCGGCTTTGGTATCAGAATGATGCTGGCCTCATAAAATGAGTTAGGGAGGATTCCCTCTTTTTCTATTGATTGGAATAGTTTCAGAAGGAATGGTACCAGTTCCTCCATGTACCTCTGGTAGAATTCGGCTGTGAATCCATCTGGTCCTGGACTCTTTTTGGTTGGTAAACTATTGATTATTGCCACAATTTCAGAGCCTGTTATTGGTCTATTCAGAGATTCAACTTCTTCCTGGTTTAGTCTTGGGAGAGTGTATGTGTCGAGGAATGTATCCATTTCTTCTAGATTTTCTAGTTTATTTGCGAAGAGGTGTTTGTAGTATTCTCTGATGGTAGTTTGTATTTCTGTGGGATCGGTGGTGATATCCCCTTTATCATTTTTTATTGTGTCTATTTGATTCTTCTCTCTTCTTTCTTTATTAGTCTTGCTAGCGGTCTATCAATTTTGTTGATCCTTTCAAAAAACCAGCTCCTGGATTCATTGATTTTTTGAAGGGTTTTTTGTGCCTCTATTTCCTTCAGTTCTGCTCTGATTTTAGTTATTTCTTGCCTTCTGCTAGCTTTTGAATGTGTTTGCTCTTGCTTTTCTAGTTCTTTTAATTGTGATGTTAGGGTGTCAATTTTGGATCTTTCCTGCTTTCTCTTGTAGGCATTTAGTGCTATAAATTTCCCTCTACACACTGCTTTGAATGCGTCCCAGAGATTCTGGTATGTGGTGTCTTTGTTCTCGTTGGTTTCAAAGAACATCTTTATTTCTGCCTTCATTTCGTTATGTACCCAGTAGTCATTCAGGAGCAGGTTGTTCAGTTTCCATGTAGTTGAGCGGCTTTGAGTGAGATTCTTAATCCTGAGTTCTAGTTTGATTGCACTGTGGTCTGAGAGATAGTTTGTTATAATTTCTGTTCTTTTACATTTGCTGAGGAGAGCTTTACTTCCAACTATGTGGTCAATTTTGGAACAGGTGTGGTGTGGTGCTGAAAAAAATGTATATTCTGTTGATTTGGGGTGGAGAGTTCTGTAGATGTCTATTAGGTCTGCTTGGTGCAGAGCTGAGTTCAATTCCTGGGTATCCTTGTTGACTTTCTGTCTCGTTGATCTGTCTAATGTTGACAGTGGGGTGTTAAAGTCTCCCATTATTAATGTGTGGGAGTCTAAGACTCTTTGTAGGTCACTGAGGACTTGCTTTATGAATCTGGGTGCTCCTGTATTGGGTGCATAAATATTTAGGATAGTTAGCTCCTCTTGTTGAATTGATCCCTTTACCATTATGTAATGGCCTTCTTTGTCTCTTTTGATCTTTGTTGGTTTAAAGTCTGTTTTATCAGAGACTAGGATTGCAACCCCTGCCTTTTTTTGTTTTCCATTGGCTTGGTAGATCTTCCTCCATCCTTTTATTTTGAGCCTATGTGTGTCTCTGCACGTGAGATGGGTTTCCTGAATACAGCACACTGATGGGTCTTGACTCTTTATCCAACTTGCCAGTCTGTGTCTTTTAATTGCAGAATTTAGTCCATTTATATTTAAAGTTAATATTGTTATGTGTGAATTTGATCCTGTCATTATGATGTTAGCTGGTGATTTTGCTCATTAGTTGATGCAGTTTCTTCCTAGTCTCGATGGTCTTTACATTTTGGCATGATTTTGCAGCGGCTGGTACCGGTTGTTCCTTTCCATGTTTAGTGCTTCCTTCAGGAGCTCTTTTAGGGCAGGCCTGGTGGTGACAAAATCTCTCAACATTTGCTTGTCTATAAAGTATTTTATTTCTCCTTCACTTATGAAGCTTAGTTTGGCTGGATATGAAATTCTGGGTTGAAAATTCTTTTCTTTAAGAATGTTGAATATTGGCCCCCACTCTCTTCTGGCTTGTAGGGTTTCTGCCAAGAGATCCGCTGTTAGTCTGATGGGCTTTCCTTTGAGGGTAACCCGACCTTTCTCTCTGGCTGCCCTTAACATTTTTTCCTTCATTTCAACTTTGGTGAATCTGACAATTATGTGTCTTGGAGTTGCTCTTCTCGAGGAGTATCTTTGTGGCGTTCTCTGTATTTCCTGAATCTGAACGTTGGCCTGCCTTGCTAGATTGGGGAAGTTCTCCTGGATAATATCCTGCAGAGTGTTTTCCAACTTGGTTCCATTCTCCACATCACTTTCAGGTACACCAATCAGACGTAGATTTGGTCTTTTCACATAGTCCCATATTTCTTGGAGGCTTTGCTCATTTCTTTTTATTCTTTTTTCTCTAAACTTCCCTTCTCGCTTCATTTCATTCATTTCATCTTCCATTGCTGATACCCTTACTTCCAGTTGATCACATCGGCTCCTGAGGCTTCTGCATTCTTCACGTAGTTCTCGAGCCTTGGTTTTCAGCTCCATCAGCTCCTTTAAGCACTTCTCTGTATTGGTTATTCTAGTTATACATTCTTCTAAATTTTTTTCAAAGTTTTCAACTTCTTTGCCTTTGGTTTGAATGTCCTCCCGTAGCTCAGAGTAATTTGATCGTCTGAAGCCTTCTTCTCTCAGCTCGTCAAAATCATTCTCCATCCAGCTTTGTTCTGTTCCTGGTGAGGAACTGCGTTCCTTTGGAGGAGGAGAGGCGCTCTGCGTTTTAGAGTTTCCAGTTTTTCTGTTCTGTTTTTTCCCCATCTTTGTGGTTTTATCTACTTTTGGTCTTTGATGATGGTGATGTACAGATGGGTTTTCGGTGTAGATGTCCTTTCTGGTTGTTAGTTTTCCTTCTAACAGACAGGACCCTCAGCTGCAGGTCTGTTGGAATACCCTGCCGTGTGAGGTGTCAGTGTGCCCCTGCTGGGGGGTGCCTCCCAGTTAGGCTGCTCGGGGGTCAGGAGTCAGGGACCCACTTGAGGAGGCAGTCTGTCTGCCCGTTCTCAGATCTCCAGCTGCGTGCTGGGAGAACCACTGCTCTCTTCAAAGCTGTCAGACAGGGACACTTAAGTCTGCAGAGGTTACTGCTGTCTTTTTGTTTGTCTGTGCCCTGCCCCCAGAGGTGGAGCCTACAGAGGCAGGCAGGCCTCCTTGAGCTGTGGTGGGCTCCACCCAGTTCGAGCTTCCCGGCTGCTTTGTTTACCTAAGCAAGCCTGGGCAATGGCGGGCGCCCCTCCCCCAGCCTCGTTGCCGCCTTGCAGTTTGATCTCAGACTGCTGTGCTAGCAATCAGCGAGATTCCGTGGGCGTAGGACCCTCCGAGCCAGGTGTGGGATATAGTCTCGTGGTGCGCCGTTTCTTAAGCCGGTCTGAAAAGCGCAATATTCGGGTGGGAGTGACCCGATTTTCCAGGTGCGACCGTCACCCCTTTCTTTGACTCGGAAAGGGAACTCCCTGACCCCTTGCGCTTCCCAGGTGAGGCAATGCCTCGCTCTGCTTCGGCTCGCGCACGGTGCGCACACACACTGGCCTGCGCCCACTGTCTGGCACTCCCTAGTGAGATGAACCCGGTACCTCAGATGGAAATGCAGAAATCACCGTCTTCTGCGTCGCTCACGCTGGGAGCTGTAGACCGGAGCTGTTCCTATTCGGCCATCTTGGCTCCTCCCCTCAACATTGCTGTTTTTTGTGAATTTCTTTTGGAAAGTTCTTTTGTTGTGCAACACCATAGAAATTGTGTACCTTTTTACTAAAGGGCTAGATCTTCTTGATTGTGCACCACACAGAACTAAAAGATTTATTGAACTCCTTACTTATTTAAGTATATGAGGATGCCTTTGTTAGTAGTGGGACTGGGATTGCCAGGCTCTAGAAAGATTTAGGGAGTCCAATGACTGATTGGTCATTGATTAGACCACAGATAAGGAAATTGGTCAAATAAAATTTATGACATCTTAAACATTTTCTGATTAATTAGGGTTTTCTAGTTAAACTATCATTAAAGAGAAAATCCACATTGATGCAATTCTTTCTTTTAAAAATATATGTTTATTTTCCTGCTGCAATAGTTAGTGTAAAGTGAACATGATTAAATTTTTGTTGTTTAGAATCTTATGTCGCCTCTCTCTTACCATTGTGAGCATCATTCTAACATTAGTAGTGTGGTTGTAGGTGAATCCACACTTGTGTTGAGATTTTTATTGATCCTCAAACATACACTGAAAGTTCCTTTTTTGGGCTAGACCTGTACTTTTCCTTCTCAACAGCTTCTTATTTAAGTCAAGGGAAAAAAATTACAATTTAAGCGCTGTCATTAAAACATAGAATATGAACTGTTTGACCTGGGAAGGATCTCAGGAATGATTCAGACTGTCTCCTTCACACAGCGTAGTATTTGCCTAAGAGCACTCAGCAGGTGAGTGCTTTAGCGGGTGCAGACCTATGAGGCCTCATTTAATGCTCTGTAGAAGAATTCCCCAATTCTTATTTTCACTATTACCTATGCAGAACTAAATCCAATTGCTACTAAATGCCATCATAAAACTCCATATGTGCTTGCCTGAACCTGAACCCTGATATTATTAACATACAGACTTCCACAGAGCATTACTAGGGAGTAACAAGTCGTGGAAAATGGTTAGAGAAACATATTACAGATATTTATGGGGGAGATGATCGTACTTGCAAGAAGCATTTCAAGCCTATTGCATTTTCTCAAGTGATTTATTTATAAGTTAGCTGTGACTGAAAATACTAATCTACCCATGTTTCTTTTCAGAGCATTTATTTTTTACTGACTGGAGACTGGGTGCCATTATTCGAGTCAGGAAAGCAGATGGTGGAGAAATGACAGTTATCCGAAGTGGCATTGCTTACATACTGCATTTGAAATCGTATGATGTCAACATCCAGACTGGTGAGTGAGATTGCCCAGTTTTTTTTATTTTTTTGTATGGGTTTATTTATTTGTTACAGTGGCTCCTGTTCTCTTTAAGTACTTATTACTTAAAGGTCTAGCTCCTGGTAGTTTTATATTCTTGTCGTTCACATAATCTAAGAGTGTAAGACTTGAAATCTCTGTTCAATGCTGCTAGCCTTAAACATGTTGTCAGGAAAAACACATTTTGGGACTTTTCCATACCTAAATGGAATGTTGTATTTGGCGGGTTGATTTCCAAGAGGAAGCTACTTTTTAGTATTGGGTCTGAAAAATGTTTTGTCCTGTTTGTTTTCCTTCACAAATCAAACCCGTGACCTACCTAGTGAAAATGTACATGACTGACTCCCTCGGGGCTTTGCTTTTGCAGGTTCTAACGCCTGTAATCAACCCACGCATCCTAACGGTGACTGCAGCCACTTCTGCTTCCCGGTGCCAAATTTCCAGCGAGTGTGTGGGTGCCCTTATGGAATGAGGCTGGCTTCCAATCACTTGACATGCGAGGGGGACCCAACCAATGAACCACCCACAGAGCAGTGTGGCTTATTTTCCTTCCCCTGTAAAAATGGCAGATGTGTGCCCAATTACTATCTCTGTGATGGAGTCGATGATTGTCATGATAACAGTGATGAGCAACTATGTGGCACACTTAGTAAGTAGCTATGCACTGGCGATATTTCCTGGGATGAATAGAGTAGAGGTGGGCTTTAAAGAAAATAAATAAAAGCTTGGGCTATTTATATGGGAAAAATATCTTTTAGAATTTCAGATTCTTAACATGCACTTTGAAGGCTTTTAGGAAGCTAAGCAAGAAATTTCATTCATAATGTTATGGATGGTTTCTGGCCTTGATTTAGACTATCTTCAACAATTTTTTTCCTTGACATTGGCTGTTTGGACCAATGCAGTCATTATGTCTTGGCAAACTCCTCAAAAAGTCAAATCGAAATAAACTAGATCTGACCAGGCAAGGTGGCTCATGCCTGTAATCGGAGGCCGAGACAGGAGGATTGCTTAAGTCCAGAAGTTTGAGACCAGCCTGGGAAACATGACGAAATCCGGTCTCTACAAAAAATATAAAATGGCACATGTATACATATGTAACTAACCTGCACATTGTGCACATGTACCCTAAAACTTAAAGTATAATAATAATAAATAAATAAAAAAGAAATAGATGAGCTCAGAAAAAAATATGTATATAAAATTACAAATAGCTGGGACTATTACAAAATACAAAATTACAAAATACAAAAAAAACAAAATTACAAGTAGCTAGGACTACAGGCACATGCCACCACACCCAGCTAATTTGTATTTTGTATTTTCACAAAATTTGTAAAATACAAAAATTTGTACTTGGGAGGCTGAGGTGGGAGAGTTGTTTGAGCTGGGGAGGTTGAGGCTGCAGTTAGCCAAGACTGTGCCGTGTACTTCAGCCTGTGCAACAGAGTGAAGCCCTGCCTCAAAAAAATAAGCAAACAAACAACAACAACAACAAAAACCAAAAATAAAGTAGACCTAACATTTAGCAACCGAGAGAATAGTATCACAGAATAACTACTTGCAATCATAGCCTTTGGAAAATCTCATGTGTTATATTCCTTTTCTCCCATGTTAGAGTAAAATAAATTAACAATGAAATGGTGGTCTTAACCTTTATATTCTTCTTTTGACGGTAATCTAGTCTATATAGTTTGGGGCCTAATAAACACTATTGCAGAAGGCAAAAGTATTACATTCAAATTAAAAAAAAGATAGAGGACAGTTGAAATCTCAGAAATCTCTATCAAGGTGAAGTTAATACTAATAATAACCTTTCTTTTGGAGAGAAAGAGGAGTGACAGATTTGCAAGAGTAAAGTGCTCACTTGTACATTTTTCTGAAATTTTTTAAATTTTCATCTTTTTGTGTATTATCTTCTTGTTTCTAAGAGCACAGCATTTTACCTTAATATTTTATCTATTTGCACTTTTCATATGACATATTTTCAAGCTTTCTATAGTCTGAATTTGAAATTGTGGTTGGAGGAAGTAACAGCTTGAAAGTTAAGGATGAGCTTTAGAGTGAATCCAACCAGAGCGTGAATCATAGGCAGGTTCCTAAATCTCTCAAAGACTCAATTTCCTTATCTGTAAAATGCAGACAATTATATGTACTTTATAGTATTCTTGTGAGGATTTAAAGAGAACTTATATGATGTGTGTGGGTGCATAACTTAGAAAAATGCCTTTTCTATGATAAATACCAAATAAATGCCAGCCAATAATGATGTTAGTGATGATGACATCACTTGATGAACATTTCTCCTTATTATATACAATGCCTCCATTAAAAAAGGTGAACTGAGCCTTTATAAGGCAAGAACTCATTTAAAAGGCTGTAAAAACAAATGTCTTCATGACCAGTTTGTTACTATTGTAGATAATACCTGTTCATCTTCGGCGTTCACCTGTGGCCATGGGGAGTGCATTCCTGCACACTGGCGCTGTGACAAACGCAACGACTGTGTGGATGGCAGTGATGAGCACAACTGCCCCACCCACGCACCTGCTTCCTGCCTTGACACCCAATACACCTGTGATAATCACCAGTGTATCTCAAAGAACTGGGTCTGTGACACAGACAATGATTGTGGGGATGGATCTGATGAAAAGAACTGCAGTAAGTTTTGAGCTGGTTTCCCTTGGTTGGTCAGCCTCGTAAATAGACTTCAACAACCAAATGGCCTTGCATTCTTTCCTCTAAGGCTCATGCAATTTTCATTGTCTCTTTAGTACTTCTATTCCACTTGTCAATCTCTGTGTCAATAGGTTACAAGAACAAAGGCACGTGCCTGCACATGGGATTCTTAGAGTCCACCTACAAATATTGAGTTCTATGGAAGCAAAGCAAGGACTGCCTCTGATGCCAAACATTTCAATTCAGATAGGAATTGAAAAAGTGAAAATCCCTCAGCTATCTATTTATATATTTAAAACAATACTAAAAGTCATATAGATATATCCAGACCTTTGGCTATTGATGTTTCTTTTTCATTTGGTACAAGCAAAAAGACATCAAAATAAAGAGGCACAGAAAATTTAAATTTCCTTTGATCTTATCCACCTGTTTTCCATCTTGCCAGTTCTGCTTTCCTTTAGCTTGTTGTTTTATTTCATGTCTTCAATAATAGTTTAAGATGGAGCAAAGTTCCCTGGGCTAAGTTCTAGTCCTGGTTGCCTGACTAGGCAAGTCACTATCATTTGGAATAGATGAGCTTTAAGATCCCTTCTAGCTTTCATACCCTATAAGTGTGTATTTAATATAATTTCATGTTGTGGGTGGGGCCAGCCACTGCATCCGACTCCAAGGCTATGGTCTTAACAGTAAGGTAGGACCCTGGTTTTTAGAATTGTTCTGTTCAGACTTTTAAATCCAGTTTTGGGGGTCTGTCTACACACTGTTGCTACTAGGCATGTGGGTCATGCTGGTTTTGTTGCCTGATTGGGCTCCATTGCTTGGCTTTGGTCTAGAGTCATGGACTTCATAGTATTCATGAAATGTAGTCCAAGTCCAAGCACATGATGCTCACTTTCTGAATGTGGTCTATTTTCCAAGGTGTAATCACAGTTTCTGACTCTGCCCTGTAATCTTTTTATTCTCAATTCTAAAACCTATCCTAGTTTTGAGTTCTTTTGCTTAGCTGACTTTGATAGTGTGGCTGATTCAAAAGAATTTTGAACCCATGTACAATTGAGATAACTTCTGTAGCTATTTAGCCATTTTTAGTTTGGCTCTGGTACTTGTTGCACAGGAAATAAACTTGTTGGTTTTGTTTTCGGATGACATTAGATTCGACAGAGACATGCCAACCTAGTCAGTTTAATTGCCCCAATCATCGATGTATTGACCTATCGTTTGTCTGTGATGGTGACAAGGATTGTGTTGATGGATCTGATGAGGTTGGTTGTGGTAAGTGCATTGCCTTCTTTTTTATTCACAATGTTTATTTAGAAAAATCTCAGTGTTAACACATGGACACAGGGAGGGGAACATCACACACCGGGGCCTGTTGGGGGGTGGGGAGCTAGAGAAGGGATGGCATTAGGAGAAATACCTAATGTAGATGATGGGTTGATGGGTGCAGCAAACCACCATGGCACGTGTATACCTATGTAACAAACCTGCATGTTCTGCATATGTACTCCAGAACTTAAAGTATAACAACAAAAAAGAAAAATCTCAGTGTTTAGTCATTTTAGCCCTGAGCTAATTTCTAATGCTTTTCTCTTTCATTCTTAGTATTAAACTGTACTGCTTCTCAATTCAAGTGTGCCAGTGGGGATAAATGTATTGGCGTCACAAATCGTTGTGATGGTGTTTTTGATTGCAGTGACAACTCGGATGAAGCAGGCTGTCGTAAGTAACACATACCCAGAATGTTTCAGACAAAGGGGTCATTTCATTTTTGCCAGTATTGATATTGATATTGCCACACATTTTCCCTAACTCAGACAAACTGGGGGAAAGTATCCTCAAAGGAATGTGGTATTGAACATACAGTAAAATTGAGTAGACATTGCCATATAATGTGTAATTAACAAATCAAGTGGTTGTATAAATGGACACTTCAAATAGTCTCTTAGATGGGCTAAATATTTCTTAGATATTTTTGTTTTCACTTTTAGTTTTTCTTAGGACTTCCCACTTTAGTAGGTTTAAACTTTTGAGGCTCTACTCCATATAAAGATATTTTACTGGTTTCTTTTAAGTTTCAGTAGAGAAGTCATATCATGGTGTAGAAATGGTATGGAGCTGTGTTTAGTATTGACTCTGATGAATTCATTCTTTGTGCTATTATGTGTTGAATATCTGCTAAGATGTTATCTATGGAGATTATAGAAGGCAAGAGACAATTAAGCAAGATAGACAGTTACAAGGGTCTTAGAAATGGCACAGATAAAATTCTATGGAGGTTCAGAGAAAAGAAATTTCTTCTAGTTGGAGGATTCAAGTAGGACTTCATACAGTATAATTCTGATGGATCTATAATCTTCACAGACTGGAAACCTATACTCACATGATTTGTTATTTGCCCACTTTTTGTTTTAAATGGATTTTAGACTTGCAAAAACTCATCAGTGAGTTGATCATTTGTTTGAACAATGGTGTTTTAGACCAAAAAAGTAAGTTTTCATGAATTCTCCTCCTGCGTCAGAAAGGTAGTGTGTAAAGCCATGGATTAAAAAGAAAAGTTAAATAAAATGCTTATATACTTTATAGTTTGCACAACATCTAGAAATTACTAATCACTAATTTTCCTGTTTCACATTAAAAACATAAAATTCTGTGATGAGCTGAGGTTAAACTGTCAATTGCCGCTGGCTTGCTGTTGCCTTGTGAGATCCCTGGTAGAGAGTTTTGGTTTACCCTTGTCAAATAGGGAAGCAGTTCTTACGTATCTCTCCAGGATTGCTTGATGAATAGTGGAAAGTTTGCAAAGAACTGAGTATTTACCATCATCTTTAGTTAGTGTGTGATGGTTTCATTAGGTATAGTTCATCTGAGGGAAAATAATAACACCCAAACATGATATGAAACACATGAAGTTCAAAGTAATCATAGCTATTTAAGCTCTATTGTAATGTTCTGGTGATTCTTTCATAGAAAGATAGATAAACTTTATTATTGAATCTGCAATTGGAAGTACATTAAAAACACAGGAAAAGGAAACAGGATGTTCTTTTGACACAGGTACTCATCTGCTAGTCAGCAGTTGTGCGTTCTGTACTTCGTTTGTTGTCAGAGCCACTAGCTGCCACAAAGAAATATTTCTATGTACTAGAGTGTGGGAGAAGACTCTATATCATTTAGCCTTAAATATTAATTTGGTCATAGTTGTTACTATAAACCTACTATTGGATCCAAAATCATTTCCTCTGAGTCTAGACTATAAAAGGGATCACAAATTACATTCACAAGCCGATTTACCCCATGTTTTCCTTCTAGCAACCAGGCCTCCTGGTATGTGCCACTCAGATGAATTTCAGTGCCAAGAAGATGGTATCTGCATCCCGAACTTCTGGGAATGTGATGGGCATCCAGACTGCCTCTATGGATCTGATGAGCACAATGCCTGTGTCCCCAAGACTTGCCCTTCATCATATTTCCACTGTGACAACGGAAACTGCATCCACAGGGCATGGCTCTGTGATCGGGACAATGACTGCGGGGATATGAGTGATGAGAAGGACTGCCCTACTCAGCCCTTTCGCTGTCCTAGTTGGCAATGGCAGTGTCTTGGCCATAACATCTGTGTGAATCTGAGTGTAGTGTGTGATGGCATCTTTGACTGCCCCAATGGGACAGATGAGTCCCCACTTTGCAGTAAGTTTCCTGACCACAGTTTACTGGCCATAAACTCATTCTGAACAGTAGCCTGGTGTGCATCACCATTGTCACAGTCACTGTGTAGCTTTGTAGGAAGGATTTCAGTTCCTCTATGAGTTCACATCTGTGTAGGGGGTAACCATAATTGAATTCAAATACATCACCATTGGATAATTTTCTGATTAAATCCTTTGTACTTGGTTATGTGTTTTTACTTCTTTTTATGTCTTTGTTTCAAAAAATGAGACTAAATTGAGGCCATTAGATTGTCAAATTAAATTTGGTTCTGTTGGTAATGTGCTCATTAATTTTTCTAACTTTAATATTTTCTAATTTCAATCAGAACTTATCACAAAAAAATGAAGTCCAGGGATTTGTGTTGCTGTGATTAAAGTGCTGTGATTGGCATGTAATCCTAATTACTGTCATTTCTTTCTTTCCTCTTTAATCAATGCTCACTCTCAGATGAACCCCAGCCAGGTATGATTGTGAAGTATTTCAGATTCTTATGATTTCATATGTGTTGTGTTTGTTCTGAAAATGTCCTGATTATATTAACTTACTTCCCTTTCTAACGCATGTTCTGTGTTATGACTCTTACAAATATGTTAGAGTACACATGGAAATAGAAGGCATTTGCATCCCCAGGCATGTGAACTGTCTTAGGGTGGCTTTAGGCATTTTCATTTTGGCCCTGAAAGTAAGGCATGACGATATGTTACCGGATCTGTGTACTCTAATATTTCAATGACCTTTCCCCTTTGATTTGTTCACTTCATAGATTTTCTGGTCTTTTCTCTTAAATGTTTGTCTATCTTCCATTTCTGTATAGATAGTAGAATTTCAGAGGAAGAAAACGAGAAACAATTTTAAGTGTCTTTGCATGCTCTATCAATGACACTTTTCTTCCTTGATGTCAACAATATTTTCCCAAGGGTTCTCATTGCATTAAATGGAGTTATACTATTGGGTTGTAGTGAAGAAGGTGATCATACTCCAATGGATATGAAGGATGGTAAATCCTCAGACAAATTAGAGCAAACCCTGAACAGCCTGTGGAACTCACCCAAGTGCATGCTGCACTTAGCTCTTGTCTGGGCATCATATTGAAGGTGGCATGAGACTGCATAATAAATATTGCATAAGAGTGAATCAAAGAAGCAAAGATTCTTGATTTTCTTTTTTCATTATTCTCTTTCTTTTTTCTAGATGGGAACAGCTGCTCAGATTTCAATGGTGGTTGTACTCACGAGTGTGTTCAAGAGCCCTTTGGGGCTAAATGCCTATGTCCATTGGGATTCTTACTTGCCAATGATTCTAAGACCTGTGAAGACATAGATGAATGTGATATTCTAGGCTCTTGTAGCCAGCACTGTTACAATATGAGAGGTTCTTTCCGGTGCTCGTGTGATACAGGCTACATGTTAGAAAGTGATGGGAGGACTTGCAAAGTTACAGGTAATTGCTGAACTAACCCGAGCCAGTTTATCAGCACATCCCAGAGCTTAAAATCAAATGGCACATGTAGGTATTTGACAATGTTGATTAGGAGTTAGATCGACTTGAATCCTGGAAAGATTATGCAATCTCTTTAAACCTCAATTTTTTGTGAGGATTAAATGGGGTAATACACATTAAAATCCTGGTGTATTTTGGAAAATAGAGGTTAAAACATATACAAGTCAATGATTTTTAAAGTATTTAAAATAATACCAAATGGCTTTTATATAATTTAAAATGAGTTCTATACTATATTTAAGCATCTTTATATAATGCTTAATTGAATTCAACCAGTATTAATTCAATTTCTGCTATAAGAAAGTGCTTTTTACTATGTATTAGGATATTGATTTGACCACTTTCAAAGTGACCAAATAGAGGAAGCTAAAACAAAAACAGAAAGTTTCTTTCTTTTACATGTAGTAGGAGTCTGGATGTCAGAGAGTCCAGGGCATGGGGTCTGCTCTGTTATCCTCATCATGTGGCTTACATCAAGGGTTCCAATGCTCCAGGTTTTAGCTTCTCTTAGAAAGTAGGAAGGGGAAAGAGAAAGTGGAGGGCAAGCAGCTTCCTTTTTAGAATGTGACCTGAGATTTGATTCGTAATTTCTACTCACATCCTATTGGTCAGAACTTAGTCATGTGGTCACTCCAAACTTCAGTGGAGGGAGAGAAATGTCTCTGGCTGGAGAGTCTGTGCCAAGCTAAAACTTGGCATGCTTTATTACTAAAAAGAAAAAGAAGAGAGGGGGTGTTGGGAGAATTAGAACTCTCTACCATAGCTGAGGGCCTCAGAAAACAGAAATATTTAAGACATGATTCCTGCTGTCCAGAAGCCTACAACCTATTAAATAGTAAGGAAGATAACCAAAGTACAAAAATAAATACAGTAAAAGGAAGAATGTAAGCATAGTTTACTCTAGACTAGTATTTAGAAACACAGTTAAATATAACCCAAGAAAGAGTCTATTTTAAGTACTCATGAAAACCAGCTAACTATTAAGGTTAAGAATGAAGTGATTAAAATCATTCATATGGGGCTTCCTCCCCTCCCCACCAACTTACTATAGTTTGGAATTACACCTTCTTTCTGTTACCAAAAGTATTGAATCAAAAGTTTTAAAGAGTTGTTTTGTGTTTTCTCCCAGTATCATTGACATTTTTGCATTTTTTTCTTGAACAGCATCTGAGAGTCTGCTGTTACTTGTGGCAAGTCAGAACAAAATTATTGCCGACAGTGTCACCTCCCAGGTCCACAATATCTATTCATTGGTCGAGAATGGTTCTTACATTGTAGCTGTTGATTTTGATTCAATTAGTGGTCGTATCTTTTGGTCTGATGCAACTCAGGGTAAAACCTGGAGTGCGTTTCAAAATGGAACGGACAGAAGAGTGGTAAGTACATTTCTGTTGACCTTTGGCCTGGCTAGTTCCTCTGTCTTGGGTCTGTTTGCTGTTATTCACCAGTGAGAGAAGGCCCTACCTCATCTGGGTAGCTCTCATGGTACCTTCTGGGCCACATCATACCCAAGAGACTTGCGTGTTCATAACTACGAATTTATGGCTGTTTTAGATAGGAGGGTGGCCTCTGAATGCAGATGTGTGATTCTGAATTCCAGGTCAGGTGATGCAGAGACCTCACAATGTCTTTACGGTTCCTTTTGCAGTCTTTTCTTGTGGATGAGAGCAGAGGAAAGTGCAGGAAAGTTAAGGGGTTGCTTTTCTTAGCTTTAATTTAGTGATATTTCTCAATCCATCTCCCAGAATTTCAGTTTCTTGGCTCCTGATAGTTACATTTCCTCTGCCTCTTACAACTTTATTTTGTAATTCTTGGTCCTTAATTAATAGAGATATTATTCGTTGCATGCAAACACTATAACATTTTGTAATGTTGCCAACTAAGCAAATGGATAGAGCTTTTTCTTAATTGCAAAAACTTTTGAAACCAAAACGAAACTATGCACTAACCAAACAATGAAGTCATCTTAGAATGTTCAGTGTGACAAAATCTTGTATACTTTTCTCAGAAAACCCTGCTGTTGATTTGGTGGTTAGCTACATGAGGAGACAAAATTTTCTAATCCCCACAAGTAATTATAGGACAAGTTAGATGGTTTAATCTAGATTTTTATATAATATCCATGTTTGCATTCATTTATTTGCTCTAGAATTCACTCTTTATTCACTTTTGTCTTTAGGTATTTGACAGTAGCATCATCTTGACTGAAACTATTGCAATAGATTGGGTAGGTCGTAATCTTTACTGGACAGACTATGCTCTGGAAACAATTGAAGTCTCCAAAATTGATGGGAGCCACAGGACTGTGCTGATTAGTAAAAACCTAACAAATCCAAGAGGACTAGCATTAGATCCCAGAATGAAGTAAGACTTTTTTTTAAAATTATGTTGCCTTGACATGGTTATGATGAGGGAAAAACAACAGTAACATGATGTAGCTGATATGCATGTTGCTGATATGCAAAATTTAAAATGATCCCTTGTTTAAACATGGTAGGTGTCCAACTGGGTGTTGCTATCTCTCCTTCATCTGAATCATCCTCTTCATAAAGTACATAAGAGCAATTGATTGTTTACTTTATTTTAAGAGCACATTGATTTATTAGCTTGGCAATACAATTTTTGAAATGTCATATAATTAAAAATTAAGTTTCTAATTACTGCATGCAGTAATAGTCCATAGAGGGGCCAGTTTGATGTAACTTTGATAACTCATGATTATACAACAAAAAAGCTGGATTTTTCTGCTTCAGTTTTATGTTGTTTATTAGAGCTCCCTTTTAAGTCATATAAGGAAGGCAGTTTTTGCCTGCTGATCCTGAAGGGAAGATAGAGAAATTCTCCCATGTGTTTGGAAATCTTTGAGGATTTCTTTCCCTGAATTTACTTATATTTTATAACTTAGATTCTTTTCTGCAGGATGGTAAATTAGGCAAGTTATGTTCAATGTGATGTTGAATTCCTAGATATTGTAAAGTATTACACACCACTGAAATTTATGATGAATTCCTGATGAAGAATAAATTGATTTCCTTATCTAAAAACATGACAGGGTAGACAAACAAGGACAGATGGATTTTTCTAGATCAACTATTTGTGGATTATAAACAAACATGAATTGGCATTGAGACATTTCAATGTCATAATGTACTACATTATGACATTATGTATTACATGTTTTATGAACATTATAAAAATACCCAGATGGGTTGTGATTGTGTTATGACAGTTTTACTTTGTGACACTTAGAGGAAACAATAAACTCTGTGAATATATTCTGAACCAGAGATGATTTATTTTAAGCAGGGCATAAACAGGATGTTGTATTATTTAAAATGACAGTTATTTTTAATATTTAAATACGTCCCCTCCAATTGGTAACTCATTTCCTTTCCCAGTGAGCATCTACTGTTCTGGTCTGACTGGGGCCACCACCCTCGCATCGAGCGAGCCAGCATGGACGGCAGCATGCGCACTGTCATTGTCCAGGACAAGATCTTCTGGCCCTGCGGCTTAACTATTGACTACCCCAACAGACTGCTCTACTTCATGGACTCCTATCTTGATTACATGGACTTTTGTGATTATAATGGACACCATCGGAGACAGGTGATAGCCAGTGATTTGGTAAGTTGGTGGTGAGGAAAACCAAATTAAAACTACAGTCGTGGATAGGTAGAAATCAGACGAGTATCAGAAAAGCTAAGAAATTAATTTTTGTGTCATAGACATTGTCAGATCAATCCAGGAAATACCAGCAACAGTGAGAGGCAGTCTATCCCATATGACTAACTGGAAAATGAATATTTTCATTCCAGTTCATGGTCAGCTTGTGCCATATCCAGGAAGGATTTTTATAGCTCGTGTGATTTAGTTGAGCTGCAGATGTGAATCTGTTGCTTCTATACCTTTAAAAATTGTGTCAGGTGGCCGGGCGCGGTGGCTCACGCCTGTGATCCCAGCACTTTGGGAGGCCGAGGTGGGTGGATCATCTGAGGTCAGGAGTTTGAGACCAGCCTGGCCAACATGGTGAAACCTCATCTCTACTAAAAACACAAAAATTAGCCAGTGTGGTAGCACACACCTATAGTCTCAGCTATTCGGGAAGCTGAGACAGGAAAATTGCTTGAACCCGGGAAGCAGAGGTTGCAGTGAGCTGAGATTGCCTCACTGCACTCCAGCCTAGGTGACAGAGTGAGACTCCATCTCAAAAAAAAAAAAAATTTTTTTCAAGCAAAAATTTATAACTTAACTTGGCCAGGCACATTGTCTCACATCTGTAATCCTAGCACTTTGGGAGGCTGAGGTTGGTGGATCGCTTGAGCCCAGGAGTTCAAGACCAGCCTGGGTAACATGGCAAAACCCCATTTCTACAAAAAAATACAAAAATTAGCTGGGCATGGGGGTGTTTGCCTATAGTCCCAACTACTTGGGAGGCTGAGGTGGGAGGATTGCCTGAACCCAGGGAGGTCAAGGCTGTAGTGAGCTGTGATTGTGCCACTGCACTCCAGCCTGGGTGACAAAGTGAGACCCTGTTTTCAAAAAAAAAAAAAACAAAAATTAACTAGATTTATATTTCTCAGTCTTGTTCTTCACATAACATTTTTTATTCTATAAATTCTGTTGAATTTATTTTCACAAGTTAAATGGGAAAATAAAGAAAATAGATATTTTATCAAAGAGCTGTTATTGACCCCCATTAAAAATAGGAATGCTTTTACACTGTTGGTGGGAGTGTAAATTAGTTCAACCATTGTGGAAGATAGTGTGGCAATTCCTCAGGGATCTAGAACCAGAAATACCATTTGACCCAGCAATCCCATTACTGGGTATATACCCAAAGGAATATAAATCATTCTACTATAAAGACACATGCACTCATATGTTATTGCAGCACTATTTACAATAGCAAAGACTTGGAACTAACACAAATGCCCATTAATGATAGACATATACATCATGGACTACTATGCAGCCATAAAAAAGAATGAGTTCATGTCCTTTGCAGGGATATGGATGAAGCTGGAAACCATCATTTTCAGCAAACTAACACAAGAACAGAAAACCAAACACTTCATGTTGTCACTCATAAGTGAGAGTTGAACAATGAGAACACATGGACACAGGGAGGGGAACATCACACACCGGGGCCTGTCAGTGGGTGGGGGCAAGGGGAGGGAGAGCATTAGGACAAATATCTAATGCATGTGAGGGTTAAAACCTAGATGATGGGTTGATGGGTGCAGCAAACCACCATGGCACATGTATACCTATGTAACAAACCTGCACGTTCTGCACATGTATCCCAGAACTTAAAGTAAAATAAAAAATAAAAAATTAAAAACAATTTAAAAAAGAGAAAAAATTGCTATTGTATAGTTGCTGTGACTTGAAGGAAAGATGCATCTAAACTATAACAGATTGATGTGAATCAGTGAGT
The DNA here is from genome assembly GCF_000001405.40 of Homo sapiens. Taxonomy (NCBI): domain Eukaryota; kingdom Metazoa; phylum Chordata; class Mammalia; order Primates; family Hominidae; genus Homo; species Homo sapiens. The sequence continues at coordinate 169,234,026 of NC_000002.12, read as the reverse complement.
GGCAGCACAAGACCGTGGAAATAGCCGGCACAAGTGTGCTGATGGTGGAGTGAAGGCTGGGGCGTGGGAGTGGGAGATGAGGAGTCTCTAAGCTCTCTAGTTCCATCTAACTTTTAACTAGTAGGTGATCCGGATACATCACCTTGCTTTTTGTGCTTCAGTTTTGTTTTCATTTGTAAAATAGATGCCCAGTGTAATTACCAAGGCAAACATAAAGAGTAAATGGCACGTGTATGTGAAAGGCTCTTGAATGGTTTAGTGGGATATAGGACGAATTGTGTATTTTTTGCCGCTCTTTTGCACAATGACTTCCTTGTGTTTTTATTAAATAATGACATGTTAAAGGAAACCGTCTTCTTGAGCAGATATCCTCTTTGACTCAGTGCACCTTGGCTTTGATTTTTGGATGAGGTCTCACTGTTCTCTTCTGCCTCACAGATTATACGGCACCCCTATGCCCTAACTCTCTTTGAAGACTCTGTGTACTGGACTGACCGTGCTACTCGTCGGGTTATGCGAGCCAACAAGTGGCATGGAGGGAACCAGTCAGTTGTAATGTATAATATTCAATGGCCCCTTGGGATTGTTGCGGTTCATCCTTCGAAACAACCAAATTGTGAGTGATACAGAGAAACATCCTGCCTGGGAGTAGCTTGAAAAACACTGACCCTGGGAATGCTAAATGCACACTGTTACAGACCCATTTGTTTGGACAATACATTTTCCTTTTCTCTTTACAAACCACCCCACTATATACTTTCCCTAGTCCTGACATTGCCATTACTTTTATTTACCATGGAAATTTCAAACCTAGGATATAATAACAGCACATCTGAATTATATCATTTCAGCATTTGGCTGCTACCTCTTTGACCCTCACATGAGTCTCCGTTTCCTCAGCTGACAAATGGAGTACAGACCAGATAGTGCCTTCGATCCTCTTACCGCTACCACTCTGATTGAAAGCAGCTTACTTTTAGGACTAGTTTATTATGGCACCACTGCCTTCTAGGTGCTCTGCTGTAGCCAGCACGAGTTGTCCTAAAGTGCATGGTATGGGTGTCTAGGTGAAAGACTTGGCATCCGTACTGTTCTTTCTGGTGGGAGAGGGAGATAAGTCACTTAATCTTCACTTAATCCTCTCTCCTCAAAACTCTCCAATTGTTTCTCACACCCTTCAGCATGTGGCTGCTGCTATTTCCCTGCTCTCTTCTCCCACTCGCTGTTGCCACATTGGATTTCATTATGGTCCAAAAGCACAGCAGGCGACTCCTGCCTCTCAGCTTCTGCGCTAGCTCTTCCCTCTACCTGGAACATCTCTCTTCCAGATCTCTGCATGAGTTGCTTCGCGTGCTATTTAGGATTCTACCCAAATGTCACTTTCTCAGAGAGGCCCTCATTGACCGCTCTACCTAAAATAGCCACCCCCTCATAATTCTTTTGCTCTTTACCCTCATGTTCTGAAACCTCTCTCTCTCTCTCTGAGTTTAGTTGTTTCTTTTTGCTCGAATATATACTCCACTTTTATAGCGTCCCCAGTGCTTAGAATGGTGTTTGGTTTACAGTGAATACCTACCATTTTTCTGGTGAATGAATGGATTAATAATCTATTAATAACATGGTATGTGTAATAAAAATGTATAGGATCTAGGAAACATCCTGTGTGTGGGGACCACACAGAATCCTGATTTTCAAGGTGCAGAGACACACAGAGATATCATCAGTAGAAAAATAAAAGATTATTATCTAACCAAAATCTGGAAAACTCTAGGTAAACTACAAGGTCACACATCAAACACACAACTTTTTTTTTTTTTAATGCAAAAAGATCTCTTTTAGGTCAGGTAAGGAGACAGATTATTTGGCATCATATTTCTATTACAAGTTCCAGATTACTCAGTGGCTGTTTGTTCGTAATCCAGTTATAGACTGGATTGATCTGTAACCTTGAGTCATTCTCCTCTCTCGTGTCTCTTATGAATTCTAAGTTGAAAGCCTGATGCTAGGGAAGTTGAAAGTGTGAGTAGTTCAGTGAAAACAAAACAAAAGAAAACAACAGAGGTAACAACGTACTTAAGCCCCCCTGTACTGGGGCCTCTGGAAGGACACTAAGAGCATGACTCTGTTTTGATTTTAATGTGGAGGTTTTCCACTTACTGGTGCTTTCTTCTCTTTCTCATGCAGCCGTGAATCCATGTGCCTTTTCCCGCTGCAGCCATCTCTGCCTGCTTTCCTCACAGGGGCCTCATTTTTACTCCTGTGTTTGTCCTTCAGGATGGAGTCTGTCTCCTGATCTCCTGAATTGCTTGAGAGGTATAGTATGCTCCTTATGTGAGCTCTGAAGATGGAGCTGGTCATAGTTTGTGCCAAGCAGTGGAAACTCTAAAACCAATTGCGACTGAACATGTGCTGTGTCCTTTGATTCCTCAGGTGTCTGCAGAATGATGTGTGTTGTATGGGGTGATGTCACTGTGTGCCTTGGTTGTAATACAGTTTCTGTATATGGAACTAATGTTATCTGTGCATGTAATTGAACAATCTGTAACCTCATATTTTCTCTCACCTGGGTACAGTTAGACTTCTCTGACAAGCCATGATAATGGGAAGTTCCAAATTCTTCACCTAAGAAGTAAACATTCTCAACGTTTGTGTACAGCTTCATTTTTTATGTCCATTGTCTCTTTCTCCCTCTTTTTTTTTTCTTTTTTCTTTCTTTCTTTTTTTTTTCTTTCTGAGACAGGGTCTTGCTCTGATGCCCAGACTGTAGTGCAATGGCGTAATCATAGCTCACTGTAGCCTCCACTTTCCGGGCCCCTGTGATTCTCCCACCTCAGCCTCCTGAGTAGATGAGACTATAGGTGCACGCCACCACACCCGGCTAATTTTTGTATTTTTTGTAGAGACCGGGTTTTGCCATGTTGCCCAGGCTGGTCTCCAAGTTCTGCCCTCAGGCCATCCACTTGCCTTAGCCTCCCAAAGTGCTGGGATTACAGACGTGGACCACTGCACCTGGCTCCATTGTCTCATTTTTATTCTTATAACCAATAGTTAATGAGTGTTCTAGCCTGGGTCTTCTGACTCCAATTTCAGTACTGTTACTATTACCATCTGATACTTTAAGAAGGAGAATTGTGTTGGTATGAGATATTACAAGTGACTGAGCAATTTAATATTTATCTCATCCTAGAGATATTTTATTGGGTCGATTGAAGAGTGTGTGGAGGATTATACCAAGTACTTAAGGGAGTAAGAAAAGAAGGAAAAGTTGCATCCAGTTCACAAAAGAGATTTCTTCTGGAGTGTGTACTTGTATATAATACACTTAAAAATATAATTCCTTATTGCTTAAAAATCTAAGAAGTTACTCTAAACCCAAGTTCCCTTTCGTTTCTCAGTGAAGAGAACTGAATGAATATATTTTGATACTGATGAAAATTGCTGTAGACAAGTTCAACTTAAATGTTTAATGATCACATATTCCTAAATTAAGAGATAATAGAGTCCTAATCTAGAAGGAAATTTAGTCCTAATCTAGAATGGAAAATATATACTGAATTCAGGAAACTTTTAGTGTTTAGATATTATGCAGATGTAGGCTTACTGAAAATCAAATTCCATCAGCATGTAATATTGTGCAATGATACTTTCATGATGAAAGATTTTAATTATTGGTAATTCTCACAGAGGGACTGGCACTTGCCATTTTTCCTCAGAGACTTATTATGTACCTAATCCTCGTTGACATTGTTTAATTTAGTGTGTTCCTAGAGTCTTTCAGGAGAAGATTAAACTGGGCTGTAGACATTTCGGATACAAAGCATTCTTTCAGCACACAAAGACTGTTGAATTGCACATTGGGGGTTGGTGTAATCAATATTACTCTCTGATGATGATTGATAAGTGTTAATTTTAAATAGTGCCTTTTGTTGTTTCACAAATAATTCCACTAGTGGTTTTCTCATGGGTTGACTTTACCGAAGTGGAACTTTTTAAGTATTTCCCAGTAGGTTTCAGAGCACCAGCTGAGTAACTGATTGCCAATATATGTTAAATGAAAAAAGGTTTCCACATTTTTTTTTCCCCAACAAGAAGTTTAGAAAACTTGTTAACATTTATAGGTGGAAACATTTTACTTGATTTGATTGTTGAATAGCTTTTCAACTAGTGTTTACTAAGAGGCTGGAATATATGTAGAAGTGCTTCTGTGATGCTGTTAAGTAAAAGAAGCAGATATTGCACAATATTGGCCTTGTAAAAACATGCATTAAAAAACACACAAGTTTCTGGAAGCAAAAACACACAAGTGCCAATAGTGGTTACAGTTGGATAGGGGAATTATGAGATGGTTCTACTTATTTCTAATTTTATGTTATAATGAGTGCTTTCTCTGTATGAGACTTTTTAAATTCTTTAGAAAATATATTCCCCACAATGCCAAAACCAAATGAACAAACAAAACTCAAGCCAAACATCACCTCAGCACCCCTAAAATTACTCCAAATACAAATAGACTTCTGACTCGGTCTCAGGGGCACAAGGCACTTGCTTCAGTGATTTTGTGCAAGATAAGAGAACACTCCTTGTCCTTGCTCCAGGGAAGGCTGCAGTGCTGATCAGCTTGTGCAGGGTATGACTTAAGGAGGACCTAGGTTTGGGGGTCATATATATTGTCGTTCAATTACAACACTGAGTTCTCATTCCTGACTATAGTGTCTTCATGACTCTGCTGACACTAACATTAATGGGATTATGACATGGAAAATAGAAATGAAGAGATGATCTTTAACTTCAAAAGACAGAGACACACTGACCTACTTAACCGTCACCACCTCCTGAATTCCTTTCCATCCAACCCTAGATGATTCTGTGCCTACCCCTTCATGCCATTGTCATAATTGTAAGGGCTCATATACTTGGTCTTGCCCTCTAGATGCTGCGTTCCTTGAGGATAAAGCCTCTACCTGGTCTGTAGATGTATGCTTATTGCCTGTGGCACTTCGTGGTACATGGTGGCACTCAGTAAATGTTGAGTGAATGACAAGCTCTCCAATATCCATTTTTGTTACTTCCCCAGTCCTCTGATTTTTACCCGTTTGCTCCGTAGAAATGTGTGCAGTGTTGTGAAGTCACTTCTTTTTGCTTTCCCATATAGCACTTTTCAGGCATCTCCCTGCGCCACCTGTTGTCTTACTGGCCAGTTCCTTTCTATTACTCCCCTGGCATCATCCCCCACCATGATGCTCACAGTTTCAGCCAGCGCAGCATTGCAGGAGATCCTGTTCTCTGGTCCATTGCTTGCAAATGTTCATTGGTGGTAAACGTTCTCAGTACATCAGCAGTTATCAGATAAAGGGCTTGAGACATGATCCCCAGGAAGCAGTAGAAGCGGGTGGTGCTTAAGGGAAGAGCACCATGGAAGAGTCAAGAAGGCCCATGCATAATGGATGAGATATGCAAAGTTTTTAGGCCCTAAACAATGCTTTGGTTGAGAATTATTCCAATTAAGCAAAGGGAGATGACCCATTCAAAAGGGCAGGATCAGATCTTACGTAAGTGAGTAAAAATTTAAAGTCCCCCATAAAACTGGGACAGAGATAGTTTCTACTGAGCCAGTGAACATTAATAACAGATAATCAATAAATAATTAAATATCATCTCAATATAATTTCTTGGTACAGCTGAAACTCATAATCTAGCATTTTTTTTTTTTTTTTTACTGTTGCAGTTAAACCAAATGAAATGAGTGGTAATTTGATACTCAAGAAATAGTACCTGGCCTGCGGTATTTGCAGTGTAGTGATGAAAAACGTAGATTTTGGAGTCCAGGAGTCCTGGTTGTGTGACCTCGTTTAAATTGCTTGATTTCTTTGTGTCTTATTTGCAAATTGAGGGAGGACCTATCTAACAAACAAGATTAGGAAACTTGAGGGAGATAAATTAAGGGAAATACTTACCTGATGCATGCAGTATGGCGCATATTCTCAATCAATGAGAAGCGATTTTTATTGCAATTGCAGTTGTTCAGAAGAGAGGCAATGTGGAGCAGCTGAGAGAAGAAGGGCCTGGAAGTGAATGAGCCAGGGTCCATCTCCTATTACTGTTTCCTGCAGAAGTCACAGAGCTCCTGCAAATCTCATTTGCTCCAGCTGAAAACAACTTTGCAGGCTTGTTGTGGAAGACTCTACATTGTAGTACTTGAAAAATGTAAAGCATTAATAGTTGCGAAATTTACATTAGACTAAATTTAAATTTGTCCTAGGTTAATAAAGACTGGGTTATTTCTCAGTAATAGAAATGATAGGAACAAGAAAAAGCTAATGAGATGTGAAAATAAGTAAAGAAAAAATGACCAAGTCATCCTGCTGAAGATGGAAAGCTTCCCGGATTATAAAAATAATGAAAACATCATTTTTAGCTTATGAAAGTTGTGTAATGATTAATCATTTCATACTTTGTCTTAATATGTGATATATCTTATACATATATCTTAACCCAAAACTTAGATTCAAAAGTTTTCCTTTTCTCAGAGAGGAATTTTAAAACCCCACTCTTGATGGGGATCAGGATAAAGATTAAATTATTTTTGAAAAAGGAACTTTTATTATCTATTAAGGAGATAAGTGAACTGATAGTTTAAGATATTATGGGAATGTTTAAATTACAATGTGTAGACAGTTTTGAGAACTTTGGAAGATACTGTTTACTTATTCACTTATACATTCATCCATTAATGCAGTCATATGGTCATCCATTTAGTTATCAAACATTTATTGGGCAACTATTTTATGCCAGGCTCTGAGTACCAGGCCCTGGGACACAATAATGAGCAAATCAGACACAGTCATTGACCTTTGGGAGTTAAAATCTTATAGGGAAGAGAGACACTAGTCAAGTAACAACTGATAGGATTATACATTGGATTTATTTATTAAAGTCTCAATAAATACTAGGCAACACTTTGTAGTGTTGTTTTATTTTTGGAACATTCTTAAAACTAGTAAGCTGCCTTTCACAAGAATAGTCTCAATGATTTTTTTCACTTTTTTTTTTTCAAAACTCAACTCTCCTTTCCCTGAGATCAGTGTGAGTGAGGTTTGTCTGTGTGTAGAAGTGGAAGAACTTCCTGTCTGTGAGGTTTAGCAAACATGGGTGGTTTATTAGTGTAAGTAAGGACTTAATGAAGAGTAAGATAAATACCAACCTGCCTTGAAAAAGTCCAGACAGCGTTGTATGTGGGGTTGGAGGTCTTGTGGTCCAGCAGCCCACTGAAACCCTGGGAAAGGCCCATGCTTGTCTGATGAAGTACATTATATTTATTGCTGCAATGCTGCAATGTCATTTTAGCCCATATGATGGTAACAGGCTATTGCCTTCCATTACTCTAAATGTCTGGGAATAGTGGGATATGATTTTGACTGATATTCTTCTATTTTCACAGATGATCAACCTTTCTTAATAACTGTAAGGCAACATATAATTTTTGGAATCTCCCTTAATCCTGAGGTGAAGAGCAATGATGCTATGGTCCCCATAGCAGGGATACAGAATGGTTTAGATGTTGAATTTGATGATGCTGAGCAATACATCTATTGGGTTGAAAATCCAGTAAGTTTTGAATAACATTCAAAGTATATAATTTATTCTTGAAGAGCCTGCCTGCACTGATGTTTTCTTATAAGCAAACTTTTGTCATGTGAGTAAAAGGGAAACAATGTGGAAATAAATTTATCCCTAAGTTTTTTGATTCAATGAGGGGTATATATGTGAGCTTGGCCTGGAGCAAAAATCATAACACTCTTTAGCTTCAGAATAAGAAACAAATTTAAGCTATTGTGTATTATTTACTCATTCAGCAAGTATTTTCCAGAAGTGCCTATGATTTGCCCTGCACTGAATTACCTGCTTCTAACCACAGAATACATGCCAAGAAGCAGCAGTCACAATGCTTGCCCCTAGAGGAGTCTTAAGCTAGTAGAAAATATTCGACGAATATAAAAATGATCAAAACTCAAGATAAAAGTAGTAGCTCCCTAAGGGAATTTAGTGAAAGCATTTGATGTGGTGCTGGGGCCTTCCTTTAGAATCCTTTAGAATATTTGCCTCTAGGGTAAGAATGAACACTTCTCCAGTTCTCTTCCTCAGAGGTCATTTTCTTCAGCCTTCAGGGAAAAAACCTGTAAGAATAGGGAAAGAGCAAGAAGACTATAAAGGAGGAAGAGAAGAAAAATCTTTGTGTTTCATGTTTGTCACCTATATACAAAATATACTCCTGGTCTTCTGATCCACATCTGTGACTTGGGTTTTTCTCATGACTTGTATGCTTGTGGTAGTTAAGAACTATCTCTGTAGCCAGTACTGGAGATAGCCTGAATGGTAAGCCTTGTGTATTCCTGTGACACACTGAAAAATCGTTTGAAGCCTACCCAGTGGTGCTGAACCTTTGTTTGCCTTTCCTCTGAGTGTAAGGACTGTTCAAGAAATACAGCAGCTGGCAGTAGCCACAGTGAAGAAAGGGTTCTTTTGTAGGAGCCATGGCCTTGGAACTGCTCACCTCCCCTTGTCTTTCTTTCCAGGGTGAAATTCACAGAGTGAAGACAGATGGCACCAACAGGACAGTATTTGCTTCTATATCTATGGTGGGGCCTTCTATGAACCTGGCCTTAGATTGGATTTCAAGAAACCTTTATTCTACCAATCCTAGAACTCAGTCAATCGAGGTAATGATTCCATAATACTACTTACACAAACATTGGATTTAGATTGATGTAAACTCTAGTCTCAGGAATAGATCTCACGTGGATTTTGGAATCATTTTTAAGCAAAAAGAAAAAGGGAAAAGATATTAGTGTTAACTATCAAAGTCTCTGAAGTGAAAGAGGAAAACCACCTTAAAATTTTTTTTAAATTTATTTTTATTTATTTATTTATTTTTTTTTTAGACAAAGTCTCACTCTGTCGCCCAGGCTGGAGTGCAGTGGCAAGACCTTGGCTCACTGCAACCTCTGGCTCCTGGGTTCAAGCAATTCTCCTGTCTCAGCCACCCGAGTAGCTGGGATTACAGGCGTGCACCACCAAGCCTAGTTAATTTTTTGTATTTTTAGTAGAGACGGGGTTTCACCATGTTGGCCAGGCTGGTCTTGAACACCTGACCTCAAGTGATCCACCCGCCTTGACCTCCCAAAGTGTTGGGATTATAGGCATGAGCCACCACGCCTGGCTGGCAAAAATAAATTATTTGAGCTTTCTATTGCTCTATTTTGTTTCCTCCTAATTATCAATACTACCTTGTTGCTATAAAAGTGTTTTAGGTAATTTACAAAATAATATATAAGAAGATAAATAAAAGTTGCATAAGGAATTCAACATAAAGGGAAGATTATGGTAAGCAGAGAATTTTACTATGTTTCCTCATCTAATCTTCAATGCTATTTCAGTTCTCAACCAAATTTATAGTTTGCCTCTGTTCTTAGATGGAAATCTTTCTATGGCTCCAGTACAGTTTTTCTAACAGCAAAACAGAAAGTAGAAACTTGATTCTAATTCCTTTGATACTCTCTTCTTCAAGATAAGTGTTCTTTTTACTCTAATTCCCAGAAGAAATTCTAGATGAGGCACAGGTATGAAATCACATGAAGTAAGTCAGAGGTAACTTGACTAGTGTTGGTTTGCTCCACTCTGAGAGAAGGGTAAAACATGGAAGGGATTATTAATTCACAATAATTTTGAAAGTGAAACTTCCCAAAACAAGGAGAAGTTTTTGGAGGGGGATAGTTAGCAGAGCCCTGACAATCCACTGCTTTAGGTGGGCACCAGCTGGCAAGACGGTTTTTCTCTGGAGCATTCAGAAAGATACTGAAGATGAGCAAGGCGCACAGCAGCCTGCTGGCTAATTTAGAGCACCTATCTATACTAAAAAGCACTCTCTGTAGACTAAGAACACAGCCTATGTAGAGTTCGGTACTATCTGAGGTTTCATGCATCCCTTGGTGATCTTGGAATGTATCCCCCATGGATGAGTGCAGATGACTGTTTTTATTTCTGCCAAATGAAGAAATAGGGAAAAGGTGTCCCAGGCAGAGAAAAGAGCTCTCACTGGAACAGCGCTTGAGTTTACAAAGATCTTTCACTAGCATCTAATTTAATCCTCACAACATTCCTGAGGGCAGGCAGTTCTGGTAGCCATTTGTGATGAGAGGGAAATTTGCAGTGTGCACAAGTATCTCAAGCCAGGTAGAATTATCAGGTGTTAACATGAAGGGCCCCTTGGAGGCTCCTCTGGTTCAAACTCTTTTTTTTATTTTTATTTTTTTACATCAGAAACCAAGGCCCACAGAAGCTAAGAAGATGTCTTAAATGGTCAGCTTCACTGCTCTAATTCCTGAGCAGTATTCTCTCTTTGCACTTTTATAAACTACAACTCCGGCAATCCAGACTGGTTTAACCCTCTTTGACAGTGGCAGAAAATATTTTTCATGATTTCAACTAAGACTATCATCCTCCCATTAAACAGGCAACATCTACTGCCTAAGACCCTTACTACCAAACTCACATCTCTCTAAAGTCCACCCAGTGCAAAGCTGTCTTAATTCCAAATGGCAATTAATATGCTCTTATTTTATCTCTTTGTCTCTTGATTAGTAAATGGGGTTCTCTTCTTTTAAACTGATAGTTTTCCAAAAGCAGGGAACGTGTCTTTCCCATTAGTGTTAGGTACAATGCAGTAGTGGCCAGTTGGAGAATAACTGAGCGTGCATGTGTGTATGGATTGGTAAGGCCACTTTAACCACATGAACCAAAAGTTTCTAATTATGCCCTGATGCAGTGTGGTACAGAGGAAAGATATTTTGATTTGGAGTCCAAAGACCTGGCTTTGAGTCTGGGTTGCTTGCTCATTTTATTCATTCATTTAATGAGCACTAGGAAATGCTTTCTATGGATCAGTTGATCCTGGATATCCTAAGATGAATAAACATTTTTTTTCTGTCTTTAAGTAGCTCACATATCTGTGAGATGGATACATAAACAAATACCTGTGCTCCAGTGTCATAAGTGTGATAAGGCCGGTGAATATAAAGTGCTAGTGATTGGAGGCAGAGGTATAAGTGAGGGGAGAGAGCATGCAGATTTCCCATTCATGGTTACTTGTGAGCTGAGTCTTGAAAGATGACTAATACATCCTTGCTTATCGGAGGGTTTCACTTTCCGAGGTTTCAGTTACCTGCAGTGGCCTGAGAATATGTGAGTACAGCACAATAAGATATTTAAAAGGGAGGAGAGAGAGAGAGACCACATTCACATAATTGTTATTACAGTATATTTTTATAATTGTTCTATTTTCAGATTATGGTTAATCTCTTACCATGTCTAATTTATAAATTAAACTTTGTCATAGGTGTGTATATGTAGGAAAAAATATAGTATATATAGCATTCAGTACTATCTGAGGTTTCAGGCATCCATTGGTGATCTTGGAATTTGTCCCCCATGGATGAGGGGGATGACTGTTTTTATTTCTGCCAAATGAAGACGTAGGGAAAAGGTGTCCCAGGAGAGAAAAACAGTTGAATAAAGACCCTGAAACATGGAAATGCATTTTATGACTGGGGACAACACTGCATTTTCTCCACTCATGAGCTATTCGACCTTGGACAAATTACTTAACTTCTCTGAGCCTGTTTTCTCATCTGTACAGTGGAGTTTATGGCTGAGGAAGTAAAAGTACTTCATAACACTGAGGTATCCTGTAAATACAGAGCGCTGTTTCCCTCAAATGATCAATATTTTTAGAAAATCCATGAAAGACCTGTGAGAATAATGATCCAAGGGCAAACTGCCCTTTTAATGGTTTAACTGGTGTTTCCCCTTAGGTCATTTAAATTGTAAGTAAGTCTTCCAGGTGATTGTTGGATTAATTAAGAAAATAGGAATCGTATTCACTTTCTGTTTACCTGTATAATATTCCTTCCTGCCTAAGAGTAGTTCGTGTTTAACTCCAACTTGAAAATAAGAGAAACATTGAAGAAACTATTATCCACTAGGGGTAGCTGTGTTCCCATCCACTAAAAGAAATTTTATAGCTGAATTTTGTAGTGAAGCCTACAGAATGGCCGTGTGAGAGAGAGCTCTATATATTCCAGAAAGCAAGAAAAGGAACTGTGAACCAAAGAGATCCTTAGTCTTAGGAAAAGGAGAGAGATTGTAGCAGAAAGAGGCAAACCGAGAAAAGAAAAGCTACCTTAGTCCAAGCAAGAGTGAAAGATACCAGACAATAGGCAGAGAAAAAAATTTAGAGAAAAGAATGAGGGAAAGAAGGATATATGTGTGTGTGTGTGTATGTGTGCGTGTGAATGCGTGCACACACGTGCACACGCATGTATGAGAGACAGAGAAACACAAATAATCTATTTGTATTGAAAAGCAATTTTATAGAAAAACCTTAATGCAAAAATCAACAGACATTTTCTAATTTCTTACTAATTGTCTGTTAGACTGTCTTAGGTACGTATTAAAATAGCTTCATTGCTGTAAGAAACTTCTTTCTAGTCCAATAAACTATATTTCTATGTGCTGTATCAGGGCCCTGTTAACACTGTGATTATAACAGTAATAATCACAGACAGCCTTGGGAAAGCCACTAAACCTCTGTAGGCCTCTTTTTCTCCATCTGTATTGAGAAAAATAATGGGATCTACCTCACAGAATTGTTTATGAGGATCGAATACAATAATGCTTGCTCTAATACCTCATATATAGTAAGTGACCAACAGATGGACCAATTAAACAATAGAAGTTTATTGAACATAGTTGTGCTGGGTGGTGTGCTGCTTTACCTGTATTATCTCTTAGTCCCGTAAGGTCTACGCAGACCTTCCATATTTGACTGATAAAGTTCAAAGAGGTGAATTTATTTGCCTCAGATTGTACAGTCAGGACCTGGCAGGGCAGAGATTTCAGCTCATGTGTTTCAGTTTAGTTTGTTGACTTGGAACAGAATTCACTGTACCTCTGAGTAAATTTGGACTATTTTGATCAACTGTGTTGGCAGTAACTGGCCACCGAGTGCCTTGGTGGGGTGCAGGAAAGCTGTGGGGTTCTCATTTGTCTTCCAGAGATTTCTCTTAGCTCTCCTGAAGGATTTTTGCAGTTTCTTTAGGCAGTGGCTCTGTATGTTTTCCCAACTGAATCTTCCTTTTATCCATAAAAATGTTCCCTCCTGAAATTTTAGGTGAGTTGGAAGTAGGAACTTGGGAGGTGATTTTGCTGCTCTTACTCTCATTTTCTATTGAGCTAATTTCCTCATTTCCCTGAAGTGCAATATAGATTATCTGAATCTCATGCAAATCCTCTCTCATCCATCCCTAATCGTGCTTTGGAATTTGTTTTGTACATAAGTTCTCCTTCATCTCAGTTTCCTTTGGTTCCCCTTATGAAAGTCAGTTCTAATAAGTGATTTTATGCTATAGGTTTTGACACTCCACGGAGATATCAGATACAGAAAAACATTGATTGCCAATGATGGGACAGCTCTTGGAGTTGGCTTTCCAATTGGCATAACTGTTGATCCTGCTCGTGGGTGAGTATTCATAAATGGCACGTGTCTTCCATGCAGCATTGTTCTTGTTAATGTCAGGGTCTGACAAAATGGAAGATTTCAAATTTAGGACATCTTCTGATTTCATATGTCAACATTTGAAAAATAATAGATCTCAGTGAGAAAGAGAAATAGCTCTGACCTATATTTAATGTGCAGGATATTGTTTGTATTTTGTCCTATGGTCTTCAAATGAACAACACTGGATTTAAAATTAATTCCAAACAAGCAAGAATTTTAGGAATTTTAAAATAGCATTATAAGAATTGACAATATATTCTGACTTTGAAAGGACACGGAAAGCTCTAAGGGATTATGTAACATTTGCAATAGAGCTTGCAGGATGAGAAGCCTTCTAGTAGGTGGAGAATGGGTTGCAACCAGGCAGTGACTCTTGAGGCCAAGGGATCCATGAAGGCACAGAAGTATGGCGGCACTTAGCAGGATTGTGGGGAGAGCCGGAACCAGAGGCTTAGAGTAGGGAGCTGTTGACCACATGGGAGATACAACAGATAAGGTCATTTGGGGACAAATCAAGGAGGGCCTTTAATATCATGCTAAGAAGTTGAACTTTATTCTTTTGAGTGATAAGGAGCAAGTAGGGATTTTTTTTAAAAAATTTCAACTTTTATTTTAGTTATAGGGGGCACATGTGCAGGTTTGTTACATGGGTATATTGTACCCAGATAGTGAGCATAGTACCCAATAGTTAGTTTTTCAACCCATGCCCTCCTCCCTTCCTCCCCTCTCTAGTAGTCCACAGTGTCTGTTGTTCCCATGTGTATGTCCATGTGTGCTCAATGTTTAGCTCCCACTTATAAGTCAGAACATGTGGTATTTGGTTTTCTCTTCCTAGCAAGGAATCCTGAGGAAGGGAGTGAAAGAACCAAATTTGTGTTTTAGAAAAATTGGTCAGGATTGATGTGGAGAGAGGCCAGGGCCAGGGAGACCAGTTAGGAGAAAATGGTCTTAATGGATGTAGGCTGGAGTCCTCCGGTCTGTTTGATTGGCTATTTCATTCTGTTGATCTACTATACCATATTATAAACCAGAATAACAAATTGTAAAATATGAACACTGATTTTTTTTTTAAAGAGATTGTAGCATCATTCCAAGTGGATTTTGGCTTAATGTTTGAAAGTTATCAGATTCTTAGGCCTAGAAGGGCACTGAAGAAGTAATTTGTATTAGCGCTCTGTTTCAAATAAGGATGACATGGAAACCAAATCCAATTTTTAAAGGGCACAAGAAGCAAACATTCTATTCTGTGCCTGCTGGCTTGTACTAGTTTTCAGTTATTCTTTCTAGAAGAAGGACTGTCTTAGGTTCGAAATTCTACTTTTGAAACTCAGGCTCACTCATTATTTGTTTTTCGTTTATCAGACATTTCTGCATTGTGTACCTTTGTTGGGTGGTGTGTTAGTTAAGATAGCTAACTGTTGAAGCAAATAAACTCCTAAATATGTAATGGCTCAAAGAAAATAGAAATTTTTTTGTCTTTTATATGGGCAGTGGGGTTTGGGCAGAAGATGGGAGGAAGCTCTACTCTACGTAGTCATTCAGGACCCAGGCTGATGGATGCTCTGCCATCTTCAGTAGGAGGCTTCCTAGGTCATTCTGAGTATCAAGATCTTTCGAGCAGTAAAGGAAAGAACGTTCAGAAATTTGCTGGGAGGTTTTTATGAGCCAGGCCTACAAGTAGTGCACGCCACTTCTGCTCACACTCCTTAAGCTAGAATTGGGTCACATGGCCACAGCTAACTGCACGGAAGGACATGCAGTCCACCTATTTACCCAGAGAGAAGAGGAAGACATTAATTTTGGCAAGTGGAGGCAGTCTCTTTCATGGGGCCATGGTGGGGAGTTCAGAGGGTGGATACAAAGATTAAAGACCTAATTTGCAACCTTAAGGATTTATGGCTTAGTAAGGAGGATAAGGCCTGTGTATAAATAACAATAACCCAGATTCATATAAGATTAAGAGCCACAAGAGAGGCTAAAAAAATTGGGATGATAGTGCTATAAAGAGGTGACATTTCAGCTTGGTGGAAGAGATATCATTTGGACTGGATCTTAAAGCATACCTAGAATTTCACTGGGCAGAGCTAGCTTTTAAGATATATCAGGCGATATGAAGGATGGAAGGTCAAGAGCAAAGGGACAGAAAATTGAGGGTTTGTTCAAGTGACTAAGAGCAACCCAGTTGGGTTGGGAGACAATTAGAAGAGCTTAGAATTTTGTCAGAGGACATAGGAGGAGAAACAAGACAGAGACTTGAGGATCTAATATCTTGGATTCTCAGTGAAGAGAAAGTCTTGATAAAGTTGTGATAAATGTTATTGAACCAGTTGTTGCAGAAAAATATCTTTGTGGATGATCACTAATAAAGAGCTGAGGCAGTTACAGGGTCTCTGATGATATTCAAGAGAGGATGTTGAATAGAGATAGTAGAAGTTAAAAGAATGGAAGGAGGATGAGGAAATGTGAATACTCTTTTAAGAATTTTGTATTGGAAAGTTAGAGAAAGATAAACTTGTAGGTCAAAATGTAACAGGAAAATGTCTTTCAGAATAGAGAAACCTGAGTGTATTCTTTAGCAGCAGATGAAAGATCAAGGATGAAGAAATAATTGATTGAGAGTGAAAGTTATGGGGAAGGAATTCGAAATTTATGAAGTAGAATGACTTGAAATAGTCAATATGCGGAACATGATATAAAGTCTGCTAGGGATGAGAATCCTCAGCTTAGATTAGGGAACTTAGATTTTTAGTGAATTCAGAATTCACGAAAGTTTTGTGCTATGTCCAGGAAACTCTTGGTACCCTGAAATGGGAGAGGAGAAAGAAAAAAAAGGGCAGAAACCCAGGGTTGGAGATTAGCTTAGACACAATGGGAACCCAAAAGAATAAATAAGAATATTGTTGAAATGGTTACATATGATGTCCAGGTGTAGAAGAACTGGAGGGTTGGGAGCTCAGGCAGGGCTTAAGGGCAAAGAACAAGTTTAATAGGAAAAGTTAAAGCAAGGAAGAAATGAGAGGTTTTGGTCGAAGCAGAGCATTTCAGAGTTTGAGAACTTAGAGGCGGAGAAGTTTAGAGTTGAAGATGAAATTCAAAGGACGGGTATATTGATTTGGTGGTGGAAGAGGTAGGTGAATAAAGACTATTTAAATGAAGGGGTTTAAGGACTTTTCAGAAAAGAATGTAGGAGAATTGTCTGTTGAAGATATAGAAGGAGGTGCAATCAAAAGGAATTAAAAGTTGGGTTCAAGTCTAGAACTTACATCTTCAGTGGAAATGGAAAACAGCCCTTAATATATTTTAATACATTTTCATATATCATGGATTTGGCAATGCTGTGTGGTAATTATGGTTCATGTGTACCTGATCGCTGTGAAATAGAAAGAAAAAAGAAGTCTTCCTTACCCCATAACAGCATGATAATGAGATTCCACTCTCACAGAAAAGTGTTACTCATTATTTCTCCTATTTTCTGTGTCAGTTTTCAAAATTCTTTGCATTTTTCATCACAGAAATCAGGTTAGGTAATTAAGTAGCCGGTCTTGTGGTAGATGGTGATTTGGGGAATAATTAAATGAGGCCTGGTAAGTGATCAGGGAGTGTACTTGGCAGCTTTTTATATTAGCTTTGGCCTTCACTATGTACTGAAGATGGAGGGATTATTGATGTAGGTTTCTTCCTTGTCATAAGCTTCCCACACACCTGACCATGCTAAAAGTTCAGCTGCCAGTGGGATACCCTAGCTTCTTATTCCAGACACCATTTTAAGTGGCCTCTACTCCAGTTATAGCTAGGAAATATACCGACATTGGTAGAACACTGGTGAAGTACCCCTCCACGTTGTATGCAACGAGATATTGATTTTCAGCCTTTGCCCATTGTATTGTGAGCATCTTGAGGACAAGTAATACACATTGTCATTTATGTCACTGACTCAAATCCACCTTCTGTTTTGTTACATGCTGGTGTTTTTCATGGTTGTAGGAAGCTGTACTGGTCAGACCAAGGAACTGACAGTGGGGTTCCTGCCAAGATCGCCAGTGCTAACATGGATGGCACATCTGTGAAAACTCTCTTTACTGGGAACCTCGAACACCTGGAGTGTGTCACTCTTGACATCGAAGAGCAGAAACTCTACTGGGCAGTCACTGGAAGAGGAGTGGTATGAGCACCCTTTCAGTCTTTTGGTCTTTATGCTGAGCTGGTGTAGCTGATGCTGAGTGTTCTGAGCTGTCAGGCAGTGGTTCTTGAACAATCTTACTTGGTAACTTGTACCAGTGTTTCATTGCCCCTTCTCCCAATAACTTCTCTCCCTTGCACGTACCTCGCCCCTAGCTGAAGTCCAGTTCTTTATAGTATGTGCATAGTTCCCTATAGGGTAATGTTTATTAATTTCCCCACCAACGTTTTTTTTTCTTCAAGATAAATTAATTCCATTTGTCATTTCTTACTTGTCATTTCAGAGCCATTTCTTTCATGGTTTAGTGATTTCAGTGTTTTTCTTTGAAAGTACTCTGGGTTCTCCAATTATAGAGAATATACATATACCTATATATATGGAGAGAATATATATATAAAAAATATAGAGTATGTATCTATACTATATGGTATATAGAATCTATATAGATTCTATATATGATCTATATAGATTCTATATATGATCTATATAGATATAGAATATATATTATAGAATATAGAATATATATTTATAGAATACAGAATATATATCTATTATATATAGAATATAGAATTTATATATCTGTATAGGATATAGGTATATTCTATGTATCTACCTATGTGTGTGTGTATGTATGTATGTATCTATTTATTTACGTAGCAAGGTTCTGAACTCAGCATCCCCTCGTAGCTACACATTCTTCTCTAATATTTTAACATGATTAATGCACATGCGAAACTTTCTTTAGTGGTGATTTTCAACTCCAAGGTTGGGTTCATTATATTCTACAATAAGAAGCAGAAACTATAAAGTCTCGTTCACTCATTGAAATAGGATTTCACCTTCACTGAGCTGGGGCTAAGCACATAGACAATGCTCAATAATAATTATTGATGAAGCATTGCTTTGGGTGCTGAACTGAATATATGCTAGTCCCTTCCTTGCTATTTAACAGTAGTTACTTCAGATCCTTGACATTGATGCTTTTCATAATATTGTGCAGTAGGTTTGGCTTTCAGTTCATTGTTTGTTCAACAAGTACTAACTTCACTCCGAATATGGACCTATAATGGTGGTAAGCTTTGGAGATTAAAAAGAAGTGATGATGTGTGTGAAAACACTTTGCAGAGTTGGGTGCATGTGTGCAATGACGAGGAAGCTCTTGTTACATGGTATGGTTTCTGTACACACATCTGACAGGGCACAGCTTCTAAATCTACGTGCTTGTTAGTGGTGTGACTCTCCAACCTTTCTCCTAGTGTAGTTCCCTTATTTCTCCTTCACTCTCCTGGTTTAATCATCACCAAATGCTGCAATCCATCCTCAGCCTGTCACTCATGCCCAGATCTTTTCTGCCACCTCCACCATTCTGAGCAACCTCTCTCTGGCCTTGACTAGGCATGGCCTTCAGTGGTGAAGCCTGCTTTCATGTTGGAGACATGTTTTCTTCATAAAGCCACAGTCAGCAAGTTGGATCACGGCTCAGCTTGGAGCCTTGCCCTGAGGAGTAGCTCCCAACACTTCTGTGAGGTTGCTCAGCTAATCTGGTCCTGGCCTCCACTCTCTCCACTCTCTCCTCCAGGCTCATGTTTCTTATATTCTAAATTCTAGAACTTTGATCAGTTTCATCAGCATAACCACTCTTGTAACTGCTGGGCTCCCTTTTCAGCCATGGCAGTAAAGCCACACTGTGTCTCTCGCCAATACCCAGCCCAGATCCTGGCACAGAGCAGGCACTTGAGGCAGGTTTTTGGAGTGAAATTAAACCAGCTACATCTACATTTCATTTTTCTTCCAGAAGAAGCTGACTACTTGTCATTTTCCCTTAGGGACTTTATTCTTGTAGTTCTTTTCCAGTGTACCAAAGCTATTTTGATTAAAGCTTGTTATCTGTTCAAATTTAATGGCACCATTTTTGGCCCTGTCCTGTCTTGCTGTCCTCTGTGGTTGTTTGGGGGCATATTTCCAATCTCCATTACAGAAATTGTCAGTGAAGGTGTTAAACTCAGGGTGAGTCAGCTCCTGTGCAATGGCCCACGCTTAGATGTTTGAGTATATCCTTGACCAGAATATCACATGCAGGGACTAGTGGTTTAGCTCCCTTTTCTTCACCGTGCCACCTGAAAAGGTTGACTGACTCATGTGAGCTCCGTCTTCATTATCAATGAAAGGGGCACAGTGACATTTTCCTGACCTGCTGCTTGGTGTCGTTGTGATGATCAAATCAGAAAATAGAAGTGAAAAATCTCTGTAAGGGATAGAGGGCTGTATAAATGTGAGACATTATAATTAGGAGAATATTAGTGTTTAAATGTTCAAAATTTTCACTATGAATCCATGAAACTAATGAAAATTCCAATCCTTTAGATTGAAAGAGGAAACGTGGATGGAACAGATCGAATGATCCTGGTACACCAGCTTTCCCACCCCTGGGGAATTGCAGTCCATGATTCTTTCCTTTATTATACTGATGAACAGTATGAGGTCATTGAAAGAGTTGATAAGGCCACTGGGGCCAACAAAATAGTCTTGAGAGATAATGTTCCAAATCTGAGGGGTCTTCAAGTTTATCACAGACGCAGTAAGTATTTGTCACTGAAATACATTCATGGGTGTATAATGCATATTCACACATAACTCACATTTGTAAGCACACACCCACACACAGTTTCACGTACATACACGTGCATACAAATTGAAGTTACCTGAAATATTTAAAAAATGATAATGAAGTCTTAAACATGGTTAAGTGCCAAGGGCTAATTTGGCATCTGAAAGGCCAGATTGACTTCAGAGTAAGTTTATTCCCTTTCTCTTCCCATTACTTTCAATTCCTTACTTTGCTTTTACTTCATAGAACTCCCTGTTTTCTATTGTTTGTGTTACTTATTAGAATATAACCTCTGTACGGGCAGGCATTTTGTCTGTCTTGTTTGCTGCTCAATACTCGGTGATTAGAATAGTGCTTGGCACATAAAAGGTGCTCAGGGCATATGAGTTGGATGCCTGCTGGGAAAGTGCTAATGGGATGGAATTTTTAGTCTTAAAAAGAATGCTTTTGGATGTTGCCTATTTCAACATTTTTTTCAAAGATAATCTAATTTCTGATTTACCCCTTTAAATTAGTGGTATGATACAGGTATTATTTTTTGATGTATTTTATAGCTTTCGTCTTCAGCCAAAGATGATCAAACAATTTGTTTCCTGTCCTATAACCTAAGTTTGTCACTAGGTATTTTTTTAACTGCATGTGAAAGAAACACATGCAATAGAAATTAATTTTTTATTACTATAAAGAATATTCTTTTTTTTTTATTTTTCCATAGGTTTTTGGGGTACAGGTGGTGTTTGGTTACATGAGTAAGTTCTTTAGTGGTGATTTGTGAGATTTTGGTGCACCCATCACCTGAGCAATATACACTGCACCCTATTTGTAGTCTTTTATCCCTCGCCCCCCTCCCACCCTTCCCCCAAGTCCCCAAAGTCCATTGTATCATTCTTAGGCCTTTGTGTCCTCATAGCTTAGCTCCCACATACCAGTGAGAACATGCGATGTTTGGTTTTCCATTCCTGAGTTACTTCACTTTGAATAATAGTCTCCAGTTTCTTCCAAGTCACTGGGAATGCCATTAATTCCAGGACTATTCTTTAAATCTTATTTCATATATTTAAAAAAAATCACATTATTGATCATGTAACTGAACATATTATTTTAAGTGCCAGTTCATAGGCAAATTATGAGCAGATTTATATACTGACCTCCCTAATCCTCGCATGATTTGTAGAAGAAAACAAGTGAAGCCCCATTCTCTAACTATTATACAATAGTTGGGTTACTGGTTTCATACCTTTAGGTGTTATTGTATAAGCTCTAGTCTCTCCGATGTTGTTTTTAGATTGCTAACTCAGCTACTATATGTTGGTTATTAATTTTTAGAATAAATTATTTGGTGACCCAATTAAAGAAATTTGAGATGGGGTGGCGAGTAGCTAGGATCAAAAGTTACAAATGGATTTTGTTTTCATTTAGATGCCGCCGAATCCTCAAATGGCTGTAGCAACAACATGAATGCCTGTCAGCAGATTTGCCTGCCTGTACCAGGAGGATTGTTTTCCTGCGCCTGTGCCACTGGATTTAAACTCAATCCTGATAATCGGTCCTGCTCTCCATATAACTCTTTCATTGTTGTTTCAATGCTGTCTGCAATCAGAGGCTTTAGCTTGGAATTGTCAGATCATTCAGAAACCATGGTGCCGGTGGCAGGCCAAGGTATGCCAACTCCAATATAAGTAAGATTTGACTTCATCTGGCACCAGGTTGAAATCCCTGGTGCCATGAAAACATTTCTTCATGTGTGGATTCAGTGCATAATGAAGCTTTCCTTTCCCTTTAAATCAACTGGCACAGCCTAAAGTGTTTTTCAAACTTTAGTGTGTCTCAGAATCACCTGGAGGGCTCACGCCAACACAGCTCCAGACCTCGTCCCCAGATTTTTCTGATTTTGTAGTCTAGGGTAGGGCCAGAGAATCTGCACTCCTAATAAGCTCCCAGGGCATGCTGACGGTGCTGGCCCATGGATCACGCTAAGAACCACAGGCCCAGAGCAATATAGAATGTAGGATGGGTTTGCAAGAAGTACTACAGAGTTGGTGTTCCAAAGAACTGTGCCCTATTTCTGATTATTAATGGAGATTTATGGTAGAAGGTATACTACTATTTAATATGGTAATGAAATAGTCCACAAATATGATTTATTAATATATATTTGGTGAATTGAAGCAAAAGAGTTCACAGTGTCAGTCCCTCTTTAGTAATCATATTTTTGCAGCACTTTGTGCTTACATACTGTGAATGTATGAAACGATCACTTGCTTCCTAGATGAGCCAAGGTTTTTAGGTATACCTTAGCACAAGAGGAACTAAGAGTTTTCTAACATCGCTAGGAGAATGTCACAGGCTAAAGAGAGAAATAGAGGGTAGAAAGGAAGGAAAAAAGGATGAAGTCAATGAAGGGGTTGTAGAGATGGTCAGAAAATACAGAAATGCACCTGGAGAAGGGAATCAGAGAGCTTCCAGTCCCACACGTCCTCCTGCCTGATGGTCATGTTCACGTGGACCCATGACTCATCTTTGTTTTTCCATATCTAAAAAGTTATGGATCTAAGTTATCATCTTGTACAGATATGACAAATTCAATAGTTTTTTTCTCCCAGCTTTTCATTAAAAAAATGTTCAAACACAGAAACGTTGAAAGATTTAGGAAATATCCTTATACCCTTTACCAAGATTTAACAGTTGTTAACATTTCTTCACATTTGAGCTCTCAATTTGTATGTGTGTGTGTGTACATGCATATGCATTCACATTCATTTTTTATGAACCTTTTAAAAATAAATTTTAATACCATGCCACTTTACCCCTACATATGTTAGCATACAGTTTCAAAGGGCATTATGAAATATTCATAATCATATTTCTCCAGTTGGCCTCACAATATTTTATATATAGCTGTTTTGTTCCATCCAAGATCTAATCAAGATTCATGCACTGCACTGGGAATATCTCATTAGTTTCTTCCAGTTTGGAGTAGTTGCCTCTAGCTTTTTGCTATGACATTGATGTTTTAAAGAGGCAGACCTGTTGTCTTTGAGAATCCCACACTGAGGATTTGTCTGAATATTTAGTCTGTCTTTCATTTTTTACCCTGCAGTTCTCATGAAATGGAAGTTAGGTCTAATTGCTTGATTAGATCAAGGTTAAATACATTTAGCAATAATACTTTATAGGTTATGCTGTGTTAGTTGATACAGAATCTTATTAGGAAGAACATAATGTCAGCTTGCCCTGCTCTTAGTGGCATTTGAGTTTGATCACTTGGTTAAGGTGGTCACTGCTACACTGCTGCTTTTTAAAGCTGTATTTTTTTTCCTTCTTAATTTTGGTGGAATCTATGCAATCACACTTAGGCCCTGTGAATGTCTTGGCTCCCAAGCACCTTTTACCCATTGGTTTTGGCAGCCATGGATGATCCTTGTTTGAAATGATTATTTAATCGAGGATTGCAAAATGGTGATTTTCTTATTTTAGCATTCCCTTTACATTTGTTAGATAATATTCTTCTATAAAGGAAAGCTCTTCGTGTCTCCCCGGTTTACTTTTTAAATAATTTATTATTATTATGGGCTCAAATTTTTATTTTTTAAATTCAGTGTGTTACAGTCAATTACTGTAATCCTTCTTTTGATGTTTTAGTGGATCCATTTTGGCCAGGGAGAACCTCTTCAAGTGGCGACCTGTATATTTCTGTGTATGCCTTGTTTCTTGGTACAATAAGATGTTTCACACTCACTTCGTACCTTCCCTGCCTAAACCTATAATCAACATTTCTCCCGGGAGCCAGAGCTCCTTATTGTGGGAAAGAGTAGAAACCAAGATGTGGGTCTGCTCACTGCAACTGGGAAAAAAGGGTTTCATTTTGTAATGGGGAGATGCTCAGAGCAGGGGGTTGGGAATGAGGGTTTGAGAGGAAGGGCAGACATTTAAAAGTTCTAATTTCAGTGACAGCATTTTTTAATGATCTTTTCTTAACTTCCAGGACGAAACGCACTGCATGTGGATGTGGATGTGTCCTCTGGCTTTATTTATTGGTGTGATTTTAGCAGCTCAGTGGCATCTGATAATGCGATCCGTAGAATTAAACCAGATGGATCTTCTCTGATGAACATTGTGACACATGGAATAGGAGAAAATGGAGTCCGGGGTATTGCAGTGGATTGGGTAGCAGGTATGTAAGCTATATGGTGATTTTAATATGTTTGCATCTCTGTCATCTTATTTTATGCTAGAAAGTTTAGCCTAACTCCATGTGCTACAGGTTTGTTTTTCTAGACAATTATTAAGACCATTTAAGATACATTGAATCTAGATTAAGCTACGTGTCTATTTGATAAATGATACGGTGTTTCAGTTTACAGATTTATAACAAATTAATCCTTATCATTTTCTTCTGTTATTAACATAATCTGGAGACAAAAGTGGCTAAAATATTAAATTATGTGGATTTGTTTTTTTTACACTTAGATTTGCACCTGATTTCTGCATTAGAAATTTTCTAAATTTTCAAGAGAAAGAGATATAAAAATATAAACTATGGAACAGCATTCATTTGCTTTGAAGCTGAGCAATTTTAGTTGCCAAATTCTTAATTGCTTCCTTTTATTCATATATAAAAATCCCTTAGATCATGAGATATTTTATTAGTAATTTTTTTAAATGCCTGGTCCAGTATTATATTAACTTAGTTGTATTTATTCATGCACATAAGCTTGAATAACCCCTCATTTTTATCACTCATCTGAGTAAAAATACCACTCATAATTAGTGGTATTATATGTTTTGGAATATAATCCAATTCTACATAAAATCAGTATCATTGAATCAAGCTTGGTGAGTAGGCATCACTTAGAAATATTAGCATGTAGGCAGGGCGCAGTGGCTCATGCCTGTAATCCCAGCACTTTAGGAGGCTGAGGCAGGCGGATCACCTGAGGTCAAGAGTTTGAGACCAGCCTGACCAACATGGTGAAACCCCATCTCTACTAAAAACACAAAAATTAACCAGGCATGGTGGCGTACGCCTGTAATCCCAGCTACTCAGGAGCCTGAGGCAGGAGAATCTCTTGAAGCCGGGAGGTGGAGGTTGCAGTGGGCCGAGATTAAGCCACTGCCATCAAGCCTGGGTGACAGACTGAGACTCTGTCTCGAATTAAAAAAAAATTTAAAAAAAGGAAATATAAGCATGTATTATGAAAATCTAAGTACTATAATAAGAGTTTATTGCAAAAAGTAAATATGGAAGTATGGTTAAATAAAGCTTTAATTGGGTTCCTAACTCCCGTTCCTGAATAGAAATTACTATTTCTGAGGGTATAGATAAAGCAGTAGTCAGCAAACTATGGCCCGTGCGTCAAATGCAGCCTGTTGCCTGTTTTTGTAAATAAAGTTTTATTGTAACACAGCTATGCCCATTTATTTGTGTATTGTCTATGGCTGCTTTCATGTTACAGTGGCAGTGTTGAGTACTTGTGAAACCATATGCTCTGCAAAGCCTAAAATATTTATTATGTGGCCCTTTACAGAAAAAGTTTGCCAACCCTGGATTAAAGGATTGGAAATGAGCAAATGCATACATAGCAAGTAGAGTTAGGTAATGAAAAAATGTATCAGTAACATATTTCACATTGGCCTGATTTCTCTAGAGGTGGTTTGAATCAGATATAGGAACAAAATATGTGTGTCTTGGTAGTAGCATTGATAGTTCAACAACAGACTTTCAACTACATGAAATCAATAATTTGTGGTCATTCTCTACTTATTATACTATCTTCATAAAGTTATCTTTTTATTCTAGCATGTACATAAGGCCCAAAGGGAAATGGACTTTTGGTCACTTTTAGAAGGTCCATGGGATGAAAACACCTACATTAGTTAGAAAGACTAAGGAAAAACTTCATGTTAACCTTAAGTTCAAAGACCATTTGATAACATTAATAACAACCTGAGATGCTGCTGGTGCTCCCTCTTTGCTACTTTTATCACATTGGGATGGAAGTTGTGCTATGAAAATGTATATTTAGAGTGTTTCAAGTAGGTATTAAGCATTTAGAGCTTCAGATAGAAAAGGAGGGACATTCTGGAAAATATACCTTTCAGTAGAAAGTGGGTTATGATGTTGCTATGAATTCTAATCTACTTTAGAAGCTGAAGATAGGCACTTTCTCTCTAAATTTGAAGACACAATCTCTATAATTCCTAGGAGTAAGAACTTATTTTTCTAAGCCTAGACTGGGACACTATCATCTTGGAAAAGACAACATATAGTGACCCAGACTTCAACCTTATATATTTTGTTCTGAATTTGTAAAGTTCTCCCTTTTTTTCTTCTTGGTTCTCCATTGATCAGCATGCACTTTCATTTTTCCCATAGGAAATCTTTATTTCACCAATGCCTTTGTTTCTGAAACACTGATAGAAGTTCTGCGGATCAATACTACTTACCGCCGTGTTCTTCTTAAAGTCACAGTGGACATGCCTAGGCATATTGTTGTAGATCCCAAGAACAGATACCTCTTCTGGGCTGACTATGGGCAGAGACCAAAGATTGAGCGTTCTTTCCTTGACTGTACCAATCGAACAGTGCTTGTGTCAGAGGGCATTGTCACACCACGGGGCTTGGCAGTGGACCGAAGTGATGGCTACGTTTATTGGGTTGATGATTCTTTAGATATAATTGCAAGGATTCGTATCAATGGAGAGAACTCTGAAGTGATTCGTTATGGCAGTCGTTACCCAACTCCTTATGGCATCACTGTTTTTGAAAATTCTATCATATGGGTAGATAGGAATTTGAAAAAGATCTTCCAAGCCAGCAAGGAACCAGAGAACACAGAGCCACCCACAGTGATAAGAGACAATATCAACTGGCTAAGAGATGTGACCATCTTTGACAAGCAAGTCCAGCCCCGGTCACCAGCAGAGGTCAACAACAACCCTTGCTTGGAAAACAATGGTGGGTGCTCTCATCTCTGCTTTGCTCTGCCTGGATTGCACACCCCAAAATGTGACTGTGCCTTTGGGACCCTGCAAAGTGATGGCAAGAATTGTGCCATTTCAACAGAAAATTTCCTCATCTTTGCCTTGTCTAATTCCTTGAGAAGCTTACACTTGGACCCTGAAAACCATAGCCCACCTTTCCAAACAATAAATGTGGAAAGAACTGTCATGTCTCTAGACTATGACAGTGTAAGTGATAGAATCTACTTCACACAAAATTTAGCCTCTGGAGTTGGACAGATTTCCTATGCCACCCTGTCTTCAGGGATCCATACTCCAACTGTCATTGCTTCAGGTAAGTGCACTCCAGGTGCTGCTTGTCCTGCAAGTAGACACAATGGGGTCAACACACATGGATGACTGAGTGTTTCTAATGCATATGAGACTCTAATGTCTTTGTGTGTGCTTGTGTGTGTGTCTGCCTGTATGTGTCCAGGTATAGGGACTGCTGATGGCATTGCCTTTGACTGGATTACTAGAAGAATTTATTACAGTGACTACCTCAACCAGATGATTAATTCCATGGCTGAAGATGGGTCTAACCGCACTGTGATAGCCCGCGTTCCAAAACCAAGAGCAATTGTGTTAGATCCCTGCCAAGGGTATGCCATCATCTTCCTTGTTATATTTCTGTCTGCTTATTTCTGGAAAAAATGGGGCCTGAAATTATGTTCATAGATAGCCAATGTGTTATGGGCTTATAAAACTATGGCTACAGATTCAAAAATGAAAGCATATTGAGTGATTTTACGTGGGAAGGAGGGTGCAGCGCATAGCTCCCTTTGATGGCAGAAAGGTTGGCAACATACTAGGAAGTCAACACCCTGACTTACTAGATCTCCTTTGGACAAGTTGTGTAAGTAGAAATGAAGTTTCTTTTGCCATGTTACTGGCAATTTGCAATTAAAGAATATTGTCCTTTTTTTTTTTTTTAAAGGACTATGAGGTTCCCTGTGAATTAATTATTGACTCCTTTTGTATGACTAGGTACCTGTACTGGGCTGACTGGGATACACATGCCAAAATCGAGAGAGCCACATTGGGAGGAAACTTCCGCGTACCCATTGTGAACAGCAGTCTGGTCATGCCCAGTGGGCTGACTCTGGACTATGAAGAGGACCTTCTCTACTGGGTGGATGCTAGTCTGTAGGTGTCTCTGGTTACTCATGTGGGTGTTAAGAAGAGGTTTTTCTTCCATTTCCAAAGAAGAGGGATTTGCATCATGTGATGAAAATATAGCATGCCAGATAGACATTGCCAGAATATAGAATCACAGTTTTAGGAACTATGTTTATATTGGAACTTGGTGAACATACTGTGAAAATTTATCTATATCATGCATTGAATAATTATGAACTAAAAGACATCTAAAGATGCATTGCTAAATATATCTATAATTTCAGCTATAATTATAAATGTATTTTCTCAATTTAGAATTACAAATGAAATTACTCAACTTACATTCTGCAGGCCCTAGGTAACTGCTATAAAATCTGAATGACTTTTAAATGCCAATTGATATTATGTTTTTTTCTGGGCTTTAGCATTCAATGTCTTTTAGAAAATTCTTTTCTTAAAAAAAAAAAAAGAAAATTCTTTTCTTCAGTCTTTGACTTTTTGTCATCTTTTCAAATAGACCCTTTCTTCTCTGGCAAGCTTCTCCTCAGCGCATTTCTTAATATTTTCCTTTTGTCAACTCTAATTTTGTATGTAACTTCTCCAAGTACCCCCCATATGTCTCACATTCCAGTCATCCTAATGGAATAGTTGAAGGGATGAAATGATTTTGTTTATTATGGCTGGTGTCTACATATCGGGAATCTTAATTTTTCTTGCATATTTCTTTGGAATTTTAGTCTTTTGATGCCAAGACCTAACCTCCTGATCTTTTCTTTATTCTCCTATTTGAAACAAAGCAGTGATGCTTTGAGTCTAAGCTTGGATTATTCTAGGTAAACACCTCAAGGTACTCAATAAACATCAAATTGAAAAAGTCACTAAGGAAGTGGGATGGAAAAGTTATTGTTTTATTGAGAGTCTGCTATGTGCTTAACACTGAGTTCCATGCATTACATGGATTATTTCATGTTTTCCTGTTTCTAATATCAACCTGATTCCTTTTGTAGGATTACTATTCATATTTGGAA
Organism: Homo sapiens; assembly: GCF_000001405.40. Lineage (NCBI taxonomy): Eukaryota > Metazoa > Chordata > Mammalia > Primates > Hominidae > Homo > Homo sapiens. Next base: position 169,204,477 of record NC_000002.12, on the reverse strand, counting down.
GTCAATGATTTTATATAGGCTATTGTTTGATAAGCAAACAAGACCTCCCATCACCAGAAGAAACATTTCCAGCTGCCATATGCCCCATTTGAAAAGAAAGTTTGCAGCTTGTGTAAACAATGATGAGGCGCATGCATTGGGCTGCCAGTTGAAAACTTAACTCACTTGAGATTTCAACTTCTAAATTTTTTTTTGCTTCATTTTAGGCAGAGGATTGAACGCAGCACTCTGACGGGCGTGGATCGTGAAGTCATTGTCAATGCAGCCGTTCATGCTTTTGGCTTGACTCTCTATGGCCAGTATATTTACTGGACTGACTTGTACACACAAAGAATTTACCGAGCTAACAAATATGACGGGTCAGGTCAGATTGCAATGACCACAAATTTGCTCTCCCAGCCCAGGGGAATCAACACTGTTGTGAAGAACCAGAAACAACAGTGTAACAATCCTTGTGAACAGTTTAATGGGGGCTGCAGCCATATCTGTGCACCAGGTAAGGCACTGACCATGAAAATTAGAACATGGAGAATAATGATCACAATACCAATTGGTAAGGAAAGCTGAAGTTCTCACAGGAGAAAAAATTCAAATTCTCCTTGATGTCAGGGTAATTTATGAAACAGACCTGGGGCTATATTTTGAGAGGAAGACTTGGCAGGCTTCTTTTCTAATCTATATGGAGCCCTTTTATGAAAGCATTTTCTTTTATTTTATTTTTGAGACGGAGTCTCACTCTGTCGCCCAGGCTGGAGTGCAGTGGCGGGATCTCAGCTCACTGCAACCTCCACCTCCTGGGTTCATGCCATTCTCCTGCTTCAGCCTCCCTAGTAGCTGGGACTACAGGCACACGACGTGTCCAGCTAATTTTTGTATTTTTAGTAGAGACGGGGCTTCACCATGTTGGCCAGGCTAGTTTCAAACTCTTGGCCTCAAGAGATTGCCCACCTCGGCCTCCCAAAATGCTGGGATTACAGGCGTGAGCCACAGCACTCAGCCTATGAAGGCATTTTAAATACAAGCTTGATGGAGTTAGAAAGAAAGATGAAGGCCTTGGCTGCCCTACTTCATGTCTTGACTAAGAATTCTGTCAATGAGCTGGCCTTCCTTATAAAAGGATTTACATTTTCTGCTTAAGAGGTATTATTTATAGTTTGAAATATTTCTGGTGATATTTGCGGGTGGGATCATATGTGCTTCATTGTGCATTTTATAAAGAACAACAAATTCACGGGAAGATGTGCCTTTTGATGTTGTTGCTTTGCAAATTTTGCTGAGAAGAGTCGTTGATATTTCCTGTTGTTTAGAAGGAATCGGCACATTTATTAGAAATTGGTGATTGCTCTTCTTGATGGAAAAGTGACTCAGAATATAGTTAAAAGGTTAATGGGCAGAACTTCCATGGCGCTTCTTAGGGAGCATTTAATGTAGAAGCTGTTGCAAGTGCTATTGTGGAGGGGTCAATGTGAACGGTGGCTGCATCCATCTTTTACTTCTTCTGGGATTATCTTTCTTCAGGTCCAAATGGTGCCGAGTGCCAGTGTCCACATGAGGGCAACTGGTATTTGGCCAACAACAGGAAGCACTGCATTGTGGACAATGGTGAACGATGTGGTGCATCTTCCTTCACCTGCTCCAATGGGCGCTGCATCTCGGAAGAGTGGAAGTGTGATAATGACAACGACTGTGGGGATGGCAGTGATGAGATGGAAAGTGTCTGTGGTGAGTTGGACTCTTGGCGCTTTTGGTAGGAGCTAATGGCATCTTGATGTCAAGTGTTTGGTATGGAATCCTGCTATGTGTGAATGTGTTTGAAATGTGTGCCTAGGCATCCTGGTAGAGCTGAAAAATGTTTCCTCTGATAATCCAGACTGTTTCTGTTAAATCACCTCTGTAGTGGTTAAGAGCACAAGCACAATCATCATCCTGGTGATCGCATTTGTAATCTGTATAGACCTGGGAAAGTTACTTAATATCTCAAGCCTCAGACATCTCATCTGTAAAATGGAGCTACTACTAGGGTTCTTGCGAGGAGTAAGAGAAACAATATGTAAAAATCCCTTAGCATGAGGCATGGTGCAAGCTAAGTCTAGCTTAGCTTGGGACTAAGGAAACGTATCATTTTACCAATTTTCGTAGCACAAAGGTCATTATTTCAAAAATTTTATGAAAATAACTTCCAATCCTCAGCTTCCATCTGAATAGAGTGAATAAAACACAGTGGACTTTCTCAGGGAGTTCTGAGGTTGGTTACCTTTTCCTAGCAGACTGTGATAGGGGCTAGGAGTTTTTATTTTCCTGAAATAAACTATAATTGCATGCTTTTTGTGATTGAGATAAATTGAGATTATAGAGAAACAGAATGACTTTGATTTGTGCTTAAATTACTTGATTTGTGCCTAAAACAATTTTAAAAATGTATACAACATATTTTGCTTAATCTAACTAATTAAAAGTGTTATCTCACTTTGCATGCAGTCCATTTTGCAGCGTTTTTTGCCTTGGAAGGTAAATTCAAAGTGTCTCTTTTATTTAATTGTATCTTTTTAAAAATTAGGATAATGTTTTAATCAAGAGGGTTTGTTCTCATGTTTTTCCTGTTCTTAGCACTTCACACCTGCTCACCGACAGCCTTCACCTGTGCCAATGGGCGATGTGTCCAATACTCTTACCGCTGTGATTACTACAATGACTGTGGTGATGGCAGTGATGAGGCAGGGTGCCTGTTCAGGGACTGCAATGCCACCACGGAGTTTATGTGCAATAACAGAAGGTGCATACCTCGTGAGTTTATCTGCAATGGTGTAGACAACTGCCATGATAATAACACTTCAGATGAGAAAAATTGCCGTAAGTTTATCTTAAGTGCTTATTGTGATTTTGGGTCTGAAGTCTTGGATCACAGGAGATGAAATTATTATATAAAAAAAAGGCTTTCCAAAAATAAAAACCCTAAGTATTTATCTAAAACGTAAATTTTTGGCTAGGCGCGGTAGCAAGTATCAACAAATACCAATCTTGTTTCATTTTTCTCTCCTTTTTTCTAGTATTTTAAAGTGACTCCTAGTCATGCACTTCACTGATAACATTTTGGAAAATAACTACCATGCCATTATAATGCCTGGCAAAATCAAAAGTGCTTACTAAATATCCCTGAGTACCTAGTCCATGTTCAAATTTTGTCACTTATCCCCAAAATGTATTTTTACTGTTCTCTGTTCAAGTTAGGGTTCAGATGAGATCTACAACTGATTTTGATTGTTATAATTCTTCAATCTCTTTTATGCCACAACACTTCCCACTTTTTAATGTCATTGATTCATTAGAAAGATTAGGTGATTTGTCCTGTAGAATATCTCACATTCTGGACTTGACTAATTGCATAATTGATCCATTTAATTTATCTTATCCCTCTTATTTCCTATGAACTGGTATGTAGACCTAGAGTTTTGATCATAACAGGTGCAATTCTTTGGGTAAGAGTATTTCAGAGGTGGAGCTGTGCCTTTCCTGTTGCATCACCTTATGAGGCACATGATGTTTTGTTGCCCCACTTTAAGTGGATTCTGGTGTCAGCCTGAATCATCTCTTATGAAGCTCCCATCATCCTTTCACCCAGTGGTTTTAGCATCCATCGGTGGTTGTTCCGTAAACCCATTATTTCTTTAAGAGTTATGAATGGGCTCTTTAGAATTCTAGTGTTCCTGCCGCATTTATTAGCTGAAGTTTGATAAAGAAGACATTTCCCTTACCAGCTTTTGTTGGTAATTAGAATCTACAGGATAAATACCTTTTGCTTGTCAATTTTCAGAGTAATGAGTTGGTGACAAAGGAGAATTAACTTTTTGTTTAGTTTAGTTTAGTTTAGTATTATATTGAACTCTTTGATCTTCATGTATTTGATGAGTTTTAATACAGTGCTGTCAACTGTTTTTTCTTGGTGCCCAGTTGTCCAAACTTAGGCCAATGGGAGTCCTTAACTTGAATTTTCTGTTCTTTGGCATGACCCCAATCCATCTTCTTATAGCTCAAGCTTGTCTTATATTTCCTGTCCCAGTCCTGGAATTAGCCACTTATCCAAGGAGACCTCATTCCCTTTGTGGTACTTAGAAATTATCACAGGGTTGAGTTGCTCATTCCTACTTAGCTTTCATTGCTTCTAGTCCTTTTCAATGGTCAGAGCTAGGAAATACAGTTTTTAAGGAAAAAAAATTTTTTTATTTTTTTGAGATGGAGTCTTGCTCTATCGCCCAGGCTGGAGTGCAGTGACGCGATCTCAGCTCACTGCAAGCTCTGCCTCCCGGGTTCACGCCATTCTCCTGCCTCAGCCTCCCGGGTAGCTGGGACTACAGGCACCCGCCACCATGCCTGGCTAATTTTTTGTATTTTTTAGTAGAGACGAGGTTTCACCATGTTAGCCAGGATGGTCTCGATCTCCTGACCTCATGATCCGCCCACCTTGGCCTCCCAAAGTGCTGGGATTACAGGCGTGAGCCACTGCACCCGGCCAGAAAAAATTTTTATTGATATTTCCCATTGAAATTTAAGATTACAGGTTGTTTACATTTTAGATTTTATAATGACATCTCTTCTTATGCTTAAAATCATAGTTTCTCTTGACATTTAGTTGTTTTATTATATAGTAATTTCAAAATGCCTATAATAATTTCAACATTATTATAACCACTCAAAGAATACTATTAACAATAAGTCTACTAAGTGCGAGATTCTTCTTGCTTTTTAGATTATGTCCCACTAGAGATATGCAGTCAAAGGTATGACTTTAAAGATATTTGGAATTTTTTTTTCTGCAGGGTTATGCTATCAACCTGATATATAGTTAGCTTTATCTATTGCTGTTTCCAAATTTTATTTTATTTTATTGATTTTATTTGTACAAAATAGCATACATAGTTCCAAAGTTAAAACTACATGACGAGGTGCATTTATAGAAGTCCTTCATTTCTTCCTCTCCTTTCTGCTTCCTCTGTGCTCTTCTCAGTCTATCCAGAGAGATGACAATTTTTGTTAGTTTATCTTTTCTTTGTTGTTATTGTTTTTAATATAAGCATCTCTCTCTTGCTACACACACACACATACACTTATATCGTCCTTTTTCTTACACAAAAGTTAGCCTACTGTTTTGAATCTTGCTTTCTTACTATTAACAATATATCCTGAAGATTATACTGTCATTACTTATCAGTATATAGAAATCTTCTTTATTCCTTTAATAGCTACATATTACTCCATTGTGTGGAAATGCCATAGTTTATTTTACCAAGAGTTGGAACTCTTGTTGATGCTATTAATTAATGAAAACAGATGATTTAAGTTACAAACCAGTGTCTCCTCTCCCTTCTCCCCAGTATCAGCTGGAAATATGTTTTTTTACTACAGAATCTATAGGTAACATAAGTATCATGGATCCTGCCTTTCTGATGGCTTTGAAAATGCCGCCCTTCCAGTGGTTTGAGTTCCACAATAGATGTGTTAGCACGGATACTGTTCATAATACATATTTGGTGGATATATTCCTAATATTTATCTGGTTGTCTTTTTCAAGCTGATCGCACTTGCCAGTCTGGATACACAAAATGTCATAATTCAAATATTTGTATTCCTCGCGTTTATTTGTGTGACGGAGACAATGACTGTGGAGATAACAGTGATGAAAACCCTACTTATTGCAGTGAGTAAGATAAAACTGCTTTCTTTCTATCGTTCCAGAGATGCATGTTGTGAGCTAATACAAAGATATGAAGCGTGGGTATTCGGGCTGATTTCAATTGTCATTTCACATTGACCTTCTAAGTAGAGGTGGTAGGCAGTTGCTTTCATATGTGATTGCAGGGGTATGAGAAACTCTTTCTCTCTGTTCCCTGGCTAGAATTCCCAGACCCTGAATATTTCTTCCAGAGATCTGCTACTATTGGAGAGCCATTTCTCCCAGTGTTGAAAGCCTTTTGCCTTCATGTACTTAGGCAGAATTTGCCCGTTAAGCCCTTATAATTTACTCTTAATATTATTATAGTGGCCATCAGTAACTGAAAATTATTTTTTTTTCAGACAGTCTCACTCTGTCACCTGGGCTGTAGTGTAGTGGTGTGATCACAGCTCACCGCAGCCTCTGCCTCCTGTGCTCAAGCCATCCTCCCATCTCAGCCTCCTGAGTAGCTGGGATTACGTGCATGTGACACCATGCCCAGCTAATTTTTGTATTTTTTGTAGATATGGGGTTTCTCTGTGTTACCCAGGCTGGTCTGGAACTCTTGGGCTCAAGCGATCCACCCATCTCAGCCTCCCAAAGTGCTGGGATTACAAGTATGAGCCACCGTGCCTGACCAGTAACTGAAAGTATCTTTATATCCCCTAGATACGTTGGAATTTCAGAAATCTCTATTTCGTATTTAGCAATTTGGTTCATTCAAACAATTTCCTGTATTTATAGCTCAAATTAAAAGGCCTTTCTTAAGTTTGATAACTTTGAGACTATTAGTGTAAATAGATACATAATTTAAGGATTTAGTGATTGGACTTCCCTGTTCTGTGTATATGTAGTTAAACTCTTGTCACTGGCCCCTCCCAAGGAAATCAAAGGGCATCATAATTATTTGTCACCAAATTAGGGTACAGCACAGGAAGAGGAATCTGTTGTAATAACAGCAGCACAAGGAAGCAGAATTCAGGTTGCAGCCACCAGATAGGGCTAGACAGATAGGAATTATTGCTGACTTTTCAGGGACCTCTGCTTCCATTGTCAGTTCTCCCCTGGCAAATCATCAGATATCAGGGGCCAAAGCAAAACGGCCTTATAGACCAGAAGAATTACAAGACTTTAATTAGATGTGCACCCACATAACAATTTGGAAAATGCATATAACCAGAGCTACCTAAAATTACTGGAGAAAAGAGTCAATGTTCAAACATAGGCAGAGTTTCCCACTTACTCAACTAAAAGTCTGGTATTCCAAGGATGAATACGAAGATAACTTTGCCAACTTTCTAGAGTTATTATCTAACATAGCTAAAAGGTTGTGTGTGGAGCGAGCTTAGATATGATCACATTATTGTTTTGCTTTTAATTATCATTGCAATGGAATTTATTTAATCTTACATTATAGTAGAAAAAATAAAACCAAGACTTATAATTTGTGATTTCATTTATCACAAAGATAGTTCTTTGGTATTTCTAACAAATACAATTTTTTTTTTTTGATTTCTGGAATCTAGAAAAACAAATTGGGGAATTGGGGCAGGATTGACTTCCTTCTGTCTCCCATACTTCTTCCTCCCCACAGAAAGCTTACACAAGCATCCATTTTCCAGGCTCAGTCTTCCTTTTTTGGTAACTATTATCTAGCTCAGAGATAGAGGCAGATTGTTAAGACTGATGGGAACATGCTTGTGTTTTGCTCATGGGTTTTATCTTCTTTCCCTCCTGCAGCCACTCACACGTGCAGCAGCAGTGAGTTCCAATGCGCATCTGGGCGCTGTATTCCTCAACATTGGTATTGTGATCAAGAAACAGATTGTTTTGATGCCTCTGATGAACCTGCCTCTTGTGGTAAGAGAGTAAGCAAGCATGAAAAACATCACGATGCAGCTAGACAACTTCAGTCTCTTCCAACTGCTTCAAATACAGACCAGGGTCATGGCTGCTGAATGCTTGGACTTCCTGTCCCAGCTTTCATCTGGAATGCTGACACCGCTCAGCGGATATTCATTAAGACCTGTTAGTGGAGAGCACTGTGTGGGGAGCTGATCAGGATACGGAAGCTGCTGATTGATGCTGATAAAATGAAATTATATTGGTGATGCACCTAATACAGTGCTTAGCTGGTAGAACTTAATTTTAGTTGGCTCTCAATTGAAGTTTCTGAATTTGGTTGAGTGCTGGCCCAGAAAGCTGTCAGAGGACCTAAAAGTGATTGGAGTCATATACATGGGGAAGGAGTATATTAGGAGCATGCATCCTCTTCCTGTTCTCTCTCTGTGCCAGTTTATGAGCACAAGAGGCCCAAGAAGTTGCAGGAGCCTTTGGTTGTATTCCTGGGGACAGTTATGCCCTGTTTACATTTGGAGGCTGCTATTTGCCTTCACAAATTCTAATCTATATCCATGCACATTTTTTACATAATTGTAAAAATATAAAAATACAATCTTCTACATTGCTTTAAAAAACCTGTCAATAAATCATATTGCTATATAGGAGTCAGAAAACTATGGCTGTGGCCAGTTGCCTGTCTTTATAGATAGCATTTTACTCAAATGCAGCCACATATGGCTGCTGTCCCTCTACTATGGCCACGTCCTGTAGGTGCAACAGAGACCATAGGGCCTGTAAGCCTAAAATATTTACTATCTAGTTAAAAAGTTTGCTCGTCCTTGTCTTCATACTGCCTTTTAATGACTATAATATTCCATTGAGTGGTTATAGTATCATCAAATTAACTGCCTCTATTATTAAGCATTAGGTTGCTTTTATTTTATTCCTCTATAGTATATATCATTGCAGTAAATATTAACATCGTATTTAAAACATTTTATTTTCAGGATATTTTCTTAGGATCATTAGTATAGTTTTATAGCTGAAGTCAAACTATTTTCAATTCCAGTTTTCTCTCAGGTTTAAATTCTGTGTTGAAGAGTGGTATTTGGAGTGCTTCACTAAGTTCTTTTTCCCCAACACTGAAAGTTTTATAGAAAGCAAAGGGCACATAGAGTTTTGAGGACCTGTAAAGGAAATAACTAATAACTGCTGGATGAGTAGAATAGTCTTAGAGATTGTTTCAAATGTATGAATTATTGGTTCAAATATATGAATAATTAATATGAGTTTTTAAACTTCTCTATGGTAACAAAAGCCATAGTAATAGCAGTGAGTACCAATGACCTGATATATTTAAATAAAAATAAGCACATAATCTATATATGAATATATCCTCATTGTAGTAAAGTAATAATATTCAGAAATATATTTTAAAGAAATAATACGATGTACAAAAAAGTAAAATTTACATTTTTTCATCCTTCTCCAATCCCCTCACTCCTCAAAGGTAATCACTATTAAAAGGTTGAGTGTGAATTTGACTTACTTTTATCTTTTATATATCTTACTTTACTTTTATATATCTTGATATATAGATTTTAAAAAAACAGATGGAGTCTTACTATACATATTTTCTGCAATTAGCTTTTATTTTTTAAGCTTAACATCATGTCAGCAAATACAGACCAGCCTCATTCCTGTACACTGCCAAAGAATATTTTAAAATGCGAATGGTCCATGTATTTTTATCCTTTTCCTAGTGGTTGGACATTTAGGTTGTTTCCATTTTTTCACTATGAAAAACAGTGTCAGGGTGAACATCCTTTGTGCACATGTGGAAAGATCCTTATGGTCTAGATGTCCAGAAATGGTGCTGCTGTATCAAAGGAGATATGTCTCTTCAAAAAATCTGGATCAGGCCAGGCGCGGTGGCTCACGCCTGTAATCCTAGCGCTTTGGGAGGCCAAGGCAGGCGGATCACAAGGTCAAGAGATCGAGACCATCCTGGCCAACATGGTGAAACCTGTCTCTACTAAAAACACAAGAATTAGCCGGGCGCGGTGGCACACGCCTGTAATCCCAGCTACTCAGGCAGGAGAATCACTTGAACCTGGGAGGCGGAGGTTGCAGTGAGCCGAGATCGCACCACTGCACTCCAGCCTGGCCACAGAGTGAGACTCTGTCTCCAAAAAAAAAAAAAAAAAAAAAAGTCTGGATCAATGTACACACTTTTCATAGCAGCTTCTGAAAGAGCCTGTTTCTTGTTACTGTTATGATATAGGCTGTGTCTTTATCAGTTGCAACTATACTTTCTCTTGCCTTAGGCTAATTCCAGGGTCCCCTGGGTTTGGGAGCCTATGACACCTTCATTAGTTAAATAGGAACATGTGGGGTTAGGGTTAGAGCATCTGAATCAGTGATGGCTAATTTGAAGTAGAAGAGTGACTTATTTTAATTCAGTATTTATTGAACAGTGGTGTTCTAGGAACTTTTGGGCTGTGTCAGTGAATAAGACAACAATCCCTACCCACATGGAGCTAATATTCTAAAGAGGGGAGACAGGCAACCAATCAGTAAATTGTCTAGTATGTTGAAAGGTGGTGCTAAGTGTTATGGAAAGAAGGAAAGGGAGCAAGGAAGCGGGCATGGGGAGTGCAGGCGAGGGGAGACTTTGCACAAAACAAAATGGTTTTGGATGAAAAGTAGATTTTAAAATAGAAACATGTGAAATAGTAGGTAATTCATATCTTTCCTGGGAAAAGAAGTGTTCTTTCTCTACCATACACATAAGGGAATATTGTATCTCATTTTAGTCACCAAAGATAATTAGGGCTTTGCACTGTCAGTTGACTACTTTTACCTCAAACTGTTGGTCGCTGGTACTAGTCTTATTGGAGGACTACCCTAGATGTATATAATTAAATAATGCTCTGTTTCAGGTTTTCTAGACAACCCATGCTACAACCAGCTTGTCTCCAGATTCCTGGACTGTAAACCACTTTTTTTCACTGAGAATGCTATTGATCTTTTCAGGTCACTCTGAGCGAACATGCCTAGCTGATGAGTTCAAGTGTGATGGTGGGAGGTGCATCCCAAGCGAATGGATCTGTGACGGTGATAATGACTGTGGGGATATGAGTGACGAGGATAAAAGGCACCAGTGTCGTAAGTGAAGCCAATTAATTCCTCTGCAGAGTCACATTCCAGGGAAACACAGTAGAGTTGTTTTTCTGTGTTTGGAGAGTATGATTGCAGATTTCTCTGTAATTGAATGGACACTGATAGAATGTTACCTTTGTTTCTCCATGCTGGGAGTGTTTGATATCATCCACTTAAATGCTTCAGAGTGATGAAAAATGACTTTATGTTTACTTTCTTTCTCTTACATTTGGCTAATGGACATAATGTCCTACATTTCTAGGGGAAAAAAAAAACCCACAAATACTTGGTTGTCTCCTTTTCTTTTTTCTTTTCTTTCTTTCTTTTTTTTTTTTTTTGACAAGGTCTTACTCTGTTGCCCAGGCTGGAGTGCAGTGGCGGTATCATGGCTCAGTGCAGCCTCCACCTTCCAGGCTCAAGCGATCCTCCCACTTCAGCCTCCCAAGTAGTTGGGACCATACGCCCACCACCATGCCTGGCTGATTTTTTATACTTTTTTTTTTGTAGAGACGAAGTCTCACTATATTGGCTAGGCTAATCTCAAACTACTGGGCTCAAGCAGTCCTCTTGCCTTGGCCTCCCAAAGTGCTGGGATTACAAGCATGAGCCACTGCACCCAGTGGTTGGCCACTCTTAATAGCAACCTTCACAGTATAACAATGAACTGTCTCTGGTTTCCTTTGTCACCTTAAAGCGGCATGGAGGGAGGGGTGTTATGCCTCTTGAGTAGATAATGGAACATCATTTTCATTACCAACAGGGTATGGAAATCTTAGCTAGTTCAAGAATTAATCTAATCGGTGTTAGAATAATGTCTTTCTATGGTAGGGCAATAGACTCAATGGCTCCCTGCTGCTTGCATCTGATGGCACCCTCCTGTGTTGTGACTTTGGTGGTGGGTCACAACTCCACATTTACCCTATCCACCCTATCCACTGACATGGGTGGTTTTCAGCTACACATACATGGATTGTGGTGTATGCATTTCTCTCACCTGTCTTTACCAACATCATCTTCTTTCTTTTGTTTCCTATTCACCTGCAATGAGTCTGGATAAAACCCCTGTTCTTTTATTTTGTGGACACTAATGATTTGATGTCAGCATCTCACCTCTTTCCTCATAGCATCATGGTTTCTGACAACTCTGTTAGCATATGCCTTTCCTCTCCACCCCAATATTGCTTGGGGTGGTAGCTATAATGTAGTTGGAAAAGCACTAAATTTGGAGGAGAAAGACCTAGGTTTGAAGCCCCAGCTCTTCACCTAGTTCTATGACTTTGAGACATCCAGTTAACCATCTTTGAGCTTCAGTTTTCTCATCTATACAAATGGTGTAAAAATACCTATTTCACATTGTGCTTGTGTGATTATACTTTGTAAACTAAAAAAAGTTACCAAAATATAAGGCATTCGGTATCCAGTTAACAAAATGGTAGTGGTTTTCTGAAGCCCTAAGGGAAAAAGTATGACCATTCTAATGTATTTTATGGAAAAATAAATGAGACATTTTATTGTATTGATTTCTTTGAAAAAGCCAGGGTCCAAAGCAATTAAAATGGAATCTTTGGAGGTATTTTTATTATGATCTATTATTATAATAGCAGTGTAATTTGTCTACGTGTTTTCCTCCCATTTCCTTTCATACTTAGAATGGTAAGTAACATTAAAGCAAAGAGAATTAACTGCTGCACTGAGCTCTCATGCTTTCTGATTCTTGCGTGCTTTGGTTTCAGAGAATCAAAACTGCTCGGATTCCGAGTTTCTCTGTGTAAATGACAGACCTCCGGACAGGAGGTGCATTCCCCAGTCTTGGGTCTGTGATGGCGATGTGGATTGTACTGACGGCTACGATGAGAATCAGAATTGCACCAGGAGAACTTGCTCTGAAAATGAATTCACCTGTGGTTACGGACTGTGTATCCCAAAGATATTCAGGTGAATTGAGGATTCAGAAGTTACCCAGCATGCCTCAAATGTCCATGGGGGCTGGGCTCACTTACCTATCAGGCACCCCGTGGCCACAGTGCCCAGGGCCCATGATGCTTTTAGTGGCTTATGAAAATGTTTGGATTCCTTTCCAAATCAAAGGGAAAAAAAACTTTTACATCAAAGAAAGTATTTTAATATATAATATTAATATATCTGGCTTTATACCAATATGATTGCATTAAAATGAAAAGAAGTTACTTGAATTATTAATACATAATACCATATTAACAATTTAAAATTAAATATAATTTTTAATATTTTTATGGAGGAAGGAACCCAAGAAGGCAAAAATGCCTAGGGCCTGTGAAAGACAGAATCTGGCCTTGCACAGAGGGCCAGGGAGATGAATGGATAGGGCTTGAGATAAGAATTCTTTCTTGAAGCTGGTGACCCGCTTAGTTTTCCACTTGGAGTAGAGGCATTGGTATTACAAGAACTGTTTCACTCTCTTCTCTCTACTACAAGAAAAATAACAGCACAAGCATGATGATAAATAGAGCTTGGCTCTTAGGCTCAGAGTCAAGTAGAGGCAGGTGGAGTGAACTGAGACAATGTCTCCAACTAAGGATGCAGACATTGATCAATATCATGCAGAAGGGCTGGAAGGCCAGACTTTCTGATGCTCTCTTTTTGACAGAAGTTGGAAATCTGGATTTTCATTTGAAATACTCTGATTTTAAATGCTGGAAACAAATTTTAAAATTCTTAAAACACTGTGTGGATCAAACAGATTCGGCTCACAGCCTGCTGGTTTGGGGGACCTCTCCTGCAATGTTCCATTGTTTGACTTCTTACCTCTTTCTCCAAATGGGCCTCTTCAAACAGTTTATATACATTCTTAACATCCCAACTTCTCATCATCCCACTTAACAAATACTTGGATTATGGAAGGAAATGGAGAAGAACAATTTGTAAGTTTCAATCCTGATTGACTAGGAAAATAGTACGAGCATTAGCAAAAGTAGGGGAGTCCAGAAAGGCGCTTGCTCAAGGTGGAAGGTGAGTTTGACATAGTAGGACTTCCTGAGGTGAAAGTATGTCTTAGGTATTTGGGCACAACTGGAGCCGTGAAGAGATATTGCTTGTGCCAAGGACTGTTAAGGGACACACACAGGCACATTGAGAGCATCAGGAATGGCCACCTTACAGCATGCGAAGGAAGACAGTGGGAAAGATATACTAAGTAGGCACAAGATCAGAGAAGCAGAGTCACAGGGGCCATTGACTGGAGGGGCAGGCAGCTCATCAACAGGCGCTAATGTACCGTTGGAGTCCAGTGTGGTGTACGATTGTGTGTTTATTGTGGTGGTCCTGAGGAAGAAGGAGGAGGTGAAGGAGCAGGGACTCAGCAGTAATTTAAAAAGTAGATAAATGCTATCAGGAAAATACACTCTGTGGGTGATTCATCCTCTGATGAGTGGACATTGCTGAGAGGTGGTAGTTTGTGAACTGACAATGCAAAGACATTCAAGAGGTGGAGCTGTCTTCTTTTGTAGTGAAGCTGCAGTAGAATATGCTTTGTTTGTATTTAAGTAATATGAATGTAAAGTGTAGATTTTTATTTTTTGCACCTAAAGTGGATAAATCTTTGTCTATATTTTCTCCCTACTGCTCAAGAGTTCTATTGTGTTGCACTTCTATAGTTTTTCTGAATTTGGTAAATAGCTAATAGCATTAGTCTTAGATGTAAATATATTCTGAATACCTAGGCTTAGACTCTAGGCACAAGAATGGTAGCAGGTGTTGATTTTGATCAGACTCCAAGTTATCTCCTTTATTCCTCCCATTCTGAGCTTTCTGGGTTCTTCCTTTATCATTACTATGATCTCACAGCACAGTAACATTTCCTCTCTCCCTTTCTTTGTTCGTCCATTGTTCCTTCCTTCACTTTCCCTCCCTTTCTCTCTCTCTTTCTTTTTTTCCTTGAGCTTTCTGAATTTCCTTGAAAAGGGCTATAGTAGAAGAGAAAAAAAAATACTGTTTGTTTGAAAACCTGAGCTATCAGCTTCTAAGTAAGTCCAAAATCTGTGTCTGGAGTAGCCTCTACTAGGTGTGCTGTTAGTGTGCATCTCCTTGCTTGCTTGGCAGAAAGTGTGCTCCCCATTTGGTACAGTGGGACAGGAGATCATTTTTCCTATTGACCTTCTTTTTTTCTTGGCTCACTACTGATGCTGCTGAAAAACATGGATGATAAGACTGAGGGGTGACAATTTGGTGATGAGCTGGAATACTGACTTGCAATAGTGTCTGAAAGCTTGGTGATTTGCTTGATGACTTGTTTTTCCTCCTGCATTGGATCTAAATTAGACAAAGGAAAACATTGGTGTTTTCAAACCATTTGGAAATGAGTTAAATAGCTCCCGGGAGACCAAATGAAGCTGAGCCAGTCTGCCTTGACCACAGCTTTCTTCACAATTACATGCACACATTTTGCTGTAAATCATGTTGACAAGGCCCTGGGTTTATGGATGGCAGTGCTGGTTAGCAGGCCTGGTTATAGGTCAGTTGTAAAACTGACCACATTCACCGTTGTTGCCTTCACATTTTGTAATGCTCTATGTGCCGCTCCTATGCTTTCTATGATAAATTGTTCAAAACCATTAGCTTTGTTCACTCTTATCAAAGATTCCTTGATGCATATGTGAGACCCCCTTTAGACATCATAACTTTTATGGGATCTTGGAGTAATATGGAGAAGAAAGGCCAGTTTGGCTCACAGAACTTCAGGAAATTATATTGTTATAATGATGCCTGTGTATGTTAGGTCCCGAGATAGCTTCTAGTACTACAGCATGCCTTCTTCCTTTGCCAGTATGCCATGCTAACCTACTAGCTTGCCTTTATTCACATCACCATGAAGACTCACATCTCATGATAGATGGCAGGAGTGTAATGAAAGATGGAAGGAACAGGACTGACAATGTAAACGTTATTCCAGTGGGAAGATATGTGTTCTTAGAGGACACACCCAATAATCTTATTTATAATATATAGCACTCACCCTATGAGTTTCCATTTGGGTATGGGCACTTTTATCATGTGATTACCCAGTACATTGCCAGTGCCTACTGGCTATCTCATTATCTGTTGAACATAGATAGTGCCACTGTTCATAAGCTGTCTCATAGATCTGATGTATACCAAAATTACAAAAGTTGTATTTAATTAGTTTATCAACTAAGGAAAAAATGAATGCAATTATTTTTAATAGCTATAGACCTACTAATTATCTATAGCTATTAAATGGTAGCATTTAATGGTAGCATTTCTAATGGTAGCAGCCAGCCCCTGAGGAAGTTGTGTGGAATGCCAAATATTGGATTCTTCTAGAATTGGCGATTAGTGGGGTAGACGAAGATGATGGGGGAAAGGGGATCAAGGACACTGGTGATCTTGTCGAAATGGTTGACCTGGCATTTAGGTAGATAAAGAAGGAAGCAAAACCCCAAGTGGGTAATAGTTGAGGTTTATTGCCAACCTCTCTGAAAGTGGTACTGGATCTCATGATACAGGTGTGACCGGCACAATGACTGTGGTGACTATAGCGACGAGAGGGGCTGCTTATACCAGACTTGCCAACAGAATCAGTTTACCTGTCAGAACGGGCGCTGCATTAGTAAAACCTTCGTCTGTGATGAGGATAATGACTGTGGAGACGGATCTGATGAGCTGATGCACCTGTGCCACACCCCAGAACCCACGTGTCCACCTCACGAGTTCAAGTGTGACAATGGGCGCTGCATCGAGATGATGAAACTCTGCAACCACCTAGATGACTGTTTGGACAACAGCGATGAGAAAGGCTGTGGTGAGTACAACAGAGGATTTGGGAAAAGGAAACAGGGGAGACTGAATATGGATTCTCAACCCTTCACGACTTAGACTTTCCAACCTGTCCTCTAACTACAAAGTTACCATAAAATCACTATTCCTGATATAGCAAAAGGTTACCAAAGTTTCTTGGTATATAAGATGGGGACACACATTTTTTTGGACCAATTCTTTGCTTAGATAGTCATTAGAGAGAACAGAAGATGGGCAAATATTCAGGCCATCATTTAACATTATTGCCAAATAAGGTACTCAAGAATGAAGGGAACCAGGTTGATTCTCTTTGAATTCTTGTAATGACTTTTTGCCTGAAGCATCCCTCTGCTAGAACTCGTTGGCCTGTTCTTCATTTTTGTCCTCAGGTAATTGAATGGGAGAGTTTAATATCTCTCTCACCCCAACCACCACAAGTAAAGCAGTTGAGAATCCACAGCATGGGCATTGTTTGCTTAGCACCATCTTGAACTCCATAATATTGGCAGTTCGTCCTGTTTGTGGTGTTTAATCCTTGTAACCATTGTTTCATGTATGTTGATATTGTCTCTGTAATAACAATTTAGAGACCATATCCTTTCATTTATTTTGTTTTCTTTATTCCACTTGTTCATTGTCAGTACTCATTGAAAGCATTTGCCTAATTGACCCAGAAGTATGTAATGTAGTTTTTATCCTTATATGAAAGATAAGATTTATATGAAATAACATTAAAATTAAATGCTAGACAGAAACTGCTGTGGAAATGTGGAGAAGAGATTATCTATGCATAATATTAAAAAATCTGTGCAGCAAACCACCATGGCACGTGTTTACCTATTATAACAAACTTGCACATCCCGCACATGTACCCCTGAACTTAAAAGTTGAAGAAAAAAAAAGAAAAAAATTTAAAAATCATCCAAAAACTGGCTTTTGCTCTATTGTAAGAAAAACTTCTATAAATTTCTACCAAAGTTTCAAAAACCATTTAATAAATTAAGAAAAACATGTGCTATATTATACATTTATACAAAAATCATAGGGAACTTTCTTATGTTTACTCCTAATTCATATAGATTCCCATTGCATTTTAATTAATTTTGCCTTACCTCAACTATAAGAATTAAATCCTCAATAGTACATAATTCAAATTAAAATTTTTAGCTTGAAGACGAAGTGATCTCAGTAGGTCTCATCCAAACCTATGAAACATTCACTCTTACAACTGGAAGGAGTACTAGTGATCTTCTGTACCCTGTTCTCTTTGCAGATAATAAGACTGTAGCCCATAGATGGGAAACGAATTGTTTGGGGGTGCACAGTGAACTAGTGGAAGAGCTTGGCCTGATATTTGGATAATGGATTTTGCAATGCATGAAGTTTTAATCTATTGCTCCTTGATGAGTAGAGAACTAATAAGAACTTGCTGTCCTCCCTCTGTAGATCATTTTTGGGTGAGGTTGCCCATGTGTTACAGGACCAGCCAGAGGGACATGTAGTGTTGTGTTGCACCTAGTGTTGAGCTCATGCCATCTCGTGAGAGGCAAATGTGTGTATCTCTTTGTGGTTCCATGTTCAGTGATGTCACACTGGAAGCCTGAGCTTGACCATGGTGTGAACAGTCACACTGGAACATGCTACAAATCAGAGCATTTAGAAAATTTTTCCTGAGTCCTGTTTGACCAGCACACTGGCCAGGCTCTTTTCTTCTCCTCTTCTTTCTCATTTCTCCTGTATTAGTTGTTGAAACCACTGATGAAGGAGTAAGTTGGTGAGGAAGTTGAAAAATAGTGACTTTTCAATAATCCACAGTCTTTGGAAGTCTTTGTTGTCTGTCTTAGCATGATTCATTAAGAATTGGCACTGTTTAGTAGAAATGTTGACTTTGAACCATTATAGTGAGTTGGTCGTTGATATTTTAGGATCTCTAAGAACTGCTTTTTACCTACAGGCATTAATGAATGCCATGACCCTTCAATCAGTGGCTGCGATCACAACTGCACAGACACCTTAACCAGTTTCTATTGTTCCTGTCGTCCTGGTTACAAGCTCATGTCTGACAAGCGGACTTGTGTTGATATTGATGAATGCACAGAGATGCCTTTTGTCTGTAGCCAGAAGTGTGAGAATGTAATAGGCTCCTACATCTGTAAGTGTGCCCCAGGCTACCTCCGAGAACCAGATGGAAAGACCTGCCGGCAAAACAGTAACATCGAACCCTATCTCATTTTTAGCAACCGTTACTATTTGAGAAATTTAACTATAGATGGCTATTTTTACTCCCTCATCTTGGAAGGACTGGACAATGTTGTGGCATTAGATTTTGACCGAGTAGAGAAGAGATTGTATTGGATTGATACACAGAGGCAAGTCATTGAGAGAATGTTTCTGAATAAGACAAACAAGGAGACAATCATAAACCACAGACTACCAGCTGCAGAAAGTCTGGCTGTAGACTGGGTTTCCAGGTAAGAAAACACTGATGAGCTTTTTAAAAGTTAAAAATTAAAAAATTCTAACCATGTTTTCATCTTGATAGGAAATTAATTTTTCAACTTGGGTTAATATGCAGATACATTTAATGTTTCTGCAGGTTTATTTTCTGCTTTGTATCTGATATTCAAATGATAGATTCAGAACAGAATATCTAATTATTTTAAAAATTTATAGTATCATTTTTATGGAAAGAGGAATTGCAAGGGAAGAGAGTTCACTGTTGCTGGCCATTCACTTAACTGGAGATGATATGAAGGGACGATTCATGCATTCATTGGTGCATTCAGTCGTTACTTCCTGAGTCCCTCCTACATGCCCAGCGTGATGACAAGCAGCAGGGGTTTTGAGGGGAACAAGGCAGACATGGCCCTTGCTCTCCTGAAGTACATAGCCTTGCTTACAATACTTGTCATTGGCCGGGGGCAGTGGCTCACGCCTGTAATCTCAGAACTTTGGGAGGCTGAGGTGAGAGGATCGCTTGAGCCCAGAAGTTCAAGACCAGCCTGGGCAACATGGCGAAATCTGTCTCTAAGGAAAATGAAAAAAATTAGCCAGGAAAGGTGGTGTTCGTCTGTAGTCCCAGCTACTCATGAGGCTGAGGTAGGAGGATCCCTTAAGCCCAGGAGATGCAGGTTGCAGGGACTGAGAACATGCATGGCACTCCAGCCTGAGTAACAGAGTGAGACCCTTTCTCAAAAAAAACAAAACAAACAAAACAAAAAAAACAACCAATACTAGTCATTCCCAGCATGGGCTGGGCGTGAAAACTGGAGAATGGCTAACATGAGACTCTTGTTTTGAGATTGCCCTTATGGAAACTGACAGTCTTTAAGGCAGGCCAGTGATATTTTAACTAAACTACCAGATGAACCACACTTCTTAACATCTCTATTGAATATCAAATCTATCGGATTCTTGGCAGCATAAACTAATTGGCTTTGTGGTCAATAGACATCAATCTGCAGGCACTGTAAAGATGTATGCTGTAAAGATTCTTGTTGCAGTCAGCCCAGACCTCCAGAGGGCTCTTCCCCACATCCTTATATTTGACTCCCTTAAGGGTAAAGATCCTAAAATGGGTGGGGACAGTTGGCTTCCCAGTTCTCCCTGACCAGTAGCTGGCCTGACATAGGTGCTGAGTGCTTGCTGGATAATAAATGAAACGTTGACTAAGCATTCCTATTGTATGTATCAATTCCTGTTTTACGTATCCTACATGTCAAAAAGTATAGTGATTAATGATTTCCAGGAACAGAACTGAGCATGGTACTGTTCTTGTCACCATCCTTTGTTCCACTGCAG
Source organism: Homo sapiens (assembly GCF_000001405.40). Taxonomy (NCBI): domain Eukaryota; kingdom Metazoa; phylum Chordata; class Mammalia; order Primates; family Hominidae; genus Homo; species Homo sapiens. Next base: position 169,184,172 of record NC_000002.12, on the reverse strand, counting down.
AAAAAATAATATTTGAACTGTAAGACATTGTCATTCAGCCCTCTCTCTCAGAAACTGCTAGAATGACGTTTCTCTTGGATTTCAGCTATTTCCTCTCTATCTCGGTGTGTTCTTTATCAGAAGAGAATTAAATACATGTGAGGAAGATGGGCAAGAAAGTCTGGGTGAGGGTAGGGTAAACTTTTCTTGAAAGTCCAGGAGGGTGCACAACCAGGCTCAGTGTTCCTGAAAACACAAAGGCAGAATGGAGCCCAGTTACATTTACATTGGTAGGGGGCAGTTCTAAGATACTAGCTACACTGAAATTAGAAACAACTTTTTTCTCCAATATTAATAAATATTTCTGCTGTCAGCATTAGGGTGTTTGGTTTCCAAAGCCCTTGCATTTGATATAACTTTTTAAACCACCATTACGCACATTGGAAGATACTGTTGGCTCTCAGTTATCTTAATTTTTCCAGTAGTGGAGACGGAATATCTTCTCCATGTTTTCTTGAGAAGAATCTGTTCACAGGATGTCTTTTGACTGTGGAATAAAGAGAAATTAATGGGAAAGCAGTAAGCTCAACAGAGTAGAGTGCCCTATGGGGTAGCCAGTCTGCCAGGACTTGAATGGTAATAGCAACAGGAATACTAATACGACAAGAATAATAATAGCAACTCCTTCTAAGCCTGTTGTGATCTGAAATAATATAATGTTTTAAAAAGTCCCTGGTCTGAGGCCTGGCATTTAACAAGTGTTCAATAATTAGCTACTATTATTCTCACTGTTCTTAGTGTCTACCATGATGGAATCCAAGATTGTAGCCATCTCATTCATCAGGATTTACTCATTTACCCAAGTGAATTAACTGGCAAGACTTGTACATATATGGATACTCATTCTTTCTTGCTGAAGCCTGAAGCGATGCTACTGTCCTAACTATTCAGATATCCAGCATGAATGGTTAAGCGCGTACTTGTTGCAAAGAGGCATTCAGGTCTTTTGGAAGGGAAATCATTCTCCTTCATTCTCCTTCCGGTTGGAATTGATTATCAAATCCTAAATGACCTTCTCACTATAGGTGCATTTAACCCTTTGGAAGGTTATGGATGCTATAAGACTCTGGTGAAAGCCCTGGGCCCCTTTAGAAAGTACACAGATCACCAAAGCTGGCTTCCCTGATTCTGGGTAAAGACCTTGGGTTAAGAACACTTACCTTATAAGAAAAATAAATTTTATTGAATAAAAATACATTTATAACAGAAATGTCCTTGAGGTAGCAGTTTCTAACAGATCCTAATATGTTTCTAAAGCTTCTTAGGTTTGATTAAGTGAAATGTGTCTCAGGTTGAGAAACTCATTTTGACAGCCTGTCTGACAGAGGCAGGGATGTCTCTTTATCCTAAGGATGTCATAATCTTTATCTTAAGAATGTCATAATTCAGAGTTTCTCTGTGCAGTTTCAATGACACACTTAGACAAGTGTGTTTCCTTGACTCCACCATTTAAACTGTAATTCATGATACTCACCTCTGCTTCCCTGTTCTGCTAAGCCTTTGCACTGCCTGGAGAGGGTGCCTTATGCTGCATGAGGAAAGTAAAACCAGACCCGTCGAATGAAGTGTGTCCCCCGTATTTTCTACATGACACCACCTTAAAGTGGGAATTATTGCACACAGTCTTGCACCCTCTGTTGCCTCACTGCAGGAAGACAAACTTCCTGTTTTCCCCTGCCCTCATTTGCCTGAAGAAAGGTGACTTCTAACAACTGTCTGTGATTCTCAGGTAGCTTGGGTAGGAAACTGGGTGGCTAAATATGTACCATTTCACAAAGTGACTGTATTGGTTAACTCCTGGCTCTCCATTTTAGAAAGCTCTACTGGTTGGATGCCCGCCTGGATGGCCTCTTTGTCTCTGACCTCAATGGTGGACACCGCCGCATGCTGGCCCAGCACTGTGTGGATGCCAACAACACCTTCTGCTTTGATAATCCCAGAGGACTTGCCCTTCACCCTCAATATGGGTATTGTCTCCCTGCAATCCTGGGCTTTTCTTTCACCTCCTTCTTCTGCCTCTGTTACCGAGAAGGCTGTTCATGTAACTATCTCAAGGCCAATGTCTTGCTGGGGTTTGTCTTCTGCTTTTCCTACTTGGTAAATTGTTTAGTGTAATGAGTAGAAGCATGGCTTCTTCAAATCATCATCATCAGCTCTTCTGTTTTCTTTTCCCTGACACACTTTTGCACTTTTCAAGTCCTGTATTTTGGCTGCATGCAAAGAAAACTGTGGTTTCAGAAAACCGATTTCTTTACTGGACTCTCGAAGTCAAAGCCACTGAAATCCAGTTAACTATGTTTATTTGTGAGCATTTTCTGTACATTGTCCCCTTCCTTTTTCTTTTTTAGATTATTTGCTGTTAGCTCTCTTTCTTTTCTGAATGCAGAAAAGAATTCAGAATGCAGTCTGCTCTACAGAATGCAGACTCCATTTCTCTAAATGGAGAAAAGGTGTGTATTTTGGCTACTGACTTCTTTTGGCATCAGGGACTGACCCTTTGTGTTTGCCCTGACAGGTACCTCTACTGGGCAGACTGGGGTCACCGCGCATACATTGGGAGAGTAGGCATGGATGGAACCAACAAGTCTGTGATAATCTCCACCAAGTTAGAGTGGCCTAATGGCATCACCATTGATTACACCAATGATCTACTCTACTGGGCAGATGCCCACCTGGGTTACATAGAGTACGTACATAGAAAAGCATAAAACAATTGTGTAACTGTTTATTTCAAACATCAGAGCTTGTGATTCCAGTCTATTAGTCCCCTCTATTGTCTAACTGGCCTGTCTGTTGGAAGTCATTCGGGGGAAGTCACACTTCTAACTAAAACTGCTGAGCTCTATGGTATGGTGCAGTAGAAAGAGGGTGAACTTTTAAATCATATGGATCAGGGTTTATGACCTGATGTTTTCACTTCTTATTGTTTTTTTATCTAGAAAATGGGGCTAATAATCTCTCCCCATGGTAGTCAGCTCAGTGTGCAACTCATCTTAATTTTTTTTATCTCTTTAATTTGCTCTCCCCTATGAAATATATGATTAATAAATTTTAGTATTTGAGAAAAGGAAAAGAATAAAAGGATCTGGAAAACTTTCCCTAAAATACTTTGGCACATTTATGGTTAAGTGCAGTGCAGTGTTTTAGGTGGCAGTAGAGTCTGTTAACATTAATCCAATATGATAAGGCATTTACATCTTTCTGGTAATAGGATAATTTTTAAGTGTGTTAAATATACTGTTCAATAAAAAATACTCATTGTAAAAAGATGATACACATTATTAATCAAAAATTAAACAACAATACCCATATTGAATTTTGCTAGTTATGGCCTAGTTGGACCATAGTATTGTCTTCTGCATAAGCATTTATGGATAACGATCCAGGAACAGCCTGTTGCACTCAGAAGCATGGAAATGCCATTCATTCAGTAGAACTATTTCAAATTTTTTTATTTTATTTTTAGAAATTCCTTTCTTCTGTTATATTTATTTTGCTGCCAAAGTCAGTGTAGTAAAGTTTGAAGTTCTCTAACACCATGCTCCCTGGGGACATGCCACTGAAAAAGAAGGAATACCTGGCACACACGCCAGTGCTCTTTCTTCCTGTGCTCATGGCAGGCATAATTAATCAATCCAAGTACTTTCTCTTGTTGAACTGGTTCATTTGCTACACTAAGGTAGCCTTTAGCATTCTCATTGCAGAATTTACCGTAGCAGATATTAACTCACTCTTAGGGTAGAGACTAACTTTAATTAGAAGCAGTACAATATTATTTCTAGTTTACTTATACCATTTTGATGTGATATGCTGATGGTAATACCCTTAGCCCTTCCCACAGTGTGTGTATCCTCTCTTAAAAGGCACATCAAAGAGCTGAGTTAGCTTTCCATATAATCCTATATTGAATTAGTAGAAGCATCAAGATGTTCAAAGAAGCTTCAACAACTTTCTAACTGACATTTGTTGTTCTTTGGGTCCTATAGATTATTCTTGGTCTTGAAAGCTTAGTAGGTGTCACTCAGCATACATTTAGACAGTGTTTCCAGGAGCATTAGAGATGAAAAAAGGAATTTTCTAGTTACACAATATTCTGTTCACTTTTTGATAAAATCTAATATAGATTATTTACGTAGATGGATTATAAAATTTAGGCAGTAGATTTTAGTCTAAAAGTCAAATCATAATATGAGGCACTGTGATCTGGGAATAAAGGAAACTTTAATATTCATGAGCCATGTTAAATTGGTTACCTCTTGGAGAGGTAGCAATGCCTGTGTTCAGAAATATATTTCATAGATGCATAAAGCAATAGATTTTTATAGAGCATGCAATTGATTCCTTGTACATCTTGGGATGCACCAACACATCACTGGAGCTGTGCCTGTAGTTCTACTCTTACTTTTTTTTTTTGAGATGGAAATTCGCTCTTGTTGCCCAGGCTGAAGTGCGATGGCGTGATCTCGGCTCACCACAACCTCTGCCTCCTGGGTTCAAGCAATTCCCCTGTCTCAGCCTCCTGAGGAGCTGGTATTACAGGCGTGCACCACCACACCTGGCTAATTTTGTATTTTTAGTAGAGACAGGGTTTCTCCATGTTGGTCAGGCTGGTCTCGAACTCCCGACCTCAGGTGATCTGCCTGCCTCTGCCTCCCTAAGTGTTGGGATTACAGGCGTGAGCCACTGCACCCAGCTGTGTAGTTCTACTCTTGACAAAAAGTACTCATAGAGATATCTGAGATCTCTCTACAGAGATTACAGATGAACTGGAAGGGAAGGTCTCAGGACTACTTTCTGGTCTATGATTTTTTTAGAAAAACAGATGGTGGCTAGGTGCAGTGGCTCACACTTATAGTCCCAGCTCTTTGGGAGGCTGAGCAGGGCAGATTGCATGAACTCAGGAGTTCAAGACCAGCTTGGGCAACATGACGAAACCCTGTCTCTACAAAAATTACAAAAATTAGCTGGATGTGCTGGCACCTGCCTGTCCCAGCTACTCAGAAGACTGAGGTGGGAGGATCACTTGAACCCAGGAGGAGGAGGTTGCAGTGAGCCAACATTGTGCAACTGTACTCCAGCTTGGGCAACAGAGTCAGACTATCTCTAGATAAATAAATAAATAAATAAATAAATAAATAAATAAATAAATCAGATGGTGACTAATTTCTGGTCATTTACCTGCATCCTTATCAACAAAGGCCAAGCACATCTTCAAGTTTTCCTATGACTTTTATAAGTTACCATAAATTATATTTTGGGAAATATTTTTAACATTGCATGGCTAACATTATCAGGTTTCTTAGTTGCTAGCTTGTTCTATCTCCTGTTTGAGTTTTAGGATCTGTTCCAAATTTTTAAAATATTAAATTTTCACTATTTTAGAAATGATTTCTGATATAGACCCACAGTAATGAAAGCCCTTGGAACTGAGAGGACTTGGGAATTTGGCTGTGGATCCTTTGTAACATCTTGAAATCGGAGAACCTTCTCTGGAGGTTTATTCATCTGTAAAAGTATTCGCTAATGGTGCCATGGCACGATTAATAATAAATGTCCTGCTGGTGTTTGCAAAGTTAACCCTGCAGGCCTGTAAGTTGTGTTCCCCTCAGGTTATACTGAGAATGCAACTATCTCCTAGAATAACGTCCCCTCCGGAATGTTAATGAGAAGGTAGAATTCCAGTATAATATTGCTATCTTCTGATTTCTTCCAATGGTGTTGGAAGAAACAAGAATGGTGTTCACCCCAGGATATCAAAAGGGTGCTTAATGAGGAACATCACTATAAGAGGCCATAAACCTACAACAGCTATAACAGCTTCATCCGCAGGAAAGCAGCTGTGGTTAGGAATTAGTGATTATTTAAACTCCTGACACTATTCCTATTTTGTTAAGTATTGCTTTTTCACTTCTACATCTTTTGTTCAATTTGAATTCATCCTTTAAGTTTAATTTTTGTTTTAATTAAAGACTAGGAGTTTTGAGGATCTGAACTTATATTATCTCTAGGAGGTAGAATTTTATTGATTTGTGAATTCTTTTATCCTGCAAGACATTAGAGGAGAGGAATTACCTTTATCACATAACTGTTTCTGCTTACTGCTGCAGGTACTCTGATTTGGAGGGCCACCATCGACACACGGTGTATGATGGGGCACTGCCTCACCCTTTCGCTATTACCATTTTTGAAGACACTATTTATTGGACAGATTGGAATACAAGGACAGTGGAAAAGGGAAACAAATATGATGGATCAAATAGACAGACACTGGTGAACACAACACACAGACCATTTGACATCCATGTGTACCATCCATATAGGCAGCCCATTGGTGAGTAGGTGATTGAGGGGTTTGGCAAGGTTGCCTTGGGTTATGTGCATGTCATGATTGTCTTTAAGCATGAACTTCGTGATTTACAAAAAGTTTGTTGCACTTGTTAGTGTTTTCTTCAAAGCATATGCTGAAAGTTGACAGTAGGCAAATATCTTTAGAGTTTATCCCCCTTCCCCTGGGAAAGACTACCTAGAACTCTTCATCTTCTTAAAACTCGCTCAATTCTTCAAGATCATCTTTTTTTTTTTCCTTTGTTTTTGATAAGATTTAACAGTTATCATGTTGCCATATTTACTTCATCTATTTCTATGGGAAGACTGAAGTATTTTAAAGGAATTAAAAATATGGCATTTCAGCCCTAAATACTAAATACTAAATAAATGCATATGATATTGTATTGTGTATAAATTAGATATTATTCTTATCTTCTAGAAGATAATGTCAAGAGCAGTGCGTTTTAGTGTTTTTTAAGTAAGAGAACTTGTTTTTATTTGATTGTGAACTTATATTCCTTTTATGCAATTAAAGCAACTTTATGATTTAGAGTCTGAAATAAAGATAAAGGTCTGAAATATATTTTGGGGATAGACTGGTTTTTGTGGGTCTGCTTTGTTGTGATGTCTTGCTAAAACATATGATAAACTTGGAATTAAGGAAAAATGAGAATTAGCAAAATAAAGAAATTTAGTATTTCTTTCTGGAAGTTAATATTCTTCATATCATTTTTATTAGAAGTTCAAGCAAATATTCACCTCAAAGTGGTGACCAGGAAAATTAGTAAAGATGCTGCTCAGTTTATTCATCCACATTATTTTTGGCCAAACTTGTTACCTGTATACTTAGAATGAGGGAATGAATATAGCATCTGTTGGAAATTAAAACTTTAACCTAGGTCTAGGCAAATGAACATAAGCTAAGTTTACTGCCTGCTTTCCCAGGACTTGGAGAAACACATCTTTTCTAGTCAGAAACACCAGTGGGTATAGCTCACTTCTGGTAGCATATAAATGAGCTTTCTTAAAGCACAGGGTTGTTGCTTGTATAACTCTATCATCTGTTTTATTTAGGAACTTTTGGGAAAATCATAAATCTAGGATAGTTTTTTTTTTACTAAGAGGTGATGAGTTTAAAGTCAAGATGTGTAATCAGCTAATCTGTGCTTGATACTCTCTTTCAGCAAATGAACACATATTTTCTTCCTTTTCCACTAGTGAGCAATCCCTGTGGTACCAACAATGGTGGCTGTTCTCATCTCTGCCTCATCAAGCCAGGAGGAAAAGGGTTCACTTGCGAGTGTCCAGATGACTTCCGCACCCTTCAGCTGAGTGGCAGCACCTACTGCATGCCCATGTGCTCCAGCACCCAGTTCCTGTGCGCTAACAATGAAAAGTAAGGCTCTCTTTCCCCTCTCCTCAGTGCCTCTCTAGCCCGTGGACAGACATTGACCTTCAAGGCTCCAAGGGATGGGAGTTTTCTAGTGAGACAAGATTTTGGTTAATTAACTTGGTTCATGTGGAACACAGCAAGACTCTCAGCCTCCAACTTCAGATAATATTTTCCATGAATAGAAGGAGCTTGCTAACCAAACTGTTATGCCTATATATGCAAACTTTCATAGAAAGGAAGCAAACCATATATTTCTCATTTCTAATTGTCTTAAGTATTGGAGCCAGAGTGTATATAAGTACATACTGAAAAATTGTCCCTAGAAGTAATAGAATTTCACTGTCTTTTCCATGTCTATGCCGGCCTAGCTCCTTAGCTGCCTATGCTAGGGGATCCAGGGTTACACATTCAAATCCATTTTTGATCATTTGTGTTTGCTATGAAACATGGCCACAGATTATTTTCTTAACAATGTCCACAGGCCCATTGATAACTAGGGGACCTGAGTTAGAGAGTGGCATGGAGAGAGGCATTAATGCAGATCATAGCATCTAAGATGCAGAGGTAGACGATTGTAGTGATTAAATAAGATATCTGAGATTAAGAATCTAGCATACATTTATCGTGAGAAAGACCCTCAACAGTTTTTATTGCCCTCCAACTTCCCAAACAATACTTTTATATCACCCTGGCAGACAATCTCAACCAATCACTGCTCCTAGAACACAGCTCAAAACACCCACTCTTTATTTGTTTATTGTTTTTTTTTTGTGGAGGAAATTTATTCATCATATTAAGAGCACATTTTCAGTTTGTATTTGGATCTTAAGAAACCTGTTCTATCTTGCCAAGTTATGTTTTCTCTGAAAATACACCATTGTAACTGAGATTTAATTGATCCTCTTCTAGGGCCACGAGAGAGCTCATGCATGTCATTTCTTGGAATTCAGTGTTGACTTCTTCTCTCCAGATAACTGTTGCCCCTGGTGCTTTGCTAAAGAAGTGCTGTATGTTCTCTGTGCAGGTGCATTCCTATCTGGTGGAAATGTGATGGACAGAAAGACTGCTCAGATGGCTCTGATGAACTGGCCCTTTGCCCGCAGCGCTTCTGCCGACTGGGACAGTTCCAGTGCAGTGACGGCAACTGCACCAGCCCGCAGACTTTATGCAATGCTCACCAAAATTGCCCTGATGGGTCTGATGAAGACCGTCTTCTTTGTGGTGTGTTGAGTCGCTTTATGCCTCTTTTTCCGACTTCTATGTTGATTGTATACGATCATGATTCTGTGGGTATTTCCTGAATATCATGAACTAAAAACCAGTTCAAAGTCCTAGAAGGAAACTCAGGCTCCATCCTTTTTCTATTTTTATGAAGTTTTTTTTTTTTTTTTTTTAGAAATCTTAAGGTTTTTACAAGGCAAATGGTTGAAGTAGACAATAAGTTGTCTCTACTGGTGGCTCTTCACCATGTGCTGGGCATTGAATCCCCTTTGAGAGCTAACATTGAGGAGGAAACGAGAGGTTTCCACCCCCATTTTTAACAGGGACTCTCAGTTGTCATATTTATTTATGTTTCCATTTAAAAGGCAAAAAAAAAAAAAAAAGACTGAGCACAGTGGCTCATGCCTGTAATCCCAACAGTTTGGGAGGCTGAGGCAGGTCGATCGCTTGAGCCCAGGAGTCCAACACCAGCCTAGGCAACATGGCAAAAGCCTGTCTCTACAAAAAATACAAAAAATTAGCCTGGCATGGTGGCATGTGCCTGTAATCCCAGCTACTTGGGAGGCTGCAGTAGAAAAATAGCTTGATCCTGGAGGTTGAGGCTGCAGTGAGCCGAGATCGTGCCACTGCACTCACTTGGTCTCAAGAAAATAAATAAATAATCAAATAGGCACAAAATAAAATTCCCCCAAACTAAAAACAACACATCAATAACAGTAACAAACACAAAGTTTGAAGACTATTTTCCAGTAGGAGAATAGGGACAGAGGAAGGTATGCTTAACAGGTCAGGGTGTTCAGTTCTTATCTCTTAAGTCTGTATGCAATAAAGAGATATTTAAGAATTTGGGAGACAGTAATAGTCAAAAGAAGAAGTGCTCCATGTAGTAGTACTGACTGATAAGTACATTAGGAAATAAGTCCTCTAAAAAGAAATCATGATCCTGCTATCCAGGATTCACTGATGTCAATTAGGAGCTTTCATTCTTGATGCCTTCCAAGCTGATAACCAAATGTCCCTGCTCTCAGAGAATCACCACTGTGACTCCAATGAATGGCAGTGCGCCAACAAACGTTGCATCCCAGAATCCTGGCAGTGTGACACATTTAACGACTGTGAGGATAACTCAGATGAAGACAGTTCCCACTGTGCCAGCAGGACCTGCCGGCCGGGCCAGTTTCGGTGTGCTAATGGCCGCTGCATCCCGCAGGCCTGGAAGTGTGATGTGGATAATGATTGTGGAGACCACTCGGATGAGCCCATTGAAGAATGCAGTAAGTTCCTGTGGGAGGACCAAGGCATGACCAGAGCAGGGAGACACGAGGAAACTTCCATGGGGACTGAGAGAGGACATGGAGCTTTCTTTTTCAGCTGATGGGATGCTCCCCCTTGGCACTCCCTGCAAACTCTGGCACTGCAAGGCAGAGTATAGCTGTGTGGCTTGCAGGTGGAACCAGACTCTGTTTCTGAAGTGGCTAATACCTCCTTTTGATACATAGAATGTCTAACCAACCAGAATATGATACCAAGAACTTATATTTTATATATCTACTGCTTTCTCACTTGAGCCACAGAGAAATGTTATGAGGTAGGGAAGGTGGGTGTGAACCAATTCCATTTTACAGATGAGGAAACTGAGGTTCACATTAAGTGGATGGTTACATTACTGTTTAGTGTCAGACCTAACACTTCAACCCAGGTTTTTTACTTCAAACCCTGTCCTTCCCCAACCCCACCCACAAAGTTATACTGTAAAACAAATGAGTGGTGCTGACATATTGAGAAAACTTAGGACTATTTTTCTGCTCATGGTAAACAGATCACATCTAAAACAGACACATATCGCCAGAGGCGGTTTGCTTGGTAACATGGTCATTGTTATTCCTCAGTACCACAACCTCAATGTGACAATGGAAAGGTGCTTTCTTGTACCTTCAGTTCTGACTTTGATGCCTCCTCCCTTTTCAGTGAGCTCTGCCCATCTCTGTGACAACTTCACAGAATTCAGCTGCAAAACAAATTACCGCTGCATCCCAAAGTGGGCCGTGTGCAATGGTGTAGATGACTGCAGGGACAACAGTGATGAGCAAGGCTGTGGTAGGAGGGGCCACAGGGGAGTGGAGGGAGGGACAAGAAAGTGCACATGTCAAGTGCCATTTATTAGATGAGAGATGAGAGTGTATTTCCCATGTCATCTTTTCTTTGTTTACCTCTGTAAAAAAATGGTTGATTCTTCTAATAACATGTTACATTTTTGTAGCATTTTGCAGGGTTACCAGGGGTATTTAATTTGTAGCACTTTAAGTCATGCTGTCATTGAGGAAGACGTTATTAAGATGTTAGAAACTTGTGTAATTTCTTCCAAATGTAGAATCCTTATTCATACTTGACAAGTTTAAATTGTTTCTCTAATTTTATAAATTGGTTGAAATTGGTGGAAAGGGGTTAGAGAAAAGACTTCGTATCTATCTCTAAAAAGGATATTTCCAAATTAGGATATTTCTTATTTGGGGATTTTCATATTCTGAATGTCTCTCTGATTTTCCCTGTTATCTATTGGACATCTGTAGTCTCTCTGGTAACATGGGAAAGCCAGATAAATTAATGGAATTTGTCAAGATTAGTCATAGTCTAACTTGAAACCAAAGCATCTGGAGTATGTGTGTTGGGTTTAGTTGGAAGAGAAGTAAGGAAGATACTAAATTCTTTTAAGAACACTGAGTCCAATTGACTGAAGATAATATGATCAAAATATTTATTTATTATGGCATCATTTTAGCCTCCCATACCAGGCCTTTGTTGCAAATTACAAACCAGATACCATTTCATTCTTTGCATGGTTTCTACCAATGGGAATGGATCGAGTTTCAAGTGGTAGGATAGGCTCAGGGTAGCTAAAAGAGGGAATGTTGACCATGAATGTTGCTGGCATTCCTCTCTTTGGGAGCTTCAAGAGTGAGCTAATACAATTCTCAGACTGTCTCACAAGGAAGCCAATACTACTTTGTGCATTTCTCTGCCAATGGTTTATGAAGTCTTTGCAATGACTGCTTTGCAGAGGAGAGGACATGCCATCCTGTGGGGGATTTCCGCTGTAAAAATCACCACTGCATCCCTCTTCGTTGGCAGTGTGATGGGCAAAATGACTGTGGAGATAACTCAGATGAGGAAAACTGTGGTGAGTGTTCACAGTCCTATGGTCCTTATATACCACCAGAGCTGTGATGTTTGCTTTTTGTCCATAATTCAACTGTCTATGTCATTGATCCTCAATGGGTAGGATGATATCAAGCTGTCTGATCTCTTTCTTTCTGCTGGTCAGTACATTTCTACTTTCTCTTCCACTAAAGACATAAGCATCTCCTTCTGAGATGTTTCAAATCAAGCTTTTGGAGGAAGGTATTTACTGAAGAATATCTTTTATGTGTTGAATTTATTTACATCCAACTTTTTTTTCCAAAAGAAGTTGAGGTGACTTATGATAAAGGAAAAATGTAATAAGATAAATAGAATAGAAATAGAAAACCAGGACCAGAGAAGTAGAGGGAGGAAGGGTGCTAACCCAGAGACACTGCTTCTTAAGCTCTTTCCCCAAAATGGCCTTCATAGGAGAGGAGAGAGAACTTGTGTTTGCATTATTACCCTTCCTAGAATAGTTGACTATTTTAGGAGGGCTAACAGTTAATTAACAGGACAGGTTTTAGTTTCTCTCTCCCAGTCGAAGGTATTGACTACAAGGCATTGGATAGGGAGGTTGAGGAAAGGAAGCCAAGAGGCTGAGATCATATCAAATTAGATGGTCAGAACACACTCAATGTGTGTTCTGAAAACAAGCTTAATGAAGCCCTGCCCAGAGTGTATATCACTGACCCATGATATGCGTCAATTTCTAATTGACTAATGAAACACATTCTAACTTTGTTTACCTTTTGGAAGAAAAAAGTGATCACCACTTGCGATAAGCAATGAGAGATTTAGGAAGCTGACTACACCTGCAAATATCAGTTAGCTAAAAACTTATACAAAAGGGTAATCCAATTGGCATTTTGTCTTTTATTAATAAAAGTCAATGTTGAATCCTATAAGAGGTTATCTAGAGTTTCACGAAATAGAAAAAATTAAGATAAAATCAAGCTGGGCATGGTGGAACACACCTGCAGTCCCAGCTACGCAGGAGCCTGAGCAGGGAGGATTACTTTAGACCAGGAGTTCAAAGTCAGCCTGGGCAATGTTGAAAGATCCTGTTTCAAAAAAAAAAAAAAAAAAAAAAACAGAGAGAGAGAGCAAGAGAGAAAGAGAGATCAGATCACCTTTGGACAAACTTCTTAATAAAGGCCATTCTTTACAGACTCAAAATTAAGGTGAAAGGTCTAGTTTTGGAGGGTGAATGATTTGCCCAAGCACACCTCTGGGGCTTGGGACACAGGAGGGTGCTGGGCACCCAGGGCACTATGGTCAGCTCACAAGATGTCTCCTGTATGTGATTCCTGGTGCACACTCATGGCCAGGTGCCTTTCCTTTCCAGCTCCCCGGGAGTGCACAGAGAGCGAGTTTCGATGTGTCAATCAGCAGTGCATTCCCTCGCGATGGATCTGTGACCATTACAACGACTGTGGGGACAACTCAGATGAACGGGACTGTGGTAACTGTCATTTGAGAAGCTTACCATAGAATTTTGTACTGTGACAGTGTAGGGGCTTCAAATTAGTGTTTATAAGGCTTTTAGAGGAAAATTATTTTTGTATATGTGTAATATGTAAACCTTAGCATAACACAGTATCTTCTGCTCTGTATTTTCTATGCATTATTCTTAACTCATAGCAGTCTAGATTAGTCATAATTGAGGAAAATAGCAAGGAATTTTAAACATTTAATTTTAATATCAACACTTCTTAGGAGCAGATTTTAATCTGCGTTAGCCTTGTAAACAAAGACATTGATCTTGCTACTATTCCACGGAAAGTCACCCTAAGGAATATGCATGTGCTCCTATGACTCTCTTGTGTAGAGATCAGATCATTGACAGAGTAATCCTAAACCCAAAGTAATTTTTATAGCTCTTTACTGATTTGGTGTTGGGTCTTAGGAAAATTAGAAAACATTGAAGATTGGGGAATTCCGATTTCTGAGGAAAAGCTTAAGAGCTGGAGATTATTTAATATTAGGGAGCTAGGTACTTCCATCTCTGTATGTTGAGTGGGGAAAGTGTGAGTTTTGAGAATGTATTAATTTGCTAACCACAAGTTGTGGGTTTGCTGTGAGCCAGTCACAGGGTGTAGATAGGAATGTGATGGAGTAACCACTATACTCCAGGTACCTAATATCTGTCTGAAAATGACAAGGCCTTCTCGGAATGACAATCTTTTCTCTTCAGAGATGAGGACCTGCCATCCTGAATATTTTCAGTGTACAAGTGGACATTGTGTACACAGTGAACTGAAATGCGATGGATCCGCTGACTGTTTGGATGCGTCTGATGAAGCTGATTGTCGTAAGTCCCTAGACACATATGTAGTACTGCTTACCTGAGAGCATGGATATGATAGTTTAGACATCAGTCCGCTGCCGCTTCTTAGATTAAAAGGCCATAAGTATTGTCTGTTCAGCATGCACTGATAATGATCAGTTCACCTGAGTTCTAAGTCATCATAATCATACATTTCACAATGGCCGTTCAAGTGTACTTCCTTGCTATTTTAAATGGAGAATATATTAAGTAATCTGTGCTAACAAAGTATTTATATATTATCAGCTACTATACAAATCATTAATTAGATAAAAAACATTTCAGGTAAAAAAATATTCAAGCAACGAATACATTAGTATAAAGAACTTGGGTTGGGTATTCGAACATATTGAATTTATAGCATTAAAATTTTTCTCAGTCACACGATGGAGTATAAAAATGATTAAAACTTGAAGGGGGCCAGCCCCTCCACACCTGTAGGTATTTCTCCTCAGGTGGGATGAGAGACTGAGAAGACTGAGAGAGATCAAAATGGAGTTTCTTATGTCTTCCTTTTCTACATAGACACAGTAACTGTCTGATCTTTCTTTTCCCTACAAAAACTGGAAAGCCAACATGATTACTCAGATTTGAGTCTTTATGGATCACTTGAATCAATGCAAACTGTTTATACATCATTATTGCTGATCCATCAACAATAACCATCATCCATGATAACCATCCATGATGGTTATCGTTGATGATGTGGTTGCCAAAGAGACTTTATAAATGTATGTGGGTAAAACCAGTCTTGACATTTGCCTGTAGAGATTAAGTCCAGTGCTGTCCATGCCATGGATGATTCATGCCATTGGAAACTGACTGGGCTCTGACAACTGCCCTTAAGACATAGTCCGTTCAACTTTCAGACAGGTCAAGGCCACTATACATCTTGATGAATAAAGAAGAGCAGGCTATAATGGCAAGAGCCAAAGGAGAAATAGCAGGAAGCTTCCCCAAAGTAGTCAATTTGTATAATAATTTGAATATGTTTTTTTCCCCCATGGCAGCCACACGCTTTCCTGATGGTGCATACTGCCAGGCTACTATGTTCGAATGCAAAAACCATGTTTGTATCCCGCCATATTGGAAATGTGATGGCGATGATGACTGTGGCGATGGTTCAGATGAAGAACTTCACCTGTGCTGTAAGAGGGAGAGAAACGGAGTGAATGGGAGTGGTGTTGTCTGTCAAATCTCATTGTTTCTTACGTGTAGCATGTGAGCCTGGAGAGCAGTTGTACAATTGTTTAGGAATGGACACAGGATCAGCGTTGGTGTTATTTCACTGGGTCTTCCAGCTTCAGTTCTCTCTGTAACCTGAGAAAGTTGGGAAAACCTCCATGTTTTTAAATGTATTATGGCCTTAGAAAACAATGTCTTTAAGGGAAATGTTGCTTGAAAACCTAGTATGCATAAATAAAGGCAGGTCTGTTGTGGTTGAAGTCTGAGGAAGGGTAGGGAGGAGGCTGTACCTCTCCTGCTGTATCCTACTTTGGGTGCCCCTGAAGTACCCTCTCCAAACCCCTAGAGCTTCCTGGAGCACCTTTAGAAAATGCTAAGACTTTCTTAATCTTTACAGTCACTTCCTTTTAACATGGTAATTCAAGGCCATCTAATTCCCTCTTGCTGAATGATGCATATATATATATATATATATATATATATTTTAAACCCTGCTTGTTTGTGAGTCTCAATTCAGGTACATGTCAGTAGCAGAGGAGGAGGGGTATTTCAAAATCACATGCCCTGGCCTCACCCTAGGCTTAGACCTGATGGAGCAGAATCTCCAAGAATGAAGCCTGCACATACGTATTTTTAAAAGGCTTCTTAGCCTTTTAGTTTAGTCCCCTGGTTGAGAACTACTGATTTTAATGAAGTGAACGTAAATAGAGTTTGTTGCAGTCATTTTGCTACATGCTTTGAGTCATTGGAGGAACTCTAGGGTAATAGTTCTCAAAAGTGTCTTACCTGGACTAGGAATGTCAGTGCCACTTGGGAATATGTTAGAAATGCAAATTCATGGGATGCACCCTATCCAAATAGAAATTAAAAATCAAGACCAAAAGAAGTAGAGGAAGGAAAGGCATTAACTCAAAGACCCTGCTTTTTGAGCTCTTTCCCCAAAGTGGCCTTAATTTTGTGGGAAAATTAAGGGCCCAGCAATCTATACATTAACAGGCCCCTCAAATGATTCTGATGCAAACTAAAGTGTCAGGATTTTGTGTAAGTAAAAGCCCTTAACCTAGGAGACAAGACCTGGAGAAGCACTCCTGTTGGAAGTTCACGTTGCATCTTCCATCCCCTTTCCCAGCTTCATCACTACTCATTTTTAGCCCAGAGATTTGACTTGTGAAGATGATATATCTTAGTATTTTGTTTCTCCTCAGAAAACTTTAATTAGTGTTCATTATATTTCACAGTTGCATCCCAACATTTTTCTTTACTTGTTAGGAACTAGCCTTGTTTTGCTTTGAACTTCATGAATCTTGAGACACATCTTAGACATGTTTAACTTTCAAAGAAGTCCTTAGGAAATCTCTTCTCTCCATAAGGTAAAATGCCCATAGCTAGTAAAAATAAACTTTGGAGAGTCAGAGACACAGCTACATTAAAAGGTTTCCAATACTGTTTTATAATATTGAACTTGCCTTTCACAGCAAATAATTATTGCAATAGTTCTATTAACAATACTTCCAAGAATCAGCCCTTAGATCTGACCCTTTCCCCTCAACCAATCTTATTATAAGTCTCTCCTCTTGATCCCTGTGTGTGATACCAAGGCGGAAGGAAAATCAGACAGCCCAAATCCTCCATGTGAAAGACAGACCACATGTGAAGACCACATGTATGTTGAGTTCACTGCATTTGTGGTACACGCATAGTGAACCATGTTCCCTGTACCAAACAAGTAGGGGACCTGGGGACTACCCTTGAGTTCCTCACATCTGTACAGGCAGCAGCTAGAGGTCTCACTCTGGACAGCAAGTGTGTCAGGGTTTGATTGTGAGATATCGATTTTAAATGTAAGAGGTGAGGGAATTCAGGAAGGAAAATCCAACACAATTTAAAGCTTCAATAAAAGACTCATGCGGTAGAGACTCTATGACAACTGCCATCAGGAGGATCAAACAAATGGCTTCCTGGCTGTTAGGATAAGAGTCCATGTACTGCCAGTCTGTCCAGCCTCACAGCCACCATTGTGCTCCACGATCCATGCTCCAGCCACCGAGGCCTTTATTCAGGTCCAGAGACCTGCCATCCTCCTCTCTGACTCAGAATCTATGGGAAGTTTCTTCCAAGCCTTCCTCTCCCTAACTTAAGTCAGATCACCCCAGTAGATGTTTCATAGTTGTAATTGAATGGTTAATTTGAAAAGCCTGTTTCTCTACTAGAATGAAAGTTCCATGAGGACAAGGACTGTGTCTTTCTTGTTTCCCATCATATCTACTGCCTAGCACAGTGCCTTGGTGTGTACTATACATGTAAGGTGTATCTGCTGATTGATTAATCAAATGAGTAAATGAGTGCATGAATGAAGCAAGCCTGGTGCTGACACTGGAGTATTTTAGATATTGACACTTAGATTCTACTGTTAACTTGTAATTTCATTTTTCTATCTTTCCTTTCAGTGGATGTTCCCTGTAATTCACCAAACCGTTTCCGGTGTGACAACAATCGCTGCATTTATAGTCATGAGGTGTGCAATGGTGTGGATGACTGTGGAGATGGAACTGATGAGACAGAGGAGCACTGTAAGCAAAAGTCAAAAGGGAGAAGGAAAAAGGAAGGACCCCAAGTGGTCTGCAGTTTGGAAAATGTGCCTCTGGGATTTCAGTTTGTTCTATAGAGTTGTGCCCATGACTGCAGATCTCTGCTGACATAATTGTTTACAAGACCATGCAAACACATGCATTGCTTACATGTAACCCTGCCTGTTTCTTCCTGTCTCATTTGAGCATGATGCTGGCAAATCCATTAATTTTTCAGTCTTTGTTTGAACATTTAATAAGCCTTCCCCTCCTCTTTTCTCATAAGAAACTGAGAACAAACACTAAATACTGATTGAGCCACACCTCGCAAATTAATAGTTTATTTTTTCAAATATGAGATTTGATCATCCTTCAGCCTTCAGGAGTTGCTAATTGCTAATCTAGGCAGGTGCCCAGCTGCAGAGATCATGTGAAGCAAGGCAGCACTGGTGTTAACAGAGCTTATCTAATATCCTTGTTGAAAATGAAAGTTCATTTCCCAGAAGAGAAAAGTGATAGATTAGTTTAAGATAGAAGTTCCAAACTGGCTGCATTTAACAATCGAGGCATTGAAATAGCTGTACTTTTTCTGCACTTTCAAAATGTTTTAAAATCTATCCATTGAAGGGGAAAGTTGACCAATTTTCTGGGCAATTTAATTTGCCTAGAAAATGTCAGTGAGGAAAATCATTTCCCCGACTCCAATTATTTTTTTCCCCAAAAAGACATTATCTGGGAAAATTAAGATAAATGCCTGATTTCTCCACTTTCTATTTCTTGTATTGATGTGGTCTTAGAACGCTTTGCCACAGAATGCTTACTTCCAGCCCCCATCCCAGAGGAGACTGTCAGGGAGGACTTTGACACTACCACAACCTTCAAGTTCGTATTCCTGTTATCATTATTACTGGCAGAGATAGCATTAATACATTATAGCATTAATATGTTTATTTGAGGCATAGCGCAAAAGCATGAAAGCCCAGAAATAAAATATTTTTAAAGAATTTGAGCAGATTTCCCCCTTCCCCAAAA
Organism: Homo sapiens; assembly: GCF_000001405.40. Taxonomy (NCBI): domain Eukaryota; kingdom Metazoa; phylum Chordata; class Mammalia; order Primates; family Hominidae; genus Homo; species Homo sapiens. Next base: position 169,164,902 of record NC_000002.12, on the reverse strand, counting down.
TCTCTTTCCATTTCCCCTGCTAAAAATGCCATTTTTTAAAAAATGGAGCAAGACATTTGTAGCACATGGTCAAATCCCAGAGTGGAAAAAAGAATCCATAAACTTCTATTCTTTTCAAGGAACAGGGTTTTAGTCTGGGAGACCACTACCAGTCACCACAGGAAGCAACCTGCAACATTTCAATGGCTTAAAATGGCAAAGGTTCATTTCTTGCTCATGTAAAGTTTAATGACAGTCAAGCAACCCTCCTCCATCCCATAATTATGCCATCAGGGACACATTCAAGGTTGCCAAGGCAGGAGAAGATCAACATGGTGGAGGCACACAGCTTCTTAACTTCCTGAGCCTGGAAATGACAGACATCCTCTTGCTCATAGTCCATTGGTCAGAACCAGTCACGTGGCCCTGCTCTAACTGTAAGGGAGACTGGAAAATGCAAGAATATGCATTCTCATACAATTTACCCTTGTGTCACTAAATACTCCTTTATGATTTTCTTCTCACACACAGAACACCCTTAACCCCTTCCCAAGGGACATAGCTCATAGTCCATTCCGAAACTGAAATCCAGGACCTCTGGGTAATGGGCAGTAGCCACTCAATCAGTTCCAGATGTGGTTCCTCTTGGTTGGGAGACCCATAAACTAATAAACAATCAGTGCCTTCTGTGCCTGATAGGTATTGGCGGAACAGGGGCAACACAATAGAAATAAACACTCCCATTGGAAAGAAAGAATTGGAGACTCATGGCCATCACCAATGTATAGCAATTCTGAAGTCCCACTGGGCTGGGATGACACATGTTAGCACAGGACAGTCCTGATTCATGTCTGCTGCCCCAGTGGAATTATGAATAGCACCACCTTCACTTTCAAAAGCACACTGGCTTGGAAAGGAGAGTAAATTACATGGCCACTCTGGGCAGACATTGTAAAGGTCCCTTCTTTGGGGAGTGGAGGGTATTTATTGATTAGCTCATGCCTCTGCTCTGGGAGGAGCTCCTGTGTTAAAATGTCTCTCACTGTTTCTGACTCTACCCTTTGAGAGTTTTTTCTTGTCTATTTTCCTCTGCAAATGAAGAGGGAAAGGGAAATATGCTACCATTAGGGCCAGCACGGCAGCTTTCTCACCCCACTTCTTGCTTATAGAAGGTCGGGAGCCCAGGAGTTGTTTTTTGTTTTTTTTTCCAAGTCTCAAACAGTCATAGTATTTTGGTTTATTTGGTTATATCTTTCTCTCAGAAACATACCAGGCATTTGATCTGTTTGCTTCTAGCCTGTTCTAAAAGTTAGTAACCTGACCTAGTGCTCTTTTGGAGACATAGTTCTCAAATCTGCTTTTTTCTTTGCTTTCTTTCCTTCATAGAGTTCTGTCTGAACTTATTGTCACTTACATCCAATCCATGTAGAAAAATAGATGGGCAGTCATTTTATCCAATGAGGAGGTTTTATTGGGCCTTCGTGTCTCACAGCCTTTTAAACTTCAGACTTTTACTGTTTGGGATGTAGATACAGGTGGCTTTTCTCACACAGCAAATTTCTGGGCTTTATTTTATTTCTGCTTGTAAGGTAACCAGTTCTTCCCTTAGGTTCTCTCTTTCTTATACTATCTTGCCAAACTCAGGAATGGCAATCAATGCACATTACTAACATTCTATCTTCTAACCTCGCTCCATGATTGACAGGTTCAGTAAGCATGTGATCTGCCTTCCAGTTTTTCCGAGGTGATAGCTTTATCAAATGCTTTGACTTTGCATAACATGATCTCCACCTTTCCTGCCTCCACTATCAGTGTCCTTGTTGCTTGCCTCCTGACTGTTAATCCAATGCCAAATATTTTATGTTTTTATTATGGCAGTACTCTACTTCCCTCATCACTCTATGTTATTCGGAGTAATTAATACTAGCTGTTGCAACCAGCATATCCTGAAATCTCAGGGGTGTAACATAATGAAGCCTTATTGAGCACTCATAAAGGCCAACGCTGGTTTCACAGCCCTCCTGCATCTTGCAGCTGTGCTGCCTGGAACACATGGCTTCCAAGGTTGCTGCAGCAGCACAGGAGACACGGAGGAGGCACGTGTGCTTTTCATTGCTTCAGCCCAGTAGTGACACATGGCACCTCCAACTGACAGTACGTTGGCTAGAACTGGTCACATGGTCCTAACCCAGCTGCAAGGGAGACTGGGAAATGTAGGGAAGCACTTGTTTATTTGGTAAGCACAAACTGTCTCTGTCAAAGAAGGAAGTATCTTGCTTCATAAAAGAAAAAGTTTTGATTTTAACTTGTTTTTACATTGCAGGTAGAAAACCGACCCCTAAACCTTGTACAGAATATGAATATAAGTGTGGCAATGGGCATTGCATTCCACATGACAATGTGTGTGATGATGCCGATGACTGTGGTGACTGGTCCGATGAACTGGGTTGCAGTAAGTAAACACTTGTTTTTATAGTTCATTGTAGTAACTCAGGTTTACCTAATTAAAACATGCAATAACATAATGTAGACACTGACCACATTTTCTCCTTAATGTACTTTTTGCTTGAATTCCAGTCAAGCCCATAGCTAGCTGTGACTGAGTGCTTATCCTAGACCAGACATTGTGTCAAACATTCTACATGCCTGGTAGCAATCTTATGAGTTAGATGTTATTATCTCTTTCTTATGTACAAATGAGCAACGAACTTAGAGGTTAAACGAATTGGCCAGGTCTTACTGTCATTAAGAGGTTGACTCAGGATTTGAACTCTGGTCTGTTTCACTGCAGAGCAAGTCCTCTTCCCAGTCCACTGGGTGCCTCTTAGCACTTTAAGGCTACATATTTTGTTTATTAGTCTGCACATTATGGTGGGAGGATGGGGGAGGGATAGCATTAGGAGAAATACCTAATGTAAATGATGAGTTAATGGGTGCAGCAAGCCAACATGGCACATGCATACATATGTAACAAACCTGCACGTTGTGCACATGTACCCTGGAACTTAAAGTATATACATGAAAAAAATCTTAAGCCAAATGCAGTATCCTTGGTACCTGAAAATCCTTCTGAGGGTGTTTGATCAAGAAGGGAACGCCACAGGGGACCTGGGAAGGGACATTTATTTTTATTTTTAAAGTTGAGGGAGTGGCTGGATGCAGTGGCTCATGCCTGTAATCCCAACACTTTGGGAGGCCGAGGCAGACAAATCTCTTGAGCCCAGGAGTTCAGGAACAGCCTGGGCAGCATGGCGAAACTCCGTCTTAACAAAATACACAAAAATTTGCTGGGTGTAGTGGTGTGCACCTCTAGTCCCAGATACTCAAGAGGATGAGGTGGAAGGATGGCTTGAGTGCAGGTAGGGGCTGCAGTGAGCTGTGATTGTGCCACTGTACTCCAGCCTGGGCAATAAAGCAAGACCTTGTCTCAAAACAAACAAACAAACAAACAATCAAACAAAAAAGAAAGTAGAGGGAGCACTTTGTGTAGGAAAAGGATGATGAACATAACCAAGGAACAATTCTAGCTCAATATTTTGATGGAAATGTTAAAATGACATGTTACTAAGTCACACCTTTGTAGTCCATTTATGACTCATAAAGTGCTTTCACATACATTATTTAATGTGTTACTCAAGTTAGCCCCATTGAGTTGCTGTTATTGTCTATGTAATAAAGCTCAGAGAGCTTAAGTAACTTCCTTGTGGTCACACAGAATGTCAGAGGCAGAATTGGAGCAGTCATGTAAGTCCAGGTTAGGAGGGCTGGCCTCTGGATCCCTGCCACTAGCTGTGCCACTTTGGGCACATACTGACCTCTCCAGTCTTTGGTTTCCTCACAGGAAAAAGGAGGCCCTTCTCCAAACTCTAGGAGCCTGTGACTTAGTCATCCTAGTGAGCTCCATGTGCTTTCAACTTCTTGGGCTCTAATTGACTTTTTCCTGAGGCATCCAAAGGATTTTCTATCAATTTTTCTCCTGCGTGAGTTACGAAGAGGTATGAATAACCAGCCATATTGAGTTGGCTTGCCATTTATTTCACATACGTTTTCTGTGGGACTTGGAGTTATTGACAGAATGAAGTGACTTGATAAAATATTTTAAAAGCCTGAACATGATAGAATTTGCAAAACTGAATGGCAGGTTTGGGTTCTGACTCCCAGAGACTGATAGGTGGCTTAAAATAGACTACAGTACTTTCTTTTCAAATGGCATTTAATTAGTAGCAGGTTTTTTTTTTTTTAAGGAAATAAGTAGCACAAACAATTCGGGTATGGAAGCAGCTTCTCTTTTCAGATATTAAGTGAATATGTGACATGGAATTCAGTCTTATTTCTCTGGACTAATAATTTGAGGCATAGAATTCTTTTTTAATATACTAGTTCTTGGGTGCTGTTAATTTATTTGCCTTTGTCTTTTTTCTCCTTCCTCCTCTTCTCCTTCTTCTTCTTCCTTCTCCTCCTCCTCCTTCATCTTCTTCTTCTCCAAAAGCATCACTGAAGTGTTTAAGACACATTGTTCGATTTTTTAAAATTGAAGGTATACAACATGACATTTTGATGTACTTATATATAGTGATGTGTTATAATCAAGCAAATTAACATATCCGTTATCTCACATAGTTATCTTTAAAAAAATTATTTTTGTGGTAAGAGCACCTAAAGTCTACTGTCTTGGCAAATTTTTGGGAATGAAAATACATTAGCATTTTTTCTAGCACCATTCAGGTATAAAGGAAAGAAATTAACCTCAGGTTGCAAATATTATTTATGTGATCATAAAGATAGATTGACTTGCTGTTTCTCTGGTAGTTCTTATTCCTTCTTCATAAAATGGAAAGTAGGGTATTTCTTTTATAAATAGAGTGCCATATGTTTGGGTTTGGGGAAATCAGTTATACGGGTTAAAATGGTGATCATTTTCAAATGAAAACAATGATAAGAAAGCCCTCACATTTTAGGAAGAATCCTACAGTGTCGTGTGGTTTCTGCTCTTGTTAAGGACTCTTGCTTCACAAAAGGGTGACTCATTTAGTGGATCACTTGGTCCAGAAATTCTTGACTCCTGGGACCCCTAATCCCTTTATAGATTTCAGAGCTAGGAGGAAATTACAAAGTCTAGTGATGCATGTGAGACCCATGGAGGTTATGTGACTGGCTCAATGATATCCAAGTTAATAAACATAGGTCAGATTCATTTAGCAATGTAGAGGGGATATCACTGCTAATCTCACAGAAATTCAAAGGACAGTAAGGAAATACTATGACAAATTTTATGGCAATAAATCAAACAACTTACGTGAAGTGAATAAATTCTTAGAAAGACACAAAACTCTGAAAATGGCTCATGAAAAAAATAGAAAATCTAAATAGATGTTTTAACAATGTACAGTTGTTAAGAGCTCCTATAATAAAGGCTAGGATCTTTATTATAAGACTTTCATGCATACAGCTTTGAAGTCTGCACTCCAAGGGCAGCATTCCATTGAATTTCATTGTACTTTATTTTGGTTATTTTTCTTTTTGAAACCCAGTGTTCTTAATGTACTCAGACCACATATAGTGATATGATCATTTACCCTAAAGGACTCTGAGAGTGATTAAGTTCACCTCATTGCATACTATGGAAAACAGATAGATATAAATCTATTTTGATTTGAAAGAATTAAATCAGGAGATACCACAGTCTCTTTGGCTAAAATACTCAGAAGCCTATGACCAGGAGACTTTTTATTTGAGAGGTAGATGAAGCTTAAATCCTTAATGGAGATAACCACTGCCTCTCTTTCCCCCATTATCACTCACTATCTATGTTCATCTTCGCCAGTTTTTCTGTAAGACCTAGGTTTGGGGATAGATGGAGGATAAAAGAAGCAAACTGATAAGAATGACAAGGATGAAAGCCAGATGGCTTGGATAGATATTGGTAGAGACAAGATCTTGGGGCAATGATGAACAATGAAGTGTTAGGGTAAAGTGTGAGCTGTTAAAAGTCTGTCTTGGAACATCTGGATCAGAATAACAGGGATCATTTATATGGGCTCTACAAAAATAAACTGTGTTTTTTTTGTTTTTTTTTTACTGTGAAAGTTCAATAACAATCAAAAGTAAAAATCATTTGAATCCCATCACTAAAAGAGAACTAACCTTTAAAGTTTGGTGTACTTTTGCTATCTTTTTTTTGCATATGTATATGTAAGAAATATTTCTTAGTATTTTGAAAAATTAAGAAATATTCTATACTAAATGGAGTTTTTCAGTCTTTTTTTCAATTTATTATAGGTATTTCCCATGTCAAAGTATCATTTGAAACTATAAATTTTAATAATCACATAGCAATTCATCATGTAGATAATCATAACTTATTGCTTCTAAGATGTATTTTTTTATATTTTAACATCTTTGAAACCAAGATATATATCTTACAATTAATAACATGTCAGCGTAAGTTCCAGACATATTCAATTTTAGTGTTACATAAAGTAATGGTGCATCATTAATGTCTTAGTTTTTTTATACTATAACATAATTTATTCCCTATCACTGAACATACATTCAAGTTGTTTACAAACAAATGTTCTTATTGTAAATATTTTTATAATCCTTAAACGTAAATTATACTGCATATTCCTTCTCAAGGGAAAATTCATTAACATGGAATAACTGGGTAAAAGAGTATGAATATTTTTAAAGTCCTTGGTGCATACATACATAGTACAAAATTTCTTTCCTTGTGTACTAATTTATGGCTCTAAGAGCAGTTGTATGATTTAGAACTCTATGTATTTTACTGCACCCTGGTCAACACTTGATATACATGTATATATTTGTGTGTGTGTGTGTGTGTGTGTGTGTGTGTGTGTGTATATAATCAATTGGTCAATGTTAGGGAAATTATAGTCTTCTTAAAATTTTATAATTTCCTCCTATTTGTAACTTTGTTCTAACCTATCTGTATCCATGTCTTTTATTTATTTATTTATTTATTTATTTATTTATTTATTTATTTCTATCTGTTATCTATCTATCGATCTATCATCTATCTCTCTATCTATCTATTGATCTATCTATTTGCAATAGGATTAAAGATAGTAGAGCAGGTGGTAATAGCTGTAGAGTGTCAGGCTTCATAGTTGTGCAGTCCAGAATTGGATGCTCTGAGGATAAGCCTAGGAGTGCTGCATATAATGTGAAAATTGCCTCAAAGTTTTAGCATTATATGCATTTATCTAAATGGTATTCAGATCACGATCAGAAATAGGAATCCTGACTCCCCCAGTGCCCTCTGTCCTCTCCAAGGCTTATGGAAAGGGGTTATCTCAAGATGTCCTATAGTTGGTTACGAGTAGGTGCTTCTTTTGATACACCACTTGACTGTTATTTGTGGCTGATCTGGTTTGTAATGCTGGGATTTTGTTTTTCAGATAAAGGAAAAGAAAGAACATGTGCTGAAAATATATGCGAGCAAAATTGTACCCAATTAAATGAAGGAGGATTTATCTGCTCCTGTACAGCTGGGTTCGAAACCAATGTTTTTGACAGAACCTCCTGTCTAGGTAGAGTATATTTTTTCCAATTCCTGTTTAGGTGAACTTTACATCTAAGGTTCTCCACCCACTCCCCTTTGTTAAATAAATCACTATTTAATTCCCTTAATGGTACCATACTCATGGTTTCATGGTTCTAGGTCATTAAACTACTCAAGAATTGCTTTCCCCCACCTGCATGCATGCTATCTGACCAGTGCCTACCTGAGTGCTTGTCAGATACTGTGTGCTCAGTAGAGTCTGTGGAATTGATATGAATGATGAAGGCCTTGGTGATGATGGCTGCTTATTGCACCAGTGTGTGAAATCAAAGTTAATTTAAAAAACAAACTAGGCTTACTTTCTTCATTGTAAGTCAAACAACCAACACGTATTTATTATACACCTACTTACGCCAGACATAGATGAGTTGTAAGGTATGGAGTCAGAAGGTAGCTTATCAAGATGGTGAGTGATGAGCATGATTTTAGGTGCCTTTTAGTATTTGAATTTACTGTTTCTAATTCATGATATGTCATAGTCAGAAGATTGTAAGAGTTCCTTTTGGACTTGAAGCTTAAGAACTCAATTGAAAAACTAAATCAATGACTCCTGTTCCTGAAGCTGGTTAGCAGAAGTGAAGAGACACCGAACAATACAACACAACATATGCCTTCTGAAAGGGAAAATGTGCTCTGCTATTGCAGAGTCATAGAGTTTAAATCCTGTCTCCATTGCTTATCAGCTTTGGGACTGTGGGCTTAATCGTCCATACCTCTTAAAGTCTTTTGGCAAGACTAAACGAGGAAAATATTTGAAAAGCATGTGAAACAGTATCTGAAACTTAGTGTTTCACAAATGTTTGTATCATTGCTTATTTTCATCTGTACCCTTCTCGGTCCTCATTGCTGGTGAATATGGGTTTAAACAGAAGCAAGATCTCTAAGGAATGGATGGGAACAGATGTTGCGTATTTGGTTTTATTTTGCCTACAGATATCAATGAATGTGAACAATTTGGGACTTGTCCCCAGCACTGCAGAAATACCAAAGGAAGTTATGAGTGTGTCTGTGCTGATGGCTTCACGTCTATGAGTGACCGCCCTGGAAAACGATGTGCAGCTGAGGGTATGATGGGTTCATGTTGGGATTAATTGACTTTTGGGGAAATAAATACTGCTAAGTACACTATACGATGAAAGAAACTTCAGCTTCTCATAGTTTTTCTTTTCTTTCTTTTTTTTTAAACTCGCCAGCTGCTTCTCTTCCAACACCTCTTTAGTCGCTCCTTCTCTCTCCTCCCCTGCCAGCTTAAAACAATAGCTACATCCCCCAACAAATATGTAGCAATTAAAACAAGAGCCAGGTGTTACTTATTATAATGGATTTAGCCTCTTGTCTACCTTGATAAAAACTTCAAAAAGTGGACAAGATGTCATCTTTCTTAAGGCTCAAACAATAACAAAAGCTTGCCTATGGGATGGTCATCAATAAAAGGAAGGTAACAAGGCCCTCTAGCTCCCACTCCACTGAGAATAAGATTTGAGGCCCAGTAGTCCAAGAGGGCTCGTGAATTGGGGCAAATCAAGGACATATCCCTTTTGTATTGTTCATGGACTACTGATCACAGGCAGAAAGGAGTCTGGCACAGTCATAACTTCAATCATGAGTTTTACGTTTTAGGTTGATGCCAGTGTCTGACAATCGGGCCTAATAAAACAGAGAAAGAATGTAAGTCAGATGTATTATACTCCAAATTCCAGAGGCCTGATCTAAATCATCATATCCTAGTTAAGAGGCATGGGTCTTTATTTTGAATTTGAAGTTTGTACTAGAGTTTAAGGAACTTGATAAGAAAATAGCACTTTATTTTGTAAATTAAGAGTAAATGGCCAAAATGGCTGTTCAATTTCTTCATACAAATTGAGCTTTTAAAGCATACATTTGACTAGCATACTTACATATTTTACCCTCAAAACACTGTTGACAGTGAATGAAAACTAGAGTGAAAGCATTTGAACAGTTGGTCTGGTAATTAAGCAGCAATTTTTTAAATGTTTAAATCCTTTAACTAAGGACATGACTGAAACAAATTGGAATATTCATATAAAACATAATGTCAAGATAGAGGAAATATATAAAATGAACTTTTAAAAGTTACTTAAATTGGATTCAGTTGACATTATGCAAGTAAATTAAACTTAACAAATTCTAGACAGTGCATCTTGGGATGAGTCACCATTAAGTAGCTGCTTTAGGTTAAAAAAATTAAATCAAGGACAAGCTAGGTTTATTTTGTCATTAGCTAGGAGCTAAATTGGGTCATAGAGCTGATTACCTGCTAAAAAGAATCATAAAATCTGTCAGGAAACAGTAAGGAATGAGACTTTTCTGGTAAACTTTTAGTAAGACTATAAAAGTATTTCTTCTGTGAGATAGAATGTCTGCAGTCTAGTCTGTTTTGATGTCAGTAAATAAAAACAATTCAGTGAAAATGAGGACTGTACGTAGGGTTCTCAGTCTAGCTTTGTTCCATACTACCACTGAGTACAAAGAATAAAGAACTGATAATGTCCCTAAGAGACATATTAGCTTTCCACTTGAAGTGGAGAATGTCAAGTCACGGATTTTGTAACCCAGTTGGAGAGTCAGCTTTATTGATTAACAGAGATAGTCAGATTCCTATAAAAACTCATGTTCTTTAAAAAGGGGACAGGTACATACTGTGCATTTTATATCCTACTTTATATAGGAAAGTATAATTCAAACAGATAAAGTAGCCCTTTGTTTGTTTACAGGTAGCTCTCCTTTGTTGCTACTGCCTGACAATGTCCGAATTCGAAAATATAATCTCTCATCTGAGAGGTTCTCAGAGTATCTTCAAGATGAGGAATATATCCAAGCTGTTGATTATGATTGGGATCCCAAGGACATAGGCCTCAGTGAGTATAAACTTTGGCATCTTTCATTGATATTAAGTGACTTTATAGAATTTTAAGGTGTTGACTTTTAAGGAATTTATTGTTTAATGAGTGAATTTTGTTGCATTAGTGGAGGAGGAAACTCTTCCAATCCAGCATGCTCCTGATGCCTTAGCGTGGCCTTGAATCCCAGCCAAGCTTTCCTGATTTCTTTCTAAAACTCCTCCGATCACTGGGGTTTATCCTTTCTGGACCATCTCACATCTTCTTGTATTTTGAAATTTCCTTGTCCTTGATACTGCAGATCTTGTTCCTTCCTACCATTGTACACCTTGAAAATTTCTACTCAGACCTCAAAGACCCAGTTTAATGTCACCACCTCTGTGACAACTTCTATCACTCCTTCTGGCAGAGTTCTATGATTGCTCACCATGAATCTATGTCATTTTATGGCACATGTTACTCTAAGTTATATAGCTAGTTGACCACATAATATCTTTCTATCCTCTAGACATCTGCTTTTTGGGGACAAAGACTGAATCTAATTTATCTCTAAATGCCTAGCAGCTGACCCAACATCTAGTACACTCTATGTGGTAGGTGATCAAAAAATTTAGTTGAATGAAGGAAAAAGATGAATAATGCTTATTGTTGAATCTCTCATGGCTCTATCTGGTGTTGGGGGAGATGACAGTAGGGTAGGAGTCAGAAAACTTGTCTTCTGTGCCTGTAAACTTATCTTTTATGCCAGTCTCCCTTATCTACTAGCTTTGTGATCCTAAATAATTGTAACGATTCTCTGAATCTCAATTTTTTTTCTACAAAATCAAAGTAGTAATCTTGTTCTGTCTGCTTACCTCTGAGAGTTGTTTGGAAGATTGAATGAGATAGTAGATATGAAAGGCTTTGAAAACTATCAATAACTATACCAATGTAGGATTTATTATTGGTGTATTTTCACACATATTCATGCAATACAATACACTTTTCAAGAATGGTGCATACCTAGGAAAGCAGCAGGTGTCCAGTGCATCCCTCTACAGTCACAGTCTTCCTATGCTTTTAACATGCCTGCTGTCCACCATCCTTCTGTCTGTATATAAAATAGGACTTCTCGTTGACATGGCTTCTTTATTGCCTCTGATCTTGAGTATGCTTTCAAATTCTCAACAGCCTGCCCTGGTTTATCTCTATACATTCTGTTTTGGAAACTAGAACTTGATCCTAATAAGAGTAAATAAGCACTTTGTTGAAATACGTTTAAATGAATCACTTTTAAATAGAGATGACTAAATCTCACTAAGTTCTCAGTTGAAGCATTTGTAGCTCATAGCTCAAGTTTGATAGGTTTTAAAGTTTGATTATACTGATGTCATTGAATTATTCATATTATAACAACAGTGAGGAGGGAGGTAGAGATGTCAATAAACGAACAGTACTTCACCTGATTAGACCCCTGTTCTTCCTTTACTTGATGCTCTTGACATGAAACTGACCTGTGTGTCTTCCTCTGTAGGTGTTGTGTATTACACTGTGCGAGGGGAGGGCTCTAGGTTTGGTGCTATCAAACGTGCCTACATCCCCAACTTTGAATCCGGCCGCAATAATCTTGTGCAGGAAGTTGACCTGAAACTGAAATACGTAATGCAGCCAGATGGAATAGCAGTGGACTGGGTTGGAAGGTAAATTTGCCATACATTCCCCCCTTACCTGTTCTGTTTTCCTGGTTAGAGTTCTCTACTGCACTCCATGGGCCATGAGTGAGTCTGGGCCTGGATATGAGTACACTCAGCCATGGGTGCAGCTGGGCAGTGGTTGGGCTTGCTGAAGCCCCAGCAACTACCTCCACTTACCCCAGCATGTCATGGAGACATTATCATATCCTGTATTCTTTGTGGGCCATGAAAAAAATTGGGAAAGCACCCAGGTCAATATCTGGATATAGATATTATATCTAGGATATAATAGTGAATATTATATTTACTATAAGTGAATAGCATTCTTGCCAACAGAGTTCTGGATTCCAAAATTAACTTTCAGTATGGCAGCACTGCTCATTTTGTGAAGAAATGGGACAGCCTCACAATTCTCCCAGCAAAGCAGTTGAGATGAAACTTTTTTTCTATGGTAGTTATCTTGGGGACGAACAATCCACATCTTGTGTTTTTAGCAGGCTTCTAGTTAAAACAGATTGGAAATTTGACTAAAGAAGTCTTTGGAATTGAGTTAATAGAGGTGTCAGTCTCTTCTGTTCTTCTAGACCTTCTAGTGGCCCAGGGACCAGAGCCACACATTTTGGATGGTTTTTAAGTAGAACTTAAGTAGGGTTATCATCAGGTAGGTGTGTGAGGTACAAATGGATGTGGAGAAGTTAGTAAGCTCATTCTTCAAGGAAGAGGTTTGCACTGACTTACATTGGTGGGAAAATGATTCCTTGAAAATGAACCAATAATGCAAACATGTTTGAGGGGGAAGGTTCAGGAGACACTACTCTCCTGGAGAATGGATAGTTATTTTCAGTGTAAATTCTTTTTCACCTTTTAAAAAATGTGGCTGGTGTTCCTGGAAGAGCATCTTTGAAGAAGCTAATTGGGTCCCGCTGTGCCTGCAGGCTAACAGGAGACTCATTTTAGCATTTTCAGTCAAGAAACAGGGCCTTAGAGTACTGTTGCTAGAGTCAGGAACTCAAAACTCCAGACATTAACACTCTCTTCTGAAAACCAACCAGGGAATGGCAGATCTGTCTTCTTGTTTGAAGTTTTACCTCTTTCTCAGCCTTAATGAATAAGAGAATTAAGAAAGTGGTGGAACTTTTTCTGCTTGTAAGAGACTGAGACCTGCAGCCTCAGAAGTGGAAATAAGGCAGGACAGTCTTGCCGAGTTTGTTATTTTAAAAGGCTGTTTCCACTCATCTTTGAGCTGACACCAGGTTCCTATTGATTCTAACGGGGCTCTTTCCTGAGGAGGAAACAGACTCATGGGCAGTCAGAGTTAAGGCACCAGCCCCACCGTGCCTTATGACTTCTACCTAGAAGCCCATGTCTCATAATAATGCCAGTCAGAGGCCAGTCTGACTGCTGTGTCTATGGTAGTTATCTTGGGGACGAGCAATCCACATCTTGTGTATTTAGCAGGCTTGTAGTTAAAACAGATTGGAAATTTGACTTTCCTGTTTAGTCTTTGGAATTGAGTTAATTCCATTGTGGATCCTGCGTGATTCAGGTGCTTTGGCTGTTGGGCAGGAGTCCCCTCAATTCCTTACTCTTCCAAGTGTAACCTGCCAAACATGTCCCCTTGGCTGTAGTTCCCCCAAGAGAGGGGGACTATGGTCTGATGATAGGTATCTGAGCAGCTGTCTCACCAGCCAAACGAAATGCTCTCATCTTCAAACCTCTTACCCAGTAATGATTACTCTAGGCTTTGCAGTTGTTTAACTTTGTCCCTCTGAATTCAGGCATATTTACTGGTCAGATGTCAAGAATAAACGCATTGAGGTGGCTAAACTTGATGGAAGGTACAGAAAGTGGCTGATTTCCACTGACCTGGACCAACCAGCTGCTATTGCTGTGAATCCCAAACTAGGGTAAGTACTTGGAGAAGTCTTCAACATCTAGATATTTCTCCCTGGATTCTCATCAAATTCCATGTTTCTTATAATTTTTTTTTCCTAGTTTAACTGAAATTGTCCTTCAAGTTTTTGGGAGTAGCGTCTATGACTGTTTCAAGAATTATAACATGCCCTTGAGATCATATAGAACCAACCATTTCTGATGGGGAAATTCCTTTAGAACACATCTGAGAATCTTTCTAGTTACATGGATTCCTTGCCAAATCAGAGCTCTGAACTCTAAAGTTCTTTGTGGATATAACTGTTTTAAGTGAAGGTTTCAACAGAATTGTTTTTCCTTTCATTTGGATGTTTTAAAGTAACTCATTCATTGAAATCCAGCTAGGGATTTGGTCATATTTCATTTAAAAATTAAACATTTATATCCAAAATATATAAATATTTAAAATGACACATGTATAAATATATATTATCCATTTGTATAAATATTCCAATTTGCAATTTATCTATAAATCATCTCAGTGTAAATGAGAACAAGTTTTGTTATTTTTCTCTACATTTCAAGACATTTATTTGAATAATCACTAAGCTGAAATGACTTGGTATTTACATATTAGCTTAGCTTCAGAATAGTGACACTTTAAAAAAGTTTTTTGAATGACCCCAAATAATTTTCCTACTTGGGCAGGACCAGTCTAGCCCTCTGTAGATATGCCAGTATTTGTAGGTAGAACCCTATGAGCTGTTATTACTTTAATTCTGTTATATTTCATATGTTAAATCATACCCTCAGAAACTCAGCAATGAAATATGAAAAATACTTGACTGATGAGATTAACCTGTAGTGAGGACTTGTCCTCAGCATTAGTCATTGCTGCTTATATCTTATCTACACAATATATTAGGAGCAAAGAGATGCAGTGTGTTCTATGGTGTGAATGATGTGACTGTTTCCAGTGTGCCGTTTAATTTTTTCCTCTGTAACTAATGTTTAAATTCATCTGATATTATTATCATACTCTGATATCCCTCCACTGTTTTTTTCATAGAAATTCTTTTTTTTTTTTAATTTTTTTGGAGATGGAGTGTTGCTCTGTTGCCCAGGCTGGAGTGCAGTGGCATGATCTCGGCTCACTGCAACCTCTGTCTCCAAGATTCAAGTGATTCTCCTGCCTCAGCCTCCTGGCAGCTGGGATTATAGGCACCCACCACCACACTGGGCTAATTTTTGTATTTTCAGTAGAGACAGGGTTTCACCATGTTGGGCAGCCTGGTCTTGAACTCCTGACCTCAGGTGATCCATCTGCCTCGCCCTCCCAGTGTGCTGGGATTACAGGTGTGAGCCACCACACCTGGCCAGAAATTCTTATTTTAGTCTTTGTAATTCCTTTCTCTCTGGAATGGCTCAGTGTAGTCCTGTGAGGGATAGGAAGTAAGAAAGGAGTGAGAAAGGGTTTCACTGCCTAAGGCCTGCAGACCCGACCTACAACCTCCTCATTTCATGATCCATTTGAAAGGCTCATCATCCATAAGTTTTATAAGCATAAGCATATATGATGTGTTGAACCTTCTTACAGCTTCTGCGGTATAAGATCTGCCAGTGGGTCCAAAGGATGATGAAGATGATAACTACTGATAATACCAGCAACAGCAATGAGAAGTGCCAACATTTATTCTATTCTTGCTGTGTGCCAGCTACTCTGCTAAGTGTCCTACATATATAAACTCATTTGAATTGTACAAAGGATCTATAAATTAGTCATAGGTTTCTATCCCTTATTTACATAGATGGGTAAAATAACACCATGCTCCTTCAGACAGCAACTGTTGACTATAATATAAGATACAAAGGGAGAATTGTCATGAGGACACTGCTGAAAAACACTGTGATAGTTCTCCTACCTTACAAGGGTTCAGGGAAGCTCTATGGAGAAAGTAGCACTGAACTGAATGTTGAAGGTTGGGATCCACTGGTAGTATAACCAGTGATAAAGTATGTGACATGTGAGGTCAATGTGGGTGAGAGTGAGAAGGGCCACTTCCCAGAGAAAGTGGGACTGACATAGAACCTAGATGGATGTCTTGGGTACTGATAGGCAAAGGAGCCAGGCCGGCTGTTCAGAAGCTCAGGCAATAGCATAAACGAAGTCATGGAGGAAACAAAAATCATTCTGTGTACCTTTTGTGTGTTTTTTCCATTCCATTCCCTACGTTTTGTTTTTTTTAGTTTTGAGTATTTAATACTTTTTAATTTAAATTAAATTGAATTAATTAATTTACTTATATAGACAGGGTCTTGCTCTGTCACCCAGACTGGAGTGCAGTGGCATGATCATAGCTCACTGCAGCCTTGAACTCCTGGGCTCAAGCAGTCCCCTGCCTCAGCCTTCTACTTGCACACCACCATGCCTGGCTTATTATCTTTAAGAAAACAGCTTATATAATTCACATATGGTATGTATGGTATGATACAACTTACCCATTTAAAGTGTACAATTCACTGGCTTTTGGTATATGCAGAGTTGTGTATCCATCATCATAATCGGTTTTAAAGCATTTTCATCACCCTACAAAGAAACCCTGTTCCTCTGAGCCACCATTTTCCTGCCCTCAGTACCTGCTAATCTGCTCTCTGTCTCTATAGATTTGCCTATTCTGGACATTTCCTACAAATGGAATCCTACAGTATGTGGTTCTTTGTGACTAGCTTCTTTCACATGTGTGTCCTTTTTAATGAAAACCAAACAAGGTGGTATTTACCAGTTGTTGAGACTTTAAAGGCCCCTGGCTGCATTTTTTCCAGAGCCCAGTTTGTCTAAAATCCACACATTCGTCAGTAGAATTTAAAACTTGGCCTATGCCTGATGACTGGTTTAGACTACAGGCTGCAAAGCAGCGGCTGGTGGGCCAAATATGGCCCATAGGACATATTTGGCTGGGACAACACAGAGCTTTAAGATTTTTTTTTTTTTAACATAGTGCTGACATTTAAAATTTAAGAAAAGAAAGAAAACCTGTATTTCTTGCTTTGGAAATCAGAGGAGCGGATTACACTGGGTAGGTCTGCCTTCCTGGGCACTGACAGGAGCTCTTACACAGGGTCTTGCTCTCCGCATCACTTGATATTTACAACCGGGATCTCTCCTCATTCATCTTACATACCTGTTCCTCTCCAGGTATTTGAAATCATGCAATCCCTGGTCTAGGTAATTCAATGTGAGATCATCTTTGCTTACATAGACCCTTGCTCTACAATTAATTATTAATTGGATGCAAAAGACATATTTAAAAAGAGTTGCTGGGTGTGGTGGCTCACTCCTGTAATCCCAACACTTTGGGAGGCTGAAGTGGGGGGATTGCTTGAGTCCAGGAGTTCAAGACCAGCCTGGGCAGCACTGGTCAAACCACGTCTCTACTAAAAACACAAAAAACTAGCCAGGCATGGTGGCACATGCCTGTAGTCCTAGCTACTCAGGAGGCTGAGATGAGAGGATCGCTTGAGCCCAGGAGTGTAGTGAGCTATGATTATGTCGCTGCATTCCAGCCTGGGCAACAGAGTAGCTCCATGAAGATAGAAATCTTTGTATGTTTTGTTCTCTGATAGATCCCAAACACAGAACAGTGCCTCTTACACAGTAGGCCTTCAATAATATTTCTTGAAGAGTGAACAGCTTTCATAATACAGCTTTCATAATGCATTTTAAAGGGTCTGAATATCCATCCTTCGGCCAATTTCTATTAAGGAGGTGCAGTTTTCAAGAAGGATAAATCATATGTGCTCTTGCGCCCCTATTTTTGCTCCCCATCTTCTGTAAAATATAAAACTGGTGTCACTGAGCACCCAGGTCCCTGAGATAAACAGTTGGTTTCCCTGTAGGTAATGCCCTGTGCTCTGCTGTAGTGGAGAAGTCTTACCAGGTGAGATGCTACAGTGAAGAAATCTTCTGTTATAGGCTTATGTTCTGGACTGACTGGGGAAAGGAACCTAAAATCGAGTCTGCCTGGATGAATGGAGAGGACCGCAACATCCTGGTTTTCGAGGACCTTGGTTGGCCAACTGGCCTTTCTATCGATTATTTGAACAATGACCGAATCTACTGGAGTGACTTCAAGGAGGACGTTATTGAAACCATAAAATATGATGGGACTGATAGGAGAGTCATTGCAAAGGAAGGTTAGAAATTAGTTAGAAAGTAATATATTAAATTAATAATTAACATATTTCTAATGTCTTTGCCTGTTTTCTCAAGAAGGAGCCCTGCTCTTAGGAAATGGCTTATATAGTTTTTTAGATACCACCCCTCCACCCCCACCAACTCCCACCTGCTGAATTAAATGCAGATGAGTTCATTAGCAATAATTAAATCCTTTTCGTCCTTTTTACACAACTTTAAAAAAAAATGCTTCTCAGCAGAAGATATTGAAATAACTGAGTTTCCTGTTAGGTTGCCCCAGTAGAGGTGGTTTCATGTGTACCAATGTTAATTCATGTCTAACCGCTTCTGGACACATTCATTTTCACTTTACTAGATTGCCCAGTATGCACAACTGTAAATATCTAGGAGATGAACATTTTTTGTTGTTGTTGTTCAGACTCTGCAGAATTGCAATGACCCAGCACATATCACATTTTTCCTATTTGGTCAGATAGATGTCTTATGTTCAAAAGAAAACATAAAATCTTGCCATTTAAATTGTTTTCCAAAAATGCAGTAAAATCAGTAACTTGAAAGTGAGCTAGGGCCCTGTGATTGGTGTCGGGTGGTATACATCAATGTGGTTTAATTTCTATCTTCTTGACCTCCTAATGCAGCACACTTTCACAGTCCCATGTAGCTAAAGTCAGCCTGAATATTCCCAGAGCTTCAAGGCATTGTATGAGGGAATAATTCAAGCAGAATGACATCAGATCTAGAAGTGGCGGTAGGGTGTAGTGGGTATTTTCTTTTCAATAACCTTCTGTTTTGTTTTTCCCCTGTGGGTAAGCAGCAATGAACCCTTACAGCCTGGACATCTTTGAAGACCAGTTATACTGGATATCTAAGGAAAAGGGAGAAGTATGGAAACAAAATAAATTTGGGCAAGGAAAGAAAGAGAAAACGCTGGTAGTGAACCCTTGGCTCACTCAAGTTCGAATCTTTCATCAACTCAGATACAATAAGTCAGGTAATCACCAACTTTGGTATAAGATGCTCCTCATTACTTGGAAATCTTATTTCAAAATAATGGCTATATTGCTGGAAGATGGCAGTAGATAACAACAAGCTAATCTCTTGGTGCATGAAAGGGGTATATGTGTATGTACGTTTGCTGGGGGAGAGGAACGTTTTAACCATTTTCACCAAAGAAAGATAAAATTGGTGGTCAAATGAAATTATGCAAACCATCAGCAGGTAAGTAAAAATATTAGCCCTCATCATTGTTTGGAGTGATGGATATGTACTTCTAGGCCACAGAATCCAGCAGACATCAGTCCCCTGCTAAATGTGAGTTGGGTTAACAAGTCACAAAATGGGTTTCATAGGCATCAGAAATCTTATCCTTCCCATTGCAAGGCTAGGCTAGTCAGGTCAACCTGAGATATGTAGGTCTTAGTTTAAAATGGCCAGTCATGTGCATTCCTACCCGCTCCCCTCTGTCTCACTTTCCCACTTCTGGGCCCTGCTTCCTCAGGTTACCTGTGCGCTAATTTATCCTTCAGCAGTGTGTGGAGCAAGATGAAAGGCAAAGGGAAGTGAGGAAAGGAAATAGCCTTTTACTAAGTTCTTATGTCAAATTCTCTCTTCAGTGTTAATTCAGCCATCTATTACTTCAATTACCTTATAAAGACCTCCCAAACCTTATAAAGACATTTTATTCTCATCTCAAATAAAGAAACTGAGGCCGAGACAGATTTAGTAACTTGTGTGCCTAAGTCACATAACAAATGGGTGAGTTTTAATCTCAGAAATGAAATAATTTTTAGGTTCAATTCTATCCAACCCAAAACTCAGCATCTTGCTGTATTGGCCCAGTGTTCAGTATGCCAAAGTCCCAGGTTGAATGCTATGGATATGTGGCCTTTGACAAGTTACTCCCTTCCTGTCCCCATATGTGAGTCATGGGTGGAGTCTGGGGTTGTCTTGAGTCTGCTGATATTTTGAGACCTTGATCAGCCTTGAAAAATTGCAACTCAAAGCTGAGACTCCCATGAGATGACAGGGGTGGCAAATGCCTTTTCTAGGGCATGGCTTCCTTGTTTTGGAAGTATATCACCAAAACACTCCAGAATACTCCAGACCCTACCAATAGAATAGCTTTTGTGTCCTAAGTGCCCTTGCGGCTCTCACACTTGGCAATTTTAAAGGTAGGAGAGGAAGGCACAGTACACCTGGAAAGGCTATCTCCCCTCCCTACCGCCTCTGGACCCTGAGGAGAAGGCAGAGGAAAGTCTGGAGGCTGCCCCTGAAGGAAAAGCATCTCCCTCCGGCAGCTGATGCTCAGGGAAGGCGGCTCCTTTGGAAAGTGCTGGTGGAGTGGGGGTGGGGGTGGGGGTGGGGATGGGGAGTACAGCCCCAGCCCAGCCTGTTTGAACCAAGAGTTCTGAAAGTTGAGCATGCCTCAGAATTATCTGGAGAGCTTGTTAAATATAGATTCGTGGGCCCCATCTGTTGCACTTCTGATGCAATATGCCTGAGGTGGCCTAAGAATTTGCATTTCTAGTTCTCCTGTGACGTTGATGCTGCTGGTTCAGTGACCACATTTTGAGAACCGCTGCTCCAGTCCCTTGCTACTCAGAGTGTGGGCCATGGGCCAGGAGTCTTGGGATCCTTATGGGAGCTGGCTAGAAATGCAGTCTCTCAGGCCCACCCCAGACCTTCTGAATCAGAATCTGCATTTTAGCAAGATTCCCCAGGTGATGGATAGCACATTCAAGTTTGAAAATCTCCACTCTGGAGGGCCGACGAAATGGTAATGAGACAGATATTGATGGAGGCTTTTGGAAGATGTGTTACTAATTTATAGCTATGCTTTGTCTGTGGTTACATCTTGAATGACAGACAATCAGGATCACAGAATGTTAGTCTGAGAAGGAATGTAAAGATTATCCACTCCAGTACAACCCTTGGATAAATCATAATACATGCTAAGGTAGAATTAATAAGGCTCTAGACTTACCTAGGGAGCTTTTAATGGTAATACTTGAACTCTACCCCAGACCAATTCAAATCTGAATCTCTGTGAATGGGCATCAATAGGTTTTTTTGTTTGTTTGTTTTTTGTTTTTGAGACGGAATCTTGCTCTGTCGCCCTGGCTGGAGTGCAGTGGTGCAATCTCGGCTCACTGCAAGCTCCGCCTCCTGGGTTCACACCATTCTCCTGCCTCAGCCTCCTGAGTACCTGGGACTACAGGTGCCCGCCACCACGCCCAGCTAATTTTTTTTTTGTATTTTTAGTAGAGACGAGGTTTCACTGTGTTAGCCAGGATGGTCTCGATCTCCTGACCTCGTGATCCGCCCAAAGCGGCCTCCCAAAGTGCTGGGATTACAGGTGTGAGCCACCGCGCCTGGCCTGGCATCAATAGTTTTGAATAGCTCCCAGGTGATTATGAGGAACCATTGCTCTAAATTCCCTTTTCTTGCAATTAAGGTAACTGAAACCCAGAAGAAATGTCTCCTTGGAGGGTTGGGGTGGAAATCACATCCAGTATACTTTGGATAGACCATATGTTATGATCTGTCCAGTTTTGGGTAGTGACAAATCTTGGTATAATATGTGGATCTCACTGGTCTTTTGAACCATCTCAAGTTGTTTAGCACTGAGTAGATTTTGAGGTTAGGCAGTGAACCAGATACCCACCTTCCAAACCTCTCAGGGCAGCAGAGAAGATAAGTGATGCCAATAGAAAATGTGAGTGGTACAGAAATTGGCTGGAGGGCCCAGAGAGGGACTATCCCACTGCAGTGTGGTGGCAGAGATGATAGTGTAAATGAGGGTGAGTGGCCAGCTGACACGTGGACGAGAGGTATTGAGAGGATGCCTAGGCTCTGCTGTCACCTGGCAGAGCCACTTCCAGTTGCTGGGTATTCAGGTTATTCATTCTGTCAGGACCTAACTGCTGTTCTCACCCGCTTTCCAGTGCCCAACCTTTGCAAACAGATCTGCAGCCACC
The DNA here is from genome assembly GCF_000001405.40 of Homo sapiens. Classification (NCBI taxonomy): domain Eukaryota; kingdom Metazoa; phylum Chordata; class Mammalia; order Primates; family Hominidae; genus Homo; species Homo sapiens. Next base: position 169,142,760 of record NC_000002.12, on the reverse strand, counting down.
TCTGCCTTCTGAGACCTGGAGGATACAGCTGTGCCTGTCCCCAAGGCTCCAGCTTTATAGAGGGGAGCACCACTGAGTGTGATGCAGGTAGGAGCACTGCCCAAGCAGCTATGGGGGCCTGGGAGCACTCCTCTGCTGCCTTCAGGAGTCAGAAGAATCCCTGTATGCTGGGTCCTTTGCAGCAGAGTGGGGATGGCTGGAAGGAGGGTTAAGGGATGTGGGAGGTATGAACAGAGTTGAGTGGGACTTAGGGGGCAAACAGAACTGTGTTCCAGTGACTGCTGAGAATTATTTGCTAAGATCTGCAGAAATATAGATCCAGTGTCCCTAAATCTATTGCTGTGTTGTTTTGTAAAGACATTTTGAAGAGTGAGTTTTTATAAGACCTCTACCTCAAGCTGGATTCCCATTGCCCCAGAATCCACTCAACCTTAATTGTAGCTCCTCAGGGTAGAGAACCATGTCCAGTTTTGACAACTGAAAAAGGGCTACCTTTTGAAAAGTGCTTTATATTATCAGGAGACGAAGACCAGCATGAGGAAGCTGTGGTTTAATTCTAGTCCCAAACGCTGTGGGTGATCTATTCTTGGCAAGACTTTTTTTCAATGACTCTTTTAAGGAGTTAATAAGCCGGATGGGGGCGAATAACTAGTGTCCCTAACTAGCATCCGGTGCTGGAAAAGCCTGTGAAAAAGTCGTCCTGCAATTCACTAGCGGCCCATTTTATGGCTCACATCCTTGGGGCCTTCCCCCAGTTTTAGCTGATGGGGAAAGGAAAACGCTTAACCACCTTCTACCACCAGGGGGAGCAGGCAGTTAGACCAGGAACCACCCTTTGACTCATTCCAAACAGGCTGAGGAGTTGGCAGGTTTAGGGAATGAATCCAGGGAGAAAAAACTGTTTCTTGTCACCCCTCTTCCCCTACTCTTGCACTCATCCCAACGCTACTGGGGAAATATTGGTAGGAATCCAATATTTCGAGCCATATTTGGAACAAAATGACAATTTCAGGCTTTGAGATTTGTTCCATGCTGTGGATAGATTGTTTTGCCACTTACTGCAATTTCACATCGTGGGAGCAGTGTGGTCCTGGTTGTCACCTCATCTACTACTTTTCTCATTTAAACTTTTTGCCAAGTGGATTTTATTAAGATTCTTGTTTTAAAGAACTTTAACCGAAGTAAGCACACGAATGATGGCAGTCATTCCATATAGGGCCTCGGTTTGGTATAATAATTAAGCAATTAGTCCAGTGAGATTTCTTGAGTGCCAGCTATGTGCCAGGCACTGTTCTAAGTGCTGGAGGTAACAGAGGTGAACAAAACAGACAAAACCCCCTGTGTGTATTGAGTTTACATTCTAAGAGGACAATAAATAGAGAAGTCAATAAATACATGGTAGTTCAGGTGGTACTATGGAGAAAATGAAGGCAGAGGAAGAGGGATGAGGATGGGGTGAGTGGGGATTGTCCTTTAGATAGTGTTCAGGGAAGACCTGTCTGATACAGTGAACATTGAGTGGAGACTCAGATTGAAGGACTGAGCCAGGAGGGTATCTAGACTCTTTAAATAATATACACATGTAACCTATACTTATTAAGCATCTTCAATATAAAAGACACTGAAGCACTAATTCCCCATCAGGCACATCCTGGGAGTATGTACAGGCCTAGCTGGGAGCAGGGACTTGGAGTAAGGGCAGTTTGGGAGGACTTGAAAACTCAGGAGCTCTCTAGCTAACTGCCTATCAAATATCTCTATATCTGTAGCTATGTGACTGCCTGTGGACTGATCAATTACTGATGCTTTGGTGTCTTTAGTTGAAGTTTCAAGGTGGGCCTACATTAAACTCTTGATTTTAACTGGGTTCACGGAGGAGAATTCTGAAAACTTCAAATGAGAATGTGAATATTTTAAGAGATTATTTTACCACTAGGTTCTTGTAACTATTAATATATGTGCTCCAGAGTCTAGTACCTCTCCATTGTTTTTTGGGAAAAATTCTATAAACTGCCCCCTTTCTTTCCACTAAATGTATGTTACTCTCCAAGACCTTAAGGAAACTCACTGGACTTAGGGGGAAGGTAAGCTTTGACAGGGAGACTAATTGGCTGGCCTGCCCCTCCTCCCACCCCTAACCTGGGCCGGTTTGCATGGTGTGGGCACTCTGCTGAGTACAGCTGACTAACACCTGCATGGCTTTCCCTTCCTGCAGCCATCGAACTGCCTATCAACCTGCCCCCCCCATGCAGGTGCATGCACGGAGGAAATTGCTATTTTGATGAGACTGACCTCCCCAAATGCAAGTAAGTCTGAATGTTGAGGTCCCAGCTATAGGCCTTGCCTCTTCTGGGGAAATTTGAGACCTTAAAGTAGCCAGGAAAACAAATACAGGAACCTCACCAGTTCACTAATTCTTACATTTTAACCAGCTTGCCTTCCCTTGAGGGAGTCTACAGAGAACTGAGGCAGTGCTTCTTTAACTAGAATGTGCATAAGAATCCCGTGGAGATCTGGTTCAAGTGCCCATTCTCACGCACAGAGATTCTGCATTTCTAACAAGCTCTAGGTAGGCCACAGGGTCTTGGACCACACTTTGGGGAGCAAGGAGTTAGAGAATTGGCAGCAGCATTTTCCTACTCACCTGGTATTGTTGATTACAACAGGGCTGTGGGAGAAGAGCTGTCTGCAGGGCTGCTTTAGTACAAGGCACTCGTGATGAGCAGAAAGACTGGGATGGATTCGGAAAGAAGATGACTGTGTTGCGAAAACTCTAACATGGAGCAAGATAAATGGATGTCTTTAAAAAGCATTTAATGAAAGCATATAAAAGAAAGAAACATAACCATGGTTTCCATTTGTACTCTCTAAGGAAGCATTGCATAGATTAGACACCAATAGGTTTTCGTGGCCAGACTCACCCCCTCAGTGCCACAGCTACTCCATTACAAGTGCATTTCTAAAATCAGAGCACTGTTCTTTCTGCTTGTCTTCTCTTGGCAGAATGAACAAAAGTCATGCAGGATACATTGTCTGTTCAACATGTAATTTATGCAGTCAAAGCTCTCTCTACTTCAGGATGTGCTCAGAAAAATGCAGTAGAAGCCTAAGAACATAACAGCTAGTGAATGATTTGCTTTTTCCTTTCAGGTGTCCTAGCGGCTACACCGGAAAATATTGTGAAATGGCGTTTTCAAAAGGCATCTCTCCAGGAACAAGTAAGTTTTAAGAATGTGAGCAACTTGGAAATTACTCATGGCCCCTACATTGAATGCTGTCACAGCTTTTCTACTTAACCCAGTCTTTGAAGGAGTGGTTCTAGCCCCCAGTTTCTGCCAGGATTGCGGGCTCCCATGTGTTGATGTGCTCTCTGCTATCTTCTTCTATAGCCGCAGTAGCTGTGCTGTTGACAATCCTCTTGATCGTCGTAATTGGAGCTCTGGCAATTGCAGGATTCTTCCACTATAGAAGGACCGGCTCCCTTTTGCCTGCTCTGCCCAAGCTGCCAAGGTCAGTTTCATTATGGGGAACGTTGATGTTTGAAGCCTAAGAAATTCATATGAAGCCATGTGAAGGACTTAGTTTTCTTTCTAAGTTAAAAAAGCACAATACGCAGTTCACCGATTCCACAGAAACAAAAAGTAGTGAGGATGTAAAGCAGTCACTTCAAATCCCAACTTCTTAGTCAAGTGCTTCTCTAAAGCCTGAGTGACAAGCTGTGTTTTGTAGTCCAAATGGTTGTGCCTACTGGTAGGTGTTCAGGTCAGAGAGGAGTGAAAAGGCAGCTGTGTGATGGCCCAGGCTTTATCCTTCTATGTGCTGGACTCTTTTTCTTTTAGATCTCATGGTTCAGGAATGTGCTTTAACGTTTCCAGGTAGCTAAGGGAACTTACTACCATATTTGACAGTGTAAATTTAGAGTGGGAATTGAGCATTACATTTGAGGAAGATTTGGCAATGTGGAGGAGAGGGTACTATTGTGAAAGGTTGTATTTGTTGTTTTTGTTGTTGTTGTTTTAAATAACAAGACACTGTTTTGGTTACTTCTTTCCAGCTTAAGCAGTCTCGTCAAGCCCTCTGAAAATGGGAATGGGGTGACCTTCAGATCAGGGGCAGATCTTAACATGGATATTGGAGTGTCTGGTTTTGGACCTGAGACTGCTATTGACAGGTCAATGGCAATGGTGAGTATGGTTTCAAAATGATTATTTGAAGGTTGTCATTTATAGAATAAATACTTTTTATAAAGAACAAAATTCACCTAGAGAAGACTGAAATACAGTATTAGGCCTCTCAGAATAAGGTCTGCACTACACAAGTTAGGAAACATTAGGTTTGTTGCTGAAAGGTGTCTAAAAACATTGGTAATAACATTGGAATTTACCCCTGCTCTAAGCCACGCTGTTGAATTGGAATCATGAACAGTCTGAAGTTTAACTTGAATATTGAAGAGCTTTCTGGTTTTTTTGAGGGTGGTGTGTGAGGAGGACATGATATTTTGTTTTTATTTGATGACTTTTATATGTATAAAAGGAGTAGGGAACTATATTTTTCCTAGTGTCATATATTTTTCTGCCAATGTATAGTGATGAAATAAACAGTGATTTTAGAGTTGGCGTTGGTCCAGACCACGGCTCTGCCACCTACTAAGTATGTGACAATAGACATGGAGCTTGATATCTCTGACCCTCATTGTCCCTATTTGTAAAACAGGTAAAATAATACCTCCTGGGAGGACCAAATGAAATACTTTATGAGGGGGCTGCCACAGTCTTGGCACTGAGGGGGCTTTCTGTAATCAGTATTGGGAAACCACTTTCAGAATTTTGTCTCTCCCTCAAATCTTTCATTGTTTTCCTTCCCTGAGAATATTATATTATCCATTCTTTTTCCTTCCCCTCTCTCCTTATTCTTCTTTTCTTCTTCCACCATTATCCTTTTCTCTGTGGCCCAGACCCAATTCCCAAGTGAGTTATTTAAGAGAATTTGGATATAAGAAGAATGTTACCATTTCCTTGAGTTGGTAAATTAGTGCATGTTATGTTACTTTGCATAATAATTTGCCATATGGAGGTCTTGTGTTTTGCTGGCCTTTTTTTTTTTTTTTTTTTGCAAGTTCTCTTTTGGGTAACTTATGACGTAGCACCTAGCGTACCTCCAGGTGTGAGGAAGGCACCTTTCTTTGTGTGTGAACCAGATTAGTATGGTGTAATCTCTCTCTCTGTTTCTCTCTCTCTCTCTCTCTCTCTTTCTGTCTCTGCCATCAGAGTGAAGACTTTGTCATGGAAATGGGGAAGCAGCCCATAATATTTGAAAACCCAATGTACTCAGCCAGAGACAGTGCTGTCAAAGTGGTTCAGCCAATCCAGGTGAGAAACCATACAGTCTTTTCTTTCAGTTACTGCTGTCGCTGGATCTTAATCTATTGAGTCATGTCTTAGGATTTTCCTAACCTTCCCTCCAAAGGGAAGGAAGCATAGTGAGTGGTCCATGCTGCAGCTGCCCTATCTGCAGGAACAGGACCAACCCAAGGACATAAGACCTGAAAACAATCAGAATCCTGTTCTGTTGCACAGTGGTGGAGGTTTGGCAGCCATGCCGGGGCTGCTGGCCAAGAACCTTTCATTTTGAGTGGTGTCAGAGCAAGAGAGGTCTGAGTCCCTTCAGGGGCCTGGGAAACACAGTGCCTGAAGCACCACAGCTTCTCTACAAATACTTGTGAAATGAATGAGTGGAGAATTGTCAGGTCACTATACAGGAATTTGGGGACGGGGCCCACTCTCTGGTTCTTGCTGCTATCCCAAGCATGTGGTTTGAGGTGGATTAAAGGGAGAGGGACCTCTTATGCTTGCTGTTGCCATACTTTTCTGAAAAGTACAAAGGTCTCTAGAGTTGATGGGCAGATATCTAAATTTCCTTGTTGCAGCCTTGTTGCTCAGTCATCTTTTTTTGTGTGTGTGAGCAACAAGGCTATTTATTTCACCTGGGTGCAGGCGGGCTGAGTCCGAAAAGAGAGTCAGCGAAGGGAGATAGGGGTGGGGCCGTTTTATAAGATTTGGGTAGGTAAAGGAAAATTACAGTCAAAGGGGGGTTGTTCTCTGGTGGGCAAGAGTGGGGGTCACAAGGTGCTCAGTGGGGGGGAGTTTTTGAGCCAGATGAGCCAGGAAAAGGAATTTCACAAGGTAATGTCATCAGTTAAGGCAAGGACCGGCCATTTTCACTTCTTTTGTGGTGGAATGTCATCAGTTAAGGCAGGAACAGGCCATTTTCACTTCTTTTGTGATTCTTCAGTTACTTCAGGCCATCTGGGTGTATACATGCAGGTCACAGGGGATGCGATGGCTTGGCTTGGGCTCAGAGGCCTGACATTCCTGCCTTCTTATATTAATAAGAAAAATAACATAAAATAGTATTGAAGTGTTGGGGCAAAGAAAAAAATTTTTGGGGGGGTGGCATGGAGAGATAATGCGCAGTGTTTCTCAGGGCTGCTCAAGTGGGATTAGGGGCGGTGTGGGAACCTAGAGTGGGAGAGATTAAGCTGAAGGAAGATTTTGTGGTAAGGGGTGATATTGTGGGGTTGTTAGAAGAAACATTTGTCGTGTAGAATTATTGGTGATGGCCTGGATACGGTTTTGTATGAATTGAAAAAGTAAATGGAATAAGAGAAGGAGAAAAACAGGTATTAAAGGACTAAGAATTGGGAGGACCCAGGACATCTAATTAGAGAGTGCCCAAGGAGGTTCGGCATAGCCCTGCCAGCAAAGATTATTTATTTACTTTAAGAGGGAGTTAAGAGTGGCGGTTTGGGGATAGCACCACGAGATATCAGCTGTGACGGCTTGGAGAAACAGTGTAAACCGGTGGTATAAACAAGAGCAGGGCATTTATGAGTAGTTGAGAACGGTGAATAGGAGTATGACTAGACAGAAGATAGTAGGGATGACAAGTTTTTTGGGGTGCAGTCCAAGTTGGTCTGGTGTCTGGAATGAGACTGGGGCTTAATAAAAAGGAGCGTCTATACAGGAGCTTAAATGGCTGTACCCTGTAGCATTCTGAGGACAGGCCTGAATTCTGAGAAGGGCAAGTGGTAAAAGTATTGTCCAGTCCTTTTTAAGTTGGTGGCTGAGCTTGGTGAGGTGTGTTTTTAAAAGACCATTAGTCCATTCTACCTTTCTTGAAGATTGAGGACCGTAAGGGGTATGAAGGTTCCACTGAATACCAAGAGCCTGAGAAACTGCTTGGGTGACTTGACAAGTAAAGGCCGGTCCACTGTCGGACTGTATAGAGGTGGGAAGGCCAAACCGAGGAATTATGTCTGACAGAAGGGAAGAAATGACCGCAGTGGACTTCTCAGACCCTGTGGGAAAGGCCTCTTCCTATCCTGTGAAAGTGTCTACCCAGACCAAGAGGTATTTTAGTTTCCTGACTTGGGGCATGTGAGTAAAGTCAATTTGCCAGTCCTGGGCGGGGGAAAAACCCCGAGCTTGAGGTGTAGGGAAGGGAGGGGGCCTGAGAAATTCCTGAGGAGTAGTAGAATAGCAGATGGAACACTGAGAAGTGATTTCCTTGAGGATAGATTTCCACAATGGAAAGGAAATGAGAGGTTCTAAGAGACTGGCTAGTGGCTTGTAACCTACATGGAAGAGGTTATGAAATGATGACAGAATAGAATGGGCCTGTGAGGCTGGAAGGAGATATTTTCCTTGGTCTAAGAACCATTTGCCTTGTGTGGGAAGAGATTGATAGGTGGAAGTTTCAGCGGGGGACTAGGTGGGAGTGACTAATGTGAAGGAGAAAAACTGACTGTGAGGGACAGAAGTTGGAACGCTAGCTGCTTTTTTAGCTAATTTATCAGCATAAGCATTGTCCTGAGCGATGGGATCTGATGCCTTTTTGATGGCCCTTGCAGTGAATGACTCCAGCTTCCTCTGGAAGTAAAGCGGCTTTGAGAAGCGTTTTTATTAAAGACGCATTAATGATAGAGGACCCTTGTGTAGTGAGGAAACCTCTTGCATGGTGGTGCAGGATATGGAAGGCATATATAGAGTCAGTATAAATACTGACATGTAGTCCCTTTGCAAGAGTGAGGGTTTGACTTAAGGCAATGAGTTCGGCTTGCTGAGAGGTAGTGGAGCGGGGCAGAGCGGTAGCCTCAATGATAGATGTGGAAGATACTATAGCATAGCCTGCCTTTGCTGGTGAGTGGCGATTAGGCCTGGTGGAACTGCTATCAGTAAACCAAGTGTGTTCAGGGTGAGGAACAGGAAAAAAGGAAATATGGGGAAATGGGGTGAATGTCAGGTGGATCAGAGAGATACAGTCATGGGGGTCAGGTGTGGTATCCGTAGTAATGTGGGAGGCTGGATTGAAGTCTGGGCCAGAAACAATGGTAATTGTGGGAGACTCAACAAAGAGTGAGTACAGCTGAAGGAGCTGGGGAACAGACAGTATATGCGTCAGGTGGGAGAAAGAAAATAGATTTTGGAAGTTATGAGAACTGTAGAGAGTGAGTTGAGCATAGTTTGTGATTTTTAGGGCCTCTAAAAGTATTAAAGCAGTGGCAGCCGCTGCACGCAGACATGAGGGCTAGGCTAAAACAGTAAGGTCAAGTTGTTTGGACAGAAAGGCTACAGGGCACGGTCCCGGCTCTTGTGTAAGAATTCTGACTGCACTAACCATGCCTAGGAAGGAAAGGAGTTGTTGTTTTGTAGAAGGGATTGAGGTTTGGGAGATTAGTCAGACTTGATCAGCAGGGAGAGCATGTGTGTTTTTATGAGAATTATGCCGAAATAGGTAACAGATGAGGATGAAATTTGGGCTTGACTGAAGTAATGGGGGCTGTCTGTGAAGCTTTGCAGCAGTACAGCCCAGGTAATTTGCTGAGCCTGATGGGTGTCAGGTTCAGTCTAAGTGAAAGTGAAGAGAGGCTGGGATGACGGGTGCAAAGGAATAGTAAAGAAAGCATGTTTGAGATTCAGTCCGTCATCTTTAAGAAGAGCTGGGAGATGAAATAGGAATATAGGTGAAGGGAATAACTTTACATAAGGTCTGCATCAATAGCCCCAGCGCCACTTTTACTGCTTGTCAACTGCGAACATGTATCTCCTTTGTCACAACAACTATGGCCTTAGTGACAATGAATAACTGTCATTGTTAACACCTAATGCTCCTTTTGAACTCGAGATATGGCACATTTTAATACAGAAACTAGAAATGTTTATTTTACAAATATTTTGTGATTTTAAGATCGGAAATGTTTAAATCTTGAAAGCATTTTCCCTGATCCTCTGATAAACAGATATGAAAACTTTAATCACATGATAAAAGAGATACGACATTTCATTTGACATCTTCACTTAAAATAAAATGAGGCCATGTATACAAATGCATATCCAAGTTTCAGAATAAACAAGTAATGAATGTGAAAATATAGGAAAAGGAGTGAATTGTCTACCTTGTAGTTTATTATGCATTCATGGTAATTTGGTCTTAAAAGGGAACCTTGGAATTGTATGAATGTTATAGAAAAATGCGTAGAAGATTATTAATTCTATCATTCTCATCTTTTCAAAAATTCAACCTCTTTTTAGTAGTACTATGAAATCTTAATTTCCGAAGATAGGATTTATTAATATTCAAAGAAATTATTAAGATCCAAAGATAGGATTCTCAGTTCATCAGTGAGGTTGGGGAATTATTCTTGCTGTTCTTCTAGGATTTGGCTTCCAGTATATAACTAGAGTATGATTATCCAAAAATTTGGTCAACAGTGGGAGTAAGAAGGTATAGAGAATACAGTAGAAATTGCTAGTAATAAGTGAGAGTGTGACCAGTGAGGGATGTATTTGCCTCCCAGGATTAAGGTATGAGGTGACTTAGTGGTTGCTGCTCTTGATTTTGGGGCGGTGGGAGTGATGTTTAGTCCTGGCCTACTGGGTCATGCAATAAAAATGGTGCCTGATGATGTCTGTGGGAGAACAAGATGGCAAAAAGAGCCAGAGTTGGTACAAACTTTACAGCAAATTTATTTACTACTAAATTCTTTCAAAATTGGGTAAAGGCCTTTAACATGTCCACAGGTGACTGTATCTGAAAATGTGGATAATAAGAATTATGGAAGTCCCATAAACCCTTCTGAGATAGTTCCAGAGACAAACCCAACTTCACCAGCTGCTGATGGAACTCAGGTAACAGTTGCCGACTCCTGAAATAATGTGGGATTTGGAAAAACTTTGGGATGACTGGGTTTTTATTAACCTTAAGCAAACAAGGGAGATTCTGGAAGGCTCAAAGATCTCAAGATGTGTTGACAGTTAATAAATATAATTTTTTAAAAAGTCATAGATTGAAAAACTTTCCACCAAATAAAGCTACATTCTAACATCGAGTTGGGAATAATGTTCCTTGTAACATAGGAGGACATGTCACAAAGAAGAACAAATAGACTTCTGGATCCAGTATCTTCAGACCAGAGACATTTAAGTTGAGAAATTGACTCAGTATGAATAAAGATTTCACGGTGTCAAAGATACAGATGAAAGATCCGTCTGTGTGTGCCGTGATTTCTCTACAGCATGCATCTTTATTCTTTCAAGCTGTTCTTCGCTCTCCTGCTATTACAGATCTTTACCACTAGATGGCACTAATTTTTCCATTCATCATCCATCTATTCATTATTGGCCAACCAATCATCTAACTAACGTTATTCCCCTCGATGTGTCAGGGATGGTGTTTAATACTGGAGATTGAAAGAAAAAAATGCCACTAGATGGAGCTTCTTAAACATGCCTGCAGGTCCTTTGCAATTGGTACACTATTTGGTCTGCAGGAAGAAATTCAATAAATATATTTGATATTAAACTCTGTATTAATGTATATCATTAGTTTTAATGAATGCATTTGCAGCTATACCAGATATAGCTGTTTGAATCTGGACAAACTGTTTTACTTCTGGGGCTAGAGTCCTCAATAATATTTCTCACTGGGGGCGCTATTGGCATATTGAGTGGGACAGTTCTTTGTGCTACAAAACTGTCCTATGCACTCAGGGAATTTCAGTATTTCTGGTCCCTGTCCACTAAATTCCAGTAGTGTCTCCCCTAATTCAGTGTGACCCCAGAAATCACCTCCCCTCCCCAACACATGTGCACTCACTCCTGGTTGAGAACCGCTAGGATCTGGAATGTCTCTGTTCTAAGATTCTATGACCAATTTTGTGAAGTAATGTAAAGAAATGAAAGTCTAAGAGTAGTTGGAAATTTTACCATTTTATACAATCTTTATTTCTCAAATTTCATAGTCTATAAACATTGATATCTTGGTAACTTGGCAGTCTCATTATCACCTTAAACATTGGTTTCTGTTCTGCTGATTTAAATCAAAATAAAATTTGACCTAAATTGATGCTGAGAAGAGTCTATATCAAGGCTTCTGTACACCTTCTCAAATTCCCTTATTTCTTCTTCTCATGTCACACACACACACACACACACACACACACACACACTCATACACTCACAGACATACATAAATATTGTCTAGAAAGGAATTTTCAGTTTCAGATTTTTCAAGGGACTAAACATTTTTTCTTTAAGCTATATTAAAAATGGATTTTGAAGATTAATTTTCCACAGACACACGGATGCTTGAATGTCATATATTTGGTCCTCCAAGCCTGAGTCAACCCCAAGCTAGTGCCAGATTTATTTTATATTTTCAACATTTTTTCTCAGTCCATCTCTAGTCTAGTGATCTTCTTCACTAAATAGACATTTTCCCCAGCTGGTGCAGGAAGGGGACTGTGGTGGGGAGGCTGTAACCTCTGATCTGCATGTCTGTTATCAGAAACAAAATGTAAACTGACAGTCTCTTTCAAAGGAGAGCAGATCTTCACCAATTGTAGTCCTTTCTTTCTCTTCCCTTTTGTAATACCTTGGTTCCTCCTCTTACTTTTTTACATTAGTGAGGCTGAGACCCTCTAAAATGTGTCTTCCATGTTATGTCCAGGGATCTCACTGTATTTCTTCCCTCCTGGGCACTGAGTTAACAGCCAGCATGCTTTAAAAGCAGTAGAGGCGCTTGGGTGAGATCACCTAGGTTGATTTGAATATGCCAGAGTCCCACAAATGTATCTTTCATCCATAAATATGTTGAAAGACTAACAATTAAAAACATGGGCTGGGCACGGTGGCTCACACCTGTAATCCCAGCTCTTTGGGAGGCCGAGGTGGGTGGATCATGACATCAGGAGTTCAAGACCAACCTGGCCAACATAGTGAAACCCCATCTCTACTAAAAATGCAAAAATTAGCTGAGTGTGGTGGCATATGCCTGTAGTCCCAGCTATTCAGGAGGCTGAGGTGGGAGGATTGCTTGAACCCGGGAGGCAGAGGTTGTAGTGGGCCGAGACTGTGACACTGCACTCCAGCCTAGGCGACAGAGTGAGACTTCATCTCAAAAAAAAAAAAAAAAAGATTCAGTTCTATCATTTTCCAAAAGTTACATTGATATGCATAGGATCCCCCAAGGAGACAAAAATGAAAGTCACCGTCCCTTTCCTCTTGTTAGTAATTGCTTAACTTCAAGTTAGCCATTTCATTTTGAAGCAATGACATCTAAGAGACTTTGGCCCGCCCCACTTAACTGTAAGCGCCCAGAGGCAGGGCTCTGACCTGAATGTCTTCATGTTCCCCTTGGGGGCACTATGTACAAAGCAGGTTCTCACTTGAATGTGGGTTAAAGTGAAGACCTCTTCTACTTCTGTAGCCCTGTGTTCCCCACTCCTCCACAGGCTGGTCCCCTGCTGTCACAGAGTAAGAGACACCCCATAAAACCTGTGGGCTCCCTCAGCTCCTGTTGAGAGTAGGCTGTCTGTTCCCTTGTCTCCCACCAGGTTTTTATCTGGCAGTCAGCATGACAGGCAACTTTTCAGTAAAGCGTGGGCCACGCACCATGGTCCAGGGTGATTATCTTTGGGTTCTCCAGTTTATGGGCCTCTGGGTCCCCTGAGTAATCATTACCTGCCCTTCTACCTGCAAGTTAGTTGTATAATCTTGCTGTGACTCAGCAAGTATAGGATAATAAGTGTACCTACCTCTGGGGTTTGTTAAAAAAAATCAGAAACTTGTAAAACTCTTAGAATAGTTCCTGACACATAGTAAGCACTCAATAAATGTTAGATGTTTTTGTTATTATTATTGTGACACAGGAGGGAATGATGAAGGGAGAAGGGATACTCTTGAGTTGACCAAAGAATGTTACTTTAGGGAATAAGAGTTACAGTTTGGCTTTGCCATCTCCACCCAATTTTCAGGCAGCCCCAGAAATCTCTTTTTCTCCAGATGCATCTTGTGCATGTCTGTTTTATGTGTTCTCTCTGTACTGAGGTAACCAGGTGATTTGCTTGTAGATACTATGGCACAAATTCTATAATATATAAATTTGAAGTCAAAGAAGTGTTTAAAACCATTCGATTAAAAGAGCCCAGAGTTTCAGTTACTGTTCAGGGACCATAGGAGGAATTGAACAATTTACCATATGGGCTGAATCACATGGTCCCAGGTCCCAAATTGCTTTACCCTTCAGTAAGAAGAAATTTTAAAACTGAGACAGGAGGAAAAGAAACCCACAAAATAATTCCATTACTGAGAGGTTTTTGTTTTCCCCTTTTCATTTAGGTGACAAAATGGAATCTCTTCAAACGAAAATCTAAACAAACTACCAACTTTGAAAATCCAATCTATGCACAGGTAATTTTTAACAATTTTTCTTAGCACAGACATTTTTTCTTAGAAATTATTTGCTTGGTTAAATTGGACACACACTTAGATTATTCTGAGCAGAGTGGCCACAAATAGTCTTCTTTATGAAAAACCGTGTATGGTGACCTTGGGGGAATAAATGGCTGATTCCTGTTACATTGTATTCTTAGATGGAGAACGAGCAAAAGGAAAGTGTTGCTGCGACACCACCTCCATCACCTTCGCTCCCTGCTAAGCCTAAGCCTCCTTCGAGAAGAGACCCAACTCCAACCTATTCTGCAACAGAAGACACTTTTAAAGACACCGCAAATCTTGTTAAAGAAGACTCTGAAGTATAGCTATACCAGCTATTTAGGGAATAATTAGAAACACACTTTTGCACATATATTTTTTACAAACAGATGAAAAAAGTTAACATTCAGTACTTTATGAAAAAAATATATTTTTCCCTGTTTGCCTATAGTTGGAGGTATCCTGTGTGTCTTTTTTTACTTATGCCGTCTCATATTTTTACAAATAATTATCACAATGTACTATATGTATATCTTTGCACTGAAGTTGTCTGAAGGTAATACTATAAATATATTGTATATTTGTAAATTTTGGAAAGATTATCCTGTTACTGAATTTGCTAATAAAGATGTCTGCTGATTTGGTTGGTGATCATTATAGTAAATGATCCAACAAGAAAAGGAATTGACTGGGGACCTTTAGCCGTGTCTAAAGAAGAGGCACCACTCATATTTCCTATAAAATTATCTAGGAAAGGAATCCAGGCCCCGCTCTTGGGTCCATTTTTACACATTAGCACTTAATTAATGTTCAATATTACATGTCAATTTGATTAATGGCTATGTTGATAGGGGCCACTATGTGTTGTATAGACATCTGGACTTGACTGTAGACTCCTCAGATAATACAGAAGGTAGGAAAAGCAATTCAGTTTGGCCCTTCTGTGTGTTGGCATTGTCTAACCAGAACTCTCTGTTTCATGTGTGTTCTCTCACTAGCTGCCAAGACAACATTTTTATTTGTGATGTCTATGAGGAAATCCCATATCATTAAGTGCCAGTGTCCTGCATTGAGTTTGTGGTTAATTAAATGAGCTCTTCTGCTGATGGACCCTGGAGCAATTTCTCCCCTCACCTGACATTCAAGGTGGTCACCTGCCCTAGTAGTTGGAGCTCAGTAGCTGAATTTCTGAAACCAAATCTGTGTCTTCATAAAATAAGGTGCAAAAAAAAAAAATACCAGTTAAGTAAAGCCTCAACTGGGTTTTTGTTTCTATGAAAATATCATTATAATCACTATTTATTTCCTAAGTTGAACCTGAATAGAAAGGGAAACCATTCTTATTAAGCTTTTTATTAGGCCCTGTGGCTAAATGTGTACATTTATATTAGAATGTACTGTACAGTCCAGATCTTTTCTTTAATTCTTATTGGTTTTTTTTTTTTTTTTTTTTTTAGAGATGGAGTCTTGCTATATTGCCAAGGCTGATCTTGAAGTCCTGGGCTCAAGTGATCCTCCCACCTCAGCCTCCTGAGTGGTTGGGGTTACGGGCGTGAGCCACTGTGCCTGGCTTCCAGCTCTCCTCTTAAATAGTGGGTATAGTCTGCACAACAGGAACCATGGCAGGAATATACACTTTCCCATAGCAAATAGCATACCTGACTCTCTGTGCTAATATTGCACATTTGTTAAACAATGAATGAATGGATGGATGGATGGATGGATGAATGAATGAAACATATACTACTGATTATTTTATTCCAGAGTTCTCAAAATATTTGTTGCTGATATTTTGAGTGCTGACTGTAATTACTTTGATTAGATAAACAACTGGAAATAATGCTGCTGAAAAAGTTCTAATAAATGTGTATTTTATCAGATGTTTTCTGTGTGCTTCATAAGCCCCAGTCATGAATCAGTTGTATTTTGCTGTGTAAAAAGCTTGAGGCTTTGAGTGCTCTTAGTCACACCAATTCTGTACCACTCCTTCTTGGAATTGAATCCAGAGCAATTTGATTGAAAATCAAGCCTCTGCATTCATTTTTTTGTGTGTCCATGATATTCTGGGGTAAGTTATAGGAAACAAATAACTCTCCAGAAATGAGAAGTTATCAGAGTCGCAGGTAACCACCAGTATAGCCAGTCCTTGAATGCTGTCCATGGCTAAGGCAGAGCAGGGAGGAAAGGTGCATATTCCTGTTTCTCTAATAACTAGCGTTCCCCTAACAGTCATTTGTCAAGAGGACAATTTCCCAGCCAGCTCCGTTAAGCATAGGGTATGGGCCATCTTCCCACTGTTAATCTCTCTGAGCCTCAGCTGCTGCCTCTATAAAATAGGGGGCTCGGTTGTGAGACCCCAGTGTGGGAGTGTAACCCAACACCCAGCATAAAATATACCTTCAATCAATGGAAGCCATGACTATTATCATTTATGAAGTAAAGGGAAAATGGAACAGCCATTTGTGTGTTTTAAAAAGTTCCTTGGGTCATTTAACGAAGAGCCTTGGTTGAAAATGACGATTCTAAATAGAAATGGCTGCTCTTTCTTTTTTAGTGGAGGAGGTTACAGAGGTGAACAAGATTGTGTCTGGGCCTTTGAAAGGATTAACACGTATCTTGTCTATAATGAGGCTGAAGAGCAGATGATAAAAAGTTTGGTCTTGCTTTACTGTCATTTGAAGGTGATAGGAAGGGCAGTAAACACTCCTGTACATAGAAATGGGAAAAGGTTGAGAAGACGGAAGTGCATATTCACATCACAGCACAGGGAACTGAGGCACCGCTGAAATAAATATACCTTTCCCAGATTCCTCCAAGGATCCCGAGGAGTTGTTTGAGTTTGTTGTATATATTCTGGATATGAGTCCCCTGTCAAGTGAATAGTTTGCAAAAATTTTCTTCCATTTAACAGGTGGTCTCTTCATTTTGTTGATTGTTTCCTTTGCTGTGCAGAAGCTTTTTAGTTTATCATAATCCCATTTGTCTATTTTTGGTTCTGTTTCCTGTGCTTTTGAGTTCTTAGTCATAAATTATTTGCCTATAAGAAAGTCCAGGAGAGTTTTCCCTAGGTTTTTTTCTAGGATTTTTATAATTTTGGGTCTTACTTTTAAGTGTTTAATCCATTTTCAGTTAATTTTTGTAGATGGTGAAAAGGGTCCAGTTTTTTTCTTCTGCATGCAGCTACCGATTTTCCCAGCACCATTTATTGAAGAGGATGTCCTTTCCCCCGTGTAGGTTCTTGTTAGCTTTGTCAAAGATCAATTGGCTCTTAAATATGTGGCTTTATTTCTGGGTTCTCTATTCCATTCTGTTGGTCTAGGTGTCTATTTTTATACCAATATCATGCCATTTTGATTACTATAGCCTTGTAGTCAGGTAGCGTAATGCCTCCAACTTTGTTCTTTTTGCTCAGGATTGTCTTGGCTATTCGAGCTCTTTTTTTTGGTTCCATTTTTAAATTTTTTTTCTAACTGTGAAGAATGGTATTGGTATTTTGATGGGGATTGTGTTGATTCTGTATATTGCTTTGGACAATATAGTCATTTTAACAATATTAATTCTTCCAACCCATAAGCATGGAGTATTTCGCCATTTGTTTGTGTCCTCTTCAATTTATTTCATCAGTGTTTTGTAGTTTTTCTTGTAGAGATTTTTCACCTCCTTAAATTTATTCCTAGGTATTTTTTTTGTAGCTATTGCCTTCTTGATTTTTTTTTCTCGGCTAGCTCATTATTGGTATATAGAAATGCTACTGATTTTTGTATGTTAATTTTGTATCCTGCTACTTGATTAAATTCATTTATCAAACCTAGGAGTTTTTTTGGTGGAGTCTTTAGATTATTCTGGATAGAAGATCATATTATCATCAAAGAGGGACAATTTGACTTCCTCTTTTACAATTTGGATGCCTTTTATTTCTTTCTCTTGTCTGATTGCTCTAGCTAAGACTTCCAGTACTATGCTGAATTGGTTAAAAGTGGGCATACTTATCTTGTTCCAGTTCTTAGAGAAAATTCTTTCAACTTTTCTCCATTCAGCACAACGTTATCTGTGGATTTATCATATATGTTTTTTATTATTTTGAGGTATTCCTAGTTTGTTGAGAGTTTTCATTCTGAAGGGATGTTGAATTTTATCCAACGTTCTTTTCTGCATCTATTGAGATGATCATATGGTTTTGTTATTCATTCTGTTAATGTGATGTATCATGTTTATTGATTTGCATGTGTTGAACCATCTTTGCATCCCTGGTGTAAATCCCACTGGATCTTGGTGTATTATCTTTTTAATGTGCTGTTGGATTCAGTTTGCTAGTATTTTATTGAGGATTTCTGCATCTGTGTTCATCAGGGATATTGGTCTGTGGTTTTCTTTTTTTTGTTGTGTCCTTGTCTGGTTTGGGGATCAGGGTGATGCTGGCCTTATAGAATGAATTAGGGAGAGTTCCCTCTTTTTTGGAATCATTTCAGAGGGATTGGTATTAGTTCTTCTTTGTACGTTGGGTAGAATTCAGCTGTGAATCTATCCAGTCCTGGACTTTTCTTTATTGGGAGACTTTTTATTATGGATTCAATCTTGCTACTTTTTATTGATCTGCTCAGGTTTTCTGTTTCTTCCTGATACAATCTTGGTAGGTAGTGTGTTTCCAGGAATTTATCTATTTCCTAGATTTTCCAGTTTGTCAGCATATAGTTGTTCATAATAGTTTCTGATGATCTTTTGTATTTCTATGGTATCAGTTGTAATGTCTTCTTTTTCATTTCTGATTTTGTGTATTTGGGTCTTTTCTTGGTTAGTCTTGCCAGTGGTTTATCCATTTTGTTTATATTTTTGAAGAGCAACTTTCATTTTGTTAATGATTTGTATTTCTTTAAGCCTCTATTTCATTTAGTTCTGTTCTGATCTTTATTATTTCTTTTCTTTTGTTCATTTGGGGTTTGGTTTGTTCTTCCTTTTCTAGTTCCTTCAGGTGCGTTGTTAGGTTGTTAGTTTGTAATTTTTCTACCTTTTTGATGTAGGCATTTAATGCTATAAACTTCTCTTTTAACACTGCTTTTGCTGTGTCCCACAGATTTTGATATGTTGTGTTTCCATTTTCATTTGTTTCAAGAAATGTTTTTATTTCCTTCTTAATTTCTTTATTTACCCAGTGGTCACTCAGGAGCATGTTATTTAATTCCCATGTATTTGTATAGTTTCCAAAATTCCTCCTGGTACTGATTTCTAGTTTTACTCCAGTGTACTCTGAGAAGATACTTGATATAATTTTGATTTTTAAGAATTTGTTGATACTTGTTTTGTGGAGTAACATATGGTCTATTCTGAAGAATGTTCCATGTATTGATGAAAAGATTGTATATTCTGTAATTATTGGATAGAATGTTCTGTAAATGTCTGTTAGGTCCATTTGGTCTAAAGTCCAGTTTACATTTAATGCTTCTTTGTTGACTTTCTGTCTAAATGATCTGTTTAATAGAGTGGGATGTTGAAATCCCCCACTATTATTGTACTGCACTCTATCTCTTTATATCTAGTAATATTTGCTTCATGAATCTGGCTGCTCCAGAGTTGGATGCATGTCTGTTTAGAATTGTTATGCCCTCTTGCTGGATTGATCCCTTTATCAACATATAATGACCTCCTTTGTTTTTTATTTTTGTTTCTGTTTTTTACTGTTCTTGCCTTAAGGTCTATTTTATCTGATATAAGCATAACTACTCCTGCTTGCTTTTGGTTTCCGTTTGCATGGAATATGTCTTTCCATCCCTTTACTTTCAGTCTATATGTGTCTTTACTGGTACAGTGAGTTTCTTATAAGCAACATATAGTTGGATCATGTTTTTAAATCCATTCAGCCATTATATTTTCGGAATTTAATTTTTTTATGTTCAAAATTATTATTGATATGTGAAGCTCCATTCGTTCCTGTCATATTGTTAGTTGTTTTCTGGTTGTTGTAAATATTCTTTGTTCTTTACTTTTTCTCATATTGATTGTCATTGTAGTTTGGTGAATTTCTGTAGTGGTACCATTGAGTCCTTTTTCTTCCTTCTTTATGTGATTACTTTACCAGTGAATTTTATATGTTTGTGTGTTTTCATGATGGTAAATATTGTCTTTTCACCTCCAGGTTTAGAACTCCCTTGAGTATTTCTTATAGGTCCAGTCCAGTCTAGTGGTAAACAAATTCTCTCAGCATTTGCTGTGTGGGAAAGACTTTATTTCTTCTTCATTTATGAAGTGCAATTTTGCTGGAAATTGTATCCTCGGCTGGCAGGTTTTTGTTTTTTTGTTTTTTTTCTTTCAGCACTTTGAGTATGCCATCCCATTCTCTTCTGGCCTGTTAGGTTTCTGCTGAGACATCTGCTGTTAGTCTGCTGAGGGTTACTAGATAGATTACTAGATGGTTTTCTCTTGCTGTATTTAGTATTCACTCTTTACCTTTGACTCTAAACAGACTGAATATAATGTGCCATTGAGAAGACTGTTTTGCCTTGTGTGTTTTTGGGGATTACTGAGTCTGCTGTAACTGAATGACTAAATCTCTTGCTAGACTTGGGAAGTTTTCATCTACTCATTAAATAGGTTTTCTAATCCTTTGTCTCTTTGCCCTTGAGGATACCAATAATGCAAATATTAAATTGCTTTATGTTGCCCCAAATATTACAAAGATTTTGTTTATTCTTTTAAAATTCTTTTTTCTTTATTTTTGCATAACTGGATTATTTCAAAAGGGATTCTGAGATAATGAGATTCTTTCTTCTGCCTGATCTAGTATACTGTTGAAGCTTTCAAATGTATTGCGAGCTTTTGTATTTCCTTCAATGAATTTTTCCCTTCCAGAATTTCTATTTGGTTATTTTAAAAAATGTATTTTTTGGTTAAATTTCTCATTCATATCCTGAATTCTTTTCTGATTTTTTTTTGTATTGTTTTTCAGAATTCTCTTGTATCTCACTGAGCTTCTTTAAATCAATGTTTAAAATTCTTTATCTGGAATTTCAAAAATTTCTTTTTGATTAAAATCTATTGCTAGAGAATTATTGTGTTCCTCTGGAGGTGTCATATTTTCTTGCTTTTTCATGTTTCCTGGGTCCTTATGTTGCTATCTGATGTGATGGTTGGTGTAACAGTTGTTTCTTCTCATTTTTGAATTTACTTTTGCAGGGGAGGACTTTTTCTGAAGTTGCATCTATGGAGTTGCTTGGGTAGGATACGTTGGCTTTGATTCTGAGTGCATGCTGTAGTGTAGTCTCTGTATGATTTATTTGACTGTAAACAGCATAGTAGTATCTGTGCTTTCCTTAGTGAGTTAGGGTGTGGTTATTACTGAAGGCTGTGGTGAAGTTGTGTTGGGGGACTAGCATGCCGTGTGTGCCAATATTCAGGCCCCAATGGTGGCAGCTGTGGGCTGAATATGCCTATATTTTAGCCCCAAGGTGGTGTACAATGGTGCCTGTGTTCATGGTTACTGGTGGGCCAATTCTTAGGCTTCCAAATGGCTTGCTTAGATTCCAGTAGTGGCAGCGATGGACCAGGTGAGTGGGTGGGTTCTCAGGCACCTTGGACAGCTGACATGGCATAGGTGATAGCAGTAGCAGAGGTAAGGTGATTCTCTGGGTCACAGGCAGTATGCATTGATGTTGGTGGTGGCTCCAATGGACTGGGCAGGCCAGTCTCCAGGCCTGCATGTGGACTTTGCTGGTTAGCACCAGCTGAGGTGGTAGTGCCAGGAGTTTAGGTCCAACCTCAAATCCCTGGGAGGAGTGTTCAGGTTCTCAAGGTGGTGGATTGGGTTGGGCAATCCCCAGGACCCTGGGCTGTGTGCCGTATCCTGGAGTTGGAGATAGGTAAGCCAGATTGGCTGAGCTTGTGCTCAGGCCTCCCAAAGGTGAGAGCCATGGTGATCCTCAGGTCCTAGGTGGAGTGCTCAGGTGAGGAATGGTAGTATTGATGCTAAGGCCCTGCCACTGAAGAGGGTGTAGTCATCTGCAGTGACTACAGGCTGGGTTGGCAGTGGGGGAACGCACATCCATCTCATGCCCCCTGGCCAGGCAGGCTGCCTCTCTCCCTTCTTTTCCCCTGCTTTTGATGTTTCCTGTCATTTCTCTGTTGAATTCTAGCATTCTCTCTGGGATAATGTATTTGAAGTGTGATTATCTATATACTATTTTGGTTCTTCTTCTTCTTTTTTTTTTTTTTTTTTTTTGAGATGGAGTCTCACTCTGTCACCCAGGCTGGAGTGCAGTGGCGCGATCTCGGCTCACTGCAAGCTCCGCCTCCTGGGTTCACACCATTCTCCTGCCTCAGCCTCCCAAGTAGCTGGGACTACAGGCGCCCGCCACCACACCCGGCTAATTTTTTGTGTTTTTAGTAAAGAGGGGGTTTCACCATGTTAGCCAGGATGGTCTCGATCTCCTGACCTCATGATCCACTCGCCTCGGCCTCCCAAAGTGCTGGGATTACAGGTGTGAGCCGCCACTGCACCCAGCCCTATTTTGGTTCTTCTAAGTGCAGGAGGTGGGTATGAAATTCTTCTAGCCAGCCATCTTGAAGCCCCTCTCTAGGAGTGTTTTTATAAGAATAGCTCCAGTTCTCCCAAATAATACAAGCTAAGAGGGTTACATTCAGGTGGCACTGGGTGGGGTGGGTGTTCTGTGTCCTCCTGGCAGTGATGAGTCTGTGGGCACCCATAGTCCTGGCTCACTACTTGTGGGCTCCTCCCCTTGGGTGAGCAGGTCAGTCCTTGGCTGCTGAATGGTCAGTCTTCTCCCCATCCCCAATACTGACATGTCGAAGTCGCTCCTCTTGGTGAGGTGAGAGAACTCTTCCACCAGCATGATAAATCTTTGACGAGATGACTGAAAGGGGACTTCCCTCTCTGGGTTTAACTAGTGCTACACATCTTTCCTCAGCCTTTTCTGCTGGTTTTGTATCCTTCCTTCCCTGGGACGGTGCCACTGGATTGCTTAAGATCTTCCTGAGAGGGAATTTGAACAATACTTAGAGGGCTACTCTCAATAGAGTGTCTTCAGACAAGCCAGTGCATACACACACACTCTTTAGTAGAGCTTTTCCCCTGCTGGAACACTTTTTGCAGTGTTGTGGAGCTAAAGTATCCTTGGCCTTCCAATCTGTTTAAGAATTTTCTGCACTGGGGCTGTTTGTCTCATAGTCTACCTTGACTCCTCTCTGGGGGTCCTATGAGGTCTTTATTATGCAAACAGAACTCCCTAGTGCCCCTCCCACACATACACCAAGACAAACCCTGATTTGTCTGGATTCCAGGACATGGGACAGAATGGATTTCATTCTGAGACCTTGGCCATTAATCATCTGTTTGGAATTGAGAATGAATTTCTCATAGAAACAATGTGTCAACTTATAGTTCAGATCTCTCTCCAGCTAACAAGAGCACATCCAATCCAAAATGTAGCCCAGCTGTAGAATTCATTGCTTGAGGCTTGGTTCTGTGGTTTGGCAACAGAAAGTCACACAGTCAGGAAGGAAGAGAATACAGAAAAAAGAAAAAGAAAACGTCCTCCTTTCCTGGGTCTTGGGCCAGTCCTGGGAAAGTTCCTGAAACAAACCAAGCATGTTGGATCTTTGGCTTCCTGCCAGCTCCCCAATGGACCCCTTTGCCAGCACCCAGCAGCCTCTCTTCAAACATTCCAGGACCCCTGCTGTGTGAAATTCATCAGCTTGGCACCCCACCCAGGCTGGGCCCACTCCTCAGCAGGCTCCAAGCACCAACCTTAAGTATCTAGCTGCCACCATGATCCCACAGTTCCCCTGCACAACTCTGCATGACAGAGCCAAATACAAGGACTGTTGGCGGACGTCGGATTAGGTTAGAAGCAGAGTGCAGTAAGCATCTCTGGCAAAACATCCACTATGTTGCTGTGAGCATGGGTTGTGTTCCAGCCCTACGTTAAGTGGTTTACCTACATCATTCACTCAACAAATATTTGAGCACCAAGAATACTGGTGTGGGCATCAGGGGTTATAGTGCAAATGAAATAAACATCCCTAATCTCGTGGGGCTTGCATTTGAATGCATTATTTCCTTTAGTTCTCATACTAAGCTTGAGAGCTAGTACTATCATATCTCCATTTTATTCAGTAAAATAACTTAGGTGCCAAGAGATTAAATAACATACCCCAAGAATATAGCAGGTTAAGTCATGAGACTAGGACTCCACGCCAGGCTCCCTACAATCAGAGACCTTGTCCTTACCACAAGGCCTGATCACCTGGGAGCCAGAACTCCACAACTCCCAGCCCCCACCACAGATGGGGTCAAAAAGGTAGGCTTAGTGGTCCCAACTTGTTCTTGATTTCCTCAACTTCTTCCCCTTTGTCTTCTTAGTTTATAGATTCTCAAGAGATCCTAGATATCCCCCAAGCTGAGGGAAGGGTGAAGATGGGCAGGAAGGCT
This sequence comes from Homo sapiens, assembly GCF_000001405.40. NCBI lineage: Eukaryota > Metazoa > Chordata > Mammalia > Primates > Hominidae > Homo > Homo sapiens. Next base: position 169,118,550 of record NC_000002.12, on the reverse strand, counting down.
GAGAATCACGGGTTGTGTGTGAATTGGGGGCTTTCTTTGTGACCACAGCCTCCATGGATCTAATTAGAGGTTTTCTCATGCCTCCTTGAAAGAGAAAGGGTAACTGTCAAACGTGTGAGTCATTGTGAGGCAGGAGAATTGGGAATTAGGGTAACCAAGGGTTAAGGCAGAAGCAAAAGAACAGCAGGTGCAGCCAGTTCTAGGCAACATTAAGCAGCATACAGCATACATCCTAGCTCCTGAGATAACAAGACAGAAGTTTCCACTTCAGCCTCTAATTGACCATGAGCCAAGTCTCCACTTCAGCCACTGATTGGTCACAGGCCAATCCTTCATAGGGTGTGACCAACTGGAGGCCTCTAAAGGGCACCTAGGGGTGTTACCAAACTAAATAAAAATTAATAAATATCTTAATAAAAATCTTAATGGGAGGGGAAGCTCTTGAACCACTTGCTGGAGCCCGCTCCTACAAGAGCTCCTACAGGCTCCTACTCTGTGAAAAGTACTTTTGCTTTAATAAATCTGTGCTTTTGTTACTTCGTTCTTTTGTCGCTTTGTGCATTTTGTTCAGTTCTTTGTTCAAAGTGCTAAGAACCTGGACAACTCACAGTCAAGACCTTCCATCTGGTAACAATTGTATAAATAAGTCGGTCTTGAAATAAAACATTTAGAATAGATTTCTTCAATGGCTATTCCCTGGAATCTGAATAACTGGTATACTTTACACACACACAAAAAGAAAACAAATAAATTCCCCTTTGCATTCCAGCATGAGCCATGCAATGCTCACTAGTCAATGAGTTGAAGAAGCAAGTAGAGACCATCTAAAGGGGTATGGGCAAGGTTCCTATGAGGTCTGAAAAGCCAGCTCATGAAGTCAGGGCCAGTACAATTTCAACCACCCCTGACCTTTCTAGCATTGAATGTAAGTTTAATTCTTCAGGTGATAAATTGGTCTGTAGAGACAAATGGAAACAACCCAGGACACATTTCCTGTGCTAATGTTTGATATCAGAGAAATGTCTCTTTCATCTGCAAGATCAGAATGCCTCCCTTTCTGCAATACAGAACTTTGGGTACCACCTCACTCAGCTTTAAATTCTGTATCCTCAGAAGACTGGGTCATTTCCTTCCACTTAAAACAGCCATCACATGTGTGCTTCTGGTCAGGAAAAGGATTCTGACTCTATTGACTCAAAAAGAGGACTTCCCCTCCTTCCCATCCCTCCATCCTTCTAAGTTCCCCCCTTCCTTTCCTCACTTATCATCCAAGCCTCATCCCTCCCTGTCCCCTCAGCCTTCTTTTCCAGGGGGCCTGAAAGGACCAACCACACATCCATCAAAGGCTGCCTCTGACAGCTGAGCTCAAGAATAAAACTAACAGAGCAGAGGAAAAGATAAAGAAAGAAGGTAAGTGGTGGGAGGAGAGAGAGAGATAGGAGTGTTAGGAAACCTTCCTCTAGGGCTGCTTTTTGTTTTATTTCAGTACACAATGAATTTCTTTTATTTTGGTATGCATCCACATTTCAGCATTTAGTGGTCCTGAACAGAAAGTGGAAAAATGCAGCACTTTGCCAGAAGTCAAGCCCACCAATTTCCAGGATCTGCTGCGCACACTGAGTGCTTTCTTAATCCCTGCTGAGGATTTTGAGACGCAGCACCACCAAAACCAAAGGATGCGCTGAATTCAAGGGTCTTTATGTTCCAGCTGCCAGATTCCAAACGAGACCCCAGTGGATTGCAAGGATGACCAGATGAGAGCCCTGTTTAAAACTTCTTCAATTTTTAAAAGTTGAAGAAGAAATGAAAGCAAAAGAAAATAATTCAGAGGGATCATGTGTGCTTACAAGTGTCTTCATGAGGTCTTTCTCCAAGTTTAGCCACCAAAGACTCTGAGAGCTGGCAGGTCTGAGTAACCCTGGTTGACTGTTCTTTTCAGCTTATCGAAATCTGAGCCAAAAAAACTCATCAGCTGATGATGATAGCAGAGGGTGGCAGGGCTGAGGACCTAATATTTACTTCCCAGGCTGGTGGCAAGTGAATAAATGCAGTTCCAAAACTAAACCAGGGAGGTCAGAGACTTGTTCCAACTTTACCTGGCTTCTGGCCAAAGCAAGGAAATGTCATGGAAAGTATTGGGTGGTGACAGTGCAAAAAGGGACTTGAGGAGGGGGAGGAAAAAACAGCACCCCTCGATAAAGTGGGGGAGAGAAGATATGGGGAAATCCCTGAATTCTTCACCACAGGCGAGCGGAGGGATTACAATCTATGCTCTGGCCAAGGGTGGGAATGGAGGAGTGTGGGGACAAGAGGATGGCTTGGAAGCGGCATCATTTAAGGCTTAAAGAAAAAGACCAGGGATGCAGGCAAAGCTCCTCACATACCCAGCAGTAGTTCCACAGGCTGCAACCCTAAATCATCACGTCTACTCTAACAAGCAGCCCTCAGGCTAGAGGGCTGTTGCAGAGAGGGGAGAGGGAGGGGAAGTGGGAGAAGGCAGAGACCCCAGGCCATGTCATCAGCAACAAGGTGATTGTGTGATGTGTCTTTTTACAGCTGAGTTAGATGTGTCCCACCAGTTATGACAGGAATCAATTTAAATAGATTTTCTTGATGCCAGAAGCTCAACTACGTGGACAGTATTTACACTTGACATGATGATTTATTATAGCACAACTTATATATTTCAAATGGACAAAAAAATTAGTATCATTTACAATATCTTAAGATAAATTTCCTTTGAATGGAAGCTTTCTTTCCAGTACTTTCAGGTCTACAAGATGTACCTAGAAAATTTACTACTGTGGAAAATGAAGACTGCTTCAGTTGAATGAGGGAAAAGGTGAAGGCCCTGTGGTTTTACTTTTTGATTAACTGCTGTAACAGTGTCCTTCAGGTGGCTGAGGGAGTTTCATATTTTCTTTAGACATCATTAGGTGCTAAAGCTCTTGCAGAACAACTTTGTATCTCTTATTTTTTAAATTTATTTTGTATCCTTCAGTCAACTCACACCAGCAGAACCACTTTGATGCTCTATGAATTCTGCCATTTTGCTAGCACTGATATGGCTCTTGGTCTACCACTCCATTAGAACTCTTAACTCCATTCATATTAATTTTTGTGAAAAATCTTACAAAGTGGGGTCCTTCTGGGTATTTAGGTCCACATTTTATTTTAAGGCTGTATATTCGGTTTTCATCAGTTGTTCTTGGAGGCCCAGTTACCATCTCTGTCCATCTTGTAAGTATCATGTCTTCATCGTCTTCTACACCCCAGCCACCTGTGCCATCACCTACTCCTTTCTAACCTTGTTCCAGTTCTTCCAACAGTTGGAAATTCTGAGGGACTTTTACTCCCAAGCCTGTGGTGGCATCACTCCTCTAGTACTTACTTTTTGGAGTGGTTGCCCTGTTAGAAAACCTGGTTCATGGAGGGCCAGGTCATTTTTATTTGTAGGTTAATTCATCCTTTGCTAAATACAACACAGTCCTGGCTCGGCAAATTGTTCTGTTCAATTCTCACAAATCAAGCATGCTAGAACGTGATAGCAGCATCAGATGAAATTTAGAGACATACCATGATGCTCCTTCTGGATTCCTCACCAGGGCCTGTGTTCCCATCTCCCAGCTGCGGAGAGCTCACAGCTGTGCTCCTCGATGGACTTGCCCTCAGCCAGGATGCTGCCTCACTCTAGGCTACGAGGGCAATCAAGGCCAAGGTCAGGCTGATGTGGTGAGCCAATGGCTTGATCTTCATGTCAGTTTGGGACAACTCGGAAGGATCATTCCCAGCTTCAGAGTGTCCTATGGGATTGATTGAGGCCTCCATGGCAATTGCACCACAATTCAGCCCTTCTTTTTGCCCTATCCTCCCTTCCTCCCATCTTTACAGCTACATGCATAGCTTTCCAGAACATTTGCGAAGTCTTACAAAACTAATGCTTAACTTCATAAAGGGACATATCCAAGCATCTTTCTCTGAATGAGAGGGTGAAAAGAAAGTCACACACTTCTATAATCTGTACACTAACTGAGTAGAAAGGGTGTAGGTTAGCAATGGCACAGGAAGTTGACTTTTCACCAGCAAGGGGAAAAAAGTTTTGTTGCCTAGGAGTCTCTGCATTATGAGTGCAGTTAAGCTACCTGGCCTTGAGGATCACCGTGTCTGGAGTCAGATGGCACCTGAGCATCCTCGACTCCCTGTGAACTGCTTCTGCGGGGAAGAACACTGTCTAGTGCCCAGCCTTCACAGAATCTCCCCAGTCAGCTTTGCAAAAGAAACCACTGGATTGTGAAATTTCAGAAACAGATGAGAGCTTAGAGGTCATTCCATCTCGTCATTTCCAACATGGAATCTCCAGACTTAAAAAGCAGAATTGGAGTTCTTCAAGTTATTTTCAATACTTTAAAAAGCCAAATTGAAATGATGTGTTTACCATTTAATAGCAGGAGCTAACAGGCTCATCAATACCAGTAAGTCAGTTTAATCTTTAGTTCAACAAATTAACAAATTAATTAATCACGTACTTGATGCTAGACCTGGAAGATACAGAGATGAATAGGCAGATGAATTCCTGGCCCATATAGAGGTTGACTTTCTAGAGGTCCAGATAGACAAAACCAAGTAAACAGGTAGACTTATTTAAAAAGATATGATGGCTAGGATGAAGAAAGAAAAGTAATCAATAATGTGACACAGAAAAACAGACAGTGGAATCTAGAAAAAGGAGTTAGAAAGGACCTTGCTGAAACTGATACCTTTCATTTGTCTTAATTAGTTAAAAATGGAAAACAAATGAAATGATCCATACAACAGACCCCCATGACACAGGTTTACCTATGTAAAAAACCTGCACATGTACCCTTGAACTTAAAATGAAAGAAAAAAAAGCCAATTACAAAGCTGCATGGGTTAATGGCAATGACTTTTGGTTGCATGTAATTCATGAACTTATGTTAACTTGTGGGAAAATAAGGTCTGGCTCCTGACAAAATAAACTACTTACAATTACATGAAAAAAAGGAAAACAAAGTAATTGTTACTCAATAAATACAATTATTTTGACAGATGATAGTTTTCAACGTGTGGGTACCCTATAGAATTGACAAAAATGGGTCTTCTTATATGAAACAGTTAAAACCACTGATCTAATTCCATCTCTCATTTAAGAAATAGAAAAACAGGCAACTTGGTGAGATCACATCACTGATCTTTGGCCAACTGGGAATAAGACTTAGGTCCCCTACGCCTTACTATGGGGCTCTTCCCATTGTATCATGCCTTGAATCGCAGAGATGGCCTAGAAACCGTGTGGAGCATGTTGCAGAGATGTGACTCTGCATTGAAGCCTCCTTATTCAATCCTCTGCCTCTTATTCACAGTGTGATCTTGGGAAGGCTGTTTTATGCATCAGTTCCTTCCTCTATAAAATGGGATGCTGATAACACTACTTCCCTGAGGTTGTAGTACCTGTCCAGTGAAGGAGCCGAGGCACCGAGATGACTCAGCTCATCTGCAAGAGCGGGGAGAAAGGACAAAGGCCAAGGGTAGTTAACCCACAGGCGCATCTGCTCAATCAGGAAACAGCCTCAGCCCGTGGGGCTGAAGACCTTGCTGCTCCAATGTTGCTCTGGTATTGTTCCTGGGAAGGTCACCTTTGGTCCCTGGGCCTCCCTTTTCCCTCCTAAAAAATGTGACTCCTACTATCCGTCCCCATCTCAATAAGGAAAGATAAAATCCAAAAAGTGTTAAAAGGTGTTGACCCTTTGGAGAAGGTTTCTGTGTAGAACGCAGGGGTGGAAAAACGTTTTTCTCACCCATCTCTAGGCTCATGACTGAGGGCCCTATAACAAAGGCAGGTTAACAAGAGAGAAAGGCATGTACATTTATTTAATGCAAGTGTTATGTGACATGGGAGCTGTCAGAAATGAAGGCCCAAAGAAACAAGGAAACATGTATTTTTATGGTTAGGTTTGATGGAAAGTGGAGAAGGATTATCCAAGGAGAAGGATAATTGGAGAACAAATAGATAAGATCTAATGGTAATAAACCAGGGAAGCTTAGCAAGGCCTGTTTGTTCAGATTCTTCTTGGCATCTCTGGGTCCTTGGTAACTCTTCTCTGAGTGTAGGGAAGGTAACTCTCAAATGAAGGTCTTATGACCTGCTTCAGAGGGAGATCAGGAAATCCTTCCTAGGTTTTATAACAGGTTTCCAGAGACTGGGGGGCAGGGAGGTGAAAGTGACCTTCTTGCTTCTGTTGTTTTTCAAATGCTAAGATGCCATTTATTTATTTTTAGAGACAGAATCTCACTCTGCCACCCACGCTGGAGTGCAGTAGTATGATCATAACTCACTGCAGCCTCATAGTCCTGGGCTCAAGGGATCCTCTTGCCTCAGCCTCTCAAGTAGCTGGGACTATAGGTGCAAGCCCTCATTCCTGGCCAATTTTTAAATTTTTTTCTAGAAACTGGGTCTCACTGTGTTGCCGAGGCTAGTCTCAAATTCTGGGGCTCACGTGATCCTCCCACCTTGGCCTCCCAAAGTGCTGGGATTATAGGTGTGAACCCCTGTGCTCATAAGATGCCATATGGACATGATGTAGCATGTCCTGAACCCCATCAAGGGGTAGTGTCCACAGAAGCAGCAGGTGCATGTTTGTGTCTTATATGAAGGGAAAGGCCAGAGGTCAGAGCAGGAGAGTAAAGGGCTGGGAGATGGAGAGTGCAGGTGAGTGAGTGTGGATTGGGGACATGGAGGTCATTGTTTACCAGCATGCAGAGGTGGAACCTGGGAGGGTTTCTTTTTTATCCATGTTAGTATTGTCATCCCATTCCATTTGATGCAAGGCTACCTCTTCCTGGTTCCGTGCTATCAGTTAAAACATAGTCTCTCCCCTGTTTCCAGCTCTTCATCTCATGGCACTATCCCTACAGCAAAAGCTCGAAGTCCCCTGCTCTCTGAGGATACCAAGGCAAAGAAATGCCCATGAACTCTGATTCCTCTTAGAGGGTGCCAGGAATTTTGAAACAGATGTAATTCATCTTCTAAGGACTTCAACAAGTGTTGTTTGTTTCTTCCCCATTCAGCTGTTTGTAGTAGGCTTAGTTTGACAGCTGATTCAGGTTGTATTGAGATTGTCCCTCTCCCACTGGCAGGGCACTTTGCTAGTGCCACTGGCAGGTTGGCTAGTCAACACCTGCTCTGTGCTTGCCCTTGTTCTCAGAGCGCTAGGGACAGGAGAGCCTTACCGCTCACGTTCCTGTCTCAGAAAAGCAACGGATAATGATGTAGAATTCGTTTTTATAATGATGTATAGCCAGCAAATTCCCCAAACTCGCGTCACATCTTATTATAGAGACGTGCTTGCCTCTGGGGCGTCTCCTTGCAGGCCCATCTCAGGCGAGCAGCCAAACAAAGGAAGAGGCACGGAAGGCAGAGCGGCAGGAAGGAGGCTGTAAGGAAACGATGTGCACAATCGCCGCCTGGCAAGCTCACAGCCATCCCCGCAGTAAGCTTCCCCGGGATTTCCTGAAGGCCTCGATGGGGGCTTTGTAGCAAACTTTAGCTTTTTATACATCTCGGTAGCAATGAAAATAGAGCAACTGAGGTTGATTGATGGAGCTGAGTGGTGCCTATTATTCATCCCAAAGCTTTTGTTAGAAAGGGGAGGTGAAAATATCCTTAGCCCTAAGCGGTCCCTGCTTCTAGTTGAGACCCCAGCCCTATCTCTCTCTGGTTTGAAAAGTGCTTGGCTCCAGCACAAGGAGGTCGGTGGGAGAAACCAAGCGAAGGTCGTACCACTTTTTTTTTCCCCTTTATTTTATGTTAGTCATGGTAAGTGGCTGGATTTTTAAAACGATCCAAAAGCATGAAGTGGGAGCCTGAAGTATTCTTATTTGCATATTAATGCCAAGCCTGTGTTGCCAGCACCCAGTTATTTCAAAGGCTGTTGCCAAGAGCACAGCTTTGAAAGGCCTCAGCGCAGAGGCGGGCACCTGGGGCCTCTGCCCTAGGCTTCACCAAATGACAGCACACGGCTCCTTCTTTCTGCTGCTCTCTGGGCTTCCTGGGTGCAACAAACAACAGCTTCTCCAAGTGGCCAACTTCACCCATGCCTGTTCCCTCTCCACAAAGGTGAACAAATGCAGCGAACTGAGGCGCGGGAGATGGGCAGCGCTTTGGATATGGGGGCTATTTTTCTTGTATACCTTGGAGTATTTTTGATCAATTGGCTTTTTATTACGTTTATCATTGATCGACTGTGTTCTGGTTACTCCGGGTTATCCTAGACCTTAGCAATGGCTGGGCTGCGAGGATGGCGGTTTTCCATCAGACAGTGGAGTGGGGACCTGTCCTTTTATATGTTCAGTATTGTCATAGCACTACTGAACTAGGAGTATGTTGGCTTTAGGTTGTCCAAAACAGCTTGCCTACTAGATAATCCCAGTAATTTAACCAGGTTTCTTTCAAACCATGGTAGATTTTGGTCCATTTAAGTGAAACTTCTTAGAGGACGGACTTGTTCCTTTCCAATATGACCAAACAGGGGCTGCGGGACGCTTACTGGGATCCCAGGTATTTTGTGGGCATAGGGCGCCCCCTAGTGTCCAATTGAGAGCACTGAGCTTGCGTGCTCTAATCCTGGCAAAAAATTGAGCCCAGGTGCGGGAATAAGGAGAGGAATCTCAACTGATTTTCACTCATTCCCTGGGCCAGGGTGTTGCGGGGAGGGATGGAAGTGGGGAGGGGGAGCCCGCTCAGGAAGCAGCTTGTCCAGTCCCCTGGAAGCTGCATCCAGACCACAACCACTGGGAGGGAGAGTGATCTGTGTCCAGGACTTCTTTACCCACCGAATATTCAGAGGAGACCAAGTTCACGCAGTGGAAAGAGGTTGGATTTGGGAGTTAAAGAGACTAGGGTTCAACTCCTAACTTAGCCATTAACCAGTAGCGTGACCCTGCACTAAGCACTTAACCTTATTGATGGCGATAATTTCAAAATGGTGGCAGGAATAAGTGTTATTTCAGGGTGATAAGGAGAATCCTGTGAGAGTAAAGACAGCATCTGTGAAGTGCCTGCCACTCTCAGCAAACGTTAGACCCCTCTGCCTGTTGGCTGTCTCTCATCCGAAATCTGAAACTGCTTCCATGGGCTGTGTTCATGAATATGCCATGTCTGTCTATAAAAATATAGAGAGGATTTTTTTTGGTGTGTTTTTGGATGTTTTAATGGATTTTTCAAAGTAAATCTTAAGGTTTACCCTAAAATAGCTCATGCAACCATTTCCAGCTTAGATGTGGCCATTTGCTCTTTGACAATTACGAGAAACTGTTAGGCTGTAGCCTTGGAGCCTGGGCTGCCAATCGGGCCGAGTGAGGTGACTCACTAATAGGGGTCTACCTTCCCTGGGATGGCTGGCACAGAACCTCCAGACCAGGACAAGCCATGTCTTGCTTCTAGCTTCACTAAAAGTCGTGGATCAGTTTTCGCAGTGACCCACTCCAGTGTAATGTCAAAATGTTTTCCTAACAAATCTCAAAACCTTTTAGCTTTCAATTTTCTTTTCCTTTCAACTTCTTTGGGGCCACTTTTCTATTGCAGAAGAGTTGGGATTAATTAGAAAATACTCTTCTGTCTTCTATTTTTACTATGGAAGGAGAAAAGAGGGATTCTTGGTAACATAGGTAGCACAGGTAAATGTGGGCTTACCCAAAAAAAGAAAATAGTTGACAGACAGCTGCTTTTGCTGCAGGCTTAAATGCTTACAAGAAAGGGAAGTGAATTAGAACATGTGAATAGGTCATTTTGAAAAGTCGCTTTGTGTGTGGGAAGAGACAGGTTGATGGAGAGGCCCACAAGTGTCTGACAAGGCAGACAGCTGAGTCCCAGTTTAGTCCCCTGTGTACATATGCATCTGTGTGTCTTTGGGCACAACACTTACCTCTCTCACATCTCTATTTTTTCCATCTGTAAAATGAGGCATCATTGTGGCACTTACCACATAAGGTCGTTGAGAAGATTATATTAGATGATGCATATAGCACATATCTACATAAAATGTATCCAACAAAGGATATATCTTTCTGCTGTTATTCATTCACACTTTCTTTCTGTATGAACTTATTTTGGGTACATACTGTACCTTTTGCAAGCTTCCTTGGCAATTTACAGAAATGTAGGTGGTCTTACTTCACTTCCTGCTGAAATGAGAGAGCAATCGGTACTTTAACCATCTAGGGATAAGATATAGAGATGTTATGCAATCTCTACTTGGCTTTGAAAACAGAAGGCACTTAGGATCTGCTTGTCACCTAACTTGGAGCCAAATAAAATGCTAAGTGTAGGAAATATGTCAGTTCTCACAAGGGCAGGCCTCCTATCACATCCCTTCTCCATCAGACTGCTTCTGGGAGCTGAGAGGGCCTCCTAGGTGGGGTCCCCCTGTTTTTTTCTTAGTTTGGGTTTAAGTGGAGGCATTGGTAACCAACAGCCATGAGTCAGGTACCTCAGTCTTCCTCCAATGGTGTTTCTCATCATGCCCAGGCTGATTTGACACTAAAAAAGGACCAGGACCTCCTCACTATGTCACCTCCCTTTTAAAAAAAAATTCACAGTACCTTTGTCACAGTGTTCAGGTTGAGGGTGATAGCTCAGGTTCAAAACCTGACCACAGTATTTCCTGTGGTTTCTATTGCATTTCATTACACTGTGCTAGAAAAGTGCAAGGGAAAGTGCTGCTATCATTACCTTGCGGAAAAGCAAGTATTTCTGCAAGTTTATGGTAACACAGAAACAATCAATGCCAGATGCAAGCCGGGGATGGTGCATACCTATAGTCCCAGCTGCCTGCAAACTGAGGTGGCAGGATTACTTGAGCCTAGGAGTTAGAGACCAGCCTAAGCAACATAGCAAGAACCTGTCTCTAGAAAATAAAAAAACAGAAAACATCAGACGCAAATTCATCAAAGATTTGGTATGAGAACTTGTTCTTTCTCCAAAGTGATTGTGGTAATTATTTTTTATAATAATAGTTTTCATAGTTCAAAACTCTATATGACCAAGTGAATTGACTTCACTGATAAAAGATAAAACTTCTCATGGCTGTGACTTAGATATTCTAAAAACATACAACCACAGAGCCAGAAGGGCCCTTAGCGGCATCTGTTGCTGGTTGCTGCCTGCAGGAGGCTGTCTGAAGTAGAGGTTGGTGGTCCCAACTGCTATCCCTTAAGCTCTGAGATTCTGGATAAGTTTCATACCCTATCTGAGCTCTGCTCCTCTTCATAGTCTTGCAAGGTTGTTGTAGAAAGATTAAATGAGGTAACCACGCATGCAAAACAGTTAACACAGTTTAATTAACAATTAGCCAATGAACACACAATTAGTGCTGTTATTGAACAGTTGCTCAACATTTGGTAATAACCATTATCATCATCATTATCATCTTATTTCTACAACTTTACAGGGCTGAGGGTGTCATGCCCTTAGTTCTCTATTCTGGTCAGTCTCTGGGGTCAGATTTCCTGCTGTGTAACTGAACTCTCTTATCTTTCCCGCAATAGAGGAAGCCCATTTCTTCGTATCCAACTCTTGCTCTGTCCTGAATCTGACATAGTATTATTTAAGTCTCCTCACCTTTCAGGGCCTCTATTCCCTTTTCTTTGAAATTACCTGCTGGTAATTTCTTTGAAATTAGGAGGAGTGTTGGCGACCTGAAGGGCCTTGCAACTTTGCCACTATGTATAGTAACATCCTTCTGGTAACTGAAGGCATTGCCAGGCCAGGCTTCCATCTTGGGCCATTCCTCTGTAGCCATGGGTAGGACTCCCCACAATGGTGCTGAGAAAATGGTGATGAATGGATGTTTGTTGTGGTTGTTTTCCCCACAGGTCTCAGATCTCCTCTCATCATTCTGAGTGTTCTGCTGAGGATCTCTTCTCGTTACACCTAACTTATACAATAGGGAAGAACAAAAGTCAGAGTGTTGCTCTTGTCCTTGTCTTCGACCTTGGCCAATCCATTCAAATAACAGATCAAGGTGCGGGCCAACTTATAGCTAGGTTCTGCCATGAACCTAAGCTAATTTGAAAAAGTGCCAACAAAATGAATAATACTCATAGCTACAATACATTAAAAGCACTATGCTGTATTTGACATGCATTTACTTGTTTAATTCTTGTAACTGTCCAAGGTACACCCACCCCCATTATACAGATGAGAAAACTAAGAGAAATTAAGTAATATGCCAATGGTCAAGCCAATGCTAAGGGCAAAGATGGGTTTTGACCCCAGGAGCTCGATCCAAGAGTCTCTGTTCTTGACCACCTATGAGGCACTTCTAGACAGATTTCTCACCATTTTTTTAAAGTACTCATCCAGGAAAGATGCTCAGAGGCAAGAAGATGGGCTAGATGAACTCCTGAGGAGTGTTTCACTCCATCATGCTGCCAAGCCAATGCCATAGCCCCATCATCGCATGGCTCCATAATGAAGGATCACAGAGTGTGGGGCTTAAACAACAGAAAAATGTTGTCTCACACTCCTGGAAGCTAAAATTCAGAAATCAAGGTGTTGGCAGGTTGGTTCCTTTGAGGGCTGTGAGGGAAGGATCTGTTCCAGGCCTCTGTCCTTGGCTTGCAGATGGCTATCTTCTCATGCGTCTCTTCATGTTATCTTCCCCCTATGTGTCTGTGTCCAAATTTTCCTTTTTATAAGGGCATATGTCATATTGGATTAGGGTCCACACTAATGACCTCATTTTAACTTGATTACCTCTGTAAAGAGGCTGTCTCCAAATAAGGTCACATTCTGAGGTAGTAGGGGTTAGGACTCCAACATATATTTTTTGCTGGGGTGATATATTTCAACCCATAACAGCTCCCCTGTCATTTCAAGGTAATAATGAGTGTGATGACTCCATTTCCTCACAGCAGGGAAGTGGTTTACTTAACAGCGAACTGTCAAAGAGGTTTAGGTTTTAGAATCAGACAGGGCAACTTTGTTAATGCCTCATTTGCTACTTTTTGCAAATAGTCAAGTAAGTGGATCTCTGGTACTCATTTAAAAAACAGAACAGGTTTAAGAAATAAATAAAGGGAAAGTTTCAATCAATGTCTTACTTTTAGAAGCCTTGACTGCTGGTATCATGGAACTGACTCTTAGTAAATCAAACACTCTTCAGGAATTAGATCAGCAAAGGGAAGGTCATATTTTCTAAATAGTTGCCTGAAATAATTAATTAACTTTACTTAGAGGAGTAACTTACCTTCAGAATGATTTATTAATGGATTGGTGATTCCACTTATAAATGCTATTGTTGATAAATGGCATTACACTCATAAGAATTGCTTACAGTCAATACAATTATCTTTTTTCTTATTTTATCCAGGGTAAATATAATTGCTGCAATAAATTAGAGAGGAAACAAGAGCATAGGGAATATTAACTTCAAGATGTATTTAATGAAGGAATAACAGCATCGATATTGAATGACTTCATGTTGTGAAGTTGTCACAACCAAAATGGAGTCACTTGTGTTAAAAAAAAAAAAAAACCCTCACAAATAGAGCTATGAAGGCTGTGAAGAGAGAGTTCTCATGTTTGCATGCCTGATTTTAAAAAAGTCTAACATAAAAGACTGCAACAACCACAACCTTGCACAAAGGCCATCACAACCTTACACAAAAAATACTTCTGCAAAGACATCTTCCCAGGAACTGTCTGCCCAACCTCAGACTGGCAGACCTTGTTATTGATCACCCTTGTTATTGATCTTTGTAGCCAAAGGTAATCATTTCAAAATAATTATGTATCCTTCTCATTTTTTCCTTTAAAACTCCTTGTCTTTTTTTTTTTTTTTTTACCTCCCTGAATGCACACATAGTTTACTATGGCACCTGCATTCCCGTTGCAATGCCCTACTCCCAAATAAACATCATTTTCTTTTAGAGAGCCTGTCTGTATTTGTTACTTCGTTGACAATATGTTGGTTAAGTCAGGCACTGAAGAAGTAAAACTGATGGAATCATAGCCATCTATTGCCTAAGGAGGGCCAGATTTGAAAATGATGACTGTGAACATTATTTTTAGGATTCCTAGTCTTTTGTTCATTAAAATTTGAACGTTTTAGAGCAAGGTAGAGAAAATGTGGAGTCTAGCTATGCTACCGTTTGTGTAAAAAGTATGTGAAAAGGTTATCTATACATTGTCTATATATATGCATCTCAGCAATGACACAGGAGAAAGTCCTAGCTAGGGACCAGAGGCCTGGGAAGAGGAAGACTAAGATTTCACTGTATATTCTTTCCTAGTTTTGTTGTTCAATTTATACTGGATCCATTAATAACACCTGTTTTAAGAAGTGAGCACATGTTTCTGACAACTGCACCCCCACACAATTAAACTAGCTATGGATGCCCAGGTTGCAGGTTGCCCCAAGAATCCTTCCAGCCTCCTTTTCGCTGTGCTAATCCTCGGGGCTGCTTCTGGGCAAGATCTGAAATTTAGCTTTAGTTGATCTTGATGTGTATTCCCTCTCCTTTCAGCAGCTGCCTCCTTTCTCCTCATCAGAAGCTAAGGCGCTTCTTTCAAGTCTTGAAGAAATGAAATTCCAGGCCTCATGAAAACTGAAGCAAGAGATATTTGGCTTGTTACATCCCACGGTTTTAGTGATTAGAAAGGTTAGGTCTCTTTATGCTGGTATGTACCATATTTGAAGAAAGACCCTGTCCAGCCATAGAATCCTCAAATGTCATCCAAGTCAGCAAATGCAACCCCATATTGCTTGACTCCCTTCTCCGGCATCCCCATTCCAAGGGTGGTCCTTCCTGTGCTTGCCTGCCAATGGCAGCTGCCCTTTGATCCAACTCCTAGTGGTACAAAAATCCCCTCTATGGTGCTGAACTTGAACTCTGTGTAACTTCCACCCATGACTCTGGCTCTGCCACTCTGTGCCCTCTGATATGAGTTTAATTCCTGTTCTCAGGGAGGCCCCTTTAAGTGGGCCGTACTGTCTTCCCTCAGTCTCTTCCAAGCAAACAAGCCCAGCGCCTTCTGCTAACCTGGACTTCAGATAATCTGCTCTCCTGCCGCCCACTCCAAAGTGTCTGTTGCTCTATAAGTGTAGAGTTCCCAACAGTGAAGGCAAGTTTTACCAGAGCCCTGAGCAGCTGGGAGGAGACATAACCATTACCAACCTTACTCTATATGTTGTAAATTTAAAATTTAGGATGAGATCAGAGCATGATTTCCTTTTTTTCCTTTTGGAGGTAAGCGGGGAGTAGTTAAGTCACACTGTCATATTACATCATTGATTCATTTGGAACTGATTTTTGCATAAAATACCTCAATTATTTTCACAGTGTGGCTTTGAATCCCATGTTTGCTTTTTTGGAAGCAAAACAGAGCCTTGCACCTTTCCCTGTACCATTTCATCCTGTTAGTCCATGGTTAGAACTCATAGCAGCATTTTAGACCCAGATTCTGTCTTCTCATGTATTTCCCTGGTGAGTTAACAAAACCTGCCTTTGTTTTCATCTAAGTCAGTGATAAAAATGCTCCTTGCAGGGACAGGACTCAGATCAGATTCCATTCCACCTTGGAGGTGAAAGAATGGCCAATTGGGAGGGGGTCCAAAGAACATTTGGGCGCTTGGAGGGTTTTCTGACCAGAACACTTTTGTTTATTTCATTCAGAATGAGCATTGACATTTGTAAAGCATGAAGGTAACTGCATGTATTTCTGTTCACGAAAAAAAGTCTAATTTCTTAAAAGGGTGTTTGCAGCAGGGGTTGGAGCGAGTGGAAGGAACGTGGAAAGAGCCTGCACACACTGTCCATCATTTCTCTCAAGGTCTGAAGGCATGGGGAAAGTGCTTGGGGATGACTGGCCAGGAGGCTTGACTTCTGCTTTCAGCACCCAGAGCTTTAGAGTTTCTCATTTACAGTGGCTCCAGAGTTCAGAAAGAACTTTAATGAAGAATTTTGGCTTTTAAAATCCATTGTCTAATTATGCTTTTCTTGTATATTTATTTTTGGGAATGAGCATTTTATCAAGTGGGCATTTAGGAATCTTAGATTACTAGAGATGAAAGAATCTTGAATTTTAGAATCCTCATTTGTAAAATGGGACAATAAATGCACCTGTTGTGCAAAAGTTGTAAAGACTTCATGAGAAAGTGCATAGATAGTGTTCTGGGTAGATTCTGGCTCATTTTAAAGGCTCAGTGAATGTGAACCATTATCATCATGATGGCAGCAGAAACAATAGCCATTTCTCCCCTCATCCACACTGAGAAATTTTGGGTGAAAAATTATAAAGAATGTTCTAGTAACTAAAGCTAATCAACAGGGTAAATTGGAAGATGGTGACCGTCCATTCTTTAGTGGTATTGGAGCAGAAACTTGTCATCTTGGGAATGTTCTTAGTGGAAGTGTCTCTGTGAGACAGATTATGAGCTATATGACCTCTTCCAGCCAAATGAGAAAGTCCAGCCACTTACTGTTTTTTTTTTTTTTTTTTTTTGAGATTGCAGTGTGGTAGTGCCAGGAGGCCCTGACCTCATTCCAGCTAAGGTCCCCTCATTTCTCTCATTAGTGTTCCCAGGACTGGCCCTAGCCACAAGGACCAGCATAGTTTGTCCCACTATTTGTTGAAAAAAATACAGTCATCTGGAAACATAGTATGTGTGGGACCCCAGACTTCTGTTCTTTTTCTTTTGTCTCATCTTAAAAGCTGGAAGATGTGTAGTGTTGATCTTGGGTCAGAACAGTTGATCTAAGGCCTTTATTGAAATTAGCAAAAAGTGATTGCAAATAAATTCCTGAAACAACTAACAACAACAAATGGACAAAATCCATAACAACAAAAGAAGAAAGAAGATTGAAAAAGAGAAAAAAAGAAAGAAAATCCAGAAATCTAGTTAGAAAACTTTAAGGATCTAGGGAATGATGTTTAAGTGCCTTTATTATGTCATCATGAGTGAGAAAATTTTGAAAATAGAATACAGGAAAACTAAAAGGGGTATATCTTTGTATATTGCTCAAAATTATGCATCACTCTTATGCATAATTGGTTATTGGCCAGGTAAGACTAATGCTAGATTAATTTAATAACAGTCTTGTTTTTTGTTGAACCAGAATCAAAGTTTAGGGAAATACTGTCTAAGACTCAAATTCTTTTTTTAGGCACCCGTCACCACGCCTGGCTAATTTTTGTACTTTTAATAAAGACAGAGTTTTGCCATGTTGGCCAGGCTGGTCTCAAACTCCTGACCTCAGGTGATCCACCCACCTTGGCTTCCCAAAGTGCTGGGATTACAGGCATGAGCCACCGCGCCTGGCCTCAAATCCTTTTTAATAATACAGCATGGTGGTTCTGAGCATCGGCTCCAACATCAAGCTGCCTGGGCTTGAACCCTGGCCCACACTCACTAGCAGTGTAACCTTAGGAAGTTGCTTGTCTCTCTGTGATTTCACTTCTCCATCTCTAAAAAACACACGTAAGTGAGATATGATTAGGGTTACGTGAAATCATTCATGTAATAGACAGTAAAGTGTATTTAAAATCTGACCTATACTTAAGTATTAAGCAATCATTATGACTATTTCTCCTATTATGCCCATGGCAAGTCAGGTTGTTTGGATTACCTGGTTCATAATTCAGGCATCAACATTAATTGGGTGGCATTATACTCAAGTTACGGTTGCCATACCTAGGAGAAAACAGACCCAGAACACAGTAAGTAAATATTTTATCTACATACGGGGATAGATGGTTTTTGCCCAGAACTTAAACTATGTATTCATAGCAGAATACTTTCTGTTTCCAGTTTCTCAAAAGGAAGTAAAATGGAGCAGTTCAGGAGAGTTGCTAGTTGTAGAATGAGAGAATGCTCTGTTGCTCTCGCCTGAACTATTTTAGGCTGGATTGCTATTTCTAGGGACTAATCAGGCAAGAACTGTGATCTGGTTCCTGCTTGAGCAGGTGTTATATGCAAAAAAGAAAATAGAAGAAAAAAAAAGAAAGATGCTTGGAAATACTACTAAACCAGAATCTGTACTAAAGCTCTGGCTGTATTAGTACCTCATCTACTAGGATGGAAATTATATTTTCTTTTTGAAAAATGAATTGCAGAGTTGAGGAAGAATGTTAGCATTAGGAATATCAAATTATCTTATTTTTCACCTTGCAAAGACTCACAAAACTCTTGGTCAGCTTTGTCCTTATAAACTATGGCTTAGATTGAGTTGTCATAAATATAAAAAATGTTTTTCATTTTGAGAATGTTTAGCTTTTCCTCCACATTGATGGGACTGTGATGTCTTGTGTTCTTGAAAACTACTGGGATTAATAGTGTGCAGAAGAGCCAAAATTGATCATTTTTTAAAGAAGTTTCCTGGAAATTTTTCTCATTAACTATTGGTCAGGGTGAAATATTGGTCATTAAGTATTGGTCTACCCTAAGATAACAGAAGTTATAGAGTTTCTGGAGAGATTCTAACTAGAAGAGATTCTCTTCAGGCTGGATGGCTTAGACATGTCCTGCCTGTAAGCAGAGAAATAGACTCAATGATCCCTGGTGCTCTTTTAGTTCTGTGCCTACTGGGCCCAGGATGGCTTGGCATGGAGGCAGCCTCCTTTGCAATAGGTGGTGGGAAATCACTACAGTAACACTGCTCAGTATCTGGCTGAGAGCAGAGCCAGAGCTGGGGAGCCTTCAGGAAGACCTGAAATGCTCAAGGAAGTTATAAGACTTTGACTGAACTGGCACACTGACAGCACAACTATTGGGATCAGCAAGCTTGATCTTTTTGAAAAAACGTATTATTTTTCATGTTTTAGGGACAGAGTTTTGCTCTGTTGCCCAGGCTGGACTATAGTGGTGCAATCATAGCTCACTGCAGCCTCAGTCTCCTGGGCTCAAGATACCCTCTTGCCTCAGACTGTAGCTAGGACTACAGGCACATGCCAGCATGCTCAGCTAATTTTTATATTTTTAATTTGTTTTTGTAGAGATGGGGCCTCCCTGTGTTGTCCAGGCTGCTCTGGAACTGATTCTCCCGCGTTGGCCCCCCCAAAATATTGGGATTACAGGCCTGAGCCACTGCACCCGACCAGCTTGATCTTGAGTAATAAATTGACCCTTAGTTAGAAAGGCTAATATAGACTAATTTTTGTGTTCATTCAACAAACATGTATTGAACATTGATCTGTGTGCCAGCGATGTCCTAGGTAAGGAGATACAAAGATAAGCAAAGCATCATTATTCATGATTTTATGGAGCTTATGATATGATACAGGAGACCTATATTAACTAACCATATGCATATACAATTACAGACTGTGATGAGATTCCTGAAGAAAATTACAGGGCACAGTGAGAGTGTACAAGATGGGAACCTAACTGGATAAAGAGGTGGTGGTCAGAATTTGAAATTGTGCAGGCTTCCCTGAGAACGTGGTTGAGATCTGTAGGACAAAGAAACTAGAAAACCAGGTAAGATGGAACTTTCCAGAGAGAGGCATGGGAAAGCTGCAGAGGTGGCCAAGTGAAGAGAACAGTGCTATAAAATGAGGCTAATGAGGAGTATGGTGGCAGCAGGGTTCACATAATCATTTTAGTCTTCAGCCAAAGTGCAACAGGAACACTTTGAAAAGATTTTAAGAAAGCAACGACAGAAGGAGTAGAATGATTAGATGTTAATTATGAACAATTCTGACTACAATGAAGAGAAATCAATGATGGTGCACAAGGTGGATATGCTGTGGTAGAAACAAGAGATGAGGGTAGCTTGAACAGGTGATTGCACTGGAGATGAAGAAAGGTAGACAGACTCCAGATCCCTATGGAGATTAAATTGACAGTAGTTGGTGCTGGACTGGGAAAACATCTGTGGGGCAGGGAAGATAAAAACTCCAGATTTGAATATATTGTGGATGCCCAGATGAAGGACACACTTGGATTTTTGGATCAGGTCAGAGGGAGGGTTTGGGAGGTTCTCTTGGTCTCTCTAAACTAAGTGAGGAAGAATCCTTCAAGCTAGATGTGGTGGAGGACAACATCTCCGTTCATCTTGGCCGTGCATTCCTGGAGAAGGTCCTCTAAGGCTTCCTGAGTATTGGCCTTAGATTTGGATTATTTCCAAAAGGCTCTAGGAAGGAAGGCCTCACATCCATCATGTTCCTTATTATAGGCCAATACTTAGAAGAATGTCCATCGTAGTCAAAATATGTCTCTTCAAATATTTACAGATAAAAATTTGATAGGTATTTTCCCCAAAAGAACAGAGAATTAGAAGTGATTATGGTAAGACAGAGAGAAGTCTAGGAACCCATGCCCAAGATGCCTGATATAGTGACTGTCTGATATCCTCGTCCCCCCTTTCTCCCTACCACACATCTTGTGCCTCTGTAGAGACTTATGCCTCTATGCCCCCAACACCCCACCTTCTCATGTATTTTAAAAACCTTTAAAAATTGCTTAGGTGAATATATTTGGTATTATTTTGGAGTAATATCACACCTGGTGACATTTGTTTTAAGGAGAGAATTTTTTAGTTGGATGAAACAGGGAGTTACCAAATTGTAGCTACTGGAAGGAAAGAACAAAGAACTCAGGTCTAGGCAAAACAAAAGAAAGAACACAATCAGGTAGGCCCAAGAATATGACTGAAATGGTTAGAAGCTTGGCAAAGAAAGTTCCTTCAGAGTCTAAACATCTTGGTAGCCCTGGGAGGTCTGGAAAGTCAGGGAGCAGCTTGTCAAGAATTCTAAAGCAGTGAAATGAAGCCAAGATGTGAATTCAAGGTGAGGAGGGGCCCCAGCAGACAACATTGGTGAACTTTACCTCCAAGAACAGACTATGGGGTGGTTAACTGCAACAAGAAGAAACCAGAGATCTACAAGTGAGCTGTCTCTGGGGCTAGGTCCAAGATGGGGATGACCTCACAGGCAGGCAGGTTAGTTAACTTTGCCCGAGAATTCTTCCATCTCATTCTTGCTGTGATTTTTTTTTCATTTTGATGCAAAAATGATGAGTATATCCTTCTTCAAAATTATGAAATGTATATCTAAGTGGATTGACACCATTTGTAATTTGATTTTTCACTCACCAATATGTTGTAAACTTGAAAGGAGAAAATTACCTCATAAGCAGATATTTCTGGAAAGGTGATTAAAAATGAATAGAATTACTAATACCTTCAAACGGACATGGTTTCAAGCAGCAGATATTAAATATTTTTTCTTTTCTTTTCTTTTCTTTTTTTGAGACAAGGTCTTGCTCCGTCTTCCAGGCTGGAGTGCAGTGGCATGATCACAGCTCAATGCAGCCTCAACCTCCTGGCTCAAGTGATCCTCTGCCTCAGTCTCCCAAGTAGCTGGGACTACAGATGTACACTACCATGCCAAGCTAACTCTTTAGTTTTTGTAGAGACAAGATTTCACTATATTGCCCAAGCTGGTTTTGAACTCCTGGGCTCAAGCGATCCTTCTGCCTTGACCTGCTGGGATTACAGGCAGACTTTCTTTGCAATATGTTAAGCATGTGTGTATATGCCTCTGTGTGTGTGTGCACGTGCACACTTGCACATGTGCATTAGCTAATCTCTCTGGCTGTTTACACCATATTATTAAGCAAAACATGTTGCATTCTGCCACTGCAGGCTTCTTCTTGTAAATAGTCTACAAACCTTTGCGAGCAGTATTGGCTATTGGAATCGGGAAACGTCTGTTTAGGGAACTCTTTCTTTTGGATGGGGTGTGGGCCCAGGGTCTATTCAATTTAGAAACATGAATATAAGCAAGATGCAGATCTAATCCCACTGTAACTGTAGACTAAAGAGAGCCTTTTTATTTAGCTCTATATCTTCATGGGGCTTCAAAGACCCTTCAAATGCAAGATTTCCAGCCATCTCAGGTGTAAGTTGTGCCACATGGTCTGGGTCTTGTTACTTTTACAATCATCAGAATAAACCAACCAAATGTAACATTATTCTTCTTTTGGAATGATTAGTTACTATGTCATTACATCTTTCCACCAGAAAACTGTGTGCATCAATGTTCTTAGGGGCTTGAATAGGATGTTCACCTCCATAGCTCCCTCTAGGAAGGCTTGTCTGAGTGTTGGGGAGTCTCTCTTCATATATATATATTTAGGTATATATTCTTTTGTTGCAGTCCTCTTATTCCTTTTCCTATCTTTTTCTTTCCTTCTGTTTGCAGTTCTATCTAGTGTTTTACTGCTGCCTTTAGCTTATACCCGTGTCACACAATGCTTGATCACCCTCCCTTTTCCTGTCCTTTTCAAAGCTTATCAGAACTGAGCTTTGGTCCTTCAGAGTCATCCTCAGCAAGGTAACAGAACATGTCTATCCACTCATGAAAATGTTTGACTTATCTTTTAATATTTAGATAAGAGATGATACTTAACATTCACAAGTTACTGTAAATGCTGGGGACCATAAGCATGGGGCAGGCCACGGTAAAGATCATTTTGAATGGGCAAGTCTTTCAATTTCCCTTACATCACACCAAGCAGGCAAAGCCTAAATACAGGGCAGGACTTGCCTATGTGATGTACCATTCCAGCCCTCCTTTTCAAAGAAAACTTGAGCAGGGACCCTGGGATACCACCAGCGATGGTGGGACTCCCTTTTGCAATCCAAATAAGCACGATCTAAATGAGTCCAGGTTGGAGCAGATAAGGAATGGGGTTGAAAAGGAGATGTGTTCTTGAAATCGGCCAATTTCATAGCCTGGAGGAGACATTTGTGGTTAGCTGAGTCACACTGCCTTGGGATTAGCCAGCTCTGCTTTCTGTTTCAACAATAAAAAGTCTTGCAAAGCTGCTGGCATGTGAGACAGAGGTATCCAGAAAATTTTGGCATCTTTTCCAGCGGCATAATGAGTCTTAGGGAAGAGACTTGTTAGAGCGTGGTCCATGCACTCTACCACCGGAGAGAGGTCCATGTTCACATAGGATTTATTGCCTTTCAGTTTGTCTAGACCTAAAAAGAGACAAAAGTACATTTACTCTTTGGTAGAAGGGGAAAGCAGAGTGGAAGTCTAGGGTGCAAAGGGGAGGATGGATACAAGGGGATTTATTCTGAATTGTCCATTATAATTGAGGCTCATTTTGAGGATTTACTATCTATTCCTCAGAAAATGATATTGCAATGCTTTCTTTAGACCAGCAGCTCTCAAGATTGGGTTGGCAGCAGATTCTTCTAGAGAGCTCATTAAAACCCAGGTTTCTCGGTTCCACCTCCAGAGTTTCTGACTGAGGTATGAGGTGGGGCCCAAGAATGAGCATTTCTAACAAATTTCCAGATGATGCTGATGCTGCTGGTCCAGGGATCAAACTTTGATCCCTCAGTGCTTTAGAGCAATGAGGAAACGATACTTCATAAAGCCCATGAGGCCCCTAAGCCTAGAAAGTTGTATGTTTGATTTCTAATTTGTTTTAGGGGATTATGTGTCTAGAGAAAATGTGGGTTGCACATGTGCTTGTGCATGTATGTGCATGCATGTGTGGATGTAATTGTGCACTTGTATACTTGTATAGGCTTCTATAATCTGTAAATAAAGAGAGAATCATCCCCAAATGTACTGACTCAGGAAGCTAAAAGGATCCCAGTTCTCATGCAAATGAGATGTTTGAATAATGAGCGAAGATACCTTTAGAGAGGCAGGGATTTTACAAGGGATTAGTGGTGGATTACAACCCCAGTCTTTTCAATACATGGTATTGGGAAAACAGTATATCCACATGAAGAAGAATGAAACTGAATCTTACACCATATAAAAAAATCAACTTAAAATGGATTGAAGACTTAAACATAGACCTGAAATTATAAAACTGCCAAAAGAGGCCTGGCATGGTGGCTCACACCTGTAATTACAGCACTTTGGGAGGCTGAGGTGGGAAGATCACTTGATCCCAGGGAGTTCAAGACCATCCTGGGCACCATAGTGTGACCTCATCTCTATTAAAAAAAAAAAAAAACTACTAGAAGAAAACATAAAGGAAATACTTCTTGACATTGGTCTGGGCAATGATTTCTTTGGATATGACCCCAAAAACACAAAGCTAAACAACAGCAAAACTAGATAAGTGGGACTGTATCCAACTAAAAAGCTTCTGCACAGCAAAGGAAACAGTTGAAAGAGTGAAGAGAAAACATACAGAATGGGAAAAAATATTTGCAAACTTTATATCTTAGGCACAGTTAATATCCAAAATGTATAAGAAACTCAACAGCAAGAAAAGAAATAACCTGATTAAAAATGGGAAGAGAATCTGAACAGACTTTTCTCAAAAGAAGATACAAATGGCCAACAGGTATATGAAAAAAATGTTTGTCACCACTAATCATCAGGGAAATGCAAATTAAAACCAAAATGAGATATCACCTCACATTTGTTAGAATGGCTACTATCAAAAGACAAAAGATAACAAGTATTGACAAGGGCATGGAGAAAACCTCTTGTATACTGTTTGTGAGAATGTAAATTAGTACAGTCATTATGGAAAATGGCATAGAGATTTCCCCCCCAAATTCAAAGTAGAGCTATCATATGATTCTCACATACTTTTAAACCATACCTGAGCTGTGTCTTCTCAAGGGAAAGTCTATGATGTTAGATCTTTCTTTCAACTTCAAGTCCCACTGGCCACAAGTTGTTCAAAGAACCTAATAAGTCTTAGTGGCTATTTTAAACTCCTACTATCCCAGCTTGGGAAATTAAGAAAAGATGACCTTCAATTTGTGGTCTACTTTGGGACCGTGACTTTGGCTGATCTCCAAGTCCTGACTTGAAAACTCTAGTGAGAACAACCAGTGTAAAACTGAGCTCAATGCCTTTTGGTATTTCTGAGACAGAACACATGAACCAGGAACCAAGCCAAAAATAATTGGAGATGGAAGTCAGTGATATATTCAAAGGCATTTAAAAAGTATCGGTATCAATATCAAACAGAGAAAGCTCTTTTAAATGAGGGGTTTTGTTTCTGAAGTATTAAGTTCCATCTTAGATGGAACCTACATAGAACCTTCAGAGTCAGGAACTGAAAAGTAGAGTATTTGATGGCAGTGGCTCTAAACCTATAGTGGCATGTCAGCACTAAGATGTTTGTAAGACCAGACATTTCAGTTGATATATAGATAATGTGTGTACCTCTGTGTGTGTGCATGTGTGTGTGTGTGCGTGTGTGTGTGTTTAGGGTAATGGTGGTTGGAGGAGTCAGTCATTTTAAAAACCTCTCCAGGTGGGTCTGACTTGGCTTTCAGCTCTGCCTTGAAAACTCCTGACCATGAACCTTGCCACAGTTGACAGTCTTACCAAGTCCACTGATTAAGAGGCCTGAGCACAGTTTGGAGGGAAAGAACTACCCATAGTTAGGTGGAACCCTGCTCAACTCAAAGCAGGAGGTCAGTGAGTACTTGAGGAATATCAAGTAAACTTTAACCGACCCAAGAAGTTTGTGGCGGAGGGGAAAGCCTGATAACAGGAGTGTAACCAAAGTCCTTAATGCCTTGTTCACATTATAGTGCCATGGCCAAGCATAAATGGCACGGTCAGGCTGCCTGGGTCCAAATCTAGCTCTTCCACTTACTGGTGGTACAATTTTGGTAAGTTATTCTCTATGCCTCTATTTCTATAAAATGAAGACGATAATAAGAGTTTTTTGGGGGATTTTAAATGAGTGTCCCTGTAAAGCACTTAGAATGGTGACAAGTACATAGTAAATATTTACTATTTGTTAGTTGTCATTATGTCATCTTTATTATTATTCTCCCATCTCTGACTCAATCTCTTGACCAGGAAGGCTCCTGGTGTCTTCCATCTTCTCCTCCATGTGTTCCTGCTCCAGAAAGTTTCCACCCAAGTAATTATTTCCTGTCCTTTCCTCTTATTCAAACCTGACCTGCCCCATTAGGGCTTAACCAGCCATGCTCTTTTCCTGGTCTAAATTCCCTGGGGAATTAGAAACCACACCATCTAGCACCATTTCTGGGCTGTTAGATTACACCTAAGAAGTAAAGGATTAATTTTATTGTGTGCTACATTATTTCATTGTTTTACATTCTCGCTTGGTTACTTCTTGTTGTCAACTAGGTTGTAAACTAAAGGTCAGAGGCTGAACCTTTTCCATCTTTTGTAACCACCATAAATCCTTAATGCCAAGTGTACAGCTGGTGCTTGAGGAAAAGAGGAGGTATGGCAAAGGTGAAGACCGTGGCTCGACTTGCCTTCCTGGGCTCAGGTCCAGGCATGACTAGGAGGTGTTGTGTAATCTTGAGCAGGACATTTCACTTTCTCAAGCCTCTGCTCATTACTCTAATAGTTTTTGAGGAGTAAATAATATAATTCATAAGACACTTAGCAGATAACTTGGCAGTTTGTAATTGCTCAGTAAATGTTTATAAACAGAAGCAAGAGATGACACTGAAATTAATAGGAGATCCCTGATCCATGGTTAAGATCCTTATTGGGGTATTACTCAGAACCTTGTTATTTCATCTGTATTTGAATCTCCTTCATGCTGTTCAGGACAAAGAATTCTAGAGGACATTGGCACCGCCCGGAAACTCACTTTTTTCAATGTAACCTTCTCCATATTGTTGTTTGATGTCTGGAGACAGCTGCTCCCAAATGGCGAGTTTTTTTTCAATTACCTTTACTGGATCTGCCAAGTTTGTTTTGAACAATCCTGGTTCAATGCATGAGACGTGCACACCAAAAGCTTTCATGTCCCGTCTGTGAAAAGAACCCATTGAAGATGTTTAATCCGGGTTTGTTTAGAAAATATTTGCTATTTGAGTGACTATTTTCTCACGAATCTTTTCATGGAATCACAGATTTGGGTGCATTTGAAAGAAATATCTTATTCTCTCTCCCTTTCATTTTGCAAGTGAGGAAACTGAGGTTCAGAGTGGTGAAGTGAGGACTAGTTAACGGCAGGACAGGAAAGGGATCTGGGTGGACACCACCCCCAGTCCACTGTTGTTCTTCCTAGAGTGTTCTCCACGCTCTCATCATTGACTAAGTGGACATTCAGGTTATGAACAGGTTTCTTATCAGTACTTAAACCACCTTATGGTGAAATGAACTAATGATAGCCTGGATGGACAAGTTCACCTCCATTCTAGCAACATAAGGAGATTGCAGCACAAATGAGGATGTGCTGAAGGACACAATACGATAATCCCTGATGTGACTAACCTGCTCCCTATGCTGTTGAGCAAGTTTTATTTTATTTTATTTTATTTTATTTTATTTTATTTTATTTTATTTTATTTTATTTTATTTTATTTTATTTTATATCATGCTGCAGCAGAAAACTAAAAGCCTACTCATTCCCTAGGCATCAAGGTTTTACAGGAATCATGGTGCCCCTTTCTTTAAAGCAAACCAATATACAGATGTTCCTGTGGGGTCACATCCTGATAAACTCATTGTAAGTTGAAAATATCCTATGTCAAAAAATGCATCTAATATACCTAACCTGTCAAACATCATGGCTTAGCCTAGCCTACATTAAACGTCCTCAGGACACTTACATTGGCCCACAATGGGGCAAAATCATCTGGCCACACAGTGCCCTGCAGCATAGCAGTTCTTTGCCCTGTGATTGCAACGGCTGACGGGGAGCTGGGGTTTACTGCCACTGCACAGCATCGCGAGAGAGTATTGTACATATTGCTGCTGGTAAAAGATCAAAATTCCAAATTCTAAGAAAAGTTTGTAATGCATGCATCTCACTTTCACACCATTGTAAAGTTGAAAAGTCATGTTTAACATTGCAAGTCAGGGACCACCTGTACAGCAAACCAGTATATGAATAGTCGTTTCCTAAATTTGATTTATTTTCCTACCAGGAATATATAATATAAGGAAGTATTTATTCATTTTATAAAACTCTTCACCATAAGATTTTTAAAAGCTCTATTAGTGGACTTAAAATGTAATTTATTTTTTCTTAGGTTCTGCTTTCTAGCAACGTTATTATTGTAAAGTTTGAAATATATTTTACTAAAAATGCAAGTTAGCTTGACCTTGAAATATTCTGTAAGGTATATGACTTGTACTAAAATTAAAAAAGATTATTTCCCAACTTACTTTTGTTTTATTCACCTGTTGCCCAATTTCCTCTAGATTGTGGAAGTAGCAGTGCCAAGAGGCTATTTAGGAAGACTTTTCTCCCCACCCACTCATAAAAATAACGTACTAGGGACAAGTGGCCTTACGCCCTCCAACTAAGCTT
Organism: Homo sapiens; assembly: GCF_000001405.40. Lineage (NCBI taxonomy): Eukaryota > Metazoa > Chordata > Mammalia > Primates > Hominidae > Homo > Homo sapiens. The sequence goes on along the minus strand of NC_000002.12, from coordinate 169,090,282 downwards.
ACCAGGTAAGTAAAAACCATATTAAATCAGTATGCATGCTGGGAAAATACAGTTTTAAGGAGCCCCAACCCTCTCTCAAATGGACTGCTGCCCCTAAACCCTCCTATATATAGAAATTGTGACGCTGACACTGGATTGTGGCGCACCTACATAACACCATTTAAAATACTAGTTCCATGATTCATTTAAGAAAAATACTCTTTATTGATTACTATTAGGCATGGCATACCTGCATGGCAAAGCTCACAAACCCTTCAGTTGAAATCTTTTTTAAAAGTGAGTAAATCTCTAATTACATATACTACAATTTTATTATGATACTGCTGGTTGTAGAGTGGAAACAAAGGTCAACCAAAGAGACCAATGGAGGTTTTTTTATGACCTTGCTACTCAAAGTGTGATCCCTGAACCATGGGCAGCACCTGGAGCTTGTTAGAAATGCAGGGTCTCAGGCTCCTCTCCAGATCCACTTAATCAAAATCTGCATTTTGAAAAGATCCCCAGGTGATTCAAATGCACATTAGTTTTTTGGAAGAATTGTTCCAATATTTTTGTGCTTATTTCCTAGGAGAATCAAACTTGGCAACCTGATCAAATGGCAAAATGAAGTTGCTCTATCTTTATTAATTTCAGTGGAGTAATTTTAACCTTTTATTAGTAAACTAAACCTAGGTCCATGGTATAAATCATAAACTCTAACATATGCCTTCAACAAATAATAGTCAAATAAATAAATGGATGAATCAAAGGAAAAACTATAACTAACTTTGTCTTCTCACTTGCCTATTGTGGCACCACTCAGCTGAATATCTTCCGCTTGCTTCTCTAGTCCTTTCCTCCACCCTCTGTCTGCATCATATCCTGGGAATCTTACCTGCACTAAGTATACTCTGGCTTCTGTTGAGTTCAGTCTATTGAAAGTGCCAGTGGGGGATCAGGAAAGAGGTGAGGGGGTCAGAGTAGTTATCCTCCTGTGGTGTCAACACTGGTTATTTTTATCCCTTAACTGAAAACAACAGCCTCTGCGTCTCCAGGTTCTGGAAACTGCCCTGTCTCCTTGTCCCTTCAGTCCTCTGAAGAGAAATACACCTACTGTCATTAGCCCCTAGATTGTATCCTTTGAGATTTCAGTAGATACCTCACACATGTTTATAAGTCCTTTAAGCATACTCTCTGCCTTTTACCCAGTTTTAATGTGCCACCATTTCCTGCCAGAATCTTGACTGAAAGAACCACTTGTACTTTAGGGGATTTGAACTGATGGTGATAAGTTCTGGTTCCAGGTAAGATGGATTAAGCACACTTCCCCCAGTCTCTCCCACGGAATGAAGCTATAAAGCTTGGACAGCATGCTTGGAGAAGCTATTTAAGAACTAATGGTTTTCTACTGAAGGTTTAAATAGGGTGGTACTGTTGTGTCTGCAACTGACAGTAAACCAATGGAGAAGCCTATTCTGATCTAGCCTTTCTATATGATTCCCTAAATATCTGACAAACTGACCAGTTGAATATAAATTCGCTGCCACTCTGAGCATCATGTATTAAGGCAAAAAGTAAAAAGGAGTTAAACTTGGGTTCAAATCTCAGTTCTGCCACTTACCAGCTGGGTGACCTTGCGCAAATTAATTAAACTCTTTTAGTTTTAGTGGCATCATCTATACACTGGGAATAACTTAAAGTACTAAATAGGGTAGAGGTGGAGCAGGATGGCCAAATAGAAGCCTTCATTGATCATCCTCCCCACAGGAACACCAAATTAAACAACTATTCATGCAAAAAAACCTTCATAAAACCAAAAATCAGATGAGTGATCACAGTCCCTAACTTTATATCACTTTAACTTCATATCACTGAAAGAGGCCCTGAAGAGGGTAGGAAAGACAGTCTTGAATTGTTGATGCTACTCCTCCTCCATAGACCAGCAGCAACTCTGTGGCATGGAGGCAGAATCTGCGTACTTGGGGTGGGAGGGAGAGCACAGTGATTGTGGGACTTTGCATTGGAACTCAGTGCTGCCCTGTCACAGTGGAAAGCAACACCAGGCAGAACTCAGCCAGCACCCATAGAGGGAGCATTCAAACCAGCCCTAGCCGGAGGAGGAATTGCCCATTTCAGTAGCTGGAACCTGAGTGCCAGCAAGCCTCAACAGTGTGGGCTAACGTGCTGTGGGGTTCTAAATAAACTTCAAAGGCAGTCCAGGTCACAAGGATTGCAATTCCTGGGCAAGTCCTGGTGCTGTGCTCGGAGACAGTGGACTTGGGGGGCAAGCAACCTAGTAAGATGCCAGCTTGGGCAGCCAGGAGAGTGCTTGTGCTACCCCTCCCCCAGCCCCAGACCGCGCAGCCCACAGCTCTTGGAGAGACTCCTTCCCTTTGCTTGAGGAGAGGTAAGGGGAGAATAAAGAGGACTTTGTCTTGTGACTTGGATAACAGCTTAGCCACAGTAGGATAGGGCACCAGGTAGAGTCCTGAGGCCCCTATTCCAGGCCCTACCTCCTGGACAACATTTCTAGACTTGTCCTGAGCCAGAAGGAAACCCACTGCCTTGAAGGGAAGAAATTAGTCCTAGCAAAATTCATTACCTGCTGACTAAAGAGCCCTTGGGCCCTGAAAAATCAGGAGCAATACCCAAGGTACTCACCATGGGCCTTGGGTGAGACTCAGAGACATGCTGGCCTCAGGTGTGACCTAGGACATTCCCAGCTATGATGGCTATAGGGGGAGACTCCTTGTGCTTCAGAAAAGGAGACGGAAGAGTAAAGGAGATGTTGTCTTGCAGCTTAGGTGCCAGCTTGGTTTGACTACAGTGGGGTAGAGCACCAAGTGGGCACTTAGCGTCTCCAATTCCAGGCCTTGGCTCTTAGATGGCATTTCTCAACCTATCCTGGGCCAGAGGGGAGCCCAGTGCCCTGAAATGAGAGTCTCAACCCTAACAACATTGACCACAAGCTGATTGAAGAGCCCTTGGGCTTTGAGTAAACATTGGTCATAGCCAGGCAATACTTCCCGCAGGCCTGAGGTGGTAGTAGCTATGGTGAGAGACTCCTCTGCTTGTGAAAAGGGGAGGGAAAAGTGGGAAAGACTTTGTATTGTGGTTTGGATGCTGGCTCAACCACAGTAGAATAGATTACCAGGTAGATTCCTAAAGTTTCTGACTCCAGCCCCTGGCTTCCACATGGCATCTCTGGACACCTCACCCAAGGGTAGGGAGAACTTGCCACCCCGAAGGGAAGGACACAAGTCTTATTGGCTGGCTTCACCACCTGCTAATTGTAGAGCCTCAGGGCTTTGAGTAAACATAGGCAGTAGCCAGGCAATATTACAGAGGGCCTTGGGTCTGACTCAGTGCAGTCCCAATGATGGTGGTCAGGAGTGCTTGTGTCACTCTTCCACCAGCTCTAGGCAGCTCAGTATATAGACAGAAGCTCCACTTGTTTGGGAGAAAGTAAGGGAAGAGAACAAGAGTCTTTTCCTGGTAAACCAGATAATTCTTCTGGATCTTATCCAAGACCATCAAGGTGGTACCTCTATGAGCCTACAAGAGGCACGGTCTTACTGGGCTTGGGTTGCCCCCTAATGAAGATATGGCTTCAGGAACTAAAAAGTTAGATCACAACAGCCAAGTCCCTTCAAATACCTGGAAAGACTTCCCCAGAAGGATGAGTACAAACAAGCCCAGACTGTGAAGACTGCAATAAATACCTAACTCTTCAATGCACAGACATAAAAAAAAAAAATCCACAAGCATCAAGACCACCCAGAAAAACAGGACCTCACCAAATGAATGAAATAAGACACAAGAGACCAATCCTGGTGAGACAGAGACATGAGACCTTTCAGACAGAGAATTCAAAATAGCTGTTTTGAGGAAACTCAGTGAAATTCAAGATAACACAAAGAAGGAATTCAGAATCCTATCAGATAAATTTGACAACGAGACAAATAATTAAAAAGAATCAAGCAGGAATCCTGGATTTGAAAAATGCAATTCACATAATAAAGAATGAGTCAGTCTCTTACCAGCAGAATTGATCAAGCAAAATAAAAAAATTAGTAAGCTTGAAGACAGGCTATTTGAAAACACACAGTCAGAGGAGACAAAAGAAAAAAAAAAGAATGAGGCATAGCTACAGAATCTAAAAAATAGCCTCAAAAGGGCAAATCTGAGTTACTGGCTTTATAGAGGAGGGAGAGAGAGAGAGAGATGGGGTAGAAAGTTCATTCAACAGAGAACTTCCCAAACCTAGAGGAAGACACCAATATCCAAGTACAAGAAAGTTATAGAACACTAAGCAGATTTAACCCAAAGAAGACTACCACAAGGCATTTATTAATCAAGCTCCCAAAGGTCAAGTATAAAGAAAGGATCTTAAAAGCAGCAATATTTGTTTGGAGATTCCTCAAAAACAAATAACATACAATGGAGCTCCAACCCAATTTGGAAAGGAGGAAGTCAAATTATCCTTGTTTGCAGATGATATGATCTTATATTTGGAAAAACCTAAAGACTCCACACACATAAAAACTATTAGAACAAATAAATTCAGTAAAGTTGCAGGATACAAAATCAACATACAAAAATCAGTAGCTAACAGCAAACAATCCAAAAAAGATTTCTATTGCCAACAGCAAACAATTTCTGTATGCCAACAGCAAACAATCCAAAAAAGAAATCAAGGAATTAATTCCATTTACAAGTTAAAAATAAAATAAAATGCCTAGGAGTTAACTTAAAGAAATGAGAGCTCTCTGCAATAAAAACTATAAAACATTGATAAAAGAAATTGAAGAGGATACAAAAAGTGGAAAGGTATTCCATGTTCATGGATTGGAAGAATCAGTATTATTAAAATGTGCACAATACCAATAGCAATCTACAGATTCAATGCAATTCCTATCAAAATACCAATGACATTCTTTACAGAAATAGAAAAAACAATCCTAAAATTTATATAGAAACACAAAAGACCCAGAGTAGCCAAAGACACCCTGGACAAATACAAAACTGGAGGAATCACATTACATGACTTCAAATTTTCTATAAAGCTATAGTAAACAAAACAGCATGGTACTGGTATAAAAATGGACACATAGACCAATGGAACAGGACAGAGAACCCAGAAACAAATCCATACATCTACAATGATTCGTTTTTGACAAAGGTGTCAAGAACATGTATTGGGGAAAGGATAGTCTTTTCAATAAATGATGCTAGGAAAACTGGATGTCCACATGCAGAAGAATCTCTTGTGCATATACAAAATCTCTTACCATATACAAAAATCATATCAAAATGGATTAAAGACTTAAATCTAAGACCTCAAACTCTGAAACTACTACAAGAAAACATTGGAGTAACTCTCCAGGACAATTAGCTGGGCAAAGATTTCTTGAGTAATATGCCACAAACACAGGCAACTAAAGCAAAAATGGACAAATGGGATTACATCAATTTGAAAAGCTTCTGCACAGCAAAGGAAACAATCAAAAAAGTGAAAAGACAACACATAGAATGGGAGAAAATATTTGAAAGCTACCCATCTGACAAGGAATTAAAAATCAGAATATATAAGGAACTTAACTCTATGGGGAAAAGTCTAATAATCCAATTTATAATGGGCAAAAGATCTGAGTAGATATTTCTGAAAAGACATACAAGTGGAAAATAGGTATATGAAAGGTGCTCAACATCATTGATCATCAGAAAAATGCAAATCAAAAGTACAATGAAATATTACCTTACCCCAGTTAAAATGGCATATTTACAAAAGACAGGCAATAACAAATGCTGATGATGATGTGAGAAAAGGGAATCCTCGTACACTATTGGTGGGAATGTAAATTAGTACAACCACTATGGAAAACAGTTTGGAGGTTTCTCAAAAAACTAAAAATTGAGCTACCATATGATCCAGCAATACCGCTGCTGGGTATATACCCAAAAGAAAGGAAATAAACATATCAAAGAGATATCTACACTATCATGTTCGTTGTAGCACTGTTCACAACAGCTAAAATTTGGAAGCAACCTAAATGTCCATCAATAGAAAAATGAATAAGGAAAATGCAGTATATATATACAATGGAGTACTATTGAGCCATAAAAAAGAATGAGATCCTGTCATTTGCAACAACTTGGATGGAACTGGTGGTCATTATGTTAAGTAAAACAAGCCAGGCACAGAAAAACGAAGTTCCCATGTTCTCACTTATTTGTGAGAGCTAAAAATTAAAACAAACTCATGGAGACAGAAAGTAGAGAGATAGTTACTAGATGCTTGAGAGGGTAGTGGGGGTGAGAGGGAATGGTTAGGGGGTACAGAAATATAGAAATATAACTAGATGGAATGAATAAGATCTAGTATTTGATAGCACAACAGGGTGACTACAGTCAACAATTTATCACAGATTTAAAAATAACTCAAAGAGTATAATTGGATTTTTTGTAACACAAAGAAAGGATAAATGCTTGAGGTGATGGATACTCCACTTACCTTGATGTAATTACTATGCATTGTATACTTATATCAAAATATCTCATATAACCATAAATATATATACCTACTATGTACCCACAAAAATTAGAGATAAATATGGTAGACTTTTTGAAAGGTACTAAATAGGATGTCTTGTACATAAGCATTCAGTAAACGTTTGCAGCTATTGTTTCCTAATAAGTTGATTAATTTGATTTACCTTAAGCTGTCATTGAAACCTTCCACTGCATATTTGGATGGAGTATAGCCCCCTCCAACGATTGCAAGGCGACCTCCAACACTGGAGACATTAATAACTCTCCCTTGAGCTTTCTTGACCAAAGGAAGCATATTTAGTGTCACACTGATGAGTCCAAACAGGTTCACTTCAATAGGTTCTCTGTAGTCCTCTAGTGTCAGCCAGTCAGTGGGAGCCAGCACGCCGGGAACACCAGCATTATTGATCAGACCCCAGAGACCTAGAACAGAGAGGAAGGAAAAGAGGTGTGGTAAGACAGTACTTATTTGCCACCTTTGATGAAAATACAGCCCCTGCTTTGCACAATGGTGCCATTTCCTCCTTGAAGTCATTTTCCTACTCTGAAATACTTCGCAGTTTTGGGAAGTGATAGCAGAGAGGGTGGGAGGCTAAACTGAAATAGTTCAAGTTCTCGCTGTTACTCTATTTCTGGTTCTGAATGTCAAATACTGAAACTCTGTGAGTGAGTCTTTCTGCTTTTTAATCTCAGATGTAGAGTAAATTGATCTATTTTTCTTATTATACTTTAAGTTTTAGGGTACATGTGCACAACATGCAGTTTGTTACATATGTATACATGTGCCATGTTGGTGTGCTGCTCCCATTAACACGTCATTTAACGTTAGATATATCTCCTAATGCTATCCCTCCCCCCTCCCCCCACCCCACAACAGGCCCCGATGTGTGATGTTCCCCTTCCTGTGTCCATGTGTTCTCATTGTTCAATTCCCACCTATGAGTGAGAACAAATTGATCTATTTTTCCTGCCTTGCTAGATAGTAAGGCCAGAGAATATTTATATAATGTTCTGTATGGACAAAGAGTGATATCAATCTACTTCACATTTATTTTTGGTTAAGAATTCAGTCATTCACTTGGCTTGTTTAAAATGGGAAACATTTAGTATTTTTAAAGGTGTTGGAATTCAAGTGTTAAAAATCGAAGCCTTATCAAATCATTGCTTTTGAGCTTCAGAGTCTCAGCTACATGATCAAGATGTGCTAGAAAAAAAATCGCAAACATTTGTTTTTTCCTTTGTGAATCCTAACATCTTAATCCATGAGAATGTTTCACACTTCATTCAAAGCCAATAAAAATTCTTCTAGTTCAGAATACAGTCACCATAGCAGAATCTATTGCAGAATGGACATCCAAAGGCTCACTACTCTACCTTAACTATGTAAGACACTCATACTCAAATTCTCAGGCCATTTTCAACCTTGCCCATTGAAAATGTGTGAGCTTTAGAATCATTTTGCAGGGAGAAGTGGGTGCCAGGTATCCAGATGGCAATTTGGGAATTGCCCCCATATTCTCCTGTACATTTTAGTCTAAATTCCTTTGCTGTATATGGGGCAGGGGAGAATAGCCCTTTACAGGAGAAGACCATGGAAAGTCAATACTTTCATCTCAGCCCTGAATTCACCCACTGAGACTTAGGCCCAAGGGTCTTCTGGGCTGTGTTTCTCATGCACACAGACAGCCTGTACTTGGAACTACTCAGAAGCTATCCTAAGATTAGAGAAGTACACAGCCGGTATTTAGGAAACATTTTCTCGAAAGGCCATTTAAAACTTGAGCATGTTTTATTTAGCTTTGGTTACCTCCCTATCCCCTATCCCTGTCCCATCCTACCCACTTCCATGTCTCTCACCTTTCTCCCCAACTTGGTTCTTCACCCACTGGGCAGTCCTCTTGACATTCTCTGGGTCGGTCACATCCAGAAGCACAGTACGAAGTCTCTCTGAGGTTTCTGCCTTTAAAGCTGTTGATCCTGATTCAGTCAGACAGGCAGCGATTACATGAAATCCCTTTTTATCAAAAGTTCTGGCTGCCAAGTTTCCAAAGCCCGAGTCACATCCAGTGATAAAAATGTACTTATCAGTGATGTCTTCAATCTTTAGTTTTCCTTTACGAGTCCACAGAAAACCACAGAGGATTAGGAGGCCTAGCACCCAAAAGAGCATTTTTCCCCCTGTGTGTGATAGGTACACTCCTTTCTTGTATAATACAAGAAGATGGTGTCCTGAGTGTTCAAAGTGAAAAAGAAAATTCAAATTAGAACTACCAAGGCATTATAACCCAGGACTGATGAATTTGAGATATTTTAATGCATTAGTGTGGATAAATAGAAAGTTAAAGAAACAATAACTCTTATTTGGTTGTTTGTTGGGAAGATGGCCATCTAAATGATAAATCGTTCCTCTAAAGTAATGCAAAAACTAACCAAGGAGTATTCAGAGAAATTAAATGGAAGAGAGGGAGAGGGGAGCCATGGCAAAATTGACACAAGCCATTGAGTTGCCACGGCCAGCTGGAGCTATGTGGAGTGATGGTATTAATCTCAGGAGTGAACTCGTCTATCAGGAAGACAGACCCTCACAGTAAAATCTTACCTCTTGCTAGTTCATGAAATTCCACTGCAGAATGGGCTTAAAATCTATTAGAAACAATAATTCAATTTTAATTGTTCTGTCAGACTCCCAATTATCTTCAAACTGTCAGGAGAAGAAGAGCATTTTTTGTTGCCACTAAGATATTCCCAACTTGGCTTCCATTTTCTTATTTTAAATGGGTTAATGTCAATCTTCAACCCAACTCTGAGATCATTACACCCCAATGCAGATGAGTATTAAAGTGGGAGGCAACAAGTGAGTTCACCAAGAAAGGGCAAGATAAATGGGAAGTGACTGAGAGGGAAATGCTGGCCAATGCACCATGTCCCAAACCAGACTCCCACATCCCCAAATTCTGTCTTCTGTGAACACCAGTCTCCTGTGAGAAAAAAATCACATGGACAAAGGATAAAGCCAAGCAAATGTATGCTGTAAAACGGAAGCTTTGACCATATGTGCAGCAGAACTACTTGGAAAATTAATTTTGTCAGGGCTAGAGGTAGCCTAGGGCCTAAAATCAGGCAGGTAGAGGGCTTTCTTTCCTTTTTCTTCAGAAGCCTGCATCTGCGTTTCCCCTCAGCATATATTACTCTTACCATGGGGTACTGGTGCCAGAGAAAAGCAAGCCATCCAGAAAGAGGAAGTGAACAAGAACCTGAGGTTTATGCCTGGGTGCCAAGGCTGTATGGCCAGCTGCCTCAGGTCTGAGTACCATGGGCCCAGCCCTCCACACTCAGTGATGGGGCAGCCCAAGAGAATGAGATCATCAGCTCCCTCCCCACAGAGGAGCAGGTCTGTGTTGGCTCTCTGAGCCTGTGGAAGGGAGAGGGGCTAAAGAGAGAACCACATGTGGGAAAGACCTTATTTTCTTCCTCCATGACCCAAAAAGCTTCCTCCTGTGTCCACGCAATATCTTTGCCCTTAATCTTGACCCACCCTGAGACTCCAGAGGGGCTTTAAAATGCCTCACAGAGGACAATCAATAGGCCCTGAGTTGAAGTTCAGAACTTGTGGGTGCTTTTGGAATCATGGCTGTTCCTGGACACTGAGTTCAAAAAGGAACTGAGAGGCCAAGCGAGTTTATAGACTTTGGACTTTATTTTCTTTCTTTCTTTCTTTCTTTCTTTCTTTCTTTCTTTCTTTCTTTCTTTCTTTCTTTCTTTCTTTCTCTCTCTCTCTCTCTCTCTCTCTCTCTCTCTCTCTCTCTCTCTCTCTCTCTCTCTCTCTCTCTCCCCCTCCCTCCCTCCCTCCCTCCCTCTCTCTCTCTCTTTCTTTCTTTCTTTCTTTCTTTCAGATGGAATTTCGCTGTTGTCGCCCAGGCTGGAGTGCAGTGGTGCAATCTCGGCTCATTGCAACCTCCACCTCCTGGGTTCAAGAGATTTTCATGCCTCAGCTTCCTGAGTAGCTGGGATTACAAGCACCTGCCACCATTACAGGCACCCGGCTAATTTTTGTATTTTTAGTAGAGGTGGGGTTTCTCCATGTTGGCCAGGCTTGTCTTGAACTCCTGGCCTCAGGTGATCCACCTGCCTCGGCCTCCCAAAGTGCGGGGATTACAGGCGTGAGCCACCACGCCCAGCCTGGACTTTATTTTCTTACAATTATTTCCTAATTTTTCCTTCGAATCCTTTTCAAAAATCATTTATTTTTTTCTGCTTGTAAAAGTAATTTATCCTCAAGAAAAAACATAGAAAAAAAGAAGATAGTAATGATTATAACACTTGATTCAATATTTTAGTGCATTTTCCCCATTTTCTTCTGTATTTGTAAAGTTTTCTTTCTAGATCAAGAAATATAAACATACACACAGAATTTTAAACACCACACACACAGACACACACACACTATTTTTACTGCTGTTTGAGAAACAGACTATTTCAGATTAAAAAAAATCAATGTAATGTCTTCTTCACTTCTCAAGAAAATTTCGGGCTCTGCTTTTATCTTTCTTCCCCCAGAAGATCTATAGCTAAAGAAAAAAAAAATGATAAAAGAATTGTCAGTTCAGCCGGGCCTGGTGGCTCACTCCTGTAATCCCAGCACTTTGGGAGGCAGAGGGGGGCAGATCACAAGGTCTGGAGTTTGAGACCAGTCTGGCCAACATAGTGAAACCCCATCTCTACTAAAAATACAAAAAATTAGCTGGGTGTGGTGGAGGGTGCCTGTAATCCCAGCTACTCAGGAGGCTAGGGCTGGAGAATCAGGCAGGAGAATCAGGCAGGAGAATCGTGAACCCAGAAGGTGGAGGTTGTAGTGAGCCGAGATCATGCCATTGCACTCCAGCCCTGGCGACAGTGCAAGACTCTGTCACAAAAAAAAAAAAAAAAAAAAAAAAAAGTCAGTTGATAAAAATTAAGTCAGAGGAATATAAAAATATGTTTGGAGAACCTACTTGATTCTTGTGGTATAGCTACAGCTATTTCTGAAGTAGTCAACTTTTTAGATTACCATGGCTTAATAATTTGGTATAGTTTTTCCAACTCTTTTCTGTGTAAGAGTTATAATTTGTTGCAAATCAATGTCCATGTAGCAAGATTTCCCGTTCTCAAATACATTATAAATGTATAATTATGGGAGGGGAAGTGGTATAACTAACTCTTGCAAAATTACATGTTTAAACCTTTTAAGGAAATTTTGTATCTACAAATTCAACTAATATAGCGTTTTGCTCAAATCTGGCTTCAGTAAATAATCACCGAAAGGCGAAATGTTTAATATATTTTCTGAATGGATTCTGCAGCTTTCATTGCAGTCTAAACTCCCAGGGGAATTATTTGAAGAAGACAAATATTTGTGGGGTTTTATGTTCTCTAGAGCAGAGAGTTGGAAGTTTTTGTGTTGTCATTTTTACCAGGGGCATGCACGAGGGAGTCACAGTAAAATAATGTCATACATTAGTAAGGCACTCTATGCTGTGCTTTCACACACAGGTCTCATTTTGTCCTCTCAATAGCGTTTTGAGTTAGAGAGGGCATATTATTTGCCTTAGAAACTGGCTCAAAGCAACAAAGTGATTTGCCAAGGTCACTGGGACTAGAGTGCTGTGTCCTTCCACTATAGGAGACAGATGAGGGGCTCTGGGGACTGGAGCACTCCACTCTGGGCTGGGCTGAGAAGTGTCCAAGCTGACAAGCTGAGTTGATAAGGTCGACACTTCACATCTTGTCCATGATTGCTGAGAGGCAGGGATAAAAGTCCACTGGCCAAAAGCAACATCTGACATCTGAAATAGTTGTGGCTACAGAGTCATCTCCCCTCATAACCTCCTCTGTTATAGTATAATAACTGACACAAGGTCCCAGAGGGGAAAGTAGATGAGGGAATGGGGGAAGGGAAGCCACAAGGAGGGTATGTTTCATGCATGTTCCTGTGCATGAAACTGGGTTACCAGCCCCTAAGGGATTGAATTCAGTTGGATGGATGATTTGGGCATCTATGAAAGCTTCTCAGACAAAAGGGTGCCATTAGAACTTTGAGAGAGTCTGTGGATAGAATTCAGGGGTTTCTACATTTGGATGGGAAAAAGATCCCATCTTTTTTTTTTTCCTGAACTGTAATTGAAGTTTAGCACAATCTTCAATTACGGAAGAAACAACAAACCGCAGTAGTATTTGTATTGCCTGTGATTTTGTTACCAATAGAAATAATAAATATTTTCATGTTACATTGCATTTGTTGGAATTATCTCAAAATATGATTAATGCTGATTACTACTTCAAAATTATGGTGGTTATTGTTCCTGCCACCATGTTAATAAAATAAACTTATAAATATTTGGATGTATTTCAATACAGTAGTTTTCTTTTGTAATACTATGTATTTCACTTCAAGTGTTAAAAAAGTTATTCTCACTTCTGAGGTAGCTGTAGTAGTGACAGTCATGTCAATCCAAATTTCCTAGGACGTACTCCAAAAACTATGCACAATTCAAAGAGAAGAACAAATAGAATCACATAAAATCCAAGCCTCCACCAGAGCTAGAAAACAGACAACCCTATTATTTCAAATTATTTGATTGAGAAAATAAGCACAGCTGACATCTGAACAACGTGGGCTGTTGGATCCCATATTGGATCCAAACTGCCTGGATCCACTTATGTCTTATTTTCTTCAGCCTCTGCCACCCCTGAAACAATAAGACCAACCTCTCTTCTTTTTTCCTCCTCAGCCTACTCAACATGAAGATGGTAAGGGTGAAGACCATTATGATGATCCACTTCCACTTAAAAAACAGTAAGTATATTTTATCTTCCTTATGCTTTTCTTAATAATATTTTCTTTTCTCTAGTTTATAAGAGTACAGTATATAATACATATACAAAATATGTGTTAATTGACTATGTTTTTGGTAAGGCTTCTGGTCAACAGTAGGCTGTGAGTTAAGTTTTGAGGGAGTCAAAAGTTATACATGAATTTTCGACTGAATGGGGCACTGGCGCCCCAATCCCTGTGTTGTTTAAGGGTCAACTGTAACTAAGCTGTGGATGATGGAAGCCAGGCTTCACACTGTCAGAAGGAGGAGTAGCAAATATGAAAAAGGAGAGGCTGGAATGAACTCTGTGGAGTGGGATTATAGTTGGAAGAATCAGTATGAACTCCTGGTTTTTAATATGAGTCAGTAAATACAAAAATGGATAGGTAACTTTCTAGATCTACCCGATGAGCTAGAAACAATGACACTCCAACAACAATGAACATACCAAGGGCTCAGAAACCAATTTCTAAACATTGTGTTCATGTTCTTTGGAAAAGCTAACATCAGGGCTGAGCTTGGAGGCGAATGTACAAAATAAGCCTGGAGCATCTTATGCTACAAGTAAGTAAGTGCTCAACGAATGCTGGAGATACATCACTAGTACATAGATGTCAGCTGGAAGGGGCTCCCACTGGCGAAGTAAGAGACAATTTGAGCATCAAAGCCAATAGTGATAATGGGTAATAACTCATTAAATCAGATATGAATTCATGAATCCATTCTGAAGTAAATCAATCAATAAATAAGGATAAATGGAAATTTTTCCTTAGAATTAATATGCCATCTAATAAGTGTCAGACGAATGATGGAATTAGAATATCACCATTTGGCAACTGACATAGCAACAATGGTTTCAGGCAGGAATGATCAATGGATGCTAAAACTAGTGGGTCAAATTCCGATGACAGACAGTCATTATAGAATCTCAAAGAATCTCCCTGTCATATACTTTCAAATTAAAGAGAGAATAATGGTAATTTTATAGTGGAGAAATCTGACGGATACCACCTTAACCAAGTGATAAGGATTCACATCACTAGTTATGGAACAAACCAACATCGCATGCCCCCTGAGATGGCACACAGGGAAGGACACAACAGCTCTTCTGTGGAGCATCCAAAGCTAATTATGCATGGGGAAACATCTTCCAGTGCTTCTAAATATATGGCTGTACTCTTCAAAAACATCAAAGTCATGAAGTAAAAGAAATACTGAGGACCATTTCAGATCAAAGGAGACCAACGAGATACAACAACCAAATGCAATATGTGATCCTGGATCAAAATTTTTTTTTCTTTTTTCAGAAAGAACATTATTAGGCCAGCAAGTGAAATTTGAATAAGATCTTAAAATTTGATAAATAGTATTGCATTAATATTAATTTCCCAATTTTGATAATTATACTGTGATGATGTAGAACATGGCCTGCTTTTTAGGAAATACACACTGAAGTATTTAAAGAGTAAGGAGCATCATGTCTTCAACTTACTCTCAAACAGTTAAGAAAATAATAATGATATGTATATAAATAAACATTAAAACCACACATGCACCTATGTATATAGAGAGGAATGAGAAGGCAGATGTGGTAAAGTGTTAATATTTGAGGAATCTGGGTTGTCCTAGTCTCTAAATTTTTCAATAATTCTGAAATTATTTCAGAATAAAAAGTTAAAAATTTGGCAAAGGAAAGTAAAGCTTTTTTTTCTGTGAAAAGATTTTATTAGGCTACTTTGGATGTCATGCACAAAATAAGTAAGAACCCCAGACTTTTGGAGTGTAGTAACTTGTATACCACATTGCCTGTCATCTATGCTTTGGTAAGCTCACCTCTACAACTACCAAAGAAGAACGAAAGCTCAAATCTAAGTAGTTGGATTCCCTCTTTACTCCTTGTCCATTCTGCTTCCCCCTCAATCTCCACCTTTTCTATGCAAACCCATTTTTCCCTGGTGACAAGCAAAGAGGAAATTTTGCTGTTAAGAATGGACTCACATTAAAATGTATTGTCCTCATTAGGTACAGCTCTGGACTGAGGGTCATTTAGGCCTACAGTCTGAATCCTAGGGACTGCCAATGCTAACCTAGAGTTTTGCTACACTCTCCTTAACTCAAGTATTATTGCCCAGAAATGCTGGTTCAGATTCCTCTAGATCACTCGACTAAATCAACCACAAACACACACATATCTTTGACCTCTAGTAATATTTTAGCCACGATGCCAACTCTGAGCAGCAACCTGGGTCAGAGCCATGGGAACATGACCTATACACAAAGCTGATTGATGGCCAATTGGTTCATTGACCACTGAGAAATAAATTAGTAACAGCAACTAAAAGGCTAATAGGGCTACCTCAACCACACTACGCCAGCTGTGGTTACCTCTGCACGGCCCCTTGGTCCCAACAATTCAGAAACTCCAGGAACTGACCTGGTTGCTTGAGTTGTTTGCTTATCTGCTGTGTCTTCCAATTTATCGCACAACAAATTGCTTAATAGGGCGTAAATCTCTTGGCTCGAGGCAGTAGAGCAGTAGTTAGGAGCCCAGACCTCAGAAGCAAGCAGGCAGAGGTTCCATCCCAGTTTCACTATCATCAGAGGGCCCTCGGACAAATTAACTTTTCTTAGCCTCCATTTTCCTACCTGTAAAGTAGAAATACAACATCTACCTTGGAGAGTACTGGGTGAAGTGACCTAATGTCTGCCGTTACAGTAAGAACTTTGTTATCTTCATGGCAGGGTGAATCACTTTCACTTTATGAGGCAGTCTGCTCTATGTATTGCTCATATTTAGGCATTGATTCCTCTAACTGAGTAATTTTGATATTTTGGGCCAGGTAATTATTTGTTGTGGGGTCAGTCCTGTGCATTTAGCATGTTTAGTGGCATCTCTGGCCTCTACTCTCTAGTCAGCAGTAGCACCCCTCCCCAAGTTGTGAAAACCAAAAATGTCTCCAGATAATGCCAAATGTCCCCTGGAGGACAAAATATCCCCCAGTTTAGAACCACTGTTCTAGAACTTCCTAGTGTTGGGAGTCCAGAATATCATAGCACTAGAACTACTTTTCTGGAAACTTAGTCATTGGTTCCTTGGTAGTATCACATTGATGAGTTTCTTTTTTTAATGGCCTCATGGAAAAGTTGGGTTACTTATAAAAATTACTCATATCCTGCTGCTGCAAGCATTAATTTCCCTCTATATAAATATTTTAAAATGTCTTTTTGTCATCAGGAGGATAAGAGGCTGATATGGTTTGGCTCTGTGTCCTCACCCAAATCTCTTCATCCAATCACCTCCCATCTGTTCCCTCCCTCAAGGTTTACCCCATGCTGTTGACCCCCAGCTCCTCTGGGGGTACCCTTTGGTGGGTGGCCAACTGACCCTACAGAATTCAAAATATCCTCCTAGCAAATCTATGATTCTCAAGTTCCTGGTTGACCAAGTCAGGGAGGAATGATAATAACTGCTATGGTTCATTGAGTGCCTAACATGTTGTAGGCCGTTTCCTAGGATCTATAAATATTTATCTTATTTACACCTTACGACAAAATTATCTTCACTGTATAGAGGAGGAAACACATTCAGAAGCTCTGTTTAATTGGCTCCAGCTACAGTTGTAGTGGCAATTCCGGGACTGATACCCAGACCATTCTGTTCTACCACTGCAGTCTGTATTCCCACTCAACTCTGGGCTCTGCATATACTTCTCTACATTACCAGTTCCTTGTATGATACTTGGCATTATGTTGATGTTTAGTAAATGTTGTACAGCAAAGAAGGAAAAAAGGAAGGAAAGAAGGAAGTCTCCACTGTAGCTCCAGAGTTCTAGTGATAATTGGATTAATCTTTGAGACCTCTGAATCGCTGGGGCAAAAGGATGATAGCAATTATAATAATACATAATATTCACACTTCCAATTTTGATAACATTACAAAGTTTTGGGAAGTGTTTATGTAATATTTATCTCATGTAATTGTCAAGATATTTCTGGTGTAGAGTAGAGGTCATAACTATGGTCACTTGCCAGAGAGTGACCAGAACTAAAACTCTCTGAACTCTAAACTGTGTGAAAGAGAAGGAAGAACTGCAAAGAGATGAACACATTATCAGTCGACAGCAGGCACAAGAACACTTTATCAAACTTTCTCTACCATATCACAAAGATTCAAAAGAAACCAAGAAAGGAGAACTAGTTTTGTCTTTCATACACCATGCACAATGCTTTATAGTAACTGCCTGTCAGCAGCCAAAGGAAAATATTGCAACTCGAGCGCTCTCCTTGATCACTTCTGCTTTTCTTTTTCTTCCTGAGTTTGTTTTCCTAGTAAAAAAGTTAAAATAGGATTATTTAATTTCACTTCTCTTATTCACCTTCCTCTGTTTCTTAAAAATAAATGACACAGTTTAAAAAAAAGAACAGAAAATATCTCAATATTATTGTGAGGTATACTTTTTATAAGCAATGTAGAGTTCTTTCTAGATAGTTCCTCCCAGACCAGTTGATTTTATTTCCACATAACTTCATGAAGTGTTTCCTTTTAGAAAGCGATACCAAAGCTAGTCAACCACACTGTCAGGAGTTTGTAGAATCTTTATTTACTTCCAATGTGTTGCAATTGTGGCCCAAGTTGAATCAACAACTATGTTGTTTACCAAAATACATCAAATAGAAAACATTGAGCAATGATTTTCTAAAGTATTCTCTTTTTGGAGTTCTCTTGCATGGCTTTCTGAATACTGAAAGCCACTGAACATGTATGCCTCTTGTATATTTGAATATTGTAAACCCGGTTGACTTAACACAACATTCCTTTTTCATTTTTTCCTTTTCATTGAAGTAAAAAAAAACTGGTTTTTGTTTTGTTTTGTTTAAAAAAAAAAAAAAAACCCAGGTGGCTTTTAGAGATTTCTTCCACACTTAAAAAAAAATGAACACTGGAACCTATTGACATAAACTAAAAAATTATGTTTCTGTGAGAAATGTGTTCAAATGGTCCACCCAGAAATCTGAAAAAAAAATTTTTTAATGGCACCAAGGGACCCTACATTAAATGTGCTTGCATTAAGCAACGAATGCTTTTTTGAGAGTCTGACTGAAATAACAATTATAATAATTATTATGCTGCTGATGATATAGTTGAGTTGGTATTTATCGTCGTGGGAGGGTAAGTTCCCTTACTCAATGGATGAAGAAGCTCCTCCTCTGGTTAGTTACATTTGCCCTTGATTCCTGCTTCCCTGAGGGCAGGAGGTAATCCTTGGCAGCCAGACTGTGCTTTGGGTACTGGGACAGCGAGGCATGGAGTTCGTGTGTACTTCCACTACAGATTCACTCAGACAGCCTCCTCAGGATGTAGCTTCCCTCCCTCCTAGCAGAGGTGTACCAACTGCCTCAAATAGGGAAGATCTGCTGGATTTACATTTTGCATTTTTAGTTCTAAGGATAAAAGCATCTCTGATTTTCTTTTGCCTTCCTTCAAAACGTTTAAATTATAATTCACCATCACATCCCTAACTATTCATTAATTATCCCAAGTCCCTCCTAGGTTTATTATTTTGACAATGTTTCCTGACAGTATTAGCAGGTTACAAATTATTGTTAAAGCTATGATTACTTTATTTATGGTCACTGCATAACAATTGCTATCTGGGAAAGATTATATGTTGTGTACAGTTATCATTTGTAGTCACAAGGCTTTAAGGAAAGCTTAGAACATAGAACATATGTATAGGTTCCAAAAGTGTGTTTAAAACTTCAGTATATTTCAGCCACAGTGATCTTTGAGCAGAAGAAAAGGTCTGAGTTTTTTGTTGTTGTTGTTTTTTTTTTTTGAGACGGAGTCTCGCTCTGTCGCCCAGGCTGGAGTGCAGTGGCGTGATCTCAGCTCACTGCAAGCTCCACCTCCCGGGTTCACACCATTCTCCTGCCTCAGCCTCCCAAGTAGCTGGGACTACAGGCGCACGCTGCCACGCCTAGCTAATTTTTTGTATTTTTAGTAGAGACCAGGTTTCACCGTGTTAGCCAGGATGGTCTCGATCTCCTGACCTTGTGATCCGCCGGCCTCGGCCTCCCAAAGTGCTGGGATTACAGGCATGAGCCACCGCGCCCGGCCAGGTATGCGTTTTTAAACACTGTCCCTTAAGACAGTGACATTTGTTATAAGAGTTTTAACACCAGTTCCCATTTCCTACTCTTGAAATATATGAGTTAATGATTTTTTTGTGTGTACTTAAACATTGAAATTTGTTCTAAAATCTGAGCACCCTCTTTGAATATTAAAAATAGAATAGAAAGGTGGTATAACATTTAACTTTGATTTGATGCAGCGTGTAGCCAAGGAGATTTTTAGAGCAGTTAATATATGCCGAGGGATACTAGGATAAATAGTACAGAAGCACAATCTGTGCCCTTGGTCTAACAGTGTAGTGGGACATTTCAGAGCCATTTGTACAACTCTAACTTGATTGTTGATTTTAAAATGTATTTATTGAAGCACACCTCCTAAACATCAAGTCATTGCGAAAGGAGCCATATCATCATTTGAAAAACCAAACCACCGGATCATAAAATGGGGAGTAAATATCTAAAGCAGGCTTATTGCTGCCACCCCTGGATCCAGGGATCAAATATGAATTGTTGGGAATTTCCCTGCTTTTTTATGACCTACAAGGCATTTTTTCCCCTCAGTTTAGTGAATATGTGTGTGTATTCATGTAAACTTACATCTGATAATATTGATAAAGCGGACAGACAAACAGATCAGACCTGCAGTTGACAGAGAATCTGCTGCTTCAGTAAGAAACTCATCTAAGAATCCTGTGCTTTTTGGAGACTTCCCCCTCCAGTTTCCAATTAATCATAAGATTCACAGATAGTGTCAAGAAGGCACAGAGAAAATAAAATATGAATTGAATTGGGACACTAGGGTGCTAAAGGACATTCAAAGAGAGTCCTGGAGGAGTTCAAGGCAAGATCCCAGGTCACACCGAGGTCATTTCTATGGTGAGATGGACCCAGCTCCCATCACTGGGTTCTAATGTGTTACATTAAAAGAAGTAGCAACATTGACCACAGCTTGAAAGACCACCGATTCATTCTGCAAGAGTGAGGAAAATCAAAGAAAGTTTAGATTGACTTGATAAATAAAAGAATAAATGACAAAACTGTCATCAGTTACCTTATTAAAGATGAAGTGGGACACAGAAACTGTTGGTGGACTTGCTCAGCTGATGGCAGCTTTCCTGCTGTGCACGGGGAAGGAAGAGTTGTGCCACCCTGGCCAGGCTGATCCTCTTGAGGTCGAGGTGCCTGGGTTTCCGTAGAGCTCTGAGTACTACATGTGTGAGGAATCCTCAGGTTCTCTCCTTGCTCTGTGAGTCACTCCCATTGTGACACAACGTGATGACTAAATATCTCTTGAATAGCTCATAAAAGCCAAGAAGCTGTAGGTCGCATGTTTCAAAAGGAATCAGCAGTATAAATTTAGCTACTTTTAGAAGAGACTTTAAAATGATCAATAACATTCATTTTATGATTAGTACAATCTCTTGACCAAATTCAGCAGCAGAAATAATATAACAAAGAAATAAATATTTTGTAAACTGCCTGGTGCGTGGTTTTAATAGTTTTCAAATTGTGATTATTCTTCATAATCTCCATTTTTTCCTTCCTGTTAGCATGCCTTGGCTTATTTAACACTCCTTCCCTCCTAAGAGAATAAGTAGGAGAAATCAGTCTCTGAGATTGGTGTTACCATTTTTTTTAAGATGGGCGAGCAAGGAGATAAAAACAACATAATAAAATGAGGTTTTGGAATTACTTATGGGTCTTAATTTATGTTTTAAGGTATGACAAGGAGAGCTTACTAAAGTGGTCTCTGGAACTGAGACCGCTGAGAATAGGAAAGGATGCCTCCTCCCCTCCCAGAGTTTGTCTGTGTCAGAGTTGATCACAGTTGACCTGGCGTATCCTGGGACCACAGTGGAAAGTACTGAGGCCGCAGGCGAGGAGGGGAGGAGATGGTGCTAATCTAGCCTGCCACCCTTCACCTTCACCACTGTAGCCACTCAGGCAGGTACAAATACCACTTTGCTGATTTTTCATTTTCAGTTTCCTCGTATACCAGTTTGTTGCTATACTCTTCTGATTTCCCAGACTCTGTATTCCTCCTTTGAAAATTGCAGTTATTATGGTTCAACTGGAATGAGCACATGAATGAACATATCTGTCTAGGTAGAGTCAGGACACTGCTATCACCCTTTAAAATAAGTAGTGGTCTTTTTTCTTTAAAAGAACAACAAACCCACTTTGGGAGGCCAAAGCGGGCGGATCACTTGAGGTCAGAAGTTTGAGACTAGCCTGGCCAACATCGTGAAACCCCATCTCTACTAAAAATACAAAAAATTAGCCAGGCATGGTGGTGGGCACCTGTAATCCCAGCAACTTGGTAAGCTAAGACAGAATCTCTTGAATCTGGGAGGCCAAGTTGCGTGTGAGCCAAGATCGCGCCATTGCCCTCCAGCCTGGGTAACAGCGTGAGACTCCGTCTCAAAACAAACAAAAACAAACAAACAAACAAACTGAAATTTACTCAGGTTCACATTTAGGGTGCCCCAAATGTGCTAAATATGCTTTTTCCTCTTTAGCATTTCATAAGTATGGCTTAAATATAAAACCTCATAGACAATACATTGACTTAGAGCCACATGAAGTAAGGTATAAATAATTAATACTGAACCCTTCCTGTGAGCCTGTTATTGTCACTAAGAGGAGAAGAGAGCCTCATGCACCTGGGTGGTCATGCAGTGTTAACTGAAAAGGGCAAAGAAAAAGTTATAACAATAGTTAAAATTTTGCTACTTAATGAACTCGCCTAGTGCAGCCGTGTTTCAAAAACTTTCCAAATAGACTTAAAAAAAGTCAAATGTTTAGACTGATTTGCATATTGGAAATTAGAATTCTTGCCATCTATCTGGCTTGTCCCTCAATTCCTGTGGGCCCAACTCATGGGTTCAGTTTCAGTATATGGCACCACAGCCAGAACACCCCCTCTCCTTGTCCAATGGTCCCACATAGGCGATCAGTTAATGAAGTCATGTTAGCAGTGTCTTATCCAGACTGTAACCATATACACATTCAAATTCATATCTCAAGTGCCAAGTTGTCTTTCATTTCACCTCTTTAATATACAACCTTTGAAAGTGCTACTTTGTTCAGAACTCATCCTACATTGACTTCAGATCAAAGATCACATTAAAAAAAAAATCTGGAACCAAATTGCCATTTGAGTTTTTTCCTAGTTCCTTTTTAAAACAAAGGAGTGCACTGTGCATTTTATTTTAATGTTTGTAGGTGGAATGTAAGTATACAGTGGTAAGGCTAGATGCCACCACAGACAACACACTAAAGATAGAGTTATCCTTTTTCTTCTGAATCTGTATGCCTCCCATACTTCTACCCAAGAGTATCTTCTCCACCCCTTTCCAAATACCAAAACATAAGGAGGAAACTCAGATCTGAGGCTGTCTCAGGAGACATACGTTAGGCTTCCTGCAACTACACCATTCTGGGGATGGTCTAAGTCACAGATCATTCTAAGATGAGCTTCAACTGGAGGAAAGCACTTACTCCAGTGTGCAGGCTGTGGTGGGTCCAACTTCTGGAGTATATCCAGTGTCACTCTTGTAAGGCTGACCAGGAGGGTGAGGCTGGTGATAGAGCATGCACAGTGGCTTCTTCCTTCTGGCATAATGATGTAATCCTCTCTCTCAAGTCATTCTCAGTGGAACATGTTTCTCTGAACGACTATAAGCTGCTATGAAGACTTCATGTTTTAAAAGTGTACTTTATATTTTCTTCCTCCTCCCTTTGTCAACAGGGAGTTCTCTTATTTCTACTGTAAAGGGAACCTGTACTTTGGTTCCCTTTTTATACAAACAATGCCTTTGACATTTGAGTAGCTTCTTTGGCTAGGCTTGGTCAAAACCAGGAGCTTTGTTACCCATTTGGCCTTTCATGACTCTCCCAGCTGTAAGATGAAGCAGGGCTAATCTTTTGTTTTTCTCTACTATGCAATCTTTAGATATACAAATAGAGATGGAGTCATGGGAACATTTGATAGATTCTTTGAATAAAGATTTTTCTTATTTACAGAGCACATATCCTTTTAGCTTACCCAACAAGAGGTCCTGCGTTGAAAAGTGAAGTGAGAAGTATTATATGGGGAATTATTGTTCTGGTAGATGGAGCAAGAGAGAAGATAGGTGAGAATGAAAGTAACAAATGAACAGAAACACTGTGGATTTTCAGCAACTTGAAAGAAGGAAAGGTGAAGGCTAAGAAAATGTGTCTGTCACAGAGGGAGGGAGGTGGGTGCTCCTTCTGGTATGACCATCACATGTTCACATGTGAGCATTAAAAATTTTTTTCCTGGCTTAAGAATGATCTTCCTGCCAAGTTTCCTAGTTTCTTTCAATCCCTTTCAAAAAGAAGGCAACTTCTTTTTCCCAGAATCTTAACTGAGATGATAAAATATCAAATGAAATTAAGAGCAGATGCTAGATGCAGCTGATTGTGTAATATGCAAGTACTATCCAGTGGGAAAGAACTCACGGGGATTCATGAAGTGGGGAGGAGTGAGTTAGAGACAACTGTCTTCAGATCCTGTTTGGCTTGTTCTGGACTTTGTTTTGGGTTGTTCTGGACTTCAGACCCTGTTTTGGGTTGTTCTGGGCTTTGGTTCTGTGTGAGGCCTATTTGGCTAAAAAGATCCAAAGATGAATAGAAAGGGGCCTTTCTATTGAGGAATAATTCACTGTTAGCTCATTTATTGCTGAGTAAGGAATCTCATAGACTTTCCCCTCTCCTTGGAGAACCCCTGATTCTTGCTGGCTCCTTGAGACTATTTAAGATTGTGGGGGAAAGGGCGATCTTATCCTTTGCTGATGGATATGTGAATTGCTACAGCCTTTTTTGAAAGCTGTCCAGAAAAAAAATCTGTTAAAATAAAAAGCTACTATTTGAGACAAAAATCCTGCTCCTAGGATTCTATCCTATATAAATGTATATAAGTGTATATGAACAGGATGGGGCAAAAAGAACTGGGAGCAAAGCAAGTGCCCACTAGTAGTGAGATAACTGAATAAATTGTGGTACATATGCACAGTGGAATATTATTTTGCAGCCACTAAATAGAACAAACTCGAGCTCTACTATTTGACTTGGAAGGCTTTCCATGACCTCATTTTTGTAAAGCAAACTCTGTGTACATATGTAAAGATACCTATGTGAATATGGAGAAAAATATGAAAGGGTATGCACTCTGTTTTTAATATGGGTTACTTGCAGATAGAAGGTGTGGGCAAAACAAAGGCAAGGATGAGGTAAGAGAAAATAGAAAAGTTAGCTTTTAAAAACTGCACTGAAAATGATAGGATCTGACACAATGAAAGCAAGAAAATATCCTGCCTTTCCCCCACCAAAAAACCCCAAAACAAAAAATCCTGAATTGAATGGGGCCTTTATATCCAATGACCAATTCACAGGGAAAACAGAGAATAAAGGAAACAAGTGCAACTATTCTCTAATCATCAAACCAGCAGGGGAATCTGAAATACAAACAAATTGATTTATTCAATAGAAATAAATTACACAC
This sequence comes from Homo sapiens, assembly GCF_000001405.40. Lineage (NCBI taxonomy): Eukaryota > Metazoa > Chordata > Mammalia > Primates > Hominidae > Homo > Homo sapiens. The sequence continues at coordinate 169,065,241 of NC_000002.12, read as the reverse complement.
ACAAAATGGAGAGGGAATACGGCACGTTCTCACCTATAAGTGGCAGCTAAGCCATGGGTACACATGGACACAGGTGGACATAATAGACGCTGCAGACTCCAAAAGGGGGGAGGTTGGAGGGGGATGAGGGTTGAAAAATTACCTTTTGAGTACAGTGTTCAGTATATGGGTGATGAGTACACTAGAAGTCCAATATCCCCCATTACACATGTAACATCCATGTAACAAACAAGCATAAGTAACCTCTGAATCTAAAACAAAACAATCAGAGAAAATGAAGGAACAAGCTTTAAAACAACAAATCTATTTATGACAATGTTTATCTAAAACAAAACAGAGAAAATGAAGGAACAAGCTTTAAAACAGCAAATCTATTTATGACAATATTTATGACACAATTATAAATTTAAATAATGGATATTTGATAATTAAGGAATTATTAATTTTTCAGATATGATGATAATATGGTTATTTATAAAAGAGTTTTTATATTTTAGGTCAATTACCTAATTAACCTAAGTATTAATGAATGAAATATATAATATCTGGGATTTATTTCAAAATAATACAGGACTGTAAGGAATGGGTAAAGGTGTGGACAGGGCAGGATGACCTATGGGTTGTTGGTGGGGCTGGCGATATGTACATGGGCATTCATGATACTATTCTGTCTACTTTTATGTATGTTTTAAGTATTCAATTATAAAAACTTAAAATATAACATGACCGGGCCAGGCGCGGTGGCTCATGCCTGTAATCGCAGCACTTTGGGAGGCCGAGGCGGGGGGATCACGAGGTCAGGAGATGGAGACCATCCTGGCTAACACGATGAAACCCCGTCTCTACTGAAAATATAAAATTAGCCAGGCGTGGTGGCGGGCGCCTGTAGTCCCAGCTACCTGGGAGGCTGAGGCAGGAGAATGGCGTGAACCCTGGAGGCGGAGCTTGCAGTGAGCCGAGATAGCGCCACTGCATTCCAGCCTGGGTGACAAAGAGAGACTCCGTCTCCAAAAAAAAAAAAAACATGACCACACTTTATTATTTATACAGAATATTTTATAAATATGCACATATTTTTAAAAGAAATTTAAAAGACTGATTTTGATATTTTTTAAAATTCTCCTGACTTAAACATTCTCCTGAGTTAGAGTTAAAAACTGCATTGTAGAGGAAGAGGGGGATACACTGAGATTAACTTCAGGTCCGATACCTGTGCCGGGATGAATATCTTCTTAAGAATGAGCTGCCAACTCAATGGAAGGTATAGTTTTGCTGTCAGCGTTTTACACTGCTGAATACCCATTCAAATGTTCACTGTTCCTTTGCCATACGGTGTTAAAAAAGTAGATACCTCATTGCTATTTTTTAAAATGCTTCAAATGCTCTCCTTGTGGTTATGGAGTTGAGCCTGTATTTGCAAGGCAATACTACCTCGCAAATGTCAACACAAGTATTTTGGATAGTAATCAACAAAACCAATCAGGTCCCAGGTATGTCTTGTGCAAAATACTTTGCCAGGTGTTTTTGGAAATATAAATAATATAGGACACTAACTTGGCCCTCAACAAGCTTGCAATATCTGGAACAGTTGATGGTTTTACACCTAAATATCTTTATTCTCTAGATACACTGGATTCATTTAGTTTGCAAGCTTTATTGACACTGTTATGTTTACTGAAATTTGTGAAAGACCATCCCCCTTTGTGCTTTTCTGAATATCATGTTACTGTCCTACTCGACTACAAGAACGTAAACTTGACTTTATGGTAGTTGTTTATTTTTAAATGTAAATTATTAGTTTGAAGGCAAACTGCCTATAAACTAATTGGAGTGCAAAATTGATGGGGTTTGGGACACATTACCCCAAAATATGGAATCTTAGCATTTAAGGAAATGGCAGAAGCAGTATGTCACGTTCACCCTTGCCCCTTCTTTCTTGAAGCAGGTCATAAAATGTAGCTGACCTTCCCCTGAAGTAGGTCATAAGACACTCATTCCAGTGGTGCCCTCCCTGTACCTGGAGGAAAGAAATGAGCCTATCTCTGAAGACACAAAAACAGAAGAATCTGAACAAACAAGCCTTGCTAAATCTCCCTGTTTATTACCATTAGCTCATAGCCGCTCTAGCTAATCATACTTCTGCACAACTATCCACTCTTCCTAGCATAAAAACACACAGGTTTACCTGGATCTCCAGATCTTTATTTATGAAGTCTCCTGTGTCACGTAAAACATTTATTAAATAAACTTGTATGCTTTTCTCTTGTTAATTTGATTTTTGTCATGGGGCCTTAGCCATGAACCTGGCAACGAATGAGGAAAGAAGTTTTTCTTCCCTTACACATCACATCCTGGGAATGGTAATGTTAATGAAACTTCCAAAAATAAAGGACATATCATTATAACTACCCTGTTGAAGTCGATTGGCTGTAGAAAATGGCCTGTAGTGAAGTAGATCTGGCCTAACACAGGTTAATTTTCCAGCTATCAGTGGCACTCTGTGTGATACCAAGCATTTGTTAAGTAAATGTCCCACATGAACTCTGTTCTTGTATCTTCACAATGTACCAGGAGAACTTCCTCCTGGAACTTCCTTCTGAGTTTTCCCTGTGCAGGGGGACCTGTTTTTCCAACTCCTCTCAAAGGAAGGAGAGCCTTTCCTTGCTGAATTAGAGCTGTAGCACTGTGGTTTTGGCTCTGTCCATCTGTATGGAGGCTTATTTAAACAAAATCTCCAGGGTCAATAATCCCAGGAAATGTTCTGTACTATTCTTTTTAGTTAGTTTTTTTTTTTACCAAGTGAAATGATTCAGTCTCATCTAACAAAAATGGGAAATAAACAAAAAGAAGAAAAAGTACTCCTTATTTATCAAATCAGAGTAATACTAACAATCTTTAATTTTGTTTGCCAAGTACTACTCTGCAAGTATTATCTCATTTAATTAGCACGACAACCCCATGCTGTTGTTTCGGCTCCAATTTATAGCAGAGAAAACAGACTCAGAAGGGTTAAATAACTGATCAAATTAACTTATTCAGACTTAGATCTGTCTTACTTCAGAATCCATATTGTTACAATTAATCACGATTACAATTTAGAATACATCCATTTAATCTTTTATTCTCTGTGATATTTCTTTCTCTCTCTCTCTACATATATATACATGTATAATTTTTCTTTCATAAGGGAACTGTGACCTTCCTTTTTTTTATATACATTTATTTTAAGTTCAGGGGTACGTGTGCAGGTTTGTTATGTAGATAAACTTGTGTCATGGGAATTTGTTTACAGATTATTTTATCATCCCGGTATTAAGCCTAGTATCCATTAGTTATTTTTCCTGATTCTCTCCCTCCTCCCATCCTCCACCCTATGATAGGCCCCAGTGTGTGTTGTTCCCCTCTATGTGTTCATGTGTTCTCATCATTTAGCTCCCACTTATAAGTGAGAACATGTGGTATTTGTTTTTCTGTTTCTGCATTAGTTTGCTAAGGATAATGGCCTCCAGCTCTATCCATGTTCTTGCAAAGGGCATGATCTCGTTCTTTTTATGGCTGCATAGTACTCTGTGATGGATATGTACCATATTTTCTTTATCCAGTCTATCAGTGATGGGCATTTAGGTTGATTCCATGTCTTTACTATTGTGAACGGTGCTGCAATGAACATATACGTGCATGTATCTTTATAACAGAATGACTTATATTCCTTTGGGAATAAAACCAGTAATGGGATTGCTGGGTCAAATGGTATTTCTGTCTTTAGGTTTTTGAGGAATTGCCACACTGTATTCCACATGGTTGAACTATTTTACACTCCCACCAACAATGTATAAGCATTCCTTTTTCTCCACAACCTCACCACCATCTGTTATTAATATTTTTGACTTTTTAATAATAGACATTCTGACTGATGTGAGATGGCATCTCATTGTGGTTTTGATTTGCATTTCTTTCATGGTCAGTGATGTTGAGCTTTTTTTCAAATGTTTGTTGGTCGCATGTATGTCTTCTTTTGAGAAGTGTCTGTTCATGTCCTTTGCCCACTGTTTAATGGGGTTGTTTTCTCCTTGTAAACTTATCTAGGTTCCTTATAGATGCTAGATATTAGACCTTTGTCAGATGTGTAGTTTGCAAAAAATTTCTCCCATTCTGAGAAAATTTTTGCAACCTGCTCATCTGACAAAGGGCTAATATCCAGAATCTACAATGAACTCAAACAAATTTACAAGAAAAAAACAAACAACCCCATCAAACAGTGGGTGAAGGATATGAACAGACACTTCTCAAAAGAAGACATTTATGCAGCCAAAAGACACATGAAAAAATGCTCATCATCACTGGCCATCAGAGAAATGCAAATCAAAACCACAATGAGATACCATCTCACACCAGTTAGAATGGTGATCATTAAAAAGTCAGGAAACAACAGGTGCTGGAGAGGATGTGGAGAAATAGGAACAGTTTTACACTGTTGGTGGGACTGTAAACTAGTTCAACCATTGTGGAAGTCAGTGTGGTGATTCCTTAGGGATCTAGAACTAGAAATACCATTTGACCCAGCCATTCCATTACTGGGTATATACCCAAAGGATTATAAATCATGCTGCTATAAAGACACATGCACGCATATGTTTATTGCAGCACTATTCACAATAGCAAAAACTTGGAACCAACTCAAATGTCCAACAATGATAGACTGGATTAAGAAAATGCGGCACATATACACCATGGAATACTATGCAGCCATAAAAAATGATGAGTTCATGTCCTTTGTAGGGACATGGATGAAGCTGGAAACCATCATTCTCAGCAAACTATCGCAAGGACAAAAAACCAAACACCGCATGTTCTCACTCATAGGTGGGAACTGAACAATGAGAACACATGGACACAGGAAGGGGGACAACACACACTGGGGCCTGTTGTGGGGTGGGGGGAGGGGGGAGGGATAGCATTAGGAGATATACCTAATGTAGATGACGAGTTAATGGGTGCAGCACACCAACATAGCACATGTATACATATGTAACAAACCGGCATGTTGTGCACATGTACCCTAAAACTTAAAGTATAATAATAATAAAATTTAAAAAAAAATTTCTCCCATTCTGTAGGTTGTCTGTTTACTCTGTTGATAGTTTCTTTTGTTGTGCAGAAGCTCTTTCGTTTAATTAGATCCCATTTGTCAATTTTTGCTTTTGTTGTAATTGCTCCTGGTGTCTTTGTAATGAAATCTTTGCCCATGCCTATGTCCTGAATGGTAGTGTCTAGGTTGTCTTCCAGGGTTTTTATAGTTTTGGGTTTTACATTTAAGTCTTTAATTCATCATGAGTTAATTTTTGCATATAGGGTAAGCAAGGGGTTTCAATCTTCTGCATATGGCTAGCCATTTATCCCAACACTATTTATTGAATAGGGAATTCTCTCCCCATTGATTTTTTTTGTCAGGGTTGTAAAAGATCAGATAGTTGTAAGTGTGCGGTCTTATTTCTTGGTTCTCTATTCTGTTCCGTTGGTCTATGTGTCTGTTCTTGTACCAGTACCATGCTGTTTTGGTTACTGTAGCCCTGTGGTATAGTTTGAGGTCAGGTAGTGTGATGCCTCTAGCTTTGTTTCTTTTGCTTAGGATTGCCTGGGCTACTTGGGCTCTTTTTTGGTTCCCTAGGAATTTTAAAATAGTTTTTTTCTAGTTCTATGAAGAATATTAATGGTAGTTTGATGGGAGTAGCACTGAATCTATAAATTGCTTTGGGTAGTATGGCCATTTTCATGATATTGATGCTTCCTATCCATAAGCATGGAATGTTTTTCCATTTATTTGTGTCATCTCTGATTTCTTTGAGCAGTGCTTTGTAGTTCTCTTTATAGAGATCTTTCACCTCCCTAGTTACCTGTATTCCTAGGTATTTTATTGTATTTGTGGCAATTGTAAATGAGAGTTCATTTGTGATTTGGCTCTTGGCTTGACTGTTGCGGGTGTATAGAAATTCTAGCAAATTTTGCACATTGATTTTGTATTCTGAGACTTTGCTGAAGTTGCTTATCAGCTTAAGAAGCTTTTGGGCTGAGACAATGGAGTTTTCTAGATATAGAATCATGTAATCTGCAAACAGGGTTAGTTTGGTTTTTTCTCTTCCTATTTAAATGCTTTTGATTTCTTTCTCTTGCCTATTTGCTTTGGCCAGAACTTCCAATACTATGTTGAATAGACATGGTGGGAGATGGCAACCTTGTCTTGTGCTGGTTTCCTTTCTTTTTTTTTTTTTAATTAAATTAAGTTTAATTTTAAGTTCCAGGATACATGTGCAGGATGTGCAGGTTTGTTACACTGGTAAATATGTGCCATGGTGGTTTGCTGCACCTGTCAGCCCTTCAACTAGGTATTAAGCCCCGCATGCATTAGCTATTTTTCCTGATGCTCTCCCTCCCTGCAACCTTTCAACAGGCCCCATTGTGTGTTGTTCCCCTCCCTGGGTCCATCTGTTTTCATTGTTCAGCTCCCATTTATAATTGAGTACTTGCCATGTTTGGTTTTCTGTCCATGTTAATTTGCTGAGGATAATGGCTTCCAGCTCCATCCATGTCCCTGCAAAGGACGTGATCTTATTCCTTTTTATGGCTACATAGTATTTCATGGTGTATATGTACCAAATTTTCTTTATCCAGTCTATCATTGATGGACATTTGTGTTGATTCCATGTCTTTGCTATTGTAAATAGTGCTGCAATGAACATACGCATGCATGTATCTTTATAATAGAATGACTTATATTCCTTTGGGTATATAGCCAGTAATAGGATTGCTGGGTCAAATGGTATTTCTGGTTATAGGTCTTTGAAGAATTGCCACACTGTCTTCCACAATGATTGAACTAATTTACATTCCCACCAACGTGTAAAAGTGCCCCTGTTTCTCCACAGCCTCACCAGCATCTGTCGTTCCTTGGCTTTGTAATAATCGCCCTTCTGACTGGTGTGAGATGGCATCTCATTGTGGTTTTGATTTGCATTTCTCTAATGATCAGTGATGTTGAGCTTTTTTCCATATGTTTGTTGGCTGCATAAATGTCTTCTTTTGAGAAGTGTCTGCTCATGTCCTTTGTCCACTTTTTAATGGAGTTGTTTTGTTGTTTTCTTGTAAATAAGTTTAAGTTCCTTGTAGATTCTGGATATTAGACCTTTGTCAGATGGATAGATTGCAAAAATTTTCTCCCATTCTGTAGGCTGCTTGTTTGCTCTGATGATAGTTTCTTTTGCTGTGCAGAAGCTCTTTAGTTTAGATCCCATTTGTCAATTTTTGCTTTTGTTGCAATTGCTTTTGACATTTTCATCATGAAATCTTTGTGTGTGCCCATGTCCTGAATGGTATTGCCTTGATTTTCTTCTAGGGTTTTCATAGTTTTGGGTTTTACACTTAAGTCTTTTATCCCTCTTGAGGTAATTTTTGTATAAGGTGTAAGGAAGGGGTCCAGTTTCAATTTTCTGCATATAGCTAGCCAGTTTTCCTGGCACCATTTATTAAATAGGGAATCCTTTTCTCATTGCTTGTTTTTGTCTGGGTTGAAGATCAGACAGTTGTAGATGTGCAGTCTTATTTCTGAGATATCTATTCTGTTCCGTTGGTCTATGTGTCTGTTTTTGTGCCAGTGCCATACTGTTTTGTTTACTGTAGCCTTGTAGTATAGCTTGAAGCCCTGGAACATGATGCTTCCAGCTTTGTTCTTTTGGCTTAGGATTGTCTTTGCTATACGGGCTCTTTTTTATTTCCATATGAATTTTAAAGTATTTTTTTCTAATTCTGTAAAGAACGTCAATAGTAATTTAATGGGAACAACATTGAATCTATAAATTACTTCGGACAGTATGGCCATTTTTACGATATTGATTCTTCCTATCCATGAACATGGAATATTTTTCTATTTGTTTCTGTCCTCTCTTAATTGCATGAGCTGTGATTCGTAGTTCTCCTTGAAGAGGTTCTTCACTTCCCTAGCTGTATTCCTAGGTATTTCATTCTCTTTGTGAACAATTATGAATGGGAGTTCATTCATGATTTGGCTCTCTGCTTGCCCATTGTTGGTGTATAGGAATGCTTGTGATTTTTGCACATTGATTTTGTATCCCGAGACTTTGCTGAATTTGCTTATCAGCTTAAGGAGTTTTGGGGGCTGAGATGATGGGCTTTTCTAGATATAGGATTGTGTCATCTGCAAAGAGTTTGACTCTTTCTCTTCTGATTTGAGTATGCTTTATTTCTTTCTCCTGCCTGATTGCCCTGGCCAGAACTTCCAGTACTATGGTGAATAGGCATAGTGAGAGGGGGCATTCTTGTCTTGTGCTGGTTTTCAAGGGGAATGCTTCCAGCTTTTGCTCATTCAGTATGATATTGGCTGTGGGTTTGTCATAAAAGACTCTTATTATTTTGAGATATGTTCCATCAATACCTAGTTTCTTGAGAGCTTTTAACATGAAAGGATGTTGAATTTTATCAAACGCCTTTTCTGTGTCTGTTGAGATAATCATGCGGTTTTTGTCTTTAGTTCTGTTTGTGTGATGAATTATGTTTATTGATTTGCATATATTGAACTAGCCTTACATCCTGGGGATGAAACCTACTTGATCCTGGTGGATAAGCTTTTTCATGTGCTGCTGGAATTGGTTTGCTAGTATTTTATTGAGGATTTCTGCATCAATGTTCATCAGGGATATTGGCCTGAATCTTTTTTTTTTTTGTATGTATGCCAGGCTTTTGTGTCAGGATGATGCTGGCCTCATAAAATGAGTTAGGGAGAAGTCTGTCCTTTTTAATTGTTTGGAATAGTTTTAGAAGAAATGGTACCAGCTCCCCTCTGTACCTCTGGTAGGCTTCAGCTGTCTGGTTCTGGGCTTTTTTTGGCTGGTAACCTATATATTACTGCCTCAATTTCAGAACTTGTTATTGGTCTGTTCAGGGATTCAGCTTCTTCCTGGTTTAGTCTTGGGAGGATGAATGTGTCCAGGAATTTATCCATTTCTTCTAGATTTTCTAGTTTATTTGCATAGAAGTGTTCATAGTATTCTCTGATGGTTGTTTGTATTTCTGTGGGGTCAGTGGTGATATCCCCTTTATCATTTTTATTGTGTCTATTTGATTCATCTCTCTTTTCTTTTTTATTAATCTAGCTAGTGGTCTATCTTATTAATTTTTTCAAAAATCAGCCCCTAGATTCATTGATTATATTTTTGAAGGGAGTTTTTGTGTCTCTATCTCTTTCTGTTCCACTCTCATCTTGGCTATTTCTTTTCTGTTAGCTTTCAGGTTTGCTAGCTCTTGATTCTCTAGTTCTTTTAGTTGTGATGTTAGGGTGTCAATTTGAGATCTTTCTATCTTTTTTTTTGTTTTTGAGACGGAGTCTTGCTCTGTTGCCCAGGCTGGAGGGCAGTGGTGTGATCTCGGCTCACTGCAAGCTCCGCCTCAAGGGTTCACGCCATTATCCTGCCTCAGCCTCCCGAGTAGCTGGGACTACAGGCGCCTACCACCATCCCGGCCAATTTTTTTGTATTTTTAGTAGAGATGGGCTTTCCCCATGTTAGCCAGGATGGTCTCAATCTCTTGAGCTTGTGATCCGCCTGCCTTGGCCTCCCAAAGTGCTGGAATTACAGGCATGAGCCACCATGCCTGGCCTTCCTATCTTTTTGATGTGGGCATTTAGTGCTATAAATTTCCCTCTTAACACTGCTTTAGCTGCATCCCAGAGATTCTAGTACACTGTCTCTTTGTTCTCATTGGTTTTAAAGAACTTCTTGATCTCTGCCTTAATTTCATTATTTACCCAGGAGTAATTCAGAGGCAGATTGTTCAATTTCCATGTTGTTGTGTGGTTTTGAGTGAGTTTCTTAATCTTAGTTCTAATTTGATTGTGCCTTGGTCTGAGAGATGGTTTGCTATGATTTCAGTTCTTTTGCCTTTGCTGAGGAGTGTTTTACTTCAGATCATGTGATAGATCTTAGAGTAAGTGCCATGTGGCAAGGAGAAGAGTATATATGCTGTTGTTTTTAGGTGAAGAGTTCTGTAGATATCTGTCAGGTCCATTTGATCCAGAGCTGAGTTCAGGTCCTGAATATCTTTGTTAATTTTCCATCTTGATGATCTGTCTAATATTGTCAATGGAGTGTTAAAGTCTCCCACCATTATTGTGTGGGAGTCTAAGTTTCTTTGAAGGTCTCTAAGAACTTGCTTTATGAATCTGGGTTCTCCTATGATGGGTGCATATATATTTAGGATAGTTAGCTCTTGTTAAATTGAACTCTTTACCATTGTGTAATGCCTTTCTTTGTCTTTTTTGATCTTTGCTGGTTTAAAGTCTGTTTTGTCAGAAACTAGGATTCCAACCCCTGCTTTTTTCTGCTTTCCATTTGCTTGGTAAGTTTTCCTCCATCCCTTTATTTTGAGCCTATGTGTGTCATTGCACGTGGGATGGGTCTCTTGAAAACAGCATACCAATGGGTCTTGTTTTTTTTGTCTAGATTGCCACTCTGTCTTTTAATTGCGGCATTTAGCTCATTTACTAAAGGTTTAAGACTAGTATTGTTATGTGTGGATTTGATCCTGTTATCATGATGCTAGCTAGTTATTTTGCAGACTTGTTTATATGGTTGCTTTATAGTGTCACTGGTCTGTGTACTTAGTGTGTTTTTGTAGTGCTGGTAATGCTCTTTCCTTTCCATATTTAGTGCTTCCTTCAGGAGTTCTTATAAGACAGGTCTGGTAGTAAGAAATTTCCTCAGCATTTACTTGTTTGAAAGGATCTTATTTCTCCTTCACTTATGAAGCTTAGTTTTGCCAGATATGAAATTCTGGTTTGCAATACGTTTTCTTTAAGAATGTTGAATATTGGTCCCCAATCTCTTCTGGCTTGTAGGGTTTCCACTAAGAGGTCTGCTGAGATGTCTGCTGTTAGTCTGATAGGCTTCCCTTTGTAGGTGACCTGGCCTTTCTCTCTAACTGCCCTTAACATATTTTCTTTTTACAAAAATACTGTATGTATTGTAGGCTGATTTCTTTAAAAAAAAATTACGGGCTGGACGTGGTGGCTCACGCCTGTAATTTCAGTGCTTTGGGAGGCCAAGGTGGGTGGATCACCTGAGGTCAGGAGTTCAAGACCAGCCTGGCTAACATGGTGGAACCCGTCTCTTCTAAAAATACAAAAATTAGCTGGGCACAGTGGCATGCATCTGTAATCCCAGCTACTTGGGAGGCTGAGGCAGGAGAATCACTTGAACCTAGAAGACAAAGGTTGCAGTGAGCTGAGATTGTGCCACTGCACTCCAACTTGGATGAGACAGTGAGACTCCATCTCAAAATAAAATAATAATAAATAAATAAAAGTTAAAAAAATAAGATAAATAAAAATTCAAAAATTTTCATAAGCTTATCCCAAACACTTTCTTATATCAATACATATACCTTTATCCAGTGGTTTTTGAAAAATGGTTGTATCATAGTTAATCATATGAGCTTGCTTGGCTAACGTCCTATAATTGGGCATTTAGATTGTTTCTAATTTGTCATCATTATGAATAATACTTTGAAGAATATCTTTGAATGAACATTTTGTTTATGTGTAATTGTTTCCTGACAATGAATTCCTAAAATTTGTACCCTTTAAGCATGTTTATATGGATGCAGTTTGTAGTAGATTGTTTTTGCAATGCACAAATCTCTTTATATCCTTGCCCTTATCTGTAGTTCATTCCCACATTGGCTCTGTGTTTGGCAGTGTTACTTGTTTTGGACAATGGGACATCAGCATATAAGATTTAAGCACAGACTTAAAAAAGCACAATAGGGCTTGCCCTCTTGGAATGCTACCACCATATAAAGAAGTCTGGGCTGGCTTGCTGGAGACCTGTGGCTTCAAACACCAACACCAAACCACTTCAGACCATTCAGCCCAGTTGAGCTGCCCAATGATTGCAGACACATATATGGTACTTGGTAAGACTTCCATTTGAGGTCACTTCAATTCTTTTTTTGTTTGTTTGTTTTTTGAGATGGAGTCTCCCCCTGTTACCCAGGCTGGAGTGCAGTGGCATGATCTCGGCTCACCGCAACCTTCACCTCCTGAGTTCGAGTAGTTCTCGTGCTTCAGCCTCCTGAGTAGCTGGGATTACAGGCACACTCCACCATGCCCAGCTAATTTTTTGTATTTTTAGTAGATACGGGGTTTTGCCATGTCACCCAAGCTGGTCTTGAACTCCTGAGCTCAGGCAATCCACCCTCCTTGGCCTCCCAAAGTGCAAGGATTACAGGTGTGAGTCACCACACCCAGCCTGGGTCACTTCAGTTCTTAGCCTGCAGAATTGTCAGTGTTGAGGATCAGAGCATGGTACCCAAAATACGGCACCTTGGCATACGGAGTATGTTAAGCTGGAGGAAACTGAGAAAACTGCACAATCAGGCAGGTTACTCTCGATCCTTCTCCAACCTTTCTCTCTTGAAGCAAGTCATAAAAGAATTCTCTGACCTACATTCCCGGAAAGTAGGTTATAAGACCCTCATTCCAGAGGGGTCCTGTTCTATACCTGAAGTGCAAGAAGAATCTGAACAGGCCTTGTCAAGTTCCCCTAGCTTATTACCATTAGATCACACCGTTTTGTCCTCCAGTCACACTTCTGCACCACTGCCCATAAAAATACAGTTTTCCTTGGGTCTTTAGGTTTTCTCTTTGGGTCTCCCGTGTAACAACAGACATGTTAACAAGAGAAAGGGATAAAAATTCGTGATGGGTGAGGAAAAGATATTATTTCTCCTCTACATCAGCAAGTAAAATGGTTGTTGTTTAAAGCAGTGAAGCTTTAGGGTAGTGTGTTATACAGCAAAAGCTAATTGATACAAGCTTATATAGCAAATTCTTATGTTTATACATAGTTATTTTGGGGTCATTTGCAATTCCAAGTTGAAAAATGACACTAAGAGTGCTTAGTAACTGACTATATCTGCCAGTGGGTGTTTTATTAGTCTTTTGTAATTAACAGGTCATTTAATGTGGATTCTAAAGATATAAAATATCATTTCTCAATTTCTTTGGTATTAAAAACTCTCATTTTTTCTGCAGCAAGCAACTGTTTATTTGCTTAAACAATAAAAAAAGCAAATGTTTAGTGATTCCCTAGGCAAAGACAGTGTTCTATATTTACAAAAAATTGAAAAATTATTTAATCGTGACTATCAAGTTTTTAACAGAATAGCACCAGTAATTTTTTAAACAACTGTCAAACATGGTAAGTGATCATTTCAAAGGTGAACATTTTTTGTCTTAAATATTTTCCGAATTTTTTCTCTATTTTTGTGATTTGAAATTTTTACCAGAAATTAACCAAGGGTGGTTCTGTTTATGTTGACCTTTAATCTTTATACTTTGAAATTTTTCTACTCAGAAAGTTAATTTACTAAATGATTATTAGTTCAATTTTATTGGCTTTGTTACTTCTTCAGGAAGCTTCGCACTTCTTGTAGGTCTCCGTTTTCTGTAATTTAAATTGATAATCTCTACTTCATCATTTTCTAATTTTTATGTTCTACAGTTTGGAAGAATTCTCACATTTATATATCATGTCACAGATTCCATTTCTTATGTTTGCTTGTTGTTTACTGTTTATAGTGAAGATTTCAATTCTGTTATGGTAATGCATTTTTAGTTTTCTGTTCTCCTTCCTTATTTCCTTCTATGATCTTTTCACATAATGATTTTCTCTCCTCCTGTCTTTTACTCCTATTTCATTTATTTTATATGCCTCTGCTTCCTATTCAGTTTGCCAAACAGTTTTCTAAATTTTTTTTTGGTGTCAATTTTAGTCACTTTTAGGCCTGTGTACTTGTTAGCAGTGTATTAGGTCTGCCATGATAAAAGACTACAGACAAGATAGCTTAAACAACACAAATTTATTTTCTCACCATTCTGGAGGCTGGAAGTCTGAGATCAGGGTGGTGGCTGGTGTAGTTTCTTCTGAGGCCTCACCTTGCCTTGTAGATGACTGCCTTCTCACTGGGTCCTCACATGGTCTTTCCTCTGTGAACGCACATTCCTACTGTCTTTCGTGAGCTAGGATGCCTCACAAGGATGCCTCTTCTTACAAGGATACCAGTCAAATTGGATTAAGGCCTACTCTAACAGCCTCATTTTAACTTAGTCACTGCCTTTAAAGGAACTATCTCCAAATGCAATCACATCCTGAAGCTTCTAGATAGAAATTGGGGTTGGAGAGGACAATTTAACCCACAAGAGTACCTCAAGTGTAAGTACGACCTTCCCTTTTTGTCATTAATCATTGTGTGTATGCGTCATATTTTGTTGTTTTATTCCTGCTTAGTCATCTTTGCATGAGTAGAAGTGATGAGTCTAGAAATAATGTTTACAATTAGATAAAGCATATAAATTTACCTTGGAGGTGCTTTTTGTTCATTTGAATAGTTGTTTCTATTCTTTGTTTTGTGTGGCAAAATACACATAACATAAAATTTACCATTTAAAATTTTAAGGTGCATGATTTAAAGATATTAAGTGTGTTCACAATATTGTGCAATAATTACCACTCTCTGGTTCCAGAAATTTTTCATTATCCTAAATGAAAACCCTCCATCCATTAAGCGGTCACTCTCTATTCTCTTCTCCCCTCCATCTCTGGCAAACAATAATCTCTTCTTTCCCTGTGGATATGCCATTCTGGATATTTCATTAAGAGAATGGAACCATGCAACAAGTGGTCTTTTCTGTCTAGCTTTTTTCACTTAACATAATTATATTTCAACGTTTATTTATGTTGTAGCATATATCAGTACTTTATTTCTTTTATAGTTGAATAATGTTCCATTGTATGCCACATTTTGGTTAACTACTCATCTGCTGATGAACATTTGGGTTGCTTTTGACTATTATGAATACAGTTGCCATGAACATACACATACACATTTTTGTTTGAATGTCTATTTTCAATTCTTTTGGTTATGTCCTCTAGGAGTGAAATTGCTGGGTCATATGGAAATTATATGTTTAACTTATTGAGGAACTGTCAAACTGTTTTTCATAACAGACAGCTGTACCATTTTAAATTCCCACCAGCAATGCATGAAGGTTTCAATTTCTCCATATCCTTGTCAACCCTTGTTATTACCTATATTTTTTTTAACTTTGGGCATCCTAGTGGGTGTAAAGTGATATCTCACTGTGGTTTTGATTTGCACTTCCCTAATGCTGAACACCCTGTTTATATATTCTGGACACCAGAGCCTTATCAGATATTTGATTTGCAAGTATTTTCTTCTATTCTATAGGTTGTTTTTTACTCTCTTGACAGTATCCTTTGATGCAAAAAAGTTTCAAATTTTGATGAAGTCCGATTTTTATCTTCCTTCTTTTGTTGCTTGTGCTTTTGGTGTCATATTTAAGAACCACTGCCAAACTGAGGTCATAAAGATTTGCCCATATATTTTCTTCTGAGTTTTATCATTTTGGCTCTTAGATTTAGGTCTTTGATCTATTTTGAGTTAATTTTTGTATATAGTGTGAGATAGGTGGTCCAACTTCATTTTTTTAACTTGTGGATATCCACTAGTCCCAGCACCATTTTGTTGGAAAGTCTATTATTTCCCTGTTGAATGATCTTGGCGCTCTTGTCAAAAATCAGTTGGCCATAAATGTCTGAGTTTCTTTCTGTTTTCTGGTTGATTTGTAGTGTTCTCTTCCTTCTTTCCTGTCTTCCTTTTAGTGAAGCTAATTTTCTCTGGTGGTATGTTTTAATTTCTTGCTTTTTGTTTTTTGTGTGTGTCTGTTGTACGTTTTTTTTTTATTTGAGGTTACCCTGAGGCTTGCAAATAATATCTTACAACCCATTATTTTAAACTGATGACAACTTAACAGTGATTGCGTAAACAAACAAGCAAAGAGAAAACTAATACAAATTCTACATTTTAATTTCATCCCTCTGCTTTTAAACTTTTTGTTGTTTCTATTTATACTTATTGTACTGTCTTGGAAAGCTGTAGTTATTATTTTTGATCCGTTCATCTTTCTTTCTACTCAAGATATGAGTATTTTATACCCCACAATTACAGTGTTATAATATTCTGTGTTTTTCTGTGTACTTATTATTGTTGGTGAGTTTTACAACTTCAGATGATTTCTTATTGTTCATTAATGTCCTTTTCTTTCAGACTGAAGGACTCCTTTTAGCATTTCTTATAGGACAGGTCTGATGTAGATGAAATCCCTCATCTTTTGTTTGTCTAGGAAAGTCTTTATTTCTCCTTCATGTTTGAAGGATATTTTCACAGTATATACTATTCTAGGATAAACGGTTCCTTGCCTCAGCACATTAAGTAAGTCTTGCCATGCTGTCCTGACCTGTAAAGTAACCCCTGAAAAGTCTGCTGACAGACATATTGGAGCTCCATTTTATGTTATTTGTTCTTTTCTCTTGCTGCTTTTTGGATCTTTTCTTTATACTTGACCTTTGGGAACTTGATTAATAAATGGCTTGAGGTAGTCTTCTTTGGGTTAAATCTGCTTAGCATTCTCTAACTGTCCTGTACTTGAATATTGGTATCTTTTTCTAGGTTTGGAAAGTTCTCTGTTGAATAAACTTGCTACCCCATCTGTCTCTCTCTCTACCCCCAAAAAGCCAATAACTCTTAGATTTGCCCTTTTGAGGTTATTTCTAGATCTTGTAGATCTTGTAGACATGCTTCATCCTTTTTATTATTTTTTCTTTTGTCTCCTCTACTGTGTATTTTTAAATAGCCTTTCTTCAAGCTTACTAATTCTTCTGCTTAATCAATTCTGCTGGTAAGAGACTGACACATTCTTCAGTGTGTAAATTGCATTTCCAGGATTTCTGTTTGATTCTTTTTAATTATTTCAGTCTCTTTGTTGAATTTATCTAATAGGATTCTGAATTCCTTCTCTGTGTTATCTTAAATTTCATTAAGTTTCCACATAACAGCTATTTTGAATTCTCTGTCTTAAAGGTCACATATCCCTGTCTCTCCAGGATTGGTCCTGGTGCCTTATTTAGTTAACTTGCTGAGGTCATGTTTTTCTAGGTGGTCTTGATGCTTGTGGATATTTGTTGGTGTCTGGGCATTAAAGAGTTAGGTATTCATTGTAGTCTTCACAGTCTGGGCTTGTTTGTACCTGCCCTTCTTGGGAAGGCTGTCCAGGTACTGAGTGTTGTGACCTAAGCTTCTGGTCCCTGCAGCTGTAACTTCATCAGGCGGGCACCCCAAGCTCAGTAATGCTGTGTTTCTTGTAGGCTCATAGAAGTGCCATCTTGGTGTTCTGGATAAGATCCAGAAGAACTTACTGGATTGCCAGGCAGAGACTCTTGTTCTCTTCCCTTACTTTCTCCTAGAGTCCTCTCTCTGTGCTGAGCCACCTGGAGCTGGAGGAAGGGTGACACAAGCACCTCTGAGGCCACCACCACTGGGACTGCATTGAGTCAGACCTGAAGCCAGCACAGCACTGGGTCTCCAAGGCCCTTGTTAACCACCGTCAGGCTACTGCCTATGTTTTCTCAAGGACCTAGGGCTATACAGTCAGCAGGTGGTGAAACCAGCCAGATTGTTTTCTTTCCTTCAGAGCAGAGAGTTCCTCTGATCCTGGGTGAGTCCAGAGATGCCATCTGGGAGCCAGGGCCTGGAGTCAGAAACCTTAGGAATCTGCCTGGTGGTGTATTCTGCAGCTGAGCTGTCATCCAAGCCACAAGACAAAGTCCTTCCCTTTCTTCCTTCCCTTTTCCACAAACAGAACAGTCTCTCCCCATGGTCACCACCACCCTGTGCCCTTGCTGAGTACTGCCTGGCTACCACCAATGTTCATTCAAAGCCCAAGGGCTCTTAAGTCAGCTTGTAGTGAATGCTATAAAGGCCTGGGACTCTCCCTTCAGAGCAATGGGCTCCCCTCTAACCCAAAGCCAGTCCAGAAATGTTGTTCAAGAGCCAAGCCCTGGAACTGGGGACTCCAAGAGTTCACCTGGTGCTCTACCTCACGGTGGCTGAACTGGTACCTAAGTTGCAAGCAAAGTCCCCTTAACTCTTCTATCCCTTTTATCAAGTACAAAGAGTCTCTGCCCATAGCCACCACAACTGGGAATATGCTGGGTCACAACTGAAGCCAGCACATCCCTGAGTCTCACCAAAGGCCCATGGTGAGTACTACCTGGGTATCACTCCTGATTATTCAGGTCCCAAGGGCACTTTAGTCATCAGATGATAAATCCTGCCAGGATTGGATCCTTCCCATCAAGGAAGCAGTTCCCTTCTGGCCCAGGGTGTGTCTAGAATTGTCATCTCACTGGGTCACGTGCCCCCCACGTCTACTGGCTCTGAGCCCAGCACAGCACCAGGACTTGCCCAGGAATTTCAGCCTTGTGGCCTATATTGCCTTTTAAGTTTGGATAGGACCCTAGAGCACTTTAGCCTGTAAGTGGCAAGGCTCGTTGGAATTCAGGTTCTAACCTCTGGGATGGGTGATTGCCCTCTGGCTAGGTCTGCTCTAACTGCTCTCTCCATGGACACAAGCTGAGTTTTTCCCAGTGTTGCTTTCCACTGTGACAGGGAAGCACTGAGTTTCAATGCAAAGTCCCACAGTCACTGTGCTCTCCCTCTCCCAAGCATACAGATTCTCAGATTCTCTCTCTGTGCCACACAGCTGCTCCCAAGATGATGGGGGAGGGGTGGAATTGGTAATTCAAGTCTCTCTTTCCTACTTTCTTCAGTGCCTCTTTCAGTGATATGAAGTTAAAACCTGGCACTGTGATCACGCACCTGATTTTCAGTTTTTATCAAGTTTTTTTTTTGTGTGTGGACAGTTGTTCAATTTAGTATTCCCTGCAGGAAGGATGATTAGTGGAGGCTTCTATTTGGCCATCTTTCTCTGCTGCCTCCCCTGAGTTTATTTCTGAACTCTCAGTTTTATTCCATTGATCTATATATCCATACTTGTGCCAGTAACACACTGTTTTGATTATCATAGCTCTGTAGTAAGTTTTGAAATCAGAAAGCGTGAGTCCTCAAACTTTACTCTTTTTCAAGATTGTTTTGGTTATTCTGGGCACCTTGAGATTTCATATAAATTTTAGGCTCAGCTTTTTCTATTTCTAAAAATAAGTGGCTGTTGAGATTTTGATAGGGATTGCATTGAATCTGGGGATCACTTTGAGGGGTATTTTCATCTTAATAATATTAAGTTTTACAATCTACGAACACAGAACGTCTTTCCATTTATTTGTGTCTCATTTAATTTCTTACAGCAATTATTTGTAGTTTTCAGTGTACAAATCTTGTACTTCCTATGTTAAATTTATTCTTAAGTGTTTTCTTTTTGATGCTGTTATAAATGGAATTGTTTTTAAATTTTCATTTTGGATTGATCATTGCTAGTGTGTAGAAATACAACTGATTTTTTTTTGCATGTTACTTTTGTATTCTGCAATTTTGCAAAACTTGTTTCTTAGCTATAACAATTTTTTATGGGTGACTTTGGATTTTCTATATAAGTCCATGAGATCTACAAATAAATATATTTTTACCTCTTCATTTCCAATTTGGATGTATTTTATTTGTTTTTCTTGTCTAATTGCCCTAGAATTTCTAGTACAATGTTGAATAGAAATAGCAAATGACAGCATGCTTGTCATGTTCCTGATCACAGGGAAAAACTTTCACCATTGAGTATAGCGTTAGCTGTGGGGTTTTTATAAATGCCCTTTATCATGTTGAGGAGGCTCTTTTCTTTTCCTATTTTGTTGTGTTTTTTTAAAAATCATTAAAAGATGTTGGATTTTGTGAAATGTTTTTTTCTGCATCAATTGAAATGATTGTGTGATTTTTTTTTCTCCTTCATTTTATTAATCTGGTATACTGCTGTATTCCTCTGTTTTTGTGCTGCTGATAAAGACATACCTGAGACTGGGAAGAAAAAGAGGTTTAATTGGACTTATAGTTCCACATGGCTGGGGAGGCCTCAGAATCATGGCGGGAGGCCAAAGGCACTTTTTACATGCCAGCAGCAAGAGAAAAAATGATGAAGCAAAAGTGGAAACCCTTGATAAACCCATCAGATCTCGTGAGACTTATTCACCATCATGAGAATAGCAGGGGAAAGACTGGCCCCCATGATTCAATTACCTCCTCCTGGGTCCCTTCCTCAACACGTGGGAATTCTGGGAGATACAATTCAATTTGAGATTTGGGTGGGGACACAGCCAAACCATATAATTTCACTCCTGGCCTGTCCAAATCTCACGTCCTCACATTTCAAAACCAATCATTCTTTCCCAACAGCCCCCCAAAGTCTTAACTTGTTCTAGCATTAACCCAGAAGTCCACAGTCCAAAGTTTCATCTGAGACAAGGCAAGTCTCTTTTGTCTATGAGCCTGTAAATTAAAAGCAAGCTAGTTACTTCCAAGATACAAAGAGGGTACAGATATTGGATAAATACAGCCATTCCAAATGGGAGAAATTGGCTAAAACAAAGGGGTTACAGGGCTCATGCAAGTCCAAAATCCGGCTGGGCAGCCAAATTTTAAAGCTCCAAAATGATCTCCTTTAACTCCAGGTCTCACATCCAGGTCATGCTGATGCAAGAGGTGGGTTCACATGGTGTTGGGCAGCTCTACTCCTATGGCTTTGCAGGGTACAACCTCCCTCCCGGCTGCTTTCATGGGCTGGTGTTGAGTGTCTGTGGCATTTTTAGGTGCATGGTGCAAGCTGTCAGTGGATCTACCATTCCAGGATCTGGAGGATGGTGGGCCTCTACTCACAGCTCTACTAGGCAGTGCCCCAGTAGGGACTCTGTGTGGGGGCTCCCACCCCACATTTTCCTTCTACATGGACCTAGCAGATGTTCTCCATGAGGGCCCCACCCCTGCAGCAAACTTTTGCCTGGGCATCCAGGCATTTCCATATATCTTCTGAAATCTAGGCAGAGGTTTCCAAAACTCAATTCTTGGCTTCTGTGCACCCACAGGCTCAACACCACATGGAGGCTCCCAAGACTTGGGGTTTCTACCCTCTGAATCCACAGCCTGAGCTGTACATTGGTCCCTTTCAGCCATGGCTGGAGCAGCTGGGACACAGGGCACAGAGTTCCTAGGCTGCACACAGCATGGGGAACCTGAGCCTGGCCCACAAAACAGCTTTTTCCTTTTGGGCCTTTGAGGCCTTTGGGCCTGTAATGGGAGGGGCTGCCATGAAGGTCTCTGACATGGCCTGGAGACATTTTCCCCATGGTCTTGGGGATTAACATTAGGCTCCTTGCTACTTATGCAAATTTCTGCAGCTGGCTTGAATTTCTCCTCAGAAAATGGGGTTTCCTTTTCTATCGCATAGTCAGGATGCAAATTTCCCAAACTTTGATGCTCTGCTTCTCTTATAAAACTGAATGCCTTTAACTGCACCCAAGTCATGTCTTGAATGCTTTGCTGCTTAGAAATTTCTTCTGCCAGCTACCCTAAATCATCTCTCTCAAGTTCAAAGTTCCACAAATCTCTAGGGCAGGAGTAAAATGCCACCAGTCTCTTTGCTAAAACATAACAAGAGTCAACTTTGCTCCAATTCCCAACAAGTTCCTCATCATCTGAGATCACCTCAGCCTGGACCTTATTGTTCACATAAATATCAGCATTTTGGGAAAAGCCATTCAACAAGTCTCTAGGAAGTTCCAAATTTTCCCACATTTTCCTGTCTTCTTCTGAGCCCTCCAAACTGTTCCAACCACTGCCTGTTACCCAGTTCCAAAGTTGCTTCCACATTTTTGGGTATCTTTTCAGCAACACACCACTCTTGAAATGAATTTACTATATTGGTCTGTTTTCATGCTGCTGATAAAGACATACCTGAGACTGGGAAGAAAAAGAGGTTTAATTGGACTTACAGTTCCACATGGCTGGGAAGGCCTCAGAATCATGGTGGGAGGCAAAAGGCACTTCTTACATGGTGGCTGCAAGAGAAAAAATGATGAAGCAAAAGTGGAAATCCTTGATAAACCCATCAGATCTCATGAGACTTATTCACTATCATAAGAATAGCATGGGAAAGACTGGCCCCCATGTTTCAATTACCTCCTTGTGGGTTCCCCCCACAACATGTAGGAATTCTGGGAGATACAATTCAATTTGAGGTTTGTGTGGGGACACAGCCAAACCATATCAACTACGTTGATTGATTTTTGTATGTTGAACCAACCTTGCATTCCTGGGATAAAACCCTGTTAATCATGATATATAAGCCTTTTAACATGCTGCTGATTTCAGTTTTCTAGTCTTTTATTGGAAATTTTTGCTTTCATCTTCCTAAGGAAAGTGGCTTTGGTATCAGGGCAATATTGACCTCATAGAATGAATTAGGGAATATTCTTTTCTCTTTTCTTTTTCAGAAAGAAATTAAGAAGGATTGTTATTAACTCTTTAAATGTTTAATAGCATTCACCAGTGAAGCCATTTAGTCCTGGGCAGTCATGTAGGGCAATTCTTCTAGCAACCAACTTCATCAGCTTTCGTTTCTCGCGGCATATCTTGATTTTGCCTTCATTTTTGAATGATAGTTTTGCCAGGTATAGCATTCTTTGTTGATAAGTTTGTTTGTTGGTTTGTTTTTTTAATCAGCACTTTAAATGTCATTTCACTACCTTCTGGCCTTCATGGTTTCTGCTGAGAAGCCAGATGTTAATCTGATTGAGATTCCTTGTATGCAATGAATCGTATGTCTCTTGGTGCTTTCAAGAGTCTGTCTTCGTCTTTGTCTCCCAACAGTTGTATGATTATAGTGTGTCTTGGTGTGGAACCTCTTTACATTTATTTTTCTTAGAGTCAGTTCAGCTTCTTGGATGTGTAGATTCACATTGTTCTTCAAATTTGGAAAGTTTTCAGCCATTATATTTTCAAATATTCTTTCTGCCCCTTTTTCTTTTCTCCTGAAACTCCCATTATGTGCATATTGGTATATTTGAAGGTGTCTCACATGTTTCTTAGACTCTGTTCATTTCTATTCACCCTTTTTTTCTGCTCCTGAAAGTGTATTTTTTTCCTTTTCTTTTTCTTTTTTTGTAGAGATAGGGTTTTGCTATATTGTCCATGCTGGTTTTGAACTCTTGGCTTCAAGTGATTCTCTCACCCCAACCTCCCCAAGTGCTGGGATTGCAGGCGTGAGCTACTGCACCTGGCCTAAGTAAATAATTTCAATTTGACTTATGTTCAAGTTTGCTGATTCTTCTGACAGCTGAGATATACTGTCATGATGACTTTTTATTTCTGTTATTTAAACTTTTCAGCTCCAAAATTTCTATTTGGTTTGTTTTTATAATTTCTTCTTTTTATTGATATCGTCTACTTGCTGAGACATTGTTCTTTTGGTTTCCTTTTTTTGTTTGTTTATGGCTTTCTTTAGCTCTTAAGCACTTTACAGACAGTTGACAGTTGATTTAAAGATTTTATCTAGTAAACCCAATGTCTGGGTTTCCTCAAGGACAGATTCTGTTAATTTCTTTTTTCCTTAGACTGGGTCATATTTTCTTATTATATGCATGCTTTGTAGTTTTTAGTTGAAAATTGGATATTTTGAACTTTATAATTTGATAACTTTGAAAATCATACTGTCTTCTCAGTGTAGAAATTTTTTTGTCTTTCTTATTGAGGGTAATAGTTCTTTTGTTTAGTGACTTTCCTAAGCTATTTTTCTGGGATCTTCTTTGTTGATCCCTGAAGTTTCTGGTTTTTTTTCTCAGCTTAATAGCCAGCCAGCTGTTTGACAGAGATTTACCTAGATGTCAAAAAAAGAAATTAATCTGCAGATCTTTTCTGATTGGCTGTGTTGGACACTCCTGAATGCTTAGCCAGGCTGTTTACAACCATGAATTAGTGTTTATTTCTTGCTTATGCTAAACCACAAGATCAGCTAGAAGTGAAAACTTATGGTCTTTTCTGTGCATACATCCTGCCTTGGGTATACATGTGACTTTCTAGATTGCCTAGTGCTCAAAGAAGCATTTCAAATCCCTTATTCCCCAAAGAGTCTCACTCCCCAGCTTTTCCTACCCAGCTTTTGTCATGTCTATTGTTTGCTTCAATTCTTGATTTTTGTCTCAGGTGGTAGCTGCTTGTTCATTTATCTTTCAATGTTTTTGAAGAATGTCCTCAACTCTGAAAGGGTTCCAAGTTAGGCAATAGAAAGGCAGGTCCATTGTGTCAGTTCTTCAGGAAACCCCAAGTTGGATCAAAACAAATGTGATTCCTTGGGAACAAGGTTTTCTCTACGTCCTTCAGGACCATATATTTATACTGGGGATTCAGGCTGCCATCTTCAAGATTACCATCAAGCCAAGGAGGTGGGTGGGGAAAGGGTAAATTAAAATGCCACAAAGCTCTCTTACTGTGTCTTAGTGACCTTTCTTTGGTTAGTGACCTCTCTTGGTTGCTGTAAACCTTTTTCCTATCTTCCACAGTTCCAATAAGGATGATCTTGACAGTTTTTCCCATATTTTTGGTTTTCTGGGGAGGCACAGGCCCCTTAAGGTCCCTACTCTGCCATCTTTAATGATGTTACCAAGCCACTTCAATGATGTTTGAATCCCTTTTCTATGTCTTCATTTGGATACCAGATTGATCCAAAACTACTAATTTAGTTTAATTTCTTCTAGTATAGTTTCTTCTTTGATGATTGTAGAGAATAATGGTGAGGTTTTTTTTTTCTGGCTCAATGTCTGGCTCTCAGATATGCTGAAAAGATGAACTATCTGAAAAACTTACCTTCCAGAATTAATTACTAGAAGCTCTTCTGGTTTTTATTCTGCTTTTCTATAAGCCAATTTTTAAACCTTTTTTATGGATTCCCCCTTCTTTGGCCCAGCCCTAAATGGTGGAGTCCTTCAGGGATCAATTATAGAATTTCTTCTCATTCTATATTCTCCTAGAAGATATTATAGTCTCTTAAGCCTATAAATACTGTAGACACCCCAATGACTCCATAATTGATATCCCCAGTCTATTGTTACTTGTTGAGTTCCAGACCCAATTGCTATACCACATTTCTGCTTAGAGATCTCGTACTATCTTAAAATAAATGAATTTAAAAACTGAACGCTTAGTTTTACTTTTGCAATTATTTTTTTTCTCAGTTCGTTCCTATCTTAATAAATAACACTTCTACCCATCCAGTGGTTCTCTAGGAATTTTGGGGTCATCCTTGATTCCCCATTCCTCGTTATCACCAGACTTACTGATTTAAAAAAAAATCAAAAAACACAGCTGCAGGCCCTTGCAAGGAGAAATAAAAAATGTCAAGACAGTGGAAGTGTGAAAAAAAGAGGAAGTGAGTCTCAAGAGTTGAAAGCTGTAAGGAGTTTAGGGGCTTAGAGACTTAAAAGATGATAATTAAGAACCAGTGGCTCACTCCTGTAATCCCAGCACTTTGGAAGGCCAAGGCGGGTGGATTGCTTGAGCCCAGGAGTTTGAGGCCAGCCTGGGCAACATGGCAAAACCCCGTCTCTACAAAAAATATAAAAATTAACCAGGTGTGGTGGTGCATGCCTGTAGTCCCAGTTACCTGGGAGACTGAGGTGGGAGGATCGGTTGAGCCTTGGAGGTCAAGGCTGCAGGGAGCACAGATTGGGCCACTGCACTCCAGCCTGGGTGACAGAGTGAGACCCTTGTCTCAAAAAAAAAAAAAAAAAAAAAAAAAAAGCAACCAACATTGAAAGTTATGAGGAAGGATGTCAAACTTAGTAGTGCTGTGAATTTTTACCAGTATTTTAAAGTGAAAAATTTAAACTTGAATGTTTGGGAATTTAGGGTATAGTAGGAAATATCAGCAATGTTAATAGGATTTTATGCATGAAGAAGTTATAGAAAATTTATACATTATCTTATTTTATTCACATAGCAGTCTGATCACACATGGTCCAAGGACACTCAAATAAGAAGTCAAATATAATCAGATGTTAAAGGCTGATTTTCAAACATTATAGCCAATAACACCTTGCTCACCTGTGATCTCACTGATATAAAACCATGTCCGCACCTCAGTGGCCTGCAAAACATTCAGCACAGCTTTTTAAAATATAAGCTATTTAAAGCACTGTTGATCATCTTATCCAGGCTCTAAGTATCTGCAGTGATCTCGGCAGGGGTTGGAGGATCCAACCTCTCCTGACATAGTGTCAAAATGTGGCCAAAGGAGGTTTCCAGTAAGTGTGAACTAAATGATGAGAACTCATGGACACAAAGAGGGGAACAACAGACACTGGGGGCCCATTGGAGGGTGGAGGATGGGGGGAGGGAGAGGAGCAGAAAAATTAACTATTGAGTTACTAGGCTTAGTACCTGGGTCATGAAATAATCTGTACATCAAATCCTCATGACAGGAGTTTGCCTATATAACAAGCCTGCACAGGTACTCCTGAGCCTGAAATAAAAGTTAAAAAAAAAAAAAAAAAAAAAAAAAAAAGTAGGTTTCAGGAAACTCACAGCAGTGTTTGTCAGAGCCCCAGAGCCTTCTCAGTGAGGTAACAGGCAAATTGGACTGTGGTTCTAGAATGGAAAGTTCATTACCCCAATGGCTGGCTGAATTGGGCATAGATATAAGACTGATAACAAGAAAGGATTCCAGGAAGTAGAGGTGTGGAAAGAGATTAGTGCTTTAGCCATGAATTTGAATTGGCAGTGACACATGAGAAATCTGGGGTGAGGGAGGAGAGGGAAGTCAATAATCATTTGGGTGAGGGATCACT
The DNA here is from genome assembly GCF_000001405.40 of Homo sapiens. Taxonomy (NCBI): domain Eukaryota; kingdom Metazoa; phylum Chordata; class Mammalia; order Primates; family Hominidae; genus Homo; species Homo sapiens. The sequence goes on along the minus strand of NC_000002.12, from coordinate 169,038,479 downwards.
CAGCGAAGCCTTGAGAAGTCATCGGAATGAAGATTTGAGATGAGTCATTGAAGAATCACTTAGTTGTACTGTTCTTTCCTTTTCTCAGTTTTCTTAGCTGGACTTCCTTTTTTTTTTTTTTTCCTTTCTTGTGTCATTTTCTCAATTCCCTATAATAAAATCTTCAGAATATATGAAATTGTGTGTGTGTGTGCGTTTGTCTATACCTTTTTGCAAAGTAATAATGCAATTTAATTTCTGAAGCTATCTAGAAATGTAAGAGATATCAATTGGCATATAAAAGACCATCTCAGTAATGACGACTTCATTATTTTGCATTGCATAAAACCTGGAGGTCTTTGGTTAGAAGGTTTGTTCACTGGTTCAGTCATACCACCAAGGCTCAGGTTCTTTGTCTCTCTCCATCCTGCCATTCTCAGCATGTGGCTCTCCATTATTTGGTATGCCACCTCATGGTCACCAAATGGCTGCTGCATCTCTTGATATCACATTCTCACACATGAGTGTTGAAAACAGAAAAAAAAATCTAAGGGCAAAATAACTTCTCTTGTTAAAATGCCATCTTTTCGTCAGAAAAAAAAAATTTCCCAGAAGGATCTCCACAGATTTTCTTCTTATATTTCACTGAACAGAACTGGGTCACATGTCTTAACTCCATTCTATCAAAAGGAGTAGGGGAATGGAATGACCATGACTGATTTAGACTTTGGAGCTGGGGCTAGGCCTGGAGCCCACCTTCCCTGAATGTGTTTCTTTCCAAACTTAGGGTTTTGTTAGTAAGGAAGAAAGTACTAACATCAAATAGTGACTGTCAGACAAGATAGAGTAAGGCAATTGGCAAAGGTCTTTAAGGAGCAACTTGGCTTTGTGGAGGGGGTATATGTTTGGAGCCCTGTGGGCTTGGGCTTAAATCCTACTTATCACACGTGCATCTTTGGACAAGTAAATTATTTAACCTCTGAATCTCAGTTTTCTCATTAACCGGAGAGATGAGTTATTATCTTGAAGAGAATAAATAAGTTACTATGTATAAAGCACTAGCCTAGAGCCATTTTGTCCTACCTCAGTTTGAGGTTTGGTGCCCAAACTCAGGGTCCCTGTAGTTAACTGTTCTTAATCATTGTTTTTTAAAATTGTCACCCCCAAATGTGTGCCTAGTCAGTGAGAAGCAATGAATTAGTGGCCCAGGTCTAGACAGCTTATGGCTTCAGAGCAGTGTTTCACAACCTAAGTTTCCTGGAGTCGTGAGGAGTCACCCAGGGTTAGTAAGGGTGGAACTGGAAAGTTATGAACAGCCATATGAAACATAACAATAAAAATAATATGTCTGCCTTCCTTTTTTCCCCTTCAAAGATAAAAATATTAGTTTAACGACATTTATAACAACATTTACTTAGATCGAAAAGCTCATATAGAGAACTGAATCTTGATTTCATGAGGCAACTAGATTGCTGACCAAAGATGTGTTGACTAATTTGGTGAAACTAGTTTCTTATTACCTAAGCATGTTGCATTGAGTATGAATTGCCTTGCTTTAAGCTAGGGAGTAGTAGGCACCACCCACAGCTTACTTATAACCACTTGACATAGATCACTGTGACCTATGCTTGACTATTAACAAGCACCCACTTCTTATCACCTCCTCTTCCACCTCAACAAAGGAATAGTTTCCACGACTGAAACATGACTTTAAGAAGGGAGGTGTCCTGGATAAAGCCAAGACATGAAAATCCAATCTACCCATACCCCCAGGCAGACTTGCCCCTTGCGAGTGATAAATTCTACAGTTCAAATGAGTATTCAACACTGCAGGCACAATTACTTATAATTGACTTTTGTTCTGTAGCAGAATTCTCTCTGATTCCTCTTCTTTATTTATTTCACCTATTTCTTTTCATTTGGCAATTATAAAGGTACCCTTATAATTTTTATAACTTTATGCACAATAATGAGCCTTCAGGGAAAGACAAGAACTACCGCACTCAAAAACATCAGAAAAGATTTGCTTATGAATGAAGTCCATATTTTTTGTGCTGGTTTTCCTCATTAGAGGGAGAACCAAAAATATAAATTCTAACCAAGTACTGAGTGCTGTGGAGATCAATGTATTTCATTTAGATAACTATAAATGACAACTTGCTAGGATTGTAATTAGTCTTATTTGGCGTTATTAATTCTACAGAGGGAGCATAAAACATTTAATAATACATTGGACTTACTCAACTCACTATTTCTTACTTTCGTCCTTAAGATCATCTTAAAGGAAACATGGTTTGAAGACCATAATGAAGTGTTGTATGTGCCCACTATTTTACTCTAAATGGCCCACAAGTGAGGCCTGAAGGAATTCCAGGAGCCCTACCCAGACATGATGTGGAGGTGGAGCAAACTAGGCACTGAGCCAAAGGGGATCAGTGATAGCCAGCTTTTGGGAGAGCCAGATGAGGCAGAGAGCTGGGATAGGGTGGATCTACCTCCAGGTTCAGGACATTCAGGGCACACCACTGAGCAGGAGCATCAGGTACCATGACACAGGGCTGGTCTGTGTTAGGATAAAGCAAGTTCTTAATGGGCTTTGAATCCACAGAAACTTTGCTTGTGATGTCCAGATGACGGCCCCATCCCTTCTGCAGAAGTCAGAGTTTTCCCAGAAAAAAAGCAATGACTGAACTACAGCTAATATTTGGAGAACACCCACATAGTTGTACTCTCTATGTATTTCTAAAAATCATTAATAAAATTTTATTATGCATTATTATTGATATTTCCTTTGTCATATTCATTATTTTCATTTAATAACTTATATGTTTAAAAAATAGTTTACCCTTATTGTATATAATTTAGAAGATGCAGAAAAGCATGAGGAAGAAAATGAAAACCACCCTCATTCACATTTGCATAACCTACAGATAAGCACTTTTTATATTGTACTTCTTCCAGTCTTTTCTACATGTGTACATGACAAAATTAGGAATACACTAATTTTGGTAGGTAAAAAAATATACACAATTCAATTAAATGGCTACTTGGGGGAGGAACTCCCAATCCAGAATCTATGGCACAGGGAAGTTCAGGCAGGCCTCATCATCCTGTGCAGGTGGTATTCTCACTCCCATTTTACAGATGAAGAAACTGAGGCTAATGGAGATTAAGTAACTTGTCCAAAGTTAGATAGCTAGTAAGTGAACACAAACCTTTGTGATTTCAAAGACCATCTCTTGAGATTGGTTAACTTTTAACTAAACCTCCCAGACACACAGCCTGACCTTATCTTCCAATCTTTCTTGCAGTTAGGTGTGGTTATGTGGCACAGTCCTCTCCAGTGGAATCTGAGTAGAAGTAATGGATGCCACTTCCAGGATTGGCCCACAGGAACTTTCCATACAAAATGCTCCATATTTTCTCTTCCCTGTGTGATGGATACATGTCCATGTCCAAGGAGACCTTAAAAGCCACATGTTGAGGATGGTAGAGCTTCTGTCAGCCTGGGTCTCTGAATGACTGCATGGAGCAGAGCACCTTTGCCCAACACCGATTTCCCCTTATTCAAGGCCTACTGGACTTCACATGAGGGGAAATAATTAGCAAGTATCACTACCTTAACCAAATCATCCAACAAGTAAGTGGCAAAACCAGGATCTAAAGCCAGTTCTTTGTGACTTCACAAGCCTGTGCTCTTTTCACTATACCATTCTGCCTCCCTCTGCAGTCAACTAAACTACAGAAATTGTGTCCTTCCACACAGCTTGCTTTAAAAATACATAAGCTACCTAAGAAAGCTCTAATTTAGACATTTTTCTCTCTGCTAGTCTCTATGCCACAAAAAAACATAGCCAATTATATTGTGTTAACTGACTCATGCTGGCTTTACACAATTTATATTGATTTTCAGGGTGGTAATAACCAGCTTCTGTGATTGGTGTGCATGTGCAAGACTTCCTGCCTAACCCATCCTTCTTGTGGCTCAGCTTTGTAAACACTGGCCCTGGGTGGCCGTGAACAGAAGTTCTTATCTTAGACTGCATGCAACTCATCCTACTGGCACTGAAAGCCCTTCTTTGTCTTTCTTCACCTACTTAAGCAAATTTACAAGCCACTTTTTGCCTCTTCTCTCAGCAGCCATCTTGGTCCTTTCAATGTTGCCTGTGTGCACTCATGCTGTATTTATGACCTGGTCCCTCTCATACTTTGAGATATAACTCAAGTCCTTCCTTCTTTGAGAATCCATACTGATGGGTCACTTTTTAAATACTTAAGGTCTGCATCAAACATTATAACATTTGCTGTTCTTCTTTTTTATTCTTACTTGGTTTATATACTAAGCTTTATTATCCTTTTAAGGTTAAAACTTTCTCAAGGACACTAACTGTAATGTGTACAACTTGGTAGCCAGCGTAACATTTGACATAGTGTCTTGTAAAAAGAAGATACTCAATCAGTTTTTGAATGATTCAAAGAGTAAAATAATGGCAACTTCTTTTATCTCTTCCATAGTGCAATCTTCAATATTTTTTAAACAACTATTGGCTGAATTCTACCATTGTGGTTTAGAGCTTTCTCTGAGACATTTTTGCTAAGGTTTTGAAACAGGTTCCAAATTGGTCCACAGTGACCTCCAAGGCTCTACAGGAGTGGTCCTCAAGCTTCAGCTCATTGGGCCCCACTCCCAGAGTTTCTGATTCAGTAGGTCTCAGGAAAGGACCAAGAACATACATTCCTACTGGGTAATGAGGAGGCTGCTGCTGGTCCAGTAGTCACACTTTCAGAGCCACTGCCCTGTGAGCTCATGGCACTCCATGATTCCCGCCACACTGACATAATCCCCAGCTGACTTCAGTCTTGCTTACTCCACTCCAGGTTCAGCTTCCTTACATACACCAGGCATGCTCCTGCCCAGAGCTTTGCCCATGTGGTTTCCCCAGATACCCATGTACTTGTTCCTTTACCTCCCTCAGGTCATTCCTCATATGTCACCATCTCAGTGGGCCCTTCCATAAAACCCAGTTAAAAATGGCAACATCCTTCTCCCCTCACACGCTAACTGACACACACACATACACAAACACACTCTCTCTCTCACACAGCATACGTACACACACTCCCTATCATATCCCTTTCCTGCAATGCTTTTCTCCATACCATTTACACCATCTGATGTATTGTATGTGTTACTTCTTTGTCTCCTCTCTATACTGCCCCCTCCCTGCCCCCAGAATGTAAGATTCCTGAGGCAGAGATTCTCGTCTGTCTTATTCATTCCTGAATCCCAGAACTGAGAACAGTGTTTGGCACATAAACATTCAAAAAGAGCCGGTATTTTAATTGGGTGACTGTAGGGACCACAACCCTACCTATTTTCAGACCGTGAACCATAAAGAAGACAAGCTTATAGCTGAAGTGAATTAAGCACGATCAACTCAGTACTCACACTGCCCAGATGTGTCTGGCCAGCATGAGGGTGCAGAGGAAGACACCCTGAACTCTCCAGGGCCCTGGACAGATGGCCACTCTGTCTTCACTTTTCTCATCTATAAGATGAAGTTGTTGGATGATATATCAATATTTACAATGTTGTTTCTAGCTCTAAAACTCTATGCTTTTATCTTCCCTTGGATCTTCATGGCACCAGAAGGAAAGTCTTAGGACCCTTGGACCTGTGAGCAGATCAGCTATAGTCCTGAGTTGACAAATTTCTCTTGGCATTTTTACCCTTTGACTGCTGTCAATAACTTCAGCACAGCAAAGGTAGCAAAATTCTATTGGGAATCTTTTCCCAATCAAAGCTACAGCCCCATAGCTGTGTTGCCTTTTTGGTTTTGTGTGAAGCAAAATTTTTTTCCTGGGTCCTAATTGGTGCCAAATCCAATATTACTACATTTGCGTCAACTCAGAAGTCAACCCATTCAGTTTGCATAGAGGAAACATCTAGAAATCTTGCTTTTCTTTGCTGACCTTGATATATTTGAGATTTGAACATATAATAACATATAAAATTATATGTTATAATTTTGGGTTTTATGGGCTAAGTCATAAACCATCTTATACATAAATTCCAATAGAGAAAAAATGGTGGATGCTGAATTTTAATAAAAAATTTATGACAGAGAAACCTAAAATTGAGAAAATTTGATCTTACAGTTTAATTTCTGCAAATTAAGAAGCACTGGCCCATCAATTGCATTTCAGAGCACAGAGTGGAAGAAGGTTAGCACAGACTGGCATGTGGCTTCACATCTACTAGTTGTTACACCTTAGGAGGATTATTTAACCTCTCTGTGCTTCAGTTTCCCCAACTATAAAATAGAAATGACATGATAGCACCCAACTCCTAGGGCTGTTGAGAGGCCCAAATGAGGTGATACAAATAACATTTTTGAAGTGGGCCAGGCACCCAACCAAGTCTTGACCAATGTTGCCTATTATTATTCATTGCTGAAGGCTGGAGTGAGAGGCATTTAGGGAAAAGTAAGCTCAGGCAAAGGAGAAAAAATAAGAACATTGTAGGAAAAATGGAAAGATTCACAAGAAGGGAGAGGAAGAGGCAGCACAAATATATTGGAGGAGCTCCACATGCTTATTTGACTCAAGACCTGTTCATTTGAACCTTTAGAAAATCGTTCATCTTTGCTTATACAGAGCTTCATCTGGTGTGTCCATGCCAGGGTGCAAGAGTTGTCTGTGCACTCAGACTTTTGAGCAAGGCTGTTTCAAATGTTCTTTTAGGGTATTTGTCTCCACAAAACTCTATAGCTGGGCCAGGAGCATCTGGATCCTGCAACCAGGGATTTTCCAAGAGCAATCTTTTATATTGAGGGGGAAAGTTTAAAGGTATTTTTTTTTTTTGTCTTGTTATGTTTTTAAGTAACTTTTCACAACTACAGGCCTGTAAAAAATAAGGGTTGGGATAGCCTGAATTCCAGGGCTCTTGCTGGGCCCACTCTGCTCAATTTGCCTCTCGTTCCAAGGTGAATCAGCAATTTCCAAGGCCTGTTGACACCCTCAGAGGGTTTCCCAAGCACACTCTGTGTTTGGGGTTATTGCTCTGAGTATGTTTCTCGTATGTCACTGAACTGTGCTTGGGCTGCCCTTAGGGACATTGATCCTTAGGCAAATAGATAATGTTCTTGAAAAAGTTTGAATTCTGTTCAGTGCTTTAGAATGATGAAAACCGAGGTTGGAAAAGGTTGTGAAACCTTTTAACTCTCCACAGTGGAGTCCATTATTTCCTCTGGCTTCCTCAAATTCATATTCACAGGTAAGTAACTTATACTTGTCTCTGCAAATCCATTCCCTCTTCCCTTTAACTCTTACTTTGTGGAGTGGAGTGTTTCTGGTTTATTAAACATTGGTCTCTTGTCCAGTGTAAACAACGCTACAATACTTGGATAGAAACTTACAGGATGCATTAATGATTTCACAACATTGTATACAATACAGATGACTCTTGGTTGCTGTCTTCTTTATAGCAATGCTATTTCATGTATCAATCTCTTAGAGAGAGAGAGAGTGGTGTACATGGGTGTGTGGTACAAATGGCCGAATAGATTGAATAATCTGCTCAAAGTAAAAATACCAGTGGGCTTCTTTTTTAACTTGGCTTTGTGAAAGCACAATTCTGTTTGCTCTGATAATCACAGATTCAATGATCACAAATTCTACCCTTGAAAGCTGGTTTAATGCAGAACTACACCGACTTTATCTTTTCTCCAACACCGTACTCATTTCTTCATTGTCCCGGTTTTCAAAAATATAGATGCAAAAAAAAATGAGCTGTGGATGCATGTTTAGAGGGGAGAAAGTTTGTTTCTAGGATCTAATTTCAGTTTTTAGGTCACCCAAGCCAGTGGGAGTCACATATTGCTAATGGCTTGAGCACAGAGATCAAATATTATTCACACTTCAGACTGGGAATAAAAGACAGTATTTGTCAACATTTTGAGGGGGAATAGCTTTTTAGAGATGTTAGAGACAAATTATAGTGGTTATACCTAAAACTTTTTAATATTAGGAGTTAGTAGTGGTTTTTATTAAACATTTGAAGTGATAACTTATTTATGAGCTGTTGTTTAATAGAAGTTCTTTTCTGTGGGCAACCTCGTCCCCTCACTGCTCACCCCCCTCACCTTGGTTCCCCCTGCTGTGCTCTGTAACACTGTGATTGTCTCTGGTTGAAGCCTCCATTTCCCTGTCTAGGAGCTTCTGTTTACACTCCACCCCACTCTAGATTGCAAGCCCCTTGAATAATTTTTGTTTCCTAGTACCAAGAATAATGGTGACAAATATTAGGGGATGACTCCTAAAAATGGATTAAGAAGCTATTTAGGGGGAAAATGCCCATTTTGTGGTTTTAAAAGATGCTACAATTGCCATAAAATGCCCAAGTTTCATTGCAGAAATCAAATACTGGAGTTGTGTTTTGCTTGGTCAAGAGGAAAGAACTGGCCGGGCGCGGTGGCTCACGCCTGTAATCTCAGCACTTTGGGAGGCCGAGGCGGGTGGATCATGAGGTCAAGAGATCGAGACCATCCTGGCTAACACGGTGAAACCCCGTCTCTACTAAAAATACAAAAAATTAGCCGGGCGCGGTGGCGGGCGCCTGTAGTCCCAGCTACTCGGGAGGCTGAGGCAGGAGAATGGCGTGAACCCGGGAAGCGGAGCTTGCAGTGAGCCGAGATTGCGCCACTGCAGTCCGCAGTCCGGCCTGGGCGACAGAGCGAGACTCCTCTCAAAAAAAAAAAAAAAAAAAAAAAAAAAAGAGGAAAGAACTGTACATTTAGAGACAAAGAATCGCTGTGGCAGTTAACTTTGGTGTTACATTCTGTTTTCTTCCTAAGCAATTCTTTAGTCCTCTACCTCAACGGTGCCTCTGAAGAAAGGACTTACGTGGCCAATGGGATCACCGTGTATTTATTTCCCTTCCCTATCAGCCATAGCCCTCAGGGCTGGAAGGGCCTCATTTTAGTCTATTCCCAGACTGGGTCACCCACAGTGTTGACACACAGCATCAACCGACAGTGAGCTTATCTGGAAAATAATGCCTTTCTATTTTCTTTGTTTCTTAGCATATATTAAATGTTTCTTTCCTTCTCTAATAATCTTTTAGATAAAGAAATCATTTGCTGAGCTGATAATAACAAAAGTATCCTACCTACATTTTTAAATGTCAGCAGTGAAAGACGTTTTAAGGGCTTTAAAAAAAAAAAAAAGAAAGAAAAGAAAACTGTAGTTTAGAAAGGACATCCAAATTGAAGAGGAGCAGGGGCAGTTCTGTTCTCTCTGAGCAGCTCTGTGAAGGGGGAGTTTGTGGCGCTGGGGTCTTGAAAGTCTTTACAGAGGGCAAGACTTCACAAGAGAAAAGCCGTGGAGGGACCCTCACATGATCAGAATATTCACAGTGTGATGTGGGGCATGGTGGGGGCGGGTGCTCTCCACTCCCGGGCCTGGCTTGGTTCCCCTCACTGTCCTCAGCTCCTCAATGGCTTTGAGGACATTTAGATTCTTCTTACCATCTTGGCCTGAATGTGGAAAAAGCTCTTTTTCCTTAATTAAGTCTAGAAAAGGTCAACATGTTTCAAAAAATAGCATTTGGGTGGAAATTAAATGGAAAGTGGAACAAATCTCTGCAGAGAAAATGCAAAACCCTAGAACACAGACAGAGCCATCTCTGCCTCTTGGTCTGGTGGGATCTCTATTCTTCTCAAACCCATTTCCTAACCTCTGTGGGTGTGGGCTCCAAGTCCCAAGCCTTATCAGGGTAACTTTTTTTAAGTATAAATTTGATCATATCCTTTCTTGCCTAAAAGACTTCATTAGCTTCCCATGGCCTTTAGGATAAGGTCCCAAGTTCTCAGTGGTAAGGATCATGAGGCCCTGAAGGATCAACCAGCCACATCCTCCCGAGTTGCCCATCCGCCTCCCTGAGATTCACTGGGCTCCTTCAGCCTTGGACCCGGCTGCCCTGTCTCTTGCATCTGGGCCTTTGCATGTGTCCTTCCCTGCCTGGACTGCTCTTCCCTCTCCTCTTCCCATGGAAAACTTGCTCTCATCTTCAACATCTCATGCTAAGCACTTGCTCCAGAGCCTTCTCCAGCTCTCTAGACAAGGCAGCTCCTCTGCATCAGGGCCCAGGAGATGCCTGTATTTCCCCTTTCCTCACTGCCATCCTGCTTGACGCCTAATTTCCCAGATAATGTCTGCCTTCCCTGCCACATTGTAAGTTCCATGAGGGTAGGGCTGGCTGGAGGGCTGGTGCTCCACACAATTTTTAGGGTAGGTAAATCAGGTCCTCAGAGATTTCTTCCTGGGCCTCAGGCTGCCCTGAACTGATCTCACAGTACAGGGATTGACATTTTCTGCAAAGAGCTGTATAGTGAATATTTTAGGTATGGGAGAGAGAAAGGGCCATACATTCTGTCACTGTAGCACAGAAGCAGCCAAAGATAATAGAAAATGAAAGGGTATGACTGTGTTCCCATAAAACTGTATTTATAAAATAGGATGGTAATGGTATCTTTCAGCCCAGAAGGATTCAGCTCTGGAGACACCTTTTCTCAACCCTGACCCTTTTTTTTTCTTCAATTCTTCTACAATACCAATAGCCAATTGCTAGTATTGATCCCAGCCATTGGTGAAGATCAGCCTGTCCATCTGTTGCTCCAGGCTGACATCCCCACCAGTTCACACTAGCAGCCTTGCTGTAGTGGCAAGTAGTGGGCACTGACATTTTATGCTCTCAGGATCTTTGATTTCTTTCTGGCATGGCTTGTAGAACCCTGTATCTCCTCCAATTTTGACAGCCTCAGGACCTTTGTGGTACTACTCATTCAGGCCCATTTTTAAGGTCAGTCAAAGTACTAGGTTCTCTCAAGTGACCATCTAGCTGATGGTCTCTCTTCCCCATCCCCTCCTCCCCAGCAGTGAGGTCTTTCAGAATGCTGTTGTTAGAGTGTAAGATAGAAACATCTTTGATATGTTTTTACCAGTAATTGTCAGGAGACTGTTCTCTAATGTGCGTATCTGTGTTGATAAGATTACACATTTTATCAAGAGAAAACTTCAACCCTGAATAGTTAAACAGAAGCGCATATAGTGTGCAGGTTATAGACCACATGTCACTTAGCAGAGAGGAACACTGGAGTTGGTGTGGACAATTAAGAATTCTTGGGGGATTCTATGATTAGGTGTCCAAAGTCTGCCAACTAGTGCTTAGACATCTCGATTTCCTGCTTTTTACTCTTAGATTCCCTTAAGTTTATTGGAAAATACATTTTTCTGGAATGCCTTGAAAATTCTCAGTCTGTTCCTGAAGAGATTTTGGGGAGGTTAAAATAATTTAATATGTTAAAGTGCACAGTAAAAATGAAATAGCATTGGATGTTATTTTCAACTCTGAGTTTTCTTGTGTTAGTTTAAGTAAAATTTTGTTATTGTAAATTTGTTAAGAAACCCTAATTAAAGCCTCCTTCAATGTATGAAACTCAAATCAAGTTATTAGGTTAGGTGCTAAAAAAGTGTTACAGCTAATGGCCGAGACAGTAGAACTAGGTGACATTATATCTACTTGTAATCAGTGAGGAAAAATAATGTGGCAAAACACCATGGTACTCTTAAATCATAGAAAGTGCCAAATGAGGAGGAGGTACACTCTCAAGAACCTGCAAAACAAATATGTTTATCACCAAAAACTAGATTCCCACTGCATTTCCAGGGTTTCAGAGACTGGCAGCCATGTCCTCCAGCATCTGATGTATGGGTTTCCCAACATCTCATCTGATAAAAAAAATAATTTGCCAGTGGAAGAAAACATGGTCTAATAATATATATCAGATATATATTCTACATTCATAATGATACATGGCAATTCATCTAATATTCAATTCTGAAAACCTCTTTTGTGGCAAATATCACAGGCAAGGCCTTCATTCTTTCTAGAAATTTCGGTTTTTCAGTGTACTTTCCCAAACTTAGTGTTATAAAATTCCCAGTGTTTTTGTGGGTACATGCAAGTAATTAAGATTTTCAGCACAATGGCCTTCAAAAATCATCACAGCCGTTTCTAAGCTGCCCAAAGATAAAGGGACTAGCTTCCATTTCTGACTGAACAACCAGTGCATGCCTTTAGCCCTAGAGAGTATACATCTTTTGAAGTATAGCTCCTTGGCATGTCAAAAAAGAACAGTGGACTACCAAAGTTCAGAGTGATGCACTTGATGCTGAGAAAGAAAACAAACAAAGAAAACAAACAAAAGAACACCCTGTTCCATTTCATAGCTGGCCTGGTACTCACACCTAAGCCATGTTATTCTCTTATTAGACATAAACAATCTCACAGAGTACCAACCTCAAAGTTACTTTGAGTCAATGCAAGGTCAATTTATACTTTGTTCTCAGCAAAGGCAAAATCAAGGTCACTGTGCAACCCACAAAATACCAAACACCTTGCTAAATGAATGGCTGTTATTTCTTTATCTAGTCATAACATAGTCCCAGCTTTTTAACAGCATCCAATTTAGAACAAATACCCACTACATTAGATCCTTCCCCAAATCATCTGACTAAAGCCCGAGTTCTGTAACAGGTTCTTTCTAACACCATTTTACTGAGATGCCCCACAGCCCCTGACAGTGTGTTCACCCTTGGTGCAATGAGTAGCAAACACGACTTGTTTAGCTACAGATGTATTCTTGGTGCTCACTGACTGAGGGGCATTGACAATGCTGTGGGCATAGAGACGCATGATTTAATGGATTTTTGCCTTTTAGAATGTAACTTTTAACAGTAAAATAGAAACCACAAAAACTATTTGTAGGGGTATTCGGAAAGAAGCAAAATGTAAGCAATTGAAACCTAATGTATGGAATTGACAAGGGGACACAGAAGGAAAGTAAAGAGAATAGGTTAGTGGATTAGTATTCCTGTGCTTAATGGAGGACAGATTACTACAAATGACCCTGGAAGGGCAGATGGGGTGGAGGATCAGGTAGGGAGGACTCGGTCTTTAAGCTTGAAGGGCAAAGGGAACTTCAGCTGCTATCTCCCTTTTGCTGGCTGCTGTAGAGATACAGTTTCATTTCATCTTCACACCAGTCCTGCAAGGTGGATTTTACCACCATCACCACCACTTCCTGACATGAAAGATGGAGAAATCAGGACGTGGAGAGAGATTTTAAAATAAATCCAACTACGTAGAGTGAAGCAACAGGTGTATCAGGATCTGAGAGACTCCAAATTTCGTGGGCAAGACACTACACCACTGTCCTCTAAATACTACGAGGTATTTGCACACCAGTGGAAAGAAATCTTTTTAAATGGAGAGCTAAGCCAAGGGAAAAAATAAATGGAGACTAAATTTTTTTAATATTGTATTTTAAAATTAGGAAATGCAATAACACATCTGTGGTTAAATGTTGTTTATTATTTTCTCATTATTAAAGAGTCTCTCTGTTTTTTTGAAAAAAAAATTTGGTTAAAACTTCAAAAATTGTGTAACCGGCAAATGTTACAGTCTCTGAATATAATACTGCTATAGTGAGCAAATTTTGTTCTTGAATAAAATAACTTTGAATCTGGTTCCTTTAGTATATTTTAAACCAGCCTCATAAACTACTTAATTAAATAATATTTCTTACTCTACTTCTTAATATGCTATTAAGGGACATTCTACAAAATAAGTGATGAGTACTCCTCAAAACTGCCAAGGTCATTAAAAACAAGGAAAGTATGAGAAATTGTCATAGCCAAGAGTTGCTTAACAAGATATGACAACTTAATATAACATTATAAACTTGGTATCCTAGATGGAATCCTGGAACAGAAAAGGAATTAGGTGAAAAATAAGGGAATTTGAATAAATTATGCACTCTAGCTAATAATAATGTATCAATATTGGTTCATTAATACTAATGCAAGACATTTACAGTGCACATTGGTACGTTAATACTAATGTAAGACATTAATACTAATAATGTAAGACATTAATAACTGGGTGTGGGGTACATGGGAATTTTGTACCATCTTCACAATTTTTCTATAAAATCAAAACTGCTCTAATTTGTTTAATTAAAAGAGATTCACCAGGGTTAAGAAAAAAATTATTTTCTGTCATGAAGTGTTTTATTTTCTGCAAAATGATTTTGTTTTATTTAGGAGTGGTATGCTGCTTAAGATGGAAAAATACATGATGATGGTGCATAGTGCCTCCATCCCAAGCTTGCTAACATTAACCCTTTTGTGGCATTATCCAGCTTTCCATATGTTCTTTTTTAAGTTTTATTTTATTTTATTTTAAGTTCTGGGGTACACATGCCAGATGTGCAGGTTTGTTACATAGGTAAACGTGTGCCATGGTGGTTTGCTGCACCTATCAATCCATCACCTAGGTATTAAGCCCGGCATGCGTTAGCTATTTTTCCTAATGCTCTCCCCACTGCCCTCCCCCAATAGGCCCCAGTGTGTGTTGTTCCCCTCCCTGTGCTCCCTGTATCCATATCATGAAATATTTTAAAGCCACAGGAAAAAAAAGAGAAAAACTTAATGAACACCAAGTTACCTCCTTCCAACTTTATCGTATCTTAAACCCTATGCCATACTTGCTGGAACTTTTTGTTTTAAGAAATTAAAACATGCAGATACAGTTCAGGGGCCCTCTGAGCCCCTCCCCAGTCTCATTCCACTTCTTTTCCTCAGAGGTAACCACTATCGTTAATTCAGTGCTTATCAGTTTCAGGTAAGTCTTTATATTTCTACTGCGTATCTATATATCTACGAACATTACAAATAGTGATTTGCAGGTAACACAATTTACATAAATGGTATCATACAGTATCATTCTGAAACTTTGTCTTGTTTGTTTAAACTTACGTTTGTTGAGATTTATCCATGCCAATTCATTGATTTTAATGGCTAGATAATATTCCACTGTGTGTCTATTCTATAGATTATTGAATCAATCTCTTGTTCATTTGTATTTTCTCCTAGCTTTTTGTTTCCAAAGAAGTACTGCAATAAACAAGCTTACACATATCTCTGCATGCATTTTCTGAGTTTCAATCTCGGCTGTATCACTTACTAACTTGTGCTCTTGAGCTTGTGACTTAGTCCTTCATACTTTAGTGCCCTTATCTGGAAAACGGGGATAGTCATAATACCCATCTCAGGAGGCTGTTGGGAGGTTTTATGGCATAGCATGTATAAAGCATTTAGAACAGTGCCTGCCACGTATTAAATGCCATTTCATTGTTAATTATTTTTTAAATTGTTGAGGAAAATACCAGAGAAGGATATTCTGGGATCTGGGGTATTAACATGTTTAGCCTTGCTAGATATTTCCAAATTGCTATCCAAAGTCATTCAGTCAATTTATATTCTCATTAGCTGTGCATGAAAGGACTCTTTCCTCCACATCTTAACAACACTTTGTACTACTGGATATTTCATCTTTGCCAATATTTCAATGAATAGTTTTAGTATTCACTGCTGATCATTACCCCAAATTTATTCATTAGGGTTGCAAAATAATGATTTTTTTTTAATTTTATAGGTTTTCAAAACAGGAATGGATAATGATTTTTACTGAATACTTTTTGCATTTATGAAAATGATTAATTATTTTTTACCTTAAATAATCATTGCATTCCTGGGATCAACATTGCTTCATTTTTTTCATAAACTGCTGAATTATGTTTAACATATTTTATTTATCATTTTAAAATCTGTTTTCAGAAGTAATTATAAGCCTATTTTTATCCTTCTTTGTTTTGATGTCAAAATTATACTTGCTTTATAAAATGATTTGGGTAGCTTTTCTTATTTTTCTTTTCACCAAAACTATTTATATAAGATTAGAATTATCTACTGTTTGAAGTTTTGGTAAAATTTGCCTGTAACATTATCTAGCCCTGTTGTTTTTTGAGGTGGGAGACTTTTGAATATTGAATCAATATTTTAATAGCCATTACTTTTTAAGTTTTCTATTCCTTTATAAACAAATTTTGATAACTCATATTTTTCTAGAAAATTAATCTTAACCTGGTTTTCAAATTTACTACCATGAAATTACTTAGTATTTGCTTATGATTTAAAACTTTATTTATTTTACCTTTCCCATTTTCAATTAGTATTTGTGATTTATATCTCTTTTCTTCAACAGTCTTATTGACTTGCATGTTTTTAGTTTTCAAAAAACAACTTTTGAATTGATATATCCTTTCTACTGTTTTTCATTTTATTTTGTTTTCTATCTTATAAATCTTGCATTTTTTAGGTTCTTGATTAGAACATAATTCATTCATTAATCTCTTAAAAGCAAAATGCATTTATCTTTATAAATAAATCTTGAAGTATCTTTTTAGCTGTAGCCCACAAGATTTTACATATTTATCACCATATTTTAAATATTTTCTATTTCTGTCATGATTTCATCCTTAACCCATATTTATCTGCATATGTATTTTAAAGTTTGTAACACACACAATTTTACTGAGTATATGTGTGTGTGTTTTACTAGTGTTTAATTTTTTAGTTTTTATTTAATTGCATTGTCAGAATATACACCCTTAAGAATAACAACAATATAGAGAAATACATAGTTTTTCATTTGTAGAAATTTTTTATGGCTTATTAATGGGTAAGTTTTATAAAAATGCCAAATGTAATTGAAAAATGTCTTGGTTGCAGGTTCCATAGTAATGAAATTTGTCATGAAAATCTATCGACATTGTGTTACAATTATAATTAAATATATATTTGATTAAATCAAATGAAATTGCCAACATTTAATCTTTTTTTACTTAGAAAGTTCAACTAATATATGAACAATGTTCAACCAAATTTTAAGAAAAATTTTATGTAGTAAATTACATAAAATTACTTATTTTTTATTTGAAAAGCTTTTATGTTTTCTAATTTTTTGTCTGTTTATCAGTTTCTAATAAAGTTGTGTTTAAATTTTTCATTACAGTTGCAGGCTATGTTGTGTTAGGTTGCTGGGTATATACAATCCAATAATTGATTTGTCTTCTAGCTGGATTGTACTTTTAATTATTATATGTCCTTTATTATATCCATTATTGTTTTGAACATGGATTCTATTTTTCTGACATTAACATAACAGCTTTGAGACATCAGTATTTGCATGACGTATCCTTTTCACCCTTTAATTTTGGACCATTTTTATGATTTTATAAATTATTTCATTTATAATAAGTATATGTCTGGATTGGCTGGGTGTGGTGGCTCATGCCTGTAATCTCAGCACTTTGGGAGGCTAAGGCAGACAGATAATCAGAGGCCAGGAGTTTGAGACCAGCCTGGCCAATATGGTGAAACTCCATCTCTACTAAAAATACAAAAATGATCCAGGCATGGTGGCTCATACCCGTAATCCCAGCTACTCAGGAGGCTGAGGCAGGAGAATCACATGAACCCAAGAGGTGGAGGTTGCAGTGAGCCAAGATTGAGCCACTGTACTCCAGCCTGGGCAACAGAGCAAGACTTGGTCTCAGAAAAAAAAAAAAAGTGTATGTCTTGACTTTAAAAAATTCAATAAACTGACCTGTCTTTTTTTAAAAAACAGCCTTTTGAGGGTATAATTTACATATCACAGAGTTCACCTATGTAAAGTATTCAATGGTTTTCAATATATTAACAGAGTTGTGCGACCATCACCATAATCTAACTTTAGAACATTTTCTTCATCCCCAAAAGAAACCTTATATCTGTTACCAGTCACTCCTCATTCCCCTCCCACCCCTACCCCTACCCCAGCATTAGGCAACCACTTATTTATTTTCTGTCCCTATAGATTTGCCTATCTTGGACATTTCATGTAAATGGAATCATACAGTATGTGGTCTTTTGAGACCGTCTTCTTTCACGTAGCATGATTTTGAGGTTCATCTGTGTAGCATGTATCAGTACTTCAATCTACATACATTTACCGTAATTACTGAACCGTTTGGACTATTTTCAATAATATTCATTTATGTTTTCTGTTTGTTATGCTTTTTTTAGTTTCTTTAGTTTTTTTTAACTTTTGTTGGATTGATGACATTTTCTACATACTTAGTTTTTAATCCTTTGCTTATTTAGAAACTATAGATTTTACTGGTACTTTTTCATTGCTTTTTCTTAAAATTTTCAGATATTGGTTGAACTTTGTTCAGATATTAGTTGAACTTTGTAATTAAAAAATGGTTAAATATTGGCAATTTCCTTTGGTTTAATCAAACATATATTTAATTATAGTTGTATAAATATGTATTTAATTATAATTATAAAACAATGTCCTCAGATTGTCATAACAATGAACTTAACATACTTTATCTGCATATCGAACACCTTATCTTGTGTTCAAGTTACACTCATATCTACATACTGTGTAGAGTTTTAATTATGTTCTTTTGAAATATAAAAGGTTATACTTGGTATCAATATTTGATTGGCCGTCCTGACATATTTTGTTAACTCTTGTGCTCACCCTTGTTTCTCTCTTTCATGGCTCCCTTCTGGATACTCCTTCTGGCTAAGGCACATCCTCTAGTTGTTGTTTTATGCAGGTCTGTAAGTGTAAACCCTCTGACTTTGAATGTCTGTAAAGATGCTGAATAATTTTTTGGCTCAGTGTAAAATTCTAAGTTAAAGATTACTTTTTTTTCTCATCACTTTGAAGACATTACGCCACTGTTTTCTAGCCTCTATTGCTGATGAGAAAACTTCTGTCAGTCTGTTCTTTATATTTGAATATGCATTTTCCCCTTTCACAGTGTTTAGGATGGATTTTGTTTATTCTTGATGCTTTACTACAGTTTGATTCTTGAACAACACAGGTTGCAACTGTGGAGGTCCACTTGTATGGGGATTGTTTTCAACCAATCTCAGATGAAAAATATAGTATTCTCAGGATGCAAAACCAGTGGATATGTAGAGCCAATTTTTCCTATGCACAAGTTCTGCAAGCCAACTGTAGGACTTGTGTATACCTGGATTTTGGTATATGCAAATTTTGGTATACATGGGAGTGCTAGAACCAATCTCCTGCATATACTGAGGGACATTTCTATATAATGTATCTAAGTTTTGACTGATATCTATTCCAATCAATTCTTGGTGTCTACTGTTAATTTGAAGAATCAGGTAATTGCTTCTGGAAAATTCTTAGCAATTATCTCTTTAATTATTACACTTCTGTCATTCTCCACTCTCTGCTTCTGGGATTCCAATTAGGTGAATTTAGAAGATTTTCATAACTCCCCCTTTCTCTCTTTTATTTGTACATGTGTGTATATATGTATGTAATACATATCACGGTCTCCTCCTGTGACCTCCATGGGTCTGCATTTCATCATAAGGAATAGATGCTTCAATGGTGGCCAGCAGTTTCCTCAGGGTCTTCTCAGCAGTGCATGGGGCCCACATTAGCTCCTCTGGCTCCAAGCGAAGAGATGGTCTCTAGCCCCCTGTTTGATTTGGGGCACTTACAGTCCTCTCGCCAGCTAAACTCTCACACTCGTCAGCATCCAGACGCTGAGGGGAAAATACCAGCTGCTTCTGTGCTCTGCTTACTCTTCGGTACTTCTCTGCCATTTCTGGTTCCTGAAGATGTTTATTTTTATTTATTTGAGTCTGACTGTATCTCTTTTTAAAAACATGTTATCCACCATTGCTATATATTTGAAGCAGAGAAAGTTAGTGAAGCATAAACTTCATGCTGAATCGAGTGTCTATATCCTGGAATTCTCAGCCTGTACCCTCTATAAACTAATTTTTCCACTGTGAATAAGACTAATCATGACTCTGTCGACATTTACATTTTATTTAGAAAATGTCTTCCTTCTGTTCCTTTGATCCAAGCTTGACTCACCTTACCTTGAGGTTGCATTTACAAAGGAACACTGAAGGTTACCCAACAGTATGTGGGTGTCGTTCATCAACTACAGTGACTCAAGAATATCACCAGTTGGTTTGCCTTTCTCATGGTTTTAATGTTTTCTCATTAAAAATAAATAAAGCACAGATAAGCAGAAAGAATAACCATCCATCCAACAACTAGAGGAAAATTTATCAATGGTTTTGCTTTATCTTTCCTATAATTAAGCTATAAAAAACAACCATCCATGTAACAACTAGAGAAAACCTTTATCAATGACTGTGGCTTATCTTTCCTGATAATTAGGCTCTTTCAGGGAGTTATTAACCGATTTTAAAACTTTTGTCTGAGATTGATTAGTAAAGATTATTTCTTGAACCAAATTGTTCTTTCGTTTGGCTACTTTGATTAAAGAAGAAAGAAGAGATAATAATTGCAATGATTCTTTTATTTTATTTTATAGGGTCGTTGGCTGTGGGTTGCAATTACCATGTCTGACTCAGTAATTCTTCGAAGTATAAAGAAATTTGGAGAGGAGAATGATGGTTTTGAGTCAGATAAATCATGTGAGTGGCTTTTTTCCCTCACTGCATCTTGTACAAGGAGAGGTGAGAACAAAAGTAGGACAAGCTGGTCAAGTTTCAAGGAGCAGAAAAAAATCAGCAACAGTAGGTAGAAGTATCATTGTGTGTGATTCTTATACACAACTGTGTGGCTCTCCCTAGAATCCATGTAACGTAATATCTGAAAGCACTAGGTAAGAACACACCAAGTGTGTGTAAATGAAAGCATCTCTCACCAACACCTTTCCTAGATAGAGTAGGGTTGTTCCAGTGGTGGCTGTTATGACTACCTTTAGTCCTGTATTGTTATTATTAATCATAATTGAGTGAGCGCTCCTCCTTAGGAAGAACTGTGCCCAGACTCTGCAGACCAGAATGAGATCATGTGGAGGGGGCCTATAGCACTAGCACCTGGGATGTCCTGGGCTCAGATGGTTCTAAGCTATTGTTTTCTAACCCTATGATTTTACATTTTACAGATGACAAAACTGAGACTTGGATATGTTTTTGAAACTTGGCAAGGAACTCATGAGTAAAATTAATGGAACCATAATTCTAATCCAGTTGTGTTTGATTCCCAAGCCCAAGATATTGCCGTCTGTCAACATTATCATGCTTCTTTACTTTAATAAGAGTAAACAGGCATGATAGTGTTGAATGACAAAGCTCCCTAGTGGCTTCCTTACACCCCTGGCTATAATCACTGACTTTCACCTCCTGCCCTGCATCTATTCTGACCTACACTGGGGAAAACAGTATGTGGTCTCAATCCTATGGCTTCTACTAGTGTAGAAGTGTTAATGACATCTTGTTATTAACATCTTATTGTTAATTTGTGGTCTATATTTTAAACAGATAAATTCTGATGCTTTTAAAGAACCAGACAATAAATAAATATCAATTTTATTTTGTAGTTCAAAAAGTTGCTGTCCATTTGATATTCAGATGATGCAAATATTTCATGTCCTGAAGAAAAGTCCATAAATGAGTAAAGGTAGCAGCACTCCTGGACCCTAAACGAGTGTCTTCGTGTGTGTGTGTGTGTGTGTGTGTGTGTGTGTGTGTGTGTGTGTAGAAAGATAGAGAGAGACAATATGAGCAGGAAGAAAGAAAAGGCAAATAGTCATTTGCTAATATTCCATGAATAAAGGTAATTTATAGGAATATTTTTCTAGAGCAAATTTCTTAATGACTGCGTTGCATTTTGTCATTATTATTAACTGCTTTTTTGCGTTGATTTTTTTTTCTGACAGATAATAATGATAAGAAATCAAGGTAAGTGACTGATTTCAACAATGCAGCATCTTTTCTAGAATAACTCCATAATATTCATATCAAAGGCACAAAGCAGAGAATACTTTCATGCACATTGCACTTCATATAAAATAATATATACAATCCATTCTTTTTCTCTTTAAAATATTACTATAATTTGATTTTAAAAACCTTTTGGAATATCCCTTCTAGGTTAGGTTCAAATGTCCCCTCTGTATTCAGGAATGGCACAGAACTCCTGACCTAAGAGGGAGGAGGAAAAGTTGAACAACAAGTATAATTTCATGGGCATTGGAGAGGTCTCTAAACCCCAAATTCTTGCCACAGGCAAAGAGTAGAGACCTAAAGTGTCATTATTGCATATTTCTGTTCAGCTAAAGATTTTGAATTCTCATATAGAACACATATCAGCTAATCACAGTCTGGTATGAAGGCGGGATTAGATGAGGTCTAATTTAGAAGACAGAAGTGAGGCATCAGGTAAGTTCCTGAAGTGGAGGTGGTGGAAACGGAAGGGTTAAAGGTATTTTAGAAATTTTAAGTAATTCACAGCAGAGGGAGGAAGTGGGAGTGGTAAGATTAGCTTTGGGCTGGGAGTGGTCAGGTCAGCCTGGGCCTCTGAGAGCCACACGTTTCTTATTGCGTGGGAAGTTTAAAAAATGGGTGTGGATGTAGATGAATGGCAAGGAGAGGATGAGTAGGAAGTTGAATGAGTTGCTTTGTTTTTAGAGGAGGTGAGCATGGAATGAGAAGATCACAGCAAATTTTGCCAGAGCTGCTGAGAAGAATGGGAGCAATCCGCAGAGAAATGAAGTGTGCATTGCATGTTGAGCTGGAGAGCACACATTCACTCCATTAATTCATTCGTTTTGCAAATATTGAGTGTCTATTTGGTATCA
This sequence comes from Homo sapiens, assembly GCF_000001405.40. Taxonomy (NCBI): domain Eukaryota; kingdom Metazoa; phylum Chordata; class Mammalia; order Primates; family Hominidae; genus Homo; species Homo sapiens. The sequence continues at coordinate 169,015,878 of NC_000002.12, read as the reverse complement.
GACACTATTGTAGGTGCTGCGGGTATAGAAAAGAACAAAATAGGCAAAAATGTTGGCCCTTGAGGAGTTTACATTTTAGTGAGGGAGATATAATAAACATTGTAAATAAATCAAATGTATAGCATGGTAGCTAGTGATAATCTATCACTTTCTTTCTGAGAAGGAAAAATAAACTGGAAATGGAGCTATGAAATGGTGCGTGGGGGGTGGGGTTGAAATTTTAAAGACTTTGGCCAGGCAAGACTCTGTTGAGTAGGTGATTTCAAAGGAAGGTCTAGCGGAGGTGATGGAGCTGTCCCTGTGGTTACCTAAAGAAAATGCACCTGGGGAGAAGGAGTAGCAGGTGCCCGCACCCAGAGGTGGGAACAGTTGGGCATGGACAAAGGTCAGCAAGAGGCCAGGCAAGTGGGGTGTTGAGAACTAGAATATAGTTGGAGGAGGTGAGGTCAGAGAGCCAAGGGCCAGACCGTGGGGAGTCTCAGAAAAAATTTAGGATTCTTTTCTGGGCCAGAAGGGAAGCTTAGGGCAGCTGAGTACTAGACTCTGCCTGTGTTGGTATCCATTCACAAGGTGGTGAGGTTGTGTCCAGCAGGCCCAGCAGCCTGGCTTAAGGAGAAGAGGGCAAACAGCTGGATGGATGCAGGATGAAGTTTACAAGGATGATGTAGAGAAAATAATTGAGGATGATGGTGAGAGTGTGGTTCAAATGCCTGGCAGAGGGACCTTGGCTGCATGGGGAAGGAAGCAAAATCTTAATGGGGTTTAGCAATGGAAGGAAATGAAGGATTTAAAGGACTGCATGGCTCAAGTGAGGTTGACAAATAGGTGTGGAAGGAGGAAGGAAGCGAGAAAATGAGGTACATGGGCAGTCACAGAGTGCCAAGGAGTTAAACATGTCAGACAGTAGTTCCTGGTGACAGCAAGGTCCAGGGTGTATTCATGGACTGCGTGACTCAGGTTAAGTCAAGATCCCCGAAGTTGAAGAGGTCAAATACAGGTTAAACATGGCCTTATGGGAAATGAAATGAATGGGAAATATTAAGGAAATATGATTCTATGAAAAGTGTGGGCATGTTCTTGAATTTTTCATCATTATCAACATTATTTAATGTAGTTGTAATATTTTTAAGCATGAGGAAGCTTTAAAATTAGCTAATCCAACCACTTCAACTTACCCATGAGGAAATGCAGTCACAAATAGATTGAGGGTCATGACTGAGGGCAAAGAGTTATTTGTTGGTATAACTGGGAGTATAGAGGACTTTTTACTTTCTCTCCATACCTCTCAGGTGTTCATCTCTGTGAATCGCTAGTGAACCTGAGATTGAGCTATACTGAAATCTCTAGAAGAGGGAAATCTAGAAGAATAAAGCTTGTGTTTAAGATACTAGGTTTGGCCAGAATTTTCCAGCCAGTGGGGATTTTCTTTCTTACTAAAGAATAACTCATAAAATCACCACCTAGGGAGAATTTCCCATTGTATTGGAAAGGGTGGTCTTTAAATCCTTATGTTTTTCTCATCAGGTTACAAGATGAGAAGAAAGGTGATGGCGTTAGAGTTGGCTTCTTTCAATTGGTAATAAAACTGTGTTGATTTATGGCAGTGGGTGTGCAGCTATAAATTGTTTAGATCATGAGGGGAGTGTTAAATCTTTAGTCATATTGGCAGGTTTTTAACTTCAGTGATCACTTTTTCAGTCATAGGCTTTGCCTATGTGATAACATGCTGAATAACTATTAGAAATATATTGCTCATAAAGCATACAAATCCTATCCAATAGATCAGAAAAATGTCTTGGAAAATTATCACTAAGCCCATGGTTATCATATTTGTAAGGAAAGTCATCACAACAATCACATATATATATTTATTCTTATGACAAATCTTTAGAAATTTTAAAGTATAGGTGTTTACTCCAAATTTTCTCAGGATGGAGGCATTTCTAGGCAGAAATTGGCATTCTTCATAGTCACTATCAGTTCAACAAAACAATTTATAGTATTTCTCAATGCCCCACACAGTTTATCTACTTGGCAATGGCATCAATGACAGTGATTATTTTCCCCTAAGTTGTAGATGAGTAGCTAAAAACGAAAGTCAGCTCCTGAAATAAACAGAATGAATTCAGAGAGCAGGAAATTTATAACATGATCTAACAATGTAAGAGTCTAATGTTTTAGATAATTGATGTACCGTGCCGTTTATTTCAATATAATTAGTATACGAACTCTGCCACTCAATTAAGGTGATTCCCATGAAATTTGGTGTTGAGTACTATTCATGAGAATCTAGTAACTAAATTAAGTAGTCCTCCTACCTCTCCTGCTCTTCACCCATAGATGATCTCTGAACCCTTTGTTTTTCAAGTTTCGGTTTTCTTCATCAACTGACATTTGGCTGATGTTTGTGGGAAGTTTGTGTGCATTTCTCCATGGAATAGCCCAGCCAGGCGTGCTACTCATTTTTGGCACAATGACAGATGTTTTTATTGACTACGACGTTGAGTTACAAGAACTCCAGATTCCAGGAAAAGCATGTGTGAATAACACCATTGTATGGACTAACAGTTCCCTCAACCAGAACATGACAAATGGAACACGTTGTGGGTAGGTTGTTTTTGTTTTTAATTTTTTACTTTTTTGCTCATATCTTAAATTGTAATTCAAAATGTATAGAGGGGATTTTACTGGCTGAGCTGGAGTGGTATCTAACACAAAGAGAATAGAAACATGAGTTTACCCATATTTCTAGAAATTACTCTGCCTCAAGTTTCCTTCTATCTTACTATGTTTTAAAATCTTAATAGAAACAGGATTGAAAGTCACTCACCAAATACATTGCCAAAATGTTACCACTTTATTGAGTATAGGCTTGAGCATGACACTACCAATACTTAACGTCACTAGGGAGGTGACCCATGAATTTTACTTGAGTATCATCTCCAAGAGTTCTATTTTTCCCCCCCACCAACTCCCCTCTGCCCCTTAGCTTTGTGGCTGTGGCTGGTGATCCACTTGATCTTAACCCTTCCATCTGTAATGGGAATTTCATGAACAGGCTGCATTACTTTGAGTAAGGTACACTAGTCTCAACCAGTAGTTGAGTTTGTTTTTTTCTTTTTTCTTTTTTTTTTTTTTTTAAGATGGAGTCTCCTTTTTTGCCCAGGCTGGAGTACAGTGGTGTGATCTTGGCTCACTGCAGCCTCTGCCTCTTGGGTTCAAGTGATTCTCATGACTCAGCCTCCTGAGTAGCTGGGATTACAGGCGCCCGCCACTATGCCCAGCTAAATTTTGTATTTTTAGTAGAGATGGGGTTTCACCATTTTGGACAGGCTGGTCTCAATCTCCTCAGGTCATCTGCCTGCCTCAGCCTCCCAAAGTGCTGAGATTACAGGCGTGAGAAAACTAGGGCAGTGCTGTGATCAGAGGCAACCACGCAGAAGTAGCCAGAACTCACACAGACACAGTCACTATGCTACTGTTTTCTTTGTGATAAGCCTGACAGGCCACCTTGTAATCAGTGAGTCTGTCGTGTACTCAGGGCTGACTCACTGTCATAGCATGGCCTTTGCAGTGTGCCTCATGCTGGCTCAAGTTCAGAACAGCTTATTTGCACATAGGAACCCACATATTCAGGTTCAAGAATCAAGGGTGGGGCACATCTTGGCTAGAAAGACACTAGGAATGGCTCCCTCAGAGGAATTTATAGTTTTCACCTTCATTTTTGAAATTTTCTATAGGCTTGATTCCAGACTATGAATGAGTCCTTCTAAATCATTGACACTCTTCCATAATATTATCTCTCTTAGGGTCTTTCATTCATTTACTCATTCAACCAAAATTTTTTTAAACATCAAATATACCAGGAACTCATGAAAGCATCAAGGACACAGTTGTCTTAAGAGCATGGTCCTAGCCAGGTATGGTGGCTCATGCCTGTAATCGTAACACTCTGGGAGGGTGAGACAGGAGGATTGTTTGAGCCCAGAAGTTCGAGACAAGCCTGGGCAACATAGTGAGACCCTGTCTCTACAAAAATTTTTTTAAAAAATAGCTTGGCTTTGTGGTGTGCCCCTGTCATCCCAGCTACTTGAGAGGCTGAGATGGGAAGATCACTTGGGTCTGGGTGTTTGTGGCTGCAGTTGGCTGTGATTACATGGGTGACAGAATGAGACCCCATCTCAGAAAAACCAAAAGAGTCATGATCCCTATCTGTGTGAAGCTTAAGCCTAGTAAGCCATCATTCAGTCAATGATCATTTAAAAACATATGCAGTGACAGACTTGGAGGTACCTGACAGAAAACACAGGATAATATACAATGTGAATTATTCTTTATAAACAACAAGCCTACTTATTCTATATAAGTTCCCTAATGTCTAAATATGTATGTTTCTTTTCTAAAATTGGAAGTTTCTTTTCATTTGACAAACTCAGAGCAATTTGTATAAAAGAGAGATTGAGTTCAACAAAAGTCTTTGAAATCCTTCATTTATGCGGGAGGACAGAAGTGAACTGCTTTTTACAGAGGGGTTTGACCACAAAACATAAGATTAATCATTCTCCCCTTGGAGAAAAAAATGCATTCAGACCTATGTGTGATGTAAATTGACCCAAGCCACGGATAACACTTATGAGGATAAGTTTTTGAGGAAAAGGTCCTCAAGTATATCTTATCATGCCTTAAAATTTGGAAATAAATGTGAGAGGAGCCAAAATTTGAGGCATATACATGATACTAGGTGCTTATGAATATTTATCCAATGAATTAAAGAATGAATCTACTTTCAACATTTGCATCATAGCCATCTATTAAAAAGGAATTCTCTGTGGCCACTCATTACTCACTGTCTTCATTGTTACTGGATCACATACCTGAAGGCGAGCAAAGAATACAAACTGAGGCTTTCAGAAGTCCACTGGCTTTGGCTGAATTCACGTAATACCAAATGTGAATGGACATTTGTCCTTTTCTTTTTAAAAAAATTCATACAGATAGCTGAAATTGTATAGACTATACCTTTCTAGGCATTTCTTTACCAGGAACTCCTTGATGAGTTAAATACTGTCATCGTGAGTTATTGTGATCATTGACATGAATACTATTTGTTCTATTCTGAATAACATGTTTGTTTAGCTGTTTTATGGTAAGATCACCGCGATCTTATGACTTGGGTGGGACAGAGGAGAAAAGAGAGGACATTTTTCTACCTGTAAGTAGTTTATATACCTCCAAAGTCGCCCAAACTGTTTGCAGGTTTCTTTCGTGGAAAAAGTATATCATTAAAAGTACAGTTTCTCCTTTTATTACAATAGATGTATTAGCCTTAGAATATACAAGACAACCCAATAATTTTAGCAACAAAAGCATGTGTGTGTAATGACAGGAGCTGGTTTTACTATTTTATTATATTGGTTTCCACATGTCAATTGTAATCTAGTAGATGGAATTTTTAAGTTAAAGCCTTCCAGATGGCTGTCAGTGAATTACACTGATAAGGATTACAGAGTGTCAGGTCTCTTGATTAGCTTATCAGAATTTCTGGTCAGAACAGTCGAATAATAGATAAAAAAATGAAAGCAGATGAAGGAATAGGAAGTTAAAATACCACAGTTGCAATTTCATTTTATTTTCTTTTATCCAATTAAAGTGTAAACACTCAAATGGAAGCCACAAAGTCTCGTGTAACTTAATTGTAGAAGAGACATACTGTAATTTCTGCCATATTCTATGGGTCACAGAAACCAACCCTGGTGTAATTTGGAAGGAGTCTAAACAAGTGTGAATATTGCCAGATGAGAATTTTAGGGGCTTTTTGGAGGCTGATTACTACTGCGGGCATTGGGGAGCTCAAGTCTTCACTTCCTCTCATACAGATAAATCAATGCAGAAATCTAGGCCTGTCCTTTCACTTGGATTTCAGTCTATGTTCTTAGCAATATATATTCAGTTTGTATAAGCAAGCACTATTTTGTAGCTAGACAGTTTAGGCTATATACTTTTGTAATGGCTTTGTTGAGATACAATTCACATACTATAAAATTCACCCACTCGAAGTGTACAATTAGATGTTTTTTAGTATATTTACAGAGTTGTGCATTCACTGCCACAGTCAATTTTAGAACATTTTCTTTTTTTTCCTTTTTTTTAATTATACTTTAAGTTTTAGGGTACATGTGCACAATGTGCAGGTTTGCTACATATATACACATGTACCATGTTGGTGTGCTGCACCCATCAACTCGTCATTTAACATTAGGTATTTCTCCTGATGCTATCCCTCCCCCCTCCCCCCACCCCACAACAGGCCCCAGTGTGTGATGTTCCCCTTCCTGTGTCCATGTGTTCTCATTGTTCAATTCCCACCTATGAGTGAGAACATGTAGTGTTTGGTTTTTTGTCCTCGCGATAGTTTGCTGAGAATGATGGTTTCCAGTTTCATCCATGTCCCTACAAAGGACATGAACTCATCATTTTTTATGGCTGCATAGTATTCCATGGTGTATATGTGCCACATTTTCTTAATCCAGTCTATCACTGTTGGACATTTGGGTTGGTTCCAAGTCTTTGCTATTGTGAATAGTGCCACAATAAACATACGTGTGCATGTATCCTTATAGCAGCATGATTTATAATCCTTTGGGTATATACCCAGTAATGGGATGGCTGGGTCAAATGGTATTTCTAGAATTTTAAAACATTTTCATTACTAGAAAAAGAAACCCCTTGCCCCTCGGCCATCACTTTCTAGTACCTCATCCTCCTCCCTATCCCTAGGCAACACTAATCTGCTTTCTGACTGTAGATTTGCCTATTCTGAACATGTCATATTAATAATATCATATAATATGTGATCCTTTGAGATTGGCTTCTTTAACTTAAGCATGTGTTTTTTGCAGTTCATCCACATGTATTTTTATTGCTAAATAATATTTCGTTATATGGATATAATACATGTTATGTATCTGTTCATCAGTTGATGGACATTTGGATTGTTCCCACTTTTGAGCTATTACAAATAATTCTGCTGTGAACATTTGTATACAGATTTTTGTGTGGACATGTCTTCATTTCTCTTGGGTACATGTCTAAGTGTGGAATTGCTGTATCACATGGTAACTCTATGTTTAACTATTCTAGGAACTGCCAGACTATTTTCCACAGTGGCTGCACCATTTACATTTCTGCTAACAGTGTATGAGGGTTCTAATTTCTCCACATCCTCACCAGCACTTGTTATTTAGCATCTGTGATATCTCTCATAGGTAGAATAATGACCCCCAAAGATATCCAGGTCCTTATCCCTAGAACCTGTGAATGTTACCTTGTATGGGAAAAGGGTCTATGCAGACGTGATTCAGTTAACAATATCGAGATGGGGGAGACTATCCTGGATTATCCAGGTGGGCCCTAAATGCAGTCATGTGTGTTCTTAAAAGGGATGGTTGCTAAGAAGAAGGCAGAGGGGGATTTGCCTGTAGAGAGAAGAGTAGAGGCAAGGTGACTACAGAAAAAAAGAATGGAATGACATTGCCACAGCCGAGGAGTGTCAGCAGCTATCAAGAGCTGGAAGAAGCAGGGGGAAATTTCTCTCTTAGGGCCTTAGGAGGGAACACAGCCCTGTCAGCACCTTGATTTCCACCCAGCGAAGCTGATTTTGGGCATGTGAGGGGATACATCTCTCTTGTTTTAATTGTGGTAATTGTTACAGCAGTCATAGGAAACCAATACAATAGCCATCCTAGGGAGCAGGAAGTGGAATCTCATTGTGGTTTTGATTTGCATTTCTCTGAGGACCAGTGATGTTTGGCTTCTTTTTAGGTGCTTGTTGGCCATTTGCACATCTTCTTCAGAAAAATATCTATTCAGATCTTTCATTTGGAAATAAATAATATAACAAAATATGTATTCAGCCCTTTTTAAAACTGGGATATATGTCTACTGATTATTGAGTTGTAGGAATTCTTTATATATTCTAGATATAAGTTCCTTATCAGAGATACAATTTGCAAGCAATTTCTCTCATTCTTTGGGTTGTCTTTCTAACTTCTTGATAATTATCTTTGAAGCACTGAAGTGTTTAATTTTGGTGATGTCTAGTTTGTTCTTTTGTTGCTTCTGAATTGGTGTCATATCTAAGAAACCATTGCCAAATCCAAGGTCTTGATAATTACCTTTGAACCACTAAAGTGTTTAATTTTGGTGATGTCTAGTTTATTCTTTTGTTGCTTCTGAATTGGTGTCATATCTAAGAAACTATTGCCAAATCCAAGGTCGTGAACATTACACTTGTTTTCTTTTAATGGCTCTGGCCATGTGAAGTGCCAGCTTCCCCTTCATCTTTCAGTATGAGTGTAAATTTCCTAAGGCCTTCCCAGAAACTTAGCAGATGCTCTAATCCTTCCTGTACAGCCTGCAGAATTGTGACCCAACTAAACCTCTTTTCTTTATAAGTTACCCAGTCTCAGGTATTTCTTTATAGCAGTGTGAGATGAACTAATACACTCACGGTTAGTCTACGATCCACTTTGAGTAAATTTTTGTAGGGGTGAATTAGGGGTCCAAATTGATTCCTATCTGCATGGATAGCCAGTTGTTCCAGCATCATTTGTGGAACAACTATTTTTTCCCCATTGATTAATCTCAGAATCCTTATCAAAATCAATTTACTGTAATTAAGAGGGTTTATTTGTGGACTCTCAATGCTATTCCATTGACCTACACATCTATCTTTATGCCAGTAACACACTGTTTTGATTACCGTAGTTTTATAGTAAGTTTTGAAATCAAGAAGTGTGATTCTACTACTAGGGATTGTCTATTCTGGGTCTCTTGGATTTTCATATAAATTGTTTAACTTCTGCAAAGAAGTCAGCTAGAATGCTAGGAATTGCATTGACTCTGTAGATCAGTTTAAGGAATATTGCCGTCTTAACAATATTAAGTCTTCTGATTCGTGATCCACTTATTTGCGTCTGCTTTAATTTATTTCAACAAGGTTTTATAGCTTTCAGAATATTTTGCAATTTTTTGTTAAATTGATTGCTACGTATTTTATTATTTTTGATGTTATCATAAATGGAATTGTTTTCTTAATTTTATTTTCAGTTTGCCCATTGCTACTATCGCAAAATACAACTTTTTTTGTATATTGATCTTTTATCCTAAACCTAGCTGAACTACTTATGAGTTCAATAGTTTTTTAGTGGGCTCTTTAGGATTTTTTATACAAGACCATATCATCTGCAAATAGAAATAACTATACATTTTCCTTTCCAATCTAGCTGCCTTTTTTATTTTATTTTATTTTATTTTATTTTATCTTATTGCCTAATTGTTTTGGCCCAAACCTCCAGTACAATGTTGAGTAGAAGTGGTGAGAGCACACATCCTTGTCTTATTCCTATCTTAGGGGGAAAGCATTTAGTCTTTCACCATTAAGTATGGCATTAGCTATGACTTTTTCACAAGTGTCCTTTATTATGTTGAGGAATTCCCTTCTAATCCTAGTTTGTAGAGTGTTCTAATCATTAAGTCATGAATTGAGTCATGTGCTTCATCTACATCTATTAAGATGATCATGCAGTTTTGCCCATTATAATATTGATATGGTATATTACATCAATGTATATTCATATGTTCAATTACCTTTGCACTCCTGGAATAAATCCCACCAGGTAATAATGAGTAATCATTTTACTATGCTGCAGGATTCAACTTGTTTGTATTTAGTGAAGATTTTTGTGTCTATATTAATAAGAGATATAATATATAAGAGTTTTCTTCTCTTATAATGTCTTTGCCTGCTTTTGGTATCGGATAATTCTGGCCTGATAGTTTGGCAGTGTTCCCTTCCATTCTGTTTTTTGAAGAGTTTGTGAAGAATTGGTATTAGTTCTTTAAATGCTTTGTAGAATTCTTCAGTGAAGTCATCTCATCTTAGACTCTTTGTTGTTGAAAGTTTTTGATTGCTGATTCAATCTCTTTAGTTGTTATAGGTCCACTCAGATTTTCTATGTCTTTAAAAATATTTTTTAATTTGGCACATAAAAATTATATATATTTATGGTGTGCAGCATGATGTTTTGAAATATGTATACATTGTGGAATGGCTAAATTGAGCTAATTAACATATTTACTACCTCACACACTTATCTTTTTTTGTTGTAAGAACACTAAAAATCTACTCTTGGCTTCAGGCTTCCTGGGATGCCAAAAAACTGTGTGTCCGCTTGCTTTCTCAATGGGGAGGCTTGTGGTCTGGGGCAAATTTTCAGCCCTGGTCACTGGCTGCCTGGAAATAGATTCAGTGCTGTTGTTGGGGGCACGGTGGGCATGAGATTAACCTCTAGTACTGCGGGCTGAGTGGGAGCAGGTTAAGGCCTGTAACTGCCAGCTTTCCCCCACTTCCCTAGTGACCTGTATGACTTAGCAGAGGCAGCCATAATCCTCCTGGGAACATAACTCCATTGGACTGAGAACCACACCCCCATCCCCCACAGCAGCTGCAGCAAGCCCCGCCCAAGGAGAGGCTGAGCTCAGAGGCGCCTATCCCTGCCCCTACATGGTGGTCTTTCTCTACCTGCCCTGGTAGCCAAAGACAAAGGCCCAATTCTCTTGGGAACTCTGTGGCCCTGCCCACTGCTTGGGAAACCTGAATAGATAACCAGGTGTCCTGAGGGCAACTTTGCATTCTCCCTATAGGACCATAGCTGATGCACTCTTGAAAGTGCCACCTCCTAGCTAGAGGCCAACCAACATAAAACCAACACACTAAATAAAAACACAACAGAGGACCTTCACGGAGCCCACTTCACTCCCCTGCTGCCTCCACCAGGTGCAGGTGCTGTTATCCACAGCTGCAAGAACTGAAGACAGATCACATCACAGGACTCTTTGCAGACTCTTGCCAGTACCAGCCCAGAGCCTGGTAACTTTGCTGGGTGGCTAGACCCAGAAGAGCAAAAACAATCACTACAGTTTAGCTTACCGGAAGCCCCATTCATAGGGGAAGGGAGAGAACACCACACCAAGGAAGCACACCATGAGACAAAAGAATCTGAACAGCAGCCTATGAATCCCAGATCTTCCCTCTGACATAGTCTACCCAAATAAGAGAGAACCAGAAAAGCAAGGTTCTTTAACACCCTGAAAAGATCATACCAGCTCACCAGCAATGGATCTAAACCAAGATGAAATCTCTGAATTGCCAGAAAAAGACTTTAGAAGGTTGATTATTAAGCTAATCAAGGAGGCACCAGAGAAAGGTTAAGTCCAACTGAAGGAAATAAAAAACATGATACAGGATATGAAAGGAAAATTCTTCAGTTAAATAGATAGCATAAATAAAAAAACAACCACAACTTCTGGAAATCAAGGACACACTTAGAGAAATGCATAATGTACTGGAACGTCTCAGCAATAGAATCAAATAAACAGAAGAAAGAAACTTCAGAGTTTGAAGACATGGGTTTCAAATTAATCCATCAAAGACAAAGAAAAAAGAATTTAAAAAATGAACAAAGCTTCCAAGAAGTCTGGGACTATGTTAAATGACCAAACCTAAGAATAATTGGTGTTCTCGAGGAAGAAGAGAAATCTAAAAGTTTGGAAAATATATCTGAAGGAATAATTGAGGAAAACTTCCCTGGCCTTGCTGAAGGAAGATCTTTTGTCTAGGGATGTAGACATCCAAATACGAGAAGATCAAAGAACACCTGGGAAATTCATTGCAAAAAGATCATCACCTAGGCACATAGTCATCAGATTATCTAAAGTCAAGATGAAGGAAAGAATCTTAAGAGCTGTGAGGCAAAAGCACCAGGTAACCTATAAAGGAAAACCTATCAGAATAAAAACAGACTTCTCAGCAGAAACCCTACAAGCTAGAAGGGATTGGGGTCCTATTTTTAGCCTCATTAACCAAAACAATTATCAGCCAAGAATTTTGTATCCAATGGCACTTAACTTCATAAATGAAGGAAAGATATAGTCTTTTCCAGACAAACAAATGCTGAGGGAACTTGCCACTACCAAGCAAATCAGGGAAATGCAAATCAAAACCACAGTGTGTTATCATCTCACTCCTGCAAGAATGGCTATAATCAAAAAATCAAAAAAGAATAGATGTTGGCATGAATGTGGTGAAAAGGGAACACTTTTACACCATTGGTGGGAATGTAAACTAGTACAACCACTATGGAAAACAGTGTGTGATTCCTTAAAGAAGTAAACGTAGATCTACCGTTTGATCCAGTAATCCCACTACTATTAATAGGCATGTACCCAGAGGAAAATAAGTCATTATACAAAAAAGATACTTGTATATGTATGTGTATAGCAGCAGAATTTGCAATTGCAAAAATATGGAACCAGCCCAAAGGCCCATCAATCAACGAGTGGATAAGGAAAATGTAATATATATATTACGTATGATACAGATATGATATATATGTAATATATATTACATTTTATATTACTATATATTACATTTTAATATGTTTTTGTGTGTGTGCATATATATATATATGCACACACACACACACACACACACACGCACCATGGAATACTACTCAGCCATAAAAAGGAATGCAATAATGGCATTTGCAGCAACCTGGATGGAATTGGAGACTATTATTCTAAGTGAAGTAACTCAGGAATGGAAAACTAAACGGTGTATGTTCTCACTCATATGTACGAGCTAAGCTATGAGGACACAAAGGCATGAGAATGATACATTGGACTTTGGGGACTTGGAGGAAAGGGTGGGTGGTGAGGAATAAAAGACTACACACTGGATGCAGTGTACACTGCTTGGATGATGGGTGCACCATTCTAAAATCTCAGAAATCACCATCAAAGAACTTATTCATGTAACCCAACACCACCTGTTCCCCAAAAACCTATTGAAATAAAAATTAAAATTTTTTAAAAATAATAAAATGTACATTATAAAACAAAAAAAATAAAAATCTACTCTTTCAATAATTTTCAAGCATACAAAACATTGTTACTAACTATAGTCAGCCCAGTAAATTTCTTGAACTTATTCCTCCTAATTGAAATTTTGTATTTTTTAACCATCTCCCTAATCTCCCCACCTCTAGCCCTTAGTAACTACCATTTTACTCTCTGCTTCTATGAATTCAAATTTTTTAGATGTCACATTTAAGTGAGATTACACTGTATTTGTCTTTCTGTGCCTGGCTTATTTCACTTAACATGATATACTCGAGGTGCATCTGTGTTGTTGCAAAGGACAGGATTTTTTTAAAAGGCTGAATAATATTCCATTATCTATATGTACCACATTTTCTTTATCCATTCATTTGTTGATGGACACATAGGTGGCTATTGTGAGTAATGCTGCAGTGTGCATGGGAGCGTAGATATCTTTTTGATATATTGGTTTCATTTTCCTTGGATATATACCCAGTATAGGATTGCTAGGTTATATAGCAGTTCTATTTCTAACTTTTTGAGGAACCTACATACATATTTCCATAATGACTGTACTAATTTACATTCCCACCAACAGTGTACAAGTGTTCCCTTTTTTCCACATTCTTGCCATCACTTGATGTCATCCTTCTTTTTTATAATAACCAGACTTTGCTTCATGTGTTTTGGAGGCTCTTTTTTTAGGTGCATATATCTCCATAAATGTTATCACTTCACGATGGATTGACCCTTTTATCTTTACAAAATGATTTTTATCTCTAGTAACAAGTTTTTAAAGTCCATTTTGTCTGATATTAGTATAGCCACTCCTGGGTTCTTACGGTTGCTTTTTGAAATGATTTTGTTTTTCTATCTTTTTGTTTCAACCTGTTTGTATCTTTGGATCTAAAGTGTGTCTCCTGTAGACAGTACATAGTTGGATCTTGTTTTATTTAATGCAATCTGACAATCTCTGTCTTTTGATTGTATTGTTTAATCCATTATATGTAAAACAAACATAACATCCTGAAAAGTGGGGGGAAAAAGTCAACTGGCTAGAGCCCTCAGGAGCCAAGTAATAACATGTTGATAAGTTCCCTGGGTATCTTATGCCTGATATGTACTAGATTAAGTGTTAGAAAAGCTGGCAAACTGGAAACCCCAATGAGTGCAGACCAAAAAGACTCAACAAAATCCTGCTTTTTCTAGATAGTGGGTCAGAAAGAGAAAGCCTAGTAGAAAACTTCTAAGCAATAATTGCTCTACTCTAGCCAAACACCACAGAAGAAAACGGTGACCTCACTCTCACCCATGCCAGCGAATGTTGATTTGGGAGCATAGACTCTTCCACACTTGCTAGGTGGTAATAAGCCCCTCTTGTGCCACCCCCTCACTCACCCCCATGGTGTCAATGGAGAATATGTGGGAGGCCTGACTCATCCCCACTATAGTAAGGCACCTCTCCCCTTACCTGCTGGGTTGGGGTGACAGAGTCAAAACATTACCACCACCGCCATGGAAGGGGAAATCAAGACATTTTCAGATGAAATAAATCAAGAGAATTTGTTGCCAGCTGACTTACCCCAAAAGAATGGCTAAGGAATGTTCTTTAAGCAGAAAGGAAATAATAAAAGAAGTCCTAGACATCAGGAAGGGAGTGCGTAGTAACAAAACTATGAGTAAATGCAATAGACCTTCCTTCTCTTAAGCTTTCTGAATTATGTTTTATGGTAGAAACTCTAACACTGTGATATGATCCTACTCTGACACTGTCTGATGTGTGTTTAATTTGGAAATAGATAAGACACTTATTAACGAAGGAGAGTAGAGGTATGTAATGGGAGGTAATCTTTATATATTTCACTTGAATTGGTAAAATGACAGCACTAGTAGACTGTGAAAAGTGATGTATCTATAATGTATTTCCTAGAGCAACCACTTAAAAAGCTATACAAAGAGAGACACTTAAAAACGCTATAGATAAATCAAAATTGAATTCTAAAAAAATGTTCAAGCAGCCCATAGGAAGGTAAGAGAAAGCAAACACAGAAATAACAGAGAGAACAAATAGAAAACAAGAAAGAAAATGACATATTTAAGCCCTAATATATCAAAATATAAGCAAGATTTTTTGTAGATATAGAAAAGATTACCCTAAAATGTTTATGAAAATGTAAAAAAACTGGAATAGCTAAAATAATTTTGAAAAAGAATAATAAAGTGAGAAGAATCAATCTACCCAATTTCAAGACATATTATATAGCTAATGCAGTCAAGGCTGTGTGGCATTGACAGAGGACAGATATATAGACCAATGGAACAGAATGGAGAACTCAGAAATAGACCCACACAAATATGTCCAATTGATTTTTGACAAAAGTGGAAAAACAATTCAGTGGGGGAAAGATAAGCTTTTTATCAAATGGCTGTGGAGCAGCTGGACATCCATAGGGCAAAAAAATGAAATTACACAAAAATTTTCTTAAATGAATCATGGACTTATATGTAACAAATAAAACTAAACTTTTAGAAAAATATGGAAGAGACCATTTTCATGTTCTAGGGCTGGACAGAGCATGTAGATGACACCAAAAGCACAATTCATAAAGGGAAAATTTGATAAATTGGACTTCAATAAAATTAAAAACTTTGTAAAAGATCCTGTTAAGAGAATGAAA
This sequence comes from Homo sapiens, assembly GCF_000001405.40. NCBI lineage: Eukaryota > Metazoa > Chordata > Mammalia > Primates > Hominidae > Homo > Homo sapiens. The sequence goes on along the minus strand of NC_000002.12, from coordinate 169,000,261 downwards.
AGACAAGCTACTGACTGGGAGAACATATTTGCAACTTGTATATCCAAAAAAGGACTAGGATCCCGAATATATAAAAAATTCTCAAAACTCAGTGTTAAAATAACAATAGCAAATTTCAGTTCAAAGATGGGAAAAAGACATGAGTAAGGACAAAAGATGGCAAATGAGCACATGAAATATGTTAAACAACATCAATAGAGAAATGCAAATTAAATCAAAATGAGATATTACTATAGACTTATTGGAATGGCTAAAATTAAAAATAGTGATAACCCTAAATGTTGATGAAGATGTGGAAGAATTGGATCACTCTACCATCACTCATGCCATTCAAACCATGTCATAGCTATCCTGGAAAACAGTTTAGTAATTAAAAAAATTCTAAACACTCAACTACCATATGACTCAGCATTTCTACTCTTGGGGATTTATTCCAGAGAAATGAAAACTTATGCTCACATAAAAACCTATACACAAATGTTGATAGCTGCTTAATTTGTAATAGATAAAAATTGGAAACAGCCCAGATATCCTCCAAAGGATGAGTGGTTAAACAAACTGTGATCCATCTATCTATATTATATGGAATCCTCCTTAATAAATAGGAATGAACTGTTAATGATGAAACTTGAAAGAATTATGCTAAGTGGAAAAAAGCCAACCCCAAAAGGTTCTACACTGTGAGATCCATTTATATGACATTCTTGAAATGACAAAATTACAGCAAAAGAAAACAGACTGGTTGTAGCTGGGGCTAAGGAGGATATGGGGATTGGATAGAAGCATGTGGAGATATAAAAGGACAATATGAGGGAGTCTTGAGATGATGAGAATGTTCTGATCTTGATTATATCACTGTCAATATCCTGGGTGTGATATTGTACTACAGTTTTGCAAGATATTTGCAAGATATGGCTTTAGTAAATCTGTAAGCTTGATGTGTAAATTGAATGACAAAACAAGGTAAAATGAAAAAAAAAAAGGTAAAAAGTTTCCAAAACAAGGTAAAAAGAAACAAAAAAGCAAAATAAGTCCTCATGTCATAATAATTTGTAAAACGTCTCTTTATCTTTTTTCCTCTAATGTCATCTCTCTCCCTTCTTTGCTATTCAACAAATGGGGAATCTTAATTCATTCAAGTAGATTCAGGTCTGTTTTTGCTGTTAAAAAAATGCCATTCTGTGGTCCAAATCACCTGCACACTTTATAGAATCCTTCCTGGGGTTTTATGATGACAAGTGTTCCCAACATTCAGGCAATAAAGACCTTGGTATGCAGTCAAGGGAGCAAAGCCAGGCCTGCTCTTTTCCTTCCTGTCAGTTTTTCTGATAGGTTTTTTCTGTTGTTCCAGAAATATTATCAAGTTCTCTAAAGCCTTAATCACCTCTTCTTCCCAGAATAAAATAAAAATGAGTTAACCACTCATTTCAGAGACACCGCAGGAGTGAAGAGAGTGATAAACTGCATATATCTTTATCTGCACCATCCAGCAGTGATAGAATTATCTTGACCTTTGTTCCAGAAAATCCCAGAGCTGGGCCAGTGCCCAACACCCTTAATCCACATATGTTTGTAAACTGGCATTTTTAATGACAGTCGCTTCATCACTTCCGCTTACAGTGCTTGTAGAATAAAGACACCACAGGAAATTTAAGTTATTTATTGTTATCATTTTAATTGTCACATAAGTATACATATTTATGGGATATAGTGTGATGTTTTGATGCATGTATACAATGTGTAATGATCAAATCGAATAATTAGCATTTCCATCACCTAAGACATTTATCATGTCGTTGTGGTGAGGACATTCAAAATCCTCTCTTCTAGCTCTTTTGAAATAGTCAATGTATTATTGTTAACTATTATAGTCACCTACTATGCAATGTAGTACCAGAACTTATTCCTGAACAGTAACTTTGTACCTGTTGACCAACCTCTCCCCATCCCTCCCCCTCCACTGCTCTTCCCAGCCTCTGTTAACTACTATTCTCTAAGTAAAATGTTTGGACAAATGCTTATAGTTTTCTGGTTTGGGACACCCCAAAACAAGCTGAAAATGAAGAGAATTGACTCATGTATACCTTAGAAAGCTTTTACTTATAATAATATAGTATACTCTCTGTTCAGAGATATTTAGCTTTTATAAGAGCCTCTGATTGTGGATATTCATCGATAAGTTTATGATTTTCTAGTTCTTGTTCATCTCAGGGTTCTTCTTAGTCATCATGAAAGACTGGGAATGTGGTGAGCACAAGAGACCTTAGCTGGTTTTGAGGTTGTCAGAAGGGTTGACCACAGCAGTTATTTCCCTTCCTAATTAGTATTTTGAAAGTCAAAGCAAAATCAGGAAACATTTATTGATTTCAGGCAGAGTGACCAAGCAGTGTAAGCCCAGCCCTTGACCTTGAGTAGCTTGCAATCTACTAGCAAGACAAGCATAAATGTACTCAATATAAATATATTCAATAAAGATATTGACTAATAGTGCAGTTTATTCTGTATTAAATGAATTATGTTGCAATGCTTGACCTGAGTTCAATAGAGAAAAAAAATCAAGCTCAAGCCACAAAAAGAAGGCTGACAGAGAGCGGAAAGGATGTAGGATGAAGAACCCATGCTGAAGAGGCTGCTTGCTGATTCTCTAAAGTAGACTCTATACCATTTAACTTGTCCCTGAAGATCATAACTGTCATCAACCAATATGTTAATTTTCTAATTATGGAATGCCTTCATTCATAAAAGCAATTTCAGAATTTTTTTTTCCTCCACTCCCTGGCACTGCCAATCCCAAACCCTGTGCAGCAACATGGTAGTGCTGCTGGGAAAAATGCCAAAGTATTTTTCTTTGCTATTTTTCTTCTTGCTATTTCCCACAAGTGTCTTTGGCTTCAACCTTAGAAATTGTCCTGGTGAATGAACTTAGGCTGTAGTCAGCAAAAAGACAGGGCTAATAAAATGCTTTTCTCTCCCATGGGAAGATAACAGGCACATTTTTCAGTGTCACTCTGAGATAGAGAAGTTGAAAAGCTGGCTAGCATTCCTAGAAGAGGTAACAGTAAGCCTCCTGATTTACAGCACACATCGTTCTATCAGTTTCTTTTCAGACAGCCTGTCTGGCTTTTGAAAATCTTTCTTGCCTGTGATTGCTCTATCACTGCATGATGAGTATGCATGGAAGAGACTAAAGTGGACCAAGCCCTGGGCTGCCATTTAGGGTACCCTGGCTTCCAACAACTGCTAATTAATTATTTCATAGTCCTAGCATCTCTGCCTATAAAAATGAAGGGGATATGCATATTTTCTGTGATTGGTACCATGAGGTCTGTTTAGAAATTTGGTTGGATTTATTATAATTTTGCATAGATAAAATGTCTTACTCATGTCTAATAGAAATATACTATATATAGTATATTTATTATATATTATATATATATTTAAAATATATATATTTTTTAAATCCCTCTATATCCACAAATGTAATCTCTGGTGGCTTGATCCTACTTGCAAGTCTGAACATTCTTTTCCCTCTTTTGAAGGTTGCTGAACATCGAGAGCGAAATGATCAAATTTGCCAGTTACTATGCTGGAATTGCTGTCGCAGTACTTATCACAGGATATATTCAAGTTAGTAGCTCCTCCGTATAATTTATAGATCAATATCTGACCTCAAAGACACTACAATGAGATGCAATGTGTTGCCACTCTTTAAGCTAATCAGAAGCCCTAAGAACTACAGTCTGTTTCCAGAGGACATGAGAGAATGGAGAGGGATTCTTCTCTCAGATGGAAACTTAGGAGGATACAAGTGGCTGTCCAGAGAGATGCATAATAGACTCGTAGTTGTAATGTCCTGTCCTCCCCCTGCCTTTCCCTACTTCATCCTCTCTTCTATATCCAGAAATGGACATTTGCAGGTGTGTTTGTAGGGGGCAGTTGAGTAGCTTGAAGAATGTGGGGCAGGGGGAGATAGAGGAAAGCAAAATTTACTTTCTTTTTCTCGCATTGCTAAAGTCTCAACAAACTGCATTCCAACCCAAATTCTGAAAGGCTGAATCTAGAGCATATTTTAGATTTAAGTGTTGGAAGGGCTTGGAGGTACTTAACTCTTATTAAGAAAGAAAAATATTTTATCTTTTGCCTTCTTTTGTAGAAAAATAATGAATTCCTTCCCATTCATTCAAGAATTCCACACAGTGCTGTTTGTAAAGAGAAATGAATCATTTTTTCCCATTTAGGCATTGGGAATTTTAATGACAGGCTTTTTTTTTTTTTTTTTTTTTTTTAGTTAGGGAAAATCTATCAGCAGATTAGATTTTTGCTGATGTCATAATTTTTGTTTTACATTTCTTGAAAATTATTGCCTGAAAACTATGCATGAATGCTTCTAGGCAGGTCTTTCCGGGAGGAAATTCACTCAGAAATGGCATTAAAAATAGTTATTTAAGAACAATAATGCCTTATTTTTGGTGCTGTGAGCCTTCTTTCACACATGGGGAAAGTGAAGCTCTGTAGGGTAAAGTCCAGAAGACATGGGCCTGCTTAAGTGTCAGAGCTGGATTCAAACCCAAATCTCAGGCTACCCTGCTGAAGGTTCTGTTTACCTCCACTTTTAGCAGCAGATGACAGAGCTCACATCTTAGTTCCCAAGAAGAGGCATTTTCTGAATTACTTTCCCCCTTTTCTCAACTGTTGTATTGAAAGTACTTTCTTCTGAAAAAAGAAATTAACAAATATTTCAAACATTGCAATGCTAAACATTCCTTTGTCCATTTCCAGATATGCTTTTGGGTCATTGCCGCAGCTCGTCAGATACAGAAAATGAGAAAATTTTACTTTAGGAGAATAATGAGAATGGAAATAGGGTGGTTTGACTGCAATTCAGTGGGGGAGCTGAATACAAGATTCTCTGAGTAAGTAGCTGGTAAAACAGTATTTTAGTGTGTGATTTTTGGATAATAAAACCCTTGTTTCTAAATTAAATAAAAATTTAAAAATATTTTCAGTTTTCCTATGTTTCATCTCTTAAATTGGGCTTTCATATGTGGCATGGCTTTTTCATAAGTAATACACTGTCAAATATGGACATTAAAAATTGAAACCCAAGGTACTGCAATTTGGTGTGTAGACCTTAATTAAAATATTAGAAAGGAAATATTATAGAAGACAGTTAAAAAGGTTATTTAGCTGTCCAGGTGTAACTGGATTTAAATCCAGTTTACACCTAGTTTAGGTCATTAACAGCCACCCAGGAATTCTAAATGAGAGGAATTAGAATTGGTCGAACCCTATTGAACTGAATTTTGAGGTCCCCTGAAAGACAGTCACTCTACAGTGTAGATAAAGCACACTGAAATTCAGGACCCCTGACTTCCGGCACTTACTCTGCTCCTTACTGTGACCTTGAGCAGTTATCTAACCCTGCTGGAACACAATGGCCTAATACCTGGGTGATGTCTTAGGTTCTTTCTTGCTGTTTAGTTCCAAGCTCTCTTCACTCCAACTGGACAAGAGATTAAGGAAATGTTCTCAGGAATATGAATTTAATATAATTATATTCAATAAATATTCTGGAGCAATTGCCTTGCACTTGTGCTCTTGAGGAACTTACAGCCTCGTAGGGGAAATAAGAAATGCAAGCAAATAATCAGAACTAACACATATTGTTTATTATATGATAGGCGCTGTCCTATAGGCTTTACATATATTCGCTACTTTAATCCTCATTATTACCCATTGGGGTAGGTTCTATTATTGTTCTTATTTTACAGACAAGAAAATTGAGCCACAAAAAGGTTAAGTAACTTGCCCAACAAGAGTCTGTATTCAAATTCCTAGTCTGGCTCCAGAATCTGCACTCTTCACCACTACTCTATACTGCCTATATGCAGAATGCAATAATTCCACACACATACAAATGCACAAGGATTAATTACAGTGTTACGGAAACACAGGGAGAAAGGTGTTACTTCTTCTTGGGGGATTATACAAGATTGATGCACGAGAAGGTATGTGACTAGAACCTTGAGGCTGAAAGGATTCAGCAGGCATGAAGAAAGAAAAGCTTTGCAAGACAGAGCAAGGATATTAGCTATGTAAAAGAAAAAGACAAATAAGATGGTTTCCAAAAGCCTTTATCAACACTGAGTACCAGCTGGGAAACCTAGATTAAGAACAAAATTGATTGGCTATCAGGAAAGAGGCTTGATAACATCCCAAGGTGCAGCAAATTTTCCAAGATCTGAGAGGCTGTTAATGCTATCCAAGGGTGATAGGGATAGAGAGATGGGAATGTTTAAAAGGGAAAGACTGAGACTTTCAGCAAGATATTTGAATGATCAAATTCAGTTTTAGTGACCAAAATCTTTCTGGTTTCTAGTGATATTAATAAAATCAATGATGCCATAGCTGACCAAATGGCCCTTTTCATTCAGCGCATGACCTCGACCATCTGTGGTTTCCTGTTGGGATTTTTCAGGGGTTGGAAACTGACCTTGGTTATTATTTCTGTCAGCCCTCTCATTGGGATTGGAGCAGCCACCATTGGTCTGGTAAGAATGTCTTTTTGCATCTCTCCATGGGAAGACATTTGCCTTCATAAACAGCCAAAAATGTGAAGCTTGAGTCCCTTTTCCTGAGTACAGTTAGCAACATAATTATCACTATCTTCATGTAGTTTGTTAGATTACTCCCCAGTGTCAAATGACATTTCATCGAATAGGGATTAATGATGTTTTAATAGGTAAATATTGTTTTATTAACAGCAATTACATTTATTGAGCATTCACTGTTTCTCTAGGCACTACTAGGAGCTTAATAGTCATTATCTCTAATCTTTACAACAATCTTATAAAGTGAGCACTAACATCATTTTAAATATAAGAAACTAGGCTCAGAAAGGTAAGGGGATTTGTCTGGGACTGCACAGCTGGCAGAGTAGGATTCAAGTCTAAGGGGCTCTGACTCCAAACCCCACTCACTCTCCAATATGCCTATTGTTCTCCATGTCCTCCCAAGCTTGGGCACTTCCCTGAAAAGGCACAACAGACAAAGAGCATTAACAAGCACACAAGAAGGATTTCTGCAATCACAACTGTGTTCTCCATTTCATCTTATCTTTCAGATAACCTCTTTCAGAGAGAGGTGATCTGACCCATTCCAAGAGTTATCCCAGTCACTGTCTCGGTTCCCCAGGAATTGAGGCCTGGACAACATATAGGAATAGGAATTTCGGGTCACATCAGCTAAAAACACTCCCAAGGACTGAGAAATTATTATTAGAGCAGCCACATTAGATAGCACGTTATGGAATCAGGCATACTAAAACTGTGCTATAAATGAGAATAGAATTTAACTGAAAAACTGCATACACCCTCACACATCGTTGAGCAATAGGTACCAACTTCCTATTGCTCAATAGCAAAATATTCTCACAGTGTCTACATTATTCAAACATTTCCCAGATAAAATAGAAAATGGTTTAAAGTGACAATAGCAAAGAGCTCGCTCCATTTCATTAGGTCACCACTTGGCTGTACCGCTAACAGGTTGTGTGACTCAGGAAAAATCCATTTAACCCCTGAAAACCTCAGTTTCCTTGTCTTTAAAATAGGGATAATACCTCCCAAAAACATTATGATGATTCAGGGAATAATCCACGTTATGCATTTAAGCCGTGTCGGGCACAGAATCAATTGCTAAAGAGAGATGTATATGTTTTTCAATCCACTATATCATTCAAGTTTTACGGCAGTCTTTCCTACTAACCACTTTCCAACTATACTCCAGAGAACCCTCAACTTCCACAGAAGAGCTTCAGGGGTTTTGCAAACATTTTTTCATTTTTTTTCTGAATACACTAATCTCTTTCTTCAAACCTGTGATAAAGTAATATACACACTCACGTGGATCATAGGCCACATTTCAACATGTTGGAGGTTAACATATAGCCCAGTTCACTTGGTTTTAAACAGCTCTAACGCTTAGTTTCTCTAGTCATCTCAGTACCCATTTCTAGCTTCTCATAAACTCGTCACTGATTTGGAATGTTGTAGGTCTGCACATGTCTTGTCTTGCTTTCAAGTCTGTGTATGCTTGTCCTTATACAACAAACTTCTACAAGCAACTATACAACAAACTATACAAGCAACTTCACTAGGCTCAAATGTAAATTTTAATGTTAATAAAAACAGCTTCCAGTCTTGGTAACACAGTGAGATCCCATCTCTACAAAAAAAAAAAAAAAAATTTTTTTTAAATAGCCAGGCATGGTGGCATGTGCCTATAGTCTCGGATACCCAGGAGGCTGAGGCCAGTGAAATGCTTGAGTACAGGAGTTTGAGACTGCAGTGAGCTAGGATCATGCCACTGCATTCCAGCCTGGGCAACAGAACAAGAACCCGTCTCTTTAAAAAAAAAAAAAAAAAGCCTCACTTTCCTTACTGTTACATGTTTAATTCACATGTTTTATAAAATGTACACTGATGAAATTAATATATTGTTTTTAAAAACTACTATGAATACTTACTTAATTTACATCTTAGAATTCCATCTAAGATTTTGATAAGAGTTTTGCTGCTAAAAGTTTGGAAAAACTACTGGAAGATAAACTCCCTTAATCTGGGTATTATATATATTTTTATATTTCTGAGCTAGTTGATCTTCCGCAATATGTGTTTTTTCCTCTTCTTATTTATTAATCTGTGCCAGGGTTTTCTTTGGGGGTTCATTTTGACTAGGACTCAATCCAAGTCAGTTTTAGAAAAAGTAATGTGTCTACTGTTAAGTACAGATGTCTTTTCATTTCCTTTTGTAAAAATCAAAACTACATAGTTGAGCGTCTCCAACTGAGTGAAAATGGACTTTCTTTTCTGGAATCATCTGAAATCGTCTTTCAACATCATGCCTATACTTTATATGTTATATGTCATATATTATACCCAATCATGATATCTGCATGTGTCTCTGGCGTTTGTCTATAAATTATGCAATGGCCATTGGCTAATAGCAATGAACTATGACATGGTCTAACTTAACACTTTATTAGTATAATGACTGAAACACTTTAGTCTTACAGAATGTCCTATTTGGAATTTATTCTTTGAGGAGGTTCTTACTTTTAGTAGGGTCATTTTGATATATCAACAACCAGACAACCCTGGATGAAGCTTACCATAGACCAAATTTGGACCAGATTTCTTCCTCCTGTCAATGATGTTACAGTGAGAATCTAATATTGTATTAAACCCATGCCACATGTTAAATGAATCTGAATGACAGACTGACTTACCTAATTTCTTGGACTTCACATTTTCTTTTCTTCTTTTTGATTTTTAGAGTGTGTCCAAGTTTACGGACTATGAGCTGAAGGCCTATGCCAAAGCAGGGGTGGTGGCTGATGAAGTCATTTCATCAATGAGAACAGTGGCTGCTTTTGGTGGTGAGAAAAGAGAGGTTGAAAGGTTGGTTAATTGGAATCTGATTCTTTCCTTAATTTCATCAATCAGCATAGTACCCTGAGTCTCTCAGTTTGTGCAAAGCGGCAGACCCACCTTGGTCTGTGGCCTCCAGAGGAAGTACTTGTTCAAGAGGGAGCTAAGCAGAGTAATTTAGGTTGGTAATTTAGGTACTATAAGAAGTCCCAAGCCTTTAGCAGTATGTTTTTAAAGATGTTGCAGTTGGCAATTTTTAGAAAGCCAGCTCAGGGTAGATATTTATTTCAAACTCTGATGGTATGTATGTATAAATATTATACCTCATATCAGTCTATAATGCTGTTTGCTGTCATTAAAGAAAAGCCTACATGAGACATTACAACTGATACCACAGAAATACAGAAGATCATAAGAGATTACTAAAAACAAACGCCAACAAATTGGATGACCTAGAAGAAATGGATAAATTCCTATAAAAATACAACCTGCCAAGGTTGAATCACGGAGAAATAAAGAGAAATAAATCTGAACATACCAATAATGAGTAAGGAGATTGAATCAGTAATAAAAAGTCTCCCATGAAAGAAAAGCCCAGGACCTGATAGCTTCATTGCTGAATTTTACCAGACATTTAAAGAAAAACTAGTACCAGTCCTCCTCAAATTCTTCCACAAAATTAAAGCGGAGGGAATACTTCACACTCATTTTACAAGGCCAATATTACCTTGATACCAAAGCCAGAAAAGGATACTACAAGAAAATCAAAGGCCAATATCCATGATAAACATGGACGTGAAAATGCTCAACAAAAATACTAGTAAACCAAATTGAATAGCACATTAAAAGAATCATTCACCATGATCAAGTGAGATTTATCCCTAGGATGTAAGGATGGTTCAACATAGGCATGTCAATAAATGTAATATACCACATTAACAGAATGAAAGACAAAAACCATATGGTTATCTCAATAGATGCTGAAAAAGCATTTAACAAAATTCAATATCCTTTCCTGACAGAAACTCTCAACAAATTAGGTATAAAAAGAATGTACCTCAATACAATAAAGGTAACATATGACAAGCCCACAGCTAAATCATACTCAAGGGTGAGAATTTGAAAGCTTTTCCCCCTAAGATCAGGAACAAGACAAAAATGCCCATTCTTGCCACTTCTTAGCAACCACAAAAGACCTTGAATAGCAAAAATCCTGAACAAGAAGAACAAAGCTGGAGGCATCACGTTACCTGATCTCAAAATCTACTACAAAGTAATAGATCATTATTAGATTATTTGATTACTATAGTAATAAAAACAGCATGGTACTGGCATAGAAACAGACACATAGACCAGTGAAAAAGAATGGAGAGCCCAGAAAGAAGTCCATGCATTTATAGTCCATTGATTTTCAATAAAGAGACCAACAACACACCATGAGGAAAGGGCAGTCTCTTCAATAAACGATGTTGGGGAAACTGGATATCCACATGCAGAAGAATGAAATTTGATCCTTACCTCACACTATACACAAATATCAACTCAAAATGGATTAAAGTTTTAAATGTAGGATATAAAACTGAAAAACTACTAGAAGAAAGCATAGGGAAGAAGCTCTATGACATTGGTCTAGGCAATGATTTTTTTGACACAACCCCAAAAGGACAGGTAACAAAAGCAAAAATAGACAGATGGGATTACATCAAACTAAAAAGCTTCAAAAAGGAAGCAATCAACAGAGTGAAGAGGCAATTTATAGAATGAGAGAAAATATTTGTAACCCATACATCTGATAAGGGGTTAATATCCAATACATATAAGAAACACAAACAACTCAATGACAAGAAAACAACCTGATTAAAAAGTGGTCAAAAGACCTGAATAGACATTTCTCAGAAGAAAACATACAAATAGAAACGTACAAAAAGAAACATACAACAGGCATGTGAAAAGATGTCACACATCACTAATCATCAAGGAAACACAAGTCAAAACCACAATGAGATATCATCTTATACCTGTAAGAATGGCCATTATAAAAAGAAGAAAGATATCAAGTGTTGGCAAGCATATGGGGAAAATGAAACACTGTTACACGGATCGCTTTTGGTGGGAAAGTAAATCAGTACAGCCAAAGAGTATGGAGATTCATCAAAAAATGGAAAACAGAACTACCATATGATCCAGCATCCCCACTACTGGGTATATATCCAAAGGAAATGAAATCACTATGTCAAGAGAAAACTGTACTCTTACATTCACTGCAACATTATTCACAATAGCCAAGGTATGGAATCAACCTAAGCACCCATTAACAGACAAGTGAATGAAGAAAATGTGTGTGTAAATTTACATGCCATATTCAATAGAATACTATTCAGCCTTTAAAAAGAAGAAAATACTGTTATTTGCAGCAACACGATGAACCTGGAGGACATTATGTTAAGTGAAATAAGCCAGGCACAGAAAAATACCCCATGATCTCACTGACAGAGTTGAACTCACAGAAGCAGAGAGCAGAACAGTGGTTACCAGGGACTTTGAGGTGGGAGGGGGCAGGCGAGAACTGGGGAGACGTTGGTCAAAGGATTCAAAATTTCAGTTAAACAGGGGTAGTTTGAGATATTTTAAAAATAATGACATTAATTATCTAATTGTAGTTGTTTTAATTTAGTTCATGGTGATCTAAAAGAAACCCTTCCTTATTCACATTTAAGAGGCAGTTTATAAAGTCAAGAAATGTGTTGTTAACATGGTGACTATGGTTAATAACATCACATTGCATACTTGAAAATTGCTAAGAATAGATTTTTAAGTGTTCTCATCACACACACACACACAATATAAGTATGTGAGGTAATGCATGTTAATTATCTTGATTTAGCCATTCCACAATTTATACATACTTCAAACCATCATGTTGTATACCATAAATATATGTAAGTTTTGTCAATTAAAAAATAATAAAGAAATGCCAGCATGATTCAAAATGCTATTTCACACATTTTTATTGAACACCTTTTTAATTAAACACACTTTATTCAGGTACTGTGCTACATGTTCTTTATAAAGTCTGATAAGATTTCTATTTGGTCAAACAGGCTGGGCACAGTGGCTCACACCTGTAATCCCAGCACTTTGGAAGGCCAAGGCAGGTGGATTGCTTGAGGCCAGGAGTTTGAGACCAGCCTGGGCAACATGGCAAAACCTCATCTCTACAAAAAAATACAGAAATTAACCAGACATGGTGGTGTACACCTGTAGTCCCAGCTACTTGGGAGGCTGAGGTGGGAGGATCACCTGATTCTGGGGAGTTTGAGGTTACAGCGAGCTGTGATCATGCTACTGCACTCCAGCCTGAATGATGGAGTGAGACCCTGTCTCAAAAAACAAATTAGTGTTGAAAAGTTATAGAGCATTATTCTAGAGATTAACTCCCAGTGAAAAGAAAAACCCAAATGGCCAAAATAATACAGTTGTCCAAAATGTAATTTTGTTTATTCTTTAATTTATCTGGTATTTATTGAGTACTTACTACGTGCCATGCTTTGATTTTTATAAAATAGCTACCAACTGAATAGCAACTCTTACTTTATGTGTTGTAGATTTGGTAAGATGGTGTTATTCTCAGTTGCTACCAAATCCATCAAGTAAAAAAGAGAATAGGATTTACAACCTCTTATTATCGTCTTTTCCCCACTTCTTTTGGTTTGTGGAGTGAGGTTCCTTATTTCTTGTAAAAAATTTCAGTAGCATATTTCTTCCACCATGAAAGACATTATCTTTTATTGTCAATAAAAGAGACAGTGTAGTGTTTTAAAAATGGTAACAAACATAGGATAGACCTTCAGTTTGTGTCCTGCAAAAGGTTAAAAGTTCTCCATGAATTCAATTCCTGAGATGTAGGAAGGCAGTTTCAGAATGCCTGAGCTATATATGAGACAAAGCCCATTGTTAATGGCTAGATCATGGAATTACTGAAACCTATTCCTTGCATTGGACTTCCACATAGTTTCAGTTATCCATGTCTCATGGCTGTGAACCTGACCAGTGTGTCACAACACAGCGTCTCAGCCACAGGGCAGATGGGTGAGTTATAGATGAGTTGGTGCAAACACTAGTTCCAAGCCTGGGGAGCTGGAAACAAAAAGTCTGGTCTGCTTATTTGGAGCCAGTTGCATTATTTTCTGATAAGGACATGTCATGTGACTCAAGGAAACACTTCAAACATAATACTAGATCTCTCTTGTTCATATATTTATGTTGAAAATTCTTTTCTCTTGGGGCCAAGCTTACCTCACTATGCAATCCAAGCAGCAATCAGGCAGCTCTGTTAAGTATCGCCCTTTCAACATGTTTCATTGTCAGGTTAAAACAAACTTTAAAAAACTACATAAAGGTTATTGGAGATTTTTCTCCCTGAAGCTGCTCTGTGTTTGCGATGATTTTATGATCATTTTGTAAAACCACTGCATCACGGCCTGTTTTAAACATTATAACTTGAGCTGTTTCTGCCGAAATTGACTCAAGCATTTTGTCTTCACAGGTATGAGAAAAATCTTGTGTTCGCCCAGCGTTGGGGAATTAGAAAAGGAATAGTGATGGGATTCTTTACTGGATTCGTGTGGTGTCTCATCTTTTTGTGTTATGCACTGGCCTTCTGGTACGGCTCCACACTTGTCCTGGATGAAGGAGAATATACACCAGGAACCCTTGTCCAGGTACCTTGGACTTATTGACCGAGACATAGCATTTCCTTCTGGTATCTCAGAAAAGTCCATGGATTAGATATTTTGTTTATTACTTTGGTGCCTTCAGGAAAAAAGCATCAATGATTTTATGGAGTCTGTCTGTGGAAACAAGTAATACCTTAAATTTTTTTTTATTTCCATAATTTTTTTGGGAAACAGGTGGTATTTAGTTACATGAGTAAGTCCTTTAGTGGTGATTTGTGAGATTTTGGTGCACCCATCACCCAAGCAGTATACACTGAATCCAAGCTCTGGTCTTTTATCCTTCACTGCCTTCGTACCCTTTTCCGCTGAGTCCCCAAAGTCCATTGTATCATTCTTATGCCTTTGCATCCTCATAGCTTAGCTCCCACTTATGAGTGAGAACATGCAATATTTGGTTTTCCATTCCTGAGTTACTTTACTTAGAATAACAGTCTCCAATCCCATCCAGGTTGCTGTGAATGCCATTAATTCATTCCTTTTATTGCTGAGTAGTATTCTGCCATATATATATGTAATTATATGTATCTGTGTATATATATACATATATGTTATATATATATCACAGTTTCTTTATCCACTTGTTGATTGATGGGCATTTGGGCTAGTTCCACAGTTTTGCAATTGTAAATTGTGCTGCTATAAACATGCGTGTGCAAGTATCTCTTTTGTATAACGACTTCTTTTCCTCTGGGTAGATACCCAGTAGTGGGATTGCTGGATCAAATGGTAGTTCTATGTTCAGTTCTTTAAGGAATTTCCATACTGTTTTCCATAGTTGTTGTACTAGTTTACATTCCCACCAACAGTGTAGAAGTGTTCCTTTTCACTACATCCATGCCAACATCTATTATGTTTTGATTTTTTTATTATAGCCATTCTTGCAAGATTAAGGTGGTATCACATTGTGGTTTTGATTTGTATTTCCCTGATCATTAGTGATGTTGAGCATTTTTTTCATATGTTTGTTGGCCATTTGTGTATCTTCTTCTGAGAATTGTCTATTCATGTCCTTAGCTCACTTTCTGAGTTTATTGTAGATTCCGGATATTAGTCCTTTGTCAGATGTGTAGATTGTGAAGATTTTCTCCCATCCTGTGGGTTGTCTGTTTACTCGCTGACTGTTCCTTATGCTGTGAAAAACCTCTTTAGTTTAATTAAGTCTCACCTATTTATCTTTGTTTTTATTGCATTTGCTTTTGGGTTCTTGGTCATGAAATCTTTGCCTAGGCCAAAGTCTAGAAGGGCTTTTCCAATGTTATCTTCTAGAAATTTTATAGAGAAACAAATAATACTTATATATTTTATAGTAAAGGGATGCTAAACATTTGAATTGATAAGACCAGCAATTTAATAATTTCAAATTAACTGAACACTTTATAGCTATGAAATGATGATTTTCTGACTGAGTCCAAAAAGAAAATATGCCATGAAAATGGAAACTCAGTGATCTCTCAGCTAAAAATTAACAGCTCGTATAACTGAGCTTTATGATAGTCCAAGATATATACTAATAAATGTACTTGTGAAACATAATGAGTTACTAAAATGCCAGGTCAATAACAGCCTTAACTGAACAGGTGCTACAAATGTACTTTATTGCTCACTTGTGCTAAAGTAGCTAATGCCTTTAATTTTCATTGTCTTTACAGTTATTCATTCAATAAGTAATTATTCAGCATCTACTATGTGCCAGACACTTAGAAAATGCAGGGGATTCAACAGTGAGCAACGGAAATGTGGTTTTGTTTTTGTTTTTGTTTTTTTGCCTTGATGGGATTTACACTTTAATGGAGAAGACAAGCAATAAATAAGTAACCATGTAAATGAATACAGACAAATAGAGACATGCTATAGAGGACAGAGAACCTTGACAGTGAATAGCAGGATAACCAGGTGTGGCGGGGGTCCAGGAAGGCTTCTTATCCTGCTCCCTCTCCCAAGGCCTTTCCTCCTTAGCTTATGGCTCTCTCTTGTTGCAACTGGACTCTGATCATTGTTTGAATTCTCAGCTAAATGCCACTTTCCCAGTCAGGCCTTTTACACTCACCCATTTTTCATTCTCTTTTGTGATCTGCTGTACTTTTTTTTCAAAGCACTTTTGTGATATGGAATATTTGCATTTATTTACACTTGTGCCCACCCGTTTCTACCCTCAGACAGTAAAATCTACGAGGTCAGGGAAACAAAAAATGAAATATCTGTTTCATTTGCCCTGCAAGTAAATAGGGAGTCGTTTTATATCAAATTCTTAAGTAAAATTTTTTAGCTCCAGATTCCGGATAGAGCAAACAATGAAAAATATCAAAACCTTGTATACCAGAAATTTGCTAGCTGAGAGCTTAAAATTCAAAATCTACTGCTTTAAGATAAATACATTGCCAGGGAAAATTGAGTAGGATTTTGATTTGCAAATGGAAGTGATTATCAGAGGTCAAACCATAATCATTCCAAACCACGGACTTTATTTCATTAAGAACATGATAATACACAAAGAACAACTTTTTCAATTCAGTTTATCTTGGCAGCATGAACAGCTGACATCTTTTGAACTTTGTTAAAGAAAATAAATATGATAATACAGGTTAATGTGTTTTGTAAACTTTAAAGAGATAGTATGGATGGGAAGTGTTACCAATTTTATAATTTAACCACTTCTTAACAACTTAGATACAGTTTTTACAGATTGGAAAAGCCACTGAAGTATTGCAGGTCCAGATTTTAACTATAGTCCCTTGTCTTTATTGATCCAATTCCTCCTAAGAACTTTGACATTTACCAAAATAGGGATATCAGTAGTTGGCTTTAGTCCTAGCTGCTTATACATACTTGCTATGCAAGAAGACAAGCATTGAGAAAACTTATTTTTCCTTTTGTTCCATGCCTACAAGGAGAGGATAGAGGTATACAATAATAATGGTTCAGAGGGAAAAGTGAATTGGTAAATTGAAAATCAAATAATACACAATACCAACTGGAAGCACTTGAATAAAAATCCCTTTGGTAACTCTCTGTAGTAGGAATCCAATTTTATGTCTCTCATCTTTAAATTTCCTGCCCATTGTACAGTGAGCTACTCTACTTTTGTAAATAATTTATTCTTTCAACCAATATTTCTTGAGTCCTTGCTATGTGCAGACATGGCATACTATGGGTCTCTAACATTTTAATCAACTGATTATTAACCTGTTACTCCCAACGTCTTTCTGTAAGCCTCTGCTTATATCTTAAGAGAAAATTTCCTTTGGGAAGATGAAATGCATCCTTTAACACTATATTCCTTGCTCTCTCTCTCTCTTCTCTCTCTCTCTCTCGCTCGCTCTCTCTCTCAGGTCTTGGCCACACTTCTGAGCAGCAAACTATGAAGGCTGAGTGTGCATGGGCTGAGTTGAGTGTTTTAATCCACAAAACTAATTAACGGTTTGGTTAATCCAGTACGTTTTGTGATACACAAAATCGTTACTGGCTGCATGGTAATTGGGCATAAATGGTAAGTAGTTCACATAAGTGACTGTAATTAGTATCACTTGTGCACAGAGAAAAAATGCACTCTGTGGTCTGGTAGGGAAAGATGAAGGGGACCTGAATGGTGCAGAAGGTTGTTCTTTCATGACCTTCCTGAGTTTCAGAATTCATTAATAAAAATAAACACATAATGGAGCGTGACATTCATTCAGTATATACAAAGTGTCAAGCACTGAGTGACGTATTATGTAATAAAATTACTGCATGTAATGCTCTCAATCTCATTCCGTAATTGGTGTCATTATACTACCACTTAAAAATGAAATTGAAGCCATGAAGTCAAGAAATATTGAGAGGGATTTGAACTCAGGTCTCCCTGACTTTGAGGCCTACCTATTAACCACTGTTTTCCTGCCTCTGACTCTGTCTTCCCAGGGGCCATGGACCCCTTTTTCTCCAGCACACCCATAGCTTAATTGTTCCACAGCAGTCTCCCTTCCCATCTCTCTGTCTACACTACTTCTGCTGTTCACAGGGCTAAAGAATATGATGTTGAGTGACAAATGATGGCTTATTGGGATGTTGCTAGCTACTGTGATGATTTGGGAATGTGCTTTTGTCCTGTCTCACTCACTCCTCCCCATCCAGAGAGCCATTCAAAGAGTTGGACCCCAAACTTCAATTTAGGCCTCCAGTCAGCCAGGAGTCAGCAAACTATGGTCGACAGGCCAAATCCAGCTCACTGCCTGTTTTTATAAATAACATTTTACTGGGACAGAGCCACAGTCACTTATTTACATATGTCTATGGCTGCTTTTATACTACATGGCAGAACTGAGTAATTACTTCAGAGCCCATATGGCCTGAAAAGCCTAAAATATTTATTTGGCCCTTTTTCAGAAAATGTTTGCTGGCCCCGGATCTAGGGCAAATGGAAGGTTCCTTTGCTGAGGTAGGAAGACCTCTGACGTGTGTGGTCTTAAACTAAATTGGACCATAAGAAGTGTTCTATCTGCTTCCTTTACCGCCTCCTAAGTGTGGGACCTCAATACTTTCTTCACTGTCAGCATCATCATCACCAACATCATTACTACCATTGAAGAGACTAGCACTGGATTAATCATCTTTACACACATTATCTCATTTGATCCTGTAATAATCCTATGAAATATATGCTATCATTATCCCTGTGTTGCAGATGAAGAAATGGGGGCTTGAAAGATTACATAATCTGCCTATGGGAGGAACCACCTGCCATAATTGAGGACAAGGAAATGAAGAGATAATTTTTGTCCCTATGCATAGGCTGGGATTCTAGGGAGAAAGCGTGAGTGGACTAACCCACCACCCATGTATGGCAGCCCTGGCCCTGTTAATCATCCTAATGTGTGGAATGAAGAGGTTACTGAAGAGGGAGAGACATGGCTGAGAGGCTCTGACACTTTCCATGGTTCAGACACTCCAGCCACAAGGAAGAAAGAGAAGCAGGAGAGACTCAGGCAATTTGCCTCAATGTGATACAACAAATGGGAAGGGTCTGGCCTATAGAAACCATCACAGACCAGGATCATTTGATCACCTGAAAAAGACTACATTCATGCAGGGCCACTCTTTGGCTTGGCAATAGACTGTGGCCAATGAAACATCCTCTATGCGAGTCACAAGAGTAGGACCATTCTTTGGTTGACAGGGTAGAGAGGAGGAGACTGGTATTCCTTCTGGAGGCCAACTTGAGGATTTGCCTCATTGTCTCTTCCTTACCTTTATAAACAGTGCTGATAATAAAAACAGAGTGCTATTTGGTAGGAACATCTGGGCATGATCAGGTAGCCTTCCCCTAAGGTAATGAGATGACTGCATTGGTAAGTCAAAGAACAGCTGCCCCAAGTCTGCACAGGAACCTGACCACTCCACCTGCATATAGCCAGCAACAGGTGAGTCTGGGAGCTAGGTAGAATGGCAGTCAAAAGCCTGGATTCAAATTCTGCTCTACTACTTATGACATGTTGTAACCTAGTGCAAATTGGGAGCCTCCATACCTGTCTGTTCACTCTTCTGTTGTAAAGATAAAATGAAATAATACAGATAAAACACTTAGAAACATACCTGTTATTATTGTTATTATTACTGTTATTCATAGTAGTTGCAGTAGTTAGCCCAGTGACTACTGGAATAGTAGCATTAGTATAGCGGTAACAACAGTAGCAGGTTGGTTTTGCATGTACCAGCCTCTAGAATAGTCAGGCTGATCTTAGTGTCTGTATTGTTTTTGGCAACCCTTTAACCAGAAAATCACTATAAGGCTGATTATATAATGAATTCAATTATCAAATCACTATTCAAGTCCACTTTGGGTCTACAGGCTACCTTGCTTAGACTTCTTACTCATTTCAAGACAGTTCTACTTTGTAGAAGAGTAATATTCAGTAAAAAAATAAAGTGGTATTTTAAATCATAACAGTGGAAAACTTGGAGATGCTTTACAGAACAAAAATTATTTTGGGTATTTCCAAACAGCCAAAGAGCTAGCTTTTGAACCCACAGAAGAGAATTTCTGATAACTCTCTGCGTTAACATGGAAGACCCAAATGATAGTAATTACTATTTACACATTAACAAAAACACATGAAAAATCTCTCTCTTTTCATTTCAGATTTTCCTCAGTGTCATAGTAGGAGCTTTAAATCTTGGCAATGCCTCTCCTTGTTTGGAAGCCTTTGCAACTGGACGTGCAGCAGCCACCAGCATTTTTGAGACAATAGACAGGGTATGTATAAGCCAAAAGTAAAGGCCATTAACAGGTGGGGGCTGGGGGGTGGGGCACAGAATGAACTCCTGAAGAATTTACCTTAAAGTTAAAAATATAAGAAGCTATCGCAAGGCCCTTAATTCAGCAACACTTATTAAATGCTATCATGTGCTGGTGCCAATTCTTTTTTTTTTTTTTTTTTTTTTTTTTTGAGATGGAGTTTCGCTCTTGTTGCCCAGGCTGGAGTGCAGTGGCACAATCTCGGCTCACTGCAACCCCCTCCTCCCAGGTTCAAGCGATTCTCCTGCCTCAAGGGAGTGAATGCAACAGGGAACTAGAACAAGTAAGACCCCTGTTCTTTACTCATGCTGGGAGAGGACAGGCAGTAAAGAAGTATGCACATTCAAAGATAAGACAATAGCAGAGAGTGGTAAGTAAATAAAGGAAATAAAATAGGGCAATGTGACAGCGACTGGGGTGGGAGAAAGAGTCTTTAAATTGGGTGGTGGTGGCAGTATCTCTGAGGAGGTAGCATTTGAGTGGAGAACTGAAGAAAAGTCAGCCATACAAATGAGGATTGGAGGAGGTGGGGCGTGGGAAGTAAGAGCAGGGAGGGCATTCATGGAAGAGAGGCCCCCAAGTTGGAAAAGGCTGCTGATTTAAAGAAGCTGAAACAAGCCCAGTGCAACTGAATAGAGTGAACAAGGGGCAGAGGCTGGAGGCATGGGAAGGGCCTACCATGCAGGACTTCAAGACCATGTCCATAAAATTCGCTTATCTTCTAAATATGGCAAAAAGGGATTTTACTGGTTAGTCTATGGAAGCACACTGGAGGCCAAGCTAGGGAGTCAAAATCCAAGAACAGGCCAGGCATGGTGGCTCTTGCCTGTAATCCCAATACTTTGGGAGGCCAAGGTGGGCGCGTCACCTGAGCCCAGGAGTTCAAGACCAGCCTGGGAAACATGGTGAAAACCTGTCTCTACTAAGAACACAAAAATTAGCCAGTCAAGATGGCATGTGCCTGTAGTCCCAGCTATTCAAGAGGCTGAGGTGGGAGGATCACCTGAGCCCAGGGTGGCCGAGGCTGCAGTGAGCCATGATTGCGCCACTGCTCTCCAGCCTGGGCAACAGAGTGAGAACGTGTCTCAAAAAACAAACAAACAGAAAACCAAGAACAGAAGGGGAAGTTGGCAATCTGTTGTTCTTTCTCTTTAAAAAAAAAAAATGCCCTGAGCTGAGTCCAAAGCAAGCCCTGGAAATCCAGAGGTGATTTGCGGGCTCCCTGAACCTGTTTGGTTCACTGTCCGCTGTTTGATACTCTTTCGCCAAACAGTGAAGTTGTAACCTATTAAGGAAGTGACTCATTGCTTTATCTGTTTTATAATTTGGGGTTTCATATATTGGAGTACAGAGAGATTGTTAAAAACCACATAAAAATGTTCATTGATGGCCAGGCATGGTGGCTCACACCTGTAATCCCAGCACTTTGGGAGGCCAAGTCGGGAGGATAGCTTGAGCCCAGGAGTTTGAGACAAGCCTGGGCAACCCTGTCTCTACAAAAAATTTAAAAAGTAGCCGGGTGTGGTGGCACATGCCTATAGTCCCAGCTAGTCAGGAGGCTGATATGGGAGGATGGCCTAAGCCCAGGAGTTTGAAGATGCAGTGAGCTATGATCACACTACTGCACTCTGGCCTGGGTGACAGAGTGAAACCCTGTCTCTGAAAAAAAAAAAAAAAAAAAAAAAAAAAAAGTCAATTTATTCAAATTCTACCTCTTTCTTAAGATTGTTATATGCTCAAATAAGATGATGACTCTAAAAGTGCCCTGAAACTAAAAAATTAAGGCATTTAAAAATTATTTCTTACCTTTATTAGCAACCCAGTAAGGAGGTAGATTACATTATACTCCTCAATAGAGCTAAAGTGATTGATATGGTTTGGCTTTATGTCCCCACCCAAATCTTATCTTGAACTGTAATCCCCATGTGTCGAGGGACAGACCTGGTGGGAAGTCATTGGATCACAGGAGCATTTTCCCCCATGCTGTTCTTGTGATAGTGAGGGAGTTCTCATGAGATCTGACGGTTTTAAAGTGGCAGTTTCCCCTATGCGCTCTCTCCTGCCACCATGTAAGACATGCTTTGCTTCCCCTTTGCCTTCAACCATGGTTGTAAGTTTCCTGAGGCCTCCCCAGCCATTTGGAACTATGAATCAATTAAAACTCTTTTCTTTCTAAATTACCCAGTCTCAGGTATTCTTTATAGCGGTGTGAAAATGGACTAATACAGTGATGAATTTCCATCACTAGTTATGGACAAGGGAAGAAGATGATGCTGGAGTGTTCTGGTAGCAGGAAGAGGCCCTCACTTTTCTCTGATTAACCAGAGTGGTTAAATTCTAGATTGGGCTTGTTGCTAGCAGAAGAGGTGAAATTCAGGACAACAATTGAAAGTTGGTAGCATTTGAACACATCATTTAGGAACACTCAGTTTTAATCATCATCTACCATGGATACTCAAAAGAATACCCTCGGACCCCCGATTGGTTGACTAGTTGCCTGGTCTTAGAAACTTAATCTTTCTGCAATTCCTCCACTTCTTCAACTGAAAATGGGCATATCACCAGTCTAGTTTGGTGACGGTGACAATTATGTAAATAAAAGTATAAAAACACCTAGTACATTGTCTCCTATATTATCTTAGTAATATATAATATATAATAATATTGTTAACATATGTTATACATTTATAATATTAATACAACATATGTATTATATATGTATTATTATATAATGGCACATATTATATAATATCTCAGTAACAACATGATAAATAATAACAATTAAATAAATTAATTAAATATGTATTATGTTAATATATAATATCTCAGTAATAGCTCAAGAAGTAGTGATTATTCTCACTATTATTAATAAACGTTTAATGAGTACACATCTTTGGCGTATCTCTGCAATGTTTTATCTGGTTGTTGTTCTAAGTAAATTCAAATTAAGATACATGCAAACTAAGAGGCACAATAAATGTATACATCTTCATTTGAATTTACTCATAAAACAGAGCAACAACCAGATAAAACATTGCAGAGATACGCCAAAGATGTTTATTTGAATTTACAATTTGAATTGAGTTGTGCATCTTAGTTTGAGTTTACACTGTGTCCCTTTTGTATTTCACTCCAGAAACCCATCATTGACTGCATGTCAGAAGATGGTTACAAGTTGGATCGAATCAAGGGTGAAATTGAATTCCATAATGTGACCTTCCATTATCCTTCCAGACCAGAGGTGAAGGTGAGTGCTGGTCTGTTCCCCAGAATAGTAAATGTTTTCTTCTTCGATGATTTATTTGCATAACCACAAATTGCTCATTTTCTGAAGCCTGACTCTGTTTCCAGTAATAGGGAATGGAGGTGTCTTTCTCTGAAAGTATCCTCGGGTGTTGGCTTATCTCAGGCAACAGACCACATTCCTTTGTGATAACCATAATGTGCAAATCCCCTGGTTGGGACACAGTCTGGCAGTACATTCAGGCTAAATGAACTGTATGACGCTCTGTTGAAATGAGTGGCAGGTCCTGTCTTTCCATGCAAGTGCTAGATAAATGACAAGGCAATTACAACAATCAGGAAGCACAGGTTCTTCCCAACCTTCGCAGAGACTGCAGAAAGTGGAAGACACTGAGTATAGGGTATGAAGTGGCAAAGGAAAGCTGCCATTATGTAGGTTTTTACTTCCCATCTGTAAATTCACTAGGTCACTGCATCAGCCCTTATAGGAAGGTATCCTTGTGATATTATGCTCACGTGTCTTGTTCAGGGCACATGGTGAAAAAAATTATTTCCTGCCTTTAAATTATCTTTACAGGCAATTTACTCTACAAGAAAATTAGGATCTACTACCCCTGAATAAATTGGCTTTGAAATTAGACTTATTCCTCATTTTCAACAGAGTATCTCTAGCCACTCTCTCTTAATATTTCTGTTATCTGCACAGAACTAAATCCCATTTTGTTAGCCTAACTTAATTCTGACACCACATACCTATCATATATATATGTGATATATATGATATATATGTGATATATATATCATATATCTGTGATATATATATGATATATATATCATTCTCTCTTTGAATATATGAATATATACAGAGAGAAGGTAAACATATATATAAAATGCAGGTAAATATTTATATAATATAATATTTGTAATATATAATACATATATATGTAAATATATATTTATCTATAAATATTTAAATATAAAAATATTTATGTATTTATATATTTATCTATAAATATAAAAATATTTATGTATTTATATATTTATCTATAAATATAAAAATATTTATATATTTATCTATAAATATAAAAATATTTATATATTTATATATTTATCTATAAATATAAAAATATTTATATATTTATATATTTATCTATAAATATAAAAATATTTATATATTTATATATTTATCTATAAATATAAAAATATTTATATATTTATATATTTATCTATAAATATAAAAATATTTATATATTTATATATTTATCTATAAATATTTAAATATAAAAATATTTAAATATTCATATATTTATCTATAAATATTTAAATATAAAAATATTTAAATATTTATATATTTATCTATAAATATTTAAATATAAAAATATTTATTATATATTTATCTATAAATAAATATAAAAATATTTATTATATATTTATCTATAAATATTTAAATATAAAAATATTTGTTTATACATTTATCTATAAATATTTAAATATAAAAATATTTATATATTTATCTATATTTTATATCTATATATACATACCTACATTATCAGTATGTAGGTAAATATATCTATAAATATATATAACAAATGTACAAATATAAGTGTATATCTCTATTTACCTTCATTATATACATAAATATATAAAACATAAGTAAATATATATTCTGATTACATAAAGTATATTTTTATTATCTATTACATATGTACCTAAACATCAAATGTTATAACATATGTAAAGGTGCTTTGTAAGCTATGAATTACAAAGTAATACACACTCAGTAAATATTTTTGAATGGATAGCTAAAACTTATATTACAATGGTGGAGAGTAATTGAGGTTTTTGCCATTACTTTTAATAGTGAAATAAAATCTTCTTACTTAAACCTATATGTATTTATTCATAGTACGAGTATGTTTTTAACCCTCTGTGTGCCACATTGTACTGGTGCTATAATGATAAAAAAGCACATTTGATGCCTGCTTGCTCTGGGAGCTTACAGTCCAATACAGGCCAGTAAGTGAAAATGTATTTGCAAGTTTGACTCCTAGTGTGAAATGAAAGGCGTGAGGTTTTGTGACACAGAGGACCCCAAACCACATTTTCCATAATCAGTACAAAAATCACCTCTTAATTGGTGAAAATATTGACAGATAGTTATGAATTAGCTTCTCATTCTTTCCTCGCAAGACCTACTAGCCAGCATTCAGCCTCTACGTAGCAAACACACCGTGTATATTTATTAAGTAAGTTTATTCAAATGGTATGTTCATACACCATACACATGACGGACGGCTTAAAATCCGCAAATTTCCTTACTGTTAATCCATGATCAGTAAATTAGTACTATATTTCTAACTTAATGGATTTTTTTTCTTTAACTAATTGGCATAGTCTCCTTATCCTAGTATGTCAGGAGTATTTTAAATCAGATTTTGGGACATAATTTTAAAAGTTAACATGTCTTATTTACTTCACCTGTGTTAATGTGCATCATTTTACTTCTTGGTCATGGCTCTCAGTTAAATAATTAAGTAATGTGCTAAATGCCAAAACCTCATCCTTGCCAATGTTTCCTTTTACTGGTTTTTGATGGATTTCAGTGGACGTTGCTTTGGGGGCATACATAAACGCACACACAGACACCGAGTATCAACACAAAGCATCTGCACCTGTAGCCTAATTGTTTGATTTGGTAAACAGTGACAATCTGAACTTTGCTGTTTTCTTTCTTCTCCAGATTCTAAATGACCTCAACATGGTCATTAAACCAGGGGAAATGACAGCTCTGGTAGGACCCAGTGGAGCTGGAAAAAGTACAGCACTGCAACTCATTCAGCGATTCTATGACCCCTGTGAAGGAATGGTGGGTGTCTTCCAGAAACTCCTCAATACATGGGGACAGTAAAGTGCAAATGGCAGTATATTGATCAAACAGAAAGGTGTAGCATACATTGAGACTGTCCTGGCATGCATAGTTAACTTAATGATTTGTTACTGAATTGATGGGACACGCTTCCTACATGGTAACAGTGTTCAGTGAATAACCAGTCAATTCCATTCACTGTATAATGTAACTGAATGTGCAGATACAGTCAGATGTGGCATAGCAACATTTCAGTCAGTGATTGATTTCATATATGATGGTGGTTCCATAAGATTATAATGGAACATGTATAGAAATCTGATATATGTCACTTGATGTTGGCATTGCAGATCAAGTTAAGAGAAATGATTGATATTTAGTAATGGTGCTAGGACATTTGGAAATATATATATACCATCTAAATTTGTGTAACTACACTGTGATGTTTGCCAGTGATGAAACCACCTAAGGACACATTTCTCAGAACGTATCCCCGTCGCTTAGCTATGCATAACTGTACATTTAAAATGCTATTGCTGCCTCTTCAGTGAACTGTCTATTCCACTTTTTTCTTTGTATTATAACGAAAATATTATTGTGTCCTTAAGTTCTCCAGACACTAAATATAGGAATAATAACAGGGCTTGAAATTAAGAGAGAGCAGTCCTAAGAAACTAAGAAAAATGAGTATTAGTAATTGCCATTTATTTATCACATATTATGTGTCAGATACTTTATTAAAATGATTACTTATTGTCACAATGACCCCCAAAGGTACATAGGCCCATTTGACAAACAAGGAAGCAGAGAGTCAGAGAGATGGAAACTTGTCTAGGGTCATTCATCAGGTAAATGACCAAGTCAGGATTGAATCCAGGTGTGTTGGGTTCCAAAGCCCATGCTCTTTTCACTCTGTCTCAAAATTATTCTTGTCAGCATCTCCTTGATGCCTTGAGATGGAATCGTTTAACTATTTAATGGCTTCAACAAAATGAGTTCTCTATCATGCATATAGTATTACACAGGCATGGCAAACATAACAGAGTTTTCCTTTTTCACAGACATCTCATCTCTGATTGGGTATTCTTTACTACCTACCACCATAACTGCACTCTGAATATATAGAAATCATAGTTTCTTGATGTAAGATTTTTACATTTTTACTAATAGTGATTTTTATTTGCTCCCACTGATAGTTTCACTTGCTTTTTAACAGCAAAGTGTTATTTGATGAATCTGGCCAGAAAGTAAGACTTACTATAAATCATATATACAAGATAGGGATCATTGTTTATTTTTATTATATCTTTTGAGTCCATTTTTGTCAAAAGTCAAAAGATATAAAAATATTTAAAACGTAGTGAATAACTGTCTCTACTCTTTACTGGAATCAAAAATTTGTCCATTCCTGGGCCAATGGTGTTAAATTAAGTGAACTTTATTTACATCATTTATGTTTCCACAATGAATTGTTCTGCAGCTATACTTGATTTCAATTACATGTTATCATCCTTATATAAAGAACCACATTTCAAGAGGAATTGTTTCCATTAGAATCTTATTGGCCTCTATTTTTTCTGCCCATTGGTCAAGTATGACATAATATTATGATTCAGAACCCTGAAAGATTCCAAAAGTTGTGATGTTGTGCCCATGCTCTCTAGGTGACCGTGGATGGCCATGACATTCGCTCTCTTAACATTCAGTGGCTTAGAGATCAGATTGGGATAGTGGAGCAAGAGCCAGTTCTGTTCTCTACCACCATTGCAGAAAATATTCGCTATGGCAGAGAAGATGCAACAATGGAAGACATAGTCCAAGCTGCCAAGGAGGCCAATGCCTACAACTTCATCATGGACCTGCCACAGGTACCCCTAGCCATACATTCCTGGGAGAAACTAAGAGGTCATAGAAGGAAAAAAAGTTGCACAATTATACACATTTCTTCTCGTATGATTCCCAAGTCATTAAATTCTTAAGCCATGTTTTAGTTTCATGCCTGAAAAAGTACCATGAGTGTTTCCTTTCATCTGAAAACACATTGTTTATGTGTTCAAATCTATCAAAAAAGGAGGTTTTCTTTTGAAAAGCTCACTTTGTTGGTAATATATTAAACATCTACCAAACTGGGGAACTATCTTTTTTAAAACTCCTTTGACATAGATCCAATGTCCTTATTCCTTTTATTAAGCATTTGTCTAAGCAGATGCTAAATGTCATGTGGCAATAACTTGCACAATAATCTCATGACAGCTACTCATAATTTTCTTGTGCTTAGGCAGCTAATATTGTGTCAAAAACAATTCATTGTATATCTCCATTCTAAGCAACAACAACTACAAAAACCAACTCCTCAGCATTATACTTCAATGGATTTTGCCACCGATGGCCTGCTAAGTCAAAGAAGAGTTATTATAAAGGGTTAACACGTATACGGTTCTTACTACATACCAGGCACTGTTCTAAGCACTTCACACCTATTAACTCATTAAACCCTCACAACAACCCTGTTGAGCAACTAATATTATTAGCTCCATCTAAAGATAGAAAACTGAGGTTCTGAGAGGTCAAATAGCTTGCTCAAGATTATACAACAAGTAAATGGTAAAGACAAGGTTCATACTGAGGTGATCTGCCTTCAGAAGAGTCAGTGATCTTGAACACTTCCCTTTCAGCCTTCTAAATTCTCTTTATGAATAGGATTGCAGCTGTGGCTATGATATAGCCTAGTAGTTAAAGAGTATAAAGCTTTAGAATCAGATTGCCTTGATACAAATCCCAGCTTCTCTATTTACAAGCTTTACAAACTTTCTCAAGTTACTTTGGGCCCAGTGTTTCCTTATTCATCAGTTGCAAATAGCAGCACTTGCCTCATAAGGTATCTATGAGAACTAAAAGAGATGTTATGTGTAAAAAGCTCAGAACCATGCTTTATTCATAGTAGGGGCTCAATTCATGTTGGTTAGTAATAAGCAAGATAAGTGTCTGACCACTAACACCTAATTATTAGATTCCAATGTTGTGCTAGGCCTGTGAGATAATCAGTAACCATCTTTTGTCAATGATAATCCTTATAAAGCTAGTTTGACCTTTTATTCATAATGTAAAAACAGCCTTTGCATTATATTTTGCTGTGTTGTCTAACAGGAGCAAAGAGACACGGATTTGCTCTGTGCTTTAATCCTCTGAGATAGATATTTAGGACCGTGACCAATTTTTATTTTGGTTGAAAAATCTTATTTGAAGTTGAGCTAAAGAGGAATATTTACACAGCCCAGTAAACCCTGGAATAAAAGCATAAATCAATTCCTTTATTTCACACATAAATATTGATTAGACAATAACCCGTCTGGGGAAGGGATATTTCTTTCAGTGGAAGTCGGAGCAGTGAAAATTCGTGCTTGAGAAGAAAACTATGACAGAAAGGACATTATAGTGGATCACTGTCAGAAGCCATCAAATTCTTTTCCCTTCATGACTGGTGTCACCTTCCATCTAGCAATTTGACACCCTTGTTGGAGAAGGAGGAGGCCAGATGAGTGGTGGCCAGAAACAAAGGGTAGCTATCGCCAGAGCCCTCATCCGAAATCCCAAGATTCTGCTTTTGGACATGGCCACCTCAGCTCTGGACAATGAGAGTGAAGCCATGGTGCAAGAAGTGCTGAGTAAGGTTTGTGGAAGTCTTAGTCCATTTTACAGGTCCATGTGGAAATGCTTGTGCTGCTGCAGGAAAGGCAGCTCCTTGTGGGGTGGGAGGGATGGGAGTAGTTGATACTACATGGGTTCATGCATCTAGTCTGATTGTTTAGAAAATATTAGCTGACTACAATCTTCCTCACAGTTGAACAGAAGAAAGTTGTAATTTGTTTCCAAAAGCTACACATGTAAAAGTTTAAATCTTGTTAAGACTAGCTTATGATATTTTTTAAGTTACCTAAAAAATTGTTTTTAGCTGTTGATTAATGGCAGCAACAGGGCCAGTGTGTGTTGGGGTTTATGGCTGCAAGAAAATGTGCTGGCCTTTTCTAATGTCTGCACAGCCTATTTAAGAATATTCCCAGGGACCAAGGATCTAACTTTCCTATGGATTCTGAAATGATGCAAAGGTCAGTGTCAGCTCTGTCTCACAGTTTTGTTTAATGGTGCACTGTACATTCTTACAGATTCAGCATGGGCACACAATCATTTCAGTTGCTCATCGCTTGTCTACGGTCAGAGCTGCAGATACCATCATTGGTTTTGAACATGGCACTGCAGTGGAAAGAGGGACCCATGAAGAATTACTGGAAAGGAAAGGTGTTTACTTCACTCTAGTGACTTTGCAAAGCCAGGGAAATCAAGCTCTTAATGAAGAGGACATAAAGGGCAAGTGCTTTTTCCCTATACTTGTATGTTATATTAAATAGTTAATGTCTATAGTGCTTTACGGTTTTCTATGTATTTCAATACTCACTGTTCTCCCAACAACTCTGGCAGGCGTTATATAGATGGTAAAGGAAACAACTGAAGCTCAGGAAGCTAAGCTATCTGATCAAGTTACAGCACTAAAACCAAGGCTTCTAACTTTCAATTCCATCCCCCCCTTTTTTTTTTTTTTTAACCCTGCGCAAATAGAAGAGGCTTCCTAGAGTGTGTTCCGCACGCAGTAGAAGCTTCATGCTTATTGGCTGAGTGAATTAATCAATGACAAGAAAGTATAATACTTATTTTCAAATGTAGATAGATACTTCAGGTTCTAGTGCACCTTCTTTTTTATCAGTCTGAATTTTCAGACTTGGTGGTTACCTCAATCTAAATTAACCAACCACTCTAAACTTTCTCCACCATTTCACTCCATTAGGTGTAACTACTATATACATTTAACATAGGAGGGTTATTCTGAATAGACTTTTGAAAAGTTTAGTGTTTCTATCATTTTTTTTTTGCTACTTCTGATGGACTTCTCTTAAACTTTTTATGATTTATGCTAAAAAAAAATACCTGTTTCTGTAGAGGTAACAAGCTATTGTATGGTTTAAATGACTCAGTCTTGCTGAGTATTTTGAAATTTTTTATTAGAATCTGCAGGACAAGTCCCGAGTTTTATTTATTGCAATAAAGTTAACAGAATGTTTTGGCATTTGACATAGTAATTATATTCTAAGCAAACATAGTAAAGAATTCTACTTGGATATGGTTCTGTTTATTGTATATACTAAAAAATTGCTCATGCTGTGTTGAGTAGATGCAACTGAAGATGACATGCTTGCGAGGACCTTTAGCAGAGGGAGCTACCAGGATAGTTTAAGGTAAGCTCAAGCCATGGGGCAGATTACAAGCTTTCCAAATATTCTGAGGAGTCCTCTGTAGTCCTAATCCTCAGAGAATATCTCAGGTACAACAAGGAAACTCTGAGTAGACTGCCAGGTCTTGTCAAATATGAACATGCAAGTGATCCTTGGTTGCTATATTGACATTTCTCTCCCCAATTCATGGGTTTTTGGTTAGCTTCTCATCTTCTTGGGGATAAGGGTTACAATGGAGATGCTTTATGGTTAAAATTGTTGTGTATTGAGCTTAGAAAGGGGACTTCTTTTAAAAAAAATCTGTGTTTAGTGTTCCTCTGCTCCAAGCTAACTGTGGTATGAAACACTGTCTTACGTGAAGGTCAAATTCATGCCTTTAGCTCCACTCTTTAATCTACTGAGCTGCAACTGAATTACAAACACTTCTGCTCCCAGAGTAACCCATCTGAAGTCAAATCATTCCATAACTAGATGAAGTAAGAAATGTAATTTTTTAGCACTTAAAAATAATTTTCCTAAATAAGAGCTATTTATTTTTCCCTGGATCAATATAAAGCTGTTTACTTTCAAAATATATTTTTGGAGTATGCTATTAGTGAGACTACACACTTTAGTCTTTCATCCTGGTTTAAGAGTTTCAATAAAACTGCTCCTCTGATGTTACAAGTCTGTATTAAGAAGAATTCTGCCCAGGAGTGTTTGTCTATATTTATAACTGTTATTCAAGATTTTTTTTTCTTAAGTCAGAAGATTTTTAAAAGGCAATGAGATGGTAGCAATATCTCTATGATTGCCATTTCCATTTCTAGGACATTTAATGCAAGGCTGTGCAAAGTCGCAGAGATAAGACTTGCTCATTCAAGATGGATAATTATTTATTGAAAAGTTGTTAAAGAGCCTTAAAACATTCAGCTAACAATTCCAAGTAGTTCAAACGCAGATTTATTCATTTAAATATTCAAAGAATAGCTCACAAAAAGTAGTGTATTTATTTTCAGATGTAGATAAATACTTCAGGCCCTAGTATATCTTTTCCTTATCAGTTTGAATTTTCAGACTTGGGTTTTCCTATCTTTCTTCTTGAGAACAAGTTTATTCAAACAAATTTTAAGAAATGCTAGTTTGACTGAATTTACTGAATTTGGCAAATAACAAAGCAATAGCTTCACATTACTCTGTCATGTAAAAGGTATAAAACAATGTTATAGGCACCTGGTAGTAAGTTTAGTCATGCTTTTCTGATTCGATACTAAATTTAAATCATTCAAGTCATTAGAATCACAACCTGAAAATATCAACTAACTTCTTAAACCCAGAGAATGACTAGGCATCTCTTTTGGTCACTAGGTTAAAGGTTGCAAAGTGGACATGTTTCTTATGATCAGGCCAACAAGAAAATAAATATTTTCTTAACTCTTCAGACAAACAAAATTCTACTCATGTTAAGTAGTTTATTTGCAGTTTATTATTAGAACTAGTTAACCATTTTAATGTGAACATTAATTTGGCTATAATTTCTCACAAATGTTACATTTTGGTGATTAGGATGAGAAATCCAGAAATACGATCTACACACAGAAAGTAGCTATTAACCTCCTGCAGAGAAAGATTTGTACATTTGAGTATGAAAGTCTGTTAAAATATCTCATTGTACATGCTGACGGATTTTTCTTGTTGTCGTTAAAAGATGACTAAATGAAGTGTTAATATGTATCTTGTTTCTTTGGTTTCAGTTTTTCTGATGGCTAAGTTCCTTTTCAGCAATATATTTTAAATTCAAGAACAATTTAATACATAACAGCCACAAATTTCCTAAATAATAATGTTGAGAAAGATAGTATTTAGTCCCCCAAGTTAGTTGTTTTTATTTGCAGTGAGAAGTGGTACACAGCTTCAGAGAAGGGGAGAGACAGATGTTGTCAGTTTCTGAAAAGGGATGGTGTTTCTAGTGGATGAGAGAGGTAAACCTGCCTAGCACATGCACTGCCCATGGCCTCATGACAGCCTAGGCTAGACAGCTCGAATGATCTGGAGAATGGTGAAAGAGAGAGACTTAAAAAATATAAAGTAGATATCCAAGGGGCCAAGGACATAGGTCTTCCCATACTCAGAACTGGAAGGTAGTCAGTCATATGTTGATGGCCTCTCCTGCTCCACAAACTCCTACCTTGGCATCCATTGCTCTGCATTTGCTTTTTAGGTCCTTGACCTTAAGTCTCCTCCTATCAAGCACCTTGTTCTCACCAGCTGACACAAGCCTATTCTGCACACCTTCTGGAGAAGACATCCTGACCTCTGTTACCTAACTGGGAGAAATGACTTCATTGCTGTGTAGTTTCAGGCTAGGTGGGAGGGAGTCTCTGGAGGTGTCCCAGAAGTTTGGTGGCAGGGAGTAGCGTTGAGGAGTGGTTTAATGCCTGGTCATAATGAGTCTTGGCAAGAGTCTGAATGTGCAAGAGCAAGGAAGAGGGAGGGCTTGAGGAAACTGCATGGTGTTGAACCTGGGTGACTAAGAGGATGGAAGTGCCATTAACAGAAAATGGGAACAAATTGGAGCAACTCAGTTGATACATTACTGCCTTCTCTGGAAGGCTAGATGAGCATATAGTAGGCAGGCACCACCTTGATATTTGTTTTGGTGAAATTTCACTTGGATGCAAAATGGTAGAGAAAGATATGTGAATGGATTCATCTAGATGGCACTAAAACAGTTGATGCAGGTCTCCTCATCACTCACATCTCTCTCTTTACACCATTTACTTCAGGTGATTCTTTCTAAAACACAGTCTTCAGCATTGCCTCTTAACCATTAAGACTGTTTACAAATGACTGAAAACCTAACCCAACTTGGATTTACCTTTAGAGAGACAGAATCAGCTCATATAACTAAATATTCCAAAGATGCTTTGGCTTCAGGCAAGGCTAGAGCTTCAGTGATATGTCCAAGCTAGAAAATAGTTTCTCTCTCTTCCTTTCTCAGCTCTACTATTTCACTGTTGGCTTCATTTTTCAGAAAGCTTCTTTTTTTGAAGGTCTCAACATAATTGTCAACAGCTCCCAGCACTAAATACTTTAAGATTAACCTAGAGGAGAATGGGGGCCTCCTTCCCAGGAGTCTGGGGGAGGGAAGAGGAGGGTGGAGTCTGAACCAATCACTTCCCATGCTTGTCATGTACTCAGTATATTCAGCAAGCAACCCTGTCCTCCCCTGTCTCCATGCTTATGTTTATACATTCTCTCAGTCAGAAATGCTCTTTTCTATAGTCTACAAATCCCCATATCCTACCTTAGCCATCTCATCCATGAATCTTGCCTTGGTAACACCTGCCATACATTTCTTTTTCCTTTGACTTTCCATACTCTTTATTCAAACCTGCCTAATAGCACTTACCACATTCTTCTTTACCTTAGGGTGTGGTACAGGCCTCTTCTATAAGGTTTAAATTTTTTGAAGGAGAAATCTGTTATTGGCTAGTCTTTGTGTCCCCAACATCACCTGGCATTGGTTTGTAAGTTGTAGATGCCCAATAAGCTTCTGTTGAATTAATGAATAAATGAATGAACACATTGAGCTAAATTATATTTCAACAAGATACTCATTCATGCATGTCTGAATGCAGGGTAGTATATAGCCTGGAGAAAATCTCATCAGAGGCCCTATTTCCTCATATCATTTGTAACCATGCTAAAGTGAACACATCAGGTATGAGAGAAAGATATCAAGACCACAATCTAAGCCAGAAGGAAAGTAAAGGAAATAGACTGTTGCCAAGGCAGCAATTAGCAGAACCATGTGGGTTTGGAAAGTATTTGAGCCTTAGGTGGTTTTTTGATGAACTGGTAGGACAGCTTTGCTCCCTTTCTCTTTCTCCCTCCCTGACTACACTCTGAATCTGGGTCCAACACTTGCAAGAGTTTAGGGCCCAGAGCAATCAACCTGATTAGCTCTGCCCTAAGATTAGCTCTGTCAAACCTAACCTGCAAGCTCCCTTTCCTGGTTACCATGTGACCTACCAAACATTTCTATTTATTTGACATATGAAATGTAAACTTGGACACCAGTTGATCCTGCTCCAATCTGGCCACAGTCTACACTGTTTCATCTTTCTGTTTATTTACAGGGCTTCCATCCGGCAACGCTCCAAGTCTCAGCTTTCTTACCTGGTGCACGAACCTCCATTAGCTGTTGTAGATCATAAGTCTACCTATGAAGAAGATAGAAAGGTCAGGCACCAACTGCTTATGGGGGGGAATGGAAGAAGTCTCTCCTGGGGACTGTTGGGTACCCTTTAAGCCTGAGAATATGAGTTTTCTAGGTATATATCTAGCAGTGTTTCAAGTCAGACTAAAAGACAGAGCATTAAGACCTAATGAAAACTCTAAGTTTTACACAATATTTTTAATGCAGATTAGTTAATTGATTATTTTTAAGAATACAAGGTAATGAAAACTGGACTTCGGAGGGTTAATTGTCTTAGACAAACTATTCTAACAAACACAGAATGTGTGAATTCTAGATATTTAGCAGATTATTTGCTCATATGTAGAAATCCTTTTATAAAAGTTGTTAAGAATACCTGAAAGCTTTTTTCTCAAATTTTAAAATTTCTTTCTTAAATTACAATAATTTTGGCAAAAATACCTTGATCAACAAAAGTGTTTGAATAGGCTAGCCCTTATTACAAGTTATCAAAATATTTGAATTAATGGAGGCCAATTAGGTTTCACAGACATTTGTTGATTTCATACAATTTTTATAATGGTTTTAAGATACATTTAAAATAATACTATCAATTTTAACATAATTCAAGGTAGCATAAAATTAAAGAGCTAGGAAAGCAAACAACATGTATAGCAATACACAATTTCTTCCTAAGGATGCAGGTGTCCTGCTGTTGTAGACATTGTCTAATTTTCACATAAACAGACCACCCATTCTCCTCCAAGCCTTTCCTCATTACTGCACGTTACATGTCAGCCCTGATACTTTTACGTTCATTCCCCTACCACCCTTCGTTAGAAAATTTTCATGGCAATTTTCTTATTGAGCCTTAATCAAAGTCATGTTGACTTATCCCCTTTCTAAATTATAAGCCTCTGAAAGTTAGTGATACACCTTATTTGTGTTTGAATCAACTTGGTTACCTAACCCAGTGCCTTGCACTTAGTAAGGCATCAGGAGATTTTAAAAATTAGAATGAAAACATGAATTTCTACAATAAAATAAAACCCCAACTGCAAGATTTATCAAAGCAAATAAGTCAGAGAATTTTTAAATTACAAGCACATCCATTATGCATGATATAATTTCAAATTGTCTTAAATAAAATTCCAACACGTGAATCCACTAGGCAGTAATTACAAACATTGATTCATAATGGACAAATTTGGAATAAAGTAGAGTACTCTTTATGACCGTATGAAAATGACAAGGGAGTGATTGGGTTCTCTTTTGTTTTTAATGTATTAATACTGAATAAACAGAGGTCTCAATTTCTAACACAGGCTTTAAATAAATTCCATGGAAGACTTTTTCTCAGGAGCAGCAGGATGAATCACAGTGAGAGAAAACACATTTAGCAAGCATAGTTTCTTACTGCATCCTGCCACTAAAGACTCAACCTCTCTTCTAGTTCTAGAAATAGCTATTTCATTGAGTCCATGGTGCTGTCCCAGATAACTATAAGATGTATTATATAAGAGCAGGAGTTTAATAGAGCTTCAGGGGAGAAAGAACCAAACACTACATTGACATTTCTATTGAACCATAACAATACCAATCATATTTAATTTTTGCATTTTAATTTTTTCTAGTTTCTGGGTAGATATTTGACAATAAAAGTAAAAGTAAGAAAGGATGGAAAGAAGGGAGGGAGGGAAGGAAAATCTGACTTTTTCATTGTTGTTGTTCAAGCTGGTAGAGGACCTAGCGTAGGTGTAGGGGACCATCAGATTCCCTGGACATCTGGAGATCAGATTCCCATAGAGTTCTCTTGATGCAGGAACAATTCAGGAGGGAACCATTTAACTAAAAGGAAATCTAAATCTAATATACGGTCTAGTTTTACAGAGATTAAAATGTTTCATATTATGTTCTACTAGTCAGCATTATACATTTAGAATAGAACAATTAAACTCAGTTATATGTAGGCCAGCATACGTTTTAAAAGATGTGACTTTACGTTCTCTCTAGTTAAGGGAGATAGAAAGGAAGAAGAGAGAAAAAATGATAGGAGAGCCAATGTGATTATACTAAAGCTCCAAGGGGAAAAGGTCTCATAATAATACCACTGGTTTGTACGATAATTTTGTTAGTCCTTTAGGTTTAAAAAATTAATGATTTTTGAAAAGAAAATAATGGAAAAGGGTTAATAAAATTTGACTTATGAAATTTCTAATCTCAAGTAACATTATATGGTAAAATGTTGCTCTGTTTTGGTATTTTAAAGTATTTTAATACTTAACTAAATTCCACAAGCCCAAGCATTGGTGAAATCCTTTCTTTTTCTCATGTTGATGGAAAAGGCCTAACCTTACTTTCTGTAGATTGGGAAATACTCTCTTACGGTGCTAAAGGTCGATTCACACAAAGGAGTTATCGCCACCTTGTGGTCTTGTGGAGTATTGACTCTAAAACTTAGAACCATTTCC
Organism: Homo sapiens; assembly: GCF_000001405.40. NCBI lineage: Eukaryota > Metazoa > Chordata > Mammalia > Primates > Hominidae > Homo > Homo sapiens. The sequence continues at coordinate 168,961,778 of NC_000002.12, read as the reverse complement.
TGAGAAGTCTGTGCTTTCACCCAAGGTCTCATGGTTAGTTGGTGACAGAGATGAGACTATACCCATTTATCCTTGCTCTCCAAGCAGTACTCTTAGCTCCTGTAAACGGGGTCAGATGTTAGTTACAATGTTGACAACATTAAGTTTAGGATTAGGGAAACCCACAGGCTAAAGGTTTTAGTCTCTAATATTTAGGCAATCTCTTTTGGTGAAACTAAAACACAAGGCAGAACATGTATGAGATCAAGTCAGGATCAAATATTAGACACCCATAACTGCATCACAGATAACTTATGTGATAGGATTTAGGCATTGGTTAAGATAAGACAGAGATGGGACCCATAAAAATGGCTATCAGTATTAGTTCATTTGAAAAATCTCTGCTCCTTTGTCATAGTTACCACTTTTTATCATCAAATCTTAAAGTTATTATTAGGGCAGGGAACCTCTACTGAATGGAAGGCAGAAATTAGTGTAACAAAGTATAGAAAGCAAGACCTAAGATTTAAGTCGGAGGTTATTTTTCCTCTGGCCTACACAGAAGATGTAAGAAAGGAAACAGAAAAGCCCAGTGTCTAGCATTGAACTATGAATGCATCATAGTAGATGAGCAATTTTAAATAAATCTCTTGTTGCATGTATGCAGCATGGACATAAAAGTTTCATTCATTCTTTTATCCCATAAACATCGATTGTACACTGTGAAGTGCCAGGTATCACACTGGGGATGCAAAAATGAACAAGAGCTATTGTTACTCTCCCTACTATGGAGCTGCTGACAGGCATTTCTTTACATATGATTTTTTTTAAAAGTGCTGTGCAACCTGCCAGTGCTACAATAGAAGTACAAGGAAACACATATAAATTTTATAATTTTACCTGTCTGTGAGATTTGTTGTTAATTTATAATCTTCTCTTTATGTTTAATTTTGCAAAATCAGAGAGAAAAATATTTCTTTACAGAATGACTTTAATTATTTTTTGTATTGTTTTCTTTTATTCCTCTCCTGTTCTTTTAGTGGAGATATCAAATAAAATGCAATAAAAAGTCCAATATTTAGGGACAGATTTTCTAGTTTTTGCATCATTCAAGCTGGACAGTTGCATTTTTTCGGGGGGGTCAAACTTTAAAGTCAAACTTTTAGTATAGAGGAACCAAAGAAAATTATTTTAATTAATTCGTATTTCTTGTTAGTGTCTCTTGGAATGAAAACCACTAGACAAGAATTACTTTGTATCGCTTTGAAATGTCCTAAGTGTTGTTGTTTAGAGTTAAGGATAACTTCAGGTATCAGAAGGTTGGGAAAATTTCTATCATGTCAGGCTGTGGGTGGACCATCCTGTGGGGCAATCGTTCCAGAAAATGCTGGTATTTAATGTCACAAGGAAGCTGGCAGAATTTAGTGAGTGCTAATAGTCTTCACAAGTTCCAAAGCCTACCCTTTGATGGTACGTACAGCACAGCTGACACATCTAAAACATACATTATAGAATCCTAGCCATTTAGTGGTGAGAGGAGCCTTGGAGTTCTCACATACTGAACTTTGGTTACCAGAATTACCTGATGAGTATTTTTTAAGACAGAGATTCACAGTTAGGCCTACTAAATTGGAATTCTCGTGACAGGATACAGGAATCTGGTTTTTTAATCATCAACCCACATGAATCTGAGAGCATCCAGATCTGGATACCAACCACTCTCTAGAACAGAGAAGGGGTGAAATATTTTGCTCTATTGCAAGCATTCAGTTAGTCTCACACAATTTCATGATGCTGGCAGAATACATGAGCATCCTGAATCACAGTGTTCATATTCGGGTTTTTTTTTTTTTTTTTTTTTTTTTGGAGATGCAGTCTTGCTCTGTCACACGAGTACCCTGAACCAGAGACAAAGGACTTTATTATTCATAGCAATAGCAGTAGCCAGTGTTCAGCATTTGCACTGGCTCCCCAACCCAACCCCCAGTTCCCACAAGGCAATGCAAAGAGGGCCAGATGATACCAACAAATGAAGTGGGTGTTTTAAACGAGAGGAAACCTGGGCTTGAGGAGCCTGACTCTTTCATAATGGGCAGATGGGGGCAGTAAGGTTTGCACTTCACTTGGGATGAAGACATCTTCTTTGTCCTCCAAAACTGTTTGCTATACAAATACCCTTGAAAAAATAACCCGAATGAAGGTAATCAATGCCTCTGTTCACAAGATGTGCATAAACATGGGAGACTCAGAGAGATTGTTTCCCCAGAATTACTTAGTCCAAGTCTCTCGTTTTAAGGATGAAATAACTGAGGTCCAGAGAGCTAGAGCACTTAGTAATACACTTTACGGGTGGCCACGTTGGGCTTTTCCAAGAGCTCCATTTTTTCTATGCCTATTACACTCATGCTTTCCCAGGTACCCTTATTCCTTTCTGGCATAGGTTGCCTAGAGCTAGTAAGCTGTCACAGGTGAAATAATTGAACAGAAGGACCTGCTGCATGAGTGAGCAGTAATGACAAAGTACAAATGGTGAGAGCAGGCCAAGAGAGAACTTGAAGTGGAGGTAGTACCAAATTCATCACCAGTCCAAGTTGCCTTCCCTCATTTTATTTGACTTGCAACTGTAATGAAATGGACATGACACAGACTTTCATTTAAAATGAATGTGGTCTTTGACTTTGTAAGCAAAGGGAAAATTTTTGAAGATCCTTGCTGTTGTCTATCCCTGCCATCCTGCTCCCTAAAAGATAAATTACTGTGTTAATGAAAGAGAGCACTAATTAAGCTTTATAGTCGATTTGCTGTATATATTTTTGGTAAATGTCAATAGAAAAGCTTTTAAAAATCAATACAAATCTATATAAGCTACCTAAAATCCTTTCTCAAAGTGGGTAATAAATTTAACAAATTAATGAATTAATTACGCTTAAGACCAAACTTGAGTAGTATCCATAGCAAGGAAAAACGATGGCCAAAAAAGACAACGGAGGTCCATGTATAATATTTGCCTTTGAGAAGATAAAAAACTGCTAGCTCTGACTTAATGGCAACTAAAGAGAAATGCTGATTAATGTCCACTCTGTGTGATGAAAATGTGCAATTTAGAAATCCAAATGCAGTACTACTTACCTCTGGGTACTGATTAAGGAAAACCTTACTGAAAACATCTCAATGATAACTGTTGACACCACTTAATGTATTTTAAAAATTATTTTGTCTTATTTCATATATACTGGCCTACCTTACAGCTTTAGCCAGTTACTATATTATAGAACCTTGACATTTATTTTAAAAAATTGAAAATTTCACCAGTCCTCACCGGTATAAATACAACCGTAGCAAAGGTTTTCTTTTTTTAATGGGAGTTATTTTTCTCCAAGATCCAACATATTTATTACTCTCTGAGAGTTAATACACATGTAATCATGAAATAAGAACTATAAGCTCACCTTCAAATGCGTATTCCCTCAGTTCAGTTTTTATTCAAGCCACAGCAATAGTTTTGTTCAAAACGATTCCTCAAAAAATAACAAACAACCATATCCCATAGACATTTGAGGTCACTCATAACTAATCAAACTATGACTCTTAAATCTGTGAATGCCAAAGGATCTGCTGCAAAATGTCTTGAGTACATTTAGATGATTAATATAACCCTCTCTCTGCTCAAGGACAAGGACATTCCTGTGCAGGAAGAAGTTGAACCTGCCCCAGTTAGGAGGATTCTGAAATTCAGTGCTCCAGAATGGCCCTACATGCTGGTAGGGTCTGTGGGTGCAGCTGTGAACGGGACAGTCACACCCTTGTATGCCTTTTTATTCAGCCAGATTCTTGGGGTAAGTACACAGCTGGACTAGCTTTCTTCTTCTCATACCTTTTATTTTATTATTTTGATAAGTCCGCTCTTTGTTTTCATGTATTTAGCTCTTTTCTGTTAGTTCATTTTTCTCATCTCTAAAGAATGAAAAATTTCCTAAGCCTCCATCACACAGAGGGTAAGAAGGCAAAGCTGAGAACTCTCATTTGGGCTCGCAGGGCACTCAGACAGTCATTGTACCTATAAAAAAGAAAATGGTACTGTCACTGAAAATTTTGTGTTAGAAGTGGGCAATTTTTCTAGTAATGTATATCAAACCTAATCAAAATGCAAAGTGGATTCACTGAATAATACAAAAGGCTTTTAGGGAAATTTTGATCTTGCTGAACAGCAGAGGTACAAAGTTTGACTTATATAGCAGGTGTTAGTGTTTGATGTATAATTCTCCACGGATTGCACTATTGAAATAGTAATGTGGATAGGAAGCAGAAAAAGAAAGACAGAAGTAAAATAAGGCATGATTGAAAACTAAGCTTATTCCAATTTTTCACTTCCTAGAATTTCTTATGTTCTCTATCTGACTTGATTGCTGTAATCATCATAATAACTATGAACATGTATCAGGCAATATCTAAGCATTTTATGTACAATAGTTCATTTAAGTTTACTAACAACCGTCTAAGGTAGGTATTCTTGTTATTTCTATTTTACAAAGGAGCAAACCAAGGCACAGAGAGCTTAGGCTAGCAAGTGGTGGAGTTGGGATTCAAATCCAGCCAGTGTAACTGTAGAGCCAGGTTCTAGTAAAATCTTGTCATTGCAAGATTAGTTATCAAAATTTGATCATGGAAACAGTACTGAAAGACAGCTGACTAGATGCAGGTAGTATGTGCCTTCTCCATGAAGAGGAATCAGAATAGTAGGTAGATACTTACATTTGGAACAGATTATCTGGGCTAGAACATTAGGATTCATCAAACAAGGGATGGGAAGCACCAGAAATAAGAAAGGAGAGGATCTAAGGCAGCTTACCCAGTTGGGGACTGCCTGAGAGCCACAAGAGGCTTTTGGATATGGGCAAACAGTAAGAGAGAAACATCCAGGGCTCCAAAATGGGCTTTCACAATCTTGGCTATGGGGTAAATCCTTGACCCACTAGGGCCTTTTCCCTGACATGAAGAGCTGCCTAAAGATTCCACGGAGATGTTACTCCAAAAGGGAAACCCACACAGAATCACACAGGCATCCAATCCTGGAGCAGCCTCTGTCAGGCATCATTTTGAGGGCCTAGATACCAGGAATATACAAACATGCACTGCCTCTGCACTGCTTCAAGGAGAGAGAGGGGAGACTAGATAATCCCATCACCCCCGGGAGGATCCCTGCCATGCTGTTGTGGTCTACTGTTGAGACTGAGTCATGAACAGACTCAGAGTAGTATCATACAAAGATCACACTACTGCATGAACCCAAAATCAAAGCCAAAGTATTTTTTAAAAATCTCCCCTACAAAAGCAAATTCAAAAATTGGAACAAGCAACTGATACATCAGATATACAGATATCAATGGAAGAACATAGGAAACATGAAAAAGCATGGAAATATGACACCACCAAAGGACCACAACAAGTGTCCAGCAACCAATAATGGTGTGGCTTTGTGTCCCCACCCAAATCTCATGCCAAATTGTAATCCCCACATGTTGAAGGAAGAACCTGGTGGGAGGTAATTGGATCATGGGTGGGTGGATTTCCCCCTTGCTATTCTTGTGATAGTGAGTGAGTTCTCACGAGATCTGGTTGTTTAAAACTTTGTAGTCTTCCCCTTTCGCTCTCTCTTCCTCCTGGTTTGGCCATGTGAAGACATGCCTTGCTTCCCCTTCACCTTCTGCCATGATTGTAAGTTTCCTGAGACCTCCTCAGCCATGTGGAACTGTGAACCAATTAAACCTTTTTTCTTCATAAATTACTCAATCTCAGCATCAGTGTGGCCTGGATGTGAGACAAGGTGTCAAAAAAGATTATTTTGGAGCTTTAAGATTTAACGACTGCCATGCTGGGTTTTGGACCTGCATGTGGCCTGGAGCACCTTTGTTTTGGCCAATTTCTCCCTTTTAGAACAGAAGGATTTACCCAATGCTTGTACCCCCATTTTATCTGGGAAGTAACAAACTTATTTTTGATTTTACAGGCTCATAGTTGTAAGGGACTTGCCTTGTCTCATATGAGACTTTGGACTTAGACTTTTGAGTTAATGCTTAAATGAGTTAAGACTTAGGGGACTGTTGAGAAGGCATGACTGTGTTTTGAAATGTAAGAAGGACATGAGTTTTTGGAGGGGTCAGGGGCGGAATGATATGGTTTGGCTCTGTGTCCCCACCCAAATCTCGTGTCAAACTGTAATCCCCACATGTTGAAGAAGGGAACTGGTGGAAGGTGACTAGATCATGGGAGGAGATTTCCCCCTTGCTGTTCTCATAATAGTGAGTAAGTTCTCACAAAATCTGATAAAAGTGTGTAGCGCTTCCCCCTTCACTCTTTCTTCCTCCTGCTTTGGTCATATGAAGATCTGCTTGCTTCCTCTGTTCTTTCCACCGTGATTGTAAGTTTTTTGAGATCTCCTCAGCCATGTGGAACTGTGAGTCAATTAAACCTCTTTTCTTCATAAATTACCCAGTGTCAGGAATAGCAGTGTGAGAACAGTTTAATAGAGATACCAATGAAAAAGAATTTCTTGAAATGCCGGGTAAATAATTTAAAATATTGATTTTTAAAGATAGTAAAATGCAAGAGAAATCTGAAAACCAATACAAAGAAATCAGAAATCAATTCAGGATATGAATGAGAAATTTACCAAGGAGATAAATAGCATTTTAAAAAAATAAGCAGAAATTCTGGAACTCAAAAATTCATTGAAGGAAATACAACATACACTTTAAAGCTTAAATCATATACTAGACCAAGCAGAGATAAGAATTTCAGAACTTGAACACATGTCTTTTGAAATAATCCAGTCAGACAAAAATAAGGAAAAAAGAATAAAAAGAATGAACAAAGCCTTTGAGATGTCTAGGACTAAGTAAAGGGACTGAACATGGACTAAATAAAGCAACTGAACTTATGAATTATCAGTATCCTGAAAGGGAAGAGAGATCAAAAGGTTTAGAAAACATATTTTAAAAAATCATCAATAACAACCTCCCAAGTCTGTCAAGACTGTTAGACAACCAGTTCAGAAGTCCAGTGATTCCCCAGGCAAACACATTACAAAAAGGAATTCACCATTATATATTATGTTCAGAATGTCTAAAGTCAAAGTAAAAGAAAGAATTTTTAAATTAGCAAGAGTAAAGCATCTACTCATCTATAAAGGAAACCCCATCAGACTAATAGCAGACTTTTCAGCAGAAACCTTACAGGCCAGAAGAGAAAGAGATGGCATTTTCAAAGTGCTGAAAGGAAAAAAAAAACTGTCAGCCAAGAATTTTGTGTCCTGCCAGAATAAGCTTCATAAGTGAAGGAGAGATAAAGTTCTTCCCAGACAAGGAAACATTTAGAAAAATTATCACCACTAGATTGGACCTACAGGAAATGCTCAAAGGGGTCTTAAACATGGAAACAAAAGGTCATTGCTCACCATCACAACAACACATTGAAATATAAAACTCACAGTTCATATAAAATAATCACACAAGGAAGAAGAGAAAAAAATAAAATGGCATAACAGAATTTCATCAAACTACAAAGACAAAAAAAACAGAAAAAGAGGGAAACAATTTATAAAATAACTTGAAAACAATCAGCAATATGACAGGAACAAAGCCTCACATATCAATATTAACCTTGAATGTGTGACTCCCAAAAATCTGAGACAGGTCCCAGTTAATTTAGAAAGTTTATTTTGCCAAGGTTGAGGATGTGCACCCATGACACAGCCTCTGGAAGTCCTGACAACATGTGCCCAAGGCAGTCAGAGCACAGTTTGGTTGTATACATTTTAGGGAGACACGAGACATCAATCAACATATGTAAGGTGAACATTGGTTTGGTCTGGAAAGGCAGGACAAGCCAAAGCAGAGAGGGGTCTTCCAGGTCATAGGTAGATAAGAGACAAATGGTTACATTCTTTTGAGCTTCTGATTAGCCTCTCCAAAGGAGGCAATCAGGCATCCCTTTATCTCAGTGAGCAAAGGGGTGACTTTGAATAGAATGGGACGCAGGTTTGCCCTAAGCAGTTCCCGATTTGACTTTTCTCTTTAGCTTAGTGATTTTGGGGGCCCATATTTTCCTTTCACAAATGTAAATGGATTAAATGTCCACTATTAAATACATATTGGAAGAATGGATTAAAAAAATAATCCAACTAAATGCTGACTATAAGAAACTCACCTTACCTATAAAGACACATATAGACTGAGAGTAATGGGGCGTAAAAAGATATTCCATGCAAATGGAAACCAAAGTTGAGCAAAAGTAGCCACACTTATATCAGATAAAACACTTTAAATCAAAAATAGTAAAAAAAAAAAAAGACAAGATAATTATGTAATGATAAATTCAACAAAACGTTATAACAATTCTAAATATATATGAACTCAACATCAGAGCACCCAAATTCACAAAACAAATATAAGCAAAACTAAAGAAAGATAGGGCAATGCAATAATAGTGGGGGAATTTAACATGCCACTCACACACTAGCCAGATCATCATGTCAGAAAATCAGCAAACAAACATTGGACATAAACTGGATTTTATATCAAACTTAACAGACATTTACAGAACATTCTACCCAACAACTACAGAATGTACAGTCTTTTCCTCAGGATATGGAACATTTTGCAAGATAGATCAGATATTAGGCCACAAAACAAGTCTTAATGAATTTTTTAAAAACTGAAGCCATATCAAGTATCTTCTCAGGCCACAGTGAAATAAAACTAGAAATCAATACTAAGAAGAAGTTTGGAAACTATACAAATACATGGAAATTAAACAGCATACTCTTGAATAATCACTGGGTCAATGAAGAAATTAAGATGGAAATTAGAAAATTTTTTGAAATGAATGAAAATGAAAACACAACATACCAAAACCTGTGAGATACAGCAAAAGCAGTGCTAAGAGGGAAGTTGATAGCATTAAATGCCTACATAAAAAAGTAGAAAGATCACAAATTAACAATCTATCATTGCACTTCAAGAAACTAGAAAAAGAACAAACCAAACCCAAAGTTAGCAAAAGAAAAGAAATAACAAAGACCAGAGCAGAACTATACAAAATAGAAACAAACAAAAAAAAAAAAACAAAGGAGCAATGAAACAAAAAATTGTTTCTTTGAAAAGATAAAATTGATAAACTGCTAGCTAATCAAAAAGAGAGAAAATCCAAATAAACTCAATCAAAAATGAAAAAGAAGATATTATAACAGATACCACAGAAATACAAAAGATTATCACAGACTATTATGAAAACCTACACTGGAAAACTTAGAGGAAATAGATAAATTCCTGGAAGCGTGCAACCTACCAAGATTAAATCAGGAAGAAATAGAAAACCTGAACAGACTAATAATGAGTAGCAAGACTGAGTCAGTAATAAAAAATTTCCTAACAAAAAAAAATAAAAGCCCAGGACCAGAAGGATTCATAGCTGAATTCTACCAAACAGGCAGAGAGCTAATACCAATCCTCCTGAAACTATTTTAGAAATCAGAGGAGGGAATTCTCCCTAACTCATTCTACAAGGCCAATATCACCTGATACCAAAACCAGACTAGGACATCACAAAAACAGAAAACTACAGACCAATATCTCTGATGAACATAGATGTAAAAATCCTTAACAAAATAACTGAATCCAAGAGCACATCAAAAAGATAACACACCATGATCAGGTGGGATTTATACAAGGCATGCAAGGATGGTTCAACATATGCAAAGCAATAAACATGATATATCACATAAACAATATTAAGGGAAAAAATTATCATTTCAATAGATGCAGAAAAAACATTCAACAAAATTCATCATCCCTTCTTGATAAATATTCTCAATAAACTAGGCATAGAAGGAACATACTTCGACATAATAAAAGCCATACAAACCAACAGCAAATATCATACTTAATGGGGAAAAGTTGAAAGAATTCTAAGAACTGGGACAAGATAAGGATGCCAATTTTCACCACTCTTATTTAACATAGTACTGGAAGTCCTTGCCAGAGCAATCAGGCAAGAGAAAAAAAATAAAAGGCATGCAAATTAGAAAAGAGGAAGCCAAATTATCCCTGTTTACTGATGAAATCATATTATTTATAGAATACCCTAAAGACTTCACCAAAAACTCTTAAATTTAGTAAGTGAATTCAGTAAACTTTCAGGATACAAAATTAATTTACAGAAATCAATAGTGTTTCTATACACCAATATTGATCTAGTTGAGGGCCAAATCATGAAGTTAATCCCATTTACAATAGCTACAAAAAAAATACTTAGGAATATATTTAAGCAAAGAGGTGAAAGATCTCCCTAAGGAGGACCACAAAACACTGATAAAAGAAATCATAGATGCCACAAACAAAAGGAAAAACATCCCATGCTCATGGATTGGAAGAATTAATAACATTAAAATGACCATACTTCCCAAACCAATCCACTGATTCAATGCAATCACTATCAAATTACCAATGTCATTTTTCACAGAATTAGAAAAAAACAATTTTAAAATTCACATGGAACTAAAAAAAAGAGCCCTAATAGCCAAAGCAATCCTAAGCAAAAGGAACAAAGCTAAAGGTATCATATTATTTGGCTGACTAAATTATTCTACCAAGGTATACAAATAGACACATAGATCAATGGAACAGAATAGAGAACCCAGAAACAAAGCCACATACCTAAAACCAAGTTATCTTTGAAAAAGTCAACAAAAATATTCATTGAAGAAGTGACACCCTACTCAATAAAAGGTGCTGGAAAAATTGGATAGCAGTATGCAGAAGAAAGAAATTAGACCCATACCTCTCACCACTTACAAAATTAACACAAGATAGATAGAACACCTAAACATAGACCTGAAACTATAAAAATACTAGAAGAAAACCTAGGAAAAACTCTTCTGGACATTTGCTTAGGCAAAGAATTTAATTCAAAGTCCTCAAAAGCAAACACAACCAAAACAAAAATAGACAAATGGGAATAAATTAAGCTAAAAAGCTTTTGCACAGCAAAAGAAGCAGTCAACAGAGTAAACAAACAACTTACACAATTGGAGAAAATATTTACAAACATTACATCCAACAAAGGGCTAATATTCAGAATCTATAGGGAACTCAACTCAAGCAACAACCAAATAATTTCATTAAAAGGTAGGTGAAGGACATGAGCAGATATTTTTCAAAAGAAGACATACAAGCAGCCAACAAACATTAAAAAAATGCTCAACATCACTAATCATCATAGACATGTAAATTAAAACCACAAAGAGATACCATTTTACAACAGTCAGAACAGCTATCTTTAAAAAGTATAAAAACAACAGATGTTAGCAAAGATGTGGAGAAAAAAGAATGCTTATATACTGCTGGTGAGAATGTAAATTAGTACAACCTTTATGGAAAACAGAATGGAGATTTCTCAAAGAACTAAATATGGAACTACCATTTCATCCAGTAATCCCACTACTGGGCTGTATTAGGGACAGCGTTCTCTAGAGGGACAGAACTAATAGGATATATATCCATATATGTATACACACACACATATACACATATATATACATATTTATAGGCGTTTATAGGATATATATCCTATTTTGTGTGTGTGTGTGTGTGTGTGTGTGTGTATATATATATATGGGAGTAATAGGATATATATCATTTTATATATATATAGGAGTTTATTAAGTATTAACTTACACATGATCACAAGGTCCCACAATAGGCTGTCTGCAAGCTTGAGGGGCAAGGAAGGCCAGTCTGAGTCTAAAAACTGAAGAACTTTGAGTTTGATGTTTGAGGGCAGGAAGAATACAGCAGGAGAGAAAGATGTAGGCTGGGAGGCTAGGCCAGTCTTGCTCGTTTACATTTTTTTCTTCTTGCTTTATATTCACTGAGAGCTGATTAAATTGTGCCCACCAGATTAAGGGTGGGTCTGCCTTCCCCATACTGCTGATTCAAATGTTAATCTCCTTTGTCGACACCCTCACAGACTCACCCAGGGGATCAATACTTTGTATTCTTCAATCAAGTTGTCACTCAGTATTAGCCATCATATGGGCATATACAAAGGGAAAGAAGTCATTATGTCAAAAAGATACCTGCACTCATATGTTTATTGTCACACTATTCACAATAGCAAAGACACAGAATCAATCTAAATTTTTATCAACAGAGGATTGGATAAAGAAAATACGATATACCATGGAATACTACTCAGCCATAAAAAGGATGAAATCATGTCTTTTGCAGCAACATGGACAGAACTGGAGGACATTACCCTAAGTGAAAAAATTCAGAAACAAAAAATCAGATGCCACATGTTCTCACTTAAAAGTGAGAGCTAAACAATGGGTAAACATAGACATACAGGGTGGAATAATAGACACTAAAGACTCCAAAAGTTGGGAGGATGGGAGGGAGATGAAGGTTGAAAAATTGCCTATTGGGTACAATGTTCACTATTCAGGTGATGGGTGCACTAAAAGCCCAGACTTCAATATGCATGTAAGAAATCTGTGCTTGTACCCCCTAAATATACAAAAATTTTAAAAAGTTAATTTTAAAAAAGCAGTTTAAAAAAATGTGATCATGTTTTCTTGGCTGAAATTCACACACACATATATACACATAAATCCTTTGAGGTCCACAAGGAAGGAAACCTAGAACTGTCAACTTGTACAAGGTGATGGGGCCAGGACTAGGGCCCAGGTTTACCGAATCCTAGTCTATAGAATTTGCCAACATATCACATTGTCAGAGCTTATTAAATGATAAAAGCTTACATTTTAGTTCCCTACTCCATTTCTTTCTCTCACATCACCTCTCCTGACCGTAAAAATGACCCCACAAGCATGAGTTGTACAGAAAAACCTGGATAATCCACAAACAAAATCAAGTCCATCGTGTAAGGAGGGCCCCAGCCACCACTGTAGTTTTCGCATTGCCCCCTTGTGGTAAGTGAAGAAATCACATTAATTTCAGAAAGGTAGAGAATCGGAAACACTCAACTTTGATTAACTGAATTTCTAGTTATATGGTGCCATAAACTTTTATGCTGAAAATCTTTGAAATAATTTATATTTCTTGATTTCCTAGTAGGTACAATATCCAAATATAAAATGAATCATCTTTTATTCCCTCGACAGATCTGTATTGATTGTCTTCCCCAGACATGGTGCTGTGGACTGGGGAATGCATATCGGTTATGATGCTTTCCCTAGTGGAGTTTTCAGTCTGTGAGGAAGATAACATCAACAAAAAAAAACCCACTCATCATTCAACAGATATTTACCACCTATAGTTTTCCAGGCATTGTAACTAATGTTGGGCATAGAGTGGAGGACAAGAAAATCATTGTGTGTTTGTGTGTTGCTTGCACAAAGCTGACATTCTAGTAGGGAGAAGCTGGGGAAGTGCATTTCACTGGGCAATGATGTTAGTGTAGAAGGTGTAGGGAATAGGGTTGGATCAGAAAGAATCCAAGCCTGTGTCCTGGATGTTTGCTTTTTAAAAGAAATCCAAAATGTCAGCTTCTTTGCTGATTATTTCTTTACCTCTTATAAAAGCAGAGTAAAGAATATCCTCACCCATCTCCACCTAAACTGTGCATATGAGCTGCTGTGGAGAGTTCTGACTTTCCTGTCAGGAGATCTTTCTTCTGAAACTGGCTCTTCTAGTTACTTACCACATCCTGTGTGCCCTGGGATCATGTCATACCTCTTCTCCCGGTCTCCATTTCCTACAAAATGCAGGATTTAAAAGATGATCTCTAAGATATCTTCCAGCTCTAGTGGTCCATGAAATGGCTAAGTTAAAAAAAAAAAGAGATTCAACTATAATTGCTGTCCTTCTTGAGCACCTGCTTGGTCATTGGTGGTGACAATATTCTCTGTGTTTCTTCTGGTGACAACCAGAAACCTTAAGATGGACTTAGAGACTTAAGGGCTGCAGGACCAGAGTAGGCAGCATCTAGGTGATGAAATCCAAAGTCTACTCGTCGTTCTTGTTCTCACAGGGTTATATTTGCTAAGAGAATGATGCCGAACAAACCACTATTTTTCCTCTCTGGTAGAGTAGGTTGTCTCTTTGCATAATTATCATGTGTTCATTAGTAAACTCATGATGCTTTCTTCTCACAGGGTATAATTGTGAGTCTATTTATAGTTGCTCTATTTTCCTTCTGACATACCTAAAGGGCACAATATGCACATTTGTTGTATTGAGACCACACTGTGGGAATGGACCCAGCAAATGATTGGGCCTTATTAGGAGCCCAGTTGCCAATCTAGCTAAGCCTCAATATACATGTAAGGCGTAATTTGTCTGCTTCACTTTCCCTGTGTCCATTTGACTTGGAAAATGTGCCAATGTTCCAAGCACAGCACTTGGGATGTAGCATGCTGGGGAAAAAAAAAAATGGATGTGAGAGTCGCCAGCTCTGGATTTGTAGTAGGTCTCTACTCTGTACTATCTGTATATATTTAGGTGAGTGATTTATCCTTGATAAATTTCCTCATCTGTATAAGGAGCAAGAAAATCTACCTCACTGGGTTGTTTTGAGAATCATAATTCCTAATTTAAGTTACAGCAGGTTAATCTACGCATTTGACATGTGGCACATAGCAAAAGGTTAATGAATGTTAGTTTTCTCCTTCAACAAACTTACCATTACAAAAATAGCAAAGATGTGTGCCAAAACTACAACTAGTAAAGGAACAGAGGAATCTATGGATGGATAGCCCTTGGAGTTGCATTTCAACAATAAGAATATACAAAGAACTCGTGGAGCAGAATTTTGTGAAAAAAGATTATGGATAGAGAGATGCCCAACCTTGAATTGGACAGTTGTATGAATTTTAACATTAGCTAAATGCTCTTTCTTTTTTTAACACTGAGAAGGTAAGTAATACAAAAAGCTAAAAGAGCATACCCAATAGAAAACCACTGCACCAGAAGCCAAAAAACAGGCATTTTCTTATCTAGTAATAACCACTAGCTTAATGAACTTGAACAAACAACTTGATGTTTGGGGCTTTATTTTCCATCTATAAGAGTTAAATGGGAAAATCTGCTGTTCTATAGACCATCATTATAAAAGGTGACCTTAAGGAGGAATGGGAATTGTGGCATCGCAGTTTGGGGTTTCAGGGTATTTGCACAGTAATTTTAAAAATATTTATCTTTAAATTTTTGAATTTTTAGACTCTGTAAACTTACGAGTTATGCTATGCTGGGAAGAATTACTGTGCTACTTTCTGAACCCACTTTTACCAGTATTGAGCACCATGAAGGCCCTAGAAACTTCATCCTACAAACAGTAAAATCTCATTAATTTAGAACCCCTCCTACTCACTTTGTAATTTGCCATAATTTGAACGGGTTACTTTTGCTTTACAAAAAAAAGGATTTGTTAATGGAGTAGCACATATTGTTTCCAAGGAGATTTATTTGGCAAATAATAGCTACTTAGTAAATATTTTTGAATAAATGGTCTCCTTTGAACAACTATTTGTTGACACTGTTTTAATGACTCAAATTAATTCAGGAAAATGAATAAAGATGTATTGTATAGCTCTCTAATGCATACTTCTGACCTTCCCAGTTCCCTCACCTGGCCTAAATTACAAAGGTTCTGTTATGCACAAAATCCATTTCACCACAAGGCAATGTCATTGGAGTATGTTCTTTCATTTTTCTTATTGTAACAAGATCCTCAGTTACTTGAACAGATGTCTGTAAATTCAGAATACGTTTGAGTGTAGTTTACTAAGCATTATACACTAAAAACTCCCACTCACAATGGCCGTAGTTTTTTAGGGGGTGGGGGAATGTTTCAGCTTCTGGTGAGTTAGAGGCAACAACCTCAATATCAGATGAATGAAATTTTTTTCTCTCCTAAGGCAATTCCAGTCAATGCTTTGATAGTTTCTTTTTTAATGCTGTATAGTCTATAAAACTAATTAACCGGCAAATTACCTGAGTGAAAGTCATATTTTCTTTCATTTAGTAATAGAGAAAGATATCGGTCAAAATATTAATACAACTTTGAGTTTTGTCCCAGACAACATTTCCAGATCTCGATTCCCTCCCTCCCTCCCTTCCTTCCCTTTTTCCTTCATAACTCCCTCTCTCCTTCCCTCCCTCTTTGCTTCCTTTCTTCCTTCTTCCCTTCCGTCCTCTCTTCCTTCTTCTGTCCCTCCTTCCTTTCCTTCCTTCCTTTCTTCCTTCTTTCTCAGTTTTATTACTTAAATGTTTTAATCATTTTATCATCCTTTTCATCTGTGTTGATGAAAAACCAACACAATTGCCTAAAAAGGCAAAATAACAAGACAAAAATTCTGTAAGTCATCACCATTGGTTTTCATTCACCAGGTTTTCCGCCCCACAGAGGACTGTAGTACATCGTCATCATATTCTTAGCTAACTTTCGTTTAATTACTAGCATGTTTAAAGTGGAACCATTATTTAAAAGACTTTATTTTTTAGAGCACTTTTAGGTTTACAGCAAAATTAGAGGAAGGTACAGAGATTTCCCATATACCCCCTACCACCCTACACGCATAACCTCCCCCATTATCAACATCTCCCACCAGAATGATACATTTCCTACAATTAATGAACATACATTGACACATCATTATCACAGATCCACAGCTTACATTAGGGTTCACTCTTGGTGTTGTATATTTTATGAATTTGGACAGATATATAATGACATGGTAAGAAAAATTCATTTTAAACATGTAAATAGATTTATTTTTCTATTTATAATAAAGTTACTTTCTTGTTTACTATCTTTCCAAGACTTTTTCAATTCCTGATAAAGAGGAACAAAGGTCACAGATCAATGGTGTGTGCCTACTTTTTGTAGCAATGGGCTGTGTATCTCTTTTCACCCAATTTCTACAGGTAAGAAATGTTATTTTTCAGTAAGTGATTTAGTTATTTTTCCTTTTTTCTCATTAAAATTTCTCTAACATCTCCCTCTTCATGTTTTAGGGATATGCCTTTGCTAAATCTGGGGAGCTCCTAACAAAAAGGCTACGTAAATTTGGTTTCAGGGCAATGCTGGGGCAAGATATTGCCTGGTTTGATGACCTCAGAAATAGCCCTGGAGCATTGACAACAAGACTTGCTACAGATGCTTCCCAAGTTCAAGGGGTGAGCTATGGGAGGGGAAATAGAAGTATATTAACTGCATTGGCATTCTTTCATTAGAGCATTCTGACAATCACCTGCATGTTTTCTATGGAATAGGGACCAGTGGGATTGGGATATCCTAAAGCCACATTTTCCACTGCTTCTAACACTGACAAACAGCAGCTAAAGCACAGTGTCTCCCAGGCAGTGCCCAGAATCAATATATGGCATGCACCAAAATCTGTCAGGGTTTTGGATTTCCTCTGAGTCTAACTTAGGAACATTTCTGAGTCTGTTTTCAGGCCCAGAGACTCAGCTTCAACAAGATTCAATACTGCCCCCCAGGGGGTGGGTGAACAGGGCAAGGAAGTCTCCTTACTCACACAGGACCCCAGAGTGTGGTTTAGCCTTATGAACAGAGAAGCTGTCCTGGGCAGCCTCTGGAGGAGCCCAGTCAGGAAACTGAGGGAAAGAAATAAACGATTTTTATCTAGAATCTTGAAGGCGTCGAAGAGCTGACTTTCTGATTAAGGTAGACAGAGCTGTGGTGTGTAAACCCCAAAACCTACAGCCTTGTTCAAGGGGCTTACACATATGATGAGGCTAGACTTTTACAAAACCAGGTGTTTGGATTAAAGTGAAGAGAGCCAAATTGCCCTTCCAACATCTCTACCCACTTTCTGTGAAAATTTTTTAAAAAACCCTAATTTAAAATTATTTTTAAAAAGAAATAATATGTTAATAAATTCTTTAAAAAACAAAACCAAAGGAAAAAAATTTTAAGTACAATTTTAAAACTGAACTATGGTCTGTGAGGCTCTTAGAAGAAAAAACTCACTGGACTGATAGTGCTGTACTGTAGTCTCAACTCCTAGACAGTTTAACCAAAAATACCAAAAATGATATGGCAGAATTTCAACGGATCATGGAATCCTTTCACTTAGGGGGAAATCCCTATAAATAGGCCACTTTCAATTCATCTAGGCTTTTTCTGGAAGCACATGTGTTTCCCATAGACTTAGGGTTACACTCTACATATGTGTTGCAGTCTTTCTTGTTTCCCCTGAAATAATCTAAGGTGAACATATTTTCATAATTATGTATTCTTCTACAGTAGATTTTTAATGAGTGCACAATACTTCATTCTCATCTACTGTCATGTCTTAAAGGATTCTCTAGTTACGTTTTTCCCCTAGGTTTTTCTCCTCCTTATAAGCAATTTATATCATTTTATATCGAGCTTGCCACATCCTTGATTATTTTCTTAGTTCTCAAAATGTAATCACTCAATCAGTGTATAATCATTTTGGAAGATTTTGATATGCATTGCATAACTGCTTAAAGAAACTTTGTTCCAATTTCACTCTCATCATTGGAGTACTGTAGTCTACTCCCTTTACTCTTGAATTTAGGCTAAATAAATAAGTCATAATCTTATCTCTTCTATTTTTGTGGCCTTCAATCTGCAAGGAGCTTTTGAAGGTTATTTGCTATCACTAGAATTCAGAGAGTAGCATCTAATTATCTTAAAAACACTTATCTTTTTAAAAAGAGGATTTTCTCAGAATTTTTCTAATACTTTTGTTGTTTTTTAAAAAATAAGATTGCTAGCCCAGGTCAAACTTATCTTAAGATTAGTGTGAGGTAGATTTGGCTTTGTTTTCTTGAAGTTGGATAGAAAATATTTCAAAAATATTTTTTAAATATAGATTACATTTTCTACTGGTTTGAAATGTTTCCTCCCATTGTGAATATTAACTTCCCATATATACTTAGAACTAACTTTGGAGATTCTCTAGTCTGAATTGATCAATTTGACTTATTCTATTTAAAACCTTATTGTTTTAGTTGATAATTTTTTTTAATTTTTGTAGATAGATACCAAGTAGGTGTATATATTTATGGGGTACATGAGAGGTTTTGATACAAGCATGCAATGTGAAGTAAGTGCATTATGAAGAATGAGGTATCCATTCCCTCAAGCACTTATCCTTTGTGTTACAAACAATCCAATTACACTCTTAGTTATTTTTAAGTGTACAATTAAATTATTTATTATAGTCATTCTATTGTGCTATCAAATAGTATGTCTTATTAATTCTTTCTATTTTTTTTTTTGCACCCTTTGTTTTAATTCTTATAACTTGATACATTTTAGTATCTGGTAAGGCAAATCCCTGCACACTAATTTTTCCTCTTCGAAATTCTCTTATCTATTTCTGGATGTTAATTATTTTAATACATTTTACACTCATTTTAACTTCTTCTAAAAATTTATTTTTATTCTGGTGAAATTCATATGCACACATACATACACAGTAGGATTGCTATTGTGGGGATACTAAATTTTCCTGAGAGACATACAAACAAGACTCTAGTTTTTAGCAAGATTCATAGTTATATGTCCCACTATCTTGCTCACTTTTTCTCATGTATTTTTTCCACTATTTTGAATGAGATCTTTTTCTCAATTATATCTGTAAATGAGTTGAGATGAAAGCTGTTAGTTTTTGTATACTTATCTTAAGGACTTTCCAAGCTCTCTTATAAGTTATAATTTTAGAAATTTAATAGTCTACTGGGTTTTCTAGGTATATAATAAAATACCAGATATAGTTCTGAAATATTACAGGTTTGGTTTCAGACCACCGCAATAAAGAGAATATTGCAATAAAGCATGTCACACTAATTTTTTCACTTCCTAGTGCATATAAAAGTTGTGTTTACACTATACTGTATTCTACTAACTATGCAATAGCTTTATGTCTAAAAATAAACAATGTACATATCTTAATTTATTAATAGCAACTGACTGACCACGGTGGTGGTTGCTGAAGGTTAGACTGGCAATATCTTATAAGACAACTGTGAAGTTTGCCTCATCAATTGACTCTTCCTCTCATGAAAGATTTATTTGTAGCATGTAATGCTGATTGATAGTATTTTACCCACAGTAGAATGTCTTTCAAAATTGGATTGAGTTCTCTTAAACCCTGCTGCTACTTTTATTAACATAGCATTTTCACCAGGAGTGGATTTCATCTCAAGAAACCAGTTTGCTTATCCATAAGAAGCAACTGCTTATCCATTCAAGTTTTATCATGAGATTGCAGCAATTTAATGCAGCACATCTTCAGACTCCACTTCTAATTCTAGTTATCTTGCTATTTTCATGACATCTGCAGTTACTCCCTCTGAAGTCTTGAACTCTCAAAGTCATCTGTGAGGGTTGGAATCAACTTCTTTCAAGCACCTATTTATGTGGATATTCTGACCTCCTCCCATGAATCACAAATGTTCTTTCATAAATATATATATACATATAAAGTGTATATCTATATATACACTGTAAGTTCTAGGGTACATGTTCTTAATGGCATCTAGAATGGTGAATCCTTTCCAGAGGGTTTTCAATTTACTTTGCCCAGTTCCCTCAGAGGAATAACTATGGCAGATGTAGCCTTGTAAAATGTTACTTCTTAAATAAAAAGACTTCAAAGTGAAAATTACTCCCTGACCCATGGGCAGCAGAATTCATGTTGGGTTAACAAGCACAACAACATTCATCTCCTTGTACATCTCCGTCAGAGCACCTGGGTGACTAGGTGCGTTGTCAATGAGCACTAATATTTTTGAAAGCTGTATTTTTTCCTGAACAGTAGGTGTCAACAGTGGCTTAAAATATTCAAAAAACTGTGTTTTCAACAGATGTGCTGTCATCCAGCCTTTATTATTCTATTTATAGAACATAGGCAGAGGAGATTTAGCATGCCTCTTAGGGGCCTAGAATTTTTGGAATGGTAAGCTTCAACTTAAAGTCATCAGCTGCATTATCCCCTAACAAGAGAGTCAGCCTATTTTTCGTAAGTTTGAAGTCAGGCATTGACTTCTCCTCTCTAGATATGAAAGTCCTAGATGGCATCTTCCTCCAATAGAAAGCTGTTTGGTCAACACGGAAAATATGTTATTTGGTGTAGCCACCTTTATCAATGACCTTAGCTAGATCTTCTGGAGAACTTGTGGCAGCTTCTACATTAGCACTGCTGCTTCACCTTGCACTTTTACATTGTGGAGATGCTTTTTTCCTTAAACCTCATAAAGCAACTTTTCTCCCAAAGCTTCCTCACTTCTCTCAGCCTTACTAGAATTGAAGAGAGTTAGGGCCTTGTTCTGAATTAGGTTTGGCTTAAGGCAATGTTGTAGCAGGTTTGATCTTGTCTCCAGACCATTCAAACTTTCTTCATATCATCAATAAAGCTGGTTCACTTCACTTTCTTATTATTTGTGTGTTCACTAGAATAGCACTTTTAATTTCCTTCAAGAACTTTTTTTTTCTGCATTCACAGCTTGACTATTTATTTAGTCCTATCTCAGGACTAAATGAGGCTAAAATGAGGCCTAACTTTTAGCCTATCTCAGCCTTCAACACACCTTCCTCACTGAGCTTAGTCATTTCTAGCTTTTGATTTAAAGTGAGAGATGTGTGACTTTATTTCACTTGAACACTTAGAGGCCAAGGTAGCGTTATTAGTTGGCCTAATTTCAATATTATTGTGTCTCAGGTAATAGGGAGGTCTGAGGATAGAAAGAGAGAGAGACAGAATGACCAGTCAGTGGAGCAGTCAGAACAAACACATTTATTGAATAAGTTTTCAGTCTTATATTGGCGTGGTTCGTGGTGCTCTAAAACGATGGCAATAATAATGCCAAAGATCACTGATCACAGATCACCATAACAGATATAATAATGAAAAAGTTTGAATATTTTGAGAATTACTAAAATGTGATGCAGAAACATAAAATGAACACATACCATTGGAAAAATGGCACCAATAGAATTGCTCTGCATATACAGGGTTGCCACAAACCTTCCATTAGTAAAAATCACAATATCTGCTAAGCAAAAAATGCAAAAAAGATCATTTTGTCTTTTCTTTTCTTTTTTTATATTTATACTCATTTTATTTTCTTATTATATTAGCTAGAGCTCATTGAGAAATAAGAGTGGTAGTAGAGGTGATTCTCTCAAGCAAGACAAAAACTCAAAACTACAAAGTAGACATGTTGGACTTCATAAATTCAAAACTTTTATATAAACAAATGATAAACTAGAAAAGCATTTATAATAAATATTAATATCCCTAATATAACCATATTATGTGTAGTGTTCCTAAAACCATCATGAACGATATTCATGAGGATGGGGAATAACTGACACTTTCATACAATGTACAAAGTTTTTCAATGTTTTTTGGAGAGTAATAGTAAATAATAGTAAGCAAATGTTTTGGAGAGTAATAGTAAATAATGATATCCCCCCAAAAACTTTAGAGTTGCTTTTCAAGTATTGTGTAATGCCTGACAGTCCTTGCCAACCAGAAATTCTTTTTCTTTTTTAATTATATACTCTTTGAACAGAATTCTGATGAGTGAATTCCCTCCTATTGTGTAAGAATGTGTGTTCAAGGATATTTATCATTTTTTATATTAACCAAAAAATTAATAAAATTCCCTGGAAACTACCCAAATATCCATCAACAGAAAAAGAGTTGAATCAATTATGATACATTTATACTAAGGAATATTGCACAGCTATTTTTTAAAGTGTTCCTATATATTGATCTGGAAGGATAGTTATGTACCATTGATAAGTGAAAAAAAGTCAAAGTACAAAGTAATATGTAGAGTATGAGCCCTTTTTGTAAAGAAAAAAATTAAAATATATGTATATATTGTTAAATATGTATCTATGTTTTGTTTGTGTCTTAGGTTGTATTATTTTCAATTTTTAAAAAAATACCAATTGAATAAAATGTAAAAGGAAACAAAATAACGACATCCCAAAGAGCTGCAAAGTTGCTTTTCAAGTCCTCTGTAATGCCTGACAGTCCTTGCCAACCAAAAATTCTTTTTTAAAAAAAATTGTGGTAAAATATTTGTAACACAAAATTTACTACTTTAACCATCTTTAAGTGTACAGCTGAATGGCATTAAGTACATTTACATTGTTATGTAACCATCACCACTATTCATCTCTAGAAATGTTTTACCGTTCCAAAGAGAAATTCTGTACCCTTGAAACGGCAACTCCCCATCCTGCTCTCCCTCCCCTCAGCCCCAGCAACCACCATTTTACTTTCTGTGTCTATGAACCTGACTACTCTATGTACCTCATCTAAGTGGAATCATATGAATTTATCCTTTTATGTCTGGCTTATTTCACATAACATGATGTTTTTGAAGTTTCTCTATGCTATAGTATGTGTCAGAGCTACATTTTTATGGATGTTTATTTTATGGATATATCATGTTTTCTTTATTCATTCATCTGTCTGTGGACATTCAGGTTGTTTGGCTGTTGTGATTAATTCTGCTCTGAACGTGGGTGTACAAATGAGAAATTCTTGATTTAGCCTGTTAGTCTCCAAGGAAGTCAGCACTAACACATGGGAATGCTTTGGGACACAATTTTATATTCCATTTGTGTCTTCAATTCAGTATAAAGATGCAAATTATTCCTGAATAACAGTGCCTTAGCATCGAATGGTTACTAACAGGTTACCTTTTGTCGTTTTACATTTTTTTGTCTTAAATAAAAATGTGTTTCTACAATTTTAAAAAGAAGTGATGTAATTGTCCTCACCCAAGTATTTTCTACAGAGTGTGCCAAGCTTTGGTCGTACCTGCCTAGCTGCAACTGAAACGACGATTTGGAACCATTGGATACTCTGATTAGTATAGATATAATTACCACAGTGGTCCATTCTCCATCTATATTGGGACTGAATCCATTTTGTCCATCTGCATTGACTAAATAGCTGTGTATTACAGCAGCATGTAACTTTGTACCAACGAGCAGGCTAACTTCAATGAGAATCAAAGTGGTATCTTATAATAGTCTTGTATCAACTTCAAAAATATAATTATAGAGCAAGCATTAATCTTCATTGAATAAGTAATATTACCTCAAGCCCAATGGCTGGATATCTTCAAACAAGCCAAATGCATCAGTACTTGACACATGTGTAGCCCATGTTTAGGGCTGCATTAATCTCAGACAGACTGCTCTAGCACTGACACTCTTAAAATGAGATTAGTCAATAAATGAACTTCGGATAAGCTATGAATAAAGAACCTTTTAATTAATTCAGCCTTCAGATACGTTATGTGAGCTCATCATTTAAAAGAACTTAATCATTTAAAAGAACTTAACTTTTTGAACAGGGGACTACCATATGACCCAGCAATTCCACTCCTAGGTCTATATCCAAAAGAATTGAAAGCAGGGACTTGAAAGGTGCTTATACACCAGTGTTCATAGCAGCATTATTCACAATAGCCAAAAGTTGGAAATAACCCCAGTGTCCATCAATGGATGAATGGATATACAAAATGTGATATACACATACAATGGAATATTCAGTTTTAAAAGGGAATGAAGCTAGGTGTGATGGCTCGTGCCTGCAATCCCAGCACTATGGGAGGCCAAGGTGGGAGGATCACTTGAGCTTAGGAGTTTAAGACCAGCCTGGGCAACATAGTGAGACCTCATTTCTACTAAGATTAAAAAATTAGCAGGTGTAGTGGCATGCATCTGTGGTCCCAGCTACTTAGCATGCTGGGGCAGGAGGGCTGCTTGAGTCCAGGAGGTCAAGGCTACAGTGAGCCATAATTATGCCACTGCCCTCCAGCCTGGGTGACAGAGTGAGACCTTGTCTCAAAATAAAATAAAATAAACAAAAAATAAAAATAAAAAGGAATGAAATTTGTATACCTGCTACAACATGCCTGAAGCTTGAAAACATTATGCTTAGCAAAATAAGCCAGACACAGAAGGAAAAATATTGTATGATTCTACTTCTAGAGATACCTAGGGTAGGCAAATTTATACAGACAGAGAGTTAGAATAGAAGTCACCAAGAGCTTGGGGGAGAGAGAAGAAAGGGAGGTTATTGTTTAATGGATACAGAGTTTTTGTTGGACATGATTTTAAAAGCTTTAGGTATAGATGTGTGATGGTTACAAAACATTGTGAAATGCCACTGAATTGTACACTTAAGAATGGTTAAAATGATATATATTGTTATGTATATTTTATCACAACTTTATAAAAGGTCTGACCTTTTTGTGTAATGGTAATTGGTAAAAGCGACTGTGTGTCTGAGACGGGTTGATTGCTTTTTGGTTTGCAGGCTGCCGGCTCTCAGATCGGGATGATAGTCAATTCCTTCACTAACGTCACTGTGGCCATGATCATTGCCTTCTCCTTTAGCTGGAAGCTGAGCCTGGTCATCTTGTGCTTCTTCCCCTTCTTGGCTTTATCAGGAGCCACACAGACCAGGATGTTGACAGGATTTGCCTCTCGAGATAAGCAGGCCCTGGAGATGGTGGGACAGGTAATCTTGCAGATCTAATTTTCCCATTCCTCATGGCTGAGTGGCTATCAGACAAACTGTTAAAAACGAGTAGTACGAAGAGACTGAAGGAAGCTGTCAGCCCACAAGACAGGCACACTTAAGAACCTTCCACCACCCTTTCTATGCGTGCTTGGCGCAAAGGCTGAGGCAATAAAGCTCCGAGACTCTGAGTATGAGCCAGTGTGGAGAAATAGCGGAGTGAACACAGGATTGCCTGTTCAATTTCCTCTCGCATAGTGATTCATTCCACATTCCAATTTGGTGTACTCTCATTTGCAGGGGTGGATAGTTCAGTTTTCTGGCCGTGAAGCTTTTGCAATTTAATGGTTCCCCTGAGCCATGCTTTCCACACACACAGGAGCTATGATGGTTTTAATGGCACATGCCTTTGCTCTTCATACTTTAGAGTCCCCCAGGCTTGGGGCAAGTGTCTTTCCCAACCAGAATTATGAACTACAGTTTAGGTTTTGGATACACTTAGGTTTTAGCTACACATTTTAAAGTGTGTTCTAATTAATATCTTGTCCTTGGGGGGTAAATGAGGGATGGTAGCATAAACACTTCTCAAGTATAAGAATTAAGGGAAACTTGAATTTAACTGAAAAATTGTCTCGTGGTCCAGTTGGGTTGATCTCCAGCCACGTCTTTGTATTCCCAGATGATGCATTCTCTGATTTGTACCACATTCTGCCATTTGCACCATCTAATCCAGGCAGCCACTGAAATGTCACGAAAGGAGTTATTTCTGCCCTTGTATTCCTAAGACTCTTTTTCAATCTTCAGATTACAAATGAAGCCCTCAGTAACATCCGCACTGTTGCTGGAATTGGAAAGGAGAGGCGGTTCATTGAAGCACTTGAGACTGAGCTGGAGAAGCCCTTCAAGACAGCCATTCAGAAAGCCAATATTTACGGATTCTGCTTTGCCTTTGCCCAGTGCATCATGTTTATTGCGAATTCTGCTTCCTACAGATATGGAGGTTACTTAATCTCCAATGAGGGGCTCCATTTCAGCTATGTGTTCAGGTGAGGAATATCTAGCCAAGGTGAGAAAAGATCAACACACAAGGAAGGAATAGCCTGGTTCTGTCAGTTAGCTTTTTGCTGCTTAGCAAACCATCCCAAGCTTGGTGTCTTACAATAGCTGGGATTAATTATTTCTCAAGATTCTGTGGGTCATCAGGGCGGTTCTTCTGACCTGGGCTGACTCAGTCAGGCTTCTGTGTATTCTTCTGTCTCCACATGGCCTGTCTAGCAGATGAGCTTCTTTTCTTCATATTATGGCCTCAGAGTTCCAAGTGCCACAAAAGAGGGCAAGCCCCACTGTGCAAGTACTTTTCAAGTCTCTCCACGCAAAGAAACTTTCTAATTTTCTGTTTGGCCAAAGAAAGTCATACCATCAAGCCCAGGTTTAAGGAATAGAAAAAAATAGAATCCACTTTTTGATGAGAGGAGTAAAAAAGCCATGTTGCAAAGGGATGCATGAAAGTGTGAATTAATATGATCGTTGTTTATAAACAATCTGCCACACATGTTAATGCTGAGAAAATCTAGAGGTCTTGGCTAAGATGGTTCATAGAGAACTGTTTTGTTTGAACTCCTCTCTTGCAAAGAGGGCTGACTCCTCCCAACTGACTCCTCCTAGGCAGAGACAGCATGGGCCATACAGGTGAAGGATGTTCCATTCGTATAGCCAAAGCCTGCTTTTCTAATAAGATTAGCTTTTAGTCCAATTTCTCACATTTCCAGAGGTGAAAGCCTAAGGGTGTCAGGGTACTGGGGAACGAGGTACACATGTATATGGGCGAGTCGGGGGGTAAGGGTGGAGATGGTCTGAGAAAGGTTTGGAGGGCATTAGGAAAAGTGGTCCTATAGGAATCGGTTCTTGGGTTTCCTTCTCTAGCCATGAGTCCCGCCTTCTCACCTGGTATCTCTTTCAGCACTTCTCTCCCACTCCACTACACCCACCCAGCTAGGAAAGTGTCTCTTTTCTAAATCTTTGCATATTTAAAGCTACTAGTCTAAATTAGAAAACACAAACCATTGGCTTATTTTTATTTAGTTTATATTAAGGTTTTAGAATAATTTTAGAATAATTTAGAATAATTTTAGAATAATTTAGAATATTTTTTTGCCAACATGTAAAAATCTGGGGCTACAGGCTGGGTGCGGTGGCTCATGCCTGTAATCTCAGCACCTCAGGCCGAGGCGGGTGGATCACTTGAGGTCAGGAGTTCAAGACCAGCCTGGCCAACATGGCGAAACCTCATCTCTACAAAAAAATACAAAAATTAGCCAGGTATGGTGATGTGTGCCTGTAATCCCAGCTACTTGGGAGGCTGAGGCAGGAGAAAGGAGAATCGCTTGAACCCAGGAGGCAGAGGCTACAGTGAGCTGAGATCATGCCACTACACTCCAGCCTGGGTGACAGAGTGAGACTCCATCTCAAAACAAAACAAAAAGTGGAACTACAGAAAACTTCCAATTTCTGGCTTCACTTTAAAAATTGGAACGTCATCTTCCACCATTTTCCATTTCATTTCAAGTGCTTTTCATTCCCTTAGGCTTTAAACTGGGCTCCCGGGGATGTTCAGATTTGCAATTCTGGCCTAAAACAATTCCTGCTTATGAACTGAGCAGTGTGACACACAAAGACACATCCCTTATCCCTATCCCCATCCCAGGCAGACCCTCTGTGCATGACAGTGCAGGTGAGCAGCTTTGGGGGCTACTACTCACATCATAATCTCTACAGCAACAAAGTTATCTCTCATTATATTTATCATTCATTTATTCATTCACTCTTTCGTTAATTAAGTACATGTTGACTATAGTTAGAGGCTAAGACAAGTAGAAGGAGACAGGCAATTGCATCTGTCTTGCTCTCTGAAGCATAAATTATATACATGCCTGGTGCAAAAATGATGCTTATATCATCAATCATTATCTTTTATATACCTATTATAGATTCAATAACTGTTAGAATTCTAGAAAAATCAACTCAATCTGGTGATCTTTCAAGCCTGCTTTTTCTTTTAAAAAAATTTTTTCAGAAGTCTTTTTCCCCCTCAAACAATTTTCTTTTCTTTTTTTTTTTTTTTGAGACGGAGTCTTGCTCTGTCACCCAGGCTGGAGTGCAGTGGCGCGATCTTGGCTCACTGCAAGCTCTGCCTCCCAGGTTCATACCATTCTCCTGCCTCAGCCTCCCGAGTAGCTGGGACCACAGGCGACCACCACCACGCCCAGCTAATTTTTTGTATTTTTAGTAGAGACGGGGTTTCACCGTGTTAGCCAGGATGGTCTCGATCTTCTGACCTCGTGATCCGCCCGCCTCGGCCTCCCAAGGTGCTGGGATTACAGGAGTGAGCCACCGCGCCTGGCCAACAATTTTCTTAAAGGAAGCTATTGTGGTCAAATAAAGGTTTGGAGGTCTGAGCTCTCCCCCCTTCATGCTTGTTCAGTCCTCTTCTTACTCCTTTTTCATAGAACACAGTTTGAAAACTGCCAGTCCCTTAAACACCACCCTCTCCATTTCCAGACAAGTCTGAAGTGACTTGCTCAAGGATATTTGGTCCTTTCCTGGCAGAACCAGGGCTAGATCCCCAAACTTCTGCCTTCAGGTCATCACACCAACCACGCCACCCTGCTCTCTTCCTGTGTGTCTGTCTGGTTACAGGGTGATCTCTGCAGTTGTACTGAGTGCAACAGCTCTTGGAAGAGCCTTCTCTTACACCCCAAGTTATGCAAAAGCTAAAATATCAGCTGCACGCTTTTTTCAACTGCTGGACCGACAACCCCCAATCAGTGTATACAATACTGCAGGTGAAAAATGGGTAAGTGTTGGAATACTATGCAGCCATAAAAAAGGATGAGTTCATGTCCTTTGCAGGGACAGGGATGAAGCTGGAAACCATCATTCTCAGCAAACTAACACAAGAACAGAAAACCAAACACCACATGTTCTCACTCATAAGTGGGAGTTGAACAAACAGAACACATGGACACAGGGTGGGGAACATCACACACCGGGGCCTGTCAGGGGATGGTGTGGGGTAGGGGAGGGATAGCATTAGGAGAAATACCTAATGTAGATGACAGGTTGATGGGTGCAGCAAACCACCATGACACGTGTATACCTATATAACAAGCCTGCACATTCTACACATCTACCCCAGAACTTAAAGTCTAATAAAATAAATAAATAAATAAAATGTGTAAGTATTGATGAGGGGTAAGGTTGTGCGTATGTGTGTGCAGGACAGCCATTAGGGATGGCCATACAATACCACTTGGCTTCTAAATTCCTGCTGTATATGGGTTCATTCATACATACTTGGAGAAGACAAACAGTAGATTTATAAATACAAAGGAATAAAGTAAATTAGCATCAAAAATTATTCCTAAAGCTGGCATTTGAACAAGGTGATGACATTCAGTGAATGCTAAATTCTGTGTAATATAAAATACACTTAGTTCCCAAATGAATGAAGCCAGTTGTCCTCTGAGATCTACCTAACCACTGTGTTTTCTATTGATGTTCTGATACAGAATGTAGAAAAATCACTTCTTCCTGTCCAATAACATTGATTTAATTCATGTTCATCTTGATTCAAGTTTTAGCTTATGTGGATGTCCTGAAAATTAATTCAATCTCAACAAAATATCTGTTCTTCTAATTGATAGATAGGTATTTGTAAATCTTCTCTACCTATTTTTGAAAATTTTAGTATGTTCCAGAAAGCAAAGCAAACCTAAACACTAGTAAAGCTAAGCTAAATTCTGTAATCTTTCTAAATTGGTAAAATTTCTCCTTCAGTTCAGTAAATGTAAAGTTTCTGTGTGGTCTATTAAATGTCTATCCATTTCTAGATTTTATAAGTTAGAGTTTTAAGCACACCAAAGTACAATAGAAAGTATTCACCTTTGCAGTACAGACCTCAGGTAACTTTCTTTCTAGGTCGTTTTAAGTGTAACATTATTTTTAGTCTTTAGGAGAACAAAGCTATAGGGTTTGGACAGTTACTGGCTTCTGTGATGTCATATCTTCCAGCTATTCTCTTCTATTCAGAATGTCAGGAATAGATGGCAAGAAAATCCCCTTATGTTAGACTGGGAATAGGGGGAGTCAAATGTCTTTAATTTCGTTGCCCAAGCCTTCCTTTATACTACATCTTTCAGAACACAAAATGGAATGTCCTTTTATTAAGTTGCTGTCTTTATACTTTGCACTTTGGCAGCATGGTTTGAAGGTATCTCAAGCAGGGATTTTAAACTCAAGATTTAGGTGTGTTTTCAATATTCTAGGCTTCAGTAAGAGCATCTCTAATTTTGATCCTCCCATCCACAGGACAACTTCCAGGGGAAGATTGATTTTGTTGATTGTAAATTTACATATCCTTCTCGACCTGACTCGCAAGTTCTGAATGGTCTCTCAGTGTCGATTAGTCCAGGGCAGACACTGGCGTTTGTTGGGAGCAGTGGATGTGGCAAAAGCACTAGCATTCAGCTGTTGGAACGTTTCTATGATCCTGATCAAGGGAAGGTGGTAAGCCACGCAACCTTTTTGAGAATTTTGCCTTCTGCAGAGTATTTCCAACCCCTAAAAGTGGGCTTCAAGTTTTTGCTTTGCCAGACTCACTTTAAAATGCTTGCCTAAGGCACTTACCCCATGCATATTTTCCAGTCCCAGTCATTTGCTGCTTCACCTGATTCTACCTCACAATTTCTAATGTCAGATTTTCCCCAGTTCCAGATGGCCTGCTGACCAGTTAGGCAAAGAAAACTGGGCACACTGCAAAGCTGGAGATGAGTGTATTTAATAGAAGCACTCACTTACCCGTAAATGGAGCAGAAAGTGCAGACTAATCAGGAAACTAATGACCAGGAATGGAAAAAGTAGAGTGATAAGGGAAATAATGATAAATGAGCAAGAAAGGAGAGTTAGCATGAAAAGATCTAAGACAATCCTTGTTCAAGAAGCTGAAATCTAAATAACGCAAGGAACTCAGATTGAGAGCCATGTACCATAAATCTTTAGCAAGGATATTTGAAATTTTGGTGAATAGCTTTGGTATTTATTTTTCATAACATTTCTTTCTCTTTTCTGTCCTTTTTTTCTTTCTTTAAAAGTAATATATGCAGAAGGTCACAAAATCAAATAATAAATATTTATAATAAAAAGCCACCCCCCTGCTTTATGCTTACACTCCCACTCCACATTTCTCTGCTCAAAGGCAACTATTTTTGACCACTTGATGTTTTTTGATCTCCCAATGGTGACTTTTATGTCTTTAAATAATATGCTCATGCTATTTCATGATTTAACAAATTTAGACTCTCTGTGATTTATTCTCAAGAGATAAAAATCTACTTACTCTCACCACTCCCTCCTTTTGCCTACCTCCTCCCAATATAGTTATATCATTTTTTAGGCCTTCTATTTATAAATTTGTAAACTTCTGATCTGCTTCCGTTGCTCTTCCACCACCTGTAGATAGTTCCTCTTGAATTCTCACTTTCTAAAAGAAAAATGTTAGCAATCCTACCTTTATTTTCACCTCTTACTCTTTTCACCTCTTACTTCTTTTACCTCTTAAGTTCTAACTGCACTTTTATCAAGAATTCAGAGCACATTCTGTTTATAACATTATCTTTCCTGCCTTCACTCTAAGTTGATTCTAAAAGTTGAAAATCAATTGACAGCTTTTTTAATGATTATGTAAATATTGTTCATCCTTCAGTCAAATAGTGAGTTACATTTACATTATATTTTTTTGATTGTTTTTCTGAAAGGTTTCTTTTTTTCTTGCATTCTTTGTCTTCATGAAAACCTTTGTGTTCTTCCAATGTCTCTGTCAGGCCATCTCTTCCCTCATTTCTGTCACTCGCAACGTTTGCCTGTTGAACAGTCATCATCCTGTGAGTTCCCTGTGATATTTCCTTGGATTAGATCCATTATTTCGTAGTTCCCATACATTCCTTTTTCTAGTTTTTACCCCCTTTTGTTGGAGCTCATCCAAAAGCAAATTTCTAAGAAATAGTTCATAGATATGGGTCTGAAAATGTTTTGTTTTGCTTCATACTTGATTAATTGTTTAATCCCTATATTTTGAAAGTGGCCTTTCTGACTTCCCTGAATAGTATAATCTTTAATGTAATATACTATTATGAAGAGTATAACATTATGAAGAGAAATGCTAAGAAAATTTTGAAAAAGGCAACTAAAGATTTCCTTGTATAAAGCAAAGCAAGGAAACAAGCAAACAGAAATTGACAGAATCCAGGAAGTTATAAAAATAAGGACTAAGTATTGATTGCCTATAATTTATAATCCCTTCTGTTATTAAGTTGAGGTATAAAGATTGTAAATTTGTTTGAAAGTATTTGGTAACCAATAAACCTAGAAAGCCCATTGTAACCAGAGGTATAATTCTGATAAGTCAGAGGGTTCAATTTTCCAAAATGTCACTTCTGGCATGCCTGCAGCCAACATAGATTGTGAACTATGCAAGGTACAGGAAACTGAATCCCTCATATTTACTTTTCCAACATTAACATGTACATTAAGTATATTTCTCTGAATATGCCCAGTGAATGTTCTGGTCACAGGTCGAAAGCAAGGCCAATAAGGAAATCATTATGACTTCTTGCATTTCATAGGCACAGTATATTTTGTTACAACATCGTAAAACATTTCTACAAACATTTTAAGCAGAAAACCTACCACTTTTTATGTTTTTTTTTCAAAGTCCTCTTTGCTCTTAATCTACCAAATGTAGGCGTTCAATATTTTCAACATTTATTTGGATACCTATGATGTGCCTGTTACTGCATGAGTCCCTGTGGGAGAGTCTAAGGACCATGAAGCATGTCTTCTGCCTTCTAGGAGCTTACAATGTAGCACATTTAGAAGAATGAGCAAACAGCCTGAGTGTTTAATTATTAAATTGTGTTTTGCAGACTTAAGTGCTATGGAAAATGAGTAGAGCAAGATAAGCCAGGGCTAATTGTTATTGAGAAATGCTTTATATTTTTTCTAATAGTGTTTGCTTTTTCCATTACTTAGAAATTATCTTAAATATAATCTGTTCATACCATTTATCACAATTTTTTTCTGAAATAATAGGGCCAAATACTTTATAGTAGCACGTTAGGCATCTGTGCCTTTAATATTCTAGGACTCTTTAGTGAATCAGCTCATGTGGTAGATATTCAAGTACCTGGACTTAACTGCCTAACTAGACTGTGAGTTCCTAGGAAACAGAGATTATATTTTCTTTACGTAGCAGACATAGATGGCTTAGGATGGTGCTTTGTGGCAGGTGATTCAAATATATGTTTGTTGATTGACTAAGTGAATAAATGTATTCCTTTTTTACTTGGTTTTATTATCTCAGTTATGCAGAGAATGGTGTTAGTAAAATCAAGAAAACAGGTTTGACCCTTATATTGCCCAAAAGCTTCACAGAGAAAAATCCTTTCCATAACTCATGAGTCTCAAAATAGAGCAACCCTGTATATTTGTAGAGAGTGTGCTGCACCAAAGTAAGGGGACGTTGTTTCTTACCTGAATACCTGAGCGTCTTTCTCGTTTGCCCCACCTGTAGAGCCAGAGTTCAGGAAATAAATAGGACCATAGTCTGATTAGTGTTAACATGGATGCCACTCCTGATAGACATTACATCCAGAGGTCAAAGGCAACATAATTTATTCCATAATTTTAGCCTTGGGATTGTTAGTCTGTTAAGCAAACCAAATGTCCTGCATAACACCTAATGCTAGAATATGAACTTTCCTCACTGCTGGAATTCTAAAAACCTAATGACCTGTCATCTCCTCTATTGGCAGATGATAGATGGTCATGACAGCAAAAAAGTAAATGTCCAGTTCCTCCGCTCAAACATTGGAATTGTTTCCCAGGAACCAGTGTTGTTTGCCTGTAGCATAATGGACAATATCAAGTATGGAGACAACACCAAAGAAATTCCCATGGAAAGAGTCATAGCAGCTGCAAAACAGGCTCAGCTGCATGATTTTGTCATGTCACTCCCAGAGGTGAGTACGAAGTCAGAGCCATTCCCTATGAGAGACAAGGATGGGGAGAAGTAGAATGACCAGAGTGTACAGGTTGAGCATCCCTAATCTGAAAATCCCAAATCCAAAATGTTCCAAAATTCAAAAATTTTTGAATGCCAACATGATTCCACAGGTGGAAAATTTCACACTTGACCTCATGTGATGGGTCACAGTCAAAATGCAGTCAAAACTTTGTTTCATGTACAAAATTATTAAAAATATTATAGGAATTTACTTCTGGGCTATGTGTATAAAGTAGATAAGAAACAGGAATTTTGTGGTTAGACTTGAGTCCTATCCCCAGGGTATCTCATTATATGCAGATATTCCAAAATCTGAAAAAATCCAGAATCTGAAACGTTTCTGGTCCCAAGCATTTCTGATAAGAAATATTCAATCTGTATTATGATTGTGGCTCTAGAAGGTCAAAGGATATGCAATTTATTTCACAGTGCCCCTGGACTGTCTTAGTTTTTTAAGCAAAAGAAATATCCTTCATCAACATACTCTTTAATTTTGGAAAGTATTGTATTGCCCAATGCAATGGATGCTATTTTTGTTGAATTTTTTTGTACATTGAGCTTTAGTTTAGCATAGTGGGGAAACACCTGAGATTTGGAGCTGACCTGGGCTTGCATCCAAGCTTTGCCACTTAGTAGCTTCATAGCTTTGGGACAATTATCCTTTCTGAGATTGTCTATTTCATCTGCAAAATGCAAGAAAATAACGTTAAAATGAAGAAAACACACTTAATAGCCACACAATGAAAGCGGCCACTGGTATTACTGCCATCATCATTATTTCATTACTTGGCAATGTGTACCGTGGGTGGTGGGTAAGTTACACCTGCCTTACTGTCTCTTACTTTGCCAAACCCAAGTCCAGATTTCGCGCAATATTGACTCTGCATTTTTCCATCCACCAAAAGTCCCTCTTAGTTTTGATCACAAGAAAAATTACAACATGGAAACCAAATTGTAGGGCCAAATTTTACCTTTAACCTTCTCTACTTACTTTTTAAAAATATCCCTGGGAAAATTGTTTTTCTTTATAAGTGATTATGTTTATAAATTTTGTGGGTTTGTGGAAGGCTTTTTGTTTGCTCTTTTCACAAAGTCTCCTAAGTTTTAGGCTCTTGGCCCAGTTCTTACCTGTTAGCCCAATCTATAAGCACATGGAAATTACTATTTGCTGAATCCAGAGATCAAAAGCAAAGATTGTGTGTCTCCTGGAAGATTCATTTATCCCACAAACCCTTATTGAATAGCTACTCATGTTGGGCAAGGCACTGTCATGGAGCTGGTTTACTGCATTGTCCTCATACAGACTTGCCCGTGGCACCCTTCTCTGAGCACTTTGTCTCCACAAAGACAAAGCAGGTTTTCATGGGTCTCACCTGGCTTAAAGGAGCATTCCTCAGGAGGCAAGGGAAGCAGGGAAAGGAAACAGCTCGTGTTGTGGAAGGCAAGGAAGAGAAGTAGTCAAGGCAAGGACTTAGAGGAGAGCAAGATTCACTTTCATCTGGATTCAGATTTCACTTTCACTGCTTGTTACTTGTCCTCGCACCATTTTCTTACCTCCCTGTGCCTAAGTTTTGTAATCTAAAAAATAGTGTGGGTATGGTTTCTGTGAATATTAAATGATACCCTAGCTAGAATAGTTAGCACAATACCTCTATGGTAAACACTCTATGAATGTTAACTAATTTTTATGTAGCCATGCCAGGCATGAGTGATTTTTTCTTCCTAATTTTCTCTAAAACTCACAATAAATATGTGAAGTAAGTGTTAATACTGCACCTCAGATGCCTAGCCAGCTCAAAAAAATTTAAATAATTTGTTCATGAACACAAGCTAGTAAGCAGCAGAGTGGAGCTTCTAACCAAAGCCTGTGTTCCAGAATGCTGCCTCCCTAATACAGCAATGGACCAGAAGATCTCGCAAAAGACATTTCCATTCTTGGGATTAGTCCATATTGGAAGGATTTTTCCAGATAAGAATCTAGAATCAGAGAGTCTCAAATCAAGGAGGATCTCATATATGGGCTCTTATGTGGACACAGGGAGAAGGAGATTGAAAATATAAACCTAAAAGAAATGCAGAAATGAGGAATAATGTCCCCTTGCTTCCCACATCAAATGTCACAAATTCCATATTTTTCTTATATTCCTAAGTGGATTTGACATCCTCCATCCTATAGGAGGACTCACTCACTGTTCCCTAGTTCAACAAACAAATAATTTAAATTACAGAGGAGACCTTGACATGAGTTCAGTACAGCACAGGAGCAATAACTGTTTCTATTTCTCAAACTTATCATACTTTTTTTCAGAAATATGAAACTAACGTTGGGTCCCAGGGGTCTCAACTCTCTAGAGGGGAGAAACAACGCATTGCTATTGCTCGGGCCATTGTACGAGATCCTAAAATCTTGCTACTAGATGAAGCCACTTCTGCCTTAGACACAGAAAGTGAAAAGGTAAGTGTTGAATTTCTAAAGTCTTAGATCATTACAAATAAGTCTTTTGCTGTAAAATTTGTCCTTAATAAAATGGCACTATTTTCAATTTTCTGATTCGTTAACAGTAGAAATTGGCAATACTTTGTGGAACCAAAAGACAATTATCTAGAGCAAGTGATTTAATATAAGATTGCTTCAAAAAAAATATTTTACCTTTAAAATAAGAATTGTTTTTAAGATTCTTTAGGCTAAGTGACATTTTTTTCCAAAGGCAAATAATCACCTTTCTTGAATAAAGTAAAATAATCTAGATTATCTGTTATATTTTATAGTTCTAAAGTTATGTGACAGAGAAGGTAGGCCACATGCAACACAAAGAAAGAGGTGATATCTGATGTGTGGTTTGCATGAAAGAAGATGCAATTGAGCAAAACACAATTATGAAATTTAAAATGTATAATTAATGCCATAACAATCGGGATTCCATTTTGGAGAGAGCTAAAATGTCTTCAATGAAGAGCAGTATCAGGAATGGCCACTTAACTGCTACCCTCCGTTGTTTTCTTCATTTCATTTCAGGAAACTAGACCATCAAATATTGTAAAATTATGTAGGGACTTCATAGTTTGCTTCCTTCTTGCTCCACTGAAATTTCTCAGCCAGTGCACTGCCATTGAAATCACTGATGCATTGCATTCAGGGAATACTTGCTTAATCCTCTCTTATGTTGAGCCTTTGGGTTTGCCGTCAAGTATAGGATTGTTATTCAGGTCGTGTTAACTGAACTCTCATGATGGTGGGCTGGGGAGCAATCATGCATCTTTGCATCAACTTTCCATCTTCTCTTTGCAGACGGTGCAGGTTGCTCTAGACAAAGCCAGAGAGGGTCGGACCTGCATTGTCATTGCCCATCGCTTGTCCACCATCCAGAACGCGGATATCATTGCTGTCATGGCACAGGGGGTGGTGATTGAAAAGGGGACCCATGAAGAACTGATGGCCCAAAAAGGAGCCTACTACAAACTAGTCACCACTGGATCCCCCATCAGTTGACCCAATGCAAGAATCTCAGACACACATGACGCACCAGTTACAGGGGTTGTTTTTAAAGAAAAAAACAATCCCAGCAGGAGGGATTGCTGGGATTGTTTTTTCTTTAAAGAAGAATGTTAATATTTTACTTTTACAGTCATTTTCCTACATCGGAATCCAAGCTAATTTCTAATGGCCTTCCATAATAATTCTGCTTTAGATGTGTATACAGAAAATGAAAGAAACTAGGGTCCATATGAGGGAAAACCCAATGTCAAGTGGCAGCTCAGCCACCACTCAGTGCTTCTCTGTGCAGGAGCCAGTCCTGATTAATATGTGGGAATTAGTGAGACATCAGGGAGTAAGTGACACTTTGAACTCCTCAAGGGCAGAGAACTGTCTTTCATTTTTGAACCCTCGGTGTACACAGAGGCGGGTCTATAACAGGCAATCAACAAACGTTTCTTGAGCTAGACCAAGGTCAGATTTGAAAAGAACAGAAGGACTGAAGACCAGCTGTGTTTCTTAACTAAATTTGTCTTTCAAGTGAAACCAGCTTCCTTCATCTCTAAGGCTAAGGATAGGGAAAGGGTGGATGCTCTCAGGCTGAGGGAGGCAGAAAGGGAAAGTATTAGCATGAGCTTTCCAGTTAGGGCTGTTGATTTATGCTTTAACTTCAGAGTGAGTGTAGGGGTGGTGATGCTACCATTACTGTGAGGACCTACCAGTGTGGCTGGAGCAGGGACTCTCTCCCAGGCCTTTTACTCCTCAGCACCTCCCTGCATACTGATTGTTGTTTTTAGTTTCTGTGAAATTATATTCATGAAATGAAAATAGCGCATTTTACTTTGCTGTAGTTTCATAAGGTTTTATACAAAAAAGCAAGTAAATATGGCAGAAAAGCACTCATTTGCCCCTGCTCCCTCAAAACACCACAGAATGACATAGAACTAAAGGCGGCAGGAATCTACAAGAATGAAGAAAACACAGTGATGCCACCTGCAAAATCTTGGGAGCCAGAAAGCAAATGGACAATTGATAATAGAGTTACAAGATGAGAGAAAACAAAAATGTAACCTGTTAGTTGGGGGAGCCTAGAAACATCCTGTTTTGTACCACAGACCCCTAGAAAGTTTCAAGATGTAAAAACACTGGATCCTTCTGGAAGGAGGAGACAAGGGGACAGAGGGACTGAAGACAGAAGAATGGACCAAAAGCCTGTATGGAAACAGAATTGCAGAGCCCCGCCTGCAGCAGGATGGCTGCCTTTCCCCAGTTCCAGCGAGAAACTGCATACTCCCTCTCTGAGGAGGCTCACAGGGAGGTTTGCACTTAGAGACACAAGATGAAGTTGAAGGGGCAGCTAACATACAAGAGACAGGGGGATTGAATGTAAAGCTGTGTATGAACAGAAGAACTCCCAGCCCCTCTCTTCTGGCAGGAGATTGAAGAATGATTTTCTGGGGAAATTGGCCAATCTTAGAAAAGAGGTCGGGCCAGGCGCTGTGGCTCACTCCTGTAATCCCAGCACTTTGGGAGGCCAAGGCGGGCGGATCATGAGGTCGAGAGATTGAGACCATCCTGGCTAACATGGTGAAACCCCGTCTCTACTAAAAATACAAAAAAATTAGCCGGGCGTGGTGGCGGGCGCCTGTAGTCCCAGCTACTCAGGAGGCTGAGGCAGGAGAATGGCGTGAACCCGGGAGGTGGAGCTTGCAGTGAGCCGAGATCGCGCCACTGCACTCCAGCCTGGGCGACAGAGCGAAAAAAAAAAAAAAAGAAAAAGAAAAAGAAAAGAGGTCAAGGACTCCGTCCTTGGAATCCTAAGAAAATTTTCCAGCCGTATTACCCTTCTATGAAGCCCACCTGTCAACCAACAAGCACCCACTCGATCAGAGCTTCCCCAGGCTTTTTGGTGTCTCCTCCTTGCATGGGAATTGACTTCCAAGGACCACCAGACACTGAGGAAGTATTTTAACATATAAAGCAAAAGCAACAATAGGGCAGCTGGAGAAAGGAAATTAGAAGTAACAGAGCCAATGCAGTGATTAGAAAAACACTCAAAAAATGGTAATAAATGTGTTCAATGGGTCAAGAGAACATATTTCCATCTATTTAAATAAAAACAGGAATCAATAAAAGTGAACATACAAAAAAGAGCTCTTGTCACAGAAATGAAAACCTTGGGAGCAGGACTGCACCCACGGTTCCCACCAACCTATCCTGCCATCATGTTTTCTCCCTACTCCAGCTTCCTCCCAAGCTCACTCTACGTAGATGGTTTTTCTTCCCTTAGCCAACAAACGAAATTCTGCCTATAAATTAAGCCAGGACACTAGGATATGGAGGTATATTATTTATGTCTCTTTTCCAGTGTTTCCTGGTATATAACAGCAAAGATGGTTTAGCAAGTTAACTGGTCAGGCCAGAATTCTTGATGGTTGCCAAGTCAGGAGGCAGACGGTGAAGGAATGCATTCTGGTTATGAAAAATGGCAATGACGAGTAAGTTGCAGAGTAAAGATGCCTTTTAGAGGAAATTAAGGTTTGCAATAAATGCATGCTAATCCTCTAATTTTGATGAAAGACTAAAGCTCTTGTTTTGGTTTGCATTTCAAAGAGCAAGAGCATAGGCTCTTGTGCTGGGAGGTGGCCAGTTTCCTGGAAAGGAATTTATGGAGTCTGAAAGAGGAATTAGTACAAATTATATTTTCAAATAAGATACTTGAAAGTTATTGATGACAGGGAAAAGATTGTCTAAAGAGGGCTTGAAATTGGGGAAATAATTGAGGCTCAGTGACAAAGGAGAAGATTACAACTTCAAAAATGAATAAATAAATAACATTGCATGTTTATTTTACAACACCAGGGGGCGATGATGTCTACGTTTTTATTCTGTATCCTTTATCGCTGACAAAGATTTGGTCTCTGCAATTTTACCTTATTGTTTCTCAGATGACCAAGGGGTTGGCTTAATTTGTTCTGTTTAAACTTATTGCAAGTCCTTCTGTAATTTCCTAATGTTTTCATAATGTGTGTTGTGACCAGACTCTCCTTATAACCCCAGTTAAT
The DNA here is from genome assembly GCF_000001405.40 of Homo sapiens. Taxonomy (NCBI): domain Eukaryota; kingdom Metazoa; phylum Chordata; class Mammalia; order Primates; family Hominidae; genus Homo; species Homo sapiens. The sequence goes on along the minus strand of NC_000002.12, from coordinate 168,920,571 downwards.
AAAAGTTAACAGGAAAAAAAAAAAATAGAAGGATTGGAAGATAAAGTTGGGGAAATTTCTCTGAAAGTAAAACAAAAAGATAGAGATGAAAAGTAGGAAAAAATAAGAAAAGAAAAAATTGAGGGTAACAATTCAGGTGGTGCAATAATTAGTCAATAGTCTAGTTCAAGAGAGTTTATTTAAAAAAATAAATTTAGACTATTTTAAAAAATAGTCTAAGATCATTTCCTACAATTGAAGAATATGAATTTCCAAGCTGAAAGAGTTCACCCAATACTGAATATAATAAATAAAAATCCTATTTGGGCACAGTATGAAATTTTAGAAAATGAGGGAAAAGGAGAATATTTTCCAGGAGAGAAGGAGGAATGTGTGACATATAATCGATAAAGAATTATAATCATGTGACTGGGCACAGTGGCTCATGCCTGTAATCCCAGCACTTTAGGAGGCCGAGGCAAGAGGATTGCTTGAGCCCAGGAGTACAAGACCAGCCTGGGCAACCTGGCGAAACCCCATTTCTAACAAAAAAAGAAAAGCAAAAATTAGCCAGGCATGGTGGCATGAGCCACTCGGGAAGCTGAAGTGGGGTGATTGCTTGAGTTCAGGTGGTTGAGGCTGCAGTGACCCAACATCGCGCCACTGCCCTCCAGCCTGGGCAACAGAGCAAGACCTTGTCTCAAAAAAAAACAAAACCAAAAAACCAAAAAACAAAACAAAACACACACACACACAAAAGAACTATAATGACATAGGACCTCTTGACAATGAAACTAAAATTCATAAAGATTTGCCTTCAAAATTCTAAGGGGAATCATTCTATATGTAGCAAAGCTATTCTCAAGAATGAGAGAGGTCTAAAGACATTCTCAGTCATGCAGGTCTCAACACCTCTACTCCCCATCTTTTCTCAGAAAGCCACAAAAGGGGGCTTTTTTTTTAAAAAATAAGGTCACAGATAAAAAAAATAGGAAGATATGGGATGTAAGAACAGATGACCTAACTCAAGAATGAGGTGCTGGGAATCTCCAGGATGATTAGGAAGGAGATCCCAGGATTACAGGTGTGCTGTACCCAGAGGAAGTAGTCAGCTAGATTGAGGCAGGGAAATGGGTTCTGAGAGGAATGTCCCCCAGAAAAACATGGTGCTGCTAGAATGCCTGGTGGGTTTGAATGCTGAGAGAAGACAGAACCCCCTGCTAGAGTTTGAGGGTAAGTTAGCAATGCGTAATAGAAGACAAAGAGAGTGAGATTGGAGATTTTTAGCTATTAGCTCTAGGTGGAAAGAAAAGTTACACAAAAAGAAAATATATTTTTATTTTACCTTATGACTCATCTGAGAATGTTATTTACAAAGTCACATCAATGTAAAAGCTTAATACTGATCTAAAGCAGAATTATAGATAGATTATGAAAGGAACAAGAAAATATGTGGGGTAGGTTGGGATGGGATAGGACATGGGTAAAAAAAGAACTGGATCCTTGTGGTCCTCATATTTCATAATGGAAACTAAACAGTTAAACATTTAAACAAATAAGATGTTTTACAATAAAAACATCTTATTGTAAAAGATGAAGGTGAATACTGAAAGAAACTGCTAAAAGATTTATGTACATATATATCTTTCATTGAAAAAAATAAAGTTTAAGATGAAAAGGGGATAGAAATGCAGTACAGTTACAAAAATTAAAACAATAGATACTGAAACTATTATAGATTTGAAAGATACATCACCAGAACAGAAGGGAGTCCAGAAATAGATTCACCAGAGATCCCATTTATCAGAATATATTTTAAACTTCTAATCACAAAAAGTGAGCACACTTTTCTCTTCCTGCATTGTTCACAATCATTTGGAAAAAATCTCAAATCTATAAATAAGACGATGGGGTAAAGGTCAAATAAGTTTCGGTACATATATGCAATGATGTTTTTCATGAAGCCAAAATAATGATGTTGACTTACATTTATTGTTTTTTGTGGAGCAATGCCCATGTTATATTGTGCAGAAAAAAACCATTTCTGATCATCAAAGATGGTATGATGCTATCTATCTGTCTAATCATCTATGCACACACACTCATACATGCATGCATCTGTTATGTGTGTATCTGTGTTTGGTGTGTGCTTGTACATACTTGTATGCATAAAAAGATATCTGGAAGAATTTCTGCCAAATTTTGGTAACTTTTATTTCCAGCCATTTGTCCTCTGTGTGACCAGAACTCCCTGCATATACTAAAATGTCTATTGATGGTCTTTGAGGGCAGAGACTGCCTAGTTCATCTTAATGTCCCCAGTGCTTTACTCGGTACTTGGCATAAAGTTCTACCTCAATACATCTTGTTGAATAGTCTTCTCAAAGTCACACAGGTAGTTTATAACTTGTCAGCCCCCACGTAAGGAATAAAAGTGGAAAACGCCCATTCTTTCCGTGGGTCAGAGCAGTGCCTTTCAACAGAAATATAATATGGGCCACTAATGTGAGCCACATAGGTAATTTTAAATTTTCTAGTCACATAAAAAAGTGGAAAAAAAACAGGTGAAATTTATGCTAATTGTATATTTTATTCAACCCAACATATCCAAAATATTGCCATCACAACATGTAATCAAAAATATCCTGAGATTTTTACATTATCTACTAAATATTCAGAATCTGAGGTGCATTTACATTTACAGCACATGTTAGCTCAAATCAGCCTTATGTCAACGTCTGTTCTCAAGAGCCACTAGTGGCTACTATGTTGGACAACACAGAATTAGAATATCAGGTTCATGAATTCTCTAGTCTGAATCTCAGTTGTCTCTACAATTCTAGTCTTATAAAAACATGAGCCCAGCTTCTCCATTGGAATGTGTCCTTACACTGTACTCAGAAACTTTGCAAAACTTCAGTTTTGCAGGATGTCAGTTTGGATGCAAGAAAGACCTTTGGGGAATCAAACAAATCATTTTGATGTCAGAAGTCATAGAGCTACACTGGCCTGTATCAGAAGTGGTTAAAATGCTTTACATCATACATTTTATTTGATTCACCAGTGTGAGTTGACAAAAGTGAAATAACTAAGATTGTTTAGTGTAACAAAATACAGTATGATATTAAAAATGGTCATATTAGCTAAGCTTCCTGAGGACCTCTTCCCAAAACAAGTTTTCTTCCAGTTGATCTGTAAGAACCATTTATGATTTTTTTCTGTGAACAATTCTTAGGAAAAGTTGAAGCAGCACATCTTCCAACTTATTTTGAAAACAGGCTCTCAGTTAATTTTGGTCCATTTCAAAATTGCATGAAAGAGATGCCCATATATTAGAAATGCTACTGTTTGAGAAAAAAAAAGGTAGAAAAATTGGCCTCTAGTTTTTTTGTCCAAAAACTCTTTTTTATATAGTTACTCTAAATGTACTCTACATGTGCCCTTAGGAAATTATTTCAATGAAAAGATTCTTTGAATTTGGTGCTGCCCCCGTGCCTATAATTTTTGGCAATTATACACTCATTTTAAAATGTAGGTCCTGGAATATTTTAATACTATATTCTGAAAGTGTAAAATACATAGGATCATAATTAGGTATAGTTTGCCATATATTTATTCAATAATTAAATATCAGTTTCTTATCGTAAGAAAATATCAGAACAGTTTCATCATGTTGGTTTAGGATCCCACCTCATATTTCCAACTAAGGGTTTGATTTATTAAATATTTCTTATGCATGCAAAATCTCTCCATAATCAAGGCACAAAAGGATGTTAGAGGAAATACAAAATTAAGAATTTGGTTGTTTTCAAACACACTTGGAGAGAAATTTACATATACATGTGTACCATCATAAAATGAGCACTGTGTCCACTTGGATTTGCTCTAAATTTACAGATCAAGTAAATGATCTCACCTGCATGTGAGACGGCAGGTGAAAGTAACTCAGTGAACCTCTAAACCCATTTCCAATTTCTTTCACACTGGGTTCAATTAAATGCCCAATTAATTTAAATAGCAGACTGTAAATAAAGCAATGCACATGATTATCATCTAATTAGCACTGGCCAGCATTATAATGTGCTCATTAGCGAGTTGTATGGTATCCTGAGGCTCATAATGAGTAATCAGGGTACTCGTGATTGGCATGTGGCTATCCGAATGCAACTACTCAACCCAATAAATTGGAGTTAGGACAGAATGTGTTATGTAAAAAGAAAAAATACAGAGCCAGCTGGTGAATTGGCAATTTCCTCCTTCCTGTAATTCAGGTACAGCTCCTGCTCTCAAATACAAAATAAATGTGAGAACAGGAGAGCTGGAGATAGCAGAAGAGCTGGAGATAGAAATGGAAATGTTCGCTAAGGGTGACAGAGAACAAGTGCCTATGATTATTATACAAGATTACCAAAAAAGATAAAACCTTTGTGGTATTTGGTTTCTTTTTCATATCTCAAGTATAGAATCAAAGTAAGAAATGAGCAGAGTTTCAATAACATTTCTTGGAAGGTGAAAATTTAATCATTGAAATATACTTCCTGATAATGTTCATAAAGCATTTTGCCTTCATGGTTTTAGCATGTTACTGCAAAATAGTTTGGCAGGCTGCAGGGAGAGATGCAGCTGAGTGTTGCATTCATTGTTATGTAGGTGATAAGTCACTATGGCAGGTGTTGTCTCTCTTGACACCCAATCCGACACGCTTTTCTTTTGCTTTCCTCTATTACAGAGGCTGGAAAGCAAAATATTTACCTTCCTAGACTCCCTTGCAGCTAGATGAAGGCCAGGTGACATTGTCTTGTCAATGAAATATAGGCACAAGGCCCTATGCAGGCTGTCCCTTTCTGAATAAAGCCTGGGTAAAAGAAAACCTGAGTCTCTTCCCCCTTTCTTCTTTCCTGAATGCACAGCAGCCATGCTGTGATCACTTGGACAAAAGCCACACACCACAGATGGCAGAGCAGGAAGATATTCAGCCTGATTCCTGAACATCCTTTGTGCAGCTACTTCAGCCTGGGTTGCCTGCCTTCACCCATCTTGTTACAGAAGAAAAAGACACCTCTCACTTGTTTAAGCCACTGAAGTAGTTTTTTTGTAATTGTGTTTGTTGTTGTTGTTGTTGCTGTTAACTAAAAATTAATACAATCTTACTCAATAGATCTTTATTAATAAAAATCCTGAAATGTAAGTATAAAGAAAATAACACAATATTGAAGTATTAATGCATTCTTAAATGATCTTCAAATATGATCATTATATCTAGAGATATTCCAAAAATATTCAGTGAAAGGAGGAATCGGTCTTTTTTACCTAGTATCACTGCCATGGAAAGACGATATCACTGGATGGGTGTCCTGGCAGCTCTTTCTTTCCTGGAACATTGCACATGCCCTGCTTTAAATGAAGGAAGCTTTTACTTTAGGCACTTAGTGTTTTTTGAATATGCTTTCTCATCCTTTCACGTGATAAAATTGATGTTAGACTGGGAACAATCTAGATCCCTTTGACAGGATATGCCAGAGGTGGGAAGAAAAAGTGGTTCAAGAAAGGATGAATTTGAAAAAGGATGGGTTAGAAGAAATGGGGAGTAAAGTTCCCAGTTAATTTATAGCTGGAAATAGTCACAAACCAATTCTTCAAGTCCACAGGCCAGAGGTATCCCTGGAGTCCACCCAGATCTGTTGCAAGTGAGCCCAGAATCAATGGAGGCCTCCCCCCAGGGAAGAGCCTATATTGAACTCACCCTTGCATCTCCAGCAGCTGAAGGCATTTAATACATTCTGGTCTGGTGGGTGGGTGAGTTAAAAGACAAGCATGGACAGAAAGGGCCCTAGTTAAGTCCGTGGAGATTTTAGAAGCTTTTTGGATCTGGATTTCTAATTTTGTTCATCCTCAAAAAGCCTGGCATCATGTAACTTGGTGTCAGAGTTGTGTTTCATTCAGGAAGCACATTTCAACAGCCATAAAAAATTAAAAAGTAAATTTTATCTTTATGTCTTTGAGAAATCCGTAATTACTCCACAATAAACTTACTAAAATGCTGTGTCAAAACTCTAGTCACTTTCCTCATTCAGCTCCGTCATGTAAGCTCTCCAACCTTACCTCCCACAAAGCCAAGTTTCCCTCTCCTTCCTTTCTTCTCATTCAGCCTATTATTATGTGATCTGCTTAGTATCTCTTCCAGCAAGAATTTCTTCTTTAGGATGTTGAGAAAGGGGAACTGGAGTTGGAATTTAATTATAGGATTTCTGTTGCAAGATAGCATAGCAGGAAGTCTATGGCTATTCTCACGTTAATAATTTTGCCCCATAACATCAGTTAAATTATCTCTCCATGTACTTTTTTATTGCTATAAAATTCAGATTCTAATTAGAATCGAATGTTTTAAAGACTGGTCCAAAATTGTTTAATAAAGTAGCACATTTCAAAACAGAGTGCTTTGTAGAAGTTATAGCCTTGTTCATTGCATGTAACTAAAATTAAAACAGTATCAAAACACATTAGCCAGGGTCTTATCACCTTCTTGCTCCACTTCACAAAAAAATTAACAATACATCTGAAAGCCTTCTGTGAAGATAGTGCTTCACAAAGAGCAAACAAAATAGAGGAGCTGGTTGGAGAGACAAAGCACAATATGTTGGACTGAATGAGACCCTCAGAGTTGAAGAATATCACACCGTGAATGAACCTTCCATTTTAACCCCATACTAAACTCCTCAGTTGAGAACTGGGTAAACTGAGGCCACCAACACTAAATGGCCTTCTGGAGTTTTAGTGGTTAGATGCAGGGCCAGGCTAGAATGTAGTTCTGATGACTCCAGTCCAGGATGCTGGTTGCTAAACTCCACGAAGGCCTTTGTACATCGATCTGCCTTTGAATTTCCTGGCACCTGCCTACCTGCATTCTGACTTCCTCTGGGATCCACATGTGGACCTGTGGCGCAACCTCTTGCTTGGCCAGGGTGAGCAGGGCATCAGCATTCCAAAGCTAAGAGAATAAGATACACACACACACGCACACACACACACACACACACACATCTCCAAAACTCAGACAGGAACATTTATTTTTATTTTGTTAAGTCAATGCAGTTTTCATCTAGAAATATAGCAAGAGCTCTACCATTTTTTTATTTGAACAATTGCTTAAAAAAAAAAAGAAAGGAATGATTATGTAGAAATGTTTTTGATGCAGAATTACTGAGCCTGGAGGCAAGGGGGCGGGGCGGGGCGGGGCGGGTGGAAGATAGTGCCCATCTTCTATTAGCAGCAGGATGTATGAGCACAGATGACAATCCGGTCCATGCTGTTCATCAGACAAAGCCTGAATCCTGGAAAAAGCCAACTCTTTGAACAGGAATTAGAGTGTGATCGGCTCAGTTGACGTACAGGGGTAGGTGAGTGCGAGAGTAAAGAAGCTCTTCTTTGTCTTCGGTAGTGCTGGGTTTCTTTTCCAGGCACACAGATGGCCTGCTCCCCCTGCAGCGCACCCAGATCCTCCCAGGGAGGCCGCTTCAGTTTCCACTTGGCCAGCGCCAGAAACGGGCTGCTGTGCTGCCAGCGCCTACGTTCCTCCCCGCGCTGCGCCAGGAGTCCCGTTCGGCGGGACCGCAGCTGCTGCCTTCACTCATTACCTGCCCCTGTCCTGGCAGCTCCTTCAGAACATATTGTTCTTTGGGGAAATATCATGGTTTTTGAACTGAGGACAGATTCTCTTCAGAAATCACATGGCAAAACATTAGAAAAAAAGAAAAACTAAGAAATTTAAAAATTCAGAACAGAAGACAATCGGTTTTATGCTAACTTTTATAACCTTAATCGTTGAAGCTTTTCCCCTCCTTTAGAGCAATTACTTCTATGCTGCCAAAAGAAATGAGAAGTGATTTCATCTGAGTCATTACTGTGCTCTCCCTCAAAGGATAGCAGACAGTAATTAGTACTCCACACCAGACCTGCCTCAAATTTGGCATAAACTGCATTCGTCCTTTACAGAGCCGAAAATGAAGCACTTCTAAGTCTTAGAATCTTCTCGTGAATTTCTGTCATTTGGCAGAAATTTCTGGAGTCGTTGCTTCTTATAGATCTTTTCTACTGTTAACTTTAAAAAAATAGACTTTTAACAATTGGCAAATGGCACCACATTACCTTCAGAGTGAAATCACCATCTGAAAGCATTCGAAGTAAGGGGAGGGGAAAAGTTAGACCCCCATTTTAGTTTCCTGGCAATATTGAGATCTAGAAATTCATCCTAGAAGCTGTTTGCCATTTCCAAAGTGCCTAGGACAGCCCATCAATGAGGGCAAAATCCTCAGGGGCAACTGGACACGAGCGGTCCTTTTTGGAAGACTTTATGAATAGCCACAGAAGTACAGGTGTTGGGCATTGATGTGTGCTAGACCCAGAGAAGCAGGGAGGCTTCGTCAGAAAGCCAACCAGCCATCCAGAATGTGGTCATGGACTGGGTAAAGCTCCCCGCTAGTATTGTGTACCTTAGAGGGTTTCCAGAACATGGTGCAGGGAGGGTGAACCCAGACTCTCTGATTCCAGGCAACAGAGCTGAGAGTCCAGGGACACCAAGGCGGCTATTGCTCACAGGACAGAATGAGAGAGAAGGGAGCTGCAGAGAGAGAATCCAGGTCTGCAGAGGGTCCCTTTGGAAAATGCAGCAATATCTGTTAACTTCTTAGAGCCGTTAACGCTGATTCATGTTGTCTCACAGGAACATGGCAAAAGTGACAATATACAAAATACTTGGGTTTTATTTTCAAGGAAAATCACTGTGAGACTTGATTTGTGCTGTCCAATTCAGTAGCCACTAGACACACATGGCTATTGAAATGTAAATTAAAAGTAAATGAAGGTTAAAAATGCATTTCCGGCAGGGCTTGGTGGCTCACGCCTGTAATCCCAGCACTTTGGGAGGCTGAGGCGGGCGGGTCACGAGGTCAGGAGATCGAGACCATCCTGGCTAACACGGAGAAACCCTGTCTCTATTAAAAATACAAAAAAATTAGCCAGGTGTGGTGGCAGGTGCCTATAGTCCCAGCTACTCCGGAGGCTGAGGCAGGAGAATGGCATGAACCCAGGAGGCAGAGCTTGCAGTGAACCGAGATCGCGCCACTGCACTCCAGCCTGGGCAACAGAGCGAGACTCCGTCTCAAAAAAAAAAAAAATGCACTTCCTCAGTTGCATCAGCTACATTTCAAGAGCTCAATAAACATCTGTGGCCAGTGGCTACTATATTGGACAGCACAGATAGAGAACATCTCCATCACTGTAAAAGTTCAATTGAAGAGTGCTGGAATATACAGTTTTAAAATACTTAAGAAAAGAATCTCATTTTTAGAACCAAGTCACTTGACTTTTTCTTAAACCAAGATTTTTGTATGTATGTACCAATTTGATCTTGAATTTATTTAAAAATTTTGAAAAAATGTAAAGCATTTCAACATTTGACTTTTAGTTTCAAGGACATCTTATAACAATTCTTTTAATCACCATCTGTTTTATAATGAAATATGTCTAAAGAAGGCACCAACTTAACCTTCTTAGGCAGATGTCCAATCAATAGGTTGTCAAAGGAAAGGAACTAATATTCTTCCTGATAGCTAGTTTCAGCAATAATAAATTATTTTGTATTTTTTTTCCAAATGTAGGTTTGATTGGACAGTTTCTTGAGTCAGATTTTCTCTTGAGTCAGATTTTCTTGTCTAGATTTTCTCATCCTAAAAGCTCATGGTATTGACATTTTTCTCCTGAATATGTAGATAGGTAGACATTTTGAATATATGGTTATAGTAACAGTATTTAATGAGCTCAATTCCACTTACTTCTGACAAATAAATTGGAAACAGAAGAGTCTTTTCCATCATTATTAAGGGCAGGCATTTTCTCCAAGGCTGTGAAAAACGATTCCTCTTGCTGCCTAAGGCGTTTCAATTGCAAAAACAATTTACCACCATATGGATCCCTCCAGGAGACTTCAACTAGAATAAAGAGGGAAATCTACTCCCATGGGGACTCTGGGGTTTTTATGGAAGATAGGGGCAGAGTTCTTGGGGATTAATTATAGAAAACAAGCCCACACTTCATCCCAGTCCCCTCTGAGGGTAATGTGTTGCCCAACAGACAGCACCATGGGGTGGCTGAAGATAGCTTTCTCCATGGAAACGGAGAACGGATTTATGGTAGAGTCAATCATTGCTGCAGAATTCCCTGGCTATTAATGCCGGTTTCCTCAGGCCTTGCTGAAAGCAGGCTGAGATTGTACTAGGATGAAGGGGATGTACCAGAATCCTTCAAGACTAACATTATCTTATGTGAAATTTGGCAAAGGGCTTTTAGACAGGAATGAGATCTCTGATGTGTGGAAGATGTAATGACACAAATGTATCATGAAATGTGAAGGCATCTAAAGGTACAGCATGGTGGGACATAGGGTGGGACTGAACCAATGAGCAACGGTCATCACCTGAAGAATCATTCTTCTCTACTTCTTTCATCCCAAATGTCCCAGCAACATGAGACAAATTTCATTCTTAAGCTATTCTTTCTTAATCCCTCAGCTTTTTGCTTTGGAATCACCGAACCACTAATATCAAGTTCAGTTTATTTACCTTTTAGAAAGTTCAGTTGCCTTTTAGAAAGAAAGCTATTAAGTGCGTTTTATAAAAGCAATGACACATGCTCTATACATATACTTGGAAAGGAGTAATTAATACTTTGATTTTTTGAGGTTTGTTATCCTCAGCTACTATCATGTTAAACAACACTCACTTCAACTGTATTGTTTTCATTAATATTCATAGATTATTTAATATGTCATCTAAAATAATTAATGTATTGATATTCTGAGAAGAGTTACATAAAACATTGTGGGGGATTACTAAGATATCTAGCAAAATCTGCCTCAAAATCCTTGTACTTGATTGAAATGACACAGTTATCAACTTAAAGCCCAGCATTCCTAGATTCAATGAGGAAAAAACACACTTACTGAGAAATTGTTAATATAATATTAATAGTCCATCAACAATAATTTTCTAAAACAAAGCTATAGATTTTCATCACAGTTCAGTATACATAGAGACTAATCCAGCTAACAGATGCAAGCATTTAATAGTTGGCCTGGGTTGGAGCATGACCTTGAGGAAGGCACCTGATTTCTCTGGTTTTGAAAGTCTGTCTCCTAAAAATAAAGTATGGAGATGTCATAGTGAAGAGATAAGTCTTTGGGGGTTGAATAATGTTCTATTAGAGTAAGTTCAGTAGAATTTATTGAAATATTGGTGAGCACTACTGTAAAACAGAGACCAGAAGTGAAGCAGAGGTTCAAGTCCATACTGTAGCCTGGCCTGTTCTGTTGTCCCTGGACCCGTGTGTATATACATCTGGAGCCACTGTTGGTCCCACCTAGACCCTGCATGTATGTGTGGGGTATAAGTCAAAGAGGATGCAGTATTTCAATGTCATTTCTGAAAAGGTAGCTGATTTATATGGCAGTCATCATAGAATCTAAATGAAAGCATTCATTCTTACTGATTTTTACCTCTTGTAAATGAAGAAACAAAAGACAGTGTAGGCCAACTATTAATACAATGGCTCAAGCCTGCAATCCCAGCACTGTGGGAGGCTGACATGGGTGGAACATCCTCAAGGGAACTCCTTGAGGCCAGGAGTTCAAGACCAGCCTGGGCAAATATAGTAAGAAGCTGGCTCTAAAAAATATTCAAAAATTAGCCAGGCATGGTGGTGCACACCTGTAGTCTTAGCTAATGGGAGGCTGAGGAGGGAGGATCATTTGAGCCAGGAGTTTGAGGCTGCAGTGAGCCGCTATCCACCACTGCACTCCAGCCTGGGCAACAGAGCAAGTCCCTGGTTCTAAAAAGGAAACATACAAACAAAAAGCATGTGCATGTGTGCACACTCAAACACACAGTGTAATGGGGATATGTGTCAGAAGCCTTGGGTTCTAATTCCTGCTCTGAAGGTGGCGTGACTCCAGGCAAGTTCTTTTACCTAAATAGGCTTCCATTTCCTCATCTGAAAACTGAAACTGGATATGGCTGTGGTCCCCACTAAAATGTCAACAGGAATCAGATGCAGCCTGGCCTTAAGAAGATAAAGGAATCATAGTGGGGCTCCTGCTGGGATGCTGAAGACTGTGAGAAAATGGAGTCCTTGCCTCCTACTGGGGACTGTTAGTATGCAGCTCTGGTCAGTTGTCTCCAGCTGGGGATGCAGGCTCTGTGTTGTCATACTATCAGATTTTTCAAGAAATACAGAACTTCCGATTTTTATGTCAAATATTCTTGTATCTAAATATTGGTAACTGAAGGATTAAAAAAAAAGACCAGTGCGAAGGCCAAACTAAACATCTCTATGGGGAATGGGGCCTGTGCCGCTATTCTGTGAAGTCGGATTAGAAGCCTCTGGTCTGTGCCTACTCTGTGGCTCTACTGGTGGATGGAGAAGGGTGATCTGTGACACAGAGCACTAACTCTAGGCACCACTCTACTGACTCTTCTTTCCGCTTTGTTTCATTAACATATGAACAGAGTAGGGAATGAAAGCAACCACAGTTAGGGGAATGGATGCACTTTTACAAAAAGACAGCACATAAAATAAATGCTCTTCGTGAGTCGGGATCTGGAGGAAATGGTAGAGCTGCAGTATTGTCAATGAGGTCAAGGCACAGAGCAACCGGAAGCTCAGTGTGTAGTTATTTCCCCCTCGGCAGCTCAGGAGGAACATCTCTGAGTTGATTGCAAAGCCCAAGCCAAAGAGGACCCCAAGGTTTCTCACGAGTCCAGCAAAAGGCGTGGTGTCAATGTGGATCCAGTCGGGGTTAGCACACCACTTTTTGGCTATGGGCACGGACCACAGCAGGTCAATGTTGAGCACCCTAAGAAGCAGGTAAAAGCCAACTGCAAACAGGAAGAGAAAGAGGTTGGTCTTCAGGTATGTGCCCAGACTGGCCGTTTGGATGCCTGGAGTGTGTTCAAAGGCCTCTGCCACCAGCATGCCTGAGGATTGGAAAGAGACACTGACAATGACTGTGTGCCCTTGAGCCCCTCGAGGATCATTCCTCTCTGCATTAAAGATTTGCCACAGTTTTCAATGACAAAGGGCATTAGACACAGAGGTTCTATCCATTTTCCAAAGCCTTTTTTAGGCAGTAACTAAAAATGCAGGTTTGCCCACGGTGTTTTCATTATTCATACTAGTCCAGAAGGATCGTTCTGGAGTTGGTGGCACTGACTGACAACCCGCTTTTTAGACAGAGCACTGATCTAGGTACTTGCAATTAACATTTCAATTGCCATAGCCAATTAGCCTTTGAAAGGTAAGGTGGTGCTGAACAATGGAAACTGAGTCATGGTGAACACTGCTTCAGGAATACAAAGCAGCTACTAAATGGAGTCCGTAATCATGTAATAGTCACTTCACATGTTTCAGAGAGAATGGCACAGTGTGCAGGGCTCAGAGTCATTAAGTTCCCTCACGCAAGACACAAGCACACTGTCTGAAGTGATGGTTTGGGAGTTAGACTTAGCTCTAATTTCACTTCAGAAAAGCCTACCTCATGAAGCAATTGTGCATTTACGCCACTGAGATTGTGCCACTTTGTACATGGAGGCTATGAGAGGTGTGTTGTACCACGTCAGCTCCCGGGGTAGCATTTAGTATCAGTGACTTCACAGAATTACCTCTGAAATTGGAAAGTTGATTACCGGGGACAATCTGATACCCTTAAACATAATGAAACTAAAGCTTTCAAAGGACACAGCTAAAGGTAAGTGATCATATTTACCACCAATTACTCCAAGAATAACTTGATGAGGAAAATGTGTTGCTATGAATACTCTGGAGATGCAGACACTGATTTGAATCAACCAAAAAACACTCCAAAGAAATGACCAGGTCAGTCTACGATGGAAGAATAGATACAAGCATAAAAAGCAAAGAAACTGGATCACTCAAAATTAGAGGGGGTGACATCAGATGATCCTTCTCAGAAGAATCTTCTAACTGTGACATAGCATCATGATTCTAGAATCTTTTTTTTCAAAATGTTGTTTCCACATACCCCATAGGATTTGAGAAGTTTTAACAGAGATTTCTACATTTCTCAATGCATTAAATTTAACCAGTGCTATATACTGAGATTTAATAAATGTTAAAAAGGAAGTCATTTTGACATCCATTAAATAAGAATAACTGTTTTAATGGAGTAGGGGAAATTCAAGTTTGGGGGAATTACTAATATCCAGAATGATCAAGAATGAACCATATATATTTTCACGCCCTGCCCTATGTGCCTCCTCTCTCAACCTTTCTTTGCTTGAGGAAAACTCAGTAGAAACGCAGCTACCATCCAGATGAAAAGCGCATGAGCATTCCATCTGGGGCAAATTTTTTCATTGGGTTTAATTGCACAGATTTTCAAAAGTCCTTGTTTCTTGTTTTTTTTTTTTCTTTTGTTTTGGGTTTTGTTTTGTTTGTTTTTTTTTTTTTGAGACACAGAAAATAGAGAACAGGGGAATTGACCTATAGGTTATACACTTTGGATTAAAAACAGCAATGCACAAAAAACATAAAAAAATATTAAAATCCAAGCAATGCATGTCATTGAAAAAAAAAAGTGTTAGCAGTATTGAGTTCTAGGAATCCTTGAATGGTTTGTTCCTGATAATCAGACTGAAATTTGGTTATATAAATGCTAAGGAACACAGAGAAATGAGGCTTTGAAAGAAGAAGTAAGTGGGATACCAATGTGGAAGAAGAATAAACAAGAATTTGGTAATGTAAAGGTAAGAAGCACACACTCAGTAAAATTTTATAGATGAAGAAAATACTGCAGTTATAAAAACTAAAAAGGAGTTATGAGAATTTTTTTCTTAGAAGAAACATATTTTTTCAGGTTTGGTCATTGGAGGCAGGAATACAGTATAGAGAAAAGGTGAAACTGACCTAGATTCCTACTTTGAAAATTGTCTGTAAATAGAAAATGCTAACTTTTTTACATTATAGCACCTTTTTATGTTGTTGTTTTGGGTTGGGCAATAAATACATTAAGGCATACAGGTCACAGTCTCATTAGAATAAACTTTTAAGACACCCAAATTCCTTTAGTTGTTTGTTTTTTATATTATCCAATACTACTCTAACAAGTGGAATATGTGATAGATCTTGACTTTTTTTATTTTAGAAAACTTTTTAATAATGGCATATGTTACAGTATTTTTTTAAGGTTAACTTGCAAATCTAATTTCAAGTCACCTAATTTATGGCTAAATTGGTACTCAGGATTGTTTTAATGACAAAGTATTTCAGGAAAGAAGAGAAGGAAACAACCCAATTTCTAAGCAACTGTGAGTAACCTTTAAGTTCTAGATCTTTCTAAACATTAAGAAACCTACTAACATTAAATCTACTAACATTCAAATTTAAGTTTGCTTCCAGAATGTTTTTAATTAAAAAGTTTGTGCTCTCTATAAAGCTGGAATATATGTTACTGAAATCAAAAGCATTGGCTATTCGAAGAAGGAAGCATAATTTTACTGAATAAACTGATGCAGTCAAGGAGAATGATGATTCTCAAAACTTCCAGTTAATTTTAAAGCAAGGGAATGTGCATGCAAAAATGTTTCCTTATGCTGTATAATTTTAGACGACTTATTTATGAGTTATCAAAATAATTATTGCATTTTGGAAACCCAGAGGCACATTTAGCAAGTCATTAATCAGTTAAACATTTCCAACTTGAAAAGTGGAAATAGCTATGAGCTAATTAGGCTATTATCTTAAAGCAAAATATTAGTTTTCTATTCATTTTGTTATTTTGTCTATGAAAGAATAGAATAAGCACATTTTATTCATTGACTAAAACTGCACTAAAATTAATTTTTAGACAAGACTTTCTGTATTAAAAACTGTCATATTCCAGTGCTACAGAAACTGCAGCAAAGCTGACCTGTGCAGAGTGATAGAGAACTTATCCATCCCACAGACAGTGTGGCTCAGGGCAGCGGTTACCATGACATACCAGACACAGGATGCGCCCATTGCATGGCCAGATGGACTTCCTGCAACAACAAAGTGTCCGTCCATTTGAAAAGTGGTTAACTATCAAGATCAGAAATGAATAATAGAATAGCATATTCCCCATGAAAATTATGAGTAACTCAGAAAAAAAGACAAGACACAGGCTATATGTAATGTTTAGAAGTGGGTAGAAATAAGAAAAATTGAGTTAAATTGAGCCTGAGAAACACTGTCTCAAAAAATTTTTTTCCCAGATTTTCAGGTTCATTGAATTCCAGAAATCAATATACTCAAGGCTAATTAAGAACTCAGGCAGTTGCACCCAAATCTGCCACAGCCCTACTCATTCTTCAATATTTGGTTGTTTTTAATTGACAAGCAAAAGTATTAGGTTAATGCAAGAGTAATTGCGGTTTTTGCCATTGAAAGTAATGGCAAAAACCGCAATTACTTTTGCACCACCCTAATGCTTGTATTGGATCTTCAGTTGGCTTATTTTCCTTGGGCTGAGAAGTCAAACTCTAAAGGATATCATTGCTATGCCAGTGATTTGCTGATTGACTTACAAATGACTGCTGTGTACTAGCAGCTACTTCTATGCCTATCTTGTGGCCACTGCAGTGAGAATCTTTGTTTTAAAACAGAGGATGAGGAGAAGCTATAAAGACGGCATTAATCCTAGCAGAAAAAGCCTTTCTACTTCCAGAATGCCTTTTCCATGCTACTGAATTTTTTATTAGTTTCCTTAAATGTCCTCCTCGATTTTTCACCTGGTAGTTCATTCAAATTAAATACCAGTCTCTTATTTGTTAAACAAAGACAGACCTATTTCTTATCTGCAGGAATTTTCAGAGCCTTTTAAAAACTATGCCTTAAAAAATTGTAAATCTCCCCGAGAGATGCAGTCTTTCTTTCTTTTCTCTCTCTCTCTTTCCAGAAAATGTCTTATAAGGTGGAACACATGCCGGAAAGGACTGGAATTGACCACGATAACATTTCGGTGGTCTCAAATGTTACCCATCCAACCATTCATCCATTTATCACACTTTGGTTTCACAAAGATAAACTATGCATCATCCCTCCCCTGATGGAACACCCAGTCTAGGCAATCGGATATATAAAGAATTAGTTAATATCATTTAGTGTAATAAGCGATATAACAGATGTATGTATACTTCTATGGGAACAAAAAAGACATATTCAGAACACTCATTAAGAATTTACACATTCTCTACTACCCTTTACTCAAAGTTAGTTTCGAAGGATGTCAACTGGCGAGAATGTTATGCTATGTAAAATGATGAGGTACAATATAACACATTCTTATAAATTAAAATGTAATTTTTAAATATATGTTTCAAAAAACTTTTTAAAACAGTCTTAGAATCAACTATCACAATAAAGATTTTATACTCATACAGAATCTTACCTAGAATAAAAAAGAAGTGGCCCAAGAAGCCTACTTGTGTACAGAGAAAAAATATGTTTTAAAGAGATTGTTCTAGGGTTAGAAATAGTCTTTACTGGCTATAGTAACATTGAGAAGTCCTTACCTTTCTTACAGAAGACTTGTCTACTCCTCCCTCATTCGTGAGATACTCGGAAGACCTATAGTAACTTTGAAAGTTGCTTAGCAGCAGATTAACCAACATTTCTAAGATCTTAGTCTAGTTCCTTGAGAATTTGTTCTAGTTAACTGTTTCTTGTTTTAGTATCAAGTCATTATATTCTTCTGAAAAGTAAACACCAAATATTTAATCACTGGGGGAGTTTTCTCCCAATCTACCCTTTCATAAATAACAAAATGGAATTTGAGTATTTTTTTTGCTTTGCTTCCTCATTAGTAATTTTGATTGTTATGAAGTTTTAGCATCCTCACTCATGAGATTTTCTTTACTACCCTATATAATATCAGTTCCTAGATGATAACCCTGTGTAATGATTCTCTATTGGAAGATCTTCAGTAACTGGAGCCTGCTGTAATAGCTTACCTGGACCTGTTTCACATGTAGTAGGGAACTGTTCAAGGCATGGACTTGAGTGATTTGGGTAAATCTGAGTTTCTTGGACCCACCAGTAAGGTCGATGACCAAATAATATCCTGTATTTAAAGAATTATAAACATGCATATATATTTAAATACACAGCTATTATTTAATTGGAGATTAGCAATTCTTTCCTATAAAAAATGACTCAAGCGCAGGGTTAATTGTGAAAGTTCATGATTAAGAGACTTTGAAAAAACTTAGGTCTTGGTCTCTCACACATTATTAAAGGTGGTAGCCATTTGGTATTTTGGCACCCTGGTTTCCCATGAACATGGGGGCTTTTTTCCCTTGCAGGGAATGTCTTATGGGTGCTTTGGATACTTAGACTGGAAATATCAAAATTTGTCCCTAGAATTATCAATTTGTTCATTATCACGCTGCTCATGTAAGTAATTCTTAATCACAGAATATGTGTTACAGGGGTTTGGGAATTACTTATAAGTCATTAAAGTACACATTTCTGGCCTGGCGTGGTGGCTCACACCTGTAATCCCAGCACTTTAGGAAGCCGAAGTCGGTGGATCACCTGAGGTCGGGAGTTAGAGACCAGCCTGACCAACATAGAGAAACCCTGTCTCTACTAAAAATACAAAATTAGCTGGGTGTGGTGGCACATGCCTGTAATCCCAGCTACTCGGGAGGCTGAGGTGAGAGAATTGCTTGAACCTGGGAGGCAGAGGTTGCAGTGAGCCGAGATCACGCCATTGCACTCCATCCTGGGCAACAAGGGCAAAACTCTGTCTCAAAAAAAAAAAAAAAACAAAAACATATATATACATTTCTGTGCCTTTTAAAAGTTCTACTTATGAATCTGGTGTTTCAAGTTACCTGGTATTTTTGAAAGATTTTCCAAGTAAAACGATATACATCTGAAATGTGATCATTATGCCGAAGTCACAAATTTAAGGATAAATCTTAGGAAAAAATGAAATAAAACAGAAATCTTACCATTTAAATATAAGATTTAACCAATCCCCAATGACTGCTACCCATATCATCTTGGTTCCAACTGTCTGATTAAATTGAAAACAAAGTGGAAAATAAATGAAAAAGATATTCCTGGGGTCTCCAACATTGGACATAAAATTTAGAAAAGTGTAGTAAGCTCGGTAGTCCTTCTGCAAATGCTGAATTATGAGCACTCCATTCCTGTGAAGGAAATCCATCTTGAAAAAGAGGCAATTCTAAACATAGAGCAATTGGAGCTGAAGTGCTCTGATTCCCACCGTTTTTATACTGTGCCTTTGTGGCATGTCGAGCCATTACTGCAACATGTGATGCTGACCATCTGTGGAGAGGGCACACCAGCCCTCCTCTGCTGAATAGCTCATCTATTTATGATTTTAATTGGTGGCAAAGAGTGAAGTACATGCTGATCTGTGGCAATTCGAGGGGGAAATTTGGATAGAAACACAATGAATTTCTTATGCAACCTCCCTTTTGTGCGAACAGTTGGATCATGTTTGCTTGAAATTTTTTGTACAGTTCATTTCCTCCAAGGTCAGACATTAGCAATTTCTATGTTTGGTGAAAAGACTTTGCAAATAATTATTGCATGTCAAATAGCCCATAAAGCCCTGCATTTTAATTTAAGATAGGCTGTGGCTCTCTATTTTATTGGGTCTTTGAGGAAAATGGTTGAATAAATATCTGGGTATGAAAAATATATGATATGACAGATTATGTTCTGATCACTGATTTAAAATAAGAATAGTTCAATTTTCTTTATCCAAGAGAATGATAGAATATATATGGAACAGGGAAAGAAATGTGTTGTTTTTTGACTATAAGACAAGAAAGCAGAAATGAAAGTCATTTGGATAATAGAAATGTGTTAGGATCAAATTGTATCTTTTATTAACTAGAGAATACAGTTGAGAGGAATAGGGAATGATTCATGTGACAAAGATAGGAATAGACATCAAAGGGCTTTTGACCAATCAGGAAAATGGTTTGTTGAGAACAGAGTGTTAAACAGAAGTGGAAAGCACCAAACAAATGCTAAGAATGAACAGAAGGGTAGCGCAAAGAGGCTGTGGATCTAAGTCATAGGTCCATAATCTACGGCTGTGGACTATGACTAGACTATAGACCAGGACTCTGGTCCTGGACTATAGACTACGACTGGACCCTGGACTATGGACCAGGGTAGACTGAGAATGAACAGAAGGGTAGCACAAAGAGGCTATGGATCTAAGTCAGAGAGATGTTGGGTTTAGAGAGCTGGATTGTGTCTAGGATTAGTGGGAAAGCAACAAAGCCTCACAAGGTGGCCAGGGATGGATCTAGGTAACCTTACTTGTTATTTTGTCATTCAGATTTTTGTCTTTGCTTACCATGGCCTAAGTAAAGACAAAAGACTTCACTAGAGTCCTTCACAGGCTATAACTATCACTTTGAACTTCTCTTCGAGTTTTGTGTCCCATCATTTAACAGCACCATTGTTACTGGGCTTCAGTGTCTATTGGTACCTTACCTGGAAGAAATGCATTGACTGACCATTAACATCTTTTGGGGTGCTTTTTAAATTGCCATAACTGTGTTCCACCTGAGATCAGTTATATTTCTGGTAATGGAATTTGGGCATTGGTATTATTAAAATACTTCTCAAGTGGTTCCAATGTGGTATAAGGGGCTTAGAATCATTGCACTAAGGCAATTCATATAAGGAATTATCCTTGACTAATTAGAGTCTATGCTTCTGGCTTTTCTTTGTTTTGCATATTCAGGTTCTGTAATTTCCATAATCTCTTTAATGAGCCATGAGGAAGAGCATAACTTCCCTTTATTCTTTTTCTAAAAAGTGTTTGATCTACGTAATTCATAATACTCATTTTCTTCAGAAATGTCTTATCCTTAAATCAGGATGTGAATGATATCAAATACATTTTGTCTTCCACTTAAAAATTAAACTTCCTGCTCTTCAGCACCTCAGAGTCTGTGATTAGCCTTTCATCTATGGTAGTTAATTTAGAAAGATTTTCTCTCGAGAACTACCTGGTTCTGTAGACTGTGGGATAATTAAGTGAAGCAAAAGCATCTTGATTTCTTTCACCCTTTAACAGCATCTGCTAATCTGCTTATTCCTCGTAGTTCATCATTTTTAGTCTTTTCATATCTTAGCTTCTATGCATCCATCGGTGATGCCTTCTCTGACCAGCATCCTCACCACTCCTCTGACAATACTTTCTCTCACACACTCTTTTCTCCTAGGGGGTTGTTTGAGTCTGCTAGGGCTGCTATAACAAAATACCAGACTGGGTGGCTTACACAACAGAAATATAGGAAACTAGGAGTCTGAATCAACGCGTCGGTGGCGTTGATTTCTTCTGAGCCTCTGTCCTTGGCTTGCAGATGACTGTCTACTCTCTATGTCTTCACATGGTCTTCCCCGCTATATGGGTGTGTTCTAATCTCCTCTTTTTATAAGGATACCAGTCTTATTGGATTAAGGAAGATACTAATGACCTCATTTTAACTTAATCACCCCTTTAAAGACCCTATCACCAAACACAGTCATTTTGGGAGGTACTGGGGCTTAGGACTTCAACATGAATTTGAGGGAATACAGTTCAGCCCATAACCGGGAGTTAAACACAATTTATAATTATATATTTATGACAAGTGTATATATTTAGCATCTCTCTCCTGTACTACAGTATAAGCTCCATAAAACAAGGGGTCCTGTCCACTTTGTGCAACAGCCACAAGCACAGTTCCCATAACAGGCCCGTGTAGAAGCCAATTACCCATGAAGCTGGAAAAGTTCGCACGGGCGCCTAAGATGGTAGGTTGGGCCGGGCGCAGTGGCTCACGCCTGTAATCCCAGCACTTTGGGAGGCCGAGGTGGGCGGATCACTTGAGGTCAGGAGTTTAAGACCAGCCTGGCCAACATGGTAAAACACCATCTCTACTAAAAAAAAAATACAAAAATTAGCTGGGCATTGTGGTGGGCTACTGTAGTCCCAGCTACTCGGGAGGCTGAGGCAGGAGAATCGCTTGAAACCCGGGAGGTAGAGGTTGCAGTGAGCCAAGATCGTGCCACTGCACTCCAGCCTGGTCTACAGAGTGAGACTCTGTCAAAAAAAAAAGGCAGGTGGTTACTGATAGTTTAGAGTGCATTCACGAGTTTATTTTCTTTTTATTAAAGAGAGGGCCTATATAACAGGGGCTTTATAGAGGGGCCTATATAAAGCCATTTAACAGGGGCTTTAGATTTCACAAAACCTGGAACTGCCCCTGGGCCCATCATAGTTATTTAGTAAATGTTTATTGAGTGAATGAATTATTGAACAAAGTTGATATGAGTACTAAATTATAAAGAGCCTGTGTTTTAAAACTATGTTATTTGGTTAGTGCAAACTCAAAATGCATTTCTCCACAGAGATCATGTTATATAGTGGCAATGTCAAGAAAGTGTATTTAAGGTGGAGAAAATATATATAATGTGTATTCTAGAAAGGGCTAATATATTTGTATGTGTATATGTGTGTGTGTGTACATACATATATAAATATGTATGCAGATGTGTGTATATGTATATATACATATATTAGCCCTTTGTGTGTGTGTGCATATATGTATATATACAATTATATATACATATATAACATATATACACACACATATATACACATATATGTACACACACACAAACACACACATCTGCTTATGATTAAATAGAAGAATAAACAATTAAAAAATATTTTGGCCAAGCATGGTACCTCACATCTGTAATCCCAGCACTTTGGGAAGCCATAGTGGGAGGATCACTTGAAGCCAGGAGCTTGAGACCACCTGGGAAACGAAGCAATACCCCACCTCTATTTAGTATATATTTATTTTATATACATTTATTACATGTGATAAATTATATAATTTATCACATGTAATAAATTATATAATTTATTGCATGTAATAAATTATATATATTTATCACATGTAATAAATTATATAATTTATTTATATATAAAAATACATAATAAATATATATCTATTTTTATATATTTATATTTATATAAAAATATATATGTAATAAATAAATATTTATTATATGTAATAGATATTTATTATATGTAATAGATATATTTATTATATGTAATAGATATATTTATTATATGTAATAAATTTATATATTTATTATATATAAAATAAATATATTTTTAAATTCTGTAAAGGAAAGAAGAGAAGAGAGTAGAGGGAACAGGGTTAAAAAGTAGACTTCTTTGAACATACTTATTTTATAGATGTGACTTTGAAACCATGTAAATATTTTACATAACTATACAACAAAATTAAAATTAAGATGTGATTCATACAAAATTTTAAAAACGAAAGAAGTGAAAACACCACTTGATCCATTATACTGGTGAGCTATTCTTCCCAGCACTTACATGTATTTTATGATTTGTTCCTGTGGGAAATCTCTTTCTACACATTTCTTTAGTCCTCCTCATCTACCGTCTGCCACTCGAGTTGCCACGGCTTAGGGTGGGGATGTTCCTGTATCCTATGTGGGCCCCAGCAGTAGGGAGATAGAGGAAGTTGGTTCTTTCTGACACTAGTAATCTTCCAGTGGAGCTCTTCCCTCCAATGACACAGCCTGCCTGACAAGCTGGGTCATTTCAAAGCCAAGGTTGTTAGAGTTTAAGATCTGTCCAAAATCAGTTTACCAAATGATGGAACAAAGTCACATTCAACCTACCCAGACCAAGATCCAAAAGAGGGTAGATCCACCTGACTCATCCTCTTTTTGAAGTTGTCTTTCCTAAAGTGTGACCTGTGGACCACCTTCCTCCTGTCACCTGCATGCAATTTCCAGGCCCACTCCAGATCACAGAATGAGACATTTTGGAAATTAAATCCAGAAAGCGTTTTAGTAAGGTTTCCACATGGTTTCTATACACATTAATTTTTAGAAGCGCTGTCTTCATTCATCATTCCCTTGAAAGGTACCCCTCCTGTACCTCCTGTGCAGAGCTGGCCTCTTCTTGTACCACTTTCTCAACTTCTACCTTAAGTCATTTTTTTTTCATTTGCCTTATTTGGGGTTCTGTATTATTCCACTCTTTCCCATGGATGCAGGCGTGGTCTGTTTCCATATTCTTCCTTTTAGATCTCCTTTTTATTATCTTTTTTTAAGGCACATGGTAAATACTCAAAAAATACTAGCTATAATTAATATTAGTTATTCCTATTTTGCCAAATAGTCTGTAAATGTGGAACTGAATTCAAGCTCTGACATTCTTGATCAGAGTAGAAGTAGGGTAAAGTGATACAATTTTGCTCTTATACACAATTCTTATGTTGCTTCTCTTTTGTACTCTGACATCTCTGCCTCTACCCCACTCTCTCTGTTCTCTCCTCTCTTTTCTTCTCCCCCCACCCCACCTCTCACTCTCTTTTTTCCTCTATCCTGGCTCCCCTTTTTTCATACTAATATTTAGTCATCTAAGTGTTTTAATTGGTCACTGTCAACTCCAACAGAGCAGAGACAAGTCTGAATTGCTCACTATTGCATCTGGGAATCCAGCCAAATGCCCTACACATTAGGAGATGGTTTTCAAAAATTATACAGCCAGCCACCATTCCTGACTGGATCACCTCCTTTTCTTCCTGCTATAGTAGAACTCTCCATTTGATCCCTCCAAGTGTTCAAGGACTTGAACTCTGCTGTGTTAGAAAAAGCACTTTTGGAGTGGAAGAAATCTTTATGAGTCTGTGCTTTGGGGTCTAACCTTAGCCAGATCTCTTCAGTCACCAGGCAGTCTATAACGCAAATTGATTTATTTAGGGGTCAGCGAACTTCCTAAAATTGCGTGCAAAATGTTTGTGCTTGTACGTATCTGTTGGAAGAAGCCACAATTTTCACCAGATTCTCAATGGAATCCCAAGCAAATTAAGTACAGCGTGAGGTTCACTGGAATCCCATGCGCTATCCGTGGGGCCTATACCCAGGATCCTCCCATTTCCCCAGTTTCCTCAGAGATATCTTCATAACTCCATCCACCCCAGCATGAGTTTCTTGTCTTAATGACGTCCTTCCTCTTAATGACTGTTTATTTCTTAAATATGTTACTGCTATAGTCGGTCCCCCAACCCTATGCTGCTGCCTTGTTTTTTAGTTCATCCCTGTAGTTGAATACTTCCAGTTCTTTCTAGAATGTTCTCATTCCGATTCATTTAAATTTTTCTGAGATTTTGATTTACAGTAAATCCCTACATGTATTACATAGTGGGACAGAGGATAGAATTTCTCCAATATGTTTCACCACATCAAATATTATATAACCACAAGATATTTCTTATTGAACCATTCATGTCTGGATTATAGTGCTTGCTACAATTCAACACCATTCAGAGATATTTGACTTTAGCTTGTGTTACTTATGAGGTGGCAGTAAACAACAATATATTTTGTAGGCATTGACCTTTAATGTCTCTGCATGGTCATTATCCTTTTACCACAAACTTATCTGCCTTTTCTAAAATAAACTATTTGAGATCTCTCCAGTGTCACCTTGCAATTTAAAATGGATTTATTTCAGATGGAATTTAGACCCTAGTGACTTTCAGAAAATCATTACCTTCAGTCTGGCTAGCATCCCAGGAATATTGGCAGTCCATAATGACACTGTTATAAATGGCCCTGCTACAGCTCTTTGAAGTACCCCCCTCCATTAGTCTTCTTAGCTACTTTTCTCTAGAAATGATCATGACCTATACATCTATACACTTTTTCTTGGATTACCAAAGGACCCAACAGAGTTGCCTATTGAGCAGTACTATTAACTTTCTTCAAAGTAGAGTTAATATATTGTATAGCTGTGTTCATTTTTATAGATGACTTAAAAAGTACTGTGTAGAGAAATTGTGTAAAGCAGTGGCTCTCAAACTTTAATATTCATCCAACTCCCCTGAAGGGCTTGTTAAAACACAGATTTCAGGGACTCCTAATCTTTGATTCACTAAAAATAGAGTGGGGTCTGAGACTTTGTATTTCTAAGTTCCCAGATAATGGTGATGTTGCTGGGTGGAGAACCTCTCACTTTTGAGAAGCATAAGTCTAGACACTGACTCTTACGAGTACCACACAGGACAGAGATAGATCAGACCTCAAGAAGCTTGTGGTCTAGTAGGGAAGATATGATATTTACATAAATCACATACCATTGTGTCCTTAGAGGTGAACAGATAGGGTGAATGGAAAAAAGGAAAGGCAGACAACTTTCAGTCTGTGAGATTAGGGAGCTTTTGTGGAGGAGATGGCAAGTGGCTGGGCCTTGAGATATGAGTAGAATTTAGAAATGCAAACTGTAGGATGAAAGGGAAAAAATATTCAAGAATATAAATGAGATAATACCATTATCACACCTAAAGACATTAACATTAATTGATTAATGTATTTAAAAGCTGTAAAAGAAATCCTCATTTTTGACATTTATGAGACAATTTAAAAATTGTACCTAGAGTAGTCAGATTCATAGAGACAGAAAGTAGAATGGTGGTTGCCAAGGTGTGAGGGGAGGAAAGACAGATTTGTTATTTGATGGGCAGAGTTTTTAATAAAAAGAGTTCTGGAGATGAATAGCGGTGATGGTTCCATAATGCTGTGAATACACTCAACATCCTTTTACTGTACACTTAAAAATGGTTAAGATGGTAAATTTTATGTTATGAGTATTTTACCATAATAAAAATAACCTGGATATTTTTCTGACTATATTGAATGTTTTCTCAGTGCTTGGGAAATGTAGTCTTTTTTCCTCTGAAGCTCTGATATCCTTCATCTTTTATTTTTAATTTTAATACTTTTATTGAGTTATAATTTATATACTATAAATTATAGTATATAATTCCTCATTATATTTAGTATATTTATAAAGTTGCCAGTAATTGACAAAAACCAGTTTCAGAACATCTCCAGCACCCCAGAAAGTTCCTTCATGCATGTTGGCAGTCAGTGCCTGGGTCTGCTCCCAGCCCGATGCAAAAACTGAACTGCTCTCTGTGTCTGGGAATCTGCCTTTTCTGGTTATTTTATGTAAATTAAATCATAGTATATGTAGTCTTTTGCACCCGGATTCTTTCACTTAGCATAATGTTTTTGAGTAGTTTCTCATGAATAAATGCTTCTTAGTTTGCTGCAATCTGTTAGTCAACTTCCAGGTCACTTAAATTGTTGTTTTTGATAATTTGGTCCAGTTTTATAGTTTCTTTTTGGGGGATAAAATTTGGTGACTTCCTTCTACCACACAGATCCAAACCACATCAGACCTCCAGCATAGTGGTGGGAGGGGATTGGATCATGAGGGTGGATTTCTTATGAATGGTTTAATACCATCCTCTTGGTACTGTCTTTGTAACAGTGAGTGAGTTCTCATGAGATCTGGTCATTTAAAAATGTGTGGCACCTCCCCCTCCTCCTGACCTCTCTTGCTCCTGCTTTGGCACATGAAGTACCTTCTCCCCATTCGCCTTCTGCCATGATTGGAAGTTTCCTGAAGCCTCCCTAGAAGCAGATGCTGCTCTTCTTCCTGTACAGCTTGCAGACCATGAGCCAATTAAACCTCTTTTCTTTATAAATTACCCAGTCTCAGGTGTTTCTTTATAGCAATGTGAGAACAGACTGATACAAGGTCCCAGCCCTTCCTCCATTTTATTTTATTTTTTTAATTCTAGGAAGGAGATGAAAGAGTCCAAGTGTAACCTGGCATTGACTCCACTTTGTATACTGTACTTTATAGCAATTGTCAGAAAACTTGCTTTCTTAAATCATCTATTGCAGTGTTTGACACAGGCCATTCAGAAATCTAGAAGATTGAAAGTTTCTGTTCAAGAATCTTTTCATTTTCAATATTGTAGGTCCTCAACCTGGAATCTGCAAGAAGAGACTCCTCTTTTGAATTCATAGTAACTTTTAATTTTTCAATTTTCTCAGTGAATGGATGTTGAAAATATAAATGTGAATGTCAGCATAAATGTGAATGTCGTAAAGAGAACCTTATACTTACAGGTGGGGAACTTATAGTCTAAACCATGGCATTATTCACGATCATTCCTATCTTTAGCTCTGCCCCCCAAGATGCAAAGTATCTACCCAGCAAGTGTATGTGTAATAGAGGACAATGATCTTTTATCCTTATACGCCATTATCATTCACCCTTTGGAGAAAGAATTAAGTTTTCAGGGGAGGAGCAATGGAGCATTCAATCTGAGCAAGACTATAACCACCATCCAGAAACACCTCCAGCCTGGGAACATGTGGCATCTTTCTATTCCCCACCCTGCAGAAACCCAACCCTGGGTCACAGACCGTATATCCCAGAGAAGGCAGTGCTCAGCTCAGTACCTGGCACAAAATAGAAACTCAATAAACCCTGGTTGGTTTGAAATGAAAGGTATGTAAGTATGGTGGTGGTGGTCATGGTGGAGTTGTGTGAATGATAATGGGTCGGGGGGTCTGTTTTCCCCTTTTTAATGCTGAGAAAGCTGAAGGCCCTATTCTGTGTACTGAGCAGAAAGAAGAGCTGGTTGTCTCTAGCTATCCTTGGGGATTAGAGAGAAATTATTCAGCCAGTCTTTCAGAAATGAAAATTTTGACAAACGACAAACTTCTTCCTCACATCCTGGTTGGGGAGGAGCACTCACAGAATAAAAAACAATAGACAACCTGAGGCTGCCCTAAAAACAGCACATTGGTAGGGCAATCACTCCCCTCAGCTGAAGACCCAAAGAGAGCAAGAATCTTCACTGAACAGTCTGATAAAGACCAGTGTATAAACCCAGTGAGGAATTCATCAACATGGTACCAAATCAGCCCTCTTCCATGAATCTTCTTAAATACTGTCTTCACTAATTTGGTACTGAGAAAACCCTAAAAATGAGTACCAGCACTCAATCAGCTGAAATTCTGAGATGCTCAACTCATAAAATTTTGCTTTAAGGTAAATAGTATCAGATATATAAAATTAGAAGTTCTTGGGAAAATATTTGCAAATGAAAGGAGATTTATCATAGTAAACTCTATGTCTAACTGTATTAATAGCAGTCTCTAGGCTGCAAGGTGACTTTTGGGTATATTGTGAAGTGTTAAATATTCATAATAACTTGTCCTGATTTCATAGGTCTTAATTTAGTTCTTGGATAAAGAATGGCTAATATCTGGTCCTCTGAGAATGTTTTTTACATATTTACTTCTTGTTGGTGTTTGTATTGTTGATGAAAATGAAAAGAAACTAGTATAGTAAAGACCTTTTGGTGTATAATAAGAGGCTTTATTTTCACAAACATATCATAGTCTAAGATTAAAATAATAACTTTGACTTCATTATTTTAGCCAACTTTATTTTCCATTCTTCAGAAAGCATATTCTCTAGGTTCTTTCCCTAGTTTTCTTTCTTCCTCAGCTTTACCAAGAAGGATTCAAATACCGAATCTATGTCACCTTTCAGAGTTTCTGGACAACGCTGATTCCCTGCAGCTTGTCTACTCTGGCAAATCCTAGTTGAATACCTTGTGCCTCATTCCTGTCCTCAAGGAAATAGCAGGTGATTTTGATAGTGCTCTAGTTTCTTCCACTTCTGCAAGATAGTAACATAGTGTTCTATTAGGCCTCAAAAACATTGTTAGAGAAGCTGGGGGAGTAGAAAAGAAGGAATATTTTTGTAAGCAGTAAAAACCTATTCTGAGGACCATCTGAATGTTTCTGCCCACTCACAATTGAAGTCAACTTTACAAGGTGAATACAAAGAAGAGGATGTATTTGTTGCAAAAGATACGATTAAAGGTCAATATCTGTATTTGTTCCAGAAACCTTTATTTGAAGCCGATAAATGACTTGTCGTGGGCGAGCCCTTCGGGTGCTATTAATACTTTCGGGTCACAGCGGAGACTCTGGCTGTTGTTCAGAAAAGAACTACGAATCCCAGAATGCCCTGTTCCCCCATTTTCCCCTCGAGAATCCAAGGGTGAGTTCAACCAATCCTGTCAAGGAGAGCCTGCGCTATCGGCCAATCAGAAGGCCAGCCTGCGCCTGGAGGCGGGTGGCGGGAAGTGCACTAGGTTTGAAATCGGAAAGTTGGCGGGGCTGCGGGAGCTGAGCCTAGAGTCCGGCTGTTGGCTAGAGTGGGCGCGGATCTGGTGTGGGGAAGGCGGCGGGACTCAGGCCTGCCTGCGAAGGTAAGGGAGTTGGGCGCCGAGCTGGGCTCCTTGGCCCCCCTGTCGCAATAAGGGAAAGTGAATTTGAGGGCGGGATGTGTGTATTTGCGGCGGCGTTTGTGAAATGCGCATCTTGTTGCTGTTTGGGCCTCACAGCCTGGTGGGGTGGGCAGCTGCGAACCCAAAGCGTTCTGGGTTTCACTGCAGGAGGTATCTTTGGTCCTCCTGGGAAGGTTTTAGCGTCGCAGAGTACTGGTGGGTCCAGGATTCTCCCAGGACCTCCTTTTACAGAGGATACTGAGGCCCGAGGTGACTTGTATACATCCTCGACGGAACCTACTAAACTCCCACCTTAGTCCCTATTTTACTGTTAACTTTTACTGTTCTGAGGTGGAGGAGAGAGACAGGATAGATGTGTGGGGTCTTATTCTATGGGAGGGTGCCGGCCACCTGGCTATCCTGATGATCTCTGTTCAGAAAGGGTTAGAGTTGGATCAGGGGTTTCAGAAGTCAACAGTTTTACTTGTGAGAAAATGGACCCAGGGTCATAGTGCGTGTGAGTGTCCTGTGCAGTTACACTTACCTACTAACAAGCTGCTAGGAGGTAAAGGTGTCCTGAATTATTGCTGCACGTTAACAACAGTTAAGCCCAGGTGGCTTGATCTACCCTTGAATACCTAGAATTAAAGATAAGTTGCTATTTTCTAGCAAAGGACAAATTGCCAAAATACTGTATACCCGATTGGAATATGTGGGTGATTTGATTTCAGTAACTTAAAAAATGCAATATGTATTCTGTTTTTAGCATTGTCCTACATAATGGTAGAGGACGAACTGGCACTTTTCGATAAAAGCATAAATGAATTTTGGAATAAATTCAAAAGTACGGACACCTCCTGTCAGATGGCGGGACTAAGAGATACCTACAAGGATTCCATCAAAGCATTTGCAGGTACCTAGTGTTAACTTGTAACATGCTGGTTTTGCTGTTCTAGTTTATTTTTTAGTGTTATTGCAGCTGAATTGAAAGTTCAATTTCTCTTTCAGAAAAGCTGTCTGTGAAATTAAAGGAAGAAGAACGAATGGTTGAGATGTTTCTGGAATATCAAAATCGTATGTGAAAAAGTATAAATCATGGGGTTTTTTTTAGATAAAACATCTTTATCATGAAATCTCTCATACAAGTAAGACAATGTATTTTGTGTACACAAGTGTGTATATGTTGTGTGTGTGTATATATATATGTGTATATATATGTATATATATGTGTATATATATATGTATATATATGTGTATATATATATGTATATATATGTGTATATATATACATATATGTGTATATATATACATATATATGTGTGTGTGTATATATATATATATACACACACACACACACACACACACACACACACACGTACATGTAGTGGCTCATGCCTGTAATCCCAACACTTTGGGAGGCCAAGTTGGGTGGATCCCTCGAGCTCAGGAGTTGAAGACCAGCCCAAGCAACATGGTGAAACCCTGTCTCTACAAAAGATTTAAAAAAAAAATTAAAAATTAAAATATATATATATACATATATATAGACACATACACACACAAATACATACACATTAACACATATACATGTGCTTATATATAGGAATAAACATTGACATACTATACAGTTTAAGAAAGAACATCCTATGTTACACCTTCTCCCACCTTCCACAACTAACCTATCAATATATTGTTTAGTATTGTGGGGGTTTTTTGTGTCATTTTTTGAGACAGGGTCTCACTTTGAGACAGAGTCTCGCTCTGTTGCCCAGGCTGGAGTGCAGTGGCGCGATCTTGGCTCACTGCAAGCTCCGCCTCCTGGGTTCACGCCACTCTCCTGCCTCAGCCTCCCAAGTAGCTGGGACTACAGGCGCCTGCAACCACGCCTGGCTAATTTTTTGTATTTTTAGTACAGACAGGGTTTCACTGTGTTAGCCAAGACGGTCTCAATCTCCTGACCTCGTGATCTGCCTGCCTCAGCCTCCCAAAGTGCTGGGATTACAGGCGTGAGCCACCGTGCCTGGTGACAGAGTCTCACTTTGTCAGCCAGGCTGGGGTGCAGTGGCATGATCTAGGCTCATTTCAGCCTCGACCTCCTCGGCTCAAGTGATACTCCCACTTCACCCCCTAAGTAGCTGGGACCACTGGTGCACACCAGCATGCCTGGCTAATTTCATATTTTTTGTAGAGATGGGGTTTCACCATATTGTGCAGGCTGGTCTTAAACTCCTGGGCTCAAGCAGTCCGCTCACTTTGGCTGCCCAAAGTGCTAGGATTTCGGGTGTGAGCCACCATGCCTGGCCTCTAGTATTGTGTTTTTGAATGTTATATAAATGGCATTCTCTTGTATGTCTTCTGTCCATTTTTTCACTCAGCACTATACTTGTGAGATTTGTCAGTGTTAAGGTATAAATGCCAGTATTTTTTAAAAGATGAGTTTGTTTTCACGTTGGAAATCACAGCCTGGGGATTGAAAAGCTAGAGTTCTCTCAGCTCTGTTAGTACTCTGACAGTGTTTTTCTCCATATTTTTACTACTATTCTTGCCATCTTATTTCTACTACTCTCCAGGTTGTCCAGAGTAAACCAGTAGTTTTTACTGAATTCTTACACACAGGACACAAACATGTGTCCACAGTTCAAATTCCACTAGAGATACTTGGTTTAAAGGCACCATGTTTTAAACAATATTAGACTAGAATGTCCTTACATGGGGCATATGTTCTTTCATTTGCAAAATGGGTAGCCTTGACTTACCCACTTTACTCATTGTGTGGCCCATGAAGGCATTTGACTTTGTTACCCCAGTAGGTTATTTGCTACACTTTTACCCATGTTTACTTTCTTTCTTTATTTTCTTTCTTTCTTTTTTTTTTTTTGAGATGGAGTCTCGCTCTGTTGCCCAGGCTGGAGTGCAGTGGCATGATCTCGGCTCACTGCAACCTTTGCCTTCTGGGTTCAAGTGATTCTCCTGCCTCAGCCTCCCAAGTAGCTGAGACTACAGGTGCGCACCACCACGCACCACTAATTTTTTGTATTTTTAGTAGAGATGGGGTTTCACCGTGTTAGCCAGGATGGTCTCAATCTCCTGACCTTAGGTGATCTGCCCACCTTGGCCTCCCAAAGTGCTGGGATTACAGGCATGAGCCACTGCAACCGGCCTACCCATGTTTACTTTCTAATCTGCCCTGAAGCTTCCATGCCCTTCACTGCTTCTCTCATTCCCTCTGTAACCATAAGCAAAAAAGAAAACCACTTTTGTTTGCATGTGTGTGTGAAAGAGTGATATTGAGTTTGGGTTCTTTAAAACTTCTTTGTAGGATCCCTAGGCATTAGAAAATTAAGTTTGGAACTGTCAGTTTTACTGCTGTGAGTCTCAAACTGTGCTCTTAAAGATTATCTATAGTATGAAGTTATGCTCTATATAGTCTAAAATCTAAAAGCATTATCAATATTTTTCTTTTAAAAATCAGTTTATACTTGGCCGGGCGGGGTGGTTCACGCCTGTAATCCCAGCACTTTGGGAGGCTGAGGCGGGCGGATCACGAGGTCAGGAGATCAAGACCATCCTGGCTAACACGGTGAAACCTTGTCTCTACTAAAAATACAAAAAATTAGCTGGGCCTGGTGGCCGGCGCCTATGGTCCCAGCTACTCTGGAGGCTGAGGCAGGAGAATGGCGTGAACCTGGGAGGCGGAGCTTGCAGTGAGCCCAGATCGCGCCACTGCACTGCAGCCTGGGCGACAGAGCAAGACTCCATCTCAAAAAAAAAAAAAGAAATCAGTTTATACTTGAACAGAAATACAGTTTACTCAAGTTTAATTAATTCAATGAACATATGACTGCTATTGCCCACCACTAAGGAGACAACAGTGCATAAAGTATAATCTACTCACAATATTGTGGGGGATATAGATAGGGAAACCACAATTAAAATATATTGTTCCAGGCTCGATGGCTCAAGCCAAAGTAATCCCAGCACTTTGGGAGGCTGAGGCAGGAGGATTGCCTGAGTCCAGGAGTTCAAGACCAGCCTGGGCAATATAGTGAGACCTTGTCTCAATAAAAATTAAGGAAAAATTAGCCAGGTGTGGTGGTGGGCACCTGTAGTCCCAGCTACTCAGGAGGCTGAGACAGGAGGATCGCTTGAGCCCAGGAGATTGAGGTTACAGTGAGCCGTGATCATGCCACTTCACTCCAGCCTGGGCGACAGAGTGAGACCCTGTCTCCAAAAAAAAAAAAAAAAAAAAGATTGTATTCGTTGTTAGAATAATGTAATAGATGCTGTGTGAGGATAGAATCTGGAGGGTTTGGTTCTTCCAGTGAGGAATGCAGGATATTTAATAGCTAACCATTACCTTGTATACCATGTGCTAAGCCCTGTTCTAAGCTCTTTGCATATATTGACTCATGAATCCTCACAACAACCCTAAGAGGTATAGATACTGCTTTTTTATGACAAAATAAGCACAGAGAGGTTAAGCAACTTTCTCAAGGTCAGATAGCTGATAATGAACAGAAATATGATTTGAACCTGCGGTCTGATTATACCACACTACTTTGGAGAAAATCACATAAAGGAGGGTTAGGGATGTTCAACAGAGTCAGCATTACATTCTGGGAAGAGGGAACAGCACATGGAATATGGCAGGAACATGAGAGCTTGTTAAGTTCTGGGATGGCTAGAGTACCCTGTGGATGGGGAGTGGTGGAGAAGTGGCTGGAAGAACTCGTTGGCCAGATGATGGACATTCCATGTTGTGCAAAGGGGGTTAGACTTTGTTTTTCAGGAGATAAAGAGTTGCTACAGGATTTCAACCTGGAAAATGATATTGGATTTATATGCCAGAAGAAGCAATCTAGTAATCATGCACAATAAACAGGAGGGGAGTGAGATTGTTGTCCATAAAGAGACCAGTTAAAGGAAAAATTTAGTGTAATAGTACAGGCACATAATGAGTATGGCTTGGACCAGTGACAGGTCTGAAGAGTTAGACTCAAGACTGTGGGCCTGAAGGTGAGAGTATGCTGTGGTCTAGGATGATTCCTTCTGACATGGAGTATGAATCAGTGGTGATGCATTTACTAAGTGAGGGATTGAAAGAGAGGAGGAGCATGTTTTTATAGGTGGGAAGGAAACATATGTGGGTTCAATTTTAAACATGTTGGGTGAATATGCTGAGTTTATTGTGCAGCAAGTCTTCAGGTGGCGATATCTGATAGGCAATGGATATATTCATCTGGAAGCCAGCCAGAAAAGTGGTCTTTGCTGAAGATAGGGATTTGTGAGTCTTTAGTGTATTTAGGGGGTTGAAGCTGTGGAAGAATATGTAGAGTGAAAGAAGGTAGCCTTGGTTAGTAATAATATTTATTTACTCATTACTGTGTGCCAGGTACTGTGCTAAATGCCTTACATTGACCACCTCCTTCAGTCCTCATGATAGTTCTCCAGGGTTGGTATCATTTATTATTATTATTCCTACTTTTCTGATATTGCAGTCCCAGAGAGATTATGATTTGCCCCAGATCATCAGATTAACTCCAGAAGCCTTACTCATCTTCAGAGCATTACATTTCCTCTCCAATTTGAGAGAGTTAAATGGAAACGACCAGGAAAGACAGAATTCGTAATTGGAGAACAGAGGAAGTAAGAGAGAAGGTCACCAAAACTAAAAGAGGAGAGAAATAATAAAGGGTGTTGTTAACACTGTAAGTCACAGGTAGATCCAGTAAGGTAAAGATTGAGATAGATATTTTGGGAACAAGAAAGATGGAAGGAATTCATTCACTGACCAAATACTTGTTGAGCTACTGCTGTATACCAGGTAATCTTCTAGGAAGATACTGCAGAGAACAAAATAGCCTAAAGTTCTGGAGCCATAAATTCTAATTATCACAAGAAGGAAGATCATCTATTGAAAGTGAGAGGTATTTACTATGGGCAGGCTTTTACATTATTATAAATCCTGAAGTCTGTCTAAGACAGAGATTATCCCTGTTTTACAGATGAGGAAATTGAAGCTCACTGAGGTTAAGAAACTTGCCTAAGGTAAATAGAGGATCTAGGATCACAATGATAGTGTCTGTGCTCTTTCCATTGTGCTATACTGACGTGCATTGGAGTGAAAATGCAAAGAAGGGTTCCTCTGGTGTGTAGGAGTGAAAGTTTGAAATGTCGGTCCTGGGAATAAGACAGCCTGCTATGTACACATGTAATAATAGTCACACAGCAGGCCAGGTGCAGTGGCTCACACCTGTAGTCCTAGCAATTTGGGAGGCCGAGGCAGGCGGATCACGAGGTCAAAAGATCAAGACCATCCTGGCCAACATGGTGAAACCCCATCTCCACTAAAAATATAAAAATTAGCTGGGCGTGGTGGTGAGTGCCTGTAGTCCTGTCTGCTCAGGGGGCTGAAGCAGGAGAATTGCTTGAACCCAGGAGGCGGAGGTTGCAGTGAGCTGAGATTGCACCACTGCACTGCAGCCTGGCGACAGAGCGAGACTCCATCTCAAAAAAAAAAAAAGAAAAAAAAATGGTCATACAGCATCGAGGACTCCTATATTTGTATTGGCCACAAATCACACAGTTCTTCAAATGTTATAATAAAAACACTCTCATATGTGGTATTTATGTGTCACTAGTTTAAAAGTTTTTGTATTATTATTACTGGATACTCTAACCCCAGTGAATGAGGTAGCCAATGTTATCCCCATTTTACAAATGAGCAAAAGAGTTTCAGAAGTCGTGATTTTGACCGAGATCTTTGGGTAAGAACTGATAAGCTGAATCAGACTTGAGACCTTTGACTTTCAATCTGAATTTCTTGTGTAGTACAATTCTACTTAATTTTTTTCTTTAAATAGTAGCATTTTTCTTTCTAGTAAGATGTTTATTTTTAAATTATACTTGACGTAATATATGATCATGTTCATATTCTTAGAACATACAGAAAAGCAAAAAATATCACCTGTAATGTTGAGAACCATATTTAACAAAACAACTTTCTAGCTTTTGTTTTTCATGAGCTATGTAGGTTTTTAACGTAATTATATTCATGGTATCTATATAACTATCTTTTTTTTTCAACTTTGAGAATATTTTCCCACATTGCTAAATTGTTTTGAAAATACATTCCATCTTATCGATATACCATATTTTAAAAATCATTTGCTTGTTAGCCATTGAAGATGTTTTCAGTTTTTCATTATAAATACTGAAAAATAATTTTTATATATAAATATTTGCACGTATCCTATTTCCCTAGGGTAACTTTGTAAAAATGAAATTGCTGGGTCAAAGGAGGTAAATATTTTTAAGGCTCTTTTATTTTACAATGTCAAAAATATTTTCTAGAAGGACCCTAGCATTTTGCATTCCTCTCAATATTAGTAATTATTTCTGTAAACATTGTTGTAATAAATGAAAATTGAAATCTTACTGTTTTACTTGCATTTCTGTGATTAATCTGAGGTTAAATTATCTTTCATATTTATTAGCCATCTGCATTCTGTGTTTCATCTGTTTATCCCTTTGTCTGTTTTTTTCTTAGGAATTTGTATTTGTGTCTTCCTCTTGAGATTAAAATGGTAACCCATTGTTGGAGGAGGATAATTTAATGGGCAAAGCATTGCCTTTGAAGTCAAGACCTGAGTTTGAATGCAGTCTGTCTGTCTGTTTATTTATTTATTTATTTATTTTTGAGACAGGGTCTCGCCCTGTCACCAGGCTGGAGTGCAGTGGCGTGATCGCAGCTCACTGCAACCTCCGACTCCCTGGTTCAAGCTATTCTGCCTCAGCCTCCCTAGTAGCTGGAATTACAGGCACACGCCACCACGCCCAGCTCATTTTTGTATTTTTAGCAGAGACGAGGTTTCACCATGTTGGCCAGGATGGTCTCGATCTCCTGACCTCATGATCCGCCAGCCTGAGCGTTGCAAAGTGCAGGGATTACAGGCGTGAGCCGCCATGCCTGGCCCTTATTATTTATTTTAGCCTAGCAAATACAGCTTTGGGCAAGTTACTGAACTGCTGAGTGTTTTTCCTCTTCTTTTAAAAAAGTAGTAAAAGACTAAAGAATTTATTTTGGATTTCGGCACTGTTTAGAGAATAATCTACCTCTTGAACATTGATTTGATATTTCATTTATCATATTAACTTCCTAACTGCCAACGTTTGTTTGGCATATCTTTTATAATATTTAGAAGCATAAAATATCTCTTCATATATCCAGATCAAATATGTGTCTCAGACAAGCTTTGCAGTTTTTTTCAAACAGAGCCTACATATTTCTTGATCTAGGTTGATTCTGAATTTTCTGTTTGTTACCTCTGTAAACGAGATTTTCCTGTTGCCTGAGGAATGCTTGTCTTGAGAGATGTTGTTCAAGCACTGAGAATTCCATGCTCACTTCAATTTGGGAAACATATCATAGTGTATTTCTCTTTTGAAGATTTATGGTATTTAAAGTCTTCATAAATTCAGTGATGGACTAACTTGTTTAACTTTGAGAAAAAGATTACTCATCCTTGGAGCACATATTTACTTGTAATTATGATACTGGAATTAAATGACAGTATAGATAGTTTGGTTTATTTGATACAATTCTAGACTACTGGCATTAATTGGCATTCGATTTTAAAGTGTTTAGATTTCATTTAAGTATTAGTAAAACTAAATCTTTAATTCAGAAATTCATAAGCACATTATAAAGCACCACTTGAGCTCTACTGGCTCTGCTTATTTGACCTCAGTAGCCTCTGCCCTAGAGCTCTTATGCTTTTTGTGCCTTCCTGCTTTGTCTAGCCCCCTGATTGGCATTTTGGGGACACCATCTCTGTGCAATGGGCCCCAAGTAGCAGCGGTTGTATCTTTCTTCCAACAAACAGAGGAAGAAGTGGTCCTGCCAGGGTTACTCCTTTCCCAGCAGAGAGGTTTGGCCAGGTTTATGCACAGGCATTGTTGTTTTTATTTTGAGCATGTGTGTGAGAAAGGGGTGGGTAGTTGCAGAAGCTGAGTGTTTAAGAGGGCTAGGGCAAGAAGAACTTGTACAGAGAGTGACAGGGACATGGGGAAGGCAGGGAAGGTAGAGAGATTAAAGCCAAGAAGGAGTAATGAGGTGCTGGCCAATATGTGAGACAGATGTAAAAGGCCAGTATTTTGGTACATGGATACCTTGTTTTATTGCACTTCACTTTATTGCACTTTACAGATATTGCAATTTTTACAAATTAAAGGTTAATGGCAACCATGTGTCAAGCAAGTCTGTGGGCACCATTTTTCCATCAGCATGTGGTGACTTCGTATCTGTCACATGTTGGTAATTCTCACAAGATTTCAAACTTGTCATTATTATATTTCTTGTGGTGCTCTATGATCAGTGATCTTTGACGTTACTATTGTAATTGTTTTAAGTGCCATGAATGACACCCATATAAGATGACAAACTTAATGGATAAATGTTGAATGACTTCTGACTGCTCTGCTGACCAGCCATTCCTGTCATTCTTCCTCTCCTTGGGCCTCCCTAGTCTCCAGTATTGAAATTAGGCCAATTAATAACCCTATAGTGACCTCTAATTGTTCAACTGAAAGAAGGAGTCATAGGTCTCTCACTTTAAATCAAAAGCTAGAAATGATTAAGCTTAGTGGGAAAGTGTGTCAAAAGCTGAGATAGGCTGAAAGCTTGGCCTCTTGCGCCAATTAGCAAAAGTGCTAATTCAGTGAACACACGAATGATAAGAAAGAGAAACAGCCTTATTGTTAGAGAAAATTTTAGTGGCCTTAATAGAAGAGCAAACAAACCACAACATTCCCTTAAGCAAAAGCCTAATTCAGGGTAAGACTCTAGCCCTCTTCAATTCTGTGAAGGCTTGAGAAAGATGAGGAAGTTTCAGAAGAAAAGTTTGAAGCTAGCAGAAGTTGGTTCTTGAGGTTTAAGGAAAGCAGCTGCCTCCATAAAATAAAAATGCAAGATGAAGCAGAAGTGCTAATGTAGAAGCTACAGCAAGTTATCTAGCTAAGATCATTGAATGAACAGATCATTA
Source organism: Homo sapiens (assembly GCF_000001405.40). Classification (NCBI taxonomy): domain Eukaryota; kingdom Metazoa; phylum Chordata; class Mammalia; order Primates; family Hominidae; genus Homo; species Homo sapiens. The sequence continues at coordinate 168,880,256 of NC_000002.12, read as the reverse complement.
AAGAACGGATTTTTGATGTAGATGAAAAAGCAGTTTTCTATTGGAAGAAGATGCCATCTAGGACTTTCATAGCTAGAGAGAAGTCAAGGCCTGCTTTGAAGCTTCAAAGACAGGCTGACTCTTTAGTGACTAATGCACCTGGTGACTTTAAGTTGAAGCCTGTGCTCACTTGCCATTCCCCAAATCCTAGGGCCCTTAAGAATTATACTAAATCTACTCTGCCTATGTTCTATAAATGGAATAGCAAAGCCTAGATGACAGCACATGTGTGTATAGCATAGTTTACTGAATATTTTAGGCCCACTGTTGAGGCCTTCTACTCAGGAAAAAAGATGGCTTTCAAAATATTTCTGCTCATTAACAGTGCATCTGGTCACTCAAGAGCGCTGATGGAGATTAGTGTTGTTTTCATGCCTACTAAGACAACATCCATTCTGCAGCCCATGGATCAAGGGGTAGTTTTGACTTTCATGTCTCATTATTTAAGAAATAAGGTTATAGCTACCCAAATAGTGATTAACTCTGATAGATCTGGGCAAAATAAATTGAAAACCTTCCAGAGAAAGGATTCACCATTCTAGATGCCATAGAACATTCGTGATTCACAGGAAGAGGTCAAAATATCAACATGAACAAGAGCTTGGAAGAAGTTGATTTTAACCCTCATGGATGACTTTGAGAGGTTCAAGACTTCAATGGAGAAAGTAACTACAGATGTGGTAGAAATCACAAGAGACCTAGATTTAGAAGTGGAGCCTGAAGATGTGACCGAATTGCTGCCATCTCAGATAAAACTTGAATGGATAAGGAGTTGCTTCTTATGGATAAGCAAAGAAAGTGGTTTTATGGAATGGAATCCACTCCTGGTGAAGATGCTGTGAACATTGTTTAACTGACAACAAAGGATTTAGACTATTATATAAACTTAGTTGATAAAGTAGCGCAGGGTTTGAGAAGACTGACTCCAATTTTGAAAACAGTTCTACCAGGGGTAAATGCTGTCAAACATCATTGTATGCTGCAGAGAAATCTTTCATGAAAGAGTTGATTAATGCAGCAAACTTTATTGTTGTCCTATTATAATAAATTGCCACAGCCACCCCAACCTTCAGCAGCTACCACTCTGATCAGTCAGCAGCCATCAACATCAAGGCAAGACCCTCCCCCTGCAAAAGTTTAGGACTTGCTGAAGGCTCAGATGATTATTAGCATATTTTAGCAATAAAATATTTTTAATTAAGATATGTACATTTGTTTTTTAGCCATAATGCTATTGCACGCTTAATAGACTACAATATAGTGTAAAATAACTTTTCTATGTACTGGGAAACCAAAACATTTGTGTGACTTGCTTTATGGCAATATTCGCTTTATCACAGTGATCTGGAATAGAACTTGCAATATCTCCAACGTATGCCAGTACTTAAAAATAGCACAGAATAGCAAAAACTAATAAAACCAATAAAAACAAAGAACAAAAACGAATATTGCAGCTATTAATATTAGTATAAACATCTATTCTTACCTATGTATTAATCACTGGTGTTATGTACAAAAACTATTGATTTTTTTGGGGTGTAGTACCACAAATTCTGATAGGTTTTCAGTAGATTTTTCTGAGTATTCTAGATAGATGTCTATTGTCTACATATAATGAAAAATAGTTCTTGTTTTTTCCTTATAGTTTTACCAGCTAAATATCTTGTCTTGGCCAGAAACTTCTAGGGAAATATTAAATAACAGTGCTAACTGGCATCTATTTTATTCCTTTTGGAAATGCCAAATATATATGATGAGATTTGAAAGGTTTTTGATTTGTTTCTATCATGTTAAATGTCCTTCCATTTATAGTTAAGAATAGTCAGGAGTGGATGCTGAATTCATATGAAATGTCTCTTCAATTCTTATTCATGTGATGGATTTTCCTAATATTACACCTTCACTATGTAAAATCCTTGGTATAAACTATATTTGCTCTTAGTGGATTATTTTTAATGTAACTTAATATTTTATTGAGCATCTTTGCACCTATGTTTTTAAGTGAGATTAGTTTATATAGTTGTGGGCAGAGGGCCAGTGCTATCTTTAATTTTTTGTTTTAGCTTTAGAATTATGCTTACATTGTAAGCTTTGCCTGCCCACCTGTCTTCCTTCACTTATTTCTGTCTTTTGGTATGTTCCGGAATAATTTATATAGCATTAGAGTGAGGCTTTTCCTCAAAGCACTGTTTAAAACCATCTTCTAGAGTTTGGTTGTTGGCCAGGCGTGGTGGCTTGCACTGGTAATCCCAGCACTTTGAGAGGCTGAGGTAGGAGGATTGCTTGAGCCTAAGAGTTTGAGACTAGCCTGGGCAACATAGTGAGACAAAAAAATTTAAAAATCAGCCAGGCGTGATGTGGTGTGTGCCTGTAGTCCCAGGTACTAGGGATGCTAAGGTGGGAGGCTGCAATGAGTAGTGATTGTGCCACTGTATTCCAGCCTGGGCAACAGTGAGACCCTGTTTCAAAAAAATATAAAAATAAAATAAATAATAGAGTTTAGTTATCTTTGTTGGTAGTTTTTATTTCTGTGCTTATTTGGAGTGGGGAGCTGCAAGGGTCATGATCTTTTGATTTTCTGTTTCTTGATTTAATTTGGTATTCTCATTTTAAGAAGCTTTTCTGTCTCATTTTTTTTAAAGATGAGTAAGTAGGAAAGAATAGATTAGGTTTTTTTTCTTTTTTGTCTTTTATAATTTTGAATCATTAGAAAATGCTTATCAGTCAAAACATTCTTTATTAATCTTTATGAAAGTCAGTAAACTTTGGCCTTTTCTTAGATACATGTCAGAGAGCCAAGCATATTCTAGCTAATACCTTGTGCTTCTTACAGAGATCAGCAGGCAAAATAAGCTCATTCAAGAAAAAAAGGATAACTTGTTAAAATTGATTGCTGAAGTAAAAGGCAAAAAGCAGGAATTGGAAGTACTGACTGCAAATATCCAGGATCTTAAGGAAGAATATTCTAGGAAGAAGGAAAGTAAGTTTCCTCTTATAAACATACTGATCTAAAATGGAAAGTGGTGACGGTTCACCTTTATTAAGTACATCTTGCCTGTTCCAGTTCATTGCTAAAAATGGATTACAGTACCCCAGGGCATAACCAGCCACTCATCTCTGCAAGATGTCATTAAAGTTAACTAACTGGGTTTTATTTTCTTTTGTCTTACTTAAAGGGCCTTCTCTTGTTATTTTTAATATAATCAGTAATAATGAAATTGATAGGAGGTTTTAATTAAGCAGAGTGAGAAATGGTGTCCCTAAATAAAATTTGCTTTGGACAAGCCATAGTGTACTTTATGCAACAAATATTTATTGACCATACATTCTCTGCCAGGTAATGTTAAGCGTTCTTTTTATGCTGCAAAATCTCTTATGTATAAAGAACTTTCATATTCAAATGAATGCATCTTTTAGAAAGGAGCCTTGTTTGCTCACAAACTAGGTAGTCTATTCTTCAAATCTGAAAATAGCAAAGTTTGTTTTGTAAATGCTTTTTCTTGTGGAGTTCTTATCCAAGTCTAAATTGTGAAATTATTTTTCTCATTACTTAGGGACTATTGTGCTACTTTAAAGTATATTTAGGGACTATTGTGCTAACTTAAAAAAAAAAAAAAGAAAAAACTAAACTAGCATGAAATAAGGCTGACCTCTCATAAGAAATAGTTATGTTAAAGGAAGAGAACATTTTCCCATGAAGCAATTGGTTATCTAGAAAAAAAGCACAGTAGTATAAATGAAGTCTATTTCTATGCCAGCCATACAAATCCCTGGCCTATTTACTTATGCTACTACATAATAAAGTAAGACAAGGCTTATTCTTCTCACTATCTGTATACATTTTCCTGAGCAGTTTTTCCTTCCAACTTGAATGAACAGAAGCTTCTTTTAGCCAACTGGTAGATATAGAAACAATAAATGGAAGCAGATTTATAGGCTTGGCATCATTTTATAGTTGATTTTAAGTTTAAAAAATTAACTCAGTGAGCATTAATTTGCTATTATTTAAAACATTTAATATTGTGTGTGTTTTTTAATCAGCTATTTCTACTGCTAATAAAGCGAATGCAGAGAGGTTGAAAAGGCTGCAGAAATCTGCAGACTTGTATAAAGATCGACTTGGACTAGAAATTCGAAAAATTTATGGTAAGTTTGTTAATATAAATAAAATATAGGAGATTACAAAAGTATGTCTTTTCTTAAGTAGAGGAAAATTTTAAAAATATTTTCAACTAAAATAATGACCACATTAACTTTTTAGAAAATAGGAAAAAATTACAATTTTTAAATTATTCTAATGTAGCTACTGATGCTGTAGTTATTTATCATTCGGTATTTTAATAAATGTATTTTTGGCATGATTGTCAACATGCAAATAATTTTTGTTCTTCCTATCAGCATTGTATTCTGAGCATTTCCTCAGTTGCTATAGTCTTCATAATGGTAATTTTTAAGTAGTGATGTAATAATTCATTCTATTAATATAGCATAATTTATTCAACCATTTACCTATTGTTTAGCACATATTTTGCTTCTACCAACATTTGGATTCTGCCATTTTTTTCAGTTTTAGAAATACAGTCATCCCCACTTATTCACGGTTTCTGTTACCCATGTTCAACCGTGGTCTGATGATATTAAATGGATGAGTATGGTACAATAAGATATTGTGAGAGGGAGAGAAGCTACATTAATATAACTTTTATTACAGTACGTTGTTGTAATTGTTCTGTTTTATTATTAGTTGTTGTTAATCTCTTTCTGTGCCTAATTTACAACATAAACTTTATCATAGGTATGAATGTATAGGAAAATACATAGTATGGACAGTCCCTGACTTATGATAGTTCAACTTACAATTTTTTGACTTTATAATCAGTTTATCAGGGTGTTAAATGCATTTTTGCCTTACAATGTTTTTGACTTTTGATGTGTTTATTGGCACATAATGCCATTGTAAGTCAAGGAGCATCTGTTTACATAGTGTTTGCTACTATCTACGGTTTCAGGCATCTGTTGGGGTCTTGGAACATATTTCTCCCTGGTGGATAAAGGGGGACTATTGTAAACCAGTGAGCATAGACTTTCCCATTTTCTTTGCATGGTTTTTCATAGAATTGTTTCCCAGAGAGGAATTAGTAGGCTAAAACACATGAATATTTTGATGCCTGTTGCATGTATATCACATGTACATCGCTAATGTATGGCAATGTCTGTTGTGTCTGGGCTTCCCAAGATCACTCTCAGGTTTGGTGATTCACTAGAAGGAATTAGCATATAGTCATATTCATAGCTAAGATTTACTGCAGCAAAAGGATACAGAACAGAATCAGCAAAGAAACAATAGCACGTGGGGCAAAGTCTACAGGAAACCTGGCACAAGCTTTCAAGAGTGCTAACCCAGTAGAGTCAAACAGGATGTGCTAATTCCTTCAGCATCAAATTGTGACAACACACGTGAAGTGTTGTCTACCAGGAAGCTCATTAGAGGTTCTGGACGCTTATGCCTGGTTCTCCTTGGACTTTACTCCATGTACCTTTTCCCTTTGCTGATTTCGCTATATCCTTTTGCTGTAATAAATCATAGCCCTGAGTATGGCCATATGCTGCTGAGTGAATCCTATGAGTTCTCCTAGTGAATCATAAAAAAGACCACAGCAGCCAAGTTCATTCCATTTTATGGCTGAACAATGTTCCATTGTATGTGTGTACTATATCCATTCATCTGTTGGTGGGCACTGGGTTATTTCCACTTTTTGGCTACTATGAATAATGCTGCTATGAACATTGGCATACAGTTATCTACTTGAGTCTCCGTTTTCAATTCTTTCAGCTCTATACTTAGGAGTGGAATTGCTGGGTCATATTGTAATTCTGTATTTAAACTTTTTGAGGATCTGCCAAACTGTTTTTCACAGTGGCTGTACCATTTTACATTTCTACCAGCAATGTGCTAGGGTTCCAGTTTCTCCACATCCTCACCAACACTGTTATTTTCCATTTATTTATTTGCCATCCTACTGGGTATGAAATGGTATCTCATTGTAGTTTCGGCTTGCATTTACATAATGACTAATGATGTTGAGCATCTTTTTGTGGACTTAATGGCCATTTTTATATATTCTTTGGAGAAATGTCCTTTCAGATTTTTTGCCCATTATTGAATTGGGTGGTTTTTAGTTGCAGGAGTTCTAAATACATTCTATGTATTCAACCTTTATCAGATAAATGATTGCAAATATTTTCTCCCATTCTTTAGGTTGTCTTTTCCTTCTCTTGATAGTGTTCTTTGAAGGACAAAAGTTTTTAATTTTAACAAAGTCCAATTTATCTAGTTTTTCTTTTGTTGACTGTATTTTTGATGTCATATTGAAACTATAATATATTTTAAAACGAATTTGTAACTTCTGCATTTGGAAATGTTGGTTACATGACTGTATATACTTAGCAGTGCAGATATTGATCAAAGATGGAGTAAGAAAGGGTATCTCCATTGAAAGCTTTGACACACTAAATAGTTTAATCTCTTTTCAGGTGAGAAATTGCAGTTTATTTTCACTAATATTGACCCTAAGAATCCTGAGAGCCCATTTATGTTTTCCTTACATCTCAATGAAGCAAGGGACTATGAAGGTATGTACTAATATCTCCTAACTGGTATTTAAGATTGGCGTTCCAAAATGTTATTTCAATCAGCATATAAAGTAATATGGAGGAAAGTAATAGCTCCAGACTCTATTGCTTCCTTTTTCAGTCTTGCTTCTTGGAGTATAGTCTTCTAAAGGAAGTGAATATAGTCTTGATTTATAGATACTGTCTAAGATCCTTAATAAGTAGCATCTCTTCAGGATGGCACAGTGCCACAGTGTCTGAACAATCTAAAAACAAAGATCATTGCATTTATGTGCAAATATGAATTGTCCTTTTAGATAACTTTTTTAAAAGGTGAAGCTTTAAAGAAAATGGCTGCTTAAATGTGAATATTAGAATTTATCCAAGTAGATGATTTTAAAATCAAATGTAAAGTCACCAGAATTTAACAATTTATTTTCCCAAAAATAATTTTTGAAATACGAATCCTGCAAATCTCACACATTGATAATAAAGGTTAGTTACTGATTCTGCAGCTGGCCAAAAGGCCTTTGATTTATAAGGAATATATATCATTGATAATAATGTGAACAAGAAGAGAATAGAAATATATTTATCTCTTGTTTATTCTTCTAATGCCCCTGTACAAGTAATCCTTAATTTATTGGAATTCATAAAAATGGTTCTCAGCTCATTACACCTATGCTATCATCTTAAAGCCTTTGTAGCTGACAGACACTCAGGTGAACTGCTGAGCTGGCACAGCGCTGTGCCCTGGTGACTCAGTTCCTATTTCTGGGGAATTTATATTTTGAGAATCTGATTTCTTATACAGATGTTTGGGTTTTTTTCTCTCTAGATAAATATCTTCCAATCTAATTAGTGCTAGATTTTAAAAAGCAAGCCCCAAAAACCTCTTATTTAGCTTTTCAATTTTCTCTAAATTGGATATTCTCTTATGGTATAATCTGATAGTACATGATAGTATATTAAAATAGAATATACAGGATACATTTTGGACCAGATGCCCTTTGCTGTTGTTTCTCTGCTGTGGTCATGGACCTTGTTTCCTAAGCAATCTGTACAAGAGAGCTGGAAATCTGATAATGGGTGAATTTCTTTTCCTTTGACCACCTTCACTGGAGACTTGTCCCAGTGTACCAGCTGGTACAACTACATACAAGGACAATACTGTTATTCGTGACTTTGAGTCTCATTTGATTAATAGCCCCTGTAAATACCACTCTTGGAATAGCAACCACATTTTCTAATGCCTGCCATTTCACTTGGAAAATTCTAGATATTTCTTTCATAATTGTAAGTTATTAAGGCTGGGCATTGAAAACTGTTCTTTTTTCAGGCTGGGCATGGTGGCTTACGCCTGTAATCCCAGCACTTTGGGAGGCAGAGGCAGGCGGATCACTTGAGGTCAGGAATTCAAGACTAGCCTGGGTAACATGGTGAAACCCTGCCTCTACTGAAAATACAAAAGTTAGCTGGACATGTTACCTTTAATCCCAGCTACTCAGAAAGCTGAGGCAAAAGAATTGCTTGAAGCCAGGAGGCAGTTTGCAGTGAGCTGGGATCTCACCACTGTACTTCCAGGCTTGGTGACAAATCAAGAATCTGTCTCAAAAAAAAAGAAAATTGTTCCTTTTTTTTTTTTAATTCCAGTGGTCAGAAATGAAAAGTCAGTCAGACCAAAGTGTTGCAGATAAAAATGACTTAACAGTTTTTAAAAAAAGTTTAAATAGTTAAAACAAAATATATAAGTTTAAGATGATGGGCAGGGTCATTCTGTGTCACTAAACTCTTCGATCCTTCAGTGCCATCTGTTTAAATTTAAAGCAAGATTATAGTACTTAAGATTTGAATATTTAGAGATTAAACGAAGGAAAGGTCCAAAAGATATTTGGCATAGGAAAATCAAGTGTATCCTTTTTTGCTCAAAGAATTTCATTAAGATGGAATTGACATTCAAACCAGATGAGAGCATCTAGATTAGAAATACTTCTGTGCCATAAAAAAACTCATTCTAATTGTCTTTGATTTCTTTTTTTTTTTTTTCTAGTGTCAGATAGTGCCCCTCATCTTGAGGGCCTAGCAGAATTTCAAGAGAATGTAAGGAAGACCAACAATTTTTCAGCTTTTCTTGCCAATGTTCGGAAAGCTTTTACTGCCACGGTTTATAATTAACATACAAATAGTGTATATAAAAACGGTTTATTTTTCTTCTCTATTACATATCTCTTTTTTTCTTGTTTTTATTATTATTATACTTTAAGTTTTAGGGTACATGTGCACAATGTGCAGGTTTGTTACATATGTATACATGTGCCATATTGGTGTGCTGCACCCATTAACTCGTCATTTCATTAGGTATATCTCCTAATGCTATCCCTCCCCCCTCCCCCAACCCACAACAGTCCCCGTTGTGTGATGTTCCCCTTCCTGTGTCCATGTGTTCTCATTGTTCAATTCCCACCTAGGAGTGAGAATATGTGGTGTTTGGTTTTTTGTCCTTTCGATAGTTTGCTGAGAATGATGGTTTCCAGCTTCATCCATGTTCCTACAAAGGACATGAACTCATCCTTTTTTATGGCTGCATAGTATTCCATGGTGTATATGTGCCACATTTTCTTAATCCAGTCTATCATTGTTGGACATTTGGGTTGGTTCCAAGTCTTTGCTATTGTGAATAGTGCCGAAATAAACATACGTGTGCATGTGTCTTTATAGCAGCATGATTTATAATCCCTTGGGTATATACCCAATAATGGGAGGGCTGGGTCAAATGGTATTTCTAGTTCTAGGTCCCTGAGGAATCGCCACACCAACTTCCACAATGGTTGAACTAGTTTACAGTCCCACCAACAGTGTAAAAGTGTTCCTATTTCTCCACATCCTCTCCAGCACCTGTTGTTTTCTGACTTTTTAATGATTGCCATTCTAACTGGTGTGAGATGGTATCTCATTGTGGTTTTGATTTGCATTTCTCTGATGGCCAGTGATGATGAGCATTTTTTCATGTGATTTTGGCTGCATAAATGTCTTCTTTTGACAAGTGTCTGTTCATATCCTTCGCCCACTTTTTGATGGGGTTGTTTGTTTTTTTCTTGTAAATTTGTTTGAGTTCATTGTAGATTCTGGATATTAGCCCTTTGTCAGATGAGTAGGTTGCAAAAATTTTCTCCCATTCTGTAGGTTGCCTGTTCACTCTGATGGTGGTTTCTTTTGCTGTGCAGAAGCTCTTTAGTTTAATTAGATCCCATTTGTCAATTTCGGCTTTTGTTGACATTGCTTTTGGTGTTTTAGACATGAAATCCTTGCCCATGCCTATGTCCTGAATGGTATTGCCTAGGTTTTCTTCTAGGGTTTTTATGGTTTTAGGTCTAACATGTAAGTCTTTAATCCATCTTGAATTAATTTTTGTATAAGGTGTAAGGAAGGGATCCAGTTTCAGCTTTCTACATATGGCTAGCCAGTTTTCCCAGCACCATTTATTAAATAGGGAATCCTTTCCCCATTGCTTGTTTTTGTCAGGTTTGTCAAAGATCAGATGGTTGTAGATATGTGGGATTATTTCTGAGGGCTCTGTTCTGTTCCATTGGTCTATATCTCTGTTTTGGTACCAGTACCATGCTGTTTTGGTTACTGTAGCCTTGTAGGATAGTTTGAAGTCAGGTAGCGTGATGCCTCTGGCTTTGTTCTTTTGGCTTAGGATTGACTTGGCAATGCGGGCTCTTTTTTGGTTCCATATGAACTTTAAAGTAGTTTTTTCCAATTCTGTGAAGAAAGTCATTGGTAGCTTGATGGGGATGGCATTGAATCTATAAATTACCTTGGGCAACATGGCCATTTTCATGATATTGATTCTTCCTACCCAGGAGCATGGAATGTTCTTCCATTTCTTTGTGTCCTCTTTTATTTCACTGAGCAGTGGTTGTAGTTCTCCTTGAAGAGGTCCTTCACATCCCTTGTAAGTTGGATTCCTAGGTATTTTATTCTCTTTGAAGCAATTGTGAATGGGAGTTCACTCATGATTTGGCTCTCTGTTTGTCTGTTATTGGTGTATAAAAATGCTTGTGATTTTTGCACATTGATTTTGCATCCTGAGAGTTTGCTGAAGTTGCTTATCAGCTTAAGGAGATTTTGGGCTGAGACGATGGGGTTTTCTAGATATACAATCATGTCATCTGCAAACAGGGACAATTTGAGTTCCTCTTTTCCTAATTGAATGCCCTTTATTTCCTTCTTCTGCCTGATTGCCCTGGCCAGAACTTCCAACACTATGTTGAATAGGAGTGGTAGGAGAGGGCATCCCTGTCTTGTGCCGGTTTTCAAAGGGAATGCTTCCAGTTTTTGTCCATTCCATATGATATTGGCTGTGGGTTTGTCATAGATAGCTCTTATTATTTTGAGATACATCCCATCAATACCTAATTTATTGAGAGTTTTTAGCATGAAGGGTTGTTGAATTTTGTCAAAGGCCTTTTCCGCATCTATTGAGATAATTATGTGGTTTTTGTCTTTGGTTCTGTTTATATGCTGGATTACGTTTATTGATTTTCGTATGTTGAACCAGCCTTGCATCCCAGGGATGAAACCCACTTGATCATGGTGGATAAGCTTTTTGATGTGCTGCTGGATTCAGTTTGCCAGTATTTTATTGAGGATTTTTGCATCAATGTTCATCAAGGATATTGGTCTAAAATTCTCTTTTTTTGTTGTGTCTCTGCCAGGCTTTGGTATCAGGATGATGCTGGCCTCATAGAATGAGTTAGGGAGGATTCCCTCTTTTTCTATTGACTGGAATAGTTTCAGAAGGAATGGTACCAGCTCCTCCTTGTACCTCTGGTAGAATTCAGCTGTGAATCCATCTGGTCCTGGACTTTTTTTGGTTGGTAAGCTATTAATTATTGCCTCAATTTCAGAGCCTGTTATTGGCCTATTCAGAGATTCAACTTCTTCCTTGTTTAGTCTTGGGAGAGTGTATGTGTCGAGGAATTTATCCATTTCTTCTAGATTTTCTAGTTTATTTGCATAGAGGTGTTTGTAGTATTCTCTGATGGTAGTTTGTATTTCTGTGGGATCGGTGGTGATATCCCCTTTATCATTTTTTATTGCGTCTATTTGATTCTTCTCTCTTTTCTTCTTAATTAGTCTTGCTAGCTGTCTATCAATTTTGTTGATCTTTTCAAAAAGCCAGCTCCTGGATTCATTGATTTTTTTGAAGGGTTTTTTGTGTCTCTATTTCCTTCAGTTCTGCTCTGATCTTAGTTATTTCTTGCCTTTTGCTAGCTTTTGAATGTGTTTGCTCTTGCTTTTCTAGTTCTTTGAATTGTGATGTTAGGGTGTCAATTTTGGATCTTTCCTGCTTTCTCTTGTGGGCATTTAGTGCTATAAATTTCCCTCTACACACTGCTTTGAATGTGTCCCAGAGATTCTGGTATGTTGTGTCTTTGTTCTCATTGGTTACAAAGAACATCTTTATTTCTGCCTTCATTTCGTTATGTACCCAGTAGTCATTCAGGAGCAGGTTGTTCAGTTTCCATGTAGTTGAGTGGTTTTGAGTGAGTTTCTTAATCCTGCGTTCTAGTTTGGTTGCACTGTGGTCTGAGAGACAGTTTGTTATAATTTCTGTTCTTTTACATTTGCTGAGGAGTGCTTTACTTCCAAGTATGTGGTCAATTTTGGAATAGGTGTGGTGTGGTGCTGAAAAAAATGTATATTCTGTTGATTTGGGGTGGAGAGTTCTGTAGATGTCTATTAGGTCTGCTTGGTGCAGAGCTGAGTTCAATTCCTGGATATCCTTGTTAACTTTCTGTCTCGTTGATCTGTCTAATGTTGACAGTGGGGTGTTAAAGTCTCCCATTATTATTGTGGACTTGCTTTATGAATCTGGGTGCTCCTGTATTGGGTGCATATATATTTAGGATAGTTAGTTCTTCTTGTTGAATTGATCCCTTTACCATTATGTAATGGCCTTCTTTGTCTCTTTTGATCTTTGTTGTTTTAAAGTCTGTTTTATTCGAGACTAGGATTGCAATCCTTGCCTTTTTTTGTTTTCCATTTGCTTGGTAGATCTTCCTCCATCCCTTTATTTTGAGCCTATGTGTGTTTCTGCATGTGAGATGGGTTTCCTGAATACAGCACACTGATGGGTCTTGACTCTTTATCCAATTTGCCAGTCTGTGCCTTTTAATTGGAGCATTTAGCCCATTTACATTTAAAGTTAATATTGTCATGTGTGAATTTGGTCCTGTCATTATGATGTTAGCTGGTTATTTTGCTCGTTAGTTGATGCAGTTTCTTCCTAGCCTTGATGGCCTTTACATTTTGGCATGTTTTTGCAGTGTATGCCACATTTTCTTAATCTAGTCTATCATTGTTGGACATTTGGGTTGGTTCCAAGTCTTTGCTATTGTGAATAGTGCTGCAATAAACATACATGTGCATGTGTCTTTATAGCAGCATGATTTATAATCCTTTGGGTATATACTCAGTAATGGGATGGCTGGGTCAAATGGTATTTCTAGTTCTAGATCCCTGAGGAATCGCCACACCGACTTCCACAATGGTTGAACTAGTTTACAGTCCCACCAACAGTGTAAAAGTGTTCCTATTTCTCCACATCCTCTCCAGCACCTGGGTTGTTTCCTGACTTTTTAATGATTGCCGTTCTAACTGGTGTGAGATGGTATCTCATTGTGGTTTTGATTTGCATTTCTCTGATGGCCAGTGATGATGAGCATTTTTTCATGTGTTTTTTGGCTGCATAAATGTCTTCTTTTGACAAGTGTCTGTTCATATCCTTCGCCCACTTTTTGATGTGGTTGTTTTTTTCTTGTAAATTTGTTTGAGTTCGTTGTAGATTCTGGATATTAGCCCTTTGTCAGATGGTAGGTGGCAAAAATTTTCTCCCATTCTGTAGGTTGCCTGTTCACTTTGATGGTGGTTTCTTTTGCTGTGCAGAAGCTCTTTAGTTTAATTAGATCCCATTTGTCAATTTTGGCTTTTGTTGCCATTGCTTTTGGTGTTTTAGACATGAAATCCTTGCCCATGCCTATGTCCTGAATGGTATTGCCTAGGTTTTCTTCTAGGGTTTTTATGGTTTTAGGTCTGACATGTAAGTCTTTAATCCATCTTGAATTAATTTTTGTATAAGGTGTAAGGAAGGGATCCAGTTTCAGCTTTCTACATATGGCTAGCCAGTTTTCCCAGCACCATTTATTAAATAGGGAATCCTTTCCCCATTGCTTGTTTTTGTCAGGTTTGTCAAAGATCAGATAGTTGTAGATATGCGGGATTATTTCTGAGGGCTCTGTTCTGTTCCATTGGTCTATATCTATCTCCGTTTTGGTACCAGTACCATGCTGTTTTGGTTACTGTAGCCTTGTAGGATAGTTTGAAGTCAGGTAGCGTGATGCCTCTGGCTTTGTTCTTTTGGCTTAGGATTGACTTGGCAATGTGGGCTCTTTTTTGGTTCCATATGAACTTTAAAGTAGTTTTTTCCAATTTTGTGAAGAAAGTCATTGGTAGCTTGATGGGGATGGCATTGAATCTATAAATTACCTTGGGCAATATGGCCATTTTCACAATGTTGATTCTTCCTACCCATGAGCATGGAATGTTCTTCCATTTCTTTGTGTCCTCTTTTATTTCATTGAGCAGTGGTTTGTAGTTCTCCTTGAAGAGGTCCTTCACATCCCTTGTAAGTTGGATTCCTAGGTATTTTATTCTCTTTGAAGCAATTGTGAATGGGAGTTCACTCATGATTTGGCTCTCTGTTTGTCTGTTATTGGTGTATATAAGAATGCTTGTGATGTTTGCACATTGATTTTGTATCTTGAGACTTTGCTGAAGTTGCTTATCAGCTTAAGGAGATTTTGGGCTGAGACAGTGGGGTTTTCTAGATATACAATCATGTCATCTGCAAACAGGGACAATTTGACTTCCTCTTTTCCTAATTGAATGCCCTTTATTTCCTTCTCCTGCCTGATTGCCCTGGCCAGAACTTCTAACACTATGTTGAATAGGAGTGGTGAGAGGACATTCCTGTCTTGTGCCAGTTTTCAAAGGGAATGCTTCCAGTTTTTGTCCATTCAGTATGATATTGGCTGTGGGTTTGTCAGAGATATCCTACCATCCCCTAATTTGGGTTGATCTCATTGGTGTCTTGATTGCCTGTCTCTCTTCTTGGAATTGATCTGTGTTCCTCATCTCCCAGGCTCTGCTTGACCCCCTCATAGGCCTGCTGTGTTCTGTTGCCACCCAAATCCAGAGGAAAAAGACATCTAAGTCCCACTGCTGTTGTCTACCAGATAACTCTGACTTCAGGCAAGCAGCTGAACCCACCTTGGACTCCGTCTGTTTCTGTGACACCAGGGGTTATACTGGATCATCTCTAGGGTCTCCTAGAATTTGGAAACTCCTCTAGGAACCAAGGAGCCTCTTCCTTGTCTGTCTCCACCCATCCATCTTTTTTCTGACTGTTTCAAGCTAATAATCATGAATGCAAAGTGCTGTGACATGCAGGTAGAACTCCATCCATTTCAAAAGAAAAACATGTAAAGGTAAGAGCACTTTATTCTTATTTGAACCACACTGTATTGTTGATTACCGAGTGTGAAGGTAGTATGTTCAGAGTCTTGTTTTATGCCTTTGTAGCTGTGTTGCCAGCATTTGAAGGTAACTCCTCCACATAAGCGGCAGGAAAATGGCCTTTTTTCCCATTCAAAGATCCAAACCACCATCCTCCTTCTTTTTTCTCGTGTATAATCACAATGTCACCTGTGAAAATACAGTTAGACAAATGGGTCTCTGTGATGTGAACACATGCCTCAGCCCGATTGATAAGAGTTTTAAGGAGGTTCTGCTTCAAGGATTTACTTGGTAGTGTCATTTTCTGCACTTGATTCAGATGAAGCCAAATGTATCGAACACCTGTGTATAAAGCAGGCATAATCCAGAGGATACTAAAAAGAGTAAGATAATGAACAACTGAGATATATCATAAAATAATTGCTTAAAGACAGGATTGGCTGGGCGTGGTGGGTGACGCCTGTAATCCCAGCACTTTGGGAGGCCAAGGTGGGTGGATCACAAGGTCAGGAGTTTCGAGACCAGCCTGACCAACATGGTGAAACCCCTTCTCTGCTAAAAATACAAAAATTAGCTGGGTGTGGTGGCGCACGCCTGTAATACCAGCTACTCAGGAGGCTGAGGCAGGAGAATCCTTGAACCCGGGAGGCAGAGGTTGCAGTGAGCTGAGATCATGCCACTGCACTCTAGCCTGGGCAACAGCAACAGGGCAAGACTCTGTCTCAGAAAAAAAAAAACAGGATCACAGCCAGGCACGGTGGCTGACAGCTGTAATCCCAGCACGTTGGGAGGCCGCGATGGGCAGATTAGGCAGATTACTTGAGGTCAAGAGGTTGAGACCAGCCTGGCCAACATGGTGAAACCCCGTCTCTACTAAAAATACAAAAATTAGCCAGGCATGGTGGCACACGCCTGTAGTCCCAGCTATTTGGGAGACTGAGGCAGGAGAATCACTTGAATCCAGGAGACGGAGGTTGCAGTGAGCTTGGGAGACTGAGGCAGGAGAATCACTTGAATCCAGGAGACGGAGGTTGCAGTGAGCTAAGATCACACCACTGTACTGCAGCCTGGGTGACAGAGCAAGACTCTGCCTCAAAAAAAAAAATAAAAAAAGATCACGTTGGATCATATATCCTTATGCTGCCTGGCTCACTTTCTATTTCTATGTAGCTGATGGATTGTCACCAAACTCTTTCTTGGTGTCCGTACTTTGAGGGTTTCACATGCTGGTGTTTTTGATTGTTTGGCGTGTTGGCTGCTATAAGTATGTCTCACCAACAGTCTTTTCTTAAGATCAAGACAATGTCTCTGCATTATCCCTGATTTCACAGGCCAAAAGTTTAACTCACTCACAGCTTTGCACAGAAATGTAACTCCCCATTCAAAATGTAACTCCCCATTCAACAACTTAGACAACTTTAATACAACATCAATTTGGAGACAATATTTTTTAAAGCAATGATTCAAATAAAGAGAATTCCATAGAGAATTGGACAAGAAACATGGCTCTTGTCATAAAAGTAGAAAGATCTGCCCCCTTCAGGATCATCTGCCCCCGTCAGGATCCAAGAGCTACTTTTTATTTGGCATCATTCTGAGGTGATTTTTCAGTCTTCCTTTCACTCTTTTCCTCAGCAACTTTCTTTCTAAGACAAAGGAAATTATTAACTCCTTTTCTATCTTTTCTACATTTTCTTAGTCATAAATCACTATTCTTAAAGGACATTATTCTCGGTCTCTAAGTTCTCCCTCGTCAGTAAATTGACATAATCTATTAACAAGAATTCAAACAAATAATGATTTCAAATTGTATTGCCAGCTTCCCTAAGGCTCCAACGTCGTGTTTCATTTAAAGAAACTGCTTAGAATATAAAGTATAAGTAGGCTTTGCAACCAACAGAGAACTGAAAACAAGATAATCAATTTATTGTGAATGATGTAACTTAAATGCTGCATCCATGGGTTCTAGGTGGCATCTGGGAAGTATGTCTGTCTTTTATTCACATAGGAAGAAAAGTAATTGCCTGGAGAGATATGACTGGCAAATGCTGCAAAGGAAACACCCAATAAATAGCAAATGTGTGGTGTCCCTGTCGTTTGGCTACAAAATGTATCTTGATTTTCCATTGGCTCTGGGAGCCATGTCCTTGTCGTGGATAATATTCTTTCTCCCATAACGTTACTCTTTCTCACTAACCCTTCCGTTTCCAGATCTCTGCATTAGCGCTAACATTCAAACATGGTTTCTAACTGGACACATAAAGAAGGTTGAGGCTGGAGACTTTCTTCTTTAATAATGTTGTGGTTTACATTATAAAGCCACTACGTAATACCTTTCCATGTTAAGTAAAACTCTGTGACACAAAGAAGGGGATCTCACTCTTTAGACTGGCTGTAAAAAGCTTTTCTGAGAAGTAAGTGAGACCAGCACTAAGCTGGGAGTCAGCTGACCTAGGTTCTAGAATTTGCACTTACTTACACTAAGTTGAGAGAGGAGGTCACTTCACATTCCTGAATGTCTAGCTTCTAAAAAATAAAAAGGTGGGGTACATCTCTAATCACTTTCCATCACTGACATTCTACCCTAGTGTGCACTGTGATTAGGAGCATGACTGTGTTTCCAAGTTCAAATCTTGTGTTGCCACAGCCTGTGACATTAGCCAAAGCACCTAACCTTCCTGTGTATCAGTCTCCTCTGCTATGAAATGGGAATACCAATAAAACCCTCCAAGGGTTTCATGAATATTAAATTGGACAATAGGCCTGCAACAATGTCTGACACACAGTAAACAGAATAAGCGTTAGCTATTATCATTATGCGAGCTTTTGTTTTAGATGTGCTTATCTTTCAAGAAGGGTGAACTGATTTGACATGGTAGTAACTCTTAAGGCTGCCACACTAAGACAGGGTTTTATTCATGCTAAGAATCTCAATATGGGAAGGCAATTAAAATATTTGAGAATGATTCTTACCCTTTTCCAAATTCAACTCATCATCTTGCCTGGCTTGAAAAGAATACAAGGCCTTGCAAAGTCTGCTGCTGAGCTGGGCTGCACCAGGGGCTGAAATAGATAAAGCTGTAATTAGTATGCTGTGTTAGCAGGCAAATGAATATGAGCTGAAGCTCTTTGGTTATTTAACAGTGTGATGCAGAGTTTCAATATATTAAATTTTTCTCAAAAGGAAAGTTTGTAATTTTATATAATGTTCATTCCTTGATTCAATAACCACTTATGATGCACTTTCTATATGTATGGACTGCATATGTTATATAACCAAAAACTATATTATAATACATGAAATAGCAAGTCTAGAGAAAAACATCATTGTATAATAATAGTAATTGCATGCATGTTTTGGAAAACATTCACCAGTTTTGCCATTCAGGTATAAATACGGGATATTTGGGGCATGTGCATGTTATCATCATCCCTAGCTGTGTATGGAACTGTTTCTCAAACAATGCAACAGTGACTCCTTAATATATTGTGTGAACCATAATGTCCTGGTTTTACTGAAGTTCTTTTTTTTTTTTTTAAACCAATTTCTAATTTAAAAAACTAGATAGTCAAGATTATGGTAATTATACTTGAACATGCAGGTACAGTGACACGTGTGTGTGTGCTGAAAGATGAAGAGCAGTGTGGTGTGTGGGTGCATGAATGACTGAAGTCAGATGGCTGCTAACAGGAGTTTGTAGGCCATGAGTCCAAGCCCTGGCAAACCACCTGGATCACCATGTGTCTCGCAGAGAGGACAGGCTTCTTATGGGAGTTTGGAGGAGGCTATGGAGACAGAGCGACAAAGCTCCTCACGATGGTTTAGGTGTGATTATGTTTATGGCAAATAACAGGCCATTTGAATAAGGTGGATGCCAGTCATCTGATATCTGAGGCAACTTCTCATAGGATACTTTCCCAACCCTCTACTCTTCTTAACTTTTTCCCATTTTTACATAAAGCTACAGAGTCTAACAAATTAATCGGTCCCAATGGAAATATAAATTTCCTTAAACAGATACAGGTCAAAGTGGCTCTGAAACTAAAATTTAAATGTAGCAATGTGCCCTGCCAGTAGGACCCAGGCCAAAATGATTGTGGGCATGGGATTACCTGGAGTTGAAGAACCTGGATTGCTCTGCCCACCAGAAGATGCCTTGCTCACAATATTCTCTAATCTCTTCATTAAAAAAGGCCGAGATATTTTCACATAGCTATGAGTATGCTCCTGTTCAAATGACATAAAAAGTCATATTTTGTAACACGATTATCATAAACATTCATGAAAATTAACTCTTCTGTAGCTGTTTTCCTCAAGTTGTTTTTTCTGTTTGTTTTTTCTTTTTTTTTTTTAGACAGAGTCTTGCCCTGTCACCCAGGCTGGAGTGCAGTGGCATGATCTTGGCCCACTACAACCTCCACCTCCCGGGTTCAAGTGATTCTCCTGCCTCAGCCTCCCCCGTAGCTGGGATTACAGGTGCCCACCACCATGCCTGGCTAATTTTTGTATTCTTAGTAGAGACGGGGTTTCACCGTGTCAGCCAGGCTGCTCTCGAACTCCTGACCTCAGGTGATCCGCCTGCCTTGGCCTCCCAAAGTTCTGGGATTACAGGCATGAGCCACTGCGCCTGGACTGGAAGTTTTTAAACTGAGGGGTATAAATAATTCAAAGATTTCTAAGCCCTACTGTGTTTCAGTTTTGAGTTGAAGCCTTAATATTTTCACAATTACACAATTACTATACTTTATAGCCTGTGTTTCCAATTCTAACCTATGTGTCTAGGTCAAATAGTAATATTCATAGCATTACTTTTACAAATACAACTTTAGTTGGCTTAATGCAAGTGAAATGATCACAACCCTGTAAATGATTGAGATTGTTTTCGAGCTCTTGAGCCTTAGAAAACTGTCCCTTCACAAGATGATTACAGTTCCCCCTTCTGATCAGTAATAAAAATAGCTACAAGCATTTCAGAGCTGTACTGATGCATTATCTGCATTAGGCACCATCTTAAACAGATGAGACTAATACATACCACAAAATCTTATAATTTAGGTCTGAACGAATATTAAAATTTCAATTTAATAGAAATTTTACTGTAAAAGCACATCCAAAGGATGAAATTCAGGTATGATGAGAAAGAAGAAATCAAAAGTGTTTTTTAGCTTCTCATAGAAGTTTGGTGTACACAGAATGTATTCGGTTTTGTCTAGCTCTTGTTATTGTGCTCAAAAGAAAAATAAAAACATTTATCTTCTTAACTAACTGCATGAATATTAATATCACATAGAATTCCTAACACCTTTTTTGCCCTGATGCTACTTTAAGCCACTCCACCCAGCAGGCCCAATCAAGAAATTACAACCAGTCTCCTTAAATGTTACCTTTTCCCTCCACCTGAAGATGGAATTACTACAAGGATGGCTGGGTTGAGGTCTTTGCTCAAGTTCTGCTAACATTGATGACAGTTTGTAGGAGTTCGCTTCCAAAAGGTCTAGTTTCAAATTGTTCTGTGGATACATCATTTGGCCATGTGAGCAAATTTCTAGTAAATGAGGCACAACTGGATAGGAATATCAGAATAACTTTCAAAATAACAAAGGTTAGAAAAGTACGCATTTAACTCATACAGATATTCACAGAAAATGCCGAAGGAAAAAAAAATGGAGGAATAAACTCTTTAAGCAGTTTAGAGGGAGGTTTTAGTTGTTGAGTGTGTCTCATTCTGTACTCTGGGGGTGAACAGGAAACCTTGGTAATATATTAGTATTTTATGGCAATGAAGAGGTTTTACTCAATTTTCTGCTGAGGGACAAGAAAGGGGATAAGTGTTGATTGTAGAAGGTAGATTTTTGGTGGTCTGCGAAGAAGGTGAGCCATCAGTGCTAAATATTGTGAACAGAATTGAATTAACATCAATAGACGCAAATGAAATTGAATGTGAGGTTTGTTTGTTCTTTGATAAGGTGAGGTCTTATATTACCCACAAAGTTTACAGGAATACTTCTGGAAACTGGGAACAATATTTTAGGGCATTTGAGTATAAACATAATAAGTCAAGCTAAAGATACACTCCTAGTCTCTGTCTGTTCTTGATATGACCTTGAACTAGAAACTTTATAATTACCTTGTCAGGCTGGGTCCAGCCAGGGTGAATTAAATAACAGAATCTAAGCATTGGAAGGGTCTTGCTTATCCAGCCCCCTCCTCACCATTATCCCTCTCTCCCCCACACCTCCAGCATGGGAATTCCCAACCCTAATATCCCTGCCAGGGTGTCACAGCCATGGACAGAAGACATCCAATTGATGGAGAAAGTCTCTAATCGTTGGAGGAATCCACTGCATTGTGGGGCAGGCTTACCTAAGACAAAACTAAAAGCTCCCCCATGCTTTCTACCATTAGACCTTCACTTGATAGTCTCATAGAGCACATCTAGTTCTTCTTCTATGTGGCCCTCTTTCTGGTCTCTAAAGACAGTATTTAATCTAAGTGCCTCCAGTTTTCTCAACAATTTTTCTTATGACACTGCTTGTGAACATTCTTGATTCAAACATGGCACTTCAAGGACCAAGATATAATGAAATAAGGAAGAATGTAAATAAAAGTTTCCTCATCCTAGAAACCTTCCGTGGGTGACACAAAATCTACCAGTATCACTAGTTTCTGTCTACCCAGATGCAGAGCATGCGTAATGAAATCATGTGGATATTTGGCATTCCTCACTTAAAGGTTCATAGTTGCTCCTTCACCAGATCATAAACATTGGAAGTTCCAAGGTCAGATGCTCTCCCTCCTTGTGTCCTCCACTGTGTGCTTCAGGTGAGAGGACCCAGATGATCCTAATACATGTATGCTGGTAATGACAATGACAAAATTCTGTGCAAGGACAGCCAAAGGAATAGATGTATAACCCAATGGCATCAGTAGTTAACTAAACAGCTTGTGCGGTCACAGAAAATGTCCTACAGTCTGTTTTATAATTTCATAAAAACTGTAGCCACGGGTCATTGCAGGTATGTTAGACCTCTGTTACCCAGTGCACACAATGCAGGCTATTTTCTTTTACAAGAAGTGTTAGGCTTGTTTCTGCAACAGCACCTTACTCAAGAAAGCCTATCTAAAAACTAGGTCAGCGATACCTCACTGCATCTGTCTTCTTTCACCAAAGAACTATTGAAATTGCCAATCTGGGTACAATTATCAAGTACCTACCTTCACAAGAAAGTTAGGCTATAAGCAAGAAAAACAAAACGCCCAGATTCCTGTACCTTCAAAACATTGCTAAAAAATTTATCTCCTTAAATGATTCTCAGATTAACCCCAGTCCACTCATGATCTCTAATCACAGCAGAAACCCATATGTTGCACACTGGTGCTATATATCTGTTCATTTTTATTCCTGTGTAAAATTCATCAGCTTTTTGTTAACTATCCCTTTCCCTTCCTCTGAAGTGGCCAAAATGTCCATCAATCCCCACGAATGTCTATGGGGCTAGAGTTCACACACTCAGCACAAAGGCCAGGAGGCCCACCTCCCTGCCTCTTCTACCATCTCCCCACCCCAATTCCCACCCTTAAAGAACTTTGCCCTCAAAGTTGCTCCTGGTTTCCCCAGATTTTGCCTCACACACCAGACTGCCCTATTCCCTCTGCAACCACGTCTTTCCTTTCCCCTGTTATTCTCCGATAACCCTGAGATCAGCAGAGGGATGAATGGAAAATACCACCTTAATAAAAATTACTAGTTTTTGAGCTCCTCCTGTGAGCATTGTGCTGGTATTTACTAAATAATATTTCACCCTCACAAAAGCCCCATGAGGTAAAGTACCAATATCCCCATTTTGCGGATGAGAAAACTAAAGTTGACCCAGGTCCCTGTAAACAGCAGAGCTAAATCTAAATACAGGCCTTTCTGAATGCAGATCCTTTGTTTCCTGTCGCTTTTCTTAACTGGGTTAAAGTGCACATGGTTTCTAGGCCCTTAAAGAACGACTCTGTTTGGAGAATACTATTTTAGACACAATTCTTTTCCTAGGACACCAAAGCAAACATTTCTAGGTAGTTGTATTTTTCCAGATCCCTCAAATGACTTATGAAGCTGACCCTATAAGCTCCCCCACTAGATTGTTCTATGTCATGAGAAAGGAAAGGCAAACAAGGCCAAGTGGACCAGAAACAAGTATTCTAAAAATAACCCTTTTCATCACTACATCTAGGAAATGCACTCGGCAAACATTTACCTCATCCATTAACGCTGCTGTGTCTTTCTGGCTCTTTGCATCAGAGAAGGAGGAGGTGCTGGAGTACGTTTTAAGCATTCGTTCCAGGCCTGAAAATGAAATCATGTTCTCAGTCACCTTTCACACTGTCTCAGTGGGACACAGCCAGGAGTCGGTCGCTCTCAAAGGGAGCCTAGAAGTGATACCAGTGAGATTTTTTTTTTTAAGACGGAGTCTTGCTCTGTCACCCAGGCTGGAGTGCAGTGGCGCGATCTCGGCTCACTGCAACCTCTGCCTCCCAAGTTCAAACAATTCTCCTCCCTCAGCCTCTTGAGTAGCTGGGATTACAGGTGTATGCCACCATGTCCGGCTAATTTTCGTATTTTTAGTAGAGACACAGTTTCATCATGTTGGCCAAACTGGTCTCCAGCGCCTGACCTTGTGATCCACCCGCCTTGGCTTCCCAAAGTGTTAGGATTATAGGCGTGAGCCACAGCACCCAGCCACCAGTAGGGTTTCTTAAATGGCTGAGGGAGTCTCTGCAGGTAGTTCTTAATAAATTTGACTGAATGATAAATGAACTGTTTACCTTTCTCTTCACTTAATGAAATTTGAGAAGTGCTGGTGCTTAAAGCATCTTGATTGTTATTTTTCCAGATGAGATTTTGAAATTCTTTCAGTCGACCCATTCTAGCAATTGCTAACAGTTACCCAACGTTGGCTTCTTCCTCGTTATGGTATTCACATCACTAAATGTTTTCTATCTTGAATTTGCTCTCTAGTATTCCATTGCAATGAGTTATCGTGGTCCATATAAAACAAGTTACTAGGTAGACATCAGAGTCACAAATGTGGAGTCGTTTTTGTCATCCTTGTTGCTTTAGAGCTGCTTCACAGTCTGACATGCCTAACTTCTACGTACAGAATTTAATTTGAAAGGTTTTTACATTGTTTCAAAAGTCAAAAGAAACAAACCAAAAAACTCATCCAAAACTCTCATGCACAGTTGGTTGACCATGTTTTAAACCAAACACATTATCTCTCATTCTAGCCAATTTCAGAAACACAGTTAAAATGCTACATTTCTGAAAATAGTAGTATAATACTTATATAGGTTTCATAAATAGACCAAAATGTGATTTTCCTTTTTTTTTTTTTTTTGGCTTTCTTTTTTCTTCTACTTTTTTTTTTTTTGTTCACACAACTGAAGTTTGATATATGGTTCTTTAAATGAGAAGACCCCTGCCAAATAGCAAAAGCAGATCAATCCTAACTCTGAATGAAACCTCTGAGCATCATATGGTCCCTTTTCTGGCCATTCAAAGAGATGGTTACACACCTTCCTTGTCTTTTGAGGCTTTTTCAATGTCTCTCTGCAGTCTCAATAATTTTGGTTTTAGTAAAGACTTTCGTCTCTCTTTATCCATTGCACTGTTAGGATCTTCTTCCTTTAGGAAAAAAGAAGGATGTCTAACAAGGGGGAAGAAGTAAGAGTTGCTATTCCCTGTCCATTCTGATACTTCCACTGGCTGCATTTAATTTTAACTTTATAAAATAAAACAAAATTTTTAAGCAGGATAATCTTTAGTTTTACACACATTGTTCTACCTGTTCGAGACCTGATGAATAAGAAAATATTGTCTTGTTCACAACTTTTAAGTCACATGGCCGAGCACTTTTTAATAGAGCAGATTGTTCTTTGAGGATGGACCCTTGCTATAGCTATTTCATTTTCTTGATAAATCTATTTGTTGTATACTTACTGCTTCCTTATTTACTTTTGTTCAAGTTAGAGTCCTTTAATGGCCCAAATGTAATATCATGTATGTGTTTCAGGCTATGACTGCCTCAGGAGTGGAAGACATTTTGACTGAGTTCTGTGTTGGCTCAGTACTGGGAAGATGTGAGCTAAAACACATATGCTCTTTCCAGAATGGGTTTATGATTTAGTTAGGCCTTGAAGCATAACATTAAAGAAACTAGCAATACAAGACCACATGCATTCACGAATGCTACAGACACCACGAGTGCAGGCAGCTGACAGCTTCGAGGAGGCAAGAAGACGTAACTGTCTAGTCAAGGAAAGATGGCAAAGGGCACTCCAGGCAGGAAAAATGGCGGGAGCAAAGGGCTGGGGGAGGACTGTGGGAAATGTGTCAGGAACAATAAAGACACCTGTTGCATGAGCAAAAAAATAGGGGAAGAAAAAATTGTTCAGGGAGTTGAGGCTAGATTTTAGGGCTGATGTAGGAATTTTATCACATAGGCTATGAGGAATCATTCATGATATCTGAGCTTTCACATGCATTATTTCAAGGATTGAATAAAAAAGAATAGGATGGTAGAGTTGGAGTGAGGAGGTTGCTAAACATGAGTGGCAGAGGGACAGAAACCCATGGAGAAAGACGGGAAACTAATGACTCAAGGTGGGAGGGGAGGATGCAGGCTTCGCTGATAAGGAAGGAGAAAAATTAGGATCCCGGCTGAGAGATTACCTTTAGATGGAGCTTCACAAACAAGAAGTGTGAGGATTTAGAGCAAAGGGAATAGCCTCTATAAAAACATATACAGATAAAAATATTTTATTTACATATTTTTCATTGCACATTACAAAAGTGTCTTTATATTCTGGGCCAGGTGTGGTGGTTCCCACCTGTAATCCCAGCACTTTGGGAGGCCAAGGTGGGTGGATCACTTGAGGTCAGGAGTTCGAGACCAGCCTGGCCAACATGGTGAAACCCTCTGTCTACTAAAAATACAAAAAATTAGCCGGGCGTGGTGGTGTGCACCTGTAATCACAGCTACTTGGGAGGCTGGGGCAGGAGAATCACTTGGACCCGGGAGGCAGAGGTTGCAGTGAGCTGACATTGTGCCACTACACTCCAGCCTGGGCCACAGAGCGAGACTCCGTCTCAAATAAATAAATATTTCTTTATATTATTTATTACATGCAACTCCTACAACTCAATGGTTGGTTTTATTTTCCTCATTTTACCTGTGACACAGATAAAAGAAGGCCCAAGTTGACCCCAAATGCTCTACCACTCCTTCACATGTCATCCCACAGCTGAGGCGCAAGCTGACATCACACCCCCAAGTAAACTCTGACTAAACTGCTAAGACACCTAACTAAAACCATTAGTCCTTCCCTGTTGAAGGAATGCAAGTCATAACATAGCTCCCATACCAGTCCAAGGCTTCCCTTGGTTTGTCTGGGGACATCTATTGTTTAAACATGTATTTCCAGGGATAGATTGCTCCTGGGTCAATTTCAGGATGGGGTATATTGCCATCATTTAACTCTTAACATTTGTCCTTCTCTTCTAAAGATTTGTTAGAAAGAAGGTCAGTACTGGAGGAGGCGTATAAAATTACAGATAACAATCTTTTGAACATGGCATTTATGGTAACCTTACAAATATTTTCACCAGGTCACCAAGCCCTCCAAGTTTTGCACTCAGATTGGTCTCTTTGTTGTCCCTGGTCCATGTAAATTTCATAACACTGGATAAAAACCAGCCTACACTTATTGACAATGACTATAAAGTCAGACATTGGGGTGCTTTGCCTTAAAGATGTCAAGAAAATACTATTCACTCATTTTGAGACACAGTCCTTTCTCTTAGACAACAGATTCATGGTTGTGAGTTCTGACACAGTGAAGTTTTATAGAAACCAAAAATTTCCCTGAACATGCCAATAAATGAGAAGTCATCATGGCTGCCTCCTTACACTTTGGTAGAACCCTAGTCAAATTTTCAAGAATAATCCTCATTTTATTGACAAGTTATTTGATAGGGGCATTTTTATTATTCTTTGTAAGAAAATAGATTTATTTTATTGTACATTTTTCCATCTCAGGCCCTGCCTACATTATTTGAAAGAAAAAAAGCGCTTTCCCCATGTAATCAAATCATTTCCACTTCCATTTCTACCTTGTTTCTGCATTGAACAGACATTGATATTGCTAATATACTTCTCCTTTGCCAAGGTAGGAAAAAAAAGACTCAGTAAAAAATAGCTGGTCATTTGCTGCTGTCTGAAGGGTGGGGAAAGGGAAAGCCAATCAGGGTTTACTGCAGTGCCTGATCTAACCACCTCTGCCTTCTACCGTCTTGTTGCCTGATCAGAGGTCCAGGGAGGTCAGCTTTGGCTGTACTTCTAATCCTATGGAGGACATGACCAGTGGGCTTGTTCTCCATATCGGAGAAGAGTGACACCCCTAATCTGGAGCTTGAAATCCTGAATAAAATATGGCAGAGGACCCAGGGAAACGCTATCAGAATTCTTTCTGCAGGTTTTGGTAATTAATAATCAGTTCCTAGAACACTACAATTAAGAATATCAAGAGGGGAGCAGAGGCCAAAATCTTTGAGGCTTGACCCAGAAGGACAAATAATTTGCCCCAATATAGCAAAGGGGCAACGTGCTTGGGCTCTCACCAGGGACACTGACCAGTTTTCAGCAAAAACACCCACAGTAGAATCACTCAAGTACCCTCAAAATAAGCCTCCGATAATCTGGTCCAAGGTTTTCAAGAGAAGGGACCATGAAAAATACTGATAGTGACTCCCACTTCCTAGAACCCATGCCTTTGGGTGATCTTCCCTCACACCCACCTTTGAGTATGGGCTGCACTTACTGACTTGCTTCTAGCAAATAGAATATGATGAGATGTCACTTCTGAGATTAGCTTACAAGAGATTATAATTTCTTGGGCACTCTGGCTCTGTCTGTCTTGATCACTCATTTTGCGGGGAGTAGGCTGAGACATGGAGAGACCCACATGGCAAGAAAATGATATCTCCAACCAACAGCAGCGAGGACTGGAGGCCTGCCAACAGCCCTGTGAGTCAGCTTGGAAGTGAGTCTTCTGGAGGAAGAGCCTGGAGATGTCTGCAGCCCAACCTGATACCTTGATTGCAGCCTTGGGAGGGGTTCAGAGACACCTGGCTAAGACACAACTGAATTCCTGACCCACATAAACTATGAGATAATACATGTTTGTTTTAAGCCATTATTTTGGTGGGGGTGGGGAGCGGTAATTTGTTGCACAGCAATTTGTGCAGACAACCAATTTAAGCACCACGTGATATACAGTGATTAATTATAGGTCATTGAAACATGTCTGCCTGGCACTACTTTTATAGAAGACCGAATATGAAGATTCTGTTTAAAACCCTGCTTGACTTTCTTTACTTCTAGAAAATACCAAAGACATGTTTCCATTGTACAGTTTGTAAACTAGAATGCTGGGTTTTTTAAATTTATATGGGGTATGAGAAATCATTTTCATTGATAAAACATGATATTTGCTTTCAATTTTTTCAATGTAAGTCCCTCAGTACCTAAGATTCTCCATTAATGTAACTTTTTTTTTCCATTTCATACTCACAAAGTAATCCGTTAACAGGAACTCAGATTTGTTTTCTGTAGATAAAATTGCAGTTTCTTCCATTACAGCCTGGATATCTTTTTCAATGTCAATCTTGCTGATGGCACAGTGAATCTGCGTGTGGCACTGCAATGCCAAGGGGAACAGAATAAGGTTGTCGAAGAAAGGTTTCTGCCCCTTCTTACCAGGCATACCAGAAATGGAGAGATCATCTCTACTCACTGTGGTCAGGGTTTGGCCAAAAAGAGAAATATGTTGGCTGTACTGGTTTAAGTTATTGCATAAAAGTTGAATTCTTTCCTTCTCCAGCTCCAGAATGCTCTGAAAAGAATGAAAATTGGGGTAAGATCAGCCAGTTGTTATGCAAAATGGAAGTCACTCATCAAACACTGACACACCTGAAGACAGACTGAACAAAGTCTCATGATTAGCCTCTTGACTATGTCATATCCAAACCATAGTGGAGGGAGATTTCCAGGAAGGAATGTGTCTTGGTATCTTAAATCACTCACACACTTTCCCCAGGCTCTTTTGACCCAAAAGGCATATAGGCAGATGCTGTGGGTTACCTAAGTTTATGAGGAAGGGGGAGAAAAGAAGAAAAGGAAGCATTTGAGACACAATCATGGATTCCAGAGAATTCCAGAGAATTTCAGTAGAGATGGGGTTTCACCATGTTGGGCAGGCTGGCCTTGAACTCCTGACCTCAGATGGTCCACCTGTCTTGGCCTCCCAAAGTGCTAGGATTACAGGCATGAGCCACCGCGCCTAGCCAGGCCTTGTTTTTACAAAAAAAAAAAAAAAAAAATTGGGAAGAATTCCAGAGGGTGAAGCCCAGGAAAGCCCATATCCATGTCTTGGAAATGCATTGAGACACCCAATAGTTTTAGAATTGTTTATAGTACATTCAAGGCGTTCTGCTAGTCTGCAGGGAAGAGAATGACAGGCCACAAATTCTCTGTTTAAGGAGGTTATTTGACAAGAGAAGAATCCCAAAGTCTGACCAATTTATAATTCTGCCTAAAATTAGGCCTGGGAGTCAGAGTCCGCTGTTTGCAGGTAGACACATAGCCTCTTTATTTTGTGTGAGATGACAGAAGTTTCATTATTAGACTTATGACTTTTAGGTAGGAAGGGTAAATAAGAAAGTGAGGGGAATCACATTTGCTTTGTTAGCTATTAACATTTTAGAGGCCGGGCACAGTGGCTCATGCCTATAATCCCAGCACGTTGGGAGGCCAGGGTGGGAGGATCACCTGAGGTCAGGAGTTTGAGACCAGCCCAGCCAACATGGTGAAACCTTATCTCTACTAAAAATACAAAAATTAGCCAGGCATGGTGGCACACGCCTGTAATCCCAGCTACTCAGGAGGTTGAGGCAGAATTGCCTGAACCCAGGAGGTGAAGTTTGCAGTGAGCCGAGATCATGCTACTGCACTCCAGCCTGGGTGACAAAAGTGAAACTGTCTCAAAAAAAAAAAAAAAATGAGAAAATGTTACTTATTGGACCCATGCCAACTGAGTTGCTGACTGGTGGTTTTACAGGGGGCAGAAAGCTTTAGCAACTAAGCATTCTTAGAGAAGGCTGGCTCAGGCAGAGTATTCAGGGAGACTCCAAGGCCATGTGGGGGCAGTGTAAGGCTGCTGGGTATGTGCCCAGGGGACTTTGGGCTTTGATGGAGATGGCAGGTGTCCAAGACAAAATTCTTCCCATCTTTTTTTTTTTTTTTTTTTGTAAAAACAAGGCCTGGCTAGGTGCGGTGGCTCATGCCTATAATCCCAGCATTTTGGGAGGCCGAGACGGGTGAACTACCTGAGGTCAGGAGTTCAAGGCCAGCCTGCCCAACGTGGCAAAACCCCGTCTCTACTAAAAATACAAAAATTAGCCAGGCCTGGTGGCGGGCGCCTGTCGTCCCAGCTACTCAGGAGGCTGAGGCAGGAGAATCGCTTGGACCTGGGAGGTGGTGGTTGCAGTGAGCTGAGATCATGCCACTGCACTCCAGCCTGTGCAAAAGAGTGAGATTCCATCTCAAAAAAAAGAAAAGAAGAAAGAGAAAGAAAGAAAGAAAAAATACAAGGCCTGGGCATTCATCCTTTTATCCAGGGAAGTCCAGCTCAGTTGCTCTCATACCCACCATCCCAACTCCTGCATCCCACAAAGAGCACCAGCAATCATCTTTCATGAACAAGGCTTTGGAGAAGTTGGTGGGTAACACGACCATAGGGAAGAAGAAAGATGGGTATGTCTCAAGGCCCTTGGCAGTGCAAGAGAGGTGAGAATGGAGAGTCACAAAGATCACTGGGTTCTCCTTGCTCACCTCTTGAAATTCCTACAGGAGCCCATTGGCCTGATTCAGTATGGTATTCCTCTATATCCCTGTGTTGTTAATTCATCTATGGTATATGGTGATTAAAATTATTTTAAATTTCTTTATACTTTTAATTATGGTAAAATTTACATAATATGACATGCCATTTTATCCACCTTAGGCATCCATTTCAGTGTCATTAAGTGCATTCACATTATTATGCAAACACCACCATAATTCATCTCTAAAACTTTTTTCATCTTGCAAAAGTAAACCGTACCCATGAAACAACGACTTCTCATTTCCTACGCTCTGCATCCCCTGGCAACCACCATTCTACTTTCTGTCTCTACAAATTTAACTACTCTTGATACCTCTTACAAGAGGAATCATACACTACTTGTTCTTTTGCATCTGGCTATTTCACTTAGCATAATGTCTGCAAGGTTCATCCATGTTGTAGCATGTGCCAGAATTCCCTTCCTTTTTGGCTGAATAATATTCCATGGTATGCATATACCACATTTTGTTTTTTGGTATATAGTCATTTGAACACTGCTTGCAAATGAAAGTAGTAAAAGGCTCAGGCAGTAACTATGAACATCTGTGCCAATCACATGCAACTTTAGCTTTTGTATCAAGTGTCCTGACATTTGGATTGGAAGCCTGGAGCCACGCCCCCATGGCAATCTTCTTAGTTGCCTCTGAAGCTGCCCAATTTTCATATGTCAATGGGAGTCAAATGGATTGGTTTACGCTGGCAGTCCCCTGAGGCTTTCACAAAATTGCAGGCACCAGTCATTTGAATGTGGCCGTCTGCCCTTCTGTCTCCCAGATAAAGGATTAAAGACACAGAATAGCCTATCAAATGTTTTGCTTCTTAAAAGGCAGAATCGATATGCCTCATAACAAATACGTAAAACAAATTCTGCTCAGTTGTTTGGATCTCCTATGTGACAATCTTCAAAAAGAAGAAGTCCTTACCCTATAGAAAAAGATCTAGAAATCAGCTCTTCTGTTTTAGCCTATGAGCAAGAGAGAAGAGAAAATAAAAGCCAGGTTTTAGAACATATTGCATCCCTAGTGGGCAGGTGTTTCTTTACTTTGACAAGTGCTGAACCACTAGCATCAATCTGAGACTAGAATAACCAGTGTTCCTTAGTGACATGGTAATGCTTAACAGATTTTAATTACATTTCAGGGAAATCATTAAAATGATCTATGTTTGCTCATAAGAAGAGGAGGAAATAAATTCCACTGTGCAAAGGAGAGATCCATATCTAATGATTTTTTGCTTTTTATTATCTTGTTCTTTTTATATAAAATAGGTGGTAGAGAAGCAAGATACTCTGGAGGACCTCAAACTGTCCTCTTGAGGTTCCACAATAGTATATATGAACAAAGTGTGGTCAAGGAGTTATCCAGAAAGATTCAGATTTCAGCAGATTTAGAGCCTGTCTGGGGCCCAAGCATCATGACAATTTGTTCTTCATTCGTTCCTTCCAGTTCTTGCTGTCCTAGCCTTTGGGCTGGTACTACAGGAAGAAGTCAAAGGGATTTTGTTTTCATTTAAATGACTCTCATAGAACTGATAAAAGAAATATGCTCTTTCTAGAGCAGGGACTCTCAAACTTTAGAATATCTAGACCCCTCTTTATAATCATTCAGAGGCTCTGATTGATTCAGAGGCTCCCAGGTCTAGGGAGGTGATCAGGAATCTGACTTTTAAGCACCCCAGGCGCTTTGAGACATTGTCCTAGGGCCACAGAGGCCCACAAAAAATACATTTTAAAATCATAATTCTTCCACCCAGAAGTGACTGCTATTAACATATTGATATATTTCAGTCTAGGTATGTGTATATGTATGATTTTATCTTCTAGTTATCTATCAAATTATTCAAATTTGAAATTCTGTTTTTTCCACTTAACCGTACATGTGAACAGTTTCCCGTGCCATTAGTCTCTGAAAATACCACTTTAATTATTTCATAAGCATCCATGGTGCAGGCGTGTTTATTCACTTAGTCATCCCTTTAATGTTGGACATTTGGGATGTTTGCTGCCTTTAACATGTTTCAAATAGAAATCTGTGTCTGGTTTGTCAGCTACTTCCTCAAGACACTTTTATAGAAAGGAAATTACCTTTTTCAACAGAGTCCTAGGAAAGAATGAAGCCCTACTGTCCTGAGGCGTCCATTTTATGTAATGAGTTGTCATTCGTCTCATCTAGAGTGGGACTACTCAAGTGCCATCCTTGGGAGAACTGAGAAAGCAGCCACTCGAATCATTTTCTGTGTTCTGGGATTTAGAGGAGGAACACTGGTTGAGAAAGGGAATATTTTTAAGGCTCTTGACACATATTGCA
Organism: Homo sapiens; assembly: GCF_000001405.40. NCBI lineage: Eukaryota > Metazoa > Chordata > Mammalia > Primates > Hominidae > Homo > Homo sapiens. The sequence goes on along the minus strand of NC_000002.12, from coordinate 168,846,728 downwards.
GATGGCTTTTAAAAATAATTCCTTGAGTAAGTACTTCAGTACCAAGCATTTGATTCTTTGTAATTCTTGGTAGTATGGTTATTATTGTGAAAAATATAGGTTATTTCTATCATCTGAAGTGTTTCTTCTTGGAGGGTGGGATGTGGCTAGAATACAGTATGATTGTGAAGTAATAAGACTAATTTTGACATGTGGTTTGTGGAATTGGTTTCATTACTTATAGTCACATTTGAGGCTTTACAATATTTCTCACAGTATCTACTACACTGCCTTGAATGTAGTTCAATGCATGTTCTCTGAAGGAATTTGTACATCCAACCTGTAGAGTAAAAAGGAATAAGAGAACACTTCGTAGGACCCTAAAATGAATTTTTATATTCAATTTGTACAGAAGAATGGTGAAAGAATGGAGAAAAAATGAAACTGAGAGACCCTAACTGTCCCATTTCCATCTCTCACACTTATAATAAAATTCCTCTTTGAGTCAATTCAGGCTGTTTTTGTTATATGTCTTCATGAATCTAACATTTGACACTTGAGTGCCATAAACATACACAAAATATGGCATACATAGAGTAATATGTGAGTCAATGACCTTCTGGTATAGACTGAGTATACACAAGCCCAGGAAATACCAACTAAGGGCATCATTATTGAGGGTTCAAGTGAAGCAAGAGTGACTGGACAGAAGTCGTCTCACGTTGTGGCTAATGGGCTTGAGATGGCTCTCAGGAGGCAGGAGAGAACTCAGAGGAAGGTGGGGTAGGAGAAGCTGTATGAACTAAAAAGGACACGGACTGAAACACTGGTGGCCTCCAGCATAGAGGTAGCAAAAATCCAGGATACAAGAGGGGAGAAAGAAAATGCTCTTCCTCAAGGACATTATGATGAGTAGATATTCCATGTGACTTGGATTCTAACAAAAAAAAAAAAAAAAAGGAAGAAAAAAACTAAAACTAGGTCTTAAATATTTTTAGAGCTGAAGTTGAAAGATGCCTTTTGAAATGTAAATGAATGTATACCTTGTTACCATCAGGAAGACTGTAAGAAAAGAGATAATTTCCATGATGCTTCAACATAAACACTGGGAATGCTGAGAAGGGGGAGTGGTGGTTGTAGGGGAAACATGTAGAGGATCTTAACAGGAGGAAAGGAAACTGAGATGAAGGAGAGGCGTAGCAAGAGCTTCTGATAATGAAGATAATCATAGCCTTCCCTAACATATATTGAAGAAGGCAAGCTAGTTATCAGCTACACCAGGTAGGACCCATTTATCTCCCATTGCTGCGATGTAGGTAGAAGGGTGATGAGGATAGAGACACTGAGGTGAAATATTTTTCTCATAGCCCTTGAAGGGTGGGTGCCTGGAAGATGGAGTGGGAGCAGAAATGTCTCTCCCATCTCCTAACAGGGCCATCCAAGGAAGCTGACCTCAGTGGAAAGACCACGGCTTCATCAGGAAGTGATGAGGTGAGGTGAGGCAAGATCAGAGCCCAGGTTGCAGAGCCAGATTTCAAATGAATCAAGTTAGAATTTAAATCCCTGACCTTTTCTCATCACCTTCATCTAAAATCTATCTAGCATAAACCAAGAGAGTACCCGGAGCTTATGTTCAAAGGTGTAAATTAAGGAATTTTTTCTCATTTGTTCCCCTCTTTGACCCAAGTTTTCATCTCTCCTTTAATTTCCCCTTTCTTCTCTAATTCTGCATCTATCCTGCTCTGAGTGGTTGAATTGCAAGAGATGTAAATGCAGCCGTTGGGTTTCCGCCTGCCATATAGCCTTTGCTCTCCCAGTTTTCAATGGGGCAGGAGCATAATGCAGAGGTCCAGGCTGAATCTTTTTTTTTTTTTCTTTTTGAGACGGAGTCTTGCTCTGTCGCCTAGGCTAGTGTGCAGTGGCATGATCTCGGCTCACTGCAAGCTCTGCCTCCCGGGTTCACGCCATTCTCCTGCCTCAGCCTCCCGAGTAGCTGGGACAACAGGCGCCCGCCACCACGCGCGGCTAATTTTTTCTATTTTTAGTAGAGACGGGGTTTCGCCGTGTTAGCCAGGATGGTCTCGATCTCCTGACCTCTTGATCCGCCCGCCTCTGCCTCCCAAAGTGCTGGGATTACAGGCGTGCCGCCCAGGCTGAATCTTAAACCATCTCAGGCTCATTGCTTCATCTTTCCAGCCTCAATGTTCTCATAATGTCATGATTAATACAAAACAGAAACACATGAATGTGCTTAGCACAGCCTAAAAGAGGAGCACTGAGCACCAAGTACTTGTTCCAGGCTGGCCATCAGATCATGGCTTTCTCCAATTGTATCTGCTTTAAACATTTTTTTTTTAAACTTAAAACAGGTGGGGAAAAATAAAACCAAAATATTCATGTTCTTACTCTCCAGAATTGATAGTTATTTAATTTGGTCATATTTATGTAGAGCCTGGGGTTGTACTGCTTCACCAGGGGCCGTGCATAAGCTGCGTGGCTGTTTCTGGCAGTTCTGTTGTATTCCCACCATGGGCTCCATTTCTGTCACTGAACACAGGGACAGTCCCCATGTATAAGTTTACAAACACACACATATAAACTCAGTATAGTTTGCGCATGAGTTTAAAAGAATGTTGATTTACACAGATTGTGTAAGTGGTATATTTCTTTTCCTCAACATCATGTTTTTCGAGGTTAATTCATGTTTAAATATAGTTTTAATTAACTTTTCATTGATGGATATTAGTTCACTTTCCAAATGCGAGCATATTTGAAGAGTAATTCTTCTCTTGATGGATATGAAGATTGCGTACAGTTTTTTCTCACATGCAATTATAAACAATTCTCCCATAAACATTCTTGTGCATCACTCTTGGAGTACAAATGTACATTTTTCTGTAGGATATATGCCTAAAAAGGGAACTGCTGCAGTAAGTACATGCTTATTTTAGTTTCACTAAATATCATTAAATTATTCCCCCTACAGGGGTACAATAATTCTTGTTTCCTAACATCCTTACCAACACTTGATATTGTCAAGTTCTAATTTTTGCCAAATAATCTAGCATTGTTTCATAGGCTTATCGATGATTTTGATTTCTCCTTTTGTGATGTGCTTGCTGACATATTTTGCCCATTATTATCAGATAATTTGCCACAATTCCTTCTTTATGTGTCTACTTTTGCCACTGAGATGTACACATCTCAAGCATTGAGATGTTACTTTATTCAATGCTCTGTATCTCCAGTGCCTAACACGATGCCTGACCTCCATAAGCGATCACTGTATGAGTCATCACTCATGCCTAAAACTAATTTTGAAGCACCTAACACTTAAGCCTTAATTTACGCTTCACTTTGACAGCACTTTTTGAAGTTAGCTGGGTGCTATCCTGTCCACTAAGAATTAGGAGCAGAAACTCTGGCCAGTGAAATTCAATAAATTGTCACTGGTAATTGTATCCATGGAGAAACTGAAACAATGAGAGGAAATGTGGTTTGTCTGAAGTCACAATATGTGTGATGCTCATAGCTAAGACAGAGGGCAGGTCTTGTCACTGTAATCTGACCTCCATCTTCAAGGTCACACAAAGCTCCACAGAAGAAGAAAAAAATGTGAATATATAACTTACCTGGTAGCAGTTCTCTAGTGTGTTTTCCCATTTCAGTCTGGTAGAATAACCCGCCATGTTTTTTTGGTAGTAATTTTCATCTTCCTTTTCCAACTTTTCAGTTGATTTTGTCAGTTTATTGAGGAGCTAATGTAAAACATCAATGTCACACATTTACTAACACATTTTTGAAAGCCCTTTGTAATTCCATAGTAATAATTATATGTGGCTCAATGATATGTTTCTCACCTCTCACGTAGAGTCATAAACAGTGACTATAGTTGACAAAATGAAAGATCTTTATAAGAAAAAAAGGCATGGCCAAACCTAAAGGAAACCCAAGGGCCTTCCAGTATGATTCCCCCAATTTTACACATGAGGAGATTGAGACCCTTAAATAGGAAGTGATTTGTCTACACTCACACAGTCAAGGAGAAGGTCAAACAACACAGCTTTTGAGAATTGACAGTACAGGTCAAGATTGCAATTGGCCAATGAATCCCATAGTCTTATCTGGTAAATCTTTTGGGCTCCTGCACTTCTTACCAGGTTAGGTAGAGACTTGTGGAATCATACAATTTTTAGAACTAATTTTTAGAATGAGTCTGGCTACTGTCCTATCTAGCGATATTATTTTACTTTTACTATATAAACCCAGAAGTAGAGCTTTGGAATCAAACTTCCAGGATAAGAGTCCTGGTCCTAGCTGCAAACAAGTTACTTAACCTTACTGAGCCACAGTTTTCTCATCTCTGTGATGGGGATAGGTAATTAATACATACCGGGTTGCTTTGAGAATTCAGGCACATCTTGGGACTCAGAAAACAATACCACAAAATCAAGGCCTCAGAAGCAGCCTCAGAAGTAAAAGTTTCTCTCTGACCTTCTTCTGCCCTCCTGTCTCTCACTCCCATTCTCCCCTGAGGCTATTGGTAGAAACCAGAATCCCTCTTCCCCAAAGAAGGTCACAGAAACCAGAACCTCTTTTCTCCAAAGCCAGCCATAAAATCTAAAAATATTAGTCTCACTTTCCCCTGCCTTTCTGTGTAAAAACTGTCCATAAAGAAATTATCTGACCTACCTTGTCTGACTGTAGATCATAAGACCCCTATTCCAGAGAGGATCCTGCCCCATTCCCAGCAGGAAGGAAGGCTGCACAGAGAGGCCAAGAAGACTCCAGAAAGACAGCCTTACTGGGTTTCCCCACACAGTCTATTAGCATTAGATTACACCCCTTTTGTACATAATATTTGTACATGGATGTCCGTATTTTGTTAAACCTAAGCATAAACATAGACAAGTTCCCCTGTATATTTGGAACTTCGTTCTGAAGGCTCCCATGTCACATAAAACTATGATCAAATACATTTGTATGCCTTTTCTCCTATTCATCTGTCTCTTGTCAGTGATTTTCAGCCAAACTTCAGGGGCAAAAGGGAAGATTTCCCTTGGCCCTGACATAGGTAACACAGATAAGGCAAATGGCACACTGCCCAACACCTGGCATAGCACTCAAAATTTAGCGAGTGTAATTATTGCCAGTGAAAAGCCTGAGATACATGCCCAATGTTCACTGCAAGTTATGGACAGCTTGATAAGATGGTTTCCTCTCATCCTGCTCCCCAATGATCTGCTCCCTTACAAAGAGCCCCCCTCTTGCCCATCACCAAAATTTGTCATTCTGATTACTAAATCTTCTGGAAAATCAGTGTACAGTAATATAAAACTCCCTGGGCCAGGGTAGCTGAAACTGACTCTCAAAATGCCCAGACAAGTAATTTCATGTTTCTGAAAAACAAAGAAGTTGGATTGCATGAATTATTCTCCAACTTTATATATATATATTTAAAGCATTCAATATCTTTCTTTTTCTTTTCTTTTTTTTTTTTTTTTTTTTTTTTTTGGAGACAGGGTCTGGCTCTGTCACCCAGGCTGGAGTTCAGTGACAGAATCATGGCTCACTGGCTCACTGCAACCTCCTTGTCCCGGGTTCAAGCAATGCTCCCATCTCAGCCTCCCAAGTAGCTGGGACTAGTTTTTATATTTTTTGCAGAGGTGGGGTTTCACCATGTTGCCCAGTCTGGTCTCCAACTCCTGGGCTCAAGCGATCTGTCTACCTCAGCCTCCCAAAATTTTAGGATCATGAGTGTGGGCCATCGCACCCAGCCGATTCTCCAACTTTACTCTATTTAGAAATGACCTGAAATGCTTGTAAAAATTACAAATTCCAGAATTCTACAAGTAGCAATACTTATTTCATACATCTGTAGTGGGATTAGAAAATCTGAGTTTTGACTATAGCTCCCCAGATCGTTCTGATGCAAATGGTCTTCAAACCATTCTTTAAAAAACATCAAAGATCCCCCCGGACTTAGTAGTTTAGGAGTTTCAAGGACAGAGACAAAGGCTGTTAAAATGGACTCTCTCTATTTAAGGGCATTTTGACTAACCTTACAATCATGAAAAACATTCATCCAAAATGTTGAACGTTAATACCATTCACTTTATTATTCCAATTGATACTAAGGCTATACAACTGTCCCCCAGCTCTGATGCATGACCTACACAGGACATATCTGTTTTTTTGTTTTTTTTTTTTTTTTTTTTTTGAGATGGAGTCTCGCCCTGTCCCCCAGGCTGGAGTGCAGTGGCACGATCTCAGCTCACTGCAAGCTCCGCCTCCGGGGTTCACGCCATTCTCCTGCCTCAGCCTCCTGAGTAGCTGGGACTACAGGTGCCTGCCACCACGCCCGGCTAATTTTTTGTATTTTTAGTAGAGACGGGGTTTCACCATGTTAGCCCGGATGGTCTCGATCTCCTGACCTCGTGATCCGCCCGTTTCAGCCTCCCAAAGTGCTGGGATTACAGGCGTGAGCCACCGCGCCCAGCTGACATATCTGGTTTTGTACCAAGTTTAATGAACCACATGTGTCTGTAGAAACTCAAGCTTGTGAACATTAACCTGGCAACAGTTCAATGCAAGGACTCAAAGAGAGTCATGGTTATACTCTGCTAAATCATTGTCCTCGGATTCTTATTGAGAATGCTCAGCACCCCAGGAATGAGAACTGAGTTGCTTTTGAGATCACCATTAATATTCATCAGCCTGCACTATAGAGCTGTGGACTAGAATTTTCTGCTCAGCAAATTTACAGCAGATAGTTCAAGTATATATATGAAAGAAGAATGTATACTCATACACACACACACACACACATATATATATATATATATATATTTTTTTTTTTTTTTTTGAGACGGAGTCTCTCTGGTCGGCCAGGCTGGAGTACAGTGGTGCGATCTCAGCTCACTACAACCTCCGCCTCTCAGGTTCAAGCGATTCGCCTGCCTCAGCCTCCCGAGTAGCTGGGATTACAGGCATGTGCCACCACGCCCAGGATTTCACCATCTTGGCCAGGCTGGTCTTGAACTCCTGACCTCAGGTAATCTGCCCACCTCAGCCTCCCGAAGTGCTGGGATTATAGGCCTGAGCCACTGCGCCCGGCTGTAGACTCCTGTATTCTTACTTAAGGAACTTCTCAGAAACCTTTACTAAAATTTGTCAAAGATTGACTTCTTTTCCTTTCGTCCCTTTTTTTGCTCTTGGAACAAACATCGCATTCATTTATTCACCAGACATTGAGGGCCTTCCGTGTGTCATGTGCAAGGCTTTAGGAATAGAAAATGGAACAAGACAGGCTCCCTCTCTAGTCAGGGACCCACAGACCATTACCATCTTGTGTGCTGATAGAGTTATGTAGGTACCACTGGAAGGACATCAAGAGAGGCATCTAAACTAGCCTTGAAATTAAAATGACATTTAAGCTATAATTTGGCTCATAGTAAGTGCTCAAAAATCGATCTCCATATGAATAAAACTAAAATGAAAGTAGGAGTTGGTGAGGCAAAATAGTATGGCAGGATACAGAAAGATATTTTTTGGTGAAGTTGGATCACACAGCTTACGACGGAGAATGGGGAGAGGTGATGTTGAAGAGATTGGCAAGGTTCAAGTCAGGAAGGGTCTTACAGGCCACATGAAAGAGTTTTTCCTGGCTGGGTGTGGTGGTTCACGCCCGTAATCCCAGCACTTTGGGAGGCCAAGTCGGGCAGATCACCTGTGGTCAGGAGTTCGAGAACAGCCTGGCCAACATGGTGAAAACCTGTCTCTACTAAAAATACAAAAAATTAGCTGGGCATGGTGGTGAGTGCCTGTAATCCCAGCTACTTGGGAGGCTAAGGCAGAATTGTTGAACTTGGGAGGCAGAGGTTGCAGTCGGCCCAGATTGCACCATTGCACTCCAGCCTGGGCAACAAGAGCAAAACTCCGTCTCAAAAAAAAAAAAAAAGAGTTTTTTTTATTTATTCTGAAGTCATTGGGAAGCCTTTGAAGGCTTTCAAAAGGAATGATATGCTCAGATTCGAGTTTAAGAAAAGTCAGCTTGGCTTGTACATGGGGAATAGATAGGAACAGGCAACACTGAAAGCAAAGAGACTGATTTGTTGGTTACAAAAAACCAAGCAAAAGATGATTGCGGCCTGAGAGAGGATGTCAGCAGTGGAGATAGACAAAAGCAAAGATATTCAAGAAGTATTTGGGGCTGGGCACGGTGGCTCGCGCCTGTAATCCCAGTATTTTGGGAGGCCAAGGCGGGCGGATCACTTGATGTTTGGAGTTCGAGACCAGCCTGGCCAACATGGCAAAACCCCATCTCTACTAAAAATACAAAAATTAGCCAGATGTGATGGCGCACGCCTGTACTCCCAGCTACTTGGGAGGCTGAGGAAGGAGGATCACTTGAAACTGGAAGGCAGAGGTTGCAGTGAGCTGAGACTGTGCCACTGAAGGATCTGGTTTGAGTTAGAATTGGGAGGATAGGTGGGTGATGATATTCAAAGACACAGAGAACACAGGAATAAAGATTATCTTTGGTAGAAAAAAAGTGATGGTTGGATTTTGGATATTGAGTTTAAGGAGTCAGAAAGCAGTTTACAGACTGGTTTGGACTGGAGATATAAATTTGGGTATTGCCAGCATAGATACTGTAGTTGAATCCTTGAGAATATACTTATTGAGTATGTATTATTTATCGAGTACCTGATATCAAGAGTACTGTATCAGACACTGGAGAGACAATGGTGAAGAGAATAGAGTGAGGCCCAGAAGAGAAATCTTCAGAAACTGCAATATATAAAGATCAGGCCAAAAAAGGGAGCCCATAAAGAAATCTAATTTAAAATTTACAGAAAGTAGGAGGAAAATAAAAGCATTAGTTGTTACTAAAGTGAAAAGAAGAGAATGTTTCTAGAAACGGGAAATAAACAATGCTTAATACTTCCGAGAAGTTAACTAAGGTAAGACTTGGAAAGTACCTGTTAGCTTTAGCAATGAGAAGACATTGTTTTCGATGGCAAGAACACTCTTAGTGGAAAGATGGGGAAAGCTTGATTAGGGTGATTTGAAGAGTGAACAGAAGATGAGGAAGTGGAAACAGAGCAGATAGATACCCCTTTCACTAAGATATATTGTGACCGGGCGCGGTGGCTCACGCCTGTAATCCCAGCACTTTGGGAGGCCGAGGCGGGCGGATCACGAAGTCAGGAGATCGAGACTATCCTAGCTAACTCGGTGAAATCCCATCTCTACTAAAAAATATAAAAAATTAGCTGGGTGTGGTGGCGGGGCCTGTAGTCCCAGCTACTCGGGAGGCTGAGGCAGGAGAATGTCATGAACCCAGAAGGCGGAGCTTGCAGTAAGCCGAGATCGCGCCACTGCACTCCAGCCTGGGCGACACAGCAAGACTCCATCTCAAAAAAAAAAAAAAAAAAAAAAAAAAAGATGTTAAAAAAGTGTATTATAAAAAAAAAAGATGTATTGTAAAAAGGAGACATGACAATATCTGGAGAGGAATGTGAGACCCCATAAATAAGTGTTCCTGTAACTTTCTTTACTCTTGCAAGATGGGAGGAAGATGCAATAGACTATTTGTGCCCTCCCACCAGATTAGGCCATGAGGGTGGAACCCTCATGAATGGGATTACTGCCCTTATAGAAGAGGCCCCAGGGAGCTTCCTTGCTCTCTTTCCACCACGTGAGAATGCAATGAGAAGTAGCCGGTCTGCAACCTGAAAGAGGAAGCCTCACCAGATAGCACCTGATCCCACACTTCCAGAATGTCTGCTGTTGAAGCCACCTCCATCTATGGAACTTGGTTATAGCAGCCTGAACAGACTATAAGACAGGGGGAGTTATAGAAGGCTGGTGGGGAGGAATCATTAGGGAGTGGGCTGTCCAAGATATGGGAAATATGGGATAATCAAGAGAGGGCCTCTGGGAGGCAGAATGGGATGAGATTAGAGCACAGGATGCAGAACTGGCCTCTCCATTGCAGATATGTAAATGCTATTACTTCAGTAGGCAGGTGGCTGTGCTGACTTCTATTTACTCTGTGAGGTAGGAGGCAAGATACTGTGCCAGGAGTGTGTGGATGGAGGTGTGAGGAGAACGGAGGTTTAGATCAGCTTCTGGTGGGAATCAAGACTGCTGAGCAGGAAACCAGGAAGAATTTGCTGAGCAGCACAGAGCATCAGCTCAGGTGATCATGAGCGCTTCTATGTGAGATGAGAAAATGAATGCCCCCCGCTTGGGTGTTCAGCTTCAGGATTAACAAAAGCTGCCAGATTAAGCAGTGAAGATGGCATGGGTGTATGACAGAGTAACAGCCAAGGTTATGGTTACCAGCTGGAGGAGAGGAGAGAGCACTGTGGATCTTTACTTCCCAGGGAAGCTGCTGATGGGGGTAGGAAGAGGAAATTCACCACTTAGCTGCCATGCTTTTTTCTTTATTATTGCATGACATCAATAAAGAATAGCTTCTAATGAGCACTCAGAATGCCTAGGCAGGTCCTGGCACTGAGTATTTTAACAGACTGGGTTCGCCTCTTCGGAAGCTGCCTCATTATTCAATACTTGTTATGATCATTTCCAACTGTGAAGACTGACATGGAAAGAAATAAGAGTCTTGTAAAATCTTGCTAACAATGAATTTAAGTTATTCAATGGATATTTCTTCAGATGAAAGAGCTACTGGTGATGACAATTTTCTCTTCCTTTGTAAGGGGTTTGCAGTGGTGCTGGTTGCATTTCCTTAGTGGAGACTCATCTTTTGTAGAAGATATCGACTATTTCAAAGGTTTTCAATCTGGGACACATACCACAAGAGGGGTGCAAGATAATCTATTGGGGTGTAAGCAGAAAATGTTCATTTTGTTCCTGTACCCCAATATTATTCGTGTTCATTTTGCCTGAAAACACAGTTGTCAAGCTTACTCTTATTTAATATATGAGTCTACACTGGTGCTCACACATGGACAGTTGTGGATTCTGATATGGCCTGGGGGAAGGGTGGGGATTCTGCAACCTGAAAAGCTGCCCTAGGCCCTCACTGTGTTTTCCCTTCCAGCATCTGGGACATGTGGCCATTGACATATACCTGGGCCATGTGATTTTACAGACATTTTCTGGCTCCAGTTAGGTTAACATACACAAAATGCACAAATATCTTAGAGGATTTCTGCCAAGAACCTGTGGATTGATGTTACTACCAACAATTTAACCACAAAGAATCCACAGCAAAATGTCCAAGCTGATGCTGCCACCTCTCCTGGTTGTGAGTTTGTTACTACCCACATGAAAGGGCAAACACTGAAATGAGATCTGACAAAAAATTTGATGAACAAATTACATTATCGAGAAGGCTGGCCAGGGGCGGTGGCTCATGCCTATAATCCCAGCACTTTGAGAGGCTAAGGCAGGAAGATCACTTGAGGTCAGGAGTTCGAGACCAGCCTGGCCAACATGGTGACACCTCGCCTCTACTAAAAATGCAAAAAAAAATTAGCCGAGCATGGTGGTGCACACCTGTAGTCCCAGCTACTTGGGAGGCTGGGGTGGGATAATTGCTTGAAGCCTGGAGTGGGAGGATGCAATGAGCCAAGATTGCACCACTGCCCTCCAGCCTGGGCCACAGAGTGAGACTCTGTCTCAAGAAAAAAAAAAATTATCAAGAAGACTATTCGAAATATGCATTTAAATTTACTATAGTTAAGGCTGAACCTTGCTCCAAGTATACATTTTTCCTGAAAACATTACTTAATGATTATCTAAAGACATCATGGTTTGCTAATCATTTAAAATATTATTTCATCTTTATTTCATCCTGGAAACATTTCTACTTTTATGCTTTATAATGTTCATAACATATTAACATAATACATAAAGTACTATATGTAACAAACAACATATATATAGTATTTATTTTTACTTATTTGGGGTATTAGCTGAGAGGTTTTTTTAAGATATTAATAGAGTTTCCTTTAAAAAAATGTGGGCATCATTGGTCTCATTTGTCATCTGTCAATAATATTTTTTAAAAATACATGTGGTCCAGGCAAAGTAGCATGCTCCTGTAGTCCCAGCTACTTGAGAGGCTGAGGTGGGAGGATCCCTTGAGCCTAGGACTTTGATGCCAGCCTGGGCAGCACAGTGAGATCCCTTCTATTTAAAAGAATTAAAATAAAGTTTAAAATGTATGTGGTGTGTGTGTGTGTGTGTGTGTGTGTGTGTGTGTGCGCGCGCGCGCGCGCGCACGCCAGTAATGATTTGGAATCCCCTTTTATGCTCTGTCAAGCTACATCTCTGCAGGAATCCCACAGAGAAGGAGGAATCAACCCGTTCTCTTGTGTTCGTAGCTAAGGGCAGCAAGTCCATCCCTCTCTATGGCACATGCGCCCAGCCAGCCATGACAGCTTACCTTCCGCTTCTCCTTCTCAGTCATAGATTGCTTGGAGCTTTCTACAAGCTGGAAAAGTGCTTCATGTTTCTTGGTACTAACCATTAATTTCTTCTTGGCCTAGAGTAAAAAACATACAAACAAGAAAAAAAGGAGCAGAGGCTGATGCCAAGAGAAAACTCTCCTCTTTTGGAACAAAGCACATTCATGTGCTAGCTTTAACAATTATGTATCCTAGAATCCTCCAAAGGCTGAAACAAAAATGTGTACTTTTAGTTCTTCATTCCCATCCTCACTTCAAAATGTACCTAAAACATCAGAGCAGCTAACACTTTGTCCGGAGAACTCCTGCATACTTTTTCATTATATCGGGTACCCTCAAGAGGATTTTGAATTTTGCTAAATCATCAAAGGCCTGCAAGCCTCCAAAATAATGTTCTAGTGAGCATAATGGCTTTACCACAGAAGATATCACAGCAAACACAGAAGACTGCCTGCATCATTCTTTACATCAACCTAGGCCACGATTTGAGATTGTTTTAAGATGTTCTCTTAAAACGTGCAGCAAGGGTCACAATTCTGCTCCCTGATGGCCAAGCCTGAGAGTTGGGCATTTGTCTGGCATCTTGTGAAATGCCCTGCACTTGCTGGAGTTGGAGAAGTAGAAAGAAGTAGGGAAGGAAGGAGCACTCAAGAGTCTCCCTACCCTGTTCATGCTGACCCTTTGGAGTGGGTTAGGATTTAGGGGATAATTTCCTAGTCTACATGGTTGAATTTAACTGAAGATGATGCTCCAGAGATAAATTATGCAAACAGAATTTGGTTTAAGTTGGATTTAGCCTGTTCAGGAAGTAGGCTGATTGAAAGACTTTGGCTTTTTGCCTCAAGGTTGCAAGGACTGTCAAACCAGATAGTAAAGGAGAGGTCTCTCTTCCTTGGCTTTTTAGCTTGGGAATCAAAGGCAAAGCCTTCTGCCTCCCTCTAAACGTGGGAAGCCTCTGCAAAGGAAAATTAAAGAAATAAGCTCATGGCCCTCTTTCTCCACCTCCCGTCAGCCACATGCCTGCTGGGAAATGAGAGTGTGACGCATGAATATTTGGTCCTTTAAGGCTTTTCATTAGAGTCTCCCAAATAGACTACTTCATTACTGACATGCTGAATCCCTTGAATTGTAACTGGGGAGAAAATTATTATAGCCCAATAATTTTATGTTCTCTAATTTCGCTGTCACTCTTTATTTAAAAAAATGAAATCTTTTATTTAAAAAAATGACTTGATAGAAACTGGGAAATGATAAAAGATGTTTTTTCTTGGGAGCAATTGCAGCCTCTCAGCATTATTTCTGGCTTTTGATTCATTGTACTGAATTCCTGTGAAAGCTGAATATTAAAAGAAAATGGATTTTTAAAAACAAATCCTTTTAAAGGCCAGGTGTAGTGGCTCATCCCTGTAATCCCTACACTTTAGGAAGCCAAGGTGGGCAGATCCCTTGTGCCCAGGAGTTCGGGATCAGCCTGGGCAACATAGCAAGACCCTGTCTCTATTTCTTTAAAAAAAATACAAAACAATTCCTTTTAAAGAAAACTCATAAAATCCATGGCAAAACTAAAAAGCAAATGACTGGATACTGTTTCTGGGACTTTACTTTTTATAAAAGTGATTCTCATGAGCATCCTTTTACCATTGTAACTACTGTGGATACAGAAATTCACTTACATCAAACACTTTTTATTAATGTCCTTGGTCTTATGGAGTCAGTCCTCAGTTTTGGCAGAAGCTTTGGAAGTAACACCAAGTTTGCCTGTCTCTGAGTGCGTCTGTCTCTAGTTATTTGGCATCAGTGGCTGTTTACTTGTAAAGGTTCTCTGTGGGCACTAACGCTTTGGAGATGAAAAAGGATTTCAACACTTAGAGAACAAGTCTTCTCAGAGGGGTTCATTGAATCTTGTTAGTAGATTTACTGCTAGTCCTTTCTACCTGAAATGAATTCCTCCTATACTACATTGTTCTAGAATAATCTTCTGTGCATATGGATCCCATCTGTTATTTTCTCTGCTTAAGAACTCATACAGATATGCTCTAGCTTCCCACGCCAGATCGTAATTCCTCCTAGAATGTATTCCCTATTTCCTGCACACGTCATCTAGCCAACTAAATTTTAAATTACTTGAAAAAAATTATGTCTTAGAATAGTGTTGTGCACAAAAAGTGGACCCCACATACTCATGAAATTGATATACGCATCCCCTTTTACATATCACTACCCACCCCTCACTGGGCCACTCTCACTAATGATGTAGAGATCACTAACACCTTTCTACAAATGAAAAAAACAAAACCCAGGTGGTGTTTATCATATTCTGTAAGTTACAAATTATACAGAAAGGTAGTCAGTATAATGGAATGATTAAGAGCAGTGACCCTGGAACCCAACTTGTGACAACCATTGGTTCAACCATTAACCAGCTCTGTATCCTTGGGAAAATTACTGAAACTCTCTGTGTCTCCATTGCCCAATCTGTAAAATGGGGCAATGCACAATGACATATGACATTGGGTTGTTGTGATGATTAAATACATAAATATATAGCACTTAGCACATAATAAGTGCTAAATAATCATAGTTAGAGCCATGCACTTCCATTGGTTTGGTGAAAAATATATCTGTGTAACAACCAGGTAAGGAAACATTTTTCTCTTCAGTTAGCACTTAGAAGTACTAATGCTAGAACATGTCATCGCATTTGTATGAAAGCAAAACACTTCAATTCTAAAAACTGAGTTTACACAAATGGTATTTGTGGATACTTGCCTTAATTTGCTGATTCCAGTTGCTAATGACAAGATTTGCTGTCTTTTCAACTTCATTGTCAAGCTATTGAAAAAGGAAAAAGGAAACAAAGCTTTGCTTTCTTCTTGTTTAGTTGCTGTAATAGACTAAATGTTCGTGCCCCTAAAATGTATCGATTGAAACCTATTCCCTCAATGTGATGGTATTTGGAGGTGGAGGCTCTGAGAAATGATTAGTTCATGAGGGTGGAGCCCCCATGAATGAGATTAGTGCCCTTATAAAAGAGACCCCAAGAGCTGCCTAGCCCCTTCTGCCATCTGAGGTTACAGTGAGTAAATAGCCACTGATGAACCAGGAAGTGGGCCCTCATCACACAGCTAATGTGTGGGTGCCTTGCTCTTGGACTTCCCAGCCTCCAGAACTGTAAGAAATAAATTCCTATTATTTATAAGCTATCCAGTTTATGGTACTTTGTTAGAGCAGCCTGAACTAAGACAGTCACAGTACTAGCTTATCAATCACTATTACAATTCATGGGAATTTCAAGATCTTACAATGGACATATTAGCCAAATTATCTTATCCCTGTGTCAAGTAACAGGACTTGGTAAAATAATTATTTCTAATCTATAAGAATGTAAAAAGCATGTAAACATGTGCAATCATGTGTAACAGGCCCTTGCATGAGCTGATATTGTTGCTAGTCCCATCACATCATCTTCCACGTCAATCCATGCAGCAAAAACCTCAACACTATGAAAACTGGTAACAGTCCTAACTGCCAGTTTTACTGTGTGTCTCCATTACCCCTGAAGTGAATATTGCTTTAATTTCAAAGATATTGAACTCTTAATCATAATTAACTTTTTCCCTTGCTTTTAAACAGCCAAAGAGACAGTAATAATAATGATGAAAATGATCTAGACAACTTCCCAGGGAGATCTGATGTAAGTTACAGCAGAATGTTTTTCCCTGGAACACAGACCCAGCAGATCAGCCGTTATTCAACCACTCTGAGATCTAGCGAATGCTACACTTTCATTTTTTTCCAGTTGGTTAAATTTAGAGTATATGGTTCATTGTAACAGACATAATGAAAATATTTCATGTACTATGCCACTTTTGATTTCACATATGTGTCTGGAATGTGGAACAAGGTCACTTTAGAAAATAAAATCTAATCTTTTATATTTTGTGAGAGAGTGGAGTGGGGTGGTGGGGTGCAGTGGAGAGGGGCAATGCAGAAAAGAAGAAAAACAGGACAAGCATTTCGGGGGTGCTCATGACATCCATTAACTAAAGCACTGTGATTAACTGTCACAGCACTGTGCCTCATTTATGGTAAATACTAAAGAAATGCTAATGACTATCATATTAT
This sequence comes from Homo sapiens, assembly GCF_000001405.40. Taxonomy (NCBI): domain Eukaryota; kingdom Metazoa; phylum Chordata; class Mammalia; order Primates; family Hominidae; genus Homo; species Homo sapiens. The sequence goes on along the minus strand of NC_000002.12, from coordinate 168,830,178 downwards.
TATGCAGTGTGAAAAATATTTTGTAATCAACGAAATATAGACTAGTAATTGGTTTTTATTAAGTTGGCTTGCAAAGGCAGAAGGTTATATTGCTTGCTAGCAATTCCTATCAAGTTCTGTCCATCACCCGAAACTCTGAATAGAGCATCCATTCTGGTAAAATATACCTATGTACATACAAACATCAATTCCACTTCCTGACCCAGCTTAATGAGTTTGAATAAAATTTTTAAAAATCATTTCTCCTCCATCAGAACTTTCACACCTCTCCTCATCCTTCTGACTTGCCACTGAGGATGTGCTTTATCTGACTGTATTCCCTTGAAACTCCCCCTTAACCACTGCCCCTTCCCTTCACAGGGACCACCTACCACAGCTTACAAACATCTTACCTGCACCTGGTCATGAAACAAACAGTGACCATAACCCCACCCCTATCAGAGCCAAGCAGTGTTTATTAAACACCCAATTATGTTGCCTGGAAGTAGAGTATAAAGTGCTTAACTACTGAATAATACACAACGAAAAAGAAAAAGGAACACAAATGAAACTGTTCTAGGCCGAGGGCAGTGGCTCATGCCTGTAATCCCAGCACTTTGGGAGGCCAAGATGGGCGGATCACCTGAGGTCAGGAGTTGGAGACAAGCCTGACCAACATAGCGATCCCTGGTCTCTACTAAAAATACAAAAATTAGCCAGGCGTGGTGGCAGGCACCTGTAATGTCAGCTACTCGAGAGGCTGAGGCAGGCAAGTCACTTGAACCCAGGAGGTGGAGGTTGCAGTGAGCCAAGATGACGCCATTGCACTCCAGCCTGGGTGACAAGAGCAAAACTCCGTCAAAAAAAGAAAGAAAGGGAGAGAGAGAAAAAAAAAGAAAGAGAAGGAAGGAAGAAAGGAAGGGAGGGAGGGAGGGAAGGAAAGAAAGAAAAACTGTTCTAGAAGGAAAGGCACAGAGAAAGAGTAGAGGATCGGCTATTAGAGGACCAGGTGCCCCTGAAAGGATTGTTTAATTATCTTTCTGTAATTTTTAGGACATTTGAGGATTGTACTCATTATTACCTTTACATAATACCAAGCTAATAAGCGTAGAAAGCATCTTTGTAAAAATTGTGCTTATCATTCTCTTATTTATAAATAGAATAAAATTATTTTAAAAATGCAAAAAAGTATAAAAATGAAATAAAAATAACCTCCAATTTCACCATCTAAAGATCATTCTTATTAACATTTTGAGAAGCTTCTTCCAGCTTTTTCTATACATATATATACATATTCATTTTATAAAGTTGAGATTGTATAAATTAGACTTTTTCATTCTGCTTTATTTAGCAGTATACTGTGAAAAAAATCCCCATGTGATTAAATTCTTCTACAATAAGATTTTGAATCATTGCAAATTATTCTATTGCTTGAATTTATCACAATTTATTTTGAATGCTTCAGTAGTTTCCAGTTTTTCACTATTATAAGCAATGCTCTAACAAACATCCTTGTACATAAATCTTGGATTTGTGTTTTTTATTATTCATTTATTTTAAAATAAATAAAAGTATTTATTTTATTTTTAGGATAAATTCCTGAAACTTGGTACCACTTTCAGATCACCTTTTCCTTTTCTGGGCTAAACACAGGAATCTTGCTTTAAACAGGAAGAGTAAAGAAAGGTTTGGACTCACTGATTTTCTCTTCTTCTCTTGTACATTTAGGACTTGATAAGTCGGTTTTATTGCTTCCAATTCAATTGCTTTGCCAAGTTTTCTGGAAATAAAACATAAAAGACACATAAGCATAATATCAGCGTTTACATCTACTTTCCAAATTACTTTCTGGGGAAATAAAATAGTGTGTTATGGAACACCTATTCAGTGCAAGTTGGAAGTGGAATATTTGTAGCAAACCCACTTTAAATATTTGATTCCCTTTGGAGTTGGAGAAAGGCCAGGGTGGGAGAACTCACTGATGCAGGTCCGCTGTGGATTTCATTCCCTCTGAGGCCCAGGCCCAGGCACTGCTAACACAACTAAAGGCAAAAAAAAGTGGGGAACAAAGGTGAGTGTCATTTTCCTAGGAAATAGGATGTGCTGGCTAGAAATACAGCATCGCATCTGATTCACCACATTCAACAATTGCATTCACTTCCCTAACCTTATTTCAATTTCTCTATGAGATTACATTCTGCCAATACATTTATTTGCACTATACTCATTATATATACTGCTTTTTTCCCAGTTATTTTTCATTTAGATTTTCATTTCCTATTTCATATCTGTATAAAATAGAGGAAATGGCCAGGTGTGGTGGCACTGCCTCAGCCTCCTAAAGTGCCTGTAAATCCCAGCACTTTAGGAGGCTGAGGTGGGATGATCACTTGAGGCCACAGGTTCAAAACTAGCCTGTGCAACACACACAGCGAGACCTTTTCTCTACGAAAAACTTTTTAAAATTAGCCAGGTGTGGTGATGCACGCCCATAGTCCTAGCTACTAGGGAGGCCAAGGTAGGAGGATTGCTTGAGCCCAGGAAGCTACAGTGAGCTATGATCATGCCACTGTACTCCAGCCTGGGCAACAGAGCAAGACCGTATCCCCTGAGCCCCTCTCCCCACCAAAAAGAAAAAAATAAGTAATGAAAATAAAATAAAATAGGGGAAATAAAATAGCCAAGGATGAGAACAGGTTGGTCATAGGACACATAGATATGAAAAAACTGAGACTCAGAAAAGTTAAGTGATAAAGGGCTTGAGAGCCCTGTTCATGTCCTGCTGCTGCTCTTGGGGTTGGAGTCCAGTTCCTGTTCCCTGCTGGGTTTGAGGACAACAGCTCAGATAGTTAATGGTCCCATGAGCAGTATCTCACTTTAACACAAAGGATAATGCTACCCAGTCCCTCATGGCATAGCGGGAGGATTAGGGAGTGTGATGTCATTTTTCTTCCACAGTGGCCCCATGTAGTCTGCCTTCAACAGTCAGGATAGTAAGTCCAATCACATCAAGAAACCCCAGGTACAGAGGCCTGTGTAGATTTTGATGAAGAGGAAGGGGGTGGATCTGCATCCTTGCCTTAATCAGAATGGTACAGAGGTTTTGCCTCCAAATGCCTTAGTTTGCATCCTGCAGTCTAAGAATAAGAGAACTAGACCAAAAGATGCCAGATTTTCTGCACATCCAAAGCCAGATACAAGCTTAGGCACAAGAGCATACCTGCTATATACTTACAATTACAGGAGATTCCAGAAAACACTAAATGAATCTCTATTGACAGGAAGCAGGTCAGTGGTTGCTTGGAGTTGGGTGGGAAGGAGTGCAAACAGGCATGATAAATCTTTTGGCATGATGAAAATGTCTATGTTTTGATTTTAGTGGTGGCTACACAGGGTATTTACATATGTCAAAACTGATCAAATCATATGCTTAAAATGGGTGCTTATTATTGCATGTAAATTAAAACTCAGTAGAGCTGATTTTTAAAAAATGAAGTCAGGCACATTTCTGGGTAGAGCATCTGACATTTGCCCCTTGGAGGAGCTGGGTCTCAGGACAGGAACCAAGCATGTGGCCTCAGTCTGTGTCTGAATGGAGATGCTCCCCCTTTGTTTTCTGCATGACCTTGGAAGAATCTCTGGCCCTCACTTAACTGATCTTTTAAAGTAGAAGTAACTTGGTCAACACCTGTGAAAAGACAGGGTAAAAATGGAAAGAGAAGGAACGAAGGAAGCAAGGGAGGAAGGGAGGGAAGAGAAAGAAAGGAAAGAAAGAAAGAGAGAAAGAATTAGAAGTAATGAAGTAACAGGATATCTGTAGTACCTAACACAGATTTCGGTATGGATAAAAATTCTCTAATGTTTACTGTTAAATACTGTACTAATCCCAGTTGGCCTAACATTCTGGACCTGCCAACTCTTTGGTAGTATTCTGCTGGATGACAGAGCTGTAACACAATACACACACCCCTACACCCCTCATTCCTTAGGAGGCAATTCGAATCAAAAACGTAATGGACATTCACAGAGCTTTCGTTCCCTGCCAGGTACTCTGCTAAGCACACGTCTTATATTACCGTATTTAATTCTCACAGCAACCATAAGAGATAGGCTTTACTTTTACTTTAAAGAGATCTTGAGAGGTAAGATAAATTTTCCTAGGTCACTCACCTGTTAAGTGGTAGAGTTAGAATTTAAACCTGGGCAGTGTATCTATACTCAACCACTGTGCTATACTGGCTTCACTGTAGTCTACTAAAATACTGTCCTAAAAATAAAAATAAAGCTAAAAGAGCACTTTCAAAGCCACCATTTGTTATTATGGCTGATGCCTAAAGAAGAGTGGAAATTTGAGCTCCAGAAGCCTTCTTTTTTTCCTTTCCCCTTCTTATCTCTTTCATCATCAAAAGAGACCTCTACAATGGCACTGTCAGTTCAAGGGCACGTCTGCATGCATTAGTCAAGAATCTTTGTAGCAAATTACCACGAATGAACTATCTTTGGTATACCAATATCTTTCTTCTCTCCCCCTAATAAAGGAATCTACTTCATTCTTAGTGCTGCAATATATTGAAAAGAATGTGAACCAATACCTTTCAGTACCTAATGTGCTAAGCTCTCCACACACATGATCTCATTTAATATGCCCACACACACACAATAGAGCACATATTATTACTCTGTCCAACAGAGGAAGAAATAAAGGCACACAGAGGCCAGGTTACTTGTCAAAAGCCATAGAGTAGAGAAAATATAGGATTTACACTTCCTGACTCCAAGACAACCTGACTTTAACAACACCACTTCCCAAGTTAAATATCATTACCAAGGCCTATTATGAATGTGGCCTTAGGAGTCATAAACACTGAGGAAGAATCCAGCTATGCAACTCATGATCTGGGTGATTGGGGGAAGTATCTTGAACTTTCTGTCTCAAGTCCTTATCTGTAAACAGGGATAACAAGACCTCTCAAGGGTTCTTATGAGGATTAAATGGGAGTATCAGTAAAGCATTAACACAGTGCATGCACACAGTAAGTGCCCAAGAACTGGAAGCCATGCTTGATGTTATGTACTTGCCATGTTTAGAAGAGGAAGCTGGAATGGAACATGTCACTTTTTACTATTTTTAAGAATGATTTTGCTGGGTGTGGTGGCTCACACATGTAATCCCAGAACTTTGGAAGGCCAAGGCAGGAGGATTACTTGAGCCCAGGAGTTCAAGACCAGCCTGGGCAACATAGTAAGACCCTGTCCCAACACAAAACAAATTTAGGGCATGGTCCCAGCTACTCTATATGGGAGGCTGGGTGGGAGGATCACCTGAGCCTGGGGGATTGAGGGTGCAGTGAGCTGTGATTGTGCCACTGCACTCTAACCCAGGTAACAGAGCAAGACCCTGTCTCAAAAAACAAACAAACAAACAAACAAAAAACAAATAAAAAAAGGGTTGATTTTGCCTTACCTCTGCCACAATACTTACCTTTTTCTCGTGTTCTGTAATGCTTTGCTCAGCTTGCTTGCCAGTTTCTGAAGTCCTTTGGCATAGCTAATTTCCAGGTTTGCCCTGTTAGAAAAGGACTAGTTAAATAGGATGTACTGGGCTGGGCACAGTGGCTCACACCTATAATCCCAGCACTTTGGGAGGCCAAGGCAGGCAGATCACTTGAGGCCAGGAGTTCAAGACCAGCCTGGCCAACATGGTGAAACCCAGTCTCTACTAAAAATACAAAAATTAGCCAGGCGTGGTGGCAGGCGCCTATAATCCCAGCTACTTGGGAGGCTGAGGTGCGAGAATCGCTTGAGCATGGGAAGAGGATGTTACAATGAGCTGAGATTGTGCCACTGCACTCCAGCCTGGGTGACAAAGCGAGACTCCATCTCAAAAAAAAAAAAATTGATTATGCTGGCTGGAAATCAAGCAAACCAAACATACACACAGATGCACACATGCACACATGTATGCAAGAAGGAGAGATCAGGCTGAAAATGTAATGCCTACGTAAAGAAGAGATGATTTGTTTACTACAAGGATCCTTTTGTCCTTAAGCATAATCCTGAAGGGTATCCAAGAGGATCCTAAAAAGACAGAGGTTTCTGTTTTTGTTTTTTTGTTTTTTGTTTTGAGATGGAGTTTCCCTCTTGTTGCCCAGGCTGGAGTGCAATGGCACAATCTTGGCTCACTGTAACCTCCACCTCCCAGGTTCAAGTGATTCTTTTGCCTTAGCCTCTCAAGTAGCTGGGATTACAGGCACGTACCACAATGCCCGGCTAATTTTGTATTTTTAGTAGAAATGAGGTTTCAGCATGCTGTTCAGCTGGTCTCAAACGCCTGACCTCAGGTGACCCACCCGTCTAGGCCTCCCAAAGTGCTGGGATTACAGGCGTGAGCCACTGTGCCCAGCCCAAAGGAAGAGTTTTTAACTAAGCTTCTTTTACATCATGCTAATGGGTTGAATTGTGTCTCCCAAGAAGAAGTTGAAGTCCTACTCCCCAGTGCCTGTGAATGTGACCTCATATGGGAATAGGGTCTTTGCAGATGATGATCAAGTTAAGATGAGGTCATCAGGGTGGGCCCAAACCCTATAGTGGATGTGTCCCATATAAAGAGAAAATTTGGACATAAACAGACATGTACACAGAGAAAAAGCCATGTGAACATGAAGGCATAGATCTGAGTGGTGCATCTACAAGCCAAAGAATGCCAAAGATTGCCAGCAAATCATCAGGAGCCAGGACAGAGGCACAGAACAAATTTTCCCTCACAGCCCTCAGAACGCACCTCTGACTGCCAGCCTGCAGAACTGTGAGACAACACACTTCTGTTGTTTAAGCCACTCATTCTGTGGTACTTTGTTATGACAGCCCTAAAAACTAATGCAACTGGCCGGGCGCGGTGGCTCACGCCTGTAATCCTAGCATTTTGGGAGGCCGAGGTGGGCGGATCACAAGGTCAGGAGATCGAGACCATCCTGGCTAACACAGTGAAACCCCGTCTCTACTAAAAATACAAAAAATTAGCCAGGTGTGGTGGCTCACGCCTGTAGTCCCAGCTATTCAGGAGGCTGAGGCAGGAGAATCTCTTGAACCCAGGAGGTGGAGGTTGCAGTGAGCCAAGATTGCGCCACTGCACGCTAGCCTGGGCGACAGAGCAAAACTCCATCTCAAACAAAAACAAAAACAAAAACAAAAGTAATACAACTAGTAAGGAACAGAAAACTGTCCTACTGATCTCGGGATATTAGCACTAATCAGATTAGCTCTAGATTATAATCGTTGGCAATAAAATAAATTATGATTGGATTAACCAAGCAGAACTTTCTAATGGGAATCGGCAGTGGTAGCCAACACCAGATTTAGAAAATGAATTTCTATTACTTTCTTTGCAGCACAAGGCTCAGTAGGAAGTCTGGGCATGCCCTCCAAAAGCAAACCCCTTGGTTCTTTTGGATAGATTGAATCATTCTCATCTTAAACCTATTTTACCATGTCCTATTTACAGACCCATCTATAGCTAAAATGAGGGCATCTTCATATCACTTTTGACTATAGAGAATAAAAATGTAGGGAATTAAGTTCAATTTATATTATGTTTTCCTTTTTAATATAGATCCTAAGAGTTTTCATTGCATTTTTCAGTCTGTTAATCCATTTTTATTATATTTTAGAATTATTTATTATGTTATTTCATTTGGGCAGAGCTCTCTAATAACTAGTCTAATACCTGCGTGTTTTCACACAAATTAACTCCGTGGCATAGACTGAGCAAAGAAAGACAGCCCTCTTCTATAAAATGAAATTCAGAGATGATGGGCTATTGATCTATTGCTAAATTACTATTCATTTTTTTTTTCTCTTAGTACAGCTGTGCTTTAAGTTGTTTTTACCACTTTTTGTAAGAAAGTCATTGCAGGATGTATGCTAAGGCCTAGCTGCAGAAAACAACCATTTGGTGTCAGAATTTGCCCAGGCATAAGGAAAGGCTAAGGCAAGTATTTTGAGACAATGAAGCCAGTCAATAAATATCTCATCGCACTTAAAAATAGATTTCTCTGCTCTAGGAATATGTCCCAGTTGATGGAGAGGAGAGAAAAAGAGTGCTGGTTAACAGCCAGCTGGGAGAGACCATCACCCTTGATGAACTCAGATGCTCTGGAACCCCAGGAGATCTCTACCATTCAGTGGGGGTGGCTTCAGGTACTGTTAAAAAGAAGTTACATGACCTACTTAAAGAGGGTTTTATGAAAATTAAAATGTGTTGAGAGCCCAAGTCTACTAGGGGTTCAATGTCTGGAACGATTGCTGCTGACCTGCAAAGCTCTGCATGATCTGACTCCGGCAGCCTCTCCGATTTCCCTTCCTGCCAGGCACCACTTGGCTGATTCTACTCCTATTCAGTGGCCAACTGCCATCCTGCCTCAGGGCCTTTGCACTTGCTGTGGCCTCTGCCGAGAGCTTCTGCTACATAACCACGTGGTATTCTCCTTTGTGTCATCCCCAACAGGAGCTGCTCGAACATCACTGCCTCAGAGGTTTGCCCCGTCTAAAAAAGGATCCTCGCCACTCTCCCCTTACAGTTTTATTTATGTCTTACTGTATCTTGTATCACATTATAATGTTTTAGTTTACTCTGGTGAACACCCCTCGGATGTGAACAGTTTCATAAGGGTCAAGAATGGCTTTGTTCATTGCTATATCCCTAGGCCTAGAAGAGTGCTTGGCACATAACAGGCACTCAGTATGTATGTCACAAATGAATGAATGAATAAGTGAATGGACTTCCCACCAGGTCTTGGTTGGAATTCTTACTGGTCTCTGCCATAGGTTTGTTCTCACCTCACCACTTTTGAGAACTGTAAATTAACAAGCTGTTTAAATGCAGTCTCTCTGGTTTGGGTGCTCAGCCCCGATGTTAGAGCACACTGCTGTCAAGCACTTGAAATACCTAGACACATAAACCCTTCTGAGTCCAGGAAAGCTAACCAGAGGGCTTTTTAGGTCTTTTCTTTCCAGCATTGTATTCTTTCTTGGAAGCAGCACAAAGAGCATTAAATAGGATAATGCTTTTTATAATGTTCAGCTCAGTGCTAGGCACAAAAATCATCCTTAATAAATATTAATTCTTCTAATATGATTATTGTGTATCCAGAAGAAATACACAGCAGTGGGGATGGTGTGGGAGGAAGAATCCCGTTTTCTTGTCCGTTGGCTCCAGAACAATCCTGAATGGTTTTTAACAGGAAAGGTAACACTGTCAGTCACAGCCTCTTCCTCAGAATTCAATTCTACTTTCAGAATGTTCTTGCAGACTGTACAAGGTGTCTCTGAGGCTAAGCAGACCTAAAAAGGACACCAAAAAGAAGTGCTGCTTTCCTTTATGTTGTTAAGTTTATTCCACTTGAGGAAAAAAAAGTTGGGCTTTGGTGGTATGAAAAAGGGGTCCTTGTTCACTTTGAGGTGATTTGGGGCTTTTTTTTTTTTTGGCCAGCTTTTCTCCTGTGCCCCAGTGTTTCTGCCGGCTTTCTCTTGAGCATGGTAGGAAACCAGCCTAAAGAGGTTCAACTACCACACAGCACTTCTTGTGTTGGGAGTCTTCTCTTTACAGACAAGTACCTTAGAAATCTTCAGCAGGGCAGATTTGTGGGTTTATAGCATGGTATACAGGTTAAAAGTTCCTGTATATTGCACCTAAAGAGACTGTCCAGACAGTGGTCTCCTGACAAAGGTGTTGCCTTACCTTTGTGACATGCTGATGCTTGACCTGTGTTCTCCCTAGGCAAGAAACAGGAACATCCAACACTTACTGGGCACTTACAACGTGCCAGGCGTCATTCTGGGTGTTATAGGTATATTTCCTCATTTAATCCCTGATAACCCATGAGGCAGGTATACTCTCTCTACCCATTTCATGGAACGGAACACCAAGGCACAGAGAGTTGGGTCAGTCACTAGCCTGAGGGCACATAGGAAGGAAGTGATGGTCACAGACTTGGATTCCAGCCCTGGGCAGTCTGGCTGGGGAACTGCCTGCTTAACCACACCTCTTTCCTACCTCTGAAGTTTTGGGGAAGAGATTGCAGATGGAGAATTGTGGGAGAAGTGGAACAAAAGGGCTTTCAAAAATTGATACCGCCTCTCACTTCACCTTTAATTGCAGTGTTCTGAATCAGCACAGCTCCTGGAGGCTGAATAGCTGGAGTCCCAATTCACAGCAGCCTCAGAGCAGACATAACGAGCTTCCAGGCCTGTTCCAAAGGCATCTGTGCAGTTGCAAGGCATTTGGGGGATAGGGAGTGGGGATGTTGAGGGTCTGGCAAAGTGGGAAGGATGGGGACTCTGACAGCAAATGTCACCGAGCTAGCCCTCTGGGCTGGAGTGAGTTGGATGTTGCCTCTCTGAACAGCACGATTGTACCCTTTCTCTGCCTGCAACTTATTGATGACCCCGAAGGGTTTAGAACTAGCATTCAAATCAACCAAGCAAAGCAGGCTGCAATCATCTACTCTTGCATTTTAAATCCTAATGACCATTTTGGGAACCTGAGCAAATTACTCTGCAAGACAGAAGGAAATGAAATGTGATGGGGAGATGGGTGTGGGACAGTGTCACTGTGCACTCTTTCTGCACAGTTATAACGAAACCTCTCCCAGGCCTCTAGCGCTGAACGGCTTTTATCTCAACAGATGTTAACGGTTAAATTCTTCCCCTGAGAGAATCGCTCCTTTATAAGAAGCCATGTTCCAAGTGGCAAGCGTGAAGAAAGCTGTTATTTTTGTAAGTCAGAATGTTTGCAAATGGAAACAAACACTTCCATGCTTTTCCGTGCACACTTCCACGGCTCTTCCATGCTTCCGGTCTAATGAGGCAGTATATGTATCCTTTCAGGATTCCTGCTAAATAGAAATGAAATGACCTGGATGTTTTCCCAAGGCAGAGGCAGCAAGGCACACCCCACTTAGAATGATTTCTTCTCATCTCTCAAAGGGAGGTGCTTTATCTCGGTTCAAGCTGAAAAAGTACCACATGCAAGGGGAGTAGAGAGAGCAGAGCTAATCTCACACTGAGATGTGAAATTTTCATTCCCTCATTAAAATAGTCAGAAACAAGCTTGTAAAGACATTGTGCTTAATTCTCTAGCCCTTTTGCATTTTTTTCTTTCCATTCTACTGCCACCATAGCTAATACAACTTAAAATGCCTTCTCCAAGCAATTGTCTTGGCCTGTGTGAAATTGGTGATGCATATATATTTTGATAGGCAACCCGATCTCAGAATATTCCAGTGGTTTTAAAGATTCTGGACCCTGCCCTGTAAATATATACACCTACTATATACCCACAAAAATTAAAAATTAAAAAAATTTTTTAATATGCTAAAAAAGGTTCTGGACCAAGGAAGTGACATGCACTGACTTTTAATCCCTTTACATTCTAATTTTCTCTCAGCATGCAAGGCTGGTCAATATATTTTCATTAGTAATAATGAAGGCCAATTGATAAGTCAAAGACCAATGTTTGACTTAGATTTTAAAATAAATTATATTTTTGAAAGAAAAGAGAGATGGAAAATATGTGATTTCAGATTCAATATTTTAGATAAAGCGCTAATTAAAATGTAAGAATATGTGACCATGTAATCAATATTAGACTATCCTGCTTTTGTAAAACTAAGATAATGAAAAGTAGTTTAAAAAACAAACTGTAGTTGCCCCCTGTGTCTATGAGGAATTAATTAAAATGGAGTTAAGGCCAGGAGCAGTGACTTGCACCTCTAATCCCATCTACTCCAGAGGCCGAGGTAGGAGAATCATTAAGACCAAGAGTTTGAGACCAGCCTAGGCAACATATCAAGATCCCATTTCTACAAAAAATTTGTTTAAAATTAGCCCAGAGCAGTGGCACACACCTGCAGTCCTAGCTACTTGAGAGGCTGAGGCGAGAGGAGTTCGCGAGCACAGGAGTCTGAGGCTGCAGCAAGCTATAATTGCACCACTGCACTCCAGCCTGAGCAGCAGAATGAGAACCCCATCTCTAAAAAACATAAAATAATAAAATAGAGCTAAGCCCTTCTCATGCTTGAAAGAAGCAGGTGACAGAGTCCTCCCTTCATTATAAATTAAGAAGGAATTTTAATAACCTCAAATTCTTCTGTTGGGATATCACCCATCTTTTAAGTTCCTACTTAGGACCAGCACCAGCTTCCAGTTTGGGGGTGGATGTGCTGATATTTTCTATCCAAACTTCATTGGTATGTCTTTTGAAAGACCATCACAAGCTCCTCTTACAGATTGTATTTAAAGTTCATTACCGGCAACTTGAAAGACATTTTCATATTGAAGCTCTGTCATTGGAGTGGCTGGCTCACTTGCTAGCCCACTGCAGCATTATCGATTGTCTTAATTCTGCTTCCTGAGAACAGTATAAAAAATGCTGAAATAGGAGGATAAGACCTGAATGATGCCCTTCTTGAGGGTCTAGTTTGGGAGTCTCACTGAGCCCCGGCTCACTCTGGCCCAGGGAAAACGTAAGCAATGGCAGCTCTAGAACTTCAGAGCCTAAAGTGTGCATTCATTCCTAAGCTTAGTGCATTTGTGTGTGGGGTAGGGGAGGACAGGGAGTATTGTGGTGAGGGAATTCAGGTAAAGTGGACAAGAAAGGCAGTTTTCCAAGCTTTTCAGCAGGGAAACAAAATTTTATGCAGAATTCCACTGTATCATATAAATACCAGTCAAATTGATCTGATTAAAAGGGAGAAGGAATGAGGAGGAAGCAGAGCCCTGCCCACTTAACCTCCTCCTCACCCCCTGAGGTAGCCCCTGTGGGCTCCCCACAAACCCCTTGAGCTATAAGGTTTGAAAGCCACTGGGCTTCATGACTGCTGCTGTCCCTTTCCATAGAGGACCCTAAGACTCTGCAAAGGAGGCTGAACCAGGACTCCCTGAGCATGTTGGGTCACCCAGGGCAGTGCCCAAAACTGCCTATCCACTTGGGGATACCCTGGCACTGAGCCTGGGTTGAGCTGGGTAGGAATCCAAATGTATCATCTTTTCCATATCCCCATCTGTAAATCAGAAATGGAGAGAAGTATGTACGCTGTGGGTTGTGAGATAATTAAAGAGATCAAGTATAAGACACACTTAACACAGTGGCTGGTCTATGGGTTGTACTGAATAAGTGGTCTCTCCTGTGATTTTATTTTTTCTAGCTTTTCTTCAAAATAATATGCTACATATTATGCCAGTAAATGTTTTTGACATACCCACTTATGACTCCTCAAAAATAGCCTAACTTGATCTTCATTAACGTTATGAGTGCCTTCAAGGCAGAGTCACTCAAACATGAGTGCCTTCATTTACTCAGTGAGCATCTATTGAATGCCTACTCAGTGCCAAGCCCATGCTAGTCACGTGGGACACAAAGACCCTCAAGGAGTTCAGCCTCTAGGGAAAGAGACAGGCAAGTGAACAGAGAATTACAGTGCAGGGTGTAAGAGCTACAACAGATGCAAGCACTAATTCTACACATAGAACTGAGGAACATTTTTTTGAGACTGGAGACTGGAGTTAAGGAAGGCCTGCCACAGTGGGATGACTGGATCTTAAAGAATGTGTTGAATGGAGCCAGGCAATGAAGGTGATGAAACATCTACCAGGCAGGCAATACAGCCTGTGCAAATGCAGGGACCCACGTGTGGTGGTGGTGGTGGTGATGCAGGAGTGTGAGTGGGGTGCAAATGGGGTGGGATTGCAAGTGGCCCAGTAAGGAGAGAGGCAGGGATCATGGGGAGACGGAAAGAGAGAAAGTAAACAGGAAGGCAGAGTTCAGCTCTCGAAGGCCCTTTTATAAAATGATGAGGGCTAAATTTTATCCTAAAGGTCATAGGAGTCTTTGAAGCGTCTTAAACAGGGTCATGGCTACAGAGTGAAAGGCGCGTTAAAGACAGGCACAGGGCCTCAGCTGGCCCACAAGTTCAGGAAACTTTGCTTGGATTGGAAACGGGGTCTTCTAAAGGGGCACAGCTCTGTCAGAGTAAAAGGCTTAAGGGGTAAGAGTGGATTAGATTTCTGCCTCCATTCATCTCACTCAGCCATGTGCCTTTGTACAGCATACAAACTCCACGGCTATAAGGCAGCACTTCTAGGCAGAATAGTTTAAGAGAGTTTTGCCAGAACAGTGGAAGAGGCCATAAAATAAAAAGAAAGCTGTGGATCTCAAAGGGGTTTCAAAGAGAGAAATATGGTCTTGGTCATGAGTTGAGATGGACAGAATCATGGATACAGATGGTCCCAGGCATTGAGCTTGATTGGCTGGGCAGTGGTTCCCAGAAGGAGGACCAGCTTTGGAGAAGAGTGGATAAACCCTGTTTTAGACATATTGACTTTGTGGTTCCATGGGACTTCCAGGTGGAGATGTCCAATATACTGTGATATATATGGTTTGAAGTTCAGTTTAGACATGTTCCTAGTACTGCACATTTGTAAATCATCAATATGCAAGAGAGCTAAAGCTGTGGGAGTTAAGGTCACCCAGGATGATGGTAGAGTAGATTATTTTTCAAATATTTAATTTCAATTTTTTATTGCTTTGTTGACAGTGTCCGCAATGAATCATGGATTGAACAAGTGGTCAACTATACCTCCTTCTTTTATTCTTTTCTTTTTAATGTCCAGAGCAGCAGTTCTTGGCATTTGAAAACCAGATCTTAAACTCCCTTACAGAGGAACAATTGATTTTCCAGTCAAAGCCTGTTTAAACATTAGCTCTGAGGATGCAGGAAGCCAAACATTCACAAAGTGTTTCTGAGAATGTACCTTTGTCTCTTTAAATCTGATCTGTAATTGTATTAAAGTGAATCTGATAACTTTGGCATTAGGCATTCTAGGAGCTGCTATGTTTCTCTGGCTAAATCTGTTTGCTACTGCAAAAAAAGAAGCTGAGGTAGCTAATTGGATAAAAGAAGCTAAGCATGACCATGAATTGCAGAATATCCAGGCAAAAGAGTGTTTTAGTAACAACTGTACTTTTCTATCACTACCCAATTAGATTAAGTGCAAGAGGGCAGCTGAGTTTGGAAAGGAAACATTCTCTGGCCTGGCAGCTTGATTGTGGTGCTGCCTCTGGTATCCAAGTGCTAATACAGAACTCTGTCAAGCAGAACCACATTCCAGGAGCTCTTAAGTAAGGGGTCTGGAAATGCATACCTCCAAGGACAATAAAGGCCTTCTTCTCATAATGTAGATATAATAATTTTTAAAAACCCTTAACTATCTTTCATTTATTTAAAAAAATTTGTTTATGAAAATAGAGATGGGTTGTGCTTTGTTGAACAGGCTGGTCTCAAACTCCTGGCCTCAAGCAATCCTCCCATCTTGGCCTCCCAAAATGCTAGGATTACAGGCATGAGCCACTGCACCCAGCCCATTTATTTATTTATTCAGTCTGCAAGTATTTACTGAATGCATTTTAGGTGGCAGGTACCCCTCATTCAAAACCCCATGTCCTCCTTCACTGTATCTTGAATTATGCTGGCCACAGATTTGCCTTCATCATTGTCTGTCATAACCCTCAATGGAAATGCCTACTGAATATATTCCAAGACTACCATTTTACTTGTCTTATTGGGTTTCCCATTACTTGTCTGTAACCTTAAGTAACAAGATAGTTTCTTTTGAAGAGTAATGGCTTTCCAGGTATTTTTCTAATACAAGGGAAGATTACCATTGGTTCACATGTAATAAGCCCACCTTTAAGAGGAAAATAAGGGCAAGGCGCATTTCTAGATAGCTGGTGGGAATCTGCCTTCTATCCAATGTATATCTAGAGGAGGAATTTCTGACTTCACAGAATGGGGAGAGTCAAGGCAAATGTAATCCCAGCCATGCTGTGACCATCCATCCTTGTTGATATGGTTTAACAACCATAACCAACATAATTGTTGACTCAGTTCAAACACACTAGGAAGAGGGAGTGACCTCAGAATCACGTCACTGTGTGGGAGAGAAATGATCCAGCCCTGAGAAGTGAAGTGGCCTGTATCTTTGCCTGCTAATACACAGAAATGCTGTCTAAAAGTATACAATGTGCCACAAATTCATAGATTAATAGAATATTTGTGTCCATTAGAAAACAGTTCTCCCCAAATGCCATCTCTTTTAGTGTGGACAAGCATCCTTCAGGTTAACTACATGATCTAAAAGCTGAGCAAGGGGAGGAAACTTGAAAGCTCAAGACGAGGAGACACCGCAAATGTACATTTACCAGGAATCAATACAAAGCAACTTTAAAAATGGCTTCTTGGCTAAGGGGAAATAATTTAATTGTAAAAGTTTAGCTTAGAAAATGTTCAGAAAAGCATTTATTACATAAATGACCTAATATGTAGCATAATTTTTTTGATCTAGGTAAAATATTAGATCTGTTCTTTGTACTCATACTATACTGTTTTTGTGCAGGAATGTGCTTTGTAATTTTGCTAACCAGTAGACTCTTGAGATGTTCAAATTCTAAATTCTTCTCTATAAGGATGTAAAGCTATGAGGGGAGATAACTTTAGCTACCCAAGTGTTTCTTCCCCACTGGATATGTTTGTCACTCTAGAATAAGTGAATGGAGGGTTTCACACATTAATAGGTCCAGGGCAGATGGCAGCCCTAGGAAGAGACTTCAAGAAAACAAAAATAAGAAATGAAGGCTCTGCTGTATGAAGAAAGTAGATGTCGGTGGCAAGGTGGGGATATGGAGTGATCTAGAAAAAAGAAAAACAGTGAGACAGGCTTCAAGCAGAGACTCCCTCAGAGTTTTTCAGTTCACTGTTGAGTCTGTTTAGCAGCAGGCATCATCTATTGCCTGTCTTCTATCTTCACAGCTCTCTACCAGGCACTAATTTTGAACTCTCAGACACCAAATAATTAATGCCCAGATGACTACAACCCACGTTACATGCCTGGCTGATACATGCATAGATTCTTCCTGCTCTGCAGGCAGAAGGTGGCTTTCTAATCTGGGTAATGAGTTGAATTCATAGGAGTCATACAAATAATGGGTCTTATTTTAAATAATTTCCTTTGGGACTGATAACAATATTTTCTTACAGAAGAAATTCCCTCTCAGATGGCACCTCCCGCTTTCTCTGTCATGGAACCAGAGCAATTTGGCTGTTAGGATAGAAGTTACTTCATATTTAAAATGTTTCTCTTTTTGACTCCTTTTGATAAATCTGGTTTTGTTCTTTATAAAAGTCTGTTTCAGCTCGCTCATATCTTTCTTTGGCCCCATTTATTTGGTGCTGATAAAGCTAATGTTTTCCTTTTGTCTTGACCTTGAAGGAAGCCAAAACATTCCTCTCAAAAATGCTGCGGGTTGTTGAGTTTAAAAAAGGTTAAAACAAAGGGACACACTCTGCCCCTCTCTCTGCCTTTCCCACCTAAAGACAGTCCAACACTTGCTTATCTGCTCAGAGATGGTGGTGCCAGAGGATCTAGGAGCAGACTTTACTCTTCCCGTATATTTACCTTCCCACATTTTCCTGCCTTTTGGAAGCCCAAAGATGCTATCTTCTTTGTCCCTGTTAGGATTTCTGGCTCTTTGGTGAAATACTATTTAAGCATGACCCCTAAGCCACTGCCTTGAGAGAGAAATACTTTTGAACTAAGGCCTCTCCCATGTGATGGGTATAGCATGTATTAATAAGTTTCTGCTTGTTTTTCTTTTGTTAATCTAACTCGTTTTCAGAAGAGTATCTCAACTAAGAACTTGAAAAGCGACAGAAAAGAAATTATGTTTTCTCCCCTACAACCTACTAATTCAGGATGCAACCAATCCATGGCATCTTTGGTCTTATGGCACACATTCATTATTTTAAATTTGAAATGGTTTTAACAGTCTTCTGAAGGTCTCTTTAGAGTTGCTTATTACGGAGCTATCTAGAAGTAGGGAAAAGGCCTAAAAGGTCCCTTATAACCAAATTCACTCCTTGGGTTTTCTCATTTCAAGCAGGGCTTTCATAACTTTCTTGACTGAGTTAAATGTGCTCATTTCAGCACAGTGAAAAGCTTTACACATGATCATACCTAGTACTAAGAAGACGATGCTGAAAATGGTGACTTTTCATTCATCCACCTGACAGTGACTAAGGAAATCAAAAGGCCAGGCTCTAAGAGGTCAGCATACAATGATGAGTAAGACTGCCTCTGCCCTTCGAGGGGAGAGAAAAATGTAAATAATTGCTGTCGGTGTGAAAAGTACAATAATGAGACTATGCATCAGATCCAACAGTGGGCCCCAGGAGAGGGTAATAAACCCAGTCTGAGGAATCAGAAGAGACTTGACTGAGCCTTCCTAAGCTGAATTACTTCCTGCTGTTTCTTGATTTTTATGGCATCCAGTTGATAAATGTGCAATAGGGGAGAATCACTCTTCAAGCAATCTCTCGAGTACCAAAATATAACACCACATTCTGGAAAGTAGGACAGCTTGTAATCACTCCTCCAGTCATATCACTTGCTACAACTAAAGAGGAAGAACCATTTATTGCAAACGTGCATTTTGTACCTTTGCTGAAGAACAGATGTGACCTGTTTGCAGAAATTCTCTCCATTTTGAGAAAACTCCTTTAGGTTCTTGTATACTTTATTATACTGAAAAACAAGAACAATAACAAAAAAACAATGAACAGGAAGATTACGAGCAACTCCGAAGATAGAGCACCTATAAATTCAGAAAACTACTATAACTATGACTGTCATTATAAAGGATCGTGCAGCTACAGGCATTTATACCTTTTGGATGAGTTCTTAAAATAAAGATGAAGTCTCTTCTACCTGGATATGAAAGACCCAGGAGAACTTTTCAAAAATGAAGCTGATCTATTTCTCCCCTTGGCCAAATGCAAACAATTCAGCAGTGGGGTGCATTTGGAGTCTGGTTTCCTGTCACCCCTATTGTTCCCAGGAAGGACAAAAAAATACATTCTGAAGGACACCACGTAACTATTTTATGCCCCTCCTGCACATATAAACTTCAAAATAATATTTCTGGGGCTCATGACAAACCATGAGCCATTAGAGTGAGCCTTTCTTGTCTGAGATATGAAACTGTCAGTAAATAACCTGGTAAGAAAACTTTGTCCTAGTCCTCTGTCTCATTTAATTCCAGTAAGAAAAATGTTATCGCAATGAGTTGAACATTTTGGTTAAACCAAACTGTTATAAATTTATTAATTACCCTTTATAAATTCATGTATATTTGAATTTATCCTGCGGACACGAGAATTTCCAGTAAAAGTTTTTGTCATTTGATTTAGAACTCCACAATGTCTTCCTGGAAACTATAAATGTAGACATTGATGACAACAGATTTTAAGTGCCCAAACAGAGAAGCTAAATGTCAATTGATTCTGCAGCTTTTTCTGACACAGAGCAAGTGAATTAGATGATGGAATATCCCAGACACACTCTCTCATGGTTTCCATCTGGGAGGTGCAACAGCAGACTGCATTTTTCAAAATGAGATTTTACATAAGAGGACCCAAATTCAGTATGGATTGAGGGCTGTGCTGTTCTTTGCTCATACAATGAGCCAGCCTATTCCAGTGTTCAAATATCGCCAGCATTCAGTTGGGCACCATATTGAGAAGGGAAAAAGGAAGGAAATTCACATTTACTGAGTGCCTCCTATTGCAGCAGGCACATTCACAAACACACAACCCCTCAGGGCCCAGAAAGCCATTCAGTCAACAAAGCACTTGGTATGTGGTGCTTAGCAGAGTATCAAACTAAGGACATAGGGTGACAGAGGAGGAAAGACCTAAAGAAATGAGGTAATCCAGGTCCCTACCTTTGGGGATGGAACAAACCAACGCCTAGGATACAGGAACAGTCTTACCATATCCATTTACCCTTATGCAGTAGTTTAACTTTCCTGTGAATTTAACACAGAAAGCTGTGATAGGACTTGAAACTGCTTGGGATACAAGGAGAGTGGTGAGGGTGCAAAGCTTTAATGAGGAAATTGCTAATTTCTAAAGCAGAGTTTGTAAAATCCTGTGGCTGCTGGCACCAGTCAGGCACCTGAATGAGTGAGGAGGAGGGTGAGGACCGTGAACTGGTGAGGCAGCTGCTAGAACCATTCTGGCCCATCACTGCCACCTGGAATGTGGCCCAGGAAAGCCAGATCTCCCACTTTGTCCAAAAAAGCTGAAATCAGGATTTGCATCCGAAACATGATTTTTTTTTAATGGTAGCAAACAATTCACAAATTAAAAACCTCTCTGCAGTGTAAACAAAACACACTTGTAGTGAGGTTCCAATTTGTAGCCTCTCTCATGAAGGAAAAATAATCCTCCTGTCAGTCATGAAAGTAAAATCACTATTTGGCAATCAAGCTTTCTAATTTTTACTTCCAATAAAACTAACTTTTTATTATTTTTATTATTTATTTTTTATATTTAATATATAAATATTTTAATAAAATAATATAATAATATATTTATTATTATCAGACCATATATGAATGGTCTGATACTATTAAGGCCTCCTTCCTACCCTTACAGCACACTGGGAAAGTTTAAGGGAGTATTTTCAAATTGTGAGAAGACCTGCAGTAAAGAAACTTGTTTAACCTCTTTGTTTACTCCTATGTTACCTAAACATTTCCACTAGATTTCTCCCTAAGCCTTTTGTTTTCTTCTATAATACTTAATAGCATCCCATGAAACACACCTCAGTGTCATGAGAAGAAAATGCCTAAATGTTTAGTGGGGTACATACTCCTGAAATAAGGTCATTTCTCAGCCTCCCTCCCCCTTTGATCTATAACCATGTGACTGAAAGCTATCCAAGGAGATGTGAGGGAAGGTTTTGTATGAGGTTTCAGTAAAGGCTTGTTTGCCCTCTTTTCTTCCTTCTGGACTTGAAAATGAAGGCCAAAGCCATAAAGTGGTATTGAGATTGGACATAATGCATTAAGATCACAGAGTGGAAAGAGAAAAAGAGCCTGGGTCCCTGATGGCTGTGAAGAACACCACACGAGCCCTCAACTCTCTACTTTTGGATTTATTTTATGTGTAAGAAAAATACAATGTTGTTTTCTAAAGACATATGTATTTGGGGTTTTTCTAATATGCAGCTGAACATAGTTCTAACTCATACAGGGTCTTTTTGCTTTGAATTATGAAACACTTTTATGTTTCATAACATAATGATACAGAAAATAATAATACACATTATGTACTCACTACCTAAGTTATAGAGATTTTAACACTTTGCTTCTGCTTTCTCTTTAAACAACTATTTTTTTCCTTTTCATAATTTATTTGGCTATTCTGAGGCATTTATTCTAACATATGAACATTTGTCTAATTACATTTCTTTTTAAATCCCCGTTGGGATCCTAATTGGAATTGTATTACATACATGTATCAATTTGGGAAAATTGACTTTTTAATGGTGTTTAGACTTTCTATCCAAGGACATAGTAAGTTTTTGCATTTGTTCAAATTTTATTTTATGTTCAATAAAATTTTATGATTTTCTTTATAGGTCCTGTGGCTTTCTTATTTGATTTATTTAGAAATATCTCACAGTATTAAGCTATGGATTTTTATGTATTGTCTTATTGACTTCTCTCCAGCCCACAGCAAAGCAGAAACAAAGACTCAACAAAAAGCCATGGGGCCTTGTGCAAGAGAGAAAGACCTGGATGCATGTTTACGGAGTAAATTCTTCTGCTCTCAAACACACTATAAAGCTGGGGCTGAGGATGGGAGAAAAGAAAGCAGAGAGATGGATTCGAGGGATTTAGAGTGGGAAGGAGAAAAAGAACCTCCCATTAGGGGAAGCAGGAGTGGAAGGAAGGGACTCTGAGATGAAATGTCCTAAGGGAAAGGCCCTACCAGTCCACCATCACCACAGGATAGTCTGCACATAGAAGTTACCTATGGGAGAGAACAAGGGACCCTGGACATCAAGCGTGGAATGGGGGCATGTAGAGAAAACTCTGCTCATAACCAATGTAGAAATGAGTAGAACCAGTTGAGAATTTTTCTATGTGCTTGGGTTACAGGGGCTGCTGCATTTCCTAAACTTATCAAGCCATCAAAACTCCCTAAGACACATTTTTAAATACTGTCTCAAGGGAACTAGTTTTAGGAGGCTAGGCCATGCTGAAAGTTTATAAGCCAGTGATTGAAAACTCAATTGCCTTCAGTGGCAGTGGTGAAGCCTGTGGCAAAGGCATTCACATTCAACCTCTTAAAGTAAGGGGCTGCTGGACCAAAGCACAGTCTATGGCTTCCATTGACCCATGGGCTACCAGGTCTAGATTTTGGAAGATGATTTTCTGTCATTTCATAGACCAGTACTTTCTAACTTTTGTCCCAAAATGGTGCACATAGCAAATATTTGTACTGGTAGAGTGTGGTAAATGGACAAAATTGTTCCAGGAAGAGGGAACTGGCCCATGGCTTTGCCTCGTACCTCGCTCCCAGCCATACTCTGCCAATTCAACGGTGCAGAGGATTTGTGTCTAAGGTACACCTGTAACCCACCCTCAAACCTCAAACGCCAGTATGCCCAGGCACATGCAAGTTGAGAAGATCTTCATACTTGTTGTTAATTTAGCGATCAGATAAGAGATGTGCTTACAAGAGCAATGGAGAGAATCTTTACCCTTGATCCTATATACTATACGCCAAAAATTCCCCCAACAAACCTTGATCCAGATTGAGATAAAGGTGACATCAATAAATAAAAGATTTGCTAAGAATATTTTCATTATCCCAGCATAAACCCTTATTTAGAATCAATCATTCTGTACTTTTCATTATGTACCATCTACTGAGACTTGGAGACAAAAACTGTGAAAAGCAGACCCACTTAAATGCTACAGCAGACTTCCAGAGACCATATAGTTCTCTCTCTCTCTGTGTGTGTGTGTATGTATGTGTGTGTGTGTGTTCAGAAAATCTTGGAACTTACCTGCTTTGTGGGGGTGAAATCACTTGACTTTAGTTTTGGTTGTCTCACTCCTACCTCACCACACTCCCACCCACCAGAGAGGACTCTGAAAGGGTTCCATGGAGCACAGTTTGCAAGCCACCAAAGTCTAATTCCCTTATTTACAGTTAAGACCCAAAGAGATAAGGATAACCTAATTAGTTAGAGACAGAGTTGTGATTAGAAATGTTAGGTATGAAAATCAATTAGAGAATCCATCAGAAACAAATACATTTATAAATGGCTAATCTGTATAATCACAGTAAGTTTACTCCAAGTTATAGTAGCCTTTAAGTGTTATGTGCAATACAGCTGGCTTCTTGATGTCATTAACCAGCACAAGAAGAAGAGCTTGCTGAGAAGAAGTGCAGTCAGGTGGAAGGCAATTTTGGTGTTCTTTTCCTACCCATTGAGCTTTTAAATATCCTAACCCCCTATCAAATATTCATTCCAGGGAATAATCTACTATTGATTCTACATCTCCATATGAATTCATATTAATATGCTGCTTCTCCTGGGGACCATTAATTATTGGGGAAAAAAACACGATGAGGTTTTTCTCCCCTGATAAAGGGATTTCAGTCTGGTAGTGGAATACCTGGGATCTTCCTGAGCCCCTAAAAAAATAATAACCCCTTCTCAAATAGACAACTGGTCTATTTGACAGACATTTCCCATTCGGCCATTAGGAAAATGTTTCTTCCCAGCACTTGTAAGCAAATTCTGTTGATAAATATAGCCATTACAAAAAACATTTAGTAATCCAGCCAGTCAGCACATGAAATGTTTAGACAGGCGACTTGTAAAGATTATAAAGTGCCTATATCAAGCTTGGCCCACCTGCTCTTTCTGCTTGAATGATTAAGAGGGTTAAATTTAGTTCTAGAAAAAGTTATAGAAAAATTTATTTTTATTGATGCTAGTACAGAAGGATTTTTTTTGATTAGTGATGATCCTCACAGTGTTAAAGAAACCATGATATTCCCCTTAAATTTAACACAATGAACTTTGCTGACTGCCTTTACTACGCCAGGCACTGTGCTACTGATATCATGTGAGTTCTGATTCACTGGGGGTGATGTTTCAAAGCACTGCCCCTCTCTGAAGGGATTCCATGTACTTGTTCACCATCTGCGTAGTATTTGGAATCCCTGTGGCAGACTGTCATAGATTACGGGATATGGAACATTAAAGAGCATAGTCTACTCCATCCTTTCCTCCTTTTACTTTACACACAAGGAAACAGAGGTCCAAGAAATGTGGAATGGCATGTTACACATCTCACTGATGCACACTGGGGAGGCTGTGGGCCACGTGACACCCATGCCATATGCAGCCTCCTTCTGTATTTTTGCAGCGAGTCAGATTCTCCTAGGAGCTACGGACCATGGCACCGGCACCATCTGAGTTAGTGACAGTCATTGTCTGATATCCAGGCTAAGCCACCAAGATGGGAAGCTCAGGTTGGCATCTGAGCCAGGTTACCAACCTGAGGAGCAGCCTGGTGCCATTTCAATGGCCGATGACATGCGGGGAGGGGCTGACTGTGTGGCGCCCAGAAGACTTGCTTTGACAGACCCCTTCCTGGATACTGTATGAGTGTGTAAAAAGCAAAAATTTGGCTACAGCTTGTTACTTGTCCTTGATTTCTATGTGATTGTTTGATAGGAAGGTGCTATTAATACTTTCTTATGATTGGATTCTTTCCCTTAGAGATAATTGGATCTTACTTCGCCTTTCTTGCACATGGATTTGAAGATGAGTTCCCTAGACATATTTTTAGGTTTAAGAGCTAAACCTAAACCTTCATAGGCAATGAAACATCAAGGCCCAGAGCCAATTCTTTTCCTTGTCAAAAACAGAACTTTAAAGATATCTTACAGATATCTTTTTCAAATAAGTTCTGACACTCTCAAGATTAATCCTACACAGCATTTAGGCAATCTTATGCCACCCTGGCAACAATTTGAACTCAAACACTGACCTTGCTCTTTGAGGTTGAAAGGCCCAGCTGTCAGTCTATTTTGCCCATTAGAGCTTGATCTAAAAGAGATTTTTAAATTTTTTCGTACCATGAGCCCTTTTTGTAGTCTCATGAAACCTATTTGATTCAGAATAACATTTTTAAGTAGCGTAGGGTTAAAAAGGAAATGAATTATATATTTTTTAGAATGTATTTTTAAAATTATGATATTATGTGCTTTTTTATTAACATACTAAATTACATATCTTAAGTATTACCAACATTTTGAAGTCAGGGTGAATGTAAATATTTCTAGATATGTGCAACAACTGTAATGTTATCATAAAATTTCTGATTTTTATTGGTTACAAAGTCACAGACACTATACAGATATGACTAATAGTATTGGGGCTTGTTGCCTATATTCTGGATTGAATAAAATTCTAAATTTCAGTTAGAAATTAGTACAAATAGAGATTTTTTTTCACTGAAGTTCATGCAACCCACTGAGTTCCATACATGGGTACATTGGTGTGGGCCCGGTTAAGAACAGTAGCTAAGCTAATACTTTATGAACTGTGCTCTGTGCAACTCTAGGGACTCATGGAAGGGGACATTTTGCAGGTGGTTAAAGCTTTGGGTTCTTTTATAAAACTACCTAAATGTTTCATGAGGCACTCATTTGCAATCCATTTCCTTGTCTTATTTTGTTCCCAAACCGCAGATTCATCTTCACATAGCATTGTTCCCCAAGTACAAGCTAAGAATGTGCCAGGAAATCAACTTGAACACTTGATTAAGATGAAACAATTGCAAATAAATAAATGTTCTGTGAGTTTAGAGGGTTTGGAAACCCAGGCTGAAGGGATATCCGCCCTCCCCATGACTCCCGGATACTTTTGGTGGCAATGAGCCCATACAGATGACCTTCAAAGTTTTAGACAAGGACAGGAGTCCTTGGCCCAGCATAGCACAAGGAACTATTCAGCATGCCAGGGAGTGGAGCTTTAAGCAGACACAGAAGTGTGGTTATGGGTTGCCTTGGGGGCTGCTGAAAGAAAACATTTCTCCACGTCTGAAGACTTGACTTTGCTGTCTACAAAAAGGATGTTAGACCTTCAGTTTCTTTTTTATGGATTTATTTCTTCTTCTCTTTTTAAACTTAATTAAAGCTGCCCACCATTTCCCTGTCTTCTGTCCATTGCACCCTTCCCTGGTGTTAATTTTCTTCTTTGGTTACTATTAGTGCCAAGATTTTGCTGCCACTTACCCCATCCCTGTCCTGGCCTGCCGCCCCTATACAAAAACATTGAGGTAGGAGTGTTGAGACAGGAGAGGATTTAACAGTTTAGTCAGGGAGCAACCTCAAGGAGAGAAAAATAAATGATAAAAGACTTCTTAAAAATTATTCACAATTAACAATGGAGAGAACACTGAGATTGAAGTAATTAAAGGGGGAAGTTTCACTCTTAAAAATCTATATATAACCATATCATTGGAATTTGTTTCTACATTAAGCACAAATTATTTCTGTATTTAAAAAAAGGAAAATTAGGCAGAATTGGCTACTATGTTGTCATTATTAAAATTACTAGTCATTTATGAGTTCATCTCATTTAGCTCATCTGATTTTCTGCAATAGTAACTATAGTTCCATTTTTTCCAACCATGTGCTTTTCTTATCCATTGAATAAACAAAAAGGAAATCAATAATCCTCTGCTGATCTTTTTCTTTATGACTTTATCTCAGCGCCCATTTATCTGCCGCCCCACAGTTTGTGTTATCAATACATGAAGGATGACTGCAACCTCCTGCTTATGATGTCACCAATCTTAGCTTTTCAGCCCCATGTGTTGGGATAAAACACTGACCCTCCTTAATTACTTTATTTTCAAAGTAAACATATCCCCCCCTTTATTTTAGTTGCTTCTTATCTCCTAAATTACATCTCTGCTATTGCCGCCGGAGACCTCACAATGTCTTTGGACTTCTGACCAAACTTATATTTTTGGTAGTGCTCCAAACATTACCAAAACGAACAAACATGGAACAAACATGCTGCTAAACCAGTCTGAGAGCCACTGCAGGCCAGGCAGAGTGGGGAGTCTATCCTTCCTCCTGCAGGACTTGTGATCCTTGACTCCAAAAAATGAGGGTGAAAAGGCACAAAAACTCTCCTCCCTCACTTTATTCTCAGAGCCAAAAATTGGCTGCAGACATTCTGTGTGTTTTTGTATCCACACCACACATGATGTTGGCACCATGGGTGTATGTCTTAAGAATGTTTTCCAAACAGCCACCATCTGGATCCAAATATGAGGCTTTACTCTCTCAAAACTTTTTCCAAGAATATGAGAAGGAAAGATGACAATTACCTGCCCTGTCATTTCCTAGAAAAAGCTCTGTTTTTAAACTGAACCAAAGAAAAACCACAAACTTTTGCACCACAGCCAATATCTAAATGTGTTTGGTTTCTGAGTGTCTCAAATTTCTTAAGTTAAAATCCATTAATATACAAATCCACCCTCCACCCTCCTCACACGCAGGCACACAAACCACACTGAGCTACTCACCGGACAATCTGTCAGTGGGTCCCTCATGTTGAAATGTGTCTGGCTTTTGTCCTTTCACCTACGCTCCAGCATTCTGGACACTGTAATCAAGGTTGGGTGTGTCCTGGACTTCCGGGATTCAAAGGGCCTAGAGTACGTCAGTCCTTGTCAAACATTCCAAGGAGGAAGTCCCAGCCCTGGACTTTCATCCCGTTTGTGTCCCGAGAAAGTAAAGAACTGCTCTGGGTCAAGACGGCCAGTGTGAGATAGTGAGAATGACTTCTGTAAACCCTCAGAGGGCAGGATCCTGAGTCCTGAACAGCGTAACATTGAGAGAAGGCAGAGAAGCTGTAACATGTCTCCAACAATTCTTGCGCTTGGTCTGACAGTGCAGGAACACATATCCTCTCAGCCTGCAGTATTAATCATGCTTTTTATTTTCTGTATTGTATGATGCTTTGACCTTTGGGGACCTCATGGACTTGGAGACAGACTGCCTCTCTGAGGGTTAGCTAATTCCTAGAGAGAGCAAACAACTGGCCTGTGAGCACTCCTTTAATATGCAAACCAACAAATCCAGAGCCCAAACCTCCCCACCATCTCTGTTACCCAGTTCTCAAATACCAAGCCCATATTCCCCCACCCCCTAAATCCCACAGGGCCAGACACCAAACAACTAGGAACCTACACCTATAGAACTATAACTATAGAATGTTCAGAAACAGCTATCAGGAGCAAAGCGTACATTAACCACTTCTCTGAGCCTAACTCCACACTCGCTCCAGCCCCAACAGGATCAAGAGGCTAAGCTTTCAATGTAAAGAAAAAATTGCCTAGATCTGGCCTCATTTTTCATCACTCAAAAGGATAGACAGAACAAGAACTCAACCACAGCTTGAGTTCTATTGCATTCCCTGTACCTGTGGTCCCAGTTGCCAATCATTAGATTTCCAATGAATGGCCTATTGATGTACGACAGCCATTTGCTAGACTGTGGACAGTTCTGTTTGACTGGCAGGCAAGGGCAGGCCCCAGTTTGAAAGGAGCTCCATCAACACAGTCCAGTGGAACACTTCAGAGTTTAAAAGCATTCAGTTTTCACCTGACTGGCTGACTCAGCCTCCATTCACCTGCCCCTGGTGTGCAGGCTCCATTCAAAGTCCCTAGAAATAAGCCAGTTGCAGTGGCTCATGCATGTAATCCAAGCACTTTGGGAGGCCGAGCCTAGAGGGTCACTTGAGGCCAGGAGTTTGAGAGCAGCCTGGGCAATATAGCAGGAGATTCCTATCTCTATAATTTTTTTTTTTTAATTAGGATGTGGTGGTATGTGCCTGTAGTCCCAGCTACTCAAGAGGTTGAGGCAGAAGGATTTCTTGGGTCTAGGGGTTCAAAGCTGGGCAATAGAGTGAGACTCTACTTCTAAAAAAAAAAAAAAAAAGCTTCCAGAAACAACGTAGAAGAGTCAGGGGACAATTAAGGAAAAGAACTTGCCTTGCAACAAGAGTGGAGAGGAGGGGTCTTTTCCACACACTTAATGCCCTCCCTCTTTGCTTATCCAAAGAACTTGATCACTGGAGGTTACAACAATCTTGGGTAGCTACCACAGGGCTAGAATTAGACAAAGCAACTCTGTATAATAAAAGAAATTTAGGTAAGGCACAGTGGCACACACCTGTAATCTTAGCACTTTGGGAGGCTGAGATGGGAAGACTGCTTGAGGCCAGGAGTTCGAGACCAGCCTGGTCAACATAGCAACACCCCATCTCTTTTTTTGTTTTTTTTTTAAAAGAAATTTAGAGACAGGATATAGACTGAGGTTAATAACATGTAACTCAAATTCCCACTTGAGGGGGCTTCTCTGCCCTCAGAGATTTTAGATAAACTTGTCCGGAGCCACCATTCCAGGACTTGGGACAGCTCAATGTTTTCTCTGTGATTCCTGCCCCATTTTTCTTGCTGTTCTGTGTTTCATTTCAGTCCCAACTGAGTCCAAACTGAGGAAATTGGCCTCCCTTGCCAGTTTCCATAAGAAGTGCTGTCACACAAAGCCTACTGTGATCTTTGTATACGAATTATAGATTGGTAGGGCACTCCTATCCCCAAACTCCTCATGTGTGCCATTCCCAGTGGGCTGACTAGCTTTCCCTCAGACCTCCTGGACATCTGCTGAATTAAAATCCTTCCATCTTGCTCCTGTCTGCCACTGGGCCGTTGTAAGGGCAGCAGGGCATCCCAGCTGAATCCAGACTGAGAATTAGAACTTGGCTATTTGTTGAGCTTCTCGGAGGAATGTTTGAATGTGCAAAAAGCCTTGATTTTGGAGGTCAGAAATAGGTTGGTATCGTTTATCCTTTGTCACAATAATGCTGTGTAACAAACAGAAACCCAGTGGCTTCAAATGACAGAGACTTTATTTGGTTCACAAATCTGTAGTTTAGCTGGATGGATCTTCAGGTGTCCCCTGACCTCACTCATGTAAAAGCAGGTCATCTACACAGGGCTTGGCAGAGCCATGCATCTGGGCTTTTCTGGGCAGGGGGCTGGCTGGGAGCTAGCTGTTGGCTGAGGCCGTATTTCATCAGCTGGTAGTCTAACCAGGCTCTTCTCAGGGTATGGCAGAGGAGCCACAAGAGTGAGTGGAAGAGCTCGAGGCCTCTGGAGGTACAGCTTAATATGGACATCCCATCATTTCAGCCACATCCAGCTGATCAAAGCCAGTCATGGGCCAGCCCAGATTAAAGGGGTGAGGAGAGCTTCCACTTCATAATAGGAGGAACTTAGTGTCCCATTGCAAAGGGCATAGAGACAGAGAGGGGCAGACAATTGGAGTTAGTTTTCCATTCAATTTACTACAATGGCTGCTTAATATTTGTTCTTGAATGACTAGAGATAAAGCAGCAAGGACAAGGAGCAGGTGGCTGGTATATGTCTTTCTTTCCCTCTCCCCAATCCAGCCTGGGGTGACACGTTTTGAACCTCAGCAGACTGGCGTTAGGAAGAGAAATAAGAGGACCTAAATCATAAAAGACTCTAGACGGATAAGGGCTGTTCTCTCCTCTGACCCCACATTCCACCCTACACATACTCTGCTAAGGAGCACAGCAAAAAGCACCTCTCCTGGATATGGGTTGTGAGGAGGCAGCAGCAGGGAGAACCTGCTAAGTTGTCTTCAGCCACTGAGGCTCAGGTAGGTGAGGCATCTTGATGAGAAGGATAGAGCAGACCACAGTGAGCACATTTGTCCCCGAGCATGTGAGAATTCCTCCAGTCCCCAAAAATGGCCCAAGGGGACTTTGGGAGGAGGAGACTGAGTTCCCATGTGAGTAAGAGGAGCAAAGAATCTTGTAGTTTTGGAATTAATATTAACAACCTCATTTGTACCTACAGGTTGATGAGAATGTGAACCTAAAGGAAAGAACAACTGAGGCCAACTTAATATAAGTAGAGCATTTACTTGGGCCAAGCTTGAGGGCTGCAACCCAAGAGCATAGTTTCAAGTGGCCCTGAGTATACGCTCTGGTTAGCAGCAGGTACAAGTAGGTTTTCAAAGGAAAAGAAGAGGAAGAGGAAGCTCCTGAGTTGTTTGCCAAGAATTTCCATGAAAATAACACAAGCTGTTGATTGGCTCTACACTGTTCTGTGAATCACAAATTCCAGGACCATAAAGATAGCAGATGAGGCAGCTAGTCAGGAACAAGATGCCTTTACATGATTGCTTCTAGGTGTGGGTTCAAGGAGGCAGAGCAAGACTTGAGCCCCATACTCCCCTCTCTGGGCCTGATAAATTTTGCATACCTCATATAGCTCAGACTGCTCTAAGCCATTTTTCTTCTCTCAAGAACTATCTTCTGTCTGTCTGTCTGTCTGTCTATCTATCTATCGATCGATCGATCGATCGAAGCATCTCCTCCAAGAAGGTATGCCATTCACACTTTCTGAAAATTTTAATGCACAAAGAGTCCTTTTGAGTTCTCTGTTCTCAGATTCGTCTCTGGTCCTACATTTCTGACCCGCACTCATACTCTGGCTGCTTTCCAGCCTGGCTTCCGGTTAGATTTACTGTCTGACCTCTCCTATCCTAATCTTCCTGCTTTCTTTCTCAGTCTCTGCTCAGCATGTGCCTTCCTGGTATGGCCTCTCTGCAGAAAGAAAACCTGCAACGGATTCCCTTCCAGGGTCTGGCCTGGAAGCTGCTCTGCTGGACTCCAACTTTGACATTTTGTGCTGCCTCTAAGGGGAGTTAACAACATGAGTACGCATTTATGAAGTATTCACAAACAAATATTGGGTGTTGGTAAGCTAGTAAGAAAAAGGAGCCCAAATGTAATAGAAGCTCATGGCAATTCAAAACTTGCCTTGGAAGTTTCTTTAGTAGCCAAAGCGTGCAAAGAATTGGCAACAGCATGAACATCATCAATTGAGACCTAGTTAAATACTTTATGGTAATATGAGCCCACATTTAAAGGACATACCACGTGTCAGGCACCATTCTAAGTGTTTTACAAATACAATTGGCTCTCCATATCCCTGGGTTCTGCATCTGTAGATTGAAAATAATAATTTTAAAAATAACAATAAAAATACAAATAAGTATTTATGACTATTTATATAACGTTTACATAGCATTAGGTATTATGAGTTACCTAGAGATGATTTAAAGTACATGGGAGGATGTGTGTAGGTTATATGCAAATATGACACTATTTTATATAAGGGACTTGAATATCTTTGGATTTTGATATGAGGGGGTATCCTGAAACCAATGCCCCATGGATACTGCGGGATGACTTATTAACTTATTTAATCATCACAGTTATCATTTGAGGTAGATATGTATTATTTTGATCCTTATAATACCCACAGGGCAACAGAGGCACAAGGTAGAGACAGGGTCTCACCATGTTGCCCAAGCTTGTCTCAAACTCCTGAACTCCAGCGATTCATCTGTCTTGGCCTCCCAAAGTGCTGGGATTACAGAAGT
Organism: Homo sapiens; assembly: GCF_000001405.40. Lineage (NCBI taxonomy): Eukaryota > Metazoa > Chordata > Mammalia > Primates > Hominidae > Homo > Homo sapiens. The sequence goes on along the minus strand of NC_000002.12, from coordinate 168,797,713 downwards.
GAACCACCACACCAAGCAACATTAAAAAAAAAAAAAATTTAAGGTTAACACTTATGCTAACTTTAATTTTAAAAAAAGAACTGACAGTTGAGATGATGACATGTTATTTTTGTATCTCTAGGATTTTGCTTATGCTGTCCCTTCCAGTGGGAAGTCCTTATAGCTTTATGTTGGCCCAGCTGACTTTTACTTATTTCCAAAGTCTAGCTTGTGTTGCTTTCCCCAGAGAGAGTGAACTCTTGCCTTTGTACTACTGCTATCCATTGCACACACCTCTTTTACTTTGTTTATCTTATTGTGTTGAAAGTATTAGTTTAGGCTGGGTGTGGCAGCTCATGCCTGTTATCTCAATACTTTGGGAGGCTGTAGCAGAAGGGTTGCTTGAGCCCAGGAGTTCAAGACCAGCCTGGGCAACATGGTAAAACCCCATCTCTACCAAAAATAAAAAATAAAAAAACTAGTCAGGCATGGTGGTACGTACCTGTAGTCCCAGCTATTCAGGAGGCTGAGGTGGGAGGATCACCTGAGCTTGGGGAAATCGAGGCTGCAATAAGCCGTGTTCATGCCACCACACTCCATCCAGCCTGGGTGACAGAGAGAGACCTTGTCTCCAAAAAAAAAAAAAAAAAAAAAAGAAAAAAGAAAAAGAAAGAAAGAAAAGAAAAGTATGAGTTCAATGGTCTGCCTCCCACAGTACTCAGTGAGCTCCTCATAGCCAAGTATCTGGAGCAAAGTAAGTGTTCAATAAATAATTGCTTTCATTTGATTGAATTAAATACTGAGAGAGTGACTTCATTCGCAAGTTTCTCTTTTTTGGCAAGGCAGGGGATATTGTTTACGGGTAGGCCCATATCCTCAGCTATCAGGAAGCAGAGTTCAAAACACTGAGACAGAAGATAAGTGTGACCTTCTGGGCAGGAACTCTAAAATGGGAAATGGCTCCAATGCACTTGGGAGGCTCTGACACTGATTAAAATGGCCTTGACAAGCAGGAAACGAAGTAGGATTCCGCAAGAATCCCAAGGGGCCACTTAGAGAACTTTCTTGGAGGTTTGTTGGTTAAAAGATATAAACAGATGAGGTAAGGAGAGTCTTGGGACTGAGAATAAAATCGAAGAGTGCCCTAATGTTAAGAATAAGTTTGGGAGAGCTGGAGTCTAGAATGAGCAGAGTTCTGACAAGTTTGCCAAGAACATCTAAGAGAATTTTTGCTATATTCACAGCAAGATGACCGTAAAGGGACAGCCCCTGGGCTTGGGGCAGCTGGCCCGCTGGTATTGAAGACCAAGTGAGCAGGAGTACTTAGCCAAGCTGCTGGGGTCCAGCGGTTAAGGGGTCAGGTGGGAGCAGCTAGCTGTCAGCAGGCCACATCTTCAAGAGCACTTTCTTCCTAGGACTAGCTATGACATGGGTGACACGTCTTGACACACCTTAACATGTCTTCCGAAGGCCAACTCCCGGTTCTGAGTCCTGGACGACGCCTAGTCCTTGGCCTGTTTGAGCTGACAGGAGCAGCAGCGTTCCCTGTTGTCACTGCATGCACATGAGTGCCATGGCAGTGTTTACCATACATGACATCACTTCCACCAATCACCCTCAGATGGAAGTGTAGAAGCAATCTCATTCTGATTAAGTTACTCTTATTTTCAGTCTGGGATCATTGCAGTGATTAGTTTTCTTAATTTCCATATCTCTCCAAAGCTGAAAGATACATTTCTGAAGCCTTGCCTTAATGCACATATTTTAAAAAAAATTTTTTAAGGGTTTCGGCCTTTGCCCACAGCCTCAGGATGGAAGAAAAAAAACTATCCAACTTAGAAGCACTTATGAGTACTTTAAACTGTGGCAGAAGCAGTGGGGACAAACACTAATGCTGTTATTGTTAATAGCCAGCCTAATTTGTAGCATCTAAGGTAACTTTTATGCTGTTTGTACTAATTACTTTGTGGTTGTAAAAATTGCACAAAATAAGCTTTTTGCCTCATAACACTTCATTGAAATTACTTAATTTTTAAATCTGAGCCCAAATGGTCATAATTAACTTATTATATACATGCAAAACTGTCTTATAGTCAGTGTAATAGGGTTTAATTTTTATTATGCATGTCCAAATTTCATATAATTTTAAAACTCCAGGTGTTAATGGAGAAAGAAGAGGAAACCAAATAGATTAGTTTGCATAAAACAAGTTAGTATAAATTTACTTTCCCACAATAAGCCCTAGGAAATGAAGACTAATGGACAACTAATTAACAGTCAAGTCATCCTATAGCTGTGATCTATGGCTTTAACTTCCAAAGGAAAGCATGAGAACAAGGACATTTTACAAATGCAGATTTGTTCAAATTACATTATATCTTCATTTAATCACCTGTGTTAATATTTATGTGCCATTACTTCCATTAAGCTCATCTGCAATCAGTCTTACAAATCTCAATTTAAATGTACACTAGAATGTCTAGTATAGAGTCGTTTTAGTCTCCAGGGCACATTATGAGTTGGGCATTTCTGCATATGTAAATAAAGTGCCAACAGTGGGATTTATTCATCTTTTCCACCTTGGTCCCCTCTACACTTTATAAGTAATGGATTTATAGTTATTTCCTATAAATCATTGCCAGGTTATGGAGATGGAGTCTTAGAGAAGAAACAAAAGCATGCCAAATGGTTATTTATTGTGATTTTTTCCTGTGACAGCAACTGAGAGGCTGGTGGATGGGTGTGGGAAGTGATAGAGCTTTACTCTTTACTGGATTTCCTTTTGCACTTTTGAAATTTTATATGCTGTGCCTGCAATACCTGTTAAAAAGTATTTACTAAGAGCCAGGTGCAGTGGCACACCTGCAATCCCAGCTACTCAGGAGGCTGAGGCAGGAGGATCCCTTGAGCCCAGGAGTTTGAGACCTGCCTAGGCAACATGGTAAGATCCCATATGAATTTTTTAAAAAGTATATGTTAATTTTTTTAAGCCATTTTACACCCCTGAGACTGAGGGCACCCTGTCCACTCGAACTTAGGTTCAGTCAAACAGCCCTCTGAGTACTTGTTAAAAATCATCCGCTGGGCTGGGCGTGGTAGCTCACGCCTGTAAGCCTAGCACTTTGGGAGGCCGAGGCAGGTGGATCACAAGGTCAGGAGATCAAGACCATCCTGGCTAACACAGTGAAACCCCGTCTCTAGTAAAAACACAAAAAATTAGCCAGGCGCGGTGGCGGGCACCTGTAGTCCCAGCTACTCAGGAGGCTGAGGCAGGAGAATGGTGCGAACCTGGGAGGCGGAGCTTGCAGTGAGCTGAGATCGTGCCACTGCACTCCAGCCTGGGCAACAGAGCGAGACTCCATCTCAAAAAAAAAAAAAAAATCATCCCTTTTGTCTTCTTACTCAAATTCTTTAATCTGTAAGTCAGCTCCTCTCACAACTCTTCTGAAATGGTTCTACTGAAAAACACGAGTTCTTTCATTTTGCCTCTCTGTAGCATTTTACACAATTGATAATTCATTCATGTGTATTCATCCATTCACTCATTCATTCCGGGATGTCTTATGAAGCACCATCTTTGTTCCAGGCATTAACGAGAGATCCAAGGAGGAACAAGTGCCAATCCCTTCTTTCAAGGACAGCAGTTTGATGAAGGAAGGTTATATTACTCTATGACAGATTATGAAGATTATGATAGATATGATAGACAGATTATGAAGATATGATATAGAAGAGGTCTTTACAGAAATGTAATGGGAATTACAAAGAGGTATCCAACTCAGCCTAGTTGGGAATGAAGGGAAACACAGAAAATGCTGGTAAGAGATAGTCACACTTGCTGACACTTGATATGCATGTATCAGCTGTGTTTACGTAACAGAAACTATTCTGTTGTATCCAGAAAATTATAAATCTCTCAAGAATGCTTTGAGCACACAGTTTGCATGGGACCTTATAGTTCATGAGGCTTGGAAGATACTCAGAGGCCAGATAATGGGATGACTCCAGTGCCATGTTTTAACTTTAACCAAAAGGTAAATAGAGTCACAAAAGGGTCTTTTTTCTCTCCACATAGGAACTTACGCATATTTGTGATATTTAGATTTTGTTTTGTTTTCTTTTTTGAGACAGGGTCTCACTCTGTCACTCAGGCTGGAGTGCAGTGACACGATCTTGGCTCACTGCAACCTCTGCCTCCCAAACTCAAGCAATCTTCCCGCCTCAGCCTTCCAAGCAGTTAGAGCTAAAGGTGTGTGCCACCGGGCCCAGCTAATTTATTTTTTATTTTTTGTAGAGATGAGGTTTCACCATATTGCCCAGGCTGGTTTCAAAGCTCCTGGGCTCAAGCAATCCACCCACCTCAGCCTTCCAAAGTGCTGGGATTACAGGTGTGAGCCATGGCGCCTGGCCAATATTTAGATTTTAGTTTTAGACTCTTCATTCTGATGGTAGTGTAGAAACTCTAAAGAGAACTGAGATAAGGATTAGGAAGAGTGGGGAGGCTGTTGCCAGGAACCAGGAGAAAAATGGTGAGGCCTTAACTAACCCAGGTGGCAGTGGTAGAGTTTTAAAATGGAACCAGCAAGACTGGGTGATGGACTGGATTAAGGATAAGTAATGAGGGAGTGGGAGGAATCTAGAACGAAGCCCAAGTTTCTGGTATCTTCCTCAAAATTCCATTCTCTATGGCTTCCATGGGAGGGACTAAAGAACAGGAGTTAATGATATAGGCTTTGGAGTGTTGAAAAGTCAAAAGTTGGCCACACTACAAATTAGTATGCTAACTTTGGGAGAAATTTCTTAGCCCCTTTGAGTTTCAGTTTCCTGTTATGTAAATGGAAGTAATACCATATATTTCACAGCAGAGTATACATAACGACTGTTTAATAAACATTTACTATTATTACTGTTATTGGGATCACTTTATTTTTTGCAGAATAAAGATATTAAAGATAATTTTATGGCCAGGTATGCTGGCTATAATCCCAGCACTTTCGGAGGCCGAGGCAGGTGGATCACCTGAGGTCAGGAGTTCAGACTAGCCTGAGCAACATGGCGAAAACTGTGTCTCTACTAAAAATACAAAAAACAAAACAAAACAAACAAACAAACAAAAAATTAGCTGAGTGTGGTGTTAAGCACCTGTAGTCCCAGCTACTCAGGAGCCTGAGGCAGAAGAATTACTTGAATCCGGGAGACAGAGGTTGCAGTGAGTCAAGATCGCACCACTGCACTCCAGCCTGGGTGACAGAGCGGGACTCCATCTCAAAAAATAAAATAAAATAAAGATAATTTTATATTATACATACAAAACACTAAAAAATAAAACTATTCTAATTCAAAAACTTACAAAACTCACATGACTACACCAAACAATTTAGAATTCTCAAGAAGTTTTATTTAATGCATTTTTTTCTTTCACTAAATTTTTCCTTTGATAATTTGAGTCACTTGTAACACTTTATGACTCTTGAAAGTCATAGATGGCATCCTCATTTTAAAAGAATAAACATTTTGCATCTAGAGATCTGAAAATTTTACTTAGGACATTAAGATTTTGAAAACAAATATATTTACAAAAATTAATTCAAGATGGATTAAAGACTTACATGTTAGACCTAAAACCATAAAAACCCTAGAAGAAAACCTAGGCAATACCATTCAGGACATAGGCATGGGCAAGGACTTCATGTCTAAAACACCAAAAGCAATGGCAACAAAAGCCAAAATTGACAAATGGGATCTAATTAAACTCAAGAGCTTCTGCACAGCAAAAGAAACTACCATCAGAGTGAACAGGCAACCTACACAATGGGAGAAAATTTTTGCCACCTACTCATCTGACGAAGGGCTAATATCCAGAATCTATAATGAACTCAAACAAATTTACAAGAAAAGAACAACCCCATCAAAAAGTGGGTGAAGGATATGAACAGACACTTGTCAAAAGAAGACATTTATGCAGCCAAAAAACACATGAAAAAAACCGTCACTGGCCATCAGAGAAATGCAAATCAAAACCACAATGAGATACCATCTCACACCAGTTAGAATGGTGATCATTAAAAAGTCAGGAAACAACAGGTGCTGGAGAGGATGTGGAGAAATAGGAACACTTTTACACTGTTGGTGGGACTGTAAACTAGTTCAACCATTGTGGAAGACAGTGTGGCAATTCCTCAGGGATCTAGAACTAGAAATACTATTTGACCCAGCCATGCCATTACTGGGTATATACCCAAAGGATTATAAATCATGCTGCTATAAACACAAAGCACACGTATGTTTATTGTGGCACTATTCACAATAGCAAAGACTTGGAACCAACCCAAATGTCCAACAATGATAGACTGGATTAAGAAAATGTGGCACATATACACCATGGAATACTATGCAGCCATAAAAAGGGATGAGTTCATGTCCTTTATAGGGACATGGATGAAACTGGAAACCATCATTCTCAGCAAACTATTGCAAGGACAAAAAACCAAACACCGCATGTTCTCACTCACAGGTGGGAATTGAACAATGAGAACACATGGACAGAGGAAGGGGAACATCACACACTGGGGACTGTTGTGGGGTGGGGAAAGCAGGGAGGGATAGCATTAGGAGATATACCTAATGTTAAATGATGAGTTAATGGGTGCAGCACACCAACATGGCACATGTATACATAGGTAACAAACCTGCACATTGTGACATGTACCCTAAAACTTAAAGTGTAATAATAATAAAATTTAAAAAAAGAAAACAAATATATTGATTAAAAATACTCTCAAAGTTACAAACAAATTGCAAGTTCGTTACAAGGATTTTTTTCCTTCTGTCCTGAATAAGTTGCCAATCTAATGCTCCTTCACCTTCTAATATTTTAGTGTGCATTTCCTTCAAACAAGGATGTTCTCCAACAAAACCAAAATACAACCATCAAAAGCAGGAAATTGAAATGGATTCATCACTACTATCTAACCCTGAGTTCCACCAATTGTCCTGCCTAAGTTCCCCATAGCAACAGGATCCAGTTCAGTATTGTGCCTGGCATTCAGTCACTATGTTTCTTTAGTTTCCACTCTGGAACAGTTCTTAGCTCCTCCTTGGCTTTCCTGCCATTGACAGACTTGAAGATGACCAGTTAATTATTTTATGTAACGTCCTTCAATTTGGACTTATCTGATGTTTGCTCATGATCAGATTCAGGTTTCGTATCTTTGGCAGGAAAATCACAGAAGTGATGCTGTGATCTTTATTGCATTCATTCACGTGACTCATTTCATTTGCCCCATTACTGATGGTGTTCACCTGATTAGGATGGTGTCTGCCAGGCTGCTTCGCTGTAGAGTCACTACTTTAACCTTTGAAGTTAGTAAATATTTTGTGGTGACGTACACCTTGAAACTAGGCAAACACCTTTCTCCTCATCACATTTTCAGTTTATTATATATTAATTTTATCATATGAACTCATAGTTTCCCATTTTATTCAATGCATTATAATTTATTACTAGTATTATCTTTATGGCAAAGTTGCCATAGCATGTTATTATTGCTACAAAAGACAATCAATCATATTTTCCATGAAATATACTCACTGAATGATGGTTCAACACACGAGGCAAAGAGCGATGTCTTTGGAGAAAGCACTTAAAGTAGAACATTAGCAAATTTTACTGCTTGACTAAAACAAGAATGAGCTAACTCGATCTGGCTGGGGGCCTGTTAGGACTGTTCCTTCTCACTGTGGCCTGACTAAAAACCAGCGGCATTAAGAAAGCATCATATTTCCCACGGCCTGTGGGTGCCCCAGTGAGGTGGTTCTGCTCTCATAAGCTCTTTTATGAGACCAGTTTTTCCAAGTACTGGTTCAGAAAATACGCTCAGAGCTGGCAGAATGGTTCAGAAAGCTTCTTGAAGGCCCTTTGTTTCTCGGTCTGACTTTCAGTTTGTACCAGCTACTTTAAGCAGTTTCAGCTTCCCAAGGTTACTAGCAACTTCTACTTTTCCTAATATATTTGATTTTCCATGGCATTGGTTGTGATAGTAGTAGCCTCCCAATTAACCGCACCTCCACTTCATACCCTCTTTTTGAATCTGGGCTGGGCTCATGACTTGTTTAATCAATAGGAGGCACACTCCAGCTGATACGGTTTGGATCTCTGTCCCCACCCAAATCTCACCTTGAATTGTAACAATCTCCACATGTTGTGGGAGGGACCCAGTGGGAGTTAATTGAGTTATTGGGGCAGGTGCTTCTTGTGCTGTTCTCATGACAGTGAATAAGTCTCATGAGATCTGATGGTTTTATAAAGGGGAGTTCCCCTATACAAGCCCTCTTGCCTGCAGCCACGTAAGATATGCCTTTTGCCTTCGGCCATGGTTATGAGGTCTCCCCATCCATGTGGAACTGTGAGCCTATTAAACCTCTTTCCTTTATACATTACCCAGTCTCAGGTATGTCTTCATTAGCAGCGTGAGAACAAACTAATACACCAGCTTATTAATTTTAAGGCACAAAATATCCTAGATTTTAGTTGGTTCTATGTCCTCATAACATTTTCCCATCATTCTTTAAGTACTACTTTGCTTTCTGGCCCAAAAAGATGTTCCACACCCAGCCTTTGCTTTCCCTGCCCACCTCTTGGTTCAGCTACTTCTTCAAGGAGCCCTGGTTCCTTTAGTGGAGAATGGGTTTAGGATGGATTTAGAAACCAAGACCTGGGGTGCTAGGTGTGCTCAGGAGGAGCTACTGAGGAGGCATTGACTCTAGGCTCTGAGGTGGACAGTTATGAAATATCTATCATCTATCTATCTATCTATCTATCTATCTATCTATCTATCTATCTTTTTATCTGTGTGTGTGTATACGCACACATACTCACAGGTAAATGCATATACACACTTAACATCTGTGTTCATTTTGATATCTACTTATTAAAAACCATACATGGATACTTACAATTTTAATCCAATACTACTAAGTTCATTCGGTTTTCTCTTCCTCCATATTTACACCTCCCTTTTCCAGCAGTGAGAAACTGGCTCCCCTTATTGTTAATATATTTACGCCTTTGATCAATCCTCCCCTATGTAACCCATCTCCCACTGCTTCCACTCTGACTTTCCATGCTCTGGCTTCTCATGCCAGGCTGCCCCTCTGCAGGGATGGCCTCATCACCCTGCTTGGGCTTTGATTCTTCATGCTTCCTCCTCCAACTCCTCACTCCCACCTTGTGTGGATTCCTCTTCACCCCCACCTTGGGCTACGATTCTGCCAGCTGCACTGTCCTCCTGGGCAGACATCTCCATGCCCAATTTGGCTCCCATCATTCCACTCCGGGCCACAGTGATTCCCTCACCTAGCAGAGATATCTGCTCTGCTCTGTCCTATTTGAGGTTTAGGGACTGAACAGTTCAGGAAGAGAAGGGAAAGGAATGGAAAAAGAAAAAGGAAGAAGAAAAAGTCATCAATATCATCATCTTTTTTTTTTTTTTTTTGAGGTAGGATCTTACTCTGTCACTCTGGCTGGAGTGCAAGTGGCACCATCATAGCTCACTGCAGCCTTGAACTCCTGGGCTCAAGCATTTCTCCTGCCTTGGCCTCCCAATGTGCTTGAATTACAGGTATAAACCACCAAGCCTGGCTGTCATCGTTACTATTTACATCATTTTTTTTTTCTTATCACTTACCTTTCTTATCACTATTTTCTTTGCTGATTTATCTTCTTCTTCTCATCCCCCAAACATGGGTATTTCTCAAGGTTCTGCTTTGGCAGGCAGTGCAGAACAGATCAAAGCTTGGACTAAGTTCTTTGCATCACCACTTTCTGGCTGTAAGACCAAGGACAAAGTTTTTACCCTCTTGTGCTTCAGTTTATCTGAAAAAAATTAAAAAAAATGAAAATCACAACAGCCTCCAGTTTCAGTCTTCTACTTCCAATTTTTGTTAGACATGTCCACATGAAAGGACTCTCATCAGCTTAAATTCAAAATGTAAAAATCAACCCATTTTTCCTTTCCAAAAACTGAGGCATCTTCTCACAGCTCCTCTTTCTGTAAATGCATATTCATTCTACAGGAATTTATTGGGCACCTGCTGTGTAGTGGACACTGTGGCTGATAAGGATCAGCTATAAAAGGTAAGGCCTTTGCCCTCAAGATGCTTCCATTGAGTCCAGTGGGGAAGGCCGTGTGATAAGTGTTCTGATGGAGTTAAATGGTTGTACCTTTTCTTCTCAAGGAAGAGCACCAAATTCCCAAAGGCTAAGGCTTTCTGGGAAGACTAACTTCTAACACAAATTAGTCTTCAAGGCCAAGTAAGAGTTAGCGACATGAAGAAGAAGAGGAAAGAGGTCTCTGTGGCAGTGTAAGCAGTATGGCCAGAGTCCTGGAGCTGTCACAGGCATGGCACATTCTGAGACAGTGCCCATGGGGAGGGATGAGGATGGAGTGGAAGGTCAAGGTCAGGCCACTAAGGGGGAGAACAGGTGGTAGGAAGTGGGGTGGAGGCTGCCTCACTGCTTCACGCTATGCCCTTTGTCTCAAATGCCTTTCCTCTTTCCACTTGACTCATTCAAATACTATTCATTCTTCCTAGCTTTCTGCTTGAAACCTTTTCTTACCTGATCCCAGAAGCAGCTGTTACGAGCAGCGAATCCTTATGGGTCCGCAGCGAACTCAATTCTTAGCTCCTTAGAAGAAAGAATTTGGGGCCGGGTGTGGTGGCTCACGCCTGTAATCCCAGAACTTTGGAAGGTTGAGGCAGGTGGATCACTTGAGGTCAGGCATTCGAGACCAGCCTGAACAACATGGTGAAACCCCGTCTCTACTAAAAATACAAAAAATTAGCCAGGTGTGATGGCGGGCGCCTGTAGTCCCAGCTACTCTGGAGGAGGGGGGAGGCAGGGAAGAATTTGACCGAGGAAAAATAAGGCAGACTGAGAGACTGAGGCAAGTTTTAGAGCAAGAGTGAAAGTTTACTAAAAGGTTTTAGGGCAGGAACGAAAGGAAGTAAAGTACACTTCGAGGAGGGCCAAGCTGGCCACTTGAGGGATCAAGTGGCTGGCTTGACCTTTGCCTTAGGGTTTTATATATTGGCATACCTCTGGGATCTTGCATCCCTTTTCTCCTGATTCTTCCCTTCTGGTGGGCTGTCTGCATGCCCAGTGCCCTACCAGTGCTTGGGAAGGGCTGCATGCGCAGTGTGTTTACGGGAGTTATACGCATGCTCACTTGAGACGTTCTTCTATTACCAATCTAACGTTCCTAGAGGAAGGTCATATACCAGTTAAACTCCCCCATTTTGCCTCATAGTGCGCATGCTTGAGCCCACTTACCTAACACCTGAGATCTTATTGGGACGCTGCTGATAACCAGTTTCAGGTTTTTTCTGTCTGTCGGGAGATTGCCTTTCCCTCGTGCTGGCTGTGACTAATTATTGTTTTAGAGAAATAATGATTGTAACAGTGTAACAACCACCTGACCATCACTTGATGGTCGTCTGACATTCCTGGTTGGGCGTGCAGCCCTCTCCTGGCCTGCTGATGTCTGCCTGACTACTATAACACAACCTCTCTCTCCTCTGAACTTTTCTGGCAATTACTATTCTCACAACATATTTGATATAACGATGATACCAATGTCTTATATCTATAGATTTTATTTTTATTTTTAAAAGCCTTTTGCTGGCCGTGTGCAGTGGCTTATGCCTGTAATCCTAGCACTTTGGGAGGCCGAGGCAGGTGGATCACTTGAGGCCAGGAGTTCAAGACCAGCCTGGCCAATATGGTGAAACCCCATCTCTACTAAAAATACAAAAAAATTAGCTGGGTGTGGTGGCATGCACCTGTAATTCCAGCTACTCAGGAGGCTGAGGCACGAGAATCACTTGAACCTGGGAGGCAGAGGTTGCAGTGAGCTGAGATCCCGTGCCACTGCACTCCAGCCTGGGCAACAGAGTGAGACTCTGTCTTAAAAAAAAAAAAAAATCTTTAGAGCTAATAACTTCTGCCTGTGGCCTACCTCCCTAACTGTATTGAGACCCCCTTCAATGCAGCAGCTTTGCCCCTGACTTCCTCATACTCCTCACAAAGCCTAACATAATGTCTCGAACGATTGGTGCTCAATACATTTATTGACTTAATGTTGATGTGCATTTTACTGCTTTCATTAGTGTTCTGGCTCTGTGGGTAAACAATTTGGTACATGTAGCATAGTGTAAACTACTGGTTAGCATAGTGCAAACTATTTTATAACTCCTCAGAAATGACTTCTAAGTGATACAACTAAGAAATGGCAGCACTAGAAGTGTAGTACATCAGGGCTCAGTTCTATGTACCATCTAGTACCCTCAGCTGAGAGAAAAACAATACTCTTTGCTCTTAAAAACTCTAGGGACCCTTTTGAACTCATCTTTGGTGACATAGCTCCAATTAGTCTGAAATCTAACATAGGATTGCTTGATGGCTTGCCAGACAGTAACTAGCACTCTGGGTCAGGAACTTTGGCCAGAGCCAAGAGTTCAGTCCTGATGAATCAAATTAACAGCTATGACTCAAAAAGAGGAGGGCTGGGAACTGCTCTTTTATTTCCTATAACTCAAGTTACAGAAAATAAACTCGCTTTGTAGCATTTCATCCCTCACCTACTACCCACCCCTGGGACTTTTTCCCTATGAGTCTTTCAGCCCATTCTTAAAACCCAGATCCCTAAAAAACTAGCGTTACTACCTAGATCGCTTCCATTCTTCAGTCTGCAATGTATTGAATGACTGAATTGCTTGTACTGGTTCTTTTTGAACCTGTGTTCTGGGTTATGTTTGCCCTTGCAAGTTCCCAGGGTTAGACTGAGGAAGGAGATGTGCCCTTTGTGAATTAGACTGATACAGTGAACTTGAAAAATTGAGTTCAGTTATTGATGTATTTGATTTATTGGGGGTCTTCCCCAAGAAAAGCTTCCAATATAGTTGAAAGGACTATACAATATGACGCCAAAAAGAGGGAAGATAGAGATGAAAACTACAGGAGGAAAAACTAGATCTGTAAGAAAAATTAACGGAGGTAGATTAAAAAAAAAAGCCAATGGAGAATTTGAAATGCAGTAGAAATCTTGGCAGCCCACATCTTCAGAAACAAATGCAAACACTGGAATCTGTGTAATGAACCAGAATGAGTACGTGTAAGTTTTGGAATCACTCCGGTCTGGGGTCAAATCTTTACTGTGCTGGGGAGTGTTTGCCAACTGGCTCATCATAAATGAATAAATAAATAAATAAGAAAGCCCTAATTTGCAGCTTTTGTTGCTAATTATACAGTTATTAAATACATGGTCTAGGAAAGTAATGTCCCTGAACACAGATTTGTGAAGAAATGCACAACAGCACATACAAATACACACTTGTATCCCTCATACAAATACAATAGATGTAAATAACTTCAAGAGCATAGATAGTTGAATGTAGGGAAATCATTAAAGTTGATGTTTTTGGGTATTTATTACCTGTAAATATGTATTTTTTTGAGACAGGGTCTCGCTCTGTGCCCAAGCTGGAGTGCAGTGGTGTAATCACACCTCACTGCAGCCTTGACCTCCCAGGCTCAAGCAATCCTCCCATCTCAGCCTCCCAAGTAACTAGGACTACAGGTGTGTGCCACCATGACTAGCTAATTTTTTTTTTTTTTTTTTTTTGATAGAGACAGGGTTTCACCATGTTGTACAGGCTAGTCTCCAACCCCTGGGCTTAAGCAATCCTTCTGCCTCGGCCTCCCAAAGTGCTGGGATTACAGGTGAGAGCCACTGTGCCTGGTCATATTACCTATATTTTAAAATATAATTTTAATTTGTAAGTTTATTTAATTTTTTAAAATGGCTGTTTAATGATCAGCTTGCAAAATTTCAGAAAATATAACAATCAGCCCATGCAAGCTGGTATGAGCTGCTTCCATCACACCACTGATGAATGATGATACTCTTGATCCTTATGATTGCTGGATTCCATATTTGTGAATTCACCTACTCTCTAAAATTTATTTGCAAACCAAGAATCAATACTCAAAGCCTGTGATGGTTAATTTTATGTGTCAATTTTAACTGGGCTACAGGGTGCTTAGGCTACAGGGTGCTTAGGTTACATACAGGGTGCTTTAGTTAAGCTATATTCTTGGTGTATCTGTGAAGATGTCTTTGAATGAGATTAACATTTGAATCTGTAGGCTGAGTAAAGTAGATTGTCCTTCCCAGTGTGAGTGGGCCTCATTTAATTCTTAAAGGCTTGAATTGAACAAGAAAGTCTGAGAAAGGAAGAATTTGGTCTCTCTCTACTTGACTGTCTTTGAGCTGGGACATTGGTCTTCTCCTGCCCTTAGAACCAAACTGGGACTGGAAAGTACACCAACAGCTCTCCTACCTCTCAGGTCTTTGGACTTAGACTGGAACTGTACCATCAACTCTCCTGGTTTTACAGTTTGTAACCGAAGATCTTGGGACTTCTCGGCCTCCATCATCTTGGTGTGAACCAATCCCCATAATAAATCTCTCTCTCCTTCCCTCCCTTTCTCTCCTTCTCTCTGCACACACACACACACACACACACACACACACACACACACACGTATTTTATTGGTTCTGTTACTGTCGGCAAATCTGTACAGGCCTGCAGCACCCTCAATTCTTGCCTTCTCAGAAGAAAGAATTTGACTGCGGGGGCATAAGGCAGAATGAAAGACCAAGGCAAGTTTTTTAGAGCAGGAGTGAAGTTTATTTAAAAGTTTTAGCGCAAGAATGAAAGTTACTTGGAAGATGGCCAAGCGGGCAACTTGAGAGATCAAGTGCCTGGTCTGACCTTTGACTTGGGGTTTTGTATGTTGGCATACTTCCGAGGTCTTGCATCCCTTCTCCCGATTCTTCCCTTGAGGTGGGCTGTCTGCATGCGTAGTGCCTGCTAGCACTTGGGTGGGGCTGCACTTGCAGTGTGTTTATTGGAGTTGTATGCATGCTCACTTGAGGCCTTCTTCCCTTACCAGTTGAATGCTCCTAGAAGGACATTTAACAGTTAAACTTCACAATTTTGCCTCTTAATAAGCATGCTTGAGCCCACTCACCCAACTCCTGAGATCTTATTGGGAAGCTGCTGATAACCAGTTTCAGGTTTTTTTCTATCTGTTGGGAGACTGCCTTTCCTTGACACCATGTTGACCAATTATTATTTTAGAGAAACAGTGTAACAACCACCTGACTATCACCTGATAGTCGCCTGACATTCCTGGTTCAGGGGTGGCCCTCTTCTGCCCTGCTCATGACTGACTAGCTACATACTGTAACAGTTCTGCTTCTCTGGAGAACCCTGATGAATACATGCAGCTTTTATAGTCATCTATGGTGAAAATTTTGAGTCACTCGATGCACACATTCTCAGCTGCGGCTGAACAAGGCGCCATTCTGCCTTCTTCATTCAACTCATGCTGTAAACAAATAATTTCCTTTTTGTAGTCTGTCTAGTGACACAACTTTTGCATCTTTGTGCGTTTTGTTGGTGATTTTGCTGTTTAAAGTGGCGCCCACGTGTAGTGCTAAAGTGCTGTCTAGGGTGCTTAATTGTAAGAAAGCTGTGATATGCCTTATGGAGAAAATGAAACCACCTTTGCAAAATAACAGTGAGAAAATTACAACAGTGAAAGAAATCTGATCTAACTAACCCTCATCTTGCTTTTAACCTCCAAACTGCCCTAAATCATTCCTTGGGCTTGGGACAAGCTAACCTTGGGAACATTTAGTTTATAGTTTAAATAATAGCCATTCCCCAAAACTAAACCACCCTTTGTAAAGCTAATGAAAGACCACCAGGTTAGGAGAATGAGAGGAGCCTAAATTCTGCTAAGGTGTAGACATAAAGGATTATAAACCATTATTCTGGAGTAACCTCCAGAAGATTTGCAACTTCCCCAATTACTCTTGCAGATAACATCTGTCTTATAGAACCTAAGATTGGCCTTTTGTGATGTCTTTTCAGGTTTTTGCATTTCTGATGACCAATGTCTCCACCTGAACCTGCCTGTGGCCCCACCCAGGTGGTGTCCCTACCCAGAAGTGAATTGAGCACTCACAAGGACCATTTTCCACACCTCTATGATTGCATCACAAACCCATCAGCAGCACCCACTCTCTGGCCCACCAAATTATTCTTGAAAAAACCCTAGCCTCTGAATTTTCAGGAAGACTGATTTGCATAATAATACTCCAGTCTTCCATTCAGCCAACTCTGTGTGAATTAAACTCTTTCTCAATTGCAATTCCTTTATCTTGATAAATCAGCTGTATCTGGGCAGCTGGCAAGGAGAACCCACTGGGCAGTTACAAGAATGCATGTGTTGATAAGCTTCATTCAGGAATGAGTTATAGTGCAGTTGGCTATGAGTTCAATGGTAGTTAACTAATAATAGAGATTAAATAGGAAGTCTTTAAACAAATACACATAAAGCAAGGTTACGTATTAATCAGTTGATGAAATGTGACCAGAGGGTCCCGGAAACCTAACCCTGTATTTCTCCTAGGAGTAATGATCCAGCATTGGCCAATTCAGCGCTTCCAGTGACTTTTTGGAACGTAACTATCATGAATAACAAGAATAAAATGTATCTACATTTCAGGGGATAAGTGGCTTGACTGAGGCAGTTTTGCACCCAGCATTATGCCTGACACACAGTAGGAAAACAAGGTTGATTCTCTTCTCTATCTCACCTCCCTGGGTAGTGATGTGATGCTAAGCTAGGCAGGGTCACAACTAGCAGTTGTGAAATCTACAAACAGTGAGTTGTCATTTTTGGCTTCTCTCCTGCTCCAGAGAGGTGCTACGGAAATTGGTCTCATCCATCAATCCACAGTCCACTAGGTGCCTTTGAACTACATACAGAAAGTTGTTAACAAAACAATGGAAAAGAACTGCCTTTAGTCAGGAAGTTTGCCTTCCTACCTAAGGATCTCCTCTGGCTGATGATTGCCAGTTTCTCATATTTTTTTCAAGTTGCTTTCCTTGAAGTGACCTGGAGGCATTTCCTGTCCCAGATCTCAGCATACTTACAGCAAAACCTTCCACCTCTCATTCTCCATCAGGACTTTGACTTTCTTGCTTGGGGGTTAAATCTTCAGTAATATGTAATCCTTTATATCCTCCCATGGCCATGTGCCCATCTTCCTGCCTTGTCGCGCAATGCAGACACTACTGACACACTAGGAGTTTGAGAAGGCTTTTTCCAGTTATACATACAAATTTGTATTTGTTCCATTGTTTAGCTCATGTCCTTTCTCTTATTAAAGATGACAACCAATAAGATTACGCTACTCCCTTCTCAAATCCCTGAAATGTTTCCCACTACTCTTAGCCTAAAACTTGCCCTCCTTACCACGGGAATAGGATATGGGCCCTATATGATCTGTCCCTTGCTAACTTTTCAGTCTTATGGCCTGCGCCTTCCTTTTGTTCATTATGCTTCATCCACACTGGCCTTCTTGTTATTCCTTGAATTTAGAAGCATAGTCCCACCTTGCAGCCTTTCTCTTTCAGGTTCCCACTGCCTCTGTCTGGATTGCTCCTATGCAAGATTTCCCCACTGGCTGCTCCTGTCAGTAAGGTCTTAGCTCAGATCACCTGTCCATAAGGTGCCTTTAACCACCCAATCTGAAGAGCCCTGGCAATCACCATGAAATCCCCTTATTTCTTCATTACTTTTGTCCTTTTGAGATGGGATTGTTCCCTTGACATTGACCCCCTTTTTGGGCAGGAACTGGCGTGGCTTGTTTCACTCAGCCTGCTGAATGCTGGAACTAGCTGGTTGCTCCTCTCTGGCAAAAACAGGCTTTGTGTGGGCCCTGCAGTGGCATCCGAGTCCCTGTCCTCTTGGCACCCTGGTTCTTGTCCGGCATCCAGGCAGAATCAGGTCATATAAATGGATTGAAGGGCGGTGTATGCGCAGAGGATTTTATTGGTCGATAAAAGTGGCTCTCAGTGGGATGGGGAGTTGGAAAGGGGATGGTGCAGAAAGAAGGTGATCTTTCCTTGAAGCTGCACCGTCTGAAGTTAGTCGCATCTATCTGTAGTCTCCAACACTCTTGTTGCTGCTTCTCTGCTTACCACTCAGCCACCTGTATCCCCGACACTCAGCAGCTTGTATCCTCAACGCTCAGCTGCTTGTGTTGCTCTGCCAGCTGAGTCCTTTTATGGGCACAGGATAAGGGCATGGCAGGCGAAAAAAACAACATTTGGGCGGAAAAATGGGGTCAGCTGTTTTTACTTAGGGCCGAGGTTCCAGGCTTAAGGGTGGGGTTTAGTGGGGAGCTCAGCCGTACCATATCACTTTGTCACTATGTGAAATTGCCTTGTTTTAAGGGCTGAATTGTGTCTTCCTCCAAATTCTTGTTGAAACCTTAACCTCTATTGCTTCAGGAGGTGACAATATTTGGATGTAGGGCTTTTAAAGAGGTGATTAAGGTAAAATGAGGTCATATGGCTGGGCCCCAATCCAGTATGACTAGATTCCTCAGAAGAAGAGATTAGGATACAGACATATACAGAGGAAAGACAAAGTAAGAAGGAGCCATCTGTAAGCCAGGAAGAGAGGCCTCAGGAGACATCAATCCTGACAGCACCTTGATCTTGGACTTCTAGCCTCCAGAACTGTGAGAAGATACACTTTGTTCTTGAATTTATTTTCTCATGGTTCTGAGCCACCCAGTCTGTGGTATTTTGTAATGGCAGCCCTAGCAAACTAATATTCCTTGTTTATTTTTTAAAATAGACTTTATTATTTTAGAGCAGTTTTAGGTTCACTGCAAAATTGAGAGGAAGGTACAGAAATTTCCCATAACCCTCGTGCCCCCACACTTGCATAGCCTCCCCCATTATCAACATCACCCACTAGCGGTACATTTGTTATAACTGATGATCCTCCATTGACACATAATTATCATCCAGAGTCCACAGTTTACATGAGGGTTCACTCTTGGTGGTGTACATTTTATGGGTTTGGACAAATGTATAATGACATGTATCCACTATTAAAGTATCATATATAGTAGTTTCCTGGCCCTAAAAATCTATTCTGTTTATTCATCCCTCTCTCGCCTGCAACCCTTGGCCACCACTGATCTTTTCACTGTCTCCACAGTTTTGTCTTTTCCAGAATGTCATATAGTTGGAATCATATAGTACATAACCTTTTCAGATTGGCTGTTTCACTAGGTAACATGTATTTAAGTTTCCCCATATATTTTCTGTGGCTTGATAGCTCATTTCTTTTTGGTACTGAATAATATCCCATTATCTGGATGTACCACAGTTTGCTTATCCATTCACCTACCGAAGGACAACTTGGTTGCTTCCACGTTTTGGCAACTATGAATAAAGCTGCTATGTATGTATAAATTTCATCCATGTATGGGTTTTTGTGCAGACATAAATTTTCAACTCCTTCAGGTAAACTCCAAGGAGTATGATTGCTGGATCATACGGGAAGAGTATGTTTAATTTTACAAGAAACTGCCAAACTGTCTTCTAAAGTGTGTGAACCATTTGCATTTCCACCAGCAATCAACAGAGTTCCCCTACATGCTTGTTAACATTTGGTGTTGTTAGTGTTCTGGAATTTGGCCACTCTGTGACATTTGTAGTAGTATCCCATTGATGTTTTAATTTGCATTTCCCTGATGATATATGATGTGCAGCTCCTTGTTTATTTGTTTTTTGCTTCCCTTTATTGTAAGTTCCATAGAAGTAGGAACTTATCTGTCTTATTTATCATTCTGTCCTTAGTGTCTACAATAATTCCTGGCACCTAGTGGGCTCTCTATAAGTATTTTTGAGTGATTGAATTACGCAGCCAGGGAACTGAGCCTTTGCTGTTTATTTTTGGCTCTGCAGATATTTTATATTATTCAGTAAGTTAAAAAAAAATAAACTTCTTACCTGAAGATGTGCTTCAAAACTTAGTCATGAATGCTGGAGCATAGACCTTCTTGCCTTGTTTCACAACTGTTTCATTCATTCTCTAGTTCTTCATGTCCTCTCTCTTCAGTTCCTCTTAGCTTGTTTCTAGCCACTTCTCTAGTCTCAGTCCTGCATCTCCCTCCCGTGATGCCTGGACTTGGGATGCTGGTGTCAAATCCCCTTATCCAAGCCTGCCATAAAGCCCCTCAGCTTCTGTGCCTGAGGCACCAGTGAGAGAAGCGGAACCCACACAGGGAAATCCTGAGTTCAGAAAGAGTTGGAGACAAAGTACTGTCTCCTGCTTGTTTCCTAATAGATGGAATGTTAATTGCTAACAGCTCCCATCTTACTAGTTCTCTCGTAACTGGGTTCATTTGTTTCTTCGACAAACATTTCTTGTGTCCTATTACATGCCAGACTCTATGGGAGGCTCTAGGAATACTGGCTTTATGCTGCTTATTTGGTTTGCTCTCCCGCATCTATTGTTGCTGTGCACCATGGGAGGCTGAACCCTGTAGCCTACGTCCCCCAGGCTCCGCACTGTCAGCTTTCTGCTGAGTCCAGCCAATGCGTGGTATAACAAGGCAGGAAGAGAGAGACATTGGGGTATTTTCTTTCCATCCAGGTTTGTAGCCCCCAAAGAGTGGCCTCTCTTCCATACTAGCCCCTCTCACTGGCCTCTGGTTACAACCCAGGGGTGGTAAAGGCTTCCCATACTTGTTAGCCTCTGGGTGCCTCACTCTCCCTTGTTTGATGTAATCCAGCCCATGCCTCTGTAAAGTCATCCTTTTATTAAAGTTTCTTCAACTTAACCATCTGACAGTGACTGTTTCCCACCTGGACCTTGGCTAAGGCAGACTTTATATAATTTTTAAATTTCAGGCTGGGTGCAGTAGCTCATGCCTGTAATCCCAGCACATCAAGGCCAAGGTGAGAGGATTGCTTGAGGTCAGGAGTTTGAGATCAGCCTGGGCAACACAGCAAGACTTCACCACTATGAAAAATTTAAAAAATTAACTGGGTTTGGTGGTGTGTGCCTCTAGTCCCAGCGACTTGGGAGGCTGAGCTTGGGGGGATTGCTTGCGCCCAGGAGTTTGTGGCTGTAGCAAGCTATGATCGCAACACTGCACTCCAGCCTGGGCAACTGAGAGAAACCCTGTCCTTAATTTTTTTTTTAATTAAAAAATTTAAAATTTTAATGTTTAGGAATAATATAACTTTTGTTTCTTTGTGCTCCAGCACTTTGAGAATAATTAAGGGTGTGGGTCCCAGGATCCAGTTACTGTGCTAATTGGTTCTGAGGGACCACCCAGCATCCCAGTAGTTCTTGGTACACAGCTCTCCCCCTTTGTTGTCCTATCATCTCTCAATGTTGTTAGCATTGTTGCCACTGTTCCCACTGAAGCAAGAGCACGGCTGGTGGAAACAGAATTAGGAGGCAGGAATAACAGATGCTTAGGTTGGATATGGCAGCCCCAGTAGTAAGCAATGGGGCCTAGAGAAAAGGGAGTTGCATTTTGGCTACTTGGGAGAGATACTGCTATAGTTCGAATGTCCTCTCCAAAACTCAAGTTTTAAGGTAGGACCTTGTCCTTATGCATGAATTAATGCTTTTATTTCAGGAGTGATGAAAGGATGAGTTTGGCTCAGTTTCCTCTGTCTAGCATGCTTGCTCTCCCATGTGGCACCTTCTGCCATGTGATGACCTTCACCAGTTTCCAGCACCATGCTCTTGGACTTCCCAGCCTCCAGAACCATGAGCCCAATAAACTTCCATTCTTTATAAATTACCCAGTGTGTGGTATTCTGTTACAGCAGCAGAAAGCAGACTAAGACAGATGCTTATAGCATTAGATTATGCTATGTTTTGTAGAACTGAAGAATTCATGGATTCCAAAAAAGTATATTTTTTCATAGTCTGTATTTTTGTGTCTCAGAGGAATGTTGGTGGTTTAACTTATTAGAATAACTCATGCTTGAAATCAGCATGAGTTATTCTATTGTTGGGGGTGGTTATAATGTTTATAAGATTTTAATAGGGTATCTGCTTTATTTTTTATAATACTTGTGATAGTGGTGGGGTGTCTGGTTGAATTTCAGTGCTATTTTTACGGCTTTTGAGTACTAGAAGACCTAAGCTTAGAGCAGAAGAGCAGATTGAGAGAGGTATTTCACAGGAAAGACAGAGAAAGATGGAGAGAAGTTCTAGCAAAGTGAGGTACAAACCAAGAGAAGATGATGTGGGCCAAACTCCGATGAGGGGTGCATACACAGAGAAGGGAAGTTTTGTGTTGTGCTTTGGGTGTTTATCCTAGGTGCCTCTTTTAAAATTTTTTTAAAAATAAGCATAACCTGATATATTTCAGATGATCTCTATAAACCATGTTTTCCAGAATAAAGTGCTACATAAAATTTAGCATTGAGGTTTTAATCTTAATTTTCAAAGAGATACTACAGTCTATCCAAGTTAACGTAACATTACTTTCTCAATGATCACAATGATACTGGGAGTTGACGAGGCTTGTAACAATCTACTGGGATGATGTGAGCCTTTATTAACCTCATCAGGTGAGATGTGATGTTTTACCCACACGAGCTGGTTAGCATTTACAGTAAAGGGCACTTACACTGCACTCTTAATACTTATCTTTATTATGAAAGTGTTTCCAAAGTAAAATGATCCTCATAATAATGATTGCTTCCAGAGATCAAGAATGAATAATTATATTTTCATATAAAAATCAGCAAAACACAATAACAATACATAAAATAATTCTAATTGGCTAACAGTATTTCATTCCATTTCTGACAGAGATGCTCAAGCACTGAATTGTCTTAAGAAAACAAGTAAGGTTTTGTCACCTATCCTATTTCTCACTGCAAGTTGAAAAAAATCAAATCCAAACACCACCACCCCTTCTATGACAACAAACGGCTGTGGAGGTAAATGACTATGTGGGCAAAGAGTTGATGAAAATCATGAGCTTAGGGGCTTTATGAAACTTTGGGAAATCAAACTCAGAGGTTGTTTTCCATTCTTAAAGTAATGAAGCTCTAAGTTAAAGTTTCAGAATCATCACATAACTGTTCCTATTCCATAACTCATTTCTTTTTTTTTTTTGCAGGTAATCTTATTTTCCTAAGGGTAGTTTCATGATGACAGTGTCAAAAAATTACTGTGGATAAAGAAAAAATTGTCTCAATGAAATAGAATTTTTCACTGAACACAGAAACCATCTCAATAGTTGCTGCTCCCTGGTTTCCAGGCCACGCAACAGACATCAAACCAGGAAGCCAAACTTTCATGGACCTGTGTTAAGAAAAACACACATACATGGGCATACTACTTTTTCCAGAAAAACGGAATTAGGCAGAGAAGGAAGTGTGGGTGTACAACTGATCCACAAGCTATTGGGAAATCAATAGCTAAAAAATGTCCACACCCTGGCTTCCTTTTATCAGGAACTCCAGGAGGCTGAAGGAATGTGAGTGCATGAGATAAGCAAGACAGATCTTAACGGTCCCCTCACATCCCTTTCTGGGCAATCTCCAGAATGCCTAGTTTTGTGGAGACACCATGTACTATCTGGCTGCAGAGACTTTCTTAGGTCCCGTGTTAGACCCCATGGGGTCTCAGCATGTGGTCATGTGGTAATGCATTCCTTTCAAAGGCTTTGGGTTGAACTCAAGTTGGAAATACCTGGAAAAGACCAAGCTTCTCCTTTGGGTGTCTGCGGATCCTATTAAAAATATTCGTGATGTTTTAAGTTCTCCAATACAATTTTCTCCACGAAAACAAGCATCAGATACACTACCTCTAAGTATTTATTGGAGGGGTTCCAACAGCCTCGTGGACAGGCCTTCTCAGCAGCTACTGAGTGCCCCCTAGGGGTGGGGAGGGGCCAGTGCACATGGAGGCAAACCACAGAGCCCTTTTGTGGCCTATTATTATGAAGAACTAAAATGTGGCCAGTGAACCAGTCAGTGCTCATCACTACGGGGTACTTTGACAATGGCACAATTTCATTTTACCAAAAGAAACCTTCACTGGCTCTGGGGACTGCAATATCTTCATTTTAAAATATTTTGCTGCGTTTTCTTCAAGGGCGGCTTGTGACAACTGAACTGCTGATTATTCCTTCCATGGACAGCATGGTAGTGGCAAGTGCAGTAACTGGGCTCATTGCATTTTCTCTTTCCATACAAGTTACTGCAACTGCCATGTGATCACTTTTCCAGCAGGCTGACTTCGATTTGATTTTTTTCTTATTTAAATGTTAGAAACATCTCAGGGCTATTATTATTTATCTACAAAGCAGAAATCAGCCAAAGACAAAGGAAAAAAGTAAGCTAATCAGAACCTGAAGACCTGAAATACCACATGAAATGTAAACATTTAACTTTTTATTTCCAAAGGATTTCTTGAAGCCTCTCTGGAGATAATGACATCACCACACATACTGTTAAACAATCTTTTAATACCTTTGGAATTACTCTTTATAATTTTTATACTTCAAATTAAGAAAACCGCCCAATGTTCAGGCAACTTTGGCATTAACATTTCCAAGAAAGGGACAAAAACAACTATTAATGCAACATCATGAAGAGATTGGGGACAATTGTGGGTGTCTATAAAGCTCTCTTTGAAAAGCTCTTTAAAGCGAACTCAGGTAAATGGAAATGAAATCTGACTTTTTACTTAGGCCAAATAACAATGAGGTTTGAATATAAAATGGAAGATTCAGGCCCTTTCTACCTAAGATGAAGGCATTTAGTTTGCTCAAATTCAAACTCCACCAAATACTCTGAATGGAAAGTTTGGCAACAGAACTGGACATGTGGAGGTTCACCAACCATTTTGATCAAAGGTGATCTGATTTTATCTCACTTCTTGCCTAACCTTTCTGGCTTCTTTACCTTGACTAGATGCCTGTGGCATTATATAATGATGCAGCCCAGCAGAAGTAGGATGCTAATAAACCCTGGGGTAAAGCAGCAATCATCTGCATTTTTACCACATACACTTGAATAATCCAAAATACTGAGAGTTGCTTCCCTATGCTCAACATCCATAGGACCAAATTTGGAAAGGTGAACTGTAGTTGGCTTATATGCTGGCCTTAGGTGCTCTTATGACCTGTGCTTAGCCATATTTAGCTCACTGGCTAAGAGGCTGAAAAGATTCTACCACCTTCAGGTGTGTGGGGAACATGAACAGGAGGCTGACAAACAAGGAGGGAAGTTTCTATTGTACCTGGTGAGTGGGTTTTATGAAAAGAATATGGGTAGGGATGAGTCAGTGATATTTTGGTTTTATCACTTTTTGGAGAAACATACATATATATACATAAATAGAACACATGTTTTTATATCATTTATTGACCTGAGGCCAAATTCTACTCGATTTTCTACTTTCCCCCTACTAAGAGATCCAGAAAAGCTATTAACATTAGAGAATAAAGTATTACTTCTTCTGGAATCCTTTCTACATACCCCTTTGTACTCTGGGAAGGTTTGAATGTGACCAGGAAGGAGGAGATATCAACACAGGCTAAGTTAATTAACGAAAAACAGCATTCTGACTAACCTATAGTTGAATTTACAAAATACACTTCAAAGCTATGGCCTGGTACAGGGGGAGGATGAGATACTGCACATATTTTTCTCTCTCAGCCTTATCAGGCTACCATGGGAAAGCTATAGACAGAGATATATTATTCTTCACCATAAAAAGCCTGCAAACCCCATTTTAATTAGCCCCAAAGAACTGTGCCCTAAAATGTAAAATGAAATAAAAATCTCTGGATAACATAGACGACTGTGTGAAGTGAATGCCATCAGTTAGAGAGACCCCAAGTGTTCCCAGTTCTCCTTCTAAGTAACTTCTGGGGGGAAAAATGATTGCTTAGATTTGCCTTTGCTAATGACAGACCCCATTTACTACGTTTTATGCAATTCTTCTAAACCTTTAATTTACAAGATGACCTCCTTGAAATTATTCTTCTGTGCTCGAGTGTCATATGATCTAAACCTGAACACATGGATCTCTAAAGTTAATTTTAGCCATTGAGAGGACTTGCCCCAGACACTAAAGCAAGCTAAATATGTTCATATTTTAATTAAGAAACTTTTACCTTCTCAAAATTTTCAGCTGTAATATGCTATTACCTTATACATATACTTGCATTTTAGCAGATGTTCTGGAGACTAACAAGTCCTTTTATGATTGTTCTTACAAACTCAACCATCCACAAATTACACTCCTAGACATATGCCTGTTTTGTGAAATAAAATAACAAGGCTCTAAAAGCAGAATTATTTGCATCGTTTTCTCAATAAACAAGCAGATGTATTTCTAAGCCTCTTCAATTATTACTAAGGACCATAACAGAAACATATTATTTTGTAAATAAGTAGGGCAAGATATAATATTACGGTAAGAATTTTTTGGTTGGGAACATTCTTTTAACTATTAACCCACAGATTGCAAATTGTGGGCAAAAAGCTTTAATTTTTTCCAAGAATTGAATTAAATGTGAATGGTTCTGAGCAGGATACGCACTCTCTGGTGTTTCTGCACGCTTGTTAGCATTTCTGCTGTTGTCTTCACAGCCCTGATTCACACATTTATATTATGGCATTTTTGTTTGGGGTTCGTTCTAAGTGATGGCCTTCTTGATTTATGAAGGGTTTTATAATCCCTTTTTCCTCTTACTAAAAGTTAGAAGAAGAGATAAAATCTTTGGCTGACATATGGTTTTCTTATCTGTACATAAATAACACTGCTATGTAGGAGACTTATGGAAACTTATTCTTCAGTAATTTTCCTCATTGTTGATATTGCCATTGTCCAATAGAATTTTTCATTTTTCCAGAAACAGCCCCATTTGAAAAAAATTCCTGGAAACCAAAGAAGCATTGTAGTGTAATGCTGCTCAGTGTTTAGTAACAGGAAAGTCATCTGGATTACGTTTAAGGAGAAAAGCAAAGGGTAAAATAGTCTTTCTCCCATTGGCTTTATTTTGCTCAGCAAAATAAAAACATCAACATCAAGTACTAGATAGGGCTTTTTCTTGAAAGCTGGTTGCATTAAAGTGCTCTGCACTGCACAGGTAATCTTTATCAACTCTTGAAATATTTTTTTGTCCCCAAATATAGTTAACTTCTTTCTTTTATAACATAAGACTGCACTAATTATAGGGTAGTGGCAAAACCTGGCTGAAATCAGTTGCTCTCTTTATGTTATTCCCAGAACACAGGACAAATTCCCATTCTTAACAGTGATTTCCTTGTTTATAACTATGAGCTTCAGTGAATATCCTCCTTCAAAATCAGAGCACTGACCTCATCACAGAGAAAAACAAACAAACAAACAAATACACTCTGCAACCTACAAGGTTAACCCTCAACTAGCTCACACCCATTGAAGAAATCTTGGCTGTGTGCACAAGAAATGAAATCTATTTCAAAGCAATTTAATACAAAACCATTCAAAAAAGTTCTCCAATAACCATCTTCTTTAATTTGAACTGCTAATTGAACATGAAGAGTGAAAATTAAACACCTAGTTCGTCCGGTTTAAATGGTCACTAAGACTGTATAGGCAATTTCAAAATGGGCACTGTAACTAAAAGAAAGCAAACCTATTTAGAGCTGAACGAGACTCTTGCACTGGGTTTTGCTTGCTCTAAGTGACAAAGTAAGCTGATGCTCATAGCACATTGGACTACAGCAAGAGAAAGGGGGAGAAGCAGATGGAGCATCTCCTTCACTGTCATGAGCCCAGTGAGTAAAAGGAGTGAGGAAACCCTCTTTTGTCCACAGATTTACAAATACAAAAAAATAAATAATATTCTAAGACAGTACAAATGCAAATACTGTTCCCTTGTGTCAATTACATACAGCATGCCTACAAAGAGAGAATGGTAATTCTTCTTCATTCACAGACAGGACACATGGCAGTGCACTATTCAAAATGCTTTGATAATCTTAATTTTTGTTTCTGGTGCTGAGATATTATGAAAGGAACTGCATTTGCAACTTATTAAATACTTCCAGGAACAAATAGTTCACTTTGCTTGGGACTTGTAGTTTTGAGTAATTAATCATCCATGGAGCAGGAGCCAGTCAGGAGATACCCGTTGGTACCACTGGTCCCATTGGTGGTTGTCGCAGTGTGGGGATTCTTTCCCGGAGGTTCTGAGTCCTCCTCATCTGAGCTAGACTCAATATCACTTCGATCATCCTTGGACACCTGTGGAGTAGAAGCAGGTGAGTATAACCAGCACCTAAGAAATCATCAAGGTATGGCATGCTAGAAGCACATGCAGTCATACACAAGGGGAAACAGATCCCAATGTTAAAAAACTGAAGAGGATGAGAACATTGCCAGAGCAATAAGTTCCCCTTCATTGGAGAGATAAAATGTAGGCGACAAAGTCATTTATGAAGGAATGTAAGTATCATGGAGGGCTAGACTTCTTGACTTCTTTAAGGTATCTTTCCATATTGAGAACATACTAGACCATGAATCCCACTTGTAATCAAAAAGTAGCATACTGTGTCACTGGAATGGCGTCATAGGAATTTGGTACAAATGGATCAATTTACTCATTGATGATCACATTCTCCTTGAGAATAATTTAAAATCAGCTCTCAATTAACCATAGCAATGGAGATAGTCACTAACTCAGAACACTGAAAAAAAAAAATTCCTATTTGGCTTTTTCATGCATTGTTTTATGATTACATTTCTATTTTTTGTATGCTATAATTAATTAGGAATTTTGTTCTGTATGTCACACAACAAATGACAGCAGGAAGCATTTTTTTTTTCTTTTCTTTTTTTTTTTTTTTTTTGAGTCAGAGTCTTGCTCTGTTGCCCAGGCTGGAGTGCACTGGTGCGATCCAACTCACTGCAACCTCCGCCTCCTGGGTTCAGGCAATTCTCCTGCCTTAGCCTCCCGAGTAGCTAGGATTACAGGCATGAGCCACCATGCCCAGCTAATTTTTGTATTTTTAGTAGAGACAGGGTTTCACTATGTTGGCCAGGCTGGTCTGGAACTCCTGACCTCAGGTGATCCACCTGCCTTGACCTCCCGAAGTGTTGGGATTACAGGTGTGAGACACCGTG
Organism: Homo sapiens; assembly: GCF_000001405.40. Taxonomy (NCBI): domain Eukaryota; kingdom Metazoa; phylum Chordata; class Mammalia; order Primates; family Hominidae; genus Homo; species Homo sapiens. The sequence goes on along the minus strand of NC_000002.12, from coordinate 168,768,630 downwards.
CCTGGCCAGGAGGCATCTTAAGAACCTGCTGGGCGGGGTGAAGCTTGAAATATTTCCTGAGGAAAATCCACTGACTAGATCATCAAGAACTGGCTCCCAGCCAGGCGAGGTGGCTCATGCCTATAATCCCAGCACTTTGGGAGCCTGAGGTGGGTGGATCACCTGAGGTCAGGAGTTCAAGGCCAGACTGACCAACATGGAGAAGCCCAGTCTCAACTTAAAAAAAAAAAAAAATTAGCCGGGTGTGGTGGCGCATGTCTGTAATCTCAGCTACTCTGGAGGCTGAGGCAGGAGAATTGCTTGAGCCCAGGAAGTGGAGGTTGCGGTGAGCCAAGATCGCGCCATTGCACTCCAGCCAGAGCAATGAGTGAAACTGTCTTAAAAAAAAAAACAAAACAAAACAAAACAAAAAAAACTGGCTCCCATCCTGCCAAGTCTCTTCAATCCTCCATTCAATCTCACTAAGTCACATGGAGGTCAAAATAAGGTGAGAAGATGTAAATCTATACATTACCATAAACGATGAGAAAAATCCTACTATTTAGCAAGGAAGTAGTTTTTGGGGGAAATTAAGAAAATACTGCTTTTAAGATAAAAATAGTTTGAACCTCCTATTCTGTAAGTCTAAATTATGGTAAGCATTTTTACCCAGAAGGCCTTAAGATTCTTGAGTAACTCATCACTGCTTACTTATATTTTTCAGTGGTGTGACAAAAGAGACCTGGTGGCCTCCCTTCATAGGAATTTTCCCAATCTGGTCCTCCTGTGATTCTCTAGGGGGTGGGCTGGGGAGGTGGCAAAGTCTCCTGGGAGGTATGGCAGAATTAACTGGCGCTTTCCCACATCACATCCTGTCTATGTTACCACTACACTCTAACATGAGAATCCTGGACTCCCTCCACCTCTCCCAACTTGAGAAACTACAGTTCCTGTGGGAGAACGTCCTCTCTCTCAGGTGGGTGGGGTCAGGAGAACTTGAAAGCTGAGAACTACTGCTTTATGCCAACCAGTGGTGATGAAGTAAATATCATAAAAGTGAACCTCACTCCAATACCCGTTGAGATGGGACTGAACTCACACAGGCCATCTCCAAAAAGATTTAAATACTAAGACTCCAAAATGGCTAAAGATAATTGAACTTAAACATTGTGAGTCACAAAGCCAGCATTATAGTAAAGTTCCACTATGTTGTTAAGTCCATTAGTCATAAATAGAAAACTCCAGTTTTACAAAGTGATTAATTTACATTTGCATGCTCAGTCAGATTTTTTAAATTGCACTTAGAAAAATCTATACTTATGTTACCTTCAAAGAAAGGACAATTTAGAATATCTCAAAATAGCCCAGAGGAAAATAACTCATGGTCAAGATGAATCTTACTATCCCAGGTGAGAGCCGCAAGGGCAGCTAAGATATTCTGAAGCCTGAGATCTAGAATAAAATTAATCATCATCTCTCTTCATAAAGTAGAAGGAATAAGTTGAAGAGCAGGCAACAAGTCTGGTAGAAATAGCAATGCAATTAAGGACACAAGTAATCTAAGCAGCATTCTTGCATATTTAGTTATTGTTATCATATTGACAGTTTTGTGCATGTTGATTAAATTTGTATCCAAATGAGGACAAGGAGATTTTAAAATAGAAATACATGTTCATTACAAAGAGTGAGAGGTCACAGAGAAAAATGAACTTTAGCTTCTGAACAATTAATTGATCAAAATAATTAGGATTTCTACTAGAGCTGGTGCTGAGAAGTGGCTTCATAGTACACGACTAGATGCCCCGACTTCCCCTGCAGAACAGGCCAGCCCTGTTGACCTTGATGAGTCAGAGTGGTCAGGTGCTGCCATATGGCCCCAGGCAGGTCAGGCCCACAGCTGATGCTCAGGCCTCCATTCTGCAATGTGTTGATCCTCTCCCCCTCCAACTAGTTCTGTTTCTCCTACTTTACTTTGGTCTATTTCTGTCTTTTAGCCAACACATTAAACCTGGCAAGTACCTGGCAAGCTTTCACACCATCCTGTCAGAGAGGGGGTAGTGAAAGAAATTCTTCTTCTCTGTTGGATCATGCAACATTTAGCAGAATACAAGCTCACACCAAAGGGCCCTAACAGAGCTGTCTCTAGTGTCTCTTGCAGTTCACAGAGCTACAGCTCACATGAAGCCTCTAGACAGTGCCAATAGGTTAGACAGAACAATATGCGTGGAAACAAAAGCATCTGAGTGCCCCTCCAACAGGCAAGAGGCACTCAGGACAGGGATAGAGAGAGAGGAGGAGAAACTTACATGTAAAGGGTTCCACTTCCCAGCCTTCCAGGGTAGCAGAAGGAAGAGAACAAACAAGTAAGAAAATGTCACAGAGAATGATCTGGAAAAGTCTCTGCTCTACACACAGGGTTGGGGCTGAGGCTTAGGAAGCTTTATTCGAATCAACCTCAAGTCCACTTTTAACCAAAAAGATTTAACTAAATCTTGTTGGAAGTCATGAACAGATTTGTTTTTCAGTTTGAAAGAAAGGTTTGTTTAAACCGGCATACAGCACCAAGCGACCCTTCTCATAAAAGGAAAGAAGTGATTAAATTTCTGTTCAGTATAAATATAATCAGAGGAGGTCCAAGGTTGACAGGAAGAGGGAGAGCGAACACAACAAATAATATATTATTAAGTCTAAAATTACAAATGCATATCATTGGGTGCCATCGCCAGCAAAGGAACACTGAAGACTTAAAAAATGAACTAGAAAAGGAAATGACTCAATTTTTGCTCAATTCTGAAGAAATACTACCAATTTTGATGAAATATGGAATAGTAAATAGTTGATCCAGAGAAATTACAAAAACAAAATTTTTTAAGACATATTGGAAAAAGTGAGTTGTAGCTTACCTTGCCTCTTGAAACAGCTTTGCAAGCTATTTTCACAATCAAGTAAGACCAGAAGCAGTTCAACCCTTGTACTAGCAATAGCAGTAGGTTAAAAACCCACCAGGAAGGGTAAGGTCCAACGATCTCCCAGCTTTCAAATAATGTGGTATTTAACACCCTAAGGAAAAGAAGGAGGTGATTAGTGAATGTGGCATTTTCCTTTGCTTTCCAAGGAACTCTAGTCACTGCATTAAAGCACAAGGTCAACAATATCTCCCAACTACCCCCTCTCTGGCAGGATGGTGTGAAAGCTTGCCAGGTACTTAGAAATGTCATTTCCTGAAGAATTACCCTGATGGTGTGACTTTCATTTGGTTTTAGGTTAATTAATATATTTTTCCCTATTCACTTCTTTAAAAATGATAAAATAAATATAACATAAAATTTACCATCTTGACTTTTTTAAGTGTACGGTTCACTGGCTTTAAGTACATTCACATTGTTGTGTAACCATCACTGCCATACATGCTCAGCACACTTTTCATCTTTCAAAACCAAGATTCGGCACCCATTCTTCCAGCCTGCATCAACCACCATTCTCCTTCCTGTCTCTGTGAATTTGACTACTTTAGGCACCGCATAAAAGTAGATTCATATAGTATTTGTCCTTTTGTGACAGGCTTGTTTCATCTTCAAGGTTCATCCATGTTGTGGCATGTGTCAGAATTTCCTTCCTTTTTAAGGCTGAATTATAATACGTATAAGTCATATTTTATCCATTCATCCATTGAAAGGGAACTTGGGTTGCTTCTACCTTTTGGCCATTGCAAATAATGCTACTATGAACACGGGTCCACAAATATCGCTCTGAGTATGTATCTTTCGGGCATATACCCAGAAGTGGAATTGTTGGATCATATGTTTCCCCCTTCACTTTTGCCATCATTTCTTTCATTAATTTTCATTCATTTTTTGGTTGTGATTCATATCTACTTGTAAAAAGGCCTGTATGATCTTTGAAGTTGCTTTTGGGCTTTAAATAAGCGCGAAGAATGCCATTCAATGCCAATACACTGCAAAAAAAGAGATTAACTCCTAAACATTACTTAAGTACAAGCCATATGCCTAGCACAGGGAAAAACACAGTGGAAGTGAGAATATGAGTGAGACCTAGGCTTATATCTAGTAGGAGAGTCATTAGAGGGTCCTTAATTTTGTAAGGCTTCCCCTGGAAAAGCACTGATAATTGAAATACATCATTTTGATGATGCCTTGAAATGAGTATTGGAAGGATTTTTGACAAAAATGATTACAGAACAATGAATGCAGTCTGGGTGCCGTGGCTCATGCCTGTAATCCCAGCACTTTGGGAGGCCGAGGTGGGCGGATCACGAGGTCAGGAGATTGAGACCATCCTGGCTAACATGGTGCAACGCCGTCTCTATTAAAAATACAAAAAATTAGCCGGGTGTGGTGGCGGGCACCTGTAGTCCCAGCTACTAGGGAGGCTGAGGCAGGAGAATGGTGTGAACCTGGGAGGTGGGGCTTGCAGTGAGCAGAGATCGTGCCACTGCACTCCAGCCTGGGCAACAGAGCAAGACTCCATCTCAAAAATAAAAAATAAAAAAAATAGAGAACAATGAATGTATTTAGTTTTAAGAGTACGTAAGAGTATGTATTTGAATTAGGAAAAATTATTTGAGGTAACTGGTTCTCTCTGTAATCTACCATCAGAACTAGAATGGAACAGCCACCTGGAGTAGATACATAAAAGGCTGGTTTTAGTGCTTTGCTCTGGTCCCTGCCTGTGTCTGCTCTTAAGCACTTGGAAATTGACTCATGTCATCTGGACTCATACTGCTGCCACAGAGAAGCACAGCACCTGCATAATTTTGGAATCATTCTTACTCTCTGCTCTCCTCCTCAGCTTACCCCAGGGATGGTTTGGAGACACACAAGAAAACTCACCTAAGTGCATTTCTACCGCCTGCCACTGCAGCACTTTGCTGGGACAATCTGATTCTACAGGAGAGGCTAGGTGGATAACACTTACTGGCTAAAGGGAAGGGAGAGAAAACTCTCGAATTTAAGACACAGACCACTCATATAAAAACATAAGACAAATAGATAATTTAAATAAAATAAATTGTGATGAGAGCTTTAAGAGAGGTTAGAAAAGTACTTTGTGAATTAGAAAAGAAAAAAACAGGCCAGGCACGATGGCTCACGCCTGTAATCCCAGCACTTTGGGAGGCTGAGATGGGTGGATCACCTGAGGTCAGGAGTTCAAGATCAGCCTGGCCAAGATGCTGAAACCCTGTCTCTACTAAAAATACAAAAAAAATAAAAAATAAAAAATCAGCCGAGTGTGCTGGTGTGTGCCTGTTGTAGTCCCAGCTACTCAGGAGGCTACAGCAGGAGAATTGCTTGAACCCAGTAGGCAGAGGTTGCAGTGAGCCAAGATCGTACCACTACACTCCAGCTGGGGTGATACAGTGAGACTCTGTCTCAAAAAAAAAAAAAAAAAAAGAGAGAGAGAGAGAGAAACAATTATTGCAGCTGGAATAAGAGATAAAGAAAAAAGAAAAAAGGAGAGGCTAGGCACTGCCTCACTCCTGTAATCCCAGCACTTTGGGGGGGCTGAGGTAGGAGGATTGCTTGAGCCCAGGAGTTTGAAACCAGCCCAGGCAACAGAGTGAGACCCTATCTCCATATAAATAAAATAAAAATTAACCATGTATGGTGGCACATGCCTGCAGTTCCAGCTGCTCAAAAGGCTGAGGCAGGAGGATCACTTGAGCAGGAGTTGCAGGTTACAGTGAAGCTATGATTGTGCCACTGCACTCCAGCCTGGGCGACAAGAGTGAGAGACCTTGTCTCAAAAAAATAAAGGAAAAAGGACAATGAAAAATAAAATAGACAAATAGGTTCTTCCCCACCCCCGATTTCTGCAACTCCTATTTATAGACTAGAATGAGACTAACAGTTTGTCTTCAACCCTGCCATAGTAGTTGTCTTTAAAGAGTAATACATAATACACATATGTTAAAATTCTAAAAACAATAGGATAGAGTTTAATGATTTGAATTTTACAAGTCATTAAAAGAATAATACCTCATGAAATAGTTGTATTCACTCTGGGGAAGGGGGAAAATATTAGGAAATCTATTAATATATTATATACATAGGCCAAATTGGTATAAATGGAATGATTTCAACAGCATCAAAGACATTTGGTAATGTTTAATTCCTCATTATTGATGTTTAACAATTAGAATACAAAGGACTTAGTATGATTTTTGTAACCCTTTCAAATCAGCATATTAATAAACACCAGAGTTACTTCCTTTAAAATCAGGAAAACCACGGAAAGCCAGTATAACCATTATTATTTAACACTATTCTGGAAGCTCCAGCCATTGAGCATGGCAGGGAGTCAGAGACTTAATTTCAAATACATAGACATAAAATATCTATAAGTATTTTAAAAACAGCAAACAACCAAAATGTCCCATAACAGGAAACATTAAAAATTAAAAAATTAGTTTTCATTCTTATTCCAGAAACTATTTTTTTTTGCATTTTAAAAATTTATTTACTATAATTTAAGTTCTGGGATACATATGCAGAATGTGCAGGTTTGTAACACAGGTATACATGTGCCATGGTGGTTTGCTGCACTCATTCACCCGTCATCCAGGTTTTAAGCCCCACATGTACTAGGTATTTGTCCTAATGCTCTCCTTCCTTTGCCCCTGACCCCCTGACAGGCCCCAGTGTGTGATGTTCCCCTCCCTGTGTCCCTGTGTTCTCATTGTTCAACTCCCACTTATGAGTGAGAACATGTGGTGCTTGGTTTTCCAGAAATTATTAATAAATATTTATTAATAAATACAAGTAATTTGTAAAAATGACTAAATTAGGATAATGCCTATATTCCTGCCTTGTTTATTATCCGAAGAAGCAGTTATCTCTTTAAACATCAGTTTGCAGGCCAGGGGGACAACAAGGCTCAACTCTGTGGTGGTGTGGGAGGACTCACACACCTTACACTTTTCTATCTCCAGCACCCTGCAAGACACCTGGAAGTAACATGCTGGCTAGACACGTTTGTTGATTGACCACGTGTTTGCTAATCCAACAATCCAATAAATATGAAGAAGAAAGCTCTGGAATAATAAGAATAATTTTATTTCAAAACTAGCTCTGCTTCTTGACATACTACACATATTGATATTCAGAGAAACTTTAGTTCCCTTTGAACAGAAAGAGGTTCTGTGTAAATAGCAACAATGACTGCATTATGCCATTCATTATAAGTTAACCTTTGCTGGATTATAGACTGAGAAGCTTTCTCGCCATTGTGATGCTAGGACTGATGCTACCGCTTGGCTTAATTTGAACAGGATGTCAGAACAGTCGTTGGCGACATGGCATTCACATTAATTTCTGAAACACTGCATCAGGATTTATAGGCTTTGCCATGACAATCAGTGGCACCTCTGATTACTTTTGAGATGCTGCTCAAAAGTAATGGGATTTTCTTTGAAAATCGACTTGGCTTCCTGTAGAGACACTTGAGAAAATACAATCAGTGCACCAAACGGATATATCTCTCAGTGAGAAGCATGGTAAGAAAAACAATATAGTAGGAATTTATACTAGGGAACAGAGAGAACATATGACACCTGGACTCTAATAAACAGTAAACCCGGCCGGGCGCGGTGGCTCACGCCTATAATCCCAGCACTTTGGGAGGCCGAGGCGGGCGGATCACGAGGTCAGGAGATCGAGACCATCCTGGCTAACACAGTGAAACCCCGTCTCTACTAAAAACACACAAAAAATTAGCCGGGCGTGGTGGCGGGCGCCTGTAGTCCCAGCTACGCGGGAGGCTGAGGCAGGAGAATGGCGTGAACCCGGGAGGCGGAGCTTGCAGTGAGCCGAGATCGCGCCACTGCACTCCAGCCTGGGCGACAGAGCAAGACTCCGTCTCAAAAAAATAAATAAATAAATAAATAAATAAATAAACAAACAGTAAACCCAGGAAAGAGCCTTTGTTTGGCCCAAGAATGTTACAATTGAGGAAACTGTTCTTTTTTTGGGCAAACTATTAAAATGGTGACTATAGAATCTTATTTCTGGGAGGTACTTCAGGAGTATGTACTTTAATGATGCCATCATGAACCTATGGTGACAGAGTTCAGGACAGTGGTTGTGATAGTTAATACTGAGTGTCAACTTGATTGGATTGAAGGATGCAAAGTATTTATCCTGGGTCTGTGAGGGTATTGCCAAAGGAGATTAACATTTGACAGCGGGCTGAGGAAGGCTGACCCACCCTTAATCTGGTGGGCACAATCTAATCAGCTGCCGGCAAATATAAAGCAGGCAGAAACATGGGAAACGCGAGACTGGCCTAGTCTCCCAGCCCACATCTTTCTCCCGTGCTGGATGCTTCTTGTCCTCAAACATCAGACTCCGAGTTCTTCAGTTTTGAGACTCGGACTGGCTCTCCTTGCTCCTCAAGCTTGCAGCCAGCCTACTGTGGGACCTTGTGATCGTGTAAGTTAATACTTAATAAACTCCTGTATATACCTCCTATTAGTTCTGTCTCTCTAGGGAATCCTGACTAATACAGTGGTTGTCTTTGAGGGAGGACTGACTGGGGTTGGGGGGATCTGAGGGAGGCTGGACACTTCTGTATCTTGATCTGGGTGATGATCACGTGGGTTATACATACATACAAATTTATCGAGCCATATACTAAAGATTTTTTGCACTATATTGTATATAGGAATTATACGCCAATAAAATAAAATGGAAGACAGTACCCTGTGGGCCAAACAAAACACATATGTACAAAAAAAAACACACACAACGTACAGCTTTTGGCTTTAATAATTACTATAATATCAGGGTTCTCCTTAGATGCTTAGATGCAAAGGGGTATGGCCTTAAGTATCTTATTTAAGACTACTTTGTTTTTGCTTCACAAAAACAGTTGTAAACTGTTCTGCATAAATGTGTTTATCCCCCACACACATAATAAAGAACTGTATAATAGTTCTATGATAATCAAAGTTAAGATAAAGAACCCATAAAAGGTAAGAATGAGCTAAAGTAAGTACAGGGCATGGCCAAATTAAATCTTATGATTCATTAAAATCACCCACCAAGGCTAAGCAATTGGGGTGGTCACAGATGAATTTGTATTCAACCTATGGCTTCTAAGAAAATAAATTCTTTTCTTTCCAAATAATAGCATCGAACCTCTACTGTTGTCTAATGGAGAGTATAGAGGCAGAAGGGACCTGAGACCATTTTTCTTTTCATTCATGTTAGGCTCACTTAACCACTAGATGGCATATCATGCATGAACAGTACATACTCACGCGGGTTTGTTCTGCCCAAACCTTTTGCCAAGGGTGAGTCCCAGTACAGAAAACACTTGATCTACAGGTTATACCCCTCATTCTAAAAATCCCATCAAATGAATGGGCATCCCATCAAATGAATGAAGAGGCATCAGTCTGACCTTTTTTCATCCTGCATTTGACAGAAATGCACCTACAGGGCAAAGCTGTGCTCCATGCATTTCACTGCTGATGCCCTGATACACCTGTGACCACCCCAATATCTTAGCCTTGGTGGGTGATTTTAATGAATCTAAGATTTAATTTGGCCATGCCCTGTAGTTACTTCAGCTCATTCTTATCTTTTATGGGTTCTTCATCTTAACTTTGATCATCATAGACATAAGGGATATGTGTGTGTGGGATGCATACATTCATGCAGAACAGTTCACAATCTTTTTTTTTGTGAGGCAAACACAAGGGAGTCTTAAAGAAGATACTTAAGGCCGTACCGATTCGCATTCTAAGCATCACTGTGACTTAAAGCATTATGCTTTACCCTGCAACCTGAGGACTGCAGTCTCATAATGTCACAGAGCGCAGTGTAAAAAGACCTTCACTGGCATCTTACTCCAAAAAACCTACCTCCAATGCTCAATTTCCCCATTCTCATGCGACTTCCAAGTAAGAGTTTAAATCCATTCTCCGTAATATGTAAAATTAGATGAACATTCTTTCAGACCTGTACATCTTAAATACTCCAGTGACATATAGGCAGCAGCACATAATGGTAATAAGACGATAACAATGGCCCAGGTGATCTTACCGTATGAATGGGTTACAGGTGCATGTTTTTGATGATACCATGGCCCTTGGCCATGTCAAGTAACCGCAAATTTGCCTCCGCCGCTCCTCCCCTACCTTAACCAAAGAGTTCTATCTGAGCCTTGGGTTGTATGTTTTTGGAATGATCTCTAAAAAAACCCACAATAATAATTAGACCCAAGTCAAATATCCAGAGCCAAGATTTCTTCTCTAAGGAACAGAGTCAGGGCTTCACTTTAAGGAGTGCTACAGAATGTCAGTGACGATACCTTGAAAAGTAAAATGAACTTTGTGGTCAAAATTAGGGTGTGGTTTACTTCAGAGCTTTTGAATGGTCTTGACTTTGCTTTCCCAGACAGACCTCAGTGTATTTCATGATGTGCGTTTCTCTGGCATGGATGTTCATTTGACCTACACAAAACATAAATGAAAGTAGATTCTACCTAAGATGACTAATCTGCTAGCACGTTTTGTCCATTTTAAAGTAGATGCTGATAGAAATGCATTTAAAATTCACTCCGAACAAAAAAAGTGGGCATTTAAAACCTGAAAGTCGGGTAATTAAGTCATGATTACAAGCAACCCTCGTTGTGCTGGTTTTCCTAAGGTAATAAAAGCTCCAGGCTTAAATAACATCTTGGTCAACATCAAGGCTATTACAAGGCTGAGAACGATGTTTCCAATTTCCTTCCTTTTAACAAGACTGCACCCCGGCTGTAGCTTACATTCTCCACAATACTGGTGTTGATATCAAGTTCCCAGTTTTGGGAGGACAGCTTCTGGGTAGCTTGCGGCATGGGTGCCTAATTATTAGTCACTAATCTATTAATCTGTAGCAAACATGGAAGTTACTATTTTCTTAATTTTTTTGTAGAGACAGGGTCTCACTAAGTTGCCCAGGCTGGTCTTGCACTCCTGAGCTCAAGTGATTCTCCCACCTTGGCCTCCTAAAGTGTTGGGATTACAGGCATGAGCCACCATGCCTGGCCAGAAGTCATTTCTTTATCCCTGGACAGGAATCTGAACTTGAACATGGACAAATAATCTCTCTTTCATTTAGCAGTGCACGTTATAGTTCTATCTGTATTCTTAGCCAACAGGACATGGGGCCAGTGAATTTATTTTTACTTTTAGGTCATAGCCAGGCCAGACTTAGGAACTGGTCTCTTATCACAGGAAGTTTGTAATTGGTGACTTCCTGGCTGGGGCAGATGTTTTTTTTTTTTTTTTTCCTCCAAAAGTAGTTGCTGCCCTATTTGCTGTATGTCTGCCTGCATTCTTAATTCTGCCACTGCCTGGTCTACTTACCTACGCTCCTGACCTCCCAATCTGAGTCCTTCCAGGCAAGGCTGTGTCCTTCGGGATGTATCCTGATTCCAACATGCTTGTTTTCAGCCCTCTAGTTAGCTCTTTGTTGCCTATGTGTACATAAGAGAGACTTTTGCTTGGTTCTCTATAACGTCTCTTCCTTGAGTAATTACTACGTGTTAAGCACTGTGCCAAATATGTTACATATATTGCTTCATTTTGCCCATTCAACATCTCTGTAAGATCCTCATATAGCAACATTAATACTAGTTAATACTTATTGAACATTAACTATGTGTTAGGAACTGCGCTTAGGTTTTGTATGTTAACTCATTTAATTCTCATGAAATAAAGCCTATGGGATAACTTCTATTTCTTTTTTTTCCACAGTGTGTCCTGTTATTATCCCTATTTTTCATATGAGGACATGGAAGCACAGGGATGTAAATAACATTCCCCAAGTCAGATCGCGTTGGTGGGGGACACTGAGACTTGAAGCTACCTGTCTGCTGGTCTAGGCTGTCAGGCTCTCCCATCCCTTTCTCCGTTCTTCACCCAGGCTTATGCTCAGAGCCGATCCGTCCCCACATTATGATGGAGGACACACATCAATATCTCTGTTCAGCATTTCTGCAGATCTTTCCCTTTGGCCTGTAATTCCCTGCAATGTGTTATCCCTTGGGCTCATAAGCTGGTTTCTGGTAGCCATATGCCAGGCCCTGCCTGCTTAAATAACCCATTTGGTTTTATTTATGTGGTTTCCCCACTTTGGCCCACCCCACTTGACCCTTAAATCCCAACAGAATTGTCTCCATTACTGAAAATTATATAATTCCTTTCATTACTACTTTGTCATGTACACAAAATATTCAAGACACAAAACCAAAGATCTTTTTAAATTCAACTGGGAAATGGGAGTGCCAGCCCTGTGCCCTTTTCTTTGCTTTTCTCTTTGAAAGGACTGAGGCAGATGTGTATCTCTAAATATCCCCTACTTTAAGAAAAGGATAGATAAGGCTGACTCCTGCTAGGCAGGTAGAAACCTAAGAAAGACTGAGATTCCAGGGACTTACTTTTCCAGTTTTCTAAAAGAGTATAAAACCAGCCTCCCATCCTCATAGAGGCAGGATGGCAGAAATGGCTCTGAAACCTCCCTACATTTGTGTGCTCCTCCCTGAAGGGCTAGGTTTGCTCATTTCCATTGTAGGATCACTCCTAGCAAGGCCAATGGCAGGCCAAGTGCTCCTGGGCCCAAGTGGGGAATGCTGTCAGATTACCATGGGCTTCCTTACCTTTTTCTCCTTTTCCCCTTCCCTTAGAGATTTCAATGGTATGTTTTGCAGAGGTGAGAAAAACAGAGACCAAACACATACCAATGTGAGGCTCTGGTTGTGAGATTGTTTTAGCTTCAAAGTTTCTGGGTCTAATCAATTAACTCAGTTAAAGTAGAAAATCTTGGTCATTCTGATAATTCACTGAACTCATCTCTGAGGGACTCCACTGACAAGTAGAGAGGGAATTGCTAGCTGCCTGGCAGAAGGAGCCTGTTTACAGGATGGCTATTTACAGCAGAAACACAGAAAGGCTGCTATAGTTACCTGCTTCTTGGGAATAGCTTCCATTTTGGCTTCCTATTTGGGTAGTTGCTGAGGCTGGGACAATTTGTATTTTCTCATTTTAACAATTTAAATAGCAACCTATGGGTGGGATAGGTTCTTAAGCCAGAGGGGCCTGCAGTGGGGTGGGGGCATGGTTATTGCACTGATCACAGCCCACAGGAGTGATGTGGTTTTGCACATTCCCTAGAGAAGGAAATGAGGCACACAGTATCCATCTTTATGCCTCCATGCTGAGAGTCACACACATGGAGATTTAAAATGAGGATCCCTAGAGATGACTAGAAAGCATGAGTAAAATATGTTCCTAACTAGTCCATTGAAGCATTTAAGAGAGCTAGAGCCATAGTAATATTTCCTTCTGTTTGGAAGATGTTCAAAGACTTCATGTTTATTAGATTCAGTCTCATTATTAACTGTAAAGTTAGCAGATCAGATACAATATCAACTTTTTGGTCAGGAGACCAAGATCCTAAAACAGTATTTAATTATCCAAGGTCACAAGACAGAGGTTTTGTTGTTTCTAACCAAAACATATTATCTTTAGGAATCCCTCTCTCCTTCTTTTAAAATTTACATTAAAACAGAGAACATGGGCTGGGCATGGTGGCTCACGCCTGTAATCCCAGAGCTTTGGGAGGCTGAGGTGGGATCGCGTGAGCCTAGGAGTTCAAGAACACCCTGGGCAACATAGTGGGACCTTGTCTCTACAAAAGTAAAAATTAGCCGGGTGTGACAGCACATGCCTGTAGTCCCAGCTACTGAGGAGGCGGAGGCAGGAGATCACTTGAGCGCAGGAGGATCACTTGAGCACAGGAGTTCAAGGCTGCAGTGAGCTATAAGCCTACACTGCACTTCCATCTGGGCAACAGAGCAAAGGCCTGTCTCAAAAAAACAAACAGAGAATGTATAGTCTTCAAACAATTTTTAGCAAATAAGAGCTAAAAGGGAGGTTTAGAAGCGATCATGTTCAGGCTGGCAAGACAGGAAGAATGCTTCCCTCTGCTGCCTAAAAATCTCTTGAGAAGGTTCTGGTAGGGTCTTGGCTCTGGTAGAATCCCAGTATTTAACTCTTCAGGGATCAAATTCCACCCATCTTATTTAGCTTGAAGGGAGTCAACATCACCTTAGGCATTGTGTGTGTACTCTGGGTATCAGAGCTTCAGGTAGGCCTTACCTCATCTGCACTGCAGGCCTGGTTGTGAGACTTCTCTACCACATCCAGGAAGCAACAGTTTTCCTAAAGCAATGTATTAACTAATAGGTTCATCTGTGATCTGAAAAAATTTCTGAAAACTGAATATTATGTATTATTTAGTTATGTAAAGTATATATACTCACTTGCATTATGTCCTTTGACCCTCAAAGAAATCCAGGCCCACGCACCTTGAACACACCAACTGGCTGGTGGGTCCTATGCTAAGGAGTATGCTGCTGTTCCCAAGAAACAGACCCTCCTTCCTTCCAACTTCCTTGTTCTCATCTCTCATGTCTTATCTCTGAGACACGGACCCATAGTGCCTCCTGGCTCTCTGGACTCTGATACTTAACACGGGGAGTGGTATTTGATGCCTGGCTTCTCACCGCCCTGACTTCCCTCATGCTGTCTGCTCTAGGGGTCCCTGTCCTGACACTGTCCCCCAAATTCCATACCCCGCCCCCGCATCAAGCCACACCAACTCCTTCCATTTGCACACAGGTGGAGAGGGAGGATGGGAGCAGTTGGGCATGGCGTGGGCGGCAGGAAGGAAGGGGATAAGAGATAGTGTTTTACTCTTACCTAGAGTGTAAGAAATTTCTCCTCTAGCTAGCTGTGTGTGTGAGGATGTGATTTGGCATGGAATTCTAAACATGTATAGATTCTACTGGAAGTGTTACAATACTTTAAAATAAAGGTCTGTTTTTATTTAAATATTGACAAGATTAAGTCTTCACTTTTATCTTAGAAAAATATCCCTGAAAATTTTGGAAGTGCTGCTAAAAAGAGAAAAATGTATCCTAGGCCTGCAGTCTTGAGAGAGATTCTGCATCATATTATCTTTAGGTTGGCAAGAGAGAGATGCAGTAAGTATGCTTTTAACAAAGAGTTGCGCCCTGTGTGCCCCACAAGTTAAGTCAGAGTTGTGGAAACTGAATTGTAAGATGCTCAAAATCAAGGGGGAAAAGAACCCAAATAAACAACAACAAAAAGCCTTAGGAAAGTGAATGCAGATTTAGATAAAATTTTGCTCTTGCAGGCTTCACAAGCATGAAAGAAAAATAACACACATGAAACTATATGCACTGAATAATAACTGATCAAGACAAACATAAACATATCATTCTGTTTAATCAACAATTGAAATAATGTTAACTACTAGAATCATTGCTATAGAATACGATGGCTGTGCCTGGGAATATGGGTGGAAAGTGAGCTTACTCAGAGAACTGACAGTATTGAGTATTACATTTGAACTAGAAGTCAAAACACCTGGTGCTGGGCTCAGTTCTTGCATTCCCTAGCTCTGTGATGCGAGTTATCTTATTTCTCCAAGCCTGTTTCCTCATCCACAAAATAAAAGCCTAAGACAAGATGTTTACTAAAGGTTTCTTAAACTCTAACATAAACGACCTTATGAATTTTTATGTTTTCAGATTTACTTAAAATTTCACTTGTTCTGATTGTTTTCTCCATGGATAAAATACCCCATTTGTATAGATGCATTCTTCTCTGGTGAGTCTTCATTGTTTCTCTGATTTTTAACCTAACAACGAGCAAAACCAAAGGAAAGGTTTTGTTTTGTTTTTACACCTAGATGTATGGGAAAAAGTAAGAAAGCAGAAAACAAGAAAAAAACATACAAGATCCCATCTTTGGGAAGGAATCTATGAAGGATACAAGGCCTTGAACAAATGCTATATTTATGAGATCAAACCACTGCCTCCTGAGCACACTGAACGGTGTGCAGAACCTCAGCTTTCAGCAGCAGGACATTTAAGTCGGATAGTAATGGCTACGGAGATCGCTTAGCAAGCCCTCAGTTTAGGTATACTGTAGCTGCCAGCTACGTGCCACGCTCCTTGTTCGCACCCCATCACCAGCTTCCACAGGGAACCAGGCAACCAGGAATATGAATACACAAGGACTGGCTGGGTGTGACCTGGCAGTAGACAGGAGAGTCTGCAGCCTTACCTTATATTCCTGTTCAATCCAGCAAAGCTGAAAGCTATCAGCAGCACATTTTGCCATGTTGCTCTCTTTAATTTTCAATTTGCATGCAAGGCTTGAGGCATGGACTTTATATATAACTTGGTGACGCTGGACACATTCCAGTGTCAAACTTAGCCTCTCTCTCTCTCTCTCTATACACACACACACACACACACACACACACACACACACACATTTATTTTTTTAAAAGATGGGGTCTGTTGCCAAGGTGGGCCTCAGACTCCTGGGCTCAAATGATCCTACTGCCTTAGCCTCCCAAGTAGCTGGAATTACAGCTGTGCCACCACCACATCTGGCATAATCCACATGCTTAAGATATTTTCTCCCTGTGACCAGAATATTAAACACAAAAATGACATCTAAAATGAAGATATCTGGGTACTCCCTCCCTAACCAATGCAATTGTATCCCTGAGAGAGATTTTAAGATAGATAAGACTAGGTACCTACACTCAAAGAGTTTACAAATAACTGTAGGAGACTCAGACAAATACACTGATTACTAAGGTAGAATTATTAAATATAATAGGTGTTCCAAGCAAAGGGAGCATTTTGAGCAAAGGCATGTACAGGCCGGAAAGCAAAGGGTATACACAAGGGATCATGCATAGCTGGAATGGGTACCTGCAAGGCAGTAGTTAAAGGAGAAGTGTTGGCATAATTTTGTGGAAGGTCTTTCTTGCTGGGAAGAAAAGTTTGAACTTACAGTGGAAAACAAAGGAAATCCTGGAAAATTTGGGAATGGGGGTGGGGGAACTAGATTAAGGCCTTGATTTAGGAAGAATGTTATGGAAACTGTGGGATGGTTTCCATCAGAGGAGATTGGAGGTGTGAAGACACTGCATAGAGGCCACTGCAGTTATCTTGGCAAGAGGACATAAAGATCAAGAGCAAGGCTTGAGAAACACAGCTGCTCTTTAAAAAAAAAATACTGCTCAGTGATTATTATAGTCCATGGAAACAAGTACTCCAGAGAAGTGTGGAGCAGTGAGAGAGAAGGATAAACAGGAAGAATGAGATTCCTCAAGAGAGAACAAAGCTTAATTTATTTACTGAAGTGGCATGGGCTCCCATAGCAGAGTTTGCACCCACCTCCCCCTCATCCAGTAGTGCTCTGTCTTCTGGTATCATATCTGGGTCATAAAAAAGTACCTGATACAGCCCACACCCCAAACCACATCCTCAGTCTCTTTTCTCTTTAGAAAAGGTGATCAACTCATTGGCACAACTGGTTGTTAGTATTGCAGTAAATAAGTTTCCAGCCATATTCTAGCCTGCAGATTCTTTTAACCTGACACTTCCTGCTATAACCTCTTACTTGTGTTTAGGATAAGTTTTGAGGTAACATGGCTTTTGATCAAAGTCACTGCTATCATCAATATTTAGCTCAGTGACCACAGCTATGTTTTGCATCTATAGCATGGAAGCAAGTGAAGGTAGCAAGGGGGAGACAGGTTAAATATTTGGTAATCAAGAAAGTTAAGTGGAATTAACTTTATTTTTATTAAGTTTGTATTGTATGCCCAACACTTCCAGGAACTATGGAGGATACATAATAGTGAACCTCAAAGAACTTACTATCTATTTGAGGAACTGGGGTTGGAATATAAATTGGCACACTCTATTTGGCTGATAATGTTACAATACGTGTCAAAATGTGCACATCTAATGAACCGTGATCCTCTTTGCAAACATTTGTCCTATGGAAGTAATCAGGAATCCGTGAGGAAATTTGTCCATGAAGATGTTTATTTCAATATTATTTATAATAGCAAGCCACTGGAAACATCCTAATTAATGCCCTAAAATAGGGCATCAAATAATGACTTTTTCATATGGTAGATACTCTGTAGCCAATGAAATTATATTATAGAAGAACATTTAATGAAATGGAAAAATGCTGAGAGTACAATGTTAAATTAGAAAAGCAGTTATAAAAGCAGTATGTGCAGGATGATCTTACTTTGGTAAAGAAAAAAGATGTAATTTTAAACACATAAAATGTTAGAAACAAAGATATCAAACAATCAACAGTGGTTATCTCAGAACTATAGGATTGAAATTTTTTCTTCTTTGTGGTTTTAATTTTTCTACAAAATTTCTATAATGAGTATTTAACTATAATTAACATGTATGTAATCATATAAATATTAGCTTAAATTAAAATTTGAGGAAGCCACATGAGAATGATAACATACAGCCAAGCATTAACAAAAGCCAATAAAGGTCTTAACTGGGACAAAGAGTGCAACAGATTTTTACAGGGCTGGATGCAAGGTAGAAGGTGGGGCTCAGATACCAGACCAAATTGAGAACTAGCTAAAATAGGGCAAGGGCAGAAGCAGCTTTCCATAGGACACGCACCAGTGTGCCACGTCAGTTCGCCATTGCCATTGCCAAGCCAACACCTGGAAGTTAATTGCCCCTCTCCATGACCTGAAGACCCAAGTTACTACGCTTTCCCTAGAAATTTCTGCATAAACTGCCCCTTAATGTGAATGTAATTAAAAGTGGGTATAAATATGACTGCAAAACTGCCCTGAGCTGCTACTCTCTGCCTAGTGGGTAACCCTGCTCTGCAGGAGCACACACAGAGCTGTAGCACTGCCTCTTCAATAAAGCTGTTTTCTTCTACCTCCGGCTTGCCCTTGAATTTTTTTCCTGGGCAAAGCCAAGAAGCCTTGTGGACTAAGCCTCACTTTGGGGCTCACCTGCCCTGCATCAGGTGAGTTTCCAGAAAGCCAACTCTCCTAAGTCGAGGTATCACAGCAAGACCCCGTCTCTACAAAAAATAAAAAATTAGCTAGGCATGGTAGCGCACGCTACCATATTCTCAGAGCTGCAGAAGGGCAGCCTCACTTAGCCACAGTCCCAGCTTCCTGCTCCAGAAAAGGAGACAGTTGCTGGAATCACTCTACTTCCCCCATCTGCTCAGACTGTCAAGTTTTAGGTGCGTTGAATAAGGGGTGGAGACAGCTCTCAGTGAGCATGTGGCTCCCTGGAAGTGCTGAGAAGACAGGAGGCCAGGGAAAAGGAGGGCATACCTGTTGGGGAAAAGGACCTGCCTATATGGGATGGGCTTGCGCATTTCTCACTCTAAAACTGATTTTTAAATTCCGTCTGAACAAAAGAAGCAGCACTCAGATTCATCCATGGTTATGAGTGTGGGGATTCAGATAGCGAAGAGGGGTCAACTTAAACAAATAGTATGATATTTGATATCCTTTGCCCCTGGAATGTGGGTTTGTTGGCAAGTTTGGAGCTGTCTTTGTCAAGATGCCTGATATTTAGAGCTTAATAGCTGCCTAGGGACTGTGAAATCTGCCTGGGTTCTGCACTCTTCTGTTACTTTCTTATGTCATAATTTTGGAAGATATAGGAGAGAGAGTGCTTCTGGAAATGATGGGTACAATACCTCAAACCTTGTCTTTTGGGGAAAGGAGGAAATGGTAAGACAGAGGGGGAGGAAGGGATGGGGGAGGCAGGAATCAGGGGGTGGGAAAAGGGCAGACAGAAAGGACACAAGAGATCTGCTTCCCTGGGGCACTGCAGGTGCCTATACTGTGAACCAAGAGCAGGCCTTGCACAAACTCAGCATGGCATTTAATACCTGCCCCCCCCCCACCCCCAACCACGCCATTTCTGGGATTAAATGTTATACTAATAAAAAGACAAATAGATGTGCCGTAGACCTTGGGAGAGGGAAGTCCCTGTGCAAAACTCAGAGCCTGAGATCTGAAAGCCTTTTCCACCTGTAACTGCCAGGCTGGAAATCTGCCTGATGTGACCAATTTGCTGGCAAGCCTTGGACAGGCACACACAACGCTTTACTGAGGAAGAAAGAAATACAAACACAATTTGACTGAAGCAGTCCCCAGGCCAGCCATTCGGTGGGGGCGTGCAGGTTCAGGAGTAGGACCACAATGAGTTCTTTTGCAGAAATCACTGCAAACACTTCCAAGTTGTGGCTTTAGAGATGGTGGTTTTATTTAGTAAAAATTATTTTTCCAATACTCAAAAGACAGTATACAGAATCTCAGGGGGTTTCATCTAAAAATAAATTTTAAAAAATTATTTAACTAACAGGACAAGGCACTCTCTTGTGTTTCCACCAGTTATACTGAGTTTAACTGTGCTTATCCATTCAATGTTAATTACTTATTTCCATAGTCCCTGATCATAAATAAAATGGTTACAGTCAACAAGCTGAAGGTAAGACTTCTACTCTCACTGCAGAAAGAGCAATAGCCAAGGCCATACCTTAAATTGGAGAGGAAATTTATCCTACACACCATTGGCCATCTGAGTGTACAGGGCCTAGCTCCTTGTCAGAAGGTTAGGTGGCATCTGGGTAGCATCTGATGCAGCTTTCACTCACAGATATCACAGATTTTGATGAGAAAATCACAACATATTCAAAGAGAAAAGTGGGCAAAGAATCAGAAGAAATACAACTGGCTTATGAAAACATGAACAAAATGTTCTCCCATATTAATAATCCAATAAATACAAAGTAAAACAGGATACATGCATGTTGAAGTCTTTGGGCTGAACTGTCATGATATCTGCAGCCTAATTTCAGATAATTTGGCAAATGCGTGTGTGTGTGTGTGTGTTTATGTGTGAGCGTGTGTAGGAAGTGCTATTGGTATCATAAGGGCTAACGGTGAGTGCAACTGGGGGTATATGCATATTTACTGTATTTTTTCAAATTTTCTGTGGGTTTGAAAATGTTGAAACTAATAATTAAAAGAGATAATATTTAAACTATATGATCAAATATACATAAAAAAGAGAAAACACTGTGTTATCAAAAAATAAAATGAAACCACTCAAATACATAGTTTGTCAGGGTACAAGTAGCTGAAATCTTCATAGAAAATAATTTGGCTATATATATCCAGAATATCTTAAAATAACTCTCTACCTTCAAAGTCACTTTTACGGTTATCTATCTTTTAAGAAATAAAGGTTACCAACAAAGATTTAAGTTCAAGAATGCTTTCTCAATACTATTTCTAATGGTTTTAAAAAATGATTAAAAATCCATATCTATAGTGGTAGAACATTATTCATACATTAAAATCATGTCTTTTATCTAGTGACATGAGAACATTCTCACAACTTAATGAAAAGTGACAAAAGATTAAAAAAAAAAAAAAATTTGTTGAGACAGGGTCTCACTCCATTGCCCAGGATGGAGTGCAGTGGTGCAATCATGGCTCACTGAATCCTCCACCTCCTGGGCTCAAGCGATCTTCCAACCTCAGCCTCCTGAGTAACTGGGACCATAGGCATGCACCATCATGCTCGGTTAATTTTTTTAACTTTTATTTTTAATAGAGACGAGGTCTTGCTATGTTGCCTAGGCTAGATTAAAAATTACGTACAGTATAATCTCCAATTTTCCTTTAGACATTTTACACACATATGTATAAAACATGATTTAAAGTGCGATTAAATGAACATATGCCAAAATGGTAATTAACACTAGGTACTTCTGATTCCAGGGATTTAAAATGTTTTCTACATTTTCCAAATGTTCTCTAATGAGTATGTATTCTTATAATTAGAGAAAATAACATACTTTAAATCTATATAAATGCATATAATCATTTTTTCAAAGATGATTTTATATATATATATATATATATATATATATATATATATATATATATACCCTTTACCCTTTTAAATCAGTTTGGAAATAGCTACTTGTGTTCAACTCTCAGGTGCAGAAGAGGGGAAGCTGCTTCAGTGCCAGGGCTGAACATCTTTAGGATTGCACAAGGTGTACCAAGGGGATAAAACTCAGAATTTAAGCCTGTTGTTAGTTTTGGTGTTAACATTCCTATGTGTAAGTATCCTTAGTGTGTCACTCAGATAGTACCACAGAAACAAAGTCAAGCAGAAAAATACCAGACATCAGTAGAGTCTCATCATGTCCCTCCACCCAAATCTTCCTTAGATGGAGACCACACTCGGAACGTGATGGCAGAGGGGTGGGATGTGTGCTTTTCTGAAGGTCTGTTAGTGGAGACTGCACATCTTCTTGCATGATCAAGGGCAATAAAGTAAAATAATAAACTTATCAAATAAGCAGTTGATGATAAGTAGCAATAAAATTCTAAAAGAAAACCCCTTTCATAAAGAACCCAAATTGTTTAGATTCCGTAATTCTAAACCTCATTCCTGCTCCAGTCTCTGGCTATAAGTGAGGTTGCTAAAACCTACTTCTTTGTGTTTCTACAAGGTGCTGGGTGGGGCCTCCATGGGCCCATGCAAGAGGGGGCAGCTCTGGTCTTTCTCTGGGCACATAGCTCCCATGTGGTGAGGGGCATGTGAGGTCAAGAGGATGTGCCACTGGGAGCCCACTCAACCCTCCTACCAGGCTCTGGCAACGTGAATCTGGGGATTCCTGACCCCTCTTTCTGGGTTTACATTTGCCTCTTCTCTGAGGACCAGATGCGGGTATGCACCATATCCAGTTCATTTTTTACACTGATGGGCCTGGGAGGTGACCCAGAGGCCAGCTAATCTAAGAGGGGAATGTGGCATCCCCACAGGTGAGTATAAGCCCCTCAGAGTGCTTGATGACGTTGAAGGTAGGAAGAGAAAGAGAGGGGCTGCCTGCTGGGGACGCCCACTCTCCCTGAAGCGCCACATTCTGGGGAGGACTCTGGGGGAGATGGACATTCTACACTGAACCCAGACTTCTGGATCATTATATAGGCATATTTCTCCAGGTCTGAATATACTTGATTTAATAGTTGTTAAGTTTGAATTGTAACACAAACATTTAGACATACAGTCTGTGGGTTTCCATTTGTTCTCTTATCCTGGACCTTCCAATTTTAGGGTTGAAGGTCTTGAGTGAAGCATATAAGCTGTGTTCTACATTTTTAAAAATATTTGGCCAGGCGCAGTGGTTCACGCCTGTAATCCCAGCACTTAGGGAGGCCGAGATGGGCGGATCACAAGGTCAGGAGATCAAGACCATCCTGGCTAACACGGTGAAACCCCGTCTCTACTAAAAATACAAAAAATTAGCTAGGCGTGGTGGTGGGCGCCTGTAGTCCCAGCTACTCGGGAGGCTGAGGCAGGAGAATGGCGTGAACCCAGGAGGCGGACCTTGCAGTGAGCCGAGACTGTGCCACTGCACTCTAGCCTGGGTGACAGAGCAAGACTCCGTCTAAAAAAAAAAAAATTTTTAAACTGATAAACATAACATGAGATTTTGGAGCATGTACATAATACATAAAACATGTCTACTGAGATGATTCAAAAATCAACTTTTATTCGTAATGGTGCTTTCCATTGCAAAACTCATTTCCCTTTATCTGAATAATTCAGAAATCTGGTTTCTCCACTTCCCACCTGTGTCTCATATGCTTCAAAGAGCCTGTTCAATAGGCTGATGGTTCCCAACCTGCCTGCTCACTTGAATCACCTGGGGAGCTTCAAAAGCAATGCCGCTTGCCACATATCTCCAGAGATTAAAATTTAATTATTCTGGGGTGGAGCCTGGGCATTGGAATTTTTAAACAATCCCCAGATGATTTCAATGTGTAAACAAGTTTGGGAACCACTTCTGTAAGCTTTTCCCCCTTTTGTTCTCTATTTCCCATCAGTACTCATTTTTAAAAAATCTCTAACTTTGAATAACAATTCTGAATAACTTTCTGTTGATCCATTCCTGCTCTCAGTAGAGACATGATGATTATGGGTCATTTATGATTGTGTGTGCCTGAATGATATTTATCAGGCAAAATTCAATGTTTTAAATTTTGTCCTCCTCCTCTATCCACTTTATTGAGGACAGCAGAGCCTCAAGCTTTAAAATCCTTAACTTTTGAGGTTGCCAAACTGTCCCAACTCATAGATAATTCAGGGACCACTCTTTCCTCACCCTCCTTTACTGAGAGCTGCTCAAAGCTTACGCTTATCCTCCCAGGATTTTGCAGACATTGTCTTTTGAAGCGAGGGTCTGAAGCATGCGTTTGTAAACTCCTTCAGACAATAAGTAAAGCCCAACAAAATGGGGGCAGTGTGTTCGTAGCAGCTGATAGCCTGAAAAAAAAAAGGTGTACTTATCTCCACCCACATGTAGTTCATATAAAGAATGATTCCTAACCAGAAAACAGTAACAGGCCGGGAACGGTGGCTCACACCTGTAAATCCCAGCACTTTGGGAGGCCGAGGTGGGCGGATCATGAGGTCAGGAGATAGAGACCATCCTGGCTAACACGGTGAAACCCCGTCTCTACTAAAAATACAAAAAATTAGCCGGGCGTGGTGGTGGGTGCCTGTAGTCCCAGCTACTCAGGAGGCTGAGGCAGGAGAATGGCGAGAACACAGGAGGTGGAGCTTGCAGTGAGCCCAGATCCCGCCACTGCACTCCAGCCTTCCAGCCTGGGTGACAGAGCAAGACTCCATCTCAAAAAAAAAAAAAAAAAAAAGAAAAAAAAGAAAAAAGAAAACAGTAACAATACAATTCCTAAAAATTATCTTTTTTTGGTGGTGGTGGGGGGTGGGGTGGGACAGAATGTGGGGAATCAAGTAAATTTCTATTCAAATGTAAAAATATTTTAAAAATTTTGTGGCCCACTGTATGTTCTAAGCACACACTTAGTTGGATCCTGTGCTGGATACCTAGTGAGTGAATGTTTGTGATTCATAATTCAGTTACAATGACCTGGGTCATTTAACATCCATGTTGTTAAAGAGAGAGCAATGTTGATTACAGACTTTTACTTAACAAAAATATTCCCCTTTAGATTCAGTCAGTACCATCAAGTTTCCTAAGATGTAGCATCAGGCTTATTATGTTTAAAACACTAGAGAAGGTTATATAAAATATTTTCATGTCAAGTTTTTAAAAAGCAACTCTTTTTTATTTTTTTGAGACAGTCTCGCCTCAGCTTCCCAAGTAGCTGGGACTACAGGCATGTGCCACACACCTGGCTAATTTTTCGTATTTTTTGTAGAGACAGGGTTTCGCCCTGTTGCTCAGGCTGGTCTTGAATGCCTAGGCTCAAGTGATCAGCCTGCTTCAGCCTCCCAAAGTGGTGGGATTACAGGCGTGAGCACTGCGCCCAGCCAAACAACTCTTATATATAAAGCTCCAACTAGTAATTCATTGTTGCTTTGCCTCAAGCTGCCTCTTCTATCAGGTGTGTGTGTATACATACATACGTGTATATATATATACACACACACATATATATATACACACACACATACACACACACATATATATATACACACACACATACACACACACATACATACATATATATATATATATGAATATAGACAATAATCCTTCCATCTTAATCACTCTTTAACTGGGAGTGTTAGGGTCGGCCCCAAGTAGTGTGAGGCTCTGGAGCAAACTATACCTTCCTTAACTAAGATATCGATTCAAGTGAAAAATCAGTCCATGTGGAAAGGCAATCGAAATTCCAAATAAGCAACCATCCCGAGGAGATAAATATCAAAAGAGAGCAGGGACTGGTTCTACTGTTTAGCGATGCTGAAAAATTTCAGGGACACTCATAATCATTAGAATCAATTCTTCTGCCTTAAGTCTTCTAATGACCCCCCACTGCAATTAGAATAAAAACCCAAACACCTTATACAAAGACCCACAACACAGTCCCTAATCTGCTCCCTCTTGTACTTCCCCAGTCTCAGTGCTTACATTCTCCCCTCCTGTCCATCAATCTTTCTGTTCTAGGGCTAGACCAAGGCCATTCCCACCTGTGGGTGTTGGTATTAGTGGTTCCCTCTGCCTGGCCTCTTTATTGTCCTTTATTGTGTGTCTATTTCATTTTAGATATTTGCCCACAATCTTACTGCCTCCCACTTTAAAGCATAAGTGCAATGATCGCATGCATTTGACCTGCTTTGGATCTGCCAAGGCACTTATGTACTCTTTATCAAATAATAGGTGCTGATAATGGAGGATTCCCATTCCAAGCAAAAGGACAGCCAGCAGAGCTCACTTCAGCAGCCCAGAGTGTCCCTCGTGGCCATACCAATTGACAAGCATAGACCAAACAGGGCTATTCCTCACATTTCTCTTGCAATATTTATACCCATACGCATAACTTTTGAGTAAACTGTTCCATGATAATTGTATTTGGCCTGTTTACTGCCAAGACTTTAGTTTTAGCAAAAACTTTAGACATGCAACAGAAAAAAGAATAAGAACATCAGGCTCCTGAAAATAAAGTTATTAGAAAGGCAAAAAAGGGGATGAAACATCACATTGAGACTAATACAAAGTGACTTTAGAAGCCATTTAAAGTGAACAACATAACATGCAGAACTGAAGCAAACTGCAACACCAATGAAATGTTAACACAATGTATTTTTATCATTCACTGTGATTGTTTTCTCTCTGCAGAGTAAGACAAACAATAGTCACGTCAAAGCTCAAATCTTTTCCCCTGAATACTCTGACTGAAGTTGGGCGGGACCTCAATGACCATGGAGCTGCCAGCGACATGCTCATTTTTTGAAATGAATACTATACTGAAACTGATGTTTTCAGATGCCACCTGCATAACCCTGGAACTTCTGTTATTTCCATGCCTCCTGCACCAAGGAATCAATACTCAGAATGCTACTGTTACTGCTCTCCACATGTGGACAGTAACATTTATGGTCTTTTCATGTGAATAGCAACACATCTTTACAGCATGCCTGCCTGAGCTAGGCCCTGTAGCTCTGAAATAAACATTTTCCTTACTTATTATATATATATGAGCTCTGGTCTCATTACCAGCATGCTTCATCACACAGTCAACGTCATGCTCATGATTCTCTAATTCGAGCTTGTCCAACCTGTGGCCCACGGGCTGCTTTGAATGCAGCCCAACACAAATTCATAAACTTTCTTAAAACATTGTGGGATTTTTTTTAAAGCTCATCAGCTATTGTTAGTGTTATTGTATTTTTTGTGTGGCCCAAGACAACTCTTCTTTCAAAGCGGCCCAGGGAAGCCAAAAGATTGGACACCCCTGCTCTAACTGGTTTTCTAGCTAAGTTTGTCTTTTTTTTTTTTTTTTTTTTTTAATTCTCCAAATCCATACATATAACTGCCTGCTTGGTGCCTCCTCTTGGATATTTATGAGGCAACTCCAAAATCAAACTCATATTTCCCATAAACCCTATTCAAAATAACACCACTATCACTGCTATTATTAATCATCATAGCTCCAGAGATACACTGTTGCTTTTATTCCCCAATTTTGCAGCTCAGTAAGAGGTTAGAGTGAGTAGATAATTCGTTCAGTCATATAGACAGAATGGTAGAACTAGAATTTGAACGCATACAGGGTTTATCCAGAGTCCACGTTGTTAACCACCATCTCCTTACCACAGTTCATGGCTTCAGCCCTCACTGAGTTACTTAAGTCAAAACTGCAGCATCACTCTCTCTACCTCTATCTCCTTTACCCATCCCCTCCATAACCAATGTGGCTACATGCCCTGTCCATCTCCTGAATTCCTCTGGAAGCCATTTACTTCTGTCTACCACCACTACCACCACTCTACTCTAAATAATGACCAACTCCTACTTAGGCAGTAACTGCCATAGGCTTCCAGTCCCCATTTAGACCTTGTTTTAAAGTGATCATAAACAAAATGACAACATGAGCAATGAAATCATGTGGCAGTATTTTGTCAGAAGGTGGTCATCCAGATAATCTAGAATATGTGTATTTAAAGAAACTAGACTACTACTGTGAACAATTTCAGAATCCTTTCTTAATTCCTCAGTAGATCTGTGATGCCCCAGGCGCTGAGTTAACCCAGACTCATTCTTCAGACGGCAGCTCCAAAGTCATTCATCAGGGAAGAAGCATTGCCTGACCCTCAGAAAAGGTTGGATGTTAACAGCAGTTGATACGTCTTCATAATGCTCACCACATTGTAACCAGGTGATTCATGTCTCTGCCCTCCTAGATAGAAAGCTTCATAAGGGCAAGGACTGAAATGTGTGCCTTTCCCATCCTGGTCTCAATTACCTAGTAGTGTTTGGCAAATAGTGAGTTTTCAAATATTTGTAGGATAAATGGAATTTTTCTATAATTAGAATGGCCTTAATATTTTCTAACTCTGAAGATAATACATAGCATGTATTTATATAGAAAAAGTTAAGAAAGTAAAGTCATTTCTTTTCTATTTTTTCTTCATATTGTGCTTGGTGAATATTTTCACCTGCTGTGTAACAACTTTGTGTGAAGTGCTGTTAAATAACATGTATCTAATGAAAAAATCCATGGAATTTTCTCTCATTATGCACCAAATATGCATCAATTCTGGAAAAGACTCAGCACTAATTTTTCCCTTGCTCTTTTTTTTGCCATACTGAACTTTACAACATCAGCTCCTAATTGGACCTGGAGAGCTCAAGGAACATCCCCTTAAATGTTCCTTTCCAGGCTGGGCGCAGTGACTCATGCCTGTAATTTGGAAGGCCGAGGCGGATGGGTCACCTGAGGTCAGGAGTTCGAGACCAGCCTCGCCAACCTGGTGAAACCCCATCTCTACTAAAAATACAAAAATTAGGTGTGCGCCTGTAATCCCAGCTACTCGGGAGGCTGAGGCAGGAGAGGTGCAGTGAGCTGAGATGGTGCCATTGTACTACAGCCTGGGTGACAGAGCGAGACTCTGTCTCAAAAAAAAAAAAAGTTCCTTTCTTCTTCATACCACAGAAGGCAGTGGAGTCAGTTGCATCATGTCATAATTGAGGATTCCACTATTTATGCTTAGCAAAAAAATAAAATGGAATAAAATAACAGCATAAAATAACAAGAGTAAATAAAAAATAAATTTAACGCGGGAGACTCCATCTGCCACTCCTCTTAACTCACTTGAAATAGGGAACATGAATCTTCTGCACCCTTGGCTCTTCTCAGTTCTGACCTTGCTTACCTTTCTTAGTGAGATCATCTTGTTGCACACATGGTAAATTTAGGAATTTTCATGGAAATTTTTAATATACTCAATTTTTACCACATGACCAACCTTAGACTCTATTCCCGGAGTAAGATTTTGTTCTGCATTGTATCCTGTTCTTCCCTCTCCGCTTTTGCTCATGGTGTCAGCTTAGGGTGGATGTCCTTCTTCCCATTTACTATTTATTCATTCTTCAAGGCCCAGCTCAAATATCATTTTCTCAGTTAGACCATCATCACTGCCTGGCTCAGAATTCATCAAAACTTCTACTGTAGCCTGGGTGCAGTGGGTCACGCCTGTAATCCTAGCACTTTGGGAGGCCGAGGCAGGCGGATTACCCGAGCTCAGGAATTTGAGACCAGCCTGGGAAACATGGTGAAACCCCGTCTCTACTAAAATACAAAAAAAAAAAAAAAAAAAAAAAAAAAAATTAGCCGGGTGTGGCAGCATGTGCCTGTAGTCCCAGGTACTCGGGAGGCTGAGGCAGAAGAATTGCTTGAAGCCGGGAGGTGGAGGTTGCAGTTAGCCGAGATAGTGCCGCTGCACTCCAGCCTGGCAACAGAGTGAGACTCTGTCTCAAAAAAACCCCCCAAAACAAACAAACAAACAACTTCTACTGTAAAATTTTCTACTGCTGTTTACCACTTCTGGCTGTCTGCTGTGGGTTACAGCTGGCTGCCCAATGTTAGAACTGGATTGCAAGCTTCTGGAGCACGGGTACTACATTCATTTTGTATCCCTGTTGGTTAGCCCTGTGCCTAAGCTTTTTACGATTTACATTTGGTACTTTAAAAAATCATGACATTTTCTTTGACCAACAACTTATAAAAAATCTGTGATGCAAACTCCAAGTTATAATGTTCCATTTTATGCTTACTTAGAAGTCTATCCCTCAACAGACTACTTGCTTAATCTATGTAAATTCTAATCAGAGGAATGAGAGGTAACAGTATGATAGAGTTTTAAATTCTCTGAAGTTCCAAACTTCCATAGTCGTAAGCACTGTTCATCTACAACAGTGTTAAAAAAGTCATTATATAACAAGAATAATTCAGATGCATACCAGAAACATAAAGTGACTATTTTCTGTTTGGTTCCTGGTAAGTTGCCATTATTTATCATTTAATAATCACCACCATCTGTCATTTAAAATCTTCACACCATCCACCAACACTGAATTGCAGAGCCAAGCTGATTCACACCTCTTCCTGTTGGTCACATGTAACAAGCCCTGTGCTAATAGCTGTAAGCAGAAAGCAAGGCCTGGACTACCACGCCCAGCTTCATTTGTCACAGAGGGAATCCTAACTCATAATTTGAGTCTCTCACCCTGTATATAAAATAAAACTATTTCACTTAAGTGTGTAACCTTTATAACTGAAAATTTCAAATATACCCACAAATAGAAAATAGAATAACAATTGACCTATTCAATACACATTCTTCAGCAGCTTTAATAATAATCAACTCATGGTCAGTGTGTTTGCATCTATACCTCTCTCTATATATATGTACAGATATCTCATCTATACATATTTCAAACTCTTAAAAAACACTCACCATAATGCCATTATCACACCTAAAGAAAATAACAATAGTTCACATTCACCTGTTGATGCCATCGTGAACCTGCTGCAGAAATGGCTGTCACTAAATATTTCCCAATACATAGCTCAAAAGCTGTTTATAAACTGTACATATGATGTTCAACTATTACAATGGCACTTTTAGGACAAAAGAAAACTGCTCATTCCCTGAATGCTGCTTAATATTGAATTCAGTTTTTGAAAAGAAGATGCACATTATATTTCTTTATTCACATAAAAGACACAGAGCAAAATCCTTGGCATCCACACTCGCATTTCAAGCTCAACAGACACTCTTCTTTTTGGTCCCTGCCTGGAGTCATAAGCATGGGTAATTTCATGCAGGATTTCAAATGTGTATCAGAACAAAAGGTTTTAGACACTGCAGCCCTTCATTTTATAATTTCACATCACCCCTAATGAATTTCCCATGAATACTGGTATTAAAGAATTTGAAAGAGGTAGCACTTTTTAAAAAAGCAAATGTCAGATTTTCAAAAGGACGCCGCAGAATTTTTTCCTTACACATTAGAGAAAAAGGACATTTATGTGACTAAGCGTCTTTCTGCGAGCCAATATTGAATTTTCCATTGTTGGTGGCTCAGTCTCTCCTGGGAGGCACTTAATTGAATCAGTCTTGAAAGGTTTTCATTGTGTTTTTCCTGAGACCCTCTTATGTATTACAGACACAACTGTAGTGAGTACAGCTCTAATGGAAGATGCTGTCATCCTAGTCCTCAGTCTGGCCTCTATCACAATTGCTTGTGCCTCTTAAGAGGCTGGCATGCTATCAGGAAGAGGTCAAGGTAGACAGAAGCAGGAAGCAATAGCTCTTCACAGGATCGGATAAAAAGTGGTGGAGAGAAAGAGATGGTACAGCCACCAACGGATCCCCTTAGCACAAATTCTAGACAAATCCACCGAAAATAGAGTCAGATCCACACATTTATCAGACAGGGACCAGAGGCGAGAGAGCCTAAGAGAATTTCATCACCTTCTGTGAGGGCGAGGTAGCATGAGAGTAAAGGGGAAGGGCAGGCATGAGTGACATGCTGCCAGCAAGCCTGTCGTGCACTGCCTGCCATGCCAGGGCTGTCCTTACACATGCATCAGCTCCATCTGAAAACCTGGAAGGAAAATGCTAGCCATCACACGATTCTCTTTGACTAAATGTTGCAGCTGGATTATTCTTCACTTTCCCTGTTCTAATTTGAACAGTCAGACGTTTCTCAATTTAAGCCTTTTTCCCTCAAAGAATCCTCCTCTACATAGGTACCCTTATCTAAGGCCCACCTACGGCCAGGCACTGGAGGCTGAGGCAGGAGGATCCTTGAGGCCAGGAATCCGAGACCAGGCTGGAAATCATGGTGAGATCCTGTTGCTACAAAACATTTTTTTTTCTTAATTAGCTGGGCACAGTGGACACGCCTGTAGTGCCCGTGCTTGGGAGGCTGAGGCAGGAGGATCCCTTGAGCCCAGGAGTTTGAGGCTGCAGTGAGCTATGACTGTGCCACTGTACTCCAGCCTGGGCAACAGAGCAAGATTCTGTCTTTTTAAAAAAAAAGCCCACTTGGGTCTGATAAGGTCCTCATTGTGTACATGTATCAACTATCGTTTTCAAATGAAATAGACACAGTGCTATACAGTGCTTTAAACCTTGAGATACTTTCATGTGCATATTTACTTAATATACACAAAAACTCTTTACCAAGGAAGGCCTTATTACACTTACTTACAGTAATGGTAACAAAAGTATGAGAAGAGTGCTGATTTTATCAAGTTTACTAAGAGTAAATTAATACCAAATCAAAACACCACCATGCCTGGTTAATTTTTACAGTTTTTCATAGAGATGGGGTCATGGGGTCTTGCATTATTACCCAGGCTAGTCTTAAACTCCTGGCCTCAAGCAGTCCTTTCGCCTCAGTGTCCCAAAGTGCTGGGATTACAGGTGTGAGTCACCCCACTCAGCTGCCTAGAAAAATATTTCTTTCTTTCTTTTTTTTTTTTTTTTTTGAGACAGGGTCTCCTTCTGTCTCCTAGGCAGAGTGCAGTAGCACAATTACAGCTCACTGCAGCCTCAATCATCCAGGCTCAAGTGATCCTCCTGCCTTAGCCTCCCAAGTAGCAGGGACTACAGGTATGTGACATCACGCCTGGCTGATTTTTTTTTTTAAATTTTTAGTAGAGATGGGGCCTCACTATGTTGCCCAGGCTGGTCTTGAACTCCTGAGCTCAAGCAATCATCCTGCCTCTTCAGTCTCCTAAAGTGCTGGGATTGTAGGCATGAGCCACTGCACCTGGCCAAAATACTTCTTAAGTGCTGTTGGTGACAAAAGCTCACCAGCACTTCATACTCTGTACTCGGAAACTGTTTCATGTCCAAGGATCACACTCATAGAGCCCTGAAACGGTCTGATTATATTTCCACAATCTAAACAGAAGAAACAGAATTAGGGTGTCAATCACACCCTCTTACCCCAGAAAAAAACTGTTCTTGTATAAATTTTTAGGAAGCAGAAATGACTAAGATGGGTACAATTTATAGGCCTAAATCTACCATTAACCTTAATTGATCAGTTGCTTATTAACTTTTTTTTTTTTTGCAGGGGTGTGGAAGTAGTCTGTTAAAAGTATTATATGGCATGAAGTTGTATCAGCACTGATAGCTGCAAATGAGCCTGGCACGGAGTTAAAAAGTCCTACACTGACTGAATAATCAAAGTGCCAATACTGTTCAATTGAGGAGGGGTGAGACATAAGATTAGTCTTGCAAACCTAAAGAACACATACTCAGTGAAGAACTGGTCCACTTGAGAATAATGTATGTGTTTAAATGCTTTGAATCTGTGCTTGGATGATACTTTATGTTTAACTCCTGTGGCCTAATATTTATTTCTTAAAGATTGTTCTACCTTATGCTTAAGGAGCTGAAACTCTATAGTGTCATTTGTCAGGATAGTGATTATGTGCAAGTGGGAGAGTTTTTTTAAGTCAACAATAAATGTCTTGCACTGTGAAAATAGCAGCTTGACTCCCACATTCATTTAGTAGCAGAAGGCATGAAATGAATTGGCCTTTTTGAATTATTTCCAAAATGTGCTCCAGATGCATATAGATAGAGCACTAAATATAAACCTAGTTGCTTTTGTTTTTGTCCCATTGCTAAGCAACTTTTAAACCAAAGTGATATAGAATGAGTTCATCATCACTGTTCTTCAAATTTAAGTCTGTAAGAAAACAAAGCCATGTATGTTCCCAATATACAGTCTGATTAACCGTTGACTACTGATAGATGGCCAAATACAGCCATGCTGATGTGTGCGTGTGCATGTGTGTGTGTGCGTGTCTGTCTGTCTTTTGTTCCTGATGGATTCGTTCATCAGGTTCAGTGTTAGCTTCCTATTTATAGTGGCATAAATGGTTCAGTGTTAGTGTCCTATTTATAGTGGCATAAATTATACCAAGGACATGTGCCGCTCAGATCTCCCTGCAAGACATTTTGTCACTCAGCTGTGATGGGCACAGTTAGCTGAAAGCCTCCAGCAGCAGTGCCCTCAGAATCTGCCCCAGGGTGTGAGCCAAGGCATGTCTTTCCTGGGCATCTCCCAGCCAATAACTGATGGTCAGCTTATTTTTTTTTCCTTCTATACACTGCAGGCTTTTTAAACAAGTAGTCTACGTCCACTATCTCTTTTTGCTCACCGCCCACACCTCCTATACCAGAATCCCTTGCATGGATAATTCTATACATTTTTTTTGAACTAGAAGGTCACCAACCCCCTCATGATTGCCAAAGCATAACATCATAAAACTTTTAGAGCTTTTAGCTCTAAAACTTTTAGCAAGTGAGATTTATTCCAATTCTCCCATTTTATGGATGAAGAAGAGAACATGTACAATTTCACAGCGACTGGTAATTTCATTTGCCTTGATCTGCCCTGCAGTATTTGATACTGCTGACCCCTCCATTTTGAAGCAAAGTATTGGCAATCTGATTTTTCCCCCTAATGGGTTCAAGAGAAGGCCTGAGAAACTTTCCTGACGATAAGCCACGTTACGCATGGGAAGTGATCACTATCACATGTGTCCATTGCAATCCAGATTCTTGGGCAAGACCCTTGTCAACCTTTACCTGCTCCTCTACCATCATCATGTTTCCAGAATTGTCAGAGGCTTTTGTTATGACTGGAAAAACTCCCTAGAAACCTATTCAGTCTTCCTCCTGTGCTGGAGTTGAGCTGCTTATCTCTTAACTTTATATACTCGTCTACTGTAAGATACGCATTTGGTTAAATGACGGCTCTAGTAACTGACATACCTTACTGTCAAATTTTTCTCCCTTTTCTCCAATAAAAGTGCATTACTTTGTACTGCCAAGAAGTTTTCAGATGTAGAAGCAATAAGGAGCAGCAAGTTGTCATTGCATACTGGGAACAGTGTTAACATGAAGGAAAATTAACTCTCTTTCCTCTTCACTAAGGGGAAAACAATCTCCATCTGTTCTCAGGTGATGTGGAAATCCACTTAGCTGTTTTTCAAGGTTCTCAAGATACTGGTCCAGAGAAGCGTATCCTGATTCTAGTTCTAAATGATAACATGAGAGTTTTAAGGCCTATTTGTTGTACCAAGACTCTACAAGCACAAAAAGTGCCAGCAAAATACAGTTTCAATGAAACTGTTGGGTTTTCACGTAAATGCAATGAAGCTGTTTTGTCTGAAATCTCAAAACCATTAAGGCCCTTATTTATGTGATAAACATGTTCCATTTTATTCCTTTTATTGTTTTGCAGCAGGAAGCAAGTGACAATATCTCCACATTTAATTACGAAAAGAAGCCCCATGAACTCATGGAAGCCACTGGTGTGATACTTATCTGATGTAGATCATATTAAGCACAACTCGGCATCACTGTATCTTTTTTTTTACATACGTAAATATAGCTATTTGATATATATATATTTATCTATCTCTTTGCATTGTAAACACACAACCAAGCATCACTTTATTTGACTTCTTTCTGGAAAAAAAGCAGGCCAGAAGATAAAAATAAACAATGACCCTACTTGTGTATGTAGTTATTTTCAGAATAAAGCAATCTTTCATCATCTTCCCCAAACCTTTGAA
Source organism: Homo sapiens (assembly GCF_000001405.40). NCBI lineage: Eukaryota > Metazoa > Chordata > Mammalia > Primates > Hominidae > Homo > Homo sapiens. Next base: position 168,732,769 of record NC_000002.12, on the reverse strand, counting down.
GGATGGATAGAGAGCAAGTTTTAAAAAAAGGGAGAGAGAAAGAGTCAGAAAAGCCACAAGTCAGTTATGTCTGGTATGGGTTGCCCAAAGGCCAGTCCCCTACATACTATGCCTGAAAGAGAGTTCAACCCAGACAACAGCTGTAAGGGACAGCATGTGGGGTGAGAAAATAATAGAATGGAGGAGAATTAGGTAGAGTATGTGTGCTCAGGAGAAGAGAGAAGTTAAATAAGTATTACTTTGGCATTCAGAATATTTTTCCTTGATTTGGGGAGAAAACAGTAAAAAGGGTTATACTATATTAGATTGAATTAAGTAAACAAGCTACCAGTCTGGGGAGGGCCATTTATGAAGGTGAATTCGAAATTAAGATGCAGAATAAATCACACAGATGAACTGCAAGAGGCACCAGCACCAGGTGCAAGGGACTGAGCACATAAAGGGAGAATGAGATGTGGTCCTAGCCCTGCTGGAACTCACTCTTGAGTGGAGAAACGTGACAAGGAAAGGAATGATTACCAAACAATTCCATTATAACAGTGCTTCAGGAAAATGCCATGTGACTGCTACTGAGAGTAGGGAATTTAACATCTACTTAAATTTTTTAATGGGATGGGGGAGACACAATTTGAAATAAATGCAATCATATGGCTAGGAAAGAAGAAGGGGGTCAAGTGCCATGAATAATTCATTACTTAGAGAGACATTCAAGCTCTGTTTCTTCCCTACCTCTTCACAGCAGCTTTAACCTATTTTGTGAAGCAACTGACTTATTTCTCCGATATATTGTAGACTTAATGTATAAGAAAGGGTTCTGATCATTTTTCATGACATGCTGACTTGGCAAATTGTGCTCCTAACATAATGCAGTGTTCTAGGAAAGGGAAGTAATTTAAGGAACTTGTACACAAAGAAAAATTCCTTCAGTGCTTCACGTATCTTCTGAATTCACTGAAGAGACAAGGAGTTTGTTATGAATTTGAGGTTGGGCACCTAATTGACAACACAGTAAACCTGATGAGAAATCCCCAAGGGTGGCTGGGGATGACTCACCAGGTCCCTCATGCAGAATTTAAAATCGTTATGCCAGAACTCTTCCTTGGATGACTGCATGGAAGGGGCAAGATAATTCCCCACCCCCTGCTACTTCTCCTTTGTCCCTCCCTTCCCATGGTCAAATGATACTTGAACATCACCTTGAAGTATTCATTGCTGTATGATGATGTTTTCCCTTCAGTAGCATACAAAAGATAAAATACCCTTATATTTCCATGAGATAAAAACTAGAAAATTTGGTATACTAAAATCTTGATTAATGGAAATACTCTGGTTAACTCAGTGATAACTAGAAATTTTTCCTTATTTTGTTTTGTTCATTTATTATTAGTCAAAAGGTATAATAAAAAGCCACTGAAAAATATTTTACTATTATTTGATGGTTCACAGTCTTGTGCTGCTTCAGATTAACATCAGTTATGACTGCAGAGCACGACAGAATTAGCAGGTAGGAGGCTCGTTTGGAACAGAAGTGACTCAGGGCACTCTCTGGATGTTATTTTGGGAAACAATCCCAAATATTTCCCTATTTAATTAGCATACACCACTAGGTAGCAGAATTACAGCTAACAGACAATTCCATTTCATTAGATGCATTTTGCTATATTTATATATCAATTACAAAGACCATCTAAAAATATTAAGTGATTAAAACAGTACTTCTGTATCTCTCAGAATTTAAAAGCATTTGGAATTGTTTCAGTCTGGTCATTCTTATATGGAATGTATGCAGAATCATTTCTTTGAACATGTTTCCAATGGCCTTTTTGAACAATTTTAATAAATATTTTAATGAGTCCTAGATTCTACATTTCTTCATAACTTCGGAATAACTCACAGATCACAACACAATGTATTAGTCACCAAACAAATCAAATTAAATATTTATTTTGCAATGTCTCTTTAATGCATGGCTGCAGACTGTAGAATATAAAGTAGTCTTAAGACACAACTGTTTGTGAAAATTATAAGTGGGTTTATATGCCGTCCTTTCAAAAAAGTACTTAAGATAGTTACATTGGGTAGCTGCAACTTGCCCTGAGAGACATGGAGCTTGTTACGAATTTGAGGTTGGGCACCTAATTGACAACACAGTAAGCCTGATGAGAAATCCACAGGGTGGCTGGGGATGACTCACCAGGTCCCTCATACAGAATTTAAAATCTTTATGCCAGAACTCTTCCTTGGACGACTGCATGGAAGGGGCAAGATAATTCCCCACCCCCTGCTATTTCTCATTTGTCCTTCCCTTCCCATGCTGCCCTCTCTCTTTGCTTCACTCAGGAGCCAACATACAACACGCAATCATCAAAGCCTCAGACCAGGCTGCTGGTCACAGCTAGCCAGAGTCTGCATTTTAGTAGACCTACTTGTTTTGTGATTTTCTTTAAATACATTTGATGCTTGTATTTCCAATTCACTGACAATCCACTTTATAAACTAAGCATTTCTGTTTTATGACCAGCTGTGGATAAAGGCAGGACTTATTAAACTTACTAAAGGCAGTACTGTTTCCATCTGATCTGTTTCTATCTGATCAAAACAATTCAGTGGCTGGGATGCTCCTGCTTTTGAAAGCTACTAAGTCACTCTTGTCTGTCTTCTTCGACTGGGCCGATTCCGTATCTTAAGGAAAGACGCACATGGGCTGCAAAGTCTCAGTCGTCATTGTGCCAAACTGCAGGGGAAACGCTAAAATTTCATTCTCCATTTAACAAATATTTATTGATGGTTTTTTAGTGCTAGCTGTTCCTGGGCACATAACCTAATCAATATCTACATCCCCAACACCCACACTGTGCCTGATGCACAGCAGGCTCACAGTAACGTGTGATAAGCAGATCGATAAAGAAGAAATGATTCTTTATCTATGAGGAATTTGTGAAGTGTTTGCTCTCTTGCCTGGGAAACAAGACACAAAGATATCAAAAGTTAAATGATAATATATGATAAGACATAGCCCCACAAGGAACAGAAGGATTCTAGGGATGCCAATGATCCTGTGGTTCCGTCTCCTTGGCAACACTGCCATCAGAGGCATGGAAGAGGTTCTGCCAACTAAAGGACACAGCCAGCGTGGCCTGCTCTGATAGCACCACAGAGCCCTGCACTCTGGGATTCTGCAGGGAAGGTTTCTGGGATGGTTCTGGTACTGGTCCACACAGGGAAGAAGGCAAAGGACAGGCACATGGCAGTCCAAGGCTGAGCTTAGGACAGTTGGGAGGAAGCTCAGCATGGATGGGAGTGGAAAGTTGGCAGGAGAGACCCAAGACCAAAGTCAGGGAGGTGATGGGAAGTGAGGATGGAGAGCACTAGCCTGGTATATAACTGTGCTGTATAACAGCCTAAGCAAATAGAAACATAGTTGACGACGGTTCTTCATCTGCTCTAGGACTTTCCATAAAACATCAGTTCTCTCAAGTAAGTGAGATGCCTGGTCAAATACACAATTTTCAAATCTCGGTCCTAGCATGAGACTTTATTACGACACTCAGATATTTTTAAAACAGATGAAATGGTCATACTGAATTTTCTCCCTAGATGGTAAACACATCTTGTAATACCTTGAGCAAACAATCTTTTTATTTTTTCTCTTCCTCCAGCAAAGCCTTCTCTGCAGGGACTGGGAAGGAACACTTAAGACATTAATTCTGTGTAGAGAGCGTTACTAGGACAATGCACCTTTTTTTTTTTTTTTTTTTTTGAGACAGAGTCTCGCTCTGTCGGCCAGGCTGGAGTGCAGTGGCACAATCTTGGCTCACTGCAACCTCCGCATCCCGGGTTCTGGCAATTTTATCCTGCCTCAGCCTCCCGAGTAGCTGGGATTACAGAGGCGTGTGCCACCATGCCCGGCTATTTTTTGTATTTTTAGTAGAGATGGGGTTTCACCATGTTGGCCAGGCCAGTCTCAAACTCCTGACCTCAGGTAGTCTGCCCTCCTCGGCCTCCCAAAGTGCTGGGATTACAGACATGAGCCACTGCGACTGGCCGGCGACAATGCATTTTTTTGTTGATTCAAGTCACAAAAGGAAAAAGCCTACTTAATCGAGAGCATATTCTGTTCTCCCTTCTCAATATTAAGAGTAATTGCCTGAGGTCAGGAGTTCGAGACCAGCCTGGTCAGCCTGGTGAAACCCCATCTCTACTAAAAATACAAAAATTAGCTGGGCGTGGTGGGTGCTTTTAATCCCAGCTACTTGAGAGGCTGAGTCAGGAGAATCACTTGAACCCAGGAGGCAGAGGTTGCAGTGAGCCGAGATCGCGCCATTGCACTCCAGCTTGGGTGACAGAGCAAGACTCCATCTCAAAAAAAAAAAAAAAAAAAAGAGTAGTTGCATTTTTTTTTTCCCCTAACGTGGACAACAGTTTTAAAGACTATTCCAAGTCTGAATGTATTCAGTACTTCACTCCACCCACACTGCCTTATTATTACTCACGAGACTAATGTTTAATGGCTTAGCCAGAGAGTTGGCAAGTCTCTTCTGCAAGAGACCAGAGAGCAAATACTTTAGGCTTTCTGGGCCATAACCCTGTCACAACTACTCAGCCATGCCACTGTAGCATAAAGCAGCCAAAGACAATATTAATAGATGGGCAAGGCTGTGTTCCAATAAAACTTTACTGATACAAACAGACAGTGGGCTGCTTTGTCCTACAGGCCATACTTTGTGGACCTCTGGTCTAGCCCTTCAATCCTGAAATTACATTAAAATTTGTATGTTCATCTGAAAGAGACATCTCAACACACATTATTTCCATCTAACCTCTTTCACATCCTGTGAAGGTATTAAACAATGCTGATAGATGTAAGACTTACTAAAAACACACCAAAATACCTTATGCCCAAAAGATAGCAGGTTTCATCCTTCAAATCTTTCTAATATATTTAACATAGACCAGCACCAAGGCAAATTTCAGAGCAAATTTGTCAAGGGATTGCATGAAAAGTCAGGTTTCTCAAATGTGTGAAGTCTGAGACTAATCTGTTCCTTATCAACAATTCAGAAAAGCATATAAGCCATGCCACTTTGGTAAAATACATTTTGAAAAATAAATCAGATAAAAAGCTAATCTTCTCCTACATGTCTAGATGAATTTCAAATCTTATCATGGAAAATGGTAAAAGGATGACTGAGTCTCCTCTGTAACTTTTTTTTTTTTTTTTTGAGATGGAGTCTCGCTCTGTCTCCAGGCAGGAGTGCAGTGGCGCGATCTCGGCTCACTGCAACCTTCGCCTCCCAGGTTCTAGTGATTCTCCTGCCTCAGCCTCCTGAGTAGCTGGGACTACAGGCGCATGCCACCACACCCGGCTAATTTATGTATTTTTAGTAGAGATGGGGTTTCACCATGTTGGTCAGGCTGGTCTCAAACTCTTGACCTCGTGATCTGCCCACCTCAGGCCTCCCAAAGTGCTGGGATTACAGGCATGAGTCACCATGCCCAGTCAACTTGTTTTTTTTTAATTGTAGAAATCTTCAGAGAGAACAAATCCACAGATAATTCCCCTACTTTTCAGTGAACAGAGCAACAGAAAGCAACATTCTGAGAAGGCAGATGCTTCTGTCTGAACAGTAGCTGACCAGTAAAGGTACGTATTTGACTCTAACCCTCCTGTAGCCAAGGCCTTGGCACTTCATGGGACATGACTGGAGATGTGGAAAATCATTAACTGGCCATGGGAAGAGGTTCTGGCAACAGTGGTATGCCCATTCACTTGGGATTTGTGAGAATATGGCAAACTGGTACAGTTTCAATATTACATGCTTACTGAGTACTGAGAACAGAAGCCACTAAAATGAGACAGTTTAAGCCTCATAATTGGATAGACCATTTTAGAATTTTATTTCAGATGTATCTATGGTTATGATTCCTTAATATAGACTAGTAGGAGGTTATAAAATATAATAAGAACTTCTGACCACTTGGCTATAATGGGAATTTATATCTTTAACAATAACAGCACATTTTGAAAAATGCCTAATATTTATAAAGAATTTTATAGTTTGTAAAATACTATTACACTTGATCCTTAACATTTTTGGTAAGGTAGGTAGAGTATTTACCATTATTTTACCGATGAGGACATAGGTGCAGAGAAATCACACATCTGGTCTTCAGACACTGTGGGAGGAGAAATGTGACTCAAAACAAGCAGCCTTTCTAGCCACTGTACCATGCCACTTCTCTTTCAGCATCTTTGTGAATTTTCTCCTTTCTTTACCAGATTCTAATGTATCACTGATAGATGATAACGTTTGCAATATGTTATCTTGACTGGGGCAGAACGACAGAGGCAATCATTTTTAAATGACCATTTTTTATTGAACTACCACCAAAAATGTATCTCATCAAATGCTTTATGGCCTTAAATAAGAGAATATTGTATTGTAGAAAGGACAAATGGAACATAGTAAGCACCTGTTGAATTGAACTGATATTAGGAGACCAGAGTCCAGAGAGCCCGGTGAATCACTGACTAATTGAATCTCCTTTCTCTGTGTATTAACGGAGAAATTGCACCTATCTTTCTTTGCAAAGATTTAAGGAAATCAAGTAAGAAAATGGACATGAGACCATTTATAATTAAAGAGTACCTAATTCACTTAACAAATACTGAGTAGCCACTGTAAGGCACTGTTGATGGATGTTACAATGAGTTTGAGTACAATCTATGCCATATTAAAACCACAGCTTTTACGGGAAATTGTTAGGAACGTAGAGATTACACATAAGTGGACTATAAGAGAGAGAGATGCAGATCAATGAAAATTGTAACAGCTTACAATGATGGGTAGATTTACTCTCAAAAAGGATCAGATCACTGACTGTGTGACTACAAAGTCAAGGCTACAATGCATAGATTTTTGAGTTGAGGAGAGCTAACTAGACATGACTTTCCAAAAATTTAAATACAAGAGAAAATATTTAAACTTTTAACACTTTGAGTGATGGCAAGTAGGTGGGGCACCAGTGATTGCGTTTGATAATAGTAGTGCAACATGTATCCAATATATACCATTGAAGCTTTTGAATACTGACTACAAACCCAAATCTTTAAAAGTATATGATAAATAAAGACTTGGTTAAAATTTGATCTTGACTACATACAGCACCATCTGGGAAAAATAAGTATGTATTTGAAAAAGATATTGATATGAAAGTCTGTTGTTAATTGTATCAACAGTGAAACTATCTGATTCTACAGATGTCATTTAATAAAGGAACAATCAAATTATTTAAGGATGTGTTAGTGAGAGGTGACAGCGTGCTGGCAGTCCTCACAGCCCTCGCTCGCTCTCGGCGCCTCCTGTGCCTGGGCTCCCACTTTGGCGGCACTTGAGGAGCCCTTCAGCCCACCACTGCACTGTGGGAGCCCCTTTCTGGGCTGGCCAAGGCCGGAGCCCACTCCCTCAGCTTGCAGGGAGGTATGGAGGGAGAGGCATGAGTGGGAACCAGGGCTGCGTGCAGCGCTTGCAGGCCAGCTGGAGTTCCGGGTGGGCGTGGGCTTGGCGGGCCCTGCACTTGAAGCAGCCGGCCGGCCCTGCCGGCCCTGGGCAATGAGGGGCTTAGCACCCGGGCCAGCGGCTGCGGAGGGTGTACTGGGTCTCCCAGCAGTGCCAGCCCACTGGCGCTGCGCTCGATTTCTCGCTGGGCCTTAGCTGCCTTCCCATGGGGCAGGGCTTGGGACCTGCAGCCCGCCATGCCTGAACCTCCCACCCCCTCCGTGGGCTCCTGTGGGGACGGAGCCTCCACGACGAGTGCCACCCCCTGCTCCACGGCGCCCAGTCCCATCGACCACCCAAGGGCTGAGGAGTGCAGGCACACGGCGCTGGACTGGCAGGCAGCTCCACCTGCAGCCCCGGTGGGGGATCCACTGTGTGAAGCCAGCTGGGCTCCTGAGTCTGGTGGGGCCTTGGAGAACCTTTATGTCTAGCTCAGGGATTGTAAATACACCAATCGGCACTCTGTCTCAAACTCAAGGTTTGTAAACACACCAATCTGCACCCTGTGTCTAGCTCAGGGTTTGTGAATGCACCAATCGACACTCTGTATCTAGCTACTCTGGTGGGGCCTTGGAGAACCTTTATGTCTAGCTCAGGGATTGTAAATACACCAATCGGCACTCTGTATCTAGCTAATCTGGTGGGGATGTGGAGAACCTTTGTGTCTAGCTCAGAGATTGTAAAAGCACCAATCAGCGCCCTCTCAAAACAGACCACTCGGCTCTACCAATCAGCACGATGTGGGTGGGGCCAGATAAGAGAATAAAAGCAGGCTGCCCGAGCCAGCAGTGGCCACCCACTCAGGTTGCCTTCCACACTGTGGAAGCTTTGTTCTTTCGCTCTTTGCAATAAATCTTGCTACTGCTCACTCTTTGGGTCCACACTGCTTTTATGAGCTGTAACACTCACCGTAAAGGTCTGCAGCTTCACTCCTGAGCCAGCGAGACCACGAGCCCACCGGGAGGAATGAACAACTCCAGACGCACCGTCTTAAGAGCTGTAACACTCACTGCGAAGGTCTGCAGCTTCACTCCTGAGCCAGCGAGACCACGAACCCACCAGAAGGAAGAAACTCCGAACACATCCAAACATCAGAAGGGACAGACTCCAGATGCACCACCTCAAGAGCTGTAACACTCACCGCAAGGGTCCGCGGCTTCATTCTTGAAGTCAGTGAGACCAAGAACCCACCAATTCTGGACACATTAGGAAGGAATTCCTACCAGATAAATCCTGAGAGACCCACTAAATATTTGATTATTTGATAAAACTGGTAAAGCAGTAAGACTCTTGATATAGTAAACCTATTCATATGTTTGCTCAAGTTTTAGCAAAAAGATATGTAATTACGGAAGAAGAATGTTGTTACAGAGAACAGGAAATACAGACACATTATCTTGGCTTCTAGGATGGTCATATTATGAAGTTACAATTTCAGAGTTTCATATGTTAGTAAAATGTGAGAAGATGATGCTTCTACAAAGATTACCATCACGTGTACCTGGAGGAAACTCATAACAGTATTAACAAGATTATTCCACAGTCATTATATGACATAATCATACAAGTACTGATTCAAAATAACAAGGTATTATTAAGACAACTGGTAGAGAAAACTACATTTTGAAGAACTGATGCAATGTTCCAGATGATTTGATACAATAAAATTCAGAATCAGAAAAGACAAGCATGAAAGCCAGAGAAAAATGTGACTGAAGGAATTTACAGTGTTTATCTTGATGAAGATAATAGGAAAGGGGGGAGTAAGAATTTTTGGATTTTTTTGTTTTTTGAATACTGGCTGGGCTGAGGTACAGAACAGGAATTAGACACTGTATATCGTTCCAGGGTCAGAACTAGGAGAAAAAGGCAGAAAGTATTGGGAGGTAAACTATGACAGCCTGGGGCAGAACTCTCTAATAATGGCCACTGTGTGCAACTGGAAGGGACTGTCTTTAGAGGTGTAGGGTTTCCTTCTACTGGAATTATTCATGTGGTAGCTGAATTATTTGACAACAAAAGTCTCTTCCCCCATCATATTCTACTTATCTCTCAATCCTGGAAAGACTGTGAACAAGAAAAAGCAAAGCAAGGGATTCTGTGGTGAGGCTGTGGGCAGTGTAGTGATGGGCAAGAGGAGGAGTTGCCACTTTCTTTATCCTCCCCTCCAAAATAGGGTCATTAAACAGGTCAGCAGGGCCAACAGCAGCACAGAGTGGATATAAAAATTGCACTTTCTGGGGTAAGCCATGTCCTAGGAACAGCAAGGCCAGGCATTGGCTGGAACCATCTACACAGGGATGCCACAGAGGACAGTGATATCATCAGGAAGGAACAGTGGAGAGATCAGTTTTGGTGACCTGTGTGTGGGAGGGTTGCATCCCAGATGTCCTCTGGACAGAAATAATCAACACTCCCTTGGATAGCATCCCAGCTTGGAGAGGAGAAAGGGCTGTGCAAACGTGTCTGACCTCCTGGCTTATTAGACAGGATGAAGAGTTCCCAGGCAGGACGAATGAGTCAACTTAGGAAGCAGGCCACAGATAAAATATAGTGTGATTCCAAGAGGTGGAAATGAATGAAAGCCAGTAAAGGGCATTAAATGAGGAATGTGACAAACACAAGTTTGCTTCGTTAGAGTTACGTGCTGAAGATGATCATAATAAAAGCAATAGCCAATCGAGAAATGGTGTGGGGATGACTGAATATCCACACACACAAGAATGAACTTGGATACCTACCTTCTACCATACACAAAAATCACCCCAAAACACAGCATAGGCCTAAATGGAAGAGTTAAAACTAGAAAACTCCTAGGAAAAAAAAATAGGAGTAAATCTTCATGACCTTGGATTTGACAATGGTTTCTTACGACATCAAAAACACAAGTGACAAAAGAAAAAATAGACAAACTTTATCAAATCTAAACGCTTTTATGCTTCAAAGGACATCATCAAGGAAGTGAAAGACAACCCTCAGTAAGGGAGAAAACATTTGCAAATTATATATCGGATAAGTCCTTTATATATAATATACATTATTATGTTCATCATTCAGATATATAATCGTGCATAAACTTTTACAACAATAAAAAGACAAATAACCAAATTACAAATGGGTAAAGAATTTGAAATGCAAATCAAAACTACAATAAGATACCATTTAATACTCACTAAAATGAATACAATATGAAAAATCGTAAGTGTTGGCAAGGAAGTAGAGAAAGTAGAACTCTCATACATTGCTGGTCAGATGTAAAATAGTGCTGCAACTCTGTAAAAGAGTGTGGTGGGCTGGGTGCATTGGCTCATACCTGTAATACCAGCACTTTGGGAAGCCTAGGCTGGAGGATTGCTTGAGGCCAGGAGTTCAAGACTAGCCTAAGCAATGCAGTGAGACCCCGTCTCTACAAATAAATAAATAAATCAGCTGGGTATTGTGGCACATACCTGTAGTCCTAGCTACTCAAGAAACTGAGGCAGGAGAATCACTTGAGCCCAGGAGTTCAAGGCTGCAATGAGCTATGATGGCATCACTGTAGCCCAGCCTGGCCAACAGAGCAAGACCCCGTTGGTTTTTTTTTTTTTTTTAAACACTACCAAATGTTCTTTTTCTTTAGTTTTTGTTTTTTGGTTTTTTTTAAACAAAAAAAAAAACAAAAACAAAAACTAAAGAAAAAGAACATTTGGTAGTTCCTCAAAAAGTTAGAGTTACAATGTAATCCAGCAATTCCATTCCTAAGCATATGCCTATGAAAACTGAAAATGTGTGTTCACACAACAGCTTGTATACAAACATTAATAGCAGCATTATTCATAATAGCCAAACAATGGAAACAATCCTGAAGTCTGTCACCTCATGAATGGATAAATAAAATGTGGTATATCCATACAATAAAATATTATTCACCAATAAGAAAGAATGAAGTACTGATACAAGCTACAACATGGATAAATCTTGAAAACATCAGGAAGCTGAAAGAACTGTTACAAAAGATCGCATATTGCATGAAACCATTTATATAAAATGACCACAAAATGTAAGTTCACAGAGACAGCAAGCAGGTTAGTGGTTGCCAGGGGATGGTACGAGGGAAGAATGAGGAGTGACTGGCAGCGCAATAGGTTTGTCTACAGCAGCATCAACACAAATACATCAGTAATGAATGCATTGCGCTATGATGTTCTCATAGGAACTTTTTAGGTCCATTATAATCTTGTAGGATCACTGCCATATATGTGGTCCATCACTGGCCACGAAGCATAGCTATATGGTACATGACTGTATTTCTGGAAGCTACAATTTGCTTATGGTGAGGTTAAATCTTTCTATAATTTTGTCATTTATATTTTTTGAACCGTACCTATTCAGAGCCACTCCAAATACTTCTATTGAGTTACTGTTCTTTTTTTCTTACTCATTTCCTAAGAGGTCTCTCTTTTCACGTTAAATAAATAATCTCACTTAACAAGCCAATACTTACATAGCAATTACTATGAACCTGACATGTTTCTTAGCTCTATAGAGACATAAAATCACTTAGTGTTTACAACAATGCTGTGAGTGGGCATCATCATCATTCCTATTTAAGAGATGAGGAAACTTCAGCACAAAGGTGTTAAGCAGTGGAGGCAGGATTTGAACCCATGCACACTGGTCCAAACGTCCCAGCTAACCAGTATACTATCCTGACTCGTACGGACGCAGCAAACAGCAGACTTAAGAATGTCAATCAAGATACTCAGACCCCAGAAAATGTGTCGAATCTGGTTACTGTGATAGTTGTTCTTTTCTGGAAATGCACTGTCCAATAAGCTAGGCACGTGTGGCTACTGAGCACTTGAAATGTAGTTAAACTAAATCTAGATGTGTGGTAATGTGAAATATACATTGAATTTCAAAGATTTAATATAAATTAAAAGACTGTAAATACTCAAAACATTTTAATATTAATGTGTTGATACGTTAAAATAGTATTTTGGGCCAGGCACGGTGGCTCATGCCTGTAATCCCAGCACTTTGGGAGGCCGAGGCGGGTGGATCACTTGAGGTCAGGAGTTTGAGACCAGCTTGGCCAACATGGTGAAACCTCGTCTCTACTAAAAAAAAAAAAAAATTAGACCGGTCCTGGTGGTGCGTGCTGTAGTCTCAGCTACTTGAGGCCGAAGAATCACTTGAACCTGGGAGGCAGAGACTGCAGTGATCCAAGATCACACCACTGCACTCCAGCCTGGGCGACAGGGAAAGACTCTGTCTTAAAAAAAAAAAAATACTATTTTGAATATACTGAGTTAAATATGTTATTTAAATGGATATCACCTTTCATCTTTTAAAAAAAAAAGAACCTTTAGTATGGCTACTAGAAAATATTGTATTACTATAAAGCCTGCATTATATTTCTTTTGGACAGGGTTGTTCTAGAAGGATGTATTGTGACTGGAAGAGAAGTCTGGAGGAGCAGTGCATGGTTCTTAAAAGGCTAATCATGGTGTATGCTGTCTTTGAGGACCATGGATTGCTGATATAACAGAGAATAAGCCAAGTGTTACTAAACCCATCAATTACCAATATTCTGATGACTCATGATGAATTCAAATATAGTCAAGAGGAACCTGGAAGGTATTGTTGGTGAATCCAAAGAAATGGGTTGAAAACAAAAGGAATATAAGGCAGGGGAAATAATTTTGTTTCTTCTACCTAAAGCACAGTCTTTGAAGGGGAAATAGGTCTATGAAATGCTTCTTAAAACTAAAGTCTGATCTACCTCCATTACACCTTACCCTCTACAGGTGAGTCACTATTTCACACACACAAATATATCTGCTATAATGTATAATTTAGCCAACAGAGCTCCTCAGTAAATGCAACAAAACTATTTAAATATTGATAATCCATCTATATTACCTATGTCCAGTAAATGTTTGGAAAAAAAATTTATAACCTCTGGCCTCCCCCACCCCATACCCCAAATTATAAACTGGAATATTAAAAGGACCTGTAGGAATTCAACTGTAAATGCCCCAAGGGCAGCCCTATGTCTAACTGAATTATCAGCATTACCAGTACCATCTCAGTGCTGGTAATGCAGCAAATGACCAGTAAATTTTCACTAAATACACACAAAAAATGGCAGCTCATTGGAATTTTAAAGTCCACACCTAAACAATATGGAAAAGGCAAAGAATGGATATTCTAGACTGGTAAGCTTACTGTTGTAGATGGCTAATCACACAGATGGGGGCAAGTACTTAGAATGAAGACCCAGGAGTCAGCAAAGGTTTTCTAAAATCTGACTTCACATTCTTTTTCTGACTCTGCCTCTACCTGTGCAGGGAGTGACTCAACAGAGTAAATCCTGAATTCCTTAAGACCTCTGACAAAGCTCTTTTATATACCTGAAACAAGGTGGGGAAATAGCAGGCATGACGATCTAACAGTTAGAAGGCTTAGTAATGAGTAGAAAAATCATACAGGAAGATTGGTGTTTGGGGGACTGAGGTCAACCTAAAGAAATTCTTCAGGGGTGGAGCAGGAATCCCTCTTGGTCAACGTTTTTCTTCAGTAAGTTGGAAGAAATATGAAAAGCATCTATTTGCCAAGTAACACAAAGCTGGAAGAGACTTTGGATATAATTCAAAGACTCTATTTGGTTAGAAAGGTATACAGCTAATGAAAAGAATTATCTAGGATAGTGGTTTTCAAACTTTAACATGCAGCAGAATCATCAGGAAGGCTTATTAAAACACATTGCCAGGACTTATATCCAGAGTTTCTCACTCAGTGGGCCTGGGGTGGGGCCAAGAATGTGCATTTCTAACAGGTTCTTAGGTGATGCTGCTACTGCTAATCCAGGGACAACCCTCTGTGAACCCCTGGTACAGGAGATTCCTGTCATATACTTGTTTGCAACACCACGGTTTCTTTCTTAATTCCAACCTTCACAGCTGAGGTTCTTGAGTCATATTCTAGACTAGTGCCTTCTATGACAGATGGCTTTCTGTGGCTTCAGAAGCCATGCAAGCCACATCCTTTTCCAACTATCCTGTGGAAATCATTAGTAAAGAGTGCAACCCTCTTCTGGAAGAAGAAATCAAGCAGCTTCTTGAGGTATTTCCCCTCCCCCCCAATATATTTAAACCTGTAAATACTTACAGTAAAATTCAAAAGGAAAATGGTTCAGAAAGCTTATTTGGAAAGGGTGGCTCTATCAGGAAGGAGACTGGCATACTCACCAGAGAGGAAATATACCCAGTCGTGTGGTGATAAAAACCACGGCAAACATAACAAACAGGAGATCACACATTTTCTGAAACTTGGCATAATTTGCCATTTTGGCAGCCTATGAAAGAAAGGAATGTGATATATTAATGTAGTTAAACTGATAATAAAAAGTTTCTTTCAATATGCATGAATCTCCTATAAGATATACCTTACCAGATGCATAAAATTGCCTGCATTTTTATGCATTTCAGCCTGCGATTGAAATGTCATACATCATGCACCAGTATTTATAAATTACCCGTAAGTTGAGTGAAAGGCAGCATTAGCCATAAGTAGAATTCCTGACTGTTACAGATTTAATAAAATATTCAGCAACCTGAGAAATTCATTTGTATGGTTGATTTCAGAAAAACAGAGAGAAAAATAAGAGATTCTTGCATCATAGATGATACTAGCAAGCCAGAGACACCAAAACAGAAATCTGGCCTAACAGTTCAAACAGAAGTGCTGGACAATCCTTTAAACCTTTTTATGAATCTCAAATACCGGGGCCACAAACTTTATATAGAATATATGGAGCTTTTCTGCGTTTTTCTTCCTTTCTCCTTAAAATTGTAGGTTTTCTTTAAACAGGCACAAGGAGTACTCTGGGGAGATGCTCTTCTGGCTTACTCTCATGAACTTAGAAATGAAGAAAGTGTCAAGATGATGTCATTTCAACTAATCCATTTAGGTAGAATTTTCAAAACTACATGAATGGGTCATTTTTAGATGAAAGCCACTAATGTTCAAGGGTCTGTGAAAAGTACTCTCATAATTTATGACAGTGATTTAAGTGAAGACTTTTTATATTATAAATTAGTCTAGGGAAGAAATCACATCCCTTTCTCTACCATCTACTTTTTTTACAGATGATTCTAAAAACAGGTGAGACTGAAAACAATTTTGCTTAATCATCTCTTTTTACATTTTTGCATAGAATTCACAGCACCTACACACAGGGTTATAAATTCATGATGCCTTCTGAATTTATAACATTATTTTCTACTTCTTGGAAACTTAAATTAACTGAGTCAGATTTGAAAAGATTGTTGACATTATCCACAGAGGCTATAATTTAAAAGCTTTAAATAAAGCACAAAGCTATGAGAGGAATGTATTCCTAAGGGGAAATATCTATTAACTGGGTGGAAGTTAGGATTATAAGCTTTTAATTTCATGAACACTTCAGGTGTAACACCATAAATTATGTTAAAAGGTACCTTCTACCTTCTCCTGGCTAGGTAAATCATGAAATTTTTCTTTTATATTTTTTCACCAGTATTCAGTAAATAAGCTTTAAACACAAACTTTTCAGAAACGTCTAGGCCATAAGATAACATGTTGAGGAGCTGACAGGTGACCTATCTCATTAATTGAATACTCTACGTGTTATTTACTTTATAATGTTTAAGAGAATCTAGGTGATGAAGAACATTTGTTTTTAAGCCACATGACTGAGATTTCTGAATTTTTTTTTCTGGATACAAGTGGAACTTGATTAGAAATTTTTTGAATCATGGCACTACCAAACATCATGCCAGCCATCTCCACAGGCAATGAAGTTGGCTAATTGTATAGGATTGATTGTACAGCCTTAGGTTGCAGCATAAATTTCTACATTCAAGCAAACTTAAGATTTAACCAAATGGTAACTCATTTCCAGGGGATTGCCCTTATACTAATTATATTTATCCTACTAAAAAATATGCTGAATAGAGGTTAGCTTGAATCACTTAAAAATCATAGCAACAAATTATCGTTGGACTTACCTAGCCCATTAGGACTATTTTTCTGTTTCATAACACTAAAGGACCAGAGTTTTTAACAAAGTGCTGTATATACCTCAAACCTTAATTGCCTTTATGGTAGATTCAAATTTTATAGCATAGAATTCTGCTTATATTGCAATAACAGGTCATTATTTGAGGGCATGTCTAGTCTACATTCACAGTATAGTAAATGCTTCAAAGGTGGCAAAACAAAGCACTTAAAGCAAAACGGTGGGCCTAAAGGAAAAAAAAATCAGAATTCAGATCAGATTGTAAGAACCATTTCTACATAGGCTTTGTACTCTTATAAGGTAATTCTGACCAGTTATATTAATTTCTTAATATAAAATGCAAAGACTTTAATTATGAACATTATTGAGTATGACTCTTCACAGGAGCCACAGTTAAAAGTAAATATCACATCACAGTTTTCCTTGGGATTTTACCTTTTGAAATATGCTAGAACATATTTATTTATTTTACCACTTTAAGAATTCTAAATAATAGTAACCAATTCATATGTAACCAATATTTCCACAGATATTCCTTATACTTACATATATAGAAAACATAGTTTCTACATAAAATTTGCAATTCATATGCCCTTTCCACTGTAAAAACCTTAGGTAAATGTGTATTGGCAATAAAAACAATGACCCCTACTTAATTTTACTGGGATGTATAGTTTCCATTAGTAACTAAACTGCGTTTTACAAAATTTCCCAATAAATCAGGGTAAAAGTTACAACACACAAAACAAAACCTAATCAAATAATGATTTTCCTTTGTAAAATCATTCATTTCTTAAGTATAGAACAGTAAAGGTTTTCAGCATTTTATTAACAACTTTTTTTTTGTATAAAAGTTTACATACTAATTTAGAATCTCATTTTCACCAGCTTAACCTACAAAGAAACACTCTGCAGTTTCAATGTAGTTATTTACTATTGTACCCAAGCACCATCTAGCATAACACTGAAGAGCTAATGAGATTGGGGACTTCCTAAATTTTGGATTTTGTATTCTTAAAGATGAAAGAAAACTTTTACCTCCAGAAGAGCATCAGCTGAATCATGAAGACAAAGGACCAGCGTTCCTACTCGGGCCATATTGTTGACATATGAAAAGGTAATCAAGAAAATAGATACAAGGTGGTGCAGGAACATAATGCCAAAGTCCTTGAGGAAAGAAGAAACATCCATATTAGAGTTTAGCAACATCACATTTCCATTTAGCCATTCAGCCACTGAACCAGTATTTACTGAGAACCTCCACAAACCTAGCACTGAGGATGAATAAGGTATGAATAACGTATAATTCTTATCCTCCAGGAGTCCATCACGTGTTGGGAGAGACACATAGGAGATCAGTGGAAGCCCAAGATCAAGGCTCTGGCAGATTTGGTATCTGGAGAGGGCCCACTTCCTTGTTCATAGATGGTGACTTCTAGCTGTGTCATCATATGGCAAAAAGGGCAAAGCACTTCTTTAGGGTCACAGGAGATAGGAGGACATCAGTGACTACCAAGAATGCGATCAATGCCAGGACAAAGACCATATCACAAAGAGTGCTTTGTACCAAGCCAAATAATTTGAAGCTAAGGGAGAAATCACTACATAATTTCAAGAAAAGAAGGGCACTACTTGCATTTGAACTTTAGGAAGATCTTTGGGGCAACTGTACAGGTTTAACTGGACCACTTCTCTGACTACTAATGATTGGGGCTTCGGCAGGTATTGGCTGTGTCTTTGACCAGAGTGTGGCATCTATGAAGGGACAGTAGGTTAAGGTCAGAGGAAAAGGGCATCGTATGGCTCCCAGCCTGGGCAGTCCACTGCCTACAGAAGGGTTGATAAGCCACATAGCAAGGTTTAAGGTGGTGCTATGGTCTAAATATTTGTGTGCCCACCAAATTCATGTTAAAATCTTAATGCTCAAGGCGATAATATTAGGAGGTGGGGTATTTGGGAGGTAATTAGGGCATGAGGCCAGAACCCTCATGAATAGGGTTAGTGCCCTTGTAAAAGGGACCCCAGAGAACTGCTTTGCCCCTTCCACCATACGAAGACACAGCTAGAAGCACCATCTATGAATCAGGAAATGGGCCCTCATCAGATACCAAATCTGCCAGAGCCTTGATCTTGGACTTCCCAGCCTCTGGAACTATAAGAAATCAATTTCTGTTGTTTACAGGACTCCAAATCTACAGTATTTTGCCACAGCAGCCCAAATGGATTAAGACGGGGGTGATTGTTTTCTGTTATCTCAGATTTCTTGGAATGTGCATCTCGGTGTTAGCATCCTTCTCCCAGAATACGCCTGTTGGGATACTCAAATAAGAATCCTACCATGTTGGCTCTTCTGATAGGACCTACACAAACAAGCTCTGAATTTTTAAAAATTGTTTTATGTTAGATTCAGGGGGGTACATATGCATGCTTGTTACTTAGGTATACTGCATACTGGTGGGGATTGAAGCCCTGAATTTTAATCATTATCTGTCCATAGACATTAGAAAAAAATATATTTTGCAGAAATAACAGTAAATTGACCATCCTTATTTTGGTCGGCTTCAAGGGAACCTCATCTTGGCCTCAGTGAAGATTGTTTTTTTCTGATATTATCTCCTGACCATCTGGACATGGTTTGTTGTGATATGGAATTTCTGTTGCTTAGAAATATAGTGTCTCTTTTACTCATACTTTTATCTAATCTATATATCTCTCTCAGAGTAAGTCTGAATTTCTTTGAGACTTAAATGCCAAGACTGACCCTAATGTTGCTCTATTTGAAGCCTCTGGAGGAAGAGGTCTATTCCCCATAGACTCTTCATCTAGGGTAGATTTATTTGAATCTCTCTCTCTCTAGGGGAGACAGCAAGAAAATGAAAAGCATATCCGAAAACTGACGTATGAGCACATCGTGATTATGAAAAAGCACAACATGTAGGTTAAATCTAGGGGAGTAAACCTAAATTTTTATCTTGAAAAGTCAATATTCATATGGTCATTTATTCATTAAAAATAGTGATTGAGCATTTACTATGCTCTAGACAGTTCTAGGCTTTGAGGATGAATAAGTAAGCAAACTAGACAACTACTTTTGCCCTTGTGGAACCTGTATAATCTAGTAGGGGAGAACAGACAAAAAATATAAGTAAATGATCTCTTATAGTAGAAGGTAAAAATGTGCTATGGGGGAAAAAGAAGCAATCATGAGAAGGGTGAGGAGTCCTGGTTGCTGGGGGAGATAGACTATAATAGTACACAGAGGGGCTAGACCAGGGCAGGCTTCTCTAAGAAGGTGACTTAAAGATGATGAGGAAGCTAGTCTTACAGAGAGATGGGGAGAAAATATTCAAGCCAGAGAAAACAACCAAGGCAAAGGCATTACCCGTCACACTCTTTCTATCCTGATGTGTTCAAGGAATAGTGAGGAGGTGAGTGTGGCTGGAGTCAAGTAAGAAGCAGAGACGTGTAGAAGCCAGAGCAGCAACATTACAGATTGTAAAAATTAGTAGCTTCTTCTTATCTATTACCACTATTTAAAAAGATATTTTAACTTTGTTGAATAAAAAGTAATCACGCTACTATTTAATCCCTGATATGTAACTGTTCTACGTAGCATTTGTATTCAGATATAAATTGGGAGGTTAAGGGTCAAGAATAAAATTATTTCTGGGGTTGTAAGGACTTAATTTTATCTATCATACTGGAAAAGGTACAAAGCACTTATAAGTACTCTCTAATACTACTTGTAGTCATGAAAATGAAACAGGGCTAGGTTTTTATTCTTACAGATGTCTTCATAAACTCCATCCTACAACATTCCCTTGGGACTATTCCTGTTTGTTCTGAGAATCAGTGTGGGTGACAGTGCTAAGGTTGGTGGATGTTCAGCCAAGCTGAACATCTGGTTTACAAAGGCAACAGAAACCAGATTAGGTAGACTTCTCAGTTCCTTGTGAATTCGACTTAATCTTCTACCCAAGGGGAAGGAGGAGGCCCCTAGTGGTGTCTCTTTTTCTGAACTGCCTTGTACTTTTCCTCTGTAACCCTTTAGCTCTCATGGCTCCTGCCCTGGTTCCTGATTCACTGGGTGACAGCCACTTTCTTCTGGACCCCCACTTACCTATCCTGGACCCTCACTTACCTATCCACCTTTCCACAACTCAGAGAGGCCTCTGTCTCTAATTTCTATTCTCCAATTCAGTTATTATTTTTTTGTTTGGTTTGTCTGTGGTTAAGGCAATTTCTATTTTAAACATAAGTGCAAGAATGTTAAAACCAGGGTCTTATCGACAGGACCAGACTACTGAAAAATATAGGTGTCTTGAACAATTATGGAACATCTATTTCATAACAGCCAATTTGTAATCCAACTCTTATTAATTTTGTCATTTTTGGTAGGGGTAATTTCCTAACTATACTTTTTTTTTTTTTTTTTTGAGACAGTCTCGCTCTGTCACTCAGGCTGGAGTACAATGGTGGGATCTCAGCTCACTGCAACCTCCGTCTCCTGGGTTCAAGCCATTCTTGTGCCTCAGCCACCCAAGTAGCTGGGATTACAGGTGTGAGCCACCACGCCCAGCTAATTTTTGTATTTTCGGTTGAGACGGGGTTTCACCATGTTGGCCAGACTGGTCTCGAACACCTGACCTCAAGTGATGCACCTGCCTCAGCTTCCCAAAGTGCTAGGATTACAGGCTTGAGCCACTGAGTCTGGCTATCTATACAATTAAGAGACTGGATCAGGTTATTTTTATCCTGTCAGTTCTATAATTCTAGGCTTCATAGCCACAGTGATTAAGTAATACTTTAAGTCTTTACTAATTTCATATTTGTGTATATGTGGCGGGGAGCGAGTGTGGGAGAGCCCACACATGCACCCTCTTTATTTAGCAGCTGAGTAGCTGGTGATGTCACTACAGGTTGGGGTTTCAAAAGTCAACTTCAACAACTTTAATTGCTTAAGTGATTCTGTCTACAGCTTAGTGAACATGTCCAGAGGTTATTTTCTACCCTGGAAAGTGCCTAACATTTATGGACAACCATACATATTGATTTACTGCTAGGATAAACAGTATATTAGTTTCCTAAATGAGGTCAGATAATTTAAGAAATGAAGTGCAACGATTTCTCTTATTTTCAATTAACCTAGTCTCCAAACAGCATGACACATTGATGGTAGATTCCACTGTCAGGGGAAACATGCGTCTTCCAACAGTTAATTCTAACTGCCCATGGCAGAACTGAGCATTGAGAATGCAGTGGCCTAAGAACCTACCACTATATTCCTTCCTCTAGACTCACATTTACATCTAGTTCTCAGCTCACTGGCAGAAGAGAAATGATGACCATACTCTGAGTTTAATAAGTGATTATGTACAGGTGCAACTTACCAGTTTTACCTACTTCTGAAATTCTGATGTCTTTGCAGTTAGTACCTAAGGTTTTCTTAAGTCATTAAAGTTAGACAATACCAAAATGCCTTAGACATACAATAAAAATTGCACTGATAACATTTTCCACTGAAAGATAAAATCTGTTCTCTCCAAGCTGTTATTAGATTCCATCATGTGGAGTATAGTGTTCTACCAGATAATAACTACTTCAAAACAATGGATCCATTAACGTAGAGCTTACCTTTCAACTAATATTTTAAACTGTTTCCTAACCATAATCAAATGAAAACACACACTGCTTAATTCAGAAATTCACTGAGTTTATATTTGCTATGCTTAATACACAGATTTCAAAGTTTAACCAGCTGAATACCTAAAAAGAACAATATTTTCCACATTTTCTATTGTTCAGCTCTGAATGATTGCTCTTGGCTCACTGAAAGAGAACAAGGGTTTTTCTCTATTTAATTTTAAAATGAATAAATATAAATTGATTAAAACACTTATGGAGGATTAGTACCATTTTATAATTAAGTTTCCTGAGATGTATCTGATATAACATCAGTAAACAACCCAATGGCCTTGCCAATACAGCACGGCTCCTTTAAAAACAAGAGCCTTGTTTTTTAGACAAAATTTGCTTTGTAAAGATGTTTTTTGCATATAAATCACCTGGTCCTACAAAACATTTGTTTTATTACTGAAGGACTCACAGTTATGCCCGTGGCAGAAGACCAATTTTCATTATAGTCCTATCTGTATGAATATGAAAAAAGAATGAATAATGGATGTCACCTTTTACATTTCTGCTTCAGAACGCATTATACATAATAAAATACCTTTAATAAAGGCCATGTAATAATTATTTTATGTGTTACTAACATCCTCCTTACCCAACACATTTCTTTGAGTAGGCACTGAATCTGGTCCAAATAACCATTTTTAAACAAATTGCCAATTTGGATTTTATCAATGCAGGGTGGAAAACTTCCATCCTTATATTTGCAACTGCTGAAAGTGATTAGTGCACACATAGACACAGTCATGGCTGAAAGAACATTAGCATTTTAGGTTGAAATGTTTTCCTGCATTTTCTATAACTGCAATTAAAGAGAGAGACTGTGATTTCTTATTGGTCTTCAGACTGAAGACTGATGCCAAAGCCTTTATTCATAACAGACTGGCGTGGACACGTGCTTTACTTGTGTCCTCAACCTCCTGCTATTCTACCATATTGTTTCTGGACATACTCACAGCCATTATCAAGGGCTCCTTCTATGTTCCCTGCTTGATATTTACCCTAATGTTGACCTTTATTTCAGTAGCTTTGCCTATGTTAATTATCAGAGACAAGGGGGAAAAATCAAACATGGTCTTCACTCAAACTTCATTAGAAGTCTCAAATAAAAGAATTCAAGGAAGAGCCATCTATTTTAGTATTAAAAGCTGGTAAGTTAACGCTGTTTTTTCCTTATTACATTTTCAAATAGCATTTAGGGAACCTAGAAAAGTTTCTTAGTCTGTTCTGTGTAGCTTTCACATCAGAAATTCCTGGGTACAGGTAAAATTCCAGCTACCTGGGCTCCATCCCCAACTGTTAGAATGAAAATCAGCATCGTTAATTCGGTTCTCTAGGGGAATTTTATGTACAATAAAATATTAGCACCAAACATCCAGAGGGATCTACCTCTCATTGAGACACAGATCTGAACGTCTATATAATGGAACTCCCTTCACAATGATCAAGCTGTAGAGAATCTCTGAAATAATATTGTTTTCAGGAGGCACTACAAATTCATCTTGATGTACATGCCTTTACAAAAACAAAATTCACCCATTTTTCATTAAAAATAATACATACACATACATAAACAGGAACTGTTCCCCAAATTCTCATTGGCTGGATAATACATTAATTTTATGCAGTGTCTTCTGGGAATAATTTTTGCAACTGATTAAGAAAAACATTAGTGAACCTCTTTATAAAGGGAATTTAGAAGAGCAAGATTTTAATTAAAGCCTGATTTAGATGTGCACAGACATGAGGAATATGAAATACTTCTGAAGTGCAAGAAAAAAGGCTCTTCTCCCTTCGATGCAAATGACGCATATTAGCTTTCCTGAATTTAATAAAATTAATAAGTCTGTAATCTAACTAATATGAATAGAAGTCAGGTAATAGCACCAGGTTTATTCAATGAACTGATTTTCAGACTGTCTAGGAAACAGAAGAAGAGCAGCATAGCTTAAAGCTGATTTCATTTTATGGCAACTGCAGTAATAATAGAAACCCCTCATTAAAAAACAAACAAACAAAAAACAGTACTCTTATTTGAAATTTCAAGGCACATACAAATGTATATGACTTCTTACAGAGTAACATGCTTTTCTTTTTAGGGATCAATAACAAACAGTTTTCCTTTCTCTCTTGTGATTTTTCTGCCTTGGCATAAAACTCAGAATGCTGGCGGTAGAAGTGGACTTTAAGCATGTAACTTGGCAACATGCAAAAGAGAGTAGCTACTCAGTCTCCATCTCCATTTTAGAATGAATAAACAGATGGAGATGGTGAGGATTTCAGACAAAATTTACATACACCAAGAATAATCATAAGCAGCTTTTCCATTAAGGGAATATAAAAATATAATAGCTTCTCAGCCTTTGGAGATGGGTAAAGTCCTGATGATCAGGATGAATATATATAAAACCTCTTAAACAAAGAAAACCAAAACCCCCAAATGGTATACTAACAATCTTAATATTAAAACTAATGTGTGCAAATAAATCACAAAATACGTCCTTAAGGCAAAAATGAAATGTAGTACCAGAAATTCACATCAGAATAATTTGCTGCTTTGTCCTGTCTTATGGTGGTTTCTAGAATAAATAGCAGTACAACTTCTAAAGCTTTAATAATTTGGTTAAAAAACAAAACAAAGAAATAAAGGACTAAAAAATTGTGTAGGGTCTTAAGACAATGGCTAAATAATAAAAGTATATTTGGGGTGATTTACAGAAATCAGTTGATTCTGGGTCTCTCCCCAGTAGGCAATTTGAGGAGAATCATAACCATCTCTTACCAACTTATGATGTGAAGAGTTCACATAATGTATGTACAATCTCCCACGAATTATTTGGTTTTTCTATTTCAACTGGCTTTGAATTTTGGCTCACTATAAGAGAGCTGGTTAAACGGACCATTTAAAGAAAGGTATTTCACATAAGGCTCTTCGAAACTCTAACTAGAACTCACTTTTTTCTTATGTATAGCCTATGCACCCTAAGATAAATATTTACAGGAAAATCTGGAAAGGAATGAAGAACTGTGACTTATTTGGGAAATGTTTGTTCCATTATAAGGTGGAGGAGTCCTGGCAGGAAGGAATCAATTATTCCCTTCTCCAAAATTCAGTCTGTGAATAAAACTTCATTCACATTAGATCTAGAATTGAATCTACTTCAACACTTTTTTCCCAATAGATTATAGATTTCTCTCCCTTTGGACTAAATGTATACACATTTAGGTCCTTGAGGGGGATAACTGTAACACACAAACTTCATTTTAAAAACACCAAGTGCCATGAAATTAATTGGTTTAAAGATGTTGAATTTTCTGTGGTTACTATCAAAATGTTTTTAAAATGTATACTGATGTGATTTAATTATCTCTACTAGCCATTCTCAAATCTGACATCCCCACTGTTCATCAAATATGCACAACAGGCTATCCTACTTTACAGCAAAGATAGGCAAAGGGCCAGATGGCCATATTTGGGTTTGCAAATAAAGTTTTATTGGAATACAGCCACGCCCATTTGTTTTCTTATTGTCTATGGCAGTTTTCTTGCTATAGTGGCAGAGCTGAGAAGCTGCAACAGAGATTACACGTCCCCAAAAATTAAAATATTTATTACCTGGTCCTTTACAGAAAAGCTTTATGCCCTGCCTTAGAGTCACATCAAAGGACATATGGGAAAGCATCATATTGGAAAAGTCATATTATCTAAGATGTGGCAATGGCATAGGCTCGTGGCTAACTTCAACACATTTGGGTCAGACCAAAAAATGTGTCAAGAGATTTAATTTTCATAGCTGTCCGGATGTAATCCATTCAATATTACTCTCAAAATTCAGATAAACTATAAAGAAAGAGAACCATCAAAATTCTCATGATCAAGTATAACCACAGCTTTAAAACAATTTGAAAACCAAGGAGACTTCACAAGCTTTTAAAAGTAAGATGCTTCTTTGGATTCAGTATTATTTTCTCTACTGCTAGATGTGCCATTACTTTATGGCTTCTAGAAACATATAGAAATGAAATAACCATTGTATAAGCAGAGTTTACCCAATCTTTCTCCTGTGCAACATTTATGGCCCCATTTCAAGATCAAGAACTCATAATCTTGTCTACTGTGAATTATTTAGTTAATATTTAATCTTTAGTTATTTTATCACCATGGAAAAGGACACAATAAAATTTTATTTGCACAATAGAAAACAGTAAGATAGTGCTGTTGGTTAGCTTCTGATGGGCCTGGCCAGAGCATGGAGCTTGATTTCCAATGCCCTGGAGTCCTCCTTCATGCCTCCCTTCCTCTCCCCATCAAAAGCACACTCTCCAAATACACTCTGCTTTCAAATGATGTAGATAGTTTTCTTAATTGTACATATGTCTTTCTATTCATTGAACTTTAGATCCTCAGAAGCTCTCTATCACTACGAGCCTTGCTAAATCACAAGTGCCTGGAGATGAAAGTCTTTAGACACACCTTCTGGGTTCTGTTTAAATTACCCTTGGCTCAATCACACTAGTTTGCACAGCTTTTAATGGGGAAAGGTCACTTCTGAGACATTTAAAACATACTCAACCTAACAGTCTTAAGTGATGCAAGGGTTAGCAGAATTAACTCTCCATTTTTTTTTTGTTGTTGCAATAACCCCTGGAACAGAGACATAAATACCCTTTATGATATCAAATAAACCCATTCGGGCTGAAAACATCCAGAATGATCAGTAGGGGGCAGATTGTGTTCTACTAAAATCAGAAACATCCCAGGACTCAAAAGCCATCATCCATTTACTATAAAGGTCTTGAGGCCTAAATTGACAATGGGTAACCAGGGACTCAATTTTGTGCTTTAGATAGAAGATGGAAAAAGTCTTCTTCAGGTCAACCAGGTTGGGATGGCATGTAAATTGTCAGGAGGGGTTTGGGGAACTCTTGTCATCATCCTCAGCCTTATCCTCCACATTCTAACTCCTCTTTCTTCAACTGCCTGAGCTTCCTACTCCCAACCCCTCACAAACATACAGAATTCTAGCTGCAGAATTTCCTGGAAGCTGCTTCTTGTCTCTATGCAGACCTCTGGCCATGCAGGTTTGTTTTTGTTTTTGTTTTTTTTTCTTCTGGCTGTGATGCTTGCGTTTTCTCCTCTTTTGGCTCCTGGCCCCATCCCACCTTGACTACCTGGTGAATTCCTATTTACACTCTGATTTGCCTAATTCTCATGTGCCAAAGGCTCTTCTTTCTGACACTGTCATTTATTCTTAACAACAACCCTATAAAGCAAGTATGACTTTGAAACTCTATTTTACATAGAAACTGAGGCACGGGAATGCCACATCATTTTCTCTAGTCACACAGTAAGGACGGGCTAAGCCAGCTCTGAATCCAGTTGTGTGACTCCAGAGCTCAGGTATCT
This sequence comes from Homo sapiens, assembly GCF_000001405.40. Taxonomy (NCBI): domain Eukaryota; kingdom Metazoa; phylum Chordata; class Mammalia; order Primates; family Hominidae; genus Homo; species Homo sapiens. Next base: position 168,705,069 of record NC_000002.12, on the reverse strand, counting down.
AACTACCATAGCAGGTTGCTTCTCAGAAACGGACGTGTGAGGAAAATGACTCTGAGGAAGGAGGCAGGAAAGAGGAGACACTTTGGAAAACACATATAAGTGACAGACTAACAAACAGAACAAGGTCTACTCCTGGAAGACAGGAAGAGATGGGGATCAAGAACAAAGGTGCGGCCGGGTGCGGAGGCTCACGCCTGTAATCTCAGCATTTTGGGAGGCCGAGGCAGGCAGATCACAAGGTCAGGAGATCGAGACCATCCTGGCTAACACGGTGAAATGCCCGTCTCTACTAAAAATTAGCCGGGTGTGGTGGCACGCACCTGTAGTCCCAGCTACTTGGGAGGCTGAGGCAGGAGAATCGCTTGAACCCGGGAGGTGGAGGTTGCAGTGAACCAAGATCACGCCACTGCACTCGAGCCTGGGCGACAAAGCGAGACTCGTCTCAAAAAACAAACAAACAAAAAGAACAAAGGTGCAAGGGTGAGCCTTGAGTGGAAGGGGTGCCTCTTTTCAGGAGGCCAAAGGGAAGGACAGATGAACGGGTTTGTTTATATTTATGGGGATGGAAAGTGAAGGAGTTCACGACTTCAGGGAGAGAGACAGAGCTATAAACGGCCAAAGTGGGTGTTTTCCCAAGGCCCCTAGAATTGACTTGAGAGAAACTCCCCATGAGAAGCTGAATGACCAAACCTCCCAAGGGCCACCAAGACCTCCTGAGAGAGGTGGGACTCCTGAGGACCCGAATTTATGTGCCCAGAGCCCGAGACCAGCAGCACCGCGTGGCTCTCTGTAATGCTGCAGCCCTCTGCAGCACACTGGAAGAAGAGGCTCCTGGTCGTCACTCTTCTGCACCCTGAATTACAGTATGTGGCTGAGTCTATGAGAACCAGGGCTGACTAGTGGCTGGTTATCTGACCATGAGATCTAAAGATGTCTAAGAGCCTCTCCTTTGACAAGGCACTTGGATGCTTGATTGCCAGCGTAAGCCACTACTGAAGGCAGCCTTTGAATAAAATCCCATAAAAATTACCCCATGAAACACTTCTTTTCCAGACAATAGTTCTATTGTTCTTCCACCAGTCTGCACATGGTACTGGCTTGCAATGCTTTGATCACAAATGGTAGCTTATTAAAATGAGCTGCTCTTTTTCCCTGCTTATATTCTGAAGACACAGCAGTGAGAAAGAAACAGGACACAGGCCTAAGATTGGGAATATCTACCTCAGAGGAAACTGAACTTCAAGGGCAGAATATTGCAATTCCAATCATGAGAAGTTGCATAAAAGAGCAACTTTGCACCTTGGTGAAAGAGAGGTGAAGCGGCCCTCCTGACTGTGTCTATAGGTAGCAGGAGTGAGGTTACAAGGAGAGAAGTCTACATCAATCCCCATCCCTGCCAGGATGATCCGATGTCATCTGGTGTGATTTTAGCTTTTCAAGCAAAGAAAGGATATGCTGATGCAATGTGAGGCACTACCTGGGAGTCACTTTTTTTTTGTTTGTTTGTTTTTTGAGATGGAGTCTGGCTTTGTCTCCCAGGCTGGAGTGCAGTGGCGTGATCTTGGCTCACTGCAATCTCCGCCTCTCGGGTTCAAGTGATTCTCCTGCCTCAGCCTCCTGAGTAGCTGGGATTACAGGTGTGTACCACCATGCCCAGCTAATTTTTTGTACTTTTAGTAGAGATGGGGTTTCACCATGTTGGCCAGGCTGGTCTCGAACTCCTGACCTCAAGTGATCCGCCTGCCTCGTCCATCCAAAGTGCTGGGATTACAGGCATGAGCCACAAAACCTGGTATGGGAGTCACATTTTTAGGAAAGACTTAAGAATATTCCAGACCAGCCATTCTCACACATTTTGGTCTCCTCTTCAAAAATTATTGCGAACACCAAAGAGTATTTGTTTATGAGGACTATATCTATCAGTATTAACATACCCACTGTTGGAACTGAGAAATTTTTAAAAATATTTAAAACACATTTATTTATTGTAAACAAACTCCATTAAATGTTAATACATTTTTACTAAAAATTACATTTTCAAAAAAAATTGGTGAGAAGAGTGGCCTTGTTTTCCATTACTGCAAATCTCTTTAATGTCTGGCTTAATACTAGAGAGTTGGATTCTCATAACTGTGTATACATTTAATCTGTTGCCAGATGTTGTTTGGGTTGAAGTATTTGGTGAAAACCCAGTACCACGATAATACATAGCTGGAGAAGGAAGAAGTACCTTAATAGTACTTTCAGATAGTTATGGATATTCTTCTTTGGCACCATACTAAAATTTGTCAAGTCAGATATTCTTAAAAGTTGGTTGTAATATGGAATCTAAAATCATATCAATAAACTTTTTATATTCTGCTACATTAAAATCCATTGGTCTGTGAATGGATCTTTCACTCATGCATGATTTTATAACATCATGCATTAGTTATCTGGAAAATATTGGTTCGCTGAGTAGTGATTTTTTAAATAAAATATTTTTGAAAATCACATTTGTTAATATCACTACCAATCTCATCAGAAATGTAAAGGATTGACAGGCTGTCAAGCTCCTGCTGGTACACATAAGCTTTCCAAAAATCTAATTTTTGCTTGAAAGCTTGAGTTTTATCACTGACCACAAATAATGTCAGTTGCTTTCTTTGAAACAACGTGACAAGCTAATTTTGTGCATTTTCTAGACAATGTCTGTCAAATACACAAGTTGGAATAACCACAGTTTATCATTCTTTCAAGTAAAAATGGGGTTCTATGAAAAAAAGTTCAGTTCAAAAGAAAAAGAACTGCATTTTTCTTAAGACAGACACCATTGCATACCTATTTCCAATTTCATCACACACAATATTCTTTTTCAATATATACTCAAGAAGAGAGGTTTAATAAAATTAATACTGTTGGCCCCCCATTATCCATAGGTTCTGCATTCATGGATTCAACCATGAATTGAAAACTTTTTAAAAAATGGACGGTTGTATCTATATAAATATAAAAATAGATGGGTGTGTCTGAATAAGAAAAATGGATAGTTGTGAACATGTATAGAATGTATAGACTTTTTTCTTGTTATTATTCCCTAAGAAATACAGTATAACTATTAACATTGCATTTACATGGCATTAGGTATTATGTAATCTAGAGATGATTTAAAGTATATGGGAGGATGTGCATCGGTTGTACAAAAATATACAATTTTATTTTATTTTTAATTATTTTTATTTTATTTTTTAGCAACAGGGTCTTGCTATGTTGCCCAGGCAGGTCTTAAACTCCTGGGCTTAAGCAATCTGCCCGCCTCAGACTCCCAAAGGGCTGGGATTACAGGTGGGAGTACCGCAACTGGCCAAATACTATACCATTTTATATAAAAGACTTGAGCATCCATGAATTTTGGTATCCTCGGGGGCGGGGGTTGGTGGTCCTGGAACCAATTCCCCATGGATACTGAGGGACAACTATAGTTTTTACTGCTTCATCAAGAACATTCTCAGGTGAAACTGACATTTTTTTCTTTCTGCAAGAATGTGGCATGAAGAGTACAATGACTACTATTAGTAGTAGTTTGGTGCCACCACCAGCAATTTTGCCCATGATTACTTCTGCATTCTCAGTGAAAATTTCAACACTGGGAGAAAGGCAAATGACATCTTAGCACTATTATAAAAACAGTTTTGCCCTTGCACACCTCCTGAAAGGGCCTCAGAGATTGTCAGGGATTCAAAGAGCATATTTTGAGAGGTACTGATTAGACAAATTATTTCCAAATATTGTCCTAGGAAATGATAACTAGCCATATTATTATTAACATCTGTGCCAGTCAGGATAAGCTAAGATATGCAGCAATTACAAAGTCCTTAAAACCTCAGTGGTTTAAAACAAAGGCTTATTTCTTACTCATTACATGTTATCATTGGTTGGGGGCCAGGGACTCTGCTTGCCTGAGGCACTAAGAAACCCAGGCTGACGGAGCAGCCCCCATCTCCAGTGTTACCAATCACTGTGCTAGAAGTGGGAGCCCTAGAGAGTCCATGCCGGCAACTATAATACTCCAGCCCAGAAGCGGCTCAAATCAATATTGTTCACAGCCCACTAGTCATATGGCCCCACCCAATCACAAAAGAGGAGGTTGGCTGAGAAGCACAATCCTGGTGTGCCTGAGGGTGAAGAACTGGCAGTATCTGGAGTGCCTTAATGACTACAAGGAAAGGCTACATTTATTGAGCATTTATGATGTGCCAGGCACTCTTCTAAGTACATGTACTACTTATTTACTTATTTACACTTACAACACACCCATAAGGTAGGTTATGTGAACTCCATTCTTTGGATCAGGAAACCAACGTACAGAAAGGTAAAGTAACTTGCTCAAGGTCACATCGAATTAGGAGTGGTGCTGGGCAGGTAGACAAACTCCAGAGCTCATGCTTTTAACCTCTAAGCCATATTGCACCCATAATGTTTTCCCCAGTCTAGGACAAAATGACAAAAATAAGGACTTTTACTTAATGATAAATTTAAAGGATTGTCCTTTATTACAATATGTAACCTTTCTCCCTTTCTTTTATGTTAAAATGCCCTTTCCTTTATGAATCAATGGTGTTCATGGTAGGTGCTTTTTGACTTTCCTTACTGGGTCATTATGTGCCACGTACTGTCTAAGCTCTATTTGTCAAGCACCGTACACTACATAGTTTCACGTACATTATTTTACGTAATTCTGTTCCATGCTGCTTCCTCGTAAGATTAAAACATGCATTTTCCTTTCCCCTAAAACTAACTGAAGCAGGCAAGATCTGGAGCATGACACGGCCCCCAAAGGCATCTAAAGCACTTACAGTAATGGGCTCCAGTTATTCTCCGCAAAAAGTCAGCAGAGAGCTAACACAAGCTCATCAATAAGTTTCTTGCTAGACTTAATCATATCTCTCTCTGTCAGGAATCTTTTATAAGATGTAGTGTTTCTCTCGGGTTTAAGACCAAAAGGGCAACAAGTTGATTTCACCAGCTGGGCCCTGGAACTCTGCCAGGGATGCTTCCCTGAGAAGGACTCTGAACATGAGCAGAACTCATTGGCCAAAGGCCCAGGCCTTGAAGCCAAACAGCAGCTTAGTTAAAAGGGACATAGGGCTTAGACATAAGCAAGCTGTTCTGAGCTCCAACGCAAAAATATTTATTAGCTTCCTTTGGAAATTTTAGATGGCAGTAGAAATGTTCATTGTGAACAGGTGCTAAAGGATACAATTTTAACAAAAATTAAGCCTTGGGAAATAAAAGATGTTTTAAACATCTTTTATTTTTCATCTAATCTTCCCTTTGGGAAGATTAATAGTATTTCTCATCACTGACCAAATAAGTACCAACTCTGGAAATGATTACAAGTGAGGCAATGTGTTCTGTCACCATGAAGATGAAAAGTTCTCCCCTCATTTTTAAACTTCAGATTCTATATGGAAATACAGCAATTTAAAAAAAAGGTGCCAAAAAAGAAGAGTTTATGAATACAAAACCATTTTAGAAAAATTCGTGAACCCAATAAATCAAAATAAATGATTGTCAAACCTATTTAAAGTACTGATTCTAGAAGTCTGAGGCATGCATTTGGAGCCAATGTTTATAAATCCTGGTCCCTGTTTGAAAATGGCCATTGACACTCATTGTTATTTAATATGGGAGCCAAAGAAACACTGTGATAACTCTTCTATTAACAACCTCATGAACGTCTTCTGAAGTTGATTTCCATACTGTATTGCCAATGGGTGTCTTCAAACATCCCTATCCCATCATAAGGAAGCAGGCTGTTTTTAGAGGGTTCAGTTAATAGTTCCAATACAGAAGGTGGAGAGTGCATCTGGCAGACAGAATGTGCCATAAATCCTCACTAATGGCTAGAACAGCAGGTCCTCCAAATGGAGGCGGAATAAGGATGGAACTGCCAAGGACCCATGGGGCCATTCAGCAAGACGCAAAGGGGAAAAGCAAGCACTGCAGCTCCCTAATGAGAGATGGCAGCAGAGGAAAAGGCCTTCCTAATGAAAACCTGTGCCAAGGAGTAAGCATGCCTGGTAGCGGCCAAATTCCCATTTTTGTGCAAGAAACAAGAATAAACCAGCTGCATCAGGAATGTACAAATCTAATCTGACCAGCAGAAGACAAGAGGAGCTACCTATCTAAAACATGCTATTCATATTGACTAGCAAAAAATATACAATCGATTTCTAAACACTGACAATATATACAGGCCTAGGATCAATTCCACAAACTTTACTATAAAATTATCCCTTTTACAGGTGTTTTCCACTGATGTTATATATGTTAAAGTAATACAAAATGATACACTTCAATCCCCCAAAATAATTCACCTACGAAAATTATTGAGATAACAGTCATTTGGCTTAAAGCAATTGATATGGTTTGGATCTGTGTCCCCTCCCAAATCTCATGTTGCAATGTAATCCCCAAATATGAAGGGGCCTGGTGGGAGGTGATTGGATCCTGGGTGCGGTTTCTCATCGTTTAACACCATCCCCCATTGGTGCTGTCATCGGGATTGTGAGTTCTCTTGAGATCTAGTTGTTCAAAAGTGTGTGGCACCTTTCCCTCTCTTTTGCTTCTGCTCCACCATGTAAGACATGCCTTGCTTCTCCTTCACCTTCTGCTATGATTATAAGTTTCCTGTGGCCTCCCCAGAAGCCAAGCAGATCCCAGTATCATGCTTCCTGCACAGCCTATGGAACCGTGAGCCAATTAAACCTCAAACCTCTTTTCTTTATAAATTACCCAGTCTCAGGTGTTTCTTTTTTTTTTTTTTTTTTTTCTTTTTTTTTTTTTTTTTTCCTGTGAGACAAGGTCTGGCTCTATCACCCCGGCTGGAGTGCGGCGGTGCCATCTTGGCTCACTTGGTGCACAACACCATATCTGGCTAAATTTTGTATATTTTATACAGACAGGGTTTCGTCATGTTGCTCAGGCTGGTCTTGAACTTGTGAGCTCAAGTGATCCACCCACCCACCTCGGCCTCCTAATGTGCTGGGATTACAGCCATGAGTCACCATGCCTGGCCACAGGTACTTCTTTACAGCAGTGCGAAAACAAACTAATACAGCAATAAAGATATTTTGAGCCCTGCTGGCTCACTGCAAAGCCACATTCCACATGTGATGAGAAAGCTCAAGCTAGTGCAGGGACTTGGTAACTTTTGGTATAGCAATGTCTTACTAGGACTAGGCTTCTGGAAGCCAAGGACAGCTATTCCTGCTTTTGACTCTGGATGGCACCTCTAGTTCTCACTAAGCAAGAGAAGGACTGATAAAATGGCAAAGAGCTGTTAAAGGCTAACTACCTGTAATGTCAGGAGCATGGCAAGGCAAGGATTATGTATGTGTCTAATCTAAGAGTGAATCACAGGGCTCTGCTTGGTAAGCCTAGCCTCTAATTCATTCCTATATTGCATGGCCTTGAGAAACTTACATAAACTCACTCTGTGCATCAATTCTCCCAAGTTAAAAAAAAAAAAAAAGGAAGAATGTTCTAGCTCTCTGTTATATAAGAGTTTTACGTGACTACCTGGACAAAAGGTCTCCTCAAAAAAGAAAATAAATGCAACATGAGCCTCGCACAGTACCTGGCACACAGAAAATAATCAGTCTACATGTATTGACACTACATGACCAAAGAAGGCTCCCTCATGTAGGACAGAAGAGATTCCCTTGACATACCATCACTAAAGAGTCCGTAAATGATTTCAGAAACCAACTCGGAGTGTTGGGTGCAATGAGTAAGGGAACCACAAATTACGGGTGTCAAAGAGTCATCTGTTATGCCCAAGCTCGCTTTGACAGGGACCACCTACTTCTGAGAATCAGCTGATATATACCATATTAAGGGCCCTGTAGCCATACAAGTCAGAAAAGATAGCTTTTTGCCAGCCAAGTAAGCCACTGCTGTAGGATGGTGGAAGGAGCATATGTGGGGACAGGGGACTTGGGTAGTAGTAGGCCCACAGACTCCTAAACGCTTTTCAGCTGCCACTTGGATACCAGTTTGCAACTTAGCAGATTACTGATTTAACCAAGAAATGATACATTACAGTACTGTGCTCCATCATAATGTAAAGGAACTGATTTTGCTTATTCATTTACCCTCAACTTACTGATTCCCACGATGAGCAGCTACACTGATAGTCATGGGGGTGCAAAGGCGAACATATCTTGCTTGCTGGGGACTAAATGCTTGTGTCCTTCTCAAATATATATATTGAAACTCTAACCCCCAAAGTGATAGTATTAGGACATGGGGCCTTTTGGCAGAAGCCCTTGTGAATGGGACTCATGCCTTTTCACAAGGAGGCCTCATAGAGCTGTCTTGCCCCTTCCACCATGTGAGGACACAGTGAGAAGGTTGTCATCTATGAGAAAGTGGGCTGTTGCCAGACACTGAATCTGCTGGTGCCTTGATCTGGGGCACCTCACCTTCTAGAACCGTGAGAAATAGATTTTATAAGCCACTCAGTCAATCTGGCATTTTTTTGTATTAGCTCAATTGGATTAAGACATTGCATTTTATCCTCCACGTATTTGAACTTTGTCTTGAAGGTTTTAGAAACATAATTCTTAGGCAGCAGATAAACAAGAATGACTACTTAGATAGAAAGACTGTTTAAGAGACTACATAATAGAGTGGGCAAAAGGAGAGGGAACTGTAAGTTTGTCAGTGACATTAAGGAAGAAGGTATACGGAGTGGCAAAAACGAGAGCAAAGGAAAACGTCCTGGCTGACATGACTTTTGGTTCTAAGGGTTACTGGAGAAGAACAAGACTAGAAGACCATGTCTTCAGTCAGGAGCACTTTGTATGTAAGGCTTAGTTTCATCATTCATAAAATAAGCATAAATAATAAAATAATCAAACTGGACCTCTGATTTGTTGTCAGGACTAAATGATATAATGTACAAAAATAACACAATATACGTTGTGTATCCCTTACCCCAAATGCTTGGGATTAGAACTGTTTTCCTTGGATTTCGGAATGTTTGCATTATGCTTACAGATTTGCATCCCTAATATAAAAATCTAAAATGCAAAATGCTCCAATGAGCATTTATTTACTTTGAGGATCATGTTAACACTCAAAAAGTATCAAATTTCAGAGCATTTTGGATTTCCAGATTTAGGGATGTTCAACCAGTACTATCATCTGTGACTACAGATGTGGAAGTATGGACCCAGAGAGAATGTGGGGCAGAAGAGAAACATTTCAGAATTCATGGCATGTAGGTTATGGTTGGAAGTGTCAGGAAGTATCAACTCAATCATCCAGGGAGATGGCATCCTGTAATTCAGGTCCAGAACTCTGTTGCACCCAAATATGTAGAGCATGGGGCATTAAGACAAGGACAGCAAAGTGACTTTGAAGGATTAATCCAAATATGGTGTCACAGAAAAATAAGCAGTAAAGAGCTAGAAGTGCCAATTCTGCCCAGAAGCTGGTAGGACGAAAGCCAGAATAAGTGGATTTAACACGTAAGGGGTCACACAAAAGTGATTACAGTGGAGGGGATAGGTGGAAACCAGATCACAGTTCACTGAGGAATGCTGCATTTCCGAGACATATTTTGACACTGGACAACCCTGCAATTGGGGAATTAATTCTGTAGGGTTGAAACACTGAGACTTTACTCTCTCCCAGGAGCTACAAATAGAATTCTTGCTTTTTATTTAATTTGGAGAACAGAGGAACTTGGGAATTAGATTGAGAGAAAATCATTTCTACGGGGATTCATTGCTACATTATTACATGGAGAAAAGAGAGCTGAGTTTTAGGGGATGAGCGAAGAAACAATAGAAAAAAATATAAAACAGCACAAACAAAAATAGAGAACTTTCTGTAATAACGCAGCAAGTCGTACTAACCTAGGGCTGCCAGGAGAACAGGGGTGAGTGCCTTTGAGAGTCTAAACCCACCTGCTAAGGGCCATTAAAGATGCATGCTTGCAAGCACTTTACGACATAACCGCTCTTACCTTTCTTTTGATATCAGTGAACTGAGAAAACATCAAAGACCAATAAAACGACAGCTCCAGGATGTAATAGTAGTGAAGGTCAGTTGTGAGTGGCTGAAGGTGAAAGAAAAAAAAGGAATGATTAGTAGTTAATAGGGAACCCAATTTGTATCCCAGACATCTCAAGCTCACTGCTCAAAAGTAACATGGTCTTGCACCTGCACAAAGGCAGTTCCTGTCCTATTCTTTTTGTAGATGATGGGGCTTTGAGGATAACTTTAATCCACAGCTTGATGATATTACTCTCATTTCATCTCCAACTCAAAAAGCATTAATTAGCACGAACATTTGGGACTCAATTCATTATTCAGTTTAACAACAGCATTTATGATTCTTTGTCACAAGTATCTGCAAGATTCCTTAAGCAACCTGAAAAAAAATTCTAATACAGACAAAGAATAACCCTGGACAACTGCTGCAAGTATAGGGACAAGACAGTAGGTGATAGGAACTGGAATGCTGTATGGGTCACTGAGGCATAGATTTAAGTTCTGCATTAATCAGAAAGCTCTTTTTTTTGTTATTAGAAAAAAATGTTCAGTACATTTCAAATATCAGAAAGAATTATTCAAAAATATTTACTAAAAGATCAGAGGGACAGGAAGGCTGCCAGGAGATACCAGACTAGGCACCCAGCCAGGATATCGGATCACGTCTCAGCTCTACAGCTCAGCAGGTATAAAACTTGGGTCTTAGTTTACTTATTTGTAAAATGGGAGTGATACCTGCTTTAACTGCCTCAGAGGCTCAGGGTCGGGGGGAGGCTCAGAGAGGCAGTGGAAGTCAGGAATATTTATTTTGCACATAATCCCACTAAAAACAAGAGAGTTTTCAAAAAACATTTGTGATGAGTTGTTTTTAATTGTTATATTGAGTTGTAATGAAATGTCTTGCTTTATTAAAATGAATGAAAAACATTTGAAACTCATCACACAAACAAGTCCATACCCCTATACACAAGACAATACCATATATGGTAAATATAATTGAAATGTAAGTGTTTTGTACACCAATAGCAGCATAATGAATGACTATCAGGAGAAGCTGGCACTCACCCACTCTACGCATGGGAATCATGGAAAAGTTGTCCTGCATAGATCTTTGACAACAAAATACACAATGGGACAGGATACTAGAACCAGCAATCCTAAAGTCTAAATGACAATGAGCACTGCTGTGGACTGAAAGTTTGTGTCCCCCTAACATTCATATGATGAAGCCTAATCCCAATGTGACGGTATTTGGAGGCAGGGCCTTTGGGAGCTAATTAGGCCATCAGAGTGGAGCCCCCATGAATGGGGTTAGTGCCCTTAGAAGAAGGGACATGAGCTCTTAGGGTATTCTCTTGTAGCAGCCTGAACTGAGACCTAAGCATGAATTCAGCATCTCCCTGAGTAGAATACACTTCCTACTGAACTGTCCTTGTAAAACTTGAAGGCATTAACGATGAAGAATGGATATTCAGGGCAGATGGATGGCTGAAATGAAGTTTAGAAAATCGGGCCCTGGCTCAGGACCCTTTGAGCCAAGGGTAAATTTTAGTTTTAATGATATTCTCTTACTTCCACATCACCACCTGGGGAAAGGCCCCAGAGGAATTATAAGGGCAACTCAGAGAGCATCTGGAAACCACAGAGTTCATCCCATTATAATAATTACTATGTCCGACGAGTGCTTTGCAGTTGACAATGCTCACTCACATGTTAATTTCTTTGATTCTCATAAAAATCCTATAAAATTAGTACTATAATTCTAGACCTAGATTGTACAGTTGACAGGAAATTGCTGTCAGTTAATTCAGGTTAAGAGGCTAAGCCTAGGTCTCATAGCTAGTGAGGCCCCATGACCACCAACTAGGGTATCTCATGTCCAACTTGTGCTTCTTATACCAAGCTGTACAAGGTTCAACTGAATGCAACTTCACATTATTTTAAACTTAGAATATACACATGTATATGAAATTATTTAATATGTAACAAATAATATGTGTACTTATATAAAATAAGTGTATCCTTAATAAAATTGAAGTAGACCACTACTTTTTCACCTAAATGTCTGTTCGATTATCAATTTAACATATATGCTAAAGATACCATAAATATGTCTCATAAGCATGCTCGGTCTTTAAAAGTGCCCTTAAGGCTAGAGACTGACTTGGAACAGGAATCTATATATTTACATAGGCATGCTTACACACAAAGTACTATAATTGCATACATAATAATTATATGCTGTTTAGTTCCCCCCCACCCACACACAAAGAAATCAGCTAATATTCTTTATTACTATACAGCATTTTCAAAGATGCACCGTTCCCATGAGAAACCATCAATTTGTCCTACATTTTGGGGGCTATATGCTGAATCATACAGAAGACAATCTTGATCTGAGTCCCCACAGATAGCATCTTGCCTTCCATACACGTGGTGTTTCCTCTTTTTAAAAACATTACTAACTCCCAGACCCTCAAACTTTCATGTTGAATCTACAGTGCTGTGAAACCCTCTGCAGCTACAGTATAGACCATAGCTCTAGCAACTCATTTTCTCAGAAATAAGCAATTTCTCAGCTCCAGCCATGAACATGAAAGTTATTCTGGACTAAATTACAGTTAAAAAGAAGAGTAGGTATTACATTTCATTTGGCACTTGTGTGTACTTTCATAAACAGAAATGTAGACATACACGGATTTTGCTACTCACTATACCATTACAGGACACAAGGAGCCTTATGTGACAATGTTCCAAGTACGGTAAACAGCAGTTGGGCCTGAGAATTACAATTGTGTAAAATAAGCTATTGGTGTCAACACTGCTTTAGTCTCTATCAAATATCCTCTGAATGCTCAGCTCTCTTGCCATGTTCTATTGCTTATTTATAGTGTTTTCTAATGTGAAAAAACCACTCGTAAGAGATGAAAATGCCAATTGGAATTCCAATTCAATGTGTCCTTAACGTTGAACTAGCTCAAGGAGTATCCAGTGCCAGTCCCCACCCTCTGCCATGACACTAGGTGTAACAAAGAAGACACAGGGCAAGCCTGCTCCCCATAGGACTGTGCACGCCCCAAAGACCAAACACCTCAACAGACAACCCAAAGAAACCCCAAACAAAAAACCTGAAGTTGCTTATTATAATGTTTAATATGTCTCCTCATGTTGTCACAAAATACCTAGCTGCATTTGCTTCTCTTACATAATATATCCCAACTGAACATGGAGTTATAGAAATTTCCCAGCTAGAAACTTTGAGACAAGTCCCAGCTTTTTAAACGGATCTGGGGATCCCAACAACACATGCTTATATCACTGAATTCATGGAAAGATGCAAAGGTATGCCAGTGGGCAGAGATCTAAAATGCTTCCTTTCTGGGATATGATTTTAATCTCACTTTCAATGATGCTGTTTTTAGTTGCAGAAATAATCCTTCCACATGTCATAGTACAAGCCCATTTTTCTGCACTCAAGGAAATGGTGCTTGATTTACATATTTGGAGGCTGCTTCTAGGTCACAAAGTGAACTGAACTCAGTGTACCTGCTCTAGCCTCACACTTGATCTTTCCCACTTGCTGTTGAGGCAGGTCTGCACTATGTCAACAGGATTCCAGACTTACCTCAGTGATTAGAAGCAGATCAGCTGTTAGGAGCAGGAATTTCCACCAGTTGAACTAATTGATCCTATTCCCTTGTAAATGTACTTTCCAAGCTGACTCCATCTGCTAGGGCAATCGGGCCTTGATTCTGAACTTCACTAAGAATAATGCACAAATTACTATCCTCACTAGATTATGTCCAGCACTGATCAGCGGGAGTGGGGCCAAAAATGAAGGTGGTTGTCCAACCTGTTGGGGCCTGCCTGAGACCATGAAATTGACCGAAGGTAGATACTTAATGTGTGTAAAAACCCAGACAATAATGCCTCCTTACCTGATAGGGGTAGTTGTACCAGCAATGCCTCGTATTCCACAACCAGGGGGTCTGAAAAAAATGACAAAAAATATTTTACATATTTTAGAACATGGATAAGAGGATAAAAAAGGTTTACAATAGGCTCTTGCCCTAATATTTTTGGATTTCAATAATTTACCTGTGTGAGAACTGACAAACTTTAAAACAGCTAGGCATAGGATATTAAAGCAACTAGTATCATACAATATATTCTCTCTTGGTAAGTTAAACTCAACTGGTAGTATTTTAGGCTGCTTTTGGGATGCAGTTCCAGCTGGTGTTTTTTCTATTTTGCTGGTCACTTAGACATATTCCTGCTACATAACCAGCCTCAACAGCAGGGGCCTGCAGGGGTCTCACAGAAACCAGATATAAATCCTCCATCTCACTCTTATCTATAAACATTGATGACAGCTAGTATAAACTGCCCTGAAACTCCTCAGACTCAATGTTTACCAAGCGACATTATTCATGCCTTGACCAGGGTTCAGTGACATGCAGGTATACTTCTTAAGAAGGACACTTAAGACTAACCCTCACAGCACATGCCAACTCCTGACCTGTGATCCAGGTCTTTTTATGACAAAACAATCATTCTTAATTTGAGGAATTACTTGCCTTATGACACAGTATGATTAGGAAAATCTAAGTGTACACACAGATTCCAAACATTTGTAATAATCAGGGAGGGGTTGGTATGAATTCAAGCAGACAGCCGAATTATCCAATAAGACCAGCACAAACTTTCTCATAGTTTCAAAATAATTTCAAAAGAAGTATTAATGTTATAATTCTTTTGCATCCCTTATCTACAGCTCTCAGCACTTTCTGATATACATCTATATACATTTGATATACATCTATATGTTTCTTAAGATTAATCTGCCAACATCTTCATCAGCCCTGTATCATAGGAATGAGGACAATTAGCTTCAGGTGGCTAATATCTGCTGAGTCCTCCTTATGTCCTATATACTTTTAAAGCCTCCTACACATATTAACTCATTTAATCCTTATAGTAGCTACTAGTATTTTTCTTATTTTATAGATAGGTAAATGGAGGCCCCGAGTCTGTGAATAACTACCTAGGTTCAATAGCTAGGCAGTGCCAAAGTTGAAAATCAAACTCAGACTCTCTGGTCCCAAACCCAAACATAACCACTGTGCACCCTGTCTCTGAGTCTGATCAAACTAAACCCAATCTCAAGGTAGGGAGCCAGATTCCTGTACAAAGCCATGCACTGCCCTAAACCTAACTATGTTCCAGAATCTTTACATTTCCCTTTCATTCAAGCACTATTCATTTTCTTTCCGAGATCTTAATTAGGCTCCTGATTTTGCCTTTTGCTCCCTGTTCAACACTGTCTGTATCATGTAATTTCACTGCAGTTAACTTCCTCAGTGTCTGAGTTGTCTGTCTCCTCCATTTCTCTCATCTATAACATCAATGTTCATTATTGACCTCACAGAGTGATTGTGAAGATCAAATGAGAGCGTGTGCATAAAACTACTTGGGAGGCTTACTGTGTTTTTATAGTTCAGTCAGCAATATGTGTCCATTGAGGAAGATGTAAAAAATAAAGAATAAAAAATAAAAATAATTTAAATTTTCATCACCATTAACATTTTGATGTATAGCCCATTTTTGGTCTTTTGTCCCTATGTAATATAAACATGATACAGATCAATTTACTTTTAAATACCCATATATATGCAGGTTTTAAAAAATGTGGGTACAACACAGCAACATCTATTTTAAAGTACAAATGTTAGTTATTGCCGTTCTCTCTGATAAAGTTGATTATCTCCTCAACTGAAAGTCCTTGAAGGAAAGTTAAGTCATATGCATGTTTATCCTCTCACCATAGACTTCCAAGTTCACAGTTCAGCACTCATCTACTGAATGTTAATGAAAAGGAATACAGAATGGAAATGCAAGGCCTCATGTTCATCTAAATTTATCAGTCCCAAGACCATTGGGCATGTGTGTGCTTGCCCCTAAGGATGCAGCAGTCATCTCTGCCACTGTGCCCATCCCTTGCAGTGACAGGCAGGAGGGCAAGGTATAACTCTAAATGATGCAGAAAAATCCGTCGTTCAGAACTTCCCTTCCTTTGTGAGCTTCTTGGCTGATTAGTCTTCTAAAACCCAGGCTTTTCTCTGTGTGCATCAGATGTGCATCCCCTAGATCTGCTTTCATTGCATGCCCGATGCCTGACTGAACTGCAGAAACAGCGTGTAA
The DNA here is from genome assembly GCF_000001405.40 of Homo sapiens. Classification (NCBI taxonomy): domain Eukaryota; kingdom Metazoa; phylum Chordata; class Mammalia; order Primates; family Hominidae; genus Homo; species Homo sapiens. Next base: position 168,688,821 of record NC_000002.12, on the reverse strand, counting down.
GTGTCTGCCTCTTTTTGGGCTCCTGTGCACCGGAGGCAGGGGCACAGACCTGGATACCATGAATCTGATGAAGCTACCAGGGCCCAAGTTCAGCTCACAAGTTTTCTGGCCAATCATTTAGGAATATATTCTTTCATACAGAATGCATGTTCACATATACCCCTCACTCTGACAACGTCAGGTATTAATATCACCTTCCATATGCACAGTACATTTTTCTAGGATCTTAAATTAAGTTATACCCCCCAAACACTGTGAGACAGTGGAACAAATATCTTTCCCAATTTATAGATAAGAAAACCGAAGTCCATGAGTTGATTCTCCTGATTTCTTATAGCTCAACACTGGTGTATGAATCTGGATTGGCTGTTTATAATTTGGGCATAACTTCTTTTTTTTTTTTTTTGAGACGGAGTCTCACTTTGTCGCCAGGCTGGAGTATAGTGGCGCGACCTCTGCCTCCTGCGTTCAAATGATTCTCCTGCCTCCATTGATAAAAAATTTTCCAGTTTTTTAGAATCATTTCCACATTCATTTGATGTCAAAATCCATATATTCTATCACACAAATTATAGGACAGTAATGTAATTAAGAACTTAAAAAGATGAAATATTTAGACATCATAGAGGAATGGTGATTAAAAATACACTAAAACCCCTCAATTTAGAAAGTTAAGCCCTAACTAATAATAAAAGCTCTGTACCTAGGAGGTTGCATGGCAATTCAAGCACATTCTCCAGAAACAGAATGCCTTTTTCACATGACGTTACAGCATCAAGGAAGTTTATCAAGGTTGGAAAATCTGAAGCCAAATTTTGGGTCAGTCATTGTGGCTCACACCTGCAATTCCAACACTTTGGGAAGATGAGGTGGGAGAACTGCTTGAGCCCAGGAGCTCAAGACCGGCCTGGGCAACACAGTGGGACCTCATCTCTACAAATAATATGAAAACTAGCTAGGCACGGTGGCATATGCCTATAGTCCCAGCTACTCAGGAGGCTGAGGTAGGAAGATTGCTTGAGCCTGGTGGGGGCCAAGGCTGCAATAAGCCATGATTGTGCCAGGCATTCCAGCCTGAGCAACAGAGTGAGACCCTGTCTCAGAAAATAAATGTTGTTCTTATAACCTATGATTCACATTATTCCTTCTCACACATGTACACTTAAATCATGTTATAAAACATTTCACAGATTTAAAGTATTTTACACGTGTCATCTCATTTAATTCTGACAACATTGTAAGCAATCAAGATAATGTCACCAGCAGAGGCCAGCAGACGCCATTAAAGATTTATAAAAGAACATGCCAGCTCAGAGCTTCACCAACTGTTAAAATGCAGGCTGAGGTCTGGGCTTGGGGATGAAATTCTGCATCTCTAAAGCTCCCAGTTGATACTCATGCTATTAGGCCACGGACCACACTTTGCAAGTAGTAAGGTACTAGGGAAAAGTAAGAAGGCTGATTCCATCTTTTTGGTATTTACCATGTATCAGGCAGCTTGCTAAATACTTTGTTAAGATATTTCACAATTCAATATAGATAAATGAATTAATGAATTATTTCTAATCTTTGCGAGAATCATTTGAAGCAGAAGAACCACTGCTAGTAAAGCAATAGCTAAAGATAAGCTTCTCATCCAGCCTCCTTGGCTAGTACAATTCTGGTGGGAAGCTCTGGTGGAAGCAAAGTTTGTGTGTGTCACTTGGGGACGGTGCCCCTAAAAGGTCAGTGTGAATGAGTTCCTCTCACCCTTTCTCCATTCCTATTGAAGGGAGATAATGAAAACTGAAGCAGTCACCACTGGCCCTGAAATGGAAGTTTCTATGGAGTCTGGTATCAGAAGTCTCCCACCAGCCCTGATCTGCTTCCCTCTGGATTGTATGTATGAGATAAATAAATTCCTATCATTTCTCTCATATCTAAGCTAGTGTGTTTTGCTTTACTTTTATATACAGTAGCTTAGCCTGTATTCTAATATTAATACATGCATCAAGGTAAGTATCAATTATTTTGTAGACAGTCTCAGAGAGGAACCGTAATTAATTAAAGGCTACACAGCTGATAAGTAGAGAAAGTGGAAATCAAACCTAGGCCAGCTGGGCTCTTCCACTGTGCCTTCCGCTGGGTACTCTGGGTGACGAAGAATGAGTAATGAAAGAAAAACATCACAGGCATTTGGAATAGATTCCCCCAAATGAGCTATTACCTAGAAACACTGAATTTTAGGTTTAGAAAGGACCTCCAAATCCTGTAATCTACAGAACAATCCACAGGTCCAGATGGGTAACCAGTTCTTACTGTTACATAACTCAATGATTATCTCACTGACAAGATCCCTTAGGCTTCCTTCCTTAATTTTTTTTTTTTTTTGCCTTGGTTAACAGAAATTGCGTCTTTTTATTTATTCATTTATTTATTTTTTGCATCTGCCCTAATCACTAACATGACTGTATTTGAAGATAAGGCCTTTGGAAGGTAATTAACATAAAACGAGGTCATAAGGTTAGAGTCTTAAACCAATAGGGTTGGTGGCGTTACAAGGAGAGGAAGAGGAAGAGAGAGATTTCTCCCTCTCCACGCGCGTGCTCAGAGGGAAGACCAAGTGAAGACCGCAGTGAGAAGGTTGCTCTCTGCATACTAGGAAGAGTGCCCTCACTAGACGCCAATCCTTACCAGACCTTATCTGCAACTTCCAGCCTCCAGAACGATGAGAAATTTCCGTTGCTCAAGCCATCTAGTATGCGGTATTTTGTTACAGCAGTCTGAGCTGACTAACAGCATCATAAGAGAACTCCTCATAAATGGTGCTTATTAGCTATTAAATTACACGTCAACTAATTTCAATTTAAGAAGACTTATAAAATGTCTGAATAACACTAAGACAGGCCATATCACAGTGGATGAGAAATTACCTCTAACTCTCTCAATCTAAGCCACAATGTATAACGGGATTTTTCATTAGCTTATGTGCCTCTTCTCCCAGAGGCATCAATTGAGACATAACTCAGCAGCAAGCATATCCATCAGTAACATTCCCTTGGGAGGCATCTGTGGCTGTTCTTACCCTGAGCAAACCTGATCCTGGCACCAGGATAGGAGCCAGAAGCGCTGGTGCAAGTCAAGCCTTCATCGACATTTTGACCACACACGTAAGAATCGAGTGCAATTTATTCTATGATTTTTTTTTAAGAGAAGGGTAAAGAAGCATCTTTAAGTGTCAGTAAATCTGCTCTTTCATCCAGTATCTTCTTTTATTGGCTGCATTACAGAGGTTTCATTGTCAACAGAAGTCAGAAAAACAGATAAGGTCTGATACTTTACTTTACCATCTGCAATTATCATGTTAGTGAAAGCCTAAAGAGATAGCGATTTTGAAGCAAGGACCAGAGAAAAGGATATCTGATTAACCAGGCAAGTGGTCAATGGTTAAATAGAAACATAAATCACATACATACATACATGTGCTTTTCTCCCTCCAAGAACCAGTAGGCATCTGCAGCTGAATAAACAGTAGTTTCTTTGAATTAATAACTATTTTGATTTAAGAAAAGAACAAGAATCATAAAACATATTAAACACATTTTGTTGCCTCATCAAAGATGTAAAAGGTGTGTGGGTATTTACTCGAAATCAGCATCTTGAGGCAAATTTCATCTTTTGCTATTTCCGTGAAAACTCTTACCTAGCTTTCACAAAGCCCAGCTGATGCAACTAGGAGTCAAGGAATATAGTCTAACAGACATTTGTTCTCTATGTAGTTGGATTATGTTTAAAAATACCAAAAACCTAGATTCTTAAACTACTTTGACACTACTTTCACTAAAACTACTCTGAGAAAACACTCACTGAGTTATATTTAAACCTTATGCCTTTTGCTTACATTGAGGATTTACTCTAAGAAAAAAAACATAAGAAAAATGCTTCCATGAATTTATACTGGAAACGTTTACCCTAAGTCCAATGTCTAAGTTCCACAGGACATTTTTGCTTCAAAATTTAGTCCAAGGCAGGAGGAAATACTTCCTTTCTGTTAATGCTTAGCATGTTTCTTTGTGCCAAGTGATAATTATGTTTCCCCATTGTTATTAATACTTTTCCACCCTGGTTTTGAGAAGCTGAGATCTAATTGTAAAGCTCAGTCATAGCAAGTGTGATCTGTGATTGCCTCTCAACATCTTTGCTTATTTCTCTTTTCATGTGTAATTTTAAATGTTCAATATCTATATTAATTTGTTACCTAAATATTGAAGATTCTTTTAAGAAACTGTGTTATTAATTTAAATGAATATAAATCAAATCAATTTGAGATGATAATCTACAATTTTAATTAGATACACATTATAAAATAACTCGGAAGACAAAGAAATATTTCATATTTTGTGACTTTACAAAGATATAAATAAATTGTGTTTGGGATGAAAAGAATGAAGCCAGAAGTCTCTCAGCTTGAAGAAACTCCTGATTAGTGGTGAGCAGCCGAGAGCACTCCCAGAATGCAAGAGGTGTCCCTTCCTCCTTTCCTGGGACAGTAGACATGTGACTATAAATCTACCAAGCACAGCAGTAACCCCTCCCTAGAGGCCTGTGGCATCTGCATTAGCCTTGAAAGTTCTCCTGATGTGGAAATGTAATTTGGACTTGACCCCCTGGCATTACATAAAGAGTCCTTCATATTGATCAGGCTTTAAAAAGGATACTAGTCCTCTAGACCTGGTCTAGCATGTGCCTTTACCACATTCTGCAATCAATTTAGTAAGTAACTTTCAGATCTGTGAAGTATATATAGGTAGAAAGAGTTTTTTGGAGATGGGCACTCAGGTCACAGGATTTCCAAGAGGGTTCTATCATAGAAACAAGCAGATGGAAAACGTGAGTGGCATTTCCATGGCTTCTTAAGCCTTTCAGCCAATAGTTCTCAACTTCTGCCTCTTTTCAGCTGAGGGTCTCCACACACATCTAACAGTCACCGTGGTACACTATGCACACTACAGCTCAGGGTAAGAACGCTGTGATTCTCAAGAGTCTGGGGATATGGCGCTTGAAAGACCACCTCTCTGATGTGGACTCTCCTCTACACCCAGCAAGAATCACTGCAAAGTAAAAGAGACCAATCAATTCCATGTTTAGAACAGGAATTAGGGAGAAAGAGACCAGGTATAGAAAAGAAAAGATGAATGACAAAGAGGTAGAAAGACCTAGAGGGAGGGAAACGGTGAGAATGTCAACACACGGGGAGAGAGATGTGCAGGCCAATGTAGAATCTGACAATGAAGCCAGTGACAGTGGCTATTAAGAAGCACAAAATTAGTCAAAAAACATTTTAGAGAAATGATTGACAACAGATAAAGGATTACTATTTCTAATATGTAAAGAGTTCATAAAAAGTGATTAAAACATTTAAATATCCAATGAGAAAAATGGGAAGAAGATACAAACAGGCAACACATCAAACAAAAATATGTGACCAAAAGCACATGTAAAAATTACAGATTAAAGCTAGACAGAATTTTTTATCTGAGAGTCTGACAAATATTTAAAAAGGTTCATACCCAAAGGTCACTTATATACTTACAGGAAAACCAATACTCTGCAAACTGGAATAACCTTTCTAAAGGGTAATTTGGTAACATATATCAAGAGTCTTTAAAATGTACATATCTTTGACCCAGCATTTATTGTAAAAAATTAACTAGATCCATATATAAAGGTACTGATACATAGATATCTATTATAATTCTATTTACAATAAAAATTAAAAACATATCCTTGACTTAGCATTTATTATTTAAAAATAATTAACTAGACCCATATGTAGAGGAATTTATACATAGATATCCATTATAATTCTTTTTATAACAAAAATTAAGATAAATCGGATTGTTCAATAATACAGGGTTGACGTTTTCTTAATTTGGGATTCTCTAGAAAGAGTCACTGAGATAAAGACCCGGATGTAAGCTGCTTTGGAGAAAGTAAGATAGACAAAGGAGAAAAACCAACACAATTTTCAGGAATGAGCTGGTTACTGCTGCAGGCAACTGCATGGGGAGCCCCTGCAGAACCACATAGCATGGATCTTGTAACTGTCTCAACACAGGACAGGGATGCCGCAGCATTTATCCACCAACTCCCACCCCCCATTGTGAGAGTTGTAGTATTAACTCCCCCATTTTTCTAGGTTGTGTCTTCCTGTGTCTAGATGACCTCTGCAGCTCTGGAGAAAGAGCAGAAATATGGCCCAGCTTGTATGTCATGTGGCATACTGTCAAGGGTGCATGCAACTGCTCACTACCGCTATGCTAAAACCAGATGAGCTACGGAAATGTTAACAGGCACATTCATATTTTAAGTTAAGATCCGGTTACAAGAAGGTATACAGTGTACTTTACGTTTAAAGTAGATATATATTTAGACACACACACTAAAAATGCCTGGCAATATATTTACCCAAAATTGCTTAGTGGTAATCTCTGAGTAATAATTATTTCAGGGGATTTTTATTTTTTCTTATGTTCATATATTAACTATTAAATTACATATTGTCATAGCTATAATTTTTCCGCAATGAACAAGTCTTATCTGGATAATAAAAAGTCAAGTTTATGTAGTTTTAACAGGTCTTATTTCAAAAAACACACGGGCAAACTAAAAATAGAACTACCATATGATCCAGCAACCCAACTACCGGTTATATATCCAAAGGAGAGAAAATCAGTATGTCAAAGAGATATCTGCATTCCCATGTTTATTGTAGCACTATTCACAATAGCCAAGATATGGAATCAACAGATGAATAGATTTTAAAAATGGTATGTATACACAATGAAATACTATTCAGTCATATAAAGGAATGAAATCCTGCCATTTGTAGCAATATGAATGAGTTTGGAGGATATTACTTTTAAGTGAAATAAGCCAGGCACCGAAAGACAAGTACCTCAGGTTCTCACTCATATGTAGAAGCTAAAAAAGTTGATCTCATAGAAGTAGAGTATAGAATAGTGGTTACTAGGGGATGGGCAGGGTAAGGGGAGGGGGTTAGCCAGAAGCTGGTTAGTGGATACAAAATATAGCTAGAAAGGAAGAACAGTCCTAGTACTCTACAGTACTGTCAGGCACCTATAACTAACAACAATTTATTGTGTATTTTCAATTAGCTGGAAGAGTGGGTTTTGAATGCTCCCAACACAAATAAATAATACATGTCTGAGGTGATAGATGGCTAATTACCCTAGTTTCATCTTTATGCATTATATACATGTACTGAACTATCACACCGTACCCCAAAAATATGTAAAATTGCATATCAAAAATAATAAAAACAAGAATGAGAATAATTTTTAAAAACCCAATTTGCTCTATATTTATAAACAACGTTAATAGTGTTAATAATACACTGCCACCCTCAAATTATTCAATAATTCTAATTAACTTGAAATTAATAGCACAGGATATAGCTGCCTTTGGAGTATTTATATGTTGACAGTGATATTTCAACTACAAACAAATCATTAATAATTCTAAATTCCCAATTAAGAGAAAGTAGAATGAGAGAAATAAGATGAGCAAATAACAGAGAATAAAACCTTGCACTCAGTAGAGTGATAATTAACTATTCTGCCACCCACCCAACTTGCTCTCACCTTCCAAGATCCCCATCAGTCCCTTCCTTACTACTTATCAACCCATTTGCCTAGGCCTTAATCTATTTGTGCTATTACTGCACGCTTCTCATTCACACATTGTTTCAAGTATTAATTGAGTGCCTACCATGCATCAGGTACTGGGCTGGACATGAAGATGCAATGGACAAGCTCTCCATTCTCAGGGAACTTAGCATCTCCTGGGTAACCAAAACAATTACATTACATGCTACAGCAGGAATAAACACAAGTGGTTAAGGACATAGTACATGAAAAGGCACTTGGTCCACTTTGTGCTGCTATAACAGAATATCACAGACTAACTTGTAAAGAACAGAAATTTATTCCTCAGAGTTCTGGAGGCTGTTAGTCCAAGATCAAGGCACTGGCATTTGGTCTTGTGAGGGTCTTCTTGCAGCATCCTCACATGACAGAATGCTGAAGGGCAAGCTACCCAAAGGCTGTGTGAAGCCTCTTTTATAAGGACCTAAATCCCATTAAGGAGGAAGGAGCTCTCATGGCCTAATCTCTTCTTGCAGGTCCCACCTCTTAATATCATGTGGCAACACCTGAACTCTGGAGGGGACACATTCAAATCACAGCAGCCTTGGAGGGTGGGGTGGGAGGGGAAGGCTCCATGAGGAGGGGCCGGGTAGTTATAGACAGAGGACAAACAGAATGTAGTCAGTGAGCAGATGGAGGAAGGGAACTGCCAGATGGAGGGAAGAACCTATGCTTTCCTATAGCTCATGGACCAAGCCATTTCTCCAACATCATCATTTTTCCTTATCATCCCTTTCCTTGCATTATTCTCCAGATGAAAAAAGTTCAAATGCCTCCTCCCTATTTTCAGCTGAGAAGGTGAGATGCCCGTGCCTGGATTTCCAGGCTCCTGCCTGCTTGGCAGACCACTGTGACCGTGCACGACTAAGTCCACTCTTCCCAGCCAGCATCCCCTGCTCTCCCCAGGCCAACTTCTTTGTGTTCTATTCATTCCTATCTCCTTGCCGGAACTACTCAGACCCCTCTGTCTTTCTGCCTCTTGCCCAATCTTCCAGGCTCTAGTTTGCTGGCTTTCTGCCTCCAAAAATGATTTTAAGCATTTGTGAGTCTTTCTCTCCACAGAACTCCAGACTCTTTGAAAATGCCGTAGTTCGTAAATTACTTCCAATATTTAAGAAGTGCTTATCATGCTTCCCTGCGGTTTCATGCTCTTTGGTATTGATTTTCCTAATCAGTCATCAACGTTTAAAAAGACTTCTAAGCACATAGGAGGCTGCAGCTTAAAGGATATTGCTCATAAATAAGAACAATGTGGATCAGTGAAAAGAGGCAAGTAACCAAAGAGTAAACTAATATTTATTGGCCCTTTTCTTGATGTCAGGCACAATATAAGTCCCACTTGTAGTTTCAGGCATTGCTGTATGAGATGCTCATCGTAAACCTCATAAACACTATAAAGAGAATTGACAGCGTTGGCCAATGACCTGATTCCAAGCCTCTCTGAACCATGTCCTATCTGTGTGTGAGCGAGGTACTAATCTCCCTGAACAATATTTTCAAATAAACTGTTTTTCATGACTAAGATACAGTTTTGTCACACAGAGCGAGATTACGAGTAGAAGCCACAGATGAGAAAGAGAGAAAAGATGGGAAATTCTATTTTAACAACCCCTAATAGACACATCTGGATATACATACAGTCTCTTTATTTTTTAATTGACACATTGTAATTGTACATACTTATGGAGTACAATTTGATGTTTTAACACGTGTAGATATTGGATAATGACCAAATTAGGGTAGTTCATATATCCATCACCTCATGCATGTAATTGTTTCTTTGTGGTGAAACCACTCAAAAGCCTCTCTTCTATTTTGTAATATACAATATCCTACCGTTAAGCATAGTTGCCCTATTTTGCAATAGAGCCCCAGAACTTATTCCCCCCATCTAACTGTAACTTTACACTTGTTGACAAACGTCTCCCCACCCTCCCTTCCCAATCTCTGGTAACTACTGCTGTAATCTCTGCTTCTATGATAACTTTTTAAAATAGATCCCACACGAATAAGATCATACAGTATTTGTCATTCTGTATTTGGTGTATTTTGCTTAACATGATGTCCTCCAGGTTCATCCATATTTCTACAAATGACAGGATTTCATTCTTTTTCATGGCCAAATAGGATTCCATTGTGTATATATGCCACATTTTCTTTATCCATTCATTCAATGGACACTGAGGTTAATTCCATATTTTGGCTATTTTGAATGTTGCTGCAATAAACATGGGAGTGCAGATATCTCTTTGACATACTGATTTCCTTCCCTTTGAATACATACCCAGTAGTGGGATTGCTGGATCATAGGATCTCTTTACTTTTAATCCTATGAAAACGTCAATTATTCCAAGGAGTTGATGCATATTGTCTTCCCAATTAGTGACTAATACAAAGGTCTGTCTAAAGAGCCTTTGTGTTCCTCCCAGGGATTTTTACGAGGGCTTCTGGAGCCACGCCACCTCCTCAAGGCTCCCAACCCCCACCAGGAATGGAGAGCTGGCAGTAAAAGTGTAATTACTGTGTACAGACAGGTCTTCTCATTCCTACATTGAACAACTACTCAGGGGGGAAAGAAACATATTATGAAGGTAGAGGACACATGAAAATAAAACAATGGACTTAAAACAATAAACCAAAATCTTGTTCTTCCCTTGTTCCAAGGTAATGGGTTTTTCAGCTGGAAGTCTGACGATCCAGCCAGCCAGTGCTTCTCAGCCCCCTTGCAGTAAGAAGCAGGTGTGCTTCCTCCACATTTCCCTTTCCAGCCAGTGGGAGCTCAGATGAGGCAGGAATCTAGCTCCCGTAGGCCTGACAGTACCTCAGGCAGCGATTCGCGAAGGGCCATCTGCAGATTTTTGAGGGTCCCTGAATCCAATTTAGGAAGGTATGAAGTCAAAACTCTTCGTAACAATAGTAAGACGTTTGCCTTTGTCACTGTGTTGATATTTGTACTGATGGTAAAAAAGCAATGGTGCTGCCACACTGACTTCCACAATGGTTGAACTAATTTACACTCCCACCAACAGTGTAAAAGCGTTCCTATTTCTCCACATCCTCTCCAGCACCTGTTGTTTCCTGAATTTTTAATGATTGCCATTCTAACTGGCATGAGATGGTATTTCATTGTGGTTTTGATTAGCATTTCTCTGACGACCAGTGATGATGAGCATTTTTTCATATGTTTGTTGGCTGCATAAATGTCTTCTTTTGAAAAGTGTCTGTTTATATCCTTCGCCCACTTTCTGATGGGGTTGTTTGGTTTTTTTCTTGTAAATATACCCAAAAGATTATAAATCATTCCACTATAAAGACACATGGCTGGGCACAGTGGCTCATGCCTGTAATCTCAGCACTTTGGGAGGCCGAGGTGGGCAGAACACCTGAGGTTGGGAGTTTGATACCAGCCTGACCAACATAGAGAAACCCTGTCTCTACTAAAAATAGAAAATTAGCCAGGCGTGGTGGTGCATGCCTGTAATCTCAGCTACTCGGGAGGCTGAGGTAGGAGAATCACTTGAACCTGGGAGGTGGAGGTTGTGGTGAGCCAAGATCGCGCCATTGCACTCCAGCCTGGGCAACAAGAGTGAAACTCCGTCTCATAAAAAATAAAAAAAATGAAGACACATGCACATGTATGTTTACCGCAGCACTATTCACAATAGCAAAGACTTGGAGCTAACCCAAATGCCCATCAATGTTAGACTGGATAAAGAAAATGTGGCACATATAGACCATGGAATACTATGCAGTATAAAAAAGAGTGAGTTCATGTCCTTTGCAGGGACATGGATGAAGCTGGAAACCATCATTCTCAGCAAACTAACACAGGAACAGAAAACCAAACACTGCATGTTCTCACTCATAAGTGGGAGTTGAACAATGAGAACATATGGGCACAGGGAGAGGAACATCACACACCAGGGCCTGTTGGGGGGTGGGGGAGAAGGGGAGGGATAGCGTCAGGAGAAATACCTAATGTAGATGATGGGTTGATGGGTGCAGCAAACCACCATGGCACATGTATACCTGTGTAACGAACCTGCACATTCTGCACATGTATCCCAGAACTTAAAGTATAATTAAAAAAAAAAAAATCTCCAAAAAAAAAAAAAAGCCCCAAAAAACAAAGCAATGGTGCGTAAAACTGCCGGAGGCTTAGCAGGAAACAAGACAGTGGCACCAAACTCTACTCATGGACACTGTCTTCTTCACCAGCAGACAGTCGCGATTAGAAGGAAAAAGTTTCACTGATGACTATCCTTGATGAAGCATAAAAGTCATTAACTTCATTAAACCTCTACCCTCGAGTAAACATCCAGATGATGGAATGAGAAGTACACATGCAGCACTTCTGGGGCAAAAAGGCGGGAAGAAACTTGTGTGATTCTCATTTGAGTTGCAGGCTGAACTAGGCACTTTTTCATAGAGCGCCATTTTGATACAAAAGTATGACTGACAACGTGTGGTTTTTCTGAATTAAGTACTTGTAGACATTTTCTCAAAAATGGACAGAGTCTTTCACTTCAAGAAAATCAAATGACAGTATGTGCTGCCAATGATAAAATTCAAGCTTTTAAGTTAATATTGTTAGTATTTTGGAAAACATGTATAGTCCACTATGAACCTTACATCTTCCCAATAGCTAATAATTTTTCTGAGGGGATCAATAAAAACATTAACAAATGTGGGTTTTTAATATTCCATAATGACATGTGTAAACACTTGCAAGATCTCCGTACATCAGTGGACCAGTAAATTCCAAATGACCAATGCATGATAAAAAACCGTGTATGGGTGAAACAGCCATTCAAAGGAAGAGATTAATAGATGTTAACATTAACTGTGTATAAAAAGTCCACTGACATTAAAAAAAGACTGCTTGTTGACTTTTGCTATACTATCAAAGAAGAATATTTATAGTTTTCTGGAAAACACATTAAGATACATCTACCTTTCCCAACTACATATCTTTAAGTCCAGGTATTCTTCACATACTTCAACCAAAACAACACATCACAACAGACTGAATGTAGAAATAGGAATAAGAACCCAGCTGTCTTCTACTAAACCATATATTAAGAAGAACTGCAAAAATCTCTGATTTTTTGTTTTAGAAAATGGTTATTTTGGCCGAGTGCAGTGACTCACGCCTGTAATCTCAGCACTTTGGGAGGCCGAGGTGGGCAGATCACAAGGTCAAGAGATTGAGACCATCCTGGCCAACATGGTGAAACCCTGTCTCTACTAAAAATACAAAAATTAGCTGGGCATGGTGGCTCGCATCTGTATTCCCTACTACTTGGGAGGCTGAGGCAAGAGAACCGCTTGAACCCGGGAGGTGGAGGTTGCAGTGAGCTGAGATCGCACCACTGCACTCCAGCCTGGCAACAGAGCAAGACTCCATCTCATAAAAAAAAGAAACAAAATAGTTATTTTTTTCCAAATGTCATTTATGTTACCTTGTAAAACATTTATTATTATTTTGTTGTTGTTGTTGTTGTCCTTGGTTTTTGTTTTGTTTTGTTTTGAGACAGGGTCTCGCTCTGTCACCCAGGCTGCAATGCAGTGGCATGATCTTGGCTCACTGCAGCCTCAGCCCCCTGGGCTCAAGCCATCCTCCTGCCTCAGCCCCCCAAGTAGCTGGAACTACACGTGCATGCCACCATGCCCAGCTAATTTTTTGTGTTTTTTGTAGAGGCAGGGTTTCACCATGTTGCCCAGTCTGGTCTTGAACTTGTGAGCTCAAATGATTTAACTGCCTCGGCCTCCCAAAGTGCTGGGATTACAGGCATGAGTCACTATGCCCGGCCTATTGTTGTTATTTTTAAATAAGGTAATGTAAACTGGGCGCGGTGGCTCACGCCTGTAATCCCAGCACTTTGGGAGGCTGAGGCGGGCGGATCACAAGGTCAGGAGATCGAGACCATCTTAGCCAACCTGGTGAAACCCCGTCTCTACTAAAATACAAAAAATCTGCTAGGTGTGGTGGTGTGCGCCTGTAGTCCCAACTACTTGGGAGGCTGAGGCAGAGGGATTGCTTGAACCCAGGAGGTGGAGGTTGTAGTGAGCCGATTACGCCACTGCACTCCAGCCTGGCGACACAGCAAGACTCCGCCTCTAAATAAATAAATAAATAAATAAATAAATAAATAAGGTAATGTAAATTCCTCAACTTTAATTGTTTATACAATAAATACCAATAGATATGACAAATAGCTAACATCAATAACATAAACAAAAGCTATTTAAGATCCTGTATAATTGTTACAAGAGTAAAGGGTTCCTGATACCAAAAAGTCTGAGAACCACTGCCCAAGGATGGCAAATCAAGAAAAGAAAAAAACCCGTCTCTGAATATCACATGGAGCCGAGCTGCTCTGCTGGCCTAGGCCATTCAGAGTGGGGCTGTGACACGAGGCAGAAATGAACTTCTCTGTCCCTTAAGCCACTGTGCCGCTAAGTTTCTTTGCTACATTACTGATTCATCCTGACCAATTCAAGGTACATATGGCAAGAACTCCAGTTCTCAAGATGTAAGTTCCTTCAAATATATTTGCCAAATAAATAATATTCAGAATGTGCAATGTCACATCAATAGTATCCGATACCCAATTAATGTACACCCTCCCTCAAACTTCCTAGCCAAAAGCCAAAACTAGTATCAAGAAGCCAAAAACCAGTCAAATCAAGTTGAGTGTGGGAAGACTCTTTTTGTTAAGGTTAGCAATACAGAAGTTTAATTAGACAATCCTTAGCTGTGGAAGAGGAAAAGGGATGGCCTTTGAGATAATACAGCTTAATCAACCTTCAGGATTTTCACAAGTCATCTATTTTTAAAAATGAATTTATGTTGAGTTAAGGTCTAACTATTCTAAAAAATCATCATCCTGAGGACACTTTGAAGCAATTATATAGGAAAAGGTTGAAAAGCCAACTCTCTCTCTCTCAAAAACATCTTAGACACTCTCGGCTTGACTTTTCTTGCACATGAAATTTGACTTGCTTTTTAAAATGTTATCTTGTCATTATGCCTGGTTACTACATCTGAAAACCCATACGTAACAGGTCACGGTGTACGAATCATGACTCCAAACATATTAACAGTTCTGTATTTCCCAAACTCATATCCTAGGAGAAACTCCTAGTCATCTGCTGTCTAGAAATGATCGCATATGGCCATGGAAGACATATTTTACATAAGTGAATATATTAAAAGAAAAAATGTTGTTGTGCTGTTATTATTTGAGAATGCTACAGGAAAATACAAAATTCAAACACGTGCAAAGCAGCCAAATAC
Source organism: Homo sapiens (assembly GCF_000001405.40). NCBI lineage: Eukaryota > Metazoa > Chordata > Mammalia > Primates > Hominidae > Homo > Homo sapiens. The sequence goes on along the minus strand of NC_000002.12, from coordinate 168,673,815 downwards.
TGGCAACATTAAATTATTTAAGCAGTGAACACCTCCTGAATGAATGGCAGAGGAATCCAGAGTAGAGAGACAAAAGTTCCTTAATTTCCCAATCCCTGCAATTACTGAAAAAGCAGGGAATAGGGAGGAGCAAACCAGAAAGGACACTGGAGCCCCACTCTCAGGCCTTAGTCTGCCATTAGCCAGCTGGGTGACACTGAGTAAGCCAATTCTCCCATCTGGCTGCTCATGTATAAAATTAGAGGCTGGACCAAATAATTTCTAGAATTACTTCAAGCCCTAAATTTCACCACCACCATTTTTCTCCCAAAAGACAAATCCTGGTTTGTCATGCTGACCGTGGTACTGACCGACCCCACGAATGGAAACTTGACATCATAGGGAGACCTCCCTTTTCCTTTTTTTTGGTAATAACCCAATTTATCCAGTGTAATTTAGACTTTTGAATCACTGATAATATTAAGCCACTTTTATTAAACACAATCAGGGCATTATTCGTAATCAGGACAATAAAAAGCTCATTTTGTGCAATTCTGTAATGTTGGAGTAAAACTCATAAAGTGAGTAATTGCTTCTCAATGTGTCCTCTATCTGTGAGGCTAAAGTTTTATATTATGTTTGGTATTAAAAAATAAAATTTTCTGAATTAAACACTGATGAAAATTTGATGATAATAATTTAGGAAATTAATACCCACCCTCTTCATAGCTACTTTCATATATTAGAATTCAGAATGAAATCTTAATTTGGTTTATCATTACTCAATACTAATAAGACAACTGGTCAAACTATGTCCTTCAAATAAACAGCACATCCTTATTTATTGTTTATCTCCTGATTTAGGATAGAGAAATTATCCTTTGAGTTCCTCAGTTAATTACAAGGAAGGAATTGATCTCTAGGCAGTTATGCTTTGATAATCAGTTTCTGATTTTAATCAAGCTTGTTTTGCTGTTTTCCCAGCTTCTCATCTTCCAAAATTGTGTAATCATTTTTTGGGGGAGGAGCTGCAAGATACAAGTAGGATAGATTAATGCAATTGAACTATGTCAAGAGGCTGAACCAGCAATACAGAAGAGATTTGCTGAATATAAGATAAAGCTTCTCTCTGAATGAATCAAGAGAGCTCTTAAAAACAATGAGACAGAAAGCCTTGGTGATTAATGAAACTAGGATGATATAGAAAATGTGATCTCAAGTTATTTCTCCATTTACTTGGAAATAAAAACTAGATGGCCAAGTAGCCACAGTCTACCACTGACCAACCTATATCTATGAAGTAGAACACACTAAGTAGAATTAGGCCTCTCTTTATCTTCTGTTGTATTTTTGGAACGCTTTTTTGTTTTGTTTACCCCAACACCTAATAAACTTCTGACTTCGCTGATGTCTACAATATTAGCCCAATAATGTTTACATTCTTGTAGTTAGGCTCATATTCTCATGGGGTTTCACTTATTACTTGCCAAATACCTGATTCTTCAGGTATATATACTATACTTTTCAGAACCTGCCTGTGCAAACAACTGAAAAACAAGATTATTACTGTACTAGAAACTGGCAATGTTGGAAAAGGACATGAAGTTGAAACGAGCTGGAGCCATCAGCCTTTAGGCCAAGGTATACAAATGACTTCATAACTTCAATCTATACTTCCAAGGGCTATGATTCAGAATGTATCCATGAGGCAACCATTAAACGGGAAACAGGCAAGAGACAATGACACTGTACTCACTCCAACTGAAACAACTTTAGTAATTGAGCTGAGATGACACACTGTTCCATCAACTTTGAGAAGTATTATCTAGAAAACTTATATGAAGCTAAGGTGTAATTCCACTTAATAGATGCATCATTGAGTTAAATGACAATGCTATTTTAGACCTTCAACTAGCATTTCTAAGATACTCTAATTGAAGGGGTTTTGCCACCATAAAAATATTTTCGACTGTATAGAAATAGCCTAGTTTGGAGTGCTTAAATATTACTAGTCACCTATTCAATAAATACATATTTTATAATATAAGCTGGGTGAAAATGTATCAATTTAGCTTCTGAGTCTAGGACATACATCCTGAAAGAATGACTCCATCTTCATATATCATGAGTTGCAAATAGAAATAACAGATATCTTTTACCTAACAGTATAATAGGATTGTATTATATGTAGCTACTGTGCCAGCAAACAAATTTTAACCAAAGATAGAAATAAATCCACTCATTGTAATATCAAACTGTTTTATAATGAGACTCACGATTCACTGTAATTTTGTGCCTGGAAAAACTAAGAGGACACCCAAGAAGAGGAAAATTACAGTTAGTCTAAACAGGAAGTAATCAAAAACTGTCTAAATATAGGGAAAATTGGCATCTATAACAAGCTCCAATAGTAACAAGATGTAACTAGCTATACCATGGATTTCCTTAAGCTTCAGATTATATTTATTTAAATGACGCCACTTTAACAAGTGGTATAAAAATAATCAAACTGAACGCTGGCACAATTAAGTCCCTAAAGTATTCTCACTTACTCATTCAAGAATATGCATGTGGCCGGGCCCAGCGGCTCATGTCTGTAATCCTAGCATTTTGGGAGGCCGAGGCAGGTGGATCATGAGGTCAGGAGATGGAGACCATCCTGGCCAACATGGTGAAACCCTGTCTCTACTGAAAAAAAAAATACAAAAATTAGCTAGGTGTGGTGGCATGCACCTGTAGTCCCAGCTACTCGGGAGGCTGAGGCAGGAGAATCGCTTGAACCCAGGAGGCAGAGGTTGTGGTGAGCTGAGATTGTGCCACTGAACTCTAGCCTGGCAACAGAGCAAGCTTCCGTCTGGGGGGGGGGGGGGAAGCATGTATCCAGCACCTGCTCTGTGCCAGGCAGCGTTACAGGTACTAGGAATTTAGGAGTGAACAAAACCAAACAGACAGAAAATCATTGCTCTCACAGAACTTATTTTCTAGTGGAGGAAACTGCCAGTAAACAAGAGAAATAAGCAAAAATACACAGTATTTTGTAACATAATGAAAGCTAAGGAGGACAGCAGGTAGCAGGAAAGGGGCATATGAAATGTCAGAGGGTGTGCAGGGAAGATGATATTGATAGCATAGCCAGGAAGGCATCACTGAAGTAGTGACCTTTGAGCAAAAGCCTGAAGGAAATCACTATCATTGTAACTTTCACTTTTCTGTTTTGACTATGTCGTTTTCTAGTTTCTACCTTTATTTATATATAAATAAGCCATCCACACAGAGGAAAGAAGGCATGAATAAGAGAAGACAAAAGGTAAACTTGCCTTTTAACTGGCAAAAAGTTCACCACTGCTTTCTCCATTTCTAAGTTTGTGTGTCACCTTGTGAGTGCTAAGTTGCATCCTTAGGTGCAGTCTTTGCTAATTCATGGGTCCTGGAAAGAGCTCTGGGATGGGGATAATTAGACCTAGGTGGTGGGGGAAGGGGATGTGACTAGAATTCAGATTTCTCACGAGGCTGGTATTCTCTGGTAAGTTGGAAAATGAAAGGGAAAAAATGCAGACAAATTGACTGTTTTTCTGCATGAACCCCTTAACTACTCCTTCATTTAAATTGACATCCTATCAGCTTAAAAAATAGTGTGATTTTCTATTTCAATTCTCTGCTCTATAAGATAGCCATGGTGATTATCCATGAAGTTTTATGAAGTCAAAAAGAGCAAGAATTTTAAAAGTAAAAACACTGTAGGAATAGATGTCATTGATTTTATTCTTTAGATCACCCCAATTGCAACATGTTTTGATAACAGAAGACAACAAAGTAAGTAATACAAAAATGAATCCGATGGAGTATACTGATAGTATAATCAGGATTCTGAAGCTCTGTTTTTACATCCAAGACCCATATGATAAACACTTAATTCTTCAATATGTTTGACCAGTGTGTCTAATCATTCTGGTCTTTGAAGAAAATCTGCTGTTCCTATACAACACATTCTTCTGACACAGTCGTGTATGTTAAGATATATGAGTTCTTATGACAATCTCCTAATTTATGTCTCAGAGTAACCTGCGAGTATATAACTTTATGCAGTGGTTGTTATTCCCGGGAAACATTTGATCAAATGCTATAAATTCACAAGGGCAATGATTTTCAACTAAGGTGTCATATGAGAATCACTTTTACTTTTTTTAACTTACAAGTTCCTGGGTATCTGAGACATGAGACACCCAATAATACCAGTAATAACAGGTTTATTTTGCTCAGTATGAAGAGGGTGGCTTTATCTATCTTGAGCAGAGCTGCTTGTCCTCCTCCTCTAATTGCCTACACCAACATCATTCTCCCTTCTCTTCCATAATTATAGAACCCCAACATTAAGTTGAACATACTGTCTCCTGAAAAAGCAAAGATGACAATTCTCAGCCTTCTTGCAGTTAGATAGGGCCCTGTGACTCAGTTCTGGTCTATGAAGTGAAAATGGTGTGTGGAATGTCCATAAAGGCTGTTTAACAAGAGATGACTTAGCTGGATAACAACTTTTTAGCTATCTACCTTTTCCTCCTTTTGGGGAATTGTTTCATTGATGTGCTGGCTGGAGTTCCAGCAGCCATCTTGCACCAGGAAATAATCTGGAAGATAGAAGCTGTGTACCAATGTGGTAGAGCATAAAGACAGAGAGTCCCCATATCCTTAATAACATAATGGAACCATCATATCAGACTTCAGACTTCTTTAACATGAGAAATAAACTTTTTTCTTGTTTAAGCCACTATGACTGATTGACTGTTAGGTGTTCCAGACCTAATCCTAACTAATGTACTAGAGAGGAACAGCGAGGGACATACAAAGTCAGATAAAGATTTCAATGGTTTACAGTACCCATCCTGTGAATTTCTAATGCACTGACATTTTCCCCCAATATCTCAAAAGTCATGCATATGTATAATTCTAGCATATAAAAAAAATCTAATAACATTTCAGCCCCATATGCTGAAGCAATAAAGTAAAATAATTCACCTGAGCTCTGTATACTAAATAATAATTAGCATAGTTTAATACTTCTAAATTGATAAAAGATTAGAGTTGCAGCCTGGCATGGTGGCTCACAGCTGTAATCCCAGCACTGTGGGAGGCCGAGGTGGGCAGATTACCTGAGGTCAGGAGTTCGGGACCAGCCTAGCCAACACGGTGAAACCCCATCTCTACTAAAAAAATTAAGAAAAATAATTGGCTGGGCACGGTGGCAGGTACCTGTAATCCCAGCTACTCGTGAGACTGAGGCAGGAGAATTGCTTGATCTCAGGAGGCAGAGGCTGCAGTGAGTACAGATTATGCCACTGAACTCCAGCCTGGGCGACAGAATGAGACTCTGTCTCCAGAAAAAAAAAAAAAAAAAGATAGAGTTGGAAATGGAGTGCAAGCAATGAACTAAAGCTCCATTCACAGAAGGACTCCTTAGGACATGCTGTCTTGTTGACCATGGAATAATGGATAAAGAGGAGGTAAATATGATCCCAAGATCTCTAGCTTGGGTGACTGCTGCAGATGGTGAGACCATAAATAAGATGAGGAAAATCAGAGTAGGAATAATGGGGTTAGGAAAGAGAATGAGTTTGGTTTTGTCATTGAAGAACATTTGAGATTACCTATGGGATACAATGCAAAGTCAAGAAGAAAATCAGAAAAGAGGCTGGTAATCCAGGTTCACTTGTTCTTCTGCATTTGAAAAACATCTGTTGATTCCACACCAATTACTCAATAAAGCCCGGGCTCCTTATCATGATTTCAACCTCAAATCGATTTACAACTTACGATCTGCCCTCCACCTACTTTTTCAGATTTGTCTGTTAACATCTCTGTCTCTGCCTACAAGGCCCCACCAAATACAAATATTATGCTCAAGTCACACATGACTGTTCAGAGGTTCCCCCAAACAAGCTTCACAGAAGGTCCCTCCATGCATATTTCTTTCACAATATGTATCCATTTTACTTTAAATATCTGTTCACCTGTCTGCCTCCCATACTAGACAGAACTATTTGAAGGTCTAGCCTATTATCTTGGATGTAGTAAATTAAAACTGATAAGCACACCAATACTTAATTAACGGAGGCTCACACCCGATACCTGTATTTTTGCTTCCTCCATTTTCCTTATCTGGAACACAGAAAGGAATCAATGATGACTCCGAGTTGTCAGGGCTGGGTGAATAATGCAGTAGTGTCATCCATTAGAGAGAACATATTTAAAAAAAAAGATAGAAAAAAAGCCGCCTAATAGCCAACAGAAGCAGAGAGCTTTATATAAGAAAAGAGGAACAAATGCACTCAAGTCTCTGATAACTTTTATTTCATGTGACAAAACATATCGAGTGCAGAATTGATAGCTCACATTTGGTAAAGGCAGGCAGGAGAGTGTGACATGGAAGAAGGCTCAAGAGGCAGGGCTGGGCTTGGGTGGATAAAGAAAAGCACTACAGGAAACCTCTCTAAGCCACCAGAACACAATGGCCACTTTACCTATAAAACAGAACTGAGATGCTGTGCTACTTGTTCACCCTCGCCTGTGCAAGAAACTGACAAAGTGCACGGGCAGATAAGATCTGGGGTTTTCCTGCTTAAAGGTTTTCTAAATGTCACTAGGACAGCATGGAACATCCACCTGTTAAACACAGAAAATCCCAATCCGAAATATATTGCTTTGCTTAATTTATAATGAAAAGAAAAAATAAAATAATGACAAGCTATAGTGTAGAAAACAGAGGAGCCTTATCCATGTCATATGTGAAAACTTTTGCCAGCTTTTTGTGACATAAATCTTATTTTTGGTGAGAATTAACAAAGATTATCAAATGTATGTAGATTACCTCTTAACTGGCATGATATAGCACAATATAAACACAAGATATGCATTATTAATATTATGACATGCTGACAGCATGAGAACTCGTTTGAGCCCTTGAGAAACAGTGTCTTCTTAGTTTATGAATATCTCAGGCCTTTTATACACAGCATTGGAATATGGTTTTAGGAGACTCCAAGAGAGGAGAACCTGAAAAAGGAAACGTGGCACCACTCATGCATGCCTCACTCAAATTTAAACTGCTTCTCAATGTGGGTTCTCAATGCAGGCCCTTTATAAAGACACAGTGAAAATGAATATTGTTTGACCTAGCAATCACACTCCTTGGTATTTATCCAAATGAACTGAAGACTCACGCCCACATGAAAACATTCACATAAATGTTTATACCAAAATATTGAAGCAACCAAGATGTCTGTCAGATGAATACACTGTGGTATATACACACAATGGAATATGATTCAGAGGTAAGAAGAAAAGAAGTGAGCCATCAAACCACAAAACAGACATGGAAGAAGCTTAAATGCATACTACTAAGTGAAAGAGGCCAATCTGAAAAGTCTACATATTGTATGATTCCAATTATATGACATTCTGAAAAAGGTAAAACTTTGGAGAAAGTAAGAAGATGAGTGGTTGCCAGGTCTAGGGAGGAAGGAAGGGATGAACAGGCAGAGAAGAAAATTTTTAAGGCAACAATGCTACTCTCCATGACAGTGTAATGGTGGATGCATGTCATTATACATTTGTCCAGATCCATAGAATATACAACACTAAGAGTGAACCTTAATGTAAACTATGCACTTTAGCCAACAATAGTGTTTTAATATTGGCTCATCAACTGTAACAAAAGTACCACTAATAATGCAAGATGTAAATAAAAGGGAAAACTGGGGAGTGCAGGGGTCAGGGGGTGATGATGGCAGGGTGAAGGGTATATGGGAATACTCCATATTTTCCATTCAATTTTTCTCTAAACCTAAAACTACACACACACACACACACACACACACACACACACACACAGTCTACTAATTTTTTAAAAAAATTCTTAAAACCTCCAAGTTATTTAATAACATCACTTTGCCAACAGAAAATGTGAGCAGCTTGGAAGATAATATGCCATAATAATTCAGAGTATATAACTTCTTGAGCTAGACCTCTTGGGCTCAAACTGTAGTTCGTTCACTTACTAGTTGCATAATCTTGTTTTATTTCAGTGAGAGTTTACTGACTACTGTATGTCAGTCACTGTTGTAGGTATGTAGTATACAGCAGTGAACATGTAAAGATACTTGGCCTCACAGAGCTTCTATTTTACTGTGCAGAGCAGGCAAAATAAATCAACAGATAAATACAGTAAGAGAGAAGGTGATGAGCATGTTGGAAAAATGAAAATGAAGAGAAGGTTAAGGGGGAGATTAGGTTACTAGGGAGGGCTGGGGAGTATTTCCTCATCTGTTAATGAGAGATACAATAGTTCCCACCATCCGAGGGTGCTGTGTGTCCCATGAGATCTCCCATGGGACGAGCTTCCACAAACAGCACTTACCTGGCTCAGTCAGCAAAGGCAGCCTCTTATTACAATTATTGCTAAGCAAAAACTTAAGTAATTGGTAGTAAATGTTTAAATAACTTATGTTATACCCACCGTATTTCAATTCCTTATTTTTTTTTTCATAAAATGCTAGAGCAGAAGCTAGTATCATGGGAAGTCTAAAATTTAAATACCTTAAGAGACTCATACACTTCAGGAAAAATGAACACTTGTAGAATTTGTGGCTGTTTACCAGTAAAAACCATCTTTTCATTTACCTTTCCATTCACTTCTGCCAAGAAACCTCATATATGATTGTTGAAGGATCCTAGAAAAGATGTGGCAACTGTGTTTGTGTAGGTTAGATTTGGCTGCAAAGAAGAGAAAAACTCAAAGAAACAGAAGCTCAAGACAAGGTAGGCATTCATTTGTTTTGTAAAAAGCCTGGAGACAGTGATCCAGGGCAGGTATCATAGTACCATGATGTCATCAGGGACCTGGGTTCTTCCTGTCAGAGGCGTGTGAACCAGAGTAACTCCATCTTAAATAGGAGCTGGGTAAAATGAGGCTGAAACCTACTGGGCTGCACTCTCAGACGGTTAAGGCATTCTAAGTCACAGGATGAGATAGGAGGTCAGCACAAAATACAGGTCATAAAGACGTTGCTGATAAAACAGTTTGCAGTAAAGGAGCTGGCCAAAACCCACCAAAGCCAAAATGGTGATGAGAGTGACCTCTGGGCATCCTCACTGCTACACTCCCACCAGCACCATGACAGTTTACAAATGCCATGGCAACATCAGGAAGTTACCCTATATGGTCTAAAAAGGGAACCACGAATAATCCACCCCTTGTTTAGCCTATCACCAAAAAGTAACCATAAAAATGGGCAAGCAGCAGCCCTTGGGGCTGCTCTGTCTATGGAGTAGCCATTCTTTTATTCCCTTACATTCTTAATAAACTTGCTTTCACTTTGCACTGTGGACTCACCCTGAATTCTTTCTTGCACAAGATCCAAGAACACTCTCTTGGGGTCTGGATTGGGACCCCTTTTTTGTAACCCTCCCAGTTCACTGCCCTGCCACTCTTAAGGTGTAGACTTAGTCCCTAACATCCAAGGAAGCTGCTAGTGCCATCACATCTGTGTGGAAGGTGCAGGAAGAGATAAGGAAGGGCCTCCTGCTTGCCTCTGAGGAGACTACCCAGAAGGCCTTCCCCACAACACTTCTCATGTATGTTATTCACCACCAAAACATCCTAGCCCTTGGCTGCAAGTAAGGCAGGGGCTGTCGAGTTGGCAGCTGAGTGTGCAGCTAAGAAGAAAAGGAGAACGGGCTCTGAGAGGTAACAGCAGCTGTTCAGAACTGTTCAGAAGGGCGAAACACAATGGCCATCCCACTTATCTGGCTGAATGGAGCACCCAGAACTCCAATGGAAATGCAGAAGCAGCCTTTCTGTTTGCAACATTTTTATATAGTTGCTGGGAGAAAAGGGAATTGATGTTAGTTGCTGACATATTACTGAAAAGCAGTGAAGAGCAGCCATTTTTTTTAACTGACCCAAATTCTACCAAAGACCAAAAAACAAAGCAACAAACAAACAAACAAAAAATCACCCATAACCAATTCCAACAGATTTTAAGACTGAAGAAAAATTTAGAGATTTTTTTTAAAGTATATATTACATATAACACTACAAGAATACCTACGGTGGATCTACATAATGTTTTTTATGTAACTGTTGAAAAATATTTTCAAATACCATATAATAAGTGAAAAGGCAAAGTACAATATAATGTGAACGATACAATATGTATATGAATGATAGTAAAGAAATCAACCCAATTTTAGTTTTCAAAATCTCTATATAGAAAATGTGAATTTAAAATTATAGGGGCTGGGCTCTGTGGCTCATGCCTATAATCCCAGCACTCTGGGAGGCTGAGGCAAGAGGATCACTTGAGGCCAGGAGTTCAAGACCAACCTGGGCAACATAGTGAGACCCCTCTTTACAAAAAATAAAAAATAAAATTATAATAGTTTTTTTAAATTCTGCATTCCAGTAGTAGTTCTGAACTGCTTGACTGCCTTTATATTTTCCTATGACCTTTTGTGTATTTTAAATTTATAATCTTTAATCAAACATAATTTCAAAAATCTAAAAGGCATGAATCATCAACTGAACTAATAATGCATTTTTAAAAGTACTATCATTTTTAAGTTTGGAAAAAGAAAAAAATACATACACTGTGTTTAACTGGATGGTGATTTGGAAACAAGAATGAAAAATCAGTAGCTCAAAAGCATCAGGTTCTCAAAGGGAGAGAACCACATGGTGCTAAATGAATGCAAAACAACATAAACCTCCTAAAGATCTGAACTCAAGCGGGTCCTAGCTTTACCAAGATACTAAAGGTCTAACAATAGGCTCCATTCACACTGGATTCCAGGCTTTCATTTATGACTGGGATAAGATAAAAAGAAAAATCTTCAGCCTTGTTTTGATATTTTTTGGTTATGCCTGACTTCTCTTCATGGCAAAGATGAATCATTTTAATAGCTACTAAGTAGTTACTATATGCCAACAAGATGTTTGGCAGGAAGCTGCAAAGACTTTATACCACATATTGTACGCTGTGGGAAGCTAGGCTGCTGGACCCCAGCTCTCTGGGTCTAGCTTTCTTTCCAGGGCTCGTTTGTTTGTTTGTTTGAGACAGGGTTTCGCTCTTGTCGCCCAGGCTGGAGTGCAATGGTGTGATCTTAACTCACTGCAACCTCCGCCTCCCGGGTTCAAGCGATTCTCCTGCCTCAGCCTCCCGAAGTAGCTGGGATTACAGCCGCCCGCCACCACGCCCAGCTAATTTTTTTGTGTTTTTAGTTGAGACGGGGTTTCACCATGTTGGCCAGGCTGGTCTTGAACTCCTGACCTCAGGTGATCTACCCACCTTAGCCTCCCAAAGTGCTGGGATTACAGGCATGAGCCACCGTGCCTGGCCCTTTCCAGGGTCTTTGTAGGTACAGCTGTTCCCTTCAGACACTGCCTGTCTCCAGCCCTCACCAGTGATACTCTTCCTTTTACAGCAACCCCTCCTCTCTCCATTTTATTTAACTGTGCAATTGCACTAGCCAAAAAAGACTACTGTATGAAATCCAGAAATTGTTTAATATAAAATATAACAAAGTATGTGAAATGTATTGGCTCCAAAATGGTTTTTAAGTTGGTTAGAAAAAGTATATTCCAATTAGCAAAAATAAAAACAAATGCCAGGTTTATAGGAATGGGAAATTGTACAGAATTTGAAAAAAAAAAAAAAAGAGACAGCCTTGAATGGTATACCAGGCCTCAAAGGTCTCAGCTGAAGATAATTATGACCGAACACTCAGTATTGTAATAGTCTGTCCTGATGCTCTGTCAACCGTCTATTAGAACACAGAATACTCTTATTTAAAAGAGACTGCAATATGTCTGTAAGCCAATCTACTTTCATAAATCTTTTGGTATAAATTGTCTAAAAATTATCCTTTGACTCTTAGCAATACAAGAAAGAATCGTTTCTATCAAAATGCACTACCAGTGTAACATTTCCATCCAGTACAGCTGCAAGTAGCATTCCTTGCAGACATTTGCACTGCATCCCAGTGGGGAGCCCGGGAGCCAGGCAGCTTTAATGCTTCTGTATCTTGTTACTTTGTGTATCTGGCTCTCCCCAGGGATCCTAGTTTTCAAAGGTGCTAGTGATTCTTAGCTAAATACCCCTGTCAACTTTACATTGCTTACCCTGAATGCATGAGAGAAAGACAAAAATCTACTTCTCTATCTTGAGCGAAAATGTCAGGCATTAAACTTGCTCTTGGAAAACAATACCCCTCTGAACTACTAATGAACCACTGGAGGAAATATAAACAGAAGATAAGAAATGTAAAGTGTCTTCCCATAACCTTAAATGAGGAGAAAGGTTTTGTCGGAGATGAAAAATGTGATTATGTGAATCGCTGTGCTCCTTTCCACTTATTGCCTATAACTCACAAATTACAGCCTGTCTACGAATGGTACATTTGGTACTTGGGAAATTCTTTATAATTAATAGGCCTCATAATTCTCTAGCTGCTAGTCTAGCAGGTAATCTTACATGCCTAATTGAAATGATTTCCTAATCTTCATTCCATTTAAAAATATAATTAGGAACATCAATGATAGCGAGTTTAAATAAGCCTTTTCCTAACATGTTCATTCTTAGGATACAACTATACTTGGATTTCGTTTGGCTTCTCTTTTTCCCTTTTCTTGAGTCACATGTACATCCTCCTGGGACACAGATACTGCTAAACTGCTGATGCTAAGAAGCAACTCAGATTGTCCAGGCTGTGTATGAACTGCCCCACCCCCTCCCGCCTCTCTGCTCCCCGCTGCCACTCCAGATAGTAATCCCTAAGGATTTGTTGTCTGCACATAAAATGCACACTTCTTTGTTCTGTTACATTAAAACCAGGAGGCATTTCTCATTATCATGCCTCTATGTTTAAACATCACATTTCAATGCATCCAAAGTATACTCTAGGAAAGAGATGATCAATATGGAAATTGCTTCTGGGCCAAATATTTTCTTTCCATACTGCAACAAACTTACCTTTAAAAAATGAGACACAAATTTTCCTTTCAAAAGGATTCAAAACCAAACTGAAGCCAAAAGAAAATAATAAAAAAGACTATGCGATAGCAAAAAAATCGTGTGAAATTTTTAGAGGAAAATGGATATCCAAAGATAATGATGGCACTGCTATTGTTTTTCTCATAAAGAAGACATGTTATTTAAGTTTTTTTTTTTAATTCCAGTGAACATATTTAAAAAGTCACAGGTAGTGGTCAAAATATATTTGGAACAAATTTTTTCTTACCATATGTTTGTTCTGTATTTCTTACAGAGTTTAGAAGAGTGTGAAAACATTTTTCTATTTCAGCCCTTGGGAAAAGGCAAAGCATCACTGTGACAAAGCATTACAACTTCTAGGTGAAAACATTACCAGGGCCCTTATAAACAAAGAGAGACTGTTAGAAAGCAGGAAAAAACAATGCCTCATTAGGTGATAATTAGCTAGGCATGGCATGGTAAACAAGGTGAGACGTTTCTCTAGAATCTCCTTTATTTGGAGAGGTGGGAAGGGCAGAAGATTGGAGGTAAAGCTAGGTTTTAGATTCTCTTATATTTGAAAGGTTAAGGGCAGAAAGCATAACTTGATGGCAGTGCCCATAGAGCTCAACCCAGAGCCCCTACATACAGGCCGCTCAATAGATATCTGTTGAACGTTGTGCTGAGTACATTTCTCAGCCAGCCATGTAAACATGTAGAGAATTTTCATTTATATTCCACAGTCACTTAAGGATCCATGTCCCTTGCTGTTATAGTGGCAACAGAAAGCATACACTCACTCCAGGCACATTTCCACGTTTGTATTCCATTTGAATTTTCTCCTCTCTTTAGTATAAAATAATCTGTTTTCTTGATTTTGCATCATAGTGCAACACTCAGGATCAATTTTAGCTTTTTAATGGAATGTTTCCTACAAAGAAAATGGCATTAATTTCTTCATCTATGTGTTCTTCCATCTGGGTGATTGCCTTAATTTTATACTGAATGCTTGCTGTGTGCCAGTCAGTGTGTCAGGTACCAGGGACATTGTAATGACCAAGCCAAGCCACCATCCAACTTTGCAAAGAGTTCATGGCTTAGGTGATTAAAAAAAAAACAAAAACAAAAAACAGACAATACAGACAATATGATCAAACGGGTGTTATAACTAAGATAAGGTACCATGGAAACATATATGTGGAGTGTTAACACTGGATACATTGAAGAGATGGGAAATAATGGTTGGGGATTAGTCTTAACCTTTCTTTTCTTTCTACATCTTATGATAATTTACCTAGTTAAAGTAGAAATTTAAAAATAAAAAAGTAATCTGATGAACAATGTGTATTAGCATGATTCCATTATTTAAAATAACATACATATATTTGTTTATGCATAAAACATTTCTATATATACAAGAAGTGCTTAGATTTCTAGAGAGAAAAATCTAGGGGTAGGAAATCGTGTGAGGGAGAGAAAAGGAGATTTTTGTTATTTTCATGTTCTTTTGAACTATTTGAACATTTTCCCACATGCATTAATAACTTTAACTTAAAAATGACTTTTAAAATATGGAATTAAAAGAAAAGTGAAGGTAGTGACAAACTGAAGGCAAGGTTGACAAAATCGTAATAACAAACCAAGCGTGGGATACAAATATGATTATTAGCTTTCTAGTGGTCAACTGTAAAGAAGAAAATTTATAATGTCTAGGAAATAAAAGCAGAGCAATTTGCTCAGGGAATTTACCTATTCTTGTCATTCAGAGCTGAGAAAAATTTCTCCTAGAAGTCCTCACAAAGAGGATACTGTGTGATACAGGGTATCCTGATATTCTCACGATATCCAGTGACAGGTTTCACAAGACTTCTTCCCATAATTGCTCCCGATAGAAGCTGATGGCACCATGCCAAATGTAACTCACAGAAGCATTTCTGAGGGGGCCCGTCTAATGTAAAAGACTGGGACACCTGTTTAATAGCATGGCTCTGGAACCAGACAGCCTGAGTTCAAATGATGGCCCCATCACATAATGTGCTGTAAGAACTTAGGCGAATTACTTGACTTTTTTTCTGCCTCAGTTTCCTTATCTGCCCCCTAGGGTTTGGTGAGAAATAAATGAATAATACATATACAAATTTTAGCATATTGCCAGTCAAAGGAGGCAAACACTCAATCCATGTTAGCTATTTACACAATTATGCTTGACTTTTCTGTCATCTGAGGCTTTACTCGGTCATCAAGCACGCCTGACGCTGGGGATGACTATGGTCTTTGCTGGCTAGGTGCAGACTCCCATGCCTTGGCAAAGAGTTCCCTCTTCTGTGGAGGGTCAGGAGCCTGGCACAGAGCAGAGACTAGAGAGGATCACCTACAATCTAAAGAGAATAATGGAGTAATCACAACAAAGCCAGGGTATTTCAGACAAGTGCTCTGAATGTGTTCTATCATAACAACGCAAAGGCAACAGAGGCCTCAAAATTTGACCAGGCCGGGGAGCCGAAATCTACTTCCTTGGGATCTCGTCAAGGACCCTAAAAGAGAAAACCTGTTGTATAGTTACTGATACTATGTTTACATTATTATTTATATTGAGTATAAACTAGGACTAGGCATTGCTCATTGAATCCTTAACGATAAAGCTCTTAGGTAGGTCCAATTATTATCTAATTTTACAGATAAGGAAACTGAGGCACAGAGAAGTTTAGGTAATTTGCAACACGTCACACATCTAGTAAACAACAGAACCAAGACTCAAAAGTCCAGCCCACTGGCTTGGCACACTATCTTAATTACTATATTGTATTATATTGAGAGGTGACAGTGTGCTGGCAGTCCTCAGAGCCCTCGCTTGCTCTCGGCACCTCCCCTGCCTGGGCTCCCACTTCGGTGGCATTTGAGGAGCCCTTCAGTCCCCCACTGCACTGTGGGAGCCACTTTCTGGGCTGGCCAAGGCCAGAGCCCACTTCCTCAGCCTGCAGGGAGGTGTGGAGGGAGAGGCACGAGCGGGAACCGGGGCTGCGTGCGGCGCTTGCGGGCCAGCTGGAGTTCCGGGTGGGCGTGGGCTTGGTGGGCCCCGCACTCGGAGCAGCCAGCCTGCCCTGCTGGCCCCGGGCAATGGGGGACTTAGCACCCGGGCCAGTGGCTGCGGAGGGTGTACTGAGTCCCCCAGCAGTGCCGGTCCACAGGCGCTGCACTTGATTTCTCGCCGGGCCTTGGCTGCCTTCCCACGGGGCAGGGCTCGGGACCTGCAGTCTGCCATGCCTGAGCCTCCCACCCACTCCATGGGCTCCTGTGTGGCCCGAGCCTCCCCGACGAGCTCCACCCCCTGCTCCACGGCGCCCAGTCCCATCGACCACCCAAGGGCTGAGGAATGCGAGCGCATGGCGCAGGACTGGCAGGCAGCTCCACCTGCAGCCCCGGTGCGGGATCCACTAGGTGAAGCCAGCTGGGCTCCTGAGTCTGGTGGGGACGTGGAGAGTCTTTATATCTAGCTCAGGGACTGTAAATACACCAATCAGCACCCTGTGTTTAGCTCAAGGTTTGTGAGTGCACCAATCAACACTCTGTATTAGCTGCTCTGGTGAGGACATGGAGAGTCTTTATATCTAGCTCAGGGATTATAAATACACCAATCAGCACCCTGTGTTTAGCTCAAGGTTTGTGACTGCACCAATCGGTGAGGTATCTAGCTGCTCTGGTGAGGACGTGGAGAACCTTTATGTCTAGCTCAAGGATTGTAAATACACCAATCGGCACTCTGTAGCTAGCTCAAGGTTTGTAAACACACCAATCAGCACCCTGTGTTTAGCTCAAGGTTTGTGACTGCACCAATCGACACTCTGTATCTAGCTGCTCTGGTGAGGCCTTGGAGAACCTGTGTGTGGAAACTCTGTATCTAACTAATCTGATGGGGAGGTGGAGAACCTTTGTATCTAGCTCAGGGATTGTAAACGCACCAATCAGCGCCCTGACAAAACAGGCCACTAGGCTCTACCAATCAGCAGGATGTGGGTGGGGCCAGATAAGAGAATAAAAGCAGGCTGCCCGAGCCAGCAGTGGCAACCCGCTCGGGTCCCCTTCCACACTGTGGAAGCTTTGTTCTTTCGCTCTTTGCAATAAATCTTGCTACTGCTCACTCTTTGGGTCCACGCTGCTTTTATGAGCTGTGACACTCACCGCGAAGATCTGCAGCTTCACTCCTGAGCCCAGCAAGACCACGAGCCCACCGGGAGGAAAGAACAACTCCAGACGCGCTACCTTAAGAGCTGTAACACTCACCGCGAAGGTCTGCAGCTTCACTCCTGAGCCAGCGAGACCACGAACCCACCAGAAGGAAGAAACTCCGAACACATCTGAACATCAGAAGGGACAGACTCCAGACGCGCCACCTTAAGAGCTGTAACACTCACCGCGAGGGTCCACGGCTTCATTCTTGAAGTCAGTGAGACCAAGAACCCACCAATTCCGGACACAATATCACATACCACATCAGTTAAAAGCTACAAAACTTTCACCAAAAAATTTATAAAGCTTACTACAGAACAGCCTTGCTTTCTGACAAGGTTTAATTTAGGCCCCTTCTAGATAGTAACACATTAACCCCCTATAAAGGAATGCCTGTTCCACATTATTGGATCAATGACTTCCTTGGAATAAGTGGCTGCCACCATCCAGGCAGAATCTCTTCCTAACCCTCTAGGACCTATTTAGGAGGAAAGCTTTGAGAAGACTAAAGAGCAACAAGCCCACAAAGAAAGATGTGGGCTTTCCTCTTGAAGGTCAAAATGCATACTATCCGTATTTATTTTTCGTAAGTTTATCATGTAATATTTGAGGTTTACAACATGATGTTATGGGATACATATAGACAGTAAAATGGTTACTACAATGAAGCAGATTAACATATTTATCATCTCACACAGTTTCTTCTTTGTGCATGTGATAAAAGCAGCTAAGATCTACTTATTTAACAAAAATCCCTAATATACTATTAATAACTACAGTCCTCATGCTATACATTAGGTCTCTAGACTGGTTCATTCTACATATCTGCTACTTTGTATCCTTTGACTTACCTCTCCCTATTTTCCTCCTCCTACCCACCTACCCGCTGCTGTTTTATTCTCTGTATTTGTATATTTGAGCTATTTTAAAATTTCACATAAGTGAGACCATGCAGTATTTTTCTTTCTGTGTTTGGCTTATTTCATTTAGGATAATGCCCTCCAGGTCCACTGGCGCTGTGGCAAATTGCAGGATCACCTTTTTAAGGCTGAATAATATTCCATTGTGTGTACATACACATTTCTTTATCTATCCACTGACAGACACTGAGGTTGTTTCCATATCTTGGCTATTGTAAATAATACTGCAAGGAGAATGGGAGTGCAGGTATCTTTATGAGGTGGTGATTTCATCTACTTTGGATATATACCTAGAAGAGGGATTGCTGTGTCATAGGGAAGTTTAATTTTTACTTTCTTTAGGAAACTTCACACTGTTTTCTACAATGGCTGTACCAATCTACATTCCCAAACCAGTGTACTAGAATTCCCTTTCTCCATACCCTTGCCAACATTTCTCTCTTTTCTTTTTGATAAAAGCCATCGTAAGAGGTGTGAGGTGGTATCTCACGGTGGTTTTAATCTATATTTCCCTGCTTAGTGATATTGAGCACCTTCTCATATGTCGGTTGGCCATTTTTATGTCTTCTTTGGATAAATGTCTGTTCAGGTCCTTTGCCCACTTTTAAAAATCAGGCTATTTGTTTTCTTGCTGTTGAGTTGTAAGTACTGTCCTTATTTATAAAGGCTTTTGTGCATGACTGTACTCTACTGGCCTAGCAACTAACTTAGGATAAGAAGGCTTAGGTTAAAGTCCTGGTTGTACATGAGATGTATAAAGAAGAGACCTTGGTCAAAACAAACTTCCTGGTCTTCAGGTACTTCATCTACTACAGTGTTCTTGAGATTATCAATAAGACTATATTGCCTTGTTGTAAAAGTTAAGTGTTCTATAAAACCATGAGATAAGCATTGGGATCATCATTTATCTTCAAGTAATAGGACTCGAATAGTCATGATATAAAATATTACTTTTGTACAAAATTCTACTATTAACCGATGGCCAGAGAATATTTAGAGCAGGTTTTGCACTGGTGTGGCCAACATGATTCAACATGGCCAACAAGATTCTATGTGCTTCTGTAGGTCTTACCTTGTGAATTACAGTATACATTTTTGGGTTTTTTGTTTTGTTTTGTTTTTTTGAGACAGAGTTTCACTCTTGTCACCCAGGCTGGAGTGCAGTGGTGTGATCTTGGCTCACTTCATCCTCCACCTCCCGGGTTCAAGTGATTCTTGTGCCTCAGCCTCCCGTGTAGCTAGGATCACAGGTGCACACTACCATGCCCAGCTAAAATTGTATTTTTAATAGAGATGGGGTTTCACCATGTTGGCTAGGCTGGTCTCGAACTCCTCAGGTGATCCACCTACCTCGGCCTCCCAAATTGTTGGGATTACAGGCATTAGCCACCACACCAGGCCTACGACACACATTTTAAAAAAATATACAGTCAGCTCACAGGCCCTCATGACAGACACTACCTATAGCCTTGACTTTAGCAACACCTATTTTAATAACTAAAAACAAAATCTAAATCATTTTACCTAATATTCTATAGGATATTACTATATCAACTTATAATTTCTTTTCCTAGGTGCTGATGTCTTTTGATTCCTGAGATGCATGAGGAATCTCAGTTTATCAGTTTAAGTGCTTAGTAATCTAAAACCAAAAGTTTCAACTTTGAAATTCATTAGGAAGATTATATATTGAGGGAGACACATTACAGAATGGCTGATAATCAGCATCATCTCAGCCCAAGGTCCTTTCTTTCCAATATTAATATGATGCCAAAAAGGGCCATCTGACTAGCACTTTCAAGCAGATGATTTTCCAACTATTTATTAAAGAGAAATATTTTCCATGTCCCAGGGCATATTGCTAAGACAGGGATTTGTAAGTTCCAATTCATTATTGGTTTTGGCAGAATTTTACTGTCACAGTTGTTAGTGTTGCTGGCAGCAGATACCATTTCTCTGCTGCAGCAGTCCATACAAGAGATGTCCTAGATTAGCAATAAAAATGAAGGGAGCCAAATAATAGAAATGGAGATTTAAAGGCAGTCACGTGGAGCTGATAAACCTAAGGATGGAAGAGATAATTGAAAACAATAACTCACACATATCTAAGATAATTAAACAAACATAGCACACCAGAAAATGTCCTCAGGTCATGTAATTTTAACATAAGGTATTTAAATCTTAAATCTCTTTGAAAGGAGAACTAGAATCCTTCATTGTGTTACAGGAAAAAAAGAATTCTAGGTATGCCTGAATGTCCTTGTTTTATGAATAGTTCCCTGATGCAATCAAGATGGCCATTATCTGTGTCAGAGCCATCTAGTTGAAAAATGACTCCTATCAAGAAAAGTGGAGCAGCCATTGGAAATGGTAGCTGTGGAGAGCCCACTGGGGTGCAGCCTGAGTTTAAATCTCTTCCCTTCAGGGTTTCAATTGGAAAAATAGTCATTTACAAACACAAAGTCAGCATATTCTATTTTTCTTCGGAGGGACCTGCAGACCTTTAAGTGATTTTAATACTCATGACAATACTGTTAAAAACAACAACAGAAACTTTGCTTCATATTTACTCTACTTCCAATGACCTGATAAGACTATTGCCCAGCTACCTTTAGAGAAGCTAGACTTCATGTGCATTTTATTCACTTCATGTACCTGAATACACAACACGTATAAATGCTGATTGTTGGACAAATATGTCTATGGAAAAAGAATACAGTCAACAACTTGCCACAGAATTAAAATGGGTATCCTAGTTATCTCTTCAACATGACTCTTCATTTACTTTTACAAGGAATGAAACTGAATGAATGTGAAAGAGCACGTGTCTGTGCATTGGTGAGGCTTCCAGATGTGCATGAGGAAGATCGTGATTTTTTTTAAGACAGAAGCAAAAAGCTCCTTAGTGGGGAAAGGGCCAGATTTCCCAGGATGTTTTTGTTGTTACTATGTAGTAATAAATTGGTTTATTCTTGTCTCTTATTTTTCCTACTTGCAAATAATCAAATCCGATTAAGCTTTAAATACAAGTAATATAAGGAAAGGTTAAAAAAAAAACAACAATTCATTAATTTTTCCTTTTTTTTTTTTTTAACACTTTTTTCCCTTGGCTTTAAAAAAACTACTTATTTATTTAGCAGCTAAGGGCTTAGGACTTAGAAACCATTAATGAATTATGTGGTTTATGTTTGAGTTTTCAGATTGAAAACAAAGAAACGCAGCTCAGGTGTTGGCTACGTGGCTTAATCCCTAAGATCAAGCAATAAATTAGTAACTGAACTAACATTTAGCTCTTGAAATTAAACTTAGAGTTATTCATAAACTTGTTCCTATCATTAGCTGGTACTCCATTTTTAGAGGCAATATTTTGAGTACCAACTTGAACAGAGGCAAAAATCCGGAGGTCAACTGGCAGCAGGGAGGGAAAATTATGAAATTAGTGAAGCTTCTGGCCACAGACCCACTAGTGACCCTAATGACTGATTTCGTTGAACTAAGTTTGCTTATTTGATTAGAGTCGTAACAGCCCATCAGCAAATGTGACTGCAATTTACAATACTGACAAGCTTTTTTTTTTTTAAGTCTTAAGGTCTAATTATGTAATGGTTGTTGTGAAGCTGCCAAAAAAAAGGGGGTGGGGGGCAGTGAGAGAAAGAGATAATGTATGAAAAAGAGATTTGTAAACAATAACACACAGCACACATGTGCTTTACCAGCTAATAAATTATCAATCACTATTGTAGCAGGGCCTTGCCTTATGAACTGCCTGGTAACTGAGATACTAGCCACACTTTCAAAAGATACATAGTTGGAAAAAGTGATGAGGGCTTACGTATGTTAGGCCTGGCTCAGATTAAAGTTACTGATATGGTTTGGCTCTGTGTCCCCACCCAAATCTCATCTCAAATTGTAATCCCCACATGTCAAGGGAGGGACCTGGTGGGAAGTGATTGGATCATGGGGTGGTTCCTCCCATGCTGCTCTCATGATACTGAGTGAATTCTCATGAGATCTGATGCTTCAAAAGGGTCTGGCGGTTCCCCCTGACACCTCTCCTGCACCATGTAAAATGTGCCTTACTTCTCCTTTGCCTTCAACTATAATTGTATGTTTCCTGAGGCCTCCTCATCCATGTGGAACTGTGAGTCAATTAAACCTCTTTTCTTTATAAATCACCCAGTCTCAGGTAGTTCTTTACAGCAAGTATGAAAACGAACTAATACAGTTACTTAAACAATCTTCTATTTCCCCTTTGCTTTAATTCACAGAATTAATGTGTAATATAATTGTCCCAAAGGCTACAGAGGATACAGTTAACATGAACATAAATGACTACTTTGGAAAATAAACATGTGGCTTGGTTCTAATGGTTCATCCTTCTTTAGTGACTAAACAAGAAAAGGAGGAGGAACTGCTACCTTCACAAGACATGAAAACCCAGGTAAAAATGGAGCTAAGATTGCTATGCCAAACTGCCCACTGTAGCATGCATCACTGCACACCCCTTTGTAATCTCAAGTGTTCCTGTATATAAAAAGTTAGAAAATCTAATTATCACCATTTAAGAAAAATTTCAGCACAGATTTACTGTTTGCCTCAAGAAAACCTCTTCATTCATTTATAACTAGAAACTTTCTCTCCTGACTTCCCTTTCTCTCACCACCCAATCTCCTCAAAGCTACCCCTCACACTCCTGCCCACTCTCCAACTGACAGAATTTCCACAATCCTAAAAGCAGAAGGAAAACTTTTTACTTCTATATTGTTCAAGAAGAGTAATGCTGATAAAAATGGGATATAAGAAAACAAATAATTGTTGATGCTTTTATAAAGACAATATTGTATGACAGTAGGAAAAACAAAATGCATATTCAAAACTGCACAGAAATACTGTGAAAGATTTTAATAATAATTGAAGGGGTATATGAATGCACCATGTAGCTGCCACCAGCGCAGATCTAGTGGACTTCTGGCAAATTTCATTTAAAAAAAAAAATTCACCGGAAGTCAGATAAGATAGATAAAAGCAATCAGATACTGCCTTTGGAGTGTAATAAATAGACAAAGGGGGCTGGGAGAGTACTTCAAGTTGCACGAAGATCTCTCTATGAATTAATTTGGTAGTAATTTAGAGGCTTCAGGAGTTGGGCTATTTCATTTAAAGAAGGAATCAGTATTTGTTGGTAGGGCCAAAGAAATGTAAAGGATTTAACAATTGATGAGCCACTCTCAATGTTCAGAGCAGGAGGGAAGGTTGTAGTAATAAATTCCCAAGCTCTGTCAATGATGTGCTGGTGAACGGACAGACAGTAACAGAGTGGAGCCACCTTTCCCTCCAGCTCCCTCCTGGGACTGTTGGACACTCAGGCATTTGTGATTCCTGTCCTTCCCCTCCTCTCATGAGACACCAACTCCAGTGTCTGCAAGAAAGCAAAAAGAAAAAACAGGATATACCAGACCCTACCCAAACAGAGGTTTCTTTGGCTTCAGCTATCTATTCCCCTGATGTCAGAATTAAACCTGGAGCAAGTGAGCAGCTACAGGTAAAGCACTGCTACGTGGAACAGCAGCTCCTCCTTTGTTTTTGTGTTTGTTTTTTTTAAGTCTCACTTACCTATTTCTTTTTTCCCCTATTTGTTAAATTTGTCTCAATTCTCAATATACCTTACTTAACATGCCATCAGTTTAATATCATATACCTCCTAGATAAAAAGCAGATCTAGTTCAACTATTTATAGAGTATTGATATCCAGGAACCATCCTTGAGGGGCTTACAGTAAGTTTGGGGAAGCAAATAGGGAACCCTGTGACAAGTACAGTCACAGACTCTTCAGAGTCCTCTACGAGGGGGAAAGAGTGTGATGGGGTAGGGGAGGGCAGGGACTTGGGATAGCCCAGAGGGAGGAGGGGAGGGAAGAGAAAGGAGGATGGAATGTGAACAAAGACTTGTGTAATCAGAGGGGTAAGCCAAGGTAGGAAGGGGTGATAGCACTTAGGTCTACCAGTGGCAAAACAGAGCTGCTACGGGGGGATAAAGCAAACCTTTCCCATAACAAAGTGAAATATTATTCTTTCTAGTACAGCCAAAGCTTTTCTTGGTTAAAAAAATACAGAAGGAGAATTTCTGGACACTGCATACTACATAATTTTAGTAGAAATTAAATACTTTAAAGGCTAAAAATATTTTAAAAATCATTCCTTTCCCATCTCCTGCCATAAATAATCCACATTAAGACGTAATACAATATCATGGAATTGGTTTGTTTTTTAGGGGTTGACTTCACGCTGAGATGGAGTATTTTTACCAGGAGAGGCCATTTGACAGTGATGAATGTGGATAAGGAAGCCCACGACCTGGGGCTGATGCCAGCTCTGTCACTTAAGGTTACATAACCTCTCTGAGACTGTTTCCTTCTGTTTTAAGTGGAGTAATAACACAGACCTCGGAGGGCCAGGGAGAGGATCAATGAAACATCACACTTTAGAAATAAGCACAGTACAGCTTGAGGCAGTATGCTGAGGAAGCCCAAGGCTGCTGCAGCTAACGACCCATCCTTCTCTAAAATCAGTTTCCTTCTCTCCCCTAAGTACCATACAACTAAAGTATATTTAAAATTATTTGTATTAGGATATTCAGCGCCTAAACTCAACATTGGACCAAATGAATCTGATAGAGTTCTACAGAACTCTCCACCCCAAAACAACAGAATATACATTCTCCTCATCATCACATAGCACATACTCTAAAGTTGGCCATATAATTGGTCATACAACAATCCTCACTAAATGCAAAAGAACCAAAATCATACCAAACATAAGCTCGGACCACAGTGCAATAAAAACAGAAGTCAACACTAAGAAAAGTGCTCAAAATCATGCAATTACATGGAAATAAAGAAATTAAGGCAGAAATCAAGAAGTTATTTGAAATGAATGAGAACAAAGATAAAACATACCAGAATCTCTGAGACACTGCTAAGGCACTGTTAAGAGAGAAACTCATAGCACTAAATGCCCACATCAAAAAGTTGGAAAGATCTAAAATTAACAACCTAACATCATAACTGAAAGAATTAAAGGAACAAGAACAAATGAACCCCAAAGCTAGCAGAAGACAAGAAATAACCAAAATCAGAGCTGAATTAAAGGAAATCAAGACATGAAAAATGATTCAAAAGATCAACAAATCCAGAAGTTGGTTCTTTGGAAAAAATTCATAAGATACACAGGCCACTAGCTAGATTCATAAAGAAAACAAAAGAGAAGATCCAAATAAACACAATTAGAAATGACAAAGGGGATGTTACCACTGACCCCCACAGAAATAAAAATAACCATCAGAAACTACTAGGAACACCTTTGCGCACACAAACTAGAAAACCAAGAAGAGATGGACACATCTCTTCTGGACACATATACCCGCCAAGACTGAACTAGAAAGAAACTCATTTCCTGAACAGACCAGTAACGAGCTCTGAAATGGAATCAGTAATAAATAGCCTACCAACAACAACAACAAAAAGCCCAGGACCTGATGGATTCACAGCCGAATTCTACCAGATTACAAAGAAGAGTTGGTACCGTTCCTACAGAAACTATACCAAAAAATCGAGGAGGAGAAACTCTTCCCCCATGTCAATCTATGAGGCCAGCAATCATCCTGATACCAAAACCTGGCAGAGACACAACAACAAAAGAAAACTTCAGGCCAATATTCTTGATAAACATCAACACAAAAATCCTCAACAAAATACGTGCAAATCAAATCCAGTGGCACCTCAAAACGCTAATCCATCATGATCAAGTAGGCTTCATCCCCGGGATGCAAAGTTGGTTCAACATACGCAAATCAATAAATGTGATCCATCACATAAACAGAACTAAAGACAAAAGCAACATGATTATGTAAACAGATGCAGAAAAGGCTTCTGATAATATTCAACACCCTTCATGTTAAAAATTCTCAGTAAACTAGGTATTGAAAGAACATACCTAAAAATAATAAGAGCCATCTATGACAAACCCACAGCCAACATTATACTGAATGGGCAAAAGCTGGAAGCATTCCCCTTGAAAACTGGCACAAGACAAGGATCTCTCTCACCACTCCTATTCAACACAGTATTAGAAGTCCTCGCAAGAGCAATCAGACAAAAGAAATAAATAAAAGGCATCCAAATAGGAAAAGAGGACATCAAAGTATCTCTGTTTGCAGACAACATGATTCGATATCTAGAAAACCCAAAAGCTTGGCCCAAAAGCTCTTTCAGCTGATAACTTCAGAAAAGTTTCAGGATACAAAATCAATGACAAAAATCACTAGCATTCCTATACACCAACAACAGTCAAGCCAAGAGCCAAATCAAAAAAGCAATCCTATTCACAACTGCTATAAAAAGAATAAAATACCAAGGAATACAGGAAGGTAAAAGATCTCTACAATCATAATTAGAAAACATTGCTCAAAGAAATCAGTGAAGACACAAACAACAAAACACCCTATGTTCATGGATAGGAAGAATCAATATAATTAAAATGGCTGCACTGCCCAAATCAATTTACCGGTTCAATATTATTCCTATCAAACTATCAATGACATTCTTCACAGAACTAGAAAAAGCTATTTTAAAATTCATATGAAACCAAAAAAGAGCCTGAATAGCCAAGGCAGTCCTAAGCAAAAAGAACAAAGCTGGAGATATCACGTTAACCTGATCTCAAACTATACTACAAGGCTACAGTAACCAAAATATCCTGGCACTGGTACAAAAACAGGCACATAGACCAATGGAACAGAATAGAGAGTCCAGAAATAAGGCCACACACCTACGACCATCTGATCTTTGACAAAAACAAGCAATGGGGAAAAGACTCCCTATTCAATAAATGGTGCTGAGATAACTGGCTAGCCATATGCAGAGAAGACTGAAGCTGGACCCCTTCCTTACACCATATACAAAAATCAACTCAAGATAGATTAAAGACTTAAATGCAAAACACAAAACTATAAAAACCCTGGAAAACAACGTAGGTGATACCATCCTGGACACAGGAACACACAAAGATTTCATGACGAAGATACCAAAAGCAATCGCAACAAAAGCAAAACTTGACAAGTGGGATCTAATTAACTTAAGAGCTTCTGCACAGCAAAAGAAAATATCAGCAGAGTAAACAAACAACCTATAGAATGGGAGAAAATATTTGCAAACTATGCATCTGACAGAGGTCTAATATGCAGGATCTATAAGGAATTAAACAAATTTACAAGAGAAAAGCAACCCCATTAAAAAGTGGGCAAAGAAAATCAACAGGCACTTTTCAAAAGAAGACACACATGTGGCCAACAAGCATATGAAAAAAAAAGCTCAATATTGCTGATGGTTAGAGAAATGCAAATAAAAACCATGATGAGATACCATCTCACACCAGTCAGAATAGCTGTTTTTGAAAAGTCAACAAGTAACAGATGCTGGCAAAGTTTCAGAGAAAGGGGAACACTTACACACTGTTGATGGGAGTGCAAATTAGTTAAACCATTGTGGAAAGCAGTATGGCAATTCCTCAAACAGCTAAAAGCAGAACTACCATTTAACCCAGCAATCCCATTACTGGGTATATACCCAGAGGAATATGAATCATTCCACCATAAAAACACATGCATGTGAACGTTCACTGCAGCCCTATTTGCAATAGCAAAGACATGGAATCAACCAAAATAGCCATCAATGACAGACTGGATAAAGAAAATGTGGTTTGTATACACCAAGGAATACAATGCAGCCAGAAAAAAGAACAAGAGCATGTCTTTTGTGGGAATATGGATGGACCTGGAGATCATTATCTTTAGCAAACTAACACAGAAACAGAAAACCAAATACCACATCTTCTCACTTATAGGTGGAAGCTAAGTGATGACAACTTATGAACACAAGGAAGGAAACAACAGACAGTGGGGCCTCCCTGACGGTGGTGGGTGGGAGGAAGGAGAGGAGCAGAAAAGATAACTATTGGGTACTGGGCTTAATACCTGGGTGATGAAATAATCTATACAACAAACCCCTGTGATAATGAGTTTACCTCTGTAACAAACCTTCACATGTAGCCCCAAACCTAAAATATAAGTTAAAAGATTTTTTTAAATAAAATTATTTTTATTTTATACTAAGCATAACTTTTTTAAAAAGGCAAAATAAGGAACAGGGTTTTCTCTCCCTCTCCAAAAACAAACTCAAAAAACTATATTCATTATCTTCATTAAAATATGGATGTACCTCTTTTCGCCCCTCTCCTGCTAAGTTAGAGACTCTAAATGAAAAAGTGCTTTCTCATCTCTGTGGGAAAAGGAAATCACAAAAAACCCCACAGTTTTGCCAGTTAGTGAGTAGTCATTCTTCTTGGGTAAGGTGGGATGGAGGGAGAACAGAATAAATCTTTTAAAAAATTCCCCTCTGTCTTTTCTCCCCTTTTAGAAGTTACTCTCTCTCTCTCTCTCTCTCTCTCTCTCTCTCTCTCTCTCTCTCTCTATATATATATATATATATATATATATTTTTTTTTTTTTTTTTTTTTTTTTTTAAGATGCAGTCTCGCTCTGTCACCCAGGCTGGAGTGCAGTGGTGTGATCTCGGCTCACTGCAACCTCCGCCCCCGGGTTCAAGAAATTCTCCTGCCTCAGCCTCCTGAGTAGCTGGGATTACAAGTGTGCACCACCATGCCTGCCTAATTTTTGTATTTTTAATAGAGACGGGGTTTCCCCATGTTGGTCAGGCTGGTCTCAAACTCCTGACCTCGTGATCTGCCCATCTTGGCCTCCCAAAGTGCTGGGATTACAGGCATGAGCCACCGCGCCCAGCCTAGAAGTTACTTTTAATACGTTGAGAACATGTTGCTTATCTCTTCTTTCTCTTTTTAAGTTCAGTCTTACCTCTTCAGTGCCTGGTAAGTCTTCCTAACAAGGAGGAAATGGTTTACCTGCCTGAAACTGGCTGTCAGCTGACTTTTCTTGGGTATGCCTAACAAAATCTCCAAGTGATACACAAGAAGCTGTTTCACCTGCATGTGGACCAATGCCAGGGACAACAAGGAGCATGGCTGCTGCAGTGGCTAACACAGATCTCCTTGCCTCCAGTCTTTGTGAATTTTAATTCATTCTGCACACTGTGACCAGCTTTCCTTTCTCCAGCTCAATCATCTGTCATTTCTTTATGCTTTCCCTACTAAACAGAAGTTGAATGCTTGACCCCACCTTTGTTCATCTGCCTCACTTGCCTCTCATCATTCTCATATCTGCTGCCTCCTCTCTTCCCCATCCCCAAACACAACTCTTCCCACATTCCAGACTTACCACTTTCTATTATTCCCCTTCACCTCCTTTCTTCATCTTCCTGAGCTGAAGCTTCCTTCATCCTCAGTCACATGCTCAGTTCAGACTTCCCTGAGCACCCTATCTGAAATCCTCCCTCCCCCTTCTGTAATCCTAGACATCTATTTTCATCATCACTACAGCACTTACCATGTGCTGCCTGATGCCAAAAATACTTGCAAGCAAGTCATATCTCCTATTAGCCTGTAAGCTGTTTAAGGATAAAGAATATGTGACCTTTCCACAGAAAGATTTTTATGCTATATCAGTTCTTAACAAAATGGCATTTCCCTCTGGATATACTAGCGAATGCCTTCTCAGAGATCAGGAGACACCAGTAGGAGACCGGCATGGTATGGTAGGCTGAATAATGGCACCCAAAGATATCCACATCTTAAATTCTGGAACTTGTGAATGTTACCTTATATGGCAAAAGAAACTGCAGATGTGATTCTGGACCTCGAGATGAAGAAATTATCCGGGCGTATAGAAAGGAGACAGAGGGAGGTTTGACTACAAAAGAGAAGGCGAACTGATGACAGAAGTAGAGATTAGAGTGATAGATTTTGAAGATGGAAGAAGCTGCCATGAGCCAAGGAATACAGGCAGCCACTGTGAGCCGAAAAACGCAAGGAAAGGAATTCTCCCTCCTGAGGGAGATGGCAATAATGATCAACTGGTATCAAGACGTAAACTCTATTTTTAGTTTCTACACTCCCATCTAAAGGGCTACAATAGTTATAATAAGTGATGTATAGAATGGTGCATTTTTGGTGGTAGCATTCAGTAATCAGAATCTTGCTAGTCTTTGACAAAACATCATGCTATCAACACTTCTTGTACTACATAGAAATCAACTAGAGGAGTCCATTCTCTAAAGTCAAACAACTGGCTAATAAGAAAAGGTAAGTGGGGAATCATTTTCCTGCCTAGCCCCACCCGACAACAACAACAACAAAATTATAAATTAGGTTTATAGGGCCTCACTCAAGTTGTATCCCATAGCATTTGGTGATTTTGTTTTTACAGTTTTTTTTATAATTCACAAGAAATCAAACTAATTAGCGAAGTATCACTTTATCAATTTCTTTATAGCTTCAAGTACTAGCTTAAGTAAAAATTGAGGTGAGGATGGAAGGGGCTGTGATTAGGAGGAACAAAGTAAACAGAGCTAGTTCTTGCTTCATGCTTCAGATAGCAGTGATGCATGCACATACACACACGTGGGCAGAACACTGCGGTATAGTTATTACCTCCGCCCATTCGGATCTAATAGCTAGTGCCAAATATAACTCTTCCGCCAATACTGAACATCATGCATCCTATTAAGAAACTGTGTTATGATACCACATCATTTACTCTTAACCCCCTAATCAAGGGTCTGCTATGGAGAGGAACATGCATCCACAAAGTAGATCCTGACAATTCACAACAAGGCTATTAGCTGTGGAAACAGAATACATTTCTTATGCTGTTTTCACTAAGTGTCCTCTAGTATGTAAGTCATTATAAGCACAATTCCTAGAATATTATCAATTAATGCTCCTAAGCAATATAGGCCTTTACTGTACGCTGGAAAGAGAGGGCAAGTGAAATGCTAAAATGGTTATGCTCCATTCTGCAACTTTCATTATACTACCAGGAAAGCTTGTGCTGTGCCAGGGAGAGGCAAGAATACCTGATCTTCCATTTTGAGGGCCCAAGAGTCAGTCTGATACTCCCTGATTACTCTGTTAACATTGTAGTAATGGAGACATCATGAAGCATCCTTCACTCACTTCTTAGTGATGGGACCCTGGATATCAGCCACCACAGCTTCACTAACCAGATCACACATGTATATGTGTATGTACACACACACTCTCCTTTAAACACAAGACAAAAGACAAAAATACTGGAAAATTCCCAACTAACCAACTATTCAGAACTAACATTCTGAGGGTAGATCTTTTTTGTGTTTTTGAGACAGGGTCTCATTCTGTCTCCCAGGCTGGAGTGCAGTGGCACGATCATAGCTCACTGCTGCTTCAACCTCCTGGGCTCAATAGACCTGCCCGCCTCAGCCACAGTGTCTGGCTAATTTTTATATTTTTTTGTAGAGACGGCGTTTTGTCACATTGCCTAGGTTGGTCTCAAACTCCTGGGCTCAAGTGATATGCCTGCCTCAGTCTCCCAAAGACCTGGGATTATGGTGTGTGCCACTGCCCCCTGCCTACAGTAGATCATTTTTACTGCTAATTCCACATACATTTTTTAAAAAGGCAAAGTAATGGGAAATGGGGTAACAAGAGATAATGAGAATTCTCACTTAATTACTATACCATACTTGATTTTAGTCATTAAAGTTGTTTTCCCCAAAAAATTTTTAACAAAATTATTACAAAATAGCAAAGTGGCTTTTTTTTTTTTATTCCATTACTCAAGTATGAACCATCTATTTGGCTGGATATCAAGTGCTATAGGAGATTCATGCGGGGTATGAGGCCCTGCTGTGAGCAGCTTACAAAACTGGATGGAAATAAATTTGATATGAAAGCACTCAGACATGATACTTCATACTTAAGTACTGAATTATACCGTATGGTAATAATGATAATTCCTATTTATTGAACACCTCTCGTGGCTCAGGGACGAAACAAGGTGCTTTACATATATGCAAAACAACCTTCCAACCTATACAATAGAGATTTAAAGGGCTTAACATTATAGGTGTTCAATGGTGAGGGGATCCACAAAGAACCTGGGCCGGTAGGTTTTAGGTAAAGGTGAGGACGGTCATTCTATGTACGTGATGCTACATTAGCAAACCCTGAGGAAGCCATGCATCCAGCTGCCTGGGACAGGAATATGTGGGGCAGTGGGAAGTCTAAAGACTAGGTGACAGTTTTATGCTTCATTTGCCTTTGTCAAAGTTGCTAACGTCCAGAGGAAAAGCTGGGGACTTTGTTCCGTGCAGTTTCTATGGGAAGCCAGGGAAGAACTCTCAAGAACAAATCGGTTAAACTGATTACAATCAGTTTAATTGAAAGACACGTCTAAAAAAATGACATTTCCGGTACAGTAATACTCATCTGGTATTTGAAAGTAAGGCAAGTGGTGCAGAGAAGGGTGAAATGGGGCGGCTGGGAAGGACAAGTGGTCTGAGCAATCATGTCGTCTGTGAAAGGGTTAAATGGTAATGAAGGAATAGTGACATCAACATCTGGTGGTTAAGTTCTGCTGGCCAGGATTAAGGATGTAATTTTACAGCAATCCATGGGTGGATTGGGCCAAGGGATGGAGGAAAGATCTGAAATGACTCTCCACCATCATCTTTAGTTCCCAACTCCACTCAGTCACCACTCTGGGTATATGGAGGAAGATGGAAAGAGAATACAGACAAGACATGGGTTAGTGGTACAGAATGAGTTAATAAGATGAGAGACTATATATTAAGGTCAAGGAGAAGGAAAGTGAGGAAGCCCTTTCCACACAAACACCAGGTATCTTTTAGAATGAGGACAAGCAGGAAAACTCAGCCTTCTTTGGCTAAAATGTCCCATCTCCTTAATGCAACATTCCACTTATCACAAAGCCTCATATTATATAAGTATTTTTAGACAAAGCTTAACTTCTCTGCTAGATTACAAAATCCCTGAAGGCAGGAGCCATAGCTTCCTACATCTGACACCATGTCTTGTGCATCGATGCTTAATAAATGTCTGCTAAATTGAATTAGGCTCCCATGTTACTGATGATACCAGGGAAAAGAGCAATAATAGCCTTGGCACCACAAGGTTAGTGTCTCAGACTGTTTCATCCATGGTGCCCACAATCACTGCTGTCATAGGATGGGTGCTCAACAGATTCTTAAAGAAAGAATGAACAAATGAACAGAGATCAGTATCTCCCACCAGTATGAACAGAAGCTCTTTGGAAATAGCCAGGAATGGAACACCCTTTAAATCCCAGCTTTTCCTACTTGAATGCTTTATGCCCACATTTCCATTCAGCAACATGCAGGGACTGCTTTGTATGGCAGCTATAGGATTAACAGACGTTATTAAGTTGTTAAGGTAAAGTACACGGTCCTAAGGGCACAGAAATTTGATGTATGTCTAGATATGTAAATACTTACATCACTATCCATATCGAGAACATTGCCAGCACTCACTCCAGCAGTCTCTCTTTACCCCACTCAGGTAAAACTACCTCTATCAATATAGATTAATTTCTATGAGGGAAAAAGTTACTTTATCCTTTTCACTCTTCACTTCCTTGTGGAAGCCTACATTTCTTGGGCACAAAATGGTCACCTTGTCTGTGCTTTGGAATAGTCATTCCAAGATAACTAGTATCACCAGATTTTTGACTAATAAATCCTAAGCAATGACAGCAACGGCCCCTGTCAAGCAGGCCTATTCTCATGTGCATTAATAAATGAGAAGGGAGGCAAACATAAACAAAACAAAGCACAAACACTAAGCCATTTGTCCCACCTGACAGCAGACCCAGTACCAGATACTCCCTGAACTAGAGTTCCCCTGGAACCACACACAGAGCTATAATCAGAGCATGAGCTGGTCCAATCGGAATTCCTGCTGCTCTGCTCCACATCAAGTACTTGTCCTAAGCACCCCACCCCCATCCCAAACACACCCAGACAAGATGAGGCCCTTCCCTGCTGGGAAAGAACACTGGCTTCACAAGCAGAAGTAGAACATCTCATTACTTCCCCCAGAAAGCTGTTCTTAAGTAAAGAACATCTGGTTTGTTTCATTATTGTTGTTGATGAGGAAAATGTTCTATTATGGTGATCATGGTATGTGAACGCCATTAGCTTTCAGATTTTAGAAAAAACACACTTGAGTAATGCTTTCCTCGCTAAATTCAGTAAATCATTTTTCTTTCTGTGTCAGAGAGGTCTCTGATGATGGTTCAGCTAATGCAGAGTGAATGTGCAGGTACAGATTTTGATACATGGATCAATACTTCCTATCAAATTACCTGAATCTTCTGGGAGTTACTAGTTTTCTATTTCCCATGGTAGAAACAGGAGGTGAATACTAATGCAACTCCCTTCTCAGGCACTGCCTCCGGCCAAAGGAAGCCTGTAAAGCTAGTTTTGTCACAGCATATAAATTAGACCAATGTTTTTCATAGTCAAGTTCAACTCTAAACTTTTGAGTAGAAGTCTATGCCTTCAGGGGACTGTCTAATAATGAAAATCATATTTAAGTGAGTGTTATTTTGGTAGACTCTGACATGCGTTCTTTTTTTTTTATTTCTAGAGTTTCTACAAAGTTGCTATGTTATCAAGTGAGCTGAAAAAATAAGATTTATGGTTTTATAAAACACCAAATCCAGAAACTCTTGTATAATTACAAAAGAGCAAGAACTCAGAATGCAGCAGCCACCATTTGCTCTTGGAGTTCAAGGAATCCCCAATATCTTCCCCAAAAATCTATACTTCAGCTTTATGAAGTCCTAAAGTCTGTATACCTCACAGCCTGAAGAAAGCTGTCAATCTGAAATGCCATTCTCTCAAGACACAGCCTAAACACAATGCAGCAACAACATGAGGAAAGGCTTCTCAATGCTCTTTACAGAAAATTTTATAAAACCAAAATCAAAGTATGGCATACCACTAAACAAGAAGCTATAAGCAATAATCTCAGTGCTGATGAAATACCTTTATCATCTGAAAAAGTTTTTAATTTATTCTGGGCAATGGACAATGTCAAAGTATATTTCCTTAAATGTCAAAATATAAAGTCCAAATTAGCT
Organism: Homo sapiens; assembly: GCF_000001405.40. Taxonomy (NCBI): domain Eukaryota; kingdom Metazoa; phylum Chordata; class Mammalia; order Primates; family Hominidae; genus Homo; species Homo sapiens. The sequence goes on along the minus strand of NC_000002.12, from coordinate 168,638,537 downwards.
TCAAAAAAAATCCCTGAATTGAATTTTTGTTTATATATTTTAATTGATATATAGTAGTTGTACATGTTTTGGGGGTAATGTGTTTTATTTTTGATACTTTTTTTTTTTGATACGATGTGCAATGGTCAAATCAGGGTAACTGGGATATTCATCACCTCAAACATTTTTCTTAGTCCAACCAGTTTCTTAATGTGAATAGTATATAGATGGTCTGCTAGTTACATTGCAGAAAATAAATTCATAACATAGAAGGAGAGAAAAAATTGTTCTGTGGAATGATACCAACTTGTGTAAAAAGGAATTTCTATACCCAGTCTGAAAATTAGGAGATGATTTCTGATGAGATCCAAAACTACCAAGAATGCAGCAACCACAGATTCTCAGCTTTGCTAGTATGAGTTCAGTTGAAAGTAGCAGATAAATAAAGCAAAACAGTGAGAACTAGGCAAACATAAACAGCTGAATTTTTTTTTTCAGACCAAACATTTCTATTTCTTCACCATTTAAATGGAATTCGACTTTTAATTTTTATTTCCTCCTCTTTAAAATTCACAACCTCATGTTCTTTTATGACCTAGGTATACCTAATCCTATGTATAGTCTTTTCCATTCCAATTCCTACATTTCAGAGTTAATTTTATTTAATAGAAAATAAAGTATTAAAGATATATTGAAAAAAACCTCCAAATTTCTACCTGTAAAAGGAGTCTTCATTTTTACCTACTGCTGTGATTTATCCATTACATTACTACCACAGTAAAACACATACATGAGATTGTTACTTTCATGTAACATTCTACTAAATATTTTAAGAATAGTTATAGTTTTTCTCAAAAAGATTGCATGTCATTTTGTCACTTTGATAATTTAATTAAAATATTCTTCTAATATGAGACATTAAGTTCTGCTTTGGATTTGCTATGTTATGTATGTGTATATATTCATATACATTTAGTGAATATCCATCACCTCCACATTATCACAAGTTGTAATAAGCAACTTCACACATTCACACATCCATATTTAGTGTTCCTGTGTAATTTTTTCTTTTTTTTTAGACGGCGTCTCACTCTATTGCCCCAGGCTGGAGTGCAGTGGCAGGATCTCAGCTCAGTGCAACCTCCGCCTACTGGGCTCAAGCAATTCTCCTGCCTCAGCCTCCTGAGTAGCTGGGACTATAGGCGTGTGCCACCAAACCTGGCTACTTTTTTTTTCTGTATTTTCAGTAGATACAGGGTTTCACCATGTTGGCCAGGCTGGTCTTGAACTCCTGACCTCGTGATCCACGCGCTTCAGCCTCCCAAAGTGCTGGGATTACAGGCGTGAGCCACCGTGCCTGGCAATTTTTTATTAAAGATAAGTTCATAGGAGTTGGAGTGCCAGGTCAAAATATAAGAAGATATTTAAGATTATTCTGCATTACTGTGCCACCTTCCAAGGAGGTGGGACCAGCTCACCATACATATGAGCAATTTCAAATTCTTTACTGAATTATGGGATATGAGCTGAAAGCCATTAGTTAGGATAGTCTACATTACTGATTTTAGAGACGAAGCAATTAAATCCAAGAGAGATTAAGAGGCTTGCGTAAAGGTCACAAAGCTGATTAATGGCAGAATTCAATAACCCAGGCGTTCTGACGGCCTCTACAGGGCCTCACAGTCACATTATCCTTGGTTTCTCACTGGCCTTGGAATGCCCTCTCAGATAGAATGCCAGCCACAAGCCAACACAGAAGGAAAATGAGGTAGGGTAAATGAAAGGGACGAGGAGAATCAGAACATATGCAAGAGGGTAGATGTAGGTAGAAGAGGGAAAGGAAGATGCAATAAGCAGCAGCACTGAAGAATTTCCTTTCGTTATTCAAGATCTTTTTGTTGCAGATGTTTACCTATTTGTAAGCATCGAAGCACAGCCAGGACAACGGGTCTTACGGAGTAGGAGGCAGCAACAGAACAGTATTTTTTATGTGAAGGGATGACAATGGACTTACACAAATAATTCCCAGCAGAGACCACCTCTCTTTTCCCATCTTACAGATGAGAAAAATGAGCTTTCAGAGAGCAAAGGTTCCATTAAGTATAATGAGCAGGGTCAAGACTGAAATCTCAATCTTGACTTCCAACTTATCATTCTATACTGATGTGACTTTTAGTTTTCATTAGTAAGGTAAATTTACTAATAAAAAGTTACTTAAACTGCTAGCTTTTTAAAACTTATCTAAGTTGTTGTTGTTGTTATTGTTTTTAACCTAGACAGTCCAAAGACAGCAAAACAGGCTTCCAGTTTTGCTTCGGGCAAGTCAATTCATCTTTCTGAAATTGGTTTTTGTTTTCTGAAATGGGAAATTTGGGATAGGTGATCTTTAGGGTCCCTTCCCAATGTTAGTATTATATATCATGTGCACTTCTTATAGAAGTATTTCATGGGGGTCATTTTCATTAAAACCAAATTTAAAGCCTCCTTAAACAGCAACATAGTCCAAGCAATTTTAAGATTTTTAAAATGACACAGAGAACAAAATCTTAAATGGACTCATATTCTAATGGCTAGACAAATTCTATTTTCAGTCTCAAAATAGGCAAAAAAAATTACAATCTTGTTCCCATTTCAGAAAGATTCCGAACTAAGCAATAAACAAAAGAGAACATCTCAAAGTATGAAACCAGGGAACACTTCGTGGCTTTGTGTGTTGAATTTGAGAACACCGCATGAAGAATGAAAGGCTGCACCTTAGTTAAGGTTGGATTCAGAAAGTCTAAGGGAGTGGGCAAAGGACTCAGTCTGACGGGGCACTCTCAACCACAAGTTTTCACCCAGCAGTTAGTCATGAAGTCAATGTAATGGGGCAACCTTCATGTTTTAAAAATGTAATAAAATAGGTTATAATAAGATTTATCAGAGTACATTTCAGAATGCAGCAATATGAGACAATTGGGCTAGTTATTGAGATACTGCTGCCGGTCTCAGAGCAGAGACTGTGCAAGCCGCACTTCTGCTGGCTTTAAGGAGCTGGTGCCTTGCCAAGTTTAGCTTCTTAGAAGCACTTGAGGAAGGCTGGAAGGCTGCAAGAGGAAGATGGGACTTGCTCCTTTCTGTTTTGCTTCTAGTTCTTGTCATCACGTTCATCCCCTGCCTCCACACCCACCCAGCAGTGCATCTTCACTCCAGCAGTAGCAGTTCATTCCAGCAGCAGCAGCTGGTTCCAATTTGTAGTTTTTCCACATTCCCAGAGCCAAGCCCCTCATGCTCCCTCAGGGACACCAGCTGGTCAGTGTCCCCTTGTCAGAAGTCTTCTCTGGCTCCATGGCTCTTCCTTTGAGCCTCTATGTTCTGTAATCCCCTTGTCCTCACAGTGGCAGTGCCTTCCTGCTATTACTACCTCCACTATACCTCAGTGGGGTGCTAATGGGTGAGGCCCAGTCCTTGAAATGTCTGTTACAAGTCCACAACAACATAAGGAGCTTACACTCGAGGTAAATTAACTGGATCACTAAGCACACTGTTTTCAGCTAACTTTTCTTCATAGATAGACTTTTTCAAAAATCAGGAGGAGCTGCTTTACATTCAGGTGCAAGCTTCTTATCTCATTGCAGACTGGTAGTAAACAGTAGATCAATTTACTTTGAGCAACACAGGCTTGATGGTTCCCTCTGGTTAATGATTCTTTATATTACAGTCACTCCTAAAATTAACTTCTGGGGTTTCTATCTCCTATGGACCCCTGACTGATATTGAAATTAGACATAGGTATATCTTGAGTAACTTTTCTTTTACATACATGCGTGTGTGCGAAATGAATTGTGATACAAAATGTACCACATGTGTCGGGTGTGGTGGCTCACACCTATAATCCCAGCACTTTGGGAGGCCGAGGCAGGCAGATCACCTGAGGTCAGGAGTTCGAGACCAGCCTGGCCAACATGGTGAAATCCCATCTGTACTAAAAATATAAAAATTAGCCTGTCATGGTGGCACAGGCATATAATCCCAGCTACTTGGGAGGCTGAGGCACAAGAATCGTTTGAACCCAGGAGGGGTAGGTTGCAGTGGGCCAAGATTGCACCACTACACTCCAGCCTGGGCGGCAGAGCGAGACTCCATCTCAAAAAACAAACAAACAAACAAACAAAAACCCCACATGATCAGACATGTAGTTTATAAGAAAAAATAGAACCTAGGAAAATGTGTTAATTTGTATGTGTACACTGTCTGCTAGGACTTCAGAGCACCTTAAGTATTTCTAGGTCTTCTTTAACAAAAGTATTTGACTCTGCTAATTATAAGTATGAGCAGACTCTCTTATATACAGCAATTATAGAATAAGATTATATTGTCAGGCTTACTTTCAACTGCTTAAATATTTCCTACCAACACAGCAGTAACTTTACTGAATAGTTCACTAACATGTCTGTAAGGTTGTTCTGTAGTGTCTACTTCCCTATTTTTTAGGGTAGAATAGGTGCTTATTAAACCACCATAGAAAATGAGACACAACAGGCTCATTTGACCTAAAGACAGAAGAAAACCGATCAGTGCAAGCTGTCAGGGATTCTTCTAACAGCACATGTAATAATCCATATTTTTGATTCTAGAAGTAAGAGGCAGCTGTAGCCTCTAACCTCTTAAAATGGATCCACTACACTGGTATTATGAGAATTTTCCTACTGTACTTTTTGGAAGAATCTGAACACAAAGACAAATTTATGCTGTATTGATAGAACTATGTGCTTCTTATTTTCTGAAATTTAAGGTATTCTACAGATTTGAATTACCTTGTTTTGATTATTTCTGATGCAGCATCTTTAATTTTTTTTGTCTCAGTTTAGATTGGGCAAACATATTGTCCATTCCAAGAAAGTTAATAAAAATATTTTTAAAATATACATTAAAAGAAGTATTTAAAGTTCTACAAATAAGCAATAATGATTCAGCTAGGTCAAGCCTGCTACCCAAAGAAGGAAGTCACTCAGAAATCATGCTGAGGTTAGGGCAGTTAGGGTAGGCTTGCCAACTGGAGAGAGCTCTGGAATAAGAAAGAGGAGCATGTGTTTCTTGTCAGGTTCAGCCTTTAATAAACTGTGTGACCTTCTGAATGCCACCTACCCTCTTCTGGATTTCTGCCTCCTGAGCTGTGAAATGAGAGGGTTGGACAAGATGGCTTATGAAGTCCTCCAAAGCTATTTCAGTCAGATGAATTCTATGTATGCATTTCTACTTCGCATTATGAGTAAGACTAAACTACACAGCTCATCAAAAATTGAGTGCTGCTTGGATGGAATTAAAGAAAGAAATTCCCACACAAATTAATTCAACAAGAAGAACAGTGTCTAGTTCTTCTTTCCTTTCCTTTTTTTTTTTATTAAAAAAAAAAAGCATTTGTTATAACCAGAGGCAGTTGAAAGGAAATTGGCATAAAACTGGTCTAGTTTAAGAAAAAATAATTTCCAAGGAAACACTCTACTGACAGTTCCTCTTACTGCCTCGTGCAGACTCACTGAGGACTGGTGGATAAAAATTATTCTCATTCCATTCCATTTGTTTAGGGACAGAGTGAACCAGAGCTAAGCGTCAAAGTGTTTCCTGTTCTGATGACAGATAACCGCATTGCCGTATGAGAGCTAGAGAGGCTATATCCAGCAGGCCTAAAGGAAAAGAGCAAAAACGTGCTCATCCTCTCTTTCCTTTCTCACCAACAAAGCCCCTCACCAACAGAACCAGGCACGAATTCCAAACCTTGACCTTAGTTAACAACCCGACCTTCCCATGAAGCACACCTCCTCCACATCAGCTGAAATTCCATCCAAAGCTGTTTCCTCTTCCAAGGTAGTAAAGTTATAAGCACAAAAGCGCTATAGTCATTCTATTTTTTCTAGATAAGTAAATCTGAAAACTAGAACAGAATTCCAAAATAAGCCGTTTAAACCATGTTTATTTACTCCAGTTGAGAATTTCTTCATACACAGAAACCCCACAGAGTAAAACTCATCCTTCTAAATCGATTCAAATGGCCTCTGGGCCATATGGTCTTATTAAGTGAAAATAAGTGCAGTTACCAAAGGAAAAGACTACAAGTAAAAAACAATCCTCTAAAACAATATGATAATGGGAAACAACCACTATTTATAATAGAATTCACCACAGGCGGACAATATTTGATAACCCAGATTTTAAAATCTTAAATGTATTTAAAATTTCCATGTCAATATTTACAAGATTAATAAGGCATGAAATTTGGTGCATTCCCAATTTTAACAAAAATTCTGTAATAAATAAAGATAACACTGATATCACTTTGGAGGCTAATACTATAGAGAACTTTTAAAAATAATTCCCCATGTTATGCCAAATCACTATTGTTAATATGTGTACGACTATGAGAAGATAGGCCTTCACAGGGTTTTATTTAAGGAGTCTAACCCGACAGTAGTTCCAGTAAGAACTGAAATAACCTGGAAAGACTATAGCAGCCACAAGGAATTACTTTCATAGATTTCGGTCCCTCAGTTCATGCAGGATTATAGTAAAAGCAACAGCAGGGGAAATGATCTTATGAAAGAAATGAAATTTTCCACCAGCAGTTAGTGCTGCCCTGTTAGTAACTAGGCGAGAGAGAGAGAGACAGATATTATATATATAATATGTAATATATAATTATATAACACATAATAAATGTATAATATATAATATATATTATATAATATATATTATATAATATATAATAAATTATATAATATATATTATATATAACAAATATACATTTCTTTATTATATACAATATGAAAATATATATAATTATGTTATATATAATATAAATATAAATATAATATAAATATAAATTAAATATATATAAATATAAATATAAATATAAAATGTTATATATAATATAAATATAAAATATGCTATATATTATATAAATATTAAATATATTATATATTTAATATATAAATATTAAATATATATTATATTTAATATATAAATATTAAAAATATAATATATTTAATATGTATTTATATAATAGTTTATATATATTATATTAATATATAGTTTATATATTATATATTATATATTATATTTTTATATAATATATAATATAAATATATATTTACATATATTTACATAATATTATATAATATATATTATATAATATATATAGTTATTTCTACTGGTGAAGAGTACAGTGGTAATACATGCTGCAACAATTCATGTTTTCAAATTGTGTGATTGATGTAGAAACTCTAACTTCTTTCAAAGCATCAGATGGATTTTATAAGCTTCCTAATGCCTGAAAAGTAATAAATAACCCACTGGAGTGACTATGGGACTTAGCAACATCCGAAATATTTTTGTAAGTCAAATGAAAATGCACAAATAATTCTTAGGAAGCCTGATATGATTACCTAAAATATTATTACAGTCACACATTAAAAAAAAAAACCAGGATATAGACATACACTTACATAAGAATCATGTAAAATAGTTTGAGAGATCCTACCTTTTTCAGGAATCTGACTCCGTAGGTAAATACATAAAGGTAAAATGAAAATCTCCACCTGTAGAAGGTTAAAAAAAAATCTGTGACATTCAGTTTATATATTCACAGCATATACTGAAATATGTAAGGGAGGGAAAAGAGTTCATTAAATTAAATTTGTCCCCCTACCTCAACTAAGGATTAAACTTAATGAGCAATTTCAGTGCTAGCTGAAGCCATACACTGGTATACATGGCTTATAGAAAATATTTTGAGTATTATATTCATAACTTAATTTTTTCATTGTTAATTGCAATATTTGCCCAACTGCTCATCTTCTCATTCTCCAACATGTGAACTTCTTCTTGTTTATCACTCATGAAGGGATATGATTTGGTAATATGAAGGTATAATATCTGAATCAGACAAATAATTCAAAACTAACAACTGGAGTTAACTGAAGTTCATATTTGTTTTAAAAGAGTTAATATTTTAAAATTAGGTAAGAATTTCACTTTGTCTTTTAACAACTATATCAACATCTTTGTGGATGTTGCTAAAGGAAGGCATATAGAATCTAAATAAATCAAATTACAACTATAAATGACAATTTTATACCATGCCAAACTTATGGTCTAGCTGTGACTTTCACTTCTAATGAAGAAAAATTTTTAAGTTTTCTTTTGATTTTAAATGATGGAAATGTTTTAAGTCTTTTAAAATATAAGATGTGTGCGTGTGTGTGTGTGTGTGTGTGTGTGTATACTTATTACAAAAAACTCTTACTCTAGTACTAAATTCCCAATTTTATTTCTTGTACTTCCGAGTATGAATAGCTACGCCTTTAAAAGTTGGCTGGATGTCACTAAATGGCATTCCTGATATCATAAAAAAAAAAAGTTATCTTGTAAGAAAAGACAATTAACTTATTGTAGTATAATAGTTAAGGGCTGGGCGTGTTGGCTCACACCTGTAATCCCAGCACTTTGGGAGGCTGAGGCAGGTGGATCACAAGGTCAGGAGATCGAGATCATCCTGGTTAACACGGTGAAATCCCGTCTCTAATAAAAATACAAAAAATTAGACAGGCTTAGTGGCGGGCGTCTATAGTCCCACCTACTTGAGGAGGTTGAGGCAGGAGAATGGCGTGAACCCGGGAGGTGGAGCTTGCAGTGAGCCGAGATCCCACCACTGCACTCCAGCCTGGGCAACAGAGTGAGACTCCATCTCAAAAAAAAAAGAAAAAAAGTTAAGAACTTAATTTTAACTCCATCTCCATTACTAATCTCTCAATGGTTATGGGTGAGAGTGATAACAAGTTTCTGTTTGTTGTACAAATTCTAGATCAAAAATTAAAACCAGGGATATCTTCATGGGTGTGTGACTTAGGCAGTCACATAAGACTTCATGCTTGATTTAATGCTTTGTTACCATCTTGAAATTCTTAATAGTTGTTGAACAAGGGACCCAGCATCTTATTTTGCATTGGATTCTGCAAATTATGTACCCAGTTCTGGTCAAGACAGACTCAACTAACTTTGGGCAAATCTGTTAATATCCTTTGATCTCAGTTCCATCTCTATAATGGGAGACTGGGTTTGTGCTATAATGATGCCTCAAGGATTTGGTAGCACAAGTATTATCTCTACTTCTCTCTAGTCCCTCCCAATCCTTCCAGTATGGAACTAGCCTACTTCATGCATTTGCCTTGTCTGGCCCCTGGAGGCAAATGAATTTGCAACTCCGAGATTAGGTTATTTATAACAGCTGTTTCAGTTCTAAGACCCTTGTTAGTAGGTAGTGATCAGGCAGTTTTTATGTATAAAAAAGTTTTACAGAAGTCATTGGAATTCCTACCATCATTTATGTATCTACATTTTATTTAATCACTAAAATGACCCAGTTTTCATAACACATAGATTCTATTATAGGAATACTGATGCCTCCATCATTTGAATAGCAACTTGTGATGAATATTTACAAGGCAGAGTTTATTTCCACAAAATATCTGCAGAAAGCAAAATTTTCAAGCATCTTGCAACTTGAAAAAGCACTTCTTTAAGTTGTGGAGTTTCATATGTTATTGTTTTAAATGCTAGCTACCAGTCCCTGATATAGTCCCTCCCAATCTTCTACTAAGATACCTGTAAAAGAGATAAATAATAAAGTTCATGCACCCATGAAAAGGAAGATATGACCTTCAACCTACTGCTAGAATCAGGGAAGAGTTCTTACAACAGAAAAAGAATGAAATTAGATGTAAAAAATGTGATTAACAGTGAAAAGTCACAAGCCTTGAAGGAAGTAGGGAAATCTTCATCTGCATATCACCCTGTCTCCACTTTCTGCCATCTTGTATAGAAATGCAAAATCTGTATCAGTCGGAAACTTTGCCCTTTACCACAAATGATTACGTACATTTCTTGAGGCAGCAACAGAATCTCCCACCCCATATCTTAGTGATGGCTACTTTCAAAAGCCAACTGGGAAGAAGGAGATGTACTGTGAAATCTGGCAGTTTCAGTGACAGAAAGGCAGATTTAGGGACAAGATGACCTATGAAGGTACTGCATTCTGGAGGTTGGCGTTCTTAGACAATCCACATACAAAGCAACAAAGAACAAGGCTATTGGAGATAGCTGCTTTATATGAAACTTTCACTGAAAATGGGGCCAAGTCTATAGACATCAACCTGCTTCAAGGTCAGAGATCTAAAAGAGGACTTTTACTAACAAACAGGAGGAGAGAGAGTGGGGCTGAGGGCAATCCACACATCCCCTCTGTGAGCAGGTCTAGATGAATATCTCTAAATTCGGGAATGAAAATAACAGCTCAGTGGCAGCATGGGTCTACTAAGTAGTAATAAATGTGGAAAGAAAACGGCATGTTAAAGATTCAAAGGAAGAACAGCCTCCTAAAAATGACTTCCTAGAGGAATCATTAGTAATTTTTAGGAAAGTTTTAGGCATTGCCAATATAATACAAGAAGATATGACCCCTTGAAACAAAACAGAAAGTTGTAAGTCAATAAAAGACTGCCGGGTAAGATAAAGAGATTATAGGTGGAATAAAGGAGCATTGCACAGAGTCTGAAAAATGAAGTGCAGCATTATTATCCACTGGAGGGGAGGAACACAGATACATACAGTATAAAATTAAGTCATTTACATAGAGGGTAAACACCCCCATAAGGCCAGAGAAATGAACCAAAGATGAAAAAAGATCCTAGATCTGGAAGACTAGAAAACAAATCTAATTATAGCTGTTTCTGAGGAAATACAAGAACTAAAATAGAATAATCAAAGACAAAAAGACTAAAAAAAATGTGAACTGAAAAAAAAGACAACTAAATTGCATTCCAAACAATATCAATTCAAAGCGATGTTCTGACAAAAATGTTGAATCCTAGGTTTACAATAAAAAAAAAAAAAACTTCAGTGTTCAAGCATAAAAACAACAAGTCAACACACACAAATCAAATGAAAACAAATCACCATCAAAAGAACAAATACCCAGTTGGTCTTACAGTTCTCTGCTGTATTATTAAGTGCCAAAAGAAAGGGAAGACTCAATCAAAGAAAGCTTCTGCCAGGCAAACTTCCTCTCATTTGCAGAGGAATATATGAAAAGTATTCTCATATATTCAGAGGCTCTAAAAATACATTATTCATTAACCTTTATGAAAAAATTACTTCAGCCTATTCTGACCCACCAATATACAAACAAAAAATAATATTTCAAAAAGTATAATTCTAGCATAAAAAGACTATGGTTAGCAACATAAATCATTGCCCTAAATTTCATTGCCAAATTAAATGCTCTTGTTTTTAAGGGATAATTTAATACAAAATATTTAGCAATAATAATCAAGGGATGAATTCTTAGATTAATGAAAACGAGGAAAGGAAGCATTAAATTCATTCTTACGGGAAAATTTCAAAAGACTTCTTTTGATAACAGAAATAGACTAAGACTATTTCTTTAAACACTTAAAGATTACTCTTGGTTAAACAAGGTAAATTAAACACATAAATTTACCTCTGTGTCTTTATGAAAGTACCACTAAACGGGCAAAAGAGGGATTTTGTTCAGTAAAGCATAAACTCCCAGGGACACAAAACTGGAGTGAAGACAACCACCCTGTTTCAGGGCCTGGAAAGCTGCAGGAGGGGAGGAATGTTGGCTTAGCTAGTGGAACCAGAAGTTGAATCCTAAACGATCTGTGGAGGATGCTCAGAAGGACCACCAATTCCCAGAAAGACTCCATATAAGGAAGCAACCTTGTAAGACCAGTATTGGAAAAAGAAGCCTAGGGATTAGCCTGTCCAAAGCCAGACGCCTGGTAAATGGAAAAACTGGGACACAAACCTAGCAGTGACTCTAAAGCCCTCTCTCAAATTCTACAGAATTAGAGCACCCTGCTTTGCCTAGAGACGTCAATGTGTTCCACTACATTTGCTTGGATATGGAAGGCTTTTATATCTTTCAAACCTGAAAATTAGAATAGGAAGCTAGTAAAAACTACCACCCACTGAATCTGGTTTATTGTCCTTACACAACAAGGTTGAACAGGGCTCTTTGTTAAAATCAAGACTACTAAAATGTGCATTTGAAGCAGGAAATCAGAGCATTGAGGTCTCAGGTCTTGTTGCCAGGTGTCACCCAAAAGGCAAGGGATTGTAAACTACAGAGGCAGCAGAAGCAGGGGAATCATCCAGAGCAGCCACCACCCCGCACGACTCAGCACATGTTCTAGGGAGACCAGGGCAGGCATACGAGGGCCGTTTGATTTACAACTTTTATATAGTACTTCCTCTATCCCCTGAGTTCTTCTAAGCACTTTACAAATAGGAAGTCATTTAATGAAACTGTTCCACACAACAAGGTAGGCATTATTATCAACATCTTTATTTTTTTTTCCCTGATGAGGAAATGAGCACAGAGTGGGTTTAGTTACTTGCTGAAGGCCACACAGCTAGTAAGAGAGAAAGTCAGGATTGGAAACTAGGCTGTTTGGTTCCAGCATCCAAACTCTTAACCATTAAGCTATGCTACTTCTTCCTGATTTTATACCTAAAAATGGAAGACAATGTATTCAGCTAAAATGATGTTTCTAACCTGGTGGATATTAGTGGATGCTGCATAATTGAGAACTGTCTCTACCCTGATGAATGAAAACTGACTGCTTGCAAATCTGGGGATAGAAGAGCACCGAAAAGACGCTTCTTTTCAATACCAGGGTAGCTAAAACAATATTAAGCTTATTAACAATTATTACCCAGAGGGTTTTTCTCTGTCCTACTCACTCACCTCTCTCTACCTGCTGAGCCACTGTGGCTCCTTCAGGATTTATGTCAAATTCTAGTTGTTCCATAAAGCCACCTTTTCTGGATGCTGCAACATGGAAAACACTGTAATTCTGACTTGTTCTTTACCTCCTCTCCTTCTCTTTGATTACAGCCACAAGCCTTTGAATTGCTTGTGAGTTCCAAGTAGAGTAAGACTGAGTTTTATTTATCTTTGCATTTCTGACCACAAACAGTGGCTTGCAAAGAATAGTTCCTAAACTGACATCTAAATTTTTATTAGGAGTACGAGTGATCCTTTTATTTACTGACTTTTAAGTATATTTACACCACAATAGATCGAATAATTTATCAACTACTTCCAGGAACTGTGCAAGTATGAACAAAAAAGGGGAGAGAGATGACATATATTGCCAATTCAACTTCTAACGTGATCAATCAATCTGATAGAAATTTGGAATAAAAAATAGTCAACTCTGGAATGGTATAGCTAATGAAAAAACTGTTATTGTGTATAAAACTAAGATACATTGCTAGAGCACCAAAACATCAGTATATGGTTCTTTTGATTCTGAAATCGATTTTATTAATTGAGACATTCTCATTTCAGCTTTTCCATCATCTAAATAAAAAGATTAACTAATTTATTATCAAATCCATGAAGAGAGGTGAAGTATGGCTTATACCTATGACATTAAAATTTTTCTTTCATAAAATTTAACACAATATAAATCACTGCGCTGTATCTCACAAATTATTACAAATGAAGTGAAATTATACAGTTGGACAAATGAGCAGAATATATTTAGGAACAAATATAGACTTCAATCTAGTGTTACTTTAAAATACATAAATCACTTTACCTCTAAGAACAAAGTAGATTAAGTGCCTATTTTTCCACTCAAAACTCAGAGCTTTCATGAGATATGAACAAAGCTACAAGATAGACATATTACACTCATTTTTATCAGTTTTCCAGTCAAGTACAATGGAATTTATAAAAACCTTCCAATGAGGTTTCCGTATTATATGTGACACATTCCCTTCCACAAAGTTTGGACATGAAGTAATTGTGGATTCAAGTTTGATAGAAGTAGTCATCTTTGTGAAGTCCTTTTACTTATAGTAGGTTCTCTTGGGGTGGGGGGTGTCACCTATTTATTTTTACAAAACAGTAACAGCTGGCATTTCATGGGTACTTACTTTATACCTGATACCATCACAAGAGTCTTACATATATTAACTCACCTATATTTTGTAAGAACCCTGTGGGATAGATACACTGTGCCACTATCATTCCCATCGTACTATAAGATGGCAAGTTTAAATTACTTGCCAAAGTACATGGTGAATTTGGGATTCAAATCCAAGCAATTTGACTCCAGAGATCATGGTTTTTACTACTAAATATTAAAAATTTTAGCACATAAATTAAAATCTTATTTTGACTATAAATACCATTACTCTGCTGCTACCATCTCTGTTTCAGTTCCTTTTCTATGCTAAGGTAGGAGGGCAAATAAGACTTTGTTTACTCTTCATTTCTCTAAATAACGTAAAGCACACACTCAATGTGAAATGACTTAGCTAAAATCCTATTCAGAGCTGGTGTCATGAATGTATACTAGCAGAAAAACAGCTCACTGAATGCAACGATTCGGTCTTACAGGTGTTTTACAGGAACATCAGTATATTTCTGTCCACATAAATCAGAGGCATCTAATCCTGCACTCTTAAATTTTCTTGAAGCAGACATTGTTCTTAACAGCCTAGGTAGGGTCCCTAAGAGCCCATCTATGACCTTATTCTACAGATAGAAGACCCATGGAATTGTAAACTTTTCTACATTTAACAAGTAACTTTGTGAAAGAAAACAGGTGTCCCCGTTTTTCACACCAGGTCTCCATCGACATCTTGGGGTCCTGTGACCTTAAAGTCAAGACTAGAAATGGGTAACTATGCCACAAGTGTCAGAAAAAAACTCAGATACCTGATATACTGCCTATTTTTTGAGTATAGTATTCTTTAATGTATAAATATCAAATTTTACAGATTGACATCTAAAGTTCTTAAAAGTCACCAGCTTCAGCCTTTGTTTGTTTAGGTAGATTGGTGAAATTTTGATTTGTGGAACAAAATATTCAATTATTTTGTATTTAATAAGTCTAACAAAGCCATCAGACATATTCAAGCACGTTAATGATTCAGATACAAAATTCTTTCTCGTCCCATGAGCTTTTAGCCAAAGTGTCTCTCTCTAAAGATTGTAACACGGCATTTTTTTTTCCTGCTTTACTGAGGTATAACTGAAAGAGAAAATTGTATGATGTGAATGTGTACAACATGATAACTCATATACAGATACTTGGTGAAATGATTCCCATAATCTAGTTAGTTTTAAACCTGGGTCACCTTACTGTGCTATATATTAGATCCCTGGAATGTATTCATCTTATAACTACAAGTTTGTTATCTTTCAACCAACATCTCCCTCTTTCCCCCACTCCTATCCCTGGTAATCACTATTCTACTGTTTCCATGAGTTCAACTGACACCACATTCTGAAGGGAGGAATGGGCTTGAAGTCTTGGTTAACTGATTGGTTTCATCTGTAAACACTGTTAAAAAGTTGTCACATGATTTTTAGGTCAGTAGTCTCCTTTTCGAGCTGTTACTGAGACACTGACTTTATTACTTGAGTTCAATGGAGATGTTCATCAACTGGGGAGGAAGCAAATTGACTGTAGTTTCAAAAACATCCCATATGTCTTAAACAATAAAATAAAGGTGAGATGACAGATTCCTTTTTGGAAACTCTGACATAAAATCTAAATTTCTAGAGTAGCTTTCAAGCTTTCATTAGTTTAAAGAAACTAATGTCCAAAGAAATATGATAGCTAGGGGAAAAGATGTTACTCATCCGTTAGACAGGTTATGCAGACTTGAGTTCTTGCTTTAAGACAAACATTTCCTGAAACTATTTCCACCTCCATCAATAATTAACTCTGTAACTCCAAATAGTTTTCTTCATTTGCTTAAGGCTCAGCTCTTTCTGTTTGAAAGGGAACAGAATTATCAATGCAAAGTCTTTGAGGTTGGAGGTAAGTCAAACCCATTCACCTATTCACTTTTCATTCTCCAGTCAAAGGTGAACTTAATTTGGGTAGAAGAGTCTTCATTAAATCATTGATTCAAAAAATATATTAGGCAGTTATGGAAAGTCTGATGATTTGCAAAGGAATGCTATATGTCTCTCATATATATGCATATATATAAACACACATATATGTAGTGTTTTAAACACAACAAGAAAATATAAACATTAAATTCAGGATAGACATTACTTTTGAAGAGTAAAGAACAGAGAAGGTATACAGCAAGCTGGTCCAAACCACAGCCTGCAGGCCACATGCAGGCCAGGACGGCTTTGAATGCGGCCCAGCATAAATTTGTAAACGTTCTTAAAACATTATTAGATTTTTTTGTGATTTTTTGTTAGCTCAATGACTATCCTTAGTGTTAGTGTATTTTATGTGTGGCCCAAGACAATTCTTCTTCTTTCAGTGTGGCCCAGGGAAGCCAAAAGATTGGACATTTCTAGGGTATATGGGGAGCTTTAGCTGATTCTGTAATATTTCCATCCTCTAAAACAGCATCAAATATTACTGGGTGGGTTTTTATTGTATTAGTCTCTGTGCTTGTTACATTTTCTCTGTACTGTAAAATATTTCATTATTAAAAGATTCTGTACACAAGAATTATGCTCACTCAGAATGTATTAAATGACTACGTCTTTGCCTTCTCTCATACTTAGAAACGTCATATGACTTGTTCTTTACACCATCATTCCAACCATCCTTTTCTAAGCATTATAATTAATTTTCCTGTTTTCCTGTCATTGTATTCATGCTTTTAGGGCTAAAATTGCCATTGGAAGTGTATCAGATATTGTATGCATATATAGTTCTAAATCCACTATGTTCTATTTCACAGATTTAACTTTGATTTTGTTTTTTAGTGCTTTGGTCATAGGCTCCATTAACAGCTAGCCCATATTGTTCTTTATTGGGATCCATTCTTTTCTCTCCAAGTTGACTACCCTTGTCAAGCACCCAGCAAGGTAGAATTCAGCACCAATGGTATCTGTCCCTTCCCGTTAGTCTTCCCAACATCAGCCCTAGTCCCTATAATCTATTCAAAATACATCTGCAAAAAATTCAATGTCATTCTATTAGGTGAAATTCTGCCTATAAAATACCTCTCGTTACTTCTAGAATTCCCCTGAATATACACTAATCTTATAATTGTCAGCTTAAAGTCTATTTACACTCATTTGAATGACCAAAATTTGTGGGAATCAGAAAAAGATAAGCAAGAATTTTCCAACTAACAATTGTCTAGTGTAAGGATAAAAAAGGGAATAAAATATTGATCTATTGTGGCCAAAATTAAATTCAGTCAATATGACTTCGGAACATGCACTGGCAAAGGTCACAATTCTTTAGTGTGTGCTTCAAGCAAAAGTAGCCAAATGTTTATTATTATTTAGAGTCAAACTAATGTCATGTGTCCCTTGAACATCAAGGCTCTATGCAATTTTTTTCTTATCTGAAAGCAGACTGAAGACAAAAAGTCACTTCTTCAGCACTGATACTGTGATTGCAAAGGAAAAGAGAAAACTAAAGCCAAAGTTCTTAAGTTTTCAAAAAGCATGTACATTTGATTTTAAGAAGTGAATTTCCCCAGCTGGGCAGACTGCTTGAGCCCAGGAGTTCAAGACTAGCCTGGGCAACATACTGAGACCCCATCTCTGCAAAAAATACAAAAATTAGCCTGGCTTGGTGACATGTGCCTGTAATCCCAGCTACTCAGGAGGCTGAGGTGGGTGGATCACTTGAGCCTAGGTGGTCAAGGCTGCAGTGAGCTGTGATCACACCACTGCAATCCAGCCTGGGCAACAGAGCAAGACCTTGTCTTAAAAAAAAAAAAAAAAAAAAGGTGAATTTCCCCTTCTCTATTACCCTGCTTGGTGTCAGTTTTCTGCTGCAGGCTCTACTACACGTCTCATAACAAAACACGAGACTGAGTAACAGAACTTCCACAGGGATGAGGTAGAATCCATCACTTATTACTAAATCCATATCTATTAACAATAGAGTAAAATGTCTTTAGTTTCTTTATCTGACAATGGGGACTAAAATACCTAATTCTTAAGGTTGTTAGGGGAATTCGATGAGAAGAAAAAATTAAATTAAATTAACATGAACAGGAATGGGTCCTAGTTGGCTAAGAAGGCTCATTCTACTTTTTTTCTTTTTTAAAAAACTTTTTTTGTTTTCATAGGTTTTTGAGGAATAGGTGTTATTTGGTTACATGAGTAAGTTCTTTAGTGGTAATTTGTGAGACTTTGGTGCACCCATCACCCAAGCAGTATACACTGAACCCAATTTGTAGTCTTTTATCCCTCACACCCTTCCCATCCTTTCCCTGAGTCCCCAAAATCTATTGTGTCATTCTTATGCCTTTGCATCCGCATAGCTTCCACTTATAAGTTAGAACATACGATGTTTGGTTTTCCATTCCTGAGTTACTTCACTTAGAATAATAGTCTCCAATCTCATCCAGGTTGCTGCAAATGTCATTAATTCATTTCTTTTTATGGCTGAGTAGTATTAGATCATATATATATAAATATGTGTGTGTGTGTGTGTGTGTGTGTGTGTGTGTGTGTGTGTGTGTGTGTATGGATTGTGGAACCAGCCCAAATGCCCATCAATCAACGAGGGGATAAATAAACTGTGTCCACTTTGTTGATTGATGGGCATTTGGGCTGGTTCCACATTTTCACAATTGTGAATTGTGCAGCTATAAACATGAGTGTGCAAGTATCTTTTTCACATAATGACTTCTTTTCCTTGGGTAGATACCCAGTAATGGGATTGCTGGATCAAATGGTTCTACTTTTAGTTCTTTACCATAGTGGCTATAATAGTTTACATTCCCACTAGCTGTGCAGAGGTGTTCCCTATTCACCGCATCCATCTCAACGTCTATTACTTTTTGATTTTATTATGGCCATTCTTGCAGGAATAAGGTGGTATCACATTGTGGTTTTGATTTGCATTTCCCTGATCATTAGTGATGTTGAGCATTTTTTCCTGTTTGTTGGCCATTTGTATATCTTCTTTTGAGAATTCTCTATTAATGTCCTTAACCCACTTTTTGATGGGATTGTTTGATTTTTTTTTCTTGCTGATTTGTTTGAGTTCTTTTTAGATTCTGGATGTTAGTCCTTTGTCAGATGTATAGATTGCGAAGATTTTCTCCCACTCTGTGGGTGCTCTATTTACTCTGCTGACTTCCTTTTGCCATGCAAAAGTTCTTTAGTTTAATTAAGTCCCAGCCATTTCTCTGTTTTTTCTGCATTTGCTTTTAGGTTCTTGGTCATGAAAAACTTGCTTAAGCCAATGTCTAGAAGGGTTTTTCCAATGTTATCTTCTGGAATTTTTAAGTTTCAGGTCTTAGATTTAAGTCCTTCATCCATCTTGAATTGAGTTTTGTAGATGAGAGATGAGGATCCAGTTTCATTCTCCTACATGTGGCTTCCCAATTATCCCAGCACTATTTGTTGAATAGGGTGTCCTTTCCCCACTTTATGTTTTTGTTTCCTTTGTTGAAGATAAGTTGGCTGTAAGTATTTGGCTTTATTTCTGGTTCTCTGTTCTGTTCCATTGGTCTATGTATCTATTTTTATACCAGTACCATGCTGTTTTGGTGACTATGGCCTTATAGTATAGTTTGAAGCCTCCAGATTTGTTCTTTTGCATAGTCTTGCTTTGGCTATGTAGGCTCTTTTTTGGTTCCATATAAATTTTAGGATTGCTTTTCTAGTTCTGTTAAGAATGATGGTAGTATTTTGATGGAAATTGCACTGAATTTGTAGATTGCTTTTGGCAGTATGGTCATTTTCACAATATTTATTCTACCCACCCATGAGCATGAGATGTGTTTCCATTTGCTTATGTCATCTATGATTTACTTCAGCAGTGTTTTGCAGTTTTCCTTGTAGAGGTCTTTCACCTTCTTGGTTAGATATATTCCTAAGTATTTTATTCTTTTTGCAGCTACTGTAAAAGGGGTTGATTTCTTCATTTGATTCTCCACTTGGTCGCTGTTGGTGTATACGAGAGTTACTGACTTGTGTACATTAATTTTGTATCCAGAAGCTTTGCTGAATTTTTTATCAGTTCTAGGAGCTTTTTGGAGGAGTCTTTAGGGTTTTCCAGGTATATAATCATATCATCAGCAAACAGCCACAGTTTGACTTCCTTGTGACTGATTTGGATGCCTTTTATTTCTTTCTCTTGTCTGATGGCTCTGGCTTGGATTCCAGTACTATGTTGAAGAGAAGTGGTGAAAGTGGGCATCCTTGCCTTGTTCCTGTTTTCAGAGGGAATGCTTTCAACTTTTCCCCATTCAGTATTATTTTGGCTCTGGGTTTATCATAGATGGCTTTTCTTACATTCAGGTATGTCTGCTGAATGCCAATTTTGCTAAGGGTTTTAAACATAAAGCCATGCTGGATTTTGTCAAATGCTTTTTCTTGGTCTATTGAGATGATCGTGTGATTTTTGTTTTTATTCTGTTTATGTGTTGTATCACATTTATTGACTGATGTATGTTAAACCACTCCTGTATCCCTGGTATGAAACTCACTTGATTATGCTGGATTATCTTTTTGACATGTTGTTGGATTTGGTTAGCTAGTACTTTGTTAAGGATTTTTGCATGTATGTTCATCAGGGATATTGGTCTGTAGTTTTCTTTTTTGGTTATGTCCTTTCTTGGTTTTGGTATTAGGGTGACACTGGCTTCACAGAATGATTTAGGGAGAATTCCTTCTTTCTCTACCTTGTGGAATAGAGTCAATAGGATTGGTACCAATCGTACTTTGAATGTCTGGTAGAATTCAGCTGTGAATCCATCTGGTCTTGGACTTTTTTTTGTTGCTAAGCTTTTAATTACCATTTGAATCTCACTGCTTGTTATTGGTCCGTTCAGGGTGTCTAATTCTTCCTGATTTAAGCTAGGAGGGTTGTATCTTTCCAGGAATTTATCTATCTCCTCTAGGTTTTCTGGTTTACGGGTGTAGAGGTGTTTATAGTAGCCTTGAATGATCTTTTGTATTTCTGTAGTGTCAGTTGTAATACCTCCTGTTTCATTTCTAATTGAACTTATTTGGATTTTCTCTCTTCCTTTCTTGGTTAATCTTGCTAATGGTCTATTAATTTTCTTTATCTTTCCAAATAACCAACATTTTATTTCATTTATCTTTTGCAATTTTTTTTGTTTCAATTTCATTTAGTTCTGCTCTGATTCTGGTTATTTCCTTTCTTCTGCTGGGTTTGGGTTTGGTTTGTTCTTGCTACTCCAGTTCCTTGAAGTGTGATCTCAGAATGTCCGTGTGTGCTCTTTCAGACTTTTTGATGTAGGCATTTAGGGCTATGAACCTTCCTCTTAGCACCACCTTTGCTGTATCCCAGAGGTTTTGACAGGTTGAGCCACTATTGTCATTCAGTTTGAAGAATTTTTAAATTTCCGTCTTGATTTCATTTCTGACCCAATGATCATTCAGGAGCAGGTTATTTAATATCCATGTATTTGCATGGTTTTGAAGGTTCCTTTTGGAGTTGATTTCCACTTTTATTCTGCTGTGGTCTCAGAGAATGTTTGATATAATTTCAATTTCCTTAAATTTATTGAGACTTTTGTGGCCTATCATATGGTCTGTCTTGGAGAAGGTTCCATGTGCTGATGAATCAAATGCATATTCTGTGGTTGTTGGGTAGCATGTTGTGTAAATATCTATTAAGTCCATTTGTTCCAGGGTATAGTAAAAATACATTGTTTCTTTGTTGACTTTCTGTCTTGATGACCTGTCTAATGCTGTCAGTGAAGTACTGAAGTCCCCACTATTACTGTGTTGCCATCTATCTCGTTTCTTAGGTCTAGTAGTAACTGTTTATAAATTTGGGAGCTCCAGTGTAAGGTGCATAAATATTTAGAATTGTGACATTTTCCTGTTGGACAAGGCCTTTTATCATTATATAATGTTCCTCTTTGTCTTTTTTAACTGCTGTTGCTTTAAAGTTTGTTTTGTCTAATATAAGAATAGCTACTCCTGCTCGCTTTTGGTGTCCATTTGCATGGAAAGTCTTTTTCCACTCCTTTACCTTAAGTTTATGTGAGTCCTTATGTATTAGGTAAGTCTCTTGAAGGCAGCAATAGTTGGTTGGTGAATTCTTCTCCATTCTGCCATTCCGTATCTTTTAAGTGGAGCACTTAGGCCATTTACATTCAATGTTAGTATTGAGATGTGAGGTACTATTGCATTCATTATGCTATTTATTGCCTGTATACCTTGGATTTTTATTTTTTTTTCCTAAATTGTATTTTTGTTTTATAGATCCTGTGAGATTTATGCTTTAAAGAGGTTCTGTTTTGATGTGTTTCCAGAATTTGTTTCAAAATTTAGAGCTCCTTTTAGCAGTTCCTGAAGTGCTGGCTTGGTAATGGCAAATTCTCTCAGGATTTGTTTGACCGAAAAAGACTGTATCTTTCCTTCATTTGTGAAGCTTAGTTTCACTGGATACAAAACTTTCGGCTGATAATTGTTTTGTTTGAGGAAGCTGAAGATAGGTCTCCAATCCCTTCTAGCTTGTAGGATTTCTGCTGAGAAATCTGCCGTAAATCTGATAGGTTTTCCTTTATAGGTTACCTGGTGCTTTTGCCTCACAGCTCTTAAGATTCTTTCCCTCGTCTTAACTTTAGACTACCTGATGACAGTGTGCCTAGGCGATGATCTTTTTGTGATGAATTTCCCAGATGTTCTTTGTGTGTCTTGTATTTGGATGTCTACGGCTCTAGCAAGGCCAAGGAAGTTTTCCTCGATTATTCTCCCCAATATGTTTTCCAAACTTTTAGATTTCTCTTCTTCCTCAGGAACACCGATTATTCTTAGGTTTGGTCATTTAATGTAATCCCAGATTTCTGGGAGGCTTTGCTCATTTTTTCTTAGTCTTTTTTCTTTGTCTTTGTTGGACTGTGTTAATTCAAAAACCTGTCTTCAAGCTCTGACACTCTTTTTTCTGCTTGTTCGACTCTATTGCTGAGACTTTCCAGAGCATTTTGCATTTCTTTCGTGCATCCAGTATTTCCTAAAGTTTTTATTGTATTTTATTTATGCTGTCTATTTCACTAAAGATTTCTTCCCTCATTTCTTCTATCATTTTTTTTTTATTTCGTTAAATTGGACTTCACCTTTCTCTGGTGCCTCCTTGATTAGCTTAATTACTGACTTTCTGGATTCTTTTTCAGGTCAATCAGGGATTTCTTCTTGGTTTGGATCCATTGCTGGTGAGCTGGTGTGATTTTTCGGGGGTGTTAAAGAAACTTGTTTTGTCATATTTCCAGAATTGTTTTTCTGGTTCCTTCTCATTTGAGTGGGCTATGTCAGGGGGAAGATGTGGGGTTCAAGGCTGCTGTTCAGATTCTTTGTCCCATGAGGTGTTCCCTTGATGTAGTACTCTCCCTCTTTTCCTAGGGATGTGGCTTCCTGAGAGCCAAGTTGTAGTGACTGTCATCTCTCTTGTGGATCTAGCCACCCAGCAGGTCTACCAGGCTCTGGGCTGGTGCTGGGGGTTGTCTACACTGGGTCCTGTGATGTGAACCATCTGCAGATTTCTCAGCTATGGGTACCAGCTCCAGAGGAGGTGGCAGGGGGGGTGAAATGGACTCTGTGAGGTTCCTTAAGTTTTGGTTGTTTAATGAACTATTTTGTGCTGATTGGCCTCCTACCAGGAGGTGGCGCTTTGAAGAGAGCATCAGCTGTGGTAATATAGGGAGCATCAGGCAGTGGATGGGGACCTAGAACTCCCAAGAGTATATGCCTCTTGTCTTCAGCTACTAGAGTGAGCCAGGAAGGACCATCAGGTTGGGGCAAGGCTAGGCACGTCTGAGCTCTGACTCTCCTTGGGCAGGAGTTGCTGCAGCTGCTATGGGGGATGGGGGTGTGGTTCCCAGGCCAATGGAGTTATGTTCCCAGGAAGATTATGGCTGCCTCTGCTGTGTCATGCAGGTTGGTCAGGGAAGTGGGGGAAAGCCAGCAATTACAGGCATCACCCAGCTTCCACACAACCCAAAAGGCCACTGTCACTCCCACCATGCACCCCACAACAGCACCAAGTTTGTTTCCAGGCAGTGGGCAAGCAGGGCTGAGAACTTGCCCCAGGCTACCAGCCTCCCAGCTGTGAAAGCCAGCTGGGCTCTTTCAATTGCCCTGACATACCAGTCACACAATGCAGACATTTAAAATCATGCCTCATCTCCTGGAGTTTTAAGTTGTTTGTAAAGAAAATACAAGTATGTGTAGACACAGATGTTTATACATGTGTATATGTTCACACATATGCATATGTATATTATGAAAATATGTGTATACACATACGTTTGTATGCACATATGTATGAAAGTTAAATCCATGTATGTCAAGGATCTCCCATCCAATTGAAAACAAATGTAGTTGCACAGACTTCTGACCAATAATTTGTATTTTCTATTTGAGAAGATGCTCTTGTTCCTTCCTCACTCAGTGAAGGGGCCATAATCAGCCTAACAATCTGTCAATGCTTACATTTTTCCAATAAATGCCAGTGAACTTGCACTCCTGCATAAGAAAATAAGCCATTTCACAAAATCCAACCCCATTACAATGCACACAATGAAGTTCTTAGCTGACTGGCTGATGCCATATGAGCTGCATGCTGATTGCAAGAGTTGTGAGTTGCTCACACATCAGCTATATTCATACTGCAGCACCTCATGTTCTAAATAACAAGGGCCCTTTTTTCACTAAGAGCATGGGAAGACAGTGAGACTGAGCTGCCCACTTGAACCGAGCATCATGATTTCTGGTCCTAGCCACTATTACATGGTATTACATATTGACTGTAAAGCTATACTTAGAAAATGAGCAGCATGAAACAATGGGTGAACATGAGATCATGAGGTTGCCAAGCAGGAAACACTGTAGCAACAGTGTTTACACCTATGATACTCACAGGGTGATCCTGGGCAAGTTTAAGTGTCTCTTCTGGAGAAACAATCAGACCGTTAAGTTCTCTTGAACTCTTATATTTTGAGTCCAAGTCCTATATTAATTAAGTCTTGTATCTTGATCCTGCAATATTTGACACAACTGGCCATTCCACCTTGTTTGGATCACTGCTGCTGTGCTCATTCCCTTTCTGTCCCAACCCTCTGCTTCTCTTGCCTTGTGCACAGACCACCCTTGGTCTGTCAATGCCAGTGACACCTGGGGTTCCATCCTCAGCCTTCTTTTCACACCACGTGCTCCTGCTAGGTGAACTCACCCACTCCCTGTATGCTGGGCAATCACTGCCTCTAACCATCTCTATATCCCTGGACACCCAATGTCATTTGGACACCCAAACGTCGGCACCTGAGGCTCAAAATCCAAAAACAAACAAAACATATTATCTTTCTCCCAGGAATCCACTGTTTCTTCCTTCCATCTCTGTCAAGGACACTATTATTCACTCAATGTCCCAGGTCCTTGAGTCTTCCTTCGCCTTCAACCCCCCTTTATCCCAGGCATCAAACCTCAAAGTTCTGCATTGGAAATATCCGTTTCATTTACTTCCTTTGCTCCATTCCCTCAGTCTCTTCCCCAGCCCAACACACCTAGTCTTTACCTTTCTTCAAGAGGTAGGCTGGCATTAGCTGAGTGCCACAGCCAGACCTGTAAGCCAGGCTGTCAATTGATTAATCATGACAGAGCAGTCACAAAGTCCAGACTATTTGCTTTGACATGAATGAGAGTTACTCCTCCTGCAGAAAAATCTACACAGGAGGTTGCTTGCAAAACACAGAAAAAGAACAAGAGGAGTTTGAGATCTTAAGAAGTGCTGTTCAGACAGATGGCCTAAGGCACTGTCACCAAAGAGCAATTCTTACATATCCAGAGGCCAACACTCCTAATCCCCCAGTGCTTTAATATTCTCAGCCAACCTGAAACTCAAAATCTCTGCAATAGGCAACCCATATGATGTCTCTGTGCCTCCACCCTTTTCTTAGTTGGGTAAAGCTAATCAACTGTTGCTCTGGCCTAGCCTGGGATAACCTCTTTAGGGAGACTAGATAAATCTCATTCTTGTTTCACCATATGTGAATTAAACAAAACAACACAAAAAAGCCTTAACCCTGAGTTTTCTTCTTCGTCCATCTCAACCTTTCATGATCCTCCTGCGGTTTTCTCTGGTCTCCACCTCCCAAGAAGTGTTTATCCCCATAAGATATTGTTCTAACATTAAGACAACATATGTTATTAGTCATCCTTTAAGTGACCAACAATCAGTTGGAAATTTTCAACTCTGAGTGAAAGATCTGTGTCTTAAATCTTCTACGTAGGACTGGCTCTCAGGAAGCTATGTTCACTCAGCCTGGGCATGAAGACTTCCTCCACAATTTCACACAGTCTGTTTGATCCTGGGCACTCCCTATGCCTCTTTCTCATCTGCAAAATGAAAATAAAACCACCTACATCAAAGGGTTAGAATGAGGATTAAATGAGGCAATACTTGTAAAGTATGTAGAACAGCATTCAACACATGGCAAGGGCTCCATAACTCTTAACTATCATTACTATTTTTATATAGCTGGCTTATGACGTACACCCAATAAATGACTTCAAGTTTCATGAGTATGGGCCAGTGCCAATGGCTAGACAAACTACCAACTACAATATGACTCTAGGACAGACATCTCCTATTAGATTTGAAGAAGACACAAGTGTAGAATGAAGGAGGGCTTCATTCTTACAAAGTGGTTAAGCAGTACGTCACGTAAATGAGAGACTCTGTGTTGCTTTTTTGTTAAATTTATGTGTCAGGATTTGGCTGACTTCTTACTTTTCCCTTGTTTGCATTTTTAAAGTTATTTAATGTTTAATATTATAAAACCACTTGAGATTGCTACTAACTAAATCTGTACTTTGTACAAGCAGCTCTGAAAATGTTAAGTGTAAAATTTAGTAGGGCTGGAAAGTGAAAAGTACAGCAGTGAATTTCCATGGCAATGTGGTGTTATAAATAAGACATGATACACGGATAAATCGACCAATGAAGATGTACAGATGAACAAAGTAAGTATGTTTATTCATGGGTTTTAAAATCTTTTTGTATTCTGGTATTTTATAGCCACAAAATTAAATAATCTAACCTTCAAAGTCATCATGTAAGACCTTTAAACTGAGTCTCTAAACAAAAGTTGCAAACTTAAATCTCTACAGGGTCTAGGCAGGTTAAGGCAATTGAGGAGCTGGTTAAACTTGGCTCTCAGAGTACTGAGATGAATGGTTATTGGCACACAGTTTCTATGCTGATAATGCTGGGGAATGTGGCTATTTCAATACCCCACTGAAATAAGGGCTGGTCAAATGTCAAGAAAGAATGCAAACTCAAGTGTTGTCAGATTTTCCCCATTTTTTCACAGAAAGCTGAAAATCTGATGTTTTATAAGACATCAGACTTTTTAGATGCTGGTGATTAATCCTATTAAAAATAAAAATCAGGCCAGGCACACTGGCTCATGTCTGTAATCCCAGTACTTTGAGAGGCTGAGGTGGGCATATCACCTGAGGTCAGGAGTTCGAGACCAGCCTGGCCAACATGGTGAAACCTCGTCTCTACTAAAAATACAAAAAATTAGCCAGGTATGGTGGTGTGTGCCTGTAGTTCCAGTTACTCTGGAGGCTGAGGCATGAGAATTGCTTGAATCTGGGAGGCGGAGGTTGCAGTGAGCCGAGATTGCACCACTGCACTCCAGCCTAGGCGGCAGGGCAAGACTCTGACTCAAAAAATAAATAAATAAAAAATAAAAATCACACAGGCCAAATCGTGCAGGCTAGATTCAACTTGGGGCTACCAGTTCACAACCTGTGCTTTAAACTCTTTAACAGTATAACTATAGTATGTGGCAGAGATGGGTGGGATGGTCTACTCTTCTTACACTCTAAACTATATTCCATATAGAATGAAAGTCTGCTTTCCTGAAGCATAGAATTTTCATAGGGAAAATTCACTCTTGCATTAAATTATTAAATAATAATCTAATGAACTTTTGCTCAGTTCTCCGTTTGGAAAATATCTACCAAATAAAAATGAAATCAAATCAAATACATTCTATTTGTTATTATGCTAACAACTGGATGGCCATTCATTAAGATATACCGAGGATTTAGTAAATACCAAGACATACTACTAGGTGCTGGGAATATAAATATGAATTAAGTCAAAGTCCTTCCCTCAAGGGGCTGACAAGCTAATCTCCAAAGCTGCTTCCCGATGGATGGGCAACAGCTGTAAATCTAAGGAAGCCTTACCTATTCTAAAAAAAATCAGTCGGCCGGGAGTGGTGGCTCACGCCTGTAATCCCAGCACTTTGGGAGGCCGAGGTGGGTGGATCATGAGGTCAGGAGATCGAGACCATCCTGGCCAACATGGTGAAACCCCGTCTCTACTAAAAATACAAAAAATTAACCAGGCGTGGTGGTGGGCGCCTGTAGTCCCAGCTACTTGGGAGGCTGAAGCAGGAGAACGGCATGAACCCGGGAGGCAGAGCTTGCAGTGAGCCGAGGTCGCGCCACTGCACTCCAGCCTGGGCAACATAGCGAGATGCCATCTCAAAAAAAAAAAAAAAAAAAAACAGTCACATCTTTTGTCTTCACTCCCAGCTTGTGACAATATTTGGAGTTACCTCTATTTTCAAGGTCAACCTGCCCTAGTGTCACTGGGAAAAAAAAGCCTGGAGAACTCAGTCTTTCCACATCAAACCTGTTAAGCCCTGTTAAAACAGAGATGGTGTCCCTTCTCACCCCTTCTCTGGGTAAGCGGCAAGGAAAGAGTGGTTGAGTAGAGAGGCCGAAGAGAACAAGGCAGAATACAAACCTCAAAGAAAGTTCCTGAGAGCTAAGTAGTTTTCCCAATGTCCAAATCCTCTCAAGACTTTAGGGTAACACAGAGCAGGGAAAAATGGGCAAGGCTTCAGTGGCTCTCAACAGGGGACTGTCATTAAAGGTATGAAGGTCCCCACTCCATGGCAGTGGAGGAAGAGCTCATGGACATAGGAGCTGAGGGTGACCAGGCCCTTTCTGGTATTGTTCTGAACCTAAAAAGGACTTGGAGCGAAAAGATTCTTGACATTATGAAACATTTATCAAGAATGAACTATATTCTTATATTTATCTTTCCTCTTCTAGTAAAAAGCACAATAAAGGCACATCAATGTTCATACTTTGAGAAACAACAAAAAGGAAATGTAATCCATCCCACTGTCAAAGATTTCATCATAAGATTTTTTTAAAGTTTGTAAACTTATAAAAGAAGGGAGGCCAGGGGTGGTGACTACTCACAGTCCCAGCTACTTGGGAGGCTGAAGCGGGAGGATCCCTTGAGCCCAAGAGTTTAAGACTGCAGTGGGTAGGTGGGGAGGCAATCAGTAAGAAATTTCCAGGCTAGGCTTGAGATAGAACCAACCATCCAAGATAACCTCTCCCTACTGATGCCCTTGAAGTCACCTTTGACAGATGCACCCTAAATGGAAAATGAAGTAAAAAGATACAGGCAGCAGGTAAACCTGGCACTGCCTAGAGCTCTAGCATTGTGTGGGTATCCAAAATATTCAAACTATCTAAAGAGGTGACCAACCCTGACACTGACTCATTGGAGGAGTTCCACAAACTCCTACAAATCTCAGCTTTGGAATAAAATAATCAACATGAGAAAAAAATATTGGAAATCTCTTCTATGTTATGAATTCATAACTCATGTTTCAAAATGCATTGCCCTTCAAAAGATACCATAAATAAAAGGCAAGCCATAGACTAGGGGAAAATGTTTGCAAGTCATTAAACCCACAAAGGATTTGTATAAAGAACTCTTAAAACTCAATAGTACAAAAATAAACACAACTTTAAAATGTGCAAAAGATCTAAACAGATATCTACCAATACATAAATTACCAATAATCAAATGATAATGCAACATCATTATTCAACAGGGAAATAAAAATTAAATCTATAATGAGATATCACTTCACACCCCACTAGAATGGCTATAATTGAAGAGATAATAGCAATGTTTTTGAGGATGCAGTGAAACTGGAACCCCAATACACTGCTGGTGGGAAGATGAAATGGTGTATCTTAGAAAGTTTGATAATTTCTTAGATATTCATGTTCATATTTCATATCTCTAAATGTGAATTTATCATATGACTCAGTAAGCAATTTCTCTTTTAGGTAGCTGCCCAAGAGAAATGAAGACATGTCCAGGCAAAGGCTTCTATCCGAATGTTCACAGCAGCATTATTCATAGTAGCCAAAAAGCAAAGACAATGAAAAATACCCACTCAATGGTGAATGGATAAACAAAGTGAGGTATATCCATTCAAATGAAGCACTCATATATTCTCTGAGCTATATGAAACTCAAAAGCATTATGCCAAGTGGAAGAAGTTAGCCACAAATACCACATATTGGGTGATTCCACTTATATGAAATGTTCTGAAAAGGCAAATCTATTGCGACAGAAAATAGATTAGTGGTGGTTGCCTGGGACTGGGAGTACAAGGGAGTGAAAGCATATGGCCTGTCCACAGTTGCTCTGTTTGCTCCACAGGGAACTCAGCTCACAACTGAGGTTCTCTCTCTGATGCATTCAGAAGGATGGAACATACATTAAAGAACAGATAACTGATACTCAAGATATTTCATGATAGAAGCAAACACTGAGGTAATGTTCCATTCCGTGTGAGCCCAGAGCCAACTCCTTCATATGGGGAGGGTATTTTGTAATTCTCTTCTCTTTGTATGCTTCCAAAATATATTGTAATGACTACTGATTGATTTAAAATTTTGCAGCAAACCTTTTATACTTTCTTTATTAACCCCTGAAAAGACTGCAAAAACATAAAACATTTCTATTAAGATATACTAGTTTTGGCCTGGCACAGTGGCTCACGCCTGTAATCCCAGCACTTTGGAAGGCCGAGGCAGGCGGATCACAAGATCAGGAGATCGAGATCATCCTGGCCAACATGGTGAAACCCCGTCTCTACTAAAAATACAAAAATTAGCCGGGCATAGTGGCATGTGTCTGTAATCCCAGCTACTTGGGAGGCTGAGGCAGGAGAATCGCTTGAACCAGGGAGTTGGAGGTTGCAGTGAGCTGAGATCATGCCACTGCACTCTAGCCTGGCAACAGAGCAAGACTCCGTCTCAAACAAATAAACAAACAAAAAAAAGATATACTAGTTTTGATTACTGGGAAGAGTAACTTAAAAGAGTTTTTTTAAAAAGTAATGAATTATCTCTTATAATCAAAGTAAGGAAAGATGTTGCAACATTATTCCCTATACCAAGGGTTAGTAAATTTTTTCTAGAAGGCCAGTTAGTAAACATTTTAGGATTTGTGCACCAAGAAGAAAAACTAAGGATATTATGTAAGTGTTTATATAACCATTTAAAAATGTAAAAACCATTTAAAAATGTAAAATATAACCATTTAAAAATGTAAAAACCCATTGTAATAGTCCATTCTTGCATTGCTATAAAGAAATGACTGAGACTGGGTAATTTATAAAGAAAAGAGGTTTAATTGGCTCATGGTTCTACAGGCTGTACAGGAACCACAGCAGCATCTGCTTCTTGAGAGGCCTCAGGAAACTTACAATCATGCCAGAAGGCAAAGGGGATGCAGGCACATCTTACATGGCCAGAGCAGGAGCAAGAGAGAGAGGGGGAAGGTGCCACACACTTTTAAACAACCAGATCTCATGAGAACTCACTATTGCAATGACAGTACCAAGGCAGATGATGTTAAACCAAGAGAAACCAACCCCATGATTTTCTAATCACCTTCCACCAGGTCCCACCTCCAGCATGGGGATTACATATCAGTATGAGATTTGGGTGGGTACAGAGATCCAAACCATATCAACCTGCCCCTGGCCCCTTCCAAATCTCATGTTTTTCTCACATTTCAAAATAAAATCATACCTTCCCAACAGTCCCCCAAAGTCTTAATTCATTCCATCATTAACTCAAGACCACAGTATGAAGTCTCAACTGAGACAAGGCTAATTCCTTCTCCCTATGAGCCTGTAAAATAAAAAACAACTTAGTGTGCTCACTTTGGCAGCAAATATACTAAAACAGGAAGGATCCAGAGAACATTAGCATGGCCCCTGCACAAGGATGAGACACAAACTCTTGAACCATTCCATACTTAAAACCAACAACAACAAAAACAAGTTAGTTACTTCCAAGATACAATGGTGGTATAGGCATTGGGTAAATACTTCCATTCCAAAAGGGAGAAATTAGCCAAAAGAAAGGGGATACAGGCCCTATACAAGTCTGAAACCCAGGAGGGCAGTCATTAAATCTTAAAGCTCCAAAATAATCTCCTTTGACACCATGTCTCACATCCAGGGCACACTGGTGTAAGAAGTTGGTTCCCCAGGCCTTCCTTGGGCAGCTCCACCCCTTGTGGCTTTGCAGGGCTCAGTCCCCATAGTTGCTCTCCAGGGCTGGCAGTGAGCACTGCAGCTTTTCCAGGTGCAGGGTCCAAGCTGCTGGTGGATCTACCATTTTGGGTCTGGAGGACAGTGGCCCTCTTCTCACAGTAATGCTAGGCAGTGCCCCAGTGGGGACTCTGTGTGGGGGCTCTAACCCCACATTTCCCCTCTGCACTGCCCTAGTACAGGTTCTCCATGAGGGCTCTGTCCCTGCAGCAGGCTTCTGCCTGGACATCCAGGCTTTTCTATACATCCTCTGAAATCTAGGTGGAGGCCCCCAAGCCTTAACTCTTACACTCTGTGCACCTGCAGGCTTAACACCAAGAGGAAGCTACCAAGGCTTATGACTGGCAGCCCTGAAGCAACATCTCAAGCTGTACCTGGGCCCCTTTGAGCCATGGCTGGAGCAGCTGGGATGTAGGGAGCAGTGTCCCAAGGCAGGGAAGCAGGGTCCTGGGCCTAGCCCAGGAAACCATTCTTCCACTCCTAGGACTCTTGGTCTGTGATGGGAGGGGGTGCCATGAATGCCTCTGAGGCCTTCTCCCCATGGTCTTGGCTGTTAGCACTAGGCTCCTCTTTATCTATGCAAATTTCTGCAGCCTGCTTGAATCCCTCCCCTGAATATGGGCTTTTCTTTTCTACCACATGGCCAGGCTGCAAATTTTCCAAACTCTTATGCTCTGCTTCCCTTTTAAATATTACGTAAGTTCCAATTGGATATCATTTCTTTGCTCACACATATGAGCACAGGATGTTAGAAGCAGCCAGGCTACATCTTGAATGCTTTGCTGCTTAGAAATTTCTTCCACCACATACCCTAAACCATCACTCTCAAGTTCAAAGTTCCACAGATGCCTAGCAGCATCACAATGCCTCAAAGTTCTTTGCTAAAGAATAACAAAAGTGACCTTTGCTCCAGTTCCCAATAAGTTCCTCATATCCGTCTGAGACTTCATCAGTTTGGCCATCTTTGTCCATATCACTATCAGCATTTGGATCACAACCATTCAACAAATCTCTAGGAAGTTCCAAACTTTCCTCATCTTCCTGTGACTTGTTGAACTGGGTAATGGGCAGACATTGGAACAGTCTGGAGGGCTTCTTCTGAGAAGCCCATTACCCAATTCCAAAGCTGCTTCCACATTTTCAGGTATTTTTTATATCAATACCCCACTCTCAGTACCAATTTTCTGCATTAGTCCATTCTCACATGGCTCTAAAGAAATACCTGAGACTGAGTAATTTATAAAGAAAAGAGGTTTAATTGGCTCATGGTTCTACAGGCTGTACAGGAAGCACAGTGGCTGCTACTTCTGGGGAGACCTCAAAAAACTTACTATCATGGCAGAAGGCAAAGGGGAAGCAGGCACATCTTACGTGGCCAAAGCAGGAGCGAGAGAGAGAGAGGGGAGGTGCCACATACTCCATACTCTTAAACAACCAGATCTCATGAGAACTCACTGTAGCAATGACAGTACCAAGGAGGGATGATGTTAAACCATGAGAAACTGTCCCCAGGATTCGGTCACCTCCCCAGGCCCCACTTCCAGCATTGAGAATTACATTTCAACATGAGATTTGGCTGGGGACATAGATCCAAACCACATCACCCTTCTTATTTCACAAGTCATACAAAAACTGGCAGCAGGCCAGATTTGATTGACTGACCCTAGTTTACCAACCCCTGACCTACACACACACACACACACACGTATACAACTGCTCAACTTCAATCTGTCTCTGTCACACACATACCCTACCCTACAAATATTTTTGAACACACTTTCCTGTGGCAATGTAGAATTATACCCTTGCAAAAGTTGTGTTTTTGAAAAGCATAACCTTTCAAGTAGCTAAAACCTACAGTGGAAATTGCTTATAATTTTCAAGTCAGCCAGGAAATAGGGTTAAGGGAAAAGGACTAAAATCAAGTATATCTTAATTAAGGATGGCTCCAAGGAATGTAAAAATATTTAAATCTTTGTTTTGTCTTCTCTGACAGATTGAGAATGACTCCCTCAAACACATTTTTCCTTCTAACACGTTTTCATTTTAATATCAAATCATATCTAATAACAGTTCTCCATAATTCCACTGCAGAAGTAAACCAAAAATTTTTATTGTTTCACTACTGATCTCAGGCTCTAGGTCAATAAGATGTGGAGATTCAGAGCTAGAGACAGACTTGGATATAGACTACGGACTAGAGAGAACATAATCAGCCCACAAACTATGCTCAACTGCCTAACTCCATTTCTTACACAAACCTGGCTTTAGGACCAAGGGGCTCCTCAGCAGACTCTTTAAGCTCCTAACAGCCATGTTTCTTCAGGCATTAGGCCAACAATTGTAGCATAGTTTTAGGTTTTAAAGACATTGCATCATGGAAGCTATAATTACAATCAGGTCTCCCACTGGCAGCTGTGAGAGAACAGGACCTTCCAGGAGGCTGAGCTACACCTGTAGCCGCATCTGAAAGATGTTAAAAGAGCATTGGAATGCCTGCTGGGAAGGCTACAGCCAATGCACAATAAATGGGCTTCGGTGAAATCTGGTACGGCCAGTTTAATCATGAACATTAAAATCTCTTGTAAAATCCAGGCATTATTAAGGTAAATCATCCTTTGATTTTTCAATTGTTTCAGAATCAATGCCCAGATGTTCATCTACCTACATACCTATTGATAGTCATTCTCTGTAGTTATTTCCCATAAAGGCTGCAAATATTCACTGGGTTGCCTAGCAGCTCTTTCAGATCCCTCACTTACCTCCCTCACTGCACAAGTAGCTATCTAAGTCACTCAGGGTTATTCCATGGGGCTGCTGGAAAGGGAAATGTTCAAATATGAAAGGAGAGTCCCATTTCTTCCCATCACCAATGAGGCCTTGGGGCATATACCACTTCTCTTTTTACAAAATGACAAGATACTCAGCAAAAATATCATGGTGCTACAAACATCACCTGACATTTAAAGGGCAAACCCAAGGAGCAGCAACTGAGTAATAAAGAAATCAGGAACTCTGAGCTTCTGTTTCTCCTTCCATGGAATGAAAGATCATTGTTACAGGCTCACTACCCAGGGATGCTGATAATTGAGCTATGTAGAGGCAGATAATCTACACATTTCACAAAATGTTAAGTTCATGGAACAAATTAGCTGCAACATGTTTCATGCTGGTTTGGAGACTCCATCAGTGCCCCCAAAGAATTTCCCTGAAATGATGGCACTACAGGAACCTGTATTTTTGAATGGTGACCTGTTCAGGACTGAGAGGCTGGGGCTGGGAATAAAACACTGTCCAAGAACCAAAGAGTGGCTACTCAGGTCAAACCCCAAACCCCATTCCTTTATGCATACACAAATAACCACCAACCTGAACTTCGCTTCATCAGATTTTTCCCTGTTTTTGATGTCAAATCATGAGGTTAATGAATTCAAGTTCATTTATACCCACTGACCACTCTGCATGCATAGATACTTATTATTCTTCTCTTTCCCTGGGAGCAAACTACATATCTACATTATTCATTTAAACTCTCTGAATACTAACACTGCATAATTCTGGCTGCTCCAAAATGTAATTTAACTACGTGTTCCTGTGTAAAAAGTCTATCCACATAGGTAGGTGGATCTGGGTGATTTTTTAAAATTTATTAAAGCTATAAAGACTTGGATTAAAGCTATTGCTTCTATCAATGGGCCAACATCATTAAAGTACTTATACATTTAGCAAAAGTACTAAAATTATAGACAGAGTCCTATACCAGGCAAATATTTCATGTATCTTTATCTTAGTTGCACTCAGACATATTTTTTAAATACTTATATGTTCCTTAATTTTTGCTAAACTGATTTTTAATATCACTTGATCTG
This sequence comes from Homo sapiens, assembly GCF_000001405.40. Classification (NCBI taxonomy): domain Eukaryota; kingdom Metazoa; phylum Chordata; class Mammalia; order Primates; family Hominidae; genus Homo; species Homo sapiens. The sequence goes on along the minus strand of NC_000002.12, from coordinate 168,602,226 downwards.
AAAAAAATACTGAAAATCAATTCCCTTACATCTTCTAAAAGAGAGAAAGAGAAAAAAGAATCGGCCAATGCTTATTTGTGCAATACCCTTGCTATCTGCAACCCTCACTTCTTCTATTACTGCTGAAATACGTGTACAGCATAGTGACTGCCTCTCAGAACCCTGTCTAAATTAACTTTATTGACTTGGTGTTTCATTTAAGGTGTTTATGATTTTTGTGGTTTCAAAGGGCAGTAAATTTTACTTCATCTGTGCTTCCTTTTCTAGAAGTCATGTAAAAATATTCTACTTCTGTATTTTCAAGTTCAACACTGCATGCAAATATAAGATCTATGAATAAAATTTGTTTTTTAAGGGTATTAAGATAAGGCCAAGAGGGCTGGGCGAGGTGGCTCATGCCTGTAATCTCAGCACTATGGGAGGCTGGGGTGGGCGGATCACCTGATGTCAGGAGTTCAAGAACAACATGGCCAACATGGTGAAACCCTATCTCTACTAAAAATACAAAAATTAGCCAGGCATGGTGGCACACGCCTGTAGTCCCAGGTACTCGAGAGGCTGAGGCAGAAGAACTGCTTGAACCCAGGATGTGGAGGTTGCAGTGAGCCAAGATCATACCACTACACTCCAGCCTGGGCGACAGAGCGAGACTGTCTCAAAAAAAAAAAAAGATAAGGCCAAGAAACTGGCGTCCACCTGAGAATGTTCAACATTCTCCTCTATGAAATGAGATGGCTGGACTATGAAAACACTAGTGCTAGAAACTGTTTAATCAGAATTCATCATTGGTCTTTGTCTTCAGAAAGCAGAGGTCCACAAACAACCAGCAGATGAGCATGCAATACTATTGATAAATGCAAATTAAGTTTAATTTAAATCATGAGTTAACATCACAGAGAGAAACAGATCTGTTGCACTGAGAGTCACAATTATACAGGGATAGGTTCAAAATTGTTTCCCAGATTAGGCCGTGACCTTATGTGGGAGACTGTGTCAACATTTTTTATGGAATTCTAGGTGGTAAAAGAAAGCCACCTGTTATGTCAGCTGACAATGTATATTTTTATCTACTTTTGTGAAATGGTGCACATCTATCCAATTTGCCTGGTTGAATCACAGGGCGTAGGCTGAAGTGTAATAAGTACTGAGTGGTGGGGAGTGTGAGGAAACTGACAGAGAAGCCTTGGATTCTATGGTAATCATTCTGCATTGGCTCTAGAGGGTAGTGGACATCAACCCATGAGGTCTGTTAGGATCTAATACTTTTAGATGCACTGAAAATATTTTGTAGTTTATTGGTAAATAGAAATCAGGTGGTGGTTAACTTTGCTCAATACCATAGAAAAGTAGGAACTAGACTTGGCTACCACTTACATGTGACCATTACCAAGGCACTATTAGATCAATTTAATTCAATCCTAAGATTTAATGAGTACAAGCAATTGCATTAGATACCATAGGAAATGGAAAGATGCCTTTAAGGAATGTTTACAGTCTAGAATCTCCAGTCAAGAAATGAGATGGAATAAATATACAAATAACCACAACTCAGGAAAACACACAAGGTAAATATTATCAAGGTGTCTTTAGGTTTCAGAGTGAGTGAGATGCCAAGGGGTTGAACTGCAGAAACACTTCTAGGTTAAGGGGATATATGAAAAGGGTCTGGGGCAAGGATATAGATTTTCAGGGATTTTCCTCTTGCTTTAAGAGAAGTATGGCAGGCCGGGCGTGGTGGCTCACGCCTGTAATCCCAGCACTTTTGGAGGGCGAGGCGGGCAGATCATTAGGTCAGGAGATCGAGACCATCCTGGCTAACAGGGTGAAACCCCGTCTCTACTAAAAATACAAAAAATTAGCCAGGTGTGGTGGTGGGTGCCTGTAGTCCCAGCTACTCAGGAGGCTGTGGCTGGAGAATGGCATGAACCTGGGAGGCGGAGCTTGCAGTGAGCCAAGATCACACCACTGCACTCCAGCCTGGGCGACAGAGCCAGACTCCGATTAAAAAAAAAAAAAGAGAGAGAGAGAGAGAGAGAAATATGGTAGTTTACAGCATAATAAGTTGGATAGTTTACCCACGACTAAGCAGACACTACTGTCACCTATAATGTTCATGGAGAGAAAGGAAAGGAGGAAGGGGGAGGGAAACCAGGATATATTAGAGCCTTCAGCGTGCAAGTTACAAATGCTGCTATAACAACCCAAGGAGGTAAGCATCACTGTATCACTGTAACCATATCATCAGTCAAATGACTCTTAGGTTTATTAAGGGGAAGTCAGATTTTACCCCCAGGTGATTCTGACATCAAAGGCCATTCTGGTCTTATGCTTACTACTAGTGTATCAACCTCCTTGAAGGCAAATAGCTCATCTCTACATCACCAGCCCTACTTCCTCTTTATATTTGGAATTCCATAAATATTTGTGACATTTAAATGTCCACAGTGAAGCTCAAGACAATATTCTTAATAAATTAGGTGCTTTATAACCTGGAAGGATTGATAGATGGTCCTCAAACTATATATATAACCTCAAGCATATATAAAACCAACATAAAGCTCTCAAATGTTACACAGATCTCAAATGAATGTCAACAAATGATCTCTTTCCTGAAGTTATCTCTCAAGAACAATGTTTTCTAATCGGGGTTACTAACCTACTTAAATTCAGAAGTCTTTCAGGACAAGATAATAAACCCTAGCACTCACAGTTGGATTTACTCCGACAATGTTCGTTTTAAAATGAGTTGATATTTCCTTTGTTCTTTAAGTGTACCTGCATTCTTATTTTGGGCCAGAGAAAAAATGCAAATAGAAAAATACAGAAAGGATAAGAATTTACTGCCCTTCTTCAAAAAGAAACAAACTATGGGAAGCATTTCTAGGATAATCACCTCAAAAATATACTCATAACTATGTTTTAGATGTCCCTGGAAGGAAAAGGAGTGAGAAATAGGATGTGAGAGGATTGGGGGGAGAAAAGAACCACACAGAGCACAACTGTACCAAGAATTTTCCTCCACCCAGAGAAGCAGCCTATTTTCCCATGCTCTGCAAGGTAACCTGAGTCAATTTGCTTAACCTTTCAAAGCAACATTTCCTTAAATGTTGAAAACAGAGTTGGCAGAAGAGTAGGTTATGCCTCTAATGCCCTAGCCTACATCGCAGAATTGTTGTGAAGATGGAATTAAACAATGCTCACGAAAGTTCCTTGAAAATCACAGAGCTACACAAATGTCAAGTGCTGTTATTACCACAGCCTGCTTCCTCTCCTGAGCCTCTTCTGACATGTGTTTCTCTTGCTAGAGAGGCAGAAAAGGTCTCCAGAGAGGTGAATTAGTTGTGACCATGTTCCAGTAAGATTCTTCTATACCTACTCTATCCAAACTTACCAGATTCTAAAAAGAAAATGTTCATATTAATTGTTCTATGTTGTATCACCGCAATATTTGACACCACTTTAAACAAATTAAGATTAAAAAAAGATTAAGGGATAGCTCTATATTGCAGAAGTGAAGATTGAAGACAATCTTGTAAGCTACGTTATTAAATTTTCTTTCTGTACTGGTTGGGGAATTGGGACCTTTTTTTTCACTAATCCTGTAGTTTTATTAGATATGATGGCATTATATTCTTGGATTGCCACATATTAATCATTTAGGGTTTACGAGTACCATGTGATAATCATTAGGCTATTTAAATTTCCCATATTCCAGTAAACCACTATTTTTTTGCCCCTTGCCATTATTTTTTTTTACCATCAAAAATATATAGGAATGCATAACAAGGAAATAAATAATTTGGCCAGTAGATGTGGAAAAGAAAAAAAAAAGAAAACTCTCTGGTTAATTACTATGCCACGTATAAACTGAAGATATGTTTTCTCTTCCCCCCAAAAACGAGGTTGCCATATATTCAAGTCATTACAGTCTCTTATTTATAGACTACTCTCTCAAGCACTTTATTTAGAACAAAGAAGTATTCCTTGAAGACACTCAAATCTGAAACAACTTCAATCAATGCCAGTTTGAGATGCTCAAGAAGGTCAGCTGATGGAAGCAGCTATTCTAAGGGAGCAAAGAAATTTAACAAATACTTAAGGCATTATCTCTAGGGTGGTGACTTCATAATTGTTTGTATTAGATATCACTGTAAACAAACCTTTTAAAGATCCCTCTTAAGGGGAGGACAGAAAAGAGTTACACGTGGAAGATCCTCAACATACACCTATAGATAAAGGACAAAAAAAAGTCTGAAAGAGAGGCAAAGAGTGCTAAGGCCTGAGTTAACATTTACAGAAATAACTTCTTACATGGATTCCAAACACATTAAAGTCTATGCAATTTAGACGGGAGGGAAGAGAAGGCACTCTGGCACACTGTCCTAGATGACTCTGAGGTAGCTCCTCTGACAAAGACATGATGTCAAAGGTGCAAATACAGGCTTTGAATAAATTATTTCATGAAAGTAAATAGGAAAAGCATTATGTCTAAATAAACATATTAATGTTATTAATATACATATCAATTGTTTCATCTCTAAAACTTTACATATTCAAGGTGGCCCCAGAATATTTTGTATCATTGGGAAACTGGAGGATGTGTCTTATAGCTAAGGGCACCCTACCTTCAACCATCTATGGTTATCTGGGAATTGAAAAAAGTAGAAGCTTGTATGGCAGATGCACCTGACGGCAATATCTTAAGCATACCCTGAGAATGACCCTGTAAGGCAGACACACCTGAATGTGTCTTCAGAGTTCTGAGCTAAGGAATCCGGGAGTGGTCATCCGACAGATTCATTACTTATTTATGTGGAACATCTGAACCCCTGGCCTGTCCATGGAATGAGAGTGTGCAGGGGAAAGATCCTCTTTGTTTTGGATTAAGTGGAGGTTGCCAGGCAGAGGTTGTTAGAGGGTGCTTTAAATATTATATAAATTGTATACTTTTTACAAGCATGCAATTTATATAATAAATAATGCTCTACTGTCAAGCCTGCTGCCACCAGACTGTCCCTGTATGTAAGTTCCCTCCAATAAAACCCTATGTCTTGTTCACTGGCTCCAGGTCTCTTCTTCAGCCTCAAACCTGGCGCCATCCCTACTGAAGTCAATAGGGGCCTGACACGACAAAGCTAAACTCATAGCAGTGTGAAAGTGAGTCAGAGATTAGTCAGAATATTGACTTCAATGTTCACCAATTGGAGTTCAAGAAGCAGGAAAGACGCCATGAACACAGTATTGTATTTTTAGAGAGAATAGGTAGAGTATATGCACTTTTGCTACAATAAAAGGATTCTTGAATTCAGTTTATATTAGAGCAAACAAAAAGTTTCATGAACTCTAAGAGCATTTGCTCTTAACTCCAAATTTTGTGCATCAACAAAGGGATGGGAGCCGGGCATGGTGGTTCACACCTGTAATTCCAGCACTTTGGGACGCCAAGCGTTCATGATCAGCCTGGCCAACATGGTGAAACCCCATCTCTATTAAAAACACCAACAAATTTGCCGGGTATGGTGGCACGCACCTGTAATCCCAGCTACTCGGGAAGCTGAGGCAGGAGAACCACTTGAACCAGGGAGGTGGAAGTTACAGTGAGCCAAGATTGCACTACTACACTCTAGTTTGGATGATAGAGTGAGACTCAGTCTCAAAAAAAAAAAAAAAAGGGGGGGGGATGGGGCCCTGAAACAATGATTTAATGAATGAAGGCAAGTAAAAAAGCCACTGTACTGAATATAAGCTTTTCTTTTAATCTCACATTTTCCCACTCATGTTACGTTCTGCCAAAGCCATTCATCTACATTTCCCTGAACAATTTCTGGAAGGAGGCTGGGAAGCCCAGTAAAAACTACACCAAGAAGACAACAACCCCTCCCCCCAATCCCCCGCCCACACACATAATCTGGTCTCCACCCTATTGAGGTCCCATTCCACATGACCCTGTGATCAGCAATAAACTTGGTACCCTCAATAAGATCCAAAACCAAAGCCACTCATCTTATAACCACAGAACCTCTTCTCTTTGTGGTTCATGACTAGGATCCAAGTCTACTAGCCAGATGCATAAACATTTACAAACAAATATTGAATTTTGGCAGTTTAATGATAATTTTTATTTTTATCCTTTTTTTTTTTTTTGAGACAGGGTCTCGCTTTGTTGCCCAGGCTGGTCTTGAACTCCTGGGCTCACATGATCCTCCTGCCTTGGCCTCCCAAAGTGCTGGAATTACAGGCGTGAGCCACCACGCCTGGCCTAATAATAATTTTTAACGTCTTGCCAATTTGGGCACCTTTCCTTTACATCTGGAAGAAAATATGAAGTCCGCTTAAGTCTACTTACATTGAACAATAAGGTCTGCCAAAAAGAAAAAAAACATACAATTCTTCTTTTTGATCTCCACAAATCTTAAATAACTATGTAAACAGCAACATAACTTTTTTCCAATTATAAGGCAATATTCATGTGAGTCAAACATTAGATGTTATTTGATGTCTGTATAAAGACAAGGTAAAGATGATATCAATTCAAACCATTACAATTTGCTGCAATACATCTGAATGTATAATGAAAATGTTAAATGAGAGATACTCTTCGTAAGTACCATCAGCCTTAAATTTAAGTTTACATTTTAATGCTGTCACTAAAATCAGCCAATTAAAATTGGTATTATACATAATCCAATGTAAGGAGATTCAGGATTAAAAAAGAGAATAAAGAGATAAAGGAATGAATGCAATTGTGGTATTTATACCTTTTCTTTCAATCATTGATTTTTACACTCCCCAAAGTGTCTCAACATTCAATCTAACCTTGGTCCAAGAACTCTCAAGCAAAAACCACATGAAAGGGAAGTGTGGGCTAAAAGCTCAGACTAAACAATAAATAATACTTTCTTCAGACTGAAAATATTCTCCCAAACATCTCACCATCTGAAAGTCAGGAGCTGGGAGTGGAATTATTCTGTAGCACTGCATAGGATACATGTGCTCCTTGTCCTCTTATGTAATGCTTCCCCCAGTAAAAGCCACAGAAATTGGGCCCTGCAAACTTTTTTAAAAGCAACCATGAACTGCTTTGAGTGTTAGGGTGCTTCTGTCTCTTCAAGACAGAGGGCTAAACTCCAATAGAGGACAATGGTCACTTTCCTTCATGATGCCTTCCTGTACCTAAGAGTCAGCTGCAAGCCAGTGCACCTGCATCCTCACAGCCCTGAAACAGCACTAGGCAATTCTCTTAATCTCAAAGAAAGGAAGTGTATTCTTCAGATTCACTTTGAATCAATCAGCAAACCACCATACATTCACTGAACACAGCCCGAATACACAGGCAGTCTAGCTGGGGGAAAAACAAACATTAAGATACATGAAACAAGTAGAGAATAATTCTAAAGAGTGGCTAATGGCTAAAATTAGCAGTGCTCATTATTAGTTCCACAGGGGCTCAGGGAAGAATCTCTGGAGAGATTCACGTGAGAAAGAATAGTAGAAAGGGCTCATGGTAATAACATGACCTGAGTTGGGCTTTGAAGGGTAAGCAGGACTTACACTGGGGTGGAAAGGAGGTATCCCAGAGACTAGACAATGCTTGGGGCAGGCAGGCATGTAGTAAATATTTTTTAAATGAATAATTTTTTTTGAGACAGGGTCTCACTCTGTCATTGAGGCTGGAGTGCAGTGGCATGATCACAGCTCACCACAACCTCAACCTCCCAGGCTCAACCAATCCTCCTGCCTCAGTCTCCCTAGTAACTGGGACCACAGGCACATGCCACCATGCCCGGCTAATTTATTTGTTTTGGTAGAGACAGGAGTCTCCCTATGTTGCACAGGCTGGTCTCAAACTCCTGGGCTCAAGCAATCCACCTGCCTTAGCCTCCCAAAGTGCTAGGATTACAGGCATGAACCCATGAATGAATTTAACCATTATAACAAGTATCTTCATTTGATGAATGAGTCACTCGACAAAGAAGCACCAAGTAATTTACATAAGATACTAATAATAAAGGACTCAGGAAGTTTTATAAACTCTGCTTTAGGAATAACTCTTATAAGTATAATAATAGTATTTTCACAAAGCATAATTACTCTTAATGGGAAAGTATTCATGATGTTATCTGTATATGAAATGAAATAATCATGAATATTAACATAAGCCCAAAGATACAGGATCTAAAATAATTTTGAAAGTTTTTAAATAAAACAAAAACATTACATAGTTGGTAAAAGTTGAAAGTACAACCAAAACCAATGTAGCAATACCATTCCTGGTGCTTGTTGTCACACAAAACAGAGTAACAGAGTATTCATGGTCATGGTTAAGGCTGGTTCAAGTTTGCCTGGCAACAGGCATTACTGTGCTAAGACAAAGGAGACTTAGTTTAGGGTTCCCATGAAACACTAGAAACTTTATGCAAACTTAGGAGATAAATACAGGTTATTCTAGGAAAAATATTTTATTAGGTTCTAAAAGGAAACTAGAACCTTTGAAAAAGTTAAGACGTTTTATAAAGTTTTATACTATTAAAAAAGGGGGAAGAAATTTCCAGAATCTCCTGACCTGTCAAAAATTCTTCACAGTTAAACGGCTTATAACAAGTGACAGAGAATGGGCTAATATCTTCTATTATGTGCACAGAAAGACTACTATCTCAACAGGGAGAAAACAAACAAAACAAAACAAAACAAAACAAAACACACAGAAACTCAAAAGTTGGAAAGAGGCAAGTGATGATCATGACAGCAGGTACATGATGCCTCTTTTATCCCCTTATTTAAGTCACTTTGCCACTTACGGGATTAATCAAGAAAACTGCGGTTTCCAAATTGAGAGTACTTGCAGACTGGGCATTTTAATTCCCACCAGGTACTCATGACAAAAAAGCTGTGGTCAAATGATGTGGCAGGCAGAGCAATGGCCCCAATATATCCACATCCTAATCTCCAGAACCTGTAAGCATATTACCTTACACGGTCAAAGAGGCTTTGCTGGTGTGATTAAATTTAAAATTTTGAGATGTGATATTATCCCGATGTTTCGGGTGAACCCAATGTAATCACAGAAGTTCTTATAAGGGAAAAAAGGAGGCAACAGAATTAGAGGAAATAGGAGTGTCATAGAGAGAAAAAGATTGGAAGATGTTATGCTGCTAGCTTTCAAAGTGGAGGAAGGGTCAAGAAGCCCAGGTGGACTCTAGATTAAACTAGAAGAGGCCAGGGAACAAACTCTCCTGTAAAGTAATACAGCTTCTGCAGAAGTAACACAGCTAGGTTGACACCCTGAGTTTATCCCAGTGAAACCACTTGGACTCCTGGCCCCTAGAATGGTAAGAGAATATATTTGTGTTATTTTAAGCCACTAAGTTTGTAGTCATTTGTTGTTACAGCAGTAGGAACTAATATACATAATAACACCCAAAAAGGGCCACTTTCATGAAGCTGTTATTAGAGGAATGGGTATTTTTTGTCATAATATTGATGGTCTCCCAATCCCTTCTTCCAACTCACAGCAGCGTAACAGCTGAGGAAAATCCACCCCTCCACCCTGCTGCACAGGGGTAAATGCCAATTAGTCACTGGGCACAGTGAGCTTCCACTGTTCCTGAAATTGCTCCTCCCCACTGCCCCCAGCCTTTCATTCCTGCTAATTCTGCAGGGCACCACACCAACAGCCTGCCTCCACCCCATGCTGCATGCTGCTGGTTAACCTGCTTGATTTAATCTCCTATCAAATACCCTTCCTGCTCAAAACCCTCAGTGACTGCCATTGCTGCCCCGGTTAAGGTTCTGCTGCTGGCTTCCAGAGCCCTCCCCACTTGGCCCCATCTGCTTCTCTAGCCTCACCTCCCTTTCCCACGTCCTGAGCTCCAGCCAGTGGGGCAGCTCAGGCTCTCCAGTGCTTTCCTGGGCTGTGCCTCTGCCCACAGCTGGAAGAGTCTTTCCATTCACCATTTTCTGCTACTCAAAATTCAGTCCACTCTCTCCAGTCTTTCTGAAACACCACCTCCTCCACTAAGCTCACATATCCTTAAAAACATTGTTCACTCACCCCATTTGAAGCCCTATGGCTTTTGGTAAGTCAAGTACATGTAATAATACACATTCCTCCCATTTGGGGCATTTATTTTATTCTCATCCCCCCTCCTAAATCCAAAGTTCCATCAGAATTGTCTTATATGCAATTCTTTGACACTCAGTTGAAAGTCGGCAACACAACAAAATGAAGAGTTGGGCACCCTGAGGCCCAATTATGAAAAGAATGCCTCAATCCTGCTATTCCCCGCTCTGATCTATTTGGTATCCCAGCATTGAGGGTCCATGCGGAGATTCACTCTATTCCATTAGAAAGGGATTGTACTTCTCCCTCCACAGTCCCCTTCTCTAAAATCTAACGAAGTTTGAGAAGGTCCAGGTTACTCTTCCTTTTGAATTATACTCCTCAGAAATCAAGAATTCCGTACTTTAAAATATTTCTAGAATCTGTTTTTATGCATCTTTATAACAATCAAATTAAACCAAGGAACACCCCGAAGGTGAAAGAAAGTCTTTTGCTAGGGCACTGCAAGAGCCAATAGTTAAAATAAAATTTAAATGTCAGTGAAAAAGGAAGCTCTACTATGAAAAACAACACATTTTCTTCATTGAAGGTTTTAGTGAATAAATAATGTTGACTTGAAGATTAAGTCTAATGTTAAAACTAATGATTGTGTAAACATTAGTTACTCAGTATTTCAAGGGTGAGACACACATTGTATGCTAGATAGCACTATTAACCCAAGTTATTTAAAAGTATGATTTTGTTTAAATGCCAGTAATCTCAATTTGGCTATCAAACTCTCATTCTGTCAGTCATTTTCTGCAGCTAACAGTCTAGGGACAACATGAAACTTCATGATGTGGATGGTGAAGCCATTTGGGCTATCTTCTAGAGACAAAGAGAAATAGCACTAACAATACTATGTAGAGAATTTTGAATAATTTAAAAGTCATCTTTATCTTTTTAAGAAGTTTAGTTATTTTAATCCAGTAATTAAATTACTTGGACTCTATTACAAGGATAGTCCAGAATACAGGGGGAAAATATACACAGAGGTGTTTACAGCCCTATGACATTTATAATAATAAAAGACATATTAAGACTAGTCCTAGATAATATTATAATAGTTAAATAAACCTTGGGACCATCCAATAGATGCAATATTATATAGCTATTGAAGCAAGCATATACAAAGAGATGGCACTAACATGGGGTGTTAATGCCATACGAGGCAGCAAGATGCAAATCCCACCTGTCTCTCTATAAGTAGAGAACATGACCAATTATCTGGATTCAGTGTTTGTGGTAATTCACCTTCCTAGCTATGGGCTTTGGGCACGTTATTCCAATTCTCTATTTCTCAGTTTCCTTGTCTATAAAATGAGAACAAAAACAGAACCTACCACAGATGGGCATTGTAAAGATCACACAAGTTAATCAATGTATTAATAGGATGCTTAATCCAATGTCCACCACTAATAGTACACATTTAAGTGTAGTGCTTTACAGGAGACAAAATTGTATACGTAACATGACCCCACAACTATATTAAAAAACAAAATTATACATTGAAAAATGCTTTCACTAATTATACTAAAATAGTCTTACTTATTTTCTAAAATTCTCTAACTTTTATATACTCTTACATAATGGTGGTAAAAAAGCAATTTTACTTTGAAACTTCACTTCCAAGTGGCTTACATTAACAGGAATATCATGTCCCTGACATACACTAGAATTACCCACAATGTATATTTATAAATACATACATACATACGTGTATATAAGTCTGATAGTTTATTTCAAATATCGTTTTTATTTGGTAGTAATTTTTCTCTGATAACATCGTTTATATGATAGCCTAATTTAAATTTGTTACTGAACCTAAGTTTAAAATGGCCAAAAGATCAAATTAAAGCACAGCCTTTAAACCAAAGGAGAGGCTTCACTCTTCTATTTCTTTTAGCTATGACCATATCCTCTCCTAGTTGCCCAGGTGAAAGGAATTTCACAGCAAGAACACACTTGGTAATCTGGACAAATGCAGTGGGTCAAACATCTAGCTGATATGTTGGGTTCCCTGAAGCAGGCTATGCCCAGCTGAAACCTCTCTTATCAGTCAACTGAGCACTTCTGGAGTCTTCTCTCAGGTACTGTACTGGTTTAACGAATTTCAGGCAGCCAAGGACTTTTGTCTAGCTAGGTCTTCATTAACTCATGGTCTGTGTGAGTCAGCTTTTCAGTCGAGGCTCAAACATAAAAAAAGTTCATTGCCTTTTTACCCAGAAATACCATTTCTTGGAATTTATTCTGAAAAAGGAACTATAAAATATGCACATAAGAATGTTCCTTGAAGCCCTCTTTCTAATGGTTATACCAATAAAGCAATAATTAGCAAGTTAAATTTCTGCCAAATGCCATCACAAGTTAGAATGAGGTACATCTATATGTAGTGGACTAGAAAGACATCTTTAATAAATTAAGCAGAGTAGAAGAAGTAGTATTAGAACAAAATGTAAAGCATGAACTCTTTAAAATTATATTTAAAAAAATACATGTGAAAACTAGAAATACACCCAACATTTGGAAGGAAAGACACCAACATTTTCAGAGATTAATTAGAAGGCATGCATGGTATTGGAACTGGGTAAAAAAGCTCACTTGCTTTCACAAACATTTCTTTATTGTTTGAACTTGCTGCATTGTTATATAACGAGGGAGGCAGTCAGAGAAGGGGAGTAGGAGCTCAGATCCCAGAACCATGCTACCTGACTCAAATACCAGCTCCAATTCTTAGCAGCCAACACCTTTATACCTGTTTCCTCTTCTTTCAAATGGAGATAGCACGACCTATCTACCTCTTATAATTTAACAGATGAAATAAACTAGTACATTTAAAATAAAGCCCGAAACTCATACCTATTAGGATGTCTATTACAAAAGAAAGAGAGAAGGAAGGAAGGAAGGAAAAAAACAAAGTAAAAGGTACGGGCAAGAATGTACAGAAATTGGAACCCTTGTTTACTGTTGCTGGGAATGCAAAATGGTGCAGCTTCTATGAAAAATATGGTGGTTCTTGAAAAAGTTAAACAGAATTTCCATATGATGCAGCAATCCCACTTCTATATACCCAAAAGAACTAAGCAGGGGCTGTGCGTGGTGGCCCACAACTGTAGTCCTAGCACTTTGGGAGGCCAAGGCAGGCAGACTGCCTGAGCTCAGGAGTTGGAGACCAGCCTGGGCAACATGGCAAAACCCTGTCTCTACTAAAGATACAAAAAAATGGCCAGGCGTGGTGGCACATGCCTGTAGTCCCAGCTCCTCAGGAGGCTGAGGCAGAAGAATTGCTTGAACCCGGGAGGTGGAGGTTGCAGTGAGTGAGATCCCACCATTTCATAATAGAACAAGACTCTGTCTCAAACAAACAAACAAACAAAAGAACTGAAAGCAGGGTCTTGAACAACTATTTGTACATCCAGGTTCATAAGAGGATTATTCATAGTAGCCAAGAGGTGGAAGCAACCCAAGTGCCCATCAACAAATAAATGCATAAACAAAATGTGGTATATACATACAATGGAATATTCAGCCTATAAGAAGGAAATTCTGACACCAAAACATGGGTGAACCTTGAGGACATTATGCTAAGTGAAATAAGGCAGTTACAAAAGGACAAAAACGGTGTGATTCCACTTATATAAAGTACTTACGGTCATTAAATTCATAGAAACAAAGTAGAGTGGGGGTTATGAGGGATCTGGGAGAGGGAAAAAATGGGAAATTAAGTGTTTAATGGGTATAAAATTTCAGTTTTGCAAGATAAAAAGAGTTCTAGAGATGGATGGTGGTGATGGTTGCATTGTACAACACAGTGAATGTACGCAGAAGCCACTGAATTGTACACTTAAAAATGGGTAAGACGGTAAGTTTTATGCTATGTCTATTTTGCCACAATTAAAAATACAAAAGGCCAGGTGCAGTGGCTCTTGCCTGTAATCCCAACATTTTGGAAGGCTGAGACAGGAGGAATACTTAAGGCCAGGAGGTCGATACTAGCATGGGCAACATAGAGAGAGATCCCATCTCTACCAAAAAAAAAAAAAAAAATTAGCCAGGTATGGTGGCATACATCTTCAGTCTGAGCTGAGGCCGGAGGATCACTGAGCCCAGAAGGTCGAGGCTGCAGTGAGCTATAACTGCGCCACTGCATTCCAGCCTGGACAACAAGAGTGAAACACTGTCTGTAAAATATAATGAAATAATAAAGCACCTAGAGCAGTACTTGCCCAGAGCAGGAGCGCAATAAATTTTGGCAAGAATAATAATGTTATACTACTATATCATTATGATGTTCTACTTGTTAAAATGCAATTTAAGAAAATCATACATTAAAATGAAAAGCCCTCAACTTCTTTAAAAACTTACTATATTATATATTAATCATATTATATATTAATATGTTAATTGTATTACATATTAATCACACCAACTTTGCCTGTATACCACATGCCTTCACTGAAGCATTTTTTTTCTCAAACTACTCCTTCCAGAAAGGCAAAGACGGTTTTTCACAGCCAGGAGCTGACACTTAGCAACTACCTCTGGCCAAAGGAAACAGAGAAGAAAAAGCACTTAACACAATCATCACTTGACATTGAGGCAGAGGCCAAGAAAACCTTCATTACACAAAGGCCCTTGGCAAGGAGCAGCACTGCTCTGCGCTTATTTTCAACTCCATCTCTGGCTCCTGAATTGGTGTAACCAACACATCATCAAAATAATCATGTCATACCACTTGGTATGCTACCCTGTTCAGTAACTACCACAGGATATGATCTCCTCAGGTCAGCCCTGGTCATTTGTAACACAATTTCATGAAATCCACAGAGGGGCAAATCTCAAAGTGTAATATGCATCTGAGAATGAAGAAACCAGACATAATGATTCCATTTCAATAAACTTTTATTTTGTTTTACTTTATATTTTATTTTATTTTATATTTATTTATTTTTGAGACAGTCTTGCTCTATCGCTCAGCCCAGCTGCACTGGCACAATCTTGGCTCATTGTAATCTCTGCCTCCCAGGTTCAAGGGACTCTCATGCCTCAGCTCCCCTACCCACCGCATAGCTGGGACTACAGGCGCACACCAACATGCCCAGCTAATTTTTGTATTTTTAGTAGAGACAGGGTTTCACCATGTTGGCCAGGCTGGTCTCAAACTCCTGACCTCAGGTAATCCGCCCACCTCAGCATCCCAAAGTGTTGGAATTACCAGCGTGAGCCACCATGCCTGACCTCAATAAACATTTATTAAGGACCCCTAGTATATATCAAGGAATGTGCCAAGAAATTTAACACTTTATATTATTTAAATCTCACAATGGCCCTCTGAAATATGTAACATTCTTCTCACTTTTTATGACAGGAAATTTGCTTAAAAAATTAAGGGATTTCCTCAGGGACATGTGCTTATCAGGGGTACAGACAGAATTCAAGCCTGAATTTCAGAACCATAAAGCCAATGACAACGTGTGAAACTTATGGACAATAAAATGAAAAAATGGACCCCAAACAATCATTTTATCTATGTGTCTAGTGTTGGGTAACTCCACAGTTAAAATATTTCCAATAAACACAGTCTTTGCTATATTTGAAGATCGGACAGCCTTCTGAAACTTCCCTCAAGGTACATAAGGAGGAAAAACAATAAAATGCACACCTCTTATATATACTTGGGCAAAATCTAATTTGCAATTATCTTCATTTCCACTGAAAATAACATGGCTTCCACCAAAAAAAAAATGAGGCATATTTTATACAAATGCTTTCAAAGGGTGTTTTATAATGGGCAAAGGAAAGAAACGTTGTTTTAGTACTGATTTTCTTTAATTGTAAATCAAAGTGTCATCTTCGACTATCTAAAAGACAGCACTACACATGGTAAGCTTCCTTTTTCCTTTTTTTTTTTTTTAAAGGTATCTTACCAGCCCCGGCAATATCACAAAACTCCATCTCTAAAAAAAAAATACAAAAATTAGCCAGGTGTGGTGGTGCAAGCCTGTAGTCCCAGCTAACTGGGAGGCTGAGATGGGAGGATCACTTGAGCCTGGGAGGTCAAGGCTGCAGTGAGCCGTGATTATGCCACTGTACTCCAGCTGGGGTGACAGAGTAAGACCCTGTCTCAAAAAACTAAAGTATCTTAACCTGCCATTAGCAAGGATGGCACTCAAGATAACGTATATTGCAGAATCTAAATGCCCTAGTTGTGCAACATTTCCCTCCCTAGTTGTGCAACATTTGAACTTAAAGAAATCAGGTTGAAATGATGCCCGGAAGGGGAAAGATGTCACACAGGGAGACGTGGCCCAAGATTTGTGAAGGACCAGCCCACCTATTTTTCTGATGGACTTCTACTCTGTCTTTATGAGCTTCTGGTTCTTCCTTCTGGCATATCCATGATCCACATTCTTCCCATTTATTTCAAACACTTTTCTTTTTTCCTCAAACCCTAGGGTCAGAATGTAATCATAACAATTAGAAAACTTCAGTGGTGCTAGGTAACATCTATGGAGCATCTGCCACACCACAGGCATGGTGAAAAGACCTTTCCCTATATGACCTGCCTTCCACCTATGTTGTACATGAAGAAAGGGAGTCTTACTGAGGCAGAATTGGCTTGGCCAACATCACACATCTGGTAAGCAGAAGGCTTTAGTTCAGATCTGTCTGACTTCGTAGCCTGAGCATTTAATCATTAGACCATACTTTTCAGGGAAGAGACAGGGATAGCAGAAGAACGTAGAACATGAGCTCCTTGGGGAATGACACCATGCCTTGTCCATCACTGTCTCCTGCACCTATTGCCCAGCATATGATATGTGCTTGATGAATACTGTTAGATGAATGAGTGAAGGAAGGAGGGTGACCAAGAATCTGGTCTTAAACTCATTCTATCTGGGCCCAGGCAGGTGCTGTTCATTCAGCAGCCTGTAAGCATGAATCTCCACTTCTATCAATGGCTGGGCCCCAGAGAATCAGTGAGTTGTGTGTTTCCTGACATGGGTCAAGGAACACAAACCATTTGCATGCTCAGTACCACTTCAACTGGAAGAATCAACCACCTGTTATAGCTCAGCAAATATGGAGTTGGCATTTCTTTTTGTTAAATCCTTAAGACAGGAGATGAAATCCTGCTAACTCTTTCTGCCATCTCTTTCAATGAGAGCTCAAAAATTGACAATGAGTGCAGCCATAAATCCAGAGATAATATTCACTTACATATTTTCTACTTCCTCCAACCATTTCACAGGAAACTAATCCAAGCCTTGCTCTTAACTACTTTGTGTCATAAAACAAAAAACAAACAAAAAACCCCACAATTTCTTGCAGCCATTTTTGTTTGTTGATGTCTAGAGTTAAAAAAGGAATTTGCCCCAAATTCTCCATATCAAGTTGCCAATGAGTACCTCTCAATTTCAGTGAAAGGATGCCTTGAAGTATGTGAATAGATTTTAATTCAAATAGTGTTATCAAACTCCAAGTAATTGGTGCCCCACTATTATCTGTTTTGACAGAGTCGTTGGGATAAACTGATGTTAGGGAAAAGGTCTACAGTGAAACAGGGAAATTGTGTAAAAATAAATTAGGGAATGTGTGGCCAAATTTAGTCTCAGTGAGACCCACAGAAGCTGTGTGTATGTGCACATACAGTTTGGTCATGGCTTACTAATCATGACAGCATTATGTCTGTCTTTCTCTCTCTCACACATATTACACAAACAGATTCCACTGTGAAGTTTTTCTATGTAGATAGATATTACTGAAAAACCAACAGCAAAAGGTTTGTTAATTTCCACAGAGGGGTATCACGCAAACAGCAAAAACATGGGAATTGAGAAACCTAAAAAACATTTTTCTTTTAAAGATACAGTTTCACTGCAGCTCACTGGCAGTATTCATTATGTCTGTGACTCAGCTATAAAAAAGGAATGAGCAATACCTGCATCTTTGGAGAAAGTTAATCTTAAAAGCAGCTTTGATTACTTAGGAAATTACTTAGGAAGCATAGGCATTAGGGCCAGTCACACACAGATCCTGACTCTCACTACCTATCGTGGGTAAACTGCTTAACCTTTTGAAAATTAGGGTAAAATCATCTACCCAATGAGAGTGTTGGAAGGATTAAATAAGATGACTAAGGAAGCGATCTTGGTACATTCTAAGTATTCAGTACATGTCAGTACATGTCAGATGCTGTCATGATGGCAAAAGGCCAGGTCATGATGGCAAAAGGCCATTACAATAATCGCCAAACAGAGAATATTCACAAGGCCTCGAAAAGCAGCCAGCACAGAGTCAGCATTCATTTTATTGAATGATAGAATGAATTCCATATCCATGGATGACAAATAATGATACATCAGAGCAGGAAGGCAAATAAAATTACAGGAATAAATGGACCCTGTAGCCTTTCAACTAACTACAAACTCCAGACAACCTAGTCCTCTAAAGGTCCTGCTTCATGCTCATTATCTTCTTCTCATAGTTCAAACAACCCTGACAATATTAAGGGATGGCATTTTAAAATTATTCTCTAAAAGCCTAATGACTGGTTTGGTCTAAGACCCAGGGAGGCCACCCAAGAGGCCTGAGCTCATAGCATGTGGTTAAACTGCAATCTACTCCTCAAATTCGAAAGAGAAAGCAAATGAAAAAGAAGCAAGGAAAGCTAAAAAGATTCTGTAGTTGGCTGAAAAATGATCTATAGTTAGGCTTTGCCCCTATCCAAATCAGAGTGGGGCTGTTTCTTGAATGTCAGAACTGAAGTGTCTTCTTCTCTCACACTTTTCTTAGCTCATTTCCCAATCACTTTCTTGGTGGAGTCTCTCTTTGCCAAAAGGACATGCCCGTCAATCAACACACACTACTTATTTGTACCTGTCTCGACGCCCTCCCCATCACTATCTATTCCTACACCACACTGTCATTAGTGCATATTTCTAAGGTTCAAAATTTTACAAGATTCTTGTCCTATAAGAGCGATTTTCTGCTTAACACTACCAAATTGATCAGTCTGTGCTGTGTATATCAACCATTCCCTCAAGCCAGCCAAATTTGATTAAATGTACATTTGTCTATGCATTATTTTGTAACTGCAAGCCTTGCCTATGTTGTTTTCTGGCACATGTTAGGCAATTGTCTGTTTGTCAGTTATTACCTACTACATACCAGACAACAATATAGGCTAATCTATAGCTTTCATGTCTTTCAAAGGCCATGCCCATCAAGGCCCCTCTATACCATAACTGTACACTGTGGGTGCTTGGGAAGGATGGCTATTTCACTGGCTCACTATGAAATCACCAGCTATTTCACTAGCTCACTGTGAATCCAGGCACCTAAAGCTGTTGTATGTATGCAATTTCAGTAAACTGCAGCAGTCAAATTTGGGAATTGCACTGGACACAAGGTCAAACTGACCTTGTTTAACTTCACATCAATATTAAAATAATGCATCACGTAAAATAAAGGTGTATGAAAATTCTAGTTTTCAAAATCCTGACTGACCACATTTGAAACCTTATGTTTGCATAGCACGCGTTTTTTTTTCAGTACTAGATGATAGTTATTAAATGATTTAAGGTCTTATTAATACTTCCTTTCCCAGACACAGCAGGCTAGGCTAGTCAGACAAACCCCTTGCTCTCTATTTAAAACAACTAAACTTCTCAACTTAAAAAATATCCTTAAAAGCATCAGAGGTGACAAGATAGTAAGAAGCTCTCAGGATAAAAATCTAAGGGAAACTAGGAACCCAGAGACCTAAGTAGAACACCACAGCTCCTTCTGGCCCAAAGGCATCTCCACCATGAGTTAATCTGGGTTTCTGTTTTGGCAGCCCCTGGAGGAAAGGGGGAAGAATCTAGGCCCAGTGCCTACCTAATGTGGAGGATATTATAGAAGACACTGCGCATATTAAGCTGGGACCCCAAGATATAACATCCATAGGATGAGTGTGTGCCATACATAAACCCTACCTCTACCCCCAATTCTGGGAAACTTCAGGGATGGTTGCCTTGACACTAAGCAGAAGAAGAGAAAAAGGGAAAGGAAAATAACACCATGAGAAGTTGTGGTAAGAGACCCACAACTGTGATCATGACCAAGGTGGTTACGGTCATGGGGAGTTAGCCCAGGTGGGCCTGGGAGTCATGGTAAGTCATGTGCTTGGTCTGGGGTGATCCTGGGCTGGGGTATCGTCCATGCCGGACAGGAGCATAAGCATAAACTCTCTGAGAGAATCATCATCTTCCTAGGCCTCAAGATTCTCCCTCCTTAATATTTCCTAAGAACAAAGAGTAGTACACAATTAAGCACACAAGGAAAAACAGGTTCCATGAATCAGAATCAGAAACACACCCGCAAATACTGGAACTGTCAAATACAGATTGTAAAACAACTATGCTTCCCCTATGTAAAAAAATAAAAGACCACATAAAAAGTATCTGCAAAGAACAGGAAACTATGAAAACTGAACAAGCAGGTTTTTAAAAGATGAAACAGAACTTTTATAAATAAAAATATATATTAACCAAACTAAAAACTAGAAGGAGAAGATAATAAACAGAAATAGTTAAAAGGGAATTAGTGATTTGAAAGATATGTCAGATGACATCTAACATATGGCCAGAGAAACAGAAACAATGAACAACATGGAAGGGAAGTTAGAACTCATGAGGGTAGTGAGAGGATCTAAAATACATTTAACTGTAATTACAGAAAACGAAAATAGTGAGAGTAGAGAAGCAGCAATATTTAAAGAAGTAATGACTGAGAATTTTCCAGAACTGATAAAGATAGCAATTGGGCCAGGCATGGTGGCTCACGCCTGTAATCCCAGCACTTTGGGAGGCCAAAGCAGGTGGATCACTACAGGTCAGCAGTTCAAGACCAGCATGACCAACATGGTGAAACACTGTCTCTACTAAAAATATAAAAGTTAGCCAGGTGTAGTGGCACTCACCTGTAATCCCAGCTACTTGGGAAGCTGAGGCAGGAGAATTGCTTGAGCCTGGGAGGCAGAGGTTGCAGTGAGCCAAGATTGCACCACTGCACTCCAGCCTGGGTGACAGAGTAAGACTCCATCTCAAAAAAAAAAAAAAGATAGCAATCCATAGATTCATAGATTTAAGAAGGCCCAGAGAATCTCGAGAGGAATACATATATTTTTAATTGCAATACAGAAAGACAAAGACTAAGGGGAAAATCTTGAAGCCTACAGGGATAAAAAGGGCATTATCTTCAAAGGAATGACAGAGTGACTATGGCTTCTCTGTGGCAAGCATGTAAGCAAGAAGACAGTGCGATGATATAATCATTATACTGAAAGGAAATAACTGCTAGACTAGAATTCTATACTCAGAGAAAAAATCTTCAAGAATGAGGAAGAAATAAACTCATTTTCAGACAACAAAAACCAAGAGATTTCATCTCTAGCAGGCCTCAAGGATCTTCAGACAAAAATTAAAGTGATTCCAAATGGAAGGTCTGGGTACAAAAATGAATTAAAAACAAAAAAAGTG
Organism: Homo sapiens; assembly: GCF_000001405.40. NCBI lineage: Eukaryota > Metazoa > Chordata > Mammalia > Primates > Hominidae > Homo > Homo sapiens. The sequence continues at coordinate 168,580,602 of NC_000002.12, read as the reverse complement.
GTAAATATGTGTGCAAATCTTTAAAAAATTGTCTCTGTTGTTTAAGGTTAATAATGTCTCTAAGATTAAAAATACAGAATAAAAGGCATGACAAAAGTAACTTAAGTCAGAAGAGGGAACATGGAAATAAAATACTCTAAACACCTTGGATTTTCTAGGAGGGTAAAAGAGGGGTCAACATTGGATTTTGATAACTTAGGTATACCCGTTGTAATTTCTAGGATAACCACCAAAATAACTAAAAATTGAGTCTATAATTTCAAAACTAAAAGGGAAAATGGAATCAAGTCAAGAAAAGGGAGAGAAAGAACATAAAATAGGCAAAAATAGAAAGCACAAAACAAGATGAAGATGTAAAAGCATGTAAAAATGATTATATTAAGCACATATGAAATAAGATCTGGTGGAAAAAAAACAAATGTGTCCGGACTGAATAAAACAAAATCCCACCATATGTTATCTATAAGAAACACATCTAAGCACATTCTACTTGTATTAGGTTTTTAAATAGGCAAAACTAAATTATAGTGTTTGGGAATACTTGTTAAATGGCAAGGATGTGAGTCAAACTAAGACAATGATTAGCGCAGAAGTTGGCATAGAGTATATTTCTTGGGCGGAAAAGTGGCGTTGTGATTATCAAGGGGACTATGGATTGGGGGGCACTAGGGAGATGCAGAAAGTTGAAAATGTGGAGCAGAACGTTCCAGGATGATGGGAAAGCAAGCGCAAAGGCCAAGAGGCAGGAACGAGCCCAGCAAGCAGAGAGCACCTTGACATCACTGACACGCAGCGAGAGGAGCTGGGAGAGATGAAGTCAGGCAGGTCCACAGCCCAGATCTGGACCATGAAGAGCCCTGCAGGCCAGGGTTTCCAGATTGGATCTTAATCCAGAGCACAGCAGAGACGGGGAGGGCTCTCATGGGAGCTCCAGGTGGGTATACCTGTGCCAGGCAAGGGTTGGGGTGATGAGTAGAAATCTCAGAGGAGAAAGGGTGCCTAAGCTAGACTTCAAAGAAATGAGTAAGAATCAAACGTAGAAGAAAAGGGGGTGTGGAGGTCCCTGGGATGGAATGCACAGATAACTCTGAGCAGTTCATTCTTACTAGAGCATGGCACGCAAGGAAGGAATTGGAAAAGAAGTATTGGTGACTCTGGTGGACTTGAGGCCATGGAGAACTAAGAGACAGGATTTTTTTAAAAACACCTTTGCAAGCTCTAGGTCTCTAATTTGAAAGCCCCAACCCATATTAAATACATTACCTTGAACCTATATCCCATATGTTTTATCTATAAAAAAAAAGTGAGGGCTGCTCTCCAGTGCCCCCCCAACTCCACGGGCTCCTTGACAATCACACCACCACTTTTCCTCCCAAGAAATATATACTATACCAAAGTCTTCAAAATAATTTTTACAACTTTCCCTTTAAAAATTAATATCATAAGAAGATGGCAGAATGTGTACCATTGTCAAAGCTGTATGATGGATACATGGGAATTCATTATACTATTCTCTCTTCTTTTGGGCAATCAAAATTTTCATAATAAAAATAACCGAAGGAATTATTGTGTTCCTGTTCAGATTAAACCTTTATTATATTTAACCAAAGGAATTGTTATTTTGTTCTTGTTCAGATTAAAACTTTATTATATTTATATATAAGTCTCTGATTTGAGTTCAGCCATGAAATCATATCTTGTAAACAGAGACATTTAATAATGTTAGGAAAAAAATGTTGAGATAATTATCAGAGGCCGAGGATTACTTTTTAGGCACCAAGAAAATTTACACCCATAGGATTTTACAATGCATCCCTTACGGTTTTTATTTGCTTATTTGGTTGTCTTCCAAGTAAAACCTTTTTTTAAAAGCAAGAAACCTGGATCTAAAACACCTAATGAGGATATAATATGCAAAGTATAAAGAGAAAAAACTAGAAAAGAAATAAAAACATGCTGCTTTTTTTCTTTTCTCTCCTTTCTCTCTTATTTTTATACAGCTTTAGAAAACTGTCTGGTTGGCTGCAGGCATATCTGGATGTGCTTCCTGAAATTAAAAGCTTAAATTAAATAAAAACATCTAATGCATCAAATCATCTAAAACTCAAGAGAAATTCATGTGGCAGCTTAAGCATCTTCAGTATGTGGCACAGAATTTCTTAGGAGAGAAGGGAGTTTAGAATGGAACATCATCCAATTTAACAAAAATTTACTACCTCAGCAGCTTACTGGATAATGAACTAAAAGACACAAAAGTACTTTATGAACATGGTAACGTTTTCCTTCAAGGTGGTCATATGCAAAGTAGGCTCCATAGGTTGGTTTTACATCCTCAGTATCTTCAAAAGCTACAGACTGACTGAGGGACATAAGAGACTTGCCCTCTCTCTTCCTGTAAACAATGTGGAAATGATTAAAAAAAAAAAAAAAGTTTACTGGTTGATATCAGTTCCACAGCCTGGTCTGACAAATGCCTGCAGCTAATCTGCACCAAATATCTGAGCGAGGGCTCCAAACCTCCCAACGCTGCTTTCAACCTAGTTTCCCATTCCTATAGTGATTCATCACACTGTGAAGTTTCCACCCCACTCCTGGGCTTTTGGACTGGGACATAGTGACTTGTGAGTGACCGCACCCTACTGGCACCTACACCTCTTATTCCCCAGAAACGACAATGTACTTGTGTCCCTCGCCCTCACTATCTGCCACCCACATGCAGATAGGCCAAACAAAGAAATTAATCAATACACCTCCAGAAAATTGTTTCACACTTTCTCCCCACTCCTCAAAATGCTAATACTTCCTCCTCCCTCTTCACTCTCCTCAGATGCCCATTTCCTATTTCACTGGGATGATGGAGACAACCAGGAAAGACTTACCTGACTCTGCCTCCCTATGCCCCTGTCTGGACTTCCCTCCTGTTACCACAAATGAATGCTCCGTGCTCCTCTCTAAGGCAACTCCTGACTGTGCTCCACACCCCAGCGCCTCCTGCCTGGGCAAGGCTCGGCTCTTGCCATTTCTCTCCTCTCAGGCATCATCCATTTTTCCCTCTTTGCTGGATCATTCCCATCAGTATACAAACAAGCCATCATTTTTCCCTTGTTAAAAAAAAATCCTTAACCCCAAATTCCTCCTCTAATGACTATTCTCTTTTTCTGGACCTCTCTTTTATAACAAACCTCTCGAGAGTTCCCACATTGCAACTTCTCTCCTCCATTTTGTCTTAAGACCTTCCACCCAAACTGCTCTTGGCAGACACCGAATGACTTGCATGTTGCTACATGGACTGTGAGTAGTGACACAGCCAACGATGAATGTCTTCTTCTCTTGGCCTCCTCACTCACCTATCTCCTTCACAGCCTCCTTTATCAGCTCCTCCTCAATTCCATAACCTCTCATACGAGGCTGTCTCAAGCCTCCATCCTCAGATGTTTCCTCTACTTACCCTCACTCTCTTTGAGATCTCGCACCGTCTCGAGGCTTTACACACTATCTATTCACCAACAACTGCCAAGTCCACACCTCCTCCCTGAACTGTGCATTCACCTATCCAGCTGCCTACAGCACTCCTCTGCATAGATATCTAATAGATACCTCCAGATTCACATGACCAAAATCAAAATCCTGGACTTCTCCCCAGGTTTGCTCCTCCCTCACGCTTCCTCAACCCACTCAAGGGCAACTCCTTCTGTCTAACTGCCTAGGCTAAAACCCAAGCGTCATTCTTGAATTCTCACTTTCTCTCATACCACACAACCAATCTCCCAGAAGATTCTATTTATCTTCAAAATAAAGTGTAATCTGAGGCCTCCACTCAAACAGTTCATGAAAAACATATGTGTATGTATGTATGTATGTGTGTATAGGTGTGTGTGCACACTTGTACAGAAGGAACAGAAAAAACATCAGAGCAAGTATGGCATCATGTTAACAGTGGTGAATCTGGGTGGGTTTATACAGGATTTCTTTATACTATTCTTCAAACTTCTCTATAAGTTTTCAAAATAAAAAAATTGTTTCAAAACAAAAAAATTAAGAGAACTTTAATGTACAAATCTTGATTGGACTGTATCTGGAAAGAAATAGAAATATAAAAGAAATTGAAGGGAAGATAATGGGGAGAATTTGTCTACTGTGTCCTTCCCCAGTGAAATGTAAACCATATCCCAAGCACTTACAAGACCGCTGGGCATAAAGTAGGCACTCAAAATGTATTTGGGCAGTAAATGAAACAAACACATTGCAAATCAGTCCTAGGTGCTGGGTTCTCAAAAAAGGATAAGACTGGCTCTTTGTCATGAAGGAATTTACAGTCTGCAGATAAAAAAGAAATGTTAAGCAAGAGCATTGGGCTGTTGCCATTACTATTAAAGGGGCACACAAATGAGGGGACCATCAACTCTGCTTGGGAAAAAGAGAATGGGGGTAGGAGGCGTCCTTCATGGAGCAGGGGAGGCCACACAGCTTATGATTTGCTCTCCTCTGATGTCCCTGTCTCCTATTTCACTGGGATGATGGAGACAACCAGGAGAGACTTACCTAACTCTACCTCCCTATGTCCCTGCCTGGACTCCCTTCCTGTTACCACAAATAAACGCTCTGTGCTCCTCTCTAAGGCAACTTCATTAGACACTAAGTACCATTCCTGGCATAGAGTCGTCACCCAGTAAATATCCACGGTTTCCTAAATGAAGGTGAACTGAGTCTTAATGGAGAGGCAGGTATTTGTCACAGTAGGGGAAGGGCATCCCAGGTTGGGGCAGGTGGGCAGAACTTGAGCAAAGGCCAAGGGGTGAGAAGAAGCATGGCAGCCCCACCTGACAGCACAAGCCAGAGAGAAATGGATTGTTATAAATTCTCATAAAATTCTTAGGAAAAGAATAAAAACTTGTTCAAGAAGGGAGTCCACACAGAGAAGGCCCTTCTTTGCTTCAGAGGCAATCACAGTGCTACTATAGTGCTATCACTAGTATAATAGCTAACATTTATTATGTGCTTACAAGGTGATATGGTTTGGCTCTGTGTCCCCACCCAAATCTCATCTCAGAATATAATCCCCACATGTTAAGGGAGGGATCTGGTGGGAGCCAATTGGTTCATGGGGGCAGTTTGCTGATAGTGAGTGAGTTCTCACGAAAGCTGATAGTTTTAAAGAGAGTGAGGAAGTGGCACTTCCTCACTCTCACTCTCCCCTTCCACCATGTAAGACGTGCCTGCCTTGCTTTCCCTTGCCTTCTGCCATGATTGTAAGTTTCCTAAGGCCTCCCAAGCCAAGAGAAACTGTGAGTCAATTAAACCTCCTTTCTTTATAAATTACCTAGTCTCCAGTAATATCTTTATAGCAGTGTGAAAACGGACTAATACATAAGGCACCAGTGCTCTATGTGTTTTGAACAATTCTAATGGCCCCATTTTAAATTCAAGGTACTATTTTGACTCAGGTTAAGTTTCAAGAAATCGAGGCTGAGGAGGCTGGTTAGTGCTAGAGACAGGCAGGTAGAGCTGGCAGTCAGAGCTGTCCTCTTGGCCTAAGATAGAAACCTCCCAGTTCTACCACAAGGACCTCACCCTACTGTTTAGACAAGTAAGGAACCACAGTTTCAAATTACATGCCACTTTAAAAGTCAGAAAGCCAGAAAATCATGTTCTCAACAAGAAGCTTTTCTTTAAAGAAGGAAAAGAAGAAGAAAATAAAACTATGAGCTTTAACTCCTCCAACAAAAATCATCATATCAAATCTGCCAAATAATTATACCTTCAAACATTTGGGGATTTAATAGAAACAAAGCCCCGATAAAAGGCATGGTACTAATGTATACCCAAGAGTATTAAGCAAGCTTAGAATGGTATTATTTGATTAGGTAGGTGAATTCAATTCATTTGGCAGCCCTTAATACTAATTGAATTGATCAAAATTAATTAGTTTTCTTGAGCTCTGACTATGTGTTTGGCAATATCGTAGGTGCTTTACACGAATCATTTTATTTAATCACTATATTAAATAACAACTTTATCAGGTTTTTAAGGTTATCGCCTTGTTTTATGGATAAGGAAATGAAGGATTGTTTGTTCATCCTAAGGATGATGATAAAATAAAGAGATATTACCATTTATGTATCAAGGGAAGAGATCCTGTTTTCCCATCTAGCAGCAAATACAGAACCCAGCAGATAGTAAATGCTTGACACACACACACACACACACACACACACACACACACACACACACAAAACTTATTGAGCCACGTAAGTATTGGAAAGAAACAGAAAGAACAACTTACTGTCATGGAGTAAGAGAAGCTTTTGGGTTTTAATACGCCAAAGATTTAGCCAGGATTCATGTAAACGCTTCATAATTCCAGATAAGACAATATTTTATTTTTAAATCAATCCAGTGGAAATGATGCACATAAGTTCAAGTCTTATTTCAGAACTAGAATCAGTAAGAACTGAAATTAGTTCAAGTTGGACACATTTCCCCGACTAAAATGGGAGAGGAAACAGTAGAGCAATACTATCTCAATGAATAATGGAAGGGAAATACGAGTGTCCACTGAAAAGTACATCTAAAGGACAACGTTAGAAGAAATTCTGCATTTGGCTACTTCTGGAGATCTGTTTGGACCTATCAACTAGTGCTACAGGTGCAGTTTTAATCCCTTCCTACCTTCTCATAAAATACTACATAGCCTACATTCCTCATACACTGAGAATTTCTCACTCAGTTTCTATTTTTCTGCAAACCATATCCCAGGCTTCAGATCACTTAGTGGGACCTGATACAAGCCAAAACCACTCCTACTATTGGGGCCTGCTCCAACCCCTCACCTACTCCTGCTCCACCCCCAGCCACCCACAGAGAAGGAAAGGAGAACTGAGAGAAGGTTCCATGACAGATCTGCATGAAAGCTGGGTTCCACTGATAATGAGCACCAAAGGTCCTAAATAAGGCATTTCCAATCTCAGTGACTCCCGGCACCTAGAACAATGATAAACACTGCAAGGCTTAATGGTATATGTGCCAAGGTTGGAATGTCTGGCAGAATCCTACTACAGGATGGTCACTTGTCCCATGGGTATCACTAGATAAACACTGTTCCTTTGAAAAATAAAAATAATATAAATTGTAATATAACCCACTTAGCCTATATACTTCAATAGTAACTCTGTCCCCCAAATCTATCATAAAATTTATTCACAAGAAGCTCTCTACATTGACCAATTCTTAGATTTGTTGATTTCAAATCTGGTTTGCTACCCAACAAGCACTCACTCATTTGCAATATGATGACTCAGCCCTGTCCCCAGGGAAAGCTAGATGCTCCTGTTGCTGTCTGCTAAATTATTGTGCCTGATTCCTCTTTAAACTCTGAGCACCAGAAAACAGTGATTTTATCCTTTTTTTCCCCCATAGGTTACTGGGGTACAGGTGGTGTCTGGGTACATGAGTATGTTCTTTTGTGGTGATCTGTGAAATTTTGGTGCCCCAGTCACCCCTTTTTTCTCCATTTGGTCCATGTAACCACCATTGAAAATTCAGCAGTGTCACCTCCTCCAGAAACCCTTTCCTGCCTCCTCCTTCCTCTTCTCAGTCTTCCCTAGGACCATTTGAAAGAATAAACTCAAGCTTTCTCTAATTAGAGTCAGGCCTCTAGTCCCTAGAGATTCACTTCAATCCCTGAAGTCCAGTTAATTGACTCATTCACTGGACATTTTGGGGGGCCTTACAAAGCACCAGACATTGTGCTGAGTGGTGGGGATGAAAAGATAAATAAGACACAGTCCCAGAACTCAAGGTATTGACGGTCAAACAGCAGAGATGGATGCAAACAGCGAACACGGCAAGTCTCCAAGTGCTCTAGTAGAGAACAACTAGAAGTGCAATATGGGTGGCAAGGAGAAAGCAACAAATTTAACTCCAGCCCTTCATAAGTTGGAGGTGGAAAGGAAAGAGAAAGGAGGCTGTCATGAGCAAATAAAAGACCAAACTGCCCCCTTTCCATGTTTGCTCTGCAGGCAGTAAAATAATACATTATTTTCTATTATATAATACATAATATTATATATATACGTAAAATATTATATTATTACTGAATTTCTCTAACATTGTGCTTCAGCTGGGTACAAATCCCAGCTCTGCTGCTTAGTAGCTGTGTGGTGTTGGGTCAGGTATTCCACCTCTCTTTACTTCTCTTTATTTGTGGGTGAGAAGAACTTTTAATATCTAACATATTACAAAGGATTGTTATTTAAATGTAAAGGCTCCATCACAGCAACTGAACTGTATAAATACCTCAATAAATACTTCTTTCCCCTCCCTTCTCAGGGTCTAAGTCTCCTGCCAGCATTAATGCCCACTACATCTGCAAGAAAACCTATTATATACTAATATGTAAGCTGAAAATATGCAACTTCATTACAACTGTGGCTAAAGGCATACAGGAGTTAGAGAACTTTGCAGAATTAAGGAATATGGCCAAGACTTGAGCCTCTAATGCCAATCCTGCTGTTAACCTTGGCCTGTGTGTCATGGTGTACCAAGTGTTTAATGCTGCAACATCCCCTCAATCACAGTATATCCTCCATGGAACAGTACACTAGCTTTTCTACACAGTTGAACCCTAACAGCAGTAAACAGCCTCCCTTGTCCACTGCTAGGACATTGTAAATAGGCAATATAAGAAATAGTGCCCAAGTCTACAGTAATTTGCCAGCAGCTCACCTTGCAGTCAATAATAACTGAATTGTAAATTTAAAAATAATTAAAAGAGTATAATTGGATTGTTTGTAACGCAAAGGATAAACGCTTGAGGTGATGGATACCCCATTTACTCTGTGATCTGATTATTACATGTGGCATGCCTATGTCAAAATATCTCACATACCCCATAAATACATATACCCATTTATGTACCTACAAAAATTTTAAAAATCAAATAGAATAAAAGTAGTTGGCTCCAATTGCTTTTAGTTAAGTTTCCTATCATGTGGAGGGCTTATTATGAATTTGGATGTGGGAAGGCCTACAAATAAACCTCACAAACCTACTTTCAATAGTCAATTGGAATCTGCTCAAATCATTCCAACTTGAGAAATGGCTTGATACCCTGTTACTTAGTCCAAATGCCCATCCTCCACTACCACCATCTTATGCACAAACTCCTTCACCCTTACATTCCTAGGTGTTATATTCGAATATCAGGAGCCATGTGCAATGCGCCAAGTTTCAGGACAAATAGACAAATTAGTAATGGTTGAAGATTCTTTTAATCCTTGCCAGGATGTGGTTACCATGAGCTAATAACCGCAAGGCGAATAGCCAGGAGGAAATCAAACACTCCAGCTCCAAGCAGAAGGCACCTACCCCTATAACAATGGGAAGTGACTGCAAAGGAGGGAGGAAGGAAGCATGAAAGAGAAGGAGAGCAAGAGAGGGCAAGCCAGACGGGATTCCCAAGAGGAAGTAACAGAGTGCTTCCTTTTCAACAATCTAAAATGTAATTCTCTTGATGGCAAAGTAAGACACAAGGCCCAGAATAACCCATAACTGGAGCCATAAGGAAGGGGCCCTAGAAGGAAACCACTTTGCTTGAGTATTACAATTGATGGCTCCCTGTAAGATATTAAATAACTTTACCAATGCGCAGAATCAATTGTCCCTGTGAGTTCTGCAAGGTCAGAAATTGTTGCTTACTCAACTTTGCAACCACATTTGAAAGGGAACCAAGCACTGAGAGATGCACATTAGACAAACATCCCCTCACTTAATCCCAAATGACTTTATAAATAGTAGCTATTATTCTCCTTTCACAGAAGAAAAATCTGGGGCTTGGCAACATTAAAAGACTTGCTAGGGGTAACAGAGCTTGAGCCAGACCATGAACCAGGTAGATTCGATTCCCACTCTCAAATTTGTTCAAGATCAGTTGCCTCTTGTACTTCTCCTGCACACAGGAGGTAACCAATAAATATTACATTTAAGAGCAAACTCCTGTACCCAGAAGTCACGCTGACCTCCTAAGGCTGATCAGACTGTTCAGGCCCCAGCAGAGGTGGCTTTACTAAAGCCAGCACCACAGAGGACCAGGCTTTGTTCCTCTGTCCCTCCTGGTGCAGGCAAGCCGTGTCCTCTTCAGAATCACCTGGGTAAATTTAAAATCTCTGAAGTTCAAAGACATTCACTGTGTATTCTGACATTTCTCATGTGGTGCTTCAAAAGTCCTGGCTTCTGGAGGCACAGTGGGCATCACTCCCTACTGAAGTAGGACACCTTTCTTCATCCACTTCTGTCACATCGCTACACAGTAGCAAGCCAAAGGTGCTGAGGCTCTGAACTCGCGTTGGTTTTTCATCTTTTTCTTGTGCGTGAGTAATGCCCAAGTTGATAGTCCTGTGAATCCACATGGATTCCGCCTCCTTAGGGTTCCACAGAATCAGAGCTTCGTCCTAAATTGAGAATCTGCTCTCCTTGCATCTTCTTGGATCTCTCCTCCTCAAAATGATCGACATCAGAGCCACCTCTCTTAGGTAGCATGCTTGTGGCTCTGAGGAAGCCATGTGGCCAGGGCATGGCTGTGACAGACTAATAGCTATTTGCTGCTGCTCCTGATACCCCAAAGTGAGTAACAACAGAAACCGACAACCTTCAGGCAGCTGACACTCACTACCCCCATACCATGGGCAAGACATCTTTCTAAACACTTTATTTATATATATTAATTCATCTAGTCTTCACAACAACCCTATGAAGCAGACACTATTAATGTGCCCATTTTACGAATCCAGTGGCCAGCAACCCTCCCAAATACCCGAGAGGTTTTTATCAGAGAGAAGACTCCAATGCAGACTCCCAGGCTCCACAGCCCACTGCCTTCACCACCATACTGACCCACTGGTCCTGCTACCAGGCTTGTGGTAAAAGTGTGAATGTCTTCTAATGTGAGCCTAACACGGATTTCATATTTGCTTATATCTGATTTTGTCTGCCAGAAATACTAGGTGAACACAGAGAACTGAACCAGGCTGAACTGAATGGCCTAGGAGTATATATGCACACACGCGTGTGCACGCGCACACACACATTCACACTCTCTTCAAATATGTCCAAGCTACCTTAGTCACACCAGTTATGAGCCACACGCATCCGGCATTGCAACTTTCCCTCTGATTTCAGATCTTCCTCCTTCCAGCACTTCACAGTAACTCACTGCCACCCTTCTGACATTGTTACAGACTGAATTGTGTGCCCCCAGAACACATACGTTGAAGCCCTACCTCCCAATGTGACTGCCTTGGGAGATGAGGCTGTTAATAAGGTAATTCAGGTTAAATTAGGTCATAAGGGTAGGACTCTATTCCAATATGATTGGTGTTCTTATAAGAAGAGGAAGACACACCAGGGATATGCACACACGGTGGAAAGGCCAGGGAAAGAAGGCCCTGGAGAAACCAAACTTATGTCACCTGGGACTTTTAGCCTCCAGAACTATGAGAAAATACATTTCTGTTAAGCCACACAGTCTGCGGTATTTTGTTATGACAGTCTGAGCTAACACAGCAACAGCCACTACAAGCAAATGTTAGGTCCATTTCAAGGTCAAGTGCCGTATTTATTGTAGTAGCTATGTATTTCTTAGCCATTTAATGTGTATAAAACTGCTCCTGTTTTTATTAGGTTCCTAGCTTATTTTCAAAGTGTCACTGATGAAATTTCTGAGTGTTGTGTCCCTAACCCATTCTTCTCACAAACCCTAAGTTATTTTCTTTTGTTGTGCGATTTTGCATGGTGTGGCCATTTTTAGGAATGCAGCATATGTCATATGACAGCACAAGTGACTATACTACTGCCCACAGGTCAATGACTTACAGATCCTGAAGATGAAGCATAAAACATAACCTTTCTACAGCCGTCTTCAGGCACTCTGATGAGGCTGGTTCTATTAAAAACATTTCAAGAAGGGCAGGTGCCAAGTACAGACACACATGATGTGTAAGCATTAGTGTGGGCACCTGTATAAAATACGACACTGTATAAGCAGTAAATGATAAAGGATGTATTTCTGGATGGTATGCTTTGAAGTCTTTCCCCCTACAATTCTGTATGAACATTATGTAGACTTTTATAAATCCTCTACAATCAAAATCAATTATAAGGATTTGCATGATTCTGCTCTGAATCAGAAACAAATAACTTTTAAAATACATTAAGCAACAACAAGAAATAGTACATAGGTTCAAAAATAACAGACTGGGTTAAATAATAATATGATGCCTTAATAAATTCAGTTATTCCTCTACATTCTGTCCTCTTTATTACCATCCAATTCCATGTTGAACAAAATTATTGGAAAAAAATATTATTTAAAAAGCCTTTAGAAATTTAGACTTTACATAACAACTGACAACTCAAATGTAGGCAGACCACAGCAGTAGCTAATGTGCAGCCAGCCTGACCAAGGTATGGCCTGTCTTGTATTTTTAGCAAAAATCTCTTTTCCTTAATTAGCCAACACACATGCATTAGAGGCCTAGCCATATGCCATCAAGGAATGTGTGAGGCTTGTTCTAAATGGAAAACCTGAGTTCACCGGCCACAGATGGTAGGTCTAGAATAGAACGAGGGGGACAAGGTTTCAAAGGCTTACTCGAGGCAAAAGAGCAGACTGTCCATAGTCCGGTTCATCAATCTTCAGAATTTCTGTAATGAAAGCAATGCTGCCTTGAGGATACTAACAGCTTTGAAGAGTGCCTGGCTAGGCTAAATGAAACTGCACACCATCAAGGCACCATATCCCAGGAATACTGGAGACAGGCACACCAATTACAGAACTATTCACATTTTTCTATTAAATGGCAAAACTCTGAGAAATGGATGACTGTGCCTAGCACTAGGAGACGATATTCTCTTCCTTGAAACTCTGAAAGAACCACAAATAGTATTATAACCCTAAAGCAGGGTTCTGCAAACTATGGCTAGAGGGCCAAATCCAGCCTGCCATCTGTTTTTGTATGGCCCATGGGTTAAGAATAGCTTTTATTTTTTGTAATGTATTTTTTAAAGATAATACTTTACAACACATGAAAATGACATATTCAAATTTCAGTATCCATAAATACACTTTTACTGGAACACAGCCATGCACATTTGCATCATCTCTGGCTGCTTTTATGCTGCAGCAGAATTGTAATTGCAACAAAGTCCATATGATCTAAAATATTTATTTCATGGCCATTTATAGGAAAAGTTTGCTGACCTCTGTCCCAAAGCTAAAACTGACCTGAATACAACCCACAGATATAAAACTGTTTAAGGTAATAGTCTTGCACACCAAGACATTCACTGAGCAGTGACTTGGACTATAACAATGTACTTTGAATTACAGAAGTTGTTCTCCAAACCAGGGACTGTTTTGTATTAATGGAAAATAACCACAACTATCACCACAACAGAAACAAAACAGCTCAACCCTGTACTTTTCAAGAACTAGAGACTGTCCACCAATCTTATGATTTTTTCCCCAGACTTATAATCAGCATTTACACATTGCTGATCATGTATCCTAGTACTGAAAAAACAAAGATGCCATTTCTCTAGAAGATAATAGTTTCTTATTCCCCCCTTCAAAAACTGCATTCATTATGAGGAGAATTTTGGCAGTAAATTTTGTAACTGATGCTCATGTCATGGTCTGATAGAGAAAATAATCAAAATTGAATTTTCTCTCTGGCAAAACTTTGTCCATCACCAGAGTATGGAATATATGGAAATGGTTTACAAATATTCAGGGTTTTTTTTTTTTTGCAAGTAGGTGGCTGTTTATGAAAACATGTTGAACATATTCCCCATACTATTTCCTCAGATAAAAGACTGATCTGAAATAAAGGAATATAAGAGACTCAACTGCTTGTTTCCTATATGACCTCACTTCCCTTCCCCTGTCATCAATTATTAGGCTCCACTTTCCATGAAGGTCACAAGATAGCACTGATAATTTATAAACAGCTGTAAAAACTGCTATTTAGATTCAAGGTGACCAAGTTAGTAGCATGAAGGCAATTGGTTAACCCATTCATTTTTCAATGATGAATTAGCTCGTGTTCAATGGAATCACAAACTAAGAAAAATCACAGGGCTTCTTTGCAGAAATAATCACAGTTTCGAAAGGGTCCCAGGTTTTGATGAGTCTGCTGCCACTATACAGAAGCATACAAATATGGCAGCATTGGGGGAAAGTTTTAATCAGTATCAATTCTAAAATGGAATTCCTAAAGAAAAGGGAATCTTAAGCTGTCATCTTACTCAACAAACTCCGTAACTTCAGCAGCATAGGGAGTAAGCTCCAATTCAAATCACTGAGTAGATTTTCAGATTACATATGGGAGATTCATCTTTCCAATCTTTGAGACTGCTTAAATAAAAGCCCTGTATTATATTTCCTCCCAGACCTGTGCTATGAAATGTACTGCACGATACTCAAAAATGATGAGCACAGGCAGGGTCCAAATGAAAGGAATGCCATTTATTCTGACATCTTATCTCTGCTTCTTCTGTTACATCCAGCAAATATATTTAATATCTTATTTATTTTATATTATCCTGAGTGATAAAAACCCACCACTTGGATGCAATTGTCAGAGAAGGATGATACAGCTTCCCCAGCCCAAAGGCATAATCCCAACCGGCACCTGCTTCCATTCGGAACCAGTTGCTTCTCAAATGTCTCACATGACATCTCATTTTTATAAATTCTTCATTCTCTCTTGAAATTCTCTATTTCAGTTGCCAATAAGAATCTGAATGCTTCTGGAAGAAGTATTCATCAAAACTGACATGACTGTGAATGACTGACTTCAAGCAAGAGAAAAAAAATCATGTCAATGTATTAGCATTTTACTCGCTAAACAGCTTCTACTCATTCCATCTGCATGTAATGTGTGTGCCAGAAATTGGACATGCCTGCAGATGCTTACAAGCACAGTTTGGCTTGCATACTGGTGCTATTCCACACTGCTGAAAGATGAAATACAATTATCCTGAAGGAATTCTATATTTTGAAAAATAGGAACTTATATAATAGAAAAATTATATAGATCCTTTACATTTTGACCCTCAGGCAACGAGCTCCAAATTTGTGTTCTCGTTTTCTAATTTCACCTTTTAGTATTTCTGAACAGCAACTGTCTTTCTTCTTAACCAGGGATGTGTGTCATAAGCACTTGGGGCATTTTTTTCCATGATATACATGTTCAGACTCCACCTGAGTCATCATCCTGACACCCTGGGATGGGGCTCGGGCACGTGTATTTTGAAAACATCACTAGGTGATTGCGAAATGCATCCTTAGTTAATAACAACTATTCTAGATCTTTTTTTATATAGGTAAGTAAGTATGACACACACATTTGCATACACAGACCACTATAATTCTACTTTATCCCTCACGGTGTTCTCTAAATGTTCTCCTTTGCCATCCCATTCTTTCCTCTGAATTTCTGTCTTTAAAATTGTCATGGAGCTTTCCATAGTCAGGTAATTTTCCTAGACAAATTTTATGCTAAGGCAGTATATATTAGGCACTCATTTATAGGGGCAAAGTGACAAATGTGATCAGCAACTCTTTCCAAAACAATGCCATTTTAACACACAGTCATAACAAATTATTTATTTGGCAGAGTCCTGTTGAGAAATGAAAGAACAAGATGTGACCCTGTGGTCTTCAAGCAACACAGAATTGGAATTGAAATAGATAGGCAAGTTAAGTAACCACATAAGGCAGCATGTGATTCAGGGTTAAATTCCTAGTACTCTCAGGATGCAGGGGTAGCTGTGCTCACTCCAGCCCCAATAGTCAGGCCACACTTCAGAGAGGGCCTGGGATTTGAAGAATGGTGAGGGGATAAATGGGTAAGGCAGAGGAAGTTCCTGGCCTGGAACACCATACACAAGGCAGGAAGGAAGAAGGCACAGACAGTAAAAACACAACCCTCTAGAAGGAAGATGTCATTTGGGTGACTGACATTAAACAAGCAAAAGACAGATTCTAGTTATCAGGCTCAGGGACCTAATATTTATCCTATAGTTGCCTTAAAATCACCAAAGTTTTAAAGTGTCACAACATGGGGATAGTAGTATTTTAGAAAAATAATTTGGGATTTTTGGTAGCAAACAAAATGTCTATGTGTATGCAAGATAAAAAAAATAAGGAGACATATGAAAGCATATTGGGCTATAATGGCGAATTTACAAAGAATTAATAGAACTCAGTGGCTGATTGACTTGAGTTTCCAGCCTATGACAAAACGGAAGCATAAAAACAATAGGAAAAATAAAGTCAGGAGTGGAAGCAAATTAGAACTGCCAGTTGGAGCCCGCAGAACGATGCCTTAGAAGAAACATCTGCACTGTACACATGGCTTTGGAAGAAACTGGTGAGAGGAAATGATTTTAACACACAGAATGGAAGGTAGGGCAAGGGAAAAATGAGATTGAAGACTAAATCTGGAGTGTCATTAACACATTAAAGACCACACAGCAAACACAGAATAAATGATGCAAACAAAAGACCTTGGAAAGGCAGGAGAATCTAGTGGCAACTCAGAAACCAAGGAAGAAGAGAGTTTCAAAACAAAACTTCATCAATACTATATCATACAACAGAAAGATGAAAGGCCACTGACATTGACCCAGTTCTAATCCCAGCAAACCCCCCGTGCACCCCAACCTACAGTTGATCCTTTCCCTTTAATCTTTACTGACTATCCATATCAATCCTACAACACACATATCTGGTTATTTTCTTTTTTTGAGATGGAGTCTTGCTCTGTCGCCCAAGCTGGAGTGCAGTGGTGCAATCTTGGCTCACTGCAAGCTCCACCTCCCGGGTTCATGCCATTCTCCTGCCTCAGCCTCCCGAGTAGCTGGGACTGCAGGCGCCTGCCACCACATCTGGCTAATTTTTTGTATTTTTAGTAGAGACGGGGTTTCACCATTTTAGCCAGGATGGTCTCGATCTCCTGACCTCATGATCCGCCCGCCTCGGCCTCCAAAAGTGCTGGGATTACAGGCGTGAGCCACTGCACCTGGCCCCATATCTGGTTATTTTCTAATATCTATCTTTGACCTACACATACTCAGATATTATGTCTTATTTCCATAACACTATTACAAATTTCTTGAGGGAAGAAATGATGTTATTTTATGCACCATCTCTTCCCCATCATTGTGCCTCCACATTGCCATACCACTAGCAATCATTTAGAAGCATTTTTAATTGATCATAACTATGACTGTCTTATTTATTGTGGTATGCACATAATGACCTGCTGAATTCATGGAGAAGAGATAGACACTGCTCTAATGTTAGTACTTGCTACACAAAGTGTGACCTATAGACCAATGGCACCAGCATCATGTAGAAACTTGTTAAAAATGCTGCCATCCCAGACTAAGTACATCAGATTCCGCATTTTAACAAGATCCCCAGGTGACTGATGCTTATCTTAAAATCTCAAATACAATAGTATTTGAGAGAAACTGGAGTAGACTCAGCATAGTAGGGGCTGGCACCAAGTCACCAAAGAAGTTAGTCAGAGGAGGGAAAGATGGCACATGACTTTCAGCATGTAGACATGTGCTGAGACCCAACTTCACCCTTGCTCAGACTCGTGGCTCAAAACCAGAGCCCAGGCCCTTTGGATATATGGCAGGGCCAAGCTGGGAAGCAACTGTGGCTTTTGACCAAGAGCCCAGATACATAAATCCTTCTCCCATAAACTGCCAGTAAGTTCATTTATTGAGAGGGCTTTGCTGATTGTATCCACCAGGTTGGAGATACAGGAAGGCCACTGTCTCCTGCCTGCCCCTGGGAACTGAATGTCTCAGTATAAAACCCGACTATACATTTGTTCAATTCTGAGATAGGAGAAAAGCTGCCCTATGGTGGGAGGCGAGACATGTTTGCAGCAATGCTGCCTTGTTATTCTTTACTCCACTGAGATGTTTGGGTGGAGAGAAACATAAATCTGGCTTACGTGCATGTCCAGTCATAGTACCTTCCCTTGAACTTAATTCTAACATAGATTCTTTTGCTCACATGTTTTTTGCTGACCTTCTCCTTATTATCACCCTGCTCTCCTACTACATTCCTTTTTACTGAAATCATGAAAATAATAATCAATAAAAACTGAGGGAACTCAGAGGCTGGTGCCAGTGCAGGTCCTTGGTGTGCTGAGTGCCGGTCCCCTGGGCCCACTGTTGTTTCTCTATACTTTGTGTCTTCTTTCTTTTCTCAGTCTCTCATCCCACCCGACTAGAAATACCCACAGGTGTGGAGGGGAAGGTCACCCCTTCACACTGAAACACTTTTTTCACATAATTGAAAGCCAAAGCTGAAAATGCAGCTCCAACCCCAAAGAGAAAGGGCCTGCAACTAAGAGAGTTACACCGAAAGCACTACTGTTTAAATGACCAGACGTCAGGAAACAGCTCCCGAAAGAAGAAATTGAGGGACTGTTAGAAGACATAGGAAGAGTTACACCCAAAAGATGAAGACCACATAGGGTAATGACTCTCCAGGCACGTCTTCCCTTTCTTGGGGATGTTCTCAATGTTTCAATGTATTTTTCTCTGGTTTTCCTATAGGTAAGTGCATGAAGTATCACTACTTCAAAATATCACTGTGCTGGAAGAGCTCTCTGTGGGTCCTTTAATATATTTAACAGCCTTATTGATATATAATTTATACACTATATAAAGTTCACATTTCAGAGATGGAAGAGACTTCAATTCCATCCCCCAACTTCAAGCAATGCTTCATTAAACTCACCCAGAAATATAATAGAGCCATTTCTTAAATCTCCAGGAATACAGAAGATTGTCACGACCCTCTGATAATATATCCTAATATCTCAGTTTTTATTAGTAGGAAGAACCTAAGTTGCCTTTGCCTTTACTAAAATTCAAACTACCCACATCTATAAAAGTAACAACTTTTAATGCTGTATTTCAAAGATGACTGATTAAAAAGACCATTGTAGATCCTTTTATAATATGCTTACTTTGTAGAAACTCCATTAAGAAGTGAAATTTATTTACTGTATCCAAAGGGGAAGTCACAAATTCTTACAAACTACTGTTTCCTGTGTTTTTCCTGAACTATTTTCCCACCAGATTGCAGCTTTTTAAGGGCTGCTGAAGCCTGCACAGATCTTTTATTTTTCACCTCAGGGTTGGCATGAGTACTTAGGTCTTTTCTTTCAAAAAGAAAAACAGCAACTTACATGCTCTCACAGAACCTCGTCAGCGTGCTTGGCTTCTCCTGATTGCGTCTTTGTCGAAACCAGCGCTGAATGCTTCGAACATCCCAGTCCAGTTGCTTGGAGAGGCCTTCCAATCTCTTTTCATCAGGATGCTATGAAACAAGGTACCAGAAAAATAATTTTCAATCCATTTTCATTTTCACTATAAACAGATCTGCCCTTGTCTATATCTGAGAGGTTTTTTTCCCCCTATTGTTTACTATCTGCTACTGAGATTTCTATATTTACCTCTGAGGACCGAGGCCTTCCACTAGCAGCATGAACAAAAATAACCACTAGGACAAAAGAAGTTACTCATGAAACAACATTTAGAAACATGAATCTTGCTCTAATGCTTGCACTTCTCCTCATCAGCAATGTGCTTCCCTAAGGGCAACAAAGATTCAATGGAACATCCAACAAACTGAGTCAGCCTCATCAGCCTTCAAAGGAAGGGAGTCCATTGAAGGTAAATTTGCAAAGAGGTATCATTCAAATATCTCACTTTCTCAACAACAACAACAACAACAAATGCTACCCAATCATCACATATCAGGATAATGTAGTAGAGACAAAAAGCATGGAAAAAAATCCTAAAGTGCCTCATTTAAGCCTAAGGTACAATTTTTATCAAACACAGTTTATCTTTCTTCCCCTTCTCATATCCTTTGTCCCCATTTTTCACACATTCCTCTTCTATTCGTTTTCTTGGTCATCCCTTTTTAACTGTATCCCACATCGAGTCTTTTACTAAGACTATGCATTACTTGAAAAAAGTACACTTGGTGAAGCGGCAAGAGATGGCCCTGAAATGATAGGCACTTGTTCAATTCCTCACTCCATTGACCTCTCTGAGCCTCAGTTTCCTCATCTGTAAAAAAGAAAAGGTTGTTTACCAACCTAAATTATATTGCAACAAGAACCAAATGTGAAACTGTATGTACAACTCAGTAAATGTTAATTTTCCTCTTTCCCATCTGATACGGTTTGGCTATGTCCCCACCCAAATCTCATCTTGAATTCCCACAGGACCCAGCGGGGGAGGTACTAAATCATGGGGGCAGATCTTTCCTGTGCTGTTCTCATGATTGTGAATAAGTCTCACAAGATCTGATGGTTTTAAAAAGGGGAATTTCCCTGCACAAGTTCTCTTTTGTCTGCCACCATATGGGACATGCCTTTCACCTTCCGCCATGATTGTGAAGTCTCACCAGCCATGTGGAACTGTAAGTCCAATACATTTCCTTCTTGTTGTAAATTGTCCACTCTCAGGTTTGTCTTTATCAGCAGTGTGAAAATGGACTAATACACTATCCCTCCCCTCTATTCAATGTGTTAGAGAATGTCTAGCCAACAATCACATGAGGGTGATCTACTACCCAACAAAACTAAGCCACGTGACCTCCATTCCTTTATTATATCTTTGCTTAATATTAACTATGTTTATTTAATCTTTCTTTGATTTGATACTAATGCTTTAATGTAAGTGATCAGGAAAAATAGGGGTAAGGAGAAGGCACAATGACCAAACTTCAAGTAATAAGGGTGAAATATATATATATATATATATGATACCTTTCTAAAAGCAGCTCAAGCAGCTCAAGGGGTCAGTGCTATGGACTGAATGCTGCGCTCCCCAAAATTTGTATGTTGAAACCCACATGCCCATTGTGATGGTATTAGAAGCTGGAGCCTTTGAGAGGTAATGAGATCATGAGGGTGAACCTCTCGGATTAGATTAGAAGTTATTAGAAGAGACACTAGAGAGCTTGCCCATGCTTGCATGCTCTCTGTCTCTCTCAGTCTGTTCCATGTGAGGTTACAAGAGAAGATGGCCATGTGCCAACCAGGAAGAGGACCTTCACCAAGAGGTCAGCCACATCTGCATGCTGATCTCAGACTTCCAGCATCCAGAACTGTGAGAAATAAATATTTGTTGTTTAAGCCACCCAGTTGATAGTATTCTGTTACAGCAGTCAGAACTGACTAGAACAGACACACACCCAGAAAACACAGCAAATCACTGTAGGGTACAAAATGTACTGACCTTGTGCCTATAAACGTTATTTGCCAACTTTGGGGTTTTTTGGGGTTTTTTTTTTAGTAGTAGTAATGACACCATCTACACTCACCTTTGATGTCTCTCTTAATCAAAAATACGGGAAGGAGAAAAATCATTGCCTACAATATACCTTGGCTACACCATTATCCTAATGGAATTCATTTTTAATTTCAATTTATTTTCTTAGTTTATTAATAAAGAAAAAATTCATATGGTGCAAAAATTTAAAATTATCCAAAGTTTCACCTTCCAACTTTGTTCTGGCTCTTTCAATCCCTATTCTCCCCTTCTTGTCAGATAACCACAGTTATTATTAAATCAGTTTCTTATCAGATAACCATAGTTATTATTAAATCAGTTTCTTTTTTGTGTGTGTGACAGAGTCTTGCTCTGTCGCCCAGGCTGGAGTGCAGTGGTGCAATCTCTGCTCACTGCAAGCTCCACCTCCTGGGTTCACACCATTCTCCTGCCTCAGCATCCAGAGTAGCTGGGACTACAGGCGCCAGCCACCACACCCTGCTAATTTTTTGTATTTTTAGTAGAGACGGGGTTTCACTGTGTTAGCCAGGATGGTCTCGATCTCCTGACCTTGTGATCCACCCGCCTTGGCCTCCCAAAGTGCTGGGATTACAGGCGTGAGCCACCGCGCCCAGCCTAAATCAGTTTCTTTCCAGTATTTACACAAATATAAGCAAACTTGAATATATATTATTATATCACCCCTTGTCACAAAAATAGTTGCATACTACAGACATTTGTCCGGGCTTTGGGTTTTTTACCTTACAATGTATATTGCAATATTTCCTTTTCACTATATATAGAACACCCTTATTCTTTTGTAGAGCTGTAAAGATATACCATAATTTACTTATCCATTCTGCTATTAATGGACATTTTGCAGCTTCTGAGCTTGTTCTATAAACAATGCTACAATAAATAACCTTACCTGGGCCATTTTATACATGTTTCTCTCTAAGTTCCTGAAAGTGAAAGTTGTAGATCGAAGGGGTCTATGCATTTGTAATATAATTTTGAAATTGAAAAGTTATTCTTACTAGTGATTTTACCAATTTATACTCACAAGCAAGAGCGCCCATTTTCCAAAGCCTCTTCAACAGACTATGATATCAGACGTTTCCATTTTTTCCAGTCTAATACATAAAACAGGATCTCAGTTTCAATTTCCTTTTTATGAGAGAAGCATTTTATCATGTGTTTCAAAAATCAACTGTATTTCCATTTTTTTATGAAGAGTATATTCATATCTACTGCCTATTTTTTCATGATTCCTTGGTATTCTCCTTGTTGATTTGTAAGGCATCTTCATATGTTAGGGTGATTAAACCCTTCTCTGTACCAAAAGCTGCATACTTTTTTCCAGCATGTCATTTGCATTTTAGAATTTGCTTATGATGTTTTTTGCTTGTTTTACTTCCAGAAATTTGATAAAAATATATTTGAATTTATCAATCTTTTCTGTTATAGTTTCTACATTTGAAGTCATAATTAGCAAAGCCTCCCTCATTCCCAATGTTCAAAAGATTCTCCCAGGTTTCCTTTTAATAAATGTAGGGTTTTGATTTTTATATTCAAATCTTTAGTACATTTGGAATACATATTGGTATTGAGTAGGAGGAATGAATCTAACTTTATTTGTTTCCAGATGGCTACTCATATACCATTCATCTTTTCCATCAAAAATCCAAATCTTTTCTTCCATTGGTCTATTTATTAATGCGCCAGTACCAGTACTATACAGCTAGTTTTCTCAGAAATCTTTATACTTTTTCTAAATGAATTTCAGAATTAGCTTATCTATTTTCAAAATAAACAAATGGTCACACAAGGAACCCTGTTAGTATTTTCAAGAAGATCATACTATTTCATTAAGATCATAACATAGGGTGAATTAACATCTTTATTTAATTTGTCTTTTGTGTCCTTCAAGAGTGCTTGAAAACTTTCCTCATCCAGGTCTTGCACATACCTTGCTATGTTTATTCCTAGCTATATTATTCTTTTAGGTTTCTACTGAGAATAAGGTACTTTCTTAATCTTTTATTATTTATTTTATTTTTTGAGATAGGGTCTAACTCTCTTGCCCAGGCTGGGTACAGTGGCGCCATCACGGCTCACTGCAGCCAGGATCTCTCCATGCTCAGGTGATCCTCCCACCTTAGCCTTCCAGGTAGCTGGAACTACAGGTGTGCAACAACATGCCTTTTTTTTTTTTTTTTTTTTTTTTTTTTTTGTAGAGACAAGGTTTCACCATGTTGCCTGGGCTGGTCTCAAACTCCTGGACTCAAGCGGTCTTCCCACCTCAGCCTCCTAAAGTGCTGAGATTACAGGTGTGAAGCACCATGCCCAGCCTCTTAGATCTTTTAATGCTTATTGTTTGCTTTTATATATGTAAACTATTGGTTTCTGGTTATTAACTTTGTACTAAAATTTTATATCTGTGGTAGTTTTTCACAAGATTCCCTTCATTTTTCAGGTACATAATAATATAATAGCATATTACTGAAATGTAGGCTCCACAAACAAAATAAATTTTTAGTATTCTTTTTCACTGATTCCTAGATTATAGCAAGACTCAATAAATACTTCTTTATGAAGTATGAATAATTCTTCACAATAGCAATAGTTTTGTCACCTACTTTCCAATTTTTATGACTTTATTTTCTTTCTCTTGCTAGTTCAATGTAAAATTTGGCACAATACAGAAATATAGATATAGAAAGTAAGGGGCAAGTTTTGGGACTATGATACAAATACATCTGTCATGTAGCAGAAACCACCTATCCCCACTTAGACAATTTATTTTAATCAAAAAGATGTCAGGTTTCAGCATCCATGGAGTGTGATGTATTTTTCTCGTTAGATCTACTAATAAAATGAATTATATAGATTTTTATATCCAATTATAAACAATTCTTTTAATGTGTTACTAGGTTCAGTTCACTAATTTTTTATTTAGGATTTCTTTATCAATATTAACAACAAAATTTGGTCTCTAGTCTTGCTTTTGTTTTTTATTGAAATTTTTGTCAGGCATTGATGTTAATGTCTTATTGTTACATTAAAAGAGAGCTGGATGGGTTTCTTAATTTTCTATGCTTTGATACAGTTTAAGAGAATTATCTCCTGTTAAGAGTATGTTAGAATTTTTTATGAGATGACATATTGATTT
This sequence comes from Homo sapiens, assembly GCF_000001405.40. Taxonomy (NCBI): domain Eukaryota; kingdom Metazoa; phylum Chordata; class Mammalia; order Primates; family Hominidae; genus Homo; species Homo sapiens. The sequence continues at coordinate 168,556,052 of NC_000002.12, read as the reverse complement.
GCTTGACTATAGTAACCATGTCACCATGTGTAAATATACTGAAACATTGTATTGTACATCTTAAATATTCACAATAAACAAGGAGAGAAAGCACATATAATTTTTGATATTATAGGTATGAATTTAGGCCTTCATACCTTTAAAATGCTAATCACCTGGGCAAAGAAAAAAATATATACCTACATGTTCAATAAACACTTTGGGTTAATGAAAAACAAAATCTTTTGTGAGAGCATCTGAGCCTGGTACTTTTTTGCAGTTTAGTTCTTTTAATTTGATCTTTACATACACACACACACACACACACACACACACACACACACACACACAGAGTCAATTATACTTTCCTAGAATAAATTTTTTAGTCAAGTTTTTCTATTACATCTGCCCCACTCTCTTAATTTTCCTGTTTCTGTGGTTATTGATCATAACGTTTATTTGTGCTTGCTTTTTTTTTCTTAGTCGATTTAGCTGCCTTTGGTAAAACAAAAATAAATAAATGTAGGATTTGGGGATTAATTTTTTTATATAAGTTAAAATTATAGTTATAGTTTTGCTAACTCATTGATTTTAGCTTATCGTTACTACTTTCTTCCTTCTGCTTATCTCCATTCATTTTGTTGTTCTTGTTCTAATGTTTAACCAAATGGCTATTTTTTTCATATCTGTATGAGTTTTCAATGAGCACTTTTGCAGCATAGCACATAAAGGTAGTACTTTCATTACCAATGTTTTCTAAATATTCTGAAATTTCAATTTTACCCAAGAGTTAATAAGACAGTATTTATAAATTTTCAGGAGGAAGAGGTTTTGTTTTCTGATTTTTCTGTTTTCTAATTTCTGGTATTAAATCGTGCCTAATTTTTAAAAATTATAGTTTTTTAACATAATACAGCATCAATTTTTGTAAGTATTTAATAGCTACTTGAAAAGAAAGTACAGTCTCTACATTCAGAATATAGGATTATAAATGTACCCCCTTAGATCTTCCTAATTATGCTCCTTAGAATTTCTATATTCTATTTTATATTTTCTCACTGACTCTATCACGCCTCAGAGGTAAATCAGAATTTCTTTCTATTGTGTTTCCATTTTTTCTTCAATTCCTTTTTATGAATATACAGACACACTAATATTTAATACATATATGATTCATAACTATTTTATCTTCATCATGAATTGTATCCTCTGACAATAAAAAGTCAATTCTTCCTTTCATTTAATGCTTTTAGAAATCCTACTTTGTTATTTATACGTGCCTGTATACCTTCACCTATGCTCTTATTTTCAACATTTATTACTACTTTGTCTTAAGGTGCTCCTCACATACTTTTTTCATGACTGCATTGTTTTTCTATGGCTGCTGTAACAAAGTTCCCTGAACAACAGAAGTGTATAGTCTCATGGTTCTGGAGGCTGTTAAGTCCCAGATGAAGGTGTTGAATGGTTTGCTCCTTCTGAAGGATGTGAGGTAAAAATCTGTACCAGGCCTCTCTCCTTGGCTTGCAGATGGCTGTCTTTTCCCTGTGTTTCTTCACAGCATCTTCCCTCATGCCTATCTCTGTGTCCAATTGTCCCGTTTGTATATGGACACCCGGCATATTGGATTAGGACCCACCATAATAATCCCATTTTGACTAATTTACCTTTGTAAAGATCCTATCTCCAAATAAGGTTACATTCTGAGGTACTAGGGATCAAGACTTCAATGTATACATTTTGGGGAAGAAAATAATTCGACCCATACCAATAACCAAAGCCTGAATTAGTTTTTATTAGATGAATTAAGTCCATTTATGTGTATTAATATGATTATAAGTTTATTCTTTCTAATTATGTTCTACTTTCCATTTTGATGATTTTAAAAAACATTTCACTACATTTTTTTTTTCCTTTTGGGAGTAATTTTTGTTCTAGTGGTTATCCATATGACTCTTTCTTTTCCATCTCTAATAATTCAAATGAGCAATATTTAAAGTAGCCTTATTTCCTCCACCTTATTAAAGTAGCCTTATTTCCTTCTCCTCCACCACCCAATACTACAATAGTCAATAATATTATCTTTCTTAGCATTTACTCTGGTACTATTAAATATGCGTATACTTGTAATGATTTGCCAGCTTTCACTGATATGCTTTGACTCCCCTCTTAGAGATCATGCAATCAGTGAACTGATTCTGCCTCCCACCTTCTTCCCCTTCTACTCAGTTATTGCTGTATCATTTCTACACTGTGAGAACCTAGAACATTAACATTCTGTCTGTCACCATTCCTTAGATTTCTTTCTTAGTACTACAGTTTAAATATATTCAAAACTTACAAACATTCCAAGTGATCTCTTGGTCAGCTAAAATTAATGATTTAATAGAGTCTCCTCAAGAAAGACTCATGGAATAATATCCCTAAATTTTTTCATGTTCAAAGATGTCTAACATGATGTCTATAACCTTTACAGAGTAAAAACAATTTGGCTAGATATAAAATTCTTAGTTCACATTTTCCTTGGGAATATTGAAAATGTTATTATAGAAAGGCCTACAATCACATAACATTTTCCCTAAAAAAAGAGATCTGATTTTTTGCCCAGCTGCTCAGTGAAGTATTTCTTTACTTATCAAGTCCAGCAACTTTAACAATGTTAAGTTTTAGTGTTGAACTTTCTGGGCCCATTTTCACTATATTTTTATTAACATATTAAAATAAACCTCCATTTATCTTAGGAAAAAATCTTGAATTATATCTCAGAAGTTGTTTTAATTCATTGTTTTATTTTGCTTTTCCTTAAGGGATTCCTATTACAGAGATGCTGGATCTGCTTGGCCTATATATCCATTTTGTAGCTCTTTTTGGTTTCTTTCATTTAATTCAGTTTTATTCTTTCTATCTTCCATATTCTTTGCTGAGTTTTCTGCAGTGACTAGTGTTTCCTGCCTTCTTCCCAATTTTGTCTTTTTTTCTGTGATGGATTTGGTACTTTTCTCTGAACTCTACCAGCTCACATTCCACCTCCTCTTGTTGACCAACCATTTCTTTCTTTAGTTCTTATATTTCCTCTGTGATCTTCCTTCACAGAGTTACTGCTTCATTTTTTTAAATTTATGGTAAAATATTTAATCACAGTTTTCATTTGCCTCTTTAGCCTCATTATTCTAGTGAAAATTTTGTTAACAGGAGTTGCTATACTTTCTTTTTATTGTCTTTGATATTGTGTGAGTTGCTTCTTTATTAATCATCTTTGAATTAGTTGAATTTTCTTGACCTGCTACTTCCAGTGTGGGGAGCAGGAAGGATGCTCTTCCAGTCTGGCTGCCATGAAGGGAGATGGACTCCTGAAAACATACCCTCCACGTGGCTTTATGTGTCCCTCCTCCACTCTTGCCAGCCTGGCTCACCTGTTCCTGCACCTATTGTTGCAAACAGTGGGTGGTTCTTTTGTCTCCTCAACTCTTGAGAAGTGCTTTTGTGCTGGCTTTCCTGACACCCACCCCCACACGGCCCTCCAGACACACTTCATGCTTTTCACTTCCTCATACTTGGTTTCTGCCCAATCTAGGTAGCCTTTATATGTTTTGAAATCTAGAGATATGCATCTCCTAATTTGCCAAATAAGACATTTGTGAGATTTTCTTTCATTTTTTCTTTCTCTGTGTTTGTGTGTGTAGTGTGTGTGTGTGTGTGTGTGTGTGTGTGTGTGTGTGTGTGTATACTCTGTATGTAGGGTGGGGGTTTCTTATTGTTCTTTCCTTATTATTCTCCGTAAGTTTTTTTGAAAGATTTCCAGGCAAAGAAATGAATAATGGAGACTCACATAAACATTTATATATTACAAACACCTAGGTTAATATTAATAACATTAATCTTAACCAGTACTGGGAGGCAAAGAAGGAAAGTATAAAATAAAAATGAAAGGAAATAGATTATTGAGGAGAATTAGGAAAAACAAATTGTAGGAAATCTGCCTATCACTTTAAAATTTACTCTAACATACCAAAAGTTAATTTTATTATTTCCCTGGATCATAAAACCTGGCTTTATACCTGACATATATTCTCACCCCCATGGCTTAAGCACTGATTTGATTAGAAAAGTGAGGTAGTTAGTATCATAGGTATGTACAAATAATATGGTAGGAGAATCCCCAAAAGTTAAAAGCATATTTACCCAGATAATTCTGAATATAACCAGTTAAGAAACAACATAACCAGTTAAGAAACACGAGCTCAAAAATATTCACTAAAGAGAAATAATCATTCTGTTCATTTGAATGGGTCTGACAATCCGTAATTGTAGAATTTTTGGTCCCATTCCAATACAGTTGAGGAGAATCTATAGAAACATGACGTAACACTCTACATTTTAACTCTCAGGTAATCTTAAATGCAAATCAAAATATGGGAACCAATGAGACAAAAGATGCTATATCATTTACTGAATGATTTACATGATTATTTAACCCTCATGAACGCCTGTGAGATGGTTATTCAAAGATTTTTACAAATGAGCTTCATGATTATTTAACCCTCATGAACGCCTGTGAGACGGTTATTCAAAGATTTTTACATATGAGCTATCTGCAGCCTAGGGACGTTAAGAAACTCACCCAAGGCCACAATGACGGGACGCAGCAGAGCTGAGGTTCCAACACAAATATCCAGGTGTAACTGGCTCAAACACCAAGACTTCTAATTGACATTTACAATAGGAGTAGTTTCTATAAAGTGTTTATAAAATTTTAGACAGGGGATGGGGGAGGAGAGAGAGACAGGCAACAGGAAGACAGGTGTTACTTCAAAAGGAAAGACTGCTACAGAATATATAAGGGTTCAAATTTTTCAGCTATTAATAATTTCACAAAGGAGAACCAGATAGGGCATGTGACCTGTGCTGTCACACAGGGACCCCCATTCAGAAGGGTCCACATTTGGGGTTGGAAACCCTGCAGTCACCATCTTGAAATTCTTAACAGTTTTATCATGGAATTTGTGCTTATTATAATGAAGTCCAATGGGGCAAAGGAGCATGTGCCAGGAGCTTGGATTCTTGGCTCATACACAGTCCCACCACTTCCGCCAAATGTGTGTGTGGTTGCCCAGTTCCTCATCCCCTGGCTTGTAGCACTCACCAGCCTCCCTGTCTCCCCACTTCCTAGTGACTGCTGCTGCCTTCAGCCCCCAGTGGAGGGCCGAGTGCAAACACAGAGAGTGGGGGATCGAGTTTCAGAGAGGATGGAGGCAGCTACCCCAGTGCATGTGGTGGGCGACTCGGTAGGGCTGAGCCTTTTGTGTAGCCCTGAATCTGGGCATAGAGGTTGCAATGCACTTGAAGGTCCTTCATCACCCATGGGTTGGGGCAGTGGGCCTGGAGAGAGGCCTGACTGTATTTCTCTGCTCCCCTGACCAAGGTACAGTGTGTCAGCCAGTGGCTGGAGAAAAGGGAAACCTGGCAGCTGGTGGGTCATGTGCACACTAAGTCACAGGGTGGGGCCCCCAGCTACCTGTGAGGGTCTGCACTTTCTCCAAGAGTCTCCCCATGCCATTAGGGAACATGACATTACACGACAAATAAAAAACACCTTGACCAGGCATGGTGGCTCACAGCTATAATCCCAACACTTTGGGAGGCTGAGGCAGGAGGATTGCTTGAAGCCCGGAGTTCAAGACCAGCCTGGGCAACATAGTGAGGCCCTATCTCTCCAAAAAAATTTTTTACATTAGCCAGGTGTGGTGGCCCACACCTGTAGTTCCAGCTACTTGAGAGGCTGAAGCAAGAGGATCATTTGAGCCCAGGAGTTTGAGGCTGCAGTGTGCTACAGTTATGCCACTAGACTCCAGCCTTGGCAACAGAGTGAGACCTTGTCTCAAAACCAAAAACAACAAACAAAAAAACACCTTGACAAGTAGAGAGAGACTGAGGGAGGAAGGAAAAAGCTTTATGTTTTTGTATGCTTAATGGCACTTTTTTTGTGCTTTTTGAACAAGGGGTCCCACATTTTCATTCTGTACTGGGCCCCACAAACTATGTAGCCAGTCATATACAGAGATTTTAAGGGTACCTCTCTCACACTTGAAGGATTATAATCATGCCCTTCTACAAAAAGGCAGCTCAAACCGTGGTAAGGCCAGGATACTGGATGATCATTCACACACACACACAAACGCACACTTTGTTCAAGCTCTCCCAAGTCCTGCCCCTCCTATTCCAGTCAACTGATTGGTTACATTTCATATCACAATTAAGACCGGAGAACTACAAAGAATACAAGGGAAAACAGTTCCAACTTTTGCTGCATTTATATTTTACATGACGCTTCTGTTTTAATCATGTAAAAACCTCCAAAGGAATCACCTTGGAAACTAAAAGAATATGATCATTCAAATTAGCTAGAAGCAAGTATTTGTTTTTGTTTGTTTGTTTGTTTTGAGACAGAGTCTTGCTCCATTGCCAGGCTGGAGTGCAGTGGCGTGATCTCTGCTCACTGCAACCTCCGCCTCCTGGGTTCAAGCCATTCTCCTGCCTCAGCCTCCCGAGTAGCTGGGACTACAGGCACCCGCCACCACGCCTGGCTAATTTTTGTATTTTTAGTAGAGATGGGGTCTCACCATGTTGGCCAAGGTGGTCTCGATCTCTTGACCTCATGATCTGCCCGCCTCAGCCTCCCAAAGTGCTGGCATTACAGGCGTGAGCCACCACGCCCAGCCAAAGCAAGTATTCTTTAGAAAAGTCAACCTGGCTGCAAAATCTTTTTATTACCTTTATGGAGGAAATTTCTCCAGTAACTGTAAAAAACATAAGGCAAGGGAAGTGAAACATCCACTGCAGGATTTTTAAGGAGAGGCATCAAATGTGGAGAAAACAAAAAACAAAATTAAAAAAAAAACACCTCATTTTATTATTCATTTAGAATACTGTATGTTTAATGTACTTAGAGTAGTTCACAAAGAGACTCCAAATATGTTATAATCACACTTACAAATGAACCTGAGAAGTCCCTACACACCTGCTTTTTTAAGAGGGAAAAAGTTGTTTCACTTAAGTAATTTGATACACTAAATGAAAATGCAAGCTTTTTCTTTACATTTTTTTCTTTTAAATACTGTAAGATATGTGTCCCTTCAGACAGGAACCTGGCAATCTGAAATTACCCCATAAAAACCATCAAAAGAGCTTTTCCTAAAATTCCATTCATTCTTCTCTTCTTCCTAGCAGAGATATGAAAAACACCTGGTACTTTCTTAATTTTTTGAGGGAAAAACATTTTTAAAAGGACAGAGGGAAAAACTCTAGAGAATTTTGGAAGAAATGAAGACCATAAAATAGATAAAAGTGTTTGGATATCTGAATTAATAGTTGTAAGACGAGATAGCTAGTACAAATGGCTAGAAACACAAATACCAAGAAAAGAAATAGAATTTGCTTAATTCTGTCAAATCACATCTTGGAAGCCTGGGTAATTCTCCCAGAAAAATGAAAGGGAGAAAATGAGCCATTTAATATATGAACACACAATACTTCTCATAGAATGTTGTATTTCTCCTGATCTTTTCTTCTTTCTTGTCCAAACAAGAATAAGGTAAGATATATAAAAACTCGGTAATTTGCTCTATTTTCCTATGGCCTTCAACTGAGGGTTTCTGACTTCCAGCTTTCTCCTCCCTCTTTGTTCTGAAGGAGATCTGAACTTGGGATGGGGGCAGAGGCAGGAGACGTGGTCTCTTCTACCCACTTCTCTCCCACTCCCTTCCTCCCACTCCTAGTTTGGGCTTCAGCTCCCACCAGATTGAGTATCTCCTCCCTTTTATTCTCCACAGTGAACCTATCTCTTCACTTAAGACTCTCCTGACCCTCCTTCTTCATAACTTCATGGTACAATCTTTTATCCTGCAGTTATGCCTTCTTGTTGTTTTTGTTTACATTTGTCTACTTATCACAGCTCCTAGAATCTATGGACAATGCTACAAGCCAAGAGGTCCCTTTTTTCGCACACACATAAATCACATTCTTCAGCTCCACCCAGTCACCTCCACAAAGTCCCTCCCAGCCCTCATCTTGCTTCTAGTCACATCTTGCTTCACATGTGATTAAAAGAGGCACAGAATTAGACTAATCATTATTTAGTCAAGACTATTCTCAGGTGAGCTACTAAAAATCAACTTGAGCGTAAACTACCAAGTCTAAGACAAGCCCATCTTCATTCCGCTTCTACTACGCTTGCATTCCTTCTGACAACACGTTCTCCAGCATAAGGCTAGGCAAAAGTTGATTCTCCAAACCCAGAAGGGGACAAATTGAATGACAGCAGGCTGAGAATGGTGACCGGGGACAATCTATACCCCAGGAAAGGACAATCATACCTTTGTAATTGCAGTGAAGACCTTTTCCAGAATGGCATTGGGCGGAGCAATTTGTGGTCCATTGGCCTGAATGTTGAGGGCTATGGCGCACGGTTTGGCTACAAATCTAAAAATTACAAAAAGAAAAAAGTAGAAGGTCAGAATTTATTCTTTCTATGTGATTCTTAATGCCACCAGTTACACATTACTCAATTATCCCAATAAAGTGTTGGTAGGATTTCATGGGTGTACATTGTCAACACTCCTGTCAGTAACTGTAAGGCAGACTTAACCGTTTTTCTCTCTGTTAGCCCCCAGCAGTAACATTAAAAAAGAAATCCTTTTAAAACATTTAAACCCTCCAATCCTCAAGTTCTAATGAGACAAAGCTAGAAAGACTATGAGATGAAAATATAAGTGTATAAGATAGAAATAAAACAATGATTTCAAAATAATATAACTTATACTCTTCTTACACAGAGCAATAGTCATATTTTTACTGTGAGAAAACGTTTACTAAGCATCTAATTATCCATGCAGAGAGAGCGCTTTGACCACCCGTAGTCATAAACTTGGCAATTTTTGTCTCTATAATCAAAGTGTGCTAAATTCAGCCCCAATCCCTCATGGCTTCTTAAAATTCTCTGCTTTGTGGTTATTTGCTTGTTTCTCATAAAGAGTAATGAAGGATGTCGAAGGGCATGATGTCCCAGACAAGATGAAAAGTCGCAAGTGTTTATGAACATCCACAAAACTGTTTTTATCCTAAGCCAATGCCTACGTCAAGAGGAATGGGAGGACTGAGCCTTCTTTCTGGTCGCATTTGCTGTGTGAATGAGGTGCTGAAGGGGAGCAGGTGAAGTGCATGGGGCCCCAAAGGTGTGGGGACATTGCTAATAAAACTGTGTAAAACAAAAAAAATTAAAAGTTGTTTTAGACTAAATGCTCAAGAAATAAAACTCTGTAAATATTCATTTTCAGTAGTAACATTTAATATTTTCTACTAATACAGGATAATTTCATATCATGTGAAAGTATTACCCAAATTAATTCACTGTTGGTCAAAGGCAACAATTGATAAATATGCAAAACAGACCATAATTAAATCTTAGATGAAGCTTCCTTAATAACAGTTGATGAGATTAAAGAACAGTAGACAAAGGTTTTTGTTTTTAAAGTAGGACCAATGAAACTTACATGTAAAGTACCACATAATATCCTACTGGGTCCTATTTCAAGTAAAAGTGAAGAAATTTATTTAAACAGGAAAATGGAACATTGTACACGTGCAAGCCTAAACCAGGAAAGATAAGACAGAGAAAATGCACCGTAATACCTGGTACACTGGGCTCTCTGGGACAAAGTTGGGAAGAAAGAAGAATCACCCCTTCCCGATATATAAATCCTCTAGAAACTGGAGTTTTCCCCAAACTTCTACATTCTCAATTCTGTTTAATGTAAAATTTTCTGAGCTGCATTACCTACATCCCTACCTTCTTGACAGTAAGTATAACCTTTTCCTAACGACTCTGGCCCTTCTCTATAAATGATAATCATGGGGCTATGGCTATAGTGATGAAAGAAGGAATTTAGTGGGCAATGACCACAAGACAGAGTCTAGAACTTGTTTCCTTGACAAGGTTTCCTGCTTTGTGGTTATTTGCCCCTCATCATAAGGTACAACAGAGCGGGGTGAAAAGACATACGGTCCAGCAAAAGCAAACAGTAAGACCACAAAATGCATTTGGTGTGAAGGACACAACTGTTCCAATGGTTTCTTTCTAGTCTTTCCAGTTGGACTCCTCCCCGCCCTCCCTCATCCTCCCCTTCCCACACCTCTGACACATTGTGTTCACATTCCCTTCCGACTTTGTCATCATCATCCTTGTAACAGCCTGCTGTTCCAGTACAGTCTTCTTTCTTCATCTAAATAGCACTGAGTCTCAATGCAGAAGCTGATCATTTCCTCTTTGTATGCCCTGTGACAATGCCTGTGCATACACAGGAGGGGGTCAAGACATTTAATCAACTGGTTGTCTTCAGTAAATATGTTTTGTTGTTGCTATCACGGTGTTGAGTGCTGAGGACAAGTTAGCAGACATTCTCTGTGTGCCCTGTCACAATGCATGGGCAGGCAGTAGGGGAGTCAAGAAATTTACTCAACACTGTCTCTTCAACTTCCTCACCTCTGTTATCAGCCAAAAAAAAAAAAATCAAAAAAAATTTTTAGTATTTGTTATACAACATAATGTATACATCTCTCCTTCTCTTTTTAAGCTTCAAACCACTTTTAAAACTCTATTTTCTTTAAATTCCAAGAATGAATGCAACAGCATACCACTTAATTGACAACTTATCAAATTTCAATAATCAAAATTATCAAATAAATATGATGCTTTGTTAACATATTTTTACAGCAATGTCCAAAGGATAGGGTGGGAATTATTTCTGCTGCTATCTGGCTATGGAGATTTAGCTACAGGAATTAATCTCTCTCTGCCTTAATCTCCTCATATGTGAAAAAATTATTATAATTATATATGTACATGTATGTGTTTCTACAAATACATGTATGTGTTTCTACAAATACATGTGTGTGTTTCTACAAATACATGTATGTGTTTCTACAAATACATGTATGTATTTAAAAATCATATCATAGAGTCTCTTTGCCTAAAATGTTTGACAGGAGCCATGGGTAAGGTTTCATATCATAGCATTTACAAACCATGACTTTCCTGGGCCCAGCGGCTCACCAGCCTCAGCTACACTGAAACAAGCCATGTGTATTCAAGTTGTGAAAGTATTATACCAAGCAGAAGCAGAAAAAAGAGACCAGATGTCAGGATAGGCACTGAAAAAAACCAGGGACATCTGGTCGAGTAACCACTTGCCCCAGTTTACCCTCCATCCAACTGTTCCCAGCACCACGTGCACTGACAAAAGTGTCCCCCGTCTGGTATTTTGCCACAGTTAAAAGGAAAAGCAGAGGGTCCCATGTGGACATAAAATTGTGGTGACTCTCATCCTCAAACCCCAGGCCTGGTGCCGGTCCACAGTGAGTCCATACCAGCAGTGTGATCGGGGTCTAAGCTCATCCACACCTGGCCTTCTCTAAGGGCCCAAACCTTTCCAGCTCCCCTATCCAACCCAATGACCCCCAGAATGCTGTGGCCACACTTCCCACAGAAGAGTTGGTGTAACAGGTGCATCCCTCTCCTGTGTGTGGGGCCCCCAAGAGAGCAGGACCAGGCCTTAACGAAGTCCACATCTCCAGAGCCCTGTGCACAATCTCATTTAATCCTCCCTCAACCAGATGAAGCGGGATTACCATTATCCCCACTTTGCAGAGAGGACCAGAGATGTCAGTGGCCTCTACTTCCAGGGAAATGGAAGCAGAAGACAGTATATTTCTTTCCCAGAAGGGTCATTGTTATAATCAGCTCCCCACTCTGATTCATTGGACAGGCTAAGCCCCAAAATCTGAGGATGCAGAGACAGACAGTGAGAGAGAGAGAGAGAAGAATAACAGACAAACTTAATAGAATTTAACTCAATTTAAATGTTGAAGTCCATTAAAGTTTAAATGACCCATGGTAGGTATGTGCATAAATCATCTTTCTTTGAACGATGTCATAGCATCTTTTCATTTATATGCCTGGCACACTGTGGGTACTCAGTGAGTATTTGATGGTTGAATGAATGAATAAAACCATCAAGTAAAATACAATGGTAGGTACCCTTACTATCTTTTCCAAAGGGGCTTTGCATTTTAATTTCCTTGAATATCCACATCTACTCAGGGTCATTTGGGACCCAGAAGGTAGGAGACTGACCACTCCAACTCAAGAAGCCACTTCTTTAATACTTATTGTCCCTAGAATGTCAAAGTTGCCTGAAAGAGCACTTGCGTAGGCTTTACCAACCCCTCACTAGGTATGCTCTTTTTCAACATAACCCATACTGGGAGCCAAACACTTAATTTTCAAGATTTTTTTAAAATTGCATAAGATAGGCAGAAAAAGTGAACCCCAAATGAAAGAAGAAAAAACAAGAGCATGTAATTCTTATCAAATAGGTATTACTGATTATATGAAAATATAAATTTTGTGTTTATTCTCCAAAAAAAGGCGTGAATCACATTTTTTTCAGAGAGCATATTTAGATACAAAATAAGATCCATGACACAACTACTATAATTTTATCACTGACTATCATGGTCCATTAGACCATGTAAAAAACTGGATTTTTTTTTAATGCCAGTTCTAACATAAATAAGTTCACAAAGGCTGTCTTTCATAACATTTTGAGAGAAAGAGATAGAGTCAGAGATAGAAGCAGATTGATGGGGGATGGGGGTAACACATCGACAAATGTAATAGTTGAAAGGAAATATGTGCTTTCAAGCTTTGATGGTTACCTCTATAAGGAAATGCTCACCTAATTACTTTTTTAATCAAAGGCGGCAACACCACCTTCAAAAGATCAAACATCTATAAAGTACTTTCATGTACTATATTTGAAAGTAAACATAATAAGGATGTAAACTTTGAAAAATACTAGTCTCAGTTAAAAAGCAGAGAAGAAACCTAAGACACTGCTACTTTTCAATTCTATTTGGCAACACGTATTTGTATTTTAAACATGAGGTAAACATCTCTGCACAAAGTACGGAAGAAAGCACTGGGCAGTAGTGTGGTGAGAGATATAGTCAAAACGTAAAATGGGCCAGATACAGTGGCTCACGCCTGTAATCCCAGCGTGTTGGGAGGCTAAGGCAGGCAGATCACATGAGGCCAGGAGTTCAAGACCAGCCTGGCCAACATGGTGAAACCCCATCTCTACTAAAAATACCAAAATTAGCCAGGTGTGGTGGTGCACGCCTGTAATCCCAGCTACTCTGGAAGCTGAGGCAGGAGAATCGCTTGAACCCGGGAGGCAGAGGCTGCAGTGGGCCAATATTGTGCCACTGCACTCCAGCCTTGGCAACAGCACAACTCCATCTCCAAAAAAAATAACACCCCCCAAAAAAAAGAAAACCATGAAATGAACCTTGTACTCAATGAAGTTTACAATCTGGAAAGGTGGTTATTAAAAAAAATAAACATATGTCATTGTTCTAACTACTTTAAAATATTTAATCATCTCAAGTGGGTAGCATGGCCAGAGGCTTTCAGTCCTTTCAAACTGTAACACTTCCTATGCTTTCCAAAAATAGTTGGGATGCTGTGATGGTGGCTACACAAACCTACACATGTGATAAAATTGTATAGAATTAAATCTCACACATATATAAATGAGTACAAGTATTAACAAAACTGGGGAAATCTGATTAAGATCGGAAGATTGTATCAATGTCAAAAGCCTGGTTCTGATACCATACTAGAAATTTATAAAATGTTACCATTATAGGTAACTGGGTAAAGAGTACATGAGATCTCATTGTACTATTTCTTAGAACTGTATTTGAATCCACAACTGTCTCAATAAGGATTTCAATTAAAAATAATTGAAAGGGACATTCTCTTTTTGTCGTGTAGGAATGAGCTAATGGATTTCACAACATATGAACACCACACTCTCTCCACCCAAACAAAAACAAACAAACACTACCTGAGGGCTCTGGAGACTGAAAAAAAGGAAACTGACTTTGGGGAAGTGTCCAAGTTGGAGCAAGCAACCAGTAAAGAGTGACCTCTCTGTTCATTTATATATTTATTCTGCAGCTCTACCCTGAGATCAGACACAGACACAGCAGCAAGCAAAATTTTGATAGAAAAACACATCCTCTTTCTAGCTGCAGGAACCAGGGAAAAAAGCCTGGGGAAATCAGAGAATGACTAGAGAACTATAGAAGAGACAATGCCAAAGAAGCAAACCCTAATTCTGTATATAAACTAAGCATGATTCTAGCTGACTTCTGAACCATGAATGTACAAGGTAAACTGAATGCAGATAGGAGCTAAGGTTTAAAGAATTTATCTGAGACTAAAGCCACTGTCCACTGCAAGCATGACAGGCTACAATTTGAGTCTAAGTAAACTGCCTATTAACAAAACATCAACATTTTTGAAAGCAATGTAAAAAAATCCACCATCTCCACAAAATAACTCTCACCATGCCCAGGATACATAATCTAATAGGTTGATGAAGAACAAGTAAAATATGACCCACTCTAAGGAGAAAAGACATGCAAAGGAAAAATTCAGTGAACCTGAACCATGCAATCTGAAAAAAAAAAAGAAAGAAAAAATGGAGAAATAAACAGACTTTGAAGACTTGTAGAACAATTGTTCAAAATCTAACATGTGGGTAATTAGAGTCACAGGGAAAAAGGAGACAAACTAGGGGGAACAATATTAGAAGAAATAATAGTCTGTAACTTCCAAAATCTGGTAAAAGACATAAACATACTGTTATAGTCTGGGCGTTCTGTGCCCACCAAACCTCATGTTGAAACTTGATCCCCAATGTGAAAGGTGGGGCCTTCTGGAAGGTGTTCGGGTCATGGAGGCAGATCCCTCATAAATGGATTGACGCTGTCCCTCAGGGGTGGGTGAGCTCTAGCTCTATGAGTTTCCACAAGAGCTGGTTTATTAAAAGAACCTGGCACCTCTCCCTGCCTCTCTTGCCATGTGATCTCTGCACATGCCAGCTCCCCTTCACCTTCCATCATGAGTGGAAGCAGCCTGAGGCCCTCACCAGATACAGATGCCTAATCTTGAACTTTTCAGTCATCAGAATCATGTGCTAAATAAACATGTTCTTTATAAACTGCCCAGCCCCATCAGATATTCCTTTGGAGCAACACAAAACAGGCTAAGACATACAGATTCAAGGAGCTCAAGAACCCTACAGAGAAGTAAACTGTAAAAGAAGAAAACCTACACAAAATACAGTCAAACAGATGAAAACCAAAGATAAAAAGAAAATATTGTAATTCACCAGACAAAACGGCTCACTATATACAGGGAAAAATAATTTGAAATACAATGCTCTTCTCATCAGAAATTATGAAGGCTCAACGACAGTGCAATAACATCTTTAAAGTACAGTTATGCATCACTTAACAATAGGGATACATTCTGAGAATCACATGATTAGGTGGTTTTGTCTTTGTATGAGTATCACAGTGTCCTTACACAAACCTAGATGGTATGGCCTACTACACGCCTAAGATATATGGTATTGCCTATTGCTCCAAGGCTACAAACCTGTACAGGACATTACCATTATTGTAGTGAATAGGCAATTAAAACAGAATGGTACTTGTGTATCTAAACATAGAAAAGGACTCCATCTGTCCTGCTGTCTTGTGAAGAAGGTGCCTGCTTCTTCTTTGCCTTCAGTCATGATTGTAAGTTTCCTGAGGCCTCCCCAGCAATGCAGAACTGTGAGTCAATTAAACCTATTTCCTTCACAAATAAATAAACATAGAAAAGGTACAGTAATCATAATCTTATAGGACCACTATTGTATATGTAGAGTCCCCTCCAACCCTCCACCCCCCATAATTAACTGAAATGTTATGCAGCTCATGACTATACTGGAAGCGGAAAAAAAAAAAACTGTCAGCCAAAAATTCTATGTTCAGCAAAATATCCTTCAAAGAATGAAAGTGAAAAGGAAACTAAGGGTATTTGTGGCCTCCAGATTCCCATTTCAAATATGCTAAAGGAAGTTCTTCTTTAGGTTGAAAGGCAACACAACCAGATGGAAACTTAGATCTTTACAAATGAATAGAGCATCAGAAATGACAAATATATTGGTAAATACAAAAGTGCTTGCAAGGTCTTTGAAATTAATCACAACCAATTAATAACAGATGAAACAGTTAAATCCAATTATGAGAAATAACATATTCCCACACCAAACTGTGCCAGAAAAAAACCTATGCATAAGTAAAAATTCAATAAAGGAGAAGTGGGGAGAGGTAACTGAGTCAACGCATTGCTGAACTACTAACACGTCCTTGGTTACCAATATTCGTCAGGAATGGTGTGCCGTGGCTAGCATCAGAGTAAGTATTATCAATTTAAAACTGACCAGAACAATATAGACTGATTTTGAAAGCTAATATGCAGGTGCATGTTTAGACATATACATGTGCATGTGCCTGAGTGAGCAGGCATATGTGCATGACTGTATATTGTTAAATCCTACCTAAGACAAAACTGTTTCAAGAAAACAAATATTTAGTGGAATGAAGGCCAGGATGGAGAAAGGGGACTGCTATTTATTGACAGATACTATATGCCAAAAGCTTTGCAATGTTTAATTCTTTTTTAGATCAACAATAACCCTTTCAATTAAATATTTATTTCATTTAACAGAAATATAAACTAAAGCTCAAAGAAGTTAATGAGGGTGCCCAAGGTCTTAAAGGTAGTTAAATAGCTTAGACAAAATTTAGATCCGATCAATCATAACATAATCTATTAATAAAAACAATATTTTCGGCCGGGCGCGGTGGCTCACGCCTGTAATCCCAGCACTTTGGGAGGCCGAGGCGGGCGGATCACGAGGTCAGGAGATCGAGACCATCCCGGCTAAAACGGTGAGACCCCGTCTCTACTAAAAATACAAAAAATTAGCCGGGCGTAGTGGCGGGCGCCTGTAGTCCCAGCTACTTGGGAGGCTGAGGCAGGAGAATGGCGTGAACCCGGGAGGCGGAGCTTGCAGTGAGCCGAGATCCCGCCACTGCACTCCAGCCTGGGCGACAGAGCGAGACTCCGTCTCAAAAAAAAAAAAAAAAAAAAACAATATTTTCCACACTCCCTAAAATAAGAAAAGTAAATTAAAGAGGTATTGTTAAAATACTTGTGATACGGTCATACACTCTGCTCAGTAATCCCACTTTTAGGTATTTATCTAAGACAATCTGTCAGACAAAGAAGAAAGGCCACAGATGTAAAGATTTTCACGCACAATTATCTGCAGAGGGAAAATGGCAAATAGCTTAATGAGTCACTACAAAATGACTCAGTGAGCATCTATTATGTATCAGCCCTGCTCTAGGTGTTGGGGATGCTGCAGTGAACAAAATCCCATTTTTATGGAGCTTACATTCTAGCAGAGGGAGATTAAAAATAAACCAAGCAGTGTATGCTATGCCAGATGGTGAGAAGTGCTAGAGAGAAAAATACAGCCTGCTAAGAAGGACAGGGCTACCTAGGTAGGGCTGTCATTTAAAACAGATTGGCCAGGGAAGACCCCAATGAGAAAGTACACAGAACCCTGAAGGAAGTAAGGAAAGAAACTAGAAAGATAAGTGGGGGAAGGACATTCTGGAAGGAACAGCGGCCAAGAATGAAGGCTCTGAGAAGGAGTCTGATTGAGATGCTGAAGGCATATCCAGAAGGCTAGAGAGGCTAGTATAGAGTTAGCCAGTACAGGAGGAATGAAGTGGGGTCAGAGAGCAGCAGGCAGCCACACACAGTGCCTTCTAGGCCATTTTAGGGACTTTTTTTTTTTTTTTTTTGGTTTTTACACTGAGTGAGGTAGGAAGCTTCTTCAGGACCATGTGAAGAAAACCTAAATGATTTATTCTGTCCTAAGAGAATCACTAGCTCCTCTGTTGAGAGCAGACAGAAGGGGAAAACAAGGATGGACACAGCAAGGCTAACTGGGAGGCTGCTGCAATTATCCAGGCCAGAGGTGGTGGCAGCAAAAGAGGCAGTGAGAAGTGATCAGATCCTGGAACTATCCTCAAGACTGGACTCACAGGATCCACTGACAGACTGAACATGGATGGGATGAGGCAAGAGAGGAATAAGAGGTAACAACAAGGTTTTGCCCTGGCATGGGGGTTGGGCTGAAGTTCATGACTTCAGTGTGAGGCCTGGTAAGTCTGAGGTTATGCTTATTAGGCTACTAGGCTTATAAATGGAGATGTCCAGTAGGCAGTTGGATATGCTAGTATGAAGTTTAGGCTTGGGCAAGGGATAGAAATTTATTTTCATCAACATATAGATGACATATAAAGCCCATAAGAACAAGGAAATCACCTGGGAAGTGAGTATAAATAAATACGGGAGGAGATTCAAGAAATAAACCCTAAGGTGACTCCAATGTTTAATGTCTGAGTACAAAGAAACCCCTGAAATATTATATAGCTACTGAAAAGGATATTTACATAAAATATGCAAAACATGAAAATCTATAATACATTGATTTTTTTAAAGCAGGCTATTTTATAAAAACTGTAAAATAAAGTATGTGGTAGAATAAAATCTGAAAAACAACACTTGCTGTACCGGAGGAAATTAGCCACTCTCCCTAAAATAAGAAAAGTAAATTAAAGAGGCATTGTTAAAATATTTGTGATATGGTCATACACTCTGCTCAGAAATCTCACTTTGAGGTATTTATCTAACACAATCAGTCAGACAAAGAAGAAAGGCCACAGATGTAAAGATTTTCACGCACAATTATCTGCAGAGGGAAAATGGTAAATAGCTTAATGAGTCACTACAAAATGACTCAGTGAGCATCTATTATGTATCAGCCCTGCTCTTTATACTTTGCTTTACACTTTGCTCTTTCTTTATACTTTGCTTACCATGTTTTTATTAAACAAAATTGCATCATACTACATGTATTTATATTTATTTTGTGTTTCCTTTGTTGTTGAGTAATAACAAAGCCCATGTGGAAAAAAGGTGGCACAGCTTATAAAGGTATAATTAATCTTGTGGTGAAAGAGAACTATGGACAAAGCAAAGGCATTTACAAATAACACAATAGTCCATGTTCTCCAAGAACTCAAGAAATGTTTATTGCCCATCAAAATTCTACTATCTTCATTTTTGTAATTTTTGTGAATTTTAAAAGCAGTGTATATTACATCAAGTGTAGAAAGTAACAAAAAGCACTTGTAATAATATTAAAAATCGCAAGGAATGCTATCAAAGATAACCATTATTAACATTTGAACATTTTTCTGCTATCCCTCCCCCACATGCTACCAGATCTTTCTTTATACTTTGCTTACCATGTTTTTATTAAACAAAATTACATCATACTACATATATTTATAATTTGCTTTACTTTCCTACTGTGAATATTTCCCACAGAAAATTACATATCCTGGTAGGGCATGGTATTTAATGGTTACAAAGACTTACACTGTTGTTCTTTTTTTGTTTTATAAATTTTGTTGTGTATATTTGAGGTGTGCAACATGTTATAGGATACATATATAGTAAAATGGCTACTATAGTGAAGCAGATTAATATATCTATCATCTCACTGTGTGTGTGACAAAAGCAGCTAGAATCTACTTATTTAAAATAAATAGGTTTATTTATTTTATTAAAAAATCTCCAAAACAATACAATGTTGTTAACTCAGGCCTCATGTACATTAGATCTCTACGTGTGTTCATATTATATTGTTGTTCTTATTTCTTGCTACTGGGACTATTCTCTAAGAAAATAGCCACTGGGCCCTTTCTGACAGTACAGAACTCTGATCAAAGTCCCACCATGTTGTTATGATATCAACGATATAAGCAAAAGTGAATCTGAAGAATTGAATTATTTAGGTTGACCACTAAAATACTCTGTCATCATAGGATAACTATCCATTCTTGCATCTGCATTATCTCTGCCACTTGAATTTAGGATCACTTTTGCTAGCTAAAGCTTCAAGAAATTAACCATAAAGTTTTGAAGATGAAAATTTCCAGACTCTTCTACATCCTAGATTTTCACATTTTTAAAGATTTTTGATGATCAACAGAAAAATGGGCAAAAGACGTTAAGTAGGCAATTTTCAAAAGAACAAATGGAAACATCAATAAACATACAACAAGATATTCAGCCACATCAGGAAAATGTACCAAGACCATTTCATGCCCATCAGGCTGAGTTTTATAATGTGAAATATAGCCAATGATTTGGAAAAATAAGAATACCAATAAATTTCTCATGTCGAAGTTTAATTAAAAATGCACACGAGATATAAAAAGGTAGTATACAGAAATAAGTAACAAATGACCAATAGACATATGAAAAGATGGTCATCCTCATTCAAAAAAAAAAAAAAAAAAACTGGTATCAAAACATTGTTGGGCAGGGCCAAGATGGCCGACTATAAACAGTGGCGATCTGAGGCTCCAATCAAAAAGAACCATAGTAAGCGTGTGAATCCTTCACTGGCAACCAAGGTATCCACGTTCTCTCATCAGAACTCACTAGGAGGCTGGCATGATCCACGGAGAGGAAGGAAGCGCAGTGTGGTATGGCGGCCCACCTGAGAGCCAGGAGAACCCTCTCCCCCCAACCAAGGGAAGCAGTAAGTGAACATGCTACCCAGCCAGGGAATCCGTGCCTTTTCCACGGAATGGTGCAACCCATGGATCAGAAGATCCCACTCGTGAACGCATTCCACCGGGGCCTAGCGTCCCAACTCCAGAGCCACACGGATTCTCAATAGCCCTTCAGCTGGAATCTGCTTAAGACTACTGAGCTCCCAGGGGGAAGGGTGACCAGCACCACAGCTGCGGCTGCCTGCTGTCTAAGCCATATGAGCTCCTTAAGGGAGGGGCAGCAGCCAGCACTGGGACTCACACTGCTTAACATGCTAAGCTCCCTGGGCAGGAGAAAGGCAGCATCTATCACTATAGCTCCAGGCCATGCTTTTCCCCTGCTGGAGCCAGGGAGGCTGGACGGCTTGGTCCCAAGACGTGTCCCCGACAGCCCAACACACCGGCTGTGGCAGACTGCAGCCAGAGTGCCTCCTCAGGCCTGATCCTCACTGGGTGGGGCTTCCCTGCAGGAACTCCAATAACTCCAGCCAGAGGCTCAGGGACAGAATACGGATCTCCTTGGACCTAATCTCCTAGTGGGAGGGGTGGCCGCAGTCTCTGCGGACCAGCAGACTTAGCCTTTCCTCCTGGTAGTTCTGAGGAATCTGGGCAGCCCAGATGACTGTGTTTCCCCACAGTGAGGCACACCCCTTCCACCAAGGGACAAAGTGCTTTGTTAAACGGGTCCTGTTGTTCCCCATGCCACCCAACAGGGTGAGACCGTCCAACAGGGGTTGTCAGGAACCCTATACAGGAGTGATCCTACTGGCTTGAGGTTGGTGCCCCTCGAAGTCAGAGATACCAGAAGAAGGAGCAGGCACCCATCCTTGCTGTTCTCCAGCCTCCTTGAGTGACATCTCCCGACGCGGGAGCGAGCCAGATGAATAGGGCCTGAAATGAACCCCCAGGGAACTGCAGCAGCCCTGCAGAAAATGGACCTGACCATTGAAAGAAAAACAAACAGAAAGCAACGACAACAGCATCAACAATTAAAAAAAAAAAAAAGCCCCACAAAAACCGCATCCAAGGGTTAGCAGGTTCAAAGATCGAAACTAGACAAACTCACGAAGATGAAAAAGAATCAAGGAAAAAACACTGAAAACCCAAAAAGCCTGAATGACTCTTCTCCAAATGATCGCAACGTCGCCCCAGCAAGGGTGCAGAACTAGACGGAGGATGAGATGGACAAACTGACAGAAGTAGGCTTCAGAAGACGGGTAATAAAAAACTACACTGAGCTGAAGGAGCATGTTCTAACCCAATGCAAAGAAACTAAGAACCTTGATAAAAGGTGACAGGAGCTGCTAACTAGAATAACCAGTTTAGAGAGGAACATAAATGACCTGATGGAGCTGAAAAACACAGCACGAGAACTTCGTGAAGCATACACAACTATCAATAGCCAAATCAACCAAGCGGAAGAAAGCATATCAGAGTTTGAAGACCGCCCTACTGAAATAAGGCATGCAGACAAGACTAGAGAATAAAGAATGAAAAGGAATAACAAAGCCTCCAAGAAATATGGGATCTCGTAAAAAGACCGAACCAATGATTGACTGGAGTACCTACCTGAAGGACATGGGGAGAATGGAAACAAGCTGGAAAACACACTTCTGGATATTACCCAGGATAACTTCCCCAACCTAGCAAGACAGACCAACATGCAAATTCAGGAAATACAGAGAACACCACTAAGATACTCCACGAGAAGATCAACCCTGAGACACATAATTGTCAGATTCTCCAAGGTCAAAATGAAGGAAAAAATGTTAAGGGCAGCCAGGGAGAAAGGCCAGGTCACATATAAAGGGAAGCTCACCACACTAACAGCAGATCTTTCAGCAGAAACTCATCATACCGAATGGGCAAAAGCTGGAAGCATTCCCTTTGGGCACAAGACAAGGATGCCCTCTCTCACCACTCCTATTCAACATAATATGAGAAGTTCTGGCCATGGCAATTAGGCAAGAGAAAGAAATAAAAGGTATTCAAATAGGAAAAGAAGTCGTCAAACAATTCCAATCTATTCCAAACTATTCCAGTCTATTCCAAACTATTCCAAACTATTCCAATCTATTCCAAACTATTCCAATCTGTTCCAAACAATAGAAAAAGAGGGACTCCTCCCTAACTCATTTTATGAGGCCAGCATCATCCTGATACCAAAACCTGGCAGAGACACAACAAAAAAAGAAAATTTCAGGCCAATATCCCTGATGAACATTCATGCGAAAATCAATGCAAGATATACAACAAGTATAAAATGCAAGATACACAACAAGTATAATATTCCACTTGTGTAGGTACTTTTAAAATTTGTTATCAGGAAGAGTAGTGAGAAACTGTTAAAGGCAATAACCTTTTAGGGTTAAGACAATGTGTATTTCATACTTTTCTGTACTACTTTAAATTTGTGCTTATATACACTTTATATTTATTTTAAAGGTAAATAACTTAAATGCTTTCAATGAATATTTAGTAACATAAAAAAATGCTCAGAAATGAGAGAAAACAATGTCTATCTGGTCACTGTTTATTTACATATAAATTTCTGCCATATAAAAGAAACTGAAAATATATTAAAAGGTTACCGGTATTTGTTGCCAAACAATGGGATTATGGCTTACTTTATATTCTTTAAAAAATGTTTTTCTGTATTTTTCAACATCTTAAAATGAGAGTTCAAATTTTTAATGCCAAAAATTAAAAGTAAGTATTGTTAAAAATAGAGATGAACAAGATGGTCTCTATCCCAGGTAAGACTCAAAACCTCAATGATACAAAAATCTAACATGGAAAGCCCTGAGACAGCTACAATTTAGCTAACTCCACGGGGCTCTTCTAGCAAAGGGCTACACTGTGACTGAGACAAAGGAGAAAACAAATGGAATAAAAATAAAAGGCCATTTTTAGTACCTGTACAGATAGAAAAAAAAGGATGGCATTCAAGGCAATGAGAACACCAAAAGACATGAAACTATGCAACTAGATGAAATTACTCCAAAAAAAGTGTTATCAACACTAAATAAATATAGTTAAGAGAATCTCTGATGCCACCAGAAAAGAAATTGCTTCTTCCTGGGCCTGGAGACACCACAGAACTTCTCTATTTTCTCATCTACATAACGAAAATCATAATTACACTCTGTTTCATGTTGGGATTTTCTAAATCACTGGCACCTTGGGAGCAACTGGAATGGGACAGAGATAGGGGAGGATGGCATGCAGAGTAGTGTGCAGTAAGAAGACAATTTTCTTCTTAGGAAAAATATGAATTGTTCTCTAGTAGCATCATATAGTAGAAAGAACAATTCCTCTGGTGCAAACTCATATCCCAGGTGCACCTACTCTGAGCCTAGATTGTTGGAAAGCAGTTTAATATTTCTGAACCCTAGTTACTATGCTTACAAAATGAAGACAATAAAATCTACCTGGCAAATTTTGTCTGAGCACCTCTCACAATGGAGCCCAAATTTGGAAAATATTCAGCAAGTGCTGGTTCTCCTTAAATTTTCATGACAAGAAACATACTTTTCACACATCAGAAGGTGCCCTCGTCTGTGGTGGTCACTGACCTTTTTTTTTTTTTTTTGAGACAGAGTCTCGCTCTGTTGCCCAGGCTGGAGTGCAGTGGAGCGATCCTGCCTCACTGCAACCTCCACCTCTCAGGTTCAAGCAACTCTCCTGCCTTAGCCTCCCGAGTAACTGGAAGTATAGGCACCTGCCACCACGCCTGGCTAATTTTGTATTTTTAGTAGAGACGGGGTTTCACCATGTTGGTCATGCTGGTCTCAAACTCCTGAGCTCAGGTGATCCACCCGCCTTGGCCTCCCAAAGTGCTGGGATTACAGACGTGAGCCACCGCACCCGGACAGTCAGTGACTTTTAATGGGAAACATGTTATGGGAAGAGCATAAGATGCACAGATTTGTGAAAGAGCCAGAAAACTTCCAGCTTACTATGTCATTTGGTCCAACTGCCTTTCTCCAAGCCAGATTTTTCTCTAGAGAGAGCATTCAAAAACTTCCTTTAGGCATGAAATCTCCCTGTATGTTTCTTTGCAATTTCCTGTGAATCTATAATTATTTCAAAATAAAAAGTTGTTTTTTAATCTTCCCTAAGTGTCCTATTTTAGTTTTTCATCATACTCAAAATGTTCTTCCTGTGTCATTCCTTCTTGCTGAAATGTAAACCCATTTCCTCTTTTCTCAGTCCTCTAGAGAGATGGTGCAGTCTATAACCTCCTCAAATATTTCAAAACACAGATTAAGTCATCTTGCATTCTTCTCTCTTCCAGAATAAACAGCCTGAATCCTATAAACCTTTCCTCATCCATCTTTTTCTTTTCTAACTTTAATTTTTTTTAATTAAGGATTGTTTTCTGAATCTATCTTCATTTTATTATTTTTTAAAAGTGGAAAAGACCCTTAGACAGTGGTTGCTTTTATTAATAAATAACCATTGGCAAAGGCTTTTTGTGGTAGTAGCTAAAAACGATTCACAAGAAACTTTCTAAAAATCATAGCTTAATCTTAAATAGCAGTAATAAACAGGTCAGTCAGTCTAGTCCATACCAACCTCATCTGAGGAGTTGATCACTTCAGATCAGAGACCAAAAGGCCATCACATTCAAAACCTAAGAGCTGGGATCCTTGGAAAGTCCAAGGTAATGTGAGAAATGTCAAAACTGCCGCTCCTTGCTACACATTCCCAGGATTCTAGGAAAAAGTACCCTAGACTTAAGATATTTCATTATGAGTTCACTTCAACTATTAAAGAAACACAGAATCTAGCTGTTAAAGGATGAAGCTCATAAAATTCAAACAAATTATGTCTTCATCTTAAACAATGAAACATATGTTCCTGTATTCTGCATAAAACCAGATATAAAAAAACATCAAATTGTAGAAGAACAATTGCATGGTATGTATTTATATACGAAAATACCCTTGTCGAGAAAGTCTTTAAGATATTACCACTATATGTTAGCCAATATTTGCACAGTATTGTGGTACTTGTAAAATTACAGTAATTGTCAAAGAATCTTTTGGGAATCTGTAATGTCTGAGTAAGGCAGTATCTTCTCTGCACATGGAGAATGATACTGTCTGCCCCTCTCATGGAAGGATATAACTGCACCCTCACAGAATTTTGCTGTCAGCCATGCCACTGTACCTCACTGAATGCGATTTGGCAACTCCATCTCTAACTGCTGCTTCCAGCACAGCCTGTCAGCTTTTGACATGTCACACAAATCCGAAGTGCCTCAAAATTCCCTTTAACCATACCCCTCGGCACTCTTACAGACACGTTCCCTGTCACTGCCCTCAAGCAGCTCACTCTGTGTGGGGGCCTGGGCCTCCCTTATCATTCATCTTCCTCAGATGACCAGCCAAGAAACACATAGCTGCGAGAAGCAGGCCTTCAGCGCCTCTACACAGACTGTCTTATAGGCCCCTGTGACTGCTGGATTTGTCCAGAAATCCCCAAATTGCCCCTGAAGCTAAATGTCAGGTCTTGGGGGTGGGGGTGGGATTCCAAGCCTTCCTGTAATGCATTAATCCTTTAATTCCATTATATTTTCTAGGTGCCTTACAATTCACCAAGTCCTTTCACATTTGATCTCAGTCAACCCTCAAAATGTCCCTGAGGAATAAGCAAATAGATATTATCATCACTGCTTCACAAATGAGGAAAAGATTCTGGTGTTTCAGTAACTTGAACTAAAAACTGAAGAGATGAATGCCAATACAGATTCCTGTCATTCTGCTCCAAGGACTGAGCCCTCTAACATTTCTGACTTTGTTGAGTTGGTGACACATGTTTATGAGTCTGTGAACATTCCTTTTGGCCTAGATATTAATACTACAAGGGATTATCCATTGGTGCCTCAAAACCCACAAAATTTGGTCATCAATGATCGGTACCTGGTTTTACTCCTGATCTACCACAGAAGACTTTTGGTTATATGCAGAGTTTAATGAGGATGAGGCCCTTTATTTTTCTGGTGGATTACTGATAACAGAATGACTTTATAGAATTTCAAAAAACAGAGTCACCAACTCCATAAAGGTTTTCATTAAAACTCATGGTCTCTTAGTATGCTAAAACTCCCCCCAGAAGAATCTGACAGCCTAACACCACTACTTACCATGTGCCTGTTTCACAATCGAGGATGACTGAGAACAACAGAAAGAATGAGACAATGACAGTAGAATCCTTCACACTGACAGAAATGGAGAATAATTAAGAAAGTTGATTCTCAACATCAACAAACTAGTTTGTCCACTATAAAATGGTAAAGTTGAATGAGACAGCACATGCTCCTGGCACAATGGATGCCATGACAGAGTGGCCCTCATGATGGCTTGGTCTCCATAACCCCTCACCCTATTATCACTTAACAACCCCTATGGTCCCAGCAAACTCCTTTATATAGACAGAGATCAAGTCTGATGATGGCATTACAATATTATTTCATTGTCACAATCGTTTATTTGAATTCAAGGCCTTATACTTTTTACAAGTACTTTCAATTCTCTTAATTTCATTTAACTTCACAATCACTATTACCTAAGATTTAAAGGTGAGGAAACTGAGGTCCAGAGAAAGTAGTACTCCCAAACCTATTAGAAAAGCTGTTGCTAGAACACACAGCTTCTCTCATTTGGCTGCTTTCTCCTGTTTTTTGTTTGTCTGTTTGTTTCCCTCATATTTGACATGCTATCCCAGCAGTGACTCATGCTATAAAACTATGAACCTCTAGTTCTTCTACAACTTCTGCCTAACTCCCTTATGTCAGCACTGGGCAATATCTGTTCACAGTACATGCTTCAATGTAGCTTAGAGGTTACTCTCCCAAAGAGTATTGGTCAGGATCTAGTCAGGAAAACAGAAATCACAAATTATTTTAACAGAATTTAAAATAAGAAATAGTTAAATTGATATTAGAGTACTAAAAGACACAAAGGAAACCCTGAGATGTCACAGAGGAGGTAGGAACAGCCACCAGCCCTAGGGCTGGGAGGAAGAGTAGGGACTGGGGAAGAACCCAGACCCCTGATGAGGGGGCAGCCCCCCACTAGAGATGGCTTTAAGAGATTGCTGGGGAAAAGTAAGAAACCAGAATCAATCATTGAAAACAAAACACTCCTGCTGGGTGTAGAACAGCTGCTGATGAAATAATTTTTAGGGCAGTGAAACTACCTTCTGTAATACTATAATAGTAAATACATGGTGCAATGGTTTGAATGTGTCCCTCAAAATTAACATATTGAAAACACAATCCCCAATGGAACAGTGTTGGAAGGTGGGGACTAATGGGAGGTGTTTAGGTCATGAGGGCACTACCTTCATGAATGGGTTAATGTCATGTAAAAAGGGCTCATGGAGGCTGGGCATGATGGCTCACACCTGCAATCCCAGCATTTTTGGAAGGTCTAGGTGGGCAGATCACTCAAGCTCAGGAGTTTGAGACCAGGCTGGGCAACATGGCAAAATCCCATCTCTACAAAAAATGCAAAAATTAGCCTGGTGTGGTGGTGCACACCTGTAGTCCCAGCTACTTGGGAGGTTGAGGTGGGAAGATTGCTTGAGCCTGGGAGGTGGAGGGTACAGTGAGCTGAGATACTACTACTTAAGTCTAGCCTGGGCAATAGCGCCAAACTCTAAATCCAAAAAAATGGATGGCGGGGGGGCCCTCAAGGAAATGAGTTCACTCCCTCTTGCTCTTCTGTTCTTCTGCCATGGGAAGAACGGCATTCCTCCACTCCAGAGGATGCAGCCTTCAAGGTGCCATCTTGGAAGCAGAGACTTGGCCCTTACTAGCCACCACACCCGCCACTGCCTGATCTTAAACTTCCCAGCCTCTAGAACTGTGAGAAATAAATTTAATTCTTTGCAAACTACCCAGTGTCAGGTATTTTATTACAGCAGCATAAAATGGACTAGGACACATGGCATTATAAATCTGCATAAACCCACAGAATGTACAACACCAAGAAGGAACCCTAAAGTAAACCATGGACTTTGGGTGATAATAATATGACATAGGTTAATCGACTGCAACAAATGTACTCTCTGCTGGCAGATGTTAATAACAAAGGAGTCTACGCATGTGTAGGGACAGGGATATGGGAAATCTCTGTACTTTCTAATTCAATCTTGATGTGAACCTAAAACTGCTCTTAAAAATAAAGTCTGTTTTTAAATAAAGAAGAAAAATCCACTGATGCTAAGGGGATACTTTCAGGAAAGGAGGCAAACAGGATAAGCATGTCCAGTCTTCCTCTTCCAGCCAAGCAGCCTCCCTCTAGAACCTTCTGTTGACAGAAACTATAGGGAAGAAGCCGGCAAAGGAGAAACATGGTTTTAGAGCCTCAGCCCCAGTGTCACAAACAAAATATGAAGGGTGGATTTGGAGCCAAGAGATAATGGCTTAATAACCAGCACAGAGTGTTCTTCACGTGTTCAAACGCTTCAATCTGGGGATGCTCCTGCCAACTGGGCATCTATCTTCACTTGCTTTTTATAGCACAGGCTAATACAGAATTTGTTGAAGGCTGCTGGATAAGAAACTAAAGAGATACTAACTGACCAGGACATTTATTTTCTCCCTCTCTCATTCAAAACCTTCTGCTGTCAGGCCACTCGCACAGGGTGTGGAAACATCTGCATTCCAAACAATTTACTGTTTGTATTAAGAAGCCTCATTGTATAAAAAGCAGCTAAACAGCTTTAAAGGCAAGCTGTCATAGGTTCAAATCCTGATTTGATCACTTACTAGCTGTGAGATATTAAGTTAGTTTACCTCCCTGAGTCAGTTTTTCTGTAATACAGTTATATCACCTGGACCATATGGCTGTTTAAAGAATTAAATGATACACTGGTGTGAAGTGCCTGGCACATATACAGGCAAATGCTGGTTTTCTTCTCTTTGTATGAGAAAAATAACATATCAATAAGTTAAAGAGCTATTAATAACCAGCTTTTCTTTTTTGAGCTCTTCATCGTGTACTTCCAGTTGGTCTATGAACTGCTTGTGCTTCTAGGAGAATATCCCCTCAATGCCAGAAAACCTAAACAGCAATGGAAACTCACAGGATTAAAATCAAAGAGAAGCTCAAATAAGAGGCCTTAGAGAGCAAACTTTGAAGCTAACAAAGGCAAAACACAGCTTACTCATAAGGAGCAAATAGGAGAAAACAGAATGAAATATTCACTTGGCTCTTAATAAGGAAACATGCATATCCTCTTGGGGGACATTTTGTTTTCTTAATGCAAATTTGCATTACCCAAACAATGGATACAGATCCACATTATTTTTTAAGAGATTAGTATTCTCTTGATTTATTGTAATCCTTAAATAGCCACAACCCTAGGGGCATCATTAGAAAGCACACTGAGTGGACATAATGGTATTAAACTCTCAAAATTCTTTGATAGGAGCATTTATGAGAAATAACCAAATGTGCAAGTAAATATCAAAGCTCAATTAAATTTTTAAAATGAAGGTCATTTCCATTTAAAGCTCAGTGGTAGACTCAATCAATGAGGCATTTTCCTAAGGGGCAACAGCTCATAGAGTGACTTAAATGAGTTCTTATTTAAAGACCTGCAGAGAAGGGTCATAAAATGCTAGTAATGATGGTGTGATAATTGTAAGAAAAGGGCATTTTACCATAAAAATTTTTTTGAAAGGCAAAAGTCAAGTTTTTCTTTGTCCCCATTAGGGACTTACCAAAATAAAATCATTTCACAGGGGCTCGGGCCGTTGTATAGGACTTTGAATACCCTCTGGCCCAAAAGCCCATTGAATGTTTAAATTTCCTCAAGCCTCGTCATCACTGACAAGGGATTATTTACCCCATTACAAGAATTGTGACCCAAGAACCATAAGCATTGGTATTTTCTGGTAGATATATTAAAAATGCAGACTCTCAGGCCCAATTCTAGGCCAACTCAAATCAGATTTTGTGTTTTAACAAAAATCCCCAAATAACTGCCATACACAATGCAGTTTGAGATGCTGTACTTCGTCCAGTGTTTCTTAAGGTGTGGTCTCCAGACCAACAGCCTCAGCCTCACCTGAGAAGCAGATAAAAATACAAATTCTGGGGACCTGTCCCAGCCCTACTAAATCAACAACTCTGGGCGTGGGGCCTAGCAACCTGGGTTTAACAAGCCCTCCAGGTAATCCCGAGGCATGCTGAAGCTTGAGAACCACTGCCTTGGCCTGGACTTGAACAGACTGGTCTTAAGGAATGAAGGAATTCTCTAAAGCAGCCCACACTGCACCTGTGGGCACCACCCTAAGGAAATTCTTCCTTAGAACTGAACCTAAATGTCTCTCCATAGCTCTGCCAACTGAGCCTTTCCTACCAAGAGGAATAAAGACAAACTTTCTTCCACATGACAATCCTCCAACATCCAAAAATAGCTATGATATTATGCATCTTTTTTTCTTCAGGAAAAATGTCCACATAGCTAGAGATACAGACATAGACACAGATATATAGTTTAGATATATAATACACAAGTAATATAGTTAAAATATATATTAATATATACTATAATTAATTTTATTAGCTATTATAATGGCATAGTCACTGTGTGAAATAAATCCTTTTTAAAGAGAGATGTGTAAGTACATATCACATACATAAAACCCCGTATTTACTAAAAGAAGAGTAAAATGATCATCTGTCTCATTCTAGAAGTCAAATACCAACGATCAGAGCTACAGACACTAAGTTTTTAGCAGCCACATCATTCACTAGGCTTATCTCATCCCAACCCCCTGAGTGCTACAGCAACAATAATATTATTGTTTATCATTTCGTTACACGGATTTTCTTTCCACAAATGCCCCTTTTTGAAAGGTGACTTGGGTGTCTCAATTCCGTCTCTATCTGAGTCTCCATTCTCATTTCAGCTTGACCCAGCATGGAGCAGCACTGAGCTATCTGGATAGAGACTTCAGAGAAGACTGAGACTTAGCTCCATTCCTTTCACAATCACCACGTCTTTTTCCTTAATTTCTTCCTATATAGCAAAATTAGCTCAATGACTTCTCTAATTGTATGGAAAATAACTTGGCATGCTTATTAAACATCATTCAAAATGAAACTAATGTAAGTCATGAGCATTCTAAGCCTACCACAGTTCATTAAACTGCATGATATTATCACATCACACTAAGAAAGTTGGAGCTGTGACTCAAGGTCCTTTGAGACTTCCTTTTGCATAAAACACACTACCTGCTTCTATAGGTTACAAATAATAGATGTCAGACACACACACGAACTCAACATTCAACTTTAAATGCAGTCCAGGGTGGCCCTTGAATGAGTTGAACATGAAGGGGAAAAACATCAGCATGTCTACTGGAGAAGATAAGTCTATTTGCAGGAGCATCCAGCACTGCAACTGGCACAGAACAGACAAGTCTGAAGAGGACACTAAGTTATATTTTCATCCATCTACTGCTGTCTAATGCAGCACTGCAGCAACCACCATGGCATGTGTGGGCTGCAAATACTTCCCGATATGCCCACTGATTACTCTCCTAGGACACCTGCTATACAAACCCAGGGCTTCAGTCTTTGCAGAGGTCTAAAGGCCACTGCCTGTCCATCTACACCTATTGAAAATGTCAGTGAATATCACAAATAATATCTTCTCCAAGATTTTCTTGAACCTCCACGCCTCTCTCCAAATCTTCCTATAATAGTGTTGTATTTGTCACCTGCTTGACACTGTAGTTATTCCACAGATCACTATAGTCATTTGGTTATTGGCCTTCTCTCCACCAGCAGGTAGTGGGGTCCCTAATGGCCAGAGCTTGCTCTTTCTACTCTAAAAGTGCTGCACGTGCCACTGTCGTACACAGTGTGGCTCTTCCACCCAACGACCACCTCTCTTTCATTCATACAAACAAAACACCCCTTTTATTTAGGAAGGGTAATTCTGAATTATGATTCATCTCAGACAATCATGAAAATCAGATTCTTACTCTCTAAATATCTGTTTTCTCTGTTTCCCTAGCAGGTGTAGAGAAGTTTACTGGGGGTACTAGAAAGGACTGAAAAAAATCTTCTTCCCTGATAAGAGAACAACTGTTCATTTTTCCACTCAGCCTTTAACTTCTGCTTCCTTCCTTGCGGTAAAAGATAATGTCGTTTGAAGCAGGGATAATGGGATCAAGAGGTGACAAGCTTAAGGACAAAACCCAAAATGGTAGAGCAGAGAGGCAGAAAGGCTCTACGTCTCTATGGCTTTGTAAAGCTAGTGCAGCAAAACCAGAACAACTGACCTACATGCTTCTGTTATACAAGATCATCAGTTTTCACCTAGTCAGTATCAATCAGGTACTGTTACTTTCAGCCAAAAGCATTACTAATACAGCTATCAATAGTATCATTGCTGGCACATAATAAATGTTTGACTATTTATTCAGATATAACTATCTAATTGAGTTTCATCTACTTGAGTAGTTAGAAAACACACAAAAGTTCTTGTTATCTCATTGCCACCATTTTCTCTCCCTTTATTCAAAATTTCAGGGGCCAGGCACAGTGGTTCACACCTGTAATCTCAGCACTTTGGGAGGCCAAGGCCTGAGGATCACTTGAGCCCAGGAATCCGAGCCCAGCCTGGGCAACAAAGTGAGACCCTGTCTCTACAAAAAAGTAAAAATTATTTAAAAATTAGCCAGTTGCAGTGGTACATGCCAGTAGTCCCAGCTACTCAGTGGGAGGGGAATGAAACTGGAGGATCACTTGAGCCTGGGAGGTCAAGGCTGCAGTGAGCCATGATTGTACCACTGCACTCTAGCCTGAGCAACAGAGCGAGACCCTGTCTAAAAAAAAAAAATTCACCTAAGTTACAGGGAAGAGCCAATTCCTAACTTCAATGAATGCTAACACTTTTAGCTTACTAACTAAATTATTTTTTAAATAACAGGGAAAATTGTTCAGAAGAAATTACACTTGCAGTAACAAAGAGAAAAAAATTTTTAATGTTCAGCATTAAGTGAGCCCTGCTTTAAAAGGTAGTTTATAAATTACAAAATAGCCAATAGTTTATCCTAAATGAAGTAACTGGGCTATATCAGAAACCACATAAAAACCTGCAGTTCTTCAGTTCTCTACCTGCATCCACCCAGTTCTCTACCACCTGTGCCTACTACACAGATCCCCAAATCTGTGTAAATTATAATTTCCATAGGTTTGTGACTCATTTTGAGTATTCAAGACCAATGCTATAAAACTATATCCAGACCTATATAGTCGGTAAAATTTTCCAGGAATCAAAACCAAACAAAGTCACAAAAATATATCATTTGCGCAATAAATTTTCCCACTGTGTTCTCAAATCAATCACTACCCAGGCACACGAACCTTAAAGATAATACATCTACAAAAATAGGCTTTCAATGATGGAGGTGGAAAGGCAATAAAAACCTCTACATGCCTCTATTTTACTTTTGAAAAACTGCTTCTAACAAATTATAAACTTATATTTCCATTCAAAGACAATTATGCTCAGTGAAGCCCCTTAGGGCCTGAAGGTTTCTAAAGGCTATTCCATTTCTAATTTAGATCTTTCCACTGTTCCTGTCAGAAATGAAGGCTCTCTCTTGGCTCGCAGACCTTGGAAATCTTTGCAGGGGAAGCTCCCAAGCTACTGGCAGAATTATTTTCAACTTCTGGCCTTGCTAATGTCACTTATTAGTTTAACATGACAACTTCTCATCTTTCACCTCTGACTCAGTGAGAAGAACCCAAGACGTCTGTCTGGAAGTGCCTCATTTCAAATGCACCCTAGAAGCTGCATTAGGAACTCACTGAAATGCCTGGCGCAGCTGTGTTACTATCACCATCTCCTGCTCTGCCCCCTCCCTCCCCTCCTCCTCTTCTTCCACCTGGAACTTGGCCAGTTTTTCAAAGCCAGGGACACACCCTTTATCTCATGGAATCTTCATGACAAATCTATCAACTCATGACAAATCTATCAAGCTTACAGGGTAGGCGTTATCTCTCTGTTAGAGAAGAGAAAAATGCAGTCAAATTTGAAAAGTCAAATCAATAGGAACAAAAAAAGGGCTCTGGTTTCCCCACTGTCCCACACTGAGCATTAAACTGTAACGTTTCACTTACAGAACATAACTCTATCAGGCTTTATTAGGCTGGTCCTGACCCCAGCTTTGGAAACCATCTGGGATCTCTTCTGTTACTTTCCAGTATTATCACTGTACGGCGTTGTCAGTCTCAAATTCTATCAGCTCAGATTTATTCTCTGAAGGTAGAATCATTAAACCAATTCTACCAAACTTGACTTAGTAATCTATCAAAAACAGAAACGTATATGTCTATAAGAAATAGAATACAGCATTTTCATGCTTTCATAAACAAAAGCAAACAAATAATATTAATGTTGCAGGGAGGAGAAGAGTATAGAAGTCTTTCCAAAATTTATTTACAGTATTTAATTCAAAGTATACCAATTGAGCGTGGTGGCTCACGTCTGTAATCCCAGCACTTTGGGAGGCTGAGGCGGCAGATCACTTGAGGTCAGGAGTTCGAGACCAGCCTGGCCAACATGGTGAAACCCCTTCTCTATTAATAATACAAAAATAAGCTGGGTGTGTTGGTGCGTGCCTATAATCCCAGCTACTAAGGAGGCTGAGGCACAAGAATCGCTTGAACCCAGGAGGCGGAGGTTGCGGTGAGCTAAGGGTGCACCACTGCACTCCAGCCTAGGCAACAGAGTGAAACTGCTTCTCAAAAAAAAAAAAAAAAAAAAAAAAAAAAAGGATATTGTAAATGTTAAAGAGTTAAATGTAAGAATTTAAACTATAAAGATCCTAGAAGAAAACCTAGGAAAAAGTCTTCTAAGACATTGGTCCAGGCAAATAATTTATGACTAAGTCTTCAAAAGCAAACGCAACAAAAATAAAAATTGACAAGTGGGATCTAATTAAACTAAAGAGCTTCTGCACAGCAAAAGAAACTATCAATAGAGTAAACAGACAACCTATAGAATGGGAGAAACTATTTGCAAACTATGCACGCAACAAAGGAGTAATATCCAGAATCTATAAGGAACTTAAACGAATCAACGAGAAAATAAAACAACCCTATTAAAAAGTGGGCAAAGGACATAAACAGACACTTCTCAAAAGACATACAAATGAGCAACAACAAACATATGAAAAATGTTCAACATCACTAATCATCAGAGAAATGCAAGTCAAAAACCACAGTGAGATAAGATCTCACACCAGACACAATGGCTATTATTAAAAAATCAAAAACTAACAGATGTTGGTGAGGTTGCAGAGCAAATGGAATGCTTATACACTATAGCTGGGGATGCAAATTAGTTTAGTCCATGTGAAAAGTGCCTGTGGAAAATTTCTCAAAGAACTAAAAATAGAATTATCATTTGACCCAGCAATCCTATAACTGGGTAAATACCCAAAAGAAAATAAATCATCTACCAAAAAGACACCTGCACTTGTATGTTCATCACAGCACTAGTCAAATAGCAAAGACAAATCAACCCAGATGCCCATCAACAGTGGATTAGAAAAAGAAAATATGGTATTAAAAGTAATGGCAAAATCCACAATTACTTTTGCACCAACCTAATACATATACACCATGGAATACTACACAGCCATAAAAAAAGAATGAAATCATGTCCTTTGCAGCAACGTTGATGTAGCTGGAGGGCATTATCCTAAGTGAACTGTCATGGAAACAGAAAACCAAATACTGCATGTTCTCAGAAAAGCAAATACTGCAAGTGAGAGCTAAACATTGGGTACGCACAAACACAAAGACGGGAACCATAAACACTGGGGGTTCCAAAAGGGGAAGGTGGGGAGGAGGGCAAGGGCTGAAAAATGACTTATCCAGTACTATGTTCATTACTTGGGTGACAGATCATTAGAAACCCAAACCTCAGCATCACACAATAGACCCATGCAACAAAACTGTACATGTATCCCTTGAATCTAAGATTTTAAAAAAATTTTTAAAAGAAAATTATATCATAAATGTCTATTGCTTTTTTATTTAAGACCACATCCCTTTAAAAAGGAATCTCCTACTCCCCAATATATTTTTCTATATATGGCAGAGTATTGCCAAGAACCAATATAATTTATGATATATGGTCAGGAAAACAATTTGAAAAATGCTACCAAGGCCAGCATTCTAAGGAATATCAACCAGCACCAAAACATTAACCCATATTTATGATGTACATAAAATTACTGTTCAATTAGTTAAAAATCCTTATTGCACACCTACAGCAGTGATCCTCAACACTGCTCCACAACACAATCTCCTGGAGGATTTTGAAACATATTATGACTCAACTCAAGTGGGACCGGGGCACTGACTTTGTCAGGAGCTCCCCGGGCAATTCCAGTGTGCAGCCAGGTTGGGAACTGCTGACTGTGCAAAATGCTAAGGAGGTGGGTGGGAGGAGGGCCACGGGGAACAAAGACACTTGGGAGAGATGCATAAAGGAGGAAGAGAATACCAACGGTCAGCCTCAGAGATGCACCCATCTGTTAACAGAGAAAGGCAACTTAGAAAGACATCAGCTCTGCAGGGAGAGAAACAGATCCATTTTCAATGTGTCAGTATTAGTGACAGCTGGAACTGTGGTGGCTGCAAAAAGACTAAGTGATCAGAGGCCCTACAGACACAGCTGTAGGAACACTAGGCAGAGAGGTATTGGTTGAAACCAAGGGATCACGTCAGAGAGCTTGGAGAGCTCTGTGTGAGTACCCAGAACTGAGCCTGGGAGACGCCAGTCATATAAGGGCAGGAAAAATTAGGGAGTGGGAGGAAGGAGAGGCAGGAGGCAGGAAGAGAAGAAGACAAACATATACATAGAGATTTCTAGCAAAGTATGGAGTAAGTCATTTAAGCATTAGCTATGAAATATTCAGAAATCCCATAGATTTCAAGAATCATTTCTTACACATAGGCAAAGCTATTTTCCTATGCTTGGGTGAAGTGCTTTAATGACTATCTTCCTATATAAGTAGTTCAAATACAATTTCAGAAGACACTGAGCCTATGCTACTGTTAAGAGAGGAATAAAAAAGTATTCCCCCACCTTCTAGGAATTTATAGAATTGCAAGTCCAAACAACCAAAAAACAGTTTATAATCAAATGTTAGGTTGTGTAGTAGAGCCAGCTCGATTTTACAGCACAGAGGAAGAAAAATACAACTTACTTTCAGATTTGGGCCCTAAACTAGATTCCCAATGAAAAATAAGTGAAAGATAACAACGTAAACAACAATGACTAAATTATGACACGTCCTTTAATGTCCTTTAAAACGGTTATGTATTTTCAAATCAACAACAGTCACTCACTGCAAAATTAGTCATGAGAAAAATCTCTGCTCTATCGCCATCATACACTATTGTGCCATTTCAATGATTAAGGGCACGCATCTTAATTTTTTCTCTAGTCTAAAAGGAATGTGCCATCTGTATATATCCGCCAAATAAAATATGAAAGGAATACTTTCCCCTCCAAAATTTTAGAGGTTGTCTTCCAACAAATAATCAAAAAGGGAGTAACCTCTTACACTCTCAGACCCCTGCAGTTTATTTTTATGGTTTTTTAAAATTAATTCCAGTTCCAAGAAAAAATTTTGCAGGATTTTTAAGTTAAAAAAGATAAGATGCCTGTGTCTCTTTTTTTCCATGGAAGTTGAGGCTACTTTTGCCCCACTAGCCAAAACCAAGAGGCATTAAAGGCTTCAATAGCCCTTTTAAAACAGTAGAGACAGCTTTAGTTCCACAACCACACCATCCACTTGTTTTTACTTTTTTTTTAATGTTTATTTTATTTTATTATTTATTTATTTATTTATTTATTTATTTTTTGAGGCAGTGTCTTGCTGTATCGCCCAGGCTGGAGTGCAGTGGCATGATCTCGGCTCACTGTGACCTCCGCTTCCTGGGTTCAAGCAATTCTCCTGCCTCAGCCTCCCAAATAGCTGGGATTACAGGCACGCCCCACAATGCCCAGCTAATTTTTGTATTTTTAGTAGAGGTGGGGTTTCTCCATGTTGTCCAGGCTGATGTCGAACTCCTGACTTCAGGTGATCCACCCAACTCTGCCTCCCAAAGTTTTGGGATTACAGGCATGAGCCACTGTGCCCGGCCTCTGCTTGTTTTTATAATCATCCTCCTGATCCCAACAGTACATCCTCCTAAGAGTAACCTTCCCTGAGAAAATAAACTGTTTCAACAAGAGACCCAGTTCTGGTCCATTTGGGCTCCTATAAGACTCTTCCAAATCAGGTGTTCCTCTTTTCTACAAATCATAAGATTTCCAGAGTCCAAACAACACCCATTAAACATTTGGCTCATTATCCTAACATTAATGAGGGGAGGAGAAAGCCTCAATGTATACTTTTTCTTGTCCATTTTAGGACAAAGCCCTATATTTGGACAGACTTGTGATCAAGAGTGCAAAACTAAAAGATGCCAGAATTCAACTGAATATAAAAAGAGACTTCCACAAGAATTGTTCAGAAACTAAATGGGCTGCTGTGACACAAAGAGGCAACATGTAGAAAGCATAAGAAAAGGTAGAGGCTTCACACATGGGCGGGTTTGGTTTTCAGTCCCAGCTCTTTCCAGGCCTAAGGTCACATATCAAATAACAACTCTTAGCTTACTTTATTTCTAATATGGGAATATTTACCGTAACAGCTCTGGGCTAGCCGCTCCGCCAAGAAACTTACACCTAGCAATTCATTTAATCCCCAAAATAACTGTAAAAGGCAGGTACTGACTACAACATTTCTCATTTTATCAATGAAGGCACTGTGGCACAGGGAGATTGAACAACTTGATTTCAAAGTCGTATGGCAAAGAAATATGGCACTGAGATTCATTTAGTCTTGCTCTAGAATCTGCTCCCTTAATCGCTATACACTCAAAAAATTGCAGCCACTATTGTAATTTATTATTACTGACATCAAATAACAATATTATTATTTATTATATGATATTACATAGTATATAAAATTGTTATTAAGCTGCCTGATTCTGGACATGTTCCAGCAGAAGTTGGAAACTCCCCTAAGTGATCTATAGGGTTCTGTTCTACTCTATGACTTGATTCCATGGTGGGTGAGTCTGGTTCTCTGAACTGCAGAGGAAGATGTTATGACATCTTAGCCCTGTGTTCTTCCCACAAGCTAGGCCCACCAATCCCATTTCCACGTGGCAAACCTCTAATCAAGGAAAATGTAAGTGGTTTTGAATATTCTGGAAACTACCTGCAAGAAGGAGACTAAAGTATTGAAAATGGAAGCCTTGGCCCATTGTTCCAAATTTCAAGATGGAGCTTAAGCTGTCAATACAAACATTTGCTGAATTCTGACATTCCACCTCCATTTGGAGAATGTCCAACAGAAAGGGTCTGAGTTCTTTCTTTTCCATTCTTTTATACTGCAAGGGACAGTCATCTCCATGAGCTGGTGCTTCTCAAAAAAGTCACCAGAGATAGGATCCCAGAAAGCTACAGAGTAGTGTCAGCTACAGTACAGACAATTTCTCCAACAAAATTGCCTCGTTACAGATTCTCTTCTTGGCACAACAAGTACTTTCAAAAATAGTAGCCCAATTTCACAAGCAAGTTGGAACCCACTGATCCTGACTTCTAAAATACCGCATTCCTTCTGTTGCTAGTAATGCTCAAAATATGCCTCTTAAAATTACTTGTCAAAGTCTCCTTTTAACAGGGCCAATTACTTTTCTCCTGAGACAAAAGCCTGAGAACCAGAAGCCTAGGAAAATGAATGGATCATGATCTTGCTGGCATGTTTAGCAATGAACTTAAAGTGGTCCCCACTTTCCACATCAATTCCCC
Source organism: Homo sapiens (assembly GCF_000001405.40). Taxonomy (NCBI): domain Eukaryota; kingdom Metazoa; phylum Chordata; class Mammalia; order Primates; family Hominidae; genus Homo; species Homo sapiens. The sequence goes on along the minus strand of NC_000002.12, from coordinate 168,515,492 downwards.
TCCCCACTTGGTGATGAGAATTCAAATGTTCTCAAAGATTCTGGGCCAGGACCATCTTTAAAGTTTAAAGAATTTTCCTTTTTTTTTTTCCCACAGTGACTACATAGTTAAATTACCAAAATTACACTTAAGGAAAAGGTCAAAAGTTACTTTCTTAATTTACATGCCGGGCTTGGACATAGGGGATTAATTTGAGCAATCCAGTTATGTTTTTGTGTGTTAACATGTAACTGGCAAAAAATACATAATTGTTCATTCTTAATGATTAAATTGTGGAATATGTTCTCTTGCAATTCTTAAAATATAGACAACTGAACTATTCAGTAAAATAATTACATGAGTCCATGTTCATGGCAGTAACAATTTTAAAGGTTAAGGAGAAAGTCTAAAATACTAAAATCTCATTTTATTCCTATTATCTAGCTTCCAATATCAAAAACCAATTACAAAGAAATTATTTTCTCATTACACACATATGCATGTGTGGATACATACATTACTGGAACCCACTCATCATGGTGGAAGTTGCTCAGAACTAAGACCCAGGTGAGCTCTGATCTGTTTCAGATGGTGCTGCAAAGTCAGTCTTGTTATGCTGGCCGAGTGAACTATATGATTCAACTTCTTCAACTGTGAAAATAAGGTACTGGATGATCTCACAGGTCCCTTCTAATTCTATAGCCATTCTTGAAAGTTCTCTATCTTCACCAAAGAAATTAATTTCTACTGGAAATGGACTCATTTTCACTTTCTACTGCTCATTGCTCCTCTTTATCTGAGCAGTTGTTTTCTAAAGAAAAAACACCCCAAAGAAGTATGTCTAACCCAAGGGAGGCAGGTTCTTCTCTCTCGTCTATAACATCTGATTTAGTGGTTTGGAGGAGCACATTTGGCAAGCAATGAACTCTTGCTAATAAGTAAACCTTCCCCAAAGCCACTTGAATTTGCAATCATGTCCCATATTCTAAGGCTTAAAAAGGAAACCTTATGTAGTGTGTGGTGGGGAAGGTGGGGTCCCCCAGGACTGACAGCATGTATCTCACCTGTGCCTTTTTCTTGGCCCTATCCTGAATTACTTGTAATCAATAAATGGCTATTATAGATGGTTGGATCCAATTAAATCTAGGAAAAGCAAGCCATATTAGAGGTGAAGCTGACAGCAATGTAGAAGGAACAGAGACACACTAAGGAAGGGGGCTGGCATGAGGGAGCAGGTCTATCTTTCCAGCAGTACTCAGATGACTACACTTCTTTGGGAAATTTTTAAGGCCATGGGGAGCAAAGAAGGGTTTAAAATTTGGCCTGACAGACTCTGACTATTCGTAACTAAACTGTCAAAAAGCTTTCAGAAAAACATTTAATTTTTTCCAGACTCCTCAAATGAAATGGTCAAGAATGAAAATGGCAAATAACAACACCGTAAATTACTATCATTTATTTCCCTTTCCTCCATAATTTTTAGAAATTGTGCTTGAGCATAACAAGGTAGTGTCAAGCACAGGGTTTTTTTCACTTTGTATTTTGGGCATAACACTTCCTAGGGAGCAGCAGAATAGGGACGAAGAGAAGGCAAAGCTGAGGGGAGGTGGTGAGATTTGGAAGAATGACCTTTTCTCTCTCTCCCTAGCTCTGGTCCGGCTCCACCTCGCAACCAGTTCCAACAGCCTCAGGAGCAACAATAAAAGGGAAAACAGAGAGAGTAAGAGACAAAGAAAGGTAAGGAAGAGAAACCATTCCTTAAGTGTCAGCTGCTATAGTGATTTCTTCCCAAAGACTGTAGTATGGAAAGGGAGGCGGTGCTAACTTTCGAGCAGAGAAACCTGGCAAACACTGCATCAGCCAGGTGAGCGGGGTCAACATCCACGGTGGTATATGCCCTTGACATGATGGAGTGAGAATGGCATGTCACCTCTGTGGTCTTCCTCCCCAAACCCATGATCTGAGTCCAGTCATGGTTCGAAAACATCAGACAAACCCTAACTGAGGGACATTCTACAAAATACCTGACCAGAACTCTTCAAAACTGCTCAAGTCATAAACAAGAAAAGTTTGAGACACGTCACAGCCAAGAGGAGCCTAAGATGATGTGACTAAATGTAATGTAGTATTCTGAATGGGACCCTGGAACAGAAAAAAAGACATCTGGTAAAAACTAAGACATTCTGAATAAAGTATGAAAGTCATTTAATAACAGTGTATCAATATTGGTTCATAAATTGTAACATGGGCTACATTAATGTAAGAGGTTAACAATATAGGAAATAATTAGAAGGATAAATGGGAACTCTGTGCTAATGTTACAAATTTTCTATAAATCTAAAACTATTCTAAAACTAAAGGTTTTCTAAAAAACTCAGCAGACCTCATTCTTGTACACACAGCTCACAATTAACATTTTAGTGCCCCAATCTCAAATATACAGGGTAACCAAGGAGAACTAAATATTTGAGGAGAGACTGCAGAATTAAAAATGAGAGAAAAGTACAAACCAACAATAAAATGATCCCCAGAAGAAAATAACTGTAGAGGCCAGGCGCAGCAGCTCACACCTGTAATCCCAGCATTTTGGGAGGCCGAGGTGGGAGGATCATGAGGTCAGCAGTTCGAGACCAGCCTGGCCAACATGGTGAAACCCCATCTCTACTAAAAATACAAAACTTAGCTGGGCATGGTGGTGGGCATCTGTAGTCCCAGCGACTCTGGAGGCTGAAGCAGGAGAATCGCTTGAACCTGGGAGGCGGAGGTTGCAGTGAGCCAAGATCATGCCATTGCACTCCAGCCTGGGTGACAGAGCGAGACTCTGTCTTTAAAAAAAAAAAAAAAGAAAAGAAAATAGCTGTAGAAAAAAATCATTAATTGGTACTCTCATAGAGACTCAAGAAGATACTGCATCCATGATAGATGAGCAAGGATCTTTGAAAAAGGAACAATCAGAATACATTAAAACATCTTGAAGTTTTAAAAAAGATTATGATGACTGAAATGTCACAAGAAACCAATAGGTTTGGAAAATAAAGTAAAGAAAAATCTCAGGATATACAACAAAAAGATGATGAAGTGGTTTTAAAAATATGAAAGAAAAAGAATTTAGGGAGATATGTGATGAGACTGTCCTATATCTTTTTTTTAATTGTGGTAAAATACATACAGCAAAAAATTTACTGTATTAACCATTTTTAATTATACAGTTCAGTGATATTAAGATTATTCACACTATTGAGCAACCATCACCACCATCCATCTCCAGAACTCTTTTCACCTTGCAAAACTGAAAACTCTGTGCCCACTAAATAGTAACTAACCATTTTCCTCTCCTCCTAGCTCCTGGCACCCAGCATTCTACTCTCTGTCTCTATGAATCTGACTATTCTAGGTACCTTATATGAGTGGAATCATACAGCAGTTTTTCTTTTATGACTGCCTTATTTCACTTAGGCTAACGTGCTAAGGGTTCAACCCTTGTTGTAGCATGTATTCAAATCCCCTTCCTTTTTAAGGTTGAATGATATTCCTGTGTGTGTGTGTGTGTGTGTGTGTGTGTGCACGTGCATGCACACATATGGGTATGTATGTCTCACATTTTGTATACCCATTCATCCACTGATAGACAAGTGGGTTGCTTCTACCTTTTGGCTATTGTGAATCCTTTATCTTAATTATGGTGGTGGTTACACTACTAAATGCATTTGTCAAAACTTATAAAACTGTACACTAAAATGAATAACTGTATGTAAATTATACTCCAAATTTTTTAAACTTTAAATACAAACGGAAAAATAAGAAAAACAGGATTAATTGAGAAGTTCCAACAAACTAGAAAGAGTCCATTTTTAGAAAAAAGAACAGAGATTATAAAGACATTTTCAAAGAATTAACACCAGAATATAGCCCAAAGCTGAGGTTTCTAAGTCCTCAGCCTAAAAAGGCCCACAAATGCTCAGCACAATGGAAAACAAAACCAACTCTTGTCCAACACTGGGAAATTTCAGAACACCAATAAGACACACAGGAAAGAGAATCAGACAGGGAAGACTTCTCCTCAGCCACAAAGGAAGCAAAAAGACAATACAGCAATGGCTTCGAAGTTTCAAAGGAAGGAGGATGATTTTCTGCCCAGAATCTTCCAATTAGCCAAACTATCAATTCAATGGGAGATGATGGATAAGAAAAGTAAACAAAAGGAAAAAATACAAAAACCCAGGACATTTATTTTTTAAACTTCCTTTTCCAGGAAGTTATTTACAGATGTGCTCTAACAAAATGTAGAATTAAATCATGAAAGGAGAAGGTACAGGATGGAGGAAAAAATGGACCCAACCAAGGAGAAATGGAGACTTAAGAAGATGGCTGTGTAGCATATGCAGAAAATCAATTACTCCAGATTGGGACAGGAGAATGGAAAGAGGCAGCAAGAATAAAGGAGATTTGAGAAATTTAGCATTCTGAATCTGTGGAGAGAGATATTACAGCAAAGTGATAAACAGTGAGGGTGCTATATCCACACAAGACAGGTTCAAATCCCAGCTCTACCACTTAGTGTTTGTATAGCTGTGGACTTTGCTTAGCTTGTCTCTATTCCTCAATCTTCTCATCTAAGGTTATTGTAAGGCTTTATTTTATTTTATTTTACCTTTTATAAAATTTTATCTTTATTTTATTGTAAGTTAGTTAATGCACGTAAAACAGTTAGAAATTACCCAGCACATTGAGCCCTTAATAAAAGTTGGCCAAGATGATAGTAATGATAATGGTGCAGAAAGCAAACAATATAAATTTTAAAAACTCACAGACTCCAGGAAAAAGAAAAAAACACTGAACAAGAAAGGAAATGTAATCATAGCTCTTGGTTTTATAAAACAAATACTTATTGATGACAACACAGTCACACTTCACTTAACGATCAGGGCATGCTCTGAGAAATGCACTGTCAGGCAATTTTATCGTGCAAACAACACAGAGTGTACTCACACAAACCTGGAAGGTATCGTCCACTACACGTCTAGGCTATGTGGTCTGCCCTATTACTCCTAGGACACAAATCTGCATAGCACATTACCGTACAACACAATGGTATCTGTGAATCTAAACACATCCGAATATAGAAAATGTATGGTAAAATATCTGTTTATAAAACATAAAAGATGGTACATCTGTTTATAGGGCACTTACCATGAATGGAGCTTGCAGGACTGTAAGTTGCTCTGTTGTTTTATCAGCAAATTATCTTCTAACAAGCCTCTGGGTTCTGTTAACTGAAATGTATAGACTAAAACTACTGTCTAAACCACTTAATCCTTATGGAGGAATAAAAATGCTTTTTTTTAAATACATGGGATCAGATTCTAGGCTTTGCAAGAATCTAATCCTATGTATCAGATAACTTGGTTTTTTTTTTTTTTACCAATTATTATAAAATATCAAGTACTGCACCTAATATACTACTGATTTTTAAAATTTTTCTTGTGATTATATTTTTTGGGCATGTTATTGTTACCTGCTTTTTATACATAAGGAAATAAAGAGATAAACAGTTTGGAAACTAAAACAACACAAATCTAAACATAGCTGTCTTCTGTGTTTGTTTGTTTGTTTATCGTAGAGACAGAGTCTGACTGTGTTGATCAGGCTCGTCTCAAACTCCTAGCCTCAAGTCATCCTCCTGCCTCAGCCTCCCACAGTGCTGGGATTACAGGCGTGAGCCACTGCACCTGACCCTACTGTTGTCTTCTGAAAGAAAGCCGCTGGTCTGGCCTTAATGCAGTCTTTCTTTATGTTAAACTGTACCAGTATACCAAATACTCTACAAACACTGAGATTCATCATCTATTATATAATTTCATCCATTATTTAGAATATATAGACCACAAGAGCTAGACCTCAGACATGATTAACCCGACATTCCCATTCATAGATGAAGACTGAGAACTAGAACACAAGTTTCTCCCAGTGCCAGAGCTACTGAATGATGGAGGCAGGGTCAGGATGCAGGTCTGGCCACCGCTATCCTTCCTAAATGTCACCTGATTCATAGACCCATTGTTTTTCAATATAAAAACTGGAATAAATGTGGGGAATTTAAGTGGAAAATTGGGGCTGTAAATATTCACAATGTGCTCAACAATGAAACTGGTTGTCTTAATGGCATTAACTTAAAGGTGATTTTTAGCTTAGGTAATTTTACAATAAAAAGAAAATGGTTATTGCTCTCCATGGGTTTTACTGCTGTTGTCATGTTATGAAAAGTAATTCAGGATACATCATTTTGGGTGATACTGTTTAAGAATGTTTGAATTTGTGTCCAATAAATGGAGTATTTGGTCAAATCAGCAGGGGCCTTTAAGAAGTCAACTGAGGGTATAGAATCAACCCTTAAATTAGAAGAGAGATTCTGCCAAGAATGAATTAGTCTGAACTCTTCTGTAGCCAGTATGAGTACACAAAAACTATGGCAATAGAGAAAATGGGATTACCACTTAAATTACCATCTAGAAAGTAAAACTCCACAATTAACTCAAGATAGATAAGAGACATAAAAAGTCACCTAAAGGACAAATTGGCCCCCAAATCTAAAAACACTTAACAGTAATCTGACTTCAGACACTAAGATACTTTTTAAAATTTAATTTATTTTTATTATACTTTAAGTTCTGGGATACAGGTGCAGAACGTGCAGGTTTGTTACATAGGTATACATGTGCCATGGTGGTTTGCTGCACCCATCAACCCATCATCTACATTAGGTATTTCTCCTAATGCTCTCCCCTCCCCTACCCCCCACCCCCCGACAGGGCCTGGTGTGTGATGTTCCCCTCCCTGTGTCCATGTGTTCCCATTGTTCAGCTGCCACTTAGGAGCGAGAACATGTGGTGTTTGGTTTTCTGTTCCTGTGTTAGTTTGCTGAGAATGATGGTTTCCAGCTTCATCCATGTCCCTATAGAGGACATGAACTCACCATTTTTTAGACACTAAAATATTTTAAGAAGGGGTGCATTGAAGGTGCTTAATAAAGGATGGAAGATTAAAAGGAGAGGCAGTGGCTCCAAGGCAGAGATAAAAGTGTTCACTCAAGCCTGATCTAGGGAGAAAGTGAACTTGACTTAAGAGAATATGTTGGCCTGAGGATGCAATTAACCCAACCTTTTACAGATCATTCATCAATTTTTAACTTAGCCCAACCCAACTGTTTCAACCTAGGAGGCTTTGCTATTTTACCCAGATTTTGCTGATTCTTTCAGGGAAGCAACACTAGGTGCCCTAAAGTTATACATTTATTCAAACACTGAGTTAGACAACCCTATTGTAAATCAATGTTTTCCAAACTCTGGCCATCAGTTACTGAGAAAGGATTTACCAGCTTACAGCATCATCCTTTTCCACTGTATAATTAGAACGCAGTGAATCAGAATCAATCACAGAATATGGACAGACAAAAGCAAATAAAAAATCAAGAACTCCCTTCATGCTCAGTGATACAACTTTAAATAGGTAACTGTCTAAGAATAGATGGCATGACTCCCATATCAGCTCATTTTTAATGTATGTGTTAAATATACTATTACCTATGCTTAAGGCACAGTTAGCAACTTGAAATATCTAATGGTTATAAATCTGAAAAAAAACTTTCCCAGAGAAGAAAGAGAATGAGGAAGGGAGGAAGAGAAGAGGAAAGAAAGATCTTTCTCAGAAAAGAATGTCAAGTAATAAATGTGAAAAGAATGATGAAAATAGTAGAAAGCATCATTTTGCTATCATCTTAGGGTAGTTGATTCAGGTGGAAGTTGTCATTGGATGTGGGTGGAGAGAGATTTGATAAGGAACAAGATGTTGGCAAAACCTTGGAAGACCTCCCCACAAAATACTAATCAATTACACAGAGGGAAACAGTAAACCTGGCATACACTAGCATGACCAGGTGATCCAGATTATCACCACCAAATGGCAGGACAAGTCAGCATCTTGTGCCTTCAACGCAATGCTCTTAGAGGAACACAGCATCATTTTTGAGCATTCCACCAAGAATGCATTAACTGAGCCCAGTCATGAGGAAACACCAGAAGGATCTATATCCTACTTAAAGGCCTATGCGCTTTAAAACTGTCAAGGATACAAAAGACAGAGAAAGACTAAGGAACTTTTCCAGAATGCAGAAGTTCGAAGAGACATGAAAATTACATGCAATATATATTCCTGGGCAGGATCCTGGACAAGATAGGAAAAAGGCCTATTTTTGAGTTCACAATGATGACATTATAAACTGAATGACAGTGATGTACCAATGCTTATTTCCTGATTTGGAGTGTTGTATATACTGGTTATATAGAAGAATATCTTTGTTTAGGGAAAAAAGCATACTGAAGCACTTAGAAGTGATGGGACATGATGTCTACAGCTTGCTCTCATAAGGTTAAGGAGCAGACTAAAGATCACACACACACATGCATACACACACACACACAGTGCACACATGGGACAAATACAGTAAAATGTTGATAACTGGGGAACCTGGGAATACAGGAATGCTTTGTTCAACTTGGCAACTTTTCTGTGTTTGAAATCGTTTTGAAATCATTTTAAAAATTAATCCACTAGGAAAATATATATTATTATAACCTATGCCATATATTTAATTGAAGAGAAGGATATCAATATGAAAACTGGCCAAATTTTTTAAGCCACGAACATTTAATAATATGGAAAGTTAGCAATCTAATTGCTACAAATCTCCTTTAAATGACACAATGCTTTACTGCTTGTGAAAGTTACTACATCTCTAGCCTGCCAATCAGATTCTCTTTACTGAGAAGTTTGAATGAAGACAAAAAGTGTCATTTGGTTAATAGCATCAGAAGCAGCAAAAGTCTAAAACTCCTCAGTCTAAAACTGATCTCATATCTATTGTCAAAAACTTCCCAAACCCCAAGACAAACTCATTTGAATCTGAACAATATTTTAGTTTAATTATAAATGTCTATCAGCCAGAACTTCCCAGTGTTTATCAGCTCATTTTAATGTTGGCGGGAAACATTTTAGCTAAAGAATGGATAAATCAGGTGGGTCGGACACACCTGGACACTGATCTAGTTTACAGAAGAAGAGGCTCTTAAAAAGGCTGAGGAAGTGATTACAGAGCTGATTAAGACTATCTCAGTTAATTTTGCCACATCAGGTCGACTGGAAGACTATTCAAAGATGTATTCAGAAAAGGGATGAGCCAGTCTTTGATTTTCTCAATTGATTTGAAAAAAAACTGTCAGACAGAATTCAGGCATCAAGGATTTAAACAATCACAGCCAAGCGTTTCAATTTGCTTTTTCTTTCACAGCTCAAAGAGACCCTTAGAACTCTAGTTCAACAACAAGATGCTGACTGGACCTCTAGAAGGCCGCATGAATTGGCATCCATATCTGATCGCCTCTCAAAAAGAATAGAAAAGGAGAAAGATATTCAGGCAGCGAGGACATTCAAATGTCAGGAAGAAACAGCAAAACTCATGGCCCCACACATAAAGCAGCTCAGGAGCCTTCTGCCAAATAGCAGGCCCAATCTAAGGAGCAAAAGACACAACAGTGCCTGATACAAAAGAATGCTCTTTATTATTTTTGCAAGGAAGCTGGTCACTTTAAATGGGATTGTAATAAATACAAAAAACAGCTCCTAAAGAATAATCCTGATTGAGCTAGAAGAAACCAATTATTTCCCCAAAGCAGACTGACACTAGACCAGTTCCTTACTTCATTACAAGAATAGGGGTACTGTGGGGAGACAAGGGGAATTTTCCCTCTAACAAATTAATTTAATTGGGAGAAACTGATCTTTAATAATTGAACAGTCTGAGCCCTAATAGATACTGGGGGCCATGCTTTCAGTACTTAACTCCAACTCTTTTATACATCCCCATCCAGGAGTAACCAAACCATATAAACGGTCAGGGTCACTCATCAACCTATGACCACTTTTAAGTCAGCACTGATCACTGATCTGCTGGGTCCCCTTGTAAGTATCACAGTATCTTGCTTGTTCTCTCTGCTTCTATCTATCTGATAGGGAGAGATTTCCTTGAGCAGCATCAGGCTCATATTTCTTTTTTTTTCTTTTTTTTTTTTTTTTTTTGGAAACAGGGTCTCACTCTGTTGCCCAAGCTGCAGTGCAGTGACACAATCACAGCTCACTGCAGCCTTGAAATCCCAGGCTCAATCAATCCTCCCACCTCAGCCTCCCAAATAACTGGGACTACAGATGCATGCCACTATGCCCAGCTAATTTTTTTTTGCATTTTTTATAGAGACAGAGTTTTGCCATGTTGCCCAGGCTTCTCTCTCTAAATCCTGGGCTCAAGGGAATAGCCCGCTTGGCCTCCCAAAGTGCTGGTATTACAGGCGTGAGCCACCACATCTGACCAGGCTCATATTTCTTTTTCTCATTAGGGAGATACCATTCTGCAGGTCTCTCCTTCAGAAACCGTATCAATTGACCTTACATGTCTTTCCCTTGTCTGTCACTAATTACTCAGTTGCCACTCAGCACCTGGCTTTAAGAGAACCGCCTGATACACTTGGCTAAATCTAACACTGATGTAGGTCTAATTCACTCAGCACCACCTATTACCATACATTTAGACCCCAACAAACCTCTACCTAATGTAAGGCAGGGTCTCCTCAATCCTGAAGCTTTGGCTGGTAGACAGCCCATTATTAATGATTTCCTCTCCAAGGGATTCATAGTCCCTTGCACTAGCCCCTGCAGCATGCCCATACTGCCTGTCCAGAAACCAAATGGAAAGGGATGGAGGTCTCAAGACCTAAGAGCCATTAACAATATTGTTATACCTCAGCACCCCACTACGCCAGACCCACATACAATCCTAACACACCTGTTGACACTTGATGTTCCTCAGCTATTGATCTCAGTGGCACCTCTTTCAGCATCCCTGTCAACCCAGGAAGTCAGTTTCTCTTTGCCTTCACGTGGAAAGGCAAACAGTTCACCTGCACAGTCCTTCTCCAGGGATACAGATTGCCTCACTTGTTTTTCTCACATTTTACAAGCTGATTTAAGGGGCATGATCTTCCCCCACAACTCTACCCTGTTACAATGCATTGATGATTTCCTTTTTTTTTTTGTTTAAATGGGATCTCACTCTGTCACCCAGACTGGAGTGCAGTGGTGCAATCTTGGCTCACTGCAGCCTCAGCCTCCCAAGTAGCTGGGACGGTTGGTAGATGCACACTAAAGACCCAGCTAATTTTTGGAGAGATGGGGTCTCCCTGTGTTTCCCAGGCTGGTCTTGACTCTTGAACTCAAGCAATCTGCCTACCTTGGCTCCCAAAGTGCTGGGATTACAGGCATGAGCCACCACGCCCACCCTGATGATTTACTTTTATGCCTCACAAGACACTCGTCTTACTGACATACTTCACTTGATCCACCAGCTAGCCTTTAAGGGACACAAGATCTCTAAAGACAAGCTGCAGCTTTGTCTGGATTCTATTAAGTTTCTTGGACACACATTAACCCCTTTAGGCTTAAATACTGACCCTTCTCTTTTCCTTTCCTCTCCAGACCCCTAAGAAACAGCTTAGAGGGTTTCTTGGACTTGCAGGATACTGCAGAACTTGGGTCCCCAACTTGTCTTTGATGGCACAACTTCTATATGCTTTGTTTAAAGTTTCCTCCCCTGACTCCCTTATTTGGACCCCAAAAACTAACAGGCCTTCAAAGACCCAAAAGGTCAACTCACCTCACCTCCCACTCTAGGACAGCCAAATTATGATCTCCTCTTTTCCCTTCTTGTCCATAAACCAGAAGGAAACACCATGAGAGCCCTAACTCAGCCCCACAGGAACAGCAAGCAGCCAAGTGGGTATTACAGTCAACAAGCAGACTCCATAGCTCAAGAACTGCCACCTGTTTGAGGGCAATTGCTGCCATTTCCACCCTCATTAAGGCTACCAAAACATTAATAATGGAATTCCCTCTCACTATGTATTCCACATTCTCACCTCTCACCACACTAAGCATCTTTCAGCCAGTCAACTAACTTGCTAGGAGATACTTTTCTTCTCCTCCTCTTGTAACCTAACCATAGTTTGTTGCAGCCTCCTTAACCCTCTTATCCTCTTGCCTTTACCTGAAGAGGGTATCTTCCATGACTCTACTGCTTTCACAGACACTGTATTAGTCCATTTTCACACTGCGATAAAGAACTTCCCTGAAGCTGGGTAATTTATAAAGAAAGAGGTTTAATTGACTCACAGTTCCACAGTGGCTGGGGAGGCCTCAGGAAACTTAGAATCATGGCAGAAGGGGAAGTAGGCACATCTTACATGGTGGCAGGCGAGAGAGAGAAGCAAGAGCAAAGGAGAAAGAGCCTCTTATAAAACCATCAGATCTCATGAGAACTCACTCACTACTATGAGAAAAGCATGGGGGAAACCACCCCCATGATCCAATCCCCTCCCGCCAGGTCACTCCCTCAACATGTGGAGATTATGGGGATTACAATTCAAGATGAGATTTGGGTGGGGACACAGAGCCAAACCATATAAGACACCCTTCTCTCACCCTGCATGGACTTTTAAGAGACTCCCTTATCCAATCCAGATTTTATCTGGTACACTGATGGATCTTTTTTCTCAGAGACCGTGCTGGTTCCTATTGGGCAGGCTATGTGGTGGTCTCTCTGATAAAGACCACTGAATCAGGCCCCATGCCAGGGGCCAGATCTGCCCAACAGGGGGAACTACATGCCCTCACTTGGGCCTGCCTACTGGCCAATGATAAAATGGCTAATATTTATATAGACAGCAGATGTGCCTTTGGAGTTGCTCATGATTTTGGCATGCTCTGGAGACAGAGGATTTTTAAGTTCCTCTGGACAGTCTATTAGAAACAAAGATTTTGTTTTGGCCCTCTTGGATGCCTTTCAGACTCCTTGAGCCCTAGCCAATATCAAAGTCTAGGGACCTTCCCTTGACAAGACAAAGGACAACAAAGACAACCATGCTGCAGATGAAGCAGCCAAAGCTATCACTTTAGCGATAACCTGTGAGTGACTTCTTCTCCACTTATGGATACTTGACCCTCTACCTCTCTTTCTACCTCTACTCCTCCTCTCCCTTGTTCTCTTCCTTATCTGAAGATGTCCTTTCCATACTCTGACTGTCTCACAAAAGACAGTTTCAGAGTCTGAAAGACGGAGGTAAATAAAACAAAATTGTTCTTTCAACCCCCGAGACAAAATTATAGGAAGGTCCAAACGAACATCCAATTTTAGCCAGCACTCTGCAAAGACAGATTTTAATCTGACCCATTGGAATCCAGACAAAATGATCCAACAAGGTAGACAAAACTATTGGGGACTTTGCCCAAGTGTCGTGTCTCAGGTATACAAACTTCGCAATGTGTTGGCCCAGTACAACCCAGGTAAGTCCCTAAAGCCCCCTCCAGGCCAATTCTCACTCCCCAGTGGTCCACTTGCTATCTGGCAACTTGATTTCATTCAGCTACCATCATCCCATAGTGGTATGAAAACAAATATGTGCTTGCAATGGTTGACATGTATTCTCACTGGGTTGCAGCTTTCCCTTGCCAATAAGCCACAGGTCTGCGGGCGGCCAAAATACTACCTAGGAAAATCATTCCTATCTGGTGTGTTTGAACTTTGCAGTGATAGGGGAACTCGTTTCACCAGCCAGGTACTGGAAAGAGTTTGAAAAATCTGGCCCATTCTACAGCATTTTCACTGTGCCTATCACTTGCAGTCCTCTGGGCTAGTTGAGCAGATTGATGAAATCATTAAAAGACAGCTGGTCTGGCAAAAGTCACAAAAACTTTTAATTTTGTCCTGGCCTAAAGCCATTTCACTAGTACTACTGATTCTGCAGTCCACTCCTACCAGAGAACATTGACTCTCTCCTTTTGAAATTGTTACTGGTTGGTCCATTCCCTCAGACCAAGGAATATTTCTTCGACCTCATTATAGGGGGAACTCCTGGCTTATTGCCAGGGGCTCATAAAAGCTATAAGGATCAACCACCACAAGGTGGGAGAATCTTCTTACAGCTTCCATTCAGGCCAAAAACTGCAGCATCACGACCTCCAACCTATTGACTATGTATACTTGAAAAGGTATCAGTTAAAAGACTCCCTCCAGCCCCACTGGAAACAGCCTTATCAAATATTGTTGACTAATCCTTGTGCTGTTAATTTATAGGGAGTTGACTCCTGGGTAAACATATCTCATCCGAAAATGGCACCTACCCCTGCTGAATCATGGATATTGATGCTGGTATCTAACACCAAACTCAAGTTAACCAAAGCCTCATCCTTGGGCTCAAAGAAAAGGCAACAACGACAGTGAACTGCCTTCATAAGACTCTGGCCAGGCGTGTATTCAGATAAACACTTATACTCCCCTTCTATTGGCTATCACACTTGGTGTTTCAGGTTTAGGAATTTTTACAATTATTGTTGCCTTATGTAAATGGGGAAATACCCACCACCATCTTCTAAATGCCTAGCCCTACATCTACTTTATAGTCGCTTTAATTGTTATAAAGGAATTCTATATATGCTAGGCCACATTGTGGCAACCCCATAAATCCCAACATTTAGATACCCACAGTTAGTTAAAATACTTATAAACTCCCTCCAACACACACACTGTCAAAATTAGACAGGATTCATGACCCTTTTCTCTGAGGACACTGTTATTTCATTTCTTGTAAGTCAGGTGCTCTTTTACTTCAAAGATAATCCCCAAAGCTTGTCTGACAGTTCCCTTGAGATTGTATGGAACCTGTGGTTTCTCCTTTGGTTTGAATTCTTTAAATAGTTTTAATGTTTGTTTCCCTTTCTTCCTTTGCTCTTATGGCATTAACAGCCTTCTCCCACCTCCTTGTAATTGTCCCCCTAACCCAATATATGAAATAGCATGATAATTCTCTGGTTAAACTGTCCCAAAGTGTTGCCACCAGAGGAAACACTGGATTGTTGGATATGTCCACAGGCTTCCTAAATCCATTCACAATAAACATCTGCCATTAATAATATCCATCATGGACTTTTCCAATTTCCCTGATGTCACCAGTTACCTGGACCAATTCCATTCCTTGTCAACTTTATGGGTACAATTGCTTGCACAGCCAAATATGACCACCCCTTGTTTTAATTTGTCTCCTGTTACTAATGCTGTACATTCATTCTATACCTTGAGACCCTCTCAATCTATGAACTACTGGGTAGACAAATGCAGTCTAGATCAAGCAAATAATGTAAAACTTCATCCCCATTATGCCAACAATACTTATATTTAAAATGTCATATGAATGGATTTTGGAAAGCTTGTGAGAGAAGCGACCCATTTTTAAATTTAGTATTGTAGGCACTTCCTATGAATGAGTCCATCAAAGAACATACTCTTGGGGGTATCACTTGTGATCCCCCAGATTATGTTTATAAGTGGCATAGGATCTGACCCACCCACACTAGGGTAGCACACTGCTGCTCTGACAGCCTGCACAAAGGTTCTTGTTTATTGGGATACTGAGCAGCCCCCTTCTCCATCCAGCCCAATAATGAGAGGTTTCCTGCTTTCCACAGACTAAAAAATGAGTTACCAGGAGGATATCAAAACACCTGGTGGCAGAGCCTTTTTGGGTATAGCAGTTCCCGGTTACGGGGTTTATGCAAATAGAGACATGATAAGAAATCTATTGGCCACCCTAGGAAAAACTGCTGATGAAACCACAAAACGTATTGCAGCACCACAAAAATTGAGCCAAGAAATTTAACTCAAGTGGTTTTAGATCACTGGGCTGCATGAGATTTTCTTCTAGCCAAACAAGGAGTCTGTGCAGTGACTCAAACCACCTGTTGTACGGACATCAACACCAGGTGAGGTAGAAACCCATACAGAAAAAATTTCCAAACAAGCCAAAGGGTTACAAGAAGTACCAACTACACATTACAGACCCCCTCAATGATCTTACAGCTGGCTCCCTACATATTTGGAAATTGGTTTGGATCCACCTTGCAAACCCTTGTCGTAAGTGTGGTAATGTCATAACTCACCACTTTGTTCCTTTTTCTGATGATCAAAATGCTTGTGTTCTATATAACTAATTATTGCAAGTCTGTACCTAAAACCAAGTTTATGGTGGCTCAACATGAAAAACATATAGATAAGTCCATTTCGTAACCTCGCCTTTTGGCTTTGGTTTCGGCTCTTATATTGCTCAAAAAGTTTTAAGGGTTACTTAGTGCCTGCCCACCTCCATTCCAGTCTGGCCTACAATATTTAATTGGCTGTAGGTCTTTTGGCTCTAAGTCCCTTGACCATAGGGGTCCCATCAAGGGACAGGACCTGGGGCAGGTAGCCAAATCACTCTGGCAATGTTACAGGAGAAAATAAGTTTGGCCATCACTGTTGCCTCTGACAAATCTCAGCCAAAAGGGGGAGAATGTAAACCTAAGATAAAATGCTAAGCCACCACCCTACTGAATGGACCTCCTCTTGGCCAAGGGGACCCCAGAGTAACCTTGAAAACTAAGTTCACGGTCATAACGAGATGTGGGGGGGAAGTCAGACACACCTCATTATACCCCCTCCTCACTAACCACAATTAGGCTTTCTTCCCTCCCTACGGGCTAAATAGAAACCAGCCCTTTCAAAAGACATCCCCACTGATATGGACCAACCACCTGACGCTGCCCATCCCTTCTGCGTTTCAGCGCAAGGACTGACCAGCACTCCTTCCTGGTAAGAGACCACCAGCCACGGCGTGGTTCTGGCCAGTCTACGGAGGATGCACACAAACGGCTATTGTGTCCTTTGCTTCATCTTTTGATATAAAGAGCCTAACTGTAATATATTTACGTTAAGTCTCCACTCCCAGGTGAACGTGGGACACATGTTGCATACACGTTAGCCTACTGCACACGTGCAGGCCACCCTCTCGTGAATATTCATAGCTCCCCCATAACCTGCTGAATATGTATACCCGGCCACCCTGCTTGGTGTAAGTTCCTGTTCCTTTTGCCCCTCTTTGGAAGCATTGCTTTTCAGTTTCTGCCAGAGGCTCTGCTTCCTGCCTGCAGGTTGTGGTACCCTCTTTTAGAAATAAAGCCCTCCTTTCCAAATTTACAGATTTGTGATTTTTTTCAGTCAACAGCACACACCAAAAGGCCAGGATTCAGGAGAAAGAGAATAAAAATCCAGCATTAGGATGACAGAAGTCCAAGAAGATGTGGAGGGGGATTAAAAAGGAACAAGTGCCACTAAATTCGACAAAGAGGTTATCAATAACCTTAGAAAAGGGTTTTAAATGTTGGCAAACACTTTAGCAATATGACTATTTTGGGGATTGTGGTGTTTACAAAACTGAAGCTTACTGATAACAGCGTTTTACATTGTGGTTCTTCTGCCAGGTAAGAAATAGGGCCGTGAAGATGCTGGCTAGAATAGCCTATCAGGAAGAGAAATGCAGGAGGCTTGGTATCAGGAGTCTTCCTTTGAAGATCAATGGCTGTTTTCCATTGTTATTAGTAAGGGTCTCCCTAACTGGTCTTCTCCACTTACCCAAGCATCTTAAGGTTCTGATATTTCAGAGCCACCTTCATCTCCAGTCTCGATTTTATAGCAGTCTCCTAACTGGTTTTTCTGCATCTCCCCTCTATGCAGCAACCAAGAAGGAAGCTCATGTCACTCAATTGCTCAAAACCTACTAACGGCATCCCATGTCACTCAGAGTAAAAGCCAGGGGCTTCCCAGGGCTTCCCAAGGCCCTCTGTGATGAGCCAGCCACCATGTCACCAACTTTGCCTGCTCCTGTTCTCCACCTGCTCACCCTGCTGCAGCCAAACTGACTCCCTCTCCTTTTCCTGGAACAGATTATGCAGGTACTGCCATGGGGCCACTGCACTTACTGTTGGCTCCCTCACCTCCTTCAGGTCTCTGCTCAGAGGTCACCTTACCAGGGAGTTCTTCCCTGACCACCTACATGCAAGCTCACCTATGGTATTCCCATTCCTCTGTACATACAAGTACTTAGGTATCTATCTTTCTTTCTTTTCTTTCTTTCCTTCTTTCTCTCCCTTCCTTCCCTATTTATTTATTTATTTATTGCTGTGGTATTTATCACTACCTGACACATTTTATTTTCTCATAGTTTACTAACTGCCTGAAGCACACAGAAGGTGCTCAGTCAATATTTGTTGAATTTGAAAATCCAAGTTAATTCCTTCTAGTCGGACTAGACAAAACTGTTTCTAACACATAACTCAGTCACCACCATTATACTTTGAATATCCCTTCTGTCTACCACACTTTCTTTTTCTCTAAGAGAGTATTCTACTCCTTTCAGAGTGATCCTTTCCAGGCTACCCACGCCCCCTATAAACTGTGGTTCAAAGCAGTTTACTTACACTTGAGACACAGTGATGAATTATCCAGGTCTGCTTTTCCTGCCTAGGCTAGATTAGAAATGGCAGAATGGATAGAAGACTTTTAGAGACAGGTATATTGATGGCATTATTTAAAAGCCTCACTATCTAACACAGATTTTTCAATGTTGACAGTGATGGCTGCAAATTGTCAGAAAAATGTTAGACTAGGTACATCAAACTCTGCTTGTTAGGCATGAAGCTGAAAGTAAAATTTTCATTTTAGAATTAAATGGAAGCCCCAAACTAATCTAGAAAATTCCTACATCAATCATGTTCACTGATCATGCTAGAGATTCCTTTAAAATCTAGAGCTACTACTAGAAACAAGATGAGCAACATAATATAAGTACTCTACAAATAATGATGATATCTTCTATGTTGTACTTTCAGGTTTATTAAAAAAAATTAATTTCATGGGACTCCCACAGCAACCCTGTGAGTAGGCAGGTAAGAAAGTGTTGTGCTCACTATCAATTTGACACAGAATTATAGAGCTGAACTCTGTGTGCGGGTGTCCCAGGTGCTGGTGATAGTGTGGGGACCCAAAAGACAAGAATCCCCTCTCATGGAGCCTGATGGCTTCCTATCATTTTCGCCTTAAACTCAGACCACCCGCTTATATCTAAGTATAAGGCAATCTCTACTCTAGCTCAAATCTTTAGTTGTTTTACATACAATATGTTACCATTTTTTTCTACAAAAAAAAAAAATCATGACTTCCAAGTTCTCTGTCAACCAAATAGCTTTTAAAACTACTATACTAGTGTCATTGTACAGGTATCAAATGATATATATACAAGATTATTCACTGTTAACAGTCTTTGTATAGGAAGATACTAGAAACAACCTAAGTATCCTTTAGTGGGAGATTAATTGAATAAGTGAAATACTAAGCAACTGATATATAGCATGTGGCACATGTCTGTGTGCACCAACATGGGATAATCCTCAAGATACATAAAGAGTGAAAAGAACCCAGTTCAGAACAGCATCTATTGTGTTGCATGCAAGGTTGCAGTGGGGACCAAATAAAGCATGTGTGCATGTGCTTGTAACTGCAAAGGACACAAATAAATAGTGGTTATCCCCAGGGAGATCACCTGGGTAGTTGGGAGACAGGGTGGGGATGGAGACTTAAGTTTTGGGGAATACCTTTTTGTACCTGTTGAATTTTGTAGCAGACAAATGTACATAAATAACCACTGTACCAGATAGGTGCACAAGGGCAAAGTCAAAATGGAAACAATCATGCCCCCCCTGAAAGGAGAATGAGACAGATATGACACTATATGTGAAAATACACTGGAAACTAGAAAGGAGCATGCACACATGAGTCATCACTACCTTGGGGAAATAACTGCCATTTAATTTTCTCACTTTCAAGTTTCAGTGCTCTTTACACTATTGTCCAAATGCAAAAATACTGCTAGATGCCCCAACCACGTTCAAGACTTACAAGGATTGGCCCTTCACCCTCCTGGGAAGTTTTGTTTGTTTGTTTTGTTGTCTTTGTCATTTAGTTGTCTTAACAGGTTTGCGTTTGCTTCTCCACCTAGACTTTGAAGCAAAGATGGAACCAAGTGGACCTGAGAGACAGGGACAGTCTGAAAGCAGAAAACTGCATTGTGCATTTTTACAACTCCGACCAGTCTTTCTGATCCCTGTTAAGCACCCAAAAATTTAAACCTCAGGTGACTATTGTTTTGACTTTAAATAAAACACTTTACTTTTGACTGAATGTTGCACAGGTTCAGCGGAGAATGGTAGAATAGAAAGGAGTTAAATTTTTTAACATACTCCTCACCGCTTCCATCGCTCTATCAATAAACTGCTATTAATGACTTTGACTAGGTACAATTCACAATCATGAGAGTCAGACTATCACAAGTATAAAGCTATGTTTCTTGGTTAATATGTTCCCAATGAGGACAATTTTGTTCATGGGAGTTCAGCCATCCCATGGGCCAAACTATGTGTCAAAGCAAAGGACTGCAATATTCTACCCTGCATGGCAGATGCACCTGACAGCAATAACTTAAACATACCCTCAGAATGACCCTATGGTCTAAAAAGAATGTGTGTTCAAGGTTCCAAGCTAAGGAATCCAGGAGTAGCCAACCCAGAGATTCATTCCTTATCTATAAGGAACATCTGAACCCCTGGCCCACCCCACAGAATGCAAGCCATACAGGGAATCAAAGCCCTTTGTGTTGGGTTAAATGAAGATTGCCAGGTGGAGGTCACTAGGGGGAGAATGCTAAGTGAAAAAGCTATCGATATTCCATGCTTTTAACAAAGGGTAGTGGTTCTCCTGTCCAGCCTGCCACCACTGGAACACCCTGTATATAAGTCCCCTCAATCAACTCTATGACTCGTTCGCTGGCTCTGGGTCTCTTCTTCGGTCTCTTGAACATGGTGTCATCCCTAGTGAAGTCGATAGGGGGCCAGCAGGACACACTCAGCTCACTGGAAAGGGCTGACAAAGACCCATTTATTTTTTCCTTTGAAGATATTGAGAAACTGTTATTTATTTAACAAGCATTTACAGTGTTAGATATATGTTTTAATTTAAATACTAATTTATTTGATCCTCATCATAACCCAAAGAGATACACACCATTTTTATCCTCATTTCACAGATGATGAAACTGAAGCACAGAAAGGTTAACTAACTAGCCCAAAGTCGAAGAGCTAATAAACACGGAAGCTGAGGCAGTCTGAGTCCAGAGTTCGGGCTCTTAACCACTGCACTCTATAAAAGGCACAGAGCTAAGCACTGGGAATCTACCAGGGAGCAAGACAGACCCCATCTCTGTCCTCTCTGGATCTTACCTGCTAGCCAGGAAGGACTGGTAAAGAGCAGACCATATTAACAATGTAATTACAATTGCCAAAATGCCACAGTGGAAAAGTGATGGGGCAGCTGCACAAACACAAGGGTGAAGGACAAGAGAAACATTCCCTGAGCCCTCGACGATTCCTCCTACAACACTGGAAAATAACGAATAATATTCCATTGTAGAAAGGAGGCTCTTCTGGCTTAGCAAGAAGAGGTGAAAGACAGAGGCAGAATTCATCCTTAGTCTGTGCAGTCTTGACACCAGTCTGGCTGTTAGAAAAAACTTTCTCCTAGATCGCTTCCACCTGTCATCATTGTCATCTTTTTGCATTATATGTTATATATAATATATTGATATATTAATGTATATTATATTAATATATTACATTAATCTGTATGTTACATTATGAAAGGTTTAGGTATTTGTATTTATGTGGGTGTCTCACCAAATGCAGGAACCTGGTCTTATCACTTTGACAATAACCACCTAATACCAAGTACTCACCCACAATAAGACTGTAATACACATGTGGGTTATTGGTGTTCAGCTAAAATTGATTCCTATCATGGTTGATCTGAAGGCCATATTACATTGTTAATATGGTCTGCTCTTTACCAGTCCTTCCTGGCTAGCAGGTAAGATCCAGAGAGGACAGAGATGGGGTCTGTCTTGCTCCCTGGTAGATTCCCAGTGCTTAGCTCTGTGCCTTTTATAGAGCGCAGTGGTTAAGAGCCTGAACTCTGGACTCAGACTGCCTCAGCTTCCGTGTTTATTAGCTCTTCAACCCTGGGCTAGTTAGTTGATCTGCCCTACCTTGGTAGCTGAGG
This sequence comes from Homo sapiens, assembly GCF_000001405.40. Lineage (NCBI taxonomy): Eukaryota > Metazoa > Chordata > Mammalia > Primates > Hominidae > Homo > Homo sapiens. The sequence goes on along the minus strand of NC_000002.12, from coordinate 168,493,381 downwards.
AGTTAAAAGAGTGAGTAGACAGGAGGCAGAAGAATAAACATACATCTCATGACTTCATTCCAAGAGCCTGTTAGGTGTTTTCACAAGTTACTTTATTTAAGTGGCTAGGAGAGATCAGATGTTTCAGATAAGGTGGATCTGAGAAGCTACTGGGGCTGATCTGAAAGAAAAAAAATTTTTTTTCATTTTAAAAGTACAATAAGGAAAATGGAATGCAACCAAAACATCCAGTTTCAAAAGAACAGAAATTTAGCATAAAAAATTATGTTTGCAAGGAGTTTGTAACAAATGGAGAAAAATTTATATTCTAATAATCTTCACATATTCAGAGAAAGAGCAAAGAATGACAGAAGTATACATTCTAAAAACAAGTAATAGTACTAATGGATCCCATTGAGAAGTAAAAAGAAGAAGATTAAGAGGAAATTTTAACACTCATTGTATACCACTCAATTGTTTCCTATACATAATTTAAAAATTAAAACAAAATTACATTTAGAGTCATTATGTATAAAAATGGTGAAAATGCTTAAGCTATAAAGTTACTGTGACAGGACAAACTTTTTAATACAAAATAATTTTAACTACATATTCCTCTCCCAATAAAAGAAACTAGAAAACTTAAACGTAAGACCTAAAATCATAAAAATCTTAGAAGAAAGCCTAAGCAATACCATTCAGGACATAGGCATGGCCAAAGACTTCATGACTAAAACACCAAAAGCAATGGCAACAAAAGCCAAAATCGACAAATGGGATCTAATTAAACTGAAGAGCTTCTGCACTGCAAAATAAACTATCATCAGAGTAAACAGGCAACCTACAGAATGGGAGAAAATTTTTGCAATCTATCCAGCTGACAAAGGGCTAATATCCAGAATCTACAAAAAACTTACACAAATTTACAAGAAAAAAACAACCCCATCAAAAAGTGGGCAAAGGATATGAACAGACACTTCTCAAAAGAAGACATTTATGTGGCCAACAAACATGAAAAAGAGCTCATCATCACTAGTCATTAGAGAAATGCAAATCAAAACCACAATGAGATACCATCTCACACCAGTTAGAATGGTGATCATTAAAAAGTCAGGAAACGACAGATGCTGGAGAGGATGTGGACGAATAGGAATGCTTTTACGCTGTTGGTGGGAATGTAAATTAGTTCAGCCATTGTGGAAGACAGTGTGGCAATTCCTCAAGGATCTAGAACTAGAAATACCATTTGACCCAGCAATCCCATTACTGGGTATATACCCAAAGGATTATAAATCATTCTACTGTCAAGACACATGCACACGTATGTTTACTGCGGCACTGTTCACAATAGCAAAGACTTGGAACCAACCCAAATGCCCATCAATGATAGACTGGATAAAGAAAATGTGGCACATATACACCATGGAATACTATGCAGCCATAAAAAAGGATAAGTTCATGTCCTTTGTAGGGACATGGATGAAGCTGGAAACCATTATTGTCAGCAAACTAACACAGGAACAGAAAACCAAACACCACATGTTCTCACTCGTAAGTGGCAGCTGAACAATGAGAACACATGGACACAGGGAGGGAAACACACACTGGGCCTGTTGGGGGGTGAGGGGCTAGGGGAGGCGATAGCATTAGGAGAAATACCTAATGAGTTGATGGGTGCAGCAAACCACCATGGCACGTGTATACCTATGTAACAAACCTACACGTTCTGCACATGTATCCCAGAGCTTAAAGTATAATTTTTAAAAAAAAGAGAAGCTAGAAAACTTGAACACTATTAACCATAGTTCCATAGTTAACCCTAAGGAGTCAGTTTCTACTTTCTTACTGTGTCTACTTTCCTATTGTTTAAAGTATTTACAATAAGCATTTATCACTTTCATTATTGAAAAAAAAACAAAGATTAGAAAAGAACAAATAGCACAGAAAATATACTAATATGATAAGTGGCAGGATTACAGTTGTTTTGCTGACTCCTAAATATAAAGTCAAATATAAAGAAGCCAAGACTGTCACTTGGAAATGATTAAGTTCAAAGTAAAAACTAAGACTGCTTTTAATGAAAAACAGCCAAACATGGGCGCAAAGCCCTATATGAACAAAGGAAGAAGCACTCCTTAGTTTTAAGTATTTTTAACCTAATCCTCTTTCCTTCCTCATATTCTTCTTTTGCAGATGTGGTAACCCTGTTTTCTTTCAAACAGTCATTTGGAAAGAGAAGCTGACAATGGCAGTTTGCTGGAGCCAGGTCACAGACTCCATCCTCAGCGTGACTGTCAACTGCCTGCAGACAATGAGGCTCTTCCCTCACCTCTTTGGCACTCCTTGCTTCTAGGCTTCCCAGTTCTTTTGGGACTTTCGTTTTTCCCCTCAGAAAATGTTACCTGCCTCCCCAAAGTATGAATACAAAGTACATCTCACAAAACAGTGAAAAGAAGAAAATTGCTGTTTTAAGTTAGCCCGATGTCAAAGTGTCACTTGGTAGCAAAATATGGATCTTCTTTGCAAACTCTGCGGGGAAGGTCTGTTGACATTATACACACTATCATCATATATTCTCTCCTTTGAGGTATAGACGTACTTTGTAAAGCAGAAACAAAAGAAAAGCAGGGAGCCCCAGTTCCTCTCTGATAGTAAGCCCAGTAGAGCCTCTCTCTCTCTCTCGCTTTTTAAAACTAAAAGCTCTGGCCACAAAAAGAGCTGAGTGCCTGGGACAGAGATGAGCAACAAAGGGAAGTATGGGTTGTGACCTGAGTGAGAAAAGTCATATCCTGTAAACTTAGCAGAAGCATGTGCTCGATACTCAACAGCTACCAAAATAATACAAAGAGCAACAACTGAGGACTGAAATGTTAACAAGGTGAATTCTGGAGGAGTCAAATGTAAAGAAATGATCTACAAGGAGATGAGTTTCCAGTTTTGTTTTGTTTGGTTTTGTTTTTTCTTTTATTCTGGCAGCTATGTCCTGGAGCAGGACCCAGTCACAGAGCCCCACTATACAGCAGAGCAGCAGGACAGCAGCCTGAGCCACTCATACTCCAGGAAACCCAGTCTTTATGACCACAGGAACCTGGAAAAGGAGCCCTCACAGGCCAAAGAGGATGGGGGAATCACGGAGAGAAAGAAAATGGAGAAGCGAATCCCCTAATTCTGAACATGAATCAGCACAATTCCTGGCTTCACCCTAAGCTGTGCATGCATGACACAGATCTAGAACAGTATAGCAACAGCTATAAGAACTGAACTAAGTCTAGAAACCACTGCCCCTGAGAGGCACACACGGGACAGACCCAGAGTTGCATCACAAAGGCTTTGAAACCTGAACTGAGATTAGTACCACTTGCCACAAGAAGGTGAGACAGAAATATAACCTGAATCTAGCTGGGTTTATTGCCTGCTAAAAGAAATTTTAAAAGATCAACATTATTTAGAAGATTAGAACAGGACCCAGAATCTATACCACATAACATACACAATGTCCAGGATACAATCCAACATCATTCCACATACGAAGAACTAGGAAAATATGATCAGTTCTTAGGGAAAAAAGCAATCAGATTCCAACTCTGAGAAACCCAAAGGACAAATATTATAAATATCCTCCATGGTGATATGGAATGAATGGAAAGACAGAAGTTCTCAACAGAAAAATTAAAACTAGAAAAACAAGTGCATATTGTGGAAATAAAAATATAATATCTGAAATAAATTCATGGGATAGCTCAAGTCAAAATATATATATAACCGAAGAAAGAGTAAGTGAACTTGAAGAGTCAGTGAAATGATCCAATATGAGGAACAAAGAAAAAAAAATTTGTTGAGACAAATGAGCTGAGCCTCAAAGACCTGCAGGAAAATATCACAAAGTTCTAGCATTCATGTCACTGGTTTTCCAGAAAAAAAAAAAAAAAAATTGGTGGAGAAACTATTTGAAGAAATAATAGCCCAAAACTTCCCACTCATTAAAAGACACAAATTTACAAATGCAAGAAGTTCACAAACCCCAAACAGAATAAGCTCAAAAATAGTCACACTTAGTCAACTGCTTAAAAGCAAAAATAAAGTATTCACAATGGCTAAAGTTACACATTATTACAGAGGAAGAATGGTTTGAATTACTGAAAACTTCACATCATAAACCAAGCAGGCAAGAAATCAATAGAAAAACATCTTTAAAATGCTGAAGGAAAAAAATCCACCAACCTAAAATTCCATATCCATCAATAACATCCTTCAGGAAAGAAAGCTAAATAATGGTATTTTTAGATGGAGGAAAATTAAAAGTATTCATTTTCAGCAGACTTGCTCTACAAAAAGCTAAGGAGCGTGCTTCAGGCTTAAGGGAAATAACCTCAGAAAGAAATTGGAATCTTCACAAAAAACAGAAATAATAAATATCTCGGTAAATATAGAAGACTACTTTCCCTTAAGTTCTTTAAAATTTATATGATTGCTGAAAGCAAAATGTGTAACACTGGTGGGGTTTCAATGTATGTAGATGTAATATACATCATGATTATAACCTACAGGTAAGTGGGGAAGGATAAAGGAAACTCTATCATAAAGAGTCTACATTTTACTTAAAGAATATAACATTAACTCTTGAGTAGAGTGTGAAAGTTTTGGTGTATTATATTATAACTCCCAGAGCATTCACCAAAAAAAAATTTTTTTAAAGATAGCAAAATAGCTAATATGGAATATTAAGAGGGAATGCTAAAAAGATTCAAATAACCCAAAAGACAGAAAAAGGGGGAAGAAACAAATAACTGAGGGAATACACGGAAAACAAATAACAAAATGGTGTGTCTAAATCCAATCATGTCACTAACTATATTAAACAAAAATGATCTAAACACACCCATGAAAAAAGATTTTTCAAAATTACAAGAACCAACTATATGCTGCCTACAAGAAACCCATTTTAAATACAAGTCCTACACAGATTAAAAGTAAAGGATGAAGAAACTACGTCATATAATAATCAAAATAAATCTATTAATACATTAATATATAGATTGGCTATATTAATTTCATCCAAAATCCTATTCTTGTTTTTCCCAATTTTTCATTCCTCTATGCTAACATATTTATACATAGTGGCTATTCCTTCTTTACTCAGAAAAACATTACCAGAGTATTAAGCTGTGTTCATCAACAATTTATAAAATATATCAACATATCCCTTCACTTTATGAACTTACCATCTAAGACAATATAATGCAACAGTTATTTTAAAAACAAAAGCAAAATATAGCAAATAGATCTAAAACACTGCATGTTTGACAAAGGTGCTAAATTCCTATATACACAGGATTGTATAAGCTTTAGGAATGGCATGGCATCCTCACTAACAGTTACAACTGGGCCAGGGCAGTGGTTAATGCCTGTAATCCCAGTACTTTGGGAGGCCAAGGTGGGAAGATCACTTGAGGCCAGGAGTTCAAGACCAACCTGGGCAACATGGCAACACCCTGTCTCTACAAAAAAAAATTTAAAAATTAACTGGATGTCATGGCACACACGTCGCCCAGCTACCTGGAGGCTGAGGCAGGAGGACTGGTTGAACCCAGGAGTTTAAGGCAGGATGATTGGCTGAGCTATGATTGTGCTCCAGCCTAGGTGACAGAATGAGATCCTGTCTCTTAATAAAAATTAAAATTAAAAAATCAAAAGTAATAGCTTATGTGGTTTAGAGAATACTAAGGAAAACACATAAAAGTAGCTTAAGAAAAAAATATATTTTCAGAAGCAACTAAATGTAGATTTTGGGTAAGCAAGCCTAAAGTAAGCATAAGGTTATACAGTATACAGATAAGCCTCTTATAATTGTATGAGACTTATAAAGATTAGCAATAGCATTAAATGGATCACTGAGTCTTACACCTTGATGAAAATAATGTTTTGGGGGTTATACCTGACAGATGTCCTTCCAATTAATATTTTGACCCAAATATTCTCTCTATGAAATTGCAGCCTTGGAGGCACTCCACCTCTCTGCCAGTCATTTCTTTAAAATAGTAGAGGAGAGAGACAAGGAGATTAAGCAAGGGAAGGAAAATTCTACAATGGAAATTCATCAGTTGTCTAAGACCCATGGATCAGAGTCTTCAATGAAAACTGCAGTTATAGTTAAAACTATAGGAATAGATAAATAAGGAGAAAGAATAAAATGAAGACATAGAAAAGAACTGCACCCTGCAGTACAAGTGGATCATCAATACCCTTCCTCACCTTGTGTGTTTTAACATACATTTTGTGATGTGATTTAAAAACAAAAACAAAATCATTCTGCTGCAGGTAAGAGGAATATTATTTCTATTTTATAAATGAGGCAACAGACAGACAAAAAGTGCTTTATCAATATAGCACCCCTCACCTTTATGATGCAGTTCATTCCTGGAAGTCACACTGAAAAAAAAATCATTAAGTGGACTATATGGAATTTATTAAATTCATTTACTAAAATAGGTTTGACATTAGCGGTGAAAGCTAGCAATGAATAAGTGGATAAGGACAAGGAGATGTGAAATGCTGGTCCTTCCTTTCACTGTGTCACAAGGAATGTTTGGAGGAGTGAAATGCTAACTACACAAACAAGAAGAAACCTTCAGTAGTCATGGGTATAAGCACTGACCTATATTATTAAGATAAGGAGGATCAACACAGGAGGAACCCAAAGCAAGTACTACAAATTTGCAGTTAAAAAGTAAGGCAGTATAGAGTCTAGAAACAGACCCACACAAATACAGTCAACTGATCTTTGACCAAAGAGCAAAGGCAATTCCGTGGAAAAACGATTGTCTTTTCAACAAATGGTTCCGGAACAATTAAACAGCCATAGGCAAAAAAAAAAAAAACAAAACCAAATCTAGACACCTTTAACAAAAATCAGCTCAAAATGGATCACAGATCCAAACATAGAATGCAAAAACTATAAAACTCCTGGAAGATAACAGAAAATCTACATGATCCTGAGTTTGGCTTTGACTATTTAAAATATACAAGACCAAAAGCATAATCCAAGAAAGAAAAAAATCAGTAAGCTGATCTTCATTAAAATTTAAAACCTTTGTTATGCAAAAGAGAATAAAAGGACAAGAGAGAAAATCTTTGCAAAACAAGTACCTGATAAAAGACTACCTGGTATCCAAAATATGCAAAGAACTCTTAATAATAAGAAAACAACCTAGTTAAAGAAAGAATGGGCAAAAAATCTAAACAGACACCTTGCCAAAAAGGACATACAAATGGTAAGCATATGAAAAGATGTTCAATATCATATGTCATTAAGAAAATGCAAATTAAATTGATAAGATACCACAGCACACCTAATAAGCTAAGATCTAAAATACTAAAACAAAAAATGCTGGTGACAATGACAAGCAATGGAAACTCATGCACTGTTGGTGGAAATACAAAATGGTACAACCAGTTTGGAAAACAGTTTTGCAGTTTCTGATGAGACTAAACATACTCTTATTATATGATCTGGCAATCAAGCTGCATGATTGCCAAATCATGCTAGGTATTAACCCAAATGGTTTGAAAACTTATGTTCACAAAAACCTACACACAAACATTTATAGCAGCTTCATTCATAATTGCCAAAACTTGGACACAACCAAGACGTCCTTTAATAGGTGAATAAACTGTGACTTGTTTATCTATAAGGTGGAATATTACTCAGCCATACAAAATGAATTATCAATGGATGAAAAAACATGGGAGAACCTTAAATGCATATTGCTAAAGTGAAAGAAGGAAATCTGAAAAGGTTACACACTGTATGATTCCAACTAAATGAAATTCTGGAAAAGACAAAACCATAGATATGGTAAAAAGATCAGTAGTTCCAAAAGTTCAGTGTGGGGGGAGGCATAAAGGGATAAATAGATGGAGAACAGAAGGTTTTTAGGGCAGTAGAACTATTCTGATAGTGTAATGATGGATATACCTCACTATACATTTGCAAAACTCATGGAACGTACAACACAAAGAGTGAATACTTATGTAAACTATGAACTTTAGTTAATAATAATGTATCCATTTGGCTCATCAACTGCAACAAAAGTACACTAATAAAAGATGTTAATAAAAAAGAAAATGTGAGTGTAGGGGAGTAATGTGGAAACTCTGTACTTGCCATTCATGTTCCTGTAAACCTACAACTGATTAAAACAATAATCTATTAACTCTTCTTAAAAAAAAAAAAAAGCAAGGCAGTGTGTCACCTTTTGTGTTTTTGTATCTTACTTAAGGGTCAAGATTTTTAAATGGCACCAAAGGACATTTTCATTTTCTCCAATTTCATAAGCCTGAACTGTATTATGAGGCAAACAGCTGAAATAGAAAACCACCTAATGAGAGCCTGCCTACATTTTCTATGCCTTCTTTTCTCATTAACTTCCAATATGCCTAGTTATTCATTTGTTTATTTTCATAAAGAAGGTACATTCTGTTCCACTATGAGAGAATATGAAGCGTTATTTCAGTCCCCAGGGATTTACCTGTGGAAACAGCCCTCTTCACATCCCCTTAAAGCTGGACCCAGGGCAGCTTCCAATGAGTATTCACAAGGCTGAAAATACCAACATATCAGGACTTAAATGCTAAATGCCTCTAATGAGAAAAATTTGGAATGAAAAAGACACTAAAGCCCCTGTTCTAATCTGAAGGGAAAAAAACCCATACATACTTACGTTAAAACACAAGTGAGCATAAATTCTCCCTACAAAACACCATCAACAAGCAGTTCAGCATTTCCAGCTGTTAAACAGGAAGAGCACTCAGTTCAGGACACTTAATGATTATGTGTCTATGAAGGTACATGTCACCTTACCAGTGTGGTTACAGTAGACAGTTACTTTCTTCCCTCCTCAAGATTTGGAAAAAAAAAACAAAGCGAAGCACAGTGGCTCAACGCCTGTAATCCCAACACTTTGGGAGGCCAAGGCAAGTGGATCACCTGAGGTCGGGAGTTCGAGACCAGCCTGACCAACATGGAGAAACCCCGTCTCTACTAAAAATACAAAATTAGCCGGGCATGGAGGTGAATGCCTATAATCCCAGCTACTCGGGAGGCTGAGGCAGGAGAATTACTTGAACCCGGGAGGTGGAGGCTGTGGTAAGCTGAGATCACGCCATTGTCCTTTAGCCTGGGCAACAGGAGTGAAGCTCCGTCTCAAAAAAAAAAAAAAAAAAAAAAAAAAAAAAACAGAAAAAAGAAAAAGAAAAAGAAAAAAATAGGTACTAAAAACAACAGCATTTTTGTTGTATTCAGTGACATGTAGAACTTCCTCTTGATTGTGCTTTTAATAAGCACAGTCTACCTTTTAGCTTTGAACATACTGGTACAATATTTTGAATACACAGAGATATTCTATACCAGTAGTTCTCAAAGTGTGGTCCCTGGACTAGCAACATCAGCATAACCAGGGAACTTGTTAAAAATGCAATTCAAATCCAAATCTACTGATTCAGAAATTCTGGAGGTGGGACCCAGCCTTCTGGTCTCATGAGCTCTCCAGGTGACTCTGATGCCCAGTGAAATTTAAGAGCCACTGTTCGAGATGTTCATAAATATTTTCTCATTAAGTTCCAATACGCCTAGTTATTCATTTATTTTTACAAAGAAGGTGCATTCTATTCCACTGTGAGAGAATATGAAGCGTTACTTCAATCCCCAGGGATTCAAAGTTGACTGGACTAAATTTTTGGTGAAGTCTGGCTCCAGGGAGCTCCTCGTGCTCATAATATTAGAACAGCTAGTTAAGTATTTCATCTCTTGATCCCTGCTTCCCTACCATGCAAGGGCAGGACATTCAAGTCTTCCTTTAAGTCAGGAAAAAGACACATATTTGATGCCAACTCTGAACCAAGTCTGTTTTCTCGGTTAAAAACAAAAAATTCAAAGACTCCCTCTAGAAAGAGATTGGCCCTCCCTCAACCTCCCATTTTGCACAGAAGAAAGCTGAAACTCGGAATTTTGAGTAACCAGTAACCAGTATCCAGTCCAAGATGAGTCAACCAATAAGCACACAGAGCTTCCACTCTACACTCCAAGCAAAGTGCTATAAGCGTCTTCAGAAAAAAAAAAAATAGCTATGTAATCGTGGACGAGTTATTATACCTCCATGAGCCTAATCTCCACATCTATAAAAAAAGAAGTAAAAATAGTACCTACTTCACAGACTTTATGTGAGGATTAAATGAGATAGTCTATGTAAGGCTCTAAGAATAGTGAGTGGCAGTAGCACAGCTACAATAAATGTTAACCATAATCTTTGATACTGACACCACCACCACTACAGCTATTAAAACACTACTGCCATTATCAACTGGGCATTTTTAAACCTATTACTGTTTCTCTTTACTCCTGCCTTCAGACTTTTTATACTGTCCAGACTATCACATGCAAGAGACATGAACTCATTATCTTTTGGGCTATGATGGAATTTACAAGAGATTAAACCACCAGTACTTAAGAGATGGCTATTTTATTAGCAGCTATTCCAATCATTAGACACTTAGTTTTTATTTCGATTTAGAGATGAGCTCTTACAAAGATAAACCCAATAATTCTATCAAATGTACACAGCCTTCATCCTGCAGAGCTTCTAGAAATTCAAGGAAAACAAAAGGCTTAAAAATAAGCCTGCAAACTGAAAAACTGCCTTCAGCTCCGTGCCACTGCACTAATCAAAGATAATGTGAGTCCCCCAGTTGTATAAATGGAAAACAGAAACTTTTCTCTTAGCAAATCCTTCCAGATAGATGCCTGATTGCAGCCCTTTGAAGCTGACGCAGTTGAAATCAAATTTTTTGCATGAATTATGCACTACAGCAGAACAGAAGCAAGACCACTCATAATATGCCTCATTGTGTGAGAAAGCTGAAGGCACAACTTGTACTGTGCATTTTCTGGGAAGCCAACATTCCTGAACTAGGTGAGAGGCACATGGTGAGAGGTTACTTTAGCTTCTATGGCTACACAACCCACAAGAGCTAATGGCTTCAACAACTGCACAGACTCACTCACTTGTCTTTTAGTGGCTTTGTTCCACGAACTTCCAAGTCCATTGATCTAGTCCACCATAACTGATTTTAATCCAGCTAGTAAATGGGAAATTAGCATGCATTTAAATTCATTTCAATTAAATCAAGATAAACTCAAGAAAACCTATTTTAGTTTCTAAGGTCCACTAACCATCATCATTCAAGATTCATCCAAGTCCAAATTTAAAACCTCATTTAATTTTTTCCCTAAAAGACTATGATTCAAGTTTAAATGCCATAATTTATTTCAGCACTTGTGCTCTAACTACAAATTCTACAAATCAAAATTGTTCATATTTACTGGATTTATAAGGGTTCCATAACAGAACTGTTGAAAGTCTTTGAAAAATGTTTTTAAAGATTTCCTCTGAAGTTATTCAAAAATTCAACCTAAGCTTAAATTGCTGTTTTCTAAAGGGAAATAACTTCTAAACCAAAACTACTCCTAAATCAAATGTATTCATGCTGGTACTATTTCAAATTCATCAAGACACAAGAGGATAATAGATGTTCATATTTACATAGGAATGATTTCTTAGCTCAATAAGTAAACCCACATTTGGGAGAAACAACTGGTCTTTCAGCTAAGCCATGATTTCAACGTTATTCCTACTTACATAACAGATTAAGCATTTATTTCTCAATACTAAAGTCAAAAGAAACATTGGGCATTGAAGAGCTTTATGATATTCTAAAGGCCAGCTTCAGATCTGGAGCTAATGAAGACGGGTCAGGAATTACCCAGCAATTACTTTATTCACTCTATTCAGTGTTTACACCTAGAAGCCCCAATCAGCTGCAAATGATCCGACTTGACCAGGAAATCAGAAACTTTCTGAGCACAGGCAAAAAAAAGTTGCTCAGTTGCAAAGTCAGCTTGCGGCTGATGACCTGTAACTGTCCGTTTTTTTTTGAGACGGAGTCTCCCTCTGTTGCCCAGGCTGGAGTGCAGTGGCACAGTCTCAGCTCACTGCAAGCTCCGCCTCCAGGTTCACATCATTCTCCTGCCTCAGCCTCCAGAGTAGGTGGGACTACAGGTGCCAGCCACCACGCCTGACAAATTTTTTGTATTTTTAGTTGAGACGGGGTTACACCATGTTAGCCAGGATGGTCTCGATCTCCTGACTTCATGATCCGCCCACCTCAGCCTCCCAAAGTGTTGGGATTACAGGCGTGAGCCACTGCGCCCGGCCAGCCTGGCCAACTGTCCCTCTTTCAAACCACAAGCTCCTCAAGGATCCTCTGCAGATGCCTCTCTGCGAGTCAAGCCCAGGTTGGTGCCCAGCAACTTTCAGAGTGATGTTTCATTTCCTGCATGCTTTCTCTACATAGCACCAGTAAGCCTGGACTTCTAGCCCATGATAGAAGCGTGCCCCTAATTCCCGGCTATCTTTCTAACATGGACTCCCCATGCTACTCAAGACTTCTATCCACAATTTATGTCCTCAACAGACTCTGGCTTGTCTGAGGGTTCCAACATTTCCCTCTTATTCTGACTTAGATATATGTCTACTCTATTTCACATAACTTTCCCCAGTTCTAGGTTTTCACCCTAAATTTAGTGGCTCAAACCCTAATATCTGGCTTCAAAAAAACTCAGCAGAAGTTCAAAAGCATTTCTATTCCTCCAAGCTCATATGTTCTTTTTCCTACACTAGGCTGAGGTCCCAGATGCCAGTTCTCAGACACATTAGTGGCTCTAGATATGCACTTAAAGCAAACATAACCTTAAACGGTAAATAAAGAACCCGGAACTTGGAATTAACATATGCGTTTCTGATGCTAGCTCTGCCACTAAGATCACACCACTGTATGATCTTGGATGAGTCATTAACTCTCTAGGTCTGTTTTTTTCATCTCTAACATTAAGAGGTTTTATAATTTCAAAGTTCTCTTCCAGCTATGAAATTTTATTATTATATTCTGCAAAAGTATTTGTCAGATTAATTCCTAGACATATAAAGACATATAAAGGTTTAACACATTATCTATTGTTATTTACTCTGCCATTTCTCCTCTCCATTTGTGTGGACAACTGAAAGTCAATTACGTATGCTAAGGCAAAGACATTGGGGAAGACTCCCTATACTTTTACTCCACTGGCATATCTAGATGAACAACTTAGTGCCCTGCTGATTAAAGGACTCAAAGACTCATCCATATCCATTTCTCTCACAAGTTTAAAGAAGCAAAACCCAGTCGCTGCTACCTACTATGGGCCAGGGATCCAGTTAAGCACTTTACTGCCTTAATTCCAATCCTCACTATTTGAAAGGAAAAAATGATCACCATTTCACAGGATCAGAGTGGTTCTTTAGCTTACCCAGCATCACAGCTCTAACAAATGGTGGTGGAAGAATTCAAATGTAAGACCTTTGCTTAGGACAGGCACGCTAGTAAAGACCAGAAAAGGTATTAAGGCCGGGATTCGTGGCTCATGCCTGTAATCTCAGAACTTTGGGAGACCGAGGCGGGCAGATCACCTTAGGTCGGAAGTTCGAGACCAGCCTGACCAACATGGAGAAACCCCGTCTCTACTGAAAATACAAAATTAGCTGGGTGTGGTGGCACATGCCTGTAATCCCAGCTACTCAGGAGGCTGAGGCAGGAGAATCACTTAAACACAGGAGGAGGAGGTTGCAGTGAGCCGAGATCGCGCCATTGCACTCCAGCCTGGGCAACAAGAGCAAAACTCTGTCTCAAAAAACAAAACAAAATAAAAAAGAAAGGGTATTTAACATCTCAGGCTTGGGCACAAGTGATCGCAACACTCAACCTGCCTGCCATACCATAAGCATGCATTAAACTTTCTATTGCATTTAACAGTACTTACATTGTGCCCTTCCCAAAAGATAGAAAGAAATGGATTCTCCTAGGAATGGCTTCAAATTTGTCATATGTGAAAAAAGAAAATAAAGTCTGTAATTTAAACATTATATATACACACACACATGCATATCTACTTGCTATATTTAAAAATCTAGTTAGAAATGAAAATATGTCAATGACCCTATCATTTTGAACAAGTAAACATAAAATGGAATAAATAAAAATACAGATGAAAATAAATGGGAAATACAGAAGTCATTTATTTTAACTCAGAGTTTTAAACTCTGTCTCTAAAAATGAATAGAAATTAGTACTAACTAGTAAGATAAATTATAAAGTTACAATAATTAAAATTGTCATCATATGGTAGAAATTTAGAATATGATCGAGGTAGCACTTCAAATCAGAGAAAAAAATATGGATTATTTAGTAAATGATGTTAGGACTATTTGCCAGCCAACTGGGGGAAGAAAACAAAATCTGGAGTTCCCATTTCTGACACCAAAATTAACGAAGTTCTCATCTCTCACACCAAAATTAATTCAAGATGGCTCAAAAATTTAACAAAAAACATAATGAAATATTCAGAGAGAATTTTTGTTAAACATAATAAATAAAGTAAATGTTTTTATCTCCAAGACCTCTTGAGACCTAAGTCACTAAAGATTAAATTAAACAGGGTAAAATTCTAAAAGGACTAATGATGATGATAACAAATAAGAGATGTCACCCAAGACAGAAGGGCCAGGGTAACTGATTAAGCCAAGTGGAGATAGCTGAAGCCTAACCAGCTCCAGTGATAAAAGTCTCCAGGGATGGAAATCAAAGAAAGATGTCTTACACTTTCACATGCACGAGAATCACCTGGTGATGCCCAGATTCCAAGTCAACAGATCTGGGGTGGAGCCTGAAGTGCTGCATTTCTAACAAGCTCCCTGGTGATGGGGCAGAGGCTGATGGTCTATGGTTCACACTTTGAGTAGAGAGGCTTTAGACTAGAGAATGCCAGAAATGTTTGACAACTGTAGGCACCAGATACCTCTGGAGGTCAGGGTGTAAAGTTCAGCTGGAACAGGATACTGGTCCAAAGTCTGTACAAGGAACATGAACACCTCCAGATTGGGTCCCCGAAACCAGGTGACTGCTCTCCCCAGCCCCAGCAGAGAGGGGTGGTTTACTCCTGGGAAGGTTGAATCACAGAGGACCTGGCTTTTGGGACACTGAGTACAGTGACCAAAACAGGATTAAGATAAATCTTCATCTCACTGCTCAGCTCTCAGAACAGTGGCAGCAGGCTTATAACCATCAAGCAGGCTAGAGAAAAGCTGTTCTCTGGGGAAACTGACTAGTTCAAGAGAAAGTACTCTAAGGAAAAAACAAAACAAAGCAAACAAACAAAAAAAAAAACCCTGAATGATCAGACTACATAAAACTTGAAACCTTCAGCCAGGGAAAAATATCATGAAGTCAAAAGACAAAGCACATAAGCAAATATTCTCAGTATACATGAAAAAGAGCATATTTCTTTCTTTTTGCATAGGAAGCCTTTATAAAACAATAAACACTCCCAAAAAAGACAAAAACATTAATTCGTGGAAAACTAAATACAAGTGGCTTTAAAACATATAAAAATGTGCTTAACTTCACTTTTAAAAAGCGCAAGTTAAAATAATACCATTTTTCACACAGTCAATTGGCAAGCGTTTGCAAGTTCAATCATACTGTTAGAAACTTTCCT
The DNA here is from genome assembly GCF_000001405.40 of Homo sapiens. Taxonomy (NCBI): domain Eukaryota; kingdom Metazoa; phylum Chordata; class Mammalia; order Primates; family Hominidae; genus Homo; species Homo sapiens. Next base: position 168,477,759 of record NC_000002.12, on the reverse strand, counting down.
TCAGTGAGCAGAAATATATAAACACGTACAATCCCCTAAGGGGACAATTCTCCAATATCTATCAAAATTCAAACAGACCCAGCCACTTCACACTAATAGAAATTTAAGGTAATTCACATGGAAAGAAAGAAAGACGTACAAAAGTTGCCACTGTGACATTGCTTTTAATAGCATATGATTGGAAATGATCTCAAGAAGCACTGATAGGGGAGTGGTTAAATTATGATAAATATATGCATTTTATATGCTATATAAAATGTTAAAAATTCTGCACAACCATTTACTAGAAAAAAGTTGACTTTTCAATATTTCCATAAAAAGATGTTCAAGATATAGTAAGTGAAAAACAAAGTGCAAATGAGCTTATATAGTTGTGTTAAATAAAATGTAGAGACACATGGCTATGGACTGAATGTTTATGTCCCCCCAAACTTGCATGTTGAGGCCTACAACCCCAGTGTGATGGAACTAGGGTGTAGGGCCTTGAGAAGCAATTACAAGGGTGGAACCAACCATGAATGGAATTAGTGCCCTATGAGACTCTCTCTCTCTCTCTCTCTCTCTCTCTCTCTCTCTCTCTCTCTCTGTCTCTCCCTCATTCCTTTCCTCCCTCACTCTACCATGTGAGTATACAAAAAAAAAGACAAAGAGCCTCTGCAAACCAGGAAGAGGTGCCTCACCAGACACTGCATCTGCTGGTGCCTTGATCTTAGGCTTGTCTCCAGAACCATGAAAAATAAATTTCTGTTGTTTACGCCACCAGTCTATGGTATTTTGTCATAGCAACCTGTGATGGTTAATTTTGGGTGTCAACTTCACTGGATTAAGGCATACCTAGAGAACTGGTAAAGCATTATTTTGGGGTATGTATATGACTGTGTTTCCAGAGGAGATTAGTATGTGACTCTGAGCAAATTAAATGGGGAAGATCTGCCCTCAATATGGGCAGACACTATCCAATTGCCTGGGGTCTTGGATAGAAAAAAAACAGAGGAAAAGGATTTCCTGTCTCTCCTGGAGCTAGCACACACTCTTCTCCTCCCGCCTCTGGACATCAGGACCCCAGGCTCTCCAGCCTTGGGACTCCAGGACTTACAAAAGCAGTCCCTACTACGTTCTCAGGCCTTTTCACTTAGACTGAGCCAAGGTACTGATGCTGCAGGGACTCCAGCTTACAGACAGCCTATTGCAGGACGTCTCAGCCACCAAGATCATGTGAGCCAATTCCTCTAATAAATCTCCTATCTAATCTATCTAACATATTTATCTATCTATCATCTATCTATCCATCCATCCTATTGGTTTTCTCTGGAGAACCCTAAGACACAACCCTAAGACATATATACTTGAACATGCATAGAAAATATTCCAGAAGGCAGTTGCAAATGGTTGTCTCTGAGGAGAGAGTTTTATCTTTCATGGTATACCCTATTTTATTGTTTGATACTTTTTTACAATATGCATGCATTGATTTTTTTTTCTTTATTAGCTTCCTTCTCAAAGAATTACACAGAGCAAGGTGATAAAAGGGTGATTAAAAAAAAAAAAGAGGATGCCAGAGAGGAGCATAATTAATGTACTGGCTGGAAGCTGCCATTCCTTGTTCTGTCCAACAACTGGTTTGAGAAGATAGGCTAACCTCTTTTGCAACTCTTTCTCTGTACCTCAGAAAGAGAAACAATAGTAATAATACACAAGTTTATTTTAGTTTGTAATTTTGAACCCTTCATCTATTGTGATCATTTATTTCATAAACATATGTCATATATTTGAACCTTTTCCAACTTAGTGCCTTAGGCTTACCTAGCTAACAAAAACAGTGAGCCCGGACTTGCATGTGAGAGGGTAGTTGTATTCGACATTAACAAATGTCTGATTCTAAGCCTTGAAGCCACCATGTTGCAAGACCAAACACGACCCACAGAACACAAACACTACCACACTGGGGCAGGAGCCAATAATCTTGAGAAAGTTTGCCTGCTGTAACTAAGCCTAACAGCCTGACCTATGAGCCAATGTGCTTTATATCAATTTTCTAAAACCAAGAAATATTATTAAGAAACTAGCTACTTCTAGTAAACTTAACGGTTTCCCAATTCAAACCCTTGGATACAATTTCCATAAAATACCAATAAAAATATTATATATAATCACTCCTTTTTCACTAAACTATTACTGCTAGCCTTATTGTTTATACATCCATTAAATTTAATCATTGATTCTACCCTGTCATTTCACCAAATCCATACGCAGTAAGTTCTCTACCACTTTGAAGCTGTACATTTTTATGAGAAAAAATAAATCCCACGATATAAAATTGCTTTTCAAAAAGTTACTTTTAAAAAGCCATCCTAGAATGTCTTTATTCTTAGAGACAGTCTAGGATGGCTTTTTAAAGATCCGTGCTCAACTACTCATTGGTGATGCGTCATAATAGCTGCGATTTACTTTGCATGCTACAGAAAAAATATGATAAAATGTTAATAATCATTGAATTCTGGTGGCAAGAATATGAGTGTTCGTGGCACTTTTTTTTAGCTTTTCTCTATATTTGAACATTTTCATAAAAGTCAAAAAATGTTAATACATGCCATCCTATTGGTATAAAAAAATAACTTTTCCCAAGTAGACAAGCACGATGAGATAATATGATGACTAAAAGGTAGGGTGGGACAGGCAATCAACTGTACTGAAGAACAACGTAGTTCTAGATTTAAAGTCTTTTTGAGTTCTCAGTTCATAGTTGTTGCTGAATCTTGGTTACTTGTTGCTTGTTTACATGCTGAATGAAAATGTTTCTACCATCAGAATAGCTTAATCATAAGGTAATTCTTCTGATAATAAATTATTAGGAAGCCCCATACAAGGACAGATATTCTTCATTACTGATTTCTTGTTCAAGGTAACTTATGGTTGACTTTTATTTGTTGTAAAGGAATATAACACAACACTCACCATTCCTGTTAGCTAAGTAACCCTAAGGCAATGAGTTGGGAAGGGTGAAATATGTTTGTTAAATAAATGTTTGCAATAGATGTTGCAAAGTTCAAAGTATAAACTTGAATTTCTCACTGTATTTTATGATTATCATTCCCATTTCTTTAAAGAAAGAGTGGCAAAATGTCTTGTTATGGTATTATTAAATTTCCTTCCTAACCAGCATCCCAACCTTCTGTTCTTTGGAAAAGTCATCATGTTAAAATAGTTGTTTTCTTTATAGATTAAGTTTACCAAAATTACATTCTATTTGCTGCAGGATAAGTCATGGTTGGGAGGACACGAGGAATGCATTTCCTCATACTGCGTTGGTAGGGATGTCAATTGGTATAATTTTTCTTGAAAGGTTTTCAATGCATTTATCAAAATTTTAACTCTGCACATTCTCTGATCCAGCAATTCTACTTCTTTATGTCAGTTTAGGGAAAAACACCTAAATGCAAAAACACCTAAATGCAAAGAAGTCTGTATAGGAATGAAGTTACTGCATTGTTTCCTATAGCATTTATGGAAAAGCCGTTAAATCAACTAGGAAACACCCACATAACGGGATGCTGTGCCATCACATTAAAAAGAAAATGGCTCTACATTCACCAACATTGGAAAATCCCCAAGACATGGCCTTACGTGGAAAAAAGACAAATAAGTTTCAGAGCAAGACTCAGAATATACCATTCATATTTTCTTTTGTTTTTTTGAGAGACATGATCTTGCTGTGTTGATCAAGCTGGAGTACAGATTCACAGGTGCAATCATAGCTCACTGCAGCTTTCAACTCCTAGCCTCAAACAGTCCTCCTGCCTCAGCCTCTTGAGTAGCTGGGACTACAGGTGCGTGCCACCACACCTGGCATCATTCATGTTTTAAACAAACTTTATCTTTCCATATACATACATATGTAGACAAATCATTGAAAAAGGTCCAAAAGGACATGTATATCAACTACTAATACTGGACACATCAGGGAAGAAAGTGAGATAGAAGAAACAGTGAAAATGGAGAACTGGCTGTGTGTTTTTTTATTTTTTTATTTTTTTCGTGTATGGGGAGTTTCCTAATGAGACTATAGACATATCATTAGTAATTTTTAAAATAACTGTTAAATCAAGAGGTATCATATTCTAAATATTTCAAACACAATTTTGTAGCATTAATGTTAGATAATGAAACATTTTTTAATCCACAAATTAAAATTAATGCCCTAGAAACTAACAAACGGTTACTGCTGACACAATAATGCACTAAGATTTATTATATATTGTGTCATTACATTTCTAGGAAAACCGAAAAGAATTCAGAATTTCCATTTAAAAGTAGCCTGAAAAAACAATCATCTTAAACATGAATAATTTGGAAGAATGTTGTTGTGCCCTTTTTGTAGAGATACTAGGACTTAGTAAAGTGATTATAAAACTGAAAAAAATGCAAACAGAGATAGCAGCACAATAAAAGGGTAAATTTTTTTAAGATTACAGAAACATTAAGAACAAAAGAAAAAACTTAAACAAACATGAGTGAAAAGATACATGGTAGGCAGGTGTGAAAAAAATTAATAAAACCACATGGAAAAAACTAATAATATTAAAATGATTATAGACAAGATGATAGACATGAAAGGCAGACAAAGGAAATCTAACATATGTATAACTGATATTCCTGAAGAAGAGAAGGATAAAAGGAACAAAAGATAGATCCAAAGACAGAACAAAAAGCTTAAATAAGAAAAATTGAGATGAAAAGATACGTTTTTAAGGTGAGCATAATGTTTCAAATGCAAGCACTGCAAGTTTTAAAGACATTATTTGCAAAACAAAGTATTCCAATGTCACAAACCAATATTTTGTGTTCAAAATATCTGGTTTTTTCAAATCCAAAGTATCGGATACCTTTGTTTCCATTGTCTCAAATGACAAATTGAGTGAGACCATCTATATTCAAGGAACAAGATCCAGTTTGTCAACAAACTTATACACCTATCCTATTTAACATCCTTAATCTGTTTATCTTTTAAAAAGAAAAAGATGTAAAGATACTGTATTTTTGTCTCTTTACTAGCGCCTATCCTTATAAAACAGTATATTAATCAAATAAGGTGGAAAAGAAAATGGATGTTCTGACTATGGCCTTTCTCTTACTTTCTCACATTCTGACATCCTCTTCCCATTCCTTTTTCAGTAATTTCTTTATTAAATTCGATGGCCAAATACCAATCAGATTTTGTACATAAACACACACACACATATCTAAGCATGAGCACAGACTTAACACAAAGAAAGAAGGTTCTATTGGTAATGACAAGTACCAGAGCTTCTGTCGTCCTCTATAAGGAACCTACTATTCCTTAAGTGGAATAGTGAGTTTTGCTGCATAAATTAGGCCTTTCCTCTTCATACTGCAAACGGTTTTTAAAGCTTCTGGGGTACCAGTAATGTTCTGATCCTTGATCTCTGTTCTGATTAATGAACACATGGTGTATTCACTTTGCTGTGATAATTCAATGAGCTGTACAAGAAGGTATACTTTTATGCGTGTTTCAGTATGAATGCTATACAGGGAGAATAAAAAGTCTGCTTTAGAAAAAAATAGCATTTTTCTAACAATGCCATATGAACATTTGCTAAGCAAGTTTGAGTGCTGGGGTTTAGAGCTAATACCCACTAGGGTATAATGGTGACTGAATCAGCGTTTCTCCAAGATGGAATTTTAAGCCCAACTCAGGAATCTATGCTCCCTTTCATTGTGCACACATGGGTCAATCAGCGTCTGCACTCACACTCTCATCTACATCTCTCCCTCTCTCCACAGATTCGAACTGGGCCTCAGAAACAAAAAGACTATGTTCAACTTTACCTGCAAAGATAAGTGTAACCTCTTCTCAACACCCAAAATATATAATCATATACTATTTACTTACTTTGGCAGTTCTCATTCAGAGCAGCAGCCGGACTCTTAGATTGGCTTTTAAAGTAAGGTGGAAGTTTCTAGCAGCTAAGCGCATTCAATTTAGAAAAGCTTTAGACAATCTGAAAGGAAAGAAATTCCTTATATTTGACCCCTGAATAAAGAATTAGTTATTGGCTGGCAAGTGGAATGGCGATTGACGGAGAGAGCGGCTACCCAGGTCTGGTTCTGCTTTAAATGCAGTATTTTTGTCTCATCTTTAACTCTGAAAAAGGGGGAAACAGCTTACCAAAAAATAAACAGTTGTTTTAAATTGTGGAACCAAATAACTCAAATTTATTTCCTTTTTAGAAATCAGAAAAACAGCCTAAAACCATGACGTTATCTTTGAGAACAGAAAGAACATTTATTTTATGCTATTACATAGTTTTTAAATGCCAAAAAACTAAAAAGTAGTATGTAATAAATAACATTGAAAGTGTAGCAAAAGTTGAGGTGAAAGCTCTTATTATATATGCAAGTGGATTTGCCCCAAATTCATTATTACCCTGGGAAATGTGAGAACAACAGACCATCTGGTAACCAGGGCTCAGGGCCAAAAGGTAAAAGGGATCCCCTTCCCAATGAGGAGATTCCTTTTACCCAGGACATTTTTAAGACAGAGTAGGTTCTGGCAAAGAGGGGAAGGTAAGAAGATGTGAAAGCACTAGGCAAATAGGATTCAGCAGTCAAATAAGCGGTAAGCCATGGTCCTAAATTGGTTTACTTGCCTTCTGCCCAATCTTAGATGGCTTGACACTAACCAGGTGTGGACAGCCTGGGGCAGGGACATCACAAGTATTGACACTGGTAAGCCTGTTTAAAGCTTAGAGACCCACAGCTAACGCCTGCCTCTGAGCGAGGCAGCCTTGGGAGGAGCTGGAATTTCCTAGCACTGTTCTCATTAAACTCTAAGATATAGTTTACTGGCATGTTTATTTCAGGAGCCTCATTCTTTCAAATAAACTATACCTAATGCTAGCAAAAGTAAGCTTCACACATTGTAAAACTCAAAACTATGAACATAAAACACATACACAAAACCACTTGACTGCCTGAACCCTCCTTAGAAATCCTGTCTGGTTAACAACCACCACCTGCATATCTGTTTTTGTTCTCTCCCTAGTCCCTTTGCAATTCTGCAAGCAGCCATTTAAGTGTGGGAGCTTAACAAGCAAGACTTAACACACACTGGGTGAAGGCAGAAGGAAAACAAAAAAGTTTATGGTCTCAGTAACACAGGCATGCTAAGGATGAATTAGCACACCAGGAACTGACCCTGGCTATCTACAGACACAGTTCTGCCCTCAGAAGCTCCAACCCACACTTAATGGGGAGCCTTTTAATCACCTTTTTAAAAAGCCATGAAATGTGGCACAGGGACAGTGGGGGCAGGCAACACCCCTCAGTCACCAAGGAAGCTTCTTCCCACAAACACTCTAAGTCACCCTTAGGGCGAGACAGAGAAGCCATTTCTTATGGTGCAATCATAGTTCATTGCAGCCTGGACCTCCTGAGCTCAAGCGATCCTCCCATCTCAGCCTCTGGGGTAGCTGGGGCTCCAGGTGCATACCACCACGCCCAGCTAATTTTTTTTTTTTTTTTTTTTTGGTAGAGTTGGCAGGGTCTCACTAGGTTGCTCAGGTTGGTCTCAAACTCCCAGGCTCAAGCAGTCCTCCCAAAGTGCTGAGATTACAGGCATGAGTTACTGTCCTGACCTCAGGATGGGTTTAATAGGCTGAGCAGTCAGGTAGAGTGACCAGCTGTTTCAATTTTCCCTGAAATGGCATTTCCTGAGACAATCTCAAATCAGGATGAAATGGTTACTCTATAATGGCACTGCTAGGGTTCCAGGTCAGCCAGGCTCTGCCAGGACCTGAGTGAGTGGCAGAGCACAAGTCACTTCATTCATCTCTTTAGGCTGCGTATCTTCATATCCAAAGTGGGAGGTGGAGTAGTATTTTTATCTCTGCCAGTATTTCTCAAAGTGTGGTCTTCTGGTCACCTGTGCCATGAAACAGTGTCTGACAGTGGTATTGCAGTTGTGGGGGTGGGTAGGAACAGTGTACCCTGGTAGGGAGGAGTATTTTATCACTTCTATCAATTCTGTGTTAATAACTGGCTTCACATGGTGCCAATAAAAGACTAACTTTTAACCAATTTTTTTTAATTCTCTACAGCTAATACATCACCTTACTGCGTGTACCCAAAGCAGATCACTCCCACCATTCCCCACTTCAGGACACCACTGTTGTCTGACCCACAGTGGACTTGTAGATCTCTGAATCACTAAGTTTCAATTTCCATTTTCAGTAGAAAGTCTATGACCCTAAATGATGACTGAATTAAAACAGGGGCAATTTTTGGTAATTTGTCGTTATACAGCATTGTGGTTTCATCTTTGCCTTACTTCCTCATTTAATAGACAACCCACCACAAATGTCCCCTTTCATCACCCTAAGATGTCTCTAACAAAGCCTTAAGAAATGAGCAGGTTTGTTAAATTATTTACATGGCTAACTACTTACAAATTATATTTAAACTATGCAGAGCTGGAAAAGTGCCTATAGTTGAAAGCAGGTGCAAATTCCTTCTGAATTAATTTAGTCAGCCTAGGTTCGTCACATTCACACCAATGGAAGTTCCAATTTGGGGGTGCAGGTTTATTTCTCTTAAAGAAAAAAAATACATACATATATTATTTTCAGCTAATTTTGAATGTTTCCATTTTCATAAATGTGATCCCAATGTCACTAGACTGAATTTCTTTTTTCTTAAGGATCAAATTAAGATAATCCACTAGGCTTAAAATTCTGAAAGAAATCAATAAATGTCTGTCTTGAGGCTGTCCTATTTCTGGGAGGCTCTTATTAGGAAAAATGTTTCTGAGCTGTCTAAATATTAATGTACACCCTCAGCAAAGTGATTACATGAGTGTGAAGTGGACAAAGCCCCATTCCTCACTAAGCTGCTAGGGGTGTTTTCTGCCAGCTACAAGAAGAAGAATCAACATCTTCCTCAGAGGAAAAAAAGAGAGAGAAGGGAAAAGAGAATAGGGAAAGTAAAACTCTGTACACAGACAGCCCTAACTAGGGAAAATGGGGATCTATGCAGGAAAGAGGTCTATGGTAAATGTCTATGATGTAAAGGTAAGGCCAGTGAAGTCCCATTTCTGAAAATAAGAGTTTCAACAAACACTCAGAAAGTGATTGTGTGTGTGAATAAACCTGAAGAACAAGTAATCACTATTTCACTGAGCTAGGCATTGCCCTAAACACAATGCAAATATTATCTCATTTAATCCTCACAGCAACCCTATGAGTTTCACATGAAAACTGAGCTTGCAGAGGTTAAGTAATTTGCCCCTAGACCAGTAGCTAGCAAGTGGCAGGGCCAAAACACAGCCCAGGTCTTAAGTCAATATAAATGCCAAACTTGATGTGTGCCCTTACCAGTGGTCAAATACCCAATCAATTTTCCCTTGAGACTGCGTGCAATAAACAACTATCACTGGGGCTAGACCAGGGGAAGTAGGTGGAGATATCTGCATATCACTGAAAGGCAGCTTCCAGAGAAAACTCCACCCAGAGGGAGACCATCTTTGGGGATGGGGGTCTCTCTCCAAAGGCACAGAAGCCAGAGCAGAGGCCAGGCTCTCAGTGGCACACAGCGGCCCCCCACTTGTTTAACACTCCACCATTAGAAATGGTTTTCCACAGGTCCCCAGTATACAACCCACATCATTAACTGTTGAGAAGAAAAGGCTTAAAAGCATCCTCCCTCCCTAAACTGGCACAATGCTGAAAAGATTGGGGTTTCAGGGCCTGTCTAAAACTCTAAATATTTACTCTTCAATAGAACAAGTAAATCCTCCAGGTCCAGCATCAACTATGTAAACAGGCCCTACTGCTTCCACAAGTTGTACCATGACCCCATGTCCTTGGGCCCCCCCACACATATACCCATTTATTTTATTTTAGAAAATCAAATTACAGAACAGTATTTCTCAAGCAGGTACTCAATACTGTACTCTGGTATCAATTATTTTCTACACAACGTGTATTTTTACGAACCAGGTTTCATTGAATCCCCTTATGTACATTTTTGCAGAGAGTGCTCAATACTGCAAAGTGGCATATTCTCCATTTTACAAGAGAGGACACCAAATTTGAGAGAATATGTTGTCTATTACTGCACAGGTGATAAACAGCACTGTTTGAATTTAAACCTGAATTCTGTAATCTTTCTGATATCCCACCCATTTTCCTTTCAATTCTAGCTAGAAATAAATATACATGTCTATTAATTGCAATAGATATACAAAAGAGCAACACAATTTAAATATACTGTTATCAAGTCTATCCATGCAAAGATGTACACACACCCACTGACATACAAAGCCCTTTTAGTCTCCCATTTTCCATAATGCCCAAATGACTGATTGCTTCATTCTCAGTTTTTCTTCACTCAAGCTATTGTGTGCAAAACTGCCACTGCTTAAACCACCAAGTCACTTTATTCTGCTTTGAAATGGTGAGCTATTAAAACAAGATCTACAGAGCCACTTAGACTAGCTGGCAGCTTTTACTCTGATACTTGCCAAACTGTGTCCCTGGACAAGATTTTAGATGGTTTTCTAAACACCCTCCCCCACTCTTAACTCTATGCTGCTCCTCTTCTCTCAAAGACTTCCCCGTGTCTTTAAGAAAGGGTCTGTATCAGTAATAATAAGAAAGGAGGAAGTGACAAAGGAAGAAGAGAGGGAAGGAAGGTGGGGGAGGAATCGAGGAAAGGAAAGAAAGAAAATACAATCTTAATCACAGCTTCAGGAGAGCAACAGTAGCTTTGTAACCTGAAAACCTCAAAGATAAGATGTGACATTTATGTAGACAATGGCGAGTTACAAACAAATGTTATTCTTAGGTCACTGTGTGCAAAAGGTTACCTAGTGAAGGAATGCATCTCTCCTGCAATTAAAAACCATTTGTGTATCTCTAACCTCAGCCTTGTCAAAAACAAGCCCCACAACCGAATTCTAAGTTATAATAGTAAAAGCAAAAGTAGGAATAGAAGGCAGGAGTGGTCCAAGAGAAGCCCACTTTGAAGACCAGTAGAGAGAAAAAGGAAGTTCTTCTTTAAAAGAAGAAAGAAGAAAAACAGCACTGCCCAAAACATTCTTACAGATGAATTACGGAAAACAGTATTTTGTACAATGACCAAACATTAAACTTCAAAAACTACTGTTGAATAATATGTACCTGACTGCTTCTAATCAGATTGTTTTTATAATATGCAGCATTTGAGAAAAATCATCTTTAAATACTCAAGTGTTTGAATCATTTGCTTGTAAAATGCATGGAAAATTAAACTGAAAGCTAGGGAGGAAGATGAAATCTGATCTTCACTCACCCAGAGCTTCCATAGGATATACCTGTGGCCTAGGCTGCTAAGGAGAGTTTTATCTCATTATCCTGGTTTGCTTTAAATGGATTGTGTACTTACCAGGGTGACTTGACTTTAATCCTAGACTCCTCCGAAACTATGCAATGTGCTTTTCTACAGACACTTTGCTCTCCTCTTCTACACATGCAGCCAGTTTACTATTATTAAGTTGTCATATTAACAAATGGACTTGAAATGATATGCTCAGTTCAAGTGCCTTCTAAAAAAACGGGATACTTAAGAGCTCTCTGGGTTTAAAAACCTTCCTTCTATCACCCCTCACCTCCCACCCACCTATGCCAGACGATTCTGGAAAGAAGAGGCGCTCTCCTAGATTTGAGGGGAATTAAGCAGTTAAAAAAAAAAAAAAGCAGTGCTTGATGAAACTGAGATAAACAGAACTGGGATGTTTGTTCCTAACTAGAAAAATGTCAAGCCAAGAAAATGAAGGCAGTAATTTCTAGTGACCTTTCAAGTCAGCAAATCTTCTATTTTTTTTAATTGTGGTAAAATACACATAGCATAACACTTACCATCATAACCATTGTTAAGTGCACTGTTCTATGTCATTAAGTACATTCACATTGTTGTGCAACCAAGACCACCATGCAGGACTCTTTCCATCTTGCAAAACTGAAACTCTGCACCAACCTCCAGCACCTTGCAGTCATCACTCCACTACCTGTGTCTATGAATCTGACTACTCTAGGTACCTTATATAAGTAGGATCCTACAGTATTTGTCTTTTTGTGACTGTCTTATTTCACTAAGCATGTCTTCAAAGCTCATTCATGCTGTAGCAGAAATTCCTTCCTTTTAAAAGATGAATAATATTCTATTGTATGTTGCTATGGTCTGAATGTTTGTGTCCCCCCAAAATTCACGTTGAAACCTAATAACTAAGTGTGATGGTGTTAGGAGGTGGGGCCTGTGGGAGGTGATTAGGTCACAAGGGTTGAACCCTCATGAATAGGATTAGTGACCTTAGTGAAGTGGCCCCAGAGCCACCTCGCCCCTTCCGTGATGTGAGAATACAGTAAGAAAGTGCCATCTGTGACCCAGAAAGTGGGCCCTAACCAGATAGTAAATCTGTTCACACCTTGATCTTGGACTCTCCAGCCTCCAAAACTGTGAGCAATAAATTTCTCTTGCTTATGAATTATCCAGTCTACAGTATTTTGTTGTACCAGCCCAAACAAATGGAGACATATGTATATGCCACATTTTGTTTAGCTGTTCACATATCAATAGACACTTTGGTTGCTCCCACCTTTTGGCTATTGTGAATGATGAACATGGGTGTACAAATATATCTCTGAGACCCTGACTTCAAATCTTTTGGGTGTACACCCCTAGAGGTAAAATTGCTGTATCATATGGCAATTCTATTTTTAATTTTTCGAGGAACCTCCATAGCAGTTGCACCATTTTACATTCCCACCAACAGTGCACAACAGATCCAATTTGTCCTCACCCTAGCCAACACGTGTTATTCTGTTTGTTTCTTTGTTTTGATAGCAGCCATCCTAATGCGTATCTCATAGTGGTTTTGATTTGTAGTTCCCTAGTGATTAGTCTAATAATAAGTCTTTTTTTGTTTGTTTGGTTTTTTTGACATGGGGTCTCACTCACCCAGAATTTAGATAATCCATTACAGGAGTAGAGTAGTTTTTTTTTTTTTTAATTTAGGCTCTATCCCTCTTTCCCTCATAAAGACCCATTCAATCTTGATGCCTCAGTCTTCCTCCCAGCCCTTTCTCTCTGCCTCACTCTCCATAATAAAGTGTTAATATCAGTTACTTCATCATCCTCTTGAGTGTATTCCTTCCACTATTTAAAATCTGAGAAGCTCCCTTCCTGATGATAGTGACTTAGCATGTGGGGAAGAGTCGGGAGGAAGAAATAAATAAAAGAGTATAAGGCCAGGTGCGGTGGCTTATGCCTCTAATCCCAGCACTTTGGGAGGCCAAGGCGAGCAGGTCACTTGAGATCAAGAGTTCGAAACTAGCCCGGCCAACATGGTGAAACCCCATCTCTATTAAAAATACATAATCCCAGCTACTTGGGGGGCTGAGGCATGAGAATCACTTGAACCTGGGAGTCAGAGGTTGCAGTAGCTGAGATCACACCACTGCACTCCAGCCTGGGGAACAGAGTGAGACCCTTGTCACACACACACACACACACACACACACACACACACACAAAAAGTATAAATATGTGACCAGAGAAAAAGACCACGATAAGACCACTCCACATTAAGAAGTAAGAAAAAACCTGAAGGCCACCAATTTCTTACAGAAAAAAGATAAAAACTACATCTCCTCATCCCCATATGAAAATATACCTGAATTCACAGAAAATTAAATACCAATTATTAATATCTGAAATAAGTTTATCATAAGCAATATAAGAACACACATTATAACAGTAACATTTCTTTCAATTCAAAGCAAAAAATTTTTTTGTTTTGAGACAGGATCTTGGTCTGGCGCCCAGATTGGAGTGCAGTGGCGTGATCTCAGCTCACTACAACCTCCACTTCCCAAGCTCGAGTGATCCTCCCACCTCAGCCTCCCAGGTAGCTAGGACTACAGGTGAGCAACACCACACCTAGTTAATTTTTGTATTTTTTTGTAAAGACGGGGTTTTGCCATGTTGCCGCAGCTGGTCTCAAATTCCTGGGCTCAAGCAATCCAACCTCCTCAGCCTCCCAAAGTGCTGGGATTACAGGCATGAGCCACTGTGCTCAGCCTCCAGATTTTTTCCAATGATAATAATCTATATTCTGATAAGGAAATACGAATGGGTATAATCTTTCTGGACAACAATTTGGCAATTTGTATCCATCAAGAACACTAAAACATTTATCCTTTTGGGCTCAGAAATGCCACCTCTAGGAAACATTCCTTAGGAAATCATCAAGAATTAAAAGACTTATATAAACTGGAAATGGCCTAAATATCGAACAAAAACATGAACACTGGTTAAGTAAATTATGGTATAACCACAGTGTAGAATAGCTTATAGTCATTAAAAATATTTTTGAATAAGTTCAATTACATGGAAAGTATTCAGATTATATCATTAAATGGCAAAAGGCTAAATATAAAACCATATATATACAGTATGATTGAATGATATTTACTTTAAAATAGGAGACACCAAAATTGTTAGATCAAGAAACCTAGTTCCAAATTCCTACACTGCTATTTTAAGTTATATAAAGTTAAGTGTATTTCCTAAATTCTCAATCCTAAATTTCATCCATAAAATGGGGAAAAATTAGTATCCACCTTACAGGGCCTGACAGAGGATTAAATAAAGTAACCACGTAAAGTAAAAAACTCATTAAGGAATAAATATTAGTTGTTACTATTGTTTTCAAAATTTTAAAAGTTGTTCATTAAAAATGGCAGTCATTCAAAATAGTCAAACATCAAACAAAATAAATGGTAAGCACCAAGTCATAGCTTCAGACCATGCATCCAATCATCCACAGCATTAGTAACAAGAAACCCCAAAAAGACATTGCAAGAATCACCCTGACCAGCTGCAGTGACTCACACATGTAATCCCAGTGCTTTGGGAGGTCGAAATGGGAGGATCACTTGAGGCCAGGAGACTAGCCTGGACAACAAAGCAAGACCCCATCTCTACCAAAAAAAAATTAAAAATTAGCCAGGCATGGTGGCACCCACCTGTAGTCCTAGCTACTGGGAGGATGAGGTAGGAGGGTTGTTTGAGCCTCAAGGCTGTAGTGAGCTAAGGTTATGGCACTGCACTCAAGCCTGGACAACGGAGTGAAGCCCTGTCCCAAAAAACAAGTAAATAAATAAAAGAATCATCCTTTTGTGTTCAATCATGCTACAGTATAGATGTCAATAAAGATTATGGTGTCAGGAAAGAGAGACCAAAAAAAACTTATGAAATCATTTTTAAAAGGTGGCCAGGGGGAAGAAACCAAAGAATAAAATCCTAAGAATAAAGATTCTCAAGGCATTGCTAATATGAAAGGATCACTGTGCTATACGAGGCAATCCTGTTTACCTTTAAAAAAAACGAAATGAAAAAATGGTTCCTAAGAAAAATTAAGTGACACAACTAGACATACAATCTGGAACTCCAGTATTCTGATTCAAAAGTGTTTAAGAAATTAATCAAAAGAAGATGAGCAAGGAAAAAAAATAATAAAATTTTGAAAGTCCCGACTATGTAAGAAATAAATAAAAAATCTGGTTTCACCTGGTGGTAAGAGGAAGAAATGTAAGTGTATGCAATAACATTTGAAACTTTTAATATACAACATGGGCCTAGGTTCTAGTGTTCACCAACAAGGTTTAATCAAGTTAGTAAAATACAAGAGGGCAGCCTGAGGATGGTGCAGCAATGTCTGACAAAGCCATGGAACTGGTATGCTGATGGAGGAAACTCACCTGAAATCCCATTTTCCCTCTGCTGCCACCTGTCCTTCCCCATCACAGAAGAGCAACCACTTCTGAAACACTTTACAACCAGGAATCCAAGAGAAAACTAGCCCTGTCCATAGAGAATTCAAATATTTTCAACAGAGAAGTCATAAGTGAACTCAGGGTATTAATTTCATAATCCTAGATGACATTACATCATGGTGATAATTTAAAGTTATCTCACCTACCTCCTCCACCATTCTAAGGCACTGCCCCTTAACAGTAATGTTATGCCTTTTACCCATAAATTAACCTATAACAAATAGCCAAACTACTTCACTGTGTAAATTCAAAACTTTTTATTTTACTAGATGAGAAAACTGTACTAAGTTCTGCAAAGAATGCCAACCCTCTGATTTTAGGTTGTTCTCCAACAAAACATCCACTGTCATTCAGAAACTATGAGAAGCTATTTATGTCTGCAGACCACTTTTTTTTTTTTTTTTTTTTTTGAGACAGGGTCTCACTCTGTTGCCCAGGCTAGAGTGTAGTAGCGCAATCACAGCTCACTGCAGCCTCAGCCTCCCTGGGCCCATGTGATCCTCCCACATAAGCCACTGCACCCGGCCTGAAGCCCACTCTTGCCTCACACACTAGTCTCTGGCAAAGCAGGTATCCATAGTTTTAATGTGAATATTGCCATATAACTTAACAAGCTAAATAAGGAACACTTATAGGGTTTAACATCCAGCACTGATTGCATGAGAAAACCATGGTTGTATGCAAGTTGTTCCCAAACAGTCTTTTAAAATATATCAGATCAGTCTCTTCATTACAAGGTACACTATAGGAACACTGAGGAACAAATTCCTTCAGTAATGAACCTCACCTGATACCCCCACTGTTTCCTAGTAGTCATTCACTCACTCCCCTCCTTTCCCCCTAAGTACCAGCAACCAGGAACACGCTCTCACACTCTCTCTCTCTCTCGCTCTCTCAACTATCCTAGAAGGCCTCACCCAAGGCTAGTGGACAATAAATCTAAAAGAAAAAGCCTGCTGGCCAGACATTCCCTCAGACACAACTGAGACCCTGTCGTTTCTTGAAGGTTTGGGACAGCAGATCATTCTTGGGCTGAGTGAGTGAAGCCAGACTTTGCTGTCAGCCTCCCAAAGGATGACACTCCTCACATAGCCTAGCATTTTGAGAGCCAATCTGGCAGGAATTAGCTTCTCATTCTTACCCAGTCATCACAAGAGGTGCCAGGCCTACTCTGGGTTCTACCTAAAAGAGGTCTAAGGAAACGGAACAATTGCTTTCTCTATAGAATCTTTGTTGGTTATTCTGAAATACTGTAGCTTTTTGGAGCATAAATGATAACAGCCCAAATGATTCTTTTGACTCAAAACACAGCTGAAAAATACAAGAAACAAAACCATTGACTACAATATTTCTGTGGAAAAAAAAAATCTCTTGACCAGGTGCAGGGGCTCACACCTATAATCCCAGCACTTTGGGAGGCCAAGGTGGGCGGGTCACTTGAGCTCAGGAGTTTGAGACAAGCCTGGGAAACACAGGGAGACCCCATCTCTACAAAAAATTACAAAAAATTAGCTAGGCCTGGTAGCATGCACCTGTGGTCCTAGCTACTCGTGAGGCTGAGGTGAGAGGACTGCTTGAGCCCAGGAGGTGGAGGTTGCAGTGAGCCATGATCATGCCACTGCACTCCAGCATGGGTGATGGAGGGAGAACATGTCTCAAAAAAAAAGAAAAGAAAAAAAAAAGACATTCAGCCGCTTCAAAGTTTCATCAGATAATAATTAGTAATTTTCAAGCACAGATGATCCACAGGAATCAAAGAATCAGGAGGGTGAAAACAATAAGTTACAAAGGCCATTTGCCTCAACACATAAATGAGAAAATAAACAGAGATAAATTAGGAGGCTGCCCCAGTGTAAGTTTTGACTAGAATTTGAGTGTTCTGATTCCCGATCTATACTTCCTGCATCTCTCCTAAATCCACAGCATTAAAGTTAACATTTGTAACAATAACTCAAAGAATTTTTATTTCTAAAGAGATTCAGCACAATTTCCACATTTATAAATACCACAGCAAAACACATTTTTGAAAAAGTGAAGTTGGAAGAAGCATTTATTATAGTTCCTGAGAATGGCTTACTGAATCTAAACAAGCATTAAATCAAGAAAATTCATCAAACAGATGACAATGCTATATTATTAATAAATAACATTTTGTTCTTTGTGATCAAGTTAACATAATATAATGGTATACAATTTTTATTCTAAGAGAATCAGCCCAGTTGGGGGAAAAAAAAAAACCCACATACTTTACTCTGTCAATCAATTGGTCGCTACAGTGGTCCTGGTCCTTACCCGGAGTTAAGTATGGTATAAAGGCTATGCTAAAAACCACCAAGCTTTGAGATCTTCACAGACTCAGCCAAAAGTCATTGACCTTAGGCTGCCCCATTTTTTACCAACCATGCTGGGCTTCCATATTGCTGTCCATATGCTGTCATAAAGTGACATGTTCTGGCTACCAATGCCTCCACTATCCACACCACAACAGCCGGGATGAAAATAAAAAGAAAGGACTGTTTAACTGGGCAAAGCCCATTTCAGTCAATTCTTTGATGTTTCTCTTAGTAGAGAGAAATACCTAAGACTGAGAAGAAGGCATTCAAATTCACGATTTTAGCCTCAACAAGGACATTACTGACTTCACTTAATGTAAAATAAAGACTTGGATAATCGGGTATTTCTTAGGTATGGTCTCAGCTTTGAAATAAATGACAAAGCATACAAAGAGAAGAATCTTGAGAGAATTATTCCTATTACAAAAGCATTTCATTCTACAAAGGGATTCACAACAGGCTTTTAAAATCATCGTATACATTATAGAATACTGCAAAAGAAAAGGATGTATATACAAAATGCTAGAAGGCCATTGAATGTGAGTTGTAGCAGTGATAATACTGAATGGTTCTGTTTTATTGATTCAGGCCCTTGATGGATGCTACTGAGATGAAGGTCACAGGTTGGATCCCAGAATATGTCATTTAGGTTTGAGAAGAGGAGAAACATGCAGAACTTCTAACTCTAGATACAACTAAATTGTGGATTTTCAGAGAATTGAGAAGGTCTGAATGGTTAAAGACAGAGCTATCATAGGAAGAAACAAAGTAGATAGTCTTCCAAAAGTCAGTAGCATTCTGTGACATATGTGCCATATTGGATTATTATTCTGAACATTAACCATAAACTTTCACTTTCCATACAGGCCATTAAATCTCTTCTACTTAGATCAATGGCCTGAAGGAAACTGACCAACTCACTTTATATCAATATGAGGACATTTGCTGTGACTGACAATTGAAAGCAGCTCACCCCTCTATGTAAACTCTAAGTCGAGTCATGGGATTATGGAAAAAAAGAAAGAAAATAAAAAATGTTTAGAAAGAGGAAAAATGAACTTCCAGTTTTCAACTATCACATTAGTGTTTATCTTTTTAGAGGCAGAGACAATCTAAGTACAAAGCCATCTCCATTCTAACAACTTAATTTTTTTAAACACAGTGAACAGCCTGGAATCAGCATAGAGAAGGAGGATGTCAGGAAAATTCGGCTGTTTGTGCACAGATCATGCTTTTGTTCTCCAACACATAAGACTGCACATCTCTTTCAAATGCATTATCTATCTAAAAGTGAGCCCAGCCAGAATTTATCAGACACAATTTATCATAATTCAGCAATTGTGTGTAGATCCCCTACTATGTGCCAACATAGAGCAAACCTGCTATCCCTGAGTCTGCTTGTTTTTGGAGAGCCTGCAAAACTGTATAGAGTTCATATTTTCTGTAACCAAACATTTGCTCTAGAGGTAACTCTACACCTGCAAACACACCCATTTTTTCACAGCACTGCTGTGACTTTTTTGATCCTTTTTTGTATAGGATCAATGACACATCTGTATTAGATTCCAATAATTTAAACATAGGTCTTAAAGTCTGTTGCTTTGTGCATGTCAATTTCTGCAGGCGAACAGCTGACTTCGTTTTCAAGCAACAATACTGTCCGGTGAAAAATATACCTTCCTGAGACAAAAGATACTTTTTGTCCCCATGAAGCTTTGTTGCCTCGTCCAGCAGCAAATGACTCAAAAGACGCGTTCTGCCACCCTCAACAGTCGTTTTCAGGCAAAGAGGAACAGCAAATGAGGTACCAGCAAAAGCTTAAGAAACAAAACCAAGGTGAGTTGAAGGCGGGGAAGAAAGGCGGAGTGGAAGCGAGAAATGCAATCTAAACTCTACTTTGTGATCTAAGAAATTCAGCCTTTACTGATGAATTGGGCAGAGGAAGGGGAGGGTACAAGAAAGGGGAAGATAATATTTTCTGTTACGAAAAAAAAAGTGTGCTGCTGTCCTGGTTTTCTTTCAGTAGCACCCAGAGAATGCATGGCAGGCACAATCTAGTTTCGCGACGAAAACGAATTCCATGAGAATAACACAAGTTTGTATGTGACACAATGGAGATATCCAACCAAACCGAGGAACTATACAATTGCATGACAATTCCTCAAAATTTTAAGTGCCTTCGAGTACCAAAAAAGAAGTTTATGATTATTCACAGGACAGGGTTATCAGTTTAATATCACCATTTTGCAGGATGTGGACCCGTCCTGTCACATCCTCTTTTAAAGAAACCGCTAATAACCTGAAATGCTATTATCCCCTATTTGCCAGGACTGTGGGCCTGATAGTTTCACGGATAAAAACCAAACAGCGACCAGAAGCCAGGAAGTCCCTGGCGAATTCTTTTGAAGCACAACCCCTACAATCCGTGTGCCGGAGCATAAAGATTGAAGTGTGCGCGGTTCCTCCTCCCTCCGGGCCGCGCGTCCGGAACGTTCCTGGCTGTCAGGTGGGTGGCGCGGGCCCCGGCGGGAAGCCCTGCCTGGCAGCCTTGCGTGGCGCGCCGGCGGAGAGGGGCGAGCCCCGCGGAATGCGGCGGGTCCTGAGCCCGACCACCGCTCACCTTTGTTCGCCTGCCCTTGCCGGGAGGAGAGCAGGGCCCAGGAGGAGGGCAGGGGGCGACCCTAACGCTCCGCGGCTCCTCCCCGGCGCCCGGGAGGAAATCCGTGGCAAGCCAGACCCTTTCTGGCTCCCAGAAAGCCAGCGGGGCAGGGGGGTCAGCAACCCCTCCCCGAACACAAAGGTTGGGAGGCGTGAACGCGAGCGTTGGGGGCGCGGGGGCGTGCGCCAGAGAGCGCGCGAGTGTGTGCGCGCGTGTGTGTGCGCAGGGGGAGGGGAGGAGGGGCTTCAGCCCTTCTTACCTCTCGAAGATGAGCCGCACCATGAAGATACAGAAGGCCAGGGGAAAAGCGAGATAGAGGTCCTCAGCCTGCGGGAAGGTGGCCTCCTCCGTGTTCTTCAGGTCCGCCCAGGTGACATTGTGCGGGAGCCAAAACCTCTCGTTCCAGAACCAGGCTAAGATCCCTGCCATCTTGCTTTGTCCACTCCTGTCCTGCGGCACCCGCAGCCCGCCAAGCTCTCCACCGCGCAGGGCGCCCGGGGATGCGCGCCCGGCTGGCCCCGAGCCTGTGCCGCCGCCGCCGCTGCTCCCGCCCGCCGCCGCCGCCTCCTCCGCGGCCGCTGCTCTCGAAGGCTCGCGGCGAGCCCCGGTTCTCTCCTCCCTCTGGCCGCGCTGGGGAAAGGGGCCGCCTTGCCCGTCACATGGCAGCTCGGGCCGCCCGCCCTGATTGGCTCGTCTTCGCGTCAAACAGCGAGGCACACACGCGGCCAACTCGCCCACACCCGCAGGGCAGGGCGCAGTCGCTGCGCCCTGGGCGCAGGGGCACCGCTCCGGGGAGTGTCGCCCGCCCCTGCTCTCACCGCTCTTTCGCTTTGCGCTTAGGGCGACGACCTAAAGTCGACCCCCCAAATCCGCCCTAGCCCCCTGGCTGGCTCGCACATGCTCAGAATGCTGGCTCCTGCCCCGCTGGGGTTTCAGGGCTCTCAGTCCTCTTCCCGTGCGCCCGGAGGCGGTGGGTCAGCAGGTAGGGGCTGCCGCCAAGCTTCAGAACCAGCCCTGCTCCAGGAGGACAGCAAAAAAAAAAAAAGGGGGGGGGAGGGGGAGGGGTAAAGAGCAAAGGAGGAAGTGGGAGGGAAAGGATCCTCCACTCCCGCGCTTGGAGAGGCAGGGTGAAAAATCAGGAACTGAGGCAGGATGGTTTGGCAAGAGCCTTCTGCCTCTGCCCCACGCCTGCCTTTCCCCAATCTTTGACTTTCCGGTCTTTTATACTGCTGCTTCTCATCAAAGTAGCTCCCCCAGGGAACAAGCCCCCCTATATTGATTTATGAGGTGGTACAAAAAATTAGGCACTTAATTGCTATTTGATTATTAATTGCTACTTGATGACGATGATGATGATGATGATGATGATGATAGCAACTGCAGCGTTCTGTAAAACCACCCCTCTCAACTAACCTCTCTGAAAAGGCTGCTAGACCACATTTTGACCTGGCACATCATGAGAACCTCCACTGTGCTACTCGGCAGGCTCATTATTTCTGCCTTTTGAATCTAAAACCTTTAAGGCATTAGGCCTGTGAGGCCTAACCCAGGCACCTTCCCTCCCGCAATGCATTTCCCCATTGATACAGGAGCCATGTGTGAATTCATTCCATGGCCCATGTATACATGGTTCTGGGGCATTTTTGTTCATTTTTCTCACATTCATTTTCTGCCTGGTGCTGCCAGTAGGCTATACTAAACCTTTCCAGTGGGCATATAACCGCACACACACACACACACACACACACAGAGAGAGGGAGTTTCTTTTACTCTTCCCTCCCCTCTTTCCACTCTATCTCTTGAAAGTGAAACTGAAGAATGGCCTATACTGGTGCTTCCAATTTCTCTCCCCTCATTTTCTTTTGAACTTCCATTTGGACATTTGTCTCCTCTGCTGCATTGAAACTGCCCAAGGTCACCTGTGATCTTCATGCTGCTAAACACAAAGGTCAGTTCTTATCTTAGTCCAGGCTGCTTAGACTAGGTGGCTTAAACAGCAGAATTTATTCCTCACGGTTCTGGAGGCAGGGAAGTCCAAGATCAACATGCAGGCAGATCCAGTGTCTGGCAAGGATCCTCTTCCTGGTTTGAAAACAGCTGTTTTCTTGTGTATCCTCACATGGCAGAGAGCACAGAAAGAGGAAACACAGATTAGTGCCCTATCTTCTTATAAGGGCACTAATCCCATTCATGAAGGTTCTACCCTCATTAGCTAATTACCTCCCAAAGACTCTGTCTCTGAATACTATCACATTGGGAACTAGGATTTCAGCATATGAATTTTGGGGGACACACACATTCAGTTCATAGCAGTTCACAACACCTCTGTCAGTAGCATTTGGCCCAGTTGTCAGGTCGTGTGTCTTAAAACATTCTTGACTTGGCTTCCAGAAACCTCACTCTTCTGGGTTTCTTCCTCCTTCATGGCCATTTCTTCTCAGTCTCCTTCCTGGTTACTCCTCACTTTTCTAACCCCTAGAAGTTATAGTGGCCTAGGAGTCAGTCTTTTTTCCTCTTCACTTTTCTATCTGAATGTATTCATTTGGTGATTTTATCCAGTCTCGTGGCTTTTAATGACATCTGTATGCCCTCCAATGTCATGCTAATAGCTCCCATATTTATATCTCTAGCCATGAACTTTTTCCTGACCTTCTGACTCTTAAATCCACTGGCAATTTAACACCACCACTCAGATGTCTAAAAGCTATCTCATGACCAAACTATTAATCTTCCCCTTGAAATCTCTTCCTCCTGTAGTCTTGGCTCAAGCCAAAAATGTGGAGTCATTTTTTCCCCTTCTCTCTTTCTCTCATACCTCCTTTCCAATCCATCCCAAATCCCATCAGCACCATTTTAAAACCATAATCTCACCATCTCTCACCACCTCCCCTGCTACCATCTTGGTCCAAACAACCAATACTTCTAATTCACATTACTCCAGTAACCTCCCAACTCCCAGTTTCACCCTTTGCCCCTCTACAGTCTATTCTCAGCCAGTGTGATCCTATGCAAATTTGTCAGATCACCCCTGGGGTGAAAACCCTGCTTCTTCCTCATCCCTCCCAAGTGAAAGCCAAATTATTCCAATGACCTGTGATATTTGGTTCCGTATTAACTCTGACTTATTTACTCTTCTCTCTCCTTCACTCTGCCTGAGTCCACACTGGCCACCCTGCCCTTACTGGGACACACCAGCTATGTCTTAGAGCCTTTGTGCTTGCTCTTCTCTGTCCCTGGAACTCTTTTTACACGAACATCCATGTTTGCTCTGTACTGATGTCATTTTCTCCCTGAAGCCTTCCCTGGCCACCCTAGTTAATCTACATCCCTCAATCCCCACCACCACTCTTCCTATCTTGCTTTGTTTTTCTCCAAGACACTTACCACCGTCAACACAAGATATATTGTACCTATATCTTCATCAATCATCCACACAGACATGCACTAAAATGTAAGCTTCAGAAAGTTAAAAGATTTGTATTTATTTTATCAACTGTTCTATTCCTAGCACTTAAAAAAAAAAACTGCCCGGCACATTGTAGATACTCAATAAACTACTGAATAAATGAATCAACATTACTCCAACCCCAAAAAGTCTTCTCAAGGAGAAGAAAAAAAATCTGAATAATTGTGTTAAATATTTATATATCCATGTTAGACTCGTGTGTAGAATAGTGTGGGCATAAAGAAGGAATTGGTCAATTCTGGGGTGAGGGAGGTGAGGTGTCATTGAAGTGAGTCTTCATTTGGGAGTAGAAGTCGCCATCACCACTCTAGACCATGTGGTGAGCTTCTCAGTAACACTGGAACATGCCTTGGCACCAGCTGCATTCTCGTAGGCCATAGACAGAGGTTTGTTAAGACCTCTCACCAACTTTGTGTCCGAAAGTCATGTCATGACATGTCATGACATGTCAGAGCCTGGCCTTCTGGGCCAGCCAGACTTCTTCTGTGACTACCCCTGGTTTCTCATGTCACTCCTTCCTGTATGACCTGATAGTACCTTGCTTCCTACTCCATGGCTTCTGTGCTCTCCAGCAGCTCCTTCTATGTCCCCAAGCATGTATAATACTGTTGGTGAGTTAATGCCCTGGGATCTGACTTTGATCATGGGCAATGAAGACAGTAAGTACATTTTTATTCCTTTCCTCCCCACCCCTCGGACACACACAATGGCTTCAAACAGCCTCTCTGAAAATACCCCCTGCTACAAACCCATCATTTTATTTCAAGATTGTGACCCACTCAGTAACTCACCCCCTGATATAAACTCATCATTTTATTTCAAGATTGTGACCCACTCAGTAATTCACCCCCTTATATTTCCTCTCCTCTTTCTCATCTCACTCTCCTTTTCTCTCATTCCTGCTTCCCTGAAACTACACTTCCCTGGAACTTAGAAGCTAAACTAATAGGAGCTAAACTAAGATAATGTGGCTCTCCCATTCATCAACTTTGAGAAGGTGGTGGGATTTCAGGAACATTTTGAAGGGTGAGTTTTGTTGGACAGTAAAAGGAGGATTTAGTACTTTCTATGAATCTTCCATAAGTTCCTTTGTTTCTAAGAGCGTGTTAATACCCTCCTGTGTGATTTGTGCATCAACAGTACCTGTCTTGCCTCTGTCACTGACTGTCATGAGGCTCACATAAGATAACATATGAGAAAGGGCTTGTAAACTATTCTTCTCTATACCCATGTACAGTTCAGCAAACACCTACTCCTCATCTGTCTAGTAGAACTCCTCCAGCCAATGCCCCTTCCTACCACTTTGCATCTAAACGTTTACCCCAGAAACATATTAGAGTAAACTATCATTCCAAATATGATCACATTTTATTGATCCAGGGATGGACAATTGGCCTAACATGGCAATAAAAGCCTTACTCCGGTGTTGTGAGTCGGGTCAAGACTGTCTTTCTCTGGATGCTTAGATTCAAGGATTCCAACTCAGAAGCTGTTGGCCCCCTTGCTTCATTACACAGCTAGAAAAAGCAGAAGCTAGTCTACAACAAGAGAAAAAAAATAAAGCAGACCTGTAGAGTTAAGACCTGCAGAGTTAAAGGTAAGAGACACACAGGGAGTCCTGTTGGCATTGGAGCTCCAGGTTCCATTTAATACCTAGGGGCCAACTACCTTCTCATCCTTAGGTTCTGTGAAACAGCCTCATAGCTTGATAAATTCTGCTTTTGGGTTGAGTTGCTGCTATTTCAGTTTGCAAAAAAATCCCACTATCCAAGACATTACTCTAAGAGCACATGTCTTTTTTTTTAAGAGATGGGGTCTCACTATGTTGCCTAGGCTGGAGTGCAGTCCCACTACTGATGAGCATGGGAGCTTTGACCTGATCAGTTTCCAGTCTGGGTCAGTTCACCCCTCCTTAGGCAACCTGGTAATCCCCTGCTCCTGGGAGGTCACCATATTGATTCTGAACTTAGTGCAGACACCCATTTGGCATAGTGCACTATAGCCCAGAACTCCTGGGCTCAGGCAGTCCTCCTGCCTCAGCCTCCTTCCCAAATAGCTGGACCACAGGTGCATACCACTGTGCACAGCAAGAGTACATGTCTTTAACGCTATCCTGAGCTCAGCTGAGGCCCCAGGGAAGTTAGTCACAGGAGGGGGATAGCACAGCATACCTCTCAAGAAAGCTACTTTGTAAATGTACAGGAAAGACTTCTAATTGGTGCCCCAGGAAACCAAAATACAATTTATGCATCAGACTAATATGTAGCCCAGTGAGAAAGTAAGTAGCTGGTCGGTAAAGGGACAAGGCAAGAGAAAAGGGGAGAAAAAAAAATGTGTTCAGGGGAAGTGACACCAGTTACACTGCATATTAGGAAAGCATGCTTTGTTTTCTGAATAGAAAACATCACCTGAGAATACACCCTGATTTCCAAGCAACTGGAAAATATCAACAAAGCTGAGCTTTATCTCTCATTCTCAGGTCCACACCCAGGTCTTAATTTGAGTTCACATTGTAAGCAGTCTCCACTTTTTTTTGTTTGTTTTGTTTTGTTTTGTTTTGAGACAGAATCTCGCTCTGCCCAGGCTGGAGTGCAGTGGCGCAATCTCGGCTTACTGCAACCTCCACCTCCCAGGTGGTTCTCCTGCCTCAGCCTCCTGAATAGCTGGGATTACAGGCACGTGCCACCACACCTGGCTAATTTTTGTATTTTTAGTAGAGACAGGGTTTCACCATGTTAGTCAGGCTGGTCTCAAACTCCTGACCTCGTGATCTGCCCGCCTCGGCCTCCCAAAGTGCTAGGATTACAGGCGTGAACCACCGCGCCCAGCTGCAGTCTCCACTTTTTAGATGCAGGAGATCAGCCAGCAGTTTGGATGAATTTCCACTATGGGTTGCATAACACAAATCTATATAGTACTTGTTCTACAAAAAGAACATAAAAGCTATTTGGGGAGCAGGATGTGCTCACATGAAAAGCTAGATAACAATACATGCCAACACCACTGAAGATGGCCCTCAACAGTATGTGACAAGTGTGCAAATACTGCAGACAAGAAGCGCTTCCTGCTCAAAGGAGGAAGGAGACATTCTGTTTTGAAGAGATCAAGGGAACTTCAAGGAAGACACAAAAATGAATCAGACTTTAAAGAATAAGTAAGATTTGAAAAGGCATGATCAAAGGTAGAAAGTGAGGAAGATTTGCTGAAGGACAATAAACAAAACATTGCTGGCACTCCAGATTAAAAATGGCCTTTAGGATGAGGCAAAGGAATACTTCTGTTTATTTAGTGAGAACTGTATTTTATCTCTGATCATAGCAATAAGCATGATGCCTGGTACATAATACACACTCAACTATTGTAGGTTTTAAAAATATATACAAATAAAAGTTATTTGTTGCTTAAAACACCAGGAAAATACTAAAGGTAAGCACTCAGTTTAAACACACAATTCATTGATTTTAAAGGAACCTGGTTGTCACTGAGAATAATATGGAAATATTGCTAAATTTTATTTGTACAGTTGTTTTTCATAAGTGTAAAACCTCCTTGCTGTGGTTGGCAAAACTGTCTTAAATCTACACTCATTTTTGTGGTCCATGTACTAATCTCTTGAGTTTTCATTTATACAATATTGAGTGGGAGGTGGGGAGGACTAGTTTGGGCAAGAAATAAGGAGGATTTAGCCCCACAATATGAAGATCACTGATAGCAGTGCAGAAAACGCAGCCTCTCCTGCCATCTTAACATAAGGAAATGAGTATTTAACTCACAGCATTGGAGTTAGGCTGAGTTAAGGTCTGTAACCCAGACGGGAATTGAGTACATGTTATTGCTGGAAGTTCTCCAGCAGGACTTGCTCCCTCCTATGCTCGCATTCTTTCATACAACCATGTCAGATGTTGAAGATCTTTCTCCTCCCTCCTTTATCTTGACAGTTTCTACCTCTGGAAAATCTTTTCTAATACTGACAGCCATCAATTACTCTGGTATTTCTAACTAAACCAAATCTCTGGCTAGATTTTCTGACTTCTCTCTAATAATCAAAATCTATTTAAATGTTAATGTTCCCCTTGCAACTTTCTTCAACCTACTAATGTTGTGTTAGAATCACATTAAAATTTTAACCAGGCCAAATGTGTTGCAAGACTACCAAAGAAAAGTGAGAAACAGCTAGGTTGATCTGACTGTGGGCTATCCAGTTAGAGATTAAATTCACCTAGTTATATATCTGTAACTTTATGCATATGTTCAACCACCTGCTAGACATAATCAGCAATGATGGCATTCTCTGCATATACATATAGGTAAATAGCATTTAGGGGGCAGGTGTCTTTTTCTGTTTCCTGCTGCTATAACATAATACCAAAGACTGGGTAATTTATCAAGAAAAGAAGTTTATTTGGCTCATGGTTCTGGAAGCTAGGAAATCCAAGAGCATGGCACTGGCATCTGGTGAGGGTCATCGCATGGCAGAAGGGATCACATGACAAGCAAGCACATATGAAGACAGAGAGAGATGAATGGGGCTGAACTTACCCCTTTTTAAAATCACGAATCCACTTTTGGCAATAACTAATCCATGCCCAAGACAACAGCATTAATCCAGTTGAGGGCAGAGCCCTCATGGCCTGTTCATCTCTTAAAGGTCCATCTCTTAATATTGCCACAATGGCAATCAAATTTCCAACACACAAACTTTTGGGGACACATTTAGATTTATGAGCCAGAATGCCTAAGTTCTACTTTCCATTATGCAAAGGTTTTTATAATCAAAGAGAAACAGAAAAGCAATTATCTGGCCAATTTATGGGAAGAGTAAATAACCTGAAATATTGCTTGAAATTATTGACTTTATATAGAAAAAGAATTTCAGGACTGGAAGGGACCTCATATACCAATGAGTACAATTCATCTTTTGTGATCATCTGAGCTATGACTAAACATCTCTGATGGCAAGAAGCTCACTACCTCACAGAATGACCCATTCTATTTTTCACACCTATGACTATGAGAAAATCTGTTAATAAAGACAATGATCTTGCAAAGCCCAGCAAAATCATCTTAGTTTTCAAATTATAAAATAGGAATAGTATTTTTGTGTTGGATAGATGGATCTAGAATTCAACGACAGGATTCACGTCTGGTATCATCACCTTGAACAAATCACAGCACTATGTATTTGACTAATCACTCCTACATGAAGACATTAGAAATATCTCTGAGTTATACTCCATGTCACCCAGGGAATCCTTGCCTCTGAACAACAACAACAACAAAAGCCTAACTTGCCTGCAGAATTATCAACCATTTGCCTAGTGAGTTCGGATGAATTTTGTGCTATTTTTGGTCAGTTATACTTGAATGTTTTTTGGTTTGGTTTTTTTGTTTTTTGTTGTTGTTGTTGTTGTTGTTGTTTTTTGCAATGATGGAATCTTGGCTCAATGCAATCTCTGCCTCCCAGGTTCAAGCAGTTCTCCTGCCTCAGCCTCCCAAGTAGTTGGGGTTACAAGTGCCTGCCACCATGCCCAGCTAATTTTTGCATTGTTAGTAGAATGGGGTTTCACCATGTTGTCCAGGCTGGTCTCAAACTCCTGACCTCAGGTAATATGCCTGCCTTGGCCTCCCAAAGTGCTGGGATTACAGGTGTGAGCCACTGCTCCCAGTCTTGAAAAATTTTTTAACAGATAGGCATCATAGAAATCATCAATCAGCAGTGTTGATTCAGAGAAAAGTGGAAACTTCTGAAGTTTTAAGATCTTCATGAATTCTACAGAACATGAATGACCTTATAGCATATAGTTTTCTGTATAGAATAAAAAATGTAAAGACAAATAGAGAATAGAAAGGTCATGTCATATGTAGAAGCTGGGTAGTTTTCTAGGTGCACTCATTTGCTGAATTACTTTATGCCAATCAGTAGTTTTAGAGGACAGGCAATTCATATTCATTCCACAGCAAGGTTAGAAGTTACCGTAAGTCATAGACCTATTGGGTTGCTCGGGAAGGATTATAACTGTAACTATCAAATCCTTGGAAGCCAAGAATGTGCCATGTTATTTAAAAGTAGGGATTGCAAACTCAGATGACTTCAGGAGCCAGACAGGAAACAAAATAAATTAAACAGGCCAGGTAAAAGAAAATATTCATGAACTGAAGATTTTACAGGGATTCAAATTCTCGTTTCTTCTTCCTTCTTTTTATCTATTGGCCAGTGTTTGCAAACTTCAGTTACTTCCTTGTGTTCATGGCTAAAGACTATATTCATTTAGGAGGCCACATTTTTAAAGGAACACTTTTTGTTTGAATGGAATTTATCCAATGAATAACAATCACAATGGTGAGGGATATGGAAATCCTGAGGAGATGTTTAGTAACCATGTTAAGAGTACCAACTTTGGAGTTAAAAAGAAAATGTAGGTTTAAGGGCCGGATTTTGCCAGTAGTAATGTATTTTTCCTTATAAAAACTACTCCAGCTCTTGAAACCTAGGGAATCATATTGTTACCACCTGGGCTTAAAGTAAGATTAAATGAGATAATGTAACATGTTTAACATTTAAAAGGAGGAAGTTATTGTTATTATGTATTGTAACAAATTGGTGAACATTTCATTGTTTTAGGAAAAGAAGACCCAGACTTTGTTGAAATAATCTGCCTTTAAGGTAGGCTGAGCCTTTTAAATCTGGGAATGAGTGACTGTTATTTCTGAGATGAATAGAATTAGCTTTTACTGGGCAGAGAAAGTGAGGAACGAAGTAAGGAAGGGAGAGATAAGGGGATGGAGGGAGGTTTCAGAAGCCCATGCATCTACTGTGCGATTCCTCAGGATGTTTTTGCCACAAAGCTACTATAAACATCTTAAACACAAACTGCTTAGATCCAGTGTCATTTTGTGGAAACCTGTAAAGAGACTGGGTTTTGATATTGGCAGTTTATACAAACAAGCAAATTAAGAGAATGTAACCTGAAGAAAATTAGAAAAATTATAGAGCTGGATTTTGAATCTCAGGAGACCAAGAAACTGAATTTGAGCCATGTGTAAGGAATAGGTGGGATCCACAGGGACAGCTGTATTCCAGTTATCCTGGGAACCGTGGAAGAAACTAGAGAATAAAAGATTCTTGGGAGACCTGATATGTGTGTTCCAATATTGTAAGGTCTCTTGGGGGGTGCAATTTTACCTAGTCTCTATAGGTGGAGAGGGCAGACTTTAGGACAATTTGCTGATGTAACTAAAAGGCTAATTTTATCTTCATAGAAGAAATGTGCAAAGCTGGCCAAAAATGAGTCAGCAGCTACATCAACCAGTAAATGTCCTGTCATGTGAAGTGTTGAGGTAGAGGTTTAACTGTTAGACATGTAGGGGAAGAGGTATTCCTTTGTAAAAGTGACTTGGAAATAGACGTCAACTAAGTTCCCTTTAATATTTTGGAGTTAATGTAAAACACCATGGAGGCCGGGCACAGTGGCTCATGCCTGTAGTCCCAGCACTTTGGGAGGCCAAGGCAGGTGGATCACAAGGTCAGGAGATCGAGAGCATCCTGGCTAACACAGTGAAACCCCGTCTCTACTAAAAAATACAAAAAATTAGCCAGGCGTGGTGGCGGGCACCTGTAGTCCCAGCTACTCCGGAGGCTAAGGCAGGAGAATGGCGTGAACCCAGGAGGCGGAGTTTGCAGTGAGCCGAGATCATGCCACTGCACTCCAGTCTGGGCGACAGAGTGAGACTCCGTCTCAAAAAAAAAAAAAAAAAAAAAACACCATGGAAAGGAGGGCAGGAATACCAAACAGAATCTGGAACTCCTTCTGTTGGGAGGAAGACATGTACCCTAATAATTTCCTTTTTCATGTGCCCATGATGTGGAAATTTTAATCTGCATGCTTTTGAAGTTGATCCTGTTCAGCAATTTTATTCTAGGGATGCTTTTCTCATCCTCGGAGACTTTTCATTAACCATCTCAAAAGGGAGGAGATTAAGAGCCTAAAAGAAAAATAAAAGCATGCAAGAAAATACAATAAAAAAGGAGATACAGGAAGCAGTACAAAGAAATACTATTAAACTATTATTGATCTATCATTTGAAGGTAACCAAAATGGATTATTTTAATGAGATTAAAATTATATTTTAAGATTATTTTATACCCTTATGTAATAGCATCATATAATGACTTAATTTGTAAGTTCATATGGGATCTTTGAGTAATTTTAAACAAATTCTTTCAACACACATTTATATCCTTAGAGAATGACTAATGTCCTTGAGTAGGCATCTCTGGAACAAATTTAGATTATTTGAAGGGGGCAAAAATGAGGAACATCTATATCAGAATAAGCACTGCTATGCCACAGAATTGAAAAAAACAAACTTTCTCTGGCTTGATGCATGAAAAGGTTATTTCTCATTCATACTACATGTCCAGTGTAGATCATCAGGGGTCTCATTTTAATCAATCAGAGATTCAGGGTGGCAAAAACTCTATCATCTCAGGATGCACTTTCATGATTACCATTATAGAAACAAGAAGCATGATAAATCATGTACTGGTGCTTAAAGCTTCTACCCATAAGTGACATTGCTTCTCCTGTTCACATTTTATTGGCCAAAGCAATTAACAAGGCCAGGTCTAACTTCAAAGTGGGACATGGATATTCAAAACAGCTACTGAGAAATCTCAATTTAAATGGATTCGTATCTTGGTGCTGTGGCTAACAGAGAACACAGTATAATTTAACAGTTGAAAGCATGGGTTCTCAAGTCAAATGCCTGTGTTTGGAGTAAGGGCCCCTAGTCACTAGTTATGTGACCATTGGTAGGTGAAAATCTCTATGCCTCAATCCCTATTAAAGAGGTTCAAAGAAAACAGCACCTACCCGGTAGAATTGTTGTAAGTTTCAAATAAGATAATGAACGTAAAGCACATAGTGTAACATCTGGTACGTGATCAGTGTTCAGTAAAAAGTGGCTTCAGTCATTTTGATGATGAGAAGGAGGAGGAAAAAGGAAGATGCAGAGGAAGAGGAGGAGGAGTTGTGTTTCACCTACAGATCCTGGGCTGCAGTGCTAGGATGGACTTCAGTCTCAGAATTCATTCATTCATTCAACAAATATTTATGAAGCTCAATGCCAAGAGTTAAACATATAATACTGAGCAAAAGAGACACAGTGCCTGCTGTTTTAGATTGTATAGTCCAACCAAAATTCTATGAAAAGATATGTAGCTGAGGCAGAAGTATCCCCATTTCTAAGATGTCTTCATCAGGGCACTGTCTACTGTTTCATGCTTAAACCATCTTGCCTTACATATGTCTGCCTCTTGCCCTCTGATTGCTTGTATAATCATACCAAAGGCTTACCCTGGCATTCCAGAACCTTTATTGCCTACTGTCTCTACCTAGTGGCAGGTTTGCTTATAAGCCTAGATCCCCATGGTATCACACTTCTTGGCATTGCACACATGGCCTAGCCTCTTGCCCTTTTCTGCCCTGTTCTGCTGCTACCCAAAAATTTCCAGTAACACAAATCTCCAATAACACAAACTGGGCAATGCACTAATACTTTAGGACATCTTCTGTCCTATGTTTCTCCTCTCTTAGAGGGCAGATGAAACAAAGATGAAACGAAAACATGGAGAAAGAAAAGACAAAGCAGGAGGCAGTTACTCTCAGACAGAAGCATGCTCAAAACTTAGAGAAATTTTAAAAGCCAAAGAAATAAGTCACTTTTTTCTTTATCCTACATCAAGTCCTAAAGCATCCAAAAGGCCCTATCATACATTCTTAGCTGCCTACAGGATCTCAGTGGGGGAAAAAAATTAAAGGGTTCAGGCCATATAGTTGTATTGGCAGTACCTGTTACTTGCCAGCTTCCCTTCCTTGCACTTTGAACATTTCTGTGCTATTTTTAATCATGAGAAGTTCAACAGCAGAAATCACTCTGCACAGTCTGAGAACCAGTGATGCTAAATCAAAAGACTATATTCTTCCTTTCCCTCAATGGTTGATAGAGTTCAAGCTCATTCTCGTGTGGATCCAAGAGAGTAGAATCTCAAAGGTAACTTTCCCTTGCAGTAATTGTTCATCATTAATGTTGCCTTCAGAAGTGCATCTTAGGCAAATGTTCATTTCTAAGTCTAAAATAATCATTAGCTGGCAATCATTAACACATATGAAAGTAATCTCTACGTGCTCATATTTGAAAAGCACATATAATTTTTAAAGTCTTCCCCTAAAATTAAAAAATATATTAATCTACATAATAGCCAAACAGATTAGCCCACTTTCATTGTTAAATTAAATTCAATGTAGCATAGATACTTTAATAGGAGAATCATATCGTAAATATGCCAAAGGATTAATTGATCTCATTTAATTGAATCTGAGACCCATAAACTATAATACCTTGTGCTGCCCTAATTGCATGTGATGTTGTAAACGATCAACTCCATGTGATGGATGTGTCTAAGCTGAGATGTATCTATTTGTCTGGCATTTTTATGATCTCTAATTTCACTTAAACTTTAAAATGCCATTAAAATACAGCATAATCAGGATTTGGGGAAAAAAACAAGCTTTCAAAACTCTGCACAGATGTGGGTTATTAGGTTTAGGCACTCTGAATTTACCAGCTATATATTCAGAAGACTTCCCCAGTGATTGCCACAGAATTATTAACAAAATCCAGAGGCCCCGGAGCTTCTTAAATGCTTATGAATGATTTGGCTTAAAAGGTTTTTGCAGTCCTTATTTGCATAGTAAAACTGGCTTCAGCCATAAGTTTAGGGAGAAGTTTTAGAAGCTCTGACATGGCAAGTTACCATGAGAATATTTTCCCTGTGGGGAAACGAAACTCAAATGTGCTAATTAAGGGTGCTTAATATACTTCAAAATTAATTCTTTGTTACCTGCGGTGGTTTAATTATTCCCTTATGGAAAGCTTGGAAATGCCCTGCATCTTTAAGTACCAGTGGGCCACACATTGATACTAAGTCAGCAGCCACTTTGAAAGTATTTCTTCCACTTATTGACTACAGGGCAGTGGCAAAAGAGAAAAGGACTTTAGATGTCACAATAAAACAGTGAGACAAATCTCCACTGGTGGTTTGCAAAATCGGTTTCATTGATCTCATCATACCTCAAATAAAAGAACCTTCCAGAAAAAAAGGTCTTTATAGCAATAAAAATGAAGGGAAGGAAAAAGTTGTAATTAACACCAGGCAATTCTAACTAATCTCCAACCAGCAGGAGCAGCCAGCCAACCCTGACACTTCCCCACAAGCAAGTAGCCTGCCCTGTCCACAGAAGAAAAAATCAAACATTCTCGGAGGATATTGGTTGGACTCAGAGATAATTAAGCATATATGAGAGTATTTATCTTAAGTAAGAGACTTGAGTATTACCCAGGTAACTATTGTTTCTTCTGGAATTCTTGCATCAGGGAGCTCTATATAGTTATGGGACACAATAAAAAGCTCTAAATGTTCAGCTCTAAATGTAGGTACAAGTCATGGGCTCAAACATCACTTCCTCTGGCGGCAAACTCTGACCATATAATCTAAAGTTGCTACCTAATCTATCAAATTACCCCATGTTATTTTCTTCACATAGCTCATGGCCATCTGAAATCTTCTTGTGGGTTTAGTTATTTACTTGTTTGTTCTTGTCTTCCCACCACAGCATGTGGGCTTGGGGACAGCAGGGCCTGTCCTGGTCACTGTTCTACCCCATGCCTTGGGCAGCCCTTGGCAGCTGGGGCTGTTCAGTTAATCATTGTTAAACGAGTGAAATGCAGGGTTATTGGGAGGTTTTTTATGTCAAACTTACTTTTTTCTAACAATCAATAAAGATTTATTCTGGAAGCTGAGCTAGGACAGTGGCTGGATATCCTGTGTAGGCAACACGGGCCTCAGGTATTTAATCAGAATAACTGTGTGTGGACCCAAAGTCACACGTACACAGGCAAACTTTCGCACTAAAACTGGCCATCTTAGGTGAGTTGGGCCAGAATCAGTCAAAGTGTAGTCGAAGTTGAGCATGTGGCAGGATTAGCTAACAACACTTGCAGTGTTACTCATTTTCCTAGGCTGGAATCTTCTCAGCTCAACCCTCATGTGTGCTGTCTCCACACAGAACCTTCTCATTTTTGGTAGATTTAACGAGTGCTCATAGACTACCCCTTAAATGCTTTAAGAAGGACAATTCTACAAAGCTGGGTTTGGTGGTATGCAACTGTAATCCCAGCTACTCAGGAGGCCAAGGCAGGGGGATTAGTTGAGCCCAGGAGTCCTGGGATGTAGGGTG
This sequence comes from Homo sapiens, assembly GCF_000001405.40. NCBI lineage: Eukaryota > Metazoa > Chordata > Mammalia > Primates > Hominidae > Homo > Homo sapiens. Next base: position 168,441,112 of record NC_000002.12, on the reverse strand, counting down.
CTATGCTGATCAGGGTGCTATGCTGATCAGGTGTCTGCATTAAGCTTGCTTCCAATATGGTAAACTCCCTGGAATGGGGGACCACCAGGTTGCCAGAGGACGGGTGAACTGGCCCAGGCTGGAAATAGAGCAGGTCAAAACTCCTCTGCTGATATGGTTTGGCTCTGAATTCCCACCAAAATCTCATGTCAAATTGTAATCCCCAGTGTTGGAGGCGGGGCCTGGTGGGAGGTGATTGAATCATAGGGGCAGTTTCTAATGGTTTACCATCATTCCCCTAGTGCTGTCTCATGATAGAGTTCTCATAAAATCTTGTTGTTTAAAACTGTGTAGCACCTTCTCCTGTCTATCTTCCTCCTGTTCCTGCCATGTAAGATATGCTTGCTTCCCCTTCACCTTGCACCATGATTGTAAGTTTCTTGAGGCCCTCCCAGAAGGAGAAAACTGTACAACCTGCAGAACCATGAGCCAATTAACCTCTTTTCTTTATAAATTACCCAGTCTCAGGTATGTCTTTATAGCAGTGCAGGAATGGACTAATACACCGGCTGATCAGCAGTGGGACTGTGCCTGTGAATAGCTACTGCACTACATCCTGGAAAACATAGCAAGACCTGTCTCTTTAATAAAATATTTAAAATTTTTATTACTAAAAAAAGAAAAGAAAATGCTATAGACTGCTTCAGGGAAAGATGGACAGCTCAGTCAGCAGGACCTAAAATGGGCAAGCTTAAGTACTGACACACATATAATTCATGTTAATGCACGCCAGTTTTCCAAACCTGGAGGTGTTTTCCTCTATGGCTGGGACTGAGTAGACAAGTTGAGGATGCTCCATAACTTCCTTATATTCAGAGTGCAGGGAGGTCAAGTGAGGCTGCATTTGTAGGTACCTAGTCAGGCATGAGCAGGGCAAGAGAACGCTCCCCACCACCACCAGGAATGTCAGGCAACTATCAGGTGATGGTCAGGTGGCTGTTACACTGTTTCTCTAAAATAATAATTGGTTGCAGCCAGTGCCAGGGAAAGGCAATCTCCTAATAGATAGAAAAAACCCGAAACTGGTGATCAGCAGCTTCCCAATAAGATCTCCGGAGTTGGGCCAGAGAGCTCAAGCATGCCGATTAAGAGGCAAAATGGTAGAGTTTAACTGGCATTTGACCTTCTAGGGACATTTGGCTGGTAGGGGAAGAACACCTCAAGTGAGGATGTGTACAACTCCAGCACTGCACATGCTCCTCTCCCAAGTGCTAGCAAGCCACTGCACACGCGGATAGCCCACCTCAAGGAAAGAATCACAGGAAAAGGAATGCAAGACCCCGGAAACATGCCAACATATAAAACCTCAAGTCAAAAGTCAAACTGCACACTTGATCTCTCCAGTCACCAGCTTGGCTGTCTTCCAAATGTACTTCCTTTCATTCCTGCTCTAATTTTTTAAATAAACTTTCACTCCTGCTCTAAAACTTGCCTTGTTCTCTCCTTCTGCCTTACACCCCTCAGTTAAATTCTTTCTTCTGAGGAGGCAAGAATAGAGGTTGCTGCAGACCTGTACAGATTTGCTGCTGATAACATACTTTAATTCTTTGAGGCTCCTGGTATATTAAAATAAATAATAACAAAATGGCTCTACAGAATTACAAGCTGGCCATTTTAGAAACTTCCTAATTAACATTCACACACACAAACACAATGCAATATAATTGTGCCATCATCAGACAATTATGAAATCTATTTAAAACACATGAATTATAGAGCACAATGGGTAGTATAGACTAGCACATACACTTCAGGCTGATAAGGAATGTCTTCTCCCTCTAGAGCTGTCAGTGACTCTCGGGAGTTCTAGGACCCATTCCATTTTGACCTACATTGGTAGGGTCAAATGTCTACACCTGAGGCACGTGGTACGCTTAGGAAGTCTAGGCCAAATGCCCTGTGCAGGTGTCTACCCTGGCCCCTGGGCCGACCTGCCTCCTAATGTACAGAAGTCATAGTTGCACTCCAGTTACTCTCTTCTTCCAAACAATGTCAAAGTGTTTCTTCTACAGGCTTGGTGAACAGTTTGCATAGGTTTGCATGTAGGTATTACCTCTTAACTTACTTAAACATGAGGATATGGTTTTCTATGCCTTCTATAACCCCCCTAATTCAGCAGTCAACCAGTAACTGTTTTGACCGGTGGACTAACTTTTAAGCTGCACACCAGAGCTACTCAGCGCCTGAGGGTAAGCATGGCAGCCCACATGGAATTAGACAGTTTATAGGCTGTTGTCAGTTTGAAAAGAGAAATTTTCACTGAGGTAGAAAGCCTGCTTTATTTTCTCGCAATATCTGATTCCACCTACTCTAATCTAGTCGGCAGCACAGACAGAGGCGTCTGCTCAGGCTTTACAAGGTTAGCCAAGGTAGAGATTATATGGGCATTGCAGCGATTACTTTTCTGGACTCCAGACCATTCTCACAAAGGCTACTTAACAAGGATGAGTCTCTTCATAGATCTCAGTGAAGAAGACCTCTACAGTATCAAAAAAGAATAACAAATCATTTGGAAAAATGTCATGTCTTAGGCTTTCCATAAAGAGAAATTATTTCAATTGTATAAAGCTAAAAATACAAAGATAAGCAAATGTAATTGAAGAGGCCAGGAAAAGGCTATAACTGTGAAATAACCCTTCTCCGCGCCCTTCCCTCTCCCCGGTCACTTTCAGGACTGTAGTGGATTTGCTCTTCTCCCACATACTTTCTCCCCTCTTGGAAACCTTTGCCTTCCCTGAGAATGGCTGCCAGTGGTCACCATCTGGCCTCTGGTTGAGAATGTAAGCACAGATCTCAGCCTTTTTCCCCACCGTTGGAGTATACCTAAGTAACGTGAGAGCCACATGAAAGCCAATGCCACTAAAAATCCAACCCAAGGAAACAAAATAGAGCACTGGAGGTGAAAGATGAGTCTGGCCCTCCCTTTGGGGTGCCCCAACCAGCTTGGAAGTATGCAAGGTGGATCCAAAAATCCTGTCCACTAGAGGGGTTACAGGAGCTACGTGGTATTGAAAACACCTAGATAATTCTGCCACTCCTCTGCACAAAAGCCTCTGAATGGCTCTCCCTGTCCACAGGACAAATCCAAACTCCTTTTGGACAAGCGGGGCCCACCACAACTGGCTTCCCTTCTCTCTTTCCTGATCCATCTTTTGAGGCTCTCACCCAAACCACCTAACTTTCTATCCATCTCCTGACAATTCAACCTTCTTCTCTCCATACCATGCATTTTAACAGACCATTTGTCTTCTTTTTTCTTAATATGATTTCTCCGTTTAGAATGTCTTTCCCTTTTTTCTTTTCTACCTATCAAAATTGTATTTATAAGTTATTTCCATTGCAAAAACCACATTCTAGAATTTCCCCTAGATCACATCAGGGTTAGAAGTAATCCCTCCCTACTTGGTGATCCCAGAGAACCCTAAGAGCCCTCCCTACCATGCATGTTGTCTTCTCTATTGAACCGCTGGCTTCCTCAAGCAGGAACAGGATCTTATTCCATTTCTATCATCCCAGGTCCTAGTGTGGATTTGTGCACACAGTGAGTGTTTAATAAAGTTTGGACTAATTGGATTTCTTAGGAAAACAACAGCTAACAGCTAATTTGAAGCTGGAGACAGTTGATATAAACTATAGAAGAGTTCAGGAGTCTATTAATAAATAGGGTCTATTAATAAATTGGGTCTATTAATAAATCCCAACTTCACGTCTTACAAGCTGTGTGGACTTGGACAACTCTCAACTGTCAACATCTTTAAACCTGAGTTTCCTTATCTGAAAAAAACGGCATCTTTTCATACACATGCCTAACGGTATCTACCTCATCTAGCTGTTGAAACTAGATGAAAGCATTTAGCACTGTGTTCAGCACTTAGAAAGAATTCAATGCATGTTACTTCTCTCCTCCTGCACCTTCTCCTTCTCCCTTTTCCCCTCCTCCTTCTCCTCCTCCTCATTATTACTATCACTACTATTACTAGTAGTATCCTAATCCCATGAGGGAAAGGCCAGCTGTGGAATGTAGAGTCTTCTGCTACCTCCCCCACAGCTGGGCTCCCATATTTGAGCTACATCTTAGCAAGAATTTTTCTTCTTGCAAAGAGTTCTGAAGCTGTGGCCTTGTTATCTCACTAAAGTAGAAAGAAGCCTGGGAAAACTTTTTTTTCACAGCTTTGAGCAGTGTACAAAAAGAGAATTTGTTTTTGAGTTAACTCCTCTTTTGTTTAGGGAAAACTACCTCACTGTTCTTTGAGACATCCAAATGAAAAGGAAACGTGCACCCATTGTTTTGGCAGCAAAGTGAGGTCACCTATAACCAGAAGACCCGTGTTTAACCCTGGAAGTCAGAGGTTATGTTTGGTACATAAGTTCTTGTGTTATGAGCTGAGCTTTCCCTGTAGACTTTGTTGCAGTTTTTTGGTGGAAAGGAAAAACATAAGTCTTCCTAACCCTTGTAGAAGTAAGTTTGGACACCCAGGCTGAATTATGGCCTGTCCTAGATAGCATAAGGATAGGATGGGGTGGATTCATTTGCGTTTTTTTTTTTTTTTTTTGAAACAGAGTCTTGCTCTGTCGCCCAGGCTGGAGTGCAGTGGCATGATCTCAGCTCACTGAAAGCTCCGCCTCCCGGGTTCACGCCATTCTCCTGCCTCAGCCTCCTGAGTACCTGGGACTACAGGCACCCGCCACCATGCCTGGCTAGTTTTTTGTATTTTTATTAGAGACAGGGTTTCACCGTGTTAGCCAGGATGGTCTCGATCTTCCAACCTCATGATCTGCCCACTTCGGCCTCCCAAAGTGCTGGGATTACAGGCGTGAGCCGCCGCATCCGGCAGCTGCTTTTTTTTTTTTTTTTTTTTTTTTTTTTAAAAAAAAGACAGAAATTAGCATCAGTGAAAGGAAATGAGAATGACGTGGAAATGAAATGGAAGGATCAGCTTCCATGGACCCTGTCATTCTCTGGGAAAGGCAATGCTACTTCTCTGCCTAGGTGACAAGACAAAGTGTGGTTTAGAGTTGGTATGTGTGTCTTTGTTCCTATCTTTGTGCAAAACCAGTTCTCCTCTGGCTCCCCCAGCTGCTCCTGTAGCGAGAAGACCCAGCTCCCTTGTCACTGATGATCTCAGAAGTCCCACCATTGGCAGAGGAAACAAAGTCAGGGTATCTGTCTCGCAAAGGACAGATAGGTTTGTAGGCACATAAGACACACCTCTTTAGGAGCTATAGAAATAGTGAGAAAGAAATTTTAGGGAAAACAGTAAGATCAAGGACTTGAATTATTAGAGGTTTCAGCTCTTGTAATTTGGACATTAAAATAATCGTGATCTTGTATTACCACCCCCACTCCAGGTTTATGAAGTCTGTGGCATACTTTCTATAATAGAAACTGAAATCTATTATTTTAAATTTATCATTTCTTTAAAAATTTAAAGCTGGAAAGAATTTGGGGTGGGATATAGTATAACACTGATTTTTTTTTAAAGCATGGATTCTGGAAACCAGTAGATTCCTATCTTGGCTTTTCTTTTTACCAGTTGCATAATCACAAGCAATTTATTTATACTCTTTAAGCCTCTGGTGTTTCATCTATAAAACACAAGTGTGTGGCAGTTTATATTTTCCAAAAGACAGCTGCACCAATATATATTTCGTGCCACATGCTAGTCTCATGAACTGATGTTGATATTCCTTCATCAAGAGATGGGGTCTGTATTCCTTTCCCTTGAATCTGGGCTGAACTTTGAAACTGGCTCAATAAAAGGATGTGGCAGAAGTGATGACTTCCAGCCAGGGCTTCTGCGTGGTACTTTCTCTCTCTCTCTCTCTCTCACACACACACACACACACTCACACACATTTGCCATTGAAACCCAGTCACTATGGTGTGAGGAAGCCCAGGCCACATGGAGAGGCCACATGTGGGTGTTCCAACTGATATCCCCACCTAGACCCATAGCTGATAGCCAGCGTCAACCACCAGACGTGAGTGAATGAGCCTTCAGAACTTTGCAGTCTTCAAGTTCTCCAGCTGAGCCAGACCTCATGGGGCAGAGATAAATTATACTTCTTATGTTTCATCTGAATTCCTGACTCACAGAAGCCGTAAGAGCTAATAAAGTAATAAATAAATTTATATTTAGTAAATAATTTAATAAATTAAACCATATCTAATGCATGGTGGTATTATGAGGATTGAACAAATAGTATATGTAAGTGCTCAGTAATGTTAGATATTATTATTATTATAAAGGCAGCTACTAAAGGTAAAACTTGGAGGTGAATGGGGGCTGTCAATATATACCCTTTTCTGGCTCTCTTAACAGATAACTGGGGAAAAGAGAAGTTGAAATGGAAGAGAAACCAAGTTAGTAGATAGTTGCCTGTGGGGTTTGTGCTTGAATCAACAGTCATGTGTAGACTTTGTTTTCACTCCTTTAGAAAAGGTCATCTTAAAGCTCCTGTAACCAGAACCTCAGGATAGAAGAGAGAATATATTTGTTTGGGGCCACTATCATGTCTGGGGGCCTCACAACTCTTAGCCCACCATCCGGTGGCATGCACCAGTCTTTAACAGAAGCTCACTTCTGTATGAAATTATAATGATCTCTCCAGTCAGTTACCCTCCAAGTAACCTATCGTGCTGATCTAATATTAGTTTCCTGGAATATTTCAGTAAGATATCAGCATGCCATAAAGCCCTTCTGTAAATCCATATGGCTTTAATGGGAACTTGGCCAAATGCCAGGGAACTTGGCCATATGCCAAGCTTGTCTTGTGTCACTTGGTAATTGCCACTCTGTCATCCTCAGAGTTTGGTCTAGTTTCCAGAGCCATCCATAATTTTGATGTGGATACATGTGGACCATTGAATATTTTGGGGAGGTTCACAGTGATTAAGGATTTCAATCAGAAAAGGAAAGATAATGGTCCATTTTTACTTCTAACCTTTTATTTCCACATGCAAAAAAAAAGGTTATCAAATGTTAGAAAGTCACTTATGGAACAAGGACAATGAAAATCAATTGGGAAGTATAGTTTTTTTCCTCTGCTTATGAATATGTACTGTGTAGAATCTGGGATTCATTCAGATTATAAGCCATTATTTTATAAGCAGTGATGTGAAAGGAGAGGAAAGGCTTTGGTGGTGGTGTCTCTGGCATGGTAGCTAAGGAAATGACTTTTAGGTTAGATGTCATTTTAACATCCCTTAAATCATCCTTTAACCTTGCTGACGTTCACATCCTAGTAAAATTAGATACCGCTTATTAAGTGCTTTTTCTTGTTCTAGGCACTGTACTAATTTATCATAAGAGTTGAGATGTCATCCAAAGCCTGCCTTGCCCACTACACAGCATTGCCTCTCTGCTGCTGGCTGAGATCCCTTCTCCACTCTGTGTGTCTAGAGGCTGCCACCATTCAATGCTTAGCTCCAGTGTCACCTCCTCTCAGATGGCTTTCTGTCCACCATGCCTCTCTGTGTCTGCCCTACCACATATACAGGACATACTCCCCCACTCCTCTCTAAACTTCTATAACAATGCTGCCTAATAGAAATAATGTGAGCCAAAGATGCAATTTTGAATTTCTAGTAGCCACGCAAAAAAAGTAAAATGAAACAGGTGAAATTAATTTTAATATATGCTTATTACTTAACCCAACATATCCAAAATATTATCACATTAACATGTAATCAGTATTTTAAAATTGAGATGCTTTGCATTTTTTTCAGTAAATCTTTGAAATCCAATGTGTATTTTACAATTAATGGTGCATCTCAATTCAGACCTCATTTCAAATGCTCAATAACCAATTAACTGGCAATTATTCTATTGGATGGAGCAGTTCTATAGCATTCAGCACGTGTTATTTCCATCTTATTTTATGTACGTTTCTCAAGAAATGGGGGAACTCTTCTATGTATTTCCCAACATTGCTAGAGTACTATGCCTAATAAATGCCTGAGTCAGTGTGAAAGTCAAGAAAACAAGTTATTGTGCCATGCTGAATTTCTAGAAGAGAAGTATCTCTACCACATCAAGGCACAGGTAGTTCTCACAAAACGAAAAGCATTTTTGCACAGCAGAGCCCGGGAAGCTGCAAGTTGCTCTGTGGGCTGAAAAACATCCTTGAGGTCAAAGTTATGAAACTGACAAGGACAAAAAAGAAAGACTGCACTGGGGGCTGTGAAAACAAGGAGACAGAGACAAAGCACCCGGCCACTTTCTTGGTTAGCATTTAAAAAATGAAAATGAGATGAACTGACAATGATGAGAGGGTACTCAGCTGCCTGAAAAGAACAGAGAAATAATTGACACTTCAATGTAAAAGGATTCTTTAAAGCTCTCCAGTGTGGCAGACAGTTGAATCACATCTTGAGCAAATATTTCCAGCATATAAAGGTGACATATTTGGAAAAAAAATACTATTCTTTTTGGTCAACTATTCCTTTTGGTCACTCAGATTATATCTGGTTGACTCAAAATAAAACAGGTAAAATCCATTTTTTAAAAGAAAAGTTATTAATGAATGTTCTAAAAAGTTGCCCATTATTTTCAGTTTTTTCTTTTTTGCAATGAGCAGCTGTTAAACTATGAGAATCCAGCTTCAGAGTATATTTATTGTATTGTTTGCAAATTTGTATTAAACATTGCCCTGGAGACTACGAAAATTAGTAACATATCCTAAAATACTTTTTGTGGGACTTCACTGTTCACTTTTATATGCATTATCTCATCTTGATTAAAATCTCCAGAACATTTTATGTCACTCCCATAGATCTTCTGTCAAGGATTCTTGAGTTGATAAAATCAAAATTGCAGACTGTTGATTTGAAACTCATGTTAATTTATACAGTTTCAAAATGATGAAAACTCAGTCTTCTTTAAAACCATAGCTCCCCTTTTCTATACATACATCTTTTAGTACACACCGGTCGATTCAATGTGGAAAATCCTCAGATGCTGGCTTTGCATGCTGAGATAATAGGGTTTTGAAAGGGCATTTGACTAACGCACTTTGATTTCCAGCAAAAACATGTAGTACGAAGATTGTCACCAGCCAAGGACCACTAGTAAAATATGATAAGGTTCAGTTTGTTTGTTTGTTTTTTAAAGTCAAGGAGCATTCTAACCCTAAAATGTCATCCTCAGAATGACTGTCATTCAAGAGGAGGCCTGAAACCAGTAAGAAAGCCTTTAGGCACTGTTGTCTGGGCACTGAGGCTCCATCTGCAATCTGCACATGAGCTGGCTGAGGACACCTTGTCCTGGGGAGTCTTTTTGTGTTCTCACCATCAGGCCAAGTAGCTCACACTGCCCAAAAGTTCACCAACTGTAATTTGATGATTGGTAACTGAAAAAATAGAGTATGATGGTACTTCTTTTCTCTTTTTCAAATCTTGTGCTAATTTATATTTAAATCCTTCTAAGTATTCAGAGAGATAAAGCAAAGCTTTCTTCCCTCACATGGCCATTTAGAGCAGAGTGTGGATTGCCTCACTATATGCTTTTTACACCCAATAAAGCTTAGAGAGAAACTGAGTTCCCAGGAGCCTGAGAGTTGATAGTTTTAAAACCCCTCTCATCAGCATTTGAAAGGTGCCATTGAATTTTCAATCAATATTAACCCAAGATGTTATGGTTGTGAGAATAGAGTCATTTTCTGAGGGCATTTATGTATATAACTAACAGGAAGGAAAGTATGTTATCTTAAAAAATTGAATGACGTTGAAAATTCCACACTGATGGATCTTTAGTAACAAACAGGTTTGGGAGGGGATAGGCTGAAAGACTGTGGGAAAATAAGAGAAGGCTTTAGGGTCATGGTCATGGTACTTGTTCATTTTTATAACAAGTAATTTAGACTGTCACCATGACTATCTTGAAATAAAATTTAAATGAACTTAAAAAATTGAATATACTTTCCTAATGGTAATATAAAGGAGAAATAAAAGGGAAGCAATTTGAGGAATACATAAAAATATGTCTACCATATACAAGTGTTTGGCCAGGAGGACACTACAAAATACACAATGAAGGAGTAAGATGCTTGTGGGACTCACAGAATCTGGAAAATGAAGAGGGTAACACTCAAGCTCTGAACCTCAGGTGTTGCCTTGACAACACCACATGCACTGTTGCCATCTTTAAAGATGTGACATCTCTAAATAGCAAAGACCCTTGAGGGAGTTCCAAACCAAATGCAGTCTTCCCTCAAAAAGTCCCAAATATTTTGTCTTTGTATGTAAAACAGAGTCAGATTCTAGACTCAGATAATTATAAACAGTGTTTTTTTTAACCTGGGGACATTTGAAAACGACAGGAGATGACAGATAATTTTTCATTGTGTGTGGCTGTCCTGTACATTGCAGGAAAACTAGTATCTCTGCTCTCTCCCAAATGTCAGCATTGACTCCCAAACATTGCAACATCCAAAAATATTGCTATAAATTCCTCTGTGGGCACGACCTAGGAAGAAAGAAGGCCCACTAACCACGGCTGGAGGCAAGTTTCTAAAAAGACAAGCAGTAAGAAATTCCCAGAGTGGTCTTGTATTGCATTTTAAGCAGTTACTATGCTGAAATCTCCTATTTTTGGCCCTAAACCTTCAGCAAAGCTGGAGAATCAGTCTTGGGGATAAGTAGCCATAAGTAATGCCCCATATCATACCATGAAGTTTGGTGAAGACTTCGCCACTCCTACCACAGAGCACAGACCAATCAGTGTGCCTAGTTGCCACTACTGCTAGACTTTCTGCCGTCATTGACTCAGGAAACCAAACGCAGCTCCACAGGCATCACCCTCAACTGCCTCAGGACTGCTGGGTCTCTGCTTCTCCACATCCCTGGCGTCCACAACCAAGTGGGGTGAATGCATCTGATTGGCTCAGCTTCTGTCACGTGCCCTTGTCTTAACTGCAGGGGAGGCTGGGAAAATGTTCAAGCTTCTTCAGCTTCCATAGGCAGGTTCTGCTTCCCTCAAACTTAGGAAAGGGCTTCAGATGTGGAGCAGCCTAAAAGAATGACACATGCCCACTCTAATTAGCTGGCCAAATTAGTTCTACAGAAGAGAAGTACCTTGGGATTTCGGAGCAGAAAGTGATGATTCTGAGGAGGCTTTAGAGGAGGGGAGATTTGATCAAGTCTTGAAGGATGAGAAAGTTGGTAGGGTTGTAGGTAGGGATAGGAGAAGGATTTCGAGAGACACATATGGAATGACAATATTAAGAATGCTGAACTGGGGAAAACAAATGCAAGGTTAGGAATCCAAGTTCACCAGAGCTGAAAGGTCAAGGGGAGTCGGTGAAAGACAAGACTGGAAAGGGCAGGAACAGCACTGGGGAGTTACGGAGGGTTTGACGACAGTGCTAGGAGGTAGCTCTGAGCTGCTTGACAGGGGTATTTGCATATCTTTCGTATTCACTTGCACTGCTTTATCAAAAAATAATGTCCTTGGCAATTTGAATCCCAGTCTTTAAGATAACACATCTGTGTTTATGAATTACCAGGAGTCTTTTTGTTTTTTGTTTGTTGCTTTTGTTGCTGCTTGTTTTTGTATTCTTTCTGGTAATGGGACTAACTCCTTTTTACTTTGAATTTGTATTACACTGTATCCACAGAGAAATTTCACAAGTGTCTTTTACATTATTTTAACAATCACCCCCCCACCACCTACAACTTTAAATTAAATATCATGATCCATTATTTCCAGCACTTGTTGCCCACCTAACATGTACCAGACTCCTTATTTAATGCTTTCACCAGGATATTTAATTTCATCTTAAAATTATCCTTTAAATACAAAGACATAGGATCTGAGAGAGTAAGTAATTTGCCCAATGGCACCCAGTTAGGAAGTGGTGGGATAGGGGTTCTAACTCAGTTCTGCCTAATCTAATTCCTGATTGTTTCTCCCAATCAGAATGCAGTCTGAAATGATGCTCTTTTTTAGCGCTGTGCTAGCAGGAAGGTCTGTGAAGTTTGCAATAAAGCCATTATGAAGTCAAGAATGGAGGTTCCATTTTTAAAGAACTCAGAGGGGGTAGATCTTGATTGACATCTCATCTGGGGTCACCTGGTCTTCAACTGAGAGATCTTTTGGTTCGCCACGGATGCCCCTTGCAGTTATGGAAGGTAAGTATAGTCTTTAAGCCATTTTTGCTTGGTTGTCCCAACAACCCTGCCTTGAAGTGATATAAACTACCTTCCTTGGAACAACCTTGGTGGTACCAGGTACTCAGGTGCTGCCTATTTGGTGCACCCTTGTGCAGTAAAGTTACACCTGAAGGAATCTACTGCACTCTTGCCTCATCTTCTGAACCAAGGGCTCCAAGTCCTCTAGAGTAGTAAGACAAACCAACATCCGTGGACTAGAGGTTATGATGGAGAAACAAGGGTAAGTGGAGTCCAATAATAACAAGCTATTTTTGTGTCCGCTTCATCCTCACCCCACCAAAGCTTGAGCAGAAACTTTATGATGTGGTCCATTCAGTTTAACCTCTAACATTTGCTTTCCCTTTTTTTTTTCTCTAGTTCACTCTTTGAGAGAGAGATAAATAAACATTAAAATGTAAAGAAAAAAAAAATCAGCAATGGAAGGAAAAAGGAACAAAAAGCAATCCATTGGCGTCAAGCTTGACTGGACCACTCCACTGCTCTGCTGCCGTTAGTGAACCTGACCCTGCAGCAGGAGTCACAGACTCACCACTCACCTCAAGTCCTCACTCCCTGGACCCTCAATCTACACATCACTTTGTCTTTTATTTCCCTGAGAAATACAGGCCATCAGTTTGCAGATCCCTCCTTTCCCCTTACCCTGCAAATCTCCATCTATTTGGAAAAGTGTGCCTCCTACATTCCAAAGCTAACCCCTCCTCCTCTGCCACTAATATCAGCCCTACCTGCCTTCTTCTGTAACTTGCTCCATTAATTCCCTCCCCTCTCCCCCAGGTCTCCCTGCCTATGAACATATTCAAGGACATCATATCTTAAAAACAAACAAATATCAGGCACAATGGCTCACACCTGTAATCCCAGCACTTTGAGAGGTCAAGGCAGGAGAATCACTTGAATCCAGGGGTTCAAGACCAGCCTGGGAAACATAGGGAGACCCTATCTCTACAAAAAATATTTTTTAAAAAAATTAGCCAGGTGTGGTGGTGTGCACCTGTAGTCCCAACTACTCAGAAGGCTGGGGTGGGAGAAATATTTCAGCCCAGGACGTCACTGTGCACAATTGCTTTACTTTTTTTTCCCTTGGTATAGACTTGTTGAAGAGTAAGCCTTCATGTACTGTTTCCTCACTTTACATTCACTCTCAACTGGAGACAATATAGAGTCTTCGCAGATGCAGCTTTCTCCAGACCAACAATGTGGTTAGACATCTGGTTTTTCATTGTTGTTGTTTGATTTCTCTGACTAGCTTCCCTGACCAGAGGTCGTTTTGAGTTTCCTTCTCTGGAATTTGACCACTGAGCAGAGACACATAGGAGAGAAGACGTGAATGCTGAGTCATCAATCAGCATCACTGGGAAGAAAAAGCCTCTCAGTTTCTTCTGCTGGGACTCCCAGAGCTGGAGTATTTTCTGCTCTTCCTAAGGCCTGGTAATTCAGCTCTTTGTGAGACTGTGAGCTTTACCATACCCTTCCAGTAGCAACCTTCTTCTTTTTTAAGTTCATTGCGGGGAATAGGGAGTGATGGCTGATGGACATAGGGTTTCTTTTTGGGGTGACAAAAATCTTCTAAAATTAAGTGGTGGTGATGGTTGCACAATTTTGAATATACTAAAAACCGTGAATTCTAAAGTTTAAACAGGTGAATTCTGTGCTATATAAATTGTATCTCAATGAAATTACTAATATTCTAAAGCCTCCCAAGTGACTTAGATGTTCGGTGAGTGTTGAAAGCCAGTTATTTATCACATCCTTAAGTCCTGCTACCTTTCTCTCACTCTCTAAGTTCAGTTTCCTCTTTGGTTTGACTTGGACCAATCTGCAACAACTCTTGATGTTTCTTGTAAATTCTATGACTAACTCCCAGAGCTTCTCCTGTCTATCTGATACGCATTTAGCTTCTCCTTTCAGGCCTCAAACAGCATGTTTAGAACAGAACTGATCTTCTTCTCCCCAACCTGCTTTACCTTTTCTATTTCTCACTCAGTTACTGGCACAAACTTCTCCATATATGTTTAAGAAGACCTCTACTTTGACTTTCCCTGCTCCTTCTAACTTACATCCAATTAATCAAAACGTTGTATCAGTTTTATTTCTGAAACAATCTCTCCCATCTTCCTTATCTCTTCATTCCACTGCCAGGTCTGAGTCCACCCTTTACTATTTTCTGTTGGATTAAGGCAAACCTCCTGTAAAGAGCTGCCCTGTCTCCTGCAGTCTCATCCTCCAGTACCCCTTCATGCCTACACTGAAGTCCTCTTCCTAAAACAGGAATAGGGTTAACTCACTCACCTCCCCTAAACCTGTTAGTGGCTCTGCACTGAGTACTGGATCAAGTCTAATGTAATGAGAAGGCCCATTCAATCTGGGCCAAACTTTCCTTCTTAGCCTAGTGTCCTCCTATGCCCCCTGCACAGACCTTAGCTCCAATCACACTAACCCATGCCATTACCTGGACACACTGTGCTAGTCTACACTCACGTGCCCCCAGCTCACATCTCCCCTTTTCCTGGAATGCCATGTCCATATGGCCTGGAGAATGACCTAAAGTTAGTGCCAGCAGAGAGCTTATCAGTAGTGGGGCAGATCACAGGGGAGAGCAGGTTTTGGAGCTAGGGTGAGGTGTCAATGAGAAGAAGGGTGATTTATTAAGAAGTAAGCTCATTTCAAGCCATACACCTGAAACCTGACGCCCAAAGAGGAGGCAGAGACCCAATCAACTACTGATACAGTTTGTGAGGCTGGAGACTTGAGAGAACAATAGGTTGAGGCAAGTGTAACCAATGGATTAATTCCTTACCAATCTAGGATTCCTGGAGCGTGGAGTGCTCCAGGCCTGGTGGCACCAAGACTTTAAAAAGAAAAACCATTACACAGTGAGATTTGGTCTCTACACAAAATTTAAAAATTAGTGTGGTGTGGTCGCACACAACTGTAGTAACAGCTACTCAGGAGGCTGAGGTGGGAGGATCGCTTGAGCCCAGGAGTTTGAGGCTTCTAGGAGTTTGAGGCTTGCTATGTTGCTCAGGCTGACCTCCAGCTCCCGGGCTCAAGAGATTCTCCCGCCTCAGCCTCCTGTGTTGTTGGGACTACAGGCACGCACCACCATGCCCTGCTGGTTAGCTGTTTTTAAAAATTATTTTTAAAGCATCATTAAATTTCTCATACTGAAAAAAATGGCCTGGATACTTTAAGAAGAATAAGACAGATTTGAGCATTCAGCAATCATAGCTGAACTTCCTAAGAGACTATAGCAAGCTGGTTACTAGGGAAATTGTTTTTTTCCTTACTGAAAAAAAATCCGGTGTTAATATATCATTTTAGATGTGTAATGTTTAGGGGTCCTTATTGTTCAAGGAATATAAAGTAAGAGGGGCCGTCTCTCATTGTATAATATAAAACAAAAAAGAAAAAGTATTGATCTCAGAGAGAAAGTAAATTGTAGCTAAATTAGAGGAAGAAAATCATGCCTCTTATTTATCCTTGACTCCCCACTGACCAGCACAGTGCTCAAGAAATTTATTAAATGAAAAAAGAATCAGAAAAAAAATTAAAGGAAGAAAAAGAGGAAGGAAGAAAGTTAGGAAGGGAGGGAACATATCTTAAAAGAAACTGTAAACCAGTCTGTTCTGGTTTTTTTTTTTCCCCTCCTAGTTGCCAATTGAAGTTTCTTCTTAAAAATAACCCTATGTCAACTGAACTAAGTTAAAACGTGCTAACCTGGGAAAGATAAAAAGAAACATTATGTCTCTATAGGTTCTTTGTGATGAAACAAATCCGCCTCAACCCAGAACACTAGCAAAGCGTGGGGTAAGGCAAATAAGACTTAAAAATTTTGATGATTTGTAGAAAACAGAAGTTCACAGTTCAGCAGTTCCTTCTTGCTTGGGATGATCTTCACAACACCAGCCCCCAAATGGAAGGGTAACTAACTGCTCCAGTTCAGTTGGCTACCTTGTGAGGCTGGCATCCATTCCTAGCAAAAATGGGCAGAAATGGGGAAATGCCTCCCCTTAAGACCATAGCTTTTCACCTTGACCTTCCTCCATTTTATCTACTCCAGAAGGTCTCCACCAAGCTCCCAGCAGCACAGCATGCTCAAAACCTGACATATCCATGGTAACTTTTCACAGCAATGTGATGAAATTTGAGAAACAAACCAGAAATGTAATGTGATCACCCACATCATATCAGCCTCACAGGCAATCAAGAGCTTGGCTTCAATTACAAAATGAACTCCAGAAATCTTCCAACAGTTAGTCAATCCCAGCCTTTCACATGAAAATGTATTTAATTTACATAATACTGTGAAGAAGGTATTGTTATGATCCTCACTTTGCAGCCTATGGAAGTAGGGATTAGTCCTTGATGAAGAGTCAGAAGATGTATGTACTTTCAAAAGTGATTTAATATGGAAACTGGAAAAAAATTATAAAACATGTAATGGAATCCTAAATAGGATACTGATAAGGTTTGGCTCTGTGTCCCCACCAAAGTCTCACCTTGAATTGTAATAATCCCCACGTGTCAAAGGCAGGTCCAGGTGGAGATAATTGAATCATAGGGGTGGTTTTCCCCATACTGTTATGATAGTGAGTTCTCATGAGATCTGATGGTCTTATAAGGGGCTTTCCCCCTTTTGCTCAGCACTTCTCCTTGCTGCTGCTGTGTGAAGAAGGATGTGTTTTCTTCCTCTTCCTCCGTGATTGTAAGTTTCCTGAGGCCTCCTCAGCAATGCTGAACTGTGAGTCAATTAAATCTCTTTCCTTTACAAATTAACCAGTCTTGGGTATGTCTTTATTAGCAGCATAAGAACAGACTAATACAGATACCCAAAGTCATTGGTATTAGGACAAAGGAGCAGAAATTCATAAAGGAAAGACAGAGACACAGAGAGATGGCTGACTTTTTTCTTAATGCCAGGTTTTAGAAATGAAAGTATTTAAGGCTTTGATAATATATATTATCAAATTATATTTCAAAGTGTGGTAATAATCTACAGTCCTTCCCAAAAGTCCTGAAAATGTTTATTTCATTTCATTAGATATGATACATTTAAAAGTCCTTAAACCTTGATACACAAGAATATATACAAATAATTTTGCACTTTCTTCAACATTTTCTTGTATGTGTGATAAATACATTTCCTATTCTGTGTATTATCATTATGGTTTTTATACTTTTCATGTTTTAATATTTTAAATTATTTTATAACAAACGTATTAACCTTTAAAAAGAAGACAAATGTAGACTGTCTTTAATTACATTCTGCATTAGAAACCATAAATATTTTAGCATTCAAATTCATGCAGTCGAGAAGAGTCTTAAAAAATTCTGTAGGTGTTCAAATGAAAATATAAAGAGATTGGAGAAAAATTGATCTCAAGCAAGAGAGAGAATAAAAATCACTCGTAAGAAGTATAGGTGTTCTCATGGCTAAATTTGGCAGTGGTGGTAAAAATGGGAGGTGTAGATAAGAAGATTTCAAATAGAAGAAATAATCAAGAATATATCCTTAAAACGCTGAGTTGAAACATAAAACTGAAATACCATTATATAGGTGATTCTATTATGCAACCAGAGTTGAGAACCACAGATCTCATTGATTTATGCAGTCCTTTCCATCAAGAACCCTCTCTGACTTTAAATTCAATGTATCAGTACATTGATATTTTATCACATCCACTTCCTTTCTGTCCGTAGTCACCTTGGATGGACAGTTTACACAATAATTTGTAGAAATAATAATAATAAAATAATGTGGAGAAGAGTTTCCACAATAATTTTTGGAATTTAATGATTTTGACATTACACATAGTCTTAATGGTTTGATAGAAACAAATGTGTGACTTGATAAAAGATCAGCTGATCTCATGAATTCTTAAACACAGCTCTTTAAGGAATTTTTCCTTTTATAAGGAATCATCATCTTAGAAAAACATTTAAGCTTTTAATATCATTGGACTTGCTATTATTTTTAGTTTATGAATTTTTTTAAAAAAATTAGAAATGAATTAAAATTAATGGCAGAAATACCTTCAAATACTTTCACACTGACTAATCTGAATGGGGTTAGGGACAGATGACAGCAACTCAAAATGACACAGAGGAAGAAACTTCAGACTTCCTGGGGATTTTCTGGTAAACTCTGACTAAAAACTAACTCCTCTGATTGTGCAGCAATGTTCCCTGCTAACATAGCCTTCCTTTTGGACTACCAGCTTTTTTTTTTTTTTTTTTTTTTGAAACAGAATCTCACCTTGTCACCCAGGCTGGAGTGCAATGGCATAATCTCAGCTCACTGCAACCTCTGTCTCCCAGGCTCAAATGATTCTCCTGCCTCAGCCTCCTGAGTAGCTGGGATTACAGGCGCCCATGGACTACCAGCTTTTTAAGTAGACTTTTTAGCCAAAGGCCAAGGGAAACTACCCTCTTCCTACTGGGGTTCAAATTGATTAAAATGGTTTGCTTTGACTTTTGTTGAAGTCTCTTTATTTTCTTTTTAAGATTATGTTAAATTATAATCCACATTGGCTTTCTTTTTACAGGTAAACTTTTTCTCTTCTAGATTTCTAGACGGCCTTCCCCCACTTCGCTTCTCTCTCTGCCATTTTCCTCCCCTCTCCCGCCTCCCCAAGTTAGAAGAGGCTGACAAAAAGAGGCTCATCAAAGTTAAATGTTGCCAACATAAATTGGTCCCTCTTCTCTTCCTTGATGTGACTGGTCTCTCAACCTATTGATGGCATCCAGTTCCAACTTTCCTCTTCTCATTTGGGACATTGGGAGGAGAGTAGTCTCTATTTTTAATAACAAAGTAGTAAGTATGTAATGCCTCTCTTGACTGTGCAAAAGACCAAAACTGGAGAACATTTTATGCTTTGATTTTCTTTCTCTTTGTTAAAACTTAGATAAATTATCTCTTGGGAATGGAATGTTCCAGGCCTTTCTGTTTCATCCTCTCTTAGTAACAGTGTATCGTTGTGGGTTTACAGGTGAAGAAAATATCATCAAATGACAAATGGCCATAAAGATCTCTCACCCAGATTATCTAATGGTTTTACTTATGCACAGAGACTGTAGGCTCTGACTTTTTAGAGTTTTATAATCCTTTTAATAACACTTTTTTTCATTTATAGAGAACTACAGTCAGGCAGGCAGAGTATTTTCTGATTTGGATGAGTTCATAAGACATGTACATTATGGGAATTATATGATTGCTCCACCTGCATCACATCTGGACCACCTCTGGACTGAGCTGTAGGGATGCAGGGAAACCCTGCTAAGTGTCAAGCTGCACCCTGTCCTGCTGGTGCCCATGCCTAGACCCTCATTCCATTGTTCACAGAATTCTATGCCTTGGGATTTTGTCTCTACTTGTCCAGAACTCCTAATTCCTTCACTCTTCCACATTCTAGGTCCTCCTCTATCAATTTAAGTACCAGATCCCTGTCAGCTGCCTTCCCCAGACATTAAGTCAGAAGCTCAGTTTGATGGCAGGGTGTGTGTTTCCAGGTATGGAAGGGTCATGGGGGAAGCCACCACTCTCTCTGAACATATTCCCACCAAATGGCGATTATTCCAACAATTTCTCAAAGTATATGTTAACATAATGATTTTTAAGACTTAGTAGAAAAGCCCTTAAAGAAGTGAAATATGAGAATGAAACATGGCGATGAGATCATGAATTGAATAGAGAAGGGAGTTGAAAAGTTCAGCCAACCCATCCCTTCTGCACATCCAAAAGTAGGGTTCAGTCTGGGGGACTTTGTGTGCTTGGCTTCACACAAGAAAGAAGTCAAAAGCGATCTGACAGAAAAAAAGCAAGAGGAAGTTGAATGAAATAAAGGAACAAAGGGAAGACTGCTCCATAAGCAAAGTAGGGTTACCCCATAGGCAGAATAGCATTGTGGGCTGCTCACTTGTTATATTTGTGATTATTTCTTGATTATATGCTGAATAAGGGATTGATTATGCATGAGTTTTTTGTAAAAGGGGCAGGGAACTCCCAGAACTGGGGTTTTCTCCCCAGTTTAGACCATTCAGGGTAACTTCTGAGTGTTGCCATGGCAACTGTACACTGTCATGGCACTGATGGGAGCGTTTTTTAGCATGCTAGTGAATTATAATTCATGGATAATGAATAGTGAAGGTCACTTTCACTCCACCTTGGTTCTAGATGGTTTATTTATTTATTTATTTATTTATTTATTTATTTATTTATTGTTGAGACAGAGTCTTGCTCTGTTGCCCAGGCTAGAGTGCAGTGGTGAGATCTTGACTCACTGCAACCTCTACCTCCCAGGTTCAAGCGATTCTTCCGCCTCAACCTCCCAAATAGCTGGGACTACAGGTGTGCACCACCATGCCCAGCTAATTTTTGTATTTTTAATAGAGATGAGGTTTCACCATGTTGGTCAGGCTGGTCTTGAACTCCTGACCTCGTGATCTGCCTGCCTCAGCCTCCCTAAGTGCTGGGATTACAGGTATGAGCCACTGCCCCCGGCCTGGTTTCTTTATTGTTATCCTCTTAGCAGCAGGGGCTTGTGACCTGTTGTTTACTGTCTCCTGTCTTATCAGTGGGGTCATGTGGCCTGTTGTCTTGGAGACTACGACTGCCAATTCCTATCTCAGTTCTGTGGGCTGCCAGGCTCAGTCCAGGGTGGATAGACCAGGGACAAGGGTCTGCTCTGAGCATCTCACCTGCCCGAACTCATGGCATCTTCCTACCCTTCCCTGCTTTACGTCATCCTCTCTGAACTTGCCTCTTCCATCCTGTTGACTTGTGGTATGTGCCATTCCACTACAAATCCAACCAAAGTCACACTCTTGTTCCCCTCAACCTCTTGCCCCACAACTCATAAGACACAGTCATTCCTTTAAACTGGGCTATAGTCTGGTTGGAAACCCCCATGAGCAGAACTTAAAACAAGGAGGGCAGGAGAGATGGCAAAGGAAGACTGTTTGGCCCTGACTTCTTATTCACAAAGAACTCATAGATTTTTAGCCTGATCTTTTATTGCGGCATTACATACAACCACAAAGATAATGACAGGATTAAAAGACAAACATATTCATCATAGAAATTTACATTTTTGTCTTTCATATGTCTACTATGATTTCATATCTTTCATGATTTGTAGCTGATGACTAGCATACTTACTTTATTATAATTTGTATCAAAAGCCTACTGTTAATTGTAAACAATATATAATCATTGTAGGTCTATTTTGCTATTTCATCATTTTTAATATGCTAGAGCCTCAGGAAAAAAAAAAAAGAGGCGGCCCAAATTTCTCTTGTTTTCTGAGTGGCTCTATAATAATATGACAATATATGATGAGCACTATTGCTACTCAGAATTTGAAGTTAGCATGGACTGGCATAACAGAAGATAAATTTCAGGAGAGATGAACTTTAGTCTTTCCCTCTTCTACTGTTATTATGCCTTACCAGAGATTTTCACCTTTTTGGCCTCTTACACAAAAAGAATGTAGTATTTTCTTACCACTGACGTCTTACCTAAGCCTCAAGGGAACTGGCACCTCTGCTTCATTTGCTATTTACTCTCAGCTCACTAATGCATCATGCCCATGCTCTGTTAGCTGGAAGAGTCTGAGGAGTTGCAGGAAGGAGTCTCTCGGGGTAATTTTTCTCTATCCTCTCTCCTACCCACCCTTCCACCCCCACCACAACCAGAATCAAGTCTTTCTAAAAGAACTCAAAGAATTCCCCACAATGAACTTGGCTTTCAGACCCTCTCTTCTGTTTTTCTTTCCATACCTAACCAGTCCTGTTCAGAAAAGTGATCTGATTATTCTAATCAGAGACCTTTTAGAAAAGAAAATTCTAAAGACACTTTGGGCATTTGATCTGCATATGTACATTGTATGAAAGCAATTTATAAGTACCTTTTTAAAACTTTGCTTACCTGTGAGAGATTCAAAGGGAAAAAGTTACAAAGAGTAATAAAGCAGATGTCTTATTTGGCTATTTTGAATTACACATTTTAAATATTTTGTCCTGGGACCTGGCATGGTACCTCACGCCTATAATCCCAGCACTTTGGGAGGCTGAGTTGGGAGGATTGCTTGAATGCAGGAGTGTAAGACTGCAGTGAGCTATGACTGCACCACTGTACTCCAGCCTGGGTAATAAAGCGAGACCCTGTCTCTATAAATCAATCAATCAATCAATAAATATGTTGTCTCATTGGCTCTTAATCTTTTATTTATTTAAGAAATAACACACTACATATATAGATCAGTGTTCTTTAAACCCTATCTCCAGGATTATTCCCTCCCCACTTTCCACACCCTTCTCTACTTGTGTGTTTGAAGTGTTGTCTGTTTTCTTCCAGTCTATTCTGCAAGAGAATTACATTAATCTCCATGTAGTTTTACATATATCTAAATATAGATATGTGTACCGATACTTATGTACACATATATACTATGTCTGCATTTTAATGCTATGCATAAGATAAAAATACATGTAATATTTTCTTTTTTTTTCTTTCTTTTTTTCTTTTCTTTTCTTTTTTTTTTGAGATGGATTCTTGCTCTGTAGCCAGGCTGGAGTGCAGTGGCACGATCTCCGCTCACTGCAACATCTGCCTCCCAGGTTCAGGCAATTCTCCTGCTTCAGCCCCTCAAGTAGCTGGGATTACAGGTGCCTGCCACCATGCCTGGCTAATTTTTGTATTTTTAGTAGAGACAGGGTTTTGCCATGTTGGCCAGGCTGGTCTCAAACTCCTGACCTCAAGTGATCCAACTGCCTCGGCCTCAAAGTGCTGGGATTACAGGCGTGAGCCACCGCGCCCGGTCATATTTTCTTTTATATATGGTTAATATACATAAACAGCATCATCTTGAATGTATCAATCTCTATCTTGCCTTTCTTTTTCAGCATTGCTTTTGGTGTCTATTCATATTAATATTTATAAAGTTAAAGACCTTTTAAACTACCACTGAATATTAAATTGCATGGATATAATACATTTCATCCCTTCATTCCCTCATTGATGGTCATTAAGGTTTTTCCACTTATTTACTGTTAACAGTGCTTCCATGAATATCCTTGATGTTTCTCCTTTTTGTAATATCTGTGTTTTTCTAGAGAGTGTACTGAGACATAGAATTAATGGATTACAGGATATGTATATTTTTACGTTTACTAGATGCTACCATGTCATATTCCAAAGCGTCATACCAGTTTCTGCTCCAGTTTCTATTGTCCTTTTAAAATTAATCTGTAGGACTTCTATATACATGACGTGAATATTAATCCTTTGCTAATTATTGTGCTAAAAATACTTTTCCCAGTCGTTTGCTTTTCTTTCAACTTTTTTCATAGTGTATTTAACTATGTGGACATTTTAATTTTAGCATAGTCCAACTTATCATATATTTTTCCTTTTAATTGATGGTTTTTGTTTTATTTAAGAAATACGTAACTGTTACATTTCTTATTCAAAAATTGCCTTGACTATTCATGTACTTTGACTCTTCTTTATGAATTCTGGAATTAGCTTGTCAAAATTTCTGAAAAATTATTTTGTAATTTTTATTGGAGTATATTGAATTTATTGATTAAATTGAGAAGATATTTTAAATAATAATATGTCCTTTCAGTTTTATTTATTCAAGTTGTCTTAATATGTCCTCTAAAAAAGTTTATAATTTTCCTATAAAAATCCAACTTTTGAAAAATTAATTTCTTGGCATTTTATACTTTGTGCTGCTCTTTGGAATGATTTGGTGTAAAGAAATTGGTATAAAAATACTATCGATTTTTTTTTAATTTATTTTTTATGTTTTAAGTTTTGAGACAGGGTCTCGCTCTCTCACCCAGGCTGGAGTACAGTGGCAAAATTATGGCTCACAGCAGCCTCAACCTCCTGGGCTTAAAGGATCCTCTCACTTCAGCCTCCCAAGTAGCTGGGACCTCCGGTACTCACCAACATGACTGGCTAATTAAAAACTTTTTTTTGGTTTGTTTTTGTTTTTTAGAGATGGGGTCTTACTGTGTTGCCCAGGTTGGTCTTGAAGTCCTGGGCTCAAGTGATTCTCCCACTTTGGCTTCCCAAAGTGCTAGGATTATAGGCATGAGTCACCACATCTGGCCTCACTGAGAAAATTTTGCTGAGTTATCTTATTCATTAAAATAGTTTTTCCACTTCTTGTCCTGACTCTTGATAAGATTATCATATCATTTGCACATAATGACAACTTTGTCTCTTTCAGAAATGAACAATGTGGTTAACTTTTAAATTTCCAAACCACAATAAATTGAATAATGCTTAGTCTAACTGATACATTCTCTAATATTTTTACTGCTTATTTTCTACATTGACTAGGACTCCTAGGACAGTATTGAAAAGTTATGGTCTCCTCACTCTAATGGAAATACTTTAAAAGTTTTATCATTAAATCTATTTGCTGAAGGATTTTTAAAAAATATTCTTCTCTTATTAGGTTAAGGGATTTTCTTATTTTCCTAATCTGCTAAAAAAAATTCTTTTCATGAGTAAGTGTGTGATATGGTTTGGCTATGTCCACCCAAATCCTATCTTAAATTGCAGCTCCCATAATCCCCACATGTCATGGGGGGGTCCTGCTGGGAGGTAATTAAATCATGGGGACAGGTTTTTCCCCAGCTGTTCTTGTGATAGTGAATAAGTCTCACAAGATCTGATGGTTTTATACAGGGAACATGCTCTTTTGCCTGCAGCCACATAAGACATACCTTTGCTCCATCTTTACCTTCTGCCACGATTATGAGGCCTCCCCAGCCACATGAAACGGTGAGTCCGTTAAACCTGTTTCCTTTATAAATTACCTAGACTCTGGTATGTATTTATTAGCAGTGTGAGAATAGACTAATACGGTAAATTGGTACCAGTACAGTTGGGTACTGGTGTAAAGATAACTGAAAATGTGGAAGTGACTTTGGAACTGGGTTACAGGCAGAGGTTGGAACAATTTGGAGGGCTCAGAAGAAGATACGAAAATGTGGGAAAGTTTATAACTTCTTAGGTACTTGGAGGACTCAGAAGACAGGAAGATGTGGAAAAGCTTGGAACTTCCTAGAAGCTTGTTGAATGGCTTTGACCAAAGTACTGATAGTGATACAAACAATAAAGTCCAGGCTAAGGTGGTCTCAGTTGGAGATAAGGAACTTGTTGGGAATTGGAATAAAGGTCTCTCTTGCTATAGAAAGAGACTGGCGGCATTTTGCCCCTGCCCTAGAGATCTGTGAAACTTTGAACTTGAGAGAGATGATTTAGGGTATCTGGCAGAAGAAATTTCTAAGCAGCAAAGCATTCAAGAGGAAGCAGAGCATAAAAGTTTGAAAAATTTGCAGGCTGATGATGCAGTAGAAAAGAAAAACCTATTTTCTGAGGAGAAATTCAAGCCTGTGGCAGAAATTTGCATGAGTAGTGAGGAGCCAAATGCTAATCGCCAAGACAATGGGGAAAACATCTCCAGCACATGTCAAAGATCTTTGTGGCAGCCCCTCTCATCACAGGCCCAGAGGTTTAGGAGGGAAAAATGGTTCCTTGGGCCAGGTCCACAGTCCCCCTGCTGTGTGCAGCCTTGGGACTTGGTGCCCTGAATCCCAGCCACTCCAGCTCTGGCTAAAAAGGTCCAAGGTACAGCTCATGCCATGGGTTCAGAGGATGTAAGCCCCAGGTCTTGGTAGCTTCCACATGGTGTTGAGCCTGCAAGTATACAGAATTCAAGAATTGAGGTTTGGGAATCTCTGCCTTGATTTCAGAAAAATGTATGGAAATGCCTGCATGTCCAGGCAGAGGTGTGCTGCAGGAGTGGAGCTCTCATGGAGAACCTCTGCTAGGGCAGTGTGGAAGGGAAATGTAGAGTCAGAGCCCCCACACAGAGTCCCCACTGGAGCACTGCCTAGTGGAGCTGTGAGAAGACAGCCACCATCCTCCAGACCCCAAAATGGTAGATCCACAAACAGCTTGCACCATATGCCTGGAAAAGCTGCATACACTCAACACCAGCCCCTGAAAGCAGCTGGGAAGGGGTCTGTGGCAAAGCCACAGGGGCAGAGATGCCCAAGGCCACTGGAGCTCACCTCTTGCATCAGTGTGACCTGGATGTGAGACATGGAGTCAAAGGAGGTGAGATCATTTTGGAACTTTAAGGTTTAATGACTGCCCTATTGGGTTTTGGACTCGCATGGGACCTGTGGCCCCTTTGTTTTGGCCAGTTTATCCCATTTGGAGCAGGTGTATTTGCCCAACGCCTAAACCCCCATTGTATCTAGGAAGTAATTAACTTGCTTTTGATTTTACAGGCTCATAGGTAGAAGGGACTTGCCTTGTCTTAGATGAGACTTTGAACTTGGACTTTTCAGTTAATGCTGAAATGAGTTAAGACTTTGGGTACTGTTGTGAAGGCATGATTGGGATTGAAATGTAAGCATATGAGATTTGGGAGGGGTCAGGGGTGAAATGATATGGTTTGGCTGTGTCCCCACCCAAATCTCATCTTTAAATTAGCTCCCATAATCCCCATGTGCTGTGGCAGGGACCCAGCAAGAAGTAATTTAATCATGGAGACAGGTTTTTCCTGAGCTGTTCTCATGATAGTAAATGAGTCTCATGAGATCTGATGGTTTTATAAACGGCAGTTCCCATGCACATGCTCTCTTGCCTGCCACCATGTAAGATGTGCCTTTGCTCCTACTTTGCTTCCTGCCAAGATTATAAGGCCTCCCTAGCCATGTGGAACTGTGAGTACATTAACCCTCTTTTGCTTTATAAATTACCCAATCTCTGGTATGTCTTTATTAGCAGCGTGAGAACAGACTATACGGTGTGCCTTATAGAATGTTTTTTCTATAGCCATTGAAATAATCATTTGAAAAATCAACTAATTTCATGAACAATATTGATAGTACATAGATTTCTGCTACTGATCATTATTTTATTTCTGGAATATATAGTACCTTATCATCAGCACATGTTAGATTCAATTTGCTTACGATTTATTTAGAAAGTTTGCATCTGTCTTGTTTATTACACAATTAAAAGCAGTGCCTGACTGTGTTCCATTTAAATATTTGCCTTTAATTTTGCTACTTTGACTTATTAAGGATCTGAGAAAATAAATAAAATATCATTTCTTCAAGGAGAACTTCTCCACACTCCAGCCTAAATTAGATCCCTTTTAAACCCTCTTATAGCATCCTGTATTATAATTATACACTTATCTGGAAAGTTGTTTATTGACTGAGTTATCAACTAGGCTTTAAGTTTCATAACAACAGGGGATTCCATCTATTTAATTCACTGCTATAATCTTAGTGCCTAACCTGTGAACAGTATGAGGAAATTTCAAATTGAAGTTTCTAGGAAAATTGAATTAAAAGTAGATCCAGGCAAGATGGCCAAATAGGAACAGCTCCAGTCTGCAGCTCCCAGCAAGATCAACACAGAAGGTGGGTGATTTTGCCATTTCCAACTGAGGTATCCAGCTCATCTCATTGGGACTGGTTAGACAGTGGGTGCAGCCCATGGAGGGTGAGCAGAAGCAGGGTGGGGCATCACCTCACACAGGAAGTGCAAGGGGTCGGGGAACTCCCTCCCCTAGCCAAGGGAGGCTGTGAGGGACTGTGCTGTGAGGAACAGTGCATTCTGGCCCAGATGCTACGCTTTTCCCACAGTCTTCGCAGCCCATAGACCAGGAGATTCCCTTAGGTGCCTACACCACCAGGGCCCTGGGTTTGAACCACAAAACTGGGTGGCCATTTAGGCAGACACTGAGCTAGCTGCAGGAGTTTTTTTTCAAACCCCAGTGGCACCTGGAGCACCAGTGAGACAGAACCATTCATTCCACTGGAAAGGGGGCTGAAGCCAGGGAGCCAAGTGTTCTAGTTCTGCAGATCCCACCCCCATGAAGCCCAGCAACTAAGATCCACTGGCTTGAAATTCTCACTGCGAGCACAGCAGTCTGAAGTCAACCTGGGATGCTTGAGCTTGGTTGGGGGAGGGGCGTCTGCCATTACTGAGGCTTGAGAAGGAGGTGGTTCCCCCCTACAGTGTAAACAAAGCCACTGGGAAGTTTGAACTGGGCACAGCCCACCGCAGCTCAGCAAAGCCGCTGTAGCCAGACTGCCTCTCTAGATTCCTCCTCTCTGGGCAGGGTATCTCTGAAAGAAAGGCAGCAGCCCCAGTCAGGGGCTTATAAATAAAACTCCCATCTCCCTGGGACAGAGCACCTGGGGGGAAGGGGTGGCTGTGGGCACAGCTTCAGCAGACTTAAATGTTCCTGCCTACTGGCTCTGAAGAGAGCAGCAGATCTCCCAGCACAGTGCTCAAGCTCTCCTAAGGGACAGACTGCCTCCTCAAGTGGGTCCCTGACCCCCGTGTATCCTGACTGGGAGACACCTCCCAGCAGGGGTCGACAGACAGCTCATTCAGGAGAGCTCTGGCTGGCATCTGGCAGGTGCCCCTCTGCGACAAAGCTTCCAGAGGAAGGAACCGGCAGCAATCTTTGCTGCTCTGCAACCTCCACTGGTGATACCCAGGCAAACGTGTCTGGAGTGGACCTCCAGCAAACACCAGCAGACCTGCAGCAGCGGGGCCTGACAGAAGGAAAACTAACAAACAGAAAAGAATAGCATCAACATCAACAAAAAGGACATCCACACAAAAACCCCATCTGCAGGTCACTAATGTCAAAGACCAAAGGTAGGTAAATCCACAACGATGGGGAAAAACCAGTGCAAAAAGGCAGAAAATTCCAAAAACCAAAACGCCTCTTCTCCTCCAAAGAATCACAACTCCTTGCCAGCAAGGGAAAAAAACAAAACTGAGAATGTTTGATAAATTGACAGAAGTAGGCTTCAGAAGGTGGGTAATAACAAACTCCTCCAAGCTAAAGGAGCATGTTCTAACTCAATGCAAGCAAGCTAAGAACGTTGAAAAAAGGTTAGAGGAATTGCTAACTAGAATAACCAGTTTAGAGAAGAACATAAATGACCTGATGGAGCTGAAAAACACAGCATGAGTACTTAGTGAAGCATACACAAGTATCAATAGCCGAATCGATCAAGTGAACGAAAGGATATCAGAGTTTGAAGACCAAATTAATGAAATAAAGCATGAAGACAAGATTAGAGAAAAAAGAATGAAAAGGAACGGACAAAGCCTCCAAGAAATATGGTACTATGTGAAAAGACCAAACCTACATTTGATTAGAGTACCTGAAAGTGACAGGGAGAATGGAACCAAGTTGGAAAACACTCTTCAGGATATTACCCAGGAGAACATCCCCAGCCTAGCAAGAACGGCTAACATTCAAATTCAGGAAATGCAGAGAACACCACAGAGATACTCCTCAAGAAGAGCAACCCCAAGACACATAATCGTCAGATTCACCAAGGTTGAAATGAAGGAAAAACTGTTAAGGGCAGCCAGAGAGAAAGGTCGGGTTACCCTCAAAGGGAAGCCCATCAGACTAACAGTGGATCTCTCTGCAGAAACCCTACAAGCGAGAAGAGAGTGGGGGCTAATATTCAACATTCTTAAAGAAAAGAATTTTCAATCCAGAATTTCATATCCAGCCAAACTAAGCTTCAAAAGTGAAGGAGAAATAAAATCCTTTACAGACAAGCAAATGCTGAGAGATTTCGTCACCACCAGGCCTGCCTTACAAGAGCTCCTGAAGGAAGCACTAAAAATGGAAAGGAAAAACCGGCACCAGCCACTGCAAAAACATACCAAATTGAAAAGACCATCGACACTATGAAGAAACTGCATCAACTAATGGACAAAATAACCAGCTAGCATGATAATGACAGGATCAAATTCACACATAATAGAATTAATCTTAAATGTAAATGGGCTAAATGCCCCAATTAAGAGAGACTGGGCCGGGCGTGGTGGCTCACGCCTGTAATCCCAGCACTTTGGGAGGCCGAGGTGGGCAGATCACAAGGTCAGGAGATCAAGACCATCTAACACAGTGAAACCCTGTCTCTACTAACAATACAAAAAATTAGCCGGGCATAGTGGCGGGTGCCTGTAGTCCCAGCTACTCGGGAGGCTGAGGCAGGAGAATGGCGTGAACCCGGGAGGTGGAGCTTGCAGTGAGCCGAGATTGCACCACTGCACTCCAGCCTGGGTGACAGAGTGAGACTCTGTCTCAAAAAAAAAAAAAAAAAAAAAAAAGAGAAACTGGCAACTTGGATAAAGAGTCAAGACCCATTGGTGTGCTGTATTCGGAAAACCCATCTCTGTGCAAAGACATACATAGGCTCAGAATAAGGGATGGAGGAATATTTACCAAGCAAATGGAAAGCAAAAAAAAAGCAGGGGTTGCAATCCTAGTCTCTGATAAAACAGACCTTAAACCAACAAAGATCAAAAAAGACAATGAAGGGCATTACATAATGGTAAAGGGATCAATTCAACAAGAAGAGCCAACTATCCTAAATATATATGCACCCAATACAGGAGCACCCAGATTCATAAAGCAAGTTCTTAGACACCTATCACACGATAATAGTGGGCGACTTTAACACCCCACTGTCAATATTAGACACATCAAAGAGACAGAAAATTAACAAGGGTATTCAGGACATGAACTCAACTCTGGACCAAGTGGGCCTAATAGACATCTACAGAACTCTCCACCCCAAATTAACAGAATATATATTCTTCTCAGCACCACATCGCACTTATTCTAAAATTGACCACATACTTGGAAGTAATTTAAAATAATTTTTAAAATAATTACTTTTAATATAATTTTAAAATTATTAAAAAATAATTTAAAAGAACTAGAGAAGCAAGAGCAAACAAATTTAAAAGCTAGCAGAAGACAAGAAATAACTAAGATCAGAGCAGAACTGAAGGAGATAGAGACATGAAAAACCCTTCAAAAAATAAATGAATCCAGGAGGTGGTTTTTTGAAAAGATTAACAAAATAGATAGACTGCGAGCCAGACTAATAAAGAAGAAAAGAAAGAAGAATAAAATAGGCACAATAAAAACTGATAAAGGGGATATCACCACTGATCCCACAGAAATACAAACTACCATCAAAGAATACTACAAACACCTCTATGCAAAATAAAACTAGAAAATCTAGAAGAAATGGATAAATTCCTGGACACATACACCCTTGCAAGACTAAACCAGGAAGAAGTCGAATCCCTGAATAGACCAATAACAAGTTCTGAAATTGAGGCAGTAATTAATAGCCTACCAACCAAAAAAAGCCCAGGACCAGACAGATTCACAGCCAAATTCCACCAGAAGTACAAAGAGGAGCTGGTACCATTGCTTCTGAAACTATTCCAAACACAGAATCCTCCCTAACTCACTTTATGAAGCCAGCATCATCTTGATACCAATACTTGGCAGAGACACAACAAAAGAAAATTTCAGGCCAATATCCCTGATGAACATCAATGCGAAAATCCTCAATAAAATACTGGCAAACCAAATCCAGCAGCACATCAAAAAGCTTATCCACCACGATCAAGTCAGCTTCATCCTTGGGGTGCAAGGCTGGCTTAACATACGCAAATCAATAAACGTAATCCATCACATAAACAGAACCAATGATAAAAACCACATGATTATCTCAATAGATGCAGAAAAGGCCTTCAATAAAATTCAGCACCCCTTCATAATAAGAACTCTCAGTAAACTAGGTATGGATGGAACGTATCTCAAAATAATAAGAGCTATTTATGACAGACCCACAGCCAATATCATACTGAATGGACAAAAGCTGGAAGCATTCCCTTTGAAAACCAGCATAAGACAAAGATGCCCTCTCTCATCACTCCTATTCAACATAGTATTGGAAGTTCTGGCCAGGGCAATCAGGCAAGAGAAAGAAATAAAGAGTATTCAAATAGGAATAGAGGAAATCAAATTGTCTATTTGCAGATGACATGATTGTATATTTAGAAAACCCCATCATCTCAGCCCAAAATCTCCTTAAACTCTTAAGCACCTTCAGCAAAGTCTCAGGATACAAAATCAATGTGCAAAAATCACAAGCATTTCTATACACCAATAATAGACAGAAAGCCAAATCATGAGTGAACTCCCATTCACAATTGCTACAAAGAGAATAAAATACCTAGGAATCCAACTTACAAGGGATGTGAAGGACCTCTTGAAAGAGAACTACAAACCACTGCTCAAGGAAATAAGAGAGGACACAAACAAATGGAAAAACATTCCATGCTCATGGATAGGAAGGATCAATATCATGAAAATGGACACACTGCCCAAAGTAATTTATAGATTCAATGCTATCCTCATCCAGCTACCATTTACTTTCTTCACAGAATTAGAAAAAACTACATTAAATTTCATATGGAACCAAAAAAGAGCCCATATAGCCAAGATAATCCTAAGCAAAAAGTACAATGCTGGAGACATCATGCTACCTGACTTCAAACTATACTACAAGGCTACAGTAACCAAAACAGCATGGTACTGGTACCAAAACAGATATATAGACCAATGGAACAGAACAGAGGCCTCAGAAATAACACCACACATCTACAACCATCTGGTCTTTGACAAACCTGACAAAAATAAGCAATGGGGAAAGGATTCTCTGTTTAATAAATGGTGTGGGGAAAACTGGCTAGTCATATGCAGAACACTAAAACTGGACCCCTTCCTTATACCTTATACAAAAATTAACTGAAGATGGATTAAAGACTTAAATGTAAAACTTAAAACCATAAATACCATAGAAGAAAACCTAGGCAATACCTTCAGTACATAGGCAAGGCCAAAGACTTCATGACTAAAACACCAAAAACAATGGCAACAAAAGCTAAAAGTGACAAACGGGATCTAATTAAACTATAGAGCTTCTGCACAGCAAAAGCTGTGAACAGGCAACCTACAGAATGGGAGAAAATGTTTGCAATCTATCCATCTGACAAAGGGCTAATATTCAGAATCTACAAGGAACTTAAATTTACAAGAAAAAAACAACCCTATCAGAAAGTGGGCAAAGTATATGAACAGACACTTTTCAAAAGAAGACATTTATGTGGCCAAGAAACATATGAAAAAAAGCTCATCATCACTGGTCATTAGAGAACTGAAAATCAAAACCACAATGAGATACCATCTCACACCACTTAGAATGGTGATCATTAAAATGTCAGGAAACAGGCTGGGCACAGTGGCTCATGCCTGTAAATCTAGCACATTGGAAGGCTGAGGTGGGTGGATTGCCTGAGCTCATGAGCTCGAGACCAGCCTGGGCAACACGGTGAAACCCTGTCTCTACTAAATTACAAAAAATTATCTGGGCGTGGCAGCGTGCGCTCGTAGTCCCATCTACTTGAGAGGCTGAGGCAGGAGTATCACTTGAACCTGGGAGGCAGAAGTTGCAGTGAGCCAAGATCGTGCCACTGCACTCCAGCCTGGGTGACAGAGCAAGACTCCGTCTCCAAAAAAAAAAAAAAAAGTCAGGCAACAACAGATGCTGGAGAGGATATGGAGAAATAGGAACACTTTTACACTGTTGTTGGGAGTGTAAATTAGTTCAACCATTGTGGAAGACAGTATGGTGATTCCTCAAGGATCTAGAACCAGAAATACCATTTGACCCAGCAATCCCATTACTGGGTATATACCCAAAGGATTATAAATCATTCTACTATCAAGACACATGCACATGTATGGTTTATTGCAGCACTATTTACAATAGCAAAGACGTGGAACAACCCAAATGCCCATCAGTGATAGACTGTATAAAGAAAACGTGGCACATATACACCATGGAATACTATGCAGCCATAAAAAAGGGTGATTTCATATCCTTTGCAGGGACATGGATGAAGCTGGAAACCATCATTCTCAGCAAACTAACACAGGAACAGAAAACCAAACACCACATGTTCTCACTCATAAGTGGGAGTTGAACAATGAGAACACATGGACACAGGGAGGGGAACATCACACACTGGGGCCTGTCGGGGGGTTGGGGGGTAGAGGAAGGATAGCATTAGGAGAAATACCTAATATAGATGATAGGTTGTTGGGTGCAGCAAACCACCATGGCACGTGTATACCTATGTAACAAATCTGCATGTTCTGCACATGTATCCCAGATCTTAAAGTATAATTAAAAAAAAAATTAGCCAAGTGTGGTGGTGCATGCTGGTGATCCCAGATATTCAGGAGGCTAAGGTAGGAGGATCACCTGAATTCAAGTCGTGGAGGTTACAGTGAGCCGTGTTTGCACCACTGCACTCCAGCCTGGGTGACAGAGTGAGATCTTATCTCAAAATTAAATTAAATTAATAAATTGAATTAAAATAAAAAAATGAACTTCATTTGTCAACATAAGTTCGTCAAGTTTAATCCATTATTAACTGAAGAAAAATGGGTGCCTTTTAAAGATTTGATAATAAAATGAAGTCCAAAGGAGCCAAATCAGGACTATAAGGTGGATGCCTAATGATTTCCCATCGAAGCTATGGTAAAATTGTGTTTGTTTAATGAGAGGAGTAAGTAGGAGCATTATTGTAGTGGGCAAGGACTCTACAGTGAAACTTTCCAGGCATTTTTCTGCTAAAGTATGGCTAACTTTCTCAAAACACTCTCATAATTAGCAGATGTTATCGTTCATTGGCACTTTAGAAAGTCAACAAGCAAATGCCTTGAACATTCAAAAAACTTTTGCCGTGACCTTTAATGTTAACTGGTCCACTTTTGCTTTGACTGAACCACTTCCACCGCTTGGTAGCCATTGCTCTGATTGTGCTTTTTCTTCAGGATTATACTGGTAAAGCCATGTTCCATTCCCTGTTACAATTCTTCAAATAAATGCTTGAAGATCTTGATCCCACTTGTTTAAAATTTCCTTTGAAAGCTCTACTCTTGTCTGCAGCTAATCTGGATGCAATGATTTTGGCACTCGTCAACTGGAAAGTTGGCTCAACTTTAATTTTTCAGTCAGACTTGTGTAAGCTGAACAAGTTGAGATGTCTATAATGTTGGCTTTTATTTCTGCTATTAATAGTTGGCTCTCTTCACCTAAGTCGTGGACAAGATCTTTTCTTTGTAAATTGATGTGGATGGTCTGCCATTGTGCACTTTATCTTCAACATCATCTCATCCCGTCTTAAAATTATTCATTTGTAATCTGCTGATTTATTTGGAACATTGTTCCCATAACGTTTTTGTAAAGCATCAATAATTTAACTATTCTTCCACCCAAGCTTCACCATAAATTTGATGTTTGTTCTTGATGTTTGTTCTTCAAGTTTAGCAGAATTCATGTTTCTCTGATAAGGGCTCTTTTAAAAGTAATATCTTAACCTTCTTAGTGCCTAAAACTAGATTCTCTTTAGCCATGCTATAGCAAGTTAGTATGAGTTTATTTTGTTGCAAAAAAAATTAAAATCCGTGCATTATTTTTTTCATAATATTCATTTCCCATGAACTATTTAAAGACCCCCTCATATATAATAGAAAGCTTTAAAAGTATTTGTGGAACACATAAATAAATAGCAATTTGAAATCTGGTAATGTGCCAGGGTCTTTCTCGGTTTAAAACTTTCCTAATGCTCCTACAACAACCCAATGTCCCTTACTTACTCCGTTGTTTTTCTCAAAATATCTTTACCTGCTTGAACTGACATGCCAAAGGGTATGTTTGAAGTCCTTAAGACTAGATAAATTCCACGTGATTCTCCTCCTCATCCACTGCCCTAGCACATCATAAAAAAGTGGGGCATTTTCTAAAATTAGAAACCAAGTGTTACTCAAATAAATGTATTATCCAGAGAGTATTTTCTTATAGTTTTCATCCAAAAGAAAATGTATAGTCACTGGCTTAAACAAGTCCTCTAAACCAAAGCACAATGAGGCACAGTTTGTTACCCGAGAGCTGCCAAATGCCAACTTTTCAAGACCAAAGATAAGACATGCTAAAGGTCAGTTCTGGGTGGGGAACTCCACTTCCCTGGGGATTTCCATAATCAAATATAGGAAGGTAGTTTTTCACATCCCAGCTCTTTGGAAGGGCCGAGAAACTCTATGAACAGGAGTGAACAATTCCTGTTTTTCTGATTCTCCTTTCCCACCAAAGATTCCTAACTTTCAACACAGTTGCTGAAGCTTAGGTGAGTTCCAGTGTTTAACAGGATACTAAAGGTAATCTCATTATTTGCCATCAATTACATCTTTAAAAAAAAGGTTCCAAGGAATTGTCAAGACATATTTTTCTGATTTCTTAAAAATATATATCTCATAATGAAGAAAAGGAACAGTTACATTTTGCCTATAGTGACATTTTAAAATTAATTAATTTTACTTTACTGTATTTATACTCAAAAATAATTTAAGGTACTTACAAATTTGTTTGCACCAATTATTAGGCTACCAACAGTGGTTAAATCTATAAAATGCACTGATAATATAGTATCATATTCAAAGTTTGTCAATTTTACAATTTAGAATTTATAATCGAGTGCTCAGTAAGTTTCCATTCAAAGGGTAATTTTTAATGAATAAATTAACTTTGTTCATAGGCAAAAATAGAATTTGAACTGGGCACAGTGGCTCATGCCTGTAAACGCAGCTATTCAGGAGGCTGAGACAGGAGGATCCCTTGAACCCATGAGTTTGAGGCTGTAGTAAGCTATGATCACAACACTGCACTCCAGCCTGGGGAACAGAGTGAGACTGTCTCTTACAAAAAAAGAGAATTTGTTTATTAAAAAATTCGTCCTTTGAATTACAACTTATAGAGGACTTACAATGTGTTGAAAGCTATTCTAGGTGCTGGGCATATAAATACATAAAGAGAATATATTCCCTGCCGTCAGGGACTTGAGAGACTAAGAAGGAAAGGGATAGTTTTGTACTGTGTTATCTTAGCTAAGATGAAACCATATTTCTCAGAACTTTCTTTCATGTATAATTTTGGTTTCCTGATGATCACAAGGTACATCAGTTTGAGATTTGGAAGGTAAAGGGAAGGGAAGCAACAGCACTGAAAGTCAGTACTGGGTACCAGGGGCTGCTGCAGCTCATACACATTGTCACTGAGCTGCTGGGTCACCTCGTTGGTAATGGGGCAGCTGGCCAGCATCCCCTCCAGTTTCTGCCTGATCTCCTCCTTCAGCTTCTCTTAGTCCCACTCCTTGCCTCTGGTGGTGAGCAGATATATGTGCATTTCCATGGTGAAGGCCACCTGATTCTTCTGCAGATTTTCCCCATCAAGGTTGCAGATAATGAGAGATAGGAGTGGGTTTCAGTCTCCTCCTGGGTTCCTGCTTGCCCTTGGTCTCCCCAACTTCATGCCTAAATTTCCTCCTGACTGCCAGTTCTGCTGACCCATGGAGACCTCAGGCTCACCACCAGAGGCAAGGCAACAGCCTTCCATAGATTTCTTCACCAGCACACCCAGTGGCATAAGGTTTAATCCCTATAATCTCTAGATATATATCAAGAGAGTAGGGTGGTTCTACCTCTCTCATCAAATCTGATACAAGGAGATAGACATTGATCAAAGAATCATACAGTGTACTATACAATTACCAATTTTGTTAAGGGATTTGAAGAAAGAGTATAAGCTGGAATGAGACAATATAGGTATAGTGCTTTTAATTGGAAAGAGCATGTCAGGGAAGACCACTTTGAAGGAGTAATATTTTAGCTGAGTTTGAGTAGATATTAGCTAAGTCATGAGTTATACAAGAGGAATGGTGTGTGCAGGAGTTCTGAGGTCTGCCCCTTTGGGGGAAGTAAAGGAGTATCACAGTAGCTAGGGTAAGGAGAAGAGGCAGCATGTATTAAAGAAAGCCCAGGCCATTGGGTTCCTGTAGTTTACCGTCTTGAGGCGTCAATCAAGGGGGATTTGACAGGATTTGACAGAAACAGGCTTTCTGTTTTTAAAAGATCACTCTGCCTGCTATATAGAGAAAATAATCACATATATTTGAAAATTAAGACCATTGAGAATTAAGCATTTTCTATAATGAAAAAGAAAATTCATTGAGAATTAATGAATTGTCTATAAAATTCAGCATTTCTCTGCCTCTTGAAATAGAAATTATATACATGTCAAAAACTCACAACATGCAGGAAAATAAAGAACTACCCCAGAGTACTCAAAGTCTGATCACCAAATGTGTGAAGGACGGTGGCTTAGTTGTTATTCTTGATGAATCATATTGCCATATCATAGATGCCTTTTTCCCTTCACACTTTTGGCAAAGTCTGAGATTTTGAAACAAGAGAGGCAAACTACAGTTTAAAGATTCTGACTACAACAATGAATTAAAAAGAGAAGGTTATTGGAACCCATGTTAAAAAAAAAAAAACATGGGAGTCTCATTCTAACAGACCTCTTTTCAAATATCACTGGATCTGTCTCTTTCCATCAGATCTTGAGTTAGCCACATGCTGATTATTGTGCCTGCAAAAAAATAAATCTCATTCTCACAATGTAGATGCTTTTCATCACCTCTGTTGCACTTCAGATTTTTCTTATATATTTTTATTCCTTCTCAGAAAGGGGGTTTGGAGCCATAATTCATCAGTATCAAGTTGGAAAACTATATTACAAATTGATTCTTTGCTAGTTTAAGTGGCCAAAAACTGAGTCATATAAGGAAAAATTAACAAGGGTGGTGATGATAATGATGATGATAATAATAATGATGGAATCTGGAATTGCTAAGAGAAGGCTGGCTTAAGAACAAGTTTTACAAGTGGAAAGGCTTAAAGAAAACACAATTATGAGTTTAGGTTGTTTGGTTTTCCCAAGGGAAGAAAACTGATAATAAAGAAGTCTGATAAGGACTGAAAAATAAAGAGATAAGAAGCAGGAGGTTATTACAGTGGGACAAATGAATAAAAGGGGTGTGGCAGTGGGAATAAAAAGGAGAGAAAATGCAAGTCTTTGAAGAAGTAAAGGTGAAACTTGGGACAAGGTGGCCATCTAGACACAGCCAGGAAGAATTTCTCCCACTGAGAGAGATCAGAATATTGAGCCGAATGACATACTCCAAATAGATCTTCAGAGACAATGTACTAAGAGTGGAGAGAGAAATGATGCAGACACCAGGGTTGAAGGTGGAGGAAGCTGGGAATTCTGCATGGGGTTGCTGAGCACCAGGACTTGTTCCTGACCTTGAACGGCTCCCAAAGAAGGGGCAAGTGAAATAAATATGGAGCATCCCACTGACACCACAGACCTCTGGGATCCTAGCTACAGGAAATCCCATGACCCCAGTGGACATTTGAGTTGGCAGGGGGCACTGCCTGGAGAGTAAGCAGAGACTGAGCTTGAATCTACACAAAGCCCAGGTGGTTTGGTGCAGGGACAGCTGCAGCAGAACATGGCCATAAATGCACATCCCCCAAGGTTCTCCAAACTCCTCTAGGTGGCCTTGGTCTTTATTATGTGCTAGACGTGAAGAGAGCAGGGCTGTCTTTCCTGTGGGAATGGGCTGAGTCTGATCTGCCTGCCCCCCTGTCTGCTGGTCCCTCCTAGAGCGCCTGCCAGGCTGTGCTAGCTCACAGCATAGATTCAGTCATCGTGCTGAGCACTGTTCCCAGCAGCCCCTGCTGCCCTACCAGAGCACTTTTACTGACAACCCCTGCCATAGCATGTTCACTCATGACCCCCACCCTGCCCCACTGGAGTGCATTTGACTGCAGTCCCCAACAGAGCACTGTTGCCAGCAGTCTGGGAGTACCTTGGCCGACTCCAGCACAGCTAGTGCTTGACCTCAAGGGGCCAAAAGAAAAAACCATAGGCTCAGTTCCAGCCCCCTTGTGTTAAAAACTACACAGGCCAGAAATGCAAAGCTGAGCTTTGGGTCTCTAAAGGCATCCAGAAATGAAGCCTTTTCGCTATACCTGACTTGCCCCACATTCAAACACTCAAGGACTATAAAGATCACAAAAATAGAAGGCACCATCCAAAGGATAACAACTTCAAAGGATAAAGGTACATCAGCCCTCACAGAGGAGAAAGAACTAGTGTGAGAACTCCAGAAACTCTAAAAGCCAGAGTGTCCTTTTCCCTCCAAATGATCACAGTAGCTTCCCAGCAATGGTTCTTAAGCAGATAAAAAATGTCAGACATAGAATTCAGAATCTGGATGGCAAGGGAGCCTAATGAGATACAAGAGAGGTTGAAACCCAATCCAAGGAAAACAGTAAATGATCCAAGAGTTGAAAGACAACATAGCCATGTTAAGAAAGAACCAAACTGAACTTCTGGACATGAAAACTTCACTATAGGAATTTTGTAATACAACTGGAAGCATTAACAAGAGAATATACCAAGCAGACGAAGGAATCTCAGAGCTTAAAGACTGCTCCTTTGAAGCAACTTAGGCAGACAAAAATAAAGAAAAATGCTTTTTAAAAATGAACAAAACCTCCAAGAAATATGGGATTATGTAGAGACCAAAACTATGACTCATTGGCATTCCTGAAAAAGAAGACCAAGCCACTTGGTAAACATATTTGAGGATATAGTCCACAAAATTTTCCCCAATCTTGCTAGAGAAGTCAACATGAAAATTAAAGAAATTCAGAGAACCCCTGTGAGATACTATACAGGATGACCATCCCCAAGA
Organism: Homo sapiens; assembly: GCF_000001405.40. NCBI lineage: Eukaryota > Metazoa > Chordata > Mammalia > Primates > Hominidae > Homo > Homo sapiens. The sequence goes on along the minus strand of NC_000002.12, from coordinate 168,400,280 downwards.
TGCATAGTCATCAGATTCTCCAAGGTTAACATGAAAGAAAAAAATCTTAAAGGCAGTTAGAGAGAAGAGGTAGGTCACTTAAGGGAACTCTATCAGGCTAACATTGAAGCTTTCAGCAGAAACCTTACAATCCAGAGGAGATTGGGGGCCTATTTTCAGCATTTTTAAAGAAAAGAAATCCCAATCACGAATTGCTTATCCACCAAACTAACCTTTACAGGAGAAGAAGTAAAATCCTTTTCAGACAAGCAAATGCTATGGGAATTCATTATCATTAGACCTGTCTTAGAAGAGGTCCTAAAGGGAATGTTAAACATGGAAACGAAAGAATGATACCTGCTACCATGAAAACACACCTAAGAACATAGCCCATTGTTACTGTAAAACAATCATACAATCAAGACTACATGACAGCCAGCTAACAACACAATGACAGGATCAAATCTTCACATATAAATATTGACCTTGAATGTAAATGGGCTACACGCCCTACTTAAAAAGCATAGAGTGGCAAGATGGAGAAGGAAGCAAGACCTAACTGTCTGCTGTCTTCAGGAGACCCATCTCTCAAGTAACAACACCCATAGGCTCAAAGTAAAGCAGTGGAGAAAGATCTATCAGGCAAATGGATAACCAAAAGGAGCAGGAGTTGCCATTCTTATGTCAGATAAAACGGACTTTAAACCAACAATGGTCAAAAAAGGACCCAAAAAAAGGCATTACATAATTATAAAATGTTCAACAAGAAGACTTAACTAGCCTAAATATATATGCATCTAACATTGGAACACCCAGATTCATAAAACAAGGTCATAGAGATCTACTAAGAGATTTAGATAACTGCACAAGAATAGAGGGAGATTTCAATACCCCATTGATAGTGTTAGATCATTGAGGCAAAAATCTAACAAAGGTACCCTGCACTTAAACTTGACACTTGACCAACTGGACGTAATAAACATCTACAGAACACTCCATCCAACAACAGAATAAAGATTTTTCTTATCTGCATATGGCACATACTCTAAGATTGACCACATGCTCAGCCATAAAGTACATCTCAATAAATTTTTAAAAACTGAACTCATACCAACTACTTTCTGGAAACATAGTTGAATACAAATAGAAATCAATACCAAGAAGATCTCTCAAAACTACACAATTACATGGAAGTTAAAAAACCTGCTTCTCAATGACTTTTGGGTAAGGAACAAAATTAAGGCAGAAATCAAAAAATTCTTTAAAACTAATGAAAACGGAGCTACAACATGGTGGAATTTTTGTGGCATAGCTAAAGCAATGTTAATTGGAAAATTTATAGCACTAAGCACCTACATCAAGAATTTAGAAAGATCTAAAATTAACAATGTAACATTACACCTAGAAGAACTAGAAAAACAAGAAAAAAACATCCCCAAAGCTAGCAGAAGAAAAGAAATGACCAAAATCAGGGCTGAAATGAATGAAATAACATACAAAAGAAATCAGTGATGATACAAAATAAAGAATCATTCCATGCTCATGGATAGGAAAAATCAATATTGTTAAAATGGACATACTGCTCAAAGAAATTTACAGATTTAATGCTATTCCTAACAAGCTACCAATGTCATTTTTTATAGACTTAGAAAAAACTATTTTAAAATGCATGTAAAACCAAAAAAGAGCCTAAATCACCAAAGCAATTCTAAGCAAAGAAAAGCCAAGAGGCATCATACTACCTGACTTAGAACTATACAGTAATCAAAACAGCAGTACACTGGTACAAAAACAGACACATAGACCAATGGAACAGAATAGAGAACCTGGAAATAAAGTCACACACCTATAACCACCTGATCTTCGACAAAGTTGACAATAACAAGCACTGGGGAAATGATTCCCTATTCAATAAATGCTGCTGGGATAACTGGCTAGTCATATGCAGAAGATTGAAACTGGACCCATTCTTTTTATCATGTATAAAAATTAACTCAAGATAGATTAAAGATTCAAATGTAAGACCTTTTAAACTGTAAAAGCCCTAGAAGAAAACAGGAAATACCATCTGGACATAGGTCCTGGCAAAGATTTCATGATGAAGATTGTGGCAAAAGCAATTGTAACAAAAACAGGAATTGACAAAGAGGCCCTAATTAAACTAAAGAACTTTGGCACAGCAAAAGAAACTCTCAACAGAGTAAACAGACAATGTACAGAATGGGAGAAATTAGCCACAAACTATGCATATGACAAAGGTCTAATATCCAGAATCTATAAGGAACTTAAACAATTCAACAAACAAAAAGCAAATAATCCAATTTTAAAATGGGCAAAGGACATGAAGAGTCACTTCTCAAAAGACGTACATGGAGCTAAATACATATGAATAAAATATTACCACTAATCATTAGAAAAAATGCTAATCAAAACCATGATGAGATACCATCTCAGATGAGTCAGAATGGCTATGATTAAAAAGTCAGAAAACAACAGATGTTGGCAAGCTTGTGGAGAAAAGGAACATTTACACACTGTTCATGGGAAAGTCAATTTGTTCAGGTACTGTGGAAAGCAGTATGGAGATTCCTCAAAGAACTTAGAACTACCATTTGACCCAGCAATCCCACTACTGGTATATACCCAAAGGAATATACGTTGTCCTACTAAAAAGACACATGCACCCATATATTCATTGCAGCACTATTCACAATAGCAAAGACATGGAATCAACCTAGATGCCCATCAACAGTGGACTGGATAAAGAATATGTGATACACATATACAATGGAATACTATGCAATTATAAAAACAAAATCATGTCCTTTGCAGCAACGTGGATGCAGCTGGAGGCCATTATCCTAACTAAATTAACACAGGAAGGAAAAACCAAATCCCACATGTTCTCACTTATAAACAGAAGGTGCACAATGAATACGCATGGACACAAAGATGAGAACAATAGATAGTGGGGACTACTTGAGGTGGAAGAGTAGGAGAAGGGCGTGGGTTGAAAAACTACCTCTTGGCTACTATGCTCACTACTTGGGTGACAGGATTATTCATACACCAAATCTCATTGACACGCAATCTGCATGTAACAAACCTGCACATGTAACCCCTAAACCTAAAATAAAAGTTGAGACAGAAAAAAAAAAGAAGTAAAGGCAATATGACTTGGAGTCTGACAGAACATGAGCAGTATAGGAGGAATATGTCTTGGGGATGACGATAAGGGTGAAACAGGAGAACGGAAGAGATGTTTTTTATTTCAAAACAATTTCAAATGTAATGTTACTAATAAAGAAGGTGCTAACTCCAAGTGTTTTCTGGAGGTCAACAGATGAATGGAGACTCCTTTAAAAATATAGCTAATTTCTATTTTTTTAGGCATTCAGATGCAGTCAAACTAATTCAGCCTAGAGATTACTGAAACCTCAGATACCTGAGAAGGAGAAGGCTGTATTTTTCAGAGTAGAACAACACAGGGACATAGTCCCTTAAGGCAGGATAGGAGTGGCTTTTAATTGGCTTTGGCTTTTCATTTTTTTGTTATGTTTGTGGCCCTGGTTTAATTAATGCAACTCAGAATGGAGTTGTCTTGATAATAGCATCACTGGTACTTTGAATCTTTGTATTCACTTGAGCACACATGCAATTATATCTAAGACAAATAGGAGTATACGAATATGATCATGCACTTGGGTATTCTCTCTGTTGAGAGTATTCCTTTGATATAAACTGTAACTTGGTTTCCCCTGAAGGCACATGTTCTGGAGGAGGAAGGGGGTGAGAGAAGGATGGTATTTGCTGCCAGCCTCTACCTACTTCCTCTCTCAACTTGTACCTCCTGGAATTCTCCCTAACATGTCTGGGCCCTTCTCTGCTCTTGAACTCTGTAAATAGGAGAAAAGATTCCATTATTTATGCAGTTGGCAAGAGAAAAATAGCAATTATTATCTGTGATGAGAAACCACTCAGATGGGGGAGCTATGAACATTCCATTACGAAGAGTAATAAAAGGTTGAAAAGCTAGGGCTACAAGTCATGTTTTTAAATTGTAAAACATATTATTCTGTAGTTTGTTTGGAATCAGTTACTGAGGGATTATGGCTCTCGACTTTGGGTCCCAGAGAGGAAGCCTTAGGGGTTGGTAGAATGTGTTCTGTAGCACGTGCTCTGATTCTACAGAGTTCCTGAAAAGGGACTTTATTGGCACTTCCAAATGCTAGGCATTTAGGTTATTTTCTGTGTCTTTTAACACGAAAGTGGTTATCAGTTCCAGCCCTAATTCTCTTGTAAGGCTGCCACAGATGTTGAAAATCCTTTTAAATATTATTAGGTTGGTGCAAAAGTAATTGCGGTTTTTGCCATTATAAAGAATTATCAAGTAGCTTCTTTCTATTCTCACCTTTTTCCCTTCAACTAATACATGCACAAATCACTATGTTGCCTTAAAATTTTTTTTTTATCTTTGGAAAGACAAGAACTCTATCTGGGAAATTCTTAATCAAGAATATATGAAGAGTTAGAGTTTAACGGGTGCAAAGCTTCAGTTTGGGATGATGAAAAAGCTCTGGAGGTGAATAGTGGTGATGCCTGCACAACCATGTGAATAGACTTAATGCTACTGAATTGTACACTTAAAAATGGTTAAAATGGTAAAGTTGATGTTATGTATATTTTACCACAATTTTAAAAAGTCAAGCCCATGTTTGCTTCAGGAAGTTGGGAGTAATTTGGAAAGGGCCCAGCATTACTCTATTTTTGCTCTAGTGATGTTCAGTCTGGTCAGTAATTATTATGCTTACCTTTGTTTTATTAGAGCATGTAATTGTGTTATATTTTCCAATAAAAAAGGTTAATTAAAAAGTTTTTTTAAAAGACTGTCCTAAGTGGTAAGAATTATGAGGCTTTGGAAAGTCCCTTCTGCTCTGGGCCTCATTTTTAATGTAAGATGAATGAGTTAAACTAAATGATCTTAGAAGCCTTTCAGGGGCTAACATTCTGTAATTGTATCAAATTACTGCTTGTGAATGAAATAACCACAAAAAGCAGAAACCGAAGAGTATAATTTATTTTGGCTGTGTTTTCCTTCAGAGAAATTGAAAAATCAAAGGAATAAAAAAACTGAGGGCAAGAAAACCCACTGGCTAGTAAGAAACATGAATTTGTCTAAAATATAGCCTAAGTAAAGTTGATTGCTCTAAGATACAGCAAATGAAGTGAGAGGAATGTTTGTCACTTAATCTAAGGCAGCAGGGAGAAGAAAGCTCCACACAAGGTTAGATGGGGTGGACAAAAGAGTCAGGCATGCCTGAGTTGGAGCAATGAGAAAGGCCTTGCGCCATCTTGGAGGAAGAGGCATTGTAGCTGCAAGTATTTGCACTAATCGCTTTCAAATGCAGAATTTCTAGTGCCAGCTTTCCTTCCACACAAAACCATCCTCCTCTCCATAAATCTTTATTTTCCAGATTCATCCAAAAAACCTTGATACCTGATGGATCATAAACCTAAGTGATGTCTTTCTTATAATTTTCCCATTTTCCAAAAATCCTACTCGTCCTTTGAGGCCCACCTGAAGTCTTCACCATCCTTGGAAACTTCATAATCACACCATCCCTTTTCTTAGGTTGCCATGACACTACTGTCTCCTGCTTCTCCTTCTCCTTCCTTGTCCCTTCCTCTTTACTTCTTCCTTGACTCCACTTTCTTCTCCTATCTCTTACCAGTGCACCTAATGTCCCAAAATCTCATTCAGAAATATACCATGTATTGTCTCAGAGTTTTGCCAACCCAACAAAAGGGTTGGCAAAACAACCATGGCATGCAGCCCATTAACTGTTTTTATAAATAAAGTTTTATTGGAACACAGCCACATTCTTTATGTTTTGTCTATAGCTGCATTTGTGCTTCAATGGCAGAGGTAAGTCATTGTGACACATACAAAGCCTAAAATATTTACTATCTGGCTGCTTATAGAAAAAGTTCCCCAACTCTTGCTCTAATGAATTAAACTGTTAATATTTCTTTTCAATCATCATCTTTTATTGTCTGTGTTTTATTTCTCCAATTTGAGGACAAGAACCATGTCTAATATGCTTTTGTGCCCATTCAGAGCCCTTCTCACTGCCTTATACTTTGTAGAATCTCCACAAACACTTATGACGGAGGGATTGTAAAACTACCAGCGCTTTTGCTATTGTTGAAATAAAATTGTCTGAGGTGGAATAATACCTTCTCCTAGCTCTCCCCTTCAGGATAGCTTATTCTCACCTTTCCAACCTTCCAAGGCATTAGTATAGTATGGTGGTCAGGCATGGGTTCAGGGGTCAGAGAGCTTAAGGTTTACATCCTGATTCTCCATCTTGCAGCCATATGACCTTAAACAAGTTCCTCAAATTTTCCAGGCTTCACCACTTTATCCATCAACTGGTAATAACAATAGTACCCTATCATAGTGTTGTGATTTTTTAAACTTTTTTATTTTTAATTTTTGTGGATACATAGTAGGTGTATATATTTGGGGGTACATGAGATGTTTTGATACAGGCATGCAATATAAAATAAACACATCATGGAGAATGGGGTATCCATTCTTTCAAGCATTTATGCTTTGAGTTACAAGCAATACAATTACAGTCTTTATTTTAAAATGTACTGTTGTGAAGATTTTTAAATAAAATAATGTAATGTATTTTTAGTGTTAGGTATGATTTCTGGGACATAAATAATCAGAATATGGTTGACAATTGTGATTGTCCTATTATAATTACATCTTGTCCCCTTCCCCCACCCTTTTTGCCCTTTTCTCTAATCCAGTTTTTTAAATGGATGTGTTTTGTCTATATTGCCTGTTTCTTGAATTGTACAGTTAGAAAGTTGGGGTTCTCTTGGCAGCAAAGAGAGGCTGGCAATAGACAGATGGATTCCCGTTGACTTGCTTATCTTTTTTTTTTTTTTAATTGACAGGGTCTCACTGTGTTGTTCAGGCTGGAGAGCAGTGGCGTAATCATAGCTCATGCAGCCCTGAACTCCTGGGCTTAAGCGATCCTTTCACCTCAGCCTCCCAGGTAGCTAGGACTACACGTGCATACAACTATGCTTGGCTAATTTTTTGACTTTTTTGTAGAGATGGGGACTCACTGTGTTGCCCAGGCTGGTCTTGAACTCCTGGCTTCAAGTAATCTTCCTGCCTCAGCCTCCTAAAGAGCTGAGATTACAGATATAAACCACCACGCTTGGCCTGACTTGGCTTATCTTAATTCTCTTGCCATAGAAAAGCAACAACTGTTTTTGCTTAGTAATCAATTCAGAAGCTAAATAAAGTTAATGAATGGTTATTGAAAAATGGTAGCCTACTAGGGGATGAATGAGGTATGATGACTTAAGAAGATGAATAGCATATTTTGCACTCAATTTGTGAGAAAATACAGATACAACAGAGCTAAAATAAACATTAAAAGCAAACTTGAGGCCGGGTGCGATGGCTCACGCCTGTAATCCCAGCACTTTGGGAAGCCGAGGTGGGTGGATCACGAGGTCAGGAGATTGAGACCATCCTGGCTAACGTGGTGAAACCCCATCTCTACTAAAATTAAAAAAAAAAAAAATTAGCTGGGCGTAGTGGCATGCGCCTATAGTCCCAGCTACTTGGGAGGCTGAGGCAGGGGAATTGCTTGAACATGGGAGGCAGAAGTTGCAGTGAGCCAAGATGGCATCACTGCACTCCAGCCTGGTGACAGAGGGAGACTCCGTCTCAAAAAAAAAAAAAAAAGGGAAACTTGAAGGAAAATTAAGTCTCCAAAAGCCAATGGAATGGGAAAAGCCAGTGAAGCAGTATTTCATTTTGATGATAGCATTATTTGACAAAGTTGACCACTCTATTAATAATAATTTATCAAGCACCTTCTATGTGCTAGGCTTTGTTTCAGACGCTATGCATACATCAACAAAATTAATCAGATAAAAATCCTTGCCCTTGCAGACATACTTCTGGTGAGGAGAAAATAGAGTGAGAAAAGAGAATGGTATGTTTGCATTTTTAAATAGGATAGTCAGGTGACATTTGAATAAGGATGTGAGAGTTCTGAGAGAGTGAACCACAGGAACATCTGGAGGGAAAAAATTACGGAGGGAACATACTGTACAAATACCCTGAGGCAGAAGTATATCTGGCTTGTGCAAGGAACAATAAGAGACCAGTGCACAGGCTAGAAAGAATAATTATATATAAATAAAGTAGCTAATCTCTCTTGAGCCTTTACTCTGAACATTCTTCTAAGCACTTTAACAAACCTAAACATTATTACATATAATCTTCAAAAAAGTCACGTAACATAGGCAAAGTTATTCTTTCCATTTTATAGATAAGTAAATCAAAAATGCTAAACGGTTGAATAATTTGCACAAGATTACATAGCCAGCAACTGTTGGAGTCAGATATGTCTGATTCTAGTGCTCATCTCTTTGTCGCTATATCTTTGCTGTCTTGGAGGTCAAAATGGAATTAGCTCAATTCTGTTTCCCATCTGTCCAAACTGCTTATTTTTTTGTTGTGACCTCTTTTAATTTTTAAAATACCTTTAGATTCATTTTAAACTAAATTCAGAGCTTAAAATATTGGCAAGCTTTTTCCATGTCCCCTTTACCACCTTGCAACATTTCTGGATTCTCTCCTCTTCTTTCCCATTTTAATTTTCCATTATTTTAGCAGCTCCGCCTTTGAGTACAAACCAGTTCAGTCTTAAGGGAAAATCTACATACCAGAGAACAACCACATTTCTAGCCTTCTTCCTCCAGAACAACTGATGTAAGGTGGAGCCTTTTGAAATACTTATTATTTTGTGAATATAGGACATTTTTGGATAACCATACATGGAGACATCATTTTTGCAAGTTATTTTTGTATATTCCTTTTCCTTCCTGCTTTAAAAAAAAAAATGCAGTTTTGAGGATTCACTTCACCCTTTTACAGTGTTACTTCAAAAATGTTATATTCTTAACTGCGTATCCCCTTCTCAATCAAATGGAAAGTCTATTAATAATGAAGCCAAGAAACAGTACTGAAATTTTGAAAGTGTGTTCACTTTCTGTCCACTGATGAATTCTTTTATCAGAATTTCTATGAGCATCATACCTGTCCAAATTAAACCTTTCCTTCTTTCTTCAAAGAAAACACAAGAGGATTGAACTACTTCTTTTCCTCCTTTGACATGTATAAAAGATTTTCTCCTGGCAAAAGTGTATGTCAAATTTCAAACCAAAATCAGAAAGACAGAATGTTCATTTCTCTAGCAGGTTATAAAATCTCTGAACTAGAAAGACAAGAATCATTACAAGAAATACATTAATTCTTTTGCAATCGTATCTGAACTGAAACAGAGAAACGAGTAGAAAACTTGGATATTTTCCCCATAAAGAATACTTAAAATTAATAGTTATCCAGGTACAGGTATTGTTGGAATGGGCATTGAAATAGATAAGAGTAGAGAAAACTGTGTTTCAGGAGTACTGTTTTTTTTTTAGTTTAATTTTTAATTTTTAATTGATAAATAGTAATTATACATATTTATGGGCTACAATGTGATGTTTTGATACGTACATACATTTTGTAATTATCAAATTAGGTAATTAGTATATTTATCACCCCAAAGAGTTATCTTTTTTTTTTTTTTCAAGACGGAGTTTCACTCTTGTTGCCCAGGCTGGAGTGTAATGGGTGATCTCGGCTCACTGCAAACTCCACCTCCCGGATTCAAGCAATTCTCCTGCCTCAGCCTCCGAAGTAGCTGGGATTATAGGTGTGTGCCACCATGCCTGGCTAATTTTGTATTTTTAGTAGAGACTTCTCCGTGTTGGTCAGGCTGGTCTCCAATTCCTGACCTCAGGTGATCCACCCACCTCGGCCTCCCAAAGTGTGGGATTAAAGGCGTGAGCCACCATGCCCAGCCTAAGATTTATCATTTCTTTCTAGTGAAATTATTCAAAATCCTATCTTCTAGCTATTTTGAAATACATAATACATTGTTATTACCTATAGTCACTCTACTGTGCAATAGAACACCATATCTTATTCCTCCTATGTAATAGAAACTTTGTACCCATTGACCAACATCCCCTCTTCCATTTTTTTAACCCTCCCTCCTAGCCTCCGGTAACCACTGTTCTACTCTCGGCTTCCATGAGGCTAGCTTTTGTTAGAGTTCACATAATACGAGTGTGAACTCATACCATAAGAGAGAATGTGGTATTTGTCTTTTGGTGCCTAGCTTATTTCACTTAATGGCCTCTAGTTTCATCCATGTTGTCACAAATGATAGAATTTCCTGGTTATTTTATGGATGAATAATCTATTGTGTATATATGCCACATTTCTAAAATTCATTCATCCAGTGATAGACACTTAGGTTGTTTCCATATCTTGGCTATTGTGAATAATGCTGTAATAAACATGGGAGCTCAGACATCACTATGGCATACTAATTTCAATTCTTTTGGATATATACTCATTGGTGGAGTTGCTGGATCCTATGGTAATTAATTTTATTTTTAGTTCTTTAAGGGGCTTTCCTACTGTTTTCCAAAATGGCTGTACTAATTTAATTCTGACCAACAATGTACAAAGTTTCCCATTTCTCCATATTCTTGGCAACACGTGTTATCTTTCATCTTTTTGATGATAGCCAGTCTAACAGGTGTGAGGCATTATTAGCTCATTGTAGTCCTAATTTTCACTTCTCTCATGATTAGGGATGTTGAGCACTTTTTATTTGTCTGTTGGCCATTTGTGTGTCTTATTTTGAAAGCTATCTCTTCAAGTTCTTTGCCTAATTTTTAATAGGATTATTTGTTTTCTTCTTGTTGAGTAGTTTGAGTTCCTTGTATATTTTGGATATGAGCCTCTTACTAGATGTAGGATTTGCAAATACATTCTCCCAATCATGGGTTGTCTCTTCACTCTATTGATCATTCCTTTGCCATGCAGGAGCTTTGTAGCCCAATGTAATCCCATTTGTCTATTTTTGCTTTTATTACCCGTACTTAAAAAAAATTATTTCCATAGGTTATTGGGGAACAGGTATTTTTTGGTTACGTGAGTAAGTTCTTTAGTGATTTGTGAGATTTTGATGCACCCATCACCCGAGCAGTATACACTGCCCCCCATTTGTAGTCTTTTGTCCCTCACCCCCTTCTCACCCTTTCCCCCTGAGTCCCCAGAGTCCATTGTGTCATTCTTATGCCTTTGCATTCTCATGGCTCAGCTCCCACTTATGAGTGAGAACATATGATGTTTTGTTTTCCATTCCTGAGTTACTTCACTTAGAATAATGGTCTCCAATCTCATCCATGTCTCTGTAATGCCATTCATTCATTCCTTTTATGGCTAAGTAGTATTCCATCATATATATACACACGTGTATATATATATACACGTGTATATATATATATATGTGTATATATATATATACGTGTATATATATATACGTGTATATATATATATATATATATATATATATATATATATATATATATACACACACACGTATATATATATATACACCACGGTTTCTTTATCCACTCATTGATTGATAGGAATTTGGGTTGGTTCCATGTTTTTGCAATTGTGAATTGTGCTGTTATAAACATGTGTGTGCAAGTATCTTTCTCATATAATGACTTCTTTTCCTCTGGGTAGATACCCAGTAATGGGATTGCTGGATCAAATGATAGTTCTACTTTTAGTTCTTTAAGGAATCTCTACAGTTTTTTGGTTTTGATTTGGATTTCCCTGATTATTAGTGATGTTGAGCATTTTTTCATATGTTTGTTGGCCATTTAGATATCTTCTTTTAAGAATTGTCTATTCATGTCCTTGGCTCACGTTTTGATGGAATTGTTTGGTTTTACTTGCTGATCTATTTGAGTTCGTTGTAGATTCTGGATATTAGTCCTTTGTCAGATATATAGATTGTGAAGATTTTTTCCCACTCTGTGGGTTGTCTGTTTACTTTGCTGATTGTTCCTTTTGCCAGACGAAAGCTTTTTAGTTGAATTACGTCCCAACTATTTATCTTTGTTTTTATTGCATTTACTTTTGGGTTCTTGGTCATGAAATCCTTGCCTAAGCTAATGTCTAGAAGGGTTTTTCCAATGTTATCTTCTAGAATTTTTATAGTTTCAGGTCTTAGGTTTAAGTCTTTAATTCATCTTGAGTTGATTTTTGTATAAGGTGAGAGATGAGGGTCCAGTTTCATTCCCCTACATGTGGCTAGCCAGTTATCCCAGCATCATTTGTTGAAAAGGGTGTCCTTTCCCCACTTCATGTTTTTGTTTGCTTTCTCGAAGATCAGTTGGCCGTAAGTATTTGGGTTTATTTCTGGGTTCTCTATTCTGTTCCATTGGTCTATGTGCCTATTTTTATACCACTACCATGCTGTTTTGGTGACTATGGCCTTATAGTGTAGTGTGAAATCAGGTAATGTGATGCCTCCAGATTTGTTCTTTTTGCTTAGTCTTACTTGGCTATGCAGGCCCTTTTTTGGTTCCATATGAATTTTAGGATTATTTTTTCTAATTCTGTGAAGAATGATGGTGGTATTTTGATGGGGATTGCATTGAATATGCAGATTGCTTTTGGCAGTATGGTCATTTTCAAAATATTGATTCTACCCATCCATGAGCATGGGATGTGTTTCCATTTGTTTGCGTCATCTATGATTTCTTTCAGCAGTGTTTTGTAGTTTTCCTTGGAGAGGTCTTTTCCCTCCTTGGTTAGGTATACTCTGAAGTATTTTATTATTATTTTTGCAGCTATTGTAAAAGGGGTGGAGTTCTTGATTTGATTCTCAGCTTGGTTGCTACTGATGTATAGAAGAGCTATGGATTTGTGTGCATTAATTTTATATCCAGAAACTTTGCTGAATTCTTGTATCAGATCTATGATCTTTCTGGAGGAATCTTTAGGGTTTTCTAGGTAAACAATCACATTATCAGCAAACAGCGACAGTCTGACTTCCTCTTTACTGATTTGGATGCCCTTTATTTCTTTCTCTTGTCTGATTGCTCTGGCTAGGACTTCCAGAACTGTGTTGAAGAGGAGTCATGACAGTGGGCATCCTTGGCTTGTTCCAGTTCACAGAGGGAATGCTTTCAACTTTTCCCCATTCAGTATAATGTTGGCTGTGGGTTTGTCATAGATGGCTTTTATTGCATTGAGGTTATGTCCCTTGTATGGCCGATTTTGCTGAGAGTTTTAATCATAAAGGGATGCTGGATTTTGTTGAATGCTTTTTCTGCATCTATTGATATGATCATGTAACTTTTGTTTTTAATTCTGTTTATGTGGTGTATCACTTTTATTGACTTGCATATGTTAAACCATCCCTGCATCCCTGGTATGAAACCCACTTGATCATGGTGGATTATCTTTTTAATATATTGTTGGATTCAGTTAATTAGTATTTTGTTAAGGATTTTAGCATCTGTGTTCATCAGGGATATTGCTCTGTAGTTTTCTTTTTTGGTTATGTCCTTTCCTGGTTTAGGTATTAGGGTAACACTGGCTTCACAGAATGATTTAGGGAGGGTTCCCTCTTTCTTTATCTTGTGGAATAGTGTCAATAGGATTGGTACCAATTCTTCCTTTAATGTCTGGTAGAATTCTGCTGTGAATCCACCTGGTCCTGGACTTTTTTTTGTTGGTAATTTTTAAATTACCATTTCAATCTCACTGCTTGTTATTGGTCTGTTCAGGGTATTTAATTCTTCCTGATTTAAGCTAGGAGGGTTGTATCTTTCCAGGAATTTATCCATCTCTTCTAGGTTTTCTAGTTTATGCACATAAAGGTGTTCATAGTAGCCTTGAATGATCTTTTGTATTTCTGTGGTGTCAGCTGTAATATCTCCCGTTTTGTTTCTAATTGTGCTTATTTGGATTTTCTCTCTTCTTGGTTAATCTTGCTAATGGTCTATCAATTTTATTAATCTTTTCAAACAACCAGCTTTTTATTTAATTTATCTTTTTTATGTTTCAATTTCATGTATTTATGCTCTGATCTTGGTTGTTTCCTTTCTTCTACTGGATTTGAGTTTCATTCATTCTTGTTTCTCCAGTTCCTTGGGGTGTAAGCTTAGATTGTCTGTGCTCTTTCAGACTTTTTGATGTAGGCATTTAGGGCTATGAACTTTCCTCTTAGTATGGCCTTTGCTGTATCCCAGAGGTTTTGATAGGTTGGGTCACCATTGTCATTCAGTTCGAAGAATTTTTAAATTCCCGTCTTGATTTCATTTTTGACGCAATGATCATTCATCATTTATTTAATTTCCATGTATTTAATTTCCATGTATTTGTATGGTTTTGCAGGTTCCTTTTGGAGTTGATTTCCAGTTTTATTCCATTGTGGTCTGAGAGAGTACTTGATATAATTTCACTTTTCTTAAATTTATTGAGGCTTGTGTGGCCTATCATATGGTCTATCTTGGAGAAAGTTCCACGTGCTATTGAACAGAATGTATACTCTGTGGTTGTTGGATGGAATGTTCCGTATGTATCTGTTAAATCCATTTGTTCCTGGATATATTTTAAATCCATTGTTTCTTTGTTGACTTTCTGTCTTGATGACCTGTCTAGTGCTATCAGTGGAGTACTGAAGTCCCCCACTATTATTGTGTTGCTGTCTACCTCATTTCTTTGGTCTATTAGTAATTGTTTTATAAATTTGGGAGCTCCCGTGTAAGATGCATATATGTTTAGGGTTGTGATATTTTCCTGTTGGACAAAGCCTTTTATCGTTATATAATGTCCCTCTTTGTCTTTTTTAACTGCTGTTGCTTTAAAGTTTGTTTTGTCTGATACAAGAATTGCTACTCCTGACCCACTTTTGGTGTCGCTTTGTATGAAATGTCTTTTTCCACTCCTTTACCTTAAGTTTATGTGAGTCCTTTTGTGTTATGTGAGTCTCTTGAATGTACCACTTAGTTAGTTGGTGAGTTCTTATCCATTCTGCAATTCTGTATCTTTTAAGTGGAGCATAAGGCCATTTACTTTCAATGTTAGTATTGAGATGTGAGGTACCATTCCATTCGTCATGCTGTTTGTTGCCTGTATACCTTGGTTTTTCTTTTTTTTGTTTGTTTTTTAATTGTATTTTCATTTTATAAGTCCTGTGAGATTTATGCTTTAAAGGGGTTCTGTTTTGATGTGTTTCTAGGATTTGTTTCAAGATTTAGAGCTCCTTTTAGCAGTTCTTGTAGTGGTAACTTAGTAGTGGAGAATTTTCTTAGCATTGTTTGTCTGAAAAAGACTGTATCTTTCCTTCATATATGATGCTTAGTTTCTCTGGGTACAAAATTCTTGGCTGATAATTGTTTTGTTTGAGGAGGCTGAAGATAGGGCCCAAATTCCTTCTAGCTTGTAGGGTTTCTGCTGAGAAACCTGCTGTTAATCTGATAGGTTTTCCTTTATAGGTTATCTGGTGCTTGTGTCTTACAGCTCTTAAGATTCTTTCCTTCATCTTAACTTTGAATAACCTGACAACAACGTGCCTAGGTGATGATTTTTTCTATGCATTTCCCAGGTGTTCTTTGTGCTTTTTGTATTTGGATGTCTAGGTCTCTAGCAAGGCGGGGGAAGTTTTCCTCAGTTATTCCCCTAAATATGTTTTCCAAACTTTTAGATTTCTCTTCTTCCTCAGAACACTAATTATTCCTAGGTTTGGTTGTTTAACATAACCCCAGACTTCCTGGAGGCTTTGTTTATACTTTCTTATTTTTTCTTTGTCTTTGTTGGACTGGGATAATTCAAAGGCCTTGTCTTCAAGCTCTTTTGTTCTTTCTTCTAATTGTTCGATTTTATTGCTGAGACTTTCCAGAGCATTTTGCATTTCTATAAGTGTGTCCATTGTTTCCTGAAGTTTTGATTGTTTCTTATTTATGCTGTCTATTTCCTTGAATATTTATTCCTTCATTTCTTGTATCTTTTTTTTTATTTCCTTACATTGGGCTTCACTTTTCTCTGGAGCCTCCCTGATTAGTTGAATAACTAACCTCCTGAATTCTTTTCAGGTCAATCAGGGACTTCTTGGTTTGGGTCCACTGCTGGTGAGCTAGTGTGATTTTGGGGGGCTGTTTATGAGCCTTGTTTTGTCATATTACCAGAGTTGGTTTTCTGGTTTCTTCTCATTTGGGTAGGCTCTATCAGAGGGAAGGTCTAGGGCTGAAGGCTGTTGTTCAGATTCTTTTGTCCTGTGGGGTGTTCCCTTGGTGTAGTACTCTCCCCCTTTTACTATGGATGTGGCTTCCTGAGAGCTGAGCTATAGTGATTGTTATCTCTCTTCTGGATCTAGCCACCCAGCAAGTCTACCACACTCTGGGCTTGTACTGGGGATTGTCTGCAGAATCCTGTGATGTGAAACGTCTGTAGGTCTCTCAGCCATGGATACCAGTACAGTGCTTGGGGTGTCTCCCAGGTCCTTCAGGAGCAACCCACTTCTTTTGGAGGGTCTGTGGGTCCTGTCAGGTTTCCTGATTTATTCCTGCAGTCGTTTGAGAGAAAAACCATGATGCCAGCCTCCACATGCTGCTCTGTCCAGCCAAGTCAGAGCTGCAAATCTTGCCTGTACTTTTGAGGTCTTATCCAAAAAGTCTTTGCCCAGACCTATGTCATGGAGATTTTCCCCTATATTTTCTTCTAAAAGTTTCATAGGCTTGTGTCTTAAATTTAAGTCTTTAATTCATTTTGAATTGATTTTTGCATATGGTGAGAAATAACATTCTTCTGCATGTAAATATCCAGTTTTCCCAATACTATTGAAGAGAGTGTCCTTTCTCCATTGTGTGTTCTTGGCACGTTTGTCAAAGATGAGTTGGATGTAGATGCACAGATTAATTTCTGGGCACTCTATTCGTTCCATTGGTCTATGTGTCTGTTTTTATGCCAGTACCATGCTATTTTTGGTTATGATAGCTTTGTAGTACATCTTGAAGTCAGGTAGTGTAAGGCATCCAGTTTTGTTCTTTTTGCTCAAGATTGCCTTGCTTATTACAGGACTTTTGTGGTTCCATGGGAACTTTAGGATTGTTCATTCTATTTCTGTGAAGAATATTATTGATATTTTGATAGGGATTGCCTTGAATCTGTAGATTGCTTTGAGTAGTGTGAACATTTTAATGATAGTAATTCTTCCAATCCATGAAGATAAAATATTTTTCCATTTATTTGTGTCTTTTTCAATTTATTTCATCAATAGTTTATAGTTTTCAGTGTGGAGATATTTTACCTCCTTGGGTAAATTTATTCCTAAGTATTTTACTTTTTTGGCTATTGTAAGTGAGATTGCTTTCTTGACTTCTTTTTCAGATAGTTCACTGTTAGAGTATAGAAATGCTACTGATTTTTGTATGTTGATTTTGTATCCAGCAACTCTACTAAATTGATTATTTCTAATATATTTTTAGTGGGGTTTTAGGGTTTTCTGTATATAAGATCATGTTGTCTGCAAACAGGGACAATTTAGCTTCTTCCTTTTCAATTTGGATGCCTTATATTTCTTTCTCTTGCCTGATTGCTCTGACCAGGACTTCCAGGACTACGTTGAATAGAAGTGGCAAAAGTGGGCATCCTTGTCTTGCTCCAGATCTTTGAGGAAAAGCTTTCAACTTTTCTCCATTCAGTATGATATTAGTTGTGGGTTTGTCATATATGAGTTTTATTGTGTTGAGATACATTCCTCCCATACCTAATTTGTTGAGTGTTTTCATCACGGAGTGATGTCGAATTTTGTCACATGCTTTTTCTGCATCTATTGAAATGATCATATGGTTTTTGTCTTTCATTCCGTTAATGTGATGTGTCATATTTATTGATTTTCACATGTTGAACTATCATTGCATCCCTCAGATGAATCCCACTTGATCATGGTGAATGATCTTTTTTTTTTTTTTTTTTTTTTGACATGGAGTCTCGCTCTGTCGCCCAGGCTGGAGTGCAGTGGCGCGATCTCTGCTCACTGCAAGCTCCGCCTCCCGGGTTCACGCCATTCTCCTGCCTCAGCCTCCCGAGTAGCTGGGACTACAGGCACCCACCACCACGCCCGGCTGATTTCTTTTTGTATTTTTAGTAGAGACGGGGTTTCACCTTGTTAGCCAGGATGGTCTCGATCTCCTGACCTTGTGATCCATCTGCCTCTAAACATGCTATTGAATTTGGTTTGCTAGTATTTTATTGAGGATTTTCACATCTATGTTCATCAGGAATATTAACCTGTAGTTTTATTTTCTTGTTGTATCCTTATCTGGTTTTGTTATCAGGGTAATGCTGGCCCACAGAATGAGTTTGGAAGTATTGCTCCTCTTTAATTTTTTGGAATAGTTTGAGTAGAATTGGTATTAGTTCTTTAAATGTTTGGTAAAATTCAGCAGTGAAGCCATCAGCTCCTGGGCTTTTCTTTGATGAGAGACTTTATTACTGATTCAGTATTATTACTTGTTATTGGCCTGTTCAGATTTTTTATTTCTTCATGGTTTAATATTTGCAGGTTGTATGTGTTCAGAAACTTACCCATTTCTTGTAGGTTATCCAATTTGTTGGCATATAATTGTTCATTTTACTCTCTTATGATCCTTTGTGTTTCTGTGGCATCAGTTATAATGTCTCCTTTTCATCTCTGATTTTATTGATTTGAGTCTTCTCACTTTTCCCCTTAATTATTCCAGCTAAAGATTTGTAGATTTTATCTTTAAAAAAAAAATTGTACGTTTCATTGATCTTTTGTATTTTTCAGTCTCTATTTCATTTATTTCTGCACTTATCTTCATTATTTCCTTCCTTCTATTCATTTTGAGTTTATTTTTTATTTGTTTTTCTAGTTCCTTGAGGTGCAATGTTAGATTTTTTTATTTGAGGTCTTCCTTCTTCTATGATGTAAGCATTTGTTGCTACAGACTTCCCTTTTAGAATGGTTTTTGCTGTATTGTGAGTACAGTTTTTGAAGGAAATTTTTCTTTAAAAAAAAACTGAAGACTTAACTATGTTGATCAAAATTTTGAGATTGATGATATGAATTTAAATGACAGAAAGTCAATCTGTGGAATTTGTTTCCTTCAGAAGCTAAAGGTACATTTTCTTTTTAAATTATGTAGAAAAACCAGGCACAGGGAGTAACCAAGCTCACTGAATCATTTGCTAAGTGGGAGCAAAGTGGTTCTTTAGTCATGACAGGCAAGATGCCTATGGAGATGATCTGGCTGAACTCTTCATTGGAAACCATTTGAAATTTCTTTGCTTTCCTAAAGGGATGAAATTATTGAGAGATATTCCTGAATAAATATGACTTTATACAATTTCTTCTTCATTCTTTTATGGAAATTTTCAAATAAATACAAAATTAGAGAGAGTACTTTAACCCTCAGAACTCATCATCCAGCTTCAACCCCTATCAATGCATGGCCAATCTTGTTTTATTTATACCTCACGTTCTTAATACCCTTCCATATAATTTTGAATCCAATTTAAGACAGCATTTCAGCTCATCTGTGAATACACAATTTTTTCTTAAATTTAGAGTTGTCATCTGAAACATGCAGTAAATTAACATTTAAAAAAGTGCTGATGGTGCCTTTTGTATTTAAATGTGTTTCCTGGTTCCCTTGACTCACCATAGCTTCTAATGTTAGTCCAAGAAAGATAAGGGCAGTTTCAACCAAGACTACCCATTAGTTTTTTGGAGAAAAAGTTAAGAAACTAAAGATTCACTATCCGATGTAGTGGACATATATAATTATTTTTGTCCGCCTATCATATGAATACCCATTTCTGTCTTTGGAGACTTCTTCCCTTTGAGGGTTCATGGAAGACAGAGTCTATTTCCTACTGTAGGAGCTGAAAATGCACAAGACTCTTGTTCCCAGCTCCCTTGTATGTAGGGCCATGGCCATAATTGAGGGTTAGCCACTGAGACACACCTGCTCCAGATTTTATTTATATATTTATTTTATTTTTTGAGAAAGTCTCACTCTGCCACCCAGGTTGGAGTACAGTGGTGTGATCATGGCTCACTGCAACCTGGACCTCCTAAGCTCGAGTGATCCTCCCATTTCAGCCTCATGTGTAGCTGGGACTACAGGCATCCGCCACCATGACAGTCTAATTTATTTTTTTTTTAATCTTTTGTACAGATGGGATCTCACGTTGCAAAGCCTGGTCTCAAACTCCTGGGCTCAAGCAATCCTCGCAGCTCAGCCTTCCCAAAAGTGCTGAGATTAACAGGTGATATGGTTTGGTTCTGAGTCCCCACTCAAATCTCATCTTGAATCATAATCCCCACATGTTGGGGGAGTGGCCTGGTGTGAGATGATTGAATCATGGGGGTAGACTTCCACCTCGCTGTTCTCGTGATAAAACTTTCACAAGATCTCAGCCAGGTGTGGTGGCTCACGTCTGTAATCCCACAACTTTGGGAGGCTGAGGCGAGTGGATCACCTGAGGCCAGGAGTTCAAGACCAGCCTGGCCAACATGGCAAAACCCCATCTCTATTAAAAATACCAAAAAAAAAAAAAAAAATTAGCCAGGAGTGGTGTCAGGCACCTATAATCCCAGCTACTTGGGAGGCTGAGGCAGGAGAATCACGTGAACCTGGGAGGCAGAGGTTGCAGTGGGCTGGGATCGTGCCACTTCATTCCAGCCTGGGCAAAAGAGCGAAACTCCATCTGAAAAAAAAAAATAAAGGAAAGAAAAAGAAAAAGAATTTTCACAAGATCTGATTATTTGATAAGTGTGTGGCTTTTCACCTTCACTCTCTCTCTCACCTGCTGCCATGTAAAACGTGCTTTGCTTCCCCTTCACCTTCCACCACGATTGTAAGTTTTCTGAGGCCTCCCCAGCCATGTAGAACTGTGAGCCAATTAAACTTCCTTTCTTTATAAATTACCCAGTCTCAAGGTATCTGTATAGCAGTGTGAGAATGGACTAATGCAATGGGCATGAGCCACTTCCCCCAACCCCACTCCAGATTTTAAAGCGGAGTGGGTGACCGAAAACAGTGGAAACAGAGAAGGCTTGCTGTGGAGGCAGTGGCTTTCGCAGCCTTGCCCATTTCTTGGAGGTGGGACTGGAAAGAGCAGAGAGGAAGCCTTGTGGGCAGAAAGTGGCAATGGTGTGAGTTTGATGTCAGTGCATAGACTAGTGATAAGTGCTCAGCAATGAAGTCAGTGAGGGACCAGTTTTGATTATAGCTGGGTGCTAGCTGAGTGGTTTCCCAGTAGGCTTTTCAGCTCTGCTGGCCATTCTTTAAGCTATCCAATATCCTGTGACTAAATTATTTTCCATGTAACCAGTAAGTTTCTGTTTTTGCTATCAAGAATCCTGACTGATACACTTGGGAGTTTGTGTAAAATTTTAAGGCATCATCTCAAAGGCAC
Organism: Homo sapiens; assembly: GCF_000001405.40. NCBI lineage: Eukaryota > Metazoa > Chordata > Mammalia > Primates > Hominidae > Homo > Homo sapiens. Next base: position 168,378,883 of record NC_000002.12, on the reverse strand, counting down.
CCTAAAACATAACATATTTATTAAAGAAGAAATAAAGAGAAGGCCAAAAATTACTCAAAGGTCACCAACAAAAAGCCAGTACAAATACATCCCAGTAGCAGTCTGAATAGTCACAGAACATTTTTAAAGAGGCCATAAGGTTTTTCCACTGCATTTCACTTGAACTTTTTGGTTCAGAGCATTGTTGATGTGTAAGGATGTTCATCAAATGTTGACTATAGTAGTATAAAAAATGGGGAAAAGGTCACCTTAAATAACACCAATTGGATTGGCTACATTAAAACAAACTATTCAACAATACCTGTCCTCATTGCCACAAAAGTTAAAGGTGAAAATTCATATGCAGGCTTTAGAAAATTGTCAATGACACAATGTTAAGTTAAAAAAAAATCAAGTTAGAGAGAACAGTAGTCCAAAAGGTAGCCCCATTGCTTCAAGTTGTGTGTTTGTGAATATGTATAGAAATAAGAACACAGCAGAATTTGCTGTTGACTCTCAGTGGGGGGGTGGGAATAAGAAGATAATTTGTTTGGCTTTGTTTTTTCATTTTTTAATTTTTGTGGTTACTTAGTAGGTGTATATATTTATAGAATGATAAATATATTTATACATGAGATATTTTGATATGGGCATGCAATGTGTTATAATCACATCTGGGTAAATAGGGTATCCATCACATCAAATATCTATTCTTTGTGTTACACACAATCCAATTATAATCTTTTAGTTATTTGAAAATGTACAATTAAATTGTTGTTGACTATAGTAACCCTATTGTCCTAGCAAATGTTACATCTTATTCATTCTTTCTGTTTTTCGTAACCATTAATCATCCCTTCTGGTCTTCCCCCACAAAACCCCACTACGTTTCCCAGCCTCTGGTAACCATCCTTCTACTCTCTATCTCCAGGAGTTCAATTACTTTAATTTTTAGCTCCCATAAAAAAGTGAGAACTTACAATGTTTGTCTTTCTATGCCTGGCTTATTTCACTTAACATAGTGACCTCCAGTTCCATCCATGTTTTTGCAAATGACAGGGTCTCATTTTTTAATAGCTGAATAGTACTCCATTGTGTATATGCACCACATATTCTTTATCCGTTTATCTGTTGGTGGACACTTAAGTTGCTTCAAAAAATTGGCTCTTGTGAATAGTGCTGCAACAAATATGGGAGTGCAGATATCTCTTTGATATACTGATTTCCCTTCTTTTGGGTATATACCTAGGAGTGGGATTGCTGGATCCTATGGTAGCTCTATTTTTAGTTTCTTGAGGAATCTCCAGCCTGTTCTCCATGGTGATTGTACCAATTTACATTCGTACCAGCAGTGTACAAAGGTACCCTTTTCTCCACATTCTCGCCAGCTGTTGTTATTGCCTGACTTTTAGGTAAAAGCCATTTTAACTGGAATGAGATAATATCTCATTGTAGTTTTGATTTGTATTTCTCTGATGATCAATAATGTTGAGAACATTTTCATATACCTATTGGCATTTGTATGTCTTCTTTTGAGAAATGTCTATTCAGATACTTTGCAACTGGATTATTAGATTTTCTCTTGTAGAGTTGTTTGAGCTCCTTACATAGTCTGGTTACTTAGCCCTTGTCAGATAGGTAGTTTGCAAATATTTTCTCTCTTCCCTTTGTTGATCATTTCCTTTGCTGTGCAGAAGCTTTTTAATTTGATGTAATCTCATTTGTCCATTTTTGCTTTGGTTGCCTGTGCTTATGGGGTATTACTCAAGAAATCTTTGCCCAGTCCAATGTCCTGGAGAGTTTCTTCAGTGTTTTCTTACAGTTGTTTCATAATTTCAGGTATTAGAGTTAAACCTTTAACCGATTTTGATTTGATTTTTTGTATACAGTGAGAAATAGGAGCCTAATTTCATTCTTTTATATATGGATATCCGGTTTTCCCAGCACCAGCACCATTTGTTGAAGAAACTGTCCTTTCCCTAATGTATGTTCTTGGCAACTTTGTAAAAAAATGAGTTAACTGTAGATGAATGAATTTATTGGGTTCTCTATTCTGTTCCACTGGTCTATGTGTCTGTTTTTATGCCAGTACCATGCTGTTTTGGTTGCTGTAGCTCTGTAATATACTTCGAAGTGAGGTAATGCGATTCTTCCAGTTTTATTCTTTTTACTTAGGATAGCTTTGCCTATTCCGGGTCTTTTTTGGTTCCTTATAAATTTTAGGATTTCTTTTTCTACTTCTGTGAAGAGTGTCATTAGTATTTTGATAGGGATTGCATTGAATCTGTAGATTGCTTTGGGTAGTATGGACATTTTATCAATATTGATTCTTCTAATCCATGAATATGAAGTATATTTCCATTTTATCTGTGTGTGTTCTTCAATTTCTTGCATCAGCATTTTATAGTTTTCATTGTAGATATCTTTTATTTCTTTGGTTAATTCCTAGGTATTGTATTTTATTTGTAGCTATTGTAAATGGGATTGCTTTCTTGATTTCTTTTTCAGATTGTTCACTGTTAGTATATAGAAATGCTATAGATTTTTGTATGTTGATTTTGTATCCTTCAACTTTATTGAATTTGTTTATCAGTTCTAAGAGTTTTGTGGTGGAGCTTTTAGGTCTTTCCAAATATAAGGTCATATTATCTGAAAACAAGGATAATTTGACTTCTTCTTTTCCAGTTTCAATGCTCTTTTTTTTTTCTCTTGTCTGATTGTTCTAGCTAGGACTTCCAGTACTATGTTTAGTCACAGTGGTGAAAGTGGGGATTCTTGTCATGTTCCCAATCTTAGAGGAAAGGTTTTCAGTCCCTCTTCCCCACTTCAGTATGCTACTAGCTATGGGTGTGTTATATATGGTTTTTGTTATGTTGAGACATGTTCCATCTATAACCAGTTTTTTGAGGGTTTTTATCATGAAGGAATGTTGAATTTTATCAAATGCTTTTTCAGCTGAATTAAAATGATCAAATTTTTTTCCTTCATTCTGTTGATATGATGTATCACATTGATTGATTTGCATATGTTAAACAATCCTTGCATCCCAAGGATAAATCACACTTGGTTATGGTGAATGATCTTTTTAACATGTTGTTGAATTCAATTTGATAGCATTTTATTGAGGATTTTTTTGTCAATATTCATCAGTGATATTGGCTTATTGTTTTCTTTTTTGATGTGTGTCTGTCTGGTTTTGGTATCAGGTTAATATTGTTATGATATAATGAGTTTGAAAGTATTCTCTCCTCCTCTATTTTTCAAATAGTGTGAGTAGGATTGGTATTAGTTCTTTAAATGTTTGGTAGAATTCAACAGTGAAGCCATTAGATCTTGGGATTTTCTTTACTGGGAGACTTTTTATCATGGCTTCAATCTCATTACTTGTTATTGGTCTGTTCAGGTTTTGGATATCTTCATGGTTCAATCTTAGTAGGTTGTATGTGTTTAGGAACTTATCCATTTCATCTAGATTTTCCAATTTATTGGCTTATAGTTGCTCATAGTAGTAGCCTCTAGTGGTGCTTTGAATGTATGCAGTATCAGTTGTAATGTTTCCTTTTTCATCTCTGATTTTATTTATTTGAGTCTTCTCTGCTTTTTTCTTTATTATATTGGCTAAATGTTTATCAATTTTGTTTATCTTTTCAAAAACCCAGGTTTTTTTTTCACTGACCTTTTGTATTGTTTCATTTCAAATTCATTTATTTCTACTTTGATCTTTATGATTTCTTTTCTTCTACTAATTCTTGGTTTTGTTTGCTCTGGCTTTTCTAGTTCTTTAATATGCATTGTTAGGTTGTTTATTTGAAGTTCTTCTCTTTTGATTTAGATGCTTATAGTTATAAATTTATCTTTTAGTATGTTGTGTTTTCATTATCTTTTTTTCAAGAAAATTTTCAATTTCCTTCTTAATTTCTTTATTGACCCACTGGTCATTCAGGAGCATATTGTTTAATTTCCATGTGTTTGTATAGTTTCCAAAATTCCTTTTGTTGATTTTTGGTTTCATTCCATTGTGGCCAAAGAGAATTGATATTATTTCAATTTTTAAAATTTTTTTTAAACTTTAAGTTCTAGGGTACACATGCACAATGTGCAGGTTTGTTACATAGGTATACGTGTGCAATGTTGGTTTGCTGCACCCATCAATTTGTCATTTACATTAGGTATTTCTCCTAATGCTATCCCTCCCCCAACCCCCCACCCCCCAACAGGCCCCAGTGTGTGATGTTCCCCGCCCTGAGTCCATGTGTTCTCATTGTCCAACTCCCACCTATGAATGACAACATGCAGTGTTTGGTTTTCTGTCCTTGTGATAGTTTACTGAGAATGATGTTTTCCACCTTCATCCATGCCCCTACAAAGGACATGAACTCATCATTTTTTATGGCTGCATAGTATTCCATGCTGTATATGTGCCACATTTTCTTAATCCAGTCTATCATTGATGGACATTTGGGTTGGCTCCAAGTCTTTGCTATTGTGAATAGTGCCACAATAAACGTACGTGTGCATGTGTCTTTATAGTAGCATGATTTATAATCCTTTGGGTATATACCCAGTAATGGGATCGCTGGGTCAAATGGTGTTTCTAGTTCTAGATCCTTGAGGAATCGCCACACTGTCTTCCACAATGGTTGAACTAATTTAATTTTTTAAATGTTTTAAGACTTGTTTTGTGACCTAACATATGGTCTATCCTTGAGAATAATCCATTTGCTGAGGAGGATGTGTATTCTGCAGCTGTTGGGTGAAATGTTCTGTAAATATGTATTAGGTCCATTTGGTCCATAGCACACATTAAATCAGATGTTTCTTTGTTAATATTCTATCCAGCAGTTCTGTCCAACACTGAAAGTGGGGTGTTATCTCCAGCTATTATTGTCTTGCGGTCTCTCTTTAGCTCTAACAATATTTGCTTTATATAACTGTGTGCTTCTGTATTTAGTGCATATATATTTACAGTTGTTATATCCTCTTGTTAAATTGACCCCTTTATCATTACATAATGACCTTCTTTGTCTCCTATAGTTTTTGTCTTGACAGATATTTTGTCTAATTACAGCTACCCCGATCTTTTTTTGTTTCCATTGGCATGGAATATCTTTTTTTATATGCCTTTATTTTCAGTCTATATGTGTCTTTATAGGTGAAGTGTGTTTCTTGTAGGGAACAGATCACCGGGTCTTGTTTTTTAATCCATGCAATCACTCTGTGTCTTTTGATTGGAGAATTTAGTCCATTTACATTCAATGTTATTATTGATAGGTAAGAACTTGCCCCTGCCATGTTTTATTAGTTGTCTTGTTGTTTTGTGGTCTTCTCTTCCTTCTTTCCTTCCTTCCTGTCTTCTTTTCAGTGAAAATGATTTTCTCTCTTGGTATGATTTAATTTATTGCTTTTTATTTTTTTGTACCCATTTTATGTTTTTTGATTTGAGGTTACCACAAGGCTTGCAGATACTATCTTATAACCCATTATAAGCCGATACAACAACTTAACACTGTGCATAAACAAACAAGGAAAAAGAAATCTAATAAAAACTCTGCACCTTAACTTTGTCCTCCAACTTTTATTAAACTTTTTGTTATTTCTATTGCTATCTTATTTTACTATCCATATCTTGATAAGTTGTTGTAGTTACTACTTTTGATTATATCATCATTTAGTCTTTCTACTTAAGATAAGCTTACACAGCACAGTTACAGTGTTATAATATTCTGTGATTTTCTGTGTTCTTACTATTACCAGTGAGTTTTGCACCTTCAGATGATTTCTTATCGCTCATTAATGTCCTTTTCTTTCTGATTCAAGTACTCCCTATAGCATTTCCTGTAGGACAGCTCTGATGTTGATAAAATCCCTCAGCTTTTGTTTATGTGGTAAGGTCTTTAACTCTCCTTCATGTTTGAAGGATATTTTCACCAAATATATTATTATAGGGTGAATTTTTTTTTTCCTTCAGCTTTTAAATATGTTATGCCACTCTCTCCTGTCCTGTAAAGTTTCCACTGAAAAGTCTGGGGCCAGATGTATTAGAGCTCCATTGTATGTAATTTCTTTTCTTTTGCTGCTTTTAGCATCCTTTATCTTTTACCTTTGGGAGTTTGATTATTAAATATCTTAAGGTAATCTTTTTTGGGTTAAATCTGCTTGGTATTCTATAACCTCCTTGTACTTTGATATTGATATCTTTCTCTAGATTCGGGAAGTTCTCTGATATTATGTCTTTGAATAAACTTTCTACCCCATCTCTCTATCTCCTCTTTAAAGCCAAAAACTCTTAGATTTGCCCTTTAGAAGCTGTTTTCTAGATCTTGTAGGCATGCTTTATTGTTTTTCACTCTTTTTTCTTTTGTCTCCTCTGATCGTGTATTTTCAAATAGCCTGTCTTCAAGTTCACTAATTCTTTCTTCTGCTTGATCAATTCTGCTATTAGAAGACTCTGATGCACTCTTCAGTATGTCAATTGCATTCTTCAACTCCATAATTTCTGCATCATTCTTTTAAATGATGTCAATCACTTTGTTAAGTTTATCTCACAGAATTCTGAATTTCCTTGTCTGTGTTACCTTGAATTTGAGTTTCCTCAAAACACTTATTTTGAATTCTCTGCCTGAAAGGTCGCATATCTCTGTTTCTCCAGGATTAGTCCCTGGTGTCTTATTTAGTTCATTTGGTAAGGTCATGATTTCCTGGGTTGTCTTGATCCTTATAGATGTTTGTCTGTGCCTGGGCATTGAAGAGTTCGATATTTATTGTAGTCTTCACAGCCTGGGCTTGTTTGTGTCTGCCTTTCTTGAGAAGGCTTTCCACAGCTTGAAAGATATTGTGATCTAAGCCATATCTGCACTTGAGAGCACCCCAAGCTCAATAATGCTGTGGTTCTTGCAGACTCCTTAAGGTACTACCTTGATCATCTTGGATAAAATCCAGAAAAATGTTCTGAATTATCAGGCAGAGACTCTTGTTCTCTTTCCTTACTTTCTACCAAACAAACAGTCTCTCTTCCTCTGTTCTGGAGTTGGGGGTGGGGTGACACAGGCACACCTGCAGCCACTACCACTGGGACTGTGCTGGGTGAGACCCGAAGCCAGCAGAGTACTAGGTCTTGCCCAAAGTGCACTGTAACCACTTCCTGGCTACTGCCTATTTTCTCTCAAGGCCCTGAGGCTCTACAATTAGCAGATGACAAGCCAGCCAAGCTTGAGTCTCTCTCTTAAGGGTGGCAAGTTCCCTTAGGCCCCAGGTAGGTCCAGAGGTGCCGTCAGAGAGCCAGGGACTGGAGTAAAAAGGCTTAGAAGTCTACCTGGTGTTCCATTGTATGGTGGCTAAGCTGGCACTCAAATCATGAGGAAGAACTTTTTGTTCTTCCTTCTGCTTTTCACAGGCAGAGGAGCTTCACCCCACGGCCATCACCACCACAGGCCCACGAGAGTACTACCAGGCTACTGCAGATGGTCCTTTTAGGCCCAAGGGCTCTTCAGTCAATTTATGTTGAATGCTGCCTGGGACTCACCCTTCAGGGCAATGGGCTCCCCTCTGTACCACACACAGCAGATACAGAAATGCTGTCCAAGAGCCCAAGGCCTGGAACTGGGGACCCCCAAGGAGCTGTTTGGTGCTCTGTCCCACTGTGGCTGACCTGGTACCTGATTTTTGGTTCTTACGAAGGTAGTTTTTTGTGTAGATCGTTGTTAAATTGGTGTCCTTGTGGCAGGGGCATGATTGGTGAAGCCTTCTATTCTGCCATCTTGCTCTACCTCTCTCTCAGGAGATAATTTTTGTTTTTCGTAAGCTGTGTGTTTCCTAATGCTGCTGTAAAATTTGCCACAACTTTAGTGGCTTTAAACAATACAAACATATTCCCTTATGATTCTGGAGTTCAGAAGTCCAAAATGAGTCTTATTGGGTTAAAATCAAGGTGTTGTCAGGTTTGTGTTTCTCCTAGAAGCTGCAGGGGAAACTCTGCTTCCTTGCCTTGTCTAGCCTCTAGAGGCCACCTGTAATCCTAGAATCATGACCCCTTACTCCCTCTTCAGAATGCATGACTCCAACCTCTGCTTCTGTCATCACCTCCCTTTTTCTGACTTGGATCTTCTTGCCTCTCTATTTCAGTAACCCTTGACATTACACTGGGCTCACCTGGATGATGGAGGATAATCTCCCCATCTCATGACTCTTAATTTAATAATATCTACAAAGTCCTTTTTTCCATGAAAGGTAATATATTCACAGATTCTAGAGATTGGCACATAGCCATCTTTGGAAGTCCATTGTTCTGTCTACCACACTATCTGAAAAACAACGTTATTAAGAATATAATTTTTCTAGTGGAAGTCCTTGTTATTCTTTTTTATTTTTGAGATGGAGTCTCACTCTGTTGCCCAGGCTGGAGTGCAGTGGTGTGGTCTCAGCTCACTACAACCTCTGCCTCCCAGGTTTAAGCAATTCTCCTGCCTCAGTCTCCTGAGTAGTTGGGACTACAGGCACCTGCCACCACATCTGGCTAATTTTTTGTATTTTTAGTAGACACGGGTTTCACCATGTTGACCAGGTTGGTCTCGAACTCCTGACCTTGTGATCTGCCCACCTCAACCTCCCAAAGCGCTGGGATTACAGGCGTGAGCCACCATGCCCGGCTGAAGTTCTTGTTCTTAATAGTTTAATAGTTTATTTATAGGCAGAAATAATTCCCACAAAGGTTCAGACAGAGTGCAATGTTTAAGCCAAGTAGATTAGATTATTAGATGATTACTTTTTGTTGCCTTTTTTTTTTTTAAAACAAAAACAATGTTTATTTCAAATCCAAGCTAATTTTGGAGATAAGTGAATTTGTAGTCCTCTGTATCTCCTTTCTTTTCACCACCATGGCTTTTTTCTACAATAGTTACATTTTTTTTTATTTGACAAAATGTTGTTCGATACAGTTATGGTTAACATTTAACCCATTTTCTCACTTGTTAAAAATAGACACTATGCTAAGTGTAGCTAAACATATGACAACAAAGCCCATTAAAAATAAATAACAAAGTTGATAACTTTTTAATGATAATTTACCAAATTTTAGTATGTGCATTAAATTAAAACAAGAAAAAGCTGAGAAACTATAGCAGATTGGAGGATTCAAAGGAGACATGATGACTAAATGCAATGTGGTAACCTGAATGGGATCCTGGAACAGACATAGATGGAAAAAGTAGTAAAATCTGAATAAACTCTGTAGTCTAATTTAAAAAAAAATTAATGTTTGCATTAAATATACATGGCTTTTGATGCCTTTAAACCTTGACACCAATGATAAATAAAAGGATGATTTCTACTTCAAGTGTGTCTTGTATTTGAAAACAAATTCATGATCAATGGATTTTTGTTCAACTACCTGTAAATGTTAATTGTCAGGAAATTTTTCCTGCACTGTGAAAGGATCCTCAGTTTTTGTTGAAATAATATTAAATCTACTTGCCCTGATTTGTAAAATACTTCACAGAAAAATACTGATGATAACCTCTAGAGTCAGAGATGCTATCTACAAGGATGAATGTGATTAACAGGCCTGGGAAATCACCCAGCTAGGAAAAAAAAAAAAAAAGACAACATAGCATTCATTTGTCAACCCACCTTAAAAGCAAATGACAGGAGCAATTTCTCTTACTCTTTTACTAGGCCAACATGAATTCATGCTCATTAGCGGGTTGAGTGTGCAATGCCTTGCAGGTGCTCTTTTGTAATACAGGAATATTAATTAAGTCTTTGCACAATATCCAGTCACTAATTACTATTTAGCTCCACTGGTTCATATCTCAGAGTCTGTGTGTTACTGTTTTCTGGGTTCAGCCAGCCTCCTTTGCTTGGCAGTATTTCGCATTTGCCTTCACCTTGTGTGTTTCTAACCATTTCTCTTGTGTGGATTATTTTTCAAACTTCACAAAATGTTAGCTGTATAGTGGGTATTATTTTGAGTACATTGAAAACCTGTTAAAAATTCTCTCTCCACCTCCTCCCACCGCCTACCGTTTTCATGTTGTTCCCAATGATATCTCGCCAACATTTTAGTTTCCTGGGAAACTTTATGAAGACCCTTTTCTGAACTATATAATCTGGGCAGAAATAATCATAATGTTAGTAGGTGGGTCTGCTTATCTTAGAAAGAAATGTAGGGAATGGTTTAATCCACAGGAGAGAATGTACTTGTACAAAAGATTTCTAATTAGAACATTTTCCTTCCAATGGTAGAGTAGTTAGAGGGGTCAGGTATATATAGAAGTGTAATTCCTTGAAGATTATTGCTTCATAGTTTAGGCTATCCCTGTGTACTCTAAGCAACTAACCAACTGGAATGATTTCAGAGCTCTGAAAAGCTACTGGCCCCATATATTTTTCTGACTCAGGTTTAGAAGAACTGCTTCTTACGGGCTTTCTGGTAAAGATGTTGTTTTTGGACCACTAGCACATTTAGTGGTACTAGTTAAACCTATTACCATTCATGGTTATCAGATAAAGAGTAGCTCATAAGGGAATGAGAACTCATGACAGGTTATTTTTTGATGGAAAGGACCTATTGGGGGAAGTAATAGAGAAAACTCCAGAAAATTCCCAGGGGTCAGCAGAGTGCAATCAGGTAATCTGGTCGTTCGAAGTTCCTTTTAAAAAAGGGGGATGCAGGAAAGTTTTAGAAAATGCTGCACAGTTTCCCATATAAATATATGTATGCATCATCTTACAAGGGTTCTTATTAAGTATTTATTTGCTTATGGTCCTATTAAATCATTTGGTGTCAGTGACCTAAAGAAGTTTTTCACATTTTTATTTTAGTGGTCAAAATCTTTTAAATTAAAAGTTGAAGAGATTCCCAGTGTGCAAAGCAATTGAAAACAGCTCTTCTGATGGAAGAGGGTTGGAATATCAGACTATTACACCTCCCCACAGCACTCAGCCTCTCCCTTGCAACCCAAAAATCCCTGAGGCGGCTTCCTGATTAAGTGCTATTAAAGTAACAAACATCCTTTGAAATGATTCAGTGTATTCAATAGATTCATGACTGGAACTACCATTTTGGAAAGAAAAATCGCTCTTCATTAAAGTTGGCAAAGATGAGAAATTGCTGATAGACCCACAACATTAATTTATTCACTCATCTATTATTGCAAAAATATTGATAACTTGCTATATGCCAGACACTTGACAAGCCCTGGAGATACAACGTGACCAACTAGACATGGTCCCTGCCTTGTGGAATTTACATTCTAATTAGGAATCAGCTATGTGCAGCCACATGCATTGTTTGAAGGGATCCTTTACACAAGTTGTTCTCCCTGTATCCAACCACGCTTTACTCAAAGCAAATTTTTCCACAGATAATATTTTAGATGTGTCTTATGATAACTTGCTCATGCTGTACAAAGTTCAAACAGCTACCTAGGTAGGGGGAAAGACAGCATTTGAGAATATCATTTGCAATATGTTGAAAGATTGCCAAAGCACGGCCCAATCTCAAAGCACATTATGATTCTGTGGTCAAAATGTTCATGATTAAAGGGAGTTTTCCATTCATCCTACTTAATATTTCTCAGTTCAGTTCATCTATGAAGTTCTTTGGGACATTTAAAATTTATTCTCTGAATGAACTCAAGCCACCTCAACAGCTGTTTTCTTTTAAGTCTTTCTCTTCTCTGTCACCAACAATCATAGAAAAGTGGAGACCCAGGTTTCCGTACACTATGATCTCAGGATGCTGTACCAGGCAGGCACACTGGCTTTCATCATCGCTGCTGTGTGTGCTCCCAGGGTCTGCTCCAGGAAGACTCTCCTGCTCTAGGAAGGTCCAAGCACTGCATCTTTCTAGAGTTGCCAGAGTCAGTATTTTATGTCATGCCATTCCTCCTCGCCATGGACTCTCCAAACCCACACATTGCATCTTTTGTTTCAAAAATGTTCCTTAATTTTTCTTTTCTTTTTTGAGAAAAGGCCTCACTGTGCTACCCAGGCTGGAGTGCAGTGATGCAATCATGGGTCACTCCAGCCTTGACTTCCCAGGCTCAGGTGATCCTCCTAACTCAGCCTCCTGAGTAGCTGGGACTACAGCTGTGTGCCACCATGCCTGGCTAATTTTTGTATTTTGTGTAGAGACAGGGTTTTACCATGTTGCCTAGGCTGGTCTGGCATTCCTGGACTCAAGCAACCTGCCTGCCTCGGCCTCCCAAAGTCCTGAGATTACAGGTGTGAGCCCCATGCCAGGCCCTGAATTTTATTTTGATAATCTCTGAGATTGCTAGAACCACTGGAAAGTGCAGCACCACAGAGCCAGAAAATCAGTGGCATGATACCAACTAATGTGTAAATAACACTAGTTTACAATTAGTTATCCACGATTAACATGATTTTCACGGCAACACAGTGAGGAAGACATTCTCGTGATTCCCATCTGACAGATGGAGAAACCGAGCTTCAAAGATGTGAAGGATGTTTAAAGTCAGATTTAACTGGGCCTAAACTCCAAAGCTGGTTTTCTGATATCAGAACCTAGTTGGATTGGTGCACATGCCTGTATTTCTGGACATTTGGGATCATCCCAGGCCTCAGGCTTCCATACTTTCCTACTTTGACACTCCTGAGAAATCTCATCCGAAAGAAACTTCAATCTTGGCTCTTAAAAGAGAGGGTAGGGTAATAAGAATAATTAGAAGAGTAATTAGAATTGCGCCATAAGAAAGAGACAGAGTGGTCTGTTCACACCAATGGCTGGCTGACTTGAACTGTAGAGTGGCACTGCTGCTTACTGCCCCTGTGCAAGGACACGCTCTGCCTCCCCTGCCTCCTACAGCACGTGTCAGCTGCACAGACCTTCTTTCTGTTGCTGCAGCACACGAAAGCTCTCTCCCACCTGGGGGTCTTTACACGGCTGTGCCCTCTGCATCCCGGGACCTTCTTGCCAGCTCATTCCCATTATTCCTGGTCCCATTCAGATGCCAGCTCCTCAGGATGCCTCTTCTGCTCACTCTTTATAGCCCAGCCCATTACACTCTGTCCTGTCACCTTTGTTTATTCTCCTCAAACTACTTACTGTCTTTAAAATTAGCTTATTACTTTTTTTAGAATATACCATCTTAAGTATTTTAAGAGTACAGTTTAGGCCAGTGGTAGCTCACACCTGTAATCCCAGCATTTTGGGAGGTCAAAGCAGGTGGAATGCTTGAGCCCAGGAGTTCAAGACCAGCCTGAGCAACATGGCAAGAGCCCATCTATACAAAAAATAAAATTTTAATTAGCCAGGCACAGTGGCATGCACCTGTGAGCCCAGCTGTTCAGGAGGCTAAGGTAGCTGAGGTAGGAGGACGGCTTGCACCTAGGAGGTTGAGGCTGCAGTCAGCCATGATTGTGCCTCTGCACCCCAGTCTGAGCAACAGAGTGAGACCTTGTCTCTGAAAGAAAAACTGAGTGTACGGTTCAGTGGCAATAAGTACATTCACATTGTTACGCAACCATCACCACCATCCATCTCGAGAACTCTTCATCTTGCAAAACTGTGTGCCCGTTAAACAAAAACTCCCCATTTCCCAATCCTTCTAGCCCCTAGCAACCACTCCTATACTTTTTGTCTTTATGGATTTGGCTGCTCTAGGTACCTCATGTAAGTGGAATCATGTGATATTTTTCTTTTTGTGACTGGCTTACTTCACTTAGCATGATGTCCTTGAGGTGCACCATGTTGCAGCAGGTGCCAGAATTGCCTTCAAGACTGGATTGTGTTCCATGGTATGTATGCACCACATTTTGTTCATCCATTCACCCGCCAATAAACATTTGGGCTGCTTTCACCTTTGGCTATTGTGAATAATGCTGCCATAAACATAGGTGTACAAATATCCCTTTGAGGCTCTACTTTCAATTCTTTTGAGTATATACTCAGACGTTGAATTGTTGGATCATATGGTAATTCTATTTTTAATGTTTTGAGGAGCCTTCACACTACTGCAGCATTTTACATTCCCATCAGTGCATTACGGTTTTGATTTCTCCACATCCTTCTCAACATTTATTTAGTTCTGTTTTTTTTTTAATAGTAGCCATCCTGATGAGTGTGAGGTGGTGAAATTAGCTTCTCATCTACTTGTTTATCAACTATTTCTATTTACTAGAATAATAACTAGGAGAGCATTATTTATTCAACAGTGTTTGGCATGTAGATGATCAATAAATATTTTTTGACAGAACATAGGATGATCAGCATACTTTTTCATTTAATTTTTAAATGAAAATTTAAAATTTATATATATACGTGTGTGTATATATGTATGTTTATGTGTGTATATGTATATATATGTGTATATATATATATGTGTATATATATATGTGTATATATATGTGTATATATATACATATGTATATATGGAGAGAGAGAGAGAGAAAGAGTAAGGTTTACTTGACAGGTAAGTCTCTCTCCCCTTGCCCCCAGCTACCTAATTTATTTCTTCAGAAGCAACAACTTTTACTAATGTCTCATGTATCCTTCTAGAAGTGTCTTATAATTATAGTCATGTACACTCTTTTTTTCATACAAATGGTAGCTTACTGATTTATGAGCAAAATGTGGATTAGGAGCCAGACTAATGGGCTAATTCTAGGGACACAGGCCAGAGTTCAGTCCTCAAAGTAAGAAGGGAAACCAGTAGATCAGAGTCAGGAAGGTGAAATTGCACCAAGGCTCAGGATTAGAGGCCAGAACAGGCAGTTGTTCCCAGGCAGAAAGGAAGATTCTTGCATGTGTCACATACATCCCTGCCTGCAACTGGCAAAGTCTTCTCTCTGTCCCTTGTGTACCAATTTACTTCTAGATGTCTCCCCTACCTGCCAGAGAGCAAGCTCACATGGTAGGATGTGCTGTGAGCACATGGTGACTTTGGTGGAGGAGTCTGAGGTCATGGCACAATGTTGAAGTGGAATTATCCAGTGATGGGGATGGAAGTGGTGACAGTGAGTCTTGACTAGAGTTAATGACTTGGGTGTCATCTATACAGAGGGGGTGGGTGCTAAAGTTTATGGGCAACAGTGAGCCTTCTAAAATTAAGTGTGATCTGGGCATGGTGGTTCATGCCTGTAATCCCAGTGCTTTGGGAGGCCGAGGCGGGAGAATCACTTGAGGCCAGGGGTTTGAGACCATCACTGGGAACATAGTGAGACCCTGTCTTTACAAAAAAAAATAAAATAAAATAAACCAAAAATGAATAAATAAATAAAGTGTGTTAAGAGAGAAGAGCAACAGGCAAAGACTGCACCCTGCCAATGACCACTGAAATCAGGAAGTGAAAGAGAAATTGTTGAAGAAAGAGGAATAATCCTTATCACCCTCTTGGCATGGGCACAATGGTGATGTTTCTTCATTTAAGAATCTCTAAGTTCACTCTGAATCACATGAGATTTCCTTTTAAGTATTTCCAGTAATTTATTCGTTAATTTATTTGCACGGAAACCAAATGCTTTCCTGGAAAATTGGTCTGTAAAAATATGTCACTCTTCAGGACAGTTGATCCCACAATGTGCTAATGAGGAGCAAGAAAGAAGTAGTGTGCCCTCTCCACAAATTGTATTCTTAACATGTTCACCTGCCCAAGTACTTGCCATATTTCCATTTTTTTCAGTCTTTCTTTTATTCTTCAACCTATTTTAAAATATGACCTTTCTCTTAGGACTTAACTACTCTTTTTTTAACCTAAACCAAGATTTGCCCTATCCTCTGCATTGCAATGTCATTTTTATCTCTGTAGGTGGGAAAAATCAACTCTCTAGGATGTTCAATTAAGTTTTTCTTGGTTTGCCTATAAAAGCTATTTGAGGGTTTCTCTTAGGAACACCATCCACAGTAGCTTGCTTATACCTTAGAATAAAACCTCTGAGCTTTCAAACTTCTCTTTCCCCTCTGCTCTCCTGTTTCTTTCGGCCCCAAATATGCAATACCGCCTTCTGAAAAGCAGGCAAGTCTCTCATGTGACACCTTCAAATAATGCAAGAAGTGATCTTTTGCCCTAAAAGAATAAAGGGAATTCTGATTCTTTTTGCTGTTTTACAATGAAATTTCACCCTTTGCTTTCTATTTATGGCTTACCAAGTCTCAATGCTATATTGTTCTTTGAGAGAGAGCAAGAAGGTAATTCTGAATCCTAGTAAGCCCACATAGCACATATTCGGCCTGCAAACTCAAGTTCTAGGATCTAAAACCCATTAAACATAAGTCTGTGACATACAGAGAAAAGAACAATAGCAAAAAAAAGGAGCCCAATTATTCTCAAGAAAATACAGCTAGGGGAAGAGTTTTCAAAAATAGTTAAGTTTTCATATGCATCTATACCATCTTATTTTTATTCAATTTGCTCTTATTGACTATTTATCATGTGCTAGGTACTTTGTTAATGCTGGACATATAGAAATAAATAAGTTTCATAGAATCCACCTGGTTAAATAAAGAAAATGAGCTTGACCTTTCCACGGAGTAAAGTATGTGTGATACTATTGGTGTTACGGAGTCCCAAAAGGATAGAACTGTCAAGCGGAATGGGGCATTAGAAGGGAAATCTAGGTCAGAAAATCAATCTAATGGAAGAAGTATGTCAAGAAGGTATAAAACTCTGTGTAAAATTCAGAAGGACATTGTGGCAAGGTTATATTTAGTAATGGAGGGCTGGCAATTCATACTTCTGCTAGAAGTGCCATTCTTCCCACAGGGGAGTATCTATTAAATCCTTGGCTTAGTTTATTGACAATTTGTCCTCCATTAAAGTAGGGAAAACAGTGAGAAAAACAGCTATGCCAAACATGGTTCTGGCCAGCATAAAAGACTGGCTGGGGGTATGGAAGAGACAGAAGCCATGAGGAAAAATGACCCTGTCACATAATGTTAAGGAACGGGGAGGAATTTTTGGTGGGTAGACATTTCCTGGGACTTCCCTGGGGAAGTAGCTCAAAGGATGTTTAAAAGAAATGGAGGCACGATCCATTGCCTGAGACTAAGAAGGAATATGGCTAAAAAAAGATTGGAGGTTCTACAAAGCAAAATGTTGACAAGATCATCATAAATGATCTCAAGTAGAAAGAAAATGGAAAGCCAATATAGAGACCAATGCACGTACATAGATACTCTGAAGAGTTCTGTTTTTGACAAGCTATCTGAAAAAAAAATGCAAGCAGGGACACAAAATGAAGGGCACCAAAAAGTGACACAATCTTGATAGGGAAATAAGAATCAGCCTACAATCTGATAGGGCAAGATACCAATTTGATACTTTAACTCTGGTGTCTCCCCACCTCAACCCCCCAACCCCCATAATTGTTGCCTTGTACTCCTCCCTTAACAGCAAGCTAGACACAAGGCACCTGCCATCTCAGCAGAGGACCATTGAACACAGCATACAACCAGGAGAAAAATTAGTCCTATCCTGGGGCCTACATTGTTTTAGAGCTTGGTCAAGATGAGAGATACCCCCAGACCCCATATAATGATTGCCATATTTCTATGAGAAATTCCTATGTGTGGTGAGGGGAGGAGTTGGAAGTGGGTAGGGAGTGGTCTTCCAGATTGCATCTCCACTCCCAACTCCTCCCCCACCACACACAAACACACAAGAACTCCACGGCCATGGTGAAGTGACTGTGCAAGAAATCAAGGTGTTTGACCTCTTTTATTAAGAGCCCTAGGGCAGAAATGATGGGCTGTGGAGACATCACCACCTATCACAAGTCATTTTAGATAGTTTCAATGGGAAGGTCCCTCACTGTGCTTTATTAAACCACAAATCAGTGTAAATTCTAGACAAAGGAATGTCTCATAGAAATGTGGCAATCATTATACAGTCTCTTCTATTTTTGCAACATATGGATGTTTGTCTTCTGGAAAAGGGGTTTACAGATCTTACTATGACCTACTTTAGAACGATAGTCAACATCATAAATTGATGTTATTCTTTTCCCAAAAAATAAAACCCTAATCATATTAATTGTGTAATAGTTTCTCTAGACTATTATTCAAAGAATGAAGTATAATTGGCTTAAGACATTGATCCTTCCTTCGCGCAGCAAACAGAGCTCATGCCCAATAATTGCACATGGGCTGGATTTGCACTGGTTTCACCGTGAAAGAGAACTACTTAATGGTTGGATGCCAATGTGAAAAGAAGCGTCTAGTGGTATCTCAAAGGAATTTATTCTATTTTGTTTTTAAGTTTAACAATGACTGGGATAAAAACATGGAAAGCATAAAGAACTGTAATATACAAGCAAAATAAAGCTGGTGGGAATAGCCAATATTGCAGACAGTAGAATCAAAATATTAAAATGTCTCAACTGATTGGTAAAGTGGGCTGAAATAAATAACAACTAAGAAAAAAACATAAAGTCTCACATTGAGGCTAGAAAAAATACATTTTTTTCAAATACAGATCGTGTAAAAATATCTTAAGAGCAGGTCTCATGAAAAAATGCTAGGTGTTTACATTGGCTAGAATGTAAACATGGATGAGATTAAAAAGATGAATACATTTTATTTGCAGTGAGAGGGGATCAATGCACTTGAAAGGTACATTAATGGAATACTGATGTCCACATCCAGGGCAGTACTTGTCTCAACTGTGCTTTACCATGATCACAATTCATTGGGGTGTTGCATTTAATTCTTTGTACCTCATTTCAACATTGACAAGCATTTAGAGTTGGGCAAGTAGGATTGCTAGGAACTAATTTAGTCAATTTTTATATACCCACAGCCACTCTATAAGAAAGGAACAGCCCCTCTCCCATTCCATGTAGTCCTGGTGAGATTATCTGTCATTGTACTCACTCTAGCCTATTCTCCAGAGTGATTGCGCCAGGCACTGAATGTGACTTATGGATATTAAAGGCTCCAGAGTTTTTCATCATTGTTATTATAGGCTATAAGATGTAGGCTTGGGGCAGCCAGCCATAAACTTTCTGGCCATAAGGAGCCTGTTGCCAGCAAAGGAGAGTGAGGTCAACATGCCTGGAGAAGCCAAGATGGTGGTGTGCTGAAGCCAGCTCATATTGGCTCACGAGCATCACCTGTTAAATTTTCAGGAAATTTTGTGAGCCGGTCATTAAAGACAACCATGATTAAAAAGCAAATTATATAAACTTACAATTAAATAAATTATAATAAAAACAAAGATGGTACATATTCAAAACTCATTTCCTAACTATTTGACTGCATTTTATTATTATCTATGTTCCTGGGGTTAGTTATGCCTTTTGTTATAAAACAAAAAAAAAAAGTTTTTTTTGGAACTTTTATAGTATTTTGGTGGAAATGCTACATAATGGTGTTTTACTGCACATTTTTTCCCAGTTCTGTGTTCAGTGGCATTTACACTGGCAGCTTGAAATTACCCATAGTGGGAATATTTATACCATGAAAATTTTCAAACACTACAAGGCTTAATTTATTATTTTGTTGGTTTTCTAAACCAAAGATCCACAAGCTCTTTTTGTAAAGGACCAGACAATAAACATTTCAGGGTTTTCAGGTCATATAGTCTCTGTCAGAACTACTCAACTGTGCCATTGCAGTGCAAATGTAGCTATAGACAATACATACACAAAGCCATTGTGGCTGTGTTCCGATAAAACTTTATTTACAACAGACAGCAAGCCAGATTAGGACCACAGGTCATTTTGCCAATCCCCTATCTAAAGTTAACAGTGATGGAAAAATTGTTAATAATGCAGATTAAACTTTAAAATGTATCATCTCTAAAGATGCTACATAAATAGAACAAAAAAGAAAGAAAATCTTCTATTATCCAAAAACTATTATCTGGTTGAGCATTAGTCTTTGCAAAAAAAGTAAAGTTCCCCTATATATCTTTATTGTTTCACTTTCTTTTTTATCTGTGTGAGTCTCTGTGGGCCATAACAAAATATCATAGACTGGATGGCCCAAACTACAGAAATTTATTTCTCATGGTTCTGTCCAAGACCACAGTGCAGAAAGGTAGGTTTCATTCTAAGGTCTTCTCTCTTGGATTGTAGGTGGTCTCCATCTCATTGTGTACTTAGATGACTTCTTCGAGTCTGAGAATTCTCTCTCCCTCTTCCACTTCTTTTAAGGCCACCAGTTCTATCAGATTAGGGCCCCACTTTTATGACTACCTTTAACTTAATTACCTCCTTATAGGCCCTATCTACAAATACAGTCTCCTTAGGGGTTAGGGCTTCAGCAAATAAATTTGAGGGGGACACAGTTTAGTACATAGCATTGTCTTTCTTGTAAATGAAAATATCCACTAACATTCAAGTCAGAATTATACTGGTTTTTCAATAACAACCATATTTGTTTATAGATACAAGAGTTGAGCAAAAATAAACAAAAGTATCCAATGAGAATAAGTTAGCTGTATCAAATTTACTTAGAGTATTAGATATTATTCTTTGTAAATTGTGCTATACATTCCTCATATTAGTAAAATTTATAATAACTTTGTGTATGTATGTACGTACATACATTTTCCCCCAGAGACTTAGTTGTTAAACATTTACCAACCCAACACAAGCAGAAAACAGTAAAGAGAAAGATGAGGAAAGAGCCCAGGAAACAGCATTTGAGCCCTTGTTTGTAATTGGCAGCTCCACCCTTGTACTTTCCAGTTACATGAGCAAGTAAATTATTTTCATTGTAGTTTCTTAAAGCTAATTTTAATTGGATTTCTGTCAGTTGCCTCCAAGAATCTTGACTAACACTATGTGTCATAGACAAGTTCAGGGAACCAATTTTTTTTTTTTTTAACTTTCTCTCTCCTCTCTCTCTCTCTCTCTCTTTTGAGTGCCGAGAGAGGTTTCTGTAGGCTGAAGATCCAGCCCACATTTTTAAAAAGTCAGGTAAGTCTTTAAGTGTAAGAGATTAATAAACTCTATCCTGAAACTCTGGATTTTGCATTGCTAGTTCTACTGCTTCTCTGACTCTGCACTCAGTTTCACTTTCACGAAAAGGTTCAAGCTAGGTGTGGTGGCCCATCCCTGTAATCCCAGCACTGTGTGAGGCCAAGGAAGGAGGATCTCTTGAGCTCAGGAGTTTGAGACTGGCCTGGGCAACATAATGAGACTTCATTTCTACTAAAAAAATTTTTTAAATTTTTTTGGTTAATGCCTCAATAAAGGGTCACTTCTGAGCCTTGATTCTCATTTTTCACCCAGTTCTGCAAATGAGTATCTTCCCGTTCTTGCACCTGATTGACTTGCCTGGTGCCAGTACCTTTAGGACTGGCCCTGCCTTTTCCTTACCAGATGCTCCTGGATGTGGCATTTGCACCCGAGACTCAGCTGCTGGAAGACAGTATGCCCTGTGCTGCCAGGTCCATTAGCTTCCCAGCAGCCTGTTTCCAATTTCCCATAGCAGTGCTTCTGTGGGGATGAGCTCTGCTGGTCCTCTCTGATGTAAATTGCTGTTCTCAACAACGCCCTCCAATCTGTAATGTGGCCCACTGGACACAGGATTCTGCCTGCCACAGGAGACCCCTTCCCAGAGTCTGCTGCTCAATGGAGCCCACCCAGCTGACTCTCCCCAGTAAGGCCCTTCCTTGCAGAGCCAACTCCTCCCAGGCCCCTGCAGCAGCTGGTCAAGCCAGGCCCTGACAAATCTCTTTTCAAAACTGCAACACCTGGTGTCATCTTGTGCTGAAAACAGAATCATTTGCTGCAGTTTGGAACCCAGTTATGTGACTGCCTTTAACTTAGGACTGAGAGTTCTGCTTGAACATATTGAAAATAGTTCTGCCTGTGAAAAGACAATTTTAATATTCCCTAAATTTGTTGTTAAAAAACAAATTGGGCTGGGCGTGGTGGCTCATGCCTGTAATCCCAAATATTCAGGAGGCTGAGGTGGGAGGATCTCTTCATCCCAGAAGTTCAAGACTGCAGTAAGCCATGATTGCACTACGGCACTCCAGCCTGGGCAACAAAGCGAGACCCTGTCTCAAAAAAAAAAAAAAAAAAAAAAAGGTGATGATGCTGGGAAAAAAAGATTTTAATAAAAATGATGCTGAAGGGGGAAACAATCTTTAATGGATAAGACTCATTCAAGATCCACAAATATAATAATGTAATTATTACAATTGAGAGTTTCTTTCTCAAGCCATATAGGATTTCCATTGGGGATTTCCCCACAGTAATGGGATTTCTCTTAGTTTTTCCCTGGAGCAGCTGTGCTCAACCTTTTTTGTACGACAGCTTACTTGATAAATGATATTTAAATCTGCAACACTCCCACAGGCATGTCCAGATTTTAATGAGTCAAAAACAATTTGTGTGTGCAGAAATAAAGTGCTACAATGATTTTTAATGGCCGGAGCTATTAAATGTAGATCAGTAATAGACAGGCAAGACTATCAGCTATGTGTAGTTTCTGATACATTAGCAATCATTCCATTCTTTCTCCCACTCAATAAAGCATTATGGATTTTATTATTATTATTATTATTATTATTTGACACAGGGTCACTCTGTTGCCTAGGCTGGAGTGCAGTGGCAGGATCACAGCTCACTGCAGCCTTGACCTCCCCAGCTCAAGTGATCCTCCCACCTCAGTCCCACAAGCAGCTGGGACTACAGGCACATGCCACCATACTCAGCTATTTTTATTTTTTGTAGAGACAGGGCCTCCCCGTGTTGCCCAGGCTGGTCTCAAACTCCCAGGCTCAAGCGATCTGCCCACCGCAGCTTCCCAAAGTGCTGGGATTACAAGAGTGAACCACCGCACCTGGCCAAGCACTGTGGATTTTAGATTATTGAGAGTTGTTATTCTGCGGAGTAACCTTGAATCCATTCACATGTATCTTTTTAAGTAAAATATTTGCAAGCTTGAGAACTCTGGCTCCCATCAGTTATGCTAGTCACTGTGATGCACCTCACAAGTGGCTGAGAGTCAGCCTTGGGACATGGGTCATCACATAACAAAGGGAAAGAAGGGGAGAAGGAACAAAAGCCATTTTGTAGGAAATAGAACAAGGTGGGGAAGAAAATAGGGGGTAAAGAAGAAAAAGAATTTGGAAGGAGATGTGGAATGTTACAGCACCAGATCATTTGACTTCCCTCAATTTAGCAGCTATGGTTTAAAAGCAAGGAAAGCAAATCGACTTTGTCCTTTATCCAGAGGAGTCACAAGTCTGGGTGCAGGGTGAGAAGATGGCCTGAGTTGGGGCCAGCAAGTCCTAGAACTTCTTGTGAGTATGAAAAGTAAAAAAGAGAGAAGACACACTTTTGTCAGCCAGTCTTAAGTAGCTAAAATGCTTTCCTCCACCTACTGAGAAAAAAGTTAGGATTCACCATTTTAGCATAAAATACCCTCACTCATTTTAAAATACATTTTCTAGAAATTCCCCCTTTCAAAGCAAGACATCTAATTTGAAAGCCTCATATCACAACTTTCAACTATAATATAAATTAAGTGATTTGGTTGGAATTTTAACATTAGAACACGGGTACATGTGACAATACTGGCAGGAAACACCTGGCACACTCAAAGGGGTAATGAGTAGAAGTTTAACAAAGGGACTATTCACAGAGGTGGGAGCAGAGTCAAGAGGAAAACAAGGAGAGTGAAGCACCAAGGATTGGCAGCACTGGGCAGCCTTTACCATCATGAAACCTAAAGGGACTAGGGGAGGAGAATTGAGCCGATCTTGAGCACAGCTGCAGAGCTGTGGGAGGGAGGGGGTGCCTGGCTGGAGCCATGGCTGAGAGCAGAGCCCTAGCCAAGAACAAACAGGCAAAGAGGGTGCAAGGGGTGGTGGAAGAGGGGCAAGATTCAGGACCTCATGGTGCTCACCATTGGCTAATCCCAATCAGAAGCCAGAGGGCAAGAGAACCAGAGTGATGGAGCCTCCGTAGGCCCTGAAGAGATGGAGAAGACAGAGAATGTGTTTGAAGATGGAGAATAACCTGCATAGGGAGTTTCTGCATAGCCTTCTCCCAATTCTTCTTCCTGCCTCTTCATCATGCTGAACAGTCATTGACAGTGTGAGTGGAAAGGAAGAATTGGCAACCTATGCTCTCTAGAATTTGCAACACTCACCATTCTGATTTGGGGCACACTGCTCTACTAAAGGGGAAAAAAATTACACACAAAATAAAGATATCAGTAGGTTCAAGAGGTAACCTAGGCAGTCTGGATCAAAATTTGGTGCCTTGTTTCTAAGGCATAAATGTGGTCTAGACATGTGGTTTTGAATAGAATCTGTTTCCTACAGACAAAAGGCCATGAAGATCAACAAATTGTTCTTAACTACTTCCACTTAACTTAATTGCATGAGGCCGCATAATCTACACAGCTGAAGAGAAGAGATGTACTCACAACTTGGATATGGCTTTCTTTGTTCACCAACTTTGAAAAGGCTTAGAATAAAGATTGTTTTTTCTTCCAGTGAATTTCAATATGTCAAAGAACTCAGCTTGAAATGAATAAGCCCCAGTAGGTTTTGCTTCAATATAAGAATTAAATGATTTTATTCTGATATCTAGGCAATCTATAAAGAAGTTGCAATTTGATGCCTGGTGCCAAATTTTACTTTTTTAAGACTTGTCGTTCTACTTGTATCTTTCATGATGCTGAGAGAGAAAAGTAAAAGGAGGCTGTGCTGTTATCCAGACCTGACAAGTCTTAATTCAAATTTCGTTAATTACACACATAACACATTTTTATTATAAAGTTTATAATATCTAGTAAAAAGTTGTAGGTGAAAAAACAAGTTCTAAGTTCAAATATGGTTAGGATGTACTTGATTAAACAAATATAAATGAACTTGTTGCTATAGAATTTCTCATATCTGTCATATTCTAACATGATGTATTTATACAAGGGGGCTAACGGGTGCAGCCTTCCCAGGCTTCCTTGACCATCAAACACTTGTGTCACACATCATCTTGTTAGACTAATGTTTCATAGAATTAATTTTTGAAGCACTCTCTTAACAGGAGGTCTCCAAGTTCCTATTTCTGTACTAACAGTGTATAAATCCTGGCATTATTAGTGGTGAGACTAGGTTTTTAGGAATGTCTATGGGCTGATGGAAGCATCTCCTGGCTGTAGAATCAGAAGAATTAAGTTTATTCCAAACTCAGTTGCAGTTGGTTGTACTACTCACTAGCAGAGAGACACTGGGTAAATCAACATGACTTTTCTGAGACTCAAATTTCCTCATCTCTAAGAGAAATGATCCTTACCTCAATAGGTCTTTAAGGTTTTCAAATAGCTTAGGACTTCCACAAAACATTAAATATACCCCTACCATATGATAAGACTTTCTACACCCAGGTATTTATTCAAAGAAAGAAAGGCATATGTCATATAAGAATGTTCATGGTAGCTTTATTTGTAATAGCTAAAGGTAGAAATTACTCAAATGTCCATCAACACAGAATGAATAAACAAATTGTGGTATATCCATACAATGGAATATTACTCAGCAATGAAAAGAAGTGAACTATTCATACACACAACGACACGGATGAATCTCAAAATTTATCACCAGTGAAATAGGTAAGACAAAAAGCATACATACTATACAATTTTATGTATGTAAAGGTATAAAAAAACTAAACTATAGTAACAGAGAAAGGATCTGTGGCTTCTGTGGTTGCCTGGGGACTAAGGGAAAGGGGGCAACAGGAAATGGTGGGAGGGGAGAATTACAAATGGGATTATGAGTAAACTTTTGGGAATGACAGATGTGTTCACTATCTTGATTGTTGTGACAATTTTGTGGGTATATGCATAAGTCAAAATTTTTCAAATTTTACATTTTAAGTACTTGCAGTATATGAGAGTTTGGGTTTCTCCACATCCTCCTCAATATTTGGTGTGGTCAGTCTTTCTAATTTTGTTAATTTAATGGATATGTGGTGATATCCATGATAGTTTGAATTTGCATTTCCATAATAACTACAGATGTTGAACATCTTTTCCTGTGCTTATTTGCTACCAATATACTTTCTTTGGTGAAGTGTCTATTTAAATTTTCTTCCTTTTTCATTTGTTTTTTTCTCCTATTGTTGAATTTTGAGAGTTTTTAGATATTTTTGATAAAAGTTATTTATCAGATACATGATTTGCAAATATTTTCACCCAGTATGTGCTTTTGGTATTTTGTGCAAGAAATCTTTGCTTAACCCAAGGCTGCAAAAATGTTATCATATGTTTTCTTCTAGAAGTATTATAGTTTTTGGATTTTACACTTAGGTCTATTGTTCACTTTGAGTTAATTTTTGTATATGGTACAACATGTGGATCAAAGTTCATTTATTTTGCACATAGATATTCCCTTTTTTCCAGAACCATTTGTTGAAAGGCTACATTTTTGTCCAAGAACTGGGCTTTAAACTTTGTCAACAACCAAGTTTTCATTTATGTTTGGGTCTGTTTCAGGACTCTATTCTGTTCCCTTGGTCTACTTGTCTAACTTGACTCCAGTACCACAGTATCTTGCTGTAGCTTTATAAACTTTGAAATCAGGTAATTTTTAGTGTTCTCAACTTTTTCCTTCTTTTCAAAATTGTTTTAACTAGTCTAGGTCCTTGGTATAGCCATATAAATGTCAGAATCAGCTTGTCAATTTGTACCAAAAAAGTGTGCCAAGATTTTGATTGAGATTGTGTTTAATCTATAGACCAATTTGAGGATAATTTTAACTTAGCAATATCAAGTCTTCAATACCATGATATCTTTATTTATTTAGATCTGCTTTAATTTATTTTGGCAATGTTTTGTAGCTTTCAGCATATAGGTCTTGCACATATCTTGTCAAATTTACATCTATGTATCATATTTTTATGCTACTGTAAGCAGCATTGTTTTATTTAAATTTCTGATAGTTTGTTGCAGGTACATAGAAACGCAACTGATTCTTGCTTGCTGATCCTGTATCCAGCAACCTTGCTCATTTATTAGTTTTAGGAGCTTTTTAAGATTTGCTCAGATTTCCTATGTAAGCTATCACATTATCTGGGAATAAAGGGAGTTTTACTTCTTCCTTTCCAATCTGAACATCTGTTATTCTTTTTTCTTTTTTTTTTTTTTTCATTATTGCCCAAGCTAGAGTCTCAAGCACACTTAAATAGAAGTGGTGAGAGCAGACATTCTTGTCTTGGTCCTGACCTTAGTGGGAGAGTATTCAGTATTTCATCATTAAGTATGATGTATGGCTATAGTTTATTTCATAGATTCCCTTTATCAGGTTAAAGACATTCCCTTCTTATCCAAATTTGCTGAGAGATTTTTAATGAGAAACAGATGTCATGTTTTGTCAAATGCTTTTCTGTGCCTATTTGGTCTGTTTATATGGTGAATTACATTAAGTTGATTTTCAAATGTTAAATTCTTGGATTCCTCAGATAAATAGCATGTGGTCATGTTGTAGCCTTCTTTTTCTAAATTATTACATATGATTCCCAAAGTGGTTGTTTTTTTTTTTTTTTTTTTTTTTTTTTGAGACGGAGTCTCACTCTGTCGCCCAAGCTGGAGCGCAGTGGCCTCGCTGCAAGCTCCGCCTCCCAGGTTCACACCATTCTCCTGCCTCAGCCTTCCAAGCAGCTGGGACGACAGGCGTCCGCCACTATGCCCGGCTAATTTCTTTTGTATTTTTAGTAGAGATGGGGTTTCACCGTGTTAGCCAGGATGGTCTCGATCTCCTGACCTCGTGATCCGCCCATCTCGGCCTCGCAAAGTGCTGGGATTACAGGCGTGAGCCACCGCGCCTGGCCAGCACACACCTCTGTTTTAAAGTAAAAAGCACAAAACAAAGTAAATCCAGAAAAGGATTGCTTTCATGTGCTTTCTACCCCATTTCCTCCCTCCCTATATAAGAGGTAATTGTTTTTGTCAGATTTTGTCTCATCCTTTCATTGTTAATTTTTGAAAATATAAGCAAATACAATTATATAGTTCCTTAACCAAAAGATAGCACACAATAAACACAGTTCTGCTCTGCTTGTAGGTTAGAATTTTGATTCCTGTTAAATTGCAACTCTTCTAGGAAAAATAAGGAGGTACATGTTAAATAAAGAGGTGCATGTTAAACTATCACTAGTTTCACACTTTGGTAGAAATTAGTTTCCTTGTCTTTTTTGAGAGCTGGGAAGTGTCTGAATGAGATTGAAAAGTTTCCTTTGAGAATAGGGATGAATTCAGGAATCTCGGAGCGTCACAAGCAAACTTCACTTTTACTTGGCATCAGAGGAGTGGGAAGGCAGGTGCTGGCAACCTGTTGAGGTGGCAAGGCTGCATGGATGAGTGCTCAAGTGCTGGCTTATACAGTATAAATCCAGCTACTTTCATTGTTATAAAACTGCTGGCCATCAGAGGGGGTAATTAGAGTTTTATGTTTTAGTTGGACTTCTCAGCTGAATTAAATGTGATAAGGCTGTGCTTATCACTCTTGTGAAAGTCATTTCTACAATATTTACACAAACTCTATGAGACTTAAATCTTTTATTGATTTTCTGTTTGTCTCTGATAATGTTTCACTGAGAGGAAATGACTGAGATCCTGGAATTCGCGTCTTTAACACATGACTGTTCCCAAAGTCATGAGTTGTTGTTGTTGTTGTTGTTGTTAACAAACCTCTTTATTTCCTACAATAAGTATATTCCATCTTGCATTTGCTTTAATAGATGAGAGTTTCCAATGTCATTAGTGATTTTTAGCACTTTATAGTACCATCATATTTTTATAACCAAGGCCAGGGAGATGAAAGGGGTATTGACAATATTTGTTGGCATTGGTTGTTGTCTTTGTAACCAGAACTGCCTCTTTTATTCTGTGCTTTTTCTAATTATTTCTGGTTATGATAATGTTTTTCTTTGGCTTCTAGGGGGAAGTATGTAATGATGTTTGTGACAAAAAATAAATGTGATCAACTGGTAAAAACAGCCTGATGTTGTGTCTTCAGTGAATGTTCCCACTAGCCAGGCTGAGCTTAAGGTTAGTGATCCCATGGCACACACAACCTTCAGGTAAAGCCAACAGGGAAGAAACGAATTCAAAACAGTGTAAAATAGTATAGAGCCAGCACTTTCTATTCTATAGAGAGAAGTAACCTCAGAAAAAGACTATGGCAAATGACTAGGGCAACCCCTTATGTCTTCACATCATATTCCATCCTCTATGATGAAAGAGCAAAGTTACTTGAGATTGGAGCATAGTTAGAGGATGGAAAGAAATTTAAGTGTTCCCGTTCAATGCTGCTTTACATACCTGCATTTAAAGGGTCTCAAGACTTTTGACCTGCTGTAATGATTACTGTTCCAGTCTAATTGGTTGACCACTAACATTTGCGACCTACTATACTTACCTGGATAACAGGATCTAAAATAATGGTCCCAAGCCACAGTTTGTCTGTAGGAGCTATTGTGTTACATAATATGTGTGTGCTGAGTTAGTTTGGTGATTCATGTATAACTGATTGTGGTTATAATCTAGTAGGAGATAACCAAAGGCATAGGATTTGGGTCATAGAGTGGAATGAAGAGTCACCATATTCTCTTCTCAAAGATAATTTAGAATCAGAGAAGCCAAGTAAGACATCTTTAGAATCAAACAAACCAAGTAAGAGCAGAGAATCTGTACTAGAGACCAACAGCCTCCAAAAGAGACGACCAAAGTTCTCCCTGACATGTCAGAGACTTGAGAATGAGTGCAATTCATACAAAAGAATTGGCATCCCATGATCCAACCTAAAGACAGAAAGTCAAGTCCTATTTTGTCCACTTACTCTTGTGTGTCCTTGAACAAATTGCTATGGAGACAATAATCTCTGTCTATTTCACACGGCTTTTGTGACAAAGAAAATGTATATGAGAGAGAAACTCTCGCTGTAAAGTATTACAGAACTAAAAAGACTACCTGAATGACCAGAATGTGAAGGAAGGGGAAGCAGCATTTTGAGTATTCCTTTTTTCCAACCAATATATTCCGTTGATCCTAATGACAACTCTGGTGCTCTTAGCTTATTCTTGCCCCACAAGCACAAAGAAACAGATTTAAGGGTGTGGGATAGTTCCCTGAGCCCAGCCTTCCTTACAGGAGGTCCTTAATCCCTTAGGTGGGAACATTTTTTCAGAAAAAGACTCTCCTGAACATTTGCTGACTTTCCCTATGGCCTATTAAGTCTTAAATACATATACTGTGGGGCAGGTCAAACATTCCCTTAAATTCTTTCAGCTTCAGAATTATTTAATGTGACAGTCGCCATGATGGCATAATAGAGCCACCCAATACCCACGCTGACTGGACCTCACCATTCCGCAGCTCTCTTTAGCAGCTTCCTTTAATAGCTTAAATCTACCCCTCAGGAACTCCCAACTTCCCTTTAAATGTGATTAAATTTTGTATTTAATTGTTTAATTATTTTTAAACTAATTTCTGCCTCTAGGTGTATGGTCAACTAAACAATCCAAAAACCATGTAGCTCCACAATAATCAGAAATTCTGGATCCAGTAAAACAAGTCTCCTTTAAGACATGGCTGAATGCTGGAAGAAAGTAAAGAAAGTTCCTGGAGTCAAAGATGAAGTGAGAAGGAAAAATCAGAGCAGTGAGTACGTGCATGTATGCTAGAGCCACTCAGGGTGGGAGTTGCCTGGCTTGGCCACCTAGAGGCTTGGATTAGAATGCTCAGGCCAGGGCAGAATGTGAGGCCTGGAGATACAGAATGCTGGGTGTTGGAACTGCAACCCCTGCAGAAATCCTGGTCTTCAGAAGGGCTATACTCAGAGTGAGGGAATGAATCAGGAAATGCACCCATCGGCTCAGGGAGACAATAAAGGTGATTTTCTATCTCAGTGGTCTGGGCTCTAGGGGAAAAGTTTCCCTTGAGAGTTTGTAATCATGGGTCTGTCATTCCATTGGTTCTGAAAACCTCTAAACTGAGAAATAAACATAAACTGAGGTGGGGGCAGTAATTCCCCTTGGGCAACTAACAGAAACAAGGGCAAAACCTTCCTGATCTAGAGGATTAGGGTTGTCCAGGCCCCTCGGGATTCCCTCCAGCCGTTCCTGCATTTCAAGATGCATGCTCTTAAGCTCTTATTCTCATACTTTTCAGTTCCAATGACCACAACTCTTTCAACAAATTTTTATAGGAGTTTCCAGAAACTTCATCCCGCTCATTTTTTTCTGTGTTCTAACATGTCATGTTTCATTTAAAATGTATCCTTTTCCTCCAGTTCAGACCTAAAGGTAATACACCAGAAATTGTCTAATGTGTGGTATAAAATAGGACCATGATAAAAAAAAACCAAAGTAATAAAAAATTATATTACTGTAATAATTTATTAACGTCATATCACTATAATAAAACTTTTATTATAATAACAACTACAGTTGATATGTCTTATGTGCCAAATACTATGTACTAGACATGCACACTCCTTTTTAATCCTGAGGAAATCCTGGGATAGGTTCTAACACTACCCTCCTTCTACACATGAGGAGAAAGAGGCTTAGTAACTTACCCAGGGTAAAGGAGCTGGGAAGTGGTCACAGAGCTGGCAATGTGTTATCACCAAAGCCAGGATTGAAACCCAGCCCTATCTACCTTCAATGCCCTTGCTTTAAGCCACGAATCCTCCATCTCTCTTAATACTAGTCCTGGTAGGGCTAGTTCCCTTGTTAGTGACTATCACGCGCTTGAAAGTGTTTGAAGCGACCTAATATTCCTAGGATCCTTACTTCTATAAACATTTAAATCACAGTTATTTTTCCCAAAGATAGATTGTCATGGGAGAGGGGAACAAAGACTAATGAGGAAGGCACAGGCAGGAAGCGGGCAGAGGACCAGAAACAAAAGCAAAGATAGGAGTGGGTGGGGACACGGGAAATTTCTTTTGCTTACTTCACAAGCTTACAGCCGACCTGGCCTGGCAGGTGACAAGGTGCCTCTGGATGACACAGCCAGGGATTCTTCTAGGCCAGTTGCTTTTGATTTCTTACATTTTTTTGAAGGTAATACTAGATTTCTGAAACGGCTCTCACCGACGCGCCTTTGTTTCTCCTGGAGCCACGGCTCCTCAGCAGAGGACATTTGTGTTTGGGAAGCCTGCCCCCTCCTGGATTAGTGAAATCTTACAGGCCAGGTTTCCAAGCTCTCCAAAATTAGATCTAGTGTGTGAAAATGTTTAAACTGTCGTTCAGAGATTTGAGGAAAACAAATAATTTCTTTCATATGATTTCCCTGAGATTTTTGGATTCTTCTCATATAAATCTTTAGGTGTATTTTATGGATTTTGAAATAATACCCACCTAAAAATCCTGAAAAAATGTTTTAAGGACCCAAAGAGATAATAATAACAGCAATAATGGTAAACATTATATTCAGTGATTTCTATGTGCCAGCACTGTGCAAAGTACCCTGTGAATAATGCCAGTTGCAGCACTCACCACCACCCCAAGAGACAGGTTCTCTGCATTATTACCCCCCACCTTACAGAAAGCCTCAAAGCAGCAGTCCCCAACTTTTTTTGGCACGAGGGACCATCTTTGTGGAAGACAATTTTTCCACAGACCAGGCAGGGGGTCGGGGTGGGAGTGGTTTCAGGATGAAACTGTTCCACCTCAGATCATCAGGCATTAGATTCTCATAAGGAGTGTGCAACCTAGATCCCTCGCATGCACAGTTCACAATAGGGTTCACGCTCCTATGAGAATCTAATGTCACTTGCTGATCTGACAGGAGGCAGAGCTCAGAGGCAGTAATGCTCATTCTCACCAGCCGCTCACCTACTGCTGTACAATCCCATTCCTAACAGGCCACAGACTGGTACAGGTCCGCAACCATGGGGACCCCTGCAAACTGGAGATCTTCTCTACCACCACCCTCACACACCCAACCACCCGTAGGTTGGGAGCCCCTGAAATTCTTGAACTGTCATGCCATCCTATTGACCACACTTGATTGAATCAGAAATAATCAACCAAGCTGAGTTACTTGGACACTTTCTCCTGGGAATTTGGAAGCAGAATGAAAATAGCCATCAGTCTAGGCTTGTCACTTGAATGGAGGTCATCAAACATCAGGAGCCCACTGTGGAAGAGCATGTGCTGCCACGTGCATGGAGAGGCAGAAAAAGATAACCAGAAGAAAGAGAAAAGAACAAAGGGGAAGCACAGAAAAAAGACAACTTCCCTTTTCTTAGTCCCAGTCCCCCGTGAGGCTCCCCTGCTGGTTACACTGATTTGGCTACTTGAAATAGGTTTGTTTTTGTCTATCAAAAAAAAAAAAGTGTATATAACTAAGTCGTGTGAGCAGTAATATGTAAAAGTGAACCAAATCTACTGTTATAATGGAATAAAATCTGAAGTTAATATGGCACATTGAATGATGTGCATAATTTTATTGTACTCCATGGCAATTAGGCTCTAATAGGGAGCAATTAATGAAAATGACTATAATTATTATCATGTCAACAACGCCAAGCCAAGCAATTCCAAAGTCAGCTGTAGGGAGGAGGAATTAGAGACAGCAGGAAGTTGTTCTGGGGTTCCTCAGAAGAACCTGGGATTTAAAAACCAGGAGACTAAGTCCCCCACCTTGCCGCTCACTTCTCTAGCAACCATCACCCAGGAGGACTCCGGAGGTCCCAGCTAAGAAGCTGTGAGCCTCTAGCTACTCCTCACCACTCTCCTTGCACTACCTCTTCCCTTGCTGCTTCTCCAAAGAGGAGTCCTGAGGATGGTGGGTTGTTGGGGAAGGGCTGCATCTGCTTGAGAGGCTGTCTGTTCCTCAACACTGGATTGGTGAAAGCTGGAGCACAGAGAATTGGAAGCTGTTTTAGAAGAAGTTGCCAGCCTACTTTCCGTGGTGCACACCTCCTTCAGTCTATGTCTACCCTTGGCACAAAGCATCATCAACATGGTCCAGAATAGCTCAGCTGGGATCTGTGTTGAGGATGGCGATGAAATCCTCATGGCAATAAAATGCATGCAATGGCCTGGCTTTGCTCTCTGTTCCATGGGCAGCTGCGGCTAGGAGTGTGACACATGGTTGAGGTAGGACTGGATTGGGTTGTTGAGACTGCTGCATCCCAACCAAATACCATCATCTCAGTCTCTTTTCCACTGACGTACAACTAACAAAGACCCTTCAGAACAGTCAACGAAAGCCAGATCCTAGACATCTGAGTAGTTTGACTTAAAGTAGCCAGCACTTAGAAAAATCCAGTGACTGGAAGTATTCTGTTTTCCTCCTTCCACTAAACCAGTACCTCAGTCTGAACTTCCACCAATTTGTGCATTTGTGTTAGTAAGCAAATAAGTATCAGCTATTTTACATGTATTACTTCCTTGAAAATGGTTGTTTTTTTTTTTGGTTTGGGGGTTAATTAATCTAATTAATTAATTAACTGTGATCCTGGCATAAGAGTAATGGGAATGGTATGGAAAGAACCAAGAAAGGTTTTTCTGGAGTTATTCAGTACACATTAAGTACCATGTGTTAGTCATTGTGTTAGGCCCTGGAGGAAAAAAATCACAAAACAGAGCTCTACTTTTTTTATTTTCAGATGCAGTCTCACCCTGTTGCCCAGGCTGGAATGCAGTGGCACCATCCTGGCTCACCACAACCTCCACCTACTGGGTTCAAGCGATTCTCCTGCCCCAGCCTTCCAAGTAGCTGGGACTACAGGTGTTTCTGTATTTTTAGTAAAGATGGGGTTTCGCCATGTTGGCCAGGGTGGTCTCGAACTCCTGACCTCAGGTAATCCACCTGCCTTGGCCTCCCAAACTGCTGGGATTACAGGTGTGAGCCACCACACCTGGCCAGAACTCTACTCTTCAGGAACTTAGTGCATCAGGTACTCAACAGTAAGTAGCGTGATGACTTAGGGGCAGGAAAAAAGGAGGCTGTTTCTATCTTGGAACATTTTAATAACCTCCGAACATTTTATACGGATAAAGCTGGGTTAAAACAGATATTAAGAGGTGCCTAGGAGAGAAAGGATTGGGGTGGGAACTGGAAGAAAATTGTAGGAAAGGGGAGGGTTGTTATCTTGGAGCTGGAGATGGCTTCGTCCTAGTGCATCTGAGGGCTGTTTTTAAATAGTGTCTGTCTGAATCATTCCTCCGCCCTCCACCCTTCACTTTCCACCCTCCACCCAACCCTCTTCCTGAGTCACCCTGGCTGCCATTTCTCATTCTGAAAGGAGAAAGAGGAAAGGATATAATTTGTATCAAATCCCTACAAGCTGCTAGGATACATTGGTGCATTTCCTTTGGAACATTTCATCTACACATACCACAGTGCAATGGATGCGAGTTCTTCTGTGTAAAGATGGGGAAACTGAGGTGCAAAGGGGTAGGTAGCATGACTCTCCCCTTATTACACAGCTGGTAAGAGAAAGTGCCATAATGCAAACTCACATTCTAAATTATAACTTTATCATTAATAACGACTAGAACATGCATGCTGCTTTTTTTTTAAAGTTAAAAAAAAAAGCAGGTAAGTGTGAAACACAAAAATCTTTCCTTCTCTACATTCCAAAGTGTTTGGGGACACATCCCTATACAGTTTTTCTTGCATCCACAAATGTGTACTTACATATGTGACATGTAACTGTATATGTGAACATGAAAATTTTGACATAAAAGGGCATTCTAACCATATTGCTCTACAAATCACTTCTGTCACCTAATGCTACATCATGGATATCCTTCCATAATGTCCACATCTTTACATGTACTTCATTTTTCTAAGATCTATATGAAATTTAATAAATATATATTAGGTAAGCATTTTCTTATTGATGAGGATGTCTCTATTTTAAGATTTAATATTAGTGCAGTATTTAATACTAGTTAAAGTATTCTCTGTATCTGAGTTTTAAAATTTACTCAAATGTAATGCACAGGAATTCTGAAATGGAAATTTAAGTATCCCTTTCTCTCACCCTCCATTCCAACTTCCATTCCCCAGAGTTGCGATGTTGCTATTGTTGCTTTCGTGTTTTTCTTCTAGTACTTAACATTTCAACTTTAAATACATATAGTTCTTGATTTATCTGTTTTAGAAAGTATCTGTTGTCTTGCCTCGATGACAGCTGAGTTTACCATACTTTTTTTTTTTTTTTTTTTGAGAGGGAGTCTCACTCCATTGCCCAGCCTAGAGTGCAGTGCCACAATCTCGGCTCGCTGCAACCTCCGCCTCCCAGGTTCAAGCAATTCTCCTGCCTCAGCCTCCCAAGTAGCTGGGATTACAGGTGCCCGCACCACGTCCAGCTAATTTTTTTTATTTTCAGTACAGACAGGGTTTCACCATGTTGGCCAGGCTGGTCTCGAACTCCTGACCTCAGGTGATCCACCCACCTTGGCCTCCCGAAGTGCTGGTATTACAGGCGTGAGCCACCACACCTGGCCAAGTTTACCATACTTGTGCTATCTCTACCTCTTTCTTTTAAATGTTAGTCATATTAATAATTTTTAAATTATTCAGTTTAAATTTGTACTTTTCTATAGATATGTCGTGTGATTTGTCAAAAAATTTAAATTTTTGACAAAATGTCTTATGTACTTTGTCAAAAAATTTAAATTTTCAAAAAATGTAAAATCCAATCTCAAAAAATGTATTCTGATTATGTAAATATTATATACTATAGTTCCAAGAAGTATGATAGGATCCATAGGAAAGGAGACCCTGTCCTCTGTCACTTAACCATGCTGGCTGCTTGAAGGAGAAGGATTGAGATCTAATGGCTTATGCTTTTATTTCTTTTCAGTTTCCTCCTAAGCCATACTGGGCTGCCACTGTTCTTCATATATCAGGTTCAAGCTGATGGATCCAAGCCAAAGGACTCCATATTCTCCAAAGCCTATAAGCAGAATGCTGGTGTGGTGTGGGGGGGGAAGAAGTTCCATTGTGTCCCTACTGAAGGGACACAGAAGTACCAAAAGGGTCACTGAACTGCCAGGTACCAAGTGGTACCAGGTGCCACGAGGCTGCCAAAGGCAGAGATGAGCCAAGCCATCAACTTCAGCTGAGGTTGAGACATGGCATCCATAAATGCCAAACAGGACCATACTCTATGCAGAGAATAAGGATCAGAAAATCAAGTGCAAAACGGGAAGTCTCCCTAGAACCCACATGTGCTGATTCAAGACACCCTTATTCTCAAGCCACAGTGTTACCTATTCCCTTGCCCCGAACACCCAGATACCATTTTGGTGAGGAACAGGAGAAAGGAAAGGGAATACAATGTAAAAGGACTGTTTGAATCAGAAGAGATTGACATATTGATATTTGTCCAGTTCCATGGTTTCTACCCCACACCCAATAAGAAAGAGGCTTAAGAGGAACATTAGTTCATGAGACTAACTGGCTGTTCATTAAACCCACAGCTGGACTACATTTTCAGCCTTCCTTGCAGTTAGGTGTAACCATGTGAATGGATCTGGCCAATAAAATGTGAGTAGAAGTGGTAGATCCCATTTCCTGACCTGTTACACAGAGAGCTCCCATGCATTATCCTTTATGTTCTTCTCTTTTCCACAGTGATCTTGGAAACCAGGTATTGAAGATGGTGAGGCCACAGATGGAAGGCACCTGGATCCAGATTTAAAAGAGTTGCCTGCCAATCAGGAACACCCTTTTTGAGCTTTGGGGATGTGTTTTAGTTCTCATATTCCTGCATAACAAACTACTCCAAATTTAGTGGATTAAAACAACAATTTATTATAATCCCTATAAATTCTGTGGATTGACTGGGTTTAGCTGGGTGGATCTCACTTGGGGTGACTCATATGATTGCAGTCAGATGTGGGCATTTTTCTTTTAATTTTTATTCACTGCCTAGATCCTTTACTGGGCCCTGGGAAGTACATTATTGAGAATTCATATTTTCGGCCAGGCATGGTGGCTCATGCCTCTAATCCAAGCACTTTGGGAGGCTGAGACGGGTAGATCACGAGGTCAGGAGATCGAGACCGTCCTGGCTAACATGGTGAAACCCTGTCTCTACTAAAAATACAAAAATTAGCCGGGCATGGTGGCGGGCATCTGGTAGTCCCAGTAACTTGGGAGGCTGAGGCAGGAGAATGGCGTGAACCCGGGAAGCAGAGCTTGCAGGAGCCGAGATTGCACCACTGCACTCCAGCCCGGGCAACAGAGCAAGACGCTGTCTCAAAAAAAAAAAAAAAAAAAAAGAATTCATATTTTCAGGCTGTCTCTGTTTCCAGGGCCTCCATCCAGCGGGATTGGAATAGTCTGGAGATATGCAGCTTAACCAGCACTTTTAGGAGCTTTATTCCTCTTGTTAGTTCTTCCCATTTCCTAAATCCCTAAGAACCTAGAGAATAAAGGTCAGTCTCTTTGTAGACTTAATAGGTCTAAAACTCAGCTCAAGTCGGAATGGCTCCCCAGGAAACTACCTGTATCCTTTTAAAGATGACACTTTCCAGATTCTGCTTAATGAAGTGCCTGTTTCTCTTCTATATTGGGCACACACCATTGTTCTGATGCTCTGAGCTAGGTCTTCACATAGTAGCAGCGATAAGACTTCTCTCAGTCATTCATTCCACAGTCTTTTTACAAGAGTGTCCGGAGCATCTGCTTTGACATTTCAGATTTTCTGCTAGGGGCACAACGTGTCTCCCTAGTTTTACCTGAGTGTAAGCATGACCTGGGTTTTGTGTCCACTGGGCACATTTATATAATAAAATCTTAATATAAAACTTCCAAATATATTCATTTCCTGAGATTTATCTTTTGCCTTAAAATATCAGCATTCTTCATATCCTTCATGCACACACTAGTACTTCCCCTTGAGCAAAGCCTTTCTTTAGCCTGTAGTGATTTCTGGAAAGTGTTTGGTGCAAAACATTCTCTTCCATCTGAGAGGCAAAGAACATTTGAGTTGAGTCTCACTCTGCCCAGCACTGTATTTCACCACACATTTAGGAGACCTACTGCTTTACGAATCACTAGGAATTTGAGAAGTCCATGTGTCCCTTCAACCCTACCCTCCAGAGAGGATAAAAGTGAAGCTGCTTTATTCAGATGAAAATTGATCTTATTTCTAAAGACCATTCGGGAAGAAAAGTGTGACAATGAGACTGCTCAAACACTAGCATCATCTTTTGCTGTGGTTGTATTAATTAACTGATTGACCCACAATTATTTCAAACCCAGAATCCTAATCACAGAATACAACCACCTCCCTTATTTTTGGCTGCTTTGATCTTAGCCACCCATTCTTCAAACTCTCCACAGGAGCTCAGCTCCCTTACTTAAAATTCCCAGCTCGTGTTTTTTTTACGAATACTGCAACAGTGATACCCTTTGCCTGGATGTATTTTTCCTCCCCTGGTCATGCTCCATTTTTATCCTCCTTGAAAACAATGCTAAAACTGATCTGTCTCCAACAGCAAACCATCCAGGGAGGAACAGGAGCTGAGGAATGAGCAGGAATCTGTTCAAGATCTGGTTAGCTGCTGCCTGGCTGTATTACCAGACAAGCAAAGACCAGAAACCTACTCTTCATTTTCTTCATCTGCAAAATAGGATTTGTGCAAATAACAGAGCCTACCCCACTGGGCTTGTGCTGCAGGCACACTGGCCTTCTTTCAGTTCTTGGAAGCATCCTCTCCTACCACAGGGCTCTTGCAAAAGAGCCATTCCCTCCCCGTGGAACATGGGGCCCTTCCTCCATCCTTTACTCTGGTGAATGCCCTTTTTTCCTGGATCAATTAAGTTGACACTTCCTCAGTGATGAGGCCAAATGTCCCTTTCATGCCACTATGTTCACTCTCAGGGCACTGATCACAGTTCCAAATTTATATTGATTTGTGAGATTATTTAATTAACAGCATTCTTCTATAATAGACCATGTGTTCCATGAGAGCAGACACATCTGTTTTCTCTCATCAGTTTATCTCCAGCACACAGCACTCAATAGATATTTGTGGAATAAATGAATGAACATAAATAAATGAGTAATAGTTGTGCAAATAAAGGAGACCATGCAGGCCAATCATTAGCACTGTATTATTAATATTATCTTTTCCAAAGCAGCATTTATAACAATAATACCAACTATAAGGATCACAAGGACTACAGGGGTAAAGTATATGAAAGTTGTTTGTAAAATATAAAGCACTAGACAAATGTTAGCATTTTGTAGTCATTGAAATCTCATAGTTCTTTTTCCTGCAAACACCACAGTGGTTCCCTGCACAGCCATCTAATGCATATCTACACGTGGAGATGCCCGTGCTTCTGTCACCTGTTATGTGCCTGGTTTGCCTATTAAGTAACTGTCCTCATAAACAAATTATAAGCCATACAGCAATGGGACCACTGTTTGAAGAGGTGACACATTTTAAGGAAGTGGCTCTCTTAGAACTCAGACACTGCAGCTCTTGTTATGGAGTAGGCTTTGTCATGAGAGAGTGAGGCGAGGAAAGAATTCTTGAAATTCTTGAAAGGATGCAGGGCTGGGGAAACTGAACTGGTGATGGTAAATTTTATGTGTCAATGTGACTGGGCCACAGTGTGCCCAGATACTTTGTCAAATACAATTCTAGGTATTTCTGTGAGGGTGTTTTGAGATGAGATTAAATCAGAAGAGAGAATAAAGCAGGTTGCCTTCCCTAAGATGGCTTCTTACAATCAGGTGATGGTTTGAATAGAACAGAAGGCTGACCCTGCCCTGAGTAAGAGAGAAATCCTTCTGCCTGAGTCCATTTCAA
Source organism: Homo sapiens (assembly GCF_000001405.40). Classification (NCBI taxonomy): domain Eukaryota; kingdom Metazoa; phylum Chordata; class Mammalia; order Primates; family Hominidae; genus Homo; species Homo sapiens. The sequence goes on along the minus strand of NC_000002.12, from coordinate 168,338,182 downwards.
CCAGGACATCAGCTTTTTTCCTGCCTTTGGACTTGAACAGAAACATTAGCTCTTCTGGACTCTCAAGCCTGCTGGCCTTTGACAGAAAGTCCACCATCTACTGTCCTGATTCTCAGGCCTTCAGATGTGGACTGGAACTAGACCATCAGCTCTCCTGGGTTTCTAGTGGACCTGCCATGCAGATCTTGAGACTTGACTGCCTCCATAATCACATGAGCCAATTCTTTATAATAGTAATTATCATAATATACATACAAATACACACACACACACATAATTGGTTCTTTTTCTCTGGAGAACCCTGACTACTACAGCTGGTCACAGATGCTGCTCCCAGGAAGGGCATTTGTGAAGGCCAAGCTCAGGACCCAAAAGCAGAAGCTCATGAGAAAGGGTTCAGAAGTCATCGGCACTGGCGCATGATCTGGTAGATGCTGCGGCATGAACACAAATGGATCAGGTTCAGCTCCATCAAGTTGCTCCTAATGATTCAGTCAACCACAGCAGGACTCTGACCAGTGGTTGAAGTCACAGGGACTTTAGGAAAAGGGGTAATTGCACATTAGAGATAGCCTGAAACTCTGACAATCCTCCCATGAAGAGATGGAGTCTTTGTCCCCTCCCCTTGAAACTGGGGCAGACTCTGTGACCAATAGAATTTTTCAGAAGTGATGTTGTGTCAGTTTCTGAGCCCAGGCCTTACAAGACTCACAACTTCCAAATTCTGTCTCTTAGAACATTCTCTGAAGAAGCCAGGGACCATGCAATAAATCCACCTACTCTGAGACCTTCATGCATAAGACCAAGCTGTGACTAGGTGCTGAAGGGTGAGCCTAGGTTGAGAGAGTGAGAGGGAGAGGAGCCAAGGGACACCAAGGTAATGGACATGCGAGTGAAGAAACCATCTGAAGCCACTGCATTTGGGGGCAGTAGGTTATGTAGCAATAGATAATTGAAACAGGGGTTAACTGGCAAGAGACAGGAATCCAAGCCCAATCCTGCTTTGATAAGGCTGGTGAGGTTCAGGAAGCTCTATAGACCTAACGGGAGATTGGTCTTTTAGGTAAATTCTCAGGCCGACCACTAAGGAGGAAAAAGCTAAAAAGATGACTCAAGGTTACCTGGCACTCGCATTTCCTCAGACTCTGGATATGCAGTTAACACAAGCCGGCCAGAAGGTGGGGCTAAGCCAGTTGCTGCACTTCCTGGCCATGCAGGTGAGGAACTGTTAGAGACTGAGCTCAGCTCAAGGTAGAACCAATCAGGATGCCAGCTTGGAGTGAGGAGGAGGAGGGAGGCAGAGAGCGTACAGGCATGGGGCACTGTATAAAGATTAGGGGAACAATATTAAGATCTGTGAGTTCCAATAAGCTTATTAAAATAAATTAGCCAGGTTATAGTGGCGGGCACCTGTAATACCAGCTACTCAGGAGGCTGAGGCAGGAGAATCGCTTGAACCCCGGAGGGGGAGGTTGCAGGGAGCCGAGATCACGCCATTGCACTCCAGCTTGGGGGACAGAGCAAGACTCTGTCTCAAAATCAATCAATCAATCAATCATATTTATAAGACTTGGAATATTTATATATTACTACTAATTCTTTTAAATTACTAGTGTATTGAAGGCAACAATTATACTTAGTCTTTTTATATCCTTCACAACGTAGAGTTCATATGTTACAAAGTTGAATGTGATTTTGTTACCAAAATCCAAGTTTCTTTTGTCCTCTCTGAGCATCTCCTTGCTTCTGAAAGTCTCAGCAGTGTGTGAGACATGAAACAGAGAAGTGCAGGCCACTGAGATCTCAAGGGATCAAGTTATTTATATGAAGAGCAGGAAGGGAGAAAGACTAGTTTAGTTCACAGTATTAAATGGAACTAAGAAAAAATAAAAGTTTTTGTGCAGCCAGCCTGGATTATTTTGTTTACTAATCTACTATACTCGTTTTCATAAAATGTTTAATTACAGCAAGACACAAGTCTAATAACATTTAAAAGTAATATAAAATTAGCCAGTCCGAGATTCCAGATCCAATACATGCCAGTTCTGTGAAGAGTTTGGTTTTTGTTTTGTTTCGCTTGTCCTTGTTTTGTTACAAACCAAGTTGAAAATACAGCAAGGAGCTTGCCACATTTAAAACATTAGAACTCCTTAGAAAAAGAAATGAAATCATGCATATCTCACACTTAGGGAATTATTTATTTCCAGCATGAAGACTCTGGAGACTTAGGGGTAATTCTCCTGGATTTTCACGTGAATGTACCTTTCCCACCAAGCACTACTACCTAGTTGTTTCAAGTAAGCAAATATTACTGTGTTTACGAGACTAGAAGATTCACAAAGTCAGGCTGTATATACATTAACTTTTTAGATGTTCATCACATGACCTAGTAGAGTAAAAGACACTATAAGAACTTCATTAACTTGGTTGAATCAACTCAATTTCAAGGAAACCCTTTATAGATCACTGATTGTGATATAACTATACTTTATCACAGTAGCTAAAATATGCTTTTTAAAAATTTATCTATTTATTTATTTTGAGACAGAGTCTTACTTGTCACCCAGGCTGGAGTGCAGTGGCGTGATCTCAGCTCACTGCAACCTCCGCCTCCCAGGTTCAAGCAATTCTCCTGCTTCAGCCTCCAGAGTAGCTGGGACCACACACGCACGCTGCCACACCCGGCTAATTTTTTGTGTTTTAGTAGAGACAAGATTTTGCCGTGTTGCCCAGGCTGGTCTTGAATTCCTGAGCTCAGGCAATCTATCCACCTTGGCCTCCCAAAGTGCTAGAATACAAGCATGAGCCACCGCGCCCAGCCTCTAAAATATGTTTTTAAAGAGTAATTTTTCTCTTATTTTGAGCCACATAACTGCATAAAATGAGACTTAATAATTCTTGCACTGAACAATATTAATGATTTTTCTTGTTACCTGAAAGTAGTACTTCGATCATTGGGGTTTATAAAACCTCACTAAAAATATATGCTCACTTCTTCCACCCAATCAGATAAACAGGCAATAGCATTTGATCGTACTTTCAAATACAGTTAAGGTCCACAATAATTCAGCTAGTTCTCCTTGGTAGTAATTGTATGCATTCTTAAAATTCTGTGTTTTATAAATACAAAAAAAGGAAAAGTTGAGGAAAAACAAAAACACATTCTTTGAAATTAACTATATAGAGTTTACTAAAAACTAACAAATATGTATTAAAGATTAAGTTTCTCTCCTCCTCTGCAATGATTATATCCTTACAGATTCCTAAGGTAGAAAAGTCACTGCAAATAAGAAATAATTTGATTTTAAAGTTTTAAATGATTTTGTGAAGTTCATGAATTCTGCGGATCAGGAATTCAAAAACCGTTCAGCAAGGATGACTTTTCCCTCTTTGCAATGTCTGTGGCCTCAGCTGAAAAGACTCTTATAATGGGGAGCTGGAATCATCCACAAGCCTGTTCACTCTCACACATGGCATCTCAGCCAGGATGACTAGAAGCCTGGGTCCAGCTGAGGCTGTCGTCAGAGAGCCTCTTGACACGGCTGGGGCTTCCTTATATTACAGCAGCCTCCAAATGCTCAAAATTCTTTTTTTTTATTTTATTGATACGTAATATTTTACATATTTATGGGCTACATATGACTATTTGTTACATGCATAGAATGTATAATAACCAAATAGGGTATTTGGGGTATCCATCACCTTGGATATTATTTCTATGTGTTGGTAACACATTTCAAGTCCTCTCTTCTAGCTATTTTGAAATATACAATATATTGTTTTTAACTGTAGATACCCTAATCCGCTATCAAATATTAGAACTTACATCTTCTGGCCGGGCGCACTGGCTTACACCTGTAATCCCAGCACTTTGGGAGGCCGAGGCGGGCAGATCACCTGATGTCAGGAGTTCGAGAACAGCCAGGCCAACATGGTGAAACCACATCTCTACTAAAAATACAAAAAATTAGCTGAGTGTAGTGGCACGCACCTGTAATCCCAGCTATTTGGGAGGCCGAGGCAGGAGAATCGCTTGAACCCAGGAGGTGGAGGTTACAGTGAGCTGAGATCACACCACTGTACTCCAGCCTGGGCGACAAGAGTGAGATTCCATCTCAAAAAAAAAAAAAAGGAACTTAGATCTTCTATCTAACTGTTTGTTTGTACCCATTGACCAACCTCTATTCATTCCCCCTCTCCCACCCTCACATGTTCCCCTATCCCTACTATCATTCTATTTTCTGTCACCATGAGAACAATTTTTTTAGCTCCCACATATGAGTGGAACATGCAATATTGGTCTTTCTGTGCCTGGTTTATTTCACTTAAGGTAATGACCTTTAGTTCCACCCATGTTGCTGCAAATTAACATGATTTCATTCTTTTTTATGGCTGAATAGTATTTCATGGTATATATGTATCTATCTCACATTTTCTTTATCCATTCATCCATTGACAGACCCGTAGGTCAGTCCCATAGCTTAGCTGCTGCAATAAACGTGCAATTGCAGGTAGCCTTTGATATACTGATTTCTTTTACTTTGGGTATGTACTCAGTAATGGGATTGCTAAATCAAATGGTAATTATATTTTTAGCTTTTTCTTCATTTTTTAAAGAAATGTTCTTGCTGTCACCCAGGCTGGAGTGCAGTGGTGTCATATACTTCACTGAAACCTCAAATTCCTGGCCTCAAGCAATCCTCCTGCCTCAGTCTCCAAAGTAGCTAGGACTACAGGCTTGCACCACCACACTCGGCTAATTGTTTTACTTTTAGTAGAGATGGGGGTCTCACTAGGTTGCCCAGGCCAATCTTGAACTCCTGGACTCAAGCCAACCCTCCCAAAGGGTTGGAATTACAGGTGTGAGCTACAACACCTGGTCTGTTTTAAGATTTAGTTTGCTAGTATTTTGTTGAGGATTTTTGAATCTATGTTCATCAGGGATATTAGTTTGTAGTTTTCTTTTTTTGTTGTGACCTTTTCTCATTTTGGCATCACAGTGATACTGACCTCATAGAATAAGTTAGGGAGAATTCCCTCTGCTTTAATTTTTTGGAATAGTATCAGGAAGATTAGTATTGGTTATTTATATGTTTGATAGAATTCAACTATGAATCCATTTGGTCCTGGGCTTTTCTTTGTTGGGAGACTTTTTATTACTGATTCAAGCTCACTACTCATTATTTGTATGTTCAGGTTTTCTATTTCTTCCTGATTCAGTCTTAGTGGCTTGCATGTTTCCAGGAATTTATCAATTTCCTCTAGGTTTTCCAGTTTGTTAGCATATAGATGTTCATAATTGTCTCCAATGATCCTTTGTATCCTTGTGATATCAGTTGTAATGTCTCCTTTTTCATTTCTGATTTTGCTTATTTGGATCTTCTTTCTTCTTTTCTTGGTTAAGCTGGCTACTGGTTTATCAATTTTATCTTTTTGAATAATCACCTTTTCATCTCATTGATCATTTGATTGTTTTTTTAGTCTCTTATTTAGTTTTGCTGTGATCTTTATTATTTTCTTTCTTCTGCTAATTTAGAGTTTGGTTTGTTCTTGCTTTTCTAGTTCTTTAAGCTGTATTATTAGGTTATTAACTTGTGATCTTTCTACTTTTTTGATGTAGGTGTTTATTGCTATAAACTTTTATTTATTTATTTATTTTTTGAGACAGAGTCTGGCTCTGTGGCCCAGGCTGGAGTGTAACGGTGCAATCTCGGCTCACTGCAACCTCCGCCTCCTGACTTCAGGTGATTCTCCTGCCTCAGCCTCCTGAGTAGCTGAGACTATAGGTGTGTGTCACCATGCCCAGCTAATTTTTGTATTTTTAGCAGAGACAGGGCTTCACCATATTGGCCAGGCTGGTCTCGAATGCCTGACCTCGTGATCCGCCTGCCTTGGACTCCCAAAGTGCTGGGATTACAGGCATGAGCCACCGTGCCTGGCCTAAACTTCCTTCTTAGCACTGCTTTTACTGCATCCCACAGATTTGGGTATGTAGTGTTTCATACCAAACATTTTCATTTGTTTCAATACTTTTTTTAATTTCCATCTTAGTATCTTCATCAACCCAATGGTCATTCAGGAACATGTTATTTAATTTCCATGTGTTTGTATAATTTCTAGAGTTCTTCATGGTATTATTGAGTTTTAGTTTTTTGTTTTGTTTTGTTTTTGAGACGGGGCCTTGCTCTGTCGCCGCGATCTCGGCTCACTGCAAGCTCTGCCTCCTGGGTTCACACCATTCTCCTGCCTCAGTCTCCTGAGTAGCTGGGACTACAGGCGCCCACCACCACGCCCGGCTTTTTGTATTTTTTTTAGTAGAGACGGGGTTTCACCATGTTAGCCAGGATGGTCTCGATCTCCTGACCACGTCGTGATCTGCCCGCCTCAGCCTCCCAAAGTACTGGGATTACAGGCGTGAGCCACCGCACCCGGCCAAGTTTTGCTTTTATTCTGTTGTGGTCTGAAAAGACACTGGATATGATTTCAATTTTTAAAAATTTGTTGAGACGTATTTTTTGGCCTAACATATAGTCTTTCCTGATGAATATTTCACGTGCTGATGAAAAGAATATATATTCTGTGGTTGTTAAATAGGATGTTCTGTAAATGTCTGTTAGGTCCATTTTGCCTCAAGTCTAGTTTAAATTCAATATTTCTTTGCTTTCTGTCTAGATGAACCGTTTATTGCTGAGAGTGGGGTATGAATCTGGGTACTCCAGTGTTGAGTATGTATTTATTTAGAATTGTTATATCCTCTGGATTGATCCCTTGATCATTATACAATAAGCTTCTTTGTCTGTTTTTTTAAACCTTCTTGACTTAAAGTCTGTTTTCTCTGGTATAAGTATAGCTACTCCTGCTTACTTTTGGTTTCCATTTGCACAGAATATCTTTTTCCATCCCTTTACTTTCAGTCTGTATGTGTCTTTACAAGTGTGTTTCTTGTAGGCAGCATATAGTTACATCTTTAAAAAAATCCACTCAGCTGTCTATATCTTTTAAGTGAGGAATTTAATCCATTTATATTTATGGTTATTATTGAGATATGAGGTTTTTTTCCTGTCATATTGTTAATTATTTTCTGGTTGCTTTATATATTCTCTGTTACTTTCTTTTTCTCTTATTGCCATTGTGATTTAGTGGTTTTCTGTAGTGGTACCATTTGAGTCCATTATCTTACTCATATGTGTGTTTGCTTTACCAGTGAGTTTTATACTTTCATGCTTTTTTCATGATGGTAAATATCAGTCTTTCACTTACAGGTTTAGCACTGTCCTTGAGCATTTCTTTTAGGGCCAGTCTGGTGGCAATGAATTTCCTCAGCTTTTGCTTGTCTGAGAAAGACTGTATTTCTCCTTCATTTATGAAAGATAAATTTGCTGGATATAGTATCTTTGGCTGACAGTTTCTTTCAGTACTTTGAATATATTACCCTATTCTCTCCTGGCCTGTACAGTTTCTGCTGAGAAATCCACTGTTAAGTCTGATGGGGATTCCTTTATGGGTGACTAGATGCTTTTTTCTCCTGCCATTTTTTGAGATGTTCTCTTTGTGATTGACTTTAAACAGTTTGACTATAATGTGCTGTGGAGATTACTTTTTGCATTGTATCTGTTTAGGGATCTCAGAGCCTTCTGATCTGGATATATAAATCTTTTGCTAGGCTTAGGAACTTTTCATTTAATTAGGTAGGTTTTCTAGCCTTTCATTCTCTCTTCAAATTCTGGAGAACCCTGATGATTAGAATATTTGGTTGCTTTATTGTGTCCAATATGTCATGAGGCTTTGCTTATTTATTTATTTATTTATTTATTTATTTGTCTAACTGGGTCATTTAAAAAGACTTCTCTTTAAGTTCTGAGATTCTTCTGCTTGATCTGGTCTATTGTCAAAACTTTCAAACATATTTTGTATTTTATTCAATGAATTTCACAGTTGCAAAATTAGGTTTTTTATTTTTTATTTTTATCTTTTGAGACAAGGTCTCGCTCTGTTGCCCTAGCTGGAGTGCAGTGGCATGGTCACAGCTCACTACAGCTTCAACATCCCAGGCTCAAGTGACCCACCCACCTCAGCCTCCCAAGTAGCTCACCTGGGACCACAGGTGTGCACCACCATGCCCAGCTAATTTTTGTATTTTTTGTAGAGATGTGGTTTCACCATGTTGCCCAGGCTGGCCTCAAACTCCTGGGCTCAACAGATCTGCCCACCTCAGCCTCCAAAAGTGCCGGGATTATAGGCATGAGCCACCATGAGTGGCCCAGAATTTCTGTTTGGTTCTTTTCTTATGATCTCTTTGGTTAATTTCTCATTTATATCCTGAACTCTTTTTCTGATTTCTTTGTATTGTTTTTCAGAATTCTCTTGTATATCACTGACCTACTTTAGAATCAATCATTTGAATTCTTTTTCTGGGATTTATTAATTTCTTTTTGATTGGGATCTGTTGCTAAAGAATTATTGTGTTCCTTTGGAAGTGTCATATTTTCTTGCTTTTTGGTTCCTGTGTCCTTATATTGATATCTGCACATTTGGTGTAACAGTTGCTTCTTCCAATTTTTTTGAATTTGCTTTCATGGGGGAGGACTTTTTCCTGAAGATGTATCCATGATGTTGGTTGGGTAACACACTGTCTTTGATTCTTGGTGTGTGCAGTAGTTTAGTCTCTGTATGATTTCTTCAGCTGTAAACAGTATTAGTAGTATCTATAATTTCCTCCATGGCTTAGGGTGCAGTTATTACTGGAGACTGTGGTAAAGTTTTGCTGGGGCCTGGGACAGCAGGTAGGCCAGTCTTTGAGCCCCAGGGGTGGCAGTGGTGGGTTGAATGCACCTGTTCCTGGATCCCAGGGCTGCATATACTGGCACTTATATTAGTGGACCAAGGCAGCCCAATTTTTGGCCTCCATGTGGCTTACTTGGATGCTGGTAGTGGTAGCAGTGGACCAGGCAGGTGGGGGTGGTTCTTTAGCCCTTTGGCAGCCAGGATGGTGTGACAATGACAGTAGCAGTGGTATGATGACCACTGGGTCCCAAGCTGTGTGTGATAGTGTTGTCAGTGGCTGAGATGGGCTGGGCAGACCAGTCTTTGGGCCCACAGGTAGCACATGCAGGCAGGTGCCAGCTATAGTGTTAGTGGCTCAGTGAGTAGGTCCAAACTTGGGGTTTAGTGAGGAGTGTTCTTGTTCCAGTTATGTGGACTGGCGTGGACAACACCCTGGTCCCTGGATTGTGTGCTCTGGCACAGTGTGTTGGGGGATCTAAGCTCAGCCAGATGGGCTTGTCCTCAGGCTCTCTGATTGTGTGTGCAGGCACCAGCCATGGTAGGCTGGGGCAGAGCAATGCCCAGGCTACTGGCAGAATGGTCTGGTATGGACCACAAATGACTGCACTGCTGCCCTGCCACTGGGGAGGGTAGTGCTGCCTTCAGTGGTGAGTAGCGTAGGCCAGCAGGTGGAGAATGCACACACCATTCATGCCAGCAGTGCCTGCACTTCAACACTTGCTGCAGAAGCCAGTGCCTCACTCACATCTCAGTTGTGGGTGTTGTAGCTTGCAGTTGCTTATGCCTAGGCCTTGGGGGCAGCAGCCCATGCTTCACTTGTTCCTCAGATCTAGCGCTGTTGGGCCCCTGGATAGTACACAGCCCACTGGAGGTAGGGCTCTAAAATGACACCTTGCTGGAGCTGCTTATGTCTCAGAGAGTGTGTGGGACCCAATGCAAGCACCCCACCCTGACCCAGGAGCCAGGAGCAATGCCATCATACAATCTCCTGGCAGCTCCATATGTTAGTTTCAGGGCTTACAAGAGTCTAGGGGATTTCCCATGGCTAGGATTGCAAAAGTCCAAAGCAGAAATGTAGACCACTGAGAATCTCTCATTTACCCTTTCTCCACATTGAGGAGTCTCTCTCAGCTTCTAGCCAATTCCAGTTCAGCAGATTGCTTCACTTTCTTCTCCTTTCTTGCTTTAGGTAGTTCCTGTCACTTTTCCATTGAATTCTAGTGTTCTCTCTTGGATGATCTATTCCAAGTGTAATAATCTCACAATTTTGGTTCTTCTTAGTAGAAGAGGTGAGTACAAAATGTCTCTAGTCAGCCATCTTTGAGCCCCTCCAGAAAAAGCACTGTATTCAGCATTTATACATGGCCCCTCAGGGCTCCAAGAGTATGTGTTCATTGAACAAGGTGAAAGCTGCATGACTTTTATGATATAGCCTCAGAAGTTTCACAGTCCCACTTCTGTCATACTTTTTGATCCAAGCAGTCACAAGCCCACCAAGATTCAACAGGTGATGACATACTTGTCACCTTTTGATAAGAATGTCAACAAATCTGTGACCTGTTTGAAAATCACTATGATCATGTTTTTCCTCCCCTTACTTAAACACTTAAAGATCTCATCTACCACCTATATTAGTCAGGATACTCCAGAGAAACAAAGCCAATAGCATGTATATATGTGTATATATATATGTATGAAGAGAGAGAAAGGGATTTATTATAAGGAATTGGGTCATGTGGTTATGGAGACTGGCAAGTCCAATATCTGCAAAGTGGCTGGCAGGTTGGAGATCCAGGAGAACCTGTGTCCAGTTCGAATCCAAAGGCCGGTAGGCTGCTGTAGAACCAGGAAGAGCTGATGTAGATGAAGTCTGATCTACTTCCTGTAGAACCAGGAAGAGCTGGTTGTAGATGAAGTCCAAAGGAAAATCCCCGCTTGCTCAGGGAGGCCATTTTTTGGTTCCACTCAGGACTTCAACTTACTGGATAAAGCCCACCCACAATCTGTTCTAATCAAAGTCCACCAATGTAAATGTTAAGTTCATCCAAAAACCCTCACAGAAATACTCAGAAGAATGTTTGACCAAATATCTGGGTACCCCATGGTCCAGCCCAGTTGACACATAAAATTTACTATCCCACCACCTCTATATCACATTCCTAGTTTTAAAAATACCTTAAAACTCATTTTGTTTTATTGCCATGTATCAATAATTTGCATATTAAGTGACTTTTTTTTTTTATTCCTACCTTTCTGGTTTCATTAGAGGTTGGAGTCATGCTCCCTAAATTTCTACTTGGAGTGACTAGAGAGTCACATATACTTGATCTTATAATTCTCAGTTCCAAAAGAGTTCACAGAAATAAATATACTAGAATTATGTAATACACAAGTTTAAGCTCTGGAGGAATAACCTCTGCGGTCTCCAAGGTTAAACCATCAGAGAGCAGCTGACATGATATCTCCACTTAAGGTCCTAATGCAGACCCTTGTTCACATTTGTTATCCTGCTTCCGCCTCTTCAACCCCCATTATCCTCATCTCTAGTCTCTTTCGTTTTCTGCAGGACTATTTCCTGCTTCACATTAACTAATACTTATTGTAGAGAGCTCTCAGTCAGTCAATAATTGTACAAAGTTCAAGTCATAAAATTCAGGCATTCTGCTTCAACTACACAAAGTTCACTTTCTGTGTTTAAGTTGCTCTTTCTACTTCTGCTTCTAGTAATTATTACAGAAAACATCCAATGCAAGAATTGCAGGAGAGTAGACTCTCTCATGTAGCTGTCTTTAAAGAGTGTACAGAGCCCCAGATGAGGGCTTCTGTTAGGCTTTCTTGCAGTTACAGCAATGTCATGAACATATGGTCTTGGGTAGGTACTGATCTAAGTGGTACCTGGAAAACTCTCCTATTAAGCAAAATCTTACTTCCTGTCTCACGAAAGACTTTACTTCAGAGGGCTATTTTTCCCTAGAGCTGAGATAGAGTTGTTTGTCCTCTAACATCTTTGGAATGCCCTGGGCTAGATATTAAAGTGCAGATCCCTGGACCCCACGTAGACCAACTGAATTGCATTCTCTAGCTGGAGGGCTGCTTCAAGAATTTGCTTTTCTTTTTATTGTGGTAAAGTATACATAACAAAAAATTTACCATTTTTTTTTTTCTTGAGATAGAGTCTTGCTCTGTCAGCCAGGCTAGAGTGGCAGTGGTGCGATCTCATCTCACTGCTATCTCTATCCACTAGGCTCAAGGGATCCTCCCACCTCAGCCTCCCTAGTAGCTGGGACTACAGGTGTGCACCACCATGCTCAGCTAGTTTTTAATTTTTGTTTTGTAGAGATGAGGTCTCACTATATTGTCCCAGCTGGTCTCAAACTCCTAAGCTCAAGTGATCCTCCCACCTCAGACTCCCAAAGTTTTGGGATTACAGGCGTGAGCCACCATGCCACTCATACACTATTTGTTCTTTTGTGTCTGGCTTATTTCACTTAACATAATGTTTTCAAGGCTCATCCAAACTGTAGCATGTGTCAAATTTTTCTTCCTTTGTAAGGCTGAATAATATTCCATTATATGTATATACCACGTTGTGTTTATCCATTCATCCATCAGTGGACATTCAGGTTATCTCCATATGTTGGCTATTGTGAATAATGCTGCTGCGAAAATGGGTGTACAAATATCTGTTAGCATCCTTTTCATTTATTTTGGGTATAAACCTAGAAGACATTGTATATTTTTAACAAGCTTCTCTAGTAAGCTTCTTGCCCTAAATTTTGATAGCCACTAGTTTAGAGGCTTTGCTAGTTGTTTTGTCAAATCCTGTATAGATATTTGTTTAAATTTATTTTAGTTTAAAGGAGAATAAAACAAGTGGGGTTTTGCACCATTTTTTTTCTTTGGCTAGTCCTTTTTCCACATCCATGTTAAGGATCTAAAATCTTGGGTCTTGCCCACTACAAAATCTCCTTTGAATCTTATCCTTTTCCAGGTTATTCTCAGCACCAGGGTCAGAGTGTCCTCCCTAAAACACCTCTCTCATTTCTCAAATCTACCCCACTTTCTTTAAAATCCATTCGCAGTTTTCACAGCCTAAACAGTAAAACCAAAACTCTTTAGCATGACTTTCAGAGCTATTCACCATGAGGAGGCTCCATTCATCTTCTCAGTCTCATCTTCCTAGAAATGCTACATTCTTGCCTAGGGTTCTCAAAGTATGGTCTGTTAGAAATGCAGACCTGGCCAGGCACAGTGGCTCATGCCTCTAATCCCAGCACTTTGGGAGGTTGAGGCAGGGGGATCACAAGGTCAGGAGTTTGAGACCAGCCTGGCCAACATAGCGAAACCCTGTCTCTACTAAAAATACAAAAAATTAGCTGGGCGTGGTGGTGGGTGCCTGTAATCCCAGCTACTTGGGAGCCTGAGGCAGGAGAATCGCTTGAACCTGGGAAGCAGAGGTTGCAGTGAGCCAAGATGACACCATTGCACTCCAGCCTGGGCCACAGAGCCAGGCGCCGTCTCAAAAAAAAGCAGACCTATTTCATTAGAAACCTTGAGGGTGGAGGCAGCGAGGAGGACCAGCCAGTTGTTTTTAATAAGCCTTCAGGTGATTCTGGTAGCCAAACTACTTGTAATAGTCGTCCCCAAACACTTCTCTTACTGCCAGCTGAATTTCTTCTCATATTATCTCCGCCTGCCAGGGATTACTCTCCCTTTCTGCCCATTCAGATCCTGTGTGGCCTCCAAGCCCCAAGTCGTTTGCTACCTTATTCATACAGCCACTGCAGAATTTCCTGTTAGAAATCCCTTTCCCAGCTTTGGACACAGATGCGTCCCCCTACCCTTTTTTTTTTTTTGAGACAAGGTTTCACATTATCAGCCAGGCTGGGGTGCAGGGACACACTCACTGCAGCCTCAACTTCCTGGGCTTTAGCAATCCTCTCACCTCAGCCTCCCAAGTAGCTGGGACTACAGGCATGTGCCACCACACCCAGCTATTTTTTTTATTTTTGTGGAGACAGGCTCTTACTATGTTAGTCTGAAACTCCTGAGTTCAAGCGATTCTCCCACCTTAGCCTCCCAAAGTGCTGGGATTATAGACATAAGCTACTGCGCCTAGCTGGATGGTTCCTTTTCTATGAGCCATTTGGCCATTTATCCTGCACTAACTCCTCTGTGTCTTGCACATAACTGGTAACGACTAAATTTTATTGATCTGAGTAGATTTGATTTACCGCTACTGGATTTAAAAGGCAGCTGAGGAACTCAAACTATAGCCCTGGTCCCTTCAGACCTGCTGAAGCTCCATATTTTTAATATACTCCCAAGTTATCGATAAGGATAACAAGACACTTCCGACAGAAATGCAGCCGTGATTTACCACCCCTGAACCAAAGGTGGATAGTGTGAAACGGTGTGAAAGTCAATTAGGTAGCACCCAGATGAATGTTCATTTCAGGAAATGAGTGAGGCTCAGCTGTAGCAACAGATGAGGAGTAGGGTGGAGAAGACAGATCCTTCCCTGCATCCACCAGAGGGAAAGGAGAGAACTAAAACACAGGTGCGAGCCTTTTGTTCTTTGGCGCATTCCCTGTGGGTTTATGGAGATGTCTGGGAGCACTTCCTTTTCCTTTCAAGCTTTATGACACACGTAATCTAAAACGATGGGGCAGCTTCCTTGCGATGACTCAAAAAGGAATAAGTAGTAAATTTCGTGTAGGAGGGTCGGCTAGGTTCAGTTAGACTTGCTACAAAGCCTGTGAGAACAAACAGTGGGAAAGTGAGATTTCATTTTTCCCCGAGATGCTGAAGAGTCTCCGTATCCCATAGGGAATGCTGTAATGTGTTCGTAATGGGAATATCTATCTTTATGTTCAAGTGTTGCCTAATTCACTAGCAAACAGGGAGGGAAATGCTTTTCTACACATAACTCCATAAGAGGATTCATTAGAAATACTGTTTTAGAATTAATGAAATGCTGAATGATTTTCCATCCTTCTTCCTAATAGTTGGTTAATGAGGATGAAAAGCAATTATTTTTTATAACACATTTTCATGTAATCGGTGGCTAAGTGTACTCAGTAGAGAATAATGAATATACCAGTTTGCAGTGAGTTTCTTTGAATGGAAACAGTAGAATTGGGAAGACTGTGGAAAATTTTACCCTTTAGGCTACAAGCACAAATTTTCCTCCATCAATCATTATATGTGATTTCCAATATGTTCAGTATTGAAAGTGGGTATTATTATTCCTTTAAAAAGGCATAATTCTTTGAGATCTCTGCATTTGGGATGAGTTTATAGTGTTGCTGCAAATTTGAAGGCTGAAAACAGTGATAGGAAAAACATGTTTGTTTTTTAAAGTTGGCTATTTTTAGCTATGTAGGCTAAATGAAAAGGCAATCATATTTAAAATTATGCTACCATGTTTTTCTTTGATGTATGAAAGAAAGCTGTTCACTAAATGAAATTCACAACTAGTCAGTGCAGGTGGGGGGCAGGGAACTTTTTAGTCTAAGAAAATGTTTCAAATCTTCAGGCCAAGATGCTCATGAGGAGGACAATCTCCCAGTGTTTACAGACTGTGATCACAACCGCCAATAATCATTTGGAACCTTCTAGGAAACTACTCTGGTTTATGTCCCTGAAGACTAATTTCTAGCTTCTAGAAAACGGTGTGAAATGTACACTAGAATATTCAGACCACTTACTAGTTTCTGTTGATCTTTTTAATATAACTATTTTCATAATTACATTTATATCGCTTTAAGGCTCTCCTTTCACCCTCCCCACCCACCTCCAATATTCTCTTGAAGTTCTTTCTGCTGTTGATGGAGAGTATTCTGCCTGGGGAGCTGTCTGATTCAAAGCCAAGTTTGGAGTTGTACAAAGGAGGGGCCATGGGTGTTTACTGCAGATGTAGGGATCAAGGGAAAGCTTCTCCTCTGCCTTCTGAAGGTTTGCTGAAAATGAACTCAAAATAGGCAGATTAATGGGAAAAAAACCTGGACTGAGTAGTTTGGGTTTCATTTACTGAAAACAGCTTCCTGTCATGCATCAAAGAAAAAAAAAGTGTAGCATAATTTTAAATACAAATTTGTGGATGTACATGGACACAGAAGCCTTGCAAATATGAGACTCAGAGAAGGGCCAGATTATTGAGGCTTAAATACCCTCTTCATATTGTCACCGCCTTCATAATATTGTGACAGAGAAATCTGACATAGCCGACCCCATCTTGCTTCTAACCTCCAAGCTGTTCTTATTCATTCCTGGGCGTAGATCAAACTAACTTGGGGAGGGATTTAGTTTTTAGTTTAACCTTAAAGCAAGGATGATAATAGCCCTTCCCAAAACTGCCCCCTTCTTGTTTGGGGACCAAAACCACCTTTATAAAACCAATGAAAGGCTACAAGACTAGGATTATGGGAATGGCCTGAACTCTGCTAAAATACGGGTGTAGTTAAAGGATAATCAGCCATTGTTGCCAGAGGTCACAAGATTTGTAACCTCCCCAACTGTTTCTGTAGATAGCATCACTATTTTAAAACCTAAAATTGGTGTTTGAGGTATTTTTCAGACACTGCATTCTGATGGAACAGCTTTTGCCACCCATACTGGTAACCCATACCAAGAAACTGGCTTATTTGGTCTTCTGATCCCACCCAGGAATTGATTCAGTACAAGAAGACAGCTTCAGCCTCCTATGATTCCATCCCCAACCCAACCAATCATCATTTCCTACCCCCTAGACCCCTACCCACCAAACTATCCTTGAAAAACCCTAGCCTCTGAATTTTCAGGGAAGCCGATTTGGATAATAAACTTCTGTCTTCCACATGGCTGACCCTCCATTAAACTCTTTCTCTGCAGCAATATTGCTTCTTCAGTAAATTTGACTCTATCTGTCTGTGCAGCAGGCAAAAAGAACCCATTGGGTAATTACAATAGAAGAGAGAGAAAAGAGGGAAATGTGGCAATTTTAAAAGGTAATAAATAACTTTTAGAAAGAATGAATGGACTCAAGAGGCAGATGTTGTCTTGGAAATGATTCTTCTAATAAACTAAATGAGACTGGCAAGTTATGGGAAGGTGGGGGGCAGAACTGCACTGTGAACAAAGGGTGTCTTATTATATAGATAAAGTCTCCCAGATAATCTTTCAAACCTTCTCTTAGAAAAATAAATGAAAAGTCTGCCAGGGTGTGTGGACAACTGTTATTAATAGTTTCTTCTCTTCTCTGGTGGTGAATTTTTCCTGGTTATTTGACAAGATTACTAGGGAGAGGGTCTTAAGACAATTGCATTTCTTTTGGAAAGAAATTTCCTTAGATTAAAAAAATTCCAGAGAGATCCCCTCCCTGTGCTTGGGGTGGGGGAGGAAACGAGAAGATTAGAAAGTTTTTTGATTCTAAGGCAGCTTCTAAGGCCTTCCAATTTCTTTTCATTCAAAGTAGTCAGCATGCCAAAGCTTCAAACTTTGAGGTATGCTCTCTCTACCACAATATAGGTGATAACAGAACAGCACTGGCACTGGTTTCTTTTCCTTCTAGAAGGGAAAATGGGTGACTCCAAGAACACTGGGATTGACAGATTGTCCTTTGAAGATATCAGACCTTCTTGCAAGGTCTCAATTTGTATTCATTCTTTCTATGCAGTTTTGCAAAAGAGAACATAAGTTTGTTAACTTTGTGAATTAATTCCAATAATGTTAACTTGAGTTGTTTTCTTTTTCCTATTTAAGAAATAATTTGAATTTCTTTCTCCCTCCAAATCTTTTTGTATACATCATTCTCATCTGCTTTTCCCTTGAGACATGGCCATCTCTGATGACAAACAGTCCTGTAATAAATCCTGTGTTGATCATCAAATAGGAGGATTCAGAGAGACTCTTACTGGGCCAGGTGTCAACTTGCTGCATTCCAGCAGCCTGAGAATCATAATTCCAGTTTGTGAAGTTAAAACTTGACAGTGACATTGTGAAATCTAGTTTTACTAATGACTGTATTGGTGATTCATTTGGTTCCTTGCATTCATGTGCCCTGCTTTGCAAATGCAAATGTACTTTTCATAACAATATGCTTACATCTTTCTTTAATATTAATAAGAAGGCACCTGGTCCCTTTCCCTGTCTCTACCTTTCAATTACCATAACAATCAT
The DNA here is from genome assembly GCF_000001405.40 of Homo sapiens. Lineage (NCBI taxonomy): Eukaryota > Metazoa > Chordata > Mammalia > Primates > Hominidae > Homo > Homo sapiens. The sequence goes on along the minus strand of NC_000002.12, from coordinate 168,320,239 downwards.
TCTAACTTAGACCACATTTTTTTTTTTTGAGATAGAGTCCTGCTCTGTTGCCCAGGCTGGAGTACAGTGGCACAATCTCTGCTCATGGCAACCTCCATCTCCCAGGTTCAAGCGATTCTCCTGCCTCTGCCTCCCGAGTAGCTGGGACTACAGGCACACGCCACCACACCCAGCTAATAATTGTATTTTTAGTAGACATGGGGTTTCACCATGTTGGCCAGTCTGGTCTTAAACTCCTGACCTCAGGTGATCCACCCACCTTGGTCTCACAAAGTGCTGGGATTACAAGCATAAGCCACTGCGCCTAGGCTTCAGACCATTTTTGTTTTTCCCTGTGTACTGCCCCCACCAGCATGTCCCATATATTCCCTCTTACATACGCTCATCAAATTAATCTTCCTAAATTGAAGCTCTGTCATATTTTCCTTGCTTAGAAACCTTCAGCTACTCTCTCTTGCCTGATATACTTACACTGGTATCTGCGTAATTGAGCTTTAACCAATTTTTCCAATATTATCCCCAGCACACTCCCCCAAAACTTTTACTGACTTCAGCCAAAGGAAACACACTAGAGCTTTCCACATCCTCATTTTTGCTCATACTGCCTGAAACAGGGGTCAGCAAACTATGTCCAGTGGGATTTGATCTGCAGACTGTTTTTGTACAATCCATAGGCTATGAATGGTTTTTACCTGTTTAAAAGATGAAGAAAGTGGAAGAGGTAGAAGAGGAGCAAAATAAGAATATGCAACAGAGACTGAATGTGAGCCATAAACCTTAAAATATTTATTATCTGGCTCTTTACAGAAAAAGTTTGCCAATACCTGGCCTAGAAAACACCCTTCCCTCTCCTAGTGCTTCCATTAAAATTGCATTTACTATTGTAGGCCTATGCTAAACACAGCCTCACACCATCCTCCTTCTACTCAGCTGCCTAAATGTCTCCTTTCTTCAAACCCCTTGGGGCCTTTTTGGGCTCTTTTAGACCTCTTACCTTTCTCTGTTGTGCTATAATTATATGTGTAAGTTTTTATTAAGTGAAAGCTCTCTGAGGATAAAGACTGTTTCTCGTATTTAAAAAAATATCTTCCAGTATTGTAGCATCTAGTAAAGTAAGTTATAGACCAAATAAACTTGGTAAATATTTGTAATTGAATTCAGTTAGGGTCAAATATAAGCCATTCCCTGGGTTCCTAAAAATGAGTACGAGTTTTCTTTTTCCCTGGGCCTCAGTTTGTGTTACTCCAAAGATCACCATTCACTGAACCAAGGAGACCCAGGATACAACATGAGGGTGAGCCTGGAATTGAATGAAACCACAGGTACTGCTTGAGATCTGGCCAAATGAAGAACAAATGCAAGTTGTCAATATAAATTATAGCAACTCCTAGAAATGTCACTACTTACTCCAAAATGCTGTTGTGTTTCTGAGTTTACTACTGTAGAGGCAGAAAGGTGTGATACCTTCCTCACCCGTCATAAGGGTCAAGGCCAACACTCCTATAAGAAAGACAGGTTAACAAGAGAGAAGCATAACAAACATATTTAATTAATGTTTTACATGACATGGGAACCTTCCGAAATGAAGACCCAAAGACCCAGGGAAAACTGTCTGTTTTTATACATAGGTTTGATGAAGGATGGACAGCCTTGTAGAAATGTGGTTGGAGAGAAGGGTGTGATCTAATGGTAACAGACTGAGAGGGGAAACCCAGAAAGGCCTGTCCAGATTCATCTTGGCCTCTCTGTGTAGCATTCCTTCCTCCTGGGTAGGGGGCAGAAGCCCTCTGGAATGAGGGTCTTCAATAGAGAAAGGAGGGGCTGGCTGCTGTAGCTCATGCCTGTAATCCCAGCACTTTGGGAGGCCCAGACGGGCGGATCACTTGAGGTCAGGAGTTTAAGACCAGCCAGGAAAACATAGGAAAACCCTGTGTCTACTAAAAATACCAAAAGTAGCCAGGCATGGTGGCATGTGCCTGTAATCCCAGCTACTCAGGATGCTGAGGCAGGAGAATTGCTTGAGCCCAGAAGGCGGAGGTTACAGTGAGCTGAGACAGCGCCACTGCACTTCTGCCTGAGTGACAGAGAAAGACTCTGTCTCAAAAAATAATAATAATAATAAATAAAATAATGAAAAAAGAGAGAGAGAGAGAAAGGAGAAGGGAGAGAGTGACCTTTCTAAGCTTTATGGCTTGCTCTGGGGGAGGAGAATTCTGGTTTCTATATCCTACAATGGGGAAGAGGAATCTGGTTCCTATGTCTCGCTTCCAGGAAGAAAGAGGGGTGGAAAACAGGAGGATGACAGAAGATCAAAGATACCTTGTTTCTGAGGTCCTTCCAGTATCCTTCAGTTCAAAGTACTCAGCATGCCAAGGTGCCACACTTTGGGGGTATCATGCTGTGAGCCCTGATGCTGTTTAATAACAAGGTAAAGGATTTGCTACACTTGATGTAAGTGATTGATTTAGATAACTCCTTGAATTTTATGTTGGAATTTGGAAGTTTAAGTCATGGATTTATAAGGATCAAAAGTTTACCAAACCAGGTACTCCATGAAGTATACTCTATTAGACAGTAAATTATAAAAGCATTTGGTAGGAGTTATGGCATAATTTGATAATATACAAAGCCAGAATATACAAGTGGGAATCTGAGGTTACGTGACTGACAAGTTGTTAAAGAGATGTGAATGGGGCTGACTTTCCAAGCTAGCATAAGTTTGGTCATTCATTGGATTCAGTGCATGTCAGTCATTTCTGCTCAACCAGTAAGTATAGGAAGCATCCTTCAGCTAGAAAACAAACATAGTGAGTGGTCCAAAGAGGGACATGGACTTTGAAATAAGAAAAAAGAAGCTGACATGTTTCAGACAGATTTCAGGGAAGGCAACATGGTAATTAATATGAAGATCTAATCTCATGTTAGTGACAAATCCATCAAGGACACTACATACACACAACCAAGATGTGAGATCCAAAGATAATATGTTAGGAAAACATGTCATTTAGGCAGAAGGGGAGCTTATATTATAGTTGAGGAGGAAGAAAATTGTTGAAGCCAGAAATATAGTGCCCAATTTCAGGTCTAAGGAGTGAAACAATGCCGTCATCAGATAATAGCATCAGAAGTTAGAAGGTTGGCAAGATCTTGATAGTTAGAGGGTGAGGCAGGACAAGATAAGTGGATACGGATGAGGGCTATGCTGGTATGAGGGTGTCAAACATATGGTGTCACCTCCACAGGAAAGAATTTGCAGACAAAAATCATTACTGCTATGGTTTTAATGTCCCCACTAAAACTCAAGTTGAAATTTAATTGGCATTGTAACAGTATTGAGAGGTGAGACCTTTGAGAGGTGGTTAGGTCATGAGGGTTCTGCCCTCGTGAAAGGATTAATACTATTATTGCAGGAGTGGGTTACATATCATAGAAATGGGCTCCTGATAAAGGGATAAGTGTAGCCCCCCATCACACTCCCTGTCTTCCATGTGCTCGCTTGCCCTTCCACCATGTTATGAGGCAGCAAGAAAGCCCTCACTGGATGGAGACCATTCATCTTGGACTTCCTATCCTCCAGAACTGGGAGTCTAATAAACTTCTTTTCTTTATAAATTACCCAGTCTGTGATATTCAATTATAGTAGCAGACTGTTTTCAGACTAATACAATTACAAAATGGGGATCTTCTAGTGAAATTGCATCCAGACACTAGACTAGGCCTCTAGAACTTCAGACACAAATAATATTTTCCAAGGTAACCACAATATCATTGTCATGCCTAAAAAGATGAACAATTATTACTTAATATTATCTAATACCCAGTCTATAGTCTAACTCTCTCCATTGTCTTTAATAAAAAGCAAATTCTTCACATATTTCTTATGGTGACATATTTCAGAGACTGTAATGGAGCCTAATGTTTATTGATTTTATGTTCCATCTCTGAGGGCTGCAAATAAATATTTTCAGAATCCCATGGTGACAGAAGCAGTAACATGATGTCATATCTGAGATTCTGGCAAGGGCAGTAGCTGGACTGAAGTAATGTTTAATGGAAATGCAAGGGAGAAACAGGGCCAAAACTACATCAGGATGAGTAGTCAACTATCTACAGAGGGCTGCCTTCAGGGTAAAAAAGATCCTCCTCTTATAAACTTCCTCCTACAACTCCTCCACCTATCCCATCTGTTAAACCCTCTTTATTACGCGGCTTGAGCAAGGACAGCCACTTTGAGCAGCAGAAGGTCCAAATTTGGCTACTCTGGCTGGCACTTGGCAATGTGGTTTCTTTTCTCACCCTGTGATCTGCTCTCCTGCCTTCCTGTTCTAAGGACAAGTTCATGTTCTAAGCATGATCCATTTGCTTCTGGGCTCACCCTTTACTCCTCTACTCTGACATTCTGACTCCTTCTCATTTTTCCTCACACAGTTCCACTTCCTCTGGCTTAATTCCAGATACATCTGATTTTGAGATCTCCACCTCTTTCTTCATTGTGTATACCTCCTGCTCCTTAATAAGTGTCCCTGTGGTTCCCACACTCCTACAGTTGAAAGACCTTAGTGTATGCTTCCAACTACCTCAATGCCTCTTGAGACCCTTGTCATAAGCTAGTCATGCACAGTGGGTCTTGCTCCACTGAGATTCTTTAGAGATTTGCATGCTCCCAAGATAAATCTCTGGGTATTGCTCCACCCCCTCTACAACTATGACCTTCATCACTCCATGTGTGTTATGACATTTTTGAGCATTGCTCAGCCCATGGAATTATCAAGGACTATAAACAAGGCTCTATCCACAAAGATAAAATAGGAATCAAACCACCAAAAAGGCATGCGGAGGACGTAAGTGGACTTGACTTTGGGGTACATTTTTTTGTTTCTAGAATAAAGAAGTACATTCAGTTTGAACAACGTAAAAACTTCACAAAGTCAGAGAGACCCAGAATTACAGGCTCACTATCTTCATACCATTTCAGCTGTGGGAGGGGCCCTATCAGCTCTCCAGGGCCCACTTCAACACTATAGGAGAAAATTCTTATTGGGCCACATTTACATACTCCTGTGTTCTGTTTCTTACTATATCATTGGGCTTACTTGAGGTTTCAATGCAATAGGCTTGATCAGAGCCTACCATATAGCTTCTATGATCACATCTATTTTACAGACAAAGCAAAAATAATTTAAGAAACTTGCATGAAAGACATAGCAACTATACAGCTAGAGAGGTCATTTGAACACAGACAGCCTAACTTCACAGTCCATCCTCATGACATTCCTTAAAATGGCTCTTCGGTTACTGGATGGTATAGCACATTAGCTTATTTGTACCTATTAATCAGAAATAGAGATTTGATTAGCTGCCTTGAAAAATGAAAGAACAAGTACATTTTGGTAGAAAGAATCTATAAGAGGAGCGTTGCCATGGAATGCCTTCAGTGATGGGGGAGAAAGGGATCTGTATGCCAAATTAAAGCATGTAAAGGAAGATACTGAGTAGCAACTTCACAAATTTGCCTAGAGCCACATCCAGGATGGAAAAGGAAAGGCAGCCAAGATAGTGGGTGGGAAAGGATTCATCTAACAGATAAGCACACAACTTATAACTCACTTTCAAGCTGAGATTCACTATAGACCTATAACATATAACTTTATTGGCAGTTCTAATAACCCTTCTATGGTAGCCAGACTCCAAGAAAACCAAAGATCCCCACCTCCTGGTATTCATACCCCTTGTGTGGTCAGTCCACTCCCACACTGAACAGGGCTTACTTGCATAACCAAAAGAATGTTGCAAAATGACAGAGCATGACTTCCGAGACTAGGTCATAAAACACATTATGTCTTCTAACTTGCTCTTGTGGATCACTTGCTCTAGAGGAAGCTTGCTACATGTGGTGAGGATGCTCATGAATGAAGTTTCCTGCCAATTACCAGAAAACACTGAGGCCTCCTGCCTAGAGCCACATGAGTCTGCCATCTTGAGGCTGATCCTAGAGCCCCACTCAAGCCTTCAGATGACGGCAGCCCAACACCTTGACTACAATGTCATGATGTACCTTGAGCTAGAACCACCCAGCTAAGCCACTCCTGAATTCCTGACCCACACAAACTATGAGATAGTAAATGTTTGTGTTTTAAGCTGCTAAATATGGGGTATTTTTGTTATGTAGCAATAAAAACTAACTTCTTTGTTTCTGCATTCATTCATTTGATCCAACAAATGAATATGGAGCTCTTTTGCCTCAGTTGCAAAGCAAGGTACACAGTACTAATATGCATGGATAGAAAGAAACAGCTGTATCCCAGACTTAATGGGCACATGCAGGCAACTCACAGCCTTAGTTGAGGTAGGGCCCCTATTTCCAAAGAAGCTACATTTAAGACACTACTACCAGATAAATGAGGAATACCCTATTTTTAAAATATTTTAGGAAAAGAGATTGTACTAATTATCAGGGAATTGTTTTCATACCTCATTCCTTCATTTAGGAAGCTTATTTTACCCCTTAGGCAAAATTCTTGCTATTATTTGAGTTCCTTTATTCCTATCACTTCTTTGGTGAAGACAGGAAACATACTGTAAAAGAAATCCATCACTGACTTCAAATTACCCACCTCAGTGTCTAAGTAGTTAATTTTTAAAGGGCACAGATCCCACTGTGCTAAGTACAATAGAAATAAATAATGTATATCTATGTGTTTCTCATGCACTTGTCCTTACCCATATTGTATGGATGAAAGATTTAATCGATCTTATTTTGGACTTAGAGACCAAGCCAGTCACGCACTGTTATTAACTTTTGGAACAAATATACTTCCTTCAGTGCATAATTCTTTTTAATATTCAAACTCACAGGAGAAAACTCCTAAGGCATCGGCCTGAATTTCATAGCACTTGTTTACTCACATATCCCCTTGGTACATTTCTGATATATGACTTTCCTTCTTCAGTAGCAGGCATTTTAAATTAAACATGATTTTGCATGATACTTTTCTAGACTATATATAGACTTGCATAGGCTTTGTATTCTTGAATAAATTATTGTTACACTCGTGACAAATCTCTCAAACCGCTATATTAGAGAGTCTGGGGGAAAATATCATATTCTTTTTTAAGTTAGCTGTAAGTTTTCATCGGAGTGGAAAATACTTCATTGTACAAACCACTAACTAAATTTAAATTGTAATTCTTTTCAAACATGTTCTTCCAGACTCGGTTTTTAAAGTATGTTTACTAAAACCCAGGTATGTCAATTGTTTATTAAAAGACCTTTTTATTACAAGTTGTACAAATTAGACTTCCTAAATATGTTATTTTCCAAATGAAATATCTTAGCCTTTTTATCACAGAATCAAAAACGAATCATTTTTCTTTCCAGATTCACTTCAATTACCTCAAAATTATATTTGGCCATTGGATTTATTTCTGAGTGGTCAGACATTCAAAAAATAATTTTAGAGAATGTGTGCCCAGTGAGTGTCAGAGAAGAAAAACGAATCTTTGGCACCTAACTTTAGTTCTTGTGGCAGAGAATACAATTGTCCAATATGAGTGTGCTTCTAAAAATAACTGTGGGTAAAACTGTGGCTCTGTGGTAAATTAAAGTATCTCCTATAAAGATGATTGAGCTTTATATATATATTTAGCTTTTGGGATGAGACAAAAACCAGAGTCTGTTGGATAAGACTATTAACCAAACTCAGTCCTGTTTTAGTTGAAGGCAAGTTATCAAAGAGATAGTCTGAAGAAACCAAGTGAGTTCACATTTATTTTTAATTTTCAATTTCTATACACAGTAAGGTCTTCTTTTTAAGGGCAAAAAAAGCACATTTCATAAATGAATCAATTCATGGAACAGCTCTGTGAGACAGGTCATGTTGACAGAAAGATGGGTTAAGGAGGGGTGGAGTGTGGAGACTGTCTCTCTGCACTCAAAATTCAGTGTGTGTTAATTTTGGAGAGAAATTATTTATGTTACCACTGCAAATGTTTAACTTATAAAAGCCACACTGTGGAAGGGGGAATGGCTGATGGGTTAGGCTCATCCAGCAAAAATATCTGGTTCTCAAGTTTATAGCAAGCTTTTGTTTTGATAAAAGAACAAAAACACATCTTTTTAGTTTTTTTAAAAAATGCCAGATGGAGTGTTTTGCTTTGTTTTGTTTTTTTAAAGAGGAGTCTATTAAACTGACATTTAAACTCAGAGTTCAGGAAAAAAGATTCATTCTAGAAATGAAGTTTGGTTAATTTCTTTCTTAAGGAATAATTAAGGCCAATACTCTATCTGCCCAATACAGTAGTTACTAGCCACATGTGCTATTTAAATTTAAATTATTTAAAATTAAGTAAAATTGAAATTACTTAAAATTAAGTAAAATTTAATTTTCAGTTTCCCAGTTACATGTGCCACATTTCAAGTGTTCAACACATGTGGCTAGTGGCTACCATATTAAACAGCACAGATAAAGAACATAGGCAGCTGTAGTCTAATAGCTCACCCCGGAGCTTTTGTATAAATAGCCCACATTTAGAAATACTCCAGGAGGCAGAAAAAGCTGGCAGAATAGAAGCCTATGCCCTTTGTCTCCTCTGCAGGAACACCACATTTTAACAACTATCTGCACACAGAAAAGCACTGTCACAAGAGCCAAAAATCAGGTGAGAAATCATAGTACCTGGTTTTAATATCATATCACCAAAAGAGGCATTAAAGAGAGTTGGAGAGACAGTCTTGAATCACCAACACCACCCCTCCCCCATCCCTGGGCAGCAGCTGTGCAGGGTGGAGAGTCTGTGCACTTGGAGGACTTTACATTGAACTCACTGCTGCCCTGTCATAGAGGAAAACAAAACCATGCTGGGTTCAGCCAGCACCTGATCAAGGATGGGACATTTGGACCAGACCTAGCCAGAGGGGAATTGCCCATCTGGTGGTCAGAACTTGAGTTTCTTGGCAAGCCTTGCCACCGCAGGCCAAAGTGCTCTTGGGTCTTAGGTAAACTTGAAAGACAGTCTAGGACATGAGGCCTGCAATTCCTAAGCAACTCCTAGTGTTGAGCTGGGCTCAGAGAAGAGGACTAGGGTGACCTGGTACCTCACCAGCTGGAACAGCTAAAAGAGTGCTTGTGCCACTCTTTCTTCAACCCTAAGCAGTGCAGCTCACAGCAATGAAAGTGACTCCTTCCTTTTGCTTAAGGGGAGGAAATAAAAGAGTAAACAGGACTTCATCTTGTATCTTGGATACTAGCTCAGCCACAGTAAGATAGAGCACTGGGCAGAGTTATGAGGTATCCCCCCATTCCAGACCCTGGATCATGGACATTTATAGACACACTCTGGGAACCCACTGGAAAAATGGGAACCCCTTGCCTTGAAGGGAAGGACTCAGTCCTGGAAGGATTAATCACCTGCTGACTAAAGAGCCCTTGGGTCCTGAATAACCAGCAGCAACACCCAAGTAGTACACTGTGGGCCTTGGGCTTTGAGAATGTGCTGAGTTCAGGTGTGACGTGGCACATTTCCAGGTGTGACAGCTACAGTGAAAAACTCCTTTAGACTCCTTCCATTTGAGAAAAGCAGAGGGAAAGTAAAAGGGACTTTGTCTTGTACCTTGGGTACCAGCACAGCCACAGTGGGGTAGAGCAACAAGCAGGCTCTTGCAGTCCTCGAGTCCAGGCCTAGGCTCTTGGATAGCATTTTAGGGCCTGCCCAGGGCATGAGGGTAGCCTACTACCCTGAAGGATGAGTCCTGGTCCTCGTAGCATTCACTACAAACTGACTGAAGAGCCCTTGGGCTTTAAGTGAACATCTGCAGTGGTGTGGGAGAATACACCCCTCACCTCTGGGCCTGTGGTGGCAGTGGCCACAGGGAGATGCTCCTCTGCCTGTGGAAAGGGGAAGGAAGAGCAAGAAGGATTTTCTCTTCTGGTTTGAGTGCCAGCTTAGCTGCAGTAAAAAAGAACATCAGGCAAAATCCTAAGGTTTTTTACTCCAATCTCTGGCTCTCAGACAACAGCTCTGGACCTGCCCAGGGCCTTGAGGAACTTGTTGCCTTTAAGGGAAGGGCACAAACCTGGCTGGCTTTACCACCTGCTGATTACAGAGCCCTGGGGCCTTGAGTGAACTTAGGTGGTAGCCAGGCAGTGGTTACAGTGGGCCTTGGGTAACCTCGGTGCTGTGCTGGCTTCAGGTCTGACAAAGTACAGTCCCAGCAGTGGTGGCAACAGGGGTGCTTATATCACCACACCTACGGTTTCAAGTGGCTCAGCACAGAGATAGAGAAAGAGAGAGACTCCATTTGTTTGGGAAAGAGTCAGGGAAGAAAACAAAAGTCTCTGCATGGTAATCCAGATTATTCTTCTGAATTTTATCCAAGGTCACCAATGTGGTACCTCTGTGAGTCTGCAGGAACCATAGTGTTATTGGGGTTGGGGACCAAGTTGCTCTGAGTACCTGGAAAGCCTTGCCAAGAAGACAGACACAAACAAGCCCAGACTGTGAAGACTTCAATAAATACCTAACTGACACTTAAAAACATCCACAAGCATCAAGACCATCCAGGAAAATAGGACCTCACCAAACAAACTAAATAAGCCACCAGGGACAAATTCTGGAGAACCGAAGATATATGGCCTTTCAGAGAGTTCAAAATTTCTATTTTGGAGAAATACAATGAAATTCAAGATGACACAGAGAAGGAATTCAGAATTCTATCAGATAAATTTCACAAAGAGATTAAAATAATTGAAAAGAATCAAGCAGAAATTCTGGAGCTGAAAAATGCAACTGACATACTGAAGAATGCATCAGGTCTCTTAATAGCAGAATTGATCAAGAAGAAGAAAGAATTAGTGAGCTTGAAGGCAGACCATTTGAAAATACACAGTCAGAGGAGACAAAAGAAAAAAAGAATAAAAAAGAATGAAGCATGCCTACTAGGTCTAGAAAATAGCCTCAAAAGGACAAATCTAAGAGTTGTTGGGCTTAAAGAGGAGGTAGAGAAAGAGGAAGGGATAGAAAGTTTATTCAAAGGAATAATATCAAAGAATTTCCCAAACCTAGAGAAAGATATCAACATTCAAGTGCAAGAAGGTTATAAAACACCATTTGACCCAAAGAAGATTACCTCAAGGCATTTAAGAATCAAACTCCCAAAGTCAAGGATAAAGAAAGGATCCTAAAAGCAGCAAGAGAAAAGAATCAACATACAATGGAGCTCCAATACATCTGGCATCAGACTTTTCAGTGAAAACTTTATAGGCCAGGAAAGAGTGACATAATATACTTAAAGCACTAAAGAAAAAAACCTTTTATCCTAGAATAGTATATCTGGTGAAAATATCCTTCAAACATGAAGGAGAAATGAAGACCTTGCCAGACAAACAGAACCTGAAGGATTTCATCAAAACCAGAACTATCCTATAAGAAATGGTAAAGGGAGGTCTTCAATGTGAAAAAAAAGAAATGTCAATGAGCAATAAGAAATCATCTGGGTAAGGCACAGTGGCTCATACCTGTAATCCCAATACTTTGGGAGGCCAAGGTGGGTGGATTGCTTGAGAACAGGAGTTTGAAACCAGCCTGGGCAGCATGACAAAACCCGATCTCTTCAAGAAATACAAAAATTAGCTGGGTGTGGTGGTGTGTGCCTGTGGTCCCTGCTACTCAAGAGGCTGAGGTGGGAAGATCACTTAAGCCCAGCAGGTCAAGGCTGCAGTGAACTATAATCACACCACTGCACTCAAGCCTGGGTGACAGAGTAAGACCCTGTCTCAAAACAAGCAAACAAACAAAATCTGAAGGTACAAAACATACCGGTAATATTAAGCTTAAAGAAAAATACAGGCCAAGCATGGTGGCTTATGCCTATAATCCCAGCACTTTGGCACGTCAAGGCGGGTAGATCACAAGGTCAGGAGATCAAGACCATCCTGGCTAACACGGTGAAACCCTGTCTCTACTAAAAATACAAAAAATTAGCTGGGCATGGTGGCACATGCCTGTACTCCCAGCTACTCGAGAGGCAGGAGAACTGCTTAACCTAGGAGGCAGAGGTTGCAGTGAGCTGAGATCATGCCACTGCACTCCAGCCTTGGCAACAGAGCAAGACTCTGTCTCAAAAAAAAAAAAGAAAAAAAGAAAGAAAGTTAAAAAGAAAAATACAGAATATTATAATACTGTACTTGTGTATAAACTACTCCTAAGTAGAAAGACTAAATGATGAACGAATAAAAAATAATAACTACAACAACTTTTCAAGACATAATAAGACCTAAAGAGAAACAGCAAAGAACTAAAACGTCGGGGGATGAAGTTAAAGTACTGAGTTTCTGCTTTGTTTTGTTTTGGTTTTTGCTTATTTGTTTATACAATAAATGTTAAGCTGCCATCAGTTTAAAATAATGGGTTATAAGATAGTATTTGCAAGTCTCATGGTAACCTCTAACTGAAAACCATACAATGGATACACACACACAGAAAAAGCAAGAAGTTAAATCCTATCACCAGAGAACATCACCTTCACAAGAAGGAAGGGAAGAAGGAAGAAAAGACCACAAAACAATCAGAAAACAAATAACAAAATGACAAAAGTAGGTCCCTACTTATCAATAATAACATTGAATGTAAATGGACTAAACTCTCCAACTAAAAGGCACAGAGTAGCTGAATGAATGAGAAAAAGACCCCATGATCTGTTGCCTACAAGAAACACACTTCACCTATAAAGATAAACATAGACTGAAAATAAAGGGATGAAAAAAAATATTCCATGTCAATAGAAACCAAAAAAAGAGGCAGGAGTAGCTATACTTATATCAGATAAAATAGATTTCAAAAACAAAACAGTAAGAAGAGACAAAGAAGGCCATTATAATGATAAAGGGGTCAACCCAGCAAGAGGATATAACAATTGTAAATATGCATGCACTCAGCACTGGAGTTCCCAGATATATAAAGCAAATATTATTAGAGCTGAAGAAATACACCTCAATACGATAATAGTTGGAGACTTTAACACCCCATTTTCAGCATTAGACAGCTCTTTCAGACAGAAAAAATCAACAAAGAAACATCAGACTTAATATGCACTATAGAACAAATAGACCTAATAGATATTTACAGAATATTTCAGCCAATAGTTATAGAATACACATTCTTCTCCTCAGGCACATGGATTATTCTCAAGAATAGACCATATATTAGGTCACAAAACAAGTCTTAAAACATTCAAAAAATTGAAATAATATCAAGCCTCTTCTCTGGCCACAATGGAATGAAACTAGAAATCAACAACAAGAGGAATTTTGTAAACTATATGAACACATGGGAATTAAACAATATGCTCCTGAATGACCAGTGGGTCAATGAAGAAATTAAGAAGGAAATGGAAAAATTTCTTGAAACAAACAATAATGGAAACACAATATACTAAAGCCTATAGGATACAGCAAAAGCAGTGCTAAGAGAAAGATTTATAGCTCTAAGCACCTACATCAAAAAAGAGGAAATTTAAATAAGCAACCTAATGGTGCATATTAAAGAACTAGAAAAGCAAGAGCAAACAAAACCAAAAATTAGGTGAAAAAAATAATAAAGATCAGAGTAGAAATAAATGAATTTGAAATGAAGAAACAATATAAAAGATCAATGAAACAAAAAGCTGTTTTTTTGAAAAGATAAACAAAATTGACAAATCTTTAGCCAGACTAACAAAGAAAAAACAAAAACAGAGAAGACTCAAATAAAATCAGAGATGAAAAGGGAGACATTACAACTGATACTGTAGAAATTTAAAGTATCATTAGTGGCTACTACGAGCAACTATATGCCAATAAATTGGAAAATCTAGAGGAAACGGATAAATTCCTAGATGCATAAAACCTACCGAGATTGAACCATGAAGAAATCCAAAACCCAAACAGACCAATAACAAGTAACAAGATCAAAGCCGTAATTAAAAGTCTTCCGGTAAAGAAAAGCCCCAAGACCTGATGGCTTCACTACTGAATTCTACCAAACATTTAATGAAGAACTAATATCAATCCTACTCAAACTATTCTGAAAAATAGAGGAGAGAATACTTCCAAACTCATTCTATGAAGATGGTATTACCCTGATACCATATCAAGAAAAGAAAACTACAGGCCAATATATTCAGTGAATATCGATGGAGAAATCTTCAACAAAATACTAGCAAACCAAATTCAACAATACATTGAAAACATCATTCATCATGACCAAGTGGGATTTATCCCAGGGATAAAATATGGTTCAACATATGCAAATCAATCAGTGTGATACATCATATCAACAGAATGAAGTACAAATCAATATAATCATTTCAATTCATGCTGAAAAAGCATTTGATAAAATTCAACAGCCCTTCATGGTAAAACCCCTCAAAAATCTGAGTATAGATGGAACATGCCTCAACATAATAGAAACCATATACAACAGACCCACAGCTAGTATCATATTGAATGAGGAAAAACTGGAAGCTTCTCTTCTAAACTCAGGAATACAGCAAGGTTGCCCACTTTTACCACTGTTATTCAACATAGTACTGGAAATCCTAGCTAGAGCAATTAGACAAGAAAAAGAAATAAAGAGCATCCAAGTATAAAAATTAGCCAGGTGTGGTGGCACGCACCTGTAATCCCAGCTACTCAGGAGGCTGAGGCAGGAGAATCACTTGAACTCGGGAGGTGGAGGTTGCAGTGAGTCGAGATTACCTGGGTGACAGAGTGAGACTCCGTCTTAAAAAAAAAAAAAAAGCATTCAAATTGGAAAGGAAGAAGTCAAATTATCCTTGTTCACAGATGATATCATCTCATATTTGGAAAAACCTAAAGACTCTACCAAAAAACTCTTAGAACTGATCAACAAATTCAATAAAGTTGAAGGATACAAAATCAACATACAAAAATCCGTAGCATTTCTATATGCCAATAGTGAACAATCTGAAAAAGAAATCAAGATGGTCATCCCATTTACAATAGCTACAAATAAAATACAATACCTAGGAATTAACCAAAGAAGTGAAAATTCTCTACAATGAAAACTATAAAACTCTGATGAAAGAAATTGAAGAGGACCTTGAAAAGATATTCCATGTCCATGGATTAGAAGAATGAATATTGTTAAAATGTTCATACTACCCAAAGCAATCTACAGATTCAATGCAATCCCTAGCAAAATACCAATGACATTCTTCAAAGAAATAGAAAAAAAAAATCCTAAAATTTATATGGAACCACAAAAGACCCAGAATAGCCAAAGTTACCCAAAGCACAAAGAACAAACTGGGGGAATCATATTACCTGACTTCAAATTATACTACAGAGCTATATAGTAAACAAAACAGAAGGGTATTGTCATAAAACAGACACATGGACCAATGGAACAGAATACAGAATCTGGAAAAAAATATCCACACCCCTACGGTGAACTCATTTTCAACAAAGGTGCCAAGAACATACATTGGGGAAAGGACAGTCTCTTCAATAAATGGTGCTGGGAAAACTGGGTATCCATATGAAAAAGAATGAAAACACTAGGCCCCTATCTCTCAAAATACACAAAAATCAAATCAAAATGGATTAATAACTGTATTAGGGTTCTCTAGAGAGACAGAATAGGATACATGCATATATGAAAGGGAGTTTATTAAGGAGAATTGACTCACACAATCACAAGGTAAAGTCTCACAATAGGCTGTCTGTGAGTTGAGGAGCAAGGAAGCCAGTGGTGGATCAGTCCGAGTCCCAAAACCTCACAAGTAGGAAAGCTGACAGTCCAGCCTTCAGTCTGTGGCCAAAGGCTGAAAGCCCCTAGCAAATCACTGGTGTAAGTCTAAGAGTTCAAAAGCTGAAGAACTTGGAGTCTGATGTTCGAGGGCAGGAAGGATCCAGCATGAGAGAAATGTGAAGGCCGGAAAACTCAGCAAGCCTGCTCTTCCATCTTCTCCTGCCTGCTTTATTCTAGCTGCTCTGGCAGCTGATTAGATGGTGTCCACCCAGAATGAGGGTGAGTCTGCCTCTCCCTGTCCACTAACTCAAATGTTAATTTCCTTTGGCAACACCCTGACAGACACACCCAGCAACAATACTTTGCATCCTTCAATCCAATCAAGTTGACACTCAATATTAACCATCATAAAGATTTAACTCTAATACCTCAAACTATGAAACTACTACAAGAAAACATTTTAGAAACTCTCCAGGACATTGGACTGGGAAAAAAATTCTGAAGTAATTCCCCACATGCACAGGCAACCAAAGCAAAATGGACAAATGGGATCACATCAAGTTAAAAAACTTTTGCACAGCAAAGGAAACAATCAACAAAGTAAAGAGACAACCCACAGAATGGGAGAAAATATTTGCAAACTACTCATTTGACAAGGGATTAACAACCAGAATATATAAGGAGCTAAAACAACTCTATAGGAAAAAATATAATAATCTGATTTTTAAAATGGGCCAAAGATTTGAATAGACATCTCTCAAAGGAAGACATACAAATGACATACAGACATATGAAAAGGTACTCAACATCATCAGAGAAATGCAAATCAAAACTACAGTGAGATATTATCTCACCCCAAATAAAATAGCTTTTGTCCAAAAGACAGACAATAACAAAGGCTGGCGAGATGTGGAGAAAAGGGAATCTTCGTACACTGTGGTGACATAAATTAGCACAACCACTATGGAGAAGAGTTTGGAGGTTCCTCTAAAAACTAAAAATAGAGCTATCATATGACCCAGCAATCCTGCTGCTGGGTATATACCCAAATGAGGGAAACGAGGATATTGAAGAGATAGCTGCACTCCCATGTTTGCTGCAGCCTCCCAAGTAGCTGGGATCACAGGTGCCCGCCACCACACCCAGCTAATTTTTGTATTTTTTTTTTTTTGAGATGGAGTCTTGCTCCGTTGCCCAGTAATTTTTGTATTTTTAGTAGAGATGGGGTTTCACTGTGTTGGCCAGGCTGATCTCAAACTCCTGACCTCAAGTGATCCACACACCTCGGCCTCCCATAGTGCTGGTATTACACGCGTGAACCACTGCGCCCGGGCAAGAAAATTTTATTCAGGGATTAAAAGAGTACAGTTAACTTTAAAATACTTTTTGAGTAAGCAGTAAAATTTGAAAGATATATTTAAATTCCAGTAAGTCATAATTTTTATTAGCAATTTTCACATCTATAAGATCTTAACATAAATAGCACATTTGTAAATATTGACTTTTTTGTTTACCAAGTTCTAAATGAGGTTTTTCAGTTCATTTAGGTAGGTTTGATTTGCATTGCAAATAACTGATTTCTCTATGTGGTTCTATGCGTAACAGACTTTGTATATGTGTTAACATTCATGGCAAAAAATAGTTCCACTTTCAAATGAGTTAACCCACCTTCAAAATTGCAATGAGAATTTTTTTCTTGACTTAGATTTTTGAAAATAGTACTATTAATTTAAAATATTTCCATTATTGTCATAAAATGGCTTTTTAAATGATAGTGTTCTGAAATATTTGACTCATTTCATTTTACTTGCTCTTCTTAGAAATTTGACTCCTTTATTTTATAATTATAAAATTATGTTCATTTCTACATACAGATAAATCATGTCACAATTTACAAATGCATCAGATTTGTATAATATGAATAATGTTTCACTGCTTCCTTACTCTTCTACTATAATGTTTTCCAATTCTCTGTAGCCTATCTGTTATGGGTCACTACTAGATATTTTCCTCCCCAGTGCTATATCAAAAATTTGAACTGTTCAATTCTCTGGTTTCCCAGAAGAAAAGCTTATCAATATATGTTTTCAGGTCAGGTGTGCTGAGCCTCACTCCACCCCACCCTATTATTGCTCTGACATCTAAATCCTGGTTTTAGTTACAGGACATTGATGAAGATAAAAGCCAAAACAGCTACAGAAATTCTTTTAAATCTTAAGTTTTTCCCCAGAATTTACAAAAGTAAGCATTATTATCTCAGCTATATCTACATATTCACACAACAATTCAATTTTGTGTACTATTGAGAATATCTGATAAGTAAATTCAAAACTAAAATAAAGGTGAGATATGAAGAAAATTTGCATACTTGAGCTGGCTGTTGGGCTTTGCTGGATCACTGGATGGGCAGACTAAATGCATGCATGGGGCATCAAAGAGAGAGAGAGAGAGAGGAAGCTAGGTTCCACTTCAATGAATTTATCAGAACATTGCCATCTTGAAATCCAGAAAGAAACCGTTTATTTTCCCCTAAATGTAAAATTTGTATGTTCTGGCTGAATATCATTTTTATTTTTAGACATATGTGTTGGAAAAAGGGTACCAATTTGTTTTCAATGCTTAGAGGCTCTAAAAGAGACAAGCTTAGTGGGTATCATCCCACCCGGAGGAGATATAATTGTACCATCATTTCAGGCCACGTTGCTCAGGCAATAGTGCATTTCAGTTCTGATGTAATCAATATATGTTCTCAGCCATGCCAGCCAGGGACTCAGAGGAAAGAGAATTCCTGAGGAATTAGTGCTGACTACCCCACACATACCCCTGGGTTTCAGGCCGCTACAGAGATGCCCTTAGGTATTCCTGACAAATCAGGTCTGTAGTGTCTCTGCTGTTGCTGGAAGAACTCATTCATAGATCTTGCTAATGTACCACAGCTCGGCTCCTAAGGGATTTCACCCACTCAGGCTGCGCCAAGTGGGGAAGGTGTGAGTACACTGGGTCACCCTTTTCTGCAACTAGCATGCCTGCGTTTCAATGAACACTTTCTTCTCCTCTGTTAGCTGCTACTTTCTATCTTCATCAGTAGATTCTCAACCACATAAAATGAGCAATTGTCCTCTGAGGGCTTTTAACACACATTAAATTCTTTTTTTTTTTTTTTTTTTTGAGACAGAGTCTTGCTCTGTCACCCAGGCTGGAGTGCAGTGGCAGGATCTCGGCTCACTGCAATCTCTGCCTCCCAGGTTCAAGCAATTATTCTGCCTCAGCCTCCCAAGTAGCTGGGACTACAGGCGCGTGCCCACCACCCCTGGCTAATTTTTGTGTTTTTAGTAGAGACAGGGTTTGACCATATTGGCCAGGCTGGTGTCGAACTCCTGACCTTGTGATCCACCTGCCTCGGCCTCCCAAAGTGCTAGGATTACAGGCGTGAGCCACCGTGCCTGGCCACATACATCAAATTCTATGATTGATTTTATGTGCTGAAAGAAAGTTCTGTCTCCCACCAAGAGTTCAAAACATAGTCACTTTCCAAGTCTCTCAACCTTCAACCCCGTAAAAAAAAAAATATAAAATCTCTTTTAGCAAAACAACCCAGAATGTTAGTTTTATTTAAATAGACAAGAACGATGTCTTAAGTGAAACTATTGTGATGCTAGCAAAAGAGACATAGAGTTTTTCAATCCAAGTAACACCAGGGATGTGAATGGCCACTTTCCTCCTAAATTCTGGTCTTGGTTACAAGATATTTATGATACGAGTCTTATACAATGAATGCAGGCAATGATTCAGTTGACTTAATCTGGCAAGATTTTCCTTACGCATGATTATGAGTTTGGGACTTGAGCCAGCAATCAAAAAGGATTGTAAATTTAAATGATTACATCATCTAATAAAGTCTTATTTTTGGCTAGGACAGAGGCACCTTCTTCAAAATTTATTCTGAATACATTAGAGTCATTCTAGCTGTGTGACCTTGGGAAAATTACCTAATCTTTCTGCAGCTCTCTTTCTTCATCTGTGGAGTGAATAAATTATAATATCTACCTCATGGGCGTATTGTGTTAGTCTGTTGTCACACTGCAATCAAGACACAACCTAAAACTAGGTAATTTATAAAGAAAGGAGGTTTAATTGACTCACAGTTCCACATGTCTGGGGAGGCCTCAGGAAACTTACACTCATGGTGCAAGGCAAAGGGGAAGCAAGGCACGTCTTACACAGTGGCAGGAGAGCGGAAGTGCACAGGGGAATCTGCTACTTTTAAACCATCAGATCTCCTGAGAGCTCCCTTACTATCAGAACAGCATGGGAGAAATTGCCCCCATGGTACAATCGCTTCCCACCAGGTGCCTCCCTCTACAAGTGGGAATTACAATTCGAGATGAGATTTGGGTGGGGACACAGAGCCAAACCATATCATTTACTAAACAAGTTAACATATGTAAGGCATTTTGGCTCCCTGGCACAGGTAGAGTCTATATTAGGTATTATTGTGATTACTATTGCTAGTATTATTAGATTGATAGAGTGAAGCTGAAAAGATTTTACATTTATTTGAACTCATGTAATTATCTAGCTAATACAATTTCCACTTAAAGAATTTTGAAAGACATATTTTGTGTATTTAAACATTTTCCAAATAACTATCTTAAATCAAATATAAACCCCTTCAAGGAATAATTTCTTTTTAGAAGAAAAATATTTTGCAAATGAATGACTTATCTTTGGAGGATGAAGGTAGACCTAAAAATGGGAGAGAGAGGCTGGGTGTGGCGGCTCACACCTGTAATCCCAGCACTTTGGGAGGCCAAGGTGAGTGGATCACCTGAGGTCAGGACTTTGAGACCAGCCTGGCCAACATGGTGAAACCCCCTCTCTACTAAAAATACAAAAAAAATAGCCGGGGATGGTGGTGGGTGCCTGTAATCTCAGCTACTCAGGAGGCTGAGGCAGGAGAATTGCTTGAACCCAAGAGGTGAAGGTGGCAGTGAACCGAGATCGCGTGGGTGACAGAGAGAGACTCCATCTAAAAAAAAAAAAACAAAAAAACAAAAGTAAAGACACTAAATGAAAAATGTTGATATGAGCTCATAATTACTACTCGGGTCTTAAAGTTTTGTTTTTCATTGACCTGCATGAAGGTAGCCACATTTAAATACCTTGGAGATTTCTCACATATATTTTTTGTTTACCTCAATATCCCTTCGGTAATCTAAAAATCATTTTAAAATACTCTTTTAAGTTATAAGATATCTCTTGGAAAAATTATTTCTGTTTTAAAAATTAACAACCTTAGAATTTATGCTGTTTGCCATGACAGAGTGTTGGTACTAGACTAGTTCTCCTGTGGTAAAACACTAGAAAACTGGGGGAAGGATCTGAAACAACTGTCTTCAGATACCGGACTGCAGGCAGCACAGGACCAGTATCCCTGAAAGAAGGAAAACAAGCAAGGTAAATCCTACATTACCTAGATTTGTCACGTAGAGGCACCCTCCAGGCCCTCTTACAGAGAGTGCAAACTGAAGCAAAGCACAGGGTCTCACTGAGCTAAAAAGACAGATTTTAGGGAGGCTGAAGTGGCAGGAATTTGTGGCATGCAACTACACAGAATAAAATCTCCAGAAAGCTTCAGAGCAGTCCCTTTGAATCTTGGCTGAACATTAATGTGTGCATGCACAGAGTGAGACTCACTGAGGCCAGGCAAAGAGAACTACCGGGGAACTTTAAATTGAAAAACCACTAAAGTTTCCACAGGACTGAAAGACATTCAAGATCTGTGCTTGAGCCAGACTGGAGAGACCTCCTTGAACAACTGGACATTTAGCAGAGACTCCAGGAAGGCCTTGCTTTAAGACCAGGGGAAATAACCTCTATAGTATAGGTTACTATACACTTGCCCTACTAAAGCTTTAAAACAGACCTCAAAAGGATCAAGAAGGGCAGGGCACGGTGGCTCACGCCTGTAATCCCAGCACTTTGGGAGGCCAAGGTGGGCGGATCACCTGAGGTCAGGAGTTCAAGACCAGCCTGGCCAACATGGTGGAACCCTGTCTCTACTAAATAATAGAAAAAAATTAGCTGGGTGTGTTGGCGGGCGCCTGTAATTACAGCTACTCGGGAGGCTGAGGCAGGGACAACTGCTTTAACCTGGGAGGCGGAGGTGGCAGTGAGCCGAGATCACGCCATTGCACTCCAGCCTGGGTGACAGAGTGCGACTCCATCTCAAAACAAAAACAAGAACAAAAAAAAAGGATCAAGAGATCAGGAGGCTGTGGCAGGTTGACTACTTGAGCTCAGGAGTTCAAGTCTAGTGTGGGCAACATAGTGAGACCCTGTCTCTTAAAAAAAAAAAAAAAAGATCAAGAGACTCTGCAATAAATTAACTATTCATAAGGATGAAAACCTAACCTTCAAACAAAGAGAAAATTCTTACACTCAATAAGATGACATTCATAATAGAAGGCATAAGATAAAAACTTACTGGGAACTGTAAGGAAGCAGGAAAATGTGACCCATAACCAGGAGAAAATCAGTGAATAGAATCAGACCCAGAAGTAACAGAGACAATGAAATGAATAGAAAGTGACTTCAAATCAGTAGAATTAACATAATTCAAAATTTAAGAAATGCATGTATAGGATGAGGAAAGACATGGACACTATAAAAATTCGCCTAGTCAAATTTCTAAAGTTGAAAGTTAAAATATCCAAAATGAAAAACTCACCAGATGGATTTACTATTATATATTGGATGCTGCAAAAAAAGAAAAGAATAAGTGAACTTGAAGACAGGGCAATGGAAACTACCCAAATAAGATATTGTATTCGATATATGTGTGTATGAATTAAAATAAAACAAGAAAGAAGGGAAAGCTCTCTCTTATGGTAGAATACCAAATACTGTAATAAATGTAGAAGGAATAGTGGAATTAGAAAATAATCAATTGACAGCCATCACAGTAATAATTTTTTCAGGCAATAATTATCAATGGATGATAAAATTTGTGGGCAAAAGCATGGTGAGAAACAGGATATTTACAGAGTCTCAGAGTACCTTTCCTATAAGACACAAATTAATCACATAGGGGAAGCCAGAAATTTAGAGTGGAGAAACCTAGCAGTGATCAGGGGTATCACCATTAATAGGACAAATTGATATCTTGTGCCTCCTGAAACAATGACTGAGACGGACATAACATTCCTTCTTTGACATTCTGCCAAAAATGCTTACTGATCAAATCATGAGGAAACATCAGACAAATCCAAATTGAGAGACATTTTAAAAAATGACTAATAATGCTCAATACACTTTGAAAGTGTCAAAGACAAAAAAACAAAGACTATAGAACTATTAGAGGTTAAAGGAGACTAAGAAGACATAAATCAATACAAAATGTAATCTTGGATTGAAACGCAGACACTGAAAAGGACAACACAGAAATTTACTAAGGCATGTAAGTTACATGTTATTATCAATATTAGTTTCCTAATTTTGGTAACTGTACTATAGTTATAATGTCCTTGCTTTAAGAAAATATATAATGGAGGATTATTAAATATGTAATAAAATATATAATTTAGTATTTAGACATGTTAAAAAACCAATATAAGTCACCATATTGACACATAAAGGAGAAAAACTATATGTTTATTTCAACATATCCAGGAAAGGTACTTGATAAAATTCAATACCCATTTATGATAAAATAAAACAAAACATGATAAAACAACAACAACAAAACCCAAAAATTCTTTGCAAACCAGGAATAAAAGGAATTTTCCTC
The DNA here is from genome assembly GCF_000001405.40 of Homo sapiens. NCBI lineage: Eukaryota > Metazoa > Chordata > Mammalia > Primates > Hominidae > Homo > Homo sapiens. Next base: position 168,296,703 of record NC_000002.12, on the reverse strand, counting down.
AATTTAATAAAAGTTATCTGAAAACTCTACAGCTAACAACATAATTAATGGCGAAATACTGAACACTTTCCTCCTAGGATCAAGAACAAGGCAAATATATCTGTCCTCACTATTTCTATTCAATGTTGTACTGAAGCCAAGAAAAATTTAAAAACATACATATTAAAAGAAAGAAGAGTATCTTTATCACAGACAGCATTAATAAATGAAATCAGCATTGTTGCAGGACAATATCAATATAAGAAAATCAACTGTATTTCTATATACTAGCAACAAATACCTGAAATTTGAAATTTTACAAGGTATCATTTACAGTAGCATCAAAACCCTAAAATAATTGGAGTGCATTTACTAAAAATATGTGCAAGATCAGTGTACTGAAAACTACAAAATATTGCCAAAAGAAACTAAAGACTAAATAAATGGGGAGGTAATACTATGGGTTATGGATTGGAAGACTCAATATTGCTAGGATGTCAATTGTCTTCAGGCTGGGCACAGTGGCTCCTGCCTATAATCTCAGCACTTTGGGAAGCCAAGGCAGGTGTATCACTTGAGGCCAGGAGTTCAAGACCAGCATGGCCAACATGATGAAACCCTGTCTCCATTAAAATTACAAAAATTAGCCAGGTATGGTGGTGCATGCCTGTAATCCCAGCTACTTGGGAGGCTGAGGCACAAGAATTGCTTGAACCCGGGAGGCAGAGGTTGCAGTGAGCCGAGATTATGCCACTGCACTCCAGCCTGGGTAACAGAGCAAGACTTCATCTCAAAAAAAAAAAAAAAAAAAAAAAAAAAGTCAATTCTCTCCAAATTGACAAGGTGATTCTAAAATTTTTACAGAAATCCAAAGCACCTAGAATTGCCAAAATAATTTTCAAAAGAACTGATATAGGACTTATGCTATGTGATTTCAAGACATTTTAGAGCTACAGTAATCAAGATAGTATAGTATTGATGTAAGGATAGATATATAGATCCTTTGGATGGAATAGAGAGTCCAGAATCAGACTTATATGTATGCAGTCAACTGTTTTTTTATAAAATCGTGCTGTACATCTTTCCTGTAAATAACCTCTCACTACTTCTGGCAAACACTGATCTAATTCCTATCACTATGAGTGAGTTTTGCCTGTTTAAGAATTACTTACAAATGGAATCAAAGTGTACAAGTATAGACTACAACTGAAAAGTCAAGGGAGTAGTTCTGAATTCAGGCAGTGCTCAATTAAATGAATAATGTATCTTTTTGTTACCTCTGCCTTCTTCTGATTGACTTCATTCATAGCAGGTTTTCTTTAGTGATGGCAAATATGGCCACCAGAAGCTCAAGATTTATATTTTGTTTAACAATCTCAGTAGAGAGAAATTACTTCTTTTTATGTAGTTGTAGCAAAAGTCCAAAGTCTAATTTTTATTATATTTACTGGGAATATGCTTACCCTTGAACTGTGCCAGGGGCATGAGATATGCTGCTTAGCCAAGCCAGGGCCTAACTCTGGATCTAAGAGATGGATGACTCCAGTCCCCCATGAACCACAGGGATTGAGACAAAGGAGTAATATTATCTTCAGGTATTTTCTCAGGATGATAAGCCAAGCATCCTGGATTCCAGTTCAGGGTTCACTCTACCACAATACTCTGCTATAATTCAGCATTTGGAATCCTGCATCATGTCCCAGAGGGCCACCTGGTTCTCTGTTGCCAGAATGTTGTGATGATGTTCTATGGCTCTTCTTCCAAATAGAGTAAGGGTGATGGGGCTCAGGCTCTGTGGAATGGGTGGGATTGTCAGTGGCAGAGCTGATTAGATAGGAAAGGACAGTGTCATTGTGGGGACTGGCAAGCAGAGTCATACCATCTTTTATGTTCTTAAAAAAATACATTTAGAAAAACTAAGCACAGGATAAATGGACCTGATCAAGGGAAAACAGACAATTTCTAACCATTTGTGATCATTTCATCTCAATAAGAACAACGAATGTGAAGAGAAAAAGAAAAGAAAAATGGGAGGTTAGAAAATGATATAGAAGAACACAATTTCTTACTCAACATATCATTGACAATGTTGGCAAGCAGTCATTTTCAACTGTCAAAAATGTAAGTAGAACAGCTCACTTAGGAAAAGGGAAGGCAATATTAGTAAGCCTAATCTGTCAATCAATGCTTGCTTGGTTATTTGTAGAGAGATGCTGAGACGAAATGTTTTCAAGTAGACAATATTTATATTTGCAATAAAATTAAAAACCAGGACTGTGAGGATATTCTACTTCTATGCTTTTCTTAGGCTATTACTTTTAATAAGCTGGAATTATATTTTTATATTTTTTGGCTTTTAAAGGAAATCTGTATTTTATCATGGAAATAGAACATAAAGTCCACTATTGGATGAATTACTTCCCTCTGAAGAGAGTTCTTATTATTTCCAGCTTTATATGTTATAAACACAGATACTGGCACTCTTCTTTCAGGCAAGAAATACTAGGGGAAAATATATATGTCATGAAATTAAAAACTCCACCATAAGTGAATTTAAAGCCAAACGATTTCATAGAACTGCACCATTTCTAGGAGTCTATGTGGAAGAGAAAAAATATTTTAGACATTAGAGGGAATGGTTTGGCCATTTCAAAACATGAATGCAAATTATCGGACAGCCCTTCTATGGAGTAATGGCATCTGTGTCCCCTCCACTTGAATCTGAATGAGCTTGTAACTGCTTCAACCAATAGAGGTCAGATGTGAGGCTGTGTTACTTCCATTGCCATCTCATGAAATCTCAGAGCTTCTGTCTTGATCAATGGAACACTTGCTCTCAGAGCAGCCATGAGTAAAGACCAACTATGCTGAGGCGTTGGTAAGGCCACACATAGGTACTCCGGTCAACAGTTCCAGCTGAGCCAAGACACCAGTTATATAAGTGAAGCAGTCTAGGACCCTCGGACCATCAACTCAACACCACTGAATGACCTTCATTGACACCATGTGGAACAGAAGAATCACCCAGCCAAACTGCCCAAGTTTGTGACCCCCAAAATCACAAGATGTAATGAAACAGTTTTTGTCTTAAGCCATGAAATTTTGAGATAGTTTGTTATGCAAACAAAAGGGATGCCATTTTAGAATGAATGATGTAATTACTTAAAAAAATAAGAACTCATATTTCTTAATAATGATAAAAGGCAAATAATCCTATAAGAAATGATAATAAAGTGATACCACATTTTTTTAATATTTTTGTTTGCTTTTAGGATATTTGAGGCCTTATATAATAAATAACTTGGATTTATAAGCAGAGTGAATTGAAAAGGAAATGCAAAGAGAAAATTTAGTAAAGTGTCTTAATATAACACACAATTAAATGAAACATCTACACACATCCAAAAGGCTAAATAGCAGATTGTAAGTTGTCTATATCTTATTTCTTCTAATTTCATGAAAAAGAAACAAGCAACAAGTAGACAAGCTGGTATAATTTTATTGAAAAAAATCAGGACATTTCAGGCCTTATCAATGTGACAGATTTTTAGAACCTTCATTTTAGGTGAAAGATACCAGAAAATTATTTATAAGTAACTGAGAAACAACAAAGACCTAAAAAGACAGCTATACCTTCCACATCCATAGTACTGCGCATTGGCAGGAAATGTTTATGTCCCTGAAGACAAGATTCTGGAGGTCAAAAGGAACTCACAGAGATAATTAAAATCATCTCCAGAAATGTTTTAACATAGAACATATTTTTTCTAATCTTTTGAACTGTAGTTACCTCTTTTCTCACAGACTATTCGTTTATTTTTCAATCCGAAAATGAAGTTGAATCCACTGAAACTTAATTTGTATTTATTGAACTTGGCTTCTTAATATGAAATGCAATACTTATGTCAATGCACATGTGAAACTCTCTGATGTCCTGCCATTAAAGCATAACAAGTTAACTAAACACGTGAATGCATAGAAGTAAAAGCCAAAGATAATACTCATATGGTATTTTTCTGTTAATCAGAAAATTGAAAACAACAGAACACTCAGAAGTCACTTCTGTTTGGGTTAAGGATGATACCAAGGATCAAAACAGCAATCTCACCATGAAACAAACTGCCTTAAATGTAGAAGGGATACGGTGCATAATCGTAGCACTGAGTTGATAAAAATAACAGTGACATGTCGGTGGGAGTGTAAATTAGTTCAACCATTGTGGAAGACAGTGTGGCAATTCCTTAAGGATCTAGAACCAGAAATACCATTTGACCCAGCAATCCCATTACTAGGCATATACCCAAAGGATTATAAGTCATTCTGCTATAAAGACACATGCACACATCTGTTTATTACAGTTATTCATAACAGCAAAAACTTGGAACCAACCCAAATGCCCATCAATGATAGACTGGATGAAGAAAATGTGGCACATACACACCATGGAATACTATGCAGCCATAAAAAAGAATGAGATCATGTCCTTTGCAGGGACACGGATGAAGCTGGAAACCATCATTCTCAGCAAACTAACACAAGAACAGAAAACCAAACACTGCAGGTTCTCACTCATAAGTGGGAGTTGAACAATGAGAACACATGGACACAGGAAGGGGAACATCACACACCGGGGCCTGTTGGGAAGAGGGGGGCAAGGGGAGGGATAGCATTAGGAGAAATACCTAATGTAAATGATGGGTTGATGGGTGCAGCAAACCACCATGGCACATGTATACCTATGTAGCAAACCTGTACGTTCTGTGCATGTATCCCAGAACTTAAAGTATAATAAAAATAATAATAAAAAACAGTGACATACACTAAAATCCTGATTTAAAAGCTACCAATATGCCAATACTATAATTCTCACCTCCAAAAGAACAGTAAGTTTTACTTATGGAAGTTTAGATATAAAAGCTAGTATTTATCACATTTTACATTTAGATTGCTTCTATTTGGAATTAATATGACAGATGTTTCTTAATAATAAGACATTTCATAGAATGTATATGAACACATAGCGTCCCAATTATTAAAGATTAAATATACAAATTTTGGTTAAGCCACTAAAGATATTACCAACATCATGGTCCCTTGCTCTGAGGTCATGATCTTTCAGAGACCCTGGAAAGAGATGCTGGGCATTTCTTGCACTCATACAAGGTTGTTGAAATGTTATCGACCCAAAGAGCACACCAAGCCTGACTCAAAAGTGAAAGCTTCTGTAACAACGTTATAGATGAGTACCTACCAAATAGCACCATATTTTCTTCAGGCTCCTTCTGAAACCAGTCAGCTTATCACCCTAAATCTCATAACGAATAATAGAGGGAGGGGAAGGCTGGTGATGACTGATTTTTGGGGGGCTCTAAGCATTTTTATGGAACTCAGGGATGCACACTTCTGTCAATGAGGTCACTCCAACCACTTCAAATATCTCATGGTTCCCTGGTTTTAGATTAAAAAAATATTAATAGGGGGAGAAGAGCCATAGGTAGTTACAGTCTCTCAGGGATTCTGCAAATCTGTAGTTAGGACAAAGAAAAAGAGGGCCGGGCACGGTGGCTCACGCCTGTAATCCCAGCACTTTGGGAGGCCGAGGTGGGCGGATCACGAGGTCAAGAGATCGAGACCATCCTGGCTGACATGGTGAAACACTGTCTGTACTAAAAATACAAAAAAATTAGCCGGGTTTGGTGGCAGGTGCCTGTAGTCCCAGCTACTTGGGAGGCTGAGGCAGGAGAATGGCATGAACCCAGGAGGAGGAGCTTGCAGTGAACAGAGATCGCGCCACTGCACTCCAGCCTGGGTGACAGAGCGAGACTCTGTCTCAAAAAAAAAAAAAAAAAAAAAAAAAAGAAAAGAAAAGGAAAAGGGAAAACAGGAATGAAATAGATTTTAAAGTTTTCTATCTGCCAACAGGGTTTTCTCCAATTCCGATTTAACATGAGGCCTGTAATAGGAATGCAATCATCTTTATTTAATAAGTTATTTCTTTACTCTTTATTATTTACTCAGTGTCAAAAAATCTCACAGCATCTTTAGGAAAGTCCTGGCAAAAGCTTACTGGCTGGGGACCATGCAGGAACCCCTGGGACTCATCTCTATTGCTGGAGTTGAGCCAGCCTGAGGAATGGGACTTTTTGTGCTGCGACCTCATCTTAGCAGCACTGTCCGACCATTTATGTTCTTCCCTGGTCACTGCCGTGAAGAGGGCACCCGGAAATGGGAGCTCTGTCCATCGTTCATAATAAATTAGCTTCACAGAGTACCCAAGAGACTGAGGAATTCGAATTTAGAAATTCAAAAGGGTGCATCTCCTTAAACTCTTTAAACCAAATTCTAACGTTACTCTTCACAGACACCCTCTATTCCAAATATCATATATTCTTCCCCATATACCAAGATAATATTCTATTAACAGGTCTTCATGAAGTCCTGTCACCTGTCCTTAAATAAGGAATCGCGACGATAAAGAAAATAAAGTGAACAAATAAGAAGAGAAATATTTTAACAGAGATGTCCTTAGAACTAATTCTCTATGAAAAATGTTTATAGGATTTTCAACTGACAGACACTCTGACATGCAAACCTGGCTTAAAGTGTTGACAACATTGTTTTATAACCCAGCATAGCCCGTTTTTATGGTAGTTGTGTGATGACGCACATTCTCTGACTCTTTCACGTGAGGGAACAAGAATGCCATAAGCCACTTCACTATTTCATTTGTAAATTTCCAATGAATTTTTAAATAAGCTTTTTCACAAACATGATAGTCATTTAACAGAAATAGCATTCTAATTTAAAGGTATGACTTTTAGAAACATGCAGGTCATAAAGAGAAGCTGAGATGCCTAAATTGTGTAATAATAATTGAAACTCAATTTTTTTTTTTTTTTTTTTTGAGACAGAGTCTTGCTTTGTCACCTTGGCTGGAGTGCAGTGGCATGATCTTGGCTCCCTGCAACCTCTGCCTCCCAGGTTCAAGTGATTCTCCTACCTCAGCCTCCTGAGTAGCTGGGACTACAGGCGTGGGCCACCACACCCAGCTAATTTTTGTATTTTTAGTAGAGACGGGGTTTCACTATGTTGGCCAGGCTAGTCTCAAACTCCTGACCTCAGGTGATCGACCCACCTTGGCCTCCCAAAGTGCTGGGAATATAGACGTGAGCCGCCGTGTGTGGTCTGAAACTCAAATTTTTAAACAAGGTGATCCTACGTAATCTGTAAAATAGGCAGTGTGCCTTTTGTAGTTCTCTGCAAGTGACAAAAACCTAGTTTAAGCTCAAAGGGGAAATTATTGGTTCATGAAACCTAAAGGAGGTTTAAACCGGCACAAACACATGATATTCACTGATGTAGCTGGGCCTCAGGAACAAATGTACAAGGAAGTCCCCCAACCAAGACATTTTGTCATCCATTTTTGCTTCTCTGAGTATTGGTTTTATTCTCTGACGTAGAGCACTGACTTTCTCTCCATTAGAGGAAGAGTGCATCGCAGTTTCCCTAATATTGTATCTTGTATCTTCCACCATGGAAATACAAACTTAAAGCTCTCTGAGTTTTAACTGGAAATTCTTGAGGACTTTGGGACCTGGTCCAGTTACCTGTGCCCAAAGGGACATGAAATTATAATTGAGGCAGCTTTGACTAGGTGCCTACTCCAGACCAAACTTGACCAGGAAGGTAGCATCGTATAAGGACAGCACCTTGTTTCAGAAATGATTAAATGTAGAAAAATTAGAAAACTCACATGACTGGAAGCTTGCAATTGTTCAGGGGATGGGGGGCGGGGTGCTAGATAAATGTAACAGATACTCATGACACTCACTCAATCCCAGGGACATTCCTCTTCAATGCCTTCCACTATCCATCCACTTTCCCTCAGTTCTTGTCAATTTTCCTTCAAGGTCCTTATACGCATGTTCGTGTCAAGGGTGCCGATGAATTTTTTAAAAGCTCTATTTTGTACTTTGGTAGTTAAAAACTGTGCTTTTAGCCAGATGTGGTGGCTCACTCCTGTAATCCTAGCACTTTGGGAGGTCAAGGCAGGTGGATTACCTGAGGTCAGGAGTTTGAGACCAGCCTCACCAACATGGTAAAACCCCGTCTCTACTAAAAGTACAAAAAAATAATTAGCCAGGCATGGTGGTGTGTGCCTGTAATCCCAGCTACTTGGGAGGCTGAGGCAGGAGAATCGCTTGAACCCGGGAGGCAGAGGTTGCAGTGAGCCAAAATCCCACCGCTGCACTCCAGCCTGGGCAACAGAGCGGACTCCTGGGGTGGGCTGCAGTTTCAAGCTATTGTTCTCAGACTCCCGTAATCTTAGGTAAGTCAAGTGACCAAGTTTATGATAACTCTTTTGATTTTTGCCTTCCCAAGATCAGACTCTAAACTCAGAAAACAGGCTGGGTGTAGTGGCTCACGCCTGTAATCTCAGCACTTTGGGAGGCTGAGGCCAGCAGATCGCTAGAGGTCAGGAGTTCAAGACCAGCCTGCCCAACATGGTGAAACCCCATTTCTACCAAAAATACAAAAAAATTAGCTGGGTATCATGACACACACCCCTAGTCCCAGCCACTTGGGAGGCTGAGACACAAGAATCACTTGAACCCAGGAGGCAGAGGTTGCAGTGAGCTGAGATCGTGCCACTGCACTCCAGCCTGGGCAACAGAGAGAGACTCTGTCTCAAAAAAAAAAAAAATTTTGAAAAATAAAAAAATAAACTCAGAAAACAAAAACATACAAGAAACTCCACATTTTTTTTAGGATGTCTTTTTCACCCAAAACTATCTTTGAGATCTCCCAAAGAAGGGACTGTGGAAAATCACAAAGATTTGTTCTTTCATCTTATGAAAAGAAGAATATTGTCAACATTTAGGCTCATTTTATACTCCATATTTATCTTCTGTTGCTTTTATTTTCCCCCCTCCCCCAAGAGATGGGGTCTTGCTATGTGCCAAAGCTGGATTCATACTCCTAGGTTCAAGTGATCCTTCCAGCCTCCTAAGTAGCTGGGACTACAGGTGTGCACCACCATGCTAGGCCATGTTGCTTAATTAACTCAAAATTGCCCTAAGAATTTCATGAACAGAGTTGTCAAATCACAAGATACTTAATATTGGTAAAATGTGTTTAATATAAATGTTTCAGAGATTGTGCACTTTCCAGAAAGAAAAAGAAAGCCCTGGAAAAGTATCAATGCCTTCACTGTCCATGATATATTTTTATCTTCAGGAGACATAATGATCACTTCCTTATGTAACAGTAATAGTAACTGCAATAAAGGACATTCTCCTCCATTCTAATTGTACTGGTTATTGTAATAAATTAACAACAACCAATTAGTTGTGCCATTACAAGTAGTTCTCTTGTCCCCTAATGCTGTCCTGAAGGTTCTGCCACAAGCTATGAGATGAAAATTGGGTCTTCAATAAAGCAGTGTCGAGCCTCATGTGAAGGGCCACACCCTTCAAAAATAAGCCTCTGGCTGCTGGCTTTTGAGCTGACAAGACAGACAACTTTCAGACTATACCCTAGGACTGAGTTGACATTTCCAGGATTCTTTTTAGCCCAGAAGCAGGTGGCAGACTAATGATTCAAAATCCAGGGGTATAAGAATTAATTACATAGAATAGCATGAACCGATAGAGATGTTTACTTGTACTGGGTTTATTGGAAATGTTATTGGCATTATATGTATGTTCTATATTCTGCTCATATGTATACATGGAAGTCCCTTTTCTTTCTTCTTATTTTATCTGTAACTTTCTGTTTGGCTAAATAAGAAAGCATATTCAAAAGAAGCAAATACTCTTACTGAGCATTCTTATTTTTCATGGCAATATGGTTATTTGCATATGTTCAGTGAGAATGTCTCTTGCCTTTGCTAGAGAAAAAATGGAACATTATTTGTGCAACTAAGGCTAAACCTGATGTACCATACTTGTGACTAATTCTCTGCACTCAAGCGTAACAAGCTCACCATTAAGGAACCAGAGTTGTACTTTTATGTGGAATCAATGCTGTAAAAGCCCTTCCAGGAAAACTGGCTTGGTCTTATTCTATGGCTTTCAAGATCCCAGCCTCACAGGTAGTACGCAAGCTTACTCCTTAGCAGGCCAGAAGCTGTCAAATTTGGGGGTTCTTGAGCAGAGAGGAATTCACCCAAACTATAGGTAGTGCATTGGAGAGTCGCACGAACTTGGTTTTCTAGCCTTAGAATACAAAAGCAAATAATAGAGGCCTTTAAAAATCTATAATGACTTGTAAAAATGTCTGGCAGAAATTCGCTGGCTTCACACAGTTGTAGTTGCTTAATTCTCTATGGCTCTAGATTTGCTGAGCAAACTCAAGGGAGGAGGCTCGTTTGGTTAATTAACACTCCTCACTGCCTCTAGGTAAATAATAAAGCCAAAACACAACTAGATTAGACTTTTTTTTTAAGAATTATTTTTGGAGATAATTTGTTAAGAAAGGGAGAACGTAAAGAAAGGGAGGAGGCCAGGCGTGGTAGCTCACGTCTGTAATCCCAGCAATTTGGGAGGCCAAGGCAGGCAGATCACAAGGTCAGGAGTTTGAGACCAGCCAATATGGTGAAACCTCTTCTCTACCAAAAATACAAAACTTAGCTGGGCGTGGTGATGGGCGCCTGTTGTCCCAGCTACTCAGGATGCTGAGGCAGGAGAATCGCTTGAACCCAGGAGGCGGAGGTTGCAGTGAGCAGAGATCGTGCCAGTGCACTCCAGCCTGGGTGACAGAGCGAGACTCCGTCTCCAAAAAAAAAAAAAAAAAAAGAAAAGAAAGGGAGGAGAAATGTTAAGTAAAATTATCCAAAACATACATATTCATTTTTAAAATGTAATTGCTATTGAAAGCTTTTTTTTTTTTTCCTTTAAGATGGAATTTCGCTGTTGCCACCCAGGCTGGAGAGCAGTGGTGTGATCTTGGCTCACTGCATCCTCCCCCTCCAGGGTTCAAGGATTCTCCTGCCTCAGCCTCCTGAGTAGCTGGGATTTCAGGTGTGCGTCACACACCTGGCTAATTTTTGTATTTTTAGTAGAGACAGTGTTTCACCATGTTGGCCAGGCTGGTCTTGAACTCCTGACCTCAGGTGACCTGCCCACCTCGGCCTCCCAAAGTGCTGGGATTACAGGCGTGAGCCACCACGCCCAGCCTGAAAGCTTTTATTGAAAAATAAAATGGGTTATGAAACAATAAAACAAAGGGTTATACTAGAGAAAGATTGTTCAGATTACCTAGGACATTCTACAGTAAGAATGCTCAGCCTCAATTTCCCACAGATATTTCATGTACACCTAAACCATAATTTCCCCTATTTCCTACCAGTCCCACCAACTAATCTCCTGGTAGCTTTATGCATCTGGCAAGCGGCAGATAGCGCAACCAGCTGGAACACCAGGTGACTGACTGCAGTTTTGGATAGTTTTCTCATGTCCACTAGAGGAAAGGAGCATTCGCTTCTTGTACTAGTCACTTATGTCAGGATAAGCTTCCTTGTATCAGTGAGCACCCAGCATGTTGTTGTTTAAAGGAGATGATTGTTACACTGCCTGCAGGAAGGGTCTGGAAGATTACTACTAGTCATCTTTCAGACTTAACCACACAGAGAAGTGAGAACTCTGCTTGCTGTACATGTAACTCTCACGTAGAAGTTGGATGTGCATGATAAGCGTCTACCAACCCTGTCCTGGCTTATTATCATGCAACTTTAGTAAAAATGCTTCATTGAAAATGAAAAATCAGAGATAAATGTTAAACCAGGCAGGATATGGCTCTCCAGGGCCAGTGGGGACAGAGGATCTCCCTAACCATTCTGCCCTTATGAGAACCTTCCAATATCATTTTCAAAACTTCAGCCCAAGGCCTTGGATGTGCAAAGATCAGTCTGGGGACTCAGTTGGGAGGAGAGATTTAAGAGAGCTAAAACACACACACAAACACACAAAGACAAGGGGTCAGGGGAGGCAGTAACTACGGCTGTTGTTTTTTTTTTAATTTTTTGACCTTGTGAGGAATGCAGCAAAGTGAAGATGAAGAAAAAAAGAGAGAGAGAGAGAGAATAGAGATGAAGGTTGAATGAGATGGAAGAAAATAGGAGCCCAATCTGCAGAAATGACAGTGGGACTTTTTTTTTTTAAGCACAAGATTGTCTGATAGCATTTGAAAAGTGTTTGTATTACTCTTAATGCAAATCTCTTTGTTCCTGTATACCTTCATAGAGTCAGATATGCTCATGAATGTCCTGTAAGTTTTCTTTTTTATTTTGTTTTGTTTAGTGAAAATTAAGAAAAGTTTTTATCTGGGTTAATAAGAATAGCACCTTTATGATGCTGAGATGATCCTTAAACCTGACGTATTCAGTGGAAGGGAGTTTGGAGCCAAACCAGTCTCCTCATTCATATAAATCTTGGGGAGGGCACTAGGTTTTTAAAAGTTCTTCAGATGGGGAGAAGGAGCTTGCCAGCTGTGGGCCTGTTTGCCTGCAAATACTTCCTTTAACGTCTTCCCACTCTTTTTGGGTACTGAACGGGGGTGGCTATAAACCCAATTTCCCAGGCTCCATGGCTGCTGTTTACAGCCGGGTTCAGCCAGTGGGAGGCACTAGAGAAGCCAGGCTCCCTCTGCCTTGGGAAGTTCTCTTCCAGCAGCTGCAGGGGGAGGGGAAGGAGGGATCCAGGTAATCAGGCCCAGCGTGACAGCAGTCACCCCTATACTACCCCCTCCTCCTTCCGTCCCTCCAGCTTGAGCATGGTAGAGGCTTCCTGATGTTGCTAATATTTAGGTTGCTTTAATGGCCACATTTTGACATCTTAGCTTTTTTATTTCTGTGGGTAGACAATTCTCTGCATTAAAGATGCTCTAGTCTAAATATTCAGGAGGTTTCTCTTTCCAGGTTAAACTTAGGCTGAAACATCAGTTACCACGTGGATTACATAGCAAAACAAAAAACCTATCTGTTGTACAGACTTTGAGAAATTTCCACAAAATAGACTGCAGGTGCCACACAATTGTGGGTAGGGCTGTCCCAACTCAATGCACACCACATGTGAAAAACAAGTTTAACTTGAAAGTAAATAAGAGTGTGTCCTTCAAGAACAACACTGACATTCCCCACTCCACGCAGGAAGGGCTGGAGGCAAGAGGGGTTTCAGGAAGTCTGTGTGGGCCCAGATGAGTCCAGCACGTTCTACAGGGAGTTTTCCTCTAGCTAGGTCTGGAACAGAATATGCAGGTGCCCTTGGCTGTGCGGAAATATGCTGCCCCGTTAAACTGAATTTCTATTAAGCATCTATTTATAGAAGAGAGTAAACACCCCGTGAATAAAAGACAGAGAATGGTAGCAGCCCGAAGTCCCTTTTCTCTCCTCCCAAGCATTTGGCTCTGGTCCAAATTCACATATCCTGCTCCGTAAAACAAAGTGCCTTGGTTAACCTAACGTTATTCCTTGAACAGTAGTTTAGTGATCAACTAGTTTTTGTTGTTGTTGTTGTTTGAGACAGAGTCTCACTCTGTCGCCCAGGCTGGAGTGCAGTGGCGAGATCTCAGCTCACTGCAACCTCTGCTGCCCAGGTTCAAGGGATTCTCCTGCCTCAGCCTCCCAAGTAGCTGGTATTACAGGCACCTGCCACCGCGCCTGGCTAATTTTTTTTTTTTTTTTTTTTGTATTTTTAGTAGAGTTGGGGTTTCACCATCTTGGCCAGGCTGGTCTTGAACTCCTGACCTCGTAATCCACCTGCCTTGGCCTCCCAAAGTGCTGGGATTACAGACGTGAGCCACCGCGCTCTGCCCGTGATCAACTGGTTTTAAACATACAAATCCTTTGGGGATTTTATCTCAAACTTTACGTTTCTTAACAAAGAATTCCTTCCAAACACATACAATACTCCTTTTAAAGGAGGTCTTGGTAAATGCATTTCCTGGATTAGATTGTATTATTGATCTCAATTCCTTACCACGTCCTGCAACTACATTCTTTTCAAACCCTTGATGTCAGTGGACTGTCTTCCCTTCCCTTGATTTTGAACTAATTATAGGACTTGTGGCGAGTGATACTTGGGCAGAGTGCAGTGTGCCTGTTCTGAGCTTAGGCCATAGGAGACCATGAATCTTTCTGCATTTCCTTTTGCATTTCTGCCTTCACCCTGCTAGCCCACTGGGCCAAAGAGAATAAGAAACAAGTGGAGCAAAGTTGCCCCATCAGCTGATCCACAGGCTTAAGAGCAAACCCAGCCAAAATTAACAGAGCCAGCCATCTAACCCAGCGTAGATACCAACCCCACTACCCAGAAGGCACATAAACAATAGTAAATAACTATGATTTTTAGCCACTAAGTTTTGGGGTGATCTGTTATGCAGTGGTAGATATGTTACCCCCTTATATATTGGTAGCTCAAACACCTGCCCAGTTGGTTCATCCCCCATTGTAGCTTGCATTTAGGTTTACACATGGTAAGGATAGCAGCGTCAGGAAAAGAGTAGGGACCCCACTATGGCTTACTGCTAATGAAGGCAACTGTGTGAGGCAAAGAAATGGGATAGTGGCCCAGCTATCTTCATGCTGCTGCAGGGACATAGTATACAAATATCCTGCCATAGCTCCCTCTGTTTCACTATATTTCCAGGGAATTTGGACCTCTAAGCCATGTGAAAAACACAATGACTATAACATGACGTGTTCTAGATCTAAGACTTTGCAACAGAAATCCACATAGACGAGGCAGAATTGGTTCCAACACCTGACTGATACGAATTATTTATGGAGCTCATATAAGTTTGGTAAACATGTGTAAGAGCCAATCAAAATGTTCCATGCTTAATAGGAAATACGTAGTAGATAGAATGGTAAATTAATTAACACAAATTCAGGGAGTTCATTTACAGCTTAAGCTTGGTAAACATGTAGTATTGCCTTTTAAACGTAAGTCTCTGAAGGACATGTAAAGGTTACTTACTGTGGCTGGCATTATCTGGAAGACCAAAGTAGAACTACCAAAGCAAAGCTAAAGCTAACTGAACTATAGCTGTGGATACCAGAACACTTTTGGCTTGGAGGTAGTAGCTGGGAAAAATAGATCTTCTGCACAGGTGGGGGAAATGCACATCCCAATCTACCCACCTGCAAGAAATGAAGCACTCTCCTTTCAGTTCAGTAGTTCATTTCTTGCAGGTGGGTAGATTGGGCGGTGCCCAGAATACTCTGTGAAGTAATCTTATTCTTGTGAAAGGGTGGAGAACTTGTAGTACCCTTAGGACATGAGGATAGTAATATTTAGCATCCAGCTGTTGTGAAGATTACTTCTAGCTGTTGTGAAGATTACTTAAATGGCATGTGTGGATCCTTTAGCACAAATCTTGTCTTATAATAAATGCACAATAAACACTAGCTATTGTGATTAGCGGTATAACTAGAATCTCTTTAGGATGATGGGAGAAAATCATCAGATATAGAAACATATATAACATTTTGAACAGCTGCAGCCAATCTGAATCATCACAGTAAGTTGTTCCTGAAGAAATAAGAAGTTTGGAAACTTCTAATGTATGCTTTCAACAAGACTGATAAAGACAATACATTGATAAAACTATGACACATAACCATGAAAAGGAAAATAATTGAGAGTAGGAAAGAGCTCTTGGAAATGCAAATCACAGCTCCTAAATTATAAACAATAAGAAGAAATAAAAGCAAATGAAATATGATAAAACTTTGATTCAGGGAATTAGGAAACATGTTCAAGAAATTTTCCCAGAACTTAAAAAGACAAATTCAAAATGATGAAAAAAAAAAAAAGGTTAGATGCCAGAGCACTAGCCCCTGCCTGTAGTCCTAGCTACTCAGGAGGATAAGGTGAGAGGATCACTTAAAGCCAGGAGTTGGAGGTGATAGTGTGCTATGATCACACCTGTGAATAGCCATTGCACTCCAGCCTGGGCAACATAGCAAGCCCCTGTCTCAAAAAGCAAAAAAAGAAAGGTAAATATGTTGTCATAAGTTTAAAGATCATTTGTATTTCTTTCTGTTCATATCCTATGCCTGTTTATTAATTGGGCTGTGAGTGTTTTGCTACCTAATTGCTGGCAACCCTATATTGGAGAGGGAATCATATTTTGTAGCGTTAGCTGCAAAAAATTTTCTAATTTATCACATATACTTCTTAAAATTATTCTAGGCAATCAAAGATTGGTCCATAATAAAAAAATTGAAATATGGACAGTGTAGTTTAACCATTAACAAAATAAAAATGTCAAATCACCAAAAGGGGAAAAAAGCAAGGATCCTAACACAACATAGTAAATAATTTTTAAAAAAACAGCAAGAAAGCATAAAATATATAAAAAAAGAAGGGAAACCATGTATATCCATTCCTTAATAAATACAAGTAACTTGAAGTTAAATAATAAAGATCTTCATATTGAGTCAAAAAATCATGTCCAAGTATAACTTGTTAATAAAAAGGTAAAAATAAAGTTATGTGTGAGAGTAAAACAAAGGAAAAGTGCCATTATTATTATCAAACTAGAAATTGAGAAAAAGATCATTAAATGGAACAAAGAATCATTTTATATTAAGGGTAGAATACACAACAGAAATACAGTATTAATTTCTATAAGCTAAATGATATAACTTTAAAATATGAAACTGACAAAACCATTAGTGGGAATATTTAAACATACCTCCATCTGTTTTTATATATCGAGTGGACAAAAATTAAATAAGAAAAGAGAGAAACTGAAAAAGCAAGTATAAGTACAAAGACAAATTTTTGAATAAACTCTGCCAGAGTTCAATTTTTCCATATGTATAAGAGTGAATCAAAATGTTCCATGCTTAATAAGAAATACATAGTAGATAGAACGGTAAATTAATTAACACAAATTTAGTGAGTTCATTTACAACTTAAGTGAGCAGATTAAATTTCTTAAAACAAATATTTTAGTAATGTGCTGGTAAATATTTTACAACCAGCTCTCTAGGGTAAGAAAAGAGCTGTGATTTTTAGCATTTGCCTATTTTGGTGGTGTCAATAATATTCCTACTCTGGCTTATTTCAAGCAAATAACATGAAGTCACTGAAAGCAGAGTTGGGAAGATATATTCCTCACTGGCTTTTGCAGGCTGGTGTGAGTAGGCTTTAGCACACAACTGATACATTTAATGACAAGTGAGCAAGCACATTTTCCTATAATGAACAAGTCTAACAAGCCTTCTAGTCACTCAAGCTTCATGGATAAATGGTCCAGTCTGGGGAGACACAGCAAAAACTTTATAATAAATAGTTAAGTATTACAAAAATCCACTTGCCTTTATCATGAAACATAAAAACAGGAACTGATTATAATGCTAACAAAAAACAGAGAATATGTAGATTTAAGACCAAATAATATCACTGCTACCCATAGCTAATCTCTGATGGTGTTCTTTGCTTATAGTATCTCCGTGGTCACCAAAATGGAAATAAAAAGTAAGAACAATTTCAACTTATCACTTAAGTACTTATATCTACAGATTATTCTCTTTTCAAAGCTTCTGATCAAATCGTAACCTGAAGTCTATCATTTTTTTATTCACACACACACACACACACACACACACACACACACAATTATACTCTACTGAGTATTCATTTCCTTTGAATATGAATTCTTGGTCAATATGTTATTTAATAATCACAAATTGTGAAAAAATTGAGAGAGGACATGATGAGATTGAACTTAAATATATAGAAATACGGCCATAAATGTCTACATGATTCTTTTAGTTTTTTGGTGGGGGAGGAATACGGTAAGGGAAGAAATTTAAAAAGAATCATGTAACAGATGTGGAAATGATGAGTAATACCTATCAGGAGAGAAATGTTTTAGGTTAATGATAAGCACATAAATGTATTTGCTCAGAGGGTTTATAAGCATTTAATTATGTAATTATGTACACAAGCATATTATGTACTATGTGGCAACAGAAACAGAATGTACTAAATTAGTGGATTTATGAGAGCATGTCTTGGTCAATTAGATGTTTTAAGGCATTGACAGGATCTAAATGTTTACAATCCTGTAACCACACAAACGAGACTGTTGGAGTTCGTCAGGTTGGAACAAAGGGTTCCTTTGCTGAGACTTAACTTTTTAGATACCTCTTCTAATTGCCCCACTGATTTAGTTAAGATTAGGTTCAGCTGGCTGGGCGGGGTGACTCATGCCTGTAATCCCAGCACTTCGGAAGGCCCAGGCAGGCGGATCATTTGAGGTCAGGAGTTGGAGACCAGCCTGACCAACATGGGGAAACCCTGTCTCTACTAAAGATACAAAGAAATTAGCCAGGCGTGGTGGTGCATGCCTGTAGTTCCAACTACTCGGGAGGCTGAGACAGGAGAATCGCTTGAACCTGGGAAGCGGAGTTTGCAGTGAGCTGAGATCGATTGAGCCACTGCTCTCCAGCCTGGGCGACAGAGTGAGACTCCATCTCAAAAACAAACAAACAAAACAAAACAAAACAAGACAAACAAAAAAAGATTAGGTTCAGCTGCAAATGACAGAAAACCCGAACTAACAATCAGCTAAACAGGAGAGAAATGAGTACTTCTTTCTTGTAGAGCTCTAGACAGGTGGTCCAGAGCTTTCCATGGCAAGGCTTTCCATGGTGACAGGGACCTGGACTCCTTCTACTTACTTCTTGTGTGTGGCCTTAACTTTATGGTGCCAGGTATGGTAACTCATGCCAAGCCACCAAATGGAGGAAAGGGAGAATGGGAGACAATGGGTGTTTGGGAGCTGTCTGGTAAGGAAGGTTCCTGGAAAGTGCCATACTCTACCTCCTCCTAAATCCCACTGATGACAGAACTAATCTTAGCTGCAATGGAGGCTCAAAAATGTTCTATTTATTTCTGACTTCCATGGACTCAGCCAAATATTTTATTATTGTGAAAGAAAAAGAGAAGGCATGTTGAGGTACCCGTAAGGTACTGATACTTGTTGCCTAAATACCAGTGATTAGAACTACCAAGAAGATCCTACTACTGCTGATCAAGGAGGCTTTTATCCATGTAACATATTAAAATGAAAAAAAGTATATGTGCATGATGTAAGTGCTAATTATGTGTTTTATGGAAGGATTCACTAAGACGGAGGATTTTAGTGAAATATAGGAGGCTTTTGAATAGAGCAGCAGGTGAAATGAGATGAGGAAGGCTTAGATGACAAGTCATAGAGACATTCTGGGTCGGCTTGCTCAAGAGCACCTTGAGTGAGTCACCTGTTAATTAGTACAGTGCCATTTAAAGTTTGTCTATAGACCAGTAGCAGCACCATCACCTGAAAGTTTGTCTGAAACGCAGCACTTGAGCCCCAACCCAGACCTAATGAACAAGAATTTCAGGAGATGAGGGGACAGGAACCTGTGTTCTAATAAGCACTCTGGGTGATTTTTAAGTGCTAAAAGAAGCATTGTTGTAGTAGATGGGCTTGAGCAATATAAATAATCTTAAGTTTTAAAAATCCACCTTGCTTGAACAATGTAAACACACTAAGTTTTAAAAATCCACCTTGCTTCCCTCATAATCCTTGTATATGAGAAAACATTAGAGCTGAATACAGAAGTCAGCATTAGTAAAATAAAATGGAATATTTACATATTTATGAAATAAAAACTTTCTTACATTCTTAAGAATAAATTATTTCCTATACCCCCATACATACAAGTATTTATTTATTCATAACTACCAACTGACATTATTCTTGATATGGGAAAATTAGACACATTCTCATTAAATCACAAGCAAGATATCAATACAATCATTATTTTTTACTATTGTCTTTTCAGAGTTAGCCAATGCAATTTGTCTCCAAATCAAAGTAAATATGATAAATACTAGAAAGGATGGCGTAAATTTGTCATTATTTATAAATCATATGATTGTCCTATTTTTAGAGAAATAAACTTGCTTAAAGAATCATGTAAGGCTGGGCATGATGGCTCACACCTGTAATCCTGGCCCAAAGAAGGCTGAGGTGGGCAGATCTCTTGAGCTCAGGAGTTCAAGACCAGCCTGGGCAACATGAGGAAATCCCATTTCTATAAAACACAAAACAAAACAATACAAAACAAAAATTAGCCATGTGTAGTGGCAGATGCCTGTAGTCTGAACTACTTGGGAGGCTGTGGTGGGAGGATCACTTGAGCCTGGGAGGTCGAGGCTGCAGTGATCTGTGAATATGCCACTGTACTCAAGCCTGGGTGACAGAATGAGACCTTGTCTCAAAAAGAAAAAAAAATCATGTGAAAACTGGGGAAAAACCTAGCACTATAAATATGCCAATTTTCCAAAGTCTAATCTAGGTAATTAGTGACATTGAACCAAAATTTAATTTTAAAAATACATAAAACAATCTTAAAGTTCATCGATGAGCAAAAATACCTATGAAAATTTTGGGGAGAAAACTGAGATCTTGGTTTACCATATATTATATGCACAAAAAAAGAGAAGGAAAATAAAACATTGCAGTAGTCAAACCACAATAGGAGGGCAAAACAATAGAACAAAATGGAAAATATATAGAATACATTATTTGTATATATAAAAGTATATACACAAATATTTGTATATATACAAGTATATACAATATTTGTATATATACAAGTATATACAAATATTTGTATATATACAAGTATATACAAATATTTGTATATATACAAGTATATACAAATATTTGTATATATACAAGTATATTCAAATATATAGAATCAGATATATATATATATACATATAATTTAATGTATGAAAAAAGAAGCATTTCAAACTAGTAGGGAATGAGCAGCCTAGTCAATAAATGGCACTCTTCATATGCTTTGACCCAGTAATATGTGTATAAAGGGATATCCCAAATACTCATAAGTATATTTTTAGTACATGACAATGGTGGCATTTTAGAATGAGAAAAAATATCATTTACTGACTCCATGGCACAGGGATAATGGGTTATATTATCTATTATGTGAGAAATAAAATTATGTTCCTGTCTCCTATCACACAAAATAAAAAGACTAAAACATTAAATTATTTAATGGATGAAAATGCAAATTAAAGTTAAAATAAGATACTGTCTTAAACTTATCAGATGAGAGAAAGTTTGGTATCACACTATGTTGGTGAATATGTAGAAGGAACAGAAACATTAAAATATTATTTGTAATGTATAAATAGTTCTCTAGAAGACTATATGGCAATATCCATAAAAATTTAAAACACTCATCCTCTTTAATTCAATGCTATCAGTCAGTCAGCCTTCTCCAGAGAAACAGACTCAATGGAATACATGTATAAAGAGTGTTATTTTAAGGGATTGGTGCAGATGATTGTAGGGTCTGGCAAGTCTAAAATATGTGGGGCAGGCCAGCAGGCTGAGAATTCAGGCAGGAGTTAATGCTACAGTGTTGGGGAAGAAGTCATCCTTTTTCTGAAAACCTTAGTGTTTGCTGTTAAGGCCTTCAACAGATTAGATGAGACCCATCCATATTTTTAAGGGTAATCTTTGCTTAAAGTCAACCGATTGTAAATATTAACCGTAATATCTTAATAGCATACCTAGATTTGATTAAATAACTGGATACTATAGCCTAGCCAAGTGACATATAAAACTATCACACTCGCCAATCTTCATTTTTAAGAGTTTACATAAAGATATACTTTCACATATAAAATTTTGTATTTACACACACATATGGAAAATCTTTTGCAGCATTTTTTATGATAACAAAAGACTAGGAACAATCTAAGTGCAGGGAAACAGAGCTGGTTAAATACTGTGTATACTGAGATGAAATAATAACTGAAATATTGTTAGGTTAAAAAACAAGATACGGTTTTGTGTGAAAATATCTTTAAAAGGAATTCATACTTGTATGTATTTAATATGCATAGACTATCTCTAGAAGTATATACAAAAACCGGGTGGCAAAGTAATGGCTAGGATAGAGACTCACCTTTTACTTGTATAGTCTTTGCACCTTTCAAATTTTGAGCTATATATAAATGACTATGTTAAACATTCCCAATATTCATTAATTAAAAAGTAGACTGGCTATGCATCTCCACAATGGCTAAAATTAAAAAGACTGACAGTGCTAAATGCTGGCTAAGATGTGGAGTAACCATAATTCTCATGTACTCTTGGTGGGACTATAAAATTGTACAACCATTTTAAAAAGTCTTGGCAATTCACTGCAAAACTTAACATATACCTACCCAAGAGCCTAATAATTTTACTCCTAGGTGTTTACCTAAGAAAAATGAAAGCATATGTGAACAAAAAAGACAATTGTACCAGAACATTCATAACAGCTTTATTTGCAATAGCCAAAAACTAGAAACAGCCCAGGTGTTCATCAGCAAAAGAATGGCTGAACCTACTGTGGTATATTCATAGAATGGAATACTACTTGGTAAAAAAATGAAAGAAACTGCTCCTAGATGCAACAGTATGGATAAATTTCAAAAACATTATGCTGAGTGAAAGATGTTTTTAACAAAAGACTACATATAATTCCATTTTCATAAACTTCTAGAACAGGTAAAATCCATGATGGAGAAAACTAGAAGAGTGGTTGCCTCTGAAGGGCAAGGTAAGTGTTGACTGAGAAGGGAAGGAAGGCATTTTCTGGGGTTCATAGTAATGTTTTATAACTTAATAGAGGTTCGGGTTTACATGTTAAAAACTTATAGAATGATACACGTAAGATTTGGGTATTTCATTGTAAATTTCACCTTAAAAATCTTAAATATTGAACTCTAATTAATTATATGCATGCACAGTTAGTTTTTTTTTTTTGCCTATCAGGGCAGGAAAGTTGGTTTGTTTTCAATGTAAATATATAGTAGTGGCTAGGACTCAGTGAAATGGGCACTGTTATACACTTATTAATGGGAATGTTAATGTGCAAATATGTTTATTATGTCATTATTCATAATATCAATTAATTGGAATTGATTTTTTAAATTGACAATATTTTAAAGTTAATGTAAGATGGAATACGAAGCAAACATTTTTAAAATTGTAGAACATCAATTGCAAGGAAACATGTTCAGGGATGTTTTAAAATAAAAATTTTATTTAAAAAGTGAATACATCAAATTGCACGGGCGCAGTGACTCACACCTGCAATCCCAGCACTTTGGGAGGCCATGGTGGCAGATAGATCACTTGAGGCCAGGAGTTTGAGACCAGCCTGGTCAACATGCTGAAACCCTGTCTCTACTAAAAAATTTTTAAAAATTAGCCAGGTGCAGTGGCACACGCCTGGAATCCCAACTACTGGGGAGGCTGAGGTATGAGAATCGCTTCAGCCTGGGAGGCAGAGGTTGCAGTGAACGGAGATCATGCCACTGCACTCCAGCCTGGGTGACAGAGTAAGACTCTGTCTCAAAAAAAAAAAAGAAAAGAAAAGAGGTCGGGTGCGATGGCTCACGCCTATAATCCCAGCACTTTGGGAGGCTGAGGTGGGCGGATCACGAGGTCAGGAGATGGAGACCATCCTGGCTAACGCGGTGAAACCCTGTCTCTACTAAAAAATACAAAAAATTAGCCGGGCGTGGTGGCGGGCACCTGTAGTCCCATCTACTCGGGAGGCTGAGACAGGAGAATGGCGTGAACTCGGGAGGCGGAGCTTGCAGTGAGCTGAGATCACACCACTGCACTCCAGCCTGGGCGACAAGGGGAGACTCAGTCTCAGAAAAAAAAAAAAGAAAAGAAATAATAATAAAAAAAGAAAGAAAGCAAATATATCAAATTATATAAAAATGTTTCTATATTTAGAAAATGTACTGGTAACAGATAAACTAAAATTTTATTAAGGTTATTTTACAGTAGTATACCATATACTATTTTTATTCCTCTTCCTGCATTTCAGTACTATTCAAATTTTCTATAATTAACATACATTAATTTTGAGTAGAAAATAGAGTGCTATTCTTGAAAGTAAATAACTCAAATTTTTGTAGGAGTCAGAAAATTTAAAGAAAGTTAACTGAGACTAGTAGTTAGCTGTATAACAAGTCACCCCAATACATAGTCTTTAAAATAATAACCATTTATTTAATTCATGATTCTGTGGGTCAGTAATGTGGGCTAGGCTGAGCTGGGTGGTTCTTCTGGTCTCAGCTGGGCTAATTTACATGACTGTGATCAGTTTCTGGGTTGACTAGGAATGGCTCGTTGTTGGCTAAAGTGTCTTGGCACTCTTCCATGTTGTTTCTGATCTCTAGCAGGCTGTGTACATTGTCACTCATCAAGTTTACGAAAGAGCTAGGGGACATGTGCAAGGCTCTTGAAGTTCAGGCTTGAAACTGGCAGGTATTGTTTCTGTAGCATTCCATTAGCCAAGGCAAGTCACAAGACTAGTCCAGATCCCAGTAGTAGGAAAAGAAACTCCACCTATTAATGGGAGGAGCTGAAACGTTACATCATGAAAAGACTTAGATATGGAGTATGGAAAAATTTGTGGCCATTTTTGCAAATCCATTACATCAAACACTAGTCCTTGTATTATATAGACAGATAATATACCAAATGTTAAGGAAATAAATTGTATGCAAAGATCCCTGCCTGGTATAAAAATAAAATTAGTGGTAAAATTATAAGTAATCAACCAATTTATATATAATTAATTACCAAGCTAATAATACAAATGTGTACTTTTTTTTTTTGAGACGGAGTCTTACTCTGTCTCCAGGTTAGAGGGCAGTGGTGGAATCTCGGCTCACTGCAACCTCCACCTCCCGGGTTCAAGCGATTCTCCTGCCTCAGCCTCCCAAGTAGCTGGGACTACAGGCATGTGCCACCACACCCAGCTAATTTTTTAAATTTTTAGTAAAGACAGGGCTTCACCATGTTGGCCAGGATGGTCTTGATCTCTTGACCTCGTGATCCGCCTGCCTCAGCCTCCCAAAGTGCTGGGATTACAGGCGTGAGCCACTGCGCCCAGCCCACAAATGTATACTTTTATAATAGTTATTCAACATGGCAAGACACAACTTACTATTTCATTTTTAGATCTGGAAAACCTTAGTCATGTGAAGTTTAATGGGCCTGATTCATTTTAGAAAAAAAAAAGAAATGTAGGAAGCAAATGTAAGAATTCAAAACCAAACAAAAACTTCAAGTATAGTCCGATTCATTGTCAGTCTCTAATATTTGTATTGAATTTCTGCCAGTTTATTTTTCCCTAGTCATGTGGAATTCTGATCATTAGAAAATTTAGCTGGCTGAATGAATTTACATGCACAATACATTTACACACATGGGCATGTATACACACACACCACACATCCCTACACAAATTCTCCCCTTCCTAAGAGTTAATATACTCTATGCACATCTTTAAACTCTAGCCAATTGAAAATGTTAGCATAGAAACGCTGTAGAATTCTAAACTAGTATCCTTTCTCGAGAATGTCTAGAAAACTATGTGGATACATACACGTAGAAAAATATGTATGTACAGGTTTATACATAGTTAAAATGATTGAAAAATCCAGAATTTTAAATCTAGAGTGTACCTTGGAGATCATATACAATCATAGTTTCATACAGATGTGATAACTGGGGTTGAGGAAATTAAGTGAGTGATTTAATAATTCTAAAATGGTAATTTCTGAATAAAAGGAAGAATTTCAAGAACAATCTATAGTAGATATGGTAGATTGGTGCTTCATATTTATCCCATCTTCCTGTACTGCGGAGGCTTGTAAGGAATATGGCCGTGCTTTGGTCAAGGATAGACCAAGGTAGGATGTTTACATCCTGCGTGACTTAGCGAGTTTAAAGTACAGGCATATAACTCCACTTGTTATCACAGCCATTTAGCCATAATGGGAAGGCTACCACTTGGCCTAAGCCACTATTGTCTGTAAAAGGCATAATTGCCCTCTCGATACTATGCAGGTGCACTGGTGCCCAGAGAGAGAGAGCCAAACCTGTCTATCTTTGCAGATAGACAGAGGGGAGCCAGGACACAGCTCAGGTCACTTGTGCCCAGAGAGAGAAAGAGTTAAGCTGCTGACCCTGAAGGCAAGGGAGAGCCAGCTGTGCAGCTACATGTGGGGGCCACCAGACTAAGTAGCCATGACAGGGCAGACAGTATGAGAAATCTGTTGATGAGAGCTGCTGCTGAATAAAATCATCTTTCACCTGCCCACGACCCCTGAGTGTTCTTTCTGCTCATCCACCCACTCTCTTGAACCTCAGCATGGGCTGGAACCTGACCCTGAACATGACATTTGGCATAATCATGAACCTGACAAGGCTGGAAAACTAGTAACTACACTTCCCAGACTCTCTTACAGCTAGGATTCTGGATGTGATTTAAGATTAACCAATTCATTTTCTCAACAGAAATCATATTGTTCACGCTGAATTGATCCACAAGGTCAAACAGTCCAGCTTATTATGCAAAATTTTTTTTATTTCTTTTTTTCTTCTTAAAAATAAAACAAAAACGGGATACATGTGCAGAATGCGCAGGTTTGTTACATAGGTATACGTGTGCCATGGTGGTTTGCTGCACCTATTGACCTATCCTCTGAGTTCCCTCCCCTCACCCCCAACCCCCCACTATGCAAAAATTCTAAAACATTTGTGAGATTGGGTGCAGCACAAATAATTGCTTGATTACTCATTTTTATTCACTACACTTTGCTGTGAACAACTTTGGGCTGGTCCTTAAAATCAGAGCCATTCTGATTTTCTAAAAGAAAAAAAGCAACTGGAAAAGAAAAGAAAACTCACCATCGAGGATATTCAAGAGTGTGACTCCCGTTCTAAGGGCAATTCTGACAGAAAAGATTCAAAATACTTGGGGCAATACTTAAAATAACTACATAGTTCCCAATGTGACTTACTTAAATAGAACAATGCTCCCTTAGATTTTGAAGTTTTTATTTTAAATTGGGTTTTATTGCTGGATAATTACAACATTTATACCATGTTAATCTGTCAATCAGGGATACTTAAAAATCTTTCAACTACCCTCTCCCACTCCAATAGAGTATTTCTTGGAACAGTAGAACAATGGAAAGAACATTACTGTTAAACTGATTAGACTCTCACTTATTAGCTACAAATATTGTTAAAGTTATTTCTCTTTTCTGGGCCTCAGCTTTCTAACCTGTTAAATGCAGATAGCATGTTGTACTTGCCTAATTAATAAAGTCGCTCATATATAGTTTTTCAATAAATATTAGCTCTCTTCCCCCCAGCTCTATCTAATTATATACAGTAGTTTTTCAATAACTGTTAGCTCTCTTCCCTCCAGCTATGTCTAATTAGGGCTTTACTGATAGACCCAGAAGTAGCAATTGGAAACGAAACTGTTGAGATTTCAGAAGTACTGGGTAAGAAAGATGTATGTTTTACATTGGGAAGCATTTTCTTTTACCCATGATAAAAAGCAAAATCTGAAGTTTAATACTCAAGGAAAAAGTGTATAAAAATATATTGTTGGAGTTTTGCAAAGAACAGGATCTATTTTAGCTAGTTAAAAGGGGAGGTATTTATTATAGGAGATTAAAGGACTTTCAGATTTTGGAGAGGACTAAAGGGTCTGTAGTGAATAAAATGAATAATCAAGTAATCATTTGTGCTGCACACAATCCCACAAATGTTTTAGAATTCCTGCATAATGAGCCTGACTATTTGACCTTATGGATTAATTTAGCATGGACAATACCATTTATGTTGAAGAAACAAATTAATATTGGCTTCCCTTGAGATTTGGATAGGCATACTTCCTGAGATCTTTAGGTTCTTGGAGGAGTTTTTTATTCAAGATTTTGGAATCTTTTCAGGTCATGCTGAAAATATCAAGTTTCTCCGGGTTTCTATTGTACTCAAAACCATATTACTTTGTCCAGTTTCTCTTGAAAGTTTAGAATAAATGTCAAGCCATCTCTCTTTCTGCTCATTGCTCCACATGCACCACACAGTCTTCATAATACCTTTGCTTTTCCTCAAATTTTCCTTCAAAATGAAGCCGCTTCATGGCTTTTAAACACAAGAAAAGATTCTCAGCTTCCTTCTGAATGAGAGAAACAAAAATCAAGCTCCAATCACATTTTTTTCCTCCTCCCAAATGGGCAAAAGTCAAGAAGTTTAAAAACTGAGGCTGAGGTGGGCGGACCACAAGGTCAGGAGATCGAGACCATCCTGGCTAACATGGTGAAACCCCGTCTCTACTAAAAACACAAAAAATTAGCCGGGCGTGGTGGCGGGTGCCTGTAGTCCCAGCTACTCAGGGGGCTGAGGCAGGAGAATGGCGTGAACCTGGAAGGCAGAGCTTGCAGCGAGCTGAGATCGCACCACTGCACTCCAGCCTGGGCAACAGAGCGAGACTCTGCCTCAAAAAAAAAAAAAAAAAAGACTGTGGTATGCTGTAAAAGAAACCTTTGTAAATTGATAGGAGTGTAAATTAGTACACCCCCTATAGTAAGAACTTTGCCACTCTCCTTCTGAATTAAAAATGCACATACTCTTTGATCCAGCAATCCTACTGCTAGGAATTTTCCCATAGGTATACTTAGACATACTCAATATCATATGTGTACATATTCATTGCAACCCTGTTTGTAACAGCAAGAGTCCATTAAAACAGATTTGGCTAAATAAATGGAATATTAATTAGCTCTTAAAATAATAGAAAGTTCTGAAATGTTCTATATCTTGCTTTGGACATTGGTTACACCTGTGTATTCATTTGTCAAAATATATCAAACTGGATCTGTGATGCTAGTGAAAGTAAATTATACTTCAGTTTTTAAAAAAGGAAACATGGACAGTGTAGAATTGGGTTAAAAAACCTAGGACTCCATGAAACCTTTTTAAAGACAATAATTATGTTAAAAAAATGGGCTATGTGTCAGTATGTATAATATATTACTATTAGTATAGAAAAAATATGAACGTAATTGTATATGCATAGAGTATCTCTTGAAGGATGCAAGAATGGGATAATAGTAGTTACTTCTAGGAGAAAGAACCAGGTGGCTGGAAGATAAGGGATGAAGAGAGATTATTAATTTTTACCCTATACTCTTTTCTACCTTTAATTTTTATTACAGTATATGTAATAAATACTTAAAAAGAAAGTAATTTTTATGAAACTCTTGGCCAGGCGCGGTGGCTCACGTCTCTAATCCCAGCATTTTGAGAGGCCGAGATGGGCGGATCACAAGGTCAGGAGATGCAGACCATCCTGGCTAACACGGTGAAATCCTGTCTCTACTAAAAATACAAAAACTTAACTGGGCATGGTGGCACGCACCTGTAGTCCCAGCTGCTTGGGTGACTGAGGCAGGAGAATCGCCTGAACCCGGGAGGCAGAGGTTGCAGTGAGCCGAGATCATGCCACTGTACTCCAGCCTGGCGACAGAGTGAGACTGTCTCAAAAAAAAAAAAAAGAAACTCTTACTCTAAATTTGTCATTAGCCAGTACTCCCATGGTTAATGGCTTATTTGAAAGAACAAATCTCTAATTCTTTCAGTAGATTATCAACCCTTTGGACTACTGGCATACTGCTTTCCACCTCATAGTAAACATTCTTTCTGTCTTTTAAAAGATAGTCCAGGCACAGTGGCTCATGCCTATAATTCCAGCACTTTGGGAGGCCAAGGCAGGAGGATAAATTGAGCCCAGGGGTTTGAGACCAGCCTGGTTACCATGGTGAGACCCTGTCTCTACAAAAAATAAAATAAATGGGCAGGGCATGGTGGCTCACGCTTGTAATCCTAGCACTTTGGGAGGCTGAAGTGGGCAGATCATGAGGTCAGGAGATTGAGACCATCCTGGCCAACATGGTGAAACCCCATCTCTACTAAAAATACAAAAATTAGCTGCGTGTGGTGGTGCATGCCTGTAAACCCAGCTACTCGGTAGGCTGAGGCAGGCAAATTGCTTGAACCAGGGAGTCAGAGGTTGCAGTGAACTGAGATTGTGCCACTGCACTTCAGCCTGGTGACAGAGCAAGACTCCGTCTCAAAATAAATAAATAAATAAATAAATAAAATTAGCCAGGTGTGGTGTCATTCACCTGTAGACCCAGCTACTTGGGAGGCTGAGGTGGGAGGATCACTTGATCCCTGGATGTTGAGGCTGCAGTGAGCTGTGATTGCAATACTGCACTCCAGCTGGGGTGACAGAATGAGACCCTGCCTCAAAAACTAAAGAAAACAACAACAAAAAATGGTGCCCAAAATTTCTTTTTGTTCACATGATCTTACCTCCATAAGTCTTTCTTTTAGTGCAGCAA
Source organism: Homo sapiens (assembly GCF_000001405.40). Taxonomy (NCBI): domain Eukaryota; kingdom Metazoa; phylum Chordata; class Mammalia; order Primates; family Hominidae; genus Homo; species Homo sapiens. The sequence continues at coordinate 168,266,407 of NC_000002.12, read as the reverse complement.
ATATCTCACATGCAGAGTTAAATTCATACAACATCTATGGGAACTAGAAGATGGGCCAAAAATGTTCATGAGAGATGAATAAATAATGTTCTTTCTTTATGCATACAGCTAGATAAGGCAGGGACTGATCTACTTTAACAGCCCTGCCATAGGAACACAAAAGAGTAAGCCTGCTACAATTGTCAATATGCAAATAATGTGTGCATTCATGACTTAAAAATAACACGGAAAAATAGCTTTTTTTCAAAATTGACTTTCATGTTTTTATGTAATTTTTTAAAATCTAAGTTAATAAATATGAAAAAATTGTTGGGTTATCTGTTGAAAGATATTTCAAAGTTCTATAGTATTACCTGGCCTTTTCCATTTTCTTGAATTCTTATATATGCCACTATCCTTTGTATTTGAAGAAGGCTTGATTTAAAGATTATTCACTATTTGACCGAATTAACTGTTCCATTTAGCTAATGAACCATGAAATACTGTCACGTAGCTTGTACTTGATTTTGGCGGGGGGGGGCAAACTAATACACTATTTATATTGATTATTCAAATTAACAGTTACTTTAGCACTTTTAAAACACAGATTAACAGTGACTATGGTTCACAGAGTATTGTGAAGGGTGTATAAAGGTAGTTTTGGAGCTAACTTTTAAAATATTTTGATGGAGAAACAGAGGCACATATGGAACATTTATCTCTAAACTGACAATCACCAACAAATTGTTTTAAAAAAGAATACTTCATTCTTGGAGATTGTTTTCTGGCTATCGGTAGCCTTACTTCCTGGCTTTAGATGGCATTGAACTGCATAGCACATCAGTAGTCATTTTAATAATTTAATTAAATTAATACAATTTGGTTAAAATGTTTAATTTTAAATAACAAATGCATATGCCTTTGTGAAGAGATAGAGAAGTGCTGTGCAGAGTTAGAGCAGATTTGAATCCTGGCTCTGCTGCAGGTGAACCAACATTAAGTTTCTGTTTAAATCACTTAACCGATTGTGAAATTCAGTTTCTCCATCTGTTAAAAATATACATAATGTAATCTCCATCATCTGGTTGTAGGTGAGTGTCCAGTGAGACAACATATCTAAAATACTTACCACAATATCTCCATAAACTCTAACTATTTTTATTAAATTGTTGTGAGAGGAAATGCTTGGAATTGTAGAGCTTCCTGAAAATCATCCTAAAGCAATATATTAGGATCCAGCCTTATCTTTGTTATAAGGATTAAAATTTCATTCATTCATTCGGTGATTCATTCACATGTGGGGTTCCCAAAGACAAAATCACATTGATGGCTCCTTTAAAAGAAAATAAAACCTTTATATTAAAAAAAGCTTAATTTTTGTGGATAAAGCTGATTAAGGCAAGAACATTCTCCCAAAATGCATCATTTTAGAATCCTTCTTAGATTAACACTGTATAAAGTCTAAACTGTTTTCAGTGGCTCTTCCATCCCAGTCTGCTCTTTTCTGCTGACTTCAGTGGTCTCTTTACCCAGCCCAGGCCATGAGAGAATGGTTGAAATAGGACCTTTTGGACAAATAACTTGAATTTCTAGTTTTGGAGTCTTCAAGACAAAATGGTAATCTTATGCATATGGCAATTTTTTTCTTATCCCCAGGACACAAATTATCTGTTTACATGTCTGTTTGCCCCATTAGATGTCAAGCTCCTTTGAGGGTAGGGACATTGTCTCATTCATTTTTCCATCACTCCCCACTCCCATGCAGAAAGCTTACACATGGTAGTTGGTAGATGAAGAGTTTGTTTCTTTAAAATAATGCACTAAATATTATTTCATCCTAACCATTTTGATGAAAAAAATAGTTTACATTAGGACGGGCACGGTGGCTCTCATCTGTAACCCCAGCACTTTGGGAGGCTGAGGTGGGCGGATCACGAGGTCAGGAGTTCAAGATCAGCCTGGCCAACATAGTGAAACCCCATCTCTACTAAAAATACAAAAAATTAACTGGGCATGGTGGTGCCTCTAATCCCAGCTACTTGAAAGGCTGAGGCAGGAGAATTGCTTGAACCCAGGAGGCGGAGGTTGCAGTGAGCCGAGATCATGCCACTGCACTCCAGCCCGGGCAACAGAGCAAGACTCCATCTCAAAAGAACAAAAATTTAATAAAAATAAAAAATAGTTTACATTAGGGTTTCCTCTTGGTATTGTACATTCTATGAGTTTAAATAAACGTATAATGAGATGTAGCCACCATTATAACGTCATACACAGAATTTTCACTTTGGATGATAACAATGTGATGTAAGTTCATTGATTGTAACAAACATATCACTCAGGTGGGAGATGTTGATAATGGGAGAGGCTGTGCATGTGTCAGGGCAGGGGAGATATGGGTTACCTCTGTACCTTCCTCTCAATTTTGCTGTGAAACTGAAACTGCTCTAAAAAAATGAAAGTCTTTTAAACAAATAGTTATTTCACATTTTTATTTCAAAAAGGCTTTGTATTAGTCAGGGTTCTCTAGAGGAACAGAACTAATGGAATATATATGTGTATGTATATATATAAAGGGGAGTTTATTAAGTATTAACTCCCATGATCACAATGTCCCACAATAGGCCATCTGCAGGCTGAGGACCAAGGAGAGCCAGTCTGAGTTCCAAAACTGAAGACTTAGAGTCTGATGTTCAAGACTTAGAGTCTGATGTTCGAGGGCAGGAAGCATCCAGCATGGGAGAAAGATGTAGGCTGGGAGGCTAGGCCAGCCTCTCATTTCACATTTTTCTGTCTGCTTGTATTCCAGCTATGCTGGCAGCTGCTTAGATTGTGCCCACCAGATTAAGTGTGGTTCTGCCTTTCCCAGCCCACTAACTCAAATGTTAATCTCTTTTGGCAACACCCTCACAGACACACCCAGGATCAATACTTTGTATCCTTGAATCCAATAAAGTTGACACTCAATATTAACCATCACAAGTCCACCGCATGTCAACTTGAACCCATACAAATCTCCTGAGATCATACATAATCTTAAAATAAAGACAATAATAAGGTCATAATTACACCTAACATAATACAATTACGCTTCGTACAACTGGAAACGCACCAGTCCCTAACCTAAATACTATTACATGAAGTTAACAATACTTAAATGCTGATGTGAAGTCAATAAATCTTATGTCACATGATAAAGGAGAAAGGAAATAAAAAGCTATTTTCTTGGTACAAGTTTATACATGCACAAACATGTTTTTAATAAAAGAAGGAGGAAATACTCATGACAATTACAGTCCTTGGTTCTGCAGCTGGTCACGTGGTTGTAGCTGGTGCTGATGACTACCTTCTTCTACTACCCATTCTGTATTCCTTTTGCCCTCAGCAAGCACCTCAGCAGGTCATGATTTTTCTCCTAGTGGAGTGACCCAGACCTTCATTCCTGAAGGGTCTGGGACATTTGTAGTCCTGCCTGGATTGGGCTGTTATAGTTTCCCATTGACCTTAATTGCAGGGAATGGTAATATGCCCTAATGGATCTCCTATATTCCATGCATACTGTTCCTTACCTTCATTATGGAGTAGTGGACTGATTTCATCTTGATTGTCTGGGTCAATCACCCCAGCCAACACTGTAACTCCCTTCTTAGCCTGTTGACTTAAAGGTAGGAGGGGCCCAAAGTGTCCAGGTGGCAATCTTAACTTCCAGTTTAATGGAATCATTGTTGTGTCTCCTGGTGGCAGCATTCCTCCCTCTGGAACTAAGACCTCTAAGCCAGCAGAATGTAGTGTCATGGGAACAGGAAGCAAAAATTTTGCTAGTGGGTCACTAGGGGTGACGGTGAGTTGGTGCCACTTCCACTTCCACCCCTTGATTCCTGGACCCGTGAATCCTGGCTATGGCAGAAACAGTACCATATATTGGACGCTGATTCAGAGCATACACGACCTTCTGGAGAACTTTGCTCCAGCCCTGCAAAGTACTGTCACCTAGTTGGCACTGTAATTGTGACTTCAAAAGGCCATTCCACCATTCTATCAATCCAGTTGCTTCAGGATGATGGGGAACATGGTAAGACCAGTGAAGTCCATGAGCATTAGCTCACTGCCTCACTTCTTTAGCCATAAAGTGAGTGCCTTGGTCAGAGGCAATGCTGTGTGGAATACCATGATGGTGGATAAGGCATTCCGTGAGTCCAGGGATGGTGGTCTTGGCAGAAGCTTTGTGTGCAGGATAGGCAAACTCATATCCGGAGTAAGTGTCTATTCCAATGAGGACAAACCTCTGCCCTTTCCAACCAGGTAGCTGGCTGATCACCTCGAGGAATGGTGCCATGTGGAGGGCTTGATGTTGGTCTCTGCTGCTGGCAAACTGGGCACTCAGCAGTGGCCGTAGCCAGCTCAGCCTTGGTGAGTGGAAATCCATGTTGCTGAGCTCATGTGTAACCTCCATCCCTGCCACCACGGCCACTTTGTTCATGGGCCCACTGGGAGATGACAGGGGTGACTGGGGAAAGAGGCTGAGTGGTATCCACCAAACGGGTCATCCTATCCACTTGATTATTAAAATCCTCCTCTGCTGAGGTCACCCTTTGGTGAGCACTCACATGCGATACAATATCTTTACAGTTTTTGACCACTCAGAGAGGTCCATCCACATAACTTTTCCCCAAATTTCTTTGTCACCAATTTTCCAATCATGCTTCTTCCAAGTCCCTGACCATCCAGCCAAACCATTGGCTACAGCCTATGAATCAGTATATAATTGCACATCTGGCCATTTCTCCTTCCATGCAAAGTGCACAATCAGGTGCACTGCTCAAAGTTCTGCCCACTGGGAAGAGTTCCCTTCACCGCTGTCCTTCAGGAATGTCCTAGAAAGGGGCTGTAGTGCTGCAGCTGTCCACTTTCAGGTGGTGCCTGCATATTGTGCAGAGCCATCTGTGAACCAGGCCCTAGTCTTCTCTTCCTCTGTCAATTGATCATAGGGAACTCCCTATGAGGCCATCTGCGCAGGCTGGGGGAGAGAAGGCAGGATGGCAGGAGTGGAAACCATGGGCATTTGAGCCACTTCCTCATGTAACTTACTTGTGCCTTCAGGACCTGCTCAAGCCTGATCACGTATATACCACTTCCATTTGATGATGGAATGCTGCTGTCCATGACCCACTTTATGGCTAGATGGGTCAAAAAGCACCCAGTTCATGATAGGCAGTTCAGGTCCAATGGTGACTTGATGATCCATAGTCAAACGTTCCGTGTCCACCAAAGCCCAGTAACAGGCAGAGCTGTCTCTCAAAAGGAGAGTAGTTATCTGCAGAAGATGGCAGGGCCTTGCTCTAAAATCCTAGAGGCCTTTGCTGTGATTCACCTATGGGGGCCTGCCAAGGGCTCCAAAGAGCTTTCCTATCTGCCACTGACACCTCAAGCACCATTGGATCTGGTGGGTCATATGGCCCAAGTGGCAGAGCAGCTTGCACAGCAGCCTGGACCTGTAGCAGAGCATTCTCCTGTTCTGGACCCCACTCAAAACTGGCAGCCTTTCAGGTCACTCAATAAATGGGCCAGAGTAACACACTCAAATGAGGAATGTGTTGCCTTCAAAATCCTAATAGGCCCACTAGGCATTGTGCCTCTTTCTTGGTTGTAGGAAGGGCCAGATGCAGCAACTTATCCTTCATCTTAGAAGGAATGTCTCAACTGGCCCCACACCACTGGACCCCTAGAAATTTTACTGAGGTAGAAGTTCCCTGAATTTTAGTTGGATTTATTTCCCATCCTTTTGCATGCAAATGTCTCACCAATAAGTCCAGTGGGTCTGCTACTTCTTGCTTACTGGATCCAATCAGCAAAATGTCATCAATGTAAAGGACCAGTGTGATATCTTGCAGAAGCAAAAAGTGGCCAAGGTCTCTCCAAATAAGATTATGACACAAAGCTGGAGAGTTGACATACCCCTGAGGTAGGAGAGTAAAGGTATACTGCTGGCCTTGCCAGCTGAAGGCAAATTGCTTCTGGTGGGCCTTACGGACAGGAATGGAGAAAAAGGCATTTTCCAAGTCAATGGCTGCATGCCAGGTACCAGGAGATGTGTTAATTTGCTCAAGCAATGAAACCGCACCTGGTACAGCAGCTGCAATTGGAGTAACAACTTGGTTAAACTTATGATAAGCCGCTGTCATTCTCCAAGATCCATCTGTCTTCTGCACAGGCCAAATGGGACAGTTGAATGGGGATGTAGTGGGAATCACCACCCCTGCATCTTTCAAGTCCTTGCTGGTGACACTAATCGCTGCAATCCCTCCAGGGATGCAACCCACCATAATGGCACTCACCCTACCAGTCAGGGAGCCAATGTGGGGGTTCTGCCAGCTGCTTAGTATGTCTCTGCCAATTATGCATTCTGGCACTGGGGAAATGACCACAGGATGAGTGCAGGGACCCAATGGACCCACTGTAAGTCGGACCTGAGCTAAAACTCCATTAATTACCTGACTTCCATAAGCCCCTACTTTAACTGGAGGACCACAGTAACGTTTTGGGTCCCCTGGAATCAATGTTAGTTCAGAGCCAGTGTCCAGTAGTCTCCAAAATGTCTGATAATTTCCCTTTCCGCAATGCACAGTTACCCTGGTAAAAGGCCAAAAGTCTACCTGGGGGAGGATGGGAGAAAGATTCACTGCATAAATTGTTGGTAATGCAGTGGGGTCCTTCCTCAAGGGGGCCCAGCCTCCCCTTCAGTCAAGGGGTTCTGGGTCTGTAAACTGGCTCAAGTCCTGAAATTGACTGAGGGGCCATCATTCTCTGTTTTTATAATTCAAATTAGTCTCTTGTCCATTCCACCTAGAAGTTTTCTGCTCATATAAATTAAGTAGGAATGCAGTAGGCTTCCTATCAGTTTCATTTCTAGGTATAATGTGATTAATTAGCCAACGCCAGAGCTCTACACAACTCAGACTATGCTGATGGCTGCTTTGCCTCTGCTGTCCATTTTGATAGCTATGCCCACCTTGCCTTTGATGGTTGAGTGTCTCCACTTGGCCCCTGACACCTTGGGATCCAATCATTCTCATTGTATTTAAATTTTGTAGTTGAGTGACTGTGGTTCCCACTGTTAGATCTGTCATACAGAGAAGAGCAATTACAGGGCTCTTCAAAGATGCAGGTGCTGCCCTCACAAATCTATTTCACAAGGTATTGGTCAAGGGTATATCTTCTGGACCTTCCCAGCTAGGATGAGTAGGTCTAAAGTGACTAATCCACTCCACCATCCCAATCTCCTTAAGCCTTTGGATCCCTTCCTCTACATTAAGCCAAGAGAGATGAGGCATTTCCAGCTCGTTCACAGTGGGCCATCTTTTAATCCATATTTTAGCTAGCCAAGCAAATAAACTGTTAGAACCTTTTTTAACTCCCCAAGCTGCAACATTAAATGCAGAGTCTCTACTTAGGTGGACCCAAATCAATAAATTCAGCCTGATTCAACTCTACGTTCCTTCCACCATTATACCACGCCCTTAATATCCAGTCCCATGACCATTCTCCAGATTTCTGTTTATATAAATTAGAAAATTCAAGCCTTTCTTTTCCAGTGTAGCACACCTCCTCATGGGTCACAATCTCAATCTCACCTCTAGGGGCCCACCAGGGCTTTAGTCTAGTTATAGGTCTATAAGCAAACAGGGGTGTTGGGAGTGGCTCCTGAGGAGAATCAACATTATCTTGCCTGGCAACTGCCTCAGGGAAGGCCATCACTGTTGCCTTAGGCAGGCAGGGTTTATCTCCTCAGACAAAGGTGGAAAGGCTGATGGCAGAATGGGTGGGGGAGGGGATGTTGCCACTACTGGGGATGGGGAAGCTCTTCCTTCTGGCAAAAAAAGATTAATCACGACAGGTGCGGTGGCTCATGCCTGTAATCGCGGCACTTTAGGAGGCTGAGGCAGGTGATCATTTGAGGTCAGGAGTTCAAGACCAGCCTGGCCAACATGATGAAACCCCTTCTCTACTAACAATACAAAAATTAGCCAGGCGTGGTGGTGGGTGCCTATGATCTCAGCTACCCAGGAGGCTGAGGCAGGAGAAGCACATGAACCTGGGAGGCAGAAGTTGCAGTGAGCCAAGATTGTGGCATTGCACTCCAGCCTGGGCGACAGAGTGAGACTCCATCTCCAAAAAAATAAACAAAAATTAAATAAATAAATAAATAAATAAATAAACAAAATAAACGGTTCATCAGAGTTTACTAACTCAAAATCAGTGTCCCCAGCTTCATCAGGGTCCTCCCACATGTTCCCTTCCAAGTTGCAGGGTCCCATTATTTTCTGATCAATGCCCTCACTTTAACAGTAGACACCAAGCGAGGCTGTGCATGTACCTTTCATTCCAAGTCAGCCACTCGCATGATAAGGGCTCTTGTGTTTGTTTTTCCACAATTTCAGCTCTTTCTCTACAGAAGATAAGACTCTCACTCAGGGCATTCTTAGCAGATTTGAGGCTCAGTATCTGCTTCTGAAGCTGGGAGATAGAATCCATGAGTTCATCATTTTCTTTCATCACATTGTCCATTGAACTTAGGAGCAACCAACCAGCTTCATTATGTTCCTTGGTTCACCACATATGGTCAAAGGTATTAAGTAAAGAGTCACTAAACTCCTTGCCTCTCACGAGCAATGAATCAGGAGTGTCAAATGCATTTATATTGCATAACTCTCTAAGCAGTTCACACCAAGGACTATCAGTGTTCTCCATACTATTAGAAGTAGAGTCTGTAGCATTTCTGGGTCTAATCATATTAAGCAGCCAACTCCAGAAACCCAAAATCCAATGAAAGAACTCCATCATTAATATTCTGTTCCTCTAGAACCATTCCTGGTATCAAAATCTGTATTAGGATTCTCTAGAGGGACAGAGCTAATGAAATATATATATATATGTGTGTGTGTGTGTGTGTGTGTGTGTGTGTGTGTGTGTGTGTGTATATATAAAGGGGAGTTTATTATTAATTCACATGATCACAAGGTTCCACAATAGGCCATCTGCAGGCTGAGGACCAAGGAGAGCCAGTCCAAGTCCCAAAACTGAAGAACTTGGAGTCCGATGTTCGAGGGCAGGAAGCATCCAGCATGGGAGAAAGATGTGGGCGGGAGGCTAGGCCAGTCTCTCATTTCACATTTTTCTGCCTGCTTATATTCTAGCCTCACTGGCAGCTGGTTAGATTGTACCTACCTAGATTAAGGGTGGGTCTGCTTTTCCCAGCCCATTGACTCAAATGTTAATCTCCTTTGGCAACACACTCACAGACATACTCAATATCAACACTTTGTATCCTTCAATCCAATCAAGTTGACACTCACTATTAACCATCACAGGTTTACTTCTTTTTGTCATTTTGCTTTAATTGTCATTTGTTATGTCTAATTCAGGAAAGCCACCATGACCATTGAGCCTTTTAAAATTGCCACCCTCTTGGGAGCTCTCTGACCCCTGTGCTTTGCTAGTTGGTGTGGCTTTCATGTGTCACAGTGATGTTCTCAGGGCTACCATAGTTATTTTCAACTCTGGCTAAACTTTTGGGTCACCTGGATGCCTGACTTCTACCTGCAGACTATAGTTTGGTAGAATGCAGGTGAGACCCAGGAATAAGAATTGTTGACAAGCTGCACAGGTGACTCTGATACTCAGCTAGGCTGAAGAACACCTGGATCACCTGCGCCTTACTCTGGGGACAAGCAAAAGGCTGTTCTTCCTGGTCTGATGTAAGTATGGGCTCTATGCCCATTAAAACATGCTGTGCAAAGTCTGCAAATAGTGCTCCACAAGCCTGATGTGGACTACAAACGTTTTGTTTGTCCTGCAAAGTATTATTGTTTTTAGATTGTGAAATATTTCAAACCTACAGAACAGTGGGAATAATGTCATAAAAACTCACACACCTACCATCCAGTCTAACAAATCTTATTATTTTGCTCTATTTCTTACACATTTTTATTAAAGTAATAAAACAACATAGATGCAATAGAAGCCCTTTGTGTACCTTTCCCCTTCCTTCCTTCTCTCCCTCCCTCTCCAGGGGTAACAACTGGATTTGGAATTTATCATTCCAATCACTTTTCACTAAATATTTATTCAAAGACTACATTTAGTGTTGTTCTCTTGTTTTTAAACATTAAGTGTATGGTATCAGATTCTGTACAGTATTTTATAAAGATGGGCCAATATTTTAAAGCTGAGAAATTTCACATGAAATCAGATTTGTTGGCTTCTCTTGAAACAACAGGAAGGTCTGGCAGTGCGGGACTAGCTTTCTGGCAGGACAATGTGCCTTACTGGGCCAAGACTCTTTGGTGTGACATGGTCCCACTAGTCACGCTGTGTAGACATATGTGCATGCACCTGGACTGTGTCTCCTTTGATGCGGATCTGGCCCCTGATACTGAACTTCCTTCCACTCCAATTCTTTTCTCTCCTCAAGGCCATTTCTGCTGTCCTTTCCTAAGTGCTAAATGCCAAAGTTGTCTGCCTCTCACTCTTATCTCTTGCTGCCTCTCCTTCTGCTCTCTCTTTTCTCTGGTTTTCATTTTTATTTTCTTGCCATGCCCTGCCATTTTTTTTCTTGACTTTAGTACCAGAAGGACCTGGGTTTGTTTGTTTGTTTTAAAGACTTTGTCAATCGATAGTAAAAGAAGTTATTTTGACCAGTAAACCTGACCCATCATAATACATCTCTGTTACCTCTGGTTTGGACGATTCTCCCTAGTTTTGTTTTTGTTTTTGTTTTCTTTTTTTTTGAGGTGGAGTCTCACTCTGTCAGCCATGCTGGAGTGCAGTGACACGATCTCAGCTCACTGCAACCTCCACCTCCTGGGTTCAAGAGATTTCTGGCTAATTTTTGTATTTTTAGCAGAGATGGAGTTTCGCCATGTTGGCCAGGCTGGTCTCGAACTCCTGACCGCAAGCGATCCGCCTGCTTCGGCCTCCCAAAGTGCTAAGATTACAGGCGTGAGCCACCTCACCTGGCCCACTCTCGCTAGTTTAAGTGTTATTCACATGTTTTGGAGCTCCAGAAGCCTCGACACTGGATAAAGTGGAGTTTCACTAAGTTATATAGAGTTCTTAAGGGCTGAGATCCTTTTGCCTATTTTACCCACAGCAGTTGGCAAAGTGCCACACACTTAATCCTTAAGAATGTATTTATAGAATGAATGAATATTAATTAGTTAAATTGTGTTTTACTACATACATCCTTTTTAATAAGCCAGGCCAGTCCCTGGCTCTCCTTTATTTTTCAGAATACATACAACCCAAGATGTCTCTCCAGATGAAGATCTGAGCCTGGCAGGGGAGGCCCGGGGCAGAGATAGAAGAGTGTTTAGGGCTTATGGTGGTTTTGGTGGGAAGTTTTTTGAATAGAAAAGAAGTAAAAGGCTTTCAGACATCCTTGGTATTTGTAAGAATCTGAAGGTGAGAGGGATAAACAAAATATTTTCAGAAACTGCTGTTTCATGTGTAATGAATGGATTCCTCTTGAAGTGGTTCTTCAACAGAGATTGCACTAAAAAATCAATTGCTTTAAATTACATTTTTATGTCATTCTGCCTGGGACGGGACTATCAGGCTTTAGACAGATGACAGCATGAAAGAAATATGTATGCCATGTAGATGACTATAATGCCCTCTGGTGTTTTAGCCAAGGGCAATCCTTGCTAAATATGGAAGTCTTCCCCTATGGGTAGAGATAGTAGGGCTTCTAGTGAGTACTCTATCAGTACCCAAATCAGGGTCAGAAACTTCTGACATTAATAAAAAGACATTAACTGTCACCAGAGCTATTTTGTATGTAATATAAAATGCAATAGAAAGTCAATTTCAATAGCTGGTTGGGAAATAAATGAAAACATGTCTGGAAGTTATAATTCTTATAAATTTAACCCATTAAATCCATGTGATGAATTTAAAATGCAATGTCTCTGCAATAATTCAATCTAAAATAAATCCTCTTTCTGTTTATTGTTGGGAAATAGGTAGTAATGACACCTGAACACTAAATTGTGCTAATCCTAATAAAATTGAGTTACACCAGCTCTGGACTTTGGGTAATAGCATTAGTTGTGTCAGTGGAAGGCACATGACACTTCTGTTATTATGTTCAGTGCGAGATGGCTTGGTCTTCAAAGTCGGAAAGGGTCATACATTTTCAAATGCATTTTTCAGATGGACATTTGCTGTCACTGCTGAGAATTCATTCAGATAGTTACTATGTTTGCAGTTTTCTTCTCATTTACAATAATATTAAAAGCAAGCTGTAAAGTCCACGGCTTTGGTAGACAGTCGGTTCTAAAGCAGTGGCTAATTTTCGTTTTTTTTTTCTTTTTTTTGAGATGGAGTCTCACTCTGTCACCCAGGCTGGAGCGCAGCGGCATGATTTCGGCTCACTGCAACCTCCGCCTCCTGGGTTCAAGCGATTCTCCTGCCTCCGCCTCCCAAGTAGCTGGACTATTATAGGCGTCCACCACCATGCCCGGCTAATTTTTTTATTTTTAGTAGAGACGGGGTTTCGCCATGTTGGCCAGGCTGGTCTGAAACTCCTGACCTCAGGTGATCCAAAGTGTTGGGATCATAGGCATGAGCCACTGCACCCAGCCAGCAGTGGCTAATTTTCATTAGTGCTCATTGCTAAAGCCAGTTCAAATAAAATGCAACTGGCTAAAGAGCAAATCCCATAATTCCACTGTCTAGTTTCCTAAGGCTTCTGAAAGTTGTCAGAATCAAAATGGAGTTGTGGCAAAAACCCTGACAAGTAGAACTGAGAAGGACAGGAAGGGAGGGCTCTCATGCACAAAAGGCTGCAAAAACCACAACCTTGCAAAAAGGCCATTGCAACTTTATACGCACACATATAGGCACACAATACTTCTGTGAGGACGTCTGCCCAACAACTGCCCAACAACTGTCCAACCTCAGACTGGTATTACCCCTGTTATTCATCTTTGTAGCCAAGGATAATTATCTGAAAACAATTATTGACTCCTCATTTTAAAACAAACAAACAAACAAACAAACAAAAAACTTTTATCTCCCTGAATACCCACAGTTTACTATGTACAAGAACCCTATTCCAAAATAAGCATCATTTTCTTTTAAAGTCTCCTTCTGTGTTTGTTATTTAGGTTGACAGGCTGCTGTAACCAATACACATACTGGGGGGCTTAAAACAACAGAAGTTTATGCTTTCACAATCTGGAGGCTAGCTGGCCAAAATTAACCCTTGGCAGGGTTGATTTCTTATGGGAGGCTCTGAGGGAAAATCTGTTCCTTGTTTCTTTCCTAGCTTCTGGTGATTGCCTGCTATTTTTGGCATTCTTGACTTGTAGACACATCACTCCAATCTCTGCCTCCATCAACACATGGCATTCTCCTTGTGTGTGTGTGTGTATGTGTTTCTATTTGTCTCTGTGTCCAAATTTCCTCTTTTATTATAAGGATACCAGTCATTGCATTAGGGCCCAGACTAATCCAGTCTTTGCCTCTGCAAATACTCTATTTCCAAATAAGTTCACATTCCCAACTACCTGAGCTTAGGACTTCAACTCTTTTAGGGGACATGATTCAACCTTAATACCTACCTTCCCCTGAGACTACTACCCCTGGGCCCTCCTAGTCAGAAATTCCGGAGCCATCCACTGTACCACTACAACGTGTGTGTGGGTCAGGCGTGTTGCCCATACTAGCTCATTTAATTCTTACATAGCTCTTACAGTCCTGGGCTAATTGTCCCAATTTTAAGAAAACAGAGGCTCAGAAAATTTAGACTACCAGCTAGAAAGTGTAGTACAGGGATTTCAATTCAGCCATGCCCTTTCCATCATGCCCTACCATTACCCTCATTCAAAAAAAGTTTGATCTTTGTCTTTGGAAACAATTATTATAACCCAAGTCCAGCTCTTTCACAACTTTTCACTCAGAGTTACCAAAATAGTGGGTATGAAAGAGTTGGCCATGACAAATGACGGTGATCGATTTTCTTCAGACCTTAGGATACCTGACTATTTTCCACCATGCAATGATGGTGCTTTTGTGTTAGATTACATTTTAGCCATGGGAAAATCATCATCTGTCAAGACAACCTCTCACTTCTCCCACGGATGCATTTCTAAAACATTTTATAAATTGCATTTGTGCACATCCACTTTTTTAATGCATTGGGGCAATTTGACTTTTAAAAGAATCTTATCTGTCTGTCGTCAAGTTCTATTTCTCTGCTCCATAAATAATTTTTAAAGCCACTTTCCTCATCATTATCCTCAATATAATAGCTAATATTTACATTTCTCTAACTTGACTATTGCAATGGCTTCCAAATAGGTCTCCTTGCCTCCAATTTCCTCCTATAAAATCCACCCTTGCCAGTGCTGACTCATTCTGATGCTTAAAAGTATGTTTTATGTATTTAAAAAGTGTTACATTAACATTTAACAAATATTTACTGAGTGTCCTCTGTGCCAGGTGTTTTTCTAGGTACTGGGATACAGCAGTAAACCAAAGGAACAAAAAATCCTGCCCTCAGGGAGCTTATATTCTGCAAAGTTCATTCTTGTAATTATATATCTTTGCACTACATATTTTGCTACAAATCTTGGCAGACAGGAATAATGATGATGATGGTGGTGGTGGTTTCCATTTTGTTAAACTTCTATTATGTGTCATCCATTATCCTAAGCCATTATAACAACCCATGTGGAAGCTATTATTGTACTGATTTTTGCACAGGAGAAAACTGAGACTCAGAGAGTGAAGTAAGTCCAAAGGCAGAGACTTAAAAAAAATGAGGCTAGGCATGGTGGCTCACACTATAATCTCATCACTTTGGAAGGCTGAGGTGGATCACCTGAGACCAGGAAGTTCAAGACCATCCTGGGCAACATAGCAAAACCCTGCTTCTCCAAAATTAAATACAAATTAGCTGGGCATGGTGGCACACACCTGTAATTCCAGATACTTGGGAGGCTGAGGAAGATGGATTGCTTGTGCCCAGGAGCTCGAGGCTGCGGTGAGCCATGATCATGCCACTGCACTCCAGCTTGGGTGACAGAGCAAGACCTTGTCTCTAGAAAAACTGTTGAGCTGGGCACAGTGGCTCACGCCTGTAATCCAAGCACTTTGGGAAGCCAAGGTGGGTGGATCACCTGAGAGGTCAGGAGTGTGAGACCAACCTGGCCAACATGGTGAAATCCTATCTTTACTAAAAACACAAAATTAGCTGGTGTGGTGGCACACACCTGTAATCTCAGCTATTCAGGAGGCTAAGGCAGGAGAATACCTTGAACCCTGGAGGCAGAGGTTGCAGTGAGCCGAGATCGTGCCATTGCACTCCAGCCTGGGTGACAAGAGTAAGACTCTGTCTCAAAAAAATACAACACGAAACCCCGTCTCTACTAAAAATACAAAAATAGGCCAGGCGCAATGGCTCACGCCTGTAATCCCAGTACTTTGGGAGGCCGAGGCGGGTGGATCACAAGGTCAGGAGATCGAGACCATCCTGGCTAACACGGTGAAACCCCCGTCTCTCCTAAAAACACAAAAAAATTAGCCAGGCGTGGTGGCGGGTGCCTGTAGTCCCAGCTACTCAGGAGGCTGAGGCAGGAGAATGGCGTGAACCCAGAAGGCAGAGCTTGCAGTGAGCTGAGATCACGCCACTGCACTCCAGCCTGGGTGACACAGCGAGACTCTGTCTCAAAAACAAAAACAAAAAAATAAATAAAAATACAAAAATTAGCTGGGCGTGGTGGTGGGCACCTGTAGTACCAGCTACTTGGGAGGCTGAGGCAAGAGAATCGCTTGAACCTGGGAGGTGGAGGTTGCAGTGAGCTGAGATTGTGCCACTGCACTCCAGCATGGGCAACAAGAGCGAGACTCTGTCTCAAAAAACAAAACAAAACATCGAAGTCCAGATTTGAATCCAGTACTTTCTTTCTTCAAGGCGTTGGCCACTTCACTACACATCCTCTCTTAGATGTTCAAAGGGTTTATGAATAAATAATGGAACTCTACGAAACCTCTTTGTAATACAAATAACCACTGCAATAATCTGTTTATAAAATGAAAATGTATACTTACTTCATCTAAAGCATTATTTACCCTCCAGGGGACATTTGGCAATGTCTGGAGGCATTGTTGATAGTCACAATGTCAGCAGCAGGGTTGCCACTGGCATCTAGTGCATAGAGGCCAGGGTGCCTTTGTCTGCTCTGGCTGGTATGACAAAATACCTTAGACTGGGTAGCTGACAAACAACGGAAATTCATTTTTACAGTTCTGGAGGCTGAAAGTCCAAGATCAAGGTGCCAGCAAATTAGGTATTTACTGAGGGCTTGCCCTCTACTTCATAGCTAATGCCTCTAGCTGCATCCTCATCAAGCTCCTTCCGGCCTCATTTATAAGGGCACTAATCTAACTCAGGAGGGCTCTGTCCTCATGACCCAATCTCCTGCTAAAGGCTCTTAATACTATTCCACTGCCGATTAAGTGTCAACATATGAATTTTGGGGGGACAGAAACATTCAGACCATACCACAGGAGAACAGACCTCTACAACGAAGAGAACTATCTGACACAAAACAGCGCTGAGATTGAGAAACCCTGACACATCATGAGGCAGTTGGATACACTTTAAAAACATTTAGACCCTTATTTTTCCTTTCTATTTTTAACATCGCTCACTGAATGTACTCTTTATGCATTGAAATAAACCTTGTTTATATTTTAAAGGCACCCGCCTCCATCCCCATCTTTCAATTTAAATTTAGTAATGGATTTTCCGGGAAAAGTGCATATCAGTTGAATACTTCTAAAAAACATATATTTCTAAGTTTTAAGTACCATTTTACCCAATTGTTTACAGAAACATTAACTCTAATGCTTTTGTATAATTTTAAAATATTATTCATATTCTGTTCTTCATTTATAAAAATGATGCCAAAGAGCAATGCCAGGGGACATTCTTCTTTAAACCGATTTACTGTAGAAATGATGGATGTGCACTGAGTCATCCACTCAAGCAAGTCTTCATCCTGGTAGCCATTTGGAAAGCGGTTGACTAGAGACCGACATGTAGTCTGTGACTGGGGAACAGTTGCTTTTTGTGGGAGACTAATTGATCTGTGTTTGATTCAATTCTGTGATATTGATCTTGACGGCATCATGTTTTCCTACTAAGTCCCAAGAACATTCCTGGTCTTCATAATCCCACTTCATGGTTTGAAAGTCAAAAATAGAAATTCATATGACAAAATGGAAGTCATATTCATTTGATCATTTTTCTTTTCCTTTAAAAACAGTCCTTAAAAGTTCTTTGGGGTAGGGTGGAGGCAGCACTTGAAGAGGTCAGCAGCCATGGCTTGGTATAAAGAGCTCCCCTGTTCCTCAGAGGCCTAGAATTTGTTTATGAAGGGCTCTGTTTCTTGACAGACATGACAAGACACAGTTTTTGAAGTCCTCCGCATCAAAGAATGTACACTTAGTTCAGCATGAACTTCTGCTTCAAGACCAGAGCGAGGTAGCTGCTTTACTCCAACTTTTGTAATGCTCCAAGAGATTAAGTGCCCTCATCTTCAGTGGACATCAATGTTTTGATTAGACAACTAACTTTCCTAATAAATTTCTGGGCTTCTTCTGAATAATCTTTCAAAAATTTTAGTGAGATTTCTGTACATACACTCGGGAGACAAAATCATGATATCCCTAGAGTTTTTATTACATCCTCATTATTCTTACCTATTTCTTCAGCAGTCCTAGCAATGAGAACCAGACAAGATCATCTTGGCCAAACGACCAATACTATTGGTTTACTGCCCCGTTTCAGTTGGAGACAAGAACGGTGGATCCTGGTCACCTCCACGGAGGGAACACAGAGAACATTCACTGTTAAATATGACACCTATAATTAGGAAAACCTATGGTTTTACCATAGCAGTTTTACAGACGAGGTTATTTTTGGGGTGTTGAAAAAACAGCAATTAAAAGCTTCCAACACAGTTTATTCATGCCCCAATAAATTATTTCCCCACCAAGTATACGCTCTTAAAGAAACGCCTGATGTCTGGCCTCAGTGTCCTCACGGGCTAACGTGGCAATTATTAAGGGTGTAGAATTTGAGCAAACTTTCTAAACCTCTCCTGCATGTCTTATTCTAATTCCACAGCCCCTTAAATCGCCTCCCTGGGATCCAGGCGGCTTGGAAAAAATGAAGTCTGAACAGCCAGAGACCTAAGGAATCAAGTTTCATTTACTAAGAAAAACTAGAAGGACTGCGATTAGATTAGGCAAGGTGGGAAAGGGATACCGGCAAGTAAAGCGCCGGAAACTTACAACTTGGGTTATTTTCTAACTGGCGTCTTGCAAAGGGACACCATGTAGGTATCCCGCTCGTCAACTTGTAAATGAACTTCAGGTTCTCTTTGGTGGCAGGAGAATTCTGAATGTGAGAACCTGGCGGCCGTTCAACGACCCCGCCCTCGGGGTCCCCAGGGGGCGTCCTCCGGCAAGCCTGATCGTCTGGGGCCAAGGCGCAGGGCGAGCAGGGAGGGAGGAGGAGAACCAGGGCCGGTGGCCCCGAAAGCACACACAAAGCGGCCTGACTCCTTTGGTGGGAACTTCCCCGGCCGCCAGCGGAGCGGGAGCGGGAGGGGGCGGCGGAGAGGGGGGGCGGCGGTTCCCCTCGCCGAGGCGGAGAACAGCGCGCGCTAGGCTCTGGGCGCGCGGCGAGCGCAGCGGCCGCCGCCTCCTCCCTTCCCCGCCTCCGCCGGCGCTGCCTCCTCCCTCCGCCCAGCTCGGCCTCCCTTGCTCCCTCCCCTCCTAGCTGGCTTCGGCGGGGACGGCGGCGGCGGCGGCGGGCGGGGAGGGCGTGCGCCGGCCGAGAGGTGTCGGCGGCGAGGCAAAGGAAGTTTCAAGTGGAAGGTCGTCCGTCGGCCGGCGCGTCCTCCTGCTCTCCTCCGCAGCATCATGGCGGAGCCGAGCGGCTCGCCCGTGCACGTCCAGCTTCCCCAGCAGGCGGCCCCGGTGACAGCGGCGGCGGCGGCGGCCCCGGCGGCCGCGACAGCAGCGCCGGCCCCGGCAGCTCCCGCGGCCCCGGCCCCGGCCCCGGCCCCGGCGGCACAGGCTGTCGGCTGGCCCATCTGCAGGGACGCGTACGAGCTGCAGGAGGTTATCGGTCAGTGCGGCGGGCGCGGCGGGGCCGGCACAGGCCGGGCGCCGAGGCCGGGCGGGAGGGGGCGCGGGATGCTGGGCTAGCCTGCATGCACGCCCTGGAGGCAGAGAGGCCGGCTTCGGGGCCTACTGGCTTCAACAGTTTTTTTTTTTTTTTTTTTTTTTTTTTTAATTTTTAATGTATTTGTTCGTTCTATGAGCGTTGGTGCTGCAGGAGGCGGCGCGGCGGATGTGACTCGCACTGCAGACGAGCCGCATGCTGCAAACTTTTATCTCAGGGATCGCCGGGGCGGTGGAGCGGAGGACCAGGCGGCGCCGCCGCATCTTCCTCCCCCCGCGTGCCGGGACCGCAGCCCGTGGCCGGTGGCCACGCGGACAGGCAGCCGCGGGTGGGGTGTGGTTGCGGGGGCCCCGCCCTGGGTTTCCAGGGCCCCGGGGGCCGCGTCCTGGGGGACTCTGCGGGCGCAGCCGCTCCTCTGCCTCCCGTCGTGACCCTCTCGTCGTGGGTAACGGGGCCACGTAGAAGCCGCGGAGGCCCCAGTGCTTTTCTGAGGCCGGGGAGGATGCTGGCCTCTCTTCCTGACAGCCGCCACTCCACGCCCGCCTTGCAGCCCGGCTCTCCGCGCCACTCGGCGCGCCCGGGTACCCGCCTCCCTCCGTGCCAGGGTGCGCCGCCTGCCGCCCAGTCCGGCTCCCCGGGGAAAGCGGGTGCCCTGGCCTCCTGCCCTGCACCGGGCCGATGCTTCCCTCTGTTTCAGGCCGAGCTGCAAGAGTGAAATCCGAGGCTGCCGGTGATCTGCTCTCTGCCTTTCGTTGCCTTCTGGCCGGCTCACAAATATCACCTTATCTTACATTTTTAAATACCTGGCAGAGTCGCAGGGCTCGGCGTTACTTTTCCTTGGGCCAAGCACTTGAAGGGCCAGGAGATTTGTTTTGTCCCTTGACTTAGAACCTTCCCTATTGGATCATCCAGTTTGAGAGTCTTGTCACTTAGGGAAGCCTCCAGGTTAAGTGGGCCCTCAGCGTCTAACCTTACTGACGCAGGGATGGGATGTTGCCTTTCCAGAATCTTGGTATATAAGTACAGCGATGAAAAAGGAGTTCAGAATATTTATCTTAAGTATTTTTTCTAACTTTCACTTCAAAAAATTCTTCACCTCCTTTTAAAAAAATTAAAACAGATATAAAAATTTCACTAGGTGTTTAAATGAGCCTTTATCACCTGCTATTGGGGAATAAAACAGCATAGACGGAAATATATATATAAATATATACATAAAAATATGTGAGAAAATGTTGGGCAGGTCCGTAACCTAGGATATATACAAGCTTCAGATAACCTATAATAGGCATCTGTAGACAAAATTCTTTGAAAACCCAGATCTTTCATAATTTTTGACCAAAGACTCTAAAGGGATGAGTCTTCATGTCACTGCCTGAAATAGCTTCAGGGGCTTCTCAAAGCCTGGAATATTCCATGGAAACCTCTTTAACCTGGCATATAGGCCCTGTACCCTCAACCTGCCTGCCTCCTCCCATTGTCTACTCTTCAGTGATTGCTTCCTGAATACACCGCTGTCTTCCGCACATCTGGTCTTCCATTCTTTGCTGCCTTGCAGAGGCTCTTCCCTCCTGTGAGTGCCCATCTTTGTGTACTAAATCTCACTCCGCTTCCAAGGTGAGTGTGAATATTCCTTGAAAAGCCTTCTGCTTCTTTCAAGGCAAAATGCCGTGGTTTCTTCTGCCCCTCTTTTTACAGACCTCATAGCATGTAACCTCATAGTTGTTATTTGCGCAACAAGATCTGAAGGCCTGCTGTGTCCCAAGCATTGCCCCACTTGCTAGCAATATAGAAATTAACAAAAGTGATCCCTGCCCTAAGTTGTTAGGAGACATAGGGAAAGGATCCTATAGGATGTGATGAGTAAGTACTGGGAGAGCCCGAAGGAGGGAGTGACTGCCAGGAAAGAGAAGGAAGCAGAGTATTTCTTAGTAGAGGTCGTAGTTGAGCTGGGTTTTAAGTCTGAGTTTGTAAGGTGCTTAATTATTTCCACTGTTGCCTTCACTAACCAGCTGTGAACTCTGACAGGAAGAGGTGGGCCATAAAAGTTGAATAATGGTATCTGCCACATAATTCTCCATAGAGTCCATAGGATTGGGAGAAGTTATAATCAATTTATATACCTACTTGGTCAATTATTAGGGTTAAAATACAAACGTTGCCTTTTGAAAACAGTATTTTTTTGTGAACTAATAAAATCTTAGTTTAAGTTGAGTGGGATTAATGGCAGGACTTCTTTCTGTTTGCAGTCCCAGCAGTGTTAATTATGGTTGGTCAGTTTAGTGGAAAAAAAGAAATTTACCTGAGGAATTTGAGAACAAAAACACCTGCTTATTCTACCCTGACTTTTGCGCATTTGCATTGTGGGAAGGGCTTTTCTACATTTAAAGTTTATCTCATATTTTCCCAACTAAAAGAGAAAGAGTTGGCCTGTGTGGAGGCCCTGTTATTGAAAAATCAAATTGCTGGAATAGGTTTTTCGCAAGGGCTTAATGTTTATAAGGAATTACAAACCTGTTTCCATTTAGGGTTTAATGCTAGTTGAGAGATTAAGACTGAACTTGTGGTTAAGCACTTTTGCTTAAACATTACACGCAGAAGTTAGCAGTTCAAACACTGAACCAGTTTCAACATGAATGCCAGTTGACAGCCTTTGCTTCTACCCGCCATACGGCAGGTGTCATATGATATGACTCCAGCAGTGTGAACCGTGACCAGCAGCAGGAGGCTCAGATGTGCCTGAACAGAAAACCAAAGGAGGCACCGTGTTTTAACTTTCCAGCATGGCACGGGCACGGAGGACTTTTTCTTCATTTCCTTCTGGGCAGAGTTTGGTCCCCCAGGATTAAGAGAGAATAAGTTTACTAAAATCCAAACAAAGCAGGTTCAGTTGTTTGACTTCAGTTTTAGAAAAATAAACACAGGATTTTGCAAACCTAAAAATAAAGTTTTCTCTTTATTGTATTGTTGTTCTTGTGTTTTAAAACGTCAGTGGAGAAATTGTAATGCTCTTAGGAGTATTCTGGTTCATAAGTTTATTCATGACCTGGAAATGATGTAAAATCGATGGGAGGGAGCTTTATATTTACAGAGGGGTTAAAAATGTTGGAAATTATTAAATTCCTTCTTCCAGACATTGATATCCTTGTCTTAGTAGATTTCAAATATTTCTGTCTTTTTGGAGGCTTTCCGACCTGTTTATACTCTTCAGCCTTGTTAATCTTTGTTCCTTACCTCTCTAAAGAAGGAATTTGGGGGTGAGTTGAGCCCCCAAAAGTAGGTACCCCTACCTTTAGAAGTATAAGGGGCACTTAAAGCTATGCCAGTTGAAAACTTAGTTTATTTGTTGGGGGTGTTAATAATATTACCTAGATTTGCTAAACAGGGAATGAAAGTGAATCATATAAGTGTTTACTTGGCCATCCGTAATGGAATGGAGCAGCCTCAATGAACTTCTCATTCAAAGAATTGTAGTCATTGAAGTACTAATTTCTGTATTTGAATTAGGTGATTCCAGCAATGTTGTTATCTTTGCTGAATTTCTTCTGAGAAACCCTAGACTCCTGCCTCAGCAGGAGTTTGTTTGATTTTCTTAGGGTTTTTGCAGGATGCACCTTTCTTTATGTAGTTTTATACTAGATTTCTCAGCATTGCTTCACTTTTGTCCCGGGTGGTCATTTAGAATGACCTAAAAGTAACAAATTGCCATCTTAGTCAACACGAAGAATTTGAGTTCTAGAATCCTGGACATGGTTTGACAGAGGGTTCCTTTGAATGCTTTATTTCTCTCCTGTGAGGCATTGTTTATCCATTCAGGTGCGTTTTACTCAGGTCCAGGTAATAGCACATATGGCCAGGTCTTTAAGGAGCAACAGCCTCTTGTAAAATGAGATTGTAAATAGCCCTGGGCATTCCCACTTTGCTCTGTGCTCTCAGAGTTTCTGTGGATTTCTATGGTTTGGGGGTTAGAATTGGTTTTTATAGATATCCTAGAGGCAGTTTGAGGACAGTGGTACCTTCGCTGGCGCTAGGGTAAGGGAGCCGGAGCACTGAGTGTGTTCTGATCTCCCAGACCTTTATACCAGGCTGCCTTGCTGCTGCAGTGGGTTCTTTGATCTTGATTAGTTTGTTTGTTGTTGTTTTTAAAATACTAAATGATGTCTGAAATGCTTTGTCTCAAGACAGGGCTTTGATTTTCATTTCATTTCACTTTCTTTTTTAATAAATAGAAAAATGTATATAGAAATGTTCTTTTGTATTTTGTATTTTTTTTTTTTTGATAAAGGGTCTCACTCTGTCACCCAGGCTAGAGTGCAGTGGTGCAATCATACCTCACTGCAGCCTCGAACTCTTGGGCTCAAGTGATCTTCCCACATCAGCCTCCTGAGTAGCTGGGTCTATAGGTGCAAACCATCATGCCTGCCTAATTTTTTTTTTCTTTTTTTATTTTTAAGAAATGGGGGTCTCACTATGTTGCCCAAGCTGCTCTTGAACTCCTCCGCTCAGCGATGCTCCGGCCTTGGCTTCCCAATGTGTTGGGATTACAGGCGTGAGCCACTGTGCCTGGCCTCTTTATATATATATATATATATATATATATATATATATATTTTTTTTTTTTTTTGTAAGAGTCTTGCTCTGTTGCCTGGGCTAGATTGCAGTGGCGCCATCTCAGTTCACTGCAGCCTCTGCCTCCTAGGTCCAAGCAGTTCTCCTGCCTCAGCCTCCCGAGTAGCTAGTATTACAGGCCTGGCTAATTTTTGTATTTTTTGATAGAAACAGGGTTTCACCATGTTGGCCAGGCTGGTCACAAACTCCTGGTCTGAAGTAACCCGCCTGCCTCAGCCTCCCAAGTTGCTGGGATTACAGCGTGAGTCACTGTGCCCGGCCTCTTTTGTATTATTTTTATTGTGGTAAAATATACACAACAAAAATTGTACCATTTTAACCGTTCTTAAAGTGTGCAATTCAGTAGCATTAATTATATTTACAAGATAAATACTCTTTTAAATGTGCTGTCATGGGGCTGGGGGGAGAGATCTCAAGATCTCTCTTGAAACTGTGGTAAAGTGACTGCAATCCTTTATTTATGCATTTGATTTTTAACTAGTGATATTATGAATTCTTCCCTGACTTTTATGGTTTATTGTATAGTACATTTTGTGATGGTGTTTGAAAATAAGTTGCAGCAGTGCCGGCTCTGGAGTCTGACAGCCTGGCCTGTTTCATGTCCTGCAATGGCGGTCACTGACGCTGCGACCTTGAGCAAATGACTTAGATGTGTCTGCACTCAGTTTCCTCATTGGTAACATAGGGATGATAAAAATAGGGTTGTGAGGAATGAGAGAATGTAAAGCACTGAGAATCGTGCCTGGCACACAGCATGCTTTCAATTAGTCTTAGCCATAACTTCTATAGACTTCATTTGCTAATCAGATGCAAGTTATCAGGAGAGAACACAGTCCTATCTTTGGCAGGATTCTGGAGTGGCTTGAAGATTTCTGTGCTATGTTTCTAGCAGGGAGGAAGTGGGAAAGAGAGGTTGTTCCCTATTCCCACTCTTGTGCTGGGCTGCTGGAAGGGGCTTACAAGGGGAGAGGCCCCTGGGGATCTGGCTTCCCCTTGCACCTCCACTGCTGTGGGAGGAAACTGAAGAGACCTGTGGAGCTCCTGGCAATTTGGACAGCTCAGGGGTTTAGGTGCCAAATGGCCCTCTGACAAGTGATGAGAGCATCCTGCGGGAAGGTTGCTGAAGAGGAGCAGCCCATTATGAGAGGGCTCCGAGAACAACCTGCTAGGACTGCACTTTTCCTCCACCTCTGAGTTTGCCCGGAGGCTGCCATGCTGGCAGGAAATGCTGCTGACTAAAAGAAACGCTCCCTGTGTGTCCCAGCCAGTGCGAGGACAGAGGCCTTCATTTTCAGATAAAGTCATCACCATTGCTTCCCTGTCTCCTTCTTTCCCTCTTTGCTTTTCCCTCAGTTTATAAATATTCTCAAGCCTGTCTCTTATGTTTAAATGACAAAAGAGAACAAAACAAAACACTCTCCCTACTTCTTTCTCCTCTGGCTACTCGGTTATCTCGTTTCTTCCTTTCACTGCTAAATTGTTGGAAGGAACCTCCCATTCCCTCTCAGCCCACTGCAGTCTGGCTTCTGCCCTTTCCCTAAGAAACCCAAGTTACTCTCTGAAATCACTGTGACTCTTCTGTGGCCAGAGCCAGTGGACACTGCAGTCCTTTTCTCTGCTCTCTGCAGGGTTAGGTGCCATCTTTCATTCTCCTTTTGGAAAGGCATTTGCTTGAGCTTCCATGCCATGCCTTCCTTCTGGACTTCCTGTACTCCCTTGCCTGCCCCAGATCCACATCTCTGTCTGTCTGAAGCTTCAATTACCACATCAAATGCTGAGGGTCTTCCTGACTGTATACCAGTGTTTGGACTACCTTTTTAATGTCTTCGTTTGAATGTTTCACAGGAACTTCATACAGTTAAACTCATTGTCTCTCCACCCTGGCCTCAGTCCTAATCTTGTTTCTTCTATATTCATCATCTTTAGAGCCCTCAAGGGCAAAACCTGCTGGCCATCCTATACTTTCCTGTCTTTGTCCATCTCTCACATCTGTTTGGTCACCAAGTCCTAAATACTCCACCTCCTTGAGATCTTCTTTGATTTGACTCTGACTCTTCATGTCAGCCACCACTGGTTTAGTTCAGGCCCTTATCGATTCTTATTTGGATTATTGTAATAATTTCCTAACCAGGTTCCTTTTTTCCATTCTTGTTTCTGGCTGTAGTGTGCATTGCTACCAGAAAGATACTGCTATACCAAAATTCTTGATCACGTTGCTCCCAGGCTGAAATGCCTTTAGTAGCTCTCCCGTCACCCTCAAGACTTAATTTGAAGCACAGTGTTTAAGGTCTTTTGGGAATTGTCTCTTGCCTCCCTTTTCAGCCACATCTTGTAATTTCCAGTCTCAGGACAGACTCTCCAGCCAGTGGGAACCTTTTGCAGTTGCTGAAATGCCTCTTCTAGGCAAGATTTCCCTCTGCTTGGAACACCATTCCAAGACCCTTCCCTTCCATTTTTCATCTATGTAGCAAAGAGCTCTGTCTTTTCTTTTAAATATTGCCCTTATTGAAGTATAATATGCATGTGGAAAAGTGTACATATAAAAAATGTATATCTTGGTGCATGTTCATGAATTGAACACACCATGTAACCAGCACCCTGACTGGGCCTCTCTTCTCATACCCTGAACAAGTGATTTCTTGTCACACAAACAATCTCTGCCTCTAGAGCCCCCCTCCCCCCTTGCCCTTCAGGCTCTGTTGGGTCTTTCGCTCCCTGGCAGTTGTCACACTATCTGCAAATTGTATTTTCCTTGCCAGCCTGGCTCTAGACTGTTAAGTCTTCCTTGAGGACAGGGTCTCTCATCTCCCTACCCTGCATGTCATAATAGATATTTAATAAATGTTTTCTGGATGAAGTTCTGAGTTTTGGGGATAAATACTCCTTCCTCACCTTGTGGAGGAGGAACATTGCCTGACGTCTAAAAATTTGCCTCACTGGATCCTGAGGATTTGATCTTGCCCGTGGTTAATGATGGGGTTTATTTAGTTGCGTTTGGGCCAATCAGCTTAAAGGGCTCTGTAGAAATTAGCTCATTAATCCTCACAGATCAAGAGTAAGCACTTTGAGTGCGTCCACCTGCCTGTGTTGTGGAGGTAGGCAGGCAGAGGCCTGGCTCTCCTGAGGTCTTAGGACTGAGAGGTGGCCTTTCTGGCTGGATTAAAGGACCCAGAGCTCCCTGCCACAGTTCTGGCATCCGTAGACATTGTAGGGTGGAGTGGGGAAGTCCCACACTGCCCTTCAAAAGCTCTAGAGCTTTCTTTTCTTTTGTATATCAGTGATCTCTCTCTCTTGCTGTTCATGTATTTATATATAACACTCACCTTGAAGTTCTGTGGAGCCTCTTCCTGTGTAGGAATCAGGGCTGCTGGAGACGATCAGGGATGCAGGTGAAACACAGGAGCAGAATTGCAGAACAAGTGGCTTTCAAAGGTTGTTAGGATGGCAGGAGTTCTATTTTTATAACTTATAAGGGACTGACATGATAGGATGGCTGTGGTACCTGCTAAGACCATAGAACCGGGTCATTCTAATAGATGTTATAATTCCTTTACAGTGTACTTTTTGGGAAAGTTTTTTTTTCCTATTTAAATAAAATTCTCCATGTAATCATGTGAAGTCATACGTTTTCCTCTAGGATAGTTGTGTTTAGATTATACCAAAACAGCTCTTAGTTGAAGTGATTCAAGTGTTTCTTTTTTCCCTATCTGCCATCAATTGGCCAAGTTTTTGATACTAGACAAGAATTCAATATATTAATTAAAAAGTCATTTCAGACTTGGCTTAACTGAAAAGCAGAAGAGAAAAATCCTTTAGAGAATGGATTGGCATACTTTATTTCTAGAGTCGATTTAGATAAATACTTTGGAATCCGATGTGAGTAAATGATATGTTTCACATTTCTTCTCACTTGCCAAACAGTTATTTGAGAATAAACTCTGGCTTAGCTTTAAGAAACTTCTTGGACATTGAGGATTGAGATTAATTGACCTTTTAAACTGATTGTGTATTTTGATATATGGGAAAACATTTTAAGATAGAAATGGTAGAGACCTCTACATTCATATTATCCCTGACTTTATTTTCAAACTTCTTCCAGGTAAGTGGCATTTAGTATAACTCTCAGAAGCCTAGTATTGGGGGTGCTCATGTGATTCTTCCCTTAGGTAAAAAATATACATTTTATTGACATTTATGGGTTTAGGTTTCTAACTTTTAGTTACCACTGGAGCTATTTGTCAGAAAAAACTAGATGGAAAGTAGAGGTGGATGACTTTCTGCCCTGTGAATGATAGATCTTCATTCAGGGAGTATTTTGGAGCCAGTGACCTGTGACAGTTGTGAGACTTCTCATAATCATTCTGTGGATGGTTGGGGTCTTAGAAGAAGTAATGATTTTGTTTTGAACTGGTTGCATCAGTTTGAACCAGAGTTTGTACTAAGGGTATTCCAACTGCTTTATTTCCTACTCTGTTTAGTCTGGGGATTGAAAAAGGATTACATTTTGGGTAGGTTGGTGCCTATTGACCTATCCTGTGTAGCTTAGATTTTAATTTGAATCATCTGGTTCTCTTTCTTTCTCTCAGGCAATGTCACTATCTCTGTTTGTTTAATTATGGGGTGACTCAAGAAAGCAAAGGAAGAGGAGCAGCAGACGGGGTTTCCTGGGGAAGGAATGGCAGGTCATGGCTGGTTTTTATAAGTGAGTTCCTAAGTGAGAAGTGGTACAAGAATATAGAGAGAATTAGGAAATTTAATTTTAGAAGAGACCAAAGGAAAAAAAATCCATCCCAGCTGCTTTGTCTTGTAACTGAAAACTCTCTAATGGCCAAAGTTGAAGAAACTTGCCTATGGTCCCAAAGTCCTTAGAATCCCAGGCTCCAACCCTTCATGCTAAAAACTCTCAATAAATTAGGTATTGATGGGACGTATCTCAAAATAATAAGAGCTATCTATGACAGACCCACAGCCAATATCATACTGAATGGGCAAAAACTGGAAGCATTCCCTTTGAAAACTGGCACAAGACAGGGATGCACTCTCTCACCACTCCTATTCAACATAGTGTTGGAAGTTCTGGCCAGGGCAATCAGGCAGGAGAAGGAAATAAAGGGTATTCAGTTAGGAAAAGAGGAAGTCAAATTGTCCCTGTTTGCAGATGACATGACTGTGTATCTAGAAAACCCCATTGTCTCAGCCCAAAATCTCCTTAAGCTGATAGGCAACTTCAGCAAAGTCTCAGGATACAAAATCAATGTGCAAAAATCACAAGCATTCTTATACACCAATAACAGACAAACAGAGAGCCAAATCATGAGTGAACTCCATCCACAATTGCTTCAAAGAGAATAAAATACCTAGGAATCCAGCTTACAAGGGATGTGAAGGACCTCTTCAAGGAGAACTACAAACCACTGCTCAATGAATAAAAGAGGATACAAAGAAATGGAAGAACATTCCATGCTCATGGATAGGAAGAATCAATATCGTGAAAATGGCCATACTGCCCAAAGTAATTTATAGATTCAATGCCATCCCCATCAAGCTACCAATGACTTTCTTCACAGAATTGGAAAAAACTACTTTAAAGTTCATATGGAACCAAAAAGCCCGCATTGCCAAGTCAATCCTAAGACAAAAGAACAAAGCTGGAGGCATCACACTACCTGACTTCAAACTATCCTACAAGGCTACAGTAACCAAAACAGCATGGTACTGGTACCAAAACAGAGATATAGACCAATGGAACAGAACAGAGCCCTCAGAAATAATGCCGCATATCTACAACCATCTGATCTTTGACAAACCTGACAAAAACAAGCAATGGGGAAATGATTCCCTATTTAATAAATGGTACTGGGAAAACTGGCTAGCCATATGTAGAAAGCTGAAACTGGATCCCTTCCTTACGCCTTATACGATTAATTCAAGATGGATTAAAGACTTACATGTTAGACCTAAAACCATAAAAACCCTAGAAGAAAACCTAGGCAATACCATTCAGGACATAGGCATGGGCAAGGACTTCATGTCTAAAACACCAAAAGCAATGGCAACAAAAGCCAAAATTGACAAATGGGATGTAATTAAACTAAACAGCTTCTGCACAGCAAAAGAAACCACCATCAGAGTGAACAGGCAACCTACAGAATGGGAGAAAATTTTTGCAATCTACTCATCTGACAAAGGGCTAATATCCAGAATCTACAATGAACTCCAACAAATTTACAAGAAAAAAACAACCCCATCAAAAAGTGGGCGAAGGATATGAACAGACACTTCTCAAAAGAAGACATTTATGCAGCCAAAAGACACATGAAAAAATGCTCATCATCGCTGGCTATCAGAGAAATGCAAATGAAAACCACAATGAGATACCATCTCACACCAGTTAGAATGGTGATCATTAAAAAGTCAGGAAACAACAGGTGCTGGAGAGGATGTGGAGAAATAGGAACACTTTTACACTGTTGGTGGGACTGTAAACTAGTTCAACCATTGTGGAAGTCAGTGTGGCGATTCCTCAGGGATCTAGAACTAGAAATACCATTTGACCCAGCCATTCCATTACTGGGTATATACCCAAAGGATTATAAATCATTCTGCTATAAAGACACATGCACACGTATGTTTATTGTGGCACTATTCACAGTAGCAAAGACTTGGAACCAACCCAGATGTCCAACAATGATAGACTGGATTAAGAAAATGTGGCACATATACACCATGGAATACTATGCAGTCATAAAAAAGGATGAGTTCATGTCCTTTGTAGGGACATGGATGAAGCTGGAAACCATCATTCTCAGCAAACTATTGCAGGGACAAAAAATCAAACACCGCATGTTCTCACTCATAGGTGGGAATTGAACAATGAGAACACATGGACACAGGAAGGGGAACATCACACTCTGGGGCCTGTTGTGGGGTGGGGGGAGGGGGGAGGGATAGCATTAGGAGAAATACCTAATACCTAATGTTAAATGACGAGTTACTGGGCGCAGCACACCAACATGGCACATGTATACATATGTAACCTGCACATTGTACACATGTACCCTAAAACTTAAAGTATAATAATAATTAAAAAAAAAAAAATCCCAGGCTCGTGATTCTGCCCTAATTCAGTATTTTCTTCCACTTATATCACATTGTTTCCTTGTTGGTGGAAAGGCAGATGTTAGAAATATTATTGACTCGGGCCGGCCGTGGTGGCTCAGGGACGCCTGTAGTCCCAGCACTTCAGGAGGCTGAGACAGGCAGATCCCAAGGTCAGGAGTTCGAGACCAGCCTTGCCAATATGGTGAAACCCCGTCTCTACTAAAAATACAGAATGATTAGCTGGGCATGGTGGCACATGCCTGTAATCCCAGCTACTCGGGAGGCTGAAGCAGAAGAATTGCCTGAACCCGAGAAGCGGTGGTTGCAGTGAGCCAAGATCACGCCGCTGCACTCCAGCCTGGGTAACAGAGTGAGACTCTGTTTCAAAAAAAAAAAAAAAATTATTGACTCAATAAATTTTAAGGTACTACTAAAATTTTTTTTTTTTTTGTTAGAGATGGAATCTTACTATGTTGCCCAGGCTAGTCTGAAACTCCTGGTCTCAAGTGATTCTCCTGCCTTGGCCTCCCAAGGTACTGGGACTACAGGCATGAGCCACTGCATCTGGCCTATGACTCAATAGAGTAAAAATATGTCTGAATAAATAAATAGAGTAAAAATATGTAGGAATCAGTAAAAATCTTATGTCTTTAGGGGCATTAAAATGATTTTTATTTACTTATATTTATTTCTTCATCAGGGCATGTTTATGTAACATGTAACCAGGTTATATGTAAATATACAATGTCTTCATTTCAGCCATCACCTTTTGCCTGGTCTATTACAGTAGATTATGTTTTTAATCTTTGGTTATAATCTGTCAGTGAGGTGGAGGTGGGTGTGTGTTGTAAAGTAAGGTGGAGGAACAGGAAGTTGAGGGTTGAAGAAAAGTACGTGAAATAGACATACACCATGACTGATCATTAGTTGGAGAGAGGTGGTCCCTTATGCGGGGCTGATATTTTATAACAATCAGAGCAGCAGCAGTGTTCCCAGAAGAAAGGGGCTAGCACCACACTGTCCAGCTTGGTAGCCACTAACCATATGTGGCTATTTACATTTAAATTAATTAAGTAAAGTTAAAGAAATAGGGTACAGTCCTTCGGTTACACTGGCCACATTTCAAGTGCTCAATAATGAACTGTGGCTACGACTGCCTTACAGGCTAGTGCAGATATAGACTGTTTCCCTCATCACAGAAAGTTACATGGGGTGGTGCTGGATGGTAATTTCTCGGAAATGTTCAAAGACTGGCTAAATACTGTTATGATGGCTGTAAGTAGTGTGAGGCCACCTTTTAATAACATGCAAAGGTATTGCCACTGACTTAGTACAAAAAGGAGACAGGCATCACCTGATTTTTAAAAAATGTTTTGTTTTCACTCTGTACCTATTTGCAAGCTAGTCAATTCATCTCTTCAGAAGAAGAGTATTCTTGTGTGTGGTGAAACAGATACCCCTGTCGACTTAGGAAAATAGTTTTGAAATATAAGTTTTTATCTTACTGACTTACCTCATTTTGGAAATGTTCTTGTGATGACTAAACACAGATTCTGTCCAAATGAAACCCAATATTTTCAGAAATATCATAATGTGTCATATCTTAAAAAAGATCATTTTAGAGTCTTTTGGTTGGATATCGTAGTCAGAATCACTTCAGTTTGTCTTATGTTATGAAGAAGGGACTGATTATAAGGTTTAAAAAATGAAATTACAAAGAAGTTCTGAAATTAACCCTAATTAGGAAAAATAGTACCAAAATTAATTTCAGTCACTTAAACGGTGAATTTGAATCATAGTCCCTCTTTTCCTTTGAGTTAGAAACATTTTGGGATTTGAGTGAGTCAAGGATTAATAGTTTATCCTAAGTTACAGATCACAAAGCAAGTAAAACATCATTTAAGCCAGTTCCTTAATAGAAATTCTAACTCAGCAAGCACTATTTGGGTAGGATACCTGCTCTTTTGGGAGAAGGAATTAATGACTGAGGGGTGGGAAAAAAATCTGTGTAGGGAGATTAAGTGGGTTTAATTTTGGGCAACTCAGGAACAGTGTGTACTTTCTCACATTTAGTGTCCCTTGAGTGACCGGAGCTGTAACAGAGAATGTTTTACTATGTAATCCCTTTAAAATTTTTCCTTGTATATGCCCTTTCAAGTTTCTGAAGTCTGAAACCCAGTGCCTGACCTTAAACACAAGTTGTTGTGGAAACATTTTTAATGTGGCACCTTTCCTGAGGAGTCGGGTGGCTGAAATAGGACTAGGGAAAAGTGTTTCTGTGTAGTTTCAAAATGTGATCATTAGGATGAACGTAAGAATAGTAATATTTTTGGCATAAGTCAAGATCGGGGCTAGAGTGTTTAGTAAAGTAAATACCCATCAGTTGTTTAAAAAGTGACGATCTCTGATCTCTAGGGCCAAGAGATGATGAGCCTCTCAGTTCATCTATAGCCGTTTTTGTGATTGTCTTCATAAATGCTGCAAGACTTTCTGAAGGCTATAATTTCATGTCCTGTTCTTTTTTTTTTTGAGACAGCATCTCACTCTGTCGCCCAGGCTGGAGTGCAATGGCGCGATCTCGGCTCGCTGCAACCTCCGCCTCCTGGGTTCAAGTGATTCTCCTGCCTCAGCCTCCTGAGTAGCTGGGATTACAGGCACCTGCCACTACGTCCAGCTAATTTTTTGTATTTTTAGTAGAGACGGGATTTCACCATGTTGGCCAGGCTGGTCTGAAACTCCTGACCTCGTGATTTGCCTGCCTCGGCTTCCCAAAGTGCTGGGATTACAGGAGTGAGCCACTGCGCCTGGCCTTCATGTCCTGTTCCTTAAAGCCCATTGGAAATAGATAATATAGGCAGCTTTGTAACATATTTTTGCTTAAACAGTCTTTATGGAAAAGGAGGATAATTGAAGTTCCAGTGACTAGGACAGGTAAAAGTTACAGTTGGATGCTCGTTTTGTTCGTCTATCATATTAAAAAATGAAATTATTTTTAGCCATATGTAGTTGTTTAAAATTAAATATTTCCTTGTCTTTTGGAGCTACCTGGAAGAAAGGGAGTGACAAAAATAGGAAAGATGATCTTTATGAGGTATGACTGACCTTCAATTAATCATATCAGAATTTTTATGTACAGAAAGTGTTCTTTCCTTCAGGGGGATGTGTGGGAGGGTGTCCATTTTTACTTTATAGCTACATTTTATATTAAATGAAAACTTAGATCTTTTGCCGCAAGCAGGCTTATGTTGCCATCGGAAGACTATGTGAAAAACGTGACAGCAAGTGTGTGATTTGTGACTCCTGTGTGCGTCCCTGCACTCTGGTGATGTGATGAGTGTAACTGTGGATCTTACCAGGGGCACTGTGTGGTCTCTGGAGGTCCTGGAGTCTCTGATGCCTATTATTGTAAGGAGTGCACCATCCAGGAGAATAGAGATGGCTGCCAAAGATTGTCAATTTGAGGAGCTCTAAGACAGATCTCTTCTGTGAATGCAAAAAATATGGCTACAAGAAGAGGTGATTGGTGGGTGGCCCCTTCCTCCCCCCACATCAAGCTGCTGCAGCTGCCAGAAAAGATGCCTACTATTACCAGCAGAGAGGGAGCGGAGCCCAGAGCATCACCAGGAGTGCCTGCTAGTATACTGGCACTTTGCCACCCCTCCTCTCCCTTCACCCAGACACGTGGTAGGGATGGAAAAGGATTCTTCACAGAGCACTCTGGCACACTGTATCAGAGAAAAATTGATAGATTAGTTAGTGGTTTTTCTTGAATTCGAGAAGCAAAGATCTGTTCTCCATATTGATATGTTCTCCCTCAACCAAGATCTTCTAAAAAGAAATAATATTTTAGTCTTCTGCTTGAGGAGTTGACTGTGAAGCTACACCCAGTGAAAAACATGTTCTTGCAGCAGCTCTGGTGGCAGCTGTCCTTGAGGAACCTTCGGTGTGTGGTGGGAAGCTATCAGAATAAGAAATGTAGCCATTTAACACTTAACCATTTAACATCTTTTAACACTTGTGCTGGTGTCATGTTATTTTCCTCCTGAGAAATTGGAAATCCTTTCTGTTGTTATTATGTTAACAAAGGTGGTGGTTATTTTCTGGTAAAAAACAACAGCAGCAAAAAACTTAGCCATTTCTGTCAGTCCTCCTATGAAGAAATGAGACTAATTTTCTAAAGTGACATTAATTTGCTTTTAAAATACTTCCAAAAATGTTTTAAGCAGTGGTATTTGTATTGGAATAAGTATGTAACCTTACAAAATGACTCTTTAGCATGACAGTGCTGTTAGTTGTTTACCATCAGTTTTGTTTACTATTATTTGTAGTAAATTCTGGATCACTATTTCATAGAAGTGATAAGACTAGGACTTGGTTGGAGATTACAGTGAGCTGTTGGCATAGAGGTAGGGATTGCAAAAGTAAAAGCTGATGGTAGCTGAGAGGAGTCTGGTAGGGTGGTGGGTGGGATTCTGTAGTCAGGTCTGTGAAGCCAGGGAGAAAATGGACGGGCTCATTCCGAAGCAAAGACTACTACACAGCAGCAAGAGACCTCAAACCTGAGCAGGTCTGAGAAAGGGGGAGAATAAGAACTTGGGGGCATTTCCAAGTTTACAATTTGCAGGACTTGACAAGGGGTCAAGGCAAGGGACTTGATAGGGAGAGTGTAATTTTTCCAAGGATGATTCAGCAGCAGCCTCTTGTTGAGGTAGGTGCCTCTTTTGAAGTTTTGCCAGCGAGGGTGCCTCTGACAGACTGAAAGGCTCGGTTCTCTCATCATGGATTCTGACATTCCCTGTATCAGCTATCTATAGCTGTGTAACAAAGCATCCCAAAACTTAGTGGCTTAAGGTAAGGACCATTGTACTTGCTTATAATACAAGTTAGCAATTTGGGTTTGGCTGGGCTGGGCATTTCTTCAGTTTGGGGTCAGACCCATGGTCAGCTTGGCTGGGGCTCTTTTAAGATGGTCTCGCTCGCGTGTTGGGTGGTTGGTGGTGGCTGTTGGCTGGCCCTCACTTTCCACTGATTTCTCATCCTGGAAGAAACTTGCCTGTACTTTGTTTCTTGGCTGCAGCAGTGTTCTAAGATAGTGGGAGTGGAAGCTGCAAAGACTCTTGAGGCCTAGTCTTGGAAAGTCACACAATGCCACTCTGCCACATTCCTTGGGTTAAAGCATATCACAAGGCCAGCCCAAATTCAAAGGGAAAGGAGATAGATTTTTCTACTTTTTGGGAGGAGTGGTAAAATCCCATGGCAGAGGGATATATATACAAGGATGGAAGGAATTCTTATTGCCATTTTGCAAATTCCTTGCCACAGCAGCTCAATTTAGCACAAGGAAGATGAATATACAATATTTGTCATTCATCTAACTTTTGTTTTTCACACGTATTAGGGGAAACTATTACCCAACTACCCTTGTGTACACTCTCGTTGTTATAGTGCCATTGATTATAGGTTTCATAGACTAATTTGCTGTATGAACTAAGCATCAGAGTGATTTTTGCTGTAGAAGTGGCTTCAGGAGTATATCGCTTGCTAAACAATCTAAAGATGTTGATTCCAATGTGATATTTGAAGGGGAGGGAGGGTGTGTGTGTGTAATGCTGATCCTTTTTTAGCCTTGAGGTGTTTTATTCCAGACTGACTTTCTTAAAACTCAACACCACATTAAAAACATAGATTGTTTGCATGCATATGTATTTGTTTCTCCTGCCACCTACAAGTCATGAGCTAGATTTGTCACAGCCCGAAAAATAACACGTTATCTGTGCATCACTCAATTTAAAGGTAGATTTTTGCTTAATTAAGAAAGTTTCTTTACTTTGAAGTCAATCCAGCAATATTTTATTCCCCGTTTCACAGTTTTTCAAAAAGAATTGCTAGCCTATTAGGATAGAAATATTAGAAGCTTTGTAATAGTTACTGACAGAATTACAGAGTTTGCCTCTCTTCATTTTTTTTAGTTCTTGTTTTAGTTTTTTTTGTTTTGTTTAGAAATAATAGAAGGAAGGGAGATGTACTGTTATACCTTTTAATTTTTTTTTTTTTTTGAGTCAGAGTCTTGCTCTGTCACCCAGGCTGGAATGCAATGGTGCAATGTCAGCTTACTGCAACCTCCGCCTCCTGGGTTCAAGCAGTTCTCCTGCCTCAGCCTCTGGAGTAGCTGGGATTATAAGGCACCTGCCACTACACCTGGCTAATTTTTGTATTTTTAGTAGAGATGGGTTTCACCATATTGGCCAGGCTGATATCTTGGCCAGGCTGGTCTCAAACTCCTGACCTTGTGATCCACCCGCCTTGACCTCCCAAAGTGTTGATATTACAGGTGTGAGCCACCACGCCTGGCCTATTTTACCTTTTATTAAGTTGTAAAGTCTGGTAAAAGCCCTTATCATAAAATATTATATGCTTTTAGATGTGGGAAGAGGGCTAAATGTTATCTTTATAAAGTTAGAGATTTAAAGGCTAAGTGACCTGTTTATTACATTGGAAGACAGGTCTGGACGTGGGATTAGAATTGTGGAGTGTCCTTCCTGTGGCTGGCCTGAGTTCCTTTCTCATGTAAGGAAAAAGCACTGAGAAAAAGATGTTATCTGGATCTCTGAGGTTATTAAAAATTCCAAGCTTATTTAATTAATTTATTTATTTGAGATGGAGTTTCACTCTTGTCCAGGCTGGAGTGCAATGGCGCAATCTCGGCTCACTGCAACCTCTGCCTCCTGGTTCAAGTGATTCTCCTGCCTCAGCCTCCCAAGCAGCTGAGATTACAGGCATGTACCACCACACTAGGCTAATTTTGTATTTTTAATAGAGATGGGGTTTCACCATGTTGGTCAGGCTGGTCTCAAACCCCTGACCTCAGGTGATCTACCTGCCTCAGCCTCCCAAAGTGCTGGGATTACAGGTGTGAGCCGCTGATCCTGGCCCTATTTTATACTTCTCAAATATTATACAAACAATAATATAAGGTCATTGTAGAAAATTTATACAACACTGATGAGTGAAAAGGAGGAAAAGTAACCTCATCACCCAAGGCTAGACACTGTTTGAATTTTGATGTAGGAGTATATATTTACATGGCATAGAACTTTAAAAAAAAAAGTGTAAATTGATATTTTTAGAAATGTCTACCTTTTTTGTATTCCCAGTACTTTCACATTTAATTTGTTACGGCAAGTAAAATAAACTAGTCTTAGATTAATACTTGCTTGGCAAAAGTGATTTTATTTCTTGAGATTTTGGCATACACTGACAAGCATGCCTTATGATTACTGCAAAGTGTGTTAAGTGTATTTTTTCTCATACTTAAATGTTTTCAGAATCACGGAATACATCTAATACAATCTACTCTTAATGTCTGTGTTACGACTTAGATTTCTTAGGAGTATCTATTATACTTTGCCTTTTGTCTTCTAGATACTATTGGATCACCTTATTCTGATATTTGGCACTTCGTTGATTGGTAGAAAAATCGTTTTGGCCAGGCGCGGTGGCTCACGCCTGTAATCCCAGCACTTTGGGAGGCTGAGGAGGGCGGATCATTAGGTCAGGAGATCAAGACCATCCTGGCTAACACGGTGAAACCCCATCTCTACTAAAAATACAAAAAATTAGCCGAGAGTGGTGGTGGGTGCCTGTAGTCTCAGCTACTCGGGAGGCTGAGGCAGGAGAATGGCGTGAACCTGGGAGGTGGAGCTTGCAGTGAGCTGAGATTGTGCCACTGCACTGTGAGACTCCGTCTCAAAAAAATAAATAAATAAAAAAGAAAAATTGTTTTACAAAAAGTTCTGGCACAGAGAGAAGTTAAGAGTCAGTAACTTTCTTACTGTTTGTGGATGTGTTTGAACAGAGTAGTGACTTTTGGATTTCATAGTGACTTCGTATGAAACCTAGAGCTGGCAGCATGAGGATTTTCTAGATGAATTAAATATGTGGTATCTTTTTGTAGAACTAGCTGTGTGATTTCATGCGGATGTGGGAGAAATGAATAGGAATTTAATTTGATGATATGAATGTTGAATTTTGTGGTCCGCTAAATTTTAAGGATTTTATAGTATTTAGAACAAAAGGACAAAATAGCTTTTGGCATGACTAGTCTTTATTTTAAATGTTTTTTAAGTTACAAATGTATAATATTTATGAATCAAGTAGATGAAAATAACTCCCAACTTTCATTGCCCAGAGATGGCCTGTATGGCCAGTTTGGTGTGTATCCTTGCAGATGTTTTTCTATGTATACATCTACATAAAGATTTTTCCAAAATGTAATAATTTTACATGTAATGTGGAAACTATACGTATTGTTCTGCAATCTGTAAATTTTACTTCTTCAAAGTAATATATATATATTACTTGGGTATTTTACTTCTGTATATTTTCTGTAAATATTTTTAGTAAAGTATACACATTATAAATATTCACAGCTGTCATTCCAGGCTATTTCTCAGAGATCCACCTCCTTTAAAAATGTGTATTCTGGATCCATTGCTATTCTATGAGTGCAGCTGAATTTACTTAACTAATTCCTTTATTGATGAACTTATTGATTGTTTCCAAGTTTTTATTATTTCTGTGGGATAGATATCCAGAATTTCAGATGGCCAGGGCCAGTGGTATTGCATTTATACTTTTGATAGATACTGTGACAATTTCTTCCAGTTGTACTAATTAAATGCTAGCTTATTTGCTCCCATTACTGACCTTAAAGGTAAGAGGGAGTTATAGTGAGAAGGCATCTTGCCTTATTCCCGATTTGACCCAGACCTAAAATATCTAAGGTCAGGAGAAAATGGTGGGTGGGGTGAGGTGGGGTGGGATGGTTGGGTAATTGTGGATTGGAAAAGAAAAAATTATTGCCTCAGTTTAGGGAATGAAAGTTGCATCACTTATGGTCTAAAAAATGAAGTGTGATGAAGTTTATTTGTATGAGCAAATTTATGGAAAGATTTTTTTGAGTTGGTGAGCAGTCTGGATTATAGAATATAACAAAATTGGTTAATCTGCCCTTTAGGTTGTAAGGAACAGGGACTCACTAAAATTACCCAAATAATGGGGCATTCTTTATAAAGGTAGATGTGGGAATAGGGGGACAGGAATCTCATCCATAATCCTGGGTTTTCTAGCATCCTGGAAAAGTTGAGGGTCTCGGTCTTGGGAATTGCAGTGAAATGTCTGCATATGGACTGGGAAGTGGATAAGACCTCAGCAGCAGGAAACTTTGGATCCTCACTATTCTGGATCCTCTAACCTTAGTGTAACCGGCCAATCAGCATGTGTTTGCTTTGCTCATGCCCACCTGCTTCTCTGGCTGTTTTTACCTGGCTTTCTTACCTACTATCTGTGCATGTCTTCTCTGTCATGTTGTTTCTACTTAGTCAGAATTTTGGCTCACTCATAGCTCCTTATGGCCCATCCAGCTTCTCTCTTCTTTCCCTGTTAGCCGCAACTATGGCTGCTAATTGCTGGATTCTGTCTGTATTTCCCAATCTTAATCCCAAAGATTGAGAATCTAGTTTTTAGTGAGTCCCTTCATAGAACACCTGACTGCCCTAAACTCAGACACCCTCCTTGGAGAAGGGTGTAGCATCGGAAGTTCCTGCCTGGGAAGGAATCACAAGTGTGGCAGGCACCACTAGTGAGTGTTTTATGTAATACTGCTCTTAGGTAAGTAACTGGTCACGAGACAGAGACGACATGTCACCCTAATCAGCAAAATGTAATCCTGATCTAATGTACTTTCTTTGTTAAAATATATACTTACAATGTGTTTAAAGAGCAGTTTATTGTTTTGAGTCAATAAATAACTTTCTTCCCTAGGAAGAACCTCCCTTTTCCCTTATGGATTGTAAATTGGGAAATCTTATGCCCAGTTTCAGTTATAAATTGTCTTAAATTCTGAAATAATGATACCCGAATCCTGAGATATGGTCTGGTCTTGCCTTTTCTGCTGGATTTAAAGTACTATGAAGTAGTTCATCCTGTTTATGTAATGGTGATAAAATTCTGAAAAATATACCTGGAACCTGATACTCTTTGAGGAACTAACTTTCCTATGTCAATAGTTTTATCAGCAGTATCTTCTCCATGGATATTGAGAAGAGAATCTGATCCTCCCAAATTTTATGATGTATTTGATAGTTTTATCAGCAGTATCTTCTCCATGGATATTGAGAAGAGAATCTGATCCTCCCAAATTTTATGATGTATTTGGTGGTCCAGTGTTTCAGAGATGCAAGTTTGTTAATATCCCCTGGAAGATTTCTCAAGGTTGCTTTGTTTTCCTCTTCAGGGTCACTATTAAGTATCCCTTTTTGCCCTGTTCTCTTCCTCCTGAACCCCATTCTGCTTCACTTTCAAAACGATGGCTAGAGGGTTGGATATGTCAGTGATCATG
This sequence comes from Homo sapiens, assembly GCF_000001405.40. NCBI lineage: Eukaryota > Metazoa > Chordata > Mammalia > Primates > Hominidae > Homo > Homo sapiens. The sequence goes on along the minus strand of NC_000002.12, from coordinate 168,225,041 downwards.
AACTGCTGAGTCCTAAACTTTGGTGTCTGTGTCCCTCAGAACCTCAAAGGGCAGTTTCCCTGTGACTTTTTAAAATGAGAACCATGTTCATGAAGTGCTGTCTTAGTTTCAGATCACTTGAAATGTAATCTGATTTGAGAGACAGTGTTTAAGCTCCTGTTTACCAAAAGGCTGTTTTGATTATCATTTTGCAGGAATTGTTGCTGGGTAAAAGACAAATGAACAACGTACTCAGAAGAGATGACCAAATGGTCTGATTTCATGTTGGAAAGTTTCTTCTGGTGGTCTTGAATCTGCGTTTTAATCTCCTTAAAAATGCCTTTTTAGCACATAAGCAAAATTAAACATTATTGTTTTATTAAAAACTATGCAGTGCTCCTTATTAGTTAGGAGAAAAATCTCTTAAATCCTTTTTGTTAAGGACATGTGTAATTTAAGGCTTTCATTTTGACAGCCTGGTTTCAGCTGACAGGTATGTTAATCTCTATTTGATTGCTTTGGTGAGGAGTTGAAAATCACCTAATGCCTGGCTTAGTGTGCATTTGTAAATGCGCTTTCTTTTGGTTTTCATTTCATGCAATAATGAAATGAATTTTCCTACTGTTATTTTGTTATAGATTGATGGTTTATCTGATTACCAGATTTAAATAAACAGTTGAACCATATTCCCTTTGACTGTGTCCCCTTGTTTATCCTTTTTTATTTGAATGCTGATGGGTCTTTATAAGCATTATTATCAGCATTATTATCAGTACATATGTATGTATAGAGCCTCTTCATCAGTTATCTTGTAGCATAACAGTGCTCTAAGAAAGCGATTTTTTTTTGTTGTTTGTTTTTTTAGTTTAAGAATTTCCTATTCTTTTCTATTTTGGTTTAATTTTCATTACTCTTTTCTTTCTCCCCTTATAAGTGCCAAAGTTTATGTGAATATGATTATATATAGAACATATGACTATATATAATCTTTTTTTCTTTATGTTTACAGAGGCAAAAGATATATTTGTGTGTTTATGTGTGTAAAGTAATACATGACAAAAGAAAAATTATGTGTAATAGAAGTAATTTGACTCTGGGGAGAATTTTACTTTACGTTTTGAGGTAGAGCAACCTTTAGAAAAAATATTCAAAGTCAAAATTCTGGGAGGGATTTTTTCCTCCATACCAGGAGGACTTTTAAAAGCAATTCAAGTCGACCAGATAATTCTGATACAAACATTTATGGAGCACCTGCCGTGTGCCAAGGACTGGACCAATTACTCAGCATACTTGATGCCTGATCCGTTCCTCATTCCTGCGAGGGTTGGTGTGATTATCTCAGTTTTACAAATCAGGAGGCAGAGACTTGGATGATCACAGTCAGTTGAAGGTCACGCAGCTGGATCTGAACCTAGTCTTGGCTGTTTGCAAAGCTGTCACCCTTGCTATGGTCCTCTTTGCCTCCTTCACTTTTGCTGTCTGACCTAGCTTTATGATTCTCAAACTTCAGGATAAGAAGTGAATTTTCTTTTCTTTTTTTTTTTTTTTTTTTGAGACGGAGTCTCACTCTGTCACCCAGACTGGAGTGCAGTGGCGCAATCTCGGCTCACCACAACTTCTGCCTCCTGGTTCAAGCAATTCTCCTGCCTCGCCCTCCCGATTAGCTGGGATTACAGTCACGTGCCACCACACCCGGCTAATTTTTTAGTATTTTTAGTAAAGACGGGGTTTCACCATGTTGGCCAGGCTGGTCTTGAACTCCTGACCTCAAGTGATCTGCCTACCTCAGCCTCCCAAAGTGCTGAGATTATAGGCATGAGCCACTGCGCCTGGCCAAGAAGTGAATTTCTAGAAGAAAGGTCCCTATTTTTAAAGTAGCATCACTTGGCAATTGGAGGAAACTCCAGGCAGACCCTGGTTCAGAGCCCAGTGGCATCATTTGCTAGCTTTATGACTGAGAGCCAGTTACTTGGCTCAGTGTGTTTTGTGGTGTTTCAGCACCAAATCTGGACCATCATATTGGCCTTGCAGAGTTGTTTTAAGGATTAAAGATCATGAATGTGCAATACATAGTAAATGACAATGATGATTATGATAATAGCAGTTAGCACTGAGGAGTTGTTATTACTTGTCAGCTCCTGGGCTAAATGCATTTCATATTTAGCTCATTTAGTCCATACAACAACCCAATGGACAGGTATTATTGTCTCTGTTTTACATGGAAAGAACTCAATGTGTGAAGTCTCTTGTTATTTATATTTTCCACATCAGTGTACCCCTCCATTGGTATGGCTAATTGAGAATTCACTGACTAGAGAATTCACCGTCATGCAATAAACATTAGTTAAGCACCTCCTATAGGGTAATTAAGATAGATAAAAGTTCTCTTTTCAAACCTTATATTTTAGTGATTACTTTTTACCTATTTATCCTCTAACTGGTTTTATTTGTGGTGTTAAAAAGGGATTAATCTTATGGTAGCTTAAGCACTTAAACATTTCACATACAGGGAAATCATGAATGGAAATGCTTACTTTCCAAACCACTTTTTATGTGTCTTCAAAATAATTAATGCTACTACATTGGTAAAAAGGCTCAGAAGATATGAGGAGATGAGGAATCTTCTAAAAATACCCTCTTACTACTCCTCTCGTTCTTTCTTCCATCACGCAAAGTACCTAAAAATGCAATTGATAAAATAAGTTGCATAAAGCAGCAATCCTCATGGCCTGTCATCTCTCCAGAGCAATGATGGGGACATTGGGAGGTTTAGAAAAGTTATTAGCATTAATGCTAAAGTGCTGACAGCTGAAAAGAGCACAGAGGAATTCTGGCAGTGGACTCACAGTTCATTATAGCAGGGAGAGAGATTCCTACACCAAGTGAAAACACTGTAGGGTTTCGCTCATGTGCTCCCCACCATTGAAACCAGACTGGAATATTCAGCCAAAACAGCAGACTGTTAGATATTTAAAAGAAGGAAAAAAGATGCAAATACACTACTCTATAAACATGCCTGTCATCTCCTGGCTGGTAGTTCAAGGTGCCATGTGGGTTAGGAAAGTTCTTCCTTCCATGTTAGAGAAAGTGGAACCATACTTATTAAATCGTGAAACAGGGTGGGAAGAGTGGAGAGTCTATTCTTTAGAAAGACCTGAGCAACTGTGAGCTGGCTGAAGGTCAGAATTTAAATCTCCCTGCTTTTTCTTGATCAGACGATGGGTTAATTATCCTCCATCTCTTTATTCGGTCTTTGTTGCGCCCCGGTGAGTGCCAGCGTTGCTACATCTTGGTGATCCAAAGAAGAAGTGCCCTTTACGGTCTGACCTTGAGGAACTTGGAAAGTCTGCAGGAGAGAAACAAACAGGGAAATGATTATACCCTTTGAGGTAATTCTCTGGTGGAGGTGTGGTAACTAATCGTTCCATCTCCAAAGTCCTCCTGTCTTTCATCAGTAGCATGTTATATAGTTGTACTGTTGATCCTAAAGGAAGGGATTTCAATTCCAACTTGGAAATTCCAGCCATCTATTCTGTCTTGCGGACTAGTTGTCTTGTTCCAAGATAGACTAGTAGTGAGAGACAGGACTAATGTTTTCATACAACTTTGCCATTTTGTTCATAAAAAGTTTTTGAAGTTTAGTGCTGCCTATACAAACATGGTTAAATGCTAACACTAACTGAATATACATGTAAGTGTGTGTGTATTTGTTTTTTGACACGCATGTATTAACATAATGTTCTAGCTTGTATGTAAACTCTGGACTCTGAGACAATCAATGTTTAAACTTTCAACAAGGAAGAGAAATAACGAAAAGAAACAATGGTTTTTTTGTTGTACCCAGCAACTAAATTTACCATTGTTCTAAGAACTCGACAAATGACCACAGGATGTGAACTTAATCGAGTTGTGCCTTTGAACAAAGGTATCCTAGTGATAGTGGAATTTTTTACTTCCTATCATCCTGCTCATGTGTTCACTTGCCTGCCTCTTCTGAAATCACCAGCAGTTCAGTATGACTTAACCAAGTAAATGAATTACTGCAATGCAAAAGAAACCAACCCAGGAAACAAGAGGAATCACCATTATTTCTGACTCTGTCTCCTAGATCAGCATTCGAAGCCAAAGATTTCCACCTTTTACTGGAAAAATACTAAATGAAGTGACTCACTTTTAAAAAAATGACCCCTGCAATGCAGCCTAGATTTAATTGAAGGTGGTATTTAACTGAAAGTGAGGGCAGTGTGTATAATCTTAATCTCCTCAGTCGGACACATGTTCAATTGTATTATCTTTGAGAAAAAGTTTTTATTGCATCCAGAAGAAACTAAGCAAGCATTTAATGGAGAACTGTTAGGAACCAAAATTTCCCTAGAAATATTGCCTTTGATTTTATGGAATATTTTTCTTGATGCAATTGAAATGACTTGCCTTTGATTTTGACATCTCTTTTGGCGTTGACTATACATGTCATCTCTTTGGGAGAGGAGAGCTGTATCCATGTTAGTCATCTCTTTCACCTATCAGTGCTCTATTAATCGCTGCTCTGCCAAGTACTTTTTACATGCACATCTCATTTAAGATTGATATCAAGCCAATGAAGAAAATGAAGCCAAAGATTTAAAATATTTGCTAGGGTCAAATTGAGTTTCTCACTCTCCAGAGTCTGTAAATCCCCTCTTAACCATTATGCTGTGCTGCTTAGAGTGGTTTTCTCTTTGCCCCAGGAGAACTCTCACTAGATAAACCAACAGCATATTCAGTACATGTGTGTTGCTTCTCAGCAGAGAAGTTCTCAGCTTTGTTGGGCATTTGTTGCTGTTGCGAATTGAGTTGTTTAGTTTCCTTTCATTATTGGCACATGCTTGTGATCCCAGCACTTCGGAGGCTGAGGCAGGAGGATTGCTTGAGGTCAGCAGTTTAAGACCAGCCTAGGCAACATAGTGAGACCTTTATCTCTATTTATAAATGTATATATTATTCACATTAAAATTTGTTAAAGAACAACTTTGATTATCATCATTATTCAAATACTCAAGCAAAGGAAGGCTCTCCATCTCTTTCCTTGGACAGTACCTCATAGCATACCATTATGTTTCAAGGTGCATTCTATAGTAAGATGAGCAGATAATGCTTGGATGATAAAGTTTAAAGTAAACTTGTAAATCAAAATTTGCAAAAAAAAAAAAAAAAGCAAGAAAAGTAGGTTAAAGGAACTTGACGTCTCCTTTTTAATATCAAGGTAACTTGTCAGGGCCTGGAAGGCATCTATCAAGTTGTGAACACTGTCTCGTCTTTTTAAATGGTGATTCTAATAAATGGCTTTTTTAGTTTCTAAACCTGGACCATTAGACAACACTGAGATTGGTAGGAGAGCAATTGTGAGACCAGAGTTTTGTTGCATTGAGAGGAGTGCTTGCTTGCCCCAGACCACTTGGAGAAAAAGTCAGGAATGGGTTAGATATGTTTTCTTTTTCTTTAGCTAAGGGCATCTGTCTGACTGGCATTGGGTTTGGACAGTAGAGGGATAGAGGAGACCTACACACAACTCTCTATGATTTAGTAGGAGGCAAGGAAGTAAAAGAAGTCACAGAAAAGCCTCCTTCTCCCTGAGGAAGTGGACAGAGATAGAGACCTCTTCCGTCCAGGGTAGGAAGTCCCCATAGTGCCTGACTTATCTGTATTCTGCTAGGCTTTTGAGCAATAAATTGAGAGTTAAGTGTATGTGGAAAGTATCTGAACACACCGAAAATATCTGAAGATTTTTTTTTTTTTTGAAACAAGAGTCTCACTCTGTCACCCAGGCTGGAGTGCAGTGGCTCAATCTTGGCTCACTGCAACCTCCACCTCCTGAGTTCAAGCGATTCTCCTGCCTCAGCCTCCCGAGTAGCTGGGATTACAGGCATGAGCCACCGCGCCTGACCCTCTGCCTACTTTTTAGAGTGCTATCATCTCACTTTTTCTTCCTTAATATACAAATTATGTGAATCTTTCAAGGTTCCACCTAAATGCCCACCCCAAATTCTTGATTCATATGATTCTTAGGGAAAATGACCTGTAGCTGTGTAATGTAGCAGCTTGGGCATAATTATAGCTTATTTCGTCTGGTAGCTTTTTAAGTTCCTGAAGAATAAAAAGCATGCCTGTCCTGAGTTTTATGTAGTAAGATTTAACACGGTTCGTACCACTAGTTGGGAGCTGGTTGTTATTTGTTGAATGGATGCATGAACTTCTGTCAATCTTTTGATTCTCCTAATAGCTTTCTCTGTGTTTAATTGAGGCTTTCCCCACGTCTTTTTCAGAGTCTAGAGCTTTTGGAATCTGCTTTTATTTCTTAACACTTGATTTTTTTGGGGGTGGAGGAGGAGTGTATTCTGTGTTCTTCTGTTTGTTCTCTATGGCTGGAATTACTTTTGGAAAGATGTGACACTGTTTCGATTTTGTCTCTGAGCCTTTTTACTCAGACAAAATCACAGGAGTTTCTCTCAGGACAGTCATGTTCTTTAGGTGACTTGGCCCTTGCTCTAGCAAGCCTACCTTGGTTGAGCGTTTGGCTAGGAGAAGTGGGAGAGCAGTTGACGCAAATACCGCTGTCCTATGACCTGACCCTGGTATGCATGGTGCTGTGCCCTACGGTCACTATTTTTGATGATAGGACTTTGTCCAGTCAGCTTAGCGGAAAAGATCATACATGTTGAACACTGCGAAAGTGAACTTTCCCAAGATATTCTTTTGGGGAATTTTCTGAGCTTTTGTGGTTCTTTACAAGTTACTTGTCTAATTTGTACATTCACCTCTGCTGTCCCATGGGCCTTGGCAAGTGACAGCTGCAGTGCCGATGTTTCAGAGTAGAGAAGCTTTGTTAGAGTGTGGGGTTATCTGGGAACTCTCTTCCAATTTATGTGGTCTAGTTCTGTTTAAATTCTTTCTCCATTACAATTCCCTTTAGCAAAAGTTATGCCAGTAATTTCCATTTATTGCCTCCTTAATGATGACATGGTGTTAAAAGATGTTTATATGATCCTACATATCTTAGTACTTTCAAAATAAAGAGACTTTTAGTGATTTACTGCTAGGAGGCTATTTCTGTCTAAATCATGATAACATGGACGTGATCTTAGAATTAGTAGTTATGCTTTTTTCTTCCTCCCCTCCATAGGAGACTATGTTTCTAGGGCTGGCTTTGACTATTAAATATGTCTACAGTCAGTCCTCCATGTCCATGGCTTCTGCATTTGTGGATTCAGTTAAATGTAGATTGAAAATACTTGGAAAAAAATGGATGATTGCATCTGTACTGAACATGTACAGACTTTTTTTCTTGCCATTATTTCCTAAATGTTATAGTATAACATCTGTTTACATAGCATTTACTTTGTCTTAGGTATTACTCTAGACATGATTAAAGTATACAGGAAGATATGCATAGGTTATATGCAAATACTACATCATTTTATACAGGGTTCTTGAGCATCCATGAATTTTGGTACCAATCCCCCACGAATACTGAGGGGCAACTGTATATCTTTTTTCTTTTGTGGGAAGTGGGGCCAAGGATCGGATAATCTGTGATCCTCACATAAAAATATTCTGAAATGTCAGTTTATATGATTCTTTGATTTTTCCAGATCTATATTTCTGTGGTATAGGAAGGTAATAAAGGTTACGATAAAGAAACAGAGTATTCCCCGTCCTGCATCCGGATACTGGCCTTTTTCTGATTGATAGAAATTGGGGTTTTCTAATTCATGCTGAATCTGAATCTCCTCCTCCAATAATGAAGGTCCATAGGAAATTCTACCAGGTGGATCTGTAATGGAACATGTTCCCTGTGTGACTTAAGGAATTCAGACTCATTACTTTCTAGGCACCCTTGGTGGAATGTTCTTCAATAACATGGGAGAGTGGGATGCTTTTGAAGACACAGGTAGAGCTGCAGAGAAACACGTAATCACTGATTTTCGTGTTGTGAGTTTATTCACATCATAGGATAATGGCTTGTGGAAATACAACCCTGGCAGGTCTGAGCAGTCTTCTTTTCCCAACAGAGCATGTCTGCTTCTGCTGAGAACCTAGGACTAGAGCTCACCATATTCCAACCAGCGCCCCTCTGGGCTCCTGGGCTGGCTTTTAAAAAAGCCTTGTTCCTAGCGGGTTGGTTGGGTAAAGCTTCCTGGTATGGGAAAGGGGCAGGTATGCAGGTAGTCACCAAGCTGGGGAGTGCCTGGCACAGAGCCGGTGACCAAGACCTCTCAGGAGATGAAAGTCCGCTGCTGTTCATGAGATCATCCATGCCTAAGAGGTGTGGCGGTGGCATTAGCCTTGGCTTTAGAAAGTTGAAAGCACACGAATAATGTCTTCTTTTGAAGGTGGCTTATAACAACGTTTCTTTGCCTAAAAACTCGTATTTCTGTCAGGTTTGCTCAAGCTGAGGATGGCGATTTGCCACTTCATTAGATGACTCACGTCACTGAAAAAAGACATTTAGCCCCTTCTCCTGGACTGTCCAAACCTAGGAATTTCCTGCAGGAATGCCAAGGAGATCTTCAAACAGCCAAACACAACTTTTGCCTTGGTGTGCAGGCGTGCTTCTGTTTCTGTCAAAATAAATTAGGCTGCTAAGTCGTAAATTAGGAAAATATTTTGCTACTTGTGTTTCTTATTTAGCAAGTAGAATAAATAGCTGGCCTCAAAACAAAACAAAAACCCAAACCAACCTCAAGTCGATTGACAGAAGATGATTCTGCCTTTGCCAAGAGTGAGGACGTACCTTCTCTGGGAGACAGGAAGCCTTCATCTGTCTCCCTCTGATTTGACTCAGTCCTTACCTTCCATGTACCTCTGGTCAGGTCACCTTGCCCATTTCTCCCATTGCCCTTCATATTGGGTTGGGGTTTGCAGGCCTAAGGAGGAAGCACGGGAGGCCTATCCATATCTGAACTCTGTTTCCTGTCTCTCTTCCACCAATGTGAGGTTTCTCCTCACATTGCTTTTACCCAATACATGAAAGATTTCCTTTGTCAAGCTTATTGGAATGCCCTGTGGGAGGGATGCTATGCAAAAACATAAATGTATTGCATAACTGCCCAGTCCTTAGAGATGCTAGAGCATCCTTGGCACCTTCACAGACCCCACTCTCTGGTCAGTCCCTAGAGAGCAGGGTGAGGTGCACTTGAGAGGTGGCTTTGTCCTCTACCCCAGTACCATGGTCCATGGTGATGACCTTTATCCCAGCTCTGATAAAAGGCTATTTTAGGTTTTCTAAAATACAGTTCCTCACCTAGCCCAGAAAGGAATATTTCCATTTTTTCCCCCTTTCCTCTTGTCTGATTATTTCCAGCTGCTGTTCCTTTACACGTCAGATTTGTTTCTCCTGTGTCACCTTGAGGCAACTGACATTCGTGACTAATTATTAGAAAGGGCAGCCTTTTAGTTTATTTTGATGAAAAAGTCTCAGAGAACTCTGTTAGATACACTGTATTTGAGCAGGTGACATGTTGATGTTTGGGATTTGGGAAACAGATCCAGCAAAAGTAGAGTTTTTAGCATGGTAGCTGGAGGAGTCAGAAGGTCCAAGGAGAGCTTCATGAACTTATTTATTGCTAACGCCCTGTGTATTCTCTGAACTAATTCCAGGCTTTTAAACTTAATACCAAACAGCCAGGCCAGGTGGTCACGGGGCTTACGGAAGGGTCATCTTGGAGCAAAGAACCACACAATGAACTCTTATCCAGCTAACGTTTTTTTTCTCCCCTGTAAAATCAAATTAAATCAACCTCAGTTTGGAGGATGTGGAAATGGGGGGAGAGTATGATTGGAGTCCTGGCCATTTGGTAATGCCAGTGGTTTGTGGGAGCAGTCTGGCTATGAAGGATGCATAAAAAACAACTCTACAATTTAAACTTATTTCAGAAAAGGGCTTTTTGTTTGGCACACACTGTTGCAAGCCATTTTTGATCCTTCATTGTGAAACCTTCATTCGTTGGCATATTATATAAGGTCAGCGCAAATACGGTGTTGAAAACACATGGATCATGGTACATCCCTAGAGCTGTAAAAGAGACTGATAAAAGATGGTATGTACTAACATGAAGAGAGCTCCAAGAGATATACTACTGGGTAAAAACAGCAAATGACAAAATGAAGAATAGAGTTGCTACCAAAAAGGGGCAGCAAACCAATACACTCTTTTGGATTTCCAGTGTAGAGGAAAATCTTACCTCAGTTCGTGGCACACAGTTATCAGTGGTCTGGGCAGGACCTTTTTCAGAATTACCCTGTACAACATTATTTCTTGACTTTCTTTTATCCTTATTCCCTTACTCGTGCCTTTCCCCCTTAGTCAACCTTTTGAATATTTATGTATATCCTTTGTATATATTCTTGTAAAACATGTTATTATTTTACATGCTTCTTTTTCTGAGGTGTAATCCACATAACATAAAATTATCCATTTAAGATTAACAATTCAGTGGCATTTAGTACATTCACGACGTTGTTTAACCATCACCTCTGTCTAGTTCCAAAACATTTCCACCATTCCCCATACCATGAAACAGTTACTTTCCATTTTCCCTTCTCCCAGCCCCTGGCGACCACCTGTTCTGGATATACGTCATATCCAGAATACAAATGGAATTAAACAGTATGTGATTTACCTATTCTGGATACACTATCCAGAATATAAATGGAATTAAACAATATGTGATCTTTCGCATGCATGTATTTTCAAATCAATCTTTATTGAGATCTAATTTACGTAGATAAAATGTACCCACTTTTTAGTGGACCTTGTGTTTTTTTTTTGTTGTTGTTGTTGTTATTTTTGACATCTTTCACATTTGCTTACAGCAACCCCACTAGGCAGGCACCGTCATCACCCTGTTCTGCAGATGAGGCTTGAGGCTCAGGGATGCCGAGTGACTTGCCTGGGATTGCATGACAGCTTAGGATGTGGAGGTGGGCAGGCTGGCTCTAGAGTCCATGCTGCTCCACCACTGTTGTCCACCGGCCTCTCAGGTCTTCACGTGGGCGATTTCAGAGCCTGCCTTTTTCCACACAACATTATACTGTTTATCAGGTTGATAAAAAGTGGCTATAGAATATTCTACTATTCGTATATACCATAATTGAACTACTTAGCCTTTGATGGATTTTTAGGATGTTTCTAATTTTTGTTTGTCAGAAACCATATTGAAAGGAACATTAAGGATTAAAGAAAATTCTAAAGTCATATATATTCATTATAGAAATATGAGCAAGCAAGGAAAATAAGCTAAAAACATATAAACATTCCCCCCAAGGTTAACTGCTCTATGCAGTTTTTCACATGGTGTTCCAGTTTGTCTTACACTTTTTTTTTTTTTTTTTTTTAAATATGGCTGGCTTTTGTCACCCAGGCTAAGCTGGAGTGCAGTGGTGTGATCTTGGCTCACTGCAACCTCCACCTCCTGGGCTCAGGTGATCCTCCCACCTCAGCCTCCCGAGTAGCTGGGAATACAGGCACACATCACGATGCCCGCCTAATGTTTTTGTTTTTTGTAGAGACAGGGTTTTGCTATTTTGCCCAGGCTGGTCCTCTATATATTTTTTTTTAATAGGAAAAAAGCACTTGAGAAAGGACGATATCATAAATGAAGTTTTGTAATAGAAAGTTTATAGTATACTGTGAACATCTTTTTATCTAACAATAGTGAATATTTACTAAGTGCTTAACACATGACAGGGACTATTTTCATGTTTTACCCTACTCATGGCAATCATTTGAGGTATGTGGTTATTATGGCAGATGAGATTTGTGTGTTTTTAAATCTACACAAATAGTTTTGTGCTCTAGCACTTAGTATTTCTCACTTTCTAAATTCAGCGCTATGTTCTTATGATTAATCCATCTATCTACCTTGTTAGACATTTGCTGTCACCATGGGTTTCCTTATCTCTTCTTGCAACTCCCAGTTTCCACACACAGCGTTGCAGGGAACATCTGTGAACATGCACTCATGGATCTGTGGGTCGAGTCACTGGGAGACACATCCAACAGGATGAATGGATCATGGGATATTTATGTACTTAATATGACTAAATATTGGCAGAGGCAGATTCTCCTCCATAATGGCTATCCTGGAGTCTATACTCTTCTGCTTTATCTTTTTTGTGGTTTCAAGGATGTATGTATAAATGGCTAGGAAAAAGGACCAGAAAGAGATATACCAAACCAGTAACACTGGGAACATTTACAAGGAACCCAGGAGGGAGAGGATGATCGGAGGACCCTTAGGCTGTACTGGTCATGATATGATGTGTTGTAAGGACAGTGTCTTCACGTGTAACTTACTATTATAATTTACTGTTTACAAAAAAGGTCTGAAATGTGACCTTTACCTGAAGTTTACAGGGCTATGCTATGAACACATTTCAAGTTGTGAATGCCTGGTTTAAGGTTAGTCATGGAGCATGGAATGAGTTCTTCTTTGCAACTTAGTGCTCTTTGAGGCATGCTCTAAACAGTTATCAGGTTATACCAGTGAGCCCTTTTCAGACATTTAACTGAGGTTTTTCACATCTCACATGGCTCAGAGAGGTTGAGTAATTTTCCCAGGAGCACAGGGTCAGGAGAGTTGGCCAAGGCAATGTGGAGAGGTGGGTCAGAACAGACAACTTCATGAATGAAGGCTTGTTCAGGAGGGCTTATTGGTCTGTACTTAAGGTTAGGGAGGAAGTCGGTGCTCTTTCCCTGCAGGTGAGATGGGGAGGAAACATTCTCAAGAACAGTAAGTTTCAGTAGCTTCCTTACGCAAACACTCCACTGAACGAATATATTCGTCTGGTCTGTTTGTTAAGCACAAGGTATTCAGATAATCTTTGCCTGACAAGCTGCTTTTGTTTCTGTAAAAGGAAGGTAACAGGAAGGTCTTCAATTTACGACTCAAGCTTTCTTCTTTCACCTCTTCTAAAGTGAGAGAAACAAAGGTTCTGGATGACTGGATGAGATATTTTTTAAAGGTGCCATTCAGGTTCCTTTTGGGTATTAGTTTCAACTGAGATGTCTCATTCTTTCTGTGGAACTAAAACGAATAATGATCAGTAAGTCATTTTTGAAAGTAACTGTGACAGAGTGGGGCAGTTAACCACCACCTCTCCATTCCCAGCAGCTGGTATGCACACCCTGATTATGGTATAGACTTAGTTAATAAGAGAACCAGTGAGTGTTTGTGTCAGAATTTTGCTTTCAGAACCAGGCATAGGAATTTATACATGAACGCCCTGTGCAGAAAGAGGAGGTGTTTGCACACAGCTACACTGACAGATTATTTTCCACTCTTGCACAGTGACTAGTACAGATTCCTCTCATGAGCTCCTCAGAGACGTAAGACAGGGCGTTGATGATGCTTTATCAAGTAGACAGTATGTTTGCTACCCACAACTAAGTAAAATTAAAATATAAGAATAAATTGGAAGGCAGATGCAGATATAAAGTCCCATCTTTAAGGCAGGAATACTTCCTATCATCAAATATTACCCAGAACTCACTGGTTTAGAGGTTGAAGGCACAAAGCATGGTTGAGAAGGCTGAACTCCTGGCCTGTCTCTTCACAGGGTTGGTGAACTCTGGTAAACTCTAGAACAGAAATGACCCTTATAAACAGGTGCACATATGTGGTGAGTACCTGATGAATGTGTGCTGACCAATAAATAATTACTACTACTTCCTCTTGACTCATGTGTTTGAAATGAAGAACAGTCACTCTAGTTGCAGTCTATACTTGTGTGGAGCAGGGAAGTTGAGCAATACATCCATATTTAGTAACACTCTTGAGATGAGATAGATGGGGTGGGAGAGATAACAGTCATTCTTTGCCTTTTGGGTGGATCTAAGTTAAAATATTTTTATTGTCTAGATTTATAGCTAATTAATAATTTTTTTTGCCCTAGAATATTGAGGGTGCAAGATTTTAAAGTTGGATTTAGAGGAACTGAAGTTTCAGTTTGTTCATTGTGATTACGTAAATAGAGAAAACGGACTAATACGTTATACTTTCTCTTTTTAACCATATAATGACTACTCACCATTGAAATTTTGATGAGCATTTTTTTTGCCTTATTTCAGAGAAAGACAAGTGAAATTATAATTAAGTTGTATATTATTTTGTGTAGATTGTCTCTTCTCTAGTGTTCCTGCTGAAAACAAAGAGGAGATTAAAGATTTTCCTGTTCAGATTTTAAATCCGTTATTCAAAGTTTGAGGCTGGGCGCAGTGGCTCACGTCTGTAATTTCAGCACTTAGGGAGGCTGAGGTGAGAGGATCATTTGAGGTCGGGGGTTTGAGACCAGCCTGGCTGACATGGCAAAACCACATCTGTACTAAAAATATAAAAATTAGCCGGGTGTGGTGGCAGGTGCCTGTGGTCCCAGTTCCTAGGGAGGCTGAGGCAGGAGAATCGCTTGAACCCAGGAGGCGGAGGTTGCAGGGAGCTAAGATCATGCCACTGCACTCCTGCCTGGACGACAGAGCAAGACTTCGTCTCAAAACAAAACAAAACAACAAAGTTTGATAGTTTGCTTAACTAATGGGAGTAGGTGTCTTGATGTGTGTGCAGCTTGTATGATCCAGTAACTGATAATGAAGTTTGCAACATCTCTAAGTTAGAAATTTTAATGAAACCACAACATATTTTCTTTCATAGCAATTCTCTGAGCCAGCATTTCAAGAAGGGGTGGGAAAAAAATGGTGATAAATGACCTTTGAGGTGAACTTTTGATATTTGCATTGCAATTCTTTGGGTTTACACTTTTAATTTTTAAAATTGCAGGTGATATTTGTGAAAAGTGTCAGTTTCCAATATGTTCACAGTAGTGATAGTATGACTCAAAAGAAGTAAGCACATATATGCCTATTTTATCAATGGATGTCTTCAGAGTTGGTGTGCCATTTTTGCAGCATGGGTGAGAATTGAGGTTTTTCTAATTACATGAGTTTCTTTCTTCCTTCCTTCCTTCCTTCCTTCCTTCCTTCCTTCCTTCCTTCCTTCCTTTCTTTCCTTTCTTTCCTATTTTTTTTTTTTTTTTGAGATAGAGTCTCACTTTGTCACCCAAGCTGGAATGTAATGGTGATCTTGGCTCATTGCAACCTCTGCCTCCCAGGCTCAAGCAATTCTCTTGCTTCAGCCTCCTGGATAGCTGGGATTATAGACGCCTGCCACCACGCCTGATTAGTTTTTGTATTTTTAATAGAGACTGGGTTTCACCATGTTGGCCAGGCTGGTCTCGAACTCCTGACCTTAAGTGATCTGCCTGCCTCGGCCTCCCAAACTGTTGGGATTACAGGCGTGAGCCTCCGCACCCAGCCTAATTACATTAGTTTCTTTCTTTTCGTTTGTTTCTGAGACAGAGTTTTGCTCTTGTCGCCCCAGGCTGGAGTGCAGTGGTGCGATCTCGGCTCACTCCAACCTCTGCCTCCTGGGTTCAAGTGATTCTTCTGCCCCAGCCAACCGAGTAAGTAGCTGGGATTACGGGCATGTGCCACCGTGCCCGGCTAATTTTGTATTTTTAGTAGAGATGGGGTTTCTCCATGTTGGTCAGGCTAGTCTCAAACTCCTGACCTCAGGGGATCTGCCCACCTCCGCCTCCCAAAGTGCTGGGATTACAGGCGTGAGCCACCGCGCCAGGCCTTACATTAGTTTCTTATAGTAAGAGAAAGGTTTCAAAGTTATATATATCTAAGAATACACCTACCTTCATAGTTGAGCTTTTTTCCCCAAAATACATGTTTTTCTGGTGGTCTCTGTATTTTCCATCACTTTAAAAAAATCTAACTTATTAAAAGTTATTTGATTTTGCTTAAGACTTTCATCATCATCAGTAAAAATTTATGAGACTGCTTCTGTGCATTTGCTTCCTACGGGCCTAGGGGTGCAAAGGAAAGGGGTAGAATCTAAGATTCTAGGGTTAACCAAAATCGAAGGTTTGTAGGCTTCTCTGAATTTAGGTGGAAGAAGGTGGAGAATGTGATTCTGGGTGGTATTGTGCTATCCTTGGGATAGCCACTAAGCTTGTTCTACCAGTCAGGCTGGGCTGAGCTATGGTATGGTAGCAAACAACCCCACATCACAGGAGATTAGCACAACACAAGTGTATTTCTTGCTCTTGCACTTCCCTGTGACTGTGGGAGATATCTTAAGTCAGCTGTCCTTCCTGCAGCAACTCAGTCAGCTTCAGTCTTGTGGCTCCATCCTCTGTTATCTCTAGCAGCAGGAGGGGAAGAGTCATGGGAGCACTGCTCAGGGGCTTCCCCGCCTCAGTGATGGAGAGGTGCTCATCATTGCTCACATTTCACTGGCCAGAACAAGTCACGTGGTCCTGCCTATTTCAGGGTAGTGCAGTGCTTTTGTGCTCAAGAAGGAGACATTTGTAAGCCCTAGTAATGTCTATCACACGTGTCTAAATGAGAATTGGAATCTTGGAGAAGACATTGGAACTAGAGATGAGAATGTGAAAGATGTTATGTACAGAAAAGAAAATGGTGGAGTGGATTCATAAGGGAAAGCACATAATTACGGAGGGTACAGTTTTCCATAATGGTGTCTCTGCATGTATCTTTATTCACAACCCAAGCAATATGCTACCCTGGACTAAAAATATAAGGATAGTCGTAGCCACTGTCAGAAAAGTCAGAAAGTTTCTGTTGGTTCTGTTGTTGATTTGTGTGCTATGTGGACATTGTCTGCCTCCAAAAGTGTACTTTCACTTGATCATTTTAGGGTTATATAGTCCAATAGGTTAGCAGATCCTTAAATCTTGTTGGTGACAGGTTGTATTGGCCAGAGCTTAGGTGATAAGCTGGTGAAAATGCCTAATTTTAAATCTCAATGGGATTAGGAGAGAGTTTATATATCTTCTTATACATATTAAACATTATGAGGACACTTTCTATTACGTTTTTTCTCAGGAGTGTTCATTACATGACCTTGACATTGGAATGTATGACCATATTTCTGCTCCTATCCCCAGAACATCTCCGGAGAAGGAGCCTGCTGAGTCAAATAATGAGCCAGTTTCTGTGGGTTTTACTGCCTTGGTTCTTCCTCTCTGATCTTGCCTTTCCCACTACTGTTCTTCCTTCTCAGCTATTCTTCCAGTTTACTCTTCCCTCCACTTTTGCTTATTAAGGTGTGGACTTTGGGAGTAGACCGACCTCAGTTGGGATCTCATTCCTGTGATTAGCTCTTTGACGTTGGAAAAATCACTGTCCAAACCTCACTGTCCTTATCTGTAACACGAGGCTAAATACTTGTAATTTATGCAAAAACAACAGACACGGTACCTGGTATGTTTTTATTGCTCAGTAAATTTTAGTTAACCATTAGCATCATTGTCATGTTCATTTCAAGGCTCATCTCAAATAATTTTTTCATGATAGCTTTAAAATTTTTTTTGTATTTCACCAAGGCTGTGGATATGATTTACTCCATGGAACTCAGAAATCACTTTATATCTCCTCTGACATTTCGTATTCTTTGTGTGTGAATATACTTGAGTACATCCCATAGGGCAGTGGATATCCTTTCTTCATTGCTGTATCTTCTGCATTGCCTTCATTTAGGTGGTGCAAATAATATGTACTCAAAGTTGAATTGAGTCAAAATGAGACATAAGGGTGGAGGCCTATCGTATATTTATAAAGCAGTCCACCTGGTTGAGTGAATTCTCATAAGCTGGAAATATAACTACCCTCGGAATAGTATTCAGTTACTTCCCTCGTTAGGGTGTGTGTATGTTTCTCAGTGTTTATGTAATTGAAACTGTAATGCAACAACAAAAAAGGAGAATTAAAGAAATAATAAAAATAATGCAAATGTTATAAAAGACAGTCACTATCATAGGGTAGCAGTTTACCAGAACTCAGAGGAGACCTTAGTGTGATCTTGGTCATTTATACTGCTGAAAAGGTAGCTTTCATATCTTTATGCTCAGCTGCTTGCAAGGTTCACAACTTTAGGATTGGTTCTGCATGTGTAAAGCTATGCCTGATAAGGCAAAAGAGGGGTATAAATGAATCTCACCTGAAATTGGAGTCTTGTACAGTGAATGGGTTTACCTGGAGTTGTGTTCATATTGTGAACCCAGCTTGTTTTAATGGAGGTTTCCATTAGTCTTCCTGCCTGTGTTCTCAGGGTATTATAAGAAGCATGAAGATGTGTGTGAGCTTTCTCTTCCTTAATCACTTGAAATTGATCACTGTCTTTGAATACCGGACCCGTAAAAATACCCTTTTAAGAAGTCCTTATTTTTTCATTTCTTTAATTCTCTGCCAGAAGTGAGTGGAATATTGGGTGTCTGTTTTCTAGATCCATAACACCATAAAATGTTAAAGGATGTACTATGCTGAGAAAAGTACTCCCATTTTATATTTAGGGATTATGTGATCTGCCCAAAGTCACACAGGGAATCAAGAGTCTAGATCTCAGCCGGGCGTGGTGGCTCATGCCTGTAATCCCAGCACTTTGGGAGGCCGAGGCAGGCAGATCACCTGAGCTCGGGAGTTGGAACCAGCCTGGCCAACATGGCAAAACCCCGTCTCTAATAAAAATAACGAAAATTAGCTGGGTGTGGTGGCGGACGCTTGTAATCCCAATGACTTGGGAGGCTGAGGCAGGAGAATCACTTGAATCCAGGAGGCGCAGGTTGCGGTGAGCTGAGATCGCGCCATTGCACTCCAGCCTGGGCAACAAGAAAGAAACCCCGTCTCAAAAAAAAAAAAAAAGAAAGAAAAGAAAAAGAGTCTGGATCTTGTTTCTGCTGCAACACTTGACTCATCAGGTGTTTTTCTGTGCTTGTGCTAGAAAGGTAGGAATTGTACTGTATGCACTGGATGTGGATAGATATGCCAGCTGTGGGCCTATGTGGAGGCAAAAGGAGGCCCTCATGAGGACATTGCTGTCAGCGATTGTGGTAACTACAGAGAATATGCTATGCTTTGGTGGTAGACCAGATGAATATTATAGGACTAGTAGAGTTATATGAATTGGGGGCTTTGATTTGAAAATCTGTTTAAAGGGAACTGATTGCTAAAACACATTTCGTTGTTTTTCTTGCCTTAATTGCCAAGATAAGGGATTATAGGATTGTGTTCTACTGAGACACTTTTTCAAAAATTTGCCACTAAGGGAGTTGAATTCATATACAAAAAATTCGTTATAATGTATTATAATTGATATAATTTTCTTTATTTTTAAATTATTTTTTATTTTGTTGAGACAGGGTCTTGCCATCTTGCCCAGGTTGGAGTGTACCATCATGGCTTACTGCAGCCTTGAACTCCTGGGCTCAAGCTATTCTCCCACCTTAGCCTCCCGAGTACTTGAGACTACAGAGACGTGCCACCACACCCGGCTAATTTTATTTTATTTTTTGTAGAGTTGAGGTCTTGCTATACTGACCAGGCTGGTCTTGAACTCCTGGCCTCAAGCAATCCCCGTCCCTCCCCACCTTCCTCAGCCTCCCAAAGTGTTGGGATTATAGGCATGAGCCACTGTGCCAGCCCATATATAAAATAATTTTCCATAGCAAGTAATTTAGATTTGGCTTCAGAAATTTTATTTTTTTAAGATTTAATATTATAAAGTAATTTTTTAGTTGCAATTCAATATATGCTCATTGAAGAAAAATTGGAAAATACAGAAAAGGACAAAGAAGAAAGTAAAAGTCACTCATAGTGGTATCTTCAAAAGATAACCACACTTAATATTTTGGTGTTTCCTGTATACTCACAAATTTGCAATTAAGTTGTACATAATGTTTTATAACTGGTTTTAATTTAATATATTATTCATTTTCTCATTCTAAAATGAATGCAGTGTTATTTAAAAATTGCTTTCAACATTTTCATTAAAAATTTTCAAACATGCAGCAAAGTTAAAATTGGTACTGAATACCCATCTCTCCATCACCTATATTCTACCATTAATATTTACCATACTTGCTTTATCACTTACCTGTTCATCTCTCCACCCCCTCTATTCATCCATTGATCCATCTTGTTTGTTTTTCCGTACATTTCAAAGTAAATTTCAATGCAGTGTATTATGTTTAACCAAGCTGGTTTGCCTTCTTAATTGTTTTTGGTTTACACCAGTATACAAAGGAATTCGTATTCTCTGAGGATATACAACTGACAGCCCAGGGAACTTGCGGAGAGTATTTTGTTGGGTGTAGTGAAAAAGGACATCCAGGGATTTAAAATTTGCCTTGGAATAGAGTTAAATGTATGCATTATTAGCATTTGAGATAGCACAAAAGAACCATTAAAAACGATCATCTCCTTTTTACCTGCTGTTATGCCTAATTCAGACTCTAGCATGGGGACAAGGAAAATCTTTAGAGGGAAAGAAAAAGCTGCAGAAAGAAAATCATACTTTCTGTAGCTTTCCTCACTGCTAGAGACCTCAATGCTTGGTAGGTTGTGAACATGGATTGACTTGTTGGCAGGAAAAGCACTTCAGAATCGTTTCCTCCAGCCTACCAGTGGGACAGTTCAGTCCTAAATGTCCTGTGGATCCAGGTCTTGCCTTCCCTGGGCAGGGGTTGAGGGACTGTTGGTCTCGTCTGTAACTTGACTCTTGTTTCTGATGTGGCTAGATTTCCCGCCAGTTTACCGGGTCTTCCTATGTGAATGACAGATTCTTTCCTTTGTATTGGCAATGGTTGGTGGAGGATGGGGAGTGAGGTGGTGGGATAACCTTGGTGGGCTGAGGAAACCCGTGCTTGTATCTCTCTACCACCTCCTTTTAAAGGTGCCTTAAGGTGCCTGTCCCACGGGGTGCGGCAAGGTAGGGTGACCTCGCTTTATGTGCAGTTCCCAGCATAGCACCTTGTGTATTTAGGCATTTAGTAAATGTCCCTTGACAAGTAGACTGTCCCTGTTAAACCCTCAGAATCCCTGTAGTTGTTCTACTTTGCCAGCTAGCACCTGGTGCCTTTCACAAACATTTCAAGAACACATATCCATTCTTCAAACCTTATAATCTTAACTGTGTTTTCAAGTGGCTGGAGGCCCTTAAGATAGAGGAGCCTCTGTGTTTTTCCCCCTTTCTTTTCCCATGTTTCACATTCCAGGGTGTTCAGTCTCAGTATCACGTCAACACCATTTTAAGTGATAAGACGACTCAGCTCTGGCTGGGTGCGGTGGCTCACGCCTGTAATCCCAGCACTTCGGGAGGCCGAGGTGGGTGGATCACCTGAGGTCAAGAGTTCAAGACCAGCCTGACCAGTATGGTGAAACCCCGTCTCTACTAAAAATACAAAAAATTAGTGGGGCACGGTGGCTGGCTCCTGTAGTCCCAGCTACTTGGGAGGCTGAGACAGGAGAATTGCTTGAACCCAGGAGGCGGAGGTTGCAGAGAGCCGAGATTGTACCACTGTACTCCAGCCTGGGTGACAGAGCGAGACTCCGTCTCAAAAAAAACAAGACTCATCTCTGACGCTGGTGACAACTCTGACATGTTCTTTCTCGTAAACTCTACCTTGGATAAAGCACCTTCCTAGGAGTGGGTGTCTGTGGAGCCCCAACTTTATATGACCAAGGCAAAATGATCCTGTTTTTTTTTTCTTTTGTCTTCATCTTTTCTTTTTTTTCTTTTCCTGAGGGCAGTTGATTCTTGGACATTTTAGGCAGATTATTTTGTTTTTGGATAATCCATGTTCTTCCATGTTTCCTTCAGGCAGTTTTAGTTCTCCATGACTGAGCTAGCCAGGACCTTAATGGGTCGAAAGGATGTCTGGTTCTTCCTTTACCCCACTCCCCTTTCTCTTTCTTCTTTCAGGCAGAACCCCTCTAACTCTTAGAGCTGTGGTCCTCAGCTGAGGGAGATTTTTTCCTCTCTTCCCTGAGCCTCTGAAACAGTTTCCAGTGTCTGGAGACATTTTTGGTTACTGCGCCTGGGGAGATGTGGGGAAATGCTACGGCCGGGGATGCTCTAAACATCTTCAGGACACAGGACAGTACCTCACAACGAAGAATTATCCTGCTCAAAATGTCCGTATTGCCAAGGTGGAGAAACGCTGTTCTACTGATAGAGGTGCTCTGTTGAAAGTCTTCCTGTCAATAGCATTCTGTAACCTCCATGGCAGCATTGCACTCATCAGTATATCTGACTTGAGTCCTGCATGCTTCCGTTTGTTGCTCTTAAGGGCAAATGGAAATGCACACTTACCATACTCTGCATATGATCATACTCTCCCAGCTTCGTCTCAGTTCACTTTTAAAATTTATTGTTTTACAGCCTCTTTACTCTCTTTTTTTTTTTAATCTCTCTAGATGTTTCCCAGATTCTTCACATATTATGTTTCTGAAGTTGTAGTGATCCAATCCAGGCACAGCATTCTAGCAGTTTGGTCGCTGCTGCAAATGAGGGAAGTCGTTATCTTTGGGCTGGGGTTGGACAGAGCATCATGACCAACCATCTGTAAATGACCACTTGGAAAGCAAGAAGCAGTTATGTCTCCTGCTTGTTAGAGGGAGTCATGTGGAAGTAAAACTTTTTCATGTCAGAGAGACCTGGAAACAAATCTTTCTTCTGCCACTTAAGAAAAGTGTGACTTTGGGCCTTAGTTTTCTCAGACATAAAATGGGGTTAAAATACTTCATAGGGTTGTCAGGAGTATAAAGTGAATGTGTCTGTACTAACAATAAGTAGCACGTGTAAGAAGGGACTTTGTGTTTTACTGTACTGTAGCCATGATTTCTGTTGGAGAAAATAGAACTCTGGGAAATATAAAAGTATAGTTTGAATTTGATGATGGTTTTTCAAATGTTACTGTGCAGAAGAGTTCCTGGGAGCTTGTTATACTTGTATGTCCTCAGGTTGCATCCCTAGACATTCTGTTTAGGAAGTTTGGCTGAGTCTGGGAATTTGTCTTTGTCACAGTAACCCAGTTGGTTCTGATGCAGGTGGTCCACAGATAACACTTGGAGAAATCCTGGCCTTATGGCAACCAGGTGAGCATGTAGCGGGGGCGGGGGGCCCAAACTTCTCAGGAAGCCCCAGCTCTGGCTCGTTGTTTTCTGTTTCTCTGGGCTCACTGACAGAGAATAATCTTTCAGAGCTCTTTCAAGCAGGACAAAGCTGTTCTTTGTTCTTGCTTTTAATGACAACTAGAGATATCTTTTTATTGGATTGTCTCCTTCAACATTATTTTGACTCAGTGTCCTAAGAAGTCTTTTGGGAACCAGCTTAGGAACTCAGGGTAGAGAAATCTCCTTGTTCATTGGCTGAGGGAATTGTGACTTGGGGTGAGGAAGGGCAGATTAGAAGGGGGGTGGTTTTGATTCTCAGTGGGTCTTGGAAGGGTTTGGGAACCAGAAGTGAAACATGGACAGGATCCCTCCTAGCTCTAAACTGAATTCCTTTAGGAATGGGATGAAAAATGGCCGCATTCCTTCTACTCGTAAATTATTTGTGTCTAGTTTATCTCTTCTTTCATTGAATTATGCCTGGCAATCTATAATATTGACTGCTTTGTGATTTTAAGGAGTTTCTTTTTGCAGCTGTGGTTTGAGGGGTGTGAGGCCGGCTCACTGACCCATGATGGCCAGAGCTTGCTAGCTCCTGAAATGAATGTTTGTAATTTCCTGACATAGGGACAAAATAAATGGCCCAGGCCTGCCCATAAATATGCATCAGTGCTTCTCTATGCTGGGTCTGCGTGTGTTCTCAGAGGTCTTTTTCTGTGGGACATGCTCTACCCACACCTTTCTGCCAGACACAGTGTCTCACTGCCAGCTATGGTTTGGCCTCTGCAGCGTGGGCTGCGAATTTAAATATTTAAAAAGAAAATCTCGGAAGGAATGTCCCATCATATACTTAATAAATGAAAGTGTGAGGCAGAAATTAAAAGTCCACTGGGGAGTGTAGTTGGAAAATGTAAACCATATGAGATGTGCCTTTAAGTTTGAACTCCTTGTTGGCAATTTTCTGCCATGAGAACTTCCTTTAAAGTCCTGTCGGTTGAATTTAATGAGTTCTAAGCTGTGAATGTAAACCTTAGATGAAAAATGTGAACCCAAGAGCTAGGTTGTTCTGGGTTGCTGATTTTTCCACCCCTGCATTTAAGATGTCTGTCAAATAAGTCTTAATGTACCTGAGTTAATAATAGGAGAGTGTTCTGTCTGATGATGATGGGCCCCTGAGCCCATTGGCAGGTGGACATTTCTGTGGATTTCATAAAAATAAAACTAAAGACCATATAATTCTTTATAAACTGAAACAAAAATAAAAGGTAAACATGTAATGGTTAAATGGTAGTGAAAAATGAGAACGTGTTTAACAGAATAGATTTTTAAGTTCCCATTTTATTTTATTTTATTTTATTTTATTTTATTTTTATGTTTTGAGACAGAGTCTTGCTCTGTTTTCCGGGCTGGAGTACAGTGGTATGATCTTGGCTCACTGCAACCTCTGCCTCCTGGGTTCAAATGATTCTGGTGCCTCAGCCTCCCAAGTAGCTGGGGTTACAGGCGCATGCCACCACACCTGGCTAATTTTTTATTTTTTTTTTGTATTTTTAGTAGAGATGGGGTTTCACCATGCTGGGCAGGCTGGTCTTGAACTCCTGGTTTCAAGCAATCCACCTGCCTCAGCCTCCCAAAGTGCCGGGATTACAGTTGTGAGTCACCATGCCCAGCTTAAGTTTCAATTTTAACTGGTGGTTTCCTTGGAATATGCTTCTTTTAGGGTTGAGAGTGAAGTAAGATAGTAGTTTGGCATGTATGTGTCTTGTAAGTTTAACATGTGCTGATCCCTAAGGCTAATTTCATGGCATTTAATATTTCCATGGATGTTTTTGTCTAATCACTTGTAGCCTTTCCCACTT
Source organism: Homo sapiens (assembly GCF_000001405.40). Classification (NCBI taxonomy): domain Eukaryota; kingdom Metazoa; phylum Chordata; class Mammalia; order Primates; family Hominidae; genus Homo; species Homo sapiens. The sequence continues at coordinate 168,200,195 of NC_000002.12, read as the reverse complement.
CTCATGTGTTTTGATGTATAGGTTTTGATGCATAGATTTTAAAAGTTCATGAAAATGTTACTTTAATGTTCAAGAGAGAGATGAAGGTGAATGGAAAACGGAACATTATTTTGTTGGCCCTATTTGGTCGTTCTGGTTGTTGCTGGAGAATGTGAGAGATTGTGATTCAGGTCAGATACTATCTTGAAATCAAATATGAGTTCCAGATACTCTTATAGCCCAGATATTTCCAAGGCTTTGCTGACAGCTTAATTATTTCAAGCAATATTTGATATGGCTGAAGACCTGTTGTCCAAAGAATTTGGATGTCCTTTTGGGCTCTTTTTTCAATGTAAGCCTTGCCAAAAGATGTGAAAATCTGCATGATATAAATGTTAAAATATGGCCAGGCACGGTGGCTCACGCCTGTAATCCCAGCACTTTGGGAGGCCGAGGTGGGCGGATCACAAGGTCAGGAGTTTGAGACCAGCCTGATCAACATGGTGAAACCCCATCTCTACTAAAAACACAAAAATTATCTGGGCATGGTGGCGTGTACCTGTAATCCCAGCTACTCGGCAGAATCGCTTGAACCTGGGAGGCAAAGGTTGCAGTGAGCCGAGATCGTGCCACTGCACTCCAGTCTCGGCAACAGAGCGAGACTCTGTCTAAAAAAAAAAAAAAAGTTAAAATGCAGGATTACCATTTCCTTTTACAAAGTAATTTATCATGGAATTCCTTGAAGTGGCACTTCTTCATTTGTGGCTGTGAAATACAATACAATTTTGCAAAACGGAACGATTTTCCCAGTTTTCCAGGATGGAGTCCAGTTTCTCCTGTGATGGTGTCTGATCTGTAGATAGCCACTTCTTTTTCTTCTTCAGATGTTCTCCTAAAAGGTTGGGACTCACAAGTTAAGGTTAGCAAATAAAAACAGGGAAGAGGTGACGTGCTGCTCCAGGGCTGTTTGAGAGTTTTCATAGAGAGGCTGCTGCTGGCTTTCTTTTGAAGCTGAGAGCAAACCTCAGTGGTTTTAACTCATGTCCACCGAATGGTGTAACCCCCTAAGTATCAGGGTATAAGGAATATAGGATTTTTCTTTTAAACATTGCCTGAAGCCTGAAGTCCCTGAAGTTTCCCCCGCCCCCTGCTACTTTTAGCATTGCCCAAAATATGATGCCATAGCAAAGAATCTGGAGACATCAGGGAAACTAGCAATTGCATAAGCATATGAAACTTTTTTAGATGTGCATTGAGGAGTTAGCAAGCCTTAAATGAAAGACACCTTTAGAATACAGTATAGTAATCTCTCTCCCTGTAACATTTATCTGTATGTTATAGATACAGTTCTAAATTTACTCAAACATGTTTAAATATAGTAAACTGTTTTAATGTAAAACTATCCTTAAAACATTCAGAGAGTTGTCTCTTGAAGTGTTTCATCTGTGAACTCTTGCCAATAGCACTTAGCCACCTAGTGAACGCTGAGTCTTCGGTGAAGTTACAGTGCCAGTGAGTGCGATGTGCTAAGTCCGTATTTGATTTGCCAGTGAGGACAAATGCACACACTCTGGTTTAGATCAGATTCAGATGATTTCCTACTGTGCTTTGTGAGTCATTCTAGTATCATCGGTAAATAATTCCTAAATGAAATCTATGTATTTCTTTTTTACTTACTTGGTTTGGGAAGTCATTGACAGGTGAATGATTTTATAAGCAATGTAATGAGTTGCCAAATACAGCAACTTTTCAAGACACTTGAAGCTTACAAACTTGACATTGTTTTAGCTTTAATTTACACCAAAGTTGGGTTATCCCTTTGAAATTATTACACGACACTGAGATAAAGGAGAATTCAAGTGCTCAGTCTTAGGGCTAAAGGCAATAGTTTATGGTTCAATAACATGTTGGGATGTTGTACCACAATTAATGTAATTATTAATAGGTTTTAGAAACATGAAAAGTGTTTGGGATCTAATTCTCAGTGACAATAGCAGAATTGAAAGTCATAATTATTGTGGCTATAAATGTGAGTACATTCATGTGCGTGTGTGTGTGAGTAAAGATTGCAATGGAATATGCATCATGAAAATAGTTGTGTTTGGGCAATGGGATTTCTAATACACTTTTTGTCATTGTTGTTTAGTATGGTTTTATTTTTACTTTTTTTTTTTTTTTGAGACCGAGTTTCGTTCTTTTTGCCCAGGCTGGAGTGCAATGGCACAGTCTCGGCTCACTGCACCCTCTACCTCCTGGGTTCAAGTGATTCTCCTGCCTCAGCCTCCCAAGTAGATGGGATTACAGGCACCCACCACCATGCCTGGCTAATTTTTTTGTATTTTTAGTAGAGATGGGGTTTCACCATGTTGGCCAGGGTGGTCTCAAACTCCTGACCTCAGGTGATCCGGCCACCTCAGCCTCCCAAAGTGCTGGGATTATAGGCGTGAGCCATTGCACCCGGCCAGTATGGTTTAATTTTAAGGAACAAGTTAATTATTTCTTTTAAGCCTTTACAAGGAAAAGAGTTGAATGGAAAGAATACCTACAAATACTGGATATTTACATATATATTTTTTAGTTATACGTAACATTTCTTTATAGGAGGGCAGTACACATGAATACCCATTTGTAAGATATGATTGGACAGTTCTTTCCCCCTGAAATATCTCTTGAACACGGGAAGCACATCCCCTTCTCGGTTTTTATTGTTCCTTCCCCTGCATCCTCACCTTTCCTTGTTCCTGATGTTGGAGGTTCATTGAACAATATGTGGCAGCCCAAGGCTTTCAAATTGACATCTGGAGCATGCAGAACATATTCTGGTGGATGGGCCAGCGTTGGCAGGGTTTTGGGATGGATGAAGAGAGAATCAAGGCCGTTCATTATAAAATGGAGTGATGATTATAGTAGAGGCGATTACATATTTAGTTTCAGTACCTAAATGTCTCCTCCTTTGCATTTAACTTCCAATCTATCAGCAAGTCCTGTGGCTCTACGTCCAAATATATTCTCAAATCCAGCCACTTTACTTTTCTTCTTCTCTACTTTGTCTACCCTAGCACTTGCCATCGTTGATTCATGCCCGCACATCTACAGCAACACCCTAACCAACCAGGCTGTACCTGCTCTTGCCCTGCGTACAATCTTATCTACACATAGCAGCCAGAGTGACCTTTGTACAATGTAAGCCAGATTCTGTAATTCTTTTTTTCAAAATCCTTTCAAGTACTCACCTTGGTCTACAGGACTCTTTCCCTGTGTTTAGTCTCCTGCCAACCTGCCCTACCACCTCTTTCCACCTGCCTCTTAGCTGACAAGCACCAGCCACACCGCCTCTGTCTTTGTCCCTTGAGCTCTCCAAAATCATTCCTATCTGAGGCCTTTTGCCCATTCTGCCCTTCATCTTAGAATGCTCAGATCTTTGCATGGTCAGCCCCTTCTTGTCAGCCCACATGTCACCACCTGAGAGAGGCTTCTCTGACCACCATAGCTCAAGTATTGTCCCCACCAATTTTATTTTTGTCATAGCACTTAACTGCAATCTGAAATTATTTATATTACCCTTTTGTTTTTGAGACAGAGTCTTGCTCTGGAGTGCAGTGGCATGATCACAGGTCACTGCAACCTCTGCCTCCCAGGTTCAAGCAATTCTTCTGCCTCAGCCTCCCGAGTAGCTGGGATTACAGGCATCCGCCCTGCTAATTTTTTGTATTTTTAGTAGAGATGGTGTTTCACCATGTTGGCCAGCCTGGTCTTGAACTCCTGACCTCAGGTGATTCACCTGCCTTGGCCTCCCAAAGTGTTGGGATTACAGGCGTGAGCCACCACACCCAGCCATTTATGATACTTTTAAATCCATATCCCCTCTCACATAAAATGTAAACTCTAGGAAGGCAGATACTTTTTGCTCTGAGCTTCCTTTCTACCACCCTAAATAGCACATGGCACATACTAGAAGCTCAGTGAAATATGTTCAATGAATAAACAAGTACATATTCTTCATTATTGTATAAGATGTAAATTGAGGTGATCATGTAAACCATAAATTGAGGTTCTTTGCAACTCCAAGATGCTATTATTCTTAGTGTGAGGAAGGCATTATTATAATTATTACACATAATCAGTAGATCATATGTGTTTGATAACTTCTTCCCACTCCATTCCCATTTATAGTGGTAGAATTCCTTTCTTTTCCTTTTGAAATGGAGTTTTGCTCTTGTAGCCCAGGCTGGAGTGCAATGGCACGATCTTGGCCCACTGCAATCTCCACCTCCCAGGTTCAAGCAATTCTCCTGCCTCAGCCTCCTGAGTAGCTGGGATTACAGGTGCCCGCCACCACGCCCATCTAATTTTTTGATTTTTAGTAGAGATGGGGTTTTGCCGTGTTGGCCAGGCTGGTCTTGAACTCTTGACCTCAGATGATCTACCGACCTAGGCCTCCCAAAGTGCTGAGATTACAGGCGTGAGCCACCTCGCGCAGCCAATAGTGGTGGAATTCTTACACTCATCCATTCATTTTGTTCTTGTTACTCTAACTGGATGGACTTAAGTATTATCTTTGGCATGTAACAAAGTGCAGCTAATTGACACATCAGGAGACTGAATCTGAATCTTGGGCTTTTACAGAGATTGAATCTGAATTTTGGGCTTTTACAGGATTTTCATTCACATACTGTAGCTAGTAGGCTACAGCTTAGAGTTGAAACTGAAAAGCATGGCCACCGACCAGACTTTATTAAATTATGTGCAGGAGAATTATCTTGGCAGCAAATGAGGCAAATCAATGGTAGGTAACTGTCTTTTGGTGGTTTTGTTTTGAGACATGGTCTTGCTCTGTTGCCCAGGCTGGAGTGCAGTAGTGCCATCGTGGCTCACTGCAACCTCAACTTCCTCTGCTCAAGCGATCTTCCCACCACAGCCTTCCAAGTAGCTAGGACTACAGGTATGTGCCACCATGCCTGGCTAATTTTTAAAAAAATTTTTGTAGGGACGGGGTCTCATTTTGTTGCCCAGGTTATGTCTTCTGAGAGCTTAGAGTTCAAGGTAGAAACGTTAGTTACAAAAACTTGACAACGAGGATGTAAAAGTGAATACTTCCTATCATTTGAGTAAATGAAAGAGAGAGGAAATAAAGTTCATCTGTGAAAATGTCAATTTAACAAGTACTTATCAATCTAATCAGCCTAGCTGTTAAAAAAAATGTAAATGTGTGACTGTAAGTCATATTGAAACTCATGCTATCCTAAGCAGCTCTCCATCTGCTTCTAGTTAGAGATGTGTCATACATCTGGGGACCTGGGCCTCAGGCTGTGAGAAAGTAGTTTCAATTAAAAAAAAATCAATACTTGTAATGGTTTTCTTTCTTATAATATCATACCCAGTAACTTGTATAGGTTGAATTTAGACATAGCGTTATAAAGTTTATTTAATGTGAGTATGACTGGAGGCTCAACATAAGTTGAATAACAGCAGATGCAATCAGCTGGCTGTTCAGCTTTGTTTATATCTTTACCCATAATGTTTGAGGTATCATGTTTTCTGGATTAATAAAATAAATTTCCAGATAAATAAAGTCCAACTTAATTTCAATCCTAGGTGCTGGAAATAATTCTGAAATTTAATTATGCCTTTTGTACTAATTTCTACTAAGGCAGGCATTGTCTTCATCTTTCATTTGTAGTGAATTTCTGAAAAACCCACCCAAAAAATCAAATAATAAACTTACATGTTATGAGATAGAGGGAATGTTGAATCTTCATTTTTGTTTTTATTTTACTTTAATTAATTAATTTATTTTGAGACAGAGTCTCGCTCTGTTGCCCAGGCTGGAGTGCAGTGGCGTGATCTTGGCTCACTGCAACCTCTGCCACCCAAGTTCAAGCTATCCTCCCACCTCTGCCTTCCGAGTAGCTGAGACTACATGCCTGCACCACCATGCCCAGCTAATTTTTATTTTTATTTTTTAAATAGAGAAGGGGTTTCGCTGTATTGGCCAGGCTGGTCTTGAACTCCTGACCTCAAGTGATCTGCCTATGTCGGCCTCCCAAAGTGCTGGGATTACAGGCATGAGTCACCATGCTAGGCCAAATCTTCATTTTTGAATAGCCCGATACACATACATTTCTGAATTATTATTCTTTGGAGTGGATCTGCTCCTTCTGGATGCTTGCAGGCGGGCGAGACCCTTCCCAGGCTGGCACCTCTTGTCCCTGACGCCGAGGCATCTGCTTTTCCATGCTTCAGGCCTCCTTTCCAGTTCCTTCCATGGGGGCCTAAACTCGATTCCCTTATTAGGAGGTGGGTACCTGGCCCCTTCGGGGATAATTTAGGGAAGTTATGCCACCTCTGTGGTAGCAACTGAAAATGTGGCCCATGGACCAGCAGCATCACATCACCTGGGAGCTTGAGAAATGTAGAACTCACCCCTGTCCCATACTAACTAAATAAGCAGCAACGTTTTCACAGCACACCCAGGTGACCCCTTATGTTGTCTCCACATCTTTCAATACAACACAGTCCTAACACCTTAGCCCCCAGCCCCAAGACTAAAGGAGGGAACATTCTCCTGATGTCCTGCCAGGCTCCGACTCATGGTATTGTGGGATCTGCAGGTGGCCTCACTTAGGAGAAACTCTGGGCTGGGGCTGCTGGAGGCAGAGACTGCAGCATGCTGCTGCTTCCACCGGGGCTTAGCAGGTGTTCCGTGCCCTTCATGAGGGTGTGTCTTAATTTTCCTTCTCACTCAATGATGTTCTCAGGGCCCCCTGGGGTTGCCAAGACACTACTTTTCACTGCACTGGACATTTGTGTTCCTGCAGTTCATATCCTCTTCCCTTGTGGCTCTTATTTTCTGCCATCATTTCAGACTATGGCATCATGCCCCTGCTTCTGGGTGAGAGTGTGTGAAGAGGGGGGGGAAGAAAGACTTCTACCATGCAGAGGGTGACCTGACTTCCTGTATTGCGGTTGTAACTTAGGGGAGGGCCTCAGGTTGTCAGAGGAGACAGGAAAAGCAGGAGTTGGGTTATAAGTGCAATCAGATCAGATGGAGAGGTGGCATTAAAGTGAATGGATTTTCTTTTCCTGTGTCTGTGAGTAGGAGAAATGTTTTAGTTACTTGCTGCATCATGGATGTGGTAGCCAGGGCTGTTTAATTACCTGAGAAGTGGGGCTAATTGTATCTTGAACAGTGAGTCACTTTCCTGGCATAATTTTCTCTGTGCCCAATCATTACCATATAAAAGTTGTCAGTGCTGGCCCTCAGGAGTGGGATTTGAAGAGGGGGAGTTAATAGGAAGCTGGCAGGAGCTGGGGCTGAGTGGGAGCAGAGCTGATCATAGGGAGGTGGGGATAAGTAGGCATTTTCTCAAAAGGTTGTAGTGGACCTGGTTCTAGTTTCTATCCAGGTGTCTGGGATAATCATGTGGATACTATTAACCCCAACAGTCAACATTCTTAAACACTTCAGTGCTAGACATGTACATTTATATTATTATGTTTACATGTATAGTCTCATTTAATATTTACAGCCCTCCTGTGAGGTAGATGCTATTGTCATTTGCTTTTTGTAGTTGAGCAATGTGCAGCACAAAGCACACAGGCAGCTTGCCCAAGGTCACATAGCTTGGGGCTGTGTGACCCCAGACCCTCCGTCATAACCATCACTCAATCCAGAGGAAGTAGATTGGGGTGGAATGGGGCGGGGTTTGGAAGTACAGAGCGAACATTTGGAAAGTGTTAGATATTAAAAAGGATCATTTTAGGAATTGTGTTGGAAAACAGAGTGAAATGAGAATTTTTTTTAAAAGCCTGGCTATTGTTAATGGAGCTTGGAAAAGCCCCAGCCTCGTTTTGGAGCTGGTGGAGGTCACACTCCCTTGGCTCCTTATTAAGTGATTTCCTCTAAGCTCCAGATAGACCTTCCTAGAATCTGCTTGTGGTGTTGGGTTGGTAGTCAGCAGACCTCCTTCCATGTTCCTTCTTTGCCTGCTGTTTCCCTGTTAAGCTGTGCTAATGGGGGCACCAGGGGAATTTTGGAAGGCTGTGGGAGGGAGAAGGGACACGCTTCATCCTGTTACTGTTCTTGTCAGCTTAGCTTCGGAAAGGGTCTTTCCCTCTGCCAGCAGTAATTGGTTTCCATTTCCAGTTTCCTTCTACCTCTTGGAACCAGCCTTCTGCCACCCCCTGAGATGCCATCCCAGTCCCATGTAGACCTTCAGAAAGGGCTCCTCTTCAGAGGTCAGGGTCCCAGCCCTGTAGGTTTCCTCCTAAATGTGTAGAGTCTAATAACCACCACCTCCTCCCTTTGATTCCTACAGTCCTACCCAAGGAGTGGTAGCTGCTTCCTACAGCTTCCTGAGTAACTCTGTGTTAACTCAGTCTTTTCCATTCTCTAGCACCTGTTGAATAAGATCTTCGTATTAAATAATATGTCGCATTACATAGTATTGCTTCCATTTTCCTAATAGCCCCTGACTGATTAATTTCCCCAAGCCCTAGAATCCTGGCAGAGGTGTGGCGAGAGAAGCTGATACGCAGGAGGGAACCATGGTTCTCAAATCTAAGGATATGGGTGAATTGCTGGAGAAGCTAATTAAAAATGCAGATCCCAGGCCTCCAGTTGCAATAATTGTGATTCAGTAGGTTGGATATAGGGTTAAGAATCTGCTTTTTAAACAGACATCTTAGGTGTGGCTGATGTGTAGTTATCCTCTTCCTGAGGCTTTGAAAAAATCTGCCCAAATCCAGGGCCTTCCCATGGGGTTATTTCTTGACTCTGGAGTTGTTGTACTGGGGCTTAGACACCAATTTTAATTTTTTTTTTAATAGGGCGTGGGCTGTGGATATGCTAATAACCTTTGATTGAAGACCACCAAGGTTGTATATTGCCCCTGGAGGCTGAAAATCCAACCCTTGTTTAGCCCACAAGCTCTGATGCAATTAGCTGGGAGAAAAGAGCTTTTCCCCCTAACTGGGTATTGTCCGCATGTCAGGCCCTGCACTCCGTTGTGTCCAGTCAGAGGGATTCCTTTTTCTTATTTATGCAAAGCCAACGTGCCTATAGCTGCAAAGAAGGGATGGAGTGGGACTGACCTGGAAGTAGGGACTGGCTCTTCTTTTTGCATATAGAGCCCTTCCCATTTACAGGTGGCTTGAGGTTGAAGCAGTAAGGAATCAGAAGCCACCACCACAGCATACATATTCAAACCAGGACACTTGTACCTTTTGGCCTTGCCAGTGGGTGTATCCGTTTATCTGTGTGAATAGCAATAGACATTTCTTTGTGGAATGTTTGGCTTCCATTTGGTTGATTTAATCAGTAAAACAAGTGGGTTTTGCTGGGAGGAGGTGGATTATCCCTTCCAAGCAGAACAGGAAGTTTTTCAATATTGCCAGATCGTTGGACTTTGAGTTTGCAAGGGGCAAGGACTTCAAAGTGACCGTTTACTGACTATAAAAGTCAGATTTTCTCAGTAGGAGTGTGTCCAGCCTACAGTCTAGTGCCTGATGCAGTGTTCCCTGACATGGATTTCGAGGGCTGTTGTGGGCTCTTGTCTGTCCTTCATGTTGTTGTTTAGTGTTTTATATCATCTCTCTATGCTCACATAGAATTATTGAAGTCCCTAGTTTATATTAGCCTGCCACATTTCGTGTGGCCCTACATGCTGAGCAGGGGCCAGTGGATTCAGTTTTTAAAAATTGAAATTCGGATGGAACATTGCTCTTCAGAATGAGCTCTCCTATGAGACCTGACTTTAGAATTGAACTGGATGTTCTGCAAATCAGAAATGCCTGAAGGCAGAGAGCTTCCCTAGGCTTGTACCTTGAAGTTAACTGCCACATCCCCCACAGCGACCTACTTAGAGATAACACATTGAATAAAAGTGCTCTTCCCCTTGCTTTAGGTTATATAGCCCACCAGTGCCTGCTCTCCTCTGTGTAGACCCAACTTGGAGCACACTTCATCTGCCTTGTCTGCGGGTGTCTTCCCCAGTGATGGGCTGATGTGCATTCCATTCACTTAGCCAACACTCTTGGAGGCCTCCTGTGTTCCAGGCAGTGGTCTAGGTGGAAGGGCTGATTCTAGGAATAATAAGGCCGGAGGAGACCGCTCCACAAGCATAGAAGTTCTAGGATGAAGTAGGTAGAGAGTCCCTGCCTGGGAATGGTGAGGAAGTGACTAATTCTCCTTGGAGTTGTTCAAGAAGGCAACATCTCAAGTGATTCATTCATAGCTCGGGCGGGCTAGGTTGTCCTCTCTTCTCCCTATACTCCCCATCAAAATGAAGTAATCTTTTTCTTAGAAGGTAAACAGCTTCACTGGCAGAAAGGTTATGTGTTTTACTCCAGGTTGCATGTTCGTCAGTATCAATATTAGGACTAAAATCCTACAATAGAGTTTTAGCTTTGAGGGGCTGAACCTCTGAGTAAGTGCTCTTGAGACTAATGTTAAATGTTTTTGTTTTTAAACCGGCAAGCAATCATATTCCCAGAGTGATTTTTAAAAAAATCTATTGTGTTTCATTAAGAAAACAAAAATGCCTAGAAGTAAATTCCAATATTAATCACGTTGAATTAGATGGAAATTAGAGTCTGTTCTTTTTTAGCTCCTTATCTCACACATGCAACTCATCTGGTGGCTGGCTTGAATTTACCTAGACTCCCTAATAATAATTTTCATTATCATTGAAAGTTATTACAATTTGTAAATTATTGAATTTCTTTATATTAGGTATCCCAATCCACATACTTTCTGCATGTTCAGTAAGTGTACTCACTGTAGGGTTTTTTGGTTTTTTTTTTTTAGTTGTTGCTTGAGATGTAGCTTGTGGTCCAAGGTGAGTTTATTTACATTTGTTCTGGTTTGATTCCTCTATCTCTTTTAAAATCAGAACCGAGGACTACTTTTTATTTTTCTGTGGTATTATCAGATGGTTCTTGATGAGTTATATACAAGGGCTGCTTGTCTTCAGTGAGGTCTGAGACCTCTAAATGTTTTAACAGGCTTTCTCAGGTAAGATAGTTTATCCAGGTCAGTGGTGAAACATAAGTACATTTCACTGAGTGGCCATTAATCCACCTCATCCTACTGTTTGCTTTTTATGTTTTATTTTATTTTATTTTTTTGGTAAGCTCTAAATCTTTTCCAGCAACCCTGGAAGGAGGCTCTACTAACTTGTTCTTTTGACGGAGGCAGAAGGACAAAACTCAGTCAGCTTGGTGGTGACACAAGCCAGGTCACTTAGGAGGGTCACCAGTTTGTAGCTGCCTTGAGAAACATGGTCTTGCTGCACTGGGCTCAGTGGAGGCGAGCGGTTTGTGCACTGTTATCCAGACAGGCCAGCAGGAGCGTCTGTTTTATAAATTAATGCGTAGGGCAAGTTGTGTGTGTCTCACCGTTACTGTTCTTTGTCTTTGACTTGAGATTGCACTGTGCACATGTTCCTGCCACATAGAATGCACCAGATGACAGAAGAGTCGCTGTGATAAGGTTTTCTTTCTGTGTGAAATAGTAAGACGAGGAGGATGGTGACATGTAGCAGATCAGTTTGGGTCAATGTGCCGAGTACATGCTCATACTATGTTGAACCATATGACATGAACATTTTTGATGTAGAAAAATGGCAATTTCACACTTGCAATCTAATAACTTAAAATTGGGACCATCAAGTAAGGAAGGGTGTACCTTTGAAGGCGAATAGCAGTAACACACTCAGGCAAAATAACAGTCTGTGGTGAACTTTTATTAGACTCACAATGCTTTTATAATTAAAAAATTAATCGTCAACCTTATTGTATTAGGAGATGTCACACAGAATTCTGGATTTTCAGCCTTTCTGCAAAATTCTGACTGTCTTGCTATGCCAGGTCAGCGATCTCAGATGGTGACAGTTGGCTGAAGCAGAGTGGCACTTGTACTCCTGTAGAGCTCACATGTGTGTCCATTCATCCAAGTCCTCTCCTGGCCAGCTTCTGGTCCTCATGTGACTGACTGGCCTGTGGGCTTTGAGGTTGGACACATGATATAAATAGAGCTCAAAGAGTAAGCTGGGGAAAGGCAGGATTAGAATAAATCAGCTGAACCAAAGCCATTTGTTTTGTTTACTATCCATCACCAGCTAGCACCTCTAAAAAGAAAGCCTGAGCCCACTCTTGACTCTGTTCACTGGCAAAGGACAGCTGAGCATACTTAAGGAGTTCTTGCACGTGCTAAGAGATGGTCAAACTCTTATTAAAGTTCCAACTTTGTGCTTCTCATTTAAATATAATATGGTGATTAGAACTTCCTTCCAGGGGCCATAACTAATGTTACAGGCTAATGTGATGCCTTGAAAAAAATCTTGCCATTTATGGGAAGGGGTTACTGGACAATTGACGTCTTAACTTTAACGTAAAGTTCTTATGGACTAATTTTTTTAAAAAAAGTACTAGATGTTTATTGCTACATTGTTCATATGGGGATGAAAACTAGAAATAAAGGGGATACTCATCAACAGAAGGAGGGCTGAATAAATTATGGTACATTAATACTATGAAATATTACGTGGTATTAAAATGACAGATTGACAGGACACCAGTTGACCTGGGGGGATTTCCCTAAGGAGCAACGCTAGCTAAGATTTAATTAGTGCTTACTATGTGCTAGGCACAGTTTCAAAGACTTTTTTTGTGTTAACTCATTTAATCCTCACAACCACTCTATGAGTGAAGTAGCATTATTGCCGTCTTACCAATGAGGAAACTGAGGCATGAAGAAGTTAGGCAAGTCATCCAAGCATAAGCAGTTAGTATGTGGCAGGTCTGGGATATGAACCCATGCAATCTGGATTGACATAGATATTTTAAAATAACTTTTTTTTTTTTTTGAGATGGAGTCTCACTCTGTCACCCAGGCTGGAGTGCAGTGGCATGATCTCAGCTCACTGCAGCCTCTACCTTCCGGGTTCAAGTGATTCTCCCACCTCACCCTCCTGAGTAGCTGGGATTACAGGTATGCACCACCATGCCTGGCTAATTTTTGTATTTTTAGTAGAGACGGGGTTTCACCATGCTGGTCAGGCTGGTCTCAAATTCCTGACCTTGTGATCCACCTGCCTTGGCCTCCCAAAGTGCTGGGATTACAGGCGTGAGCCACCATGCCCGGCCTTAAAATAACTTTTTAAGGTTAGATATCAAAGTGCATTATACATGACAATCTTTGCTATGGAATATTAATTCACAGCTGTTTCTGAATTGGATTGTCTCTTATATTTTAAACTCTTATGCTCATCATGCTGTATCAGACTTTAGAAATCATTTAGTTCTTTGGTTTCCAAATTTAGCTCTCCTAGCCTCTCTTTTAAACCAGTCTAATCTTCCTGGTGCTAAGCAAAATGAAACTCAGTTCTGACCCTGAGCCACTTTGCCCTCTTTTCCCTTGGGTGCCATATAAACAGTAGATATAGTTTACCTCCTTTATGTCACAGATGGAGAAATGAGTCCCAGAGAGAGAGCCTAACATTTATTGAGTTGATGTTTTCCAGGGATGTGAAATATATTATGTTATGAAGCCTTAAAGGTGTATTTTATTATGCCCATTAAGGAAGCTGAAGTCTAGATAGCAGTTAGGTCGAAAGTCACAGAGGGAATCAATACCACGTTTGGATAGAATCCCTGTCTAACCTTCTTTTCAAGGCTCCTACTAACCTAAGATGGGAACTACAATGAGCTACCAGAGGCCTTTCAGTTGAATCTTGCCATTTGCTGTTGACTTAATCAGGAAGCTTCTAAGAACTTCTAATTAGTATGGCATTCTCTGCCATAGGTGTTAGTGGAAGAATGACTTTGAACAGACATTTCAAGGCTTTTGTATTAGTCTGCTTGGGCTGTTGTAACAAAATACCATATACTGAGTGGCTTAAACAACAGAAATGTATTTCTCACAGTTCTGGAGTCTAGGAAGTCCAGATCAATGTGCTGACCACTTCAGTTTCTGGTGGGCTCTCTTGCTGGCTTGTAAACAGGCACCTTCTTGCTGTGTCCTCATAGGACAGAGAGGGAAAGTAAGCTCTCTATTGTCTCTTTTTGTAAGGATACTAATCCTATTGGACCAGGGCTCTGTCCTGATGACCTCATTTAACCTTTAATTACCTCCATAAAGGTGGTAATTATCTGTTAACTGTATCTCTAAATATAGTCACATTGGGGATTAGGGCTTCAACAAAGACATTTTAGGGGAACACAGACATTCAGTCCACAACAGCATTTTAGTCATCCCTGTTAACTTCTGCAGAGGAAGTGATCCTATAGAAGGATTTATTCCACTTGAAGCAGGAATGGTCACCTTTGGCACTTTATTATCTAGTGAACTGCCTGCTACATGGCAGGGATTTAATTACTGTTTGTTGATGAATTAATATAAGCAAATATCTTTTTGCTGCTTTTTTGCACTAAATGCACTAAATGCAAAGAGGAAGTTATTGTGTGAGTCATGGGAGTAGGGACTTTGAACATACTGTTGAAACTGCATTTGACAATAGTAGTGATTTTTGCAAAATAAACACTGTAGTTTTTCATGTTAATTTCACATAGACCTTAGTGAAATGCAAAGTTAGAATACTAAATTATATTTCCATGAAATATTTCTTTGGATAACTGAAAGTATAAAATGCAGGTATGCAGTGTTCTGGTTATTTACCTTAATACCAGCAGCAGTACAGAGGGGAAAATGAGAAGAGGTGTCAACTAAAGGAAAAATCTGCATCATGGTAATGAACGTGAGCAATCTCTTACCTCTGATTGCCATTGACATAATCACTATCTAAAACTTCCAAGTAGCTGTTCTTAGTCGGGAATTACTTAGCAAAAGTGAATTGAGATAGAGTGACTTAAAAGAGTGAACTGAAAAGATTTAAAGCCGTGCCCACTTAACTTGTGCATATGTGCATACAGGCCATAATCCTATTGAATGATTTATTGCACTTGAAATAGGAGTCAGGAATAAAATGAGAAATTCATAAAATGTTAAGAACTCTTATTCCAAAAGGGGTGCATGATACTTCATTGAAAATATGCTACTAATGTTAATGAGTCATGTGTCAGTATCATATATTGTTCAAAATAAATACAAGGTGCTGTTCAGCATAGTAATTGCTCTTATTTTATTTCATGTTGCTAACACTTGTCCAGTTCCTGTATTTACAAGCCCCACATTTTTTAGCTTCCTCTTAAACTAATCAGCAAAGTGCATAAAAACCCTTAAAGCAAGACAGTGTTGGTATTATTTCTAAATGTCCTTTAGAATTATGCAGTTAGGTCACCTCCTTTCCTTTCAAAGCATGGATTTACTCTAATCCTGGGAATCCTAATCTAGTACTAGCAGACTCCAAACTTTTGATCATCACTTACAGTAAAACATGTCATACTAAAGCTTGGGCGTAAGTGAAACAAAAGTTTCATAAAGCAGTTTTTACCCTTATTACATTCTGATGCTTCCCTTAAACAATGCTGGCCTCCACCCAGTTAGTTGATTTTGTGACCAGTGGATCCTCACTGGCAATTTGAAAAAACACCAACCTGGTGCACAGAATGGTAGATAAGGAATAAGTATGCCTAGGGTCCTAATCCTGTGCTTTCCAATTGCTGCAGGAAACACATCCCTATCCTTCACAGGACCCTGTTTTCTCATTCATAAAGTGAGGGGGTGGGTTGGACTTGATGCTCTCTAAGGTGCCTTTCCACCTTTAACTTTGTTCTTGGTCTCTTCTATAGTTGAAGGGAAATCTTTGGATTTAGAGTAGAATCTCCCAAACTGTTTAATGAATGGTTAAATCCATCCATGTTGTGACAATGATCTCAGGTCACAAAGCTTCATAATTCTGTCTAGAGATGAGAAGTAGCCAGTCGTTCCTTAGTTAGCTGTAGTTGTAAAGCAGTAACAATTCTCTAGCTGTAAAGCTTTAATAAAAGATTTTTCTCACCACCTACCCCTCCATGTTTTTAGAATTCTTATTTTTTGTTCCTTGGAGGTTAGGAGACTTTTACTGTCAAGGACTTAACTATGAGAGGTATCTCTGTATTACATACGCTTGTTTTGTCCTTTCTGGGAATTAATTTATTCTTTCCTGTTTTTGAAACTCCTTGATTTGTGAATGTTCTGGAATGTAGATTAAGGATGGAGAAGCTGAGCTGGGGGGAGATTTATTGCAGGTAGAGCTGAGGATGGTTTCCCACCAGCAGCTAAAGATGTTAGTTGATTTCTCTGCTGGGTACCAGGCCCAGTGCTAACCAGCTGCATAGCACTTTCTCTGTGGCTCCCTTCAGTGATAGTGTCTTGTTCCGGAGACTGGAAAATATACTTTGCTATCAGCAGACTTTTTGTATTGTTTGGCTCTGCCATCTGGACCATTCTGGATTGAACCCAGTGGGCTGTGATCTGCAGGGCCAGTGAAGCCAAACTAGTGGGACCTGGAGTAGCAGCCAATGGGGTAGCAGCTGATGGATGAGCAGTGAGATTAGGGAGAGGAAGGCCCTTTGAAGCAACCTGTCCATAGCACTCTCTTCCCAAACAGCTCTAGCAAATGAGGCTCATGCAGACCCTGGTCTGGGTTGTTTGTCTTCTGTTGAACCATATAGGATGGAAGAAAGTTTTTTCCTAGCAAGGCCAAAACAAGTGAGGAAGGGAAGCATGTGCTCTGGCTTGTGGGAAGTAGAACAAAAGCACACATCTCGGAGTCTGGCAGGCGTGATGCTGATACTGGCTCAGGTACTTATTAGCTCTATGTGACCTTGGGCAAGTTTTCTGAGTCCCGGTTTTCTCCCATGTAAAATGAGGCTAGTAATAAAAATGTACAGGCTCATAAGGAGTCAAGTGTCTACTGTGCAGTGGGTGGTCAGTATGTGTGTGTGGATTTTCTTTCCCAGTGAACACAAATTGGGCTTCCCTGGAATGGTAGTCTTTAAGTTGGAGACCTGGGTTTGGAGGAGTAGGGTGATCTGCTGGGGTTGCCAAGTCGGGGGCCAAACCTGATGATGAGGCCACAGGGCGGAAGAAAGGGCAGAGCTTCACCCCTGTAAACACCCATTTGGGCCCTTCCTTGGGGTGGGAAAGCCCTGATTCGCACTAGAAATGTCATGCCTTTCTATCACATAAATTAGGAAGGCTAATACTGATCTCTCTTGTTGCCAAATACTCCCCTGCTTTCCCTTTTATGATGCTATTTGATGAATCATTTGAGAAGTATTACCTGAAGAAAAACTTTAGGGAGAAAGATTGTCACCTCTGACCACCTTTGCACAATCCTGAGTGCAGGCTGTTTCTGTTGTTGGCTATCTTGCAGTGGTAGAGGATTTATGTGATGAGAATGGCAGTTTTGGTGTTATTTGCAGAATTGAGATGCCTTAACCTGAAAACCTTTTTGCCCCTATGGAGTATAAAGCCGATTAGGAGTTCTTTTGTGCTCTGCCGCAAATCATTACATGTCTACATTTTGCTCTTATAAAATATGGATAATGACATGACTCTGTCTCTTAGGAGTCTGAGTGCATTAGCTAATGATCATGAAACCTTAGAAATAGAAAATTTATATGAATGTCAAGAGCTTTTGTAATTACACATTTGCATCATTTTGCTTGGCATCCTTGAAAGTTGTGCTTTCAACATGAGAATACTAGGGTTGATTCTTGTTTTTCTCATTGTGGAGCAAGCTCTGAAGAAATAAGCCCAAAGAGTGTTCAAACATCAATTATCTCAGCTTCTCATGAAAGCCTTGAAGTAGCTTAGACCAGAGTGGTTTGGTTTGGGCTGAGGTGGAAGAAGAGCTTGAGATATTTTAAAGGCACTCAAGCTAGAAAATACCAGGAACTGAGGATGGAAATGGCTTTCATGCAAGGTTGTATGTAGATGCTCATGTCCCTTGTCCCCTGTGTCCTCAGACATACATTGTCTGGAAAATGCAGTTTTTTTTTTCTCCTCCAGATAATTATTTTAGGATTTAAGAAACTCTTTAAAAAAAAGATGTCAAATGGTAATGTTCTGAATACGCTGAGTAGAAGAGTTTAAAAAAATTGATCTTTAGGAAAATAGTTACAGATAGTAACCTCACAGTGTGCCATTTGATCGCTGATGTTGTTTTTATTTCATTGCAGGCAGTGGAGCTACTGCTGTGGTTCAGGCAGCCCTATGCAAACCCAGGCAAGAACGTGTAGCAATAAAACGGATCAACTTGGAAAAATGCCAGACCAGTATGGATGAACTATTAGTAAGTAACAGTGCAGGGAATACCTGCTGGTTGCTTTTCTTAATCTATGGGTATATGGGGATGGTTGGGAGAAGAGCAAGGTGTTATCTCCAGTTTTGACATATGCATTTCTTGGAAAGCAGCCCCTACCACTTCCTGCTCCCCAGATTAATGGGACTGTACCTTATGATTGTGTTGTATAATGAACACCTTCCCTTGCTTTGAGAAACAGTATTTTGCTCAGTTCGAATAATCCCAAGGTGAGAATGGCCTCAGCGTTGGCACTCCACTTGCTGTATCAAGGGCACACACTGTGGCGTGACCTAACATGACAGGATTACTGACTGCAGTTTTGGATGGTGAGCTTCTGGCCCTCCATCTAGAATGTGTGACACAAATGGAAGTTGTCCCCCAAACTATTTGTTGGTCATTTTAGCTTTCATAAATTATAGCATCACACAAATTTGAGTTATTTTTTTTTTAAATGCTCTGTAGCTTGCATTTGGCTAATGAGAGGAGTTTGTTTTTCTTAACGTGGCAATTTGTACTTCTTATTCTAAATGAGTACTTTATATAAATAATTGGAGCTTGTCAGTGTGGATATGACTATAGTAGCAATGGTTGGTTGAAGGAACATTTGCTTTTGGCTTAGCTGACTCATTATTAAATGAACAGCTTGGCAAATGGTTATTAGTTGCCCGGCAAACTGTGAAGGGTTTGAGGGTTTAATCTCATAAATATCGTTGTTGTTCTACCGGCCAATTTTCTTTTTTTCCCTTTTGGCCATTTATTTGAGGATAATAGAAAACTGCAGTGGAGGAGTTAACTGATTGGTTATCCCCACACTAATCCCAGTACAAATATTAGTCCAGTAGCTCCATACAAGCTACAAAGTATAATGACAGTTGGCTGCAAATGAAGAAGCCTTTTGTTACAGTCTACATTGAGAATGGAATGTCATTAACAACAGCTTTTTGTCTTTACTCAGAATATAGCTTTTATTTTAGGCTTAATTACAGTACACTATAGTATAAATTAAGTACAAGGATAAAGCTGTACTTTTCCAGATCTGTTTGGCCTTACATTTTAAATTAGGCTACACAATGCATAGATTTCATTGGGTTTTATTGAAGCAATGGATTGCCGGCTAAAACTCAGAAGAGAACCAGGGCTTCCACAATTTAATGTTAATTTTTGAAATTTGCATACATTCAAGGCTTTTAACGGCCTTGAAATTTCAGCTGTGCTTTGCTCTTACTGAAATTCCTGCTGCATGCTACTTGTCTGTTGCTTGCTATCTTAGTGACCAGTAATATTGTGCCTTTGTCACCCAACCAGTTTTCAAGGTCACTTTCTCTGAGTTGGAAAACGCATTTTATAAACTGTGGGGAGAGTTGGGTCCTGCTTCTGCCACTAAACTTGTTTTCACTTTAGTAGAGTTACACAACAGCTCTGCGCGATTTAAAAAGAGTTGAATTGGAAGTTTTCTTCTAAGATCCCTTTAGGAATCCTGAAATTCTGTGGCTATGCATAAGTGTACTTTAACATTTAAAAAAAAAATTTGGAGTGTGCATTTAAATATATGTACTGTTTGGATGTATCACTCAAGAATTTGCCAGTGATAGTTGTGTTTTTGTTTTTTGTATTTTTTTGAGACAGAGTCTCACTCTGTTGCCCAGGCTGGGGTGTAGCAGTGTGGTTTTGGCTCACTGCAACCTCCGCCTCCTGGGTTCAAGCGATTCTCCTGCTTTAGCCTCCCGAGTAGCTGGGATTACAGACATGCACCACCACGCCCGGCTAATTTTTGTATTTTTAGTAGAGACAGAGTTTCGCCATGTTGGCCAGGCTGGTCTCGAACCCCTGACCTCAGGTGATCTGTCCGCCTCGGCCTCCCACAGTGCTGGGATTACAGATGTGAGCCACCGCACCTGGCTGATACTTGTGTTTGATTGTGGTATTCTGTTAGAGGTCTCAGCCATTTTTTTTGCCATTAGCAGAATATTGATACAGAATATGTGTAAGGCTTGCGTGTACTTGTGCCTGACAGTTCTGGAGCCTGCCTTCTGGTTTGATGCTATGGTCTCTGGTTTCTACCAAGCCCTCAGTTGCCCACAGCCTTCACGTTTCCCTCTGCTAGCGTTTCCTCCACAGTGTCCAGTGATGGTAACCGTGTAAGCTTCTGGGTGGAGGTCAGCAGGGAGGCTGGTCATTCTGGTTTCTTTCCTTTGTTTTCCTGGAACCAGTAAGCATAGCAGTGTCATTTGGAGCTACTTGTAACTTAGGTAGAGCTGTCTATCTAAGGACTGGTGCTTTTGTGGCTTTGTGCTTTGCTCCATTCGTCTGAGGTCTTAGGATTTATGAGTTTGCTTATGAGGAGTTAATTTATTTTCTCATTCTTATTTTCTTTCCTTAATGCCCGTGTTGCAATAGAGTATAATATATTTGCATTATTTATTTTTCATTTTATATTGATTTATTGCTTTGATGTTTCCTTACCCTTGAATCTTTGACCTTTTGGTGTGTTGATATATTTAGAGAGGGGGGAAATGGCTATGGTTCTTTAGGATGTACAACTCCCAGGTCGTTTTCAAACAAAAATAAATAGAATTTACAGAGTATAGCCTGCCTGATTTGCCAGGCTTCTGTGGCCCAGTTATTGGCACATGAGATCGTGTGGAGCACAGTTGCTGTCATCTTTTCAATGTCTAATACTGCTGTTGCTTGCACTTTTATTATTTCAGAGGGCTCACATTTTGGCAGTGTTTGGACATCTGGTATCCTAATAATCCTTTAATTCCATGAGTGTGTATTATATACAGGTCAGTGCACTGCATCGTCTCACAGACTGTGCCATGTGTTAACTGGAAACCATTGTTCCTAGAAGAAACAATGGCCACTGGGATCTCTTCTTGTGAGAGTGTTATGTCATAGAAATCACAATTATCAACTATTTGTTGGCCACTGGGACATGTTTCTCCCTTGATGAAACTGTAACACCTCCTGACCCCGACTCCCAGCTCAGCCCCCACTGACTACCTATCCCCGTCCTGTCCCCACTCCCTTTGTCCCATAATAAAGGGGGATTTACACACACAGGTCAGAATTGATGGCACACAACAGTTTTAGGCAACTGGTCCAGAACTCGACTTCTTTATGTGGTAGGGGCTGTCAGTTGAGTTTCCTGTAGGTCACAGAGCTGGATCCAGGGTTTGCTGAAGAAGGAGTCAAGCAGTCATCATTTCTGAAGGGAAGTGCTAATTACAGTGTCAGCTTCTTTGTGAATGAGGAGAGGAAAAGAAGTGTTAGATGAGCTC
The DNA here is from genome assembly GCF_000001405.40 of Homo sapiens. NCBI lineage: Eukaryota > Metazoa > Chordata > Mammalia > Primates > Hominidae > Homo > Homo sapiens. The sequence goes on along the minus strand of NC_000002.12, from coordinate 168,178,684 downwards.
ATTGGTGCTAAATAATTGATGATTCAGATTTATACTGTTGAAATGAGTACTGTAATATTCTGTAAAGATAAGTTAGTTACAGATCAAATAGGCATTTATTTATTTATTTGGTAAATACTTACTGAGTTTCTGTATTATGCTTAAGCCCATCAAAAGGATGACTTTTGGGTGTGTATATGAGAGTACAAGGCTTTATGCCCACTAAAAATTCATTTTAGTTTAACAGCAATTAGATTAGAACACTCCCAAATAAATGTTTTTCTTGGTATGATATGAATAGCAATTAATCTAATCCTTTTTTATTTATTCTTTTGAATTTTCATGTATGTTTTGGAGTTTGGCCTTTTAACTGTACTCTGATCTCTGAAGGTATAATGATCTTAGTGTTTAGTTTTCCAGGAGCCAAGGATATGTTCTGGTTTGTTCTGTATTCCTTACTGTGCCAACATAGATGCTTTGGTAATTTCTGAAATTTGTTAACCCCACATTTGTTGTTAACTGCACATTTGTCAAGCCCATCATGGTGTAAATGACTAATTATAACTAGTTTAATGCTCTCTAGGAGATACTTACAGTTTTAGAGCAGAACTTGTTAACACCAGAATTATCAAACCCCCTTAGATGCTAGGCACTGACTTTGGTGATGGGAAAACAGAATGGATTCCTATTTTTGGGGGAGACCATGGACTAGTGAATGAGTCTCTTCATTTTTGTTTTGGGTTGGTGAGATTTTTGAACTAAGGGATGTTTTTCTGGACCTTTTGTCTTTATTTGCCCAGAAATGGTTTAGCAGATGACTAGACAGTTTACTTTTGTCTAATATGTATTCCCTTGAGGGAGTTCCTGCTTTCCAATAGGAATTTAAGATTTGCCCAATGGGTCTGACCCATTGTCTTGCAAACTAGTATATTCTGTGTCAAGATGGCCTTGAGGTTTCCTGCTAGAGCTTGGCTCTCTGGTTTGTGATCAACCTCAAAGGCTAGGGATGCTACCCTGGGGCACTCTTGACTTCCCTTAAAATCCATCGCATGAGTGCTTTTTCTTGAAGTCATGTGTCTTTTCAGCCTCTATCACCAGGTGACAAAATGAACTCCATAAATATAACAGTCCTTCCTTCTATTTACCCTAACCCCACTTTTTGTGATGTTCAGGTTACTCTACTTTATTCAGGGATTGATGAACATTTTGGTTCATCACCTTATTTGACTTTATGACTTTTAGACTTTAAATAGATCCCTTTCAATTTTTTCCTATTGCCTCAAGTTCTCATATTTCTAGTCTGCCTTTGGTACCCATTCACAGAAAATTCAGCCTCATTTGCTCATTCCTACACATACATCAATGCCATCAAAATTTACAGTTTAATTCTCAGGGGCAGGAGAGTCATAGGAGAAATCATGGCCCGGGGACGAGGCAAAGCATTTGTGTCATTAAAAAAATGAAAGAAATAATTAAGTGATTACGTTATGAAATTATGGAATGCTCATTCCATAATTTCCATATGTGAATTCCATATGTGAACAAAGTCATTTCAAGAAAACCATGGCTATAAAAAAGTGATGAATGTTGATCCTTTGATAGAAGGAAAGGAACTCCCTGGGTCAGGGGACTTGCTTTCTTTGCTTGACTCCCCTACAGAACTGCTCATTCTGGAAAAATCAGTTTCACCACTGGTCCTTATTTGTGTGATGACAAATTCTGGCAAAATTTTATTTTTATTACCCAAGTGCTATGAATCTATGTATTTAAAAGTATATTAACAAAACCCCCTTTTCAATTCACTTAAATAAAAATACTAATTACTAGCAAATCATGCATGGTAATTCAGGATAGAGTCAAGTCACTTTAGCATTACGGTATGATAGCAGAAATCTACTGTAAATTCATAGATTTGGGTACACAGTGTATCATTTTTTTCTCCTATGAACATAATGAAAGAGTTTCTCTGTCATTCAGTAGTCTTCAACTGTCATCTGCTTTTTTCTTCCTGTATCATCTTTCTCTAGGGATTTTGGTCTAACTCACTGACAATATTTATAGATAAAATCAAGAACTTTTTCCTCAGAACAAAGCCACTGCCCTCATTTTGCTTTCTGCTGTAGCGTTGTTTTGTTGTTTTTCCTTTCTCTTGATCTACTGTTCACTCCCTCCGTCACCTCCCTCTCCTTAGAAAAATGAGTTAGCTATGATTTGTGGGTTATTGGAGAATAAAGCTCTAGATATCTTCGTGGCTTGATGATCATTTGAGAAGAACTGTTATTCCTAACCATTATCTGATGCAGGTTGCTCTCATCCTTTTTAAATTAAAAGATTTGGTGACCTCTGAGCAGTTCCTCCAGTCAGAAGGTTTTTTTTTTCTCTTCCTTTTAATTGAGGTTTAAGGGGGGGAGAAACTCTCAAAACCTTGTTTGCAGTGTTTTAGCAAATTTATGGAATTATGTTAATACTTTTGCAAAGCTTGTTTATTCTAGAAAGATAGTGATTAAAAAACTTCCATCTTTTTAATTTGACCCTAAAACAGTATAATTTTGTATGTGTGTGTTTTCTTTATCGCATCAACGAAAGTATGTTTCCATTCTTTTTGAAGTTAAGAATTTTCTAATTAGTACATTAATAATTCATATCCCAGCTCATTCATCGTATGTGGTAACAAATTGCATTTAGCTATTTGTTGTAGAGTTTTTTATATTAAGGATATAGCATTAGCATGCAAGCCTACTTCACTGAATATAGTATAGTTTTGAGCATTTCAGGTTTCAACCATTAAGTTTTGTTCTGTCATCTGTCTCTTGCCACTTAGTTTTGTAATTATTTTAATATATTTTGTAGTACTATTTCGAGCATTTCAAGTCTCGGCCATTAAATTTTGTACTGTTATCTTTTTCTTGCAACTTAGCTTTGTAACTATTTTCACGTAATTTGGTGTTTATGTTTATCCAGGTATAGTCCAAATGAGGGCAGGATTGGAAATAGAAAATTTTTGTTTATTTTGAAAGCACAAAAACATTCTTAACGAATTGGAGAATAAATACTATACTGTATATGCAAAACTAACATTTTTAGAGCACTAAAGTTGTATTAGCTTAGGAACATGTATAATTTGGTTGGAGAAAACAACTTTTATTTTTGGAACATCAAATTTAAAAGTTATGTAGCTTATTCGGATACTAATTAAATATACTAATTGAATTTACTTTTAATTGTTTTCTACATTTGTTAGAAATAGCTCATTAAAATGTCTAACCTCTCATGCTTTTTTTTCAGAAAGTAAGCAAAAATTAACATTGCAAAAACACTTATGTTTTGGGGCTTATATGTTTTCAGTAACAGGGACCCAGCACATACTCATTTTCAGAGTAGGAGAAAATGGGGAAAACATGCCCAGATTGAATATAATTTTAGTTACATCTCACTTTTTAAATATCTCACTTTTGCCTTTCTTCTAGACTTCAGGAAAATGTTGCTTAGGTTGAGACAAATGCTTTAGTTCTTTCCTATGTTATTGTCGTTCTTATTTTGGTTTCGTTATTTCCATAATTAATTAAGCTGTTGCTGAAAAAGGAGGGCTGTGGAATCCTCAGGAGGAAGGTTGGAGAGTATTAAGAGGAGGCTGCAGGAGGGTTGTTCCCTGGCAGAACCCCAGATGGCACACAGTATCCAGGGTGCCACAGGCGATACCACAAAAAGAAGACACATTACACCCTACATTGTCACTGTGTGGTGGTGAACCCAAATACAGCAGCAGTGGTAAAAGTTGGCCTCTAGGTTTCCAGCAGTACAATTTGGCTGACAAGAAAAGTTCTTCCTGTTTCTGTTTCTGGTTTCTTGGGTGTTTTTTTTTTTTTTTTTTTTAAGAGATGAAGTCTTGCTATGTTGCCCAGGCTGCCCTCGAACTCCTGGGCTCAAGTGATCCTTCTACCTCAGCTTGGTGAGTAGTTGTCATTACAGGTGCATGCTACCAGGCCGGCCATCTATTTCTGTTTTTAATGACATCTTCAATTTGAATTTTTTCAGTATTCCCAGTCACAATTTAATGGTCAAAAAGCGATTGTTCATACCTGAGTGTGAGTCTGATTCCACTGTGGCACCCTCAGCACTTTTAGAGCCCAAAAGACATCATTATTGTTTGTTGAATAACTTTTTTAGCTAACTATAAAAGAAAATGGCATCTTCCTATTGAGTTTTCATATAGTATTTCAATATCACTACTGTATTTTTTGCTTTCTCCCCCTTGTTTCATTTGAAAAAAATAAGTGGCTTCTTCACTTCCAAGCGAATTTTAATTTTTTAGGACAGTTTTTGCAGAGCACGCAATTTCATGACATTATAACGAAGCAAGTAGGCCTTGGGATATTCATTCTGTTCCGTTAGCAAGTAGACGTTTGCCCATCGGGATTTCTCTGCTACTTCTGAGAGATTTTCCAGACCTTCAATTGCCCTGACACTTTACACTTTTTATAACTGCTTCTCCCTAGTTTTAAAAACTTCTCTACAAACACCAATTAAGGCTATCACAAAATTTATGCTTTCCTTTTCCTGATTTCTTAAAAATGTTTCTATTTCTTAAAAATGTTTCTCTTTCTTCAAAATACCTAGTTCCCATTTGTAAACCTGCCTTCCATTGGACTATACTTGGTTAAACTCAGATACCAAATCACATGAAAATAATTGTAAAGTTAAGTGGCAAAGGACATTCGTTGATTGATTTGTAAGTGGTACAAGACAAAATGTTTGACTTCCTTGAATAGGTTTTTCTCTGCTGGTACTTTTCTTATAAAGGAGGCAAGAGTTTGCTGTATAAATGGTATATCATTTTTTGCAATTAAAAGAATTCATGACTGGGTGCGGTGGCTCACGCCTGTAATCCCAGCACTTTGGGAGGCTGAGGCAGGTGGATCACCTGAGGTCAGGAGTTCAAGACCAGCCTGGCCAAAATGGTGAAACCCTATCTCTACTAAAACTACAAAAATTAGGTGGCACACACCTGTAATTCCAGCTACTCAGGAGGCTGAGGCAGGAGAATCGCTTGAACCCAGGAGGCAGGGGTTGCAGTGAGCCGAGATTTCACCATTGCATTCTAGCCTGGGCAACAAGGAGCAAAACTCCATCTCAAAATGAATAAATAAATATAAATATAAATAAAAAAATTCACAATGACATTTTCATGATTGAAAATGACAGTCCAGAAAAATACATTGCTCTTCTAAGACCTTGTTAATCCTGTTCTTCCATGCCTTGGTTGACGTTTGAAATCACTGAAATTTGTTTTTGGTTAAACCTGCTACTTAACAGTATTCGGTTATTTGTGAATATTGATTAGGTTACCTTTCATAATGCTGCTAAAAGAAGTGCATGCTGGAGAAAGACTTTCTGAAAAGTGTTTTTATTTAACAAGATTACTCCTATACCATTTAAAGAATTCTTTAAATGTTTCGAGGGTATTGCATACATTTTACAGATGTATTTGGTCATCTCTTGCATTTGGAAGTAGATGTTTTATTTGATAATATTTGTACATCATACATAGATTACATTGCAGTGGGGAAACGTGCCTGGGAGCTACATGTTTCTCTCACCATTTCATTGAAAGAAAAATACATTTCAGCACTTAGCTCGCAAGTAGGGGTTCTAAGCTGTGGCTGCACATTAGAACCACCTGGGAGCTTCTGAAAATTTTCATTCCCAGGCTGTCTCCTAAACCAATTTACAGCAGCCTCCCTGGGGCCGGGACTCAGGTGTGGGTATTTGTCAAAGCTCCCCAGGTGATTTCAATATGCAGCCAAGGTTGCGATCCATTGCTTTAGAATAAAGTTAGAAGCATCTCCTCAGATTTAACTGCATACAATTTTGGAGCTTGAGTAAGTTTGATTTCTTAACTAAGTACTTGAGTAGGATATTTTGCCATCATTATCAGATAAAGAATAATTTATTTAGGATTTACATAAGTTGTAAAATACGCAAATTTGGTTAAGTATAGTTTAATATTTTGAATTCAGAATCATTTAAACTCTTCCCTTTCAGTAACAAAAATCTCTTTCCTTTTAGTGTTTTATGAATCTCACGGTCTTAGGAACAAAAGAAATCAGGTTTTAACTTTTTCCTAATTCTTATATCTTTAAACTTGTACTATTTCTCTTTGTTCTGAACCCTTTGCATAAGTATCTATTTAGATAACTTATTCCGAAAGAGTTTGAGGCAGTTTACCAGGATACATGAAGTATGACAAGGTGGTATAAATTAAATACAGGGTGAAATTAGGAAAAACATGGGTTGAGACAATGTAGAGGTTAAAAATTCATGACCAAATGACCTATCCATGCATTACAGCAAACTCCTTGAGCCAGTGGGGCCAACAGATGTGTCCTGTGACATTTCTGTTGGAAAAAGTGACGGCTGCTGCCATGGTCTGTCTCTGTGCCTTTGAGGCTTAGTCAGGAATTGGGACACTTGAGATTAGGGCGATGCTCACACGCAACGAAGAAACTGAGACATTGAACAGACTGAATTAACTTTGAACATTTGTGTTATGTGCTAGGCATTCTGCAAGGAGTTTTATACATCTCATTTCCCCTACCTCACAATAATCTCATGTAGATAGTAGTAATCTCCTTTTACAGAAAAGGAAACTGAGGCTCAAAGTTGTTGGATAACCCGCCTAGGTAATCAAGCCAGTAAATGGCAAGGCCAAGCTTCCAAGCCAGCTGTGACATAGAGTGCGGCCCTTCAGTAGTAGATCCTGGAGGATCAGATCCTTGCTAGTCACAGTTCCTGATTGGCCTCAGTACTATTTGTAGGAGAAATAATGTTTTGTGTGTGGGGGGGAGGGGGGAGTGGGGGGGGCGTGGAAATGAAAGGCCATATAGCAATATGAGAAAATCTCTTATTATATTTAGTTATGGCAGGGTACAGTGGCTCACAGCTGTAATTTCAGCACTTTGGGAGACCAAGGAGGAGGATTGCTTGAGCCTGGGAGCTCGAGACCAGCCTGGGCAACACAGTGAGACCCTGTCTCTACAAAAAATTTTTAAAAATTAGCTGGATGTGATAGCATGTGCTCATCCCCCCTGCTACTCAGGAGGCTTGAAGTGTGAAGATTGCTCGAGCCAGGAAGGTTAAAGCTTCTGTGAGCTATGATTGCGCCATTGCACTCCAGCCTGGACAACAGAATGAGATTGTCTAAAAAAAAAAAAATTAAGTTTTTTTTTCCCTTTTTTTATTTTCAGTTCTGTTATTTTTTGGGGGAAGGGGAAGTTTTTTCCTCCCAACTCCTCATATTTGTAGGGTAGGATACTTTATTTTGTATTCCTCACCACACCTAGCATGACGCGCGTAATGTCTGGTTTGGCAAATTTTGCAGGGCTGGCATAACAGCAGTGTGTGGGTGTCCTTCTTTGATATGTCTTTCTTGCACATGGCTCCCTGCAGAGGGGTGCTGCTGTGGCTGCCACTTCAGTTCTAGCAGGTGGATAGGGGATCTTCCATGCTACCCCATTTTAAGGTTGGTCTTCCCACTCTTGTGAAATTTCACTTGTGATACATTTCAGATGGAGCTGCATGAACAGCTCTGTCAGCCTCAGAGAAGATTAACTACTGTGCCATAGCTTGGTTTGGCGCTTGTGACATGTCTAAGTCTCATTTCCTCGGTTTCCAAGGGAGCCACTGTGTTCAATTCCTTGACTATATTTTTGGCAAATGTGTTGCCTGCATTTCAGAGTTCTGTAGTTTCTCCCATCTTTGACCTCGTGGGATTTTTGTTTGTTTGTTTGCTTGCGTTTCTTTTTTAAATCTCAATGAAGTTTTTACCCTTTTCTGTCCTTGTGAAATTCACACCACTTTAGTACAACAGTCTCCCTTATTTCCAGCTTTGCTTCTTACCCCTCTCCTCCAGTTAGACTCTCCTCCAGTTAGACTCAGCCAGGCAGTACTGTCGGCCAGACCCACTACTGGGCACTTTTGACACTGTCGGCTTCCTTGCAGTCGTCTGTGTCCCTCCTCTCACATCCCCCAACCTTCCTCTCTGCCTTCTTTCAAAGCTCAGTCTACCACTTTGCCACTCAAAGTCTGGTTTCTGGACCCACAGCATCAGCATCACATGGAAGCCTGCTAGAAATGCAGATTCTCAGGCCGCACTGCAGCCCTTCCGAATGGGAGTCTGCATCTTAGCAAATTGCTGAGGTGATCTGCATGCCCATCCAAATTAGGGAAGCACCGCTTTAACTCACGCTTCTGCCTTGGGTTGTGACCTAATTAAGAGAATAGGATGTTAGAACCCATTCATTCTGTCGAAAGAATCAGCTAAAACATTTTTATATTTTCAAATTGTTCATCTTTAGGCAATAGTTTTGTCATTTTTAGGGATAGGGACAAACAAATATGCTTGGTAATGAATGTCTTTTCCTAACCATATGAATGCGGTTAGGGCATTAGGAGAAGCTTAGATAATTTAACCAATAGATTGTTACCAAGGGAGCTTTCAAATAACACCCATCATTGTTTTGAAAAGAATGGAGGGGATAGTTTTGTGGAAAGATTTCTAGTTTTCAGGTTTTTAACTTTCTTCTATGTGGAAATATTACTTATCCTGGGGATCAGTGATAGCATAGGTCATATCTCAAGACAGAGCTACAGATGTTTCTCCCTAAGGCGAGTTTCATCATGTCCTTAAGCATTAATGCTTGTGGAAAAGCTGCTGTGCAGGACAATGGATGGTGCAGGAGTTGGGGACATGGACCCCCCTAGCCAAGAAGTGAAGAGGGATGGCTCAGCTGCATGGAAGAAGAATGTGAGGTTGAGTGATCAAACTGATGGAAAGCCACTCTTGGGCCCCCTGCCCCTTCTTTTACCTGTCCTTATACTGCTCCTGTGGTTGTGTTGGTGTGGCAGTATCTGTGACCCCTCATCCCCCACTCATTTAAATTCTGGAACCTTTTAATGTCCAGATGGTGTCTCTAAGACTCAGAGTTTTGAAGGAATAGAATTTGCTAAGTTATATCTATAGGTTCTACAGGTTTTCTAAAGGAGTTACACACACACACACACACACACACACACACGCTCACTGCAAAGTCAGAGAACCTGATACTTTGGGTGGGAAGTGATACTGGCCATCTAAATGCAAAGGGCTAAAAAGTGTGTTTTTCTAGACTGACTCAACCTTGCCTTCAATGTAAAAGAATTTCCTTTTGTATGACCATTAGTTGTTTTGTGCATTTTGATAAATTATTTAAAAGTTTGGAGTTACAGCACTAGAAAAGCATTCACTTACATTTAGAGTGCAGCTGCATTTAAGAGACATTGTTCTCGTTTCTTTGAACACTAGGCATCTGTTTAAACTGGACCCTACCTAATGCTACAGACCTTCAGTGTGGGCCATCCCCGCACTGAGCAGATGCTATTGACTTGAAATAGGAGTGGCCAGGGCAGTGTTCCATTTCTCCTTCAGAAGTGTCTTATGGCATCAGAACCTAATACCGGAAACAGATGGAAACTGAACCTCAGGTTTCAGATCTTATTCAAAGGATAAGAGTTGCTGAATTGAAAAGTGTCAGATTTAGAAAACCTGTAATCAGTCAAATGGATGAGGGGAATGATGAAGGAAAATCATTGTTATATACTGAGAAGAAAAAAGAAAAATTAGTAGTTTCTAAGGAGTTTATCTTTGGTTAAAAGCACTTCATTTTTATTATTTTTTAATTTTTTTTTGAGACAGAATCTTGCTTTGTCACTCAGGCTGGAGTCCAGTGGCACGATCTCAGCTCACTGCAACCTCCACTTCCCGGGTTTGAGTGATTCTCGTTCCTCAGCTTCCTCAGTCATTGGGACTACAGGCGCACACCACCACACTCAGCTAATTTTTTTGTAGAGACAATGTTTCTCATGTTGGCTGGGCTGGTCTTGAACTCCTGACCTCGGGTGATCCGCCTGCTGCGGCCTCCCAAAGTGTTGGGATTACATGTATGAGCCACTGCCCCCAGCCAAAAGCACTTTAAATAAACATATATGTTAAGGAACGTATGAGTGTTACATATTACAGAATTTTGGCCAAGTTGTCGGATATATAGGATCTTTTTAGTAGTATGAGGATTAGGCAGTACTGGACAAGCAAAGATAACGTCCAAATTGAGATGTTCTGCTTGGGTAACTTTGAGTTAATGTGAAGCTCATTATTATTGAATATATTCATAGGATGCATAAATGTACCCTTCTTTCATCAATACATAATGGCAAAAATGAGGTTTCTTTGATCATTTAGGTTATTCTTGTCCTTTTTATGGCACCTTGAAAGTGAGTTACACTGGTCTGGTACCTTTGATTGAGAGTTACATTAGACTGAAGCTTTTATGGGAGTCATCCGACAATAACTTAAAACGAGAAACTGAAATCAATATGAAACTGAATATTCCAGAAAAATGTGATTTATTGAAAGTTTCCTTTTGTTTTATTTCTCAGCTTTGTTGTTTTATGTCTTTATATAAAACAACAAAGAATAAAATATATTTTATTCTCTACAGCAGTGTTTCCAAGATGTGACCCACAAAGCATTCTTTTCCTGCTCTGTTAATATGGATTAAACTATGGCAGTTTATCTACTGCAGGACTTCTCAGAGCCTTTGACAGTACTAATATTCCCTGTGATTCTTTTAGAATGAGATATATTATCTGATCTTTCCCAAGCTTATTTTACTTCGCCTGCCGCTCTCTTCCCTGCCACCTCCTTTTTTTAGTTAATGGAATATCTACTGTGGCAGATAGCTGGGAAATAATACTGTAGCATTTTCAAATGTATTTTCTCATTTACCATCACAGCAGTCCTGAGAAACAGGGACAGTTTTGTTGTCGTTTTTTGGATGAGGGAGGAGCTAAGATCCACCAGAGTTCAGGCTGGCACCAGGATGCAGGTGTCCTAGTAACTCACCCAGTCTTTTATCTCCCTGTCAAGCCTTCGGTTCAGGTATGAGGCTCTTAGTCCTATGTGGCAGGGCTCTCTGCTGGCAGAGTTGGGGGGTCATCTGGGTGATAACAGTGATCTGAAGTTCCTGTGTCTGGTAGCTGGTCCACAGGGCTCTGTGGTCTCCTGTAGAGAACTTTCTAATCTGAGTTGATAATGTGGGTGAGAGAATTGGTCCTTATATACCTTCTTTGAAGTAATGGCTTAGGCAGCCCCTCAGGTAGGCTTTCGAGTAGGAAAGTTACCCAGGTACTCAACTGTGATTCACTTGTGTTTTGCTTGCCAATTTTCACCCCATGGTACTATGTCATGTTTTGCTCTTTTTATAGAAAGAAATTCAAGCCATGAGTCAGTGCAGCCATCCCAACGTAGTGACCTATTACACCTCTTTTGTGGTCAAAGATGAACTTTGGCTGGTCATGAAATTACTAAGTGGAGGTAAGTGGATTTTGTTGTTGTTATTTATTTGCTTGTTTTCTCTCCTTTTGTTGGAACCAGCATATTGGAGAAGACTTTAGATTGAATCCTTTCTCTCCTGTGTTTGAAAGTTTGTTTGGTTTCTCATTGCCTAGAGGATAACGTCCAGATTGCTTCACATTGACCTTCAAAGCTTTTCATAATTTTGCTTAACTTCCGAGAATGTGTATGTCCTCTTCTCCAGGTATGAAATGCCCGACCTTCTAGGCTGAGAGGCAGCCCCCGGAATGTATTATGTGCTCTCATGCCTTTGCCCCTGACCTGTCCTCTTTCTCAGCCTTGCATCTCTCCTTTGTTTTCCATGTGCTCAGGCCTAAAAGGTCACATCCTCTCCACAGTCACCGCTTACTCTTCAAAAAAGTTAGCCAGTCCTTTCTCCTTGAGTCCTTTCTTTTTAACATTGTTCAGGTCCTTAACACATTGCAGTTTGCTGAATTATCTCAGTGCCATTTATCAGAATGTTCTGTGATGATGGAAATGTTCTGAGGTGCTGCTATCTACTTTTTACTAATCCCATGTGACTCTTAAGCACTTGACATGTGGCTAGTGTGACTGAGGGACTGAGTATTCAATTTTAATTAACTTACATTTAAATCACCTTGTATGGCTCCAGTATTGGACAGTGCATATTTAGGTTGTGGACTTTGTGAAGATTGTCTAATGCACTTTGAATTCATTGAACTTGGCGCCCAGTAGGTGCTCACTAAATGTGGTTTCAGTTGACATGGGGAGAAATGTGTGCTACATATTCACTTGCAGTGTTGATCAGAAATGGCACTATTGTCATCCTATTGTTGCATTTGGGAAGGGAAAGTCACTTCCTCTCTCTAGCTTCAGATCCCTGCAGTGATGCAAGCCATTGACAATTTAATTTACAAGGTGCTTTCACATCCTGTATTTTATTTCTTTTAATCTTCTAACATCACTATCAGAGAGGGAATGATAATGATAACCGTTGCCTTTTTTGAACACTTACTCTGTGGCTAGATCCTGTCCAAGGCAATTTACTGACCTTATCCCATTTAATCTTCACAGTGTCCCTGAATGGCCTGTGTCACCATCCCTGTTTTTCAGAAATTACACCAAATTTCAAGGGAGTTTAGCAACTTGCCCAAGGTCACACACATAGTAAATGTTGGTGCTGGAATTTGTGACTTTAACATCTGTTGACTTAAAAATTTGTATGCTGTGCTGCAAGTATTTACACCTTCGTTTTGCAGACATGGGCACTGAAGCTTAGAAAGCCCAAGTGATTTCCTTGGGAACACCCAGCATACCCACATCTCTGGTGTGTTCTCTTTCGAGGGCTTGATTCTCTGGGTATCTTTCTGAGACATGAAGTATGGTTTAGGATCAGAGGAGAACATTTTGCTGTGCCTGGACAACCCAAAACTAGCATAGCAGAATTTATATGATAGAGCCTATTTTAATCTGCAGATGTCGAGGGAGGTGTTTTAATGTTTTCCTTTTTTAAAAAGGAAACTCTCTTGGATCAAGCAGAAGCCCAAAAATGAGATGACGAAGGCATTGTAATTGGCTTGGGTCTGCTTGTGTAGGTCTCGGTGGGGAGCCCTGGGGAGCTTAGTTCTGTTCTGTTTTCAGTCTTCCTCAGTCTTATTAGTCATTGTTTCCTTGAGTGCCTACTTCAGTTTTTAATTAAAAAGAAAAAAAGAAAAAGGAAAAGAAAAAGGAAGCCTGCCAGAGCTGGACTGCAGTATTGAGTGCTGGGACTGCCCCTTTATTCAGCAGAGGAACTTGCGCTTTGCCAACAAGATGATCTTAAGGCATTCTCTTTTTGTGGGGTTCCACCAACTCTGAGGAAATGAGAAATTCTGATGACTTGAGACCCTGAATAGTCCCAAATGCTCTGCTCAAGCTGAAGATTTTACCTTTTGCTTTATGAAGCTGAGAATCTTCTGTTTTCTGAGGAGGATCTGACAGAAAATTTCTTTGTCTTTTTGAGTCCAATTTAGCCTCTCTGGGCTTTAGGTAAGAACAGATTTTAAACAGGTTTCCACAGGTAAGGACGTGGGCAGACGTGGACTCTTGTTCATTTTTCTTTTAGCAGGACAGAAATGCATGCATGCCTGGTATGGTATATCCTTATACAATAAAAAGAAAATGTTTTTGGAATTATCATTTTTTAAATGACACAAAAATCTAAGAGTCAACAAATAAACAGAGGTTTTTTTTTCCTCTGGGGAAAAATATGCATTTGTTTTCTTCTATTTCATTACATTGAATCTCTTAATGAGGGGCAGGCAGCTGTATCTGATGGGGAAGCTCAATCCTCTTAGTTAATTATAAAGAGCCTAGAGCCAAATTCAGGTCCTGAGGTAAGCCGTTTGTTAACTCTTCAGAAATGTCAAACCCCCAGGTAATTTTGGCTTTTAAACTGACCCAGGGGTTTGGAATACTAATTAATATGTGTTGAAACATGAATTCACAGTGCCAAGGATACTAATCTGTATATGGTAACAAAGTACTAGGTATCTGTTTGTTTATTGTAAGTGTTAGTGCCTCAAATATATCAGGTAAATGAAATAAAGATCAGCCAGGCTCAGTGGCTTATGCCTATAAGCCCAGCACTTTGGGAGGCCAAAGGTGGGCAGATCACTTAAGCCCAGAAGTTCAAGACCGGCATGGGCAACGTGGTAAGACCCCATCTCTACAAAAAATACAAAAATTAGCCAGGCGTGGTGGCACGTACTTGTAGTCCCAGCTACTTGGGAGGCTGAGGTGGGAGGATCGCTTGAGCCTGGGAAGTTGAGGCTGCAGTGAGCTGTGATTGCTCCACTGCACTCCAGCTTATATGACAGAGGCAGACTCTGTCTCAAATAAAAAAAGAAAAAGAAGGAAAGAAAATAAAGATCAGGTAGTGTCACAGGAAGGAATCTTCCGGTTATAAGCAGAGGTCTAGAAACAACATACTTCTTTCCCCCTCCCACCTGTGATTTAGGTCCTCAAAGAGTGTGTTTTTTTTCTCTCAGCAGTTCACTTCTGCCTTTTCTCCTGGCCTCATACTCCTTTCTTTGTCAGTTCAGACTTTTTGCACCCTCTTTGGAGGGTTGCTCTTAGGAATTTTTGTGAGAAATACTGTAACCAGAAAAGGAACCAGCCATGGAACGGCCATGAACAGCCTTCTGGTCCCTGACCCAGAATCCTTCTCGTTAAATTCACACTGAAAGTGCTCTTGCAAACTTGGATTTAGTGTTTTTGGTCATGGGGCCCCCATTCAATTGTTTGTTTGCCTTGGGAATATTTGCATTAAATAAAGCCCATATTTTGATGTTTCTATTAAATTTTATACATAATGGAGTCTTGTTCTGAAAAGGTGATGAAGGTGCTTATGTTTTAATTCTTCTGTTTGTCTACTTAGGTTCAATGTTGGATATCATAAAATACATTGTCAACCGAGGAGAACACAAGAATGGAGTTCTGGAAGAGGCAATAATAGCAACAATTCTTAAAGAGGTTTTGGAAGGCTTAGACTATCTACACAGAAACGGTCAGATTCACAGGTATGACCTCTGCAGAGATGTTTAAATTCAGATGTTCATATCTTAAAGAGGTTTTGGAAGGCTTAGACTGTCTACACAGAAACGGTCAGATTCACAGGTGTGACCTCTGCAGAGATGTTTAAATTCAGATGTTCATATCTTCAGCCCTAGTTTGTAAAGAATGTTAAGGAAACACATGTTGCAGGCAGGTATTGACATTACTTTAACTTAGTCTAAATAGATGGGAAAAAAGTACTTAAGAAAGAAACAAGAGAATAAATTTTGATGAATTATATTGGTATCCTTGGGATTGCTTCAGTTGCTTTCACTGAAATAAGAGTGGAATCTAAAAAGGACTACATGGACTCATTTAAAAAGATCAGTTTTGGTAACTACTCTTGAATTATACTAGTTGAACTAGACAGCATCTCTATCTTTCTAATACAAGCAAGACTATCCAAACATTGTACTATGTGAATTATTTTTGATGTGGTGGTGAGAGGGAAGGAAGAGGTACTCATCTTCTTTTGTGACATAAAATGTTAATTCTTTACATAGTCAAATCACATAGAATATGAGTGCTTGATGTTTCAAGTGAGTGAGTGCTACTTGGGCTCTTAGGAATTATTGCAAGTAAATAGCCATTTACCAGTAATACTAATAATGTAATTCTCCTACCCTGAAATTTATATTTAATTATTTCTACTATATTTTTCTTTTTCTTTTTTTTTTTGAGACAGAGTCTTGCTCTGTTGCCCAGGCTGGAGTGCAATGGTGTGATCTCAGCTCACTGCAACCTCTGCCTCCCGAGTTCAAGCAATTCTCCTGTCTCAGCCTCCCGAGTAGCTGGGATTACAGGCATGCGGCACCATGCCTGGCTAATTTTTGTATTTTTAGTAGAGATGGGGTTCACCATGTTGGCCAGGCTGGACTGACACTCTTGATCCCAGATGATCTGCCCACCTTAGCCTCCCAAAGTGCTAGGATTACAGGCGTGAGCCACTGTGGCTGGCCTATATTTTTCAATAATTAGAAAAAAGTTACTTTAGAAATCAAATTTATAAATTGCAAGTTGTCATTTTTCAAAGTACTAAGATTACACAGGTTTTATACGGTGAAGAAATATAATATCTATTATTATAATTAGTATTTATAATCAGTCTCTCACCAGAGAGAAGTTCATTTTTCAGAAAGATAATTAAGTTGGAATTGCATCCCAAATTTAAGTGGAAGTAGAGGAGCTTTACATAGACTGGGCTTTAATACTTGGTAGAATGACAGTAGTGTGAGTTTATGGGCAGTGTCTAACTCTGAAGCATAAAATAGAGAGTCTATTTACTGATGATTTAATTAAATTTGGATAATTATTTCATAGAAAATATTTCTTTCTAAAATCCTAACTCTCCCCCACGAGTAAACTATAAAGTGACAGGTGGATCCTTATACCTTTTTTTTTTTTTTTTTTTTTTTTTTGAGACCAAGTTTCACTCTTGTTGCCCAGGCTGGAGTGCAGTGGCACGGTGTTGGCTCACTGCAGCCTCCACCTCCCAGGTTCAAGTGATTCTTCTGCCTCAGCCTCCCAAGTAGCTGGGATTACAGGCACCTGCCACCATGCCCAACTAATTTTTATATTTTTAGTAGAGATGGGGTTTCACCATTTTTTCCAGGCTGGTCTCGAACTCCTGACCTCAGGTGCTCCACCCACCTTGGCCTCCCAAAGTGCTGGGATTACAGGCGTGAGCCACTGTGCCCAGCCTATCCTTATAACTTTTAAAATCTGTGCTATTATCTTAATATTTATGAAATTATTATGTCAAAGAGCTGCGTTGTATGATATGTTTTAAAATCTTCCTGAGTGAATCAATACACTATAAAGTCTGTACCCTACAATTTATTTTCTATTTTTTTTTCTAATAGGGATTTGAAAGCTGGTAATATTCTTCTGGGTGAGGATGGTTCAGTACAAATAGCAGGTAAAGCTGATAAATAGAAAAATTTTTTACTTGATTACGGAAGTGTTACAGTTTCAAGGAATGTAGAATCATTCCTGAGAAATGAATAAATGCATGTAATCTCTTTTCAGAATGATATTTACAGAATGTTTGGGTCCGAAGGATAACATATTTTCCTTATTGTTTTGATAAGTCATTAGATCATCCTGTGAAAAATGCCATTTTAGTACATAGCTTTTTGATAAAGAATAATTTTATTTTCAATTTTATTATGTTTTCTACCTTTCACATTTTATAATGGTAATACTCATATAACTTCAAGAAATGCACTTGTAAAAACATTTTTCGATAGGTTTGAAAATTTAAAACATCATACACATCAATTAAAAACTAATTTATTTCTTAAGAGGTATCTGAAAGAATTGTGAACATTAAAAATCTGGGCCTTATTTTGTTTTTAACTCTGACCCAACATGGCTATTCTTGACAAAGCTGGTAGGCTGGGGATGCAATGAATGTCTTTTACATGAACACACAATATCAGGTGAGCACCTTTCGTGTTCAAAGCCTCTATTTTGTTATTGGCCCTAGAGTAACCTTAAAGGCCTGGGATAAGATGTAGCCACGCCCATATTAACTCTTGCTTTACCCATGTCGTTGAAAGTCTGTCTCAGCAATCCTTTTAGCTTTCATGGTTTCTTGGGGGAGTGTTCTTGGCATTTTTTGGCTAGACAGTCATTCCCTCTACTGGAGTGACCCTGTCATTGCAGAGACGCGTAAGATGAGCCCACTTGTACCCATCACCTAGTTTCAATAATTATCAATCTTTGGCAATTCTTGATTCATCTGCTGCCCCCCACCCCCACCCCCCGACTCTGGTGCCTCTCCTCATCGTGGAGGCTGGATTTTGTTGTTGAGCCATCTGAGTTAGTGCTTTGTGTGTGCATATCTTGTCCTCATGAGTGGACCTTATCCCATAGGCTAAGGACAGTTTGAAAAAGTACTTCAGTTAAACAAGTAACAGCTAAGAGACATCTGTGGGCAAAGATTTCAAACTGTCCAGCCCCAAGCAGTCTAGTTGTTCAGAGTGCAGGCTCTGGTGTCAGCTGACTTGATCGAAATTCTGAGGCCACCACTTAGTAGCTGTACCACCTTGGGCAAGTTACCAAACCTTCTTAAGACTCAGTTTCCTTAAAGAAGGGTAAAAATATAAACTACTTCATCTTCTTTCATGAAATCAAGGTCCAGTGATCTTAACAGTGGCCAACACATAATAGGCAAGCAGTAAATATCAATAACTGCTGTTCTACCATGGCTGCTGCTGCTACTGCTGTTGCTACTATTACTACTATTACTTCTGTTACTACGACTAACAGGATCACAGTGATACTCCCTTGCACTGACTGGAGATCATGTGACCCTCAAATTGTCCTGCAAGAGCTTCAGCTCTGAGGAGAGTTTATGACTTATCAAAAGGTAATACTTATTAATTATGGAATTTGGAAGCTAACTTGCCATTAATCTTGCTCTAAGATGATAAGGAAGTACAACTAATTTTCTGTTTTATGATGAAATGATGATTTCTCACTAAAAGGGTCAAAATAGCAGTGAACTGCCTTTGAAATGTGAAGGCTGGTCAGCCCCTGCCTTATTCTGTTACTTGGTCCTCTGCCAGTCATCTCATCCCATTATTCTTGTCAGATTAATGATCCGAGCCTCTCCCTGAGCCTTCTGGAACACATTGTCCTTTTCTTTTTCCCAGTAAGAATCCCCGAGGTAAGATTTCCTGGCTTTTTCCTTCCATCACAGGCCTTTGGGTTTTTCCTCACTGCCGAGGAGTCTGTTGTGACCCAGTACGTGCCTGCACTGTGCGGGCTGCTGAGTTCAGAAGGGCTCAGGCAGGAAGCCCCTGCACAGGGTAGGTGTGGGAATTAAGTGAATTGATGTGTAGAGAGGGCTGTGCCTTTTCTATGCCTGGCATGTGCTGAGGACTTTGTGTTCCAGCCATCCGGGACTTCCTTGGTATCTTTTTGAGTATGCGACTTCATGCTTGTGTAATAACACAAACTGGAATGGCCATTTCCCAGATGTATGGTGGCTGCTTGACAGGCACCTAAATGTACAGCTTCTGCATCTCTGGAACTGTCGCTTTCTAGAATTCACATTTAATTTCTCCCATATTCTCTGACCTGATCATAACATCCAACTAATACAGTATTTAAAGTTTGAATTTTTAAAGTGTTCACTATAATATAAGGTTATTGCCTTAAAGCATTTTTAATGTCTCCTTGGAAAGGTAGATGTTACTGCTGTCCTCATTTTATAGGAGATTGACTTTCTTGGTCAGGTACTTGGTTGCTGCCTGAACAAAAATGAGGACCAGGAGTCTCTGGGTCTTTTACTGGCATCCTTGTCGGTGGGTGAAACAGGCGAGATCGGGGGGAAGAGTGGAATGTGGAGACTCAGCAACGGCAGGGGTGAGACGGTCCCTTTTTGTTGCTACCTGGACAAATAATACATTGTTTTTACCCAGTCTGTTTTTGCTCTTTCCCCTTTGTATCTTTATGCCTCTGAGGCCCTGTAGTTTGAAATAAAAGTTAAGCAGGGGAGAAGTTAAGTTTGCATTTATTTCTTTGAGTGTAATATACATTGCCCACCTTGAGAATATTATTGTGTGCACTGTTTTTAAGAAAGGGCATTTTTGCTATCCTAATAGAAAACATAATGATTTTTGTTTTTTTTTAGGGGAAACACTCACTTTTACATATGTATAAATTCCCTTTTTCAGAACTTTTTATCAGAAAACAGAAGATTAAAGGGCCTGATTTAGACCATGAGAAACCCTCACTTTATTATGCAGCTAGAAGTGTGGTGGATAGGATAATGAGCCTGGTTCTGTTGAACACAGTCCAAATTCTCTGGGAAGAATGTACATTTCTATTGAACGTGGGTATAAAATCAGGAACTAATGTGTCTTGAGTGCTTCCTGTGTGTCAGGCTAGGTTTTGGATTCTGAATGCTTTGAGTCTCATTCAGTCCTCAGCACAACTCCATGAGGAAGGTACTATTGCATCCATTTTACATAGGAGAAACTAAATTACAGTGGGGAAGTCAGTTGCCCAGGTCACACGTAGAATAAGCGGTGTAGCCATGCTTTGGGTTTGGACAGTCTGACTCTAGAAACTGTCAACTCACATCTATGGGATTTCCAGGAGGAGGACCTTAAATCTGGATTTAAATGACCTCACTTTCAGATGGAATATACCCCAGCGATCACTAGCTCTTCTGTGTCTCTGCATAAATCGATTCCCCTTTGGGCCAGGGAACATATTCAGCACCTTCTTCCTCCTTGCTCCTTCAGGCTGAAACACAAGGGTGTCCCTGGTAAGGTTTCAGGGCATAGGAGAAGCAGCCATCTAAGCGTCATTTGGTATAGAATTAAGCTCAATAATGACACCACACTCTTTTCAGACTGGAAAACTTCAGGTTTGATGTAGTGAATTAGAACCTGAGGACAGCCTACTCAGGGTTTAAGAGAAAATGCTTTCCTTCTTACTGTACCTTCTATGCTTAGAGGTCCAGTGTGTGTAACTTCCTGATAATCAACTTGGATGCCTTGGAAAATGTAATAGGTTTTGCTGCACTGTGTGATAGAAGGGGGAGTGGCTACTCGAAAGTCATGTTCTTCCCACGGCATAGCATTTTATCTTCCAATTTGATGCCCTGTCATATTGTCAGGAAGAGCTTAGTGCTTTGGCAAATGACTAAGCCTGTTTGTCCAGAATTAATGAGAGACACTATTTTGAGCAAACAGAAATTCATATGAAACAGATCACTTTGAGGTGGTTTCTGCTAATCTTTTTAATCTAAGATTTAAAAAAAATAGTGGCTACTCTTGATGTTCTATAAAAATGTTGATTTCAACACCTTTGATTTATAAAGAACTTTGTAGAAGCTTACTACTACATTATGTAAGGTAGATCTCATGCTCATTTTCACTTACGTTTGCCTTTTAGGTGTGTGTGTGCTGTGGTTTGAATTTTGTGTGCCCTCCAAATTCATATGTTGAACCCTAATTACCAATGTGATGGTGTTAGGAGGTGGGGCCTTTGGGAGGTAATAAGATCATGAGGCCTAAACCCTCATGAGTAGGGCCAGTGCCTTTATAAAGAGGCCCCAGAGAGCTGCCGTGCCCTTCTACCATGTGAGGACACGAACAGAAGGCACCATCTATAAACAAGAAGGCGGGTCCTTACTAGATAGTGAATCTGCCGATGCCATAATCTTGGACTTCCCAGCCTGCAGAACTGTGATAAATAAGATTTTGTTGTTTTTAAGTCACCCAGTCTAAGGTATTTTGTTATAGTAGGCCCAATACACAAAGACAGTGCTTATGTGTGTGAATGTGAATTTCCCTTCCCTGGTTTTACATAACAGAAATAAAAACTGGTACTGAGCGAAAGCAGCCTGGAACTCTAGAAAGTTACCATCAAAATGCCTCACGTATGTGCATCCATTCAAATCAAGCTTATGCCCTGGGTTTTTCACTGTCCAAGGTACATTGGTAGAACTTTGGGTAGCATCTCTTATTTACTGGGAGGGAGATAATATCCTTATCAGCCTTGAATACATCTTCATTTTAAATCTGCATCTTGAACACTGAAAACCCCATGACTAAAAGTGCTAGGAAAACATGCAATGAAACTTAACTTGCTTCTGTCACTTAGGCGTTATCCATTAAGGAGCTAGAGGAAGATGGGCAAGGTGGTTGAGTTTTTACACCCATAGCTGCTAGGTTCTTTCATTTTCCTTCTGTGGCCTTTGGCCCTCATAAAGTGCACTTTGATGGGGAGGGTAGGGGTTTAAGAGTTATTTTTTGTGTTGTAGGGAAGAGAGGCTGCTGCTTTGAGCAAGGCACCCGAGCAGCGCTGGAGTCAGCTTCTGATTAGTGTGGGAAAGCGCTGAAAGCCCCGGAGGCATCCAATCAGGAAATGATGTCATCACATTTATGAGCACCTTGGCCCAGAGCATGGGCTCTGACACCAGACAGCCATAGTTCAGTCCTGGCATTGCTCCTTCTAGCTGTGTAACCAAGTTATAGCTTTAGCTTCTCTGTGCCTCATTTTGCACGTTTGTGTAATGAGAATATACTGCGGCATTAAAGGAGTTAAAACACATTTTATTTTAGAATTTGCTAACTCATTGCTTTCGTATTGAAATTGGGATGGTGTCCTCTAATTACTTAGGGTGTGGTAAGCTCACGGTGGCTAGGGAGGTGCGAGGCCTTAGGCACTCCATCTGACCTCCTGCCGTGTTATTTTGCTCTTTTCTTTTTCCCATCAGTTTCCTCAATATCACCAGAGTGAAGAATCTGCAGTGTAGATCTGACTGTATCTTCCTCTTGCATAAAGTTTATAAGCATTGTTGATGGAATAAAGCATTGTTGATGGAATAAAGCTCCAGCTTCCTACTAATGGCAGATGAGGGACCTGCCTGTTTTTCTGGTCATGTCTGCAAGTGCTTTCTGCTGTGACTTGAAATGCTTATAGCTTCTTGTTCAGGGTTCCCCTTTCTTACCTGAGTAACTTCTTTTCATGACTTATTCATGAAGAATTCTTTCCTTGAGAAACCTTTCATGATCATTTCCTCCACCATGCCCACCTGCACCAGGTTAAGCCCCTCACCCTGGTGGTTTGCAAGGGTTCTGGCCATACTCTAGCTAGCCTATGACACAGCACTGACATTGGGCCTTTACTTTCCCATCTTCCCTTCAGACTGGATACTTCCCAGAGGGAGAAACTGTGTTGTTCATCGCAGCATTCCCAGATGGTACCTGATACATGGCAGGTGTTCCTGAACTTTGGGTCAGTGCACTCTGCCTAGAGGCACGGGAGACACCCTGTCTCAGCAGCAGGTTATGCAAGTACATGTGCCTGTTGGTGGCAAAGAGAACAGATGTAAGGCATAGCTGAGAGTTGAAATGAGTAAGAATATATCAGCTTAGCAGGGAGGGAGGCAGAAATATTTTAAATATTTAGGTATGTATACTACTGCATATTTTAAAGGCTGAAAATAGTTTTTAATGGGGAATATCACTTCTGATTTTGGACAAGCACTGCCCTAGCCTGCAAGCCATGAGGCTAAAGTTAAGGAAGAGTGAAGCAGAGAACATGAATGAAGAGGCAACTGGTTATACTCAGAAAATAGAATACACATGAAAATTAAAATCTGTTGGGGTGGGGGGGGTGCAAGTGCTTTATAGTGAACCGAAATATTTGTTTTGAGTTTCAGGAACAGTTTATAACTATGTGAATTATGGTTTGATGAATTACGACAAAATTCTCATACATGAATTTTTTTTTGGCATAAGTGAATAAGGACAGTAAATTAATGTGGCTCCCTGATTTTTGGTATCTCGACAAATGGTAACATTTGATAAGAGCTCTAGAATGAACCAAGAATGTACTCAGTTCTGGAAACTGAGTTTTTCATTCCAGCTGCACACCATCAGTGAGAAATACTTGGGGAGATTGTAAGCAGCTTCTCATGCTTTAACAGCTGCTAGCAGTTGTTTGAGCAACAGCTTAAGGAAATGTTACTGGGTGAACCCGGTGGAGGAGAACCACTTTGCTCTACTCTCCTGCTGGAATTTTTGCTCAGCTCTGCACGTTTAGCTGCAGGGGGGACAGGGTTGAGCTTCACAGAAGAGTGTCTAGGGGGGCATGAGGCAGATGGGACTCAGTCTCCCTCCTTCCCTCTCTTTTTTCCTTCCTGTAAGGGCCTGCAATTCATTATTAAATTAAATTTCACATATTACCAAATACTATGGAGGTCTGCCTAAAATAAGAGTTTTTAGACTTGAAAGCAGAGCAATTCGGTCCTTTGCTTATTTTTTCGTTTATTTTTCTTTTTCCCAGAACCTCCATTTGTATAGCCTGCTCCTTCTGTGGGAGAAAAGGTAAACATTAGATGTTTGGTTTCAGTGTATCCTCAGTGGTTAGTTGACAGGTATTTATTGAGCATTTGCTATGTTCTAGGCACAGTCCTCTCAGCTGACACAGTGGTAAGCAATGGAGACATTGTGTCTACTGTCATGGAGTTTAGGTGACACATTAAACAGTCAACTATATAAATTTAAAAAATGTGTTAAGTGTGAAGGGAATGCCTATACCTGGGTAACTTAAGTTATCCACATTAGGACTAGTTGAATAGGTTGTAATGGGGATAAATTTTAAATATGTATTGTAAATAGGTTTTGGTCAATAACATCTTATAAGTTACTGCATGTATCATATGTTGATTACAGATTTTTAGGACATTTAAATAGTGTTAACCTGTGTTTACATTCTGTGGAATATGATTTAACACTTGATTGTATGTAGTACACTTGAGGACACAGTAGCCAGTCTAGGCCCCCAGTGGTCATTAACTTACTGTCCTTACCCTTTGCTGGCCATAGTTTGTATCACCTGTAAAATGATGTGCTTAGGCTCTCAAATTTCCTTGCAACTCTAACAAGTGGATAACTTTAATAGAGAACTCTATGACCCCTGTGCTCCTGAACTGTGCTTCTCACAGTCTTTCCCAGTTCTTTTAGTGGGAGAACCATTCTTCTATTGAATGGGCCAGAAATCTTGATATTCCTCGATCCTTGTCGTTCTCTTGGACCCTACATCCTATCCAATATGTTAGTAAATCCTATGGTTGACCATATTTCATCAGCTCCCTGCTGTCATCCTGGTCCACAGACCCATCAGTTCTTGTTTGGATTATTATGGTGGTCTCCTAAAAGGACCTCTTCTTCTGCCTTTGCCCCTCTGTGGTCTGTTCTCTACACGGCATCTGGATTAATGCTGTTAAACTAAGTTGACTTGTATTATGCCTTTCCTCAAAACCCTCCAACCCCTTGCCATTTCAGAGTGAAAGTCAAAATCCTTAAGGTGGCTCGTGAGGCCTTACAAGATCTGGCCCCTCATTATGTCATTGATTTCAACTCTTACATCTTCCTCTTCAGTCAAATCGGCCTCCTTACCTTGCATGCTGCTGCCCCGGGATCTTTGCATGGGCCGTTCCTTCTTTCTGGAATACTCTTTTCCTTACCTCCTTCAGATCTTGGCTCAAGTGTCACATCAGTGAGACTTCCAGGCCTCATATTGTAACCCCCCCCCACCCCATATTTTGTATTCCCTGCCCTGCTCTGTTTTCTTTATTGTACACATCAGCGTACTCTCTATCAGTGGCTCTCTCAAGGTGTGCTCCTAGAGCAGCAGCAGCAGCATAAACTTGATAAAAATGCAAACTCTTGTGTTCTCCTACCCTAGACCTTCTGAATCGGAAACTCTAGAGGTAGGGCCCAGCAATCTGTGTTTTAAGAAGCCCTCTAAGGGTTCTGAAGCAGGCTGAAGTCTGAGAACTACTACTATGTATTATATTTTGTAATTTTGCTTTTATCTGTATTTACCTCTCCCCCTTACTCCTGCCCCAACTTAAAAGTCAGCTCCGTGAGAGCAGGGGTTTCTGGTCTACAGTCCCAGTACTTAGAACTGGAAGTGGCACTTAGTAAGATCTTGGCAAATAGTTGTCAAATGAATTAATAAACATCTGACTATATAGTAAATTTAGATTAAAAGAATATTGAGCAATAGTTCAGTGACTCTTTAATGTTAGGAGTTTTCAGTGTGAGGTTTTCTTTTATCACAGATTTGGAAATCTGCAGATTCTTTGAAGATTCAACTAATCCTTCTGAAAACTTTGTAAAACAATGGTGTGCATTGTTTCCTTAAATACTTGTAGCAACTGGAGTTGTGTTATTTTAATCTTCTCCCATAGGGATCATATTTTTAACATGTACAGATGGGCTATTGTGGCTTAATGGAAGCTTCTGATAGTAGTGCTGGTTGAGTGAAGATTTGTTTAAAAAAGATCACCTGCAGGTATATGAATATTGCATTGGAAATTTAGACTTATTAATATTTGATCTAAGTTGTTCATGCCTGTCTCTGCGGATATGGCCGGCCAGGAGCCCTCGCTGACTTTAGAAGCTTGCCTTTGGCTTGGGAAACAATAATACCTGTATAATATACTTACCTGGTGCTCTCCTTACAGCAACTCTGTCAGTTCAGCACAATAGTTCCTTCAGATGAAGCATCTGAGGACTGCTGAGCAATTGTGGACTTGTTTAAGGTCATTCTGAAAGTCATAAAAGCACTTCACTCTCAAATCTCCTCAGACTTCACTTTTGCTTCTTGCCATTAGGTTTCACCCCTACCCCACCAATATACTTCTTAACTCTATGCCTTTTGACGGTTGAGGAGCGCCGGGGCTCAGTTCCTTCCGTTGTAAAGTAAGGAAGATTGACAAGATGTTCTCCAAGGACCTATCTTGCATCAAAATGTTCAAATAACCCTTCATTAGCTGCAGTCACTTAAAGACATTCTCAGTACTGTTTTGAAGAATTCAAATCAGAGGATTGTCTTGGGTGTAGAGAGGAGAGTAAGCCAAGCCTCTGTCCTGTGGCTGCTTTTACCAGAGCATCTTTAAAAATAGTCCTCCCACCCCACATTGGGGATCCAGGGAAGAATGGATATGTGGTGTGGGAATTATCTGTGTTTTTCCTTTGTTCAGTGTAATTATCTTATTTAATAGAAAGTTGACCACTAGTGAACTCTTGAAAAAGCTGTCTCTTGGCCTGGAACCTTCAGCACATCTGGGCTGGGACTCCTGCTCCAGCCTTCCCTTCTGTTGCTGCTCCAGGTGTGACCAGTGACTCTACTTCTTACTGAAAATTCACCTGCTTTGGGGCAAGGGTTCTGTAGCTCTGACATAGATGGGCAGATTATCTGTGGTTTGCCATTTTGTTCAACTGGTCCTCTCCACTGCTGTGGCTAATTGACTGTATCAGTCAACTGAACTTTGAGCCAAATATAATTGGCATTGACCACCACTTATTCTTTTTGTCCCTTTTAAGCCTGTGGTGTCTTGATTGAGAGAATGGCTGAGGAATTGGGGAGGGAGTAGCAGCTTCTGTGTTTTTACCAAGAATCCTGTTGAATTTTTTTTTTTTTTTTTTGAGACCGAGTCTCACTCTGTCGCCCAGGCTGGAGTGCAGTGGCGTGATCTCGGCTCACTGCAACCTCCACCTCCTGGGTTCAAGCGATTCTCCTGCGTCAGCCTCACGAGTAGCTGGGACTATAGGCACGTGCCACCACCACACCTGGCTAATTTTTTGTGTTTTTAGTAGAGATGGGGTTTCACCGTGTTAGCTAGGATGGTCTCGATCTCCTGACCTTGCAATCTGACTGCCTCGGCCTCCCAAAATGCTGGGATTACAGGAGTGAGCCACCGTCCCTGGCCTGAATTTTTCTTTCAATTTTTCTATCGTGAATTGATTTGATTCCTTGTAGAAGGTGCAAAGGATGTAGCCTATTTGAAGGAAACTGGTTGATGGCAATGTCAAGAGTCTACATATGAGACCCCAGTCATGGGAAGGCTTGCTTCTTTGTGTTTCTTTTATTTTAAAAGATGAAACTCTACCTTTATGGACTGTCTTATGATTTCTTCTTTTGTTGTCAGAAAAGGCTGTGAAACTGTCATTCTCTGATGTTTCAAAGAAGGTTATGACTACTGCTCCCTCATTAATAGATAGGGAAGATGGATTTGATAAGTGACTAGAGCATTTGATAAGTGACTCTCTAGGGCCTAGACTCAGGAAATACTGTAGGATTATGTTTTTTTGACTGTGAATGACTTGGACACCATGCCATGGTTGGGGCCCATGGCATATAGAGCCAAACAAGGCCATTGAGCACCATTTGCTTTCAAGAAGGAATAAATAGAAATGAAAACCAGGAGCCTGATGTGGGGTGAGGGGAAGGGATTGGGTGGGAGTGAGGGTGTCAGAAGAACCTCTTTGGTTCTACATGGTTCCTCTTGGGGTACCAGGTTCTCTCCCAAGCAAGATGGGTGGTGTGTCCCAATATGTAGTGGTGTGTGAATAACTGATTACTAATAGTAAAGTGCCAACATATTTATTGACTTGCTTAAAAGGTAAGCAGATTCAAGGTTATCACTCTAATAATATGATATCAGGTTGGTGCAAAGGTAATGTGGTTATTGCCATTGCTTTTAATTTAAAACCGCAATTACCTTTGCACCAACCTGATATCACCCTTACACAATTCATTAGAGGTTTTCACAAATGAGAGAGAAAGGAGTAGTGCCACATAAATCTGTGCAAAGAATCATGTTTACCTATAGCCTCTCTCCCAGTACCATCACACCTGCAGTGAGCAACTGTTACTGATAAACTGTTAGTAAGTATTGTGATTATAAATTATTTTCATGCACTTAACAAAGATTTCATAAAAATCTGTGTATTCCCAAAGAGGTGTGCCATGTATATGAATTTATTCTACTGCACATATGAGACATAGTTGAGAATCGCTGGGTTAGACAATTCTGTGTGGGATATGATTTATGTTTTTAGAATTGCCCTTGGACTAACTGTGTCATAAGATACATGAACATGCACACTTAACTACTTTTTTCCTGCTACGCTTCCTCGACTGCCATGGTTCTCTTCATCTGAGAGGTGAAAGAGGAACCTGTGGAGTTGGCTGTGCATTGAGATCTTCCAGTCCCACTGAATCACGCCATAGTGCCTGCTAGGAGGACAGTAATCTAGAGTAGTGCTTCTCTTCTTCGATGTGCGTTCAAGTCAGCTGGGGATCTTGCTGCAATGCAGATTCTGATTCAGTAGGTCTAGAGTGGGACTCAAGATTCTGCATTTAAAGCCTCACAGGTAATGCTGGTCTGGTTTATGGACCCCACTTTGAATTACAAGGGTCTAGACTAGGATGTCGAACTTACTTCTGTTTCCTATTTTCCTAGAAGTGTGCTATTTTCTTTGGTGTAGGTTTATGTAAATATAGCCCCAGCAGCAACTACTGGCAAAAAAGCGAATTAGATTCTTCTTGCAGTATGTTTTCTTCCCCCTTGAGATGCCTCTGCATTTACTTATTTTAATTTGTGCTTCTGGCATGAAAAGCCATGCTTGATACTGGAGCTGTTTTAAAATCCAAAATTGCACTGTGTGCTAAACGGTTTTCTTGCTAATTTTTTACCAAGTCCTTTTGGGGATTGCAGTGACTTTGGCCTCTGATGCAATGGTTAACCCTTAGCAGTCAGGAAGTGTGAATCAGTGTGGCTAGACTGAGGAAAGGCAGGAGACTGTAAGAGTTAAGAAGGCTTTGGGTACAAATAACAGAGTACTGGTCTGAAAGGAGATTAAGCAGCAGAAACGTTAATTATCTCACGTAGCAAGAAGTCTGGGCATTTGGTTTCATAGTTGGTGCAGGGGACCTAGAGATGTCACAGAGGTCATGGACTCTTTCCTTCTTCCACTTCTGCACTGCCAGTGGGGATTGGGCAGCACCTGCCAGCATGGGCTGTATCACTCCCATACATCACATCTTCATGGGCTGTCATCACTGCCAGCATCACCTCTTCACATGACCATTCTCAAACAGGAAGGAGAATGGGGAGCAAAGGAGCCCTGTAGGATGGTTATTTTATTCAGGAGAAAAACTTCACTGCAAGGGCCTGTACTGTATTACTACCTTTGGATCTTACAGGTCAGGACTAGGGCAGAGCCACAGACCATTCACTGGTGAAAAAGAACCATATGCCATTATTGGCTTATATCAATAAGGTGAATCTCCCAAGGCCTGGCAAACAAAATCAAGATTCTGGTAGGAAAGAACAGGATATGGATGTTGGGTAGTCAGCCAACAGTGTGTGCTCCAAGAACTGATACTGAGAAGTTATCATATTCTAAGCTCCTCATGGTAAAGCTTGAGGACCTGTTGCTCAAAGAAGGAAACGAGCAGGGAGTGTCATTGGGACTTAACATTCAGGCCTGTTCAATTTTAAAGCACCTCTTTGGAGCGGAAACATGGCTCCTTTGTATGCACTGTGTCTTCCCTTGCAGCCTGTCTTCTTTCTGTTAGTTTTAGGGATTATTGATGGCAGACTTACTAGAATCAGGATCCCACAGTATGCCTCTGAATAGGGGCCACATATGTTACATCACACACGTTGCTATCTGGCCTCTTTGGCCGTGGGTGTGCTGGAATACCACTATAATAATAGAAGGAAAACTACTCCTATGTGCAAAGTGGCATTATTTCAAGAAGGAAGCCAGCTCAGTGAGTGTGGGTGGCTGCTGCTGCCGGTCTTGTTGCATCTTGACTTGTCCTGCTGAGCTTTCTGCTCTTCTTCTTGCTCTGAGCTATGCTGTGTTCTGCTGAGCACAGCGCAGGTGCCCAGAAGCGCAACGTCCACCTGGAAGACTTAAGTTATCCCTCTGCCTCCTTTGAGTCAGGACAGCAGAAAGCTTTCTCCTGCTTTGGATTGCAGGGTTTCCTAGTAGGTTGGAGGGAAGGGGTGGCCCTCCCAGTTTGCACTCAGAGTTGGCTTTCAGTGCCCAGAGGTCTGGTGACATTCTGATGATGGTCAGGCTCCAGGAAAAAAGTTGTGCCTATTTCCTCTATAAACAAAAAGAAAACAAACAGAAGTATTAGTATCCAAAGGCTGGATTTAATTATACATAAACTTAAAGCAGAAATGGTGATTTGGTCAGTTAAGGGAGCGAAAGCACTTTGCTAAAGTATACCATAATTGAATAAGCATTGCAATCAGAAGGAAACAATACTAGAATCCTGTTGGCTTCCATATAAATGCTGAATTATGGCCTAGGATGAGCTTTCTTGTTATTCTCAAATGCCCTGGAGGGAGAAGGATTTTGACCAGAGAGTGCTATGATCAGAAACTGCACTTTAGGAAGATTAATCTGGATGTAATAAGTAAGTCTGGATTGCAGTTGGAAGAGGCATGCCTCTGATTCTGTAACTGCTAACTGCTAAAGCCCTGACTTTCCCTGGTCTGTGTTTTTCTTCTTTCACCAAGAAAATCGGGTGAAAGGGCCCTGGGAATTAGCAGCAGAAGATGGTGCTTTTAGTGCTGAGTGTAGTATACTGGGCCCATTAGCATGTTTCTTGTATTTATGTTGTTTAGGTCATGTCATAGTCATTCTATTTTAGTTAATATATTCCCCCATGTTAGCTCTCACTGCAAGGCCAGGATTATGTCTAAATCAAAACTCTGTTAGCCTGTGGTATCTAAACCCACTCCGTGCATGTACACAATTGTGCACACCCATGTGTACCGGGCATAAGTAGGTGCTGCACCACTGACACACATCCTAGTACAAAAATAATATGAAAATAAGGAAATACATGGTTAAAAAAAATGCTCTCTTTAGTCTGTTCCCAACAGAATTAAGAAAATATTTGCTTCTGTTTTCTACTCATTATTATACAGTTTGCATAACTGAAGTCACAATGTACTTCTTTAATCATCCAACGTTGGTGGTATAACATTTTAAGGAAACCTGTGGGACTCGGGAAGGCCGGATGCTGGCAGCCCTGAAAATGTTCCCGGGTGTTTAGAAGAACATTTCAATTTTGTCAGTCAAGTCTTGAGAGTCTCTCATGAGAAAAAAACAACAACTGGGAATCAAACCAAATTATAAAGAGATAGGTTTTCATGATATAAATATGACATTTAGGATTAACCAGTGAACCTCAAACCAGTTTTTCTGTGTTGGGTAATCACAACTTGATCTTTACTCAGAGAAGAGCTTAGGAGTTGCGGAATCTTAACCCCATTATTGCATTTTGCATTTCCTTCTCAATAAAGAAAAATACACTGAACTTTCCGGAAGAGGAGACTAGGGCTAAGTGGCTGACTCCTTTCTGAAGGACTGTGAATTTTATTCAGACCTTCGATAACTTGCTGTGTGTTCCTTGGCAAGTCATCTAATCTTTTTATTCCTTCCTCTTTTCTTAATTCCAATATCTACTAAATCATCGTATTTTCTTAAGAATTGGTCTAATCCTCTCCATTTCCAACCTCTCTATTCATATACAGGCTCTGTTGATTTTGCTCCTGGGCTATGGTTGTGGTCTTCTCTGCTTCTAGTCTTTTTCCTTTCTTGAACATCCCTGCATGGTCACTTTTTCCAAATGTTGTTCTTCTCTAACGAGAGAGGGAACAACAGCTGTTAATTGAATCAGGTACAAATTCCCTTACCTGGTGCTCAGACTCTGTGGTTGGTTGGGCCCCTCAACAATCTCACCCAGTACTTCCCTGCTTTTAAAAATAATGGCCTCTGTGGAAAAGAAGCTGCTTGTAGGAAAGAACTCTCAGGGTCCCCTGAAGCTATGGGGGCTCCTATTGCTCCAGACTCCCACCCAGCCACTTAGGCATCAGTGTCTCTTTTAACTCATTGTAGCTACATTTTAGGAAGCTCTGAACTCTCAAACATTGATCCCGTTACTCTCTGATCAAAGAGAGTCAATGTTGTTCATGCACAACTCAGGTTCCTTTTCAAAGAGAATAGCAGATACTGTAGAAGTTTGAGGTAGGTGAGGCTTGGGTACTCACCCACAGCTTCCCTTACAGGTTTTAGAGAAATCAACTTTCAGACCAAATTTTGCCCTTCATTAGCAAGCAAGCCCCTAAACAGTTCTCACAATTTGTTCTGTAAGCTCAAGGAAATCCCAGTTCTTTTTCCTCATAGGTGAATGAAAAATTCATTAGAGGCAGACATGCCAAGATTCCAGATGCAGTTTTTGCTTTATCCTTATGCTTGCTACTAGGAATCCAACCATCCACAGAACTGGCTAGGGTATAGTCTACAGTTGGACTGGACTGGATTGTTTTATTCTGTTCATGCAAGAGTAAGGAGTATATCTAAAATATTTTAGCCACTCTCTGGTGCTAAGAACCTTTATTTTCAGCAGTGAAAGCCCATTTCTAACATGTATCATACCTCTCAACAGGTCACTGTTTTCCCTAATAATAACCCCTTTGGACAATCAGTCACCTGGCTTATGCTCATCTATATTTAGATTTGGATAATAGAAATACTTCCAGCAGCTGCCTCTGGCATCCTGAGTCGAGTGCTATCAGAACCCCCCCAGCACTGGACATTCTTGGTTAGAATGCCAGCTGACCACCTAGGTTGTGGTATCACAAACATAATATCACATGGCATATGTTGAAGTATTTTAGGTACATTTTAGACATCATAACCACACAGTTGGCAGACTTTAGTTTTGCGGACTAAATTAGGCAGGAGAAATCGCTTTTCTATTTTTTTAA
Organism: Homo sapiens; assembly: GCF_000001405.40. Lineage (NCBI taxonomy): Eukaryota > Metazoa > Chordata > Mammalia > Primates > Hominidae > Homo > Homo sapiens. The sequence continues at coordinate 168,145,583 of NC_000002.12, read as the reverse complement.
AAATGAATTTGTTGCCAACTACAGTAAGAAAGGGAGCTTTTTCATAAAGATTCCAATGTTTGGCTTTTTTGGGAAAACTGGGATATCCAGCAATCCTGGGTCTACATTTCTCTATGGCAACTTTCTTCTGGTGCCAAGCAGCAGGGGCCTGCCTTGGACCTTGGTGGGAGGGTGCTGACAGTGGGCTCCAGGGCTTCACACAGGGCCCAGCACTCCTAAAGTCTCCCGTCACAGAGACTGAGCATCAAGGGCCCTTGTCACTGAGACTGTAGCTGTTGTTTTTCAGGACCCTCTTTTCTCCATTGTATTCCTGCCTGGCTGCTGTAGGTGTTTTGAGTTTTTGACCCTTGCAGCTGTCAGTTTTTCTTCTTGGCTCCACACTTGTGCTTTGCTCATGCCGTTTCTTTGTCTGGAATTTGTTTCCTGTTGGACTTGCTCATCCAAGTCTTCACCTCATCTTGAAGGCTGGCTCCAAGACCCACTTTGGAGATAGTCTTCTATGACCATTATGGTTATAGCTCCTCTGCTTCTACACAGACAATATAGTATTTGATTTTATACATCTTATCCTACTTAGGTGGGAATATTCTTTTTTTTTTTTTTCTGAGACGGGCTCACTCTGTTGCCTAGACTGGAGTGCAGTGGCATGATCATGGCTTACTGCGTCCTCGACCTCCTGGGCTCAAGCGATTCTCCCATTTCATCCTCCTGAGTAGCTGAAATTACAGTTGCATGCCACCGCACCCACCTAATGAACTATCATGCCCGACAAATATTGTTGAAGTCAAGAAACATGTCTTCTCCTATTTTATCTCTGCCACTGTAAAATATTTATGCTTATCCCCTCAGCCTGCTTGCCTTGCTTATGAAAAGGCAGTGAGTAGCTTATCGATCTACCTAACAGTTGTTATAAAGAATAGTCATACATGGTAAAAAAAAAAATGAGTCTTATAAATATGAAAGTAATATAGAAATTGAGGCTCGGCATGGTGGCTCATGCTTATAATTCCAGCACGTTGGGAGGCTGAGACAGGAGGATCGCTTGAGCTCAACAGTTTGAGAACACCTTGGGCAACATAGAGAGACCCCATATCTACAAAAAATAAAAATAAATTAGATGGGCATGGTAGCACATGCCTGTAGTCATAGCTGCTTGGGAGGCTGAGGTAGGAGGATCGCTTGAGCATGGGAGGTTGAGGCTGCAGTGAGCCATGATCATGCCACTATGTTCCACCTTGGGCGACAGAGCGAGACTCTGTTTCAAAAAAATAAAATAAATAAATAAAAATAGGCCTAAATAAGAAGCCCAATAAGGCCCAGAAAGTTTAAGTCCCTTTCGGGAGTCATACAGTTGGGTAATAGTCTAGCCTTAGGCCTAATCACTGTTAACACTCAGATCTTGCCCATTAGTCCTGTAATGTTTCCTAGTAGATCTGCCACTCTCCAAATCAGATAACCATACCTGCAGATCCTCCTCAAGGCTTAGTAGCATTCACACATCAAAACTAGACCATGACCAATGTTACTGAAATCAAATTACGCAAAGGTGATGAATGCACATCAAATTACTCACCAAGAGCCAGGGTGCCGGAGATGCTGTGTCATTAACAAGGTCATGCAGAAAGCCTTCTGCTGGTGCACCTGTTCAGCATGGAGGGTTGATGTACCTAGACGACAAAGCATCATGTGCAAGGGCAATGCTGGTGAGGCCAAGGAGGTGATGGGATCAGGGAATAAAAAGTAAGTCATTCAGTAGGCTGGAGCTTACTGTCTGAATCTGAGAGTAGTGATATAGGTTTACGTGTTATGCTGAAGGATTTTGACTTTTTCCTGAGGGGACAGGGAGCCTTGAAAGACTTTTTTTTTTTTTTGAGACAAAGTCTTGCTCTCTTGCCAGGCCAGAGTGGAGTGGCATGATCTCAGCTCACTGCAACCTCCGCCTCCTGGGTTCAAGCGATTCCCCCGCCTCAGCCTCCAGAGTTGCTGGGACTACAGGCGCGTGCCACCAGGCCCAGCTGATTTTTTGTATTTTTTTAGTAGAGATGGGGTTTCACCATGTTGGCCTGGATGGTCTTGAACTCCTGACCTCGTGATCCACTTGCATTGGCCTCCCAAAGTGCTGGGGTTACAGGCATGAGCCACCGCTCCTGTCCTGAAAGTCTTTTAAGGAGGGCTCAGGCCTGTGACATAGAAAGGCCTGGTTGCTGGAGCCTGGATCTGGGGAAAGAAGGGAGATGGGAACTTAGGAGGCTGCTGCAGAAATCTTAGCAAGAAGTAGTGGTGGATTAAATGAAGGCAGTGGCTGTGGAGGAGCAAAGAAGTGGATGGATTCAGAAGGTCTTAGACCCTTTTTGTTATTAGGATGACAGCATTATTTGTTGTTGTTGTTGTTTTTCTTAAAGCAGCATTTACCCATATCCTCCAGTTATTCCTGGAGGCAGGGAGATGGACTGGCTAACTTTATGTGTAGCCTTTGATTCTGTGTTTCTAGAGAAATGTCTGTGGTTTTGTACCCAAGTGAATCTGGCTGCATTCCCTTTGGCTGTATAGATGTACCCCTTAGGAAACAAGGACAGCTTTTCACTGTTACAGTTCTGCCACCTTGTTCTAACTGTCATATGCAAGCTATCTCAATATAATATACCAATTTTTTGTGTATATAACATAAGCACACTATGTACTTTGCTCAAAATGTTCTGTTACTGAGTACATATAATCTGTATACACATCAGCCGTACATAGGAGCAAATTGTATATTTCTTCTGTAGTCATAGAGGGAGTAGATATTAGGATTGTTGTTTTCTGCTCCTGAAATTTTTGTTCTGAGTTTTAAAGACATTTAGCCATCTGTTTATGACTTTAAAGTGAGTGTTCAAAGTGGAGGCTCTGAATGTATGTATCATTACAGATATATTGAAAGGGTATTGTCAATAATAAATGGCTACTATACATCTTTTTCGGCTGTTTTCTAACTTTTTAAAATGTGTAATGTAAGCAGGTAGTATTTTTAAGGAAGTGGAAATATATCTAATGTTAACTATGGATTTTTACCTGGATTATGTCTTTTAGGAAGAGACTTTAGGGTGCAGAGTTGCTTCAATTGCATTTAAAATAATCAATTTTTCCTTAAAGCAGCTTTTACCTGTATCCTTAATTTATAGATGATATGTATTTATTTCATATTATATTATAAAATCATTTTAATAAAAATGAAATGTTGGATTCATCGTTGAACTTCTTTTTAGAAATATAAATTAAGTTGAAATTAGTAGCTTTCAAAGTTTTATCATATATATTTTTTCCAGCAGATATAGTAGATGCTTACAAATATTTTAATTCACCTAACTCTTCTCTAAGAGAATGAATTGTATCTTCTCCCACCCACAGGAGACTGACTGGTTCCAGAGATTTCTTTTCACAAGACTTCAGTTTTCTGGCTGCAGTATAAGAATTAAAAGGGCTTTAGAGTTGGAAACATATATGCATATTAAGTTATTTAGCAGTTTAAACATATATACTTTTATTCAATATGAACATGAGAGTAGCAGTTGGAACAAAGACTCCATTTGTCAATTTTCATTCCTTTTATTTGTAGTTGAAATCCTGTTGGGAGTATGAGTAAATTTAAATATAAATAAAATGCAACATTCAATGTATTTCTACTCAGGAAACCAGTTACAATGTTATTAAGTTACAATTGCATAAACTAACCTTATAGGCCTACAGCAAATGCTAATACATTTTGACCTTGGTTTGTACTTGAGGGTGTTTTTTGGTAATTGCTGTCACCCTGACAGCCAACAAGGGGGACTCGCAAAGGAAAAGCGTATGAGAGCGATTTGCAGGGGCTCAGACTGCACATTGCGCTGTGGTGTTTTGATGTGTTGCCTACCTGTTTTTATTACTACCCACCAGCTCGCTATCAAGTAGTCCTTGACCTGGCTATCATTGATAGGTACACTAGTCTTGAGTAATTGGTACTTTAACTTATCAACTACTTTTAACCACTGTGTAAAAATGAAAGCAAGAATAGTACGTTAATAATTGCCAGGCATTCCCTTCTGTACTGTACATACAAATAGAATTTTTACACATGTGCCTGTATGTATATATAGGTTGAGTATCCCTAAATCAGAATATGTGAAATCTCAAATGTTCCAAATTCTGAAACTTTTTGAATGTGAGGTGACATTCAAAGGAAATGTTCACGGGTACATTTCAGATTTCTGGTTTTCGAATGAGGGGTACTTAACTAGTTTAGTATATAATGCAAGTATTTTAAAATGAGAAAAAATCCAAAATCTAAAACATTTCTGGTCGCAAGCATTTCCGGATGCTCAATCTGTACAGTATGCCTAATTAATTCATCTTCTTATAAAATTAACTTCTATATATAATGAGTTAAAGTTAAGAAAAATATTATTTACTTGTACAATCCATTGCCTCTGTACTTATGAAAATTGTCCAGAAAATCAGTCTTTGCTGACTAAGCTTTTTTGCATATGGACATACTCGGGCATGTTGGCTTTATATATCTTATCTTTATATACCTCAGCTAAAAGCTAACACCCTTTATATTTAATTTGGTATGCTAAGCTTTTGGACCGGCAGGCTTGTGGCCCATTACCAGCGATGGTATTCTCCAAGGTGTAGGGGATAGCAGAGGGCAGGTCTTCCTTTTTTTTCCTGAGAGAGCACCGTAGACATGTTTGGAATAGTTCATCACCACTGTAAAGCTCACAAAGAAGAGACATGCTCAAAAAATCACAATTTATAAGCAATAATGTCTTACATAAAATAAAGGTGATTTTTTTTTCCCTTTCAGATTTTGGGGTAAGTGCGTTCCTAGCAACAGGGGGTGATGTTACCCGAAATAAAGTAAGAAAAACATTCGTTGGCACCCCATGTTGGATGGCTCCTGAAGTCATGGAACAGGTAAAAAAACAAAAAAAGTGACTTTTTGATGGACATAGTACAATCGTACAGATCATTAATATGCTAACATTTCATTTGTATCTAGCATTTTAGTAGAATGCATAATGTAACTAAGATTTAATTCTCAATTGCTAGCTAATTAGCAAACTAACGTGAAAGTTATACATCAACAGCTGTGGATTTCTGACATGACATGGACTTGATGATGTGTAACATGCCTGCTGTATGATTGTGTTTTTTTCCTGCTTTCTTTCTTAGGTGAGAGGCTATGACTTCAAGGCTGACATGTGGAGTTTTGGAATAACTGCCATTGAATTAGCAACAGGAGCAGCGCCTTATCACAAATATCCTCCCATGAAAGTAATTACAATTGGAAATACTACATCGGGGTTGAAATGTGATTGGACGGAATCTGTTTTCTAATTCTCTTCAACATCTTCATTCTTCTCTTAGACCCGAGGAGAATTAATGGAGGAACGCAGCCAAGTTGAACATTGTCTGATTTTCTCAGTGGACAGAATAGGACAAAAGTAGCATAATTCCCAGCTTTGAAGCTTGCTTTATAGTCTCAGCACAGAGTTAAGAAAATAATGTTATCAGATTGGTTGATGGAGGTTGATAGCTATGACAAATGCTGGTCATTACTCTTTTGATAGCAGAACAACGCCAGGTTCCCAGAGAATATCTCAAAATAGATTATAGTGATGTCATCTCTGCAAATGGGTTTCCCAGATTTTCAGAGCTTTTTTTTTTCTTTCTTTTTAAGTGGACTACAACATTTTTACCCCTGCTCTTATAGTGTAATGTTGGCAACTGATCTGATATAAGTGAGCCACAGTGTTTTTAGGATGCTATTTTCACGTTTCTGCTCTTCTTTTAACTGGTTTATACCTCATTATTTCTCTTAGTTCTGAGATAGTGGTATCAGGGCTTATTTACCCAACTGGATTTTGTTTTGAGGCTGAAATAGTTTAGTGAAATTATAATGCTATTTTACATAGAGTATGGTCTATGATTGTTTCATGGTTACTGGAAAAATTTGGGAGGATTTATTTTAAAAACCCAAGAATAAAAAGTGAGTTTTACTGATTAAAAGAAGTAGTATACTCATATTGTAGAAAGTTTGGATGTGCAACTCAGACTAAAGAAGAAAAACAATCATCCGTAATCTCATCAACCAGACAATCTCTACTAAGGTTTCAGTGTAATTCATTTTATTGTTTTTATATATATATATATAAATTTTTTTTAACATAGTTAGGATTTTAGTGTATTTGTGTGTGTGTGGGTACATATACCGGATTTTGCTAGCAGAAAATTTAAAATTGAAGCGTAAACAATTGAAGTGACCTCTTGGAGAAAAAGCACTGAAGTAATGCTGAAGGATTTTTTCTTTTATTCAGTTTTTCTTTCTTCATTTTCTTTCTTTTGCCTCTTCTCAGTGTTTCCCACCTGAATTCAAAGTCGCACTTGCTTGTCCCAGCCTGACGTCCTCTAGGACTTTTCTTCAGAGTTCCCAGTCTCCCGCTTTCTCCTGTGGGCTATTATCCTCCACAAACAATAAGCCGTCACTTTCACGCTTCATCTATTCACACATCTGAAAGTGTTTGAAAAGAGGCTTGACATGTATAGCATTTGCATAAATTAAGGCTGAATTATGCATTAATGAGTTTTATTGATTGTACAGGCTAGTAGTTTTCTACACTTTCCACTTTTTTTTTAAAGCAAATACTTTTGAAGTTAGTATGAAAGAGTGGAATTTTTACCGTTTTGATTTAAAGTTGTATTTTATTTTGTTTTGTCCCCCTCCGAAAGCAGCAAGGACTTTGGATTTGATGACAGTTTTTAGCAACTCAGTTATATTCTGGCTATCCTTCAGTGTCCTGCTCTCTCAGCTTTGCCAAGCCTTTTAGCAATTTTCTGTATGTTTTCTCATTTTTTTAAAGGAAATCATGTTACCTCCTGGGATGTTGTGGTTTTATTTTTAGGGCTAGTAATGTGTTACAGAAGCCTTGAGTACAGGCAGTTCCTTACTTATGAATGACCTGTATACATGAACAGTCACTGCCTCGCTGGCCCTCTCTCTTCTCCTCCACCCGCTTTCCCAACTAGCCTGTGCTGGAGCTACGTGCTCCTCAAGGCAGTACACGAGCCAGTTCCCAGAAAGCTCTGTCCGGGATCATTCTTAACACATAGAGCAAGTTTTGTAAGTTCTGTCAATGGAATAACAAAAAGGTTAAAGGGGGCATGAACACATTTGCAGTGGTAATGAATACTTTAAATACACAATTTCTGCAAAGTTAAAATCATGGGAAAGCACTTTGTATCTAATCAAGGATGGTTTTTTACACTTTTATGAAAAATTCAAAACTAGATTGTAGCAATTGCTATACTGAGATTCTGTCTTCATGTTTGTTTCTGCTGCAGGTGTTAATGTTGACTTTGCAAAATGATCCACCCACTTTGGAAACAGGGGTAGAGGATAAAGAAATGATGAAAAAGTACGGCAAGTCCTTTAGAAAATTACTTTCACTGTGTCTTCAGAAAGATCCTTCCAAAAGGTAAGTGAAACTTAGTGGATGAGTTAATGACCTGGTTTGAGCCATGACAAAGCTTTGTTTGTAGATGGGGAAAGGCTTTGTGAGGACACTGGAAAGGTATTTCTTGTCTGGGAAACCCTGCTGTGGTCCCCAGATTTCCAACCTGTTAGTGAAAGACGGTGTGGGTCCAAGAGGGAAAGAAGTGGGTGAAGAACGAAGGAGAGGCAGAGGAAAAATTGTGGTGTTAACAAGATTCACTGTGCTTGTTAAGTGTGGGCTCTGTCATCAAAGGAAATGAAGTAAAACAGAAATCAAAAGAAATTGGCAGTGCTGCATTCAGAAGCTGAGCTAATATTCTTCACTGTGTAGGTTGAACTGACCTCTCAGGATTTGAATATCCTGCTAGCTCCAGTCTAAACTAGGCAGAGCTATTGAATTTTGCATGAGCTTCCTGTTAGTTGCAGAACAAGTTGTTGGTGCTGTTTAAAAGATTATCAGTAAAGAAGATTAAGGAGATTTTTTACCTTAAAAAGATTAATCATGTAAACAGAAGCAAATGGCTTTAAATTAACATTAGTGTTTCCTATTTATTCTTGGGTTATTGCCCTGCACTGTAGTGTGTCTGTTTTCTGAGTTCCTTTTCTTCCTTCTTAATTTCTGTGACTTTGAAATATCCTGGTTAGTGATCATGGAGCCCACTGTTCTTTGTCACCTAGAGGAGATTGTTAATTATGTGAATGGCCTTGCCTGGGTAAGGTCCCTTTGTGGGTTCTTGGTTGTATGTGGTGTTATCCTAGCATAGACCAGGAGAGGCCTCTGAGAAGTTCCTATCTATCCTAATCCACCTGAGGATCCAATTTGATCCTTATATTTTAAAACATAATAACTGACTTCTCTTCTGAAACTTTCTTTTTCAGGGAAGGACTCTGCTGTTAGAAATGATTCCTTTATTTTGATCTTAAATTTTTATGAAACTTGTTAAGCCTTTACACAGTAACTTACAGTTTGAGTAGGCAAGCCTTCTCTAGTTTAAACACAGTTTCCATAATTGTACCCATTCTTTGTAGCTGCTCACTTCATTCCTTTACATTTGCTGAATTTGCCTTGAATCTTTTCCATATCAATCACTTTTCTCATGGAGCCAGGAATGAAGACTGCTATTAGCCATCTTGAATTATTTATTGTAAAAGGGATGATTATTTTGTCATACCTGTGTACTATTTCTATGTAAACATCTCATTTGTTATTTATATTTGATTCATAGGGCTTGTTTTCCTTCCAAAATTTTTTAATCTTTCATTGAGATTATTTCTTCAACCTCCATTTGGGTGAAATGCTCTTAGATTCTAATTTTGTTTTCCAACATTTGCTTATCTTCCCCTTGAATTTGGTGTCATCTCCAGTAAAATTTTTTGACATCTTCAAGAAAACAGAATTTGATCCTTCATAGCCCAGCAAGAGAAGTTCTTGTCTTTCCAGTTAGTACTAGGTTATTATAGATGGTCTTCCTGATTCTTGAACGACAGTAATTGAGATTCCACCTAGTGGTTGTGATTTGTAATGTCACACAATTCCAGTTTTTTAAGAAAATTGTTCTGTAGGGTAGAATCGTTAGTGTACTTAATGATATAATAGTGTATTTCTTTAGGAGATTTGTATGTGATTTGGTCAAAACAAATTAGATTGACATACATTATATTTAACAAACCCTTTTTATTTCTTTTCTTTTTTTTTTTTTTTTGAGACGGAGTCTTGCTCTGTCACTGGGCTAGAGTGCAGTGGCGCGATCTTGGCTCACTGCAACCTCTACCTCCCGGGTTCAAGTGATTCTCCTGCCTCACTCTCCCGAGTAGTTGGGACTACAGGCGTGTGTCACCACGCCAGGCTAATTTTTTTTGTATTTTAGTAGAGACGGGGTTTCACTCTGTTGGCCAAGATGATCTCGATCTCCTGACCTCGTGATTCGCCCGCCTTGGCCTCCCAAAGTGCTGGGATTACAGGCATGAGCTACCGCACCCGGTCCATTTTTATTTCTTAATAATCTTGAAAGTCTTTCCGGATTTTATTCATTATATGAGCTTAAATATCAGGTTCCTTCTATTCCACCAAAAAAAAAAAAAATCCTTTAGAAGAGCGTCATATAACATATATTCAAAATCTTCAAATCTTTCCTTCAGAGACCACTCTCTTAAAAACACTGTTGATGTACAAAGTATTAATCTTTTAAGGTCTTCTTTTAGATATTTTCTCCGTAACTTAATTTGTTCTCACTATTGTGCAATTGTTCTCTATACCAAGCAGCTATAGACTGTTAGTGGCACATCACCTTCCCAGGTAGCTCTTTCTTATAATGAAAAGACACGTAGGTTGAGTTTGCGGGGGGAAAAATCTATGCAATGTAAGAATGGAAAAAAGCAACATTGTTGAATTACTTTTTAGATAGGATGCAATTTCAACATATGAATTCATGACTAATTTGATAAGTAAACATTGAATTTCCTGCACAATAATAAAAGAAACCAGGAATATTTTCTGCCTTTGCTTTTGTCATTGGAGAGTTCTTGCCCTTCCTCTGTCCCCTTTCTATCCCTCTTTTTGTGCTTGGTTCAGATGCCACATCCTCCTAGAGTTACATACCTGTGGGTGGGATTCCTAGCTCTACTTTATCAACATCTGCATGGCTTAGCTTTCTTGTCTGTACAGTGGGCCTTAAAATACCCACTTCATAGGATCGCTGTGAGGATGGGAAGAGAGAATGTGCTGTGGGCACTTCAAACTCATAGCACAGTGCCCAGGGAGTCTCTAAGTACTCACAAGATTAAGATTGCCATTCGTTATTTGCCTTTTTTTTTTTTCTGACCAAGTGGAGTTGTTGAAACTTTTATGCAATAACTACAGTATGTTGAAAATATGTCTTTTGTAGCACTTATTACACTGTGTACTCTTATTGATTTACACACCCCAATTCCTCAAAAGTTTATAAGTGTTTTTGGGAGAACCTGTGCCACTTATCCTTATATCCAGTGTCTGGTTTGTATTATATACTCAGTACCATTTCTTGAACAACTGGAGATTGGGAGCTTGCAATTTGGGGGTGATTTGGACCCGTTGAAGAATGTTTCATAAACAGAAATCAGATTTGAGTAGGTTGAAGAGTGAATGCAAAATTTTTGCCAATTTTTATTATTTCTCTTGCCTAAATGTAGATCATCTACCTGTAACCTGAAAGTTTACTGGTGCCAAAGCCCTGGTATTGCTGAGTACCTCATGAGCAATGAGTGAAAAAATATTGCGAGAAAACAGTGACCAGGACAGATTCACTCATATGCATCAACTCTCAGGCCGCTGAGAGTAGGCTGTGTTTTTTTGTCAACGATGAGAGCTCATGGGACTTTCCTCATAAAAGGGAGCTGGGGTGTTGCAGACCTTTGGTTCGTCTGAGTCTGTGTTCTGCATTGACGTAGACAGAGAGTTGCTTATATTTGCATACCAGAACATCTTGCTATTCCTTAAAAATAAAAGAGCCTTAATCTTGTAGACTACATGCTTTGTATGGCTAGCAACTGTAAAAAGAACCAACTTTTTTTTTTTTTTTTGCAACAAGGGGGATGATGTTGCATTGATAAATCCTTAAGAAAGGAATATGACTTGAATATTTCTTTTGTGGGGAGTGGTGTGGGGAGGAAAGCAGCTCTGCTTGAGGTCAAAGGGCTGTTGGAACTTATTAATGCAAATTGTTAGAACTATTTAAACTATATCATATTCATCTTGAATCTTTTGAAAATTATTTTAAGTCTCAGTGGACTTTGGTTCATCCATATGCATTAGCTGAATCCTTTAAGAGATTTTCTTCTGAGAATGTTGTTACTTGCAGACTGCTGCATTGTTTTTAAGGATTTAAAATTGAATCATTGTTCAAAGCCTGGACCATTATTTTGGTTGCTGGTAACATTTTAGCATTTCTCATAAAACTGTTTGTACTTACATTATGCTGAATTGTTTGATGTTTGCTAGTGGCCATGTAAGACGTGACTGTGCTTGCAGAATTTTCTTCTGTAGTACTCAGCTAAAAGGTAGGCTGTACTGGTGGTTCCACATTAGCCAGGCATTGGCAGTTGCTATGGCATAAAATAAAAATAGATAAATGAGAAAATAAAAACCAAAAAAACCCTAAAATCAAATGGGCAGCAGGACCTCAGCTTTTCTCACACTTCCTATCACTGTCTTCCCTCTGTCATTTTCTTTTTTTTTTAGACAGAGTCTCGCTTTGTCACCCAGGCTGGAGTGGAATGGCATGATCTCGGCTCACTGCAACCTCCGCCTCCTGGGTTCAAGTGATTCTCCTGCCTCAGCCTCCTGAGTAGCTGGGATTACAGGTGCCCGCCATCACGCCTGGCTAATTTTTGTATTTTTAACAGAGATGGGGTTTCACCATGTTGGCCAGGCTGTTCTTGAACTCCTGACCTCAAGTGATCTGGCCTCCCAAAGTGCTGGGATTACAGGTGTGAGCCACCGCTCCTGGCCCCTCTGTCATTTTCTTAATTTCTTCCAGTTCCATTCTTTCATTCTTTCTCATGGAGATAGTTTGGCATATGTAGGATTTTATCCCAAAGTGATAAACACTTCAGCTGATTTGAGCAAAGAGAAACCTCTAATCTGCTATTTAGTTATTCTCTGTGTAAAGTTGGAATTACCTATTACTTAACAATTAAGCCAATAAAAAAAGAAGGCGGGTTGTTTAAACCAATTCTATTTTGTTACCTTATTGTGTTTTTGTACTTACTGATGAAGGCTGAGAGTGGAGTGGAGTGCAGAGAAAGGAGTTTTCTTTGCAGCATGCTTTTCCCTTTTACATTTTTGGTTACCATGGCAATGACCTTGCTGGAGAAGGCAAAGTATTTTCCCAGCCCCGTATCTCAAGGTATCCCTGGTACTTCCCAGCTTTCTCTCTACAGCATCCTACACTTGACCCTTCCTGTGTGGGGAGGAGGATTTTTGGTGGGGGGATGGTGCAGAGGAGACAGGGAGGCACTTTGCCTCCTTACGTTGGCACTTCCTCTGTCCTCTTTTTTTGCTAGCACGAGTCTCATTTTCATTAAGTCTTTCTCCTGTTCCCCGCTGTATTGAACAGATGCATAGATTTTGGTGCTAACTGAATCTAGCTCCAGGAGTTGTAGTGCTGTGTCCAAATGTGTAGCAGCATCACTTTCCCCCATATTTGATTATAGTATGAAATTGAGCTGTAGCAGTTTCTGTTCTGTGCTAGGTATTGGAAACATACAAAGGAATTCTATGAGGTCCCTGCCTTGGAAGGGCTCATATCCTAGTGGAGTGAGGCAGGGAGACATAGGAACAGAAAAATACATGATGGGAATGTGGGTAGCATGGTGCATGAGTGCCACTAGGGAGCAATGCCTTCTACTTGCAGGAGCTAGGAGAGGTATCTTTGAAGATGACATTTAAATTGGCTCTTGACTGATGAGCGAGGGTGTGCCAGTTGGTTATGAAAAATTTGGAAGCAAGAAAAGCAGTGTGTGCTTTGTCACGAAAGATCAAGAGATGAGTGAGAACATCGTTGCAGTTGAAGGGTGGCATCTCCGGCGGGTGTGGGGAGATGAGGATGGAGGAGTCAGGGCCTAGAATACTTGCTTCTGTCTCAGGCCACTGAAATGCATCAGGATAGATAAAAGAGGATCAGATTTTTTTTTTAAGACGCTAATTTGCGAAGCAGTGGGGTTGGTGGATGATGGGTTGGAAATAGCAAGGGAGAAGTAGTGAGACACTAGCTGAGGGGCTGTTTTATTTAACTATATTAGCCAGAGATGATGAGGGCTTCAAACAGAACCAGGGCCTTGAGTTTTTTCATCATTCTGATTTTCTTAGGGTTCTTTTCACATTAAAAAAATTAAAATCCAAGTTATTTTCTATGCTTCTTAGTTTTTAAAATGTTGTTTCATGTTGTGAGGTTCCCAAACATGACATTTTGGTCCATTTCTGAGTCCAATGTAAAGTGTTTCTACTACATGTTCCCTCAGGAGCCCTTCTCCTTCCAAGGTGTTTGAATGTGCTGCTGCCCCTCTTGCCGTTGAGCAGCACACTGCTCTTACCTGCTAGATTGTGACTTGTTGGAGGATTATTTATGTCTGCCATCTTCATTATAGTATGCCTAGCACCTAGCATAATGCCTGACAAACAGTGGGTGCTTAGTTAATATTTACTGAGAGAGTGAAAGGATGAATTTGGAATAGCTAGAGGCAAAAACATCTGCTGGTGATCAGGAAGAGTATACATTAAAATAACAACTAAAGTTGAATCATTTGAAAGAGTTATACTGTAGTGTTTAGTTCTAGGGCCTATTTAACAAGGTGCAGATTCATGGCCTACCTGTTGTTTAGACCCTTAGTTACTCAAAGCAATTAGCAGGTAGATACGGAGATCCAGGGTTCTTTGTCATGTACCTACCCATAACCAGTGTTCCACTTGAAATCTGAGGAAAAAAGCAGTAATGATTTACACAGAAAATTTCTTTGCACAGAAATAGTTTCTGGGGCCCCTGTAGACTTACACAGTTTGTGTACTGATGCACGTAATGACATTTTCTAATTCTTTCTATGCTTGGGTTTGATCCCTGGGAATATTTTAGTGGAGCTTCCTGATTCCAAAGCAGCAGTTTCCAATTTTGTCAAGCATGAGGATTCCTTTTCAACTTGCCCCGCCCCACCCCCTGCTACAATATTATTTGTGCGTTTGGTAATTGTTGCCTAAGATAATACCTAATGATATTCAATAATGCATCCCTCCTCCTTTCTCTCCCAATATCTTATTATGAAACATTTAAAACATATGGAAAAGATGAAAAAGTAGTGCATTGTTTACTTCTATACCATCACCCAGATTAAACAAGTATTCACATTTTCTATAATTGTGATATCTATGTTTTATTTGCTGAACTCTGAAAGTAAAAGACTTAATACTTTAGCTTGCATTTCTTATAAACAAGGACATGTTCCTACACAACTACAGTAATTTTCCACACCTAAGAAAATGAAGAGCACGTTCCTAAAATTATCTAATATTTAGCAGATTCACACATCTCTAATGATTCCCAAATGTCCTTTATAGCCTCTGTGGCTTCTTTCTCAAGCCCAGGATCCAGTCCAGGGCTGTGTGTTACATTTGGTTTTAATGTTTTGTAAAGTCTGTTGAGTCTAGAACAGTTCCTTCAGTCCCCCTGAAAGAGATCAGGCCAGTTGTCTTGCTGAGCAACCCTATACTCCCGTTATTTGATTCTTTCTCATGGCTGCCTTTTTGGAAGGAACTATTGATGAAGGAAGCTATTCTTTGTGTAAGAATGTCAGTCAGTAAACAAGGAAGATAGAAGTAGGAACTCAGTATTCTGCTACTTCCTATGAAATAACTATTGAAGGCAAAGATATGAACACAATTAGCAGAAAGGTTTTCAGGAACAGGATATTCATAAAATGTCAAAGTATTACCCAACAGAACACTTGCTAATTGCAGTGGGGGAAAACATGACCTTTGCAAGGGAGAGATTTGGTGCCTGGGGACTGATGGTTAAATTTAGCATCACTAACAGTGGAATGACCTAACAGGACCTGCCTCTGAGGTGCTGCTGTAAGAAGTGTGTGCCATCATCTATGAAGTATTCTTGCCCCAAATGCTTAATTAAATCTCTTTGAAGCCTTCAGACCTCACTTAGAGTTTACAGGAAATATGGGCTAGAGAAGCAAGTTGAATGACACCATGAGGAAATAATCACACCATCTGGTAATGCTTCTAAATGAATTTGCATTTTATTAATCACGATCGCATTTACCTTCACCTGGCAAACAGCAGTCCATATGCACTTGAGACAGGTTTATTGAGCAGGCAAACAGAGCGTGGACACGATGTGTGGACCCCTTGCAGTACCTGCTGCTCTTGGGGAAGCATAGAGCATAGTAGAGTATACTTTCTTTGACAGGGTCATATGGTAGCTTGTATGGTTTCTTAATAAATATAGAAATTTAGCTCACAGATGTGTCAGTCTGCCCCCTTTTAGAAACACTAAATTCACTTAGTTAAGTGTAAGGATGAAGGATGGAAAATTGATTACGCCCCAAGCACTTAATGTACAGGAGTTTATGTGTTTTGCAGTAGAGGTATTTGGAAAGAACTGGAAAATTGGCACTATTTTATTTGGTGCCAGCCTATGATTAATTTGGTTCCCAGTTTTGCTATTACTAAAATTGGTCTTCCAGAAATACTCTTAAGGTTAAGTTGTTTCATCAAGGCAGTGCATTTATTAAGTGGTCATTGTTTCAACTCTAATTTATTATTGATCTTTCAGGCCCACAGCAGCAGAACTTTTAAAATGCAAATTCTTCCAGAAAGCCAAGGTAACATGCTTAAAAACCCAAGTAAATCTGCTATTTTTGAAATCACTGTGTATTTATGTGTATCATATTTGATGTTAAACTGTTGGGAATATTTGTTTTGCAGAACAGAGAGTACCTGATTGAGAAGCTGCTTACAAGAACACCAGACATAGCCCAAAGAGCCAAAAAGGTAAGTGCCATTAGCCTTCATGACCCTGTAGGAACCAATCCCCAGGGAAATGAAACCCATAGAAAAATTGGAAAAAGATTTCCACATATGCAGGATATACTATTCAGACGCTATATCTCATTAGTGATTACTCAGATAACTGCATTTGCCTTTTCGTTATCTCAGCTGGTTGTTATACATTTGGGTGTGGAAACAATTTGAATCTCAAATGATTTCATTTTTCCCTTTATCAGCTTTGCTTAAAGAAGGTCAGAAAGGAGGGGATGTGATGAGGTTTAAATACTGGAGAGGTAAAATATCCTTGAACGTCTTTCCTTTGGGTTTTACAGAAGAGGCATGCTCACTTTTTAGATAAAGTTTGTAACGATGAAGATAAAAAACACAACTTTTAATGGTTTGAATAGCTGTGAGATAGCATTCTTTCCTCATGAAAGACCTATGGTCCCTTTTTTAGTTTACCTTATGTTAACTGAATTATGGTAATGATTAGCTGAACAATCTTCCATTTTAGGTTTTAGATTTCTAAAATGGCATGTATGTATGTATTTATTTATTTATGTATTTTTCCAGAGACTTATTTATTTGTAATTACAGATTTCATTGTGGTATGAAACCTAATACAATTTAACCTCTGGTTTGGTTTAGTTTGGTTTTTAAATTATATTAGATATTTATAATTAAAAATATGTATATAGTCACATATTTTAAAAAGGAGGTTCTTCACCCCCATTTACAGTTACAGAGAAAGCTGACATGAATCTGTGTTGTCTGTGCTGTAAATAAAAATGGCAAAGAAATGTGCTTTAGGGATTGTATCTCATCTTGCCAAGGTATACATAGCTGAATATTAAATTCCAGATACTGCCTTTTCTAAAATATTCTGTAGAAAATGCATTAGCTGATGCTTTAGAATTGTTTTAAACAGATTTTCAAGTGGACTTTAAGAAATGTCCCATTCTGTGAAGGTATCTGAGCTTCTCTCCTGGACCAGAAGAATTATGTGGGGTGGGCTGGTTTCTGCGCTGTGGCTGGGGAGGATTGATGTGTTGACTTTGGAGATATGAGCCCAGTTGGTCTCTGAGGGGACAGGGAGCGCTGAGCAGACAGTCCATCAGAGTGGAATATCTGAAGGGGAAGCACAGAAAAGCTAAATCTTCAGTTTGAGGGCACCAGAGTTTGAGGACTCCTATCAGAAGACTGAAAGAGATGCCTGGAGAGATTCCCAGGAGTGTTGGAGTCTGGCGTGGGGTCTTTTGATCAAGTATTTAAAATGTCAGCCAGAGTTGAGAAAGCTGTTCAAAAGCCATTAGCTTATATAGTACATGTCCTCAAAGGACTTTTTCTTTTTCTTATTTTTGGGCCCACACTTCTTTTGCTGGAAGTGTCATCTGATCCCATCCTGTTAGCTGGTCCCTGAGAGGTGTTTTCTAGGCTGCTTTCTCTCTGCAGCTTTGGCCTCACACTCCAGCTCCTTGTTAAGTGGCCTGCCAGCCTCGCTATCACAGTGACTCCACAGGGCCCACCTTCCCTCCCAAGCCTAACCTTCCTGTGCTCTGTATTTCTTTCCGAGCCCCCCAGCCTCAGAACCCTGGGACTATATGTGAGCCCTCCTTCCCTACCTTGTCTTCCCCATCTAACCACTCTCCACATCTTCCCTATGATTCCTTCTGCAATTTTGGTTGAAACCTTTTTCTCCACTATTTTTAACTGGACAATTGCAATAAATTTCTAACTGTTCTCCCTCCATTCCCCGTTTCTATTCTTTCTTAGGCATTTCTAACAAGATTTAACTTTCTGGTCTTAGTTGCTCAAAAGTGGTTTCCAAAATTAAACAAAAACAACCAGAAGAGCAAATAAATGAAAAAATAGAAATTTAAAAAATGGTTCCTGTCTAATAAAGACCAAGATCCTTAGCCTCGAATTTATGGCACTATTTCAACTTCCAGTCTTATATTCTAACCTCCAGCCAAACTGAACCATCTGTGCTTCCCACTGTGTAACCCATACTTTCCTTTGGAGCTTTTTGAAATTTGAAAAAATGAAGAATCTGTTCAGGCTGTAACCTTCATTTCTTTGAAGAAAAAAATTACTTGGCCGGGTGTGGTGGCTCACACCTGTAATCCTAGTACTTTGGGAGGCCGAGGCAGGTGAATCACAAGGTCGGGAGATCGAGACCATCCCGGCCAATGTGGTGAAACCCCATCTCTACTAAAAACACAAAAATTAGCTGGGCGTGGTGGTAGGCACCTGTAGTCCCAGCTACTCGGGAGGCTGAGGCAGGAGAATCACTTGAACCAGGGAATCAGAGGTTGCAGTGAGCCGAGATTGTGCCACTGCACTCCAGCCTAGCGGCAGAGCAAGACCCCGTCTCAAAACAACAACAACAACAAACAACAACAAAAAACTTATTACATATTAGTGTGCTGTGCATTCCAAACCCCAGTTTGCATCTATCTTAAACAATAAGCAACTAGAGTTTCGTGAGATGTGATTTTTCAACCATGTCTTCTGCCATTTACTTGCTCTTTGCTTTTAGATGAACCTCAGGTCTTGTTCCATCATCCATCCCTTCAAATGCAAGGTGGCCGCACAGCTCAGTGTCACATAGGAGTGAAGGGAGAATGCAAATTAGTTCTTTAAGCATCCTAGAGAAAAGAGAGTGGCCTGTTTTGCTGTTATCCTGGCTCTCTAGTTTCATAATATTGGCTGTTTTCCGATCATAATTCTAATTTTAATGAGCAATTGGGTTATCAGCTATACTCCACCCCTCACCTGTAGGTTCTTTGACATACTCTGCCCGGGACAGCATCGATCATGGCTCATTTCTCATTCATAGTAAGTGCCCACAAATGTTTACTGACCAAATGATCACATGCCAAGGAAAAGCCCTTTGAAACTGTTTTCCACTCATTTGAACCCCCACAATGCTTGGCATACACGTGTTCCTAGGATTCCTGTTAATAGTGGGTAGTCTCCCCGCAAGCCCCGCTCTGGCTTGTGATTCTGATAAACAACCATGATCATCCTTATGGGAAACTTCGTGTAGACGTGGCTGCTGGAAAGTAAATGTGATTTTAATCACCCTGTGCAATGAAATGAAAACGTTTATTGTAGGATTCTCTGCTTGTCTTAGGTTGTTCCAGTGTTTAAGTAACTTCTGTTTAAGAATTGGTTCAGGGGAGTCGTTAATTTATTTGTTCTTAGACTGTCTTGATTGAGATCTCAGCCATTCTCCTCTTCACTGTGGCGCCTCCCAGTTGATCTTGCTCTGGCTTCTGTGGTATAGATTGCTCCTCAGAGGCTACTCGTTGATGTTGATCCATTGATTTTTGTCTTATCAGTTCGCTGTTTTTCAAAGAGAAACAGACAGTCCATTGACACATGAGTGTTTAAATGATACCTGGGCCTGTGGGCAGGGCTCTTGGGCATGGAGGCAACCATGTTGATTAGAAATTTGCTGTCATAAACAGCATTCTCTTCTCCTCTCTTCTGCTAACCAACATTAAGAGATAATTTTCAATGTGCATTTTTCTTTAATGTGAACAATTTTCATATTTAAAGGAGAAGAGGGGCTGGTATTGTGGCTGTTCTTAGAAAGCCCCATGGAGCCCACCAGTGCTGCCCTTTAGCAGGAGAGAAGCAGAGGCCCGTCATACTCATGTTTGGCCAAAATGTGATGTTTTTGTTGGGAGCCACATAATTCCACGAGGGTAGGTGATCTTGTCTTCATCCGGATTGACTCCTCTAAATCACGAAAAAATAGAAAATGGAAAAAGATCGACATGGCCTCTTTGGTAATTTAGTATGCAAAACATTTTTTTTGGGTGTGTGGTAATTGTAGAAACTGAGGATATTTATTTTCTTCCTACAGGCAGAATATTTGGTCCATTCTGGGTTCTTTTGCTGACAGTGTTGTTTAGGGATCATCTTGATTTTCTTTGGCTCTAGTCTGAGGGGCCCAGGCATGTGGTGAAGGGTAATATAAGATTGGATGTTCCTGGACCTCAAGACACTCTATATATTCTAAATGAGAACATGCTAGTAATGACCCATGAGAACAGAGCTAAGTGCAGCTGTATAACTTTTTTTTCAAGTTTTCACTATCTTTGTGCATGAGAATAAAAGGCTTTGTAGCCATCGCTGCCTCTCCTGTGACTTTCTGAGGGACCTGTCTCCAGCCATGTCTTGGGGTTTGAAAGCTTAACCACGTGGTGTTCCATCTTTTACTGTACTGAATTCATTAGGTGGGGAAGGGAGTCAATGGTTCAGTTAAAATTGAATGTAGATGCTTAGGGCTGTGTGCATCTTCTTTTTTTTTTTGATTATCAAAATCAGTTCTTATTATATCCTTTTCTTTGTATTACAGACAGTATCTTGCTATTTTTACCCATGTTTCACATCAACTCTTTTGTTTTATTATTATACTTTAAGTTCTGGGATACATGTGCAGAACGTGCAGGTTTGTTACATAGGTATACATGTGCCATGGTGGTTTGCTGCACCCATCAACCCATCATCTACATTAGGTATTTCTCCTAATGCTGTCCCTTCCCTAGTCCCCCACCCCCCTACAGACCCCAGTATGTGATGTTCCCCTCCCTGTCTCCATGTGTTCTCATTGTTCAACTCCCACTCATGAGTGAACATGCAGTGTTTGGTTTTCTGTTGCTGTGTTAGTTTGCTGAGAATGATGGTCTCATAATCTGTGTGCATCTTCTACAGGAACATTTAACCCTCAGAATTGGCTGATGTCTAAGTTTTATGTTAGTGATAACATACTTGAGGCACCACACTCACACTCATATTCATATGCTTTCTGTGGCTTTCTAAAACCAACATATGGGTTGGGCGCAGTGGCTCACACCTGTAATCCCAGCACTTTGGGAGGCCGAGGTGGGAGGATCACTTGAGGTCAGGAGTTCAAGACCAGCCTGGCTAACATGGTGAAACCCTGTCTCTACTAAAAATACAAAATTAGCCAGGCGTGGTGACACTTGCCTGTAAACCCAGCTACTCGGGAGGCTGAGCAGGAGAATCATTTGAATCCGGGAGGCAGAGGTTGCAGTGAGCCAGGATCGTGACACTGCACTCTATCCTGGGCAACAGATCGAGACTCCGCCTCAAAAAAATAGAAATAAAAAATATAACCCACATATGGCAGGACAGAGGGCAAGGGGCTCGTAGCTATGCAAATGTCTGAATGCTCACTGCTCATCCAAAAAACATATTGGCCATAGGAGGGAATGAAGAGGAAACATGTAATAGGCAGTTCTTTCCCTTCTTATGGTTGCCTGTGTTTTCACTGGAAGTAGATTTACTGGAGGGTTATTGCTTGAACTTTCTTAATCATGAAATTAAGTAAGCAATTAACTAAACAGTACAATGTTTAGTCATTATCAGAAGGAGGTAAAGGGTATCACATCGCTGCTGTCTTTGGATGGAACCGCTGTGAAGTGGAAAGACTGGGATGTTATTTGTGGGTCCCAGAATTTCTAATATTAGGCTATGAGATTGGTTTCATGCCAAGGCCCCAAGGCCCTTGGCCCCACTGGATCCACTGATATGCTTAGGAATCAGTGGGTAGGAATATTTCAATTCACATTTATTTAATACTTACAAGTGTTGAGAACTTGTCCTGTTTGTTTTTAACTTTTTTTTTTTTTTTTTTGAGATGGAATCTCGCTCTTTTGCCCAGGCTGGATGAAGTGCAATGGCGTGATCTCCACTCACTGCAACCTCCGCTTCCCAGGTTCAAGCGATTCTCCTGCCTCAGCCTCCTGAGTAGCTGGGATTACAGGTGCCCGCCACCATGCCCGGCTAATTTTTATATTTTTAGAAGAGACGGGATTTCACCATGTTGGCCAGGCTCTCTTGAACTCCTGACCTTAAGTGATCCTCTGACCTGGGCCTCTAAAAGTGCTGGGATTACAGGCATGAGCCATTGGTGCCTGGCTTGTTTTTACTTTTTCTTATGAAATAATTTCAGACTTACAAAAAAGTTAGAAAAATAGTGCCAAGAATTTTCGTATGTGTTTTCTCTTACTCTTTATTTTGAAACATTCCACAGTAGGTTGCAGACAGAATGCCCTTTACCTCTAAATATACTTCACTGTATATTTCCTAAAAACAAGGATACTCTCTTACCTAGCAACAGTACAGTTTTCAAAATTAGGAAAAGAACATCGATGTAATACTATTATTTTTTAGATCTTATTTGAATTTTGCTACATTTGCCAATTTTCCCATTCATGTCATGTATCTGGTCCAGGATTCAGTTCAGAATTATTGAGTTGTTACACCTCCTGTAGTCTCTTTTAATCTAGAACAGTGTTTCTTTTCCCATCTGTGACTCCTTTGAAGAGTATAGGCCAGTTATTTTATAGAATGTCCCTCCGTTTAGGTCTGTGTGATATTTCTGAATGATCAGATTCAGTTTATGCACTCTTTGATAGACATACCTCAGAAGTGATGTTGGGTTCTTCTCTGTATCATATTAAGAGGCACATGGTATTGATTTATTCCTTTACTGGCAACGTTCACTTTGATCATATGCATAAGGTGGGACCTTCCAGTTTCTTTATTGTAAACACAAGTATCACTTCTTAATAGGATGGATTTATTTACATTCACTGATTACATTAAACATTAAAAGATAAAGTGAATATATTTACTGTATTGAATCATTAATCTTTTTTCAAGGAAACATTTATACTTTATGTCATGGCTCTACATTCATAGGCTATTAATGAGGAATTTTATTGATAGATAGAATGATAGAAATCTTGTGTATAAAAACACCTTGTTGGCTGAGTGTGGTGGCTCACACTTGTAATCCCAGCACTTAGAGAGGCTGAGATGGGAGGATTGCTAGAACCCAGGAGTTTAACACCAGCCTGTGCAACATGGCAAGATTCTGTCTCTACAAAAAAAAAATTTAGCTGGGCATGGTGGTGTGTGCCTGTGCTTCCAGTTACACAGGAGGCTGAGTTGGGAGGATTGATGGAGCCCAGGAGGTTGAAATTGCAGTAAGCCATAGTCACACCACTGTACTCCAGCCTGGGTAACAGAGCAAGACCCTATCTCAAACAAAATCAAACCCAAAATGACAGTACACTGGATAAAGAAAATGTGGTACATATACACTATGGAATACTACACAGCCATAAAAAAGAACAAGATCATGTCCTTTGCAGCAACATGGATGGAGGTGGAGACCATTATCCTAAGCAAACTAGCACAAGAACAGAAAACCAAATGCCGCATGTTCTCACTTATAAGTAGGAATTAAGCACTGAGTAAACATGGACACAAAGAAGGGAACAATAGACATGAGGGCCTACTTGAGGGTGGAGGATAGCAAGAGGGTGAGAATCGAAAAACAACTTACTGGGCACCACACTTATTACCTGGGTGATGAAATAATCTGTACACCAAACCGCCACAACACGTAATTTACCTGTAAAACAAACCTTCACATGTGCCCCTGAAACGAAAATAAAAATTTTACAAAAACCAAAACAATACAAACCACTTTGCTAGCAGATTTAGGCAGGAAGTGGAGGTGCACCTGCTGCCCCAGTCTCTATGCCTGGTCTGGAAACAGCAAGAGCTATATCTGTATCTTTTGTTGGGTGAGCTGCCTAATCTCTCTGAGCCTAACCTGTAAGGCAGAGCTGACAATACTTACATTGTGTTGCTGTGAGGATGAGAGATGATCTGTGCAGGATGTCTGGTGCCGTGTTTGACACATAGCAGGTGCTCAGTCAGCAGTGGCAGTGTGATTGTCATGTAAATAAGGAGAATGATTATTGTGGCTACGGAAGACTGGACATTTTAGAAGTATGTAGTGAAATCAGGAGTGAAGAGAGTGTCCTGTAGGTGGGGTGGGGTGCAGATGGGTATTGAAGGTTGTTTCTGCATTGCCGTTAATTTGGGTGAAATGGAGGAAAAGCCTATGGATGCCTACAGAAAGAAGGAAAATAATTACAGTAGTTAGTTCATTGCCATTGCCTATTCACCTGTCTTCATGTTTTCTTTTCCGATCCATCAAGGTGCTGGCAGTGGGTGAGAACCAGGGCTTTCTTTCACTACAGTAAACCCTCCCTGCCCTGAGAAGGGGCGTGTATGTGTGAAGAGCCTAAGAGTAGTGAGAATTAAATACAAACACAGCCAATATTCTTTCACAGCTTTCAGATCACTTTCATTTATGCTTCCATATTTGTCCCAAACAATTGTTCTTGAAGACAGGTAGAGCAGGTGTTACTGTCACACTTTACAGATGGAAATGTGAGAGGTGAAAAGGACCTGCCCAAAGTCACATGGCCAAATAAGCAGGAGTGAACTCCAGTTCTTATTCTCAATCTATGCTCTTTCCACCAAATCATACCTCAGAATGAAGAAGAAGAGAACGGAGAGGACAGGAAGGAAATATAGATGGAGAAGGTAGGCAGAGTTAAGTGGTGTACACAGGAAAATGGGAGCGTATTTGTCATTCTCAGAGTGAGTCGGCCACCATTTAAATTGTGTGAGGAGGATGTCTGTGCTATTCACAGGCACTAGGAGATGCTACAGGCACTAGGAGATGCTGCAGGCATCATTGCAGGAATCTGGGAAGTTTGCCAGGGTTCTAGCAAGTGTAGAGGGAAGGAGGTGACAAAAAGGCTTTGGAGATTATGTTGGGGAGAGAGATGGCTAGTGAGAGTTTGGTTAGCATCAACAGTTGTTAGATACCGTCAGAAGCTCAGCTTCTCACTCATGAAGTGGTAATGGTAATAATAGCTATGTTTGGGAGGACTAAATTAGGTAATACATAATATAATAGTGGTTGGGACAAAATAATAAGTGGCACAGGTTATAGCAAAATTTTTTAATAATCACATATATTGCTTTTATTACTATAGTTATTATAGTCCAGATTGTTTTTGTAACATTTATGATTGCTGCCACAGCTGTGGGCACCCCTGCTGCTGTTCCCATTTCTGCTGCTGCTAGAACAGCTGTTTCCATTACAACCACTGCTACCAGTAGTGGGCACTCAGGTGCACATGATACAAGGACATAGCACAGACAGTGAAACTCACCTTTC
Source organism: Homo sapiens (assembly GCF_000001405.40). Taxonomy (NCBI): domain Eukaryota; kingdom Metazoa; phylum Chordata; class Mammalia; order Primates; family Hominidae; genus Homo; species Homo sapiens. The sequence continues at coordinate 168,120,455 of NC_000002.12, read as the reverse complement.
TGTGAAGAACGCACAAACGTCACAAGACATGCAAAACTCAAAGAGTAATAGAGAATAAGCGCTTTGGTATGTGGGCATAGCATCTGTGCTACAGCTACGGGAAAGGTCATGAAGCTGGTAGATGGGGGACATGTGAAGGGGGAAGAGAGAAAAACGATATTTATTGTGCACCTTTATGCATCCTGCTAGATGCTTACGTCACATTTATCTCAATTACTGCAGCCATACAACAATCAGTAAAGTTCTGAGTATAAGATATGTTAAATAGGTTAGGCCAGAGGATAAGATACATTAGACTATTAAGAATGATTTTTAAAAAGCTATAAATATTTTGAAATACCAACAGAAAAGGAAAAACCATCTATTAAAAGTGAGTTAAGCTATCCCTAAAGGGTTACAGGATTTTAAAATTGAGAACCACAAATATCTCCTAGTTTTCCATGCTTCTGTGTACAGGCCTGAAAATTAAGGCCTAAGGAGGTCGAGCCTTAACCAAGGCCAACTGCATCATCATGTCCTAACAGTCCAAAGCCAGTATCCCAGTTTGTTACCATTTAGTTTCTTCTTTTAGTCGATAAAGAGGGAAAATTACCCTGAGTTTCTACAGAATTGCTTTTTTCCCCTCCTGGAATCTTATAATTAACTTATAAAATATCGAAGGTTATGCATTATCATTAAAGCAGAGAAGAGAGAGTGATTTCAAATGCTTGATGGAATGATGTTAGTTTTGTTCCAAGTTTTCCCAGTAGAGGGCAGCAATGGGTTTTAAGTCTGTGCCATTGTGGAAAGCTAACTGAGCAAAAGTTTTGGCTTTGTCGAAGGCCTCAGACTTGGAGTTGAGGGATCAAAGGGGTGTTAGGTCCCTACTGAGCCATGAACAAGAGACACCTTAGTCAATTAGGGTGCTACTTTACTGGGCAGGAGATTGAAGGGTGATGGTTTAACGACTTTTCACTATTACTATTTTTAAGTTATATTTTCTATTAGCAAATCAAAGCAATCTACCATTTGCATTTTACATAATTCGTGTCAGAAACAAACATCTCAATTTTGAAGATGGGATTGGAGAGCTTCCAGTATTTTGTGGTCTCAAGCTATTTTTAGAAAATTCTTTGGTTTCTGCAGTTCTCCTTAGAGCTTGGTAAATACGGGTAGAAGAGAGTCAACATGTACAATAATAACAGTGAAGGAGAAGTGGACCCACTTCCGCAGTTACCGTGCATATTATGGGTTTAATATAAAATACTCCCAGTGATCCACATCGGCCTGAGTGCACATGTCCTCTCTCCACTTTGTGTTTCCTTTTCCCATCCTCTCGCTTAAAACCGACCATGTGCCTTGGGAATAAATCTCATTGAGGAACTCACATGCTCACAGGGAGGAGGGCAAGGGTGGTTGAGGATATTATTTTTCCTATTTTAGAGCTGAGAGAACAGTAGGCCAGAGAGGTTAAAGTTACTGATTTCACTGGGGCTGTTACAGGGACAGGCGTTCACAGAGTGTGAGCTCATTGGTGTTTTCACTGCTTTTTTATTTTAAATTCTTTGCTTTTTAGTTATTTGAGAACTGAGAGTTCCTTTGGTCAGAAAAGAGCTTTTGGTCACTAGGGGGTGCTATTAGAACAGTTCATTGACTAAGAATCTGGACAGGAATTGCTTACCAGTCTGTAAAAAGCCTTGCAGCCGTAGATTTTTTCCTTTTGCTCTGTGTCTGTGGCTTGACTGGTGTTCGCACTGGGGGTGAATTAGGCAGAGGTGAGGGTAGAGGAAAGAGCAAGGGGGAAAAGCATCTTACAGAGTTACTTTCAATTCATTTGGTGAATTGAGTTGTTGTTTTTTTTTTTTTTTTTTTTTGAAAGCATATGTTCTGGGAAAGTGACTCCTTTCTGGTTGCCTTTGACTGGGAGCTGAGAGGATCCACTCTGGAAATTGTAATTTGCTGATCCCCATTTAGGGAGAATGTCTTTATTTTTAGATTGATCTTGAAAGACAGTGAGCTGTGTAAACTTTCACAGACTTGGAGGTCCAGTTTTGGATATTTAGAAATAATGACACATACTCTGAAATTATTGTAAGAGATACTGTTTCTACAAATTTAGTTTGTAGAAAACTAATTGTTACTGGAAATCACATCCAGTTAGATTTGTGAGGTCTGGATAGTCTTCAAACATATTATGTGCTTCCTTTTTGCCTTTGGGAAATTTGCTAACTTTTCCCAAAAGCTTGCGTGCATGAGCTAGCTTTTCTGGAACTGAAGTGGCGTGTTACTTGCTGAGAGAAGCTCCCGACTGCCTCCTCCTCCTCCTCCATCTGTCCATGCAGTGCTCCCCGAGCATCCTGGTAACCTACTAGGTGCTGACCTTCCCTACGGTAGGTGGCCTTTATTCAGCCTCTCAGCTCCCTCTAATCCTAGTGTACCATTTCTTTCCTTTCTTCCGAAAGGAAAATAATTTGGCTAGAGTTGCGGAAAAACTAATATAAAATATTGTCAGTAAATGCCCTTTTGATCTTGTCAAAACTCTACTATAGTTGTACTGTCTTTTCTCCCTGATTGAAAACTCAATGGCTTCTTGTCATTAATAGGATAAGATACAAGTTCCCGCCACTTATAAGATGAGGTGCACATCACTTGGAGGTAAGGGATCACTCCAGGGTCCCATGGTCTATGTCTCCAGGCTTTCTCTCAGCCACGGGCCACCTCGGCCTTCAACACATCTTTACCAAATTAGATGTGTTTGGTAATTGTACTTTTCTACCAGTACACTCCTGAAATCCCCACATGCACCATGAAGGCCTCTCCCTACACTTGTATCTCTCCCAGCCTAGCATCTTTTCTGTGAAGCTTTCTGATACTACCCTCCCAGCACCCCAGGAGGTTCATCAGTCTGTTCTCTGTACTACTCCTTACCTTGAGCTTAAATATGTTGTTGCACTTGGTGTCATTTATAGCTTACTTTCTGCTAGTTTTACCTTCTGTAGCCTACTATCAATTCTTGTGGAGCATGGATGGTGTCCTTTTATCTCTGTGTTCTCAGTACCCAACATAGTATTTTGGTCAATTAGTAACTATTTTTCAAATTGAAGTTTAGCAAGCAAGATGGTGATGAGGATCGTCTTCATGGGAGCTGGTGTGAGAGTGCAAGGGGAGGTAGAGGAAATCTGCTTTTAGTTTTAAAGAAGAATAGTTAAGATATTTTTCAGCTGGTGCTGTATTCTTGTATTTGAAGTCTGGGACTCAGGGTTTAGCCGAACCTAAATTTAAAATCAACTTTGTTAGCACCAACTTGTTGAGAGTCTTGAGTGAGCCATTAACTTGATTCACCTTTGCCACATGATCATAGAATGGAATGGTTAGATATTATTAGGTAATAATTGTGAATTATGCACTTTGTATTATTTGACAACAAAAATGTAGTCCCTACCACTCAGCATATATTGACTATTGTCATTTTCTTCTCTGAGCCAGGATGCACATACGTTTTCCTGTTACCTGAAGCTGCATTTAATTAGGAAGATATTCCAAAAATAGCTTTAAATTAGGTTTTAGTACGCTCCACTTTTGGATTACCTTTTACTTATTTCCTCACTTAGGAGAAATAATTTAAACTTTTTATATCATGATCCTGCAAGTCTTTAAAATGAGTAAGATGTTTTGGAGTAGGGAAGGTGAAGGAAATGGAAAGTAATGGCACTTTTATGCATCACGGGGAAAGGAAGGGTTCTATCATCTGTGGGAGGAAGGCAAATGTTTGCCCCTCTGCCCTGGCCTCTTAGGTTGTGGTCATTCAATCACAGGGAATGTGGAGAGGCCAGCAGGGGGTGTGGTACATATGTTTGAGACATCATTGTTGGGGGTCGGGAGTCTGCTTGTTTTAGGCTAATCAAACTTGATTGACTTAACAAAGATTCAGGGCTCTATTTATTTTAAAAGGCCAGAAATACCTTGTTTTTAAAAATATATTTTTTTACTTTGAAATCCAGTAGTTCTAAAACAAATTAAAATTCAAGGGACTCGATTAAGGTTGCACTTTGATATAGAATTTTCTAAGCTTTCCATTGAATTACTTCTGACACATTCAAATACCGATTTAGAAGAGTGTCTAATGACTTTTAATTTTGTTCTTCACATATAGACATATACAAAATTAAGGCGCCCTTGTACAACTTTCACAGCAATCATAGAGCTGGGAAATGCAAACAGTAGCCTTTAATTTAACCCAGATTGAAAAGGCCAGTTGAAGTTGTTTTGGGTGAGGGGTGGGCTTTCTCTGTGACTTTGTGGAAAGCTGTGAGAGGCAGATGAAGGAGAGAAAGGCTCAGGAGTAGCTCTTGGTCAGGAAGCTGGGACCATAAAAATCTATGCTTGAAGGTTAAGACCAAGCTTTGGCTCTTGAGATAGACTCCAGCCAGCCCTGGCTCTACGACCCACTCATGGGGTAACCTTGAGTGGCAGCTGAGCTCCCCAGTGCCTTGTCTGTGACATGGAGACTGTTCAGTGGCTTCTTGTTCTTCTTGGGCAAAAACTAAAATCTTTAACCGGGGTTCCAGTGCTTCGCATGGTCTAGTCCCTTCTTCGCTCTTCAGCCTTGTCTTGCATTCTCCACCCTCAGTTCTCTATTGTCCACTTGCCCATAGCCCTTGTCCATGTTGCTCTTCCCCCTGGAAGTGTCAGCTCTTCTCATCCTGAGCAGACCTCAGTTTCAGCTCAAAGAGTCATTTCTCCAGAAAACAAAGTTGGAATCATGCCATATTTATTGTCCTGCAATCTACCTGCAATTTCATTTAAGATATACCTTTGGACATCTTTTTATGTCAACAAACATAGATTAGCGTAATCAAATGGCTGCATGAAATTCTGCAAGAATGACTATAATTAAGAATCAATTTTTTCTTGATAAATACTAGATTGTTGCCAATTTAGAAATCGTTAACCACACTGGGATGAACATCATTGTACTTGCATTATTACATAGATGTTACCTATTTTGTTAGTCTATTTCCTAGGAACAGGATTGCTTGGTCAAAGAGTATATGGTTTATAATTATTGACACATATCACCTTACATATGTTTAAAGTGGGAGGTGTTATGTTTCAAATCCCAGCCTGAGTCTCAGGTCCATCATCTGTAGAACATTACTTATGTATACACCCATGCACATGGGTGCATGCGTATATATGCTTAATTCAGTGCCTAGCATATGGTATTTAATATTATTTATTTTTGGCATTGGAATGTTATCCATGAACATTTACTTTATTTCATTTTTTTTCCTAGATCTACAGTTAGCTGTTTTGTAGAGAGAATTCCAGATCTTCTGGTGGTTCTGCAACCTTGAGACTTTCAGTACTTTAGGAGAGATTAGATTATACGAGGTACTTCAGGCTAATTGACCTAGAGCCTATTATGTAGATCCCAGCTTAGGGTCCTGAACTCTTGGGGCCATTAAAGTTAGTTAGGAGAGAGCCATTGGTAGTAAAACGTATTGAAGCCGTTTTGTTCTGCAGTCTGTTCTTGGACACAGACCGAGTGTGCAGTGTTACAAGGTGTTTTGCCCATTACTCTGTCACTGTAATCTCTTCTGTCCAGAACAAACAAGTGATAAACCAGCTGCCTGCCTGAAAGTAAGACCACGCCGTTTTCATCATCCCCTGGCTTCTGGTTGTAGATGCTTGTTATGAGGTCCGATGTCAGCCATTCATGCGGTGCCAGGTGTTGGTCATGACCAGTGCCTACACTCAAGGATAGCACTGCAGTTTCCATAATCCTATGATCTTAACCATTCATAACTTTTAGAGTTGAGAACCCTATTTTTCTTTTTTCCTGAACCATTGCATTGTTTTTAAAAAGAACGTATAACCTTGAGATTACAGCCTCACTGGCCCTGGGCTGGTTTTGAACCTCATGTAATCACATGGCTTCTCTGAGCCTCGATTTCCCCACCTTCCCAACCTCCAAGGGTTTTTATGAAGTTGAAATGTGACAGTTTATGTAAAACACTTATGCAGATTATAACAGAGATTCTAAAAATGCTTTTTTTGCCTTCTTCTCCCTTCCCTCATTGTGCGTCAGGGAACATTTTGTAAGGAAGGAGTTGTGTATTATACAAGTGAGCATAAGGAAGTATTTAAATGTCATGTGAGAATTGTCTTTTATTTTCTTAAGGAAATTATTGTCTAAGGTTAGTGAATTTCATCCTGCTCTTTCGTTCTTCCTTCCTGTCTCTGTAGAGCACAATAACCCAACAGCTACAACCTCATGCTTTAGATAAAACTGTTCTTGCTCTTCTGCCAACATACACAGTCCTAGAAGTTTCCTTAAGGACTCTGAATTACTGAAGCTTACTTGGAACTCTACCATTTATTTTTGTTTTAATTGTATGATTTCTGATTTCTTAATTTACTGATGAATTTTTAAGTTGAAATTAGAAAGTTAGCCTATTGAGTGTATTTTTTAAACAGTTACAATGAATGCATCTGTTTGAACAAAGTAAACATTTTTGGTAATAAATGACATCTGAATCAGCTCGTCTTCCTCTGACGTTTTCTGTGATATGTTATTTCTATGGGGTCTCTCCTGCTTTTCTCTTTACCTTATCAAGAGATATTTGCCTGTCCCCCTTTTCCTGACAGAAGCTTCATGCCTAGTTCAGTGGTTCTGAAACTTACTGTGAGATACCTGGGCCCTTTAACCAGACATTCACATTCTACAGGTCTGGGGACAGGATTCAGGACTCTGCATTTTTAATAAGCAAGCCAAGTGAGAGTGGTGCGAGTGACTGAGACAGCCTCTGTGTCTTGTCTCCTTGTTGGAGAGGAAGCCATATTGCTAAGTTCACTTTACAAAAAGAAAAATCTGGTAGTCCTGCCATGTGATTATATAGCTTTAACAAAAATGCCTATATTTCACAAGCTACTTTCCTCTCTTTGCCCACTGGCCCACCTCACTGTCATTTATAATTCTCTTTTTTCACTCTGAATGTCACTGGAGCAGCCCTTCCTAGTTGTTGCATGTAATATGTATCTTATCTGGTAATATTCCATGTGTCTTCGCTGTGTTACACTGTGTGAAACAGAGCTGCAATATTTATCTGCTTAAACAATGGCTTCTTTTGGTATTGTTTGATAGGTCTTATATTCATTATTAAAGTGGGCATATCTGTCTCCAGAGAGCTCTGACTTTACTAGCATTATTAATGTGGCACTCATTTACCATTGACATTGTGCTCCTTTCTTTGATGTATAATAGAGGGGGGGATGTGACATTCTAGCTTGTGGAGGAGGCAAGATGGATGAATTAGCCTTTGACATATCCTGGTATGGACATAGAATGGTGTGGAGAGTTTCTATTTAGACAATGGAGAAGAGGGCTGGGAAACAGTTTAGGGCTCATTTTATAGGAGAGTTTCTAATCATGGAAGCCGGGCAAAGATGAAATAGACTGGAACTGCAATCATAAAGGATCTCTAGAACTGGAAGATACCCTATTTGTCCTTTCAACCAGAGCTTCCCACCCAGTGGCCAGAGCACACTGGTGGACGGTGAGTAGGTATAGTGAGCCAGGAGAGTAATCCCCTGATCCCTCAGGGCAGCTGGATGAGGCCTGGGATGAATGACATTCTGGGGCCAGTTGCTGTGAATCACTTCATCATTTGATTCTAGTATGTTGTATAAATATCATTTTCTATGTGCGCCATGAGGTAGACAAAGGTTGTAAAACAATGGTCCAAACCGCTGGTATTAAAATTCTGTGAACCATTAAAAAAATCTTACTGGAAGTTCAAAATTTTGAATATAGGGGTTGTATTAGTTTGTTTTCATACTGCTATAAAGAACTACCTGAGACTGGGTAATTTATAAAGAAAAGAGGTTTAACTGACTCACAGTTCCACATGGCTGGGGAGGCCTCAGGAAACTTAAAATCATGGTGGAAGGTGAAGGGGAAGCAAGACGCATCTTACATGGCAGCAGGAGAGAGAGAGAAGGGAGAAGAGCTACACACTTAATCAAACAACTAGATATTGTGAGAACTGTGTCATGAGAACAGCATGGGGGAAACCACCCCCATGATCCAATCACCCCCAACCAGCCCCCTCCGCTGACCCGTGGAGATTACAATTCAAGATGAGATTTGAGTGGGGCTGCAGAGCCAAACCACATGAGGGGTTTTTGAAGAACCTTAGGAGTCCCAAGAGTCCAGTGTGAAGACCACTGCTCTGAACCTGTCCTCTTGGAGTAGAGAGGAGATACTGAGTTCTGTAGAGATTGAATGGATTTTTAATAGGTGACTAAGATCTGGATTTCCACTTTTGGCTCCTGGTTCAGTGTTTTTTTTTTTTTCTTTAAATGTTGCTTAAGCTGAAACTAGATGATAAAAATAAGAATTAATGGATTGTAAGTTAAAGAGCAGGGACCATCCTAATTGGTCCTCGCTCTTCAATGCTTAACATGGTGTATGCCAAAATAGTTGCTGAGTAGTTGTAGGTCAGGTAAAATGACTGTGATGGGACTTATTCTGTCCATACTGGGAGGTTGGGCCAGATGTGTTTCAAGCTTCCTCCAATAAAGATCCAGTGAGGTTTTTATATTTATCAGTATTTAGATGGAGGGTGGGCAGGTTTTTTTCTGTGGAAATTGAGAATAGCAAAAGCTCTTACATTGCATATCACATTTAAGCTTCCAAGAGCCTTAGGAAGTACAGAGGAATTGAAAAGTGGAATACAAATTGATATTGCAAACTTTTCTTTGAATTTATAAGGAGAAAATTGCTGTATTTGTAATGAATTTTGCTTGTTTTAGACTATTTTTCCCCTCGCTGTATACATGTGAGAACTAAAATAAGTTGGGTCATTTTATCAACAGCACAGAAATAAAGAGAAGATCCTAAAATCAGCTAGAGAAGTAAAACAGATCACCTATCAGGTAATAATAACTAGACTGACAGCAGGTATCTGAGTAGCAACAACCAGTGGCTGAAAACAGAGGAATAACTTGATATCCTCAAAGTATTGGGAAAAAGTTAAAATTTTCAAGATTGAGGATAGTGAAAAGACATTTTCAGATTAACAAAACTGAGAAAATTTATATTTAATGGGCCTGTATTAAAATAACTTTCAGGAAGATGGAAAATGAAAATTAACAAGCTAAACATCTAACTTGAATTAGAAAAGAACAATCTTAATCTGAAGAAAGTGGAAGGAAGTTGATAAAGGTATGAATAACAAAAATTAGTGAAATTTCAAACAACAACCAAAAGGATATTGCAAATAAATTATAGCTTCAACAGAGATTTTTAGAACCCTATAATGAACTATGAATTACTGTATGCCAAATGTCTAGACAAGATGGATAAATTTTAAGAAAAATATAACTTACCAAAACTGAGACAAGTGAAAAAATAGAAAGATGAGTAGTCCTATAAGACCAGGTTTTTATTATTTGTAGTTTTTATTAAATAAATCTAACAAAAGGTATATAAGAATTTTAGGCAGAAAAAGTATAAAATTTATTGGAAGACATTGAAGAAAACCTAATAAATAACAGAAAAACTTTGCTCATGGATAAGAAGACTCAATATAGGAAGGACACCATTTATCCCCAAATTGATTGATAGAGTCAATGCTGTTCCAAATTAGACTTTCCACAAAGGTTTTTGAGAAACTCAACAAGCTGATTCTAAAATTTATTTGAAGATTTTAGGCTCAAGAATATACAGTGTAACTCAATAAAACATTGTGACATTAGGGATAGACAAATGATAAAGGGAATCAAATAAAGAACCCAGAAGTAGACCCTCAGGTATAAGGAAAACTTGATGTATGACAGGGATGTATTATAGATCTGTGTGGAAAAAAGAAGGAACTATTCTGTTAAGTAATAGTTCCGAGATGAGATATACAATCTATATGAAAAATAATTATTGGCAAGGCACAGTGACTCATGCCTTTAGTCCTAGCACTTTGGGAGGCTAAGGCAGGAGGATCTCTTGAGGCCAGGAGTTTGAAACTACCCTGGGCAACATAGCGAGACCGCATCTCTACAAAAAATAAAAATAAAAAATTAGCCAGGCATGGTGGCATATCCTTATGGTCCTAGCTACTGGGAAGGCTGAGGAAGGAGGATTGCTTGAGTCCAGGAGTTTTAGGTTACAGTAAGATCTGATTGTACCACTACACTGCAGCCTGGGTGACAGAGCAAGACCTTGTCTTCAAAAATAAATAAACAAAAATAAATAAATATTTTAATCTCACAGCATACATACATATAACTTCATTCCTAACAGATTAGACACTTAATGTAACAGGCAAAACTTTAAATCGTTTAGATAAAGAAAACCTATTGCTTTGGAGCTCAGATATTTTTAAATAAGAGTCAAAGGGTCTATCTATAAAAGAAAAGACTGTTAAAGTGACACGCATTGAAATTAAGGACAACTGTTTATCAGAGGATACCGTTAATGTAATAGAAAGACAAACCTCAAACTGGGAAAAGACATTTTTAAGGCATACAGCCAACAAATGATTGGCATCTGAAATAAAGAACTTCTTCAAATCAGTAGAAAAATGAACATAAACACACAAAAAACAGGTACTTCCCTGAGGAAGAAATATGAATGGCTCAGGATTATATCAAAGGATGTGCAGCATCATTAGTATTTAAGAAAATGTATATCAGAAAACATGTTCCATTTTACCCCTAATTGATCAGCAAAAATTAAGAGGCCTGGTAATACCATATTTTGGTCAGGATGTAGACTTGTCACATCTCTTATAACAGCTGGTAGTAGTGAAAACTGGCAAAACTGGCACAACCAATTTGGACAAGAATGTGGCACCTTCCTGTAAAAGTTATTTCTGTATCCTGTAGCCCCACAATTTTACGCTTCGAGAATCCATATCCAGAGAAACTTTTGCACACCATGCCAGCAGATGTTTGCAATAATTTTCAAAACAACAATGTATAAACTCAAGAAAATAGCCCAGAGGAGAATGAGTAAATGCTGTCTATCCACACATTAGAGTATCATACAGCAGCGAAAATGAACAGCATAGATGACTTTCAGAAATGTAATACTGAGTGAAAAAGAGCAAACTATAGAAGACTGTAGTCAGAGTGATACTATTTTTGTAAAGCTAAAAAATAACACTAAGTGATGTCCTATTTTAGGATATACATTTGAGATGATATTTTTTAAAAGCAGGTAAATGATAAACACAAAATTCATGGTAGTGACTGAGGCTAGGGTATGTGCCATGTAGCAATATTTTAAGTTGGGTGTTATTGTTCCAGTTCATTACTTACATATATAAATATATGTTGTTTGTATATGTTGAATATTACATCGCAACAACATGAAGAGTCAGACTTCCAAGGTTCCAGTCATGACACTCTGTTCAGTAGAGGTTCAACAAAGGGCAAGGTACCTAACCTCTTCAAAGCTCAGTTTCCTCAACTGAAAAGTAGGGTGGTAACAGTACCTACACATTGAGTTGTTACGACTATTAAATGGGACACTCCACAAGGATTAAGTTAGTGCCTAGTACACTAAATTTACAGTGCAGCAAATTTAGCTTTTGTTGTCTTTTTCTTAAAGCATGAAGTGTGATGGTTTGTACTTCCCTTGGAATTAAAGTAGATAGTGTTCCTATGCAAAATGCACTTCTAAACTGATGATATGTTAGAAATGAGGTGTTGGCAAGATGAATTGAAATATGCGTGAATATTGCTTATCGATTCATTGAGAAGGGTTAGTGAGTTTAGTACAGATTTCTTACCTATGACAGACCAAACAAGAGGCCTGCTGAAGGGGGGAATGACCTTTATGGACTCCATGTCTGTGAAATTCTGGAACATTAGCAAAAGTACCCCATCGTTTCTTTTTTTTTTTATTTTCTTTTCTTTTTTAAATTTTGAGACAGGGTCTCGCTCCGTCACCCAGGTTGGAGTGCAGTGGTGCAGTCATGGCTCACTGCACTCTTGACCTCCCAGTCTCAAGTGATCCTGCCACCTCAGCCTCCCAGGTAGCTAGGACTACAGGTGCATGCCACTACGCCCGGCTAATTTTTGTATTTTTTGTAGAAACAGGGTTTCGCCATGTTGCCCAGGCTGATCTTGAACTCCCGGGCTCAAGCGATCTTCCCATTCCAAGTGCTGGGATTACAGGCATCATTCACTGTACCCAGCCTATGTTGTTTCTTGCCTGCAGTGAGAGAACACTGGAGAAAGGCAGTTTTTCAAAAGTTTGTCACAAGTTGGTATACCGTCGAGTCAAGACATCTCCCAAACTGTGCTCTTGACATAGAGGTAATCACAATTACAGCAGTTATGCTTTAGGCTTAATAACCCCAGAAAACATTTTAGAAAGCTTGTTGTTCCAGTATACAATTTAGAATGTCATACATATTCTGTAGTAAGTAGAATTTTGCCAGGGTTTTTGAAACAGTTGTTTTGGAATTAGGATGAGAACATTTAAAATTTGGTTGGCTTGGAAATGATTTGACCATACACGTTGAGAATCACTAACTGGATTCCTCGGTAAATGCCATTAGTGATGCGAAAGCAGGTGTCCGTATAAAGTGAGTGATTCTTGAGCTCTTTACCCAAAGTTTAGGACACTATAAACATTTTTCACATGTGTTGTCAGAGGACACAGTCACTATGAACAGTGTTACAGTAGCTATTACCACTTGGTGAATTAATAGGGAATGTGAAAATGAGTAAATTTTCCCATAATGTCCCAGAGTTTGGGTCATATTCCCATGCATTTTCATTTTACTCTTCAGTGTACCTGTGAAGCAGAGAAAAGGCTGGCTATTTATGGGGTGGTCTGTGTCTTACAAAGTTAAATAGATGTGAAATGATATTTTTAACGTCAAATAATGAGTCAGTCCAGACTTCCTTTATGTGATGGCAATTCCCTGATAAGAGATATTTGAGCTAATTCCATATTTAAGTGCTTTACAGAGGATGGCAAACAGAAATGGTGCTTGTCATGCACTAAATATAATTATCCTAACATCTTTTAGGAGAGGTATTTTCTTCTTTCAAGAAGGCACGTGACAAGTGAGGTTAGACATCCTTCTGGGAAACTCCAAATTCCCAAACCTTTCAAAGTATTTCCCTGCATCAAGGTGTGTTACAGAAAAGTCCTCTAATTCAAGACTAAAGGTTTTTATAAGACCCATTCATCATGTTGTGAAGTTATTCGTATGGGAATTAGGACCAGAAGAAAGCAAAGTTGAGAATATTTGAGAATAACACCTGAGGATAAAATCGCAGTCACCTTCTGACTTTCGATTTAATAGCTATGAAGTTAACCAATGATTACTTTAAAAGCAGGAAGTATTTTGTAAGCAGTGCCATTAATGCTAAGTAGATGTTTGTTGTAAAATAACCGAGATGATTTTTTAAATTTAAAATTACGTGACATGAAGCAACCACCCTTCTCCAGGAGACTAGTCTGTTATAAAAATAGCAATCTTCAAAACATTTTTTGATTAACAAGTTTTGCTTGAATGAGTTTTATATTATGTATTCCCTGTAGTTCTAGATTATATCCACATACTATATATACACATAATACATACATACGTATTTATGTAGACATATATGTATGCCTACATAAATGTTTTTTCTTTGAGACAGGTTCTCACTTTGTAACCCAGGCTGGAGTGCAGTGGTGTGAACATGGCTCACTGCAGCCTTGACTTCCTGGGCTCAAACCACCCTTCCACCTCAGTCTCCAGAGTAGCTGAGACTACAGATGCGCACCACCACGCCCAGCTAATTTTTTGGTACATTTTGTAGAGATGGGGTTTCTCTATGTTGCCCAGGCTGTTCTCCAACTACTGAGCTCAAGCGATCCTCCTGCCTTGGCCTCCCAAAGTGCTGGGATTATAGGTAATGAGCCACTGTGCCCAGCCTGGATTATATTTGAAGCTGTACCCCACATGTAACTAATATAGTACATAATCTGTTCTTTTAAATTTTAGTTTTAATATATGTATATATAGCCAATAGGAGAAGAGGTATGAATAATAGCTATAACAGTAACACAAGTAATAACAATAATTATTAAGTTTAAACTAAGTCAAAGATTGCGCCAAGTGCTTGATCAATATCTTTTCATTGAATCATCACAGAATCCCTATAAGGTAGATACTGTTATATCTCAGAATTGCAGATGAGAAAACTGAGGTGCATAAAATGTAAGTAATTTATCCAGAGGCTCACATCTGGTAAGTGTTAGAGCAGGGATTTGTACAGAAGCAGTTGTTGCAATCTTGCCTCCTGACTGAGTATCATTACTTTAAAAACATACTGGAGTCAATTAGCTGCGCATGGTGGTGCGCATCTGTAGTCCCAGCTACTCAGGAGGCTGAGGCAGGAGAATCATTTGCATCTGGGAGGCGGAGTTTGCAGTGAGCTGAGATTGCGCCACTGCACTCCAGTCTGGCGACAGAGCAAGGCTTCGTTTCAAAATGTATATGTAGGAGTCATGATGTATTCCTGTTTTCAGGGTTTGTACACTAGGACTGCAAGGTAACCCTGCCTTAAATGAAACCCTCATTGTTCTTTAAGGAACACAAGAGTTCTTATCTTGAATTTCAGTGCTAAAGTGAAGTTCTGGAATAAATATAGCCCTTCAGTAGGGCACAGCCAATTTCATTTCTCCCAGAATTGGAGTCATTTTTCACACAAGGTCTTGCCCTTTTGGTTATTAATCCTGAAACTCTGGCTTTAAAAATCTCAATTAAATGTGCATGCAATCCTTCTAAAATACACAATTGGTATTTCCTATGGATATAAGCTTCTTTAAGAAATGGTGTTTGCTTATTTAACATTTTCCCTTTAATTTTCCAGGGTGTACAGCTGCACCTTGTCCGCCTGAGCTTGCATTTGAAATTGACTTTCGAGCCCAGGCTCCCTTTCACAAGGCCCTTTCTTCCTATGCCAATTAGATAACATCACACTGTGGGAATTTTCTGAAGTGGGCCCCCTGAAACAAGGGAGCCTGCCTTTCAGATTGTGTCTGATCTACAGACTTTGTTATTTTATCAAATGACTTCCAGTTACCTGCATGGTCTGGAGCTTGTTCTGAGTTTGTTGATCATTGAGTTATTTTGTCCCTAAGAGAGCGCAGGCCTTTTGTTCCCAGTGAAGATTAGGTTGGAGGAGAGTGTGGAGAAGCTGTGAAGTTCATCAGACTGAGTATGGTGGACTGAGTTCTCTTTCATTCTCATACTAACAAACTTTCAGGCAAAAGCTAGAGGTTATAAAAAAAGAAGTGCTTTGAAAATTCAACCTGCCTAACCACTGTCAGGATCACCTTTTTGAAATTGTTCTTCACATGTTGTTTATCTGCTCAAATATGAACACACAGTCTTAGTATTTATTCATTTTAACTCCAAAAGGTAATGTACTGTGCAGTTCTTTGTCTTGCTTTTTTTCCACTGATTATATTTCCACATCTGTACATGATTTCCTCATTCCTTTTTGTTACTACCTAATGTACTACTGGGTAGGATATACTATAATTTATTTAACCTGTCCCTTGTTGGACATCTAGGTGTTTCCAAATGTTTGCAATTACAAACAATTGCTTCATTAATTATTCTTGTGTATGTGTCATTTTGCATGTGTTTAGCTTTTTCAAACTGGAAATGCAAGGTCAAAGGGTATATACATTTGTAATTTGGGTAGATACTGGCAAATTGTCTTCCAGAATGTCATGGTTTTTAAAACCCTCATCTCTTACTACTCACCAATCAGAATGGTAAGCTTCAGCTACAATGAAGCCCTAATTAGTGGCCCTGGAAAACATGATGTAGATTTTTACCCCTACACTCATTTTCTGAAAATATTCTTTCGTTCCATTCCATTCTATACCTTCTATCCTACCCACCCCTAAGCATGTGCAGGTGAACACACATACATACACACATGTAACTCCCCCTATGGGCTCACACCTTCACAGTTCCTGTTGCTTTTCTTTTCTGAATTTTTGTGGTGTATTCACACTGTACTCACTTTGACAATCTTATACTACTTGCAATAATGATTTCTTTGGCAATGTCTTTTTCTCGTTGTGAGTTCCTGCTTGATGACTAGGCCAGTGTTTTGCATGTTGTGGGATTTTTTTTCCTAATGATTAGAGGAAAATAGATTTATTCTTCTGGTAAAAATAATACTTATTATGAGAAAAAATCAACTGGTAAATAAAAGTGCTCAGATATGTAAACCTTCCCTCAAATACTGCCATCCAGGAATAATTACTCTTAGTGTTTCATTACACATCCTTTCAGCCATCTCTTTATGAATGTATGTACATATATATCCCCAGATAGGTGTGCACAGTTTTACACGTGACCTTATACTATTCTGACTATTGGGTACCTTGCTTTTCTTAGACCTTTCCCCATGTCGGCTGGTGTGGTTTTATATAATTCTTAATGGCTATATGGTAGCTGTTTCTATGCACATACCATAGTTCAACCAGTGCTGAACTGATTGACATTTGTGGTTTATAGTTTTTTGTCTGAGTGAATACAACTTTTGGCATTAGTGCCTAACTCTTTAGATAAGTTAAAGTCTTAGAAATGAAAGAACTGTTTTAAAGTGTGGATACACAGATTGTGAGATCTAAATAAGTAATTATGAAAGAGAAGAAAGTTTACAGAAATGTTGAGCCTTTTTCTTAGGAAGCTGTCAAATTCAAATTGGTATTCATAGCCTCCGGTACCAACCACTCAGCCATCAAAAAGTGTTGAGAAATCTTACACATATATAAAAGAAAAAAAATGTTAAAGAGATAGTCTAAGAGAAATAACCTTTCCATGTATTCATGAATGTGCAAAGAATCATTGCTTTCTTCCTTTATCCTGCTGGGCCCTAACTATCTTTCTCTTTCCCCAAATTATTTTGGAACGCTTGTGTAATTTAGAATATAAAAGCATTTTCCCTCCTACTAAGGTACAAAGAAGGGCAATGTTTTCTGTTTCTTGGAGAATAGTTTGCTTAGGAAAATACACAGTCTAATGAAAGGGTCCGCAGCTGTGGGCTATTTTGAAGCCTACTTGAAAACATTTTGATGTGTTTATTTCTTTACTACTCTATTTCAGAAAAGATTCGAGATGGCTTACAAAGATGCAAACAGTGTAGCTGGGTAAAATTTATTTGATAAATGCAAAAAGGAAGGTAAAGGAACATAAGGATAAGAAAGTAAATAGAAAGCCAGGAGTGAGATTAGTTTACGAAATACACATGAAACATGAAATTGTCATCATCAGCAGTCCAGAATGCTTGAATATGGGTGATTTTTTCTGGTGCAGCCAAAATATTAAGTTCAGTATACTTGCTCAAGGTAGACCTCAGATGTGACCCTGAGCCAGTGTGACAGGGATGTAGCCTCATCATCCCTGTGATTGGAACACAAACCTACACAGAAGGAGTCCAAATAGTCCTCATATTGAATCCAAAGAGAAAATTCACCCAGAGAAGAGATTTTTTTTTTTTTTTTTTTTTTTTTTTGAGACGGATTCTCGCTCTGTCGCCCAGGCTGGAGTGCAGTGGTGCAATCTCGGCTCACTACAAGCTCCGCCTCCCAGGTTCATGCCATTCTCCTGCCTCAGCCTCCCGAGTAGCTGGGACTACAGGTGCCCACCACCACACAGACTAATTTTTTTTGTATTTTTAGTAGAGACGGGGTTTCACCGTGTTAGCCAGGAAGGTCTCAATCTCCTTACCTCATAATCTGCCCGCCTTGGCCTCCCAAAGTGCTGGGATTACAGGCGTGAGCCACCGCACCTGGCTGAGAAGAGATTTTTAAACAGTATAAATTCATGGTCCCAGAATGTCATAGCTGGAAGAATCTTGAAGGGCTGGCTTGTACAGCCTTCTCAGAATTTGTGAGACCTTGTAGTTGTGCATTGAAATGGGCTCTGGAGAGTGCAGAATCTGCATATGACTTTTATCTTTAATCAGTCACTGAACCTTTCCAATCCAGTTTCCTTGTATACCCAACAGGAATACGGATTGGTTTTTACCTCATAAGATCATGCAAGGGAGGGAAATGCAAATGAAAATCACAACAGGATACTACCTCATACCCGCTAGGATGGCACTAATAAAAAAGATGGACAAAAGCAAGTGTTGCTGAGGATGTGGAAGAACTGGAACCCTCCCATGCTGGTGGGAGTATAAAATGGTGCAGCCACTTTGGAAGACAGTCTGGCATTTCCTCAGAAGGTTAGCATATGGCCCAGAAATTCTACTTCTAGGTACAAATGGAAGAGAAATGAGAAGGTTATGTCCATTAAAAAAAAAAAAGTGTACATGAATGTTCAAGGCAGTATTATCCATAGTAGCCCAAAGTGGACACAACCCAACTGTCATCAACTAATGAATGGAAAGAAAGACCCATATTGGATGATTCCGTTTATGTGAAATACCCAAAACAGGCAAATCCATAGAGATAGAAGTAGATTAATGGTTGCCTAGGGCTGGTGGGTAGGGGGAAATTGGGGCATAACTGCTAATGGGGATAGGAGTTTCTTTTTGGGGTGACAGCAATGTTCTAAAATTGATTGTGGTGATGGTTGCACAATTCTGTGAATATACTAACAATTGACATTCCCATTTTACATAGTTGAGTTTTACGGTGGATTATCTCTCAATAAAAATGTATATATTTTATTTTAATTTTTTTGTTTTTATTTTTTTTGAGACAGAGTCTTGCTCGGTTGCCCAGGCTGGAGTGCAGTGGCATGATCTCGGCCCCCTGCAGCCTCTGCCTCCCAGGTTCAAGCAATTAATGTGTCCCAGCCTCCAGAGTAGCTGGGACTATAGGTGCACGCCACCATGCCTGGCTAATTTTTGTATGTTTAGTAGAGATGGGGTTTCACCATGTTGGCCAGTCTGGTCTTGAACTCTTGGCCTCAAGTGATCCACCTGCCTCATCCTCCCAAAGTGCTGGGATTACAGGTGTGAGCCACAGCGCCTGGCCAATGTATATATTTTTTAAAAACATAGCACAGTTCTTAGTGTAGTGCAGTAAGTAGTATACCAAGTAAGCTCTCAAATGTAGGCTTTTTCTTTTTCTTTTTATTATACTTTAAGTTCTGGGATACATGTACAGAACGTGCAGATTTGTTACATAGGTATACATGTGCCATGGTGGTTTGCTGCACCCATCAACCCATCATCTACATTAGGTATTTCTCCTAATGCTATCCCTCCCCTTGCCCCTAACCCCCGACAAGCCCTGGTGTGTGATGTTCCCCTCCCTGTGTCCAAGTGTTCTCATTGTTCAACTCCCACTTATGAGTGAGAACCTGCAGTGTTTGGTTTTCTGTTCCTGTGTTAGTTTGCTGAGAATGATGGTTTCCAGCTTCATCTGTGTCGCTGCAAAGGACATGAACTCATTCCTTTTTATGGCTGCATAGTATTCCATGGTGTATATGTGCCACATTTTCTTTAACCAGTCTGTCATTGATGGGCATTTGGGTTGGTTCCAAGTCTTTGCTATTGTGAATAGTGCCACAATAAACATACATGTGCATGTGTCTTTATAGTAGTATGATTTATAATCCTTTGGGTATATACCCAGTAATGGGATTGCTGGGTCAAATTGTGTTTCTGGTTCTAGATCCTTGAGGAATCACCACACTGTCTTCCACAATGCTTGAACTAATTTACACTCCCACCAACAGTGTAAAAGAGTTCCTACTTCTCCACATCCTCTCCAGCATTAAGTTTTTTGTAGATTCTGGATATTAGCCCTTTGTCAGATGGATAGATTGCAAAAATTTTCTCCCATTCTGTAGGTTGCCTATTCACTCTGATGCTAGTTTCTTTTCCCATGCAGAAGCTCTTTAGTTTAATTAGACAAATGAAAAGGCTGAGTGAGGTGACTCACACCTGTAATCCCTACACTTTGGGAGGCCGTGGCAGGAGGATCGCTTGAGCCCAGGAGTTCGAGACCAGCCTGGGTAACATAGCCCAGGCCTCATCTTTAAAACTAACTAACTAAATAAATAAATAAATGAAGACACTGAGGCTCAGAGAGGTAAAATGACGTATCCTGATCATGTGGTTACCTTTGGCTAAACTAGAACCCAGATCCCCTGCAGTCTAAATCTGCACGCTCTCCCCCAGCAGCACAGTTACAAAGGCTGGCAAGGCATCTACTTTTTTTTCGAATGTGACCCTCCATCGTTTTGACTTTGATTGGCCTTCCTTTGGTCTTGAGCCTTTCTGCTGTAATGATTTTCAAGTTTCCCAATTGTGAGTGCAATATAAACCTTGAAATAGTCTGCAAAACTTGTAATTAGCCATGATAAACTGTATGAAAAATTGATTCGTGGCCCTGCCTGCTATTGACTTTTGAGATACTTATTAGCCCAGCTAAGAATTACCCAGGCATTTTGCTTTTTTCCTTTTTTTCCCCATGTGGCCTGTCTTTGGCCCTTTGACTTTCAAATTGTTCCACTTGAAATAGGCTGGACAGATGGGTCTCCATTTCAAAAGCAATGGAGACTCTTGTCTCTTGAGTTTTCTCAGTAGCAAGCCTGGCATAACTTTTTGAAATTGCATTGTTGCTATGAAGTGAAATTTGGGTCTCCTATTATGGTTTTTTTCTGGTATGTTTTTGTTATGCTGCTAAAAACATGCTTTTTTGTTCACTGCACATGGGCATTGCCAAATTATTGTGACATGAAGAAATTCTGAAGGTCAGTATCAACCTGGTATTCTCAATTCAGTGAAACTGACAAGATTTTGTATAACTTGAATTATATTAATTTTCTCTAAACTGGTGTTAAGAAGTGTATGAATTGTCACAACCTGAAAAACATGTATGTTTAACTTACATTGTCAAAAGTTTGGTCCCCTATAGGTACAGCTGAGGTTATTGACAAATACTATGGTAAAATTTAAGCTTTCTGATAATTAGATGTCAGGAATACCCAGGTTTCCAGAATAGCTTTCTTTTCTTAGAAGTAGTTAGGGAATGAAGCCATAGGACTCTTCTTGGGACCATAAAAGTAGCCACTTGGTAATAAACATTAATAAAAAGCTAACAAAGAAGTTAACTCTTCAACCTAACAACCCCTTTTGTGTTTGGATTGGTGATTTCGCTCTCTAGATGTTAAGAAACACTCTGATGTATTAGTTCACTATTGATGATCATTATCTATTGCTGCATAATGAATCACC
Source organism: Homo sapiens (assembly GCF_000001405.40). Lineage (NCBI taxonomy): Eukaryota > Metazoa > Chordata > Mammalia > Primates > Hominidae > Homo > Homo sapiens. The sequence goes on along the minus strand of NC_000002.12, from coordinate 168,099,245 downwards.
CCATCACTTATTGGCTTAGCTCAGCAACAGCCATTTTATTATTGTCTCTCTTGGTTCTGGGGCTTGGCTGGGCTGAGCTGGGCAGCCTTTGCATGGGCTCTCTCATGGCGTTGTACCTGTGAGTGACTGGTGGCTTCTCAAGGCTTGCCACTCACATGGCTGGAGGCAATTGTAGATAGCCATTTGCTGGGACCTCAACTGAGATGTCAGCTGGACACCTACACCTGACCTCTCCACATGATCTCTCCTCCTTACAGTGTAGTCACTGGATTCCAAGAGTGAGCTTCCTAAGGAGACCAGGCAATGCTCTATGGCCTGGTATGACGGAGCCTTGGAAGCCACGTAGCTCCACTTCTGGTGTTGTTACAGGCTTCGCCAGATTGGCGGGGAGGGAACAATAGGTTCTACCCATCAGTAGTAGAGTGTCAATGATATTAATACATTGTTGGAAGAGTGTGTGAGATGGGATTTTTTTTTTATTATTTTGAAAAACACAATCTTATGCCGTCACTTTTTGACTTAAAGGCAATGTTAGGAAGAGGAGACAAGAAAAGAAAGGAGGAAAGGAGCCCCAGAGTTTGGTAGCAGAGTGACAACAGTCAGCTGCAGATGGCAAAAATGGGAGCAGAAAATAAAAGCAGGGGATAGCACAGTTCAGATGGAGGTGTGGGAGAGGCAGGACAAGCAGCCCCTGTCAATAGGGTGTCACGGATGCTTATTGGGCTGCACTTGACATTGTGGCTTTGACCGTATCCCAGTCAGGCATACGTGGTGCAATAACTGATCACGTTCAGCATCTGGGAGGCAGTGGGGCCGCTCTTTTGTTGCTGTAAGAAGCTGGCCAGGGTAGCATATGGTAAAGTGCAATAGGTATAAAACCACCTTGTGATACGGATTTCTCATCTTCCTTTAGAGGGAAGTAAAGGACGCTAGTATAAAATGATTGTGCTGACCTTGAAGGAGAATATGGGCACTTGCAGTTGTCTTCTCTCACCCCCTTCCCATGCAACAGATATTTGATTATTAAAAGTACATGTGCACTTGATTTTAAAAATCCTCAAATATTTCTTGGGTGCCGAAAATATGCTAGGCACTAGCTAGGCGCTATTCCAGATTGCATATTTGACTAAAGAAGAATGATAAAGAAGAGTAAATCTAGTGATTACTTAGTATTGTTTTACACAGTTGTTTCACTTACCCCATATGATTTCTAAGAAAGGGTTAGTGTTCGTTTGCTATGAGGCTTCTAGAAAATCATTTAGCTTCTATTAGACTCTGTTTTACAGACTCTATCTGTAATACCAATTTGTGTGGCTCTTGTAAAATTAAAAGCACACAGGAAGTATTTAATAACTGCTAAATATTTTTACCTTTTAGTTCCTTTAAAGGCTGTGATTCAGTCAAATGTTCTATAACAATCACATGATATACTTGGATAAATTCAAGCATGTAATAGTTGATTCCGTTTATTCCACTAGTCTTCTTCGTCTTCTTTTTTTTTTTTTTGTTTTTGAGACAGGATTTTGCTCTGTCACGCAGGCTGGAATGCAGTGGCATGATCATAGCTCACTGAAGCGTGCACTCCTGGCCTCAAGGGATCCTCCCACCTGAGCCTTCTGAGTAACTGGGACTACAGGCATGCACCATCATGCACGGCTAATTATGTGTGTGGGATGGGGTGTGGGGGGAGATGAGGTCTGGCTGTGTTGCTCAGGTGTGTCTCAATCTCCTTGCCTCAAGCCATTCTCCTGCCTCATCCTCCCAAAGTACTGGGATTACAGGTGTGAACCACCATGCCCAGCCATTCTACTAGTCTCAGTTGAACACCTGGAATGGGCCAGTTAGTGAGCCAGGTGCTGGGGATTCAGGGATGAGCAAGTCAGATAAAGTCCTCCCCTGTAGAACCTAAATGAGGTGGGCTCCTCCATGAAAAGGTGTGGCAATGCCTAAGACTTGGTAAAATGGATACATGAACAAATACAGTCAACTGTGCATTTGCACAAGGGGCACTTTACATACCACATCTGTCTGAAATATTAAAGGATTTGAGTGACTAAAAAACAGCCATGATGTAGTAGAACTCTGGCATTTTCAAAGCAGTCATCTCCAAGTGTGGTGTATTGCCTGAATTGTTTCAGAGTGTTGGTAAAAGTGATATACTTGGTGGTACTTGCCAACTTTAACCCTGGGTTGTGCTAGGAAATGAAGTTTAGTAGGACAAGGACCCATAGTAGTATGTGTTAAGAAAGGGCCATAGAACAGTAAATTAATAGCGTTTTCTTCTCTCCCCTATAGTATTTTGGGCACGTTTATACCCATTGAAAGGCAGGTTTTTTTTTCTATGCTTATTGATTTAGCCTATCTATTTATAACAGTATAATTCAGAATATAAATATGGAACAAGTTTCATAAGGAAGTTTATCTTTAACTCAGACATTATATCATTAATACTTCAAATCTCATTATACCATTATGACCTGAATGCTACATTTTTCTTCCTGTATGGAGAGCTTAGGGAAAAATTGTGGCCTGATGTCTTCATCCATTCACTTATCATAGAGTACATAATGATCTCAAATATCCAAAAATGGTTATATTCAGCTGCATATTTCTAAGAAAATAGGTAGGTCCACAGCAGGTTCTTAAATTCCACATACTTGGGTGTAGGACACAGGGATTCATTCCCTGAGAGTTTTTGAAGCTGAGGAGACACCTGGGTTTTGTTTTTCCAGGGTAGAATTCAGTACAAATCAGCAATTGTTGAACACATACTAAGTTGTGGGTACTGGACTGTTTCACCCACATGATCTCATTTATCTGCATAATAACCTGATGAGGTAGGTATTATCACCGTGTGTTACAGGTGAAGAGACTGAGACTTCGTGGTTAAGTCATGATGACTAGCAAGCAGTCAGGTTGGAACTTAGTGTCAAAGTCTCATGCAGAGGCCTTTTGTTGGTAAACACTGTGCTGTACTGTCACCCAGTGGAAGGATTCTAATCACATCCTTGTTCTAGTCTTTATTTTCTAAATTCTCTGTAATAAACACGAATCAATTTTAAATTGAAAAAAAAATCTCAGCCAATATAACTTAAAATAGGTAATGCAGTTAGATTGCAAAAACATATATTTGTGTGTGTGGTATGAAAATATAAAACTACATGAACCTGAACACTGTAACCCTATGTTTAGCAATTATATAGATATTATAATTAATGCTTTTTAAAATGCAATAGGCATATGGATATTAAGGTTTCTGCTTCAGTTATTTTTCTTGGGAAAATAACACCTATTGATTTAAGATCCTTAGTCCCAGATTCTAAATTGATTTTCTTATTTCATTGTCAACATAATTGGGGATTTGTCTTTCAACAAAAGAAAAGCAAAGCATAGTCGTCATCTTGGTAGACATTTATGTATATAGGAAGGTCATAGGTGATTTCTGAGGAAGTTTGGTGATTAAAGAAAGAGATACCCTGTAGTCCCAGCTACCCGGGAGGCTGAAGCAGGATAATGGCGTGAACCCAGGAGGCGGAGCTTGCAGTGAGCTGAGATCGCGCCACTGCACTCCAGCCTGGGCGACAGAGCAAGACTCCGTCTTAAAAAAAAAAAAAAAAAAAAAGAAAGAGATACACGAGTGGCTAGCAGATTCAGCGCAGGCTTTTGATGATAGTGGGGATTTGAGTGTTCTTTTCTTCCTTTTTTTCCCCTTCAATGCCACAATTTTATTTGTGATTGAAGGGGAAAAAAAGTGTTCTGGGAGACTAATTGTAGATCATTGAATCAGAGAATTGAAGATTGTTCTTTAGACCTCTTTGGAGGTCTTTCCTTAGTGAGTGTTGGGTAGAACTCAGAAATCTGCATTTTTAACACATGACCTAGGTGAATTTTATGATCAAGCATATTTGAGAACTGGGCTAGAATAAAGCTTGCATGAAAAAATGCAGTAGGAAGTTAGGTTGTAAAGCTGGATCGAGTCCAGAGTGTGGAAGCCTTAGATCTTAAGCCATGGGGTTGGGATGCGGTGCTGTGAGCTGTAAGGAGCCCATGACAGGTGCCTTGTAGGCAGAGAAGCAACTGTAGAAGTTGGCTCAGGAGTGAACAGTAGAGGACAGTTTGAAGGAGGAGATCAGGCTGGAAGAAGCTGTTAAAGACAGCTAGGCCTGAGGTGATGGGGGTCTGTACTAGAACTGTGGCAGAGGCATAGGACAGGGGACAAGTGACATTGAAGTGCTAGACTTGGCATAGCCTAGTAAGTGATTGGACATGGAAGGCAAAACAGAAGGGGGAAGACAACTGGAAGGATTTGAGGCAGTATGAATAGGAGGATGGTAGTACCTTTTCTGAAACTGGTGGGAACTGGAGGGGGCCTGGTTTGCAGGGAAGATCAGGAGTTCATTAGGACGCATTTGAGTTGGAAGTTCCATTGGGATTTCCGTTTGAAGGTGTCTTCTCAATGGAGGTGATTGTGGAAGCCATGTAATAAGATTGCCACAGAGGACATGACAGAGAGAACAAAGGAGCCCTGGGGAGTCCTGGGGGAACAGTCACAGGAACAAGTGGAGGATGCAGAGAACTATGAGAGGAGGAAAAGAAAGTGCTGTCCCAGGAACCAGGAAGGTGAAGGTGGTCAGCAGTTCTGAATGCTGCAGAGAGGTGAAGGAAAATGAAGACTCACAAAAGGACATTGGATTTAGCTTGTTTTTCATAGTAAGAGAAAAAGTTGGACAGTCAGAATTAATGAGTGAATGGATGAAGAAGTGCAAGTGGGTGATTTTTCAAAGTTTGGTTGTAAAGGGCAGGAAGACACACATAGCTTGGGATGTGCAGAGGCTTCTGAGGTCAGTGGAGACCTGTGTCTATTCAAAAGTTCAGTGTGGAGGGGGAGAAAAATATTGAAAATGCACAAAGACAACTTTTCATTTGGTGCACATTTATTGTTCATATATCAAGTACCAGGACTGTGTCGAGGCTACAGAGATAAGACTCACTCTGTAAGTAACCCAAGAGAAGAATGAAAGTTGGCAGTGTGAATTTGAGCCTGGATGACTGGGAGGGTAGTGGTCCCCACAGATCAGGGGAGGACTTGGCCTGGAAACAACCACTGAGCATCAGGATGAATGCTGGGTTGGAATGGCGCACAGCATGCTGGGGAGGGCTGGGGAGGACCCTGTGAAGGACTTGGTCCTATAGTTGTCCTGTGTAAGATATGTGGTAGTCTTCCTTCCCTAGAGGCAAGGAGGCCCATCTCAGGTGGAGGGACCAGCATGGGCAAGTACTTGCAAATGTGTTGGAGAGTAATTGTTTGTGTGATTGAAATAGAGGGAAGATATGCAGAGGTGGGCAGGAGCCAGAGCAAAAAGTGTCCCTGTGTCTTGATGAGGAGATTGGGCTTTCCCCCCACCACCCACAAATGAGGAGCTGTGATAAGAATTTCAGTAGAGACATGCAGCGACCAGTTTGCCTTTAGAGAGAGCTCTGAGGCAGCAGTGTGGCAGTGTGTTGTGGTTTAGAGGGATAAGACTGGAAGCAGGGGTCAGGTTGGTGGACTGGTAGTTGGCAGACTGTGCTGTGCAAGTGAGGATAGGTGGGAACAAAGGCAGAGCAGGCAGAGAATAGGTAGAAGAGATATTTAGGAGGCAGGGTTGACATGACTTATGGTTTGGCTGTGTCCCCACCCAAATCTCATCTTGAATTGTAGCTCCCATAATCCATGGGGACCCGTTGGGAGGTAGTTGAATCATGGGGGCGGGTTTTCCCATGCTGTTCTTGTGACAGTGAATAAGTCTCATGAGATCTGATGGTTTTATAAAGGGCAGTTCCCTTGCACATGCTCATGTGCCTGCTGCCATGTAAGATGTTGCTTTAGCTCCTCCCACGCCTTCTGCCATGATTGTGAGGCCTCCCTAGCCATGTGAAACTGTGAGTCCATTAAACCTCTTTTTCTTTATGAGTTACCCAGTCTTGGGTATTTCTTCATAGCAGTATGAGAATGGACTAGTACAGCTTAGGTCTTGAAAGGTTTTCATGGGAATGGGAGTTTGAGAAGATGGTGAAGGATAAGGAGAGCTTTATGGAAAAGCTCAGACTGACTCCCTGCTTTCTGACTTACAGACTGTTTGGAAGATGGGAGGAAACATTTCCTGGGAAAGATGCTGAACATTCTGAATGTGTTGAGCGAGAGATTCTTGCAGGGCTTCCAGGGGGAGATGCACAGGAGACCAATATGCATGTCTGCAAATCACAGGAGAGGGTGGCCTGGAGAGAGAAACATGTGTGTCCAACCACGGGAGTGACAGCTGAGAACATTGTGTGCGAAAGATTCCGTACCCTGGGAGTGCGTAGCCTGCACACAGCCTCTTAACTCAAGAACTGATTCTCTTCCGTGTTCTGAATTTTCTGAGTGCCTTTTGCCCTTCTGCTTTTAGCCATCTACAATGCGGCCATTGGACTCTTATTGGGATTAGGTAGAAAAAGAAAAAAAAATGATGGTACTCAAATATACCTAGTTTTACTAACGATGAGCAGATGTGATGAGAGGATTAGATCCTTAGATAAAGAAGCTTAGGTCCTGCAGTGTGACCTGGGTTACTTGTGAAACTCAGTTTTTCTCAATACCTGTTCTCCTCTATCTTACCATGGATTCTGAAGCTTGAATTTTTTAAACGGTATTTTATCTTTATTCACTGTGTGAGAATATACATATACAGCTATGTTATTTCTTGTTTGTTTTTAAAATCAGTGGCTGGCCCTTGTTAGGAAAATAGATGAATTAGAATACATAGTCTTTGAGAACCATTTACAGGTAAATCTGTGTTATTTATTTTGCTGCTCTAGCAGTCTTCTGTTAGTATGAAATGAATTAACAAGATAGAATTTATGGCCCTTTTTAGTATTGAATTTGATCACAGTTGAGACATTGCCCCTGAGATAAAACTCCTGTCTGGAGCATTTTTACAGTGGAGCTTCCATTATTGCTTTCCTTGAGGACTGAGAATTGTCCTGATGATGTAAGGAACAGGTGTCTGATCCCTGTGAAGATGGTGTTCTCTGTTAGCAATAGGAAAACACTGACGTTCCTACTCTGTCCTTTTGGCTGAAACAGCAGCATCTAAATCGGAGCTTGTTTAAGTGGATATGATGGCTCTAAGAGAGACCCTGACAACAATGGTTATAGATTTCAGAGTGTGGACCACATTTGGATTTTGGGGGGATCCAGTTTTGAATAAGTAAACTGAAAAAGTCATTTTTGAGACAGTAGGACAAAATTGAACGTAGACTGATATTAGATTCTAAGGAATTATTGGTGATTTTGTTCTTTGGGAAAATGATATTGTGATCATGTTTTTAAATGTCCTTATCAGAGAAGCATACTGAAGTATTTACAGGTAAAATGATACCATGTTTGGGATTTAGTTTAAAAATACTGAAGCAAAAGAGTTGGAATGTATAGATAAAATCAGATTGGCAAAATGTTGATAATGTTGAAGGTGAGTAAAAGAGGTTTGTTATCCTATTTTCACCTTATGCATTTATGAACATTTTCATTAAAAAAAAGGTAACAAAAATGAATGTAGTAGCCAAGAAGAAGAGAAAGTTGAAGGTCTGTTTTTCTCTCATTTTGACACACAACGTCAGCGTGTCACACCTGTCAGTCTTTCTGCACATAGGGTGATAATCTTTCTGCCTTTCTGACCCAATAACTGAGGAATCTGACACCACAGCTAAACAGTTTGTGTGATGACAACACTGTCCCACCAGGACTTGGGGCAGCTTTCTGGCAGTTCCTATCTCATCTCCCTCAGAGGCTCTAGCCTCCAATGGGAATTCAGGGGATTCCTTGTCTCCTTATATTTTTGTGAGTTTTGAATGAGAGAGACATGAGAAGATAACTTGGGTGGAGTGAGCTGTGGAGATGGAGTAGAAGTTTAAATGTGAGGCATGTTTCTGCATAGGGACCTTGTGATGCAGTCATTGGCTCTTCTTTCCTATCAATTTAAACTTGTGCTGGAATCAGACCCTTCAGTCTTTCAAACCAGAGTTTAAGTCTGTGCTGTATCATGTGTGTGTGTGTGTGTGTGTGTGTGTGTGTGTGCACCTGTTTGTGTTTCTATCCTCACATCTGAAGTCTCTGCCCTTTGCAGACAGCATGATAGTGAAATGAGTTGATTACAAGGGGAAAATGATTTTAGTGAACCAACATGGGTCTGTTTGCTTCTTTGAATTATTCCCAGCACGATAGGATGTTAATATGTCATCTCAGAGGCAGATGGGCCCATCTATTTTGATCATCAGCTCTGTCATTATTTGGCGTTTAGAACCATGCCTTTCCTCGCAGTATCTTCAAGATACTTAGAGGAAGGCCCAGAGTTTTCTTGACACCAGCTGCTACTTTGCTTAAGCAGATGGAATAAATTAAGCCCCTCAGCCTCCCTATACTCATCACTATTAACCACATCCCCACAGCGAAAAGGCCGGTGATGGCAAAAGATGGTTGTTTTCTGAGGACATGGTAAAATGCCTTTGAGTCTCAGGGTGAGACTCTTGGCCCAGAATGTTCCTGTGTCTTACGTTTTAGCCTAGGGTATTTATTTGACTTGTTCAACTAATATTTCTACGGTACCTGTTGTGCACTAGTAGTGTCTGTGTTGAGTGCTGGTTCACAGAGGTGAACAGTTTCAGAGCAAGGTTTTCTGTTGACTGCTCGAGTTTCAGTTATGTTGGATATGGGGAACTAAAGGGTTTCAGAAACTAATGGAGTCCTCTTTACTTTTCTTTTTCTTCATATCCCTTCAGCAGTTCTAGGATACAATGTCACTAGCTCCTGACATCCCTCTCTAAGGGGAAAGCATGAGGGAAGATGGGGAGAAGTTTCCTTGTGGTGCAGGTTTGCTCTGGCAAGACCTTCTTCAGGGAGCAGAAAATTGTTATTCATTCATTCATTCATTCATTCAACAAATGTATCTTTGGTCCCTACTAAATGCAGGATACTCTAAATATAGGGACACAGAACAGATGTAACTGCATCTTACTTTCGGGATACATGCTTTCCCACTTCCAAATTTTCTTATATGCTAGAACATTTTCTCAATATCTTTGGAATTTTGTAGCAAATGCCACCTTAACAAAAACAACAGTATCCATTATTCTGTAGACAGAATGTAGAAGAACACAAACTCAGCTACCTCGGAGAGGAATGGAAAAGCAGAGTATTAATAAACATGAACTCATATCTTTACATTACTATGCATTCAAAAACTTAATGGCAGTTTCATTGACCAAACCAAATAGCTTATTATAACAGTGAGTCTTCATTCCAGAATTTGTTGCATAAAAATAAAATATTAGACCAGGTGCGGTGGCTCATGCCTTTGGGAGGACAAGGCAAGTGCATCACCTGAGGTCAGGAGTTCGAGACCAGCCTGACCAACATGGAGAAGCCCCATCTCTGCTAAAAATACAAAGTTAGCTGGGCGTGGTGGCGGGCGCCTGTAATCCCAGCTACTCGGGAGGCTGAGGCAGGAGAATTGCTAGGACCTGGGAGGCGGAGGTTGTGGTGAGCCGAGATTGCGCCATTGCCCTCCAGCCTGGGCAACAAGAGCGAAACTGTCTCAAAGAATACATCTATTAAAAATGTTAGAAATCCTAAGTTGTTAACATGTATTGCAATAAATGCAGGTGAAAATAAGTTGACATTCTTGATTTGACCATATTGTCATGTTGAGGTTTTAGAAATATTTTTCATTTTTTAGTTCTTGAAAAGTTATTAGGCAACTTATCCTTCCATTGAAAGTCACATCTTTGTACCTTGTTTAGAAACAGGAAGTGGTTACTTATACTTTCTGTTTTATCTGCTTCCATGTTGTTTGTGTTTTTTAAAAGAAGTATGTTTTTAATTTTTAGATACTTCTGTTTTGACTGACAGTGTAACTCATAATGATAAAAATTCAAATGATGCAAAACCTTTACTGGACGAAGAAGGCAGGGAGAATGTTGCTTTTCCACTCCTGATGTTCCTTTAGCAAAACATTCTAGGACACTCTTTGCCTAGGAACTTACCTGATTAGTGAATTTGGAGGGAAAAATCAGGCACAAAACTGTGGCCCCACTCCGTCTTCCTCACTTTCTCCTGGAGCTGGCCTGCTCACCCAGGGAGGTACCCTTGGTCACTGAGGACCACCGGTGTGAGGGAGGAATGTGCTGATTAACATCGCTGGGGAGCCCTAGGGGAGTCTCTTCGAAATCTAGAGATCAGTTTCTCAACTGAGAAAGAAAGGCTGTTTACTCAGTGTTTAAGCCACAATCTCAGATATCACCTTTATAAGTAATAAGGGTGATTTTTGATCCTTTTATGCTTACTGGTCTGATTTCTAAGTTAGTTTAGTGATAGGAGGAGAGAGGGTTATTTATTGGGCCTCCTTGAAGTGTACAACATGGTGAAAAAGTCTCCAACCCAGTAGGCATTACCACATCCTGTAAATGCTTCCCAAAATGCTATGTGCATATACGAACATATCTAGAAATGTGTATGTGTGCCTCTCCTCATTTTCTTTTACACAGTGGTGGATGCTGTTCTCTATTAGCCTTTTCTACTTGTTATATTTTGATGGTCTCTGATACTTGTTACTGGCTACATACTATTCCATAATATGGATTTGAATTAATTTTCTAACCAGGAAGAATAAAAACATGTTTCTATTTGAAACTCACACTCTGATCAACAGTGAGGAACTGTGAAGTTCTGCTGCTGGGGGACAGGATAGCAACTGATTTCTGTGCCTCCTTTTTCACATGGAAGAGGCATATCATGTATATATCTCTCTCTATGCAGGTGATAGACTTGACTTGGTCCTTGATAATAGAGACCACACTGAAAATTGACTATGTATTGACCTACTTTTTCAGAGAGCCTATTGCTGCCATTTATCCAGGAACTGTAAGCTGAGTAATAGACCAAATGTATCTTTAGGGCAGTTAGTAATAATTTTTATGAAGGAACCCCCTTGGTAGTGACATTTAAAAGTTATTCTGAAATGTTTGCATACATTTGTATGTTGAAAAAAATCAGATATCTTAGTGAAATTAGAATATTAGGAATATTTTCTATATTACATCTTGTGAGTCTGAATGGAGTTTCCATTCCACAAAAATCAGTGCATTTGAGTGTCTTTCCAGGTTTTTTCTCGGGTCATTAATCCCTAAGCAGACGTAGTTCTTGACAGAAGGTTTTCCAAGGGGGTGGTGTCGATTATATTTCTTAGACCTAACATAAATGATGTTTAACCAGTAGCTAACCCCTGATCTTTATTTCAGGTGTCTTTGTAAGGTAAGAATTTAGTCTCTCTTAAGTTATGGTAATTCATATCATCTTAGTTTTCATTTTTTGTCCTTTCAGTTCAGTTTCTCTTAATATTTCACTTAGAGACATTAACATATTCTGTTATGGGGGGTATTGCTCTTCTGCTAGCTAATTTGCCTTTTGTTTATAAATACCGATAGTGAGGCTGCTGGATTTTAGTGTATCAGTCAGGCTTCAACAGGAGAAACAGAACCAGTAGGAGAGACCTATAAAGAGATACATTGCAAGGACTTGGCTTACTTGATTTATGGGGGCGGTCTAGGCAAGCCTAACATTCCCAGGGTAGGCTGTCAGGAAGAGCAAGCTGGAGCTCTAGGGCACAGCTAAAGCTGTTGTCCCCAGATGGAATTTCTTCAGAGAAGCCTTAGCTCAGCTCTGAAAGCTTTTCCACGTATTGAATCAGGCCCACCCAGATTATCAAGGATAATTTCCCTTTACTTAAAGTCAATTATGGACTTAATCACGTCTAACAAATGCCTTCACAGCAATGCCTAGCTTAGTGTTGGAGGGAGTAACTGTGGGCACTAGCACAGTCAACCTGACAACTAGAACTGACCATCGCAGTGTGTTTCTCTGTTGCTTGTCAGAAATCTTCTGGTTCCAGCCCTGCCTGGAGCCATATTTGGTTGGCTGTGTGCTTCTCTTTCTCTTCGCCACCCCTCTTTCTTCTGCAGGTAAGCTAACTCTTAACTTATTGCTGTATCCTAAGCAACCTCGACTCTGCTCTGGAGCCAAACATTTGGTTTCTGCGTTTTCCTTTGGTCTTACATGATGTGTGTTTTCTCTTCTGTGCTATTTGTCTTACCAGGACAGAGTGTTCCTATCGTTCTCTTTATTAGCTAAAGTTACAGATCAGCTTGGCACCCTTTCCAGCAGGAGCTTTAGTTTTCAAAGACAATAGTTACAAAATTGGATTCTGCTTTCGTGGCTCTTAGCTGTTGCCATTGTTCTTTGTTGCCCTCACTTGGGGAAATGCCATATTGGAGGTTTGATAGGACTGATGCAGAATAAGAAATCTAATTGCTTCTCTGTGCTTTGTGCTGCCTCCTCAGAATAGTTCCCTTCCAACTTCCAGAACATTCTCTTTCAAGACATTGCCCTTTCATGTTGGGTTTCCAAAGTTACAGTATTCCATTCTCATTATCTGAAGAGCAATGTTTGTCAAATTTGCTTCTCTTCCCGTTAGAAAATATTCAGGCATTATAAGGAAGTTGCTATAAATGTGTCTTTCACCAAACTAGCTGAGTATTTTTAATTATCATTATTAAATTATAAAGTCTTTGTTTCTCTAGAATTTTTTTTCTAATTGCCTATAGAACTTTTTCATATCCTCATTCTTTTGTTCTATTCCTTCACATTATAGAAAAAGGAAATGCCTAATTTTAGCAGAACTGGTAGAGCTTTAAATTCCAAGAAGTCAAAAAATAAATGTTAATGGGAATCACTGACTAAAAGGTCCAATATTTAGCTCTTGCCACTTGCCTATGATTAATAGAAATGGGCATTTTTCCTCTTGGTAAATTTTAGTGTATAATAACATAGTCAGATGGAGATACTTTGTAAGTGTAAATTAAAATCTGAATGTTCAGAGGCCTGGAGTATACACAATTAGAAAACATGACTTAAAGTGTGTGGTAGAGTCTGTTATCTGGTATGACAAGGGCTGCCAAATACGACCTATTAATTTTCAAAGAATCACTAAGTATACAAAATGAAAACACATTCAGTAAATCCCTTATCACCATCGTTATCCTGATCATCCATTTCTGTGCAACACATCACCCTAGACCAAATGGCTGAAGACAGCAGCAGTCCTTTAGTAAGTCTCCCAGTTTCTGTGGGTCAGGGATTCAGGCTGTTCAGCTTCTAGTGTCATGCCACTGCGCCAGATGGTCAGGTCACCTGGGGGCTAGTCTGGGCTACCTCACAGCACAGGGGTCTGAAGGCAGTTGGAATGCTTACATGGCACTTAAAGACTTCAACCGTTGAGTATTCCAGTGAGCAAGATAGATGTTGCATCACCTTTTCTGACCTTCCCTCACTTCTGCCTCATTTCTGTTGGTTATAGGTAAGGCAAAAATCCACCCAGATTCAAGGAGAGGGCACTGGACTCTGTCTGTTGGTAGTGAAGTGGCAAGATTCTTGGACATGTGGGGCAGGAGATATTGTCATGGGCATCTTTGGAAAAAACAATTTGCTATCTATCTACGCTCTGGCCACAACAACTTACATCTCTTCCATGTCTAAAATATGCTCTTGAGCTTTTAAGACTCTCCAAAAGTTTCATCCTGTGGCAGCTCCAGGCTTAGGCTCAAAATCATGACCTTGTCCTCTAAATCAGATCTGGGTGCAGAGGAGGCTCCTCAGGACTGGTGCCATGGGCACAGCTCCTTGATTTTTCAATCTTAAAGCCTGTGAACTAAAGAGACAAATATCTGCTGGACATACACTCAGGATGCGGCAGGAATACACACGTCTTAAAGATTTGCCCAAAAGGGGGAAAACGGGAGCACACAGGTCCATGGGAGTTCTGGAGTCTAGCCAGGCGTGGGTGGCCAGCTCCTTGATCAGGGTTCTGTCCAGTTTTGCTGTTTTCTAAGGCTCTTGGCTCCCCTCTCAAGTTCTGTTCTTTAAGCCATCCTTCTTTTTCCACAAGAAAGAGTCAGTGTTTGCAGCTAAGGAGCCTTCTCAGACTGCTTCCTGCCAGCAAAAGTTTAGGATCTGAAGGCCTCTTTTTATTTTGTATTCTGTTTCTTTTTGTCTAACTTGGCAGTATTTTGTAGTACGATATCAAAAAAGGTAGTGGGTTTTCTGTGAATCTTGTTGGGTTCACTCCATTAGTGAAGATCCATGACCACAAGATGCTTTGTCTACCATGGGTTCCCTGTGAGACAGCTAAGGGGCAGTGCCCTGTGATTCTTGGAATCCCTGTTATTTAATGCAGAGGTTCTGCAACACAAACTATTAAGATCCTCAGAAGGTGTTAGGTACGTTTGAAGGTGTCTACAAGGCACCACCTTAGACCTTTCTGAATTCTTAAAAGGTTGTGCAGTTTCACCCTGGGTTTGATTTTTGCTCTGAAACCATTTCTTGGCTCAAGAATTGTTTGATGTGTGGAGAGATTGGGAATGAGAAACAGGTTTATATTTAACAGTTTATTCTTTAGCTCATCTCTCTCTGCTCACATCTTATAGGCAGTGAGCAGAACCCAGGTGTCACTTTAAGTGGCTGCCTGGAAATCTCTTTAGATAGATCATTGAGTTCATTAGGTGCATTTCCGCTTCCCACTTTACTGTAGATGTCAGTGTTGCTAAACTCTCTGTCACTGCACAACAGGGTCCTCCTTTCCTCTAGCTTCCAGGAACATTTCCCTCACTTTTCTTTAAGCCCTCACTGACAACCTTCTTAAAACAACAGTCATTTCATTATCTCGCACTGTTGCTATGTGTCAGGCATTCAGAAAGGGCTTGTCCTGACTCGGGGTCTCTCGTGCTTGCTGTCAGCCATCTTGGAAGCAAGTCTGATTGTCATAGGGCTAATTGTTGCTTTAAGTCACTCAGTTTTAGGGTGATTAGTTACATGTCAGTAGTGACTGGAGTGATTAACATGCTGATTTCTTTCAGGCCTTTGTTATCCTCAAGTCCTAGCACATCCTCTGCTCTGCTTTCAGAAATCCAGATTTTCTCATTCTCCCTTCCCCCCACCATGCCCACCTGAAAGCTTTCCATGTTTTCCCATTGTCTGAATTCTAAGCCTCTGGCTGGTGTACAACAGGGGTGTGAACTCACAGGCCAAATTTGTCCCAAAGACATTAATTTTTAGGCTGCACAGAGAAAGTTTTTTTTTTTTTTAACTTGATATGTTAACATTAGAATAAGTCAAGAGCATTCACATAAAAATCCAAATTATCCACTTCTCTAGAAGAATCAGAAGATCTGGCTATGCTGGGGCTGTCTCCCTGTGGCAGCCGTCAGTCAATGCTGGTTGCCTTCTTATGGTGGGACAGGTGCTCCTCAGGTCACCCAAGTCCTCACTTGGCCAGCTTTTCCTTTGCATTTTCTGCTTGCCTCCTATAGGCCTTTGAATTTGCCTTCCTGATTGTACAAGATTCTTTACACAACTTTTCCAGCCTTGCTCTTAGCCATTTTCTGAAACCAGCCCCCTAGATCCCAGTATCTTGTGACCCAGCCACATTACATGAGTCAGTAGAATGTGCTAAGTTTTTGCTTTCTCTGCTTGCTGGGCTAATGCTCTAGCAGCTACCCTTCCATACTGTCCCTTGATAGACAGTCATCCTCTCTTCTGCAGATTCCCATGATTTGTATCTTTTTTATAGTATTTATGTCTTTTAAAAAAAATTTCTAGCTTAAATGTCTGTCCACCTGTCTGGACTGTGAACTACTCCAAGGTGTAAGATTTTGTTTTATTCATCTTTGGTCTAGAACTTGGTAGACGAAGGTAGTCAATAAAACTTTGTTGACCAAATGAAGTAAGAAGTGATTTTTAAAAAATGTCTAAAACAAGCTCTCTGCCCTGAAGGAGTATACAGTTTGATATGTTATATGTCCAGTGTAACACAAAGTAGAATGACATAGAGGTATAGGCAAAATTCCAATTGGATCGACAAAAGCTTCTTAGCTTAAAAAAAAAAAAAAAAAGGAGAATGTGGAAGGGCAGATCAGGCCAAGGATGTAGGTAATGCATATGGGAAATGGTAGAGTCACAAAAATATGTGACATGTACATAACTGGATTGTAGGGTATCTAAAGAGATGTGGTAGAAAATATATAAACAAATAAATAATTTGGGGCTGGATTATAAATAGATAAATAGATTTGGTTGGGAGAAGCATTGAGGATATTCATGATAATAGCACCTGTCATGTTTTGAGTGCTTCTTATATGGCAGGCATCATGTTAGGAGCATTATATGACCATGCCCCTGGTGAACATGATGGCAGTGGGGGTTGGGATGAGATTCAAAGGCATTAACTAAGACAACACTGGAGAAGTGTCAGAATGAGGCTGGAGATGGAGGATTAACAAATGGGTTAGGGGTGGCAAACTCAACTTTGAAAAACAGATAAGGTGTTTATATCCAACAGAACACTTGGAAAACAAGACTAAGAAATGCAGTTTCCAAGGATTTCAATTTAGATGAGGTCAGGGAGGCCATGGAGAAGGTGTGTTCACTCAGGGCAACAGTGTCTAGTGAGCTGAGAATGTGTACTGGGCTGGGAGCAGTCACATTTATCGTGGAGGCAGAGCAAAGAACAGTTGGAGGACACAGAAGGACAAGAGAGGTAGGAGGAGAAATATTGTGGACACAGATTTGGAAAGAGCTAAAGGAAAAGAATGGAGTTCAGCAGTGTCTACAAGACAGTGTTATGGCCACAGGGAAGAGCATTGAATTACACTATTAGGAAGTCATTAAATCTCAAAGGGAGAGAGAATAGCATTGGTGGCCTAGTAGGGACAGATACCATTTTTGCACGGTATTAAAGTGTGAGGATAAGATAGGATGTGAGGGCCACAATTGGAGACTATCTTTAGCAAAACGTTGACAGTGAAAGAGAAGAGTGATGGAGTAATTCTTAAGGAAGAATGAAAATCAGTGGGGTCCCTGGCGCTCTTTTGGTAGAAGTATAAGAGAGACTTAAGCATATTTACAGATGATGTAGAGGAGGCAGGGCCTGGCTATAAGTGTCTTGAAGGAAGGAATAAGTGAATAGATACATGAGGAGTGCTCCCAGAGGCATTGGTCTTGTAAAAAGAAGGAATCCATTGTCTTTGCACACAGCAGGGAAAGAGGGTGAGAGTGTGAAGTTTATTAGGAAGATAGGGGCTGTGAGTATGTGTTAGTATGTTTTTGCGCTGCTGATAAAGACATACCCGAGACTAGGCAATTTACAAAAGAAATAGAGGTTTAATGGGCTTATAGTTCCATGTGGCTAGGGAGGCCTCACAATCATGGCAGAAAGCAAGGAGGAACAAGTCACATCTTACATGGATGTCAGTAGGCAAAGAGAGCTTGTGCAGGGGAACTTCTCTTTTTAAAACCATCA
This sequence comes from Homo sapiens, assembly GCF_000001405.40. Classification (NCBI taxonomy): domain Eukaryota; kingdom Metazoa; phylum Chordata; class Mammalia; order Primates; family Hominidae; genus Homo; species Homo sapiens. The sequence continues at coordinate 168,081,822 of NC_000002.12, read as the reverse complement.
GATCTTGTGAGATCTATTCACTGTCATGAGGACAGTGTAGGAAAGACTTGTCCCCATAATTCAATTACCTCCCACCGGGTTCCTCCTGTGACATGTGGGAACTGTGGGAGTTACAATTCAAGATGAGATTTGGGTGCGGACACAGCCAAACCATATCATTCTGCCCCTGGCCCCTCCCAAATCGCATGTCCTCACATTTCAGAATCAATCATGCCTTCTGAAATGAGTCAGAACTCATTTCAGTATTAACTCAAAAGTCCACAGTCCAACATCTCATCTGAGACAAGGCAAGTCCCTTCCACCTATGATCTTATAGAATCAAAAGCAAGTTAGTTACTTCCTAGATACAGTGGGGGTACAGGAATTGGGTAAATACAGCTGTTCCAAATGGGAGAAATTGGCCAAACCAAAGGGGCTACAGGCCTCATCCAAATCTGAAATCCAGTGAGGCAGTCAAATCTTAAAGCTCCAAAATGATCTCCTTTGACTCCATGTCTCACATCCAGGTTACGCTGATGCAAGAGATGGGTTCCCATGGTCTTGTGCACCTCTGTCCCTGTGGCTTTGTAGGGTACAGCCTCCCTCCCAGCTGCTTTCATGGGCTGGCGTTGAGTGTCTGCGGCTTTTCCAGGCCCATGGTGCAAGCTGTAGGTGGATCTACCATTCTGGGGTCTGGAGGACATCAGCCCTCTTATCATAGCTCCACTAGGCAGTGCCCCAATAGAGACCGTGTGGGGCCTCTGACCCCACATTTCCCTTCTGCACTGGCCAAGCAGAGGTTCTTCATGAGAGCCCCACCCCTGCAGCAAATTGCTGCCTTGATATCCAGGTGTTTCCATATATCCTCCTAAATCTAGGCAGAGGTTCCCAGTTCTTGACTTCTGTGCATCTACAGGCTCAACATCATGTGGAAGCTGCCAAGCCTTGGGGTTTGCACCCTCTGAAGCAATGGCCCGAGGTGTACCTTGGCTCCTTTGAGTCAAGCTGGAGCAGTCACAGCTGGAGCAGCTGTGATGCTAGGCACCAAGTCCCTAAACTGCACACAACAGAGGGACCCTGGGCCCAGCCCAAGAAACCATTTTTTTCCTGCTAAACTTCCAGCCCTGTGAGGGGAGGGGCTGCCACAAAGTTCTCTGTCATGCCCTGGAGATGTTTTCCCCATTGTCTTGGTGATTAACATTTTTTTTTTTTTGGAGAAGGAGTCTCACTCTGTCGCCCAGGCTGGAGTGCAGTGGTGCCATCTCGGCTCACTGCAAACTCCGCCTCCCAGGTTCACGTCATTCTCCTGCCTCAGCCTCCTGAGTAGCTGGGACTACAGGCACCTGCCACCACGCCCGGCTAATTTTTTTGTATTTTTAGTGGAGACGGGGTTTCACTGTGTTAGCCAGGATGGTCTCAGTCTCCTGACCTTGTGATCTGCCCACCTCGGCCTCCCAAAGTGCTGGGATTACAGGTGTAAGCCACTGTGCCAGGCTGGGATTTTCTTTTCTGTCACATCGTCAGGCTGCAAATTTTCCAAACTTTTATGCTGTTTCCCTTTTAAAACTGAATGCCTTTAACAGCACCCAAGTCACCTCTTGAATGCTTTGCTGCTTAGAAATTTCTTCCACCAAATACCCTAAATCATCTCTCTCAAGTTCAAAGTTCTACCAATCTGTAGGGCCAAAATGCCTCCAGTCTCTTTGCTGAAACATAACAAGAGCCACCTTTGCTCCATTGGATGGACTTGCTCTCAGGGTAGCAGAGGAAGTTATTTTAAGTGATTGGGGCTGGTGAACTGAGGCCCTACTGTAAGCTGCAGTAGCAGAGAGAGGAATGGAGAGTTGGGGATCTGACTCCTGCTCTTACATCTCCTAGTATTGTCACCTCCCAGCTGTATGAGCTTGGGCCATGGACACATGTTACATGTGTCACAGTTTTACCTCTGAAAAATGGGGCAGTACAATCATTCTCAGCTCACAAGCTACTATGAAGATTAAATTAGTTAATACATGTAAAATCCGTAGAACATAGTACCTAACATTGTATGAATACCAGCTAGGGGCAAGGGGCTAGGCTGGCAATGAGGGAAAGTGTTGTCTAGCACAGTGTTTCTCAAACTTGAATGAGAATATGACCCCTGGGGGATCTTATTGAAAAGGAAGATTCTGATTTTGTGGGTCTAGGGTGGGTCCCAAGATTCTGCATTTCTAACAAGCTCCCTCCCAGGTGCTGCTGTTGCCCCAGTCTATGGGCTTCACTTGGAGGGGCAGGGTTGTAGCAGCACTGATGCCCCATCTAGGAGTGGCCGGTGGCCATCTGTAGTGGCACCAGGCATCATGCGCACTTGACTGGTGCTCTTCTTGGCTGGCAGTTCAGGATTAGAGAGTACATGTTGGGGCTGATCCCAGGGCTTGCTTTTCAAGTGTGGATTGGATAGGAAGGTTCATCTGGCCAGGGGACATGGGGACATTGAGTACTAGTAAGTGTAGCATCTAGAGTCAGCTGTGGGTGCCAGGCCTTGCATGCTGAGGAGTAGAGCCGGGAGGGGGCTGGTGGAAGAGCAGGAGAGGACCTAGGCTGGAGAGGACAGTGGAGCCAGGCAGTAGGTGTAGGATGGAGGTGCCGAGAGAGGTGGTGGTCAGAGAGGAGCAGTGTCAGAGTATAAACTATGGAGACAGTAAAATATTTATTGCTAACGTCTTACTGAGTCACATTTCGTTAATTTTTCATGATTTAGAAGGCTTTTTGTCTGCTTGGCAGTGCCTCAAGTACATGATAAACAGCAATTAATTAGAAATATTTTTTATACTTCTCATCAGTAGTATGCCTGGTAACAGGAATGTCACTATGTGTTGCTTTCTGCTGGTGCAGTAGGTTCTTGATAGGTGGACGTGAGGCTGGTGGGCTCCCTGGATCACTTGGGTTTCGACTGTAGTCAGCATGCCATATGTTCAGCAGGTGGAGGAGAGGCTGAGTGCAGGATTCCCACCGAAGGGGTAAAAATCACTCCAAGGAGATTCCCAAATCCCATTTCCAGGGAGAAGTTAATGTGGCAGTGGGAGAGGCTAGTGGGTGCTTTCCTTTTTTTTTTTTTTTTTTGGACAGATGGACATGCCAGATTGAGACAAATTCTACTAAGTTTTGGTCAGTATTTCTTTGGGTCAGTAAATTCTTCTTTTGTTCAGTAGAGTGTTAGAATCACACACCTGCATTTCTGACACATTTAGGATGCTATCGTAGAAATTTTACCTGGTGGTTCTTCATATCCTTCCTCCCCATTCCTGTGTCAGGGGCCAGGTGCCTTCTTTGAGTTGCATGGGGACGGTACAACTGTATTTGCAGATTTGCAGACAGCTCCTGTTTAGAGATGCAGCACTGGAGTGACAGGTCAGACCGCTCTAGGGACTGTTGTCCACATTGCTGCCATCTCCTCTCTGTGGCTGCTCATCCTAGCCCTGCCCAGTGGCCACCTACATCTTGCCTGGTGGCCACCAGCACTGGCCAGGAACCATGCTTCTCCTTTGTTCATCTGGCTGAGCCTGCCTTCTTTTCTTGGAATCAGAACTTGGGTTCATTTATTTAACGGGTTTTCATTAAAAATAACATTTAGAGAAAGAGAAGAAAATATAAAACATTTTCTAACCTTACTACTGCCAACTATGACCTGAAGAATTTGTGAGATTATGAATTCCTTTAGGTATCACTTAAACTGAGCTTGTTTCTCTGAGAAGCAATGGATTTTTTAAAATCCCTGACAGAGAAAATAGAGAATAAATTCTTTCTACCACCTCTTGGCTTTACTAAATGAGCAAATCATTTAGTAGAACAAGAGCAATGTAATAATCAATGAAATTAGAATTACAAGGGTAAATAATCTCCATTCTCATCGTTGGGTGTGGGGAAGATGGAAGCTTTTCTGCACTTTTTTTTTTTTTTTGAAGTTTTAACTTTGCAAGGTATTATTCAATTCCCGAATAAGACCATTTACTAAACTGTGTGAAACTTAGATGGCTCTAAAAGATAAAAGTTGTTTCTCATCATCCCTACAAACTCCCTACAAGGATGTAACTTTGTAAAATTGATTTCCCGTCCCTTTGGTAGACGTCAATGTCACATAAATCCACCATGAAACCTGGGTTTCAAATTATGCTGCAAGTTTATTCCTAGGAGTAAGCTGAGGGGACATTCTCAAAGACAAGTTAGTATTCTTATTCTAGTGGCAATTTTACCAATACTATTCCCTACATAGGTTTTTGAATGTTCTTTCTCTTAATTTGGTCAACATTTGTATATTTATTTGTTTAACCAATGTTTATTGCTTAAAGGCCCATCCCACCATTTCTTTCAATGTCTAGAGCTATAATCCTAGACATTTTGTTTTATCTTTCTCTCTTCCAGCAAATAAAACAAACAGAGAGAGAGCCAGGGCTCTAAAATAAAATAAAAATGGGAGAAAATGGGCCATTTTATTGTTTATAGTTGGATTCTGCTTGTGGAAATGAAACTGACAGAGCTTGTAAACATAGAGCCAGAGGGGGAAAGGACGTAAACTAAATTTTAGGATGTTAATCTAGACTCTCTCTGGAAAAGAAGATTTCCTTAGTGTAATCTCTTGGGTGAGTACTTAAAGAATACTAATTCATCAGCTATCCTTGGGTTCTACAATTTTAGTAAAGACAGAGTTTTGTTCTGTGTCTGATAGATAATTTTACTTGTTTTCTCACTTCTTAGTTGACAGTATGTTTTGTAATAGATGTGGCTTTAAATTCTTCCTTTTCAATGTAGTCATTAACATATGTTTCTCTATGTTGCTACCACCATGATCAGCGTTGCTAAGAAAATAATTTTATTGTATATGTCAACAGAAAATTATTTTCTCTTCCTTTAGCTATTTCTGCAAGCATTAAAATGAGCAATCTGTTCTGCAAATGCTGAAGTGCATTTTGGCATTTTTTCTATAGTACTTTGCCAACATCTATAAGCACCATTAAAATCACCGTCATTAGAAAAGACTTTTAGAGCAACTCAAAATGCAAGCGGAAGAAATATCTGATGCCAAGCCCAAAAGAGGTTTTACTAAGTACTATTTCAAAGATAAATTAGTTAAAAAGAAAAATTTGGGGGGTAGGGGTTGGAGAAAAAAGCTTTTTTTAAAAAAAAATGAGCATAACTATTTGCAATTATGAAAAAGTACTTTGTACTTTCTTGCTGACTTTCTATGTTGGAGCTCAAATCTTCTAGACCAACTGGTCAGGATTACTTTTACAGGTTCTAGATGGTAAGGCCCTCAAATCAAAGCCAACCCCTAGCATGCATTTTTTATGACTTCGCATTGATCTGACATGTATACTAAACTTAAATATTTAAATTTAAGTTCTGTGTTGTTTCCCTTGGTTTTACTGAAGCTCCTGTGATGCAACTAAATAGTGTCTATTATAAAAAGTAGGCTTTCTTCACATCATAGTCTTTCAGTCTTCAAAGGACAGTTTTAGATAACTTCTTGCTGGTGGTTATCGTTCAGTGGCATAAGGAGAGTCACATTTGAGTGGGAGTCTAAGGCTTTGTTTCTTGCCTTGCTTTGCCTTCATTACTGTGTGATCTTGGGTCACGTTCTGGGCCTCCATCTCCTCATCTGTAAAATGAAGAGGTTGGACTAGATTGTCTGGAAGCTCCCTTTCCACACGAAGTTTCTCTGAATCCTTGGACCATGGCTGTTGCATTCACATCATGTTCATCTGCTACAGTGCTTTGTTTAATTACATCTTAGTAAATTTTTTAAGCAAATTACTTTGGTCTCAGAGGCTCACTTCAGTCATCCTGTCCTTTTAAAAGTTTTGCTTTTCCAACCACAAAGACATTTGGGAAAGCTTGCCCTATGGATTACATCTCTACCCTAGCTCAAAACAATTTGAAATAATGAGGAAGACTGATTATAATCTAGACACTAGCATGGCTGCTGATTATCAAGCTGTGTTCCTAGCAATCTCACAGGTCTCATAAGTGCTACAAAGTGTGTTAAGAATGGTCTGGTGCTGTTTTGTTTTGTTCAAATAGGTTGAGCAGAATCCTGGGGAAATAAGCATAATTGTCAGGTTCTGCAAGAGAGTGAGGTGGCAATAGAAGGGTGTGCTTTGTTGTCTTAGGTTTTTAGATTGCCAATACCCATGGTCTAGTATGCGTCATTAGGCTTCCTGATTTCTCTGCCTTTGCTCAGTCAGCAGGATGTTGCTTGCATGCGCTTCCTTAGGCAATTTGATGCCTACCACATGGCCTTTTGTATATGGCAACTAATAAAGTGTTAACTGAAGTAAACATGAAAAATGAGCTTGATCCTTAATTGCTTATATGTGCAATGTTCTTCCAAAATATTTTGTTCTTCATGTATATAGTAATGCATTTCAAAAAACACAGCATTTTTGGAAAGAGGATGAGTTTGGGAACCTGGAGGCTGTGTAGTCTTTTTGGATCTTAACCGCTAGCTATCCCTGGATTCACAGCCACTCAGGTTATTTTCAGGTTGGTGTGTATGCCGTATAACCCAAGTTGCAGCACCAGTGAAATGGTTCACATTTGACTAGTGAAGAATTGTGTGGGCTTGTTTTGATTCAGGTAAGAAGAGTTCCTGGGTCAAGTGGTCACCTTCATAAAACCGAAGACGGGGACTGGGAGTGGAGTGACGACGAGATGGATGAGAAGAGCGAAGAAGGGAAAGCAGCTTTTTCTCAGGAAAAGGTAAATGACATCGTTGACGATGAGCTAATCTGTGTAAATTTTATTTTTGTGATTGTGTGTGTGTATATATATTAATGGATACATAATTGTTTTACAGTCACGAAGAGTAAAAGAAGAAAATCCAGAGGTGAGCTGTGGCTATTTATTTATTATTTTGCCATTTCATTCCTTTCTTGTGGTATCAGAGTCTGATCCATTTAGGGGAGATGCTTCAAAATCTCATGGAGTAGAAAGAAAAAGGAAAGGCACGAGGACTTTGCAGCTCCTAATTCTGTCTGAGTTACTTTGGGCTGAATAAATCGGGGCAAATTACTTTGCTTTCTGAGCCTGTTTCCTCATCTGTCAAATGAGGATGATCCCAGTACTTATAAGAAAGTCGCCATGAGGGTTGGCAAAATCCCGTACACAAAACCCTCCACGGAATCCTTGTCACAGACTAGGTAATCCATTAATTTTAACTCTTAGGATTACTGCCTTTAGAAAACATAGTAACCATACAGGCAAAGTGTCTTCCATGTTTTTTGTTTGCAATAAAGTAGATATTAAAATGGTTAGAAACTCTTGGTTGAGTCTGTTGGTCTTGGTTTTTAAATCTTCCAAATAATACCTTAGTAGGTTAAGGAGCACTCAAAAAATTTTAACAGCTTCCCTTTGAGGCCTGGTCATCTTTTGATTAAGAGATCGTATTTGATTTACTTCCTCCATTTGATTAATTATCCTAATGCCTAATGATAACTGTAGTTCACAAGACCTGCTAATTCTCCTAGAGGAAATTTGAGCATATTTAAATAGCTCCAAATATTTTACAGACCTAGTAATTAATGTATACCTTAATAAATTCTCATTAAGAAAACAAAATCTTTGGACTACAAATGATATCCATCCCAATTTTTTTTAATCAGCAGACATTTCCTTTTGATTAAATGTAGTACCTGTCATCATGGAGTTTGAAGTGGCAGTAGCCAGCCTGGGTCTTGTAAGGAGGAGGACAGCAGAGCCACAGGCCACCCTTTCTTCTCCTCTTCTTTCCTCTCATCCTTCTCTCTCCATCTTGCATGCCATGTGGATAGGCCTTTCCTAGGCATTTTTCAGCTTGCCTGCCTCCCCATGGTAGCTCTCCTTCAGATTTTGTTTTCTCCTATGTTTATCATTTAATTCACCTCTCAATTTCATACATAAAATATAAACTTTGGCCAGGTGCGGTGGCTCACTCCTGTAATCCCAGCGCTTTTGGAGGCCGAGTCGGGTGGATCACGTGAGGTCAGGAATTCGAGACCAGCCAGGCTAACATGGCGAAACCCCGTCTCTACTAAAAATACAAAATTAGCTGGGCATGGTGGCAGGCATCTGTACTCGGGAGGCTGAGGCACGAGAATTGCTCGAACCCGGGAAGTGGAGGTTGCAGTGAGCTGAGATTGTGCCACTGCACTCCAACCTGGGTGACAGAGCCAGACTGCACCTCAGAAAAATATATATATAAGCTTTGATCAGAGACCTCATCCCCCTTTGTTAGGAGCAGGGGTGATGAGCCCCACGTGGAACACATTGACCACACAGATGTTGTGCTAAGTTTTCAGAATGATCTTAACCATGTATCATGAACTCTATTTCTCCTTCCTTTCTCTCATTTTATCTAAGGTGCAGAGTCTAGGCTTTTCTGCTATTTCTAAGAGTATTTCTTACTAAAAGTGTCAGTTCTGCTGAGAAATATAACAACATAACATGGTTAAAGTAGCATCATTGACTCACAAAACATTTGTTGTTCACCACAAGAAATCTTCATTGGACGATATCCATTGGATCCTGCCTTGCTAGTAAGGCTGATGGGTGCAGGTCATAAGGATTTAGGATAATCTCTTACTGTGTGCTTGTTGAAATTGCTCTGATAGCTGATTTGTTATTTGGAGAATAGCAGTATCTTTTTGGCAAGAATATTTTCTGCACAGACAGGAAGGGAAAGACTATGTAGTGTGCCGTGAGTTGATCTTCAGGCATCAGTACTGACCTTCTTAAATGGGATATGAAAGTCATAGGTGGTTTACTGCATCTAGACTCATTTGATTTCTCAGCACCATATGTCTGTTAACATATTGATTTATAATTAAAGAAGCATATGAATAGAACTCTTATTTCTGTGAAAGGATACATGTGTTTGCATGTAAACACTTCCACCAAATTTTAGGAATAACAGGCCCCACCTGCTATTGCACAGCTTCTCAGGCTAGTTTTTTGACACCCATTCCTTTGACAGCCTTGACATTTGATTATCTTGAGCTGTATTAAGAGATGCTACAGTGATGCTTCCTGTGTCCTTTCAGCTTTTAATTAAAGTGTCCCTCTGATTTGCCAACTACCCCAAACTGCTTTCTGTAAGCAAAGCATGAAGTATTTTATTTATCTATTATAAAGGAAATTAAAAAGTGTTAAATATGTAACTATTCAGCAAATATGTATTATGTCCCTACTATGTGCCCTGTCTTAGTAGGTTTAAGGGATACGTCAGTGAGAAATACAGAGCAAAATCCCCGTCCTTGTGGAGCTCACGTTCTTATGGGAGTAGGTAAACAATATATAATAGCCTTAATAAGTAAGTAAATTATGTGGTTTGTTACAATGGAATAGGAGTGATAGAAAGAAACAGAATGGGATGGGGGCTTCAGGGAGTGTGGTGGGAAGTTGTAATTTTAGATGAGTTGGTCAGGATAGGCCTTACTGAGAAGAGACATAGAATAATGATTTGAAAAACATAGGAGAATGACATATAATAAAAACTGAAAGACCGCTTTTATCCTGCTCCCCTTTTCACCCCTGTAACTATCACTTTGTTCCACAGAAGTCATCAGTTTGAACAGAGTTTTCTTCCAGACCTTTTCTGTTTCTTTCCATACTAATATGTTCATTAAAAAATCTAGCGTGTCATTTTTAAAACATGAATGGAATTACAAAAACTAGAAAATATTTTTGCAACTTGCTTGATTGTTTTTGCAATCTTTCCACCTTAGGAACTATAGATCTGCCTCTTTTTTATTTCCCAGCACATAGTATTGTATTAGATGAATGAAAATTGTTTATTTAACCATTTCCTTCTTGGCGAGCACTTAGGCTGCTATTACAAATACCATTCCCTTAACTTTTTTGTGTATGTATTTCAGGGGGCACATAGATAAGTAAATTATAGGTACTTAGAATTGTGATTGTTTTATGTGTCTGCTGATTTTGAATTTTTTTTTTTTTTTTTTGAGATGGAGTCTCACTCTGTTGCCCAGGCTGGAGTGCAGTGGCGCAATCTCGGCTCTCTGCAAGCTGTGCTTCCCGGGTTCACGCCTTTCTCCTGCCTCAGCCTCTCCCAGTAGCTGGGACTACAGGTGCCTGCCACCATGCCTAGCTAATTTTTTGTATTTTTAGTAGAGACAGGGTTTCACCGTGGTCTCGATCTCCTGACCTCGTGATCTGCCAGCCTCGGCCTCCAGAAGTGCTGGGATTACAAGCGTGAGCCACTGTGCCCGGCCTGATTTTGAATTTTTGTAGTTGCTATCAATAGCTGTACCAATCAGTATATACAGCTTCTGACAGTGCACCTTATACCTGTAAACATCTTTGAGAGTGAAAATGCTTATCTGTGCCAAATAACACATTTAAATGCCAGAGTATTTACATTTTAATAAGCTTTTTCATGTTTGTCATTACATTGCAATTCAGTTGTTTTTGACTATAAGCCACTAGAAGATTGAGATAGTATTTTATGAAAAAAATGAAAAACATGGAAGTTTGTGTTTCTTTTGCATCTAGTAGACACTATACATGTTCACTGATGACATGAATTGGGTATGCACTGCAAGTCGAATATTAAACAAGTGCATGAGTAGGCATATAGTATTTATGAGTAGGTCAGAAGTGATTCAAGGGATCAGAAGACATATAATTGAGGTGAAGTTCAGAAAAGTAGCTTTGTTAGTACCATGTTTAGACAGAGTAAGGTGCTACAGTAAACTAGGGATATTTTAGGAAAGCTTAATGAGTGAGGGGCTATTTGACCTCCTAGGAAGTATGAGGTAGAATGACCAAGTATTACAGTATTAATCAAAGAAGACTGAGAAGGCCAGAGTGGGATGTTTGTCAGAGGGACATTGAGAAGATCCACCTCATCCTGGGTCGTATTTGGAGATCCTCCTAAGTCCAAGAGAATTTCCAGTATAATCTGTAAGATTTTAGAATTGCATTACTTATCCTGGAATTCAGATCTGGCTTGAGATTCATAGCCATCACATTGAAAAATTGGCCTTGTGTTCCTAACCTGATATTTTAGAAATATCAAAGTATTAAAAAAAGGATGAGTTCATGTCCTTTGTAGGGACATGGATGAAGCTGGAAACCATCATTCTGAGCAAACTATCGCAAGGACAGAGAACCAAACACCGCATGTTCTCACTTATAGGTGGGAATTGAACAATGAGAACACTTGGACACAGGATGGGGAACATCACACACTGGGGCCTGTCATGGAGTTGGGGGAGGGGGGAGGGATAGCATTAGGAGATATACCTAATGTAAATGACGAGTTAATGGGTGCAGCAAACCAACATGGCACATGTATACCTATGTAACAAACCTGCACGTTGTGCACATGTACCCTAGAACTTAAAGTATAATTAAAAAAAAAAAAAAGAAATATCGAAGTATTAGTCACCCACTAGTAATTAATAATTTATAACAAGTAGATAGCTCATCCTTGTTTCATTTGTTTATCATCATATTCTACTTGGTTGATGGAAGCCAGTGAAGACTAAATGTTATTATTAATAATATTAATTAAACAGATGTTTAATCTGTGCCTGATTTCCACTTGGAACTGTGTTAGGCACTGTGGGAATTTCATAAAAGTAAAGACAGCTCGCTAGCTGGATGCTTTTCATCTCTTTGGGGGTCGGGGAAGGGGTGGTATTTGCAAGGACAGTTTCCTTAGGTAGTGTTTCCTAGCTTATATAGCGTCTTAGGTTATATAAAACTTTTCAACTGTTATCCCATTATTGATCTTCTTTTGACCAGTGGTTTTGGAATCTCTTTTTGTCAAAAATAATAAGTACATGTTTTATGACTTTCTGTCAATTTTGCATTATATCCTAATTTTCTACATAAAAAGTGAAATTGACTTTATCTTTAAATTTATAGTTTCATTTGGGTTCATTTAACTGAGGAGGGCATTTGCTAAGGCTTCTATTAAAGTAACACTCTTTTTTATAGTAGCATCTCAGTTAGGTGACATGAAAATAAACAGTTCACAACCCTGGCTGGAAACCTTTAAAAATGCAGTGTCTAGACTCAACCCACAGATTCTGATTTGGTAATTTGGGATGATGTCCAGGCAACTCTGATTTTTAAAAAGCTGCTCTCAGGATTCTGATTCACAGCTAGGATCAAGGACTGGCTAGGAAAACTGCACAAATCCCTCGGAATCCAGAAGTCCAGACTGGAATCCAGGAAGCTGGTGTGCTCAAAATTCCTGAAGATTTGTTTTAAATGTCCATCAGAAATTTCCAAAATAAAAATAAGGAAAAAGAAAATGTTTCAGAAATCCCTTGGGAAAGTTGTGTTTATTTAATCAAGGGTAATGAAGCAGGTGGGAAAGGTTTCTGGCTGAAGCCCAGTAGGGCTCACAAAAGGTATATTGAAAAGTTTTGTTATCAAGAATCTAGACTTGGCTAATTATGGAAATATTTCTGTTTCCTAATTCTGGGATTTTGCTCTGAGGAGAAAATACATTTGGTATTTAAATTGAGTTAATTTTATTAGAGATTAGATGCAATGTGAAAACTAATTTTTTTCCTTATATTACTTATTGCTATTGTCACATGTCATTTAAGACTGCTGTTAGCTTTTAAAAATTATTTCTGTGGGTCAGGCGCAGTGGCTCATGCCTGTAATCCCAGCACTTGGAGGCTGAGGCGGGTGGATCACCTGAGGCCAGGAGTTCAAGACCAGCCTGGCCAACATGGTGAAACCCTGTCTCTACTAAAAATACAAAAAATTAGCCGAGCATGGTGGTGTGCATCTGTAATCCCAGCTACTCAGGAGGCTGAGGCAGGAGAATCGCTTGAACCCAGGAGGCGGAGGTTGCAGTGAGCTGAGATCATGCCACTGCACTCCAGCCTAGGTGACTGAGTGAAACTCCATCTCAGAAAAAAAAAATATTTCTACGAAAACATGTTTTCCAAATGCCTGTGAGCTGTCAAACGTGTTTGTTCTATACCCATATGGAGATGGAGAGAGAGATTTAACTTCTCCCTCCACTTTTATTATGGTTATCCTTAGCCATCACAGACTGCTTTAACCTGATATTTTCATGATACCACTTTCTAAAAGGTGTTGTTATTGCAGGTGACTGCCCTTTTGAGCAGTTGTTAGAAAAGATAGGTATGTTTTTCAGAAATCCAGAAATCTGCAATATATCTGAAAATGAACTTTTGATTTTGGAATAATTTTCGATTTATAGAAACGTTGCAGGGACAGTGCAGAGTTCCCATATATTCCTCATGCAATCTCCCCCACTGTTGATTTCTTATGTATTCCTGACAAATTTGTTACAACTCAGAAACCAGCGCTGCCATGTGACTGTCAACTAAGCCCCAGAATTTGTTCCCATGTCACTAGTTTGCCTACTAGTGTCCCTTGTTTTTGCCAGGATCCAATCCAGGATAGCACATTGCATTTAGCTATAATATTTGCGAAAACAGGAAAGGAGTTCATTAGGCAGAGCTCTACGAAAAATTGGAAAGCAGATGTTGTCTCTTTCTTGTCTCCATTCTGAGATCTTTTCCTCTCTTATCCTGTCCTAGATCCCCATCAGGGTCTATTGCCATGGTGGTGTTCAACATTAATCCATTGTTCCTGCCTCCTCCTCTGATATGGTTTGGCTGTGTCCTCACCCAAATCTCATCTTGAATTGTAGCTTCCATAATCCCTACATGTCATGGGAGGGACCCGATGAGCGGTAATTGAATCATAGCAGCAGGTTTTCCTATACTGTTCTCGTAATAGTGTATAAGTCTCATGAGATCTGATGGTTTTATAAAGGGCAGTTCTCCTGCACACACTCTCTTGCCTGCTACCGTGTAAGCTGTGCCTTTGCTCCTCCTGCGCCTTCTGCTGTGATTGTGAGGCCTTCCCAGCCATGTGAACCTGCGAGTCTATTAACCCCCTTTTTCTTTATAAATTACCCAGTCTTGGGTATTTGTTCATAGCAATATGAAACCGGACTAATACACCTTCCCATCAAAACACTCATTCTCTCAAATGTCCATCCTATAGCAAATTGTTTAAAAGGAAATGAAAAACCCTGATAAATTGACAGCTGCTTAATATGTTAGCTTTCTTACAAGTTTTTACACTTAGAAGAGTATACCCAAAAGACCATGCCCTAATCCCATAGAATGGATCTGTAGTGGTGACATTTGGAGGAATGCAGTTCGTTGTCAAGGAAGATGTTTTGTACGGTGGCTTCCTGTATTAGGCCATCCTTGCATTGCCACCTGAGAGTGGGTTATTTAGGAAAAAAAAAAGAGATATAATTGACTCACGGTTCTGCAGGCTGTATAAGCTGATGCTGGCAGCTGCTCAGCTTCTGGGAAAGCCTCAGGGAGCTTTTGCTCATGGTGGAAGGTGAAGTGAGAACAGGCACATAATTTGGTGAAAGCAGGAGCAACAGAGAGAGTGGGAAGGAGGTGCCACACACTTTTAAATGACCAAATCTCGTGTGAACTCAGAGTGGGAACTCACTTATCACCAAGGGAATGGCCCAAGCTATTCATGAGGGATCCATCCCCATGATCCAAACATGTGCCATCAGGCTCCACCTCCAACATTGGAGATAACATTTTTTTTCTTTTTTTTGAGACAGAGTCTCACTTTGTCACTCAGGCTAGAGTGCAGTGGTGTGATCACAGCTCACTGCAATCTCCGCCTTCTGGGTTCCAGTGATTCTTGCGCCTCAGCCTCTCAAGTAGCTGGGACTACAGGCGCAAACCACCACACCTAGCTAATTTTTGTATTTTTAGTAGAGATGGAGTTTCGCCATGTTGCCCGAGCTAGCCTCGAACTCTTGGCCTCAAGTGACCCACCCACACCTCATCCTTTCAAAGTGCTGGGATTAGAGGCATGAGCCACCGTGCCCAGCTGAGGATTACATTTCAACATGAGATTTGGGTGGGAACAAATATCCAAACTGTATTCCCTCCCTGTCCAGCTCTCCTGTGCATCTCTGCACATTTTCTGAGGAATTACCATATTGCTGTGCATCAGAGTGGAGGCTGTGGTCCCCTCGTTGTATTCAGGGTTACACCTACACAGTAAGGTTGCAGGGTGTGTGTGGGGTTCCAGCCCCCCGCCTAGTTGATTAGCCCTCCATCTTGATGATTGTGCAGGGCAGGAGATGGGTCTTCCCAGGGGAAAGAGAAGTTTTCACCTCTTAGTAAATGCCACTAAGGTTTTTCAGGTTACAGTAGTTCTTTGACTAAAGGAAGTCACAATAATGTTTATAAGTACTGATGTGGCCTTTGGTTGTATCACAAATTTAAATTAAGATTGTGGAATCACCCTGAAAGATTCTTTGCAAGAGATCATTTGAAGTAGGCCCAGAGCCTCTGGCTGGTTAATGAATACAGGTTGTTTTGTTCTTCTAACGTAGTCATTTTCCCCTAACATCTTATCGTAAAAATAAATAGAGCAACATTAAAACATTTTATAGTGAACGCCGTATACCTATAATCTAGGTATCATCATTACTGTACTTGCTCTATCATATATATCCATCTATTCATCCTTCAGTCTATCTTAACTTTTTGATGCATTTCAAAGTAAATTGCAGACATCAATACACTTTTCCCTATTACTTCACTACCACCATAGTTATTTTGGAAGAAGCATGGAGAGTAAGAATTTTATGCTCTTAAACTTTAGAAAGCTCTTCTCACAAATAATTTTTGATGATTTCTGATTTAGAATTGATAGTAAGTTTAGAAATAGGAGAACCTTTTTGTTCATTTTCATTGCTGTTTCTCTTTGAGGTTTTTTTTGTTGTTGTTGTTGGTGTTGTTTTTTGTCTTTCAAGTTTTGCTCCAGGGCAGAGTTCCCAAAAGTAGAGCTCAAGGCAAAAATAATTTGGGGGTAACCTTAGAGTTGGGTTTCTAACTTTGAGAGAGGAGTATAACCTATCACTTTAGCATTAATATCTTTTAAAAATGCAACTATCCTTATGTATTTTTTAAATACAGTGAATAATTGCTCATAGTTAGATTAAAGGGGCAGGTTTTATTAACCCCAACGTCTTTTCATTGAGGGTCCGTTAACCTTAGATGAAATTATGCAATAAGAAAAAATTATCCTAGGACATCTTTTGGTTATCAAATTTAAAACATCAAATAATTCATGCCTTTTCACTTTAGCTTAGTGGTTCTTTAACAGTATAATGAGGGTTATTTGGGGAACTTGGTAAAGACACAGATTCTCTTCCATCTCTGTGGAATTCTGAGTCACAGGCCAGGAGGGGCCTAGGGGTCTTTAACACTTGTCCTAGGTGATTCCAACACAGGTAGTCAAAGAGCCACACTTTGGTAAATATTGCTTTATGATCGTTTGGAAATTATTGGGTCTGATAATTGGGACTTAATGTAACCACACTCACCGTGTCTCCCTTTGGCTTTCTTGAATGCTGTAACGGTGGCTCTCGTAACAGATTGCAGTGAGTGCCAGCACCATCCCCGAACAAATACAGTCCCTCTCTGTGCACGACTCTCAGGTATGTTTCTCTGCCAGTCATTCCGTTTGAGGTGCTTTGTAGACAGATCCTTTAAAAAACCAACATTTTAGAAAGATAGACAATTTCAAGGTAGTGCCTCCAAATCAAGGGCTTATAAGCTGTCTTTTTAAATAGGTTGCTATTGACTGTGCTTTGTGGGACCTCCAACCTTTAAATGATAGGCTCAAGAGTGAGAATTGATTACCAGACTGCTCCTGAAATTGCTGGTACTGTGGAAAAGAAGAAAAGGAAAGAAAATGACACCATTCTGTTATATTCCAGCCACAGAACATTGTGGTTAATTGATACTTTTATTTTTTGCTCCTGGTTGGATTTCTGTAACCTGTTTTCATAATTCTGTTATCATTGAATTTTATGGGCCAATTCGTCTCTACAACTTGCCTTGTAAAAATAATAGTCCAGTAACTGTGACATGCATTTATAATGCATATTTATTAAAGTTATGGGACAGAAGACGTGGCTGTGAGCCATGGTGGGAGGTGTTGAGGGATGCTGAGCAATCCAGGGAAAGGCCTAGGGGCATAGAACCAGAGCACAGGCCTGCATTCTGGTTCTGCTGTATAATTAACAGGCAAGCCCTTTTGTTCTCAAAGTGGTTGTACTATAAAGCGTCACCACTGTCAGGATCATAATTTTCTTTCTTTCAAACTCTGCATATTCAATTTAAATTCATTTCTGTTTTACTTGGTCTGTGTTTTATAAAATAGCCATATATTGGAGAGATAATTAGAGTGATTTTGTTGGCTTCAGGAAGCCTGTTTGAGGTCAGATACCTAATGCGGGGCCCTTATTTTATAGCTTATATATAGAGGGAGTAAAGACTTGCAGAGGTGAAGTGGCTCCCCCATAGTCACACCACTAGTTAGAGGCCAAGTCAGGATTCGGTTTAGGTCTTTACACTATATCAGGCAACTCAGTAAGAGACCTTGAGATAAACTGTAGGGATTGGTTGAATGATAAAAGGCAAGTTAAGAATAATAATGGATCAGAGGGCAAAGAGAGTAAAGGAAACGGGAACAGGGATTAGGATAACTAGTACTGTAGAGCATTTTATGACTCACTTTCATCTATATCATTTTATTCTCCCTGCAACCTTTTACGGCAGGCGTTATTCAGAGAATGGCTTGCTCATGGTTGCATTTCAGGTCAGTGGCAGTGCCAAGTCTTGACCTGAAATGCCTTATTTTTTCTACTCCAACAATAAGGTCTACTCATGTCCCGGGATTCCCTGAGAACAGGGAGAGGCTGTGTATTGGAGACATTCATGGTTAATAATCAATATTCAAGAAAATGGGCTCTAGGTGAGAAAGGCAGGAAAGATAAACAGTGGCTGAATCTTCTGGGCCCCGCCTTCCTCTGCATTGCAGGGTTTAAGGTGCCCAGCCTTTGTGATCCCCAAGTTTCAATAGTAACAGTCTATGTGTGGGTTGTGAGGTGCCATTTTAGGTAGCTGGACTTTACTACAGCTTATACAAGTTGTTTATGATACCCATCCTAGAACTGAGGCTTTCCATATGAAACATTCATATCCACAATTGTGATGGGAATTAGGCACCATTACAACCTTTACATGGAGGTGTTACGATGCCAAAGAAGGCCTGCGTGTGTAAAGATCTAGTTTTGAAATTTCCAGAAAGAAATGGCTATATGAATCAAGTGATATTGTGATTTTATTCATTCCTTTCCTGATACAGTTTATAACACTGTTTGCTGTTTTCTTTTTAAAGGGCCCACCCAATGCTAATGAAGACTACAGAGAAGCTTCTTCTTGTGCCGTGAACCTCGTTTTGAGATTAAGGTAAATAATACTGTTGTTTATTCTGCATTGTTTTTCCTATAGTACAATTTTTTAAATCTCCTTCGTTAACCTTTCATAATATTAGCATAAAATAGAATCGTTAGCTTATTTGATTTCCCCGAACCATGAGTGTATGCTGTATTCCCAGGGCTAATTGTGCTCTTCTAATTGCTTGCTAAAGAAGAGTAAGAAAGAAAAGCACCATATGAGTGTGTCTGCAGGCTCAGTGTACCTTTCATTATGTTTTATTTCCTTGCCTTTTCCTTCTTAGATTTTTTTTTCTTTTCCTTTTTCTTTTTTTTTACAATGTAAGATCACAGTAAGAGATTTTTAATGAGTTTCTTTCACACTTCAGCAGTCGGTCTCTGACAGAAATAAACCATGCTTGTACTACAGGTTGCCTGTTCAGAACATTTTTCATTGGCAAGTTTGATCAGCCACTGTGGAGAAATGACAGATATATTTTGAAAGAAATCTCAGTCTTCTAGGAAATGGATACAAATATGGTGCCTGACAGTATGGTCTTTGTCTGCAGTAGTGTGAATGAAAGCGTTTTCCGTTTTAAGGATTTTTTTTTTAATTATTTAAAGGTTCATCTTTGTGATGTTCTTTGCTAAGAATTTGATATCTCAAGACAAAACTGTTTAAACTGAATTATAAACAGCTTAGTTTACCAGTTCTATCAGAATACTGTCACATCTTTGAAGATGTTTTAAAAGAAGTTATACATATGTTCTTCTGACCATTAAACAAATAAAGCACGTGCATATACTAGGCATTTTCTGAGTTGTAGCTACAAAAAGCGGGTTCATCAGCAAGGTTAGTTTCTGGCCACTAGGGATTTTCAGAGTTGTAGCTACAAAAAGTGGGCTCATCCTTAAGGTTAGTTTCCACCCCTCTGAGTTATCATAGTCCATCTAAGTAGACCATTGGCACCATAATCACCCCTCACTTCTGATGGTCATTTATAGTCTGCATTTTCACGTATTTGTCAAAGGAACCTCACAGTAACCCTTGGTATGATTCAATTCAGAGTTAAGAAGTGAAATTATCACAAGGCTGTTTTCCTTATATTTGACAGTAGCCTTGATTATTATTCACAGTTCGTGAATTTAGCAATCACTAAAGAATGAGGTAGCCCATTCCCTTTTTGTTTGACTTTCGAACGAGGTACTTCTTTCATTTATATTTTACTTGTTCAGTTATTCATTAATTCAGCCCGTATTTATGAGGAGCCCACTCTGCGCCAGGAGCTCTGTGCCAGGCTCATGTTGTCATTGAGGTGTAGTGGTGAGCAAGACTACCAAGGTTTTAGTCTAGCCCACTGAGCATGCAGTGTTGGAAGTGACCTTTAGAATCCAACAGTCTAATCGCCCACTTTATATATGCAGGAATCTTTTTTTTAGTGTCTCTGCTGGATGTTTACCTAGCTTCTGTGCATACTAAAGCTCACGTTTTCTCCATGATGGCCCCTTTAATACTAAATAAAAGCCTTAATTGATTGATGGTTCTTCCTCCTGAAGATTAAACCGACTTTTCTGTTCTGGGCTCCTATGGGCTGTAATTCTCCCCCTTAGTGCAAATATCAGACTGTCTGCATAAAAGTCTCCTGGAAAATGTGTCAAAACACGTACTACTGAACCTTAACTTTAGATATTATTTTGCCCTGGGTGCTAGAGCAATATGACAAATGTGTTCCCTTATTTTTCTGAGAGCCATTTGTATATTTGCAAGGAATGTTCTTCTCTTTTCTTAGACAAAATACTATAAGAATCTTTAGCCTTTTTCTCATGATACAGTTTCTATATTGCTCTTGCAATCCTAGTTGCTCACCTTTATTAATATTTAGTCTGTATCTGCCTTTGTTATATTTTCTCTTGTGGGTATAGGTTGTTTTCATAAGCTTGTGGCTTAGATCACTAGTCCTACATGACGCTCCAGGAAGAAAGGGTTCTATGTTCAAATAAGTTAAAAAACAATGCACACTATTCATCAATCTGTGCATGTGCACACACACGCACATACACTTTTTTTTGGAAATCATAAGGAATATTAACATTAAATATTTTAAGAAGTTCTACAGGAAGATAATTTGTTTAACTTTCTTTAATCTAAAACCTATTTGATCTCGTAACTCTTTTTATGTGGTTATTTTGTGTTCCTTTTGTATGTAGTGCCCATATTTAAATACAGGATTCCAGATGTGGTCTGAGCAGCTGGAATACAGTATTA
This sequence comes from Homo sapiens, assembly GCF_000001405.40. Classification (NCBI taxonomy): domain Eukaryota; kingdom Metazoa; phylum Chordata; class Mammalia; order Primates; family Hominidae; genus Homo; species Homo sapiens. Next base: position 168,061,267 of record NC_000002.12, on the reverse strand, counting down.
AGATAATGTGGTTTTTTTTTTTTTTGTAATCCACACTCTATATTTCTCCTAAATCAGCCTGAGTTTTCATTGCCTTTTGAAATATCCATGCACATGGGTGACATGTTCAGCATGACTCAGCAGCCAAACAAAACAGCTGATTTTTTTAAAGGGCTACCAAGCCTAATTCTGAACTGCAACTCTAGATAAAATTTATCTTTTATCACTAATAATTAACCTGATAGTTTTGATGAATTTCTTGTCCACTGTGTGTTTCAATCATCACCATCAGTGTGTCATATTCTAGTGTTTAGATGTATGTCCATTGCCAATCTGATTAACCTGCCTTTTAATCTTTATCCAAAACATTGATTAAGGTGTTCAGTAGTTTGAGGGCGAAGAGTCTTCTGACATCTGTTGGAAACCATTCACTGTCGGAGTGACTTTCAGTAATGAACTAGTGTTCTTTGATACAGTTGTTCAACCAGCAACAAATTCAATGCCTTTTAATGTACATCTAACACAATTATTCCAAAGGATATCATAAAGGGATCTATTATATATGTTGCTGAAGTTAATATGTACCACATTAATGGCATTTTCCTGAATCTAATGACATAGAAACACTTTCAAATAATAGAAATGTATTTTAGTATGACTTATTTTCAGTGAACACTTGTTGATATCTAATTGTTGGTACATTTGTCTAGTTAGGTTGCCATTAAAAAAAATACCATAGACTAGGCGGCTGAAACAACAGAAATGTATTTTCTCATAGTTGTGGAGATCGGGATGTCAGCATGGCTGGTTTCTGGTGAGGGCTCTCTTCTTGGCTTGCAGCTGTCTGTCTGCTTACTGAGTCCTCACATGGTGGAGAGGGAGTGAGAGCAAGCTCTCTGGTGTCTCTTGGGTCCCACCCTCATGAGCTCACCTAAACATAATTACCTCCCAAAGGCTCCATCTCTAAATACCATCACTTGGAGGGTTAGGGCTTCAGCATATGAATTTTTTTCAGGGTGGGCCACGATTCAGTACATAGCAGTTGGTGTACTTTTTTTTTCGCTAAATATTTACAAGCTAGTTATTTAGACTATTACTTTTCATATTTGTGAACTCATGAATCTCTGAGAAATTATTGTTGGAGTGGGGTGGAAAGGGGGGGGATGTCCTTGTACTTCAGTTTGAGAAATAGCCTTTGAAAGTTCTAAGTTAAACAGTATTACTTTTTTGTGATCACCGTGTTCTAAAGTAAACGAAAATGGTAAATACATTCATTCATTCTATAAATATTTATTGAGCACTTACTATGTACATGGCATTGTTCCAGGTGCTGTAATGTACCAGTAGAAAAAAGAAAAGGCAGACTTCTTGCCCTAAAGGAGCTTACATTCTAGAGCCAGGGAGAGGAAAAATTCAAATATTCAAATTGGTTGTATGATATACCAGGTTGTCTGAAGGAAAAGGTATGTGAGGAGGATAGAAAGTGAGGGGGATGGTATTCTATATTATAGAAGGTATATTAGATTTCTGTTGCTGTGTGAAAAGCTATCACAAACTTAGCAACTTAGAACAGCACCCATTTATTATCTCAGTTTCTGTAGGTTGTAAGTCCGGGTACAGTTGAGTGGGATAGTCTGCTCAGTGTCTCGCAGGCTGAAATTGCGGCATGCTCATCGGAACTCATGGTCCTCTCCCAAGCCTTTTTAGGCTGCTGGCAGAATTTAGGTCCTTGCAGTTGTGGACTGAGGCCCTGAGCTCCTATAGGCCACAAGCAGTTTACAACATGATTCTTGCCCTTTCAGGAGCAGCTGTGGACCATCTCCACTACGCCACCCTCACTCCCAAGGCCTCGGTCTTTCTGTTCAAGGTTTTTCACCTGATTAAGCAGGCCTCACCTAGGATAATCTCCTTTTTGATGAACTCAAAATCAAACTGATTTGGAACTTTAATTACATCTTCACCTTTGCCATGTGCCATAACTTAATCGCAGGAGTGACATCCCATTATCGTTATAGGTCCTGTTCATACTCAAGGGGAGAGGATGCTGCAGGGCAAGTTCACTAAGGAATGGGTTTATTGGGGTCATCTTAGAATTCTGCCTACCACAGAAGGCCTCTCCAAATAAAGTAATATTTGAACAGACAGACCCCTATTGGAAGTGAGGAAACAAGCCACGAGGCCGAGCAAACAGCACTTGCAAACGTTTGAAGCAGGAAGCATGTTATAAGTAATTGGAAAAGCAGCCAGGTAACCAGTGCAGGCAGAGCCAAGGTCATGGGCACAGAGAGTTAGCAGGGGCCAAATCACGTAGGGCTGTGTAGCCTGTGGTGAAGACTTTGGATTTTACTGTTAGAGGGCAGAAAACCAGGAGGCCTGTGAGCAAAAGAGTGATATGATCTGAATAAAATTTTAAACAGAGAGCTGCAATTGATTTATAGAGAACAGACCATGTAGAGAGCATATAAGGTGGCTGTGAGAGTCCCTAGGCAGGCTACTGCCATGACATAGTGACGATGATGTGACTTGGACCAGAGTGAGGATTAACGGAAGTGGTAAGCAATTATTGGATTCCAGATTGGGGAGAAAGAACTTGATTACTCAAGGTTTTGGCCTGAAAGTATGGAGGAATGGAGTTACTATTTTTTGAGATGGAAAAGAGAGTTTGAGTTGCAGGTTGGGATGGAATAAAGAACTCAGTTTTGCACATGTTAAGCGTGAGTTGTCTGTGAGGATGTATCAGGTAGGGATTTAGATGCATGATTTCAAAGATGTCTCGGCTAGAGATGTAAATTTGGGAACAGTTGGTGTCTATGGCATTTAAAGTTATGAAATGAGTGGAATCATCTAGGGAGTAAGTGAAGGTAGAGAAGAGAAGTGGGCTGGTACTGTCACAGATGTTGCATAGGTAAGCATCCACTGATTGAGAAGGAGAGGCTGGTGAGGTAGAGGAGAGAGTGATGTTCCTAAAAAACAAATAGAGGAAGTGTTTGAAGAAAGGAGGAGTGAAAAGCTGCATCAAATGCTATCAATAGGTCAAGTATATTTGCAAAATGAAGCACATGCTTGACCTTGGCAAGAATATTTTCAGTGGAGTGATGGGGACAAAAGCCTGGTCCAACTGGGTTCAAGAGATTGGCAAGAGAGAACAGGGGATAACAAATAGATAACTTGTTAGTACAGATAACTCTTGTGAGAAATTCTCAACACAAGGGATCAAAACTGTGGAGTGATAGCTCAATGAGAATATTGGGTAAAGGAAGATTTTTTTTAAAAAAAGCATGTTTACAGGTGAATGGGAATGATTCAATAGAGAAGGAAAAATTGAATGAGGGAGGGGACAGTGCCAGACTGATGTTCTCAGATGGGTGAACAGGGATGATCCCCAGACATCTGTTAGATAGGAGAAAGGAGAGGTCATCTCTTGGATGGTGCAGCTACCATCAGGGGAAGGCAGGCAGGGGTGGCAGGTAGAGGTGCAAGGAGACTGTACCTTGCCTGGAAGTCTTCTTCTGTTTCTATTTTCCCAGTAAAACAGGGAATGTCATTAGTTGAGAGTGGAAGGAAAAGAACGTGATGGAGGTTTTAGAAGAGAGGAGAATAATTGTGTAGGAGAGCAGGAGAGTAAATTTTCTAGGGAAATGCAGAAGGATTAACAGGCTGGAACAGGGATCACTGGAGGTTAATAATGACCCAGCATGTAAGTGTCTGTGTGTGTGTGCGCGTGCATGCGTGTGTGTGTGTGCACGTGCGTGTGATTATAATTAAGGAAACACAACATTTAAAAACATTCATAGAGGGCCAGGCGCGGTGGCTCACGCCTATAATTGCAGCACTTTGGGAGGCCAAGGCAGGCAGATCACTTGAGGTCAGGAGTTCGAGATCAGCCTGGCCAACATGGTGAAACCCTGTCTCTACTAAAAATACAAAAATTAGCTGAGTGTGGTGGCACATGGCTATAATCCCAGCTACTCAGGAGGCTGAGGCACGAGAATTGCTAGAACACGGGAGGTGGAGGTTGCAGTGAGCAGAAATTATGCCACTGCACTCTAGCCTGGGCGACAGAGCGAGACTCTGTCTCAAAAAAGTAAGTAAATAAATAAAACATTTGTAGAGGATTCTGTGAGCATAGCCATGGGCCACCATCTTAGAAACACTGTTTAAGTCATAAATAAATATGAGTCATAGAATTGCTGTCAAGCTGATCTCTTGTGTGCAAGGTGGCAGTCCCCTGTCCTCTTCTCTCACCCCAGCACCCCTCAAAGGTCTGACTTCCTTCTTTTATAGCCTTTGAAGTTACAAGCTCTTTGAGTATCAAAAACCCACTATCCAGTATTGTTCCCTGCCACACAATTTGTTCATACCCATTCCCCATTTGAAGTCTACTTTGGATCATTTGCATCATCTCTGGGCCTGAACAAGCTATTCTCTAAACCATCCTGTGTGATAGGGAGCTGGAAGGCTGCTTTTGGCTGGTGTTGATCAGATTTTTAAAAATCCATGCCCTCTTTTGCACCTTCCTCATTTGTTTCCATCTCCATTCAAGACTCTGATATATGTGAATGCATTTGTACATATACATATCTACATGTACACACACATATACGCCTGCATATGTTACACATACACGTATATTTGTATATGCCCTCACTCTCTGTGAATCACTCCTCAATGTGATGCGTGGCTGCCGGGTATTGGGAAGTAGTATGCTTGCATTTCTTATCCCCGAGCCTATCTGGGTGTGACATTTATGTGTGTTATGCTCCACAGGCTAGTAGGTAGGAGACTTTAGTTCAGGCCAGCCCTTCCTCAGTCCTTAACTAATGCTGTGTGGGTGGCTGCCCTCTCCACCTCTTGGAAAGGTCACTGTGACTTTCTTTTTGACATAGCATTTTATGGCCCTACCTGCTGGGAACGTGGCTTCCTTCCTCACTGCACGCCCCTCCCCCTCCCCCCGGAAGCTCACCTTGATTTTGTAAGTAGGAAACTGGGAAATATTTTCCTTTTCAAAATGTCACACTCTAGGAGAAAAGACAAATACGTTGTGGCTACAGGTAGTGTATTTCTCCACTATTTATTTATTCCTGGAGATCATAGGCAAAAGTCTGAGGAGGCAAAAGGGTAGTTTCTTCCTTGAAAAAAATATAGTGTTGCTTTAATTTGCTGTTATATGCAATATCAGAGAACAGGATTAGACCTTAAGGCTCAATGTTAAATGCTGGAGGTGGTTAAAATGCAGATTTATCTTTTTCTTTTATGTTTTTTGCAAATTTTTTTTGTCCATAGTATATATGATAATGTCATCTATGATATCAAAAAAATTGAATTATCATAAAGCCCGTACAAGGTAAGGAAATCCTCCTAAATGCTAAACTCAGGAGAAAAATACCAAGTGGGCCACCTTGTAATTTATATACTGTCAGTAGATGGTAATACAGTTTCTGTTTTGAGTCAAACATTATACAAATATTTTTCCATTAGTATATTTTTCATCAAATAAAATAGTCATGCATTTGGCACAAAACATGTTTATTAGAATCAGGCTCAGTGATTTGGAAAATGGTAAATCTATCACTTAAATTATTAATTCCTTTGTATTAGATGCTGTTCATACTTTGACAGCTCAGCCCTATGGATGGCATTTACAGTTTTGCTGAAGGCAGCCCTGCCAATTGCCATACATAGATATGCTGGTCTGGTATGTCCCATCAATTTGCTCATCATGAATTTACCTTGTTATTATGTAGCAGTATCATTGGACCTTGAGGGACCAGTTGAAGACCCCAGATCAGCAGAGTGGCTTCCTGCTGGTAGGGAAAAATGATCTCTAGCACGGGATACTTATTTTAACTCAGCATGACAATTGTTGCATACTTCAATTTATTATTTTGGTTTCGTTATTAAAAGATGCACTTAGCTATTTGTAAAGAATAGACTTAGTAAATTATGATTTCATAAAGAAAGCTAAATCTGTTAGAAACGATGTTGGCCATTGTTTTAGCATGAGTATGCCAGAATTCTAATTCCATCATTATTCAGGAGGAATTATAATTCTTAAACTGTTCTCTAGCCTATAAAATAGGGTTATTTGTATAATTCTTACCGGTCAAGTGGCTGGGAGGTTTGATTAATTTTTTCCCTGAAAGGTTAAATAGTGTAGGCATAGTGTTCAGTTATGCAGTGCTTTTTTAGTACATGTTCTTTTTTCCCTCCACAGCAAACTACTTATTTACTGCTTTCTTTGTGCAAGTCTTTGTTGAAAATTCAAAAATGAATAAAGCAAGGTTTCTGCACTCAGAGAGCTTACCATGTAGGCGGAGAGATCAGATCCCGCACAAGTGACCATAATATAAGGTAGAAGGTGATAAATGCAGTAAGAAGAGAGATAAAACTAAGAAGCTATGGGTAGTTAGAGGAAGGTGAAAGCCCTTTTGTTTAGATGTTATCTTTGGTGTGCTTGTTCCCATAGTAACCAGTGGTATTGTTTTTTGTGTGTGTGTGAGTTTTTTTTTTTGTTTTTTTCAACAACCAAATTTTGAGAAGAGTAATGGATAGGACGAATCCAGGGTCAGTGTCATGCTGTGGTCTTTGGTAAGGGGTTTACCGTCTTAACTTATTTCTGAAAAGACGACATTTGTTTTTCAGTAGAGTGGTATATGTTATTACGTGGGTACCAAATTAATAGAAATACAGTGCTCTGATCCAAAAAATGTCTGGCATTTTACTTCATTTTTTGGGTGTTCTCTTTTGGTTGTTTTCTTTGAGAATTTGAGTCCCTGATGCATATCTTGGCTTTATTAGTGGTATCCTTCAAAAAGATGAAATGCCTACTATGTGCCAAGCACGATGATAAGCACGTTGTTTGCTGTGTCTTGTTTAATCATCATAAAACCACCATAGCATCCATCCTATTGTTACCAGAATTTCACATGTGGGAGATTAAGGTTTAAAGTCATGAAATAATTTGTTTAACACCGTAAAGCTCACAAGAAGCAGAGGTGGGTCTTGAAGCTAGGTCAGTTTAACATGTTGGTCCTTGTTCTTCTTCCCTGACCCTGTGGCCTTGCTCTATTCAGTCCTGTTTTGAATGCAGTCAGAAACTCCTGTACTTTAGGGATTGTTACATTTACCTGTCTTCCCATTAACGTTTCACATAAATATTCTTTTAACAATGTTTCCCAACAAACTCATCATTAAATGTTATGACAGGAATATTGGAAAATATTTTTCTTGGAGGAGATGCTAAAGATGCTGCTGCAAATAGAAACTGGCATTTATCGTGTTTTAATAATTTTTCAAGCACTGTCACATCACTTGCTTGATTTAGTTTTTCCTTTCGTCCTACATTTGCTGCTGACAGATGAAACAGAAAGACTGGAGATGTTAAGTGGCTTTCCTGCAGTCACAGCTGTAATTCTCCAGCTGGCTAGCATCTGGGTCTTCTGACACTAATTCAATGTTATTGATGATATGGTATAGGGAGATAGTATACATATAGGTGATAGAGGGTCGTGTAAGGTGTTGCCTTTGGCATATACAAAATCCTTCTGCTGGTAAACATGCTAAAGGAAAGAAGGTTTGTATTCAGAAAAAATTGGTATAAGGGAAGCAAAATAGAAGCATGAAAAATCATTCATTCTGCGATAATACTGTTTTTTCCTTGACAACTGAGCAAGAGGACATTGTGAGTACAAATACTTTCAGCAACAGAGAATGCATAGAGTTCTTTAAAGATATTCTGTATTTTCAAGCCGTAAATGGTCATCTTAGAAATTCAGAAAGTCAACATAAATTAAAGAAATAACATCATCCATAATCTCACCACCCAGAAATAATTATTAGCCTCTTGGTAAATATTTTTCCAGACTTTTTTCTACATACATGTTAATGTAGATTTTTAATTTTTTAAATGTTATTGTATAAACTTTTTATTTTATTATAAAACAACATATGTTGTTTTCTAATCTGCTCTGTTTACTTTGGTAGTATGTCCTGGATACCTTTTCATATCGATGAATACAAATCTATAGAATCCTTTTTAATGGCTTCCTTATATTTGGATTGAATGCACCAAAACTTATATTACTGAAAAAGTGTTATTTGATATTGAGGGAGTTCCCAGTTTTTCAGTATTGTATCATATAAAAGGTTAAATGTACAAGAATGGTGTTTGAAAACTGCCCAGTAGGAAAATCTCTGTTAGCTTTGAATTTTGACCTTAGTGAAATGCTCTTAGACTTTGAGAAGCCTGAAGATACAGAACTGAGTAAGCCCAGTATCAAAGCACATGGGGATTACTTAGGAGCTGGTTCTGGCTCTTGGGTCAGCAGAGGTTGTCATCATCTGTGTAGCAGCAGACACCGCTTCCTCGCTCTGTGTTGGTGCTGAGTTCTTGCAGCAGGGTTTTAACGAGGTCCCTGCACTAAGAAGCTCCAAAACTGAATGATTTCTTAATGTAAGAGGGTTCCATTTTGAAGCTGTTCTTTTGGATACTTCCTTCGAAAGCTTATTCTTTAAAGAATCCTCCCTTAGCTGCTTGCTGTGAGCACCCAGGAGTTAGAGGAAGTAGCCTGTGTTGGACCTAACAGTTGGAGGAGATGAGAGATCACCTTTATGCTCTGTGAGCCTTACACAATGGCTAGCATGTTACAGATCCTGAATAAATATGTACTGCACAGGTGCCAACTGAATGATTTTTAATGAAAGGCGTATTTTACAAACAATATCAAGATGCTTCACAAGATGCTGTTTGCAGCTCTTTATTTTTGACATTGTGGTGGAAACATATACAGAAAATACTCCTTTGCTAGATTGCTTTTTTTCCAAGGCAAATTAATCCTTTTGACATAATCTCCTATATTTTGTTCTTTTAAATACTTTTCTGTTAAGACAAAAATGGACTTTTTAAGGTACCTACTATTTTAAAGATATTTTCTCTGCATGCTTATCTATATAAAGACATGAAAAGATTCATGAGAATAAAGCAAAAGTTCATAGAAGGTGTGGAGAGTCCTGGAAATATGACCAAACGATCAGTCCAGCAGGCAAGAACTGCAAGGCAGGTTCTCTGTCAGAGAATAAAAGAAGGGATGCTAAACAAGGGCCTTGCGCGAGCATTCCCTGCCCTCCATTGAGACCCAGCTGTGTTACTGTGGCTTGGCACAGTGTCTATTGGCAGTTCCCACCTCTAGGTCTCAGGACAAACTCTCATCGTTCACATTTGAAAGTGTGGATGTGCTATGTTTCTATCCACAGAGCCTTCTTTGGTAAGAGGTTTCCTAGTTAAAAAAAAAAAAAAAGTCTTCCTCATTCTTTTTTTTCCACTAAAAGAAGAGTGAAGCCAAACACCTATCAGCAGCTAGAGGATGGAAGCTGGCCTGCCTCTGTGGAGCTTACCATGGCTGTCTCTCTGAGGCAGGGCATTTTCAGGGGAGCTCTCAGGTCAGAGAAGTGGGGTGAATTGTGCCATGTCGCAAGACTAGTCAGTGTCAGCCCCAGGAGTCAAATGCCAATATCAACCTTAAGAGTAAAGTAGAGGGGGCTGGGCGCTGTGGCTTGTGCCTGTAATTGCAGCCCTTTGGGAGACCAAGGCAGGAGGATCGCTTGAGCCTAGGCATTTGAGACCAGCCTGGGCAACAAAGTGAGACCCTGTCTCAAAAAATTAAAAAAGAGTAGAGTGGAGGGCCTCCTTGCTCTCCTCTCATCTTAAGTTCCACAGCATTGTAGCCAGGAGTCAGTCTTGCATGGTAGACCAATTGTTTGGTTATGTTTTGGGGACTCTCGTGTCTTCTGTGAACTATTGCTTCTTTCTCATGAGCCTTTTAATGTCATTACACAGATAGGCGTGAAGAGAAAATGTCTTAAAAATAGTCAGTACCTTAAACAGCTTTTTTTTGGTGGCATTTAAGTCAATGTTAATTACCTGATACCTTACCTGATAGTAGCCTGAAATTTTAACAAATGCCTTTGTATTTTAAGTTATCCTTCCTGTCGCTGTGCAGAGCCTGTCTCCCTCATCCTTTTTTATATTCCACCTTTCCTGGCTACTGATGAGGTAACCTGCTGCTCTTAGCATTCTAAAAATTCTCCTCTCCAGTTTTATTAGGGAAGGTTGTCTCTTAGGACTTGTCCTCTTGATCAGAGATGAATAATTCTGGAGACTGTTTGCAGAGTTATTTCAGTTCTCCGTTACCATATCCCTGAAGATAATGAGTGGTAAGATTTCTTCCTTGAGATGCTGAGTCTTGGAAAGGTAACAAGTATATTTCAGTTTGGGGACTTTCTTTGCATTAACTTTTCTTTCCCTGTTGAAACCAGACTTCTTGGAATGTAATTTAAACTTTATTTAGCAATCCCCGAAGTGCTAGAAAACTTTATTCTCCTTGGTAAAATTCATACAGTTGTTAACTGATGGTATTGTGGGAAATCTCTGCTGTCCGGTGAATTTCATTGGTTGGCCTTTGTATTAGTTTTCTATCACTGCTATAACAGATTACCATTTACTTAGTGGCTTAAAGCAGCACAGATGTATTGTATTCCAGTCTGTAGGTCAGAAGAGTCTCAGCGGGCTAAAATCAAGGTGTCTATAGGGCTGCATTCCTTTCTGGAGGCCCTTGGGGAGAGTCTGTTTCCTTCCCTTTTCCAGCTTGTAGAGGTAGCCTGCATCCCTCGGCTCCTTCTGCCATCTGCAAAGCCAGCAGCTTAACATCTCTCTGGCCTTGCTTCTGTTAACACAAGCAAGATCTCTTTCTCTGACCACCAGGAGGCTTCTCTGCTTTTAAGGACCCTTGTGATTAGGATGGTCTCACCAGGATAATCCAAAATAATCTTTCTTCACAAGGTCCTTAATTTAATTACATCTACCAAATCCCTTTTTGCCATGAAGAGTTAACTTATTCACAGGTTCCTGAGATTTGGCTGTGGACGTATTTCGGAGCTATTATTCTGACACTAAAGAAAGATTTTAAGTGTCTCTCCTTATTTGTGGTATATAATTTCTAATTTTTATTATGCTTGCTTCCTGGTCCCACATTTCTTGGTATTACAGGGCCTGATGCAGTGCCTGTCACATTCCTAACATTCAGGCTTCCCTGAAGTAGGGCAGTGAACTTTCATGAGCTTGGATTATCATTATGGAGCACCTTTGGAGTGCCCAGTGTATGCCAAATGTTACAAAGAAGATACAGATGTGTGTGAAGCTTATTTTCTTCTATGTTTTGAGACAATCATATGGAAGTATGAAATTGCATATTATCCCTTTCAGCTGATAAGAGGGATTACTTAAAAGTACAAGGTAATTTGGAAGGTGTGCCTTCCTATGAAATCTTTCAAGTAGAGATCTGGAATCTGTAGTTCCCATGTAGCCCCCTCCTTTAGAATCGGACACCCAGTTCTCTCCTAATGTACATGAGTAGTGTGTTTCTAACGCTTCACTATTACAAACAATGCCACCTTACACACATCTGGTTATTTCCCAAGGAAGAGTAGGAACACAGACACAAGTCAGGCAAGTGCAGGGCACAGGCAAGGAGAATTGCTAGTTCTCAGCTGGTGGCTGGAGTCATAGTTACTATTATGGATAGCATTTACTGCTTGCTACTCATATGCAAGGCAGTGTGTTAAATGCCCACTGCCTTGTTTCTTTTACTTCTGACAACACTGTGAAATAGATACTAATGTTATTCTCATTTACAGATGAAAAACAACCAAAGCACCAAAGTTAATTTACTTGCCTAGAGAGTTAAACACTCCTGTTTAGTACCTGAGCAGGAATTCTAACTTGTGTTATCTGATCCTGGTAGGTCCTCATTTAAATGATGCCCTGGATAGCTTCCAATGAAAGAAAAGTCCAGAAATATTGATTGGCAGATACTTGGTTAAGGATTTTGTGCTAGGGAATTGGGATTTTCTTTTCTAGGCAATGGAAAGTAATAAAAATATCTTTTGGGTGACAGGAGGCAACCTGGTAAGAAAATTACCAGGACTTTTGTTCACTCAGAAATCGGAGCTTATCTATCTCTCTGCCTCCATTCTTGTCATTATCCAGCATTAGCCGTGTGTTCTGGATGTTAGGTGGTAGCCGGGAGAGAATTGATTAACTCAGGGGAGTCTTCATCTTCTTCAGTTCACTTTCAGAGATCCTGAGTCTTGTGTGGTGCTTATTTCACACTGTTTTTCTTTGACTGTTACATCAACTGACAATCCAACGAGCATCTGGGCAAAGGGCTGGTGGTTTTACAAGGTACTCAGTGGCCACTGGTTATCAGAGCTATCACTTGTTCCTTTTGCAAACGGTGATGAAAACCATCTCGTCAATAGCATTAGGCATTAGGCATTTGCCAGATGATGCATTAGGCATTTGCCAGAGCTGACCACATTTAGTCTGTGTGACGCTGTTGAGGGTATTACATGGGTAAAGGAAGGTCTGGGGTCACATCAGAGGCATTGCAGAGCTAGGGGAATGAGATGATATGACCATCTGGACATGGCGCCTAGCTTTGATGCCAGTAGCTGGTGTCAGGTGGCGGGGTTGCTAATTACAGAAGGTAGCTAGAGAACCTGAAGAGTCAACAACAAAGGTGGTGGAAAGAATAAAGCAAGAGCCAATTATTGGAGGCTTGAGTGGTTCGGTTAGTGTTTTCTAGCAGGTTTCATTTACCCAGGTCCTGTACTGTCCCTGGGGCCTGCAGATGACCTCTTAGAAGTGGCCCAGTTTGGTCCAATATTCATGAGAGACAAGAACATGAATTTACCTGAACTTAAAAAGCATAGGCCGGGCCGGGCCGGGCGCGGTGGCTCACACCTGTAATCCCAGCACTTTGGGAGGCCAAGGCCGGCGGATCACGAGGTCAGGAGATCGAGACCGTCCTGGCTAACGTGGTGAAACCCCGTCTCTACTAAAAATACAAAAAATTAGCCAGGCGTGGTGGCGGTTGCCTGTAGTCCCAGCTACTCAGGAGGCTGAGGCAGGAGAATGGCATGAACCTGGGAGGCGGAGGTTGCAGTGAGCCGAGATTGTGCCATTATACTTCAGCCTGGGTGACAGAATGAGACCCCTTCTCAAAAAAAAAAAAAAGCATAGGCCAAGAAGGAGGTAGAAAATAACTGTATTTTAGGGAACTATGGCAAAATAAAACCCATCACTTGATAAGGATCTTAATCAGAATTTGGCTGCATGGAATAACTAGAGATTATCTCCTGAGCTTTCACCCTCTGGGCCACATAGAAATGGGACTATCAAATATAAGAACTACTCTTTTAAAAAATTTTCAGAAAATAAAACTCTGTGCCGTCGTCTGGTAATCTGCTTAGCTCAGTGAGTTTCCCCAGTGAGGTAAGTAGTTAAGCAACTTTAATCTCCAAAAGGAAATATGAGTTTTGGTTGAGTTTTTAATGAATTTGGATATGGAAGATGCTGTCAAGCATACCTGGCCACAAAGTATTAATGTAAATCCTCTTTAAAACCCTTTGACTCATTTTTATTTGCAGAGATACATCTTGTTTCATAAAAGCATTGGAGGGCTTCTGCCCTGGGTAAGAAAGCAAACCACCTTTCTGACACAGAGGGCCCTGGGGAGGAGGTTTGGTCTCCTGTCCCCATAAGTTTATATTAATCCTTTACCTTGGAGCATGCTGCAGTGGCTACTTGAAGATGACTTTTCAGTCCCTACTTGGAGAATTTACCAGCATGCCCACCAATGGCCTTTGTTGTCTTAATGGAGAAGCTCTGGGGATTTTGTAAAACCAAACTTTGTACGTTTGTCTGGAACTCGTTCTAGAGTTCTTGCTGTGGAGCAGATACAAGGTCAGCTCAGTCAAAAAGCTGATGGGGTTTTTGTCCTTTGATCCTTTCTCTTTTTATGGTTTGGTTGCACCATTTTGCTCCCTCCCCCGAAAGAGAAGTCTTTCTCTGAGAATGTTCAAATGAATTATTAGGCCTCTAAAGCACTTAAAATGAATGTGTATTACCACAGCATGGCTATACCATTTTAAACTCTAACATTGTAAATCACACAGGATCCTAGTCAGATTGGCCTTTTGACTACATTAGCCTAGCTGTTCTGTTGCAGGGAAGTGTATTGTTTGCTTATAGAGTATTTTTAGCAATATCCAAGTAGCTAAGAAGAATCTTTTTTTTATTTCTTAAAACATTCTGTCTCTTTTACCTCTTTTCTCCAACATCTGAAAGAAAATGGGGAACTTAAAAAATATCAGGGCTAAAAGATATTTAACAATGCTTCATTCTCTTTTTTTCCTTTTTTTTTAAGTTGTTTTTTCTTCATTCTTTTTTAATCAGTTTATTGTACAATCTATACTCGCTGGGTAAAAACAAAACAGAAGTTTTATGTTTCTTTAGTTACTGCCTTTAAAGAGTTGTCAGATCTTCCCTTCCCATCTTTTAATGGCATCTTTGGCATTAGGCCATAATTTTCCTGTCACTTGGAATGTAAAAAAGTTTGGTTTAAGCTTCCATTTATTATGCAGTTTCACCTTTATCCCCTCCCATCACCCACCTGACCCCTCTCCCTGAGGAGGGAACACAGTTACCCTTTCTCCCCTTTTTGGGTTGCTTTTTCCTCTTGGTTGCCACTGCTTCTCTAAAACTAACTGGCTGCCAGTGTCCTCTGAGGCCAGTGTCCAAAGGCCAGCTCTTCAGTAGTGACCCTTGTGGGACTCTCTGAAGAGATATAGGCCAGCTCTGCTTCCTTTCACCTAGGGAGGTGAGCAAGTGACTCACCTCCACTTGGGAGGAGTGGGGTGATGGCAAGATGGCTTGATGTGGGCCACCTTCCAGGTGACCCCTTCACCACACCAAGACACGGGGGTAGGTGTGCGTGGATGCTGAACGGCTGCTCCTTCTCTGCACTCTGCCGTGTCTCACTAGTTTTCTTTTGTTTGTTTGTTTGTTTGTTTGTTTTGTTTTTGAGATGAAGGAGTCTCCCTCTGTTGCCAGGCTGGAGTGCAGTGGCACGATCTTGGCTTACTGCAACCTCCACCTCTCAGGTTCAAGCAATTCTCCTGCCTCAGCCTCCCACATAGCTGGGACTACAGGCATGCACCACCACGCCCGGCTAATTTTTTGTATTTTAGTAAAGGCGGGGTTTCACCATGTTGGCCAGGATGGTCTCGATCTCCTGACCTCGTGATCCGCCCGCCTCAGCCTCCCAAAGTGCTGGGATTACAGGTGTGAGCCACCATGCCTGGCCATCTTGCTAGTTTTCTTTTCCTTGCTCAGGCAGTAGGGGTAGGGTTGATCGATATGTCTGCTCCCTAAGCAGGTATTGATCTGGGGAATGAGATGCCAGCCTTGCCTCCTTGCCCACTCCTTTGACCTGTGGAGTGCCTCTCTGGGGGACTCCTGCAGTTGTATTGGTAGTGGGGAGCCTCAGTACACACCCTAGACCAGTAACTCGTGAGGGTTCCCTGTCATTCTTTACCCCTTCCCCATATTTTCTTTATAAAGATAGGAGTTGGAGGAGTCAGATGTCGTGGTTGGGGCTAGCATAGCCATTTTGGCCAATTGTTAATAAGCCTTAAAGGAGTAGCATGATATTTGCATCAATCTTTAGAATATGGGGTAGCTGATGTCTGGTTATTTTTAGCTTAGCATCCTAGGAACAGTGCTAGGGTGACAGGAAAAGATTCACCTAATATCCACTGTCACAGTCATTCTTCTGTACGTCTATTGAACTCCTGCTGGGCAAGTTACCATGGGAATATTCTAAAACATAAACTTTGTCCTTGAAAGATCTTATATTTTGGTTTAAGAAAATAAGGATATAAACAGAGAAAATATTGAATAACCATATAAGACAGCATGTGGAGAATAGTTCAAATAAATTAAATTGAGAATAATGGTGTCATTTTTCAAATATCAGTGTCAACTGGGGTGGACGGCTAAGACTGCCTCTGGCCTGCTGCAGGGGGTGTGGGGGTGGGTGAGGCAGGGGGCCTGAGTGTTTCTGTTCTAGAGGATGCCTTCCAGCTCTGTTGTGTAGCTTCTAGCTGTGCTCTGCAGGTTAAAAGAAGAGGAAACACCCAGGGTGTGGGAGGAATGGAAGAAGAAATGTGAAAATGTACCAAGGCACAGGTTTAGGACTAACTTGATTTTTTTTTTAACCAGATTAAATTTTGAAATAACATCATTATATTCTTGTTTATAACTTTTTTTTGGTCACTTATAAGATGCAAATGAACAATGTTGGGTTTTTTTTGGTTTTTTTGTTTGTTTGTTTTTTGTTTTTTTGACTTGTGCCTTTACTTTCAACAGAAGTTACAAGGAGCTTGCTGTTCACTGAATGCTTTTCTTTCTCTTCTCTGTTATCAGGTTGATTCCTCTTCAGTATAGTTACTCATTTTTTCCTGTACTTACCTGAAAGGAGAATGTAATTAACCACTGTCTTTGGCAGTGGGTCTGTTGGAATTATTACCTGTTTGGCCCTTAGTCATGGTTGGTTGGTTTACATTCTTGGTCTCCTTTCCCAATCTTATTTGTCTTCTGTGACCCTTGCCCAGCATGCAGTTGGCCTCTCCTTCCACTGCAGACAAACAGGTCTTCGCTCACCTTCCCAAAAAGCTGTCACTGGTTCCCT
The DNA here is from genome assembly GCF_000001405.40 of Homo sapiens. Taxonomy (NCBI): domain Eukaryota; kingdom Metazoa; phylum Chordata; class Mammalia; order Primates; family Hominidae; genus Homo; species Homo sapiens. The sequence goes on along the minus strand of NC_000002.12, from coordinate 168,044,699 downwards.
TGGGTTTGCCTCACCACAGTGCAACAAAGTGCATGAATTTGGGTATTTGTAGATTTGGTGCAGTGTACATTTTAATCTTCTTCTTCTCTTTTTCTAAACTCCTGGTCCTTTTATACTTTCCTTCCTGTTTCTTAGATAATTATTAGAGGCTGATCTTTTCAGTGTTAGCATCTTTCTTATAAACAGTCTTTGGGTCATATTTCAGTATTTTATCAAGCTTACTTTAAGGACAAATCAAGCTGATGCCCAGTAACCTCTCTTAGGCTAGAATTGACTTTATGATGTTCAGTAAATCACCATGTTTAAGGACTCCAAACTTATCGTAGTGGCCTTGGACTTCAAGTTGCATATTGAGTGATAAGGAAAGGACCATATATCTATTTTTCCATCCTAATCTCTACTATGTTATTGGTGTTGAAACTGTAGAAAGGTCCATTAAGTCTAAGGTTACCTTAAAGGGAGGTTATCTCTGCTGTTAAAGTGACAATACCCGTGATATACTCAACAGTATTGCAAGGATCTTCCCCTTTCTCTCAAAAGTCAGCTATTGTTATTTACTTGTGCTGCTGCCTACTTCATGAAAAAAAGGAGCCATATAAAAGTGATACATTTTAACATGTTGCAGAGATGAACAAGGGCTTTCACACAACCTCCCCAGAGAAAGGAATAATAATTATTTTGATAAAGTGCTGTTCTATTTGAGAGGTTGCTTTCCTCTAGCTAAATCCTCAATAATAATGCCTACATCTATTATTGTTCTAATATAAAGAATTGCGAGTGTAGGGAATTATTTTATATAAAGAGATTCTCACTCTAGGGAATTTCTATACTGGATAATCTGCAGCCTCCTGAGTGCAAATAAAAAATGGAAATTAAAATCCTCTAGCTTTGAAGCATACATAATAAGGCTGCTGCAAGTACGAAGTCAGAAATTGTGAGATGATCAAAATCTTCACAGAGTAATATGTGCTAATGACAAAGTTCAGGTCAGAAACCAGGAAAAGAATTGAGAAAGGGCTATGGTTGTGTTAGCAGCCTCCTACATCTTTGTTGGTGGTCAGAAATTGTGCCTGTGTTGTACTTCTGAGTTAGTTGTAACCTATTATATTCCTCTTTGCTGTGTCACTCCTGCAAGGAGAATTTGCAGAGAAAATTCACATTTGCATTGCTTCTGTGTTTTAAAATTTAGAAGCAGCTGCAACATGATTTAATCAAGTAGGGAAATATCGTTTAACTACATTTTGGGGGTTGTTTGTTTGCCTTTTTGCTGTATATACACACTTAATTGATTCTGTTACTGGGGTTTGTATTTATTTTCAATTTAAAAATTAGGAATCATCAGCCTCCAGATTACTTGCCTCTATTAGTTATTGATGAGTGATTTTTTTTTGCCATCAATGAGTAATAAATAGAACACCTCAGATTAATTAATTCCATTTGTTGAATTGACCTTTGTTTCAGACACTGTTCTGGGGGTATAAAATGAATAAACCAAGTTAAATGATAAAGGAAAACATACTCTGATTGCTGAGTAAAAGGTGGGCTTTGAACTGTATTTTGTATTCATAGCCGTCAGTCAGGTAGTTGAAGATTGACTGGGTAAAGTTGGGCGGTGGGGACGGAGGGGCCAGGTAGATAATAGTTCTTAACTGTGGGTGTTAGGGACCTAAAAACTCAGATTAAGCCTGTAGCTTCCCCCTCCTGCCCCTACCAAATACATATTTAACATTTACATAGTATTTTGCAGGTGGTTTAGATAGGTTTACTGATCCCCAGAAACCCATCTATGGACCCTGCAAAGCTCCAAAATTAGAAGGAAGGTGGCTGGGTGCAGTGGCTCACTCCTATAATCCCAGCACTTTGGGAGGCCAAGATGGGTGGATCACAAGGTCAGGAGTTCAAGACCAGCCTGGCCAAGATGGTGAAGCCCCATCTCTACTAAAAATACAAAAATTAGCTGAGCATGGTGGCAGGCGCCTGTAATCCCAGCTACTCGGGAGGCTGAGGCAGAGAACTGCTTGCACCCAAGAGGCAGAGGTTGCAGTGAGCCAAGATCATGCCACTGCAATCTAGCCTGGGTGACAGAGCGAGACTCCATCTCAAGAAAAAAAAAAAAAAAAAAGAAGGAAGGAAGATAGAATTAAGATCCTTCAAACCTGTTGTTACTGTTTTTCCAGGAATGCCCAGACTCCATTGTAACCCCTACCTTTGAACTGGGCTAACCGGACTTAAATAGGAATTGTGCCATAACCTATCTCTTTGTTGTTTTTAATATACAAAGTAACAGTAGAAAGTTAGGTTGAGTATGAAGATGATTTTTAAAGGGAGGGCTTTTCCGTAGAGAGATGGACAGAGAGATACCCTAGAAATATTTAGAGGAACTGAAAGTTGAGTAAGCATTGATGTAACCACATGATATAAATGAATGATTTATTTTTACCTTGCCTTGTTCCAGAGAAGATTTAAGGTGACTTACAGTATGAAAGCATAAAGTAGGTGAAGTAAAATGAAGCTAAAATGAGATTTTAAAAATATCTTGAGAGTGGAAAGAGAATTGGGCAGGGAACCCAGAGTGATATAATTACAATCACTGAGAAGAAAATTTAGCCTTCAGCTTGTTAGCAACCAGGAAATTATAGTTGTCTATTTAGTCCTCCTCTCTTGACAAAAGTAGACCTATAGGATTAAAAGATTATATAGCGAGGCAAGCTTTTGCTTGATACCAAATTCAAGTGGAATTTATCTCTTGGTTCTTTCTATAAAGAACCTTGGATAACATGGCAGAGAGCTTGACCTACTGTTGCAAAAAATGTTCTTGAGTTATTTTTTCTTAGATTGACACTCCTTAGAAGTCAAGGGCTTATCTTCATTGAATTACAGCATACAACATAAAGTAATTTCTTCAGAGCCTAAACCAAGTTCAGGTCTGTTTTCTTTCCACTGATCAACTCTGAGAGAAGATCTTGAGCTTAAAGTTAAGGAAATGTTTTTAGCAGGGAAAGAATAGCAGTTAGTCCAAGTTAGGAGTTCTGACCACCATCTAAAGTACCCATTTGCTGTATGTTGACTGAAGGGAATTCTTAGGTTTACAGATCAGATGAGTAACTAGCAGCATTACCATTCTCATTGGAAAATTCAAAAATCTGATGTCACTTAGACAGACGAGCCTCCACTTGCAGACATACTGTAGAGAAGGAACTTTGGGGATAGATCATGCATTTTTTTTTTTAAAGAGCCAATAATTCTTTCCCCAAATATACAGTGGACAGCATACTTGTAAACCATACAGTATAGGAGAAGTGATATTAGCCTGGGCAAATTACTTTTCAAGTAGGTGTGATCAATGGCTTCCTTTCCCATAAACCTTGTGTATCCTTTGGAACTTTTATTATTTTAAATAATATAATAATATTTTATAATAATAAATAGAATAATATTATTAATACCTCTCCAAGAGTTGGACTTTAGGAGTTGGAAGGATTGCATATTTTTTAATTATAGCAAATATTTCTCACCAGCAATAATATTAGTTTTAGCATATTAATGTTAAACTTGTTAAAAACACAGCTCCTCCTGGACACACCTGCTGAGGTCAGATCCCATGATCTTCTCCCTAGACGGTAAGCTCCAAGTGGGCAAGGACCAGGTCTATTTTGTTTACTTCTCTATGTTCCATGCCTCGCACAGTGCCCTTGATTCCCATAATGCACAAAATTTAAAGAGGCATGAGTATGGGACCTGTGTAACTTAATGGGTTAACAGTTCCATGTACTAAAAAAGAGAGAAACGTCACTTTATGTAATTCAGTGACTATTTTTTTAAGTGCTTACTCTATAACAAGGCAGTGCTGTATTAAGTGTCAAGGGAAAAGAACCCTTAGCTTTGGAGAGAAGATAAACATATACAGAGATAGTTTCAATGTTATGGGTTAAGTCCTTGATAGTCCTGGGGTTTCAGAAATATAAACATTTTGTCAATTAAAGGTATGAAGATGCCATATGCTTGTATTACTTCCTTATGAAAATGAAACTTCATATAATTATTAATTAAAGTCTATATTTCACTTAAAATTCTAGGTGAAGAAATCTGGATAAAAAATTTATTGGGAAGGATTTCATGTTTTGAACTGTTGTCCAGTGAGGTTATATGGCAGTAATTTTCTCCAGTAGGGAATTCCTAAAGTTATCCCATTTTGAAGAAGGTATGTATTACATTTTTCATCCACATGAAGAAGATTACACTTGAGAACTTAGCGAAAAGCATTTGTTGAAGCCCATTACTCAGGGCAAGAGCTACCTAATTTTTGTGATTTATCTGCTATGACGCTTTTCAACTTAAGGGTTTATATTTTCCTTTTTTTGTGTAAAAAGAAATACTTGGAACCTATGGTAATTTTTTTGGCATCCTTGTTGATTCAGCCCTTTTGTGGTTAGTTTTTTCTTCCTTTATTTTTTCTATATCTGTCCACCTGTACATTTATCCAAATATATATATATATTGAGCAACAGTTTTATTCTCAATGTTAGTAATATAAAGATGAACAAGGCAAAAACCACAGCATACAATCGGCTCACTGTGAGGAAGTCATTGAGTAATTTGTAGATCGGAGTGCGGTGTTGACAGGCATTGTAATGTACAGGATGATTGAGGACCAGAGCCCAGAGATGGTACTGAGTTCTACCTAGAGTAGGGTAGGGAGTCTGAGGTAGGGATAGAGAGGCTCAGGGAGGCTTCCCAAGGGAGGCAGTGCCTGAATGGGACATTTCTTATTTGGTTGTATAATATATCAGCAATACCTTTATCTAAAAATAAATTCCTGGGTGGTGAATAATAGGTTTCTTACCTTTCTTTTAGCCTTCTGATTTTTAAAATAAACTTAATTGCAGTATAATTTATATATAATAAATTGCATCCACTTAGTACAGTATGTTTGATGAATTTTGACAGCTGTGTACACCCGTGAAGCTATCACAGTCATCAAGACACAGAACATTTCCTTCTCCCTGAGAAGTTTCCTTGTGTCCCTTTTGCAATCCATTCCTCCCTCCACCTCTGGCAAAGGCAGTCACTGATCTGCTTTTTTTTTTTTTTTTTTTTTTTGGAGACGGAGTCTCGCTCTGTCGCCCAGGTCGGACTGCGGACTGCAGTGGCGCAATCTCGGCTCACTGCAAGCTCCGCTTCCCGGGTTCACGCCATTCTCCTGCCTCAGCCTCCCGAGTAGCTGGGACTACAGGCGCCCGCCACCGCGCCCGGCTAATTTTTTGTATTTTTAGTAGAGACGGGGTTTCACCTTGTTAGCCAGGATGGTCTCGATCTCCTGACCTCATGATCCACCCGCCTCGGCCTCCCAAAGTGCTGGGATTACAGGCGTGAGCCACCGCGCCCGGCCTGATCTGCTTTTTTCAAGCTATGGATCAGCTTGAATTTTATAGACTTTTATATGTATTCATTTGTGTCCATCTTCTTTCACTCAGCTATTTTGAGATCTATTTTGTTGCATTCCCTTTGATTAAAGAGGAATATGGATATACCACATTTTGTTTACTTACCTGATGATGGACATTTGGGGATTTTTTTTCAGTTTTTACTGTTATGAATAATGCTGCTATGAACATTCATGTATAGTCTTTAAGTGGTCTATATTTTGATTTCTCTTTGAAAAATTTCTAGTTGTACAATGGCTGGGTTAGGTGGTAGGTGTGTGTTTAACTTTTTAAGGAGTTTTGCAAAGTGGATTTTCCATTTTACAGTCCCACCAGCAGTGTATGAGAATTCTAGTTCCTCTACATTCTTGTTAATACTTGGTATCGTCAATCTTTTTAATTTTAGCCATTTAAATAGGTGTGTAGTGGTATCTTATTATAGTTTTAACTTTCATTTCTCTGATTAGTGACATTGAACCTTTCTCATGTGTTTCTTAGCCATGTATGTCTTCTGTTCAGATCTTGTTTCAGTATTTTACTGGATTGTCTTATTTCTGAGTTACATAAATTCTTTATATAATCTGAATGTAAGTCCTTTGCCAGATACATATGGATAATAAATATTTTTCTCACTCTGTGGCTTGCATTTTGGTTTCTTAATGGTATCTTTTAAAGAACAAAAGTTTTAAATCTTGATAAAAAATTTAAAGTATCTTTTTATGATTTGTATTTTCTTGTATACTATTTAAGAAATCTTTACCTATCTCTAGGTTGCGAAGATTTTCTTCGTTTTTTTCCTATGTTTTCTTCTGAGGGTTTTTTTTTTTAAATCATTTTAGCCTTTACATTTAGGTCTATGGATATTTTAAGTACTTTTTGTGCAGTGGTGTAAGGCAAAGGTCAGTGTTTTTTTGTTTCCTTCCAGATACACACTTGTGCCAACCCCATTTGTTAGAAGATCTGAACATTTGTAATAAGTTTTATTGTCATAATAAAAGAAACACTTTTTCGTGGGCTTGGGGGGATGCAAAAAATAAACTCAGAGGTAGTCTCCTACCTAAGCAATACATGTATTAACATTTTGTTCTTTCTTCCAAGCACTTTCTCCAAGTTTACATGTGTGTTTTTAATTATACCATAGACTCGGCTTTGTATCCTAGTCTATCTAACTATAGGTAACATTTCTCCAAATGTTTCAGATTTTCAACTAAACCACACCTATTTCACTCTGTGTGTTTGTTTGTCTGAATCACTGACAAAACACATTTACATAGTTTAAGTTTTAGTTCAATTCTCTGCCTTTTCTTTTAAGTCTTTTGCTCAAATGATGGTGAGTCATTACAGCACAGCTTCTGTTTCAAATATTAGTGGATCTTATTAAAGGAACTCTTTCCCCCTCATTATGAAGGTAATATATGTTCATCAGAGGAAATTTGAAAATGCAGAAAGTTATAAAGAAGAAAATGATTACCCATCGGACCATCACTCAGGAATGAGCATAATTAACATTTTGGCATATTTCCTTCCATTTCTTTTACTTTGCATATATTTTTTATTGTTCCCATTATACTATATGTGCAGTTTTGTGCCATGCTGTTTACACTTAAGATTGCATCTTATGGTTATTTTTCTTAGGATGATTGTATCTTGTGGTAATTTTTACACTTAGGATTGCATCTTGTGGTTATTTTACTGTAGTTTATTTAAGTGTCTTCCTATCACTGGAGACTTAATTTGGTTCCAGATTTTCGCCACCATAAACAATGACCTAAAAACTGGTCTTATACAGATAACTGTCAGATTTCTAATTATTTCACATCATAGATCATTGATGTTGAATTATTAGGTCAATGGGTAGGTATAACCCTCTTAAAAATTTGGAAACATTGCCAAACAACTCTCTCAAAAGCTAGTATCAATGTATACTCTTGATGGCAGTGAAGAAAGCTCTAATAGACTGAATTATTGCTATCATTTGGTTTCCTCTTATCATTTTGTAATCTTTGCTAATTTAAATTGGTAGATTAGAAAGTAGTGATTGAATTTTGTATTTTGCATCTTTGCAGAGCCAAATCTCAAAATACCCAGGTGGACAAAGTGAGGGAGGGCACAGAAAGACCTTTTGGTAGTTACAGGGTTTCCACGCCCAATAAAATAACTCACTCTTATATAAAAAGACATTGATTTTTCTATTTTTACTCTAAAAGAATTCACACCATGTCCCAAAATGTTCATTAGTCGTAACAAAGCAAGCCTAAGGCTTTCCCTTGAAATGAAAATGTTTATTATAATAGCAAAGAAAGAAATTAGGTTATTCTGAACGTATTTGTTCTTAGTGATTACCTGCTGAAGTCCAGTGGTGATTATTTTCTTTTTCGAGTAACTCTCAAATTATCCCTTTATAATGAAATGCTGAGGAGCAGCCTCTTCCTACAAGTCTCTCTGTCTCTTCTCCTTTCTCAACCTCTCTCTGGAAAGACTTGGAGCATGCGCCTACCCTCACCCTTGCTCTATCATTAAGCTCTAGGAATCCTGTTGCTACGTTTCCTTACTGGCTTTTAGAAAGCAGAAGCAGGTATCTGAGTGAAGCCCTTGACTTCTGAGCATGCAATGGGTGCTGCTCCTCTGAACCTCATCCAGCCAGAGATATCTAGACAAGTCTGAAGCTCTGTGTTGCCTTCGACCTTTAAAATCTCTACTCCTGAACCTATTGTCTAATTATATGGATAAACATTTTTAATCTTACCCAAAAACAGTAAGCTCATTTCTAGAGAGAGCTTACAAGAGCGGTTGAACTGCTATCCTTTTCTCATCCCTAGAGCCAGAATGAAGATAAATTAGGTTTATGTGATGCCAGGCAGCAGTCAGTAATGTGGCACCTGTTTTCCTCCAAAGGCACATCATGACATGTTTCTGACTCTGATGGAGTCCTTGTAGTATATCCTCCCAAAGGTTAAAAATGAATAGAGTGATTGGGGGTCAGGAGCCCACTGCCTTAGCCTTCTTCACCAGCTTTCTCATCTTTCAACCATGGCCAGCAAGTTTTTTTTTTTTCCCTGTATGGACTCACAGTACTGTGGTTTTGGTATTGGCGCCCACGCTGATTTGGGCTAATCCCAGAGAAAAATATATTGAGTTATGCATTTTTCTTTGGTAAATCTGGCCATGTCTGACTTAATGTAAGAAATCTGCAAAGTAACATTGAAATTCCTCAGTCATTCCTCTCCCCTCCATCTTTGACAGACTCACGTATTCGCTGTGTTATACATTTATTTACCCGTTAATTTTAGGAAATGTGAAGGCTGGGAAGTCTTGGTTCTCTTACTGCTTGCTTTATAGTATAAGTGTCTCCTTTGTGCTTACAATGTGTTATGTTCGAGGAGAGGGTGCTGAAGAAGGAGAGTGGCAGGGTGTGATGGCGTAGGGATTTTGTAGGTAAAGAAAGAGGCATTCATGATTTCAACAGCTAAGATGAGAATTATCTTAAGGACAGCACATTAGACACCTTTTTGCTCACCTTATCCTGCTCACCCACAAAGTTTCCTTCCAGCTCTGAATGCCATGATTGATCATAACCTTACTGAGCACAGTCAGTATGGTACTTTGTTTCTATGTGGTTTCTCTTTTGGAGTCCTAACACATTGCCTTGTGCTAAGTATTTGCCCTGTATGTATCTGAGCCGAACGGTTTTTCTTCTTTCATTTTTAACTCACCCATCAGTGTAACATGTCTTACTTCCTAGATGGACTTGATCACGTCTACCTAATTAAATGTCCTGTTAGACATTCTGCCGAAGTTTAAAAAGGTACAGTTTGTATATATTTTTACTTATGTTATTTTTGTTAGAGAAAGGGAAGGAAAAACTAAAATAAGATAAAATTCTTTGATTTGCTTTTAATAACTACCCTTTGGGATATTTTAGAATTGAAGTAGTAGCTATATATTTGTTTTTAATTATTATTCTAAAATTGAAAGGAACTTGTAAGCAAGCATGTTGGTGATGACGTGTCAGGTGCTGAAGTGAAATTGAATCATCTTTTATGTCCCAAGCAAAGCAAGAGCACCATCACAAACATCCTTATTTCCATCTTTTAAAACCCCTCAAAGGCAGAAATCTTTTTTCATTCATAACCAGTCAAAAGCATGAACAACCCTTCTGGATACAGGAGGTTCCCAGGCCAACCTCAAATCATTAACGACCAACTTTGATATTGGTTCCAAGTCTTTCAAATACATGGCGGTTTGGCAGTCAGATACAAGCTCTATTTTTGTAAAAAGCCTTTTCACTTCTCTGTTCAGGTCATTTTTAAATGTTTTATTAATGACCACATCAACAGGCTGAAGGAGGTCACTATTGCTGAGATGCAGATAAAAATGAGTATTATGGTTTTTTTCTCCCAGTTGGCTCAGTGGGAAATCCTATTAGTGCTCTAAGAAGTTATATAATTAGCATGGCACCCGCTGCTCGTTTGTTGAGCCAAACTGGTTTTTAATGTTCAGAATACAAAACATGGCAGGGCCATCTTCATAATGCTCTGTGCTGTCACTGGTTGCCAGGAGCGTTTCTGCGTGACCGATCCATAATAACAGCAATGATGAGAGCCACAATTAAATAGCACCCTGTGTTTGGAGCACTGGTCCTTCAGGTATCCCTTAGTCCAGTGAGTTCCTGAATGCTGGAGAGTGTGTAACATCAGTGCCATGTGTGCTCTGTCTTCTGGTGCAGAGGAAGAGAGTTACCAGCAATGGTGGCCAGCCACTGGCAAAATGGGTGCTTTTCTTCCATCCCTTTTTTCGTCAGAGACTTCCTCTGATTTGACAGGATCACACACTTTAAGCATGTTTCAGTCTTCTATATCTTCTAACTTCACATGAACTTGGCTCTTTGATTTCACCAAACAAAGCCATTACTTTAAATTTATTTATAAGGGCAACAATTATTAGCTGGATTATCAGAAAACTTCTCAGATTCTCATGGGCTTGTTTCACTCCCTGACAATTATCAAGGTAAGTCAATCCCAGTCTCTTTGTTTCAAACCCCAAGCCAGAGTGTCAGTCTCCACCTCCACATGGTCAGGGCCTGTTTACTCAAGCAATGCTGGGCCGCTTGAGGACATGCAGGGGCCTGCCTCCCCCAAATCTTGTTATGTATGTTGGGTTCATTGTTAGCAGCTGCTGTAGGACTCAGTGGAGGATTTGATACCTACACTCTTGTTTAGGATAGGTGAAGGGATGAGACAGAAAAGATCTCAGGGCAGGGACTAAGATTGGACTTGTAAAACACAACACCTAAAGATTATACATATTGCTGTTGATGTTTTTTCACTAATACTGAGTGCTTGCAGAAGGCACTGTCCATGCCTTCTCCTCATAGTTATGCCATGAAGTAGTTCGTGTCACTACCTTATTTTATAGATGAAGAGAGAAAGACTTGGAAAGTTAAGTAAATTGCCCCAAGGTCTCATAGCTCGTCAGTGTTACAATCCGTATTTAAACTCCAGAATGTTATCTCCAGAAACCAAGGTAGGACAGGCTGAGTCGGCCTAAGCAACCAAGTACTTTGTGCTCTCCTTTGACTCCTCTTGATGAAAGGATAGGAAAGGAGTCAGAAAAGAGGCTGTTACAAGGAGTTATGCTCCCCTGCCTTCTCTGTTCAAATAAAATAAGTGTATTGTACACTTCAGAACAGCCTGAAACTCAGTGCACAGGTGGCTCAGGAACAGCGTTTTAGAGCCATAAATGTAAAGCTTTTGTAGCCATCCAGAGCTCTGCTACATATACCAAGGCCAGAGTAGGCCACAGCTTCTATATATTGAGTCTTGTCTGAGCTGAACCCACCATCCCAAATGTTGACTGTTGGCTCACTGCTCAGGAGGAATAGTTTCGTAGCCGGAAGTCTCTTCAATGGAACAGAGCCCTTTACCTTTCTTAGATTTTGTCCTAATGCGATATTTCCTCTATTGAGCATAGCTCTGACCTGCAAAGCACCTCAAATGCTCTCAGCCCAGAAACTCTTTTTTTTTTTTCTTTTTGCTGGTGTTACTTGAGTGTTTATTAAGGGTTAAGGTTGCTGACTTCCGTACCTAGAAATGTTGTCAAGTATACTTACATTTAATATACTGCCATGCATCAGGTAAGGACGACTATTGTATCCCTTGATTCAGTTCAACTTCATGAATATTTATTGGGAATGTACTTATGTTGGCAGACCTGTGCCAGGTTCTTTAGGGGAGAGAGACTACCCAACATCTTAGCTCCTCTGACCCATCTCTTGAATTCTGTGTATTTGCCAAAAAGGCTTATAACTGTTAACCTTTACCATCCTTTTATTTTTCAAATGAACATTCAGCAACTCGACTTCTTCTTAAACCAAGTAATTTTCTTAAATTAAAGTTGACAGAGAATCAATGGTTATTTTATTTTGCCTCAGACATAGAGGAAAGCTCTCCTATATGTTACCCATCGGGGAAAGGGCCCTCTTATCTTTTCCTTCAGAGCTTCTTTCCTCTCTCCAGTCGCAGGGGCACTGTTTTTTAGGTTTTTGTTTTGCTTTGTTTTTTTGTACCTCCTTTCTGAAAAGCACGTCTGTCACTTTACTGTGAAGAGGCAAATAGCAGGTTGTTTGCAGGATGCACTGTATATACACTTCTGAAGAGTGAGAACTTGTCTTTGTCCAGCCTGACATCCTTTATTAAATTTTTACTCAAGAGGTCAGGAAAGATAAGCTAGTCTTAAAAACTTGTCAGAAGTCAACGGTTTAGGTAAAGGACAGTCATTGAAGAAACCATTATGAAGGAAATTGTTGGGTGTATCTTTTTCATTAGTTATTCTTAGGTATGGAAAACACATTACCCCCACAGTCTTGTTAAGTCCTTAACTTGGTGGTACAGTTACACCCCTGGGTGTTGCTTATTCAACATTCTCAAAGAACAAGTTTTTCAAATCATCCAAATGTGAGTTATGGCTCTAATCATACAGATTCCATGACTCATACACAAAAATCAGCTTTATTATTTGATAATCACACGGCATGTGTTTAAACACTGAGGAAAATGTTTTGAGCGTTTGAAATACGATTACATATTATACCAGTCTGCTTTTAAGTCTTGTCCTTGGATATATCCTTCATGGTGGAGTTGACATTGCACCATTGAAGACTATATTTCATGAATAAGCACAAGGGTTTTTCTACTTTTGGCAAACTTCAGGTGCTTGGAAATTTCCAATTAGGGTGGCTGGTATCTATGCCAAGTGATTGATTTCATTTTATTTACTTTATTTGGAACCGTTGAAGGGATGATGTCTTCCCAAACCATTGTAATAATGAGTGGTATAAGTTAGTGTTCCAGAGGCCGAGAACAAATTTAGTTTTTACCAAAGGGACAAATGTTGACTTTTAAATATTTGTCAGAATCAGATAGTATATTAGTTTGCTAGGGCTGCCTTAACAAAGAACCACAAACTGGGTCGCTTAAACAATAGGAGTTTATTTTCTCATTGTTCTGGCGCCTAGAAGTCTACGATGAAGCTGCCCAAAGGTTTAGCTTCTCCTGAAGTCTCTCTCTATGGCTTGTAGAAGACCTTCTTGCTGTTCTTATGTGATCTTTCCTCTGTGCGGGCACATGTCTGTGTCCTAATCTCTTCTTATAACGACACCTGTCCTGTTGGATTAGGGCCCACCCTAATGATCTCACTTAACTTTAATTACCTCTTTGAAGACCCTGTCCCCAAATACGGTCACATTCTGAGGTACTGGCTGTTAGGCTTTCAACATGAATCTGAACTGTGTGTTCAGCCCATAAGAAATGAGAAGGGAAAAGGCTTCATGTGGTGGCCACTTCTCAGGGCCACTCTGTGTTAATAAGAGTTGTGTGGGCAGAACAGCAGTGGGGCTTAAGAAGGGGCATCCCTGGGAAGCAGATAAGGCTGAGCTTCAGATTTCCCTTCTCTTACTTGAGGGAATCTTCAGATTTAAAAAGAAAATAGATTTTGTAAAAAACTGACCTGGAAACAGTGTCAGGTATTTGTCGTCTCTTTAAATACTGTCATGCAAATCATACCCCTTCTGGTACCCTTGCCCTTCTGGGAGATGTCACCCTAAAAGGGGCTTTCCAAGCTCTGCTCTCAGCTTTCAGGCACCCACTCCGCTCTTCTCCAGGGCAGGCCAGAGGAGTTTCAGTCCTGTGAGTGTTAGTCATTGGAGAACCATGTAACCCCAACCTCCAAAAACAAGCAGATGCATTTTTTCTTTCTTTTTGCCTTGAGAGAATCTTTGGATTTTTGGTTTGTTTAGACATTCTGCATGAAAAGTCCTGTCCTCATCCGGTCTCCTGGCAAGTGTGCCCTGATGTATTCTCGTGCATGGATGTTTCCTTCTGATATACATTAACAACCTAGCAAATGCCTAGGAACAATGTTACTTTCTGTGCAACTATGTATTTTATAAATAATCATTTGCTGAAGTAATTTCAGAAAAGTTGAACTTGAGGATTTATAGTGGCTCTGCCCAAGGGTCATTCATCCTAGACTGTAAATGCAGTTACTTACAGGCCTTTTACCTGAAGTGGATCAAAAGGGGAAATACTTGCTCCATCTCATTCATCATCAAATTTAATTATCTTGCAGTACCACCTGTGGAAAAGTCAGGGGGATTCTGCTTACATTTCTACCCTGGAGGACACTGGCGTTAACACTTCTTATTAATTAGTTCTTCACAGTTTTTTCCTTTGATGAGTGATCATTTTCCTTTTAAATTTGCTAATCTTTAATATAATTTCCCCTGGATTCGATTACACATATACATTAATAGTAAAATTACAGGAATAGGAAAATTAAAGTATGTTTCTATTTCTGTGATTTCTTGGCTAAAGTTTAAAGAATGTATTGTCTGCTCACTTTATATTTTTTGTGATTTATGCTGGTTCTCTATGGCTAACTCACTTGATTAATCACACACATCTTTAAAACTTTTAAGCAAAAAAAATTACTTCTTCCCTATTCTGAAGCAACAAAATTGGGAGATTATTATTATTATTTTGAGACAGAGTCTCGCTCTGTCACACAGGCTAGAGTGCAGTGGCTGGATTTCGGCTCACTGAAAGCTCCGCCTCCCAGATTCATGCCATTCTCCTGCCTCAGCCTTCCGAGTAGCTGGACTACCGGCGCCCGCCACCACACCTGGCTAATTTTTTGTATTTTTTAGTAGAGACGGGGTTTCACCGTGTTAGCCAGGATGGTCTCTATCTCCTGACCTCGTGATCCGCCCACCTCGGCCTCCCAAAGTGCTTGGATTACAGGCATGAGCCACCGCACCCGGCCCAAAATTGGGAGATTTAGCTGAGTACATGTCCAAGGTGTTGGCCAGACACAGAACTTCCTTTGGAAGTTGCCACATCCAGCAACCCACTCTCTTAGGTGTTAGCCACCAGCTTTCCAAGAGAGGACATAAGCCAGTCTCCTGCATGTTCATGGCAGAATGTTACTTCTGCTTCCTACAGATGGTTTAGCTAAGGGGAAAGATCTATGTCTAATCAGTACATAGACTTTCAGACCCCTTCAAATACCCGTCGGAGAAAGCAGTCATGAAATCGCCCTTTGTAGCACTTGACAAGACACTTTTGGGGCCTCAGGAAGAAGTGTGTATAGGCGATCCATTTCTCCAGGTTCTTTGAGCTCCCTCTGTTGAGGTAAATCATCAGTAAACAATGTGCTTCTGATGTATTATTTCAGCTCCCAGCAGAAATGCCATCACTCAGGCAAGATTTAATATTGTGTCTTCAGCACCTGGGAGAAAAAAACTTTCATCGTTTGCACCATATGGTTGAAGACATTTATATGAAAAAGGCTTCTGTCTTTTGTAACATAAGTTGAAGACATTACTCAGTGTCCCTTATAAAGGGTCTTCCATAATAAAATTTTCCCTGAAATTAATGCCAAGATAAACAAAATCTGCCTTGCATGTTTCTCTTTTGATGAAGTTAGAACTATACTATGCAACAGTTTCCCTTTTCTGCCTTAGTTTCAGGCAAGTAAAGCTAAATCCGGTGCTCAGTTGGAGTAACTGACATCTCAAGTATGTACTAATGTCTCTTTCTGCATTCCTTTTAATTAATGTCTGTTATTTTTAACAACAAAATGTTCAGTTATATATTTAGTTTAATTTTGAAACTATTTAACATCCTTCTTGCAAGAATTAAACCAAATAACTAGTTGGCAAAAACCATAATTGTCCTTAATAGTTAGAGTTTGTAACAGTTTGTGCCTTAAAGATATAAACTTCTATTGTCTTAAAAATGCATTTATCTCAGAATGTACCAATGTGTGCAGCTCCACCCACCTCGCCATATACTGTTCAGTTTGTATAAATACACCTACTAAGACATGATGTCTGGGTCCCAAATGGACACATATTAGGTTCATGTCTTATAGATGCCTTTACATTCCTGTTAGAAAGTACTTAGCGTGTTGGTTTGGGAGCCTCATGCATGGGAGAGAGGTATACATCACAGAGACAATGATGAGTCTGTGAGTTCTCTGCAGTAAAACCCACCACACCCTAAACTTAAAGGCACAAATAATGTTAATGAAGGCTGGTCCTGTATCAGTTGATTGAAAAGAACAGTGATCTACAGAGATCCTTACATAGTGAGCATGATTAACATTTTTTCCTGCTACAAAAAAGTGTGAACTTTGACCAGACTATCATGTTTCTGCTCCTACCTGCCATTAACATGAGTCTGGTATTTATATGATTACTCCTTTTCCCCTTTGCCCCATAAGTGAAAATAAGTTCAATAAATATATTCACTAGACATCCTAAATGCTGAAAAGGACTGCTTGCTACATGTGACATTATAGTTCCATAATCTTGACAGGAAGCAGCACCCTTACACAATGACCTGTTCTCTCCTGATTTACTATAGCTGGGATGTAACACAAGTGACTTTGTGCTGTGTAGGTGAAACATTCTTAAAATTTTATGTATTCAGCTCTGAAGTAAATATGACAAAATATTACCATTTTTAAAATTCTGGATGGTAGGCACATGTGTATTCATTGTATTACTCTTTGCACATTCCTGTATGTTGAAATGTTTTTTATAATTTTTGAAACTATTATGTAATAGAGAAAAAAAAAGAGTCCACCATGGTTGTTTAGGTTGAAGAGTGGGTAAGGTTAGGGAGAGGAAACAGCCATGCCCTTCACCTGGCAGGCATGGAGATTTTCCAGAGGTTTCTGTCAGAGAAAATCACCTTAACTTAGTTTGGATTACTTCTAGATGAAAACTCTTTTTCGTAGCTAGGGAAGAAGTCTGTTATTTATATTTCTGCATGCGATTTATTCATGTGTCAGCCCTGGACTGAGTATTAGAGATCTCTCCATGAAAGGCTGACATGTGTGCACTGCTAGTGTCGGTGTCAGCTGTGTGAAATCCTATGCAGCCAGACTGTTTGCTCCCTGCAGGCCGCAAACCTAAAAGGGTCCTTCAGGCTGTCAGGTAGCCAGCGGGAACTGTCAAGAGTCTCAAGCCTGAGGTTCCAGTTGCAGAAGAACCTGCAGTTAACCAGTGTGTGAGGCCAAATTCTTTAAAATATGTTGAGATATCTTATTTGAAGAAAACCTTGTGCGTATTTGTGTATGTGTGTGCTCATGCACACACGTGTGCATGTACGTGTGTGTACATACATGTGTATGTGTACATGCATGTATGTATATCACTTAGTCTCTGCTTTTGTTGTTGTTAAAGGGAACAGTGTGACTTTCTGATCTATCTGACATTGGTTTGGGGCTGTGTGATGCTGCATGGCTTGATGCAGACTAGAATTCCAGATGCTACTAACTACATTTTCTAGGCCAGGGGCATATTTCTGCACGTGTGGAGGTGCACGCTGAAAGGAATTTTCACTTTTTAGAAGACTCACTGATCCAAAAGACACTTTTGCAGTAAGTTAAATGTAAGGGCAAGGGTTTGGAGGGGAGGGGAAAGTATGTGGTTCAGCTACTATTCTCACAGCCTTGGAGCATATGGCCCATGGTGGCTGGAGATACACACATCCAGGAGAGCTTCGATTTCGGGCAAGGCTGTGGGCCACAGTGCTGATAGGTTCAGCAGTGGTTCTCAACCTTTAGAGCCACAGATAGAGGGCACAAACTGTTTCCTTTCCCCTACCTTACCCACCCTCCAACCTCAACAAACTCAGTGGTTCTTTTTTCCTCTAGTATATAATACTTTCAAAAATTATAAAAAACATTTCAACATATAGGAATGTGCAAAGTAATAAATGCACATGTATCTACCATCTAGAATTTTGTGTGTGTGTGTGTAGAGACCAGATCTCACGGTGTGTCCCAGGCTGGTCTCAAACTCCTGGGTTCAAGTGATCTTCCCTCCTCAGCTTCTCAAAGTGCTGAGATTACAGACGTGAGCCACTGGGCCTGACATAGAATGTGTTAAATGGTAACATTGTGTCATATTGACTACAGAGCTGATTATATAAATTTTAATTTCTGCCATCATATCAATCATGGAAGACACTTTCCCGTCTATAGTGCCTCTCACTGCATGCAGCAATTCTTAACTGAGTGCAGGGGTATAACTGGGGGAAAAGTCTTCCTTTTAGAGATTGCACCTCCCCTCACCCTGCCTGCAGTTTGAGAGCCATCAGTCTAGAATAAAGAGCAGTGGTCTAGAGGTCCTGAGTCCCAGGTTCTGTTGTCATTTCTTCCGTTAATGGCTCCTGGCACAAACCTGACACATAGTAGGTGATCAATAATGATTTATGGAGAATGGCATGAATTAACCAGCTGTGTTATCTTAGACAAGCCACTTAATCTCCTTGGCTTCAGTTTCTTCACCTAAAGAATCAGAGAAATGGATTAGGTGACCTCTAAGGCCTCTTTCAGTTGTAAAATTATATGATTCTGTGATTGGACCTTTACCTCGGAGGAAGATTAATTTGACAGGAGTGTGAAGGATGGATCAGAGTGAGAGCCAAGAGAGGGGAATACACCTTTCTCTGAATTAGTTCAAGATTTCCTTCGCTACTAGTATTTTTTAAGCACTTACTTACATTGTTTTTCCCTGTAGTTTACATAAACTGACCATCATTTTCTGCAAAGATCGGAAACTTGTTAATGACTGGAACTATGACTTTTTCTCCCTATTTCTATGTGCCTCAAAATATGAGGCCTAATAATGGCTTATAGCAGTAGCACAGAGTTCATACAGTGTTTTCACACAGCTTGTTAAATCTGCGAGGGAAGCATTATTTCCCCTTTTTACTGCAGAGGAAACCGAATGTTGGAGAGGTGAAGTGGCTTACTGAATGTCATTGCTGGTAAGTGGATTAACTCCAAATTGGGCTCAGCTGACCAGTCTTCAATTCCCGAAGGAGTCTCCAGTTCTGACGTGAAGACACTGCCATAGGAAGGCCCCGGGATGAGCAGGGATACTGCTTCAGAGCAGCCGTCAGCTTGGCCACAGGAAGCTGCCCCTTTCACTTCGTGGCTCTTTTATTTCTGGCCTTCATTTGTAGGTTCCTTCTGTGTATCCTCATATTGCCTAATCTTTTCATGTCTCATTAAGTACAACAATTTTCCCTGAGGGCTGCACATTCGTCTGCCAAGGACTATTCCCTGAATAGCAGCTCCCTCAACCTTTTACAGCCCTTTTTCCTGCTGTTGTATGTCTTTAGCCTTAGCAAAAGCCATGTATACGTGTGTATATGTGAGTGCATGTGAAATACTCTTTACTTATTCAGTCATTTCTTCTCATCTGTGGTAGACGATGGTGGCCTGACCTTGGTCAGTAGCAGTGAAGTTTGAGAGAAACGGATGATACGAGAACTCTTACAGAGGTATAACCTACAGGTCTTGATAGTGGGCCATCACTATCATTTACTGCCATAAGGAGCTAAGGAAGGGAAATGTATCTGAGAGGAAAAGTGATACATTCCGTTTTGGAGATGCTGTGCCTTTTGGTGTCTTTTTGGACATTGCATTGAGAGATACCATATAGGTAGTTGATAATGAATTTTCAGCTCTGGGGCAGTACCTGAGATTGAGTTATGGATTTGGAATTAATCATCAAGGGAGAGAATGAGAAGGGGAAATGGTGAGGGATGGAACATTAACACTGAAGAGACAGCCATACAGAGGTAGAGGAGTGTTTGGGGCACACAGAGAAAGGGCAGCTGGGGGACTGGAGGAGACCAGAAGGAGGTGGTATTACAGAAGCCAGGGAGAGGCACTTTATAAAAGCCAGACTTGTAAACTCTGCATTCATTCATCTGTTCAACAAATACTATCTGTGTACCCAGTAGGCGGGTAAGGGATGTGCACTGGTGAAGATAATGGGTAACATTTTTTAAAGTTCCAGCTTTAGTTCAGCTCTGTTGTTCAGACTGTGATTTTGGATCTATTCTTTATCCTTTCTAAGCCTCAGTTTCCTTGTCTCTAAAATAATAGAGGATAAGAGCAGTTCCTGCTTTAAGAGTTGCTTTGAGTTTGGACTGAGATAACATATGTAAAACATCAAGCATGTCCCAGCAGATAGGAAATGCTGTTGTCTTAGTCCATTCGTGCTGATACAACAAAATACCATAGACTGGGTAATTCGTAATGACCAGCAATGTATTGGCTCTTGGTTCTGGAGGCTGGGAAGTCTAAGGTTGGGGGCTGCACCATCTTAATGTCTTCTTGCTGTGTCATGCCATGGCAGAAGTGCAAAGAGAGGGTGAGAGAGAGCAAAAGATTAAACTCACAGCCTCAAGCGCTTTTAGAATTGGCATTAATCCATTTGTGAGGGTGGCGCCCTCATGACCTAAACACCTCTCATTAGGCCCTACCTCCCAACACAGTCACATCAGGGATGAAGTTTCCAGCACATCCTTTTTGGGGGAGACATTCAAACCATAGCAGCTGTGAATTATTATTTCCCCCTCTCACAGTTGAGGAAACAGGTTACAGAAGGCCAAATAAGTAGTTTGTGGTTTTGAACTCAGATCCCCATCTGCATGGGTCACATTATCTCCTCATCCTGCCCCAGGCGGCCTCCTCGTGTGAAGCAGAAGTATCTGCCCAGCTCACTGGGAGCCACAGTCCATCCATTTCTTCTCCTAAGACTGTGGGGATGGACTTTGGTTTGGTGCCCAGAGTAGGACAAGAGGCAAGCTGAACTAAAAATGATGTCCTGACCAATTCCTAGCTTAGCCTTTTTAAAAGGCCCCCTTCCTACTCCTGATAGCGGGGAGATAGTCCAGGAATTGAGTGTGTGGGTATCCCTTTGAAATTCCCTGGACACTAACAGCTGCACCTTCACCTGGAATTTCGGGTAAAAGTAAGGAAGAAGAGGGCTGTTGATGAGAAATCTTCTGCTGCTTAGGAGCGAGCAGCTGCTCCTGGGTCCCTGGGAAACACTATCCCTGGCACTCTTACAGAGACCCTTGGTGGTGTTGCCAACCTCAAAGCTCGGGGAAATAGTTGCCTTTCATCTTCATTTGAGAGCATCCCTGCGGTGGAGGGTATACAATGCCAGTGACACTTACTGTTTCTGATGCTCTTTGACAATGAGTGGTCTTTGGATTTCTACCGCTTTAATCACATCTGGGTCTTAGAGTGTGAGTGCCCTCATACTGCTGCTGGCATGGGCTAAGAGACGGTAATGTGAGGCTGAAGGATGCAAATAGTTCTGAGCTGGCATTTTGGCTTTGGAGCCCTCCAGGAGCAATAACTCTGTCAGATTGTCCTGACACGGTACATTAAGAGGTGCAGATAAAAGCTACATCCTGTAAAATATATACTTCAATCGCACCTGCCTTCTGCACCTCCACCACTGGGAAGGGATGGGTGTCCGTTCGTGTTCTGCATTACCAGCCTCTTAGCCAGCTGCCTCGTTTGATTGTTCGTTGTGTCACTTGAAGATGAACTGAAAGAACAAGAAGAAAAACTTAATGCACGCCAATCTGTATCTCTGAACTTCTCACGTTAAATAGACATAGCAAAAAAAAAAAAAAAAGTTTGTCAGCACTGAACATCAATTACTAAACATTTTTTTAAAGTCAGGCTGGGCATGGTGGCTCACACCTGTAATCCCAGCACTTTGGAATCCTGAGGTAGGGGGAATCACTTGAGTCCAGAGTTCAACACCAGCCTCAGCAACATAGCAAGACCCTTGTCTCTACAAAAAATTAAAAAATTAGCCAGGTATGGGGGCACATGCCCATAGTTTAAGCTGCTCAGGAGGCTGAGGAAGGAGGATTGCTTGAGCCCGAGAGTTCGAGGCTGCAGTGAGCAACAAGTGTGCCACTGTACTACCTGGGCAACCAAGTGAGACCTTGTCTCTAAAAGAATCCAAAAAATGAAAAAAACGAATTTCAGTTTTATAAGTTTATGAATTGTATTTTCTTTTCGTTAGGTTTCTGTGGCTTTATTTTTCTTTCCCATGATTAATTTCTCCCATGCCTTCAGTCTGTGGGTCTGTGTATCATTTATTTGACTCTTTTTAGTAGATCCTTAAAAAGAACTTTGAAGTTTACCATTTCAGAAAACTTCATCCCCAGAAATCGGTTTATTACTATCAGCAGAAGTTATATTTTATATTTGCCCTCACTAATGAATGGTAATAGACTGAATCTGGCCCACACATTAGTGTGAACATTTTAAAATTAGTATCAACAATTAAAACTATGGAATGTCATATAAAATTTCAAATTTCTTTTTTCTCTGACAAATCTGAATATTGAGCAACATTGAGTCCAATCCTGTCTGGCCATAACCTGCAGGCACTGAATAGTGGTTGTCCCCTTTAGATGGGGAAGAAGCTTTCCAGCTGGCACAGTCCCCACATCTCCCTGGTTATTAATACATTCTGATTTATTCAAAGTTCCTGCAATAGTGCTTACAAATGGTGGGTAAGAGCATAAATGGGTGCAACTTAAATGAAGGGGAATTTCATAATGTGTGTCAAATTACAAATGCATATATCCTTTGACCAAAGAATTCACCTCTAGACATTTATTTTTATACTTGTATTTATGCAAAATGACCTAAGAATAAGGTTACTTATTGAAGCACTGTTTACAATAGTGAAAGATTGGAAACAGTCTGTTCATAGAATGGGAACTGGTGAAAAAAGGCTGTAGCATCCCAGAGAAAACTATGTAGTTATAAAGAAAAGAATGAGAAAACTCTCTACAAACTAACATGGAGAAATTCCAAGATGGTATTATGTTAAAAGAGAGGCAAGATACAGAACAGTGGATATACTATGCTATCATCTGTATTCAATATATATGTATATTTGCTGGTACATGCATAAAACATCTCAAGAAGTATGCACCAAATTCATAAAACACTGATTGCCCCTGGAAGGGCAACCAGGTAGTTGGGTGACAGGAGTGAGAGGGCCAATTTTCACAGAATATTTAATGCCCTATTGTACCTTTTAATTTTTAAGCCATATGATTGTATCACCTACTTAAAAAAAAAATAAATGTCCTTTCTGAGTTCTGTATGTATTTGCATTTTCAGTGCAATGAGCTATAAGAGGCTGTACCTTACCAAATTTAAGAGTTTTTATTTTAAGATTAAAAGGATTTTTAATAAAAATTATCAAAGGCAGCCGAGTGTTGAAACTGTTACTCTCAAGTTTTTATCATTTCCTCTATAAAGTTGCTCAGACTTAGTTTCTGGCCTTAAATCATACCTATTTTCAGCTTCCCTGAAATCAAGAGTGTCCTGTGCCATATCAATTAAAGTAAATGTACTTTCAATTAAAGGTGTTAAGTATGAGTCTGAAAAGATTAATTCTTTATAAAAAGATGACCTTCAGTAGTTCGCTCCAATTAGGCATTTTTCCAACTATATTTCATCTTGATGGGACAAGTCTACTACTCACAATCAATCACTGTGATCTTTTCAAAGGCGAGTATTTTAGGTTCAGAGTCATAAAAAGAATGACTTGACTACGCAGCCTCCATAACTTGAACCACAGGTGATATAGGCAGAGATTATGGGTGTTGGATATTACTTTTTGTGTTATTAATATTTGAAGCATCAGGATATGCATAGTGATATTCTGGGTACAGTTCTTACACCTCTCTTCTCATGACCTTACTAGAATAAATATATTTAAATAAGACTGATGGAAAGGAAGAGAGGAAATGAACAATGACACAAATTAATGTCCAACCAAATTCCTCATTTTTTTCCTGTCATTTTATTATTAAACACATTATAAATACTTGCTTTCCTCATGGTTGTTTTGTTATTGGACTACTTTAGTTTGAAGTGAATCATTGCTCATATACAGCACATAAAACCAAGACTATTAAGGAAATGAATGCTTGGTGATTGTTTTATGAGAACATGCAAAATCTTGGGGAATAACATTGCTTTCTCTTAAAAGTTAAAGGAATTGAGCATTTCTGTTTGTATTTGGTACCTTCAGTATGGAATTATTGGCCTTCACTCTGCCATTCATTAAATTTGTAAACTTGGAGAAGCCATTGAACACAGTCATGGAAAAAATGGAAAACAAATAATACCTCTTTGCATATCTCAAAGGTTAATTATTGGAATTAAATGAGATTATATATGATATATAATAAATGATTATATATGATACATAATCTCATTTAATTATATATAATATATACATATATGTGTATATTATGTGTACATGCATATGTATGTATGTGTATACATTTATATATTAGTGTTACTTAAAATGTAGTCCAGTGACCCTGGGAGTCTTTGAGACCCTTTCAGGGAGCCCATGAGGTCAAAACTATTTTTATAATAGTAGCAAGAAATTACTTGCCTTTTTCACTCTTTCACACATATTCAGTGGAATTTTTAAATTCCTGTGTCTGTAACATTCAACATTGCAACAGCTTGCAGAAACAATTGTAAGATTCGAGCTGTCCTAAGCCTGATATTACAGAGGTTTACAAAACTGTGAAGCAATGGACTCTTTTTCACTGAATTGTTTTCATTTTGAAAAGGAAAGTAATTTTTCATATAAAATTTATATTGACATATAATGGGGTTGTCATTTTCAAATTAATAAATTTTTTTAAATTGTCAATTTTAATTTCTAATATAGTAAACTTTGATAGATATAGTCCACATAAACAAAATCTCTTTAGGGGTCCTCACTACTTTTTAAGAACATAAAAGTGTCCTAAGACCAAAAAGTTTGAGAACTGCTAATATATATGAAAGCACTATGTAAATGTGCAGTGGTGACGTTGGTAGTTTATTAAGAAACTTTGCCAGGCGCAGTGGCTTACACCTGTAATCCCAACACTTTGGGAGGCTGAGGCAGGCTGATCACTTGAGGTCAGGAGTTCAAGACCAGCCTGGCCAACATGGTGAAACCCTGTCTCTACTAAAAATACAAAAAATTAGCTGGGCGTGGTAGCACACTCCTGTAGTCTCAGCTGCTCGGGAGGCTGAGGCAGGAAAATTGCTAGAACCCGGGAGGCAGAGGTTGCAGTGAGCCAAGATCTTGCCACTGCATTCCAGCCTGGGAGACAGGCAACAGAGCAAGACTCCATCTCAAAAAAATAAATAAATAAATATAAAGAAAGTTTAAGCTATTTAAACAGTGCAGCACACAAACCATCCTCCCACTGCAGGCACTGTTGTGAATGGTACACTCCACCTCCAGGGCAGGGTTCTTTAGTCTGGGGTCCAACATGATTTCTAAATCCTCTGTAGTTACCTACAATTTTGTGCATAAGTTATGTGCGGTAATCCCTCCATATCTTCGCAAGGGTACGTTTCAAAACCACTGTGAATAACTGAAGCCAAAGATAGTACTGAACCATCTATGCAGTATGTTTTTCCCTATATATACGTACTTATGATAAAGCTTAATTTATAAATTAGGCACAGTGAGAGGTTAACAACAAGAACTAATAATAAAATAGAACAATTACAACAATATAATGGCATAAAGGATATGTGAATGTGGTCTCTCTCTCTCAGAATATTTTATTATACTGACATGGGTAACCGAAACCATGAAATGTGAAATCACGGATAAAGGGGGACTGCTGTATCTACTTTCTTTTAGGGTGAGGATCCACAATTTTCACAGTTTTCAGATTTCCACAGGTCCTAAAAGAAGCACAGTTATAGGAACTGCGGCAGTCCCTGGTCCCATTTTAGCCCTGAGGGGAGTAGTGATAAAAGTCAAGGTTGGGGAAACCTGAAGGGAGATACAAAGTTCAAGGTCCAAGGCTCTCATATCTCGGTGTGGGCTTGGACATGTCTTGAGGTATTGGCCCTTTACTTCTCCCTGTTTTGTTTATGGAAAGGTGTGAGACTTGGGCTGGCTTTCTAGACACTGAGGAAAAGGGCATTCTTTCAGCAAGTGCCATGCCCTGTGTATCCTTGTGGGCCTCCTTGCTCTTAGTGTGGTTGGATGTGGTAGGACATAAAGAACCAAAATCAGGCTGTGGACCAAAAAGGGCCCAGAGACCAGCTTCATTGTGGTTTGGGCACAGTTCACAGAGACCAGGAGGTTTTACACAGAGCTTTACAGTGCGAATGCTCAGTTTCCCAGCTCCTCAGGAGGATGTTCAGGGATGGGTATTCAGGCCATCTCTGACTCTGTCTTAGACATTTTCAGAGGCTCAGCTAATACTAGTTCATGTTTCCTACTGCAATTTCTTTCTTTCTTTCTTTCTTTCTTTCTTTCTTTCTTTCTTTCTTTCTTTCTTTCTTTCTTTTCTTTCTTTTCTTTCTTTTCTTTCTTTTCTTTCTTTTCTTAAAAATGAGATGAACTCTTGCTCTGCCACCCAAGCTGTAATGCAGTGGTGTGATTTTGGCTAACTGCAATACCTGCCGGGTTCCAGTTCTCCTGCCTCAGCCTCCTGAGTAGCTGGGATTACAGGGATGGGCCACCACTCCCGGGTAATTCTTGTATTTTTAGTAGAGATGGGGTTTCACCATGTTGGCTAGGCTGGTCTCGAACTCCTAACCTCAAGTGATCCACCTGCCTCAGCCTCTCAAAGTTCTGGGATTACAGGCGTGAGCCACTGTGCCTGGCTTCTACTGCGATTTCTTAAGATGTTTTTATTAACCTTAATTCTAGCATCTGTTGATACTTATAATATTTTAGTGTTCTTACAAGAAGTTGAAACTATTCTAATTATAGCTCACTGCCCCTTATTATCATTTCTTAAAATTAATTTGAATGGAAAACTTGTGTCTCAGATATTTATGTATTTAATATCTCCCCAGTGCCATTTAATTTTTAAATTGCATATACATGTATATTTTTCAGTTTTGTGTAAGCCTTTACATTTACTTAAAGTTTTATATATTCATGGGGCAAAATGTTGCAAAATTGCCCACTGAATATATAAAACTTTTAAATTTAGATAAAATTTTAAACTACCAAATGCATACCTTTCTCTTGGTGTTGTGCTACATGATTTAATGTGTAGTGCTTCTTGAATTCTGTCACTGAGACCGTCTTCCCTGTTTGTTTCACTTTTAAAAATGATTTAATAAAATAGTATTTTTCAAGAAAAAAAATGGATACCATTTATTTTAGACTAAAGGCTTCTGAAATTTTTAATAAAATTATATTGGCCAGGTGTGGTGGCTCATGCCTGTAATCCCAGCACTTTGGGAGGCCGAGGCTGGGGGGATCACCTGAGGTCGGGAGTTTGGGACCAGCCTCACCAACATGGAGAAACCCCATCTCTACTAAAAATACAAAAAATTAGCCGGACATGGTGGCACATGCCTGTAATTCCAGCTACTCAGGAGGCTGAGACAGGAGAATAGCTTGAACCTGGGTTGCAGTGAGATCACACCATCGCACTCCAGCCTGGACAACAAGAGCGAAACTCTGTCTCAAAAAAAAAAAAAAAAAAAAAAAATTAAGGTTTCCTGTTTAGTGCAGATTTTATAAAATGAACATTTTGTTTTTGGAATTTTGTGATATAAGCATGTTTATATAAGGTAAATTCAATCAAATTAAAGAAATCTCTTCATTATTACTGTTATAACTATCTTTTCCAGTTAACAAAATACTTGGAGGTAACCTCAAACTGTAAAATGTTATCCACATGTTAGTAGCATCTTGTGAAAATCTGAATACATGTAGTTCGACTAAACTCTGCTTCCCTAGACTTTAATGTATTATATGTTATGTATTTCAGAAACTCCAGAAAGGAACTTAATGACATACGATTTGAGTTTACTCCAGGAAGAGGTAAGTTTTAATTGAAGTTATTATTTTATTGCCTCAAAGAGCATTGCAGAAATTGATTACAAGCATGTGGTTATAATCTGCTATTTAAAACTGCTTTGTTTAATAGTGAAGGAAGGAAGGAGAGATAGACAGAAGGAAGGACTTTTGATACTTCTAAGGATTCCAAACCAAACCACAGCTGACTACATGAATCTCAGTGACACATGCGGCACAGTATACATACCAATATAAGTTAGATATATTAGCTCAACCATGAAAATAAGTATTGCTATGGTAATGCAGGCCCTAAAGGAAATGATGGTGAATGTGATGAGAAGCATACCACAGTCCTAATGAGGGTTGAGCAGCAGTGGGATCATACAGAAAGGTAACATACTTTGCTTCTGTGATCTCAGCTCAGATTACGTGAAGTCTCTATTGGGGAGTGTTTACTAAAATTTTGAAAACTCTGAAGTACAAGAACTTTCTAGCTTGATAGCTGGTCCATCAGTAAACCCTTTGACCCCCTCTGCGGTTATTACCTGCAGGAAGACACAAACTCAGATGTCCACAGAAGCCAAAGTGAATGGTGAGCACTTCAGGAAACTGGAGGATTTCCTATCTTATTTCACCCATGTTCAGTAGTGTTGTTTTTTTTTTTTTTTTTTTTTTTTTTGAACAAAGGCCACCAGCCAAACAAAATATTCCTGGGCAATACTTGGCCATAGGCTTATTGGTCCCTGAATGCTAGTCTTCTGTAAATGCAAAGATTTCAGGATTCCTGGTATATTTGAATTAAACTAAAATATGAAGTATCTTTTAAAAATAAATGTACAGGCCAGGCACAGTGGCTCACACCTGTAATCCCAGCACTTTGAGAGGCTGAGGTGGGTGGATCACTTGAGGCTAGGAGTGTGAGATCAGCCTGGCCAACATGGTGAAACCCCATATCTACTAAAAATACAAAAACTAGCCGGGTGTGGTGGTGCACAGCTGTAGTCCCAGCTACTTGGGAGGCTGAGGCAAGAGAATCACTTGAACCTGGGAGGCAGAGAGTGCATTGAGTCAAGATTGTGCCACTGCGATCCAGCCTGGGTGACAGAGCGAGACTTTGTCTGAATAAATAAATGGACATAAAGCCCTGATGGATTTGCTAATTGATCTTTCTTTCTGGAGGTATCCATCTTTGACAATTTAGAGTTGGTTTATGAAGTTGTACAGCACCAGCTAGTGTTGTCAAAAAGCTATCTATTTTGTCATAATATAAAAATATTGACCAGGCCATGCTGTGATAAAATCTAGTAATTATGTAATAAATGCTTCAATTACAGCAAGTAGAAAGAACAGATTCTTATTTTAAGATTGTTTCTTTTCATCTGATTGTTTAAAATTGACTATGGCAATGAAAATCAATTTTAATTTTAAGAGGTAACAAAGAAGTGAATATGAGCTCAGGACTTTTGTGGGTAACATGGCCCTGTCAGCATTACTGGACCATGGGCACTGGCTTTGGCAGCCGCTTTTGCCGCATTTAGATTAACAGTCCCTGCTTCTGTTGCACAGACAGAACCCATGGCATTGTCTGCCTAATGACAGCCGGCCTTCACTGGGTGGCAGAGCACAGGCCCATTGTTAAAGGAAGTGATGTGCATATATCACTGCACCTCTGTGACTATTGATGCTGTCTGTATTCTAGACTTTGCTTACAGTAAATCTGTGTGCAGTTCACATGCATTATGCTTGTGCTGTATATACATGTGAATAAATATATATGGCACAAAATGTATAACGTAAAATATTCTCTTTCCTCACTTGAGGACAAGCCCTTTGTGTTTAGTGTGCCCCATGTGCTCTGGAAACCAGAAATTAATACATGAATATTTATCCTGTTTAGGCACCAGGGATGTTAAACAGCTTAAAGAAAAATAGATTACTAATGAAACATGAAATAAGTTATTTCACACTTCTGTTCTAAACTATTACTAGTATCTTACTTACATGCATACAAAATAATTGCCTAATGGCACGCACGCAGATATGGAATATTTCCCATTTGGATCAGCCAGCGGTACCTGTTTGCCATTTTGGTATGACTCATCTGGTGCCCAGGAGTCCTGAAAACAGAAGGACATGCTGTATGCTTTAATCATTTGGGAATGTCAATCATTTTGGTACTGTTTTAGTGCTATCCCTCAGTGCAGCTTTGATTATTTCATTTTTGGCTACATTCTGTGATTATAGCTCCTTACTTAAGTGTAAGATCTTACTGATACTTTAGAAGTGATGGGTAACACATCCAGATGCTTCAGCAGATGACCAATCAGTAGAAAGATAATGAATGACTACCTGCTATCTGCTCAGTGCCTACTAGGTGTTAGGCTCTTTAATTCAGTTCACTTATTTCCCTAAAGATTTGGGTAACATCCAGGAAGATGCCAGTTATGAGACTGAATGTTCTAGCAGCTTCAGAAAGCTAAATCATGTTCAGAGTAGAGCCTCTTATTATGCTACCCCAACTTCCATTATTATGGGATCATTTTATCATGAAGAGACTTTATAAGGTGTTTTTTTTTTATTTTTTTCTTTTCTTTTTTAAAAAATAGACAGGGTTTCACTCTGTCACCCTGACTGGAGTTCACTGCAGCCTCGACCTCCCAGGCTCAAGTGATCCTTCCACCCAGCCTCCCAAGTAGCTGGGACCAGAGGTACATGCCACCAGGCCCAGCTAATTTTTTACGCTTTGTAGAGATGGCGTCTCCCTATGTTGCCCAGACTGGTCTGTAACTCCTGGGCTCAAGCAGTCATCTTGCCTTGGCCTCCTAAAGTGCTGGAATTACAGATATGAGCCATTGCACTGGGCCAAGGTGTTTTTTGTACTGCTGGCAAAAAGGGCAAAGCCTAAGACAAGCTCATCTTACATGGAACTTTATAGTTTAGTAAGATTCCTATATATTTATTTGCCATTTACTTCATTTTATTCCATTTTATTATGACTTCATTATGAAATGGAATCAGTAAAATGGCAGAATACCACAGTTTCTCTGGAAGTATAAAGTGTAAGGTGTGTTTCAAATGATCTTTGGCTGCTGCATCATCATCATAGTTACCATTTATTGAGTATTTACTATGTGTCAGACACTGGGCAAGCTCTTTAAACCTCAAGAATTGTGAAACAGAAATGTACCTCCAGCTGCACACTCACATGTATATGCACATATGCAAACACATACACACACACACACACACACACACACACACACACACACACACCAGCCCACTTACATAGTCACCACATCTGAAGCACAGATGAAATAAGGAAATGCAGTTTATGGTTAGGGCAGCTTTTGGTGTCACAAACCGCAATTTCGTTTAGATGCTCATTTGATTTAGCAGCTGTACTTTCAGGTGCCCCCTGACTTTGGAAGACATTTCTGTCAAACCCCCGTCTAGAGTGTTACAGCCTGCTGAGCCAGTTTCTTCTTATCAAGCTACAATTCTAAATATTTGTGAGAATATCTGAAGTCCCTGGGGACCAAGTCAGCTCTCTTGAACCGAGTCAGCTCCCTTGTAAAAACGTGGGGGCTTATAACAGTTCTTCTGAGCAACTTGCAATTTATCAATTTCCCTTTACAAAGCCTTCAGATAGAAGATTAGTGTGATCATGTTCATTCGTAACCTTTCAATTAAGTAATTCCAGCTGTATTCACTTGCCGCAGCCTCTTTAGTCCCATCCTTATGAGATTGCGAACTCCTGTCACTTATCATTGAGAAAGTACGGTATTTTATTCAACCACATTTTTCTAAGACAATGTATCTGTTGCTATCAAATGATCAGTGTCATGTTAAAGGAGTTTCTTAATAGCATACATTTAAATTGCTCATCTTAATAGTCCAACAAGCTCATAGGCTGTTTGTACAAAATACAAGGTTATATCAGATGCTACCCATTCAACCTTTGCTGTAATTCACTCCATAGCTACTAATGATAAAAAAGGATTGATGATGGTAGGTGGGATTAACCTTGGCAGGAAAGAAAAGCAGTGTCATAGGGAACAGTTATAACTTCTGGAGGTGCATTTGAAGATTAATTCAGATAGTAGCCAGAGGGCACAAGTTTTTTAGTTCGCCAAAAATAGAAAAAATAATTTTGCATAACTTCTGTTGAATAAATAGCAAGATGCAAATGGCACGTGGCAAAATGTATTTCATGTTGCTTCTGATTTTCTCCTGATAGAGTCTGAATTGTTGAATTAAAACTCATGGGCGATTTTAGTAAATGAAAAATATATATTTTACATTGTACTGGGTTGTTGATTTTTATGTTATGGTTACTAATACATATTCATTTCACATTTGGACAGATACAGCAGATGGTGTATCTCAGGAGCTCTTCTCTGCTGGCTTGGTGGATGGTCACGATGTAGTTATAGGTAAATTGTTTTTTAGTATGCACTGTCATTTTGTTGGTATATAAAATGGAAATGTGTTTGGAAGCAAAAGTGTTCATTAAGGAATAATTCACTCTGAATATTTGAAGAATTCTTCTTGAATTCTTATCTTTTATGTAGAAGTATATTTAAGAATCATATTTGGACGGGCGCCATGACTCATGCCTATAATCCCAGCACTTTGGGAGGCCAAGGTGGGTGGACCACCTGAGGTCAGGAGTTAGAGGCCAGCATGGCCTATTTGGTGAAACCCTGCCTCTACTAAAAATACAAAATTAACCAGGCATGGGTGGTGTACGCCCGTAATCTCAACTACTCGAGAAGCTGAGGCAGGAGAATCGCTTGAACCTGGGAGGCTGAGGTTGCAGTGAGCCGAGATCACGCCATTGCACAACAAAAGTGAAACTACGGCTCAAAAAAAAAAAATCATATTTAATTTTCTTTTTTTCAAAAGCTCTTAATGTAATCCTGTCTCATATATCTGGACATGATTTATCCAATGAGGAGCCTCATTTATTGGAAATATAACAAAGAACTTAGAAGACCCAAAAGTCCATGATGTAACAAAAATAAGATGCTATCAATTCTGTGCACTAAAGCATGGGAACCTCTGAGACCCTTACTCAGAGTTTCTATATTCTCTTTTTGGACACAGTTCTAATAAACTTAGAATTCGTTTTTTCAGCCCTCAGCAATATTCATTATAAAATCTCAGGTTTGGATGGGAACTTAAAGATCATTCAGGCCGGTTCTTTCACTGTATAGATAAGGAAATGAATTCCTTAAGAGGTTCAGTGGTGTGTCTAGAACCATGCAGCTGGGTTGTGGCAGAAGAATTTCACTTTGAAACTGTGGGTCTTTCTACCTCCTTTAGAATCATAAGATAGCTGCACGGAGATAGGGGAGCCTGCTCAACATAGGCCTGCTGATGGGAGCAAGCAACCACCCATAGACCTCCTGACAAAGCAAAGGAGGCAGAAAAGCTCTAAGAGGCAGACATAGCCATCTGAGAAAATGTGTAGCCTGGTTCCACCTAGGGTGAGGATGAATAGCTCCATGCTCTTCAGCAAATTCTGACTTTATAGAGATTTTATGATGTATTACTGTATAATCATAATAACCCTAACTAATCAAGATTAGTTAGCATATTCATAATTATGTTAATTATTAATTATATTAACTCTAATAATGTATTACTTAGGGGAATATATATTATGATAATGCCTTATTAAAATATTCAAATCAAAACTGATTTTTGAAATGACATGCTCCCCTTAAATGATATGGTTTATGTTTGGTTTTGGTTTTGTTTTTTTTGAGACAGGGTCTCACTCTGTCACCCAGGCTGGAGTGCAGTGGTGTAATCTCGGCCCACTGCAACCTCCGCCTCCCGTGTCCAAGCAATTCTCGTGCCTCAGCCTCCCAAATAGCTTGGGACTACAGACGCATGCCACCGTGCCTGGCTAATTTTTGTATTTTTAGTAGAGACAGGGTTTTGCCATGTTGGCCAGGCTGGTTTCGAACTCCTGACCTCAAGTGATCCGCCTGCCTTGGCCTCCCAGAGTGCTGGGATTACAGGCGTGAGCCACCACTCCCAGCCCCTTAAATGATATGTTTTAATTTAAAAAATAACTTATTCAAAATAAGTCCTTCCCCAATAATGCTAGAGTATATGACTGAGAGGGAGTTTAAGGTAGATACACACACCTATCAGAATAATTTGTTCCTAGTAACTTTGGAATGTAAATCATTACAAAGTGAATTATTTTATGTAAATAAGAGTAATTGAGTTTATAGTGGGAGATTAGAATTCTGACTAAAGACATAATATCCAGTATGTTATTTACATACAAATGATATATCATAAATGCAGATACAAAGATACCTTTATAATTAGAAAAAAACAGATTTTTTCCTACTGATTATACATTAACTCTACACATTGATTTCACAATGAAGCTCCAACTCCTTTGCCAAGTGGCTCCATACATGAGGGGACACAGACATATTTTAAAGGAAAGTGACTTAACGTGCATTTATGTGGAGTGAGTTGTATTCCCTTATATATCTTGTCTTTCACATTTTCCTTTACAATCTTGTGAGATTTAAGGCCAGCTAAGTTCTCGCCTAAATTTTCTAATCAAATGTGAGAGGGAAGCTGAGAAAAAAGATTGATTCAACTTTGGGGTCTACTTTAAATTCTGTCTAAGAATTCATTATGTTCACCTACCAATTACCAATTCCTTGATGAAGATGAACACTCTCCTTCATTAGAAAACATAAGTATACACTTTTGTGTCTTAGTTTACCAGAAGAAATAGAACAGTTAATTAATGGCTAGATCAGGAGACCCTGCAAACCTTGAAGAGAGCTATGGTCCATATGCTAAGCATCCAGAATAGAAAATTAATCAGCAAGTGAAAATAATAATCAAAAACTTCTTTGAAACACCTACTAATGTCTCCTATTGGGCAAGAAGCCAAGGATCAGATTGTTCTTTTATTGGAGTTGATCCTGGCAGGTGGCTAGGAACACAGAAAATAAGAGAGCTTGACGGAAAGGCATTAGGTCACATCTTCTTTTAAGCATAGTCCTTGCTTCAGACCTACAGTCAAGTTTAATGCACTTCTTTTTTTGCCCCAGGCTCAGCTAAAGTTAGGAAGGTTTTATTGTTGTTGTTGTTGAATTTTTAAAAGGAGGAAATTAAGGCAGACTTCATGTACAACTTATTGAGTGTATTTTAAATACAATATATAACCATAAAGCTTTTCTTTTTCTATGCTTTAGTTAATTATTCTTCCAAAAACTCTTCAGCTTGCCTTTTTTCCCCTTCTTGGAGCTAAATTATTTCTATTTAGAGAGTGTTGGAGTAAGAACAGGCATATCTAACTCTTTGATATAGTAGCACTTAAAAATGCCTTACATGGACATCACACTTAAGTGTCTACAGACAATGTTTATGTATTTCATTTGATCATCACATCAATTCTATAAGGTAAAGAGGACAGGTTGTTTTAATCACTATGTTGTAGACTGAAAACTGAGGTCCGAAGAAGTATCTAGACTGTTGCAACTGGTAATGTTCCTTGCGCTTGGGTCTTGTTGACTCCCCAATGTTGACACTTTGCATATAATTTATACCTTCACCCTTAAAAAGTGGATCCAGGTAATTTTAAATGTTGGTGGTTCTTGTGTCCCCTGGGAGAAAAGTAGCTTTTCCTTGTTTGTTTTTCCATGGACCAGTGGATGTTTTCTATTTTAATTGCTGATTATTTGACAAACTAATGTATTTGATCTTGTTCCCTCTAACCAATCCTAGCAAATCTCTACTCCCTCCCTCCTCATCTATTTCCCTCTTTACTAGATATGTCCCACCAGCATATGAATATGTTTTTATTTCTCTTATCTTCAGAAAGCCCTGTCTTTACCCCACCTCCCATTACAGCTATTTCTGTCCAACCCCTTAACAGCTAAACTTATCAAAGACAATTGCCCTGGCTTTGATTCCTTTCTTATCACTGTCTCTTAAATCCACCTCAGTCAGACTTTTGACCTTCCTACTCCACTCAAATTGTTCTTTTCAAAGCTGTACCTGGGGAAAACACACCTGCAAAAAGGAGTGGCAGATGCACAGGTAGGCGTGGCTGGAGTGAGGGGAGAAAGAAGGAAGGTAAAGGACACGTGGTCTGTGAATGGCTGCCATGTTCCTAAACCTGAGGCTCATCCTCAGTCCTTATCATGCTTGACCTATTGGCAGTATTGGGCGTAGTTGACAATGCCCTTCTCCATGATAAGCTTTTTCACTTGGTTTTAAGTCTCCACCCTCTCCTAGTTCTCCCATCTTACTGGTATTTCCTTCTCAGTCTTTTTTGTTGGTTCCTCCTCATCTCTCTAACCTATAAATCTTGATGTGTCCAAGGACCCTTTCCTTAGATCTCTTCTCTTTCTCTACTTGCTGCTTTGCTGATCTTATCAGGTTTCGTGGTATTAAATACCTTCCACTCTTTAACTCCCAAATTTATATCTTTGATCCAGACTTTTATTTTGAATTCCAGACTTATATTCAGCTCCCCTTTTAGCGTCTTCACTTGGAAATGTAATAGACATCCAAGATTTAATCCACAGCTTCAAAATCCAGCCCCTGGTGTTTCTTCCCAGCCTGCCCCTCCAGGAATCTTAGACTCTTCATAGGCATCATCTCCACCTTTCCAGGTGCTCAGGCCAAAACCCTGGGCATTGTCCTTGACTTTTCTTTCTCTCATACTTCACATCCAACTCATCTGAATGTGCCCAGGATCCTGCCTTTGCTCACCATCTCACATCCCATCACGTTTCAAGCCCCTCTCAACTCCCAGTTGAGTTCTTGTATTCATCCCTTTGCTGCCATTCCAGCTTCTGTACTTGCCTCCCTTCAGCCTGTCCTCATCTCAACAGCCAGAGATCCAGGTAAAGTAAATCAGATGCAAAAGGCCACATATGGTGTGATTCTTTATATGAAATGTCCAGAGTAGGCAAATCCATGGAGTCAGAAAGCAGAAGAGTGGTTGCCAGGGGCTGGCAATGAAGGGGGCAGGGGAGTGACTACTAAGTATGGGGTTTCTTTTTGGGGTGATGAAAATGTTCTGGAATTAGAAGTAGTAATGGCTGCACAACCTTGTGACTTTACTAAAAACCACTGAATCGTGCATTTTAAAGGGGCAAACTTTATAATATGTGACTTTTAGTTCGATTTTTTAAAAGTAAGCCAGATTGTGTTCATAGTTCAATCAAAACTCTGCAGTGGTTCTCCACCCACAATCACCATGGCTTCCAGTCCTCTGCACTGTGTCCCCTCTCACTTCTCAGATGTCTCTTCTCCTGCTCTTCCCCTTGCTCACCCCACCCCAGCCACCCCGGCTGTTGAACTTGCTCTTCTTCCAGGACACTCCTTCTTTAGGGCCATATATGCCCACCCCCTGGTGCTTAAATATTACCTCACAAAATGGTCTTGAGCAGCCTCATTAAAATCGCACACCATCCCCAACTCTCTACCCTCTTTCTTATTTTGTTATTCTACCTAATCTCTCCCCATTCAATAGCCTGTATGTTTCATTTATTTATTTTGTCAGCTATATAGGACTTCCCCTTGAGCATCAGTTTTTTAAGGCCAGGATTTTTAATCTGTTTTGTTAATTGCCACATTCCCAGTGCCCCAAACTGCATTTCACATAGTAGGCCCTCCATAAACATTTGTTAGAGATAAACAAATCCCATTTTGATATATATAGATATATCGTAACATTTACTTTAGAAACAAAGGATACTTTGAGATATAGGATTCTAGTGTTTTAAGAATTTTGCTTTCAAGATTGCAAAATTCAAAGTGTTTGCAAATATGAAATAAGTTCACCTGAGGAAAGCTGTGTAAAGAAAGAGTCCAGTTTATATAGAGGTTTGAATGATTTCTTACATGTGTATTTTTTCTGCTTCTATAATATAAAATAGCTAACATTTAAATAGATTAAAAATCTGTTTCTTTCCCATCAGCATTTTCTTTTGAATTGGAGTAAATGCTTACAGCATTGTGAAAGGCTGAAAAAGCAATAGCATATGTTATGGAGCAGTGAATGTTATCAGTTTTACTAGAATATGGCAAACACAGGTTACAAAAAGTCTTCAATACCTAGCTTCAGGGTAGCCTGCTTTTAGTGTGCCGACCTTCGCGAATCAGAATCTGGATTGAAGAAGGGCCAGTATAGTGACATGAAGTGATTGCTTTCGAGCAGAAGCAGAGCAGTGCAGAAATGAAATGTGCTGTTTGTAGACTGAAATCATAAACCCACTTGACTTGTGCTTAAACTCGGCACTACCTTAGGCAAGAAACAGGAAACATTTTTAGGCTTTGTGTAAATAGCCGTTGATAAGATTGGCAAGGCCTCGCGGGTGGGTGTTGGTTTAAAAAAGTTTGCAAGATGAAAAACTAGAGGACATGCATGCATAAATTTGCTTATCTTGCCTGGCTGGGTTGGCTGACAAATGGAAAGAGACCAAATCTGAGTCCCTATTCTAGTTGTTTCAGAGGATTCCCAAGGATGAGTGATAGTGAGACAGCAGAGAAACTCCTTGTTTCCTTTGCTTTCTGGTGAAAAAACAGCCGGCAAGAAATAAGTTTTCTCTGCAATGGAAGCACGGGGGAAAAATGCAAAACACAAAATTCATATGTACAAAAGAAAACAAAAGGTCTAAGTTCTCTCCAGACTTTGTGATATAAATTTTTGAGGAATTAGTTTAGTAAGTTTTAGAACCTCAGCTATAGAAGAAGGAACACCAGTGGGTATGTTAGGCTAAGCAGTTATGTGGCCTGCTTACCGACTCCTACAAAGCTGCTGAACTTCAATCTGCACGGCTCAATACAGAGGCCAGGGTTTGACTGTGTGTATACACCGGAAGAGAAGCTGCTTGACAGATGCCTTTCAGAAATGTGCCCACTGACTGCCCTTTGCTGTGTTTTTATACCACCCTTCCCTAGCTTTGTAGCAACATATGTCTGTTTCCTTTAAGTGGAGTTTAGAACCAGATGTTGGAATTTCTGTTTCCTGAGAAGGGAGCTGGGTGCCTGCATTCATTTCTGTAGTTTTCCTTTGACGGATTTTGAGCCTCACTGACTAGTTGTCACTGGAAGGAAAACTTACTTTAGTGATAGATGTTCCCAAAGCTCTCTCAGTAGACTTTTGGACTATTGTTCATGCCCCCATGAGATGCTCTTTTCCTGCACATGAAGAATCATGTTTAAAACCTGTCTGCCTGCAAGACTTACCATACATGTCACCATCATGAAGCCTCCTCTGCTGCCTGACACCCCACTCCTTGCACAGTTTGGAGGACAGCTTTTCCTTGTCTAGAATGCCAGAGAACCATGTTTTTACCACCTCAAGACGTATGGCTTTCATCCTGCTGTACTACTGCGTGCTTGTCTTCCTTTGTGTGGAGGCTGAAGGCATCTTTAGGGCAACGCTTGTCTTCTATTTTATTGCATCCCTACCATTGTTGACACACATAGGCATTTAATAAATAAATATGTTGGATAAATGAATACATTGTATACCATATGCAAATTCAGTACTGGATTATTGCATGAATTGATGATTTGGATAATGTAAATATTGCTGTATCTTCCAAAAAAGAAATAGTAATTCACTATGATTGATTTTTTTTTTTTTCCTCTCTGCGTTTTCCCACGTTCCTTGCCTTTCTCTCAGAAATAGAATTGTCACATGACTTTTGAGTCTGGTCTCTTGGGAAAGGAATATGGTTTGTCTCAACAGCCTTCTGGCCAGGAATGGTAGCTCACACCTGTAATCCTAGCACTCTGTGAGGCTGAGGCAAGTAGATCACTTGATGTCAGGAGTTTGAGACCAGCCAGGCCAACATGGAGAAACTTTGTCTCTACTGAAAATACAAAAATTAGCTGCATCTGGTAGGGCACACCTGTAATCCCAGCTACTCAGGAGGCTGAGGCAGGAGAATTGCTTGAACCTGGGAGGCAGAGGTTGCAGTGAGCTGAGATCGCGCCGCTGCACTCCAGCCTGGGCGACAGAGCGAGACTCTGTCTCAAAAAAAAAAAAAAAAAAAAAAAAAAGAGGGCCTTCTGTCCCCTAGTGCTTGCTAAGGTTAAGTATTCTGAGTGTCTCTCAAAGTATGAGCTGTGAGATGCCTGTCTTATCTGGGATGCTTATTAAAAATGCACGTTTCTGGGTTCCAGCCCAGAAATATAGCATCAGCTGTCTTTTGGGCATAGAGTGTGGAAATTTGTGTTTTCAACAGGTATCCCAAGTGATTCTCATACACACTGGAATTTCATAGTCACTTTATCTTTTATATTTTAATTTTTTTTTTTTTTTTTTGAGATGGAGTCTCACTCTGTCACCCAGGCTAGAGTGCAATGGTGCAATCTCGGCTGACTGCAAGCTCCACCTCCCAGGTTCACACCATTCTCCTGCCTCAGCCTCCCAAGTAGCTGGGACTACAGGCACCCACCACCATGTCAGGCTAATTTTTTTGTATTTTTAGTAGAGACGGGGTTTCGCCCTGTTACCCAGAATGGTCTCGATCTCCTGACCTCATGATCCGCCTGCCTCGGCCTCCCAAAGTGCTGGGATTACAGGTGTGAGCCAACGCGCCCAGCCCATAGTCACTTTATTTTATGCTTATAATAATCTTTGGAGATGCCTTCAGCTCATTTCATCATCTATACCTTTTTCCCAGTCTCACTAATCTCCTTTGCTTTTCTGCCTTACTTGATTCTCTGCTGTCTTTAGGAGTCTGTTTTAAAACTGTGCCAGTTAACTTTTAAAAATTGTGTTTATGTGTATGAATGGTGTAGATGCCACATATATGGCATTGGTATAAATTTTTACCAAAATGAGTAGTTACAGTTTTGATTAAAACTAACATTGCTGCTCAGGAGGCAGTGGATCCTCCAGATGGCCTTCAGCTTTTATTTCTCTACAAAATGGCAAAGTACGCTTAGGCTCTCAAGTATGGGAGCAACAAAATCTCTCTGCTCAGTCATGAGCATATGGTTAGATGTGCGAAGTGCTCTGTTCTTTCTGCTACAGTCAGGGATATTTAAGTCTGTTATGAGTGATCCACAATTTACTGAGCAGCAGTACACTTTTACGATGAAAGTCTTGGAAAACAGTGAACATATTTCATCTCATATTCATTTCAGTGATTATGCTGTGATATTCACTGATATTGACTTTCAGTGAAGAAAAGCATTCATTATTAAAATAGTGTCTTTATTACACAACTGTACTATGATTTTGAAATGGTGACAGGGAATAAAGGAAGAAAACTCCTTAAGCCCTTTCTGGGTTTAGACAGGCTTGTGGTTAGTTGAATTATGTCAATAAATACAGCTGAGTGATTCCTGATTAAAAGTTGTCTATGTGTTAAGTTTAATACCTTAGGGAATTAGGACTATAAGTACTTTGGGGGTGCTGTGCTGATTACTTTTCTTATATATTTTTACCAGAAATAAATGTTGACCTGTTAGATATGACGTAGGGTTTCTGTTTTCAAAAAGGCACTGCAGCCTATTTGATTGTAACTCATTGCTCCTGGTTTCCCAATTATCTTTTCTTTCTTTAAAAAAAATCTTTACTGAGGTATAATATTTATTCCCTAAATAGAAAAATTGGACATTAATATTAAAAGCTGGCAAAATTATGTTTTAAATATTCACAAATGATAGGCTGGACTATCTAATATAAAAGTATCATCCGTGTTGTAAAATAATTCTAATTCCATTCAGATGAATGACTACCATTTCTAGATGAATTAAGATATTCAGCAGTTGGGCCAGGCGTGGTGGCTCAAGCCTGTAATCCCAGCACTTTGGGAGCCCAAGGCAGGCGGATCATGAGGTCAGGAGTTCAAGACCAGCCTGACCAACATGGTGAAACCCCATCACTACTAAAAATACAAAAATTAGCTGGTGGTGTGTGCCTGTAATCCCAGCTACTCAGGGGGCTGAGGCAGGAGAATCGTTTCAACCCAGGAGGCGGAGGTTGCAGTGAGCCAAGATTGTGCCACTGCCCTCCAGCCTGGGCGACAGAGCGAGACTCCATCTCAAAAAAATAAAAATAAATAAATAAAGATATTCAGCAATTGAACTCTTGAGAGGTGGTAGAATCACAGTGTTGCTTTAAACATCCAAAGAGCTGTTTGCTCTGCAGAGTGCTGGGAAACCAGGCCCAAATGAATGTGCAGTGAGAGCACACGTGCACACACACACGAACACAAACGTAAGCACAGACAGAGCACACAGATTCAGCATTAGTTTGATCACACACCTAAGGGTTACATATATTTTTTGAAGTTATTTAAGAACAATTTATTTAAGAAAGACAGACTAAAGTAAAATGCATAGAATTCTTGCTTTGACAGAATATCATTTTTTAAATCTGATAAAAGCACAAGAGAGTGCCCATACTCCTCTGCGCCAAACTCAGAGGAATTAAGCGGAGGAAAGAATTCCTAGAAAAAAAAGAATTCCTAGAAAACTAAATCAGAAGCTTAAGCTGTGATGTCCATTCATAGGATTGAATCCTCTGCCAGCCCAGCCACTCCCTGTGCTTATCTGTCTGCAGATTCTAACATAGAATGACCAGCTCTCCAGGGAAATGTTGGTAGACCTGTCATTTGTAAAGAACTTCCGATTTGGGGATGGGGAAAAGGAGTGTTTGAAAACCACCTTTCAAAATGTGGGCAAATGTTATTTCCAAGAAGTTCTAGCATAAAATAACATCTGTAATTTCCCCAAAGACGTTCTCAGTTTCTGTGTCACATGATTATGACTCATTGCAGCAGTAAACCACACTGTAAGCCCTGATTTTCTAATTAACTTTGTTACTTTGTATTTAGTTAGGAGTTGTATATCCTCTTTAAAACCATTAGTACAGAGATAGAATCCAATTAAGACCTGTACTTAACTTCACTTGGGTGAAACAAGAGCTTGCCAGTGGATTAGTTGTAGATATCTACTAAGTCAGTAGAGTCTTGCTTTTTTCAATTACTTTAGATTGCCTTGTTTTAATTTATGTTAATCTGTCCTTTAACTCCAGAATCAAATATGCTTGCAGATTACACTCAGTCTCGCCACACTTTCTGATCAGTCCCTACTTAAGACAAAAATATATTTCTAGTGGAAGTAAAGTAGGCTTACTTTGGTGCAGGAAACCTAGTCTTTGTGATGACTTACATTTTTCTAACATTACCAAGTGTGTAGGATTTAAATTAAATGGCTCTTTTGTTGAACAGTCTACTTGTTAATAGCCTGACAGGCAAGTCTCCCAGTCCCAGATGAAATCTCTCTGCTGTTTTTTTACTTCATTGGTTAAAATAAAAGAGAAGTCACTGCCTCATGATTTCTTATATAACAGGTAATACCGCTCCTTGTTTGCTCAATCAAAAAA
Organism: Homo sapiens; assembly: GCF_000001405.40. NCBI lineage: Eukaryota > Metazoa > Chordata > Mammalia > Primates > Hominidae > Homo > Homo sapiens. The sequence continues at coordinate 168,001,657 of NC_000002.12, read as the reverse complement.
ATTTGAAAGTTAAGGAAGAAAACTAAATCCATATATTTTTTATTCATTGTGGGCTTATAATCACTATTTTGGCTCCATATCTAATTATAATCTTAAATTTGATCCTGCATCTTATATTAGGTTATCATTTTTTTTTTTAAAAAAAGAGGACTTTCTTGCCAATCCTAAGAAAGCCTAGTTCTTAATCTTGCACTACTTAAGTTTAGCATCCAAAAGGTTGTGTAAAAATACATGTACCCCAGATTCATTTTAAAACGAGAGATCTGGACTGGTCACCTGCCGATAGATTTAGAAACTTGTCCTTGTCATCAGGTTTATGCTGTCCCCATTGTATCATCAACGTTTGTGCCCAATTTTGTTCCTTTGTTGTTGTTTTTTTTTTTTTTTTGATGTGTTTCCAAATTGATACATCATAGTTGCACATATTTGGGGGATACATGTGATATTTTCCAATTTTGTTCTTGGGCTAATGTTTTTCAGAATCACCCACTATACTGCATAACCCACGGTAACCATTCCATAAAAGAAAATTTTCTTGCCAGATTCTGTGTCTGCTGAGCTATAGAACCAGATAGCAGGAATTCATAGTCAGGAAACCATCTGAACAGCTTTAGGTGCAAACGCATGGGCCTGGCCAGTGTACCCTTCTGACACAAGTAAAGAGGGAGCTGTCCATTAAACTTGAGAAATGGATTTAATGCCTTAATCTTTATCCTTGTAGAATTTGGTCAGCGATGAGAGGTTTGTTACTCAAAATCAGACCATCAGATTCAAAGCATCTTTTCAGTAATACACCCCTTGGAGGGCTAATTTATTACAGTTTCTGAGACTCCTTACCAGTTTGTGATTGTTGACTGGATTTTTAGAAAGTCACGTTCATGGCTCATTTCTTCATTGGCTGAATAGATCTGGGGTCAAGATCGTGCTGTCAGAGCTCTGCACTTTCTTGTCTTTCTGCGATATGTAGGGTCAGAAGGACAAGAAAGGACATCTGAATTTCTCAACCACTGCCCTGACTTTCCTTTCAGGGTTGACTATCAATTCCTCACATATCCTTCTAACTATTTTGCCTCTAATTCTTGTATTTGTTCATGGTATTGAGTAATAAGATGAGAGTGACATACAAGGGGAACTCAGTGTCTAATAGAAAGGTAGAATACAGGTTAGAGGACATGATTTGGACAGCATTACTCCGGGGAAGCATAAAAATGCTATCGGTTATTCTAATGGGCTTCTCAGCCTCAGGCACTGTAGGCTTGCTGGAGCTCTCAGGATTTCTTTTAAAAAGAAAAAGAAAAGTTGGCTCTTTTCTTTAGTGCTCATGAAAATTTTTATTAGACAAGGAATGAGTATGAGAAATTAATTTTTGATATTTTTTTCATGATGAACTTTTTATGTCAGAAATATAGAACTCTGCACTTAGAATAACTCTGAACAGTGGCTTTAGGTGTTCAATTAGCAATAATTAAATGTAAGTTTAATCTTATAGGCATAATCTGAAATATCCATGCAATTCACCTGTTTGCAGGCTAAATAGTGATTAGCCAGTAATAACACGTATTTCCCTGGGATATTATTGGGAGTCCCCAAAGGGATGTCCCAGGGGTCCTTAAATGACTTTCTCAGTGCTGGTTACCATGTGGTGGTCTCACTAGCTCCCTGCCCAAAAGACTGCTTGAAGAAGCCTCACCTGTATCACCAGCCAGTATGAGGACACCAGTGCCCACAAGGGGAGTGCTGCTTCCAGAAGGTCACAGGGCACTACCTATGTGGGGCCAGAGTGGTACCTGCTTCCATGCAGAAGTAGCGGGAGGAGCCTTCTACCACTCTTTGTCATCCAGGCCCTTAAGCAACTGTACTTCATTCATTCATTCAATAAATAAAGCAAGCATCTCGGGCCGGGCGCAGTGGTTCATGCCTGTAATCCCAGCACTTTGGGAGGCCGAGGTGGGTGGATCATGAGGTCAGGAAATCGAGACCATCCTGGCTAACATGGTGAAACCCCATCTCTGCTAAAAATACAAAAAAATTAGCCGGGCGTGGTGTCAGGCGCCTGTAGTTCCAGCTACTCGGGAGGCTGAGTCAGGAGAATGGCGTGAACCCAGGAGGCAGAGCTTGCAATGAGCCGAGATAGCACCACTGCACCCCAGCCTGGGCCACAGAGTGAGACTCCATCTCAAAAAAGATAAAAATAAAATAAAATAAATAAAGCATCTCATCTACTGTGGTGCTGAGTACACCTGATTAACAAAACAGGGTCCTTGCCCTCAAGAAGCTTGCAGTCCAACTCGAGAGGCAGACCTTAGACAAGTCAGTACACAGGTGTCAGTGAAATTACAAATTGTGAGAAGCATTCTGAAGGAAAAATGATGTGCTATAAAAAAAGACAATAATGAAAAAACATGGGGTCTTCATCTAATTCAAGAGCAGGGGAAGCCCCTCTGAGGGAGACATTTGAGTGAAGTCGTAGATAGGCATGTGTAGAAATAATGGATTTTGTAAAAGCTGACCAGTATGGCCAGAACAGGCAAATGAGGAGGTGGGATTGGGAATAAGGATGGGGAGGGGGCAGGGGCCAGATCACAAAGGACCTTGTAAAGAGCCATTAGCCATAATGACTTGCGAAAACTGAATCCTAGTGTTTCAACTCGATTGGGTCCCTTTGTAGTTAAAGTATAAATCTTGTGCCTCTCTAGCCTTTTTCCTCTCCAAGAGGGCAAATAAATGCTTTCCTTCAGACGCGTTTCATTAGACTCCTTTGCTGCCTGAATTTGATTTTCGTTTGACTGAGGTGAGTAGGAACCACAGATAGACAAGCAAATCATCCTGGAGGACTTGAGAAATAAAAGCTGAGATGATGTCCCAGTGTTCTGGGTTCATTTATGTGCAAAGGACATTGAAAAGCGATTTGTAATTTAATGTTTGGGGGCCAGGAGGACTGCAGAGATACCTTCCAGTAATTCTGAATCCAATTATTTTATCAAAAGGAAATTAGGATTCCTAGAAAAGGCAAAACAAACAAACAAACAAACAAAAAACACCAACTTAGGCATTAATCACGGGCATCTTCTTTATATTAATTGGTAACCAAAGGGCCTTCACTTCATGTACATTCCCAAAACAGATGAAATATATTTCCATTTCATAATATTGCCTTATTCTCACACAAATTATGGTGTGGGCTAAGGTAGCACTACATACAAAGTAGAACTATTATCATTATAATAGAGTACAGAATACGTAAAATATTCATGTTCATTGGGCTAAAGCAAACCTGCCATTTCAAGTCCATTAATTGCAGTCGAATTTAGTGAATATTTTTTCAGGGACTAACACTCTAATTATCTAAATTAAAGTGAGCATTTAAGTGGTTTCATGTTCAGAATGCAGGTGCAGTAAAGTAAGTTCTTGTTTAGCTAACCTTTGTCCGGGTGAACCGGATAGAGGGCTGGGGCAGTGTTTTCCCACAGTGGTGCTTTCTGGAGTGGGAGTGTTTATGCATTGGTAAAGCCATCTGATAGTTCTGGTCATTCCTTTATTTTTTTTTAACCTTCCCTTTAATTGGGTTTATTCTTTATGTAATACTTTCTTTTAAGGGAAAGAGCTTTCCAATCTTTTGAGGAGTAGAGGTAACAAAAACATAGAATGACATAGAAATTATTATACAGCACTGTATAGCCTCCATTAAATAACATCCCCCACAATTCGTTAAATTGCTGGTTTCAGATTGGTTGGTTATGGTTGAATTTTAGTAAAATCGGTTTTTCTGTGTCTCATGGCGTAGAAATTTTCATACAGCACTGTAGTCGCCATTAAATACCATCCCCCACAATTCTTTAAATCACTGTTTTCAGATTGGTTGGTTATGGATGAATGTTAGTAAAATCAGTTTTTATGTGTCTCTTTTGAGGAGCTGTATGACTCTCCATATTGTATATTACTTTTTGTTATTAGCTTTTAAAAATATCCCCATCTTATTTCTTAGACTTTTAGGATCTGAAACTGCTGTAGAGCTATGTGATGTAGGGAAGGAACACAGGTTTTAAAATCAGATGGCTGCAGGTTCAAATCCCAGCTCTGTCAGTGAAGATATGTGACTTGGGGAAGTTAGTTCATCTCTCTAGGCCTTCAATTTCTTCCTTACCCTAGAGTGACCCACTTAACTCATGGAATGGTTATGAGAATTACTGGATTACATGAAGGGGTTAGCAGGATGCCTGGCCTCCAGGAGGCACTCAGTAAGGGGTAGTTCTTCCCTCTTTCCCTTTTGAAATCAATTCACCTGGCCTCCTATCAAACATCAAGCTTCTTTTACAAAATACCGTATCAGTCAGAGAATATAAAGCCACCCTGCAGTTTCCCCAAATACAGTGAGACCCAGATTCCTGGCAGAGAATGGAGGTAGAAATTGCACGTAGGGAAGAATGACTGAACCACTGTTGTCCTACTTATAGTCCACAAGATTCACTGTGTTTGCCTCTGCCACCTCCACACTAGCAGTGGGAAAACCTTCTCCTATTACTTCTCTGGCACAAAGAGAGCTGGAAAGTAGTGTAATAACAACAGAATAAATACAGACACTCGGAAGGGTGTAGGCAACTAGATAAATCATTCTAACCAAATAGTTCACTTATAGTGAGCCTGGAGGTAAGTCTAGGGTTACCTCCTGGTTTAGTTTTCTGCGTGCTTCCAGTAACTGCAATGACCCTCTCTTACTGCCTGGGAGGACCATCCAGCCTCAAAGTCTAGACCTAAGAGGAGAGTCCGAGAGAGAAATGCAAATCCCCTTGTCCTCCTCAGGCTCACCCTTTGCTCTGCAGTTCCTTAGTCGGTGATCTACCTCTTTGAGTTCTAGTTTCTTTGCCAAACACTTACCTCTTTCTTTGATACTTGATAACAAGAATCTCCACCAGTTTCAGGGGGAGTCTACACTACCTCAAGTAAACTCATACTTCTTTCCCATGGAAGAGCAGCCATGCTTATAGGCCTCAAGAAGACAATCCAGACAGGAGACAATGCAATAAGCCTTCTATTTCTACAGAGGACTAGCCAACCACCATGAACTTGACCCACCGAATTAGGTGATGTTCTAAATTCCCTGTGTAGAATGTACCCGTGATGCCTGGGGGGCGGGCTGGACGCTAAGCTATGAGAGATGACACATTAGTGCATCCTCCTTCATAGCCCCATGGCTGCCCCTGCCAGGTAGGTTCTAGGTTTAACAAACTCGTTTGTACAGACTTCTTCTTATAATGGTGTCATTTAATAAACTGATAAAACATGAGTTCAGAAAGTGAGTTGTGTCTGCAAAAAATAACCAGGATGCTTTAGAAAATCTTGATAAAGGCAAATTATTAAAAACTGTTGCTAAGTTAGATATTGGAAGGATACTGTGAGAAAATAGAGACATTTTTTAAATCTAGGATTTTTTAAATGTTCTTGGCCCTACATCACGAGAGTGGATAGTAAATTTAAAAGATTAAATTTAAGCTTTATTTGTATCACAGTTTTATTTTTCCCTGCTTAAACTGCCTGTATCTTTTACCCAAGCAAATACCACTCCCACTTCATCAGATAAGAGTATTTCTTCTGTACATATTAACAGGACCAGCTACATAATTTGCAGGGCCCAGTGCAAGATGAAAATACAAATTCCCTTCTTCAAAAATTAAGAATTTCAATACGGTGACAGCAGAGCATTAAAGCCCAGCACCCTCTGAGCCTGGGCCCCATGTGTCTGCATGGGCTGCAGGACATGAAGCTGGCACCAGCAACAGACAAAAGGGCTGGGAAGGAGAGGTAGTTTCACATGTCACCCAGCTCTCTGACAATTTCTGGTGCCAAAGAGTTTCCCCTTGTAAGAGACACCTGTTCATTGTTGAATTACTGCTTGGAAGGGCTTTATACCGAGCCTAAATCCATTCTCCTTTAATTTCTGCTCTCTGATGTAGAACATACCTAATCCCAAAGCCACACTTAATCTCTTCTTCTTAATGTACCTTTTTGGGTGGCAGTATAGTTTCTAAAACCACCTCCATCTTCTCTCTCTTGATACTCTCTGTTCTTTCTGTATCCTTCTGATGGGCAGTGCTCACATTCTTAGGTATAAACTCCAAATTCCTGATGTGGTATGGGAGTTTGAAAGCTTGGGGACTCCTCATGAAAATACTGTATTGGAATTTTGGATACACTGTTTTGTTCTGAACTTAAAGAAAATCACTTACCCTGTTTAAAATATTTTAAATGTTTTGGCTGGGCGCGGGGGCTCACGCCTGTAATCCCAGCACTTTGGGAGGCCGAGGCAGGTGCATCACGAGGTCAAGAGATCGAGACCATCCTAGCCCACATGGTGAAACCCCGTCTCTACTAAAAATACAAAAATTAGCTGGGTGTGGTGTCGTGTGCCTGTAGTCCCAGCTACTCAGCAGGCTGAGGCAGGAGAATCGCTTGAACCCGGGAGGCAGAGGTTGCAGTGAGACAAGATTGCACCACTGCACTCCAGCCTGGGTGACAGAGCGAGACTCTGTCTCAAAAACAAAAAACAAAACAAAAGAAAAATATATATATAATATATATATTTTAAATGTTTTAATGATGAAATCAAATATATAGAAAAGTGTAAAATACTGTAGACTTCATGTAGTCATCATTGAGATTTCATTGTTGCTTAATACCTCTCCCATCATCTTTGCAACTCCTCTTAAAATATTTTTCCATCTGGCTTCTACTTACCCAATTTACTGTTATTCTGTATTTATATAGTTGATTTTTGTGACCTGAAGGATTTAACTTTGTTGGGGCCCATCCAGAGTCTCTGTAGCTGTACTGGAGACTTCTCTCCAGGGAGCCCTAAAACTAAAACCAACTCTTTCTGGCATAATTTTTAAGTTTATTAAAATTCTATGAAATGAACCTCGAAAGCATTATGCTAAGTGTAAGAAGCCAGACACAAAAGGTCACGTATTATATGATTCCATTTACATGAAATATCCACAATGGTTAAATCCATAGAGATAGAAAGTAGATTTGTGGTTGCTGGGAGCTGGGAGGAGGTGGGAATGGGGGAGTGACTGCTTACTGGGTACACAGTTTTCCTTTTAGGTGATGAAAATCTTTTAGAACTGACTAGAGGTAGTGGTTGCACAACATTTTGAATATGCTAAATGCCACTAAATTGTTCACTTAAAAGAGTTGATTTTATGCTATATGAGTTTCACCTCCACACACACACAAAAAACAAATTCTATGAAATAATATTTAAATGTTTGCATTGTAGCATTGTATATACATATTAAAATCAGTAGTATTGATTTTTTTTCTTTTTCACTGGTAACTACATCATGAGTATTATTTTCTGTATACTCAGTTTGAAGTACTACTACTTCTTTGAAGCCAGGAAGATGGTAATTGATGGTGGAACAATCCTTATAGATAAATTTTGTATTAAGAACCAATTAAGTTTATATTATATTTGAGATGGTGGTTTTATTTACTCATAACAATGGAAAATTCTGTAACTCAGTAGTAGTGTCTTGGGTACCGATATGTACTTCCTTTACATTACTTAAACTGTTCACTGGTTGGTATAAGACTGTATTCCAGAATGACATATGAAAGTGGTTGGAGCAAACCCAGAAAGTTTTCCTTTAAGGAGACTCCATTGAAATGTCTCTTGGACCCAGGTATAAAAATTGCTCCATTTGCCCTTAGCCTATTAACATCCCTTTCAAAATGGAATATATCATTCCTAGTATGTGACAGTATTTTATGAAACTTAAGAAGACAAAGAGAATCTTTTCTTCCAATTCTGTATGTTTTTATATGAATGCAGTCAATGCCTACCAGAAAACCATACGGTGTAAAACTTGACTCTTAACATTTTGAAGAATTGGAATGATTCTCCAGGAGAAACTGCACTTTCAATTAGAGTGGTTTAAGCTACAAGTAACAGAAAACTCTGTTCAAAATGGTTTAAACAAGGACTTTAGCTCACATACTGGATATCCAAAGGAAAGGAAGGTTTCAGGGTTGTTTAGCATCTCAGTGGTATCAGCCAGGACCTGGGGTCTTTCCTTCCCTTAGCCCGGCTCTCCACAGTGTTGATTTTATCCTGAGGCTCATTCCCTTCATAGTCTTAGAAGGCTGCCAGTGAAACAGTGCTGCATGTTTCCTTGAACTCCTGGCCTCAAGCGATCCTCCCGCTTCGACCTCCCAAAGTGCTGGGATTACAGGCACGAGCCACCACACCTGGCCAACTGCATGTTTCCTAATTCACATTTGGCTTTTAGTGATTCTTAATAAGGAGCAAGAAAGTTTCTCTCTTGGAAGTCCCCAACAATCTTCTCCTCCCCTGTGATTGGTCCATACTGGCTTATGCCCATCTCTGAACAGGCACATTGGGGTGGAAGGCTGAGTCTCCATGAGCCCATTGTGGGGCTTCAGCTGTAATGCATGCACACTGCCAGCTCTATAGTACTCCCATTAAATAGTCTTAGAACTTTTTAAATGTCTTACATAAATCGCTCATTCTGGGTGCAGATGATTCTTCAGAAAACTTATTACGTTGCTTTTATATTACATCACTGCAGTGTAGCATATCTTTCAAATGTACTATTGAGATGTGCTATTTGCAGCCCATTTTCAAAAGCTAGGAATATTAAAGCAGAGAAGAAACCAAAGTTTGCTTTCATTGGTGCATGCATGTCATTGGTGAGTGTCTCCTACTTAACAGGAAAGCAAAATCTAGATTGTTTATGCATTTTATTTTGGATTATGTATGCTATATGTGTTTATTTTTAATAGACAAATGGTCTTTTATAGTTGGTGTACCCTTGGTGCTTCATTGCTGATTATGTTGTTTTGTTCCATTTTCTTAACTATATTTGGTATGCAGAAATTCAACCTTAATTATATATTACAGGTTTTTCTTTGACTTTAAACCATGACTCCTTTTGTTTGAATATGTTAAAAAGATAAATCTCAAATTGTGAAAAACTGAGTTTTAAAATTACTTCAGCCCATATTTTCTGTCTCAAGTCTTAATTTAACACAGTTCTTAAGGAATGAACGTAGGCACTCATAATTGAGTGCCTCTTTGCCTATGGAATTCTTTTCCTCTGTTGGCATACCAAAATTGACATTTGTTGAGCTTCAAGTTTTACCACAAAGCCTCTGAACCACATTAGTCAATAATTCATCCCACATCCTTCTTTCTGCTCTGACCCCAGTTCCAGACAGTTTCTTCAGGTTTTTGCTATAGTGCAGAGGTTACAACCTGGTGGCCTACAGCTCTGATCTTGCCTGCAAATGGTTTTTTTGTTGTTGTTGTTGGGGGGCAGGTTGGGGGAGCTGCTGAACAAACAAAATTTGGGGATTATCTGACAACAATTGACAAGTGGGAGAGTTGACATAAGAATCCAGTTCTGGCTTGTCTTGGAAAAATCCAAAGATCTGAAAACAATTTTTGGCATAAAATCCTGAATGGCAAAAATTCTGTCCCCTCTTCTCCAACTGAGTTATGTTATCTCCCAGGCCCCTGAAGACTTTTGAACTTCAGACTCATTTAGAGTGCATTAGTGCTAACTGGTGCCATCCTGTTTTCTTCCTACAAACAGAGCACGTCATCTCCGCAGACCTAGATAAAAGCAGTTTAAGAATATTTCTGTAAGCAAAAAGACAAATATGATTGTTCAAGCCGATCAGGCTGTAGATGTAAGGCTCTACAGCTTTTTAAAGATTCCTGTCTTCCTGATAACTCATTGGAATCACCAGTATCCTTAGACAAGACCTTGGAACAGCAGAAGAATTCAGTGTACACCTAATTGTCCAGTTTTGGTAAAGGTTTAATACAAGATCATTAGGATATAAAGTCCTAACCCGTTTCCTCTAAGGGAGGGGAAGTCATATATCCAGAAGGATTGACTCCACGCCAACTGTGAGGGTCATTCCTGCTGATATTCAGTCTCTAATATGGATTCCCTGGTCATTTGTTAAGACTTTATTGATAGTCCTTATTAATACTAAACTCAGTATGTGCTCCCCTCCTAAAATGTACAATTGCAGCATTGACCTACATACTGTATTCATAGGACTGGATAATAAAACAGCAGTAACATCACAGGGTGTTCTTGCTCAAAGATGATTACAGTGTCATCCTAATGTCCCCTTATTGCTCTTGAATATTCCCATTAACCCAACTCTAGGACCTCTTCCACCCCCATCAGATAAATTCATTTTACAGCTCTAACTCATGTGCCTTTACTCTTCTCTTTGGGCAGACTCCTTAGGTCACCCTCCATTCCCTTTTAAGTACCAGGGTGCTGCCCAGGGCTGGGTATTCCAGTGTTAATGACAATCACAGGCATACAACTTAATGTTCTCTTCTTGGCTTAGTTTTTCCAGTCTGATTTAGATGTTTATCATGACCAGTCCTATCACTGGGGAAGGGTGTAAGTTGAAAGAAAGCACATGTGTGCTTTCAATAGTGACTTGGTTGGCCATTACAACATTTTTGTGATGAATAGGATTTTGCAGACTAGCAAGCTTTGAAAAGTGTTTGTATCTGCCAAACATTCCCGTGTATCGGGTGTTTGTTACTTTGCCCAACTGGGTAATCTGGATTGTCCCTAAAATTGAAGCTATTTACACCATTTTACCGTGACATCCCATTGAAGTCCAGGTTCCTAGTGTGTCTTTGCCACTTTGGGCTCTGTTTGAGCACTGTGGCTAGTAATGCCTGGTGAAATGTAATTTTGGGGAAATGTGGGTCATTCAGTGACTTTGCTGAGACAGAGTTCACCTATCACAGGACTAAGCTCCATGTACGCAGGAATTTGTTGACCAATGAATCCTAGAGCACTGGAATAATGACTAGTGCCTAGTAGACATCCGATAAATATTATTGAGTGAATGAATTGTTGACAACTTAAAACATACCACTGTACATATTATAAAGATATGTGGGTTCTTTTTCCTGTTGGGTTTTAATCAAATTGCTGGCGTTTATTAGCAGCAAAAATTGGGGTTCTGCATTTGCACTGTTCAGATTTATAGATTAAGCAGGATGGGCATTCCAGAGGTTTCTGTCTTCTAGAGTTATGTCTCAGAAACCAGAAGCTGGATGTGCAATCGTTTTTTACTACATTACCCAGGCAAGAATTAATTCATCATTTTTATTTCACCATTTCTCGTTATAAGCCTAATGCCAATATCTTGTTCAGAACAGTGCCAAATTTCACCTTCTGCTAAACGAAGAATTGGATATCTGTTTGTACAGCACACTGTAGACCTATGGCAGATTGACTCTTTGGAAATAGAAAAAATATATATTTGACTGACCTCCAGCCAGCCAGAAATAAATCCTCTGCATAATCTTGCCAAAATGTCATTTGGTTGTGAACAGCGCCCTTCATTTGTCTTAGGAGAGCCTGCGTATCAGGTACCAGGCCACTGCAGGCTTTTCTGCTCTTCTTTTTTCTCCCAGGCAGCTGCATCTTTGATAATGTGGATTCGTGAAAAAATCTCATTGTCCTCCTTACCTGTGTCATGAACTTCTTTCTCACCTTATTGAATTATCTGTTGAGTCAGGAAGTTTTTTTTTTTACAGTTTAGTTTCTAATAACCATTTGAAGATGATGATGATGATTATTATTGGTCGTTTTAGCCCTTGTGTTATAGCTCACATTAAGTTCTCTTCTGATGCCAACTGGAAATTTTAATCTACCATTACTAAGTTTAAAAATATGTTCACTTTTGCATATGGGTAGACAACTTTAATCATGATTTTTTTTTACTGCTTATCACTGTTGGCTTAGCTATGCTTCTACTGGGTGATTGATGTGTTTTCTTTTTTTAGTTCAGAATTTCCTGCAATTTTTAAAATTTCCTGTCTATAATGTGTATAACATAAATAACACTTAATTGGACTAAGTGATATTTCATTTTTACTTTTCTAGGAAAAACATCTCTTATTCTGGATATGTAAATAGGGATGAAGACTTACAAACCTAATGTTCTTTTTAAATTTCTTGATTATTCTGCATTTAGAGTTGAAGTCATCAGCTTGGCCCTGCTAACTCTATCACCCACTGCTGTCTGGCTGTCCTCACCTGGGACCCCTCAGGTGCCAAATTTACCAGCTCTCTTCCAGCATTGGTTGACTATTTAAAATCTTGATTTCATTTATCTTGTTCTTGCATACAAATGAAATGAAATTCCTGAACCAGGTACAACTGGTTCTTTGGAGAAAATGGACTCCATCTGAGAATAGCTATTTAGTGAAGACAATTTTCATGATAGTTCATCTTAAGGATCTACTTTGTGATGTTCTTACTAAGTGTTGGACTTTTAGAAGCCACCATGTGTAGTCCCCCATTCACCAAATGAAGTTTATTATTCACCCCTTCATTCACAAAATGAAGTTTATTATTCTTCATTTTGGGGAATGACTAGCATTATTGCTTAAAGGATGCCCCAGGTGCGTACAGACCACTGGGAATGAGCTTAAAGCCCTGAAGCAGCTGATGAATGTGGAACATTGATCACCCACCTCATCCCTACCCTGGCCTAATCTTTCATCTGTACCAACCAATGGCTATCTATATGGAGAAAGAAAAATAACAGCAAGAGATGTAAGCTGGGAATGCCACTCACCCTTGTTCTGTGGGGGTGAGCACTCTGGTCTGGGGCTTGAGGATGCCTTCAACACCTCTCTTGGTTGAAGCTCTCAGTCACTGATTGCTCTCGATCTATCATTGTTGCTGCCCTTCCCATAAAGCATGACTCTGAGCAGGCAGGTAAGCTGCCAGTCTTCTCAGTCCTCTTTGTTCCATATGCTTTCTAGAGGCATGTTTCTGAATATACTCAAATACAGTCATTTTTTAAAGGTGGTTTAACTGTGGTAATGATCTCAGGAATTTTATATGTAAATTTCTAAACTGAACATTTAATGTAAACTAAATCAGCTCTATCACCACCTTTGATTCCAGAAACACTTTTTTTTTTCTCATATTAACAAGATAAAGCCTTCACCTATGGAAGAAGGATTTTTTTTTTCTTAAAGCAGGATAAAAGACATGGAAGCATCCACAACAAAATAATCCTCAAAACAGCTTTGCTTTTCTACAGCTTTAACTGGGACCAGCTGTCAAATTCTTGAGTGTTGAGGTGTTTGAAAAACCATGGCTGAAAGGCACTAAGATCAGAAAGATGATGGGATTTCATGTTGGGAAGCATTAGCCCCAGTTGTCTAAAATGGTCTTGCTAGAAAACATGGAGAGCTTTTTGATGTGTGTTTCATTCTCTCTCGGTTCACTATTTGGGTCCCCAAAGGGATCTTCATATATGCCTGCGACTTCTTTGCAGGAAAAAAATCAGCTTTTACATGAGATAGACGTCACACTGGCCCCTGCTGTCTGATATAGGGGAGGGGACTCCATGCATAAGGGGCACCAGCAGTGCCTCTCTAGTCCTAATTCTTATTTTAAGTACCTGCCTTAAAAGCAGTAACAATCTATTTTAAGGAGGTAAATGCTATCTGAGAGGCAGAAGGCACTGTGGTTGTGTGTACAATCACCAGAGAGCCAAACTGCCTGCGTTCAAATCTTGCCTCTGTCCCTCCCAAGCTGTGTGAGTTGAACAAGTTGCTTCATCTCTGTGTGCCTCCATTTCCTCTGCAAATGGAGCAAATACGAGTTCCAACCTCATAGAATAGCTGTAAGGATTAAAATTTGATACATAAATTGCATAGTAAATCTCAGTAAATATGTTACCATTAATCATTAATAATAGTTTTATTTATTCTGAACTGCTTTATTACTCTAGTTTGTAGGATTTCTCAAAGTCAAAATGAGGAACTGTCAACTCAGGGACTTGCTCAACAGTGAAATTAAAATCTCATTAAAAGGACCACAGATAGATGGGGTTATTTGGGGGTTATTTGGAGGTTTCGCTATTCCTTGGGTGGCTTAGTACAGGCCTGGTCTTTGAACTTAGCACAGTATGGTCTTTGTTAAAACATTAGGATTTTGCCAGCTGGGGTTTCCTCTGCCATGCCCTTCCTAGGATCTGATTAGAATTTCAAGGATCATCTTAATGATCTGTCTTATTAAATGATTGGACAGCCATGAACAGAATACATCAGTGAGAAAGAGAAGTATTATATATATATATTTTTGTCCCAGCATTAGTATATCCTATTTTTTCATGAATACTCTACAGCCTTCCATAGTTAACTTTTCTAAGTATACTCTGCCACCGTAGAGGTTTCTACGAAGAGGGGTGATGCTATCACAGAGTTTTAAAAAGCTTCCGAGTATATGCATCCTCGCTTTTCTCACAGTTGGCTAATCTAAATCTGTAAATCCTCTTCTTAACACTCTAAAAGTATAGGATTATGATAAGCCAGAGAAAAGGGGAAGGGGAAGGGAGGGTGGCAGTTTTGTAGGGAAACTACAGTGGGTCTGGCACTGCATTGTCTTTGCTCGTGCCCAGTCTTTTGAACTATGAATTGATTGTAGTTAGAAATCACAGCTTTTCATTTGATTTCTTCCAATGGGAGGGAAAAGCCAGTCCTGCCCACGGTTAATGAGATCTTGCTGCCTCAAATAACATTGGAATAAGCAGTGCTAACTTGTTCTCTTGGAGACTACACATACAGCCCACAGTCTTGTTGGCCCTTTTCATTGCTGTCAAACATTCTTCTGATTTTTACTCCTTAGTGCATTATTGATGATCATCCCTAAGTCAGCACTCTTTTCTGGCTCGTCTTCTGTCTTTTGATTGCTTGTGACTCGTCTTCGTACTCAGCCTCATTACTGCACACTGCATGAGGCCTTCTCCACATCCTCCTACAAATGGCTGCCTTCCCTAAGGTAACCAACAGCTTTATTTACATGGGTAGGAAGCTACCTACACCTCATAATGACCTCACGGTGTTCCTTTCTTGTCTGTTTTCTTACCAGAAGTGTTTGGTTTGTCTCCTTCTGTTTTTTATTTCCCAAATCAATGTGACATCGATTTCACTCATTTTTACCTGTTACTTATCTTAAAAGTCTAAATCCATTTCTGGTGCTCAGGTATCTAAGGCTGAAAGACAGCAAATTGGTATCCTCTCTCTTTATCTAAGAGGGAAGGAATGGAAATCTGAAAGTCAAACACTTTTTTTATGTTTCATATGCACGTGAGGAACTTGTGGTATGTGACCCTTTTATAAATATAAAACATTTCTGAGAGTTTGGTAATCTACAAGTTTAGAAATTGTGATATCATTGCAAGGACCAAAGCAAAAATTGTAGTAGCTGTTCCCTGGATTGCTTTGGATCAAAATTTTTCAGCATGATTTAATTCCCCTCTAGTCCTTAGAGCCCAGTACATCCTCACTGCAGGCTGTCTTATTTCTCCTGTCGTTCTTTCAAATAATTTCTGATAACAGTAAGCAAAAAAACTTTTTGATAATCATCACAATTGTAGTTGGCATTAAGGGCAGTCAGTGTTCCTGAAGTGTATGTTTAAGATTGTCTCTGCTTCCCCCACCCCAACTAAGATTGGAATTTCTAATAAATCACTGTGTTGTACAAGTTGGCAGTGCTGGCCATGTACATATAACAGGTGAATTCCAACCTAGAGAAATATTAGTGGAGACTTAGAAAAACTGTGACTGTGGACACTATGATAGAAGTATTTGGCATATTCGGAATTTCCTTTCTTCCCAAAATACCGTGTTTTGTTTAATGAATAAGATAGACATGCAGCCCATTACAACAGCCAGTCTTGGGCTGCTAAGAGTTTTAAGTATAAGGTTGTTGTTAAAGCTATTGAACTTTTAGGATATTTATTTCCTTAAAATGCCTTCTTACGGCTTGTGGTAGGTGTTGAATAAATGTTTTGATTTCCTAATGCATGCAAATTAATATTTATTATTATTTACTATTAGTAATAGTAATGCATATGTTGAGTCTTTGAGACTGTGTCTTAGTATATAAATGGCCACTTTTCCCCTAAAATAATGTCATGTGTCCACCAAATTCAGTAAGGCTAGTGGTTTCATTAAGATGCACTGCCAGGTAGTGAAGCTGTAGCCAGTGTACTGTGGAAATAGGTAATGAAGGAAGATTGGAACTTCCTTCTGTAGACATTCTCAAATGTAGGATGAACAACTTCCTCTTGATCTCAGATGATGTGCAGATATCCTGCTTGGTGAAGAAAGGATGGAGTTGGGAACCCTGGCATGACCCTTGTAACATCAGGACATATTACAAGCTGCTTTTCCACTGCTAATTTTATTCATGCGATGTTGTGTGAAACAAACAAGTGCACAAACAACAAATCAGTTCAGAAGTTCTTCCCCTGAAGAAAGGTTTTTTCCAGTGTTGTTTGTTTATCTTCTTTGCAATAATAACTCTTCCTTCTTCATTACCCTGGTGGTAAGAGAACAATATCAGGGAAGAAAAATGAATTCCCTGATAAAGTATTTCTTATCTGTTCAATTAGCGCAACTAATATAGTGAGATACAGTGATTTCTCAATTAATGAATCATCTAGAGAAAAAGGTCTACATATGGTTAGTTGCATTCAAACCCATACCCCATGCAGGCAGTTGTCTTAGAATATATGAGACAGAGCTGCCTGCATGAGAGTAGTAAAGCCAGGTACTGTAATGTCCACTTTAATTTGTCTCAATCCTGGCAATGTACTTCATTAGTTTTTTTTACATTCTATGTGAGAACATCATTTTATGTGGATGGTGTTCATGAAGACTGGCTGTATGTGCATAAAGCTTTTCATTTGAAAATGTATTTTAAAAGTTAATTTGACCTATTATAATGTTATTTGACATTCTAAATAATATAATACAAATATTTATTATTTTAAGTGTATTTTTAAAAGTTAATTTGACTTATTAATATGTTCAGTCCCAATCAGCAAATCACACAACTGTTAAAAATATTTTATGTTTACAAAGCCAAGCCAAAATTTTATGTTTTCCTCCCCAAACTTTGATATAAACACTAACATTTTTTAGCATGTATAAACATCATTATTAACCAGTGTCCTATTAAAACTCCTTTTCTATGATAGAATGTCTGTGCTTTTAGGTGGATAAGGCCTAGATGATTGGCCTCTACCAGCATCCTCATCTCTGTCCCTGATGCCCAGCTTCAGCCTCGCTCCTGCATGCTGGACCGCTTCAGTGCAGCTCTCAGACTTGCTCTGTGTCTCACATGCTCTTTGGCTACGTGGAATGCTCCCACTCACCCAGCAAGCTCCCATTCCTCATTTAAGATGTAAATTGAGTGTCACCTCCCTCTCGAATCCTACCCAGAACTCTCCAGGTGGTTTGCCTCTGTGCTGATGTTGCACCTTGTTCCTGCCCCTCCAACAGCACTCATGAGAATATGTTGTAATCATTTGTGTATGAATCTGCCTGTATGAGATGCAAGGCAAGATTTGCATTACTTGTGTTTATATCTCCTCAGCATCTAATAGGAACACTAGTTTATGGCATATACTTGTAAGAATTCGTTTAATAACTGAATAATCATAGTCCACGTATTAGAACACACATCTGCTTAAAAAGTAAGTCATGGATCTTAATAGGCAACAGCTTGAGTTTCCTCCTATGCAACCACTCACCATGCCATCCCGCTCACCTCCCCAATCTTGACCCCCAGCACAGAGGGGCCACATTCTCTGTGGTTTCCTCACAAGCTTTCTCGTGATAAAATGTATAATCTGAAGGATCTTGAATAAGTACTACTGCCTACCTCCCTTGGAGAGTTGGAAACAGCAGAAATTAGGATCTAGAAGGCTTTGTGTATTCAAGTTGGGATGGGAGCAGGCACAGAAAGGTAGGATGACCTAGCTTAAATCCATATTTCAGTTTAGGGAGAAAGACCTGGGGCATGCTGTCAGGATAGGAGTGATCCATTACAGAGAGTGCTGCATTCCCAGCGTCCAGTGTCAGAGAGACACATTGCAGAAGGGACGGGTAAGGATGTCTCAAATTCAGTGCACTGGATCAGAAGGCACACTAGCATGCCTGAACCCTTAATAGTCAAATTTTAGGAAAAGAGAGAGGCTCCATCCCTCCTTTCCCCAATAAAGGAGAATAATTTCATCACCACCAGTTTCTATTTCCTATAATTTCCTTCCTTCCTTCCTTCCTTCCTTCCTTCCTTCCTTTCATTTCTTTTTTTTTTTTTTTTTGGATGGAGTTTCACTCTTGTTGCGCAGGCTGGAGTGCAACGGCGCAATCTGGGTTCAAGCGATTCTCCTGCCTCAGCCTCCCAAGTAGCTGGCATTACAGGCATGTGACACCACGCCCAGCTAATTTTGTATTTTTAGTAGAGACAGGGTTTCACCATCTTGGTCAAGCTGGTCTCGAGCTTCTGACCTCAGGTGATCCACCCGCCTCAGCCCCCCAAAGTGCTGGGATTACAGTCACGAACCACCGCACCTGGCCTATTTCCTACAATTTCTATGCTATGAAGTACATTCTTCTAACCATAATGAGAGTTTAAGGCTCAAGTTTAATTGCAGATGCCTAGAAGAGTTAACATATTATCCTCAACAAAAATATGCTGCTAGGTTATTTTCATTCGTCCATTCCATAATTATCTATGTGCACCTCCTAAGAGCTAGACACTGCGCTCAATATTGGGTGTACAGCAGTGAGCCAAATGGATTGTGTCTCTGTCCTCATGCTACCTTGGCCTTTACTAGTTTGAGAAGGGAAAGAATTTTTAAAGCATCTAATAAGGTCAGGAAGATTACTTCTGTGAGATGGGGTGAGTAACATAAAGTGAAAGCTGGAGATCTGAAGAGAAGCTTTTATAACTTCACCCTGATCAGCTCTACCTATCTTCATCTTTGTGGGGGGAAAATAGCAGCTTCTGAAAAAGTGCTCCCTATTCTTGGCTACCAGGTACTCCCAGGTCTTTCATTTGTTAATTCATCAGTGCCTATTAGATGCCAGCTCAGTGTTGGGTAGTGACTGAGAATCTAGAGGTGACAGATGGGTCTACTGTGAAGGAGCCTCAGTCTAGCTCCCTTGTAAGTAGAGTGACCACATCAATTTATCATCCAAACTAGGCCATTTCTGAGAGTGTAGAATAAAAAGGCACCTCTTGCAGAGTGATATAAACATACCTCCTGCAGCTGTGCCTGTTACATCACCTTCTTAGGGAATAACCTATCAAAAGTAAGTGCTGCCTCTTGAAGGAGATTCTGATGCTTCGTCAGCCAACTTGTGTCTCCTGTTTTTGGAGGGGTCAGTGCTATAACTGTAGCCTCCAAGATGGGTGGAAAATATTGACAGACATTTTATGTAGGTTACATGCCTTTCTGGAGAAAAAAAATTCAGCACTTAATTTTTTTTATTAGAATGCACTTTTTAAAAGCTCATTGGTGTCAGAGGGGTTTAATGCAAACTAAAAGGATGACTAATCAAGAAAATAAATAAATAGTTGTAGACTTATACCATACAACAAATATTGGGACGCCTATAACAAGAATGTTCAAGCCGACTTCTCTGTGTCCTGTGGCAGGACTGGTCAGACTTTCTATACAGATTTGATGTTTACTAACCTCTCATTTCACAATGACTCCACGAACTGTATCTTGCAGGCTGCCTAGTGGGTCTCAGCTCTACTAGCCAGTATGTCAAGTTTCTGGCAAGGACGTCGGCACTGAATATTTCTCCCACCACCACCCTAACTAGAAACAGTTAGCTGCCCATGCCACCCTTTGTGTTATCTGCAAGATCTCTCTAGGTTGTCTTTCAAGGAGAGGTGTGACTTACCTTGGATCAGAGAAGAAGGATGATGGCAGTGGCTGTGGGAGGGGTAGAGGAAGGAGAAGGTTATTGGGATGATCTTTCAGATTTAATCATGTGTTAAAATGAGACCTTTGCACAGTGAAATAAGATTTGAAGCTGGAGGTACAAAGTAAAAGTCCGCCAAACCCATCCCAGCTTGTTTTCTTGCAGCAATTAATAATAATTTGTTTAAAATTGTAAAATACAAGACAAATGTTAAATTGAACACAACACCGGGACAAGAGACTTTTTTGTGAAGCATTTGATTTTTTTGTATTCCATAAGTTCTTTTCACTTTCCTAGAATTCTTCTCTTCTTCTACCACTGATTGTGAAGTTTCTGCAAAAAGTTCCCTTTAAACATTTTACCTTGTTAGAGAAACTATATAAAATACTCAGCCAGTTTTCTTATACTTGATCCAAACCAATCCATCAAGAATGGGAGAAGTAGGAAGAGCAGGATAATATTATTTGCAGAAAAGTCTAAAGCAGTGCCACTTACAGTGTGATCCCTGCACTGGCTTGAGCCACATTGTCAACCAGCTACATTATTAAGCACGTTGTACAGTTCAGCTGTCTTTTTTTCTGGGTAGCAAGACTTTCTCAATGAAGGAAGCAATGGTTGACTTACATTCTGGTGCATACTCCATACCTTACGTGGACCTGCAATGAATATTTTGACAACTGGCTACTTTGAGTTTTCACTGATCTAAGGCACAAATAAGGTGATTTTCTAAAGTCTCATATTAAATATTATAAACAGGATTAGATTTCAAGTCTTTCATTTTTTTTTTTACTCTGTGGCCTAACGTAGTGTGAAGTCTTAGTTCACATCCTTGAATTGATTTGATTTCTTATTATTCAAGAAGTGAATTATTCACTCTTACTCTGTACATTTCACTGGCTGTTAAACCTTTACTTTAAAGGTTTTGGAAATTACTACACATTAAAAAAAAGAAGAAGAAGAAATGAAGATAAAACCTTTAAAGGTTTTGGAAATTACTACAGATTTAAAAAAAGAAGAAGAAATGAAGATAAAACCTTTACTTTAAAGGCTTTGGAAATTACTACACATTTAAAAAAAAAAAAAAACAACAACAAGAAATGAAGGTAAAGTAGATGTCCTTCCCCAGAGCAGTGCCGCATAACATAAACAAAGGCTTAGCTCTCTCCTCCTCCACATGACTGGCCACATGTGTGAGAGAGCCTCTGCTTGGGACTGCCACCGTGTGCTGGGCTCACAGTCCTTGCAGTTTCCCTGGGCTTTGTGCTTATGCCAGATGGCTCTGCCTCAGTCGGCTGCATTGGCCCATAATTTAGGTAGCATTCCTCATATCCGTAGATTTACTATCTCATTAATTTTAACTTTTCCAAAGCTTTTCCCAGTCCAGAAGCCACTAGGTTAAATCTCAAGCTGTGTGTGTCCTGTTAATAGGTGACTATCAAAGCACCTCTCTATAAAATGGATCAAAGTAAAGTGAGAGTGACGGTACGAAAAAGTTGATCCTGGGAAGTTATGTGTTGCCTTTTCTTTTCCTTTGGCATATTTCTTCTCACTGATTAGAACTTTTCTGGAATTCACATGGTTCATGTGACAAGATCGTAAAGAGAGCTTGAAGCTTATTTCCATAAGTGTTTGTTTTTTAATCAAGTGATTATATGCATTGAAGGAGACACAAATTATTTCTGATCTTATACATAGACTATATTGCAGAACATTTGGCCCACTGTTTTAATTTGTAGTACTAGCTGCATGTGAGCCTTCCCCTCAACAGTGGTTGTGAGATTGTCATTAGAGTCCTAGAGTATTTTGGCTTATATGCATATCATCTTGTTAATATTTCCAGAATGTGCTCCTGGATGTAAGACTCTTCTCTTGGCATCCAGACATGTAGCATAAGTAAATAAGACCTTCTTGCTGTAGGCAGAAAAGACCTGGGACGACTTTGCTTTGTGCCTCTAGAAATCACAGTTGGGTGGATTCCCTGTGTCATATCACTTCTTCCCTCCATGATGTGATCAGTTCCTTCTCTGCTTTATTTAATTATTTTCAAACTCATGACCTACACATTTAAAATCCGTAGAAGAAAGTCAGGGTTTCTGAACTGTACAAAAAGCTCTAGCACACTTTCCAAGATGCAGAATGATGCTGCTGGAGCTATGCCTGATGCCTCTATGTATGTTTTATTCATCTACTGGATGACCTGCAAGAATGCCTGATAGGCACTCTTGGAACGTTTTACCTCTCGGATTAAGAAACACCTGTGTTTTCCTAATAAAAACTTCTGTTTCTTTTTAGAAAGAGGCTTCTACCTAATTCAGCAAAACCATACTTGTA
Organism: Homo sapiens; assembly: GCF_000001405.40. Taxonomy (NCBI): domain Eukaryota; kingdom Metazoa; phylum Chordata; class Mammalia; order Primates; family Hominidae; genus Homo; species Homo sapiens. The sequence goes on along the minus strand of NC_000002.12, from coordinate 167,979,507 downwards.
TTTATGGGAACGTTTAAGACCTTTATTGTCAGAAAGTAGCCCTAAAAAGACTTCACCAAATATGCGCATGAAAAGATGCTCTATTAGAGAAATGCAAAGTAAACTTATTACAGGATACCACAACAGAGTTATTAGAATGGCTTGAATTAAAGACTGACCATACTAAGTGTTAGCAAGTTTGTAAGTTCTAATGTATAGAACTCTCATACACTGCCGGTGGGAATGTAAAAATGGTACAATCACTCTGGAAAACATTTTGGCAGTTTTTAAAAAATTAAAAATACTTCTATCATGTGATCCAGCCATTCCACTGCTAGGTATCTACCCAAGCAAAAAGAAAATGTGTATCTATACAAAGATTTGTACATGAATGTTAATAACAGCTTTTTTGTAACAGCAGAACTCAGAAATACCCAAGTATTCATCAAGAGGTGAATATGTAAACAAACCGGTATAGCATACAATGGAATACTACTTAGCAATAAAAAGGAATGAATTATCGATCATGTTCCATCATGGACCATGGTCATATTTTTTATTGCTCAATAAAAAATAATCATGATCAATAATTTATTCCTTTTTATTGCTAAGTAAAATAATTATGATATGTGAGAGAAACTAGATAAAATGGGTATGTACTAGATGATTCTGCTTGTGTAGCATTTAGAAAATGTAAACTAATCTATAGTGACAGAAAACACATCAGTGGTTTCCTTGAGAAGGCAGCGGATCAGGAAGAGGAAGATGGGAGGAATTACAAAGGGACACAGGAAAACTGATGGACATATTCATTATCTTGATTGTGGTGATGGTTTCATGAGTGTGTACACATGTTCATACTCAGACTTGAAAAACATGCAATTTGAGGTATGTTAGTTATACTTCAGTAAGGCTGTTAAGCAAACAAAAAGCCTCATCCCTAAGCTGCTTACATTAGTATAAGAAAAGATGTTAGGAAGTATTTAGGAAAGTAATTGTTAAGATTTCAAAGGACGTGGCCCCACTGATAATCCAGTAAATGCCATGAAACCACTTTTGCAAAAATTATGAGGAAATTATGACAGTGGAAGAGATCAGACCTGACTCCATCTTGCTTCTAACCTTTAAGCTGTCCTTGCTTATTCCTGGGAGTAGGCCATTAACCTTGGGATGGTATTTAGTTTATAGTTTAACTCTGAAAATTTTGTTTCAGAGTTAAAGCCCTCTCCCCCGCACCTCCCAAAAAACCACCTCTTGCCTGGGAAACAATCTGCCTTTGTAGGATTAACATATTAGCTACAAGATTAGAAATTATGGTTTAGGGGCCATGCAGCCTCTGTCTGCCAAGAGTCTGAACCACCCCAAAATGCTCCTGGGAATACCATCACTATTGTAAAACCTAAGATCGGTGCTTGAGATATTTTGCAGACCCTGCACTCAGTGCACCAGCTGGCATCACCCAAACTAGTAATCTGGCTCAGTGAGTTTTGCGATCCCACCCAGGAACAGAAGACAGCAACCTCACTTCAACCCCCAATGATTCCATCTCCAAACCAACCAGTCAGCACTCCCCACTTCCCAAGCCCCTTCCTCAGAATTATCCTTAAAAACTGCAACCCCAAATGCTGTAGGAGACTGATTTGAGTAGTAATAAAACTCCCGTCTCCCACACAGCCAACTCTGTGAATTACCTTTTCTCCATTGCAATTCCCCTGGTCTTGATAAATTGGCTCTGTCTAGGCAGTGGCCAGGGTGAACCCACTGGGCAGTTACAGCCATACACCCTCTCCCCAGAAATGTGCACACAAAGTTTTGCCCACAATTCAGAGGGTTCCAAGACTGAAAACCTCTGGTTAAGACACCTATAGAATCCTTACTCATTTTCAAAGAAACAAAGTACTTTTCAACAGCTGTTGCTGCCACTCAACAATCCCCTTTGTTTTTTTTTTTTTTTTCCGAAGCAAGTAAACTAATTCTTACCTTCAACTCAGATGAATTCTGGGTATTCCTGGTAAACATGACTTTATTTCAAGTTTAGCCATTTTCCATACAGCATTGTTATTTCTACTTTCTTCATCCTCATTCTGAAGAGAAATTAAACTATAAGCTTACCAGTACATCACCTCTGTAAGCTAAATGAGGATACAGTTTTATTGATTACACCATTTCATTGCTTTCAAAATGAGCAATAATCACATAATGATTATTGGACACTTCCCATAACATAATGATTATTGGACACTTCCCATTACCACACTGTCAGCTAGTTCATAAAACTGTACCTTAAACACATTAAAGGAAATTCAGGATCAAAATACCAATTTTATGGTAATATTTTAAAGGACAGATCCAGTATCAGCCAGTTTTGTTACGCCAAACCGAATCAGACATTTGCACTAGGACCAAATAATACTAATAAACTGGAATTTACCTGAACTGTAAGGAGAATGGCAGGTGTATTTCTATGTTTTCTTTATTCCTCATACATCCCTTCTATATGTAAATAATACTAATACTCAAGACTGTTTGACATTTTAGTCTTAAAGTCTGCATATCCATAGTACCTGTAACATTCCTAGAATTGTAACCATCCCAATGGGTTCTTCCTGCCCACTGCACAAATAAAGGCCACAGCATTGCAGTAAAAAAAAATAGTTTGATTGACATGAGGCTGGCCATGCCACACAGGAGAAGGAGTTATTATGCAGACCAGTCTCTCTGAAGGCTTGTAGGCTAGGGGTTTTTCAAAGACAGTTTGGAGGAAGGGATGTGGTTGGGTAGAAATGGGTGCTTGCTGCTGATTGGTTGGGGCAGAGATAAAATCATAGGGGGTCAAAGTTGTCCTCTTGAACTCACTTGCTTCTGAGTGGGGCCATAGGAGCAGAGGTTGGCGGGTCCAGGTGGAGCCATGGGTGTCAGACATGCAAAAAACCTGAAAATCTCAAAAGGCCAACCTACAGTAGTGATGTTATCTACAGGCATGGCTGGCAATCATTTATTTCTGCACCTTACCAGAATTCAGGCTCCTCTTCTCCCCCTAGCCTGGTGGTCTCTCATTAGTTTTACAAAGGTGGTTGAGCTTTTGAGAAGGCCTGTTATCATTTAAACTATTAATATAACCTAACTGTCTTCCAAAGTTAGCTGGCCTAAGCCCAGAAAAAATTAAGGCAGCTTGAAAGCTAAAGGCAAGAGGAGGGGTTGACTAGATCAGATCTCCCTCTTAATAATTTTTGGAAAGGCAGTTTTAGAATTTTTTCTAACTACTGTTTTTTCTCACTATCCAGAATTCTATTTCTAAGTGAAATCCCAGGAAAACTGCTTGTAGTATACTCACTTCTTTTGTTATTTGCACTTTTATAAATTTGATCATGAGAAATATCTTCTAAGGTGACTATACTGTGTCCTTCCCTATAGGCAGAGTCTTAGGGTTTCCGAGGAAAAATTTGGAGAGCCATAGATTTGTATGCAGATAGTTTTTTGAGGAGTTCTTTTAAGATCAGTATCTGTGAGGGAATAAAGGAAGCAGAATTTGGCAGATAGAGTAATTGTGTTTGAACTGCAGCAAATGCCTCCTTCAGCAAAGGGAGGAATGAAGCTGAGATGACCCTTAGCGTTGTCCTGCCTTGAGGCGATGGGGCCTTTTTCCTATCATGACCAGTCCTTTGAAGAGAGGGCATGACCTTGGCTAAGCCGGCTTTCTGCGGTCATGGAGAATTCCCAAAGAAGAACTAAACTGATGGTTACCAGCCACCAATAATGCCAGCAGATGGCACTGCAAACTCCGCCTCCCAGGTTTGCGGCATTCTCCTGCCTAAGCCTCCCAAGTAGCTGGGACCACAGGAACCCACCACCACGCCCGGCTGATTTTTTGTGTTTTAGTAGAGACGGGGTTTCACCGTGTTAGCCAGGATGGTCTCGATCTCCTGACCTCATGATCCGCCCACCTCAGCCTCCCAAAGTGCTAGGATTACAGGCGTGAGCCACCGTGCCCGGCCTACAGTCCACCTTTTGCACTACTTGGATCCACCTGAGAATGGTTCTTCTGGATTGGTTGATCTCTTTTCCTGGGGGGAAATTGTAAGAGGGAAGGTTAGTAATGTGAGTTATAGTCCTTACACCTGGTCTTGAGGCCTCTCTGATACTCCTCATCCCCATCATCTACATTCTATTGTAGATTTCCTCTGCTCGTCTCAGTGGGTTATGTGGTTGGGGTGGCCTAGACTCTCATCCTTGAAAAAAACTGAATGAAAATGGTCAGTCTTTGAAATCATGTTTGCCTAGGATATGATACCAAATACTCAATTGAGGTGAACCAAGAGTAATTTATTTGCATTTTGTCTTTTCCATGATGAGTCATAAAATGCAGAACTTTTAATAACAAAAGCTTTAAAGACTCAGGAAGGACAAGGTGGCCATCATGGTTCTCCATGAGTCCATGCTTAATTAACATTAGACATATTAACTTTTGAATACCAGTTGTTTCTCCAAATTAGGTACATAGCACTGATAACTGATGGGTTACCATAGGTAATTTGACTTAGACCATGGAGTTCATTCAAATTGTATATCTAAACAATTTCAATATCAGCTGATTTAGCATGAAAATCAATTTTTGTTCTACTTCAGTTAGCAGTTTTATAACCCAGTCAGTCTTTTCATTAAAATTCCAGGAATTCTTACCCAGTTTGAATGATGTGATTCTAAAGTTATTAGAAACCTGTATTCAAGAGTGCTTTTAGGGTCCTTTCCATCCTTTTGTGAACCTCCTAAAAGACACTATACTCTAGCATTTTGCATGCTTGTGAAGTTTTCAGAAACTGCATGAGCATTAAGCACTTAACCGTGGAAATGACTTTAAATAGTTATAGTTAAAAACACAGTTGACAAATTTAGTTATTTCTGTGGTCTGCAATAACAACATAATAACCATAATTACGATTGATAGCATATACTCAGACATATTAGAATTTTAGAAATCCCATACAATTTTGGAACATATATTAATATCATTCACTAAAATATAACCTGAAGAAGATTAAACTTTTTTTAAATTTTTGACAATGCTTCCTATGTAACTAAACATGTTAAATAATTGCTTGCCTTTCTTTTAGATGCTTCAGGGGCCCTCTGTAGCATCTCAAAGTTAGAGGTCAGAAAAGACCGTTTTGAAGCTCAAATTTGATTTTGGAAAGGCTATCAAATATATTAAGGTTTAAAACACTTGGTATTATGAAATAGAATTCCAGGTTACCATAAGTCATTCATTTAGCCAAAATGATGACTCAAAAAATTTTTAAAGGCAAAAACTTTTACTCACTGATAGGGGGAAGACTTAGCTTTTCAAACAGTCTGTCTCTTTGCCTTCTTTTTTTGTCAGTAGTTTATTCAAAAGACAAACAAAAATCTTTTATTATCTTTTAATATTACATGAAAATTTGTTTAAGAGAGAAAGCCAAATTTCATCCTTGCATTAGTGTATTATTAATGTCCACCCCAATTTTTAATAAAACCTTATAGACAAATCTTTCCAGTCTTAATCAGTTTAACCATAAGGTGAGATTCTCATAAACCTTTTATAACCCTTTACAAATTTTTGTTAAAGAGCATATTAGTACTTTAAGAAAATCCTGTTTGTGCTTTTATTTCAATGTTCAGTTTACGGAAAATACACCTTTAAATTTAGTCAATATATTCACACACAGAATTTTTTTACATGATTAATTTTTGCAGACCTTCCATAACTGTTCAAACCTTTAGCTTATTCTTACTTAATTTAAAACAATCCTTTCACCCTCTAAATTAGGCAAAAATTTGCATTCCTATGCCATCTTACAGTCTTTTACCACAAACGAATTTCATTCTCCTCACACACCTTGCATGTAAAACCATTTTTTCAGTAGTCTCAATCATATGTTATAATGGTAACTCAGCAACATTTACTTTTGATGCATAAATTTTCTTTCACAAATCTTTTCACGACTTACACAGACCATGTTTGGACTTCTTGACTTGTCCTGAACATCCCTGTTTTTAAACAGCCAGTTATTTTACTTTAGGACAAGAATTTACTATACAAAATCCTTTCTGGTATAAAATCCATTTTCTTTATAACCTTCTTTGCATAGCTAGGGGGCATGGCTAATTCTGAATGTCCTCAGGCCTTATCTAGAATCTAATGCTCCAAAATAGGTAAACTGAACAATTTTCAAAAGCCTAAGAAGCAGTTTATGACCTTAAAGCATTTAGCAAACCTAATATCTGACCTGCCTAATTTAGTCCAAATGTCTTTATTTTACCAATAATCTTTAAAGCTGTTTTTATTTCCCAAAGATTACTAAAGTTACATGGACTAAGACATTACAGTTTTTACTTTTCTGACAAAATATTTAAGCACTTATTTTTCTGGAAGCCAATTAATTAGAGCTCTTTTATATAAACATTACACACATAACACATATAACTACACAGACAAATTTTTTATTTGTCAGTTTTTAATTTTTTAAATTGGATTACTGGCTTTAGGGTGGAGTCCTTGGAAGAACAGGGCCAGGAAAGCATGCAGTTTCTAGGGCCTAATAAGCAGGCACAGCTGGAAGGCAAAACAGCTGCCCAAAAATTAAGGGTCTTGTTTTTATACTAGATCTTGGATCCCAAAAAGACCAGAGCCTTAGATTTTGAGGGAGATTTATCCATATCTAATTCCTGGGGTTCCATGAGGAAAACAGATTTTTTTTCCAAATGGGGTCTCTGGCACCTCCTGTTTTTCCCAAGGAGTCCCAGGCTGTTAAAGCTTTAATATCTACTTTTTATTAAGCTGACTTTCAACTATAGCGCCTTTTTACAAAAAGTCCTTTTAAATCTTTTATTATCCAACCCTGGCTAGCCAAATGGCCAATATTTCTGTGTTCAGAAAAAGGAAAATTTAAGATGGTTCGTGGAGGGGAAGAGAATTAACAAATGGTAAAGGCCACACAGTTATGGTGCCAGAAAGTACTCATTCCTGAAGCCAGGAATTGAACCCTGAACCCGGGCCGCCATTGTGAAAAGAGAAAGCAAGGCCACATGGTTACAAGATCAAGCTCCCAAGAACCTAACTGACCAGTTTGCTGGGCTGTCTTCATCAGCAGGCTTATGAGGTCCTAGGCACACGTTTTATCCTAAGATACCCCTCTTTATGGCAGAACAATGCAGAAAGACACACAAAATACACCAGATTTACTATAGCTCAAGATCAGCCTCAGAATTCTTTTCTTGTGGTAATTAAAACTTTACAAGAGAGATAAACAGTGACTTTTACCACTCATTAAACCAGTTTGCACAGAGAGAGGCCAGAGTCTGACTGGTAAGAAATTCTTACCCTTTTGCCATCATGCCAGGCTTCTGGGTTCCCTTTCCCTTAGCAGCCCTAGTGACCCTGCTTGCCACACTGTAGCCCTGGGGCCAAGCCACATCATAAAGGAAAATCATCTTTTTTTTGTTTGTTTCATCAACCACAGGCAAAAAGCCTCTCAATTTTGCAAGTTGCTGCCCAAGGCGTTGCATGGGGTAACCCAATTAACATTTTTTGTTCTGGCCAGAGTAAAATACATGAGACAAAACGCAGACATCAGCCACTCAGCATTGAACTGGCAAGGCTCAAACTTGCCCCTGGTGGGGCCCTGTCTTGTTTAATCCATTTTTAACTGAGAGAGACTTTACTGAGGGGAGGGCCTCTAACCCTATCCCTTCCTTTACTCAGGTAAAATGTACCCCATTACTTATCCAAAGTCAGCCAGTTGGTGCTGCAGTCTTTTTCCTTTGTATTGGGATAGTAACTAAGCTGAAAGATTAGCAGATTTAATTTTTCATTTTTAAATGCACTTCCATGCATTGCTGTTTATTCAGAACATTCCGCAGTAAGTTACCTTTAGTAAGAGCCATTTCTGTAAGACTCTACTGCTTTCTGTACCTAATGTGTAAGCATGAAGGAACTCAGTTTTTCAGAAATTAAGGATCTCATTTTTACCTAAAATATTGGCTTTTCTCTTGGGTTCCCTTGATTAACTTAGCAAATAATTTTTTTCCTACCTACGTGCAGAAGAAAAATGAAACAAAGGGGTAGAACACAAAAATCCCCACAAAATTTTAAAAGCCAAATTTTACACCCCTACAATATTATCATTTGCTACCAGTTTCTTTCTGACCTAGTCAGATGTAAGAGGCCTCTAACTGGATCCAGGCCAGTTAGTTACCAGATTAAATCCATTCCTAGACCCAGTCCAGTTTGTGTCATGACTTCCAAACCCAGTTTGGATCAGAAATTTGCTCAAAGAAACTCAGAGAACTCAAAACACAAATCCACTGGACCTCCAAAATCTGAGAGAGAACTTACCCACTATCTCCAGCCGCTCCGAGAGATTAGTGGATACAAGTGGGTCCTGCAGTTACCTTGCATGTTCACTCAGTGCTCCTGGGGGTCATTAGAAGCTCTTCTTCAGATCCCACTTCTGACACCATCTGTCAAAAGAAAAACTTCAGCCAAATTAAATTTAAAGGACTTTAATTGAGCAATGAATGATTCACAAATTGGGCAGCTCCTAGAATCACAGCAGATTTAGAGAGACTCCAGGGGTGCCTTATGGTCAGACAAATTTATGGACAAAAAAAATAAAGTAACATATAGAAATCAGAAGTGAGGTACAGAAACAACTGGATTGGCTACAGCTCAGCATTTGCCTTATTTGAACACAGTTTGAACACTCAGCAGTGTATGACTGGTTGAAGTATGGCTGCTGAGATTGAGCTTGTTACAGGCGCACACTCCTAAGTTAGGTTTTCAATCTTGTCTGCTTATTAAGTTAGGTTGCAGTTCATCCACAAGGACTCAAATATAGAAGTACGGAGTCTTTCTCAGGCCGTATTTACTTTGCTTTAACAGGGCAAACGAATAGGATTATTGCTTAGGAGACAAACGTTTGTAGAAACTTTCCAAAACAGGAATAGTTCTTCTTTCAGAGAGTCTCAATTTGGGGTTCTTAGTGTCTTAGAATCCTCTAAATTGTATGCAAACTTTTGTGAGCTTGTGCCTGGGGAGAGGGCCTTGAGGATATTTACCAAATACGGTGTACTAGACATTGTGCTGGGCACTGATATCACAAAGATTCATTTTTCCATATATTCATGTATTCAACACAGATTGATATCCGTCTATGTCAGGCACTGGGAGCATAGTAGTGAACAAAACAGTTCCTGTATTCATTGGAGCTCATTTTCTGGGTATGTGGAGTTGGTAAAGGGCCGCATCCAGAAATAATGTATAAATATATATAGCATATCAGGTGGTGATAAGTGCTATGAGAAAGAAGAATTCTGGGTAACGAGAGAGTGACGGGATGGTGGGGGTGTTAATAGGGTAGCCAGGGACATTTGAGCAGAAACTGAAAGAAAGGGAGGGAGGCAGTCATGGAGTCATGGAGGAAGAACATTTCCGGGAGAGGGAATGGCAGGTACAGAGGTTCTGGGCAAGCCCCTGCCCTGAATGCTCCAGGGTCAGCATGGAGGCTGTGTGGCTGGAGCAGGAGCAGCAAGGGAGAGAGTGGTGAGGGATAAGAGGAGAGAAGGAGCAGGAGGCCTGATCAGATGGGTTTGGTAGACCATTGTAGAGACCATGGCTTTACTCTGAGATGGAAGGCCAACAGAGGGTTTTGAATAGATAAGTAACATGGTCTGCCTACATGTTAGAAGCCTCCCCTGCCCTCTGGGTGAAGTCTAGGCCATTGAGGGATCAGGGTGGAAGCAGTGAGACCACAGGCTACTGGACGAGTCTAGTGGCAAGTTGGTGGTAGCCTCACTTGGGGAGCAGCAGCGGAGGTGGTGAGAAGTCATTCGTTTCTGCGTATGTGGATATATTTCAAAGATGAATGTTTTACAGAGATGAATAAGATTTTTTCTGGGTTTTCAGAGTTTGAATCTAGTGGGGAAATCAGGTATGTGACAGATTATTTCAGTACACGATGATAAGAGTGTAGGGGTAGAGAGCTGGAGGAGAATGGAGTTATGGAACCTTTCCTGGGAGGATTCAGGGTAGGAAATGGCAAAAGATAAGCTGGAGCGGTTGGCCGAGGCCAGACCATGGAGGGTCTCACTGACCATGTTAAAAATTTGGACTTTATCCCGAAGTTGATGGGAACAGTTAAACAGCATTGCTCAAGGAGGTAACACACTCCAATTCTCAATCTAGGTTATCCAGTAACTCTGGTGAGTATTAGAAAGAGGGCTCGGAGGAGGTAAGACCAAAGGCAAGGTAAACCAGATAAGATATTGCAATTGTCCAGGGCAGAGAGGAATAATTTATTAACCACTTGCTATACATCAAGCATTATTCTAAGCACTTTATGTGTGTGAATTAATCCTCAAAACAAACCCTATCAGTGAGGCACCATTAATATCTTCATTTCACCAATGACCAATGCATGGCCTTGTGCAGAAAGAGGAGGCTAAGTGAACTTCGTTCAGGAAGGTCACACAGCTGTGAGCAGGAGGAGGATTTGAACCCCGGCACCCTGGCTCACGAATTCAGGTTCTTATACACTGTGCTACAGTGCATCCCATGAAGATAAGAGCCTGGAGATTTAGGGAAAATAATGGGGTGAATCTTTTATTTTGTCCCAAACTGAGTTAGTAAGTTTTCTGTATGCGTGGCTGGATTTCAAAGAAATCTAATTAAAATAAAATTTTAATTTATATTAGTGTTCTAGCAGTATCCATAAGAAACCTACCCTCGTACCATCTCCTTTTCTCCTTACTTAGAGCTTGGATTGTCTCTTTCTTTGCAATCTCATGCTGCCTTTCTGCATCAATCTATTCAGGGTGTCTCTTTGGATAAAACAATATTTTGAAGTCATCACCTTGTCAGGTAACCCAAGACCATGCTTTTGTCTAATGTTAGAAATTTCTTACTATTGGAAGTAGTACATTAGACTCCGTGTTCACTGGTTCTCTTTTCCCCATAGCTTGTGTTTGGAAACAGCTAGAATTAAGTGAATTAACTCACTGTTACCAGAACATGGGGTTGTTGTGAAATAAGCTGGTATCTCAGGAAAAAGTGTATCTTTTGACTGATTACTCAGAATATAGACGTAGACTGTAAATAGTAATATAACTTATTTTTCTAACTGTCAAAATGTGAATAATTTCTCAAATAACTTAAAACAGAACTAGTATTTAACCCAGCAATCCCATGACTTGGTGTGTATCCAAAAGAAAATAAATTGCTCTACCAAAAAGACACACGCATAGTATGTGCATCACAGCACTATTCACAATAGCAAAGATATCGAATCAACCCAGGTGCCTGTCAACAGTGGATTGGGTAAAGAAAATGTGGTACATATACAGCACGGAAAACCACACAGCCATGAAACAGAACGAAATCTTGACATTTGCAGTGACATGGATGCAGCTGGAGGCCGTTATCCTAAGTGAATTAACACAGGGACAGAAAACCAAATACCGCATGTTCTCACTTGTGAGAGCTAAACATTGAGTACACATGGATACAAAGAAGGGAACAGACACCAGGGCCTACTTGAGGGGGGAAGAAGAGAGGGGGGCAAGGTTGAAAAAGTATTGAGTACTATGCTGAGTACTTGGGTAACAGGATCAGTCATACCCCAAACCTCAGCATCACACAATACACCTAGGTAAAAAGCCCGCATATGAACCCCTGAATCTGAAATAAAAGTTGAAATTATATTTTAAAAAATGTGGAGAATTTGAATAGTGCAAGGAATGTATACAGAAAACAGTGTCTGGAGAATGCCTGACTTAGTTTGCCAAAAAAGTGTCGGCTCCGCTGCCTTGCCTCCAGTGGATTACCCCTAGGATGATCTTATTTCCCTTTCTGTTTAGATTCAGGGAAGTACTGAGCATCAGCGTCTTTTCCGTGTGGCTGTTACTGATATTGTTACAGTTTCATAAAGAACAATACTTATCATACCTTAGGCCAAATGTTCTCCAAAACAAAAAAAAAGTAAATAGAAACTTCCAGCCCTGACAGGTATTCAAGCCTAAAGTATGATACAGAGAAACAAAAAAATAGAAAAAAAATTAACTGTTCACATAAAGATACCCTGTAGGGACAGGCGGGTGGGAGGAGTGTTGGTAAAGCCCTAGTGACAGGGCTTGAGGGCCACAGTCCCTGGGGGCCTCAGTGCATATTATTGGTGTCCCTGTTTGCCCAAATGGCAGAGATTGTGGGCTGGGAAGGGAGGGACTAGTTCAAAGAAGATAGCACAATGTCTGCTGCAGAAACCAAGGGGCATGAGTTTTATTTGGGAAAACCAAGAGGGATTTGAAATGAGTCAGTGGCTACTGAGCAAGCAGGGTTCAGAAGTCCCACATTTTCCAGAAACTCGAGTGTCTTACAACACAAAGGTCAGTGTTCTCAGCACAGGCTCAGGCAGCTCTAAAGCAACAGCCAGCCCTACCCAGCCCTTCCTTCTCAGCTCACGTTCCAGGTAAGGAGCGTTTTTATTTTTGAAATCCAGGTGCACAGTCAGGAGATGGGAGGAAACAGTGACACCCATCTTTTTAATGAGCATTGCTACTGGAAAAGAAATTAGCATCACCCTGAATTTTATGTGATGTCAGTTAAATGAAGGTGTTTTATAGCACTTTACAACAAATTAGAATCAACCAAATTGAAAATAAGCCTAGCAGCTGGGATAAGTAATCAGGTAAGTGGCCAGTTTTGCTTATTTTTACTTTGAGCTGAAGACAGAATTTGAATTTTTAATGTCCCAGAGGTGTGAGATTCACAACTGGGGAGTGTGGTTTCTGGGATGATTGTTTAAGATGCAGGCAGCTCCATCTTGCCCTTAGGTCTCCAAGTTGCTTGACACATTCCCTGGAAATTGGCCCTTGTATATATACGTGTACACCGGAGAGAGGGTTGTGAATTAGTGTAGGCTAGAGCTCTGCTTTTGACTGAACATTAGAGAGCAGACTGGAAATAGATGACCCAGAACAAGGCAGTAAATCATCCACATTAACTGAGAAACTAATGAAAGGACTGAAATTTATACGAAGAATTTATGGCCACTCATGAAATCAGCCCAAATCAGAGGAACTATTAGAACACTTTTATGTTTTAAGAAAATGGGTACTGTGTTCATTTGCTGTAATTTGCATGTAGTCAGAGTGCCCTGACATGATAAATACTGGCTTTGGTGGACAGGATTTTACAGCAGAGCTTTGCACTCCATGAGCCAATGTTTCTTGCATAAATGACTTGATGATTTTAGTGTCTAAAATATGTTCAGAAAACTGTTGAAAGGCCACAGGAAGCTTTGCGATGATAACTATTCTGGAATTGGTGCCCTGGGGTGTACCCGATATGTGTGTGCTTGCTTATGTGGGCAAAAGAAAGAGGAGAAAAAGAGGAGGCAGATGGGAGGAGTGTTGGTAAAAATGAAACTGCAGATCACTCAGAATGGAAGTATTAAAAGGGCAACAAATGAAGATAAAATGATGCTTGCAATTATGGTTTATAAAGAGAAATAGGCCATATTGAGTACATAATTTTTCTTTTTTCTCCTCTGCAGCTGATGGATTAAATGAAATAAACTAATCTGCAGAAAATCCATGTATCTAGGTTGTTGTCAGTCGACCTTAGAGAAAATTAAAACTTGCGCAGATTTCTTACTACTTTCTACTTAAATTTTTCTACTTGAAACACTTTTCTCAAAATACTTGTATGTGTACTATTTTATCTTAAAATTTTTTTATCTTAAAAAATTCAGGTAACTTCAATACCTAACTACTGAAGCAGCAGATAATTTTACTCATAAAAAAATAAAAATGACAAACACGACATTCTCCCATAATTTCTTCAGCAGTAACTTCTCCTTCCCTAAGCAATAGCCCTTATTTGACTTTCAGGACTTTATACTTCAGGTGTGGACATGGAAAAAGTAAGTTTTAAGTTTCCATCATCATTAGCTTTTGATAATTCTGTTCATTAGCAGTACCCTGAGCCAGAGGAGTAAGCAGAAAAAACTGACTTCTCTACTGGAGTATCAGATAGATCATTACACCGTGAAGAACAAGGACAGATCTCCAATGAATCCAGCTAATACTGAAAACATATCTGCAGCACTGAGCTCCAAACTGACAGCGTCTACTCTAGTGCTTGACCCTGTTCAGCAAACTTGGGTATTATTCAAGGTGGCACTTCCCTGGTTTGACAGATCACTGTGCTCTGAAAGCCTTAAAACATGCGCTTGAGTTGTAGAGGTTATCCACTGTATTTTGTTGCCTTGATAAAAATGGGTTCAGAGAATTGAGTGAATTTATAGGACAGGGGTTCAAATGTGCTGACCTTCTATTTCCAGAGAAAGCCTTTGTTTTTTTTTGTTTTTTTTTTCTCCCCACTACCTCTCCTCTTTGTTTTGTACTGCCCTCTCCTGGCTAATAAATTTCTTAGTAATGAATATTTAGAGAAGCCAAGTGGCGGAAACACTGGGGGCTGCTATCATTTCTACTTTCCGTTAGAAATTTCAGATTTTATTATATGAAATGCAGAGTTGACATACAGTGATTAATTCAGATGTGCATAGATACAAGATTGCTGAAATGATATCAATTGTTGTAGAAATATCTGTATGAGAGTAATTTGGTCATTTATATGGACTTTGCAATGTTTATGAAAAATGATTTTGCAGTTTATTGCATCATTAGTCAAATTTTCTGAGTCATTGATGTGAAAATCCACTGTTATTGGAAATAATCTGGAAACTTTCTCTCTACGTTTATATTTTACAGTGGCTGCTAATTTACAGAAGATTGTAGATGATCCCAAAGCTTTAAAAACATTGACATTTAAGTTGGTAAGTGGAAAGTTATGGAAAGAAGGAGGTAATATTTTGCCATGCTGTGCCAGCAGGGAATAATAATCTAGTTTAATAACCTACTCTGTAATTTTGCTGTTGTTGTTTTCTTTTAGAATCAATTTTTGCATTTGGAAGCATTTGACTCTGCAGCGTTAGGGAACGTTTTCTGATTGTGACTGGAAGTGTCCTCTTCTATGAGCATAGCTTTTTCTTATCGTCACACCTTTGACTAAGAGCGGCCATATAAGAATCTTGAAGCCTAGATCATTTTGCTTGCAGTTTGTATTGCAACTTGACCATAAAGACAAAATTACACTGAATTCAAAGCAACACTCTTAATAAAGCTTTCCTAAGACAAAAGCCAAGTGGTTCTAACTTTTAAAAATAGAGGCTGATTGTTGTAGAAATGGTTTAGGTAATTGGAAGCAATTGTAGAACAACTCACCAAAGGCTGGCGGACAAAGACACAACAATTTACTTCCACATTTCAAATCAACAGTAACAGATTTTTGTAGAAAGGAGATATTTCAACAGTTATTCTGCACTAGTAGATTGTAAACTTAAGTACTAGGTGGCCACAGAGATACAGAGTGCCGGACATTCTGGGGTCACTGTGAGACCAAGATGGTGGTGGTCAGAAATGGAGAGAAGTCCAGATAGTCAAAAGTGACCGTTTTCCAAAAAATTTTAGCGAACAGTACATTAAGGTACATTTTAAAAATCGTAAGTTAATTTTATCAAAGGCTGGTCAGAATCCCAGAAGCAATTTTAGATCTAGATGACCAACACTTTGCTGTGCACAACATAGATTGATGATCTTTTTTATATTTGTGAAATTAAATGGAAAATGTGGGTGACCAAAAATGCTAAATGATTAGTTACAGTAAATGTGAGCCTGGTGCTAATTAACTTCCTGGGTCTTGCTTCCCATCTAATTTTAGATAGCTAGGCTGTGTGATAAAAGAAAAACACAAAGATTTTCACAGAAAAGATATATCTGAAGGAATTCTTTTTGCTTTGATAAGAAAGTAACATTTTATTCAGATGTAGAGTGCTAGGTTAACAAATAGGAAAATCCCTTTTCTGGTTTGGGATGACACTGTCACCTCTTAATGTGTGTGTTTTTTTTTTTTTTAATGTGAGAGTATATTGATGAGAAAATGGCAGCCTGTGTCAGCATTTCAAGCCAATATATGTCCCTTTATTCATTTTTTTAATACCACCTCAAGAACATTTTCCTAATTTGTAATATGCAAACAGAGATAAGAGTTTGAAACTCTCATGCTGGACTTTTCTCATTTTATTATGAAAGAGGAACAGTAACCCTGGCCCTTTCCTACTACCGAAGATTTTGTGAAAACAGCCGCTGTACAATCTCTAGGTAAACCATAAGAATAATGTAAAACTCTCCCTCATCTCCTAATCAGCTTATATGTTTCTTAAATTCTCTCTGGATTCTGTCCTCTTCCCTGCATCTCCATTTCCTGCACCCAAGCAGGATTCTCTCATCTTCACAAACTAATCTTCCTGCCACCAGTTTGTCAGCTTTTGGCTCTGTTTACCACCCTGTGCCTGTAGCCAGAGTAATCCTCCTACAATCCCAAAATGTGGTAGACACAGTGTTTCCACTGCCCTATTGTAAACCGCACACCCGGGACAGGCTAATGAAGCCTGGTCTGCCCCCACTCCTCCAGCTCTCCTGCTTTACCATTATCTCTGGTAGTAGGCCCATTTCACATCTCGGGAACCTCGGGCTCGCTGGGGTGGATTTGCCCAGGATCACACAGCGATCACACAGATCCTGAGTCTGGAAGCTGCAGACTCCCCCCTGGTCTAGCCTCAGTGCCCACGCTCTCAACAGCCATTCATCTTGGAGGCAGACCCCTGCAGCCTTAGGGCTGTACAGTTTTCTGTCATTTTGTAGATTCCTCATTTTGGATGACTGGGTACATTTACATTGGCTGGGACTGAATCTCCATTGGCTGAGACTGAATCTCCTTTGTACCTTCAGCAGATTGAGTAATAGTGGCCTGTCAGGCACAGGGGAGTTTTGGAAACAAGTCCGTGTTTTCCTTCCCATTACAGCTTGAAAACGTAGTAGTGTGGTGTTCACAGTAAATGGAAATTGATGGCTTATTCTCCCCAAAGATAAAGATGGTTAACGAAAACCAAACTCAGGAGGGACCTTATTTCTGTCACTTAACTTTCTGTCCAGCCCTTGTTAGGCCCCAGGAGGGTTTCTTTGTTGGTATCAGCTGCCAGCCGGTTTGAGATCCACTTGGCAGAGCTAATTTGAACTGGTTTTTGGCCTGATCTTGCATAGGACACTAACATCCCAATAAACTGCAGAGATTCAAATGTATTTACCTTCATTCATCAACTTGGTTATTTTATTCAGGAATAAAAGATCAAAGTATTTCAGCAGCGTTTTTCCTCGTAAGCTGCTGCTGCGCATGGTCCCTTTATCTCTCAGCTTTTTATCATTATTTTCATCTCAGTGCCTTTCATTACTTTTTAAAGGAAAACGTCAGGGGCCTGAAAATTGTCTAAAGAACAGCAGTGTCATGATACTGTGGTTCTTTACCTCCCTGCACAGTGGTTTCACTCAGGGGAGCACTGGGACACTTTAAAAAATTAATGCCTAGGGCCGCAGGGGTGCGCCTCCAGGAATGAATGGTTGTTGAGAGCATGGGCTTTGAGTCTAGACCAGGGGTGAGTCTGCAGCCTCCACTGTGTGATCCTGGGCAAATTAACCCCAGAGAGCCTGGGGTTCCCAAGATGTGAAATGGGTCCTGTTTTAGGACCTAATGTCTGGTCTTACGACAGATATTCTTATTTAACTGCTCTTGGTGCAGCCTGGGCTTTGGGAATGTTAAAAGGACTTCATGGTGGTTCCAGTGTTCAGCAAACCCTGAGAAGCATTCCACAGGGAAGATAATAAGTAGGATTTCCATTGTTGGTATGGCCAGGGGCTGGGAGATCAGATTCTTCTCTTCACTTTTAACAAAGTGGTTCAGGCATAGAGGGCATTTCAGCTCAACTATTATGTGCTTTGAGTTTGATGTATTTTTTTTTAGTAGTGTTTTATTGTTGTAAACCTTGAGACAGGTCTTTATTTTTAAGCCATTTTTGAATGGACTACTTGGCAGTTTTGTAAGTAGGTGAATCTTCCTGCTTTCAATGTGGAATTTTTGAAATTGCATTAGAAAAAACATGAAATAAGATACACTTAATTTGCCTTTGAAGATAGAATACAAATTTTGAGAACATGTAATTAACATCTAATTGGTACACATTAACATGAGCATTATAGACTTTAGTTACTGAAGTTTAATAGCATTATATGTATTGCAGATAGAAATTTCATAAGCATTTTCACAGTGACTAAACGGACTTATTTTTAGAGGTTCTTAGCTTCTGCATAATTGGAGGCTGTATGACTAAGGCAACATTTTGCCAAGTGCAGGTAAAGTCAAGCCTGAAACTGGGTAAAAACTACCTAAGCGTTTTAACTTTCTCCTCCTACTGAAGGGGTAGAAAAGTGAGACAAAGATCTTCAAGGAAACTTCCAGTTCCAGAAGGTCCATGTCTCTGTGCCTCCTACTCCCAGCCTAAAAGAGTGGCTGTCCACATGTGGCCCCCAGACTGACAGTGTCAGCTTCCCTTGGGAACTGGATTACAATGTAAATTCTGAGACCCCATCTCAGGACTAAGGAATGAGAATCTCTTGGGGGCTGGGACACAGGCATCCGTTTTAACAAGCCCTCCAGGTGATTCTGATGCAGGCTGAAGTTTGAGAACCAATGCTTTAAAGGAAACTTGTAGTTTCACACTGGGAAGCACTGGGATAGACGAGTGGTTCTCAGACTCTATGGTGGGGGGGTGGGGGCACCTCACACTCTCCTAGTGATTCCAAAATGCACCCGCATTTGGGGTGGAGGCATTCCTTTTCAGTGACGCCAGGTAACCATAACTTCAGCTCCTCCATGGGGTGCAGGCCACACCTGCTGTCATGGCGGGAGGGGTGAGGAGATGGAGTGTTCAGGAATCAGAATACACCCTGAGTAAGAGCGTGCATGATGTCATACGCTGTCACATTAGGTCCCTGATAATGTATACATTTTCCTTTGGCAGGGGAGGCAAACTGTTATCTCTGCCTTCTTAGGGTTTTTTGGCTGGGCCTGGAAGTAAACCGACATAAACAGATTAACAGGAGAAAAGCATACATATTTATTTAATCTAAGTTTTACATGACATGAGAGGCCTCATAAAGAAATGAAGACCCAAAGAAGCTGTTAGAATTTAGCACATATATTGAGTTGGATGAAGCAATAAATGATGAAAGGGGGCAAGGCAGTGGGGGGCTGGGACGAGGGTTCATCGTGGAGAAGTGACTAGGAACACGAGGATGAGTTTAACAAGGTTTGTTTGTGTAGATGTCTGTCAGGGGCTTCAGCTCCCCATCTCTGGTGATCAGAATAGCTTTCTTCTTCCAGGTGCAGGGAGGAAACCTTCCACTTGGGAGTTTTAACTCCTGCTTTTAGGAAAGTCAGAGGGCCCTTCCTGCATCTGCTGCTGTTGTTTTTTAAAGTGTCTTTAACGCAAAACCATGAAATAGAAGAGTGGCATATTTTGGGGTAGCGTGTTCTGAACTTCTCCTTCACTTTGAAATTGAGGCTCACAAAGCGTGGGCCTCAAACTTCTGAGTTTCCCTGAGACCCTTCTAGGGGATCCTGGATGTCAAAACTCTTTGTGACTTGCCTTTTCCACTGTGTTGACGTTGGTGTAAAGCCGTGGTGGGTAAAACTGGTAATGTCGGCACACATGCAGCAACATCAGACTGCACTAATAGTCACTGTGTTCCTCAGAGCCAGGCACTGTCACTCACTGTAAAAAAGCAAAGCCAATTTCACTTGAGAATTTTCCTAACAAGGCAGGAAACATTATTGACTTTATTGAATTTCAGCTACAGGACACATCTTTTGAGTGTTCAGTGCTATGAAGTGGGAATCCCTCCTTCATTATACGGGTGTACATTGACAGTCTTCAGGAAGAGCACTTGTGAGATTGTTTGGTTTGAGCTTACCTACATGTTTTTTCTTTCTTCATGAAACATCATTTTTACTTGAAAGAATAGCTGACAAACTGGTTTTTCAGACTCGGATATTTGGCAGACATTTTTTTCAGAATGAAGTAAGACTGACACTTAAAAAAAAAAAAAACAAAAAGCTGATGGCCGGGCGCGGTGGCTCACGCCAGTAATCCCAGCACTTTGGGAGGCCGAGGCATGTGGATCACGAGGTCAGGAGATCGAGACCATCCTGGCTAACATGGTGAAACTTCATCTCTACTAAAAATACAAAAAAAAAAAAATTACCTGGACATGGTGGCGGGCACCTGTAGTCCCAGCTCCTCGAGAGGCTGAGGCAAGAGAATCGCTTGAACCCGGGAGGCGGAGGTTGCAGTGAGCCGAGATCACACCACTGCACTCCAGCCTGGGTGACAGAGTGAGACTGTCTCAAAAAATATAAATAAATAAATAAATAAATAAATAAATCTGACAATATTTGTTGTTGATAATAAATTCAAGCTTTCAAGCAAAAATAGGATTTTGGAAAACTTGTATCGCTACTGTAAGCTTGACAGTAACCCAGTACTTAAAGACTTTTCTGATGAGATTGGTGATGGGTGATGTTAATGGGTATGATTTGTTGACATTGTATAATGAATTGTTCATATTGTATAATGAAACATGTCAACATTTAGAAGATCTGCATAAGTCAGTGATGCTTAAAGTCATGCATGGGTAAAAGATCCACTCAAAGTGCAAGGTAGACCAATAGATTTTAAGGTAACAGGGTATGAAAACTTCAATACTGTGGTTTCAGAGTGTACATTGCAACTAACATTAAAGAAATTGCCACTTGGAAAGTTCTAGTGCAGTAATAAATGATATCCACAACTATTTGGAAAAGCTATCAAAATACTCTTCCCTCTTTCATATATATTTGTATGAGGCTGGATTTTTTTTTCATGTGCTTCAAGGAAAACAGCATAAAACAGTAGATTGAATACAGAAGTAGGTATGAGAATCCAGCTGTCTTTTATTAAGCAAGACATTAAAGAGGAAATGTAGAAGTCAGGCCACTCTTTGAGTTTTCTTGCAGTGGGTAGGGGAACTATGGTTATTTTCCATGAAGATTTTATTTATGTTTGTATGTAATGAGTTTATTATTGTTAAGTTTAATGAATTAGTAAAGGAATATTTTTAAAATGTTTTAGTTTTAATTTAAGATAGTATAATTAATTTATGTAAACCTATTTTATGTTTTTAAATGTACTGTTTATATTATTACTTCAATATCTTGACATAATTTCAAATAATATATTTAAAATACTTTTTAAATCTCTCAGCTTTAATTTCTAAGACAGTCAGTCTAACGAATATAACCCACATAAGCAGACACTTTTTGGAGTCCTCAGTAATTCTTGAAGAGTATCAAGAGATCCTAAGACCCCAAAGTTTGAACATTGCTGTTTTGAAGGGTCATTGGTTCCTTTCTCTGAATTTCAGAGTCATTTGCATATCACCCTCATTTGTGCTTTGCAAGCTGAGAGAGCCCTGGACTCAGCAGTGAGAGCCCAGGTAGCAGAGGAAGGAGGGCTGAGCGCCTTGAAGCAAACACAGCCAAAGGTCCTGGCCAGGAGACAGACATTTCAGTGTAGCTATGGGAGGCACTGAGGACCCAGGGTGGGTAGGAACTTTGTGAAGACTCCTTCTGTGATGTTCTCACCGTAACCACTGGTTTATCACCTACTCTAGTAAGTTCTCATTTCCATTACTCTTCACAAGAAAGGATTTAATATTCTCATTTCTAGTCAGTTCAACCACTATTGGATATTGTAGTTTTATTCTAGTCATTTTAACCTCCTGATATTCACATTGCCAAATTTCTGATGAAGATTTGAAGTACATTGGTGTACTTCACATTTGGCAATGTGACCTTTTTGTCACCACCAGCAGCCATAGTTTGTCTTTGGATGTTTGTCAGTTGCCTGTTAATTACACAGGTTGTCTGCCATTATTCAGTGGGTTGAGTAAATGATGTTAACAAGAGCTACACATGAGAGAGAAGGGATGATTTAGGAAGGTAGATAAAGAAACAGTGATAACACAAGGAGAAAATGGATAGGGAAGGTGAATATTACAGTGTCAGTGTGACACCACCAGAAATACCTCAGCCAAAATGCCCTCTATGCCTGTACTACTTTGTTGAAAGTGATAAGGAGAAGAGCATTTCAGACCTCATCGCCCCTGTCAACACAAACAATGACAATTTTACTTCTCTGAACATCTTTATCTGTCAGATGAAACCAGAGATATCACTGGATAGGTACAAAGTAAATTCCTTTCTTTAAATACTGATTAATATTTTTATCCTTTAGGCTAGTGACTTTTTTACATAAGCATAACTACTTACATAGGATGTTATTTTAAAGATAATCATTTGAAAATATTCAAGGTACAAACATTATAGTTAGCTGATTATTTAATAGAAAATGCTAGAGTTGATGCTGGTTTTCTGTACTGTTTTTTTGAACAGTTCAAAAAACAGTACACTATGAACAGTACAGTTCAAAAAACAGTATAGTACATATTCTAAATGTATACAAGCAGTGCTATGCAGCTTAATTGTGGTGATTGGAAAGGGCACGTTTCCATGGGAAACTAATTGTTGTGACAATAATTTAGCAGGAATTAGGCTCTGAAAAGGTTTGTATGATCCTTTGGTAATTAATTGCCCATTCCCAGTCATTCATCATACTTTTTTCTCCCTTCCTTGTTGTTCTTATGTAATGTCCAATTCTGATTTATGTACTATAGGATGAGAGGCAGCTTAGAATGGTGGATCTGAGGGGGCGGGGGGGGAGAGAGAGAGAGAGAGAGAGAGAGAGAGAGAGTGTGTGTGTGTGTGTGTGTGTGTGTGTGTCTAAAAGCAAGCAAGGGGGAGAGGTCACAAGAAAAACGAAATAACTTATTAATTAGGACCAGTGAGAGGTTTGAAGGGAAATGGCTTCCTTTTTTTTTTTTTTCTGAGGTGGAGTCTCGCTCTGTCGCCAGGCTGGAGTGCAGTGGCACGATCTCGGCTCACTGCAACCTCTGCCTCCCCGGTTCAAGTGATTCCCCTGCCTCAGCCCTCAGCCTCCCAAGTAGCTGGCACTACAGGTGTGTGCCACCAAACCTGGCTAATTTTTTGTATTTTAGTAGAGACGGGGTTTCACCATGTTGGCCAGGATGGTCTCGATCTCCTGACCTCATGATCCACCTGCCTCGGCCCCCCAAAGTGCTGGGATTACAGGCGTGAGCCGCCATGCCTGGCCAAGGCAATGGCTTTTTTCCAGTTCTGTCTGATTCTGAAGTAAGAAAAATAAAGTATTTGACACACCATAATTTTTGCCAATTTTAGGCAATTAATATGTCTGAAAATATAAACAAAATTCTTTTATAGAAAAGAATTGTTATAATACCTTTCCCTGTAAAACTTATTCACTGGTATTTATATAGCAGTTCTCTCTAATGAGCCCATCGCAGTACTTGGTGATGACTTTTTCCTGGCAAGTTTCATAGAAGAAATGAGTTTGGTAAAAACTAAATTACTCCTGGGTGACCTGTTAGATCTCTTCTGCTTATTTTCATGTTGTTCTCAGAATGATTACTAAGGTGATTTAGTTAGAAAGTATATTTAAAATAATTTTATTTAGTTTTTGAAAAATTTGTTTGTGGTTTCTTAGCAGGGGTGTTTCACTGACTGTTCCAAAGCTTCCAGCCTGGGCATGGTATTTTAATGGATAACAAATCCCTTCCCACCTCTGTTCTGTACTTCATAGCATGATGGCCACAGTGCTGACAGCACTTAGCTTCCAGTAGTCATTCGAGAGAGTGGCTGGCGTCTCTCTTCTGGAAGAAATGGGACACATGGTCCCATACCAACTGTGCCTTTGCTTAGATCTGCCATCATAGGAACAAGACTTTAACAACCAGCAGCAGCAGCAAACCAGCATTGAGGCTTTCTTTTTCCCTTTTCAGGCTTCTGGCTGTGATGGGTCGGAGATTCCTGATGAAGTGAAGCTGATTGGGTTTGCTCAGTTGAGTGTCAGCTGATGTATGTCCCTTGATGTCACCCTGATCTGTCATGCCCCACCGCCACCCCTACTCCCTTCAACCCTCCCTCTTTCTGCCCATTTCCTCCCACCCCCTCACTCCCATTTCCTAGCAAAATCAGAAGATTGTGAAGAGGCCGGCTTCAACAAAATGGGATAAAAAAATAATTTTTTAAAACTTACAACACTCCGAGTTCTGCTTTATTCTCTAGCAATCCACAGTACAAGAACAAGCAAATGCCACAGCTGCACGACTGTTGCTCATTTTTCCAAAAGCTATTTAATATTCTTAGCAATCAATTTGGATATCCCTTAAGTGAAAAGAATCTGAAATACACTCAGGTGGTCTTATTTATTGGCAACAAAAGGAATTTTCTATCCAGAAGCCTATTTCTCCTTTCATTGTTGTTATTTCTGTTATAATACTTTAATTGTACATCTGACAATACTGCCTCTTTTATGTTGTATTTAGAAATTAATATACTTATAAAATTAAGATTTATTAGCCAAACTTGAATTCTAGTTTTAAAACTGACTGTGAATTTTATTTTTCATATATTTATGCATTACACACCTTAGCTATAAGAAAAAAAGGGTTTTGATTATATGCTTCTTGCAGTTAATCTCGTTATTTAAACAAAAAGTTTTGGGTCTGTCTTTGGAGTATTTGTAACTTCTAAATTTTGAAATGACTGAATTAGGAATTTGGATGCTTATTCTTTTAGTCTGTTTGCCTAAAAACCAATTTACAATCTGACTGTCTCTTGGGAGAGGGAGGTGCCTTGCAAACTTTCACATTAAGAATGTGCCTGAGGCTGCTTTACTCTGGAATAGTCTCAGATCTAAAATTTCCTCTATATAAGGTGGCATATGTTAAGTTTTGCTTCATTGGACCGTTTAGAATGCTATGTAAAATGTTGCCATTCTGTTAGATTGCTAACTATATACCCATCTCTGATTTGGCTCTCCTTAAGTGATAGGATTTGTTATTCTAAAGGTGATAAACTTGAAAATATCAGAATCTGAGTTTTACTTGAAATTTTGCAGAATACCCAGGTGGAGTGAAAATTGGAAGGGTTTTGTGCAATGACTAAAAGGTAAAACGCTGTTAAGGTTCAAGAATCAATACTTTCAACCCAAGTAGCCCTCTGCTTGACTGTATATTATGGAACTAGTAAACCTTAGGATTTTGAAAATTGGAGTCTAATCTTTCAAGGAGGTGGGCTCCCAGGATGGTACCATTGCTCTTTCCTAGCTAACCCTAGATATGGCAGCTCTTTAATGTACTTCAAAAAGCAAATATATATTACTAAGGAAAAAAAGTTATTTATAATTGCCTTGTCATAATTGTTAAGGTGTTCTAGAGCCATTTGCATACAATTTAATGTAATTTCATTCCATTCTATTGTTTACACAACGATTACTCGAAGATGACTGCAAAGGTAAAAGGAAAATAAAAGTGTATTGCACAATGAGATTGTTTTGCATTGTTTCTTTCCTCCTTTAGATATCATCTGCATTACTGCAATGGCATTTAGCACTTTCATAAAATGCCTAGTAAGAGTTAACTAGTGAAAGTGCCCTAGAGGCAGAGTGAGGAGGCATCATGCATCCAGTACAGAGAACTGGGTTTGACAAGTAACTTGAATTAGCATGAGGAGAGAATGAAAGGCAAACATTTCTACTCCATATAGACAGATGGTCTTCGAATTAAAACCCCTATAGGGCTATAGGGGACAAGAGAGAATGATTCCTTCCAACCACTTCATTCATTTTAATGCTGTTAGTCCCTGAGGCTCAGAGTGGTTGAATGACTTGTCCAAGGCCCTTTACAGGACTACTTGCAGAGCTAAACTCCCAGGATCCTCACTTCCTGACATTCAGAGCATGTTCTTTACACTCTTCTGTACAACTTGTGGGTGAAAAGACAAGACCCTTATCTTCTACTAAGAGGATAAAATGTACATGAATAACTGGAGGACTTTGCAACATGGAGACTAATCAAAAATCTTTCAGAGGGGTGGACTCCCAGGATGGTGCCATTGCTTTTTCCTAGCTAACCCTAGATATGGTGGCTCTTTAATATACTTTAAAAAGCAAATATATATTACTAAGAAAAAAAGTTATTTATAACTGCCTTGTCATAATTGTTATATCATTTAATATCTGTATTTAGACATGGTTATAAATATCATTTAATGTCTGTATTAAATTTCCACCCATATTTTCATATCCATCCTAATGGCATTTGAGGTAGTTTGCATACATTCATACAATAGGATAGAGATGTAAAAATGCATAAAGAAATTAGGATGAAGGGACAATAAGAACTGCCTTACAAGGTGAATGCAAGGATAAAGTTAGTACATAAAAATCACCACGAGGGCCTATATAATTGCTAGAATACACAGATGTGGACTAGAGCTTCCTACCCACCATACTACCTTAATTCCCAACATGCAGAGCAATCTACAAATTCAGTATAATCCTTATCAAAATTTTTAAATTGTATTACCCACAGAAATATGAAAAACAATCCTAACATTTGTATGGAACCACAAAAGACCCTGAATAGCCAAAGCAATCTTGACGAAAAAGAACAAAACTGAAAGCACCACACTTCCTGATTTTAAATTACATTATAAAGTTATAGTAATCAAAATAGCATGGTACTGGTATAAAAACAGACCAGTAGAACAGACTAGAGTCCAGAAATAAACCCATACATGTATGGCAATTTTTGACATGAGTGCCAAAAATATACAATGGGAAAAGGACAGTCTCTTCAGCAAATTTTGTTGGGAAAACTGTATATCCACTTGCAAAACAATGAAATTGGACCTTTATCTTACAACTTAAAATCAACTCAAAATGGATTAAAGACATTATAAGACATGAAACTCTAAAACTCCTGGAAGAAAACAGGAAGAAATCTCCTTGGCATTGGTCTTATCAATGACTTTTTTGGATATGACACCAAAAGCACAGGCAACAAAAGCAAAAATAAAGTGGGATTATATGACACTAAAAAGCTTCTGCACAGCAAAGGAAATAGTAGACAAAGAGCAAAAGCAAAAATAAAATGGGATTATATGACACTAAAAAGCTTCTGCACAGCAAAGGAAATAGTAGACAAAGAGCAAAAGCAATCTATGGACTTAGGAAATATTTTTAAACTATATATCTGATAAGGGGTTAATATCCAAAGTGCATAAAGAACTCATATAACTCAAGAGCAAACAACAACAAAACATTAAAAATAGGCAAAGGACTTGAATAGATATTTTCCCAAAGAAGACATATAGTTGGCCAATAAGCATATGAAAATGTACTCAACATCATTTAATCATCAGGGAAATGCAAATCAAAACCACAATGAGGTATCATCTCACACCTGAAGATAAGTGCTGGCAATGATATGGAGAAAAGGGAGCACTTACATGCCTGTTGGGGGAATGTAAATTGGTACAGCCATATGGAATACAGTATGGAGGTTCCTCAAACATTAAAAATAGAACGAACATATAATCCAGCACTCCCACTTCTGGGTGTATAGCCAAAGAAAAAAAAATCAATATCTTGAAGAGATATCTGCACTCTCATGTTCATTGCAGCATTATGCACAATAGCCAAGATAATGGAAACAACTGAAGTGTCCATGCATGTATGAATGGATAAAGAAATTGTTGTGTTGTTTTGTTAAGAGACAGAGTCTCGCTCTGTTGCCCAGGCTAGAGTGCAATGGCATGATCACAGCTCACTGCAGCCTTGACCTCTCAGGCTCAGGCAATACTCCCACCTCAGCCTCCCGAGTAGTTGGGACTACAGGTATGTGCCACCAGGCCCAGCTAATTTTAATTTTTTTTTTTTTTTTTTTTTTGTAGAGACAAGGTTTCACTATATTGCCCAGGCTGGTCTTCAACTCCTGGGCTCAAGCGATCCTCCCACCTCAGCCTAGAAATTGTTTTATACACACACATACAATGGAATACTCTTCAGCCTTTAAAAAGAAGAAAATAACATCACTTGCAATGGCATGGATGAACTTGGAGGACATTATGCTAAGTGAAATAAGCAGATACAGAAGAAAAATTCTGCATGATCTCATATGTGGAATCTAAGAAAGTGGTAGTTATGAGGGGCAGGAGGGCAGGAGAAATGGGGACGTGTTTATCAAAGGGTATGAAGTTTCAGTAATACAGGATGAATAAGTTCTAAAGATCAAATGTACAGCATGGGTAGTATAGTTAATAATGTGTACTTGAAATTTACTAAGAGAATATATTTTAATGTTCTCACCATATACATAATGGTGACTGAAGAAATATATAGGTTAATTAGCTTGACTGCAGTTCACTGTATTAAAACATCCATTTGTACACCTTAAAAATACGCGATTTTTATTTTCAAAAGTTAAATTAGGAGAAACACTTTTTCTGGCATAAATTCTTAAAAATTCTTCTAGGAAGTAGAAGTTGTGTATTCAGAAATTTTTAAATTCTCAAAACCTTCATACAATACATATACAGCAAGTTGCGGACAATTTCCTTTTATGGATCTTTCAATAGGGGCCTAGAGTTAAACTGTATGGTGAGAAATGCAGGTCAGCAAGGAGCTGAAGGAGCATGGTCCAAGGAGTGACTCTCTCTTTTGATCTAGAAAGATAACAATCATCAAAGCTAAAAGTTTAAAGGAATGAGTAGACTACATATCCTTCAAGAAATCCTCTGTGCCTGTTTTTCTTAACCAGGCTTTTGATTAAAGATGACATGCCACAATTGAATGTTGTAATTCTGTTCAGCTTCCCTAAACACAGATATTTGGTATTACTTATTTGGACAGATTCACATGCTTTGAGAAACTGGAGGGTTCACAACCTCTTAGTAAAATCACGGCACCCACATCTCATGCCTAAACATGTACAAAAGCTATTGTGCCTCTAGTGTGCCTATACTGTGGTCAACTCAAAAAGATGTAAAATAGAAGGAAGTTCTCATTCATTTTACCTCCAATATACAGGGTTGGTTGGTTTGTTTTTTGAAACAGAGTCTCACTCTGTCACCCAGGCTGGAGTGCAGTGGCGCAATCTCAGCTCACTGCAACCTCCGCCTCCCAGGTTCAAGCGATTCTTCTGCCTCAGCCTCCCGAGTAGCTGGGATTACAGGCACCCGCCACCATGCCAGGCTAATTTTTGTATTTTTAGTAGAGACGGGGTTTCACTATGTTGGCCAGGCTAGTCTCGAACTCCCGACCTCAGGTGATCTGCCCATCTCAGCCTCCCAAAGTGCTGGGATTAGAGATGTGAGCCACCACTCCTGGCCTAACACCAATATGCAGTTCTTATATGAACAAAATGGTTTTCTGTATGTAAAAAACATTTAAAGAGACTTTAGTTGTTTTTTACATGTTAGAGAACTTTAGGGAGACTTTAAATGCTTTTAAAACATTAGAGAACTTTAAACCTATAAATCGTGTGGTGAAGAGTTCTTACAAATTTTTTTCCCCAAAATTTCCCTCATAAAGCTGGGAAGTTACCTATATGTTATATATCTTATGTGCTGATAAATATGGTTGATGACTGCCTCATCTCCATGACCATGAAAAAAAAAATCTACTACTATATGCAATGACCTTAACATGGAAGAATTTCACATCAGGATTGCCATTCATTCATTTAAATACTGTACCTATGGTCTGTTTAGTATTAAGTAATATACCTTCCTGATGAACCCACCAAGTTGAACTAGTAAACGGAATCTACCATTAAGTAATTAAATTATTCAGTCCATACAGAGATGATGAATATGAGTCAATGAACATCGGAGGACTTCTGCCTAAGTTAGCATTTGCAGTTGATAATAAGTGATCTTCGGTCTTCTTTTTTCTTGTAAGTATATTGGACAGGAGAAGCTGTTGCTTAGCAAGGCCTATTTAGTTCATCATAGAATCCTATCAGTATAAAATAGGATGTTTATCCATTCTTTACACAGAGGGTATGCTTCCAGCTCATCCCAAAATGGCTTTATATAATTAAGATTCAATTTAAATATACCCCTGTTTTTGTGTTCCACACATTTATTGTCCAACTTGTTAGGAGATCCTAGCTATGAATTCTGATAGGTGTCAGTGGTGCACCAGGTGGGTGATATGTCAATATTCCCTCAGGACCAGAAGGTTCTAACCAGGAGGTATGTAATGCCTTCCAGGGTTCTAAGTTTCAAGAGATCTAATACTAGGCCTAATAGCCATAAACAAACGGTTTTCAAATGACAATTTCCATTGTGTATTGGCATGAAATAAAAAATCAAGTGCTATGAGTTTGATTTTAAGAGATTTCCTTTATGTTGATGCCGTACTTCCTGGAGTTTTCAGCTTGGGGTGTACACTACCAGGTATGATTAAAATGTTCAATGCATCCAAAGTGAAAGGATTGGAAGAGCATGTGTTTAAAATATGATAAAGTGACTGACTCTGTCAACATCCTACACAAAATATCTGCCAATTAACATCAAACACCACCAAGAAAAGGGCTTCTCCCAACCCACTAGACAAGCCATAAAAGATGGTCTCGAAAATGCCCCAGTGATTGCCCTGATGCTATTTTGCTGCAGAGAAAATGCATGGTCAAGTAACAGTGATGTCCCTTTATCTACCATCTTGCACCTCGCCCACCAAATCTACCCAGGCTAGTTGAAGCTCTAAGAGCAATGGAAATAAAATGGACACAATCAGGTTATCAACAACTGTGCATTTTTTAACAAACCAATGGATGTCTTAATGGAGCATCTTCAGGTGAACAAGGATCTTATACTGAAGCAATGTACACAAAACTTCCCCCTACATGAATTGTAGCCTACAAAACAAGCATCATTAGCTGAAGAGGTTTATCGAACCCATATACTTTAACTCATAATTCATCAAAGGGCAAGCAATGTTATTAAAAGTTACTACCCTGTGCTATTGTTGATTGAATTTGGTACAGAATGATGAAAGGTCAGTAATAGAATAATCATTTCTACTGTGCATTTATCCCTCATGTAAAGTACTGGCTTGAGAAACAAAAGCTTACATCACACAGGAAATTTATCACAGAAGAAACAGGCTTATTGTTTAAAAAGAATCTTCAGTAAACTAATGGGTCCATAATCGGAGAAGTAGGATAGTGCCTTTCTTCAAAAAGTGGAAGAGATAATACTGTGGTCCAACCTTGACCCAAATGAACAATTTGGTATTGAACTATTTCAGCAGCAGGATGTAGATGTGTTAGGTAATACTAAGTTCAAAATCAACATGTGATCAGAATCAGATTGAGTACATTCAGGTAGTTTTTTATATACTTAAGTCTTCTTTTTCTCTTCCACACTCTGTGGGAAAAAAGGAACTCAGTGAATCAAAATGAAATGGAGAATTGAGGAAAAGCACAACCACATGGCCTACTGAGATGCCAGTGCTGTTCATGCTTATTGGGAAAGGCTGAATTCAGGTCCACCACACTATTTTCCCATTCTAGAGCATTGTATGAAGCTTGGTCCTATACATTATTGAGTTTGAGTCCCACAGTAGTTCTGTGATAATGTGGATACGTGCACTAAGGAACAGTATTAAGATCTATGTCTTACTGTGTGTTGTACCAAAAAGTTTGAAAGCCACTGCTTTCAGCCATTTTGAATGTTTTCTGGCTATTACTTGCAGCCCAAAGCAGTCACTCTGCTAAGCACATTATACTATCTCATTTAATCTTAACTCTGTCAGTTAAGTGTTATTACTCCCATTTTAAAGTGGAGAAAACTAAGTCTTGGAAAGACTAAGCTGCCCAAGATAACAAAATTAGTACTACAATATGAAGCAGGAATTTGAATGTAGGTTTATGGGGTTCCAAAGCCCATGCTCTTAATCATTATATCAGACAACCTCCTAATATAAGACAAGACACACTTTACTTCAGGTTTGCTGTGGGCCAGACATTAAGCCAAAAGCTTTTCCTACATTACCTTTCTTAAGCCTTTCCAACAACTTTAGGAAACTGGTTTCACTATCTGCATTTTATAGATGAGGAAATAGACGTACAGAGATTGTAAGTAACTTCTCCAAGGTCAGCCAGCTAGTAAACGGCAGAGGGGATTTGAACCTAATTCAGTCTGACTCGAGAGAATTTCCACTATACCGTGCTGCCTTTCAAAGGGCAAATCCAGGTTTTGTGGAGCCTAAAGTTTATACATTTTGGAGTAAGAGACTCAACGTTTTGGGTACAAAATTATTTGCAGAAAATTAGGTAGAGTCTTGGAAGAGGCCTTGAAGATTATTGCTGGTCACTCCACCACCGTGCCATAGGCTTTTCATTGCACTTGCTTTTTATTTTGTTATTTGTATTATAACTAGCTTTTATGTTCTTCAGTCCCTTTTGTGATATGCCTTCCAAATCTAGAAAGGTAAGTAATTTTCCCAAGATCAAAGAACAAGAAATAGTTGTATGAAAAGGGACCATTTCAGTGTGATTCTTTATCTTAAATAGACTTAAAAAATACAACTAAAATTTTTTAAATAAAAATAAACCAATTACATTCTGTGGTAGTAACATGTAAAACCCGAAGGTCTTCTGCTGCAGCTTTGCTGCTGACTGTGTGACCTCACTCAAGTTCCATTTTACTTCATTAAGCCTCGGTGTACTCATTTTTAGATTGAGAGGGATTAATTAGTTGATTATTAACTTCCTTTCCAAGATGAACATTCTAGAGGCCTAATTGAGCAGAGGAAGGAGTAAACCGGTTGCTGCTTGACTGAACTGGTCCATCCATTCAGCTGTAACAGTTGAGCTGTTGGTGAATAGGGCTTTAGAAATTCCAATCAGCTAATTAGGGTCTTTTGTTATAGCAAAGAATTGTACAGGGAGAGTCAGGGACAATCTACTGGAAGTTACAAAGAGGTGGAGGGTCATTGCTCTACAATGCGGCTTTATTGCTTTCTGCTTTTTCCCCTGGAGCCTCTTAAAGAAAGCTGGTGGGCAGGAGGAGGGGGAGAGAAAGAGACAGCCTCATCTTCATCCTGCAGAAATCTGCAGACAGCTCTAGGCTCCAGGTGAGCATAGCCCTAAGGCCTTCTCTCAGGATCTGGGCTGCTTTTGTGGATATTATTGGTGGCACCATCCCTCTTGCTTGGAGCTTTCCCCTTCTTTTGGGTGTGGCTGTGAATCGGGGCATGAATGGCCAGAACAGACAGTGGGCATAACTGAGGAAGCGAGAAGTGAGGAGGAAAGAGTCTGACAAATAGTCCTACCCACTCTCAACTGGAGAAAGATAAGGTTCATGAATTTGGAAAGGAGAGCTCTATTTCTCATAAACGGTTGCAGCCTGCAGGGTGACCTTCTCACAGGCTAGGCAGCATAGCCTCTGGCCAGATGCCAGGAACAGACACTTTAAGGGAGGGGCAAAGAGAACAAGAATTTATAATCAACAGGGTGGCCAAATATACATATTCAATAAGCTATAGGAGGAGTTATGAATATTTATAAGAGGAGAAATAGGTGCATGTGCAATTGAGCTTCGTGCCCCTTCATTTGACCCATATTCAAGAAATGGCAGCCTCAACATGATCTGAGGGTGAAGTTTTCACCCCTCTGACGTCAAAAAGTGAAGCCGAAGACGTGGAAACCCTTTCTGCACATTCTCTGTGGACTGGCCAACTCAGTGGTTGGTAGTCTCTCATCTGGCGAAAAAGGAGAGGCAGGGTCAGGTGGTTGGGTCGTATCAGAGGAGGAGTCTTTTGAAAAGGTCTGGTTTCTGTTTAGCCCTTAGGGAAGAAAGCCCAATAGCTTTCTTAGCTATTAACGAAGCTAATCAGCTTAGTTAGCAAGGGATGGGGTTCAACAAGATGTGTCTTACTCCCCCGATTCTGTTGCTTCTGGAAAGAGTCCAGTCTAGATCCCAAGAGAGGGCTCTTGTACTTCATGCAAGAAAGAATTTGGGGCAAGTCCATAAAGTAAAGTGAAAGCAAGTTTATTAAGAAAGTAAAGGAATAAAAGAATGACTACTCCATAGGCAGAGCAGTGGTATGGGCTGCTCAACTGAGTATACTCATAGTTATTTCTTGATTATATGGTAAACAAAGGGTAGATTATTTATGAGTTTTCCAGGACGGGGGCAGGCGATTCCTGGAATTGAGGGTTCCTTCCACTTGTAGACCATATAGGGTAACTTCTTGGCATTGCCACGGCATTTGTAAATTGTCATGGCTCTGGTAGGTGTGTCTTTTTAGCATGCTAATTTATTGTAATTAGATATAATGAGCAGGGAGGATGAGCAGAGGTCACTTTTGTCACCATCTTGGGTTTGGTGGTTTTTGGCCTGCTTCTTTACTGCATCACGTTTTGTCAGCAGGGTTCTTGTGACCTTTATCTTGTGATACCAGGCCTTACCCACCTCCTCTCCCATCCTGTGACTAACAATGTCTGACCTCCTGGGAATGCAGCCCAGTGATCTCAACCTTATTTTATTCAGCTCCTATTCAAGATAGAGTCGCTCTGGTTTGAACACCTCTGACACCATTATGGCGAAGAATTCAGTTTTTAAGGTTACTCTGGGATCCCCTTGGCCAAGAGATGGTTGGTTCGGTCAGTTGGGGGACTTAGAATTTTATTTTTAGTTTACACCACTTACCCTGAACATGTGGATAAAAGCAGCCATATTGTTCTTGTTGATTCCTAGGATTGAAGTCAAAACCCAAATCTTGGAAACTGCATATTCCTAGTATTTCTAGCATTTTCCTTTGTGAATTGTTAATGATTAATTAAAACTATTAAAAGATAGTTATCATTACTAAAAATAGTAACCACAGAGTGCCTACCATATTCCAGTTGCTTTTCATATGCATTTTGTTGTTATTAAATTATGCAAAGTAGGTATTCCTGTGTCCAATTTACAGCTAAAGGAAATGAGACTCACAGAATTTAAGTAACTTATCCATCGTCACACAGCCAGTAAATGGCAGTCCTGGAATTTGAACTTACATGTGTCTTCCCACCACGCCAAATCGTCTCCCAGTTAAATCTCCATTTTCCCTTATTTATTATGCTATTTGATTGCCTTTCAATCCACCAATATAGTGTAAGCTTCTTATA
Organism: Homo sapiens; assembly: GCF_000001405.40. NCBI lineage: Eukaryota > Metazoa > Chordata > Mammalia > Primates > Hominidae > Homo > Homo sapiens. The sequence goes on along the minus strand of NC_000002.12, from coordinate 167,944,383 downwards.
GGAATTATTTCATATGAAGCTTGAAATGGTAAACAATGTGGTATGGACCTTTATTTAACATTTGTTGGAAAATCCAATAATACAACTGGTAAGAAACAAAGAATCTACCGAGAGAAATATATTGTTGAAAACCAATGATTACAGTCAGACCAGCAGAGAATCCAGACTATAAAAATTGCAAATGGTAGTTGGAGGCAGCTCAAGAAAAGGACAGTCTGGCTGGGTAGTAATATTTGCAGCTGTTCCTCTGTGCTGGCAGCCTTTCAAAGCCACAACTATTAAATGCATTAATAAAAGGAATGCTGTGATAGCACCAGTCAGCTGTGCAAAATGAAGTTAAGAGTGATTGACAGATAAGTAGACTTTAAGCAGCAAATTGCTGAAAAGATCAGCCAGGAGCTGTGAAACATGGAATGATACTTTACTGTGGGTTAAAGAGAAAAAGAGTTGATTTGTCCTTGACTAGACCTATCTTAGGGATCAGTCAATTTTTCCTTGAACTTTTTGGTACCAGAATGGTATAGAAGAAGAAGGTTAAACTACTTTAAGTATTACCTGGATAATGCTCACTACCATAAGGGGATTACCTCTGAGTCCAAATCCTTCCTGTCTTGTTTTATGTAGCTCTTTGCCTTCTATCAGAAAGAGAGACTTATTTTTATTTGTTTATTTTTTTTGAGACAGGGGCTCGCTCTGTTTCCCAGGCTGGAGTGCAGTGGCACAGTTACAGCTCATTGCAGCCTCAAACTCCAGGGCTCAAGCAATCCTCCCACCTCAGCCTCAAGAGTATCTGGGACTACAGGTGCAAGCCACCATGCCCAGCTAATTTTTTTTTTTTTTTTTTTTTGTAGAGCAGGGGTTTCACCATATTGCCCAGGCTGGGAGATTTACTGTTAAACAATGATATAATGCTGGACTCTATTGGGTAGTGTGATGGTTAATGCTGAGTGTCAACTGGATTGGATTGAAGGATACAAAGTAATGATCCTGGGTGTGTCTGTGAGGGTGTTGTCAAAAGAGACTAACATTTGAGTCAGTGGGCTAGGGAAGGCAGATCCACCCTTAATCTGGTGGATCAATCTAATCAGCTGCCAGCGACTATAAAACAGGCAGAAAAACATGAAAGAGGGAGACAGGCCTAGCCTCCCAGCCTACATCTTTCTCCCATGCTGGATGCTTCCTGCTCTCAAACATAGGATTCCAAGTTCTTCAGTTTGGGAACTCAGACTGGCTCTCCTTGCTCCTCAGCTTGCAGACAGCCTATTGTGGGAACTTGTGAATGTGTAAGTTAATACTTAATAATATATATATTCCTATTAGTTCTGTCCCTCTAAGAGAACCCTGACTAATACAGGTAATACAGGTAGGGTCCTCTGAGTTTCAGAAAGCAGCTCAGTGTTGCCTTTTAAGAAGAGTGTTACCATTGTCTATGCTCCATTTGTTCAAGGAGACTGCATTTGCTCATGGCAGACATGGCTAATCAATCACAGTTCTAATCCTCATTGAGACTGAGTATTTTTCATTACAGCAATCCAGACAGCCTTGACCATTTGAGGTTGGCACTTGTGAAAACACAAGAACCTCATGTTTATTTTATCCACAACCATACACATACCACTTAGCTTACAGTTATGTAATAAATGTTGAATTAATTAATTATTGTCATGGCTGATTTATACTAATTCCCTCAAATTTAGAGTCATTAAACATAATTTTGAAAAGATCACAGGATTTCAGAGATCATCCGATCTAATCTCCTGGCAGTCTTCCTGGGAACTCATGCTTCTAACCCTCAGCCTTGTATTTCTTACGCTCTGCACAGAAAGAAATTCCCTTTCTGTTAAAGGAGAAAGATCATGCAAATATGAGATCAGACAGCTTTCTGAGTGGAGCCAGAGGTCGTGTTTCTGAAGCTTTTAATCATAGAGAGAATATGTTAAATGTATGATAATCCCCAGAATGTTATCCCAGAGACACCTGCTCTGGAAAAAACACCTGAGTATACAAGCAGATATTGGATGCATAAACTTAAAGTTTTAGCAAATCACCTTGAAGTCCTTAGCTGCAAAGAAATGATTATTTTTTCCACAATGACTGAGCCAGGGAACTTTCTCTACATTCCTGTGCTGAAGACGTTTGAGGCTGAGATTCTGTATTCATTCAGCCTCCAAGGAACCCTTTGCCCCGGGTCCATCCAGGTTGAAGGAGAGCCAAGCCCTCTCCAAAATAACGTTTTCTTCAAATATGTTGTCCACCTAGCTCAGAACACATGACAATGGCAGTGTAGGTTTTTCAACAATTTTTCAACTTCCTTTTCTTATTTGAATATGGAGCATCGTACCTTGTGCTGACTTTGAGAAAACACAATCCATCTGTAGCCTCTAAAAAGCTCTTGCATGTAAGTCGAATCCTGTGTCCCCTTTCGCTCCTTGTTTTCTGCCGAAGACCCCTTCGCTGTGCTGGAAGTGGGGTGGAGAGCTGAGGATCCTGAAGTGCCCTGGCTCTCGGTCACCACCATGGCCTCGCTCCTCCTCTGTGCTTCTGCACGCCAGCTGTGCTGGCCTCCTTGCTGTTTCTCTAACACACCAAGCACTGCTTTCATGGTTTCTTCAGAGACAGGCTTCTTCCAGATCTCCTTAGCTAATTACCTCTCCTTCTTCAAGACGCTGCACACATATTACTTCTTCAATGTGGCCTCCCTGAATTCTATATTTAAAATTCTAACCTTCAACCCACCTACCCAGTACTCTCGATCTCCTTACTCTGCTTCTTTTTCTTTTGCCAAAGCGCTTACCACTGTCTTTAAAAGTCTATAAAATTTACTTAGATTATGTCTGATATATATTGTTTCATGCTGCTCCCCAGGGTTAGAGACCTTTGTTTTGTCAACTGAGGTATGCAAGCTCCCAGAACAGTAACAAGGATATTACAGGCTCTGAGTAAATACTTACTGATGAATAAATGAATAATTTCTTAAGTAAAAACACAGGGAAAGCTGTGAAACAACAGCGACAGTTTGGCTGTATCGCCACCCAAATCTCAACTTGAATTGTAGCTCCCAGAATTCCTGTATGTTGTGGGAGGGGCCCAGGGGGAGGTAATTGAATCATGGGGGGCCGGTCTTTCCCATGCTATTCTCGTGATAGTGAACAAGTCTCATGAGATCTGATGGGTTTATCAGGAGGTTCCGCTTTTGCGTCCTCCTCATTTTCTCTTGCTGCCGCCAGGTAAGAAGTGCCCTTCACCTTCTGAGGCCTCCCCAGCCATGTGGAACTGTAAGTCTAATTAAACCTCTTTTGCTTCCCAGTCTCGGGTATGTCTTTATCAGCACTGTAAAGACGGACTAATACACTCCTTTTCGTGTAGCCTCAAATTTAATCAATTATGGGTTTATTTGACTTAATGGATGTTTCTTTTAAAATACAAATACTATGGTACTGGTGCTAAAGACTGTCAGTTACTAACACATTATTGTGAATCCATTTAAGGTAATCACTGCCTTCCACTCTCTAGTAGAGACCAGCTTCCTGACGAGAATGAGAATGTCTGAGGGATGTAGGATATTTTGGAACACAGACCACTTCAGGCACCATGGAAATCCTGGGTGGAAGCCAGAGTGGGAAAGCCTAAGGCAGCAGAATAGGATTCAGCCTGGAGAGATGGGAATGGTAAAACCGTGTTTACATTTTAATCTTTAGTTGCTGAGATGATCTTTTAAAAATCCCTCCAAGAAAAGCTTGTTTAGATCAATGACCGCCTCCCTTAAATCAATAACATCTGTTGGCCAAGTATATGTAAGTCTATGTCCCAAAATGTGCCCAGCAGGAACTTATTTAAAGGAGTAAATGGCAATGGGGATGAGCATTTGATTTCCTGGATTGCTCCATGTGTCTCTTGCCAGGAGACTGAAATGCTTATTCGATTTGCTTCATCTAAAAAGAATGATTCAGTTTCTCATGCAGCTCTCTACAGGCTGGTCCAGCTGATTAGCTATCCAGATGTCACTGCCCAACACTGTGGCACTTCCACAATTTATTTGGCCACCATGAATAATACCAATATTACAGCCCACACAAACACCATTTTATGGCTATTTTATGATTGTTAGATTGTTGATGGTCAAGCTGTTTTCAGAGTCAACACATCATTGTGTAGTGTCCTCAAATACAATCACAGACCTGAACCAAACAGCTTTGGGATGATGGTGAGAGGCTGTGGGGTTGGCATAAGCAGTGGTGTATTAAAGAGCTCAGGCTTAAAATTTTGTGATCGTTATAGTTATTCACACTCTATAGAGCTAGAGAAGCTTAATGAAATCATTTCCTTTCCATCTTTCCTGGAAACCAAATGGCTATTTGTGGTATGATATGAGATTTTTGAGCAAACGAGAGAGAGATGATAGAATGAGAAAACACAGGACTCTGAGGGCATCACGTCCCTCTGAGCCAAATGGAGGGAAATCTTTACAGAAATGCTGAAAATTCCCCTAAAAACCCTTCTGGATGTAAAGTCTTTCACAATAAATAACAATAGCTACCATTTACTGAATGCTCACTCCTTGCCAGGCACTGTACAAGCAAGATTGCACTTAATCCTCACAATAGCCCTCATTAGCTTATTGGGTAACTTCCCATATGAGTTACCTCCCATTGGGTAACTTCCCATATGAGTTACCCATATGCTCTACCACCTCCCAAAGTGAGGAGGTGGTAGAGCAAGAGCCCAAACCAGTGGCTATGATAACACCCAGGTCCTCCTTCCCTCTGTTACATTGTCTCCACACAAAAACCAAGGCGGGATACTGAGGTCTCTTGACTCTGTCTGCGGACAGAGGGTTTCAAGACATTATTTTACACCAGAAATCTCCCTCATTTGAGCTGGGTGTCAGGTTTTGGGGTATATATGCCACGAATATAGGAAGAGTATAAAGAGCTTTTTAAAGTTTAATTTCTTTTGAAATAAACATGTTTACATTTAGCCCAGGGTAGATTGTCCATAGTCAGGAAGGTGTGTCTGGTTTCCCCAGTGAGAAATGAAATTCTTTTGCTCAATCCTAGAGCCATCTTTCTCCTCTCTTTTAACAAAGCACCCTCGCTGTTGGTCCCTGCAAGCTTCAAAGAATAAAAGGCAATGCAGAGAAGGTAAGGTCTTGGTTTGTTTCCTTCACAAAATGAACCAAATGTTTTCTCTTCTAAAGCAAGAACCCAGAGAGTTGTCATTAGTCGGCAGCACTGATATGGGGATTAGGCGACTTCACGTTGTCTCCTTAAGTGTTTTTAAAATGGGTTAATGTGAGGGAACATCACATTTCTCTGTTGCCAAATGCCTTTGGGGATGTGAATGAATAATTTGGGTAAAAATTGGGGAAATGGCTGAGAAAAATGCTTCTCTTTGATTGAACAGGGGCGAGACATAACAGCCTTAGAGCTCTGTGATTTGGAAGGGTGTCTGGAGAAGAGCCAAGGGCTTAAAAATTAAGTATATGTTCAGCTTTTATGGTAAACTTTATAAGTACTTATGCCATTGGGTATCACAGGAGGAGAGTTGAATTAGAAAGTCAATAAACACACAAGCAAGAAAAAAAAACAGAGTAAAAGTGTTCTCTTAATTTTTTCTTGACCCATTAAATGCCCTAGATCCATCTGATGATTTCTTAAAGAATTTCTTTCCTCCATATGCCTCTTTTGCTACTATTTACGCTGTATAGCTGCCAGAGAATGCTTTTTTTACTACTAACAAAAGTCATAAAAACCAGTCTACGATAGTTTTTGTAAAAATGTTGCCACAAAATTAAAGACACAAAAGTCTACAACTCCAAAGTGAAGCCTATATTTTGCAGCTATGCTAATTTTTCTGAAAAGTCAACAAATAAAAAGTACAATTCTAAACTCCATCAAATGGCCAAAGTAAGCAGATGCTAGTGAAATACTGTTCTGTAGTGATGACATTAAGCTCATTGTCTCTGCTGCAATCCTAAATGAATAACTTCTTTAACTTCTACATTATTCTTGCAATTCTAGCTTGCAACAATATTTTCAAGTATGTCTGGGTCGATATTTGCTTTTTTAGTTGCTTATATTACAAATATTATATTATATTATATTTGCTTTTTTAGTTGCTTATATTAGTTACTTATATATTGCTAAATATATTATATTTAGTTGCTTATATTATATTGCTAGCTTGCAACAATATTTTCAAGTATGTCTTGGTCGATACTTGCTTTTTTAGTTGCTTATATTACAAACTATGTAAGCAAGAATTATTTGTATTATAGCACCCAAATGGAGTACCAGAAATTATTGATATTTACAATGAAACCAATATATAAAGCCTTAGGAAATAGAGAATATGAGCTAGTGAAACTCTCCCTTTAACTAAAAGGAGCATGAAACATCATGATATTCAGTTTTAGCTGAAACAAGAGAAAAAGAAATAATTGCAAAATGTACACGCTGCACCATAAACCTGTTTATCTTCAAGTAGTCTTTCTGGAGTCCCACTTAAATGTAGCTGAAGCTAGACAGATGATTTCCTATCCACAATCTCAATTACCAACACAGTTGGAGCGAACTTTGGAGACAATGTGGGTTGTTCACATAGTAATCAAGTTTTCCTAACCTGAATAGAGACTAAACCAAACAAATAGACACCCAACAAATATTTGTGAATTAAAGAAGGGATGGAAAAGTACAATTATTGAGTCAAACCAAGGTCTTTTAAAAAAAGGTTTTCTTGAGCTGGGGTCTTGCTCTATTGCCCAGGCTGGTCTCAAACTCCTGTCCTCAAACTATACTCCCTCCTCAGCCTAACAAGTATCTGGGACTACAAGTGTGAGCCAGGCTGACTAAGCTCTTAATTTTTTTTTTTCATTTCTTGGGTCTTGAAAATAAAGGGCATCATAATACCTGACAGCTTCACTTAGAGTTAGAACATTCCGACAGAAGTCACAAATTTAAGAAATCCTGTGCCCCAGTCATGTCTGTCCACATATGAAGAAAGCTGGGCCCAGAGAGAAGGAAGCTTCTTGCCTGCATCACACATAGCTTGTTACTGGTAGAGCTAAGGCTTAAACTTGAATAACTACTCGCAGGCTCACGCTCCCTTACGGTGCCATTCTGCCTCCTCTTTGCCTTCACCAGGGTGTCAGCCTTATCTACAGTTATCCCTCTGATACTATTTCAGTGACTCGCTGACTTCTAGAAATGTGAAATCATCTAAGGTACCAGTAAAAGCTTTAGGGGTACAAGCAATTATGCATCATGTTAGCTGTGAATCTTCCAGAGCCCCAAATATTGACAGGTCATGGAATGGGCCCACGACATTGGACACTTTACCTGCTTTTTGTAGCTGACTACATGGTAAACATTTTATAGTGGCTTGTGATTTTCCAAGGCTCAATCCCCTAAAAAATACTTTGTTAAGGGGTATTATGAATGCAGACTGACAGTTCTAAAGTAGCAAAAGAAAGATTTTACCAGGCACATTTTGATGTGGAGAGAGGTTTTTTGTTTGTTTGTTTTTGTTTTTCCCATCCCCCTTTGGAAGTTCTGTTATACTTGTTTAGCATAACATGTTTATAGTGAGACAGCAGTTAATATATTAGCATGTCAGCCATTATATTCCTGACAGGGAATTGAGCACAGATAAATGGATTCTTAAAGAGACTTCTAATACCTGCACTTATACGTAGTCTGCAAGCTAGAGAAAAAGCAAAACAATGCACATAAGTGTAAATATGCATGGCTGGTAGTGGAATGATCCTCAGCTGCTTTTTTTGACAACAAAGCCTATTGGCCTTAATTCTTTTTGAGACCGAGTCTCACACTGTCACCTGGGCTGGAGTGCGATGGCACGATCTCGGCTCACTGCAACCTCTGCCTCCTGGGTTCAAGCGATTCTCCTGCCTCCGCCTCCTGAGTAGCTGGGATTACAGGCACCTGCCACCACACTCGGCTAATTTTTTGTATTTCTAGTAGAGATGGGGGGTCTCACTATGTTGACCAGGCTGGTCTCGAACTCCTGACCTCGTGATCTACCCGCCTCAGCCTCCCGAAGTGCTGGGATTACAGACGTGAGTCACAGCACCCAGCCTTTTTTTGTTTTTGTTTTTTAAACATGGAAGTTATATTAGTCAGGGTTGTCCAGAAAAACAGAACTAATGGGGTGGGGGTAGGAGAGACAGAGAGAGATAAACATATAAAGAGATTCATTATAAAATTGGCTCATGCAATTACCGAAGCTGATAAGTCCCAATTTCTGCATCAACAGGCTGGAGATCAGGAGAGCAATGGTGTATTTCCAGTTTGAGTCCGAAGGCCTGGGAGTCAGCAGAGCTGCTGGTATATTTATGCCCAAAGGCCAATAAACTCAAGACCCAGGAAAAGCCGATGTTTCCATTTGAGTCCAAAGGTAGAGGAAGACCGATGTCCCAGCTGGAAAGCAGTCAAGCAGAGAGAGTGAATTCTCCCTTACTCCCTTTGTGTTCTGTTCCAGTTGATTGGATGAGGCCCATCCACATTAGGGAGGGCATCTGCTTCACTCAATCTACTGATTCAAGTGTTAGTCTCACCCAGAAACGACCTCACAGACATATCCAGAATAACACTTGACCAAATATCTGGGCACCCAAATGTCTGGGCACCCCACGACCCAGTCAAGTTGGCAGAGAAAATCAACCATGACAGCAGGGATACCAATGCATTCATTTTCTTTTCTTTCTTTCTTTCTTTCTTTCTTTCTTTCTTTCTTTCTTTCTTTCTTTCTTTCTTTCTTTCCTTTCTTTCTTTCTTCTTTCTTTCTTTCTTTCTTTCTTTCTTTCTTTTTCTTTCTTTCTTTTTCTTTCTTTCTTTCTTTCTCTTTTTTTCTTTCTTTCTTTCTTTTCTTTCTTTCTTTCCTTCTTTCTTACTTTCCTTTCCTTCTTTCTTTCTTCCTCTCTTTCTCTGTCTCTCTTTCCTCTCTCTCTCTCTCTCTCTTTCTTTCCTTCTTTCATCTCACTCACTCTGTCTCTGAGGCTGGAGTGCCGTGGCACAATCACGGCTCACTGCAGCCTCCACCTCCCAGGTTTCAGTGATTCTTGTGCCTCAGCCTCCCAAGTAGGTGGGATTATAGGCACCCTCCACCATGTACAGTTAATTTTTTGTATGTTTTGTAGAGACGGGGTTTCACCATGTTGACCAGGCTGGTCTCAAATTCCTGACCTCAAATGATCTGACTGCCTCAGCCTCCCAAAGTGCCAGGATTACAGGTGTGGGCCATCGAGCCTGGCCTCCACCAATGCATTTCTGCCACATAGTCATTTTCATTAGTTGAGTGGGCAATTTTCTTAAGCCACTTTACCTTCTGTATTAGTTTTCTAGGGCTGCCATAAAGTACCACAAACTGGGTGGCTTATACAACATAAATTAATTTCCTTACAGTTCTGGAAGCTAAAAGTCCAAGATCAAGGTGTTGGCAGAGTTGATTCCTTCCAAGGACTGAGGGAGAATTTGTTCCACGCCTCTGTCCTGGTTTCTTGTGGTTTGCTGGCAATCTTTGGCATTCCTTGGCTTATAGATACATCATCCCAATATTTGCCTATATTTTCATGTGGTTTCTCCTTGTTTATGTGTCCACGTCCAAATCTACCCCCCCCCCCTTTTTTTTTTTTTTGGAAACGAAGTCTTGCTCTGTTGCCTCGGCTGAAGTACAGTGGTGAGATCTTGGCTTACTGCAACATTTGCCTCCCAAATTCAAGTGATTGTCCTGCCTCAGGCTCCCAAGTAGCTGGGATTACAGGCACCCACCACCACGCCCAGCTAATTTTTGTATTTTTAGTAGAGACAGGGTTTCACTATGCTGGCCAAGCTGGTCTCAAACTCCTGACCTCAAGTGATCTGCCTACCTCGGCCTCCCAAAGTGCTGGGATTACAGGCATGAACCACCGCACCCGGCCCAAATTTACCCTTTTTATAAAAACATCCGTCTTATTGTATTAGGCCCAGCTAATGACCTCATCTTTACATTGATTACCTCTATAAAAACCCTGTTTCAGTTCACATTCTGAGGTACTGACAGTTAGGACTCCCACATATTTTTTGGTGGGGAGACACAACTCAACTCATAATACCTTCTGAAACTGAACAGCAGTTTCCTTGTTTCAAAGCAATGCTACAAGAAAAACTTGGAACTGTAACATCCCCCTGCAAACTGGGAAGGAGCTAAGAGACCAAAGAATGATTCAGACAAGTCCAGCTTGATGAGTAGATGAGTCTATCAGGACTTATGTACATGGCACTCCTGGATAGCGGCAGGACAGCGCTGGAGATCTGCGCCACCTCCCGACTCCAAACTGCTTTTAAATTAATTTCCTGGCTCTTTGCCTACTGTGTTTGAGTGATGAGACTGTTTTTCTTGATCGGTTCTCAGATACTCACTGGGATGTTTGGGTTCTTAGAGACACCTGCTCCTCGGTTGGGCACCCTGGACTTGGCTCACTGCCCAGCCTTCAGAATTCAGGCAGTGGACATACATCCTTAAGTAACTTGGTGGGGGACCCATCACACTACAGATGTAACGATAATAATTTGGCTCAAATCACTTTCTAGTTAACAATCTGGTAAAAGCAATAAGTAGGATAACCATATAACTTATTAAGTCAAAACAGTTACGAGGCTAAATTTTAGTAATACTCACTGAGACAGGGAGCAAAAACATGTCCCAAGCAAACTGGGATGCATGTTCCACCCTAGCTATATAAGATAACATGCCAGGTGTAGAGACACTGAAAGCTCCTTACTCCGTCTGCCCAGGTCTTCTGTCTCAGCAACTGAATAGGACTGGCTGCCATCAATCATGTCCCAGAATGAGGGTTTTAAAAGAATCTCACAGCGTTAATGTCAGTGTTGTGCAGCTTCCTGCAGTGGCACATCCAATATCAGACCTCCCAATCATCTTAGTATCTCTTCCGGTCCCAGTGTTTTGCTCTTATAGCTCTATCCCTCTTCTGAACATAATCATGATTATAATGAGATAATTGATTGTGTTCCTAGCAGTTTGGTATCTGGCTTTTTCACTAGATTGTTAGCTTCCTGAGGGCAGGGGCCATGTCTCTTGTTCTTCCCTGTATCCTCAAGCAGCTCATGCTAGATTTTGCCAATATTATGTGCCATCAATATCTGTTGAATGAATGTAAACAGCACTTCTAGAAGTACTTAATAGATGGTGGTTAAATAAATGAATGAGATACATACACATATACTGAAATAAAACTTACTAATTCAAGTTTTCCCATTATTTTTAAGAACCTTTGGAATTCTCTACTGCATACTCATGGGAGAATAAAAATGAAAAGGACCAAAATGTCTCAGTATTCTTATAACAATAATTTTGACCTTACAGGCCTTTGAAAGGGTCTCAGAAACCCCTGAGTACTCCCTGGATCACACTTTGAGAACCACTACTGAGGACAAGATAGAAAAGACCAGGGTCCCCAGTTGGTTGCATGGAGCAGAACCCTCTAACCGCCCCACTCCCTACCCCTAGGACGAGCTACCAGCATAGGTCTTCATATAAATTGTAAATAAACCTTCTACTACCTTATGAAAGCCATTGTACTTTGATTTCTGTTTCAGCGATCAAACCAACATGCTAATTAATACAATCGTTTGGTTGTTACATAGTAAAGAGGAAAGTGAGTTACTTCTTGTACCAAGCCTTGACTAAAGGCAGGAAACCAATTGTAGATCCAGAAGGTCTTCGTTTTCAAGATAAATGGGAAGAAGCACATTTCCTTATAGAAGTTACACGTTTCCTGGCTTTCAGATCCCAAGGGTGCCTGTTTCACTTAGTGTAGCCACTTCCTTCATTTGTGATACCTGCTGGCCCCAGTAGGTACATGAACCAGTTGGGGGCCAGTGGAAGTTTTCTGGCAGAAAAGTGAAGTCATCAGAGCAGTTCTTCAGGAAGGTCAATCTGGCAGCCATGGGGGCAGTGGACTGGAAGGGAAAGAGGCCAGCAATGGGAGAGCTGGGCAGCTGTAAGGCCACTGTTAGATTCTGTGAGAATTAATGAGAGTCTAGGTTAGGTGCTGGGTGGGAGAAGTGAGTGAATTAAAAACATTAATGTTCCAATTTCTATTACCTACACAGCAATAGCTACTGAGAGCCATAACCCAGAGCGTACCCTAACTCTGCACACAGACCATTCCTTTTTGTGGCTTATTTTCAGATTCCCGCCTGTTGGCCTGGGCCATGCAGGAACATCAAGGATCCCTTTAAGCCTTTTCCAATGAGCATAAAGGAAGGCTTCATCTTCCTTTTCCCAGGACCCAATTACCTCATAATGCTGAGGGCATGTGGAACAGAGGACACAATTGGCCACACTACACCACTCGGTAGGCAGCAGAGAAAAGAGAGTTGCCCCTACAGGCTGTCTGCATTATAATCCCACCAAAAGGTCTGCCTTCCAGTCCCAAGAAGGGAACAAGGGGGTCATTGCCCTGGGTGGCCCCTATATATATCCAGGGATATCCTTGATGGTCCTTGGCACTTACCATAGCCCTTCCTTCCTGAGTGTTGGAATGAAGTGTAAGAAGGGGACAATATGTGCCTGGCAATAGGAAGGGTAATAATAGCTAACATGTCTAGATAATGTGTAATGTTCTGGGTACATCTTTAAGTCTTTTTATGTACATTGCACCATGTAATCTATCTACAACTGGTACTATCTCATAAAAACCATTTAAGACAAGTGCTGATATCCCCTTATTATAGATAAAGGAACTTAGGCACAGAGACATTAAATCACTTGCCAAGGTCATATGTCGAATAACTGGAAAAGTTGGCATTTGAACCAGGTCACCTGTCTCCAAAGGCATGAAGTCTTAACCATAGCATTCTACCATCTCAAATATAGTGACAAAAGTTCTGGAGAAGAGTGGTTTCCAAGAGTGTGAGCAAAGGGAGGGATAGATTTCATATACCTATTCAGAGTACCTGACACCCAAACAAACAGAACTGGATCAAAATCAATCTGATTCTCTTTTTATGCATTTACACCACATGCCCAAATCCATCAGGACCTCCTGTGCTGGAGACAGAATGAAATTAAATACAAGTCTTAAGTGATGAGTCTGGATTTCTGGACTATTGGTTTGGAATCAAATCGGAAGCTTTTTTTTCATAACCTGCAGAACAGCAGGGGAAAGAGTGCCTGGTTCCAGGTTGCTACTGGGCTTCTGACTACACATCACGTAGAGAAGAATCTGTCACCAGGGCAGACACTTGGAAGCATTTGCTGTCATACCTGTGCACTTCGAGGAAGCCAGCAAAGTCTTGCGCTCTCTCCCCACTGGGGATCTGCCTGGTAGCTAAAGACCTAGAATCCCCAGGCTTTCTTGATAGATAGGAAAGACTTTGGCACAGTTGCTCAAAGGCCATCCATATATTTTTCTTCCAGAAAGATTGGGAGTTACATTTGCTGGATCTATGTTAACGCCATTTGCCACCAGACAATTTTCTATGCATTTAAAAAATGCTTACTTAAACCTTACCAACTCTGTGACACCTTTTTCTCTTCCAATAGGCAAAATCCCCTTCCTGGGGCTCTCACAGCACTTGGACCACAGTTTATTTTAGTATCTGCTAAACTACATTACAATTGATTGTTTATGTACTCATTCTTCCACCAGATTGTGAGCTTAAAAGAGGGACTCGGCCTCTTCCATCTTTGGGCCTTTGCACCGAGCACGGGGGCGTGACAGAGTAGGTTCAATGGTTGACAAAGGAAAAACAGAAGAATGAAAAGCGAATGAGAGGTGGATAATGGTGCTAACACACTTTATGACACGATTCAAGATGAAAGATGTCCTGGGAATAACCCTTCTGTCCCCCTTCCTGGCCCTGTTTCTGTATGTGACATTGTACTATAATCAAGGAGTTGTCAAAAAATAATTAATTTGTCATCAGCACTTATCTATTAGTATAAGATAGAATGATTTAAAAAGTGAGTTTCAGGGAAAAGAGGATTTGCAAAAGATGGGGACTTCAATGTGCCCACAATGGGGAGTCCCGGGTGGAAGGGAAAAAGCCACAGACATTAAGTGTCTGGACAAGTAAAGGAGGGAAAGGTAAAGGAAAGGGATGGGAGAATTACAGACAGATTTCCTTACATCAGTATTGTGTCTAGAACGGCCCCAAAGGGAAAAGTATGATTAATCTGCCCATCCCTCTAATGCATTTTTAGAATCCTGGTGCTTATTTTGGTCTCAAGTTTGCATGTAGATATCAGAGGTACACCAACTAGTCTAATTCTCCTAGCATTGTGGGACCCAATGAACCATACTGTTGAAGTGTATAATTCAGTGCTTTCAAAGCCAAAGTACATGCTGCACATTTAGCCTTCTTTTCCTCTGAATAAATTAATCTACTGGATGAGACCACATTTTCCTTTCACAGCCAAATCTCACATGATATGATCATGATTCTCCAACCTGCAATGGTAGTTGGGTCTGGAATGGGTTGTGCTATATGATTTGGTGGCTTATTAAGCTCCGCTATGACTGCATTAGACCTGGGAAAACAAACTACACTGAGCTGCTGTGAACTGCTCATGTGAGGCTAATGTCTGCAGGGACTCCAGTCATCCCTCTCACTGACCACTACTTCCCTTCTATTGTCATTTGTTTCTCTCCTCCCCAGCTGTCTACCCTCAGGGTCACTCACTCTTCCAAAACCACCTGCTCCTTGCCTTTGAGTTCCCAGGTGTCAGCTCTCTAAGATCTGACCTTCGGGAACTGCCAACTCAGAGCTGAGATAGCTTTTCCCATCTGCAGCAATAAGCCATTTCAAAAAAGCAGGGAGAGATCTGGGCTTCTCATATTTTCCTTGTTGGATGTGTTCGAGGCTGCAAAAACCAATTACTGAAGCTCAGCTGTAAGATATGAAATGTATTTAGTCACAGGTAAAGTTCATGAACACAGTATTAGCTGCAGAATGTGTGTGGTGGCATCTTTTGCAAATTAATGCATATCCTAGATCCTGCTCCTTTTACAAATAAGCCATCTCCAGAGTGCTGTTGATGGCAAAAACAGAATCAAGTATAATGGACTGGCAGCCTGAATGCTGCTCAGAATAATGAGCTATGGCACACAGCACTTTATCTGCATCAGATTTTTCCCTCTGCTTGTTTAAAGCATCAGAAGTCCCCGTATTCTCTTAGGATCAAACAGGCTTGTAGCCCTGCAAAACAGATTCATTCCTATACCCTCTCTGGGTTAATATTTGAAGCTGTTGCACCAAGAGAAATCTTGGGTAGAGAACTCAGAAGGCAGGCAAAGTCACATATGGACGACACTTTGGCTCTACTAGAACTGTTTCTGAGAATGATCGTACGCTCCCCGCCCATTGGCCAAAAACCATTTGGGAAGCAAGGAACCAAGCCACCAGATTCAGTTGGCTCGTTCAAATCTGATGCGAACTTTGGTTAAAATGATTTTTTTTTAATTGAGAGGGAAAGTTGCTTTCGATGATTTGTGGTTTCCTAAAGAAGTTAAACCCAGAAGACCACTGAGCATTGAATGGTATTCTAGGTGAAAAGAGAAACTTTCTAATATCATAGATCTAAAAGGATCTTGAGAAATCAGATTTTCCAGGCCATAGGCTCACCATTCACGAGAGGTATTTGTGTGGTTCCCTTAGGTCTTTGATGGAGTCTTGGCCTCTGCTGTGGCATGTTCTCTTCAGTTTGCCTCCCGTCAGGAAGCGAGTGGAGTTATCGGGTTGAGGGCTGATTTACACTGCGGCTCCCTATCAATCCTACTGGGTGGCGCTAGATTAATTCTACAATATTTCCTGATTGTGTTTTTTAACTCTCCTTTGTTCTTTACTTTCTACTTGGAGTCATGATGGAGTAAAAGTCTCAAAAGGCAGTTTAAACTTGAAGAAAATAGAATTTGTTGTGAATCTTTGCAAATGCTTGCAGAGACACCCCATCCCACTCAATTCTTCTTGCTTGGGCCAATAGCCTCATTGCTTCTTTTACTGGGACTTGTCCTCTCTCTGATCTCTTCAAATTTCCAACTTCATCTAAATCCTCTTCTCCCGTTTTTTTTTGTTTGTTTGTTTTTTGTTTTTTCGTCTCAGATGGTGTCTGACCCTTCTTTCCCAGACTGATTAGTCACCTGAGACCTGTTTTCTTTTTTTTTCTAGACAGAGTCTGGCTCTGTTGTCTAGGCTGGAGTGCAGTGGCATAATCTTGGCTCACTACAAGCTTTGCCTCCTGGGCTCAAGCTCAGCATCCTGAGCAGCTGGGACTACAGGCACATGCTACCACGCCCAGCTAATTTTTGTATTTTTTGTTAGAGATGGGGTCTCGACACGTTGCCAGGTTGGTCTCAAACTCCTGGACTCAAGCGGTCCACCTGCCTCAGCCTCCCAAAGTGCTGGGATTACAGGCGTGAGCCGCAGTGCCTGGCCCTAGTCACCTGAGTTCTGAAACTGCTGTTCTCCTCTTCCTCCCCTCAGGGACTTTGCTCCTTTACATTTCTTCTCCCCCTTGGCGGCTTTAGCTTCTACTCCTGCCTTGGCTCCTTCCCAATTGCCTCCAGCTATGTACAAACCTCCACCTGGGATGATAGGCCAAACTATCCCACTAGTTTACCTCTGCTTTTTCCTATCAAGATCCTTGGCCAAAAGCCATGAAGCATTCACTTATAATAAAAGTAATACTAACCACAAGAACTGATAATATGGAGCACCTACTCTGTGCCTACACTGTTAAGCAATTTGCATGCATTGTCCTTTAGCCTCACAAAATCTCTATAAGGTCGGTACTATTATTACCATTGCCATCCCCATTTTAAAAATGAAGAAATGAAGGCATAAAAGAGTTAAGCAGCTTGCACAAATCACAAAGCACACTTGTAGCAAAGATAGGATTGAAACCCAGGCAGTCTACTGTGGTTTAAATATTTGTCCCCTCCAAAACTTATGTTGAAATTTAATCCCCAATGTGGCAGTATTGAGAGGTGGGGCTTTTAAGGAGGTGATTGGGTCTTAAGGACTGTGTCTTCATGGATGGACTAATCCATTCACGGATTAATGGGTTATCATAAGCGGGGAACTACTGGGGTGCGTTTATAAGCATAGGAGGAGAACCAGGTATGGTGATATCTGCCTGTAGTCCAGCTACTTGGGATGGTGAGGTGGGAGGATCCCTTGAGCCCAGGATATTGAGGCCGGCCTGGGCAACATAGCAAGACCCCCATTTCTTTAAAAAAAAAAAAACACCAAAGGTGGAGAAGAGATACCTGAACTAGCATGCTTGGCCCCGTTGCCATGTGATGCTCTGTGCTGCCCTGGGACTCTGCAGAGGGTCCCCATCAGCAAGAAGGCTCTCATCAGATGTGCCCCCTTGACCTTGAACACCATAGCCTCCGTAACTGTAAGAAATACATTTCTTTTCTCTATAGATTACCCAGTTTCAGGTATTCTGTTATAAGCAACAGAAGATGGGCCAAGACACAGTCTGATCTCAGGGCCCGCTGCTTACGCCACTATCTTGTACTGCTTCTCTATCCCATTCTGCAATCAGCCTTCCTGGTATTCTGAACCCATATGCAGAAAATGCACTGATCTCCTAAGAGCTGAATCCGTTGACATTGTCAATTTCTCATTCTCCTTGACCTTTCTGCAGTATCTGGTATGTGGATCTTCTGTCCCTACCTTCTTTCTGACCCTCTCCACTCATTTGGCTCTCATACTACCATACTCTTAATAGTTCTTATCCACTGTCTCTGACCTTTCTGTTTCTGTCTTCTTCACTAGCTCTATTTCCTTCAAATAAATATGATCATGATCCAAGTGTTCGTCATTGAAACATTGCCACTCTCAACACGAAGTCTCTTGGCTCACCTCATACCTCCAGTGGTGTCATCTGCTAATGAATCTCGGTTCTATAGCCCCAACCCTGTTGTCCCTTGTGGTGCTAGGCTAGAATTTACAAGTGCACAATGAACTTTTCCACTAGATTATCTCACCTGCACTTCAAATTTAGTATGAATTAATACAGTTGACTCACATTTCCCCCAAAGTGCTAAGATGTTGTTCTCCTCTGCCCTCCATCTTTGCTTTTGTTCAGTGGTGGTATGACTTGTCCAGCCACCCAGGCCTTCAAATGTGTACTTCATCTCTGAAGACTCCCCCATCATCATCATGTCAGCACTATCTAATCAAAATTATGTGTTTTTCAGTTCTTTCTTTTCTGTTTCTCATATCAGTCTCCCCTATTTATTCTCTTTTCACTGCTAGCACACTAGTAGGTCCCCTTATTAGCTAATGCTTGGCCTACAGCCTAAGCCAGTCTCTGACCTTCTTGCCTCTCATGCTGACCCCAGGCTATGTGGCTGGCTGCCAAAACGTCATCAATCTGAAACACTATTTCCATCATGCTATTATCCTTTCCATAAATCTAAAGAAGCTTCCTATGAGCAAAACCCAAACTCATTAGCCTGGCATTTAATGCCCTCTCTAATCTGACCACAATTTATCTTTCCAGCTCTATGTCCTCCACTCCAGGCGGGCCCTTGCTTATATCCAAACATTTTCAGCTCACTTCTGCATCCACCCCATTGCTCTCCCTATCTGGAATGATACTCCAACTCCTTTCCACAGATGACTTACCTTTCAGGATCTAGCTTTAGTTCTTATTTCTTCAATCAATATGTTATGGCCACATTCCCCTAGAAATGATCTCCTTCCTCTGAATTCTGTAGTAATGATTGTCGATGCTATCAATTTAGTGCTTAGCATTTCCTGCCTGTATTTTCAGGTGATATGTATTTCTTCCCCAACTATATTTTTAAACAGGAGCAGTTGTTACAATCTGGGCCCTATATTAGGTACTTTAAAGTCACCTTATTTTAACAATAATCTTGACAAGTCAGTATTTTATCTGTATTTTACCACCCTGAGGCCAGTGGTCCATTTTCTACCTCCTTGTACACTCTAGGATACCCAGCACAGCTCTTGAACATATTCAGTGCTAACAAATTTTGCTGATTGAAAGTTATGCTGCCCCAAAATAAGAAAATCCAAACGTGATAACCCAAACGTGATAACCCATTCATAAAATTAGAAGACAAATTTTGAAAGGAAACTGTATTGTCACATTGAAAAGGAAAAGCATTAATGTCAGTAACATAAAGGGAAAAGACTTAAAAGAATTTTAATGTAAATTTATTTATTCATTTATATAAATGTTCAAAAAAAAGATTCAAAATTCAAAAGGTTCAAAAGAGCATTGTCTTAGGTTTGGTTCTGGAGGGAAACAGAATGGAGGTTTGCATGTAGGAAGTTTACTGGGGAGAGCCCTGGGTATCTCCATCAGAGGGGGTGTGAAGGAAATTGAGCTGGGCAGAAGGAAAAGCTGAACTGTGATGCAATGAAAAACAAAGGCTTCAGTTGATAGCACAACCTGTGACCTGTGAGGAGTCCTACAGCCGAGATAGTACTTCAGATTTGTCCTGTCCCGAGGCAAGGGGGCCAGCCTTTATAGCTCCTTCTCCCCATCATCTTCATTAGGGCAGGCTGCCCTGGCCAGCTGAGGGCAATTCCCAGGGAGGGACTCAGCTGAGAACCTGACACTTGTGGCAGGTGGGGAAATGAGTGCCTCTGATCTGAAGCAGGTGATGGCTCACCACAGCATCTGCTCCTGTTACACAGTGAATTGTCTCCTTCCTACTCATGTGCCCCAGGCACAAAGTTGCCTCCCCCAGCAGTAAGTGGTGTCATCACTTTCTTTTGTATTTTTCTAGAAATATTCTACGATATTTAAGAAAACACGCAAAGATATTATTTTCCTCCTTTTTACACAAATAGTAGCAGACTATACATATTGTTCTGATTCTTGTTCTTTTCATTTAAAATACTTTGGTTTTCAGTCATGTCAATTTTTTAAGGAATGTTCTTCATTTTAAAATAATTTTTAAGGGCTGCATTGTATGTGGATGTATAACAATTTAACCCATTCCCTATTGGTAAATATTTAGGTTGTTTCTAATCACTTGCTCTTACATTGCTGTAATAAATACCATTGCGCTTGCCTTATTTCAGCCCTATGAGGGCCTATATGTAGAATAAATTCCTAGAAGTGAAACTGACAATCCACCAGGTATGTATACCTGTAATTTTGAGTTTGATGCCTATGGCTAAATTGCCTTCCATGCAGTCTAGCAATGTAGAAGAATGCTCGTTTCCTTGGACCTTCACCAACACAACACACGATGAAATGGTTTCACTTTTGCATATCTGATAGGTAAAACAATGACAAATCAGTACAATTTTAATTTGCACTTATTTATTTCATTTCTATAACATTATATGGCTTAGTATTCTTAGTATTCTATTCTTAGCATATGCTAGAACTGTCAGAAGCATTTTACAAATACCAACAAATATCAACTCATTTAATCTTCAGAACTACCCGAAGAGACAGCTTCTACTACTTACTGTCCTCAGTTTATTGATATGAAAACTGAAGCACACCAAAGTTAAGTAACTTATGCATGGTCAAAAAACTAGTAAAAAGACATGGGGCCGGGCGCGGTGGCTCACGCCTGTAATCCCAGCACTTTGGGCGGCCGAGGCGGGCGGATCACGAGGTCAGGAGATCGAGACCATCTGGCTAACGCAGTGAAACCCCGTCTCTACTAAAAATATAAAAAATCAGCCGGGCATGGTGGCGGGCGCCTGTAGTCCCAGCTACTCGCGAGGCTGAGGCAGGAGAATGGCGTGAACCCGGGAGGCGGAGCTTGCAGTGAGCCGAGATGGTGCCACTGCACTCCAGCCTGGGCGAGAGCGAGACCCCGTCTCAAAAAAAAAAAAAAAAAAAAAAAAAGACGTGGAAGCAGGATTAGGACCACGGCTAGAAAGACTGGCTCCAGAGTTCATGTCTTATTATGAGTGAGGTTGAACTGCTTAATTAATTAATTAATTAACTTATAGATGGTCTCACTATGTGACCTGGGCTGGTCAGGAACTCCTGGCCTCAGCCTCTTGCAGTCCTGCCTTAGCCGCCTTCTCTGGGATTACAGGTGTGAGCCACCGCACTCAGCTCTGAATATCTTTTCGTGTGAGTTACTTAAATTTTTTTTCCTGCAAAGTCTCTTTACAGCCTATTGTGTCTTTTAAAAAATTGATTTGTGAGCTTTTTATTTGTTAGGAAAATTAGCTCTTTTGCCTACTCTTCCAAGGTTTTTTTTGTTTTTGTCTTTTTCTGTTTTTGAAACAGGGTCTTGCTGTGTCGCCCAGGCTAGAGGGCAGTGGCATGATCACAGCACCTGGACCTCCTGCTGATCCTGTGGCCTTGACCTCCCCCGTAGCTGGGACTATAGGCTTGCCACCACACCTAGCTAAATTTTTCTATTTTTTTGTACAGATAGATTCTTGCTATGTTGCCCAGGCTGATCTTGACTTCCTGGGCTCAAGTGATGCTCCTGCTTCAGCCTTCCAAATTGCTGAGATTACAGGTTAGAGCCACTGTGCCTGGTCATAGCTGCTGCTTCTTCTTTCTATTTTTATATTTAAATCTTTGACGGATTTTGAATGTATCCTAGTGTAAGGTAAGAGGTATGAATCTAGGCCTAATTTTTTTTTAGTTGGCTTACCAGTTGTTTAAATGACATTTACTAAAAACTTCCTTCCCCATGGATTTTAGATGCCACTCTTATATGAAATTTCTTTATGTATTAGTTTCTGTTTCTGAATTTCTTTTTTCTTTTCTTTTTTTTTTTTTTGAGACGGAGTCTCGCTCTGTCACCCAGGCTGGAGTGCAGTGGCGCAATCTCTACTCACTGCAAGCTCTGCCTCCCGGGTTCACACCATTCTCTTGCCTCAGCCTCCCGAGTAGCTGGGACTACAGGCACCTGCCACCACGCCCAGCTAATTTTTTTGTATTTTTTAGTAGAGACGGGGTTTTACCGTGTTAGCCAGGATGGTCTCGATCTCGTGATCCACCCACCTTGGCCTCCCAAAGTGCTGGGATTACAGGCATGAGCCACCGCGCCTGGCCTTCTGTTTCTGAATTTCTATCACTTTGATTCAACTGTCCATACATCACATAATGTTTCCATTATTATAATTTTTGTCTTTATGTGTCTCATAGAGCTAGTTGCTCCTCACTATTCTTTGTGTTGTTGGTTTTTTTTCTCCCAGACTTTTCTTGGATATTTTTGCTTGTTCATTTTTCCAGTTGAACTTCATAAAATTCATTTATTCTTTATTTTCTCTCCCTCAAATTATATTGTAATCACATTAAATTTATTAATTAGAGGAAAATTGGTATCTTTATGATGTTCAATTTCTATCAAAGAACAAGTTATACTTTATTATTATTTCAAAATTTTACTTGTTTTACTTAATGTTCAAGTTCTAGTCATAGAGATTTTATACATTTATTTTTAATTTTACTACTAATTATTTTGAATTTAAGTCAAAATTATAAATGGCATCTTTACTTCCATTGTATTTTATGCCTAGCTCTTATTTGTTATCCAAAGATTGTTAATTTCTGTATATTAGTTTTATGTCTGATACTTCACTCAATCCTCTTATTTTTGTAGCTAATTTTCTGTTGATTAGCTTGTGTTTTCTAGGCATAATTTATATAATCTGCATTTAGTTTTATCTTTTACTACATAGTTTTTATACATATAGTTTATTTTGAATCTCTAATTTTATTGTCTAATACCTACAAAAAAAGTTAGATAATAATGATGATAATGAAAACATTTGTTTTGTTTCTAAATTTAATGATGATTTTAGTATTTCTTCACTGGTCTACTGATAGAAGAAGTATTTCAGCAAGTAGAGATTCAGCTATTTTTAGTTGATTGAGATTCTTTAAAATCACAAATGGACTTTGAAACTGATTCACATGCATTTTCAGAAAATCTGAAGGTGTTTATATCATTTTTCTCCTGCTTAGATCTATTTGTGTACTGAATTAATATAAATAGCTTTCCTAATACTGAAAATTCTTACATTACTGGAAAAATCTTAATTGGCCAGTATGTAGTTTTCTTTTAATGGGGTGCTTCAGTCTGCTAATATTTTATTTAGAGTATTTTGCATTGATAATCATAAGAGAGATTTGCCTGTACAACTTTTTATTTGAAATTTTTGTTGAATTTTGGTATTAATTATTGCTTCATAAAGAAAACATTAAAATTTTTCTCTTTTTCCTGTGCTACAGAATTATTTGCTCTTTGAAGATTTGTCAGAAATCCCCACAAAACCATTTGGTCCTTTGTGTGTGTGCTTTTATTGGGGGGAAGAGACTGCAGGGAAGCTTTATGAAATGGCTTTCTATTTTGTTCTATTTAATTAATATGTTTATTTATTTTATCTATACCTGAGTCTGTGTTGGTAAATTATATTTACCTAGAAACTTATCTATTTTATCTGAATTTTTAAACAATTGAAATTGAGCAAAGTTACGTTTCATGATTCCTTTAATTTTCTCTGTAAATATAATGTCTTCTTCCTCATTATTTCTTATTTTGTGTATTTATGCTTACTCCTATTTTCTTAATGCATTTGTTATGGGTTTATGTATTTTTTCAAATAAGTAGCATTTGTATTTCTTTTCTCTCTCTTTTTTTTTTTGAGATGAGTTTTGCTCTTGTTGCCCAGGCTGGAGTGCAATGGCGTAATCTCACTGCAGCCTCTGCCTCCCAGGTTCAAGCGATTCTCCTGTCTCAGCCTCCTGAGTAGCTGGGATTACAGGCACATGCCACCATGCCCCGCTAATTTTTGTATTTTTAGTAGTGACGGGGTTTCATCATATTGGTCAGGCTGGTCTCAAACTCCTGATCTCAGGTGATCTGCCCGCCTCGGCCTCCCAAAGTGCTGTGATTACAGGTGTGAGCCACAGCGCCTGTCCTATTTGTATTTCTTTATTAGTTCTATTATTCATTTGTTCCTTAATTGATTACTTTCTACATTCATCTGTATTGATTGTTTTATTCTGCTTTCCTTTGTTTTATTTCACTGCTCCTTTTCTAAAGTCTTATGTTGAATGTTTAATGAACTTGTTTTCATTTTTTTCCCTTAATACAAGTATTGAAATCTCTGCATTTTTCCCAAATATTGCTTTAGTCCATCACACAGATTCTGACATGAGTATTTATATTCCTATTATTTTCAAAGTATTCTAACATTCATTTTGGAGTTTCTCTTTGTTGCAATAGTTAAGACACAGTGTGTAGATTTCCAGCTAGTAGGGCTTTTAGTTTTCTGGTATTGTTATTAATTTCTGGTCAGTGATTATACCATTTCTACCTTTGGAACACAGTTTTTCTTTATGATCTAATTAAATTTTATGAAAAATATTATTTAGATTCTTGAAAAGTAGAAATATTCTCTGCTTCCAGGATACAGATTTTGATATTAATATTTATTGTTTTATCCACTTATTTAGTCATTGCCTGAGAGAAATGAATTAAAGTTTCTTCTTATTTATGTATTTCTGCCTTTATCTCCTTAAATTCCTGAAGTTTCTGATTTATGAAAGTTGCTACCAAGTTGCTTGCTTCATAGATATTCATACTTACTACAATTTTCTTATGCACTTTTAATACACACAAAGAACCCTTCTGTGTCTTGTTTATAGCTTTTGGTCCCAAATTATACCTTTTCTGATATTAAGTTTGGGACCTTTGCTTTCTTTTTGTTTGCATTGCTCTGATGTTCTCCTTTCATTTTCATTTTCAATCTGCCTGAATTACCTTTATTTTTATTATTATTTTTTTGAGACAAGTTCTCACTGTCACCCAGGCTGGGGTGCAGTGATGCAATCCACTGCAGCCTCCACCTCCTGGGCTCAAGAGATCCTCCCACATCAGACTCCCGAGTAGCTGGGAGTACAGGCACGTGCCACCACTACTGGCTAATTTCTTCTTTCTTTTGTAAGTGATGATACCAGCCATTTAGTCCATCCCTAAAGAACTGAGGGTCTTGGGAATTTAACCATATCAGTGGAGTTTTTTTACATTATTGACTGAAGAAAAATGGGCTTTTTAACAGATTTTTAAAGATTAGGAAACAAAAAAGAATACAGAAGAAGCCAAATTAGGACTGTAAGGTGGATGCCTAATGATTTCCCATCTAAACTCTCACAAAATTGCCCTTGTTTGATGAGAGGAATGAGCAGGAACATTGTTGTGGTGGAGAAGGACTCTCTGGTGTAGCTTTCTTGTGCATTTTTCTGCTAAAGCTTTGGCTAATTTTCTCAAAACACTCTTATAATAAGCAGGTGTTATTGCTCTTTGGCCCTATAGAACATCAATAAGCAAAATGCCTTGAGCATCCTCCAAAATTGTTGCCATGACCTTTGCTTTTGACCAATTTCATTTGCTTTGCCTGGACCACTTCCACCTCTTGGTAGCCACTGCTGTGATTGTGCTTTGTCTTCAGGATCATACTGGTAAAGCCATATTCCATCTCCTGTTGAATTCTTTGAAGAAATGCTTAAGAATCTTGATCCCACCTCTTTAAAATTTTCACTGAAAGCTCTGCACTTGTCTGCAGCTAATCTAGGTACGATAATTTTGGCACCCATCAAGTGGAAACTGTGCTCAAGTTTAATTTTCCAGTCAGTTGTGTAAACTGAACCAATTGAGATGTCTATGGTGTTGGCTGCTGTTTCTGCTGTTAATCTTTGGTTTTCTTGATTTAAGGCATGAACAAAATCAATTTTTTTGTCATAAATTGATGTGGATGGTCTGCTGCTGCAGGCTTCATCTTCAATATGATCTCATCTCTTCTCAAAATGATCACTTGTAAACTGCTGATTTTGGTTGGGGGGGTATTGTCCCCATGAGCTTTTCATAAAGCATTAGTGATTTCACCATTCTTCCAGCCCAGCTTCACCATAAATTTGATGTTTGTTCTTGCTTCAGTTTTAGGAGAATACATGTTGCTCTGCTAGGGGCTCTTTTCAAATTGATGTCTTATCCTTCTTAGTGCCTCAAACTACATCCTCTTCAGACACGTTATAACAAGTTAGTATGAGTTTATTTTGGTGCAAAAAAATGTTTGAATTCATGCATAGTGTTTTTTTGTTTTTGTTTTTGTTTTTGAGACAGTCTTGCTCTGTCACCCAGGCTGGTGTGCAGTGGCACAATCTTGATTTACTGCACCCTCCGCCTCCTGGGTTCAACAATTCTCATGCCTCAGCCACCCGAGTAGCTGGAATTACAGATGTGCGCCACCTCGCCTGACTAATTTTTGTATTTTTAGTGGAGATGGGGTTTCGTCATGTTGGCCAGGGTGGTCTCAAAATCTTGGCCTCAAGTGATCCTCCCACCTCAGCCTCCCAAAGTGCTGGGATTACAGGTGTGAGCCACCATGCTCTGCCCATACATAGTATTTTTATAATATGCATTTTCCATAAGCATTTGAAGACCCCTCATAGGTTGTATAGTTTGATCCCAATATCAATATCCGTATCTTTAATCATACCTATATAACTACATAAAACTGGAAGATGTGTATACAATATTAGTAGTTGTTATACCTAGGTGGTAGTATTGTAGATGGTTTTAACTTTCTTCTTTGTGCTTTTCTATATTTTCTGAAGTTTTAATATTCACATATATCATTTTTATAATCTCAAAAAATGATGTTTTTTCTAAAAATGAAAAACCTTTTAAAGGCTCTAATTATTTGACACTAAAATCCTGGCATCAATTAAGGACAGGACTCCCAGCTGGGCATGGTTGCGCACGCCTGTAATCCCAGTACTTTGGGAGGCCGAGGCAGGTGGATCACCCGAGGTCAGGAGCTTGACACCAGCCTGGCCAACATTGTGAAACCCTGTATCTACTAAAAATACAAAAATTAGCCGGGTGTGATGGCAGGTGCCTGTAATCCCAGCTACTCGGGAGGCTGAGGCAGGAGAATTGCTTGAACCCAGAAGGCAGAGGTTGCAGTGAGCTGAGATCGCACCATTGCACTCCAGCCTGGGTGACAAAAGCGAAACTCCATCCAAAAAAAAAAAAAGGATAGGACTCCTTATTACCTACCATTCTTCCCAGTGCTCTGGCAGAGGTCTACAAGATATATGGTTTTCCTTGAGTGGAATCCTGAAGACTTTGACACCTACCCAGTCACTGTCCTTGCTCCTCCTGAGTCTGGGCCTGACTCCCTGGAATGGGGTGCAATGGCTCTCTCCTCTCCTAGGTTCCGCGTGTTTTCTTGCAGGCATATAGCCTCATTTTACCTGCAGGTTTCTGTAGCTGCTCATTTCCAAGAATTCCTTACAGAATAGTTCCCAGGAGAATGAGAAGTTCTTTTTCTTCCTTTTATTCGCTCACTAGTCTTTGTTTACTTGGGCAACATGAACATTCCTCTGACTAAAAACCTCTCAATTTGCTTTTCTACTCTTCCAATGGGTAATTTAACTGTCTCATTAGTGTTTTTATGTGTGGGTTTTACTAGAATTCCTCTGAGTTTTTGTTGTTCTTTTACTAGTTGATGTGGAGACACAAGCTATCATTATAAAGCCTCTTAAGAAATTAAACCTATTTCTCTGCAACAATCTCCTGAAGAACTCCCTCAATTTGTGTTTTACATATCAGGCAGGACTTGTCTTTGATTAAATTCTTCATTTGTCAGTTTCTGAAGCTGAAAGGAAATTCATTGGAATGAAATTTCAGAGTTTGAGAGGGGCATGAAAGCACTCACGGTATTCACTTATTTGCTGGTTTGCTTTTTGCTCTCGTTTTGGTTTTGTTGTTGTTTTTAAAGATCTAGCTATTTCCATATAGGTTTGGGCAATTACGTAACCTGTAAAGGAAAAGAACTGTCTGAAAATAAAACTTGACAAAACAAAATGAACATCCGCAAACCATTAGTCTCCACATCTCTCAGTATAATTGGGCATTGAGTTGACATTCAAAGCAAAAGCCTGTAATTTTGTTGAAAATTTATTATACTGCTTCCTCTTGTGAAATTTCTATAACCAATTCTCCTGTAAATTCTTAGAGCAAGCACTGTATTAAGTTTTTATATAAAATCTACTGCTAGACTGAGATGAAACTGGCCCAGCTGAGAAAACCAAGTACTTCCTTCTTTTTTGTCTTGTAACCAGGACCAGATCCTGAGAAACAAAATAAAACAAATAGGCACAAGGTGTAACTGTCTCTCCTCCTATTTTGACCCTTGCCTGGGGTCCCCACCAATAAACCTGAAGCATCTGTGATGCCCTGGATGACACCCTAAAGCAAGCACTGTCCACAGGTTTGGCTGACAGATATATTTTGTGTAGCCTCTACAAGATTAATAATGGGTAAATGTCACATCAAAACTCAATTATCCAGAATCTCTTAGAAAATGTAAAGATTTGGCCTGGGGACAGTGACAAGAACTCAGAGTGCAGAATAGCAGTTTACCCTTGAGGCTGAGCATGGACTTTCCCACAGTCCCCACCACTCCTTCTCGTTTCATACCTGTTTCCTTTATACTCACTCATTTATAAAACTTTCATTATCCTTGTAGGCATTTGGTCTGTGTCCTCTGCCTTAATACAGAAATTGATTAAGACTTAACTTTAAATTTGTACTTGTAAAACTTTAGCATTTAGTAAAATCATCTGAGGAGTTTGTTAAAACACAGATGTCTAGGCTTAACCCCTAGAGTTTCTGATTCAGTAGGTCTCAGACAAGGCCTGAGAATTTCCATGTGAAGCAAGTTCTTAGATAATGCAGTTACTGCTAGTCCAAGGACCACACTTTGAGGGTCACTGCTTTAAGGTCTTATTCCTCTGAAGGATATCGTATGTTCATTCATTGATATATACCATATTTATTATAATGTGCTTTACTCTATATTGAAGATTCAACAGTGATCAAATATATATGGTTCTTGTCCTGATAATCAGGCAAAATTACACAATTTTGTTTAATTGGTACATAGATATGGAGTTATGGCTGTGACAGTGATATGAAGAGAATTCAGGCATGGCTTCCTTGAGGAATGACATCATGCTAAGCTAGGAAGGATAAGGGAGGAAAGGGAGCTTCCCAAGTTGTAGGAAGAGCATGTGTGAAGCTAGGCAAAGCTGCCTCCCAGATCTAAATTCATGAATCTCTGATGAGATTTCAGAGACTGAGGTCTTTCAGGTTGGGGAGCTTCCTGGTCTTTATTCCAAGGAACCAGCGCCTATTCTGATGACCTCTGAGAGGCTGATTGTTTCCAAAGCAGCAGGAGAGAAGGAACCACCAATACTGGTGAGGGGATCCAACAGCCCTAATGAAGTGGGCTGCATCGGGGAGCAGTGGCAAAGTTATTTTGAAATCTTCCTGTTCTGGGGTAAATCCCAGTGGTATGTTGGCAACTCATCTTAATTTCTCTCTACTTTAGTTTCCGGGCTGCTGAGCATTGCTAGGGGGGAAGAAAAAGAAAAAAAAGATATCAAATTGGAAGATCAGATCATTGACATTTCAGGCTCAGTTTAGCTGGGTCTCTTCCCTGCTCATTGGGCCTTTTCTTCTTCACTGAAGCTAGCTGGTAACCTCCCACATCATCTGTAGATTCACCTTCCATACAATCTGAAATCAGTTACTTTTCTTTATTTGCCCCCTAATTCTTTTTCTTCTGATTTTCAGGGTTTAAATGTAAAAACCTTGGTTTTTGTTTGCTCTCTGATTTTTCTTTTTCTTTTTTTGTAGCAATCTATAAACAAAAATACTTCCTATTTTTAAAAGGTCTTCATTTCCTCTCAAATTTCTTCATTTATATTTTCTATTTATCCACATAATAAATTCACTTGGAAATAAGAATAACTAATTCACTCCTCTAAGCCTTTGCTTTACTCTTTCTGTTGAGAAAATTGGATATATGAAACATTACCAACCACTTTTGGCTTTTTTTTTTTTTTTTTTTTTTTTTTTGAGGCAGAGTCTCGTTCTGTTGCCCAGGCTGGAGTGCAGTGGCGCAATCTCAGCTCACTGCATCCTCTGCCTCCCGGGTTCAAGCGATTCTCCTGCCTCAGCCACCCAAATAGCTGGGATTACAGGCACCCACCACCATGCCTGGCTAATTTTTTTTGTATTTTCAGTAGAGACAGGGTTTCACCATGTTGGCTAGGCTGGTCTCGAACTCCTGGCCTCAAGTGATCCACCCACCTTGGCCTCCCAAAGTGCTGGGATTACAGGCATGAGCCATCATGCCGGGCTGGCTATTTTTTCTTTTTTTTTTTTTTAAAGAGATGCAGTCTTGCTATGTTGCCTAGGCTAGAGTGCAGTAGTTATTCACAGGTGCAATAAAGCCTTGAGCTCCTGGGCTCAAGCAATCCTCCCACCTCAGCTTCCTGAGTGCTGGAACTACAGGTGCACACCACCACCCTGCTTGTTGACTATTTTTTTAAATTTTACTTTAAATTTTAGTTTCAGGGGGTACATCTGCATGTTTATTCCATGCGTATATCGCATAATGGTGAGGATTGAGCTTCTGGCATAACCATCACCCAAATATTGAACATTGTACCCAACAGGTAATTTTTCAACCCTCACCCTTTTCCCACCTTCTCCCCTTTGGGGGGGTGGAAATAATAGACACCTGTTAAATATTTTTAAAACTGATTTGTTTTCTCCCCTTCATTACTTCTCATAGATTGTTTTATGTCTTCATTTTCTAATACAGTAGTAGTATGAATGTCCTTTGAGGTCTCCTTTAGTTCTGAAATATGATGATTACAAAGAATGTTCTCCTCCTCCATATGAACGTTGATTGAATTCTCAGCTTTTAATAAATTAATTTTCGTCTTTTTCATAGCATCATCAAAAAAAGATCATGCCTTTCACTTACATTTTACAACCTCTCTCCTACCTTGTAAGTTAACTATATTAATACTATTAACCAACTTTCTTTTATGTAATTGTATTCTACACTCTTAAGATGGATACCTAAAAATATGTCCTTTCCTAAAAGATGTGTCTTACACTTCAAATATTTAACTTTGGAGATTTTTTTGTTTTCATCCAGGTTTTTCTCAATGCAGTGGACTTCTGCCATCTTTCTTGTATGCAGAAAGTGTAGCAGAGTCTTAAATAACTTTCTTTGCACATTTCTTTTGGGAGTATATGTATTTTACCAAACTGACCATGAGTCCTTCCAGTTTATATCTATGTGCTCTACTTTTAATACGGAGCTTATGGATCTTTCAGTGTCTGACTTTTATGCACAGCCTCACTCAGGAATAAGTCCCTGAGCTTCCTCTTTTCCTAGTATGTGGTTGAAGGAGGTGCTAATCCCCATTCCTAGTTCCCTTGCATCAAGTACATGGTTCTCAGTCTCCTATCTCAAATATAGCACTTGCCTTTTTTTTTTTTTTTCTTATGGCCTGATAGCATGGGCAGTTTTGAGCTTCCTTAACCTATTTGTAATTATTTTTTTCTGTTTGGGTAATTTTTATTTATTCAGATAAGATTTCTTTTGACCTAACCCTTTTCTCTTGACTCCATGGGTTCTTTGGCTTTATTGAGGGTACTGTGTTCTTCTCTTCTTTCATGTTTGAATTTCTTTTGTCATCTGTCTTATTATTTTCATTTTCTTTCATATTTTTCTCAATGCTGTTACCTTTTCTTCCTCCTCTAAGGATTTCAGGTAGAGAGACATCATTTTTCTTTGATTACTTGTGATGTATACATATACTTTTAAATTCTGTTAGTAGTAATCTTTATGTCAAACATGTTTTGACTGATATTTCTTGAATTGTCAAAAACAAGAAAAGGATAAAGACTTTTGACTCTTTTTTACACAGGCTAAAGACTCTAGCAAATCTTTATTTCCTCTAATTTTTTTTCTAACACATTCTAGTGTTTGTTATAAAATCTGAACTCTTTCATTCAGATCATTTTCAAATCATTATTAACTGATATTAGATTTTCTCCTTCAACTTCTATTTTTGAAATATGTTTAGTTATGTAGCCTTGTTATGACAACTATATTTATGTAATCTTTTGTTTAAACACTTTCAATGCTATCAAGACTTCTACAACCTTGAATTCAGTATTTTTATTTCTTTCTAGATCAACACGAATATGCATCTAATTTTATCAGAGTTCAGTTAAAATATCTGAGAATCTCTTACTGTTTATTTCTCCTTAGAAAACTTGGAAATGAATAGATTTAGGGGGGATACAAATTTTCTCCCTTCAAAAACTGCTAAGTAAAAAGAGCATAGATATATTTAGCATGGGATTAGTCAACTATATAGTGGCCCATCAACTACAAAAAAAATACGATGACGATATTTTTAAAAAAGAAAACCAAAAAGCTCTCTGCCCATCATATTGAAAAATCTCCACATTATAACCTTGATGAGATGAAAGCATCAGTATGTTATATGTCCATATTAACAGCAGCACTATGCACAATAGTCAAGAGATGGAAGCAACCCCAGTGTCCATTGCTGGATGAGTGAATGAATTAAATGTGGTATAAACATGCAGTAGAATATTAGTCAGCCTTAAAAAGGAAGGAAATCCTGACATGCTACACCATGGATGAACCTTGAGGACATTATGCCAAATGAAAGATGCCAGTCACAAAAAGACAAATACTGTATGATTCCACTTATATAAGGCACTAGAATAGTCAAATTCATAAAAATATAAAGTAGAATGATGGTGTCCTAGGTCTGAGGGGAGGGGGAATAGGAAGTTGTTGTTTAATGGATAGAGTTTCAGTTTTATAAGATGAAAACATTCTGGAGACTGGTTATACAACAATGTGAATATACTTAACACTACTGAACTGTACACTTAGAAATACTTAACTTAAATTTGATGCATTTTTTTTTACCACAGTAAAAATTATGGTACAGAGTATGCAAATTTAGGAGTCAAAAATGGGCTATAAAATTTTCAGCTGGTGCTGGAACAATTGACATCTACATGCAAAAAAAAAAAAAAAGAATCTAGACCCAAACCGTAAAACTCTTAGAAGATAACATGGGAAAATCTAAAGGACCCCGGATTTGGTGATGACTCTCTAGTTGCAACATTAAAGGCACAATCCGTGAAAAAAAGAATTAATAAGCTGGTCTTACTTAAAATTAAGTATTTATGCTTTGGAAAAGACACTGTCATGAGAATGAAAACATGAGCCATAGAATGACAGAAAATACTTGGAAAAGACATATCAAATATAGGACTATTATCCAAAATATACAAAGAACTCTTAAAACAACGATAAAGGCAGGCACAGTGGCTCATGCCTGTAATTCCAGTACTTTGGGAGGTCAGGTGGGCTGATTGCATGAGCCCAGGAGTTCAAGGCCAGCCTGGCCAACATGCGGAAACCCTGTCTGTACTAAAAATACAAAAGTTAGCCTGGTGTGGTGGTGCAAGTAGTAGTCCCAGCTACTTGGGAGGCAGAGGTAGGACAGCCGCTTGAGCCCAGGAAGCTGAGGTTGCAGTGAGCTGAGATGGCACCACTGCACTCCAGCCTGGGCAACAGAGAGCAAGACCCCAGAAACAAACAAACAAACAAACAAACAAAAACAACAACAACAAAGAATACACAGAAAACCAAACTCAACAATAAGAACACCAACAAGATTTAAAAATGGGCCAAAGACCTTAAGAATTATTTCACCAAAGAAGATTTACAGATGGCAGTAAAGCAGATGAAAAGATGCTCCATATCATCTGTCATCGGGGAAATGAAGTTAAAACAACGAGATACCGCTATGCACCTATTAGAATGGCTAAAATCCAGAACACTGTCAACACCAAATGCTGTCAAGGATGTGGAGCAACAGGAACTCTTGTTCACTGCTAGTGGGAAGGAAAAATTGTAGAGCCACTTTGGAAGACAGTTTGGTGGTTTCTTACAAAACTAAATATACTCTTACCATAAGATTCGGCCATTGTACTCCTTAGTATTTACCCAAAAGAGTGGAAAATTTACGTCCACACAAAAACATGCGCATGGACAATTACAGCAGTTTCATTCACAATTGCCAGAACTTGGAAGAAACCAAGATGTCCATCAGTAGGTGAATAAATCTACTGTGATGCATCCAAGCAATTGAATATTATTCAGCACTAAAAAAAGTCAGCTATCAAGCCATGAAAAGACATGGAGGAAACTGAAATGCATATTGCTATGTGAAAGAAGCCCATCTGAAAGCCCACATATGATATTATTCCAACTACATGACATTCCCAAAAAAGGCAAAACTATGGTGAGAGTAAAAAATCACTAGTTGGCAGGTACTGGGGAGTAGGGAGGGAAAAACTGGCAGAGAACAGAGTATTTTTAGGGTAGTAAAACTACTCTGTATGACACTGTATTTTTGCATTGCATGCATGTCCATATATTTTCATCAATATCCATAGAATGCAGGACACCATGAGTGAATCCTAATGTAAACCATAGACTTTGGGTGAATATAATGTGTCAATGTAGGTTCATCAATTGTAACAAATGTACCACTCTCATGAAAGATGCGATAATGGGGGAAGCTATGCATGGGTGGGGCAGGAGGTTTATGGGAAATCTCTATACCTTAAGTTCAATTTTGCTGTGAACGTAACATTTCTGTAAGCATATAAAATCTATTTATAAAATATAGATATATTTGTAATCGTGTACCCAAATATGCATAAACTGTACAGTATGCACAAGAATATGCCAATAGTAGTTGTATTCTATTTTCCAACTATAAGAATAGATTAGTAATTCATTTAAAACAAAGCAACAAATCAAATCCATGAGTAGATGGTTCTGTTGTTTATGTTCCCAGTAATCAATCTCCCACTTCCCAGTGAGAGAGGCTGTGTATCTGATAGTGAGGAGATGCTTTTTGGAGCTTCCATACCCAGAATTCAAGATGTTTCTTTTTACTGATAAAACCTGTTTAATGTCTGCAGTAGGCAGAATAATGACGGCCCCCTCTTCAAAGATATCCTGACCCTAATATCCTGGACTTGTGAATACTGTATGTTATTTTACATGGCAAAGGGAAATGAAGGTAGCAGGTAAAGATTGCTAATCAGTTAACTTTAAGACAAGGAGGTTATTCTGGATTATCTGATGGGCCCACAATAATCATGAGGGCTCTTTAAAGTGGAAGAGGAAGGTGGAAGAGGAGGCCAGAGTGATGCAATGTGAGAAGTGTTTAAAGAAAAACTGCAGCTGAATTAAATTTAAAGGAGACTAATTGAGTCTGCAGCTGAATTAAATTTAAGGGAGACTGAGCAATGAATGATTCGTGCATCCAGCAGCCCCCAGAATTACAGCAGATTCAGAGAGACTCCGGGGATGCCTCGTGGTCAGAACAAATTTACAGACAAAAAAAGGGAAGTAATGTACAGAAAACGGCAGTCAGGTGCAGAAACCCCCGGATTGGTTACAGGTTGGTGTTTGCCTTATTTGAACACATTTTGAATACTCAGCAATCTATGAATGGTTGAAGTATGACCGCTGGGATTGGCCAAGACTCAGCCATTGTTACAGGTGCATACTCCTAAATTAGGTTTTCAGTGTTGTCTGCCTATTAAACTAGGTTATGATTCATCTGCAAGGACTCAAATATAGAGGTAGGGAGTCCTTCTCAGGCCATATTTAGTTTGCTTTAACAGAAGTCAACCTACTGTTGCTTTTTTTTTTTTTTTGAGATGGCGTCTCACTCTGTTACTCAGGCTGGAGTGCTGTGGTGCGATCTCGGCTCACTGCAACCTCCATATCCTGGGTACAAGTGATTCTTGTGCCTCAATCTCCTTAGTAGCTGGGACTACAGATGTGTGCCACTACGCCCGGCTGATTTTGTATTTTTTTTAAGTGGAGATGGGGCTTCCCTGTGTTCGCCACGCTGGTCTCAAACTCCTGACCTCAAGTGATCATCCACTTTGGCCTCCCAAAGTGCTGGGATTACAGGTGTGAGCCACCATGCCTGGCCTGTTGCTGTCTTTGAACACGAAGGAAGGGGACTGTGATCCGTGGAATGCAGGTGGCCTTTAGAAGCTGGAAAAGGCAAGGAGATTGATCCTGCACTGGTCCCCAGAAGGGATGCAGACCTGCCAACACCTTAATTTTAGCCCAGTAAGATCCAGTACCCAGAAGTCAGGACTTCTGACCTACAAAACTGGAAGATAATATAATACATCTGTACTATTCTAAGTTGCTACATTTTGGTAATTTGTTATAGCAGTAGTAGGATACCATGGCTGTGGGCTGAAGAGATGACCGGGAACAAAATAATTAAACTCCAGCTAGTCTCTCTAGAAATCTGTTGATTCATTTTTGGAACTAAATTTGGATAAAGATAAGGAAGCAGTCTCTCTCCTTCCCTTATCCTCCCCTCCTTCCCTCCTTCCCTCCTTCCCCATCCTTTCCTCTCTTTCTCTCTTTCTTCAATTTGCAGCTACTCTTCTATCTCACCTGGTAAAGTATTTGTTTTCCACTGTCATTTCCACTACTTGACCTCACCTGGGATTTGTCTAGTAGAAATTCCTTCCAGAGTGTCAAAATGTTGATAAGTATTTCTAATTTTCAGTGCTGACACAACTTTGTAACTCATTATAGCCTTTCATTGTTATTGCAATAGAAGGTTGAGGAGGGTGAATTGGTACCAGGACCATAACAGGAAGTCAGCACCACCAAGATAGGTTTGTCTAAGTGCTTCTTATTTTTGTCCTCAGCTGGAGCCATCATCGCTGCATACCACTTTCCATTCCTAGCTAATTGCTCTATTTTCCTTTACCTTCCTCTTCTTCATTTCTTTCTGAAGCTCACTTAGGCTATGTGCTTATACAGCACCAAAGGCTCTGTGTTTAGCTGGGTAGCCATTTCTCTTATCACTTGTCATCTTTAATTGGAAATGTTTGAAACTGGCACTGATTACCTATTTCCCATTCAGGACCTTGAATACTTTGCTTATAAGTGGCCCTCTTTCTTTTTAAAGGTTGAACACAATGACTTTTTTCCAGGGGTTCCAGGTGTGTCCTTTTCTCAAAATCTAATGTGTTTTCCTGACTATAGTTTATACTCAGGTGATTTATTGAGCCTCATCTGTAATATGTCTTTGATTCTCTGAGAACCTTCCATATCCCTAAATGAAAAGCACTTGGCAGGTAGTTAACCTTACCTTCCTTTGCCACAATTCTATTTCATGTTTGTGTCAATGAAACCAACTCCTAAACTATCTGCTGCTTTTACCGAAACCATCCATATGTCACAATCTCTCTTTAACAACTCATGGAATCTTCGATCCTTAGGGTTGAGAAGGACCTTGAAAGTAACTCAGTTATATGTAATGACATGAAAATAGCATGATAAGAAATTAAGCAAATCACGATGTAAAATTACATATACAATATGATGTGTGTGTGTTGTGTGTCCTGGAGGAGTATATACTACAATGTTAATAGGATTGTCTCCGGGTGGTAAACTTACTGATGCTTTTAATCTTCTTTCTTATGATTTTCCACAATTTCCAAATTTTCTATAATAAGAAATACTAGCTTATAGAAAGTCATGGAAAATTGCTTTTAAAAT
The DNA here is from genome assembly GCF_000001405.40 of Homo sapiens. Taxonomy (NCBI): domain Eukaryota; kingdom Metazoa; phylum Chordata; class Mammalia; order Primates; family Hominidae; genus Homo; species Homo sapiens. The sequence continues at coordinate 167,906,839 of NC_000002.12, read as the reverse complement.
TCCAAAGGGAAAAGTTTTCAGCCTAGAATTCTCTTATGTAATTACAAGTAATTATGATCCAATTGTGTATCAATAGCAGGCTAGAATAAAGACATGTTTAGACATGAAACTACTGAAAGAATTTAGCTTCAATGTGTTCTTTTTAGGGAACTCAAGGAAGATGATTTATTATAAGACAAGGAAATAAACTAATAAAGCAAAAGGCACAGGATGTGGGAAACAAAACACCCAAACCAAAACATTTGAAGAAATTCCTAGGAAAACAGACCTGCAATAATCATGGAAAACTGTCATCTTAGAAACGAACAGGAGCCGAGAAGGATAACTAGTTTTTTTCCTTTGGAAGAAATAATTAGGAAGTGATAGGAAATAGATAAATAATTAGGAAGAAATACGTCCCTAAATATGTTTCCATAGGTAGTGTTATTCACACATTTATTCATTCAGCCCTATTTATTAAGCAAGTACTATGTGCCTTTGCTATGTAAGTGCTGGAGACATAATAGTGAACCAAAATATCCTCTCTTTTTTTGAAACATAAGAAGATAATGGCTATTATCTCCTTTAATTTTGCCCACAGCCTCATTTTATAAATGAGGTATTCTTCCCATGTTCTAAATGAGAAAGTCAAGTTCAGAGGGTTTACATAACTTGTCAATTAGCAAATGCCAGGTCTGGAAGTTAAACATGAACTAGAAGCTCATACTTTCTTTGCTCTGCTCAAAGTGGTCTCTTCTGCAGGGAGAAAAAAGTATTTGCCAAGAAATCTACTTTCTTAGAATTGTGTACTTAGCAAAAACGGTGAGGAAAATAATTTTGAAAGCTTTCTTGTCTGGCCATTTTGCGGATGATGTGTCTGGATCAATCTGCACCTGATCGTTTGTGACAAGACACTCCTGTACAGATGGGGGCTCAGCAGATGACGCTGCAGCGCGGCGCCTGAATTACTGCCGCGCGGAGCAAAATGTCTGCTCAGCATAACCTCAAATTGAAAATAAACTTGTAAACCATTGTCAGTGATGTAGCTCGAAGACTTCATGTGCTGAAGTGTCTTTAAGGTTGTTTTTCATTACAGCGTGCCCTTTTTCGATGGGCAGAATTTATTTTCTCCTCTTTAAGTGTGCTTAGTGAGGGGAAAACGGATCTTGGAAGGAAGATAGATCTGATTTTCTGGAGCTGTGTGTGAAATGCATCCCGTTCTTCAAAGCTGGGGGTCGATGTTGTCCTTCCTCCCCGGCACTTCATCCCGCCCCCCATCTCCTTTCCCAACAGCCTATCACTGCTCAGGCAAGCAGCTTCAAGGTGCTCAAGCTTGGTACTCAGTCAAGAGAGATTTGCAGGGTGTGGACAGATGTCTGCTCAGTCCACAGCCTCCCTGAAGTTAGGTTTGATATCAGCCCCTATACCAAGCTCAGGTTTGGTTAGCACAGTGCCTTCAGGCTTTGGTTCTGACACCAAGACCACCTGGGGTCTAATCCTAGCTTCACCTCTACCTAGACCTTAGACAACTTACTTAGCGTCTGTGTGCCTTGGCTTTCCGTAAAGTAGGAAAGATAATAATAGCCCCTTCTTTGTAGGATTTTAATGAGAACCCTGGTGTGAGTGATTTGGGGTTTTAAGGAATGATTTCCTCACCAATATACTTTTTACCATGTTTTTCTATCCTTAATATAATTCACCCCAAGATTTCAGATAAAAGATTCCCAAAGGCCGGCACAATTCATCTACATGTCGACTTCGGATTTGAAAAGCAATCAGTTTTCATTTCCAATCTGTTCTCCCTGGTCACACACTGAATCCCCTTAGGAAATGCAGTCAGCTCAGATGCCTCACGTCTGGTAGGTTCCCTCTCCTTGCTGGTGTTAAACCCTTAGCTGCCACACTGTTCCTTGTAGGAGAGTGAGCACCTTTCTCTTTCTAGGGCTGCTTTATCCCCAGCACCTAGCTGCTTTCTCATAATACCTACTTGGAAAATCTGTTTCGAGGATTCTGGCAAGCATTTAATTGGTAACTTTCTCAAAGTTTTACATTATTAAGAGATTTGTAATGCTGAAGCCAGATTTCAAAGAAAATACTTCCTCAGTAACTCAGAAAATATAACTAGTATTCTGCACTAGCTGTAGGGGCTACCGTGGCTTCAGTCTTGAACACACAAGGTGGTTCATCCATTTGTTATATCTTTTTTTTTTTTTTTTTTTTTTTTTTGAGACGGAGTCTTGCGCTGTTGCCCAGGCTGGAGTGCAGTGGCACAATCTTGGCTCACTGCAAGCTCCGCCTCCCGGGTTCACACCATTCTCCTGCCTCAGCCTCCCAAGTAGCTGGGACCACAGGCGCCCACCTCCATGCCCGGCTAATTTTTTGTAGTTTTAGTAGAGACGGGGTTTCACCATGTTAGCCAGGATGGTCTCGATACCCTGACCTTGTGATCTGCCCGCCTCCGCCTTCCAAAGTGCTGGGATTACAGGCGTGAGCCACCGCGCCCGGCCTTGTTAAATCTTCTCTGTGCAATTCTAGGCAAGCTCAAGTTCCCTGTGGTTGGCTAATCAGGAATGAAGAAGAGAAGACGGTGTCCAGCGTGGTATTAACCTTCAGACACTTTGAAAACCAAAGCCATCAAAACCTGTGAAGGAAAAGAAATCCTGCTCTTAAAGTCTGGGGCTCCTCCAGCATGTGTCCTAGACACCTCTCTATCTCCTTTCATTCCTCTTCCCTCTCCTCCCCTTTCTGCCGTTAACACTCCTGAGAACTATACTTACATCTATGGCTTCAGAAATCATCTCTAAATTTGTAGGTATTTGGAAAAGAATTCTCCTTGTTCCTTTCCAAGGCAGATGGATACTCATCAGATGCTTGGCCCCCTTTCAAAGTAGGCAGAATCACTGCATACTGAAAGATCAGGTCATGAGAGTGCCTCTTTAATTTGTTTCTTCCTTTCTCTTGGCTGGAATATTAAAGACCAATACTCAATCACTCATGAGAGGAGGCTCTGCCACCTTGCTCTGTCTCTTCTTTCCACGCAGCTGGCTTGATTGGCTGCTCGAGGGCCTACTACTTCCAAGTAGACCTGGCCGCCACCACCATCTGGTTGTTGTCAAATTTTCCTGGACTTCCTTCTTTCTCTTCCCCATGCTTGGTATAATTAGGGCAAGGGCCCACTTTGCATGGGGCAGAGATTCAGCCTTCCATTTCTCTCTCTCTCTCTCTGTCTCTCAGTTTGGTATTTAAATGTATATTTTGGCTACTGCCTCTCTCTCTATCCCTCTGGATCTGATGAATATTTTTTAGTTGTATTTTGCATGAAACAAATTGAGATGTGTTAGCTTAGAAAGATAGGGTTATAGTGGACCTCTGTTGTTTTTACCTCCTAGCACCCATTTACTCTTCTGGAAATAGTTACCCAGTGTCTGGAAAACTACCCTCTTCCCCACCCTCGATTCATGTTCTTTGTGTGTTCATGGAGCATGTGACTCCAGCCTGGGCAATCAGAGCATTACATCGGCCTGGCCGCAGCACTCGTTTCAGGGATCAGAAACCAGTGTAATTTTTTTTCCAGGGCTGTTAAGCAAATGCTCTTTTCCACTAGACTTGAGCTGGTAAGATGTGGTGTTGGAACTTCTGGCAGGCATTTTCCAATCACAAGGAGACAGCCTACTTGAGAACAGAGCCAGTACACAGGGTTGTGTTAAGGTATGAATGGAAAGATACCTGGTCTTGTGCCATTGAGCTAAGGATAAAGTACCCCTGAAGCCAGGCCCCTGTGAACTTTTTCTGAGACAGGATCTCACTCTGTCACCCAGGCTGGAGTACAATGGCACCATCTCCATTCACTGCACCTCTGCCTCCTGGGCCCAGGTGATTCTCCCACCTCAGCCTCCTGAGTAGCTGGGACTACAGGTGTGTACCATGATGCCAGGCTAATTTTTGTATTTTTTGTAGAGACAGGGTTTGGCCATGTTGCCCAGGCTGGTCTCTAACTCCTGGGCTCAAGTGATCTGCCCATCTCAGCTTCCCAAAGTGCGGAGATTTTTGGAATGAGGCACAGGGTCTGGCCCCCCTGTGAACTTTTCATTTACAGTCTAGTATATTCTCTGTTTTCTTAAGCCAGCTTAGAGATCATCTGTCACTTAAAATGGGAAAATACCAATTGAAGAAGGGGAATGCAATTTCAAGCTCTCTAGTTTACTAGAGTTTTCATTGTTCAGATTTGGGGCCCATCCCCAGTTAATTATTAAATGGTGCTTTGATTTATTCAGCTATTTTTCATTGTGTTTATATCTTCCCCAGGTTGACGGGGACAGGGTTTGAGTGTTCTTAAATTCCCTAGTGACAATATCATATTGACAAAACCAAGGTTTCATCCCAGTTTGAGAATTCTGAAATTTATGTTTTCAGACTATACTTTTGGCTTTTACATTGAGGTCTATGATCCATTTTGAGTGTGGTGTGAAGTAACAGTCTAAAATCTTTTCTTTTTTTGGTGGGGGAGGAGGATGTCTAACTATTGCAGACCCTTTATGTTTTGGGAACCTGTCTTTTCCCCATTAGATCACCTTGGCACCATTGTTGAATATCAATGCACCATAAATGTAAGACTTTATTTTAATTCAATATATGTGACAAACCCAATAAAATAGTGTTACAATTATTTATTTATGCAATCATATCTTTTAACATCATAAAGAAAAGATAACATTTATATTAGGTTGGTGCAAAAGTAATTGTGGTTTTTGCCATTTTAGGTTGGCGCAAAAGTAATTTCGGTTTAGAAGTAATGGCAAAAACCGCAATTACTTTTGCGCCAACCTAATACAAGGTGTTAACGGTTTTCATTTCTTTCTGTAGAATCCTCTTAACATCTGGTGTTATTTCCTGTAATCCAGATAACTTCAGTGTTTACTGTAAGGCAGAACTGATAGCAATATATCTCAGTTTTTGTTTATCCAGAAATGTATTTACTTTCATTCTTGAAGAATAGTTTTGCTCAATATAGATGAATTCACCAACAGTTAAAAATTTTGAATGTTGTAACAGTGCTTTCTGGTTTCAGATAAGAAGTCAGCCGTTAATTAACAATACTGTTGTTCCTGGTGTGTGATGAGTTAGTTTCCTCTTGCTCCTTTTAAGATTTTTTTCTATGTCTCTGTCTTTCAACTGTTTGACTATGAGATGTTTAAATGTGGATCTCTTTGTATTTGTTCTATTTTTTTTTAAGATTCTTGGATCAGTAGATTGTTTTCATCAAATTTAAGAAGGTTTAGCCATTATTTTTAAAAACAGGTTTCCCTTCTCCTCCCTTTGTAGAACTCCCATTTCATGTATGGTAGTAGGGTTGTCCCACAGGTCTCCGAGGGACATTTTTCTTCAATCTTTCTCTGTGTTCTTCAGGTTACATAATTTCGAGTAACCTATTTTAGTGTTCATTATTTCTTCTGCCATCTCAAAACTGCTATTAATTTTTTTAATGTTTCAACTGTAGAATTTTATATTTTATATTGAGTTTTTCTATTCAAGAACCATTGCCATCACATTTTCCTTTAATTCTTTAATTTATTGCCTATATTTATATGCTTTGAAGCTTTCTGCTAAATCCAACACCTAACGCAACTCAGGGTCAATTTCTATTGATTGCCTTTCCCCTGATTGTAGGCAATACTTGGCTATTTCTGTTCATTTCTTATGATTATTTTACCTGAACACTGGACACGATAAATAATATTTTAACTACGCTGGATTATGATGATTTTTTTTCCCTGCTGGTTGTTGATGGTAATATTTTGTCTGCTTGGATGATTTAGCCCTTTAGAAACTTTCTTTCCTGTGATTTGTGGCTGCTGATGTCTCTGCTCAGTTATTGTTATTTTTTCATCCAGGGTTCTCAGGGGTAACATCTATATCTATATAGCTTAGTGGTCAGCTGATGATTTGTTAGAGATTGTACTCAGACACTTTGAGCCTATAATTCTTCCTCCTCGGCTCATGGGTCTGTATGTGGACTTGGGAAGTATTTTTAAATTTCAGTCAGTTGTCTAATCAGTCTCAATTTTTATTCCTTTCTAGGTCCTCTCAGATCTACCATGTGAGTGCACACATCCTTCCAGTCAACCAGAGGTATGTGGAGAGTTTATGTGGCTCCTCTGTGGCACTCTCATTTCAAATAACTTCCTATTAAAGTTCTGGACCATCCTCTGGTCACATGATTCTTTCCAACTGGAACTATAACTTTAGGCTGCCAGCGTTGCTGACTTGGCATTAGCAGAGCCACTGATTACCAGTGCTGTTACTTTTTACTGATGGCATAGTGGGATGTGGATTTCCATGTTCTACTCCAAATCAAGTCATCCTCCCTCCAGCAATGAGGCTCTCACTTTTCATGGTCAGCCTCACCCGGGCACAATTACTGCCCTGACTGAGCTGGGGAAAGGAAGGAGGGAATGTGAGCCACCATAGGCAAGAAAGCCACAGACTCCTAGTGTTCTTATATAGAGTTCTAGCAGCTTTTATGAATAAGCATTTCTCAATTTGTTGTTTACCTTTAGTCAATTACCAGAGCTCTGAAATGGTTGTCTATGAGAATTTTAGCCCGTATTATAGTTGTTTTTTGGGGGAATCTATTTGCCAACCTCTTTATTTAGTTGTTTTGGGGGGGAATGTATTTGCCAACCTCTTTACCACAGCCATTGGTCAGTTGGTTGGGTGTTTTGAAATGCTAAAATTATATCTACTTCATGAATATATTCATATCTTTAATTTCTCCTACGATTTTGAATCAATAGGAAATTCCTCTTGGTAAAAACCATTCCTTTGTAATTATATAAAGGCTTTAAAAGTTTGGTTTCTCCTGTAATCCCCTCATCATAACACTCGCCATACCAAATTACAAATTACCTACTTCATTATCTTTAACCACCACTAAGCTGTAAGCTCATTATGGTAGAGACTAGGTCTCTTTTGTTCATCAGCTCTATTTCCAAGGCCTAGCACAGTCCGATAAGAGGTATTTAGATTCATTTATAAATATTTGCAAAGGAAGTGAGTAAACTTCTCCTGCTCTTATGGATCTTCATCTCATGTAGGTGAGGCTGTGCTGAGGTAAAAGGGAGTGCATAGCACATGCAGAAGGCACTGAAACTAACATTCTCCCTCTAAGTAATCAGTTACCTGGGTTTTCTTTGTTTAGGAGAACACTCCTTTGCTCTCCAAACGAGTGAACATTTAGCTCATTCGCATTTTACCTGGTGAACCCTCAAATTGTTTTTGAGGGCACTTAGCATGTAGTTATAGTTTTAGGAAGGCAGTGTGATAGAGTGGAAAAACTAGGGCTAGAAATTTTGATCTTGCCTCTGTAAGTAACTAGTTGAATGTCATCTTCTCTGGCTCTCTGTTTTTTCGTTTGTAAAATCAGAACGTTGGACTATTTTATTGGTTTTCAAACCTGGCTGAGCAGGAGAATAAACTATGAGCATTGTCCCGTTGTTAGAATCCCCAGGTCTGAGTTGTGGTAATCTGTGTTTGTAAAAGCTCCAATGGTGGTATTTTTTTTTTTTTTTTGTAGTGAGTTTGCACTGGCAAATAGAAGGCATTTGATAATCCTTGAACTAGATGATCTCAAAGACCCCTTTCAGTCCTAACCTGATTCTCTTCCATTCCTCTCAACAAAAGAGAAACTCTCTTTGGGTTATGCACCCACGGTTACTCCAAGCCTCTGTGTGGGGAGTGTGTCTTTGAAAATGTAGCTTATTCAGAGAAAAGAAAAGACAGCTTCTGGCTTGATTTTTGTGTAGTCACATAAAACTGAGGTTGCGTGTGCCCCCCAGGGTGAAGAACTTAATGAGAAATGGGAGTTGGATAAATAAAATTTACATCGTTTTTGGCTGACTGATAATTGATATAGGTAAGATACTGCCACTTATCTAATAAATGAGGCTAGCAGTGTATTTTGATTTCTTTATCTTTCCAAACCTGCAAGTGAATGTCTGCTATTGTTTCTTATTTCCCAAGCTTTAGAAAAGCAGTCCTTCCCAGCATGTACTTACTTTTAAAAATAAATTAAATGAGACCTTGCCTGCAAAGAGGGTACACGGTGTATTATAAACAGGACTCCTCTTAACCAATTCCCTGGTCTGTTTTTCTGGGAACAGAATGAAATAAACTTGAGGAAAGTATGGCAAATAACTGCCTAGGCCACATAAATGTTCCTGTTCAAATACAGGCATTGCATTCCTCTTTGTCTATGAGAAATAAAGACCCACCTAGGTCTCTAAAAGGGAAGCTGAGATCAATGGAACATTCTGAAAATGCTAGCGATCTCTGTGATGCCAGAAGAGAATGCCTTATCTGGATACCACAGGCCAGTATTTGCTAAGTCAGGCTATCACCAGGCAAGCCTAGTTTGTGACACAAGGGATATTCTCCAAGTAGAACTGCAGACTCTTATTTCCCTAATCAAGGATCCCCAGTGAACTTGGTGCTATCGTTTGGCAGGTAGCGATTTTATTTTGAAAGCAGGAAAATAATAAATAGTTTTAACATATAGCTTCCTAACCCAGTGATTCTCAGTGTTCTTGAACTGATAAACCACTTTATTTGATAGAAATATCTGATAGTGGTAGACATTTTGATTAAATTATAACATGTGCCCCAGCAGAAACATAATGTATCCACTAAAAATAATACAGGTTGGCCGGGCGTGGTGGCTCACGCCTGTAATCCCAGCACTATGGGAGGCTGAGGTGGGCAGATCATCTGAGGTTGGGAGTTGAAAACCAGCCTGACCAACATGGAGAAACCCTGTCTCTACTAAAAATACAAAATTAGCCAGGTGTGGTGGCACATGCCTATAATCGCAGCTACTCGGGAGGCTGAGACAGGAGAATTGCTTGAATCTCCTGGGAGGCGGAGGTTGCAGTGAGCCGAGACCACGCCACTGCATTCCAGCCTGGGCCACAGAGCAAGACTCCGTCTCAAAATAATAATAATAATAATAATACAGGTTGAGCATCCAAAAATCCAAAATCTGAAACGCTCCAAAATCTGAAATTTGTTGAGTGCTAACATGACACCACAGGTGACAATGCAACTGTGCTGCTTAGTTACCTGGAATGCATTCTTTTTTTCATTGCATTAATGGTATTTCTTATTTTTATTGTTAAGTATTTGTGTGTGAAAAGGTAAGAAAATGATTGCTTATTGCTAGCATATCAATTCAGAGTCAGGAAAGATGGTGAGACCAAACAACCACAGATTGTCCAAATGGGTGGCTAACACAATGATACCTTTGCTTTCTGATAGTTGAAGGTACACAAACTTTGTGCACAAAATTATTAAAAATATTATATAAAGGTAACTTCAGGCTATATGTTTAAGGTATGTATATAACATAAATGAATTACATATTTACACCTGGATTACATCCTTAAGATATCTCATGTATATGCAAATATTTCAAAATCTGAAAAAAATCCATCATTTGAAACATTTCTGGTCTGAAGCATTTTGGATAACAGATATACAACCTGTATATACAAACAGTGGATCAATATATGAAATGCTTTTGTCTTCAAATAGTAAAATGGGATTCAAGATAGTGTGGAAAATGTTGCTAATATATAAAAATAGACGAAGGAAAATTATTTGAAAGGACTGTGCAGGACAATAACTGCATGATAATGGTAGCGTTAATAGGTTTTGCCTTTCTCATACTTCCTGTAAGGTGGTTTTAAAAAATTTATCATATGGTTAATTAACAATGAATGGTATTTAAGTGAAGCTCATCTAATGGTCTCAGCAGCCATCTCTATCTCCATGTCTTGTCTTTCCTCATGCACTCTTTCAGTCAAAGAGAAACAAAGGAACAGGACAACAGCTTTTTTTTTTTTTTTTTTTTTTTTGAGACAAGAGTTTCGCTCTTGTTGTCCAGGCTGGAGTGCAGTGGCACAATCTCGGCTCACCGCAACCTCCACCTCCTGGGTTCAAGCGATTCTTCTGCCTCAGCCTCCTGGGTAGCTGGGATTACAGGCATGCACCACCACACCTGGCTAATTTTGTATTTTTAGTAGAGACGGGGTTTCTCTGTGTTGGTCAGGCTGGTCTCGAACTCCCAACCTCAGGTGATCCACCTGCCTTGGCCTCCCAAAGTGCTAGGATTACAGGCGTGAGCCACTGCGCTAGGCCACAACTGCTCTTACATGGGAAAGAGACTTACGGGTTTGAGTTGGCTGTAGGTTTAATATGATTCTGGCATTCTTGAGCTTAGGTGATTTTGGGGTGATGGACCACTAAGCACACCTAGACAATTGTACAAAGCATGAATTCATCTATCTCACAAAGAATATTAACAAATTATATTGACAAGGAGGAACTCTGAGACATGAATGCTGAAAATGTTGTTCTACCTGCTCTCTTGGTCCTGCACTTGAGTCACCACCTAAACCCATTCTACTCGAGTCCAAATATAGCTCTTTAATCCAGTCTTCGCTACCATACTACCTACTCTGCTTTAAAATCTTTCAATACTACCTATTTTCTACAGGAGCCAACTTTCAACACGATGTTTCAGTCAAATGAACTTCCACGGCATTTTCATCTCTTGTCTTTGCTCACACCGTTCTCTCTATCTGGTGTATCTGCTCTCTTCCTTGATAAACTTTTACTCATTTACTCATTGGTAAAAAGCCTCCTTGATAAGCTTTTACTCATTTACTTAGCTTAGAAATTACCCATTCTATAGTGGTTACTACAAAGCTACCATGGAGTGACTTGCTCCCCATTTACTCTTCCATTATATTCTTTACATATTGCTGTTACACAAATCATCATGTTATACCACCAGGATTTACTTCCAGTGTTTTTGTTTCCTCTGTTCCCATACATTCAACTCCCCTCGGGAGGGACCCTACCTTGTTAATCTTTGCATAACCAGATTATGAATATACTTCTGACACACAACAAATAACAATAAATATTTGTTGAATGAAAAAGCATTGATTTATCAGTCACTGTGTGAATGAGTGAATGAATCAATGAAATGGCAGCAGTCATTTTCCAGAATAGTGGAATAAGGACCTCTGAAAATCTGCTCAGCTGGGTGTGGTGACTCACGCCTCTAATCCAAGCACTTTGGGAGGCCAAGGTAGGAGGATAACTTGAGCCCAGGAGTTTGAGACCAGCCTGGGCAACATGGCATGACCTTGTCTCTACAAAAAATAATAATTCACAAAATTAGCAAGACGTGGTTGCATATACCTGTAGTCCCAGCTCTGCAGGAGGCTGAGGCAGAAGGATCACCTGAGCCTGGGAGTTTGAGGCTGCAATGAGCCATGATTGCCCACTGCACACCAGCCTGGGCAACATAGTGAGACCCTGTCTCAAAAAAAGAAAAAAAAAAAAAAGAAAAGAAAAGCTGCTTCTCCATAAAAGCAATGAAAATACTAGCAAAAGCTGTTAAATGTCAAAATTAACTTTGTCAGAACTTTGTAAATTAACTAAAGGCTTGCAACAATTTGAGGACTGTTTATTTAGGAAATATGGCTGACTCTTGATAGGAACAGTGAGCACTGTGGGGTTTTAATTAGCCTCAACCCATCTCCTTCGTCCTAGCTCTGCAGTAATCTTAAAAACCAGCATCCTCACAACTATGTTCGCTATGGAAACAAGCATTCTAGAAGTCACTGGAGGAGACAAAATGAATTTGAAGCTCCCCAAATATCCAATCACCAAAGAATTGTCACTATTTGACCTTTCTGGCTCCATTCTCAGGGCTTGCATTAGTTAGACCTGACACAGTTCTCACTTTATGCAAATAGCCCTACCTACAGAGCATTTGTCAAAGACAATCAGTAGCAACTGCTTAACAACACAGCTGCCTGAGGCAGGGTTACCAGTTGGGACTAACAAGAGTCTGACCAAAAATCTTCAAAGGAAAACCTTGAGAATGAAATGTCCATAGAGACTTTAAAAAGCTTCAACATGGCTGGGTGTGGTGGCTCATGCCTGTAATCCCAGCACTTTGGGAGGCTGAGGTGGGTGGATCATCTGAGGTCAGGAGTTCGAGACAGCCTGATCAACATGGTGAAACCCTCTCTACTAAAAAGACAAAAAATTAGCTAGGCATGGTGGTGCATGCATGTAATCCCAGCTACTCAGGAGGCTGAGACAGGAGAATTGCTTGAACCTGGGAAGCGGAGGTTGCAGTGAGCTGAGATCGTGCCATTGCACTCCAGCCTGGGCAACAAGAGCAAAACTCCATCTCAAAAAAAAAAAAAAAAAGCACAACATATTCCTTGGCATCTAAAGGGCCACATACATGTACCAGGCTATGCACATGTCCAAGTAGGCCTGATGATCACGCCTCTGGATAACTTTGAAGCTCTCGATAAGCAGGAAGTAAAGGCTAAGGCAGAGCTGTAAACTGACTGCCAGAGCATTGAAAGCATGCCCCATCATACACAAAGGTCCTTGACAAAGTCTAGAAAGTATATTGATTGGTTCAAGACATTTAAGGGAAGCTCTGTCCAATCACTAGCTGGCCATTAACCTCACTGATTGGAGACTTCAGTGGCCACACACAACCACAAAATAGAGTATTTTACAGAGTTAGTTCAGGAAAGCCACTAAACAAACAAATATATTAACAACTACCACAACAAACAGCAATAACAACAAACCCTGGGGAAGGGGGGAAGGGAAAATCTGATTGAGTTGGCACAGTATATTATTTAAAATATCCAGCTTCAATAAAAGATTATGACACATGCAAAGAAACCAGAAAGTATTGCTCATTTAGAGGAATAAAAACAGTCAATAGGAACTGTCCCCAAAGAAACCCATATGTTGAATATACTAGGCAAAGATTTTAAATCAGCTATTAAATATTATACATATATTCAAGAACTAAAGGAAATTATGTATAAAGAAGTAAACCAAAACAAAGAACAATGCCATACCAAATAAAGAATATCAATAAAAAAAAGAAAAATTATAAGAAAGAACCAAATGGTAATTATTTTCAAGAGCACACAAAACATTTTTCAGGATAGATCATGTACTTGGCTACAAAACAACGCATCACAATAAATTTAAAAGAAATAAAATCATTCAAAGTATACTTACAAATTCCAGTGCATTTTAATTGGAAATCAGCAATAGAAAGAACATTGGGAAATCATCAAATATTTAAAAACTAAACAACACACTTCTAAAAAATATGAGTCAAAGAAAAAAAATCATGAAGTATTAGAAAATATTTTGAACTGAATGAAAAGAAAATGAAACATATAAAAATTTATGAGATGTGGCTAACACAGTCATTTAAGTGAAATAGCCCAAAGTTGTCTGTATTAGAAAAGAAAGAAGGTCTAAAATTAATAATCTAACATTTACCATAAGAAACTAGAAAAACAGCAAAACAAAAACATAAACCAAAAGTAAACGGAAAAGTGGAAATAATACAGACCAAAATGAAGATTAATAAAATAGGGAAATAAAATCAATAGGGAAAAATTAATGAAGCCCAAACTTGGTTCTTTGTGAAGATCAACAAAACTGATAAATCTTGATCTAGACTGACCATAGAGAAGACATAAATTACTAAAATTAAGAATAAAAGAGGGACACATCACTACCCAAACTACAGACATTGAAAAGGTTTGTAGAGAATACTAAGAAAAATTTATGCCAATGTGGTATATCCATACAATGGAGTATTATTTTTTTACATGCTACAACATGGATAAACCTTGAAACATTGTACTAAGTGAAAGAAGCCAGACACAGAAGACCATATATTTCATGATTTCATTTATATGAAATGTCCAGAATAGGTAAATCCAGAGAGACCAAAACTAGATTCATGGTTTAGAAAGACGCCAAAAGGAGGGGAAAAGAGGCAGTGACTGCTGATGAATATGAGGTTTTATTTTAAGGGGTGCCGAAATGTCCTGAAATTAGTTAATGGTGACTAGTGTACAATTTTATGAATACACTAAAAGGCCTGAATTGAACACTGTAAAGGGGCCAGCTTTATTGTATATGGATTTTATGTTGATAAGAATTTCACAAGACTATAACAAAATTAATGGGGAAAATAAAGGCCTCCCTCAACCCCTCCAAAAAAACCTCAAGTGCTTTATATTTGCTTCACTTGAGTCCATTTTCAACACAGCCTTCCATGTGGTTAAAACTCAAGTTATGTTTTTCCCCTACTCAAAACCCTTTAGAGGCTTTTCAAGTGTGGTCTGTACCCAGTTGAGATTTCTATTAAAAATGGAGATTCTCAAACAGAATTCTTATTAAAAATGCAGATTGATAGATTAGAATATTTTCATCAGAATCTTCATTTTCCAAGACTCTCTTCCTTTAGTTCTTACTCATACTAAGTTTTAAGAACCGTTGATCTAAACTTATATCTAAAAATTACTAATTTGACTTACAGGGCTTTGTATGGCTTGGTCTTCCCTCCTGCTCCAGCATCATCTCTAATTCCACTTTTGGTGTACTCTGCTCTACCCACATTGTCTGTCCTCCATTTCCTTGTATGTCTAGGCTCTTTCCTGATCCAGGACCTCTCTAGATGCTGTTTCCATAGCCTGGAACACTCTTCCCACCATTCTTCACATGGAGAACTCCTCTTCTTCTCTGACACATTTGTAGAGGTACATCTCTTACAAAGTTGTGCGGAAGGCAGGTAATGGAGATAAATCAAGTGAGCTGGGGTGGATGACATCAGGGAGAACACACAGCTCATCTAAAGGACACAGCAGCTACTCATTCCTGTCTACTAAGATTATGCAAAGTGCTCAGGCAGGGCTGACTCATGTAAATTTTATAATGCAGGCTAGAGAATGCGGAGGATTGGAGAGGATCATGGCGGACAGGAGGCAGGACTAGATTGCAGCTCCAACTCGGATGGACAGAGCAGCGTGTGGAGGCTTGCATTGTGAATTTTTGCTCCAGTTCAACTGCAGGAGTAAATCAGGAAACCTGAGAGGACCCACAGACCCCCTGAAGGAAGCGTATTACTCCTGCAGGACCTGGGAGACACCACAAATACTGTGAGAGCCCAAACTGTGGAAATGGGAAAGGGAGATCATCTACCCCCAAACACACACACCCCACTGGGGGAACTGAAGGCCTAGATTACTGGAGAAGATTTTGACCTTACCTGGAACTGAGTCAATTTAGAGAGCTGAGCGAAATACAGGGGTAGAGGAAGCAGCGGGAAATGCCCTGGGAACTCACTAGGTCCCCAAGCAAGCCGTTTTTGCCTGGCCACACAGGGGTCCTTCTGCAGGGCAGCCAGAGGTGCTGGGAAAAGGCCACAGAAAGAAGGAAATCTCCAGCTAAACGTGTAAAAATTTGAACTGATAGAGCAGCCTCCTGGCCAGAACTCGGGGGAGGATGTGAGTCTGGTGTGCAGACTCCATAGGTGAGGGAAGAAGGAAACCCATATTTGTTTTCATAGCTGGGAGGTGGGTAGCCTGGGGCAAGTTCTCAGCCCTGCTCACCCACTGCCTGGAAACAGACTTAGTGCTGTTGGCAGGGGCATGGTGGGAGTGAGATTGGCCCTTCGGATTACATGGGAGCTTGGTGAGGCCTGTGACTGCCGGCTTTCCCCTACTGCCCTGACAGCCTGCATGACATAGTAGAGGCAGTCATAATCCTCCTAGGAACATAACTTCATTGACCTGGGGCCTTACCCCCATCCCCACAACACAGGAAGAACCTCCCAAGGAGAGTCTGAGCTCAGACACGCCTAGACTTGACCCAACCCCAGTGGTCCTTCCCTACCTGCCCTGGTTACTGAAGACAAAGGGCATCTACTCTTGGGAGTTCTAGGGCCCTGCCCACCACCTGTTCCTCCCCATACTACCACAGCTGATACTCTCTGGAAAGCGCCACTTCCTGGCAGGAGGCCAACCAGCACAAAAATAGTGCATTAAACTACTAAAGCTAAGAACACTCAGAGTCCTTTTCACCACTCTGCCACCTCCACTGGAACAGGTGCTGGCATCCATGGCTGAGAGACCCACAGACAGTTCACATCACAGGACTCTGGGCAGACAACCCCCAGTACCAGCCTGGAGGCTGGTAGACTTGCTGGGTGGCACAATCCAGAAGAGAGAAAACAATCACTATAGTTTAGCTCTCAGGAAGCCCCATCCATAGAAAAAGGGGGAGAGTACTACATCAAGGGAACAGCCTGTGGGACAAAAGAATCTGAACGACAGCCTTCAGCCCTAGACCTTCCCTCTGACAGAGCCTACCCAAATGAGAAGGAACCAGAAAACTAACCCTGGTAATATGACAAAACAAGGTTCTTTAACACCCCCCAAAATTCACACTACCTCATCAGCAATGGACCCAAACCAAGAAGAAATCCCTGATTTACCTGAAAAAGAATTCAGGAGGTTAGTTATTAAGCTAATCAGGGAGGCACCAGAGAAAGGCAAAGCCCAATACAAGGAAATAAAAAATTGATACAAGAAGTGAAGGGAGAAATATTCAAGGAAATAGATAGCATAAATAGAAAACAATCAAATATTCAGGAAACAATGGACACAATTATAGCAATGCAAAATGCTCTGGAAAGTCTCAGCAATAGAACTGAACAAGTAGAAGAAAGAAATTTAGAGAGCTCAAACACAAAGTCTTCGAATTAACCAATCCAACAAAGACAAAGAGAAAAGAATAAGAAAATATGAACAAAGCCTCCAAGAAGCCTAGGATTATGTTAAATGACCAAACCTAAGAATAACTGGTGCTCCTGAAAAAGACAAATCTAAAAGTTTGGAAAAAATATTTGGGGGAACAATCAAGGAAAACTTCCCCTGCCTTGCTAGAGACCTAGATATTCAAATACAAGAAGCACAAGAACAACTGGGAAATTCATCGCAAAAAGATCATTGCCTAGACACATTGTAATCAGGTTATCTAAAGTTAAGATGAAGGAAAGAATCTTAAGAACTTTGAGAAAAAAGCACCAGGTAACCTATAAAGGAAAACCTATCAGATTAACACCAGATTTCTCAGCAGAAACCCTGTAAGATAGAAGGGATTGGGGCCCTATCTTCAGCCTTCTCAAAGAAAACAATGATCAGCCAAGAATTTTGTATCCAGTGAAATTAAGCTTCATATATGAAGGAAAGATACAATCTTTTTCAGACAAACAAACGCTGAGAGAATTCGCCACTATCAAGCCACAACTACAAAAACTGCTAAAAGGAGCTCTAAATACTGAAACAAATTTTGGAAGTACATCAAAACAGAACCTAAGGCATAAGTCTCACAGGACCTATACAACAAAAGTACAATTTAAAAAACAAAAACTAAAAACAAAAAACCAAGGTACACAGGCAACAAATAGCACAATGAATGGAATGGTACCTCATATCTCAGTATTAACATTGGATGCAAATGGCCTAAATCCTCCACTTAAAAGATACAGAATTGCAGACAGAATTCACCAACCATCTGCTGCCTTCACACACTCACCTAACACATAAGGACTTGCACAAATTTAAGGTAAAGGTGGAAAAAGGCATTTCATGCAAATGGACACCAAAAGTGAGCAGGAGTAGCTATTCTTATATCAGGCAAAACAAACATTAAAGCAACAGCAGTTAAAAAAGACAAAGAGGGACATTATATAATGATAAAAGGCCTTATCCAAAAGGAAGATATCACAATCCTAAACATATATGCACCTAACACTGGAGCTCCCAAATTTAAGACAGTTACTAATAGACCTAAGAAATGAGATACACAGCAACACAATAATAGTGGGGGACTTCAGTACTCCCCTGATTGCAGCAGACAGGTCATCAACACAGAAAGTCAACAAAGAAACAATGGATTTAAAATACATCCAGGAACAAATGGATTTAACAGATACATACAGAACATTCCATCCAACAACAACAGAGTATACATTCTATTCAACAGTACATGGAACTTTCTCCAAGATAGACCACATGAGGGACACACAACAAGCCTCAATAAATTTAAGAAAATTGAAATTGTATCAGGTACTCTCTCAGACCACAGTGGAATAAAACTGGAAATCAACTCCAAAAGGAGCCTTTAAAAACATGCAAATACATGGAAATTAAATATCCTGCTCCTGAATGATCATTGTGTCAAAAATGAAATCAACATGGAAATCAAAAATTCTTCGAACTGAACGACAGTAGTGACACAACCTATCAACACCTCTGTGACGCAGCAAAGGCAGTGCTAAGAGGAAAGTTCATAGCCCTAAACGCCTACATCCAAAGTCTGAAAGAGCAGAAACAGACAATCTAAGGTCATACCTCAAGGAACTAGAGAAACAAGAACAAACCAAACCCAAAACCAGCAGAAGAAAGGAAATAACCAAGATCAGAGCAGAACTAAATGAAATTGAAACAAACAAAAAAATACAAAAGATAAATGAAACAGAAAGCTGGTTCTTTGAAAAGATAAATAAAATTGATAGACCATTAGCAAGATTAACCAAGAAAAGAAGGGAGAAAATCCAAATAATCTCAATGAAAAACAAAATGGGAGATATTACAATGGACACAATAGAAATACAAAAAAATCATTCAAGTCTACTATGAACACCTTTACATGCATAAACTAGAAAATCTAGAAGAGATGAATAAATTCCTGGAATGATAAACTCTCCTAGCTTAAATCAGGAAGAATTAGATACCCTGAACAGACCAATAATAAGCAGTGATATTAAAGTGATAATTACAAAGTTACCAACAAAAAAAGTCCAGGACCAGACAGATTCACGGAAGAATTCTACCAGACATTCAAAGAAGAATTGGTACCAATCCTATTGACACTATTCCACAAGATAGAGAAAGAGGAAACCCTTCCTAAATCATTCTATGAAGCCAGTAGCACCCTAATACCAAAACCAGGAAAGGACATAATGAAAAAAGAAAACTACAGACTAATATCTCTGATGAACAACTCTTACCACTCCTCTTCAACATAGTTCTAGAAGTCCTAGCCAGAGCAATCAGACAAGAGAAAGAAATAAACAGCATCCAAATCAGTAAAGAGGAAGTCAAACTGTCACTGTTTGCTGATGATATGATCCTTTACCTAGAAAACCCTAAATACTCCTCCAGAAAGCTCCCAGAACTGATACAAGAATTCAGCAAAGTTTCTGGATACAAAATTAATGTATAAGAATCAGTAGCTCTTCTATACACTAACAGCGACCAACCTGAGAATCAAATCAAGAACTCAACCCCTTTTACAATAGCTGCAAATAAAAATAATACCATACCATACCATACCATACCATACCATACCATAACATACCATACCATACAATACTTAGGAATATACCTACCCAAGAAGGTGAAAGACCTCTACAAGGAAAACTATAAAACACTGCTGAAAGAAATCATAGATAACACAAACAAATGGAAACACATCCCATGATCATGGATGGGTAGAATCAATATTGCGAAAATGACCATACTGACAAAAGCAATCTACAAATTCAACACTATTCCCGTCAAAATACTACCATCATTCTTCACAGAATTAGAAAAAAAAACCCCTAGAAATTCATATGGACCCAAAAAAGAGTCTGCACAGTCAAAGCAAGACAAAGCAAAAAGAACAATTCTGGAGGCACCACATTACCTGATTACAAACTATACTATAAGACCATAGTCACCAAAACAGCATGGTACTGGTATAAAAATAGGCACATAGACCAATGGAACAGAATAGAGAACCCAGAAAGAAACCCAAATACTTACAGCCAACTGATCTTCAGCAAAGCAAACAAAAACATAAAGTGGGGAAAAGACACTCTTTTCAACAAATGGTGCTGGGATAATTGGCAAGCCACATGTAGGAGAATGAAACTGGATCCTCATCTCTCACATTATACAAAAATCAACTCAAGATGGATGAAGGACTTTAAGACCTGAAACTATAAAAATTCTAGAAGATAACATTGGAAAAACCCTTCTAGACATTGGCTTAGGCAAGGATTTCATGACCAAGAACCCAAAAGATAAAGATAAAAACAAAGATAAATTGCTGGGATTTAATTAAACTAAAGAGCTTTTGCATGGCAAAAGGAACAGTCAGCAGAGTAAACAGACAACCCACAGAATGGGAAAAAAATCTCCACAATCTATACATCTGACAAAGGAGTAGTATCCAGAATCTACAATGTACTCAAACAAATCAACAAGAAAAAAATAAACAACCCCATCAAAAAGTGGGCTAAGGATATGAATAGACAGTTCTCAAAAGAAGATAACTGAATGGCCAACAAACATGAAAAAATGCTCAACATCACTAATGATCAGAAAAATGCAAATCAAAAACCACAATGCGATACCACCTTACTCCTGCAAGAATGGCCATAATAATAATAATAAAAAATAGAAGATGTTGGCATGGATGTGATGAACAGAGAACACTTCTACACTGCTGGTGGGAATGTAAACTAGTACACCCACTATGGAAAACAGTGTGGAGATTCCTTAAATAATTAAAAGCAGAACCACTGTTTGATCCAGCAATCCCACTACTGGGTATCTATCCAGAGGAAAAGAAGTCATTATACAAAAAAGATACTTGCACACTCATGTTTATAGCAGCACAATTCATAATTGCAAAAACATGGAACCAACCCAAATGCCCATCAATCAAGCGTGGATTAAAAAAACTGATGTGTGTGTATATACATATATATATATATACACGTATATATATATACACATATATATATACGTGTATATATATATATACACATATATATACACATATATATATACATATATATATATACATATATATCTGGTAGAATATTGTATTATGTATTATATAAATTATATTTATAATTTATAAATTATATATTATTTATTATATATTATAATATAATATATATTATATATATATAATCTAGAATGTTATCTTCACAGAATGATTTAGGGAGGGTTTCCTCTTTCTCTATCTTGTGGAATAGTGTCAATAGGATTGGTAACAATTAATTCTTCTTTGAATGTCTGGTAGAATCCTTCTGTGAATCCGTCTGGTCCTGGACTTTTTTTGTTGGTAATTTTTTAATTACCACTTTAATCTTGCTGCTTGTTATTGGTCTGTTCAGAGTATCTAATTCTTCCTGATTTAAGCTAGGAGGGTTTATCTTTCCAGGAATTTATTCATCTTTTCTAGATTTTCTAGTTTATGCACGTAAAGGTGTTCATAGTAGACTTGAATGATTTTTTTGTATTTCTATTGTGTCCGTTGTAATATCTCCCATTTTATTTCTCATTGAGGTTATTTGGATTTTCATATATATATATATATATATATATATACACACACACACATATGAAGGTATATTAGCCATAAAAAGGAATGAATTAATGGCATTCACAGCAACCTGGATGAGATTGGGGACTATTATTCTAAGTGAAGTAACTCAGGAATGGAAAACCAAACATCGTATGTTCTCACTCATAAGTTGGAGCTAAGCTAAGCTATGAGTATGCAAAGGCATAGAAATGACACAGTGGACTTTGGGGACTCAGGGGGAAAGGGTGGGAACGGGGTGAGGGATAGAAAACTACAAACTGGGTTCAGTGTACACTGCTTGGGTGATGGGTGCACCAAAATCTTGCAAATCACCACTAAAGAACTTACTCATGTAACAAAACACCACTTGTTCACCAATAACGTATGGAAATAAAAAAATTAAAAAAAATTTTATAATGCAGGCTAGAAATTCAGATGTTGAGGGGATTGGGTGGCAGTCAAATTCACATATTTTAAAAATGGTGTCCAGACCAAAAGATCTGCACACCTCTGGGGCGACATGCAGCCTGAGTCTCCAGGTAGGATCCCAAATTTGATTGTTTTTATATCACTTCTTCAGAGTCCACCTCAAACTCTTTAATCTGAAACATATCTCTTCATAGCATCCATAGCGCTTTCCTATATATCCCTTACTGCAATGTGTAATTATATTTAATAGGATTTTTTCCAGCATCACCACTCCCAATTCCCCACTCAAAGACAGGCCAAACAGACCTGCAAGAGTTAATCAGTTCCATATCAGGGATTGTTTAGAAGCCGATGTCATTGAAGGGTAAGATGGGTGATATGAACCTAGCAAAAATAAACCAAAAACTTTTTACTCACTGACTTCAACGGACATGGAAAGAACTTGCTGTATCCTTTCTCAATATAGAAAATAAAAATCCATTTACAGGAGACATACATATATGCATGCTCTACTGGATCTGGTAGTGAAACAGCTGAAGTGTGATCATCAGATTTAGACAGACTGAGTACTTTGGAAGCAAAGAAAAAGAATGCAGCTTAGAATGAGCGGAGAGGGTGTCAGGAAGGGCTTCCAGAAGGAAGGTCTTTAGAGCTAAGAACTAAAGATTGAGAAGCAGATACCAGGTGAAGAGGTGGGAGAATGGAAGAGGGAAGAAGGAGGAGGGAGGAGGAAAGTTTCAAGCAGAGAGGATAACATGTGAAAAGCCCTGGGAGAGATAGAGCATGTATTCAGTATGGCCAGAGCACAGAGGGATGGCAGAGACTTGAAGAAAGCAGGGGACAGCTCCTAAATGGCCAGGTAAACTCTATTAAGGCATTTGGTCTTTGTTCTTTTTGTGCAGCCATGGGGAACCTTTGAACAGGGAAAAAGACCCTGTTCACAGGAGGGGCTTATGGGAAAAAAAGAAGACTAAGGGTCAAAATGATACATTATTTTGTAATAGCTAGAAGAAAGCCAGTGATCTACCCATAAAGGGAAAGCATATCCTTAGGAAGGAATGAGCTCCCTGCATCTGGAGTTAACTAATCAAAGATGGACGTGCCATTATCTGGATATTGAATTTGTTGAATTAAGACACAAAAGGCCCTTCCAACAACTTAGATTTCATGACTTACAACTTTTTTCCTATCACTCTTAAAGAATGGAATAATTAAAAAGAATTAGAGTGCAAGAAAATTGACTTCGTTTTGAGGACTGTTTGAGACTTTGGAATTTCTCTTGAAATAACAGAAAACAGTTAATTTAGTTATTCAACAAGTGCCTTCTTTGTCTGACTCTGTGTTTGGTGCTGAACATACAATGTGGGCTAAGAAGATCTGGTCTCTGCCTTCATGGAGATTGTGGGCTAGCGGGGGAGATAGACTTTAAACGAATAAACACTAAAACAGACAATTATAAATATTGGTGCATGCAATAAAGGAATATAATAAGGTACTACGCAAATGAGTGACACAGGAACTAATTTCAAGTGGGAGAGTCTGGGTAAGTCTCTCTGAGAAATGACACCTCCACCAGATTGTGGATGGCAGGGAAGAGTTTTCGAAATCGAGGAGGAGTAGAACCGTGAGGGAGAAGACCATGCGAGGAGAGCAGAGTAGGGGCTGAGGAAGGAGAAGGCTGGGCAAGTTCCTGGAAGTGGAAGTGGGTCAGTGTGGCTGGAACATGAGGAGGGTGTGGTGGGATGAGATGAGGTCCCAGATGTCATCAGAGATCCCATGATGCAAGACCATATTAGGGATTTTGTATTTGATTTTACATTGGAAAATCAGTGAAATGTTTTAAGTGGGGGGATGATGTGGTCTGGTTTTTGTTTTAAAAAGGCCTCTCTGGCTGCTGTGTGGATGAGGGATTGGAGAAGGGAAAGTGGGATTAGAAAGATGAGCAAGCAGGCTACTAACTAATCAAAACCAATCCTAACAATAAAAAGAGAGGGCCTCATGAGGAACTCTAGCTATGGGTAAGGTAGAAGCAGATTCCAGTTGCAGGTGGGAGGAATTCCCAGAGTTCTAACTTGAGCAACTGAGACTTGAGAGCCCAATTATTGAGATGGAAAAATGGGGCAAAAAGTAGATTTTGGAAGAAGATAAGTAATGTCCACAAAGTCCAAGGTTGCTAATCATTGCTTTGATCCATTCCAAAGGAGCTCATCAACTCTTTAAACATAAAGGGAAATAATTCAATAAATCCTTCCCTTACATCAAAGGATTGACATCAGGGGACCTTTGTGACTTTGGCATTATATCTGGTAAACTTTGTATTTAGAGAGTAAGGGGCCTCAACAAATGCGTTGAGAAGCCCTACAACCGTCATAGCATATGAGTGCCCACACACACTTGCTTTCTTGGAATTATAAAGAATTTCATAAATGAATAGCATTTGACTTGGGTCATGAAATTTGGGTACACAGGGATGTGGGGTGAGGAGGTCATCGCAGACCACAGAGCTGCTACCTTGTATGGGGAGAAGACTTTAAACAAGCCCTTATTGAGCATTCATGTGGAGTTCAGTAAAGCTAAGTGAGAGATGCCTCAGTCCTATTGGGGCAATTGTTGAAAGGTCTAAAGATTTCAACCATGTTCAGCTGCACATTCATGGCTGTGAGTGCAGATTGGACATAGAGGTTGACTCCGGATAGGTGACGGAGATAGATCTGCTCACCTGAAGTTTTCAACAAATTCTATTGCTCATTGTGCTATATGCTTATCTTAATTTCACATAAGTGCATTTTTATTTTAAATCACGAAACCTGTCTAGTGTTCTGCATAATCTTCCATTTGTTTGAAGAAACAAAAACATCACCACGTAATGTAATTGAACCTATTGGTTCTTGGTTGGGGCTAGATCTCTAACACAATTTACTTTGATGAAAACGGGTTTAGTAATTGGAGACCCAAATATATAGGACTAAATATGTGTTACTATTTTTCTTTTTTGGTTAACAGGCACTAATTTAACCTGTATGCTAATCTATTAGGTTTATACATAAAATAAAAAAAAATGTTGATTCCATCAACCAAGTTATAAAAAATTCTGGCTTGGTAAACTTGGGATCACAAGTCCTATTAGCATAAAGCATCATCTGAGAAGACATTCAGGGATTAGGAATTCTAGGAAGCAATTTCTGATTTTGAATATTATAATAAAAAACTTCAGCTTTGAAAAGAATATTGAACAATCACCTCCTAAATATATAATAACACTTGGTGCTAACACTGTGTCTGGTCCCTGGTCAACCTTCAAGGAATATTTATGAGTGAACAGCTGAATGAATGAATGAATGAATGGATATGCCTTCATAGATTTCCATCAACATTCTGCCATGTACCCAAGGGTAATAAAAGCAAAATGACAAGTTTCTCAATTGAAATTGATTTTATAGTTTATCAGAAACCTAATGTGAATCTCATTATTTTGACTTTAATACTAAGTTTAAAGCTAGACTCTAAAGTGAGATTGCTTTAGTTTGTAACAGCCCTCTAATGTTGTAGAGAGAAAGGTCTCCAACAATCTCCTTCTTCACTTAAATTAGGGATTTCGCTTATTATTATGCCCTTGGAAATCCGAACATGTATAACCTCTGGGATCTAATCTGTAGGACATCTGCAAAATTTCATGCAAAAGAATGTACTGTTTCTGGAATGGGAATCAGAACCAACTGAGTATAATAATAAGGAAAATGTAAGAAAAGCAAAACAGGCCACAAAAAACTAAGCTGATATATGAGAAAATATGGGTTGGTGTCTGCCTCTGGGAAACACCTCCCCCTACCTTTTTTTGTACTGTAACTGAAAGATAATTTGATGGAAAGTGGATTGAAATTTATGATAGATAATTTTTACAATGGCAAAAGCAGAGAAACATTGGTCAACATAATCTGAAAACAGGTGTGGCTCTTTCCCCATCTTCCATCTCCCCCTAAATTAGTTACTTCTGCTCTCTTACTTCCCTGGTCTTCCTGCTTCTTGCTCATTGTCTCCTTAAATTCTCATTGTCTCTACTGCTGATTCTTCTCCTTTGTTACTTTGGAGTCATTTTCTCTTTGTTCGTTTTGTCTTGGAAATAAACTGCATGCAAAGCTGTTGTAAAGTGTGTTTTGTGTTCTTGTTGAACACTTATTTTATTTGTGGCGACATCTGATCTAGGTTATGTCTAGATTCCAAAGCAGAGGTACAGCCCTCCCTTTGCGGATCCTGTAGTCAACCCAATTCATGGTAATTGAAAGTTTTCCTGGATGAGAGCTCTGCCTGAAAAATCAGGTTCACTGTGTTGTGCCATTTGATATTAGGTAAACCTGATGCCTGTTCTGAACCTATTTATCTGACTCTTGCCTAGGTTTTGACCCTGTTGTCTTAGCTATTTGCACATTCTTTGAGCTGCATATCTGGACTCGGGATTACTTATTTTTTTTCTGCTGACTTTTCAGATTTGTCTGTTACTTCAAGCACTGACTGCTCATTTGACCTTGGATGTATTGCTGATTCTAACCTTTAAAACCAGGGAGGGTTTGCCCCTACTTGTTTCTGAATTGCAAATAAAATTTAGAGCAATATGACACAATGGAAAATAAAAAGACTGGACTCCAGTCAAAATACCTGGGGTTTGAATAGTATCTTTCCAGTTATTGATTTTTTACATTGAAAAAGTCTCTTGATTTCTCTGACTTCTGGATTTTTCAACCCCAAAATGGTGACAATAATAAATGCTGGATTCCTTGTTTGGGAGGGACTACTTAGTTTCTCATTAATGCCAAAAAAACAAAAACAAAAAACAAAACAAAAAAACTTCCTTTCTCTCATCCTAATGATGTTCCTCTGAAAAGGTAAGATTATAAACTTTTTTTTTTTTTTGAGATGGAGTCTTGCTCTGTCACCCAGGCTGGAGTGCAGTGGCAGAATCTTGGCTCACTGAAACCTCTGCCTCCTGGTTTCAAGTGATTCTCCTTCCTCAGACTCATGAGTAGCTAGGATCACAAGTGTGCACCACCACACGTGGCTAATTTTGTATTTTTAGTAGAGACGTGGTTTCACTACGTTGTCCAGGCTGGTCTCGAACTCTTGACCTCAAGTGATCCACCTGCCTTGGCCTCCAAAAGTGCTGGGATTATAGATGTGAGCCACCGCGCCTGGCTATAAATCTGAATGGTCATATCCTATGACAATAATTTGGCATCATTTATGCATATGTGGGGTTGCTGTTTCTTGCAGATGACATACTTGCGTGGCTCTCTGCTGCTTTCCTTCTGTTCCTGTTGTCTCCATTGTCTTGTACCAGAAGCACCGTAGCCTGGCTCTACATACTTCTCTCTGTCTCCTTTCTGTGCTATATAGTATGCCCACATACTATAAATGGTGGTTGGTGGGAAGATAAAGCCATCAGGTCCGACTTTGACCTGGGGCTACATCATAAGCTCCAACTTGGTTTTAACATAGAATCCTATATTGGGTTACTGGGTACTGAATCAGCAAAATAATAGTGTGGTATTTTGCTTCCCATTGTTTTTGTTACTTTGATGTATTGCTTCCTCCAGGACCTCACCCTTCTCCCATAAGGTCTTAGAGAAAGCTACATACAAGAAATAAAAATAGTGAGTTTCTAACCTAAAATTGTACTACAGACTCAAACCTCACTTTAATCCATAATCCCTTCCAACAAGTTTTTATGAATATTTAAAGAGGTAATATAGGTAAAAGTCTCTGGTATGGTAAGCATCTCTGGTATAGATGCTTATTGAATACTAGTAACCCTAGGCTGGGTGCGGTGGCTCACGCCTATAATCCCAGCACTTTGGGAGGTCTAGGAGGGTGGATCACTTGAGCCGAGGATTAGAGACCAGCCTGGGCATCATGGTGAAACCCCTTCTCTCTCTAAAAAAAAATACAAAATAATTAGCTGGGCGTGGTGGCTCTAGCCTGCAGTCCCAGCTACTCAGAAGGCTGAGGTGGGAGAATCACCTGAGCCTGGGAGGTCAAGATCATGTCACTGCACTCCAGCCTGGGTGTCGGAGACCCTCTCTCAAAACAAAACCAAAACCAAACAAACCAAAAAACTAGTAACCCTGTCTAGAATCTAGCCTTGAATTCCAGAGCCCTGTTACTCAAAACACAGTCTATGCACCAGTGGCATCAGCATTGCCTGGAAGCTCACAAGAAAGAACTGTGGGTTAGACTCCAGAACTACAATTCTGCATTTTACCAAGATTCTCAGGTAATTACTTGGCATGTGCCAGTCTGAGAAGCATTGCTATAGCGTCTGTGTGTCCCTCATCCTGTCCTTCCTGCTCCAGTATACTATTTTGCTTCCATATTTATGCTGCCTATGGCTCCAACTCCTGCTAGGACGGAGAGGCATTTTGTTGTAAATGACATGCTTTCCAAGTTAACTCAGATGATTCTATTGATAAAGTTTGAAGAGAAGCTTGTAGTGGTGAAATTGTCTTTTTCTAAAGAAAATTTGGACTAGCATATGTCGAAGAAACCAACAGTAAGTCAGAAAGCACAAACAGATACAGAGGGAGAGCTCATCAGAGTGTGGTTTATGACAGGTGTGGAGCCACAGCCTTGAGTGTAAACAGGGCCTGCCTTTTTAAGGAGCTAGTTAGTGATGGACACCTCTCCAGAGGATCCTTTGCTTCCAAGAAGGAAGAAGGCATAATTGAACTTATAGATCGTTCTCTCTATAGAAATGTGAGCTCTGAAGCAGAGAAACTCTGTTAAAGTTCCTAGTGCGCTGGTCTAAATTTCGAGTGAGGTGGTAGATTTTTGACTGGCATCTTTCTTATTAATATTTATTAGACTTGGATATTATTGAATGAATGGGGGTTTATTTTTAAATTCCTGAATCTTTTATCTGTATTTATGTGTTGCTTAACTATTTTCTTAAGATTTCTGTTTTCTTGTTTTATTCTTTTCGATTTTTTTGCCTTGTTGGATGCTAAGGTGTCATGATGGGTTATTTGAAGCAACTTTTTCTATACATTAAACCTTATAGATGATGATTAAATAACATGTAAATCTCAAGTAAAATAAAAATTTGGAAAGAGACCAGTGATTGCCAGAGGCTGGGGGAGGGGGCTGATTACAATGGGTCATGAGAAAATTTGGGAAAGTACTAGAACTGTTGTATTTCTTATTATGGTGGTTGTTACCTGAATGTACACATTTGTCAAAACTCATAGAACTGCACATTTAAAAAGAGAATTTTAAAGTATATAAATTATAACTCAGTAAAAACAGGGCAAAAGTTCCAAACTGAATAACATTAAAATAGCTACACTGAATTCTGCAGGAACTGGGGCCTGGGGCAGTGTGGAGGTGGGGCGTGGTATGTGTCCTTATTTTTGAGAAGCAAAATGCTATGTTGGTGATGAACATGGCCTCTAGAGCCAGAGGGCCTGAATTCACCCTGTAAGTTACAGAAGCCTCTGTTGCCTCAATTCCCTAATCTGCCAATTGGAGATAAGAGCAGCATCTACCTCATGAGGCTATTGTTAGGATTCAGCAACAACAATGACAAAACAGAAGAATGGGCACTGAAAATTTAAGGTTTTGCAATGGGAGAAATTCTCTGATGCTCTCTTCCCCCTCACCTTATGCTTGGTGAGGTCATCTTCACTTCTGCTGAAAAATAGTCTTCATTACAAACCCCCACATGTAACTCGGCCCAGCCTGCTGTATCAGGCAGCCACTGCTGAGTAAACACTCTAGAATAAACCTAGAGAGAGAATAAATTACCTCTTGTGCCATTTTCCCTCCAGGTGAGGCCTGAGGTCATTGCAACAGGCCTAACAAATACTTGACATAATGTACTAAACTGATAGATTCTAGAAGGTAAACTAAATGGAAAAATTTTCTTGAGCACTAGGCACCTCTGGCTGAAGAGAGTGTGGAGCCAGCGTTATTATCGATGTGGTTGAATCAATAACACTTTTTCGTTCATTTCTCTTTCATTTCACAAAAATGCCCATTTTAACCAGCAAGGAGGTAAGGAGATCTTATCGAGGGCGATTTTTCATGCTCCCATGGATTATATTGTGGGGCACATTGCTCTTTTAAATATCCCCATTTCTGTTTTTGTTCATTTTTGTTTTTTCTCTTAAAAATGTATTCAGTTTTCTCCCAGCAGTGTGAATTCATCTGGAAATCTATGACAATCAATTAAGTAAATGAGAAAATAGAATACTTGCAATTATGATAATCAAGCTATATGAAACCCACCCTTTTAGGTCTAATATGCACACATCTTTAAGCAATATATTAATTAAGATGTGGGTAATTGTGACAATTAGAATCAAGCTTTTATAATTTTAAAAAATTACTCAGAGAAAACAAGGAAATATTTCAAAAATATATGCAGCTGTTGGTTTTTAATGCAATTCATTATCATGACTACATCGTCATTTTCCTGGCTGCATGGGAAGACAGTTCCAATGCTGATGTGATTTTCATCCGTAACTGGAAACGTTTTGTGTATAGCACCTTTTTCAGATGTTTTCCTGTTTCTCTAGGTCAGAGGTTGACAAACTTTTCCTATAAAGTGCAATAAATATTTTAAGCTTTTCAGGTCAAGAAGCAAACTTGAAAATATATGATAGTACTGGCCGGGCGCAGCGGCTCACGCCTGTAATCCCAGCACTTTGGGAGGCCGAGGCGGGTGGATCACGAGGTCAGGAGATCAAGACCATCCTGGCTAACACAGTGAAACCCCGTCTGTACTAAAAATACAAAAAATTAGCCGGGCGTGGTGGCGGGGCGTGTAGTCCCAGCTACTCGGGAGGCTGAGGCAGGAGAATGGCGTGAACCCGGGAGGCGGAGCTTGCAGTGAGCCGAGATCGCGCCACTGCACTCCAGCCTGGGTAACACAGCGAGACTCCATCTCAAAAAAAAAAAAAAAAAAAAAAAATAAATATATATATATATATGTATATATATATATATACATATATATATATACGTATATATATATATACATATATATATATACGTATATATATATATATACGTATATATATATATACGTATATATATATATACGTATATATATATATACGTGTATATATATATATATATATATAAAATAGTACATTACATAACAAAAGAAAAAATAAATTTCCTGTTTTTGTATTGATGGAATTCAAAATAAAATAATAACTGAGTACAATTTTGTTTATTGCTCATACACATCTACTAATGAGAGGAATGGCATTCTTCGTGTTGGACTAACGTCCTGCTTAGTTGGAGTTCCATGTTAGCATCTGCTGTCATTAAGTCATTGCAGCTGTTCATGGGAACCACTCCTAGCTTATGGACAGCAGGCCAGATGGAGTTCACAGACTGTAGTTTGCCAATCTCTGCTCTGGGTCAGTGTTCTCAGCTCCAGCGGGCATTGGAGTTACCTAGAGGGCTCATTAAAATGGACTGCTGAGCCACACGGTGAAGTTTCTGGAGGGACTTGAGAATTTGCCTTTCTAGCAAGTTCCCTGATGAGTCTAGTGCTCTTGGTCTGGAGACTATACTTTTATTTATTTATTTGTTTATTTATTTATTTATTTTTGAGACAGAGTTGTGGTCTGTCACCCAGGCTGGAGTGCGGTGGTGCAATCTTGGCTCACTGCAACCCCCCTCTCCCGGTTCAAGCGATTTTCCTGCCTCAGCCTCCCAAGTAGCTGGGATTACAGGAGTGTACCACCCTGCCCGGCTAAGTTTTGTACATTTAGTAGAGACGGGGTTTCACCAAGTTGGCCAGGCTGGTTTTGAACGCCTAGCCCTCAGGTGACCCACCACCTCGGTCTCCCATAGTGGTGGGATTACAGGCATGAGCCATCGTGCCCAACCTGGAGACTATATTTTTAGATCACTGCTCTTGATGTTGGTCCTTTGAAAAAGTTATGTGGAATACAAATCTGTATATTTTATGATTTTGTTGTTTATTCACATAGTTCCACTCACCTGATAAACTTTACCTTTTTGAACTCCAAGGTATATGGGGAGTAAATCAAAAGTTAAATTTCTATTAAGAAGTGAATATCTGGAATACTATGCAGCCATAAAAAGGAATGAGATCATGTCCTTTGCCGGGACATAAATGAAGTTGGCAGCCATTATCCTCAGCAAACTAACACAGGAACAGAAAACCAAACACCACGTGTTCTCATAAGTGGGAGCTGAATGAGGAGAACACATGGGCACATGGCGGGGAACGACATACTGCAGCCTGTCTGGAGGGGTTCAGGGGAGGGTGCATCAGGAAGAATAGCTAATGGAGGCTGGGCTTAATACCTAGGTGATGGGATGATCTGTGCAGCACACTACCATGGCACACGATTTCCTTTATAATAAACCTGCACATCCTGCACATGTACCCCTGAACTTAAAATAAGTTGAAGAAAACAAAGAAAAAAGTGAGTATCTGTTTAGCTAGATCAGGATTGATAATAAAATGAACTTTTGTCTCTTAAATAGCTCTCAGTCTCTTGCTTACACAATCAGGGATCAGCAATCAACATCTACTTGGCTGCTGTGAAGGATGTCTGAATAAATCTTTTCTGATCCAATTAAACTTCTAAAGTAACATGCAGTATTCCAAAGGATACATGCAGATGAAACAGGAGAATGACATTTTTGCCTTAGATTTAACATGTCCTAATTTGCCAAACACATTATTAATAGAATGCCCCCCTGAGTTGGAGTTTGTTGGCATGTTTAACCCATAGACTTTAATACAGAGGCTGGTTAAAATGATTCCTTGAGGCTGCCAAGGGGCAAGTGAATCCCTGTTTCCTAAATCCCAGAGTAGCCACTGGTCTACTTACTAGATGGAATAGTCTCCGTGTTGACTGTCGCACTGGGCTCTTGGGGATGAGCTCTGAATGGCATGAACTATTACCTACATTGAGATTGTGGAAAAGGTTAATGGTAAACGGCAGGGCATCAGCTTTTAACAACCACGTCTCACCAAAGAGATTCCTTCTAAAAGAAGAGAAGTGACACATTTGTTCTCCTTCTGTTTATTTGTCCCAATGGTTTAAAAAAATCAGCTTTATGGAACCATAATCTTCCTCATGACAGATGGGCCTGTACATAAGCATTGCGCTTTCAGTCAACAGTTTACATTTCAAGAGGAAGGTGAAGAAAGTGTAATGATATCTTCAGTGTCTGTCATTTTTAGTTTTATAACATTGATACAAAAAAATAGTATTCTGATTAGCAGCTTGATTGGCAACCCATGTAACCCTAAATAGTACTACAAACCTGGAGAGTGCACTTTTACAGACAATTACTTTTGGCGAAACAGTATGTACAATTTTGACAAATAAATACATAAATACAATCATTCATATATGACGTTATACCTAAATGTCAATTATCATCAACAAGCGTTGTTCTAGTAAATTACTTCTTTCATTCACAAGTTACTTTGTTGTTTATAAAAACGATTTTCACCTTTACAGAAGAAATGACATAATCAATTCTCCCACTAAACCCACATATTAGGAAAGGTAAAAAATGAATCCCAGATGCTTTAGGTAAATATTCCATTGTCTTTTGATAGAAGAGATTTGATCGAAAAACTTCTTCCTTGGCTCCTCTGTAAATAGTTTATTTTCCCCATATCGTGTCACGCAAAGGGGTTTTATTCTTCTGAATTGAATCCAAATTAAAAGTGATCTTCGCTTTGTTGATTCTGGTTATTTAAAAATACAATATTACATATTGAAATGGACACTTGTTCCAATATAAGAAGACACCAAGCCACCGAAACTAGCCACCAAAGAGAAACGTTTTTCCAAAAAGTAAATTAAAAAAAGGAACTTTAAGAACATAGACACTGATACTGTTATTATCCAGTGCATAATGGAAAAAAAGAGTTTTTGTAAAAATTGTCTGAGAGACTCTTGGTAGAATACTGTCTAAAACATTGCATATTTTATGTCAGGGAAATGATAAGAATGGCTCAACAGTAATTGAAACAATATTTTGGCCAGTGTCATGTCATAAAATTAACAAAAGTCGAAAGTTAGAGCTTTTTCTTGATCACTTAAACATTTTTTGAACATTCAAAAAACGAAGGGCAAACATGCTTAAGGCTATGAAACACTGGACAAATGGCCTTGCTTCACCAAAAGCTCCATGCAGAAGAAAAGGTTACACAGCAAGCAGATTCTAGCTATACATACAGTTGGGGAGAAGAAAAAATGCCTTTAAAATATATACATGTGGTCTTTGATGAATATTTACATGTTTGTCACATGGGCATTACCTAGCATAAAAAAGTAAGGAAATAGTTCTTTAAGACATACGATTCTCTGATTTTTGCTCCTTTTAAAGATCAGGGCTGTATCATAATGTATGCACACACATATAAAACGATTCATAGGTGTACATATATGATGTTTATAATGTGTAATTTCTTGACACCAGAGGTGGTTTGACTGAGCATGGGGTAGATGCAAGGCAATAGTATGAGACAGAGGCTTGATTCAGCTGCACAACTCGAAGGTAAACCAAGTAAGAAGTCGTGAGACTTTCCCAGTGATTGGAACTCACAGCAGTTGAGGCTGCAGGTTGGAGGGTGGTTCACCTTGTGCTGATCCATCTCTCCCCAGGTTACCTAATTGCTATTGTCTAATCAAAACCAGCAGTCCTGCTGACCATAAGATGAAGATGTGTTAAGGGATGGGAAGTCTTGTCTCATATCAGGTCCTTTCGGGTGGGGGATGAGAGATCGTGTTTTGCAGAAACAAGCCATGACTTCCACTTATTCATTGTGTCTATCTGTTTGCTATCAACTCCTACGGGGGGCTCCAGGGGTCAGGTTAAAAAATAAGTAAATAGGGCCGGGCGCGGTGGCTCACGCTTGTAATCCCAGCACTTTGGGAGGCCGAGGCGGGCGGATCACGAGGTCAGGAGATCGAGACCATCCTGGCTAACACGGTGAAACCCCGTCTCTACTAAAAATACAAAAAAATTAGCCGGGCGTGATGGCGGGCGCCTGTAGTCCCAGCTACTCGGGAGGCTGAGGCAGGAGAATGGCGTGAACCCGGGAGGCGGAGCTTGCAGTGAGCCGAGATTGTGCCACTGCACTCCCGCCTGGGCCACAGAGCTAGACTCCGTCTCAAAAAAAAAAAAAAAAAAAAAAAAAAAAGTAAATAAATAAAAAAGGTACACTCTTTCAGCTGTGGGGCTTTCTTTGAGAACAAACAGGTGTTTTCTAATAAATGGTAGAAGATGTGCAATGTGCAGGTTTGCTGACTGCCTATTCTGCTGCTTCTGAAAGAGGTGAACTAGCTTTACCTGCGCTCAAATTTCTTAGAGAGAATTCAGATTCAGTGGTTCCTGAGATCTAAGTTGTCGTGATGCATTTTGCAAAGTATATGCTTCATTTACTGTAATATACCCCAACCAGAGGTTCCTTCCCAAAGAAAGGCAGCTGCCTCTACTTTCAGCACCTTGGGATATCAAGGCAACACACTGACCTAGTCACTTATTCATTGAAACCAGAAGAAATCTCAGAGAAATGGAAGCCTTCCCAAACACCTAAATTACAGCCAAGGAAAAGTCAAGCCTTGGTAGAATTAGGTGCAGTGATAGTTCACAGCTGATCTTTATTTCAGCAGATTTTATATTAAGATGATATTACTGCTACTGATGACCATCATTGTAATTATGCAATTATTTTAGCATTTAGCATAATACATGATACATTGCATTACGTAGCACCTTTTAAGCTAAGGATCTCAAAATACTTAGCAAATGCAATTTGCTCTCACAGCACCTGTGAGGTAGGTGTTTTTTACAGCCATTTTTATAAATGAACACATTGAAGCACAAGATTACGATGCCTACTCATATGGCCCAATAAGTATGGTGGCATCAACGGGACCCGAACCTGGCCTTCCCCATCCTTCCTCAATCACAGAGCCCCCAGAATACCTCATAACAGCATTGCTGCTGAACATGCTCTGGTGTTTTCAGATGTTAGCAAGTAGGGCCAAGTCTTTCAATAATATTGACACCCTTAAAGATTTTCTCATGTGCTTTGCAAATGTCTGTGTGTGGGGGCATCTTATACTATTGCTAAGCTTATGTTAATTATAATGCATACTTAAATTTGTATTTTCTCAATGTGATTTATTGTTCTCTGGCCTCCAACCAACTTATTTTCTACATAGAGACATATGCCTGCCAGATCCAAAAACTGTGAAATGCACTTAGCGACACTGTCTGGAAGGAAGCAGGTGAGATTATATTTGGCAAAGTTTCCTTGGAGGCACCATTTAATGTTTGTTCTGAAAGAGCAAAACAAAAAAGAAAGAAAAAAAAAGAAAAAAAAAATCTTTTGTTTACTTTGTTAAGTAGCATTTTATACACATTCCACCTGCTGACCAGATTTAATCCTTGGATGAGCAAGCAGAGTTGTCTTCCAAACACATAGAATGTTTGATTCTCAAATTTAAACTCCCATCTATTTAACTGCAGCCACTCTGCAGGTACCAAGTTCATTTCTTGGTGGAACTGCAAAGACTGTACACATTACATGGGAATATATGTAAAAATATAATGTAACAACACACACGATATTAATAATCACATCCAGTGTGTCTTCCTGACTGTGCATCCTTTCTGAATTGCTTTTGAAAATGGTTTCTATTTGTGTATTAATTTTTGCAGGGATGATATGACACATTACTGTGAGTTTCAGTTTCCCAGAACCAAATTTTTATCTCAGATGCACGGTACGTCAATCCTAAGAGTTGTTTGGAAGTCACTTTTTGAGATAAATAGCAATGCTCTGGGACTGAGAATGAAATCTGGCCCTTCTAACTCATTTATTGTTTCTATGACCAGAGTCTAACATTCATAAATTGGTAATCCAAGAAAAGAACTTATAGCAGGAAGCAAAAACTTTACAAAACCCCTTCACCAGTTCATTTCCCCCGACACCTGGAAAATACCAACACCTTAGGTCCCATTTCTTAAAAAAAGAAAAGAAACATATTTACATTGGTAAAAATCCTAACATCTGAGATGTTTCTTGCTTGACATGTCATTCCAGATTCTGTGCATTTCTTCTGGAGAGATCTGATGCACAGTGATAACTCGGCGATACCTACACAAACTGTAGGCCATTTTCCAGTGATTGAAGCCACTGTTCTGGAAAGGATGTATGCCCAGCTTTCGAAGACACAGTCCCACATATACGTCTTCAAGGTGAAGCAGCCTTGTGTGGAGTGAGGTCTTGTAAATGAGTTCAGCTACATCGGCTGAAAAGATGTAGCCAGTCCCCGAACAGAAAGGTGGGTAGTTACTGTCTGGGTACAAATCCCTGGGCATATACCACTTACTGCGGACATCCCGAATCGGTCCTCCATTAATGACATAGCCAGTAAAATACCTTCTTCGTGGCTTGGTGGAGGGTTTCAGTAATTTATAAATAAGATTGTCCATGTTTACAAAAATGTCGCTGTCTGTTTTCATGACATACTTGGCTTTTGAACAAAAAGTGGCCACCCATCTCATCCCCATTAATGTTTTGAGGGTAAGGTTATGGTAGGAGTCAATAAAGTCCTCCACGATGATATCATGGAAGATTTGGCTCTCTTGCTCCACCATCTGATTGAGAACAGGATCAGCATTCTTGCCCAGGAGGAACAGGGTGGCTATCTTGATCCCCTTAAAGTTGTTCTCATCCCCCCACGTCTCTCTGATTGCCTGACGGGCATCAAATTCCTTGTGAGTGGTGCTGATGAGGATAACAAGAAAAGGAATGTTTTTCTCACATTTATTGGGCTCGTTGATAAGAAATTCAAAAGAATGTGGGTTGATAGGTCGAGTTCTTATGTTGCCAAAGGTGAAGTTTTTCCTGGCAACTGTTAGGTGGCTGAATGGTTTGGAGCCAGTGTAAGAAGAAGTAGGGCGAGTTATACTCAAGTACCAGAGAGCGCTGGCCCAGCACACAACTGTCAAAACATACAAACAGGAGACCTTTGAAGCCATTGTCTTGAGAACACGTCTATTCCAAATATTGAAGAATACGCCTCCTTGGCACTAGTTTGTTTTCATCTTCCAAAGGCAGCATATTACTAATAAATCTTCAAGTTTGATAGAGAAGCGTGAGGTGGAGATTGTCCATGGGCCTCAGTGGCTGTCTGTCACCTCTGCGCTCATTCTACTTTCTTCCAAATCTGATGGAGGGTTCCATGACTCATAAATCTTCCTCTTAACTCTGCAAAATCAATAAAGTACAGTTGTCACTTAGATTTATGTCATCGTTCTACATACTGAAATAAACATAACAAGGGTATAAGAATTGCCCTCAAGGATTAAAATACACATGATCATTCATTTCCATCAGTACCAAAAACTTCCTGTCATAACCATCTCCCCTTTTCCTCTCTCCTTGATAGAAGCTGTGTATGTATATTAATACCCAATTAAGAAATACATAGATTATAAATTCTAGATGAAGGTGAAGTAAGCGGAACATTAGTCATTTTTAAATAAGAATTCCCCCTCTTCACATGACGTATTTTTTTTTTTTTTTTTTAACAGTGACATACTTTCTGGCACTAAAGTCTTCTTTCAAGATAGGAAATCTCACCCATGGCCTCATATCTCTTTTCCAGTTTCCGAGTCTGAGTTTTTGTTTGCTTGATTCTGGTGAAGGAATTGATTCTCAACATTTCCTTGCTTTCTCTAACTCTCTATTTGAATATGTGTTTATCACACTGGAAAATCTCTGCTAATGCTGTGTCTCTCTTGGTTCAGACTTAGAAGTAATTCCCAACTGTTCCTCCTTTTCTCCTTACTTTGGCTTCCACAACTCTTAGCTCTAATTCTAATTTTCTATGAAACTTCATGCAGAGGATATGCTGACCTCTCAAGCATGGAACCCATCACCCAAGTGACCTTTCAGACAGCTGGCAGCATTTATTTTGGAGTTGATCTAAACGGTGTCACTTTTTATGGTTTTCAACCATTCACCCATGTGTTCCCTTGATGAAATTATACTGGCCCTTTTAATTTTTTTTTACCTAGTTACATTTGCCTATAAACCCAATATGAGTATAATGAGAGGGACAATTGAGTTTGGGGGCCACAGATCCAATGAAGATGTGATGGAGACTTCAGCTGGTGTTCAAATTTAATTTTCCTCTGGAACTCTCATTCTTTCTAGAACTTCTACTGCTTTCTAGAACTTTTAAAACTTCGCGCCAGTTCCTATATGCCTGGTTATGAAGTCCATTCATGTAAAAAATTGTTTCTTCCTGTCTCGTTAGGGCAGAATGTGGTAGTCCTGGAAGGCAGAGATAGTAGAGAATAGGTATCAATTTTAACAAAGTCTGCTTCAAAGAAAACCATGTGCTTACATGTACAGACTGTGTAGAAATAATTTAATTGGGAATATAGATTGAAAATCATGCTTCTAAGCACAATAGTCATAATGAAATAAAAATACACGATGTGAACAGCAGAGACAATATATATCTTCTTGTCTAAGCCAAGAGCTGACTGTGAATATATGATCCATATGAGACCAGCAATAACTCAGTGTGGTTACCGTTCTAACTAAATGAATATTAGAATGGCTTCAAGCAGCTTGACTCTAGGCATAGTTAGGCCTTCATCCAACCCATAATAAGTACTTTCTAAATACAGGCTCCTGTATCCTGTCCTCCCGGGAGAAATTTCTGTTCTAAGGTGCACCAAAGCTGATAAAAAGAAGGATGTGATGTGCAGCAAGTTTTGAAACTTTAAACAGTAAGCAAAAGGAAGTGAGAGAAACTAGGAATAGAAAAAAAGAGCTTCTCGGCCGGGCGCGGTGGCTCACGCCTGTAATCCCAGCACTTTGGGAGGCCAAGGGGGGCGGATCACGAGGTCAGGAGATCGAGACCATCCTGGCTAAAACGGTGAAACCCCGTCTCTACTAAAAATACAAAAAATTAGCCAGGCGTAGTGGCGGGTGCCTGTAGTCCCAGCTACTCGGGAGGCTGAGGCAGGAGAATGGCCTGAATCCAGGAGGTGGAGCTTGCAGTGAGCTGAGATTGCGCCACTGCACTCCAGCCTGGGCGACAAAGTGAGACTCCGTCTCAAAAAAAAAGAGCTTCTCAACTTGGGATATACAGACATGGACTCCATTTCAATTACAAAAGGTTGTAAGTGAGTCCCAAGATGGTACTAGAAAGCAAACTTTCTCTGCCATTGTCCTAGGCTATGTATCTGATTCTTAGTCTACTTTTGTCATTATATTGCTCTGTCCTCTTGCATACTTTCCTACTCCATTGTGAGCCACCTATTAGTAAGATGTTAAGGGCCTCCCCAAAAGCCTCTCCTGGAAGAGGCTCCTGTCAGGTAATATTTGGGAGCCAGTAATCAGGCTGTTAATGGAGGATTTTTCCACTTTACATTTTGATCTCCTTTTTATTGTTCCTTCCTCATGTCTACAGAGTTCATTTCACAAGTTATTATCCTCTATCTCTATGGTTAAGCCTTCATTCAACTCTTGAATTTATTCATTCATTTGTTAATCCATGCATCCATCAATCAACCAATTAATCAAATGTTTATTGAGTGCCGGTTGTATGTGAAGTATTGGACAAACAGAAACAGAATCCATACTCCTCCCTTAAGAAACTGCTAGACTAGGAGGAAAGGTTTCAAGTAAATGGATAAAATGGTGGAATAAAAATTTACATTAGGAGGCTACTGGAATACACAGGGGAAGAATGCTGGGCAGAATGTGGGAGAACAAGGTTAAGTCCTGCAGACTGTCCACAGTACCACTCCAGAGGGTGCCATTCACACTAGCCGTAACGTGAATCTCACTCCTCCACCCATGCCAGAGTCAAACAATGAGGGAGTCCTGGGGAAGATGCTATGGCAAGTTCACTAAAGGGGAACCAAGTTGAATCTTTAAGGATGGCTAGAAGTTATCTGGATGAGGGTCAGGCATTCTGGGCAAAGGAAACAGCATATGCAAGGGCATAAAATGAGAGAGAGGATGGTGTGTACCAGGACTAGTTGAGTAAAAGAAGAGGATAGGATGATGGGGAGGAGGATGGGGGAGGGTGGGTTGAGAGATTAGCAGGGGTCAGATGGTGAGTGGTTCTCAGACACCGTCCTGAGCTGAGTAGCTAGTTACCCATCTGTGAAATCTAAAGGGTGTGAAGGAGGATCTTATCTTCCCCAAATCCTGTTCCATTTATTTATTTATTTATTTTATTTTTTATTTATTTATTGTTTTTGAGACGGAGTCTCGCTCTGTTGCCTAGGCTGGAGTGCAGTGGTGCAATCTCGGCTCACTGCAAACTCCGCCTCCCGGGTTCACGCCATTCTCCTGCCTCAGCCTCCCAAGTAGCTGGGACTACAGGCACCCGCCACCACGCCTGGCTAATTTTTTGTATTTTTTAGTAGAGACGGGGTTTCACGGTGTTAGCCAGGAGGGTCTCGATCTCCTGATCTTGTGATCTGCCCGCCTCGGCCTCCCAGAATGCTGGGATTACAGGCGTGAGCCACTGTGCCCGGCCCCATTTATTTCAATAGCAGTTCACTCATTCATATTAAGGATTTCTCCTCTTGCATAGTTCTATTTCTTAGAAGAGTGAGAATTTGTTTTTGTTTTGTTTTGTTTTTTGAGATGGAGTCTCACTCTGTCACCCAGGCTGGAGTGCGACAATGCGATCTTGGCTCACTGAAACCTCCTGGGTTCAAGCGATTCTCCTGCCTCAGCTTCCTGAGTAGCTGGGATTACAGGCGTGCACCACCATGTCTGGCTAATTTTTGTATTTTTAGTAGAGATGGGGTTTCACCATGTTGGCCAGGCTGGTCTCCAACTCCTGACCTCAGGTGATCTTCCTGCCTCGGCCTCCTGAAGTGCTGGGATTACAGGCTGTGAGCCACCTTGCCCAGCTGAGAGTTTGTTTTATCTGATACTTTTCCGCGTGATTTTCTGGGGGAAGGGACTGCATAAACATAGGTAGCTGGGAGGTTTAGAAGGAGCTAAAAAAGGAGAAATATAACAGAAACAGAGGAGAACATGAAAAAAGTTTATAAACACCTTTTTTTTTTTAACAGAAGAATGAGCATTCTTTTCTGGACAGGTAATAAATATAATACTTCTTATCATTATTACTGTAGCTCTCATTTTAAAAGGCCTGTAGGAAGCACTGTGCTGTGTGGTGCATTCCATGCCATTCTATTCTGTTTATATTTTAGAGTTTCATTCCTGACAGTGTTATAAGAGAGGTACAATTTTCTCCATTTGACAGATGAGAGAATGGAAACTCAGAAACATTCAGTAGCTTGCTCAAGATCACACAGCTAGTGAGTGACTACATAAATAGCCACTTCCAAGCTTCCTAAGGCCTGTTGAGACATAGGCAATATCTTGGATGGGAAAGCCCAGGGTGTCAGGGAGCATCTCAGGCTGCTATTCGCCCAGTGATATATGCATTTATTTTTTATTAACAAGTTAATACAGGGTCTCACTCTGTCACCTAGGCTGGAGTGCAGTGGCACAATCACAGCTCACTGTAGCCTTGACCTCCTGGGCTCAAGTGATTTTCCTGCCTCAGCTGCCCCAGTAGCTGAGATTACAGGCACATGCCACCATGCCTGGCTAATTTTTTAAAAATTTCTATTTTTAGTAGAGACAAGGTCTCACTGTGTTGGCCAGGCTGGTCTCAACCTTGGCTGGGCTCAAGTGATCCTCTGGCCTTGGCCATCCAAAGTGCTGGGATTACAGGTGTGAGCCACCACTCCTGTCCTCATGCATTTATTTTCTTAGATGTGGTTCCATTGCTTGGATTTTTTCTAGTTCATTCTAGTTTCCTACACACTGTGCTATATCAATTCTGTAGGGATTCTTGATAATCAAAAAGTGCAAAAAGGGATGATTTGCAAAGAGCACATTAAAGCTTGAAGATGCTGAGAGCAGGGTGGGGAAGCTGAAACTGTTAAAGAAGTTTAGAAACACATTGCAGGTTCTTTTCTATGAAGACCTGAAACATACACACACACACACACACACACACACACACACACACATACATACATGCATGCACACAGAATCACTATTTCTACTGACCTTTTTTCCTGTTGTCTTCAGACGTGAGAACAAAAGTAGGCACAGTATTACATCTTAGACAATACTGAATGCAAGTTAGAATCTAGTAAATCCTCTGTTGAAAAAACAGAGAATTTGAAGTCTGAAAAGAAACTTGCTGAAAACCTAAAGAGTGGCTAAGGACAATAAGAACTCATAGCAAGGGGTATTAAAAAATAGCCTTTTTGCTTATAACCAAACAGATTTCTCAGGTGGCAAAACAGTACAAAAATATGCCCATGGGCCAGAAATAGTAATGTAACTAAAGACAAGAAAGAGTAGCATGATGCACGGAACTCTAAAGATTCATTTCATGTAAGTTGGATAAAGTAGTTGGTAATGGGTCAGTATGTCTGTGGTTACTCCTTGAGTAATTCTGACTTGTGGTGTGGATTTTCTGTGTCTCAGTAGCCTTAAACATAAAGAGAGGGCACAAATAAATCTGTTTTATCTCCAAATACATCACAGGTATTAACAACCATTGCCAAATCATCTGAGCTTCCGGGGAAAGGGTTCTGTCCAGGCAGATGGTATTATGATACAAAGTGCAGGATCTATTGTGAGTGAGGGGATTATGTCAGTTCATCAGTTTATGGTTTTAGATCCTGAGGACATATATTGATCCATTCTTCTAAAGAAATAGTATTGCTGTTAGTGTTTTGGTTTGTTCATCCAGCTTCGTGAGTACAGGTTTTTCTGCTTAAGAAATCTGTCTCCTTCCTGGAAAACTCAAAGCCAAAAGCCCACTGAAAAGAAAAAAAAAAGAGAGAATACCACAAAAGCAGAAACCTCTGGAAAGTTCTTTCAGTTTTACAAGATTAAAAAAAAATCTTTTTTAACAGACCAGTTAGTGTATCAGTAAAATAGAAAGTTGCACGTGTAACACTTGTCATTTTCCTAGCAGCTTCACCACAGCCACAGACACTGATGACACATTAACTTGTCATCCATTAAATACAAATCCCTCTAAATAGACACATTCAACTGGAACACTCGAAAGACTTTTTCCCCAGGGGCCTTACTGTATTTCAGATTACCTCATTCACAGAACTCTTCAGTAACTATCCACCTTCATCTTTCAGGAAGTTAGTGGGGCAGAATTTTCAATTTAAGAAGCACGTATTTCTCCTAGAAACTGCATGGTAGATTGTCTGTTATTCTGAATAATTTATTTCAAGAAACCCACAGAATTGCTGAAATTCTTTTGTACAGCCAGAGGTAAGGCCTAGGAGCGGGTGGGTAGTGTGTCTCTGGTGACCTGTGCATTGTTTGGGGTGCCAGCTTCATGTCCATCTTCATGGTTCAGGCAGTGTGATGGTTAATTTCATGTGTTAACTTCACTGGGCTAAGGGGTGCCCAGATAGCTGCTGAAACATTACTTCTGGGTGTGTCTGTGAGGGTGTTTCTGGCAAAGATTAGCATTTGAATCGGTAGGCTGAGTAAGGAAGACTGCCCTCACCAATGTAAATGAGCATCACCTAATTCACTGAAGGCCTAAATAGGACGAAAACTTAGAGGAAGGGCTAATTTG
This sequence comes from Homo sapiens, assembly GCF_000001405.40. Classification (NCBI taxonomy): domain Eukaryota; kingdom Metazoa; phylum Chordata; class Mammalia; order Primates; family Hominidae; genus Homo; species Homo sapiens. The sequence continues at coordinate 167,862,401 of NC_000002.12, read as the reverse complement.
CTCTCTCTGCTTAAGCTGTGACATGCATCTCCTCCTGAGCTCAGACACCAGTGCTTCTGGTTCTCGAGCCTTTGGGCTCAGACTGCGATTTACAACATTGGCTCCCCCGATTCTCAAGTTTTTGGGTTTGGACTGAAACTATTCCACTGGTTTCTTCTTGGGCCTTCAGCCTGCAGAGAGCAGATCATGGGACTTCTCAGCCCTCATAATCTCATGAGACAATGCCTCATAATAAATCTCTTTCTCTATATCTAAATATATCCTATTGGTTCTGTTTCTCTGGAGAATCCTAACTATAGGCAAATACAAGTCAACACTGATTTCTTATGTCTTGGTTGCCAGTTACACCGAATTGGCTTGGCAATCATTTGAGCTTCCCTTCACCATGGGCAAGGTTGCAGGAGCCTCACCAAGCAGCTTGCTTCCATCCTCTGGTGTCTCAAGGAATGTCTCCAGTTTCTTATTTCCTTTGCATTTCTAAATCTACTTCATTTGTTCATGAAGGATGCACTGAATACTACTAGGTGCCAGGCAGTGAGCTGGTAAGACATCTGAAAAATGTTGAAAACAAATCTACAAATGAAGTAGATTTGGAAATGCAAAGGGAATGCAAATGTCTCCTCTCTCTTACTTTCTAGGAGACAGAGGCAGAAGATAAACAAATGCAAAAACAGTTTCAGGTAGTGGTAAGGGGGATAATCGGATAGAGACTAAACAAAGGTGGGATGGGGGAGAAGGGCTACCTTAAATTAGTCACTCTCTAAGGAGGTGACATCTGAGCTGAGAACAGAATGACTTGCTATCTCTGGTTCAGTCTTTGAATCTTTTACTAAGTTTTTGTCTCCTTTGCTTGGCTTTTTTTGATTCATGCTATATTAGGAGAGCATCTTTGTGGTTTTTGACTTCTACCCCTACTGTTTTTTGGCTCTGTTATCTTTGTGTTTCCCAGCTGTGGCCATTCTGCCCACTCCTGCAAATTCCTCCGGCCTCCAGAGCCACAGGTTATCCACTGTATTAGTTTGCTATAGCTACAGTAACAAAGCACAAATGCTTCTCTATTTATGATTGGGTTACATCCCAATAAACACATTGTAGATTGAAAATATCCTAAGTTGAAAATTCATTTAATACACTTAACCTACCAAACATCATAGATTAGCCAAGCCTAACTTAAATGTGCTGCCTGGTTGGACAAAATTATCTAACACAAAGCCTATTTCTTAATAACGTGTTGAACAACTCACATAATTTATTGAATGCTGTACATTACTTGAAATCATGATGGTTTGGCATCATGGTAATGTCAAAAAATCCTAAGTCAGCTCATCAAAGTGGAGAACTGTCTGTACTTTGCTCCGCAAGACTTCACTCCTTTACATTTTAATTTTCCTGATTTGAGCAAGTAATTTCTTGGGTTTCGGTAAACCAACTTTCAAAGGTTGAAAAATTTGTAATTAGCATTCAAAGAAGAATGAAGCACGAGTGTGAAAAGGGATGCAAAATTTGTTTTATTTTTAGATGAAAAAAAAAAAAAGAAAAGCCAGTTGAGATTCTTTTCCTAAGACCAGGTGAAGAATATATCATAGTTTAAGGCAATTCCTTGCTCCTGCCAACTTGTTTTCTCTGATCCCTTTAAAAACTCAGATTAGTTGAGAAACTCAAGCTGGGATTGAGGCACATTTCCCAAACCAGCAGTTCCTGATGTACTGGCTTGGTTTTGGAGAATACAAACAATTCTCCTGTCTCACTGCAAAATACTACTACATCTTATACTATCTCAAACTAGTACTCAGAATAACTTCTGTTAAAATTGACTCTGAATAACTTCTGTTATTAATTGACTCTGAATAACTTCTGTTAAATATTTACAGATCACATATGGCACACACAAGTGGCTTTAACATAGAGATTTGCATAGTAGCTTTAAAAACATGGTGAAGAAAGATAAAGCAGTTGAAAAAAAATAAACCCAACATTAACCAGCTAAAAGGGAGGCAAGACAGGGAAAGAAAGAGAGCACACGAGAGAGACAGAGAGAAAGGGTTAACTATTTGTGCTATGAAATGGTCTTGAAATGAGTGAGGAGCTGGCTGTGCAGTACATCATGATATTGAAAAGGGGAAAAGAGATCCTTTCTGAAAAATGTTTTGATCTCAAATGACTTTCCTTGGAGATGGCATATGAGTGAAATCAAAAAGTATCTTCATTCTGTGGGGAAAAACAGAAACTCAAATTGCAACAGAACTAATTGATAAACAAGCCCCAAGGGCCAGAGATTCTAGTTGGCTGCATTAATTTGGCATATGGTTATTTTGATACCCAACTCCTCCCCTTTTTCTCACTCTTATAATTATGCTGTAAATAAGCACAGGAGAGGAAGACATAAAACACTATTAGCACTAGATAATGGTCCTTGAAGGAAGAATTTCATAAACCATTATGCTATCCAGTTTGCTAACTTATTATCTCTCCAAATCACAGAGGGCTGGCTCTCCTAGCCTTTAAGTCAGCCTCCTTGGCTATTTAAGGAAATCTACCCATAGATGTTGAAATCCCTGAACGCTCATAGGAATAAGTGTTCTGACTCCTCTGCCTTAGATAGATAAAGAGCTAATTTGTTCCTTTTAAAAATTTAATTATGAATCTTTTCTAAGAGACCCCATAATTGAACTTACCCAACTTACTCATTTGCAATGAGGCAGTGGTGTAAAGCAAGAGGTAATATTCATCATGACTTGGCAGTTGAAATCATTTCCCTCCCAAATCTGGAAGAAATGATTTGAACCTTTCTCTTTTTTAGTTTAATATACCTTGACATTTATTGAAAAGGTCTTTATAAATCCCTGCCTTGGGAAGAATGGGGCCGACCTGAAAGAGGAGTGGTTGGGATGAGGATGTCTTTGTGTGTGTGGGCCTAGGGCTCTTGCTATTCTGAAAGCCACACTTTATTTCACTGAGGAGAAAGTATACTTCAAATTAGAAGGGAAGATTATAGCTTTCTTCAAATCAATGTGTTGCCCTAGTTCTAGAATTCAGAGAATTTTTTAACATCACTACAATCCTCTCAGGGAAAAATGAAAATGAGGATATTTCATCATTTTAAATAAATGCTTGGCTTCCTTTACAGTGATGGATATTGTGTCTTGACTGCCTTATATAAGACACATTTTTAAAGCTAGGCAGAGCAATCACTTATTTAATCATTAGAGCCTAGAAGCCCGGCAATGTGATTGGGCTTCGGGTGGGGCTTCTCCACTGGGAAAGGAAATGCCAGTATTTTTTATTAGAAATGTGAAAGAGGATGAGAGGAAAGACATCCTACTAATATAAACAGCAGCTGGGAGAATTTAAAAATGATGAACTATGTGATAACAAAAAGAGTATTCATTCGGCCCATTATTTTGGGGGAGGCTGATATTAATGGATATTCTTAGAAACCAGAAAGCTGTTAGTGTATTCACTATCTAAAATTTACAAAGTCTAGGGAGGTATTTCTCAGCTCACCACAGAGAGGTAGTATTATTTTAGATCATATTTCAAAGAATGATATTGGTACTATGCAGCGACTGATAATACATGGAACAGACTTGGCGATTTTTCTTTTGTTTTCAATTGTTCCTTTATATAATATTGATTTACTGGAATCCATAATAGCCAAACATAATTTTATGTAGCTGCTGTCAGTGGAAATTATTTTGTAGGCAGTCAGCCTTATGGCATTGGAAGACCCAGATTCAAGTTCTAGACTTGGAGTCATCAGCTCTGAAGCCTGTGCAACTCTATGCCTTTGTTTCCTCATCTATAAAATGAGAATGATAATGTCTGGCCAGACTTTGCCAGTAAGGATCACTGTAAAGATCAAATGAGATAACGTATTTGAAAATACTATATAAGTCAAATGGTGCTACATGAACATAAAGTATTATCATTATTAATGTAAACATGACAAATAAAGACAAATTCAGAGAGGATTGCCTATAAGATGTTTCATAAGGAACGATCAGTCAATGCATCTTGACTAATTGGTGCAAAAGCAGTTTTTTTTTTTTTTTTTTTTACTTCGCTCTTGTTCAAAAGAAAAACAAAAACTTGGCACCTCCAGTTGACCGTTTTCATAAGAAGCTTTCAATTTTACTTGACAGAGCCTATATTAAAAAGTCTTGCACTGTTGTAAAAAAAATGGGGAGGATATATACAAGTTAGAGGAAATGTCATGACTATTGTCATTACTAGCACTAATGTGACATAGAATTTTGCTTTTCTCAAATATAACTTTAGGATATTAAAAATCTACCAGATTTAAATAGCCTTCCGAATAATATTTACATAGCCATAATTAACATTCTGTGTATACGAAAACAGCCTGAAATGGCTATACCATGATTATTTTACAGAGGTTTAAGACAAAGCCACTATAAAATATAACTTTGTGATTTTGTGATTTTTTTTCTTCATAGGCTTGTCAAGGTTGTAATGAAACTTAATCCGAAGTGTAATCTTGCCAAGAGAATCATCATTTAATCACTTAATGGAGGGACTTAGCAATTTTCAGCGCTAGAATCAGATTTATAAATTGTTCTAGAAATGCACCCAAAGGAATGCCTGGGTGACAATGACAGATAGTTTTATTTGGCAGAGTAGCTTTTTAACCAAGCCTTTTTGTTTCTGAAATCTGTGGTTATGTGTACAATTTTCCTAAATTAGTACTTACTGGCCAATCAGATGAAAATGCTGTGTTTTGTTTTGTTCCCATGCTCAGTCATTTATGCTGGCTCTCCACAGTCCTCCCCGCTGCCAATCTCCAGCATTGCTTGGATTCACAAGCTACTCACCAAACATTTGCTCAGCTTCACTCTCACTGGATACCATTTTATGCTTGAGATTTCTATTTCTAGGCATTCTCCTCTTTTACAATTTCCTTTTGGTTCATGATTCTTACTTCCTCTATGGCTAGAGACTCAGCCTGCCAGTTTTCATCCTACTGGTGCCTTGAACTCTTTGCCACAGTCTACTCACATTGCTCTTGAAACTCTTTCAGGCTATGCTGGACTCTTCTCATTTAGACTCTGTGAAGAGGGATTACAATCTTAATCTCTCCCAAGGCCTTTGCTTTTCAAAGCAAAGGAACTCCTGTTCCTTTATCACTTCTCTATGCTCTCCTCCCCACTGCATCAATTCCCATTACTGTCCATCACCTGTATTTTTACTCTTGAGCCTTAAAATATTCTGGGGTTAAGGTCTCATAATCAAAGAAACATTAAGGTAAATTGGTCTCCTGGACAAAGCATAGGGTTGTCAGTCAACAGAAAACTGGTGGTAGCTCTGTTATAAAACCATAAAAACTCTTTGGAAATGTTTTCCCCTTAAAAATATCTCTTAGTTTCAAAATCACATTAATCCTCACGGATCAGAAATCCTGTCACTAGTACATGCTTTCTCAGCCCCCTTAACAAAGGACTCTTTTATATTCTGTGTTTTTAGTCTCTCCATTTCCATTGACTCCTGTTTTGTCTCTAGAAGTGCTTGTCTTCCTTTGCTTAGAAAAATAACAAGAACAGCAAAACCTTCTCTTGACCCTGGCATCACTGCCAATTACTATCATGCTTTCCTCCTAGGTTTCATAGCTAGGGGCCTTAACTGGGCACTCTCTCCTGCTTTTTCCCATTTCCTTACCTATTTAACTCCTACAATAGATCAACATGGCACTTGATGCTATTCTCAGTAAAGCATACAACTTTCCCAGTCCAAGCTTTCCTGGTGTCAGCTGCTTTGGACACACTGAGTCACTCTCTTCTTTCACTCCCGCTTTGGATTCCTTCTGACTGCACCCTCATGTCCTTCTGCTCACTTTGCTGGTGGTCCTATGTGTTTTCTTCTCTTCACACCTCCTCAGCCTGCTTTTTGCAGCCTCCAAACCAGTGCTTATCCCTCCTTCCAGTCTCATCAGCATGGAGTACTCATGCTCTTGAGAACAAGACTTCTGCTATTGACTCTCCAAATATGTTCACCAGCAGGTGGATCAGAGACCAATGCACTTTATAGCCCTGCATATTTTCAGCACTGCTTTCTCTCTTAAATGGTATATATGTAAGTTTATACCAAAGGAAGGAGAAGTTTGCCTTCCTTCTGCTTTTTGCTCTTGTTTTTCATAAATAGAAAACATATTTTAGAACATGAGTGTTTTGAGTTAAATTTCTTGGGATACTTGTATCATAGACAAACTTAGTAGGCATATAGGACAGGTTTTGCTAATGACAACAAAAGGTCAAAAAACAATTCTGTAGTTTTTGTTCATCGACATAGATGTGTTTTATTTTTCTTTATATTTTAGCTGTCAGCTTGTTTCTGAAATTGTTAAAATGTTGTAAAGTCTCATTCAAAGGATGTTTTTACTTGGCCCTTTAGAGATGACTTTCCATGAAATTCTGAGGCTATTTTTTTTGTTGTTGTTTAAAGACTATTAAAGAAATGACATTTTAATAGTCATTTCTTTAGTAAGTTCTGAACAGATGGTATAGGTGAGTTTTCTAAGAAATTCCAAGCTATTTGCTTTCCCTTTCCCTTAGTACATAATTTGAAAGTCCATCAGACAGTTTGAAAGTTTGGTAGAAGTAGAATTTAGGGAAGGTCTCTAAGTATGACTGAAAACAGGTCAGTCGTGAAAGGAAATAGTCCTTGTTTTAAACACATGAAACCATACAAAATATCAGAAATCAAAGGAAAAATATCTCACTTGCCATTCTCTATATCTGTACCCTCAATAGGTAACCATTTTCATAGCTGGATGGATTACTACAGCACATATTTTTAAAGATTTGTTAAATCAATGTTGTGACATTTAGTAATTACTTCTTTTAAAGTAATGTTAAACGGTAACTTCTATTTAATCAATACCTTCTGTATGTGACAGTCTATACAGTGTTTTACAAATAATGTATACAATCTCACTAATAATTACTTCTACTAAGAAGTAGGCATGGTTCCCATTTTACAGAAGAGAAAGCTGAGGCCTGGAGAGATTAAGCAACTTGCCCCAGCTTTACATAGCTAATGAGTGATTAAACCTGGATTTGAATACAAGTCTATCAAACTGTAATATGTAGGTCTATACACCATATTCTGCATCTCACTTTTTACATGGTCGTCAGAATCAAATTTATTTTCTTATTTCCTTTAATTATCCATGACTTAATGTGAGAGGTAGGGAAAATGTAGTCCAGCTGCTATGCATTTCACCTTGGCTTAAGGGTTCGTCTAGCTCTGAGCTTCTCAGTTTCACAGTGTAGGTGTGCTAGTATTTTTAAATGAAAACTGCACAGAGGATGAAGAATTCATCCCCATTCACTGGGCTACTTCCTTAACAATATTAAGGTATCTACAAAGCCAAATCAGTAATGACACTTGCAGTTCATGCAATCCTAGGTTAAAAGGCAACAGTTGCTCTTAAGGTATATTTCAATTAAGCTCTGAGAGACAGGTGAGCTGCTCATCTCTGCTACAATGAGGCACTCATTTTATCTTGGGAAGAACTTAAGAGATGGCATCAGAAGGCTCTGCCCCTTACTAGCGATGTGACTATGGTCAATAAATTCTCCACTCATGGCCGATTTGGCAGTTTAGCCAACTCCTCTCCTGTTCCAATTCCCCCTTAGCTTTTCTTCCTGGAAATGGGCCAGCTGTAAAAGAAACTGACATCCATAATGAAGTCTCCCAGGCTCCTTTACAACTAGGATAAAAGTAAATGACCTAGTTTCCACCCATCAGATACCTCTGGGCAAGACATAGATGGAGAAGTGAGCAGCATGAGATGGCAGCTGTTTTCTGGTTATTTGGATGTTCCAGAAAACACATGGAGTGACAAAGGTCCCTGGTTCTACTGAAGCAGCTATGATAGAATTTGTAGCCTCCAAATGTGAACATCACAGTTGTGAGTAAAGGCAATAGAAGCAATAACGTGTCCACTAAAACAAGTCCAAAGAATTATCAGGTACTTTTTGGGCTGCATTGTTCATGGCCATGTTGTTCTGGCTGGTTAGTTAATAAATCCAGGTCAAGCCCTTCAAGAGAGTCCATGAGCTCCTTGACACTTATTTGATAAGTCCCTTTCTCCTTAGCCTGGTTGAATAGATTCCCCTGTTTACAACCCTTAGCCACACACCATTGTCTCTATTTCTTTAAGTATAAAATGAGATGAAGATAATCTAATTTACAGGCTGGCTGTGAGGTAAATCATAAACTTTATATGGTACAGAGTTTAATTTTGGCTATTATTAATTGCTGGTCATTTTGGCATTGTCCAAGAGAAATATCAACCACCATAAACTAAATAAATCAATCCCTACTGTGCTCATCCTGGAAAATGCTACTTAGCATTGCCCATGTGAGGAGCAGCACTTTGAATTGAAGATGATATCTGAAAACCCTATTTCTCTTTTCATGTTGTCTAAAAATGGCATGTGTCTTTTGACTGGATGTCACATGGCCCTCTTGTGAACTTGTCCTGGATGACAACTGATTATCTCTCTCAGGGAACACTTGCACGCCCTCCCCCTAGGTGAATTAACTGAAAACCACAGAATCTTCATTTTAAAGTAGGCCACCATAAATGTACTCTCAAAAATTGCTGAGAATTTACTTAGTTCATTTATTGTGATGTGTTAATTTTTATTTATAATTACATGTGCCAACATACATGTGCCTGTTGGTGAGTCTGGAGACATGCTGACAACTTGTTATTCTTTTTCCATTTTTTGGTACTGAAAACCACTATGCTTTTGTTTGCATTTATTAATTCATCATATTTGATAATCCCACTATTAACATTTATTAACATTATAATAAATATACAAATGAAAATGCAAATTTCCTACCTTTAAGGAGCTTCAAGTTATATTAACTATAATCTATATGGGAAAAAATAAGGAATCATGAATGGTACCACTTGTATGATACTACAATTGAAATAGTTAATTATTGATAAGGATAATTGGGTTAGATCCATGGAAGAGACAATATTTGACGTGGTTCTCAAATTAAAAAAATAGAGAACTCTCAATAGGAGAAAAATTGATTGTGGGGGAGAGACATTCAATGCTAAGTTAAGAACATTTGCAGAGACACAAAGGTGTTAAATTATTTGATTTATTTCTAGAGTAGGGAGCTGTCCAGTATGAGAGAATGCTGGATTCATGGTAGAATAAAGTTGAAACTGAGAATGCGAAGGGAGGTTTTGATCATCTGAATATTTTTTCCTCCACCATACCTACATCATTTTTTCCTTCAGTAATCCTTTGTAGCTTTACAATTGATTGTATTTTAGGTTGGTTGTTTCCTTACCTCAAATGGGAAAATAACTCAATCAATAGGTTAATTTTTCAATTGCTTTGAACTGTGACTCTTTGATAAACTTTAACCTCTGTAAGGGCAAAGATTTAATCTGGTTTTATCATTATTTTTGTCACTCTCATTACTATTTCTATCTTTATCATTTTTGCCTCAGCATACTAGCACAGTGCAAGAAGCATTGTTGAGGAAGAAATAATCTGAGTAAATGGCTTCCAGATAGCCATAAACAGTAATTCGTCATCCAGTATTAGCTTCAACAAGAGTCCTTTGCTGAGATATCATAGAAAAGTGGACTATATTCTAGAGTAAGTTTTTATGTGATGTGCTGGAAAGGTGTATCAAAAGATGTTTTATATTCATATTTTGAGTATACAGTATCTTTCCCCATGCCTAGCCCTTTTCACTGTGCCATTCAAGGCAAATTTCTGCCTCTGATTTAGTTCTTGAACTCATATAACTTCATTATGTTTCTAGATTAAAAATAAATTTTCCGATAAAATAAAAGTTCCTGTGTTTAGGAAAATAATCCTAGTGGAAGATGATAAGCACGTACACACACACACACACACACACACACACACACACACACCATCACGAATAAAAGAGACAGTTGGGAAACCTAATACAAAATCTGAATCTTTTCTGTGATGAATGGTTGTCAACTGCCAAATCCTTGAATTATTCTTTCCGAAATGTCTTTCTGAGCTGATTTTTAATAAATTTCTGATTTGCTGTTGTGGTAGGTCATTTGTGATTATATCCGTCTTATCCAGTAAGAGCAGTAATGTGTAAATTGTGTCTCTAAGAAGTGATAAAGTGGTGCAAATGGTGCTTTTCACCTCGGGTGACCATAGCCACAGTCACTATTTGCAATAGCTGCTGTGCTGTGTTCTCTGAAATTTCCTAACAAGATGCTTCAACTCATGTCACACCCAAGCTACTGATAAGAATATATATATTGAAAAGTTTGAAGACAACATAACTTCACTGCCAAAATTGCCCTTCCAAGAAGTTATCAGCAGAGCTATTGGTAAGTTGGTTTTAAAATGCTTGAAAATTCTTTACATAGGCTGTTTACTGCCAGATTGAAGAGAATAAATTGCATTTTTGGGTAATAGGAGCAGGGTGAAGAATAACCCTCCAGCAACTGGAAAGTTTTCAAGGCATGATGCACAACAGCAATAATGTGCTCCGTGTCTCCCCAGGCACATGTCAGTCTCAGAAGACTAGTAGAGAAGTGCCAATGCTTCTGGTTCCCCCAGGAACTCTAGGCGATGGTTCCTGGAACAATTGTCAGAAATCAGGATTATTATTTATCTTCTACTTGGGCTGGAGAGCTAAGCACATAAGTAAATGCTCAATAGAAGTAAAATATTCATGGAGTTCTGAAAGAAGTTTTTCTAATGCTGGCTTACAGCCAGAGTGTATTCCAATAGCCTTATTATTTTGGGTAGTGAGGTGCTAATGGGTAGAAACGAGTTAAACAATGTTCATCAGATTTATTTATGGAAAGACTGCTTAGAGTCTTTAATATGATCCATTCCTTTGAGAAACTCAAGACGGAGACATAACATGGCTCACAGATTTTTGTTTTTACTCACAGCTTCTTGAGAAGACAGTTTGGGGTGTCAGGCCTTAGTGGACAGTTAAGATGTTCTGTGACTTCCCTTTTGGAATTGTAAATGACTATCATCACTTTTTTGTTATTGTGTTTTTTGCTTTTTAAACGAGTTCTAATAAAAGGTAGGGCTGGTTATCACCTTTTGGTTTGCCTTATGGGGTAAACCTAATCACATGTATTTTTTTTAATTCTTGTAAATTTAGTAGCTTATTATTCTTGATTTTTTTAACCTCTAACAGTGTATTTGACGACTTTATTGCCTTTGAGAAAGCTTTTGTTTTAGTATTACAAAAATGATGCATGTTCAAAAACAGAAAATCTAAAGGATAAAAACAAATAAAAAGAAGAAAATAAAAATCACCCATAATCCTATCAAGTATATATAGGCACTATTGACAAGTAGATGTAGATAATTTGCTTTTTTTGTATCTTATATATTTTCATTTATTTATTTTTGTATTTATTATTTTTCCATAAGTTATTGGGGCACAGGTGGTATTTGGATACAGGAGAAAGTTCTTTAGTGGTGATTTGTGAGATTTTGGCGCACCCATCACCCAAGCAATATACACTGCACCATATTTGTAGTCTTTTATCCCTCGGCCCCCTCCCACTCTTCCCCCCAAGTCCCCAAAGTCCATTGTATCATTCTTATGCCTTTACATCCTTATAGCTTAGCTCCCACGTATCAGTGAGCACACACGACGTTTGGTTTTCCATTCCTGAGTTATTTCACTTAGAATAATAGTCTCCAATATCAGTTTCTTTATCCATTCCTTGATTGATGGGCATTTGGGTTGGTTCCACAATCTTGCAATTGTGAATTATGCTGCTATGAACATGCGTGTGCAAGTATCTTTTTCATATAACTTCTTTTCCTCTGGGTAGATATCCAGTAGTAGAATTGCTGGATCAAATGGTAGTTCTACTTTTAGTTCTTCAAGGAACCTCCACTCTGTTTTCCATCGTGGCCATATTAGTTTACATTCCCACCAGCAGTGTAGAAGTGTTCCCTGATCACAGCATCCATGCCAACATCTACTGTTTTTTGATTTTTTGATTATGGCCATTTTTGCAGAGGTAAGGTAGTATGACATTGTGGTTCTGATTTGCATTTCCCTGATCATTAGTGATGTTGAGCATTTTTTCATATGCTTGTTGGCCATTTGGATATCCTCTTTTGAGAACTGTCTATGCATGTCCTAAGCCCACTTTTTGTGGGATTGTTTGTTTTTGACTTACTGATTTGTTTGAGTTTGTCGTAGATTCTGGATATTAGTCCTTTGTCAGATGTACAGATTGTGAAGATTTTCTCCCACCCTGTGGGTTGTCAGTTTACTCTGCTGACTGTTTCTTTTGCTGTGCAAAAGCTCTTTAGTTTAATTAGGTCCCAGTGATTTATCTTTGTTTTTATTGAATTTGCTTTTGGGTTCTTGGTTATGAAATCCTTGCCTAAGCCAATGTTTAGAAGAGTTTTTCCAATGTTATCTTCAGAATTGTTGCAGTTTCAGGTCTTAGGTTTAAGTCCTTTTTTTTTTTTTTTTTTGAGACAGAGTCTCGCTCTTTTCCCGGGGCTGGAGTGCAGTGGCGCGATCTCGGCTCACTGCAAGCTCCGCCTCCCGGGTTCACGCCATTCTCCTGCCTCAGCCTCCCGAGTAGCTGGGACTACAGGCGCCTGCCACCACACCTGGCTAATTTTTTTTGTATTTTTTAGTAGAGACAGGGTTTCACTGTGTTAGCCAGGATGGTCTCGATCTCCTGACCTTGTGATCCACCCGCCTCGGCCTCCCAAAGTGCTGGGATTACAGGCTTGAGCCACCGCGCCCGGCCAGGTTTAAGTCCTTAATCCATCTTGAGCTGATTTTTGTATAAGGTGAGAGATGAGTATCCAGTTTTGTTTTCCTACATGTGGCTTGCCAATTATCCCAGCACCATTTGTTGAAAAGGGTGTCCTTTCCTCACTTCATATTTTTGTTTGCTTTGTTGAAGATCAGTTGGCTGTAAGTATTTGGGTGTATTTCTGGGTTGTCTATTCTGTTCCATCGGTCTATGTGCCTATTTTTATACCAGCACCATGCTGTTTTGGTGACTATGGCCTTATAGTATAGTTTAAAATCAGGTCGTGTGATGCCTCCAGATTTGTTCTTTTTGCTTAGTCTTGCTTTGACTATGCAGGCTCATCTTTTGTTCCATATGAATTTTAGAATTGTTTTTCCTAATTCTATGAAGAATGATGGTGGTATTTTGATGGGGATTCTATTGAATTTGTAGATTGCTTTTGTCAGTATGATCATTTTCACAATATTGATTCTACCCATCCATGATCATGAGATATGTTTCCGTTTGTTTGTGTTGTCTGTGATTTCTTTCAGCAGTGTCTCATAGTTTTCCCTGCAGAGGTCTTCTGACTCCTTGGTTAGGTGTATTCCTAAGTATTTTATTTTTTTTGCAGCTATTGTAAAGGGGTTGAGTTCTTGATTTGATTCTCCACTTGGTTGCTGTTGGTGTATGGAAGAGCTACTGATTCTTGTATCCAGAATCTTTGCTGAATTCTTTCATCAGTTCTAGGAGCTTTCTGGAGGAGTCGTTAGGGTTTTCAAGGTAAACAATCATATCATCAGCAAACAATGACAGTTTGACTTCCTCTTTACCAATTTGGATGCCCTTCATTTCTTTCTTTTGTCTGATTGCTCTGGCTAGGACTTCCAGTACCATGTTGAAGAGGAGTGGTAAGAGTGGGCATCTTTGTCTTGTTCCAGTTCTCAGAGGGAATGCTTTCAACTTTTCCCCATTCAGTATTATGTTGGCGGTGGGTTTGTCATAGATGGCTTTTATTACATTGAGGTATGTCCCTTATATGCTGATTTTGCTGAGAGTTTTAATCATAAAGAGATGCTGGATTTTGTCAAATGCTTTTTCTGCATCTATTGAGATCATCATGTGAATTTTGTTTTTAATTCTGTTCATGTGGTGTATCACATTTGTTGACTTGCATATGTTAAACCATTCCTGCATCCCCAGTATGAAACCCACTTGATCATGGCGGATTATCTTTTTTGATATATTGTTGGATTTGGTTAGCTAGTATTTTGTTAAGGATTTTAGAATCTATGTTCATGAAGGATATAGGTCTGTAGTTTTCTTTTTTTGGTTATGTCCGTTCCTGGTTTTGGTATTAGGGTGATGCTCGCTTCACAGAATGAATTAGGGAGGGTTCCTTCTGTCTATATCTTGTGCAATAGTGTCAAAAGGATTGGTACCAATTCTGTTTTGAATGTCTGGTAGAATTCTGCTCGGAATCTATTTGGTCCTGGACCTTTTTTTTGTTGGTAATATTTAAATTACCATTTTAATTTCGCTGCTTGTTATTGTTCTGTTCAGGGTATCTAATTCTTCCTGATTTAAGCTAGGAGGGTTGTATTTTTCCAGGAATTTATCCATCTCTTCTAGGTTTTCTAGTTCATGTATGCAAAGGTGTTCATAGTAGCCTTGAATAATCTTTTGTATTTCGGTGGTGTCAGTTGTATTATGTCCTGTTTTGTTTCTTAGTGAGGTTATCTGGATTTTCTCTCTTCTTTTCTTGGTTAATCTTGTTAATAGTCTATCAATTTTATCTTTTGAAAGAACCAGCTTTTTGTTTCATTTATTTTTTGTATTTTTTGTTTGTTTGTTTCAATTTCACTTAGTTCTGCTCTGAATGTGGTTATTTCCTTTCTTCTGATGGGTTTGGGTTTGGTTTGTTCTTGTTTCTCTAGTTCCTTGAGGTGTGACCTTAGAATGTCAGTTTGTGCTCTTTCAGTCTTTTTGATGTGTAGGCGTTTAGGGCTATGAACTTTCCTCTTAGCACCGTTTTTGCTGTATTCCAGAGGCTTTGGTAGGTTGTGTCATTATTGTCATTCAGTCTGAAGAATTTTTAAATTTCTGTCTTGATTTCATTTTTGACTCAGTGCTCATTCAGGAGCAGGTTATTTAATTTCCATGTATTTGCACAGTTTTGAAGGTTCCTTTTGGAGTTGATTTCCAGTTTTATTCCTCTGTGGTCTGAGAGAGTGCTTGATATAATTTCAACTTTCTTAAGTTTATTGAGACTTGTTGTATGGCCTATCATATGACCTATCTTGGAGAAAGTTCCATGTGCCATTGAATAGAATGTGTATTCTGTGGTTGTTGGATGAAATGTTGTTTTTGTTCCAAGGTATAGTTTAAATCCATTGTTTCTTTGCTGACTTTCTGTCTTGATGACCTGTCTAGTGCTGTCAGTGGAGTATTGAAATCCCCCATGATTATTGTGTTGCTGTCTATCTCATTTCTTAGGTCTACTAGTAATTGTTTTATAAATCTGGGAGCTCCAGTAATAGGTGCATATATGTTTAGGATTGTGATATTTTGCTGTTGGACAAGGCTTTTACCCTTATATAGTGTCTCTCTTTGTCTCTTTTAACTGCTGTTGCTTTAATGTTTGTTTTGTCTGATATAAGAATAGCTAGTCCTGCTCATTTTTGGTGTCCATTTGCATGAAACGCCTTTTTCCACACCTTTACTTTATGTGAGTCCTTATGGGCTACGTGAGTCTCCTGAAGACAGCAGATGGTTAGTTGGTGAGTTCTTATCCATTCTGTGGTTCTGTATCTTTTAAGTGGAGGATTTAGGCCATTTACATTCAATGTTAGTATTGAAATGTGAGGCACCGTTGCATTTATTGTGCTGTTTGTTGCCTGTGTACTTTTTTTTGTTTTTGCTTTTTAAATTATATTTTTGTTTTATAGGTCCTGTGTGATTTATGGTTTAAAGAGGTTCTGTTTTGATGTGTTTACAGGATTTGTTTCAAGAAACAGAGCTTCTTTTAGCAGTTCTGGTAGTGGTGGCTTGGTAGTGGTGAATTCTATCATTTGTTTGTCTGAAAAAGACTATCTATCTTTCCTTCATATATGATGCTTAGTTTCGCTAGATACAAAATCCTTGGCTGATAATTGTTTTGTTTGAGGAGGCTGAAGATAGGGCCCCAATCCCTTCTAGCTTGTAGGGTTTCTGCTGAGAAATCTGCTGTTATTCTGATAGGTTTTCCTTTATAGGTTACCTGGTGCTTCTGTCTCACATTTCTTAACATTCTTTCCTTTGTCTTCTCTTTAGGTAACCTGATGACAATGTGCCTAGGTGACGATCTTTCTGCGATCAATTTCCAGGAGTTCTTTGCTTCTTGTATTTGGGTGTCTAGGTCTCTAGCAAGGCAGGGAAGTTTTCCTCGATTTTTCTCCCAAACATGGTTTCCAAGCTTTTAGAATTCTCTTCTTCCTCAGGAACACGGATTATTCTTAGGTTTGGTCATTTAACATAATCCCAGACTTCTTGGAGACTTTGTTCATATTTTCTTTTTCTTTTTTCTTTGACTTTGTTGGATTGGGTTAATTCAAAGACCTTGTTTTTGAGCTCTGAATTTTTCTTCTACTTGTTCAATTCTATTGGTGACACTTTCCAGAGCATTTTGCATTCTATAATTGTATCCAATGTTTCCTGATTTTTGTTTTTTGTTTTTTTGTTTAAGCTATTTCCTTGAATATTTCTCCTCTCACTTCTTTTATTGTTTTTTGATTTCCTTGCATTGAGCTTTGCCTTTCTCTGGTGCCTCCCTAGTTAACCTCCTGAATGCTTTTTCAGGTAAATCAGGGATTTCTTCTTGGTTTGGATCCATTGCTGGTGAACAAGTGTGATTTTGTTGTTGCGGGGGGGTGGGGGCGCGGTGTTAAAGAGCCTTGTTTTGTCATATTACCAGGATTACTTTTCTGGTTCCTTCTCATTTGGGAAGGCTCTGTCAGAGGGAAGATCTAGGGCTGAAGGCTGTTGTTCAGATTCTTTTGTCCCACAGGATGTTCCCTTGATGTAGTACTCCCCGCTTTTCCTAAGCATGTGGCTTCCTGCAAGCCAAAATGCAGTGAATATTGTCTCTCTTCTGGGTCTAGCCACTCCGTAAGTAAGTCTACCTGACTACAGGCTGGTACTGGGTGTTGTCTGCACAGAGTCCTGTGATATGAATCGTCTATGGGCCTTCCAGACGTGGATACCAGCACCTGTTCTGGTGGAGGTGGTTGGGGGGTGCAATGGACTCTGTGACGGTTCTTAGCTTTGGTGGTTTAATGCTTTGTTTTTGTGCTGCTTGGACTTCTGCCAGGAGGTGGCGCTTTCCAGAGAGCACCAGCTGTGGTAGTATGGAGAGGAACTGGTGGTGGGTGGGGCCCTAGAACTCCCAAGATTATATGCTCTTTGTCTTCAGCTACCAGGGTGGGTAGGGAAGGAGCATCAGGTGGGGGCAGTGGGAGGCGTGTCTGAACTCAGACTCTCCTTGGGCAGGTGTTGCTGCAGCTGCTGTGGGGGATGGGGGTGAGATTCCCAGGTCATTGGAGTTGTCTACCTAAGAGGATTATGGCTGTCTCTGCTGAGTCATGCAGGTTGTCAGGGAAGTGGGGCAAAGCCGGCAGTCACAGGCTTTGCCCAGCTCTCATGCAAACCAAAGGGCCAGTCACACTCCCACTGTGCCCCCTAACAGCCCCCAGTCTGTTTCCAGGCAGAGGGCAAGCCAGGCTTGAAAACCTGCCCCAGGCTACCTGCCTCCCAGCTGGGAAAGAACAAGGCTTGGTTCTTTTCCTGCCTGTGGAGTCTGCACACTGGATTTGCGCCCTCCCCTGAGTTCTGGCCAGGAGGCTTCTCGCCCCATTCAAATTGTTATACAGTTCAGCTAGAGATTTCTTTCTTTCTGTGGAGTTTTACCTCCTGCTCCTCCGGCTGCCCTCTCGACGGATCCTTGTGGTGCCCAGCAGGAAGGGCCTGTTTGGGGACCCAGCGAGCTCCCAAGGCCTTTCTGCTGCTTCCTCTACCCCTGTATTTCGCTAGGCTCTCTAAATTGACTCTGCTCCAGGTAAGGTCTGAAGCTTCTCCTGCAAACAGACCTTTAGTTTCTCCAGTAGGGGTGTGTGTTTGGGAGAGGAGGGTCTCCCTTTCCCACTACCGCAGTTGGGGCACTCATAGTACTTGGGATGTCTCCCGAGTCCTGCAGGAGCAGTCCGCTTCCTTCAGAGGGTCTGTGGGTCCTCTCGGGATTTCTGGTTTGTTCTTGCAGTCGATCTGGAGCTAAAATTCATAATGCGAGTCTCTGCATGCTGCTCTGTGTGGAGCTGCAATCCAGTCCTGCCTCCCGTCCACCATGATGATCCTTGCCTCCTCTTACATATTTTCATTTATTAATATGGGATCATGTAGTCTGCAGATTTTCATGTGCTTTTCCCCCACTTAGCAAGCATCATCAACACTTTTGCATTTGACTATGTACTCTTGTGCCATTCATTTTCAATGACTGCCATATTCCAATCATGTAAGCATCTCTCCACTGTTATTAGATATTTCGTCTAATAGGCTTCCTATTCTTCCCACATTTACTCTGTGAGCATTCTCAGAGAATCCAGTGATATGAATATAGGGACAGATGACATTGTTCTTGGTTCTATAAAGCCTTGTCCTAGAAACTTCACATGCCTCAGTTTTGGTGTCAGAGAACAAAGGCACTAACAATGATCTGCTGTCTGGAGTCCTCAGATCATACTCATAGTGCCACTGAAAGTCATAACTTCCCAACCTGGCTCATCATTCTGCAACTACAACTTATTCCCAGGCCACTAATATTTCAGAGGAACAATACAGGCAATTGAAACCTGCAATTTATGGGTCAAGTACACAGAACGGCACTAAGTCAACCCTTCTGATGTTAGGATGACAATAGTATGTGATCTGGGGTCTTTAGGGTGGCAGCATAAGACAGTACCATGTTTGGTTTGAAGTCTTCCTGGTTATTTATCTCAGAGCTTGTCCAGGAATGACAAAGACACATCACTTCTATCCTAGGTAGTGTCTCCAGCACCATAGCGGCAGTTATTAAGAGGCTGAAATCAGCAATCCTGGCAGTCTGTCTGATTAGCCAATAGAATAATGATTTGACCTGACTGCCAAGCACTGAGGATTCCTATCTGGGGATTCACCACAGAGGTCCTTCTGGGCATCTGGTCAAGTGTGGCATGATGGAGTCTGACAGGCTGGATTGCCCTGGTCTAAATGGAGCTCTACTCCAGGTATGTTATCTTGATTTCCTTTCATCTTACTTTCCTGAACTGTGAAGTATCTTGAAATAATCTTTCATATAAAGGCAGTCAAATTAGACTAAAAATACATCAGCTTTCTCTAAGTGTCAAATGTTTACGAAAATTTACAGCTGCAAACTTTTACTTTTTACTTATCAGGATTTTTAATTTTGTCAGTAATTTTGAAGACCATTTGTTAAGGGACTTATTCCAGGAGGCAGTATTGTGAATTGCTAAAACTACAGACCATGTGGTCAGGCATCCTGGGTTCAAATCCTGCCATTTACTAGCTGTATCACTGCTCCGCAATCATTTCTTCAGCTTCAACATGAGAAAAGTGTGCCTATTTCAGGTTCATGAAAATGAAAGAAATAAATGTCAGAAAGGCACTTAATGCCAGCCTTGGAACACAATAGTGCTTAATACATATTATTATTATTATTATTGATTCAGGGTCTGTTGTGCAGGCTGGAATACAGTGGCATGATCCTACTCACTGCAACCTCCACCTCTTGGGCTCAAGTAATCCTCCCGCCTCAGCCTTCCAAGCAGTTGGGACTACAGGTGTGTGCCACCACACCCAGCTAATTTGATAGTTTTTTGTAGAGACGGAGTTTCGTCATGTTGCCCAGGCTGGTCTCAAATTCCTGAGCTCAAGTGATCCTCCTGCCTCAGCCTCTCAAAGTGCTGGGATTACAGGTGTGAGCCACTGCACCCAGCCAAATATTAATATTATTAATTTTAACATTTAAAGAAAATTATACATACAGTTAAATATTTAATACAACTTATTAGCAATCTAGGTGCTGTTATTACTATTGTCTTTACTAAGTGCAGGCGCTCCTGTCCTCTAAGGAGTTGAAGTCTAAACAGTAGTCACTTACGATTTATTTCAGTATACATTCTACAGAAACTGATGAAATAATGACATAGAAGTAAGTATGAAATGTGAAGATGCATTGCTCAGCTTGAACAGATGTGGGAAAGAATTGCTGGAGTCAAAAGGCACATGCAGTGGAGTTTTACTTGGCCAGGCAGCAGCATGGGTAACTGAAAGTTTGTGGTTGCTACTTCTCTCTAGGATTTTAAACTCAGGCTCAAATCTAAAGAACTGGAGAGACCTCATGTGTTTCTATTTTGCTTTGTTTTGACCATTGGCTTTTATTGTCTGGAAGATATGATAAAATAGGTCCCTACCATAATAGGTGAAAAGTAACTTTTGTAATAATATGTGTCTTTATATAGCCCAGTTCAGGGAATACATTTTAATTCATTTGGTCTTTTTCCAGCTTTATTAATATTTATGCTAAACCGCATTCTAATAAAGTGCTTAAAAACCTGGATGAAGTCAAGTTAATAGGTAATAGTGTTGAAGTAAAAACAAGCAAAAAATTTTATTATTTTAAAGGAAGCACATTATTGTATGAAAAGTTACTTAAATATAGTCTTTCTATCATTATTTCCTATGGTTAACCTTATTTTCCCCTTTCCCTGAAATATTCATTTGGCAAATATAGAATCTGAAAAGCTATATTCACTGTAACCATTCTGATTTCTAGTATCTTGGTTAGGGCATTTTACTTTCCTAATTAGGAGCATGGCTCAGTGGCTTCTGGCTAAAAGAAAAAACAAAACAGCCTGGAACGTGCTCCTTACTCTCTTAGGAGAAGGGGGAGGCTGGAAGGGGCCTTCTGTCCTCATTAGGTGGTTGATACATTTCATTTGTATATTTCACAGATGCTGCTCAGGCAAGTGTGGTCACATCATTGCAGCCAGGTTTGCTAACTGGAGAATGTGAAAGAGTATACACATAATCTCAGTATCTCTGGAGAATTTGTGAAATAGGAGGTTTAATCCCATTGTCTTTATTGGCCCAAAGGCACAGAAAGGCACCAACCCAAATTTTCGGTCTCCATTTAGACCCTGAGGTGGTCACAATGATTAAATGTCAGATCTGAGGAACCAGAAAGTCCACCTTCCTGTTGTAAGGCTAAGCATGTTGTGCTGACCTGTATTGTGCTCTAACACCCTGGGGCAGGAGATGGCTCTTGAATGGCTTTTCAAAAAGGCTTTTCTTTTTTTTTTTTTTCTTTGTGGTGAAGGCATATTTTTATTTTTACTTATTTATTTATTTATTATTATACTTTAAGTTTTAGGGTACATGTGCACAATGTGCAGGTTAGTTACATATGTATACATGTGCCATGCTGGTGCCCTGCACCTACTAACTCATCATCTAGCATTAGGTATATCTCCCAATGCTATCCCTCCCCCCTCCCCCCACCCCACAACAGTCCCCAGGGTATGATGTTCCCATTCCTGTGTCCATGTGTTCTCATTGTTCAATTCCCACCTATGAGTGAGAATATGCGGTGTTTGGTTTTTTGTTCTTCGATAGTTTACTGAGAATGATGATTTCCAATTTCATCCATGTCCCTACAAAGGACATGAACTCATCATTTTTTATGGCTGCATAGTATTCCATGGTGTATATGTGCCACATTTTCTTAATCCAGTCTATCATTGTTGGACATTTGGGTTGGTTCCAAGTCTTTGCTATTGTGAATAGTGCCGCAATAAACATACATGTGCATGTGTCTTTATAGCAGCATGATTTATAATCCTTTGGGTATATAGCCAGTAATGGGATGGCTGGGTCAAATGGTATTTCTAGTTCTAGATCCCTGAGGAATCGCCACACTGACTTCCACAATGGTTGAACTAGTTTACAGTCCCACCAACAGTGTAAAAGTGTTCCTATTTCTCCACATCCTCTCCAGCACCTGTTGTTTCCTGACTTTTTAATGATTGCCATTCTAACTGGTGTGAGATGATATCTCATTGTGGTTTTGATTTGCATTTCTCTGATGGCCAGTGATGGTGAGCATTTTTTCATGTGTTTTTTGGCTGCAAAAATGTCTTCTTTTGAGAAGTGTCTGTTCATGTCCTTTGCCCACTTTTTGATGGGGTTGTTTTTTTCTTGTAAATTTGTTTGAGTTCATTGTAGATTCTGGATATTAGCCCTTTGTCAGATGAGTAGGTGGCAAAAATTTTCTCCCATTTTGTGGGTTGCCTGTTCACTCTGATGGTAGTTTCTTTTGCTGTGCAGAAGCTCTTTAGTTTAATTAGATCCCATTTGTCAATTTTGGCTTTTGTTGCCATTGCTTTTGGTGTTTTAGACATGAAGTCCTTGCCCCTGCCTATGTCCTGAATGGTAATGCCTAGGTTTTCTTCTAGGGTTTTTATGGTTTTAGGTCTAACATTGAAGTCTTTAATCCATCTTGAATTGATTTTTGTATAAGGTGTAAGGAAGGGATCCAGTTTCAGCTTTCTACATATGGCTAGCCAGTTTTCCCAGCACCATTTATTAAATAGGGAATCCTTTCCCCATTGCTTGTTTTTCTCAGGTTTGTCAAAGATCAGATAGTTGCAGATATGCGGCGTTATTTCTGAGGGCTCTGTTCTGTTCCATTGATCTATATCTCTGTTTTGGTACCAGTACCATGCTGTTTTGGTTACTGTAGCCTTGTAGTATAGTTTGAAGTCAGGTAGTGTGATGCCTCCAGCTTTGTTCTTTTGGCTTAGGATTGACTTGACAAGGCGGGCTCTTTTTTGGTTCCATATGAACTTTAAAGTAGTTTTTTCCAATTCTGTGAAGAAAGTCATTGGTAGCTTGATGGGGATGGCATTGAATCTAAAAATTACCTTGGGCAGTATGGCCATTTTCATGATATTGATTCTTCCTATCCATGAGCATGGAATGTTCTTCCATTTGTTTGTATCCTCCTTTATTTCATTGAGCAGTGGTTTGTAGTTCTCCTTGAAGAGGTCCTTCACATCCCTTGTAAGTTGGATTCCTAGGTATTTTATTCTCTTTGAAGCAATTGTGAATGGAAGTTCACTCATGATTTGGCTCTCTGTTTGTCTGTTATTGGTGTATAAGAATGCTTGTGATTTTTGTACATTGATTTTGTATCCTGAGACTTTGCTGAAGTTGCTTATCAGCTTAAGGAGATTTTGGGCTGAGACAATGGGGTTTTCTAGATATACAATCATGTCATCTGCAAACAGGGACAATTTGACTTCCTCTTTTCCTAATTGAATACCCTTTATTTCCTTCTCCTGACTAATTGCCCTGGCCAGAACTTCCAACACTATGTTGAATAGGAGTGGTGAGAGAGGGCATCCCTGTCTTGTGCCAGTTTTCAAAGGGAATGCTTCCAGTTTTTGCCAATTCAGTATGATATTGGCTGTGGGTTTGTCATAGATAGCTCTTATTATTTTCAGATACGTCCCATCAATACCTAATTTATTGAGAGTTTTTAGCATGAAGGGTTGTTGAATTTTGTCAAAGGCATTTTCTGCATCTATTGAGATAATCACGTGGTTTTTGTCTTTGGTTCTGTTTATATGCTGGATTACATATATTGATTTGCGTATATTGAACCAGCCTTGCATCCCAGGGATGAAGCCCACTTGATCATGGTGGATAAGCTTTTTGATGTGCTGCTGGATTTGGTTTGCCAGTATTTTATTGAGGATTTTTGCATCAATGTTCATCAAGGATATTGGTCTAAAATTCTCCTTTTTGGTTGTGTCTCTGGCCGGCTTTGGTATCAGGATGATGCTGGCCTCATAAAATGAGTTAGGGAGGATTCCCTCTTTTTCTATTGATTGGAATAGTTTCAGAAGAAATGGTACCAGTTCCTCCTTGTACCTCTGGTAGAATTCGGCTGTGAATCCTTCTGGTCCTGGACTCTTTATGGTCGGTAAGCTATTGATTATTACCACAATTGCAGCTCCTGTTATTAGTCTATTCAGAGATTCAACTTCTTCCTGGTTTAGTCTTGGGAGAGTGTATGTGTTGAGGAATTTATCCATTTCTGCTAGATTTTCTAGTTTATTTCCGTAGAGGTGTTTGTAGTATTCTCTGATGGTAGTTTGTATTTCTGTGGGATCGGTGGTGATATCCCCTTTATCATTTTTTATTGCGTCTATTTGATTCTTCTCTCTTTTCTTCTTTATTAGTCTTGCTAGTGGTCTATCAATTTTGTTGATCTTTTCAAAAAACCAGCTCCTGGATTCATTAATTTTTTGAAGGGTTTTTTGTGTCTCTATTTCCTTCAGTTCTGCTCTGATTTTAGTTATTTCTTGCCTTCTGCTAGCTTTTGAATGTGTTTGCTCTTGCTTTTCTAGTTCTTTTAATTGTGATGTTAGGGTGTCAATTTTGGATCTTTCCTGCTTTCTCTTGTGGGCATTTAGTGCTATAAATTTCCCTCTACACACTGCTTTGAATGTGTCCCAGAGATTCTGGTATGTTGTGTCTTTGTTCTCATTGGTTTCAAAGAACATCTTTATGTCTGCCTTCATTTGTTATGTACCCAGTAGTCATTCAGGAGCAGGTTGTTCAGTTTCCATGTAGTTGAGCGGTTTTGAGTGAGTTTCTTAATCCTGAGTTCTAGTTTGATTGCACTGTGGTCTGAGAGAGAGTTTGTTATAATTTCTGTTCTTTTACATTTGCTGAGGAGAGCTTTACTTCCAACTATGTGGTCAATTTTGGAATAGGTGTGGTGTGGTGCTGAAAAAAATGTATATTCTGTTGATTTGGGGTGGAGAGTTCTGTAGATGTCTATTAGGTCCGCTTGGTGCAGAGCTGAGTTCAATTCCTGGGTATCCTTGTTGACTTTCTGTCTCGTTGATCTGTCTAATGTTGACAGTGGGATGTTAAAGTCTCCCATTATTAATGTGTGGGAGTCTAAGTCTCTTTGTAGGTCACTCAGGACTTGCTTTATGAATCTGGGTGCTCCTGTATTGGGTGCATATATATTTAGGATAGTTAGCTCTTCTTGTGGAATTGATCCCTTTACCATTATGTAATGGCCTTCTTTGTCTCTTTTGATCTTTGTTGGTTTAAAGTCTGTTTTATCAGAGACTAGATTGCAACCCCTGCCTTTTTTTGTTTTCCATTTGCTTGGTAGATCTTCCTCCATCCTTTTGTTTTGAGCCTATGTGTGTCTCTGCACGTGAGATGGGTTTCCTGAATACAGCACACTGATGGGTCTTGACTCTTTATCCAATTTTCCAGTCTGTGTCTTTTAATTGGAGCATTTAGTCTATTTACATTTAAAGTTAATATTGTTATGTGTGAATTTGATCCTGTCATTATGATGTTAGCTGGTTATTTTGCTCCTTAGTTGATGCAGTTTCTTCCTAGCCTCGATGGTCTTTACATTTTGGCATGATTTTGCAGCAGCTGTTACCGGTTGTTCCTTTCCATGTTTAGTTCTTCCTTCAGGAGCTCTTTTAGGGCAGGCCTGGTGGTGACAAAATCTCTCAGCATTTGCTTGTCTGTAAAGTATTTTATTTCTCCTTCACTTATGAAGCTTAGTTTGGCTGGATATGAAATTCTGGGTTGAAAATTCTTTTCTTTAAGAATGTTGAATATTGGCCCCCACTCTCTTCTGGCTTGTAGAGTTTCTCCCGAGAGATCCGCTGTTAGTCTGATGGGCTTCCCTTTGTGGGGTAACCCGCCCTTTCTCTCTGGCTGCCTTAAAATTTTTTCCTTCATTTCAACTCTGGTGAATCTGACAATTATGTGTCTTGGAGTTGCTCTTCTTGAGGATTATCTTTGTGGTGTTCTCTGTATTTCCTGAATCTGAATGTTGGCCTGCCTTGCTAGATTGGGGAAGTTCTCCTGGATAATATCCTGCAGAGTGTTTTCCAACTTGGTTCCATTCTCCCCATCACTTTCAGGTACACCAATCAGACGTAGATTTGGTCTTTTCACATAGTCCCATATTTCTTAGAGGCTTTGTTCGTTTCTTTTTATTCTTTTTTCTCTAAACTTCCCTTCTTGCTTCATTTCATTCATTTCATCTTCCATTGCTGATACCCTTTCTTCCAGTTGATCGCATCGGCTCCTGAGGCTTCTGCATTCTTCACATAGTTCTCGAGCCTTGGCTTTCAGCTCCATCAGCTCCTTTAAGCACTTCTCTGTATTGGTTATTCTAGTTATACATTCTTCTAAATTTTTTTCAAAGTTTTTAACTTCTTTGCCTTTGGTTTGAATTTCCTCCTGTAGCTTGTAGTTTGATCGTCTGAAGCCTTCTTCTCTCAACTTGTCAAAGTCGTTCTCCGTCCAGCTTTGTTCCATTGAAGGTGAGGAACTGCGATACTTTGGAGGAGGAGAAGTGCTCTGCTTTTTAGTTTCCAGTTTTTCTGCTCTGTTTTTTCCCCATCTTTGTGGTTTTATCTACTTTTGGTCTTTGATGATGGTGATGTACAGATGGGTTTTTGGTGTGGATGTCCTTTCTGTTTGTTAGTTTTCCTTCTAACAAACAGACAGGACCCTCAGCTGCAGGTCTGTTGGAGTTTGCTAGAGGTCCACTCCAGACCCTGTTTGCCTGGGTATCAGCAGTAGTGTCTGCAGAACAGTGGTTTTTCGTGAACCGTGAACGCTGCTGTCTGATCGTTCCTCTGGAAGTTTTGTCTCAGAGGAGTACCCGGCTGTGTGAGGTGTCAGTCTGCCCCTACTTGGGGGTGCCTCCCAGTTAGGCTGCTCAGGGGTCAGGGACCCACTTGAGGAGGCAGTCTGCCCGTTCTCAGATCTCCAGCTGCATGCTGGGAGAACCACTGCTCTCTTCAAGGCTGTCAGACAGGGACATTTAAGTCTGCAGAGGTTACTGCTGTCTTTTTGTTTGTCTGTGCCCTGCCCCCAGAGGTGGAGCCTACAGAGGCAGGCAGCCCTCCTTGAGCTGTGGTGGGCTCCACCCAGTTGGAGCTTCCCAGCTGCTTTGTTTACCTAAGCAAGCATGGGCAATGGTGGGTGCCCCTCCCCCAGCCTCGCTGCCACTTTGCAGTTTGATCTCAGACTGCTGTGCTAGCAATCAGCGAGACTCCGTGGGCATAGGACCCTCCAAGCCAGGTGCAGGATATAATCTCCTGGTGCGCCGTTTTTTAAGCCCGTCGGAAAAGCACAGTATTCGGGTGGGAGTGACCCAATTTTCCAGGTGCCATCTGTCACCCCTTTCTTTGACTAGGAAAGGGAACTCCCTGACCCCTTGCGCTTCCTGTGTGAGGCAATGCCTCGCCCTGCTTCGGCTCGCGCATGGTGTGCTGCACCCACTAACCTGCACCCACTGTCTGGCACTCCCTAGTGAGATGAACCCGGTACCTCAGATGGAAATGCAGAAATCACCCGTCTTCTGCGTCGCTCATGCTGGGAGCTGTAGACCGGAGCTGTTCCTATTTGGCCAGCTTGGCTCCTCCCCTCAAAAAGGCTTTTCAAGGAGGTTATGACTATCACATAGGCGTATCTATCAAGTTGTCATTTTCAGTGAAATTAATGACAAGATGTAAGACAGAGGCAGAGTTTCTTAGCTTGCATAAAAATGTCAGGCCTCTCCTTGGGCACAGATCTCAACATATTTATGAGTGTAACTAGTTTAGAAACTTTTTTTTTTTTGAGGTGGAGTTTTGCTTTGTTGCCCAGCCTAGAGTGCAGTGTTGCAATCTTGGCTCACTGCAACCTCCACCTCCTAGGTTCAAGCAGTTCTTCTGCTTCAGCCTCCTGAGTAGCTGGGATTACGGGTGTGTGGCACTGTGCCCAGCCAACTTTTGTATTTTTAGTGGAGATGGGGTTTTGCCATATTGGCCAGGCTGGTCTCAAATTCCTGACCTCAGGTGATCCACCTGCCTCGGCCTCCCAAAGTGCTGCCTAGAAACTTTATTACTATATCTTATGGGGAGAACATTTGTAGAAAGTCTAACCATTTGTAACCAAAGTAAAAGAGCCAGCAGAATCTAACCTAGAACTGAAGTCTCTATTAGGAGACTTGTCATCTTCTGGAAAAGAGACCACAATGGCTTTCAAGGACGGACAAGCCAGGACAAGCCAATCTTTCTCCATCTTCTCATTTTATGACCTTACAAAGGATGCACAATAAGGAAACCATTATTCAGACACTGCTTGCTTTTTATAAGGAAAAACCTAGGCTCCATTTGGGTGCTATTTATTATTAACTTCAAGCTTAAATTTTCTACTCTGGGCACAGATGTTTATACAGAAGACTGTTACATGTACCCAGTCTTCATGATACAAAGTGGAGGCTCCTTTTAATCTGAGTATAAAGACATGATGACCCACAGGAATACCACAGCTCTGATCTCATTCTGTTTGTTTTTGAACTCTGCCTTTTGTTAAAGACTGTTTTTGAAACAGAGACCAGCATACCCTATTTTGTGCAGCAAAGTTCCTTTTTTAGATAAGAATCTACTCTGCAATAGAGTTCTACTCCTCACTGATATAGAAATCCAACAACATTGAGCTTGTTTTTTTAATAAAAAATTCTGATGTTATCCTTACACCTCAAATTTCAGCGTTGGAAGTAGTCTTAGAGATAATTTAGGAAAATTATCTACTCTAGGTGTAAACAGTACCTTAGATACAGATGTATCTTAGGAATTACAGCAGGAGCTTCCAGTATTTCCTTTGGGAATTTGTACTCAGATCTGATCATATTTACTTAAAGATGTCATTTTTTCATGGATAGAATAGCTATTTGTGTAGTTTGAGCACGTATCCTCCAGTTTTATTTTGGGACTTGGTCCAATCAATTATCTTTTTATAGTAACTATGTTTAGATAGATAGGTAACTTTCAGTTTTCCTTTCTCCAGGTTAAGATATGCCCATTTCAATGGTGGGAGAAAAGAAGAATTTACATCACGCGTAGTTTTTCTGTTATTGCCCAGTGTCATTTTTCAATGAGCAAATCAGGAAATAGCTACCTTGGGGAGTGAGTTTCATCTGATTCATTATCACTGAAACATCTTTGGAATCTTTCCGAATCTTAAGGAATTGAATTTCCCTGAGATACCCACTGTATGACCTGCCATAATCCCTAGTGCCTCTATTTTTGTTTTTGTTAAATTAATTTCCTAGCCTGTGAGTTTCATATTCATAACCTCTGCAGGAGATACTGCCATCTGCCATACAGCTAAGCCTCCGAGCTGTGGGCTTGGAAGAATATTTATTTCAAGGACAAAGAAGCCAAGGAGGGAAGGGAGGCATGTTTATTTTCACTTTTCCCAGACCACAGTGAGAGTGAATCGAAACTCTGGCAGGGAGACTGCATTAGGTGCCAAACTGCCACAGTCATTTGCATAATGTGTTATCTAAGGTGTTGATCATCTCTGATAAACAGGCATGTTCAGTGAGGGGAGGAGAAATTACGCATTGCCCCTCTGCCTGTCCCTTAAGAAACCAATCACACTGCTCTCCATCAAGTCTGCAGAGCAGAAACCTTTTTGCTCCATTGAACTTGCTTCCCATTTCTACTTAGCAAACTGACTAATGGCCCTGGCTCGTTCCCTGCTGTCACCTCTAATGGTGCCATGTGCAGCCGCTCCTCCCCCAAAGGAAGGAACCCATGTTCATGTAATGGATTGCTTTGGGCTGCATTTTTACTTTACGTTGCTTTGTACATTTAACTACTACACTGCACTACCCTCACTTGCCCCTGTATAGAACTTTTGAAGATTGTGAAGGAACATGTTTGTTAGGAAAGCACTTTGCTGTTTAAAATCTAACCATTTGATGTTAATGCAATTGCATAGTAACTAATTTTTAATAGAGCGTTTGTTGAGGGTGGGTGTTCAGCATAAAATTTTGGTTTTAGAAACTGGACATATGTTTGCATAGTTATGCAAATGCCTTTGCTTTAACAAGTGAGTCCTCATATTTAATTGAAACTCCTCATATTAACTGTTCAGTGAAATTTGTATTTTTAAGTATATGGTGGTTAAAAGTGAGATTCTCATAACTTTGGATTTTGCTGCATTGACTTATTTTGTCCCCATTCCCATTGTACAGTAATGGTGTCATTTTGCTGGGGGATTGACAGTGGGAGGTTTGTACACCTCTTCTGGCATGTGTGTATATGGTAATTACAACTTGTGATAACAATACTACTTTTGCTAATAATGTATAGTACGTTGGTGTCAGAAACTATTCTGTAATTCTCAAGTTATCATCCTTACTTTTAGAAATAATGAAACTGAAGCCTGGAGTATTTAGAGACGTCTAATTCCATTTGGTGGAAGCACATGAAATTGTCATTTATGTAGCTTAAAAATGGTTGAACATCAGCAGCTCTCTATGGCACTTCAGGAGAGCCAGGATTCAAACTAGTGTCAGCCACAATCTATAGTCAGCCTTCCTTCCATGGTGCCATGCTGCTGCCTTATTTATTTATATTTTGTCTTATTTCAAGAATCTCACCTTGTATACATTACACACAATATATATGGCTACTGTCTGTTGACTGGCTTTTTAAAAGGGAGTTTAGAGAGTGCCACAGATTCATGTTTTGTAACCATTTGGCGAACTATTAGGTCTCAGGTTTTACCACTGTAAATCTAGGTGATTATAAAAGACTATTAGACACTATCTTTTGAGTCATTATTTTCTCTCCTCTCTACATATGTTGCAGTTTTCCAAAGTCCAAATAGCTGTCACCAGTGATGGGCTCTTCCTGAGACAGGTAAAATCTTGCATCTCTGATCTCTCTTCCTCATTTATATTTCTCTGTGTTTTCTCCAACCAGTGAGGCTCAAAAATGTCACAGATTTCATGAGATGACTGAGAAAGCACTTAGTAATCCACCTTTAAAGCGTCCCTCCCATCTCTTTTTCCCTCTATTCATATCTCCTTTCCACATTCTCATTTCTTCCCGCTGCACCACTTTCTCTTTCTCTCTTCTGGAGATAATACTCTAATTTTTTGGCCACAAGTGTTTACCTCAAATCCTTATTTTGGCCATTTTAAGAACATACCTGCCCATTCTGAAAGAACCCAGGTGGTTTTAATATTATGTCCCAAAGATATGAATTTTGAGAGCAAATCAGTGACTACACAATTTACTGTGTGATTACATAGTAATTACTCAATTTGCTTATGAACACTGAATCCTCTCCATGGCTTCCAGACAGATGTCACAGCAGATGCACCTCGTATAAAGGAGATTTTCCATTAACTGCAGTTGTAGTTGGGCTTATAACTAACTGTGGGAGCGCTGAATTAAATTGTTAATAAAGGGCACTGTTGAGAACTATTAGAAAGTATGATTCAGACAGGAGAGGGACAGCAGTTGTTAAGCATGGGAAGGTTCCCGTGAATAAGTGTGTCAAATGTAATGCTGACATTTCAAAGAGTTGATGAATACTTGGCTTTGGGGCTATGTGACAGTTATTGATAGTAATAACTAGATTTTGTAGAGAACTTGGTAGCATACAAATTTATTTCTACTTACACTATGATTATCGCCAGAATCCAGGAGGTAGAGACAAATGTCCAGAGGCTCAGAGGCTCACCCATGTTCTTACAACTGGTGTGCAGTGGCGTCCAGACCCATGGCAAGGCTGCCCTGATATTCAAGCCACTTCTCTTAGCAACACCTCACGCTGCTGCTTCCTGGGAACGGTCAGTTCAGTCAACCAATGAATTAGACTGTGCATGTATTTTTAATGAAACTGACTTGTTGACTTGCTAATTTAAAATCAAAGTGATTGAATCAGCTATTTGTGAAAACACGGGTTAAGGAAGCACTTGCTTATTTTTACATCAAACTTTTTGGTGGTATATATTTTCAAACGGCTACAGTTTGAAATCAGTTTTTTGTGCAACAGAGGAAACAGCTGAGCATGCAGCAGTCTTTTCAACTAAATTCATACACATCCAGGATAATCAACAATGGTAGCATCATCTTCAAATAGGCAGCACATGGGCCCATATTGATATTGACAGTTCACAATTGTGGACAAGTTTGAAGTAAATTAATGTACAAACTTTTCACG
Source organism: Homo sapiens (assembly GCF_000001405.40). Lineage (NCBI taxonomy): Eukaryota > Metazoa > Chordata > Mammalia > Primates > Hominidae > Homo > Homo sapiens. The sequence continues at coordinate 167,830,459 of NC_000002.12, read as the reverse complement.
TGAAAGCCTGAAAGCATTTCACTGAAGGCTGGGGAACATTTGCACGTCTCCTTGATTGTCTAACCAAACTTTTTTTTTTTTTTTAAGTATGAACGAATCCCTACCCTGCCCTGTTCCCGCTTAATGTCTTTCCTCATCCAAATGACAATGGTATGTTTGCCGCACAGCCTGCCCGCTACTGACCCCTGCTCCCAGGTCTGTGAAAAAGACCCGGCCTTAGTGAGGTTTGTCATTCAGGAAGCTGCTCAAGTGTTGAGGGCTGCAGAGAATTCACTTCTGCTCAGTCCTTGAAGACATTTCTCTGGGCGTGACTTCCAGACTCTGGTGGGCATTGGCGAGAACGACAGAGAGAAATGATGCAGTGGTCAACAGGACTTCCACACAAATGTCAATGCTTGGTGAGGAAAACACTGCTTTTAATCTTCCTGTGTGGTTGTTCATAAAGAACATCCGTGCTTTCTAGACATTTCTTTTGCCTTTTCCTCTCCTCCCAAAAGACTGTGGTTACTTGTAGTCAGCCCCTTCTCCTGGCCTTTCCATTTTCTCCTCAGAAGGACCACCACTCCATTTCATTTACCTACATGGGCTTTGCACCCCTCCTTGGAGCACTCGCCCTGCTATGGCTTCTCTTTCTCACATAACTTCCCACCCCATTCTCCGCGCATCTCAGAGGACTATTCTCCCAGATCATCTCATCCTGCCCAGCAGGAAGTCACAGCTCACATCTTAGCCAAGGGGAGGGGTAGAGATGATGCCAGTGGAGAAGGATATCAACAAAGGAGGAGAGAAGGAAAGGCATCAACTGAGACTTTTCAAGAGTGGGAAAAAGAGACATGAAAGGCCTCTGGAGCCTGAAAAATGAAACTCATAAGTGGGGGAAGACTTGGCTCCCCTTTCTGTCCTGCTCCAACTTTATTTATCATACTTTAGATATCTATTTTTTTTTCTTTCTTCTTCTTTTCTTTTTTTTTTTCCTTGAGATGGAGTCTTGCACTGTCACCCGGGCTGGAGTGCAATGGCGTGATCTTGGCTCCCTGTAACCTCCGCCTCCCAGATTCAAGTGATTCTCCTGCCTCAGCCTTCTGAGTAGCTGGGATTACAGGCACCCGCCACCAGGCCCAGCTAATTTTTTGTATTTTTAGTAGAGATGGGGTTTCACTATGTTGGCCAGGCTGGTCTCGAACTCCTGACCTCATGATCCACCTACCTCGGCCTCCCAAAGTGCTGGGATTACAGGCGTGAGCCACCGCACCTGGCCTAGATATCTATTTTTATTAGAAATAATTTTTGAAAAATGTCTGATATAGTGAGTAGGACATTATAGACAATCAGTAAGAGACAGTTATTAACGTATTGCTTTTTAAGACCCGAGTAACTCAAATCAGTATTGGACAATTTGGTTCAAACCATGAAGCAAAAAGTTAGTTTTGATAAAAGCCAGACCGTACTTTTGGTAAACGTTTCTCTCTGTTATAGTACACAGATTGTGGCAGTCAGTTGTGAGGGACAGCATGACAACTTATGATGACAGTCACCAAGTACTGAAATTTGAGTATGATAATTTTAGAGACAGGACAGTGTTAATGTCAAGACCTGCATTTCAGTCCCACACACATATTACTCCTGGAAATGTTCTGCAACCTCTATAGGCCCGTTTCCTAATCTGCAAAATGAAGATCCTACAGAACAAACCACACAGGGTTGGTTGTTTCTAGCTCAAATGGGATCATATATGCAAAGCTCATGGCACAGTGCTTAGCATAGAGTAAGCACTCAGTAAAGGCTGTCCATTATTAGGATTGTGATTTTTAAAAAGAGAGCACATTCAGGTTTGTCCTTGTGAAGATATCAATTTTATGCATTTGCCTACTGATTGATTTGCTTTCCTGAGAGACAAAGAAGGGGACATGTTTTAAACGTGCCTGTTGGGAATATAGGAGCCATGAGAAACTCATCTCTTATGCAGGAAAAAATATCAGAAACCACACACTGGTAGGTTCCCATCCACTCTATGACCTCTGCCAATCATATTTCTGACCATGTCACATTCCCACAGAACACTTTCCATGAAGTGGTGTTTATTAATTCATTCGGCAGTTCATCACAGGTTAGACTTATTTCACTCGAGCTTGAGAGCAATTTTGTGCTATTAGGAAAGATGTGAGAAGTCATTTATGGGACGGCAGGTAGACTCAATTGGTGACAGGGGATTTGTTGACTGTTTCACATTATAGGGCGTTTTCCAAATTCTAGGACTAGATGGTGTATGCTAATTCATTTGACTAACAACTGTAGAGCATCCACTTCTTTTAGGCCCAGGAATAGGTGCCAGGGAATCAAAGGTACATTACACAGCATCACAGTCTGGTGAGAAACATGAGGTCTTATACACAGCTGAATAAATATTTGTTGAGGCAACTGGGAAATAAACCCTTACTTAATTCTGTGTGTTCTTAGAGAGCTTAGAGCAACCTACCCTAAGAGGGCAGGGGAGGGGGCTGAATGCTGTGGTTGTGACGGGTTTGTTGCCTGTCTCTGCTGTGCTTCGAGAGCCCTCTGTGTTGACCTTCTAGCAGTCTCTCTAGGGCTCAGTGAAACCCTCTCAGAAATAACTGTTACAAAGTCCCAGAAAAGCACACTGGGATGTGGCCAATCTCAACCCCAACAAACCACTCTTGGTGCCTTTCAAAGTCTGTAAACCCAGGAATTGTGTAATGCTCTGGTTTCCATTCCAGTTTGCTCAGTGGCTGAAGCACAGCTTGCGAAGGACTTTGGATATAGAGCATCCGAGGCCATATGCAAACACGCCATCAGAAAGTGCACTCTGAGCAGCAGCCACGCACTGAGCAGGGACTGCCAGAGAGGGAAGGGGTGGGGTGGGCGCTATTTGCAGAAAACAGGCCTGACTCCCTGCTCCTTAGCTCACTACTGCCCATAGCGAGAGCTGCTTGGCTTCATGTTGCCCATTCAGTCTCACCTAGGTGCCAGTCTAGACCAATGCAGTTCCCTAGTTAGGGAGAATTTAGGGGGCCCAAGGGCAGTAACACAGTGGCAAGGATCTCGTCATATTTCCAACTGACCGTGTGCTCAGCCTTTAGGAGTTGAGCCAACTGCATTTTGTTTTGTTCTTTGTGACTAAATAGACCACCTTGTACCCTGCTTACCGTGACTGGCACCTGTCTTGTTCTTTGTACCCCAACCTTTGGAGCCTTGTTTCTTTAACTGGCAGGTGAATCTTAAAGCACTGACTTGAAGGGCTGTTTTGGGCAGTAGATGAAATAGCTTGTGAGGCATCTGGCACAGAGAATATGTGCCATTTGTGCTGGTGTCTGAGTCTTGACCTTTGTACATTCTGTCCCACTGGTGTTCTTGGAGCCTGGAGTTCTGCCTCTGAACAGGAAGCATGATTGTTCTGGTGTCGAGGACATTTGGTAGAGTACAGTGGAAAAATACGTGATTTATTTACCAATACTGTCATCCTTAGTATCTGATGGGGATTGATTCCAAGATTCCACCATACAAAATCAGCAAATGCTTAAGTTCCTTATATAACATGGTGCAGGATTTGCATATAACCTACATGCATTCTCCTGTGTGCTTTAAATCATCTCTAGATTAGTTATAATACCTAATACAATGTAAATGTTATGTAAATAGTTGTTATGCTGTATTTTTTACTTATATTATCTTTTATTGTTGTGTTGTTATGTTTTATTGTTTCTCTTTTACAAACATTTTCAATCCACGGTTGGTTGAGGCCTCAGATGTGGAACCTGTGGATACAGTGGGCTGATTCATATGTGCCATAAACATCCCTGACTCTCACCCCATCTTTGACTTTCATTCCTTCTTTGAGCCTTATTCAATACTGGTCATCACCTGATCCCTTACACTCACCCCATTCCTGACAGGGTGTCTTCTAATCAGTTCTTGAGTTTCTTCAAGGGTTTAAGCCTCAGAGACCTCCTCAGGGGCATAGGGAGCACCAGGCTGCTATGCTAATGTGCAGGGAATTGAGTCTAGCCCACCATCTCCTGTTGCCTCCTCTTCCTCAGCTCTGGTTCAGTTGCTTGGGGAGCTGTCCCAAGAGAGATCAGGGACCAAATGACACTGGTCCCTGTCCTTCCTGTCAACTCCTCTTCCTTAGGCTCTGGAGGCTTGAGGGGAAACCTGGCCAGGTTGAGGCTGGAGAGGATCAAGCCATGAGCCCTGGAGGGTGGAGTGGTAGAGAGGACTGAGCGCAAGACCGGGAGTCAAGTGACCTGACCCATTCCCTGCCGTGTGACCTAGGCTCACCCCACATCACTTTAGGAAATGTAGGCAAGATGTAGAAACCAAATGCAGAGGTGAGGGTCTGCTACTCTTCTCAGCTGAAGAATGTCAAGGAAAGCCCATTTGAGGGAAATTGTATGGCACCAATCTCTACTCTGAATAAAAAGAAATGATGCTGAAATTAAGGCCTTAGCTTATTGGACTGAAAGAGAAGGAATCAGAGGGAAAACATTTGTAACATTTGCTCTGAATTTGTCATGGTCTAAGATCTTTATCAGTATTTAATTTAAAAGGAAAAATAAAACCACCTGGCAACCTCACAGTGGATATTGAATTACAAGCTGGATAAGTTGTTAAACACCTATGCAAGGCAACAGAGATAGAAGAGTGGAGCCAAGGGCTGTGGCACAGACTCCCTGCCCAAGCCCGAGACAAAGTCAGAGGGGCAGATGCACAATCACAGTGTCTCTCATTTCTACAGGAGCTGGAGTCAAGAGTGGTGTGCTTTCTGAACAACTGCCCTGGGTGGGTCAGAGAAAAGGGATCGATCCCTATCTCAGAAGTGAAAATGAAAAAGGTGCTCTAAGGGGAAAAATTATTTATGGTGTACTCTGAGTCTGACAACGTGGAATTAGTAAGAGAATTGTCTTCTATTGGTGGCCTTTTTATATATGTATATATAATTTATATATATATATAATTTATATATAACACACACACACACGTGCACGCACACACACACACACACACCCCTGCATATATCTTATTGGTTCTTTCTCTCTGGAGAGCCCTGACTAACATTGTCTCCTTTGCTAACAAGTTCCTCAAGCCAAGGTCCTAGGCCTTCTTTTCTTCTCACTCTAAGTTTTGCTTGTTTTCTTTTTTCTGTTTTTTTTTTTTTTTTGAGACGGAGTCTTGCTCTGTCGCCCAGGCTAGAGTACAGTGGCGCGATCTCGGCTCACTGCAAGCTTCGCCTCCCGGGTTCACGCCATTCTCCTGCCTCAGCCTCCTGAGCAGCTGGACTACAGGTGCCCGCCACCACACCCAGCTAATTTTTTGTATTTTTAATAGAGACGGGGTTTCATCGTGTTAGCCAGGATGGTCTCGATCTCCTGACCTGGTGATCTGCCCACCTCGGCCTTCCAAAGTGCTGGGATTACAGGCAGTTTTGCTTGTTTTCTATGCAATTTTTTTTTCTGCCCATGACCTCAGTTGCCATCTGCATGTGAATAACTCTTAAGTTTATATTCTAGCTCAGAGATCTCTCTCTATGGATCTCCAGACCCACACATCTAATTGTGTACTTGGATATCTGAAGGGCATCTGAATGCAACATATGCAAAGGTAAATTCATGATCCTGCAACCCTGATCTTCTTTCATGGTTCCCCACTTCTGTGAAATGTACCTCTCTGTATCGGAAAGACCTGGAGCCATTCCTAACAGCTCTGGCTCAGCTGCTTGGGGACCTGTCCCAAGAGAGATCAGGGACCAAATGACACTGGTCCCTGTCCTTCCTGTCAACTCCTCTTCCTTAGGCTCTGGAGGCTTGAGGGGAAACCTGGCCAGGTTGAGGCTGGAGAGGATCAAGCCATGAGCCCTGGAGGGTGGAGTGGTAGAGAGGACCGAGAGCAAGACTGGGAGTCAAGTCCCGGTTTCACCTCTTAACTCTGTACCTAATCCATCACCACATCCTGCCAATGTCACTTCAGAAATTTCTCTTATATCTCTACTTCTCTCAAGCTCCACTACCACCACTCAAGCTATGGGTATCTCTTATCTTGACTCCTATATTAACTTTGCAAGTTGCAAGTTGCAAGTAGCTGCCTATTCTCAGTCTGTCCTCTAAATTTCTTTCTTTACACTCCAGCTATAGTGATCTTTCTAAAAACTAAGTCTGATCCTATCATTCTGTGCCATTATGTGTTGGAAATCATACCATGATTGGTTCCCAAGGCTCTACATGGTCTTATCCTGCTGCAGTTTTCCCCTTGCTTTCTAGACTCCAGCTAAACTAGCTTTTTCTTTTAATTCCTGAAAATGAAGTCCCCATCATGGGTTCTTTGAATATACTGTTTTTACTCTAGTTTTAAGAATTTGGAATATTCTTCCCAACTTCTCAGCTATCATATCAGGAGTCATTTCCAGAGGAAACTGTTGTGTTCCACACACCCCTTCCTCAGCCTAGTCAGATTCCTTTATTACACAATCTCATAGTATTTCTCTAAATCAAAGCAAATAATAATAGCTAAGAATTATCACGTGCTTGCCAAGTTCAAGTGTCAAGCACACTGCTAAATATTTTATAATTGTTATATCTAAATATTATCTAATTTAAAATTAGAGAAATAGCCAGTATTATCATTCTTATTTTCCAAGAGAGGAACCAGAGAACCTGGGTGATATGCTGACAGCATATTCAGCAGTGTGATGAGTTTAGTGGATATTTGGTTCCCCCACTGGCCTGTGTACTTGGAATGAGCTGGGGCCACTGTTCATGGATCAGCACTGTTAGAGGACTGCCTGGCATGTAGAATGTGTTCCATATGTACTTGTTGAATGAAATAATGAATATTCAAATGAGAAATGAACCAGGGCATATTTTAACATGAAAACTGGGTATTCCTTTTGTTCGCTATACCAAATTAGTCACCTATGAGATTGTTTACAAAATTCTAGACAGCTGCTTGCAAATGAGAAAATGGCATTCCTAATATTGGAGATGCTTTAGAGTAGCCTCCACTTTTCATTTTAATGACCATCTGCTCCATTTCCAAATGAGGCACCAACTCAGTTTAATTTTACACACAGTTAAGAATGATTTTTTTTTTAGTTCCAGTCCTTTTGGGGCTTCTAAAAGCACACACACTCAAGCACACACTTAGAAAGATGCATACTCTCTGTTAGGTCCACACCAGCAGCTGTAACAAATAAGCCCTAAATTTCTAAGCCTTAACACAATAGGTGGTTATTTCTTGTGTAACAACCTAGCGTTGCTGCTTGGCCAGAAAGCTTTTCACCTGGTGATTTGGGAACCCAGGCTTTCTTCACCCCATGGGGCCCCCACCTGGGGGGGTCTCAGAGCTCCTTTACTGATGGCAGCAAGGCAAAAAGCATAGAGGAGGCATACCTCCTTCCTCAAAACCCTGGCTTCCAAATGAAGCATGTCACTTCTACTCATTTTGCATTGCTAGAAATTTATTATGTGGCCATGCCCAACTCTAAGGAAGGCTAGGAAATGCGGTCTATCTATATGTCCAGGAAGAAAAAAGAGAAAACACATCTGATTGAATCATCAGCATTCTCTGTCCCACCCTTGTCCTCATAGTACAATGCAGAGAGATGCTGTAAGATTAGTAAAAAGTGCCCTCGGGTAAGGGAAGAAGGAGCTTAATTTTCACTGTGGACATCTGAAAAGGCATGTGGAGGAGTGAATTTTGAGTGGGGCTTGAAGAATAAGCAAGTCCTTGATAGGAAGAGATGGCAACAGGCATAACTGAGATGAAAACCAGTGCCAAGAGAGAGGAGGTCTGAAGCCAGGTGGGAGTAAGAAGGCGAAAAGAAATGTATGCCTGTGCCTTGGTCTGTGTGTAGGCAACTCAGAGTCAAGTGTAAATGTTATTTTAATAATCTCTTTGTCTTGGTTTTCCTGTGCTCCTTCTTTAAGTAATTAAATAACAAACAGAATCCCACCCTCCACCGTGAGTATCTTGGTCCCTAATGTGAAGATATGAAATAATTAGAGGGTGCGCTGTGTAAGAATTTTAATGTCATGGAAACTTCTACTTTCAAGACTGTGTTAATTACACAGGATGAGGTGGAACAAAGGGAGGATGCACAGTTAGCAAAGTACAGCCTATTATAACCAGCTCTGTTTAGTTTAGCACCTCTTCTGAACCTGGATATGTAATAAATCAATATGTAATAGTGACCTAGCATTTATTTTTTAGAGAACTCTTAAATTTTGGTAATGCAGGATTTTTGGAATGTGAGATTTGGCCATTTTGGATTTGACTATAGGGATGGTACAGGAGACTTTGACATTCTAGTCTACATAATAAAGAGGAAAAAGCAGGGTTTTTAGAGGGAGAAGACCTCTTCCTTGGTCTGCCACTCACTGGCTGGGTGATCATAACTTCTCTGAGCTGCTTCCTCCACTGTGTGGGGATAGGGGAACAGTAATGCATATGAAAGCACCTAGCACTAAGCCTAGACTATATTAAGGATACAATTTTAATTTTAGATCCATTTCCTTTCCCCTTCCCAACTTTCCTTTTCTTTAGTGAGATTTCACTCATCTCAAATAAAAATCCTTAAGACTTTAAGAACTGTACAAGAATGACTGTAATAACCGACAGATGTACTTCCTGTAAAGCTACCAAACTACAATAAAGGCAGTTATAATATCAGTGGCTCTATCTGAGCAGTGTCAAGGATAAAAAAAATACCTTCCTAGGCTGGGTGCAGTGGCTTACGCCTGTAATCTCAGCACTTTGGGAGGATGAGGCGGGTGGATCACCTGAGGTCAAGAGTTCGAGACCAGCCTGGCCAACATGGTGAAACCCTGTCTTTACTAAAAATATAAAAATTAGCCAGGCATGGTGGCACATGCCTGTAATTCCAGCTACTTGGGAGGCTGAGGCAGGAGAATCACTTGAACCCAGGAGGCAGAGGTTGCAGTAAGCAGAGATCACGCCATTGTACTCCAGCCTGGGACACGAGTGAAACTCCGTCTCAAAAAAAAAAAAAAAAAAAAAAGTACCTTCCTTGTCAAATCTCATGAGGGCTGACTCAGCTCTTCTTTTCTTCCAAAGAAGATAAATTGGATATCGTGCAATTTGCTTTCTGCTTGGGGGTTTTGTTTTGTTTGCAAACAAGATCTTAAGTGCAAAAGACTTAAACATTCAAGGGCCTATGATGAGTCCCATAAAAGTTGGGCTTTTCACTAGCTTCTGTTGCCAGAATATTAGAAATTGATATGAAAAACTGAGAGCTTAAAAACTGCACAGTATTACATATGATTCAATTGCAAAGTGCTGTGAACTGCCCATCCCAAGCCTCAGCTATGAATGGCCTATACACCCAAGTGCATCTCAGTATTGACTGAAAGGATAGAGGCTCTTAGCTCTTGGGAAGGCATTAGGATTGCATTATCATATCAATAGCACACATGCAAAGTTCTTGATAAAAACTATCATAATCCAGAGGCAGAGATAAAATATGAGAGTTTGATTTGTGTAAACAAATCAAAAGCATTTAGAGTCAAGCTACTTAATCTGTCTTAAAGCATCGCCAGGAATATAAACAAACATCAGAACAGCCTGAGGCAGGCAGCCTGTAGTAGAAGGAGAACTCTAATTTGCTACTTTTTCTTGCTTTGCTGTAATCCAGCCATAATGGCTATCTTTCAATTTTACAAATCAGCGAAGCTTAACGCTTTTTGTCTTAAAGCCCCTAATAATAATAGTCAGGATAGTCTCAGTTACGCTGCACTAACAAATAGCTTCCATATTTTAGTGGCTTAAGACAATTAAAGTTTGTTGTTTGCTCAGGTTACAGGTCCATTGTGGGTCCATGGGTTGGGGGGACGGAGAGGGGCACTCTGTTCTTTGCAGTCACACAGGCTCCAGGCTGAAGGAGAAAACCACACCTTGAGCCACATCACCAGTCAGAATGTCACAGGGGAAGGGAGCCAGGGAGTCCTGCAACAGCAATTAAATGCTCCAGCATGGAAGTGCCATAGATCCTTTCTACTCACAACTCACTGGTCATCCCACATCCCATAGCCCCAAGTTATCTGGTCCTTTCATGTGCCCAGAAGGGAAGGGAAGCAGGGAGAGCTCTCTTGACTCTCACACCTCCCCTAACCACCCTTTCTAAAGCAGGTTCCACCTCTTCACTACCTGAGCACCCTGTTTGTTTTCTTCATAGTGCTTATTGCAATTTGTAATTGTATTATTTATTTATTTTCTGTTTTGTTTTTAGTCTGTTTCCTCCATTGGACGCTAAGATCCCTAAGAGGAAGTATTATTTATACCAGCAGGCTGATTCCATAAAGCTGTTCTCAAAAGTACCCAATCGGCTTCATATATTTAAAATACTCAGTATATTTGTCTTGAACTTGGAGAATCCTTATGAGTATAATCTCATGTCTCTTAGTCTGTGTCCACCCGTTTAGGCTGTGTGCTGACGCTGCTCCACTGCTCCTCATCAGAGGGTCCTCTTGCGACTCACTGTCAGGGGCTGAAACAAACTGCACATTCCTTCCAATGCTGTCAGTAAGCGGAGGGAGAAAACTATCAACTGAAACCTTAGAGAAATCTCCAAAGGCTGTGAAAACCAACATATCCAGTGCAAATTACTATGAATTTTGTAAATAAGAACCAGGAGAGAGGCATTTGGTGAATTGGAGTTTTGTTGAACTTGCTTTTGGAAAAATAGCTCACAGGGAATTGGCTCAGAGCTACCCGCCACCTTCCACTAACAATTGTATTTCAGGGTCTGATTCTGCTTGGCATTTTGAAGACACTCTGAAATAACTGTCAATTTCATGGACAAGGAAACTGTAGTTTAGAAAGGTTAAGTAAGTGGCCCAAAGTCACAGAGGCTATGATGGGAAAGATAGGAGTGTCATCCAGGTGACCTCTTGCCAGCATGGTGCTTCTTTCCCTGAATCACAGTCCGGATAGGCTGCAATCATTTTTATTTATTTAATGTGCCATTTAGTGTATAAAGGAATATTCTAAGTATTTATCTTGCTTTTTATCACTTTAAATAAAAACATTTTAACAATTATTCACTATTTTAGAGACTTTTAATAACTGTACCATCATTTTCTATGCAAAATCCTATTATTTTCAACTGAAGTAAGAAATGATTGAAGCACAATTGCCTGTGGGATGAGTTTACTTCAGCAAAGAAGTTTCAAGAATCAATTAGTGATGGCCTTGGAGAAATGGGTTTTAAATAGGAATTGTCTTAGGTCATCTAAAGCATATCTTTAGTTACCTAATAGTTTATCTTAAAAGAGGCCACCACTAAAATGTTTCATAGACACTTGTAAGTATGAATTTTTTAAAAAGACACTCTTTTAAGCTATGAGTTTTTTTCTCCTGTATCTTTCAGAATAAAGGCTTTTTCCTGCACGTCCTACACATGTATCCTGGAACTTAAAATACAATTAAAAATTTTAAAAAAGAAATAAGGCTTTTATGGCAAGGATATTTTGCATACTATAGCAGGTAAACATTAATAAAGAAAAAAACCTAGACTTTTCTCTCTGCTCATTAGTCCTTAGACGCTGATTTCTGATTTTGTAGAGTTGCTGTTATTTTTCCTCGACGCTGGGCTGCATAACTGAGAAACGTGTTTCTCGCCTACCTGGTTTCTCGCCTACCTGTTGGCTCCAGCGTGCTGTGTTTTCCTTCTTCTTACTACAAGTTCAGGAAATCAAGCATGGTCTCCATCTGTGTGAGGAGGAGATTCAAGGTGCCCGTGCCAGGAGCAAGCTGCGTAGCCCTAAGTGGACACCAAGAAGAGAGAAAAATTTAGAAATAACGGAAATGAATTGGGTTCAGAGAAATGAAAACAGAACTGCCACTTTAAAAAAATATTTCTATTTAAGGACAATACAATACAAAGAATGGCATGTGGGTAGGCGTTGAATAGAGGTGGACTGAATGAAAAAAGAATGAAGAAATTAACCTCATTTAGGGTTTCAGCTGGTACTAGGATTACAAACTCAGATGCCTTCAAGCCCATGCAGGTGGTATCAATGAGCCAGCAGACTGGGTGTGAGATAATAAGGAATGGTGGGTACTGTGATGAGCTACTGAGCCCATGCCCCACCTGAAGGGGCAGCTACTGCTCAGGTCTAGTTGATGATTTTGACTGATGCCACAAAGATAAACAGGCCCAATGATGTCACAACGTCCAATTTTTAGGGAAAAACAGAAATATAGATTTTTTAAATGTGAAATATTTTGAGTTTTGTACTTTAGGATCTAATTTTAAAAATAAAACAAAACTGCACAGGTCAGACAAGGCTAAAACCAAAGTCCACGTGAGGGGTCAGGATTGGCACATGGATGGCCAGCTTTTACCTAAGGTCTTCTGCAACATCTTAACTTTCCAAGTGATAAAAAAGGTCCAGAGGGCTGAAGCTGCCTTTGGGCAAAGACATTTGGTTCATTCACGGCACAGCTGGGATTTTAGGCATGCGCACCTTCCCTTTCACTTAAGACCTTTTAGTGTCACTTATGACCACTCTGCCACTGGCTGAATCTGATCCAGACCTGTTTGTTTAAATAACAGGATGGAAGCCAACTAGACCTGCCTTCTATTGATCAGATTCTTGGGTCTCAAGCTATATATGTATACAAAGCTTCATAATAAAAAGTGGAATGTTCTATTCTAACTAACTGTTCATGTATATCATAGAGTAAGTTCTGGGTAATGCTGAGTGACTGAAATGTGATGGGTCCTCATATGAAATAAAACTCTTATCAAAGGCATTTGTTTGGGATGGTGTTTCAGCAGTGTGGCCCCATGTGAACAATATGGACAGAGGCACAAGTGGATTCCAGTGGATCCATTTGCTGGTTCCAGTTTCTGTTAAAAGACTCTCTGTTTCTATGATAATCACTGTTGTGTGATGGGTAAGTGTATGGGTTGGGTTTAGAGACTGACTCAGCCACTGATGATACTTAACCTTTCTAGGTCCCATGTGCAAAATCATGATGACGGTACCTGAATCCTAGAGTTGTCATGAGGTTCAAATAAATGAATACATAGAAAGTGCTTAGGATGGTGCTTGCATAGGTAGTCATCAACGTTAGCTAGTATTTGTAACAACTACCCACATTTACTGAATGCCTACACCAAGTTACTTATACGTATTATCTGTCATCATCTCCACAATCCTCTTAGTTTTGTATTATTACCTTCATTTTAATAATGAGAAAACATGACTGAGGGAGAGCAAGTCTATTGTTCAATGTCATCCTGGGATTAGTGGAGCCAGTGTTTGTTTGAACTTAGATCTACTCAGCCTAGACAGCTGCTTAACCTACCTCTCCAGTGCCTTGTCATTTGTTCAATTGAAGACAAATTTCAGAACTTTAAAGGAGAGCACGTCTATTTGGCCAAACAGACAAACACCAACTGCTTATCAAGTCAAATACCAAAGCAAAAGAGTCCCAGAAACAATCAAAAGTATTGCAACACTTGGGAATCCTTTGCCTTATGTAAAAAATGTCTTATTCTAATAATGGGAGTGTACCATGTAAGTAAGCATAAGACAGGAGAGCATGTAGTCAGTTTTTAGTCTGCATGAACCCTCATTCTGCTCTTTAAAGTGCATATAGCACTTACTAGATTATTTGCTTAATAATATTGATAAAATAATGGAGGTAGCTTTTAAGAATTTAAACATGTACTGAATGTTGACATTGGAAAAATAGCACCTGAAAGATTTTACTCTACGATATTTTTAAAACATTTCCTTGCTTTTGTAGAATTTACTATGGAAAGAGTGGAAAAAAACATAAACATTATTGAAATATATGAAGCCTTAATATGAAGCATCTTCTATAAAATATTATTGAACAAAGAAAAGGGAAGCAAGGAATGAAAGAAATGAGAAGTTACTGAATGCTGTCATGAGACAGACCCTATCCTAGGTATTATTATAGTCATCATAGCATTCACTGAGTGAAAAATAACCAAACCAGGGCCAAAAAAAAAAAGGTGTGGAAAATGTGTAAATAGCTAACTCATTTTTCCATGGGCAGATGCAGGTTTAAAACTTAAATCTTACTTAGATGTAACTTTTATCTTGAATATCCATTCTGTTTTGTTTTGGGATTTTTCTTTTCACACATTAAAAAATAATTTTAGCAAAGCAGAGGCAGGAAAGGAGGGTGTCCTTTTAATCAAAATACTTAATTGCCATCAATGCAGGAAAATATTAACTAGAAAACATATACATGCAAATTTTCTCTGCTTTAGAATGAACTGAACATTATCCTAAGAGATAATGACATCTATTCACAGGAATAATATAGAAAGTGGGAACGTATTGTACAAGAAAAGAGGAAAAATATAAGCTACTTTCTTTAGTCTGATTTCTAAAGTGTAATTTTAGTACTTAAGTTAGAGGCACTGCAACTTTCCAGAATATAAAATGCATCTACATTCAAATGTTGGTTTCAGAATACAAAATAATATTTCAAAGTCAAGTAGAAATGAATTTGTTCATTATCTACTCTTTTGGATAATTGCCATTATTGCTATTTCTCCTTGGGCAGATAATTGAAAATTGACTGTAGAAATTGTTGTGTTTTTCTGGGGAAATAGCTTAGACTCAACATTTGTCACCCACATTTTAATCTAGTTTACAATTTTACCAGGTCTAAAAATTATAGCTATTCTAGCACATTATTCCATTACATTTCATTAATATCACCCCTTCTTTTTCGCTTCATGTGGCAAAAAGGAATTTTGCCGGTGCTGTTTATGGCTGAGAAATCCATTCTTTCTGTATACCGACTTATGAGTGCTAGCTATGGGAGAATTTAGTGACATAATAGGATAAACAAGACAGTAATAATATTTGGACATGAGATTTAGTCTTCCCAGTTTTGCTACAGCCCTCTGTGGCAACAAAGGACTTTGTACTGTGGATCTCTAATGTCAGCATCTGGCTACATTTGATCCTGGTTTGTGTGTGGTCTGTTTGAGATAAAGGACTTAAATAAGGACCAACAGAACAAAACACAAAGCGCCACTGAGTTGCCCATTTATTAACTTATCAAGGTAAATTCTATGACTCATTAGGGAACCAGGTGGAGGCCATAGTTGATCTAATTAGTTAATGAATTTAGGAGAGAGAACAGAGGACTTTCGCTCTCTATTTTTCAATGATCATGAACTTAACTTTCAATTTCTCTTCACTATAGGTGGGGTCGCTTTGGGACTCTGAGATTCTCACGCAGGAAGTTTACTGGAGCATGTTCTTAGGAACAACACCTGTCTCTAATGTGAGAGGAGAAAGAAGAAGGCAAAGGGAGAGTCTGAACCTTGATGCAGTCACAGCACAGACCTGAGCTGACCCTGCAGGGAGCTCTGGGGCTGGGATGGTTCTGCAGAGTCCAGTGCGTGCCAGGCCAGCTTGCATGGGCTTGGGCAGAGCTGGTGGTGCGCACTTCTTCCCAACTTCACATTCAATGACATCATGTTGATATCTTGAAACTGGTGGCACATACGTTTATAACACAAAAATAGGCAATGCTAGAAACCAGGGGTTCTCCCACTTCCCTTGCCTAGAAAGCTGGTTTGCCAGAAAAGCCACAGTGAAGAAAGATTGCTTCCATATCTATCTCTGTGCCCAAATTCATGCAATAAATTCTTCGCTGTTGTTTGTTGTTGTTTTTGAGATGGAGTCTCACTCTGTCACTCAGGCTGGAGTGCAGTGGCACGCTCTCGGCTCACTGCAACCTCCGCCTCCCGCGTCCAAGCAATTCTTCTATCTCAGCCTCCCGAATAGGTGAGACTACAGGTGTGTACCACCAAGCCTGGCTAATTTTTTTTTTTAGTAGAGACGGGATTTCACTGTGTTAGCCAGGATGTTCTCGATCTCCTGACCTCCTGATCCGCCTGCCTCAGCCTCCGAAAGTGCTGGGATTACAAGTGTGAGCCACCGCTCCCGGCCCCAGTAAATTCTTAATTGTTAGCAGTGCCACAGTAGAAGGAATTCTATACAATAATCCTAAGTCTTGTATTGTTATAGCTTCTCTAGGCCAAGCCTCCTCTGTTCTACCAAGTATTAATCTAATCTCAGGATTTCTATCCCTGCCATGCTATCAGTGATTTTTCTTACTGCCTTTCTGAAAGAGGCAACTAAGCTCCCATGAAAATGGAACAATCTCTTTAAGATACAACTTAGTGATATGACCTCCAAAGCCCAAGTGACAGAGTTATCAAAGAAGTATCTAATAAGTACTAGAACGATCAAACAATATCCTGAATAAAGTACTTAGAAAGAAAAAAGAAACCCAGCTGAAATGATTACTGAAATGATTTTGTTTAAATGTATTGCTATGCCTTTACTTGTAAACATGGTCATTCATACTAATGAAGTAGAATAACAATAATTATGGCATGTATTTGTTTAATGAAGTCATAAAAGATTTTTGCAGCCAGTTTAGGGTGCAGAAGGTAGGAGAAGATTTTAGATACATTAGCCAAGAATTCAACCAAAGAATTTCAGTTAAAATCACTCCAGCTATTTTAAAAGTTGATTTTAAACTTAGTCCATCCTGAGAAGGATATTGCTGTATGCAACTCAATATCCAATTGCTGTATGCAAATACTATTATCTTTAAGAAACTCAGAGAGCTGGTATGGGAGAGTTCACCATTAGTTTGGGTAGCAGAAATATTTAAGGGTACTATTCTGAACAAAGCTGCACATGTATCAGAGTTCTTTCTTCTTCTGAGCTCTTTATAGAAAAAGGCAACTAAAGGAAGATCCAAGATTTGACAGGCACAGATTATACAGAATTTCTTCTCAGCTTTGCACCCTACATCCTATACCCATATTAACTCCTGGCAATGTAGTAATTGCAAAAACATCAGTTAGTTAGGCAATCAATTTATGAAAAAGAAATAAATAGGCATAAAATGGGGGGGAAGTTGTCCTGATTTTAAATAAGGCTAGAATGTGGAAACTCAATAAGACAAGCATGGATGATTCTGAAATTTAGCGATTAAAAAGTGACTCAGTGTTGACTATATCTATTCTATCGGCTACCACATTTCTATAACAAGCATCAAAGAAGACAGAAAGTGAGGACTCCAACAAATATTCTTCCATGACATGAAATCATTGGGAGCAAACTGTCTTATACATCACAGCTCAGCACAGAGTCTATTTCAATATCATCTTCTTAAATGAATTGATGAGATATAGCTAGGGCCACATTTGGATTCTGTAATCAGTTTCTTATTTCCTCTCCTGTTATATTCATTGCTTCATTCAAAAAAACTGTGTTATTTTCTGTACTGTCATATTCTACTAGGGGCTAGGGATACAGAGAATCTTGTGTCTTTCTGAAGACAGATATCATCCAGATAATAAAGTACAGTAATGGAGATAATAAAAAACAGAGGGACCCTGAACTGTGTGGGGGGGGGTGGGGGTGGTGGTGGTGCGTGTGTGTGTGTGTGTGTATGCATGTATGTCTTGGTGTGTGATTAAATGCATTTTTCTCTTGAATGAGGTATTCAGAGTATTGATAATTAAGAGCAAAGCTTCCGTTTTTTGGACTGTAAAATATAAACCCAGTTACTGTTTCTGCTGATCAAACAGGGGATATTGAGAGGATGAAGGAATGTAGCCTGGAGCCCTAAAAATAATCTGGCCTATTTTTCCTGATTTTAAACTGAAATACATCTGAGCCAGTCTTTCAACAATTCAGCAATATTTTTATTTTCCTTTTACATGGAATTCACATGCTAGGTGCTGAGGACTGAAAGAGGAATGGAGAAAACCCAAGTTGTTCTCAAAGTCTTACTAAGCAATAAATTCCAAATATCTGGTATACCATGAGCCTTTTAAAATTTTGATGTAATTTTATAATGCCATTCAGGAATATAAATGTTCTAATTGATATCTACCTATAAAATTTTAGCCTAGATAAATGAGTTGTTTCACAAAGAATTTTGGTAGAACATGCATTTACCTTTATAACAAGCAAACAGAACAATGGGATAGATCCTTGTTCATGTCTGGCTGTCAAACTTTTTACATACAGCTTTAGGTCTCTGCCTTTAAAAATGGAAGAAACTAGTTCTTAAAATTAAGTCCATTCCAGGGCGTATGTACAAACAAATTTTGGAAAGTTTACATATTGACTGAGTCTACTTCTGCCCAACTGGATTTCTCAGGTCATGCTCAGCATATCTTGCAAACAATGTTATAGGAAACTATGCCTTGTAAGCTCATGGAATTTGAACATGGCTTCTGATTTTAACACAGGCTCTCTGCAGCCAGTTAGCTCTAGTGAGAAATGACACTGACCATCTGGGGGCAGTTGTTTTGCTTTTGCTTATTTTTCTATAGGCATTTTGTTCTAGATCAGTCTTTTTAGAAATGGATATTGTTATCTGTTGATAGGGAAAATGGGCGAGAGAATAGTCCAACATCTGTACACATATAGCACCACCACTGAAAAACAGCAAAACAAAACCAAGAGCTTAATGATTATGCCCTATAGACAGTTGAAACAGCAATAGTATCTCTTAATTTAAAGGATGGCATCTTGACCTGATATGTGCTGGGAAAACAATCCTCCTCCTGACTTAAGTGGTTCTCCATTATATATCCAGGAATTATATATCCAGGAATATTTGGTACAGATGCTGGCAGCTGTATTGACCAGAGAGGCATAACAGGGAAGCTGCAGCAGCCCCCAGAAGATAGGAGATTGGGAGGTGGTGCTTACAAAGAAGCCACCCTTTGCCCTTAATCAATCGTACTAGATGGGGATTTGTATTTTGCAAACATCAATGAGATCAATGAGATCTTGAATGAGAATTGATCAAGATCAAGGAGATTTGTTGAAGTTGTACATGGCAAGCAATAGGCCTAGTATAAGAGCACAGTGCCCTTTCCTCTGAAGCATAAAGTTCTTTTCTCACCATAGGTTTTTATTGATGAGCACTAAAAAGTGAACAGAAAATGCACACCTGTTACTTCCAAATTGGACATATTTTCCTTAGTAGACCTTCAAAAGAAAAAGGGAGTTAAATCTGCCGCTGTGAAAGTGTTTCCCATGCCTTGGCTAAGTTGTGAGATAAATCAGTTTAGAAATGCCATGAGTAGAAAGAGAAATGGTTAGAACTCATGCTCAAAAACACAAGTCCTTTGATTGGAAAACAAAGATAGGTAAAGCCTGTAGACTGAAGATCCCAAAGAACTTGATCTGAATGTCAGACACTCAAGAAATAAGTTTGTAAAAGAAGGCTTACAATTTTCATTACAATTAGGTGACATGAATGCAATTTTATACCTATTCAGTACTTTGATTAATGCTATTTTTTCCAGGTTTTTTGATCTAGAATCTCTTCTTGGCTAAGCATATAGGATGCCACTTCTTGCTACCTCCACAGCAATACATCACCTGGACAGCTTGCCACTCTTTGTTGCCTTGAACTTCTCTGATGTTTAGGCAGCCCATTCTGGTACTGAGAACACAGTGAATGAGCTACATCCTCCTGCTTTCTTCTTCTATTATTACTTTTACCTGATTTCTTCTCAGGAGGAAGCTGTACATTTTAACAGGACAGATAGGAGGAAAAGCAACTATTTTTCTGCCGAGATAACAATTGACAACTTGGGGCAGTATGTGCAGAGTTTTCCTGGAGTTGTATTAAAAATTATCTGATAAGCTGCCTTTGGGTCTGTGTGTTGTTTTCTTTGTGTCGGGCATGCAGTGGGATCTATGAGGCTTAGCAAGCTTAGTTGGATGTTAAACTTAGGTAGTAAACAATGACGTACTTTGTAATACACAGATGGCTGGAATGGTCAATGTTGGAGTAAAAATTTATATTAAGATTCCTGTTGCTGCCTATATTCATTGAACTTGGCACAACAGTAACCCCAAAGATATGATACCTTAAGCAGTCAATCTGTTCCTTCTTCTTTGTCTGGCTCCTAAATACCAATCTGTTCACTTTTCTCTTTCAATGAAAAAACAAACAAAGGGTGGAGCCAAGATGGCCGAATAGGAACAGCTCCACTCTACAGCTTCCAGTGAGAGCCACAGAGAAGACGGGTGATTTCTGCATTTCCAACTGAGGTACCAGGTTCATCTCACTGGAGAGTGTCAGAAAGTGGGTACAGGACAGTGGGTGCAGTGCACTGAGTGTGAGCCGAAGCAGGGCGAGGCATCACCTCACCCAGGAAGTGCAAGGGGTCAGGGAATTCCCTTTCCTAGTCAAAGCGGTGACAGATGGCACCTGGAAAATCGGGTCACTCCCATCCTAATACTGTCCTTTTCCAATGGTCTTAGCAAGCCGCACACCAGGAGATTATATCCCACGCGTGGCTCAGGGGGTCCTACGCCCACAGAGCCTCACTCATTGCTAGCACAGCAGTCTGAGATCAAACTGCAAGGTGGCAGCGAGGCTGGGGGAGGGGCGCCTGCCATTGCTGAGACTTGAGTAGGTAAACAAAGCAGCCAGGAAGCTCGAACTGGGTGGAGCCCACCACAGCTCAAGGAGGCCTGCCTGCCTCTGTAGACTCCACCTCTGGGGGCAGGACATAGCCAAACAAAAGGCAGCAGAATCCTCTGCAGACTTAAATGTCCCTGTCTGACAGCCTTGAAGAGAGTAGTGGTTCTCCCAGCAGGCAGCTGGACATCTGAGAACAGACAGACTGCCTCCTCAAGTGGGTCCCTGACCCCCGAGTAGCCTAACTGGGAGGCACCCCCCAGTAGGGGCAGACTGACACCTCATACGGCTGGGTACTCCTCTGAGACAAAACTTCCAGAGGAACGATCAGGCAGCAACATCTGCTGTTCACCAATATCCACTGTTCTGCAGCCTCTGCTGCTGATACCCAGGCAAACAGGGTCTGGAGTAGACCTCCAGCAAACTCTAACAGACCTGCAGCTGAGGGTCCTGTCTGTTAGAAGGAAAACTAACAAACACAAAGGACATCCACACCAAAACCCCATCTGTACGTCACCATCATCAAAGACCAAAGGTAGATAAAACCACAAAGATAGGGAAAAAACAGAGCAGAAAAACTGGAAACTCTAAAAATCAGAGTGCCCCTCCTCCTCCAAAGGAATGCAGCTCCTCACCAGCAATGGAACAAAGCTGGACAGAGAATGACTTTGATGAGTTGAGAGAAGAAGGCTTCAGACGATCAAACTACTCCGAGCTAAAGGAGGAATTTCGAACCCATGGCAAAGAAGTTAAAAACCTTGAAAAAAGATTAGACGAATGGCTAACTAGAATAACCAATGCAGAGAAGTCCTTAAAGGACCTGATGGAGCTGAAAACCAAGGCACGAGGACTACGTGACGAATGCACAAGCCTCAGTAGCTGATTCGATCAACTGAAAGAAAGGGTATCAGTGATGGAAGACGAAATGAATGAAATGAAGCAAGAAGAGAAGTTTAGAGAAAAAAGAATAAAAAGAAACAAACAAAGCCTCCAAGAAATATGGGACTATGTGAAAAGACCAAATCTACGTCTGATTGGTGTACCTGAAAGTGATGGAGAGAATGGAACCAAGTTGGAAAACACGCTGCAGGATATTATCCAGGAGAGCTTCCCCAATCTAGCAAGACAGGCCAACATTCAAATTCGGGAAATACAGAGAATGCCACAAAGAGACTCCTTGAGAAGAGCAACTCCAAGACACATAATTGTCAGATTCACCAAAGTTGAAATGAAGGAAAAAATGTTAAGGGCAGCCAGAGAGAAAGGTCAGGTTACCCACAAAGGGAAGCCCATCAGACTAACAGCGGATATCTCTGCAGAAACTCTACAAGCCAGAAGAGAGTGGGGGCCAACATTCAATATTCTTAAAGAAAAGAATTTTCAACCCAGAATTTCATATCCAGACAAATTAAGCTTCATAAGTTAAGAAGAAATAAAATACTTTACAGACAAGCAAATGCTGAGAGATTTTGTCACCACCAGGCCTGCCCTAAAAGAGCTCCTGAAGGAAGAACTAAGTACCAGCCACTGCAAAAACATGCCAAACTGTAAAGACCATTGAGGCTAGGAAGAAACTGCATCAACTAACGAGCAAAATAACCAGCTAACATCATAATGACAGGATCAAATTCACACATAACAATATTAACCTTAAAGGTAAATGGGCTAAATGCTCCAATTAAAAGACACAGACTGGCAAATTGGATAAAGAGTCAAGACCCATCAGTGTGCTGTATTCAGGAAACCCATCTCACGTGCAGAGACACACATAGGCTCAAAATAAAGGGATGGAGGAAGATCTACCAAGCCAATGGAAAACAAAAAAAGGCAGGGGTTGCAATCCTAGTCTCTGATAAAACAGACTTTAAACCAACAAAGATCAAAAGAGACAAAGAAGGCCATTACATAATGGTAAAAGGATCAATTCAACAAGAAGAGCTAACTATCCTAAATATATATGCACCCAATACAGGAGCACCCAGATTCATAAAGCAAGTCCTTAGAGACCTACAAAGAGACTTAGACTCCCACACAATAATAATGGGAGACTTTAACACCCCACTGTCAACATTAGACAGAAAGTTAACAAGGATATCCAGGAATTGAACTCAGCTCTGCACCAAGCAGACCTAATAGATATCTACAGAACTCTCTACCCCAAATCAACAGAATATACATTCTTCTCAGCACCACATTGCACTTATTCCAAAATTGACCACTTAGTTGGAAGTAAAGCACTCCTCAGCAAATGTAAAAGAACAGAAATTATAACAAACTGTGTTTCAGACCACAGTGCAATCAAACTAGAACTCAGGATTAAGAAACTCACTCAAAACCGCTCAACTACATGGAAACTGAACAACCTGCTCCAGAATGACTACTGGGTACATAACGAAATGAAGGCAGAAATAAAGATGTTCTTTGAAACCAACGAGAACAAAGACACAACATACCAGAATCTCTGGGACACATTCAAAGCAGTGTGTAGAGGGAAATTTATAGCACTAAATGCCCACAAGAGAAAGCAGGAAAGACCTAAAATTGACACCCTAACATCACAACTAAAAGAACTAGAGAAGCAAGAGCAAACACATTTAAAAGCTAGCAGAAGGCAAGAAATAACTAAGATCAGAGCAGAACTGAAGGAAATAGAGACACAAAAAACCCTTCAAAAATTCGATGAATCCAGGAGCTGGTTTTTTGAAAAGATCAACAAAATTGATAGACCGTTAGCAAGACTAATTAAGAAGAAAAGAGAGAAGAATCAAATAGATGCAATAAAAAATGATAAAGGGGATATCACCACTGATCCCACAGAAATACAAACTACCATCAGAGAATACTATAAACACCTCTACGCAAATAAACTAGAAAATCTAGAAGAAATGGATAAGTTCCTCGACACATACACCCTCCCAAGACTAAACCAGGAAGAAGTTGAATCTCTGAATAGACCAATAACAGGATCTGAATTGAGGCAACAATTAATAGCTTACTAACCAAAAAAAGTCCAGGACCAGACTGATTCACAGCCGAATTCTACCAGAGGTACAAGGAGGAGCTGGTACCATTCCTTCTGAAACTATTCTAATCAATAGAAAAAGAGGGAATCCTCCTTAACTCATTTTATGACGCCAGCATCATCCTGATACCAAAGCCTGGCAGAGACACAACAAAAAAAGAGAATTTTAGACCAATATCCCTGATGTACATCGATGCAAAAATCCTCAATAAAATACTGGCAACCAAATCCAGCAGCACATCAAAAAGCTTATCCACCATGATCAAGTGGGTTTCATCCCTGGGATGCAAGGCTGGTTCAACATATGCAAATCAATAAACGTAATCCAGCATATAAACAGAACCAACGACAAAAACTACAATTATCTCAATAGATGCAGAAAAGGCCTTTGACAAAATTCAACAGCCCTTCATGCTAAAAACTCTCAATAAGTTAGGTATTGATGGGACGCATCTCAAAATAATAAGAGCTATCTATGACCAATATCATACTGAATGGGCAAAAACTGGAAGCATTCCCTTTGAAAACTGGCACAAGGCAGGGATGCCCTCTCTCACCACTCCTATTCAACATAGTGTTGGAAGTTCTGGTCAGGGCAATCAGACAGGAGAAGGAAATAAAGGGTATTCAATTAGGAAAAGAGGAAGTCAAATTGTCCCTGTTTGCAGATGACATGATTGTATGTCTAGAAAACCCCATCATCTCAGCCCAAAATCTCCTTAAGCTGATGGGCAACTTCAGCAAAGTCTCAGGATACAAAATCAATGTACAAAAATCACAAGCAGTCTTATACACCAATAACAGACAAACAGAGAGCCAAATAATGAGTGAACTTTCATTCACAATTGCTTCAAAGAGAATAAAATACCTAGGAATCCAACTTACAAGGGATGTGAAGGACCTCTTCAAGGAGAACTACAAACCACTGCTCGAGGAAATAAAAGAGGATACAAACAAATGGAAGAACATTCCATGCTCATGGGTAGGAAGAATCAATATCGTGAAAATGGCCATACTGCCCAAGGTAATTTATAGATTCAATGCCATCCCTATCAAGCTACCAATGACTTTCTTCACACAATTGGAAGAAACTACTTTAAAGTTCATAGGGAACCAAAAAAGAGCCTGCATTGCCAAGTGAATCCTAAGCCAAAAGAACAAAGCTGGAGGCATCACACTACCTGACTTCAAACTATATTACAAGGCTACAGTAATCAAAACAGCATGGTACTGGTACCAAAACAGAGATATAGATCAAAGGAACAGAACAGAGCCCTCAGAAATAATGCCACGTATCTACAACCATCTGATCTTTGACAAACCTGACAAAAATGAGAAATGGGGAAAGGATTCCCTATTTAATAAATGGTGCTGGGAAAACTGGCTAGCCATATGTAGAAAGCTGAAACTGGATCTCTTCCTTACACCTTATACAAAAATCAATTCAAGATGGATTAAAGACTTAAATGTTAGACCTAAAACCATAAAAACCCTACAAGAAAACATAGGCAATACCATTCAGGACATAGGCAGGGGCAAGGACTTCATGTCTAAAACACCAAAAGCAATGGCAACAAAAGCCAAAATTGACAAATGGGATCTAATTAAACTAAAGAGCTTCTGCACAGCAAAAGAAACTACCATCAGAGTGAACAGGCAACCTACAGAATGGGAGAAAATTTTTGCAATCTACTCATCTGACAAAGGGCTAATATCCAGAATCTACAATGAACTCAAACAAATCTACAAGGAAAAAACAAACAGCCCCATCAAAAAGTGGGCAAAGGATATGAACAGACACTTCTCACAAGAAGACATTTATGCAGCCAAAAGACACATGAAAAAATGCTCATCATCACTGGCCATCAGAGAAATGCAAATCAAAACCACAGTGAGATACCATCTCACACCAGTTAGAATGGTGATCATTAAAAAGTCAGGAAACAACAGGTGCTGGAGAGGATGTGCAGAAATAGGAACACTTTTACACTGTTGGTGGGACTGTAAACTAGTTCAACCATTGTGGAAGTCAGTGTGGCGATTCCTCAGGGATCTTGAACTAGAAATACCGTTTGACCCAGCAATCCCATTACTGGGTATATACCCAAAGGATTATAAATCATGCTGCTATAAAGACACATGCACACATATGTTTATTGCGGCACTATTCACAATAGCAAAGACTTGGAACCAAGCCAAATGTCCAACAATGATAGACTGGATTAAGAAAATGTGGCACATATACACCATGGAATAGTATGCAGCCATAAAAATGATGAGTTCATGTCCTTTGTAGGGACATGGATGAAGCTGGAAACCATCATTCTCAGCAAACTATCTCAAGGACAAAAAACCAAACACCGCATGTTCTCACTCATAGGTGGGAATTGAACAATGAGAACACATGGACACAGGAAGGGGAACATCACACACTGGGGCCTGTTTTGGGGTGGGCAGAAGGGGGAGGGATAGCATTAGGAGATATACCTAATGTTAAAAGACGAGTTGATGGGTGCAGCACACCAACATGGCACATGTATACATATGTAACTAACCTGCACATTGTGCACATGTACCCTAAAACTTAAAGTATAATAATTAAAAAAAAAAAGAAAAAAACAAAACAAAACAAAAAAGAAATTTTGAGGCTGGGCATGGTGGCTCATGCCTGTAATCCCAGCACTTTGGGCGGCCGAGGCTCGCAGATCACTTGAAGTCAGGAGTTTGAGACCAGCCTGGGCAACGTGGTGAAATCTCGTCTCTACTAAAAATACAAAAATCAGCTGGACGTGGTGGTGCCCACCTGTAATCCCAGCTACTTGGGAGTCTGAGGCAGGAGAATGTCTTGAACCCGGGAGGTTGCAGTGTGCCGAGATCACGCCTCTGTACTCCAGCCTGGGCAGCAGAGTGAGACTCCATCTCAAAAGACATTTTGAGAAGAGTCATAAATCAGGGCAAATATGTGTATACTTCGTGCAATACATATTCCCCTGGAAAAAAGTCGTCATAAATACAAAAGGACCTGTGAAATATGCCTCCATTAACGTAAAATACAACTCTTTCATGGGGCTAAATGCCTACCCTAGAACTGCTCACTACTCAATAGGATTGTGCTGTGTGTGACAGAACGAGAGTGTGAATGGGTCAGTAAGAGTGTACTTTATATAAAAAAAAGTATTCCTTAGGAGAGTTTTGGATAAATGGACTGAATGTTCTTTCATTTATGAGGCTTTTGCTCAGGAAGCCAGTGATGCCAAGTACGCACAGGAAAACCATCTGCTAAAGGTCAAAGGGATGGGTGAGCTGCTACATACAAGACCCTGTCTTGATGCGGCTCTGCAGAGTCACAGCACCAGCATATTTCTCCTCTTCCTTACCTGGAAGACTGCAGATGCCTTAAATCATCCAGAATCCAACAACATGTTTTCCAAAAACAATAGAGCTACGCCTATTGTGAAATCTCAGGGACGACAGAAAACTCCACATATGCCCACACTATACCACTGCCACAGCAAGTTTTTATTTTTGTAAAGTAATGATCAATTTATGTATAAATGATTACAGTATTTGAGATCCAAGATCCTTGGAAAATCTGATGTTGCAATCAAAACATAATTGAGCTATTTTGGAATAGGAAGTCTATTTGTTCTTCAAAATGCATAAGTATCTAAAAATTAAATGATGACCCATTTAGCCATCTTGTTTAGTGCACTGTTGCTTCACCACAATTTTTTTAAGGATTGGCTCTAAGTAGACTTTCCTGTTTGATGGAAAGTTTCTGTATTCTGAAACCATTCCCCAGCCCAACCAAGGGGTGTGTGTGTGTGTGTGTGTGTGTGTGTGTGTGTGTGTGTTTGTTAGGGTCAAATGAACATTGTCAGCAGTGATGAATTAATTAATTTCCTCAAGTTACCTCACAATCCATCTGCACATCAATCATTTTTTGCAGCCTAAATAACACATGTGTAGGTACTATTATTTTTTCCAATGTGAATATATACCTTTGTGATAAAAAAATACTAATTTATTTAAAAGTGTTGTCAACTTCATTGTACATTTTTGTTATTGCTATTTTTCAATCCACCGATTAAAAAAACATAGCAACTCTCTATGGGCAATCAGAACATTTTAAACATTAAGAAAGAGCTGTCCTTCTTGGATTACATGCGTTGCTCTAACCTGGGGTAATGTATTTCAAGAGTTACTAATAAAATAATTGTAACAAGGGCTTAATAGGGACATGTAATACGATGGAGATATAATAGATATAATAGGATTTTCAATTACGAATGAGTTCCATTATAAGAATCATTAAGCCATTTGGTTATATTAAGATGAAATGTGTAGGCTTAGCCCCAAAGTAAAACATTTGCAAAACAATAGGTATTAACTCTGGGGATAAAAGTGAAATTGTGCGAGGAGCTGGTGGTGCACAGGGATTTCTTTTCATTCTCTAGACCTCTGTATTGTTTGAGGTGTTTACAACAATCATGCATTCAAATATTACTTTATAATTTAAAAAATGATAAAAAACAACCACACAAAATGAGATCAATAGCCTATTTGGGGGCCAGTGAGGTGCTGGCTCCAGGGCCCCTCTCTCAGTCTGTTTTCTTCCACAAGGCTTAAGTTCAGATGCTGAGAATGTTTTCATTCCTTGTAACTTCAGAGGCTGCCCCCCAAATTGACAATCATGTTCACCACATGCTAAGTCCGTGTGCTGGACACTTCACAATGAAGTCTGTCTGAGCTCACAGGGAGGACTGCAGTACAAGTTGTCATCTCAATATCACTTGTAGTGTGGCTACAGGTCTACAGTATATTCCCACCCAACTGTGCCCTGTGGCACAGCTGCCTATGTGTGCAGAGAGAAAGAATGATTCTTGCCTCCTGCCTCCAAACATGTGAAGGGATACCCCACAAAGCTTGTATAAAATCCCAGTCTGTCAGACACCAGGAGATTGTAGTTGGCTGATCCATGGTGGCTTCTCCTCAGTGTAACTCTATGAGAGCTGGTATTTGGTGTTAGGGATGCACCGAAATCATGTGACATTTAATGCCTTTAAACTTGAGAGGCTGTAGCAAATTCCATGCAACACTTGCTAATATGGTAAATCAATCTAAAATACTTGAAATTCTTTCCCCACAAATGTTGTCATGCTGAATTACTCCAGGTTAAGTGTTGTCATGTTGTATTATGGCATGACATTCAGGTAACTCATCATAGCAGATAAAAACATTTATGTCCTTCAGAAAATTTAATGGAAAGCAAATGCACTATTATTTTTTTCCGAGGAATCCAGTCAGATTTTAATAATGCATTATTTGCTACTTGACAAAACACACTCTTACCTAGATTGCATAGTCATAGTACAGTCTTGAATACTGTAGTGCAAACATCAGGGCCTGGGGCTTTGACAATATAGGTCCTTCAGGGCAATAGTGAAAATAAAGCCAGTTGAATGAGACCGGTCTTTGACGTGAAGTGAATGAAAACATCACAAATATAAGACTCAAGTTTCTCATTTTATGTTTAAGCTAGATCTTTAAATTTAAAGTATGGTCTGGAGGAAATGAATTATTTAAAATGAAGATTCACATTTTTTTTCTTCCATCTCCTATGTCTACAATGATTTCTCTTATTCATTCAGAGAGAATACAAACAAAATGGGGTGAATTTTCCAGGGATGGGTTCTTTGATAGACGACAAATACACATCAACTGGTTTTGTTTTCACTATTGCTCTGAAGGATCTATATTCAGGGCCTCAGGCCCGGATGTTTGCAGTATTGTATTCAAGACTATGTCTATAACTATGCATTCTAGCCAAGAGCCTGTTTTGTCAAGTACTAAATAATGCATTTACTCATTATTTACATGTCTGATTGGCCCCTTCACCTTTCACCCTGATGAATTTCTGTCAAATAGAAACAACCCTCAATGGATATATTCACTGAGTGGCTCTTTTGAAATCATTTCTCATGTATGGTTTCCAAACATGGGTGTTTAGACACTGTCTCCTTTCTACAAATGCTTTCTCTAGACTCTGCCTGTCAAAGCTAAATGAGCTTGGGACTTCTAGGCGAAGACGTGAAAGCTGTCCATCTACGCTCTTTATGGTCTCTAAGGACTCACCAAGAACTGGTCTTATTCAGACAACAAGTGCCCATCCCGAGTCACTGACAGAGACAAGGATCAACAGACTTTTTTTGGTTCCTCAGTGGAAACCTCTCTTTTGTGAAACTGAAAAGATGAGTTTAAATGGTGTGAGGCCAAGTTTCCAAAGGCTGTCCAATAGTGAGGAATCATTTCAAAGTCTCAAGGATCTGTGGTCAGGTAGGGAAGCTGAGATGCAGATACTACTAGGCAGATAGTACTTTTAGTGTACTAAGTACTTTCTTTTAGGTTGGAACTTAATTGTATTTGTATATCTTTATGCTTTATTTGATTTTGCTCTGTTGGGAAGAAAGTTTCAGGGGAAGGTTGTGAACAGGGTAGAATGATAATGGGTGTGGGGAGGGTAGTTCAGGTGGGAGTTTTTCCTCCCTAAACATTTTACTTAATGGTAAGAAAGTGTTCCAGAGATTATTTGATTGTGGGGATAAATAATCTTGGGGTTCCAAATTTTTGGAGGCATCATACAAGGATGCTGAGCACTGGCTATTCTGGGAGCTACTTGTATGTTCCATGTTTCTCCTCTGGGGCTTCCTGTCCCAATGATTTTATGTCCACGAAATAAAATGATGGGAAAAGTTTAATTGGACTGCATTAGAGCTAATAGTGAAATTCTATCTTTCACCCAGCATGAACTTTTTATATTCATTCAACAAATGTCTACTGAGAATAGATTCATGTCAGGTCCTATTTTAGGCACTTGGAATAAGTTAGTGTACAAAACAGATAAAAATCCTTGCTCTGGTGAAGCATACGTTCTAGCGAAGAGAAACTATGTGTATACATAAGTGTATACATAAGTGTATACATACACATTGCATTAATAGAACTTTTATTGAAGTCAGACAGAAATTTTGTTAAAACTAAGAACCTTTGTCTGTGGGTCTTGAACACATTTCACATTTCACAAAGTAATTAGGTTGCCCTTTAACATTTGCTTTAAACTTGCCCCTCATTTCTTAATGAGATTACAACCTCTTCACAGCTTGACAGGAACAGAAGAAATAAAGCCAAGCACAAGAAATAAAACCACTAAGAGCCATTTAGAGTGCTCTAGAAAGCATGACTTCTCAAAACTTAAAATCGGGTTTAATGATTTGGTTTGAAACAATTGTTCAAACTCTCTGTTTATATGTGCTGGATAGTCACCACTATTTTTAGGAAAAGTTAGTATAGTAAAAACAATCCTTTGCAATATACTGTGTTAATTTTTCTTGGGTTCTGAAGATGACAGTCTGTGTTCAAGAGTTGATTTTGGTATATTTCATCAACAACGAGAGAAATGCTTGGATGCAGGCTTCTTTTAATCTGAAAATGTCCTACTGCAATGTTCTCACGTATAAGAGGGAGCTAAGCCAAGGGTACACAAAGGTATACAAAGTAACATAATGGACCTTGGAGACTTGCAAGGGGGAGGGTGGAGGGGGCTAAGGATATAAAAATCACCTATTGGGTACAATGTACACTGTTCGGACGGTGGGAGCACTGGAATTGTATAGACTTCACCACTATACAATTCATCCATGTAACCAAAAACTACTTGTACCCCTAAAGCTATTGAAATACAAAAATCTGATAATGTCTTGCTCACAGGTGAAATGATTTCAAAACCAAGGGGCTGCATCAAGTACTATATTAAGGAAATGGTATCTATGGCAACATAAATAAGAGGGTACTCACTGAAATCACAGGATTGGAAAGCACCTCGAAACATTAAGACAGGAATGCCTCTGAATATGTGAAAACTCACTTGACATTCAGAAATATTTATTGAAGCCCTACTATGGGTCACATATTGTGGTATCTACTGGGAATGACTAAATAACGGGTCATACCCTCAAGAAGACAACAGCTTTTAGAAAAGTCAGAAATATAGACAATCTGACTGTAATTTAGTGGTATAACGATGGCATATTTAAGGTGATGTGAAAAAATTGCCAAAACTATCCTTTACTTCATGGCCTCTTGAAAATGTTCCTGCAAACCAAAAAAGAGCTTCAATAGCCAAGACAATTCTAAGCAAAAAGAACAAAGTTGGAGGCATCATGCTACCTGATTTCAAACTATACTACACGGCTACAGTAACCAAAACAGCATGGAACTGGTATAAAAATAGACACGTAGACCAATAGAACATAATAGAGAACTCAGAAATAAGACCCACACCTACAGCCATCTATCTTCAACTAAGCCAGCAAAAACAAGCAATGGGGAAAGGATTCCCTATTTCATAAATGGTGCAGGGAGAACTGGCTAGCCATGTGCAGAAAATAAAAATTGGACCCCTCCCTTATACCTTGTACAAAAATTAACTCAAGATGGATTAAAGACTTAAAGGTAAAACCCAAAACCATAAAAACCCTAGAAGAAAGCCTAGGCAATACCATTCAGGACACAGGCATGGGCAAAGATTTCATGATGAAAACACCAAAAGCGATGGCAACAGAAGCTAAAAATGACAAATGGGATTTAATTAAACCAAAGAGCTTCTTCACAGCAAAAGAAACTATTATCAGAGCAAACAGACAACCTACAGAATGGAAAATTTTTGTAATCTATCCATCTGACAAAGGTCTAATATCCAGAGTCTACAAGAAACTTAAAGAAATTTACAAGATAAAACAACCCCATTAAAAAGTGGGCAAAGGACATGAACAGACACTTTTCAAAAGAAGACATTCATGCAACCAACAAACATATGATAAAAAGCTCAATGTCATAGATCATTAGAGAAATGCAAACCAAAACCACAATGAGGGGCCGGGCATGGTGGCTCACGCCTGTAATACCAGCATTTTGGGAGGCCAAGGCGGGTGGATCATGAGGTCAGGAGATTGAGACCATCCTGGCTAACGTGGTGAAACCCCATCTCTACTAAAATTACAAAAAATTAGCCAGGTGTGGTCACGGGCACCTGTAGTCCCAGCTACTCAGGAGGCTGAGAAGAATGGCATGAACCCAGGAGGCAGAGCTTGCAGTGAGCCGAGATTGTGCCACTGCACTCCAGCCTGGGCAACAGAGCAAGACTCTATCTCAAAAAACAAAACAAAACAAAACAAAATCCACAATGAGATACATCTCATACCAGTCAGAATGGCGACTATTAAAAGTCAAGAAACAACAGATGTTGGTGAGGTTGCGAAGAAAAAGGAACACTTTTACACTGTTGGTGGGAGTGTAAATCAGTTCAACCACTGTGGAAGACAGTGTGGCAGTTCCTCAAAGATCTAGAAGCAGAAATACCATTTGATCCAGCAATCCCATTACTGGGTATATACCCAAAGGAATATAAATCATTCTATTATAAAGATACATGCACTTGTATATTCATTCTAGCACTATTCACAATAGCAAAGACATGGAATCAACCCAAAATGTCCATCAATGATAGACTGGATAAAGAAAATGTGGTACATATACACCATGGAATACTATGCAGCCATAAAAACGAATGAGTTCATGTCCTTTGCAGAAACATGGATGGAGCTGGAAGTCGTTATCTTCAGCAAACTCATGCAGGAACAGAAAACCAAATAACGCATATTCTCACTTATAAGTGGGAGCTAATGATGAGAACACATGGAGACAGGAGGTGGGGAACAACACACACTGGGGCCTGTTGGGGGATAGGAAGAGGAAGAGCATTAGAAAGATTAGCTAATGGATGCTGGGCTTAATACCTAGGTGATGGGTTGATCTGTGCAGCAAACCACCATGGCACACGTTTACCTCTGTAACAAACCTGCACGTCCTGCACATGTACCTTAAAACTGAAAATAAAAGCTGAAGAAAAAAATGCTCGATTTAAAAAGAAAAGAAAATGTTCCTGCAGTCTCCCTCATCAACCTAGCCTCACTGGAGAAAAATCTTTAATTTTACTAATTGCTTGTTAATGTCTACTATAATCTATCATATTCATTTCTATTCTTCAATATTTTTAAAAGATAAAATATTTGATTACAATTTCTTTATAAAACCTTCATGTGTTTCATTTTATTATTATTATTTTTTGAGGCAGTGTGTCACTCTGTCACCCAGGCTGGAGTGCAGTGGCACAATCACAGCTCACTGCAACATCCGCCTCCTGGGTTCAAGCAATTCTTGTGCCTCTCAGCCTCCCGAATAGCTGGGATTACAGGCAAGCACCACCACACCAGGCTAATTTTTTTGTATTTTTAGTAGAGATGGGGCTTTGCCATGTTGGCCAGGCTGGTCTCGAACTCCTGTCCTCAAGTGATCTCCCACCTCATCCTCCCAAAGTGCTGGGATTACAGGTGTGAGCCACCATACCTGGCCTATAAAACTTTCATATGTTTTAGAATGGGAAAATGTTATTATGCCAAGATAAGAATAATTTAATTTTTGGATTTTCAGACACATCATCTCTTACCAAAAAATATTTCAAGGATATAAGGCAGAAGAGATAATCATAAGGCACATAAAAAAGTGAAAAATCAGATCCAATTTATGAAACAATCAAATAAGTTAATCATAAAAATTATTATTGTCACGAATGGCCACAGGCCTTGTTTAGATTTGCATTGAGCTTCCTGGCAGCCAGTACAAAGGTGAGAAATGTGACAAGTTAGTCACATATTTAAAAAAAAATCTGAAAGTAATAAACGTGTTTCTCACAGGAGACTAAGTTATTTTGACATTAAGTTCTGGAATGATTTTTGCATAAAGAGGGAAGATTAAATTATATAATGAGCACTATCTAAAAGTTGAAGTGTATTTTACACAACCAGTTATTAAACCAACTGAAAGCCATGAACAAACATTAAAGCACAATTTAGTGAAGGCAGTTCCAGGAGAAACCAGATGATTATGATATGAATGCACTGCCCAGGATATGAATACATGAATCAATCAATTACCCTCCATTTTCTCTTAAATCACTCTTTTATCTGGCGCTATAAATATCTGCATTGCTGACCATTCAAAGTTCATTTTCTGGAGGAAACCTTGGAGAGCTAGTTTTCTATAATGCTGATTGGTGATGGATCTATAAGCTTTAGAATTTAAATCAACCAGTGGTAGGACAGTCAGTTTCCTGTGAAAAATGAGAAAACCAACCAGCATGGACTCCTGTTGGTAGAGGATGTGGGGGCAACCTATCTTAGCACAGAAATGAGTGAAGGCATCAGGATTCTCCTCAGAGTACAGCATTGGATTGATTCTAAGATTTGAGGAAATGTCCTGAATATTACCAAAGAACAGAGAAAAAAAATGGTTTGGGGAGGGAGTTATTTTTAAGGCAGATATAAAATAACTGATTATTTTAGTGACTTCAGGCAAATACAAGGGCAATTCTGCCAAAAAAGCAATGATGACTTTAACCAGGGCAGAAAGGAAGCAACCCACAGGCAAAAGTGAGTTATTCTGTGGCTTTTCCCAATTAAAATTTTCAAAAGGGACCATTGGTGTTATGTGGTCACAGAATACTCTTCCCCTTAGATTTCTGTTTTGGAGAAAATAATATGAAATTATTTCTGTCTTGCCTTAGAGTTTTGGCTCTCTTTAATTCTCTTAACCACATATCTTCTACATAGGTTCATGGGAAAGTATAAATGATAGTTTTCCAATAGAACTTTAATTGAAATAATAAAAAAGCAAAGGGCAGCTGAGTTTGGTAGTAGACACCTGTCCAAAGTGCACCATGCTATCATGGTACTCACTGAGACTACCTAGTAACCGGGTTACCTCTCCTTCTACTCATCCATGTTATTTGTTCTTGTTCAGAATCAATTGTTTGCAATCAGAAAGAAAGGACTTGAGGCTATGAAATGTATTTTACATACATCCATATATAATTTCAAAGATGGGAAAAGGAAAGCTATTTCTTTTTTATCTTGATATTGGTAACTGGAGCTCTGTGTGACTGTTTACCTTCCCTCTTCCATGGAGGCAGCAAGATTTTTAAAGCAAGGTGAGAAATCGCTTTGTCTTTGATCATTTTGACTTTGTGGAATTAAATGACCAGGATGAAAGTCAACAGCTTATCACATTAGTGCATTCCAAACTAAACTTCTTTGGAGGAGAAATAAAAAGGATTTGCTCAACAAATAGCATGTTAGAAAAACAGTGACAATGCAATTGACCTTTCTATTACATCAAAGGGGCTTTACTAATGCCTTATGTATAAATTTCAAGGTTGAGGAAAATAACGGGTATGCAGCAAAGCTTTCTGGTTTTCTGTTCTGTTAGGTTGGCTAGGGAGGAGTCAGGATTCTAAACTATCACTTAAATTGGTTTCCTGCTAAATGAGGGAATTTTTGTTTATTAAATGCTCTGGTTATTGTTATACGAAGTACAACAAAGTAGCTGGCACTTCTCCTACAATTTTTTATGCAACAGTAAATCAACAGAAAGAATTTTATTCTTTTACTTCCTGAACTAAAGCAACATGTTCCAGACTGTGTGTTTCTCTATTAAAAACATCAAATTCAACCAGACTTATTTGAATAAAACATACATTCATTAGGCTCACTGTAAGGTTTTAGTTTATTCAGTGATAATAAAGCTGAAAAATAATTGAATCAGACTAGTGTTAAACGCAGAAGAACACGTTTGTGTTTCAAGAAATACTAGAAATATTTCAAAGCAGTTAGAAGCAGAGTCCTAGAATGTGAGAACGGCTCAGAGGACTGAGAATTCCAAGGTGCATATGGGGTTTGAAGAGCAAAAAGCGCATCATATGTTTGCTGTGGCTCTTCCACTAAGATATCTGGTGGTGGAGAATCCTAAATTTCCCCTTTTTGGAAAATCTCATTTGAAACATAGGCTGGTTGTGAAGAAAAAAGGGAATCAGCTGAGTGGCAAAGTGTCAGGTCTGATTGCTTCATCTCTTCCCTATGCGGAGGGCATGAAGGGAGAGTCTTTGAAAGAGGAAATGTGCTCAGGGAATTTATAGAGAGACACAGTCTATGGCCTGTAACATTTGCAAAAGGCAAATGAATGTCCATTATTCATATGTTTGCTAAGTATTTGGGACTAGATGCCATCCACGCAAGCCAAACATTAGGTTAGGGGGCTGAATTTTTTGTTTCTAAAAATAAAAATGATTGAAGATGTCTGCTTTATCTCCCGAGTCTCCAAAATATTGATCATGTGGGTTATTTATATTGAGGAAATTTTACTTAACACTTTACTTTTAGAATTTTCCTTTTCCTCCATGCAC
Source organism: Homo sapiens (assembly GCF_000001405.40). Classification (NCBI taxonomy): domain Eukaryota; kingdom Metazoa; phylum Chordata; class Mammalia; order Primates; family Hominidae; genus Homo; species Homo sapiens. The sequence goes on along the minus strand of NC_000002.12, from coordinate 167,793,581 downwards.
CTTGCCTACACAATTGGAAATGTGGAAGAAAATCCGAACTAATCATTTTCCCAGCAGTAGACCAGGTTAATTCTAGTTCCTACCTGGTGTTATTCTTCTCTAACCCTTCCTTAGTAATAACAGCATTTTGTTCCTATCTGTACCCTCCCCGTGATCCAGGACGGGGCGAACCCAGCCCCAGCAGTCACAGTGATCTAAGCCACTCTGGGGGCATTGTTTCCTTTGTCAGCAATTGGGTGAGGCAGGAGCATTTGACTCCATTCTGGCACTGTGACTTGAGATCTGCTGTGAGATTCTGGAAATGGCTTCCTTTATCTGAAAAAGAAGCACTAGGTGCACGATGCTCCCTTTATGCTGCCACGTGTTGATGCTTGGAACTGTGGGCACTATCCTGTGCCTGCGAGCAGCATGGAGAGTGAAAAGATGGAGGGAAAGGGAGCCTGGGCCCTGGTGGACTTGTTCAGTTGACTAATTCTGGGCTTACTTGACTTCCACACTTGTGGTTGAGATAATAAACTCCTTTTCGGTTTATATAATTTTCATTGAAATTCCTGTTATTTGCTGCTGAAAGCACCTTAACTGATAAATTCTGTCCTAAGCTCAGAGAATAGCACTATTCTCCCAGAACCACATAAGTGAGTAGTCATCTTCCTTTATTTCCTCCTTCTTCATCTCCCCAATCCTATCCATTTGACCTCCTTAGTTAAAAAAAAAAAAAAAATTCTGTTCCCCATCTTGCTTTTGTTCCTGAATGTCTTTCTTTTGAGCTTTTAGAATATTTTCTAACTGACCTCCCTGTCTGCAGGCTGGGGCTCTGTGTCTATCCAGCCAATTGTAACCATAATATCCTTTCCAGAAGGGAAACTAAATCCCATTATTTTTCCACTCAAATTCCTTAACAGTGTCTTACTGTTAGAAATGGTCAACAAAGTCCAAACTATTTTCATGATATTTACAAGGTGTTCTACCATCTGGTTCCTGCCAAGTTTTGTATCCTAAAATGCTCTTTTAGGACATTGTTCAACTGGCTCCTACTTATCCCTCAAGACCTAATTAAAAAGAAAGAAGTTCCCTGTATGCTACTGCTGACCCATTCTGGTCAATGGATTACTCCCTCTTTGTACCACTTCAGTATCTTATAGGTAACTTTACCAGTACTTGTATCAAAATATCCTTGGTATTTGTTTGTAATTCTGTCTTTTTCAGTAAACTACAAATGCCTTGGAGCCAGGGGCCATGACTTACTTATTTTGGAATCTGTAATATGCAATCTAGTGATCTGCTCACAGTAGGTGCTTAACAAGTACATTGTGATTGATTTTGGAGAGATGTCTACAGGGCAAAGGTGGGAAATTTTAGCTCAAGAGGGCTTAAGTTTCAATGTGAGAAATGTATATAGTATCTCTGCTTTCTTCACCTTTAGTTAATAATACCTGTATCATGATCAGGTACGATCAATACCACAATAACCAGGATCCCGTCAGAGAGGTTATATTGTTCTTTTTTTTTTTAGATTTGCACTTGTTTTGGAAAATCGTTCAGGAATTATTGATAAATGGCCTCTTAAAAGTCATAAATTGCACTAAATAATGATCAAAGTATGAACTGTTCAATAATTCAATCCATAAAGAAGTAGTTACTGCATGTCTATTACATGCCCAGTATTTTTGCTTTTTTATCTTTTTTTTTTTTCTAGGAGCAGGTTAAATGACTGCATACCTTTGTGAATTCTTTTGAGAAATATATAAATAAAATACAAGATCTAGTGATCTAAAGGTCAAAACAATGTAATTTTCATCCTCGTTTACAAGGAGAAAATACAATTTTGGTTAAGGGTAAACCACAATGCTCATAGGAATATAGCAGCCTTGATCTATGCTCACTTTATGTGGAAATAATTTATAGTTTTCTCTATATTTTACAAAATGGATTCATTACAGGATCCTCTGGGCACATGTGCTCTGCATTAGTTAAAGGTCTGATCAAATGACTGTATTGATAGCAAAGTCAAGTGAGGAAATAAAATTCTATAGCAAAAATTCCTTCATGTTTATCTTCAGAGACTACATTGAGTAGACCCAGGCAGGCAGAAGGCAGTCTACTATAGCTAGATCATGGATTTATACAAGCACTTTTCTGAATTTGAGATTTGACCAATTGTGACTTGGAAAAACCAGGTAGCCATTTTGGAGTCTAATTTCCTTCCATATCTAAAGACAATGATACAATTACCTACATCTGGATTTTTTTTTCAGTGTGATAAAAACTGCGAAAGTAGTTTGTATGACAAAGCCAGGCAAGATAGTCTACTGGTCAAAGCTGCCTGAATCCTACCACTCACTAGCTGTGTGACTTTAGTTGGGTTACTTAACCTCTCTGTGCTTTAGTTTCCTCATGTGTAAGTGGGGGTGATGATAATGCCTATCTATAGAGTTTTCATGAGGATTAAATGTGCTAATGTTTATAAAACACTTAGACCACAGCCTGGCACATAGGAAGCGCTGTGTAAGTGTTTGGTGGATAAATAATAATTTGTATTCATCTCCTGACAGGGTTCCAGCAAATAGAAATCTAAAGTAGAGCCTTGAATTTTGCCGTATCAACATAAAAGGGCAACTAGAAGAAAATAATGTAATAATATAACTAGGAAAAAAGGGAAGCGCCTTGTTTAAGACTTAATTAGGTCAATACAAAATATAATTTCAAAGTTTGGCTTGGTGTTTTTGTAGCTTAGGGAACAGCCATTAAAAGGTGCAAAATTGATATTAAAAAAATCCTGTTAGAACAATAAATGGCAAATTAGACAGAAAAAGGAGGAAGAGGTTTTGATGGAAGGAGCTAACCAGGCTTTCAAACAATGAATGGCACAATTAGATAAAGGAGGAAAAGATTTGGATGGAAGGAGCTAACCAGGATTTACACAAGAATGTGGACACTAATTCCATTTTGAAGAAGAGATAGGAGGGATGGGTCTTTCACCTTTCAGAGAAATGCTTTACTTCCTCCATGCTTTCCAAGCCTTGACTCTGGGAATGTTAGTTTGTGCATGGAAAGCGTGTGGTTGTGTGTCGAGAGTAGGATGGGGATGATGGTAGAGACGGACAGTCCAAATAGTTATCTGTTAGAGTCACAGAAGAATAGGAAACTGTGGCCACAGCTTACCCAGGTGGAGACATCTCAGATGAAACCAGACTCACAGTGCCCCTCCTGGACATTCTGTGCCAGCAGATGTAGATTACCAAAGCCCACCCTGAATTCCTAGTTTGAGTCCCAGTGGAGGGTAATTCTAGAGTGAACAACCCAGGCTTGGGGAAACAAAGCTTCAGAAAAAGGTGAGTCTGACTCACTGGGTAGAATTATATTTCTCAAAAGCGGGGCTGACATGGTAGTAGATATGTAAAAGGAGAGGCAGACAACCTGAGTGAAGAGAGCAAGACTAGGAGTTAAGCGTGCCATCAAGGTGCAGCAGTGAAAAGATTTATCGGACTAGGGGATAGTCTGATGAAATAAACAATTAGGTTAAACAAAACAAAACAAAACAAAACTCCTGTCTCTTGTAATTGTCTTTAGTTATTACTAACCCCCAGAGAAGTTTGAACCACTTGTCTGTCTTTGCGGGGTGGTGGTTGTGTAGAGAATAAAAGAATAAGGACAAGAGGAGTGGGCCTACCGCACGGTCACCCTTCTCTCTGCAGATTTGAAGACACTGTTCCAAGGGGCCCGTGTCTATAATTTCCAGACTGTAACCACTGGGCATAAGTGACTGCTGATCCATGGTGGAGCTGGGGGCTGTGGGGGAGGAGGAAAGGTGGAGAAGCTGTAGGGGAGGAAAGGAGGAAAGGGATGGAAAACTCTGGAGGGATCTACAATAACATTCCTCTTTCCCAGTATGTACTAAAGGAAAGTGCCTTTTTTTGGTATTGGGTATTGGCATTGGCATTTGGTATTGGTGTTATTATTACCTCAATAATGAACACAGCAGTTTGCTGTGGCAACATCCTTTCAATAATAATTGTTATTATTATAACTATCACCATCATCATTATTATATTGGAATCCACCGTTCTCTAGAATTTATGAACCATAGAGTGTGCCAAAGGCTTTATTTATGCTCTTATCATTTAATCCTTAAGACAATCCTATAAAGCAGATATCATGCTCGTGTTGTTGGTGAGAAAGCCAAGGTTAGAGAGGTTAAGGAACATACTAGTATGACATAATTAGTGACAGAGTCAGGGTTAAAACTCACATCAGTCTGACTCTGAAACCTATGCTTCTAACTTTCTCTACATACTTGTATAAATAATGAGCTCAGGACTGTCATCAGGAGAAAAGGGCTATACGACAAAGCCACAAAGACATGGTGATATCTTTCTGCTTAGGCTGCAGAAAAAAACTAGAAGTGATGTAGTGACCTGTCTTCCGATGCCTCAAATTAAGTAAGAATTAAATAAGTTATGTGACATGCGAGTTAATGGCTCGCACCAATTTAAAAAATGTCAGGGAAGTCTTTAGCTTGAAAGAAATCGAGGGAGCTGTTACAGGACTAGAATGATATGTGTCAGAAGAGTCCTGATGCCATTTCAAGTCATCTCTGGAAGTGCCAAGGGACCACTGACCCTCTGCCTGGGAGAAAATATACACAGGAATATGGAATGGACTAGGCTGGGTAGAAGACAGTCACGGAATATGATTAATTCTTCTGACACTATTTTGCTTTGAAACTGTTCTATTGGTTCTCCCTTCCTCTCCCTTGGTCATTATCTTAGGTTCATCCCATAAATTTTCTGGTCACTTTGGGACATTAGAAGGGTCTCATTTTCAAGTTATGGGAAAGCCAAGTATCATCTAAATTAGGGGTCCCCAACCCCTGGGCCACAGACTGGTACCGGTCTGTGGCCTGGCCACACAGCAGGAGGTGAGTGGTGGGCAAGGAGTGAAGCTTCAACAGTATTTACAGCTGCTCCTCATCGCTCGCATTACCACCTGAGCTCCTCCTCCTGTCAGATCAGAAGTGACATTAGATTCTCATAGGAACATGAACCCTATTGTGAACTGTGCATGTAAGGGATCTAGGTTGCATGCGCCTTATGAGACTCTAATGCCTGACAATCTGTCACTGTCTCCCATCACCCCCAGATGGGACCGTCTAGTTGCAGAAAAACAAGCTCAGGGGTCCCACTGATTCTACATTATGGCAAGTTGTAGAATGATTCCCTTATATATTACAATGTAATAATAATATAAATAAGGTGCACAATAAGTGTAATGTGCTTGAATCATCTCGAAAACACCCCCCCGCCCCCACCCACTTCCGGACTGTGGAAAAATTGTCTTCCATGAAACTGGTCCCTGGTGCCAAAAAGGTTGGGGACTACTGATCTAAATTAAAACTCCAATCTCTCATCTAATTTAAAGAAACTCTATTTCCCAGCTCAGACCTGGTCAGGGGTCAGAAAGGGATGGGGCATCTCCTTTTGCACCACGATTCCACTTTTCTCTTCTCCTCTCCAGTATACCCTACTCTCTGTGCCACTTCTGGCTCCACCAGGGCCAGGAAAAAGTCTAGGCATTCAAGTAAGACAGCAAGGTCCAACCTGAATGGGGCTACCGTAATCTGGTATCAACATTTTTGGAAGTTGCCCAAATGCTGGCTCTTTGGCTCTTGGGGCACGTTCAAGGTCTCCTCTCTGCCTACCACCACCCACTCGATTCTGCATCCCCAGGATCCCCTGAACAGTACTCATCTCTGACAGGTGACAGACTCTCCAGCTGACCTCCTCTCTGCTCCTGACCTTTGGGTTAAGGCTGCTCCACCCTCAAGGGAGTCGTCTTGGGAAAGATCCTTTAAAGATGGCTCTGGTTTGGCAGCACTGGGCAGCATGCCCTGTCCTGGAATGGTGCTGGGATAGGGGTCATAGAACTAAGTCTGCTCTACCATGGCATGTCCAGAATGGATGGGGAAGCACCTCTCTTGAAAATGTGATGGTGAGTCTTAATATGTCAGCTTTGAGGCTTCAGCAGAGACTTAAGACAAAAAGAGAAGTACCATTTATGCTGTCATTATTTCAAGACAAATAGAATCAAATACATAGAACCAGAAAGTTTTTATTCAATTTGGCTGGTACATCCTACTCCCTTGCATTAGCATCGAGGTCATTTTTTTCTGACCTACTTATTCAGTTTGTTCATTTCTGATGAGGAAACAGGGATCTGGTTTGCTGCATTACTTATCTAAGGAGCTATCATGTTTTAGTACCTGCTAGTACATAAACTTCCTGATATAAACCTCACAGCAGCCCTACAAGATAGGTGCTCTTATCTCCATGTGACAGATAAGACACATTGAGGTCAGGTCACTTGTCCATAGCAACACTGTTAGGATGGAGCAAATCCAGATTTCACCCCATGCTGGCTCCAAAGTCTGTGTTTTTCCTGATATTTCACACTTGCCTGTCCACAGCTGAATTTAGGCATCCTGGCTACTGATGGCCTTCTAGCTGGTCAAAATACAGACGGACCAGGCCATAATCAGATCCCAGGGATTTCCTACTTCTAGTTAATCAAAATGCAAAGTAGTGGGCCTCAGTCTTAACTGTATATTTGAATCACATGACGAGGTTAAAAAACCAAACCAAACCAACAAACAAACAAACAAAAACACACCACTCCTGAGACCTCCTCCAAGCCAATTAAATCAGAATCTCCGTGTCTGGGAATGGACTCACGCATGGAGTGTGCCAAGCTCGTCAGATATTTCTAATTGCAGCCAGGGGTAAGAACCATTCCTGCTTACTTCAGTACTTTCTGGGTTGCACGTGAGAATTAACATTGCTAAGAAAGTAGGTTTTGAAAAGAAATACTAGTAGATACTTCTATGCAATCAAAAGGGAAGTTACCAAACAGTACATCCTTGATGTTTCAGTTACAAATATTCCATGTGCCTAAATGCCACTCTGCTAACATGAGACAAAGGAATAAAGATACAGTGGGTTATATTGATTACAGCCTGTCTCGTAACTATGTCAAGTTACCATTTAACTTACTAAAATCATTATTATAGCATAGAAAGAAGACCAAAAGTAGAAGTAGAATTTTCTGTCAGTAACCTGAGGTCACATTATTAAGTAAGCTCGGAATAAGGGTAGTATGACTGCAGCCAACATAGAAAATGAACACAGTAGCTACCAAAGCACCACTCTCTGAAAGAGAATCAAATGATGCTATATAGTTTAATTACCACTTCCCCATATTTATTTCATTTGACCTTCATCACAGTTCTGTAAGACAAGTGATGCTATTATTCCTGTGTAACAGGCGAGGTTTCTGAGATTCCCTGTTGTGAAAAACTTACCCAAGGTTGGAACTAAAACCCAGATTTTCTAAAAATTGTCTTTTTTATACTACTTCACACTAACAGGAATGGTCTAGGGTCAACAGATCTTTTGTAATTTCAAAGCCGATCCAAATTCAGGGTAGGAGGCAGACCTGCCATTTGCATCTGTGTTGATTTAATAGCTATAGTGACTCAGAAAATCTGACTAGTGGGAACAACTGGAAATGAGCAGGGAAAATTGCTTTCAACGTAGCACCCATGAATCAATGGTTGTTGCTGATTTGAACAGTTGTTAAGAGTTTACTACTATGAAATCGGAAAAGCAGTAGTAGAAAAATCCCAAGGGTGAACAGAGCTTTGTCAACCTCCAACAGAGGGCTTTGACTTCACTTCTCTCATAGGACTTCACGAACAAAGAGCAGAGTAAAAATGCATGCCGCTTCCCAGAGGAGAAGCCACACAGAGGGAATCTGGAGTCTGACTAACCACTGCATTCATAAGGAAATCCCTGCACGAATAATTCTAGATCCAAGCACTCCTGCTAAATGCTCAGTGAAGCATGACATTTAAAGGTTTTATGCATTTTGTTCCAATTAGCTATGTGATTTATTCCAGGAGTAGGAAATAAAATATTGCTAATAACATGACATAGACCATACACCACGGTGTCCATCACTGAAAATTATACTGTTCATTTGAATCTCAGAATTCACATGGCCTCTTACCTGCAACACAACCTGATTAGAACGGTATGTGGATCCTTTCTAGAAAACTTAAGATGGGTCTTTTCCAAGGAGTAGCTGTGGCACTATTGTCTGAAATCTGCAAACAAATACTAAGGAGAATAAAGCTGCTCCTGGGATAGGCCAGTGCATAAAAGCCTGGATGAGGTCTGCTTCTCGGTCGATTCTCTATTCCAGTCTTTGGGTCTGGCTGTTCCCTCCCTGATCTGTACCTCTACGATCCCAACCATCTTCCCACAGATCCCTCACCTGTCCTGTGCTTCTAACTCAGATCCAGTCTTTCGACTCTGAGTCTCCCCTTGCTTATTTGTCTATAAAATTCTTGGCCTTGATTTATATCTTGATTCAAATGGTGAATATTATTACCGAAGGCAATGTTAGGTCTTACTTTTAGGTAAGGCCAGTTATATATCGTTTTAACCTACTGACTTCTCCAGGGTCACCAATTTGTGTTGATCCTGTGGTATAGGTCAGATGTACACGGCAGATGAGTGGCTAGACTATATGGACACTTTCAATGCTTTCCATGCCAAAGTAATGATACTATCTTGAAATATTACATTTTAAAATAGCTTTATATTTTATGTGAAAAAAGACCACCTTAAATTACCTTAAAAATTCAAAGTCCTCATTCGCTCTGAGAACTAATTGTATGAGACTGGGGTCTTTTCTATTCTTATCATTGTTAAGCTATGATATTCATGTCATAATAACATTTTATATTATACTTGGAATATTGGGTGGTCTCCTTTTTAATACAGCATTGTTTTACATAGGCTTTCTAAGTATTTACGTAGTCCAGATATTCATCATTTTCATTGCCACAGACTTTATTACCATATTAAAGTTCTAAAGTTTGCTTAATAACCCCCTAATTGTTGAGCATTTGGGTTGTTTCCAGTTATGTGCTATTACAAATAGAGTGGCTATAAACATCTTTGTACAAGTAGGCTTAAATGCTATTTTCTTTAGACAATTCCCCAAGGTGGGAATACTTAGCTTAAGGGGCATGATCATTTTATTTAGCTCTTGCAGTGCCAGTATACTCTTGAAAAATAACAATGATTAGCAGTGCTGCCATTAATAAATGGGAGCACCTGGGGATCTCTATTCTTTTACTACCTCGATGAACATTTACACTGTCATGAAAAAAATGACATGGCTGCAAATCTCTACAAAAACAATGGTCTGTGGACAGCATCTTCAGCAGCCAAGCATGGTCACAGGACTCTGCAGGGGTGCACATCTCCTGGTAATCGGAAGCCAGCAATCTGCAGATGCAGTGATGGGGGTGGCTGGGTATTCTGATGATTCAGCTTCAGGCCCTTTGTGTGTTTTAGCTGACCTGCTAGAAATCAGTACCCTGGGGACAGCGAAGGGCAGGGGACAGAGTCAGGGGGCAATGGTTTGGAGTTTGAAAAAAATAAAAGTCTAGATAAGGTGGCTTGGAATTCTTCTGGCATTCCCAGATTCAAATTCCTCAAAGCCATCTACTTCATAGCGTTTTACAACCACCACTGCTGGCTCCTCCCCAGACCTTGCCACTGTGGTCACTGCAGATGGTCATGCTTATTTCTGTTTTACACAGTCATCAGCCCTGGATTCCCCCAGAGGTTACTAGCCTGGAAAAATGGCTTTCAAATCTAATGAGATGGGTGTTCTCCTCAAGACAGAGTAAGTTAATGACCACAGCAACTTTGCTGAATTCCATTTCACCTGACTGCAGGACTTGGCATTTGAAACCGAGATTAGCTAGAGGGGCACACTGTCTCTTTGACCTCTATTTCCCCCTGCCCCCTGCCGAGTCACTGGGGAGCCATATGGACAGGATCCCAGAGTTTCCTCCTCCTCTTCCAGCCTGTGCTTAATAGTCATCTCACCCTTCTTTCCTATTTGCTCTTAAAGCTGTCAGCTCTGTTGTAGATAAGAAAATAAATTCCCAACTTGCTTCAGGGTAAAAAATTGTGTGGAAAATGTCTATTCCTTTTTTTCTTCAGATTCCAGAAAAATAACTCCCACTCTACTGGTGGGAGCATCACATAGTGACTCAGAGTCAGGCGTTAGGTGGAGGTGGGAAGGGAACATAATGGATTTTGCAGCTCACTTGGCTCAAGGAAATAATAATTGCATGGACTCTCAGCTTTTACCATCTCCTCACTCACCACTACCAGTTGTAGTTAACACGAAGATAAACAGAAAAATGTCCTCATGTGGGCCACAAACATTTGACATTTTTTCCCTCCGTGTACTCTTTTTGAGCTCAATGATTAGCCTTATTGAAAGAGGCATTACTTTTTTTTTTTAAATACCTCTTTATTCTTTCTAATCACTTTTGTTTTTCTTTCAGACTTCACTTGTTTGCCATGAGATTGGGGGCATCACAGGAGGCAGAAGTGGTGGGTTTAAAATTATCCACCTTATTCCCCCATGAATTCAGAATTCACAGCAGATAGCCTATTTTCTTGTTCTCTGCCGATTCACCATAAATTAAACATCTCACCAGATTCTGTGCCCATACATTTGTGAGAGCTCCCTAGTGATCCAATAAATCATGCAGTCAGATGCTGTGTCTAGTATTTTATCTAAAATGTTTATTTCTTTAATATATTCTTATTATTCTCTTTTTACTCTTCATACTAAAATAATTTCATGACCTTATAAACATGGCTTTCAAGGGGACTTTGGTAGAGAATATAACTGTACATATTTAGGAAGGTTTTGTAAACAATTTAAGGTTTTTAGAAATCATGTTTAGAAAAATGCTTGCATACTTTTCTACCAAGAATCTTAACATGCACACCCTGTTAAAATAACTTTCCCCCCCAGGAGCTGGGAAGGGTGTATAATTACCTATTTTATTTATGGAATAGCTGAGATAAATATGCCACATTCACTTGGATGAGCAAATCCTTCTGTGATATTGTTGCATTTAAAAGTCTGAAGGTGATTTTGTTTGAAAATAATATTTGTAAGGTGAGATTTCTATTGTGAAAATGTGAAATATTTACCCAGAGTATCAAGAGTTGTGCCCCATCTTATCAGACAGATGCTGACATTTCTTGAGGTGTATTAGATGATGCCAGGTCTTGACTCCTGGCCCCTTTGCTGGGCCTTAAGAGTTCCCCACATCTGTACCACTGGGGTCCTTTTCGACAACCCTCAACCCTGCACACCCACCCAGACCCATGCAGGGATGTTCAATAAAGTCACCAGGGGCATCGCCGTTCCTCTTCAGGATTCCCAGGCCACTTTCATTCACCTGCTCTGTGGGTGCTGCTCACCTTCTCAGCTTCTTCCTTAAGCATGGAATCTCCGTTAGTGTACTCCACCCAGGTCCCTGCATCCTGGACACAGTGTGAGACTTACTATTGTAGTTTTAGCTGTCAGCTCTCTGTCAGGATTACAATTTCTGGTCTCTTATCTCTGGCTTCCCCCATCACAACCATAAATAAGAGGCAGCTGGCAGGGTGTAGTGCTCACACCTGTAATCCTAGCACTTTGGGAGGGCGAGGCGGGCAGATCGCTTGAGCTCAGGAGTTCGAGACGAGCCTGACCAACATGGTGAAACCCCGTTTCTATTAAAAAGTACAAAAATTCACTGGGCGTAGGGGCACACACCTGTAGTCCCAGCTACTCAGGAGGCTGAGGTGGGAGGATTGCTTGAATTCAGGAGGCAGAGGTTGCAGTGAGCTGAGATTGCGCCACTGCATTCCAGCCTGGGCAACAGAGTGAGACCCTGTCTCAAAAACAAAAACAAACAAACAAAAAAAGAGGCAGCCAACACCCCCCACCTCCAACCACAAGCCCAGGAGCCCAGGCTGGAAGACACTGACCATGGTCCATTCCCTGCCTGAGAGGGAAAGGGGGTCAGCCACTCAGAAATAATCTGGAAATACTGTGAGGAAATAACACCAAACTTTGAGCCAAAATCGTTTTGATTTTTTAATATGCTTTATGTCTTCATCTTCCTCTTTGGTTCCTGAAGCTTTACAGACAGATATAACTTTCAGAGGAATCACAGTGTGCCTTATTAAATGTAGTATTGCACCCATCCGGCAGCCTTTAACTTTAAATAGAAACAGGAGATGAACCCCTGGCTTTGAGAAAGTTCCTGTGAAAAAACCAATTAGATTTTGCCAGGGAAGAGAGGATGTCGCCATATTTTCTAGGAGGAGTCACTGCCCAAAATATTTTAAAAACATTCTTTGCTGTGCTGGATCCAAAAAATGGTCCATCATTCTCTTTTTCACCCTTAAATTTAACAGTATTAAAGAACTCTGAGTATTAAAAAATACTAAAAATTCTTAGTAGGGCTTATTTAGAGTCATTCATTCATTACATATGACCAATAAACTTTCTTATGCTTATGTACCAATTAAGAGAAATTTTGCATATAACTTTAGTAATTCTGAGGGGTGTTCTTCCTCAACTATGTGCTGGACTAGGTGGGCTCCAAGCCCTCTCTAATATTACATTTCTCTGATTTCAAATGTTTAAAATATTTTTTAATTGCAGTGAAATTCACATGACATAAAATTAAGTCCTTTAAAGGGAACAGTTCAGTAGCACTTAGTACATTCACAATGTTGTACACTACCACCTCTATTGACTTACAAAATATGTTCATCACTCCAAAAGGAACCCCTCTTGGTGTATTCTGTCAATGACCATAGAGTGACACTTTACACATTAATTCATGCTGCCTGTCAGATACAATAACATCTGCAGAGCAGAAATCAAGTTTCATTAAGTGAAATACCTGAATCAATAAAGTCCATGCCTGAAACTTCAGCATGGATCACATCTTTGATTCCAGAAAAGTAGCATTTTGGTGGTGTCAGGAAACAACTCCAGAGGACAATGATGCATCCAAAATATAGCAATCCAGTCAATAATTCGGGCTTTACCAATAAAGTGTGCATCTCTAAGAGTTTGTCAAGATGCGCTAACAGAAAGGTATGACAGTTCCTAGAAGCTTTATGGGCAGAGTAGTGTTGTTGGAATTGACTACCTATTTGAAAGTGCCTGCCAATGAACAAGTGTTATAGATGCCATCATAATAGCTGTCTTCTCTTTGTTAGTGAGTTCTTAGAATTTCAGTGGCCCTTGCAGAGTACAAAATGCTTTTCTTATGATTACTAAAGTTGATTGTTGAAAGCACACTCTCAACCTTTTCCTTGCCAATACACACACAAGAAATGAGAGTTCAATCTCTCAGCATACCAGCTTGGAAGCTCCAATCTAAAACATTGTGTGCAATGCAATACCTTCCATAAGTATTTGTAATTCAAGATTCTCTCAGGTGCATAAAGTTTGTGTTTGCCAAAACTTATTTGAACTCTTGAATCACTGTCTTGAGGCACTCTCTAGAATACGGTGGAGGTTACACAGCAAAGATAAAAAATAAACACTTGTAATATATTTTCTCGAATCTCTTTCAAACCTGCTTGAGATTTGTGATATGGGCAGTAAAATAGACCTTGGCAGTTAACAAATGGCTTTAGCAAATAATCTTTCTAACATTCACATTGACATTTTGATATACATTTTAAAATGCTGGATGTTTTTAGGATATGTTATATCAAATGGAAGAGACTGCATATGTGGTAAATCTTTTAATAGTTTTCCTCAATTCTCTGAACAGATGGATAGAACTCTTATCATTCAGCGATTACTCTGAAATTAATAACAGTTGGGAGTTTTGAGTGGCACTGTGAGAACAATGCAATATGTAATGCTCCAGTTCTTACTGTTCTTTTTGATGGTTGTTTTCATGAACAGACTTTCAAATTTGGCCCTGTGCACTGAACTGCAGAGCATCTAGACAAATAAAATGACCAGTACCTACAAATTAGTGCAAGACACTAATAGTCCGTCAGAGCATGCATCTTGATTTGTATTTCAACAGTCATTCTCAGTGTAGTAGCTATGATCAATAAATACTAAACAACAACCCAACAAAAGCTTATTTATTGATCAGGGCTAACCGCATCAGAAAAACAGGAAATGACTTGTGGATATATTTTATGCAAGTCAGAGCCATATTACAGTGGAAAGAAAATGCACCTGTCATAGCAGGTAACTTAAAGAAATCTGTCGGCCTTAAAATATTTACCAGCCTGAGACATTTCCACTAGCTTCCTGGTGAGTCTGTCATTCCCTTCTAATCATGCAGATCATTAAATTCAGTTTATATCTACGTATGGTAAGCAATTCCAAGTGGCTCCAAATGTCTTTCTTCTGCTACGTGGCTTGTTTAAACAGCCTCCAAAAATGTGTAGAAAGAAAGAAAAAGGGAGAAAAAAAACCAAGACATGTTATCCAAATACTTCACTTACATCTGGCATATATGAAAAGTGAGTGAATGAAAGAAAGATGTATTTCTATTTTGTAAATTCTTCTTAATGCTTTCCTGGGCTTTCCAGTAGAGTGCGTCTGCATAGATCTAGCCTCCTTCCAATTCTGTGGTCAAAATATTTGCATTCAATGTCATTGTTAATGGGTAGGAATTGACAGGTGTCACAGAAAAACCTTATTACAACCTCACTGGGAGGTGAAGAGAAGTTGGCTGTGAGAATGATCCTATGTATCTTAACCTTTCCAATGAGGTCTGACAGTTGCTCTGTGTGGTCCCCTCCCCTCAGTCCAGCAGAATGGGATGAGTTAGAGAAAATGGGTTGCTTTAATATTTTATCAATTCCCAGAGGATTTCATGTCAAAGGATTTGCCACCCACAAACATTTGTACAGTCTCATAAACAAGTTGTTTTTTCCTTGTGAACATGTGGTCTAAAAGAAAACATAAGATTCTGTTTGTTAAAAGGACATAAGTTACTTATAAATCCAAAGCTTTTTCAAAATACTAACAAAAGAAGAGAATAGCCAAAATATTGTAATAGCTATTGGGTCTCTATTCTGAGTGCTGATGAAAGAAGTCTGCAGTCTCTTCTCTCTGTGAGAAGAGGGAGTTGTAATTGTAGGTATATCTCTACAAATACAACTTGGCTTTGCATTTCTACATAGTTTATGCATTGATTGGAAAGAATGTTTAAATACTTGGATCTTAGAGGATTACAATAAACCCTTTAAAATTAAGAAATTAAAAATTAAAAAAGATAGAAGAATAGAAGACAAAAGGTATAGGGTGGGTGGTAGGGAAACAAAAGGAAATTGAAATGGGGGAGTTGGTGGAAGGGAGAAATAGGGGGAGGAAAAGAGAAAATAAAACACAGAGGAGACAGTAGAACACAAGGAAGATAAAGTGAAGAAAGTGATTAACCAATTCAGAGTTAAGGAGAAAACCTTCTTACTATCTTATTCTCTAACTGCAAATGTTCATCTGCAAAATGTCTAAACTATTTGTGGCACTTTGCATTGCTGTTAACTCCATATGGACTGAATAAATGGATATGTTACAGATTACCCCGAAATTCATTCTTGTGCTAAGCCAGTGTTTTTCAAGCTTAGAACTATTGACAACTTGGGCTAGATAATTCTTTGTGATACTGGCTGTCCTGTGCATTGTAGGATGTTTAGCAGCATCTCTGGCCTCTACCTACTAGATACCACAGCACCATGCTTCCTGTTGGATGTGACAACCAGAACTGTCTCCAGACATTGCCATATGTCCCCTGAGGGCAAAAAATTATTTGTTGAGAATCACTGTCCTAGTCCTATGTCACACTGTAATATATCTACTCAGTGCTATGAAATGTACTTGGTAATTAGTGACAATGAGATATTTAGACATCAGGATAAAAATATGTCACGTTGTAATTGAGAAACTAGGTTATTTGGTCTCAGGGGATTGACAATGTACTCCTTTGCAAGAATGCTATAACAATATAATAGGTTTTGGCCAGGTGTGGTGGCTCATGCCTGTAATCCTAGCACTTTGGGAGGCCGAGGCGGGTGGATCACCTGAGGTCAGGAGTTTGAGACCAGCCTGGCCAACAAGGCGAAACCACGTCTCTACTGAAAACACAAAAAATTAGCTGGGCGTGGTGGTGGGTGCCTGTAATTCCAGCTACTTGGGAGGCTGAGGCAGGACAATTGCTTGAACCCAGGAAGCAGAGGTTGCAGTGAGCCGAGATCGTGCCATTGCACTCCAGCCTGGGCAACAGAGCAAGACTCTGTCTCAAAAAACAAAACAACAACAATATAAGAAGTTTTTTAAAAAGAAAATTGTTTATTGGTAGACTATGATGCTTCATAATGATCATTCATAATTGATATATTGATAAGTGTTATTGGGTGTCATTTTCATATTAAATATATGGTTATTCATTTTATGATTGTGTTATTATAAAACTCTATTATAAACTCTATTTTTCCCAAACTCTAATAAACAGTGGGGCTGTATATTTTTAGTTGCAAGAAAGTCAACTATATGCCTGATACTTAGAAAAATTAGAGAGTTTGTCTCTTCTTCTTTTTCTCTCCAATAGTCACTGACAAGTTACTGTGATATACTTTGTTCTATATTAATAGATCATTACTTGACCGTAAAAACCAAAACAAACACAAAGCAGAACAAAAAAAACCTTAGCCTGTGTACACACAGAGAAGCAACACACATAAGTGGAGACCAAAACCAATAAGACTTTAAAAGTAAGGTTTTTTTTCAAAGACAAAACGAAGCTAGATAACACCAAACTCAAGGTGTACAACTACAGAAGTTATTTAGAAAGTTTTTCTAAATCTTATTCTCAAGTCTCTTATGATTGAATTCAGATTTGCCACTGTAGTTCCTCAGATGTTTAAAAAACAGACACTGAAGTTATATAAGTTCCCATTTCATAGACCCGGACGACCTCAAGGCAGGGGCCCATGAAAGTAAATTCTTATGACATGTTTGCCAAACAGTGTGTCAGATACACAGAAGCAACCATAGTGGAGTTCTCGGCCTGTCCACTCCTCGTTAGTCCACATCTAGGCTCTGCATCTAATTTCAAGTAAACGTATTGAGTGCCTGCCATGGGTCGGCACTCCGCCTAGCTCAGTCACTCGTGTTCTCTGCTTTACTGCTCAGAAAACCCTATGTCATCAGCTCTGTCTTTCATACTTTAGAGAAAACGTTTAGTAAGGTAAAGTAATTTAAGTAAGTTCAGCCAGTGGCAGAACTCGGAGTGGGTAGGGAGTCTTTGAATTCTAAGGTCACGGTTTTTCCTCTACAACATGTCCATTTCTGTCGGAGCATAGTTGAGGAAAAATAGTGTGGAAGTTTCCTCACTAAACACTCCCTTACGTAGTTTACATGTCCGGAGTCCCCTGTCATTCAATATCAAAGTATCTTCAAGTTATGTTAATTGCATAAATGCTCAAAGATTGGAAAGACCATATCCAGGTCTACAAGCGCTGGGTACTGAGTACAGAGGTCAGAAAAGTCTCTGTGAAAGTGGGAGAACATTCCAAATACCTATAATTGTGTGTGTGTGTGTGTGTGTGTGTGTGTGTGTGTGTGCACAGTTGCATAATTATCTACTTATATAGTTACCTAATACATGTTCTGTATTTGGTTGTTTGTTGTTTGGGGTACTGTGGTGTATTTCATTTAGTTACAGGTCCCTGAAGATTAAGGACTTTGTTAACTGTCTCTGTTGTGTCTTTTGACAGTTCCCGGAGTAGAGCTCTGTATTTGACAGTTCCTGGAGTAAAGCTCTGTATGTAGTGAAAGCACATTTCCTATTATTGTCTGATTTATGTAAAGATGTTGCTGGTCATGTAATCAGTTGTGTAGAAATTGGTAATATATGCCATACTGTTTCTTCATGCATTTGAATATGGAAGCACCTGTTTAAGTTTGTGTGTGTGTGTGTGTGTATACTTTCAAAAATAAATTGGAGTTATACTTTTCATAGTCTATATTTTTATAAAATGTTATATCATCATAACCATTTCATTATGTGTGTGTGTGTTTTGTTTTTTTTTTTTTTGAGACAGCGTCTCACTCTGTTGTCCCAGCTAGAGTGCAGTGGTGTGATCTCGGCTCACTGCAACCTCTGCCTTCCAGGTTCAAGCGATTCTCCTGCCTCAGCCTCCCGAATAGCTGGGACTACAGGCACGCGCCACCACACCCGGCTAATTTTTGTATTTACAGTAGAGATGGGGTTTCACCATAATGGCCAGGCTGGTCTCGAACTCCTGACCTCGTGATCCACCCACCTCGGCCTCCCAAAGTGCTGGGATTACAGGCGTGAGATACCACGCCCAGCCCATTTCATTATATTTTAAACACACCTTTTATTGCATGAAATATATGCCATCATTTGGATGTACCATAATTTATTTATTTTCATGTTGTGAACATTTAGCTAGCTTAAAAGTTTTGTCTGATATAACAGTATAAAGAATTTTCTTATTAACAAATCTTTGTCTGAAAATATATATTTATCTTCCTTCTTATAGAGTTCTAGAAATCAGATTATTGGATCAAAAGGCAGAAACATTTTAATGACTTTCCAAGGGGTTAAATGTACTGCTACAAGTTACACATGGGAGTGATTATCAAAAGGTAATCTCATCAGCATTAAACATTACCATTTAAAAATAAGTGCTTCTGCTCTGATAGGCAAATGATAATATCCTATTGCTACTTTAATTTGCATTCCTTTGATTGTTAGTGAGTTTGATTTTTAATAAGTTTATTAATGTAATTAAGAAAACTTGGTTCATTAGCTTAAGTTCAAATTTTAAGAATAAACATAGAGGCCGGGCGTGGTGGCTCACGCCTGTAATCCCAGCACTTTGGGAGGCTGAGGCGGGTGGATCATGAGGTCAGGAGTTCGAGACCAGCCTGACCAACATGGTGAAACCCTGTCTCTACTAAAAATACAAAAATTAGCCAGGAGCGGTGGCACATGCCTGTAATCCCAGCTACTCAGGAGGCTGAGGCAGGAGAATCACTTGAACCCGGGAGGCGGAGACTGCAGTGAGCCGAGATCACGCCACTGCACTCCAGCCTGGGTGACAGAGCAAGACTCTGTCTCCAAAAAAAAAAAAAAAAACAAAAAAAAAAACAAAAAAAAAAAACCAATAAACACAGAAAAACTACAGAAGCAGGTATGCAAAGGATACTAGGTCCTTCAGGTTCACATAGAGAGAAAATAGTCTTGGAATGACAATGCCAAAGAAAATGATTCTTCAATCTTACCTGTTTTCAGTGATATTCTCATTTTGATATGGATTACTGGTGTTTTCCAGGGTAAAGAAACATAGGGGACTTTGACTCTTAAATACATATGTATCTTAACATTAATAGTAAATATTCAAAGAATGAGCATTATAGAATTTGAACATACTGGGTCACATGGTTGATTTATTGTAACATGGGATTCTTACACAAAATAGAAATTACTTTTTTGGTGATCGCATTATGTCCACAGAATGGCTCAACAAATTAACAAGTGAATATCAGGTTATGAAAAAACGTGCTTTACATTTAGGCATAATAAATTGTCTTTCAAATACTGTAAAAAATGGAATACCACTTCAGTTGGAATATCTGAAGCATGGCTCTCTAAATTGAGCATTTAGAATAACTAGCTATCAGTTTAACCTTTCAATTAGCTCACTGAAAACACATCCAGGCTTGGGCTGGCCATCCTCTACGTCAGAAGACAAAGTCTTGTCCAGATTAGTAGACTGGCAAGAATGAATGACCACTTGGACTTGGTTATGGTTGCTCCCACTTTGTTTTACTTCGGAGCCAACTAACAAGCATATAAAAGAGAGATGAGAGAGCAGATTACATGTGGTTGCATGTGGCTCCCACTGCCTTTGGGAGAAACACAGAAAGTATAGTAGTTGAGCGGTCTCCATGCAGTGAGCACTTTGCCAGGTCAATGGAGCCCAGAATTATAGGGTCTCTGACTTTTGTAACTTTATCTGGGGAGGGTCTTGTAGAATTGAAGGGTCTGCCACTACAATATAGTCAGTGTCCTGCTCTTCTGCAGTTAATTTCTTCCTTCTTATATTTTTAACTTATCTTTAGTCTATACAAGGTCCCAAACCTAACGTGTGACTGCTGCTTATTATTTTATGAATCTTTTATGCAGCTCTTTTGTAAAAGTGATCTAGTTTATAGTAAACCATTTAGAAGTGTTAGTCATGAGGACATATCCATGAACTATAAATGTAATATCATGAAAATGCATAGTAAATTAGGGTAAATTAAACTCGATACTGTTTTTCTTAAAAATATGTATATACATACATATATACACAATACATATTTGCATTTTTATATTCAAATACAACATATAATATCAAAGATTGCTTCTAAATTATCTCGTTCTAAAATTCATTCTAAATGGGTTAAACTATTATTTGATAGGCTAAAATTTATAAGTAGATTAATAAATTCTCAATTCATCCATCCTAAAAACACTTATTGAATTAAAAATTTCCAACAGACTCATTCATTCATTCATTTACCAACACAACAAACATTTATCATTTCTCTCCTGAAAGGTAATGCAATGTGCCACAATTAATAGGATATTTTCCTTTCCTTATGAAGCCCATAGAAATTTTTGATGAAAGTGTTATTAGAGGCTTCAGATCCCTTTGGCCTAAGGGGTAAAGGAAATGTTTACTTTTGGCTGGGGAAATTCTGCACTTAGTAAATTAGGAAACATTTGGACAGCTCTGTTAAATGATAATTACCTTTTGACAGGTGTCAGTAATGTTTAATCAGCAACACTGGATATGTTTATATGAGCTTGGGAAGAATAACATAGTGTGTCATACATTTGAAAGTGCTAAAATGTTTAGAAGATTAATAAAGAAACATAAAACTAGAGTGACCTTTAATCTGGTAATTGCAAACTGAAATATATATGCACCTAATCAAAAGGCCTTGTGCTGCATATCTAAAAATGAGGAACATTACTGATTCACCAAGTCTCCAAAATGAAGGCTGCATGTTTTAGAGCATTTCTACAAGCTATAAACCATGTGGGGTAAGGTGATAAAGGATAGCAGTTATGAACAGTGGCTTTCCAGTTACACTGCCTTGAGTTCAAATTCTGAGTTAGTCATTTTCAGTAGTGCAACTTTAAGGCAGATATTTTACCTAAGCCTGCAGTCTCCCTGTTCATAAAATAAGGAGGCTAATTGCACTCACTTCACAGGGTTGTTATGAGAACTAAATTAGATAATACACAAAAACCCTCAATGACACTGGCATTGAGCATGCACTTAATAAATAGCATTATTACTAGGGAAAATATCGTTGTGACTTTCCTTTCAGGTTATTTTTCAAAATAATCAATTTTAAGAGTACCTCAAGACATTAAATCGGCCTGTGCTTCTGTGCTAACTAATTTTGGTGTTTACTTGCACCTTGTCAATTAGGCACGTGATAGTTTAGTTTACCAACATAATGTCTGGGACTAGAAACCATGGCAGCCTTTTGGATTCCCCCCGTCAGTCATTAGTGAGCCCTTCTAACTAGAAAAATCCTCTTAGTTCAGTAAAAGTTTCTGGTATTTTAAAATAAAATGCAGCATAACTTACAATGGTAATGATCTGGTAAGCAAACATGAGCAGAACCATTCTCCCCCAGTCTGTATTTCATTATTGGTTAGCGTATCTGCTTCCTGGCCCTGATTGAGCCAAATGCCAATATGCATGAGAAGGGACTCTCCCATGGATGCTGCACTTCAGGATTTCCCCTCTGCCTCGTCCCCATCCCAACCTGGCCCCTTTTCATTCCCTCTACTTTTGCATAGTAGAAGGGTAATCCTAAGAAGAGAACCTATTGAAAATGGCTATGTCTATCTGAGTCTTCTCATGTTAAAAATGCATGTATACATGAAACAATACATTCAAAGGCCAAATATGGAATATATTCATTCATGATATGATAGTTTTCAGTTATTCTAAACCAGAGATACTTGATTGTTTTTTGTTTGTTTGTTTTTGTTTTTTTGAGACGGAGTCTCGCTCTGTCACCCAGGCTGGAGTGCAATGGCGCGATCTCGGCTCACTGCAACCTCTGCCTCCTGGGTTCAAGCAATTCTCCTGCCTCAGCCATCCGAGTAGCTGGGACTTTTTTGTTTGTTTGTTTGTTTAAATTGAGATGGGGTTTCACCATGTTGGCCAGGCTGGTCTCAAACTGTTGACCTCAAGTGAGCTGCCCGCCTCGGCCTCCCAAAGTGCTGGGATTACAGGCGTGAGCCACTGCACACGGCCTACTTGACTGTTTAAACACACACATATCTAGGATTTGGATAGAAGAGAAAAAAGGGAGAAAATAACTCTTCACAGGATGCCAATATATGTCAGGCACTATGAAGACGCTTTCACGTTACCACATTTAATCCTCACTAAAATCACAAAATACATTATTAGTCCACAGTTTAAAGTCATGAAACCCAGCCCAAAGAACTGAATTATGAAGCTCCTGCCCAAGGACATACAGCCAGCAGGACACGGAGCTGTAATTTGAATATACAGCTGACTAAAAGCCTATTCTTTCTGTACTACACAATGCTAAATAATAAGTTAGCTTCTCCAAGAGGATTTATTAATTCTTAATAAGTGTTTATTGAACATCTAGCTGCTATCGAAAATGGAGATAGGGCAAGGCACAGCGATATCACTGGGAGATGCAACCTTTGCCTTCACTGAAATAAAAATCTAATTGGGCATTTAAAAATTTCCCTGACATCTTAAATTTTCTATGTCCATTTATAATACTCAGAATTCACAGAGTACTTCCTGGCCTCATTAAAATAGGACACTGATATGAAAAACTATAAACCTTTTAGAGGAAAATATAAGAAAAAATCTTTGTGACCTTGGGTAAGGCAAAGATTTCTCAGGTTTAGTGGAAATAGTATGATCTATGAAAAAAAATTGGTAAATTAGACTTTATCAACGTTAACAATTTTTGCTTTGAGAAAGACACCACTAACAGACTGAAAAGACCAGCCATACACTGAAAGAAAATAATCTCCAAATCATACATCTGAGAAACGACTTATACGCAGAATATCTAAAGAACCCTCAAATCTGAACAATAAACAACCTAATTAAAACATGAACAAAACAGTTGAACAGATATTTTACCAAAAAGAATATACAAATGGAAAATATATGGAAGACTGCCCAATTTCATTAGTCTTTAAGCCCAATTTCATTAGTCTTTAAGGAACTGCAAATTAAAACCACAATGATATATCACAATACACCTATTAGAATAGCTAAAATAAAAATGAAGCGAAACAGCCAGGTGCGGTGGCACATGACTGCAGTCCTAGCTACTTGGGAGGCTGAGGTGGGAGGATCACTTGAACCCAGAAGTTCAAGGCTATAGTGAGCTATGATCACACCACTGCATTCTAGCCTGGGTGGCAGCGGGAGACGCAGTCTCAAAAAAACAAAACAAAACAAAACAAAAACCTAAATAAACATACAAACACAGCAAGCAATAACCAGACAATACCAAGTACAGAGAAGGATGTAGACCACTTGGAAATTTCATACATTGCTGGTGAGAATGCCAAATGGTATAGCCACCTAGAAATCAGTTTGATAGCTTCCTACAAAGTTAAATACACTTACTATATGACCCATACATTTTACTCCTACATATTTCAAATGAAATTAAAATTCATGTTTGCACAAAATCTTGAATATATTGTTCCTATATGTCTGATTCTGGCAAAAACCCAATGTCCCTCAGCTGAGGAATAGATAAATAAACTGTGGCACATCCGTATAATGGAATACTACTCAGAAATAAAAAGGAGCTAATGATTAATAAAAGCAAGAATATGGGTTAATCTCAAATACATTAAGCTAGGCAAAAGAAGCCAGACTCAAAAGACTATATATTGTATGATGCTATTTATATGATATTCTGGAAATGATAAAACTATAGGAACAGAGACTAGTTCTGCTCAGTGTTAATGATGGGTGAAGGATTTGACTAGAAAGGGGTTGCCTGATGGATTTTGGGGGTCTCAGAATGACAGAACTATTCTGTAGTTTAATAGTGATTGTGGTTATGAATTTCATGCATTTGTCAAAATTCATAACAGTATATACCAGAAAGTGAATTTTACTGTACATATACTTCAAAAAGATGAAAATAAAAATTCAAAGTACCGAAAAAAGAAGGCACTGAGATTGATGTAACTCAGCATAAGACTTCCTTGGTTAGCTTTGGTGAAGCATGGAAGGTGTTTGGAGGGGGCTAGGATTTGGCTTTAGTCATATTTCTTGCAGCACACTACATCTTGTGCCCACTAGGATTTGTGCAGGCTGAAATAACAGCTGTGAGGTCTCAGAGCTCAGAGGCTTCTCTGCCACAGCTGAGGCTGGCCCAGTACCCCAGAGAGATTGCTTGGCCCTGGGCACCAGGTACCCAGGGGAGAATGCAACTAATTGAGTGCAATTTCAAATACATTTTTTTCCTTCTTCTGCCTAGCCATTAGATAGATTCAATAGAAAAATTTCTTATGTTAGTCCTTTAAAGGTGAGAACATTAAGTAATTCTGGAAGGATATTACTTTTCTAAGATGACTAGGATCCTCTTAAGCAATACTTTCCTAAATGGAATAGCAAAGGTAACAAGATTCTAATTTATGGACAAGGCATTAGGAAAAGCAAATAGGATTCAAAGGCACCTTGGCTATTGTTAGAATCTTCACATAATCGCTATCAAGCACAGTCAGACCTTGTGATTTCCGAATGTCTCTCATACACTTTAGGCAACCTTAAGTGCATTTAAAAACTAGGGAAATTTCAGGTGTCTGCGTGAGTTTTTGGTGACGATGCCAAGAAAAGGATGCATTCTATGAACTTGTCAGAGGCAAATCTCTACTTTACACAGTGGGAATAACCTTTGTTTTTCTAGATGTCAGTTTGAGTATCTGACATTTTAATTTATGTTCTGATATCTTTGAGAATAAATATGTTCCTGTCATCCTCCTATTATCAGTGGAATTTATAATTACATCATCCCATAGCCTCTGCACTAGAGTGGATATGCCATGCAAGTTAACAGGCTTCCGTCAGAATCTAGCATCATAAATACTGAGTAAGGAGGTTTTTTGGCCTACCATTTTTCAGACCATGATGACTATTTTCTTTAAAGAAAAAAGAAAGGAAGGAAGAAAGAATTCCAGCCAGATGCATAATAAATCTAGTCCTACTATTCAGTGTAGAGAAAAATTTTTGTTGTTGGGAAGCATGGAGTAAATATATTGCTACAGCATGAAGAAGCTTCTCTACATATTTTATAAATACCTTTTGTAATGGTGAATTTTAGGTGTCCACTTGACTGGACCAAGGGATGCCAGGTAGCTGGTTAAACATTATTTTTGGATGTGTCTGTAAGGATGCTCTGACAGAGAGATCAGCACTGGAATTGGTGGACTGAGTAAAGCAGATGGCCCTCCTCAAAGTGGGTGGGCCCCATACTTGAGGGCCTGAATAGAACAAAAAGGCAGGGGAAGGTTGATTTCTCTGTCTGCCTGACTGCTTGAGCTGGGACATCAATCTCCTGGTTTTCAGGCTTTCAGACTCAGACTAGAATCTACACCATCATCTTGTCAGCTCTCAGCTCTCTGAACTACACCACAGGCTTCCCTGGGTCTGCAGCTTGCAAACAGCAGATCATGGGACTTCTCAGCCTCTATAATTTTGTGAGTCAAAACTTTATAATAAATTTCTTTATATATATTGTATTCGTTCTGTAGAAAACTTTCCTAGTTAGAACTATAAAGTGTTATAACAATTTTTCACACAATTCTCCCTTTGAGAAGATACTTTATAATAAAATTTACTTAATTAAGGCTAAATTCAAAGAAACTGCTAGATTTCTTCCGTACCTGACACATTAACAAATATGTGGTGTCTTCACATTGCCCATGGAAAATGTGTATTATGAAAAACTATACAGGAATTTCATATTTTTTTGCACAAATACAAACTTGTACTAACTTGTTATAACATGTCTGAGTAGGATCTAGTCTGAGGCATGAAGAAGGATAAGACAGCAGTTTGAAAAGAGCCCCAATCAGAGAAACATGAATTCTGCTAAAATTGAAGCAGAAACAACATCAAATTTGTGGTGAAGATTGGGTGAAAGAATGGTGAAATCATTGATACTTTACAAAAAGTTTATGGGGACAATGCCGCAAAGAAATGAGCAGTTTACAAATGGATAACTCATTTTAAGAAAGGATGAGATGATGTTGAAGAAGAAGCCCTCAGCAGCAGAACATCCACTTCAAATTTGTTGATGCCCCAATTGAAGAGGACCAAGAACAGCAGAAACAATAGCCAACACCTCAATTGGTTCAGCTTACATAATTCTGGCAGAAAATTTAAGATTGAACAAACTTTCCACTTGATGGGTGTCAAAACTGTTGTACCCAGATCAACTACAGACAAAAGCAGAACTTTCCAGGGAAATTTTTAATAAATGGGATCAAGATCCTGAAGCACTGCTTTGAACAATTTTAATAGGAGATGAAACATGCCTTTCCCAGTACAATCCTGAAGACAAAGCACAATCATAGCAATGGCTACCAAGAGATGGAAGTGATCCAGGCAAAGAAAAAGTGGACTGGTCAAGGGTAAAAAGGTCATGACAACAGTTTTTGGGGCGATGCTTAAGGCACTTTTTTGTTGACTTTCTGGAGGGCCAAGAGTGATCACGCCTGTTTATTATGAGAGTGTTTTGGGAAAGTTAGCCAAAGCTTTATCAGAAAAACTCCTGGGAAACTGTACCAGAGAGTCCTTCTCCACCACAACAATGTACCTGCTCATTCCTCTCATCAAACAAGGGCAATTTTGTGAGTTTTGATGGGAAATCATTAGGCATTCCACTTTATAGTCATGATTTGGCTCCTTCTGAATTCTTTTTGTTTCCCAATCTTAAAAAGTCTATAAAGAGCATTCCTTTTTTCTTCAATTAATAATGTAAAAAATATTGCATTGGCATGGTTAAATTCCCAGGACCCTCAGTTCTTTAGGCGTGGAATAAATGGCTGATATTATTGCATACAAAAGTGTCTTGAACGTCACGGAGCTTATGTTGAGAAATAAAGTTTACATTTTTAATTTTCATCTCTCCATTCCATTTTTCCATGAACTTTTTGGAGTCCCCTAGTACACGTGATTTTCCTATGTGGCTACGATTTCTACAGAAAGGTTTTTCTTTGAGTTTTGTCGCAATTTCTAGTAGTGACAAGTAGAAGTAATGCTAGAAGACTTGTGCCATTAGTGCATTCAGATCACTGAATTTTTCATGATCCTCCTTCCATTCACAAGTCCTTTATTTTACACTGGTTCCAACTTTGATTTTCCATTGGTATTTTGTCAGACCAAGCCATGTGACTCTTTCTTCCTTGGATGCAAAACCAAGTAGTTGGAAAAATCTTTAGGGCATCTGTAATCTATGGGAATCAAATAATTTTGCATCCAATCCGTAAATTTATGTATGTGTCTGGAGAATTCAAACACCCCAGAATGTTTAGAAAACTAGCTGACAGCTCGGTAAAGGAAGTATGCTTTCACTTGGTCACAAAGGTTTGTTCATCTCTCAAATAGTGTATTAATAGATGGCAACAGAGTTTAAATGCTTTTGGAAGATCCTTAGCCAGGTATGAGGAAAGCCTCAAGAGAGTGCAAGCTTATTATGGTGTTATAAGGTTTATCGGTATAATACACTTTAGAGAGTCAATGTTCATGATTTATCTTCATCTGATGAAGAAAAGACATTTCCTAACACACATTATCAGAGTTAAAAATTGGGGTAAAAAGAATTTTTATGTCTACGTATTTTATAGTCAAATTTGGTATCCTTTTGTCATGAAAATTTATTTGCTCCTTGTATTAATGCTGGTTTTTAATTCATTCATTAATTACAGCCGAATAAGAAAAGAATAATGTTCATTTGGCCAATAGGCAAATTCTAGTTATAAACCCAATTGTTTAGAAATAAAACCTATTATGAATTGCTTTTGATCAAGAACAAGAGATTTATTGACTATTTCTATTTTCCCACTAGCAATGTGTCATTTGCTCCAACCAACCTTGACAGAACTTACACCTGAGGGGCTCCCACTTCCTCCTGGACTCACAAATTTGCCATAGCGCCGAGTGGAACAAGAGGATTCTTGTTATACTCTACCTGGGCTTCAGTTTCCTTTTAAATTATTATGTGGCTGATTTTGTGGATTGTTGTTTGTATACACGTATGGAAGCAACTGTTGAGCTTCCATCCATCCATATAAACAGTGCACACAATCAGCCAAATAATAATTCCACAGTGAATCACCAGTCAGAAGGCAGTCCGGTCTCAGGCAGTAACTGCTGTGTCTCCAGGCTGCGTTTATACTTAAGCCACTTTACACAATCATAATGGTCAAAGGGTAATAGTAAGCCAAAAATAGTGACCTTAGAACTGGACGGAGTCCCTACTCCTTCCAAAATGCCAGCGTGAACGGTTTTCTGATGCAGGTGGGTAAAGGTTCCCATCTCCATTATGATCTGGAGATGAGTCACTTTAAGGCAGGGAGTGCCAGCAATACCTAAAGAAAGAGCTCATTCTACCCTATCCCGAACCTCCTTTTCTCTGGCCTTTGTAAAGCAAGAACTACCAAGGCTTCCCTTGTTTACCCCCAAGCAGTCAGTCTACTACTAGCAGGGATCAAGATCTAGTGTAGAAAGCCGTTAGTTATTTTCATATCCTTACGTTCTAATAGTTCTGTGGCCGAAGGAAAGCAATCTGTGGAGTCCTTCCTTATTTGCATTCATTATTTGCACTGTTATGTTTTAGGCCCTTTTGCTAATGTGAAATACATCAGAAAATAATTATTTTTCTTGTCTTTCTCAAAAAGTGCATTTATCTAGAAATATAATTATAAAACTTATTAAACTCTCAAAATGTGTTCATTTTACATATGTATAAAAGTGTATTCGAGATGCATAAATAAAAATGAATGCTTTGTTGTACTGATGCCAATCTAATTTAGACCTTTATTAAACAATAGCAAGGTAGGACTATTCCTGGGAATAAACCATTTATGTCTCTGGGATTCAGTAAGCATCTGCATACCTACACTGAATATGCAACTTTTCCCCAGCTGTGCAGAAAATTGCCACCTAAGATCCTTATATTATTAATAACTTTAATGAAAAGTGTGGACTATGTCACATAATTGAAAGAGAAAAAATGAGAAGGACTGTAAACCATTTAGGATTAATTTCTGAATATGACAGTGGCGACTAATGTTGGTAACCCAATGTGCATTATTTGGAATTCAGTGACTCGAATGAACCAGAAAACTTTTGTGAAGGGAACGGGGCACTTGATGCTTAATGTAGGCTACAGTGCTATTTGGAGCTCTTAAATCTAAAAAAAGATAACTTTTCTATTGCAGCAAATCTGTTGAAAATTGAGATAAAAGTAATTTTGTGTCTAAATGCACTCTACCACTTCCTATAGCACTTAAAAATTTGAGACCTATATATTGCATACTTTTAAGCATGGAGTGATTTCATTTCCAAAAGCATCAACTATACTTCCAGGTAAATGCCTCTAGGTCATGTTTTACCTCATACTTTTGGTCCTATCTGAATACTCATCAGGATGAGGGTCCTTTGTCTTCCAGCAGATGCTTGTAGGCCATGTTTTCCTTTGATGCTCTTAGACTATGTAGTACTTTTCCTTACAGGCTAGAGATGATTCCAGTGATCAGAAATCTTTTATTTTATTTTGAACACAAATAGACTAGCTTCTATTTTCATACCTGAATAGTTTCCTAGAGGTTTTTTTTTTTTTTTTTTTTTCTGACAGAGTCTTGCTCTGACACTCAGGTTAGAGTGTAGTAGAGCAATCTCGGGTCGCTGCAACCTCTGCCTCCTGGGCTCAAGTGATTCTCATGCCTCAGCCTCCCGAGTAGCTGGATTACAGGTGCGTGCCACCATACCTGGCTACGTTTACTAGAGATCTTAAAATGAGTCTGTTGGACATAGAGGAGGCTCTAGTGAAGGAAGAATGGACCATAATTTTTCTCCTCTTTTGTCTCAACAGATGCTGTCCAGTCTATGTTTAGTTTAAAACATGCAGCTCTTATCTACCTTCCAAAGTGTTTACTTTTTTATTGATAAACTGATTAAACAAAGTTGTCCCTTTATGCCCTTCCAACTGCTAATTAGAGAAAAGGCCAACTAAAGGTTGAAAGAAAATATTAGTTTCTCTGATCTTTACTTTCATGAATACTTTTAGCATTTATTTCATAATTCAAGACAGAATCTGCATAGTTATTCATTTGCGGCATTTCAGATACCTAGTATAACCCCGTATACATTCTGGGTACTTCATAAAGGTTCATTGTTTAAAATTGTTTTAACAATAAATAAATAAATAAAAACACTTAATAATTTTGAAACCTAGAGATCACTTACGGAGTATTTATTAAGACTCTCTATGAAGAAAAAATGCATTTTATTTCAAATAGACGTACTTTTCCTACCTGGCTGATGAGTTTCAGGTCTATTCACCCTCTGGGCAAGAATAATGGTAACTGTTTCAGAATCACAAATCTAACAGAATTCTTTTTGTGCTCTAAAGCAAGCATTTTTGGCAAAAGATCAGTTTTTACAGAAGAAAGAATGTTGCCTTTGGGATCTTACTTGTTTTCTCACTATTTCAACCTTAAGTTAGCTAAATTGAGCCACTTCTGAAGTCCTTCATACAAAATGTTCAATTCAAATTCCTCTCCAGCCTCTCAGGAAATTTGGTGGAGTTTTTTCTCCAGAAAGGAGCCCAGTCATACCCCAAACTCTAAGTGCAAAGAGGCTTCAGTCCCATCGGCACCCAAATAAATCATTAAGCAAGAATTAGCTGTCTTTTTCAATTTTATCTTTTCAGTTCATTAGTGTTTTTTTTTTTTTTTTATTTTTGGTCCAGACTTCCTTTGTATTCACAAAGCAATTTCTTTGACCTTCTTGGAAGGTATCTTAAGACTCCTAAGGTATCTGTTTGACCTGAGTGCAGAGGTAGTAGTGGCCTGCTCCAGAGGAAGAGGACCTGTTTTTATTCTTTCGGATGTTTCTGAAATGTTAATCCCAGCATTTTCATAGGGATGGTAAATTGTCTCTCAAAATATAATTGTAATTACAAAGCAATCAGAGTAGAAGAAGAAATAGTTCTCATTCAAAATGCCATATTCTTGGTCTAGTAATCTGAATTTCTTGTATGTATTGGTATTGTTTTAAATCTTATTTTCATCTCAATTAAACATCAAGTGACATGTCATTGTGCTGAGAACTGTAGGGAATAAAACCAAACCACTATGAAGCCAAAACAAAGAGGTTGAAAACTCCTGGGTGTTCACTTTTTAATTACTTGCTAAATGGCATATTTCTATATTTTATGTACCTTTCCCTATCTACATATATTTTTTAATTAGAAAAAGGAAAAAGAGAAATTACACCCTCCGATAATTTCCAAGTCAAATCTGGAATTCTTACTCTCTCAAAATTCCAACTTAGTTTGACTAATACTTATTTGCATACCTGCTATGAGCCAGGCATTGTGGTGGGAAGTCAACAACGAAAAAGAGGTGAGTTATTTAGAACTTGGACATTTAACAGACATGAGAGACCATGAGAGCAGACCCTGTCCTTAAATGTGTGTAGATTAAATGTCTTGGTTGAATGTGTTTGTAGGACTTAAGAGTCTTTTTATCCTGTGGAGATGTTGGAAGTGGAAGATAATCAATTTCTTATCTCTATTTCTACACGGTGAACTTCACAGCTTTGGAAAGACTTTGACCTCTGAACAAAAAGCCAGAAGGCTGCTTAAAGAAATAGTAAGGGTTTCACTTGCCCTGGATAGTCACAAATCTAGGAGTACTGGTTCACTGCCTTGGGTTACCAGGTATCAGCTCTTTCACAATCTCTCCTCTTCCCATGCTTCCCCTTAAAGTCCAGTTGACAAATGAAAAAGAAAAAAAGGCCTTGATTTATAGTATTGCCAAACAACCTCATAAGAATGGGTAAAATTACATACACACATACATAGAGAAGGAGATAATGCTGTGAATCTACTGAGCTGGAATGCATGCTCCCTAGGAACACGTGCCCAACCTGTAATTTTATTTCTAACTTTTATAAATATACTCCTTTTTCACGTATGACATTTCTCCAACGAGGGAGGATCTGATAATGGCAACTGCAGCAATGTTCTGAGGGAAATGATGCTTTGTATCAATCCAGCATCATAATTTGAAAATATATCTTCAGCTGCAGAAAAAAGACCTGCTACTGAAATTCAAACTTGGACTTGTTTTTATTATTACAAAAAGGGTGCTGATAACAGGCTAAACTATCACTACGTGATTGCTGGTAAAGTATTTTCTATTACTTTTTCACTTGGAAAAATGATCTAGAACCCTGAGACCATGCTGCCAATGAATGCCCCACCATAGAGTCTTTTCTCAGGGAAATTAAGGTCAAACAGGCACATGTAATATTGAATTATAAAGCACCCTGCTGCACTCCAGGCTCACATATGCTGTGTTCCAAATCCTGCCTCTGATGTATGCAACGGTGCATATAGTAAAAATGTTATAAACTCTTTGATGAATGCCAAAGATATGGGTGACATCTGTATCCTCTTTTTCTTCCTCTTCTAGAATTTCTAGTGCCACATGATATGTATTAAGCATTTTAACGCACATATAAGAGTTCCACTTAGTAGGTAGCTTGAGAAACTAACGAAGAAGCCAAAGTCAAGCAAGGGCCAACTGCTATTCTTTAGATCAGCCCGTGTCTTAAGAAATGTGTAAGGTAAGATTGAGCTGATACCAAAAGATAATTTTCTTATGTTTAGAAGGAAGATGACAAGAACTGTAAAAAGTTCAGCATTTCATTTTATCTCAGACTAAGACGGTGACTGTGATGTTGTTGGGCCTGATTTTTAGCAGATCCTTCTTGTCATTTCAATGCATCGCACTGTTTCTGATTACCTACTTGCTCAGTATGTTGCAGGTAGTGGCTTGGCCTGATTATTACAGAGGACGATTGCTGCTGTGACATCCGGCGTCTTCATTCATCAAAACAATGCATTTTCCCATACCCAGTGTATGGAAATCCTTATACTCAGTGATTCACAGAAATTCACTGCCATCATAATTCTGGTCAAGTTAATATTATAAGTTGTGACCTCTACTCAAAAATGAGTTCTCATTTATTATGAAAATTTCAGGGGACCTTTTACTTTAGTCCAAAGCTTAAACAAGTATAGTTTTCCTATGTGGTCTAAAACAGTTGCATAGCAAAAAATGAATCTTTCTGGCTAATAGTTTTGTGTTTAATTTTTTTTACATGGAGTAAACTAAGTATGGCAGTATCCTTAACTGAACTCTCAAGTTCTTCTCTAATGACCTTCTTGACTGTTAATTAGATGTTCAAACTAGTACCTTGGGTTGAGACTCCCTCAATGATAGAAAAACTTGAGCTAAATAAATCCAAGACCATAGTCATGTATTTTTCATTCTATGCTTTCCCTAGGAGGAGTTAAACTTAAGTAAACAAACCCTCAAAATGGTGGCTCAGCTATAACGACACCCCAAAAAGCCTAGATGAACACAAAATCCATGCAAATCTATAGAAATTCTGAGCTCTCCTATTATAACAAGATACACACTTTGCAAGATAACACAGTAGCTTACCACAGACATGGCTGCAGTTGCCCCCTAGCACAGTGGCATGTTTCAGTTTTTCCCCGCAGAGTTGCCTCTGGCTCCCCATCAGGATGGGGAGAGAAGCTGCAACAGCTCAGGACAGCACAGTGGAAAAAAATCAACACTGCCCATTAGTTTCATCATCAATCCTGCCAATTACCGGCTTGCTCCTAACAACTAGCTCTCAGTAGAGGCTTCTCTGGCCCTCATTTTCTCTTTTTTTCCTTCCATGGCACTTTATGGTTACTTTCATTTTAACTTTTAGGTTGCATTGGAAAATACATCGCTATCCTTCAGTAAGATCTCTCTGTGCTCCAGGCACTGTGCTAAGTGATTTATGTGCAAACATCATGCAAGTTAGGAATTATTGCCCCCCTAGTCTAGTTCTCCACATAGCATCAGACTATGTAGCGGTTCAACCCATTTCCTTGGTATCTTTCCTTTCTTATTTATTCCCAGTACAAAGCCCTACTTTAGAGACAAGGAAACTGAAGTCTAGGCAAGTTAAGATCAAGTAGAAAACTGATAGTTTGAAGTGGTGTTCAGTGGCCCACACTCTTAGCCACAGTCATATGCTGCTGGTCTTAGGCACTCCTACCGTCTTCTGCTGCTGGTCTGTGGAAACCTCGAGAACGGAGTCAGTGTTTCGTCAGTCATTCTCTCCTCTACGTCTTGCACAGTGTTGGCATTTGGAAATGTATTCTGGTTTGTGCTTGTCTTTAAGAGAGGTCGATTATTTGCCATGCCTAAAGCAAAGGGCCAGCCCCCAACACCAGTTGGCCATCCAGAAAACATTTTTGGAGAGCTTATCTTCTTGGCTGGAGGAAAGGTGCTGCGAGGCTGAGGACCTACCATCACGAAAGCTTCTTTCCATACAGAGTACCCAGAAACACACTGGGCCTGGTGGACACGTTTTGTCCCAAGTAACAGTTACCCTGGACCACAGCTGACTGGGTCAGGGATCTGAGCCTGACCATCTGTAGACCAGCCAGCAGCCCAGGGAGATGACTTAATATAAAAACCCTTTATAATAATTTAACAAATCAATCTGCTCCCTGAGAGTTCAAATATGAGGCACACACAGAGAAGTCACTGATGCCAAGAGATTCATAGGGAAAAAAAAATGCACGAAACAGGCCAGGAGACAATGGACAGGCATGAGGGAAGAGGAGTGTTAGGCAGAAAGCAGAGCAGTGGTGGGGAGCAGCATCGGAGGCAGCAATGTCAAAGAGGAGGCCGGAGTCACTGACTGGAGCCCAGAGGTGCTGATGTGTCCTTAGTGAGGATCCAGTGCTCCATGACCCATTAGGATGCAAATTGCCGAGCCCATTCCTGGGCTTCCTTCCTTTCTTTGTATCCCCAGCACTATGTCCTATCGCTGAGATCATCTCAGAATGTCTCTGAGCCCAGGACTGGGGCAGGGAGGATTCGGGGCTGGGAGTAAAAAAATGAAGCCAACACACCATCCCTGTCTATAGGAGCTGTGATCTAATGAGGCAGATGCAGATATTCACAAGTGATTACAACCAAAGACTATGCTTGGGCTGGGCTGGCCTATCTATCAGAGAGCTCTCTAAAAGAGACTCCTGGGATATTGTTATATGTTCTTATTACAGTCCTATTCGACAGAGCTGAGAAAGGAGGGAAAGGAGAGGAAAGAAAAAGGGTGGAATCCGGGAAGCCTAAAAAAACCAAAAACCTATTATAATGCTACTCCCATTGGAATTCATACATTTCAGTAATTGCCTGCAGTGCTAAAAGAGAAGCTAAACTTTTTCTTAATATCATGTTTAATAAAAATGATCTCTTAGTATATTTTGAGTGAGTTCAGTGCTCTAATATTAGAGTGAGGGACAAATAGCAAATGAGTTACAACACTGCATAATGAAGAGGGAACCTGCATGGCTTCCTCAGTCCTGAGCTGTGGAATTTGCTCTTTTCCTTCATCTGGGTGAACTGGAATTATACCCTGAATTATGGGCTGGCTTTATAAGGTGCACCCCAGATGTCCTCATGCTGGACATGGCCCACAGTTACAAGGCAAATAGGAAATCAAATCAAATCAGCCATAGGCTGACCTTTATATATATATACATATATGACCTAGATAAGAGGGGGGACCTTCTCTCCTTTTCAGATTGTGATCAGTCCTGTCCTAAGATTACAATGAAGATGGCCACATCCTTACAGAAACTTAACTGGTCAAAAAAAGTCCAGCCTGAGACTAAGGTACCTATGCCTTTTTCCCCCCTTTAAAAAAAATTTTAGATTTAGGGAGGCACTTGCACTTGTTACATGGGTATTACAGTGTAATGGTGGGGGTTGGACTTCTAGTGTGTACCCATCTAGAAGTTGCTCACCTAACCAAATATTGAACATTGCAAGGTACCTGTACTTTCAGAAACTTGAGGTCACTGAAAGGCAGCTTTGAGAAACAGTGGATTTTGTCACCCTGGACACCCACCATCATGGGGGTGGCAGAGTTGGCATACAGAGTAATGATTATGTCTGGATGGGTGGGCTGGGATGCTATTACACACAGCCCATTATTACACTGAACTGAATGGGGCACGGCAGCAAATTATTTCCTTCAACCTAATAACTGCTTACACCTGGTGAATGCTGATAGAGTGCCAGGCTTCTTCAGGCATATCTTCTTCTGTACCACTTCCTCTGACGTAGTGGATGATAATAACTATTATTAGTCCCGTATAATAGATGAGGAGAAGGATGCTTGAGAGAATAAGTAACTTGTCCCAAACAAAATGGTTGAGAAGTGGAGGAGAGGTAGGATTTGAATTTACTCGTTTGGACTTGAGGACTTGAGAACCCCCTCTATTTATTGCTCCATCCCACCACCTCCTAACACTAAAAAGAGATATTTCATCCTCTTACAAAGATAGTGGAATGAAACCAGATGAGTGTTCAGCTTCTGCAGTAAATGGCAGTAAATGGGCCAGTCCTTCTGGACGACTTCTACTCTAAGTCCCAAGATTTTCTTGGACATCCGCATAGTTTCTTTCTCTTTCTGCCTCTGAAATTCTTCTCCTGCAGTGATTATGTTTTTCCCTCTCTGCAGAGGTTCTCTGGTTGAAACACATCAACAGAAAGCGGTGATGTGAGATGAATTATCCACCCCCGGAAGCTTAGCCATTCACTAGTTTGGTCCGCAAGTAAAGCAATGCATATTTCAAATTCCATTCCCCGGGTAGCTACAGTCTGCTGTTCTAGCCTGCCGAGCCAAAATTAATTAGAGATGAATATCATAATAGAACAGTATTGATCGTAGCATATCGCTGAGAAGTGCTGGTCTGTGTTAATTAACATGATTTGCCATCAACACTCAGTGTATTTATATGCGATCAACAAGAGTATTTGTCTACATAGACCAACATGTTTTTCAGTAGAGGTGAAGCTCACCTACAAATGATCCGTATGTTCAAATGTTTGTCCCTTTGGCTCTACCCAACCCCTGCTTGGCACACACCTATGGGTGGTCTCATTGCCTTCATATTGGCTACCTCAAAACCTAACGCATAACCTTTGGAATATCTTAGCAGTTGGAAGTAGAGAATTAGAAGTTGTTGGTATAAATGTGAGAAGCATCCTGGGGGGCGGGGTGGGAATGGGCAGACTAGGGGAGGATTCTTAAGTAAGTGTGGACTATCTATAATGTCCCTTTCCTCAAAAGAATCTGAATATTTCCCTTTTATGTTCATGTAGTTCTAACATTATGCTACACTGCCTCCCATTTCAACAGTTAGAGATTCATTTTATAAAAATAAGCAGTCTCTTTTATTTTTTGTTTTTTTAAGAGAC
This sequence comes from Homo sapiens, assembly GCF_000001405.40. Lineage (NCBI taxonomy): Eukaryota > Metazoa > Chordata > Mammalia > Primates > Hominidae > Homo > Homo sapiens. Next base: position 167,755,969 of record NC_000002.12, on the reverse strand, counting down.
GAGGTCTCACTCTGTTGCCCAGGCTGGAGTGCAGTGGCTCCATCATGGCTCCTTGCAATCTCAAACTCCTGGCCTCTAATGATATTCCTGCCTCAGCCTCCTCAGTAGCTGGGACCACAAAATTGTGCCACTATGCCTGGCTAATTTATTTGTGTTGTTATTTTTGTAGAGATGAGGTCTCATTGTGTTGCCCAGCCTGGTCTCAAACTCCTGGCCTCGACTGATCCTCTTGCCTTGGCCTCCTGAGTCACTAAGAGTACAGGAGTGAGCCACTGCACCCAGCCAATGGTCTCTTTTGAAAGGCAAATAGCTCCTGGAAGGTTAGGGGACTCTCAGCCACTTAGTTACTTAATCAAATTTGTCCACATTTCTCTTCATTACATTTAGTTCAGACCAACTGCAGTTAGGTGGGTGAGGTTTGCCTCCCTTTCCCTCCAAAATATCCTGCCTCCCTTCCTCACCCCTCATTGATTGGAGGGGTGAGGAAGGGAGGCAGGATATTTTGGAGCATAGAATTCTCGGGAAGAAATGGAAGGGCAAGTTTGGAGGGAGAAGAGTATAGGAGGCCCTGGGACGCAACACTAGGAGGGTGAACAATGCAACATCAACCAATCGTGTTCTAGTCAACATTCTGCCCAGGGTCCTCCTTGAATCCAGGAAAGAAAAAGTTCTTTCTCTCCTCCTCTCCTTCAGTGCTTCATCAGGGCATCGTACTTCTAGCATTCATCTGGGTATTTTAATCCGTATCCTACTTTAGCTATGTTATGGATTAAAAAGCCTTCTGTGGGCTGGCCTCAGTAGTTAACCACTGCATGTAAAATGGTTTCCAGAGGAAACTATGCTTCGAATTTTGAATTGTAAACCAACCTGTGGGACAGAATCTGTTTGAAACTGGGGGCTACCTGTGCATGGCTCTAGGCTGCACCATCACCCCGCCCCCTACAACATACTCATTAGACACTGCTCAAGAATGAAAACACGTATCAAAAGAGAAGGCTTGAATGCATGGCTCGGCTCTGCACACAAAGCCAAAACATCTGGATAAACTGTTGACTAAGTATGCTAGCCAGATGTTTTAAAATAATTGGTAGGGCAGACAACACATTTGTGTGATTGACATTTTTATTTTTTATTTTATTTTGTTTTTTGGTGTTGAGTAGCCTTGGTCTTTGTAACTGCAGGGTTGCTTACTAAAACCTGTCTTTATTTCTGAGAAGCAGAGAGTGTTGAACTCAGTGGGTGCTTCTAGACTTGGGGATTAGTGCTGGGTTCTCTTGTAAGATGTGGACTTGATGTGGAAAGGTAGCAAGGTGAGTGGCCTGGCTATATATATTCTTTTGTATCTTTTTCCTCTCTTTTGGTACTCTAAACCAGAGGCTTGATCTCTGTTGATTTTAGCTATTTTAAGCCTCTTAACTTCCCTTCCTCTTTCTGTGAAATCTGATTCAAAAGTAGGATGCACTCTATTGCAGGTTGTATCTAACTATAATCAAGGGTGACCAGCATAGAAATACATGGGGTATTTCGTGGAAAGGCAGATTGCTAGGCCCTCCTCTAACTACTGAATCAAAACCTCTAGAGGATACGGTAGTGGGAAATGGTCTTTTAAATAAACTCCCCAGGTGAGTCTAACTGCAGACTTAAGAGAACTGCTGCATTATAGCCTCATTCTGAGTCATGAAAACTTTCACTTTTCAATTTTATTAACCTGTAGAATCTAGAAATCAAGTAACATAGGAAAATTTGTAAGTCGAAGTACTAGGGTGCTTCTGAAAATGTAATGTAAGCAAGTTAAGAACTTGATAACAATTCATCACAGATACTTGCCCTGGAATCTATTCTTAAGCATATCAGGCATTTTTCTGTCTGAAATCTGATTTTCATAGAAGATCAATAAGGGAATATTTACATTGCCAATACGGTAACCATTTATTATTTGATTTTTACAAAATCCTTGCCTCTAAGCAACTGGCATTTGAAACAAATCAGACCTTCATCAGCCATAATAACAGTTCATTGTCTTTGTTCTGAGGTATGCATTTTATTTCCATTATCCCTATTGAATAAAGCAGGCATAAAACTAGCAAAGCCCAGTTTATCACAGTGCAAATTGAGTGGAGAGGCTAAGTGAATGAATCTGGTGGGTTTCCCTCAGATTAGCAACCAGAAGAGTTTAGCTTCTCTCAGAACCCCCACACTGGGCTGTGGTGAAGCAGTGTGAATGAAAGGTCTGCAATGTAGAACAGTAACATGAGAAATCATTGGCAAGCAAATTTTGTGCAATTAAAACAATGAGAAAAGTGGGTTGTCTGGAATCAAGACAAACCATTTGGTGAGTCCATGAATTTTTCCACATGTTCACGGGCAGGGAGGAGGAGGAATGAGGTGGCTGTGGGGACAGAATCTCCCCAGGATGCCTTCTCAGTGGAGACACAAGAGCTCCCAGAAATGAAAAAAGCTTCACAAGGGCTTTTTAGATGTCTGAATTCTCTCTGCATGGAAAGTGGGAGGATCACCAAATGGCTTAAGGACCAGGAACCTCAGAGCCTGACCATGGTTTCACTCCTCAGCAGGTTGTGTGCTTGGGTTTCACCTGCTGGTCAGGGACTCTCCCAACCTGGCATGGCTTTAGTCCCATGGCTAGCGCAGATTGACGGGCCTGTCTCTTGCTCACAGTTTCCGCTAAGGGGCATGGCTCTGGGTATTGCTCTAATCTGGACAAGTGTGAGAGGGCTTTGCTGTTTACCTTAGTTTTAATTTTCCTATGTTTTTCTTTATTTAAAATGAGTACTGCTCATAATCCTAAATTTCAAACTCAGGTGTATGATTGCATTTGGGCTCTCAGTTTCCATGGCAATGGCCCCTCTCTCCAGTGCAATGCTCTGAATGCAGTAGGACCTTCATTAACACTGGTGGGCTGCCCCATTCATGGTTATTTCCCAGAATCACTGTGGACCTACAGGCAGATGTTCTATCATGTCTCCTCTCCACATTCCACTATTCACATGCAGAGTTATCCTTGTTCCTGAAGGAACCAAGCACAATGAGTGCTGCATGCACTCAGCTGTTGCATCTCTCCTGGCTCACTCAGGAGACAGTTCAGTCAGGTTTATCTCAAATTCACTTCCTCTGCCTCTGTCAGTTCAACCGCAGCTCCCCAAATGCCCTTGCCAAAGAGTGATGTGACTAAAGGTGACAGTCCTACAGTTTTCAACAATTGTGAGTTGCTGAGTTGAGACTTTTTGTTTTTTCCTTTTCGGAGCTTTGTTCACCTAGGAGATGTTAATTTCTAAGAATCCGAGTGCACTTTTCCTCTCAGACAAATCTTATCTAGAGAAGCCACTAACTGTGACATTAAAGCGGGGAAGGGGGGTGTGGGGGGAGAGGGGCGGGGGGGAGGATGCTATTATTCTGCACTGATGGAAAGGTCTGCAGTTTATTTAAAAAAAAAAACAAATAGAGTACCTCTTTTTGGAAAGTTTACAATAAATCTACATAAATGGTATGCAACATCACGTAGGTCTCCTCATGGCTACAAAAGCAATATGCTTTACATTTACACGGCCTTTATAAAATTACTATTAAGTATTCTCCTTTACTTTCATTTGTAAGTACACTGCAATTCCTGACTTCTTGTCATAAATTGTAACAATGTTTTATGAGTGTTTAAATATACATATAAGGTTAAAAGTATTGTTCTTTTTATTTTTAAAAAATAGTCTACATCACTCTAACTCATCTTAACCGGAAGTGTCTACTGTGCATAATAGCTATTGTGCTGCTCTTTGTTTCCACTTTTCACCTTGAAAATGCTGCAATTTCCAAGTTAAATTCTCACTGCATCCCATAAAATCTTTTTACAATGTAAAAGTTCTTTATGTGTCAAAAAAAAAAGGTAGACAATACTACTTTCAGTAGCTAAGACTCTCCTGGAACAATGCAGTGTTATGCATAGTGTCTGATTTTCCTGTGGAGGTATAAATGAGACTTTATAAAGAAAAAGTTCATTTCTGGCTCTCATAGTGTTTGCCATATATGAGCAAAATGCCTACAGTAGTAATGTGGTCAGCCCCTACTTGGTTCCTAGGTCTTGAAGATCTCCTTTCCTAGACTGCAGCAGTATCTGCTGACATCTACTCATCGTTTGATCAGAAACTCGGGCACACACTCCAGAGGTGCCTTAACTAAATCTTGCAGTACCCCAGGAATTGTCTGAGAAAAACTTGGATGACTAAATGAGCTGTGAAATAACACAAGTTTCATTTTTCTGAATGTCTCACCCACCACTCCCTCACCTCCACTGACCCAGCACACATACCTTCTATCAGTCCAAAGTGGTGCCTGGTGGGCAGCCCAATATCTCTGCTGGGACTGACTGTTTTCTGAACTGACTATGAGGCTAGGGTCCAATTATCCTCATAACTCCTAATTCCTTAAGCCCCTGGATGAAGTCTTATTTAGAATGGACATATTGGCAAAAAATTCTCTGTTCTGAAATTCTCCCACAGACAGACTATTTCCTCCACTCCATTCCACATTATTAATACCTGGGAAAACATGCCAGGGCAGATTGTCTGGTGCCTCTGTCCAATCTCATCTGGTCCTCTTCTGCCTTTTACTCAAGTACTTGTTGCCTAGGGTCTTCTAAGCCTTGGAGCAAGGGTTTGCTGGTATTATGACACATTTTAAATAACTTCTCAGTATCCAAAGGAGCCACAACACTTTCTCTGTATTATGTGTCAGGAAAATTTGTATTGTCACTATTTCTTTAGTAATGTGCCAAAATATAATCCACAGAGGAGTGATATCTTACACCAGGGGTCAGCAAACCATGATGCACAAGCCAAATCTAGCTTGCTATTTTTGTAAATAAAGTTTTATTTGAACTCAGCCAAGCTCATTCATTTATATGTTGTTTACGCCTGTTTTCTTGCAGCAACAGCAGAGTTGAGTAGCTGTGACAGAGACTGTATGGCTCACAAAGCCAAAAATATTTACCATCTGGCCCTTTATAGAAAAAGGCTGCCTACTTCCATGTTACATTCACCCATTACTTCATCTCACTGCTTGGATCCTAAATAGATTCCTGCCCGTGGCATAGGATTCTGGGACTTTGAGTGAGAGGAACAGATGGGCAGGAAGACTTGATATGTAGGTACCAGAGAAGGGATATGACACTCTAAAGATCCCTGAGTGTTACCTGCGAGGGGCTTAGTTTTTTTTTTTTTTTTTTTTGCTCAACAGTCCTTTAAGGTATGTGTCCTTAAGGTTAACTTGCTACATAATATCTGTCTATGAAAAGGTTGTGAACCGTGAACCAAAGGACTTTCATGATTAGTCATATGACACCTGAGGGGACAGTACCAGGTACCCAGGTACCAACCTGGTTGAACTCCAAATTATTTTCACCAAAAAGGATGAAACCCATTTTCAAATTAGTGATATCTGACTCAAGACATTAATGTATGTGAAAGAAATAAACACAAAACTTGGCTTTTCTAGGCTCAAAGACTTCTAGAAGAAACGACTTAAAAAATGCCACTAAGAGAGGAGCAAGCTTGAGATAAATTGTTAATAATTATTGTTGTCCAGTGGGGATTCAGAAATACCAATCCCACTCCTTCGTGAGTGTTTTCCTTACGGTCTATTTACTCTGGCCACACCCTGCTGCTAGACAAATTTCACTTTATTGGATTGGAAATACAATTAGCATAGATTTTTTTCCCATTAAGTAAAATATTATAAAGCCATGCTTATAAATATCTACATCACTCAGGCTTGCAAATAGACAAGACAAAAACTTTTCTTAGCCTTATTTGCTAAATTGAACCTGATAGCAAAATTTCTAATGTAAATCAAATGATGGATGTGCTGACAGTTAATGTCACAAAGTAGTCATTCTACAAGAATACATACATAACTACTAAAATTTAAAATGGCCAAAGGAAGGGGTTTTACACACTCTCATGCCAAATTTTCTTATTTTTTTCTTTGCACTGATTAAAATAAAGGAGTCATCACTGCCAAAGGGCAGAGCTCTTACATTGCTTTTATCAAATGCAAATAGGTGTAAATACAAACTGTAAAACAGAAGAGAAAGATCATGACTCAGCGTCTGACAGCAAAGCTTATTAAACATAATCAAAGACTCAGAATGAACTCATGTTGCCTTTCAACACATTGCTAGAGAATTCTTTTTGCTATAAAACTAGCATTAAATGTCACAATCTTGAAACTGCTGTTGGAGAAACTTAGTTTAAGGCATTTAAAACAACTTCAAGACTCCAAGTGGAGAGGATTTACTTACCATAGGATAAATCATACTGCATTTAATCTGGACATGGCACCCCTCAAACTGTAGTCAATAATTGATTAAAAGTTGATCCCTCAGGGCATTAGCGTCTGAAATTTTAGGATACTTATTGGTGATTAAAATATATAGTTATTGGATGAACGAAGCCTCACATATGTTAACAACAAAATCAATGTTTGTTGTCTCTTATGAAATACAAGGACAATGATTTATTTCTCAGGAAGTCAGTTGGAACATGGGGTAAGGTACATGGGTCTATATTGAGAGGTGAAAATCCTGCCCGTGGCATAGGATTCTGGGACTTTGAGTGAAAGAAACAGATGGGCAGGAAGATCGGACACATAGGTACCAGAGAACGGATATGACACTGCAAAAGTTCCCTGAGTGTTACCTGGAAAGAGCTTAGTTATTTTTTTTGCTCAATAGTCCTTTAAGGCATGTGTCCTTAAGGTTAACTTGTTACACAATATCTGTCTATGAAAAGGTTGTGAAGCAAAGGACTTTCATGATTAATCATATGACATGTGTGGGATGCTTAGTCATGACTATTTAAAAGTTGAAGCTAGTTCTAAGGCCAACCCTTGGCCAGCCTCACAAAAATACATGCATCTTAGCTATGCCTGGCTTGTCTGTTTTTTATTTATAGGTGTCTTTGGACTCTACATTCTGGAGTACCAACTACTTCTACTTGAATCTCTGTGCACACTCAGCATGGAGCCTGGAACATAGTAGTTGCTTAATAAATGTGTGTGGCATGAATGACTGGAAGAATGATTCTCATCACTTATTATTGAGCAGTGTGAGAACACAAGGACAGAGATGCTGATTTGTCCAAGGAAGACTGGCTTGTCTGGCAATATCCACTCAGTCTGTGGCCTTTCTCCCACAGACTCCTTAAAAGCAAGTCTCAAACACTAAAATTCATTGTTCAATGTGACTAACAGAATTCTTCAGTTAGGCATTATACTTTGACTTCAATACCTGCCTCTGGCTTCTTCTAATTTGTGGTCCATTAAGTTTTGCCTGACATTCCGAGTCATGCACTTCCACATAGTTGCCCACTTTGAACCTTCCTTTTGCCTTGGTGCCTTCTGATACCTCAGCTCAAAAGTCCCTACAGGACTGTGAGATCTCTCAACCCCCAACCCTACTTTACCATGACAAGGAGAGATCCTGACCTGAAAAGAATAATCTCAGGAAAAGCTTCAAGAGATATTTTAATTTCCATTTTCTCCCTTGAAGACTTAATGAATCTGTGGAAATTTCTAGTGAAATGGGGAACAGAAATTCTTTTCATCAATGATGAATCCCAGGATTTGCAAGTTATCGCTCATCTCGGTGGATAACTGATGGCTTGCCTTAGGTGATCTGCATGAAAGTAACTGTCACCCCCAACTGCCAATCTTTATAGCAATGGCTGAATAAGTTATTTATAATGATGGCATCAAGCATTGTTTAACACTCCCCACATATCACATTGTGCTTCATCTGTGCTTTCCAGAGAGCTCGTATCATAGTCTAACTTGCATTATAGTTATTGTTTTATTTTCTTCTTGCAGCTTTGTAGTAGCTACTTGGAAACAGCTTTTTTGTATTTCTTATTCTTTGTATTCCCCAGAATGCTGGCAGTAAACTTTGTACAAATATGGATACTAGAAATGCTTACTAAATGTAAGAAGAGGAAAAGGGAGCATATGCAGACATATCTAATTAAAATTTGGTGAAATAAATACTTAACCATTGGCCTGAAATGAGACTTTTGACCAGTTCTGCTCAGTTTTAATAGTCATGATCAGAATTACACATTTGTTTTGAAATTTTGCAAATGCAATAAACAACCTCTAGCCCATTCTGACGCCTTCATACTTTTGATCATCTACAAGTTAATTTCTGTAGGTACTTCCCATTCTCCATGACTATTGTGTATATAGTGATCCCAGATGAAATTCCGCAGGAAACTATGTTCCCTGGGCTAGCTAGACTCACACGGTATTCATGTGGATGTTTGCTTTCTTCACTTAAACATAAAATCACACTTAGGACCAAGGTTGGGCAAAACTGTGAATTAGATGAGTTTCTCTTGAGCCTCTTTAACCTCTAGTTGTTTTTCCTCTCCCTCTTCTCTGTCTACAATGGCCTTCTACTGCTCTCTGGATGTTTAGTGACCTCATCTAGTTCTGAATCTCTTTCAAGCTGTATCTGTCTAATTTTTCTTAAAAATTGCTGTCAGCCTAATTCTGCTGGAATGATTCCAATACATGAATTAGTTGTATGATGTTAATGAATGATAGCAGCTTAGGCATTTTCTGGCCCTGAGGGATTTGCATTTTGATAAGGGGCAATGCCCTAATCCAAAGGAATAAATTGTGATTGGTAGAATTTTAAGTCTTCAAAGGTGGCATCAAGGGTCAGACAGCCTTCCAACCCCAACATCTTGGCTGCCTGCTCTAAGAGTACCGGAGACTCTCCTTCCCACAATGCTCTCCCCCTTTATCACCATGAATAATCAAGTCATTTTACATATAAGCCCCAAACACTGACAGTGGCAAAAGCTGAACTCATTATAAAAGGGAAAAATGTCGACACAATGCTTTAAATCATCGGAATTTAGTGGGTTGGAGGTACGATATGGGGAAGGGGAAGAAAGAAAAGCAGAAAGGGAGCGAAAAAGGGCAGCAACATAGGGCACAAAAGAATTATCTCTTTAATCTGAATGTTATCACAATATATTATTAGATACATAGAATGCATGCACTTTCAACACCTCTGTGAGATCAAATTATATGTACTAACCCAATTTTTCTATAAAATGAAAAAACAGATTGATTCACAATCTGTGGGAAAGGCAGACTGCAAAGACATAGCAAACTTAAGGGCTATTACACATAATATGTTGAGCTTTAAAAACACATTTCATAATGGCAGCTCTGTATTTTTAATTAGTGTATAACATGGAATACTAATTTTTACAAACAAGTGCCTCAGAGCTATTTACCAGATATTATTAATTGAAGTGTATGACCAATTTGTCATTGCTAAGAAGAGTGGGACAGCGGCTCCATTGTCACATATTTCTGAAGCAAGTCAATAAAATAAATTTGTTCAACAGCAAAAGAATTCAGCTGTATTTGTTGAACTTATGACTTTTTTAGAAAACAACAAATCACATGCTCACACAACATGATGCTGATCTTTGGTTAGGTCATGCATGCCCTGTCACAGATGTGAGAAAAAAGGCTTGAGAGGGCTTGGAAGATGATTCTATGTCAAACAAATCAATGCAGTAAGATTGCAAATGCATGTTACTGCATTAACTTTCAAGTCTCTTAACTAAACTTTGAAACTTAATAAAGATCTCATTTTATTTGTCTTTTAAAAAGAAAAAATAATGTCCTCATATAAGACTTGGAAGGGCACTTAAATTTCTTTTAAGTGAACAAATCAGTTGCACAGCATGAATTTTATAGATATTTCACAACCAACAGAACAATAATAATAACAGTTTTAATGTAAGTTATCTAATAGAGGAATTAATTTGTCTCCTTTACCTTTGAAATGACTTTACCACTTTCTAAATCATCCCTTACTTCTCCTTTTCTAACCACAACAATTCATCTGACTCAGGAGATTAGACAAAGGTGAAGACTTAGATCTGATACCATTATGTAGACATAAGAAAATGAGAATTATTAGAGAGAGTTAAGAGATATGAAGAATAATATGAGGATATTAATCATAAATATACAATTCAAGTGCCAGTAAGACAGACTAGAGATAACAGAGGAGATATGATATTTAAGTTCAATAATTAATTGAAAAATTTCCAGAACTGATGAAAAACATGCATCCACAGATAGATAATGGAACCACACTATACGTCAGTAGAATAAATTTTCAGAATTCTACAGCTACACATATCCAGTAAAACTGCAGAACACCAAGATAAATAGATGGTTTTCAACATAACAGAGAGAAAAAAACCGAACAGCTAAAAAGGATGAAAATATGATAGTAAGATTCTCAACAACAAGGGAATCATAAGCCAATAGAATATCTTCAAATTGCTGAGAAAAAAATAGTTTTAAACATAAATATCAAAGCCATCTTTTAAGAATGAGGATAAAATAGAGGCATTTACATTAAAAATAAGCAAACAACAAAATGGAGTTTCTAATAGGCAATCACTATGGAAATACTGAAGTTATATACTTCATAGAAGGAAAATGATCTCAAAAGAATAGTATGAAAGGCAAGAAGCAACAGTGAGAAGAAACTGTTTAATAAACAAATCATAATAAACAGTGTCTACATAGATAACCATAATCGTGTCTAGTTTAGGGAATTAAAACAAATAGAGAATAATGTAAATGTTAGGAGAGGGGGTGAGCAACAATCTACATTACATGTTTCAAGGTTTTGTATGGTTTTAGAATAGAATTAATATATTGAGGAATATCAGACTTTATTAAATATGCATATTAAAACTTCTAGGGCAACCACCAAATTCATAAAGATAACTTCCACACCAGTTGATAGAAAACAATGGAATAAGACAAAAAATAGTTTTCATTAATTCAAAATGTAAAGGGACAAAAAGAGAAAAAAAAAGAGGCAGAGAAATTATAAAGCAAAATTACACAAATAAGTCCAAGTATATTAGCAATTAAAATAAATGTAAATGATCTTAAATTGCCAATAAAAAAATCAGAGATTATTTGATTGAATATAAAAACAAAACAAGACATTTACTGTGTATAAATGGTATGTCTGGCCGGGTGTGGTGGTTCACGCCTGTAATCCCAGCACTTTGGGAGGCCGAGGCAGGCGGATCACGAGGTCAGGAGTTCAAGACCAGCCTCACCAACATGGAGAAACCCTGTTCTACTAAAAATACAAAATTAGCCGGGCGTGGTGGTCAGTGCCTGTAATCCCAGCCACCTGGGAGGCTGATGCAGGAGAATCGCTTGAACTCGGGAGGTGGAGGTTGCAGTGAGCCGTGATCATGCCACTGCACTCCAGCCTGGGCAACAAGAGTGTAACTCTGTCTCAGAAAAAAAAAAGAAAAAGAGATAGGCCTATAAGAAAACAGAAAATTAAAAATAAAAGGATAGACAAGGTTTAACAGGTAAATATTAACCAAGGAAAAGCTGAGGAATAAAAAGTATTCTTAAAGACAAAAAGCCTTTGAGAATAGGAATGGACACTACAAACTAATAAAAAGGTTTAATTCATGAGAGATCTATAATAATAGTTGCAAACTTACATTAATCTAATAAAATAACATGAAAATATATTTTAAAATTGCTAGCACTACAAATAGAAATCTCTTATTATAATGAAAGATTCCAAATACAACCCTTTCAATTAATAGATGAAGCAGATAAAAATGATGAATATATGAAAGATTTGATCAATACCATTAACCAGCTTGATTTATTGACTCCTGCACACAACTAGTGATATTGCATTCTTATCAAGAAACATGAGGCATTTAAAAAATTATTCACATAGTAAGCCATTGGTACTCATAGGCCATTTTCTCTGACTGCAATTCAAATAAATTAGAAGTTAATAATTAAAGGATTAATTTAAAAATCCCCCCATAATTGGAAATTAGGCACACATATAGTGTTGAATAACTCATAAATCAAAACCTTTTTAGTGGAAATTAAAAATATTTCAGCTGAACAATAATGTTATATTGAAATAATACTCAATAAAATTTTGCAGTCTTAAATGTTTGTAGCTAAGCCATCAAATTAGGAAGTTAGAAAAACAGAAGAAGTCCCACTAAAGCAGAATAACAGAGGTAATAAAGATGAGTTTTTCAAAAAAACCACTGGAATAAGAAACAGATTAAAATAGATGGTCAACACAGCCAAAGTTGTTTCTTTGTAAAAACTGTTTAAATAGATAAGATGGTGCCCAGATTGATTAACAGAAAAAGAGAGAAGACACAAATAGAAAATACTTGGGATATAAATGAGAACATAAACTACCAATATATCAGAGATTTAGACAAAATAAAGAGAAACATATTATTACCAAAACCGATTTAAAATATAGAAAAGTGAAATAGTTCTATAACTACAAAAACATTTCAATGGAAAAATGGGCAAAAGATAAAAACAGACATATCTTACAAGAAAAGAAATAATAGCACACAAATATATTTTTAAAATTTCATTAGTAATTGGAGATATAGAAATTAATACTACAATGATAAATATTCTATTGTTTTCTTATTTAGCAAAAAGACAAGAAGTCTGACTATACAAAATACTGCTGTTCTTGAGGCTCAATGCTGATGGGGGTTTAAATTGGTTTAACCTCTTTAGAAAAAAATTGGTTACTATTTTGTAAAATAGAACCTTTATAAACTTAACTCCCAGCAATTCTTCTCCTAGGTACATACTCGAGAAACTTTTGTTCATGCATGCCAGGATATATTGCTTGTTATAACAAAAAAGGAAAAAATCTATTAGTAGGAGTTTGGGTAAATAAATGTGATATATTCACATTGGCATGTTAGACATTGAAAAAAATGAGTGAACTATAGCTACAGTAACAATTATATATGGATGCTCCTTAAAAATAATATTCATAGAAAAAGTACATCATGAAGGCTATATGTAGTATGATATGGTTTTTATGAAGTGTAAAACCAAGGAAAACCAAGCAATATGCATATTGTTTATGATATACATGTGACACATTTTTTTCTTTATAAATAGCAAATAAATGATAAAACAAAATTCATTATAGTAGGTTACTTTGAGCAGGAAGTAAAGAGCAGATTAGAGGAGAACCAGAAGAAAGGCACAATGGTATTAGAATTATTTTAGTTCTTTAAGTTGGGCAACAATTTCATGGATACTAATCATATTATTCATGACATATTTGAAATAGATTTCTGAATGTTCAAATACTATATAATAAAAATCTGAAAAACAGAATTACATCATTTCTGTGCTCATACTTAAAAAAAATGGGTTCTTATTATTTAACAAATAAGGTCCTAAGTGGTTAGCATGAAGTTCTAGATGCAACTTCTTTCTGCTACGTAGTCATCTTTCTGCTGTGATAGAACAGATTTCTTTACCCCACCATATGCCGCTACACACCCATATTTTGGACTTGCTTTTTTACTGTCTTTACTGAATACACATTTTTTATGCTCTTGTGTTTTTTTCTTAAACTGTTTCCTAAGCTTTCAATGCCTTCCCTTTCTTAAAGATTTTCTACACAAATATTTCTCATCTCTCAGGAACCAGATATGCTCTTTTGCCCAGTGAGGACTGACTTCACCAGCTTCAGAACTCCCACTACACATTACCTGTCCCTACACTGCAGTGTACTCTGCATCCATCAGGCAGGAAACAGCCAAGCAAACAATAATGGTGAAGCAACTGTCTCTCATACTACAATGGATAAAGACTACACTTAAAGCAATCTTAAAGCAAGTATTTCATCAAAAACCGAGAGTGAAAAACACTGATATAGTAAAGTGACCTTCCGGTAAGGACTCCTCAATTACACCTGGAAAGGTAGATGCACAGAAGAGCATCAGTAAATTAAATTACTTTAGTAGAAACTTCTAGAGTCATTTGGAGTCGTTAGAGTCTGTTATGCACACCTGACTGAGAGGTGTCATCAGTTTCTCAGTAAGGGCAAATTGAAAGTTCATATCAACTCCCACTTTACAGTATTAATACCTTGTGGTATATTATATTCCTTATCCTCTTATGTATCTTCATATACTCTCAGTAAGTTATGAAGTTGCCTTCACATAGCACTGAATTATATACTCTCTGTTGCCAACATTATAAAATCTAGATAGCTCAACTCCATTATTGTAGTCAAGATTTTGGTTCCCAGTATGATCAAAGAACAGCATACTTTAGGGAGTTTATTTCTCCCTAAAGGTGAACTTCAAGGTCAAAGATGTTTAGTGTGATTTATAGATAGTTATTTAACAACCATTGTGGTTACAAGGGCTGGGGACCTGAAGGGAGTGGCATGGTCCACCCTGGCAGGGAGGAGTATTTTTATCACTGGCATTGTTTAGAATTGGCATGCATGGTGATAATAAAAAGTATGCAAATTTCAAATCTCTATTATTATTATATTCTAAATAATTTGGAAACAATGCACCCCCTTATCTCCTACACCTGTGATGGACCACTCTGGCTATATCCACCCCACCTTGGTATTTTCTTGTTGGCTTTTCCTACCAGACTGTAACTTCTCTGAGGGCATGGAAGATGTTTTAACTATCTTTGTATACCAAAGTTTAGCACTTAGTAGATGTTTTTTGAAGAAAGGAATTTCATTTGTTAGAATGTGCTCAGTGATAAGTAACCAAACACCCAATTTACATTGATATTTACAATAAAGTGGATATACTGACTCATGAGAGTCTTGGTTCAATGACTAACAAAGTCATCAAATGCCCACTTTTTTTTGCCTCACCATCCTACATTCTGGGGTGTCATCTGGCCTATATAGATACAAACTGGCTGCCAACAACACCAGAGGCTACAGAAGTCCTTGTCCATGACAGAGAGAGACAAAGAAAAGTGATTCCAGAAGCATTCTCAGAAAAGCAAGGAAGCTACTTTTCCAATTTCTGTTCTCTATTCTCATTGTCTTGGCTTGAGTCCTGTGCTTACCCCTGAATCAATGACACCTAGTGCCAGGGAAGGAGGGAGCTCCTCCCAGAGATGGAAAGGAACTGGCTTATTTACCAGCTGAAGTGGGCCCAGAAATTGAGAAGTTACCACAGTGCCTGCCAAAAGACTAAAGTGTGGTTGGTTGTATAGTGGGGTCTGAAGGCAAGTTTTGACTTAGGATAGAGCTTATGATGATATATTGAACAAAATCTAAATATGACACAATGTACATGAACTATTCCTAGAAATTTTTTATTACTTATTTAAATTAGTAATATTTTACTTTTCAGAGTATTTGCACAAAGATGAATTTCATCTGCTTCTTACTACCATTTAGAGGGGTGGCCAGGAAATATATTTCTATTTTATACTCTTTTTATTATAATTTACTATGTGGGCCATTCCTATAATGCATTTGCCAAGTATCTGCAAAATAATATAGTTATTTATTATCATCCTATAACAATATTGTTTTATTTGCCACATTTATTTGATTAAAATAAAGTCCACAAAAGACTTTTTTCAATATCATTTTGGATCCAAGTCAGGAATGCCAGCTGGGCCAAAGACATCTCATTAAAGGTGGTTTCACTGATGTTCAGGAACAGCATGTACCAACATTCCTGGAGAGAAATAGGCCAAAGAACTCTGAAAATTCTGTATTTACAAATTAAAATATATGCTTCATTTTCTGGCATGAAATTAGAGATGGTAGGTACCATCTACCTTCACTGTTGTAAAAAAGTAGACCCCTCAGAGAACCTATTAAATGTGTTCCATTTATCCTAATCTGAGCAGCACCAAACATTTTGCTTTATAAGCTTCTCTAGTAGAATTTCTTTTCTATTTATTTATTTATTTATTTATTTATTTATTTATTTATTTAGAGACAGAGTCCCACTCTGTTGCCCAGGCTGGAGTATGGCAGTGCAATCATGGCTCACTGCAGCCTTGAACTCCTGGGCTCAAGTGATCATCCCACCTCAGCCTCCCAAATAGCTGAGTCTACAGGCATGCACCACCACGCCTAGATTTTTTTTTTTTTGTTTGTTTTTTTGTAGAGACAACTTCTTACTGTGTTGCCCAGAGTGGTCTCAAACTCCTGGGCTCAAGCAATCCTTCTGCATTGGCCTCCCAAAGTGTTGGGATTACAGCTGTGAGTCCCTGTGCCTGGCCTAGAACTGCTTTTAAAGAAATGTGGATTATATTTTAAAAGGTTGTCTCACTATTCATTCATTCATTCCTTAATTTCACAAATATTTATTGAACTTCTATGGGTTAATCTTTGGAATGATGGGGAACTTACAGTCCAGTGATATGAAAGCTGATAAACAATAAATACATAATACGTTAGGTAGAGAAAAGCACTATGGAGAAAATAAAATAGGCTAGAATCAGAAAGAAGAAAGAAAAATGCTAATGCTAAATACCCAAAAATATGTGATTGAAGGCAGCACAAGTCACTTTCTCATGCTTTTCTAAATATGAGAAATAAAACCATTTGGACCATGGTCCTTCCAACAGCAGTCTTCAGGAAGAATCTTTGACCTTGGCACTATGAACAAATATTTCCTAATTCCCATTTCTATCCACCCTCCCCTCTGCTTTCTTTCCTTGGACCAAGGAAGCTGTTACGTCTTATGAATAGGTTTCTGGGCTTTCATCTGAGGGATTATTTAAACTTTTCATCACTTCACCAAGCTATCCTGAAAGTTAGAGCAGAGCTACATGTGAGTCTTAAATTCAGAAATTACAGGTGTTTGGAAAAAAGTTAGAAACAACAATTTAATTTAAAAATCTCCCCATTCAACAGGGTGCACCTTAGAATGATAGCCAATTTATTTTTCATTACACAATTCCAATTCTTATAGCTAAGGCAGCTGAAAGAATATCAATCCAATCTAGAGCAGAGGGGCAGAGGGAATGGAATATGTACTGGAATTGACCACCATAAAACTGAAATGTAGGGTAGGTGTAGCATAGGGAGACAGAATATTTCATGTCCAATCATAAAGGAATGACTGTTTATAATACTGTCTTAATAGCTGTACATTTCAATCTAAGTGCTGTCAAGGGAAACCTGGAAAGATAATGTATGTCAGAAAATGGAATATATCCAGGATACATGAAGTTCAACGTGCAACTATTTTTTGGTTTCAAATGTAGTAAGAGTTGGTCCCACAAAAGTATACAAAGAACATGAACATCAGAAGGGAGAGTTTGACTTTTCTCTGAAACTTCTAGTTATTCTAAAAGGCTAAGAATCTTGAGGCATTACTTGAAATCTGAAATCTCTCTTTTCAGTTTTGAATTGTAACCCTGTCTCTCTGACAGGGATCTTATGGTATTTTTTTGTTTGTTTGTGTATCCATATTCATGTTTCACACAGAAGATACTAGTAGTATTTGAGATTGAAAGAGGAAAAAACATAAGAACTCCATTGTGGTGACTTCTAACAACTGTTTGTGCTTGTCTTTAGAAAAAATATCATTTGATAAAAACTAAAGATGAAACTGATTCCACCTTCACGGTATTTTCTGAGTGGGTCCTGTCACTGCCATTCTGTCCAATACTGACTGATTTTACTACACTTTAAAAATGATTTTGATCTTTCATTTAATTTGAATTTTCCACTCCTTGGCCCACTCCATATATAGATGCACAATGACATTTAACCAAGAAAGATTCCCTAACAATGAGGACTGTTGCCTCCCTAACTTGCTAATATTACTTTTATTCCCTATAATTTCAATGGTGTTTTGTGCTTCTCGAAACATTTTCTTAGGAGTTATCTCATCAGTTCTTGCATGGATTTTCTTACAACCTTGTCTGTCATTTTAGAACTCAAGTGTAAGATCTGAGAGCTTGCACTACTGTCATTGTAAGTTCTTTTCTCTAATCTTCCCTTTCAATGAGAGGCTTCTCTGGAAGAGCAAAAGAAACATAAATCTCAGGCTCTGAGGAACTTCAGCAGATAGTCTTGGGGTTTGTCATCATGGAGCATTTATTTGTCAGTTTACGGCTCTCAGGTCCGGGAAAGGCATCTAGTTTAATCAATCATTCTATATTTAAATTTCCTTCCCAAAATTCCCACCAAGTGTTTTTCTGGCCTATGCTAGAAACTCCACTGATGGGTTAAGTCTGAGGCACAACTGCCATCATCAGCTTACTCTAGCAGAAAATTCTTTCTCATGCTCAGCTAACATGTAGCTTCCACTGACTCTACTCCTTGGATTCATGAGGAAATACAACAGAGAATCACAGATTGCCAAAGAACCTTGGAGATGGTCTCTTACAGTTCCCTCCATTGACAGGCTCATTTCACCTCCTTCAGGGCAGTTCTCCAAATGTCTGAAGACAGGACCATATTGATTTTTCTCTTCTTCAAGCAAAATGTTGCTGGCCCCTAAGACTCCTCTTCAACTGAAGTGGTTGTGGGCCCTTCACCATTTAAGTTGCTCTTTTCTGAGCACACTTCAATTTATCTGTACTACTTTTAGACAGCAAGATCCAGAACTGAAAACAATACACAGCCCTTCCATGCTGGAAATGATGTGTTAAATCACAGCTTTTGAATATAATTATTTGATCAGCTATGACTTCAATGAATGCTGATTAAGAGCTCAGGCTTTGTAGTCAGAAACACCTGGATTTGAAGTCAAGCTCTTTTTAGTTATGTGATAAAGGAAAATTAACTAATGTCATTAAACCAGTTTCCTCATCCAGTTAATAGAGATTAAAAAGTACCCACTTCACAAAACTTAACTGCAAGCAAAGTACTTAGCATGATGCCTGGCGAATATTCAATGAATGTAAGCTCCTGTAAGGCCATACTCTTTTCACCTCCTCAAAATTATTTTTGTGAAAGACAAGGAGATCTAAACAATTAAATGGAAAGGTAATTATTGGAAAAAAATAGATTTTAAAATCTGCATTGCTTGAAAGCCTACTTTTAACAAAGGAAATACTGACATCATTAATTGCTTTAATGCTGTAAGAGGGATTTATCAGAATGAATTCATTGGTTTAATTCTTTTTTTGGGGGGGAAGGGGGGGACAGAGTCTCACTCCATCACCCTGGCTGGAATGCAGTGGCAAATTGGGCTCACTGCAACCTCCGCCTCCCAGGTTCAAGTGATTCTCATGCCTCAGCCTCCCGAGTAGCTGGAATTACAGGCATGCACCACCACACCCGGCTACTTTTTCATGTGTATATACATATACATATTTTTCTTTCTTTTTTTTAGTAGAAACAGGGTTTCGCCATGTTGGCCAGGTTGGTCTCAAACTCCTGACCTCAAGTGATCTACCCGCCTCAGCCTCCCAAAGTGCTGGGAGTCCAGGCGTGAGCCACTGCATCCAGCCTCATTGGTTTAATTCTACTGGGAGTCCTAACATCTGAAATCTATTCTAGCTGAATTTTTGCAACCTTTTGAATGTATTAGTACAGTTCAATAGCAATCTAATTCTGCATGAGGGATAGAGTTACTGGATATGCTGAGCTTGCCATTTTAAGACTGCTCTCTTCTCCCCCATCCACCACTGCCTTGAACCCCTAAGGCATTCTGAAGGAGTCCTACATGTTCTATAGTGATGAAAAGAAGTTGATGAATACTTCCCAGACATGCTGAATTATCTTTTGACATAGCCTTTCAGTATTTGGGCTACACTGAAATGCTATTTTTGAATGAAATAGGATTTCTATTATAATATCATTACAGACATGTCATTTTTCTTAAATGTGGCACTAAAATATAATTTTGATGTTGGATTTCCATTTTGAATATCTCAAGAGACATGGTTATATAGTGAAAAAACATGGATTTGGGATTGACGCTGTGGAATCTGAAGTGGTTCACTGTGGTTCAGATCCTGAAATTTCTACCCACTAGCTCTGTGACTTGAACAAATTATTGTACCTATGCTACGCTTTGGTCTTTCATCAATAAAACAGAGGTATCAATATTGTTTGCTTCAGAGAATTTCTGCAAATGTGATAATTTATATGAAATGCTAGTTAGTATAGGGTCTGGCTTGATAAACATTCTTCCTCCTCCTCATCCTTCTCTTCTCTTCCTCTTCCTTCTCCTTCTTCATCATGTGGATTCATTCATAGATAACTCTACCACTTACTAGGTGACCATTGGCAAGTTACTCAATCACCTTGCTCCTCTATTTTTCTATCTTTTAAAAATGTTTATTTTAATATATTCTTCACTGGATAATTGTGAGATTAAATGAGATAATGTATCTAGGGCACTTGGGACAGAGTAGAGGTTCAATGAATCATTATGCATTATTTCATTTCCTTCCTGTCCTCCACCCCTCTTGTATTCTTTACTGATACAAATCTATATCTATATATATCTATATCTGTAGGAATATATGCAGAAGAGATATATTTGTTTCCCTATTTTTAGGCAACTAGCTTTGAGCCAGTGAAGATGTTTCTCAAATATTATTCTACACATTATCAAACATAAGCAGTTCCTGCTAAGACAGCAAAGCACAGGGAGAAATAGATTGGAATTCTCACACTTATTGCTCTCCCCCTGTGGTTGGCCCATTGAGATGTTTAGCTGCTGTAGAAGCAGGAGGTCTCTAAACAGTCTAGTGAAATTTCATCTGCCAAATGCTGGAGTTAGTAGAGATCTAGGAAATATATTAATAAAAGAATGGCCCCCAGAATTTATTGGCAAGTCCAAAGTAACAAAAAAGCAGAATTTGATATAACCAGGGGCTCTTTGCACTATCATTTTTCACTTTTGCCATATTCACTGTAGCTGACCTAAGCTATTTCTCTGTGTGGTTTTGGAAATTGGAAGGGGGGATTTAATGCTTCGCTTAAGCCTGCTTTCACTTGGCTCCAGCTGATTTATATTTACGATTGTATTCCTTTTCCCCCAGAGACAGCTGAAATATTGTTGGAGTGATTGTTTAAAATATAAAACCATGTGCAAATCCAGTTACTTGAACAGAGAGTGAGAAAATGATGGCAGCATAAGCAGAAAGGGAAGAGAAATAAAAGACTGAACATATTTAAAATGAGGAGGGGGCAGAAAAATGGGACTTATGAATAAGGTATTTGAAAATAGTTGGAAATCAAGCAAAGAAAGATGGATGGAAAAAGATATAAAAGAGAAAAATTGGAAGATAAAAGATGCAGAGAAAATATGATGAACAGAAGTCAACATACTTGGAACATGTCTCTCAGTCTCCCCTTTACATTATCAACTTAATTTAATAGAAAAGCAGTCCAGGAACGATACTTGGGGAATCAGATTGTTAGAAGGAAATTTTACAAGAGAAACTTTCATAATTTATTCTCTGTCCTCTGAAATCCATATTTGAGAACTTTAAAAAAGTGACTGCCAAGGCTGTTGGGACTACCTGCACATCTTTTGGTGTCCTCAGGAGCAAACGGATCATGGCATTGATTTCATGGCCAAGGACTCACATGGTGCACGGGGGTCTCATTCTTGTCATTCATTTTTGGCTCTCTGAGTAATCTCTGTGTTCCCACACACTCAGACCACGTCCACAGAAACTGAAAAGTTGCTATTGCCTTACAGCAAAAGTGGCCTGGAAATTGATTTAACTTGGTGTTACAGTGGCAGCCACAAACAAACAAACTTGTAAACTGGGGGGAAATGAGATCAAAGACTACTTCTACTTTTTTTTTTCCCCTGTACATCCTGGCTTGGGTGAATAGTGACTAGACCAATATACATTTACTTCCTCACTGATTCACTCTGAAAGTATCATAGGGAGTTTCTTCTGCAGAACATTCCCTGGACTTATGTTACTGAATTTTTATAGCAACCAATATTTTTTATAGACCTGTAAATATGACTCTTGGATGTCAATAAACCCGTTAATTCCATGTCCTGCCTGTGCACAGGGAAAGTGACATGTTGTTTTGGAACTGAGCAGCCTGGGATCTTCTCTCTGACTCACTCTATGACCTTGAACTTAAACTGTCTGCTTCTTACTTTCCTGGCCTTGAAAGCTGAGCCGCAGTTAGATTAAACCAGGAAATGGCAACATGCTTGGTACTTTCAAGTGAATTTGGTCATAACATCACCATGTTATTGGAGGAGGACAGTGTGTCATGGATCCTGTCAGTTGCCACACAACATCTCCTTAAGACCATCAGAGACACAGTGAAGCATTCCTGTTAGCCTCATCTGTGGAAACCTGAGCCAAAGGCAAATGGCTTTGAAGAATGTTAAGTTCCATGGGTCGTTTAATAGTAGAACACTGTTACGGAGATCTCATACTGACTTCATCAGCAACTAGCCTTCCATTCTTGGCAAGTCATTCGGAGCCTCTCTGTGCCTCTGCTGCTAGCTCTGTAAAATAGAGCTATGTGTTTTACAGGATTGTTGAGGCAATCAAATTGTAGGCAATTTGTTTTAGAAATTGAGAAACTTGTTTTAGAAAGTGAGAAACTATTCAGGGCTGTCCAATCTTTTGGCTTCCCTGGGCCACCCTGGAAGAAGAAGAATTGTCTTGGGCCACACATAAAATACACTAAAGACAGCTGATGAGCTAAAAAAAAAAAATCTCAATAAAACTCATAATGTTTTAAGAAAGATTAAGAATTTGTGTTGGGCCGCATTCAAAGCTGTCCTGACCTGCATGAGGCCTGCGGGCCATGGGTTGGACAAGCTTGATTTAAACAAATAAGGCATCACAAGGTAGGTATCATAATGGTTAAGAGTGCACTGGAACTAAACAGCCCGATGAGAAGTTATCCAGGGTGTCATCCATGTCAGAGAATGTTAAGGTATCCATAAGTTCCCCTCATGTCCCTGCCTCTAGACATCCTGCTAGTAAGAAGATCAGATTCTCCTCCCGCTCCCAACAAACAATGCTCCTAAAACTGCCCTCACAGGGGTCACAGATAAACCCCCGATGGTTAGATTTAGTAGATGCTTTACAGTCCAGCTGCCACTTACCAGCTGTGTAACCTTTTGCCTTATTTCTTTCAGCGTAAAATGGAAATAAAAACAGTATCTGTCTCATAGGATATTGTGAAGATTAACAAGGCAACATATCTAAAGAGTTTGCACCATCCCTGACATACTGTAAACACTCAAAGTGCTGGCTGTTAACAAAGCATAATCTTCCTAAGTCATCAAAAGAATATTCTTTGCTCTTCTTTTTCCTTCCATTTAATTATCTTCAATGTAGGGTCCTGATAGATTATTGTTATGTTACCAGAATGCCACTACTACATGTATAAGAGAAATACCTTTCATTAAAGAACATTTTACTTTGCTTACACAAATAATCAATTCAGAGGAAACATTTACTTCCCTTTTCTACTCCCTCCCCAACCTTATTCAATTATTGGTTTCCCTTGCAATCAGCCATTGTTTTGGTTCCATGCTGAGAGAGTGGGAACTCACAATGGAAGCGGTTGTTCTGCAGCAGTTTCCGTCCCACTAGCTTATTTCCAGGTGAAGTTAAATCTGTGCCAGTGGCATATCCACTGCATGTTGGCTCCGGTGCTGTGGAAAAGGCTCACCAGGACTTAATTCTGGCCATCTGCTGAAGGTTTAAAAATGTAATTGTCTGGAGTGACCACTGTGAATCCAAACAGGTTCAACTTCTAATTACGTCAGTACTACTCACAACTCTGTTTTTTAATGTGGTGCCAAAAATGAGGAGACTCGACAGAAAGTCTTACCATAATATTTTACAATATCAATAAAGCTTATCCACATGTCCAATTTACAATTTTATGCCTCTTAATGTATTCTAATTTTGGCTACACTGGCTGTGTGGACTGAGTTTACAGAAATATTGAGATCATAAAACGTCTGTTGCAATTAAAGGCATTGTGTATTTGTTTTATCACAATGGCATCAGGTTTGACATTGAGCTTAGAGTACTTCTTCTTGGCCATATTCACATAGAAATGTATTATATAGGTTGTAATACTGTGTATAAAAAACTGCCCTTCCAAGTGAGTACAGCCTGGCTTAACAAAAGTGTTTCACCAAATCGTCATAAGTCAAAAGCAAAGTGAAAGTCTGTAGAATAAGTTCTAAGGGTTGAGGAATGGGAAAAACAGTATCTTGGAAAAGACAATTAATAGTTGGGGAAAGAGGGGTCTGGAAACAAATCTCCTTAAGTGTACAGAGCCATCAAGCACCACTGCTCTGACTTTGAGAGGACAGTCCATGATCCAACCTATCAGCAGAAAAGACGGTGGAACAGGAAACAGAGGCTGCCTTGCAATGGAAGCCTTTAATTTTAAATTATGCCATGTAAATGGGAGATGCCTGCAGTAAAACCTGGTTTCCTTCATTCACACAGAGGGTGTGCTCAAATAGCCCTAGAAAATAATCAAATGAATTCCAGCATTTTGAAGAAAAAGATATTGGGAAAAGATAGACTGGTAGTACTGTAACAAAACAAAAGATGCTGCAGTTGCAAACTCATTTGAAACAACAGCAACTCACACAAGGCTCAAAGTGACTAATCCTGATTCCATATGGTGTTCAAACACAGGAAAGAAGGAAAAGTGCCTGGTTAGCTTTGGGCGCTGATGATCCTGGGGGTACACAAAATATGAAACCTTTTAAAACTAAGTGTGCAGAGAAATATCATCTGGCACACACAGCAAGGAAGGGCTCAATACCTAGTTGAGGAATAAAGAAATAAATGAAGAATGTGTAGCATCAGTAGACTACAAGCTAACATTTACTGATGACTAGCTAGGTGCCAATTTTTGTTCACTTATTTAATCATTTCACAGATGAAAAATTGATCTCCAGAGAGATTAAATATTTGCCCAAATTTCAGCTAGTCAGTGTGCAGCTGAAATTTTACCTTAAGGCTGGTTACAGAACCAGAACTCTAAATCCTTATGGTTTAGTGGTTAGGAGTATGCTCGCTGGAGCCATGTTTCCTGGGTTCAAGTCCCTACTGCACCACTTACTAGCTTGAGGGGCTTACATGATCTCTTACAACTCAGTTTCCTCATCTACAAACTGAGGAGGATACTAGTACTTTCTTCATAGGTTTATTCTTTGAATTAACTGAGATAGTATTTGGAAGGAAATTCGTATGGAGTATGGCACATTGTAAGTACTCAATAAATGACAATTATAAATATCTTTAAAAGTACCTGCCACTGATTTTGTGTCTTGTTTTCATGTTGGCAGAGACATAAGAAAATATTTCTGACCAAAATCTATGGTCAGAGCATCTTTCTAGACATTTATTCAAGTTATTGAATTTTATTCAGTTTCCTGCTAAATAATAATAATATTTGCCATTGGTAACTGCTTGTGTGGAAATACATAAACAGGAATTAGTAAAGAAGGGCGCCAGCTCTGAGTGGTATAAAGGACACGGGGTCTGGAGCCAGAAAACCAGTTTCAGTCTCAACTTTGTTAGTAGCTGTGTAGCTTTTGACAAACAAATTAATATCTTTGAGCCTGTCTCTGCCTTGGTAAAGAGAGTTCCTGATAATAATACTACCTCTCAGGAGATAATGGGTTTGAAAGTATTTTGTAAACTGTAAAGTACTAGACAAATATTAGGTATTATGTTAGCACCGTGAGAAGGTTTGAAAAAAGCAAGAAAACAACACTTTGCTAGTGAAGTTTGAAGAGCTTTCTAATTTGGGAGTTGTTGCAGACACCATTAAGAATTGAGACACACTATGCTAAATTTAGTTTAAAACAAACAAAAAAATGAAATGCCATTCAACCTTGAAAAAAAATGTAGCTTGCTGTATGTGTGGAAAGGACTCAAACAGATTGAGAGAAGCCTAGAGAGCAACATTGTGGATGAGCGCCCCGGCGGATATAGTAAGCCAGAAAATAGATTGGACCATTTACAATGTTGTGCAGTATTTAAAAGGGCAGTTCTATTTTTGGCTGTCATAAAGAGACAATGGACTCCTTTCTTTCTTTTGGAGCTGGAACAATGCTTGTGGTGCACCCTTCTGGGCACTGCAGGTCAGCTATAAGCCAAGATGGCTCACATACTACACACACAAACTCACACCCCCTGGAATTCCCCCTATGAAGGAGAAATGGGTCTAATTGGAGGAGGAAGACCTGTGGTGGGCTTGGCCACCACCTGCAGCTTGGCAGGTCAACAGGATGCCCCTTAGCTCTTTTCATGCTTTTATCAAAGGGATTTTGGCCACTTCACTTCTTCACATGACTTTTGGTTCTGCTTGAATCTATTTTGAGTCTAAGCATACAGACAGTGGGTAGGAAACAGGAGACTGTTGGGAATGCACTAGAAAGGACGGATGGATGTGATGATTGATAGAAATGTATCATTAAAATTTGGTAGGGAAACACGTTGAAGAATGAAACCAGACTTTATTAAAGATTTAAATAAAAATCTTACATAATAGAGAGAGGAAGAAATACACAGAATTGACAAGTTTTACTCACAGCAGAAGTTCCCACTGCAGGCCCTGGTGAGGTGTGACATTATACATAATTCTAGGCTATTATCGCCTTTCCATAATTATGAACACTCAATCTCTGAGCTGGTGTTTCAGGGACCTATGTGCTCCTCCATTTCCCCACAGCTCTTCTCTAATTCCTTGACATCGTCCTAGTGTTAACTATTTGTACTTGCCCTTTGGCAGGGGAAGCATAGTAATGAGTGTGCCATTCAGGTGAATCCCTAGGGTAAATTAAGAAGCAGACAATGTTTGTCTTCCACCATCCTCCATCATTCTTGTTAGCACCTGTCCTCACCTGCTCATTCAACAAGTTACCCCTTAATGATTTTTAGGTGTCCCTGTGAGTGAGCAAGACTGCCTTTCCCTGATACTCACTCATGGTCCAGGACTTTCCCCATCATCCCCACTCCCTCCCTCACAGTTCACCAGGGCTGAGCCTTCTTCCTGAAGTCTTTCTTTCCAGTGTACTGAAACACATATAACAAACAAGTATATGTGTAAGGTGATCATGACTTAATGGGATAGACAGTCAACTTATTCAACCAATACATTAAAATAAGGGCTAAGAAGAAAACATGTCAGAATCTGAGATAAAAAAAGCATTTCCATTTGTGTATTAATCCAGGGTATCTTCTTAATTCACAGTAAGATACTTTCTGGAATAAATGTTAAAACATCTGAACTCCATTTCAGTACAAAGGTATATACTGCAAGCCCCAATTAGAGAAATTTTGAAAAAAACCTAAATATTCAATAAAAAGTGGTTGTCTGTATACAATTAAACAATATGCAATCATTAAAAATGACTCTATGAAAGGATATTTAATGATATGGAAATACCACATAATCTTAAGTCTACAATACATAAGGTTTGCTTTTTAACATTCATGAAACTGGGAAATATTTCACAACAAACCCCCAAACAAGTCAACAGTTACTAAGCAGATCAGAAAGTCGTGACATAAAAGGTTGCCTGCATGAGCAAATGTAGCTATAAAAGAAAAGTTTCTGTTTATCTGTGTCTCACCTCAGTTATTTGTAATGGTATAGCCATATATATTTAATTTTCACTTGTTTGTACCTCTAATTGTCATTTTATTTGTCAATCTGTCTTAAAATACATTTTGGTGCAGCTTTACTTATTTATTTATTTTGATGGAGTCTCACGCTGTCACCCAGGCTGGAGTGCAGTGGCGTGATCTCACCTCACTGCAACCTTCACCTCCCAGATTCAAATGATTCTCCTGCCTCAGCCTCCCGAGTAGCTGAAATTACAGGTGGTGCCACCATGCCTGGCTAATTTTTGTATTTTTAGTAGAGGCTGGGTTTCGCCATGTTGGCCAGGCTGGTCTCAAACTCCTGACCTCAGGTGATCCGCTCCCCCTTGGCCTCCCAAAGTGTTGAGATTATAGGCATGAGCCACCATACCCGGCCTGGTGCAGCTTTGACACGAAAAATATTGTGTATACAGAAGATTGTGTTTGTCACATGGCAGACACTGCGATTAAAGGTACTAGAAATAGCCAAATCTCCAGGACTAGATTGCAGAAGGTTCAAAACCAGAAGAAGCTAGTGTGACTGATTCAGACAACATGAAGGACTCTCATTCAGACACCAATGTATCAAAAGCTTCTAGCTGACTTTCAAGACAAGCTGTTTAACTTTCATCCATTTGTAATACAATTAAGCAGAAAACGAAACTGAATCTAGCCAAATAAAAAATTCCTGTGAGGCCTTGGAAGTTCTTTGATTTGCCTCACAAGTTTAATATCAACCCCGAATGTAAGAAAGATGTCTTGATAAAGAGCCTGTTATGAGGAAAAACAAGGAGAGGAATTCTGCCGTAGGATGGAATGTACCCAGCCTCTCAAATATACCTTATTTTCAATGATTTTGATGATAATTCTAAATCATCTTGGACTTCTTAGGTGCTGATATTTAGATGAGATTTGGATGAATTTTAAATTGATGCAGTAATGGGTTGAGATTTTGAGGTATGCTGGAATGTGGTGAATGGGTTTTGCACGTGGAATGAACATGAATCTTTGGGAATCAGAAGATGGACTGTGGTAGGCTAAACAGTGCCCGACACCCCAAAGGTCTATTTTCTTTCTAATCCTAGGAGCCAATGCGTATTATCTTATATGTGATTAAATTCAGGTCTTTAGAAGAAGCGATTATCTAACTAGTTGGCTGGCCAAGTTAGTTATTAATGCAGAGTGAGTTAGTTCTCTGAGCCTTGGAACTTTGAAATTAGAACGACTGAAGATTAAAACACTAGAAAATGAGCTATAAGAGTGTGAACAAAAGCTGATGGAGATAATCACATCTAGCTTCCAAAAGACAAAGGTTAAATCCATCATTTGCAAAACTGTCCTTCGTTTTGGCTACGGGGCTCTGTGACATTAATGGTATCTCTAAGCTAAAAAAAAAAGTAAAGATGCCTTGTACTGGTCAATGATCTTCTGGCCTGAAGCAAACTACTCTGATTTAATTGCCTGTTACCTGGGACAAAGAAAGGGGTCAAAGGTTTTTCATGACATAGCTTTACACCTGTACTCAATCAGTCAGTTTGCAAAGAACATATATCTTCCCTAGCCTTGGTCAAGGGTGAATGAGCATGTGACATAAAAATGATGAAGTGCCTAAAGCAAAGAGATATTAAAGGCCAGATGCCAAATGTTGCTTACATGTAAACAACAATGAATCTAAGGATGCTTGAGGTTATTTCAGATTCTATTCTGCAAGGCAGAAAGCACTGGGTATACAGCCAGTTAGACTGAAGTGTGAAACTGCCTCTGCTACATACCAGTTGTGTTAAATTAGACATGTTATTAATTTCTCTGGGCCTTGATTCCCTCAACTGTAAACTGGGGATAATGATTTTTATCTCATAGAGATGTTGTGAATGTCAACTAGACAAAGTATATAAAATATTTAATCTGGTGCCCTGTGCAAATCCAGTCACATTGTTCTTTGTTGCTACATTCCCAAATAGGAGGATTGTCACATTCCAAGTCTAAAATGGAGGAATACTTTGGGGGCAGGAAATGTTTTCCAATCATCCTTAAATCATGCTTACTGGTTGCTTTTAAGGTTAGTCTTGGTTACTCTTTAAGTCAGTCTCTGTCTTGGGCAGGGCAATATGCCTGGACAAGGGGCAGGTGGGCGGATTCCTGGCAAAGATGGGGCTAGCACAAAGAAGGCGATGAATAGGTAGAGGGTAGGACTGGAAATATTAACCTGCAGTGTAAGGCCTCTGGGCTTGAAAAACATAGGTTCCATTTCAAAAACTAGTCATAGCAAGACTCACAAAGAAGCTTGGTGTGCTAGAAATACTTGGAAGCAGGGCAGACCTAAGCTGGAGAAGCAGGCTAAAAACATGAGTCCCTTAGATAAGTTCCATGGATAGCTCCAAGGGAAGCCATTTCTTCCTGCCTGTAAAGGAGACAACTCAGACTTATCGAACTGATTTTATGGAGAAACCAACATATCTCTGTCTTAAAGGCCCAAGATCTGTTAAAGCATATTTGATCCCCAACACCAGAGAAAATTTTAATCCCATAAATATTTTAAAATATAGGTCAGCAGTGGCATAATATCTGCACAGAAGTCTTCTGAATTGGTTCTTCTATACAGAGAAATAAGTCAACTGTCACTTTAATTGGTTTGACTTAGGGTTACCCTTCCTTCTTAGAGATCCTGAACTAACACATGGTTCTGTCAGGAAGGTCTTCATCTCCCTGAACACTACTATGATGCTGGAGTTTGGGGTTCATGGGGTCAACTGTGGAATGTTTCAACTAGATGAGGTCAGAGTGTGGAAGAGGGTTTTCGGGTATATTTTTCCAGGGCCATATTTATTTCAGTCCATTAGACAGTCTAACCACACTTATATTAAGGGTCCAAAAAGAAGTGGACTTAAATTCTGCCCTACTTTCCGTGTACCCTTGGGAAAGTATTTTAGCCCTTCTTAGCTTCTGTTTTCTAAAAACTGAAGGGACTGAACTTACATACCTTAGGAACAGACAAGAAATTTTATTATAAAAGATAAGAAATTTGGAGTATTTGGCTTAACATTATTAGTTCAGGGTTTCCAGAGATGCAACATTTATTCCTGAGGAAAATGAACTGCCAAAGTCCAAATAATCATGACTCAACCAAGCACTTCCAGGACCACACACAAAATATATATCAAGGTATCACTGGCTTGGTTGCAAAGTACCATGGTGTCTTAGAACTGGGACAAGAGTATAGAAGCCAGTCAGTGCTTCTAGGACAAGAACTGGTAGAAATATGGGCTTCATATATGGCTTTGAATTGACAGTTGTCCTCCAAGTTTTGAGGCTTCTAGATGACAGACATTAGGGTTTTATAAGTTCAAAATGCTGAAGGGCAGTACATCAGAATACAGGAGCGAGCTGTGGGCTAAAATGCCCCTGCTGGAACATACAGGATTTGTATTATAGGAACCTCTCTGACAATGAAGTGTTTGACTTAATAGTTTTTACATTCTTCTGGACAAATGAGTCTCATTGTCATTTCTGAATAATAAAACTGGGGTTCTCCAGTGGTCATGTTCTCCAAGCACTGAATGGAAAAAGGTATTGTCTTTTCTGGAGCTGTGATTCTCAAAGTGTGGTCCCTGGACACCTGTAGGTCTCTGATACTATTTGAGGAGGTCCTTTTGCAACTGCGTATCTCCATGAAGCCTGAATTTTTTTCTTACACTCCAACTAAAATAACAGATCATGGCACATTGATTGCAAAAGCAGATATGAGAAACCAGCTGTTTTCCTTTGGGCCAGCCACTGTCATCTTCTCGCTGATTTGTAAAGTATAATTCTCTTTTTTCTTAAAAAGATATGATTTATTTCTAATATATAATGAATGTATTGCTTCTTTAAAATTCAATAAAAGATGTTAACATTATCAGCTTTAAATTATAACATGGTAAATGTTGATAAATATAACCCATATAGTAAAAAGCTCTTTTGGGTCTTCAATAATTTCTAAGAGAGTAAAGGGTCAGAGATCAAAAAGTTTGACAAAACTACTATAGAGGCATAAGAATTCAAGTTCTTCTGAATAAGTAACCAGTCCTTTAATAATAGCTTAAAGGTGAACAAATACGTTTGGTTTCCGAGTTTGTAGATGTTAAGTTGTCTGGGAAATACTAGCGCTGCCCTTGGGGTGTTTAGATTATTTACTTGTTTTGATGTGGGGCTGGCTCATCAGGCATGTGAGGTTTCCCCTGTAGGACTCTGAGTCCCTCCACTGTGGACTGGATTTAAGCTTTGGAATAAGCCTTGTAGATAATATTGATGGGCATTACAATATTCACTTACATTTCAGCCTCTGGAGTAAACCAAGAATCAAAGAGAGTGTTGCACAACCAGGCATGGTTGAATTGACTGAAGACAAATTTAACATAAATGCAAGGAGAATGTCTCTATTGATGTTGGTGCCAAATATTCCATTTTGAAATGTTATCTCTAGGTAACTGGTTGAATCTTCATCACTTAGATGTATCAAATGTAAAAACTGTCACTCAATATTTCACTAGAGTGTAATTTATAGGAAACAGTAAACAATACTGTTAAGCTTTATATTCAGAGCAAAAAGACTTATGACTATAGGCCAATCTCAGCAAACTAGGCTAATGAGATGAAGTTCAAACTAAATATATGAAAATAAATTGACAGTGGGGTCAGGCACGGTGGCTTAAGCCTGTAATCCCAGCAATTTGGGAGGCAAAGGTGAGTGGGTCACCTGAGGTCAGGAGTTCGAGACCAGCCTGACCAGTATGGTGAAACCCTGTCTCTACTAAAAATACAAAAATTAGCTGGGTGTGGTGGCATGCACCTGTAGTCCCAGTTACTCGAGGGGCTAAGACAGGAGAATTGCTTGAACACAAGAGGCAGATGTTGCAGTGAGTTGAGATCACACCACTGCACTTTAGCCTGGGGGCAACAGAGTGAGACTTTGTCTCAAAAAAACAAAAAAAAAAAGGAAAGAAAGAAAATAAATTGAGAATGGTAATATGTTCAAATAAAATATTTAAATGAATTAAATCTTAATATTTTGAAGTATATGTCAAATTTCTGGTTAATAAATAACAGCATTTTAAAATACATCTATTGTTGGGCTTATTTTAATGAAAGCAAAACTTCTGCTTTGAAATTTTCATTAAGTCCTGTAGTTTCACTCCTCTTTAGTTTTTACATCTACTAAATGAGAAGACTGCATCAATAATCACCAGTTCTAACATTCATTCCAATGTAAGCCATAAACAGAGTAGGTTTCTTAAGTAGAGTCTGTTCTCTCAGGTAGTTTAAACATGTCACCTGCTGTGCTTTATTTCTTTTTGTTTGTCCTATAAACTATATTTGCTATGAAGTTCTACAGTGAAATTCATCACAACCTTAGAAAAGATCAACCCAAAATAGTGACTGCTGACACTAGTTAAGTGATATTAAGTGGTATTTTACAGAAAACTTTGAGACTATCTTCACAGAAAATTATAGTATTTCAGGAAAGAGTAGAATTTTTACCTGTAAGGAATTTAGACCTTTCAATAAAATAATTTTGGACTCATCTATCATTGAACTTTCTCTTTTCCTTTACACTTTTTTTCTGGGTTACCTTGGAGGTGGTGACAGTGGAGTAGAGATAGAAGCCAAAGGAAGAAATAATTTTGGGGCCAATTCAGTTTTATGTCCCCGGTTCACTAAAATTCATGTCACTTGATTTAGGAATTTGAGCTTTTACTACTTCTGATTTTTGTCCAATTCTAAACAAATCTTTCCTAAAGCATATGATTCCCAGGGCAGTGGAATAAAGCTCTTATCAAAGACCACGCTAATTCAAAGCCATCAGCTTATGGTTTGTCTACCATGCTATTGCATTTTAAGTAACCAATTATTATGTAAAATTCTGGCTTCAGTGGTATTAAGGATACGCAGGAGTCATGAACTCTGTATGATTATAAAAAAACTTGAATCTTCATTAAAGGACATAGAAAGTTAATTAAAAGCTAATCAAAAGGAACGAAGATTTCTGAATATCTGATATTCTCTACTTATTCAGTACATTTGGAAAGTTGAAAACTGTGGTCAATGTCAGGTCAAAGACACTAAAGTCTTTCTCTTGGGGTAATTGCAGCCTCTTGACTTTGCTTGAGAAGAGCAGTCAATTGTTTATATAATTTGTAATTCACTGTTATGTCAAAAGGAGAAAAAAGTATTCAGTCCGTAAAGTATTACATAGATTCATTATCTTCGGAGTATCTGTGCAGAGAATTCTCAACTACAAATGGAATTTATACTTACATTACAGTGCATTTATACTATAGCCTACCTCAAAGCCTATGATCATTATACAAAGATTCCAAGTAAACGAGTACTGGTACTAGAATTAACATTTGAGAAGACTAATTAGTTGACTCCTTTATCCTCTTTACACAGAATAAATTTCTTCAACAAAAGCAATTTGGAGAGAATACTACAGCCAAGGGTGATAATTTGAAGAAACAATAAAAATAAATGAAAAACACTGGATTCATCATTACAGAATATTTATCATTAGAGACAAATAATTGAACCCTCCAAGAGTTCAGAAAAATGAAAAGAAAATAGTGCCACTGAAGTGGCAAATGCCAGTCCCTGACTGCTCTCAACCTCTAGTTTACTACCTGGCCGGAATTTCATTTGCCTACAGGACCAGCCCTCCCCAGATTCAGAGCCATTGCTGCCTGATGGCCAGGGTACGCTCAGAGCCCTAGGTAGCTCTCCTTGGGATGTGTCAGCCACAGTCAGGTCCCCAAGATTCTACATTGATTTCTTCTTCTTTTCTGAGTTGGATGTTTCTTGTTTTGAAACACTGGCTTTGTGCCCTGGCGCTTTGCACAGCTTTCCCCAGTTTTCTCCTCCTTTCTCTATTTTGAGGTCTGATTCTTGTTCTATCAATTTCTAGCTGGTGTCTGTGTTCTTGTTCCCATAGGCAGTGCATCCAGAAAGAAAACACAACACTGTTATACCTCTCTTAAGATACATCTGGCATTTTCTGATGGGAAAAAAAAATCTAACTTATATGGCTATTTTCTGTTTCTGCCTCTGTCCACAAAGAGGAATTTTTACAACAGGGAATAATCAAAGGCAATACAGTGAGATCTACCAACTCTCCCTTTTCTGCACTGCTTCAATTGCTCACAAATGGTTTCCCTTTCCTCAGCTTTAACTGCATATAAACCTGCTAAATTCTTTCATGTTGTCCAAATAGAAGCTCTGATCAGATACCAGCATTTCCTGGTTGCATTAAATAAATTATCTGTAACTGTGTATTTGCTTTAGCACATAAACTAAATTGTCTGTAACGGAGTGTATTTTCAATGACGAATAACACCTGCACAGCATTTTCTGGCTGAGATGAGAGAGAGAAGAGAAAGAGTGAGAGAGAGAGAAGAGAGAGAAAGATGGAGATATACAGAGAGAGATGGGGGAGAGAGGGAGAGAGAAAGAAGGAAGGAGATGAAGAAAGAATGCTGAACAATAACAATAACAATAACAACAACATACAATAGAAAGTTGATTTCATAGGATGGCTCATGTGAGATTCCCAATGCATCTTTTGTACCTCTTCTCTAGGGGAAACTTGAGAATATTACACTCTCAGTGTTCAAAAGGCAGAAACATGCCAGTCAGAAAGCCCCATGTAATATCCTCAGTAAACAATTAACCAAACCAAAATTTCAAGAATGGTTACAAAGAGCATCAATGTGTAGCAGGGGTATTTTCTCTTGGAGGACATTTAAACAACACCACACTCCAATGCACCATTTCCAAAACCATAGTCTTCTTTCAACAGCATTGGCATATATGTATTGAATGACACTGAGTAGATGAACGAATGAATAAATGAGGTTGTCACATGTCCTGTCCCTGGGATTCTTCTTTGGTGACTATGCAGCTGTGTAAAAACCTTCTTTTTGTTGAACTCCCCAAATGAGATCCTCTTCATGGATCTTGCAAGTTGTGTGACCGTGTTACTTTAATGCAAGTGGTGTTTATTGACAGTGACTGAGTTTGGCACCATTTGTAATCATCTGAATACAAAAACTGGGAACAATTTCCAGTGTCCAGATGTTTGCCATGCTGTAGGTGAAGCAGACAGATAATGGAATGTTTTAACTTCCCCCCAGATGTTTTAGCTAGTGTCATCATAATATCCCCTCTACCAGCAAAGACCAAATAAGTGATTAAATTAGTAGACAGCATCAAACCACAAAACTAAATAAACAAAAATCAATTTCACCATATAAAAGCCAATTCCTACGTAGAAAATGTTGATATAAAACAAGTACTGTTTTTATCAAAATGTTCAATCCTGCTTTATCTCTAGAGTTGCATTACTGAGAAAGCCCATTATGTAAAAAATATATATATAACATTTTAATCACAACATATGATGTAAAGGAAACCACACACTAGTTTGCTAGAATTTTAGACATGGTACAACTCAGTTTGCTCAAGTGCAGCGGTTGTATCTCCCCATTCACCAAGGGACCTGTTACTGGGCCAGGCTTCCTGGACTTTCTTTTTTTTTTTTTGAGACAGGGTCTCGCTCTGTCACCCAGGCTGGAGTGCAATGGTGAGATCTCAGCTCACTGCAACCTCTGCCTCCTGGGTTTAAGTGATTCTCCTGCCTCAGCCTCCTGAGTAGCTGGGATTACAGGCACGTGCCACCATACCTGGCTAATTTTTGTATTCTTTAGTAGAGATGGGGTTTCACCATGTTGGTCATGCTGGTCTTGAACTCCTGACCTCTTGATCTGCCTGCCTCGGCCTCCCAAAGTGCTGGATTACAGGCGTGAGCCACCACGCCCAGTCCCCTGCACTTTCTTATCTATCACCTTTGTTATCTACTGCTCTGATAAACAAAGAATCAAGCCTCTCAAACAAAGCAGTTGTATCTAGTGACCAACAAGCTTTTCCTCTGCAGGTATAAAGTTGGGACTAGGATTCTATTATAACAGATGGCAATCACAGACATGAAATTCTATTTTCTATAAATTTGATAAGCTTGTGTTAAATTATATTAGGTAAACTTTAGTGCAAAAAGAGCACTTACAATCATTTAGTATTTATTATTACTCTTGTAGCATATCAAGCACACATTCGCGGAATCTGCCTGTACGTCAAGCATTATATTATTTGCAAAATTCATAACTAAAAAGGTATTTACATATCATTTAAAAGCATCTCAAAAATCAATGCACATACATGAACACATATCTGACACAAAAACATAGAAAATGAGTAAACTCAAAGAAAATTATAGTCATGAAGCTTGGGATAATTTCAAACTCTCTAAATAGAAATGCTAGTGTGCTTTGGTAGTCAAGCTGAATATGCCACTATTTTACTTGACCTTGACTGCTATAATAACTAATGCTATTTTTTAGATTAATTTGTGTATTGATAATAAATCTATCACTGAGATGATGTTGCATGAATCAAACATCTTTCCTACTGAAGTGTATATTGTTAAATTGTACGCTAGAATTCCTATCTACCTATTAACAGCATTCCAGATATGCTACCCCAAAATAAGGCACCTTGGCATTTGAGAAAACAGCAGAAACAGGAAGTTCTCTGTTGTCCTCCCCTGAAGCAGGCCATAAAACTTATTAGAAAGGTCATTTTCTGACCTTCTCCCTCCTTTCTCCCCTGAACACCCTCATGTGACAGGTGTCCTACCCTATCTAAACAAACAGGCCTTGCTAAATCTCCCCTGACCCAGTTGATGACCATTAGATCATGCCCTTTTGTCCTCCCATCACACTTCTGCGCAACTCTTTATAAAAACACACAGTTTTCCTGTTTCTTGGGTCTTCAATTTTGAAGGCCTTGTGTCACATAAAACATAATAAATACATTTGTATGAAATAATTTAAAATTTATTAAATAGACTTGTATCTTGTTAAACTATCTTTTTTATAGGAGTCTCAGCCATGAACCTAGCAACTGGTGAGGAAAAATATTGCTTTTCTCCCCTCCACTATTCTACACTTAAAACTTAGTGATTGCAAAAACTAATATTGACACTCAAAAGCAATATTTATTAAGAATACATTCGTCATATGCAGAATGACACTAACATATTTATATCATGTCTTTGCCCTGCAGAACAAAGATGATATTTGATTGTTTCATGAATCATAAGAGAGGTTTGAAATTGGGGATTTTTTTTTTTTGTTTATGAACCAATTTGGATAAATCCTGTTTAATAACCGTTAATCCACATTTAACACAACTCTTGCAAGAAGAGAATCTTAATTCTTGCTGAGAAAGTTGCTCTTCCTTTCCTGACCTTCTGTAATTTGGTCACAGTTTGATTCATGCTTGTTTTTCTGTTCTCCCCTCTTGTGTACTCTATAATCCAAACAAATCAAAATGCTCTGCATTTCTGCCTTCATCAACCTGAGTTTTCTGATGAAAAGACCTCCCCCTAACTGGACAAACACAGTTAAAAAACTGTAACAGATCATACAAAAGGAAGAAATATAATTATTCCTTAACATGTTAAAATGATTTCACTAGTAAACAAGTAAAAATGAAAGCATGAAGAAAATTGCATTTTTTAACCTATTAAATTGCATAGAGACAGACGGATAGACATTCCTTTGCTGACAATATTGAGGTGAATCTGGAAACTTCATGTATGGCTGGAAAAAGAATTAATTATCTTGCCTTTGCCAAATAAATTGGCATCATATATTAACAGTTGTAAAAATGTTCAGAAGCATAGATCTCATAATCCCACATTTATAAACTTATCCTAAATAAAGAAACCAAAGGAGGAGGAATAAATCTTATCTGTAAAGATATGTTTTTCTAATATCATAACTTAATGTCAAATAATAGTGAATAAACTAATTAAATTACGTTAAGTAGAATATTATGTTGCAACCAAAAAAAGATGACAATTATGAGGACAGGTGTGGCGACAAAGGAAAGTACTTTTAATAAGTAAGTTGAAAAGTTAAAAAAAAAACTATGTATAACAACATGACTATCACTGTATAAAACATGTATAGTAGGGGGAGGGATAGCATTAGGAGATATACCTAATGCTAAATGACGAGTTAATGGGTGCCGCACACCAACATGGCACATGTATACATATGTAACAAACCTGCACATTGTGCACATGTACCCTAAAACTTAAAAGTATAAAAAAAAAACTCATAGATAATCCAGATATTGGAGTTAATAGATAGGGCATCATAATATCTATGATCAATATAAAGGAAAGAAAGAAAAATCAAAGGAAAGAAAGAAAGAAAAAATAGATAGGGCATCATGATATCTATGATCAATATAAAGGAAAGAAAGAAAAAATGAAAGACAAAACAGGTTGTGTCAGATTTCTTTCTGGCAGCTCTAAAATGCTCACTTTATTTTCACAGATTCTAATTTCCTAAATTATGATTGATGTTTCAAGCAAAAATCACAGCATTGTCTAGTGTTATTCTAAATGTATGTAAGACAATTATACTACAAATTTGAGAGGGTAAAGAGACATAATATGACAGAGGGTTGCTACACTTCACTCAGACTGGACTAAAGATGATACCAATTGACTGTGATAATGTATATATAAAGGAATATACACTAAGCTATAAAATGCAACCAAAAAAACTATAAAAAAGAAGATACACTATAAACACTATGAATAACAAAATGGAATTCTAAAAGAAATGTTCAAGTGACCCACAGGAAGTCATCAAAAATAAGCAGAGAAACAAGAATTGATACAGAAAACAAAAAATGTCAGGCTTATGCACTAAAGTATCAACAATTAGTTTAATTATGAATGATCTACCAAGAGACAGATAATAGAAGAGTGTATTTAAAACTATGACCCTTTCTTATATGTTTCTTGTGTGCTGTGTACAAGAAACTCACTTGAAATTTACCAATACAGGGCAGGCCAAATTAAAAGGATGAAAAAAGATATATTACACAAACATTAATGAAAGGAAAGCAACAGTGCCTGTACGTATATCAGATAAAGCAAAGAAAATTACCAGAAACAGAGAGATTATATAATGATCAAAGGTTTAATCCATGAAGAAGACAGCAATTTTAAAAGTGTATTCACCAAAAAATAGAGCTTCAAAATATGTGATGTGAAAACTGCCAGAACTAAGGCGGGTCGGGCTCGGACCAGCGCTGCCTCAGGATGTAAAGTGTAACAGGGGGGCCGAGGGAGGGTGCGGGGGGCAGCACGGGCCTGTGAGGCCTGTGGGGGGTGCCCGCATTCCCCAGCTCCCTCCGCAGCCGGCTCCGCAGTAGTCCGCTCCGGTTGGTTGCCGCGTGCGGATTCGGGTTCCAGACCCAAGGCTGCGTGTTCTCCACCGCTTGTTGTGGCCAGTGTTAACTGCGGTGACCGCCAGAGCAGCTTGGCGCTATGGAGGAGCCCGGCGCTACCGCTCGGCCCTACTTGGGGCTGGTCCTGGAGGAGCTACGCAGAATTGTGGCAGCACTACCTGAGAGTATGAGACAAGATTCGAATCCTTATGGTTTTCCATGCGAACTGGTGGTATGCGCAGCTGTTGTTGGATTTTTTGTTGTTCTCCTTTTTTTGTGGAGAAGTTTTAGATCGGTTAGGAGTCGGCTTTATGTGGGAAGAGAGAAAAAAACTTGGTGAAATGCTTTCTGGACTAATTGAAGAAAAATGTAAACTACTTGAAAAATTTAGCCTTATTCCAAAAGAGTATGAAGGCTATGAAGTACAGTCATCTTTAGAGGATGCCAGCTTTGAGAAGGCGGCAGCAGAAGCACGAAGTTTGGAGGCAACCTGTGAAAAGCTGAACAGGTCCAATTCTGAACTTGAGGATGAAATCCTCTGTCTAGAAATAGAGTTAAAAGAAGAGAAATCTAAACATTCTCCACAAGATGAACTGATGGCAGATATTTCAAAAAGGATACAATCTCTAGAAGATGAGTCAAAATCCCTCAAATCACAAATAGCTGAAGCCAAAATCATCTGCAAGATTCTTCCAATGACTGAAGAACGACGGGCGATAGCAATAAAAGATGCTTTGAGTGAAAATTCTCAACTTCAGGAAAGCCAGAAACAGCTTTTGCGAGAAGCTGAAGTATGGAAAGAACAAGTGACTGAACTTAATAAACAGAAAATAACATTTGAAGACTCCAAAGTATAAGCAGAACAAGTTCTGAATGATAAAGAAAATCACATCAAGACCCTGACTGGACACTTGCCAATGATGAAAGATCAGGCTGCTGTGCTTGAAGAAGACACAACGGATGATGATAACTTGGAATTAGAAGTGAACAGTCAATCGGAAAATGGTGCTTACTTAGATGATCCTCCCAAAGGAGCTTTGAAGAAACTGATTCATGCTGCTAACTTAAATGTTTCTTTAAAAGCCTTAGAAGGAGAAAGAAACCACATTATTATTCAGTTATCTGAAGTGGACAAAACAAAGGAAGAGCTTACCGAGCATATTAAAAATCTTCAGACTCAACAAGCATCTTTGCAGTCAGAAAACATATATTTTGAAAGTGAGAATCAGAAGCTTCAACAGAAACTTAAAATAATGACTGAACTATATCAAGAAAATGAAATGACACTCCACAGGAAATTGACAATAGAAGAAAATTACCAGATAGAGGAATAAGAGAAGCTTTCTAAAGTGGAAGAAAAGATCAGCCATGTCACTGAAGAGCTGGAGACCTATAGAAAGCTAGCCAAAGATCTTGAAGAAGAATTGGAGAGAACTGTTCATTTTTATCAAAAGCAGGTTATTTCCTACGAGAAAAAAGGACATAATAATTGGTTGGCAGCTCGGACTGCTGAAAGAAACCTCAATGATTTAAGGAAAGAAAATGCTCACAACAAACAAAAATTAACTGAAACAGAGTTTAAATCTGAACTTTTAGAAAAAGATCCTAATGCACTTGATGTTTCAAATACAACATTTGGCAGAGAGCGTTCGCCATATGGTCCCTCACCGTTGGGTCAGCCTTCATCTGAAACGAGAGCTTTTCTC
The DNA here is from genome assembly GCF_000001405.40 of Homo sapiens. Taxonomy (NCBI): domain Eukaryota; kingdom Metazoa; phylum Chordata; class Mammalia; order Primates; family Hominidae; genus Homo; species Homo sapiens. Next base: position 167,714,459 of record NC_000002.12, on the reverse strand, counting down.
TCTCCTCAAACTTTGTTGGAGGATCCACTCAGACTCTCACCTGTGCTTCCAGGGGGAGGAGGAAGCCCAAGCAGCCCAGGGAATCCTCTGGACCATCAGATTACCAATAAAAGAGGAGAACCAAGCTGTGATAGGTCAACTGATGCTCACAGGGCTCCTTCTGACACTGGGTCCCTCTCATCTCCATGGGAACAGGACCGTAGGATGATGTTTCCTCCACCAGGACAATCATATCCTGATTCAGCTCTTCCTCCACAAAGGGAAGACAGATTTTATTCTAATTCTGATAGACTGTCTGGACCAGCAGAACTCAGAAGTTTTAATATGCCTTGTTTGGATAAAATGGATGGGTCAATGCCTTCAGAAATGGAATCCACTAGAAATGATGCCAAAGATGATCCTGGTCATTTAAATGTGCCTGATTCATCTCTCCCTGCCGAAAATGAAGCAACTGGCCCCGGCTTTATTCCTCCACCTCTTGCTGCAATCAGTGGTCCATTGTTTCCAGTGGATACAAGGGGCCTGTTCACGAGAAGAGGACCTCCTTTCCCCCAACCTCCTCCAGGAACCATGTTTGGAGCTTCACGAGGTTATTTTCTATCAAGGGATTTCCCAGGTCCACCACATGCTCCATTTGCAATGAGAAACATCTATCCACAGAGGGGTTTACCTCCTTACTTTCATCCAAGACCTGGATTTTACCCCAACCCCACATTCTGAAGGTAGAAGCAAGTTCCCTTGAGGGTTGATTCCACCTTCAAAGGAGCCTGCTACTGAACATCCAGAACCACAGCAAGAAATCTGACAATATTTTTGCTTTCTTCAAAAGCAACTTTGACTGATCTCATTTTCAGTTTAAGTAACTGCTGTTACTTAAGTGATTACACTTTTCTCAAATTGAAGTTTAATGGAATTACAGTTCTCAGGACAGTATTTTGTAAATAAAGATGGTTTAAACATGAAAAAAACAAAAACAAAATGTATAGTGATGTAGAAACATGTTTGAAAGATATACAATACAGATAAGTTTGTTAGGATGGTGCAATTAAGTGTGTTTTCCCATGTGATTTCCATTTTATAGAATTTTCACTTCATTTTGTGATAATAATTAATTAAAACAATTAAAATTCATGTTTTATCTCTCAGTTCAAACAGATCTTCCTTCCAAGAAAACCTTCGTAATGCCTTATTTATATTTTATTCTTGGAATTTATACATGTTCTTGCAGTAGAGTTATCAGTGAACTTGTAGTAAGCTAATAAGTTGTGTAATTACTTGTTTCTAGATTTTGGAAATGGGCACAAGAGTTCGTAAATAGATCTATGTTTCATTAGTAGTAAGAATTGTGACTAAAATTTTGAGATGCACTCAGTTGTCTATTCTGCTCAGAAGGGATAATAATTGCCATGTGTGCACCTGCAAAATCCATGGGCCTCTTTCTCCAAAGACTCATTGTTATCTAATATTCCCATATGGACATTATCCAAAATGGTCACTGATTTCACCCCTTGACATGGTATTTTTCCCCCTATTGACAGTAGAGAAACTAATCATTGCAGCTATTTAAATAAATTTAACATTGAATGCATTATTTTTCTAAATCTCTGCTATTAGAGATGGGGTCACTTCCAATAGGAAGCAACACTTTTTCCTAGTGCTTAAAATGGAGATAGCCCTAACAGATGCCCCAGGTAATTTCAATGGCTCAAAGAATTCCAAGTGCAGTAGAATCCACAGTAGGATCTGGAAGAAGAACAAAAGAAAATGGGTCTTGTTTCAAGTCCAAGTTCTCTCAAGTAAGCACAGAGTAATCCAATTTGCTAGAGATTTAATCCAACAGGGTTAGTGAGCAAGGCACCTTCAGATTTAAAAAGGAAAAACAAACCCCGCAAAACTTTAAAAAATCATTACTTAAAGCATTTCAAGCATGGGCCAAGCTGAGGATCAGGCTCCTGGAGGAAATGCTGGGTTTTGCTTCCCCCCAGGCTGCCATCTGGCTGTGCTCTATGGCATGCTAGATGCTGTGAGTGTGAGTTGCTATCTGCAGGTATGTGGACTCACTGGATTCCACATTATTTTTATTCCCATTTCTTCATCCAACACTAATCACATGTGTTTGTACTCTGGAAACCATCTGGCAGGTATGGCTACCTACCATGGCTATGTCATGCTGCAGCATATTTAGAGGCTCTCTTAAAAAATACAAATACAGTAGTAGGTTAAATTGAAGAGGTAAATCCAGGTTCTGGACCATATATCCTTGATCACTGTCTTTTTTCCCACTGCTCCATTATTAAAAGTTTGGATTAAAATTTGGGAATCAACCCACATAACCATTCAGAAAGAGAAGCTTCCAAAAGGCTTAAAAGAAGTAAGGAATGAAAGCCAAAAACACAGAAATAAACTGAACATTGGGGAAAAAAAATCTATACACTAAAGCTAATAAGTTTTGCATTGTATTTCCAAGGAAATGGTGGAAATTTTTTATTTTTGAGACGAAGTTGCGCTCTGTCACCCAGGCTAGAGTGTAGTGGCATGATCTCAGCTTACTGCAACCTCCACCTCCCCAGCTGAAGCAATCCTGCCACCTCAGCCTCCCAAGTAGCTGAGACCACAGGTGTGAGCCACCACACCCAGCTAATTTTTTTTGTATTTTTAGGATAGATGGAGTTTTGCCATGTTGCCCAGGCTGGTCTCAAATTCCTGAGATCAAGCTACTCGCCCACCTTGGCCTCCCACAGTGCTGGGATTACATGCATGAGTCACCACTCCCAGTTGGAATTTTTAAATTATTATTTTTATTTACAAGACTTAGGCTACTTATGTAGAACTGGTAGTGATGAAAGTTCTTACCACTTGGAAATTACCAGATTCAGACTCAGAAAAAAAATACTGAATGATTTTATTTTAGACCTTAAGTCAGAATAGCATTTAGTGCTTTAAGTTTCTTTCTTCTGTACTCTTGTCAGTCAGTAGTTCCTTCAGTGACTCAGAGGACCGTCAGGTACTACCTTTTTCTACCTGCAGTGCCATTCATTCACCCATTTGTTCATTCTAAAAACATTCATTGAATATCTGCTATTGTCAGACATTAATGCAGGTGCTGGGTTACAATGAAAACCAAACAAGTAAATAAAGCATGAAGATATTAGATGCTACAATAAATATAAAACAGAGGAGTGATGTGATGGAGTGCGACTAGAGGTCTTGTTTAGATTGGATCAGGGAATGCATCCTTGAGAAGGTGACATGTAAGTGGAGATGGGATTGATTAGATATTAGAGGCTTTGGTGGAAGAGCATTCCAAGTAGATGCAACACAGTATTAGGGCCCTAAGATGTTCAAGGAAGAGATAAAGGCAAGAGTAGCTGGAGCATAGGCCCAAGTGGAAGATGGGTAAAAGATGAGTTTGAGTGGGGAGAGAGGGATCATCTTACATAGGGCCTTGTAGGCAGAGTGAGGCATTTGGATATCATTCTAAATGCAGTGGAAAACCCTGGAGGGCTTTACACAGGGCCACTAATCTGATCCACTTGAAAGATTGCTGCCATTAGGGAGACAAGATAAAAGCAAAGAGACCAGCTACGGGCTATTTATTAACTTAGCCCAGGTGAGAGATGATGGCCTCTTAGACCAGGATGGTATGTCTTAAAAGCAGACTTAGCAGGTCTTGCCTATTGATTTGAAGGGGCCAGGAGCAAAAGGAAAAGAGGAACCAAGGATGATCACGTTAAATAGACTTAAAAACTCAGCAAAAATATTCCCAGCTCTGCAAAATGAATGGGAAACAGGGAGCTCACTTGATGAAATTCCAGTGAAGTAACATCTGGATTGCAGTAGATATATGCATTTCCTTTTAGACATTAATGCCCTAGGAGGTTGGTCTCTCATACATCGAGGAGGACCTGCAGACAATGCTTTGAGAAGCACAACCAATTCTAAATGAAAGGCAGGCCAAACTCCTAACAGAAACTTCCCGAGCAGTTTCACCACCCTTGGGTAGCTTTGGAGCACAGCCAGGATTTTCACTGCAAAAGAGCCACGGTTTCCTCGTCTGTAAAATGAAAAGTTTTAAATTAGATGTTCTCTAAGGTTGCTTCTAATTTAAAAATTCTGTGGATTGACACCCTACTGGGTCTATTCTAGGGATCTTGAGTACATAAGCCATACACAATAAGTTACAGTAATAAAGATACTTCAGGGTTTAAAAAAATTGTTTCATTCCTACACTTAATTCTGTATTTAAAATAAGTTTTTCTTGGTTGAGTATTTATAGTCTTTCTGAAGTGACAGCAAGTGAAGATAGTTTTGCTTGAACATTTAAGTCTACCCTTTGCACCTGGGGTAAAATTCTTCTCTTTAGGGGTAAATAAACCACAGTTAGAATGCTTTCCTTTATTTGAATAATTTTTTTTTCTGGGTACCCAGTGTGCTGGGTCACTTCACTGAGTGGAAAAAACATATTATCTGTACTTACACAAATATATACATAAACATATATTTGCTATTATTGAGCATGTGCTATGTGTCACACTTTGTGTTGTGATAAGTGATTTTCACATATTTACTTATTTAATCCTCACAAGAAGAAGTTGTAGGAATATTTGTCTCATTTCATAAATGGGTGAACTGAGTCTTAGCATGTTGTAGAGCTAGAATTTCCACCCAGTTCTGCCAGACTTCTTAGTCAGGCTCTTATCTTTGGAAATGAGAGATATATACCTACCACTTCTCATGGCGAGGATTAAATAAGTTGATATGTGAAAATCACTTATCACAACACAATGTGTGAACCCAGCTGTTCCATGTAGCATTCTGATGTACAACTATCACTATGCCTTTTGTGCTATTTGAGGCTGTAGCCTTTCTAAATTTCTCTCATTATTCATAACTCTGCTCCACTCACATTTCCTATCAAGGCTTAGTACATCTTCCCAAACAAATATTAACACAATTTTAGCATACTCAAAAACCCAATGACATCTTGAGCCCTGGGGCACCAGTTAGAATAGGGGTTTATGCTACACCTGTGGATTTTATTAAAGGTTTATTTCTTTCCCTAGTCACCTTCCTTCCCTCTCTTTCTCACCTCATCCAAAATTCAGCAGAAGTCCACAGGGCACAGTGCTCAGAAGGTATTATCTGGTTATTAGTTTTTAATTTTCCTTGGAAACTCTAAAGCACTGCTGCAGACTCTGGATTCCATCTGGGTTTGTTATCCTTCCTCCCTTTGGCACCACACTGCTCTGGGCCTAGGCCAGCCCATGGCAAAAACATCTCCTTTTGTTTCTCAAGCACACATCACCAGGTACTTGCCCTGTTGATGAGCAGCCTCTCAGTCTGCTTGCTTTGTCTGCTTTTTGGTCTCTTGGTCACAGCAGGGCATGAAATGGGCAGAAGCAAAAATACCCAACAAAACATTTATCCTAAGGTCTCCAGACTCCTGAATTCACAGAATTCCCCAAATATCAAAGTTACATAAATATTTTATGGTCCTATAACCAAGTGGAGGAGAAAAAATATTTTAAAGCAAAATAGACAGTAATATTTTCTGCCTTCTTACTGGGGGAGATGGAGGTGGTGGCATTATTTATATTATTCTAGAAATAAATCTCTCTCTCTCCATTCCTCTTGCAGACACTGGTGAGGGAAGGAGAAATGAGAAACTGGGCACATCAATAAGCTTGGTGTATACAATGGGAGAGCTAGAGCTGAGCCTGGGGCTGGAGCTAGAAGGAGCTGCCTGGTTCAATCTGCATGAAGTGATAGGATGATACCATTTTCTTTTTCTTTTTTTTGAGATGGAGTCTCGCTCTTGTTGCCCAGGCTGGAGTGCAATGGTGTGATCTCAGCTCACCGCAACCTCTGCTTCCCAGTTTCAAGTGATCCTCCTGCCTCAGCCTCCTGAGTAGCTAGGATTACAGGCATGCGCCACTGTGCCGGCTAATTTTTTGTATTTTTAGTAGAGACGGGGTTTCTCCATGTTGGTCAGGCTGGTCTTGAACTCCCGACAGCAGGTGATCCACCCACCATGGCCTCCCAAAGTGCTGGGATTACAGGCGTGAGCTACCGCACCTGGCCTGACTCCATTTTCTTGTGTTTTGCTCCAGAAGAAACCACTGAACCATGCCGGGTGGCTGGCTGAGCAGAGTTAGCAGAACTGGTATCTAATCAGAATGTCTAAAGTGTAACTTTAAGTTGTTATTCTTATGCACACCTTCTGTCTCCTCACACTTCAGGTAAAATTTGTCTGTTGGCTTTATTATTTCCTACATTTGATTTGCTATTTTGTGGCAATCAAGGAAAGGAGAGAAATTGTATCTAAGTGAGATGTAGTACAGAGCAGAGACACCATGTGTGGGATGGTGAAAAAATCCATAAACTTAACAAATTTAGGAGGCATGGGAGTGTAAAAATAGAGGTGACTGGGAACAATGTAAGTCATCCTCTCCTCCACCAGAATTCCTGAAGTGATTGGAAAGAACATTGAAACCCACACTATGCATGATGTTTGAACCAATTTTATTTATGTCTCAATGGATGTGGTGCCCTGGCTAATATCTAGAGGCCATTACCAATGTAACTGCTATTTTATAATTATAATGCAGGTTTCATTGGTTCTTGCCCTTACGTGTTGTGATAGCAGAATAATGGCCCTCCAAAGAGGCCCACATGCTAATCCCTGGAATCTGTGGACGTGTTAGGTTACATGGAAAGGGGATTTAAGGTTGCTGCTGGAATTAGGGTTGCTAATCAGCTGACCTTAAAGAGAAGATGATCCTGGATTATCTGGGTGGGCCCAATGAAATCACAAGGAGCCTTCAAAGTGGAAGTGAGAGGCAGAAGCAATGTCTTGTGAGAGAAGGACTCCACCATTTCTGGTTTTCAAGATGGAGAAAGGAAAGCACGGGCCAAGGAATTTGGGCTGCTTCTAGAAGCCGGAAAAAAAAAATAAGAAAAATAAATTCTTCTGCAGAGTATACAGGAAAGAACTCAAACCTGCCAAGATCTTGACCTTAGCTCATGGAGACTCATGTTAGACTTCTACCCTACGGAATGGAAAGATAGTAAAATTGTGTTGTTTTAAACCACCAAGAATATTATGGCAGCAAACGCATATCTGTCAATACTTATCTATTGCTACATAATAAACCACCCCAAAATTAAGTGGCCTAAGCAAAATGAATCATTTATTTTGCCTGGAAACCTATAATTTGAGCAGGGCTCAATAGGGGTGTTTGTCTCAGTGCTACACACCATCATCTTGGGTGCTTCTTTGGGGCATGGAGAGTCCACTCTCAAGGTGGCTCACTACCACGGCTGAAAGGTGTGCACTAGCTGTCAACCAGGAGGTGGGCTGGGAAGCTCAGCTGGGGCTGTGGGCTTGGGAACTCATTCCCTTTCCATGTTTCTCTCCACAGGCTGTTTGGACTTCCTCACAGCATGATGCAAGATGATTGCAAAATCAAGCATTCCAAGAGAGCAAAGGAGAGGATTTAGGCCAAAATGCGACATTGTTATTACCTAGCTTGGGAAGTAATATACTTTCACTTCTGTCAGATTCTATTGGTCTGCTCAGGTTCAAGAGGATTGGACAGAGATTTATCCCTTGGTAAGGAATGGCAAGTTTTTAGTAAAGCATGTGAGATGGCAGACAGTTGTGAAGCCACCTTTGGAAGTTACAATCTGCAATACTCACTTATGTGAAACCTCAGCTGCTTGTGCATTGTATCCCAAAATCATTTCTGGGGGACCACTGGGGATATTCCATGTGTACTTCAAAGTAAGCTTTGCACTTACCACCTACATGCACTTTTAGTTTTCATCTCCTGCTTCCCACACTTGTTTCTGACTACAGCTGTGTCTTCTGATAATGAAAAGTCTGTTGTTATTCCCATCTCACTATCACCATTGAGGAGTGTGTATGTTAGGCTGTAACAAAAGAGGAATGGCAGCTCTTGGTCTCTCTGCTTTTGGTTTTCCTCTGATAAGGAATACCCAAATAGGACATTTTCTTTGAAGGTCCTCAGTGTCTTATGCAAGTAGAGTCTAGCGAGTCCAGACCTAATTGAACTCTGGAGTATACACATTAGGTTCAGACTCACAATAACAGAACTACAATTTAGATAACCTTTGGAAATTTTAATTAATCAAGGTACATCATCCCACACAGTCTTAGCCGATTTGCAATTAGAAAGATTAGTGTCCTCTGCCTTCTTTGCCACAGTTTCTTTATATCTGTGTTTCCTAGCTGGAAGACTAAGCTTGGTTGAATGATAAATAAGTAGATAAAATGAGGGAAGTTAAATTTTCTGTATCTTGTGCTCTTTCATATCAGTTAAAGTAGCTTCCGTATAGAGAGCTCAGTTACTGATTGTCTCTTCTTTTCAGCCTCCCCCGACCCCCTTAAAAAGGGTTTAAAATCCCAAACCTAGATTGCTTCAGGCTCTTGATTTTAGAACTAATGTATGGGTCCTCTTGCCTCTAGTCAATGCTATCCAACAGAAATTTCTGCAATGATGAAAGTGTTTTATACTTGTGCTGTCCAATATCGTGTCCAATAGCCACATGTGGCTATTAAGCATTTGAAATGTGGCTAGTGTGACTGAGAAAGTGAATATGTAACTTAAAAGTAAATAGCCACATGTGGTTAGTGGCTACCATATTGCAGAATGTGACTCTGGATGCTGGAATATGAGTGTGACTTTTATGTCCTCAGTTTCTGAAAACTGCCTAGAGCCAAAGAAGAAGGTTTGAGGCAATTAGAGTCCCAATTAGATTTAGGAGTATGTGGGTCTATTATATATTGTTACAGCTCTAGCTGCATCACAGAATTAAAGGCATGAAGAGTTTAACTGGACTCTGACTTTACAATCTGATCAGTTTTATTTTATGAGGTTAGCCTCATTTACCAAAGACAGAGCTATGCCAATTATCTTGTTTTCATGGACTTCAAGGCACTTTACTAGAAAAAAATAAAGAATTAAAAAAAAGCATCTTGATTCTTCTTATAAGGTTCCCCAAGCCTTGCCTTGTCATTGATTAAGTCTGCCCCGGGCCTGTATTGCCTTTCTCCCATTTTTTCTAATATGATGAATAGCTTTGCATAATGCAAAAGAAGAGTTCTTCAGGGATTAAAGCTGAGATAAGTTTTTCTTTTGGGTCTGCTATAATAGCTATCATAAGTCAGCTAATGCAACATCATGTTGTGTAACAAATCACCCCACAAGTCAGTGGCTCACAACTCAAACAAGTATACGTTGACTGGGTTCAGCTCATCTAGGCTGAGTACAATGAAGTTTGGCTCTAGGCTGTAGGTTGCTCAGGTCTGCTTATGTCTGTGTATCTCAGGGCATGTTCTCATAGAGAGTCAAATACACAAGCAGGTCACATAGCCAAGCCAAGAGACAAGAGTGGGATAGCACGCTTTTCCCACTAGGAGGGATGGATGATGAATAAGAGTGAAGATTTATGGCGAGTAACTCAATTTATCACACCTATCCCAAACTTTCTCTCTTTCTCTCCCTCTTTATTTTATCATAGTGATGATAAAATCAATGCTTTTTAAAAAGCTTCTATCCTTGGAAAAATGATGCTTTGACATAGTAAATAAATCAGTGACTTGGGGTATCTGGAAATTAGATTACCAGTTGTGATCTTTAATAACCTATTTTATATTCCAATGAATGTGGATGGGATAATTCATCTTAATGCATCAATTTGATGACATTTTCTCTTTTTCTTAAACTTTCATGTTCATTTACTTAAAAACAGACTAACTAATGTACCACTGATCTCTCTGGAACTACCCACTTGGAGCTCTACAGCATCTGTCTATAGTAATTCCAGCTCAGTCTAATCCTTTAAAATCTTTAGAGGCCAGATCTTTAATATAAATGAGGCATTCCTAGTTTTTTTTTTTAAAGTAGGCTAGAGAATAATATGTGGGTATATGTGTGTGTGTGCATGGTATGATACTATTTTTGCAAATAAATATATGTGTATATCTGCTTAGAAGGATTAGGAAGGTTAGATGATCTCTAGGGAGTGTTAGTGGTGTCTCATTTTCACTTTTTCCTTTACATACTATCATATTGTTTGAATATTATTCGGTAAGCAGGCATTATTTTTATGACAAAAAGTTGTTAAAAATAAAAACTACATCATTATACTTCTAATATTTTGACAGCCTGTCACAGTTGGCAGGATAGAAACTTCATAATTCCATGACTTACCAGTTTATAATTCTGAGTTACCTTTTTTTTTTTTTTTTTTTGTTGAGACTGAGTTTCGCTCCTTTGCCCAGTCTGGAGTGCAGTGGTGCGATCTCGGCTCATTGCAAGCTCCGCCTCCCGGGTTCACGCCATTCCCCTGCCTCAGCCTCCCGAGTAGCTGGGACTACAGGCGCCTGATACCACACCCGGCTAATTTTTTGTATTTTTAGTAGAGACGGGGTTTCACCGTGTTAGCCAGGAAGGTCTTGATCTCCTGACCTCGTGATCCGCCCGCCTTGGCCTCCCAAAGTGCTGGGATTACAGGTGTGAGCCACCGCGCCGGGCCCTGAGTTACCTTTTCAGAGGAGAAGAGAAAGACATATGGGGTGCTTTTGAGGGGTCAGTCAGTAGGAGTCTTTTAGGGTTCAGTAGGAGATTTTATTTTGTATTGCTCTAGTTTCAATTGAGGTTTCCCTTAGCCCTTTGTTTTTAAATATCTCTTACTCTGAAATGATCTGCCCTTGCAACCATTTATAAGCATTCCAGATTTAGTACAGCTTCCAATAAAGGGAAGTCACTTAGCGGAAAAGTGACCAAGCGTTTCTGCTTTCTTACAAAAGCTCTGTGGTCTCCATAGCATCATTTTGTGTCATCTTAAAATGACTTGTAGCCAGGCAGCAGATGTCATCTATTCTAACAGCAAAAGCTTTTTGCAATGCTCAACCATTCCTGTTTTTAACCTTAATTTTAATCCTTCAGTACCAACTGTTAAAGAGAAAAAAAATACAAAACGTAAGTTTCCCAGGACTAGGCTTTTCCTGAGTCACTTCAGCATGGGTCAGGGGCTCATACACCAAACTCCTAACCATTCATGGAAGTCGGTGCCCCTACTCCAGCCACTTGCATACCTTCTAGGCATCTAATGTAGGGAGAGTAGCCCAGTAGTCAGGGCAGCCCTGTTGATTCCTGAGTTTGAAACCTGGCTGTTCATGTATGACAACCAGTAAGTTATTAAAACCTTACTGAGCCTCATTTGTTTCCTCCTGCAAAGTGTGGATGAAAATGACACCTACTTCTTCAGGTCCTGTGAGAACAAAATGAGAGGGCATTTGAAAGTATTTAGGAGAGTATCTGTCAGGTAAAACACCCAGTGAACCTAATTGATTGTCCCCCTGATGCCCTAAGGGGTTGGTACAAATCCACCAGGTGAGCATTCACTCTCTAGAAATAGACAGGATCAAGTATGGTATTTTACTTTGTGAGAAAACCCATGAGTGACTGGGATCTAAACTAGATGCACTTACATAATTTACATGAATATTTCATAGCCACAAGATGCTTAAAGCTGAAGTTTAAACTGGAACAAACTTGGGAGCACATCTGCTTTGTAATGTTTCTTTTGTAGCTTTTCTTGTCATTATAAACTATGCACAAGACTGGGGACAAGGGGAGAAAGAATCCCTTATTTTTGACATGAAAATAGCTTTAAAAGCCTGAATTAGAGGACTATAAATCAAGTAACACTGTTTCCGTTTTATTATAATGTACTTCAGGGAATAAATTTGATTTTCTGAAATATTTTATAGGAATGGTTATATTATTCACTTTCCAGGGTTCTAGCTATATTGAATTACACATCATGTAATCATCACATAATGTTACTGAATTTTGTTTTCATATTATATATTGTCCCTCTGAAATCAATATCTGGAACATTTAATTCCTGTAAATGGGAATTTGCTCATTAAAAATGCATAGAATGTAAAACAAACCAATGACTATTTCATCTATATTGTGCAATACCATCCTCTGCCCTTCAACATATATGCACATTATTTTAATCATCCTCATCCAGAAATTGAAGATGGAAGAATATTGCTTCATCGAGAACATTTCTCAGAGAAATAATGTAATGCAGGAATAATATACAATATTTGGCAGGTATAGGAATGACTCTGACTTAGGTTTGACTATATGAGATCCTTTTTCTTCTTCCCTGGTTGCTTTTCCACAGAGTTGCTGCTGAGTGACCAAGGAAGATTTTGGGCTTTTGGCATGTTGGGATACTGAGTGGGATAAGAGTTCCTCAGGAAGCCATGAAGGGAGGACTTCTGGTGGAGGACTGCATCACACAGAGATACTTATAAGCCACTGCTCTGGGGTTTAGTTAAAAGAATTACAGATCCTAACGTTATGAATGTATAATGTTTTTTCTGCAAAGGATTCCAGAAAGTCTCAACTCTTTTAAAACTCAAACTTAACTCAGGGCGGTAGCTGACACGCCAAATTTTAGTGGGCATAATTTGAAATGGATGAGAAATTATCACAGGTGTTAACAGGTCCAAATGCAGTGCAGTAGTAAAGCACCAAAGAGCTCACAAAGGACTTGAAAGACGCTTGATGTAGCATGTTGATGGCTGCCAAATAGCATCTGTCCTCAAAAATGCCTGGCCAGGAAACGTTATGCCAAATTTGAAAGCTTATCTGAATGTTAGTCAAAGAAAAAGATAGCCTTCCATACTGCATTTTATTTGCAATTATGCAGAACCACTGATTTATATTATAACTAATTAATTTTTGATCAAGGACATCTGCCTTAGTAAAAACAAAGGCGCATAAAGAAGTCATAGATCTTAAAACTTTTGTCAATTTAACAATCCTTGGGGGAAAAAAATCAGGTGCAAGACATAACTTATTTTTATTGTTATGAAACCCAGCCTTCATTACTCTGCTGATGCACTTAGAGAGTAAACTTTACGACCATCATAGGTATCTTTATAGGATGCAGATCATTTTCTTAAAGAAAAATGTTGATGACTTTGGCCGCTCTAAGCTTCAGTGCCTGTGGTCTCTGTCCACAGGCTGCTGCACTGGAAATCTTCAGCTAGTCACCCCGCCACACCTAGCACCAAGACTCTTCCCCAGGAACTCACTCCCCCTCACCATATCTGGTGGTCACGCCCCTCCTCCCCCCATAAGAAAGCTTCAGGAATTAGTGTTTTAGCATTTGCTATCTCCATTCTCCTACAGCTTCCAGACACTTCTGCATTTCTGTCTACTCTTAGTCTTGGTAGAACTCACTGCACCAGTGAGGTCTTGCCAAGCTGCTGAGTGAGGTGGTTTCAGCTTTTTTGTTAATTTGTTTTTTGTCTTTTGTAAAATAAAGACAACAAATAGTGCTTTTCTTATAAGGTTGACGTGAATATTAAATTTATATTGTGCTAGGCACAATCCACGGTACATGGTAAACATTCAAGAAGTTACTATTATTACGAGGGCAGGTGTTAGGATCTTGGTTCTGAGAAAGTACAATCTGTTGAATCACGATCCTATGTGATTACAAATGTCACACTTTCTTGGAGATATCTTCTTCTTGATCACTCTCTACCCCTCCCCTACCCCTAGGTGAACCCCGGAGATATGAGTGTCAATCTGGGCCCAGGCTTGCTATCTGATTGAGCCTGTGGGTCACACTATTCGCCATAGTAGTTCCACGCGTGGTTGGCTCTTCAATCTCAACCCTACCCGCACTGCACCATTATTTTCAGTTTACTCCTCTTTCTTTTTTTTGACTGTACTGAGAATCCAATATGCTTTTCTGAAACTATTTGAGATATAGCAGCAAAGGGGTGTTCCATTAATTTATTCCCTCTGTTTCTCTTTGAAGACATACATTTCTATCATACTAATACACTTTAGAGACTAGTCCATTGAGAATTAGACTTGAAATCTCAGAAAATGCACATTTTCTAAGCAGATCAGTTCCCAAAATTGATGTTCCAAAAATTTTTATCTCTTTCATAGGTGGCCATATCCTTTTGTTTTTCAATGAAAAGGAGTGATTCTCTAGATTATTTCTATAGTGGTAATAAAATAGGAAAATAACAAAAAACTCTAACAGATCAAGAAAAGGTAACCTTTCCCATATAGATTGCTAAACTAATATTTTACTTCATAAAATGTCATATGGCAATAACTATACATTTTATTTATTTATTTTTTGAGACAAGGTCTTACTCTGTCACCCAGGTTCGAGTGCAGTGAATCAATCATAGCTCACTGCAGCCTCTTAGGCTCAAAGGATCCTGCTGCCTCAGCCTCCCAAGTAGCTAGGACAACAAGTGTGTACCATTGCGCCTGGATAATTTTTAAAATTTTTTGGTAAAGATGGGGTTTTACCATGTTGCCAAGGCTAGCAATAACTATATTAAACTCTAACTAAAAATTTGTCTAGGCTGCGCATGGTGGCTCACGCCTGTAATCCCAGCACTTTGGAAGGCCGAGGTGGGTTAATCACCTGAGGTCAGGAGTTCAAGACCAGCCTGACCAACATGGTGAAACCCCGTCTCCACTAAAAATGCAAAAATTAGCCAGGTATGGTGGCGGGTGCCTCTAATCCCAACTACTCAGTAGGCTGAGGCAGGAGAATCACTTGAACCTGGGAGGTGGAGGTTGTAGTGAGCCGAGATCGCATCATTGTAGTCCAGCCTGGGCAACAAGAATGAAACTCTGTCTTGAAAAAATATATATTGTCTAAAATATATTGGTTCATATTCTTGCCTATGTAAGGTAAGTGGACTCTATGTTCCCTAACATTTTATTGATGACTGAGATGCTATAATAACTAAAAGTAATTTTCATGAAATTCAATTCATATTTTTAAACATTTAGACATAAAAATTGTAGGAGACTAAATACATACTTGTAATATTACATGTGAGAAATTTACTTTAATTTTTGCAAAAATTTTCTATTCACCAAAAATGTCATTTACCCTTTCAACTAAAGGAGAGTATGTAATGTTGTGGTTAATTGGGGTTTTAGTTAATAGGTTTTCTTCAAAAAAAAAAAAAAAAAAAAAAAAATAGAAATAATGGCAAAAAACTCCCCCAAACATGTATTGTACCCTTCCTGCAACAACTTCTTTAAGGCGATGTTATATAAATGTTTACAAACCTATCTTTATAAAGATATGCCTCTGCTAAAGAGTCATTATTAACTGTGAGAAAAAAACAAAATCAATTATTATTTTAATACCATTAAAAAACCACTTATTACTGATACCTCAGAGTGGGGAAAACCCTCCAGATCTTTGCAAATTCACAGTAATCCTGTGGTATCTTTCCCGTAACCGAAAAAGTTAGAAATTCCCTTTTGGCTCCTGATGGGTTCTTTAGATATTGAATAAAATATGTTAAAAATTATTTTCATACTAAGAAAAACTGTTTTCTTTTAAGATCTCTTTATTCTCTCGTCATTTTTGTTCTGAACATTAAAGGTGGCTTCCCTTTGGGGATGGAAATTCCACAAACAGTATCCTCTGAAGATTTATTATGTATTCAATGATAAGTAGAGAAAAATTCAGCTGTTCTGAAAAGTTCAAAATTCCTGCCTAAGAGCATGTGATGGGCCATCAGGGTCAAAAACGCAAATGTCAAACCTCCAGAGGCCAAAGACTTATTGAACGGCAGTGTTTTGTTTGTTAGTTATTTTATTGTGCATAATCATCCTCTAACATTTCTATTTCAACAAGATTTTTTGGAATAGCTTACCCTTGAACAAACTTGTCAAAGTCTTGTGCTTCATGTAACTTTCAGAAGCTCTAAAATAAAAGCCAGTAAGTCTATCTCATTTTCTTTGCCCCTTAATCAGAAATGACAATATGGTGTGGAAAAGAGCACAGGGGACTGGTAGTTGGGTGACCTCTCCGGCTTGGTTCCTGCCTCTCTGCCTGGATTGGGTAGATACCTTAACTTTGAATTGCCGTGATCATTTGTAAAGTGAGGGACTTTGAGGGAGATAATCTCTAATCTCCATTTTTTACATCTTTTTTCATTTAAATCCATTAACACACTAACAGATTGCAAAATAGGAAGGAGATGATCTTAAAATAAATGCTTTAAAAATAATTTTGTATCTTTTCCTCACTAAGTTTATTTCTCAGAGCATTTTTGAACCTGAAAGTATGGCTTAATGAGCCATAAATAAAATTCCAACCACAACCTTGAGTTGCTTATAAACAAAATATCCACAATGACCAAGATGTTTCAAAATACTTTCCTTCTTTCCATAGAACTACTAATTTGCAAAACCATGCGGTTAAGTGATGTTAACTCCCTACAGAACCATCAAGCTTCCTAAGACCAGCCCAGAAACCATAGCGCTGGCATAAATAAACATGGTCTTTTTAAAATTCACAGTTATGAAGTGCAATCATGATAATACTCAGAAAATAAATACATTTCCAATGCTACATAATTTAAATTTTTAAAAGCTTTTCTTTAGGAGATAAGACACAACTGAAATTGCACAACTTAAGTGTTTCTGAGGCAAATGTTTTGATGGGTAAAATATCAATTCAAATGGTAAAACTGTGATTTCCTCATGACCGCCTAGCTCACTTCCACTTCGCTTGTTTGTTTGTTTGTTTTCAAGGATCAACCTAATCAATGCTTTCACTTATCTGCTTCTTGAGCTATGCTCTCATGGGAAAAATGTGTGGCATCTCTCGGCTGATACTTTTTTTCCTTTTCAAACAATCAGTACCTACTTCCATTGGAATACTTAGGTATCATAATACTTGATTTCCTGGTTAATTCTCACTATCTGTTAGCTCCTAGAGGGCAGAAATTAAGTCTTAATTTTAATTGTAAATGAAGGTTTTGTTACTGAGACAGGCACATAAACTAGGACTCACTGACAAACTCCTTGTAAGTGATAGCAAGCTGTATTGTTGTGTGGAAGAATCCATCAGTGTAGGAGACTGAGCATATTTCTCAAATGGGAAACCAGAGACAGTTGGGTTACCTTGTTGAACAGGACCACAAATTGCCCAATGCAGCCATCTTATTGGAATGCAAACAACCATCACAGCCCAGGTGTGGAGCTTTGATGCTAGGATGAAAGGAACTGGTCCTTCACAATTGCATGGGCATTCATGGCATGGCTTCTTTTCCCAGCTAATTCACTCCTTGTTTATTCATCTCAACCAATCCTCTAATCATGAGCAACGTCACTGATTGTATTCAAACTTTGCAAGTGGGCATATAATTGTTACAACCACTTATTTTCAAAACATAGTTATTTCTATATAATATGTTCAATTTTATTTAATCCAGGGCAATGCTGTGCCTTTTTTGAGGTCTACCACATCTGAATCAGTCAGTCAAGGCAATATCTGCCTTGAGAGCAATGCATGAACAACAGAAACAGGAACAACTGCTCAAGATTATTAAACTCTTACTGTGTTCAAGACAGCATGCAAAGTAATTTATGTGCCTTCACTGATTTAATCCTCACAATAACCCAATGTGTTAGGAATCACTATACCTGTTTTTGTAGATTATAAAACAGAGGCCCAGGGATACTAAGTCCCCAAACTCAGATTAAATCAATCAACAGCTGTTGCTGCCAATACTCATCTCTTGATAGAAGAGATGGACGAGTCTTCTTGGAAGTGTCAATATCTATAGAAACCTGCTATACAATACTGCTATTATTTATGTTACCATTTACATCATGATGCGTTCTTGTCTTTTGATTCCCAGCTTGAGGTTGTCCTACATTAACTTCTGTTCGGATATAATTTGACCAAATATTTTATTATATGTGAGGTTGGCAAAGTGGGAAAAGTCTATAGAACTGAGATGATATCATGTCTGTTCTTAATTGGAGAGAGAGTAACACTACATAGGAAACTAGGGCAGACCTGTTTGATGGTATGGAACTGATTGCTAAATGTGTAAAACTGGAATATAAGGACAAGGCATTCCTTGAGGGTTAAGACAGTCAGCAAAGCTTTAATGAAGAAAGTAGTACAACATAATCACCATAGTAACCATCATTAATTGAGCACCTACTACATGTCAGATACAGTGCTAGGTATTTTACATGTCTTATTCCTCTTGATAGCTTTGACAGGTAGGTATTTTTTTTTTTTTTTTTTTTTTGCCTCTTACCAATGAGACTAAGATGTTAAATAATTTGCCTAAGGTCTCACAACTAATAAAAGGCAGAAAAGGCAGAACTGGTATTTTTATGTTACTCTGTCCAACTCCAGAATGTAAGTTAGGTTTTGAAATCTATATATAATAAGTATATGTTTAAAAGTGTGACAGGGACAACTTTTTATTCCAATGTCCATTCTTTCATTCTTTAGGAATAGAATCCTCAAAATGTGGTAGGGCACATGGATGCCAGTTAAAGGCTATTTTTCCTTGTTGCAACGTGTGGCCATGTGCTTGCATTCTAGCCAGTGAAATATGACCTAAGGGATGTGTATAACTTCTTAAAAAAGAAAATACACAACAGACAGTATACAACTGTCACTTCCCCTGCCTCCTTTCCCTCTGGTTGGAATGCAGACATGACGGTGGGAGCAACGGTAGCCATCGTAGGTCATGAGATGAAAGCTGCTGGTTGAGAATAGGAAGATGTGAAGTTTCTAACACCATGGGCTGGTAGTATTAGCCCTAGAATCATTATGTGTTGATTATTATTTAAGAAAGAAATAGCTTCCCAACTTAAGTCACTGTCATTTCAGACTTTAATTTGGATTCTGACCTGTATCTGAAAGAATTCATCAAGTGGGATCACAAAGGTTAAAAGGCAGAAGCAGTAATAAAAATAATTGTGTTGAGAAAGAAAATGAAAGCTAAGGGTGCATTTGATAAACAGCAGGAAATATTCTTAGACGTATAGGGAAGTCAGGTTATGAAGCGATTTCCCTGGTAAGGCTGAGGAGTACAGATTTACATTTTAGTAAACAAGAGCAACTGAAGAGTTTTAAGCAAGAGTTTGTAAATTTATTAATTCATTAACTTGCTTGTTCATCAAATATATGTTCATTACCTACTCTGAGTGTTATGGTAAAAACTTTTTTCTCAAAGATTAATGATTGACTAAAGACAACCAATAATTAATCACTTGGGGAATGATTAGTAAGAAACAGCCAGGAAATAGGAACAAAAGGTAGAAGATTATCCAATAATCTAGATCAGGAGTGCTGATATACAAATTAGAACCTGTCATCCCAGAGTGAACTGAATTTGAGAATAAGAGAGAAAATGGAATGCTATTGGAGTCCATAGAGTAAAACTTACTTCTGATTTGGATGATCATTCTAAAAGAACTGATGCTTAATTTGAGACCTATAAGAAGATTAGAAATGAATCAGATGAGAAGACAGGAGTGATAAGGTAGAGAAGGTTTTGGGCAGAGCTCAATTGAGAGAGCATGGGAACAAGAGCAATCCAGAATGGTCAGACTGCAGGAGGTGTTGGGTAATACTTAAAAGAGTTTTCAGATGAAGTTATCTAAGCAAAGAAATTTAAAAAGAGAGAAGTAGACAGTTAAGATTCAACTCTTCAGCAATGGAAATACATATTGATTGGAAAGACAAAAAGGAGTAGATGAAAGTGCTTTATAAAGAGACTGCAAATTTTTTTGCCATTACCACCATTAAGAGGTAGGGTCTTTGACCTTGAATCTCGGCTGCCCCTTGAATCTGGCCACCTGCTTTCACCAACAGAATGTGGTGGAAATAACACTAAAGAACTTTATACCTAGACCTTGGAAAGTCATGCAGCTTCCATTTTTGTTATCTTAGTGGCTTGTGCCTTCTCCTTGATGAACAGAAAAGGCCTAGCCAACTTTTTTTTCTTACTTTTTCTTTAAAATTTATTATTTCACAGATTATTGAATAATTATTCTTTGCTAGAATGAGATAAATTTCAGCATCAATTCTACTCTGATTTTTAGTTCTTTAGATAGAAAACATTGAGAGCCTTGTTTACATAGTTAAGTTAACAAAATGGAGGAAGTTTTGTTACAGTAATTTCACTTGATTATTTGACCTCTCTTGAGGTATAAGCCAAAAATAAATATCTAACAACAAAATTTTAAATGATCTATTAATTGAAACTTAAATTATCATTCAACTCCACAGAAAGTAAAAAGCTGGCAAAATAATCCATTACCTACTTATTCAGTCTTTGGCTATACAATTTCTGAGAATTATGCCTGCAATAAACCAAGTGTTTATATCCCTACAGAATTTATACATTGAAACCCTAACCCCTAATGTGATGGTATTAGGAGGGGGGCCTCTGGGAGGTAATTAGATCATGAGGGTAAAGCCCTCATGAATGGGATTGGTGCCAAAAAGAACCTAGCCAACCTTAACCTGCTCCAGTCACCATAGCTTTTCCAAACATGTGAGTGAGACCATCTTTGATGGTCCAGTCCCAGCTGAGCTCTCAGTGAATATAGCTGCATAAGGAACCCCAGACAACGGCACACGGAAAAGAAGAACTGCCCAGCTCAGACCAGCTAACTAGTAGAACTGGGAGAAGTAATAAATTGTGTTAAGCCTCTGTGTTATGGGGTGGTCTATTATACAGCAATAGCTAACTGATATGGTAGAAGAAATAGAAATCTGAGAGGGTTGGAGATGGTTCAGAATCATGGAGTGTTATAGAAGAACAGGGAAGAGACCATTTCAAGTAGGGGATAATCTATAGTACCAAATGCAGTAAAGAGAACAGATAGCACGTCAAATTTAGAAAGTGTAGACATCCATAGTGTCAATTAGCAAAGTGAAATATCTGAACTTATCATTAGTGTATTGAGTTTGTAAAAGGGGCATTTTCTTTCTTTTTTCCTATTTATGAGGCATCACTCTGAGAATTTCTTTCCCCCAAATAACAGTTTCTGCAAAAGACTGTAGATTGAGCATCTTACAGCAGACAGTGTTTGCCACTCTCATGAGGTTGGATGAAGCCTACAGTTCTATTGATTCCCTTGTCTATTCAATCTTGTTGAAGCTCACTGAATCTTTTCCTACGGGGCTTTAAAATGGGAAAAGCACAAGGGTCTCTGCCTTTTAACATCAAGTTCCTGCTTCCTAGGCTATTTTGAGAGACTGCCACACTCATTGGCATCTGGTGCAACATCTGCTGACATCTCTTTTTTTGTTTCTATCTCCCACTGTTTTTCAAGTTGGTATTCAATTTCAAGTGTGGCTCTTCAAAAAGAGCCTCTTGAAATACTGAAATTAGGTAATCATTTCCCCATACTCTGTAAAGGGTATTGCACCGGGACCTTGGGCACTCTTGTGTTGTGAATTCTCATTTGGCTTACCAACATCTCAATGCTCCCACTGAGAGCCCCAGAAGATTCAATCACGAGTTCAGCAACCCTAATGTTGCTCTTGCTTCCTCAAGGGCTATAATTTTACTTATAATGCTGTCAGCTTGAGTTCTTGCAGTCTTCCTTCATTTCCTTGGCTCATCAAACTTGTTGGAAATTGGCCTGAATTGCATATCTGGGGAACTTGAAAGAAGAGCCCATCTCATCAGTTTTCTCCCAGATTATCCACAGGCCATGAAGAATTCACTGAGTTAAAATAGCAGAGCCCCAGTGATTAAAAAAATTAAGATAATTTTAAAAAATCATTTATTTGTAGTTATGTTACTGAGTAGATGACACTTGGCATTTGATTTTCATGATTTGGAGTTATTTTAAAACTCTTGAAAAGTTCTATTATTGTTATTATTAATCAGAAATATATCCAAGCCCATTAAAGTGAAAATATCTGTTTAAGTGCAAAGAAAGACATAAAATTTAAACCACAGGGCACTTACAAAGCTTGCATCAAGTTAATAAATGCATGTTAGTTCTCAAACCAATTCAGTGGAAATAAGGGGGAATTGTGCTGAGCTCTAAAATTTTTTAAAAATGAGTATGCATGCTCTTTTTATTACAAAGTGATACATATTTACACATATACTAATATCATGGAAATTATGCCATATGGGATATGATGCAAGGTAGACTCTAAGTACATGATTACGCAAATTACCCCAAAGGCCATGGAATAGAAAGGCTCATAGACCAAATTAAGATGCCTGACTCACTTGGTTCATTGACTCAATTTAAACACATAGAAGAAAGAGGCAAGAGATGGGTAGGAAAAGTGCAAGCAGAGCAGGAGTCTGCTGCCTTAATTTTGGATTATATGATGTTATATATCCACTCTCTCTCTTCCTGCTAATTGTGTGGTCATGAGGATCAAGGACGAGGTGTGAGCAAATGGTACCTGGCAGTTGGAAGGTGCCTAGACCAACATACACATCTTACAACAGAGGCAAATACACCTGGCCACAGCTAGAGGTTACTAATTAGCCTAATGAGCAGCAATGGGTTTTATTTGCTAAAATGTGTGCCACTCAAGGAAGGCCAACTAATACGTACATGAATATTGAGCACATGTCCCACATAGGCCTCACATATATTTAGCATGTGATGCACATTAGGTACTTACAAGCTCTACTTACTTTATGTACGAGTAATATGCCTCGTAGGTTACTTATTTACTTATATATGCACATCTTATAGGTCCTGCCTGTGCTTCACAAGCTGCCTACTTGTTATCTTTATCTAACACAGCTTATACATTTTATCTATGCCTTTTAAGCTACTAAATTAATTATTTATGTTTAACACATTCATCTCATTTTTTAGTCTTCCATAGAAGAACTGAATATTCTCAAATACAGCAAATACACATTACACAACATTTATTTAGCAAATCTGCTACGCACCAACAAAATGCAAGTGCTGGTGATACAGCAGAGAACAAAGCAGACAAAAACTGTCCTCCTGAAGATTTTAGTGAATTTTGAGAGGTCAAAACTTTTCATTCATGGTGACACAATACCATTTGTATAAGTTTTTTTGTGATGATCTTAGTTTGTTGGTATTAATTTTTACTAAATGTGAAAAAATACAGGTAAACCTTTAATTATATGTTTTGATGATGAAAACAAAGTGATTGCACAGTTAAAATCAAATGTCACTTTTCAATGTTAGTTGTGAGCAAAACAGGTAAAAACACTTTAAGATGTTTATTTGTGATTAGAAAAAGAGGCCCATTCCACATGGGAAGGACTAAATGGGCCATTTGAAGCCAGTTTAAATTAAATACACTTTGAAGCAAAGGTCATATGCATACAGAAATGAAAGTTCTGACCAGCTCTGAAGAAGGAAACAAATGAAACAGGAAAGTGATCTAGACCTACTTATAAGGATTTTAGTTTTTGAAAAGTTTAGCTGTAATTGCTTAAAAATATACTAGAGTGGAAAATTACTTATCATTGAATTTAAACATCAATTATTTATATTCAAATGTTCTGGTATTTTGTATATTTTAAATAATTAAAATACTGATATTTTTGTTTGCATTCTTATTGTTATTTCCCGTTTAAAAACTATGAAATTAAGACTCATTTCCATGTTGCAATTCAGCCAGAGAGTTAAAAACTGATGAAAATTTTATATAAACAAAGGCGCACCTGCTTAGAAAGCATTCTTCTGCATGCAAATAATTTCCAAAGGGAAGAGAACAATGAAAATTGGCAAAGCAAAGCTTCTATTGAACAAATAATTCTTACTTCAGATCAAAGACTTTCTAAAAAGTAGACCCTGCATTGAATAGTGATGAAACTAGGGACGATAGATTGGTAATACATTCTTTGAAACACAATTGCAGCTTTCACTCAATAAAACTATTTCAGCTCTTGTAAATAACAGAAAGTTGTTAAAAATGATTGCCGAAGGTATCAAATAAGACACAGAATTGTTTGAAAATGGAGTCACAGGAAAATATTTGGAATTGGTTTATAACTGTGTTTTCCCTCTTCCCTAAGCCCTTTTATGTTCAGAAAGACTTTCTTGTAATAGAAAATCTGCACCAAAAATAAAACTCAACAATGACAATTATGTTTTTTAAGGATTTCACTTTTGAAAAATAAATATTACTTCACTTTCTTTTTAAAAATTATTTGTTAAATGTTATTTATTTGTACTTATAAATAATTTATTTTTGAACTATTTTGTAATTACTTTTACTGAGTAATTATTTTCATTGGAATGTTAAGTTATGCTTAGCATTTATATTTTATAGTTAACTTTTACTTGATGTTTTATAATGTTTATAAATGTTCATATTTTATAGTATTAATATTTATTTTGATTTTTTTAAATCATAAATTTTCAACATTTTAAATTGATTGTTTTTGTCATTTTTCTCTCGTAATAAATCATTGTTTATCTATAGCTCAAATCACAGTTAATGGTTTGGACTATTTCCAAATCTCCAAATTTCAGGATGTCTCTAATATGCAAACAGATAAATGTGGCTTTCTGCATGTCTGTATAAGAACATAATTAAGGAATTTAAATTTTATCAAAATTTACTTCTCGATGTCTTCTTACGAAGCTCATTCCCTTATTCCCATTTCTGCTCTACCAGAAGCCTTTTCAATATCAAGTAATGCCAACCTTATGCTTCCAGTTGTTGAAACAGAAATCCTGGCACAGTCCTTAACAAAACCTCTCTTTCCGTCTTCCTCTACAATCAATGCAACAGCAGATCCTGTTGATTCTTCCCTCAAAATATATCCAGAAATAGACCATGTCTCATCCCCTTCTCTGTAGACATCCTGGTCTGGGTCCCTGTCATCTCATTCTGGGTGATCATATGCCTGTCTCGCTGCTTTGACTCTGGTTTCCCGACAGCAGCCAGGAAGATCCTCTTAAAGGCCAGATCAGATCACACCAGTCCTCTGCTTCCAACCTTAAAATGGCTCCCCCTATCTTCTGGAATCCAGAAGTCCTTTTAAGGTGATCAGTCCTTCACCCCTTGCCTGAAGACTCAAGAGGAAAAGAAAAGTCTATTGTATTTAGTGGTATCTTTGCTTGCCATGTTCTTTCTTCCTGCTGGATGTTCCACTATTCCTCCTTTTATTCTTTTCATTCTATTTGGAGAACCTCCTGTAATTATTCTTTTCAGGTATGTCTGTTGGTGACAAGTTTTCTTAATTTTCTTGATCTGAGAATGTCTTGATTTCCTCTTCATTCCTGAAGGATATTTTTGCTGGATATAGGATTCCAGATTGTTAGCTATTTTCTTCTTTCAGCACTTTCACAATGTGTTCTGGCCTCCATGGTTTCTGATGAGAGATCCACTGTCATTCAAACTGTTTTGCTCTATAAGTAATGCATTTCCCTGTTGTTGCTTTCAAGGATTTTTTTTTTTTTTTTTTTGGTCTTTTTGGGGGCGAGGTTTGACTATGGCGTTTCTATTTGATGATTTTGTTTTTATTTTCAATTGAAAACAGCAATATTTTAGTAAGATTTGACTCCTCCCCAAAGCCAGTCAAATTTTCTAAAAAGTATTTAAGTAATGTGGAGTGTGCAAAGTCACTGTGTTGGTTCTGTTCCAGGTTCATGTCAACATGTCTGTGTGCACATGTACACACATACACACATAGTAAATACACAAGGCTCCCAGAAAAGAGGTGAACAAGTATAAACTTGTGGATGCTGACTACAGTGTTATGAATTTCTTTAGGCCTATCCTATTTGGGGTTTTGCTCAGTTTCATAAATCTATAGGTTTGTGGGGTTTTGGGTCAAATTTGGGAAAATTTCAGCCATTATTTATTTGAATGCTTTTTCAGTTTGGGCCCCTTTTTTCTCTAGTTCTAAGACTCTGATGATAAAGATGTTAGTTTTTTTTGTATTAGTCCCACATGTCCCTGAGACTCTGTTCATTTTTTTTAGTTGATTTTCTCTCTGTTGTTCAGACTGAGTAACTTTTATTGCTCCACCTTTAACTGATTTTTCCTGTCCCCTCCATTCTATTGTTAAGCCACCTATCGAGTTTTAAAAATTTCATTATTGTATTTTTCAGTTCTAAAATTTCCATTCAGTCCTTCTTCATATTTTATATTTTTTGATGAGACTTTTAATTTTTTGCCAAGACTCTTATTTTTTCATTTGTTTTAAGTGTGTTCGTAATTGCTTGTTGAAGCATTTTTATGACAGCTGCTTTAAAATCTTTGGCAGAAAATTCTCACATTATGCCAGATCTGTTTTAGTATCTATTGATTGTCTTTTTCATTCCATTTGATATATTTTGGTCTGACAATGGTCCTTTGCTAAGGTGCTTTTATTATGTCCTCTTTTTCATATAAGGGAAATGAGGCTCAGATGGGCCCCAAAACACACCTTCAGAAATGGGACTGAGAGCTGAGTCTAGAATCCAAGTGTATCTGATATCAAAGCCAGATTTTTAAGCTATCAAACTGTAGACAAATATGTATAGTGTGATTATATTACAATATGTATAGTGTGATTATATTTTATAAGAAAAAAATTCACAGCTAGCTATGAATTTCTAGCATAGAAAAAAGTTAAGAACAGACCTCAAAAATATTAGCTGGGATTTTTAATGAATATAAAATTTGGACGATTTCTATTTTTGACTCTCGGTACCTTAAACTATCTGCAATAATTTCAATTTAATCGCCTATCGTATGATTTTGAATAAGGCTCTGACTAGTTTGTATATTTGTTTAAATTTATTTAAAGTTGTGCTTTTGGGGTTTTGTTTCTCATATGAATAGTCAAAAATTGTGTGTTCTAAAAGCAATTCATTTAAATGGTGAAAAACATGAAATTATTCTCCACTTCTAGATTCTTTTTTTGAAGGAAACAGATTTAACACATTTTTGTAAGGAAGCATATTTGTTTTTTATTTTTCTTCCATGTTCTTTATTTTTAATATCAATTTTGTTTTTAGTCAAATGTATTTAGAATTTAGATCATGTTATTTTCAAACCAGTATTTTCCTAATAAAAAATTGTTAAATATAATCCTTGCCCCTCTCTTCTCTTCTTCTTTTCTTTCCTCCTTTACAGTCAGTATTTAAAGTAGCAACAAAAACCTTTGGCATAATAATTTATTTTTTTCTAATAGACTTGAATGACATGGTATATTTTCACATCATGTTGCCATGACTACCAAACCCTTTAGCTTATCTTCACTTAAATATGTTCGCTGTTAAATTAGAGATGTGGTTTCAGCAATTTAGGATACTCTATAATTTTTGTTTAAAATGTTAGTTCTCTGATAAGTCCTCAAGTTCTCTCTTTCAATGAGAATAATGCAAGAGAGTTGCTGGCTATGAAACATCTATTTTCCATAATTCTTTCAAAGCCAGCTAAAAAGTCCAACTATTGTCTAAGAGAGCTTTTCAGGTTCTGTGCAGGAATTTGTCACTCAGGGTCAGAGCACAATTTATGTGTGTTGTGAAATAAATTAGAGAGCTTCTCCTAAATTCCAAGATGTCTAGGTTGACATTGAGACCTCTGAAACACACCCACGGCAGAATATTGAAAAGTATTGTATGACAATAAAGATCTCTTCCTGGCAGATTAAGAAATGTCTCTCTGGATGTGGGTCCACTTCATCCTCTGGCTGTGTGAAGGTGTGACTGTCCGCGTTACAGGAATCAGCAGAGGGCCTGACGTGCTGCTCAGGAATGAGCACGGCAGAGAGAGAAAGCAGTGGCTCTACGTGAAGAATAGTCAGTACCCACAAGTTTAGGCTTGGTCTCCTCTTCTCTTGGAGCCTTACATATTAAAAACTAAAGAAATATATTTACTCTGTGTGTATGCGTGTAAGTGTGCACATGGACATGTTGGCATGAGCACGAAATAGAAATAATACAGTGACTGTGAGCTTTAAATACTTCTTAGAAAACTTGACTGGCTTTGAGGAGGAGTTAAAACTTACTAAAATGTTGTTCTTTTCAATTGAAAACAAAAACAAAATCATCAAATAAGTAACAATATAGCAAGGAGAAGGAATTGGTTTGAACTTGAGAACTTACAGTAGATGCTTAAAATGGCACTTCCTTTAAATTTTATGATATTTGGAAGCACAAAAAACAATCTAGATTCCTCTAATGGCTAATCAGATAAAAATACACGTGAATGAATAAGCATTGCCGAATTTTCTAAGATTATGTTTCATTCTCCAGTAAAAATCTTAAATAGGTGAGGTTTTTGCCTAGGTGGGAACTATAAAATCAGGTTCTAAATATGTTATAAAACTGTAACCTAGTATATAACTGTGGGTAAATGTGTGGGAATGTGGAGATGAATGTGGCACATGATTTTGTTAGTAAACCTAAATTTTGCATAAAGTATTAAAAGATTTTATTAAAATCAGCTGTTTATAAATCCTAGTGTACTATCTAATCTTTCTATCTTTAATTTTTCTCAAAATGAAATACTAAAAACAATGAGCAAGTCAAAGCAGGGTTAAAGAACTCTAACAGTCCTTCTCTTTGAATTCCAGGCTCACAGACTGACAGTCACTGCTTATTGCAAATAACTCTTGATCTTATTTTAGTTTTCAGTAAAGCAAACCAATAATAAATAAATTAAAAGTGACCTTTTTTATTTAAGTAAAGCAGGTAAAGTAAAATATTTAACAGGTTTAAGAAAGCAAACAAAACAGTGCGTGTCCTTAGCTGATTTAAATTTGCCTGAGAGACTGCCTTTCGGCTCCTTCCTCTAAGGAAAAAAGTAGATAAAAGAGCAGGGTTTGGGGGCCATTGAGCACGTGGCTACACTGCTTTAGAATTCTCTGATAGTATTCCACTGCAGAGAATAAAATCCAAACTCTTCACCTTGGTCCACAAAGCCTTATAAGACCTGGCCCCTGCTCTCTCTCTGACTCATATTCTACCTCTTGGGCATCACTCTCTATTCTCTACCTTCAGCCTGTTTCCATCCTTTAAATATGTCAGGCTCCTTTGTGCCTCAGGGCCTCTGCATCTGCTTGGGATTCTCTTCCTCAGATTCAGAGCTCTCAACTCCAATCACAGGCCTTTCCTGAGCTTCTTTGCTAAAGGCCTTCTCAGAAGCGCTGAAAACAATTTTAATACTTTGTTTGTTTTCCTATGTGCTTGTTTTCTATTTACTCTAACTAGAATAATGGATAGCTAGGCACTGTGGCATGTACCAATAATCCCAGCTCCTCAGGAGGCTGAGGTTGGGGGATCACTGAGGTCAGGAGTTCAAAACCAGCCTGGGCAACATTGCAAGACCCCATCTCTTTAAAAAAAGAATAATGGATAACATTCTTTTAGAACCATGCCAAGTGCTGTGTTTGACACTTATGTGCTTAATAAATATTTGCAGACTGACAGACTTTCAGGTTATTTTAAAGGGAGGCTCCATGGCAGTCTGAATTTGTCTAAGAACATTTGCAGCATCATTTTACAACTTACCAAGATTTCCATGTACAATATCTTGTTATATCCTTAGACTCTTGTACAATCTGAGAGGCAATTAAAGTAAGGTGACATTATCCTTA
This sequence comes from Homo sapiens, assembly GCF_000001405.40. Lineage (NCBI taxonomy): Eukaryota > Metazoa > Chordata > Mammalia > Primates > Hominidae > Homo > Homo sapiens. The sequence goes on along the minus strand of NC_000002.12, from coordinate 167,685,016 downwards.
TTTCCACAGTTTGGAGTAGGAAGTAGTTATGTTGGGACTCATTTTCAGATTTAAGTGGTGGTGGTTGATGTTGTTTATGCCCCTAACTGTCATGTGTCTATTTTTCACGAGCCCCAGGTGGCTATGATTAACTGATGGGACAGGAGTGTGGACTGTTAGCTGATCCTTCAACATGTGGCATCACTGCCATCTGATCTGACTGCCAAGCTGTTGCCATCACCATTAGGTACGAGTTACCTTTTCTTTCTTTAATATTCAAGTTAAAGAATTCCAATAATGAGAATTATTAAAATAATCTGCTTAGAATAAAGAGGAAAAATGCTATGTGGCTAAAGCCATTGGATTTTGATTAGTGTTACAAAATATCACCATAAAAACTTTTATCACATCCTAGGAGAACAAATGAGGCTTATATTTATCATGGGAGCAGGTATTTTTCCTGAAATATGAAGACTATCTTTTTGGACTCATGGAATCTCTGGGCTGGAAATCAGCTTTCTGGGGTAACAAAAATAGGACCAGAAAGGCATAATGATCTGAAAAAAGGTGAGAGGGTTAATTAGTAATAGAGCCAGGACCGAATGCAGATTGTTGCTGTCTGGCTTTCCAGACTATACAATTTATTCCTCTATTGAAATTAAATCAGACACTGGGTAATGTTTCAGGCTTGGAGGGAAGAAAACAGGAACATGGGAAAAATTTAGGTAATTTGTAGGCTGTGACTATATTCAGTGATTTTATTGAATAAACATACACAAATCATTGATTCACCTAGCAAATGTTTATTCCTTGCCTACGTTATTGGAGGCTCTTTTCTAGATACTGGGGGTACAATGGAGACTGCAGTAGCATTTCTCCCTCCAAGAACTCATAGTTAAATGGAGAGACTAACCAGTTAATGTGAAATTTTGATGCCTTGCATTAGGTGCTGTGATAGAGACAGGCTCTGGAAGACACAGAGGGTGTCGATTAACCTAGGTAGTAGAAGACAGAAAGGTTTGCTGGACCATATGGCTTCTAAGCTAACATGTGAAGGATGAGTAAGAAAGAGATTGGTGAAGAAGGAAAGTGTTCCAGATAGAGAGAAGAACATGGATGTCCATGTGAATGCATTAGTGTATCTTGCCATCCAACAGGGCCAAAACACAAAAAATAAAATAACAGTTATGCTTATTCTCCTAAGTTCTTTCGAAACATAGTTCCTCCTAAGGAATCACAAAAGGTACTTCAGAAGCTGGATTGTCTTTGATGTGTGTGTGTGTGTGTGTGTTTTCTTTTTAATTTTAATTTTAATTTTTGAGACAGACTCTCACTTTGTCACAGGCTGGAGTGCAGTGGCACAATCACGGCTCACCACAGCCTCGACCTTTCAGGCCCAGGTGTTCTTCCCATCTCAGCCTCCTGAGTAGCTAGGTCTACAGGCACCCACCACCATGCCCAGCTAATTTTTGTATTTTTTGTAGAGATGGAGTTTGGTCATGTTGCCCCAGCTGATCTTGAACTCCTGGGCTCAAGCCATCTGCCCACCTAGGCCTCCCAAAGTGCTAGGCATGAGCTACTGTGCCTGGCCCCTTGGATGTGTTTTATCTGGGCTATGACTTCATACCAAATCCAATGCCCTGGCAAAGTGGGCTATAGACAGCTTCCACTGGCTGGTACTGCAGAGGGGCAGGGCTTTATGAACTTTGAAGAAGACTACATTCATAGTTATTTTGATCACCCTGCACCTTCCTTGGAAGGTCTTTGGTGTCTACTGCCACCCTGTAATATAAAGAAGTACAGATATCCAGGAAGTACTGTACCTAATAATACTAACACACTGTCACAAATGATCATAAATATTCTATTCTTGCTCCAACTGCTTAAAGTATTTAGGGAATCTGTGCCTTGGTCAATGAACAACCCTGAAAATTAAAAGCAAGCCCATTGTTTTTCTAAAAATCTACATGTTTATGAGTCATCTTCATAATAAATCATAATAGTAATACATTAGAATTTCCTCCTCTAAGGGTAACCAGAAATAAATATTAATCAGAGCCAAAGCTGAACGCTCTGTATGATTTCTTTCAGTCTTGAACAATTGATGCATTCATTTCAGACAGTTGTCAAAAACTCACAGATTTCTAATTTTATCAAATCAGACAGTTACTTTGAGTATACATATTATTTCCTTCTTTCATTTAAAAGTAATTATGAAGAGCCATCCATTCCCTAAGGGCTCTACCGGGTTCTAGGGACATAGATTCCTATCTGCAAGGAATTTACAGCAAGGGGATAGAGGGAGAGACTAGGTGGGGAGGGCGGAAGTGGAGATGCTGCCAGGAAAGAAGGACACTAGGACAGAGGGCACCCCAGCCATGCTGGGCTGGATCCCCACCTCTACTCATCAGAATCAGAATCTCGGGACGGCTTGGCTTTGAGAATTTGCATTTTTAAAAAGCTCTTCAGGTTATTCTCACACATATTCAAGTTTGAGAATCTGCTGCAGTAATAGGTCATTGAAGACTTTTAAGCAAGAGAGGGGGATAATAGGTTAAACCTTTTAGAAGGAATGCTCTGTTAGCTGTGCAGAAGAGGGCAGAGCATTTTAACTTTGCAATGCAAATGGGACCATTGTGATAACATGGCAGCAGAAATTACGAGATGAGAGATGCAAAGATATCAAATAATATTTGGAATTTGGATGAAGAATTATTTTCATAGCTATTTGATACTTTTAATTCGTTGAAAGGTCATTATCTTATTTATTTTCTCTTTTGTAAAAGCTCATTCCATTGGATCAAAATGCCACAGTTAAAATATCAAACAAAAAAAGACAGTAAATTGGAGCTAGCCGGGAATAGACAGGGAGGATGCAACAGTCTAAGCAAGAGAGAAGAGGATGGACACCAAGGCAATAGGAACAGGATGGGGAGAAGTGAGTCATAGAACAAGGGGAAAATTAAAGGACATGCTCTCCAATTAGGTGGGAAAGGCAAGGAGCAAAAACAGCTGTGACATTTTCTTAAAAAAACAAAAATTCATTATTTTAGAATTATTGGAATATGGAACTGATTTAATATGATTTGCCTTAATGACATCACTTCACAGAAGTGGGACGATGGAAAGCAAGCCAAAAAAAGGACAGCTCAGCATAATTCTTCATTGTTCTGAAAACAGCCTGCACTACTGACAAAGGCTTTGTGTATCCTCTTTAGATTTAGGGCCTGCACGGTGCCATGAGCATCTTGGCTGTAGGATCCACATTCTTCTTATGTTGCTACAGTGACTTGCACATAATAGGCCCTACATATATGGGTTTAGAATATACGAACTCATTAATTAATTGTGATACTGATTGGAAGTAGCATTTTCTGGCTTAAAACAACTTCTAGAGAAACTTAGTGCATGCCTCTACTTTCGAACAAGGTGATATGTAAATCAACCACTGAAATCAGTTGTCTTCTTGCTATATTTTTACACTGGAAAATCCAAACGAAAGGTGCTTCAGTCAGTGACACAGTTATTTAGGACACTGTATATCATAGCAGGGACTAGTTTGAGTCTGAGATTCCCTGCATGAACTCTAGCAGATGGCTTCCAGATGTTTTGCCTGGTTAACAGCAACCATCAGTTTGACTTTGGAGAAATGACCTATAAGATTCACTGGGGTTGAAAGGATGGGGAGGTATTTCACAGACGATTTGGGTCATTAAAACAGAGATAGGGCAAAAATAATAATTTGATTTACAACAGATTTTTGGGATAGATTAAAAAAATATATATATATATCTGATGGCTGCAACTTCACTCCTTGAAAGCAAAATGCTATGCTGGGAGTTAATATTTCTATATCATGTGGCCCTCTCCCAAGCTGTGTGCTTGCTGCAGCGCGGTTGACATGAGCTCCTCTCCTCATTTCTATTCCATCCCCTTCCTAACCTCATTTCTGGTTATACAGAGCTCCTTGTCACAGCCTTTGTTGTCATGTTTTATGCTTTCTGGTTAAACAACAACAGTAATTATAGCAACCTTGCAATTACAAATTTTAAAAGAATTAATCAGCTTTAGAATTTTTTAAATGACTGGAACACATTCACAGAAAAAATTAAAAAGTGCCTTACTTCTATTTCTGATATCGGATCAGATTTTTGCAAATATGAGCAACTTACATTGCATGTCATTTTATTTTATCTATTTCATTTTATCAGAAGTATAATAAAAATTTCTTAATGGTTTCAGTTCTTTGAAATAAAAAAAAATTCTGCGCGAATAATCGGAGAGAATATGAGGAATGTCTCCAAGTCCTCATTCTAGTGCTACATTTTCAACAGCCTTGGCTTAGACAAATCCCTTAACCTCTTGAGATATCCATTTCACTTGCTAAAAACTACATGAATCACAAATAGCTAGCTCTTTCAGAATCTGTGAATTTAGAGAATGTTGGGAAAACAGTTTGACTACTTAAAAACAGGATAAAAATAGAGGGAATAGGTTTTTAGCTCCCTCCTACCAAAAAAAAAATTTGGTCATTAGAAAGGCTGCCTTCCCACTCTATGTCATGCAAACCACCAGGAGATTTTGATGTATACTTGTGAGTGCATACAAAGTTCTCTCTCTCTCTCTCTCTCAATCTGTTTCTCTATTTGAAATCTTTATTTCTGGATTTCAACACAAAACATTTTGACAGATTGACTTTTTGTTAATGACTTTTTACGTATCAGCTTACTGAAATGTAGAAACAAATCCCCCTGTCCTGGGCTTTTAGCAACGTGGTGACTCCAAATCACTGATGCATATTTATAAATCTCTTCCGTGCATCTGAAGCAAAGGTTTAACTTTCTACGTGATATTTTCCATTTACAAAATATTTATGTAGAACTAATCCTACATCAGAAGTGTGTGTTTGGAATGAATTACCAAAGTGAGAAAAGAAAGCAATTAGCATTTAGAAAATGCCAGGCTGTAAGTTTTCACCAAAGAGTAGTGGAAAAAAAAGTAACTTAGACATTGATACGGTTTATTAAGTAGAAAAAACCCATGTTTATGAACTGGAAAGACCAATATCAGATAACTCATTCTATCAGTAAAGGAAAACCATGAAATAAGTATATCACCAAAAGAAGTAAAATATCTAACAGAAAGTTGAGACATTTATTTTTAAAAAGCAGCCTCTGCCCGTAAGATAAATATGAAATTTAAAAGCAACTAACATTTGTTGAGTATATACTATGAGCCAGGCATTGAGTTAAGTGTTTTGAAGATGCTGAGGTAGAGACTATTAAAATTCACTTTTACATGTGAGAAAATGAATACTCAGAGATGATGGGTGACTTTGCTCACTGTCATTCAGTTAGTAAAAGACAGATCTAGAGGCTGATGGATTCTGAGACCCACAATTGTAACTACTGGGAGCTCTGATTTCTCATGACCTGGAAAATTCTCAGAGGCCACTACAATGTTCCGAATTAAGAACAATGTTGAAACCAGGTGCAGTAGCTCACGCCTGTAATCCCAGCACTTCGGGAGGCCGAGGTGGGCGGATCACCTGAGGTCAGGAGTTCCAGGCCAGCCTGACCAACATGGAGAAACCCTGTCTCTACTAATAATACAAAAATTAGCCAGGTGTGGTGGCACATGCCTGTAATCCCAGCACTTTGGGAGGCCGAGGTGGGCGGATCACCTGAGGTCAGGAGTTCCAGGCCAGCCTGACCAACATGGAGAAACCCTGTCTCTACTAATAATACAAAAATTAGCCAGGTGTGGTGGCACATGCCTGTAATCCCAGCTACTCAGGAGGCTGAGGCAGGAGAATTGCTTGAACCCGGGAGGCGGAGGTTGCGGTGAGCCGAGATTTTGCGCCATTGCACTCCAGCCTGGGTGACAAGAGTGAAACTCTGTCTCAAAAAAAAAAACAAAAACAAAAAAACAAAAACAAAAACAAAAAACAATGTTGGGGAAAAAGAAATGTAGTTATTGTGAACAGAAGAGGTACAAAAGAATAGGTATAAAAAGATTGGAAAGGTTCAAATTACATACAGTTAATTTAAAAAACTCCAAGTCTTTGGAAAAATAGAAATAGAAATAGAAGTGCATACATTACTCATTTTAAGATATTTTACAGGAAAAAAGCCACTTGAATATCATGACATGAAAATATACATTACATGAAGCAAACTGTCTACCAAATAAGCATGTTTAATATACTTACGTAAAGTGTATCCAGAAAACAATGATAAATCTATTAATTGAAATTACTTTAAAATCTTTTAAATTTTGATTACCATTTGAGCTGCAAGCTGCTATACTGTGATCTAGCCTTCTTAGTTTTATCAGTTTATAAGAAGGTAAGGAAAACTGGAAAATGGAAATTAATAGAAAAGCCAACAAACATTTAATACATTTTTGAGTTAAAGTTTATCCGTGGACTGAGCCCATGAAAAAATCACTCATTTGATTTTTTTCAACAGCATTTCTGAGTGGTGGGTATTGTAAGATGTATAAGATGGGGATGGTGCTTAGGGAGGTCACAGTGTAGAAGGCAGTAGGTGCTAAAAAAAATAATAAGGTGCAGTCATCTCATCAGGCAGACTACTTAAGCTCGGATTGTGATGCTCCCACTTCCTAGTCATTGAATAACCTTTGGGAAATTGTTTAGCTTTTTTGGGCCTCAGTTTTCTTATCTGTAAAATGGGGACACTATCAGTACTTATCTCATAGGATTATTATGAGGAAGAATTGTTAAAACGGAAAGTGGATCGAACAGCCCCAGTACAGTGGAAACTATCTATCAACAGCAGTTGCTATTATGAAACCTGTGATGGATGTCAGAATAGTGTGGAATGGGGACACAAAGATAGAAAGGCTAATTATCTAGGGATATGAAGGAAAACATCCCAGAGAGCAGATAGAAGGTGGGTAGGTATTTACCTGGGTGATTGGATAAGGGGGGTGATATGGTTTGACTGTGTCCCCATCCAAAATCTCATATTGAATTGTAATTTGAATTATAATCCGCACGTGTTGGGGGAGGGACCTCCTGGAAGGTGATTAGATCATGGGGTTGGTTCCCTCATGCTGTTATCATGATAGTGGATGCGTTCTCACAAGATCTGACGGTTTTATAAGGGGCTTTTCTCACCTTTACTCTGTACTTCTTTCTCCTGCCACCATTTGAATAAGGACCTGTTTGCTTCCCCTTCTGCCATGATTGTAAGTTTCCTGAGGCCTCCCAAGCCATGCAGAACTGTGAATCAATTAAACCTCTTTCCTTTATAAATTACCGAGTCTTGGGTAGGTCCTTATAGCAGCATGAGAATGGACTACTACACGGGGTCCAGGGTAGAGGGAGCAGTGAAAAAAAAATACAAAGGCAGGAGACATTCTGAGGCACTTGGTGAACTGCCCCTAGCAGGGCAAGGTGGGATGCTACAGTGTGAGGGTGTCTATAGTGATTGAGGGGTTCTGGGATCACAGCCTGGGGGCCTTATAGGGCCATGCTAAAAATCTTTCATGAATCTTGAGGTCAGCAGTTTCCTGAGAAAGAGGGTCCTGTGGAATTGCTTTAGCCACTGTGAAGAAAAGGTTAGAGTGGGATGGTGCTTACGCCAGTTCTAGCCAGAGCAAAACTGCTTTTATCTCTTTTATATAGTGTGTTTTCATGTAAGATTTTTATGTGAAGAAAAGAATCTGTTCCTTAAAAATAGTTTAAGTCTTATTGTGTATATTTAAGGTATACAATGTGGCAGTATGAGATGCATACATGGTGTTATGAGATATATACCCATCATTTCAGTTACCCATCTCCCCTGTAAGAACAGCTATAATCTACTCATTTCACAAAAATTCTGAATACACTGCTGTTAACAACAGTTCTCATGTTGTACATGAGATATTTAGACTTGCTTATTCTACATATCTGATACTTCATATTAATTGACCTACACCCCCTTTTTCCTACCCCTCACCCAGCTCCTGATAACCACTATTTTATTCTCTATCTATGTATACATATTTGACTTTCTTAAAAAACACTTGAATTTAAAATAAAAATCCACTGAAGTTTTTGATCAAGGAAGAAACAGGACCAAATTTGAATTTTAAAATAACTTTGAGAGTACTTGTTTAGTTACTTAGTAAAGACTATATAGAACTTATAATGTGCATACATGGTTCTAAACATTATAAATATTAATTATTGGGGCCAGGCGCGGTGGCTCATGCCTGTAATCCCATCACTTTCACAGGCCTAGGCAGGTGGATCACTTGAGGCCAGGAGTTCGAGACCAGCCTGGCCAACATGGAGCAACCCAGTCTCTACTGGTGGTGGGCGCCTGTAATCCTTGCTACTTGGGAGGCTGGGACAGGAGGATCATTTGAATCCAGGAGGCAGAGGTTGCAGTGAGCTGAGATTGCGCCACTGCACCCCAGCCTGGGCAAGAAAGCGAGGCTCTGTCTCAAAAGAAATGCATACACATATATATGTGTGTGTGTGTGTGTGTGTGTGTGTGTGTGTGTGTGTATAAACATACACGTGTGTGCATGTGTGTGTGTGTGTATATATATATAAGGTTAGATGGGAAGAGTTGATAAAAATTCAAGGCGTTCTCTCAACAACTCATCTGATGCATCTTTAGCTCTGAAAGCCTTTACGTATTCACTTAAAAAATAAACGTCACTGTCAGTACTTTCTGCTTCTCTGAAACCTTACATTTTTTTCTTCATATTTTTGTGAGTATAAATGTTAAAAAAGCAAAACAAAACAAAACCTTTGGGATAAAAAAGTTATTTATGAGTTTGCATGTTGCACTTGGTAAGAATTACTCATAAAAAGAGAGGGGAGTGTTGAGAACAGCGTGTGTGAGAGGAAGCGAGGGGTGCTGCAGCCTCTGGGAGAGGGAGGAGCAGCACAGAATCTGGAACCATGAGATTCGCTCCATCCTGCATCGGGAGGGGCGTGGTCTAGGCCCTTAGGGGGCCAACACAGGGTGGAAATAGTGGGTGATCCTGTGCCATGTGGAGAACCAGGTGTGGCTCTCAACATCCTCGGTACCATTTCTGGGAGCTGCTTTGGAAATCTCTGGAGATGGTTTTGGTAGTCACCAAAATGGAGAGGGTGCTACTGGCATTCAGTGGGTGGGGGCTAGGGATACTAGATACCCTGTAATATACAGAATATTCCTCGATCCTGCATGGGTTTCCATATGCACTCAGGTGAAATACCTGGCTGTAATTACAGAAGGCTGTAAACCTAATGTTTTCACATGAAATCACAAAGTATTTTTAAAAGCATGATTTTAATGTATATTGAATTTCTCAGTAGTGGAGCTACTGTGTAAAGAAAGGAAAGGCTGTATCTTGGTCAGAGTTTTTGGGGTTTGTTTTTGCTAGGAGTTGTTCACTGTTTTGGAAAATAACATCACAGGACAGTAACACTGCTCATAGCAGTTGAATTCCCATTCCAATCACCTGTATCAGTCTGCCTGTGTAGCTGCCACATTCACCATGAGCCGACAGCCAGTCTACCTCTGAACGATGCAAGTGTCTGATTATTTCATTATGTCACCACTGTCCTGCTCCGAGGCATTTATATATTTTTCCTTTAGATTGCATGTAGGTCACTCTATTTATTTCTTTGAAATAGTCTGTGCAGGTAGTTTATCTGAATTTCTTTGAGGAGAATACAGGTGTGTCATAAAATATTTGCTATAAAAATGGGGCTTGGAGTATGACAGCGTTGAGAGCCAATGTGACAAAGTAACATAAAACTGTTTTCAGACCACTCAGTTTCTCTTACACTATGGTGAAATGGGAACCCAGTTCATTTCTTGATTTGATTTTAACGTTTCCAAGTAGAGGCCATTTTAATTCACATACTGTGGAAAATTGAGGATGATAAAGCACACCAGAAGCAAGAAGACCCCTGTGTGTGCTAAACAAGAGCTCAGCCACCAAGGTGCACAGGGGCTCATCTGGGAAGTCCAGACCACAGTCCTGGGCAAGATGCTTAAGGCTGTTATGTGTCTGTAATTTTGGAAAACATACTTCCAGGGTCAGGTCCCATGCTGGCTGCTTGTCTTGAAACCCAGTCAAAAATAATTTCAGAAGGTGATATATTACAGTTTTGCCTTTTTGTATTGAAGAAAAAATATTTTAAAAATAATTTGATAATATATTTTATATACATATCACAAATATGCAACTATTCATCACATTTAATGTCAGATTTCCCAGTATTTAAAAATAGTCAGAATCCAAATTCTTAAAAAAATTTGTATTTCTTAAAAAACAGACAAAGCTTGATTTTTCTTCCCTGGTCCTTCATGTCTTTGACTTAATATTTTCATCAAGTACTTTTCAGTTTATCAATGCATTTGCCAGAGTATCATTTACATATGTCCAAAACAGGATGTAATAGGCTCCTTTGAGATACCTGGGTCTATACAACTCTGAACAAATTGAACTCTGGATGGACTATTTAGTTAAGTCATATGCTTGTTATTCTTTGAGAAAAGCTTATCTGAAGGTTGCATCAAAATGTTTTTCAGTCCAGACATGGCCCCTTGCCTTGTAACTAGCCATTTTATGTTACAAGTATACTTCTATTTAATATCTTGCTTACATGAAACAAATTGGGACATTTATTAAACATTTTTTTTCTGAAGTAAATGAAAAAAATGTAGTAGCTATAATGGGATAGGAAGCAGGGAGAGATGGAGACAAAGACCATGCTTTTCCATTAACTTTCCATTAATAAGCTAAAATAAATTCTTGCTTTATAACTCTAATGGGTATTTCTGAACAGATTGTTGGCAGGCACCATCTTAATAACAAGTAAAAATATTTGATTCACAGTTGCAAAGGCCCTAAATACAAATATAAATTTCCTCTTTTAATACCAATATTAGTTGTATTTAATATACACTAAATTCTGGTAACTACTAGTTCATGTAGATCCTGAGACCACTTGTTGCAATTTACTATGGTTGTGTATTTAATTAAAATAACAATTTGCATGAATAAATAGAATAGCAAAGCTTAACTGAGAACCAGTAAATATATAACTTCCAAATGATCTAACTATATGATTAATCATGCATAGCTAATGTTACAATAATTAGTGATTACTTTATATCTTTGTTCAGCAATGTAAGGAAGGGGACAAATTTTCTGATTAGTCAGAGGTCTGTGAAAATATTTCACCCCAAAAGGCTTTGCTAGATAGCTAACTGTATAAATCTAACTGTATTCCAAATATATTCTAAATATCTAACTAAATAATTCTGAAGTAGATAATTTTTTAACTGTTATGATTACTAATTGGATAATTTGGTATATTAATACTATCTTGAAAAGTATTTGTTTAAGACCCTTTTGGGTTCTCAATATAAGGATTTTAGTGTTGATTTTATAAATATATATTTATAAAATATTTGTTTACTATGGGCAAGGTAGTATGCAAACACTAATCTTATTCAAGTATATCCCTAAGTGCTTGGATCATTGGAAGTAAATGGGTAGAACTAAGGGATTTAATCTAATAAACAGCAATTTCTTTTTCCAAAGCTACAGAATCTAATAATTATCACCTTGATCTCTCAAAAGAGTTGGTGCTATTTTCTGTTATTTCAAGACCTAATTATTTTCTGCCTTTTCTATCTTTAGAAATTATGCATTTCTATCATTAAAAATAATGCATTTTCTATCTTTCAATTTTTTATTCTGCACATTAACAAGTACAGTGCTTTGGTTTATCGTTTATGACTCACAACAAGGTGATCAGAAACCTGCTTTTTAATTAACTTTCCTGTTTCCCTCTCATACTTCATGTCATCACCTTCTGCACAAAGCCATCTTTGAGATTTTCTGGTAGAAAGGAATCTTTCCCACCTTGATGCTCTATAACGTTCTCCCATGCCTTATCATAGGAATCACATTTTATCTACTATATCAACTCCTATTTCTCAACTCCTAATTGAGTCTACTTTTTGAGGGCTTTTTTTTTTATTTTGCACCTTTATTAGATACCCCCAGATACCCCCCTCCCACACACACACAGTCTCTCTCTCTCTTACACTCCTAGTCAATTTTCAGTAGAATCTACTGGTGTTTTACAGGCCTTCAATGAGGTCTGAAGAATAATTGCAGTGAAATTAATAGGTTTGCCATAAAATATAGTTATAATTATTCAAATTGGACAATCTGAGTCCCTTATCTATATTTATAAATTAGGGTTAGTACCTTGTGACCATTTCTGAGTTTATAAAATTAATTTATGTACAAATCTTATACAGCACTTACTATGTACCAGGCACTCTTCTGAGTGCTTTACAAGTATTCAATTATTTAATCCTTATTACAACCCTAAAGGTAAGTACTTTTGATTATCTCTACTTTATGAGTGAAGTGATTTGGCCACAGGGGGATTAGACTTTTGTCTAAAGTTGCACAAGTACATGGCAAAGCTGGCTTCACCCCAGAGTATCTGGCTCTTAATCACTGTATCAGGTTCTTTCTAAAAATCAGTGCAATTGTTATTTCCTCAGATCTTTTGAGTCTCATGTTGAGTCATGTAGAAGAAGGAATGAAGATGAACATCTTCCATTAGGGCTGTGCATTTTTAGGGCTAGATCAGAGGATGTAAACCCAAGCTTTTTCTTATTCCTATTTAATTTCAGTGTAGTACTAGCTTTCTTGGTACATGAAATGTTTTTAGTAAATTGAGAAAATAATATTTTAAATTTAGGTTGTGTTGGTATGCAGCTGGCACCATGGTTCATAGGGCTAACATGACAATATCTGAAAGGTAGATGGGGATCGTAAGGAGGGTGTCCATGAAATGAGGTAATGGCAGGTTTCTCCAAAAGGGAAGCTGGAAACTTTCTGAAAAATTTCAGGTTAAAATTTTTCAAATACATTATTTAGTTTGGAATATTTTTTAAAAATAACAGAAAAATTTCCATGACAAATTCAGCAACAGTGACAATACTGTGTTTCCAGGAATTTATCCATTTCTTCTAGTTTATCCAATCTATTGGTGTATGATGGTTCACAGAAGTCTTTTATGATCCTTTGTATTTCTGTGGTATCAATTGTGATATCTCTTCTTTAATTTATGGTTTTATTTATTTGAGTCTTCTCTTTTTTTCTAAAAAATAGTCTAGCTAAATGTCAATCTTTTCAAAAAACCAACTTTTAGTTTTGTCAATCATTTTTATTTTTATTAGTCTCTAATTTATTTTTGCTTTAATCTTTATTATTTCCTTCCTTCTGTAATTACTTTGTGCTAAGTCTATTCTTTTTTTCCCTAATTCTTTGAGCTTTAAAGTTGTTTATTTGAGATCTTTCCTTTTTCTTTATGTAGGTGTTTATCACTGTGAACTTTCCTCTTAGGAATACTTTTGCTGCATCCCATAGTCTTTCCACTTTTGTTTGTCTCAGGATATTTTTAAATGTCATTTTTGACTTCTTCTTTGACATATTGTTTAGGTGTGTGTTGTTTAATTTCCACACAGTTGTAAAATTTCCAGTTTTTCTCTTATTGATTTGTCTTTTTATACCATTGTGGTTAGAAAATATATTTGATATGATTTCAATCTTCTTAAATTTGTTAAGACTTATTTTGTGGCTCAACATATGATCTAAACAGGAGAATATTCTCTTTGCACTTGACAATAATTTGTATTCTTTTGCTGTTGGATAGCATGTTCTGTATTTGTCTGTTAGGTTCATTTGGCCCACAGTGTTATTCCTCCCACTGTTTCCTTATTGATTTTTTTTCTGGATGATCTATACATTTTTCCATGGGGGTTATTAAAGTCCCCTAATACTATTGTATTGCTGTCTATTTCTCTCTTCCATTCTGTTAATATTTGCTTTGTATATTTAGGTGTCCCAACATTGGGTGCATATATAATTGTTACATCCTTTGTCATTATATGATGACCTTCTTGGTCTTGTCACAGTTTTTTACTTAAAGTCTATTTTGTCTGATAAAAGTGTAGCCATCCCTGCTCCTTTTTGGGTGTCATTTGCATGGAATATCTTTTCCATCCCTTCACTTTCAGCCTATATACATTCTTTCTCTCTCTCTCTTCCTCTGGAACTCCCATAATTTGTATATTGGTTTGCTTCATGGTGTCCTAAAATCGCAGAAGCTTTATTCACTCTTCTTCATTCTTTTTTTCTCCTCTGATTGAATAGTGACTTGTCTTTGAGTTCACAAATTCTTTCTTTTGTTTAATTTAGCCTGCTATTAAAGCTCTCTATTGTATTTTTTATTTCACTTACTCTATTTTTCAGCTTCAGAATTTCTGTTTGGTTCTTTTTCATGATTTCTATCTTGTTAGACATCATTTTATTTGTATACTGTTTTCCCTATTTCATTGAGTTATCTGTGTTTGCTTATAGCTTGCTAAACTTTCTTAAAACAATTATTTTGAACTACTTGCCAGACAGTTCATAGAGCTCCACTTCTTTGGGGTTGTTACTGGAAAATTATTTTATTACTTTGGTGGTATCATGCTTCCTTAATTTTTCTTGTGTGTATGTTCCTTGAAATCTTGCATTGTTGTTTTTGCATTTAAAGACGCAGTCACCTCTACCAGTCTTTATTGACTGGTTTTGGGAGAGAAAGACTTCTACCATCAGCTTGGCTAAAGACTTGGAGGTCTCAGACTTTTTCTATGGGTGTGCCTACTCTACTCTCCTTTTTCCTCTTTGGAAGATAATTCTTAGGATTGCATGTTTTCTCTAAATCCTGAAAAGCTAGGGTGGGGCTGATAGCCTCCTGTTTATTTTTCCTAGGGTAGTGCTCTGAAGTGTTCCAGGTTAGACACCTTCTTCCAACCTAGCAGAGTCAAGCCTGTCTGTATGAACTCATGCACAATCTTCAGAGGCTCATAGGCACCATCAGTTAGTGTACACACAGGATGCCAGCTGTATAAGACATGCAGAGTACTGAAAGCATGGATAGGCTAGCTTGGAGGGAGTCTGCAGGTGATGTATCCTCTGAGATTTTTCAATGAGCCTCTTCATGAAGTCTCTCAGGTAGTTAGAATCTGCGGCTTGTTGTGGAGTTCTGAACCCTGGTTTCTGTGAGCCCATGCCCCTTTTCACTGCTCCTAGCTGCCTACAGACTATTTAGCTGTGTTTATCCCCTCAGTGTTCTGGGTGGGGTGAGAAATTGGCGGGCTTCTTGGGCAGTGTCCCACATGGCTTGGGAAGCCAGGCACTGTCTCATTTTCCCTGATAAGATAAACTGTAGGCCAAGGGGGTCTCTCTTATATATATCATCTATAGATGAAAAAAATTGGTTATCTTCTCAGAATATGTTTTTCAAAGAATAAAATATTTGAAATACATTTTACATACATTTCTAAAGTGTAAATGTACAAAATATATGATAAATTTTAGATACATTTCTTTTTCCTCAATTTGATTAAAGCCAAAAGCTAAATTTAATGATTGATATTTTCCTATAAAGTATACATATACTTCAAAATCATGATGATTTAAAACCATTCAATAAATTCCACATTTCATATTTCACACTGGGAAATTCCTTGAATTGTCCATTATTCCTCTCCATATCTGATTTCTTCGTTTCTTGGGAAAACAGAGAAAAAAACCAGACCATATTCAATATAACTTGAAACTCTGTCCTCAAGATATCTTGAAACTTCAAGAACTTATTTGAATTTTGCACTTTGAAAATAAATTTTGATTATAATATCCATTACTTATTTTCATGAGTTTCAAATGATGCCACTAGCCTACCCTGAAACTTATTATGGAACCATTCAATAAGTATACATCAATAGCCCTTATGAAGCTTTTGTGACATAAGAGGAGAAAAAAACAGTAAAAAGTATGTCTTCATTCAATTCTGTTCTTAGGAGGAGTGAAGGATACAGACCACAACAAGGAATTAATATATTAGAAGCTACATGTTTTGCGGAAAAAATAAGAGAAAGATAAAGAGAAAGGCAGTAGAATGGGGAGGGAGGGGGACAGCAACTTTATATAAAGAAGGCAGAGGAGGCCTCATTGGAAAGTGACATTAGAGAATGGGATAGGATGGCCAAATAGGAACAGCTCCAGTCTATAGCTCCCAGCGTGAGCGACGCAGAAGACGGGTGATCTCTGCATTTCCATCTGAGGTACTGGGTTCATCTCACTAGGGAGTGCCAGACAGTGGGCGCAGGTCAGTGGGTGCACGCACCGTGCGCGAGCCGAAGCAGGGCGAGGCATTGCCTCACTCGGGAAGCGCAAGGGGTCAGGGAGTTCCCTTTCCTAGTCAAAGAAAGGGGTGACAGACGGCACCTGGAAAATCGGGTCACTCCCACCCGAAGACTGCTTTTCCGATGGGCTTAAAAAACGGCGCACCAGGAGATTATATCCCCCACATGGCTTGGAGGGTCCTAAGCCCACGGAGTCTCGCTGATTGCTAGCACAGCAGTCTGAGATCAAACTGCAAGGCGGCAGCGAGGCTGGGGGAGGGGTGCCCGCCATTGCCCAGGCTTGCTTAGGTAAACAAAGCAGCCGGGAAGCTCGAACTGGGTGAAGCCCACCACAGCTCAAGGAGGACTGCCTGCCTCTGTAGGCTCCACCTCTGGGGGCAGGGCACAGACAAACAAAAGATAGCAGTAACCTCTGCAGACTTAAATGTCCCTGTCTGACAGCTTTGAAGAGAGCAGTGGTTCTCCCAGCATGCAGCTGGAGATCTGAGAACGGGCAAACTGCCTCCTCAAGTGGGTCCCTGACCCCTGACCTCCGAGAAGCCTAACTGGGAGGCACCCTCCAGCAGGGGCAGACTAACACCTCACGCGGTCGGGTATTCCAACAGACCTGCAGCTGAGGGTCCTGCTGTCTGTTAGAAGGAAAACTAACAAACAGAAAGGACATCCACACCAAAAACCCATCTGTACATCACCATCATCAAAGACCAAAAGTAGATAAAACCACAAAGATGGGGAAAAAACAGAGCAGAAAAACTGGAAACTCTAAAAAGCAGAGCGCCTCTCCTCCTCCAAAGGAACGCAGCTCCTCACCAGCAATGGAACAAAGCTGGACGGAGAATGACTTTGACAAGCTGAGAGAAGAAGGCTTCAGAAGATCAAATTACTCTGAGCTATGGGAGGAAATTCAAACCAAAGGCAAAGAAGTTGAAAACTTTCAAAAAAATTTAGAAGAATCTATAACTTGAATAACCAATACAGAGAAGTGCTTAAAGGATCTGATGGAGCTGAAAACCAAGGCTCGAGAACTACGTGAAGAATGCAGAAGCCTCAGCCGATGCGATCAACTGGAAGAAAGGGCATCAGCGATGGAAGATGAAATGAATGAAATGAAGCGAGAAGGGAAGTTTAGAGAAACAAGAATAAAAAGAAATGAACAAAGCCTCCAAGAAATATGGGACTATGTGAAAAGACCAAATCTACGTCTGATTGGTGTACCTCAAAGTGACGGGAAGAATGGAACCAAGTTGGAAAACACTCTGCAGGATATTATCCAGGAGAACTTCCCCAATCTAGCAAGGCAGGCCAACATTCAGATTCAGGAAATACAGAGAACACCACAAAGATACTCCTCGAGAAGAGCAACTCCAAGACACATAATTGTCAGATTCACCAAAGTTGAAATGAAGGAAAAAATGTTAAGGGCAGCCAGAGAGAAAGGTCGGGTTACCCTCAAAGGGAAGCCCCTCAGACTAACAGCTGATCTCTCAGCAGAAACTCTACGAGCCAGAAGAGAGTGGGGGCCAATATTCAACATTCTTAAAGAAAAGAATTTTCAACCCAGAATTTCACATCCAGCCAAACTAAGCTTCATAAGTGAAGGAGAAATAAAATACTTTACAGACAAGCAAATGCTGAGAGATTTTGTCACCACCAGGCCTGCCCTAAAAGAGCTCCTGAAGGAAGTGCTAAACATGGAAGGGAACAACCAGTACCAGCCGCTGCAAAATCATGCCAAAATGTAAAGACCATCGAGACTAGGAAGAAACTGCATCAACTAACGAGCCAAATAACCAACAATCGTCATAATGACAGGATCAAATTCACACATAACAATATTAACTTTAAATGTAAATGGACTAAATGCTCCAATTAAAAGACACAGACTGGCAAATTGGATAAAGAGTCAAGACTCTTCAGTGTGCTGTATTCAGTAAACCCATCTCACAGGCAGAGACACACATAAGCTCAAAATAAAAGGATGGAGGAAGATCTACCAAGCAAATGGAAAGCAAAAAAAGGCAGGGGTTGCAAACCTAGTCTCTGATAAAACAGACTTTAAACCAACAAAGATAAAAAGAGACAAAGAAGGCCATTACATAATGGTAAAGGGATCAATTCCACAAGAAGAGCTAACTATCCCAAATATATATGCACCCAATACAGGAGCACCCAGATTCATAAAGCAAGTCCTGAGTGACCTACAAAGAGACTTAGACTCCCACACATTAATAATGGGAGACTTTAACACCCCACTGTCAACATTAGACAGATCAACAAGACAGAAAGTCAACAAGGATACCCAGGAATTGAACTCAGCCCTGCACCAAGCGGACCTAACAGACATCTACAGAACTCTCCACCCCAAATCAACAGAATATACATTTTTTTCAGCACCACACCACACCTATTCCAAAATTGACCACATAGTTGGAAGTAAAGCTCTCCTTAGCAAATGTAAAAGAACAGAAATTATAACAAACTGTCTTTCAGACCACAGTGCAATCAAACTAGAACTCAGGATTAAGAATCTCACTCAAAACCGCTCAACTACATGGAAACTGAACAACCTACACCTGAAGGACTACTGGGTACATAATGAAATGAAGGCAGACATAAAGATGTTCTTTGAAACGAACGAGAACAAAGACACTACATACCAGAATCTCTGGGATGCATTCAAAGCAGTGTGTAGAGGGAAATTTACAGCACTAAATGCCCACAAGAGAAAGCAGGAAATATCCTAACATCACAATTAAAAGAATTGGAAAAGCAAGAGCAAACACATTCAAAAGCTAGCAGAAGGCAAGAAATAACTAAAATCAGAGCAGAACTGAAGGAAATAGAGACACAAAAAGCCCTTCAAAAAATTAATGAATCCAGGAGCTGGTTTTCTGAAAGGATCAACAAAATTGATAGACCACTAGCAAGACCAATAAAGAAAAAAAGAGAGAAGAATCAAATAGACACAATAAAAATGATAAAGAGGATATCACCACCGATCCCACGGAAATACAAACTACCATCAGAGAATAGTACAAACACCTCTACGCAAATAAACTAGAAAATCTAAAAGAAATGGATAAATTCCTCGACACATACACTCTCCCAAGACTAAACCAGGAAGAAGTTGAATCTCTGAATAGACCAATAACAGGATCTGAAATTGTGGCAATAATCAATAGCTTACCAACCAAAAAGAGTCCAGGACCAGATGGACTCACAGCCGAATTCTACCAGAGGTACAAGGAGGAACTGGTACCATTCCTTCTGAAACTATTCCAATCAATAGAAAAAGAGGGAATCCTCCCTAACTCATTTTATGAGGCCAGCATCATCCTGATACCAAAGCCGGCCAGAGACACAACCAAAAAAGAGAATTTTAGACCAATATCCTTGATGAACATTGATGCAAAAATCCTCAATAAAATACTGGCAAACGAAATCCAGCAGCACATCAAAAAGCTTATCCACCATGATCAAGTGGGCTTCATCCCTGGGATGCAAGGCTGGTTCAATATACGCAAATCAATAAATGTAATCCAGCATATAAACAGAACCAAAGACAAAAACCACATGATTATCTCAATAGATGCAGAAAAGGCCTTTGACAAAATTCAACAACGCTTCATGCTAAAAACTCTCAATAAATTAGGTATTGATGGGACATATCTCAAAATAATAAGAGCTAACTATGACAAACCCACAGCCAATATCATACTGAATTGGCAAAAACTGGAAGCATTCCCTTTGAAAACTGGCACAAGACAGGGATGCCCTCTCTCACAACTCCTATTCAACATAGTGTTGGAAGTTCTGGCCAGGGCAATTAGGCAGGAGAAGGAAATAAAGGGTATTCAATTAGGAAAAGAGGAAGTCAAATTGTCCCTGTTTGCAGACGACATGATTGTATATCTAGAAAACCCCATTGTCTCAGCCCAAAATCTCCTTAAGCTGATAAGCAACTTCAGCAAAGTCTCAGGATACAAAATCAATGTACAAAAATCACAAGCATTCTTATACACCAATAACAGACAAACAGAGAGCCAAATCATGAGTGAACTTCCATTCACAATTGCTTCAAAGAGAATAAAATACCTAGGAATCCAACTTACAAGGGATGTGAAGGATCTCTTTAAGGAGAACTACAAACCACTGCTCGAGGAAATAAAAGAGGATACAAACAAATGGAAGAACATTCCATGCTCATGGGTAGGAAGAATCAATATCGTGAAAATGGTCATACTGCCCAAGGTAATTCACAGATTCAATGCCATCCCCATCAAGCTACCAATGACTTTCTTCACAGAATTGGAAAAAACTACTTTAAAGTTCATATAGAACCAAAAAAGAGCCCGCATTGCCAAGTCAATCCTAAGCCAAAAGAACAAAGCTGGAGGCATCATGCTACCTGACTTCAAACTATACTACAAAGCTACAGTAACCAAAACAGCATGGTACTGGTACCAAAACAGAGATAGAGATCAATGGAACAGAACAGAGCCCTCAGAAATAACGCCACACATCTACAACTATCTGATCTTTGACAAACCTGAGAAAAACAAGCAATGGGGAAAGGATTCCCTATTTAATAAATGGTGCTTGGAAAACTGGCTAGCCATATGTAGAAAGCTGAAACTGGATCCCTTCCTTACACCTTATACAAAAATCAATTCAAGATGGATTAAAGACTTAAACGTTAGACCTAAAACCATAAAAACCCTACAAGAAAACCTAGGCATTACCATTCAGGACATAGGCATGGGCAAGGACTTCATGTCTAAAACACCAAAAGCAATGGCAACAAAAGCCAAAATTGACAAATGGGATCTCATTAAACTAAAGAGCTTCTGCACAGCAAAAGAAACTACCATCAGAGTGAACAGGCAACCCACAAAATGGGAGAAAATTTTCGCAACCTACTCATCTGACAAAGGGCTAACATCCAGAATCTACAATGAACTCCAACAAATTTACAAGAAAAAAACAAAGAACCCCATCAAAAAGTGGGCGAAGGACATGAACAGAGACTTCTCAAAAGAAGACATTTATGCAGCCAAAAAACACATGAAAAAATGCTCACCATCACTGGCCATCAGAGAAATGCAAATCAAAACCACAATGAGATACCATCTCACAACAGTTAGAATGGCAATCATTAAAAAGTCAGGAAACAACAGGTGCTGGAGAGGATGTGGAGAAATAGGAACACTTTTACACTGTTGGTGGGACTGTAAACTAGTTCAACCATTGTGGAAGTCAGTGTGGCGATTCCTCAGGGATCTAGAACTAGAAATACCATTTGACCCAGCCACCCCATTACTGGGCATATACCCAAAGGACTATAAATCGTGCTGCTATAAAGACACATGCACACGTATGTTTATTGCGGCATTATTCACAATAGCAAAGACTTGGAACCAACCCAAATGTCCAACAATGATAGACCGGATTAAGAAAATGTGGCACATATACACCATGGAATACTATGCAGCCATAAAAAAATGATGAGTTAATGTCCTTTGTAGGGACATGGATGAAATTGGAAATCATCATTCTCAGTAAACTATCGCAAGAACAAAAAACCAAACACCGCATATTCTCACTCATAGGTGGGAATTGAACAATGAGAACACATGGACACAGGAAGGGGAACATCACACTCTTGGGACTGTTGTGGGGTGGGGGGAGGGGGGAGGGATAGCATTGGGAGATATACGTAATGCTAGATGATGAGTTAGTGTGTGCAGTGCACCAGCATGACACATGTATACATATGTAACTAACCTGCACATTGTGCACATGTACCCTAAAACTTAAAGTGTAAGAATAAGAATAAAAAAAGAAAATACAATAAAAAAAAAGAAAGTGACATTAATGCAGACTTGGAGAAGACAAGGCAGTCATATGCATATATATCTTTGGAAGAGCATTACAGGCAAAAGAAACAGCAGATGCAAAATTCCTGAGACAAAATTGGTATGTTCTAAGAACACCAAAGGGGTCAATGTAGCTGGAGAGGAGCATGCAAAGGAGAGAGGTGATACGAGATGAAACCAGAGAGGTGGGGCCCTACAGACCATTGTATGGTCTTTCACTTTTCCTCTATGTCATATGGGGAGCCATTGAAGGCTGTGAGCAGAGGAGTTACATAATGCTGTGATGTTAACAGGATCTTTTTGTCTGTTACAGTGGAGAATAGACCTTAAGGGACAAGGTGGAAGCAGGGAGGTAGTAAATCGGCTATTATAACAGTCTTTGGGAGACATGATGCCATTCCATACTGGTGCCAACTGGGCACTGATTGTTGGAGGGGATGACAAACTTAGTTTTTCACACCACAGCATTAGGGGCAGTGGGATGTTGATGATGTGGGAGGCTATGCAAGTGTGGGGACAGAGGGCATATGAAACATCTCTATACCATCCTCTCAATTTTGCTGTGAAACTAAAGCTGCTGTAAAAAGAAATCTTAAATAAAATGAGAAACCACAATCAATCATGGCTTAACTATTGAATTACTAAAGAACAGGCTATTTATATACAAAAAAAGTACTTGTGGACAAGCATCTGGATGACAAATATTTTCATGTGATGGAAACCATTCATGGGGCAACAATAATGTTATTATAACAATATTTTTATTTGAATTATACCACAGAATTTGTTGTTTCTCTTTGTTGTAATTCTCTGTCTTGCTGAAAAACTTGCTGCTTTTTTTTTTTTAACATCTCTGAAAACATATACAGGATCAAGACAGAGTCAAAAATAAAGAAAGTAGATTTTGTATTCTTTTGGAAGTTTCTTCACATTTCTAAAGGTTTTATTTCTCTTTACAGAAAATGTCCCAGAGTGAGATAGGTATATGCTATCCTACTTGTCTTCAAACCCACCCCTGACACTTAGTTATCTCATAGTGTAGCTTCATGTTGTGATATTGAGTCCGGAACCTGAAAGCATCTGTTTTACTGCTTTTATGGTTTTTCTATAACCCCTGACTAATTTATCCTTTGGTTTCATATTTGATCATTATAATCACATAGATGAGAACTAATTCTCAAAGCACCTTATTCTCTCAGGGCATATTTAACTTGGAAAAGAGCAATCCAGAACAATTATTCTCAACCAGAGGTGCAATTTTGTGCCCCAGGGGACATTAGACAATGTCTAGAGATATTTTTGGTTGTCACTTTTGTGGAGATGGGTGCTTCTGGTACCTAGTGGCTAACAATGCTGCTAAACACCCACAGTGCACAGGACGGCTCCCATCTAGGTAGAGTATCTAGTTCCAAATGTCAGTAAGTTAAGTTTGAGAAACTTCTCTTGAATAACAGTTTAGAATGGAGTGGCTACCATTCTAAGCAGGCAGAATTTTCATCAGTTTGAAGAAATCAGCCTCTAAAGACTGGTTTTCTTGGGGCTAGAGACAGTTAAAGCTGCTCCATAATGGGCTTTTCCAAAGAGTAACTCAAGCATCAGTTCAGCACCTACCATAGTATATAATAGAAATTGCTTTCTGGCTTAATACATCACAAAGAGCTATAAAAGCATCTTCAATAAAATACTAACAAGATTTCACACACTGTAATTGAGGGATAAGAGGGTGACAACGTTGCCTCCAAGATTTAAAGGAATATTTTTCTACTTATTCAATTAATTTCTTTTGTAGGATGAATGATGGTGGTGAATGTCCATCCTGTATTAAGGATTTAAGCTCCGTTGCACAACGAAGAAAATCCAGAGATTACAGTGTACCCTTCTTTCTTTTCATTCCAGTTGATCAAACACATATCTGAAGACTACAAATTTCATTAACAATCCCAAACTATCAGCAACAATTCTTCAAAGGCTATTTATCAAATTTGTAAATGTGTTAGGGTAGTCCAGGAAATTCTCTCTCATTACTTTATTCTATTGATTTTCAGCTGCACATATTTTCACTTTTTAATCTCTCTGAAACAAGGTTTATCTTGCAATGCAATGCAATCGTACAATCACTGTCAACCTATAGTTATGTGAAAATCGTTTGATAAGCTAAAGAAAATGTCAGCATCAGTGCATCCTACATTCAATAAAATAAGGAGGATTACCTAAATATCTGCTTATAGGGGTGTGGCTAACACCTTCTAGTGACAGTGAGACTCACGTGCATATTGAAAGGAGGTTCCAGACCCTTATGATTTGTATTTTGAAAGATTCCTCACAGATACTAATTCACACAGTCCATTCATGAGTTATTCTAGAAATAGTATGCAAGAAATTAGGATATGGAAAATACTCAGGCCCCTGAGACCTTAAAAGCCAAATTACAATAATAGAATCTTCCCTCACAGTACCTTTGCAATCTTAGAGAACATTAAGCTTGTTCCTTCTACTGAATCATCTTTGAACTTATCTTAACTGCATTAAAGTTATTCCCTGACATACTGGACTGTTTCTAGACCCTTAAAGCACAGGCTAAATAGACACCACAGTACCTATCACTATTCCCATTTCCATAAAGTGGAGAGCCACACAAGCAAGAAAGAGGGCAAAACAGCAATTAGAGGCAACTTCCTATAATAACTTCCAGGGTTTGCATTTTTTAGTTAGAAAGAGCTATGAAAAGATACAGCTCTCAATGCTCAAGTGATAAAATCCACTTCCTAAACATGCTGCATAAACTTCAAATTTTCCTGCCAAAACATCCTGATATGTTTATGAAATGTCACCTAGTTTACAAATTGGCACACCTTCTATGAGGAGTTGGGGCAGTGATACGAAGAGTTTTATGGGGTCCTTTCTAGGAAATACTTCTTGGGGTAGACCAGATGCAGATCACGACAAACAGACCTGAAACTGGGATAAAAATTTGAATTGAATACGAATCAGTTCTGGAATTGGGGGAAATAATCACTACTACACAGTGACAGGCAGCTGGTACTCTGGTTCTAGGGTAGGAGTAAAATTATTTTATCCACTCGAGGAAGAAGAGAGGAGATTCTCTCTCTTTGAAATGCCCTAAGACTCAACTATTGGTGATCTGGCAGGGATATCAGCTACATTAGTGTCTCCCTGCAAAGGAGCCCTCTCATAAGCAAGTCACGAGAGATTAAAGAAATATTTTACAACTGGAGTGGCTAAAATGGTCTCTTTACAAATGTTTCTCTGGCTTTATCATGAAGCATGAAGACAGAGCCCAGCACAGGTGGACTTTTCAGTATTTGCATCTACTGTCCACAAACCACATGAAACACTATTTGGTATTACATTTTTGCCTCCTGACTCCGTACAATGTATGTGACTGAGGAATAAAGATCATCTAGACAGTGTTGGTGAAATAATAAATATTCTACAAATTTCATTTTGATAAAACTTCAATGTTTTCATCTAGTAAGATTTCAGTATTGAAGTTTTCATCTATCTAGTCACTTGTCAAAAGGCTCCTAATAATAAATATTGAACTACCCCGTAGTACTTGCACTGCAATGTGGAGCCAAAGGAACATAACAGAATAACTACTGACAAAGGGTAACAATTTAAAAAATTAATTACAACACCCCTCCCCACCACCAAAAAAAAAACACATGGAACTAGCTCAAGATGCTTTTCTAATTAAAGCTTTTATATCAGTTTCATAATGTCAACTGTTCAGGTATCTATATCTTGTTTATATCTCTGAGTTGGTTTTTTGGTTTTTCCAAATTGCAGTCAAGTTCTAAATCACAGAATTACAGACTTTTCAAACTGAAACTTAGTGTGCAATTGAATAGTAGTGATAACTAAAATAAGAAAAGTGGCAAGTGATTCTTATATTCATATTTACAAAACTCGAGACAAAAAGTGGACTAGAATTTGTTGTTTCTTAGCAATCACCTTTATGATAAAAATCATATAGTCTTAGGTCTGTTGGTATCATCTAGTTCAAAGTTTTACCAGATACACAAATCTACATGGCCTTGATTAACAGCAACTATCCAGATTTTATTTAAATGCCTCAAATATCCTATATGTCACTCCTATATGTCATATTGTACACTATAATCAGTTCTCCTTTTGCTAATTACCTTGCATTATACTTCATAGAAATAAGTAGATATGAGGCAGTAAATGCCCCATCTTCCTATGATGAACTGTATCAACCTATTCATACAGTTTCCATTAATGTGTTGGTAAATGTATAACAAACAGTAGTCCAAAAAAATTAAAAGCCCTTATTTCTATCATTTGCCAATTTCAGTGGTATAAATACTAATCTCAGGATACCAACATGAAGCCTCTAAAGTGGAGTTAGGAAGAGATGCACATAATCTGTTCTCAGGAGCAAATAGTTCTTCTCTTTTGTTATTATGATGAAGTTGTTCTATAAAGTTGTTCTATAAATTCTTCAACTCGGGATTTGGATCCAATCTCTTTTAATTTTCTAAAAACTTCATTCCTAATTAAACTTCCCCTCTCACTAAATCATCAATTTCTTCATTTTTGGAGGATTTTTTTTCTACCAGCATCTAACAAGCCATGTATAATCACAATATTCTTTTTCAATTCTCTCAATAGCATTTACTATTTGATATTTTTTTCTTACATGTTTAGGTTTTTAATTGTGTTTATATTCTGTCTCCCTCAAATAGAATGGAAGCCTTACAAGTGCAGGAGCCCTGTCTATGTTGTTCATACCCTTTTCCCCAGAACTTATAATAGTTCTAGGCACATAGCACATACTTACCAAATAGTTGCTGGTTTATGAAAACAATAGAGAACTTCGTAAAAGAGCCTTTTATCATTGGCAACACTTACTGTTAGAAATTTATCTTTTATGTTGGTGGGAATGAATCTCTTCCTAATTCTACACACTGGTCTCAAATATTCCCTGGGTCTTAAGACAAATGAATAGATTTTGATTCATTTAAAGAGTATGAAAAATAATACTGTATGCTTGGGTCATCAAAATACTTGAGGGACTCATATCAGTTTGAAACTAATAAAATAATGTTTAATGATTTTTATATTATACATTCTTATAAAATAGACCACATTAATTTAAATTGATGTTTATTGGTAAATGTCCTGACAATGTTTAGGAAGGGTTCAAAAAAACCTTACACACCACAGTACCTATCACTATTGATAGGTACTGATCACTATCAGCCCACTAGACTGACACCTAAACAGAATACTACTTGTTCCTGGTTATAAAGTCTTGGTAAGTGAATAATTAGATGTTTGTCCCAATTTGATAAATCATATATTTCACAGTAGAAACTAAATTTATCTGATAAAATTTTCTGTGAATTACAAGCAGATGTAATAGATGGCTACCTATATCAGCAGGGTGATCCCTGTTCCCTCTGTACTGTGGGGACATGCCGGCAGTGTCTTTCACCACTGATAATACTCCTTTCAGGCTGTCCCGCAGGCTTCCCTTCCCCAGCACACCCCTTGAATGGTAGTGACCCTTAAGGTTTCTTTCCTGGGCCGTTTATTTTTCTCTCTCTGTATACTCTCCTCTGTTGAACTCAGCCAGTCCCGAGGATTCAATGATCAAAAACTGATAATTCCCTAGATCTTATTCTTCAGCTCAAATATCTCTTTAGCTTTAAAGTTTGCAAACTCAACTGTCCACCAGACATCTCCATTTGAATATCCCCTGGGTATCTTGAAGGAACCGCTCTCAAACTGGATACATCTTTCTGCACTCCCCAGTAAGCACACTTCCATTTCCCAATGTTGCCTATCTCAGAGAATGATACCACTCTTGACCAGTTGAAAAACCATTTTTTTCCCCTATCATTGCCCTTTATTATACTCTTCTCAGGGATGCCTCTTTCCTGATTTCTCTCCTCACTAGAGGGTGAGCTCTGGCTTCTTCACTGTGGCATCTACAGCTGCCAGCACTGTGCATAACAAATATAGGTTCTCGGTATTTGTTGAATACCATTATTTCTCTAGTTAGACAAAAAATCTATTCATCCTTTAGGGGTTCCAACTCTCCCCCAAATCCAGACACTAAATCTATTAGGAAAGTGCCAAAATCGAGTATTTATTAAGGGAATATGGTCCAATTTGGTATAGATTATACACTATAATCAGTTTTCCTTTGCTTCACCAACAATAAGCTGTAGGACAGCTAATCCAGTGTAAGTCACAACTTTCAAATATGCCAATTCAATGCCTGAATGCCTTGTCATTACTGTCATTTTTGATGCCTTTTTCTTTCCAATTACATGCTGGAAGCACAAGATACAGTAAATATAATTCTTCTTCCTTAATATCATAGTGGTTTAAATTTAGATTCCTTAGAGTTTTCAGGAAAATGCATGTAAAAGAGGATTGAAAAAGTTGTTAATACTTTGTAAAAATAATTCAACTCTACTAAGTACAATTCTTAAAGAAAAAAAGGTCCTGAAAATTTCTCTTTTCCACAATGAGCATTATGCCTAAATTTGCTGTCGTCACTTTGCTTGTTTTTGCTCTTTGTCATCAAGTTTCCATGGATCTATTGTGATTATCTACAAGTGTTGAAACATAAGGAAGACCCAAGAATGATTACTTTCTCAGAAGTGAAACTGAGCTCTATTAGAACTTGGGAGAGTGGGAGGGCACTCTCTAAATAGGAAAATTATGGGCAGGAGGAAGATTACAAAGTGGTTTTCAGTTTGAAGGCCTCTACTGTCTTAGAAAGCCCAACATTCTGTCCTCACATAAATCTGGAAAATGTCTATGGGATGGGAAGAGGACACCCCATCTCAGTCCACTAGACTGATACCTAAACAGACAGTGAGACTGTCACTGTCATCAGGAGACGAGGACTTCCAGAGGGGCTGACACAACGTATGGAATACTTCGACACTTTCTAAATTGAATACATTTTTACATGAATAAAAATGCTAGTGGTGTGTGTGTGCATGGATATTTATATACTCAGGCATTTTCATTAGTTTGCTGACATTTGATCAGACATTTAAAAGTCTTTTGACTAACTCACAGGCCTACATTGTCAATTTCTACAAGTACTAGACAATATAAAACAGTACTAATAACAGCTGTGACAGAATTTAATAAGGCATATGAATAAAATGTGTAGTTTTCACAGGCTAATTTACACATATGTATAACTGAGAAATGAATTTGGAAGATGTTAGCCTCCCATCTGTACCACACAGATAAAGATAGGAAAAAATGATTTACAAACTGTCAATGAACAATTTTAAATGAATTCTCACGTTCCATCTGAAAGTAAATTTCAAATGCCCTAAATATACTTTCTGAGCTCCCTTGCTATGGGTGTTATTTTATTTCCATATGATTCCATAATTTATATGTACATGTAACAAGATGTTGATTTTCAGGCTCTAAATTGTTAATTTTGAAATTTGCATGATAAAATTTAGTCAGTGTTATTTGTGGTTGATTTGTGTGAGGTCAAATGCTCAGGATCTTTCTTCAGTTTTACTTTTCTTCTGAACTCTTGAATTCTCACCTCCTTCACTGAGTTAATTTCTGCTCTGATGAGCTATATTATGAAATTGCAGTACACATGCCAGCCCTAGAGTTGTATGTTATTTAAGTTGAGACTATAGATTACAGAGATAGGCAGTCTTGTTGTTAATCTTCCTGCTTGTTTCAAGATCCAACTTAAAAACATATGTAGCCAATAATTTGTGCTGCATTCAAATGGAATTTGTGTATCTCATTAAGTATAGTAAAAAAATATCAAGATTAAGTAGGTTCAAAGAATAAGATATTAGTATAAATCTCTAAGGAGAAGTGTAGTTCCAGATTTATATGATGGAATTTTGTTACAGAGAATATTAATCAATTCCCCTTACCTCCATTTTATTCATGGAATTTTTTCATTAATTCTCTTACATGGGCCTTCATTATCCTCCCCAGATAATTACAGACACTAACTACTGATTTAGTGGGTAGTTACCTGGGGGAGAGGGACTATAAAAGGTCATATTACAGAATCTGAGAGTCAAGAATTAGAGTCTAAAGTTAAGTGGAAAAAAAAAAAAAAGAAAGAGGCTGGGTGTTGTGGCTTATGTCTCTATTTTCAGCATTTCGGGAGGCTGAGGTAGGAGGAGTTCTTGAAGCCAGGAGTTCAAGGCCAGCCTGGGCAACAAAGCAAGATCCTGTCTCTACAAAAAAATTTTAAAAATTAGCTGGGAATGGTGGTGCACACTTGCTATCCCAGCTACTTGGGAGGCTGAGGCAAGACGATCCTTTGAGCCCAGAAGGCTGCAGTGAGCTATGATTGAGCAACTGTACTCCAGCCTGAGTGGCACAGTGAGGCCCTGTCTCAAAAAAAAGAAAGAGAGAGAGAGAAAACAAAAAGCAGTTGAGTTTGGCAAAGGAGAGAACATTCTGACGCAGACTTTCAGAGTTATTTTTTAGCTCCCCCTTCCCACTCATTCCTAGGCTGGGAGAAGTGGGGAGCAGAAAGCCTGGAAGAGATTTCACAGGGTGAAGTCTCAGAGGTCAGCAGAAGCTGGTAATAAGGAGTTAGTTTTGTCTTTAGTCCTACCCGATGAGAGACTAATAGTAGATAGTATTATTATCAAATATATTCTAAATGCCTTGCAGTCTAAGTGTGTTATGAGTATTAGCTCATTTAATCTTCACACAATCCATTAAGTGCTCTTATTATTTCCATTTTCTGGAAGAGAAAACAGAGGCACAAAAAGTGATATGCCCAAGGTGTAATAAGCGCTGAAGCCTGGATGTCAACCAGCCAACCTGACTCCAGAGGCCACACTTTAACCACCACTGTACTGCCCTTCAGGATGGTCCATTCAGGTAGCCAGGTTGGCATCTCCTGTTTCTTGTCTAACTGGAGCCATATCCAAGACTTTGCCTACCAACTCCACAGATCTACTGTGAATAGGTAACTTCAACAGCTCAGAAAAATAACTCATAAGACTGAAGAATGCATGGTGGGACCTTGGATGGCTGCTGGTGATGAACCGAGCAAAGGAGGACTAAATGGAGCCAACCAGTGAACTCCCACCAGGGCACTGGCAGTGGTGGCACATATATTTGCACCTTTTAGCTACTGAGGTGGTTTTGCTACTTTAATTCTTGTGGTGTTAAGGAGACTCAAGCATAGACCCTCGACACTGGGTGCAGGTACTGCTCGGCAAATGAGGAAGCCTATTAGGAGCGTGAGCCTGCAACATCTCCTGTAAATATCATGCTGAAGGAATGCAGTGCACAGGGAAGCAAGTTGAGCCTGTTGACCTCTAAAGCCTTTCATTTTGGAAGCCTTGATAATTCTGTGATTCCAGAGAGATATTGCTGCTCTTTCTGCAATTTCTATCTTTTAACGTTGGCAGCTCAAGCAGGTTCTCAGATGCTTGGAGTGAAGCTACTTATTAAAAAATAATTAACAGTGAGATCATCATGGGCACGGCTGAGTTTTAACAAAAGAACTCATGGAATTTTCGGGGTTTTAAAACTGCTATATATAAGTCCGAAGACTAAAATTAGCAATAATCATTAGGAAATAAAGCACTGTGGTTAATGTCCACATTGACCACAATTGGGTAGCTGCCTGCTGTTTTGAATCCTAATTTCTTCAGACCTTTTTGTACTAAATACTTTTTAAGTGATAAATCAACAACTGCCACACAAATTAAATGACTACATTTTATTTTTGAAGCACAGAAGAAGAGTCTTCTTTATGTGCTTTTACTATCGTTGGCATTTAACATATGTACATATTTTTACAAATCCCATTTGTAGATATTCCCTTCAATAAATGAGAAAGGTATTCTCCACAAATCCTTAGGATGTGTAGGCACTCAGGTATTAATAGGTGAGGTGGTTTTTCTTTTTCTACACACAAGACACACACGTATGTACACACATGTGTACATAGGTACACATCCATATAAATACACAAACAACTTCGTTTTTCTTATGGTATGACTTTTTAAGTTAAAAGATGTATGAAAATGTGGCATTTAGTGATAAAAAGAAAGACATACAGAATGTTAAATATTTATAGGTAGCATACCTACTATGTGCAAAAACTACCACAGTCACTGGGGACAAAGATGAATGAGACATGGGTCTGGCCTGAAAAAGCACCTATTATAGAGGGTGCAGGAAGTGGGAGACATGAAGTACACAGATAAATATTAATATGTAATAAGGGCACCATAAGATGTACCACATTTAAGCAGAGATAAATCATTTAAAAGGAATCTGTAAGGCAGGCATCCTGATTTCACACCAGACTCTTAACCACAAAAGATAATGTTGGAACTTTAAGAAGACTACTGAGGAATTCATTTGTGATGAATGAACACATACTTCAGAATAAAAGTAGCTGCTATTTATTGAATGTCTACTTTATATTTGTTTTCTCTAATTCTCACAATGCTGCAAGCTTGTTTTACAGATAAAACTTCTAAGTTTCAGAGAGGGTCAGTGAGCTACAAAATGTCACAGTGGGATAGTGGCAGAGCTAGAATTCAATCCTAAGGCCAGCCACAATTCCACACCACTAAAACAAGAACAAGCTTGTCTGCCTTTGGCTCTGCTGGTCATCTTTTCTTTAGCTAGGACCACTCTTTTCCCAGGATGTCTGTTGTGAGATTGGCTGCTTTCTCCTTTCTGTGTTCTTAGCTGTTGGTAGATTATCTCACTCTTGGCTGTTGAGATTGTGCTGGGTACAGCCTCTGTCAACGGCTTCAAGGTTCTGCTTCCCCCCAATATGTTCAGCAAAATGTTAGCTTCCTGCTTTCCTTGTTAACCCCTGGGGTGGCTCTTGTGGGTTTGGTTGACCCTGCAGTCTTCTGTCTATTGTAAGCATTCAGAATTCTCTGCTTGATCAATGGTGTGGGGTGTGCTGGGGCAAAGGGAAGGGATTTTTCTACTCCCTTTGGCAGGAAGAATTGCTTCTTTGTCAGGGTTAGAGTTGCAAACAGATTCCCCTTTGTAAGGTGTCATGATACTTCCTGGGTAACACCATTAAATGTTTCCCAGGGAGCAGAACTCTAGGGTCGTTGCTGAATTACTATTTAACTTCCAAGGGTATGTGAGCCTTCAACTGTTGTTCAACTGCACTATTGAACTCAGCACGTGGTAAAAGTAAGATTCTCATGAACTGAGTCTTTGATAAAAGGAATCATGGGCTGAATCTTTTACAGAACATGTCTGTTTTGTTAAACATTGTGTACTCAAAGTCCAACATAATGGATACATGGCACATAGTAGGTGTTCAATAAAAGTTAATTGAATGAATGAACTTGGAATAGAAGCAGCTGGCTGTGTGTGGTTATCTCAGCACTTACCTCTTTTTCTCTCTGAATGAAGAAACAACTATGTTGACTGCACACGTTAAAAGATAATTTAGTGACTCAGGTTATAAGAGGTAATGAATATATAGGGAAAGTAACGAAGATGTTAAGTTATCAGAAGACAGTTTTGGGGTATGGGTAGTACTGTCTGGACTAAACTCTACCTATTCTTAGAGTGACTAATAATCACAAATAAAGTGTCTATTTTTCTCTTTCTCACGCACACATGTGTGCACGTGCGCGCACACACACACACACACACACACACACACACACACAACCTTTCTGCTCTTCCAGGAATATATCTGGATACTCATACAAAGGTGCTGCAGAATTTCTAGGGAAGGCAACATGAGAAGGACTGGAGCAATAGTATTCTGAGTTCCCTAACAAAAGTTCATTGCATAAATACTGAATGCTTTTTTCACCGAGAATCTCAGGACAATTTATCTTTATAGAAAAAAACAGGTTTAGAAAAGGCTTTGAAAGGTCAAATCTAACATCTGCTTCCTTAAGAATTTTGTTTTAAAGCATGGGGAACACATAATTAAGGAGCATTTATTATACTAAAGGAAGAGATATTCTTTTGTCTCATTTGGTTTGTTTCGGTGAAGAAATTGGCTTACTTCTGTTAGCATATTTCCATTTAGATTTACTTTCAAAGAGGGAGTATTTCTTCTTTGAACTTCAGCTTTATTTAATCTTTGAAGATGGAAGAAGAAATAAAATGTGATGAAGAATAATAGTAAGGGATCCTGGAAGTACAGAAGCTACTAAATTTGCTTAAAGAGAAATAGAAAATCTGAGCAGACCTATAACAAGAGATTGAGTCAATAATCAAAAACCTCCAAGCAAAGAAAAGTCCCTGACCAGATGTCTTCACTGATGAATTCTACCAAACACTTAAAGAAGAGTTAATACTAATCCTTCTCAAACTTTTCCAAAAAATGAAGGAACACTTTCTAACTCATTCTATGAGGTCAACATTATCTTGATATCAGAGCCAGATAAAGACATCACAAAAAAGGAAAACTACAGACCAATATGACATATGCATAAACATGTAAAAATTCTCAACAAAATACTTGCAAAATGAATCCAGCGGCTTACCAAAGGGATTATGTATATATAACATGACCAAGTGGTTCTCTGATATATATTCTCACTATATATATAATAAATATATATATACACACACACATATATATATATAGATCAAGTGGTTTCTTTTGTTGAACCACCCTTGCATTTCATTTGTCCCTGAAATGCAAGGGTGGTTCAACAATACAAAACCAATCAATACAATATATCACATTAGTAGAATGAAAAGAGGAAAAAAAATGGTCTTCTTAATTGCTGCAGAGAAAGTATTTGAAAAAATCTAATACTATTTCATGACAGAATCACTCAACAGAGTAGATATAGAAGGGAACTTCCTCAAGCACATAAAGTGCATTTATGAAAAAGCTAGAGCTAACATCATATACAGTGGTGAAAAAACTAAAGCTTCCCCCTAAGGTCACGAAAAAGACAAAGATGCACATATTCATTACATCTATTCAACATTGTATTGTAAATTCTAGTAAGATCAATTAGGCAATCAAAGAAATAAAAGACATTCAAACTAAAAAGGAAGAGGCAAGAATATTTGCTGATGAAATGATCTTATCTATAGAAAATCCTAAAGAATCCACAGAAAACAAACAAAAAACGATTGGAGCTAATAAACAAATTTGGTAAACTTGTAGGACACAAGATCAACATACAAAAACAATTGTATTTCAGTATAAAAGCAATAATCAATCAAAAATCAAATTAAGAAAACCATGCTAGTGTAGCGTATCCATATAATGGAATATTATTCAGTCATTAAAAAGGAAACAAATTACTGATACATCTCCACTGGTGTGGATGGCCCTTGAAAACATGATGTTAAGTAAAAGAGTCCAGACACAAAGGTCTGTATTGTATAATTCAATTTATATGAAATATCTAGAATTTGTAAATTCTTAGAAATCAGATTAGTGTTTGTCAGGGGCTGGGGAAGGAGAGAAATGTAAAGAGACTATTTAATGGATACTGGGTTTCCTTTGGGGGTGACAAAAATATTTTAAAACTTTAAGGTAGT
Source organism: Homo sapiens (assembly GCF_000001405.40). Classification (NCBI taxonomy): domain Eukaryota; kingdom Metazoa; phylum Chordata; class Mammalia; order Primates; family Hominidae; genus Homo; species Homo sapiens. The sequence continues at coordinate 167,649,387 of NC_000002.12, read as the reverse complement.
GATGATTGCACACCATTGTGAATGTACTAAATGCTACTAAATTATACACTTTAAAATGGTTAATTTTATGTTATATGAATTTTGCCTCAATAAAAATAAAAACAAGAGAAGAAGGAAATTCTGTGTTACATTTATTATGCATGAATTAGAGTGAATGCAAATGAAAAATGCCAAGGTTTATCTTTGAAAAATTGACTAATATTAAAAAGTAAATCAAACATTTTTAAAAAATAAAAAGTAAGGGATTATCTGTGGATAAAGTAGGGGTGGTAAAGCTGTGTTGATAAAAACAAAAATCTTTTCTACAGGTCCAGTGAGTCAATAAAAAAACATTATTTGCTCTTACTATGGTCACAGCATGACACTATATAGTTTGAGCAAGTGAAAGGCTATAAAATCTACTGTCATCTCCTCTGCCTGTCGTGGAGGCAGGCAGAAGCCAATGCAATTGACTTAGAAAGAATATTCTGAGTCTGACTCAGGCATGGAAGTGGGTTAATGGAGGTTAAAAGGAATAATAAATGGGAAAACCAAGCTGAAATCCAGGGAACACATCCAGTAGTAGTCAATCTAATGGAAGAAAAACAGAAGTATGAGGCAAAGCAATTAAATGGGGGCTACCGGATGAAATAGTTCCCATAAAAGAGGATGAGTTGGTGGCATATGGAAAAATAAAGATAAGGTAATTAAAGGCATTTATGTGGCATTTGATGGCTAAACAAAATGCCACTAAAAGCACCCACTTAGCTTGAACAACAAATACACATGAAGTAGAAAATAATTTGGTGTTAAATTGTACTTAATTTTATCTGAACACAAGAGAAATCTATACATTAGTGTGGGGCAAAGATGGGTAAGAATATTTCATATGGCAAATTAGATTTATATTGTATCCTAAGAAATGGGTAGGAATTGGACAGAGATGGGATGAGTAGAGACATTTCTTGTAAGTAAGGAGCATAATGAGATGGACATGAGAAAGGGGATACATGAGACAGTAAGGACTTTGTTTAGTGTAATAGTTTATGTTGTACAGAAAAAAAAATTGAGTTTGGATATGAATCTTGGGACTAGATCAACGAAGTTCTTAAATGCCTGTGTGCAGAGTTTGGACATTATCCTTTATGCTTTGAGCAAGGTTATCATATGATAAGAGCAGAATTTTAGAAGATAAATTTAATGGTATTTATAATGAACTGAAAATTTGAGATATCATAATAGGGAGATGACTGTTCAGGAGGTTTTTGTGGTAATCCAGGTAAGATTATCATGAGGCTAGGATGATTACACTGAGACTGAAAGAAAAGATTACATAAGCATAAAATTTAGTGGCAGATTAATTAAAAGGATGAGTTAGAGTTGAAAAATTCATCATGATTCAAAGGTTTGTAAGATGAGAAACTAAAAGGAGAGTAGATAATTGTACATTTTAGAATAACTTAAAGAGCGAAATTAGGTTGTTTATAGCTCAAAGGATAAATGCTTGAGGAGATGGAAACCCCATTCTTCATGATGTGCTTATTTCACATTGCATGCCAGAATCAAAACATCTCATGTACCCCATAAATACATACAACCACCATGTACCCATAAAATTTAAAAAATAAAGAAAGAAAAATAAAAGGAGAGCAGAAACTCTATAAAAAAATTGAGTGACTGGGAAAAAGAACTAGATCTGTGGCATGAACAATAAGTCCACTTGGACATTCTGAGTTTGAGAGCCCAGATGCATATCTTAATGATTTCCTTTAGGGAAGACATTCAGAACAGGAAGTAAAGAGAGAATCCAGGTCAGAAAATACAGATTTGAAAGTCATTGTTTGACCACCTCTAGTACTCTTTCTAAGGGTTTCAAATGTTAAGGATACTCTGGAAAAATTAGTCGGCATATTGCATCATTATTTCATGGAAGGATTCTGCCTTTCCTCTTGCATTTGTCTATTTCTACAGAAGGATGAAGAAACAAAGACTTATGGGATGAGAGAAATGCTGTTACAGGGTACCACACAGCATGTAAGCTGCTGCTTTGAGGGAAGTATACCCCTCAGGGCTTCCCTTTCCTGTTCATGCTCAGCTTGGTGCTGTAAGAAATATAAGCCAAGTCAAGTATAAACTCAAAAGTAAATAGTCGAGTTGGATTTTCAGGAAAATTTGTGCATACATGCATCTGGGGTCCCTACTAGCCTCATTGTGTAAGCTGTGTGGATACCTTCATGGGGAACATGGCCACTTCCTTTCTGAGATGTACATTAAATATACTTGAGAAGGTTCATGTCTAATTTTTAAGCTGGCTTTTCTTGCAGGTGATTTCTCTATTCTAATAAAGGCAATTTTCTAGTATGGAAGGTGAGATGAGACCACTGAGGATCAAAAGCAACCAAAATAAGAAACTACAGTAAGCCAAATAAACTTTACACTTACGCTTTCAAAGAGGCGATCTCCAGAACACTTCTGAGGACCCAGCAGCACAGCAAGAGAACTTTTTCAAGAGAAGAAAAAAAATACATTTAGATTAAAATCTTATAAATGCTGCAAATAAAAAAGCCCTATACAAATCTTACAATAATAGACACCCACTTTCAAAATTTATTGTCACAAAAATGGTGCATTTCACTAACAAATAATTGCTGACCAATCATTTGTCGGGCCATTACTTTCTCTTCTTGTCAGTTTTTATTTCTTTTTCTTCTCACAAGGGGGAGTGGGTCCTTACTCACCCTCAGGGAATAAATGGTTTCAGAACTGTGCCAATTCAGCTTTGTTTGCTAGATGCATTTTTACAAGTATCTGATTTTCCACTGCTGTGACTACAAGTATCATTAGAAGATCCTGTGATGGCAGGTGGGGTCAAACAGAGCAAAAGACAGCAACTCACAAAAAGGTAGTTTCAGCTATGTAAGCAACTACATTGGTGAGTTGGACAAAGAGGATCTGAGGTGGGCAGGCACTAGGAGAAGGAAGAGGAACAGGGTAATAGTAAAATAGTTCTCTCTCGCTCCCTTCACGCAAGGAAAGAACTGCTTTCTGATCTGGATGACTTAGAAAGAGGGGAGTTTGGCAGAAACCCTGGGTCCTACCCATGAGTGACCTGGAAGGCTAAATCAAGGAGGCCTTATCTTCCTTTACCCAACCTGCTGGTTCACTTAGAACAGCTCCCACATTTTTACTAGGTCTGTGGTAATGCTTTTTGAGCTTGTAGTTGTCTTTCCTGATTTATCCTCAGGAAATTTAATTTGTACCAAATCACTTCTTCGCACCAAACCTCAGATGCCCATAAAAAGAGGGGTCAAAAGAGATCATCTCTATGCTTTCTTTCAACTTAATATTCTGTGATTTCAGAAAAGGTATAGAAAACTGTACACCAGGAAAGGGTATTCAGGCTGACACAATTTACTCAGAAGTCACTTCTGCATTTCCATTTATAGCTTTTGAAGCCATTCTCCTTACGGTAAACTCACACAGACATTTTACAAACACCGCAATCACCCACTCCCACCCCAAGTACACATTTTTATTGGGCCGGGTGTGGTGGCTTACACCTGTGATCCCAGCACTTTGGGAGGCCAAGGCAGGCAGATCATTTCAGGTCAGGAGTTCGAGACCAGCCTGACCAACGTGGTGAAACCTCATCTCTACTAAAAATACAAAAGAAATGAGCCAGGCATGGTGGCTCATGCCTGTAATCCCGCCTACTCAGGAGGTTGAGGCAGGAGAATTGCTTGAACCTGGGAGGCAGAGGTTGCAGTGAGCTGAAGTCATGCCACTGCATTCCATTTCCAGCCTGGGTGACAGAGTGAGACTCCATCTCAAAAAAAAAAAAAAAAAAAAAAAAAATTATTGGCAGTGGCCAAGGGTAGAACAAGTGTAAACACTTCTAAAACCAGTGAAGTGTCATGAGATGTGTTGACAATTTAGTCTTCAGTCAACCAGTGCTTTTGATTTCTGATAATGTCCACAGCTTTACCTTTCTGTGTTCATAATTTGATAGTTAAATATTTTATCTTGTCTGCATCACCCTGCTCCTCCAAAAAGCTATTAATGACTTTTTGGAGAAGAATTTAATATTGCCAAGAAATTTAAAAATTATCTTCCATTAGAGTAATTCTTGTTTCATAAAAGTATTGCTAGAAAAGATCTGGAGGGGCTGTAAAAAATAAATCAGGTTGGGCAGCATTTGGTGGTCAATTCTGCAGGCATCCTTTACTGAGCAATGGTGGACGGCTGAGTCCATTCAAAAGTCAGCACCCTTACTCTTGCCGGCCTCACTATGAGTTTTGCTTTGAAGATAACAAGAGGGGTGGATTATGGTGAAGATAAAGAAAGCTCTTGACCTAGTACTCTCTATGGTGCTGTACTCAGAATAAATGGGAAATATATTGAAAAATATTCTGAAAGTGAAGTTTCAGACTTTTTCCAGTAAATATTCAGTTGCAATTAAGCACTTTAGATCAACATGGCTCTGAGTCTGAATGGTGCTAAGCTTAGATAACAATATGGCAAATTCTGGAAAGAGGGCTCCTGTTTGGAAGTGCAAAAGAAAATCTATTAGGAATGTATTAGCCAGAATAAAAGCCAGTAAATTCTTTTTTTTTTTTTTTTTTTTTTTTTAAGACAGAGTCTCACTCTGTCACCCAGGCTGGAGTGCAGTGGTGCGATCTTGGCTCACTGCAAGCTCCGCCTCCCGGGTTCAAGCCATTCTCCTGCCTCAGCCTCCCGAGTAGCTGGGACTACAGGCCCCCACCACCATGCCTGGCTAATTTTTTGTATTTTTAGTAGAGATGGGGTTTCACCGTGTTGGCCAGGATGGTCTCGATCTCCTGACCTCGTGATCCACCCGCCTTAGCCTACCAAAGTGCTGGGATTACAGGCGTGAGCCACTGTGCCCTGCGTAAAATGTTTTTTAAGATCAATTCAATAGGTGAGCTTGAAAAATGTTTCCTTTAGCTACTCTGGGTACAGGGTTTTCAGGGCTTTTTACTGGAAAATTATGTCAGTCAAATAAATGGTAGTGCTCCTTTCAAGTCTTCCAGGAAATTGTCCCTTCCCATTTTTTAAAGATATAATGAGGTTTTTTTGTTTGTTTTCTACTGGTAAGAACTTGCCTTCTCTCATCCAGAACACCTTAGTTAAACACATTCATCTGTGTTCTTGCTTTAGACCCTACTCTGACTTTTGACCATTTACTCCAAAACTGCCCTTCCAATGAGTATCCACTTCTGCCAGTATGGAAACTAATAACTATCATGTTAAAAAATAATTATTTCTAACAATTCTAAACACCTCCTTAAAACTGTGAAAACTGAACTCTTATGGTTATTTTGTGCTCTTTTATCTTACTTTACTTTTTAATTTTGGGTTGTATTTTGCTCCTCTTCTCTTGTCTGCACTGCTAATCCCACCCAATTTACAGACATTGACACTGTCTAAACATGAAAGACAGAGAGAGGTAAAGACAAGACAATTCCAAACAGCTTCTTCAGTTCTCTGGTTCACTTGGCAAAAAGAGCTGTCCCCATAAATAACTTGTATGATAATAATCAGGAGTATTACTGCTCCCACAGACCAGTCTGCCTATGGTGTCTGAGGTTCGCCAACCTATATAAATCATACTGCCAGTTTACCCACACCTTATACATTTGTAAACAGATACTGTTCAGTTTAAACAAACTTCATAAAAGGGAAGATTTTAGGAAGAATGTGTTAATTCTAGGAGGGCTGGGTGTATGGAGACCTCTCCCATTTAGCATGATGACTATGGGAAAAGAGGTTGTGGCATGTTTTGAATCATTTGGGATTTTTGCTTTTTTCTTTTCCTCTCCTTTTGTATTATCAGTGGTCTGGGTCAGCATCCCAAATTCAAGTCTTCTATGATTACTCCAATTCTTCATAGACTACTTTGGTTTCACATTTTTTCTTTTCTTTCCCCTACCACTTAACATGACAAGGTGGCATCAGATCCCAAGTCATGCCAGTGCACCTCTCTGGCCAGCAATGCCAATGGATCGATGATGTAAACCACAGTTGTGATGGCTTTTGATCCAATCCCAAAATGTATTATTAAATGCCACTTATAACATGATCAATTTCAGCATATACACAAAGAGATAATATCCCAAAAATACTTGAATCATCAACAAAGAGTAAAAGAAGGCTCTGAATGTCTCATTCTTAATGTAGGTAAACTCAAACACAGATTTAATGTATACGTTTTATCTTTTCTTTGTAACAGAATTTCATAGATGGTATGTGCACAAAGCTTATCTTACTTATATGAAGAATTATCTTCATAAAAGTTAACCTACTCCATTGTTATATGTTTTTAAAATTCTTACGAAGTAAGCTGCAGCTCCAAGCAACTTTATAATTGGCAGGTTCTTTACATCCTTACACATAACTATGGTCTTAGTTTTTTTGTTGAAATAATGCAGGATGAGTCCTCTGAAAGTATAAAAATATACATTTTTATACATTTTACACATTAATAGGATTCATTCACTTATAAATTTCTATTTATTGGATGCCTAATATTATATTAGCCAATGTTTTAAGTGCTGGGAATAAAATAGGAGCACAAAATATGAAGTCCCTCTTCTTGCAAAGTTTACACTCCTGAAGAGGGAGACAGATATCAACAACAACCACCACAACAACTCAACAAGTAAATATATAATATATGAGAAGAAAAATAAGGCAGGTTATAGGCTATATTTAGCCTTGCTCCTCTCCTGAGTGAGTATAGAGAGATGAAGTGCCAAAGTGCTGGGATTATAGGCATGAGCCACTGCGCCCAGCATAAAATGTTTTTTAAGATCAATGTCAGATCAGGTCAGGACCTTTCCTAATAGGGTGACATTTGAGCAGAGATTTGAATGGAGCTCTCAAGAGGACAAGTTTGAGATGATTTTTCTTCTGATAGATTGTAGTTACACAGCACTAATCCAAGAAGGCAATCAGAAAATAAAATTATTTCAACTAATCAGTCCATTGAACATGGACAAAACAACTGGTTTTATAGTCCAAAATTTTTACTTTTTATACTGGCTGGTTTTACGGCACATGAATACAAACTAAGATATAGCTTTAGGTTAACTATCTTCTAGGGCAAAATAAAATCCCTGACTGGACCCCCCGATGGTGAAAAATATTTGATTATCACCCTTTTTCATTCTAGAATTTGAGAAGCAAGTGATAAACCCAGGGAGTAGTTGAAAACTGTGATGGCTGTTGAGCTCTGTCTCCCCAAGTCTGCAGTGAGAGTAATCAGCCATCACACAACCAAAGGGATGATGGTGCTCACAGCTATCTGTCAACCAACAGAGATGGACTGAGTGATTTGAAACTTAGAAACAATCATTGTGCTATTTCATGGAGAACAGAACCTCTGGAGAAAGAGTCAAAATAGAAGGAACAGATGTGTGAGGGAAACTAGGAGTTCCAATGAAGGATGCCTGATAGATATGTTGAGAAGGCACTTGGCTATGCAAGCCTAAAACTTAGGAAAAGTCAAGGATGGAGATACAAGTTGAATAGTCATAAGAGCACAGATGGCACTTAAATCTATGATTACTATGGAGAAAGAGTAGACAGGAAAGAGAAGGGGTCCCACCACTGAGTCCTTGAGCACGCCAACATTTGCAGGGCTGACAAGAGAAGGAGCCAGCAGAGAAAACCAAGGCCAGTCCCATTACAGGGGAACCAGGAGACTGTAATGTCATGGAAGGCAAGCCAAGAAAAGACAGCGCTTTAAGAAGAATGGAATGCCCAACTGTGTCAAATGCCACTGCAAAAATAAGCAGTGATTGTGTAATAAAAATAATAGCAGCTAACATGTGTTATACCTGTATTAGCTGCAAAACATTGTTTTAAGAGTTTATACAGATTATCCCATTTACTGTGCACAATACCCATATGGTCAGTAATGTTCTAGTCACAGTTTTAGAGATGAGAAAACTGTGGCAGGAAATATTAATAACTTGCCCCTGGTCATGAAGTCTGACTACTGGATTTAGGAAGATGGATAACGTTGATGGCCTTCAACAGAGCTGTTTCAGTAGAGCAGTGAAGCACTTGGAGTGAATGAAGTGGTTTGAAGGGAAAATGGGAAGTGAGAAAGTACAGATATCAGGTATAGACATGTAAAACATTACTATGCCTAGCACTTAGAATATTCCACATAGATAGAGGTTATTAAAATAGTGCTGATAATTGTAATTATTATTTCTGATAACTGTCTTTCCTGCTGAACCATAAGCACTTTGACAGCATACTTTGTATTTCTTAACCTCTATATTTTAGCTCTCACCCAAATTTCTCAATTACTGTTTACTAGGTGTAGGATTAGGAAGAGGTTAACGGAAGAGATTCATTTTGAGATGCTTTTATAGATAGGTAGGCTTTGAATAGATAGAAAGGTCAAGTATAACGTCCCAAGGATATTCAGACCATTGTTGAGCTCAATATATAAAATTTTATGAAATGTTAAGTCAACAATTTATCCGAATGTTCATTTATGGGATGATAGCTCTGTCTGTCTAGATTGAAAGTCCAAAGCTCAAAAGCCTACAGAGACCAGGCTGCAATGGAAATGAGCACCATGAGTCAGTTTTAAGCTTTGGAATAAGAAGACTGGGGCATAATAAAGAAAAGCCAGAAGTCAAGAATTTTCCTGCGAAATATGCCTCATTTTTTAGAGTGCTGGCATCCAATTCAATGTTTTTAATAATACTATTCAGTGTAAAATAAACAAGGCTATGGGATATACCTGGTCCGATGGCAGACTTCTGGTCTGCACAATATCTACTCAGCTAATGCAGAGGGTTGATTCTGAGGGGGAAAAAAAAATCAAACTTACAGTAAAACAAGTGAATTAAAGACTTTTTGACATAGTTTATTAAAATTTTAGATAGCAAGGCAGCTGATAGTTTAAAAATAAAAGCCGTAAGAGAAAAAAATATATTCCAAGGCCTTTCATGAGAGTAGAGAAGAAAAAACATATGTAACCTGTTATTAATATTTACAACAGATCTGTCTGAAAAACTCTGTGCTCTAAGGAAAACTCCATTGCATGGGGGTGGCTCTGAGGACTACTGTTAAGGTGAACAATGTGTTACACTGCTCACACTTTCCCAATTCTGAGGCAATAGTTGAGGTGACAGCCTTAGGCAGCATTCATAGAAGTGGGAGGATGCAAGATCAATTTTTTTTCTAAGGGAAAAAAAGTATCTTCTATAGTCAGTAAATATTTTATAACTGCTTGGCACATCTCACAACATACTGCTTAGATCAAAGGAATGTTATCTACAGAGATGTTATTTGGAACATCATATTATACAAAACTATTGCCTGTAGCAGTGCTGACAAATAATATTCAAATCCATCATTTAATCTTAAAATAATTTTCTTAGCATCTCAAATTACAATGTGTCCCAGATAACCTCAAAAGAAATTTTCTGTGATCCACTTTCACAAGTGACATCATTCCTCCTGGTAGGGTCTTTGGGATTTGACATCAAGGAAGTATGGAATTGAGGTGCTAACCATATGCAGGGGCCAGTTAATACTTCAATGATTTGGATGTCAACTTAATTATTTCTTTTGATCAACAATGGCAGCAGACTGCTTTGTTGTCTGGATCTGTGGAATGATACATCATTTACACACAGATAGACCAAAAGAAAAAAAAATTTAGTGTATTGGTGCTTCAAGGTTACTTTATTTGCATGAGTATATGTTAGAAGGGAGCTGATTTGCCATAATATTGTCCATCTCTGTATCTCTGTCTATCTAAGTCTCCAGTAATCACTAATATAAAGCTTCTGGATTAAATTAAGGTATATAGAATTTCAATTTACTAAAAAATTTACTATGAATAACAGTTATGAAGGAGTTACCCAAAAGAATGGGCTTTCTTTCCTTAATGTGTTTCTGCTTGGACTGAAGAATCTTTGCAGGTTACTGGATATTTAAAAAATAAATGACTTCTGTAAGCTTCAACATTTAGATTAAGAATACAAACTCATTACTAAAATGTAGATTAATTCTCAAATCACAGGCAAACCAGGTATCAGACATCTAGGAGGGTACTGTGGAAATAGTCAAATTTGCAACATGACATTTCTTAGGCTGGATTTTACAATGATCCATCATAGCTTACACTATGTAACTTTCTATGTCTTAACGACCCATGCTGGTTTATAATGTGTAACTTTCTATCTTTATTTCTTCCGGAGACAATGTATGTTCCAGAAGGGGAGATTACAGGCATACTTTTTATTTGAGCTCCTATGGCTACTTTTTACCTCTAATCATTTTTGAGCATATGTACAACTTACATCTTAATTAGAAGTTCAAACTTGTGAAAGTATTAACTAAGCATACTCCTTGCTCTCATCATAGGCAGGCCAATGGAATTAAAAAATACAAGCACAGAATGATGGGACAGAATTGGTAAACCAGGAAATTAAGGACCAGAAAAGTAATTTGCCCAAGTTTACACAGCTAATCAATGTCAGGGTTGCAACTAGAATCCCAGATTGGTGCTCTTCTTACTGTATTAATGGACTCTATTAACACTAAAAGTTTGATATTCAAGAAAGACTTGAAAACCATCAATAAGATTCTATTTAAATTTTTTCTTATTTACCATGAATATAGCCTAACCCCCTCTTTTTTAATGAAGGCACAAAAACACAATAGAATTGTACAACTTAATAGATCCAGTGTTATTATCAAATTTATTGTTCCAAAAAGTGAAAGTGTCAGTTCCTATATCACTAACATTTTGCATGTTGGGTAAAATTTCCTATTCTGAGCTCTAACAACCAGATCATTCCTTAGAGTCACTGGAGTATGTGTTCTCTCTTTTAGTTCCCTCTCTCTGACTTAAGAAGTTTCAAACACAAATCTCACTGCGTGGTACAGTGACACATGAAACACGGCAGACTGCTGACTATGGAAAGCCAAAGGGCATTAAAGCTTGCTTTAAACAAGATCATTGAAAAATCAGTTTTCTTTTAAGTTCATACAATGTCATATCATTAAACTGTGTTTTCATTTATGAAATATGACTGCCATGCCAATGCTAGTTTGTTTTAGCAGTGCTGCTTCACGGTGAAAATGTTTCAATATCATACAATAGCCTAAAACACATTTTAGTTAAACTTTACTGAAATATTCATGAAATTATGGATCTCTGAGCTTAATTTTCAAATTGATTAACTAAAATTCATTGGGTTGCTCTATTCATGAGCTCACTTCAATAGCAGATCTACAGGGCTAGAATTTTCAAATATGCCACTTATTGGTCTTATTCTATATCCAAAGAAGTATTATATAGTGTTCTGTGCATGACAAATACTTGCCAAATGTTGACAAAGGAAGCAGCTTTGCTGATTCTGACTTCCTGCTTTGTTCACTATAGCCACTACTATTGATGTATTCTGTAATTTGTTTCTATTATTGGCCCAGCAACTATGGGCAGAGACTTCAGAGAGGTGAGGCATACAAACAAGGAATGAGTCAATAGTGGATGTATCCAAAAGAAAAGAAAAAAAAAAAAGAGTGGAATCATGCCATTTGCAGCAACATGGATTGTCATTATACTAACTGAAATAAGCCAGGCCCAAAAAGACAAATACTGCATGTTTTCACTTGTATGTGGAAGCTGAAAAAATTGATCATATAAGGCAGAGGGTGGAATGGCAGTAACCAAATACTAGAAAGGGTGTGAGGATGGAAGTGGGGATTAAGAGAGGTTGCTTAATGAGTACAAGCATATAGTTGGAAGGAATACATTCTAATGTTCAATAGCAGAGTAGAGTGACTACAGTTAACAACAATGTATTGTATATTTCAAAATAGCTAGAAAAGAGGACTTAAAACCTTCCCAACACATACAAATGAGAAGTACTTGAGGGTGATGGATACTGCAAATACTCTGACTTGATCATGACATGTTCTATGCATGTAACAAAATATCATATGTGCCCCATAAATACGTAAAAATATTATGTATCAACAAAAAAAACAGGTAGAGGCATCTGACTTCTCTGGGCATTAGTATAACGGTGCTGGTGCTGCGGCCGTCAGAACATTGGTGACAGAAGAATCCCCATGATGTTTTAGTCTCCTAAAGAGTAGCAGAGTGATTTCAAGCCCTTCTATTTCACTTAAGCACCACATACGTGCACCACAAAGTCGAAGTGAAAGCAACAGAAATCCATCTTGATTCAGAACAGGAGTTGGTGTCTGAATTTGCTCCCCATACATATTCCTGCAGACATGGGTGAGAGCCAAAATATCTAACAAACTGGAATAGCATGGGCACTAACTAATCAGGGTAGCTGGGAGCAGCCATAAGGGCATACTACTGAGTACCTACCTTCTATTTTTTTTTATTATTATTATACTTTAAGTTCTGGGATACTTGTGCAGAACAATGTCCAGTTTTGTTACATAGGTATACACATGCCATGTTGGTTTGCTGCACCCATCAACCCATCACCTACATTAGGTATTTCTCCTAATGCTTTCCCTCCCATAGCCCCCCACCCACTGACAGGCCCCAGTGTGTGATGTTCCTCTCCCAGTGTCCATGTGTTCTCATTGTTCAACTCCCACTTATGAGTGAGAACATGCGGTGTTTGGCTTTCTGTTCTTGTGATAGTTTGCTGAGAATGATGGTTTCCAGCTTCATCCATGTCCCTGCAAAAGACATGAACGTATCCTTTTTTATGACTGCATAGTATTCCATGGTGTATATATGTCACATTTTCTTTATCCAGTCTATCATTGATGGGCATTTGGGTTGGTTCCAAGCCTTTGCTATTGTGAGTAGTGCTGCAATAAACATATGTGTGCATGTGTCTTTATAGCAGAATGATTTATAATCCTTTGGGTTTATACCCAGTAATGGGATGGCTGGGTCAAATGGTATTTCTAGTTATAGATCCTTGAGGAATTACCACACTGTCTTCCACAATGGTTGAACTAATTTACACTCCTACCAACAGTGTAGAAGTGTCTGAGTACCTACCTTCTTACAGAGCATATCTTCAGCTTGGTGAAGAGAGGGTCTTTTGAATTTCTAGGTGGGGGTAAACTAATCCCCTTTATTTCACCATTATCAGAGGTGCTCTGCTCCTGCCCTGCCATGCTCACCTGCCAGGCAGGAGTAGAACCAGTGATGGTTAAAGTTAATATTGCTCTGAGAGTCTTAATCTCCTCAGCTGCTGACAAAGTTGCTTTTACTGTGCTCATTACTTAGTTCAGTTCAATTTCTTTTTTAATCTCTTTAGAAAAGATGAGGTAGGTTTTTGTCGGGTTTGTCAAAGATCAGATGGTTATAGATGGGTGGCATTATTTCTGAAGCCTCTGTTCTGTTCCATTGGTCTACATCTGTTTTGGTACCAGTACCATGCTGTTTTGGTTGCTGTAGCCTTGTAGTATAGTTTGAAGTCAGGTAGCGTGATGCCTCCAGCTTTGTTCTTTTTGCTTAGGATTGTCTTGGCTATATGGAGTCTTTTGGTTCCATATGAAATTTAAAGTAGTTTTTTCTAATTCTGTGAAGAAAGTCAGTGGTAGCTTGATAGGGATAGCATTGAATTTATAAATTACTTTGGTCAGTATGGCCGTTTTCACAATATTGATTCTTCCTATCCATGAGCATGAAATTTTTTCCATTTGTTTGTGTCCTCTCTTATTTCCTTGAGTAGTGGTTTGTAGTTCTCCTTAAAGAGGTCCTTCACATCCCTTTTTAAGTTGTATTCTTAGGTACTTTATTCTTTTTGTAGCAATTGTCAATGGGAGTTCACTCATGATTTGGCTCTCTGTCTGTTATTGGCGTATAGGAATGCTTGTGATTTTTGCACATTGATTTTGTATCCTGAGACTGCTGAAGTTGCTTATCAGCTTAAGGAGATTTCGGGCTGAGACAATAGGGTTTTTTAAATATACAATCATGTCGTCTGCAAACAGAGACAATTTGACTTCCTTTCTTTCTATTTGAATACGCTTTATTTCCTTCTCTTGCCTGATTGCCCTGGCCAGAACTTCCAATACTGTTTTGAACAGGAGTAGTGAGAGAGGGCATCGTTGTCTTGTGCCGGTTTTCAAAGGGGATGCTTCCAGCTTTTGCGCATTCAGTATGATATTGACTGTGCGTTTGTCATAAATAGCTCTTATTTTTTGAGATACGTTCCATCAATACCTAGTTTATTGACAGTTTTTAGCATAAAGGGGGTGTTGAATTTTATCCAAGAACTTTTCTGCATCTATTGAGATAATCATGTGGTTTTTGTCATTGGTTCTGTTTATGTGATGGATTACGTTTATTGATTTGCATATGTTGAACCAACCCTGCATCCCAGGGATGAAGCCAATTTGATCATGGTAGATAAGCTTTTTGATGTGCTGTTGGATTCAGTTTGCCAGTATTTTATACAGGATTTTTGCATTGATGTTCCTCAGGGACACTGGCCTGAAATTTTCTTTTTTTGTTGTGTCTCTGCCAGGTTTTGGTATCAGGATGCTGGCCTCATAAAATGAGTTAGGGAGGATTCCCTCTTTTACTGTTGATTGGAATAGTTTCAGAAGGAATGGTACCAGCTCCTCTTTGTACCTTTGGTAGAATTAGGCTGTGAATCCATCTGGACCTGGGATTTTTTTTTGGTTGGTAGGCTATTAATTGCTGCCCCAATTTCAGAACTTGTAATTGGTCTATTCAGGGATTTGACTTTTTCCTGGTTTAGTCTTGGAAGGATGTATATGTCCAGGAATTTATAAGTTTCTTCTAGATTTTCTAGTTTACTTGCATTGATGTGTTTATAGCATTCTCTGATAGTAGTTTGTATTTCTGTGGGATCAGTTGTGATATCCCTTTTATCATTTTTTATTGTGTCTATTTGATTCTTCTCTCTTTTCTTCTTTATTCTTCTGGTTAGCGGTCTATCAATTTTGTTGAACTTTTCAAAAAACCAGCTCCTGGATTCATTGATTTTTTGAAGGGTTTTTCGTGTCTCTATCTCCTTCAGTTCTGGTCTGATCTTAGTTATTTCTTGCCTTCTGCTAGCTTTTGAATGTGTTTGCTCTTGCTTCTCTAGTTCTTGTAATTGTGATGTTAGGGTGTTGATTTTAGATCCTTCCTGCTTTCTCCTGTGGGCATTTAGTGATATAAACTTCCCTCTAAACACTGCTTTAGCTGTGTCCCAGAGATTCTGCTATGTTGTGTATTTGTTCTCATTGGTTTCAAAGAATTTATTTATTTCTGCCTTAATTTCGTTATTTATTTAGCCAGTAGTCATTCAGGAGCAGGTTGTTCAGTTTCCATGTAGTTGTGTGGTTTTGAATGAATTTCTTAATCCTGAGTTCTAATTTGATTGCACTGTGGTCTGAGAAACCGTTTGTTATGATTTCCATTCTTTTGCATTTGGTGAGGAGTGTTTTACTTCCAATTATGTGATCAATTTTAGAATAATTGTGATGTGGTGCTGAGAAGAATGTATATTCTGTTCATCTGAGGTGGAGAGTTCTGTAGATGTCTATTAGGTCTGCTTGGTCCAGAGCTGAGTTCAAGTCCTGAATATCCTTGTTAATTTTCTGTCTTGTCGTTCTGTCTAATATTGACAGTGGGGCATTAAAGTCTCCCACTATTATTGTGATTATTGTGTGGGAGTCTAAGTCTCTTTGTAGGTCTCTAAGAACTTGCTTTATGAATCTGGGTGCTCCTGTATTGGGTGCATATATATTTAGGATAGTTAGCTCTTCTTGTTGAATTGATCCCTTTACCATTATGTAAATACCCTTCTTTGTCTTTCTTGATCTTTGTTGGTTTAAAGTGTGTTTTATGAGAGACTAGGATTGCAACCCCTGGTTTTTTTTTGTTGTTGCTATTTTTTTTTTCTTTCCATTTGCTTGGTAAATATTCCTCCATTTCTTTATTTTTAGCCTTTGTGTATCTTTGTATGTGAGATGGGTCTCCTGAATACAGCACATTCAAAGGTCTTGACTCTTTATCCAAGTTGCCAGTCTGTGTCTTTTATTTGGGGCATTTAGCCCATTTACAAGTCTGATGGGCGGTTCCCTTTGTGGGTAATCCAACCTTTCTCTCTGGCTGCCCTTAACATTTTTTCCTTCATTTCAACCTCAGTGAATCTGACAATTATGTGTCTTGAGGTTGCTCTTCTCAAGGATTATCTTTGTGGTGTTCTCTGTATTTTCTGAATTTGAATGTTGGCCAGTCTTGCTAGATTGGGGAAGTTCTCCTGGATAATATCCTGAACACTGTTTTCCAACTTGGTTCCATTCTCTCCATCATTTTCAAACAATGGGGAAAGGATTCCCTATTTAATAAATGGTGTTGGGAAAACTGGCTAGCCATATGCAGAAAACTGAAACCGGACCCCTTCCTTACACCTTATACAAAAATTAACTCAAGATGGATTAAAGACTTAAATGTAAGCCTTAAAACCATAAAACCCCTAGAAGAAAACCTAGGCAATACCATTCAGGACATAGGCATGGGCAAAGAATTCATGACTAAAACACCAAAAGCAATGGCAACAAAAGCCAAAATTGACAAATGGGATCTAATTAAACTAGAGAGCTTCTGCACAGCAAAAGAAACTATCATCAGAGTGAACAGGCAACCTACAGAATGGGAGAAAATTTTTGCAATCTGTCCATCTCACAAAGGGCTAATATCCAGAATCTACAAGGAACTTAAAAAAATTCACAAGAAAAAAACAAACGAATCCTTTAAAAAGTGGGCAAAGGATATAAACAGACACTTCTCAGAAGAAGACATTTATGCAGCCAACAAACATATGAAAAAAAAACTTATTCTCACTGGTCATTAGGGAAATGCAAATCAAAACCACAATGAGACACCATCTCATGCCAGTTAGAATGGCAATCATTAAAAAGTCTGGAAACAACAGATGCCAGAGAGGATGTTGAGAAATAGGAACACTTTTGCAATGTTGGTGGGAGTGTAAATTAGTTCAACCATTGTGGAAGACAGTGTGGCTATTCCTCAAGGATCTAGAACTAGAAATACCATTTGACTCAGCAATCCCATCACTGGGTATATACCTGAAGGATTATAAATCATTCTATTATAAAGACACATGCAAAAGTATGTTTACTGCAGCACTATTCACAATAGCAAAGACTTGGAACCAACCCAAATGCCCATCAATGATAGACTAGATAAAGAAAATGTGGCACATATATGCCACGGAATACTATGCAGCCATAAAAAAGGATGAGTTCATGTCCTTTGCAGGGACATGGATGAAGCTGGAAACCATCATTCTCAGCAAACTAACACGGGAAGAGAAAACCGAACACCACATGTTCTCACTCATAAGTGGGAGTTGAACAATGAGAACACATGGACACAGGGTAGGGAACATCACACACCGGGGCCTGTCAGTGGGTGGGGGGTAGGGGAGGGATAGCATTAGGAGAAATACCTAATGTAGCTGAGTTGATGGGTGCAGCAAACCAGCATGGTACGGGTATACCTATGTAACAAACCTGCACATTCTGCACATGTATCCCGGAACTTAAAGTATATTAATAATAAAAAAAGAGATTAAGTAAAAAAAAAAAAAAAAAAAGAAAAGAAAAGGAGAGGTAGGTGAGAGAGAGAGAGAGGAAAGAAAGCTAGTATTTGTAGTTATCCTATTCTAAAAAACTACTATTCAACTAAGACAACTAAGAAAAATATATTCCAATAAAAAATTTTAAAATTACATTATGAGGGTGAACATGACTATTTAAACAATCTGTACTTTAATTAATTAATTAAGAACCCAGATTAGTAAAAAAAATTTTTAAATCCAGATTAGTATTAGGCCTCTTTTAGAATTTGTCTAGCAGGTTTTCCAGTTTCCACCAGAAAACCATAAAAATACTTATCTATTGGGTTATCCTGCTAGACAAAAATCTTAGAAAGCTCTAACATTAATCTAGAGTTTTTAAAAGGGCAAATTGTAGAATCTAAAGAGCAGGTATCTGAATATGTCTTCTATTCATGTGAATGGCAGGTGTGTATGGCAAACTTTTCTCTTCTCCAGGTGTTTTGTCCTGATCAACCCTTGTTTTCCTTATGGTCAAATCAGCATCTTCAGCAGGCACTCTGCACAGAATCATTGGTTTCAGAACATGATGCCCTGTTTATTCAAAAGAAGAGTCTCATTCAGAGAAACACTAATAATTTTGGCTAAATAGCTAATAATAATTAACTTAAAAATATTTGGTTGTGACTTTTATTTAAACATTAAAAAAGAGTTAAAGCAACATATGAATATGGTAAAAAATTCAAATAATATTGAGCAAAGTTAAGTGAAAAGTAAAATTCCCCCCCCTTTTTTTTACCCCCAATCCTAGTTCCTCTTCTGAAAAATAAATGATGGTTGATAGTTTCTTTTTCATTCTTTGAAAATAGGAAGAAAAGGAAAGAAGGCAGGAATGAAGGAGAGAAATAAGGAGCAAGAAAGTTGTACACAATGGGACTATTCTGTACACTCCTTGGCATTTTGGTATATTTGTTCTACAGTATTTCTTGGAATCTGTTCCCTATCAATGCATTTGGATCATTCTTTCAAAGTCTGTATTATGATAATTTTCAAATATACAGAAAATTACAAAGTTTGGTACAATAAGCACCCATACACCCTGTCTTGATTAAAATTATCAACATTTTGCCCTATTTGATGATTCCATCTTTCAATTATCTATCTAGCTTTTTTTTTTGCTGAATAATTTCAATGTAAACTGCAGATATCATGACACTTCACTCCAAAATCCTTCAGCACTTACTGCTTAAAACCAAGAATATCATCTTGTACAGCCATTTCTGTATCTAAAAAATTAACAATAATTGTCAAATATAACAATAATTAATAATACCCAGTGACTACCAAAATGTCTCCAATTATTTCACAATTGTCATCAATTGATTTCTGTAGAACTTGTATTTAATTAATGATGACATCTTGAATCTGGATGTCAAGTTTTTACAATCTCTCATAATCTAGAACAATGAGCTTCTTCATACATTTTTTAAGGATGACACTGACTTTATGAAGAGATCAACCCTGTTTGGTTGTTTCCTCAGGATGTCATTTAACTTGTTCCTCTACTCCCTCATCTTCTGCATAACTAACCAATATGCCTACATTTAATGCATTGTGGTAAGTGTATTTTGTGTATCTAATCTCATTTAATCCTTACAACAACCCAGAGATGCTAATTATACTAGTACACCTATTTTACTGATAAGAACATGGAGGTTAGAGAGGTCAATTCAATTCTCTAAGGTCAAATATTGTCTGTGTTCTCTTTCTTGTTCTTTCTATGTATGTCACATATAGTTTTGTCTAGTGTCATAACATTTAGAGTTGGAAAATACTTAATTTTACATACCAAGAAAAAAATGCCCAGAGAGACCAATTGTGTGATATGGTTAGTCATGTAATTATTTAGTACATAATTTTCAAATGCAAAAAGCACTTAATGAGCTGGTGTCACCACAAAAGGTCAGCTGGCTTCTCACAGGGTGGCATTACATTTGTAAATCTGCCAAGGTATAAAGCAGTGTTTACAAAGTGTGGCATGCAAGGTAATTTTTGATCCATGCACAAAAAATTTTTATTTCTGTAGTAATTTATTCTAATGCGTCTTAGGGAAATAACATAACTAGTTCACTGACCTCAGATATTAATCTTTAATCTGAGGCTCAGTTTAAAAAAGGAGTGAGTTAATTTAAAGAAAAATGTTAATAAAACAATGGTTCAGAGGTTCAGAGGATATTATATAGTTAGAGCAATAAAATTATGACAGAAGAGAATGAATCCATAGAGGACCTTTTTTAGGATGAGCTCATGTTAACTTAATTCATGTATGAGAATGGAGTGTATATTTATTAATTCATGATGAGAAATAAAACAGTTGTGTGCGCTGGAACTCTCATCTATGTGATGAATAAATTATCTGCCCATAGGCTGACGTCAAAATTAAAACAAGGGAAAATTATTTAAATGATTCCAAAGTTTAATAACTTCAGGCCAAATATGTCCAGTTCATCCCTGTTCAGAAAAGTTCTGGCCTTGCCAATGGGACTTTTACACCAAAGCTCCTCTCTTAAAATGTACCTATCTCTTAGACATTACGAGATCACCGATTTTCTCTTCTGGTTGATTAGGTATGCTGATATTCAATATTGTTACTGGAAAACAATATCTGAAAAGCCATTTTGCCTGTCTAAGGAATCATTACATACCTCTGCTCCAATCCGTCCTCTGTTGGCTATACAATATAACTCAGAGAGGTTATTTCTACTTCCCTTATGTCCAATTTATGGTAGGCTCCAAATATTAATGGTAGATACTAGTGACCTTGACCTAGATTGCTAGATTCTGGCGCATTTTCTTCTATACCATGTGCCCTATGCAAGTAACTTCCACAGAACAAATAAAATTTCCCACACTAATAAATCTGAAACTTATAAAATTTATCATATGACATATCACCACCTCACTCCATTGAATATATATATTTTTAGCAAAATATAGGCCTTTACTGCTTACAGTTAATACAATGAAGATGGAAGCCTGACAGCTTGCTCCCGAAGTCCCATAAAGTTTAGAGAATTTATCCCCAGGCCCATGCCTCCACCCTCCACTTTTTTGTTATCTTTACCTAGTTCAGTGATATTAGAGACACAAGAGAATTTGAGTGAAGTCTCACAATGATTTATACTCAGACCACTGATTTAAAAATGAGAATTATTAAATCCACTAGCTTGCTTATCTTTTATTTTTACCACTCTACAGAAATCCTACTGGTGGCTGAGGATCAAGGTGAAGCCGGGAGGCCAGGTAGGTTCATCTTCAAAGTTTGTATCTTAAAAGATTGGCCACATATCCATCTATGATTTGGGTAGAGGTTAGATATACAATCTGAGTTTTTATTGAATGGTACTACAAGCCATGTTTCGAAATAGGAAGAATGACTGTAGATGCAATCATCTCAACTCTGTCTCCTAAAAGTTTACTCTCATAGACCTTAAATGGAATTAAAGTGAAAGCATAATGTATACTGATACACAAAGGCCACTTCCATGTATAAAGGGTCTTAGTTTATTCTCTCCAATTCACAACGGAACAATAGGCTAAAAAAGTCATTTGGGGTCAAAAACACAATGTACACTGTTAAGAAAATGAAAAGACAGGCCACAGACTGGGAAAAAGTATTTGCAAAACATATATATGACAAAGGACTTTTCACCAGAATATGTAAAGAAATCTCAAATTGCAATAATAATAAAACAATAATCCAAATTTTTTTAAATGGGCAACAAAGTAAAATGGACACTTCATCAAAGAATTGAGGCAGGTAGAAAATAAGCACATCAAACGTCATTCAAAATTATCAGTCAGCAGAGGAATGCAAATTCAAATCACAATGAGATACCACCACACACCTATTAGCATGTGTCATATATTCATATGAATACTCATAATGGGTTAAAAAGTCTGACAATAGCAAATGCTGGCAAGGATGTAGAACAACTAGAACTTTCACATATGGCTGGTGGGAACACAAATGGGTACAGCCACATCAGAAAATGATTTGGTAGTTTAATATTTTAAAAATTTAGCATACACTTCTCATATGACCCAGTTGTTCCACTCCCAGGTCTTTACCCAAAATAAAAAAAGATATAAGTTCACATAAAACCTGTACACAAATATTTATAGCAGCTTTATTCCTTATTGCAAAAATCTCGCAACATTTCAAATGTCATCAAGTAGAAAAGGGAAAAACAAATTGTGGTACATTCATACAAGGGCATACTACTAGCAATAAAAAGGAATAAACTGCAGATACATGCAGCAACGTGGATGAATCTCAAATGCATAATGCTAGAAGAAATATGCCAGACTCAAAAAGTTATATATTGCATGATTCAATTTACATGTCATTCCAGAAAAGGCAAACTGATAGAGACAGAAATCAGGTATCAGTTGATTGTCTGGAGGGGACAAAGGGGAGAAGTGTTGAGACTGATTATAAAGGAGCATAAGAAAACTTTTCAGTGTAATGGAAATATTCTACATCTTGATTGTAGTGATGCCTACACAGCTGTATAGGTCTGTTAAAATTCACAGGACAATATATTTTAAAAAGCAAACATTATAAAAAAACTGACACACACATACACACACATTATAGATTAGATAAACTTGAATTATGGAGACCTGAGCCCTGGTGACCCCAAATTGCAATTAGACCAAAGTGCACTATGCTGGGCACTGGAAATAAAATGATGAGGAAAAATACACTTAGCCCTTGCCTTCCTGGAGCATTCATCTAGGCAGATATTAATGAAATCACTGTGTAAATGTGAAAACATACACTGTGATAATTGCTTTGTGTTTTGAAGAAAACTACCTGAGTAAAGAGTTTTAGGATCAAGAGACTTTGTACCCATTTCCACTCTCTCCTCCACCTTATTAGAATGTTAATATGTTAAGAATCCCAAGAGTCTCTGCTGTGACTATAAAGATGCTTAATTGAATATTTACTATATGTATTTGGTTGTGAAATTTTCCTATTAGCATCTTACAGAATATTTAATACTACATGTACAGAGACATAGGAATAAATAACCATATTATATTTTTTCAATGTTTAACTTTCTTCATTAAATTGATATTAACAGAAAGATAGCAAACAGTCCAAAACCACTAAGAGGGAAAAATATATTTCCCTGTTTTGGTTTTTTTTCTGGGTCTTTGGATAAGAGAATGAATCAGGAACTAAAAAGAACTGTATGTTCTCTCCAGATCTATTTCTGATGAAATCTGCCTGTTTGGCAACATTTTCAGCCTCAAAATACGTTATCCAGACACCCAAATTCTTGACATGGAATCATAAAGCAATTTTGACTTTTACTTGGTAGGTTTGTTGTCCTATATTGTAAGATGGAGCAAATGAGTAAATACATTGATATTGTTGAGTGCAAAGCTTCTTACTGTGAGATAAAGAAGATACACATATTTAATGGAGGAAGGCAAAGAAGATCTATATGGGTTTGGATTAGAATTCGAGATTTCAGTATGATTTTATTATTTATAAACGTATTATTTAATTTAAAATTTAAAAAATCTTGATATGGCTAAGGTCCACTGTCACTTTAACACCAAAAAATAAATATGGTATTTACTTAAATAGTTTTTATTCTGCTCATGACCAACTTCATGTTTCTTTTCAAATCACCTTCTCTTTTTCTTTTTCCTAACCCTTTTGCTGTACTTTCAGTTGAGCTGAAAATTGTTCCCTTCAAAGTGAAATTGTTTTGGAGTTTTCAGCAAATATTGCTGTGGCTTAGGTCATATATATATATATATATATATATATATATATATATATATATATGGCCTAGTCATTGATTTTTCTGTCATCTAGGATGGTTTCTAATTTATATGACCTAGCTTCAAGTAGAAAGCAGACATTACAAATATCTCTACACACATTACTCCAGCCTCATTTTAATGTGCCACACCCAAATATAATTCTGCAGTCAATGGACAATCATTACATAAATTAAAGGGGGGGACAGAAACAAAAGCCAGTTTCCAAAGATTAAAAAGAAGAAAATTAATTACAAGTAAATTGCAGAGAAAGTATAGTTTGCAACGAATCATGCCATACGGTTAATTGTAACACGAATCTAAAGCTCTCCTTTGACATGGAAAATAAATAATTGGATATTAGCGGATTTTCCCTTCTGAATGTGAAAATAAATATCAGGGTGTGGGTTGATTTGGTTTAGTGTTTTATATCCAATTTCTTCTTCTGACAGTCGGCCTTTTCAAAATTTTTATTTTACTAATCAAATAATCATCTTATAGGACACATACCTGTTTGTATTGCTCCATTAAATACTGCTTGGTCAAGAAAATTTTTTAGCCCATTACATAATATTTAAAAGTACTCCAAATAAATGAATGACAAAGCTGTTATCAAAGTACTGAACTGGTGAAGGTCAGAATTATTGTGGCCATGTTAGTACTTCCTCAAAGGTTAGCCATCCATTTTTATTTCTATGGCATTTTGTGGCATTTGGAGTTGCAGACTGGTCTATATTTTTTTAAAAATCAAAAAGCACATGACTTGGATTTTAAATTGTTTGAAAGAAAAAGAGGGAAGGGTTTATACTTTTCCAATTTACCTGCACTTTAGTCTGTAGAACTCCAATTTTTTTCTGAAGTTCCAGGCACCTCCATGACAAGTTATTTGTAGAAGATAAAATAAAATCTATATTTCTCATGATGCATGCCTGAGATTTATTCTCCAGTTAGGCCTAG
Source organism: Homo sapiens (assembly GCF_000001405.40). Lineage (NCBI taxonomy): Eukaryota > Metazoa > Chordata > Mammalia > Primates > Hominidae > Homo > Homo sapiens. The sequence continues at coordinate 167,625,010 of NC_000002.12, read as the reverse complement.
CCCTCTATTCTTTATGGAATGAAATTTGACACAAGGGAATAGTAAATACTTTAGGCTGATAGAAAAATCACTAGCCAGTTGATCAGTTAGAATTGACCAATCTTTAGACAGCTATTCAGTTATTTTTTCCATAAAGTAGTTAATTATAGCTTATTTCCTAGTTATAAATACTGGATGCTCCTCATGAGCATTCTTCATATGGTTTGATGCAAATAGCATTCTAAAGCAGAAATAACTTTGCAAAAAGAACAAATAAACTAAAAGAAAATAATGCCTCCAAATCCCTCCTTTCACATGGCAAACCAAAGAGCTAATCCCACCTATTTAAATCAGTACTTGAAAAGTGATTGGTAGTCATATAATATAGTGGATATAAATTTAAATTTGGGAGTTAGACTGTAGTAAAATTCTAGCTCTTGTTAACTAGTTGTTTGACCTTGGGCAAGGTACTTAAACTCAGCTTTCTCACAAATAAAACGCTCATGTCTGTCACAAAGTTGCTTTGAACATTAGCTAAAATATGTAAAATGCTTAGCACAGTGCTGGCATGTAACATAGATGAACTGTTTTGAGTTTCATTTTAACTGAAGTTCCTATGAGTGTTTAGCTACAATTTCCTTTCCTGTTCTTCACCATGCTGTCCTAAGTTACTTTGGAAAACTGTAAGGAAGCCTATTAAAGAAAGCTGAAGGTCAGTTCTTGCTTATGAGGGATTTCAATCTCCGGGGGTCTAAGATTAGAATTTCATCAACATGTCTTTCCAGAAAACCTGAGAGAAAGAAGTTGGTGGTGAAAATGCATCTAAACTTCCTTACCTGTCAACTCTATTTCCCATCATTTTAACATTTTTAACATCTTGGTTTGAGGCCTGTTTCTGGAAAATACTCTGGCCATTGCAGATTCTATGATTTTGTTCGGAATATTCTTAGCCCATTGAATCTTGACTTGTCTAAATTATATGCACCCTTCAAAACTGAGATCAGATGATTCCTCTACTTTAAGACTTCCCAATACCCTAGAAAAGTATCCATTTTTACTACATTGGTGTTCTGGTAGCAGTTAATACCATGACTAAACATGGCCATGTGTTATAGTTACTTGTCTGCATTTTTATCCTGCCTAAAATGTTGAGTTCATATATTAAATACATCCCTTATGTCCAGTGAAAACATCCTGCTACACAATATTCACAGTTGCCATTCAATTGAATTTATGTTCAATTAATCAGAAATGACTATGTGTTTTCTTTTTTGTTAATTATTATACTTTAAGTTCTGGGATATATGCACAGAACGTGCAGGTTTGTTACATAGGTACACATGTGCCATGGTGGTTTGGTGCACCCATCAACCCGTCATCTACATTAGGTATTTCTCCTAATGCTATCCCTCACCTTGCCCCCCACTCCCTGACAAGCCCTGGTGTGTGATGTTCCCCTCCCTGTGCCCATGTGTTCTCATTGTTCAACTCCCACTTATGGGTGAGAATATGCGGTGTTTGGTTTTCTGTTCTTTTGTAAGTTTGCTGAGAATGATGGTTTCCAGCTTCATCCATGTCCCTGCAAAGGACATGAACATCCTTTTTTATGGCTGCATAGTATTCCATGGTATATATGTGCCACATTTTCTTTATCCAGTCTATCACTAATGGGCATTTGGGTTGGTTCTAAGTCATTGCCTCAAATAAACATATGTGTGCATGTGTCTTTATAGTAGAATGATTTATAATCCTTTGGGCATATACCCAGTAATGGGATTGCTGGATCAAATGGTATTTCTGGTTCTATATCCTTGAGGAATCGCCACACTCTTCCACAATGGTTGAGTTAATTTGCAACTCCCACCAACAGTGTAAAAGTGTTCCTATTTGTCTACATCCTCTCCAGCATCTGTTGTTTCTTGACTTTTCAATGATCGCCATTCTAACTGGCGTGAGATGGTATCTCATTGTGGCTTTGACATGACTATGTATTTTCAAAGCAAATACCTTTTTTTTTCTAGTGGAAAGAATGCTAACCATATGTAACAATATATTTGAGGAGAATCAAAAGATTTTATAATCTTGACTGTTTGATCTTGAGTCCACGATTACAGTTCACACTCCATAGTCATTTTTGTAACTAATCTAACGGGTGATGCATTACTTCGTTTTGTATCAGATTAATACTGAATGCCCTAGGTTCTACCAATGACTAGATACCTTAGAATGTCATCAGGATACCTTTGCTTAACATAATGCTTTTGCATATCTTAATGTTGAATATTAAACTTTTCATAGAAATAATTTTTTAGTTCATTGAAGCTGAGGTGCCATCAATTGTAAGATGCATTTCCTTTTTAGAGATATTAAAATGTACAAATATGTGTATCTTACACATGATGAAGTATGAAATAATAAACTTCCTAATGGTGGTTCATATTAAGATGCTTATGACTCCAAGTTATAGAAGACTCAACCCAAAATGTCTTAAATGCTGAAAGCAATAAGCTGCAGATACAATTTCCTCTGTAGGTTGGTTAATTCGGTCATTAGATGGTGGCATCATATACCTAGATTTTTAATATATTTCCTCAGGGCATTGCCTTTTGTCCTCATGCTTAAACTGCTATAGCTGCAAGATGGCTTAGACATCTCCTGGCACCACTGGCTCACTTAACCCCACATTCAGAGACGTATTTTTTCCACGTGTCTCTTTTCATCTGGAAAATTTTTCTTAGAAGTTATCACAACAGACTCAGGGTTCTTTGGCCAGAGTTGGATCACATGACTTTTCCCAAGCAGAGGGGATGAAATAATCATCATTGGCTAAAGTGGTTCAATTTCCAAACTACTGGGGCTGGTGATAGAATTGTCTTTCCCAAGAACACAGACATGTGGAGGAGATTATGTGAACAATACTGAACTACTGCTAAGAAGAAAAGGGTAACAATTTGAGCAGGTAATGAATGTGTATGATATAATATGTTTATGTATGTCTCTGCTGATGTATATACTTCTGTATTAGTCCATTCTCATGCTGCTAATAAAGACAAACCCAAGACTGGGTAATTTATAAAGGAAAGCGGTTTAATTGACTCTCAATTAGTTCTGCATGGCTGGGAAGGCTTCAGGAAACATACAGTCATGGTGGAAAGGGAAGGGGAAGCAAACACACAATCATGGTGGAAGGTAGAAGGGGAAGCAAACATGTCCTTCTTCACAAGGCAGCAGCAGTTAGAAGTGCCAAGCAAAGGGAGAAGAGCCCCTTATAAAACCATCAGATCCTGTGAGAACTCACTCACTATCACGAGAACAGCAGCATGGGGGTAACCACTCCCATGATTCAATTACCTCCCACTGGGTCCCTCCCATGAACACGTGGGGATTATGGGAACTACAATTCAAGATGAGATTTGGGTGGGGACACAGCCAAACCATATCAACTTCTAAAGAAATTTCTTTGCTAAAGTAATACGTTTTCCCTCAATTGCTTAATCTTTATAATGGAAAGCTCTTGGAGTTCCTTTGAAGTGAAAAAAAGTCTTATGATTAGTGGCAGAAAGGTTCATCAATGACTGCTTTCTTCTTAAAAATCCCTCTGATAAAATAATAACATTTTAGTTAAATTGATTGAAAATAACTCACTGGCCAGGCAAGGTGGCTCACGCCTGTAATTCCAGCACTTTGGGAGGCTGAGGTGGAAGGATCACTAGAACTTAGGAGTTCGAGACCAGCCTGGGCAACGTATGGAGACCCTGTCTCTATAAATAAATGTATAAGCCAGGTGTGGTGGTGTGTGCCTGTAGTTCCAGCTACTCAAGAGGCTGACGTGGCAGGATTGCTTGAGCCCCAGAGGTCAAGGCTGCAGTGAGCCATAATTGTGCCACTGCACTCCAGCCTGGGTGACAACATTAGACCCTGCCTCAAAAAAAAAAAAAAAAAGAACTGAAAAATATAAAAGATGGGAACTTCATAAATATCCCAATTGCAGCTAGCATTAAGTATTTTAATATACTAAACTCTCTACTATGAAAATGAAAGAAAGCATCCTTCAGCTTGATGGTGGTGGGAGGGGAATATCTTTTTGAGGCTCTCTGGATGATGATAAGGTTAAAAAATTTGCATTTATAGGCTGATTAGTATTAATATTACAAGTTGGTGAACAAGACATTTTCTGACAGATAATGATTTAACAGCCATTGAAAGCCAATTAAATATATGTCAAATGAATAAATGAATTAAGCCCACATCTAACTAAAAGTTTTGAAAACATGGCACTAAATGGTCCATAAAAAGGACATTGTTTACAGTATGAGAGCTGAAGCAGGAAGACAGGGCATTACCTTGTTAGGTCTCAGCTGGGAATGTGCGCATTGATTGGGTGACTCAAATTTTTCACCACTCTGTGACTGTGAAAGTGCCACAAGTTTTGGGCACATTTTGGGGTTACAAATAAATCTTAGTAAGTAGGTGAATTTGCAAATATGAGATTTGCAAATATAAATATAAAATTTGCAAATACTAAGAATTGATTGTACTTTCAATCCCATGATGCCTCTGCTTAAAACCACTAATGATTTTGTATTTTGCTCAGAAAAAAATACAATCCCAAATCCTTAAGCCAGCCTACAAAGATCTGTACAACTTGAGTCCAGCCCCTCCCTCTGCCTGTTCTCTAGTTACTTTCTCTTGTATACTATGGGTTAGCCACATGGGCTATTTATCAATTCTAGCTACCTTCTCTTTGTATTTATGGGTTAGCCATATGAGCTATTTAGCAATTCTATGGACATCCCAAGTTTTCCCTACCTGCAGTCTCTCACACACTTTTGTACATTTTTACCTACACACTGCAATGCCCTTTTCCTCTTTCTCTCCTACACACATGTAACACAAACTGCACACACACTCCTCACACCGTTGGTTCCTTCTTGTCCATCAGATCTCAGCGAACTTATCATACTCTTTGCAGACATGATTTTCCTAACGATCCACTTTAAAGTAGGTGCCTCCTGTTAATATCCTTCATAAGATCCTCTTTGAGCTTTTTAAATAGCTTAATGTGATTAAAATAGTTCAGTATTTGTTTGTTTAATGTTTATCATTCTTACTAAACTGCAAGTTCTATGAAAATAGTTCCTTTTTGATTACCAGTGCATACCTATTCCTAACATCATATCTGGCCACTGCAGTGCGCCTTAATAAATATTAGCTGACTGACTAAATGAATGAATAGTGCTTTTAAAAATTAATTAGTTTTCACTACACAGAAATTTCACAGTTGACAACTGGAAGCTGGACAATTACCTATGTGAGACTTAAACCATTTATATTGGGACCTTTGCATATAAACATGTGTGGTAGAATTGCCATAAAAGATCTGAGAGATGCTAGTTTATTAAAATCATGAAACCAGTTAATATTATTTCTTAATTTGGTTTGTTAACCTTCATGCTTTATTTTCTTTCTGCACAATGTACTATATAATATATATGTTTAAGTCTTTAAAAATACATTCAGATACAGAAGTGTTCTCTCAAAAAGTAGCTATTACGGTCAGGCACTCCACTGGATGTCAAATGAATGAAATAGACCTAGTCCCTGTCCCCATGCAGTTTAATTCTAGTATGTTGGGGGGCAGCCATTAGACAAATGATTATATAAATTAATATATACATACTATAAATGATTATACATACATATATAACTGCAAATTGTGATATGTGTTAGAGAGTAAAGTAAAAGTGCTAAGAGGGCATTCAATGGGGAGGGGACAGGGGGAGCCAAAAATATTTCTGAGTTGGAGTTGTACTTGTGAGAGCCATCAATAGTATAACCTATAGAATAAAACAAAAATCTAGGAGTGCATACAGATAAAAATAAATGAGAGAGAAGAGAAAGATGTTTTTTAATGGAAGAATGCCAACTAATAAATGTATTGGGAATAATGGAATTAGAAAATCATTGACAACTACCATAGTAATAATTGTTTCAGGCAAAAGTATTAGGTAGGGTAGATGAGAAACATTTACACAGTCTCAAAGTATTTTCCCATAAGATATTTACTAACTAGAAAGAAAAAAAAAAGGTAACATTAGGGTGCATGAAGCTAGCAAAAAATCTTACATCAAATGATCAATGTTAACATCATCAGGAAAGGAAAAAGATATAATTTGGTTCTTGATGCACTAAGAAGGATACAACTCCATCGCTCTGAAATATCCATCAAAATATTAACTTGAATCTAATCATAAGTAACAGACTAACTCTGAGAGACATTCTATTAATACAAAATAAATGACCTGTATTCTTCAAAAACAACCAAGAGTCTAAGGAACTGCTGTGGGTACAGGAGGTTAAAAAGACATGAAATGAAATATCTGATGCTGAATTGACCTAGACTAGAAATTTTTTTTGTTATGAAGAACATTAGTCGTATAATTAATGAAATTTGAGTAAGATTTGTAGATTAGATAGTACTAATGTTTCACTGTTACCTTTTTTTATTTTGATCATGGTTTTGTGGTTATGTAAGAAAATGTCTCTGTTTTTGGAAATACATATAGAGGTATCCTGGAATAAAGGCAGGTCATATCTGTACTCTCAAAAGGTTCAGAAAAATTTATACATACACATATCTAATATAGCAAACATGCTAAAATGTCAATAGTTGAGTACTATGGATGAAATGTACATGGGAATTCTTTGTCCTGTCTTTGCAATCTTTCCATAAATCTGAATTTAATAAAAAGTTTAACAAATATTCTCTGGTCCAATATGTTTCTCAGAAATTTTGTATTAGAGAAATTATTGTAGCATTAGCTGTTAAGAATCCGAAACTGAGTTAATATCTCAAGTAAGGAAGTGAAATAAAGGTTCAAGGAAGAGATTTTCATAGAGGGACAGGTAACAAGAAGGAAAATTAAGTTCTAAAGCATTTTCTACCTTCGCTCCTGTTTGTTTTGTTGGTTTGTTTTCTGCCATGGTAAAATATGACAGGTTTCCACTTAGATTTAACAAGAACTAAAGTAAGAGAAAGCCAGGATGTGGTAAATAAAAACTTCTAATCCAACAGCAAAAGATCTGACAAAACAATAAATGAAGAGAAGCCCATTATAACATTCCTTTTAATTATCTAGATTCAAATATGCTAAAGGCAAAACCATGGGAGACAGTGCATTAAAGAGGAAATCAGGAGGCTGGGCCCAGCTCTTTAATTATAGCCAAGTGGTGTGGAGTAGATTAGAACCTTGATGCCCCTACTTTCCTCATTAATTAATTAAGTGAATTAGGCTGGGTGATTTTTAAGGATTTAAAACTTTCCTTATGGTTCTAAATTTCTATGATCCTGTACCTCCCAAATTAGAACTGATAAAAGAATGTAGTTAACTAGAAATGTGGGCTAGCCTATTTCTCCAAAAAAAGTTTTACAAAGGTTTTTTGTTTTGTTTTACTATATTAACAAGAAAATTCAGTTTCTATGGCAGACACTGCTTGTGGCCTAACACCCCTTTTCACTTCTAATAGAACCCTAATTCTGTATAGGCGGGAGTGGAATAATGGGCTATTCCTTAATCACAATGAGGGTGAATTCTCTCCCAGCTCCAGGGGGTGACTTATAATTGTTCTAAGCATACCATGTCTCTTTGCCATTGATAGGTTTAAGAGTGAATATGTGAGTTTTGCCTATAATAAGCTGAAGTTTGCTGAGATGGAACAATTATGAAACAGATGTTCTTTTCAGATAAAAAGATGGAAACTCACAAGAAGAAAGCATTTCTCCTCAACTCTTCCATTATTTTTTCTGCCTTTAATGTGGATGATGAATGTGATGGTTACAGCTTAGGCAGCTATCTTATGACCATGAGGCTTTAAGTTTAAAGGAGAAAAAAACAACATATGGAGGGTGGGACATAGGAAAACAAAAAGTTCCTGTGTGCTTAATGATAGCATATAGTCACTAGATCAAGCTTGAAACTGCCTACTTCCAAAAGTCAAGTTACTTGATGTAATCAAAAACTTTTATTTTATAATAGACCATTGTTTGGTTATTATATTTCTTTCAGCCAAAAGCATTGCTAACTGACATGATTGTCTGCTTCAAAGCTTTAAGCAATACATAACCTTCTCAGATAGAGGAGATCTGAATCAATTCAAAGTACTATCAAGAAAAATGTAGCTGTAATTTTTTCTGATTTTATAAGAATTACACCCTAATTTCAAATAACCCAGAAAATACAAGAAAGTTTACAGGGAGAAATAAAGATTCCTGTCAACCAGAATTACCATTAACATTTCAGTATATATTCTTGTTATTTATTTATTTATTTATTTATTGAGACAGGGTCTTGCTCTATCACCCAGACTGTAGTGTAATGGCGTGATCTCGGCTCACTGTAACCTCTGCCTCCCAGGTTCAAGCGATTCTCAGCCTCCTGAGTGGATGGGATTACAGACATGCACCACCACACCCAGCTAATTTTTGTGTTTTTAGTAGCGACGGGGTTTCACCATGTTGGTCAGGCTGGTTTCAAACTCCTGACCTCAAGTGATCATCCACCTTGGCCTCCCAAAGTGCTGGGATTACATGTGTGAGCCACCGTGCCTGGCCTACATTTTATTATATATTTTTCCTACAGAGACACAGATGTGCACGCACGCATACACACACCCTTGCTTAATAGTTTCCCCAGGGCAGTAATTACTGGGTCAAAGTATGTGATTTAAATTATTTTTATACAGTTTGCAAAATTGCCCTCTAGAGATGTACTTATCTATCAACATAAGAGTTCCTATTACCACACTCTTCAGGAGATTTATTCAACATTTGAATCATTACTGCTTTGAAATATTAGATATTCAATCTCCTTTTCTTTTTCAGTATTTGATAACCATTATTGTTTAACATTTTCTAAGGATTTATAAACTAAAGTATTCCCTTCTTCTTTTTTCTTTGTAAAGTGCTTTTTGTTTTGTTCTGTTATTCTACTGAACGCTTATCTTGAGCTTCCTGACCATGAATAACTCATAAATGTTGAGTGGCATATGTCAGAATGAGCAGAGCACAGTCTCAACAGCCAATCTACCTGTGTGCTGGGTTCAAATTCTGGCTTCACCACTTAGAACTGTCTAACTTTGGGCAACTAAAAACCTTTCCACACCTCAGTTTCATTGCTTGTAAAATGAGGATAATAAAGCACCCTACCACATGGGGCTCACAGGAAGATTAAGTGAGTTACTACATTAAAGCACTTAGAGTAGTGCATGACACGTGCTAAACACTACATAAGACCTGGTTATTATTATTGTTACTCTTATTAGAGATATTAGTATTCTGTCCTAAATCTTAACATTGTTTGCTTTTCAATTTTTTTTTATTTTTTAATTGACAAAAATTGTATATATTTATGGTATGCAACACGTTTCGATACATGTATAAATAGAATTGACAAATTCATTACTTCGTATACTTATTTTTAGTAGTGAGAACATTAAAATCTACTTTTCTAGTGATTTTTAAGCATACAATACATTATTATTAACTGTCGTCACTATGCACAGTAGACCTTCTAAACTTACTTGTCCTAACTGAAATTTTGTATCCTTTGACCAATATCTCCCCAATTCCTACTCTCCTCACCCTCCACCAGGCCCCAACCCCTTGGTAACCATCATTCTACCCTTTGTTTCTATGAATCCGATTTTTTCAGGTTCTACATATAAGCGAGATCACACAGTATTTGTCTTTCTGTGTCTGGCTTGTTTTACTTAATATAACATCTTCCAGGCTCATCCATGTTGTGGCAAATGACAAGATTTCCTTTCTTTTTAAAGGATGAATAATATTCTGTTGTGCATATACACTACAATTTCTTCATCTATTCATACCTTGCTTTTTAACTTTTTAAGAAGTGTCATGTAACTCAAAGTTTTATATTTTCATGTGGTTAATCCAAGATTATTTTCATTTGTTACTTCTTGCTTTGGTACTATGCTTAGGCAGTCCATTTTCAAAACATTATTTATTTTTAAACTCCTGTGTTTTCTTTTAGTATTTATATATTCTTATTTTTAACATTCAAATCACTCTGAAACTTCTTTTAAGAGTAACCTATGAGTAAATATATCTATCTATCTACTTACCTACCTACCATCTACCTATCCATCCATCTATCTATTGATCTATTTTTGGCCAATTGTCTCTATTTGATTTACTGAATATTTTATCCTTTTCTAATGTATTTGAAATATGTTTATCACATTTTGCATTTGCATTTGCATTATAATTATAAATCCAATTTGCATTTAAATTTTAGTCAGCTTCTGGATGTTGCACTATGTCCCATTGACATATAAATTTCTGAAATATCTATTCGTTCCATACTGTTTCAAATATAAGAACTCTAGAATACATTTTAATGAGCCTACTTGCATTTATCTTATATTCAAAATGATTGTTTTTAGCTGCTCTTGAATATTGATCTTGGTTGGATGAATTTAAGAAACATTTTTTCTAAGAACTTTGCATTTCCTCAAAATTCTACTAAGATGTTCACAGAGATTTCCTTACTAATGGATTCAGAGACAATTGAAAACTCTTAAACATTTAGACTTTCCATTCAGTTTTGTTTTCTAATGTCTGTCCTCATGATTTTGTAGTTTTTTTTTTTACAAAGACTTTGTCTCTTTTAAGTATCTTCCTAGGTTTTTCATATGTCAAGTTATTTTAAATTGAATGGGTTTTTTTTTTCATTTTCTTTGCTATTGATTATGAATGACATATACTATAGTGTGGGACATTGAATTTTTGTATAAACAAGCATAGTCAATTTACTAAATTTTTAAAATAAGGCATTTATTTGCTCATTTACTTACGTTTTCCTTAGGTGTCATACACATTATGCACAAATAATAGTAATTTTGTTAATTTTTCTCTTTTTTTCCCAATATGTATACATTTATTTAGTGTTATTGTTTTATTACATTTGCTAGAACATCTAGAAAAATATTAAACGAGAGTAGTGTTCATGGAAGCTTGGTCTCATCATAGCCTTTAATAAACATGACATTAATATTTTCTTGTTTCTTGATTTCTGGTAGATTATAATGTCAAGGGAAAAAAACCTTCAGTCTTAGTTGACTGAAAAATGTATTGGAAGTGGATGCTTGATTTTTTAAATCATTTAAAACATTCTTGATATTTAAATATCTTTATATTCTTGGGGCAAACCACATATTTTGGAAGTTCTATTATACACAATAAATATTTCAGAAAATAAAATATAGAGTATAGAGAAGTTTTGTGGTATCTTAACCTATTTTTACTCTGGCTTCTAAGAGATAAAGCACAGAAATCTGGGCTTTCTTCCCAACATCCTCAGAGGGAAAGTGCTTAAGTATATTTTTTAAGCATTTTTTTCTTATGGAAGTAACATGCATCCATTAATTTAAAAATTGGAAATATAAACAAGACTAAAGAAAAACAAAACTCACGTTATAAACAGGAGACAATGAGTAGTTGATATCTGGTATTGGGTTTTCATATGTTTTGTTTCCTCTTTCTAGTATATTATATAAAATATTTTAAGAATATAATTATATTTTTTATCCTTATTGTTGACTTAACAATACATACCATGAATAGCTTTCAATGCCATAAAATGTTCAACTACAATTTCATGTCCTAGCCTCCAATATATTATACTATATGAATGTACCATATTTTACTTGATCATTTATCTATTACTAGGCATTTCTGTAGTATATACATTTCTTATATTATAAAATAATCCTGTGATAAACTTCGTTAACATTAAAACTTTTTTTCAATTATTTACGTAGGATAAAAATCTTAGAGATTGAACTGCAATGCTGAGCATGTGAACATTTATAAGACTTTGTAAAGTGTGCTAGCCCTAGCTCCCTTTTTCCTCTCTCTCAGGAACACAAGGCTCTGATTCTTTTCCCTCTCTCTTTACCTGTCCCCATTGCTCCTCTTTTGGGGAAATGCCAGATGCTCAAATGTATAGGATACATTGAACAAAACACTACATTTATTTTTGACACACAATATTGACTTCCAATAACACAACTTAGCAATAGCAATCAATTTTGACAAACTCTTCATCAGGACAAACAATTATTTCAATCTTGCTTTCTCAATAAGATGAACCAAAATAGAAGCTGTTGTAGAAAGTGCAGAAAGGTTTAGAATTGCTCAAGCTAGTAAATCTTCACAATTTCTCCCATGATCCATGGTTAGATTCTGACATCATTATCAGTACTAACATGTTATTCTTCAAAGCAAAAAGGATATTCTTTACAATTTTTTAAAATTCCATTGTAAAGCTCACACATAAGTAATTATAGAATATTTGGAAAATAGCAAAAAATTTCATATTTTTAAAAAGCAAATAAAAAAATGTTGGAATTTTAAATATCAGATTTCAAGACACAAAGAAACCTCGATCACCTATCCTATGCAAATCAAGTATACAGCTCAGTTTACTCAATGTTTTAAAGGGAATTACAACATACAGGATTACCAGAGAACTGGGTAGTTGTGTTATGGAATTCTATGCTGATACACAATGTAAAAGTACAGTGAACAAGTTGTAGTAGGAAGCATGCTACAAAATAATAATAATAATAATAATAATAATAAAGGCCTAATAATATCTGCTAAAACCATTTGACTCCTGGTTTTAGGCAAAAGATTTAAAAAGGTTAATGTCTCATTTACTGCAAACATACTATCACAAGAGAGAAATATTGAATTTTTTAGGTCCACTATTCATGAATTAACCATCTAGTGTTAAAAGCTACAAACTAGATCATTCAAAGAAACTGGTAATTTTCTTAACTGCCCTTTAACAGTGAAAAATGGATTTGCATGCTGCTTTAGATTGAAGTACATTAATTCTTTTGTTTATCCACAGGCTATCACCAACCCTCTGAAAAAGTCCTACTGTTAATGATTATATATGAAGACATTTTCATCAGCTATCTGCCAGTAACGTTAGGAACTAAAGCAATTCATCAACAGGCCACTTGTTCTCTTTTTCAAATTAAACAATCTGTTAGATATTATTTTCCATAGGAGAATAAATATGATGGATTTTATTTCTCACATTGTAAATGATTTTTGAGTCTGGATGTCTGAAATATTTCTGCTTAAACTTGACAAGGAATTTTTTTTTTCATAAGGCAAAGTCATCCTTAAGGCCAAAAGTAATGTGGTCCAGGTGCATCGTATTTTACCATCGTATCAACGGAATAGGAGAGAACTAAGGGTGGATATTGGCTGAGATGTAACTATGTGACCCCAAGGCGCTGCTCTTCCTTAGAAATTGCTTGGTACACAGAAATACTCACAGATATACCCCTTTTACTGGGCAATGCAAGGACATCATTTCTTAACTACAACTCGCTGGCAATGTCTATTTACACCATAAATAATCTTTATACTTATATTTCTATAGAAATCAGCCATCTTGCCAGGTGATAGCTGGTTTTTGCGTTTAATGCAAAAAGGACTTTTGTGCCTTTTCAACACTTTCATAATTGAAACTCCAACATACAGTCTAGATTTGGCCAGAGGGAGAATTTTGAGAAAATGAAAGAAAACGACAAAGGGCTCCAGGTAACCTCCAGAAAGGGCAGTTTGCTATATTTTAACAAGTATAAAATATTATATTGTAAAAAGCTCAGTTATTTAAAAATGAACATATTTTGGGAAAGTGTACATATGCCTAGAATTATTCTACATAGGCAATATGATTGGTGAAGCAACTTCTCAATTAAAATTAATAATTTAAAAAATTAAAAATTAATAGAAGTTAATCAGATAACTGGTTCTCGATAGTAGGATTTTCTTTTTTTTAACTTTTATTTTAGGTTCAGGGGTACAGGTGCAGGTTTATTATGTAGGTAAACTGTGTGTCATGGGGGTTTGGTGTAGAGATTATTTGTCACCAAAGTAATAATAGGTAGTTTTTCATCCTCTCCCTCCAGCCACCCTTCACCCTCAAGTAGGCTCTTGGGTCTGCTGTTCCCCTCTTTGTGTCCAGGTGTTCTTGTTGTTTGGCTTTTCTCTCTCTCTCTCTTTTTTTTTTTTTTTTTGTACAAATAAACCAGGAAGAGAATTTCCTGAATTATTTCCCAAACAACTTCTCCTCTAAGGTTGGTCCTATGACCCCCAATACCTTATAGTTTACTCGCCTTAAGACACAGGTTTGGTTGTTAGATTCTATATGGTTTTCTTTTTGGTCCCACTACTAGACATGCACACTTGTTCCAAACACAGATACCTGTTCCTCATCCTAGATTTCAGATCTGGGTTGGTCCAGGATTAAACTTAAGGAGGCAGACATTTTGGAATAACTACCACTACCAGGTGTGGTTCTTATTTCCTGCTTGAAATGCCATTAGAATAAATATTTTGGTTATCAATATTTAATCACGGCCTGCTTTTGTGATAGTTCCACCTTTAAGCAGGAGAATCTGTCAGTCTTCTAGGGTTCTGTACTGACATGTTTGGATAGCAATAGTGTACATTTTGAAACTATTAACTGAACACAATCTTGATTGTGAAATGGTAAAATCTCCCCTATAAACAAAAATCCAGAAAGGAGTATGGAGATAGGTTTTCTACAAGGAACATGTTTTCCAATGTGCATAAGAGAAGGCTTATTACAACCTATTACAAAAAGAAGGCCATTGATTTTAAGCACGGTTAAATTTCTCATTAGCTGTGCTCTGCCTGCTTGAAACAAACCATCTAATTAATATGTCAACATTTACGTAGTTAAATCTTTACATACAGACAAAATACATCCATTCAAGCAGGAGCAAAAGGTTAGTCTTTCTTACGACTAACCTTCATCCTAAATCATGAGTTAACATTCGCTAAAAGATAGCACTGTCTCATTTTTCTTTTGTCCTCTTTAACTATATCCTCATTTTCCTCTCAAAAAAATATTTTTTTTGCAAAAGTTTAGCACTATATATTTTTTAAATGAAATATTCTTAACTGTCTTTGATTTGTTCTTTTCTTCTAACTTCACTCTTTTGCTTGGTTTGTATTTTTTCTATTTCTCTCTAGTGAAAGGGTGGTCCATTAGCCCCACAATACCTTCGCTCCACATCTATTTCTTTATTCTCTTCCTGCTTGCACTTACACCATTGTGGTAAACATGGTGGTTGGTAATGCAACAATCATTCCCATTCATTTCCATGTGGAAGCAAAAATTCAATTAGGGGAATTGATCTTTCTGTGATACGCCTTTGGGCATTCCATCCTCTTTGCCAGTGACCCTCTCAAGAACAGTGTGTAGCACAATAATGGACAATGAGATACAGGAGATAGTTGCTGGTGACCTGTAAGAAAGTTCTTCCTAGCTCTTAGGAGAGATCAGCTGAAGCTAAGCTCTCTACCTCCTACTGACTTGAACAATGTAGTATGTAACAACCACTGGAAGTTGTCCTAAATCACAGGGGAACTAGCCTCAGGATGAGGATGATGCTCTGGGTGGTAGAGCGGAAGAGAGAAAAATTGTAGAACCTTGAGGACACTATTGAGCCACTCGTCCCACCCTACCTTATGCTCTGTTTCCTTATTGCCTAAATCAGCTTAAGTTGGCTTTTCTATTATTTATGGCCAAAAGGATCCAAACTGACACAATTTCTCCACATTACTGGTTGGAACAGTAAAGTGGTCACATGGGTAAAGACTGTCCCCAGTTGGGAGCTAAAGCTTTCCTTCTTTAAGGTTTCTCTTTAAATCTAAGTCATGAAAACATAGAACAAATACGTTATTATTGGTCTGTGTTCCTAAACAGCTTAAATATCTAAAATTATTTATATGATCATGACAGTTGGTGTGGTTCTGACTACATCAACAACAATTAATTAGAAAGTAGCCAAGAGGTTATAAATATAAGTAAGTCATGGGTCCCATTTTCAAGAAGCAACATTTATAATGGAAATGAGCAACAGATACATCAATAAGTGTAATATTTGTTTCTCTAATGATAAAATATTCCAGGGGCCTTAGGAGCTGATCCCATCACTGAGTCAATGAGAGACTTTTACAAGGCAGATGAGACCAAATCAGTCTAGAGGCCATAGTAGCATAATACAAACCTCTCAGCTTACCAAAAAATATGGCTTTTTGGTAAGAAACCTGGCAACTTCTCTTAAACACTTTATGTTTCTGTATTTAAAACCAAAAACAATTGGAAAATTCCTCTTGGTCACTCAAGATTTAATGTAACCCTCCAAATGTATGATTTGCTGATTTGTTTTCCATCACATTTGATGGTTTTTCCATCATGTCAACAGTGTGAAGGTCAGAAACAAAAGTCCATATGTACCTTAACAAATATTGGATCAGAACTTCCTATGCTAAACAAATAGCTTAACAGGAAAATCCTAGTAAATTCAGAATAAGTGTTAAACATACCAACTGTTTGAAAGAAATATGTTATATAACCATTGACAGATAAAGTACACACCACACACACTCACACTTAGACATGTGAGGTATCAAAACACCTAAATTTAAAAGATTAAGAATTAAACCTTAAATACAAGCGTTTTAAACTCTCAAAGATAGGCATCTTATAACTCTAACATCAAATTAATTTAAATCTCCACAAATACTAAGTTATGCTATACGCCAAATACGTCAGATGAATATGTATTATGACAAAAACTAAAATGCCTCCCGTGGGACAGAAATAGCTTCCTGATTCCCTATTTACTAAGCAACTCTCTATCTTATTAGTTGTCCACTTATGTTTGTTTAATTTTGTAATGGATTAAAAGCCAAGGTTGTTAATTCGTCTTTCTTTTGTCTCAGGTACCAAGTAATCATAATATTAACAATTTATATATTTTGCTACACCTTATTTAATTTACATGGGCCGTTAGACATATCAGCATGTAGGAATGCCTTCTTTTCATAATTTTGTCTACGGGAACACTGTTGCATAAATCGTCTGCACTAGAGGTAGCCATGGGTGAAATGGCCTTTCTTATTAAATGTCACAAGATTTAATGTCACAGTATAATTGGGATGGAAGGATAATTGCACTAAGCTCAACATGTCTTTTTCTGCTAACACATTATTAATCCACAGGAGTGTTAAAGTATGTTTAATAAAGGCCCCATTCACATGGAAATTGTTGGCACTTGCTAAAAATTGCACTCTTTCATTGCTCAGCCCTAAGAGTTTCTAGTGGAATTTGCAGCAAGTCTGATTTTCAAGTGAAATTGTAGTAGGAGCCCACACTAAAAATTCAACATTTGTTCTCAAAGTATATTTTTAAAAGATTAAAAAAGGTCTTATGCTTGAAGCACTAATGCATTGTAGTATTTACCCTGGTAGTGCCAAAACTCATGCTTAACAAGTGCTTTAAAAGAAAGTACATATAGATAAATTCTTTTCTTTGTTCCTTTCTCCTGCCTGCGTGTATGCACGTGTGTGCACCTGTGCACACACACACGCACACACTCACACAGTACTCCTGGGCATACAGCTAAGTTATATGCACTAGCAGTAAGATCGTAAGTAATAAGGTGGCGTCATATGATTGAGTTCTGACTAATTGCAGGTAGGCAGAAGTCGTGACCCAGAAAACCTACTCCATAATTCTACATATTCTTCTTGCATAAAACAAAAGACCCAGGAGAGACTCCAAAAGCCAACGCTTGCTGAATATTTGTACTGAACTATGACTGAGCAAAAAAGGAAAACGATAGCATTACATTTCTAAGAATGTAGGACTCATTGCAATGCAGTTAGATCATCCTGGCTTTCTCTTCTTTTTATTTCTTTCATTTTCCCTTTTCAGGTAGAACCTATGAACTGAAAGAAGAAAAATAATCATCTTCAAATAATCTGTTTTCTTCTTGTTAATTCAGCTTAACCTTGACTAAGCTAATTAACTTTTTTGGGGTTTCATGTTCTCAATCATAAATCCAGGGATACATACCAAGCATTTCATAAAATCATAACCTGCAGGATCTTTTGTAGGCCAACTGCTCCACCTCCATGCCTTCATGTAGAATCCGTCCCCCTAAATGCTACAAACTGAGACTCTTCATTGCTTTTAAAGGAGCTTACGGTAAAAGATTCTACATCCTTATTTTGAAGTCTAAAGTTCTTATTTCAAAATCCTTATTTCAAAGTCAAAGTTCTTGGCAAAATTTACCTGTAAAGAAGTCTACCCATCCCATAACTGTTCTTTGAACACATTTTTATTTGTCTTACTTTCAATAGAGCATAGAAGTTCCTATTCATGAGAACACTTTAAGTTTGCCCCAATCTTTTCTTCTCTGGCTAAACTAAATCACAACAGCTTTTTAATCTTTACTTACAAATGAGTTTCAAAACGTCAAACAATTCTAACTTTTCTATATCTCTCTTTCATAAGCCATAGTCACACAATTGATCTATTTGGTAGAAAAGTAAATGGAAGCAGAAAAGAAACCCATTCAACCAGCTGTTTATATAGACAAAACTACTTTTGATTGAATGCTTTCTTCACATAGTTTCTGTAGCCTTAAATAACAGAATCTGAAACTGAGTACTCAAAGAAAATGATAATGAATAAGTTTAATGATATAATTTTTTCAGAGACTTAAAGTGTTAGATGTCTATGCATATTTTATAGTTCAATTCATTTGGATTAAATTTAGTTGTGATAATAGTTACTTTCAATTCAGCTAAGCACATTCCCCCATAGGTTTCTTTCAATTAAGTATATTTGCTCAGGCCAGAACTGGACATAATTGAAAAACTTAGCGGCATATGATTTGCCCTAATCTCCCTTTCTAATTCCATGAGTGGCAAGAACTCAACACACCCATTTCTTTGGAAGAACTAGGAGGAGCAAAGCAAGCTAGTACAGAAAATTGTTCCAATGAAATTTTGAAACAATTTAATCAACTTAGCCTTATACGCTTTAAAAAATATCTTGATTTTAAGGTGACAGGAATGGGGCAGGGAGGATATAACCAACAGTCTTTGCCAATAGAGCCATCCAATTGACCTAATACATGCACACAGCCTGTTACCATCCCTATAATCTTTCTCTATGGCTTATTTGGGCAATGGAGATAGAGTTATACTCAAATCCCATCTAATTCACTTATTAACTCTATAAACTATATCTCTGAGCATCAAGTTTCTTAATTGACAAACTGAGCATATAATGTTTAACTTGCTCTGTTAACCTTGTTCTGAGGTTTACAGAAGATAAAGATATAAAGTACCTACCAGAGTGCCTGGAACAATAAAATAAAGATGCAGTAAAATAAAGATGGCTGCAAATTCTTTCCAACTCTCTCCTGAGACTTGCCTTGACCAAAAGAATATCACAGGAATATCACTGTGTAACTTCCAAGGCTAGGCCTTAACATATCTTCAGCTTTCATTCTCATGCTGGGAACACTTCTTTTTTGAACTCAGCCATCAAGCCATGTGAAACCCACAGGACATACAACAGGCACCCTGAGGAGACACAAGGCACTCGGGTTGACATGCCATCTGAGCCCTCAGGTGACAATCGGTACCAACCACCAACCACGTGGGTCAGCCACCATGGGCACTCCAAGCCAGCCAAACCCTCAAGAGAACTACAGACTTAGCCAACACCATGCAGAAGAGGAAAACCACCCAGCTGTGCCTACATAATCCACATACTCAGAAGAAAAAAAGAAGAGTTTTGTTTTTTGAAGCCACTACGTTTGGGATAGTTTGTTACACAGCAAAATTATCCAAAAGAATGCTCAATAAATGAAGCAATTATTTTTCCCCAGTGATGTGGAAAAAAGCATATGTTGATGTTTCTTTCTTTGCTCTATTGAGAGGCTTTAGGGACAGTATGTCCCACACTGCCATCCAGTGCCAAAGCATTGGGGTATGGGGATAGGGAAGTAGGCGCTTTGCCAAAAAGAAGGAAAACTTGACTTGAATACAAGACGTCTAGAAGAACTAGTGCTCTCTTTCCATTGTACGCACTGTAATGTGCATTCTCTCATTACATCACAACCTCTTGTGAGTTCTTAAATGACTATAAAAAGCAGGACAGAGAATATATTTGCCCTCAAATCAGATGTTACAACCTGTTTAAAGGGTGTAGCCCTGAAAGGCTCACTCTTCCTTGCCTATGATCTTCCCAGATTTATATTCTATTTGCTTCCCTTCTCCTCTTCCCATCTATCTTTGTGAACATCACAGACTGGGCACCAAACATGCCTGTCCCCATTTCCTGCCTGTGTAGGCTTCCTGCCTCTCCTTTTTGGTATTCTCTTAAGCTTCTCCTTATGATCACTGATGCTTCCCAACCCACTTACCCTTGGCCTTGACTAGTTACCTCCTTAAAGTCTATGACATCTAAGGGACACTCCTTTTAGATTTCCAGTTTGGGCCTTTCTTTCTCTGCCCTGAAGCATTGTTGCTACACCCAGTGTGGTACTAGATACGGTATTGCAGGTTACAAATGTACACAGTCTTTCCCCAGAACACAAGTGAATGAAAATTATAGTAATCTACAAAACAAAGTGATTATGCGATTCTATGTAAATTTCCTTACAGAGGTGACAGTATCAAAATACACAACTGCATACTCAGTAACCAATAATGTCCCTTGTTTTTGATATGTAATCAAACTCCTGAAACCTCTGAAAGTTCCTACTTCCCGTGGAGCAAATTCTTGTCATCTTTGATGAGCTTTATAATCACATATAATCACATGGGGGCAGCTGAGCAATGATCATGGCACACTTGGCATCAGTATATTAAAGTTTCCTTGTCTTTGGGAGCTACCTTTCCTTTACCCAAAGAGGCCACGATCAATTTAGGAACAGAATACTTATTGTGTATGTGCAATGTGAAGAAAATGATTACTGCAGATTATAATAATTTAAGATTTTTAGTATAAAAAGTACATTCAGTTCAGGAAATTTCTTCTTAGACATAGTAATTATTTTAATTATTTCTTTTCTGGCAATTTTTCTATAGAACATTTCTCATTGAGTTGTTTTAATTGAGATAACTCAATTAAGCCACAGAAATTTTAAATTATTCAAAATTGCAGTCGTTTTTGTTCTATGTGATTTGAAAAAAAAAAAGAACTTTTTCTTTTAAAGACTTCAGTTTGAAGAAATGTTTACATCTCACTCCTTAGCTATGTGTTTCTCGGCTGCCTGCATCTATGTGATGACAGTCTCTTGCGTTTCACAATAGTAGAATCTCCCAATGAGGACAATTTGAACTTCAAGGGAAAGAAGATGTGATTTGAGAGCCAGAAAGCCAAAAAGGTAAGAATCACATATAGAGGCAACTGGCTGCCAAATATGGATGTGAACAAACAGGCAAAGGAAGCAGTTCTAACAATTAGTTATTATGCTGGGTAGGAATATTTAGATAACCAGCATGTAAGGATCACAAGTGCAAAGGAAGAGGCTGCCTAATGAGGTTCCCCTCATCTTTACATTCTATAGTAATGTTCAGCTTACACAGAACTTCCATCTCCTTTATTTCATTCAGCTCTCACAACAATCCCATGATGGATACCAGGATACTAATGTTTTCCCTGTTTTACACAGGAGGAAACTGAGGCTTTCAAAAAGATTGCTGAATTTCCTAATATTATGTTTCAATAAGAGACAATCTAAGACACAGTAAAGAAGATGGAGTTGGCATTTATCTGTATCTTCTGACTCTTGCGCCTGGGTCCTTCCACTGCATCATTCTGTGGCTCTAATTTTGAGATATATAAAGTTGTGAGTAGAGGTGGAAAAGCTGAGAAGTCACATGAAACATGACATCTGCCTGATACTGACAAAGAACTAGAATTAGTTATCTTAATAGGAAACATGTTTGTAAAGTCCTCTTTATTAAAATCCTGATGACCTATATGCTGGAAACTACACTTGTGTGCAATCCCTGTTTCCTGTCGGGAGAAAAGCTAAGAAAGTTCTCCAAGCAGGAGATCTGGCAATGGTGCCATTTTATTTGATCCTGCCATTATTGAGTAAGGTGGTGGCTTCACTCATGTGGATGTAGTGCAGGGCCAAACAAGAATAATTCTCACTAAAGAAATATTATACAAGGGGTGCTGCTGATCTCATGTGCCCTAGTTTTCAGAAACTGTCATTTGGGACCAGCCTACTAAATAGCCATCTCTAAAAATAGATTGATTTTTTTTTTAAACTCAAGATTTTGTGAAGGCAATAGAAAGACCAGGATGAGCAAATGATTACTATGGGCTGAGAATTCTAATAAAGATACAAATACTATTTGAGTCATAACAAACCACAGGTAACATGTATATCATTAGGCCAAAATATTTAATCCACTGTTCCTAGAAATTATGGAAATCTTTAAAAAATGTGGCTAGTAGCTTATCAAGACTAGTATTAGTATTATGCTTTTATTCCTAAATATTGATCTACTCTCTGCTTGCTGGAGTCCTACACTGATATATTAGAAAACCATTTTCTTGTATCAAGGCCTGTACCATAAATTGCAAAGAATCCTGCAAGTATTTGTCTCTAACTCTGCAGTCATTTGAAAATAGAATCTCAGCCATATTTCTAAAGTGGTTTTAGTTCCCCTAAATATGGTCTACAAATTGCCCACAACTAGGTATTGAGTACTCCGGAACTGTTCAATTGTGTGGCACTGCAGCTCTCTGTCTCTCTATATGCTCTCTTTGCTGGGAGCTCATTTAGCTCTGAAAAATGATAGCTGCAGCTCTCTGTACACTGCTGTTTCTCCAATTTGCCTGCTATTTTTCACTCAGCAGCTTCATGCTCTTATGGTAATGGGAAGGATTCTCACAGTTCCTAGCTATTTTCATAGTAGCTTTCAGGTCAGTCTGGAATTTAAAAAATATTCTGTCTCAATTGCAGATACTCTATATCAATGTTTTAAAAAATTGTGGTTAGAGCACCTATGGGTCCTGAAATCTGCATGGAATATACAGCCATGATTGAAACTTCTGTTTGTAAGTAGTGTTCTGTTGTTTTGATATAAAACATATTTCTTATTTTGGACTGTGATAAAAAGAACTTTGAAGGTCACCATTTTATGCTATTTAATGTAGAGTATTAAGTATTCAATTATTTACAGATATTTGAGGTTTTTATGCATAAGCTTTTCATGTTCACTGCTGAGTGTGTCTATGTTGAAGTGAAGGGTTGACACAATCACATACAGTTGTGGATAAATTATTTTATTTGGTGTCACTAGTCAAGCACTTCTCAATATGGAATCACCTGGTGTGTGAGAAGAACTCAGGTGTCTGAGCCATATGGGCTTTTTCTAATACATTTCTGCCACTCGATTAGCTGCAGGCCTTGAATGAGTCACTGAATTTCTTTGAACTGAAGTTCCCTCACCTGTAATAATGGGATAATAATATTTATCTCATATGGTTGTAAAGTGGTCAATAAATGGACACCATAAGTCTAACAGTGGAAGGTTTGTTCATCAGAAGTGTAAAAACATGTAATGGAGATATTAGAGCGTTTTGGGCTAAAATAAATGACCAGAGCAATAGATTTTAAAAATCTGAAATATCTGGAGAATTGAAATCACTTAATCTAGAATTGAGGCAAAGAGGGAATGTAATCTTGCCTATGACCTGAGAACCAACTCTAAAGGAGGATCTAGGCTGGGCGTGGTGGCTCATGCCTGTAATCCCAGCACTTTGGGAGGCCAAAGCAGGCAGATCATGAGGTCAGGAGATGGAGACCATCCTGGCCACCCCATCTCTATTAAAAATACAAAAATTAGCTGGGCGTGGTGGCACGTGCCTGTAATTCCAGCTACTCGAGAGGCTGAGGCAGGAGAATCGCTTGAACCAGGGACTCAGAGGTTGCAGTGAGCAGAGATTGCACCACTGCACTCCAGTCTGGCAACAGAGCTAGACTCCTTCTCAAACAAACAAACAAACAAACAAACGGAGGATCTAGTTGTTCTTTACAGAAGTCAAGACAACACTCTGACGGTATAATAATCTAGTTCAATTTAATAATAAATTTCACTTTAAAATCTAAAAGTGGCTAAACAATCCAGCACTTCTACTCCTATGTTTATACTAAAAACAATTAAAAATAAAAACATGCGTTTATACAAAAATTTGTAAATGAGTGTTGATAAAACATTATTCATCATAACCAAAGTTGGGGGGCGGGGGAGAATCCAAACTGTCCTTCAACTAATGAATGAACCAACAAAATATGATATATCCATACCATGGAATGTTATTCAGCCATGTTTTCAGCCATGAAAAGGCATGCAGTCCTGACACATGTCACAACCTGGATGAACCTTGAAAACATTATGCTAAGTAACAGAAACCAGTCACAAAAGATCACACATTACATAGTTCCATTATATGAGATATCCAGCAAAGGTAAATCTACACATAGAAAACAGATTAGTTGTTGTTTAAGGCTGGGGGGAACAGGAGTGGGTGGGGAGGATGGTGGAGCGGTACCAAAGGGTACAGGTTTCTTTTTTGAGGTGATGATAATTGTCTAAATTTGATTGTGTTGATGGTTGTACAACTCGGTGAACAGGTTATAAACCACTGAATCTTATCTTTTAAATGGGTGAATTCTGTGGTATGAGAATTATATCTCAATAAAATTGTTAGCAAATAAATAGTGACTATAGATTGGAAAAGGCTACAAAATCCACAAAACCTTAATACTTTGCTAGACTACTGGCCGTTCTCAATAACATGGTGGCCTTGGAGTTGTAAAAGAGGGGTGATGACTGATTGTGGGATGCTACCATTGTGGTTACGGCTCAGATTTTTGCTGGATTTTGTCCTAATTTGATTTTGAAGGTCATTTCACTCTTGATCATACTTGCAAAATTTTCCTCTTTTTAGGGATTTATATTATCCTGAATGGGCTGTCTCCATCAGAAAAGAAATAAATAATGCATCAAGTAACACAAAAGTAGATTGGTAATGTATAATATCAAGTGTCTGCAAAGGCATTTAGCATACGGGAGACACATTCCTACTCTAGTACAGATAAAAATATGATAAATGTTTCATTTTTGCTTATTGCTGTCTTTTTCCATTATAGATTTCCATATCTATGATTAATCGTCAACAACCAAGTGTTAAATACTCTGGATAAAACTAACTTTCCCACACAAATAATCTGTCAGAAATGGAAAAAAAACATGTGTCCAGTTGGCAATGCATCAGAATTGTTCAATTCTGAAGCAATAACAATTCTGGCAGTAAAACAGTATATGTTGTGATAAAGAATCTGAATTTAGTTTATGTTTATCTAAAGTTAGGAAGGTATAAGATGTAAAATGAAATGTTCTACCACAAACTGACAAACTGACACATAGTTTGGTGACACACAACAAAAATGTTTAATTTGAAGATATTCTTATGACATATGGGAAGAAAACGCCCACAAAAATCACAGCTTTCTCCAACACATGCATCATGAAAAACTGTCTGTCCTTTGCCACCTATGCAATCTGAAGCCTAATCTATAACAGAGCTTGTAACTAGGCTCTTGAATGTGATGTGCACATGGAGATTTTGATAATATCACTGGAAACCAAAACCAGAAATGTGATCTGTTTTTGGATTTGTTATCTATGTTTTTGGATTTGTTATCTTCATAAAGTGGAATCTCATTATTTTCCACTTCTTTTTTATCTTCTATTATGACTTATACTCCAGACTCTAAAAAGTCACACAAAACATAATAAAAAAGAATGAAATCCTTTTCATCATAAAATATTATTGGTTTTAGTAATCTCTGAATCAGAGAGAACTGCGTATTTTGTAGCTAACAGCCACTACTGAAAGCAAATGCAGAGAAAAGCAGCTTACTGTAGCAGTGAGGATTGTGAACCCAGGAGACCTAATTCTACTTGCTGTTGGCTCACCTTGAGCAACCACTCTCTGAGCCTAATTCATCTCATTTATACAGAAAAAGGTTTGGACCAGATGATCTCTCTATATCTAATATTTTACAAATCTCTGGAAGTCTATGATTCTGTGATATTCTGTGGTACTGGACAGTCTAAAAGATAAAGAAAGAGAATAGAATGAAAATAGTAAAGAAAGATAATAGAATGTCCTTTTCTACCACATTTTAATTAACCCACTCTTACGATCGAGTTTATTGTGAAAAGCCTTAAGCAATTATAATCTGAAACCAATAAAAATGGAATAATTGAAGCCATTTCAGGTATTGTTGCAAAGAGCCCTATTATATATGTAACAAACACCTAGATTTAATAAAGGAAGCCTTATTCCACAAGCCACTGATACTGGACACATCACATGAGAATGTGTTAGAGATGGACACGCCACGTGAGAATGTGTTAGAGAAAACCAGTTTACTCCGGTTCTTCAGGGTCAACTAAGTTAATTATACTTGAGCCTATATTTGAGCCTATAATAGAAATATTTTCCAAATACTGCTTTTGAGGTTTTTCTGGGATAATTTTCTCTTTCCATTTTATAAGTACTTTTCTACAGCGACAAAACTTAAATTCTGCACAGCACCTGATATCTGAGGCAATTCATATTGAATCCTTTTGTCACTCACATTGGCTGTCTCCCTGATTTTGACAAATTAATAGTTTATCTTAAAAACTTCCTTTTGATATTAAAACAAATATATTCTATATTATGCAATATGTATATATAAATGCATGTATACTAGATATAGTGTATGTATGTGTACATGTCACTCTCTCACACACACACACAATCAGAATTGAGGGTTTGAACATAAACATGGCTTACAATTTCTGATTTCTCTGGCTATATATTTCAGTCTTGCTTCAATTTTTCAATAACAGAATAAATGTAGTTCCACCTTTCAGTCTAGATCCACATAATATCTGCTAGAATTCTTTAGTTCAACAAACACATGTGAATTCCGTACTAGATTCCAGGAATAAACCTAAAGATTAACTAGATACCAAAGCTGTCCTCAGATTGGTAAGTACATGGTGAAATGACTTTCCATTTCTTTAGTTTGTGAAGGCAGTTCTGGGTAAGCAGGTCTATCTATGGTTTAATTTATGTCATATCTTACCTTCTCACCACTGCTTTCTCCCTCATATAATATCTACAAATCTGATGCGATTTAAGTTGCTAACTATTTTGGGGGAAGCAAAGCTGTTCCTTATATTCAAAGATGGCATTATTGGAGAGTCATTTTTACATGTTTTCCCCAGTAGCAGAAATCTACATCTATATCTACATCTACAAAATGGCTGCCTAGATTTGGAATCAACTTTTTCTTCTGAAGAAAGTGAGAAAACCCTAGGGGTTTGCTTCAAAATACCTCATTCTAATTCATGTGTCAGGCAACACGGAGGGCTTTGCAGACTGGAGCTAGTTCAGGGGAAACAGGTGATGTGGTAGGATATGGAAATCCCAAAGCTCCCTCATTTCTCTAAGACAGAATCAAGCCCTCTTGAGTGTCAGTTGGCAGCACTATTTCATTCTGATTTTACACATTCTGCCCCTGAATGGTAGCTATACCAATGGAGTATTAGAGAACTAGAAGGATACCAAATGGCCCATTCAAACATGACAATGGGCTGGGCATGGTGGCTCATGCCTGTAATCCCAGCACTTTGGGAGGCCAAGGCGGGCAGATCATGAGGTCAGGAGATCGAGACTATCTTGTTTAACACGGTGAAACCCCGTCTCTACTGAAAACACAAAAAATTAGCCGGGCATGGTGGCTGGCGCCTGTAGTCCCAGCTACTAGGGAGGCTGAGGCAGGAGAATGGCATGAACCCGGAAGGCGGAGTTTGCAGTGAGCTGAGATTCCGCCACTGCACTCCAGCCTGGGCGACAGAGAGAGGCTCTATCTAAAAAAAAAAAAAAAAACAAAAACAAAAAACAAAAACCAAAAAACATGACAATGGATACACATTAAGCAACCACAGTAGATGGAATAGCCACTAAATCTAGGCTTTTGCTCTGCCACTCACTAATTGCATGCCCTTGGATAAGTCGCAAGTTCTTTAATTCTCACTTCTCTCATCCTTAACATAAGGGATTTAGATAAACTCTAAAGTGCTTTCCAGAACCAATTTGACATTTGTGTAATCTATAATTAGCAAAAAATTTCTACTTATGCCATTTAATTCACACTCTGTTTTCTATGTCATTCCTATTTTACCAGTCACTACATTGAGGGCTCCCTAAGAAAACTTTGTAATAAATGTGCCATCTACGTTTCCTTTAAAATTATTCAACTGCTGTGGGCACTAATGTGGTCATCTTAATGCATGCTTTATTATTTAAGGGTATTAGGCTTTTCTACAAAAAAAAATCCTCTATTTTTATATTACTGGGGAAAAACTTAAGAGACGGAGAAATTAGGTGAATTTCAATAATAATAACAATGACATTCTATCACTTATTGAAAATTAACTATGTGGCCTATACTATACTCAGTGTTGTAAACACAGTATCTCTAATTATCCTTAAAGTGTGTAGGAATATTCTTGTTTTTCAGATGAGAACAATGAGACTTGGAATGTAGGTACCTGTTCTAAGGTTGTGCATTTAATAAATGGTAGAATTGTGTTTGGAACTTAGAAATGGGTGTTCTCTCAACTACAGCACACTGCCTCTCTTTTTCACTCAAATGAGCAAGGATGTAAAAATGTAACCATATCTAGAGTCCAATGTTAAGTCAGCAGGCACAGTCAAATAAGGCACCACACTTTAGGTACTTCCTGTTATTAGATGACTGGCACACTCAGCAAATGACCTATCGTTCTCTGAGCTTAGGTTGTTCTCATTCTATTTCTCTCAAAAGCAGCTCAAAGCATTACCCTGAAGTCTAAATAAGATGAAAACATTCTCAAAATATCTACGCTCTTCTAGGCTAAAAGGAAGAAATTTAATTTCTCTCCTCGGGAGACCAATCTGTAAGTGCACAAACTAATTAACCACTACCTGCTGAAGAGGGAGACCAGGGAACCCTGCACAATTCTCTCTTCTAGGAAGGCTCCTAGGAGCTTTGCCTTTCTCTTACAAAATAGCAGTATTAGGTGGTAAGAAGATAAAGTGATAAGAACTGAAAAGCTTAAATCCCTCTGGAATAAATGAGAATAACCATTACATGCAGATGCTAACACAGAAAGAGACAAACCAGCCCTCTTAATCTCTCTCACATGAGTCTTTGATATTTTAAAACAGAGAAACAACTTTCATTTTCATTTTATCAAAGTATAAAAGCCCATATTTTAATTCACACAAGTATTGACTGTGTTCTCATTTCATTTTGGTGGAATTAATATTAAACATTATATTTCTAAAGTGAATAATTTAACCTCACCCCTTGTCCCCATGATGAAGTCATCTGTGAAAGACATTGGGCATTGTTAGGGGTTGCCATGGTACTCTGAGTTTGGGATTCAGTGATTCTCCATTTTATTTAAAAAATGTAAAACAGAATGAAGAGTAGATTATTTTTGTAAGTCCCCCGAACATATACATACACACATGTGGAGGAAGGCACAATATTTCAAAATTTTATCCAACAGTCTGAAGGCTTTTAGTCACCTATGATTTAACGGGACCATGTTGCTCTAATTGTGTTTAATTCCAAGAAGAATTATGACACCAAAATGGATTAATGAGACAGCACATGATATGGGTGGGCGATGCAGAGCAGACAGTCAAAACGACTTATTTTTGTCTATTTTTGCTCTATTACCCCCAGAGAACTTTATAATCAGTGTTAGCCCCCTAGTGTTGACCTTCTTTCCTTGTCATTTCCTTCATGACTGCTCTGCTGGTCCCCACAACACAGCACCCATCCTAATGTCCCTGCAAAGTGTCACACCAGCCTGCTGCATCCTCTCCTGTAGGCTCAACTTCCAGCTCCACATTTGCTTTCCTGTCAAATGTTCACCCTAGAAGTGTACCCAGTTAGAAGCAAATACTTGGCTCCTTGATGGACAGATCAAGTGCCAAAGTAATATATAGGGATGGGTTTAAGTTGATTGTTAAATGAAGTTCAGAACAAGCAGCTGCCCACACGTTTGTCCATTATCCAAGTTTTTGTTTCTTTTCTTTTTTTTTTGAGACAGAGTCTCACCCTTTCACCTGGGCTAGAGTGCAGTCACGCAATCTTGGCTGATTGCAACCTCCATCTCCCATGTGCAAGCAATGCTCCTGCCTCAGCATCCCAAGTAGCTCGGATTACAGGCACCTGCCACCGCACTCAGCTAATTTTTTAATAGAGACGGGGTTTCACCACGTTGGCCAGGCTGGTCTTGAACTCATGACCTCAGGTGATCTGCCCGCCTCGTCCTCCCAAAGTGCTGGGATTACAGGTGTGAGCCACCGTGCCAGGCCCCTATCCAAGTTTTTATACACATTTGTAATTCAAGGCTGTAATGCCAAAAGTGATTAAGTGGCCACTTGATTCCAGAAAGTTTAAAAAAACACTCTGGAAAAAATGTTGTTGACAGGGCAAGTGGTTTTCAAACCCCAGTTTAGTCATGCCACATAATGGGGACCATATGCATTATTTTACTGTATGGTGTATTTAGTAATCCTCTATGGTGATACAGTATTTTAGTCAGTCAATTGATCTGGAATACTATTTCTTTATTTTTAATAATGGTGCCATCCTGACATTAAAAGAAATTTATAGAAGTATACAATATATTCAGTGAAAGCAAACGACCTATGGTTTACTGAGCACTATGTGAGAAGGACATGCAGTGCCTTGATTTGTCTAATGCCACCCCCAAAGGATGGAGCTAAGTCTGTGACTTTGACATCTACACTACGTAGCCTCCCACAGCAAAACTACCTCCACTCGAGATAACCACTATTAATATATTGCACCCTATTCTTCCAATCCTCTTGTCATGTTGAACACCTGTAATTAAGTGGCTATTTTTTGTAAGCCAGGTACATAAAAAGAGTTCATTTTCACCTTATAAATGTATAGAAAAGGCCAAAGCAAAGTAAGTACAGAATTTGTAAATATCTAGGCTTCTGTGTTTTTGTTTGCTTGCTTTTAATTCACTTTTGGGTGGTTTATCCATTCTCATAGTTTTGGCCTATCTCCTCCTGGTAAGTCCTCAATTTATATGTCCAATATTTCCCTCTCTCACCTTCACTCTACTTCAGTTTTTCTCTATTACTTTAAATCCATCATTCCTGAAAGCATCCTTGCCAAACTGGCTCCTCCCACTGAGCTCCGTGTTGTGGAACTGCACCGCCCATCACCCAGGCTGGGACCTTGGCTGCCCTTGTTCCTCACCCACCTCAGTTCATGCTGTTGGATTTTCATTTCAAATGGCTGTGTTCAGTTCTTCTTTTCTACCATATTATCTCAGTAATTTTATTTATTATAATTTTAAATTTCATAAGCACACATAACTCATTATTCTTTCTTTAAAAAATTGAAGTATATCTATAAAACTGAAATCATTTGACTGCTATCCAAATTCTAGTTTCCTTGCCCATTCCCTGTAACCACTGTTATGAGTTTTGTGGATATAATTTTAGACTTTTAAACATTATTTCTAACACACAAACTTTGCACTGAACAAAACAGATGGAATTATTGTGTGCGGTTAGGAAAACATGCATTTAATATATAATAGTATTTTATACATGTATTACTGCAGCTTGCATTTTTCAGTCAATAATATCTTGGGATCTATATTGATATATATGGAAATAGTTCATTTCTTTTAACTGTTGTATAATATATCACATGAGTACAGTATATTTTACCTAGCCTTTCCTTATTTATATGTATTTCAGTTGTTTGCTATTTTTTCTATTATGATGAATGCTAAAAATAATATTCTTGCACAGCTATCTTTGTACTTAAGTGTTTAGATAACCTACAAGAGGAAATGCTAGAGTGTATGGTATGAATATTTTCATTTTTCACTTTCCCTCCAAAGAGGTTATGCTAGTTATACACTATCTGTATCTTGTTCACAGTCTTCCTATACCTTGATCTCCCTCCCCACAACTTCTGTTAGTTTGATAGGTGACATGACTTCCCATTGCATTTATTACGCATGACACTGACCATCTTTTTTCTTTTCTTTTTTGTTTCTTTTGCTGTGTAGTCTCTGTTCTGATCCTTTGCAGTACTCTATACATAAGTTAAGGAAATTGGCCCTTTTCCTGTAATATATCTTGCAAATGTCTTTTTCCAGGATAAGATTAACCATGCTCCTCCCCTCAAGCCTAGTGTTTTAACTTGTCTAGAGCCAGAAACCAGGGTGGAAGCAATGGCCAAGATAGAAACCATTAAACTGATGACTGGAGGACTGAAGAACAAAGAGCCTTTTTCTGTGACACAGACATTCACAGAAAGGGTTCTACCCTCCAAAGCCATGACTCTGCAACATTTCTGGCTTTGATAACTAGCTCATAGAATTCAGTGAATGGAAAGAGATAGAAAGAGCATTAAACAATTGAAAGAGCTGTAATTGCAGAAAATCACTCTCTCTCAAACAAGATGGGTCTGCTATTTCATACTCAATGAAATTTCTATGTCCACAAACCTGCAGCCATAGAAAGTGGGCTGATAAAGACATGCAGCACCTCCCTCCTATGCCTAGGAGCATCTTCCATAATGCCCGTTTCATGGAGGGCAAAGGGTGAGAGAGATCCTCTTAGATTAGGGGCAGCAAGGTTGACTGACCATGGAAACTTCATGATTGGGGCAGAGAGTCCGCAGTGACTGCATTAGCCTCATAGTTTTAAGAATATCTATACACTGAAAGCTCCCAAATTGATATTGCTATCTTAGATCTCCACTTTGAATTCCAGATACACATATTTAAGTACATAGTTGACATCTCCACTTGGTGTTCCAAATCTTTTGCCTCCAAACTTGCACCTCCCATAGATTTCCCCATCTCAGATAATGGTAACATTTCTAGCTCAGGCCAGAACCTTATCACTATCATCAGTACTTCTCTTTCTCTCAAACCCTACACCTTACCCACTGTCAAATCCTATTGGATCTACCTTCAATATTATATTCAGAATCTGATCACCTATCACTACCTGATTTTTCCCCTGCTATCACTCTATACCAAGCACAATCATCTCACCTTTGGGTCATGGAAATAGCTTCCCTACTGGTGGATATGCCTCTGACCTTGTCCCTCTCTATTTACTCTCAACACAACTGCTATAATAACAACAACAACAACAACAAAAACAGGTCAGGCCAGGTGCAGTGGCTCATGCCTGTAATCCCACCACTTTAGGAGGCCAAGGAGAAAGGATCTCTTGAGCCAGGAGTTTAAGACCAGCCAGGGCAACATAGTGTGACCTCATCTCTACAAAAAATAAAAAAAATTAGCAGTGTATTTTGGTTGCATGCACCTGTAGTTCCAGCTACTCCGAAGGCTGAGGTGGGAGGATTGCTCGAGCCCAGGAGTCTGATGTTACAGTGAGTGTGACTGCACCACCGCACTTCACCCTAGAAGACAGAGTGAGACTCTGTCTCAAAATAAATAAATAAATAAATAAATTAATTAAAGTAAAACATGGATCAGATCAAATCTCTCCTCTGTCCTACATCCTCTGATGTGTCTGTAAGAGTTAAAGGATTTACAGTGGTCTACAAGGCCCACCTCACTATCCGTGTAACCTCGTCGCCTACTGTTCTTCTCTGCCTCACTTTAATTGAGCCATACTACCTCCCTGCTTGGCATGCCCCCAGATCATGACTTTTGAATGGGAAGTCTTTATTTACTCAAGTATCATCTTTACAGTAAGACTTTCCCAATAATCCTCTCTCAAATTTTTACGTTCTTACACACACAGATCCTATCAACTTCCTAATTCTCCACTGTACTTAGCAACATCAGATTTATTTATTTCACTTATTTATCTTTTTTATTGCTTGTATCTTCCCATAAAAATGTAGGCTCCAAGAAGGCAAGGATTTTGGCCTGTTTTGTTCATGTTATAATTCCAGTGCCTATTGTGGTGTCTGTCACATAAGGAGCTCAATGTGTTTTAAGAATGCATAAAAAATGAATGAATAAATGCCTGGCCAGCAGGTTATGGAATGTAGTATAGAGCAGATACCATTCTCTGTTACTTTATACCCTCTCCTTTTTCAATTGGACATTTTTATTGCAGTTATCCTGAAACATAAGAATTTTGTTTTGGACTTGGTGAGTGGTGCTTTATTTTGGCATCAGCCTTCTTACACATTAACATTTTAATTTTTCATATATTTCTTCAAAAAAATATCAAGAGTCATTTGGGAAACATGGATTTTTAAAGTAGCTTAGTGTTAGAAAATGTGTAAAACTGCATTCAGTTTTGGCCACTAAGTCATCTTAAATAGCCTAGGACAGTTGCTCATAATCTTTATGGTCATGAATTCCTTTGAGACTCTCTTGAAAGCTTTTACATATTTCTTCATGTTATTTCTTTTTTTTCCCCCCTTGGGTTCTATTTTATTTTATTTTTCCTTCGTCTTTTATTTTAAATTCTGGAGGACACATGAAGGATGTGTGGGTCTGTCACATAGATAAACGTGCCATGGTGGCTTGCTGCACAGATCAACCCATCACCTAGGTATTAAGCCCAGCATCCACTAAATGTTATGTCTTCCTTTTTTTTTTTTTTTTTTTTTGAGACAGAGTCTTGCTCTGTCGCCCAGGCTGGAGTGCAGTGGCACGATCTCAGCGCACTGCAAGCTCTGCCTCCCGGGTTCACACCATTCTCCTGCTTCAACCTCCCAAGTAGCTGGGACTACAGGTGCCCGCCACCACGCCCGGCTAATTTTTTGTATTTTTAGTAGAGACGGGGTTTCACTGTGTTAGCCAGGATGGTCTCGATCTCCTGACCTCGTGATCCGCCCGCCTCGGCCTCCCAAAATGCTGGGATTACAGGCGTGAGTCACCGCGCCTGGCCCACTAAATGTTATTTCTAAACAGGATGTAAGGTGGTTAGCAGCTGTCAACACAATACAAAAGATTTTCAAAGATAATCAAATTAGGCAATGGAGATGGGGAGAAAATGATAAAGTTAAGGATAGGAATACTATATAAAATGTGTACCTGAAAGCCCTCTAGAGTCACTGGAGATGAACCCAAGTTTTGTTGCTGAGCTTCTTATTATTCAAAGCATTATAACTGTCAATACTAATGAAATAAGAATAATAAAAAGTCTCTATTTTGTGCTATTAGAAAACTGCCAATGTTTTATTATATCTATAATAAAAATATAAAGTAGGTAACGGTGATTTTTTCAAAATAATATATAATTTTAATGTAGCCTAATAAAAATCCCTAAAAGTAGTACTAGTGTCAGCATAAAAGACAGATTAATGAAAATAAATAAAAGTTCAGAAAGAGAATCAATTATATCAGAAGCATGTGATAAAACTGGAATATTAAATTTGTGGGCAAAGTGTAGATTATTTAACAAATGTTATTAGAATAAACAGAGTTGTTTCAAACAACAAAAATTTTTCAATCTTTACCTTACACCTTGTAAGAATGTACATTTTAGCCAGGTTCAAATTTGAAAGTAAGAATAATTATAAATAATGTTCACATTTATTAATACTTGGAGTAGGGCTGTCCTAAAAATAATATTGAAGGCAGAAACCATTAAAAAGAAAAAGACTAATATGTACAACCACTTAAAAATTCAACTTCTACATGTCAAAAACATAAAAAGAAAAATATAGTAAAGAAACATATCTAACATATTTAGAAAATGGTTATAGGCTGGGTGTGGTAGCTCATGCCTAATAGCCCAGCACTTTGGGAGGCTGCAATGGGAGGATTGTTTGAGCCCAGGAGTTTGAGACCAACCTGGGCAATATAAGGAGACCCTATCTCTACAAAAAATAATTTTAAAAGATAGCTGGACATGGTGGCTCATGCCTGTGGTCCCAGCTATTTGGGAAGCTAAGTTGGGAGGATCTCTTGGGCCTAGGAGTTGAGGCTGCAGTGAACTGTGATTGTGCCACTGCACTCCAGCCTGGGCAACAGAGTGAGAACCCACCTCTAAAAAACAAGGAGGGAAGAAGGAAGGGAGGGAGGGAGAGAGGGAAGGAGGGACGGAAGGAAAGAAGGAAGAAAGGAAGGAAGGAAGGAAGGAAAGAAGGAAGGAAGGAAGGAAAGAAGGAAGGAAGGAAGGAAGGAAGGAAAAAGAATGGTTATATAAAAAAGAATTATATATATATATAACCATTTTCTTTTTGGATATACGTATATAGACAGAGACCTTATAAATTATAAAAATATAAATAGCATATTAGAAAAAACATATAAGCAAATAGTATAAAGAAATAATTCTTCCCAAAAGAAATTCAAATGCCAATAAACACATGAAAAACACTCATCTATCTCAGTAATCAAATAAAGGCAAAGTAAAATATTGAGATGCTACTGAATCTGATAAATATAGAAAAATAATAACCATTGTTCGTATGAGTGTGGAAAACTGTCACCCTTATATGCTATTGTGGGGAGTGTAAATTAGTTCAAAATTTCAAGAAAGGGATTTAATAATATGTATAAAATGTCTAAAGTTGTATTAGCTTCAGCAAGTCTTTCAGCATTTTATATACATAATAATTTGGCAATTATGCAAATGTGGAATCTATACTAGTACCTTATTTTTCCTTTTGCTTTAATTAGCAAAACAGCTTAATTTGTTGATGAAAAGAAGACAAGAAATATATACCACAATGTTATCAGTGGTAATCATAGTTTTTTTAGCTCACAGGTGATTTAAATACGTATTTGCATTTCCATATGTTTCGACTAGAAGCCCTAGTTGGAAATAAAAGGCATAGTCCTGAGCTGGCTATTTTCAGAGGCATGGTGGATTTCCTGAACACATTTCATACACGGCAGCCAAGAAGAGCAACACCTGTTTAAAGAGGTGCAATGATTTCATCAGGATCAGTAAGCAAATTTTCATCAGTGCCAGTCAATTTCTAGTTCTCAAATATTTAACAGTACACTCAGTTTCCATCAAATGAGCCTGTGTGATATAACATGGCAGCAATTTCTCTGTCTCCACAAGCTACGGAACCTGAATTCTGTTTCTAAAGGACAGTAAAATAATTAGTTAAGACTGTCTCTCCAATTATATCCAAAAGGTTGTATAATATTTTTTAGAGATAAAATAAATACATTGAATTACTAGACTGAAGAATTTGCAAACAGAATAATTAGTGGTAAGCAGTTCAACACCAGTTGCAAGAATTCAGGCCCAAATTTTGGTGATGTAATTCAAATGGTCTTGTGAAGAAAATACAAACTCAGTATTCAAGGAGAATAGACTTTATGTGCCATATCTTGTGAAGTAAAGAAAATTTTGCTATGGTTAAAAAGTCAACGCTGAAGAAAATGCTTTAGATTCTTGGAGTACCTTGGGAGTGTCCTTTTCCTACTATGCTAAGCTAGCTTCAATAAACAAGAGACAGCATTTGGTAGATGCAAAAATTTAGGTCTGGAGCTAGCACACTCGCTGTGAGTTCCTCTAACCTATTCTCTGTGCCTTATTACCTAACTTATAAAATGAGTATAATAATAAGTTTGTATGAGTTTTACAAGGACTAAATAAGTTAATGAGTATATTTAATTTGTAGCAGCTAAGAAGAAGCCGTGTTTACAAAGGTGCTGACAAATAAGTATTGGCTAAATAATCAATAAAATGATAATATGGGTTTGATACATTTTACGTAAAAATATGTTGAATAATACTTCCTGGACATGACAAGGTACCTAGGCAAGTAGTAAAATATTTTAAAGAAAAATAACACGCATAAAAATATAACTGGTCCAGCACAGTATATAGTTAGGATCAATTAAGTGATAACAAATAATAATTGAGCAGTTAGTTGAGATTAGACACAAGAGTAGTAATTAAGACTTCTTAGAGAGGAGGGGTTAAAATAAGCTCTAGAAATAGGAATAGAATTCAATTTGATGGGATGAAGGTAGGAGTACAAGATGTTTAACTGAAATTTATAGGTGAAGCAAATCAAGTTTTATCATCCAATGTTAGTAAGTATATGATTTCATTTCCTGACTCTTCTTTCTCCTCTCCTATATGAATCCATTTGGGATATAACTTGTTTTTTGTTACTCTCTTGAGTTTTAGTTTCTTTTGAATAGGCACGCCCTTGTGTTTTCCTTCTCAAAAAAATTACATATTAAGTTTTCAAACAAATATGAGTAGAAAAATAGTATAATGAAACACTATGTTCCTTAACTTATCTTAAAACTGGTTATCAATATTCCGACACTTTAATTCTATGTGACATATGATTAGCATATAACTTCAAACACTCAGCTCTCTGTTAAAATGAACTTTAAATGTGCAGTTGAAAGGTATCTGTGAAAATATGACTTTTGGCCTGGCGTGGTAGCTCACACCTGTAATCCCGGCACTTTGGGAGGGCAAGGCAGGCGGATCACAAGGTCAGGAGATCGAGACCATCCTGGCTAACATGGTGAAACCCTGTCTCTACTAAAAATACAAAAAATTAACCAGGCATGGTGACGGGCACCTGTAGTCCCGGCTACTCGGGAGGCTGAGGCAGGAGAATCACTTGAACCCTGGAGGCGGAGGTTGCAGTGAGCCGAGATCGTGCCACTGCACTCCAGCCTGGGCGACTGAGCAAGACTCCATCTCAAAGAAAAAAAAAGAAAATATGACTTTTTTCATTATTGGGCAAAATGCCCCCAAGGAGGCCTCCTGGACTTTGCACATTGCTGCTTCCTGGATTTAAGGAAGGATTGAAGAATTTTTTTCAAAACAAAGAGTCTCTTATAAATTGAATCTAACTTTTAAGCAAACTTTTACAAAATCAAAGTATTATGAAAATATAAGAAAATGCATAAATCAAAGTGCACAGCTTCATTAGTGTTTACTAAGTGAATACACCTACCAGCCACTCCAAAAAATGGCGCTTTACCTAGACACTTGACTTGTGCTGCCCTAGGTATTAAGCCCTCCAAAGGGCAAATGCCTATTTTGACCTCTCATCATAGATCAGTTTTGTTTGAGTTCCATAAAAATGGATACATATACGTTCTTTTGTGCCTGCTTAACTTGCATAATAGTATGTTTAAGACAAGCATCTATGTTATTTTTATTTTTGTATATTCTTCCATAGTATTTATTCCTAAATTTTCTAGGTATTATTCCGAAAATTATCTACTCTATTATTGATGGATATTTGAGTTGTTCCCAATGTTTTAATAGGAATGTGTTAATGAGTTCTTACATCTGCCTTTTGGAGCACATATATTCATTTATATTGGGTATAAATTTAGAAGTAGAATTATTAGATCGTAAAAAATAGATGTTAAGTTTTGGTAGACTTGGCAAAAAAGTTTTCCAAAGCGAATGTTCAAATATACGTTCCCACTAGTTCTCAATTTGCTCTAAATCCTTAGATTTGTCATTTTCTTAAATTTTAGCAATTCTAGTGGGTGTGTAGTTATATCTAATTTGGATTTAATTTGTAATTCCCCAATGACCAATGAGGTAATGACTGTGAGCATCTTCTTGTATGTTTATTGTCCATTTGGATAGCCTCTTGTAAAGTGCTTGGTTAAACTGATTGCCCAATTATTAAGGGGCTTTTCTAATGTTTTTGTTTAACAGATTTCTGGGACCAACATATAAATTTTGGACATGAATTTTCTGTCCATCCTGAATATAGGTACTGAACTCCCAATTTCGGTTTGCTTAGAACCATGACACTACCAAGAGCTCTGATTAGCCTTTTAGCTTACTGTGATAATTGTAAAATTCATTCGGTCTTTCTCCTGTTTCCTGGCATACAGTTCCTAAAATCCTTTGAATTTTAAGAGCGAAAAGAGTGTCTTTGCCTGTTAATAAGATGACTGGTGGCTGGAGGCCCCTGGGTAGCTTCAGGATGAGAGCTGTTTACAGGAAAAATCAAGGCAGGAGTAGAGGATTGGGACATTCAGCTCCAGTAGCACCCTCCCCTGGGGATGAGACGGGGGGCAAAAGGTTAAGCTGATCACCAACAGTGAATGATTTAATCAATGGTCTTCATGTAATGAAGCTTCCATAAAAACCCAAAAGGACAGGGTTCCTGGAGCTTCTGAATAGCTGAACATATGGAGATTCCCGGAGGGTAGTGTGACTGGAGAGGGCAAGTAAGCTCCGTGCCCCTTTCCATATGCCTTGCCCTATGCATCCCTTCCTCTGTATCCTTTAGTCAACCGGGTAGAAAAGTGTTTTCCTGAGTTCTGTGAGTCACTCTAGCAAATTAGTCAAACCAAGGAGGGGGTTGTAGGAACCCCGATTTATAGCCAGTCAGTCAAAAGTATCACAGGTAAAACAACTTAGGGCTTGCGATTAGCATCAGAAGTGGT
The DNA here is from genome assembly GCF_000001405.40 of Homo sapiens. Taxonomy (NCBI): domain Eukaryota; kingdom Metazoa; phylum Chordata; class Mammalia; order Primates; family Hominidae; genus Homo; species Homo sapiens. The sequence goes on along the minus strand of NC_000002.12, from coordinate 167,584,599 downwards.
GGGCAGTCTTGGGGACTGAGCTCCCAACCTGTGGGAACTGATGCTATCTCCAGATAGTGTCAGAACCGAACTAGAGAACACCCAGCTGGTATCTGCTGTGAAACTAATTGCTTGCTTGGTAGGGAGAAGTCCCCATTCATCTGATGTCAGAAGTGTATGACTGTGCTGAATTGAGAGTAGAGAATAGGAAAAACGTAGGGTTTTCTTCCATATCTCAGAGCATAGTGGGAAAAACTGAGTTTTTTCCCCATAGAAAAATTAGTTACTAGCAAATGCTTCAAGGGGATAAAGGGCTCACATCTCTGTGTTTCCTTTTACCTGGAAATCTTGGCCCCTTAACACTGGTTTCATTGTTACTCTTAATTATAATTTTCATCTCCCTAACTTTAAGAATTGCTGAAAACTCCAGAACTGCTATATTCTACTCAGCCTCTCAGCTCCCTGCCATTTAAGAAATAGCAAGTATCTTGTGATGAAAAGTGGGAAAAAAAGCCAGGTCCACTTGACTACATTTCTCTTCTCTATGGGATCTTAGTTCCCTGCTCCCCCAGCCTGCCACCCCACCCCCACCCCCAATCTCCAGTCTCTAGCTATCTTGAATTACTCTCCAATGCCTTTGGACAGCTGGGTATTTGGTATATATGTCTAGACATAATTTTGCTATTACAGTTGTTTTTAGAGGCATGGTTAGTTTGGCTTAAGTTATTCTGTTACAGCAGGAGCTGACTCTAGATGTGGAGCTTGCAGCCTGGGTTTTTTTCCAAAATTTAAGCAGAATTTCATTAGTCAGAAAATATTCATGGGGCAGAGAATCCAAAATTTCTGTCAGATTATTAAAAACACTGTAAAATTAAAAAATTTAAGAATTACTGCCCTGGACATGTAAAGTGATTAAGATCTGACAAATCGAGTATATATGTATGATCAATATCAAATGCAATTTTTAAAGAATGCTGACATCAAGTTTTAAGACATTCAAATATTCCCAATAATGTTCACACTATCTGGAGAAATGCATATTAGTCTGAGATACTGATCTGTAAAGATGAATGTTGAAATTAAAGTAACAGATATAATGTTTGTAAATATAAACAGCTGTACTGTAAGTTACCTTGTAAAAGACATTCCCCGAGTTGTCTAACTCCCAGAGAAGAAGCAGGTAAAAAAAAGGGAGAGAGGGAGAAAAAATGAATTTCTTAAATTTCTTTAACGTATGAACAAGAACCTCTAATCACGAAAATGACAGATCACAGCATTTTTTTTCCCAAAATGTAGAGAAGATGCTTTTTTGCAGCTACATCATGAAGAGGAAATGACATAGGGCAATAAAAGAAATGTCTGCCCCTGGCATCCAAGGGACAAGGGGGGACAAAAGGAAAAGAAAGGAAAAATACAGCAATACAGCAATAGGGTGGTAGAATGTCTGACTCATGAGGCTTAATCTTGCTTCTCTGGGCTGCAGCTGGAGATGTGTTACAAAAGTTTAAAGTAACACTGAGAGCAGAGGAGTTCTTGTCCCTCTCCCTCATGGGCCTTGAGAAAAGACTGTGGTGTGGGGTAGATGCTTACTAACAGGGAGCTGTTCAACCAAGTCACTAGGGGTGGGGTGGGATGGCTAAGCACAGAGCCCAGTGTGTAGCCCATGGCTCTTTCAGTGCCAATATGGCAGGAATGCTGAGCTGTGAGGTCTTGGGCTGCCTTGAGGAGCATGGCAGAAGCTCAACATGAGTGTGAGACAGAGCTGGCCAGGATCAGTGCGGGGCCTTGATTTAGATGTGAGAGGTTAAACCGTGGATTACATCAGCCTCTAGATCCAGCAGCACATCGCTGTAGAATGCCCAGGGATGGGCTTGGATGAATCCTTTCTAGACTCCTGCCAGCACAGACTCAGGGACCAGCAAGGGGCTTAGAGGACCGCTCCTAACCAATGTACTAGATCACCTAAGCCGTGCCCCATCACCAAACACCATCTTATGAAGGATCAAAATAAAAAAGGGAAAAATGAGAAAACCAAGTTATCTTTTTAAAGAAACAGTTAAATCTAGAGAGACTAAATTACTGGCTTCAGGTTATGTTTGGACTATCTTTAGTACGTCTTTACTTTCTACTACTTAGTGTGTGGAAGCTAGTGAAAGACATAAGAGCAGTTTTAGAGAATAGACACTATATTTTCTTGGCATATCTGAGTACAGTGTGAGTAAACTTATGATGCCACTGCAGTGCTAACCACAAAGCCAGTCTCATAACGCTTATTACTATTGTTAAAACAACTGCACGCCAAGTCTGGAAACCCAAGGCAGACAACAACACTCCGTTTTCAAAACCATTTGAATTTTTTTTTGCTTCAGGGTGAGTTTGAAGAGAATAAAATTCCCATGTTGGCTAAAAGAAGAGGAATCTAGCCAGATTCCAAGATAATTAAACTGGTCAACCGGCTCTAAGACATTAACAGCTGGTGTTTTAATCACTAATGAGATAATCAGTTTCTATAATCTGGGAGATGGGCCAAAAAACATGGGCTTGGTTTTTCCTTTCATTTTAAATCAGTTCATTGGAGAGGAGCTATTCTTCTATCTTAGTGCTGTCACTCTGCAAGCTGCTGATAACCTGTAGCCGAGAAAGAACATTGCAGTTTCACCAGTACACATATGCACAGAAGACAGGGCACATTCAGTTAGACCGTTCTTAACAAAATAAACAGAAAGCAGACCTAAAAATTTATTTCTCGGCACTCTAATTTTAAGGACCCATGTGACTCCCAACAGACAAATACATAAATAAACAGGATAGCTACCTTTTGGAAATATTTGGAATGTGATTCCTCAAAAAAATGTGCAAACCCCTTTATGGTTTTTTAACAGCCTCTGCATTACTGAAATTAATGTTCTGATTTAATGGACATTATGTTGGTCTTGCAATACAGTTCTCTGTCATTACTTTGTTATTTATGATTTTCACTTGATATAACTGCATGAATGGCACAGGAGGCTTGTCAGAGCTGGAATCAGAAAACACTTGTTCACAAGAACTAGGAGATCTGGTGATGTCCAGATATATCCGTTTAAGAAGTGTTTTAAAGCAACAGGCAACCCAGCAGAAATACTTAGTCTGTTTCAGTTGTATTTTCATTTTACAGTGGATTAAAAAGTTCAGAGGAAGTATAAGGAAATGATTATAGGTTGTTGACTAATAATGGAACAGTCAGGTGGAGAAGTATGATTCTAATGATTATTAGCAATTTATTATAGTGTTTCTAAAGGCACATTACACTTTAACATTTTGTAGGTACCTCTACCACAGCACACAGTTCATATATTATATTGAAATTGCCTATTTACAAAGTGCTTTCCATAGGTAAATGTGTGCATGCTTTGGACATGGGCAGTCTTTTAAATCTTTTTATGATGCTGGCATGCAATCAATGATGTTGAATTGATAATGGATGATCCTTTACTCTGTAGGAACAGAAAACCTTTAATATCAATCAAATTGGAATGCCATCAAATAATTTTAAGAGCTTATTGGGAAGAAATGTTTTGCAATAAATAAGGTATTTCTTATATTGAGCCTAGAATGGGGTGAGTGGAGGAGGAGAATACAGTTTATAACAAAAGACTTAAGAGGCCATTCTGAGTTTCTCCCAAATTTTAAAAAATCAAATATATAATAGTAGAAACTGTAGTGAACACATATCAGTGTCTCTCCACACCTGTCTCTTTAGGCCCTTGAAGCCTCCTCCCTCAGATCATCTGACCACTGCAAGGGTACACGGCTCCTAGAAAGATCTCTTACTCTATCTTCACTGGAGACCAGTAGTGTATCCTCCAAAAAGACTATAGACATTTGATGAACAAAACCCAGTCCCTCCCCACCTTCCTTCATCCTGGATGTTGGTAAATAATTTTTTTTTATCAGTTGGCATGACACTAACAGAACTGAAAATCAGTGAAATTTCCAAAAGCTTATTGATATTTTAACATAGAGTCAGGCCCAACAGAGAGTGGTCTGCATTTCTTCAGGGAGGCTGGGTAGGGAGGACACAGGGGCTTTGGTCTCATTGTGAAGTTAGATACAGTTTCTCATTGGGGCTAAAATGATTTTCTCCTTAAAGTCCCAAGGCTGGGGGATGTTTTCTGCTTGTTTGTTTTTGGTTTTTATTTGTTTAAAGGAGGATTGGTATTTGGCCTTTTTTCCAAGAAAAAGAAAGAACTGAGCAGTTAAGTGCCAAGTTAGACAAGAGAAGTCGGAGGGGTTGGAGGGGAGAGAAAGTGTTGGATCAAGAGGCTACTATTGTTTTAGCAATAGGGTTTATTTTAGAGTAACTAAAGCAAAATATATTTCCATAAGTATTTTTGTTTAAATTTTATCATCTTAAAAGATTGTAAGTTTAATGCCCTATTTAATTTCAGTAAGAGCCCAAGCATATTTTAAAAGGTATTCTTTCACAAGCCCATTTGTGGCTTACCACAGGACTTATCTTGCTGCAGAAGATGCAATACAGTACTGAGAACACTGAAATATCATTATTTTATCCAACACCGTGTTTCCCAATATCGTGAAGATGATGCAAGAATGATTGGCATCTGGGAAGCATTAACCTAATTTGTCAATTTCAACAGCTTAAGTTCAGTTGAAAAAATTGAACTCTACCATCTATCAATCACTATCAATCACCTATGTAAAGGCTAGGAACTTAAAATATTTTTAAAAATCTAGTCTCTACATCTAGGAATTGATTTTTAACAACTGACTGTGTAAAGGTGAGGGACTTTAAAGACAGACAGATTAATGAAATCTAATCCCTGCCTTCTCTAAAGGTGAGAGGGAGAGACAAAAAAAGAGCAACAATTTTGCTAAAATGAGGTAAACACTATAAGATGAACCAAAGGTACTGACTGCAGTATCAAGAGGGAATGGCTTCCAATTAAGTTAAATTCCTTGTTTTCTCAACAGTGCATCAAATGGCTCTTTAGAGTAGCCTGTGTACAATGTTTCCTACTTTTGAGGACTTTAACCTAGCAGTTATCAGGCCTCATTGAGTGTCAGCGACCTTGAAAACATACCTATGTCCAGAATGCTCAGGCTAGAAATCTAGAGATTTTTAGATATTTAAGTGTTCGTGGGTGGAGACCAGACATCAGAATTTAAATGGAAAAAAAAAAAAAAAGACAAAAAAAAACAAAACCAAAACCAAACTACTCTCCAACTGATTCTAATGTGTAGTTAGAATTGAGAACCACTTCCTTCTCCAGGTATTTCTGGTTATTATAAAAATTTTAAATAGAAAATAGTAATAGTTGAGGGCAAGAGTTTCTTTCTATAAAAATTTATTTAAAAAGAGGAAAGGATTGAAAAGAGGGTACTGAAATCAAGATTGGGGTCATAAGGTTGAACAAATTCAGCATAGCACATGTAACATTAACAGAGAAAGGCAAAATCAAGCTGCAAACTAAATTCAGTCTCTGAAGACTTATTAGTAGGCAAAGAAAGTCAATAAGCAATGTAAAAAATGATTTAAGCCCTGCCACTGCCATTTTATCTGGGGGCAAGCTCTGTCAAAGACTATTTAGTGCTTCGCCCTATTACCACAAACTTATCACCATCTGTTCCTTTTGTATCTTCCTCTTTTTCTGCTGAAAGGAAATGCTTCCCACTATATTATTAGGTTTCCTATTATACACGCTCCATTCTGTGGTTTGAATATTAGAATTTTGCAAGGAAAAAGCAGAATATTTGCCCTCCAAATATCCCCATAACTCTTGGTACCTGTTAAGTTCCAGAGCACCACTGACTTCCAGCTTCTGGGATTTCCCTGGAACATGTTTAAATGACAAAAATATTATGTTAAAGCTCAAGAGCTTAACTACATTCCCACACAGGCTATTTTTGTTTCTTTACCTGTATCAGGACATCTGTTATGATTTTAAGACAACCCTTATTAGAACATCTTATTAGAACCCTTATTAGAACATTTTGGTTGCTTTGGTCTCTGATGAAAATACACTTATTACAGAAGCTGAAGATATCTGGGCTACATTTTCAAAGGTGAGCTCCCCTACCCTCCAATACCCCCGAGAAAACCTCGAAGAAAATTCATTTTGAATATATTGATGCAATCAGGAAAATCCTGGCCTAGAACTCATTTAGTCATGATTCTAGCAGCAGTTTGAAGTGCAGTTTCTCATTAGAGTAGTAACACTAATGAAGACAGTGTGGGTCTGGGGTAATCTACAGCCTTAGCACAACCTACTGCCATGGGATTTCGGTTTGTCCTTCGATAGTCCTAGAACTTTTCACTAACAAGTTTTCACATCTGTAATCAGGAAATGTTTCTTCTTATTCTGTTGAAATGATTTGGGTATGTCCCTCTTGCTAGAGAGCTAGGCTAGGTGATATCTGAATGGCCCTTTCCAGAACTCAATACTATGCTTTACAACCATACAAGAGTAATTGCTCACATGCCAATATAATGCAGAGCACTGATAAAATGAAAAAGTAATAAAATCCATTCACTAACATTCCTGTTGTTCAAGGTTTATGGTAGATTATAATAAATCTCTGAATAGAATTGTGCAGGGTAAAAAAAATTTTTGATTGCTTTATTTATGCAAGATTTTAATATACTCAATTTCAAGGACAACTTGACAAGTTAAGTGTCTAATAGGACTACAGGGGCAGAGTTTTCTCATGTGCATATTCACTAAGAGACATCTTTCTTAACTTCTCTTAACTTTTTTTTTCAGTAAATTAATATAGAGTAGCTAGGTTAATTTTAGTAATTCAGAATGTTCTTGAATGAAGTAATATTTCTATGCTATTTGATATTTCTTCCATAACACTGCATGACCTATAGGAAATTTATTTCAATGTCTGCAATCCCTGAAGCCATTTTCCACACCAAAAATAAGCCACTGTGTTACATACAAATCAGAAATATGATCGAGCTTAAAGAAGTACAGTGAGTCAGGAAAAAAAATATTCATTATGAAAGAAACCTGTTCATTATGAATCCATGCAGCATGGGGTAAGTGATCAACTGATGCATCTGGATTAATTCATTGAAAGCAATGCCTTATTGTCTATCATTCTTAAACATATATCATTCTGCTACTCTATCCAAATGCTCATCATAAAAATAAAAATAAAGGTGTTCATTTTCAATTGATCTATATACCATTATTAATCTAGTCCTATCTTTCCACTTGATAAATGAATACCTTGAGGGGCACAAAGAAGGGACTTTTTCAAAGTAATTGTTAGCATCAGTATTAGAATTCCAGTCATTTGGTTTCAATTTAATTGCCTTCCTGTCTTACAAGTCTTATGTACTAAGGCATTTCTTAATATTGTAGTATGATGAGTAGGGTGCAGAAAGTGGTAGAAGTATCATACATCACATGAAGACAGAGAAGGGGATTTCATAATTGCTCCTTGAGGTTAAGACTTCATATTCAGTTATACCAAAAAGCCATCAGTTTCACCAACTGCTAATATGACCAAAAGGTTGCCTGTTCAAGAAGAAAGTGCTTAGTGTATGGGGAGAGGAGGAAAAAAGAGAGAGAGGACAATGATGTGATGAAAGTCCTAGAGTACATTAAGCCTAGCACTCCTGGGGACCTGGAATAAGGACAGATGGGAGAAATCAGGGATAGGATTTCTCTTTTGTTTTCTCCATTACTTTCTCCTTAAAAGCTGTGATATTTGGAGTTGAAGGGTAGGTACCATCACACAAGGGTGGCAAGAAGATAAGGCAGGGTGAATGTGGTGAGAGTCGCATTAATTTCCCTCATCCTCTCTCCCTAATAGTGAATAGGCAGAGTTGGAACAAATAGGATTTATGCAAATGGAGACCACACACCTTTAGAAAGACAGAATAGAAATAAACCCAGGACAAATGATCAATGCTAATAAACACTGCTCCTCTGATAATTTATTTAGTCACATATTTAGTGACTATCTATCTTATGTATGTCACAGTGATTGGATCTGAAACCCTTTGCTAAGGCTTTTGCCCTGAATTGTATCAAATGTTACTCAGTGAACTGAAAAAAAAACAAAAAAAAAAAACAAAAAAAAAAACAGAAAAACAAAAAACGAGTTACTTTTACTCCTCCACGAAACCACTAAACCTGTCCTCACTAAAAAATTCTCCTTAGCCTGTGCCTTTTCAGTGTACAATTGAGATCAGCAATTATCCAGCTAAAGCAATCAGAGCAGTTTAATTAAAGTTTCAAAGTACACTATTCTAATTGGAGAGACATTTCTCTATATACAATATTTCTGTGATCAGAAAAATATTTTTGAGGTAAGTTTTGACATTTTGATTTTTAAGGTAATAGAAAAGCACATTTCTTAAAAGGATCTACAATGAAACATTTTGAAAAGGGAAGTATTTTACAGAAATGTAAATAAAGTCCTTAATTCAGTGTTTAAATAAAGAGGCCTATGGACAACTTGCAAAAATCACCTGGAGCAAACATCACCTGGAACAAAAATCAGAGTCCTGGGCTCCATCAAAACTTATAAAATTTGAAGTTTGAGAACCATAGTCCTAACTTAATTCACTGTGTACTGAGTATATGGATTTTTATTTATGGGTTTTATTAAGGGTATAAGATTATTGAGAGATAATAATATATTGTTGAAGAGGCAAAACTGTGAAACAAAGAGATATGCCTAAATGGCTCTATTTCATGTGTACCCTGGAAATTGAAAACGTGAACTCCCTGTTTTGAAAACATTTGGGGAAGCCATAAAAATCAGGTTATAATAATGATAATAATGGTTTATTCCATTGGTTCACCCTCTTTTGTTCTTTGTATGTGGAAGATACAGAGATAGAGTGAAATAACTGAGTAAGCCTACAGATTGCCTACGTAAAACTTCAATTAAAAGGTGCTTTGGAGATAGGCATTGTTAGTTTTATAAAAATGCATTTCAGAAAGCCATTTCACAATATCTGCCATGATATCCTCAGACACAAGATAGAGATGTGTGAGCTGAATGATAATCTGGTTAAGCAGAAGCAAAGCTAGTTGATCCACTGTATGAAGAGTGTGAGATTAGTGGATCAGTTTCACCCTGGCAAGGAGCCTCTGCTGGTGTGCCAAAGAGCTCTGTACTCAACCATGTCTTGATGAACATTATTATGAATGATCTGTATGAAGACATAGAAGGAAATTCTGTCATATTTGCAGACCTCACAGAGCTAAAAACTGTAAAACAGCATTAGAGTTCTATAGCAAATTGGTAGGCTGGAATCATGGGCTGATATCACCAGGAATGTATTTGTGGCCAGAAAACATCCATATCCAGGCTTAAGCCCAGACTGTAAAGTCAGTATTTGACAACTGAATCCCTCATATAAAAGAATAAAAGCAATAGCAATGTTTTATTTTAGCCATTACTGTGTTCAGCTATTCTTCTTCATATTTACATGTATTACTTATTTCATCCTTATAACAGGGCTATAAGATAGTTCCTATCATTCCCATTTTACAGATGAGAAAACCAAGGTAAAGAGAAGTAAGCTACTTTCTGTAAGTTGTAAAGCCAGTAAATAGAGAAGAGGTGTGAACAAAGTATAGACCATCTAATTCTAGAGACATTATGCTGTAAAGTCTGCATTTAGGTTTCCAAAAACAAGTACATAAGCACAGGATGTTAGGGGAGACACGGTTTAAAAGCCCTTAGTTGAAGTTTTCTTTGACAGACAGTTCAGTATGAGACATCACTGTTGCCAGAATGATTAATGCTATCTCAAGCAGCATTTGTGGAAGAAATGTATCTAGAATTAAAGAGAGAACATTTCTGTTCTTCTATATGGTGTCATCTTGCTTCAAATTAATTCATATTCTAATTTTATGCCCTATACACTTCCTAAATTTATATGGAACTGATAAAGATTCTTAATTCATTAATGAAGAAACAATAACATAAAATCAAACATGGTATAATTTGAGCTTAATACAGAAAATGATGAGAAAATTTGAGAAATTCAATAAATCCAGTTGATGAAGGCAGCAATCTAGATATCCAAGTGAAATTGTAGCCTGTGACTTAGTCCCTTCATTTCTTTTTCAAACATGTTAATGTACAATTACCACATCATCAATTGAATCAACTGGGCGATCCTCATGTTTCCCAAATAATCAGCCCTTCTTTCAATATTCACTTAATTTGATCAAATGGTCCCTACTTTGTCTTATTTTTAGTTGACTACTACTGGTATGTTTATGCTAAGAAAAAGGGAATTGGATGTAGATTTAGTGGCTTCAATTTACTCTGAATATACAAAACTAACAATTTTATCAGACTTTTGTTCTGGATTTTAAATTTAAGATTGGACTGCTGACCTCTCTGCTCCTTTTTGAAGGTATCATTTGAATGCAAATGCCCTTGTAGACTGTTTTTTAATATAGTATTATAGTACTAAGTGCAAAGCTTGTATTTTATGGTACTGAATTTGAAATTTATATTCTTTCTTATATCCTGAGGATTGATGGATAGTAAAGTTCTGTAAACAAAATAATTTTGAAAGTAAATTCAAAATGATTCTGGAAGCAAACTGAAGTTTAAATTTTAATCTTCTTAATTAGGAAGTTGCATTGGATCCCATATTGTTACTCTTACATATCTCTGTTTTCATAAATTCATATGGCAAATTTTGTGCACAATAAAAAAGAAACTTGTACATAGAATTCGGACTGTGTGTAGGATACACATGAGCTTCATCTCTTGAATTGCACCTTGTCAGATTATTTATTCTTTATCCCTCTGACTGCCCCCCATAAGCCAATTGTCATGCTAAGCACACTTTTTTTTCTGGATTATTGGAATAGGTTATTTATGTAGCCTATTCTTTGTGTAATGAACTTCAAAATCTATACATTAAGTGAAAAATTAAGTACAATAGTTCTATTTTTAAACATGAGAAAATGCTAATTACAATTCTCCAGATAAACATACATAATTACAGCAATTACAATTCAACAATAACTCACTGGTACTTACTATTATAAACTCATAAACTATTATTCAGTATCCTATAAAATCCAAAATCTAATTGAAAGTGCTAGTTTAGCATAATTCCCACAAGCCATCATTCTTTAATATTCTGGAATGAATGAGGTTTCCGTTGAGCTATTAATTGATACTGACAAGCAATAACCACTGGAATGAAACTGCAATTATGAGTGGCAATTAATCACATTTGCTGTCATCTCTGGTGTCAAACAGAATTCAATAATCTTCTAAATAGTTCTTAAAAGTTTATACCTTTTATTTTTCAACTCACTTAGTATAAACCAAAAGCAATTTGCTGGGATAATCAAGTAACACCCAAAGACTATTTCTGTAAAATATAAATATTGTATTTTCTTGGTTAAAAGAGCTTTTATCTTTCTTCTGAAATTATTTTCAGAAGAAATCTATCTCTTTACAACCTTGGTGACACTCCTCATCTCACCTCATACCTGTCTTATCTCAGCACATCTTTATGACAGATCACCTTTGCACACAGCAGGAATTGCACATGCAGAAGAAATTCTTGTGAGCAAGAACTTGAGTAAGCATCATTAAGGACTTGGGATAATTTGAGAGGGAACTTTAGAAGCTTCAATTCAACAATGTCTCTTTGAATTGGGGTAAGGAGGCAGCAGGATTTAATTTACTTTCTCTCATTATTTCTAATTTAGTAGGGCAACTAGCAATATTTTTTTCCCGCTAACCTAAGGCATCCATACATCAGCATCTCTCACCAACCTACTAGTCCCTTCAAAAGTCATTGGAGGGCTCCTTTTGGCATCCAGGTAGTCACCTTAGGAGTAAAAATACGGACATATTTTTTGTAAAGTGAGCTAGGTCACCTACCAAATGATCACATCAAGGGCAGTATTAACAACAAAAGATCCAATTCCAGACAAATGAAACACTCAGTGCAAAGTGGAGGTAGTGACCTCAATCGGCAGATGTGTACCAGATATGCAAGCAGACACACAGCTTTCCTTAAATATTCATGACTTCCAATCTTTGTTTTGTTGGTGAGACATGGCTAAAATGAGAAAGTCTTGTTTCATTTTCTATGCTTACAGTTTGTGGCAAATTTAATGTACTGGAATAGTTAATCCTCAACAAACTAAGAAAGGAAGCAAAGCATCTGTTCACTCTACATCCCAAATCTGAAAAACGTTTTCTGGAAGTTTTCCCATAAAGCTGAAAATGTCGATAACTTTAAAAAGTGGAGGTTTGTAGCCTATAATTTACAACTTGAACAGATATAACAAAGTTACTTATTTAGAAATATTCCTGAACAGATAGCATTTACATATTTTCCGTGGAAAGTTATTAAAGTGAAGGAATTTACTAGCAAGCAGACATTTGGAGAAGGAAAGAATACTACATGAATAGCCTGTATGTATTAATAATGTAAATGAAATGACTTTCATTTTAATTATTGTTCTTCCCTTTACTTCTGTTTCTACTAACTGCATTTATGCTTATTATTGACTTCTAATAACATAATATGATGTTGGCCAAGACTTAGACGCCATACTGATTTAACATTGCATCAATATAAGAGACATTTTCTTTCTTGATGGTTCTGGTTCTGATACAACTAGATTATAGCATCTTTTTGTTTGATTGTAAAAGTTGTATAATTTATACTCTAATTTTGGATTCTTTTCTTTCTATCCTTCCTTTCACTGATTGTTTCCATAGTTATAATTTCATAAAATTTCAAGTGTCTAAATTACTCACTTCAGCAAGTCAATTATGTTCAGCTCTCTGGAGTTGCATGTTTTGGCTAACTCATGCCGGCATGTATACTGCAAACAAAACCTGCTTAACTTCGGAAGTGCTACAGAAAGTGGTACTATAATTCTTATGGCTTACTAGAACTGCTAGTTACTTTTGACCTTTGGAAAGTCCAGGTTAAAATTCTTGTTCCATAGCTTGGAACTCTGGTTTATAAGTTGAACCATAAACTGGGTGACTGATCAGAACCCATGTGTTTCTGGAGGGAACTCTGCAGCACCCCTCTGTGTGAGGTGCTATGGGTAAGATCCAAGCAAGGTTTCTCTTTTTTCCAAGTAAATGCTGAACCTGCCTCTGTCTACATGCTGCCCTTCGATTAGAAACACAGAATACTCAAGGAGTATAATCCTCAATTTGCTCTCTCCAGGCCTATCAAACATGTGGCTGCCACAGTAACAGTTAATAAAGAGAATTAAGGAAAATGCTTTTTCTAGGTGAACTAGGAATTCTAGCCTGTGCCTAAATCATTGGAGAGGTGCACGTTTGAGCCACATGGGATTCCCCTACTACAGAATCACCTATACAGAATTATGCTTTAATGTGAATGCAGAGACTTTCATTAAGGGCAGATTCCCAAAATGATTATTCAAAGAAATTTTCTGTTGAAATTCCCATCTGTGGTGTTGTTGAATGTCCCTTACAAAAGCCCTCTTTCACTCCATGGTGAATTTCTTTTAGAATGTGATACCTGGAAGAAATGTGTTTCTTGAAGATAGAATCTCCCTTTCACCAGAATGAGAATTATGTAACTTAACAGTTTCCAAAATAGTTTTAAAAGAAAATTATTGTGGAGGATGTTATTATGTATGAGAATCGAAAAGTCTATACTTGCGAAACTAAATTTGTTTGACAATTGAACCAAGATTAAAAAATTGAACAGATTTCTTTTTAACTGCATGATGTCCTCAAGAAGTAGATTTGCTAATGTGTACTGAGAGGCTCCAAAAAGAAGATTTTAGCAGCCACATTTTCCAAGCTCACTATATGATATAACCCCTTGTTTTCAGAACACTGTTTAAATTGGGGGGTGGTAAAACAATAGCAACAAAAGAACACTGATTAAAATCTTTCTAAAGAACTAAAGAAAAAAACTAAAGGACATGAATTTGAACATATGTAAGTTTTCTGTATTTATTTTTTGACTTAACTGGTAAGAAGCACAAAGCTAAAAAAATGCTGAGTATTCAAAATAATGATTAATAGCTAATATATCATCCACTACATTAAAACTATAACACTTTTTTCATTACCCACTACAATCGCTTAGAAGCAAATAATGCATAAACATATGAAATCATAAAAACATTTATAGCATTATTGAAAATATTACAATTCCATGAACAACTGTACGCTCACAAATTTGATGACCTAGGTGAAATGGACCCATTCCTTGAAAACACAATCTGCCGAAACTCACACAAGAAAAAATAGACCTATATCTATTACAGAAATTGAATCAATAACTAATAACCTTCCAAAACAGAAAGCACCAGGCCCCGATGAGTTCACTGATGAATTCTACCAAACATTTAAGGAAGAAATTACACCAATTCTCTATAATCTCTTTCAGAAGACAGAAGCAGAGAAAGTAATTCTTAACCCATTCCATGAGGCCAGCATTCCACTAACACAAAAACTGAGAAAGACAATGTAAGAAGAGGTACAAACCAGTATCTCTCATAAAAATAGAAGCAAAAATTATCAACAAAATATTAGCAAACCAAATGCAACAATGTATGTAAAGAATACATTATGTTCAAGTGGGATTTATCCCCAGTATGCAAGCCTGGTTCAAAATTCAAAAACCTATTAACACGATCTATTACATACAGAGGCTAAAAGAGAAAAATCACATGATCATATTAATAGACATAATACACATCAATATAATCATTTGACATAATTCAACACCCATTCATGATAAAAACTCTCAGTAAACTAGTAATAGATGAGAACTTCCTCAACTTAAGAAGAATATCTACATAAACCTTACAGCTACCATTACACTTAGTGGTCAGAAACTTGAAGCTTTCCTACTAAGATCAGAAACAAGGCAAGGATGTCCCCTCTCATCACTCCTTTTCAAGACTGTGCAGGAAGTTCTAGCTGATACAATAGGACAAGAAAGGGAAAGAAAAAGTATACAGATTGGGAAGGAAGAAGTAAAATGCTCATTGTTTGCAAATGACGTGATTGTCTAGAAAATTCAAAAGAATCAACAAAAAACTTCCAGAACTGATAAGCAATTGTATAAAAGTCAATTGCTTTACCATATACTAGCAAGGCACAAGTGGAATTTAGAATTAAAACACAATACCAGTTAAATTAGCACCACCAAAAATGAAATACTTGGGTACAAATATTTAAAAAATTGTATAAGATCCATATGAGGAAATCTAAAAATCTCTAATAAAAATATCTAAGGAGAAGGAATAAATGGAGAGATATTTCATGTAAATAACCAGGAAGATAGGAAGATGTTGATGTATTGATTCAATACAGACTCAATCAAAACCCTAGCAACTTATTTTATGGCTGTAGACAAACTGATTTTACTATTTATATGGGGAGGCAAAAAATCCAGAATAACAAATATAATACTGAAGAAGAACAAAGTTGGAGAACTGACATTATCTGACTTTAAGACTTACTGTAAAGCTACAGTAATCAAGATAATGTGGTATTAGTAAAAGCAAAGACAAATAGATCAGTGGAACAGAATAAAGAACCCAGAAAAAGCCCACATAAATATGGTCAATGGATCTTTGAAAAAGGAACGATGAAAATACAAATGGAACAATGATGGTCTTTTCAACAAATGGTGCTAGAACAACTGCACATCCACGTGCAAAACAATGAATCTAAACACATACCTTATGGTACCTTTCCCCAAAATTAAGATGGATTATAGATCTAAAACATAAAACTATAAAAATCCTCAAAAATAACACAGGAGAAAGAAAATCTTGATGATCTTGGGTATGGCAATGACTCTTTAGATAAAAAAAAAATCAAAGACATGATTCATGAAAGAAATACTGATAAGCTGGACTTCATGAAAATTTAAAACTTCCCTGAAATACAATGTCAAGAGAATGAGAAGACAAGTCACAGACTGGGAGAAAATATTTGCAGAAGATGCATCTGATAAAATATTGTTATCTAAAATATATATTAAAAAACTAAACAATAAGAAAACAAACAACCCAATTAAAAAATGGGTCAAAGTCCTTAACAGGTAACTCACTAAAGAAGACATTCAAGAGCAATTAAGCATATGAAAAGATGCTCCACATCATGTGTCATCAGGGAAGGCATACTAACCAGTGAGAGACCACTACCTATCTATTAGAATGACCAAAATCTAGAACACTGACAACATCAAATGCTGATGAGGATATGGAGCAATAAGAACTCTCATTCATTGCTACTGGGAATGCAGAATGGTATAGGTACTTTGGAAGACAGTTTGGCAGGTCCTTACCAAACTAAACATAACTTACCATACAAACAATGGAGCTCCTAGGTATCTACGAGCAATTATGCTCATTGGTAATTACTCAAAAAAGTTGAAAACTAATATCCACACAAAGACCTTATAGCAGTTTTACTCATAATTGCCAAAACTTGGAAACAACCAAGATGTCCTTCAGTAGGTGAATGAATAAACTGTGGTACAACCAGATAATGGACTATTATTCAGTGCTACAAAGAAATGAACTATTGAGCCATGAAAAGACACGGAGGAAACTTAAACGCATATTACTAAGTAAAATCAGTTGATCTGAAAAATGCTACATACTGTATGATTCCAATTATATGACATTCTGGAAAAGGCAAAACTATGGAGACAGTAAAAAGATAAATGCTTGGGGCTAAGGGGGAGTGAGGATGAATAGGTGGGGCACAAAGGATATTTAGGGCAGTGAAACTATTCTGCATGATACTATAATGGTGAATATACGTCATTGTACATGTGTCTAAACCCATGGGATGTACAACACCAAGAGTGAATCCTAATGTAAACTATGGACTTCGGGGGATAATGTTGTTTCAGTGTAGATTCATCAGTTGTAACAATTGTGCCATTCTGGTGGGGGATGTTGATAACGGGGAAGGCTGGCATGTATGGGGGATGGAAGTACATGGCAAATCTCTGTACCTTCCTTTCAATTTTGGTGTGAAAATAAAACTGCTCTAAAAAAGTAAAGTTGTTAATTAAAAACAAAGAACACCACAATAAAACAACCAAAACAGGCATAGTGACAGTAGATATTTTTTCAAAAGCCAATTTAAACATCACTGTCACTATCATTTCACTTTATTTAAAATACAAAACTTTGAGAATGATCCCTTTTTTCCAATGGTACAGAGAGCTTAATACATCCTTGAGATGGCCTTGGATTATCAAAACTAAATAAAAATTCCATGCATAATAAAAGACAACTCCTATATTTAAATCAAAGGATTACATTCATTTGAACACTATCTGAAATATAATCAGGTATTGTCATCTACATTCTTGCAGATTAATTCTATTTCTTATTTTTTTGAGTTTTAAGATACAGTTTTCTAATCACCAGTCACTGTTCTAATACCAATTTTATACAGCCACACTCTCCTCAGCTTCAAGAAAAAGAGAAGGAGAGAAGATTCATATACTATACAGGAAGGGGATCATCATTCCACTTTAAAATTCAACTTCTTCACAAGTGCTTTCTCAAACCTAAGTCTATATGAATTACCAAAGAGCTTGTTAAAAATGTAATTCTCTGTGCTATTTTCCAGAGATTCTGATGCAGTAAGATTGCAAGAGGTATTGGAATCTCTACCCTTAATAAATACCCGGGGGATTCAGATGATGGTTCACGATCTAAGATTCAAAAATTGCTGTTGAAGAACATGTTAAGGGGAGAGACCAATTTTATTGTATTTAAACTCAATAACCCTCCTACCCCCAGAGGGCACAGTCACTGACACTGCCTTTTAAAGGACTGAGTGACTCAGGACAGCATTGAAATTACCACCCTTTTGCACTTCATTAGCTCTTTTAGACCCATTCTATACATGCTCAAGCATGCTTTCAGCCTGGATGACCTGGGTGCTAGTTACAACATTGGTATTAACTACTCATATGGCTCAATTAGCAAACTCCATAACTTCACTAAACCTCACGTCATTCAAATAAGGAGGCTGGACTACGTTATTCTTTTTTATTTTGTCTTTTTTTTTAAAGTTTATTTTGAGCTAATTTTTCTTTTTATTCTTTTATTATTATTATTATTATACTTTAAGTTTTAGGGTACATGTGCACAATGTGCAGGTTAGTTACATATGTATACATGTGTCATGATGGTGTGCTGCACCCATTAACTCGTCATTTAGCATTAGGTATATCTCCTAATGCTATCCCTCCCCTCTCCCCCCACCCCAAAACAGTCCCCAGAGTGTGATGTTCCCCTTCCTGTGTCCATGTGTTCTCATTGTTCAAGTCCCATCTATGAGTGAGAACATGCGGTGTTTGGTTTTTTCTCCTTGCGATAGTTTATTGAGAATGATGATTTTCAATTTCATCCATGTTCCTACAAAGGACATGAACTCATCATTTTTTATGGCTGCATAGTATTCCATGGTGTATATGTACCACATTTTCTTAATCCAGTCTATCATTGTTGAACATTTGGGTTTGTTCCAAGTCTTTGCTATTGTGAATAGTGCCGCAATAAACATATGTATGCATGTGTCTTTATAGCAGCATGATTTATAGTCCTTTGGGTATATACCCAGTCATGGGATGGCTGGGTCAAATGGTATTTCTAGTTCTACATCCCTGAGGAATCGCCACACTGACTTCCACAATGGTTGAACTAGTTTACAGTCCCACCAACAGTGTAAAAGTGTTCCTATTTCTCCACATCCTCTCCAGCACCTGTTGTTTCCTGACTTTTTAATGAATGCCATTCTAACTGGTGTGAGATGGTATCTCATTGTGGTTTTGATTTGCATTTCTCTGATGGCCAGTGATGGTGAGCATTTTTTCATGTGCCTTTTGGCTGCATAAATGTCTTCTTGTGAGAAGTGTCTTCATATCCTTGCCCACTTTTTGATGGGGTTGTTTTTTTCTTGTAAATTTGTTTGAGTTCATTGTAGATTCTGGATATTAGCCCTTTGTCAGATGAGTAGGTTGCGAAAATTGTCTCCCATTTTGTAGGTTGCCTGTTCACTCTGATGGTAGTTTCTTTTGCTGTGCAGAATCTCCTTAGTTTAATTACATCCCATTTGTCAATTTTGGCTTTTGTTGCCACTGCTTTTGGTGTTTTAGACATGAAGTTCTTGCCCTTGCCTATGTCCTGAATGCTAATGCTTAGGTTTTCTTCTAGGGTTTTTGTGGTTTTAGGTCTGACGTTTAAGTCTTTAATCCATCTTGAATTGATTTTTGCATAAGGTGTAAGGAAGGGATCCAGTTTCAGCTTTCTACATATGGCTAGCCAGTTGTCCCAGCACCATTTATTAAATAGGGAATCCTTTCCCCATTGCTTCTTTTTCTCAGGTTTGTCAAAGATCAGATAGTTGTAGATATGCAGCATTATTTCTGAGGGCTCTGTTCTGTTCCATTGATCTATATCTCTGTTTTGGTACCAGTACCATGCTGTTTTGGTTACTGTAGCCTTGTAGTATGGTTTGAAGTCAGGTAGCGTGATGCCTCCAGCTTTGCTCTTTTGGCTTAGGATTGACTTGGCAATGCGGGCTCTTTTTTGGTTCCATATGAAATTTAAAGTAGTTTTTTCCAATTATGTGAAGAAAGTCATTGGTAGCTTGATAGGGATGGCATGGAATCTACAAATTACCTTGGGCAGTATGGCCATTTTCATGATATTGATTCTTCCTACCCATGAGCATGGAATGTTCTTCCATTTGTTTGTATCCTCTTTTATTTCATTGAGCAGTGGTCTGTAGTTCTCCTTCAAGAGGTCCTTCACATCCCTTGTAAGTGGGATTCCTAGGTATTTTATTCTCTTTGAAGCAATTGTGAATGGGAGTTCACTCATGATTTGGCTGTCTGTCTGTTATTGGTGTATAAGAATGCTTGTGATTTGGATTCGCTGTGTTGGCCGGGCTGGTCTCCAGCTCCTAGCCACGAGTGATCCGCCGGCCTCGGCCTCCCGAGGTGCCGGGATTGCAGACGGAGTCTCGTTCACTCGGTGCTCGGTGGTGCCCAGGCTGGAGTGCAGTGGCGTGGTCTCGGCTCGCTGCGGCCTCCACCTCCCGGCGTCCTGCCTTGGCCTCCCAGGGTGCCGAGATTGCAGCCTCTGCCCGGCCGCCACCCCGTCTGGGAGGTGGGGAGCGTCTCCGCCTGGCCGCCCATCGTCTGGGATGTGGGGAGCCCCTCTGCCTGGCTGCCCAGTCTGGAGAGTGGGGAGCGTCTCTGCCCGGCCGCCGTCCCATCTAGGAGGTGGGGAGCGCCTCTTCCCGGCCGCCATCACATCTGGGAGGGGGGGAGCGTCTCTGCCCGGCCGCCCATCGTCTGAGATGTGGGGAGCGCCTCTGCCCTGCCGCCCCGTCCGGGATGTGAGGAGCGTCTCTGCCCGGCCGCCCCGTCTGAGAAGTGAGGAGACCCTCTGCCTGGCAACCGCCCCGTCTGAGAAGTGAGGAGCCCCTCCGCCAGGCAGCCGCCCCGTCTGAGAGGTGAGGGGCCCCTCCGCCCGGCAGCCGCCCCGTCTGGGAAGTGAGGAGCGTCTCCTCCCAGCAGCCACCTCGTCCGGGAGGGAGGTGGGAGGGTCGGCCCCCCGTCCGGCCGGCTGCCCCGTCCGGAAGGGAGGTGGGGGGGTCGGCCCCGCCTGGCCAGCCGCCCCGTCTGGGAGGGAGGTGGGGGGATCGGCCCCGCCCGGCCGGCCGCCCCGTCCGGCAGATGAGGGGCGCCTCTGCCCGGCCGCCCCTGCTGGGAGGTGGGGAGCCTCTCTGCCCGGCCAGCCGCTCCCTCCGGGGGGGAGGTGGGGGGGTCAGCCCCGAGTCCAGCCGCCCCGTCCGGGAGGTGAGGGGCGCCTCTGCCCGGCCGCCGCTGCTGGGAGGTGGGGAGCCTCTCTGCCCGGCCAGCCGCTCCCTCCGGGGGAGGTGGGGGGGTCAGCCGCCCCGGCCAGCCGCCCCGTCCCGAGGTGAGGGGCCTCTGCCCAGCCGCCCCTGCTGGGAAGTGGGGAGCCCCTCTGCCCGGCCAGCCCGCCCCATCCGGGAGGGAGGTGGGGGGGGTCAGCCCCCCGCCGCCAGCCGCCCCGTCCGGGAGGTGAGGGGCGCCTCTGCCCGGCCGCCCCTACTGGGAAGTGAGGAGCTCCTCTGCCTGGCCAGCCGCCCCTGTCCGGGAGGGAGGTGGAGGGGTCAGCCCCCCGCCCGGCCAGCCGCCCCGTCCGGGAGGGAGGGAGGTGGGGGAGTCAGCCCCCCGCCCGGCCAGCCGCCCCTTCCGGGAAGTGAGGGGCGCCTCTGCCCGGCCGCCCCTACTGGGAAGTGAGGAGCCCCTCTGCCCGGCCAGCCGCCCCGTCTGGGAGGTGGGGGGCGCCTCTGCCCGGCTGCACCTGCTGGGAGGTGAGGAGCCCCTCTGCCCGGCCACCACCCTGTCTGGGAGGTGTGCCCAGCGGCTCACTGAGACCGGGCCATGATGACAATGGCGGTTTTGTGGAATGGAAGGGGGGGAAAGGTGGGGAGAAGATTGAGAAATCGGATGGTTGCCGTGTCTGTGTGGAAAGGGGTGGACATGGGAGACTTTTCATTTTGTTCTGTACTGAGAGAGGTTCTTCTGCCTTGGGATCCTGTTGATCGGTGACCTTGCCCCCAACCCTGTGCTCTCTGAAACATGTGCTGTGTCCACTCAGGGTTGAATGGATTAAGGGCGGTGCAAGATGTGCTTTGTTAAACAGATGCTTGAAGGCAGCATGCTCCTTAAGAGTCATCACCACTCCCTAATCTCAAGTACCCAGGGACACAAACACTGCGGAAGGCCGCAGGGTCCTCTGCCTAGGAAAACCAGAGACCTTTGTTCACTTGTTTATCTGCTGACCTTCCCTCCACTAATTGTCCTGTGACCCTGCCAAATCCCCCTCTGCGAGAAACACCCAAGAATGATCAATTAAAAAAAAAAAAAAAAAGAATGCTTGTGATTTTTGTACATTGATTTTGTATCCTGAGACTTTGCTGAAGTTGCTTATCAGCTTAAGGAGATTTTGGGCTGACACAATGGGGTTTTCTAGATATACAATCATGTCATCTGCAAACAGGGACAATTTGACTTCCTCTTTTCCTAATTGAATACCCTTTATTTCCTTCTCCTGCCTAATTGCCCTGGCCAGAACTTCCAACACTATGTTGAATAGGAGTGGTGAGAGAGGGCAACCCTGTCTTGTGCCAGTTTTCAAAGGGAATGCTTCCAGTTTTTGCCAATTCAGTATGATATTGGCTGTGGGTTTGTCATAGATAGCTCTTATTATTTTGAGATATGTCCCATCAATACCTAATGTATTGAGAGTTTTTAGCATGAAGGGTTGTTGAATTTTGTCAAAGGCCTTTTCTGCATCTATTGAGATAATCATGTGGTTTTTGCCTTTGGTTCTGTTTATATGTTGGATTACATTTATTGATTTGCATATATTGAACCAGCCTTGCATCCCAGGGATGAAGCCCACTTGATCATGGTGGATAAGCTTTTTGACGTGCTGCTGGAATTGGTTTGCCAGTATTTTATTGAGGATTTTTGCATCAGTGTTCATCAAGGATATTGGTCTAAAATTCTCTTTTTTGGTTGTGTTTCTGGCCGGCTTTGGTATCAGGATGATGCTGGCCTCATAAAATGAGTTAGGGAGGATTCCCTCTTTTTCTACTGACTGGAATAGTTTCAGAAGGAATGGTACCAGTTCCTCCTTGTACCTCTGGTAGAATTTGGCTGTGAATCCATCTGGTCCTGGACTCTTCTTGGTTGGTAAGCTGTTGATTATTGCCACAATTTCAGATCCTGTTATTGGTCTATTCAGAGATTCAACTTCTTCTTGGTTTAGTCTTGGGAGAGTGTATGTGTCAAGGAATTTATCCATTTCTTCTAGATTTTCTACTTTATTTGCGTAGAGGTGTTTGTAGTATTCTCTGATGGTAGTTTTTATTTCTGTGGGATCGGTGGTGATATCCCCTTTATCATTTTTTATTGTGTCTATTTGATTCTTCTCTCTTTTTTTCTTCATTAGTCTTGCTAGCGGTCTATCAATTTTGTTGATCCTTTCAAAAAACCAGCTCCTGGATTCATTAATTTTTTGAAGGGTTTTTTGTGTCTCTATTTCCTTCAGTTCTGCTCTGATTTTAGTTATTTCTTGCCTTCTGCTAGCTTTTGAATGTGTTTGCTCTTGCTTTTCTAGCTCTTTTAATTGTGATGTTAGGGTGTCAATTTTGGATCTTTCCTGCTTTCTCTTGTGGGCATTTAGTCCTATAAATTTCCGTCTACACACTGCTCTGACTGTGTCCCAGAGATTCTGGTATGTTGTGTCTTTGTTCTTGTTGGTACATAAAGAACATCTTTATGTCTGCCTTCATTTTGTTATGTACCCAATAGTCATTCAGGAGCAGGTTGTTCAGTTTCCATGTAGTTGAGTGGTTTTGAGTGAGTTTCTTAATCCTGAGCTCTAGTTTGATAGCACTGTGGTCTGAGAGAGTTTGTTATAATTTCTGTTCTTTTACATTTGCTGAGGAGAGCTTTACTTCCAACTATGTGGTCAATTTTGGAATAGGTGTGGTGTGGTACTGAAAAAAATGTATATTCTGTTGATTTGGGGTGGAGAGTTCTGTAGATGTCTATTAGGTCCGCTTGGTGCAGAGCTGAGTTCAATTCCTGGGTATCCTTGTTGACTTTCTGTCTCGTTGATCTGTCTAATGTTGACAGTGGGGTGTTAAAGTCTCCCATTATTATTGTGTGGGAGTCTAAGTCTCTTTGTAGGTCACCCAGGACTTGCTTTATGGATCTGGGTGCCCCTGTATTGGGTGCATATATATTTAGGACAGTTAGCTCTTCTTGTTGAATTGATTCCTTTACCATTATGTAATGGCCTTCTTTGTCTCTTTTGATCTTTGTTGGTTTAAAGTCTGTTTTATCAGAGACTAGGATTGCAACCCCTGCCTTTTTTTGTTTTCCATTTGCTTGGTAGATCTTCCTCCATCCTTTTATTTTGAGCCTATGTGTGTCTCTGCACATGAGATGCGTTTCCTGAATACAGCATGCTGATGGGTCTTGACTCTTTATTCAATTTGCCAGTCTGTGTCTTTTAATTGGAGCATTTAGTCCATTTACATTTAAAGTTAATATTGTTATGTGTGAATCTGATCCTGTCATTATGATGTTAGCTGGTTATTTTGCTTGTTAGTTGATGCAGTTTCTTCCTAGTCTCGATGGTCTTTATATTTTGGCATGATTTTGCAGCTGCTGGTACCAGTTGTGCCTTTCCATGTTTAGTGCTTCCTTTAGGAGCTCTTTGAGGGCAGGCCTGGTGGTGACAAAATCTGTCAGCATTTGTTTGTCTGTAAAGTATTTTATTTCTCCTTCACTTATGAAGCTTAGTTTGGCTGGATATGAAATTCTGGGTTGAAAATTCTTTTCTTCAAGAATGTTGAATATTGGCCCCCACTCTCTTCTGGCTTGTAGAGTTTCTGCTGAGAGATCTGCTGTTAGTCTGATGGGCTTCCCTTTGTGGGTAACCTGACCTTTCTCTCTGGCTGCCCTTAACATTTTTTCCTTCATTTCAACTTTGGTGAATCTGACTATTATGTGTCTTGGAGTTGCTCTTCTCGAGGAGTATCTTTGTGGCATTCTCTGTATTTCCTGAATCTGAACGTTGGCCTGCCTTGCTAGATTGGGGAAGTTCTCCTGGATAACATCCTGCAGAGTGTTTTCCAACTTGGTTCCATTCTCCCCGTCACTTTGAGGTACACCAATCAGACGTAGATTTGGTCTTTTCACATAGTCCCATATTTCTTGGAGGCTTTGTTCATTTCTTTTTATTCTTTTTTCTCTCAACTTCCCTTCTCGCTTCATTTCATTCATTTCGTCTTCCATCACTGATACCCTTTCTTCCAGTTGATCGCACTGGGTCCTGAGGCTTCTGCATTCTTCACGTAGTTCTCGAGCCTTGGCTTTCAGCTCCATCAGCTCCTTTAAGCACTTCTCTGTATTGGTTATTCCAGCTATACATTCGTCTAAATTTTTTTCAAAGTTTTCAACTTCTTTGCTTTGGTTTGAATTTCCTCCTGTAGCTTGGAGTAGTTCGATCGTCTGAAGCCTTCTTCTCTCAACTCGTCAAAGTCATCCTCCGTCCAGCTTCGTTTCGTTGCTGGTGAGGAATTGCGTTCCTTTGGAGGAGGAGAGGCGCTCTGCTTTTTAGAGTTTCCAGTTTTTCTGCTCTGTTTTTTCCCCATCTTTGTGGTTTTATCTACTTTTGGTCTTTGATGATGGTGATGTACAGATGGGTTTTTGGTGTGGATGTCCTGTTTGTTAGTTTTCCTTCTAACAGACAGGACCCTCAGCTGCAGGTCTGTTGGAGTT
This sequence comes from Homo sapiens, assembly GCF_000001405.40. Taxonomy (NCBI): domain Eukaryota; kingdom Metazoa; phylum Chordata; class Mammalia; order Primates; family Hominidae; genus Homo; species Homo sapiens. Next base: position 167,559,221 of record NC_000002.12, on the reverse strand, counting down.
TGCTAGAGGTCCACTCCAGACCATGTTTGCCTGGGTATCAGCAGCGGTGTCTGCAGAACAGTGGATTTTCATGAACCGCAAATCCTGCTGTCTGATCGTTCCTCTGGAAGTTTTGTCTCAGAGGAGTACCCGGCCGTGTGAGGTGTCAGTCTGCCCCTGCTGGGGGGTGCCTCCCAGTTAGGCTGCTCAGGGGACATGGGTCAGGGACCCACTTGAGGAGGCAGTCTGCCCGTTCTCAGATCTCCAGCTGCGTGCTGGGAGAACCACTGCTCTCTTCAAAGCTGTCAGACAGGGACATTTAAGTCTGCAGAGGTTACTGCTGTCTTTTTGTTTGTCTGTGCCCTGCCCCCAGAGGTGGAGCCTACAGAGGCAGGCAGGCCTCCTTGAGCTGTGGTCAGCTCCACCCAGTTCGAACTTCCTGGCTGCTTTGTTTACCTAAGCAAGCCTGGGCAATGGTGGGCGCCCCTCCCCCAGCCTCGCTGCCACCTTGCAGTTTGATCTCAGACTGCTGTGCTAGCAATCAGCGAGACTCCATGGGCGTAGGAACCTCCGAGCCAGGTGCAGGATATAATCTCCTGGTGCGCCATTTCCTAAGCCCGTCGGAAAAGCGCAGTATTCAGGTGGGAGTGATCCAATTTTCCAGGTGCCATCTGTCACCCCTTTCCTTGACCAGGAAAGGGAACTCCCTGACCCCTTCTGCTTCTGGAGTGAGTCAATGCCTCGCCCTGCTTCAGCTGGCGCATGGTGTGCTGCACTCACTGTCCTGAGCCCACTCTCTGGCACTCCCTAGTGAGATGAACCTGGTACCTCAGACGGAAATGCAGAAATCACCCATCTTCTGCGTCGCTCATGCTGCGAGCTGTAGACCGGAGCTGTTCCTATTCGGCCATCTTGGCTCCTCTGTTATTCTTAAAATCATAATCAACTTCAAGGTTCTCTGAATCTGTTGTAAACTTGATTTTTCTTTTCATCTTCTCCATGTTATTTTATCTAAATGATCTGTTTTCAAAATTAGCTTTAAAGGTAGTTTTTCTGATAACCAAAGACTTGTCTTTTTCAGGTTGTCACACACTGTCTTCATTCTCCTTCAGAGATAAGACAAAAACAATGTAAAAAATTAGAGAGCACCTCAGTTTTAACCAGAACTCAGTATTACTCCTTTTATCCCTGGCTCAGTGAATGACCACCAGTCCAGAAGCAAGGCTGAGCATTCTGAAGCAGGAAACAATAAACATAAGAAAAGTGATTAAATGCATTGTGGGCTGGGCTTTTGCTCCCTTTTCCTTGAATGGGCAATGTAGATGAAATCTCACAGTTTGCAAAGGTTTAGACTGAATATAAAACTACTATATAAGTGATGCTGGCCAACAGATTGGATTCTTCCTTTCCCAGGACGCAATTTCGCTAAGTACCCTTCTTGGTCTCCAGTCAAGCCAATGATGTCTGTTTACGTGGAACAGAAAAGTACATAATGTTCATTTGTTTTGGGTGAGTTAAAGAAACTGACATATGCCTTTGGTCTCTCATACCAGCTACCAAGAAAAACATATTATACATTTGAGGATTGTGGGATGGGGTGCAGTCCATGACCACTTTGACAGTCCAGGGCAGAGCTGGGGCTGGAATGCACACAGGGTTCTCTCCTCTTACATTCTGACCTCCAAAGAGCAGAAAGAAAGAACGAGGGTTGCCCTGTGTCCTGCCAAATACTGTTCTTGAAATCCAAGATATCATGTTTCTAAGTTCTACTGAAACTTTGAGAGCCAAACACTTTAGATATTAAATAATATATAACAAACCTAAAATTTCAATCAGGTAATTTCCATTCTGTAGCCAAGTATTTTATTACTTTGCATCAAAATGATAAGGTTTTAGTTGAGAAGGTAAAAATATCCATAACTTTTTATTAGAAAAGGTGACATTCTTGGCAACAAAGAACACTTTGTTGGTCAGTGTTTATAATTCATAAAAGTATACAATATAAGATATTTAAATGAAAATGTCTTTGATCACACAACCCATCTCCAAGTCACTTAATAATTTACTTTGAGGTGTATAAACAGAATTAAAAAAAAAAAGACTAATGTACTTATGTAGATAACCAGCTTTTATAGTCAGTAGTTCTGTAAAAGGCAGTATATTATTTTTCTACAATGTAGAGTGATTTATAATATGCAGCCAAATGGTTTAGTTTTAAGACACAAGTTTTTAGAATCACAGAGATCCATAAATGAACTTTGGCTGGACCCAAGGGCACAATTCCTTATTTCTCCAGTCTTTTCACTTTCCTCAGTTTCTTCTGTAGAACAGACATAACATTACCTACCTCCTAGGTTTATTGTGAGAAATAAATATTCCATTGCAGGAAGATGGCACACAGTAAGAAGTAATCAGTTTTTCCACAAGAAGACAATTTTTCTTAAATGAGAATAGTGTAGCATACATACCTAGAATGTTCATTCCTCTATGAAGTTGCAGTGAACGAACATTTTCCAATTAAGGGCATCCTTGACCAATGAAAATGAGGGATGAATAGTCTACTCACTGCGTTGTTTCCTACAACTCTTTGGTAAATATTACTTCATTGTCTTAGCTCTAGATTTTAATAAAGTAGTGAGGTTCTTGAGTTTAAATATTTTGATCAAAATAAAACTTCATTATTGAAATTAAAAAGACAAGTTTTAAAAACAGCAGAATTTTTTTAACATGAGAAAGGCTTCCTCATGTTACTTAATCTCCCCATGGTGTCCTTATAGTCCATTTTTAATACTTTAGCTTGCATGCTTGCCAATAATTGTTTCCTAAAAATTTGTACATTCTCATTATTGTTCATTATAGATAAATAGATAAGTAGAGATTTTCTACATTAAAGTATTGTAAAGTGCTTTAGTCCTCGAAACTGTTTACCTGCTTCTATTCCAATGCCTCATTTGCGCTCAGTTTTAAGCATCATAGTTACAGCAGTATTTTTTTAATTCAACCTCTGAGTATGTGAAGCCTCCATAATTACAATATTTAATATATTCTTAATCATGTTGTTGAATCCTTCCATATAGAGTGATCTTTCCTTTCATTACCTGTCCTTCTGATTACCATTGAAAATGTGATGCTTTATTGTGCTATAATTGTAAAAAAGAGCAATTCACAAGTCAGTAATATTTGGCATTTGTTCCTTCCAAGTTGTCCCTGGGATCCATAGAAAAATCCTTGGAGATTCCATCCCATTGGCATAATTCATATTCGGCTAAAGTCAATAGCTACAGAATGGTGAGGCATGTATTCAGAGCCTCTGGTGTTTCATTATCCTCACTGAGTCATTGTGCATGTTGGTATAATCAAAATCCATTCAGACTCAGATGATTATTCAATACACTTTTTGAAGGATTCCATTCTCCTTTCATCCTTAGTGCATTCCCCAAGGAAATAGGATATATTAACACGCCATATGGTAAGTAGAACCCTTCATGGTACCACACTGTATTTTCTATCACATGCTATTTCACAATGTGACATGCTCAAGTTCTTTTCTAATGAAGACTGTAACTCCTAACATAGATTTGGCAATATCACTCTTGCTTTTCTTTCCCCTTCACAGTCATCCCTGTCATTGCCATTAGCCTATTTTTATGTCTGAATAAAAGCCTGTGTTTCTTCCTGGAAAGCAGCTTTTATAACAGTGTATAAAAGTAAAATGTAAGCAAAAAGATAGCTCCAGATGTGGTAATTCAGTGACAAGTAGTTGAGCTATATGCTGGTAAGAAGAAAATACCCATAAAAGATTGAATTTTACTTTATCCTAGTAACACGGGATAGTGGAAAGAACAGGGACTTTGCAGTTCTATCTCAGCTTATGAGGAGTCGTGTGACCTGAGGGCAAGTTACTTCTGAACTCAGAGATAAGGACACTCACTATGTGAGACTATGGTGAGATTTATGTGTATGATAATGTATGCAAAATTCCTAAAGCATGATGCCATGCACAAAGTTAGAGTGCAATGCATTCAATAACTGTCTATTCCTATGCTTCTCTATCTTCTATTGTTTCCCTGAGATTTTCCCAATAGATTGGATAGAAACTGTGACTTTGAAAAGTGAAGCATATACATAGCAGTCCTATGCATTCCCATGGCATATAGTTCAGTTAGCTGAAATATAAGTCTATTACACACATTTGGATTTGTATATCACTCAGCACATACGTCATTTCTGTGTCATCTATTTTATGTTTGAAGACCCAGAAGACAGAGCCATCCTTCTTACCTTATATTTCACTGCCTGATATCATGTATATGATTAATTAACATGTTTTATGATGAGTTTCATGAACTTTTCTATGGTGATCAAATGGCAAGACATCTAAATAAATAATATGAAAGGACACAAAAAATTAGCTTTGTCTACTAAAGTTAGTAGGTACCTTACAAGTAATCCAAACGTTAATTTTGCTTAATTGGACTAGCAATTTAGTCTTAAATTTTGGATAGGCTTAAAATAATCTTCAGGCAAATAGGCAAAAAATCTTTTGTGGAAGATGTGCTATGAGTTTTATGGAATAGCAATGAAAATGAGATGTGATATCTAAATGGCTAAAATAGTCTTTACTCTTATTGCATACACTTAGTATTTTTCACACCAGCTCTGCAATAGAAGGGGAGGAAAAAGAAGAAAACTAAGAGTATGTCTATTAGGAAAGAAGGTAACAGGCAGATTATCTGCATAACATTGGTTTCTAAAATAATGCTGGTTTTGAAACAATTCTTAGTGTTACCTTCGGCTGTTACCTGGTCATCCTACCGCTGGTTCATCCACCATTACTTACTGAGTGAGGTGACTTGGCTTAGTGATGTCTTCCTTATCAATCACTCTTCCTTATAGATAGAAGGAGATGTACAAATTTAACAACTTGTACAGCATAGCAACTAACTATTCAGAAAGGACATATCTTAAGTGCTTACTACATGTTAAGCATGATGATAAATGTATCAATACATTATCACTGTATCTTCTCTTAAACACCATAAGTTAAGTACAGCTCTTATTCCCATTTTCAATATGAGAAAACTGAAGTTTAGGGAAATTGCTTGTTCAAAGTCATACAGTTTGCAGGTGGAAGAGCCAGAATTGGAATCTAGGCCAGTGACCAGCGGTCATGCTCTTAACTAGGTTATTCTGTTATTCTCCTAATAAACGCAGATCCCCAGGAGGCAAATCCATAACATGGTTAGTCAGGTACGGTTGAAATGCTTGATGGGTGCCTTATTTTTTTGACATTTTGCCTGTACAGTTGTTGACTAAATGTACCATATAATTATGCCTCTCATTTCTGTCCTTTTACCTTCTTTTTAATCACTGGGAAAAGTGATTGCAAAATTTGTTTTCTGAATTTCTGAAAATTGCATCAGCTTAAGTGTTTAGGAAAAATGCCTTGATGATTAAGAGCTTCATATCCATAGCTGTAGTTCCAAAATTACAAGTTTAAATTGTGCCCAAGAAAAAGATTTTGTTTCTATCACTAAGAAAAATGAACCATGGTGGGAAAACACAGCAATTTAGGTCTAAAAAAGATCTAAGCCCCTATATGGTCCAGCTGACCATTTTATAGATGAAATGGAGGGCTCAGAAGTGGTCTTGGATTGTATAATACCTAGGGCATACCTTTAGGTGGAACTGAGACTGGGATGCAGCCATGGGATTCTGCATGTTTTCTTGGAGGTAAAATACAAAGAAATCCTGACCAGTAGCCAGGGGTCCCATAAATCGAGATCTGCCACTGCACAGCTGTGCTGTCTTTGGGTAGCCACTTAGGTTTTCTCGGTCTCAATTTCCTCATGTGAAAAGAAGGGGTTCTTCTTACAGTTGAATCTCTTAGCTTGCTCCTAACATTTTATTAACCCAAGTTTTATTACATCAGAGTCAATTTGGCTATGTCAGATAAACATTGTTATTATTTATTCATGTTTAAGCCTACCACGATGCTGATTCAGAATACTCCTCTCATTTGCTTTTCTGATATGAACAGCTTTTATGCTAAGATCTAAGTGTTTTAGATTTGGTTATCCTTGAAGCCTTTTTAAAAATCTGACATTCTTATCTAAAGCTCAGGTAGCTTAAAAATTATTCTCTGGATTGGAATTAAATATTTTAATGATGATGATACAATAAATATTTGATGACATTTTGATTATATAATCAGGGATAAAATAGTACCCCCCGAAGATGTGTACCAACACATTCAAGTACTGAAGACTTGATTAAAACTCCTATTAAGGAATCAGAAATAAGATGATAAAGGTGACCAATGGAGAAATTTAAGGACCAGAAACATATTTCAAAAAACAGCAAGATGGGATGCACTGTATGATTAAAAACACAAAGAGAATATCTTGTTTGGAAACCAAGCCATTTTAATATTTGTAGTCATGCACACTGGTTTTCCCAAAGGAAAAAGTATTTCAGGAAAAGCTCACTAGTATCCTTGGAGAAAGTCAAAGCCACATCAGAATGAAGGAATCTAGAAACTTATTCCAAACTCACTGAAAGGCAACTTCCGTTTGGAAGAATTTTTTTGATTACAGTTAGACTATTTACTCTATATTATTGGTCCCAGTAAGAAAAAAGTGTTAATAATAGTAACAATAACAATAACATATACCTACACTGCATTTGCTAAGTGACAAGCAGTATTCTAAAATATACACAAAAACATATCAAATGTTTTAAATTTGTTTTACTACTTATCTACTTTATTATAGTATAACTAAGTTGTTTATGGAAATTTAAATGGTATTTTTATTTTTATATTCTAAATAAATACTTGCGTTTATTTTCATAAAAACAGATAAATGCAAGGTTGTACACGTCTGGGTCTCCTAAATTTTTATATGAAATATCTTTGCCTAAACTGCTGTGCTTGCTATTTACCCTAGAATCTGGAAGTGTCAGAACTGAAGGAGAGGTTGGTAATCATATAGTCAAGGAATCATTGGTATTAACAAAATGAGTGCATTTTACAGATGAGACAATGCAGGGTCGAAGATGTGAAGACTCTCAAGGTCATCCAGTTAGTTAGGGGGAAAGTTAGACCCAATTCTCCTTGCTTCCAATACTGAGAATTTTCCATTGCAAGCAAAACTGATGCAGCTGCAAGCTCTTAGCAGCAACTAGCAATGAGAATAAAGCTCTAAGAAAAATAAACAGCCTCCTTACAATAAGTCGTTAAAACCCTAGAACATGACAGAAATGCTCCATGTCTGTTTACTCTACTGAAAAGGATTATTTCAAATGAAATAGCAAAGTTATAATGTAAGGACCCAGCTCTGAGGACTCCAGAACCCTTCTCAAATGCCCCCTCCAGTGTGCTCCCAGACCTCCAACAGGGGAGACATAGTGCCACTTCTCACATATCTACTTCGGTCTGGTCCAAGTCACCCCTACTCTTGAGCAGGGCTGCTGCTACCCCATATGGTGCCTCTGTGTGAATTTAAGAAAATGTGCCTCGTCTGGGTGGTTAAATTAGAAAAAGGCACCTCATCTGGGCAATTTGCATTTCCTCAGACTGGAGATGACTGCACCCCTCATCCAGGAGGATACAGACAACCCCCGAGGGCACTGCTTAGAGAGCAGGCTGTTGGCTGATTTCTATCATTTCCTGCTTTCCTGGCACGACATTTCTGTGAAACACAAACTGCACAAGTCTACACAATGATCTTGATTTTGAATCTGTTGTCTGTCTCATTAGTTCCATGAAGACTAAAATGTGATTTCATGGTTGCAGAGTCCTCTACTGGGTACCTATCAACACTTACATTGCCTTCTCTCTAGTCTCAAAGAACAAATTTTTCTACCCCCTTATCCAAAGGCAACATCTCCACCAATGCCTCCTAGCTCATCTTCCACCAGCTCAATCAAACAACATATTTTTGCTTATTTATCTTCACCTTTTTATTTACACTGAAAACACAACTACCTTCCAGGTAACAGTAATTTGGTGGAAGAGGCTGGCTAGCTGTTCACCAAAACTTTTCCCCTTTCCTCCTGGGCACACAGGTAGACTATATTCTTCAGGTTCCCTTACAGTTAGCTGTGCTTTATGACTAAGATCTGGCAGATGGGCAAATGGACAAACACCAGAGGCATGTGGGACTAGCCTATACAATGTCCTGGGCAATCCGACATCACCACCATCTTTTCTCATGTGCAGAATATCCAGTAGAGGTCTGTGGGCCGTGGGGGATGGCAGGATCACTAGATTGAAGGAACGGGGTCCCTGAACAACTCCAGAGCTGACCAGCCATGCCAACCCTCCCTGGACTGTAACATAAGTGAGACGGTGTTTGGGTTAAGTCACTGAAATTGGTGGTTTTTACAGAAGCTGGCCTACCCTACTTAATGCACGTGCTCAAGCCTCTACCATTCAAAAACTAAATAAAACATCTTTTAAGTGTATGTCACTTCATTCTCATTCTTCAGATGCAACTTCCTCTCTTTCATCCCTCTTTCAACAGAATGTCTTTAAAAAGGCATCACCAAAGCCCACTGAAAAATGCACCACTTTCCATTTGCTAGGCTCTAGTGAGAAGTCAGACAACCACTAGAGGCCACTATTTTTATATGGTACAGGAAATTCAATGCTACCATGTTTCCTCTCTACATCCAAAGACATCAAGGCTACAGTAAAGTGAAAAGTAGCTCTGGTTTATCAAAATTTTAGAGATCATCATGCAATTTCTACCTTCCCAGTTGTTATCATAGAATGGATTTGGGCTTGGGGTTTGAGATACTTTACTGCTGGAAGAGAACATGTGGAGTTTGTTTTTTGCTCTTAGTCAAAATGCCACAGGTTCTTAAAGTAAAAGTAAGTTTCTGGAGACTTATTGCATTTTAGGTCACAAAGTCTAGAGTGTATCCTTTAAACTCCACCACTTCCCTCACAAGTACTCAGACTTGCATCTAAAGGATAATAAGTGTACTTAATTATTTTTTGAAATGCATGCACTATACAAAATTACCTCATTATCTGAGATTAGCTTGCATATTCCATCTGCTTTCTCCAACTCCCTCAGTGGATAGCAATGCAAAGAGATGAGAAGGATGTTGACTTTTGAGATTAGAACCAACTGTTACGGTTAACGTAGAGTTAGTGATAAGCTAAGTACATTTAAAACAAAGTAGAAAATGGTATGAAATACTACTATAGATAATCAAAACTAGAATTGGAAATTGAGACCTGAAAACTAAAAACCTTAAAAAATATTATGGAGAATATCCTATTGCAAGGTAGGTCTGGTATAGCTATTTATCTGATCAAAGAGTAAGAGTATAAAAGAATATTTCCGAAGTATTTTTTTTCCTCAAAACTACTTTTGCTCTGGAATAACCCAATACAAACATTAAAAGGAAAAATAAAAATAAAATTACATGACTTTAATGGTAATATTTGATGCTAACATTAGGTTGAGAGAAGGCAGCAAGTTTCTGTAAAGTTTTCAAATCATCTAGACTCAGATTTATGACTATATTAAATACTCACTGAATGACATTTAGTCTGCTGCTGTGGGCAGGTAGAGAGGCTGCTTATGCCTACCCAGTGATGTCTCCACACCAAGGAAGGGGAGGCACACTTGTCAGGTATAGGTAAGCCACTTCTGCCAGTGTTCATAAAGATGTAGGTAAGAATTGAACATAGGAAGGGAAAGCAATGATTATTTGCTAATATGAGGGAAATGCCGTATTAATGACTTTAATGGGAAGCTTCTTGTTGTCAGGAACTCGTCTGAAGTATGCCATACAGAGTGAAGAGCATACTGTTATTTATGATTGTGAGGCAGCAGGGCACTGTGGAAAGTCGACATATGTTCTGCAGGCCAGGGTTTGGTTCTGCTCTATCTCTTCCAAGATGGACATCCAAGGAAGGTTAGTATGCAGGTTATGAGCCTCTTTGATTCTGTTTCCTTCTTTGCAAAATAGGGATACTAACACCTGCCTAAGTTTGTGAGCCCCCCGCCAACATACATACGTGCATTGCTATTTTTAACTGTTATAAATAGCTAACAAACATTGATAATTCATTTAATACAATTCTCTAAATATTTTTTGAGAGGTTTATGTGTTGTCAGTAATGAGTTAGAAACTATAAGTGATTCTAAAAAGTGATTGGACTTTGGTTTCAAGGAGATTACAACCTATTTGGATAGTCAACACATATTCAGGCATCAATAAACATTAATATAAAATCATATGCCAGTAAGAGTATATATGGATTGTAGATTAATACAAAATGAGAGGTAGAACTTGAACCAGGTTAAATATATTCCTGAACAGAAGAGATTAAATATTAGTTAAAAAAGACAAATAATAAAAAAAGACAACTCAAGTTCTTTTTGGTTTGCTTTACTTCTTGAAATTTAATTGGACAGATTTGTCTGCATGAGACAGAAAACCCAAATAAGAGTAATCTAATTTAAGACTTAAGATAAAATTTTATTTCATACATAGACACACACATACACACACACACACACACACACACACACACACTCACACACACGTCTGGACAGGCAATCCAGGGCTGGTATGGCATCTGCTCAGTGTCAGAAGCCAGGTTCTTTCTACCTTGATGCTTGCATTCTCACTGTTGCCTCATTGTCCACGATGGCTGCTAAAGCTCCAGCCACACCTATGCATTCCAGGCAGCAGGAGGGAGGAAAAGGAGAAGAAGGGCCCACACCCTCTCTTTTAAAAAGACATCCTAGAAATGGCAAGCTATTTCCATTAACTTTTTACTATCAGAACTTAGTCATGTGTCCATACTGAGATGCCAAGCATCTGGGAACTAGAGTCTTCAGGCATTTATGAGAGAGAAAGAGATCATGGGTATTAGGTGGGAGTGATAATGGAGGTGGAGTTGGGAAGTCACTGGTAAGCTTGATTTCTCTTTTTGATTTCCTTCTCTAAGGAGAAAACTAGCACATGCACATTCAAGAAAGAGGCAGGAAGAAGGTAGATCTGGGCTTCCATTCCAGCCCTGCCACCCATTTGGTAAGACTGCTGTCTTTCTCTCTGCTTGCTTTTTCTCATCTGTAAAATGAGGGCTAAATTATTTAACTGATTTGAACTTCTATAATTCTATCATGAGTAAAAGCAGACTGGTGAAGCTGGGCCCAGTGACTTTATGAAATGGGAAAGGTTCAAAAGGTTAACATTTAAAAGATTAGATTAATAAATTAACTAGGTCATTGTTCTAGAGAAAGGTTTAGAATCCCAGAGTCATGAAGGGAGAGTTCTCATTCCTTGGTGATATTGGTCCTAGTTTACACATAGCCAGTGGAAATTGTCATTTAGAGATTGTTGATATGATGTTTCATGAGCCTCTGCATGCAGAAAATTTCATATAGCAAGGTCTGCTGGATCCAATTCTTTTTGGCAGCTAGCCTAGTAAAGCAAGGAAGATATGTCAGAAGACCTTGATTTCTGTCCTGGCTTGGCCACTCACTGCCTCTGTGACTCTTCTTTTTTTTTTTTTTTTTTTTGAGACAGAGTCTTGCTCTGTTGCCCAGGCCGGAGTACAGTGCATGGTATCAGCTCACTGGAACCTCTGCCTCCCAGGTTTCAAGTGATTCTCTTGCCTCACCCTCCTGAGTAGCTGGGATTACAGGCACCTGCCACCATGCTCAGCTAATTTTTGTATTTTTAGTAGAGAGGGGTTTTGCCATGTTGGCCAGGCTGGTCTTGAACTCCTGACCTCGTGATCCGCTCTCCTTGACCTCCCAAAGTGCTGGAATTACAGGCGTGGGCCACCGCGCCCGGCCCTCTGTGACTTTTAACAAATCATTTAACTTCTTGGGGTTTCAATTTCACTAAATGTAATTTTTTTGTTGGTATCCCAAGAAGATAATGTAACCCAAAATCTTTCTGCTTCCCACTAAGGATGTCACAAATATTTTAATGTGCAGATGTACATTGAACGGGCAGGCTGACCAAGAGGGAAATAAATTGTGTATGGATCTGTTGAAACATGTGGCTGCTCTCATGGTGGAAGGTTTTAGTAGTAGCAGCAGCAACAGCAGCAGTACAGCGTCTGCTGCAAAGCAACTGTGTGTGGTATTGAGAAGACCGAGGACGTGCTGCTGTGGTGGGACTGAGCCAGCCCAGGTAACAGCTCAGCTTTCTGAGCTAGTGAGGGATCATTTCCAGCAGCCTGGGTGCCCAGCTCATGGAGGCTGAGGAGCAGAATCCAGGATGCAATGCTGGGAAAATGGCCAGGGGCATAGTGGGTCAAGGGAAAGTGAAGGATGAGGGTGCTTCCTGACCTTGAGGAGGTTTGGCTCAATGCAGAAACACTCTGGTGAAATGACATTTGTTTTCTGGTGCTAAGCATGCTTCATACTCCTTTAGGTTGGTGATGTTGAAAGATGTTTGACTGCACCACAGGGAAATATATGAGTGAGAGACAAAGTTCAAGGCCAAAAATATAAATAGGGGGATGTGCAGAGGGGGTGTTCTTCCACATTAAGCAGAAACCTTATACTATGAATTGGTGGGTGGTACATTTGGATGCCAGAAGTATGTGAGAACTGCAGCAGATCCTCTGTTCAATTCCCTTTGTGTAGTGAAGAATTAGCTTACCCAAAGGAAGTTCTGGTCTCTGTCCTTGGCTGGGAGTTGGGGTGGGGGGTGAGATCTAAGTACCCACAATGTCCTGACTAATAGGAGTACCTTTGTTTGCCTCAGGGCTTCGGTCACCACACAGCCTAACAATGTGATATATGATGGGGGCTTAGGACATACCTTATCAGTTGCAAACTCTGGAAGAACTAGCAACTAGAGGTATTTTCCTAAAACTCTGGGAGGAGCTAGAGACTAAAGATCAGCCACATGGGCAGTAGACTAAACTCCAGTAAAATCTCTGAACACCAAGACTAAGGTGAGCTTCACAGTTGACAATATTCTCTGAGTTATGTCATATATCATAGCTGAGAGAGGGCAATACCATCCAGGATTCCATAGGGAGAAGGTGACTGGAAGCTCTGCATTTGTATCCCTCCTCTGCTGTGCCCTCTTTATTTGCCTGGTTCTAATTTGTCTCCTTTTACAGACTAAGCAAACCTTATCCCAAACTCCAAAATTCAAAATGCTCCAAAATCCAAAACATTTTGAGCACCAATATGATGCCACAAGTGAAAAATTTCACACCAGACCTCACGTTTCATGCACAAAATTAGTAAAACTATTGTATAAAAGTACCTTCAGCCTATGTATATAAGATGTATATGAAACATAAATGAATTTTGTATTTAAAGTTGGGTCCCATCCCCAAGATAACTCATTACGTATATGCAAATATTCCCAAACCTTAAAAATTTCAGAAATTCAAAACACTTTGGGTTCCAAGCATTTTGGATAAGGGTTACTCAACCTGTATTATAATAAAACTGTAATTTTAAGTATAGAACTTTTTGAGTTGTGTGAGTCATCCTGACAGATTACTGAATCTGAAGGAGTCTGTGGGGACTTTGAATGTGACCAGCTGGTCTGAAGTGAGGGTGCCCTGGGGACCCTTGAACTTGTGGCTGGTGTCTGAAGTGAGGGCAGTCCTGTACAGGACTGTGCCATTGAGGGACTAGGTGGCTAAGTTGGCTGGACTTCCTGGGACAATAGGGACTTCCCTAAGGGGACTTTCCCCTAAGCCAAAATGAGTTATAGCGGCAAGCTAAGGGATTGAAACTTCAACCAATCATATAGGGAGTTTAAGCTCTAGCTGCAGCCTGATGTTTTTAACCAGTGAGGCCCACCAACCCACAAGAGGATAGAAAATAAGCTAATTCTATAGGATAGGAAAAGGAAAAGGGGAGGGGTCATAAGGGGATATAAGCATAAGACACCCAAGGCACACCGGGCCGGTGGCTCACGCCTGTAATCCCAGCACTTTGGGAGGCCGAGGTGGGCGGATCACAAGGTCAGAAGATCAAGACCATCCTGGCTAACACAGTGAAACCCTGTCTCTACTAAAAATACAAAAAAATTAGCCGGGCGTGGTGGCGGGCACCTGTAGTCCCAGCTACTCGGGAGGCTGAGGCAGGAGAATGGCATGAACCCGGGAGGCAGAGCTTGCAGTGAGTAGAGATCGTGCCACTGCACTCCAGCCTGGGCGACAGAGCGAGACTGTCTCAAAAAAAAAAAAAAAAAAAAAAAAAAAAAAAGACACCCAAGCCAAAAGCGGCCTTCCGGGTCCCCTTCCACCACATGGAAGCTTTACTTTCTTTTTCATTTTACTTTCGCTTTTATAAATCTTGCCGCTGCACACTCTGGGTACATGCGCGTTTCTCTAATCGAGCTGTAACACTCGCCGCTGCGGTCCACGGCTTCATTCCTTGAAGCCCGTGAGACCACGAACCCTTCGATCGAGAAAAGACCTTCGACAGGGAGATTTCTGGTCTCACCATCAGACTTGCTGTTTGACAACTAGCTGCAGGTTGGTGTCAGACAACGTCGGCGGAGTTGGCAATCTAGAAGGCTGTGCCTTGAACCTGGAGTTTCTCTTTGGGTGCTCTTCATGTAAAGTCTCCTTCCTCTTTAGGGTCTGCTGCATCCTTGTGGTTAACGCTGTTATCTGGCCATTAAATATCCGTCCAGGTGCAGAGGCTCACGCCTGTAATCCCAACACTTTGGGAGGCCGAGGTGGGTGGGTCACTTGAGGTCAGGAGTTTGAGACCAGCCTGGCCAACATGGTGAAACCCCATCTCTATAAAAAAAATACAAAAATTAGCCACGCGTGGCGGCCTACACCTGTAGTCCCAGCTACTTGGGAGGCTGAGGTGGGAGAATTGCTTGAACCCAGGAGGTGGAGGCTGCAGTGAACCGAGATCATGCCACTGCACTCCGGCCTGGGCAACAGATTGAGACTCTGTCCCAAAAACAAACAAACAAACAAAAAATCCATTGTCCTTTTCTTGAACATTTTTAAGGGCAGCAATGTACCTATATGAGCTAGGGGTTGGATCAAGTTCGGTCAAAGTCAATCATGACAATTCTATTTTCTGTTTCCCTTTAATCTGTAGGTCTTCATGTGACCCAGGTCTGACCATTGAGCTCTAAGCAGATTTCTTCTGGGGGACGCATGTATTCTGGGGAAGGTTTTGCCCTCCTAATAAGAAAGTATATTGCTTTTCACCTGTTGCTGGTTTATCTGCCTTAAATGTGACACAATGCTTGGAGGGCAGACTGTAAGGCTATAAGCCAACATGCTAAGGAGAGCTGAATCGAGCCAAGGGCACTAATGACATTTTTAGGCCACTGCATTAGCCTTCTGCTACCTGTTTCCAGACTTCTTGTTATGTAAGGAAAATAATTCTGTATTTGGTTACAGCCAGTATATGTCTGATTCCCTGTTGTTTGTAGCCAAATGCGCTTATAGCAGGTCCAAGTCCCTCAAGAAGGAATAAAGACACGAAGCACCACATTCAAGGTCAGAGGCTGCACCAAGATGGTGCTCCAGTTTCCTGACTCCTACTAAACACTTTTTTCAGTGCTACTTTTTCCCCCTATTTTATCCTTTATTTTATGAATGATAATAAGCTTCATATTCTACATACTATTCTATAATGTAAATAACCTTCCAGTTACATAAATTATATACATATAGCTCAGTGATGTATTACCAGAGCCTCAAAACAATAATTTAACTTGAATGATCAATTTGCTTTTTTCATAATTTTTCTTATATTTTTCAGACATCTTTTTATATTGACATTTACCAACTCCCATCCCAGCATACCTTATATCTTCATATGTGGTGCATAATCATGTCATAAGCATTTATACTAAAACTACTTTATTCTATCCACTGAAGCATTAATACTCTCAAAAAATGTCAAAAAGTTTATTAATTTTATCTCAGCTGCTGGAAAGCATCTATATAATCTTTGCTCAAAATAAATTTGTTTATTTGATTTTAAACAAATATTAAATTGACTACATTTATGAGTAATTATTAAAAAGACTTTTCTCACCTTATTCTGTTTATTTCAAAAAAAGTCATCTCTGTTTTACAGGATAAATCCCATAGTTCTAGAGAATAAAGCCCATAAATTGTAATTTTCCTCTGTTATTGACTGAGCTGAGAACATAATTAGTATATATTTCCCTTCCAAAATGTCTGCACTAAACAAAAACCTATAAATCAATCACTTTTCAGTCCCTCTAATTTCTTATTATTAATGTTTAATTAGGAAATCTCATATAAGAATATTTACATCTACATTTTCACACCAAGAACTTTAAGCTCACACTTCAAAATGTTCTAGTCTGGAGTACTTTTTTAACTTATAGGGTACAAATAAATAAACAATATACATCTAAATAATGTCACTGTTGGTTTTAGAATCTACCTGAGTTCTTTCCCTTTCTTCTTACAAAAAAAAAAAAAGCTTTAATACAAAGATCTATAGGATATTACAGTACTGAAAAGATTCTGCCCATTCTATGTAAACTATGCATTTCAAAAACAAGATAGGAGAAGCAGAATTCCACTTTGTGGACTTGCTTTTCCATCAACATCTGACTTGATTCTCAAAAATTTTTGAGAATAAAGTACCTTTTATACAAGTGGATCAGAGTCCTTCCAAATATTCTTCCATTTCTCTGTAAAAGCATTCTGCTGAATTTATATCTCATTTTATTGGCATAAAACAAGCAAAAGCCCCTGAATCATAATATATATTTTGTCTGAAAGGAAGAAACTATGCCTGTGGCTTTCTCCTTCTTCCCAACATGGAGATTTTAGGGAAGAAATGATAGACCCTGATTTGGCCACATTTTAAACACAGAATAAGCATGTAGCAAAACCACCATCTGGGTTCCCCATTGTAGAAAGTTAAGTGTTTTGCAGGATACTTCATAGCAGAATCACTTAAGCCTTATTTTAAATCTCAAAACATGTTAGAAAAGAAAATTGAATACAACTGACTGAAATTTTAGAAAACACAAAGAGAACATCTATAAATTATGAAAGGACAGGTCCTTTCCTTTCTATCAGGCAGAAAAATCATCTTACATTATTTATACAAGATAAGTGAAACATTTAAAAAAATATATAAAATATGTGATGGGATTCAATAAAAGCAGAAGAAAACAGTAATAGGATTTATTTACACATGTAATAAATAAATAAATAGGTTCAGAAGGACTTAAAAAAGAATTTAATGTCTTTTCAAAATATCCCTCTAAGTTCAGTGTCTGTATTAATATTGCCATACAAACATGGAGCACAAGTAGCTCCTTTTAGGAAACTCACTCATCAAATAGCAGCTTCAGGACCAAAAGCTTCATGTTGTGACCTCTGAACTGTTTCAACTAGATGATTTGTCTTTCATGGGAATGGGTCATGTTCAAGAGATTAACTGCTATGTAAATGCAAAACAGGTTAATTAGGAATAATGAATTAAATAATTGTATCCTTATGTGGCCACTGTTGGGAGTTTGGGGTGAGCTGAAAGGTATTCATGGAGGACAATATAATCAGCATAAAAATATAAAAATCTAATAGGCCCCCAGTAAATGTTCAGCTGGCACTACTGCAGTGATTCCAGAAAAAAAGAAATCTATCTGTACAGATAAAAAGAATGTAGAGAATTGAGGCAATTTCTAAATATTTTAGACTTTTCCTAAAATCACAACTGAAATATTGAGATTACTTTATAAAAATCTGAATTACTTAAAATCTTCACGTTTCATCATGTGTACATAGTTTAAATCCTTGTGCAAGACATTTTCAAATATCCATAAGAAAAAAGTGGTACAAAGAAAAGGCCACTCACAAAAATTTTACAACTTCAATTTACCTAAAAAGGATTTTTCTCATCTGATGTCATTTATATGTACATTGTAAAATAAATTAGTATTTAGATGTGAGGAGAAGAATAGAAATGAAAGAAATACAGGCTGAGCAAGAAACCGCATCTTTAATCAAAGTGAGTCAGAAAAGCTAAAACTGACGATTTATCCTCTTGATCATATGATCGGTAAAATCAGAAAGGAGAATATTGTTTTCCACCTTAAAGGGAAGAATGCAGTGATAGAAAAAGAAGTAGGAGGTTTGAAAAGTAAGACTCAGAACTTACTCTTCAGTAAAAAAGCTTATGCATAAAGATACTTTAAAAAAGTAAGAAGGAGCCATTATTTATAAAAAGGTTACCACTTGGCTAGAACAAAAAATTCCATTTTAAAGTAATTTCAGAATTTCATCCAAACAAAGCATGCTTTTATTTTGGGTTGTTTTAATGATTGATTTATATGTGCCAAGGTTGGAAAGTGATCATTTCAATAATTTCATATTAACATCCACTGTTGCCATTTGGTTGGTAGCCTTGTTTGAATGAAGTCACCTTTATATTTCCAACATCCCTACCTTCTGTTTTTCAAGATTTGATGGTGAAATTAATTTAATTCCCCAGAATTAGACTTAATAGGGAGTGAGATAAAATATAAAAGTAGATTTAATGGTACATTAGAAATAACATATATGAGGTGAGGCATGCTTGTCTACCAGATGGAGCCAATGGCATAAGGACAACCAAAAACAACAATGAAAAAGAGACAAGTTGTTTAACATCAACTGGAATCTCTAAGATAGAACAGAAAGTAAGCACCAGGTTTTTGGCAGAATTTGAATGAAAGAAGAAGCATGGTACATAGTTTTCAATACTTAGAAGAAAACCAGTGAGTATCAGGTTTACTATCAGGAAGAGTACTCAGGCACCAAATAAGTAGCCTAGAGCAGTGCCTCTCATACATGAATATGCTTGTGAATCATCTAGAGATCTTATTAAAACATAAATTCTAATTCAGTAGTTGTGGGATGGGGCCTGAGATTTTCCTGTCTCCAACAAGCTCCAGGAGATAAGGATGCTGCTGGTCTGGAAACCACTTTCTGAATAGCAGGGCACTATAGTTTGGAGTAGGAACAGGTGCAGGCACTTTCTTGGTGCATGCTTGAATAAGCTGTCCAGGAGTTGAGATAGTCTTGGTAACCCCTGGACTAGCTGGTTCTCTTTCCTATGGATGTCACTCTAGAGTGACAAGGCCACTCAGAGGGGAGACAAGAACAGAATATGCAGAATTCTCTTGGGAAGAGAAAGATGACTAGTGTTTTCCCAAGCACAAGACAGAAAATGATCATTTGGTAATTACTTTAAATTGATTCATTTTAATAGATTCTACCTGTTCCTAATAAATAAAATCTGAATCATATTCAGTATGCCTTTTCTCCTGAAGGAATAGAGTTATTTTTTAACTGTTAGAGAGAAAAAAATTATTATTGATTTGATTATTAGCCAAGGTTCAGAAAACAGAAAATAATTAAAAGCTTACAAGAAAGCCATTTAAATTAAATTAAAAATTATATTTAAATTATATCTTGTTATTTCCTATTTTCAATAATATTTTGTGGATACCAAATTATATTATCTTCACCTTATATTACCTTCTAATAACCTCAAATAAAGCTGTATAAATAGAAAGAAGGCTATTTTTAGTTAACTAAAACAGAGTTATATGAGAAGAGACTGAGTATAGCTCTGCAAGTGATTTTACTATAATTCAATTTTGCATGTTTATGTGACCTACAATTTATGCTGTAATGTTAAAGAATAGTCAGCACTATCCTGTCTTCTCACAAAATATATCAGTACCAAAAGTAAGATCAATTTGAGGTTCAAAATAGATATCACTCTGTTGAAAGAGGGCAACCTGTTTTTGCAAAGTAATGCATTATTCAGGGTTTATTTGAGATAAAGAATAATTGTTGTCTCACCTTTGCTAGATGTATATAACTTTACCACTCGGAGAAATTACAGGTATTTTCACTTTATTTTTGTCCTTGGAGGTGTCATTTTTCTTCTTTTACTAAATTACAAAGATTTTTTTCATTGATAAAGCTAACTCTGTCCCAGTCCAATTTTTTTTTTTAAATAGAAAAAGAAATAACTATTTTCTGCTAAAGCTCTTTTTGAGAATTCTAATCCTGTTTACACTATTGGGGAAAAAGTAGAGCATAACATAATTCATATGAGTTTAAGGAAATTAACCTATTTGTTACTCTTATTGGACTGCTTTCATTTGTCATTAGTTTTTAGCATAGATTAACAATTAACAAATAGTGTATTTATTTTTTTATAACTTTTACATTAACTATTATAAACTAAGTATAATCGGATGTTTCATTTGAATTTTTTATACAAGTAACAAGGCAATAATTTGGAGCACAAGAAATATTTATCACAGAATGTGAGGTACAATTAGGCCTTGTAGATAAATTACTCTTTTTTTTTCACATTTTTAAACACTGTATTACCTATCAGCACTCTAGAAGCAGGCATAGTTTTTGTGTGTGAAAACTAAGAAGACACAGTTAAGTATTTTAAAGAATCTTCTACTAAAAATCTGTTTACTTTCATATTAAATCCAGTAGTTTCTATGATTTATATAATGTTCTAAACGATTTGAGTTATACCAAGATAAACCATAGTTATTTTCTTTATAATTTTTCATTTTGGTGAGCAAAACAGACCGAGTTTGGAGAATAACTAAAGACATCTCCTGTGAACAGAGTAATGTACGCTGCTCCACCCAGGGTGATTCAAAGGGAATTTGCTCACCAATGTTTTAAAGTCTACAGAGGTCAGGTATATTATACAGAAGCAAAAAGGTGAAACAATACTTACAGAGATTGAAATCACACCCTTAATGTGTCCTCACCAATATTTCAGGTTTTATATCCTCAACCACCCTACTATTCTCAGGACTTTAAAAACATAAATATAGATATACACATAAATATATATGTAGATACATGCACATATACGTATATACTGATACATACTTTAAAAGCATATACACAGATATGTATTTGTATGCATGCATGTGTGTAATTTACTCAGCTAAACCAAGTTTGTTTATAGTGTTTAAAATCTTTTGCTTGTTTGTTTTCTAGTATCCAGATGTGGCATAAATCTTAGTAGATCTAAGTTAATATGACGTGAATCAGAGGAAGCCACCACAAAGTAATACGCTGGGGGAACAGGTGACTTTAGAACAAGGATCCAGGGCCAAGCACGGTGGCTCATGCCTGCAATCCCAGCACTTTGGGAGGCCAAAGTGGGTGGATCACCTGAAGTCAGGAGTTCAATACCAGCCTGGTCAACATGATGTAACCCCAACTCTAGTAAAAATACAAAAATGAGCCAGGCGTGGTGGCACTTGCCTGTAATCTCAGCTACTCAGGAGGCTGAGCAGAGAATGACCTGAGCCAGGGAGGCGGGCAGTTGCAGTGAGCCAAGAACATGCCATTGCACTCAAGCCTGGGCGACAGAATGAGACTCTGTCAAAAAAAAAAAAAAAAAAGAACAAGCATCCAGGAATTTAAAGATGAATGTTTGAAAAGGCTTCAGGCTTTTAGAAATCATAGATTTTTGGATCATTTTGAGCCACCAGTAGGAGCAGAAGTAAGGAAAAGGTTTAGATAGGCGGAGTGGAGGTCAGAAAATTTCTGAGGTACAGTTGAGGGAATTTGCTGATGCTTTGTGATGGTATCAGGGAAGGGGCTTGAAAACAAGGAAGGAGGGGAATTAAGAATGACTCTTATGTTTGGCTTCAGCATCTACGTGGATTATTGTTCTATTTACAGAAATCTGGGAGGGGTAACTGAAGGAAGCATACATATGATTAACTACCATCTCTAGATTTTAAGTCCTTTTCTTGATTATATCCCTTTCTATGCTGTCTTTACTAGATTCTCTCAGAAACATACAGCACATATAGATACTGTAATTTTTTTTCCTTTTTGATCACTGATATGGTTTGGCTGTGTCCCCACCCAAATCTCACCTTGACTTGTGGTAATCCTTATGTGTCAAGGGAGGGGCCAGGTGGAGATAAATGAATCATACGGTGGTTTCCCCCATACTGTTTTCATGGTAGTGAATGAATAAGTCTCATGAGACCTGATGGTTTTATAAACGGGAGTTTTCCTGCACAAGCTCTCCTGCCTGCCATCAGGTAAGACCTGACACTGCTACTCATTCAACTTCTGCCATGATTGTGAGGCCTCCCCAGCCATGTGGAACTGTGAGTCAATTAAACCTCTTTCCTTTATAAATTACCCAGACTTGGAATTAGCAGTGTGAGAACAGACTAATACAATCACCATGTTAGGCTTCAGAGTTAGTTGGCCCAGGGATCTGCGACTTTTAGTAGGCTTTCAGAAACCCATGTTGGGCAAGAAGCAAGCAGATGGAGTTTACCTTCCGAAATAGAGTTTCAGAGTGTTGGAGTTGAAGGGCAGCTACAATTTTAATTTTCTTCTGCAACTTTAGTGGGTCAGTTTCTAGTTCCTTAGTCAATATGTTCCTCCACAACTGGCAGGAGGTCCTTTCCCTTCTCCATGTCTGAGCAGCAGAGTGGAGGGGCCTGGGTACATTGGTTCCTTCAGGAGTCTTACCTCTCCTGGAGTCTTTAGGGGGACATATCCTGCGTAAGAGGGATCAGAAATGTTTACTGCTTTTCTTTCACATTTTCCTCTCTCTTCTAACACACAAATATATCTTTATCTCTAATACAATAATTGCTTTGGTTAAAGGATAGAGAATGGAGAGCAGGAAGAGAAGGGCAGTGAGCCTTCAAATACAGATTGAAAGAAGTTACAGAGCAGTGATGAATAAGATCGTACATTTATGTTTCTTTTTGCACACTTACCATTTTAGGACAAATAAAATGTTTCCTAGTCTGCATTATAAAAAGAAATTGTCTTTTGTAACCACCAATGCCTCAGTTGCTTCCATGTGAGTTAATAATTCTTTAATTATTTCCACGTCTTTCTCTTTCTTTTATTCCCTCTTCCCTCCCTCCCTGCCTCTCTCCTTTCCTTCTTTCTTTATTTCCTGTTCTTGCTCTTTCTCTCTTTCTGGCTAACATTTAAGAAAGTGTGTATCTGGCATGGACTGCAATATCTAATTGCAATGCTTGGCTGGGCGCGGTGGCTCACTCCTATAATCCCAGCACTTTGGGAGGCCGACGCAGGTGGATCACTTGATGTCAGGAGTTTGACACCAGCCTGATCAACATAGTGAAATCACGTCTCTACTAAAAGTACAAAAATTAGCTGGGCATGGTGGAGCTATTCAAGAGGCTGAGGCACGAGAATTGCTTGAACCTGGGAGGCGGAGGTTGCAGTGAGCCATGATCACGCCACTGCACTCCAGCCTGCGTGACAGAGTGAGACTCTGTCTCAAAAAACAAACAAACAAACAAAAATCTAATTGCAATGTTGCTACACTAGACAACCAATTTTGTTGAATAAGACACTTTTGAAACTGAACTTTTTGACCCTGTACACTATTTAAATACAAAATGCAGTTTGATTCATAATGGCTCTTATTATTGTATTCTATGTAACAGGAGTTTTTCAATAGAAATGATAAAAACCACATTTTTTTTTAATACAGAAGAAAACTTTTCCAATCTTATTACTCTGAAAATGTAATTAATGCCAGCCATTTATTCTTGGGAATTAACAGAGCATCTGTTAAATTGGAGGGATAACATGGTATGCCTCTCCTTTTTATACCTATGTGTTCTGTTTTTTTTTTTCTTTTTGTCTTCTTCTCAGACAACAAATTTAAAAGACTGAGCTGCCTCTTTCTGCAAGGCATGCCAGTATAATACTGAAGCAGTTAGATTAACTCTGTTAGCTGACCAAGCTTGAATTTTCCCTAAGATTCAGTATCCCCACATGTGAGGTATTCCTGAAGTTACATTGCAGGTGGCATCTCAGAACTAGGAAGACCAGATGGCCATGTCTTTCCCATGATGGGCTGGTACACAGTATAGATTGTACACTGAACAACTCCAGGGTCACCACTTTCATAAGCTCCCTAAAGTTGTACACAGTTCCATCTCTTCAGCCATGCTCAGCCTTATTGCACACTCATCCCTACCATAAATGGAAGTCTCTTCCACTTAAAAAAATCTATAACTCTATGATTTACTGCTTTTATTCTTTATACTTTCTAATGACTTACTCTAAGATAACCCTTTTTCATTTGTTCCCTTGATGACTTAGCTTCATCAAGGGAATGGGACTTCTGATAAAACAGCATGGCTTTGTGAAATCGATCATGGTCCTAGAAGTGACCCTTGGGTTTGAGTCTGGCTCTGCCACCTGCTAGCTTTGTAAACCTTAGTGGCTATACTCCTCCAAGATGACTTTCTTCTTTTTTAAAATGAGGATAACAAAATCTTAACCTCAGGACCACTGTAAGAATAATTAGTGCCTAATGCAGAATATCACAAATGCTTAATAAATATTGGTTTCCTTCTCCCACATATTTGCCAGTCCAGATTTGATTACTAAAATTGTAAGAACAGTGGTACTAACAATGCTTCACAAATTTACCTAAGATGACATAATTTAACTGTAGCTGTGCCCTCCCCTCATATAAATATCTAAATATCTATATACTTTCTCTTCATGTTTACAGTCATAGTTGCTTGGCAGAGAAATTAAAGGTTCTTATGGTAGCTTATGACTCAGCTCAACTACTATCTTGGGATCTCTTTTTGATGCATTCCTTGTGATACTCATTGTACTTAAAACATCCTAATTTAGAAAAATATTTTTGATTTTCCATAGCTAGCAAAGATTTCCCCATTAAAAATGTCCACCCACAGAAATATTTCCAACTAGTATGTTTTACATAAAAACAGGGCAAACCGTGAACAAATTCTCTTCCATTCCCTAATCCCCAAAAGTTTCAATGTCTTGCCTGTATTCCCTCTTTCCCCTAAAAAAAGCACTAATTGAACTAGATAACAGATATGAAGAAATTACCTACTGTACAAAAGAAGAGAAAAAAGATACAAAAATATAAAAGAGGAGTTACGAGATGTAGATGACAGAATATGCAGGTCCAACCTACATCAACATGAGATTCCAGAGGGAAAGAAAAGAGAGGATGGGAGAAAGCAATGTCTTCGGAGTTAAGGGCTAAAAATGGTCCAAAAATGATGAAAGGTAAGTATCTTCAGAAATAAGCTTTGAACAAGATTAATAAAAAGAAATACACCATATATATTTTGTAATGAAACAGTAAAAGCTCAGAGACAAAGAAAACACATTAATATCAGTCAGAATAAAGGCAAATTACCAAAAATGAATAATTATCATAAAACAAACTTTTCAACAGCAACAATGGAGTTTAGAAGACAGTAGAATATCATTTTCAAAGTGCTGAGAGGAAAAAAAACCCATTACCTTTGAATAGTACACCTGTCTAAACAATTCAAAGAATGACATTTCTAGGCAAACAACAAATTGAAAGTGCTATCACTAAAATAACTCACTACCAGACCTTTTAAAGGATGTACTCCAGGAGGAAGAAACATGGTTGCAAAGAGAAGGACTGAAATTAAAAAGGAATAGTGAGCAAATAAATTGGTAAAACGTAAGGGAATCTGAACAATAACTATCAAGCACAGCAATAATAATGTCCAATTAGAGTGGTTAAAAATAGTACAAAAACAATAGGTAGTTACATGTATAATGATAGAGCAGTCATAAGAAAACTACAGACCAATATCCCTCATCATCAGGGACACATAATTTCATAGCAAAATACTAGTAAATGAATACAGCAAGATAAAAAAGGATAATAGATCATGACAATTGGGTTTGCCACTGTAATGCAAGGTTGAATCAAATATCTAAATATCAAATTATCTAAAATACAATACCAAAAATAATATGCCACATTAGTAGAAAGAAAAGTCACACTATTAATAGATTCTTAAAAAGTATTTGATGTGTCGATACTCACTTATAATTAAAAAAAAACTCTCAGAAAACTAGGAGTAGAAATAAAAAGTACATATGAGAAACCTACAGGTAACGTAATGGTGAAAGACAGAATGCAAAGATGATCATTCTTATTGTGGATATTACACTGGAGATCCTAGCTAGTGAAATGAGTCAAGTGAAAAAATTAAGGGCATTTACATGGAAAAAGATGAGGTAGCCAGGTGCAGTAGCTCATGCCTGTAATTCCAGCACTTTGGGAGGCCGAGGCAGGCAGATCACCTGATGTCAAGTGTTCGAGACCAGCCTGACCAACATAGAGAAACCCCGTCTCTACTAAAAATACAAAATTAGCCAGGCGTGATGGCGCATGCCTATAATCTCAGCTATTCTGGAGGCTGAGGCAGGAGAATCGCTTGAACCCACGAGGTGGAGGTTGCAGTGAGCTGAGATCACGCCACTGCACTCCAGCCTGGGCAACAAGAGCGAAACTCTGTCTCCCAAAAAAAAAAAAAAAAAAAAAAGATGCAGTAAAACTGTCTTTCTCTATCTGCAGACATGATTATCTATATAAAATACTCTAAGAAAGCTATAAAACAGGATATAAACAAAATATACAAACTCAGTTGTAGTTTTATTTACTAGCAATTAAAAAAAACCTAAAAATGAAATGTTGCATTGTTTTCTTTAAAAATAAGCACTCAACATGCATAGGTTATACATAAGCATAACATATATGTGAGTATGAACGTTATTTTTTTTTCTCCTTTTCCAAAAACTAAGAGAAGCTAATGAATGATAGTGAGTGTGTGTGTGTATGTGTAAGTGTGTGTGTAGGTGAGAACAGCGTGAAGTAAAGAAATATATGAAAGTGTGGATACAGAAAAACATTTTACTTGATTTCCTTGATTTAAAGCAACAAACAAAAAATACAGAAAATGAATCTATGTATAACAGTATTGCCTATAAATAAAATAATTCTTGATATTTTATTTAGCAAATGTTTGGACAGGGCCTAAACAAAGAATATTTTCTAACACATTATGTGGTTCAATGGCCTTGAACATTTCTTTATTATGCTACAGTAATAAGTTAAACCAAACAGCACTAAAATTAAATGGCTGGTGAACCTGATTGTTTTGTCCTGATTGCAGAAATTATTTATTAAAAATTCATATGCTAGCATCCCAATAGACAAATTAAAATATTATATGACACAAGTCCCCAAAGAAGAAACATAAGTGGCTAACAAACAGGAGAAAATGTTCAACATCAGCTATGGCAAAGACATACAAATTAAAACAACAATGAGATCCAATTAGTAATTTACATATTCAACTTAGAAATTTAAAACAAAATTATGAGGAATGCATGGGACCAAAACAACCACTACTAATAAAAAGGCAAGTTTTCAGAACACTTGACCCCAAATTCTTCTTTGTAAAAATGAACTTATCCAAAAAATAATTTAAATGTTTTGTGCAGAAAAAACCCATTGAGCCAAAATATTCACAATAAGCAAATGGCTAAGTAAATTAAAATATCTTGATAAATTTTGAAATATTATTTGATTATTGAAATTAGATGTTTGCAAGGAATGGGCATATATTGTCATAATAGTTAAAAGTTATAATACATAATTATAGAGTATAGTTAACACGACTCTCAGTAACACGTTAAAATATGCATAGAAGATAGGAGAAAGAAATAAAGTGCAGAAATAATAATGATCCTATCTAGATGGTGGCATCACAGTGTTTTACTTTCTTTTTTAACTTTTTAGAACAATATATATTATTTTTATGATCAGAAGTAAGCTGTGTAGTAGTTAAAGAAAGAAATAATTGAATCAGACTTTCCTATCTTGGAAATATGCCTTTTGTGACTGGCTTTAATAATGCTGTCCAAAGGGTAGTCCTACTCACCACAGCAGGTTCAATCTTCACACCTGGTGGTTGATCATTTGGGTTACTCTAACATATTATGAAAAAAAGAAAAGACTACATTATTAAAGAAGTCCCGTCCTTCATTTAATTTCCTGACAGTATCCTTTCTGCTCTATCCCCTTTCCTTTTCCCCTGCCAACTCCACCCCAATCCACCCTCACACAGATTTATGCTGAGATTTATGCCCATCACCAGACAAACAGAAGAGCTATTATTTAAAAGCATCACATGTCACTGAGATGAAGTAATTATTACTTTGACATTCAAGACCTTGGGATTAATATTTTAAAGTTCCCATTGCTCATTTGCTATGTGAATGTTGATGTCTGTGTTTGGTAGGAGAATGAAACAGTATTTAAAGCCAAATAACAAAAATAGTTAAATGGATAAAAACAGTCTCAAGATAAAAACCCTAAAGTACTTGAAATGGCTAAACAGTTCTTTCTTGTTCACATGCAATCCATTCAACTACATACAACAAGCATTAGTGCACCTATTATGTACCCTTGTACTGAATATGCAGGCTAATCTACCTAAGCAGATTGTATGCAGAAGTAATTTTCTATTTCCCCAGAAGATCTACAAAAGAAATGAGCTTAAACTGGTGTGATTAAATCTGACTTGATTTAAAAAAAGATATTCAATTGAAAGAATAATTAAATATTGGAAAAGGTTTCCCATCAAGGTTGTGAATGGCTGAAAGAGTTGTAAAAATAAGACAAGCATTCAATAAAGATGGATGATTGCCTCAGTGCCATGCAGGCTACAGGGTGGTAGCTAAGTCAGCTGAGCATTTGGATTCTCTTCGATCCTTAATTCTCAATTTTTTAATAGCTGTTTTATGGCATCACTTTAACATCAAACATCAAAGAAAGTGGATTATTCAGTCCAATCCAGCACAAAAGAGGATTAACATTTTATTTAAGGAACTATTCCAGCAGCATGTATATACTGCATTGTAAGAAGACCATTCATTCTTTCATTCTTTCCTTTAGAAATGTTTAGCGAGCACCTACTGGCTGCCAAGCACTGATCTTAGGAGCAAGGGAGTTATAGGAAGCCTATGCCTTCATGCAACTTACATTCTAGTGGGTGAAACAGACAAAAAAGAGATAAACAAAAATATGTAATATATAAGTGTAATAACAAAAATAGATTTAGAGAAGAGACAAAGGGAGATGTGAGTGCTATTTTAGTTAACACTGGCCAATAGGGGGTAGAATCTGTTTGAGGAGAACATTTGGACAGAGATCTGAATTAAATGAGGGAGCAAGCTCTGCTAATATCTGAAGGAAGAGGAGTCCAAGTAGAGATCAGTGTCACAGAGATTGGATTGGCTTTCATGATCAAGGAAGAAATAGGTACAGGGAGATTTGTAGGAAGTGAGCTCAGAGAAGTAAACAGGAGCTAGACAAGTAGAGTCTCACTGGCCATTGTAAAGATTTGAAATATTACTTTAAAGATGACAGGACTCCACTAGAGAACTGAGAGAAGGGGAGTGACATAATCTGAGTTATGATTTTTAAAAAAACTGCTTTGGCTGCTATGTAAAGAATAGATTTGGGGGAAGGGTAGAGTCAGGGAGATGATATAAGAGACTACTGAAATAATTCAGGTGAGAAATGGTGTGGCTTGTACCAGAGGGGTAGCAACAAAGAGGGGTGAGAAGTGGTTAAGCTCTCGATATATTTTGAGATATAACCAACAAGATTTACTAAGAGATGTGAGCTACAAGAAAAAGAGAAGAATCAAGGATGAATCTAAAAGTTTTGGTCTGAGCTACTGAAAGACGGAGGTGCTAGCAACTGAGATGGGGACAGCTGACGGTGGTGCTCATGTGGGAGGAGAGTGAGATCGGAAACAAAGTTTTCCATATGCTGAGTCTGAGAATTCTATCAGCTGTCCCCATCTCAGTTACTAGCACCTCCGCCTTTCAGTAGCTCAGACCAAAACTCTTAGATTCATCCTAATTCTATTAGTTGCCCTCTTAGAGTGCCAAAGAGGCAAATGTCAAGAATGTGGCACTAGTGTAGAGGTTTGGGCTGCAAGTATAAATTCAGAGGTTGCCAGTGTACATAGATGGTATTTTGGTACATATGATAAGAAAATCGCCTAGCAAGAATGCAGATATAGAAGGGATCAAAGGTTTAGTCTGGAATGAGATATGCCAGCATTTAGGGTTATGGGAATGAGAAGCCAGTAATAAAAATTGAGAAGAAACTACTGGTGAGATAGGAGGAAAACCAGGAAGGTATGTGTTCCAGGAGATAGGCAGAAAATTTGTTAAATAAGGACGGAGTGATCAAAGTGTCAAATTTTTTGACACATAAAGTAAATGAAAAATGAGAAATGACATGAGTTTCAGTGAGATGGGAGACTACTGGACTGCAATGTCAACTGAAGCATTTCAATGGAGTGATAGGAAGGAAAATACTATTGAAACGGGATCAATACACAAAGGGAGATAACAGGAAGCACAGACAGAGCTCTAGAGGAGTTTTACTATTAATACAAAAGGGAGCAGAGAAGCCAGAAGCAGACCCAAGATCAAGGGTACAAAGCTGGGAAACAGGAGACCTCCTAGGAATCCTTGGAATCCTAAGATCTCTATGTTTAGAAAACAAAACAAAATAAATGAAAAGTATTACAACAATTAATGCCTTATTTGATGTAAAATGGAATAAGATTTCCTTTCTGTATCCTCCCATTACTCCACAGACCTGCATTAACAAGAGAAGAATTAATGAAAAAACTGTATAGAGCATGTAGTTCTATTTCCTGTAAGAGTATTTCATTAAGTACATTTTATACATAAGGAAACTGAGAGACAGAGAGACTAAGAGACTTGTCTAATGTCATGCAACCATAGTAGCGAAGTAGAATTTGGTCTAGGTTGTCTGGCTATGGACTATACACTCTTGTCTCCCTGAAGAAGTGAACATGGTCCCTCACCAACTAGTCATGGAAAGTGCTTTACAGGAAATAAACAGAGCAATATGACAGTGAATAAATGGAGGAGAGGCACCCTTAAATAGGGGACCAGGAACTCCAGACGCACAAAACAGACCAAGAATTAAATAAAACCCAGATATTCAGAGGCCAAAGGGCAGAGTCTCTAGGTAGAAGAAATACAAAATGCAAAGTCTCTGACATGGAAATAACCTGACATTTTCTTGCAATAGAGTGGAGGCCAGCCCAGGATGCTTGAAGCACAAAGAGCAGGAAAGTCAAACAAATGAGGTTAGAGAAACAGGCAGAAGCCAGATCATGTCTGTCTCATTGGGCCACAGTAAGCTGTGTGGCTTTTATTCTAAGTGCAGGTGAAGGATCATTTTTAATGCTCCACGAGGGCTGCAAAATGTATGGCCCATCTCTTGATGGTATATTGCAACATGCTTTTTCTCTTCAAATGTCCAATCTGACTTAACCTTATCTTTTATAATGTTATCCAATGTCTTCCCTCATCCAAAATCAAAAAAGAGCAACAGTTTATTGAATTGCTCCCTTCTTGAAAAACAATTCTGGGAAAAATTTAACACAAACAAATAACTTTAATATTCTTTTTCTGGTTAGAGTAGACAAACTTCAGGTTCTAAACTTGACATTGCCGTTACATATGCAGCTAGTCCTCAGAAAACCACTTGACCATATAATACCTCTATTTCTTCAACTTTTAGAGAGGAAAAGCACAAGGTTTAGAGGGATTGTATAAGATTATGAATAGTATTTTAAAAATTGTATACCAGTACACACGATTATTATGTTATGAAAAAAGCATGCAATATGGAGTCAAATAATTTTTTTGATGAATACACAAGTTTGAAAATAAAGTTTTATTATTTATGGTTTTGTGAAAAGGAAGTCAAATTATTAGTCAAAGTTATCTGAGTGTACATCTTTTATAAATAAATGGCATAACATGATTTTCAGTTCTGGTCTAGAAAAGTAATCACAAATGTATTTGCTTTTTTTCATTTCTATAAAATGAAGGTATAAATCACATAAGGGAGAAACTTATTTGTATCAAAGATAATGGATAAAGATTGAATATCTTTAATATGAAGAAAAATGATTAAAATCAACCAAACACTGAAGCCAATAGGAAAAAAATGGGCAAAGGACATAATGGATTCTTCCAAGTTCATAATATTGAGAGAGTGGTGTGAGACGGGCAACTTAAATATCATTGATATGGTTGGTTGCCTGAAATCTATATAAAAAAGACATTAATCTTTCACATCATTAACTGTGGTAGTTTCATATTTAGGAATTCCTCCCAAGAAATGAGAAATAGGAAAAAAGAAAAAGTAGGACTATAAACATCATATCATAGGATATGATTAAATAAGTTATGACAAATTCATAAGTTGTAATAAATGCAGATATTAAGGAAATATATTAGAAGATAATGGTGAAATGTTCTTTATTTAAATGAATTAGGAACAGTATATACGGTATATATTAGTGATATAGTTGAATGCAAATTCTATAATAATCTGCATTCAAATACGTAGTCATAGAAAAAATTCTGAAAGGAAATGCAAGAAAATGTTAATAATAACTATTTGTAGGTAGTAGAAATATATGTAATTTATATTATCTTTCTTTGCTGTTTTCTAAAATACTGACAAAGGCCATGAATTGAATTTACAATTAGTAAGAAACAACAATTTGTAACTATAAATTCTGAAATAAAGTGCAGCTATTAAAATATTCTACCTAAGCTTTGATACTGTAAAATGCAAATTACATTTCTGTAAGCACTCCTATGCATGAGTTCTTGGGCACTCGTGCCTATGAGACAGGTGTGCATATACACACATACACAAATTGTGCATGACACAATGACATAACACTACACATATTTATGAGGACTTGAAGAAATAGGCCTAATTAGTGTTATTTTATAAACATGTATATCTCAACTTCTATTTACTGAGTTTGTCTAATAGCCTCATACAGGGGTTGATAAGGTTATATTCTTATAGGGATACAGGTTATAATTCTGAAATGGCTTTATGTTTGTTGTGGGGTTGAATGAATAAGTAAACGGATGTTGGATGGAGACAGCCATGTTGTTCACACCCTCAGAGATGGAAGTTACAGAGAAATAAAAAAGGAAGACTAGAATGTACTACTGGATAAGGGTTGGAGACATAAACAGGAATTCATGTTTACCTTAATATATAAACAGAGGGATAGATACAGACATAATTTTATACATATATGTGTGTGTGTGTGTGTGTTACCTAACTCTGTGCACTAACATGGCTTTGAAGCAATGAATCTCCAGTAGCAACAAACATAAACAGTATCCAGATTTTCATTTATAAATACCATTCTCCAATAAAGGGAACCAGGGGTCCTTGGAGAAATGGTTGATTGCAGGTGTAGGCAAGGAAGTACAAGATGATCCAGGAGCATCTTGAACCAGAAAATAAAGAAGTGCTCAAGGAACAAAATGTTGGGGACTGTGATCAAAAGGACATAGGCAACAACCTGAAAGAACTTCCACCAGGCTAGATGGCTCACACCTGTAATCTCAACACTTTGGAAGGTCAAGGCAGGAGGATCACTTAAGACTTAAGCTGAGGAGTTTGAGACCTACCTGGGCAACATAGGCGGACCCTGTCTCTACAAAATAAAAAAAAAAAAAAATTAGCCAGGTGTGGTGGCATGCACCTATGGTCTCAGCTACTTGGGAGGCTAAGGTGGGAGGGTCACCTGAGCTGTGACGTGTCACTGAACTCCAGCCTGGGTGACAAAGTGAGACCCTGTCTCAAAAATAAATACAAATAAAAAATAAAAAAAATGAAAGAGCTCCCAATGGCTACATCTGAAAGAATCTGAGCAACAAAATAAACAGCAGAGTGTTGGATTACAACCTAAAGTTATATAATATACGTAAGTCCATAGCAATATAAATAAATGACTGAATAAATATATAAGTGAGAGAGAAAATACAAATGTGTTATCTCTGAAATATTTATGTAAATTTAAAAATATTACAAAATAAGTTTATTAAAATATTGTTTATAAAGAATAATAAATGTGAAATGTTCTAAATATTTTGCTAAATGAATAAAAGCAGACTAAAAAATGAAATAGACAATATGATTCCAATTTAGAAAATAAAAAGGAAAACGTACCAAACAAAAAAAACTACAGCAAAACACAATTTCCTTTCTCAAAGACTGACAAATATAAAAATATTGAAAATACACTGGGTTGTTCAGGCTGTGTAGAAACATTCTGATATAGAGACATGTTGAAGTGAATGTATAATCGGCATCAATTGCCAGGAAAGGCAATACAACAACATGTGTTAACTGAAAATATACCTACCATTTTATCAAAGATTTCTCCTAATAATTTATCCTGCAGATGCTCTTGCATATATGGGAAATGGCATGTGCACATGATAGTTTACTGCAACATTTTTGATGATGTAGGCAATTTGTGCTGCATATAATCTAAATATCCAGTATTATGGACTAAAGCATGTCTACCCATTACAATACCACATAGCTGCTAAAAAGAATGATATGACTTTAGACATACTGATATGAAAACGTCTCTAAAACATGTTGATATGTTGTCTGGAAGAACAAAGGCAAGGTGCTGATAGTGTGACTATTTGGCTTGATAACAATATATACTTGTGAGCTTTCTCTCTGCCTCTCTCTTGCAAAGAAATTAGTTAAAGGTGTTTGTCTTCTGGGAGAAGTACTGTCTGATGGCAGATCGAGGAGCATAGATGAGTTACTTTCATTGTATACTGTTTTGAATGTGAATTTTGTAGATTGTTCATGGTTTATCTATTTTAAAACCTGAAGAGTTCAACACAATCTCTCAAAAATGCAATTCATTTAACAAAGTTTTGATTAGTATTCTGCTAACAAGATAATCAATTGAGTTGACATTTTTACAAAACATTCAGAGGTTTTTAACAGCCTAAACTAATTAATTAGCTATGAACTGAGTTTAGCAGTTTATAGCCATTGGGAAAGGAATTATTTACCCTGGAGAAGAAAATGTTGAGACAGTGTTTTCATGTTATAAAGAGGTCACTGAACAGTGGTTAACCTGCTATTTACAATAAATCTGCATTTTTTCTCAAGTGGTTAATGGTCACAGAATATTTTTCTTAGGGGTGCATAGATAAGGCCAGGTATTAAATTAGTATGATTTGAAGAAAAGCAATATATATGACAAAAATATGTCCAACCTCATGAAAAGAAATTCATACTTAAAATACAATATACAATTTTTGCTTCTCATGGGCAAAAATAAAAATGTTCGATGTGGTATGCTGGTAAGGATAAAGATAAACTCTGGTGAACTACTGGTACAATTTCCATGGAGGGCAATTTAGCACTAAATGTTAGAAGTTTTTAAAATGTCCACATCCTATATCAAGAAAATTCTACATATATAAAAGAATAATCATTTGCAGTATTGTTTATAAGAATAAAAATTTGAAAATTTGCTAAATATCCAGCAATACTAACTGATAAAAGAAATAATGCTCCACCCATCTAATGGACTATTATGAATCCATTAAAAAATGAGGCAACTTTATATGTGAGAAAATAAAATGTCTTTGTGATATCACTATATTTCAAATAGCAAAGTACAGGACATCGTGTATATACTGCTCTTGTTTGTGTAGAACTTACAAGGAACTGACAGAAGTGCTTACAAATAAGGCTGGGTGCAGTGGCTCACACCTGTCATCCCAGCACTTCAGGAAGCCAAGGTGGGTATATCACCTGAGGTTAGGTGTTCGAGACCAGCCTCGCCAAGGTGGTGAAACCCCGTCTTTACTAAAAATACAAAATTAGCTGGGCATGGTGGTGCACACCTGTAATCCCAGCTACTTGGGAGGCTGAGGCAGGAGAATTGCTTCAACGTGGGACGCGGAAGTTGCAGTAAGCTGACATTGTGCCACTGCACTCCAGCCTGGGTGACAGGAGCAAAAACTCCGTCTCAAAAAAAAAAAAAAAGGGATACACAAGAAACTTTTGATAGTGGTTGCTCCTGAGGAGGGGAA
Organism: Homo sapiens; assembly: GCF_000001405.40. Taxonomy (NCBI): domain Eukaryota; kingdom Metazoa; phylum Chordata; class Mammalia; order Primates; family Hominidae; genus Homo; species Homo sapiens. Next base: position 167,523,379 of record NC_000002.12, on the reverse strand, counting down.
ATGGGTGATGGGAATGTGTGGGCAAGAGCAGAATGGAGACTTTTCATTACATACCCTTTAGTAATTTGCGATTTTGTAACATTACAGTTTTAATTAATAAAACTTGTGTGATTTTAGGCATTGATCCAATTCCATTATAGAAGTCATTCTTTCAGATTAAGATGTTCTTTCCAAAAATCTGACACACAATCAGCAATTTTAGTTTTAACTGCATGGAATTGTGAATGAAATAAAATCGAGACTAGAATTAAAGATAAGAAAAAACAGAAGAGGTGTGGAGGATGGGTGCCTATGGGACAGCAGATGCTTTTCTGGGGAGTCATGGGTGTCCAGTGGCATCTAAAGAGAGGGAGATCACCAACATGAAAATCACTGGTTTACCACTTACACTACTATGCTCTTGGCTGGTCCTAGATTGGAAATTCTTCTGAAGTACTTACAGGGCTCTTGCTGTTTGAAAGCACCTTCATGCTTTAGAATGCTTTTACTGTACATCCTATAGGAATCTATAGGCACAGGTGAAAGACTCCAGTGAAGTCTACGGTTCACAAAGAACACTCATTCTTTCATTGAAAAACATTAAATCTCATATTAATATCAATTTAAGGAAAACCATTTTATTTTGGACTTGGGAAGGTTAGATAGGGACTTCACCTACTCTTTTTCAATGTGTACAGATTTTTTGGTACCTTGAATTCTAAAACACTGTTTAACTTTCAATAGAAAGAAATCTAAAAGTTGCTAATTAGCAGTGTATTTTAATTTGTGAATTAAATACACAACCAACATTGGAAGACATCTTTCTTCTAATTAAATATGTCTTTTGATAGAGAAAATTTAGCCCAACATGGAAGCAGAGACTTTCATGAACATCTCGGATATTGGCAAGAGAAAATTCTAGAAAAATCTAGAAAAATGTGTCAATCTGCTGCTAATTCAGTATTTTCACTGGTATATGGTTTTAAGTGCAAGTGGAATATTTGACCAGAATTGGGATAATATTTTCAGGGCAAAAATAAAGAAAGAACAAAGCTGGGAGAAGAAGAGGCAAACCCAGGCACACATGAATGACTAAATCTGGAGAAGATTTTGTATATTTAGTTTGTCTTCTCAAAAAATCCTAACAGAATTTTCAAACGCAGCCTCCAGTAGGCTGAGTAATGACTCGACACTTTATTAACGATACCAAAAGCAGGTCTCATAAAAGTTAGGTTGCCATTTCCCTTCTAGAAGCCTTATGGCAGAGGTCACATTACAATCTATAATTTTTGTGGTCTAATGGCCATATCAGTAATTCCTAATATATTTTGGGCCACATTTAAACAATTTTACCTTTTAAATCATATACATATATATAATTATATATATATGTGTATATATATATATATATATATACACACACACACACACATATATGTTGGTAATGTCTATTTTCATTAATTTATAAAAAGTTAATATTGCTTTGTGTCTACAATATATCTTTCTAAATAATATATGTATGATTTTGAGGGTAATAAAATAAAAACATATGAATGATATGTCTTTTACCATGTAAATTTGCTTAGAAATAAAAAGAGTTATACAAAGCAAGTTCTAGGAATTACATAACATTGTGGTGCTCCTAGTTTTAAAATAATGGTAGTAGAGGCAGTGAGACTGTAAAGAACTGAGTGTCCTGTATTGTGATAGTAGCAAAATAAATTTGAATGATTTAGGAAAGGTGTAAGAAATTTGGCAATTTATGACAAAGGACTTGTACACATTCAAACATTTTAAAGTAACAATGTCAGTCTTTAGTATTACTAAAGAACCAATGAAAAATTAGGCCACATTTGTAGACAAAGATGTTCACTGTCATATTATTTCTAATATAAAAACATAAATTCCAAGATTTGGATAGTAGTTAGTTAAGTAAGTACATACCTAGAGTGGAAGATTATACAGCCATTAAAGTGGTATTTTAAAAAAACTGATAGAAAATAATCATGAAATGGGAAAAAGTAGGCTACAGTTTTGCCTGTAAAAGGGATCTTCAAGAAGATCAGGGAAAATATGTACTTTTTGCACTACAAAAAACTTTCACTCACTTGTTATAAGATCTCTGAACAGAATCTAGTTTGAGGCACTAAGAAGGATAAGACATGAGTTTTACAAGAGCTTCTATCAGAGCAACTTGAATTCTACTAAAATGGAAGCAAGAACAAACATCACGTGTATGGTGAAGCTTGGGTGGAAGAATGGCAAAATCACTGATGCTTTACAAAAAGATTATGGAGACAATGCTCCAAAGAAATCAGCAGTTTACAAACAGATAACTTATTTCAAGAAGGAAAAAGAAGATGTTGCAAATGAAGTCCACAGTAGCAGACCATCTATGTCAATTTACAAAAAAAAAAAAGTTAATCTTGTTTGTGCCCTAATTGAAGAGGATCAATGGTTAACAGCAGAAACAACAGCCAACACCATAGACATCTCAATTAATTCAGCTTATACAATTCTGACTGAAAAAGTAAACGTTGAGCCAACTTTCCACTTGATGGGTGCCAACCCATTGCTCCCAAATCAGCTGCAGATGTGAGCAGAGATTTCAACGGAAATTTTAACCAAGTGGAATCAAGATCCTAACGCATTTCTTTTAAGAATTGTAACAGGAGATGAAACATAGCTTTACCAGTATGATCCTGAAGACAAAGCACAATCAAAGCAATGGCTACCAAGAGGTAGAAGTCATCCAGGCAAAGCAAAAGCAAACCAATCAAGAGCAAAAGTCATGGCAACGGTTTTTTTGCGATGCTCAAGGCATTTTCGCTGTTGACTTTCCTGAGGGCCAAAGAATGATCACAGCTGCATATTATGAGTGTTTTGAGAAAAAGAGCCAAAGATTTAGGAAGAAAACTCCTGGGATGCTTCACCAGAGAGTCCTTCTCCACCACAACAATGCTCCTACTCACTCCTCTTATCAGACAAGAGCAATTTTGGGAGAGTTTTGATGGGAAATCATTAGGCATCCATATTACAGTCCTGATTTGGCTTCTTCTGAATTCTTTTTGTTTCCTAATCTTAAAAAAATGTATAAAGGGCATTTAATTTTCTTCAGTTATAATGTAAAAAAGACTGCATTACATGGTTAAATTCCCACAATCCTTAATACTTTAGGGATGGACTAAAATGCTGGTATCATTGCTTTAAATAATGTCTTGATGGGGTTTATGTTGAGAAATAAAGTTTATATTTTTATCTTTTAATTCCATTTAACATGAACTTTTCAAAGTATCTTTATGTATTTGATTCCATCTTTCATATTAATATATTTTTCTTTCTTTTCTTTTTTTTTTGAGATAGAGTCTTACTCTGTCACCTAGGCTGCAGTGCAGTGGCACAATCTTGGCTCACTGCAACCTCTGCCTCACCTCCTGATTAGCTGGAATTACAGGTGCCCACCACCAGGCCTGGCTAATTTTTGTATTTTTGGTAGAGATGATATTTCCCCATGTTGGCCAGGCTGGTCTCAAACTCTTAACCTTAAGTGATCTACCTGCCTTGGCCTCCCAAAGCACTGGGATTACAGGTGTGAGCCACCGTGCATGGCCAATATATTTTTCTTGTATAGAGAAAAGGAACAAAAGGACATGCAATGATACGATTACGTGTATTGGCAGGAAATGTGAATACCTCATATTTTCATTTAATTTACACTTTTATATATTTTCCAAATTCCCTACGGTAGCTACTTATTCCTGTTAAAAATGCTATAGAGTTATTAAAACAATCAAATATGTGAAAAGTAATTTAATATATACAATAAACCTAAAAACAGGTTGAGTTTTTTAACCTTACTTTTAATACACCAACAACTGGCTAATATGCAGAAAACATATGGCACATATAAAATATACTTCCAAAATCCATGTTGATGAGCAAAGATTTGCAATATACAAAGCAAACTGGATAAAATTAAATTAAATTTAATTGTTTATCTTAGTAAATGTATCTAAATGAATGTGTTTTTAAGTTTGGTATTGCTCAGTTTGATAGAATATTTATAGCAATTAAATAATGAGTCTTAATAATTGTTCTAGCAGCGGGCCATTTCTCAATTATTCTTTGCATTCTGCAGTTCTGATCTATGTTCAGTATGCCCGCCAATTCCAAGTGATTTCCAATGGCATGGAGCTAAAGGAGAAATGCGCTGAGTCCATATTCCATTTAAGTGTCCACTTACATAACTATATGTAACATCATATAAAATGATGATGCTACTGTCCAGTAGACAAGCTACATACTCTAAATTTACAAAAAAAAGAAATTGTATTTGTTTTCTTTACCTAAGAAGTGAAGCCAGCTTTGCCATGAGCTCTTCACAACTCATATCCTCATTCTCCTTTCATAAGAATTCCATTGGGGATCCAAATTATGGCCTTTGAATGGTTTTCTTCCACGTAAGACTAATTGCCTTATACAGGAATCAAACCTGCAATTGTAATCTCATTAGCACCATATTCTAACCAATGTGCTTCCATCAGTAGAACGTTGACCGTAAGTGGCTTTCAGGAAAAAGATACATTCCTGGGGTAAGGATAAAGTTTAAGGTTGTAAGGAAAGTACCAGGCATTAACTGTTTTCCTTCAAATGCACTGTAGCAAGTTGGCACACATTGAAGTTCTAACAAATAGAGGATGAGAACTTGATTCATTGACTGCACATCCCGAGACTTGGTTCTGGATTTGCATCTGAATAGACGCCCATCTTTCGAACAGAGATAAAACTTTGTAAGAACAGTTCCTGAGATGATGCTGATATCAGCTATTGCATGCTGAATTCTTACCAAATGATTTGCTTTCTGTTACCTAAATAGAGCAAATATTCAGTATTCAGTATTACTTGTTTTATTCTCTCACATTTTACCCTAATGTCTAAAATATTTTTCTTTTTCAGTTATTCTTTAAATCAATTTTTACATTTATTTCTTGTAAGACTTCATACTGTTTATGAAAGGGTCTAGTAACTTCAATATCTATTATTGTGAGCCTTTTGCCAGAAAGAATAAAATGAGTAGTTTGAATTTACATTAAGCTTAAGAAAATAATTTTCCATTTGCTGATTTTTGAATAAGTAAATAGGAGTCAGCTAAATTGGTTAGAATATGGTGCTAATGAGATTACAATTGCAGGTTTGATTCCTGTATAGGGCAATTAGTCTTATGTGGAAGAAAACCATTCAAAGGCCATAATTTGGATCCTCGATGGAATTCTTATGAAAGGAGAATGAGGATATGAGTTGTGAAGAGCTCATGGCAAAACTGGCTTTACTTCTCAGGTAAAGAAAACAAATACAATTTTTTTTGTTGTTGTTGTTGTTGTAAATTTAGACCAGGAAATCTCATGGCAAGGAGAGTTCACGGATATTGGGATCAAATGAGATTACACTGATACTATAAAATGTTTTTTATAGACTTGAGTGGCACACAATCAAAAGGATAGTTCATAAAATTAGAGTTAAGGATTTTATCCTACGATTGTTTGGGACTAAGCAATAGATTAATTTATGGAAACACCTGTGTTGCTCATACAACTCCAGCACTGTATTGTCTGTGGAATTATTCATAAACCTGTCAAAGAAAGTAAAAGTAGATAGTCATGGTAAATGGCAGAAGCTTATGTCCACTACAAAGCTAGTTTAAAGTTTCATTTTTAGTTGTCTGCTGACTGTTCAATCTTCAGAGAAACTTCCATTTCACCTTAATTAAATTAGATAATGCAATTCATGGGTTGTTTCTGGACCACTGCTCTTCTCACACTAATGGTAATCAATGAAAAAGATGAGGCTTACTTATAAAACAGAAAATAAAAAGTGCATATAAAATTTCAGAAAAGCAGTTCTTGATTACATGGGCAGTATACTAACTGGCTAAAATTGGTTAACAGTAGAAATCAGTTCAGTATAATAGTTGCTATTTTTTTTAACTCCTTCTTTACTAAAAACTATTTTGCTTTGAGAAGATTTTCTTGTAACTCCTCTCAACAAATTGTATCTTCATTCAAAAATACAAAAGCTTGTTTTGTACTTGACCTGAGGTTGCTGCTACTAATCTTTTAGCCCTAAAGAGAAAGGCAGGTTCTGAGTATTAGATTTCTTTCTAGATGCACTGAAAAAAAAACCTTAACAATAAAACCCCAAAGTAGCAAGTGATGTTTTAACAGAGAGAAGAAAATTCAACTGAGGAGAGTCTGCTTGTCTCTATTTCACAAAAATGATTCAAATATTCATCAAATATTTAATATATGTATACACCAGACTTTGTTTTGTTAGAGGTTCAGGGATTAGAAATGAAAAGCTCACAACAAACCAGTTCCTGACTTTAAAATATTTACAATCTTTTAATATAGATAACAAAGAAGCTTAAGTGTCATATATATATATATATATATACACACACAGAAGTACTTATATGTCATATGAGCAGGCAACCTATGTGGAGGCTGGTCACGGGATTGAAACATGAAGTAAATCTTGAAGAGCAAAAAGAAGTAATAAAGAGAGACAAAGGAATGCTAACTAAGTATGATCAGATCATTATGGCTGCAGCATTACATGTGTTTGTACTGGTTTCATAAGGCTATGATAGGAAAAATAAACATAGCAACAACAACAAAACAGCAACAACAAAATAGTAACAGTGGCTAAAGTTATATAGTTTCTATTTTGTGCCAGGCATCATTCTGAGCATCTTAACCTATATTAACTCATTTAATCTTCTCAACAATAACTTCTGAAAATAATACTATTATTTCTAATATTTTACAAATAAGTATATAGAGGCCTATAGAGTTTAAGTGACTTAAGTGACTTGCCAAAGGCAACCCAACTAACTATTGAGCTAGAACTTAAACACTTTGGTCAGAGTTGAGGATTAAAGAGGTAAGTATAATCTTGTATATCACAGTAAAGTTTGACATTAATTCTGAGGATGATATAGAAGAAATAAAAAACTTAAGCAAAACAAAAACAAAAGCAAAAACAAAACTCAGGTTTATATTTTAGAGAACTCGCTTAGGCAGAAGTGTTGAGGATGGCTTGTAAGGAAATGAGATACTGTCAGGGCCATTGGTAAGTTCTTAAATCAGTCCTAACAAAAAATCACAAGGGCCTGATAGAAAGCAAAAGGCAGATGACAAATATCTCTTAGCAGAAAAAAAATTATGTTGAAATTTGCAGCATTTCTAACAGAATCTTCTAGCTAGAGATAGGATCAGAGCCAGTTAAATTGCGGTGGTGGTGGGGGAGGCGTGTCTAAAAAATAAGAAAAATGGGAAAAACTACAAATAGGCAAATATAATTTAAAATGATGGTAAATTTTGTTCAGAAGACAAAACTGATTCTGCCTAATCCTTGCTTCAGAATAGTATTGCTAGAATACGCTGAATACATAGATAGGCCTAGAAAATTTAGGAAGGTTTGTGTTGTGACCTAATCACGTTGTTTTTTACAAGTCATTTGTTTGGCTGGAGTATTCTTTAATCATATAACATAAAAGTTACTTTGTAATAAAAATATCTTGATTGCTCAGTAAAGTGAGAAGATTCACTAGGTAAATATGTTCTGAAGAGGGTCTCAAATTTAAGTCATTACATCATGATTTTACAAAAAAGTTTTCAGATAAACTTGCTCTATGATGGGTGTCATTTCCTTAAGAAAATAAAGAAATTGAAGGTAGTTTAAGATCAAAACAAAATATACATATATATTCCATACTGACAAACAATAATGGAAGTGGCTTTATACTCAGTATAAAGACAAAATACTAGCAACACATCATCCCTGATGCTGTAATCTGTTGGCAGAGGAACTTTTCAGCATTTTGCTTTATGCTTCCCTATAATTTTATGGTTTATCAGTTGATGCTTAATCAGTAGGACTGTGTTAACTAACACTATTCAGTGGCTCATCATTAAGAATTCTTTTTCAAACTCCAACACAAATAGGAGGACAATTTGAAGTAAAGACCTTCTCCATCTGAAGTATTTGTTTCTTGAAGGATGCTTGATTGGCCTTAAGCATAGTGAATGTAATAATAACACTTGAAGTAGATATGTGCATCAGTTCTAGAGGTCTCTAGCTGAAATCTATATACTTACTTACCTCTAGAGGAAAATCTCTAATGTTTCTCTGAATTTTCCAAGCTATTTTAGGTTAGCTCCAGCTGAAAACATTATTTTTGTTTCCCAATATTATTTTGATGACTAAATGCTATATCATTGAAGATGATGACTTGTAAAATGAATGCATGAATGACAATAATTAAAAATAGACAAATTAGCTTCAAAATTATCAAAATATTTATACTCAATTTTTTACTAAACTTTTGGTCTATTTCTAAGTAAAACATAAAAATCATAATGATAATAAGATAATGATCATAACAAATTATAGTAGTTTATATTTATTAACCAGTTCCTATTACCTATTTTACATTTCACCTTTTCTTCATAACAAATTATAGTAGTTTATATTTATTAACCAGATCCTATTACCTATTTTTACATTTCACCTTTTCTTCATAACAACCTAATTATTATTTTCATGTTAAGGATGAAATGACTATGGCTTGGACAGTCTCAGGAATTTATCCATATTTCCAGTTAGAAGCCAGGATTAGCTGCTTGATTCTAAAGTCTACATTATTAATCATTATTCTGTGCAGTTTATTTGATGACAAACAAAAACTAAAACTGTATTAAACTTTAGTATATAGAATCACTAATACTTAGCTTGGCAGTTATTAGGTCTCAGCTCCAAATAAACTCATTTATACTTGGCTCTGATGCTGGGGCTGGGACTGTAAACTAACTTTCTCCTTAGCCATATGCATCCATTGAGATTCTTTCAATGGGGGACATTAAAGGGAGATTGCAAGGCAGGAAGACAGAGAAGGGATATTCTTCCTGTTCTCTTGTAGGATATTACAGCTGTCTGACAATCATCTAATGTTCAAAAATTAATGTCATTTTATTCATAGAAAACTGCAATGATTTTGCTTATTCAGTTCCAAACATTTTTCTTTTACAAAATGGGATAATCGAGATCCTCTTTAAAATGTGGTTTAAATGTCTTAAAAAGTACCTTGTAAAATATTTATTAATTTTGAAAATTATTTTAAAGTTTAAATCACATGGGGCCGGGTGTGGTGGCTCACACCTGTAATCCCAGCACTTTGGGAGGCTGAGGTGGGCAGATCACGAGGTCAGGAGATCGAGACCATCCTAGCTAATATGGTGAAACCCCGTTTCTACTAAAGATACAAAAAAATTAGCTGGGCGTGGTGGTGGGCGCCTGTAATTCCAGCTACTCAGGAGGCTGAGGCAGGGGAATGGCATGAACCCGGGAGGCGGAGCTTGCAGTGAGCCGATACTGCACCACTGCCCTCCAGCCTGGGTGACAGAGAGAGACTCTGTCTCAAGAAAAATAAATAAATAAATATACATACAAATAAAATAAACTACATGTAATAGGGAAAAGCAAAGTAGATAAGTTTATAGCAGCAGTAAAAATAAAACTGAAGAGTGTACATCTGTAAACCAGCAATTCTTTTTTATTCTTTTAAAAAATATGTAAACTCTTTTTATGATGGGTGTTTTCAACATACACAAAAATAAAAAAGAACAGTATATAATAAACCCATATCTTACACATAAGTTTCAGTAAGAGTTTGCTAATTTTGGTTCTTCTATTCCCATCCATACTATGTATTTTACTTTATTTACTTATTTTCTGAAGCTTTTTAATCCCTGAAGACATTTCACTTCTTTTCAACATAAAAGACAGTAACTTTTTAAACTATAGAATCTTTAATATATCTAACATTAACCATAATTTCTTAATGTCTTCTAATATCCAGTTGATGTTCAAATTTCCATATTGTCTCAAAAATGTCTTCTGCCATTGATTTGTTCACATTAAAGCAAAATGGCCTACACTTGCGTTTGTTGTCCTTTGTATGTCTCTATTTCTTTCCTTTGTTTCCCCTTTTACAAAGTACAGTTACAAAGATCGTAAAAAGTACAATTGGAAATCGAAGCTGTGATAGCAAGCATCCTTATTTTCCCATTCTCCATGTTAGGTGAAGAGATTTTAATATTTCAGCACTAAATATGAATAAGTGAGGTTATTTACTTTGTAAAATTTCTGTTATTTTATACATGGCTGATGACTTCTTCATGTGTCATTTAACTTCCCTGAGTCCCCCAAATTTTCTGTAAGTAGTTAGATCTAGAGGTTTGAGTGATTCCACTTTTTTTTTTTTTTTTTTTTTTTGTGGCATGAATACCCCATATATAGTGTTGTGAATTCTGTCAAACAGCAATTGTCTCACTGAATGTAAATATATTTAAATATTAAATAATAAATATTTACACAAATAATATATAAATATAAAATATAGGCTGGGTAGAATCATCATGCTTGTAATCCCAGCACTTTGGGAGGCTGAGGCAGGCAGATCACACGAGCTCATAAGTTTGAGACCAGCCTTGGCAACATGGCAAAACACCATCTCTACAACAAATAAAAAAATTAGCTGGGTATGGTAGCATGCATCTGTGGTCTGTGGTCCCAGCTATTTGGGAGGCTGAGGTGGGAGGATCATTTGAGCCCATGAGCTGTAGGTTGCAGTGAGCCAAGATGGCATCACTGCACTCCAACCTGGGCAACTGAATGAGACCCTATCTCAAAATATATATATATATGTATATATATATACACGTATATATATATACATATATATATATACACATATATATATACATATATATATACATATATATATACATATATATACATATATATATACACACACACATATATATGTATATATGCATGTATAATATAAATACAAAATACAAATATATAAATTACAGACTTGTATAATTAACATAAACAAAAGTGGGTTTATTTCAGGAAAGCATTGTTGGTTTAACATTATAAAATCATTCAATACATTTTATTATATTTATAGAATAATGATGAAAAATAGGATAATCTCAATAGACATATAAGAATTTGACAAAATTCAAAATGTATTCATAACTCATAGCAGCCTAGGAATATAAGAGATATGCTATAACTGATAAAGAATTTCTTTAAAAATATCTTTAGCAAGCATCATTTTTAATGGTGGAATACTGAATTTTTTTCAGCTAATGTTGGAAATGAGAAAAGGATGCTCAATATTACATTTACTTCAAATTATACTTTTACTGTGATACAAAGTGTGCCATGAATTTGACAATTTGCCCTCTATCATACTTCATTTTTCTTCATAGTACTTTTGAAGAAAATATTCAAATTTTCTAACTTCCTAACATATCATATATTTATTTTTATATCTCCTGTTGTCAGAATGTGAGCCCCAAGAGAGAAGGGACTTTGTCTTTTGTATTCATTGCTGTATTCCCCGTGCCTGGCACATGGTGGATGCCCAATAATAAATGTATTTTGAGAGTAAAAGTAACAAGCCCAAAAATGTTCTTTATATATTAAAATCTGAGTCCATCTTATTAGTTATTTTTTCATGAAATTCATTTTCATCTTCTATTTAGATGACATTTTTCTGAGTACATAATTTATGTAGAAAATTTGCAAAATACAGAAAAGTAGGAAAAGGAAAACCTACCATTCAGTGACAATTTCTTGCTAACATTTGGAAGACTTTCCTAATTAAAAAAAAATCTATGCAAAAATATATCCTTTTGGTATATCTAAAATTAAGCTGATTCTAAATCTATTTTATTCTTTTCTGTATTAGACTGTTTTCATGCTGCTATAAAGAACCCAAGACTGGGTAATTTATAAAGAAAAGAGGTTTAATTAATTGGCTCACAGTTCCACAGGGCTCAGGAGGCCTCAGGAAACTTACAATCATGGTGAAAAGGGAAGCAAACACATCCTTCTTCACGTGGTGACAGGAGAGAGAAATGAGTGTCCAGTGAAGGGTGAAGCCCCTTATAAAACCATCAGATCTCCTGAGAACCAAGAATTCCATATCACAAGAACAGAAGGGGGAAAACCATCCCAATGATTCGATTATTTCCATCTGGTCCCTCCCATGAGGATTATGGGAACTACAATTCAAGATGAGATTTGGGTGGGGACACAGCCAAATCATATCATTTTCCATATCGTTTTAATTACTTAATGGATGAATGAACACAATTTAACTATTTTCTCTCATTTGGCTGTTTTCAATATCTCCTTATTAAAGAAAACAAACACTACAACAAACATCCTTCTGTATATCCATGATTATCCCATAGAGCAAATTACTGAAATGGAAATTTCTAACTGAAATAGTATGCACATACTAAGGATCATGATTAATATTTTACTTTCTCTTTTTTTATTGATTCTAATATTGCTATTTTAATTTACATTTTTTATCTAGTCTCATTCACCTGATGATCACATCCCATCTCATAGCTTTAAATATTGTCTATATGCTAATGATTCCCATATTTATACCTATACTCCAGATATCTCCCTGAATTCCAAATTCATAAAGTTAATTATCTAACTGACATTTCCACCTGAATGCTTTAATTTGCATCTCAAATTTAAACTGTGCAAAATTGAGCTCCTATACTTCTACTCCACGGGAATTGCTCTTCTTCCTGTCTTTACCATCACAGTTAATGACAATTCCATCTTTCTTGTTTTTCAGGTGAAAACCCTGAAAATCATCTTTGATACTCTGGGAAGCCAAAGGTTAGCAGCAGGCTTGCAATTTGTTTGCCTTTGTAACACATCTGGGAAAGAATGAGATAACCCAGTTAGATTCCTCTGTAAACATGCCAATCACAATCCTACCAAACATACAAATAGTATTTACTAGTGGGGAGTTCTTATCTATGGAATGCTTTTAGCAGGATGTATCTGGTCTAGTCTAGGATAACTTAGGCTGGAAAAAAAAAAAAAAAAAAACAAAACTTGCAATCATGAATTTATAAGGCATGGTTCCATTAAAAAATCACATAAATTATGTAATTAAAAAAATATAACAAGAAGATGCTTCATAACTGAAATGACTCATTCTGTGCAAGCAATGTATCACATATATTTCTTAATCTCTCATGTTAAATTTGAACCAGAGCATGTCCTCATACATGAAGAAGACATTTTATGGAGAGTTACACCTGATGGTTTTACACCTTTCAAAGGGAAGAATGCTTGGCTCGTGTCTGACTACTACTTGTATCCATAATTTATTGGCAAATTTGATATTGGGTAAGACCTATAATTCATTGTGAGTCTGCTTTGATGATCTGACTTTTAATTTTATCTTTCAACATCTAATACTCAGCACTACTGGATTTCAAATCATATCTGCTTGTCTCCTACTTTTCTCGCTTCTCAGTACACCATTCTCATCTCTCTCTGGCACTTTCTTTTGTTTTCCAAATGCTCTCAACTTCCTTCATTTTATTCTCTACACAGCAGCCAGAGTAATAAATCCTTTAACAATGTAAACAGATCACGTCATTCCTTTGTTCTAAACCTTCCAAATGCTTCCCATCTCTCTGAGTTGAAGCCAAGTTCCTTTCAATGAACTGCAAAGTCTTTCCCCTTAACGTTGCTGATCTCATCCTCCATTCCTCTCCCCTAACTCACACTGCTCCAGCCACACTGAATGTCCTGCTCATTGACCATGCCAGGCATTCTCTCGTGTCAAGGTCTTTGTACCTCCTAATGCTTTTAGTTGGATTTCTGCATGGCTTGTTTACTGTCTAATTTACTTCAGGACTTAAGAAAAGGGCTTCTTCGGCCATCTTAATAAAATTGCAATTCTACCTCCAATACTTCTTATTCATCTTACCTATGTTGTTTTTCCCCCTTAGCAATTATCACCCTTTAAAATACCTATGTAGTCTCCTTATTTATTACACACACACACACATATGTATATATATAGTCTCCTTCCACTAGTGTTAAGCTCCTGAAACCAGAAAATTTTTATTTGTTGTTTATTATTATTTGTTGTTTCCAGATTCTACAAAGGTGCCTGATACACAGTAAGTGCTGAATGCATATGTGTCATTTCATTTGATATTTACTATGCATGAGGGTCAATTTTGTTATATGTCTATTAGCCATTTTACTTTATTTTAAATTAATTACTTATGACTTGGCTCATTTCTTTTCCTATGTGCTAACTTTCTACTATTGCTTAGTAAGAACTCTCTGCATAAGAATGCTATTAAATCTTTCTTAAATTGCAATGTATTTTTGCTCCAAAGGGACTGCTCTTCTCACTTCTTCTCAGTTAATTGACATCCATCCTTCCTGTCGTGAAGGTCAAAATCCTGAAACTTATCTTGACTCTTTGGGAACAAAAGGGTTAGCAGCAGATGCCCAATCTGTTTTCTCCCTTAACCCATTGGAAAAGGAAAAAAATAAACATATTAAATTCCTATGTAAACATGTTAATGACAATCTGCCAATGCATTTTTCTTCAATTTGTCATGTACCTTTGAATTTATTTTGGTGTACTTGGTGTACAGAAAGTTGAATGTGTGTTTGCTAAATTCTACCAAACTTTTCCTTTCTTTTTTTTTTATGAAAAGTTTAGAAAATAAATTGTACTTACTATGTATCATCTCCCAATTGTGTAATAACTTCATTTTTGTATTAAACTATTTAATACTTTTAACACATTTTGGTGTATGCCAGTCATTTCCAAAATTTGAGTATTAGAAACTCTAAAAAAAAAGTTCAATTTTAGAGCATAACTTTTAGTATTCATTGACTGAGAAAACACTATTAAGAAACATCTGGGTCAGGTGCAGTGGCTCACGCCTGTAATCCCAGCACTTTGGGAGGGTGAGGCAGGTGGATCACGAGGTTAGGAGATCGAGACTATCCTGGCTAACACGGTGAAACCCCGTCTCTACTAAAAATATAAAAAATTAGCCGGGAGTGGTGGCGGGTGCCTGTAGTCCCAGCTACTTGGGAAGCTGAGGCAGGAAAATGGTGTGAATCCGGGAGGCAGAGCTTGCAGTGAGCCGAGATCACTGCCACTGCACTCCAGCCTGGGTGACAGAGCAAGACTCCGTCTGAAAAAAAAAAAAAAAAATTAATAAAAATAAAAAAGAAAGAAAGAAACATCTGTGAAGTAAGAACTATTTTGAATAAATGGATTGAATGTATTATGTCCGCCTAAAGTTCATACCTTCAGATCCTAACCCCAATGTGATGGTATTAGGTTGTGGAGCTTTGAAAGTGAATTAGAGTTCTGAGAGTGGAGTCTTCATAAATGGGACTAGTGTCCTTATAAAAGGGACTCCCAGAGAGCTCTCTTGCTCTTTCTGTCACATGAGGACACAAAGAGAAGTCGGCAGTCTGTAACCTGAAAGTAGGCTCCACCATGATGGCACTCTGATCTTGGACTTCCAGCCTCCAGCATGGTAAGAAATAAATTTCAGTTGTTGATAAGCCACCTAGTCTATAGCACCTCATTACAGCAGCCTGAACTAAGACATTCACTAAGTACAAGGTTTTGTCATTAGTAAGACAATTATGATTTGTCTTGCAATGTTAAGACAATTATGGTTTGTCTTACAATGTTAAGACAAATTAAGTAAGGTAAATGTTCAATTACCAAATATAATAACTAAGGGCTTTATGCACATAGTTTCATGATCCCTTCACAATACGTATCTGTCTCTTGGTGTTGGTTAGCTACTAATATATATTAGTGTAATTTTCCCCCAAGTTAATAAACATTTGATCCATTAAGTTTCAGTAAAAAATTATTTTCATTCCAACTATTCTTTTCTTAATACCACCTTTATCTTATTCTACTTTTTTTTTTTTTTTTTTTTTTTTTTGAGACGGAGTCTTCCTCTGTCTCCAGGCTGGAGTGCAGTGGCGCGATCTTGGTTCACTGCAACCTCCAACTCCCTGGTTCAAGTGAATCTCCTGCCTCAGCTCCTGAGTAGCTGGGATTACAGGTGCGTGCCACCACACCTAGCTAATTTTTGTATTTTTTTAGTAGAGATGGAGTTTCATCATGTTGGCCAGGATGGTCTTGATCTCCTGACCTCATGATCCACCTGCCTCGGCCTCCCAAAGTGCTGGGATTACAGGCGTGAGCCACTGCACCCGCCCTCTTATTCTACTTTTTAATATTCACCAAGATCTGTTACTGGAATTTCTCCTCTATTCCACTCATCTTTCTGTTCTTGTGGCAGAACCACATTCTCTTAATAATGTATTTTTTTAAGAAATATTTGGCAAACTTTCTATTATTCTTTTTTATGTCAGTTTTACGGTTTTAGTCTTGACAAAACACACTATAATCATGCCCTTCAACTTTTAATGATTCTCCATTTTCTATTGAATAGAGTCTTCTTAGAGTGATAGCAGGGTATGTAAGGCTTCCATAGTCTTGTCCCACCTAATCTTTTAGGGTTCATGTTCTACTCACTCACTTTATACATGTTACATTCCAGTCAATGAAATTTGATGTTTGCAATGTATACCATTAAACATTCACCCATACACTTGTTCTAATTCCCCTGCATGGATTAACTTTCTCCACCATCCAAATCCAAATCCAACTCATACTTGAAGGCCAAGCAACATGATTATTTTATCTATGTGTGTATTATGCCACATGCTACTTATATTGTGGATATTTATTTGCATAATGTGTCTCCTGTATTAGAATATAAGGCCCTTGTAAATTCTAAGTCTTATTCACCTCCCAGAAATACTAGCACTTGCATGCCTGAATGACTGAGTATATGTAATGTTTGTCATAAATCATAGTATGTGGTTTTACTTCTTTCTTTCCTCACCCCACAAAGTTTAAAGTTTTCTTTATCAGCTCATCGAGTTTCCTACATAACACTTTTCCCTAAGCATTCACTTTATTTGCCATAAGTTCTATTTCTAGGGTGGTAATCTACTTTTCACAAAACCAAATTGTATTCTAAATCATCTTTTTAAGAAGTATTTAATTTTAGATAGTCTCCTTTTTGCTTCAAAGTCATTCATTCATTGAACAGATATTAAATCTCTACACATTGTACTCTATTATATGCCATTGATACAATGGTGAAAAATAAAGAGTCTTTAAAGACAACAATCACATCAAAAAATCTGCCAGCAGGGGCAGCACGACTTATATGAAAACAGAGGTGTGCAATGCTTGCTGTTGGTATACAGAGGAGGGAGAATCTACATTTGCTTTGGGGTATAAGGAAAGACATCATAGAGTTGTGTTGCTTGAACCATGAATGAACAGAATTAGTATCTCTGTCTTTTTTTTTTGGTGGAGTCTCGCTCTGTCACCCAGGCTGGAGTGCAGTGGCACGATCTTGGCTCACTGCATCCTCCACCTCCTGGGTTCAAGTGATTCTCCTGCCTCAGCCTCCCAAGTAGCCGGGACTACAGGAGCCCGCCACCACGCCCAGCTAATTTTTGTATTTTTGGTAGAGACAGGGTTTCACCAGGTTGGGCAGGCTGGTCTCGAACTCCTGGCCTCAAGTGATCTGCCTGCCTCAGCCTCCCAAAGTGCTGGGATTACAGGTGTGAGTCACTGTGCTGGGCCTAGTATCTGTGTCTTTAAGATCATTTACTCAGTAGAAAGAGTCTAGATTTTTTTCCCAGTTGTATTATTTTTTTCCCACTTGGATCTAAAATACATTTTTGTGAACAGGGTATCAATGATTTCTAGGTAGCTCTCCAACATGTCTTGAGTATGTGCTCAAACTCCACATACACTGAACACCTCATGATCAACTGCATAAGCTTTCCAAATATCTACTTTCATGCCCTCACGTAGGAAATAATTTACCTGTTCCTTAGAGTCTTTTCTCCTTAGAGTCTCTAATCACATTTCTGTAACTTGGCCATTGATAAATTTGTGAGTGTTAATATCAAGAAGAGGCGCTTTGAAGATGTTTTTTAGATTGTTATAGGCTTCACACAAGTCTATTGTTTTTAGAAAACCTACACTGGCTCTATCACACTTAAAAATACTCCTTTCTTTTGTTCCTCCCCTTTTATTTCTATTTAAAAATTTTTAAAGATTACTTTTTAATAGTTAAGACATCCACATGGTTCAAAATTTAGAAGATACAAAGTGGATTAAGTGAAAAATTTTCTTCTCATCTCTTCATTTTAATCAGCTCCACTACCCTCCAAAGATATCCAGCATAACCAGCCCATTGTGTAATCTTCCCAATACATCCTTTGTATACATAGATTCACCCATATTCCTTTGTATTTATTATACAGATGGTAGCATATCATACATGCTGATCTGCCCTTGCTCTGTTCACTTAATATATTTTGTAGATCTCTCTATATCAATACATACAGAACTATACACTGATTCTCTTTTATGGCTGTACATATAGTCATGCATCACTTAATAATGGAGACACATTCTGAGAAATGCATTGTTAGGTGATCTTGTCACTGAGCAAACATCATAGAGTGTACTTGCATAGACCTAGATAGAATAGCCTACTGTATATCCAGGCTTTATGATATGGTCTGTTGTTCCTAGGCTACAAACCTGTACTGCATGTTACTGTACTAAATACTATAGGCAATTGTAACACAATGCTAAGTATCTGTGTATTCAAACATTTCTAAACATTAAAAAGGTACAGTAAAAATATAATCTGTGAGACCACCATCATATATACAGCTATCAAAGACCAAACTGTCATGCAGTGTATGACTGTGTTATGTTGCACAGATGCATCATTTCATTAATCAGTCAGCTATCAATGAAGATTGAAGGATGCTACTCCTTTCTGATAAGTAATTTTCTTTTCACTTTTTATTTATCACTAGTTAAAGGGAAAAGAGGCATTTTCATGGTCACATAGTCCTATAATTTGCTTTCCCATGCAACCCAATCACAAAACAGATCAAAGCAGGACCTTTGAGGTGATTTATTTTGAGATCCTGAAAACTGGGTAGTGTTTGTTTTCATGGGTGACATATAATTGCATACACTATGTAATCTTGAGCTACTTATAACTAATTCTAGGCTATAGACTCTAGGCTAGAATTGTATCCATTCCAATTTAATGTTCTGTACAGTCTCAGGAAATGATTACCACTAAGTAAACAAGGCCAACTAAATAATAGAAGACATTCAATCTATGGGCTTGGCACAGAATTACAAAACTTCAATGTGATCAAGTATACCTTCTAAATTCTGAGAGTATTTTAACTTCTTCATGATTGGTAGCAATTAATCTGTTATGAAATTGTGCCCACTGCATATCTGCCCAGGAAGCCAGGAAGTTCTTGGTGTTGATGTGGTAGTTCTGTTGCTTGGTGGATATTGTTAAGTTTCTGTCTCCTTTACCAACCCAGCACTGAAGATGGGCAAAGTAAGGATTTAAAGAAAAGCTAGAAAGGAATTTGAAGCAAAAAAGACACCTAGAATATAAGAAAATATATGGGTCTAGTGTGTAAATGGAATCCATGCATACAGCAAAGATAACAAATTGCACTTGAAATTTTAATACAATGAAGGCAATGACCATTTCATAAGTGTTAGCAAGTGGATGGGCATCAAGGAATATGGAATGGCATTAGAGACCTCCTGTGATTTTTAAAATTGCAATTTAGAAAAAGAGTGCTCTGGAGTGAGGTGGTCAGTGCTGATATGAAGAATGAATAAGCTGTTCAAGAAGAGAAATTGAGTGGGCATTTTAGTTGAGGGAAATTTCTTGGAAATGCAATACTCAAGGGAAGAGTACGTTTGGTCAAAACGTAGAATTTGTGTCAGCAGGTAGTGGATAATGATGCTGGAAATGTAGGTTGGCGATCACATTTACTGTAAAGAGTTTTTAGTGTTAAGCTTCTTTATTTTGACATTATTTCATAAAATACATCAGTTATTGGAGGCTTTAGTCTAACAAGATGAAAGCTTAACAGTAAGCTTTTTCACTTTTTGCCAGTGTTCAGGAACCAGCATAAGCCTGGCTGTTGGTCAGGTGAAGGGAATCCTTGTGGTAGCCAGACACTCTGTAGATACTGATTTAAAGTATATGCACCCTTGAAATTTTCTCAAAAAGTCACCCATAAATACCTGTCAGGTATATTCACTGCTTGTAATAATTTTTATAATAGTTGAGTGAGTCCATGATTGGGTAGAAATGAAGGGAAAATTTAAGATGTTTCAGTGTGTCAATAATCTTAACTTTAAAAGTATCATGAAATAGTTTATATGTCATAAAGTAATAATACAGTTTGAATTTGTGTCTCTGCTCAAATCTCATGTCGAATTTTATTTATTTTTTATTTTTATATATATTTTTTGAGACAGAGTTTTGCTCTTGTCACCCAGGCTGGAGTACAATGCCGTGATCTCGGCTCACTGCAACCTCTGCCTCCCAGGTTCAAGTGATTCTCGTGCCTCAGCCTCCCGAGTAGCTGAGATTACAGGCGCCTGCCACCATGCCCAGCTAATTTTTGTATTTTTAGTAGAGACCGGGTTTCACCATGTTGGCTAGGCTGGTCTCGAACTCCTGACCTCAGGGATCCACCTGCCTTGGCCTCCCAAAGTGTTGGGATTACAGGCGTGAGCCACAGTGCCCGGCCTCATGTCAAATTTTAATCCCCAATGTTGAAAGAGGGGCCTAGTGGGAGGTGGTTGGATCATGGGGGTGGATCCCCCCCTTGCTGTTCTTGTAATAGTGAGTGAGATCTCATGAGATCTGGTTGTTTAAAAGTGTGTGGCACTTCCCCCTTTGCTCTCTTTCTCCTGCTCCAGCCATTTAAGATGTGCCTCCTACCTCTTCACTTTCCTCCATGATTGTAAGTTTTCTGAGGCCTCCCCAGCTATGCTTCCTGTACAGCCTGTGGAACCGTGATGCAAGTAAACTTCTTTATAAGTTTCAGGTAGTTCTTTCTAACAATGTGAGAACAGACTAATACAAGTAATAATTAAAATCCTATACATTTGTGGTCCTACAGGTTTTTTCAGAAAGCATCCAAGTGAATATATCCCTAGAATATTGTGGTTGCTTTTCTTTGGATATTCCCCTTACTTTCACTGATCTTTCTCCTGGGGAGTCACCCCTCTGACTATGTCAGAGGCTAGTCAAAAGGCATTCTGTTATATTTGCTCATCTTACCTTGTTCTTTTCTTTATCGCATTTCTCATAATTATAACTATGGAAAGATTGGTGAAATTTTTTGTTTAATGCATATCTGCCCTACTAAAATGTAAACTTTTAATAGCTTGTCCAGTGCCTTTCAGGAAACTTTCAGTGAATATTTGTTAAATGAATGAACGAACCACCATGGTCTTTTATTTTTCGTTTCCATTATAAAGAGATAAAAATAGGATGTAGAAGTTATGTAAGACTTCATTTACAGTTATTTCACTAATATGCTTAAAACATGAAATGAATTAACACTTTAAAGAGTGTAAAACAGAAATGAGACACAAAGTCTTGCCATAAATGTCATATGCAATTCATTCATGTACTTGTCTCAAACTCAACACTACTTTAAAGGCTTAATGCCGAGAAACAAGTAGGTACTTCAAGATAAAGTTCAAGGTATTTAATTACTCCAAGAGTAGCCCCATGGTTGCTCAGCCTCACTGACTTTTTTTTTTTTTTTTTTTTTTTTTGCCACTGTAGATGTGTGAATTAACATTTCTGAGAACTGCTTTTAGGAGCAAAAAGTTTTCAAAATTTGGAAATGACCAAATTGATTTTATATTTACATTACAACTAGAAGTCTAATGCAAATTGTTTCATAATGATAAAAATCTTTTTTGTGTTTTGTAAATAAAATGTATTGTTTTTATCTTGGTTTTGTTGCTGTCTTTTAAGTTTAAACTTTAAACAAAAATCAGAAATTTTTTTAAAAAGCATATTTAAAAGCTTAAGTGGAAGCAACTGAAAACTTGAGATTTGAACACTAGGAATTGCAATTGAACATCTTATGTATTATTATAGCTAAAACATTACCAAATTATTTAAAATTATAAAGTGATATTAATATATTTTTAAATACTGAGTTAATACACATTTTTTATTTGCTTTCATTTGCTATTTAATAATACACAATCAGAAAGAAAAAAACAAATTTTGCCCCAATCATACTAATAAAAATCAATTAGGAGTTCAACATACCCACTTTAAAGAGTTTTCTGGATTTGTGAATTCAAAGTCCATTTCCATTTACTTCTACCACACAACATCTTATACGGTTAGTTAAAAGAATAGTCATTTTTATTATGGCTGTATTTTAATTTATTAAAATACATCCTGAAGTTGGTTGTCTCATTGATTCGTTAAATGTCTATTTTAAATGGGTTCTCTATTGTTCTACTCTAGGAATTTAACAGCAAACCAATGAAAAAAAGCCAAATTATCCAATTTATAGTTAATGGTCTCACTATCCCAGATAGTATGGTAGACTTGCTATCAGTAAAGGATTATGGTTCTAACAATCAAAGGTTATTAAATAACCAATAATTAATTACCTCATTGGCACCAACTTCTTCCCATTAATCATTCTTCCAAAGATTTTTCTACTCTTACCCCAGGAGTAAGTAATTTAGCACATGAATTGAAAGTCTCAATAACATTAGCCAAAAGATGATTAGTAATATTCATCGTTAAAGACTTATTGATGCTCATAAAAATATAGCAATAGGCAAACACTCCTGCCTTAATAATGAGCACAATATGTGCATTTTTTTTTTCCTTATAAGTCAAGTTCTATCTGAGATCCTTGTGTAGCACAGAGCCTCTTATCTATCTGCGGTTACTCTAGGGAAGAACATAACCAGAAAATCTGGATATGGCCAAACTGAGAGGAGTGCCAACTCCAGTCCCCCGATTCATAGAACAAATACAAAGGAAGAGAATTTGCTGCAAAGATCATTTCAATGACACCCCCACACAATTTTTTTTCTCATTAGTTATCATTTAAAGTGGTGATATAAAACTGGTCACATTGAACCCATGTTTTAGAAGAAGTGCCACTGAAAAATATCAACCTGTAATTGTCTGGTCATTATTTGACTAGCATTTTAATAATTTCTAAATAAATTTTCTTGCCTTTTGGGACCTATGTCTCGATAAATAAGCCCATCTGGTTTTCAATTTGTTCAATTAAGATTGACAGAGGTTGAGAACTCCTTTGCAAAACTGCATCTTCTATCCTGAGAGTCCTTATAGGCTTTTACCAGGGACTAGGAAATTGTTCCTGTGAGGCTATTGTGACATTAACTGGATGTTTTTCTCAGAAAAATTCAGAACCAAGAAGGTGAAATGATGTTTTCAAAGGAACAAAGGCCATTTTATCTCTCTTGGACTGTCTCTCTCGCATGCACAAACACACACGCACACAGGACACATATACACACACCACCCCTGACCTGCCAGTATTTTACTTAAACTTCTAGTAGTAGAAAGGAAAATCAAGTTAATTTAACTGTGGTATCTCCAGATTCCAGCCCAGCCACATACTCTCAGTTGGCTCACTTATTTCCTCTACCTACATTGTTATTTTGTTGCTCTTTACTGGGGAAAGGAAGAACTGTAATTTATTTTGTCTTTAATGTAGGGCACTGAGGTGTTTCCTAAGTGTTATGTTCTCTCTAACTCTGCTTGTATCAAGCATACATCTTATGGATTTGGTGGGGACGGTGGAAGGGGGAAAAATCCATGCATATTTCTGTGCTTATAAAAATTAAGATTTCTGTTTTTTATGCAATTACAGTGACTAGTTGAAATAAAAAGTTTGTAAAAGGCTTTTAATTTTAGGTAACCACTTCTAGTGTTGCCAGATTTGCCATCAAATATAGAAATTCAATTCTCTTCCTCTTAATATGATATGCTTATTTTTTCTTTAACAAAGATTTCGTTTTACTGCTAAATCCTTGAGTCTCATAGTACCAAATAAACTGGATCATTACCTTACTACTCTGACTGACATTTTTTCCCTTCCAAGAAATAAAACCAATAGTGCTATCTTTTAAAAAAATCATTTCTGGGGCAATGCCTTAGGGGAAAATGTGGTGATTTTTATCACAGAATATAAAATCTAGACCTGATTTTAAGATTTGTTTCATTTAAAACATAATGATGTAAGTATCAAATAGTAGACAGTAAAATCAACATGCAACTAACGCAGTCAGAATTTTTCATTTGCTAACAAATTTAGCCAAGTTAATTGTGGAGTTGAGAAAGAAAAAGGCAGGTTAATTAAAAGCAATGAGAATCTCATCATGTTGCAATTACAGGAACTACAGAATTCTTTTAATATAAAATGGAAGCAAAAATAAATATAAAAGTGTAACCACCAACTCAAAAAACGACCAACAAAATTCCCCAGGTCTTACATACAGACCAAGCAGGCTGTTTTTGTAATTATTTTAAATGGAGATACCAGCCTCTTTTCCTGTTGAAAATGTAAACACTCTTCAGAGAAGTAACACACTGATTTAAATTCATATGAAGTTAGGAAGTTATAAAAGACTGAGAGTGGGTCCTTTCTTGACAGTGGTTTTTAATAGGGGCAGCATGATGGGGATCTGCAAGGAGAAGAAAGGGAATGGGGGCAAAGAATTGACTTGGAATATGAATTGCATCTTTTTCAGAACGTCCCATATAACTAATCCTGAAATTCCAGATGACTCCTACCATCTATCACATCAACTTTAATACACTTTCTCAATTTGTTTCCCAGAATAACAAGCCCGCCTCTTTTCTTACATTAAGATCTGTTCCCATTCTTTAAATGTCTGATCTCCTACTTCTTTCAAAGTACTTTTTCTGGTATGCTTGCTACATAACATAGAAAGATATTTTAAAAAATGAATTTTAGGTCATGGCAGAGAAAGCAGGAAACAAAGCTTACTGTACCAATTTCATAAATCCCTGATTTTTGCATACCTTTTTATTAACATTCTATTAGAAGTATACTGAGTTATTACTTATTGCTACATTTTAATTCTTACGAACTTAAAAAAATCCAATAAGGAGTTGTTGAAGAGACTCTCAATTGACAGGCTCCATTCTTAATCTTATAACCATGTGTTTCTTCCAGGTTTTTGAATGAAAAAAATCAACGTGTCCTATAAAAAGCCTTGATACATTAATAAAGCACAAGCTTTGGTGATGACCTGACAAAAGCCATACTTCAGGCCAGGGAATTTCTGTAAATTGAGCAATCCTGCAACATCACTTTGCCAAAGCGTGTGTAGACCTCAGTTCTTCAACATGTCAGTACTGGGCTTTGTTATAAAATCAGAGCAGATGGTAAGAGCAAAACGGAACAGAAGTTGCATACACCTTAAGTATGAAGCCTAACACATTTAACTTTAGGCTTTCAAACTTGTTGGCACTTTTTTTTAACCAAAGACAGATTTCAAAACATTGTTAATATTTAACAGGTAGTTGAAAACTCATATACTCCTTGGTTAGTATACTACTAATTCTTAAAAGTACAGATTTTTCACTGTATCTAGTATAGAAAACATGAGATGTTGGGTACTTGGGAATCCTGTGCTCTCCATCAATGGCCTCTCTCTAAGGTCATCAATGGCCTCTGTAAGCCCTGGGTTCTTGTTTCTCCAGTCTTTCTTCTTCCTAATCTTTTTGTTGCATTTGTCACCTCAGAGTCTCCTTTTCTTAGCCAAGCCTTCTTCATATAGTTTCAAGGACAGGCACAATCCTGGTTTTGCTGACTTCTCCAATCTCCCTCAGGTTCTTTAGCTATGGGCATGGCTCAAGGCTGACTCCTTAATAACTCTTCTTTTTATCTCTTTTGTCCCAATTCAATCTAGCCTGAAGCAGAACTTCTAAGAAGGAACATCCTTTCCCAGAAAAAATCCTCTATTTTAGTAGTTGGTGATCGGTACAATTGAGCATCTTGCTTAAAGATTGATTTAAAATTTAAAATGTGGCTTTTGCTGAGACACCCTTGGCATATTCCCACTTTGGAGTTTTGGCACTTCCTTTTCCTTCTGTCTGGAATACTCTCCCTTAGGATACTAGCTCATTCACTTTTTTCAGATATTTGCTCAGATACCTCCCGCTTCATGGAGACTCTTCTAACCATCATATTTAATACTGTAACCGTTGCCCATCCCCCCTCATTTCCCTTCCTCTGCTCAACTTTGTATTTTTGTACAACAGTTCTAAATTCACATTATACATTCTTAATTCTCTTTATTAGATATTGCTCTTTTTGTTTACCATTTTCTTAGTTCCAGCTATTATAACAAAATATCATTTAAAAGATGGCCTATAAGCAACAGAAATGTACTTTTTTTTTATTATAGTTTAAGTTTTAGGGTACATGTGCACAACGTGCAGGTTTGTTACATATGTATACATGTGCCATGTTGGTGTGCTGCACCCATTAACTCATCATTTAACTATCGCAAGGAGAAATGTACTTCTACAGTGCTGGAGGCTGGAAGTTTGAAATCAGGGTGCCAGCATGGTTGGGTTCTGGTGAGAGCCTTCTTCAGGGTTACAGAGTGTCAATGTTTCATCATATCCTCATGTGGTAGAAAGAGAGGGAACTGGCTCTTTGGCCTCTTCATATAAAGGCACTAATACCATTCCTGAGGGTTCTACCTTCATGACTTCATTACCTCCCAAAGGCTTCACCTCCTAATACCATCACACTGAGAGTTAGGATTTCAACACAGGAATTTTGAGGGGGATACAAAACTTCAGTCCGTAACACCCTGATAGAATATGCTTTATTTTGTTCACTGATGTCACAAAGGCCTAGAACAGTGACTGGCACTTTGAAGGTAATCAATGACTATTACCCTAATTGAGTTTAAAAACTTCCTTATAATATCCACTACCTTCTTTCTCTTTTCACTGCCAACAGCCTAGTCTAAGTTTCTTCTCACGGTAATTAGCCAATTAGCATGCTAATTACATTTCTTTCTACTCTTCTCTTTAATCCATCTCCTTTACTGTTGGCTGATTTTCCTCTTCAAAGCCCAAATTTATCTTCTCATTAACCTTCTCAGAAACCTTCACTGTAAGGCCAAGTCAAAATTCCTTATTCTGGAACTTAAGGCCCTGCTCAGTATGACTACCAATCACATCCAGCCTCATGGGCACCCACTCCCCAGTCAACTTTAGCCAAGCTGGTATTGACTTTTTCATTTAAGAAATAGTTGACCTCCTAGTCCTAGGTCCTATGTGTGATAAAAATAATTTACTGTCAGTTTAGGCAAATGAACTGGAAGAATAAAAGCTTAAACAACATTTGTACTAAAAAAAGAAATCGAGACCACAGAAGAAAGACACTTGGCCGATTTACTCAGGTACATGTGGTCCCATGACTGAAATGTTTCTTTCTTCTACTTTCATGTTCTGGAAAAGCAAATTGTACCTATATTTAAAGGTTCAAGTTTAACTTGCTCTGTGATTGATTCTATGCCTTTTAAAAGCCATAATTCCTTTTAATAAACATTAATAATAAATGTTTTGTCTTCCACAAATATTCTGAGGTGCCTTTCCTCACCTTCATTCCCTTCACCATACGAAACATTGATTTATGGATTACATAGGCCTTCCCATCCCAAAATTCTAAGCACCATCTTTTCCCTGAAGGCATCCCTTGCCTCAAAGCTAGGATAAAACCTGGAAGGAAAAGCCTAGGAACAGATCTGGGACTCTGGGGAAGGGGTATAGGGCTTATACTTTTGATTGGTAAGAAAGCTGGCAAAGCCGGGCACGGTGGCTCACGCCTGTAATCCCAGCACTTTGGAAGGCCAAGGCGGGCAGATCACCTGAGGTTGGGAGTTCGAGACCAGCCTGACCAACATGGAGAAACCCTGTCTCTACTAAAAATACAAAATTACCCTGGCGTGGTGGCGCATGCCTGTAATCCCAGCTACTCGGGAGGCTGAGGCAGGAGAATCACTTGAACCTAGGAGGCAGAGGTTGCAGTGAGCTGAGATTGTGACATTGCACTCCAGCCTGGAAACCAAGAGCAAAACTCCATCACAAAAAAAAAAAAAAAAAAAAAAAAGGCAAGCAAGCTGGCGAAAAAAGCAAAATGGCACCTCTTCTTCATCACCTTCTCTAAGTGTATCAAAGTTTCACTTTCTCATCACTTCCCATCAACATGAAGGTTGTTAAATGATGATGAAGCTTTTGGTTTCTGCATTCCTACGTCTGCCACCAATGCTTATGAGATTATTGTTCTAGAAGGCCCTCCCAAATAATCCTCATTTATGCTTTCTCTACTCTGAATTTCTGCTGTACTTTACTGTGTTACAAACATTAAACAGTTTAGAATTTGACAACATTTTACCTTATCTTTTTGTTTTTGTCATATACATATACATTACAGAAATTCCTGAAGACAGAAATTGTCTACCCCACAGCAGTGGTTGTCATCTTTCCCTTATCAGTAAAGCCAATGGTACAACATTTAAAGAAATCAGATACCAGGGCCCCAAGTCAGTTCTGAAGAAATTGAACTACTTGTCTAGCTTTTGTAAGAAAGCTATGTTTTCAAAATGTCTCCCAAATGATTCTGATAATTTGCCAGATATGGGTATCACTGCTTTACAGAGTTTACCATGGGCTCATTAAGTAGAGAAATCTCAAAACACCTTTCAACTTTAAAATTATTTACTTTAAAATTAAAAACGTATGACTAAAGCTTGTGATTATTAATTTGCCTCATCTAGATTTTAAAACCTAACATTTGATTTTGTGAGTACCATAAAATATCTAGGAAAATTTTAGAATTAAAACTACCTGAAATTTCACCACATATGCTATTTTATGTAGATATAATCATATCAAACATACAGTTATAGAGTCTCATTTTTCTTTGACATAGTTTTATTTTAGATACTTCTTACGTGTTGTCATATTTTAAAACAGTGAAAATAACATTCCATTGGAATGAGGGTACTAACTTACTTCATCATTTTCCTATTTTGGACTTCTTAGGTATTTATTTTTTTCCCTAAAATATAAATATCATAACTGATATCTTTTTTTTTTTGAGAGGAGTCTCACTCTGTCGCCCATAACTGATATCTTTTATATAAACAATTCATTGAATATAGATGCAACTGTATTGCATTTGATCTATTTATTAAATATTTATTCTATTTTAAAATTATACACTTCATTCTTTTTTAAAAATGCTGTAATCTTAGACACAATTTTTTGCTAGTCTCTCCAATGAGTTTGTTTTCTAATTTTCAGACTCTTAGGACAATCTGCAATCAAGTATATATACAACTATAATGGGCCATAAAGTTACTCAATCTTGTTGGCATACTCTCTTGGTTTCCTATATTTAGCCCAGATCTCCCTATTACTCTGTCTCAGGAGTACTTCTAACATAAACCACACTGAAGGGATAGAAATTGTAACTGGTACATATCAGTTTCTTAAAGTGTAGCCTATAGATCACCAGTAATACAACAACATGAGGAGCTTGATAAAAGTGGAGAATCATGGACTACAAAATTAATCAGATATTTAGTTCTGAAGTCTAGGAAAATGAAATTTAAACAAGGATCCAAAGAAACTCTTCTGTATACTAATGTTTGAAAATCCAGCATTCCATATACCATGTCATCAGCAAATCTGCAGCATAGATTTAAGGTACTTCCAATGCCAACACACTTCTTATCATCCTACTTCTTCCCCCACCCAACCCTCCTGCACTGGAGTCCGTCTTTTATAGAAAATAGAGAACATGTCTATTTTATCTTTGCATTTCTGTCACTGTTGAGACTCTCCTTTGCACATAAAAACTGCATAAGAATGTTAGTTGTTTAATTTTTAACCAGATCCATACCCTGTGAAGTTAGTTTTGATCATCACACAAAATTACTTGCATGGCTTGAAATGGTTTACCTATTTTTTTCTTAAATTATAAAGCTTGTCTGGTATCTTTGGAACTTTGTTAAAATATTTCTATAGTAACTGATGTAGGGCTTTGTATATATTCACAAAATAAATGTGTCAGGCATTCTGATGTATTTGAAAATGGAAATATTAGAGGAGTGGTCCTTACACTGGAGAAAGTAGCCCTCTACCAGTGAAGTTGGTATCATCAGAAAGGTTTACAAAATAATATAACCAAATCTAAAGCATGCATCAAACATACAGAAAAATGACTATAATGTGAAAGGCTCATGAAGAATCTCTTTTCTTGACTATATCTGCATGGCCAAATTTAACTGAATACAAAAATTGATACTGCCTAATTTGATGTGCCTCATATGTAACACTGTAGTTCATGCCAGAAAGCTAACTTTGAACAGCATCAAACATGGCCTATTTTAATATCAAGATCTATAGAATATGCATATTTAAACAAGCCAGAATCTTTTATATCTTCTGCATATTTTTATTTCAATGGTGTATTATTAAAAGAGTCTTTGCCTATTATGACCTCTTTCTATAACAGAGAATACTAGGTACACACACACACACACACACACACATCTCTAAATACACACACTTGGATATAACTCACACTAATCTTGGTGCTGTCAGGGAAAACCTCAGATTCTTGATCACTGTTATTACAAAGTGCATACTGAAAAAATTCATAGTAGCTAAGAATTCAGAGTCTTTTGGGCAGTCACACTCTCTTTTACAGTTTATTATGTTAGAACATGAGACCATGAAAAACCACAACATACTTATTAGCATTGCTAAAACTCTAAGCATTGACAAAACCAAATGCTTGTAAAAATGTGAAGCAACAGGAAGGTTCTTTCAGTGCTGGTGGGAATGCAAAATGTTACAGCTACTTTGAAATACAGTTTGGCAGTTCCTTATGAAACTACACTGTCTTACCACTGGATCCAGTCATAATACTCCTTTGTATATACCTAAATGAGTTGAAAACTTCTGTCCACACAAAAATCTGCAAACAAATATTTACAGTGACTTAAAAAAGTAATTCCCAATTTGGAAACAATCAAGATATTCTTCATTAGGTAAATGGGTAAACTATGGTACATCCGTCCAATGAAATATTATTCAGTGATAAAAAGAAATGAGCTATTAAGCCACAGAAAAACATAGATGAACCTTAAAAGCATACTGCTTTGTAAAAGAAGCCAAACTGAAAAGGCTACATACTGCATTATTCCAACTATATGTCATTCTGGAAAAGGTCAAACTATGGAGGGAGTAAAAAGATCAGAGATTGCCAGGTTTCAGTGGAGGGAGAGAAGAGGGAATCAGAGGAAGATGTGGGATTTTTAGAGCAGCGAAGCTATTCTGTGTGATACAGCAGTAATGGAAATTTGTCATTATATGTGCGTCAAAACCCATGAAATATCCAATATAAAGACTGAAACCTTATGCAACTATGGACTTTAGTTTATAAGGCTCTAGCAATACTGAGTCATCACTTGTAACAAATGTACCATGTTAATACAAGAGGTTAATAATAGTGAAAACTGAGTGTGGATTGAGCGAGAAGATTATGTGGAAGCTCTCTGTGTACTTTCCAATTAATTTTTCTGAAAACATAAAATCACTTTTTTTTTTTTTGAGATGGAGTCTTGCTCTGTCACCCAGGCTGGAGTGCAGTGGTGTGATCTTGGCTCACTGCAAGCTCCGCCTCCTGGGTACATGCCATTCTCCTGCCTCAGCCTCCCGAGTAGCTGAGACCACAGACACCCGCCACCACGCCTGGGTAATTTTTTTGTATTTTTAGTAAAGACAGGGTTTCACCATGTTAGCCAGGATGGTCTCGATCTCCTGACCTCGTGATCTGCCCGCCTCGGCCTCCCAAAGTGCTGGGATTACAGGCGTAAGCCACTGCACCCAGCCCATAAAACTACTCTTTAAAAAGTCTGTTAATGAAAAAAAAAAAAAAAAAGCAAAAGTAAAACCAAAGACACAGAAGTTGTTAAAATTAAACCAAACCAAACAAAGACTACAATTCTGGTCAGATGAGACAACTTCTAGAACTGTAACTGCAGCCTTTTATGGTGATACCCCTGGTTTCGCAGTTGTTACTTCTTATTCCCGAGGTGGTACCTGTGATGATATTGGAATAAGGTACAGAAGAAATACCACAGAGTGTTCAGGCCCCATTAGCCTGAAACCTACAATTCTTCAATATTCAGTCTGGCTTTGAGTCAGGTGCAGAACCTGCTGAGCACTTAAACATTTTTTGAATGACTACTAACACAACAGAATCAGGAGTTACCCGGCCTAGTCCAAATATTGAAGTGAGGCCTAAAAGTACACACCTACCTCAGATTATGGGGAGTTCTCATTACCCTGGGGGCAAAATTTTGTCTTGTGTAAATTTCTCCAGAACCCTAAGAAAACAAGGGATCCTGCCAGAATTGAGATGTGCCCCTGGATCCTCTAAGGAAGAGCTTCTTTATCATTTTGTTAACGGAGAAGAAAAAGGAAAAGATTCCAAGTTCAAGTTTCTTGACACAAGATCAGGAATACTGGTCAATCTTTAGGTAAAATTAACTTCCACTGAAAATCTAGAACCCAATGTCTTGATTTTTTCCTAAGAAAAACTCCTCTAAGTCCAGATTTCAATCATAGACATGCATAAAAAGCAGCAGACACTGTAGGGCTTTCCAAAAGGAAAGGTTGTATTGCTCAGCAGCACAGCTCCCCAACACAAGTGTTTACAGATGTGCTAATAAGATGCCAAGGCTTCAGCCCTGGAGCTGCTCAGCAGTGCCAGTCATCTCTGCTTGTGAGCAGCCCCCTCACAGTGTATCCTAGGAATATTACCATTTTCCATGTGTGTCATGGCAAGAAGCCTGACAAAACACCTTGCAATCTCTGCTAATGGTGCTTCTATTCCAAAGTGGTTAGACTGATGCTTTGCAATTACTCTTGTTTCTACATATTATCCTACTCCAAATGTGAAGACAATATTTGGTGAGGAATTATTTCTGATCATATTTCACATGAAAGGTATAAAGCATGAAATACTACAAAGCTATAAGCAAATTCAGAGCATACTTAACATTTTGAATAATATCATCTATTTTTATATCACAGTTTTGTAAATATTCAGACTATCAAATCAAAAATAGGAATCGGCTATTACCCTATGATGAAAATTTCTGCACTCCTTTTAGGGAGCATCTGTGTCTTCACAAAATCCCTCCACTCCTGGACTGAGCAGCTCTTGAAGCGTTTCTAATGGGTCTAAAAGGAAAGAAAAATATATGAGTAACTTTGGAGGCACTTCAGCTGACATTAGCACTTTGTTTCAAGTTGTTCAGATTCTCTTTTTACCAGTTCATAAAATTTCCACATATCTTACATCAAATTATTCTGCACAAAACAATCAGCACTTGAGGAACACTTAATTTGAAAAGGAATTTTCTCCCTTTATATCATTATAATCTCCTCCTTATCCGTTTATTCAAAGACATCTGTCTTTGAATAAATGATGTCTTTACTGGTTATAAAGTCATTTTAACAATTTTCCACAATTATTTGCTTACTTTCCCCAGACATTAATTTTATTCTGCGGTCTCACTTATAATAGCAAGTATTTCCACAAGAGAAGTAGAATATTGTTAGTTCTAAACAGTCTTGTCTGTGGCTTCCTTAATACTGTCTTGTTGCTTTACTCTGCTATGATAAACTAACACATTTGGTTCCTAATCTCCTATGCCTAAGTTTTTCTAATGTAAAAATCCCTACCAAATCCCAAAGTACCCCATCAAGTCTATAATAATACTGACGTGAGCCAGTGAA